>NC_000011.10:126566364-131366364 GCF_000001405.40 Homo sapiens | reverse complement strand
GGACACTTTGAAATCGCAGTTCCCTCCTCAACAATCAGAGCTCCTTCCTCTGAGTTAGAAGGCTCAAGTACTTCTCATCAGGTGCCTGGAGGACTCACTTTGCCTTTTGCATTAGCCAGATTTGTGTTATGCACCATTTACTTCCCAGTTCATGAGTCCACTTTTTTTGCAGAGGAGTATGAATGGCGTAAGACAAAATTAATGTCTGGAAAGGGACCTTAAATTCTAGACAGAATGATAATTTTTCACCACCCACACTCCTTGAAGTTAGAAGAACTTTACTACAGACATGATTTTTCTGTTTGCAGATAAGAAACAAGGAAGGGGCATAAAAATTAAAAAAAAAAATAAGAAAGGGGAAACAGATGAGGTCTTTAACTCCTTTGGAGAGGGCAGCTAGGATTGCATTTCATAAACCTTTCATCATCGGGCAGCTTAGGAATCTGCACTGTGTGCAATGAGCTAGTACAAATAGGGATTGATTCTCTGTAAACTGCCCCCATGAACACCTGTCACCTTATCCAACGATAGACAATAAGTCCAGTAAGCTCACTGTGGGACCTGGCTGCCCTGCTGTCCAAATCCCAGCTGAACCCTGACAGCAGACATAGGAGAGGGGATGCATAATCACTCACACATGGTGGGCCAGGCTTGAAGGACTGGCAGACAGAATGCCACCATGAGGAGGAGGAGGAGGTGGGTGTGTGTGTGCCTGTGAGTGAGGGAGGAAGGGGTGTGGAGGCAGTGTTTTTTATTTCTCTCAGCTATTATGGAAAGAACTGCGGGAGCTTAAATCTAAAGAGCAGTGCTGAAATCATGTTCAGGACTTAACAAAAGCCGCTGCTCTGCTGCCATCCGCCTGCTGTGGCCTGCCTCTGCTGAGGCTCCATGTGGTGGGTGATCTTACATGCCCAGAAGCTTGGAGGAGCCTGCCCTAGGGGAAGAGAAAGCCAGCCTGCCCTCACACATCTGGGGTTGGGCAGGGTTCAGCTTTGACTTGCAATGCCACTTCAGGGAGGGTGAAAACCATGGCAGGAAGAAGGCAGCCTCCTACCTTAAAGGGACTCTCCCCAGAAAGGGAGAGCTGCAGCCATCTTGGATGGAGCTCTGAGCATGGTCACTTTGGATGGGAATGGAATGGGTCCAGGCACAGGTGATGTCTGAATTATGTGAGTCTATTTTGAGAATTTGACTTAGAGCAGCAGGTTTTCTGATTTATTGATAAGTTGCCTAACCTGATATTAAAATGAAAGTGTAACTGTTAACAGCCCAGAAATTAAGGACACAGGGATATAAGCCCAAAGTCCTACAAAGGGAGTTTTCAGTGTTTTCTAATTGAATTACAGGCATAGTCATCTGGCCTTGATTTATATTTATCACCTTCAGCTCAAAAAGAAGAACTACCATAGAGCAGTATAACAGAAGTAATTTAAGATTTAAAATCAGAAGACCTGGATTCGAGTCTAATCCCATTGATCAAGTTCAATCCAGTAATGCTCAACGTTCTCATGTCGTCTCATCCCACCTCATCCTTAAGGTGGAAATAATAATATCTACTGCACAGAGTTGTTGTAGATTCATTAAAATGAAGGTTATAAATGTCCCAGTACAGTGATCAGCATGCAGACACATTGGCTCCTGGTCTTTAGGATCAGCTTGCTTTGAAAAACCAATCAGTGTGCTGGATAATATTCAACATGAACTTCACAGTGTGAGTCAGTACCTTCAGGATGCTTACTGTCAGAGATATTTTTCCTGGGTCTGTAGTAGACAGGGTGGCTATTGCATCTGGATCCCCAGACCACTGGGAATCAGTTGGATGCGGTTGGAGTGGGCACTGCTCTACTCTTGGCATAAGAGTGGGCACAGGCCCCTGGCCTGGTCAATCAGTTTCTTTCCTGAGAAATTTCCAGGTGCTTTGGGAAAGAGGGACTGCAACTAGAGGACATCTTTCCTAACACATGGAGAACTCTGCAAGGAAATGGAGTCAACAAAAAGGAAAGAAGGAACAAGAGGAGAGGCCATCACAGAAAGGAGGACATGTCATGTATGGAACCAGACACCCACCTTTCGGAATTCCTGATCCTTTATTTGCTTAAGTTAGTTTGAGTTGAGCTTCTGTCCCTCACACCTGAGAGGATCTAGACTAAACGCGTCCATCTGGAGGGCCATGAGTAGAAATGTCCTTGCTTTCCTGCCCTTCCCACATGACTTACCCTGATACAATGAAAATGTCTAGATATTGTGTTATGCTTGTGGGAGAGAATGCCTTAGGCAGAGATGTAGGCATCTGAAGCCGTTTACTTAAAAAAAAACAAAACAAAAAAAAACCAAGTAGCCAGTGTTGATATAAAATTGGAATTAAAATAAGGTCATAGATGAAATCACAATGGACCAAATCCCTCTTCTTCCAAAGGGTGGGGCTCTGGAAGTGGGGAGCAAAACACCACTTAATGAACGTCTTCTGTGTGAAAATTCTGCATGTCATTTTATTTAATCTTTACAGTGTTTCTAGAAGATAAATACTATTATCCTTAATTTTCAAGTAAAGAGGTTAGCTAACTTATCCACAGTTGTACAGATAGTAACTGGCCAGGTCTCTGAACACCCAAAAGCCTGCTCTTTCTCTTATAGTATATTTGGCTATACTTTAAGTGAAACTGGGACTCAAAAGGAAAAGATCATGGTAGCCTGGCATGGTTGGTGAGAACTCTCAAAATAACATTGGTCTTGATCAGTTTGGAATGAAAGAAAGTAGGAACTTATTTAAACTGAAGGGAATAGCATGGTAAAGGCTGGATGGGAACATAAAGCTCTGTGGAAATCAGCAGGATCCAACGTGGATGAATTTGAGGCTGTGGTTCAAGAGTACTGAGAGTTCATAGAGTTTGGGCCTAAACTAGAGAGTCCTGAATATCTATACAGTTTGAACTGAATTTGAGAAGATCACTGCTGTTGATTCTGAGTAAGAAAGTGAAAACAATAAAATTTGATATTTCTGAAGGTTTATACAGTGGAATGGATGGTGAATTAGGTAATTCCCCTAGAGAAGCCTCTCTTGGCCCTCTGGATGTCGACAACTTCCCATCTTGTGCTAATCTCTAGTCTAGTTTGGCAGACGTGGGACAGTGGTTTAGCCCCATCCGCCACCCCCATACATCACATGTGTGAGTAGCTCTGGTGCTCGTGGGCCCTAGAAACCTCTTATTTGCAGTCTGCTGCCCACCAGCCAGTTGAACAGGACACAGTACAATGGTAGGAGTAGAGGTCAGGCTTCAAGGAAGGTGGGGAGATTTTGGGGGTTACTTGGAGCAGACCCACTTTCCTACACTTGCGCTGATAACAGAGCTTATTTGACAGGTAAGTGTCACTTTACCGCTTTTGGCCATTTCTATCCATGGACATATCTATTTTGAAGACTTTATAGGGAGGAACAGTATAGTCTAGGGATTTTTTTTTTTTTTAATGATTTGGCTTTGTGCTACCTTAATACTATCTAAAAACAATTGAACTCCACTAGCTGAATTTGGAGGAAGACTCTGAAATACAGCTTAGGAACCCTTCTATGAGTATCTCATGCTTTCATTTTATACTCAGAAGTGGTGTCCAGAGAAGGGCAATTGCATGCTTAGGTTCATACAACAGAACTGGGAATAGAATCAACTCATTTGGTCCTTGTCCAATGTTGTTTCTTTTATTCCAGAATGTGTCTGGATGCCTTCAAAGTTTGATTGGATGGCCCCTTGTGAAGAATCCTCTGACCAAGAAATTCACTCTGGCTTGTTTACCCAAAACTGTACTCTTTATAACTTCAAATTCTAAGTCTTTAAAAATGCAACCATGCCTTTTATAAAGACAGACAATTTAAGCTGTGGCCTATCACTAAAAGCTCAGGGTGAAGGGGTTTCAGCTTCCTTAGCAAGCATAGGTTATAAAAGAAGGAGTGAGACCATACACAGTGAGACCAGAAGATCCCTGGAACCCTGGGCAGGGTATGGGCATATGGAATATGGGGAAAGGGAAAGTGAGAATGGGAATAGAAACCTGAGAGACTGGGTTTGACAGCAACAACGACCGACGCGGTCCTCTTTGTGATTCTGACAGTTGCTTTTCCAGAGAGGAGATAGGAGAGCTGGCAGCAGAAGGGCGTGGGGTAATGGTCTTATCATACACCCAACTTGTCCATGTGCTGTCCCCACCAAAAGCTACGCTGATGACTTTTACAGGGGTGGGAGGAGATAAGATTCCTCGAGGAGGGGATCAGTGGAGTCTCTGTGGGAGGTGACTAGCCCAGGCAGCAAGGGCTGTTCATCATAGACGTTTGACTGATTCTAACCCACAGTAGAATACAGACAAGACATATAAAGGCTTAAAATCAAATCATGTGTCATGCTGAAGAATAATGGTACTTTCTGCTAGGGATATGTATATATTTTTAATTTCTGAGTGAATTAAGTGCCTATAAAAGGTGTTGAATTGGCAGCCTAGAAAGCTGGAGCCCTTGATTTATGCCCAGAAGAGGAAAGAGGGAGACAGTTACCTGAATCATTCTGAAGTGCTCTGAGCCACCCACCCATACCCATACACTCTGCCCTTTGTCTCACTAAGAATTGTGATTCGTTGCCCTCTGTGCAAGTCCTTCCTGCCATTCTGCATGGGCTTTAGATTAGGCTGAGATCAAAGCTAAATGGTAGGGAAAGCAAATTAATGAATGTTGGGCCCTTGGCAAAGTGTTCTGTGACCATGATATATGAACAGATCTAACCACAAACACATGTATATCTCTAAGTTGCATTTATATTTTCAAAGTGCATTTACATATCCTACTTCATAACCTACTTATTAAATACGTGTTCATCAGTGCTTGTTATTGTCGTTTTTGTTTTAGGGTGGGAGACTGAGGCATAGAAAATGATAGCATGCCCAGCACTTTGGGAGGCCAAGGCAGGCGGATCATGAGGTCAGGAGATCGAGACCATCCTGGCTAACACGGTAAAACCCCGTCTCTACTAAAAAATACAAAAAATTAGCGGGGCATGGTGGCGGGTGCCTGTAGTCCCAGCTACAGGGGAGGATGAGGCAGGAGAATGGCGTGAACCCGGGAGGCGAAGCTTGCAGTGAGCCGAGATCGCACCACTGCACTCCAGCTCAGGCGACAGAGCGAGACTCCGTCAAATAAAAAAAAAAAAAAAGAAAAAAAAAGAAAATGATAGCATGCTACATCTGGAAGTGATCTTAGAAAAGTAACAGGATGAAAAATAGAGCCTGGATTTCCTGACTTTCCCTGAAAAGTGAAACTCCCAGCCAAAAACAAACAATAAGGCAGCAGTGAAGGGGTGGTGGGAACCAAGGTGTCCTAACACCCTGCCCTCTTCTCAATGTTCAGGAATCAGTCATCTTTATTTACTACAGAACATAAAAGAAACTATGCACAGATAACATAATGACAATGATAAAAGTATTAACAAAAATACCTTATGAAAGAAGAAAGTCCCTGCGGTTAGTTTAGAGGCCTAGAGGCAGAATAGATGGCATGGCCATTGAGGGGAGGCAGACCTGGCTTCTTCCCCCAGTATGTGTCTCCGCGTATACGCAGCTTTTTCTCATAGGACACTTAAGCTGTCTGAGTCTCAGATGCCCCATTAGTGAACATGGGGAAGAAAAACAACCTCACAAGATTAAACACAGCACACATGTAAAGCCATTGGCACTCAAGGTGCTCAAAGCATATATTAGGTCTCCTACTAGAGGAACATTGTTTTTTTCAATTAAGTAGAGATATATGATTATTTTGGGGGAAAGTTTTTAAGGAAATAAAGACAGATTTTACGTTATAATTTTGATTTCTTTGGCTCTACCTTTGATTTCTTTTCTTTCTGTCTTTATTTTCTTTTGTTTGTAAATTAAGTGCAGGTTGTTGACTTAATAGATAAATTAAGCTTCAGTATATCTTCCTTGCATTTAGTCCAAAACAGCTTTCTGGGAGTGGTATATATTGACAAATATATTACAACCGGCTGCTGGAATATGGGAGAGGAAGTAATTCCAGGTGAAACGCTGTTCCCCACATCCATCTCATTCAAAAGGGAGGCCTTTTCTTGGGAGAAGATGAGATTAGGGGCCCTCAATTCACAACTTCCTGTCAATGTCAAGAGAACTGTGCACACACAGACACTGTTTGTGCCTGCTACAATAGTCCAGAAACATCCTTGTGCCATTGCAAAGGCTTTTGGGGGAAACATGGCTTTAATGAGGATGTTTGTGTTTGATGTTATTAGAAATGAAATGTTTATAGAAATGTCACTGCAAAAGTGCGGCACCTACATGGGGCAAGGAAATGTAACTCCTAATAAAAGCTGAAGGCACAGTCATACACACACTCACACCACAGTCTCCCTCTTTGATATGCTTTATAAGTTTGTCCCCTCTAAATCTCATGTTGAAATGTGATCCTCAGTGTTGGAGGTGGAGCCTGGTGGGAGGTTACTGGATCGTGGAGGGGGACCCCTCACAAATGGTTTAGCAGCATCTCCTCGATAATAAGTGAGTCCTCTCTCAGTTCACGTGAGATCTGGTGTGTTTCAAAGAGTCTGGCCTCCCCCTTCTCCCTCTCTTGCTCCCACTCCCACCTTGTGATGGGCCTGCTCCCGCTTCACCTTCTGCCGTGAGTAAAACTCCCTGAGGCTTCACCAGAAGCAGAGCAGATGCCGGCGCCACACTTCCGGCACAACCTGCAGAACTGTGGGCCAATTAAACCTCTTTTCTTTATAAGGATATTACACCTCAGCTATTTTTCTATAGCAACAACAACAACAACAACAACAAAGACAGCCTAACACACTCTTTCTCTTCCAGTTTGTGTTCTGCACTTACTAAAGTAGTTCAATCAAAATCACATGTGAAAGTGAACGTAGTGAAAATACAACCAGAATGTTCACATGTTTATTGGTTATTATACCATGCTTTACTCACCTTAGTTTTCTTCCTTATAGGAAGGAAAAGTGAGCAGCAAAATAATCAAGCAGTCACAATATAATCAAATCAGAAAAAGAATGCCTGAGGTGTGCCCCTCAGCCTTTACACCACAATTACTGATTCCAGATGATGTCCCCACTTTAGAAAAGCATTGTTCATATTACAGAAGTGCTGAGTGCTTTATTTCCTTTAAATATAGCATAGGATTTTATTATGTTTCTCTGTCAAGTTAGAGAGACTTAAAGATGTGCATTCATAAATCAAGCTATCAACAAGTGTTATTGAGCTCAAGCTACATTCAGGCACTGTGGTCGGCTCTGTCTGGTCTAGATATTGTGACAATTCACCCCTGCCATCCAGGAGGACACCACGTATTTACTCAGTTGTGGTATTAGTAGTCCAGTACTTATTCAGCACCTACTGTGAGGCAGGCACTTTCCAACTACTAGAGATACAACTATTAGTATTATTTTTCTGTAAAGTTGTTCACAGTTGAAGTGGGATACTGATCAGCAGTTATAATGGTTATCGAATTAATCAAGATGAGTGACAATAACTGACACAAAAGAAAAAACTTTAGAATCTCAGTGGTTTAAGGGAAAGTAATTTTTGTTGTGGTTTTTGTTATTGTTGTTGTTTTCAGCTCATGCTAAGTCCCATATGGCAGCAGAAAGACCAATTAGCAGGTCAAAAAAAGCTTAGGCAAAAAATGTGAAGGCCCCAAACTAAGGCCATGGCAGTGAGCTAACAAGTAGGAGTTGTGGTCTAGAGACACCTCCTGTAAGGTGCTATGCTGGAAGATGCCTTTCACCAGATACTGACAAATCTTGGGACAGTTTTATTGAACATAATGATTATTATAAAAAATAGTAAAGGAGACAGAAAGCATTTTCTAAATGCCAAAGTGATAGAGATAACAGTAATAGCAGAGTAGAAATAAACCAGTATTATTTATCACTCAATTTAAATCATTATTGATGTGATGGTTTTGTAAAAATAAATAATTCTTAACATCTTAAACTTAAATGTCAGATACTTTTGACATGGGAGAGACCAAGGGTTTGCTAGGTGGACAACAGTGGAACAAGAAAGCAGGAAGAAAAGACAAGCTAAAGAATAATGACTAGCTCTACATATTTTTAGAAAAATACATGAATTCCAGCCGAGCACAGTGGCTCACGCCTGTAATCTCAGCACTTAGGGAGGCTGAGGCGGGCAGATCACCTGAGGTCAGGAGTTCAAGACCAGCCTGGCCAACATGGAGAAACCCTGTCTCTACTAAAAATACAAAAATTGGCCAGGCATGGTGGCACATGCCTGTAATCCCAGCTACTTGGGAGGCTGAGGCAGGAGGATCGCTTGAACCTGGGAGGCAGAGGTTGCAGTGAGCTGAAATTGGGCCACTATACTCCAGTCTGGGTGACAGGGCAAGACTCCCTCTCAAAAAAAAAAAAAAAAAAAGTAATCCCATGTGTTAAAGATGTATAAATAATATGCAGAAAAATGGAAAGATAATAACTTCTAAACTATTGAGAAGGACAAAAGACAAAAACAGAAATACAGAGAACTTTAACAATACAGCAAAAAATCTGAAAGAGGGAAATAAACAATTACAAAGAATGGAACATAAAGGCAGGTGACTAGAAAAAATCTTCCCATTTTACTACTCCAAATAAATATGACGGAATGAACCTTCTCTATAAAAACAGAGAGATTTGAAGATTGGAAAAAATATATAATTTATGCTATTTGTTAAGGTACATCTTAAATAATGCAATCCAGAAGCTTTAATAATATGCAAGGAAAATAATAAGAAAACAGATACAATGGTGTTAATATCAAAAGGAACAGAAATCAAGATGAAAAGACTAACCATGAGAAAAACAGAGGTATTAATGGGATAAATAGTGTAATCCACTAAGAAGAAATAATAGTCATGAGCTTTGATGAAATGAACAAAAACTTATCAAATTAAAAGCTTTTGTAAATGCAAGGAGAAATTGACAATTCCTCAATTAAAGTAAAAAATATTCATGCAACTTTAAAAAACTGAGAGCACAAATCAGAAAAACACATAGGACACAGTGATATTAGTAAGAAATCAACATTCTGAAAATAATTAAATGAATAAGATGGATGGATGGGTGGATAGATAGGTAGGTATAAAAAACAGACAGAGGGAGGCCGAGGCAGGCGGATCACGAGGTCAGGAGATTGAGACCATCCTGGCTAACACAGTGAAACCCCGTCTCTACTAAAAATACAAAAAATTAGCCGGGCGTAGTGGCAGGCGCCTGTAGTCCCAGCTACTTGGGAGGCTGAGGCGGGAGAATGGCGTGAACCCGAGAGGCGGAGCTTGCAGTGAGCCGAGATTGCGCCACTGCACCCCAGCCTGGGTGACAGAGCAAGACTCCGTCTCAAAAAAAAACAAAAACAAAAACAAAAAAAAAAACAAACAAAAAACAGACAGAAACTTACATTCATGAATAGAAAATGCTCAGCCTTTCCAAACACAATGAAATTTTCACAAGCAGATCATCTTTAGGTCAACAAAGTCTGCATACACCTTAACAATCAGAATGCTCTGGGCTCATTCTCAGATTGAAATGCAATAATAGAAATTAACAGAGAAATAAGGAAATTCTTTTTCTTTACGCCAAAAGAGAAAAATCCTAAACAGGGATTCAAATGAAAATTACAAATATTGATAAAAGAATGAGAACATTATATATTAAACCTTTTTTATTTATTTATTTATTTATTTATTTTATTGTTTTTCAAGGCATGGTTTCACTCTGTCGCCCAGAGTGGAGTGCAGTGGCATGATTTCAGCTCACTGCAACCTCCACCTCCCAGGCTCAAGCAATTTTCCTGCCTCAGCCTCCCGAATAGCTGGGATTGCAGGCGCCCACAACCACAACTGGCTAATCTTTTTATTTTTTTTAGTAGAGATGTGGTTTCATCATGTTAGCAATGCTGATCTCAAACTCGTGACCTCAAATGATTCACCAGCCTTAGCCTCCGAAAGTGCTGAGATTACAGAGGTGAGCCACCATGCCCGGCCTTATATATTAAATCTCATGAAAGTGACAAAAGGAAATTTATAGGCCTAAATGAAGTTATTAGATGGTAGAAAAGATTATAAATGAATTCAGTAGGCATACATGTCTGTTATTATTTTGTTATATGTATTTCACAAGTAGCAAAATATATGTATATAGTGCCTTAAACAAAGAGAACTAGTTGTTATTGTTGTTTTTCTTCACTCAGAAGTCTGGAGTTGAGCAGACTGTCACTGGCTCAGTGGTTCAGTGGCTAAATGAGAACATTGCCAGTGTTGCTGCAATTCCCTTTGTCTTTGCCTTATCTCTCAAGATGTCAACTGGTTCTCCAGACATTACATCCATAGTCCAAGCAGGAAGAAACAGAATATGAAAGGATTTATCAGCTTTTCTCCATCCTCTTTTATCAGGAAAGCAAATGTTTCCCTCACACATAAAAATGGTACGTTTTCTTGGCCAGAACTTGCCAAATGGCCAACATTGGCTCTAAGGAAAACTTGAAAATGAATAGTAAAGTCAATGAAAATAACGAATAGCCAGAAAAGAAGAAAGGTCTAACAGAAACAAAACAGAAACCTTGATCAATAAAAGTAAAATATAGTTATTTGAAAAAAATGAAATACATAAAATTCAAGCCAGTGAGATCAAAGGAAATGTGTTATCCAAGCAACTTTAGAAATAAGAAAGAAGACGTGAATTAAATGTTAAATATTAGGAGAATTGCTGGGTACAACTTTAAACCAAATCTTCTGAAAATCTATATAAAATAGAAGCTTCTTTAGGAATGTAGAACTGCCAATATTTACTCAAGAGGCAGAAACTCTGAGTACAATAATCTTCAAATTTATTTCAAAATTTATCTATCAGTATATTAAAAGAATACAATGGAGTTTCATAATGTACAAAATTATGTACAGTCAAAATTATCTTTTACAATTTCTTAGGAGTCCAGGATAGACAATTTGTTTTTCTCCAGAATTGGAAGAGTTCACTGGGTTTATATTGAGTGGATTAAAAATGAAGTACCTTGTTGAATTTAGCAGCCATGTTGCATGAAAACATTATTTTTAGACATTAGAATCACATTCAATTTCACAAAATGCACACAGGAATGGAAGCCAATTGAATGAGCAATATACAACTATCTCGTCCTTACTATGATCTGGGAAATTCTGGAATATAGAGTCTAGAATAAGAGTTGTGCATCTATCAGAGTTTAGTTGATAGTGAAAATGGAATTTTAAATCAGTTAGGAAATAGCCTATAAAATAAAGAGTGTTAAAAAATGGTAGCTGTCTATCTAAAAGGGGTAGGGGAGAGAGAGAAAGAGAGAGGCCTCTTAATTTCTTATTTTGTACAAAAAAATTAATTTGAAATGCATTTAAGAGCATAAGGTAAAGAGCAAAATTGTAAAGTGTTTGAGAAAAATATCAGAGAATTTATTTTTAATTTATATACTGGAAGGCTTTCTTAAGAAAGATACAAAACCTAGAATTTATAAAAGAAAAGATTGACAGGTTTTGCTGTACAAAAATTATAAATGTCTGCGTGACAAAAGACTCCATAAACAAAGTTAAAAGACAAGTGAAAGAAACACCAGTGCAGTGGAATAATATTTTGATGTAATAACTGATCTTTCTCTAACTTCCTGTTACACCTACCCCCATCCCCACCAACCGCCCCTCCCCACTTGGCAGCAGCCAAGGCATTCTATGTTCATCGCCTCAGAGAAGAGATGACACAGCATTACACAGAGAACAAAGAGGCCATTCGCAGTTTTTGAATTTCAAAAGACTAGGACGAAGTCTAGATAAACTATGTGGAAAAATGTGTTTGGAGCCACCTCAATGTTAAGATTTGATTGTCTTGATTCTCAGTCAAGATTCTATTGGCTTAGGAAGAAGAGCAGATGAAAGGGAAATAAAGAGCTGAGGAGAAAGAGATTCTGCCCCAGCCCTGGCCAGGGACTGTGCCTGGTTCTGCAGGGGCAGTGTGTTGGGGCAGCAGGGGGCAATGGGTAGCAAGGTTTGTTAGTGACAGAAAACTCAAAAAACAAAGAATCCGATGTCCCTTTTCCAAAGTGGAGCAGCCCAGGGAGGAACAAGCCACCAGTGTTTCCACTCCTTCCCCTCAGCCCAGTGTTACGGGAGAGAAGAGGGGTGGTGTGTCTTGGAGGATGTACTTGACACATTCTCACACATTTCCCCCAGGCCTGACATGCATAAAAATAGCCAAGTTATCCCAGTACATGCAGTAATGGCACTGAAGTAGCAAGTAAAGTCAACTTGAAGTGGGGCAAGGGCTGAGTCAGCTTTAACTTCAGCACCAAGATCCAGAGGGAATAAGTGTTCCCCAGGGAATGCCAATGTGGACAAAAAGTGACTGAGGATCCACCACATCCTGCCACCAGGACCCTCCCAAACCTGGACCCAGACCAGGAAAGGGCTGATGATGGTCGTGTCTAAGATTCAGCTTCTGCCACCTAATGGAAAGGGCTGACATCAAAGTTGGAGAAAAGGTAAGAGTTTCGCTTCCATGAATTTGGCACCCATTACACTGCCAGCATTCACTTGGTATCCAGAGTGTAAAAGGTCCTGTTAGGCAAGATGATTATAGAGGCAGACAGTCTGCTGCGGGGCAGAGGCTCTGGGAAGCCGGCTCTGAGATGGAGCAATGGTGCAGGATGCTTGTTAGGGTACCAAAACCTGAAGAAAAGGGAAAAGAGGTAGGATTGGCCAGGGAAAGAGGTTGAGCTATGAAGCTGGCCCAAAAGCACCAAGCAGACCCCATGGGGATCTCTGGAGTTCTACTGTCCCAACAGAGTTGTCTTGCAGGGGCTGAGATGGCCAGGCCATGGCACCTACATCTCAATGAGTCATTGAATATAGTCAGATGTGGGAAGGGTGTGACCCTGGGCAAGGGGGTGATCACCCAGAAGGTGATCCCTGAGGGACTGACAGTGCTCCCCTTGCCAGGCAGTGCATTGTCACACACAGAAACACCCCAATATTAAAACAGACAAGCGACAGACAATACACAGAAAGGAAAAATAATCAAATACATAATTAAGCATAAGATGTTCAAGATTATCAGCAAGCAAAGGTCTTCAAACAACAACAAGATTCACTACTCCACCAAGTGCCATAGATTGGTAATATTTGTAGAAATATTGATAAGATCAAGACTTGTTGAGGATGAAAGAAATGAGTGTTTTTTACCACTATTGGGCAGCGTCAATCAACATTTTAAATGTGCATTCCCATTGAGTCAACAATTCTACTCTTAGGTCCTTTATTGTGGAGAAATACACGAAGACACAAAGAACCATCCACAATGTGTTTACTACAGCCTGTATGTAACTATAAAAACAAGGACTACCTAGATGCCCACAAGAAGAGATTTTCTTTCTTCATTTTTGTTTTTTTGAGACGGAGTCTCACTCTGTCACCAGGCCAGAGTGCAGTGGCGTGATCTCAGCTCACTGCAACCTCCGCCTCCCGGGTTCAAGTGATTCTCCTGCCTCAGCCTCCCAAGTAACTGGGACTACAGGTGCATGCCACCACGTCCAGCTAATTTTTGTATTTTTAGTAGAGATGGGGTTTCACCATGTTGGCCAGGATGGTTTCAATCTCCTGACCTCATGATCTGCCCCCCTCAGCCTCCCAAAGTGCTGGGATTACAGGCGTGAGCCATTGCGCCCAGCCAAGAAGAGATACTTTAAAGTACATGTTTGTTCTTCCATTCTGTGGAATATTATATAGTTGTTGAAAAGAACGAGATGTAGCTCTATGAATTTTGGTATAGGATATGTGTCCTCACATGGAAGTATCTCTGTCCTATTATTATATTTAAAAAATTAAATAGCAATGAAGATAGCATCCTGTTTATTGATAAAAGACAGGTATAAATGTACCTGTATATTGAGAGGGGAATCAATGGGGAATCAATGGACAGACAGCTGTGAAGAGTGGCTTTCATATTTCACTTTGGATATTTCCATATTTCCATTATTTCCATTTTCATTTCTTTATTTGAAAATACAATCATCAAATATTTGTATAGAATTGAGAAGTTTGCAAGGAAAAAATAGGCAGAAAATATTTTGCTTTTATTTGATTTTCCTTTTTTTTTTTTTTTTTTTTTAGTACTGAGTTTTGTATGATTTCATCCCCTTTGCACTTGCTCCCAGATCCTGGCTCATCAGGATGCCCATCCTGGCACTGAGCACGATGCATGGAGGATGAAATTCCCTTTCTTATTCATCCTCAGGGAGCCATCTCCTGACTGCTGGGAAGGCAGGACAGGTGAAATGCAGGGATGCACCATGGGGGCAGGGGAAGCAAAGAGCTGAGGAGTTGTCTGATCATTCCTGGAAAGATTGTGGGCCTGTTGGGCCTGAGAGAGAAGAGAAACAAACTAATAAAGGTGCCTGGTATAGCAGCCCAGAATCATACATGCCCTTCCACTTAGGATTCTGTCTTTTGTCAAGGATCCTTTACTAATATGTCTGCATCCCCATTTCCAGATCCAGTGTAACCTACCAAAGGACACAGTTTATGTTTTAATCTTTGGTATCCCCCAGAACATAAGAAATCCAATAATTGTGCGTGAATGGATTGGTCTATCCCCGCATTGCTTCTGTTGGCTGAATTCCGCAGCATGCCAGCTACCACTCAATTATGTAGTAGAAAGACAAGGGGTTCCTCCATTGGAAACACCTGCTCTAAGGCCACATCGCAAAGCTAAAGCAGCTGCCGTTCCTAATGATCTTGTGTATCTGCTGCACTGAATTCATTTTAAGAAGTAGTTTTATAAAGGGGATGTTTCTATAAGGTGAGATCTTGTCTCTCTGATCTTGAGTCAGGGAAAACTTCCTAAAGGAGCTCAGTTTGAGAGACAGCAGGTGTTTGAGGAAGTCGGCATGTGTTCTGTGTGTAACGGATGCCTTACAGGCACTCTTTGAGGCATGAATTGGGAATGACATGAGTGGGAGAAAAAGAGGAGATGGACAAAGAGACATTTTGCTGAGCTTTAGCAAAAAGCCAATAGGGGAACACAGAAGAGGACAAAGAAGGAAATCCAGGGCAAAAGAGCTGGCTCTGATAGAGACGAGGAAATGCTAGAGAAAAGCGGATGGTGGGTACCAGTAAACCACGAGGGAGGTCGTTTAGCCCTGGCATGGAATTTTGAAATAATAAGACACACATGATTGAGAGGCAACGATGAGACATCCAAAAGATGATTGGGCCCTTGGAGCGATGCCCAGGCAGCTCTGAACATAGAGCAGGCTGAATGAATCTTATCCAAGCCCACACTCTGGCCGTTTAAATATACCTTGGGTTTTATTCAGAGTTGCTGAATAAGGGCCTTCCCATGCCCGAGAAACTCCCTGACTATATTGTTGGCTGCTCTGAAAAAGCACCTCGCTCTTCCAGTCATTCTATACAATTCAGTAAATTGCTCTTTCTCTGCTAAGTGAAACTTTGGCAACTGGGGAAAAAACAATGTTTTTACATGGGCCACTCCTTTACAACTATATGTTCCAGGTACCAGGAAATTGCTTGAGCCCCCTGAAATGCTTTCAGCTATGGAGATGGGCATACTACTCTAATGCTCCCTTCTGCAACCTCCTCCTCTAGACGTGAAGCTCCCTGAAGGCAGGGATGTTTAAAACATGTTGCTGTGCTCCAATTGCTAACACAGTATATGGAATGCAGTCAGTGTTTTTTGAATTGATCTGAACTTATATATTTCTGTCCCTTCAACTAAAATTGGCTTCCTAAACAAAGGTTATGAAACTGGGGACAACATGACAACCAGTTTGCTTGTACAGAGTATTTCACATTGATCTCTTCTTCCATGCATTCTCTATTACCATTATTGCCTGTATCAAACGTTTGGAATGAAGTTGTGATCCCAAATTCTATCATCCCTGGTTATTTCAGGTGATGTCTTGTGCTCCATGATCGCCATGTGACCTAAGTGGAGTGACTTAGCCTTTCTCAACCCGTTTGCTCACCTGGAACATAAGAAAGAACAATATATATTTCACAGGATTTTTGCTGAGATTAAAAGAAATAACACATGAGAGTCTAGCCATGTGCCTGGTGGAGGGGAGGAGCTTAGACATATCAGCTGATTTTTGCTTCCCTGGATTAGGCCCCCAGACTAGAAATACATGTTAAAACCTGTTCATATCCCACAGTGCCTTGCATGAGGCTCAACACAAAGTAGAAGCATCATAGGATTATGACAGAATTTCAGGTGTAAGAGGGACTTAAAAGACATATATATCAGTGGCTTTCATGTTGTTTTTATCACAACTCACGTTTTATATCAGGATACATTGTGAGGTGTGTGTGTGTGTGTGTGTGTGTGTATCCAAGCTGAAATTTTTTATCCTTTTCTATCCTATTCTTTTAAAAAAAATGCTGACTGTAGCTTAATAAGTTAATTTTGTGACCATTAATGTGGCAAGACTTGCAGTTAGAAAAGAGCAATCGAAATTCTACACCAACCAGCCAGGAGACTGTGCATGTCTTCCCTGCATCACCCACCCCATAGTGACGGTCCAGCATCCATCTACTTAGATACACAGTACTCGCTACCAAATACTGTGGCACATTTGAGGCATTAAACATAAAGCAATGCGATGGCCACAGAAGACGATGTCAGAGAACATATCCTGCACAGCTGCATGCATGCACCAGACACTGCATGCATGCACCAGACAGCCCGCACGCAGGTCCCTCCACTCTCCTGCAGGAGGCACTGGTTTTGACCATTCAATTATGCATGCCTCTTTTGTGAGAGATCCACATAAATGAAGTGGCTGCAGCAAGAATACCCATGAATTCTTCATAAGTGCAGGCGAGGGAATGCCTCCAGTCTTCACTCCACAACGCCTTCCAGATGTGTTCTTCATCATTCCTCGTGCCCTCTCACTCTCCAACTCTGTTGGGCTGTGTGTGAGAATTGGGGTGTATCCATCACTGCCAATGCATCTTGCTGGCTGAGGAGTGAGAGTTGCCTTATGGAGGGAGACTGAACAGAAAAGATGGGTTTTTATTTCCCTAGAGAAAAAAGGACCCCCAGGAGGTCTTGGAGACAGAGATGTTCATTTGCTCCCAGAACAGGAAAGCAGAAATCCTTCCAGCAAAGACATTTTGCCTCTACAAAATGTAACCTGGTCTGATCTTCAAAACACACCTTCAGCCTTGCCTAAGGTGTAGAGGTTTAGTGATCTGCCATTGGAACCAATTTCAATTTTCCTTCTGAAGAGTGTCTCCCAACCCTCATCCCATTAAAGGCAGAGAGGAATCCAGCTGAAGATGCAGAAGTCAGGGCAGGTTCAGGTAAGATCCTTTCTCCTAGCAAAGGTGTTGCCCTCCTGGCTGACTGAGAGGGAAAGGCAAACCCCACTCTTTTCTTCCTTATTCAGCGAAGAGTCTGAGGTTGTGACAGCTGGTAAAGGAGACTTACCTGAAAAGAAAAGACACACCTTCCAAAGGGTTTCTTTTTGACCAGGGCCAAGAATTGCATCCCAGAAGTACCTGTTGGTGTTGCTAATAATGCAGCCAGAGGCCGGGCGCAGTGGTTCACGCCTATAATCCCGGCACTTTGGGAGGCCGAGGCGGGTGGATCACGACGTCGGAAGTTTGAGACCAGCCTGGCCAACATGGTGAAACCTTGTCTCTGCTAAAAATACAAAAATTAGCCAGGTGTGGTGTGCGCCTGTAATACGAGCTCCTCAGGAGGCTGAGGCAGGAGAATTGCTTGAACCAGGGAGGCAGACGTTGCAGTGAGGCAAGATCATGCCATTGCACTCCAGCCTGAGCAACAGAACAAGACTCCATCTCAAAAAAAAAAAAAAAAAAAAAAAAAAAAGTATGCAGCCAGGATAAAAGAGATGAATAACATGAGGCCTGGACTAGGGCAGGACCTGGTTCCAGGAGGAGAAGCTCACTCAATTTGAGTTCTGGCAAATGTTAATATAAATATCAATTAAGATTTTGATTGGATTTGATCATAGCAATGTGTAATTTTATTAACAAATTGTTTTAGTCAATACTTTGTGTTACTCATGGAAAACATGGGAAGATCCTCTAACTTCATAACTTTCCTGGACCCTACACCAGCTCAACACAGCTCCATTAGAGAAAAATACGCAGCTGGCATTAGGCATTTCTGGGGAGAAGGCTGAGTTCCTATGTGCTTCACTTGCATTTTGAGAGCCCCCGTTTTCTGGTATGCATTTGCATCTTCACCGGCTGGACATGCTGAGGACATGGACGCAGGATTCCTGGAAGATTTCTAGACTCTGATTGACTTCATTCACCTGCTTTCCAAAATATTGAGCACTGGTTAAAGATGAAGTCTTCAAAAGGAGCATCTCACTTCTCAGTGACTTACTAGGATCCCAGTGCACTTCTAACAGCAAGAGCACCCTGGTCAAGGAGAGAGTTGGCAGTGTAGGGAGATTTTAGAAGTGGGGTTGTCATTCAACCAACATGACTCCTTCTTAAGTGTCAACTGTGAAGTCTGTTCTTGCCTAATCTATGTTTCAGGCATTCAGTTGCCCCCTTTGCTTGGGATAGCTTCCTTCTCTCTTCTTCCTACACAACTTCCTTTCCCTACACACCATCCTCCTTCCAATAGCTACTTTGCCTGAGTAATTAATAACCCTCCTTCAGGTAAGAATTTAAGGTGACTATGTCCAGGAAACCTGCCCTGCTTTCCTTAGGCTGAGCCAGACATACTGCCCTTGCATCTCTACAGATCCCCGGCTTCTTCCCATCATGGTACTTACCACTTACAAATTTTATTGCAATCATCAGTTTCCTGATCTCTCTTCCAAAACTGATTGTGAACATTTTGAAATCAGGGTTCATGCCTCATTTGTCCTTTTACCTTGTGTGCCTGTTATAGTACTTGCTATATGATTAGTACATACGAATGCCGGAAAAAGTGAACAAATTATATTTTTCCTTGAGCCTTATCATTCCAGAAGAGATTGATCATAGCATTTTTACCCAATAGGGAAGTTTGGGGTTAGAGTGTATGTGTGTGTGTTTTGCTGTTGTGGTGATAGGAGGAAGGAAGTCTTTCCTACTTAGCAGTAACTGAAGAATCACTGGAAAGAAATTTCACAAATGAATCCTTGAGATAAGTTGACCAACTATCACTGACAGTGATAAATTTCACTGATACAACTGAAGCAGTCCTAGGCAAACTGGGATGATGGTCCTACCTGGAGACTACCTGATTATCCACCTATAAGGCTTCTATGATAAACCCCTTCTTGGATCTTTGGCTCAGAGGCTCTCTGTAATTCAGCTACATGGACCAGGCTACCTCTGATTCAGCTCTGGTGGATGAAAAGGTAACCTCACCTTACTAAGAATTTTCCAAGTCTTCCAGTTGCTTAAAATTAATGTACCTTTGCCATTTTCTTACCCAGTTTCCCTTTCCCAGGGGTGCCTTGTTCTCTTTTCTTTCCTACCCATTACCCATCTTCCTCTTGTAGCAATGGAACTCCCTGTGAGTTTTAGGGGTGAATAAACTGGAGCAGCTGCCTTGGACTCAGAAGCAGAAGCCACACGAGCATGGCAGAGCTGCTCTACTAGTTCTGTGCCACTACCTGTGGGCCTGTTAGATGAGAGAGGGATACATTTCTATTTTGTTGATAGCACTGTAATTTAATATCTCTTTGTTGTGGAGATTAGCACCTGTCCTAAATAATATATTAACCATGTATTATTTTCTAACTACAGAGGTCATGACTATTTACCTGTTGGAAAAAACTCAGAGATTTCCCCACCTCAGAAACCTCATGGACACCAGTAATTACAAAATCAACAATAAACACTACTGTCATTTAATGAGCACTTGCTTAGTGCCAGATGGGACCTCTGTCAGATGCCCTTAGGATACATAATTTCATTTTATCCTCACAGTAGCTTTCTGAGGTGAACTTTACTTTCTTAGCTTGCATATGAGAAAAAATGAAACTGAAAGATGATGTAATTAATCCAGCTCATATATCCAATAAATGGAAGAGTCAGGATTTGAATCTGACCAGTCTTTCAAACATAAGCTATAAGGCATCCAATTCATCTTTCCTAATGCCCAATTCCTTAGACACAGAAAAGTTAAAGAGAGGTCAGATGAACCTCTCACTTCTTCCAGTTTCCTGCCAAGACAACCATCTTGGCTGTGACATTCCCAGCCTCTCTGCACATGCAACTCAATCTCTCCCACCTATGTGTTTTCCACATGACCACCAGAGCTATATATGTGTGTAAATCAAGACTTATCAAAACAAAAAACAAATGGGCAAACCAACAACACAATAGAATACCAATATTTATCGAACACTTATTCCATACAGGCAATATGCACTGTCTGTGCCATCTAAAGTATTTCCTTAAATATAGTAGTTGAATTTGCATATCTTATCTCCTTCAATCCTCATAAATGTTCCATGAGAAAAATGTTATTATTATCCTTAGTTTTAAAATAAGAAAATGGAGACCTAGAGAGAAGAATTCATCAAAGATCACACACTAGTAAGTTCCAGAGTCTAAATTCAACCTGGGTCTTGATTCTAAATGTAGACCCCCTTCCATAGAGCCATCCCTAAGCATGGTATGTAAGACCCTTGCCCAGCTGAGACTAATTGCACCTCCTGTCAAGTCTGCTCATTCAGCTCCATCTCACACAGGGCATGCCTTGCCTGCCGCCATTCATTAGGATGTGCAATGCACTGTGCCTCGAATTCTCAATTTCGTTACCATGAAGGCTGCTCCTTCCTCCTTCCCAATCTGTCAGTTCCCTTCTGTTCTTATTTCTTTCTCTATCTAGGCAAAACTCCATGGTCTAACATTTCAACCCTACTCCTGTCAAGTTCCCAAAATGTTCTTGCCCTCTTTCTTTCCATTATATTGACCCAGAAAAAGCTTCAACCCTGGATCTATCCAACTATCATCTCCCTTTCTATATGGGAACTGCTGAGAGACTTTGGAGAAAATCACAACTCATAAACAATGTCATGGCCTCTACCTTCCCCTGGGGCCTTAATGTTGCATGACAATATGTCTGTCCTTCCTTAGATATGTCTTTTCCCCATTGTCATACTCTCTTCTTCGCCGTTAGCTGACAACTTTGCCTCCCATTTCACTGGAGGAAAAATAGAAGTCATCATTCATTCATTCATTCATCCATTCAGCAGGTATTTATCGTGTTCCTTCTATGAGCCCGGGATGCGTCTGGCTGTGAGAGGCTGCTAGGAACATAGTGGTAAACACAACAGACAAAAATCCCTGCCCGTGTGAAGCTTCTATTCCACTGGGAATGGACAGACAGTAAACAAATAATCAAGTTCATTACCAAAGAATATGTCTGATAGCGAAGCTGTCATGGAGAAAATTGAAGAAGGGGCGGGGAAAGGGCAAATCAATATTTTAAATAGATGGTAAAGAGAGGCTTCATTGATAAGGTGCTGAGTGGGGACTCCAAAGGAACATAACATGAACATTTGTCAAGCTCTTCTCCCTCTTCTGAGAACTCTGTGCCCACAGCCACCTGCACTGTGTCCCCTCCCATTCCCATCACCGTGGGATCCAGGGTCTCTCTCCACTGTCATTCCTCAATGCCCTAGATGACATTTCTTCCTCCTCAGAGACTTCCTTCCATTCATTATATCACCTCTTTCCTCTTCTCCGACTTTGCTTTTCTTTGCCAGGCCTTTTCTAATACCATTTAAACATATCATGTTTTAAAAATCGCAAAACAAAATCCCATTCTCACATCCCTATACTAACAACTCCCAAGTCTCTGTCTCTTGCCAGATCTCCCCCTGAGCCCCAGACTCAGATCCAGCATTTAAAGGATATCTCCACTTAGATGCCTCAGGGGCACCAGCACTGTGTGTCCCAAACTGAACTCACTCTCTTCTCCCATCACCCACTCCTAATCCTAATCCCTACACAATTTCCCTAGCTGAGATGACGGCATCATCATCCACTTACTGCTCCTCCGGAAATCTAGAAGTCCTCTTGCCTTCCCATCTCTCTCTTGCCTCTCATCATCTGCCAAGTTTTCTAGATCCTGGTCCCTGACTATCTCCAGACTGCACCCTTTTCTCTCTGTTTGCACTGTCTCTCTCATCTATATGACAACACCTTCTTACCTGCCTCCCTTGTCTCAGGCTTTCTATCTCTTCTTATCCAATCCTCCAAATGCAGCCAGAATGATCACTTTCAAATGCCAAGTTACTTCCCCTACCCCCTCTTCTAAATCGCTTCCATGAATATAGTTGAAAATATAAAGTCCAAACTGCTGGCATAGCACCAGAAGTCTTTCATAAGATGGTTTTTCTTACCTCTCCAGTCTTACCTCCCACTAGTCTGTTCCCCAGCTTGTCCTCCACACTCTCCCTTGTACATACATAAGCTCATAACCAATCTTCATTTTCCAGATGGTCTTGAATATATCATGCTAGCTATTATATTTGAGCCTCTGTATGAGCGTCCCACTTCTTTGATCATCTTTCCTCTCCTTCCAACTTCTCTTTACTCAGGACTTAATTTACATGCATCTCTTCTTCAAAGCAGTTTTTGCTGACCATTGCTCAAGGCTTGCTTTTGAACTTATTGAATGTTTCCTCATCGTATTCTCTGCTTACTTCTATTATACCACAGTACTAGGGCAGATTTAACTAGGATATACTACATAACAAACAACCCCGAAGTCCCAGCAGTTTATGGGAAAACAAGAATATATATCATTTGTTACCCTTGTTGCATGTTTGCAGATTAGGCTGGCTGATGAATCTCTGCTTCAGGCTGTGGGTCAAGTTCAGGTCTTCTCCATGTATCCCCTTTCCTAGGACTCAAGCCTAAAGGGAAGCCCCCTTCTGAGACATGCCTTTCTCATGGCAGATGATACAGGAACATAAGAGGCTGAGTTGAACAATGCCATAGAATTTAAAGCTTCTGATAGGACATGGGTAGGTTGCATATACTCACATTCAACTGGCCACAGAAAGCTACATGGCCAAGCCCAACATCAATGAGGCAGAAAAACACACTCCTCTCTCAGGGAGGCAAGGCAAGAATGGGCATGTGCACTCCTACAGAGGATGAAACCAATGTTTGTAAACACCATTACAATCCACCACAAGTGCTTAGACTTGAATGCCTTATCATTTGTCTGTCTCTCCCACTAAACTGTAAGTCCCTTTAGAACAAAAATGATTCTGCATCTTTTTTTTCCCTAATGCTTTACATGACACCTGGCACATCATAGATGGTCAATAGATGTGGCTTGTGTAAATACATCCTCACGGGTCACTTCTTATATGCTCTCCTGATGTTGTAAACCAAAAGAGTTACTTCTTTCTGTGTACTTTTATAGAACAATAGTCTAGGTCTATTCTAGCTCTTAAGACATTGTACTTTTTAAAAATTGTTTATGGGTGAATTTTCTCTCTGGACTAGAACTAGAGAGGAAAATCATCTCATCTCTAGCACCTAGTACAATATCTGGAAGAGAGAAATTCAATAAATTTCTGAATAATTGAATTAAATTATTCTCTAGTTGCAATCAGCATGTGTTTATTGATTGCCTGCTAGGTACTAGGCATTAACAGTCTGGTTAAAAGCTAGGAGGTCCCAGAGGCCAATGAGGTCAAGGGGGAAGAAGAAGCAAGGGACGAGAGCATTCTTGTGGTCCGGTGTTGAAGAGCAATGCTTGCCATTCTTGTGGTCCGGTGTTGAAGAGCAATGCTTGCCATTCTTGTGGTCCGGTGTTGAAGAGCAATGCTTGCCATTCTTGTGGTCCGGTGTTGAAGAGCAATGCTTGCCATTCTTGTGGTCCGGTGTTGAAGAGCAATGCTTGCCATTCTTGTGGTCCGGTGTTGAAGAGCAATGCTTGCCATTCTTGTGGTCCGGTGTTGAAGAGCAATGCTTGCCATTCTTGTGGTCCGGTGTTGAAGAGCAATGCTTGCCATTCTTGTGGTCCGGTGTTGAAGAGCAATGCTTGCCATTCTTGTGGTCCGGTGTTGAAGAGCAATGCTTGCCATTCTTGTGGTCCGGTGTTGAAGAGCAATGCTTGCCATTCTTGTGGTCCGGTGTTGAAGAGCAATGCTTGCCATTCTTGTGGTCTGGTCTTGAAGAGCAATGCTTGCCTCCCAGTGGGGAGACTCAGTGTCACTCCACCCACTGGTCCCTGCTCCTTCCACACCCCCTCTGCCTGCCTGCACCTCTTACCCCAATGGTGTGGCCATGATCTAATCTTCCCATCCAGTTTATTGCTTTACACCGCGCAGCTCACCAAGCACATTTGTGTTCATTGTGCAATTAGTGCTGAGTACACTGAACAAGATAATGACATGCAGCAAAGGCTAAGGGATGATGCCCTGGCTGTGTGCATTGCTTAATATCTCAGGAGAATGAGGTGCTCCTCTCCCATTCTCTGAGGCCCTGCTGCACTATGTATTCAAACCTGAACCATAGGCTCTCTTGAGAAAGAGCCCACCGGAATGCAGCCCAAGCAGCTCTTCAGATGCAAACCTGGCAATGAGCAGCACCAGTTATTTGGAGCAAAGAACATTGTTTCTTATTGAAATGTAACTGGTAAGGAATTTAGCGAGTGTGAACAATATGCTATGACCTTCTAGGTACTGAGTACGAGGGAGAGAGAGCTGCGACCTTGAATTCAGAGAAAAGTGAGCACTTAGAATAATATAATGGGAACAAGGGCCTGGAAAAACAATGGGAAATTCTGGGTTATGCCTTCCTGTCCTGGGTCAGGGGAAGGCAACTTCTCCTAAGTAGATGAAAAGACTTTCCTGTGATAGACCATTGGGCATAGTTTTCAAAAACCTGGGCCACTACCATCCTTCAAACAATCAATGCCATCTCTCCCCTAAAGGTAGGGTCTCGCACCCTGCCATTCTTTTTACATCTGTATAGAAAAGGTAAATTGAAACACCTCTCTCCCTAAACCTCCCTAGCCAGTCCACCTATTTACAAAAAACCTAAGTAGCTTCTGGTGGCAGAAGGAACACCAATAAGTACTCATTCATTCATTCATTCATTCATTCATTCACTTATCTGTTAATTCATTTTACTGATAACTGAGACACAGATTCCCTACAGGGCGCTGGGTGTTCATCTTTGAACAACATAAAGTGTACCTGCTATTGTGAAACTTACAATCTAGTAGGGGAGAGAAATATTAAATAAGTAAATAAATAAATATATAAATACAGATTATGACATGTGTTATGAACATTTGTATTTTCTTTTACAACAGGAGTCTTTTCAACTTGAAGGCTTCAAGGTTACATTATTATCTATATATTATTATTATCTGTCTACATATTATTATCTATATATATTATTATCTGTATATTATCTATGTTATATTCCATCAATATATTATTATCTATATATTATTATTATTTATATATTATTATTATGTATATATTCAAGGGAACTATAGATGGGCGTTTGGGAGTCCATATGTTTCTTAAGATTGTATGTAAAATATTCTATGAATATAGGTCGATGCTTTTTTCTCTGAAAAGTATCCATGTCTTTCACCAAAGTCTCAAAGAGATCTATGACCTCCTAAAAGTCAAGAACTGATGGCTTAGAACCACATCAGGCAGGATTTTCTTCTTTTCCCATTGCCACCCCTCAGAACTGATCAAATTTGCTAGTGTTTATGGTTGCCCCTGAAGCAGCCAGCTCAGAAAAGCAGAGCTAGAGAGGCCAGTGCTGTCTCCTGCAGGGCATGCGGGCAGGCTGGATGAGGGCTGTGCCCAGAGAGTGCCCACCAAGACCTCAACGCTGAATGCCTTTCAGGAGTGGGAAATAAGGTTATGTTTGTATCCTCTCAATATGTGTCTCTGTTGTCTGAATTGTTTACAATAAACATGTTGCGTTTATAATCAGGAAAACTAACACATTAAAGCTATTTTTACTTAGGGAGAAATTATGCATTTTACTACTTGTACACATCTTTTGTTGACTAAGGCATAGAGATTTATTACGCAAAAAATAGAATATATCAGCAATGTGGTTATATAAAATTTTCCCCTAACTAAAGTTAGCTCAGGTGAGGAGACAGATTGAGAAAAGGTTGTCTGTTCAGCTATGGACTACAGGGATGGCAGTGGGCTCCTCACTGAAAGCGGGCATCTTGGGCATGTATGGCTCCTTTGAGCTTGACTCCACCACATGTTGTTTCCACGTCACCAATCAGGGAGCTCATTCAGGAACAAGGCTAAGAGAGCAGGGCCAGACTTCCCTAGCTCACAAGTCATACTGAGAAGACAGTCCAGGACTTAGAGACAAATGATAAAGTTTCACGTCCAACCTCTTCAAATTAAATTTCTTCCTTTCTTTTTTTTTTTTTTTTTTTTTTTTTTGACGGTGTCTTACTCTTTCACCCAGACTGGAGTGCCGCGGAACAATTCTTGGCTCACTGCATCCTCCGCCTCCCTGGTTCAAGTGATTCTCCCACCTCGGCCTCCTGAGTAGCTGGGATTACAGGCATACACCACGATGTCTGGCTAATTTTTGTATTTTTAGTAGAGACGGGGTTTCACCGTGTTGGCCTGATCAGGTCGAGCTCCTGATCTCAAGCGATCCACCCACCTCGGCCTCCCAAAGTGCTCCTCTTCAAATTTCTAATAGCTGATCTGTGCCTCGATTTACTTGCCTACAAAAAGGGCATGTCACATCATCCCTGCCCATCTCATAGGGTAACTGTGAGACATAAACAAGCTTATGAGAGCCAGGATCACATAAAGAGCAGAGAAGAAAGGCTGTGTTACTCACAACATGTCAGCCAGAGACATCATTTTGCATCTAATATGACAATACCTGAGAATAAATACATTATTGAAATGCATACTTTTCATGGATGTAAATAACAATGTAGATCTAGGTATCACTCCAGAGATAGCTCTTATACATTGTTCTTTAACTGTGGGTACATTGGGGAAGGAAGTATTATATACCTAGGCCAGGAGCTATGTTTTCCAATAGTGTATGTCTGGCCCGTGGCTCCAGCCCATCCATCTTATCTGAAAACTTTTATCCCCAGAAAAGTCCACCTGTCACATCACATTACACAGAATACGAGCTAATGATAAAAAAGGCATGAGCATGTAGTAGGTGGCTCATGGTGCAGGGGGCTTTGAGGGCAGGAAGGGGGTCTAGAGAATGGCAGATCATTTGTCTGCAGCCCTCAGTCTGTGAGCTCTCCTGCACGGGAAAGCCATGGAGTGATTATTGCTGTTATTTATAGAGCAATTTTCCCCCTCATTTAGACATAGAATCTAGTGAGACACCTAGGCACAGATAAATAATACCTAACAGTTCTGCCCAGACATTTGTTCTCAAATTTTTATTTTTTTCTGTGCCGTGAGATCCAAACTGAACAGAGAAGCTCAGTGGTGAAAGGAAGAGTATCCCTTTCTGCAAGAACAATGTGGGGGACGTGGCATGAAAACAGGAAGGGAAAGAAAGCCCCGAGTCCTGAACCAGGGTGGGAAGTGGGAGTCTGACAGTGTCATTAAATGGAAAAAGAGTATATTTTTCATGTTTAATGACTTTCTCTATTATGAAGTGAGTAAGAAATGAGGAACTTGACGCTGAATTATGTCAAAGTTGGGTTCCAATATGACATGGTTTGACTGGGTCCTCACCCAAATCTCACCTTGAATTGTAGTTCACATAATCCCCACATGTTATGGGAGGGATCCGGTGGGAGGTAATCGGATCAGGGGGGCAGTTACCCCCATGCTGCTGTTTTTGTGATTGCAAGTGAATTCTCACGAGGAGATCTGATGGTTTTATAAGCGACTTCTCCCCCACTTCACTCTGCACTTCTTGCTGCTGCCATGTGAAGAAGGATGCATTTGCTTCCCCTTCTGGCACAACCGTAAGTTTCCTGAGGTCTCCCTAAGCCTGCAGAACTGAGTCAATCACACCTTTTTCCTTTATAAATTACCCAGTCTTGGGTATGTCTTTATTAGCAGGGTGAGAATGGATTAACACACAATCCTATACCGTTTCTGGGTCACAATGGACTGAACACTTAATCTCTCTGGCCTATGATTTAGTCTTCGATTAAATGTGAGGTTTAGACTAGCTTAGGATTTCTCAACTTGTGTTCAACAGAACATTAGTTCTACAGTGTGTTAATGCGCATTAATGTGAAGAAAAAAGAAGAGGGTGCTGTGGTCAATTAAGTTTGGGGGATGCTGGGTTAAACAGAGTTGAAAGGTTTCTTTACTCCAAGAATTCTTGGAGGTTTTAATATGTTAATGTGACTTCTGAGTGTCCAACAGCTGACTATAAATAGGAGAAACATTTTTCTCAACTTATCTGGCCCTAGGATTTGGGGGTTTTGTATTGGTTTTGTTTTATTTTTGCTTTACTTTGTTTTGTTTTGGTTAGCATCAGTAGAGATACAGAGATACTTTGGGAAGACTAAACTAGATGGTCTTAAATATCTCTTCCAATTCTCCAAAATTATGGGATTCTATGAAAGACCATTAAGTGGCCATTATGCTATTTTATGCTTGGGGATGGGCAAGAGAGACTAGCCTCATGTTTAGTGACAGCTAGAAGTATAACACCATGTGTGTGTCTTTTTTATTCCATCTTTATGATAGTCTAGCAGGGTGAGCCCTATCATTCTAATCTTACATGGGAGGATATTGAAGTTCTAAGGGATTAAGCTAATTTCTCAATAAATGCAGCTTGGATATTGTGGATTCTCTAGTCAAACAAAGGGATGTATGGATGCAATTTTAAATAAGATGACATTTAAGCAAAACCTTGAAGGTTGTGAAGGAGATAGCTGTGCATATACTTGGGGAAGAGTGTTCTAGGCAGAAGGAATAGCCAGTGCTAAGTTAAAAGATAGGAGCCTGCCTGACCTGCTTGAGGAATAGGAAGGAGGTCAGCAGCACTGGGATTGGAAGGGGTAGAAAGTGGGGCATGTTGGGCCAGAAAGGTAATGGGGCAGCAGATATCAGGCAGCACCATGTACCAATCTTGGGAGCTCTGGCTTCGACTCTGGGGGAATGGAGATCAGAAGAGTGACATCATCTGGCTTACGACTTTAAAAAGATCACTTACTTGGTCTATTGGATTTAATACAGATTCTAGGGAGGTGTGATAGTCATTTGTACTGCCCGCAAATTATTTCTGGTTCTCCTGGAACATGAACAAGTTGTACTTTCTTTCTCCCTTAAAGTTAGGCATGGCCATAGGACTAACTTGGCCAAAGAACTGCAAACAGAAGTGGTAGGTTTCTCTTCCTGGTAGAAGGTTTAGGGGCTTGTGGGCAATTTGGCCTCTACCGTGTGATTGGTGACGAGGGCAGCTTTGTCAGTCTGGGTCCAGCGGAGGCTATGGTGAGCAGAGCTCCTCTTCCAACCAATGCCGAATGTGACAGTGAGTGAGAACTAACCCTGGTAGTTAAGTCACAGAGAAGTTGGTGTGACTTATTTCTGGAGCATAATATAGCCTATTCTTACCAATATAGGGGCAAGAGGAGAAGCATAAGATACTGCAAGAATTTAAGTGAGAGAAGATGTTGGGTGAGTCCAGGTATGTGTATTAGAAATGATAGACGTGTTTGGGTTGTGGATATATTTTGAAGGTGGAGCCAAGAGTTTCCTGCTGGATTGGTTATGAGGTGAAACAGAGGGAGAGGATTCAGCATCAACTCTATGTTTTTTGGCCTGAGCAATTAGCCAGACAGAATTGTCATCAGTTAGCATGAGGAAGACTAGGTAAATGAGAATTAGAAGTAAAAAAGGTTTGTTGTGCTTTTTACGTTTAATTTTCCACTTCATTCTTTTGAAAATGTTTTATACTTTCTGGTTATCTGCTGACATTTTTGAGTTTAGCTTTTATCTTGTTGGATATAGTATGGGAAATCATAAAAGGTTTTAAGTAGTAGAGTGACAGGATCCAATTCATGAGTCCTTTAGAAAACTAAGTGCATGAAGATAGCATCTTGTTTTGTTTTTCTTTTCTTTCTTTTTTTTTTTTTTGAGTGAACAGACTAAAGTGCCTAGAAAAGATATTAGCAGCATTTTATGTGACTCCCTTTTGGAGCCAGGGTTCAAAACAAACCATTTGGAACTCATTGATTTCAGTTTTCTCTTTATTTTTTTCCACCTTAATTGAGTCCTTTGACTCTAAAGAGCAGATTGATTCTGACTCTTCTAATTTTCTGCCTGCTTGATGATTCTCACCTATCATGTCTGCTTCCTATCTACAGACAATCGTTATTCCCCTTCTTCTGGACACACTAAAATTAGAGCATCTTGGGAGGACACCCAGTCTGATTCCAAATTCCCTTTCTTTTGGTAGTTTGCTCTGCGAGGTTCCACTCAGCTCTCTTGACAATGCCAACATCCCTGAAGCCCTTAACCAGGCAGAGGTTGCAAACTGTCACCCTCATGGCCAAATCCTTCTGCATGATTCCCAAAGTTTTGTTTGACCCACATAGTGATTTTAAAAATTGTCACTATTTAAAAATAGGAAGACTTTTTTTTGGAATTCAGAAATGTTACCCACACCAAGAACCTTCTTTCTGAGTCTCACGCAAAGGTGTGTTAGAACTGAGTAGCTTTGGGTTCTTTAAAAGGATCAGGTACTCATCGGCACTCCCTGTCCTCACCTGGATAGCTGAATTCATCCATGTTACCTGTGCTGTTCTCTGCTTTCAAGATTGCAGAGGCCTTCCATATACATTATTGTATTTAATCCTCACAACCTTGTAAAGTCAATGTTTTATACATCAGGAACCCATCCTTCTCAGAGCTGTATTAATTGCACTTTTTATTTGAGTACATGTAAGGTTACTTAAGTGTTTCTATTTGGATTCTCTAAGGGCCAGAATTAAATATTTGGCATTCTTTATTTTCTCTAAACAGAGTGCATCCTGGACTTTGCTCAGGAATATTCCTCCTTGGAGGTGTCGGGTGGTGCCATGCTGTGAGGAAAAGCATGAACTTTGGGCTCATGCTGTCTCACACATGTGTTTGCTGTGTCTCCTTGAGCATGTCATTTAATTATGCCATGTCATGATAGTCTCATCTATAAAACAAATATAGAAAAATAATCTTTAATATTTTCTCAGTGTTTTTTTCTACCTATGCAGTGTAAACTGGAAGACAGTAAGTGACAGGGAATGAGACGGAAAGAAGTCGAGGCCAGGTCTTGGAGGAGCTTGCCATGGTCACAGCAAGATAGTCTTATTCACTAAGCCAATGACTTTCAAACTTTATGTCTGGGAGCCCTCAGGCTATGTAGACTTGTTTCTCCTGCAAGGCCTCTCCTAGGGGAAAGCAGTGAGTGGCCTGAGCCCCATACCCCCAACCTCATTCTGTTGAAGGATGTGGCAAGCCACTGCACAGTTTTCAGTGGAAATGCACTCTATGGAGGATAGATGTGAGGGGACAAACCTGATGACAGGCAGGAATGTAAATGGGAAACACATGCTTAGTAAGAAGAAGAAGAAAAAGGCTTATGAATGAAAAGTGAGCCTAGAAATGATGACTAATGATTGGGTAGCCATGAGCATCATGAAGAAGAAGGATCCAGGCTGAATTCCACATTTTTTATTTCATTAATGGTTATAAGAAATTAAGGAGTGGGGATCATCTGGGAGCAAGAAATAATTTTAGAGAAATGGGAATGAACATTAGAATTATGATGTACCCATGGAACATCTAAATTAAGGTATTGATCATGATATTGGAGGAAATGTTAGACAGTCAAAACAAGCAGATTCCCCCACATCCCCGCCACTTAACTATCCAAGAGCTTGGGAGTGAGCTGGGGAATGTTGCCTTCTGTCTCTGACCCGATTTCATCATTCACTAAGTAATGCACTTGTGCATTGAGAAGATCAGAGAAATAATAGACATTCAAGTATTTAAACATCATTAGGTTGTATGTGAATGTTATGTTTTACTTACTGGCTCAGTCAGTAAAAATGAGAAGCAAAAGCAAAAACTTATGGCATTTTGAAGTTGGAAGTTCCCCAGAGGTGGGTCCACTCTACCTTGGATCTTAGGCAGGACCCACACTACGATCTGCAAGGGAATCTCTCCACAGCTGCTCAGCACTCTGGCCAGCCTACTCTAAAGGACCATGGAAAAAAATGATGCCCAACCATTGACTCTGGGGCTTTCTGTACGGTCCACACAGAACTTACCTCTTCTTAGAAGTCTTCCTTTGTCAATTAATCATTTCTTGGGCAGCTTCTTTATTATCTAAAAAAAATTACTTAATTTGTGCCTATCTGAGATTTCCTTTGCGGTATCCTTAAGAACACTAAATGAGGAGTTATAATATGTGCACACGAAAGCAGACACTTTCCAGTTATAGAAAACGAGGGGCTGTGATTTAACTTCTCCCACTGCTTCCACCCCCCCATTTCTTGATTGCTGCCACACAAGTAGCTATTAAACAGTGTGAGATATGGTAACATGCCATGTTTTATGTTTTATTTTCATCACATGCAAGTGATTTATTAAGAAAGAGCTCCCGAAGGATCCATTGGAGGTAGAGGGACAGGACAGGGAAGAGGAGAAACCAGACAAGCAGGAGACCCCAGAGGCTCGCTTTAGCCTTACCTCAGGTAAGGCATTCCTCAGAGCTGTGCCCACGGGGGAGCTGGGCTTCCCTACTCCCACACCTGGTAGTCACTCTCACATAGGTGAATGTAGGCACAAGAGCATTGTAAAATGACAAGCTCTCTCAGCAGTGCTCGCTATGCATGACGAGGTTTTAATGAAGATGTGTGGACTCAGGAGCAGTGAATACACTCGCAGCAGAAACCCAAATGCTGGTGGTGAGTTCACCTGCTGTTATCATTTCTTCCTCTTGCTCTGGGAAAATCTCCTGCTCATAAGGTTTGTGCCACAGGTTGGTCAAATGAGGATGCTAGATGAGATCCTCTCAGCCTTGCTGTTCCTTGGGTAGGACACTTGGTGCACCACTCAGTACCTGCCAACGCTCAGCCCCTCTTAGCCCTGTGCTGCTGAAGTTGTGGCTGTGATGTGGCCCTCAGGGTAGAGTGTGCCCTGAAGAGGAATGGATGGGATATTGCCCTCCTTTTCAGACGGACATTGGAGCCCCTGTCAGGATCAGCCAAGCCTAGCAATCCGGCTCCTCGGGTGGCTAGGAGTGGTCCCTCTCTCTGGCCACCCAGGCTGGAGTGCAATGCCACGATCTTGGCTCACTGCAACCTCTGCTCCCTGGGTTCAGGCAATTCTCCTGCCTCAGCCTCCCTAGTAGCTGGGACTACAGGGGTGTGTCACCACACCCAGCTAATTTTTGTATTTTTAGTAGAGATGGGGTTTCACCATGTTGGCCAGACTGGTCTAGAACTCCTGACCTCAAGTGATCTGCCTGCCTCGGCCTTCCAAAGTGCTGGGATTACAGGCATGCATCACCACGCCTGACCCCATCTTCTTCATTCTAAATGATATCAACAGGAATCAGGGGTTGGCTCTGGAGGAGACTGATTAAAAAACACTCCAGGAAGACGACAGAGTTCCTCCCAACTGCTTTCCTTGACAGCCCTGCTCCCTGTGTCTGCCATTTCTCTGCTGGCTGCTCAGTCCATCAGCAACCAAAGGAAGATCTGGGGGATTAGCTCTATAACCCTGCCCACAGGAACCTGAAGAAAATTGAATGTGGGAAGAAAGGGGCCCAGATGTAAAAGGAGAGAGTTCAGGGGTGGGATTTCTTTCTTTCTTACTCTTCTTTGGTTGTTTCTGTTTGTACAAGATGTGTTTCCTCCCTCAACCTCATCCAGCTGTCTTCCCAGCACATTGAAGAAAGGAGGGAAAAAGCTATTTAAATTTATACTACTGAATTTCTGTAGGACACTGAAATATTTCTGAAGTTAATAGGGGAGTGCTGAATAGTTTGTTCCAAATAATTACAGAAAAAAAGTACATTGAAATAATTAGTAGTTGCTACTAGAACATTCAGCAAAATGAAATGACATCTTTGCATGTCTATTAAGCAGCACTTTATTTTCAGTTTAGGGTGTTTTGGATGAAATTAGATGGTAAACATACTGCATCGTTGAGTGATTAGATGAACTAGTATCATTTAGAGTTAGACTAGCATCATCATCAGCTTTTTTCTTTTCCTCTTTAATAAAAAAAAGTTACTGTGCTCTCCTGTTAGGCAAGATTTTAATAGAAATGGGACCAACTGCAACCCTTGAGACTTCAGCTTAAGTGGCTTAGGTGTAATCTCCCTGGATGCCAGGAAAGACGTTAAACAGAATCTGATTATTCCATATTTTCTAATTCTGGGATTCTCTTCCTACTCTGCTTAGAGAATACATAAAAGCTCCCACACCACTGGTAACTTTAAAAAAAATCCAAATTTATAAATTTAGAAAAGGAAAGGGAGAGACTTTATTTCTTATAGAGGGTTACAGCCTGCAAGAGGGCCATCCCCTGGGCTGAGAGACCTGCCTCGGCCAAACCCAGGCAGGCACTTCACAGGAGGATTTGCTGGACTAACAGCTTTATGCTGAATGGGTTGGCTAAACATACCTGTTTAACAGGTGACAGGAGGAGCTATGAATATTCACGAAGGTGATCCCGACACACACGTACTGAACAAACATGCATGTAACATATGACCCATGTTCACTTTGGGGTGGAGACGGAGCATTTAAATGTATTACAATTAGGTCTTATTTGTCAAAAGGTCTCAGGGCATGAAGGCACGCAAGTGCACAGTCTCTGTAAATCAGCCGGAACCACTGCATGGTCAGTGTTCTTACCTGGAGAAAGTTACTGAAATCAGTCCCTGTCTAATCAAAGGTGTTGTCATGGCTGGTGAAACAGGGGTCTGTTAGTCAGCCTCTGCGAGCTGATGAGTTGTGTATGTTTTAATTTTGCTTATCTCAAGGCCAGTGCTTGTTTAGCTGCTAGAGAAAAAGAAAGAACCTTGTGGCAATTGGAACCTAGCTTATGCTTTAAGTCTGGGGTGCATGATTTAACTGCTGCCTGGCACGGCCTTAGGTCCTGTTTATCATTTGAAATCTTGTTGCCACAAAGCGTCCGTTCCATCTGTCTTATGGTCTCTGCTAAATGCTGGTTGGTTGTTGTATCTAAACGCAAAAGGGAGGGGACGCAGCACAACGTGTTTGACCTCCCATCTTGCTGTGGCTGGGAGCTAAGTTTTTAAGGTTTTTCTGGGGCCCCATTTGCCAAGAAGGGGTCCACTCAGCCTATGGCAAGGGCTTAGGATTTTATTTTTAGCTTACACCACCCACCTCTTTACTTTCAAAGCAGAATCTGATTTGCCAAAAACAGAAAATAGTCTTAGTCTAATGAGAAAAACCAAATTTGCCTTTAGCTCCACTCCTAGCCACTTTTACATTTCTCCTCTCTATTAAAAAAAATTCAAAAACTATTGACCAGGAGTGTGATTTCAGGATTTTAATTTATGGCAGGTGTTTAAGCACTAACGCCCTTGCCCCTCTCCCCTCTGTGTTCTGTCTTCCTCTTCTCCCTTTTGCCCCATCCTGGTCCTTCTGCCCCTCTGTGCCCCTTCTTCTAAGTGCTCCCCTTTCCCCTCTTCTTTCCTCACTCCAATGAGAGAAGAGGAAACAGAAGGAAAAACAAACGGACAGACAAGGAGTCCAGGTGTCACAACGGTGCCACGCACACTCGAGTGTGAGCACTGCATAATAAAGCATTGTTATTTTTTACTGTTTAATACGCTATTTTGGATGAATATTTAGGAGGCAAAATGGACTGAGAAAAATCATATGAGACTGTTCTACTTTTCTCTGATATTTTATTATTGTGCTCCAAGAAATTTGTCAGCTCGCTGCTTCCTCATTAAAAAAAATTAAAATGCTTGGGAGTTCTGAGATTCCATCTTGTGCAGAGAGGAAAGAGGAAATGGGGGAGAAATGACCCATGAGAAATGACCCCTGATTCATGGTGGGAAACAGCAAAGGAATGAGACAGCTGGAGACCACGGAGCTCCATAGTTGACTTGGGGCTGCCATGTTTATTTTCTGGCCTGGCGCTTCCTTAGCCCAGAACACTCACCTCTCCCTCCCTAGGCTCGTTTGTCCAGGGTTACCCATTAGGAGGCGCTGCCTGCTACCATACCCTTAGACCCCCGGGTTGTGCCTACTGAGCTCCAGGAGAAGGGGATACCATTGGCCTTTCCTGCCCTGGAAGCTGAGCTTTCCATGTGTCCTCCAATGGGGCAGCTGAGCAAGGTTCTGATGCCCTCATAAGAGGACGCATTTACACTCGTCACTTTTGCTTTGTAATATTTGCTATTCAAGTGGATCCCTTCCAAAGACCAGTTTGTTGTTTACCCCAGAAGAGTGACACCAAATTTTACATTTAAGACAAAAATAAAAGGAAGAAAGAGCAAATAAGCTATGGAATTTATGTGGGGGCGGGAAGGGCCTTCCAGGACGCATAGAGCTGGCTGTGCCATCTGCCTCCCCTTAGCTTCGGTGCCTCCTTGACTCCTTGGCCTGCTATCAGCCTCACCTCTGACACAGGGGTGGCGATGACAAGAGCTAAGGCCACTTCTGCAGCCAACGCTTGGGCCTCCCCGCAAGGGAAGCTTTCTTTGCAACATTGCTCAGCTCTGTGAGTTAGTGGGGCCACTTTCCCCTTCCCTCCAATGCTCCATTTTCTCTTACAGGTCATGTTCCCTTCAACTCTGCCTTCCTCTCATCCTGCACCCGTGGCTTTGGTGGACTGTGCTCCTCTGCTTGTTCTTCCCACGGATAGAGCCCCATCAGCATACGGATTTGTCTTTTTCTTGCAGCGCTGCATGGATGCAGCCATTCCTCTGTATCTCCCCTTCCCTGATCCTACCTATGGTGACTTCTTCAGTTGCCCCACTTAGACAGTGCCTCTCTTGTTGAACTTGATGCAGGGGCAGTTCAAATCTTAATCACTAGCTTGCCTCCACACAAGAGGCTCTCCTGCAACTCAGTCGCACATTTCCTCCTGGGATAAGCTCTGGACCCCGTAGCCACAAATTCAGGACACTGTTTCCTAAATGGCAGCAAGGCCTCTTGGCCATGCTGGCCTGCCCTTACTGGGGCAAGAGGGGATTTCAGCCCATGATGCGAAAGAAACTGAAACCTAGTCATGGGTGATGCTTGGAAACATCCCTAGAGGCAGTGCTGCCACTCAAAACTGCCTGCCTCACTCATTGCTGACTGCCTGCCTCCCCCACTGCTGACTGCCTGCCTCCCCACCCTCAGCTCTGAAAACTCATCTCCACCCTAAGACAGTAGGAAGGTGTGAGCACTTGCCTCTGCCTGTTCCACAACCCCAGCCATGGCTCTGTGGGGCTTCTTTCCCAGCCCCATCAGCCTCGGCTGTGAGGGAAGATAGTGTGGCTCTGCCAGGTAGCAGGTGCTGCAGGAAGGAACAGGATACAATTTTGGTTATATAGGGCAGCAAATATACTGCAAGCCCTCAGGGAAAAGCCACAGCCTCAGTTCCCAAACCAGGTCGGTTCAGAAGCTTTGTGCTCTGGATTTATAGTGTCTGTATTGAGCCAATTTAAACAATTTCAAGCAACAGGACCCATATGATAAATTGCATGTAACTCATCCTGTAAGAGAGAGAAGAGGCTTGGATTGAATTTGAACTTTTAGGGGTGGAGGGTGATCCAAGGAGCCTCAGAGTGTTCTCTCATAGCCATTAAAACCAACAACTAGGCAAAAAAGGACCAGCCTATATGTAAGCAACAGCACCCGTGCCTTGGAAACAGGATAGAGGCAGGTGGGTAGTCCCATAACAAAGGCATGGCTGTGGGGTGCTTGGGGATGGCTCTGTGGATCTAAGCCTTACCAGCAGGCTGGATTTGAGGGAGTGAAGTAACCTCACCAAATGTAATAATAATAATAATAATAGTATCTATTAATAATAGTATCTGTGTGGTTTTGAGTATCAAAAGACATAAAATAAAATAGTACTTAATATTTATTATGTACTTAATTTGTGCCACATACTATTCTAACTGCTTTATATGTTCATGATGTGGTTCCCAGAATATAGTAAGTACTTAATAATTACTGAATGTCTTTTTTAAATAATGACAGTCATAAAAACACTTTTAAAGCACACATCATGCGTCAGAGCTCTGTTCTAAATACTTTATATATCGACACACTTAATCTTTGTAACAGCTCTGTGAAGCAGGTACTATACTATCATCCCCATTTTACAGATGAAGAGACCAAGATGCAGAGAGGCTAAGTTAAAGGATTGCCCAAGGTGAAGAGCTGTTAAGAGGTGGACCTGGAATCTGAGCCTCCGAGATGCCCGTAAAGGCCGGTTCTTAACTACTGGATGTCCTCCAATCAATACTGACTGAATTCCTTCTAAATGCCAGGCACTATTCCAAGGGCTTGGAATACATTAGAGCTCCACACAGACAAAAATCTCTTCTTCACCTCCTCGAGAGGGAGACAGACAATAAACAAGTCAAGTCAGTAAAATATCTACCTTGTTAGAAAGTGGTCAGCAGTAAGGAATACAAATGGAGCAGAAGAGGGGAATGAGATGTTTCAACCTGGGGAAACTTTGGAATGTCGGATCAGGAAAAGCCTCGCTGAGGAAGTGGTGTATGAGTCAGGACCTAAGGAAGTGAGACAGCTAGCCCTGCATCCAAGGGCAAGAGCATCCCAGGCAGAGGCAGCCCGTGCAAAGACCCTAGGACCTAGGTTGTCAGAATTAATTACATTGATTGGATCCACACGCCCTCCTCATCTCAAATATCTGAGCTTAGCAAACATCTCAGCACCAGAGTTGAAGGCACAAGGGTTTGGAAGTAGACTTTGAAATGTCCCTTTTTACTTACAAATCCAGCTGGTAACCTCTGCAGGTTAACAGGACCCATTGCTGCCATGAGCACTCATGCAGGTGTGAGGACCAAGTTTGCGTCTTCTGCTTGCAGATGGAGAGTGCGAGAGAGGGTCTAAAGCTGAAGACAACCTTACTTAAAATCACTTTGATCCAAGGATTGTAGCCATTTAGTGCTTATTGATTTTTCTTTCCTATTTTTAGGAAGGTGGGAGCATGCTAATTAAACATTTTTGAGTAGAACTGGCTTCCAGGGAGGATGGCTTAAGAGCCCCAGAGAGCAGAATCTTTTATTTGCTTTCCACCAGAGGCCCGAGGAATGCAAGAGCCAGTGGATCTGCATGTTTCACACCTCCTGGCCACCCAGGCTCTGCATCAGGGCAGAGGCTCTCTGAGCCCCGTGTGGCCTGTGCCTCGCCTTCTATCCTTGCCTCCTGTGAGGAGAGGCATCAAGAGGATGGGCAAAGAGAAAATGTTTTTAAACAAGAGATGAGGACAGCCCCTCCATGTCTATTGGAACATGGCTCTAGGAAACGTGAGTCTGTCAAGACCAGACCCCTCTAGAACCTCAGCTGACCCCATACGCTCGACTGAGGGTACCTGGCAGATGGTCACAGTTAGCCCTGCCACCAGCTTCTGGAAGGACACAGGGCTGAATGCCAGGACACTGCTGGCTGGACCATCCCATCCCAAATGTTCTCAGCAGCACAGTCCAAGAAGGTGCCTTCCCCAGAGAACTCTCCAGGGTTCCCGGGCCGAATGAGGCCCTTGAGTGCTTTATCACAGAAGCAAACACACAACACACCAACTTACATTTCTGTCTCCACAGATTTCTTTCCTTTCCAATTTTACATGTATCTCTTATTCTGTTAAGGGTCCAATGGTATTTTATTATACTTTTAACGATAACAGTAACATTCAGCCCGACACTATCTTCCTTCGCTTAATGGATTATCTTCAAACTCTGAAAGGCATATATTATTATCCCCATTTTCCAGATAAGAAGGAAGGCTTATACATGTTACATACCTCATTTAAAATCAAAAGTTAGTAACTGGCAGAGCTGAAGTTTGACCCAGCTCTGAAGACTCTGCAGCACACACTCTCAGTGTGATATTAACTTTCCTGTGTCAGCTATCCAAGATCTGAAAATGTATATACCTATATATGTACATCTATACATATCAATACAATTAATATACATGTATACTGTAGGAAAAACAAATACTTTTTCATGTTACCACATATTATAAAACAGATTGACAAGAGAAAAGCACACATATGTATTTAACACAAATTTTATATAACGTGAGAGCCTTCAGAAATAAACACCTCCCAAAACAAGAGAATGCGTGCGTTTTTCTGCTGAGGTCTGATGAAGAGTGGACAGCCGCGGGGAAGTGTGATTGGACATAAGGGTTTGATCTAATGGCAATAAACTGGGGATGGAGTTAACAAGGCCCTGTTTGTTCAGATTCTGCTCGGTGTTAAGGTGTCTTCAGAGATAAGGGTGCTCCTTCCCTCCAGGTAGAGGAAGGGCATCTCTGGAATGAGGGATCTCATGACCTGCTTCAGGGGAAAATGACTTGGGGGAAGTGAAAGCAATCTTCCTGCTTCTGCTGTTTTCTCAAATGCCAGGGTGCTATGTTTTGGAATAGTGTGTCGTTAACCATAGCAGTGCTTACACACACATATACTTGCATGCATGTACGCGCGCGCGCGCGCACACACACACACACACACACACACACACACACAGAGAGAGAGAGTATGGTCGGCTATAGGAATGATTGGAAAGAATTAAGAGTGCTATACGCTGGGCAAAGTTGTATGGAGCAGGGTATAGGAGGTGAATATGAGGCATGAAATGTACTTATTGTGGGTGGGGAATGTTAATACCTTGTGCTCCGAATGTCTCACGAGGACCCCAGTAAGAAGGGGTGGGGCTGAGCATCTGTTTGCTGTGGGCCTTTCTGTGCATGCGGGCTGACAATAAAGCTGTTTGCACAGCATAAGCTCACATTAGAAAATGCAGACCACTGGCTGTCTCGCCGAGTGTCTGTGTGGTGTTTGCACACAGATAAGTACGAGGAGCCTAAGCGTGTCTGTCCTGGAGGCGAGCAGAAGGACAGAGGTTGTGGGAACAGAAACATCCCACTCTGTGCCTGCCAGGCAGTGCACCTGGGCTCTGAGCATTTTCATCCAAGCTGGACTAGATGCCTTTGCCTCATCCATGATAGGAAAACAAGCTGGTTGTTGGATAGAGCACCCAAGCGTGGATGTTTCATTATAAAAAGATAAACAAATGGTTCACTGCTCTTGTCCCTTCTCCCTGGTGTTTCTCATGCCTGGACAGCCTTCCCCATCAATGTGAACTCTTCCTTTCCCTCAGAATCTTGCTGAAAACGTCTTCGCTCAACCACCTGGGATGCACTGCCTCCTGATATGGCATGGGTTGGGGGTGTCTGTACATTTGTTTCTCTGTTCATCATAATATCCAGTGGACTCCTGCTTTCACAGGCATGTTGTCCTGTGGAATCCTCCGTGAACACTCCTGTGTTCTGTTGTCTCAAATGATAACATCTACAGAGCACATCATACTGCGGACCTCATCGACACCCCTCACGTCCCCTCCTATCTCTGTGCCCTTTGTCACACTTGGTCACACCACCCTCCACACAGACTCTCACACTTCCTCCTTCTCTTACCTCTCTATCAGATCAATTTCTCTTGTTTACTTATTCATTCAACAACAGAAGTTTACTGAACACCCTGTATATGAAAGGCACCGTTCTAGCACTACGGATACAGCTCAGAACAGAGCAGACAACACTTCTGAGGAGGCAGGCAGTAAGGAAGATAGCTGAAATACGTCAGCTTGTGAGAGGGTCAAGGAGAGACATGAAGTGGAAGGGGATAGAATGCATTGGAGGCACGGCAGTGCCACGTGGGTGTCTGGAAGGGACTTGCCGAGCTGGCAGGTGAAGACACAACTGCAAGAAATGAGTGAGTGAGCCATGCGTTCACCAAGGGAAGAGCCTCCGGCACCAGCAGACGGCAAGGGTCCGGGCCCTGGGTGGGAGCACACCTGGCCAATAGGACAAAGGAGGTGCAGGTGCCCAGAGCGGAAGGAATGGCGGGAGAGAAGACAAGGCAGGAGGGGTACGGAGCAGGGGAGCTGTCAGTCATGCAGGCTTGAAGGGGATTTTGAGGACTTCGGTTTCTACTGAGTGAGATGGGGAGTTATGGGGGATTTTGACTGGGCATGTGTTAATAGGATCTCTGCATTCCAGAGAATAACATGAAGGAGGGGGAGGGGAGAAGCCACAAGACCCACCAGGAGGCCACCGCGACACTCTCACTGAGAAACACTAGCAGTGAAGTCCACAGTCCTGGCAGTGGAGGTGCTGAATCCTAAAGGACAGGCCTCTCTATTGGAGAGAAATGGAGCCAAAGGTGACTCCAAGGGCCTTTGAACTGATCAAGTGGAAGAACAGAGTTGGCATTTGCTAAGATGATTCGTGATTAAAAATCACTTTCCAAGCCCTGCTAGTTCTATCTCTTAGGGATTTCTAGACTCTTTTTCTTTCATCCCTAAGACAATTTCCCTAATTTATCCACCCATTGTTTCTCACCAGGATTAGTGCAGCAGATCTCTAACTGATTCCCCGTCTGCTAATTGTTCCCTAATGCGGCCTCATCACAGAGTGAGCTATGTCAAATAAAAATCTGGCGAAATTACTCCCAGACTAAAATCACCATCCACCACCATCATCCACTCTGCCTACAGGGAAAGTTCAAGATCCTTCACATGGCTCATAAGACCTCCCTTATCTGGCGTCTACCTATCTGTTCACTCTTGTCTATCAATACAACCTTCTTAGGAATTTGCGCTTAAACAACTTGAGGTCAACCACCCTACCCCAACACAAACACACATATAGCTGCCTGGGCCATGTCTCATCTCTGTCGTTGCTTCTCTGTGGCTTCTGCTACAATGCTCTTCCTACCTAGTGTTTGCCTGGCTAACTCCTACAGGCCCTTGAAAAGACATCTGAGGCTTCACTTTCTTCAAGAATCTTCTTTAATTGCCCCATTACCCAGTGTGTGCATCCATACTCCATGCTGCCATAATCACCATGCAGCCTCCATGGTTAGGCTCACCACATGCTTGCTGAGATGCTATTTCCATAGTTGTTGCTTCCATGGAAGCTGGGCTTGAGGGTAAGGGTCATGGCTTATTCATCTGTTTATCCTGAGTTCCCAGCCCAGTACAAAGTCAGGGATTGATACATAATTGAGAAATGAGTGAATCAAAAATGATTGGCTGGACTATAATTTTGAGAGGAAAGTTTCATATTTGATTTTAATAATTTTGCATTCTGTAATGATATAAAAAATAAATAATTTAAGTTTCAAAAACAAATATTTATGAAGTGCAGCTTTTGAAAATATAATTTCACTTAGCTTCTCATCCAGGAAGTCTCAACAAATCGCCTAATATACTTAAAGGTTGTATACTAAGTTTGAATTCTATTTCATAGCTGCTTACATGTAGATTGATAAGAGTTTCTGTATTGTATGAATGTGTATACTTCTACATGAGGGAAAGAAAAAGAAAGAGATCTCTCCTCAATTCCAAGCTTCTTGAAGGCAGGAGATTTTGTCAGCTACACTTATCCTACACTGGGAAACTTATGAATCTACAGAGAGGAAACTTTCAACAAACATTATGAATTACTAGAGGAATGCCTTTCTCACCGGCAGGAGATTTTATTGAAATATTTGCCAAGTGACTTGAAACAACTTAGATGAAAGCCAGTCCACCTTCACCTCTAGAGCTCAGAAGTACCAAAATCTGTCTTGCTGGGAAATCAAGCTGGGAATTTCTTTAAGAATTGTATGCACATTGTATCAAAATGTGCAAATATGCTTCCAACACAGGAGAGTAGTCTCTCAAAACCAAATTGCAGCCTGTAAGTGTCTCCCTGGGCCAAAGTCCCATGGCAACTCAATTGCTGACTTTATTTAAAAAAACAGGTAAACTTATATAGCAGAAGAAGCATTTAATAAAGTATTAGGACACACACAAACACACACACACACGGATACCCATGTTTCAGAATAGCTCTTCTTGCTGGGTTAATATTCTCTGCTGTAGTTGGTAACACAAATCTTAGCAATGGAAAAAGCAAAAAAAAAAAAAAAAAAAGGTCAAAGGGTCAGTCTGAAGACATAACAAAAACCAATGTAGGCTAGGTACAGTGGCTCACACTTGTAATCTCAATGCCTTGGGAGGCCACGGCAGGAGAATAGCTTGAAATCATGAGTTTGAGGCTGCAGTGATCTATTATCTCACCACTGCATTCCAGCCTGAGTAACAGAGTGAGAGCCCATCTGCACAAAAAAGTTAAAAATTTAGCCCAGTGTGGTGCAAGAGTCTTGCTCTGTTGCCCAGTTCAGGCAACAGAGCAAGACTCTGACTCAAAAAAAAAAAAAAAGAAGGCAGTAAGACAGAAAGAGAAGTCATAGAGTATCATAAAGAAGCACTATCCCCTTTAAGAGATGAATAAAGACTTTAGAAACTTCAATTACTTTTTAGATGTTGGACTTGGTCTTGAAAAACAATAGAGCTCTGAGGCTGACCCACATAGAGCCTGGGAATATATTCCGTTTGTGCTCTAGAGGTGAGAGGGCATAGGAAGTACAGATACAAGGTTCACAATTTATATTTTTAAAGATTTGCAGCAGTTTTTTTTTTTAAATTTGTTTGCTTGTTTCTGATTCTCCTCATTCCTTCTCAGAAGACAGCCCCTGTCTTTGTTCTACAAGAAGATTGTGGGAATAAAACAGATTCTGTGGGGTCATTTAAAAAGTCCCCAATAGTGATGGTTAAGTAGAGGGACTTTGACTGAGGTCAAAGCAGAGATACAAGTCCAGAAACTTCTCAATGAGCAAGCGGTATTTGTTCCCTGGGTGGAGGCAGCAAAGCCACCCATGGTGGATTCTGGGGCCTTCTTTTTAGAGGCTCTGGTGATTTTGTGATTGGGGTTAAATTTACAAGAGACTGGGCACATTCCTGGGGGCTCCAGCCCACTTGGCAGAAAGAGCTAGAAGACGGTTTCTGACGATAGAAGATCCACTAGTTGCCAACCAGAAAAGCAAAAGCCAGGAAGCACAAATGGAGATGTGACCAGAGGGAGAGGACAGAGACGGGAAGAGAAGGTGCTGATTAGGAAAGAAGAAAGGATGAAATGGAGAAAATTCAGAAGCAGCACTTAGTAAAGACTGTCAGAAGCCTAGAAAAGGAGAAAAAAGAGAACCAGCTGAGGCTGAAACAAAGTTTCTTACAGAAAGTGACTTGGGCAGGGAAGACTTAGGAAGAATGATTTGAACTAGGCATGACCACAGAATCTAGAGATGAGAATTGGTAACCCAGGGTTCAGGGGAAGCTCCAGTTTCAAAGCAGGTTTGTGTCTGAATTACAGATACATGGCTTAGTCATAGACTCTGGTAGGCATAGGTCACCTGGGCATCCTTGTTTTTCTAATTTCCAAACTGTGAGGACATGAGGCATGGAAGAAAATGCATGTCAAGGCTGTGATCTCCAAGTTTGGATAAAAATATGAATACCTGGCCAGGCATGGTGGCTTGCACCTGTAATCCCAACAATTTGGGAGGCCGAGGTGGGCAGATCACTTGAGGTCAGGAGTTTGATACTAGCCTGGCCAACATAGTGACACCTCATCTCTACTAAAAATACAAAACTTAGCCAGGCATGGTGGCATGCACCTGTAATCCCAGCTACTCTGTAGGCTGAGGCAGGAGAATCACTTGAACCCAGGAGAGGCAGACTTTGCAGTGAGCCGAGATTGTGCCACTGCACTCCAGCTGGGTGACAGAGCAAGACTTGGTCTCAGAAAAAAAAAAAAAAAAGAACACTCACTTATTCCCCAGGAGGGTGATGACAGATGATTAGCCTCAAGATCTTGCACTGCTCTTTTGAGGGAACTCTGATCTTTCAGCCACAGGTATTAGCTCCACAGAGAAGGCTCTGCAAATCACCTTGGTGCCAACCATGAGGCAGCATTTGTGCACTGGGTACAAAGAACCCATTATCCCATTGGCCTCCATGAAGGGACTCAAATGGCAGTCCCATTATTCTGACAACAGCAAAAAACACTCCACTTCCTTGAGACTGGCCTCTTCCTGAGCCTCCTTCATGTCAGCTTAACTCTTTCTTCTGCCTCCTGTGGTTTTTCCTGGAATAATTTTCTCTCTGCCACTCCGAATTCTGCTCTTTCTTCAATAAGCAGAGTGGGCACTGTCTCTTCCTGGATGATTATTAAATAGTTCAACTCCTGACAACATGCCAGTATGGCTTAGGATCCAGGCCACACCATATATTCCACCTTGTTCAGATCTCTTATGAGCAATAGATGATGCTTTGAGCAAATTTCTTAACTCATCTCATTCTCAATTTATCATCTGCAATAAAGGATATCAACAAACCTATACTTTATAGCCACATACTAGGCTGGTTATTAAGTTCCTAATGATTCTCTCAGTGGGCATCCCTACTTACCCGCTTTTTAGGGGAAAATACTCACTTCCCATACCCTTCAGTCTAATGTGTGGCCTGAATGGGAATGACAATCTTCTTATGACCTTCCTTTGCTATTCATTGTGCTTAGTCTTAGACTTGTTTAGTCTTTAGACTTGATAGAATGAAAGCCAATCTATGTCTTTACTGAGAATTTTCTTAGAGCTGAGGGAGAAACCTATTACACTGATGGTAAAGACGTAAATGTATCAGCCATGGGCTGCTTTATTTCTTTGTCTCTTACATGTGAAAAAAAAGTTTGTATGTAGTAGATAAGAGTGAGGCAGTGAAGGTGAAATGGAAGGTGGAGAAAAATGACATGGAGAGAGAGACTGAAAGAAGAAGAAGAAGAAGATGAAGAGGAAGGAGAAGGAGGGGAGGGGAGGGGGAGGAGGAGAAGAAAAAGGAGGAGGAAGAGGAGGAAGAGAGAAAGGAGAGAAAGCGGTGAGCAAGGATAAAAGATGAGAGAGAGGGAGAGAGAAGCAGAAAGAGAGAAGGGAGAGAGAGAATGGAGAATAAGAGAGAGAACAAGAATGAGAAAAAAGGAGAATCCTAACAGTGTACATATCTCTAGCTCCAGTCACTATTGCTGGAGGATCTGCCCTGCATTCTTTCATCTTATGATCTACTTGTGTAAATTCTTCTTTTTACTTAAGCCTATTTCTTACAATCAAGATTCATGAGCACCTAACTGGGTAGTTCTAAACACTAAATTCTATGATGACATATTAAATGGTTAGCACATTGGCAGCCTACAGTTTAAGCATTCAAAAAGGGTAGTTATTTTATCCTTGTCGCCCATCTTTGTGGGAAGCTATAGAGCATGGTCGTTAAATGCCTGCATTCTGGACACCAACTTCTTAGGTTCCAATCCCAAATCTACTCATTAGTATCTGTGTGATCTTGGGCAAGTTATTTCTGTGTGCTTTATAGTCTTGTCTATAAAATGTCTATAGATTGAGTAGTTCAATATTTTCCAGGTACTTAAAATATTATTGTTATCATTCCTATCTAAACTATGAAATTAGATTAGTTTACAGTCTAATCTAAACATAGTTTAGATTCTAGTATCCCCTAGATACTAAAGCACACTAGAATCAGAAGTTTCTTTTTTTTTTTTATTATTGTACTTTAAGTTCTAGGGAACATGTGCACAACGTGCAGGTTTCCTACATAGGTATACATGTGCCATGTTGGTTTGCTGCACACGTTAACTCGTCATTTACATTAGGTATTTCTCCCAATGCCATCCTTCCCCCATCCCCCCACCCCATGACAGGCTCCGGGGAGTGATGTTCCCCACCCTGTGTCCAAGTGTTCTCATCGTTCAGTTCCCACCTATGAGTGAGAACATGCAGTGTCTGGTTTTCTGTCCTTGAGATAGTTTGCTCAGAATGATGATTTCCAGCTTCATCCATGTCCCTGCAAAGGACATGAACTCATCCTTTTTTATGGCTGCATAGTATTCCATGGTGTATATGTGCCACAATTTCTTAATCCAGTCTATCATTGATGGACATTTGGGTTGGTTCCAAGTCTTTGCTATTGTGAATAGTGCCACAATAAACATACTTGTGCATGTGTCTTTATAGTAGCATGATTTATAATCCTTTGAGTATATACCCAGTAATGGGATCACTGGGTCAAATGGTATTTCTAGTTCTAGTTCCTTGAAGAATCACTACATTGTCTTCCACGATGGTTGAACTAGTTGACAGTCCCACAAACAGTGTAAAAGCGTTCCTATTTCTCCACATCCTCTCCAGCACCTGTTGTTTCCTGACTTTAAAGATCACCATTCTAACTGGTGTGAGATGGTATCTCATTGTGGTTTTGATTTGCATTTCTGTGATGACACCAGTGATGATGAGCATTTTTTCATGTGTCTGTTGGCTGCATAAATGTCTCCTCTGGAAAAGTGTCTGTTCATATTCTTTGCCAATTTTTTGATGGGGTTGTTAGATTTTTTTCTTGTAAGTTTGTTTAAGTCCTTTGTAGATTCTGGATATTAGCCTTTGTCAGATGGGTAGATTGCAAACATTTTCTCCCATTCTGTAGGTTGCCTGTTCACTCTGATGGCAGCTTCTTTTGCTGTGCAGAAGCTCTTTAGTTTAATTAGATCCCATTTGTCTATTTTGGCTTTTGTTGACATTGCTTTTGGTGTTTTAGTCATGAAGTCCTTGCCCATGCCTATGACCTGAATGGTATTATCTAGGTTTTCTTCTAGGGTTTTTATGGTTTTAGATCTAACATTTAAGTCTTTAATCCATCTTGAATTAATTTTTGTATAAGGTGTAAGGAAGGGATCCAGTTTCAGCTTTCTACATATGGCTAGCCAGTTTTCCCAGCACCATGTATTAAATAGGGAATCCTTTCTCCATTTCTTGTTTTTGTCAAGTTTGTCAAAGATCAGCTGGTTGTAGATGTGTGGTGTTATTTCTGAGGCCTCTGTTCTGTTCCATTGGTCTATATCTCTGTTTTGATACCAGTACCATGCTGTTTTGGTTACTGCAGCCTTGTAGTATAGTTTGAAGTCAGGTAGCATGATGCCTCCAGCTTTGTTCTTTTTGCTTAGGATTGTCTTGGCAATGTGGGCTCTTTTTTGGTTCTATATGACTTTAAAGTAGTTTTTCCAATTCTATGAAGAAAGTCATTGGTAGCTTGATGGGGATGGCATTGAATCTATAAATTACCTTAGGCAGTATGGCCATTTTCATGATATTGATTCTTCCTATCCATGAGCATAGAATGTTCTTCCATTTGTGTCCTCTTTTATTTCGTTGAGCAGTGGTTTGTAGTTCTCCTTGAAGAGGTCCTTCACATCCCTTGTAAGTTGCATTCCCAGGTATTTTATTCTCTTTGCAGCAATTGTGAATGGGAGTTCACTCATGATTTGGCTCTCTGTTTGTCTGTTATTGGTATATAGGAATGCTTGTGATTTTTGCACATTGATTTTTGTATCCTGAGACTTTGCTGAAGTTGCTTATCAGCTTAAGGAGATTTTGGGCTGAGACAATGGGGTTTTCTAAATATACAATCATGTCATCTGCAAACAGGGACAATTTGACTTCCTCTTTTCCTAACTGAATACCCTTTATTTCCTTCTCTTGCCTGATTGCCCTGGCCAGAACTTCCAACACTATATTGAATAGGAGTGGTGAGAGAGGGCATCCCTGTCTTGTGCCAGTTTTCAGAGGGAATGCTTCCAGTTTTTGCCCATTCAGTTTGATTTTGGCTGTGGATTTGTCACAAATAGCTCTTATTATTTTGAGACACATTCCATCAATACCTAGTTTATTGAGAGTTTTTAGCATGAAGCACTGTTGAATTTTGTCAAAGGCCTTTTCTGCATCTATTGAGATAATCTTGTGGTTTTTGTCTTTGGTTCTCTTTATGTGATGGATTATGTTTATTGATTTGCATATGTTGAACCAGCCTTGCATCCCAGGGGTGAAGCCAACTTGATCGTGGTGGATAAGCTTTTTGATGTGCTGCTGGATTCGGTTTGCCAGTATTTTATTGAGGATTTTCGCATCAATGTTCATTAGGGATATTAGCCTAAAATTCCCTTTTTTTGTTGTTGTTGTGTCTCTGGTATCAGGATGATGCTGGCTCATAAAATGAGTTAGGGAGGACTCCCTCTTTTTCTATTGATTGGAATAGTTTCAGAAAGAATGGTACCAGCTCCTGTTTGTACCTCTGGTAGAATTCGGCTGTGAATCCATCTGGTCCTGGACTTTTTTTGGTAGGCTATTAATTATTGCCTCAATTTCAGAGCCTGTTATTGGTCTACTCAGGGATTCAATGTCTTCCAGGTTTAGTCTTGGGAGGATGTATGTGTCCAGCAATTTATCCGTTTCTTCTAAATTTTCTAGTTTGTGTAGAGGTGTTCATAGTATTATCTGATGGTAGTTTGCATTTCTGTGGGATCGGTGGTGATATCTCCCTTATCATTTTTTATTGCAACTATTTGATTCTTCTCTCCTTTCTTCTTTATTAGTCTTGCTAGTGGACTATCTATTTGGTTAGTCTTTTCAAAAAAACAGCTCCTGGATTCATTGATTTTTTGAAGGTTTTTTTGTTTCTCTATCTCCTTCAGTTCTGCTCTGACCTTAGTTATTTCTTGCCTTCTGCTAGCTTTTGAATTTGTTTGCTTTTGCTTCTCTAGTTCTTTTCATTGTGATGTTAGGGTGTTGATCTTAGATCTTTCCTGCTTTCTCTTGTAGGCATTTAGTGCTATAAATTTCCCTCTGCACACTGCTTTAAATGTGTCCCAGAGATTCTGGTATGTTGTGTCTTTGTTCTCATTGGTTTCAAAGGACATCTTTATTTCTGCCTTCATTTCGTTGCTTAACCATTAGTCATTCAGGAGCAGGTTGTTCAGTTTCCATGTAGTTGTGTGGTTTTCAGTGAGTTTCTTAATCCTGAGTTCTAATTTGATTGCAGTGTGGTCCGAGAGAATATTTGTTGTGATTTCTGTTCTTTTACATTTGCTGAGGAGTGCTTTACTTCCAACTATGTGGTCAATTTTGGAATAAGTGTGATGTGCTGCTGAGAAGAATGTATATTCCATTGATTTGGGGTGGAGAGTTCTGTAGATGTCTATTAGGTCTGCTTGGTGCAGAGCTGAGTTCAAGTCCTGGATATCCTTGTTAACCTTCTGTCTCATTGATCTGTCTAATATCAACAATGGGGTGTTAAAGTCTCCCATTATTATTGTGTGGGAGTCTCTTTGTAGGTCTCTAAGGACTTGCTTTATGAATCTGGATGCTCCTGTGTTGGGTGCATATATATTTAGGATAGTTAGCTCTTCTTGTTGAATTGATCCCTTTACCATTATGTAATGGCCTTCTTTGTCTCTTTTGGTCTTTGTTGGTTTAAAGTCTGTTTTATCAGAGACTAGGATTGCAACCCCTGCTTTTTTTGCTTTCCATTTGCTTGGTAGATCTTCTTCCATCCCTTAATTTTGAGCCTATGTGTGTCTCTGCACATGAGATGGGTCTCCTGAATACAGCACACCGATGGGTCTTGATTCTATCCAATTTGCTAGTTTGTGTCTTTTAATTGGGGCATTTAGCCCATTTACAAGTAAGGCTAATGTTGTTATGTGTGAATTTTATCCTCTCATTATGATGCTAGCTGGTTATTTTGCCCATTGTTGATGTAGTTTCTTCCTAGCATCAGTGGTCTTTACAATTTGGCTTGTTTTTGCAGTGGCATGCAACGTTTGTTCCTTTCCATGTTTAGTGCTTCCTTCAGGAGCTCTTGTAAGGGAGGCCTGGTGATGACAAAATCTCTGAGCTTTTGCTTGTCTGTAAAGGATTTTATTTCTCCTTCACTTCTGAAGCTTAGTTTGGCTGGATATGAAATTCTAGGTTGAAAATTCTTTTCTTTAAGAATGTTGAATATTGGCCCCCACTCTCTTCTGGCTTGTACCGTTTCTGCTTTTAGTCTGATGGACTTCTCTTTGTGAGTAAACCGACCTTTCTCTCTGGCTGCCCTTCAAATTTTTTCCTTCATTTCAACCTTGGTAAATCTGAAAATTATGTGTCTTGGGGTTGCTCTTCTTGAGGAGTATCTCTGTGGTGTTCTCTGTATTTCCTGAATTCGAATGTTGGCCTGCCTTGCTAGGTTGGGGACGTTCTCCTGGATAATATCCTGAAGAGTGTTTTCCAGCTTGGTTCCATTCTCCCTGTCGCTTTCAGATACACCAATCAAACATAGATTTGGTCGTTTCACATAGTCCCATATTTCTTGGAGGATTTGTTCATGTCTTTTTACTCTTTTTTCTCTAAACTTCTCTTCTCACTTCATTTCGTTTATTTGATCTTCAATCACTGATACCTTTTCTTCCACTTGATCGAATCAGCTATTGAAGTTTGTGTATGCGTCACACAGTTCTCGTGCCATGGTTTTCAGCTCGATCAGGTCATTTATGGTCTTCTCTACACTGTTTATTCTACTTAGCCATTCGTCTAATCTTTTTTCAAGGTTTTTAGCTTCCTTGCGATGGGTTCAAACATCCTCCTTTAGCTCAGAGAAGTTTGTTATTACTGACCTTCTGAAGCCTACTTCTGTCAACTAGTCATTCTACAACAAGCTTTGTACCATTGCTGGTGAGGAGCTGCAATCCTTTGGAGGAAAAGAGGCACTCTGGTTTTTAGAATTTTCAGCTTTTCTGCTCTGGTTTCTCCCCATCTTTGTGGTTTTATCTACCTTTGGTCTTTGATGATGGTGACCTACAGATGGGGTTTTGGTGTGGATGTCCTTTTTGTTGATGTTGATGCTATTCCTTTCTATTTGTTAGTTTTCCTTCTCACAGTCAGGTCTCTCAGCTGCAGGTCCATTGGAGTTTGCTGGAGGTCCACTCCAGACGCTGTTTTCCTGGGTATCACCAGCAGAGGCTGCAGAACAGCAGATATTGCCGAACAGCAAATATTGGTGCCTGATCCTTCCTCTGGAAGCTTTGTCTCAGAGGGACACCCGGCTGTATGAGGTGTCAGTCAGCCCCTACTGGGAGGTGTCTCCGAGTTAGGCTACACAGGGGTCAGGGACCCACTTGAGGAGGCAGTCTGTCCATTCTCAGGGTTCAAACACCATTCTGGGAGAACCACTGCTCTCTTCAGAGCTGTCAGACAGGGTCCTTCAAGTTTGCAGAAGTTTCTGCTGCCTTTTGTTCAGCTATGCCCTGCCCCAAAAGGTGTAGTCTACAGAGGCAGGCAGGCCTCATTGAGCTGTGGTGGGCTCCACCCAGTTCAAGCTTCCCAGCCACTTTGTTTACTTACTCAAGCCTTTCTACTCAGAACTGTCTTAAATACAGGAATTTTGTCTTAATTCAACTTGGTATATCAAGTCTCTCATGTAAAATGCATAGTAGGCCTTCAGTGATTATTGAATAAATAACTAAAGAATTTTCTTTTATGAAATACTGTTTAATATGGGCTAGTTTTGCTTCCCAATTAGATCCTTTGTAAGGATAGGTGACAGGTCCAATGCTAGGGACATTGTAGGAACTGTGTAAGTAGCATTTGCGTGATTTCTGGGCCCTATCGGAAGAACAAAAAGGACGCACTGAAGGCATTTTTGAGCCATTGCCCTTGTTGCCTCTCTGCTTTCTTGACAATTCTCTAGCAGTTCCTCAGAAGCAAATGGGAAATGCCACATGGTGGTGACATAGCTACTTAGTCCCATTCCCCAAAGCCCTGGTCTTTGGACGCTAAGTGAGGCTGTTCTTAGATTTTTCTCCAAGCAAGTGCTTTGTGAAATACTAGGGATCCTTTGAGATGACAGTCATGGGGCACCCTAGGGCGATCTTACCCTGAAGAGTGGTTATGAGATGGTCCTCCGTGTCCACTGGGGACTGTCAAAGACAGCAGTGTAAAGCAGCTACAGTATCCAAAGGAGGATGAAAAACAGCCTCCCCAGGGCACGGTGCCTCCATGCCATCAGTGAATGCAGCCTCTATCTCCAGCTGATTTCATCTAATGTGATAACACTCATGATAATAAATATCGTTAAAAATAAAAGTCACTTTGGGGATTGAGAATCACTGGGACAGGTGTTCAGAATGAGAAGAGTGCAGTAATTGGATGACATATTCATTATTGGAAATGCCTTTTAAAATCTATTGCATTTAAAAAAACAATACTTCAGATGCTCTCTAGCCTTCCAAAGTCATTAGCTGCTATTCTTTATCTGTTTGTTTTCCTCACTGAAGTGAGGTTTTTAATGTCACATAAGAACTAACTTGACTCGGTGCCAGCATTTCAGAGTGAATGATGAAGCCTTCCGAGGCTCACATATCACTCCCCATGATGTTTCTCCTCCTTAGAGCTCGCAGTCCCTGCAGTCAGGTTAGGGCAAGCAGGGAGGGAGAGAGCGCGATTACAATTCCTTACAATTCCTGCTAGACAACAAAGTCACAGAGGCAAGGGAGGGGCCACACTTTCCTCCAGTTCCTACAGTCAGGCTGTTAAAGGGCTTTGAGGGAGGCCTAGGTGTCCCAACCCTCGGTCCACTCTCCCTAACAAGGGATGCAAATAATCAATAAACTGTTTCAGACAGTACCCTCCTCTGGTGTTTCTGAAGTCCTTCATCTGTGTTACAATTGGGAAAACAGTATTTTGATGGCAGTAGTCCCATATTGGAAACTTCAAGGACTAAGGCCCCAATAGAAACAACGAGCTCCCAATAGCATGCAGCAAGTTAGGAACTCAATTTATACTTGAAGTTGGCTTTGAAACATGCATTTAACATTTTTAAAAACGTTAGTTTCCAATTCTGCATGAATTATCCAGGATTTGAATTTTTAAAGCTGTGTTTGCTTCTAGCCATGGGAGAAATCCTCACCATATTATAATGTGTGTGAGAAATTGGATTTGAGACCTTGCTTTGGCCTAGAAAATTTGCTCACCTTCTGCAGGGATCACCTACTATGTTCGTGCTGAGTTTCATCTTTTGAAGTGGCCTCATCAGGATATTTTCTGAGTATCAGGGGAAATGTATGTATGAGTAGGGAAATGTATAGGTACTTTATCTGTATTTTGACACTGCATAAAGTTATCTGAGGAAGTCTTGGGCTAAAGCTCCATTTCTCAATTTCTAAAGGTAAATCTTTGGGTGTTATTTCCTTCTGAAAATACTCCTAGTGGGGTTGGAAGAATAGAGCGAAGGGTAGCTATACTATTCTCCTATCCTTTTGAGAGAGTAGATCAAGCAAGTTATAGCCATATACTGAGGGTAGACACCCAGGAAATGTTGAAAATAAATAGGAAAATATCTCTCTTCCCACGGAGCTCTTAAGACAATGCAATGCACTTAAGACTGGAAACCATAAGATCAAAGAGGGCCTCCTAGAGACCATAAGATCAAAGAGGGCCTCCTAGAGACCATAAGATCAAAGAGGGCCTCCCAGAATAGCTTCCCCGTGGCAATTCATGGGTGCTAGCCCTAATGTGCCTAGATTTTAGAGATGCAGCAAAAGGACCAACCCCAGCCTGATGAGACAGCTGCCATGGAGCAAGCTGAAAGCTGAAAGCGATGACACCTATATCCTACTCTCCCCTCAACCATGAAATGCTCCTTATCTCTTGGCTCTCAATCATCATTCAAAATATATTTTATAACATATTTCCTCAAAGAGAATTTCCCTGGAATCCTCCAGTCTAGATTAGGTCATCTGTGTGTTTCTCTCGTGACATTTATCAAAACTGTAATGAGGTAGACTTGTGTGTGTTTGTTTGTGTACCATCCAACAGGCTAGGGCACAGAGGGCAGGAACCCCGTGTCTCTTGTCCCTACTCTATCCTCAGACCTAGTGCTGTCCCTGGCTTAAGGTAGATACTCATTAAACACTTGGGAATAAAGAAACAAGGACAGAAAGTGTTATCTCTCTTGGAAATAATGCCAAAGTCAATACTTAATATCAAAAAGTTAAAAACTACTTGATCCATAGGAAAACTACTTAGTCCCCTTGATTTGCCCCATACATAGGGAACTTTTACTTAAATAGAAGTGACTTATTTACTGATGAGAACACTGTGGGAGAAGACAGTCCATAATGCCCAGAAAGATTGTACATGCAGGTCTTTTGGCTCATCTGTCCTTGTAGTTCAGCTCTTTCCAATTTTCTTCATTAATGGCCACCTGTGGAGGAGGGGAAGGGAGCCTGGAAATGCAGGGCCACCCTCCTCCACCCTGGGCTGAACTGAAGTCCTCTGCAGCATGTGAGGTAGAGACAGCCAGAGTGTATCTCATCATGGAGCAGCTTACAGGGCAAGGAACTCCCAATTGGCTGCTGAATAGTGTCTCGAATATACCAAAGAGGTAAATTAAATGCATTAATCTCTGTGAGAGTCACAATTGAGGCATTCAGGGCTGCACAGAAATTTCCAACAATTGGCCTCATTTGCTTCAATAACAAATAAAAAGAGGAAGACGGGGGGCCAGGATGGGTATGGGCGGCCGTTTCCTGCTCTCCTTTTCCAGACGGGTAATCAAAATGAAGTTCCTCCCTGAGAATATGCATTTCATTTTATTCTGTACTTGAAAGCAAACACATTTGGCCCTTTCTCCTGTAATAAAGCAAATCCTTTCTCTGTTCTCATTTAAGAACATAAAGATGATGCCAGTGACACCGAGACCCTGAAAGCTTCATTTCAGCTTCCTCTCAGCATAAAAAGGCAAATTTATTCTGCTTGAGATAGTTTTGTCTTGGGTACATGGCATTTGTTCTACTAAACTCGTGGAGGCTGCAGCTATATGGCTCTATGAATGTTTTTATTTCTATTTTTCAACCATTGAAAACTTCCTCCTCCCAAGTCATGCACTATGATTGAATCATATTTTATAGGAATTGAGAGAAAGTTCAGCACAAATCTAACACCAAAATGCATGATTTGGGGTCAATTGCAGAATTTAACCAAAAATATGAAACGGTGGGAAAGAACATAAGACTTACAATCACAAGATCTGGCTTCAAGCTCTGTCTATTTTGGGCAATTCTGACTGAGTCGGTTAATAGTAACAACACGGTCTATCAGCACTTGCTATGAGCCAGTCACTAGTCTTTCCTTCCATTATTCCATTTAAGCTTCAAGACACTCCAGTGGAGTGGGACTATTACAAATTTGACTTCATATGTGAGAAAACAATCTCAGAAAAGTCCAGCAAATTGTCTCAGGCACACAGCGTGTGAACGAAGGAGCCAAGAATTGGACTCAGGTCAACTGATTGAGAAGCCTCAGTTCTTAATAGCTATTTTCACTCCTTAGGGACTGAATTACCCTCTTAGGTATTTGATCTTCTTCTTGGTAATATCTAATAATGCCTCCCTCCCAGGAGGTTGGTAGAATTGGCTCAGAAAATACAAGTCCATTGGAAATTATAAAAACAATAGAAAGGTAAGGCATTATTATTGTAATTATTAATATACAAGATAATAATATACAGGACTTACCAATCCATATACTGGAAAACATTCCACTGAAAGATCACTTTCTAACTATTCATCTGGATATAGGGACAGAATACACTCCTGGAGGCATGGCTGTGCTTCCCCTAAAAGGAATTTGTGTGGCACACTGAGAATCTCTTAGGGAAGAGACTTTATCCTAAGGCAGAAAATTAGGACTCTGGGAGGTGGAGAAGGAGGTAAAACAAGGAATGGAGAGGGAATATTTTCTCTCTAGAACCAGAGGTCATTTTTTTCTGGACCCACAGTGAAGACAGAATGGAAGCAATGAAATTGGGTTGGAGTGAGCTTTTTCAGGTTTTAAGGGGTTAAGCTCATGTGACCCCAACCACTTGGCAAGCACAGTCATCCCATGAGGAGTCACCTAGAGGTACACAGGAAAATCTGGACCCTCTTCTAAACTCAAAATATGTGTTCTCAAAACTATTGTTTTGGGGGGCACCAATGTAATCTGTTAATATTTGTATCCTAATGTTATGCAGGTGGATATAAAGAATTAACATTTTTAGGGCCCGGCATGGTGGCTCACGCCTGTAATCTCAGCTACTGGGGAAGCTGAGGCCAGAGAATCACTTGAACCTGGGAGGCAGAGGTTGCAGTGAGCCGAGGTTGTGCCATTGCACACCAGCCTGGGTGACAGAGTGAGACTGTCTCAAAGAAAAAAAAACGGCAGTTTTAGTAATGTAACTATGTTTTATTTTTTATCTTATCCTTAATTGTTTTGTGGAATAGTTCTTTTCCCAAATGAAAAAGAGAGAGAGAATATATTTTGGAGAGGGGAGGATCAAGGATCTGAAAAATGAAATTCTCCCAAGGCTTTTCTTCTCACTAATCCTGAAGAGGAGCTGCAACACTTGGATTTTAATTCAGTCCATTAATAAATGAATTATGCAATTAGTTGATATACAATTAACTGGATTCACAAGGCATGTAGAGCTAACCGGGTCAGTCTGCATCTGTATGACTGTAATGTGCCTAAATGAATTTGCCATAAAAGGACAGGCAGTAGAATGGGGAATCAAATTTGTCTCCGGCAGAGAATCATGCCTGCCAGCTGCCGAAAGTTCTGCAGATAAAGCCTTGGTCTGAGTTGGCAGGAGAAACAAAAGCAGCACAATGAAGGACCCCAAGTGGCACTCTCTCCATTATAGAAGCATTGTTCTCCCCAGATGAGCTTGGACAGAGATCAATACATCCCGAATCCTTCTGGGCAGAAAGCATGAGCAATTAGATTTGGATTGGGATCTATCAATCAATCACTCGCCAAAAGTGGTTCTGGCGGCACAAAATGAAAATCTCTTAGTGCAACATAGCCCTTCCCTGGGACCCGCAATTTTGACTGACCCAGATGCAAAGTCAATCAAAATAGTCAATCCTGTGGTATCTAATTTCAGCTGGAAAATGTAAGCCAATAAAACATTCGGTTGTGGTTTGTGGGTATGACCAATCAATCCATGTCCAGGAATTTGTCTTATAGTCAAGACTTTGGTGATCAAGTTAAGGCTGATATCAGAAGCTCACTGATACCTGGGGTCAAGGCTGGTGTGTGTGTGTGTGTGTGTGCGTGTGTGTGTGTGTGTGTGTGTGTGTGTTTCCCCCACGGGAAGAGAGGAAATCTTATGGGAATTTTTTAATATAATGTACTTAATTTTGGTTTTGAATTCTTCAAAATGTTTTTGAGATTCCCAAGACTTCCTTCATCAGAATCTGTACTTTAACAAGATCTCCACCTGATTCCATGTGTCTTCTGTGAGAGAAGTATGACTGTAAAGCACTCCATATTCATAGGAATAATCACTGTAATCAAATAGGGCACTGACAGCTCTTCATGTCCAAGCAAGTTCTGTGATATGACAACTCATAACTGATATAATGATATGGACACTGCCATTCTTAGCTCCCTCACTAGACTGAGAAACCCTGAATATGGGATCTGGTCTGGGCTTCACTACCAATCTGCTACATAAATTGCCCTACCTCTAACAGTTTGTTTTCTTCTTTATACAATGAAAAGGTTAAGCCAGAGTGCTAGTTCCCAACCTGCACTACCTCCATCTATGAATACAGTCATGAGGGGAGGCAGGGTAACATGGTAGTGATGAGGATGGCATTGAAATTCAATGGTACTTGGGTCAGGTTTGGGGTCAGTCACTTAATAAATGTGTGGTATTAAGGCATTTACTTAAGCTTTCTCAATTTCAACTGTAAATTGCACACATTTCAAGTGCTCAGTTGAATGAATTTTGATGCATGTAAATTCCATGTAACCCAAACCTAATCAAAACACAGAGTATTTCCATCAGCCAACCACTCACTCCTCACCACCATGCTATACTAGCCTACCAATTGTATGCCATGGTGGTGGACATGATGGTGGAGTGGGTGATGGAAATGCTCCATTATCTTGATTGGGGAGTATTCACATGAAAACATATTTCTCAAAATTTGTAGACTATGCACTGGAGTTCTATAACTGTCTCTTTATCATATGTAAATTGTACCTCAATAAAGTTGATCTTAAAAGAAAAAAAAGACACTTTGAGGTAGAGGAGTTCTTTAGCTCTCACTCCAAGAGTGGGTTCCCTATTGTAATTCCTAGAGCACAAACCCAAATTGTAGAGTGACAGGAAGAGGTGAATTGAAGTGTTAGAGCATACGATAGGCATTTGAGAAAAAGTCATTAGATCAATCTATCTTTGTGGTTGACCCTGGCCCGTGCTTCATGAGTCATTATTATTTTTTCAGAGGGAGAATAAGGTACAACATCTCCCATGACCCGCAAGTGAAGGTTGTCCTGACTCCCCGTGTGGTGAGCCCTCCTGGGGCAAAGGCATCAGAAGTCTCCAGGCAAAGGTAGAAAGCTCAGTCTCCCTTGCAGACCTGTGTGCCATCCTACAGGCCCCTCAGAGGGAAAATGAAATGAGAAAGACATCTTCAGCACACTTTCCCAGTGCTCTAGAGGACTCACAAACACAAATGCTCACACACAAAAACAGCTACAGATTTAACCCCAAGGGTCAGATGTATAGAAGTGAGCAAATTGCTAAAATGAGTTGAAACACAGCCTCAAGACTTCTTACCTCAAGCTGTTAGTCTCTGACCTGGGTTTATGATCAGATCCAATTAGCAGGTGCTACATTAAAATTACAGAGCTACAAGGGCACCTTAGAGATCATCTAGTCCAGGGACTTCAGATTATTTTTAGCCATCAAATATTTTTTCAAACCAAATCTTATGCAGAGATGTAAATCAATAAAAGAGATAAACACATAAGTAATCCACTGGAAGCAGAAGTGGGGATTCAGTGTCCCACCTACCACCATTCCACCGTGTTCTCTGAGAAATACAGCTCAACAAGCATAAAATCTGATCCGATGCCCTCTTTCCATCGATTAGGCAACTGAGGCTCTGAGAGGTCATAGCTCTCGAGTTAGGCAGTGACAGAGGCAGATCTAGAGAACTCCTGACAACCAGTAAAAGAAAAAACTGCTTTTTCTGTTACACTAAGCTGCCTCGACTAATAGCACAGAAACCCACTACTCTGGGCCAAATGATTTGTTCCGTTCTTAGTCACTCCATGGAGAATCCTGAGAACTCCATGCAGAAGTCAGGCAGCTCAGATTTGCTTAGCAACCATGAGCCATCATTCACTAAGCATTTCTTCCTAGAGTCAGCACCCTAATTTAGAGAATCTTGTACTACTCAGACTGGAAAGGAAAAGTGTATTTGCATCTCAAGAGGAAAGGGGGCCTGGAATAGGAAAGTGGGGAGAACAGGAGTGCTCCATGATGGAAAATGTATGTGGCCCCACTGTGGGGAGTTAGGGGCAGAATTCAGAGACAGAGTGAGACCCAGCTCTGCCTGGCATCCCAGAATCACCCACAGGGCTGTCTCAGCCTCCCACACTCTATCTCCCTTACACCTAATATCCAAGCAAACCACAAACATCTAGAACCAGGGCCGCCAAGCTGGGTGAAAGCCACTATTACACCTTCTTCACATCCTGAAGAGAGCCTCAACAGCCTTCTCCAAGAGCGAGCTCTCAGGTCAGAACAGAGCTGAGACACAGGGTGCCTCCAGCGAGTGCCTGTCACGGTAGCCCAGTCCAGCTGGGAAGAGCAGTGATTCTATTACTTAAAACCCAGGGACCTCACATCACCCAGGGGCCACTAGCCCTCTCTGATTTCCTTCTTCAACCACACTGGAGGACAGGAAGTAGATTGCTATCCCTTCAGAGTTGGCTTAACAGCTCTGTGTGAAAGCTGTCTACCGAGTGTCAAAGCTCCTGCCTCACCTCCTGCCATTCTTTACTCTTTATTGAACTTTAAGGTAGGTCATGTACTCTGGAAGAAGGAATAGATCAATCTAAATGAGTATCGATATGTTCCTAAAGTACCAATTCCTGGAATACTTATTGAAGTGCCCTAATATTTGAAACCCGGAAGATAATAAAGTGTTCCCAAGGAGATGCCTTCAACCTTGGTGTTGCCCTCTCTGTGCCCTAATCTCTACCCTAAATCCCTTTTTCGAGACTGTGAATGCTTGAGCTTTGTCCATCTGTGGTCGGCTTCCCACAGTGCTGAGCTGAGAAGTAAAATGGACCCAAAATGACCCTATGAAGAGATGAAGATGCCTATCTTACTGTCATGGAAGGATTTGGTGCTCACAGAGAATCAAATTCTCATATTTCCTTATAAATTGCTATCTTGAACAAATAGCTAACAAAAGTAGAAGTTCCCAAAAAGCATTACAGGATGAGCTAGCCACGTTCCAAGGAGCATGGCTGGATTTACTCAAGTGCAGAATCAGCTGGGCCTGATTGGCCCCCACAGCCTTCGTGGTTAATGAGTTTTCTGATGGCAGCAATGGCGGGAGCACAGAAAGCACCAGGTATCCAGACATGTGTTGTCCTATACAACAGCCAAAGCCACATGTTGCTGCTGGCTGCTGCTCTGGACAACACAGATTAAAGTACATCCCTATTATTGCAAGAATTCTGTTGCACAACACAGCTCTAGACTTTTGCTTAGTCACTTATTTATCTGTCGACAAATATTGAACACTTATTAGGCAGGCGCTAGTATTCTAAGCACTATGTCAGGTCCTTAGATTACAAGACCTAACTGGGGATGTTGGGAAAGGCTTCTGAGAGGTGATGACTTACTTAACTCTCAAAGGTTGAATAGTAGTTCTTTAGGTTAGGATGGGGTTGGGTAGACAGGGAGTACTTTACAGCAAATAGAACTAGTATATGCGTAGGAACTTCTCTCCCTCCCTTTGTTTCTCTGGACTCTGCCTTTGGTCAGTTCTCAGTACTTCTGCTGAATTCTTTTACTTAGCTAGTGACTCTGCTCTCCAGATGGGTGACTTTGTTAAGCCTCAGTTTTCTTATTTGTAGAATGGGAGTAAGATACACTATGCAAGATTATTTTCAGAAGCAAATAAAGTACAGTATAGGGAGGTATATAGTACCATGAGGGACACATATTAGGAGTTTAATGAATATTAGCTCATCTTTTTCTCTTTATCAAATCCAAGGCTGGAGGTCCATGGGTACCACTCTCCACTAGGTTATTCTGCCCAGGCCCTGGCTGCAGAGGGCTATGCCTTGTGGCTGCCTCATGATCTGCCTATGTGCTGGGCTAGAGTGCTACTGTTAATTGCAGCTATTTCCAGACCACAGTGAAGCTTTCTTTTCTTTTCCTTGCTTTGTTTTGCAGCAGGTGGTTCTCATTATTGTGCAGTGAGGTGGTGGCAGCAGACATACTGGCAAGTGCAATGTGATTTACAAACCACGTGTCTCATGCCTAGGGGTTGTGGGCAAACTCTACCAGTCATGCAGTCTGGAATTTTCTCTGGTTAACCTTCAGTCTCCTGGGATTCAGCCTAGTGATGGGGAAAGGGATGGACTTTGAAATCAAAACCAGTATGGAGCTCCAGCTCTGATTTATCAGCAGCCTAACCTTGCACAAGTTAGTAATTCTTTCTGTAATTCAGTTTCCTCATCTATTAAGTTTTTCAGTTTCCTCATCTATTTTGGGCTGCTTTAATAGAGTACCACAGACTAGGTGATTTATAATGAACAGAAATTTATTGGCTCAGAGTTCTGGAGGTTGAGAAGCCCAAGATCAAGAGGTGGTATCTGGCAAGGACCTTCTTGATGTATCATCATGGCAGAAAGTAGAATGGCAAGAGAGAGTGAGAGAGAGACAAAAGGGGGGCAAACTCATTATTTTTTAAAGATCCCACTTCTGTAATAATGGTATTAATCCATTCGTAACCATACAGCCCTTGTGGTCTAATCACTTCTTATCAGGCTCCACCTCTCAACACTGTTGCCTTGAGGATTATGTTTCCAACACACGGTTTTTGGGGGACATATGTAAACCAGAGCAGTGGACTACTACTCTTCAGTTTATAAGTCTGTTGGCGGGGAGTGATATGATGACATACACAGGCACCTACTACAGTCTAGCACTTTTATTCAATGTTGGTTTTTCTTCCCTTCTGGTTTTAGGAATTCAAAAATTCAACAGTAGAGACAGCTCTCGAGAGACCATTGTGTATACTCAATAGTTGTGTACCCCTCACCTACTATGGGTCAGCACTTGTGTCTCCTGCTCTCTGGTTCTCACCAGAGACTATGAGAGAGAGATTATCATCTTGGTATGAAGGAAGATGGGGCTCAGAGAGGTGTGGCAATATCCCCAAAGTCACATTGCTAATAATGATGGAGCTGGGAATCTCATTTCCAGCCTCCTCTCTCTAAACTCACCCCCTCAGCCCCTTTCCCACCCAACCCACAACCCTGTTTCATGACGAAAGAAAAGGGCAGGATGAGAGTGTCTGGGTTTCTCTGCCGCAGGCAAGTTGTGGATCCCACACCTAATATCATGGGGGAGCTGGAGAGGATCTTGGGCCACAGAGAGGGGTACTCATAGGAAAAGGCCTAGGTGGGGCCACATTGGGCACTTTAGCCAGACATCCTTCCCAAGGCAGAATGATTGGCTGAGCTATTTGCCAGAGGAGGTAACAGTCAGGGAACAGCCTGGTAAATGAAATGGGAAAAATTGACAAATAAAATGACCAGATGGGAAAAGCTTGATCAGGAGGTAAAAGCACTGTATCCTTCTCCTGCCAGTCCCCTGAGCCCTCTTGCTTAGCCTAGTTAGATATCCAATTGTTTCCCTCCATCCAGGCCCCACTTGATCACCCAGAGCAAATTGTGATTATCAAAACTTTCAGCCGCCTACTGCTGATTCACCCTTCTCTCCTGCATCAGCAGAACTGGAGGAAATGCACTCCCCAGAGAATCCTGCCTCCGGCTCCGCTCCTGGAGGTGCTGGTGACGATGTCATGCCTGATATTTAAAGCACAGGTCCTGAAAACTCCACTTTCACATTCTATATATAGTGCCCTTTGTCCAATTTCCACTACGTGCACATCTTATACAACATACCCCTTAGACATAGTGCAATGGCCTGAGATCTAATTTTTTGGGGTGCTGGGCCCCCAAGATAACTTCTTTTTGGATAGAGAAATAGGGCTAATCTTCACAAACAGGAGATTAGAGCAGGTAGCACTTTCAACAATGTGGAGGTTTTCATGGGGGCACACACATATCGATATGATCTATTTGCTAGTGATTGCTTCTCCAGTTTGTTTATCATGACAGGTGTCCATGCACTGTAAATAGTGTGCATCCATTATACTTATCCAACGTTTTACATTTTTTACTTTACATATGTGAATATACAAACACTTTACAGATAGGAATATACAAACATATAAATAGTTTGCATATATGCATCCATCTGTTTCTTTAGAGATTATTATCCCCATTTCCCAATAAGGAAACTGAGACACAGGGCAATAGCTGTATAGCTGGTTCCCAGTGAGGCTAGGACAAAAGCATGATGACTGGTCCTCAATCATTTCTTCACTCAACCAATATCTACTGAGTGTCTGCTGCGTAGCAAATGGGAAGCTAAGTACTGGGGGTACAACAGTGGACAGAACACTGAAAAATAACAAAACAAAACAAAACCTTTTCTAGAATAGATTTGGGTGAGACGGAAAATGAACACAATAAATAAGTAAACAGCATATTATGTTGGAAGGGGAGGAGGAGGGGCCGGCGAGTGGGAAGTCGGGGGTCACTAGTCTCAGTGAATATGAGCACAGAGACTGAGGCCTTGGAGGAGGGGATACTGCTATGCATTTTTCCACTTTGCATTTCCAACCCGAACCACAAGTTGTGCATGGGAACACTGTCGGAGAAGATGAATGCGTCATGTGTCAGAAGCCGAGAATTCCTGGGCTTGCCCCATCCAGCAGCCGGGGTCACCTTGCCGGAGGGTGGCTTCTGAACGGTAGAAGAACAGAGGCTGAAGCTGAGTCCAGGCATCGTTGTTCCTCGTCGGGGACCTGCTTCTAGGACTCAGGAAACAAAGGGATGCCTGTGTCACCAGAAGAAAATCATAATGAGAACTGGGAATGCAAGCAGTGGGGCTGAAGTTTTAATTAGTGCAGGGGAATATCAGAAGCGCTGCCCATTTCATGATGAGAGCAGCCTGGCCAGGATGTGCGTCCCAGCCTCACTTGTGGACCCGATTCCTTGAGTGAAGGAAGTCTGGCTGTGCAGCCTGCCCGCTTTTTACTTCCTCTCACCTCCTGGCTGTCTGGTCCTTCTCTTTCCCTTGACACACACGTGCTCAGATTTACAACCTCCTCTTGGTGCCCTTGGGCCCATCAGTCCACACTGTGGTTTAACCCTTCTTCTTCTTTCTGCCTCCAGTTCCCTTTCAACATCCCCCAACCTTTCTTCCTGCTCTCTTTTTTTATGCTGGGGCCAGGCCCACAGCCTGTCATCCATTTATCAATGCATTGGAACTGTAACTCAGGTATTGATCTGTGTTTGTTGGTTTTTTTCCTGTAAACTCGGGCTGTAAAGGTTTCATTAGCTTGCCTCACAGTCATTACGTCAAGTAATAGGAAACATCCATCTTCCTCGGGCTTCACTTCTGCACCCAATGGAGATCGGTTTGAAGAGCATTAATCAAGCTCTGAAAATCATTGGCAGCTCATTCCTTTATGATGAAAAAGCTGGTTTGCAGCCTCACTGGGTAGCAGAGGCCTGACACCTTAGATACCTACAGCAATTACGGGCTGTGTGGTTTCCTGCTTAGGGAGTCTATTCTTTGTCTAATGTCTGTATGCAAATCTCATTATTTGCTTTAATGTGATTCCCTGAGTGGTGTGCAGTAAGAACGAGGCATAGATAAGGCTGGGCTTCTCTGCAGAACTGTGGGTGAAAAGGAGGGTTGTCGGTTACTTCCATGGATCCCTGCCAAGGCCAGACCTGCACAGAGGTGGGAAAGATTTACCAACATGGTGTGATGCATGCAGGTGAGAGCTTGAGTATCACCCATTCGCCTACCTCTTCCTTCCACCCAGGATGCCCTCCACCCACCCTTCCAGACAGAAGCAAATCAGCTACTTAGTTGGGGTAACAAAATACCTAACTATACACAACACTTTTACATATATCAAGTGTTCAGGGGCCAGAGCAAATCCCTGGGGCCATAAGCACTAGAACAAGTAAAACTGGAGACTGGGAGTGCGAAAATCAGAAAAGAACATGGAAGGCCATGTGCTGGGGAGGTGGGGTAGGGCAGAGCTGCAAGTGGCCTTGGACCATAGGTCTCAGTGCACAGCCCCCGAACCAGCAGCAGCAGCACCACCTGGGAACTTGTGAGAAGCCCCCGACCTTGGGCCCCATTACAGACGTCCTGAATCAGAGAGTCTGGAGTGCGATGCATGGTCTGTGCTTTAAGAGGCCTTCCAGATTATTCTGGTCCACTACCCTAAGCATAAAGGAGTCATATGACAGCATCAGGTAAGAAAAAGGAAAAACAAGGATGTTGAAAGGACAAATGTGAACATGGAAAACACAAAATGTGCCTCGGACTGGTCCTATGAACACCAAAATGAGGACAAGTGATGTTCCGGGCTGCCTCACCGAGAGAAGAGGTTGGTTCTGGCAGAAGAAGGAAAATGCCATCCAGTGATTAGTGCCAGGCCCTAGAGCAGCAGTGCATAGGCCCCGAGACTGGTATTGCCTTGTACCAGTTATGCATGATGGGGGAAATTATGCCCTCTGCCTATGATTTATCATCTACAACAGGGAATGATGATAATAATAATACTTCCTTGAGAAGGTTCTTTAAAAAATTACAAGACTTAACACATGGAAAGAAGCCTTTAAACAGTGTCAGGCACAGAGTAAGTGCTGAATAAATGACAGCTATGGGTATCATTTCACACAGCTGCATAGAACCACATAAAAGACAAGGGAGTAGCAAACAGAATCGATTAGCTGACCAAAATATAGTCAGATGAGTATGTACATTAGGTTATATTAGCGAAGCAGAAGAGAGTTCATAATGCCCAAAATGAATCAAAGAAGCAAATGCACCAAGAAATAGATTGTTATTGAATCACAGGTTCATTTATTTATTCACTCATTCAGCAAACATTGAGTAACACTCCAGGGGTGCACTGTGCACCTTGGGCAGTGCAGAGATGCTGAGAAGCAGGAGTCTAGTGAGACCCTAGGGTCATAAAGACATCAAGAAATGACACTAAGCAGAGAGGTAGCTTCAGGTTAGGCCCAGAGATTGATGGGGATACCAGGAGGGGCATCTGAGGCAAACCGGGTGGCTTGGCTTCCTGGAGGAGGTGCCAGGGGGGCACAGCAGGTACACAGGGCAACATGAACAAAAGATACCGAACTGAGAAATGGTAGCATGAAAGCAAAACAGACTGGGCTGTGGCCAGATGGTCACAAGGGAGCTGGAGCTGCAGAAGCGTTGTGGCGGGTCTTACGGGCCAAATTCACGAGCTTGAACATTATCCTCCAAATGGCGGGGAGGAATTAGGAGATTTAAGAAGAAGAGTGATGCGTTCATGCTTCAGCTCTCTTTCTCTGAGCCATGAGGAGGCTGGGTTTGAAAAGAGTGAGGCCAGGAGGAGGGAAATCAGCTAGAAGCTCTAGTTCAGGGCTCACCGTCTCTCGCTGGGGTTCCATTGCCTTCTGTCTTACACAGAAAGTGGCATTTCATCTGGGACTCGAAGGATGTGAATGGATCGGCCTCAAGGTGGCCAGAACAAAGGGCAACTGGGAGAGGGGCTGGCAGGCTGAGTTTCTAGGACAGGAATGTGCTCAGGAACATAAAGAAGTGAAGTGTGGTCCTGGGGAGAAGGTTGGAGCATGAGGAGGAGAGGCAGCCTGGGCGAATGCTGGTAAGGAGCCTGGATTTTATTCCAAGCATAATGCAAAGCCAAAAGAGGGCTGCAAGAGATAAAAGGTACGAAGCTAGTGCAGTTCCTCAAAAATGTGCTGGCTGGACTCTGGTTATTGGAGGCAGGGTGAGAAAGAACAGAAATAGGGACGCCGACTGGGAGGATGTTGCAGGAGCCCAGGTCATGGTGGAGGTGACTGTGGCCAGGCTGGTAACAGCTCTGATTCTGGGTAGGGCTGGGAAACGTGGGTGGTAGTTTAGAGACGTATATCTAATCCCACAATGCTGTGAGGTAAGTATTAGAAATCCCGTTTGCCAGATGAGAAAACTGAGGTCCAAAGAATTTCAGAAACTTATTCCTACTCTCAAAGCTTCCAAACCAGCTTCCCTCCAGATAACAATTCCCACAATATCTTCCCTACAGCCCTGAAAGGAGCATTTGTTTGGTAGGAGGGGCTGGACAGAGATGACCAAGGAAATAGGGGTAAATGTCTGTGTAAAAAGAGCCAAAAATAATCTAAACCTCCTTCTTAACCATCCGTACCTAACACATTGATCTTCTCTCTGCAAATGTATTTCCTGTATTCTTCCCTTTCTGACTTAAGCTTTATTGTTTATTACCGAAGTCTTTGAAATACCTTGAAGAGCAGAGAAAAAAGCTTCTCCCCTCAGGCTGTCAGAGGGGGAGCCCAAAGCAACGCACAGCAGAAAGAAAGTTTTGGGAAGTTACCTGTTTTATCTGAAAGATTTATATGAATGTTGTACTCTGCTCACAATGCAACTCTGCTTATTTCAATGTTTAAAACTATGTTTTAAATTGCAGCCAGGTATCACAGGATTAAACAGAAGGTTTACCTTCCCGAATCATGCATGGTAATATAATGAGTACTTTGTATTGCCGCTTACTGTGTACCAGGCACTAGTCTGAGTGTGTCAGATGCATTGCTTCACTGTGAACGTGGGTCTCGTTATGTCATTTGCAGTTGAGGAATTGAGGGCTCAGAAAAGGAAGTGACTTGCCTGAGGACACTGCCTGTGCAGACTCAGGACTCGAATCCAGTTATGTCTGTCCCAGCACCTGTGCATGTGGCCATATTCCTCAGGTATGGTAGCCCAGGGTATTACAGAAAGCTTGGCTCTAAATGTATCTGAAAGTTCATGCACGAAGATATGATTTCTCATGGTTCAGGTGGATTAGCTACAGAGCAAGCTCAGGCTTTTAGTTTTGGGGGCTCTGTAGAAAGAGGACGACAAAGGCTGACAGGAAGAAGTTCATGTGATTCTGGTAGCTGGCAGCTCAGCTGTCCTGTCCGTGTGCCCAACATAGGCACTGGTGGCACGTGCTCAGGATGACAATAGCAACTGGGCTTTCTGGGCACAGGGATCATCCACTCACAATGGGACCTAGCTCAGGGCTAAAGAATGAAGCCCGTTTCAGCCCTTGCTGGAGGAGGTTGGTAAGAAAGAGTAGGTGCAAAGCCCAGATAAACAGATCCTGGTTCTAAAATGAACACTAGCTCTGAATGTAAAAACCAGGAAATCCACCCTCCAGATTGAACACCGTGTAGGAATTGTTGGGAAGAGGGAGAGGAGGCTGAAATTTGGTGGGTATCTGGAGTTGCTGGTCTATCCCAAGCTCATCATTGCAGTTTCTTCTCCACCACCCAATGGGCCTGAGCTTGCCATTCCACTGCTGTTTCTAGCCAAGAGGTAGGGAGGGAGGAATACACTCAGATTAGGAAGCGTGAGTGGCTATAGCTAAGGGATGCTAAGAAAGACAATGATTGACATTACATAATAACTCTACTGTTTTAGGCCGGGCCCGGTAGCTCACACCTGTAATCCCAGCACTTTGGGAGGCTGAGGCGGGCGGATCACCTGAAGTCAGGAGTTCAAGACCAGCCTGGCCAACATGGCGAAACCCTGTTTCTACTAAAAATACAAAAATTAGCCGGCATGGTGGTGGGTGCCTGTAATCCCAGCACTTTGGGAGGCTGAGGCAGGCAGATCACCTGAGGTCAGGAGTTCAAGGCCAGCCTGGCCGACATGGTGAAACCCTGTTTCTACTAAACATACAAAAATTAGCCGGCATGGTGGCAGGCGCCTGTAATCCCAGCTACTCGGAAGGCTGAGGCAGGAGAATCGCTTGAACCCGGGAGGCAGAGGTTGCAGTGAGCCGGGATCGCACCATTGCACTCTGCACTCCGCACTCCAGCCTGGGTGACAGAGTGAGACTCTGTCTCAAAATAACAATAATAATAATAAAATCTCTCCCGTTTTATAGCAGAGGAGGGGTATGTGCAGCCTCTTTTTTAACCCATCCAGGGTTAAAACCCCTGTTCCATGGACCAGCCCTCCTGCAATTCTACCTTAAATTACAGTGTGCTCCTGTTGTAATTCAATGACTGTTTATATTTCTAATGAAGAAAACCAGCTTCAGACAAGTCTTCAAACAACAGCCTTCACATGTAAAACATTGTTTTAAGATGAAAAGAATTATGCCAAAAATCCTAAGGCAATTGGCAACCTTCTTCCTTTTCTCCCAGAATTCTAAAACATCTTCATGCAGGTATAATAGGGACTGACACAGGATAGAGGGGCCCATATCTGAGGGTCTCCCTTCTCCTGACAGGCCTCTTGACATTTTGTCATGTCTTATTCCCTGCTGTCCTCCAAGCCAGTTGAAAACAAAGCTAGGGCCATTTTCACTCAGTAAGTAACAAGGGGCCAAGATTCAGGCAAAGAGAGGAATGAGTTCATTTGCAACCTCAGGGCTGAAAACAGAGTCTCCTTGTAAATCCAAAACAAATCAAGAGACAGGAGGCAAAGACTGAGAGTAGATTGTCAATAACCATCCTGGGAAAAGATTAATCTGGAGCTTGGGGTAACTAATGTGAGTGTTGAGATAATTCAGGACATGTTCAATATGTTAAAAGGCCGTCACTACCCTGAGACACGGAACACCTGGCTCTAGAAGGGATGGAGGAAGCATTAAAGGGAGGAGAAATTTCTAGTAAATCACGTAATGACTGCTATTTGTTAATTAACATTTATTAAGTTCATCTCCAATGCCAGCCACTGTGCTAAGTGTTCTTTTGTATATATTTCAAGTGATGTAATACCTCAAAAGCATTGTGAGGCAGGAATTATTTCTGTTTTACAGATGAGGAAAGTAAGACTCAGAAAATAAGTGAATTGCCCAAGATCACACAACTCAGATGTGCTGAAATTGGGACTTCAACTCGGATATGTGTAACTATGAATCTCTTAACCATTATATTTTATTGTTCCTTTTTACTGCTTTTAATAACTTTACTATTGTTGTCTTGAGTTGATAGCTAAACCTTAGATTACTCCAAATTTTGCATATGAATAGCTTGGGTTTTCTATCTAGTTATGAGTCACGTTAGGAAGAGACAGTTTTATGCTTTTTAAATATCCCAAGTGAAAAAAATGCCCTAGATGTAATAATTTGCTTTTCCACAGTATGTTACAATCTTCGAAACATTTCTGCATATGTATATTTTCTCACTCCATCCCTGTGAGAGGAATAGGCTATTATTATCCCTAATTTATAGGTGAGCGCAAAGAGGCATAAGGAGTTTTACAATGTGCCTCAGTTAGCAAATGGAAGAAAAAGACCTGACTTTTGTTCATTTTACTTCTAGGCCAACGTCCTTTTGTGTCAGGTACTGCTAATTGCCTCCCCAAAACCTGGTTCTTCTTGCTAACAGGCAGAATTTTGCCCCATATTTATTTAGGAGTCAGAGGGGATCTTTTGATCTTAGGAAACATAGCTCAGCCCATTAATCCTATTTTAGGCAATAAGATGGAAATAGGAAGGGTTTTCCTCCCTGAGAGAAGAATACTCTGTGCCATGCTTCCTAACTGGAATGCAGGACATGATTTCTGGCACTGCTGCAGCCATTTTATGACCATGAAAAGGTCACTAGCATTGCAGACATACTGACCTTGAGCCCTGACATTATTAAGCTGCTAAATCTACATAAGCCACTACCAACCAGCACATCTTTGTTATAATAAAACATAAAATGAACCTCTGTTACCTGTCACTGAAAGATTTCCTGCTGATTTAACTTTGTACTGCACCAATGAAATAGCACTCTGTTGATGTGAGTTTGGAAGAAGGTGATCTACAAATATACTTTGTACAGCATGGTCAGTCAATGAAAGCCCTACATGAATGCAAGTGTCATTATTATTGTTACTATGTTATATTAAACACTCTTTGATATGATTTTATATTTGCATTTAGATTTCTGGAACTCAACTCCCCACAATGGAGAGTGAATGTCCTTGACTGAGAGTAAAGGCAGCTCTGATCAATTGTCACCGAGCCAAGTGCTAGGCCTGTGCTTTGAACTGTTATGAAATCATACCAAAGGCCAGTCTTTCTCTGCCTCAGTTTTGCTTTCTGTACACTAGCATAACAACTTTCATTCTCTCTGCTCGGAGTATAGAGTCAACAGGAAATAGAGATGGGAGAGAAAAGTAAGGGAACAGCAAGAAAGGATTTCAACACTTTCAAAATTGATTATTATGCTTGGGCATTGCGTTTGGCATTGTACTGGAGCAGGCTCACTAACCGACAGCTTTGCAAGGTAAGTATTGTCCTCTCTGAACACTGAGGGACACGCCTGGGGCATGATGGGGAAACTGAGATGTCTTGATGAATCCCACGCCCACCAAGAATTTGAGGTGCATTATTTGGGTCCTCTACCCTTCCCTGCCACCCGCAAGAGCTGCAGAATATAAAAGCAGTGTGAGGAGGACCTCTCTGAGGCGAGGGTGCTAGCTCACAAAAAACAGTCAATGGAATTGATTTCCTGGATGGAACAAATGGGGGTCTTTGAATCCTTACAGTGACAGTGTATTGAATTACAGGCATAAGAGGAACTTTGGGGGAAAATGAGCTCAGCCCCTCAGTTCTGTACAGTCAACAGTTACATCAAAACCAGAATCTCCCTTTCTCTCTTCTAAAGACAACAACGTTTGATCAGAGGAAGCTACAAAATTTGCAGGCACAAGCAGGGAAAGGATTGTTCAAAGTGCAGGGAGAAGAAAAAGAATTTAGAAAAAACAAGATGAATGTGGAACCACCTTCCAGAGCCCTTGCAATAAAGGAAGTAGTTCAATTAGGAGCTCCACACCCAGCCTTCCACACTCACTCCTCTCAGATACTACGTGGCTTTGAATCAATCCCTGGACCATTGAAAGAATTGCGTTTAAACCTTCCTCAGAGACTAGTACAGATTTGATATATAGATGAAGAAAGCATGGCCCCGTCCTCAAAGTGCTCAGTGTCTACTATGGGCAAACCCTTTAATATCCAATGTGACAAGCATGGCATTGCCTCAATGATTTGTAGCTGGAGGCTCTGACCTTTGCTTACTCCTTTATTAGTAAGGTCTTTGTAACAGACTGAGATATCGTTTCATTTGGATGAGAGATAGAAACATGAAGTTCTTCAAATAGGGCATACTATCACTGAAATTTAGGTAAGGCATAGAAAAGCATAGAAAGCATTGAATGCTTGCCTATTGCATAGTAAGAAGGTGATTGGTTTTCAAAAGTTCAGGCTCTGGAACCAGAGTGACTGGGTTGAATCCTGCCTCTTCCACTTACTAGCTATATGGCCATAGTCAAGTGCTCTGTGCACCTTAATTTTTTTATCTGTAAAATGGGATAATAATTGAACCTATCAAAGTGTCATAGACAGGACTAAATGAGTTAACACACGTAACGTTCTTAAAATATGCCTGGCACATAGTAAGTGCTCAGTGAATTTTAGCCATTAATACAAACTGCTCTTACCTGGCAAATAGTTGCAGTAGTAGTAGGAGTAAGCTGGAGTTGAAAAAGCAGACACAGATGCAACTGGTAGGTGATTCATTATCCGTCTGGAAGACCCAGAAAGTGAGAAGTGTCACAAGCTCCAGAAGCACTGTTTTGTCAAGGGAAATGTCTACGATTTGATGAAGCTTGAAAAATTCGTAAATGCCTGATGCTACTCAAATTTACTCCTGGCTATGGCAGCAGATCACTGTGCTTCCAACAAACTCAACAACAACAACAACAGAGAGGTGAAAAGGAAAAAGAAAAGGAAACCATTACGGAGCCACAATTTACTGAATCTTTTCAATCACAAAATTAAGGTGAATTTGGGATAGGGACAAGTATTCTGATGTAATCTGAAATGACTTTTCTGTTTGATATAAAGCCATAGGGAATGCACGGGGACAGTTTAAAGCACCAGCAAGGTGAGTGAGCTGCATTAAAATGGAAATGAAAAATAACCCAGAAAATGCTATTTATTGTAAAAACTGCCGGCATGCTTAGAGCTGCTTTGATCATCTTTGCCTCAAAGAAAGCAGAGCCAACAAAGTGAAGTTTCAGAAAAGGGCAGCGAAATGATCAGAGACATAATGGGTGAAAGGAGGTCTTTATCCAGAGAAGGAAAGAAACAATTGCAGAAAAATTCTTTGGCTTAATAGAGATCTATTGGATAATGAATGGCGAGGAGCGGCCATTCAGGTGCTGCCCTCTCCCCCGTCCCAAATCACAAGAATGAGAAGGAATTTGAAAGGACTGAAAATAGATAAATGGACATCATATGTTTAAAGCCTCAACTGGGGAAACTGGCAGCCTTGGGTCATTTTTGAAGCAAACAATAGAGAGCCTTTCTAAGAAGATCAAACGTTCTGTGCTTGCCCAATTGCAGCTCATCCTCCAGGGGTGTTTGCTGAAAAACAGAGGGGCAACGCTGTGCTAGACCCTCTGGAACACACAGAGCCCTCCCCCATGCTGTCCACAGGGGCAGTCTGTTGAGACGGAGGCAGAGAGGGGAAAAAAAAAAGACTAAATTTATTACCCCTTAAGGATTTAGAAAATGCAATAGGGTAGGACTAGAAAGAAACTTTCGGATTTTAGTTGATGTGAGGCAAATTTTCCTACCCTCCATTCCCCCCACCCCATTCCTGAAGAAAGAAAGAATTCCCTCTTGGCCTTGGGCAGTCAGAGGTGATCCAGGACCAGTGACGCCATCCTCCCCACAGAGTGTGTTAAAAATGTAGACTCTCAGCCCATCCCAGATCCCAGAATCTGCATTGTAATAAAACTCACAGGCACATCAAAGTTGAGGGATTTACTACAGTCTCTCTGCAAGCAGGAAAATAGAGAAAAGACTGGGTGTGCCTCCCTCACAGCTGTGCCATTAACCTCCTGTGGGGACAGTCAGTGTAGTACCTCCAAAGCCTCCATATCTTCATCCAAAAACAAGGAATCAAATTCCCGTGAGTATTACATTAGACGATTCATTTAAAGCATTTGGAAATGTATTAATATCTGACATACAGTAAGAATTTAAAGGCATTAGTGTAGGTTACAATGACTGATATGGATAATGACCCAACCACCAAGAAATGGAAAGAAAGATCCACTCAAATAATGAGCCATAATGGAGAACAGAGAAGCTGTACAAGCAGTAAGAAAAAGGGACAAGGACACCGACTCTGAACCTACCAGCCTGTGAATGACATGTGTAAGAGATGGAGCAGGGGACAATGGAAGCTTGCTACCCAGCTCCAGAGTATATAGATGGCTTTATAGAAAGCCCAGCTGTGAGCAGTCTTGAGCGACAGGTAAACGGGTTACAAGTTAATTAAGAAAGACAATGCATAGCTCATGTGTGTTTTCCTTGGCCATTTATCAAACATTTTGGTATTGTTTGATTTGTTCTTGTGGTAGTTAATTAAGGTACATTTTTTTATTTTATATTCTTCTAAAGAAGTATTATTTTACTTTTTAATTAAAAAAAAATACTGCAAGGTGGGCCGGGCGCGGTGGCTCACGCCTGTAATCCCAGCACTTTGGGAGGCCGAGGCAGGTGGATCACAAGGTCAGGAGATCGAGACCATCCTGGCTAACATGGTAAAACCCCATCTCTACTAAAAATAGAAAAAAAAATAGCTGGGCATGGTGTCAGGCGCCTGTAGTCCCAGCTACTTGGGAGGCTGAGGCAGGAGAATGGCGTGAACCCGGGAGGCAGAGCTTGCAGTGAGCCAAGATTGTGACTCTGCACTCCAGCCTGGGTAACAGAGTGAGACTCCATCTCAAAAATAAGAATAAAAAAAATAAAAATACTACAAGGTAATTTCTCACTTACTTTACCAAAATTCAACCTGAGACTCAAGTTATTCCTATAATAGATATTCTGTCCTGACAATGAAGAAGAAATAACTCAGCACTGGTGAAGTATGTTAGAGAAAGGCATACATTTAGGAGATCCAAATACCCAAAATACTGGTAAGGATACGTCACAATAGTAGAAATGATACAAGTTGCTTTAAGAGTTCACTTTATGTGGAATTCTGGGAGAAGATGCAATTTGAGTTTAGGGGTAGGGCATTCAGGTGACGTAAGGTCTCTTGTTATGTCTGTGCCCATAGCAGAACAGGAGCAGCTGATATCCCATCTATGAAAGAGTCACTGCAACCTCTTAGCTCATGCTCTCGGCCATTTAGACACTCTTTGGAGCATGCACCCCACCCCATCTTTAATCTTAGTCTAATTAATAGCTTGGGTGATAAACAGAGACCTATTATTCACAGACAGGTGTATACCCTTGTCAAAGGTCTTGGCTAAATCATGCTGATTGTCTATAATAACAATGTTAATGACCCTCTGCATTAGCTTTACATTGTAAAACATCTTTCCTTGATGTTTGTTCAATAATTTCATGAGAATTAGAAACATCTATTACAAACCCTAGGACACTAAAGGGCTCCTGAAACACGGGGCTGTAATTCATGTTGGAGTCTTAGCGGAAACGACAATTACTTGGAGCCCTGCTCTAGCAACTCTCAGAAAGAGAGAAATGTGGTTCTGGGCTACCATTAGACTACCTAGAATATTTTCCACAGAAAATATAAAGGCCCACAATTGGAAATCATGAATTTAAATAAATTTAAATGGTTCAATAACTTTCAACACAATGTTTACCATGCCACATAGGTGAGTTTTGTGGCCAAACTGCATATTCTGGTACTGAATTATGTATTTGATTAACATGTAGATGTGCAGTAAGGCAAATATAAGAACAATTAAGGTGATCAGGAATGTGGACTAATCAAGACCTTAAAAAAATACCCAAGAGCTTATGTAGGGAGTACTGAGGAAGCAATAAAGTGATTTCTTTTATTTAAAAAATGTTTCCTTTTACCATGCTTAGTGGTCCTGGGACTGAGGGATCCAGGAGGGTAAGCAGGGAAGACAGCCCCTTAAGGGGTTTCCTCTCAGAATAATGAACAAATATCTTCTGCTTGTTCATTCAAAGTCTCTTTGAACTTAGAAGGGAACTCAAGTCATAGCTGGACTTTTCAAAAGGCAGAACTTTCAAGTTTTAATTTTTGTTTTCATTTGGTCCAAATTTCCTCTTGCTATATCCACAAATGTCATTCTAAACAGCTGGCATATCTATATAAACTTATAAAATTGGCCCACTCTGTAACTTTCAGGCTGGGGGTAACTTGACATCTTTCTCTCTTTCAGTTCAGAGCACTGATTCATATCCCATATATTTAGCCATCTACCATAAGTCTGCAGTTAGATTATCTGATATCACCCAATGTTATCTAGCTGAAAATGGTACTCATATTCTGCCTTATTTCCTCCCTCGAACTGTCTTCATTCCAAATACCTCCATTATGCTTCCAGTGACTGACTCTGCTATCAGTAGTACGAGTACTCACAGGCTAGAAACTTTTTACCATGGGTGATCCCTCCTCTCCTTTATTCTTGAACCATATTTATCACTTGGAAATGTTTATTTTCTCATCGTTCTTTTCAGAGTTACCCTCCTCCTTTATTACCAACATTCATTTACTTATTCATTCATTTAATAATGTGTTGGAGGCACTTGCTATATTCTGGATCTCAGTCAGTATCTTTGAAGGGCTAGATCCTAGGAGTAAGAAAGACCCAGAGGTGGCTTTGCAGTGGGGAACCTTGCCTTTGTTAGCTCACTTTGTGATTGGATTGATGTGTTTTGTTTCTATTCTAATGGCTGTCAGAGAGTAAAGTAAACTGCTCTGTAGAAAGACAACATTAGCCAGAGCCATTTAATTATTTATATGAAATGTCTGATATTTTTTTAAAATACCAAACATATTAATTGACAAAATAAAAATAAAAATAGTAACAGAAAAAAGTCACATATGATACAGATTGGGCTTTTCAAAACTGAACGTAAAATAGTTGTAATTAATATGTTCAGTAAAATGAATGACAAGATGAAGAATTTCACTGGAGAATGCAATTTCTACACCTATCTCTAACAGAAATTCTTGAACTGGAAAATAAACTCTGAAATTATAAACCCAATAAATGTGTTACACAGCAGATTGAACTTAATTAGTTTTATCAGGCCAACATAACTTTCTTATCAAAACATGACCCAAATATTATAAAAGAGATAAAAGTACATGCCTTCTTTCTCAAAATCAGTTTCACAAATCTAAAACAAAATAATATAATTGAGCACATTGTACACTAAATAAAAGATATTATTTCCTTAGATGCAAAAGACTTGATGGCATTCAACACCATTTATGATATAAAATGACACAAAACTCTTACGAAAATAGAAATATAGGAGAGCTTTCTTAATTTGATGACAATTATCAACAACAACAACAAAAAAAAAACAACTATGGCACTAACATGTAATGGAATTTTGAAAACTTTCCTATGAGTCTAAGAACAAGACAAAGATACCCATTCTCACCATCTTTATTCAAGACTGTACTGAAAATTACAGACTATGAAATAGGCAGGGAAAAAAAGGGCATCATAATCGGAATGAAAGAAATAAAACCATCATTATTCACAGGTAGCATGATGAGGAGCCTAGAAAACATAAAATGATCTACAAAAAGCAAGTATTATAATTAATACACAGGTATAGCAAATCAATAATTACCAGATTAATTACACAAAAATAGTTATATTTCTACATACCACCAATAATGAGATTTTTATAATACTATATTGTTTATATACCATCAAACACTAGGAATAAACTTAACAAAAAGATGTACAATATTTATACAAGAAAACTATAAATTTTTACTAAGAGAAATTAAAGAAAATCTGAATATATGGTGAAATAGACCACGTTATTTATTGGTGACTTAATGATTTAATATTTTAAAGCTGCCAATTCTTCTTTAATTAATGCATAGATTCCATGCAGTATGAATCAATATCTCTGCAGTAGGTTTTGGTGGAAATTGACCAGTTGATACTTACATTATGAGAATACAAAGGGCTAAAAATAACCAAAGCTATCTGGAAAAAGAAGAACAATGTTAGGAGACTTAACTTGCTAAATACCATGACTCATTCACTGCAGCTATAAAGGTACACTAATTAAGAAAGTGCAGTGTGTGCAGTGATTGGACAGAGAGCCCAGAAATAAGTCTACATAAATACAGTCACTTGGTTTATGAAAAAGTTGGTACTGTGGCAGAGTAAAGGAAGGATAATCTTTCCAATAAATGGTGCTGAATGAATTTAATATCAACGTTGGAAAGAATAAAATTTTGCTCTCTACTTCATGTCATATACAAAAGTAAATTTCAGATGGATTTTAGTTTCTAATGTAAAAGGAAAACAAAATAAATTTTCTAGGAGATAGAAAGAACACTATTTACATAACCTTGATTTATGTAAATTTTTGAAAGGATATAAACAATACTATCGTAGAGAAAAATGGACTGTATTAAAATTAAAAATGTATGTTTTCACACACTCAAAAGTAAAAATCAAAGCCATAGAGTGGAAAGAAATATTTGCAATATATATAACTGATAAAGAACTCATATCCAGAATATATTCATTACGCCTTTACATCCATAGAAAAAGACATAATTTTGATTTAAAAAGTGAGCAAAATTTTAATTTTAAAAAGTGAGCAAATGTTAGATAACATTGGGTGATATCAGATAATCTAATTCTAACTTTCTGAAAGTTCTGTCTAAAAAGATTTGAATAGGACTTTCACAAAATAAGAACTCTAAATACCAAATAATCATAAAGTGCTTAGTTTCATTAGCAATCACAGAACTATGACTTAAAATAATGAAATATGACTACATCTTACATCAAAAAGACCAATACCAAGTGTCATTGAAGAGACGGAGCAACTGGAACTGTCATACACTGATTGTGGGAGTATAAGTTGTCACAACCACTCTGGAACATGATTTTGCAGTATGTACAATATGTACTGAAGGTAGATGTATGACCCAGAAATTTCTCTTCTAGGTAGATGACCAAAAGAAATGTGTGCATATAGGCACCAAAAAATATGCATGATGGTTTTCATAAAAGTAGGATTCATAGTAGACACAAATTGGAAATAACCCAAATGTCTATTAACACTGCAATGCTCCATTAAATTTTATCTATGGAATGAAATACTACACAAGAATAAACAAACTACAGCTATATGCAAAACATGGATGAATCCTACAGACCTACTATTTAGCACTGCAAGCCAGAAACAAAAGAATACACAATATGTGATCCCATTTTTGTAGAGCACTCAAACTGGCCAAGTCAACTGATGGCGTTAGAGATCGGGCTAGCAGTTACCTTTGGAGACGTGGCAGGTGAACAGGAAATGATATGAGGGGACTCCTGTGGTGTTGGCAGTGTCTTATTTCCTTGGTGGTGGTTCCATGCATATTCTGACCTTATGAAAACTAATTTATATATACACTTCTAATTTGTGCATTTTCCTGTATCTATATGTATATATTACACTTGAGTCAAAAACTTACTTGAAGACCAGTTTCAAAAAGAAGAAAGTGAATGACAATGCCCAAAATATTAAAGAATTAAATAAACTGAAGACAGTCAATGTATATGATCTTTTTTTTTTTAGTGGAGTTATTGCTAATCTTGACAAGAACAATTCTAGTTTTCTCATACTAGCTAAGTATCTGAGCTCTTTTAACTTATTTCGCCATTGATACCAGCTGGAAAATTCTCCCTACTTATAGAAGAGCTCCGGGAAGTGTGATTTTTTCCCCCTTTTCTCTTCTACTTTCAGAATACTTCTCTCTTATACACTTACACACCAGACTGCAACAAGAGAAACTCCCTCAACGGGCTCACTAAACAGGGCAAGGCAAAACCCTTTGCTGGGTCAGAGGTATGATGAGCATGTCAGTGAGTGAGCACCTGCCCGAGGGCACTCATGCCTGTCACTGTTCACCATGCTGTGGGTCTGGAAATTCTGCCCGCCTCCCAACTCACCCTACTATGGGTCTGAAAGCTCTGCCTGCCTCCCAGCTTGGAGCCTCCCTCCTGTCTACTCTTCCTGAAGCACCTCCAGGAGGCACCAAGGTAAAGCTCTTTGCTTCCCACGTGGCTGCCCTCTCTGCGACACAGACACAAAGATGCTACTGGAGATGTAACCCATTAATGAGCAGGCTTGAAACCAGGCTCCTGGCTGCAGGCAGCTCCCAATCTGGCATCTATTAGTAGTGGGATGCCCCAGACTTCCACATCAAACCTAAACAGGAGACAGCTGAGGAACCAGCAGATGTGAGCAGAAAACAGAAGGACGCAGCATAGAGAGTCCAGTTCCAAAAAAGCATTGTTCTCCTCGCTGTCCTGCCCTGCGACCAGGAAATCCACCAGTGTTCAAAAGAGTGAGTCTCTTTGCCGGAATGCCCTTCTGTTCACAGACCCCGAAGTGATATGCACCTCTTGGCAAATGTGATATAGAATGATCCTCTGCAGGCATTTGAACACAGCTCTGTGACCTGTTTGCCAGGCCCTGGGTGACCAGTCTTCCCTCCAAATGTGTGTCCCCTCCCCACCTCTAGCTGGACTCTGGGATTGACTCCCCACACTGTGTCCTTTCCAGCACAACACAGGCGGTCAATGGAGCATGTGCTATTGTGGCAGAGTGGCAGAGAACCTTGGAGTGGAATTGTATATAAATGAGGAAGTCACAAGGACGCAGCCTCGTGTTGTTCAAATCTGTTTGGCATGGCTTTCATCCTGCATGGAGCCTGGACAGCTCCTGGGAACCTCCTGTCTATTTCTTTCTCACCTCAGCCCCCAGTAGCCTGGAGCTCTTTCTCTTGGCCTCTTTGGCACTGAGAAGCTCAGCCCATCCTGCCTATGGCATAGGCCACTCTTTGTTATTCTCAGGTTAAATTGTTTTTCTAATTTTTAAATCACTCAAGGCCTAATTCAGGGTCATCACTAAGTTTTTGCTACAGAACTAGCATGAATTAAATTCATTTTCCTCTAGATCGCAGCCTAGAATAAGAGGTCCAATTAAGTTTCCTCTCCACAGGGCTCATTCTCACCACAACCCATGCACATCTCTGCTCAGCCTCTCCCCGCTTTCTCTCAAAGCAGTTTTGTTTTCTTTACAATTCTATAAAATAGCTCATGAGAGGACTACTTATTTCCAAGTTAATGTCTTCTCAAGTCAAATTTCAATAAAATTCACTTATCTTGGATCGAAAAAGGATTAAACAATTTTAGAATGTTCGTTGACAGTTTCTTCTAGAATAAATTGAATTTATGACTTGGATGATATATGTTAAGCATGACCATTTATGTTTTGTTCAACAACTGTAAGAGAAGGGGGACACTTTTCAAAGAGTAAAAAGAAAAAAATGAGAGAAAGGTTTGTTATTTTCTCCTGGGACAAACAATTTACAAATTAATATATATTAGAGTTCTCCAAAGCAGCAGAACTAATATGGGGTGTGTGTGTGTGTGTGTGTGAGTGTGTGTGTGTGTGTGTGTGTGTGTGTGTGTAGAGAGAAAGAGAGAAATTGGCTCACATGATTCTACAAGCTAAGAAGTCCCAAAATCTTCAGCCAGCAAGCTGGAGACCCAGGAGAACCAATGTGTAGCTCCAGCCCAAAAGCCAGGAGGCTCAAGACCCAAGGCGACTAGTGTTTCCGTCTGAATCTGAAGGCTGGAGTAAAAGCAATGTCCTGGCTCAAGTCATCAGGCAGGAGGAGTTCCTTCTTACTCAGCAGTCTTGTTCCATATTCAGTGGCTTGGATGAGGCCTACTTCTATGGTTTGGATATGCCACCGTTTCATGTTGAAATGTGATCCCCAGTGTTGGAGGTGGGCCTGATCAGGTGTGTTTGGGTCATGGGGGAGGATCTCTCATGAAGGTTTAGTGCAGTCTTCCTGGTGATGGCTGAGTTCTCTTCTCACTATATTAGTCTCCAAAAGAATTATAGTTGTTAAAAAGCACCTGACACCTTCCACCCCTTTCTCTCACTTACTGCCATATAATCTCTCCATGTCAGCTTCTATTCAACTTCCACCATGAGTGGAAGCTTCCAGAGGCCCTCACCAGAAGCAGATGCTGGCGCCATGCTTCCTGTACAGCCTACAGACCCATGGACCAAGTCAGACCCTTTTCTTTATAAATGATCCAGCCTCAGGTATTCTTTCATAGCAACACAAAAATTGACAAGGCACCCACCCACAATAGGGAGGGCCATTTGCTTCACTCCATCCACCAATTTAAGTGTTAATCCCACACAAAACACCCTCACAGGCACAACTAGAATGTGTGACCAGATGTCTGGGCACACTGGTCAAGTTGACGGACAAAGTTAGCCATCACAACAGGATTATTGGGACTATTATGGGCCTGCTCATTCAAAATGAACAGGGCAAGAGACATAGCCACCCCAGTAGGCTATGAGGAGAATGCAAAATTAATTGACCAGAGGGTCATAATAATGAGAGGAATCCTTGAATCTGAAGATGAGAAGAAAGGGCAGAAGGGTAGCCGTCGGGGGCCTCTGCTGTTCTTGACGGGGTCAAGTTAGCCAGGGGTGGGTGTAGTCAGTGTGCTTAATTTGGTCAGCACAAGCAGAACATGTGGTTAGGGAGGTGGACAACTGCATAGCCAGAGCAGAGTCCCTTAACATTCCAGGAAGTTCAAAACCTAAGTTTAGGAGGCAGATGACTAAAGGGAGATTGCAGGATTGAGAAGTGGGTGCAAACAGCCCACAGAAAGGTCATACAGCTCACTGTCAGTGGAGGTCAGGGAAAGCTGTCACCAGCATGGATCAATGCTATGCCTCAAGTACACAGCACAGCAGATTAAAGTAAAGTTGCTTTTCCTAACAAGACTGAAGCAAATGTCTCACACCCACAGTGCCCTGCAATGTGTGGATATACAAAGGCAAAAATAGAGGAATAGCTGAAAGACATAATAAACACTACTAATAATAACAGCATAACAGTAGCAGCGGCAGCTTTTAAAAGAAAATGGCTGAAACAACATAAATTTGACTTTAATTAGTTAAGAGGGATATTACAGAGCACTGGTAGCCAACATTCTCTAGAGACATTATTATCACTAAGATGATGACCAGGCTGCAGGGACAAATATGAAGCCCCAGGAGAAACCTGTACAAGATAGGACCAACTCTGAGACTTTGCCTGTAGTTGTCCATAGCTGCAGGAATCTGCTAATCCCTTTGTGAGATAGCATCACACCTGTATTATAAATATTTCAATCATTTATATACGTGACTAGGTTAACTATTTAATAAAACTCTGTCTAATTTAACCATAATCCCTGTAAGTTTTTCTAAATTAATTCTTTAGTATTTAAATTCCCTATTATATAATGAAGTTATTGCTGGGTTACATGGCTTTGGTATCCAAGCAGGATCAACTTCAAGTCATCCTAACAATTCTCCTCTCCCCAACAAAATACTACAACTTACTGATCTTAACTTGTGTATCAGTTAGCTTTTGCTGCCTAACAAATTGCCCCCAACCTGTGGCTTTGAACAACAAACATTTCTTATTTTTCATGAATGCTGGTAGGGTGCCTGGACAGTTTTGGGCAGTTTGTCTGGAATGGCTTGGTTGATCACTGTGACCGGCTGGTGGCTCAAACGAGGCCATGTGTTCTAGGATGCCTTCCCTCATTTGGTGGTTGGGGAAGTCTGCTGGGGCAATAAAGGTGACTTGTTCCTATGTCTCACATTATCCACAGGTTAGCCTGAGCTCCTTCTCATGGTGGTGTTCCCAGGATCCACCAGAGCAGCCAAAAAGGGCAAACCACAAAACATGAGAAATGTTCAGGCTGTTGGGTATGCCCGATTTGCTATTGTCTTATCAGCCATCAGAAATTGCATGGGCAGACCCAGAGTCAGTGTGGGAGGGGATTAACCAAGGAAAGTTATCACTGTGTTTTTGTAAATAGTACACTACAACTGGGTGTTGCCAGGCACTGCTGCTATTCCACTGGCATAGCTGCCACCACACTGCAACTCAATTATGACAGCCTCAATAACCAATCCGTATGAATTTTCAACAACAGCTTATGTATACCATCTTCAACTTTCCATGTCAGAGAATGCTGTCACCCCAATATAACACAGGGTGACTGCTACAAATGTATGAAAATTCCAGTCACTTTAGTACAGCCCCTTTACCTATTAACAGGGCTCTTCTTTTTGGTTACATAAAATTTGATTATGTGAAAACTTACATCCAAAGTCTTCCTTTCTGCTTCAGGCCCTTTGATGACTCAGCAGTATGTGGCTAATACACATAAGGGAAGAACAACTTAATATGCAAAATTCCAAACTTATAAAACAGATAAATCAGAAAGTAGAGAGTGATTCATCCCATCACAATAGAATTATTCGCTCTTACATCAGGAGTCTTTAAAATAGCCAACTCCCCTAGGGCCTCTAAAATAAAACTCATCTCCAAACTTACTTTACTAATAGATTCTCAGGACTACACCTTGACATAGGGTAAGTTGTGACTGATGATTCTCTCACTGGATTCAACTTGACTGAAGGGGCAGTAAAGAACTAGGTCCTAGGCCTGGCACGGTGGCTCACGCCTGTAATCCCAGCACTTTGGGAGGCTCAGACGGGCGGATCACGAGGTCAAGAGATCGAGACCATCCTGGCTGACAGGGTGAAACCCCGTCTCTACTAAAAATACAAAAATTAGCCAGGCGTGGTGGCGGGCGCCTGTAGTCCCAGCTACTCGGGAGGATGAGGCAGGAGAATGGTGTGAACCTGGGAGGCGGAGCTCGCAGTGAGCCAAGATCGCACTGCTGCACTCCAGCCTGGGCAACAGAGTAAGACTCCATCTCCCAAAAAAAGAAAAAAAGAACTAGGTCCTCCTTGGAAGAGAAGACAAACCAAAGCAGCAATATTATGTCCAGAGAACATTAAAAAAAAAACACACACACACCATTACATGATTTCAAACATATGAACATCTCATCTCACACCCTCTGTGGAACTGAACCTACGTCCCTTCCCAAAGGGGGAGAACCGAGTTCAACCATCAGCCTTCAGTTGGGACATGGTATGTAGGAGGGCGATGCCGGCCTGGTAGACCAGGGGCAGCGCTGGGGTGAGCACCCCGCATCGCCCAGGGCACTAGCCCAAGGGACCAGCCACCACAGAGAACCTATATCTTTCTACCCTGCTCTCTTTCCAACTTTGCCACATGTAATGTCCCTTGCTTGACTGACACAGCCCTTAAAGAGCAGGCACCTCCATTCCCATGTTGTGTGTTCAAGTATGGCAATGCAGGAGGCAGGGAATCCATTAAGGAAAAGAATAGCAGGGCCTTGTCCTCTATCCCGCAGCTGCTTCTCATTGGCGCTGCCCCCCACCCCCCCTGCCCCCCGTTCCATTCCACTGGGGCTGTTGTGAGCCAGCAAGTTACGTAACATCCCATAGAAAGCTCCTATTTAAAACTCTGATAGGTGACAGCCTGTTTGACAAACAGGCTTCAGTCTGTCAAGCCAGCATCTCCAAAGCATCTGCATTTTCCGGGCTGCTGTTTTCTTGCTTATAGTCCATCAGGGCTGCACTGGGCTATTCAGGCCCTTCCCAGGGATGGAAGCCGCTGTGTCTCAGCAAGGGGCTGTCAAATTGTCCCACTTTCCCTGCCTAGTTCATATAGGGGTATCCATATTTATATTGATCTAGGCACATGAATGGCATGCCATGCTAGGCAGCAACTTGGCGGAGATAATCCAAAACACTCTGCACTCACTTGAAATTTAAATTCACCCACAAAATGCATAGGTTTAGCCTGGTCACTGATGTCATTGGTTTCTCCACTATAAGCAGAAATTGCCTCAGTGACTGAATATGTGTGAGTGGTATGTGTGTGTGTGCGCGTGTGTGTATGTATAGTCTGTCTTCACGTTAATTATTTAAAAGTTCTGTCCATTGTCCAGTTTTCCAATTTCCCCCTACAGTTTCCCTATAAATTAAGTGATTATAGCTCTTGTTGTTAACACATCACCTTAGAGCTGTCATCTAGCACACATTCGGATGCAACCCCCCAATCCTGACGGTGGTCAGAACAAAACAGGATGGGGAAGAGGGGAGGCATATTACCATCCAGGACTATTGCAGGGGTTGCTACCTGGCTCCTTCCTGCCCTCCACATTTGTCAGTTACCTTTGGGATGTACTTGCCTCCTCTGGTCCTTGTCATTTTCCCCTAGTGTCTTTTGTTGATATCCACCATTCCAGAATGTTCTGTGAGATCCAGGAGCAAACACTGTGCATCCTCTCTGTTTTAGGCACAGGCTACTCCAGTTCTACCTACTCTCTCATCCCTTAGTGCCTTGCTGCAGGCTCAGGACCTCCCAGTTGCTCTTTTGGCACTGGACCATGCTGCCTGTATGCTGTGAAGCTGCCCCTGGGCCCATCTGTCTAGCACCTCTCTCAATGCAGACTAACCTGCAGCTAAGGCAGCCCCTGCCCAAGTACACCTGCAGCTGGGAAGGAAGGTAGAAGCCTCTCTGTCGTCCTCATATTAAGCTTATCTTCTTGGATATTCCACCCACCCTTGATCCTAGGATGGGATGGAGGGGAGGGGTCCTATTTCCTGATGTCGTAGCTTTGACATTGTCTTCATATTCACTTCCACACCTCTCTGGAAACCATTGCAACTGGAAAGGGTCACCTCTTCTGGTTGTGTGGAACCTAAATTTTTCTCTCTCATGCATTTTCCACCCAGCTGCTGGTGTGGCACATATTTTATGCCCTGAGCCTTTTCTTCTCTCTGAAGCCCAGCACTTGCAAATCAAAAACTTTCAAGACCATTGTTTCTGCTGCACATTAAATTATATATTTAATAACACAGAAATTTATACTTTTCAGTATTTATCTAAACTCCCCCAAGGACAGTGCTTACAGAAAGCTAACGCCTAAATCTTGGCAAGAAGGGTCATAGGCACATGAAAACTGGATCTTCTGGGGTCGGGGGAAGAAGAAAGAGTTTATACCTAAAATTTGTATTTACCACATTCTTATGAAAAACCTGCACTCATTTTCCTTCAGCATAAATAACCCTTGGTTTACATATGCTTAGTTATTTACTACCATTACCCACTGTATTTGTTTGTTCTCACGCTGCTAATGAAGACATACCCAAGACTGGGTAATGTATAAAGGCCCCCTGCACATAAAGGAAAGAGGTTTAATGGACTCAGAGTTCCACATGGCTGGGGAGGCCTCACAACCATGGCAGAAGGCAAGATGCACATCTTACATGGTGGCAGGTAACAGACAAAATGAGAACCAAGTGAAAGGGGTTTCCCCTTACAAAACAATCAGATCTCAGGAGACTTATTCACTATCAGAAGAACAGCAGAGGGAAAACCGACCCAATGATTCAATTACCTCCCACAACATGTGAGAATTATGGGAGCTACAATTCAAGATGAGATTTGGGTGGGGACGTAGCCAAACCATATCACCCACTATCAGTTGCAATAGTAATAATAAGGCATTTATTTAGCTCTTTTGTAAGGATGAAGTGTTCATATTTATCTTAACAGTAGTAACTTCACTAAATGTGCATGTCAGCAGGAGGAAATGCCATGCACAGCATCTACATAGGTGTAGGCAGCTCCTTGGGGCAAGGGCAGGCTCCGTCTGATTTGCTGCACACTGTCTGTGCCCAGCTCTGTTACCACTGGTTGAGTGAATGACTGACTCTCATTCTCTTTGCTGATGGCTCAGATGCTGCTCCAAGGAGAGCAGCATTAAAATATCCAGATTCACGTTTTGTCCACACTGATAAAAATGCACTTGCTAAAAAACATACGACATAAACCTATGACAAATCAGAATGCTTATTGGGTCTGTTGGCAGGAAACGTAAGGTAGCTTGTCAAAATGCGCCAGGTCTTCAGTTCAGAACCCCCCAACCGTGTTGACTCTACATTAACCTTCATCTCCAACTCCATGTGTCTACGTTATCATCTACTGCCTCTGAAATTCTGAAAATTATTTATTCACTGTGCCCTCTTGTTCAGCTAATGGTTTTCTTTAGGTTCTCCAAACCCTTGCCTTCTGGTTTTAAAAAATTTCATCCTGAGAAAATGGACCCAATTTAGAGCATGCTGCTTAAGAAACAGAGAAGGAACAAAACCCATTGTTTCTCCCAAGAGAAACTCAAGACCAAGCATGCCTGTGTTCCAGGATCACCTTAGCCTAAGAGCAAGAAGAAAAGCCGCTGCTAATAAAAACTTGGCCTTCACAGACCATGCCTGGTGCTCAGCTGCAAATCTGTCAAGTAGAGAATTTCAAAAGCAGCTCTCTCCGTGCTGCCTCTCAGAGAAAATACAGCCAGACCTCGCTCCCAACCTCTCCTTGGGCCAAGATTAGTGCGCGTGAATGAGCAGGGAACAGGGAAGCCTCTTTAATAATGCAGGGAAGGATTTCAGGGAAGGGCAAGCGGAAGCATCTTCCAGAGCTCAGAGGCAGCTGGAACAAATGGATCCAAAGAGCCGTCCCGAGGTGTGCCCCAGTTACGCACAATCATAGAGCCCTCCACACTTTGCTCTTAGAATAGCCCTTCAAGCGGAGCAGTTTAGAGAGCCAACACCTTACACACTCAGATCACTAACCTTTCCCTTTCATGCTTAAAACAAGGCCAAACACAGGCAGTTCATACTTTTCTTTGCCTTAGCCCTTCAATACAGCTCCAACTTTATTCCCATTGTTACCCTTACAATTTTATCCAGCTCTGTAGATAACATGTTCTATAATTTGTGAAATAATTTTTAAAAATAACTCAATTTGTATTACTGAGTTTTATGTATTTTAAAAATATATTTATATCAATAATAATGATAATACGTACCCATATCTTGGGATTTCTATGTGCTTTAGAAATAGTAAAATACTTCCTATCTACTTCAGGAAATGGCGAATACCTCTTGCATCAGACTTCCTGAGTCTGAATCGTGTCTCTGCTGTTTCCTAGCTGTGGGACCTCTGGGTCTCAATTTTATCTTCCACAAAATGGGAGTAATAGAACCTTACTTCAGTAAGTTATTATAAAGATTAAATTATTTCATAAAAAGTTCTTTAAAACATTGCCCAGAAGACAATACGTGCTTAATATGTTAATTAATACTGGTATTATTTATCCCTTTCCAACACTTATTCACCACCCCTTTTAGAACCCGAAGACATTTCTCAGGTGCCCCACTGGGCACTGTCAAAATCAGAAGAAATCTGAGTTGGAAAGATACCTGCCTGGTAGCTTCAACCCCTTAGGTCTTAGCTTGAATGTCACTTTCTCAGAACAGAAGCTTCCTTGGCCATCCTGTGTCCACTGTGCCACCCACTCCCCTAAATCTTATCAGAGCCCTTTGGTTCATTTAATTTACCAAATGAAATCTCTAGTGCATACAACAGTGTAGTGGTTTCATTCATTTATTTATTTGTTAAATATTTACATATTGTTTTTATCTAAATAAATATACACACACACACAGAGACACACACACACGTTTTGGTCTCCTCTAGGTCATAAAGTGAGTGCAAGAACTTTGTCTTTTCATGGCTTTATTCTCAAGGCCTTATGCACTAGCAGTGCATATAACACGAGACAGTAAATATTTGTTGAATGCATGAATAAATAAGTCAATGAATGCTATTGTTTTGCAAACAAGGAAACTGAAGCTCAATAGATAAAGTGCCCTCCCCAAGGCCAGATGGATTCTCAAAAGCAGGATAGTGAAGAAGAGGAGTGCTGGTGCTATTGTGACAGGCCACTTTTGCAATCGACTGGAACAGTCGTGTGTTTGCAGAAAACCCTGGGAGTCTTGGACACACTTTCAGGAGACTTTGCGGTCAAAATTATTTTAATAATCATACTAAGAAAGCTATTTCATTTTTAACCTCTGTTGACATTTGCACTGATGAAATAAAGTAATTGTGGGTAAAACTGCTGGCCCCATAGCACAAATCAAGCCAGGGGCACCCAAATTTATCAGCAGCCGTGGGGTTCTTCTTCATCACCACACACTCACAGTGAGGGCAAGAGAAGCCCGCTCACTTAAGCATGCTCTTTGATGAAACAGGAAAAATGATTAATTTTATTAAATCTCATTCCTTAAATACAGACCCTTTTCATATTGTGTGTGGCAAAACGATAAAGCACATACGCTGCTAACTGAAGTACGATGGCTGTTTCGAGGGACAGCACTCGTGCCACTGAGCTGTGCGCTGAACTAGCCACTTTCTTCCTTGTAACACAATCTTTGCTTAAAATAACAAATTCCAGACAAACTGTGGTTATTCAGACTTGGGCATTTGGCAGGCATTTTCTCAAAAATGAGCAAAGTGAGCCTGTCACTTAAAGGAAAACAGCTGAGAGTACTGGTTGCCAATGATAAAAGTTGAACTTCTGAGCAAAAATCAGAATAAAAAAAACATGTGTCTACGACGGTGAACTTGACAGCTTTCCGATACTCAGACTTTTCTGATGTAATCAGTAATTATATTAATAAATGTGATTTTTTTGATATTGTGTAATGGAATGTGTCAGCTTTTGGAAGAGCTGAACAACTCAGCACACTAGTATTTTTTAGTGTCCAGTGCCTGATGTTATGAAATTAGGCATAGGTAAAATATCTATTAAGAGTAGAATATAGAGCCAGACTGCCTCTCTAGATTTCTCCTCACTGGGCAGGTCATCTCTGAAAGGCAGCAGCCCCAGTCAGGGGCTTTAGATAAAACTCCCATCTCCCTGGGACAGAGCACCTGGCGGAAGGGGTGGCTCTGGGTGCAGCTTCAGCAGACTTAAACGCTCCTGACTGCTGGCTCTCATGAGAGCAGCACATCTCCCAGCACAGCGCTAGAGCCCTGCTAAGGGACAGATTGCCTCCTCAAGTGAGTCCCCGACCCCCGTGCCTCCTGACGGGGAGATATCTCCCAGCAGGGGTTGACAGACACCTCATACAGGAGAGGTCCAGCTGGCATCTGGCAGGGGCCCCTCTGGGACGAAGCCTCCAGAGGAAGGAGCAGGCAGCAATCTTTGCCGTTCTACAGCCTCTGTTGGTGATACCCAGGCACACAGGGTCTGGAGTGGACCTCCAGCAAAATCCAGCAGACCTGTGGAAGAGGAGCCTGACTGTTAGAAAGAAAACTGACAAATAGAAAGCAATAGCATCAACATCAACAAAAAGGATGACCATGCAAAAACCCTATCGAAAGGTCACCAACATCAAAGACCAAAGGTAGATAAATCCAAGAAGATGAGGAAAAACCAGTGCAAAAAGTCTGCAAATTCCAAAAACCGAACACCTCTTCTCCTCCAAGGGATCACAACTCCTTGCCAGCAAGGGAACAAAACTGGATGGAGAATGAGTTTGACGAATTGACAGAAGTAGGCTTCATAGGTGAGTAATAACAAACTCCTCTGAGCTAAAGGAGCATATTCTAACCCTATTCAAGGAAGCTAAGAACCTTGAAAAAAGGTTACAGGAATTGCTAACTAGAATAACCAGTTTAGAGAAGAATGACATGATGGAGCTGAAAAACACAGCATGAGAACTTAGTGAAGCATACACAAGTTAGCAATAGCCCAATCGATCAAGTGGAAGAAAGGATATCAGAGACCGAAGATCAACTTAATGAAATAAAGCACAAACACAAGATTAGAGGAAAAGAATAAAAAGGAGTGAAGAAATCCTCCAAGAAATATGGGTCTATGCAAAAGGACCAAACCTACGTTTGATTGGTGTACCTAAAAGTGATGGGGAGAATGGAACCAAGTTAGAAAACACACTTCAGGATATTATCCAGGAGAACTTCCCCAACCTAGAAAGACAGGCCAACATTCAAATTCAGGAAATACAGAGAACACCACAAAGATACTCCTCAAGAAGAGCAACCCAAAGACACATAATCATCAGATTCACCAAGGCTGAAACAAAGGAAAAAATGTTAAGGGCAGCCAGAGAGAAAGGTCAGGTTACCCACAAAGGGAAGCCCATCAGACTAACAGCAGATCTCTCTCCAGAAACTCTACAAGCCAGAAGAAAGTGGGGGCCAACATTCAACATTCTTAAAGAAAATAAATTTCAACCCAGAATTTCATATCCAGCCAAACTAAGCTTCATAAGTGAAGGAGAAATAACATCCTTCACAGACAAGCAAATGCTGAGGCATTTTGTCATCACCAGGCCTGCCTTGCAAGGGCTCCTAAAGGAAGCATTTAATGTGGAAAGGAAAAACCAGTATTAGCCACTGCAAAAACATACCAAAATATAAAGACCATTGACACTATGAAAAAACCGCATCAACTAATGGGCAAAATAACCAGCTAGTATCATAATGACAGGATCAAATTCACACATAACAATATAAACCTTAAATGTAAATGGACTAAATGCCCCAGTTAAAAGACACAGACTGGCAAATTGTCTAGAGTCAAGACCCACTGGTGTGCTGTACTCAGGAGACCTATCTCACATGCAAAGACACACATAGGCTCAAAATAAAGGGATGGAGGGATATTTACCAAGCAAATGGAAAGCAAACAAATAAACAAACAAACAAAAAAGGCAGGGATTGCAATCCTAGTCTCTGATAAAACAGACTTTGAACCAACAAAGATAAAAAACGACAAAGAAGGGTATTACATAATGGTAAAGGGATCAATGCAACAAGAAGAGCTAAATATCCTAAATATATATGAACCCAATACAGGAGCATCCAGATTAATAAAACAAGTTCTTAGAGATCAACAAAGAGACTTAGACTCCCACACAATAATAGTGGGAGACTTTAACACCCCACTGTCAATATTAGACAGATCAATGAGACAGAAAATTAACATGAATATTCAGGACTTGAACTCAGCTCTGGAACAAGTGGACCTAATATAAATGTACAGAACTCTCCACCCCAAGTCAACAAATATACATTATTCTCAGCACCACATAGCACTTATTCTGAAATTGACCACATAATTGGAAGTAAAATACTCCTCAGCAAATGCAAAAGAATGGAAATCATAACAGTCTCTCAGACCACAGTGCAATCAAATTAAAACTCGGGATTAAGACACTCACTTAAAACCACACAACAACATGGGAACTGAACAACTTGCTCCTGAATAACTACAGGGTAAATAATGAAATTAAGACATAAATAAATAAGTTCTTTGAAACCAATGAGAACAAAGACACAACGTACCAGAATCTCTGGGACACAGCTAAAGCAGTGTTTGGAGGGAAATTTATAGCACTAAATGCTCACAGTAGAAAGTGGGAAGGATCTAAAATTGACACCCTAACATCACAATTTAAAGAACTAGAGAAGCAAGAGCAAACAAATTCAAAAGCTAGCAGAAAACAGGAAATAGCTAAGATCAGGGCAGAACTGAAGGAGAGAGAGACATGAAAAACCCTTCAAAAAAATCAATGAATCCAAGAGCTGTTTTTTTGAAAAGGTTAACAAAATAGACAGCTAGCTAGACAAATAAAGAAGAAAAGAGAGAAGAATGAAATAGACACAATAAAAAATGATAAAAGATACCACCTCTGATCCCACAGAAATACCAACTACCTTCAGAGAATACTATAAACACCTGTACGCAAATAAACTAGAAAATCTAGAAGAAATGAATAAAATCCTAGAGACATACACCTTCCCAAGACTAAACCAGGAAGAAGTTGAATCCCTGAATAGACCAATAACAAGTTCTGAAATTGAGTCAGTAATTTATAGCCTACCATCCAAAAAAGCCCAGGACCAGATGGATTCACAGCCAAATTCTACAAGAGGTAAAAAGAAGAGCTGGTACCATTCCTTCTAAAACTATTCCAAACAATAGAAAAAGAAGGACTCCTCCCTAACTCATTTTATGAGGCCAGCATCATCCTGATACCAAAACCTGGTATAGACACAACAAAAAAAGAAAATTTCAGACTAATATCCTTGATGAACATTGGTGTGAAAATATTCAATAAAATACTGGCAAACCAAATCCAGCAGCACATTAAAAAGCTTATCCACCGCTATCAAGTTGGCTTCATCCCTGGGATGCAAGGCTGGTTCAAGCAAATCAATAAACGTAATCCATTACATATACAGGAGCAAAGACAAAAACCACATGATTATCTCAATAGATGCAGAAAAGGCCTTTGATAAAATTCAACACCCCTCCACACTAAAAACACTCAGTAAACTAGGTATTGATGGAACATATCTCAAAATAATATGGGCTATTTATGACAAACCCACAGCCAATATCATAATGAATGGGCAAAAGCTGGAAGTACTTCCTTTGAAAATCAGCACAGGCCAAGGATGCCCTCTCTCACCACTCCTATTCAACATAGTATTGGAAGCTCTGGCCAGGGCAATTAGGCAAGGGAAAATATTCAGATAGGAAGAGAGGAAGTCAAATTGTCTCTGTTTGCAGATGACATGATTGTATATTTAGAAAACCCCATTGTCTCAGCCCAAAATCTTCTTAAGCTGATAAGCAATTTCAGCAAAATCTCAGGATAAGAAATCAATGTGCAAAAATCACAAGCATTCTTATATGCCAATAATAGACAAACAGAGAGCCAAATCATGAGTGAACTCCCATTCACAATTGCTACAAAGAAAATAAAATACCTAGGAATACAACTTACAAGGGATGTGAAGGTCCTCTTTAAGGAGAACTACAAACCACTGCTCAAGGAAATAAGAGAGGACACAAACAAATGGAAAAACATCCCACACTTATGGATGGGAAGAAATAATATCGTGAAAACGGCCATACTGTCCAAAGTAATTTGTAGATTCAATGCTATCCCCATCAAGCTACCATTGACTTTCTTCACAGAATTAGAAAAAACTACTTTAAATTTCATATGGAACCAAAAAAAGAGCCTGAATAGCCAAGACAATCCTAAGCAAAAAGAACAAAGCTGAAGGCATCATGCTACCTGACTTCAAACTATACTACAAGGCTACAGTAACCAAAACAGCATGGTACTTGGTACCAAAACAGAGATATAGACCAATGGAACAGAACAGAGGCCTCAGAAATAACACCACACATCTACAACCAGCTGATCTTTGACAAACTTGACAAAAACAAGCAACGGGGAAAGGATTTCCTATTTAATAAATGGTGCTGGGAAAACAGGCTAACCATATGTGGAAAACTGAAACTGGACCCCTTCTTTATACCTTATACAAAGATTAACTCAAGATGCATTAAAGACTTAAATGTAAGGCAAAACCATAAAAACCCTAGAAGAAAACCTAGGCAATACCATTCAGGACATAAGCATGGACAAAAGCTACATGACTAAAACACCAAAAGCAATGGCAACAAAAGCTAAAATTGACAAATGGGATCTAATTAAGCAAACTAGCTTCTACACAACAAAAGAAACTACCATCAGAGTGAACAGGCAACCTACAGAATGGGAGAAAATTTTTGAAATCTATCCATCTGACAAAGGGCTAATATCCAGAATCTACAAGGAACTTAAACAAATTTACAAGAAAAAAAATCAAAAAGTGGGCAAAGGATATGAACAGACACTTCTCAAAAGAAGACATTTATGCAGCCAATAATCATGAAAAAAAGCTCACCCTCACTTGTCATTAGACAAATGTAAATCAAAACCACAATGAGATACCATCTCATGCCGGTTAGAAGGGTGATCATTAAAAAGTCAGGAAGCAACAGATGCTGGAGAGGATGTGGGGAAATAGGAACACTTATACACTGTTGGTGGGAGTCTAAATTAATTCCACCATTGTGGAAGGCAGTGTGGTGATTCCTAAGGATCTAGAACTAGAAATATCATTTGACATAGCAATCTCATTACTCGGTATATACCCAAAAGGTTATAAATCATTCTACTGTAAAGACACATGCACATATATGTCTATTGCAGCACTATTCACAATAGCAAAGACTTGGAACCAACCCAAATGCCCATCAATGATAGACTGGATAAAAAAAAATGTGGCACATATACACCATGGAATACTATGCAGCCATAAAAAATGAGTTCATATCCTTTGCAGGGACATGGATGAAGCTGGAAACTATTATTCTCAGCAAACTAACACAGAACAGAAAACCAAACACCACATGTTCCCACTCATAACTGGGAGTTGAACAATGAAAATGCATGGACACAGGGAGGAGAACATCACACACTAGGGCCTGTTGTGGGGTAGGGGGCAAGGGGAGGGATAGCATTAGGATAAATATCTAATGTAGATGACTGGTTGATGGGTGCAGCAAACCACCATGGCACATTTCTACCTATGTAACAAACCTGCACGTTCTGCACATGTATCCCAGAACTTAAACTATAATAAAAAAGTATAAAATAAGCCAATAATTTTTATATAACAGAGTATGAAAAGTTTCCTGATATTGTGTCAGATTCCATATCTCATTGGCCTTTAAAAAGCTAGTACTAACAGTCAATTACAGGTCAGTGTCAAAGAAGAATAGCCACAGTTACCTGAAAAGTCTGTTGGAGTATTTCTCCTTTTCCCTACTACATGTCTGTATGAGGCCACATTTTCAGATACTTTGATCAAAACAACTTATTCCAACAGATTGAATACGAAAACAGAAATGAGTCCCTAACTAAATTCTATTAAATCAGACATTAATGATACTGGCAAAATGTAAAATAATGACACATTCTCTTTTTTTTATTTGTGAAAATATGGTTATTCTTTTTTTGTTACTGTGTAAAGGAATTTTGTTGCTTTTACATTAATTGATACTCTTGGTTTTTTTCAGTTTTTATTGCTAATATGGCAATATTCACAGCAATAACCCACATGTAATATTAATTCCTTTTAAGAAGCTCATTTGTTTTTAGTTCTTTATTTTATTCATTTTTCTCTTTTTTTTTTCATAGGCTTTTGGGAAACAGGTTGTGTTTGCTTACATGAGTAAGTTCTTCAGTGGTGATCTGCGAGATTTGGGTGCACCCATCACCCGAGCAGTGTATGCTGTACCCAATGTGTAGTCTTTTATCCCTCACCCGCCTCGCACCCTGTCCCCGAGTCCCGAGTCCATTGTATCATTCTTATGCATTTGCATCCTCATAGCTTAGCTCCCACTTATCAGTGAGAATATACGATGTTTGACTTTCCATTCCTGAGTTACTTCACTTAGAATAACGGTCTTCAATTCCATCCAGTTTGCTGCAAATGCCATTGTTTTGTTCCTTTTTATGGCTGAATAGTGTTCTACGGTATATATATACACAACGTATATATATACACTGTATATATATACACAACGTATATATATACACTGTATATATATACACAACGTATATATATACACTGTATATATATACACTGCATATATCTGTATATATATACACTGTATATATATACACTGCATATATCTGTATATATATACACTGTATATATCTGTATATATATGCAGTGTATATATATGTATATATATACACGGTATATATATGTATATATATGCAGTGTATATATATGTATATATATACACGGTATATATATGTATATATGTATATATACATATATGTATATATATGTATATATGTATATATACACATATATGTATATATACATATACATATATACATATATAAGTGAACATTTTTACAAATGACTAACATTTGAAAAATGTAAAAGGGAATACTTTTATATATATGATATCTATACATCACATATAAGATATATATGAGATCTATACATCACATATAAGATATATATGGGATCTATACATCATCACATATAAGATATATATGGGATCTATACATCACATATAAGATATATATGGGATCTATACATCACATGTAAGATATATATGGGATCTATACATCACATATAAGATATATATGGGATCTATACATCACATATAAGATATATATGGGATCTATACATCACATATAAGATATATATGAGATCTAGATCTCATATATATAAGATATACATGAGATATATATATCTCATATATAAGATATATGTGAGATATATATATCATAAGTTATATGTGAGATATATATATCATAAGATATATGAGATATATATATCATAAGATATATGAGATATATATATCATAAGATATATGAGATATATATATCATAAGATATATGAGATATATATATCATAAGATATATGAGATATATATATCATAAGATATATGAGATATATATATGATATATGAGATATATACATCATAAGATATATATGAGATATATACATCATAAGATATATATGAGATATATACATCATAAGATATATATGAGATATATACATAAGATATATATGAGATATATACATCATAAGATATATATGAGAGATATACATCATAAGATATATATGAGATATATATCATAAGATATATATGAGATATATATAAGATATATATGAGATATATATAAGATATATATGAGATATATATAAGATATATATGAGATATATAAGATAAGATATATATGATATATATCATATATAAGATATATATGAGATATATATATCATAAGATATATGAGATATATATAAGATATATATGAGATATATATAAGATATATATGAGATATATATCATAAGATATATATGAGATATATATCATAAGATATATATGAGATATATATCTCATATCATAAGATATATGAGATATATATCTCATATCATAAGATATATGAGATATATATCTCATAGCATAAGATATATGAGATATATATCTCATAGCATAAGATATATGAGATATATATCTCATAGCATAAGATATATGAGATATATATCTCATAGCATAAGATATATGAGATATATATCTCATATATAAGAGATATATGAGATATATATCATAAGATATATATGAGATATATATAAGATATATATGAGATATATATCATAAGATATATATGAGATATATATCTCATAGCATAAGATATGAGATATATATCTCATAGCATAAGATATATGAGATATATATCTCATAGCATAAGATATATGAGATATATATCTCATAGCATAAGATATATGAGATATATATCTCATAGCATAAGAAATATCATATATAAGATATATATATAAGATATGTATATACATATATTATATACATATATGTATATGTATATATGTATACTATACATATATGTATATATATTATATATATCATATATATATGGTAGAATTTCTTTATCCACTTATTGACTGATAAGCATTTGGGCTGGTTCCATATTTTTGCAACTGTGGAATTGCACAGCTATAAACGTGTGTGCAAGTATCTTTTTTGTATAATGACTTCTTTTCCTCTGGGTAAATACCCAGAGGATTATCTGGATCAAATGTAGTGGGATTGCTGTATCAAATGGTAGTTCTACTTTTAGTTCTTTAAGGAATTTCCACACTGTTTTCCATAGTAGTTGTACTAGTTTACATTCCCACCAGCAGTGTAAAAGTGTTCCCTTTTCACTGCATCCCTGCCAACATCTATTATTTTTTTTATTATGGCCATTCTTGCAGGAGTAAGGTGGTATTGCACTGCTGTTTTGATTTGCATTACCCTGATCATCAGTGAAGCTGACCATTTTTTCAAATGTTTGTTAGTCATTTGTATATCTTCTTTTGAGAATTGTCTGTTCATGTCCTTAGCCCACTTTTTGATGGGATTGTTTTTTCTTGCTAATTTGTTTGAGTTCACTATAGATTCTCGATATTAGTCCTTCATCAGATGTGTAAATTATGAAGAGTGTCTCCACAATCTCCATAGATTGTCTGTGGGTTGTCTGTTTACTCTGATGATGGTTTCTTTTACTGTGCAGAAACGTTTTAGTTTAATGAAGTCCTACCTATTAGTCATTGTTTTTGTTGCATTTGCTTTTGGGTTCTTGGTTATAAAGTCTTTGCCTAAGCTAATGTCCAGAAGGGTTTTTCTGATGTTGTCTTCTAGAATTTTTAGGGTTTCAGGTCTTCGATTTAAGTTCTTGATCCATCTTGAGTTGATTTTTGTATAAGGTGAGAGATGAGGATCTAGTTTCATTCTTCTGCATGTGGCTTGCCAATTATCCCATCACCATTTGTTGAATAGCGTGTCCTTTCCCCACAATATGTTTTTGTTTGCTTTGTTGAAGATGAGTTGGCTGTGAGTATTTGGCTTTATTTCTGGGTTCTCTGTTCAGTTCCATTGGTCTATGTGCCTATTTTTATACCAGCACCATGCCGTTTTGGTGACTATGGCCTTATAGTATAATTTGAAGTCAGGTCACTTTTTTGGTTCCATATGAATTTTAAGATTTTCTTTTCTTATTCTGTGAAGAATGATGGTGGTACTTTTTTTTTTTTTTTTTTTTTTTGAGACAGAGTCTCGCTCTATCACCCAGGCGCTGGAGTGTAGTGGCACGATCTCAGCTCACTGCAAGTTCTACCTCCCAGGTTCCCACCATTCTCCTGCCTCAACCTCCCAAGTAGCTGGGACTACAGGTGCCCGCCACCATGCCCAGCTAATTTTTTTGTATTTTTAGTAGAGACTTGGTTTCACCCTGTTAGCCAAGATGGTCTTCATCTCCTGACCTTGTAATCCGCCTGCCTCGGCCTCCTAAAGTACTGGAATTACAGGTGGGAGCCACTGCGCCCGGCCATGATGGTGGTATTTTTATGGGAATTGCATTGAATTTGTAGATTGCTTTTGGCAGGATGGTCATTTTCACAATATTGATTCTACCCATCCACAAGCATGGGATGTGTTTCCTTTTGTTTGTGTCATCTATGATTTCTTTCAGTAGTGTTTTGTAGTTTTCCTTATAGAGTTCTTTCACCTCCTTGGTTAGATACATTCCTAAGTGTTTTATTTATTTGTAGCTATTGTAAAAGGGGTTGAGTTGTTGATTTGATTCTCAGCTTGGCCACTGTTGGTGAGTAGCACAGCTACTGATAAATGAATTCAGCAAGGTTTCAGGATACAAAATTAATGTACACAAATTGGTAACCCTGCTATACACCAAGAACCTCATGTTTTTGAAGGACATAAAGGGTTCCAGAGACCAAAAATTTTAGAACTACTGGCTTGGAACACACCAGTTGGTGTTCAGACCCTTTCATGCTTGCAGACATGCAAGGAGTTCTCCTAGGTGGTGGGTCTAAGGACATAAAGCTCATGGCACCCTGTGATCTGTTACAGCTCTGCAAAGCCATGTCAGGATCCCTTCAGAAGTAATAAGCTGTCTACAAAGTTTAAAAAAAACAACAACAACACACATATCTGTACTGATCGGGATATTGGTTAGAAAAAGCATTTCAGGGCTCAAAATAACAAAATTTTATTTTTCACACTTGATAAGTATACATTTCAGGTCATCTGGGCCTCTGTTTCATATCCCTTTACTCCAGAATTCAGGTTGACAGAACATCTAACATATAAAGTGCTGTCAGTTGTGATGGTAGCAAGAAAGGAATGTGGTAAATTGTCCATATGAAGAGAACTGGCTTCACTTTAAGAGAAAGACCACCCTGAGAAAAACCATGTGGCTCTTATGCTTACATGTTTTTGGCCTAAGCAAATCTCATGACTTTGCCTGACTTCAAAAGGGTCAGAAACTTGCCATCCTACCACGATACCATGATCTGGGAAGTAGGAAGGGTGGGATGTGAAGACAGTCAACATCAGGAGCTCTCGTGACTGCCACAATCCTCTTCCTCCACTTGAAACGAAATCCCCATTGATAAAATTCACTGATATCTGATTCTTAGGTTATTCATGCACAACTTTTCATACTTAATTATTATATAGATGCTATTTTGTATTCTTTCCATTTGGCATTATTTGTCATGTCTCTATAGTTCTCATATTTGTAATTTGGATTTCACTGTTAACTTTTATTCTATTAATAAATTATTCTAATTTTAAACATTGCTTGTTTGGGTATTTGGGTAGCAGGTAGCTAGTCTTTCACTATTATAGATGGTTTAGCAATGCACATCAATATATGAAAATACCTTTTTAATATTATTTACTTGTGGTTACTGAGTCAAGAAGTAAGATGGAGTTTTGTGATGACACGTTATGTATGCCAACCATTTCATAAGCTTTTGTGAATAAGGATCTGGCCTTATTCATTCTGTATCCCCAGAGCCTAACAAAATATCTGGTTGGTAGGCATTCAATACTTGTCTACTGAATGAATGACTCTTAGCAGATTGCTTTCTGGAATTCTTATACCAATTTACAATGCTGCCAGTACAGAATTCTGTTGCTCTAGAAGGCTCTTTAATAGTTTGAGCAGTGGTTTTCTCTTCACTAATTTAATGATTAGCAGGTTTAAGCATATTTCCAAAATTTTTCTTTTAGTGTTTGTGTTGTTTCTCACTTGTGCTCTACTTAGTAAAGTAAATCTGGCAATTTCTCTTAGGAATTGTCCCCATATATTTTGTTTTTTAAATCTTTGGGACTATTGTGGGGTCATTGAGAAAAGAGAATAAACTAGGAATAGGTGGAGGTGGAGGTGTGGGTCTAGCTGAAGAAGTAAAGCATATAATTATATTTACATTATTATCATCTTCCTCTTCCTCAACAGATGTCATTTACAGAACATATTTTGCAAATACTATATCTAGTCCTTATATTACTGAAAGGTAGATACAATGGTAACTCCATGATGGGGAGAAGATATTGACACTCAGAAAAGTTACAATTGCCCAAGACCTTACAGATAGGAAGAAGCAAGTCAGGTTTTGCGTCTATGTTTTTCTGCACTTGGAGCCTGAGTTCCTTCCCGCTGCTTCAAGCTGCCTTGCCACACTCACAAGAACACGTGGCGACAACCTGAAGCACAGGGTGGGGAGGACCGTGCTCTTGGGTCGGTGGGGACTGATGTGGATCCACCCACTCTGTGGGCAAGGCGTCTGCAGAGGCACTCAAAGAGATGCTATTCAAATACTGAGGACATCTGACCAGAGGCAGGGCCCTGGCAGCATCTGGGGTTTTGGACAGAGTGGAGTTCTCAAAGGCAGGCGTGTGCAGGAGAGGGGCAGGTTGTCACAGTCCTTGATTGCCAGGTGCCATTTTGGGGCTGGCACCACTCACTGGGGAGCAGGAGGACAAACCAGAGAGCAAGGTGGCAGCTCAGTCAGGGACTTGGCACAGAAGCACACGAGCAGGGTGGGAGGAGCCTGCTGGGCACTGAGAGTTCCCAAGGGGCTTGGACTCGGGACCCAGTTGCAGGCATTCCCTTCCATTGGCAAGAACTGGCTCCCAAGCTGACTGTCAGAGCCTCTTCCGCAGCTCTCCCACAGGCAGCCCTTAGTTACATATGGCTATTTACAGCTATTTACAGCCAAGTGCGGTGGTTCATGCCTGCAATCCCAGCACTTTAAGAGGCCGAGTGGGGCAAATCACCTGAGGTCAGGAGTTTGAGACCAGCCTGGCCAACATGATGAAACCGTCTCTACTAAAAATACAAAAATTATCTGGGCATGGCAGTGGGCGCCTGTAGTCCCAGTTACTTGGGAGGCTGAGGCAGGAGAATCACTTGAACCCAGGAGGCGGAGGCTGCAGGGAGCTGAGATCGCACCAGTAAGCTCCAGCCTGGGTGACAGAGACTTCCTCTCCAAAAAAAAATAAATAAATAAATAAAAAGAAAAAAAAAGAAAAGAAAAGGCCATTTACATGTAAACTAAGTGAATGAACAAAAGTTAAAACCCTGGCCCCTTGGTCACACTCAGCCACACTAGCTAGCTCTCCAGGCCTAGGTCGTGGCAAGTGTGTTGGGCATCACAGATGCAGAACAAGCCACCGTCTCAGGACATGCTGTGGGACGGGGCTCCAGACCTTGCTTCTCCAGGTGGGCCAGCACGGGCCACAGCGGCAGCTCCTGCTTTGTCAGGCCTCTGAGCCTAAGCTAAGCCATCATATCCCCTGTGACCTGCATGTACACATCCAGATGGCCGGTTCCTGCCTTAACTGATGACATTCCACCACAAAAGAAATGAAAATGGCCTGTTCCTGCCTTAACTGATGACATTATCTTGTGAAATTCCTTCTCCTGGCTCATCCTGGCTCAAAAGCTCCCCTACTGACCAACTGGTGACCCCCACTCCTGCCCGCCAGAGAACAACCCCTCTTTGAATATAATTTTCCTTTACCTACCCATATCTTATAAAATGGCCCCACCCCTATCTCCCTTCGCTGACTCTCTTTTCAGACTCAGCCTGCCTGCACCCAGGTGAAATAAACAGCCTTCTTGCTCACACAAAGCCTGTTTGGTGGTCTCTTCACATGGACATGAGTGAAATTTGGTGCTGTGACTTGGATCAGGGAACCTCCCTTGGGAGATCAATCCCCTGTCCTCCTGCTCTTTGCTCCATGAAAAAGATCCACCTGCGACCTTGGGTCCTCAGACCCACCAGCCCAAGGAACATCTCACCAATTTTAAATCAGGTAAGTGGACTCTTCTTACTCTCTTCTCCAACCTCTCTCACTATCCCTCAACCACTTTCTCCTTTCAATCTTGGCACCATCCTTCAATCTCTCCCTTCTCTTAATTTCAATTTCTTTCATTTTCTGGTAGAGACAAAGGAGACACGTTTTATCCGTGGACCCAAAACTCTGGTGCCAGTCACGGACTCGGAAAGGCAGACTTCCCTTGGTGTTTAATCATTGAAGGGATGCCTCTCTGATTATTCACCCACGTTTCAGAGGTATCTGACCACACGGGGATGCCAGTCTTGGTCCTTCACCCTTAGCAGCAAGTACTGCTTTTCTGGGAAGCAAGAACCCCTCAACTCCTTCTCTCCATGTCTCTACTCCTTCTCCACTTTTCTGGGAGGCAAGAACCCCCCAACCCCTTCTCCTTCACCCTTAGCGGCAAGTACCGCTTTTCTAGGGGGCAAGAACCCCCCGATCCCTTATTTCCACACCCCGGCCTCTTATCTCTGTGCCCCAATCCCTTATTTCCATGCCCTAACCTCTTATCTCTGTGCCCCATCCCTCATTTCCATGCCCTGACCTCTTATCTCTGTGCCCTGATCCCTTATTTCCATGCCCCACCTCTTATCTCTGCACCCCAACCCCTTATTTCTGTGCCTCAACCCCTTTCCCACTTTTCTGGAGAGTAAGAACCCCTGAACCCCTTCCCTCCATGTCTCTACTCTCTCTTTTCTCTGGGCTTGCCTCCTTCACTATAGGCAACATTCCACCCTCCATTCCTCCTTTTTCTCCCTTAGCCTCTGTTCTTAAAAACCTAAAACCTCTTCAACTCACACCTGACCTAAAACCTAAATGCCTTATTTTCTTCTACAAGGCTGCTTGACCCCAATACAAACTTGACAATGGTTCCAAATAGCCAGAAAATGGCACTTTTGATTTTTCCATCCTACAAGATCTAAATAATTCTTGTCATAAAATGGGCAAACAGTCTGAGGTGCCTGATGTCCAGGCATTCTTTTACACATTGGTCCCTTCCTAGTCTCTGTTCCCAATGTGACTTGTCCCAGATCCTCCTTCTTTCCCTCCCACCTGTCCCCTCAGTCCCAACCCCAAGGGTCACTGAGTCTTTCTAATCTTCCCTTTCTACAGACCCATCTGACGTCTCCCCTCCTCCCTGGGCTGCTCCTAGCCAGGCCAAGCTAGGTCCCAATTCTTCCTCAGCCTCCGCTCCTCCACCCTATAATCCTTTTATCACCTCCCCTCCTCACACCCGGTCCGTCTTACAGTTTGTTTCCACGACTAGCCCTCCCCCCCCTGCCCAGCAATTTTTCTCTTAAACAGGTGGCTGGAGCTAAAGGCGTAGTCAAGGTTAATGCTCCTTTTTCTTTATCCGACCTCTCCCAAATCAGTTAATGTTTAGGCTCTTTTTCATCAAATATAAAAACCCAGCCCAGTTCATGGCTCGTTTGGCAGCACCCCTGAGACGCTTTACAGCCCTAGACCCTAAAAGGTCAAAAGGCCGTCTTATTCTCAATATACATTTTATTACCCAATCTGCTCCCGACATTAAATAAAACTCCAAAAATTAAATTCCGGCCCTCAAACCCCACAACAGGACTTAATTAACCTGGCCTTCAAGGTGTACAATAATAGAAAAAAGCTGCAATTCCTTGCCTCCACTGTGAGACAAACCCCAGCCACATCTCCAGCACACAAGAACTTCCAAACACCTGAACCACAGTGGCCAGGCATTCCTCCAGAACCTACCCCAGGAGCTTGCTACAAGTGCCGGAAATCTGGCCACTGGGCCAAGGAATGCCCGCAGCCCAGGATTCCTCCTAAGCCGCATCCCATCTGTGCAGGACCCACTGAAAATTGGACTGTTCAACTCACCTGGCAGCCACTCCCAGAGCTCCTGGAACTCTGGCCCAAGGCTCTCTGACTCCTTCCCAGATCTTCCCGGCTTAGCAGCTGAAGGCTGACACTGCCCAATCGCCTCGGAAGACCCCTAAACCATCACGGACGCCGACCTTCAGGTAACTCTCACAGTGGAAGGTAAGTCTGTCCCCGTCTTAATCAATATGGAGGCTACCCACTCCACATTACCTTCTTTTCAAAGGCCTGTTTCCCTTGTCTCCATAATTGTTGTAGGCATTGATGGCCAGGCTTCTAAACCTCTTAAAACTTTCCAGCTCTGGTGCCAATTTAGACAATACTCTTTTAAGCACTCCTTTTTAGTTATCCCCACCTGCCCAGTTCCCTTATTAGGCCGAGACACTTTAACTAAATTATCTGCTTCCTTGACTATTCCTGGACTACAGCCACACCTCATTGCCAGCTTTTCCCCCAGTTCAAAGCCTCCTTCACATCCTCCCCTTGTATCTCCCCACCGTAACCCACAAGTATAAAACACATCTACTCCCCACTTAGTGATCGATCATGCACTCCTTACCATCCCATTAAAACCTAATCACCCTTACCCGGCTCAATGCCAATATCCCATCCCACAGCATGCTTTAAAGGATTAAAGCCTGTTATCACTTGCCTGTTAGAGCATGGCCTTTTAAAGCCTATAAACTCTCCTTACCATTCCCCCATTTTACCTGTCCTAAAACCAGACAAGGCTTACAGGTTAGTTCAGGATCTGCACCTTATCAACCAAATTGTTTTGCCTATCCACCCCGTGGTGCCAAACCCATATACTCTCCTATCCTCAATACCTCCTCCTACAACCCATTATTCTGTTCTGGATCTCAAACATGCTTTCTTTACTATTCCTTTGCACCCCTCATCCCAGCTTCTCTTCGCTTTCACTTGGACTGACCCTGACACCCATTAGGCTCCGCAAATTACCTGGGCTGTACTGCCACAAGGCTTCACAGACAGCCCCCATTACTTCAGTCAAGCCCAAATTTCATCCTCATCTGTTACCTATCTCGGCATAATGCTCATAAAAACACACGTGCTCTCCCAGCTGATCGTGTCCGACTAATCTCCCAACCTCAATCCCTTACAAAACAACAACTCCTTTCCTTCCTAGGCATGGTTAGTGTGGAAAGAATTCTTACACAAGAGCTGGGACCGCACCCTGTAGCCTTTCTGTCCAAACAACTTGACCTTACTGTTTTAGCCTAGCCCTCATGTCTGCGTGCAGCAGCTGCCGCTGCTTTAATACTTTTAGAGGCCCTAAAAATCACAAACTATGCTCAACTCACTCTCTACATTTCTCATGACTTCCAAAATCTATTTTCTTCCTCACACCTGACACATATACTGCCTGCTCCCCGGCTCCTTCAGCTGTACTAACTCTTTGTTGAATCCCACAATTACCATTGTTCTTGGCCCCGACTTCAATGCAGCCTCCCACATTATTCCTGATACCACACCTGACCCCCATGACTGCATCTCTCTGATCCACCTGACATTCACCCCATTTCCCCACATTTCCTTCTTCCCTGTTTCTCACCCTGATCACACTTGATTTATTGATGGTGGTTCCACCAGGCCTAATCGCCACACACCAGCAAAGGCAGGCTATGCTATACTACTAGCCACTAGCCCACCTCTCAGAACTTCTCATTTCCTTTCCATAGTGGAAATCTATCCTCAAGGAAATAACTTCTCAGTGTTCCATCTGCTATTCTACTACTCCTCAGGGATTATTCAGGCCCCCTCCCTTCCCTACACATCAAGCTCAGAGATTTGCCCCTGCCTAGGACTGGCAAATTAGCTTTACTCAACATGCCCCAAGTCAGATAACTAAAATACCTCTTAGTCTAGATAGACACTTTCACTGGATGGGTAGAGGCCTTTCCTACAGGGTCTGAGAAGTCCACCACGGTCATTTCTTCCCTTCTGTCAGACATAATTCCTCAGTTTGGGCTTCCCACCTCTATACAGTCTGATAACAGACCAGCCTTTATTAGTCAAATCAACCAAGCATTTTTTTAGGCTCTTGGTATTCAGTGAAACCTTTATATCCCTTACGGTCCTCAGTCTTCAGGAAAGGTAGAACGGACTAATGGTCTTTTAAAAACACAGCTCACCAAGCTCAGCCACCAATTTAAAAAGGACTGGACAATACTTTCACCACTTTCCCTTCTCAGAATTCAGGCCTGTCCTCGGAATGCTACAGGGTACAGTCCATTTGAGCTCCTGTTTGGATGCTCCTTTTTATTAGGCCCCAGTCTCATTCCAGACACCAGACCATCTTGGACTGTGCCCCAAAAAACTTGTCATCCCTACTATCTTCTGTCTAGTCATACTCCTATTCACCGTTCTCAACTACTCAGACATGCCCTGCTCTTGTTTACACTGCCGGTTTACACTACTTCTCCAAGCCATCACAGCTGATACCTCCTGGTGCTATCCCCAAACTGCCACTCTTAACTCTTGAAGTAAATAAATAATCTCTGCTGGCAGGACTATGCTGAACCTCCTTAGGCACTCTCTAATTAGATGTCCTGGGTCCTCCCAATTCTTAGACCTTTAATACCTGTTTTTCTCCTTCTCTTATTCTGTTTAGTCTTTCAATTCACACAAAACCGTATCCAGGCCATCACCAATAATTCTAAATGACAAATCTTTCTTCTAACAGTCCCACAATATCACCCCTTACCACAAAATCTTCCTTCAGCTTAATCTCTCTCACTCTAGGTTCCCACGCCACCCCTAATCCCGCTCGAAGCAGCCCTGAGAAACACCGCCCATTATCTCTCCATACCATCCCCAAAATTTTTGCCGTCCCAACACTTTACTAGTATTTCATTTTATTTTTCTTATTAATATAAGAAGACAGGAATGTCAGGCCTCTGAGCCCAAGCTAAGCCATCATATCCCCTGTGACCTGCACGTACATATCCAGATGGCCAGTTCCTGCCTTAACTGATGACATTCCACCACAAAAGAAATGAAAATGGCCTGTTCCTGTTTTAACTGATGACATTATCTTGTGAAATTCCTTCTCCTGGCTCAAAAGCTCCCCTACTGAGCACCTTGTGACCCCCACTCCTGCCTGCCAGAGAACAACCCCTCTTTGACTGTAATTTTCCTTTACCTACCCAAATCTTATAAAATGGCCCCACCCCTATCTCCCTTTGCTGACTCTCTTTTCAGACTCAGCCTGCCTGCACCCAGGTGAAATAAACAGCCTTGTTGCTCACACAAAGCCTGTTTGGTGGTCTCTTCACAGGGATGCTAGTGAAATGCTTCACCTGGGAGCCTGTGCTGGGATCAGAACCTCAGGCTCCTCCCAGGCCTCCTGCCCTGGAAACTTCAGGCGACAAGACCCCAGGTGTTGCACCAGCACATTCAGGCTCAGCGACTCTTCTCTCTTCCCAATGGGTCCTGCGCCTCTGCTGTTGTTGCAGAGGGCTGTGTACCCAAGTGAGCTGCGCGTGGTGGGGAAGGGGGGCAATGAGAGAGAAAGACTAACCTTTAATTTTTCGTCTTTACAGCAAACGTTTCCCCAGTCTATTGCTCTTCCTTTTATTTTAGTTTTGTTCATTTTTTATGAATATATTTTTGGATCCTATTAATATTTAAAAGATTGTGATGGTGGGAGCCTGCCTTGGCTCTTACTTGGGAACGAAGCGCATCCCTCCACCCCCCACCCCTCCCGCTTTGGCTCTGTTGCCAGCACCTCTGCAGGCAGCCCTCCCCTGAGTGTGTGATTTCATCAGCTCAGAGACATGCAGTTTCAGCAGCATCACAGAAGGGTGGAGTGGAAAGACGCTGCACCCACCTTCTGCAGAGCAGCTCCACGCACTGGGGGAGAGCAAGGAACTTATATCTGCCCTAGCAGTGATCGGGGCCCATCTTGCAAGGCTTCATAAATATTTAACAATGAGCACTTTGTAAAGAAGAGTGTTATTAAGGGTGGTGCCGCCAGCCGCTTCAAATGTGCCTGTATATCAGGAGCTGCTAATGCTCTGTGGACAGAACCCTTTTGCAATAGCCCTAGGCAAATCAACTCCTTATCTTTTAAGGGAGTAGGGAAATAATTTAGAGGAATTTGTAAACATTTCTGACCCTCAAAGGAAGAAAGCTGGATCCTCTCCTAATAGAGAATGGCGTTCCAATGAATCATTTATCTAAGACAGAAAAATCAGTGACCAGAAAGAAAAAAAATATATACATACCTCCCCCACGCTTGCATCCCCGGGATGCTCACACCGAGCAGCAGCTGCCCGGCCAGTGTTTAGTGAGACTTCTTTTACTCTGGTGCTACCAGATGAATCTTTTATCACCGTGGAAGCCAGTCCCAGGCCACTTATTTCAACACTTCAAGCTTTAATGATACTGGTTCAGTTTTCTTTACTCTATGGATTGGATACACCACATTGCAATTCAAATCACCCCAAACACCACAGTAAGCATGAGGTGATCACATTTCTTCCTAAGTGTAAATGGCTCTCCACAGGGGACTCATTCTGGGAGCTGGGGGCTGGGACAGCATTGCCCTGGCAACTTCTTTTTTCCCCAGATGATCATCACTGGAGGTAAATGCTTGGAAGATTAAAGTCTCCAATCCATGTGGCACAAACTCCTGTTAGCTCAGGAAAATATCCTCCATTGACCAACTTTAGTACAACCAATAAATCACAAGGATTGTAAAATGAAAGGTGTGTGTGTATGCATATCATGCTTATTACACTTTCCCAGTAAAAGTCTGCTTTCTTTTTTCTCATGATAAACCTCCTTGTGAAGAGTCTGAAAAGTTAAATTGACTAGTTTAAGATTACCCATATAAGCTCGCAAAAGAGCACTTGGGTGTTGGCTATTATAAGACGCTTCCTCCCAAGGCCTACCAGAAAAGAAATTGACTTCAGAGCCCTTCTGTAGATTGTATTTCTATAAGAATAACCATTTCCGTGGAACTCACCTTTCACAGGATCCTAGGACTATGCACTTGAATGTGAGCCCCTTAAGTAAAGTAGGGGTCCATCTACCTTGTCACCAGTGGTTCTGCATCAGTAAATTGCCCAGAGCATGACCAATTGCCATTTGTTTGCTGAGAACAGGTAGGAGAACGTAGAGAAAATGCCAGTGTGCTAGCTGAACCGTATACCAACTTACCCCACAAACCTAGCCTACATATTCATGAGCAAGCACTTTCCAATGTATATGCTTTGTTCCAAGTTGTAATCAAAAAGTTCATTTTTAAGTTAGTTGCTTGGGACCTGGAATAAACTTTCCCATAGAAACGATGTTATAAATAGTGCTCTAGCCTAGCCCACAAATGCACATCTAACTCAAAATGTGCTACTGGTATTATGGAGTTGCAAGGAAACTTTGTAGAAAACAACAGTTCAATACCCATAATTAAACCAAACAGTAGAACAATAAAAATGTTTCTCTCCCTCTCCCTGTCTGTCTCTTTCTCTTTCACACACACTCTTTCTCTCTCTGTCTCTCTCACATACATACACACACACGGAAGTTCATTCTTGAGGAAAGTAAGATTAACTGGACAGGAATGAGGAGGTAGTGGAGACGGTGCAGTGCTCTTGAAGGAGGCTTTAGGTTATGTCAAGAGCTGTTGAGGCTGATGGTTCAGGCTGCTGAATGCACCTCATTTCACTTCAAAGCTTATGCCTTGACTTTTGCTTGATACAGGTATATAGCTGGCACTACTTCTACTTATCCCCCGTAATTAAAGTTGGTTTTTGCTTTTCCCTTCTGATTGAGAAAGGGAGCAAGAGAAACAGGGTGAGGCAGGGAGGAAAAGAAGAAGTTGAGAGGCCAGGAAGACAAAAGGGGGGAGACATTTCTTGAAGCAACTAAGCAAGGGATCCAAATGAAGGGGAAAAATTAGAAGTTTAAAGAACATCTGTATTTGTGAGTGAAAGATCATCTCAGAGGTGTCAGATGAATCAATCACAAGATGGAGAGTGGGGAGAGAGGAAGAGAGAGAAGGAGAATATGTCTACTCCCATGAAGAGGGGGCGACACCTTAAGTAGTGTTTTTGCAGGTAGTTAGAGGACAGGATCTTTGCTGTTGATTGACACCAGTGAGACAGGGGACCACCTTGGGGTGAAGCGGAGTAGGTAAGGATAATGAACAGCTGCCCCTCCACTCATAAGGGCCTGTGCTAACTTCAGAACCTAAAGGACAGCTCTGATGTTACTGGAGGTGAATTATTTCCTTGAGGGTTTTCATCACCATCATTTCTTCCATCATCGAAGTATGCCCCAGTCATCCAGTCTTCCTGAGTGGCTCTCTCCTGTTAGAAAGTCCAGCACAGTCCTCCGGATTTCCGAATCCCCTGGGCTCTCAGTCTCCCTCTTCTTCCCTCCGCCATCCTAGCTCTGCATTTCTTCACCTCAATCTGCTCCTCATGCCCCAAATATCCATTTTCAAGGACGGCTGTTTTGGAGAAAAGAGGGAAATGTTAGGCTCTAAGAGAAACTGTATCAAATTTAATTCCAGATGCCACTATTCCTAAATAGTCACTGATTTGTCTCGGAGCACAGGGGCTCCCCTCTCCCCTGTCTTTGGGAATTGCCCTGAAGCCACAGGGCATGGTCTTGTCCTGTCCTCTATCCCCAGAGCACCTATCATTGTCAGACTACCTAGGCTCCTGGGGTGCCTAAATTCCATTCCTTTCCATGCAATTTCCAATAACTTTCAGGACAATAGCAACTTATTACTATGTAAAAGCATATAATTGTCCCAATCATGCCCATGTGGGGTTCAGCAGGTGCATGTTACCAAGCTTCCCCACCTTCCTCTGCTCACTGGAAGAGAAAAGACAATAGCCATGTGGAAGAATTCTCAGAACTGCAGTCACCATGGAGTACGGATCATGCCCTCCAGGGCCCTTGCTCTGGGGGCTTGACCCATTAGTAGGAGGTCCTGCAAGATGACGGGAACTGGGAGCGAGATGAATATGGACTTTTATCTTCCAAGCAAGATGGAGACGATGACATGGGATGGTTTGTGTGAAAGAAACAACCTTGGAGGAAGGAAATCTAGAAGCTCCCAAGGGTCACTGAGTGCTCAAGCACCTTGGGCTCTGTTGAAGATCTGGCAAAGACCTGGAATTCCAGTTTGGACTGTACTGCTTTAAATGTGACACAGCTCTCTGGTCCAGGTTTTTGTTTTATTATGCAGAAGGATTTAATTCCTTTTTGTCTCAATCCTCCACTGCAGACTGGGCTTTGGAGCCTAACCCAAAGGCCTATTAATTGCCTTTCCTAAACAAAAGAGTCATCTTCCCTGAGATAAAACCTCTACTCCCTTATAATGCACAAGTGGATGAAGTCATTTTTTAAAATAGCAATCTTTTGCCCTCAGCTTACACTTATTCTCTGTGTTCCTCTACAATTCACATAGAGCTCCCATATAATCTCCCCCGATAACCCTCACCCCAAAAATAGATTCTTATTATTCAGGTAGTAGCTGCTTAATAGTAAAAATATTTTAATCTCCACCAAAAGAAAGTAAAACAGGAAAATATTGCCACCTGGAATGCTGGATCAAAGCTGAATGACAGTTGTCTTCCCATGACTGGCTGTTAGACCTGGGGAGGGTGGGAGCAAGCAGGAGGCAGGAAGACTAGGTACCTGTGGGCTGGACACACAGGGTCACCTGGAGCCGGGCTCAAGTGCACTAGGAAATTGACTGTACCTGCCATTGTTAAGAACACAGAAAGTGGCAGGTCCTCTTGGCAGCTCTGCCAAGTCTTCTTATTCTCTCCAGCCTGATGTCCTGAACCTCCAGCCTGATCTCCTGAACCATGGTGGGTCCTTTATTTTCCTGACTTTATGGCTTAACTTGGCTGTGTTATGAACTGAATGTTTGTGTCTCCCTCAAAATTCATGTGTTGAATTATGACCTCCAGTGTGATGGAGGTGGGGCCTTTGGGAGGTGATTAGAGCATGAGGGTGGAGAACTTAGGAATAGGATTAGTCCCCTTATAAAAGAGACCCCAGAAAGCTCTCTGATCCTCTTTTGCCAGGTAAGGATGCTGTGAGAAGACGGATGTCTAAACCAAGAAGCAAGAAATGGACCCTCATCAGAACAGAGTCTGCTGGCCCCTTGATCTTGGACTTCCAGCCTTCAGAAGTGTGAGAGATAACTGTTAGTTGTTCATAAGCCACCCAGTTTATGGTACTTCGTTATGACAGCTTGCAATGACTGGCAGCTGCCTTCCCTTTTCCTCCCCTTACTTCATACTTAGCTTGACGAAGTTGGGTGTGGCAAATAATTTGGGAGTGGGGATTTTTATCTTGAACTTCCCTGACCCTCCAAGTCCCATTATGGTAACTGAGCAGAAGGCTACCCAGTCTCCTTTTTTGGAATATCTACTTTAAGATTTCATTTGTGAAGACTGAAAAGAGTGAGCTGCAGATTTCATTTTGCTGTTATTTTAGTAGTGAATCCTAAATATAAAAGGATTATTCTGAAACAAGTTTACATGAATTTTGTAAAGAAAAAAATACAACAGATCTATTGTCAAGAAAGATATAATTAAGTGATGCAAATGCAATTGACGAATTTGAAATTAATTAATTTGACCTGGCTTACAATAATACAAAGAGTTACAATGCCCCAAAAAATTCCGTTATGTTTTCTTCATAGTCACATGTAACTTTAAATGCTCTTCACAGAATGACAAGATAGAAAAATTGAAGTTATAGCAGAGATGCCAAGATGCAGTAGGTAGAAAATTCCAAAGTAAGTGGTCAGACAGTGTAGATTACACAAGGAAATTAATAAAAACTCTGTACAGTGCTACACTTTTCCTGCTTTCAGGACATAAAGGGTCAAGGGAGGATATGATGGGTTTTCCTTTACCAATAGCTATCACTGTGCTTTCAGACTCAGCCCCTGGGGGTAGTGGGTGGAGGAGCTTCCTTCTTTTCCCAAGAGAGGTTGTAAGGCTGAGTTTCTAGTGGTCAGTGTCAGGGCAAGTGGCCAGAACCTGACTCACAGGGAAAGGTGGAATAGGAAGGTGGCCCCAATTAGCCTGCACTCCCAGTTAATCTGAGTGAGCAATGCTTCCTACACTCAGGCATGGCCATGCCAGAGCAAGAGAGCTGGGCCTGACCTCCTTTGAGTCTTGCCCAAGAAGGCTCCCGCCAGAGTGTGAGAGAAATACAATGGCAAGGAGGATCCGTGGGACCTCATATTGTTGTTTTGCCATGAACATGCACCTTTCCTCAGCTGCCAGGGCCTGATTGCTCTACGGGGAAGGGAAGGACGCCCCTATTCCTGTGACCATCCTTCCTCCTAGGTTCCTCTGCCCAGCCCCATCAGAGGCTGTCTTCAAGTTCCAAGGGGGTTGGGAGGAAGGTTACTGTCACACTGGTGCAGGGTTGATTTAATGTTAAATTCAGTTCAGAATGGTGATGAAAATCCTAGACTGCATATTCTAATTTCCAAACTCAGATTGCATTTGTAACTTAAATAGAAGATCTGTTGCTTAAGAACTAATCTGGTATTGAACCAGCCAGCCACAGTACTGTCACAGAGATTGCCTACTGCCTGTGTTCATTCTGACTGGCCAGTGTGTATACCTGCTTAACAGTGAGCAAAAATGTCATGAGCCTGTCAGGATTTTCTTCACATACAGGTAGAGATTACAATACTATAAGGAAAAACCTTTTAAAATATTGAATAAAATGTGAGATTTCAAGCTTTTTAGACCAACTTAATGTACTTCAAACTTGTTTGCATGCTCTTTTGTATTTTTTTATCTGCTCTTTAATCTATGCTATCGGTGTCACCATTTGGATTTCAAGAAAATAATCCAATCAAGCATATGCTGAAATTGGGTAGGAATGAAAGACCACTAAGAGACAGGAGTAATTCAGGAGTTAATAATCATTTAAAACAGTTTTTCAAATTATCAATTATGATCCATTAATTAGCTATGAAATAAATCTAGTGAGCTATGGTTGAGTGTTTTTGTAAGTGAAATTGAATAGATGAAATAAAATAGGAAAAGACAGATTAGAATATAAAATGTCAGAGTACATCCTCCATCTTAAGATTAAATGTTATTCAGTGATTCTTTTGTTTGTTATGTGAGTATGTGAGTGTATAGTTCTGTGTGTGTTCTGAGCTGAAGCTATAAAATCTATTTCATACAGGGCTTCAGTCAAAAAAATGTTGAAAGCCTCTGAATTCCAGCATATACAAAATCCATAAAAAAAAGTCAGGAATCAAAAGCACAAAGGCAGCATGAGAAATAGCATAGAACAAGGAAAAGGGAATAATACACGTAGGGATCAGACAAGTTCCTGGTTTCTGCAGCCAGCCCATTTTCATTCTATTTTTCTAGAGTAGAAGGTAGTGCACTCACCCAGAGCTCCTTAAAAGGCATCTTACTCATTTCACCTTTGTCAACAGAAGGAAGAAGGAAAGGAGAAAGAAAGCGAAGGATAAAGACAAAAGAGAAGGAAGAAAGAAAAAAATTAAAAAGCAAGCATGTTAGTGAAGACAGGTGGGGAAACTGTCACCCCCATCCCCCTTTTAAAACAATCTCCACCTACTCAGGATCTGGAGGACGTGTGCCTATAAATGACCACTTTCAAATGAAGGAAGTTCCAAGTTACAATTAATGAACAGTACAAACCACTTTGCAGTGTTGTCACACATGACATATAAAAGGTTGTGATACTAACAAAGTGATCGCACTATGTGGAATGCCCTGGTAATTAACCTTATACGCTGTTTTATTGAACACTCCTCTTGTGCTGATCGAGGAAAACTGACATGTGTCGATAGAGTTTGCAGGAATATTTCACTACACGTGGCATCTTCCCAGGGTTTATATTGACTGGAGAAGACACTATCATGCAGGATGAGCTACACTCGGGGCCGCCACTTTGTGCCGACTTTAGGTGGCACCTTCCCAGTGTACGCGACGGGAACGGCACTCCCTGGAGTCCTGAAACGCAGTGGCCCTGACTACGCACAGCTGGGGCTCCAGGGCTTCTGCTACAGTGCCCCCTGACGGCCAGAACCCCATCTGCATCTGGGCATTGAGTGTTAGGTATTGATTTTTGCCACTACAGGTGGTCCCAGCTTAATCTTCGTGTGCTCCCACCATGGCCTTCTCCTGGGCTGCTGAGGTCTCTTGACTTCCAGGTAGCGAGTATGGCCTCATTTTTATAGTATCCCTAAGTCATCTGGTGGGGCTGATTCCAAGAAAATCTTTTTTTTTTTTTTTTTCAGTACGCTGCCAACAAAAGCCTCATCCTATCTCCTCCCTCAAGTGTACTTTTTCAAGGGCTGGGGAAGCCTGCAGAGCATCTGCAGTCAAACCCTTTCTAGCGCACCCAGCTGTCATTGACCTTCCTCTCAGCACTTAGGTTTTTGCACCACCTAATTGAGCTCTCATTAACTGCTATCTGTGCTGCTCACTGTAGTCTCGTGTATTCCTGTTAGTCTTGGCTCCTTAGAGTGTGAATTCCACAGTCTTTGGTATCCTTTACAGCAGCCAGCCCCCTGCAGTGCCTGAAAGTACTAGCCACACTTAGAGGTCAGTTGCAAGAAATTAGTTCTTTGAGCATCCTCCTCTTTATGTGTGAAAAGTGCTTTGAGGACCAATGGAACCCTTTTGGAGAACTTATGAATGCTTTGATCATGGTTTCTGAAAACATGAAACAGACAAAATAAAAATAAAAACAAAATATATATGTGCTTTGCACACATCGGTTTTCTTAACACTCACCATAACCCTATTTGATAGGTATTTTTTCACCACAGTTTAACTGAAAAAGAAATGGAAAACCAAAGAGGTTAATTTCTCCAAAGTTGTAAATCTAGCAAATAGCAGAGCCTGGACCCCAAGTCTGTATTCTTCAAGAAAATAGTCTCTCGTGTAGGTTATCCCTGTCTTAAACTTTAAATAACTCAGATAGATTAAAAAATGCTTCACCTCTGCCAAGGAGTCATTCCAGTCCTCAGGAAGCCTGAGGGCATTCCTTCTAGGGAACTATTAGCTAGTTATCCAGGAGCTAAAGGGCTTCGGGCTGTGTCCCATGGCCTCACAGTGGGCACTGGTCTTTCATAAGAAAATCACCTACAACTATCAAGATGCCAGAGAGGCAATGGAAAAAGACATGATTCAAGTGAGTCACAAAATCTGGAGGAAAATAACAAAGAAATCCAGATTCAAAAGATTTAAACAAACAAATGAAGATACAATAGTAAGGCGAAGTAATTGAAGAAATACACAAAGCAGGTCAGAATATACGGACAGCTTTCTACAGACCTGATATTCTTTTAGAATATCAGCACTTAGGTTCATTGCTATGGGCTCATTGCTACAGGAAACAGAACTCAAGGATTACATGGCCAGAAGGTTAAGTACTGCCAAACCCAAGTGAAGCTACAATAATGATTTTAAAATTGTATTGAGCACATATTATGCTCAGCACTGCATTCAACTTTTAATTTATGTATATTGCCTAAACTAATGAAAACCTGGTGAGGTTGATTGCATCAACAAATGGTCATTGGTCTTCTAGCCAATAGGAGTAGAGCAGTGAACAAAAGAGACAGCACTCTCTTTCCTGTTGGAGTTTACATCCTCATAGGAATGCATTATTAGAAGTAGGATTATTCCTATATGACAGATAAGTAACCCAAGGCTTACAAGGGTTAAGCAACTTGTCCGAATCACACAGCTACTTGATTGCAGAAGCCTCAGATTTAAATCCAAATCTGTCTGACTCCAAAGCCCAGATCGAGGCCCACCCTCCAATGCCTGCAGCTGCATTTGGAGTACATTGCCAGTTTAGCCACCTATAAGATCCCATTGTTAATTATCTTACTTACTGGAGCATTATACACACAGTCTTTATTGTCCATTCTGGCCCTTGATCATATTGTCATTTACTATTTTCTAAAAGTTTCATGGATGTAAGACTCGCTTGCCCACCTAAATTGAAAATTCCTAGAAGGTTGGACAAGATAATATATTTTGTAGTATTTCCCAGAGGACCTAGAATCTTACAGGGCTGGGCAGATGCATTTCACACAGGTTTTAAGCACCTGTTAATCTGCCAGGGCATAGTATTCAGCACCATGGAGAATTTTTTTAAAAATCAAATAAAATATTGTCCTTGCCATCCACAGTCTTATAACTTAGTGGACATGTCATTAAAAACTGACTGATGGAATTGTAGTTTCAACAAATCCTGTTTTTGAGAATTCATGAAGGACTGGATAAGGTTTCCAAACACAAGAAACAAATAAATGCAATGTATGTTTTAAAAAGGCAGGAAGGCGACTTGGAAAGTTAGAGATTGATAACAAAACCTGATTTTCCTATGAGAAAGACTCTCAGGGCAAATCAAAAGAGAATCAATTGGGAGACAGACAAACCGCAGAGTGCTGGGAAATACCAGTGTGGCTTTGAAAGAAGCACATTGTGTCTGACCCACCCAGGTTACTCCTGTCTCAAAGAGGAAGATGATTCTTGTAGAAGTGATGACACAATAAACATATTAGAGCTCAAGAACAGGAAGGTTGTTGATTCTGCCTATGTGACATCCTCATAAATAAGCTAACCAAATATAGCCTAGGAGACTGCCCTAGAAGGTGGGTGCACTCAGATGATTGTGATAACCAGCCAGCTGTCGGCCCAAGAAGACAAGAAAGAGGCACTGGGGAGGAATGTGTCCTGAGTCCTGAAGCATGTACAACTTCCATTGATGACGTTGGTGACAGGAGCAAGGAAGGGCTTATTAAGTCATGGGTGGCACTGGAAGTGGCATGCAGGCAGCTTCCTGTTGAACTGGACTGGAATTCTCTATGGCTGAGGCAGGTTATTAAAGAAATAGTTGAAAATGGGAACAGGTTAAATTTTAATAAAGAAAGCACGTAGGGAAAATTTAACTTCTGATCCTTCTCTTTCTCTCTCGATTTTACTCCTGGGAGCCAAGTGCGAAGGAAGCCTTCACTTGAAGCCAGGGACTCAGATGTGCAAGGGTTGCCTGGCTTTCAATTGGGAGTTGCTGTACTGGGACCTTGGTTTTCTCATCTGTGCAATGGGGTAACAGCTGGCCTGCTGCACAACCATCACCATGTGTGGATTAGCTCATTACTGATCATTCGGGACCCTAAAAATGCAAAGTGTTGCATAAATGCTAAGTATTATTATGCTTCACATAAAGGGCAAAGATTTTGACTTGGAAAGAAAATGGGAGGAAAAATTACAGAAGACAGAACAAGAATACACAGGAGAGAAGCTATTAGCCAGTTTAGGGCGTACAACTGCAAGGGCTTGATAATCATAAAACATCTGTGGTCATTTCCACTCACCTCTAGTTGCCGTGAGGGAGAAAGCAGTCTGTTTTCTTTAAGCAAAGAATAAGGAAAAGCAATAAAGTGAGCATCTGCCCTTGACAAGGTCAAGGAAATCTCTCAAATGTCATGCAATTTAGGATGTTCTAAATGAAGAAATTACTTAATCAACCTGGGGGACTGTAGCTATTACATAAACCAACGTAAACAAGCCTCCAAAATCCAGCAACTAAGGATGCTTTGGCTCCACAGCAGACAGCTTGAAATTGACAAGTTTCCTAGGCTGCCCTTGAAACTCAATTTTCTGACACTCAGTTCATCCCAAATTAATGGAGACCCCGTTCAACACCCAAAGCTGCCCTTTTGCGTTGCCCTCAAGAGCCCTTCCTGGGGTATAAAGAAGGCCATAAAGACAAATTCTAAATGTTCTAATATGATGGGGTGACGCCAATTAAATAAAATGCATTGATCTCAGTTAGAGGAGGGGAAGGGACACTATAAATAAGTATTCCCCTGTTGGTCAGCTGAGCTACAAAAGGGTCAAAGGGATTAGGGGTGGAAGTAGCTTCACAAGCCAATGCCATATGCAAAATAGAAACACTACTCCCCCATTTTTTTCCTCCCTAGTACCAACCACCTGTTTTCTGAGGCATCCCTCTAATAAACTAAAAGAGCCTTGTCAAGTAGCTGATTCTATTATTAACTAGACATGTGTCTCTCCCAGGCTTCCTGGCAGATCAAGAAGACTGTCAGCCTTCTCCACAGGGTCCCAGGGCCACTTAGCTGAGCTCAGCAGCCTTCATGAAAGAAGGACAAGGAAGATAATGGCCTTAATTTGGCCAAGTAGCCCAGAAGAGGTCCAGTGCTAAACTGTCTGATCACAGTCAGCGTCATCTTGGTACTGTCCCTCCCAGGCCACTCAAGAAAGCTGGTGCTGGCTGTGGGTCTGGGCAGTGGGTGAGTGCAAGTGATACAATTTGGGCCTTAAATATCCTATCTGAAGACCCATTGGACTTTTTACCTGACTACGTAGCTCTGGAGACCTGACTCATAGAGAATTAACTTTCTGTCCTTGCAACCGAGTTGTCACAGGATAATGCAGAACAAATTAGCGCATGCCCAGGCTGCAAGGAAATCAGGACAGACAAAAATGAGACAGGCAGGATTCTAGACTACTTTTTTGAAACGTGACCTCTCCTAAGACAGTTTCATGGGTCATTTCTCGGTACTTTGGTTTAGAAATAAATGTCTATCTTCTTATATCATGTTGGCAGGAAGAGAAAGAGGAAAGAAACAGTCAAGACGTCAGGAATCAGAAATGAATGCAGATGGGAACATTACTCATATTAACTCAGTGACACTTGAGAAGCCCAACCACTTGAGCTCCATCTAGTCAGCTAAAGGAGCAGAAGATAACAAATATAGAAAGAAAAGAACTTTAATACTTACATGTCTGAGAACACTGCCCTCCCCCACTAAACTGGGAGCATCTCCAAGGTAGTGGCCGTTGAAAAAAATCTCTTCTGAAGCTTCTAGCACAGCATCTTACACGTAGTAGGTCTTCCACAGATGCTTGGGAATGAGCAAATGGTTAAATGTAGACTACAAAATGCCCAGAAATTCAGCATAGTAACCTAACAGTTGTTGAAAAAATAGAGGAAATCACGTTCTAATTTCATAAGTGCAACTTAAGCAAACCTACTAACAAAGGTAACCTATGTTAGGGCCTTGGAGCCCTCTCCTTTAGAAGTCAATTTCCACAGTCCCCCAGTCGGGGAGGGCACAGTGTGGAGCTGACAATAGCTGCTCCTCTCTCCTCCCTACTCATGTCTACTTCTCAGGAAATCAAAGATCTGTGCAGCTGCTTAGGCCACCCTGAGCATAATTCATGTTGGTTTAGGATTTAGGCTTATAAGATTAGACTGATGATCATAAACCTTGCCCATTATAAAATTCTAAAATCATTATTAATTTTAAAATGAGTATAAAACCTTGGGCAAAACCAATAACAAATGCCTGCCAACTCTAAGACCAAGAAGAAGCCTAAATCCTATCTAATTTGGAGAGCTCAGGCTGGAGCGGATTATGGAGAGAGGCTAAGGATGCTCCCTCCCTGGACAGGATGAGGATGAGGATGAGGAGGACAGCATCACTGCTTCTGCCGAAAGCCAAGGACTGGTAAGGATCCTCCGGGCAGCTCTCTGGTCTGCAGCCTGAAGAGAGGACTGGGGGAACTACTGTAGAATCAATACTACCAGGCTGAGGAATGCCCAAGGGAAAAAAGGAGCTGGGACCAAGGACAGAACCCAGAGAGATGACGGCTCTGTGACCCTGCTTAGTTACGGGCCTTGCGATGGCTGCTTGCTTTTCATAGAGTGAAAGGTAAGAAATGGAAGAAAGTCATACATTGGCATTCCAAGGATGAGGAATATAATCAAATACGAAAGTTGCTTCCAACAAGATGGAATGTGAATTTGCCCATGCAGACAAACAATCCAGTGCTGGCACACAGAGCAAGATGCAGAAATGAAGGGGAGGAGAGGCCAGTCTCAACTAGGGGTCTGTGATTTACAACTGAAGTTCAAAGTGATGGTAATACCATGTTTTTACTTTTTAAATGGTTTTATCCTATTTTTCTAGCCCATAAGGAATGCACCTTGGTGTCAACAAAACCCCTTGGTCTTTGTAAGCTGTTTTGAAGCAAAATATCAGTAAATTACTTCCCAAACCACCACACAACTAGATCACGCTGAGAAAATGGGGGCTCTGCAAGAATGCAGTCAATTGTTTCTGTCACAGAAGAAAATACAACCAGTAGAAATCGTTATGGATGAGTCATTATGAGAAGGGGCCAAAAAAATTAACCTTCATCCGTTTTCTTTGTCTTTGCGCATGTAAGAGAGGTGGGGGTGTATGTGTATGTGTTTATTTGAATTCACCAGCCACATTTAGAACCGGAGCTGGGAAGGATTTTAGAGAGAAGCCAGGCCAGCCCCTTTGCTGACGACAGTGGAGGACGGGGAGGAAGAGAAAGAGCTGACTCCAGAAATGATATTGCTGAGAAGATACTTAGTATGATCGAAGGACAAGTGGCTCTGTGATTAAAGGAAGAGAGAGAAGAAAACTTTTATTCTAAAATATTTATTGACGTTTATGAAGTAGCACCAAGCACAGAATTAAATGCTTTTATATGTTTGAGCTTTTCTAATTCTATTTCTTCCAAGGCCAGTCCTATTGGGTAGGACCCCCATTTAATAGATGAAGACATTGAAGTTTAAAAAGGTTGGGTGACTTGTCTGAAGCCCCATAGCCATGAAGTGACTGGGGCTGGGATTCATGTCATTATGGTCTGATTTCAAGCCCATTTCTATTAGTCCATTTTCATACAACTGTGAAGAAATACCCCAGACTGGGTAATTTATAAAGAAGTTTAATGCACTCACAGTTCCACATAGGTAGGGAGGCCTCACAATCATGGCGGAAGATGAAGGAGGAACAAAGGCATGTTTTACACAGCTACAGGCAAGAGAGGGTGTGCAGGGAAACTGCCCTTTATTAAACCATCAGATCCCATGAGACTTATTCACTATCAGAAGAACCACATGGGAAAAACCTGCCCCTCGTGATTCAATTACCTCCCACCAGGTCCCTCCCACAACACATGAGGATTATAGGAGCTACAATTCAAGATGAGATTTGGGTGGGGACACAGCCAAGCCATGTCACCATGCCTTCCAGAATGACACTGTTCCTCCTCAGGTGAGGAACGTGCTGTGTGAAGCCTACCATGAGCAAAAGCCAGCACTAGGCAGGATGGCTGGAGAATGTGAGTGTGAGCCGAGGTGTACATCTATGAGATTCAGAGGAAGTGATTGGCATTCCCCAGATTTGCACATGGACTTTCAGAATTTTCCAGTGAATCCGCACTCCACGTGCAGCTTTCTCAACCTCTTCAGCCACTAGGAGCCCCGGCATAGGGACTTTGTAATGTTCCCTGGGGCATTCTAAATTCACTTCACTAAGCTCCAGCCTCTCCTCTCTGCCAATACAAAATCCATTGCTGGTCACTTGGTAATGATTCCTCATGTCCCCTCTATGCAAACAATGGTAGAGAAAAATACTCCGTTAAAGTGTTAAACATCCGCTAATGTGTGGTAATTGATTTCATGTGTGGAAATCAGGGACAGGGCAACACTGGGAGACAGTGGATTTGACACAGGCACTGTCTGATTTGATGAACACAGCTGTAAGGTGCTGGTTTTTATGAAAGTGTTAATCATCTGGTAGACCTGGCCAAAAGGCCCGCTTCCATGTAGCAGTGCCCTAGGTGGACAAGATAGGACACAGAGGGCCACCTTTGTCCCTGTCAGTAACTATTTCATTTCAGTAACGATATCAGTTTACAAGCCACATGAATTTGAGGGCTGTGTCCTGCTCCATGGATCTGCAGCATGAAGTCACCTCTGAAGTCAGCCAGGCTGGGGAGACACGCTGAGGCAGATGGAGGTCCACACAAGTTGCCCAGGGAGAGTCAGAGAGGAACGGAGGTTGTGGAAAGCAGCAAGTGGGGAGATGAGGACTGACAGCAAAAACTGTTCACTGCTCACCTGCAGCAGTGCATCTGGAAGCCAACGTGTAGATCTGTCTAAAAGCCAAAGGCAACAAGAGACATATGTATGTATGTTGCTGTATAGCTAGCTGACAAGGAGCTTCCACAGACATGATCTCAGTTTGGATTTCCTCATCAATCTTGCAAGGCTGGTATTTTTGCCAACACAGAGAAAGAACTAGATTACTAATTCTCAAATGGGGTTGCATAGTTACCTGGGAAGCTGTAAAAGAGAAACCGATACCCAAGACCCCTCCTTCCCACCCCCAATTCAGATTCCTATGTTTAAATTCTCCCAAGTGATTCAAACATATGCTAGGTTGAGAGCCACTGAATTAGACAAACGTGTGTAGATGGATGGATTGAAGACAAATATATCCAAAATGGAGAAGGGCATAAAATTTAAATAAATAAATTTAGGACATAGGAGAGGAAGGACTAGAAACACAAAAACCTCTCAGTCTGGCTTGGTCTGAGAGACAAGGCTGAGGGATATGGATAAAGCCGTGGGGCTAGTGCAAGGTGATCACATTCTGCACTCTTATTAGCAGATGCTTCTCAGGTGACGTGCAAGGACCCAGAGTCATGCGTCCCCAATCCATATGATTTGGAGAAGAGAGGAGAAAGGCACCTCCTCAGATGGAAGCTGTGCTCAGACCAAAGTCAAAACATAAGCACAAAAGAGGCCTGAGGAAAAGACTATTTTCTGTCCTTGCTTTATACTCCATAGACTGACTTGAAACAATTTTCAGAAGTGTCCTTAACTCCTAGGGGACTCATTTAGCAATACACCGCTTCCTCTAATGAACTATGAATTGTGCTGATATTCTCATCTCCAGGCAATGAAGATGCTCTCTGCAGCTCCTAGGTTCAACAGGAACTTGGACAACACCTACAGATTTTTCTGATGCGTAAGCAGTACAAGCATAATAATGATGATAACAAAAATAGCTGCTGTTTATTGAGCACCTACTCGGTGCCATGACTTCGCACTGTGCTTTAGATGTGTTCTCTCCTCTTTCCTCTTTACCTTTTCTGTTTTCTTTTCTTTCTTTTTTTTTTTTTTTTTTTTTTTTTGAGACGGGATCTCACTCTGTCACCAGGCTGGAGTGCAGTGGTGCAATCTCGGCTCACTGGAACCTCCGCCTCTCGGGTTCAAGCGATTCCCCTGCATCAGCCTCTCCAGTAGCTGGGACTACAGGTGCGCACCACCATGCCCCGCTAATTGTTTGTATTTTAGTAGAGACAGGGTTTCACCATGTTGGCCAGGATGGTCTCAATCTCCTGACCTTGTGATCCACCTGCCTCAGCCTCCCAAAGTGCTGGGACTACAGGCATGAGCCACTGCGCCCAGCCCCTCTTTCCCTTTTCCTATACACCACCTTAGACGGTAGAGACCATGAAGTTCCCCTTTTGCAAATGAGAAACACAGGTCTCAGGGAAGTATGGTACTCAATGTCACAAGTCTGGCAGGTCCAGATGGGATCTAGACACACCCGGCTCCAAGCCCTGGTGCTTACAGGTGCAGAAGTGCAGCAGGAACTGCTACTTACCACCTGGAGAAGGAAATAATTAATAATGCTAATTACCCTTTCCTGAGCACTTCTTTAAGCCTGGCACTGTGTTCAGCCATTTACATATATTATTTTATTTAATGCTCACAAAACCCAGAGAGGCAAGTATTTTATCCTTAATTTACTCTTGAATCATTTGAGCCTCAGCGATGATGTAAGCACGCTGGCAAGGAGCAAAGGCATCCCGTGGGCCTTTGCCTACCATTTGCTGTTCTTCACCTGGGCCCCGGTGCACACAGGTACATTCAGATGTTGTTGCTTTGCTCTTCACGGGACTCTCTCTCATTAGCATCACTTCACCCACCAGTGAAGGAATGAATTCTGTCCGTTAGTTGGGGAAGGAAAAATATTCTTGCCCTATCCAAAGTCAGATAAATCTTCAGTTCTGGAGGACAGAAGAAGCCCCTCATTCTAAAGGTCCTCCCAGTCGAGGCCCCTCAGGGACCACCATTCCTTTTGCATCAGCTCATGGCCCGAGGAGTGCCTAACCTGGACAGCAGGCTGCATCAGAGTGGACTGGTTAAGCGCAGGGCTTTGACAGTAATGTGTTCTGGGGATCAAGTTCTGGCTGTGTTGCATGAATTGCGTGAGTCATGTTCCCCATGAGCCTCAGTTTTCTCATCTGTAAACTAGTGATTAGAATAGCAACTTCTCAGGGTTGTTGAAAGATTATAAGAAATAATGTATGCAAACACATAAAATGCTTAGCCTAGTGCTTGATTGCTTGATTAATGGAACCTATTATTACTCTTAATGGCTAAGGGCACTGGGGCTGAGACGGTTTTCTGGCTGCCTCCAAGCAGAAGGAGAAATGGCATGCTCCCCCATGCTGATCGTACATTTTACCCCCATTTCCAGGTGTGGGAAAAGCTCCATCAAAGCTCTCCCATCAATAACAGTCGATTCCAACCCCGAGAGAGCCCAGCTGCAACTTCCAACTTGCAGTTGGAAGGATGCTGAGGCATTAAAGTAGGCATGGAGGGAACCAAGGACGTGTGGCCCTCCAATGCGTGGTAGAGCCTTGAGTTCAGCAGACCCCTGCACATGCCAGCATGTGTGGCCCAGGCAAACCAGCCTGCACGAGGCCAGCAACCCTGTACCCTGTCAAGGATCCGATGTGTGTCCAGGATCCCTGTGGAGGCAAAGATCCTGCCCCTCTCTCCATCCACCAGCACACCACTCCCACGTGCATGCACACACATGCACACATGTGCACAGGCATATGCACACGCAGACACATGCACACACACACATGCCTCCCACACACGCACACACAGCAGTCAACATGCCCTGCAGAGAGACCTCCCTGGTCAGGCGCTAGAGCCTCCTTGGGGGCGGGGTGTCCTCTGAGGCGCTTGCAGCTCCTCCATGGCTATAGAAACTCACTTTCCCCTCAGCCCTCTTTCTGCCAGTCACCTTCTGTCAAGGAGTGATTATGCTCCTTTCTGTCAGGAACACGGATTGATTGTGGCAAGAAAATTGCCTTCAGCGATAGGGATTTAAGAAACGCTTTTCCTGAAAATAGTGCTCAAATTAATTAACTTGGAGGAAAGGGTTGCGTTTTGTTGTTGCTGTTTTTTTTTTTTTTTTTTTTGGTCTGGATTTAATTTATTTTTTCCCAAAGAGTTTTTTGTTATGTGATGAATAGTGAAGAGGGTGTTACCTCCTCAGACATACACCTGGAGTCAGGGAGGCATTGCAGGCCCCCATCCTGTGAGGCACCAGGGATGTGCTCCTCCCAGCGGAGCAGGCAGGGCAGTGGGAGGGACCAGCCGGAAGCAGGATGTGTTTGCAGGAGGTAGTGGGTGTCCGCAGTAGGAATGTAAGGTAACAGTGGCAGTGGAAAGCACACGGGGTAGGCATAGAGCTGCCTGGGTGCTGGCACTGTCCCTGACACTAACTGGAAATGTTCACTCGGCTTCTCTACAGTAGAGATGTGATTCCGATTGCAGCTGCCAGTTGGGCTGGTTGCTGGGAGGACCAGATGAGGCACACCTGGGGCTGTATTTTGTGCTCAGTTCTGTGATTCCTTCGTGGCCCCTGACAGGAGGGTGGTTCAAGGCCACGGGGCAGAAGGCAGAAGGCAAAGAAAAAAGGCTTTCTGAAATCAAGACCAGTACCACTGTCACGAGCTGCGTGATCTTGGGTCAGTAATCTAAACTCTCTCAGCTTTTACGCCCTCGTTGTAAGATGGGGGTAAAAAATAAACACGTCGGCATCACTGTGAAAAGTAATGAATCAGTTAAAAGACTCAACCTATAATTGACTGATAAATAGTAATTCCTTTCTCCACCACCCTAGTCCTATGCAATACACTAATAGGCACTCAAAAAATGTATGTGTATAATATATTTTGAATGGACAAAAGTGATTAAATATTATACATGCATTAATTTTTAAATAATGATTTTTTTTCATGCACACTTTGAACCCTGTCAGGCCAGAGTGAAAACGATTAAAATATCACATAAAGGAACTCCCAGTGTCCGTAGAACTTCCAGTTTAAGGTGGTGCAAATCACCTCTGTGACTCACCCACCTTTCTGAGAGCTACCTTTTCTAGGCCTTGTCCCCCACTTACATTCAAGAAATACAAAGATATTTCTTCTCCACCTTGACCAGCATTTCTTACCTGGAGTACATGGACGGGCTTACTGGGATCCACAATCCATACCTGCATTTGATTCATTGAGTACGCTTGGGGATTAAATCCATAGCTTTCACTGGGGCAGGGATGGGCACAGCTGTGACTACACACACAAACGCACGAGTGCGCGTGCGCGCGCGCGCCCACACACACACACACACACACACACACACACACATTCCCCAGTCCTGATGCCCCCACCTGGCAGCTGCACACTCCCGAGGACTGAAGAGCTGCACTCCCGCAGCCTCTGCCTCTCAGGAGCCTGCGGGTGTTTCAGAGCATCTGACCAGCCTGGCTCTAGGCTGGGTGTGCACAGTTCGCAGGTGAAACAAAGGGAAGGAAATTATCTTGCCCTGAGACATGCAACAAGAACATTCCACTCATCTTTGACTACTAAACCGTCATTGAGAGGAAGGCAAGAAGCAGATCTCATGCAATCAGGGTGACTGCTGAGGAGTTTTAAAGCCATCAGAGGAACTCTCCCAGTGGGAGCCACTGGGGCTTAGGCCCACCTCAGGGATGCAGCCCTGAGATCCCTGCTCCGAGATCCCAGCTGTGGTCAGAAGCAGAATGGCAGGCATGCAAACACCATTTCTGATCAAAGGCAAGAGGGAGGCATGCATGATATCTTTCCTACGTTCAAAGAATTTTAAAAGAAAGGCCATGCTATGAAATGTGTTTAGCATCATTTTCATATAGGCCACAGGACATCTTTCGGTTGGACATAGCCCAGGACCTGCATTCAGCTACTCCTACTATTACTACTACCATTAATAATATAAGTATTACCTTATTTTCCTGATTAGTTTCTGTGTTTATACAGTAGTCAAACACCGAATGTAGGAGGCCTAGGAAAGCGAATGCAGAAGTGGGTACCCAAGCACATTGTGACATGGATAAATTAGCCCTGTTTCAAAACTTGGAGAAGCAATTAAAGACAGATGGAGAACTGCTGATACGGACCTCGGCATCTATTTCCTCGCCTCCCACTCAGTGCCTAGCACAGAACTTTACATACAGCGAGCACTCAATACTTGTGTGATATCAGGGAGTAGTCACGATTTTTTTCCTCACCTTCATCTCAAGAATAATGACAGCTTTTATTCATTTAAACTCGGCTTCTCAGAGTGCAGTCCGTGAACCTTCCGCTTCAGAATCACCTGGGGACCTTGTTTAATATGCAGCTCCCTGGCTCCTTTCTCAGATACCCTGAGCCAGGCTCTTTAGAGGTGAGGCCTGGGAAAATTCAGTCTACTAAGCCCACCAAGTGCGCCTTAGGTTCTTTGAAGTTTGAGAAATACTGACTTAGATAAATGAGTGTTTGTTCAGTAGTAGCTTTAAGTCCTTTTCAGAAGCACTTCGTAAATTTACTAAACCATGTATAGAGGCATCTCTAAAATCACATTCTACAAAGCCTTTCTTCTGACTGATTCAGAATTAAGTATAGGAAGGTTTAAGCAATAAAGTGTGGGGGTAAATTTTTCTCGTACTTCCAGTTACTTCATTAAGACTGTCGGCCTGCATGTCAGAGGATGATCCAAGAATGTTCTTAGCTCCTAACTCATCTTCCTAGCTGACCGAATAGGCACCTGGGGCCAGGAGAAATCTGCTGGCCTCTCTCACTGGGTTTCCCTTGGTTTGTGACATTACAGATGGACTGTGGTCGTCACTGCTATTATCTTGATAAAACATATTATGGGGCTGGGCACTGTGGCTCACACCTGTAATTCCAACACTTTGGGAGGCCGAGGCGGGTGGATCACTTGAGGTCAGGAATTTGAGACCAGCTTGGCCAACCCCATCTCTACTTAAAAAATACAAAACTTAGCCAGGTGTGGTGGCACGCACCTGTAGTCCCAGCTACTTGGGAGGCTGAGGCAGGAGAATCACTTGAACCTGGGAGGCAGAGGTTGCAGTGAGCCAATATCGCGCCATTGCACTCCAGCCTGGGTGACAGAGGGAGACTCCATCTCAAAAACCAAAACATATTATGGGAGGTATCAGATGACATGAAGAAACAGAAGGAGATGAAATGAGTGAAAATGAGAGAAGAGAAAAAGAGAGGAGAGGAGGGGAGGGAAAGGGAGGAGAGGGGAGAGGAGGAAAGAGAGGAGAGTTGATTATCTAGTTGGAATAAAGCCCTGTTGCCTTGAAAGTATTCTGCGTCAGCAAGGCCTTTAATGGAGTGGGGATTGAAGGACCGGCCCAGAGGAACAAAAGGAAGGAATAAAGAAAGGTGACAAATCGAAGAAAAGAGCAAAGAGAAATAAGGACTGGCAAGAGCAAAAAGAACGTGCAGTACAAAGACTCCAGAGGAGTGAGGGTTTTTTTTTTTTTTTTAACTTTGCAAACACTTCATTTTACTACACTTAATTAATCATAACACAGGAACATAAATGTTTAAAGAGTGAAATAAAATGTACAGAAGTATAGTCATACTCAACAAAAATGAGAACACATCAATGTAACATAAGGTTGTCATCCCTGCAGTCTCCAAGCTCACGGGAGTCAGCGTCTCCACTTCAATTCCTCCAGCCACAAGCAAGTTCATAGTAATGAAGCTCTTTCTTCGTCCTGGCTGAAATCAGTGAGGGAAATGCAGGAGGAATGAGAAAAAAATGTTCCAAAGAGAGAGGAAAAGGGCAGAGAAAAAAAAGCAAGTATGACAGCGACAGAAATAACTTTATTCTCTCATGCTGGTGCCCTTCAGGCCAGGAAGTCCTCTGACGTGTCTAACTCAAATATCTCCTGCAATTCCAGCCAGTTTCATGCTTTCCTGGGTCCAGCCAATAAAAAACTGTGACAATTTACTGATTCAAAATACTGCAACATAAAAGAACAAAAATTTAAATAAAGTTCGGCAGACCCTCTTTCTGAAATCTTGGATCTGCATGAAAGCAAAATAGAGGCAGAGAATACACCAAGAATGAGAAAAATCTCTCCCCTTTTCAACTATAAAAACCATCTGGATTTTCTGTCTCCTGGCCCCAAGCCTTCTGCCATCAATATCTGGACATTTTGATCCCTCTGCATGAATCCGCAGTGATTCAGGCCTGTGTGGGGGGAGTGGAACTAATAAAGTCCTCTGTTGGGGGAACTGAGGGATCATCACGTGACAACCTCAAGCTGACCTTATTCTCAGGCTTTCCCTTCTGATGGTCTGTCTTGGTTCTGGTAACTGAGGTTTTGGGGAGCTGAAGGACACCATTCTCTAAAATCTGAACTCTGCCCATGTCTCAGCTTCCACGTTGGGGACCTTTTCACACCAGGCAGGTTGCTGTTGCTGTCCCAGAATGATCGACCAGATGGACTTCTAGGACCTGTTTACATTTCCTTATAGTATTTTTCCTCCCCTGCCTGCTCTCATACACACAAGCTCCCTTTCACTGGACTCGTGTAATGAGCAATTCTTCCTCTATGAAGCCCCAGGGAGCTTGTCAATCTCCAAATCCCACCTCTGTAGAGGCTTTTCGTGCATCTGAGCCCCGAAGCCTGTTCTACTGGTCCCTACAGACACCCTTCCTAGTCTGCCTGTATTTCAGTGGGCTGAGTCCTCCTTGGTTGACCAAAGCACATTGGGAAGACTACAGGGGGTCTGTTGTGCCTTCTATGGACTACAGAGGAAAGTGGCTCAGGTTCATGGTGTGCCTGTGATTTAGCTATGGCTGCTTCAACCTTCCCTTGTATCCAAAGTCTGTGCAGTTCATCCACCTTGGAAGTTTGTGTTTATCTCTGGGACAAACAAAACTAACCCCTGCCTTTTCCACAGTTCTCAAATCCTTACAAGGCCATAGAGTGTTAGAAATGGTTAAGGATATAAATTTCAGCGTCACATATCTGAGCTATATACTGACCCCTGTGGAACCTTGGGCAAAAAACTTCTTTCTCAGCTCTCTCTAACATGTGGCTAGAGTCTCACAGGAATGGGGTAAATGTTCATAATGATTGTGTGACGTTCTTATTATAGTGTCTAGCACAGAGATACTGCGGAGGAAAAGGTGATGAACAGTTTCTGCCTTTCTGAAGTCCCCAGGGTTCCATAATTGTTCTTTGGAAGCTTTGTCATTGTTATAGAGGCAAACCTCAGAGAATGCCAAGGTAGGGAGACCTTCTCCCTTGTCAGGAATTCCACCCCGCCCCCACCCAGTCTCCATGGCTCACCAGTGCTGGCTCCCCATGTTCTTTGATCCTGGGAGGCCACTCCTATGGCCCAGTGGGTGAGGACATCATTCCTGTATCAGCAAAAGCCTCATCGTACCTCACAACTTCCAGTCCCCATGCCTTCTGCTTATTTTCTCCAAAACTATGGGAGAACATACACAAAACGATTTTATGAATACTTGGAATTCAGACCCAGTGTGTGACCTAAAGCATTCAGCATCCTTTTATGCCATTCCTGAGAACTTCTATTATTGTAACCACATCTATTATAATTGATAACCTCAAAACTAACAGAAAAACACTGTGTCTTCACCCAGAGAAGCTTGGAAGACCCCAAGTGCAACCTAAGGCTACTTGTCCTATGTGGGAGAACATATTTTCCTTGACAAATGTCTGGCTGTAATCTGCTTTTCAATAGGTAGTAGATGCTCTCGGGCCTTGTAACTGGGCCACAGTAACCTGTGAAGGGTCAAGATTTATATCTGAGAGGGTATGGTCACCACCACCTCTAACCACCAGTGCATGTCCCGCACCCTCTGAAGGGGCTGTGGGACTCCTGAGCCACCTGCTGCGTGTCCATAATTGTAGTATTGAGTGATAGATTTCAACACATAAATCCAATTCTGAAAGATTCTAAAAGCCACATTCGAGTTAATGAGCAGAGTACACGAATCAATTAATTGTGTCTATTTTGGTTACTTGAAGGAAAGGGGCAATATTTCATCAGCAGTCCTTAGGGTAGGGATGACAAGCACTAGCATCTGGAATCTGAGATCACCCTGATATCGCAGAGAATGTGGAAGCTCAAACAATGAGCCAGGTCCTGGTCAGCTGTTTCAAAATGGCCCCAATCCTTTCCCTTTCTTTATCCATTGCCCTTTCAAGTGGAGCCCACTCCTCCACTCCTAGAATCCAGTCTGGTCCTGCAGTAAGAATGACTGCATCCCAGTTCCAAGCCCAGGCCTCGAGAGGCCTTGCATTCCTCTGTGTGCTCTCTTGGAACCCTGTGACGGTCATAAGAACAAGGCCAAGCTTGTCTGCTGGAGAATAGGAGACCACAGGGACTGGGGCCAGACAATTCATGAGAGGCCATCCTAGACCAGTTCCTCCCAGAGAGCCACTAGCTGACTGCAGAGACATGAGACTCCAGCCCAGAAGAGTTGCCAGTGAGGTAAATGAATGTCTATTGTTTGATGCCACAGGGCTTTGTGTGTTTATTTGCTTTTCTTACACAGCATTATTGTAGCAATACACAACAGATAAAAAAGGTAGCACCACATTATATCCCGATGAATCCAGCCGTAACTACTGACCATGACCTTAAGATGTTTTTTCTCCTTTATAAGTTGCTCTTCCCACGTGTAGCTGATTGGGTCCAAGGCTACTGATTCTCTAACTATCTGTGGTCAAGGACCAGCTTTTTATTTACATTTTCTTTTGTCCTATTTTGGTTTTGTTTTTACTTCTTATTTGAAATAATTATAGATTCATAAGAAATTGCAAAAAAATCAAATAATACAGGGAGGGCCAAGATGTTTTTTTCTTTTTGTTCCCCCAATCCATTGTGGATCAAATACTTTTGTAAAATCAAAAAAGAAAGAGAGAGAAAAAGAAAGGAAGAAAGAAAGAAGAAAAGAAAGAAAGAAAAAGAAAGAAAGAAAGAAAGAGAAAGGAAAAGAAAAGAAAGAGAAATAAGTTATCAGGAATATGAAACAAAATCTTAAAAGATGTGTAAAGTACTAGTCCAAATTCTTTATGATTAGATTAAAAGGAATAGACATAAAGTTACAAACATTTTTATGAAAATTTCTAAATGCTTATTTTTGGTTTGTACATGTAGCTCACGTTTTGTGGCTTGGCCCCAGTCCACAGACCACTTCTAAGTAGTATTACTTTCAACTTTTCTGGAGATGAGAAATGGAAACTAAGCTTAAGTACAGTGGGAATAATTTTGGTCTCGAATGACCTTAAGGTGTTTCACAGAGGATATTTTTACAATATCTTTTACCCTAAGTGCTATAAAAGAGTGCTTTTATGGTTATCTAACCCTGGATGATGGGAAGAAAAAACACAAAATACACTTCAGCCTTTATACAGGAATTTTCCTTACTGATTTTCTTTCTTCTCTTCATCACTAAAACAAACAACAAAAACAAAACACAAACACTGACCGGGCACCGTGGCTCACGCCTGCAATTCCAGCACTTTGGGAGGCCGAGGTTGGCAGATCACTTAAGCTCAGGAGTTCAAGATCAGCCTGGGCAACATGGTGAGACTCCATCTTTACAAAAAATTAAAAAATTAGCATATAGGCATGATGATGTGCGCCTATAGTCCCAGCTACTTGGGAGGGTGAAGTGGGAGGATCACGAGCTTGGGAGGTTGAGGCTGCAGTGAACCTTGATGGCACCACTGAATTCCAGCCTGGGTGACAGAGCAAGACCCTGTCTCAAAAAACAAAACAAACAAACAAAAAAAACACAATGCAAGGTCACACCAGCATTGAGGTTCAATATTCAACATGCTTGGCTTCTCTACTTGACAACTCTAGCCTTGCACTTTTGATAAAACCAGTGATGCCTTGGTTGTCAAAACAGTGACCACCTGCAAAACTTCTGAAATATCCTCTGCAGAGAAGCCCCAATATGACTGTGTACCCAGTGTATATACCCTTTTAGAGACAGCCCCCTAAAGTATCTTGTTTGTCAAAAAAGAGACCTTCCAAAATAAGTCAGATGCCTTGCTCTTTCCTTCACCATCAGGACGATGAGCACCAACTCTAGGTCCAGACAGTCCCCAGTCCTAGCTGCTTCCAACATGGAGGAACTAAAAGACAAAGTTGAACGGATATTTATTCTTTCAGCTACAACTTGCGTGGCTGCTCAATATTTAAGTCAAAGGAGAATCCCTACAGCATGCATCAAACTTCAATTACTAGGCTTCATTTAGAATACCTGCTTATGCACACTAAACCCTCACCCAGAAACACACCTCCTTTGTCCCTCATAGTTTCAGTCCATTCAAAATATATACCATAAATGTATTTAAAATAGTGTTAATATGGAAATAAATGAGTCTAATTTTGAATTCATACTTGCTATTGTCATTTTGAGTTTTTAGTAAAAATTATTTTTTCAATAATATTTCTGCCATGTGATATAACTGGCCAGTATTCAGCAGAATGTTTTCCCAATGTATTTTAGTGAACATTAATTCTCCATTTAAAAAATTCAGATTACAACTACTATTTCTGTATAATCTCATGATGTCAACCACTACTGAACCTAGAGTAGCATCATTCCATGAAAAAGGTCAGACATCACCAAACCTACCAGGATTCTTTCACTTATTATACATCTATTAGTTAGAGGCTTAAACAATTAGCCATTTTGTCATAGAAGAATATATTAAGAAGCTGCATGTAAATATACAACAGGGATTCTCTTGTGACTGCTCCTTTTTGGAGGGCTGAGAAGGCTGCTGCTTCCTGCCATGATGGGGTAACAAAAATTGGGCTTAACTGACCATAATAAACAATCAGAAAACTAAACAAAATGTATGAATTAACAGTTTTCAGACATTAAACAACAAAAACAAGAAATAATAATTGCTGAAAGAAGAGAACATTTCTGGAGGAAATTTCTAAACTGCATTCAGGAAGGGTAACCCTAACAATATGTAATAGCCTTCACGAATCAAGGAGAGAGAACAGAGTTCAAGAAACCTGTGGCAACTGAATGTTGTAGGACAGAGTTCCAGAAAGGAGGAAACTAGCCTGGGAATCCTAAAATATTTATTAGCTTGTTTTTTAGAAAAAAATTTGCCAACCCTTGCCGTGGAAATAAAAACTACAATTTATAAAGTAATAGTTTTACTGGGTGAAAGTAACAACAGATTAGACACTGTGGAAGAAAAGACCAGTAAACGTGAAGACAATAATAGAACCTACCTAAAATAAAGCATCCAGAGAAAAAAGACTGCTAAGAAAATAAATAGAGCCACAGTGATTTGGGGACAATATTTAGCGGCCTAATGTACATGTAACAGGAGTAGTAGAAAGAAAAGGAAAAGAGAATAAGGTATAAAATTATTATTAAAATATAATGGCTCAAGTTTTTAAAAAATTTTATAAAAACTATAAACTCAGAAATGAAATAAGGTCAATGAACTCCACACAGAATAAACACAAAGAAAACCTCACTGAGGCACATTGTAATCAAATTGCTTAAAACTGGTGATAAAGACAAAATATTAAACAAATATTAAACACTGCTGGAGGAAAAAGAAGTCACTTTATGTAATAAAAATTGGAGCAGGGAACTATGCAAGCTTTAAATCAATAGAATAACATCTTAAAACTATTAAAAAGAGAAAAAGACTACATTCAGTGAAAATAGTCCCTAAAAATGAAGACAAAATAAAATCTTTTGCAGACAAGCAAAAACTGAAAGAATTTATTACCAGTAAATCATTCCTATATGAAATATTGAAACAAGTTGTTTGGGCAGAAGGAAAATAATGACAGATGGAAACATAGACCTACGCATAAAAAAAAGAGCACTTAAAGAGGCCAATATTTTCTTTTTTCTTTTTAATTTCTTTATCAGATAAATGAATGTTCAAAGCAAAAAGAAACCAATGTATAATGGGATTTTATAATATATGTAGAAGTAAAATGTATGATCACAACAGCACAAAGAATGGGAGGGGGAAATGTAAGGACATTCATTTCATTTTTTACATTACACAAGAAATAATATTATTTCAAGGCAGTCTATGATACCTTAAGTGCATATTATAAACCCTAGAACAACCATTAAAAGAAAAGTAAACAAGATATATAGCTAATAAGCCAACGGTGGATATAAATGGAATAGTAGAAAATCTATCTTTTATCCAAATAGTAGCAGAAAATGATGAAATAAATCTAAAGAACACATGAGACGAATACAAAACAAGTAGTAGGATGATAGGCTTAAAACCAATTATATCAATAATTATATTAAATGTAAATGGTCTAAATGCACAAAGAAAAAGGCAAATGTTGTCAGACTGAATACACAAGCAATACCAAACTACATGTTGTCTACTAGAAATCTTTTAATATCAAAAAAAGATGTGCTTTAAACATATGTCATGCAAAAATTAACCATAAGGAAGCTGGAGATGCTATATTAATATAAAAAACGAAGTAGAACCAAAGATATTACCATGAATAAAGAAGGGCATTTCAAAATAAAGGGCTACAGAATTATAGATTTTCAATTCCAGCCCAATTAAAATGAATTTTCATATGGGATTCCTATTATCAAGCATCCCAGCTGATTAAAGTTAAGCCCTGTTTCAGCTACTTTGGACTTGAATTTTTAAAAACTAGAAAGTAGACTATGTACTCCTTTCCTGTTCCAATCCTTCCTTCCAGTATATACAACTTTGTTTGCCCCTCTTCATCTAATTTATTTTATTTATCTAAAGTTCTCTTTAGTCCTTCTCTTTTATTCTTCAGTTGCTATCTTGATCCAAGCAGATTGATATGTTAGTTTGAGTTCCATTTTGTCTTACTTTACTTCTACGTGTGGCACAGCCTTCAAATTGTCCACCAATATCACTTTATCCTTCTTCCTTTAATAGCAGAACTCCTGTCTTTAGTCTCGGAACATTGGTACCCAGCGGAAGGCTGACTTTCCAGCCTTGCCTGGCTGTGCGGCCATGTGACAAAGCTCTGTCATTTCCTGGTTGTGCTTTAAAAGGAATCTGTATGTGAGCTCCATGCTTCTGTCCATCTTCCCACTGGCTGAGAAACACTGTGATAAAGTGGCTGAGATTTCCATTTTTGTTTAAGCTCTACATTACTGGGTGGCCTTCTTTGTAATAGCAGCTTACAATAAATCCTAACTAATACTGTATAGTACCTCTTTAATTTTCTTTGCCCAAGAGAGCTGATAAATTTGTGTAGTAACTCAAATTTCTCCTGCAATCCCTGTATTATCCCTATTTAAAGAAAACAATGAGAAATTGCTGTTACTTTTTAAACTGGGAACAAGGACTCTGGAAAAGAATCCAGCCCCTACTTTTACTGTCGCGAACTTTATCCATGATAGAGTCCACTTACTTCTTTAAAACACATGCAGTTGATTGTTAGTCTCTAAAGAAGTGAAGACCCCCTAGGGAAAGCTGTTAATGCGGATTTTCAGTAAAAGAAAACAATAGACATATATAGATTCCAGTTCTCCATACTACACAGGCTTTCCTAAGCCTGGCCCCACACCTAGCTTCTTCTGGGCTGCAGATTTTCTTGCCTCCCAGCTTCAGCTGCCCCTGTTTTCCTGTTTCTAACACTCTCCTTTTGTCCTCAGGAGTCATTATGGAGACATAACTAACCTTCAGTCCCTGTATATTAGGATTAGAATAATTAAGATCATATGAAGGGTTGGAGTTTGGAACACTCAGCAAAGCTGAATTGGATTCCTACTATCAAGTTATTTGAATCCTTTCAAACAGCCAGTGGTATAGCCTGTAGAGCCTCCCAGCCCCTGCCTAACCTCTGGAAAAATCTTGTCTCAAAATAAACACTATTGCAGATTAAAACCAAGATTCTCAGGAGGGACTGCTTAGCATCAACATGTTGCCTTGCTTATGTTAAGCCATCCCTGCTCTGGTGCTGGGATGGAGAATAATTGCCAGGATTGTGTGGAGGCCCATCATTTTGCTTTCTCTGAAGCAGCTTTATCAGGAACAAGCCCCAGGGTGGCATTACTTAATCAATAGCAGAGATACAGAGAGAGAAAGAGAGTTCACAATAAACTGATTGCTGCATCTGGTTTCCTATGAGCAGTTACAAGACAAGTGAAAGTCCTCTAATCTCATCAAGCAACCAGACAGATTGATTTTGAGTTCATTAATAGTTGCTGGGGTGAAGAAGAGAGAAAGGAAAAAGAGAAAATGAATACATCATTGGGATCTACACCCTTAATGCAGATCAAGAAGCTCTTTCAAAAACCATTCCTGGCTAGTAGAGAGCACTGAGCAAGGATCTGGTGCCTGGCCTGGAACCACAATTAACACCCAAGGCCTGAGAGTAACATCTTCCAACCAGGAAACCACATGTTTTCAATTCATCTGCAAAGCACCCAAAATACAAGTGAAAAGAAAACTCCTGTGCTATTTATGCAGATATTTTACTTACATAATCTCAAATAGCTTTCATCCAAATACTTGGCACCATTTAGATTTATAGAGGTGCTTTAGCAAACTCAGAGCTACCTATCAGCCTTACCTACCACAGGAAAAAACAAAACAAACTGTGACTATGCCTGAAAAGAACATGAAATAACAATAAGTCAATTTGACTTTGGATGTAGGTGCTTCTAACTCAGCTAATTCAGAATTGGTAGAGGGCCGGCATATCAAGATTACATTGTCCCTCCAAGCTCCTTGTACTCCCTTCTCTGATAACCAACATGCTAATATTCGAAAGAGCTAGTGACCCATCAAAAAGTGGGTATTTTTGATACAGGTGTCTTGTTGTTTTATAGAACTGGTATATTCCTTGAAGGCTGTATACAAATTGATCCAATAGTAAAATACACGGAAGTGGCCAGTTTTGCTTAGAGGAATCACAATCCTCATGAATAGACAACTGTCTCCTAATATATCAAGTTTTTAGTACTAAATTTTAAAATATTGTGCTTTCTTGCAGCAGTCACACCTATTTCCTGTCAGTGTGAAGTTCAATCAAAGGCAAGCAAGGTGCTTTCAGACAGGCAGTTAGAATTTTACAGCAACATTTTAGTGGGCGACATTTCTCTGAGCTCTTTTTCTTTCTCAGTAGTCCATGGTAACTTACGAGACTCCTTTATTAGCTACACAAATATTTATTGACTATCTATTATGGGCTCAGCATTGAACTATTATTAGTGATATAATAGACATCGCGTGGACATGGTTTTTCACCTGCAACGACTCAAGACCACTAATGAGGGTTGTGAAATGTGTTAGCTTCAAAAGGTATGGGCTGTTAGAACTTGGATGAGGAGGGCCTGCCCTGGGAAGGAGAGGTAAGTTATTCCAGCAGAACCAACAGTTGAGTACAACCTGAGGGGAAAGAGCAAGGTGTGTTTGAGGAACTCAAAGATGTATGGTAAGAGTTTAGGGAGAAAGGCAGAGAGCAACCGGATTTGTGGCCAGGAAATGTGCAGGGGGACAGCAGCTGCAGCACTCACAGAGAATGTAGATTGATTTAGATACTCCAGAGAGGACGAGGAAGGCCCAGAAGACTTCTTCACAAAAGTCTTAACACATGAGGGTTGAGAAGATATCTTTTTTTTTTTTTTTTTTTTTTTTGAGACAGAGTCTCACTCTGTCGCCCAGGCTGGAGTGCGGTGGCACCATCTCTGCTCACTGCAAACTCCACCTCCCGGGTTCACGCCATTCTCCTGCCTCAGCCTCCCCAGCAGCTGGAACTACAGGAGCCTGCCACCAAGCCCGGCTGACTTTTTTGTATTTTTAATAGAGACGGGGTTTCACCGTGTTAGCCAGGATGGTCTCGATCTCCTGACCTCGTGATCTGCCCGCCTTGGCCTCCCAAAGTGCTGGGATTACAGGCGTGAGCCACCACGCCCAGCCGAGAAGAGACCATTTTGATGATAGACTGGAGAATCCATTGTGGGTGGAGCATGGAAAAGAAGAAAGTTGGAGACCCGATGGAAGACGCTGCAGCCGCCAGGGAGATGCACAATGATGAACCTGTGTGCAGTTGGCTCACATCTTTTGTGGTTCACCTCACCCACCTTGTGCTTCCTACTGCTCAGAGCCCATTCAGGCTTCCCCCATCCTGACCCAGCTTGGTGAATGAGCCGGGTCATCAGATCCTTCCATTCTCCCATTTGCGAGGCTCTGTTAGGAAGGCAGTGATGTTGCTCAGCCATTAAAAGGGTAAAGACAGTAACAACAACCGTGAAACTAAACCAGGTACGTTCTAAATCTTCTGTGAAGTAGACACAGTTTTTCCTTGTAGAGAGGAAAGTTTTAGATAAACAACAGAGAATCAGTAAATAATTCAGCCTATGACCTTGATGCTTATTGATTCCTGCAGCTGTTTATCTTTCTCTAGGCTACCCAGGAAAGAAAAAGCCCTCCAAGAAAAAAAAACAGTTACCACTTAATTATAAAATTGCTTGGCTTCGGAGAGCCTTCTGGTTAGTTTCTGAACACTACAAGGAGGTTAAGTTAATCTCTGTAAACCACCCAGCCTGACCAAAGCTTCTGTTTAAAAATTTTAAAGACAAGCTTCATTATTCTCTGGTACGGATGAAAACATAAGAGAAAGAAACACTCAGATATTCTTCTCATTTTCAGACATGTAGTATATTCAGCCATTCAAATGACTTGAATGGCTGGTTATTTCTCACTTATGGGATTTGAATACAGGTTGATTCTAGCCACAGGGGCGCCAGATGTATTAAGCACTTGGGGTGCATATGTGAGACGCAGTAAGCCCTTGATCCATGTCTGGGGATAGTAACAGTGACAGTTAGAGGGAAATGGTAATAATTGCTGGGGTGGCTGTAGTGGCAATGCTTCAGATTGGGCCGAGAGGGCAAAAGGAAAAGGACGCGTCGTTGTTTGTTGTTGCGTTTTTAACACAAATAATTTATCTTTCAACCTCAGTTTGGATAAAAGCTGGGGTCCTGAAGTCTGCCCTGGTTTCCTGGTTTCACCAGTCACTCCTTTCTCACCATGAGCATCCACAGCCACCCTGAGCATGAGGCTTGATCATGGCGGTGAGTTGGTGAGGAAGTCACCAGCTGGAATGTTGGAGTCTGAACAGATAAACTCTTAGCCCAGCTTGGCCTATTTCTTTATACTTATTACCTTAGCTCAGTGGTCAATAAAAATGCTTGGCTAGCAAACAGCCAGCCATATTAAAAAGTGGACAAAGGACTTGAGTAAACATTTCTCCAAAGAAGGTACGCAAATGGTAAATAAGCACATGAAAAAAATGTTCAACATCACTGATCATTAGGGAAATGCAAATTAAAACCACAACAAGACACAACTTTATACCCATGAGGATGGCTACTATGAAAAATAATAATAATAAACAGAAAATAAGTATTGAGGAGGATATATCGATTTTAGGACCCCTGTGAACTGCTGATGGGAACGTAAAATGGCATAGCTGCTTGGAAAACAGTATGGAGGTTCCTCAAAAAATTAAAAATAGAATTACTGTATGATCCAGCAATTTTCCTTCTGGGCATATACCTAAAACAATTGAAAATAGGGATCCAAACGGATATTTGTACACCCATGTTCATAGCAGCATTATTCACAATAGCCAAATGGCAAAAGCCACCCAAGCTGCATCCTTTGACAGCTGAATGGTTAAACAAATATATCTACAATTGAATATTGTTCAGTCTTAAAAAGGAAAGAAATTCTGACACACATTGCAGCATGGATGAATGTGAATACACATTACAGCATTGAGGACATTATGCAACATGAAAAAAAAGCCAATCACAATAAGATAACTACTGTATGAGTCCACTTACATGAGGTGCCTAAAGCAGTTGAAGTCAGAGACATGAGGTACCTAAAGCAGCTGAAGTCACAGAGACAGAAAGAAGAGTGGTTGCTAGGAGCTGGGGGAAGGGGGAATGGGGAGTTGATTAATGGGTGATTAATGGCTTTCAGCTTTGTAAGATGAAAAGACTTCTGGAGATTGGTTACACAACAATGTGAGTGTACTTAACACTATTGAATTCTACACTTAAAAATAGTTAATATGAAAAATTTTATGTTACATGTATTTCACCACAATTAAAAATAAAAAAAGAAAGCTTATCTAACTTCTGGAAATGAGTCGTTTTCAACAAGAATATGAACAGAACCAGGCAGTTCTATCTCAACCCTTCTTCCAAGAGCTGATTTGCCGAAATACTTCGAACATCTAAGTGCTCTCATAGTTCCCCACTTTCTAAAATATGATGGACAATAATACCTAATTAATATCTCATTAAGGCGTTGGGATTGAGAGAAGCCATTTAGACCAAGAAAAGCATACACCTGTCACAGAGACCAGCCACCTGCCTCTCCCTAAATCAGGAAGGAAAACTGCAGCTCATACATTCACCTCTGGTGCTGGGGAAGTGCTGGATCCCTGAGTCACCTGTTTCTGCAGGGTCATTGATAAAATCTCCCTCTCTTAATAATGCACTCTCACCTTTCTTTAGCACGTGCCATGCTGGCACACAATTAACTGCATATCACAGGGAGGTCTGTGCCACTCTCCCATTCTGTCATTGTGGACGCTGAGGTACACACATGGGGCTTGAACCCACATCCTATGAAGCCAAGTTCAGAGGACACACTCTGCTCTCAACCTTCCATCTTTCTTCATGACTGTTGCTCATGTCTAGAAAGCTTTCTTTCTCTTTCTTTCTTTCTTTTTCTTTCTTTCCTTCCTTCCTTCCTTTCTTTTCTTTAAATATCCACACTCTACCCATCCTCCAGACGTGATTCAACTCTTTCCTTCACTCCTGACCTCCCTGCCTTCTCCCCACTCTTGAAGCCTCTTCCAATATCATTTCAATATCCCACTCTGACCATTGCCTCCTTTATCCCTTAATCTCCTCTCCCCACACCCCACCTCTCACTTGACAGGCTCCTTGACTTCCTTGCAATCCTTCAAATGCAGCAAGCACATTCCAGCCTCTGGAACTAGGCCCTCAGGGATGTTTCCTCTGCTTGGAATGCTTTTCCATCCAATGACCACATGGCCAATCTCCTTCAGAAAGTTCCCTGACCACTCTATGTAAAATATCAGTCCATCACCCTCACCCTTTGAACCCCTGTCCACTTCACATCAGGTAGAGATTACTGCTGTCCACCATACGCATCACCATCTGATGTATCAAATGTTTTACATATTCACTTATGGCCTGTCTCTACCCCCAAGAATGCAAGCTCCACGAGGGAAAGAATTGTGTTCTTCTCATTGCTGCATCAGGGTTTAGTGCTCAGCAGGTGCTCAGAAATATGTTTGAGTGGATGAATGAACTCCTACAGTTTTACACACAATCTAGCATAGAGCTGTGTATAACTCTGTATTGTTTACAATATGTTCTGAGAAACAATAGCTCTATGGAGTGTTAATAGCGGTTATGCAGGAAAAAAAAAGCATTTTCCTGCCAACCTAATTTGATGAAAGCCCAGCTAAAGTTAAGCATGTTTTTCCTTCAAGATTCCTGAGACCCTTTCATATTATGCTTTGACATGTTGATGTGGTCCCAGAGCTCTGTGGGGCAGGCACCCAATACAGGACTCTCCCAGCCGCATGCCCACAGTGATAATTTTGGAGGGGCATCTGCATAACAGTGCTGACATGCTGTGTGGTGTTAATGACTTCTGCCTGCTGGTGAATTTCTTCCTCCTCTGTGGCCTCAAGTTTCTCAATTTCTTTATGGTTAAGAACAGGGTTCTGATTGGCCAAAGGCTTGTTTTGATAGTAGGATTTTAGTCTCAAAGAGGCACTCTTGGTTTTGTTTGATTCCCATTCACTCAAAGGTATTCTGCTCCATAGAAACACTGGCCATGCCCCCTCAGCACACCCAATCCATCTGGTAATCAGGAAAACTGCTGAAAATAGGGGAGACCTGGAGCTTAATAAAACTGAACTCTCCAAACCAAACAGAGCCTTCGTGCCTTGCTTGCCACTACAGCACAAAGCAGGAGTTGGTGGGAAGCATGACCAAGAGCCAAGTGAGAGTCAGGTTAGGGTTTCTTCTCCGTGGTTAGGAAGGAGCCGCCAGAGATGTGTGAGAGATCTCGCCTCAGGACTGAGCTATGGAGCCACACAAGCGAGAAATCCAAATGCTTACACTCAGATTCAGGCAGACATCCAAGCTGCCTGCCTCAGGAGCCCCTGGGGTCTTGGTCCTTGTGGGGCACCCATCACTGCTTAGCCCTTCACAGCTGTCAGCAGGGAGCCCACTAGATGGCAACCTCATGTCAGCTGTAATGAAAGAGAGGCAGAGTCCGACAGAGAGATTCTAAGCAGTTAATATTTATTGAGTGCTTACCTTGTGTCTGGCACAGTTAGAAGCTTTTTCACTCCTTATTCATTTGATCTGCATAATCGTTGTGAAATTCATATTATATCCCTATTTTACAAATTTGAAAACTGAGACTCAGAGAGGTCACAGCAATAATTTGCTCAAGGTCACGTGGCTAGTAAGTTATCCAGCCCGACCTCCTTGCTGGAAGACAAGGTTTACTATACCCAGCAGTACCTGAGAGACAGTGAGAACAGGAGCAGAGCTCTGAGAGACACAAAATTGGTGAGGAGTGGAGTAGAGGGTAGAGATGCAGAAAGCAGGTCATTCTGCTTCTCTGAATATCTACATTCTACTCTCTTGAGCCCAGATGAGAGCCCTGGAACTTGTCTCCAGAAAACAGAAGGCAAATAGCAAAAATTCGGGGGATTATATTAAACCCTGGTGAGAAAATCCTAACTTTGCAAAAGGAGCCAGGGAGAAGCTGGGGATACAGAGTGGAGAGTCTTTCAGTTTTCAGCTTTCTCAGACGACCCATTGACTTCTCAATGCAACACAACCCTAGGTCCAGGCATCCATCTGGGAGACTTGGTGAAGAGGAAACAGCTTCTTTGGAATAAGGCTGAAATTTAGGACGATGGCATTTACACAATCAGTAATGGTTTCTTGAGTTCCCAACATATGCTAAGGTTTTTTCCAGGAACCATTGGCTAGGAAGCATTTTTGCTACTAAGGAATATGCAAAATGGCCCCCACTCTCAAGTAGCCTACAGCAGGGTTGGGGGAATGGAAGGCGAAGTCGCGAGTGAACACCTAACAACGCAAGAGAAGATACAGAGAATGTGGAGATGATAAACACTAAAGAGTTTTAGCAAAGTGTGTCCGAGCGTTGCAGGAAGTTCTCACATAGGAGGTCACAGGCACCATAGCACATCAGGAAAAGCATGGGAAGCAACAGCAGGCAGTGAGTGTATCTGGAGGACCACACAGAGAAGCCACACAGAGACAGAGGGGAGAGGCCAGGCCACTGTGCTGGGCTTCTAATGCTAGTTTAGGATATTTGGACTTTAACCTCTAAGGACCACAGACTTACAAACAGGAAAGTAGCAGATCAGAAGGGATATTTAATGAGTTCAAAACAATTGCAGGATGCAGACAGGATGGCCCTAGGGAGAAGAGGCTTGGACGCACTTGTGGAAGGGTTTGCAGGGTCTAGTGAATATGGGTTCTTTTCACATGTTCAGTACTCATTTCCTCTTCTCCTAATGGGTGGACTGGGCCTAGATTTTCATTCGGGACCCATTTCCTGTCCATCTCAAGCCCTGTGTTTTGGGAGGAGCTGATTCTACTCCCACTTCCTTTCAGAGACAGATGTGAGGCCCAGGCCTAGTTAGGCAGAATAGTCCTCCCCGCTCACCACGCAGAGTGGTAAACAGGCCCCATCTCAACGTGGCCCCGTGGGAGTCAGCTCTTGTGTTTTTCCAGGAACCATTGGCTAGGAAGCATGTTCTTGGCATGGAGGATGCTGGGTGGGGGTGAAAGCCGAGAGAAGCAGGTGGCCTCTTGCAATGCTGGGGAAAGAGGAATGACACTGGAACAGGGCATGGCGGGCAAGATTTCCAAAGTGACAGAGCCCCTGGATTCAGCCGTGTCTGATATGTGCTCTGGAGAAAAACACTCAAACCAAGTAAAGAGGCTGCAGATAACCAGACATGTTGAGGAACAGTGCTCTGAGAAGGTGACATTGGCCGTCTTTCCCATCTTCTCTCCTTGGGAGCTCTCTGTCTAACCCAGCTGGTCTCTAGTGAAGGACACTAAGGAGCGAGAGCTACGGGGAGTGTGCAGCAAGAGGGAAGAGCTGAGCGCAGCCCTTGGCCAGGCGTGCTCACGATGCCTGAGGGACAGCAGGAAGGCCAGTTTGGCTGGAACTGGCTGAGCAGGAGGGAGCGTGACAGCTGGGGGTCAGGCCACAAAGCCTTGTCATCCTTTGAAAGGGGCTGGAGTCTACTCTCAGGGTGGATGGAAGCCATTAGAGAGTTCTGAGTTGTGGAATGACATGATGCAACCAATGTTTAAAAGGGTCACTCTGGTCAGAGGGCTGAGAATAGACCAGACAGGACAAGGGTAGGGGGTAAGAAGATGAGCTGAAAGGTGGGAAACACCCACCCCTGGGCTGCAGCCAGTATCCTCTGAGATTTTGTCGTTAGAAATCAGGGTCTGGAGTAGGATGATGGCTAGGAAACAAGGCAGAAGGGAGGGCTGAGCAGGAACAGTGACAGAAGAGTGGGCACACAGAGGAAGAAGGCAGGGGAAAGAGTGCATGAGCTCTTGGCCAGGCTCAGGAGGGGAGTACATACTGAAGACAGCCACCTCCTCCCTCACCTCCATTCTGCCAGCCCGGTTTCTTCTTTCTTTTCCCCAGGGAGTGCTGAGAATCAGAGCATGCTCAAATGTCCATTTGAAGGGAACCTTGGCCGTGGAAGAGGGCAGAGGCGCGTGTAAATTCCAGCTGCAAATATGAAGCCCCCGTCAGTCCTATAGCTCAGGGATCCTCCATTGAGGTCAGGAGGCTTCTCCTGCACAGTGGAAAAGTCAGAAATTGATCTCGCTTTTAGCATTTACCAGGCATTCTCTGAGGAGGCCGCTTCATCAGCCTCAGGGTTTGTCTTTGCAAAAGACAACTTGTTCTTCCTCCTCCCATCCCCAGCCATGCTCCTGCTGCTCCCAACTGTCCTTTGTCTCCTAGTGTTAGTTTTGAGTGTGCACATCTTTTCCCAGGTTTTCTTACTGACACTTGGACCCTAGAACCCATCTCAGCATTTGGCATGCAGGGGGTGCTCGATGAATAAATATCTGTTGAATGCTGTTGAATAAATAAGTTATTGTCATTGACTGCCTACCACCTCATTGTTTAACATCACCTCACATCTGCTCTGGGTCCTGAGAAGAAGCCAGATTTCAGCCCAGGGAAGTGTGTGAAAGATACTTTTAATCTTACCTCCCACAACTCCCTGCTTGAGGAAACTAGACCACACCCCCTGCTCTTCTTGCCCTGTGACAAATGCAGATGCATACTTTTGTCTCAAACACTATCTAATTCAAAGGCTTTATATGCAGATGCATACTTTTGTCTCAAACACTATCTAATTCAAAGGCTTTATACTAATTGCTATGGGGCTACAAAACTGTGAAACAACCCCCACCTTCTAGAAAACAGGGCTAAACAAGGCTTCAACGGACTGGCAATTAGGGAACTTCACTTCTCATCCCTCTTCTGCCAAAGATCTGACTTTTGCAATCTTGGATAAGGTATTCCCATTTTGAGATCTCTGTTTTCTCATCTATATAATGAGAGTGTTGGGAGGGACAATCTGCAGGCCATTTTCAATTTAGGTATTTTATGATTAGAAATGAAGTAAAATCTGAGGCAATGAGAGACAGGAGATATCACAGCAAATGGGAGGTAGGACAATGACTTATGTAAGAGCAGAGCCTTGGAGTCAGGATGGGAATTATAAGAGCACCATCCTCAGTTGGTTGTGTAAACCGAGTATCTGAGACAGGTCTCAATCAATTTAGAAAGTTTATTTTGCCATGGTTAAGGACGCGCCCATGACACAGACTCAGGAGGCCCTGACAACATGTGCCCAAGGTGGTTGAGGCACAGCTCTGTTTTCTACATTTTAGGGAGACATGAGACATCAATCAATATATGTCAGATGTACATTGGTTCGGTCCAGAAAGGTGGGACAGCTCGAAGTTGGGAGGGGGCTTCCAGGTCATAGCTAGATAAAACACAAATCGTTGCATTCTTTTCAGTTTCTGATTAGCCTTTCACTGAATACACAATTTACAGGAATAGTCACTTATGCCTTAATCTGGCTTAGTGAAACGATAGGGCAAAGGAAGCAATCAGATAGGCATTTGTCTCATGTGAGCAGAGGGATGACTTTGAGTCCTGTCTGTCCTTTGTCCACAAGGAATTTCCTTATGGACAAATTGTGAGGGAGGTATGTAGCTTCCTTATCTTAGTAGTTACCCTTTCCAAAAATGTAATGGAAGGCAGGTTTGCCCTAAGCAGTTCCCAGCTTGACTTTTCCCTTTGGCTTAGTGATTTCGGGGTCCTGAGATTTATTTTCCTTTCACAGTTGTTAGTAAGAGTAAATGAGTTAATGCATGTTAATATGGCAAAGTATTTAACTACAGTAGAACCTCAATACATTATCATATCTAATGACCAAGTCAATAGTCCATAGCAGCACTATCCAATAGAACCTTCTATGCTCCACATCTGGGCTGTCTAAATGCGGTAATCACTCACCACTTGTGGCTATTGACAGTTTCAATGACTAGTGAGACTGAGGAACTGAATTTTTAATTGTGATTAATTTAAATTATTTTAAACATAAACAGCCATATGTAGCTAGTGGCTCCTGCATCTGACAGAGTAGGTTTAGACAGTAAGAACCACCAGAGATTTAAAAGGAGCAGTGAGGTGTGGTATATACCTAGATAATGGAATATTATTCAGAGCTGAAAAGAAACGAGCTATTGAGACATGAAAAAAACCTGGAGGAAACTTAAATGTATATTACCAAGTGAAAGAAGCCAATCTAAAAAGGAATCTGTATGAGCTGTATGATGCTAACTGTATGACATTCAGGAAAAGGCAAAACTCTGGAGACAATAATAGGATCACTGGTTGCCAGGGGGTAAGGGAAGGGAAAGATGCATAGACAGAGCACAGAGGATTTTTAGTGGAACTACTCTATATGAGACTGTAATGGTGGATGCATGGCATCGTACATGTGTTCAGACCCACAGAATGTATAGAATCAAGAGTGAACCCCAGTGCCAATTATGGACTTTGGGTGACAATGATGTGCTGATGTAGGTTCATCAATTGTAACAAATGTGCCACTCTGGTGGGGGGTGTTGATAATGGGGAGGCTATGCTCGTGTTGGGACATAGGTATATGGAGACTCTCTGTACCTTCCTCTCAATTCTGTTGTGATCTAAAACTACTTTAAAAACTAGTGTATTTAGAAGAAAAAACAAGCAAGAGGATGCTTGGAAAAAGTGGGGTTTGCAGTAACTTCTCAAGAATGGATTGGTATGGACAGCAGGGATTGTGTTTGTAAGGACCGGTAGCCTTCAGGAGCTATGAGTTAGCCAATGGGGTCAGAACAGAAGGTTTCCATGAAAGAGAAAAGTGAGATAGGCTGGAAGATTCCTGAACTCAGGCTGGGGAAAACTGTGAATTCCAGGTTAAAGAGCCTAAAATGTACTCAACAACCCATTGAGTTGCTCAGATTTTCAGCTAGTGCTGTGAGAGATCAAAAACGTGTTTTGGAAATAAGAGTGTCCTCAATAAGCAATGTTCTTTGGGACAGTAAGTTTTTCGAGGGTCAGTTCTATGACTTCCAGTTAAATCATGTGAGCTTCCTGCCATCGCACCAGGAACTCAAAAGTACTTAAAACAATTTAAATCAAATAAATAGATAGCTTTGCTCAGGATCATGCTGCTTTACAAGAATCTTCCATTACCAATGTGGTGTGTTGCCCATATTGGCTGGAAAATTACAGGCTTTTAGGGACTCCTGCTTGATGGATTTGTCTAAATGTGTCTAAAAGGAAGTGTACAATGTAGACCAAATCAGCACTGGGGGCTCGGCATTCATAACGCTTAAGTATCGAGGAAAGATTTTCATTTGTGCTCTCCTGCAGTGCACCATCTTCAAAGGTCCCAGATTTATTATTTCATCAACAGATCGGAGAGGGGAGTTTGTATGAGATCAAACAAACACGAGTACTATGGGAAGGCTGGCAGGTGATAGTGTATAAATTGCACGATGGAAAATGTCAAAAGTTGACATCAGAGCAGTAGGAGGGTAGGGAACACACAGAACTGAGAACAAATGATCCTGCCTTTCTGGGAGCCAATTCCTTACACAGTCCAGCTAATGCACTGCAAGCAACTCGGGGCTCAAAAACCCACTGAGAATCCACTGCAACCCATTAACTCAAAATACATCCTTTATTTTGAGTTATATAGTTTATATTTGTGTTTATTATTTTATATTTATTAAATTTTTTAAAAAGCGTCTCTTCATTTCTACACCTGTTCCCATCTCATTTCCATTGTTATCTTTGCTTTCTTCCTCCTCTCTGTCTCTCTCACTCTCCTCCCCCGCCACACACACAAACATGCTTTCTTTTTAATCTTCCCTGTGTGTATCCCCTTGTTTCTTTTACATCTCATTCTTTGTATTTGCTTGTCCAGTCTTTCAAGAGCCATGCCTTGATAGTTAAAGCATCTCCAAGGTAGAAAATTATTATGCCCTGTGTTAATGTCAGAGGCCTGTGGACTTACAGACTTAGATACAAGAAAGACAGTAAAAAGTCTATCCTACCAAGCTCTATGTTCCTGAACAGACACTTTGTCCTGAATCAGATTCTGTATATCTGAGGAACAGGGCAGCAGGCAGTTATGGGACATTCACTTTGTGCGGGAAAGATAGTCTGGGCTTTATGTGTATCGGCTCATTTCTGCACTGCCCCCACCACCTCCAGTAGTCTCTGCCAAAAGGCCATCTGAGAGTGAGCCTTTCTTAATTTATTTTAATTTTATTCTGTGTTATTTTTATGGGTACATAGTAGATGTGTATATTTATGGGGTACATGAGGTCTTTGGATACAAGCATACAATGTATAGTAATCACATTAGGGTAGCTGGGGTATCACCTCAAGCATTAATCATTTCTTTGCATTTTAAACATTCCAATTACACTCTTTTAGTAATTTTCAAATTTATGATAAATTATTATTGACTGTCGTCACCCTGTTGTGGTATCAAATACCAGATCTTATTTATTCTAACTAAATTTTTGTACCCATTAATTATCCCCACTTCCCCCTCCCCATCACCATTACCCTTCCCAACCTCTGACAATTATCATTCGACTTTCTATCTCCATGAGTTCACTTATGTTAATTTTTAGCTCCCACAGATAAGTAAGAATGTAGGAAGTTTGTTTTTTTGTGTTTGGCTTATTTCACTTAACATGATGTCCTCCAATTCCATCCAGCTTGTTCCAAATGACAGGATCTCATTCTTTTTTATGACTGAATAGTACTCCACTATGTACCACGTTTTCTCTATCTGTTAGTCTGTTGATGGACACTCGGGTTGCTTCCAAATGTTGGTTTTTGTGAACAGTGTTGCAACAAACATGTGAGCACAGACGTCTCTTCAGTAGACTGATTTCCTTTTAGGGGGATATATACCCAGCTGTGAGACTGCTGGATCATATGGTAGTTTTATTTTAGTTTGTTGGGAAACCTCCATACTGTTCTCCACAGTGGCTGTACTAATTTACATTCTGGAAGTGAGCCTTCCTTGACCGCCTGACATAAAGAACCACCGCTCTCTGCCCAACCCTCTAATCTGTTGCCTGACTTATTTTGTATCACTTTTCATTACTTAAAACTAGAGTAATATTTCTTTATTGACAGAAATAAGTATTTCTTTTCTCCTCTATTAAAATGCAAGTGCCAGCCCGGCATGGTGGCTCACGCCTGTAATCCCAGCACTTTGGGAAGCCAAGGTGGGCAGATCATGAGGTCAAGAGATCGAGACCATCCTGGCCAACATGGTGAAACCCCATTTCTACTAAAAATACAAAAATTAGCCAGGCATGGTGGCATGATCCATGATCCTGTAGTCCCAGCTACTCGGGAGGCTGAGGCAGGAGAATTGCTTGAACCCAGGAGGCAGAGGTTGCAGTGAGCCAAGATTGTGCCACTGCACTCCAGCCTGGTGACAGAGCGAGACTCCATCTCAAAAAAAAAAAAAAGAAAAAGAAAAAGAAAAAAAGCAAGTGCCATCACATCTGAACCCTCCACTGCACTGTGAAGTAGGGACTACTAAGAACTGCATTTCCCAGATGGAGACAACATGAGAGTGCAGAGCTAAGGGACTTCACCAATGTCCTTCAGCTACCAAGGTGCAGAGCAGAGATGGGAACCCAGGCACACGCCTTTTACTCCAGAGTGAGTGCTCTTTAACCACAGCACTTGGCCTTCTTCATGGCAGTGAGACATGGATTCTAAGATTAGACCTTTATCTCCAACAAGAGGCAAGCTTGAATGTGGCTTCCATATAAAAACCAAAATAGACTGATGATCCCAAATTACTTCTCTATTCTCTCCTTTCTTAGTGAGGAAAGCTAGAGAGCAGCAACAAATTCTAAACCCCTATAAAAACATGGACTATCAGAATTTTTCAGAATACAAGTTTCTAATGTTATGTACAGTTGCTGGCATGACATGGAGTTTCATCAACAATCTGTTTATTTTTGCTCCCATGTTTCTATGACGTTCCGAGCCTCTCCGAGAATATGTAGCTGGTATGCTACCAGAATCCAATAAATGTCACTTTACTTTATTTCTCAAAATCAGACTTAATCTGCTCTAAGCTCCCAGCTACGAATCTCAATAATTTGAGGCCTCCTCTCTCTCCTTCCATAGAGTCAAATGATTGTCCCGATATTTATTTTTTCTATTTCTGCAGCCATCTGCAGACATCTCTGCCCAGCACTGGCCCTTGGTACTTGTCATCTGCTATCCCTCTCTCCGGCACTCTGCTTTGGGTATACTTGTCTATGTTGTTCCCCACAGCCTGTTTTGAGGAATACAGCCTTGCACCTGGGGATGCTGAAGAATGGGTCTCTCCCTCAACTGTCTCTGGGAAAGCTCCAATTCTGTCTCTGAATGTACAGTTTTTGCTTCTGCAATGCAAACAATACTATCTAATCCTTCCTCTTCAGGGACAATGCAACACCATCTTCCTCAAAAAGACCTTACAAACATTATCCTGCCCCTTCTCCCTGGACTTAAATAGGGAAAGGAGATACTAATTCAGTTACTTTTGTTTTTTTTAGTGAACACAGCCCATTACCTATAGTGTCTGTTTCGGATTCATTTGTGCTACTATAAAATTTTTATTAATTCCCTTCACATCCTGACCATTTGGACTGCCAAGTTGGTGCTACATTTGGCTGACAAATGGATTTACTGTAGCCAAGGGAGAAGAAAACTCCTTTCCTTCTGCAGATGACATCAGACACATGATTTCTTCCAGGATCCCATGACACAGGACCCTTCCCTTAGGTGGCTAGCAGCACCCCTGATAAACCCTCACTGAAAGTGAGGTCCACGGGCATTGGGCCCAGAGGCAGTGCCCATGCCACCATCTCTAGCTCAGTGCCTGCTGCTGCTATGCACGCTGACACAACTCACAAGTTATTAACAGCTGAACAGAATTCCGAACCTTCTGTTCCTAACACATTTCTAACACCCTTCATAATCCACAGTTGTTATCAAAAGACATTTGCAGCTGTGAAGAAAGGTGGGTGGGCAGACAAAATAAATTAATAAATAAAGAGTTTCCGTGTAGCATGCTCAGCTTGGCGCAGACTGAAATCTTACCACGACCTATGTCAGGATAAGGCAACCTAATCGGGTTTCTTTTCATTCTCTGCCCTCATGCAGAAGAACCTGCTACTGATGTCAGTCAGATAGTGGGTCCACAATTATACAGCACCTACAGCATGCAAGGAAACATCTTGCTGTTAGGAAAGAGACAAATAGCCAACCAGGAAGACAAAGACCTCATGGTATGATTGAAACCCAATATCAACAACTCTCCATCATTTTGAACCTGTAAAGTAACCATAAATGATAATAAACAATGCACATGTATCAGAAGCAAACTTCAAATCCAGCAAAAGTGGAAGATGCTCCCTTTGCTTTAATCCTGACATCCACTCTGCTTTCCAACTTCAGTCCCTCTGGCTTTTAAGCATCTGAATGGTGGAAGAGGCTGAACATGGAGGCTTAATTGATTAACACTCCACAGAGGGGTAATAAAAATAGCTGATCCCCCCAAAATAATTTAACAGTTCTGAAGATCTGATTGAGAGGGTTTTCAATAGATTTAAAAATCTGAGTATTATCTAAGTCAGGGTGTCAAAAGAAGAAGGAAAATGATTGGGCTAAACCACAGCCAGCTAGCCGGCCATCTTGCAAATATTGATTGAATATCTCTTCCATCTCCTTTATGTCAGGCATGTGCTAGGCACTGAGGATAAAATGATGATACATTCCCTGCTCTGGAGAGGCTCATAGGCTAGTGAAGGAGTAATTTTCCTGTGGTAGGACATGGGATCTCACTGTGGCCTACATGGGGTGCTGTGGAGGGCAAATGGAGTGGACAAGGGAAAAGGGAGTTAGGGAAACTGTCTGGAAGGAAGAGATCCTTGCTAAGTCTTCAAGGACAAGAAAGAGTTAGCCAGATGGAGAAAAATGAGAAAATTATTCCAGGCAGAGTGTATAGCAGGTGCAAAGGTTTATAAAGGAATGAGGAAACCAAATGCATTTGGATAATTTCCATTAGTTCTGTGTGATTGAAATATAAGCTTGATGTGGGAGTAGCAAGGAGTAGGGCTAACGCACATTAAGAAAAGTCTTGTGAGTCATGCCAAGGAATGTGAAATTTATCTCGAGGTTTGAGAGGGAGCCTTCCAAGCATGGAAAGCGGAAAGGCATGGGTGGATTTATAATATGGGAAGTCAGTCTCACATCAATGTGAAGGGCAAAGATGGGACAAATGGATAGGCTGGAGACTGGAGCCAGGGAGACCTGTTTATGGACCATTCAAAATTTTCAGGCAGAAATAGATAAGGCCCTTAACCGAGAAATAAAAATACATATCAATGATGACCACTTAGAAACATTTCAGTTCTTATGCACTGTTTCCTCCATTGAGAATACTACTAGTGGTACTAATTCTACCATAATGATAGTATTTCTACAAAGATTATCATAGTGAGCTACTGGAAACCTAATGAATGCACACAGTATTTTTATTTCTAAGGTTTCTAATACCAGGAAGGAGGGATATCCCATTGTGCTTTTGCTTACAAAGTCTCCTACTTCAGCATTATTCTGATTGATGTGGGGGCTGGGAGGAAAGGGCACTTCCAGTTTGGGTCTAGTAAATTTATTCACACTGAGATATGAATCAGCTTAATGGATCATCCCTTCCAGGTTCTTCCCTCTCCCATCCCCTAACCTACCCCAGCAGACTAAGGTTTAACTTAAAGCTAAAATATAGACTCTCTAATCATAGACTATCTGGTGTGGTTGAAGTTAAGATGAGGGAAGAGGCCGGGCGCAGTGGCTCACACTGGTAATCCCAGCACTTTGGGAGGCCAAGGCAGGCAGATCATGAGGTCAAGAGATCGAGACTATCCTGGCCAATATGGTGAAACCCCGTCTCTACTAAAAATACAAAAATTAGCTGGGCATGGTGGTGCACACCTGTAGTCCCAGCTACTTGGGAGGCTGAGGCAGGAGAATTGCTTGAAACTGGGAGTCGGAGGTTGCAGTGAACCGAGATCACGCCACTGCACTCCAGCATGGTGACAAGAGCGAGATTGCATCTCAAAAAAATAAAACAAAATAAAATAAAAATATAAAAAGAGGAAAAGGAGGCCTTCCATATATTCTTGAAGTCACACCTGAAGTCAAACTGGACCCAGAAGGGCTCCCCCATTAGTGACTGTGATGCAGAGGACAGATCAGTCAGGAATAGTGGAACAGACTCTGCTCCAGTGGAGAGGCCCGTAACAGAAAGACTCCAGGCCTTGGAATCAGGTAGACCTGGAAACTAGTCCCAGGCTGGTTTCTTCTCTGTCAAATGGAAGGGAAAACTGTGCCTGCAGTGAGAACTGAGCCAGATAATACATGTCAAGTCCCAGAACAGAGTATAGCTCAGGGTTCCTAAACCAGGGGCAATTCCTCCCCCACAGGGGACATTTGACTTTGGGGGACATCTGGAGGCATTTTTGGTTGCTACATCTGGCAACAGGGGAACCACCGGCATCTGGTAGGTAGAGACTTTGGACACGGCTAAACATCCACCAAGGCACAGGCCCCACAACAAGAATGATCCAGCCCCAAATTTCCATAGTGCTGTGGTTGGGAAACTCTTGTCTAGCCCAACAAGAAGAAAAAAAAAAAAAAATATATATATATATATATATATATTTTTTTATTTATAGCTCCTCACTCCCCTATGCTATGATCCCCCCAGAATACATATTAAAAGGAATACCTTGAAGCAGAGCTATCCAGCCCCAGGACGGCCTGTAGCTGCTGGCTGGAGGGATTAAGCTCGCTAATTCCCTCAGCTGCCTTCTCCATCAGGAGTAGAATGGCTGGTTTGCAAGGAGCTGGCTCATTCTGGCTTTAATCTGTTTATTTTCCCCTTTATTGTATTTTTTTAGTGAATTTTATTTTCCACAAAATAAATCAGGAAGCCTGACAACTTGTGAGGCTCACCCCTTCTCTGTGCTTTTTGGTCTGCCCCAGCCGCCACCCTTGTCATTTCCTGGCTGCATTCCTTCGCTGTACTGTGGCCCGAGCCCGAAGAGCACCATTAACTGACCACGGAGCTGGTGTGTATTCTCAGCAAGTGTTCCCAGGCAGCGCTGAGGGTTGGTGTTCACGTTTCCCAGTCAGCCTGTGGAATGGGCTGCTCTGATTAGGAGTCCGCTCTGCAGATTGCGTTTGAGCCCCTCCCTGCCCTTCCTTCTCCACACACACTCAGTTTGGCCCCGGGAAGCTCCACACCATTGTGAGCCAGGCATCCTCCAATTGACGCTCCCTTCCACACAAAATGAGGGCAAACACTTGAGAGAGAAGAAAGAAAACAACACGTTTTCTTCTCTATGTTCTTCATCCATATATATGCATGGACCCATTGCAGCACACATCATGCATACACTCGCTCGGAGCTATGCGCCCACAAAAGCAGAAAGGATGCTCAGAAGCGACGCCAGTGCTGATGGAAGACTGGCTTCCAGCCACAAGGACCACCAAGAGCGGATGAATATTTGCCTGCTGCCTGCTGCCTGCAAGAGGAGGCTGGGAGCTTATGCCATCTCCCTCCAAGGAACAAACCCCCTGGATGCCCCATGCCAGCGTCCCTTCTGCACAATCGTCTGTGCAGCCTCCGTTTCCAACCCTTCCCAATCTAGTCCTCAAAATCAAGCAAATGTGGTGATGGACACTGATCAGAGTCCCTAATCATTATCAGCTCAAGGTTTTCCAGTCTAAGACCTCCCACCCCCATGTCCAAGGGCTGGCTGAATTATCTGGTGACAATGCGAAAGAACTTACGGAGAGAATGAGGGATGGGAAAATGGAAATCACACATAATGGTCTATGGCTCCCTCCCTCCTCTTTCTCTGGAGCTTGTTACTCCTTTGGGGATGTGGGGGTGGGGAGACTTGTCTCTCTGTCTCTCTCCCAGGTTCTAGGACTTGCCCAGAGGGAGCCCAACCCTATTAGACCTCAGTGAAAAGAAGGACCCACAGGCCCAAGTAAAGGGAGGAAACTTTATTCCCAAAGTACTAACCTTTCTTGCCAGAAGTCACTTTGGCTAACACCTTATTTCTTGATCTTTCATTTTAAGCTACTGGTATATATTTTTCTGTGCTAGCAGCCTGATGGAAGCCAACCCTCGAAAGGCCTCAAATTCATCTCTACCCAATGTGCCCTCCGTGCTGTAAAGAGTGGAGGGGCAGGTTTCTCCTGAAGGACCATCTCTGCCTGTCACCAGCCTGCGCTGACACATCATGGCCTGGCCCAGCAGCCTGGCCCACTGAACGCTAAGCCCACCGTGGAGCTGCCCTGCAGCTTGACAGCTCTGAGAAGTTGCCATGGGAGGTGGGTCAGGGCCCAGCCCGGGGAATCAGGCAGGGCTTTCTGGAAGAATTCATGTCTGAGGACAAGAGTTTAAGATCGATTGGAAGTTGCCCAGGAGACAAGGGGATTGGGAGAGGAGAGCTGTTGTCTGATAAAGGGCATGGAAGGGCATGGGCCTGCTGCGGTTGGTAAGTGATTCCATGAAGGGAACAGAACAGAGAGGCTGGCTAGTGAGGAAGCAGGCTGGGGAGACAGGTGGCTGGGGCTGAGGCACCCAGGACCCTACTAAGACTTGTGGCCTCAAATATGCAGACATGCAGAGGTCCTGAGGGTTTAAATTTGGGAGTGAAATGATGAGATGCACTTCCTGGCAAGCCCCCTCTGGCTCCTGTGGGTGAGGGTGGTGCAGGGAGAGGAATGAGGCTCTGCTCTGTTTCAACATGACATCTCAGTGTCTCTCAGATTTATTGATAATACACGGAGCTAGTATCTGGGAACTGCAGCCACCAGTTTAGATGCATAAGACTGATCACATTTTTGGAACTCCCTTTAAGTGTCCTGTCTGATAAAGTTGTTAGAAAACTTTAACCACAGATTTTGAGGTGATGCTGCCTCACAGATTGAGCCAAGGATTGGGAAGTGCTCCAGCAATTCCAGGCAGCAGGCGGACCGTCCCCCACTCAGGGGTCCCCTCATGCCCATAGTGCTGGCCAGTGCTTCTGACTTATTGTTTTAAGGAGGAAAGAAAGTGGATAAATAAAAAACAGGAGAAATCATTATTAATAGCTAAAGTTGGTTACTCCACAACAATGGCCATTTAAAAAATTAAATAATATACACATGGAAGGAAGAGACACCAGTATTTCATGTAAGAAATTATGAGATCCTGAATGAACTAAGAAAGATGGGGGAATAAGAGAGGAGGATGGACTCCAGATTCAAGAAAAATGTAAGATGCTCAAAAAATTAAAAATAGAACCACCATATGATCCAGCAATCCCACTTCTGGGTATTTATCCAAAATAATTGAAAGCAAGATCTCAAAAATTATCTACACACCCATGTTCATTGCAGCACTATTCACACGAGCCAAGATATAGAAACAACCTAAATGTCCATAGACAGGTGAATGGATAAAGAACACTGACCTGGAACATTACTCAGCCTTTAAAAAGTAGGAAATCCTGCCATACGTGGCAACATGAATGAACCTGGAAGATAATGTGTTACAGGAAATAAGCCAGACACAGAAGGACAAATACTGCATGATCTCACTTCCATGCGGTATCTAAAGTAGTCACATTCATGGAAGCAAAGAGCAGAATGGCAGTCGCCAAGGCATGTGGGGAGGAAAGAGGAATTTGCTGTTCACTGTGTGTAAGGTTTTGGTCCTACAAGATGAATAAGTTCTAGAAATCTGCCGTATGGCATTGTCCTTAGAGTTAACAACATGCGGTACACTTAAAAAATTTTTATGAGACTAGAACTCATACTTTTTGTATCACAACCAAAAAATAAAAAAGAATAAATATTCCAGATACAGCTCTTGAAGAAAGCAGTTGTGAGACTAATAATTCTTATTAAAGTCGTCTAAAAAATGGAGAGAAAAAATAAGAGCTGTTGACTGAGCAGACTTGGAAGGGAAGACAGCAGGACACTGGGCTTCGGGACAAGGCACCAGGCAATGGCAGCCCCACTCAGGAGCAGGAATGTGGGGTGCTGGGATGCAGAGATCCCCTGCGGCATGACGTGCCACGTGCCAGGGCCATCCCTGACGGCGGTGTCCCCAGCAGCTGAGCCGCCCTGTGAGCCTGCGCCCCATGACTGCTGCTCAGTGCTGGGGATGCTGAACCTGGCATCCCCAGGGTGACTCAACTCCTGCAGCAACCCAGGCCGTACCTTCAGGATGTCTTTGCCGGCCTCTCTACCTCAGGGTCCCTGAGCGTATTCTTGTACACTGACTCCATCACGTTACCTCCTTCACATGCTTCATGTACATGCCGACACATTTGCCCTACACGTAAAGGTTGTTCTCCTTTAGCCTGGAGGTTCCATAACAGCCGAGCTGTTCTGTCCTCTGTGTATCACAGGAGCCAGCCCAGTGTAGGAGACTAGGATGAACACATGCTGGGTAAAGGGCTGGGTGTGGCCCTATCAGCTAGAGGGTCTTAATCAAGGCCCAAGCTTCCTTAACCACCATGACCTGTTTGTAAATGAGGAGCTGATACATGCTCCAGCCAGCTCCAGAGGTCGATGATCAAAGGACATAATGTACGGAAGAGTGTTCTTCCAATGGAAGATATGCTGTTCAAATGGAAATTATGAAGGTGCCTTTCCATGACACGTCCTGTTTATCTCCCACCGTTTCTTCTCCTAGCAACCCTTCACCCTGTAAATCAAAGCTTAGAAAACCATCTTGGGAAAGGGGGGTTGTAGGTGGAAATGTTTGGGGCCATGGAAAGGGGTTGGGGAGGAAAAATCAGGATCCTGCTTTCAGGAATGCATGATGCTCATCCTCTGATGGAGCTACCTTAGAACCCTGAAATTGGCAGGCACAGCCAGTAGACCCAGGCTCTGGACTGAGACCTTCACTGGGCAAAAGATTTTTTTTTTTTTCATTTTTCTTTTTGACTCTTGGCAATGTGGCAGAAATGGCACTTGCTCATCCCCAATCCAACCCCAGCAAAATACAGCTTTCCTCGCTTGATAGAGTACATGCACAACCCAAGCGGAGACCCAAAAATCGGTGTGCATTGATTCCTAAGCTAGGAATTCATAAAGTTCTTTAAGGTCATGGATTGATTTTTTTACTTCCAGTAAAAAACTGTGAGGCTCCAGGTCATTCCCTTCATTTGTGCCGCCTTTCTCATCTGCAGGGCCACATGCTCTCTCTCACCTGCGTGTGCCCTGCCTCTCCTTCCCCAGTACCACCAGGAGGGAGAAGCACTTCAAGGGGGAGAGAGAAATGCTTAAACACTCCTCCTGCCACATCAAAGCTTCTGCGCATTGGCTTAATCCCCTGGATTAATCAAATAAGGGAACAAATGGATTTGAAGGATGACACTGCAAAAATGAGCAGTGATTGGAACAGACTCATCAGCATGCACCGGGTCAAAGCTGGGCAGTAAGGGGCTTGAAAGCAGAGCAAAGACCTGGGATAGATCGGTGCCCATCCCAACACCGATTCTGCCAATGGCTCCAGGTGCCAGGTGGGAAGCACACTTGAGCCAGCACCCAAAGGTGGGGGCAGGCTGTGCGACCAGCGAGCCTCCTACTCACCTGGACCTTGGGTTTTAGGCACACCTGAAAAACCTAGAAAATACGCACCTCATGAAAGTGGTTATGAGGATCAAATATGATGACAGATATAAAGGCATGCTTTACACTTATCAGGTGAGTACAAGATAACTACTACTCTGCTCTCCCCAGTATTCCTTATATTGAGAATCATAATGTTTGAAGGAAATTCATGAATGATATGCTGATGGGGTCATCATGGGTTCTTTCCTTCTTTCCTTTTTTTCAAAAAAAAATATTGTATTGTAATAAGAAAATAATGTGAGATCTATCTTCCGAATTTAACAGATGTTTTAAGTGGAGAATACATCGTGGTTATCTGTAAGCATATTGTTGCCCGACAGACCTCTAGAACTTACTCATCTTGCATAACTAACATTTATACCCCCACCCTACAGCCACCATTCTATTCTTGCTTCTAGGAGTAGGACTATTTTAGATGCCTCTAGGGAATCACAGAACCACCACACGATTCAGCAACCCCACTTATGCCTGTTTCTCCAAAAGAGTAGAGATCAGGATCTGAAAGAGTTATCTGCACTGCCATGGTCATGGCGGCGCTACTCACGACAGCCGAGATGTGGAGATAACCTAAGGGCCCAGCAACACATGAATGGGTTTTAACATGTGGTCTACGCATACGATAGAATATGATTCAGCCTTCAAAAAGAAGGAATCCTGCCGCACGTGATAACATGAACAAACATGTTGGAGGACACCATGCTTAGTGAAAGAAGCCAGGCACAGAAAGACAAGTCCTCCTTTTGTCTTTTTTTAAGCGACACCATCTTCAAGTCTGTCAAGTACAAACTCTGCAGCCAAGAGCCCCTGGGGTCGCTTCCCAGCCTTGCTGCCTGTGAGCTGTTTCTCGGCTGTCTCCCCTTCCTCAGCTCCATTCCTTTGTCCGTAAAATGGAGATAACAGCATCCAGCATGTGCAGGCATGGAGAGGATTTGAAGCAGGATAATGAGGCTGGGACTTCATCCTTGCTCCACCTCAGGAGATCTGGGTGCAGCCAGCTGTGGAGCTCCGTGGCACCCGAGCTGGGGAGCCAGGCCTCCCTTGGCCTCCCTCGGGCCCACAGCCAGGCCCTTGCCCCTCGCTGGCTGGAGGCCCTGCCAGTCAGCTTCGGGGTAGGCATGGCCGTGGGTTCTGTGGATCCCTGTGAGCCAGGGGCTGGAGGCTCTGGTCTCAGCTGCTGCGGGCCCCATGGTTTGGTGGGTGTCGGCTGCTCATTAGCAGCAAATCAAGATGTTCAGATGGTGCAGGAGCCAGACCCTGCCTCTCAGGCAAGGGTGGCAGACTGTGCCCGCACCCGCTACCAACTTCCTGTCAGCCCTGCAGGCCTCTGTGCCATGTGCCAGTCCCTAGGAGCTGGGCTCAGCTGTGCCTGACAACAGGTCCCTCCCATTAGCAGAGGCAGCCTGTGGCTGGACAGGCTCCTGCCCCAGAGCCACCCCCTGGACTTCTCGGCCTGAGGCTGGGCCATCTGACCCCCTCCCCTGGCTGCTTGCATCACAACCAGGTGTCCAGCAGGGCTTTGATAGTTATGCTGCCCAAGTGGGAACTAAAGGACTACCTCAGGCATGACCTGAGCCCAGAGTCCTGATCAGAAGATAACTCTGGCAAAGAATGGTAACTTGGCGGTGACCCAGGGAGGAGACAGGCACGTGTCCAGCCAACCAGCTGATGATACTAGCAAAGCCGTTGAAAGACGCATGATCATTTATATGCAATAAGCTCCTTCGTCTTTAGAGCACAGAAATCGGAGTGCTGTCTTGCTGCGGGCACATCCTGTGTGTGCCCCTGTGTCTTCGACCTGTAGACAAATGCTCAGAGCGGTGGTGAGAGGAGCACCTTGGGAAGGGGGAGGCACCAAGGAATGACTTGCCCTGCCCCCTTGCTGCCTGGCCCCCGTCGCTCCTCAGAGCCCTGTGCTAGCCACATGTGGTGGAGGGAGGAAGGCATGCAAAGCAGGTTCCTGCACCTGGGAGCCTGAGGTGGAGCAAGGAGGCAAGGCTGGTGCACAAAGAGTGCCAGACAGGTGGGATGCGTCTAGGTGCAGTGGGGCATGACCTGGTCCTAAGGTTAGGGGAACCGTGTTGGGGCAGAGGCCTCACCTCCGTTAGGCTTTAAAAAACATGTTTCATCCTAAACTACCTCTTCCTTAGATTGTCTCCCATAAAGTGAGTGCTCCAGAAATACCAACTTCTTCAAATGTGAGTCCTTGGGAAGCATGATCAGGAAGGGGAGGTGAGGAAATGCACAGATATGCAAGACTGGGAGTCGGGGCCACCTGCACAGTTACTGTCCCCTAGGGCGGTCAGAAATAAACACAGTGACGACGCAGCCGTTCCCCTTCTTCCCCTATTTCTCTCTCTTCATCCAGTTTCAAAGAGAACAGACCCAGCAGCAGCACCCATACTGCTGCTGCGTCCTGCGCCTGTGTCCCCGGCTCCCAGCCCATCCTTCCAGGGACACGGAGAGTCACAGGCAGCTTCATCGCTTCCTTAGTGGTTGGGATGGGACTGAAGCTGAAGCCCTTGGGATTAGCCACGCAAACCCCTCTGTGATACCCCATTATCGCCTCTCTCTTCTCGCCCTTCAGCATCCAGCACAGAACTTGCTGGAGCTGCTTCCTGCAGAATATTGCTGGGGTCATGCTCTTCTCTTCACTGTTGCAGTGCCAGCACAGGTCCATAGAGATGTGATTCCTCAAGAGGTAATTCCAGTTCAACTTCAGCCTAGAAAGTGCTAATCCCCTCCAATGACCTTATCACAAGGTATCTGGTATCTTCCTAGCTCTGGGTGAAGGCATCGTGCCCCAGCCCTGGCTATGGGCAGCACCTGAGCAACAGCTCTGTTTTGGGGAGGCAGCTGAAAGTGGAGGGCTGTGGGAAAAAGATCAGGATGGAGAACGGTGAGGACACACAACAAAGACTTGGAGAGTTACTTTGCAGTGCACAAAAGAGATCCTTCCTTCAAGAGTTGCTGAGGACTCCTTTATATTGGCATAAAAGTTTTAAACATTATTACCACTAGGATAGCATCTCCACACCCCATGCATTGCCTGGCTCCCCTCCGGCCTCATCTACCCATGCAGGTGGAGCAGCACCCACCCAATCTGTTCTTCTTGTATCCAGTGCTGTGAAACAAAACGCAGACATACACTGCCTCTCTAGCTCCATAAAGTTGGAAGTTTATTGCTGTTTTATTCAACTGCAATAGCACCTAATCTCTTTCTACTCCAGTGGATTTTTTCCAGGGAGTAGCCAAGCCCATTGGAAAGCAGGAGAGATACACAGGGCAGTGGACACAAGCCATGCCTCAGGATTTTGCAGGATCTCAGACCAAAGCAAATGAGCTAAAGCTGTCACCAGAGGCTCCAAGGCCCAGGATGTCCGGAAAGAAACCCCAAAGGCACAGAAGTCAGTGAGACCAGAGCCTGGAAAGTTTTCCGAACAGGCAATGTGGAGAGAAAAAAGGCACTGGTGAATCCTTTATGGAGCAGCAGCTTAAAGTTTTTAAGTGCAATTGTCCCCCATCCTGCCTTCACCCCAAAAATGTCCAGGTCTTGTTGGACTACCCTTAAAGAGGCCATGTTGATGAGTGACATTTGACAGCAATAATGAGAATATGGGTGGGATAAGGACCTCTTTAGCCTTTCTCTGTTTGACTAAGAATGGACAAAGTAGTATAAACAAATAACAGACCCTTTGAAATTCTAATAAATATTTGGATCTTCTCACCAGAAAAAAAAATGCATATACATAGAACAATTTTATACATATACATATACAATGCGTATACATAGAATAATTTGGGGTGATTCATTGTCCCCCAAAGGCAAATTCTCTAAAGTATTAATGTGTGCCAGGCTCAAAATCCTGATGTGAGAAGAGAATCTGGTCAGCTCTAACATTCTGGACTTTACGCTCTTGGGCAGCCAGGGACTGTTCTGTTTATGTGTCGCCTGTGATGGCTCAGTGCTGTCCTGAGGGCAGGGCATGAACCCAGTAGGAGCAGAAGCCCTTCGGATCTCAGGTCTGGTGTTGGATTTGCAGGGAGCTGTCAGGTGGGGAGATACCAAAGATGGAGTCATCTCCCCTGCAGCAGACCAGGGCTCCCTGCCCTCCTTTCTACCCTACTGGCTTCTGGAGCTTCTCCAAAGACAGCAGCAGGCACCAATGGCTAATTGCTCCGAAATAGCTAGTCTCCATTTCAGGGTGCTGCTTGCTTTTGCTTCAGTAGCTGGCAAATGAATCCTCCTAGGGATTATAATAACCCTGTCCTGGCTGTGTTCCCTGGAATCTTGGCCTCTTTCCCTGGCACTCATCCCAAAAGGGTTGGAAATCTCTGAGTATTTATCCCCTTGAAGATTCCCCGTGCCCGCCTGGCACCTAGCCACCCTGCACACATACGGCTGGCTTCCTCCATTTCTCCGTGGAGAAGGCTGTGCCCTGACTCTCCCCCCATGCCCACCACCCCAGACCTCTGCTCAGTCCTCGACCTACTACCCTGAAGGCGGCTCTCTTCATAGGGCTGCCTATCTGCCCATTTAGGACCTGCTGCTCTGTTCCCTTTTATCTGTCCTCTCTGACGATGTTTTTATTCAATTCTGGCAGATCTACACTTTTCCTCCAGTATCTTTTCTGCCAAAAAGCCCAAAGTTCTGAAGGAAGAAGCAGGATGCCTTCTCTGACTGAAGGCAGAGACTAGTAACCACTGGAACTGTGAGCAAGCGAAGTGGCTCCTTCCTCAAAGAGCTGATTTTTAGCTCATCTTTTCTGAGAATAAATATGTGATTCTGGGGGCAGGGAATGCATTGACATTTTGATTCTGCAGCTCCGAACGTGAATGCAGACCACTTGGTAATGACCTAGTATTATCAGAGTGTAGAGGGTGATGAAGTCAAACCCTGAACACCTATTGGGTGACGTTGTTGTTTTCGGTTTCTGTCTACCCCCACCAGATGCTGAGCTCCATGAAGATAGGCGCTAGATCTTTAAATTCCTTGTAGCTACGACCATGTACTCCTTATCCCTAACTACTAAGGTTGGCGGGTGGGAGAGAGGAGTACCTACCACAGGACGGGCGTTTATGAAAATTTCAATAAATCAGTGGCCAATAAGCGAGCTGTGATGGTCCAGCGAGTACAGCTTCTAGCAAAGCCCTTTCACAGAGCATTGAGGTTTAGTGTAAATGAACCCTGCCTGCTGGTGGCCACTTATAATATGAGGCTGATGAGTGGAGAGCAATGGTCCTCATGTGGGACAGTTTCTTTCTCTGGATCTGTGGCCCTGATCACAGTGGGAATCCGGTGAAAAGGTATATATAGCCGGATCCCAGCACAGGCATCATTATTGCTGGCAAACACACTGAGAGCGGGCTGCTATTTTTGTACGGGAAGTACAGCACATTTCACTGAAGTCCTACCAAGTGCTACACAACACTGGGGAAGATTCTCAGCTGCTTCCTTCTAGGAGCATTTACTCCAAACAAAGGCCCCATGAGCAACCCACTGCAGACTCACAATTACACGCCAGCCACACCAGTCAGGAGGACCGTCCCTTCCCTTCAGTTGCTACTTAGCTTTTCACACTGTAACCCAGGCCTACTGCCTTCCTGGTAATGATATTATAATATTGTCTTTGTGTGCCCTTTGCCAAGTCATTCTTGGCAATCCATGGAAATTCGAATACAATCATAATCAATAAACAACAGTAATTAAAGCACCACATAATAGATCGTATAAAACCTGTATATGGCTGAAAAGCCAAATAAGTGGCATTTTAACAAGAGAGAAGCGGGGTGGGCCAGCTCAGAGGGACTGTTTTCAAGCAGCGATTGTGAATTCCCCACATTCAAAGTGAATTCGTGGAGTTTCCACTCCAGAGCCAGGCAGACTTTCTCCATACAACCGATTGCAGACGTGGCCGGAAAATAGAAGACAGTGCATAACAGAGAAACTGGGATTTGGTCAGAAATTGTTTGTTTACATCAGAGACTTAAAAGAGGTACCCTGAAGGAAGGGAATGTACCCGATCTCCCCCATGCAGGGTCCATCAATCTCTGCAAAAGGGATGGACAAATCCCCATGAAGCTGGAACAAAGTAGGTCTCAGAAGTGGGTGCTCCTGGCGAAGAGGAAATACTCTTTTCCTGCTCAGCTCCCTGAGGAGACAGCAAAGGCTGGGAAAACATACATCCTTTAGAGCCAGAGAAACGTGGGTTTGCATAGGAAATCTGCAATTTTTCAGCCTAAGCTACCTTAACCTCTGTAAGTAATTCTGCATCTCTTAAAAAGAATGAAAATGCCCATTTCACTTACTCTAAGAATTAAGTGAAGGAACAGGTGTAAGGGACTTATCGCAGCGTTTAGCACATAGTGGGTACTAATAGATGTCAGTCCTCTTCCCACAAAGCCCTGGGACTGTGTTTAGAAAGGTCAAGGTGACCCTTGGAAAGTGCTGGCTTGCTTTGGGAGTTACATTCACTCTGGCCTCATTCAGGACCTACTTTGTGTCTTGGTATCACTCTTGGCACTAGGAATGTTAAGATAAATGAGAACCAGATCTCACAGACAAGCCTGCAAACTAGTGGAAGAACCACCCCCTGTCCCCACATGCTTTGTCTATGGCTAAGGGCAACAGGGAATCACAGGAGAGAGGGATTAAGTCAGCCTCAAGATCACTGGGGAAAGCATGAAAAAAGGGGTTAACCCTGAATGATCCATGAATGAGAACCAAGAATATCTCCCCACAAAAAAAAAGTAGAGAAAGAAATCCCAGGCAGAGGAAAGAGCCTGAGAAAAGGCACGGAGGAGTGCGTGTACTATATGTGGTGTACTTGCGAGTGCCTTAGAATCACCTGCAGCCCAGAGAGTGGGGATTAAGCTGCGATGCACACACCTCCTTCTACCTCAACCTTCTGCACAGGCTTTCCTTTCTCAGAGCTCCCTGACCCACGCAGTCAGAGCTTCAAGATTAGGGTGCTAGCGAGATCCTGCCTGTTTCTTTAGAGCACCAACCACAGATCACGAAATTGGGGATAACTGGGAGACTTAACAGGAGAGATCTGGGGGTATGCACCGCAGAGAATGAGGGCAAGCGGGTTGGTGGAACGCTCCAGGTTTAGAACTTGATCTTGGGGCAGGGTGAGGAATGGGGGTGTTGCTGTCGGGAGAAAGCTGACTCCAGAGTTCCCTAATTGAGCTAAGATCCACGCCCCCACCTCCCTGTTTTTAACACCTCGTAATATAAAGAGTAGAAATTTTTAAAGAAAGCCAAAGATGACAGTTGTAGGGTAAAAAAGGTGTGGGAAATATGTGAAGAACAGAAGGCTCGGGATTCTGGTCTGCTGTCGGTGATATGTGAGGTGTCCGCAGGGAAACCACAATAGCTGGGGCTCAGGACCGGAAGAAATGGGGGTCAGAGAGTCTCCAGCGAGCTTGGAAAGGACCCTTTCATGTCAGGCCTGGGGAGGGAGGGGCCAGCTGTCAGGACGAGTTCTGAGCCCTGTGACGTGGCTGGCTTTTGTTCTTACTTTGCCTTTTCCACTTCTCTCTCTTTAGTGTCGAGTTCGCAGGCTGTGATGGTGATGCTGACAGCAAAGTACTTAACACTTTGAAAGGGGGAAGCGTTCCATACATCTTCAGTGAAATGATGAGACACGTGAATTAGAAGGCAACCTCGTGCTGGTTCCTGGAAGAAAGATAAAGAAGAACTAGGAAATAGAGTTTGGTCTTCCTATCCAAGATGGCCTAGTATCATTAGCCAAGCCCATTTTCAACAGAGTAAAGCAGGAAGTTCTCAGTCATCCAGTCCACAGGCCAAGTTCCCCCTAAATCATAAAGCCCCTTTTCTCTCCTTAATTGAGAATCTAGCTGTCTTCATGTCTACAGAGAGCCCAGCTCTCCCTAACCCGTGGGTGGGTAGACAGCAGCCCACTTCCTGGCCATCACTCCAGACCATGGTTCCTGCCCCCAGGGGAAGCCAATCTGATTTCCCCCATGGACACTCCTTCCTTAAGTTGCCAGACACATGCCTGCCATCTTGGTGTCCTCCTTCAGGAGACCAAGCAAAAACAAGGAGAGTCTCTCTGCAGTGACATAAAGCTGTGAAAGATGAACAGTTATTTCCAGAGATGAAGATGGACATTTGAAATCTAAGGGAGCCTTATTCCATGCAAGAAATATCTCACCATTGGTTTTATACGTTCTTGTGGCCATGATAAGCCAGCATCTGCTCCAGGAACAAATGATGTGAGGGCTGGGCATCTGAAGGAATGAGCGGGGAAGGTCCCCACCAAGCTGTCTCCTCCTCCCAGCATTTGGAGGCAGGACACCTCACAGGGCTCACACCACTGCTCCCTGCCTGACTTTCAACCAACTTTCAATTAGCTGAACAAATGTGTTTAGTGTTGCTACAGATAATCTCAAAGCCGTTTATATCGGGCTTCATAATACATGATGGCAGGGAGGTGGGACGGGGGTGGGAGGTGGCAGTGGAGAGGCCTGGGTAGGAGAAAGTTGCTGAAGATTTATCTTTCTAATTATGCTTTGCTTAGGGCTAATATGAAAATTAGTTTCAATTCCCTGAGCACACAGCAGCTGAGGAACATGCTGGGCATTGGGAGGCCAGCCTAAGGATTTTAAATTTGCTGAGGACAGACCCGTATGGGTCATGGCCACATGGCTGTTAAGGCCAGCTCTTCTGCCACCAGGGCTGGCCTGAGACCTCCAGTATCCCCCCTGGTCTGCCTGTTCACGTAGTTCACACAAGGAGAATGAGAGGCCAATCACACCCACACCGCCCCGTGCCCAGCTCTGTCCTTGACTTGCAATGACAAATGGCTTCAGCAGATGGACCACACAGCTCTTTCTCATTGTTCTGAGATGGAACTAGCCTCAGATAGGGTGAATAATAAGCAGTTACTAAATTAATACAACATGGTCTGCCTCCTTTACCCCCAGTGCCAGGGATGTGTTGTGGTTAATGACTTTTGCACCTGCTGAGTGTAATTAGTAATTCACATGGGTGTGTTATTACTGGGTAAACACATGATATTTACCAATAACTTCCTGCTAGGTAAGCACCAATGAACACTAACAGGTAGCTATTAGGACTAACTTCAGGTGAAATGAGAACTGGCCCCAAATTTGGCTTAAATCTAGGCTCCAGTGAAAATGTTCTTCAAGGAATATAATTGAATCTGTGAGCAAGCTCCCTACACTTACCATGTTTTCCTGGCTTCTGAATCAGACCATGATGCAGAAATACCAAATATCCCCAAACCTCTTATTCATAGATGAGAAATAGTGTGAGTCTCAAGACTTGATATTGAAGGAGACTCTCGAGACTGGCCCCAGTTTCTTCATATGCAAAATAAAGTTAAGCCTATGTCCAAGGGTTGTCCAGTCCTAGTGAATGAAACAGTTAGCATGGGAGCAGGGCTAGAAAAATAAAGTTTTACAAGTGTATGTTATTAAAACTGTGATTCCAACCTGGTTGTCACTATGCGAGCCTGGGACTCTTATGTGGGACTTTGTAGGGGGCACAGATATGGTTAGACAGGGACTAGAACCACCCCCTCTCCCCAGCCCACTCCCACCCTCAGTGGTATCTAGAAAACTTTCAGTACTGAGAAGGGAGGCACAGCCTTCACATTCTGCATCTCCCACACACACGCCCCACACCGGGCATGCACACACATGCACATACACACACCCTGCATGACACTCTGAAAACTTTCTCATGTCTAAAATATCACAAGTGCTGATCTGAGGCAGAATGCAGAGGAGGAATTAATCCCAGACCTGCCGACTCCCAAAATGTGTTCAGATATCTAGTTAGAACTTCCAATAAAGCTCGGTAGGCATTTTTGCAACACCTCTACCCCCATCCCAGCCCACTTAAGCACTTGCACCAACTCTAACCACAAAGTTTAAGAGTCAAGAGTGTGAACAGAAGAGGGCAGTGGGCAGAAAATGGATTGGCAGACCTATCCCTGCTGCAGGGGAGCGCTGGTTTGTAAGTATCCCGTATATTCCCCCACCCTCACCCAGATTGCCTCCACCCTTACGTGGGCGCTCCCCTGACCTCCCACTTGTCGTTCTACTCAGAGATGAACTTGTATGGATTTCATCAGGCTTGCACCCAGGGTTGCCACTGCAAGCTGCAAGGCCAATGGCCACATGCACAAGCAGCTAATCAGGGTGAAAGGCACACTCTGTGCCCCCAGAACAGAGTGCAATTAACTTGTCATCTGCAGGTCAGACCCAAGACTTCAGCCTCATTAGGGCTGAGCCCTAGCCAGGGAAGTCTCTACACACACACACACACACACACACACACACACACACACACACACACAGAATTCACAGGGGTAATAGGACTACTCTGAGAGTTAAATCCTTGGTGAGCCAGCATAACAGCATAATAATGGGTACAAAATAAGGGGATTTTCTCTGGGTATTAACTAGAGTCGACATTGTATTTTTGAAGTACATTTGCCATGGCATAGTTTTACAAATATTTAACTTCTTAGAAATGAACAGAAAGTACATTGATTTTCACAAGATACAATCTCTACTTGAAGTTTTAATTTTCTTTATTTTTACTGTGAAGAGCTAATCAATACATTTGTAGTTCAAAATTCAAAAGGGCCAAAGAGCACCCAGTGAAATAGTTTCCTCTGATTCCCGATTCACACTAAGTTCTTCTTCCTGGTGTCACCCAGTTACCAATTTCTTCTGAATCATTCCAGAAACAGTCCATCATATATAAGCAAACACATATGGCTTTCCATCCCATTATTTCACATAGATGGCAAGATATGATATATACTCCCCTAGATACAGTATCTTTAATGGGAATTTACAAAATATTTTAAAAGATTTAAACATAATTTTCTTATTTACTTAATTTTTACATCCTAAAGATTGGACCTCTGAACAGAAAACCCCTAGAAGAATTTTTCAAGTCTTTGATGTTTTACTTGCATGACTATTCATTCACTTCCTGGGTGCCTAGTTGGTCAAATGCAGTATCTTTGCTTCTTCAGTGAACATACTATCTTGGGTTGTAAGTTGGAAGTGGTGAGTCTAAAAGCAGCCATCCTCCTTTACAAAAATAAACACACAATTAGCTTATATTGCCACGTTATTTGCTCTCTCCTTTAGCAGAAGCAGTGGCATGTGCTGACAACTTCCAGGAATAAGGAGCACAGGAAAAAAATTAATTCAGTGCCCAGGATCTGCTGAGCAAAGGCATGGTCCCCTACCCTTCCACAACACCGGCAGGCGAGGATTAGTATCCTTACTTTTAGGTAAGACCATGGGACATAGAGAAGAAAGTTTGCTTTAGGTCACATGGTTTACTGGTAGGGAAGTCAGGATGTGGAGCTGAAACTGTTCTAAGCCCACACTCTTTCTTTCTTACCAAGCTGCACCACTATGTCTTAAAAGTGATGAAAACTCAAGGAATGTTAGAGCAACATGTTTAAATGTTAAGGCAAAGAAGAGTCCATCTATATCAAGGTCTTGGTGAGGTGCCACAAATAGGTCAAAAGGCAGGTATGTTTAACTAGTTTGGCAGCTGTAGCATTAGGCTTTCCTGCAGAGTAGGTCAACTTAAAATCCCTAGTTTCTTTCCTCTGCTGGTCATCACCCACACTGGGGCCTAAAAGTGGAAGCTACATGACAGCCAGGAGTAGGGAGATGTTTTGAACTAATGCCTACTCATTTTTGCCTTGATGTAAAACAGGATAGCCTGCATCTATCTTGAATCCTGCTGTTTATTTTTATCTTCCTTTCATAGAATCTCAAAATTGGTTTATACATAAAAATATGGCATTTTCAATTCTATCCCTAAATTATTGTAGGGAAGAACTCCTTTCCATTTTCTTCATTTTCATCCACCTCAATTTTATGTAGAACCAGGAAGACAAAAGCTCAGCTGCTTTCGTCTGGGTAAACGACAGGAGGAAGACAGCTCTTTAGACCTCAAATCTCAGATCTTTACTCACTTTAGCAATCACAAAAAGATGTGCAGCTGTACAATGGCCTGAAACATACCTCTCTCCAAAATTTATATGTTGAAATCCTAATCCCCATAGTGATATTATAAGGAGGTAAAATCTTTGGGAGGTGATTAGACCATGAGGATGAAGCCTTCACAAATGGCATTAGTGTCCTTATAAGAGACGACCTAGAAAGTGCCCTTATCTCTTCCACCATGTGAGGACACAGTGAGAAGAAGGTTGCCCTCACCAGACACCAAATCTGCCAGTGCCTTGACCTTGGACCTCCCAGCCTCCAGAACTGTGAGAAATAAATTTCTGTTGTTTATAAGCCACCTCCAGTCTAAGATATTTTGTTATAGCAGCCCAAATGAACAAGCTAATATTTTTTTTCCTTTTTTGTTTTTTTTTGAGATGGGGTCTCGCTTTGTCACCAGGCTGGAGTGCAGTGGTGTGATCTCAGCCCATTACAACCTCTGCCTCCTGTGTTCAAGCGATTCTGCTGCCTCAGCCTCCCGAGTAGCTGGGACTACAGGCACGTGCCATCACGCCCAGCTAATTTTTGTATTTTCAGTAGAGACGGGGTTTCACCAAATTGGCCAGGCTGGTCTCGAACTCCTGACCTCGTGATCCACCCACCTCAGCCTCCCAAAGGGCTGGGATTACAGACGTGAGCCACCGCGCCCAGCCTCCTATTTTTCCAATAAAAAAACTAAGGCACAAAGGGCCTATGAGAGTTTCCAGCAACCACCAAGGCCATCCTTATGAGGAATGGCTTACTAGAATTGGTCTGCATCCAGGAGCTCAATCATACTAGCACACCTGTTGAACGATGGATAGAGATATAGGGTAAGCAAAGGTGAAATGTCTCCAGTCAGTACCCATCCAATTAGTACTCAACTCAGGGCCCCTAGAAAACACTGTGCTTTCACTTCATAACAGTAGCCAGAAACGATGAAACAAAACAAAACAAAAAAACACTGGGCAAATTGTCATGAGTAGCTAAGGATCCATTTCATTTAGCAAATAGTGTTGGTCCCAGGAAAAAGCACCAAGCCTGGGAATCCCTGCCACAATGACAGAATCACATTCAACAGCTGCTTCCAGCATAGGATGCAATCCCCGCCGCCAGCATCCCTCCCACCTCCAGAAATAGTAAACATCTGCCAAGAGAGAGCCCCATTAGTAAAATTCCCACCTTCTAAGGGTCATCGATTGGCTTTCTTCTGAGCTTCCTGCCTGCTTCCCTCATCTCTGCAGCCTGTTAGAGCCTGCCACGACCGCGTGGGCAACCCCTAGCTGCAGTTTCTTTCCTCTTCTCTGCCCTCAGCACTTTCCCCTCCAGGAGCACAACTCTGAGCTGTCATTCCTGTCAACCAGATGGGAGATCAGCCACAAAGCTGCTCCGCCTCTCGCAAGGACAGGAACTCTTGTGGCAGGCAGGCTTTCGGGGCGGCTCCAAGAGGGAGTGAGTGAGTCTGGGCCTCTTAGTCGCTGTGGTCATGGTAAGGGAAAGTGACCTGTTTGTCACCAGGTTTCCCTTGGAAGTCCCCCACCCTCAGGCCTGGCTCCCCGCACTTCCCCTTTTGGTCCCTTCTGCTCTCACAGCTTCACTGCAGCCAGCGTGGAGCAGGATGCTGACAGCAGAGTGGCTCCAGTGAGCTGCCATTCCAGATGTCAGGAACAAGCTCACAGGTAGGAGCCCTGTAGGATATTTATGACTTTAATTCCTCGGTAGAGGTTTTTGTTCTTTCATGCGGCGACATATGAATCGCTACTCATTTGCTCCTGTATTTCCACGTCAGTGGCAATTATGGAAGGGCTGCTGGCTTCTTGTACGAACCCACAAGTTATGATCCCTACATATTTCAGACTGAGTGAAGCCGAGAAGGATTGCAAACACCAGTGAGAAAGGGCTGGGAGACAACAGTGACGGAGAAGAGGAGCAGGCTTTCAGGCGATAAGGTGGCTGTGAACTGGTGAGGAGAGGCGGGAAAGTGCCCACTGTTTTGAGGGGCTGGTCTAGGCATCCTGGGCTTCCCTGGCCAGGTTGCGGGGGAGGTTTGGGGGATGGTGGGGGGAAGGTGGTGCAGGCCCAGCTGTAGAGGATTTGAGCTTTGCTCTGCCCAGCAGCTAGCACATTTGTCCGTCTGTGACCTTGGGAAAGTCACTTCCCTTATCTGGCTCCTGCTTTCCCCAGCTTTGAAATGAGGACAGGCCTCCTGGGAGGAGGGAAGAATGCACCGAAGCATGCACTGATGAAAGTTTCTATCCAAAGACCCAGAGCCACACTGCTCTTCATGGAATGGGGCTGTATCCTGGCTCAACAACCACAGCATTTTCACACTTAACAAAAGAAAAGGTCTGTCAAAATCCAGTATGCCACCAACTGGGGAATATAAACCCCCTTTCTACTTTTTTTAAGTTTACAACAAATTCATAAAGCAAAGAGGCTTTTTTATTTCATGTTTGTCAATAAACCTGGCAATAGAAATACCAATTTGAACAGCAATTTTCCTGCTGGTCTGAGCTGAAATTAGCTATGGATGAATTGGTTTTCAGTTTTTACATGTAAATAATCTCCACACCCCCTGCTCCTATAGACAGTTGTAAGACATTACCCTGTTTCATGGCCATGTCTCTGCCCAAATCTTTGGTTCTTGAAGGTGACACCCATTTTTGCTGCAATGACTCTGACCAATTCTGGTCTAAAGCCTGGGCACAAAGGGCATATTGCTGCAACCACATGGCCAGCAGGGAGGCGGAGGTGGCAGCCTGTCCAGACAGGGTGGAGAAAGGCTTGGAATATGGATGTCCTGAGGACCAATGGAGGCTTGCCCCATTGACCTTCATCACTGTGCCCCGCTGACCTTCATCACTGTGCCCCGTGCCCCGCTGACCTTCATCACTGTGCCTCACTGACCTTCATCTCTCCCACTTCCAGAATCACTGCTCAGATTCCAGCCAAGCCCTGAGGGGGGTTCTGGAAAACTCTATTTCATTCTAGGGCTGATGATTTCCTATATTGGCATTGCCAGATTTAGCAAATAAAAATATAACAAATAATTATTAGTATAAGTATATTCCAAATATTGTATGAGATATAGTTTAAAAATATTGTTTATCTGAAATTCAAAGTTAACTGAACCCCCCTATGAAAGGCCTTTGTCTCCAAAGATATTGGCCTGTGACCTTTGCAGAAACAAAGATCTGCTCACCCAACACTTCTGCTCCTCCCTCAGATTATTATAAATCTAACCACAGGTCTTTAAGAATACCAACCAATCATTCCTTGTGATGCTAGAGTTGAGAGACCAAGGTGGTTCAAGCTTTAAAGAGACAGATGGAAATTTAAGTCCTGGCTTCATCATGCAGCAGTTACACTACCTTAGGTTCATTCATTAATTTTTTAAGCCCCAATTTACTCATCTGTCAAATGTGGACAAAAATATTATCTACTTCAAAATGATACTCCAAGGAGTAGAGAATGTATATGACATCTTTAGTGCAATGCCTAGCACAAAGCAAACAATAAGTTACTCTTACTAATTTTTAAAGTTGCTATAGGTGAAACAGAGTTTCAAACACAAAAACAAGTAAGTCAACGGTTACAAAAATGTTCTCAGATATCATCATACTTTACCCAAACAACCATGAAATGTGTTAATTTTACATTTTATAGATTAAGATTAAGTACATTTGCAGAGCATACTGCAATTAAATAGCAAAGTGCTGAGTTTGAACACAAGTATTTTCAGTCTCAGATCAGACTCGGGTTATAATTTTCTCTTTATAGTTCAGTGGTCCTGATCCCTGCCCTCAAGTAGATTATTATTCAACTGGGAGGTGGAATGAAATACAAAGTTATTTCTAAACCAAAGTGTGTGATGCTCTCTTTGTTTACTCCTTAAACTGGGCATTGGAAGTCCTTTCAATACTTTCCCTTATATCTTCTCAGTCATGGGCTAACAGTCCAGCTGCGGACAGTGTGAGGATCATGGGAATGTAAATGTAAATCTGCAAGTTATACATATACATTGTAGGGGTACCATCCAGCTTGATCCAGCTTAGGAAGAAAGTCTGGATTTTCTCCTTAGATTCATAGGAATTCAGCTGTCTCCACCACCTAGACTCTCTTGGCTTCCATTCTGTAAGATATTCATTCTTGACAGCTTTCTACACACAATCAATGGGTTGAGACTAACATGTAAAGTAATCTCAGACATCCTAAGCTGCTAGTTATTTGCTCTCTTCCCAGATTCTAAATCTCCTTCTACTACTGGGGAATCAGATGTGCTGTTTTCTCCCCCACGACTGAGAAAAGAGTAGCCCAGAGGGGTGCACATGAAAGAAGGCACAATTCAGCTGCCTTTTGATGGCTGTATCTTCAACACAGTGGTGACCACTCCATTCATCAAGGCAGGAAAATGGTCCAGAATCACCGTAGATGTGCATTTGGTGATACGACAAATGACAATAACACCTCCAGGAGAAATGCCTCCTCTCTCTGGTTCCTAGATGTTGCTAAGGCTTTGATCACTCTATTATTCCCCACATCTTAGAACTTCCACAGCAGCAGTGATGGGTGAATGATACATTTATATACAAAAGGACAAACAGCATGGTGTGAGAAAGCCCAGCTTCCTGAAAAAATACTACACTCATTTCACATTTTAGGGAAATTCGTATCTAAAACCCAATGACCAGTTTATTTCCTAGCTTTTTAAGCCTAAGCCATTCTCAAAAATTTTCTCTACTTCCTACTTAAATAATCTAAAACCCTCCAGGTTCATCTTGTTTACTTTCCTAGACCTACTTCTAATCATTTTTCTTTCATACTTTTCTCTTCCCTGGATAAATCAAATGCCAACTGATCTTATTCTCCTCTATCTTCTGACTCCTTTCATTCCCTCTCTGGCATCACTAATCAACCTGTGCAAGCATCCACATGTACATTCAGTGTGTACTTGAATTTCTTGTTTGCAGCAAGAAGTGGTACCTCACATTCTTCAAATATCCAAGCAATAAGGAAGGACACTGATAGCTACAAGGAAACAAAGTAAAATATGTAAAGCGATTAGAGAACAACTTAAGCAAGCAATAATATGAATAACTAATAATATTTCTATGTAGTTTTACAGGGTAGGAAACCCAGAACAACCTGAATCTCATTTGGTCTTCACAATAATATGTGATCAAACCCAACAATAGAGCATATAGAATGGGAAAGTGAAGTGGAAATGTCACTTATCTGTCATCAGATGGATGTGGGTTTGAACTGCAACTCTGCCAGCTAATGTGTTGTGTTACCTGACTATACCACACTGCCTCAGTGTTCGCATCTCAAAAAATACAATAGGAATATCCAAAATGCAATGATAATGCATACAAAATGCCTGACTCAAAGTCAGTGAACTATTACTAATCTCATTTTACAAACAAGGAAATAGAGACCCAAGGAACTTTACAAGTTTAATCAAGGTTACAAAGCCAGTAAGTAGCAGAGCTGGGATTCAAACTCAGGCACTTATGAATTAGAGCCTCTACTTGGCCCATTACATCGTGACTAGAATCTTTTGCCCAGTGCTTCTCAAACTTAATATGCATACCAGTAACCTAGGGCCTTGTTAATATTCAGATCTTGATTAAGCCCAAGGTTCCCAAGATCCTACATTTCTTACAAGCTTTGATGTGATGTGTATCCTTCTGGTCCACACTTTGAATAGCAAAGATATAAACTGTAAGTATTAAACAGAATTTAGGATTATTCTAACATGGTGCAGTTGGCTCTTTAAAAAATTAGTCTTTTATTGATGAGAATGGAATGTAGAGGGTCATGAAAATGTGCTCCAAGTGTTGAGTGGTTTTCCATGTGCACGGCATGGAGCTAGGTTCTGGAGATACACAGATGAGTTGAGGAAGGTGGGACACATGCTTGCAAGTGCAGAATCAGGACAGATAATGGAGAACCTTGAAAGATTTATAGAGGAATATAACTTAGATCCAAAATAATAAGGATCCACCATAGGTTTAAAAACAAGGAACTGGAGTTTAAATCTGGATCACAATAGAGAGTCAGGAATCAAGGATGCCAACCACAAGGCTGCCGTAGAAAGCAGAGGTGAGATGGTATGGGTTGGAACTTGTAAGAAACTGTGGAAATGAATAAAGTAAGGCAGACATAGGAGACACTGAGGAAGACTATGTTACTTGGAACACTGGCCTTTAAACTTGGATGTGGGCGATAATACAACTCTTCTTCACACTAGCTATCCGACTTTGGTCTTCTCTGAGCTTCCATCTCTTTATCTGTAAAATATAGATCATCTATTTCAAGGGCCATTGTGAGGATTAAATAAGATAATGCACGTGAATGCTCTTTGAAAATCCAAAACACTATATAAATCAAGGAGCTATTATGATTAAGTTTCTCATGCAGTATCTGACATATTAGCACTGAATTAAGTAATGAAAGCAGAGAATTTGATGAATGCCTGGATATGAAGAATGAGGAACAGATAACCAAGGGTGATCTGAACATTTTCAGAGTACTACAATGAGAAAATAGTTGCACTAAGCAGAAATGGGAGGAGCAGCGAATCCGTAGGGGAATGTGATGGGTGAGGGGCTGGTGAATCTTGTAAGACTTCACCCTGAGAAATTTAAAAGTCCCAGAGGCAGGACATTTCTCTGACTTTCAAAAGGAGCAGTGGGGTTCCTAAGAGTTCCAGTGAAAAAAACGTTATTTAATTTTCTTCATCCTATGACCACCACAATCATTTGGTGGCCAGCTATATGGCCTTGAACAAGGCTTGGCTTAGCAGTCTCTCCTCATCCGTGAAATGGGGACACAAATAAGAGCCACTTCAAAGGGAGGTCATGAAGACCAGAATCAGTAATGGTTGCAAAGCCTCTCATCCAGTGCCCGCACATCCTAGGTTCTCAATAAAACCCCTCTTCCCCACCACCATTGTCTACGTCACTGTTACTGTGGCAGTGTTTAATACAGAAAACAGAGGAACCTAAAAAGAACAGGTGTCTGGACAAAAACACAAAAAATATTAAGCTAAAGGAACACAAGAGATTCAAATCTTTCCCATCCACAACACACCATTCCATTATTTTGCAAATGGGGAAACTGAGGTCCACAGAGGCAGCATGTGACCAACAGCATTTCTTTTGGACGGGCTGCTACAGTATGCTTACCCACTGGTTCTCCCAGTGATGCTGGAGTTGCCAAAATCTCTGGGAAATGGAAGGAAAACAAAATACCTGCTGAAAGCACTGATTTGAGAGAGCGTGCTCCATGGATGAGGCCATTCTTTCCATCAGACGGAGTAGTATATTTCTCCAAGCTGGACTATTAATTAAAATTCAGCGATGCTAATTTTACTGCCAACTTAGGAGATCCTTATTACATTTATTTTCCAGGTAATTGCTGCTTGTACAGGAGTTCAAATAGATGTCTTTTTTAGATGGTGCAATAGATCAGAATTATAATAGTTACATTCCTCACCCTTCATTTTGCTCCCCTCTCATTCTGAAGCCCGCTTCCTTAAATTATATGGAGAAGCCTCTCCCTCTCTCTCCCTCCCTCCCTCCCGTTCCTGCCTTAGCACTCTCTGGCTCTCCAGGGTGCTCTCTCTGTCAATGATAGACCCCACAGAGGAACGGAGGATCAAAACAGACTTCCTGGTTTGTTGCTCACAATTTTATCATACCATTTCCCCTCGAGGAAGAGTCAAAAGTAATTCCTTCCTTACATATGGAAATGTATACAAAGCACACTTCCTTACGTCGGCTGTTTTTTTAAATCCTAAGTTGAGTCCCCAGTTTACAGATGAACAAATTGACGCTCGGATTCATAATTTCCAGATTCTGGTTTCACCTCTTATTTTTCATCTTGACCAAGAAAAAAATTTTCAGGAAAATTTATAATACATTGTGCTTCAAAAAAGAAAATAAATGATAGTGAAAAGAAAGAAACTTCACTCTCCAGGATCAAACGCATGTGATGAGAGTAGTGGAGAAGGAGGAAGAAAACTCCAAGTTCTCTTCAAAGTTAGAGTGGTTCTTTCTGGAAACTTCCTCCTTGTCACTGGGCCTATGCATTTCTTACAACAGGAAGACTCTTTTCTCTGTATCATTGAATCCCAGGATGGTGACGCTGGGCAGGAGGAGGCCACACCTGAAAGCAACCAGGTAGTTTCCAGGGACCATCCTAAGAACTTGTCTGAGAGGCACTTCTCAGGACCTGGAGGCCTCCAGGGGGAAGCAGCAGGCACCAGAGCCCTCACAGCAGTGTCATAGCCCAGTAAGGGGCTTGGATCTTTGAGCCAGTCCAGCAATAAGTACTGTGTACTGGGGAAGGAGAAGTTTTTGGGGTGGAGTCGGGGCGGGGGCAGATTCATTTGAAAATGAATGGTAGTTGCCATTTATTATATGCTTACTATGCGCCAGGATATTCCTAAGCATTTTACATGCTTTACCTCCATTGTCTCAACAATCTTGGAAGATGGGTACTGTGATTATAATTAGGCCTATTTTTACAAGTGAAAAAACTGAGGCTTAATAAGTTAAGCAACAAATGGAGGGTCATGTGGCTAAACATGAATGGAGCCAGGATTTAAACCTGGGGCTCTCTGACTCCAGAGCTCTTGTACTCTGAATGGCTCTGCACAGTGCCCTCCTAAAAATTTTGTTTTGTCAAAATCCCTTTGGTACTATAAAGCAGTATTAGGTGAAACAGGGAAGGAAAGAATTTGCACCTATAGCAGTCGTATCCAAACTACAATATTTATACCTCAAGGGTGGTGTAAGTTTATTCATCAGGGACCTAGAAAAAAAGTTAGCATATGTATTTATATTTTAATGTCATCCTTTGCAAATATCTATGTATATAGTAGTACCTTCTTATTGCAATTTTGCTTTTCAAGGTTACAGTTTCCTGAGATCAACTGCGGTCTGAAAATCGGTGAGTACAACACAGTAAGATACTTTGAGAGAGAGAGAGTGAGAGAGGCACTATATTCACATAACTTTTATTAGAGTATATTGGAACAATTGTTCTGTTCGATTATTAGTTATTGTTAGTTTCTTACCATGCCTAATTGATAAATTAAACTTTATCACAGGTATGTAAGTATAGAAAAAAAATACAGTATAGCTGGGGCTCAGTACTGTTTGCAGATTCAGACATCCACTAGGGGTCTTGCAATGTATCCTCCTTGGATAGAGGAGGACTACTATATATGAGTTTTATCATGTAAACAATACATTAGTACTTTCTTAAATTTATTTTATGAACAGGGATCAAAAGTATTCTGTCTTGAGATTTAAAATTGCATGACCTTAGAGCTGGGAAAGAAATTTAGAGAACATCTAATCCAACTTCCTACTTTCCACCCACTCTGGCTAAGCTTTCTAGGATTATCCTCCAACCTCTGGTCTTCTCTTAAATGCTGTGAGTTTGCAACTTTCCAAAGGTTTGTTTTGTTTTGTTTTGTTTTGGCCACTATTTCATGGCAACGGAGACTCAACCGCTTCTTTCTAAAGACTCAGATCTACATATTCCAGCTGTAGACCCAGCTGGCTCAGTAAACACAGCATGTGGGCCATGCAATGGACATAGACTTTCATATGAATGGTGTCCCAGGACTAGTCAACCCAGTGACCCGGCATGCTGGTGAAACCAACCAAAAATAATCCTGAGACATCAGAGACACATGAATACCCTGAATGCAGAAATCCTTGCAATAGCGAAAGCTTGCTCTCTTAAGGCTGTTACCTAGTAAATTATCTTGGAGCTCTTCTCCAAGTTTCTCTTTCCTGACCTCCCCATTGGTTTTCTTTTTTTGTGCTTATGAATTGCAGAAGTCTTCAATCAACACAACTGAGCTGAGACTCCTCTAGAAGAGAGCTATCAGGGTCCTGACAGACAGCTGGTGAGGTGCAGAATGACATGAGTGAGGGGCTTGGCGCTGACGTGAAGGTTGAGGAGGCAGTCACCGGAACCCCACGCAGGCTAGAGCTGTGACCGACAGAAACGACGATGTGTGTTCCTAGAGGCTTAGGCAGTGCCAGAGAAATCACTCAGTGCCAGCTGGCTCCTGCATGAATGCTTCTCTAGACAAGCTGACCTTTGCTACTTAGTAGGGTGTACGTTGCCTCTAAGCCCATTTCCAATTTACTGACACCTGGTGGATTTTTATTCACCACTGAGCTCTGGCCCGAAGAGAGCTGCCAAACGTCCTAGGCCATCCATTCACTCAGCACTTATAATCGTGATAGTCACCACCCATGAAAGCTTTAGGACCTGTTTCAGGTAAGAGCACTAACTTTTGGGACAGAGCCTACCAGTGTTCAAATTTTGCTTTGATGGCTACTAAATAGCTACAGTTTGGAAGCTCTTGAGCTTCCTCTGGTCCCCCTTCCTAGCCTGTAGAAGAGGATATTGCTAAAGGGCTATTGTAGGTAAAATGAAATGGGATCAGGGTTGCAAATGCCGTTTTTTACTGTTGCAGTGTTTCTGCATCGTGTCGCCTGAGGGCTTTCTTCTGTGACCAGAAACTGCTCTGCCCCCAAGCAGCACTGGCCTGGAACTGGAGAATTAAAGACCTCCCTAATCCCACACGCAAACTTTGATGTGATTGGCATATAAGTATCTTAGCACCCTAGTATCATGAGTTACATGGCGCTGAGGCACATATTCCACGCTGGGCCCAGCACTTCCCAGAGGGACTGAGTCCCAGGGTGGCATCTCACTTGGTGATGTGCCTTGTACTGGTTACCTTCCCTTCCCATGTCAGCTCACTCTTCTACTGGCGTGTGCTGGAATCACCTCCCAAACCAACTATTTAAATCTTTGCTTCTGGAGAGACCCCAACTAAAATAATATGTATTTGCTCTAAGTAGTTTGATACAGAGCAGATAATGAAAAACAGGAGCTGACAATTATAAAGTGGAATTCTTGAGCAAGTGGTAAGCTCCATTTCTTAGCCTTCTACACCCTCCTCCTCACAACACCAGAGTCAAGAATTCCTGTCTCCTAAGGAAATGTCTCTTATGGCTTGGGTGGATGCTGTTGTAGGGGTATGAAACAAGCCAGTTCCCTTAGCCAGTGAGTATGCACTGGCTGTTTAGAATGTGCCCAACAGGCGCCAGCCTCTGGAGAGGTCATTAATAGCCTCGGGCATGGTCCCTGCCTCAAGTTGGAGAGTTAGGGCTCATGAAGTAAGGAGCAATACATTTCCAGCCCGTGCTGTTTGACAGCAGTACTTTTCAACACTCGGCCACATGTGCTGAAGCCTGCTGGTGTCTGCCCAGGTCCCCTCGACTGGAGGGGACCCTGTGCCCCCTCTAGAGCATTGATGAGTAACTCACAGCTGTCTCTCCAGAGAGTCATCCTTGGCCAAACCTTCATGTGGGCAGCTACCACCCACCACACCAGCCCCTCTTCCAGATCAGACCTCAGCAAACCTGACTGGCCTAGGGATACAGAAGACCAGCCTCTTGCGTCCACGTGGGACCAAGTCTGCAGTGTGACTTGTGCTCCAGAACTCTCCCACAGGCTCAGCCTGAAGTCAGGCTCCAGCGAAGCCCATCCCTGCCTGGCTTCTCTCCACAGTCCTATTCTGCTGCCCTGACTCCTCTTCCCTAAGGGCTATTGCCCAGCGAAGCCCATGGTCTCAGACTGGGCTTCAAAGAAACCTGACTCCATGTTAGCATCTTCTGCGGAGTTTTATAAAAACACATACACCTGAACTTAACCACCTAGACTTACTGAGCCAGAAGCTATAGAGCTTCAAGAGTGGGAACCAGACAACTGTATGCTTTAAAGCCTAATAGATATTTCTAATTCACCAGTTTATCTCTCAACTTTTCATTTTGAAAATGCCAAACTTACAGAAATAATGAAAGTATAATGTAGTGATAAATATCTACATACTCAGCATCTAGATATACCAATTATTAATATTTTGCTCCATTTTCCTCTCTCTCTCTCACATATCAAAAATAATTTGCAAGTAAATTGTAGACATTATGACACTTTATCCTTCAGTTCTTCAGCAGATATTATCCAAGAATAAAGACATTCTCCTACATAACCCCAGTGTCATAATCACCCACAGGAAATTAATACTAACTTGTTAACATCCCCAGAGCATACAGTCCATAGTTAAGATGTACCCTCTGTTTTAGGCCAAAGGTGGCAATTTTCTCAACTTTAGACTCAACAGAAGTTTGGAGAAGGGAAAAATCTGTATGAGTTGAATAGAAAGGAAAATACTTCATGGAGGAAAGAGGATAAGAATTGGGCTGTGAAGGATTGACATTAGAAAGAAGGGGTGGAGCAAATGCTCAGATAGAAGCAGGTAAATACCTATGCAAACATGCAGACATGGGCATTGGAATTGCCTTTTGTGGGAGGAGAAGACTGAGCAGAATTTGTGGACTAGGATAGGTAGGCTGTGCAGCTGGACAGGCCTCATGCAATCTGAGTACAGAGAAATTGCCAATCCAAGCAATCAAAAAAACAGTGGCCACACACCAAGAAACGTTAAAGGTGACTGCACTTAGGAGAGTGGCATCAGATTTGTGGGACACATTCAGGTGAATTCTAGTCAGGACCATGGCAAAGCATTTGGGGTCAGAATTAAACTGGGGAGTTAATTACTGATTGAAATTCATTTATTCATATATTCGTTCTACCAGCATTTTCTGAGTACATATTATGTGCCAAAATACCAATGTGAACACAGGAAATAAAGCACTGAAAAAACAGACAAGGTCCTTGCTTTCATGAAACTTAGGTAGGGGTGTGTGTGTGTGTGCGCGTGTGTGTGTGTGTTGGTTGAGTGGGGGTGCAGGAATCATTCAATAGTCAAGTAAGTAAGTAAGTAAATGAAGAAGAAAAGATTCTATGCTAGTGATATGGTTAAGACAGAAATTTAAAACAAACAAACAGGTTTAACCATCATTGGAGCTTACTTCAGAGGAAAAACATCATCTCAAGCACTGCTAAACTGGAGGCAGCTAACAGCTCAGAAGAATGAATTATTAAAATTTCCACAAGTTGGTGAGCTGATTGACATCACTCCCGTATCTTTAGGCCATGGTGGAATATTTACACAAATTGGTAAATGCCCCACATCATGGCTTCCTTTTTCCCGGGACAGCTGCCTGTTAAACATTTACCGGCACACCACCGCGTTCAAACCAAAACCTGGATGACAGGGAGTCCGCAATAGAAAAACCCAGGAGAGAATATTCTGGGCAACTGCTGCCTCACCCTACAACATAGAATACACTTGGCATGTTTGAGAAACGCAGAGAAGGCTGGAGTGTGGTGGCACAGGGGAGGGCACAGGAGAGGAAGGAGGTTAGCAGCAGCTGGTCATTTGTACCACATGGTCCTGGCATGGGGCACTGGGCTTTTATTTTGAACATTATGGGAAATCATTGGAGGAGTTTAAGCATAAGAGTAGCATTGTCATTCTAACTGGTGTGAGATGATATCTCATAGTGGTTTTGATTTGCATTTCTCTGATGGCCAGTGATGATGAGCATTTTTTCATGTGTTTTTTGGCTGCATAAATGTCTTCTTTTGAGAAGTGTCTGTTCATGTCCTTCGCCCACTTTTTGATGGGGTTGTTTGTTTTTTTCTTGTAAATTTGTTTGAGTTCATTGTAGATTCTGGATATTAGCCCTTTGTCAGATGAGTAGGTTGCGAAAATTTTCTCCCATGTTGTAGGTTGCCTGTTCACTCTGATGGTAGTTTCTTTTGCTGTGCAGAAGCTCTTCAGTTTAATTAGATCCCATTTGTCAATTTTGGCTTTTGTTGCCATTGCTTTTGGTGTTTTGGACATGAAGTCCTTGCCCACGCCTATGTCCTGAATGGTAATGCCTAGGTTTTCTTCTAGGGTTTTTATGGTTTTAGGTCTAACGTTTAAATCTTTAATCCGTCTTGAATTGATTTTTGTATAAGGTGTAAGGAAGGGATCCAGTTTCAGCTTTCTACATATGGCTAGCCATTTTTCCCAGCACCATTTATTAAATAGGGAATCCTTTCCCCATTGCTTGTTTTTCTCAGGTTTGTCAAAGATCAGATAGTTGTAGGTATGCAGCGTTATTTCTGAGGGCTCTGTTCTGTTCCATTGATCTATATCTCTGTTTTGGTACCAGTACCATGCTGTTTTGGTTACTGTAGCCTTGTAGTATAGTTTGAAGTCAGGTAGTGTGATGCCTCCAGCTTTGTTCTTTTGGCTTAGGATTGACTGGGCGATGCAGGCTCTTTTTTGGTTCCATATGAACTTTAAAATAGTTTTTTCCAATTCTGTGAAGAAAGTCATTAAACAACAGGTGCTGGAGAGGATGTGGAGAAATAGGAACACTTTTACACTGTTGGTGGGACTGTAAACTAGTTCAACCATTGTGGAAGTCAGTGTGGCGATTCCTCAGGGATCTAGAACCAGAAATACCATTTGACCCAGCCATCCCATTACTGGGTATATACCCAAAGGACTATAAATCATGCTGCTATAAAGACACATGCACACGTATGTTTATTGCGGCATTATTCACAATAGCAAAGACTTGGAACCAACCCAAATGTCCAACAATGATAGACTGGATTAAGAAAATGTGGCACATATACACCATGGAATACTATGCAGCCATAAAAAATGATGAGTTCATGTCCTTTGTAGGGACATGGATGAAACTGGAAACCATCATTCTCAGTAAACTATCGCAAGAACAAAAAACCAAATACAGCATATTCTCACTCATAGGTGGGAATTGAACAATGAGATCACATGGACACAGGAAGGGGAATATCACACTCTGGGGACTGTGGTGGGGTGGGGGGAGGGGGGAGGGATAGCATTGGGAGATATACCTAATGCTAGATGACGAGTTAGTGGGTGCAGCGCACCAGCATGGCACATGTATACATATGTAACTAACCTGCACAATGTGCACATGTACCCTAAAACTTAAAGTATAATTAAAAAAAAAAAAGAGTAGCATTGTTAGAATTACGCTTTTAAAAGATGACTTTGGTTGTTGGAAAATGAATTGGAGAAAGTGAAGAGTGAAAGAACTCCGCAAGTGCTCACGAAGCAATGGATGTACAACATTGTCCACTGCAGCATTGTGTGATGGCAAAATATTAGAAACAGCCTAAATGTCCATCAATGGGTGAGACGGTGAATTAATAATGGTATAGCCATACAATGGGACTGATAAATAGTTGTTTAAAAAACAATTCTTTCCTTACTGTTAACAAAATGTCTCCAGTCTATTATTAAACGAAGAAGTTGGGACAAACCAAATCTAAAGGATACTGTTTTTTGTGTAAAATAGTGGGGACATAAATTATATTTTTTATGTATTCTCATGTAGCTGAAAGAAATTATAAGAAACTAGTAGATAAAACCATATTCAACTGACATTTTTGAAGGTCAAAAATGATCAAAATTGGTCATTACATATGTTTTGGCTTAAAAGTTGCTATTTTTAAATTTCATATTTGTTACTTAGAGAATAGATGTGGTACAGTATTGTGAGGTGCACTTTTTACCATATGTCCTTTTATGTTTTATTAAGCCATGAGAAAAGTCATTTTATTAACTATTTTAAAATTAGACAAGTGTAGATAGGTAGATAGATAATTACATAGATAATAGATTGATAGATAGCTCAATAGATGGATTAGATAGATAGGTCAATAGATAGATAGATAGATAGATAGATAGATAGATAGATAGATAGATAGATAGATAGATAGATGTAGATAGATAAGAACAAGAAAGAGATGAAAAGCTTTTGCAGAAATGCAAGTAAAAGTTTACGGTAATTGAGACTAGAGTAGCAGGAGAGATAGGGAAAGACAGATCTGAGATAAATTTTTGAGACAGAAGTGTAAGGATTGGCCATTAGATTTTATCTTTGGCAGGATGCAATGGAGATAAAAGGAGGCAAGGACAGCATCCTCTATTCTTGCTTAAGCAATTCAATGTGGTTGCTTGAGCTACTAAGTCAATGGCTCCTTCATTTGTTAAGATAAGAACGAGGGAAGGTGTAGGTTTGGTGGCAAAATCAAGATGCATGTAAATGCTAGCTTTGAGAGGTCTGTTAGATGCCTGAGTGGCTATGTCACTTAGGCACTTAGGTAAACAAATCTGGAATTCAGGACAGTTTAGGGCTTTGAGCTACAAAGGTAAAAGTCATCCCAACTGTGAGAAGGGACAGGAAGATATTTTCAAAAGGGATTCTGGCAAATTTTAGGGCTTTTTCTTCTTCCATCATCCGAGATCACCATACAGGTTACACAATGGGTAAATCAAACAGGGTATTGGGGAGAAATCAGTAAACTAAGAAAATTCTAACAAGTTTCATACATTTAAATGCTCTGGTGCTTACATAGCATGTATTATTCAGGCCATGTGATCCTACGAAAGTCATCTCGAAAGTTAGGAAGAAAGGTTTTCAAGGCTGACACAATCACCCTGGGGCCAATAGGAGCTCTCCATCGACACAAGGTCGTTCTGAATGTCAAGCACCGCACATCCTCCCCCTGCTTCAGTGGGAGGTACGTAGGCACAAAATAAGTTCAAATAGGGGCAAAACTGAAATGATTCTATTTTCCCCCTAAAACCGGCAAATCCAACCATAAAAAATAACTCAAAGAGAAATAGAACTCAGCTATTGAAGATGGCAATACAGTGACCTGGTCATCTATAGGACTGGGAATAAAAGAGTAAGTGACAAAAACAAGATAAATGGAAACATGATCAAAATAAAAAGCTTTTGTGAGATCTAATGACTGCAATTCTCTGCCTGGGATTCGGGCTCAGTACCCAGCAGGGTTTGAAGTGAGTCTGGCAGTGGGAAGAGGAGCAGATTCTCTGTGGGTTTGCAGAAGAAGCATGAAAACCCAGGCTCTGAACACACCAAGCACACTCATCTTCAGAGAAGATGGTCCCCGGGCACTTCTGGCGAGCGTGGAGCTGTTAGCCTTGCATCTTCGCTCAATGCTAAAAGTGGATAATTAAATTCTATCACCCTAACGAAATTCCCCCTGTCATTTACACTGTAAATTGTTCATGGAGCCTTCGGGAGACTTGGGAGTACAAACCTAAGCAGGAGATCATCCACTAGCACAGAGCTAGATGAAGACCAGTCATTCACGGAGGAGTGTGAGCCCCAAGGGGAACTCGGGTGAGAGATTCAGAGAAACTCAGGAAGGAAAGTGGACAAGACTACATCAAAACGGCTCACATTCTTTAGGCCCAGAGCTGTCCCCACTGAACAAAATTCACCAGATAATTACCAAATGTGTACTTAGTTTGGTGTGATGAACATCTGGTCTCAGTTCACCCTGGAGAGAAATACACATAAATTGGCGGGTTAACAGCCCTCTTGTCTACTCAGAGATATTCCAGAAAAAGAGGACATGCCTGTGTATAAATGTTGTTTTTATACTCACTACTGCTATTACTGCATCCCTGACTGACAAGGAGGGAAGACGGTATAAAACTTTTGCAAAATTTCAAATATACACATATTTATTAATGTACATTTGTGGGGTCTTGTGGAAAACCACAAGTTGCTGCATTGAAAGCTACGAAAACTCCTGCAACAAAAGGAAGAAAATGTTGATTCATATTCCCTCTGGATGTGAAGAGATCATCAAGACCCTCAAGATGACCTAGTGCCTTTAGATCAGTCTGTGTTGCTCAGTGGGACAGCACAGGCCCAGGGCAAGTCTGGTTTTATAATCCGTTTTAGGTTCTTATTCTCTTTCAAACAATGGAAACTTGTCACTGACCCTTACAGGGAGTTCATAAGAAAACTTTGGGATCCAACAGACACCAAAAAATGTACATTCATTTTATGAACCTAAGACAGGAGCAAGGGGTAGGTGGGGGAGGAATGAATTAAGGCAGCGATGATGACAGTGAAATGCATTATTACCTAGTTATTCATGCACTCTTGGCTTTTCAGTTGATGAACTTTTCACACCAGAAGTGGGGAAGCTCATCAACTTTTCCTCTCCATATGTCTTCTTCTATCTTCTCTTCTGTCTCACCTAATTGTTATGCACTCAATATGGACAAAGACATTGTTCTCATTTTAACTTTCTCTACAAAGCTCAGGTGCCCTTATTTGACTCTGAAACACATTTTCACCTCATCCGGCATAACCTGCCTTTAGTTTCTGCAGCAATTCCTTATGTGTACATGAATGGGGAAGCTCCCTGGCTTCTTTCATGATACAAGTGCAATATCAGAGTCTAGCCTCTCCTCCCGCTTTATCACACTAGTAAAAGCTTCTCAGTTTCCCCTGCTCTACTCAGCTGCCTCTTCCTTCTCTCCTTTCCAGTCACCTAAAAGAAAACTGAAGAGTCCAAAGGTGTTGGTGACCTTGTGAAGAACCCCCCAAAAGTCTAATTGCACTTAAAAAGCAAAGACCACCCTGCAGAAATGATTGCAGATGTTTCTAACTCTATCTGCAGGCCTAAGAAAACACCGAGATCAGAGGGGACCTTTTTGGATGGATCAAATTTCTGAATAGTTCATGATATACAGACTTAACTTCTAGAAGGCTAAACTTTGTAATTATTAACAAGGTTGTTCACATAATGTAGGTAAGCTCCTCTGTCCTGTGAAACAATCCATTTACATGCTTCCTGAATCATCCTGGGAATTTAAGATCTTTACAACAGTAAGCTAACTAAGGCCCTGGACATCAACCTTCTGGTTTGACAACCATTTATTTGCAAGCTGTGTTGACATCACTCCTATGTGACAAATTTACAAAGGAAGAGACACAGCCTAGCACATGAAATATAAGATGATTCTATGTCTTAAGTACTTAAAGCCTATTACCAAAATAGGTGTGCAATGTTGCTGTTATAAATATCATCCTTAACACCTTTTGATTCTTTTACTCTGAAGTGTCCAACCTATTATGGAACAAAGAAAGGCCGCCTTTTAAATCTTGCTCACTTTGGCTTCCTCAGAGATGGATGTGCCCCCTCTGAGCTCAGTCTCACATAAAAGCACGCAGTGCACTGCTGTAAATCTGTTTTACATCAGCTTTTATGTGAACCAGGCCTGAGCTCGGCTTCATTATCCTTTCTTTCTTTTTTCTTTTTTTTCTTTAACAACAAAAAAAGTGTGGTCTCCAGCTAACTCTGATGATTTGCTTTGTAAATAACACCAACTATTCACTTTCCTTTAGAGAAATCTCTTGGGAAACCTGGGACCATGGGTCTCTTGTCTGGTATGGCAGTAGGAGCCATTGACTAGTGGATGTGCCCTCCTTGGGCCACCTTCAAGGCACTTGCTCCCCGTTGACAGCAGCCAGGATCTCTGGATCGCACTGCTTTGCTCTGGTGGGGCCATTGCAGGCCATGATTCTGCAGGTCTAGACCCCCCAAAAATGCCATATTGAAACCAGAGAGAAAAGTTAATATGTCTTCATCTTGAATCTACCATGTGATCCCCACAGAAACATACTAAAAAGTTTGAATTTTATTTTAAAGTAGCTGTTACAAAATTATGGTTTTCTTCTGTGATCACATTAGTCTTTCTTGAGCTCTGCCTATTCAAATACGGCCTTTTAACCACCAGTTAAAGGATTGCGATTATATTTTAATCAATAGCAATTTAATTAAAATTAAGACTGGTATAGTGGAAATAACAGTGGAATGAGAGTTTGTAGATTTGGCTTCATTGCTGCATGATTTGGGCAGGTCAGTGTCCCTAAGCTGGAGCTTACTCATTCTTATAATGAGAAGCTCTTACCAGATAACCCAAAAGGTTCCACCTGATTCTAAAATTCTCTGGAACTGTGGTTTTATAATCAGTGTGTGCCCATCATAGAAGAGATGATCCTACAGTCCTTAGCTAGGTTTCATTTGGCTTAGGTTAATATTGTTTGGATTTCTGACAATTGCCCAGAAAATACTTTTCTTTGCCGATAGCTGTCCTACCCGGAACAGAAATTCAGAAAAATTACGGTTATATGAGAATTGAGGAACTTTTATTGAGCAATAATTTGACAAATTGTACTCTGCTAAGATTAAAATGGTGGGCTAGGCACATACCCATTTACCTCCAGTCCCATCTAAAGAACAATTGAAACAAAAGCGTAGAAGTGTAAAAAGAAATAAACTAACATGTAAGCTAAGTAAAGAGGGCTAGGACATGGGGGCATCACTAAGCAATAAGAAGTTTTAATATATTTCTTGGAGACAGAAAGCAGGCTGTCTAAGGACGCAAGTACAAAACGCCATTAGCTACAAGGGGCCAGCAGGTGAAGTGGGGTCTAGACTGCCCCATGAAACTCTACAAGGGTCTGGGCTGGGAGTGAGCAGGCATAGAAGAATGAAAAGTTAAACTGAAAAAAGGAGGAAAAAAGTTCCCTAAGGAAATTGAACAAAATGTGGAAAGTTAGAGTTTTTAGTTAAGCATGCTTGTACTCTTCTTCTGGCTTTTCTCCATGCCATTCAGAGCAAAATTCCCATTATTCTCTCGTCAGTGTTAACAACTAAACAAGGAGTGTTTGTATATAAGGAGAACTGCAAGCAGGAAAAAGACAAAATCAAAGGGCTCTGGAAGAAAAAGACATGATTTAAGAAACAGAATAGAACTTTCACCATTATCATCATCATCATCACCATCTCAGAGAGATTGACAAAGATACTTTCTCCACGATGAAAAGGGAACAATGGGAGCATAAGAATAAGCTCATAAATATTAAAATGCAACTGACAATTTAAAGTGCTATGAGTAGAAAACAATATTAAGAAAAGCTCCTAGAACACAAAGCACAGAGTCAAAGAAAAGAAATTATAAGGACAACTAAGCTACAGAGGAGCAATTCAAGAGATGTAACATCCAACTAATGCACATCCTACATAGAAAGAGAGAATAAACAAATTGAAGGAAAGGATTGTCAATGAAACAAGAAATGAGAGTTTCTGCAGATCAAAGACATGAGACTTTAGATTAAATGAGCTCCTAGAGTATCCAGCATACTCCAAAGAAAAAGAACTGCAACTAAACATAATGACACAGACAAACAGAAAAGCTTCCAGATGGACCAAAAAAAAAAAAGTTACCTACAAAGAATAAGAATCAAACATGCATCCCATCTGATTCTCAATTAGCAGCAACCTGGATTCAGGAAAAAAATGAAGGGGTGCTTTCAATGTTCAGGAGGAATATAATTTTAATCCAGAATTCTATGCTCATCTAGACAATCAACTAAGTCTAGATGATTGCTACTCAGATGATATTCTACTATCAAGAAGTAGAATAAAGTTGCTTTTAGAATGTAAGAATAAAAAATGTTACTTCTCAAACACCTTTTCTTGGGAAATTGTTTGAGAATGGACTCCATCATAGGGATGATCCCAGAATAGAAAAACTTGATCCAAAAACCAGAAAATCCCACTTAAGAGGGCAGCAGAGGCCATTCATCATGACTGCTGTGTATGGAGCCTAAAGGTGATCCATAGAGATGGGGGGAGAAGGATGGTGCTCCAGGACGGGAGTGGAAAAGACAAACAGAGGACTCATGAAGACAGAGGGTCTCATTGAGAGTTTGAAAAATAACCGAGGGCATGATAAAGACAATGGCACAACCATAAAAAGATATTAATTTCTCTCAAAACAGCATAAAAATGCACGTTCTAAATAGAAAACAGTATAAACTAGGCATGATTTTAAGCAAATGATGGGGTGTAAGAAAAGAATCTATTTGACTTAGAATCTAGGAATAGTCTCCTAGAGGGACCTCCCATAGAGAAGGAAATGTAATCCCAGCCCTCTCCTTGGCCAGAGATTGAATAATACGTTTCGTGGTCAGAATAATGTAAATGCTGTTTATTAATTTTCAACTTTTAAATAAAATCTGTGGACAAAGAACAGAAGCCTTGCTTGTGGCTGCAGTGCAGCAAGTGAATGATTTATCAGCCTTGACAAAGCGAGAGAAAAAGAGTGTGATATAGAAGGGGAAGAAAATAAGGAATAACAATTTAGAGACATTAATACCCTCATGTCCACTAGAGAATAATCAAATGATAGCATCAAAAGTTGATGTTGTAAAAATCCTTATTTTTTTAAAATATATTTTTAAGTATATATATTTTTATTTAAGTATATATATATTAAGTATAATATAAAAATATATTTTTAAATATATTTTTAAGTATATATATTTAGTGTAACCAAATAGCGTAATCTCTTAAAAAACAACAATAAAATTTTCAAATATTGAGAAGGATACATATATACATACATTATATATATATATATATAATGTATATATATATAGTGTGTGTGTGTGTGTGTCTAGGAGGAGCATTGATAACCTAAATTCTCATCATTTATATAAGAAGTAGATTAAGATTGACTACAACTGGTAAATGAAGAAAAAGTTTTAAGCATACTTCCTAGGTTCTATTGTGAGGCCCTAGATTAGGACATGGTTTCAACCCTGGCTACACAACACAAGGATCTGGGGGCCTTAAACAATACTGATGTCTGTGTCCCACCCCTGAGATTCTGATTGATTTAATTCCATTAGGATGAGGTTGGAGTGTTGAGGTTTTTTGAAAGGTCCCAGGCCAATGGAAAGTGCAACCAGGAGAGAATCACCACTCTAAAAGGACAGAACATGACTGACAATAGAGGGAATAGGGGGTGGGGCCAGGGGCTGTTTATAACACTAGATTTATTACAATATGCGTATATTATCTTGATTAAAGCTGAATAGACAATGTTCAAGGTGGATTTGTAGTGATAATAGGAAGCATCGCCAAGGTATAGGGCCTGGGTGAGGAACACGTTGGGATTCCAGAACACTGTAGACTTTGGGGCATTGGGGTTGAGGTGTCATCTCTCCATTTCTTCCTTATTTTAGAAAAGAGGACCGGGCCAAGAGAGACTGAGTAATAGTTGGTATTTATACACAATAAGACACTGTGCAGCTGCAAACAGAAGGAGATCCTGCCATTTGGAACAGCATAGAGGAGTCTGGAGGACATCGTGCTAAGTGAAGTAAGTCAGGCACAGAAAGACAAATACCACACGATCTCACGTATATGTGGAATTTAAACAAGCCAAACTCATAAAAGCGGAGAGTAGAATGGTACTTACCAGGGACTGAGGGACAGAGGGGGTTGGAGAAAGGGGAGATGTAGGTCAAAGAGTGAAAAGTTTCCATTAGATGGGACAAATGAGTCTTAGTGATATATTGCAGAACATAGTAACTATATTAATAATAATGTCGACTGGGCGCAGTGGCTTATGCCTGTAATCCCGGCACTTTGGGAGGCCAAGGCAGGCGGATCACGAGGTCAGGAGTTTGAGGCCAACCTGGCCAACATAGTGAAACCCTGTCTCTACTACTAAAAATAAAGAATAAAATTAGCTGAGGGTGGTGGCGAGCGCCTGTAGTCCCAGCTACTTGGGATGCTAAGGCAGCAGAATCACCTGAACCCGGGAGACGGAGGTTGCATTGAGCCGAAATCGCGCCACTGCACTCCAGCTTGGGTGGCAGAGTGAGACTCCGTCACAAAATAATAATAATAATAATGTCTTGTATATTTCAAAATTGCTAAAAGAGATTTTCAATATTCTCACCACAAAAAAATAAGTAGGTGAGGTGACGAATATATTAATTAGCTTGACTCAATCATTCCACAATGTATACATCTCTCAAAACATCACATTGTACCCCATAAACATATACAATTAATACCGTCACATAAAACTAAGCTAAACTAAAATAATAATAATAAAAACAAACAAAACAGTCAGAAGAAGGGGCAAGACTCTTGATCCCAGCATGTTTCTGTCATCAGCATCTTTCCCTATGCAACCATCTCTCTCTCTGAGCTCCATTCTGTCCTCGTCCTGCACATGCACTGTTTGTCACCTTTCCTCCCCTGACACCCTCCTGCTCCCCTCATCTCAACAGCACTGGAAAGGTGCACTGTGTCTGTACATACACGCACATCTCAGAGCACACGGCGCAGCCTCACTGAACTGGACTATGCTTTCTCATTGTTAAAATGGGTATGCTTAATGAGCTTCAGGACACTTTCTGTTTCAAAATAAACTAAATTATCTTGCATTTTACTTCTGCTTGGTCTTCAGTTTCCTTCCTCTGTGGGTTGCAGAGCCTCCATGGATAAATGGTTCTTTAACCTAGCTGCAAAGATACCTTCACGTCACAGAAGCAGCAAGACAAGTGAGTGACCTGCTTAGCATTATACATCTTATTACAGAGGAGCTGAGTTCACTGTTTTTCTGGCAGTTTCTGCTCTTTGTTTCTTCTTTTCACTTATATCAATGTGAAGGACACATATATCTCTATCCTGTCCCCACGGCCATGGAGAAATATGACAGGGCCAAAAACAAAGGTAAGAGATTTACAGACCCCACGAGATCCCAATTAATCGAAACCGTTGGTACTATCACCGCCTTCTGCTTCTGAGGCCTCTAAACACGCAGCCGTATCCTCCCATAAAGCAGAGTGTGTTGACACTAGAAATAAAATATCTGTACTGGTGCTCAGAAAATGCTTTATATGCATTCCAGACCCATACTCTGTGTTTAAACTCTAGCTTTTTAGTATAATTTTAGCGTTAGAACTTAACATTTTTACTGCCTTTTTCTCCAAATAATCAATATTGATTTTACTGTATCTGTTATTATCCAGACATTAAGATTTATTTTCTTGCTTTGCTTCATCTGAGACTGTGGTTTGTAGAATGCACATTTATTCTGTTCTTTCAGGAAAGCTCATGGGATAATTATCTTGCCCCACTGGCGAATCATTCAGTTTATATTATATTGAAAAATAATCATTGGCTTTGCCCCTCATCAGGTTTGAACAGCTTTCTTATTATTATGTTTACTGGTACATTGCGATAGCATCTTTGCAGGCTTTGGAACTGTTAAGGACTCAGAAACTTGAATCCATTTAAGTAAGATCCCTGCTCCCAGCTTTCTCAGGACTCTGCTGTGCAAAGTACAAAGCACACTGATGTTCCACTTTTCAGATGCATTTTCTACCATTGCCTTTTATCCATGCTTTTATAGACACAACGAACTTACCTTAGACCGAGTTGTCAGGAATCTTGGGTGGAAGTCATAAGAAATGAGCAAGGGAGGAACGGATAACCCAAAGAAAATTCATTTTTTATATCCATATAGTCACTGTGACTTATGCACTTGAGCCTTTCACAAATCATCTAACTTTAGAAGAAGCTGCAAGATGTAGTCGAGAAAGCATAAAATCAGAAGCCTAGGATCTACTCTTCATGAGCTGTATGACCCTAAACAAATGACCTAAGCTTTCTGAGCCTCAGAGTCCTGCCTCAGTGGAAATAATAACACAGGAATATGTCATATTGTTTGGTTTTATGTAGTAAATAAATGATATTACATATAGTGGTTTACAAATGTTACATATATATACAAATGTGTATATATACACACACAAATGTATATATACACACAAATGTATATATATATACACACAAATGTATATATACACACAAATGTGTATATATATACACAAATGTATATATACACACACAAATGTGTATATATACACACACAAATGTGTATATATACACACACAAATGTATATATACACACACACAAATGTGTATATATATACACAAATGTATATATATACACAAATTATATATATATACACAAATGTATATATACACACACACACACACACACACTCACATTTGTGTGCATGTTTAAATGATTTCATAATGTAGGAACTTATACAAAATATCCAGAGGGAACATATTAATAGTTGTGAGAGGATCCACTTATTTATTCACTCATTAATTTATTCACTAAACACACATTTATTTGCACCTGCTATGTGTCAGGCTCTGTGCTAAATGCTAGGCTTCAAGAGGGGATAAATTACATGGATCCTGTCTCTCATGGATCATCCAGTTAGTTGGACAAACAGACATTGGTCTGATAGTCCCACAGATGAATATCAAATGACAGTTGTGACGAGGTCTATATGAGGCACATGGTGCCATGGAAGCCTAAGGTGGCACCTGAGCTGTGACTGGAGAGAGAGAAGAAGGGAGCTGATGGCTAAGGTTGAGGGGACAGCAAGCCAGGCCAAGGAATGGCATATTCAACAGCCCCATGGCTGGAAGGAGGAGCTCATAGAGCATCAGGAATGGAAGAAAAGTCAGCGACTCCACTGGAATGAACACGTTGGACAGTGCTCAGTTCAGAGGCAGGTAGACAGGTAAGGAAGCCAACAGTGATACTGATGAACCTCAAAGGGAGGGTTAAAATGACTATGTCTGTCCTCGGTTTGTAGATTGTTTGTGCTTCGGTCTTTATAATTTGTGTTAAAGAAAACTAAAAAACACAATCCAGGAGGTAAAAATGGAAATGAGCAAACACGTGGCAGGATAGTGGCCAATAACACTGAGAGAAGGACATGCGGGGACGGGCTGAGGGGGAAGCTGGAGCTGAGGCTGAAAGGTCAGGGTGCCCATGGTGTCTTTATAAATGTCCTGTGTGCGTTATAGGACTTACAGGTGTCATGATGGGCTGGAGTCACACATGGACATGATGTGTTTATGGAGAAGGAAAAGCAAAACAAATAGAAGCAAAACCAGGTGTGGTGTAGTTTTAAATCACACTGGGCTGGGTATAAGGGCTTGTTCCATAGTATCTCTAGTGATTCCTAGAATTCAGTCATTCTATAACTCTACTACTCCCATCTCCAAAGAAATCGTCAATGCTGGCAGAGACAACTCTCTGTCTTAAGGGATCCCTTAACTCCCCTCCTGGTGCTGATGTTTTTGTCCCAAGCCCCTGTCCTGTCCGTCTCCGTAGGTGGGCAGGAAGCTGTGAGAAGGCCCCGCGTTCCCGGAGCTTCCCTGTTGCTGGATGATCTCGGTTCTGGAGTGGTGTTCGGTGGAGACTTTGGGAAGTTATCACGGCTCACAGGCACGCTGCTCCTGCTGACCTGCCAGGAGAAGGAGCATCTGACCCTGACACTCAATTAGCAGAACAGACGGCGTGTAACGTATGCTTGACACTGATATGATTTAACGTTAATAACTGGTTTTCAAATATTTATTACAATGGCTGTTTTAATAAATATTTCATGAACACTATTTTTTTCAAAAACCCTCTGTTGTCGGCTTTGCTGCCTTAATTTGCCTTAATGAGGGTTTTTTAAAATGCAGTGATAAATTGCTTCTCTGCCAACGTACAGGAGGCAAAGAGAGTGCTTCTGGAATATCCGTCATCTGGGGTAGCAAACCAGGAAAGGATGAAGACCCAGCACAAAAAGATCCCAAAAAAGGGACAGGCAGGTGTCCTGCTGCTCCACAGCTTCTCTGATACCAGGAAGTGTGTCAGTGACAGATAGTGGCACAAAGCCCTTGGACAGGCAACTGAGGAGTATAGGATCTTCTTGGGAAGTCCTGGAAAATGTTGAAGCAAAGGGAGAATCCTGGCCCAGCCCTGCTTGGAGGGCAGAGGAGAGCAGAGCCACTCTGGGGCTTTGCAGTCTAAGTCAGTGCTTCAGAACATAAGCCGAGCAGGGAGGGATGAGGGTCTCCGTAGGGATGGGGTTCTCTGCCTGCCCGCCAGGATCCTCTGCAGTCCTGGGCATGCACAGCTGGCTGAGGGCTGCCGCCTCTGCCTTCCCCTAAGTGCCTGTCTGCGGGATTTGCCTTCCCTACTTCCTGAACTACTCATTTGAATATTTCTGAAACAAGGACACCTCTTGTGATCCATGTGTACATTCCATGTGGAAGGGGTCTTGTTTTCCCTGGAAAACCCTTCTAAAATGACACTGCGTCCTCTCACTGAGGATGCGAGGTGCAGAATAAGCTGCCTTCCCCAGCCAGCATCCCAGCACCCAGGCCCGGCTGCCTGAGGACCCTATCACTGCTGACAGCTTCTAAGTTCCACTCCCTCTTGGGAGAAAGCACCTGAGGATGGCCTGGGTACCCATGGCCACTGTGACAATGCCTCCCTCACCCCACTACCTGCCCCACAGTGTTCACATGACCAAGAGGTGCCCACGTCACCCCTCCTTGGTTCCGGTGGGTCATCCTTCCTGGCAGGACTTGAGTCTAGCCCTCCACACCCCACAGAGCCACAGAGAGGCACCGTTACCCGGCATTGCTCAATTTCATGTTCTTTCTTGGACTGGAAGGCTTATCCGTTATGACTGCCCAGAGGCAGAAGCAGGCAACCCAGCTGAAGTCCCTGCATCCCCCACCATCTACCTGGAGCAAGGACCCTTCTGGACCTGTGCCCATCCCTTGCAGCCATGCCTCTGGAGGCCACCTCCACAGACGTTCTAGTCCCCAAGCCCTGTCTCCTTCCAGTGTTTCAGTCTTCTGCCCTCTGGTCCCAGCATTGTACCACCTGGACTCTTTAGCCTTAACTGACCTTAAATGTTTTGTGTTAACGGTGTTCAGAGCAATTGCTTCCTAATGATGGTGTTCATATTGCCGTGGCCTCTCCAGGAGGCCACTTTACCACCGAGTTCCAGGAGCTGCCAAACACACTATCTACCCGCGTGGAAAGCCCTGGAGTTGTACAGGTCTCAGCATGCGTGGTAGAGCATGGCAGGCCTGCTCTCTGGCTTTCCAGATTCATCAAAGTGGCAAAGTTATGGCTCCTGTGAACCCACTCTGGAATTTTAGCTAATCCTAGACAGAGGAGACAATTAAGCAGAGCAAGCATTTTGGAAACATTGACTATGTCCCATGCCACACACTGGGATCCAAAGCAGAAAAAGATGTAGAGGAGATAAACACATAATACCCTCTGCAGCTGGTTACATTCTATATCAGCATGCTCAGGGCTGTAAGTTAGGGGCACTCGGCCCCGTATCTAAAGATGGTGAGAAAGGGTACAATGGGCACGTGAACTAACTCCCAAACTGATGAGGGTCAGCCACTGGGAGAAAGGTGTGGGCCGAAGGTGGGGTTGGGCGCATCAGCAAAAGAGCTTGTGAGCACAGGCACCTACCTGCTCCCCGAGGATTAAGTGATTTTTTACATGGTTTAGTGCAGATGGAACATAAAGTGTGTCAGAAAATGCTGGGTTGAAGCTGAGGAGTCGAGCAGTAGTCATGTCACGGAGGGGCTCATTTACCTTGTTAGGAAACTCTCTTATCCTGTAAGTAATGGGGAAACCATTGAAGAGGTTTTTAAAAGGGATGATATGATTAGATTTGTGTATTAAATCATCAATCACTCTGGTAGCTCTGGAAAAAATAGATTTGAACAGGACAAAATAAGGCAGAAGGCCCAATCCACTGTCAGTCACCCAGTAGTTTAATATATAGAAGATGATAAAGATTTTAATATAATACCACTAATATTTATGGAGTGTTTGTTATGTGCCAGACACCATTCAAAGCTCTTAAAAGTTTTTCATATTTAATGTTTACAATAACTCTACCAGGAAGCCACTATGAAGATTTCTATTTTATACAAGAGAAACTGAGTTATAGGGAGATGGAGAATTTGACTGAGGCATATGGCCAAGGGAGCTGTAGCACTGAAGGGCAGGCGCGAGATTTAGGAAGCCTGCAGAAGGGACCCCGGAATGCTAGGATAGGGGTAAGGAGAGAGGGAGGAGTCAAGAGGTTCCCTAGGGTCCAGCATCGGCCGCCAGTGGATGGGGTTGCTGACTAATAAAGTAAGTAATTTAGGAAAACATTTTAAATAGAGGGGAAGAAAGAGAATTCATTTCATTTGGAGCCTGAGCCTGAGGAGTATGCAGGGTATCAAGGCAGGAGCGACTTTAGGCTGGAGTTCAGAGGAGCTGCCTAGGCTGGAAGTAAAGATCTGCTAGTTGCGCACGTGATTATAGCTGATAGCTCGTCCTAGCCCGGGAAGGCTGTCTGAATGCTGAAAATACCTACATCCTGTTTTTGGCCTAAGTAAGTATAATCAGAGAACTGATTCTGATTCCCAGCTTTAAGAGTTGATAGAAGGTGACTAAAAATATAAAGGCTGGGCCTAGCCTGTTATAGATAACAGCACTTCCCGGGCTCTGGTTGCAGCTGTGCGGTTCCTCCCACCTGTTGCTGAGCTATGAAGCCACCAGTCCCAGGCTCACCCCTTACTGGCTCTGCTCACAGCATCGTGCTGCCCCTTTCTTACCTGTTAGCAACAGGCAGCATGAATACTGAGGGCATGGTGTGCCCAGGCAAGCCAGTGGCTAGGGGGCTGGTCTCCTGCTGAAGGAGTGGCCTGCATTTTTTCAGAAGCCATTGGATAAGCACTGGAATAACCTGGTAGAAAGTCTGAGTGAGGCCTATATATGACCCCCAGGGACAGAGAACCCTTTTCTGGTCCCAGCTCTGGCTGTGTTCCACAGTGTAAGACAAAGAATGTTTGGAAAGCCAGGACAGCAGCCAATGAGGGCCTTGATTAAAGGCCTGCACAGGAGCCCTGCTGTGTCAATGGTCCTGCTGTGTCTGATGCGCCTCTTGGTTTAGTGGCCGTGGATGATTGCTACTTTTGATTCTAACAAAACCAAAAGAGGTAGAGTCAGCTTAGGTTGTGGGAGTTGGGAGCAGAAGAGGAGAAGTAGTGATTGAGGTTTGGAATAAGACTTGAACACAGCCCTTGCCGACGACCACGGGTCTTAGTCCACTTGTCTATTTGCATTGCTATAAAACACTACCTGAAGCTAAATAATTTATCAAGAAAAGAGGTTTAATTGGTTCAAGGTTCTGCAGGCTGTACAAGAAGCATGGTGCTGGCATCTCCTTCTGGCGAGGACCTCAGGAAGTTCCCAGTCATGGCAGAAGGGGAAGGGGAGCCAGCATGTTGCATGGCAAGACAGGGAGTGAGAGAGAGAAGGGAGGAAGGTGCCAGGCTCTTTTTAACAATCAGGTCTCCTGGGAACTGATAGAGTGATAACCCACTTATCACTGCAAGGATGGCAACAAACTATGCATGAGAGCTCTACGTCCATGACCCAAACACCTCCCACCAGGCCCCCACTCCAAAACTGGAGATCAGATTTTAACATGACATTTGGAAGGGATGAATATCTGAACCACATCAATGGGCCTTCTAGCTAAATCTTACTAGTAGGCGATGTGGACATAGAGGACAGTGAGTCAACAAGGGGAATCCAGATGACAGCCAGTGCTTCAAAGATTGACAGAGAAATGGAAGCCCAAAAGAAAGGAACAGTTACACAGAAAAGATGGGCAAAATTAGAAGTAACATTGGAGAGGAAGGAAGCTGCATGGAACACCACAGGCCTGGCCTAGACATTAGAGAGTTAAGAGGCTGCAGCTGGCCTTATCAGGGCATTTGAAACCAAATTTCAAGGCAGAGAGATGATACAGGTATGAAAGAAATGCAGCCACTGCAGGAGAGAGCCGGGGCTCAGGGAGGAGGTGTATTCACCCCCCAGGGTTGCCATAACAAATTGCCCTAAACCGGCATCATCAAACAACAGAAATTCATTCTTCCATGGTTCTAGAAGTCATAAGCCCAAAACCAAGATGTCGACAGGCCATACGCCCTCTGTAGCTTCCAGAAGAAAGTCTATTCCTTGCCTTCTGCAGCTTCTGGTGGCTGTGCGCACTCTGCGACTTGTGGCTGCATCACTCCAGTGTCAGTCCCTATCTTCACCTTCTCTGCGTGCCAGTCTCAAAACTCCCTCTGCTTCTCTCCATAAGGTCACTTATGATTGGATTTAGGACCACCCTGATGATACAGAACACGTTCCTCCTTCCAACAAATTTAACTTAATCACATCTTTTGCCAGTGAAGATGATGTTCACTCCTCTGCCTTGTAAGGCAATATTCACAGGTTCCAGGAATTAGGACATGAATACATCTTTAGGGGGGCATTTTTTTCCCACCTACCACAGGAGGAACAGTAAAATTCTGGGCAGAAAAGAAGAAATCGAAGGAAATAAATTGTTAAAGAAATGGGAAGCGATGACACATTGGAGCAAAATTCTGAAGAGTTGAGAATATCGGGAGAAGAAGCAGACCAAAAGCAAGTCAAAGGACTGATTGATGAGTGGCACGAAGTGTGGAGAGCATGAATCTTTATTGCTGCTGGGCTAAGTGCATGATGTGCCTCAGCTTGTTGGCCTGGGTAGGAGCAGGAGCCGTGTGTCACTAACTCAGGAACTAGGGCTTTGCTGTTTGTTGTATTGCCTGTGTCATGTTTGCTAAGTGCCCTCTTGCCAGGGAAGAGGGGTGCCATCAGGTGGCCGGAGCCGGCCCACTCTCAGCTGCGCAGCAGCGTGGACCAGTTTATCAGCCTTTCTCCCTGTCACTCTTGTCACAGACAAGAGGCAGTGAAAGTGGGACATGCAGCTTCTGATGGCTAAAGGTGGGGAGATATTCCTAAGGGGAAAGAACTGGGTACAGGAACCAATACTTGGTGGGGTGGAAGAGGCTCTAGGGTGGGAGGAAAGCGCCCACAAAGAGGGCAGCAGAATTCCCCTAGGTGCTGAGGGGCAGGCTGATGTTGCCAGGAGGAGGGCCTGCCAAAGAAGAAGAGACCTGCTGACCCCATCCCTGTTGCTTCAGGTGCCCATTCCTGTTGCTTCCCAATCTGCAAACACTTGCATTCCCAGGATACTGCCAAGTCTCTTCAGTTATCATGGGCTCCACTTACCAGCTGCGTGTTCTTGGGCAATTCACTTCACCTCTCTAGGCCTCAATTTTTTCACCAATAAAATGGGGCTAGAAAAGCATCTAACTTACTTCAAATAATTGCTCTGAGGATTAACGGAGTAATGCAAATAAGAACCAGGCACAGCCCCCAGCACTTAAATGCTCTTGGCAAGGGACAGCTTTTAGTTATTGTTACTAGTGTCTGGAGCTCAGCATGGTGGCTCACACTTGGAATCCCAGTACCTTAGGAGGCCGAGGTGGAAGGATTGCTTGAACCCAGGAGTTTGCAACCAGCCTGAGCAATATAGCCAGACCCTGTCTCTACAAATAGCTGAGAGTGCATGCGTGTGCCTGTAGTCCCAACCCTTTGGGACGCTGGGGTGGGAGGATCACTTGAGCCCGGGGAATTCGAGGCTGTAGTAAGCTATGATGGTGCCACTGCACTCAAGCCTGGGCAACAGAGCAAGAAACTGTCTCTAAAAATAAATAAATAAAATAAAATGAAATAATGACTACTGTCTGGGACTTGGAGCCACAGCGTGATTCACATGCTCTGGAGTCCATAGTGAGCCCCACTTCCCTCTTCACAGTGAACATTTTTCCATTTTCCCTGCAAAACTCTGCTTTCTGGGTTTCTAGCAAGGGGGCTTCTCCTCCCAACACTACCAGGGGAATGCTGCTCCCCACAACTGAACAGGGAAGCCCCACAGCATCCCAGGATCCTGTGGCTGCCCTTCCCTCGCCTGCAAGTCAGGATGCTGTTTATTTTTATTTTTATTTTTTCAAAGAATAGCAGCCTTTTCTCACCTGATCCTCCACAGCCCAGGTATCCATACAGCAATTTGTTCCAGATGCTGGGCAATTTACATAGTCCTGCTCAGCATGAAAAATATTTCCCCAATGCTTACCAACCTCTGGAAAAGTGGGTGTTTTCAAGCCTGCCAGCCAATCGTCAACACTTCGCTGGAAACGCATGGGCCTTTAATCATTGTCGTCCAAACATGGGAAGAGCTGCAGCCAGCAGAGATAGAATTCTTGCTGGTGCAATCCAAGGAAGTCGTGCAATCTCTCACCTGCTGAGCTCCAAATAGAAGCCCACGAGGAGTCATTGTTCAGTTGTCTCTCTGGGAGATGTGTTTCTAGGAGGTTGGAGAGAGTTTACCTGATGAGTCAAGCGGGGTTTTTAGCTGAAGCAGGACCAATGGGATAGAAAATGTAGTCCAAGAAGGAAGTTTCATGAATCACACCCACCTTCCTGCTGATAGAGGGGCAATGCTCCCTCCCTGCAGGGGTAGACATAGCTACCGAAATGTTGTGTTTATTACCTTGTTACTCAAAGTGCAGTCACAGGACCAGCGGCACCAGCAGCACCGGGGGACTTCAGAAATTCAGGCTCTTAAGACCCACCTCAGACCAACTACAAAATTTGCATTTTAACAAGATTCCTGAGTGATGTCTGTTCACAGTACAGTTTCAGAAGCAGGGATTTATGGGACACTCGTAAAGTCTCCATTCCCTCTCCCACCCCAAAATATCTTCTTCCATTAAGCTCTGCTATGGATGCCTGAAATTTATGTATTAATCACTTCTCAATTAAGACTGAACAATTCTTTTAAGAAATTACACTATAGAGTCATTATTACACCAAAGTCCTACTTCTTCTGCAGTCCTTCAAGAAATGACAAGACGAGATTTTCCTTAAAATCTTTTGCTTGAAAATGCCTGCCTACATCTTGTGCTATACAACCACCTCAGGCATAGCTGATGCCTTTGCAGAGATCATGGTGTAGTCTGTTGTTTCTATATGCAGGAGATTAAAAATAATGTTAGATTCCCAAACAGTTTCTTCCTAGGATGCATATATTTTATTTTTGCTACCTCAGTACCTAGCTCAGTGCCAGCTTAGAGTTGGCACTGTGTTTGCAGGGAGGCTGAACACTACTACCTGTTCTGAGTGTCGGTTATGTGACCAGCGCTGAGCAGGACCCTCTTGTTTGCTCTCTCTTTCCATTTCTCTATCAATGTCTGATATGGTTTGGCTGTGTCCCCACCCAAATCTCATCTTGCATTGTAGTTCCCATAATTCCCACGTGTTGTGGGAGGGACCTGGTGGGAGATAACTGAATCATGGAAGCAGTTTCCTCCACACTGTTCTCGTGGTAGTGAGTAAATCTCATGAGATCTGATGGGAAAACCCCTTTCATGTGGCCGTCATTCTCTCTTGTCTGCTGCCATCTGAGATGTGCCTTTTGCCTTCCGCCATGATTGTGAGGCCTCCCCAGCCATATGGAACTGTAAGTCCATTAAACTGCTGTTTCTTTATAAATTACCCAGTCTTGGATATGTCTTTATCAGCAGTGTGAAGACAAACTAATACAATGTGTCTGCCTGCCCATCCCCACAGATGCATATCCTCACTACAACTCCACTGAGTACGTAGTAACTGTCTCTCTTTCCCAAGGCCACACAGCTAGCATGTAACTGGGCAGGTCACTTGGCTCCAGAGCTCACACTTTTCACCAGGGTATTTTGCCTCCAGGTAAAGGGCTGAATGGCTCAGTGGTGAATGAATGGTGAGAGATCATGTTAGGGCTTCTTAGCAATGTTGACTTTTCAGGAGTGACTCCCCAATGCATCTGAAGGTGAAGGCTTATTTTTATTGGCCTAGAGGAGAGAGCAGCAGCTGCTGCTGCCTAGTCCTGAGATGGAGCAGAGACCCTTCTTATAGTCCTATACCTGCTACCAGCCAGCATGAACACAAAAGAAAATCTTGAATTCCTTCAAAGGAAACTCCAGGCACCTGGCTTGCCTTAAAAAGTAAATGAGTAATTTGATAAGCAAGAAGGTAATAGTAACTTAAAACAATAGCCAAGGAAGGTAGAGTCAGGAGATGTTTGGTTGCCTATAGAAGCTACAGAGAGCCATCTTATCCTGTGTTCCTGATTGTTTCTCAGAAACCCAGACCCCCACCAAACAGATCCACTGGCACACAGACCTCAGATAAAGGGGAACTGAAGGCTGAACCCTCCATTCTTTGTTCTAAATTTCTTCCTGAAGGGCCTGAGGAAGTCACACCCATGAGCCAGAGCTCACATGCTTTTCTGCTGACCCCAATTTTTAAGCAAAGCTTCTCTTCCTTAACCAACTGCAAATCAGAAAATCTTTGAATTCACCTTTGACCTATAAGCCCCTACCCCTTCAAGATATCCCACCCATTTAGGCCAAAACCAATATGAAACGTCTTGCACGGATTTAACAATTTTTGCCTTTAATTTCTGCTTTCCTGAAATTTACCCCTGCCTTTAAAAATCCTTTTCTGCAAGCCATCAGAGAGGTCAGGCTTTAAGTGTTAGCTGCCTTGTCCTCTTTGCTTGGTGCCCTGCAAATTAACACCGTCCTTTCGCCTGCTGCGGACTCAGTGTGGAAACCTAATGTTACTGCACTGGGCAGGCGGATGCCCCGCCAAGCTTCAGGAGCTGGTCACTCCTGTTTGAAGGTCATCCATCATGCTTTTTAACAAAACTCCAGTGGAGGAACTTCATGAGGAAACAAGCAGATTAGGATTCAGCGCAGGTTCCTAAACAAGTGCTCAAATCCTTCTGGGGGAATCAAGCTATAAAAATTAAAAACAAAAGCAAAGATCAAAAATCAGTTTCAGTAAGTGTCAAGTTAAAAACTAGGATTTGTACAGTTCCCCCATCACCAGCTTTCCACCCACATGGTTTGAGAAGTTCAGAATGCCCCATGGTACATGATTAAAATTCCCTCTTTTGGTGGCTCCCCCCTCTTGCCTTCATCTTCTTTGGTCTGAGCCGACACCAGAGACAATTAGGGACTGTATAATCATTGCTGCTGGGGCTGAGCTTCTACTCACATGCTCCTCAGAAGGGACTGATTACCATATTAAGCATCTTTCACTTGACAAAAATCAGTGAGAATGTTTTCCTCCATTTTCCCCAGAATGCAGACAAGAGTGTCAAAAGGGAAAGGCGACGGGAGCCACCAACGAGGACTAAATAGTCAGAATCTTCTCTTTATCTTTCATAGCATTTATTTCCTTTGATGTTGAAATCTCCTTTCTCTTCTTGTGTTTTATTTATTTGTTTTTGATTTATTCTTCTTCTTGTTCTGCTTATTCTCCTTTTTAAACTGCCATTCAGAGCTGCATCCCCTTCTGCAGAGCCCTGAACCTGCCAATGTCGATTGGAAAGGTCAGCCCAGCTCTGGAAGTTTGAATCATCATGTAGCTGCAGCCCCAGAGGCTGACCTGCACACCACCTCAAATCTAGCCAATGGGACTTGAGGATCTAACTCATGATTGGCAGCTGGCTTGAGAATATCAGGTCTTATTCACTATTTTCAATCAACAACCTAGAAAGGAAAGGCAACCCACAGAAGCCAAATTTGCAACAGGCCCTGCAGTGCTTTCTCACTTTAGGGCAAGTAAAGTGGCCACTTATCAACTATCCAAATAATTCAAGCCCTAAACACCATTTTCCTTAGAAATAGTGAAATAATTGAAGCAAAAGGAGCTTTAGAAGTGATCTGCATCAGTGATTTCCTTCATCTGCCACATCACTTTGTCAACCTAACCCAGGACTGTATCAGTAAGACCACTGGGTGTGGGGACAATGGGATTAATGTATTAAGTGTCTTCCATGTTCCAAGCAATGCCCAAGGAGCTTTGCATACATTATCTTATTTCGGTTTACACTTGCTAAGATCTGGGCCTCTACCTACCCAATTCTGGAGTAGTCCATTCATTCAAATTATCACAGTCTGCAAGTCATAAATAAGGGTCAAGAGGATTGCAATTTTAACTCTTGGAACTATATAAAAGAGAAACCAATTCATAATATAGAGCAACACTTCCCCAGAACAAACAGTCAAACCACCTTGACTCCCAACTCCAGCTCTCCTCTGCCCCACAGCTACTACCTTGGAGCCCTCCTTTAGACCTTCCCCTTCCAGTGTCCTCGGGTCCCTTCTGGAGCTCCTGCCACCAGGCCCTAGTCTTTCATTCCTTTCTCTGCTACCTCCTACCTTTCCAGTCAAGTCTCTCTCTACTCATTCAGTGGATTCTATATCACAAAAACTGCATAACCAGCTGTCAAAGACAGAATTCTCATTTGGATGAAGGAGGAAGAAAAGCTTTACTGGCTGCCAACAAAGACATTTTCTTTGATGGGGTGGTTGGGGCTATATGGAGTAGGAAAAGGAAAGGCTGAGAACATTCACAGGGTAATGAAAGGTGTGCCTGTCTCACAAGCTAGGTGACAACCTCAAGAAGAAGATATTATTATCTCTATTCCATAGTGAGCAATCTAAAGCCCGGGTGAATTGTCTGAGGTCACAGACCCAACAAATGACAAGAATTGTCTGAGGTCACAGATTCAACAAATGACAAGGATTGTCTGAGGTCACAGACCCAACAAGTGACAACAATTGTCTGAGGTTACAGACCCAACAAGTGACAAGAATGGCCTGAGGTCACAGACCCAACAAGTGACAAGAATGGCCTGAGGTTACAGACCCAACAAATGACAAGAATTAGAACCAAGATTTGTATGACAACAAAACCTACCATTTTTTCAGCAAACCACAGGTTTTCTGTGGAAGATAAAATGAACCTGAGATGAGCACAATAAGAACAATAAGATTCTTAAAACCTATCTCTCGTCACCTTCAGTGAAACAGATGTATTACAGGGGAAAGATGTAACCAAAGGACATCGCAATTGAATCCCAGTTAGCTCGTGATCCATCCGTTAACATCCTTTCAACCCTTGCCCAACATTACCTGGGTCAGTTCTTCCTGATGATATATAGGTATGGCCTGGCTTTCCTTAATAAGTACAAATTCATTCATTCAACAAATACTAGCTAAATGCCCACCATGTTCGAAGTCATGTGAAGAGGTGGACAGGCATGATTCTTGCCCTAAGAGGCAAAGGTCAGAGTCAACTTGGGGAGATAGTCATTTAAATAATCAGAGTGTACAAGATGGTTGAGGGAAAGAGCAGGAAACACCCAACTGGACCTGAGTGGATTGGGAAAGATGTCACCAAAGTCACAGTATTTGACTCTACTTTTGGAGACTTACGTCCTCCTACCTTTTCATTTTAATCTTCAAGATTATCTTGAACTGTCCTCAATTTTCATACTTAATCACTGTTTTTCAGACTTAATCAATCACTGTGTTCTAAAGAAATTGTTAAATTGACCAGGCCCAGAGCCACATCCCCCCAAGATGAATCACATAGGAAAATTATATTCACTGGGCCCCTGCAGAGCTCAATTTTACTCACTGGCACAAATACTTTTTGTGAATCTATTGAGACAAAATTGCAAACAAATAAAGACATAGCCCCTGGCCTCATGGATCTTAAGGTCTATTAGAGGAGATAAATACTAATCAAACGTGTGTAATGTATGTAATATTTCATCCAATGAAGGTGAAATTTCTACTGTGCCCTGAGATCATAGAAGAGAGAGATCTGCCCTATGTTGGAGGGGAAGATAGAGATTTTTTTAAGAAGAATCAGTGCTTGAGCCAATACTGGAAGGCAGTAAGGGGAAGAAAAAAATCATCTCGTACAGACAGAATAAAAAGCCCATGGTGGGAGGGGGCAGAGCAGAGCACGCTGCTGAAAGAACAGCAATGTCCTGAAGTGGAGGGAACGAAGGGGAGCAAGGGGCAGCTCTGAGAGGCAGGCACCTGGGTCGAGCCATACAGAGCCTGTAGGTGGGTTAAATACGTTGGTCTTTATCCATGAGTAACGTGAAGGCTTTTATGCCAAGGTATGGCAATATCAGATCTGCACCTTAAAAAGGCCCTGTGGGCTTCTACCTTGAGAACACTTTGCAGATACACAAAAGTAAAAGTGGGAGACAAGTTAGGAGATTACTGCAGAATTCCACAGGAGCTGGAAAGGGTGGAAAGGGCCACAAGCTTGAAATTTTAAAACATGGCTCCGGTTCTGAGGTCTCCCGCTCACATGGCATGGAAGCCTGAGCTGTGAAGTCATCTTTGAGTTTCCCCGGCTACAAAACAGGACGAGATACTTCTACCTCCTTCCCAGGGTGCTTTTGAAGGTCAAATTAAATAATGGGAAGAAAAATATAAAATGTATCATGATAGAAGCTTCATAGCAATACATAAATTAAAATATATTTAATGGGTACCTACTGCTATGAGTCTCAGCATTCAAATCAGTAAGCCCACCCAGAAGAAATAAAGCCTGAAGAAAATAACGTAATTTTAGGTTGATTAGATAAAGACAACGTGGTCTGTATACACCATGGAATAGTATGCAGCCATAAAAATGAATGAAATCATGTCCTTTGCAGCAATGTGGGTGCAGTTGGAGGCCATTATCCTAAGCAAATTAATGCAGAAACAGAAAACCAAGTATCACATGTTCTCACTTACAAGTGGGAGCTAACAGTGGGTACACACAAACATAAAGATGGGAACAAAAGACACTGGTGACTCCAAATGCAGGGAGGAAAGTGGGACAAGGGCTGAAAAACTTCCTGCTGGGTACTGTGCTCACTCTCTGGGTAACCAAGTCAACAGAAACCCAAACCTCAGTACCATAGAGCATACCCTTATGATGCACCTGCACATGTACCCCCTGAATCTAAAATAAAAATTAAAAAACACACCAAAATAAAATAAAATAAAAATCAGTGTGCATTCGGGGAGATACCTGAGGGAGCAATTTTGAAAGAGCATCGAGCAAGAGAGAGAAGAAGAGAGCAATGGGGGAGGAAGAGAGAGAAAAAGACATGGAAGAAAGAGAAGGGTGACAAAGGAAAAGAGAGAGAGAGAGAGAGAAAGGATGCTAGGGCAGTTTCCATTTAGCTGTTTAAAACAGAGAATAAGAAAAAAAAAAAAGACTTGCGTAAACACAGAGAAAACAAAGTCCATTTCTATCCTCAGAATGCTCGCTCTGCCTCCAGCCTCATCATCTCATGATGTATTTATAAATCAGAAGGCCTCCTTCTTAAATAAGCCATGATGCTATATATGTTTCCTTTTTACAGAGTTTTGTTCATTTTCTGCATTTTCCCTGTGCAAACCTTTGCATAATTACCCAATTGATAACATTCTCCTGATCCTCCAAAAAATAAATAAAGCCAAGAAAAGAAAGGCTTATCCTGAATTTTCAGAAATGCTGATTCCAGAAAGAACAGAAATGATTTTTTATTTTGTTTCTGTTCTGCAGTTGTATAGCAACAACTTAGCTTTTTAAGTGATGAATAAGTTAATCCTATTATTCATCTTTAAAAAATTCTACTGAAACCATTTTAAGTTTTTATGACAAATGGAGTATCTTGCATTCATAATGTACTTGGAATTTAGAGCACAAATTTCCCACAAATATCCAAAGAAGTGTTTTCAGATCACTGCAATTCTCCTGAATATTACCTTTGATATCTCTCGGCCAGCTCTCTCCCATCTTTTTCTCTCGTTGGCCCTTTCCCATTGATGGCTTTGTTCCTAGAACCTTCACTCCATACAGCGTGTCAAATGCTTCCCAGAGCTTGGAGAGATGGGCTTTTGGCTCCCTATACCAAGCCTGGCCATGCCAACTGTACAGAAATCCAGGGCAATGGGGTGAACGCCACCTGCCTGTTGGATTCCTTTCCTTTTCTGCCTGTGCTAGCTTCTCCCAAGCTGTGACAGTCTCTCTCAGAGAGTGACCGAGTCACCTTGAAGTGGAAACACATCCACTTGTGAGTTCTGCAACAATGTGATTGAAATTATCCTGCTAGCCTAGCAGATAATTATCTTAATAAGAAATTTTCTTTGAAAACACAGATTCTACAAACTGCCTCTTGATCTCCCAACTTGAACCAAGCAAACAGCTCCATCTCAAAATATGATCTTAGAATGAAATTAATATTGATTATGAGGGGAAAAAGTGCTGCACGGAAGATAGTAAAAAATTATTTCAGATTGGGGGTAGGGAAATAAAACGAGTATAAAAATGAAGGATTAGCAAAGCACTATAAAACGACAATAAAGTCCAGTGTTGTTAAATCACTAAGTTAATTAATAGAAGATTCTGGAAGAATATATTAAGGTACTGCTAAGTTATGTGACCTGATTTTAAAAGCGTTCAACAGATTAAAAAATTGAGAGAGGGGGACATGAGGGCAGGAGGCTGGATGCTAAACAGGACTGACCTATATTAATTTTACTCATGCCCTCATTCATTCATCTAACACTAACTTCGTATGAGCCCAGTGTGTGCAAATATGCATTAAGTGATACAGAGAGGACAGATCACCGTCCTCTAGGCACTTATGAACCATCCAGAGGAGATCGAAACAGGCATCATGCTTCAGCCAAGAAAACATTAGAAGAAGAACCACCCCATACCCCCCCGAAAAAAGGAAGAAAGTGGAAAGTTGTACTAGAGGAATCAGGAAATTACCAGCCTGACCCCCCCAACAGGCAGACAATCTCTGCAAGTCTTTTGCATTTGCTCGCTGGATGGAATTACAGAGCTGGGACCTGCTCCTTCATGGAGGTAGGCTCAACACAGAAAAAGAACATAATTCCTGTCGACAATCTCCCAGACAGAACAGATGCCTCGGGCAGGACTCCAGAATGTAGAAAGTAGGTGACGGGTGTTGAACTGATATCCAGAACAAGGGACGAGTCTAGGAGCAAAAAGGGAGGAATTACTCCCCACCTGTCATGGACTCTTCCTGGAAAGGGATCTGTGAACTTGAGAGGCCAGGCTGTAGGTTGTATAATCCCTTAGATACATGTTATAACTCTGTTTATTTCTAGAAGGCTGTGTATCAGAGTAACAGAGCAAGAGACCAGGAGGCAAGCTGTTTTCATTCATAACCTGACTCCATCACTAATTAGCTGAATAATCTTGGAAAAGTTATTTACTCTTTCTCTACCTTCCTTCATTACCCTTAAGATGGGAGTCATCACAGGACTTACCTTATGGGGTTGTTACAAAGGCTAAGTGATTGCGTGTAATGCACTCAAGATAATTCCCTGCTTCGAGTGAACATTCAATAATTATTTGCTATTAAATAATTGTCATTTAAAAAAACTAAATTTTTGCCAGGCATGGTGGCTCACACCTATAATCCCAGCACTTTGGGAGGCTGAGGTGGATTGCTTGAGGTCAAGAGTTCAAGACCAGCCTGGGCAACCTGGTGAAACCCTGTCTCTATCAAAAATACAAAAAATTAGCCAGGTGTTGTGGCATGCACCTGTGGTCCCAGCTACTTGGGAGGCTGAGGTAGGAGGATCGCTTGAGCCTGGGAGGCAGAGGTTGCAGTAAGCCAAGATTACACCACTGCACTCCAGCCTGGGTGACAGAGAAAGGCCCTGCCTCAAAAACAAAACAAACAAACAAACAAACAAACAAACCCTAAATCTTAACAAAGTTGTATTTGAGTTACTGAGTGTTCATAACATTTCAAAATAATGAGTGAGAACACTGGACCTTGTCTCAGGGGCATGTTGAGAACACGCAAGGGAAAGGGTCTGAGGAAAAAATGATTTGGCCAATACAGTAGAAGTCAGAAAGAAACTCACAAAAAAGGGTTTCTACAGGCAGAATTCGAGCCCTAGGTTCCAGAACCCCTATCCTACTATGAGACTCTCCTTTCAAAGATATTCTTTAGGGGTCTGGTTTTCATTTTGATTATGGGATTTTGATTATGCCAATACTCCAAAAGAAATTTGGAAAACATGTCATTCCCTTGCATAAAATCCTGCAGTAACTTCCAACTGGAATAAATTACATGCTCCTAATCTTTCAAACTAATTCCCAGTGAGGTTCCTGGGTATATTTAGCGAGGACCTTGGCTTTCAGGTCATTTCATTCATTGGCCAAGCCTACCCCCCAAATCAGGTAAGAATGTATGTCATGCAAAAAGGGCACAGACACACACATGTGCACACACACATCCACCACTACCACCACCACCACCAATGTCATGCATTGAAAATGTATAAAAGAATTCTTGAGGAAAAACCAATGAGATAAGAGTAGCAAAGTGCATACAACCCTGGTTCTTATCCACGAAGAGCTCTGTCCAGGCTCAACAGGGCTGCACGGAGTCCATGGCTACCAACATGGAAAGGACTCCAGGAGAGAGACCCTGTCACTTTATATAAATTTGTATTGCATTGCACGTTTACAGGAGAGTGGAGAAGTTGGCAGGGAACACCTAGCTGACAACATAGCACTGGAAACCTCCTTTTTTCAAGAAATGACACTATTAGAAAGGCTGGGATTTAGCGCTGGTGTCCACCTGATCCAAGGAGCTCACCTTGAGCTTCTGAGTCAGCATCTGGCCGAGTTGTCCAAATAGGGAGGGAATGAATGGTTCTCTGATGCCGTGAACACCTGAACAACACAGGCCCCATGTGTTCTTGACCATATACACTTAAGGCTTCCCCTTAGCTCCACTTCATTACCTTCATTGCCACCCAAGAGTTAATATATCCTAAATCCACATCTCCAGTCTTGACCTCCTACGAGAACTTCACATGGGTAACTTTTCTGGCTTGTCTCACAATACCTCATACTCAGCATATCTAAAAACGGGTGCCCCAATTTACCCAAAACCTTCTCCCTTGCCTGATTTCCCTAATATAATTGATTGTTTCAACCTTTGCTGTGATGGACCCACCATCTAATCCAGAAGCCTGGCAGTCATCTTTGTCTTCTCCCACGCAAACACTTGTCATAGTCATGCATTTCCAGCTCAGGCCAATTTTTCTTTTTGGTTTTTTAATCTTTCTCATCATCTCCACACCTGCACTCAAGGCCTCAGTTCAGATATTCAGCATCTCTTGTCTGTTTCATTTCCTAGACCTTCTGTCCTCAAGCCTTCTACCATTGTTAGCTACCTGAACTCCAGATCTGAGCACGTCACCGTATTCTGTAGTTTAAAACTCATTAAAGGTCTTCATTGCTTACATTCTTTAAAATGACCTACAAGGATTTCCATGAACCTGTTTCTCATGACTCCTCACCCTTTACTCTGTCATACTGAAATACCTTCCACGGGTGAAGGCAATACACTCCTTCTTGCTCCTGAGCTTCAGAGCATAGTGTTTTCTTTCTGAGGCATGTTAGGGTTTCCTCCTTTTTACCACCTATCCCTCTTCTCACTAATTCCAATCTACCCTTTATACTTCAGAGACAGAGACTTTGTGATCATTAATCAAGATGCCAAAATATCAAGCTATTTGTGAAGGTCCATTTGTGCCAAAAGAAAATCTAGAAAACCTGAAAATCTCCTTTAATCTTTGCCAAGCTTGAATTGGCCCTGTTCCATGGCTGGTGTCTTCTATTACTGACACCACCCATATCGGGGTAACAATTTCAGCTTTACAGTCAGTGGTATTACTCATAACAGGTCCTACTTTCTTCTAACCAAAGGACTTTCCACCTCCATAACCTTACCCCAGCAGATCATCTTTGAGCACCCAGGTATATTTCATAGTTTTGACAGGAATTCATCTTCACTTTGCTACTTCAATTGCCCTTGTCCCTTCCTCATCATCCTACGCAAACAGCCAGAAAGAAAAGACTAATCACCTCCGAGAACCCTCCAGTGTTCTTCCACCACCACCACCAAGTTCATCTCACCATGAACTTGGAAAAACCCTAGAGCTTCTTATGCAAAATGAACTTGGTGGTGGTAGAAGAACACTTGGGGGTGGTAGATTGAGAAGCCTGGAAATGTTCTTCTACCACCACCAAGTCCACCTCACAGAAGAGGCTTCTTAGAGGTAATCTTATGCGAGATAAACTTGGTGGTGATAGAAGAACACTAGAGGCTTCTTATGGGAGATGAACTTGGTGGTGGTGGAAGAACACTTCCAGGCCTCTCAATAAGAGAACAGAGTTTTGCATTAAGTCCCCTCCCTCATTTCTCCACCCCTGGGCCAGCCATGAGCAAACTCTTTCTAGAAACATGAAATCTCACAGGCTCCAGAGGCCAAAGAATTGTACTGTACTCACGTCAAAAAGCATCAGCTGCCAGGCAAATTAAGGGCAAAGTCTGATTCCTTATATAATGGCTTCTTTTTATCCAAATTTTCAGATACGAGACTGACTGTTCCCATCACCAAGAACTGCTACACTGCCAAATTCTATTTTTGTTAATTTCTACTCTGAATCTCCAAATTCAGGTATTTGAGAATCTCCTTCTATGTCTGTGCACCGTGGGCGCACTAGGCACTCCACGTCCAGCACCCTGTTCTGCCTGGGACATGATCGGCCTGGTGGAGGATGAAATGGGCCCAGCCTCAAGAGAGATAAATTAGATACCTAGCCCACAGGTGCTTGGGATTCAGCTTCTCTGCCATCCGCCATCCATGTTCTCCTTCTTGACCTATCCACTTCCCTGCTTATTCACCCTCAGTGACCCCCAGTGCCCACAGTCTGAAGCTAGGGCAGTGGGCTCGGCTTTCCCATTGGTCTGACAGACCTTTTGATCTAATTTCTGCCCATCTGCCTAGGCTCATCTATCTAAGAGAGGGGTCAAATGTGCCTCAAGGACATGTCCATCATAACCAGCTGTTTGAGCAACATATTAAAGGAAAGTATGGCTTCCCAGAGAACTCAACTAATAATGGCCCAGGCCTTAAAACTGTCCTTAGGGAAAATGTGTGTTGGCAGATAAGCTCCTTCAGCAAGAAATATTTATCTTAGCTCCAATATTGAGTCAAAGGCAATATGGGTAACACTCAAGAGAGAGCCAGACTATGTCAGGACTAAGTGGGTTAAACCACATTAAGGATTATTGCCAATTCCTTGGTAAAAAGAAGCTGAACGCCTATCTCAGCATTCACAGCACTGCCTTTGCTCTATGCTGCAATGAAAAATGAACTGTGGACAGTTCTCATTACACATTGTGAGTCTATCACAATTAAATCCTTTTGTCTCCTTCACAGAGCTCCATGTTGAGGAGCCTCTCTGGCCATCGTTATATCTAAATGTCAGGTCCACAAGGTCAGATCCTCCCTGATGATTGGCATCAGAATTCCAGCATGCAGAAACAAGAGGCCTGGGTGTGCCCTTCCCTTCTGCAAAGAAGGTTGTCTTAATGAGACTCAGCCCTGTCTAGATTGATCCTATAATGAAATGGCATTGGGTTGCAAGCTCTTTCAGGGAAACTCCTTTTTCCAGGGGTAAATCCTATGACTTCATGGCCTTTGCACTGGCTGATACCCCAGCTCCAGCCTCTGAGCCTCCTTTCCTGACCTCAAACTAATCACCATATATGTCCTATCCTGTTTTCTGCACCCTCATGGATTCAGCCATGACATTGCCAGATCCTTGCTGTTAGGATAGACATTTCTACAAGACTTCTACCCCTGCTCACCTGGCCAGATGCAGAGCTGATTATTGACTCTAACTCTGACTACATAACCAAATCTAGTCTGGCCTTTGTTTTGACTTTATCCTGCCTGTTTGGCCAAAACCACGTTCAAGGGAAGAAGGCACTCCCTGCCCCACCCTGGCAGGTCCCCTGGCCTGAATTCTTCTTCATGGCCTTCCTGGACAGGCTGAGTAGATGGTTTGGCTGAGGCATGTGCTTTGTGGAGGACAGTTATGGGAAATGGGGCTATAAAAGCAGATTGGGGTCAGCCTGGGGAGGACTGGGAGTGAGAGAGAAAGGAGCCTGCCTGCTCCACTCTTGCAACAGCACACTACCATCTCAGAACAACACCAGATTTCATTTACTGGATAGGGAGCAACTCCATTAAACTTCAAAGCATCACTTGAGAGCGGATTATTTTCTTACCAAGGTGACTGGAGGTATTTCGGTTCTAAGACTTTATGATCACATTGTCTCACAGGCAGCTTGACAACGTCTTATGTCTCTGACACTGGAGGGATTTATTCACTTGAAGCGCGGCACTAAATCCTTGGCGGGCACTGTATGTAAAATCTGGCTTTATAAATAAACACTACTTTGCCCTTCTGCCTCCCTTTCTTCTGAGAATCTGCAAGCCCCCGCCTTCTCATAATGAAATAAGCCTCATGCTCCTACCTTGATGAAAGGTAGATGTTACCCTTGCTGTGTTTTAGAGGCTTCCTCCTCTGGAGGATTGGAATGATAATATCCATACCTCTTTCCCTCCTGAGGCCTGAAGAAGTATGAGTGGATAATGACGTACAATTATTCCACTTGGAGACCTCAAGGAAGAAGCAAGAATCCTTTGTCCTAAATGCCACCGCTGTGCCCTCTTGTCTCACCCTTTCCCCCAAAATATCCTTCTGCTCCCTAATCTAGCACAAATGCATGTTTCCAATGAAAAGCCCATTGGGTATTTCCTACAGACATGGTCCTCTAGCTGGTCTTGAATCTTCCCGATGATGGAGAGCTCACTGCCCACAAGGGAGCTGGGCATGGGAGACAAGCACTGTTGGTCACGTGAAGCTAGAATCTACTTACTTGTCAGTGTTGCCCCTGGGTCCCAGCCATGATGCTCTGGAGCACCTCTGAGCAAGTGTTATTCTTTCCCCACATGACACACCTCCGATATTTGAAGGCAGCTATCACAGCTACTTTTTATGATTTCCTTCTTCCACGTGAGCTAGAGGAAGACTTTGGCAAACAGGAAAAACTGTTCATGGTGGCTTATAATATTTCCATTTTTAAAGAAATAAACATGGAGCAATTTGTCACCCATTTACTGTCCTATTTTTTTTTTTTTTTTTTTGGTAGAATAAATGTTATTTTCAGCTCTGAATCTACCTCGGTTAACTCTTTGTTTCTCAGGAAGATGCTGAATTTGGTTGTGCTCTGAGGCCTTTTCTGACTGTCCTCCTAGAAAATGTTGGCTGTGTTCCTCTCTGTGCTCCCAAGATACTCTATTTAAGTTATTGCATTGTGTTCTTTCAGTTCCTTTATACCCAGGCCTGCCTCTCAAGACCTTAACAGTCTCAAGCACAGCCCATATTTTACTCATGGTGGGATCCCCAGTGCCTAGCAGAGGGCCTAGAACTTGGTAATGACAAAATAAATGTTTGCTGCTGAATGAATGCTGTCTATACATCATAATAAACAGGGTTGCCAAGATTTCTTCAATGCCTTAAACTATTGGGAATATGTTACTTTACAAAGTTGGTTTATTATTTCTCCTGTCAGCTTCAGGTTCCAAAAATATGGAGCACGTGTACAAATGCAGAAGCAACTTTGTGTATATATACCCCATAAAGAAGACCTATGCCAGCGCTCTGCTGTATTTATCTGGCGACTAGCATCAGTGGTGACACATAAAACTATACAGTTAAAAGACATTAAAGTGCAGCTTAGATGAAAACAGATGAAAAAGATAGAAACTGCTCAAAAGGCTGCTGAGAAGAAAAATATCTTTAGGCCCATTCTTTAAAGCATTTACATAAATAATCTCCACTAGATATGCACTTCTTTTTTTAATTTTGGGGGGTGTGTGTGTGTTAGGAATAGTGTTTTTAATTTAAAGCTAGCATTAGCCATGATGTTTACATTGCTCTCCTGTTTCCTCAATGCTTTAGAACGTTGTTAGGTTGTCTTCAAATATCTTACATCACTTGTGAGGGGCTTGGCAGAAAGGGGATTGTTAATGACATGGACAGCCAGGGGACTCCCAGACAGCACAAATACATGAACAAATCCAATAGAGTCTGAGGAAAGAGGTAGTCCGGAGTTTAATTGCTCTGTTTACCTTCCTGTCAACTTAGATCAAGAAACGCCACCTTATGCCAAGAAAACAATCCTTTAAGGATTGTTACAATCCTAACCAGCCAAGTTTGACATAAGAAAACTGCTGTGTAAGAGTGTTCGACAAATGTTTTTCTTTACTCAAATTCCATTTTCAAGGCTCAGAAGATTTAAAGGAGAGAAAGAAAAAGCCTAACCCTAGCTCGTTAATACAATTAACAGAAGAATTTAAAGGATGATTCCTAATATTTTATGCAAAAAGTAATGTTAATTCACTCTGTCAGCTGAGAGGAAGGCCCTCATAGATTATGACACTGCTTGCTACATCGTAACCTTAACCTTACTGGACAGAGATGCTCAGGGCATGTCACATTGGAACCATCTCCACAGGTACCTCTCAGGTCATTTCAGACTGGAGGAAGGGCCTCGGATACAGATGTGAGGTGAACAGAAGCTGAGATGCCCAGAGAAGGTGCACAGAGGAAGGTGGCTGTTTTTGGCAAGGGAGGCACTGGCATGCAAGGCACAGTGCACAGGTGCCACCCCATGCAGATCGGTTCAGGCAAGCAAATAACGAGCCACAGGGGCAACCAGGTTTCCCAGGGTGACTAAGTCTCTCAGGCCTTAAGCAGCTGGAATAGCAGCTTCTCATTCAAAACCAAGCCTGCAGGATGAGATGCCCAAGGTCAAATCCCGATCATTCCACCTGCCAGCTTTGTGACCACCAAAAAACAGTGTAACCTCTCTAAGACTTTCTGCACACAGAAAGAGGGTAGAATGTTAAAAATTCAGAAATTTGTAGTGAAGTTTAAACAACATAATCCCATAAAGCACTCAACATAATGTCTGAAACATACTGAAAATACTCAATAAATGCTTTTAAAAACATAACCAAGTCACAAAGCAAATATTATGAATTAGCTTGAGAGAATAAAGGCAACAGAAAAGAAAGATTTTCTTAAAGGAAAAAGTAGGGATACCGTACTAGTTACCCGTGGCTGCCATGAGAAATTAGCACAAACTACATGGCTTTAAACAACAGAATTTTATTCTTTCTCAGTTCTGCAAGTCAGAAGCTCAACTTCAAGGTGTCGGCAGATCTGAGCTCCCCTGAAGGCTCTGGGGGAAATTCCTTCCCTGCCTCTCCAGCTTCTGGTGGCTCCAGGTGTTGCACGGTGTGGGGCTACCCTGCAATCTCTGCTTCCATCTTCACCTCTCTGTGCCTCTGACTTCTCTTCTCTCTTACCAGGACACTAGCATTGGATGTAGGGCCCATCCAGATGATCAGGATGATCTCTTCTTAAGATCTTTAATTTAACTACCTCTGAAAAGACTCTTTTTCCAAAGAAGGTCACAGCCACAGGTTCTGGGTATTAGGACATGGGCATATCTTTTCAGGGGCCACCATTTGACCCACCACAGGTACTGACTATGCAACAAATGCTACATTTAAATTAAATAGTAAAATTAAGTTAGAAAGATAATTTTTAAAAATCATATTCTTCATAGTATTAAAGTATTCAATCAATCACTCTGGGAAAATTATCATAATAAAAACATATTTTTTCAGGGAGAATAATGAGTCAGTGTAGAACTATGTACTTTTTCTCTTCATGAGTTGTGTGTGTGTGTGTATGTGTGTGTGTGTGTGTGTGTGTGTGTGTGACTACATAGCAAGGAAATTTAAACTTTCTTCCAAACAAGGTGTCACGTTTACTGAGGCCTAAGCAAAAGCATACTTTCTCTCTGTAGAGTTTTTCTTATAAATGCTATTCTGTCCCATCTATTAGAGTCCTAGGACCCTAGAACCCTATCAGTTTTGGTGCAGGCAACCGAAGGTGAGGGTGCTGTGACAGAATGAGAAGTCATTGGCGTAGAGTCAAAGGAACTGGTTTGAATTCTTTCATCCACAGTCTGACCTCCTGCAAGATGTCTAACTATATGGCCACCAGTTTCCTCACTTGTAAAATGAGAGGAATCTTCACTTCCTTACCTTTCACCGTGAACACCCAGTCCCTTGATTTTCTAACCTGTGCTCCAGAACCTGGCCTGAGCAGGAAACAGAACACACAACCAGAGATGTGGGACAGGAAATGATAAAGATGAACTTTTCCTTGAAATGTGTCCTGGTTTCAAGGAAACCTACTCAAGCTTACTCATACAGAAGAGTTTATTCTCAGATTGCAGAATGAGACTGAGAATGCCAGCAGGAATCCAGGAAGCCCTGGGAACTAGTGGCTGCTCCCTTTCATAAGGATCATATCTCTGACCCCACCCCGTCTCACCCTCCCTTCTATCATGACAGCTGGCCTCTGTCTCTGTATCCACAGGTTCCAGGCTCATGCCACTGAGCAGCTTCCTTTGCTTCCATATGACTGCTGCCTCCTCCCATGTCTGAGCTATGTGTGGCTTTGGCTACCCTGCTGAGCCCAAGTCTACCTGGTGTCATCTCCCAAAGCACCCCTTCTGCCTCTGCTCCGCTGCTTACTCCGTCAATCTCCAAGTTTCCCAATTCCAAACTTCCTAGAAAAGAATTTGATTTAGCCCATGATTTCCTTTTGGACCAGTGCATGACCTATGAAGTATAGGGATGTGCTGGCCTTTGGACAATGCACAATGCACAATCATCTGCAGACAGAAAGTATGGCCGTGTGGAGGAAAACGCAGCAACTGTCCCTCAGAAGGCCCTGCATGTGGATCTGCTGCACCTATTCCAGGGGCTGTGGCAGAGAACTATAGCATTGTCATCTCAACAGTGTGCTGCCCTTCTAGGAGAGCCATACTTCCCTCCCTCCAATTCATGCAGTTCCACATGAGATGCTGTGTTCTTACATGACCCAACCTCTAACCATGGTGGATTTGTTCAGGATGTGACACCTGTAACCCGCTGGACTGATAATTCCCTTCTCCTCAATTTCTGAAGTTGAGTCTATGCGAATCACATAAGCCTTCCTGTTTTCACTAAAGCCATAAATCTTGAATGTTGCTCGTGGCCATGTTTTTGGCCATATGTAGAAAACCATTATCCAGTAGGAGAGAAAGATGCCAACATGCAGCAGGGAAACACTGAGATGCAAGATAGAGGGATGCTGCCAGCATCTCAGGCTCCAGCTCGACTTCCTCCTGAGACCCAGCTGGGTTTCCTGGCTGGCTCAGACCCATGGATTCTGTAAGATCCCCCACAGTGCTTCATTCATGGTGGCCATTGTGCTTTAGCCAGCTCATGTGGGGTCTCTGTGGCTTCAACTACAGCAATAGTAACCATCTTGCAGGAGTGAGGGTAGGATGAAACAGACTTCTCCAGGATGCCCCTGTCCCCTTTGGCCCAGAGCCCATCCTATAAGTAGTGCTTGGAATTGGCCAGGGTCCCATCAGCAGCATCAAGTCTCACATTTGATTGTAACAGATGCCATGTATATAATTCTCAATAGAATTCATTATTTTCCTAATATTTATTGACTGGCTATAATGTGACAGGCACTAGGCTCTGTGCTGGGGATTTAATGAAGAATAAAACAGCCTACTGGCAGAACCATGGTATTTTAAACTCATTTTCATCCTGGAATTCTCAGTAGAAAGGATCTGCTCTAACTAAACATTGCAGCCCTACCCACATCCCACCATCACAAGACAAGAGCCTTTGTAAACCCAAAACTCCCTCTACTGAGACCCTGACTACATTCATGTACTTAAGCCATGCAGAGGGCACTGGGGGCTGCCGGTGCTAGCAATGGGAAGGAAGCCCCCAGATCCCCTTTTCTATCGCTACTTTGGGGACTTTTCTTCCCCTTGATTCCCACAGGCAATTATAGGAAATAAATACAAGTCAAGTTAAACCGTTTCTAATGAGCAGGCTGGGAAAATAAGAGTAACTCCATCTCTACCTGGTTTCCCAATATCCCTGCTAAGCTCCTTGAAGACAAAGGAGTTCCTTGATTTCCTCAATGTTTAACAAACATTTCTTAGGGACTTTGAAGTACTAAACACTCTTCTAGGGGCTGAAGTTTCAGTGGCATGTGAAACAGAAAAAGTCCATTCTAATGGAATGATAAAGAATAAGCAAATCATAGGTAATGGCAGGTCAGGTGACAATGACAATGACCAGCAGTTGGGTGGGGTACAGGGATGGAGCTGGGCCAGGCCAGGTGAGAGACTTCTCTGAGCAGTGGCATTTGAACAGATGCCTGAATGAACAGGGGGAGATTTGATTTGTGTAAATGCTTTGGAGATTTTCCAGCAAGTGCAAATATCTTGTATTGGAAGAATATTGAAAAATCAGCAAGGAAGCTAGGATGACTGGAATGAACGGAGCAAAGGAAATGCAGCTGGAGTGGCAACCAGAATCCAATAATGTGGAGCATTGTACTCCACCAAAGAGAACCTCAAGACGAGAGCCTGCAGCTGCTGCCAAGAGCCTTCTGCTCCCCTGAATTTTAGATCCAAATTCTTATCGGACAAGTTGTAGTGAGTTGGATGGTGGACCCCTCAAAAGATATGCCCACATTCTATTATAAAATCTAGAATAAATGAATATGGCACTATATGGAAAAAGAGTTTTGCAGATGTAATTCAGGATCTCAAGATGAGATTCATCCTAGATCATCCATGGAGACTCTAAATCCAATGTTTCCTTATAAAAGACATGCAAAAGAGACACCCATGAAAGAGAAGGCCATGAGAAGTTGAAGGCAGTGGTTGAAATTATAGTGCCACAGGCCAAGATATGCCTGGAGCCATGAGAAGCTAGAAAAGGCAAAGACAGATTCTCCCCTAAAGCCTCTGGAAGGAGCACAACTCCATAGACGACTTGATTTAGGACTTTTGACCTCCAGAACTGCAAAAAAATAAATTTCTGTTGCTTTAAGTCACACAATTGTATTTTTAATTTGGTGAATTCAAGGAGGCCACATATCCCATGGAGATGAGAGGTGTATTTCTCCTCCCCTTGGATACTGGCTGGCATATGACAGCTTTTCCCATGGACAGTGGCGGAAGGAATGCTGAGCTGGTTGAGGACCTAGGTTTTAGCAGAATTGCCAGATGACATTCTGGTCTCTGGGAGCCCTTAGCAACCACACAGAAGTCCTGCTGGGGAGTTTTGGACTACGTGGTGAGAAAGAGGGGGTCCCTCTGGGCCCAGTGGTTCCCAGCCTTTCAATTCCCCCTCTAAAGTGCTGATCATGAGAGTGAAGCTGTCTTGAATACTCTATGCCAGGCCAGCCTCAAGCCAAATCCTCTTGAGTGCCCTCAGTTGATGCCATGTAGAATCACCTCATTCAGCCTTGCCTGGATTCCCAGTCCACAAACTATGAGACATAACAAAAATGGTTGCTGCTTTAGGCCACTAAATGTAGGGATAGTTTATAATTTAAATACTAGGAGATGGCAACCACTGGGAGACTTGTGAGCAGACTTCCTGCTGTGTGAAGAATAGAGCCTAGGGGTGCACTAGAGACTGTGGTGAGATTAGTGAGGGGCTATCCAAGCAGTGCCAGGAGAGGTGGTTTGGCTTGGAGTAGAAGGTGGAGCTAGAGGGCGTGAAAGGAATCACATCCCCGATACATTTCAAAAGTCAACCCTGGATCATTTGCTGCTAGTATAGATGTTGGCGTCAAAGAGCAGTCAAAGACAACTGTAAGAGTTGTGATCTGAATATCTGGGTAAATGGGAGAGAGGGAGTTTTAGAGAAAGGGCAACATTCAAAAATTTTGTTTTGAATTGTTGATTTTCAAATATTATTAGATATCCAAGTGGAGATGGTTGGACACACCGGTCTGGATTTCAACAAAGAGAAGAGGCTAGAGATGAAAGATGTCAGTAAATAGATGCTAAAGACAGGGAACAACTTTATACAGGATTGGGCTATGAAAACCAGTCCTCGCAGCACTCCAATTTATGAGATTATGGAGATTAGGAGAAACTAATAATGGACACTCTCTATGGTCTGTTTGTGTCTTGCAGAATTCATATGTTGAAATCCTCATCTGCAATGTGATATCAGGAGGTAGGGCCTTTAGGAGGTGATTAGGTCATAACGGTTAAGTTCTCATGAATGGGATTAGTGTCCTTATAAAAGAAGCCCAGCCCCAGAGAGCTGCCTCACCGTTTCCACCATGTGAGGACACAGCGAGAAGGCACCATCCACGAATCAGAAAGAGAGCCCTCACCAGACACCAAATCTGCCAGCACCTTGATCTTGGATTCCTAGACTCCGAAACTGTGGGAAATAAGTTACTGTTGTTTATAAGTCACCCAGTTTAAGAAATATCTAAATGCCTCAACAGCTTAAGACAGAGGCTAAGGAGTGACCAGTGAAGAAGAAGAAAACCAAGAGCACAGCATCTCAGAAATCAAGTAAAGAAAGGGTTTCAAAAAACAAAAAAAGCAAGCAAACAAAAATCCCCTGCCAAATGTGCCTGGAATTCAAATAAGGTGTAGTCTGAGATAACCTTGACAAGAAAAATTACTAGCATGGTGGAGACAAAATCTTCATTGGAATGAGATCAAGAAAAAATTGGAAGTGAAGAAATTAAGCTGAAGCATTTGGACAATCAGCTCACAGAGTATTACTCTGAGACAGAGAAGTAAGATGTGAACTGAGTCAGGATGATCACTAGATACTTCTCTGTTGGGATAATGAGGGGAGAAAAGGAGCTAGATTGTTGAGCAATCAAGCGGGAGGGGATCCAGCACAAGAGTGGAGGGTGGCTTCAGATGGGAGCAGGCGCAGCTCATCACTGCTGTGGGCAAGAAGGCAGAGCGTGTGGGAGCAGACCTAGAAAGGGTAATAGAGTTAGAGTAGTGGATTGTTTCTGACCATTTCTATTGTTGCAGGGAAATAAGGTATAGAAATTACCTAGGTAGGAAAGGAAGAGAGGGGGAGAACTTTGACATGAGAAGAGAAGATGTGAAGTAATCTCAGAGGGAGGAGAATGAATTATATAAGGGAAAGTGGTAGGATTGGCCCATTTGATATTTTTGGTCTTAATTTAAAGAAACTCCTGCAGTCATGTGTAGTCACCAAGGAGATGTGTAACTCAGATGCCCTTCAAGAGAGAATGGGTAGTTGGCTGGGGAAAGGCAGTTGGACGACAGCTTCCTGTGGAGTGCATTCAGGATCCATGAGAACATGTAACCCAAGGCCACGCTCTTCTTTGCAGCTCCCAGCTCGTGACTGAGCATGGAAGGGATCTCAAAACTCCTCGTTGGGTTGGCCAAGACTATCTCAGAATTGCAGCATAATCCAAGGCTCTTCCTGCTCCCTCGCACATGTTAGACCTGCCTTGCATTCCGAAACTTGTCCTTGCCTCCTCCTGCTCCCTCCCAACATCATCTCTAAGGGGAGTTACCCTCTCCTACAAGCCACTTCATGCTCCAACTTGGCTTCTGCTTCCTAGAGATTCCAGCTAACACAATGAGGTTATGAATCTTTTTCTCCAGTCATCTTCAGTTGTTTCAGGAATGGTCCACACATACATGCAGTAAGCAGGAAGCTGGACTTTAACAAGTGCTCTTGAAGGAGTGACAGAGGGACAAAGACATGGAGCGCTCCCATTGTAAGCAGATATAGCTCTGAATATGAATCCAAGTTGATTAGGAAGATGAGTGAGCCCCTGAGAAGGGTGACAAACCATGGAGAGTTGAGAGTGTCAGGCCATGCACTCAGGACCGTACAGTGGATCAACCATCCCTTCTTCAGAGAACTAACCTGAGGAAGACAGAGGCCCCAGCTAAGGGTTGCTCTTGATGCTCTCTCTTCTCGCTTTGGCCACACTCCTGAGCTGCTGAAGGATCACATTTATGTTGCACACCTTCTTTGTGTTGCGCATTGTGCTAGGCACATTGTATCTATTTTTAACTATCTGAGAATTAAACGATAAATAGTTGAGGTAGATATTGTTTCACCAGTGTTTGTTTATGAAGAAACTGACTTTCGAAGAGAAGTCCTATAGCCATGAGCAGCAGGTGTCAAATTTAGACCCAATTCTACTTCAAAGACTTCAGAACCTGAGCCCTTTCCACAATACAACATTGTTGCTACTAGTTAGCTACAACTTACATATCAGAGGTACTAATGAATTTAATCTTAGGTACACAGAGTTGGTACGGCATGCAAATGTGTATGTAAATGATTATTTTAATTTCTACAAACAAAGATGCAAATGTATCCTTAAGTTTATAGAAAACTGGTAAGATTACTTTACCTCAGTTGACCCATCCTTAGGGCTCCAGCAAATCTGAATCGTTCTAATATAAATAAACCCCCAGCTTTCCATATGAGAGCTATTTCTTCAGAATTTAAAACCTTGAGTCTCTGGACCCCCATCAAGGATATTTTTAACTCCTCATGATGTTCTTTAGGGCTGAGATAAATGTAAAAAACAAAACCTCTTTCTGGAATTTTCTCTCTCCAAATATAGAAATAAAAATAAAATAAAAGAGAATCTATCCTTGGAAATTCAGGCCAGGACATAGCAGAGGCCTTTAGCAGTCTGGTTTCTCTAATCAGGCCTTTGCCTGGATTCAGAGCACCCAGGGTTCACTTTCTCTGTTCTCACCTCCCACAAGCAGATGAGTATCACAAGCAGATAATTTAATTTGCGAGGTTGGAAAAATCCACTGCCTGCCCCTACATTCCCACCCAGTACTCTAGGGTGTGAAGTCTGAAGTCTGTCCAATCTTTAGGAGTCTTCATTAATGTAATTCCCCTTGGACTCATCAAATATTCTCACCTAATACTCAGATGAAAATGCTTACGAAAATATACTTTAAGATTAGGTGATAGATACGCTAATTACCTTGATTTGGTTATTCTACATTATATACATGTATTAAAATATCACACTGTATCCCATAAAAAGCTACAATTATTATGTGTTAATTAAAAATAATTTTTAAAAGAGGAAAATGTTTTTAAAAAGATAAGGTAGAGTAGAGATGGGAAAAAGAGAAATCTCAGACAGATCATCTAAGGGACAACACTGGAATTCAACACAGAAATGACAGGAAACACCAAAAGCAAGGAAGGAGAGGGAGACAGGACAGCCTGGTTTGCCAGGATTGTCTGGGAGCCTGGAGGGGCTCATCAATATGGATAAAGGGTAAGTGAGAGGCCCGCAGTGGCCCACATTTTCACCACAGACTCCTGCAATTCTAGCCATGCAAGAGCCCCTAGATCCTCATAGGCCCTGAGGCTATCAAAAGGAGCTGCCTGGAAACTTTGAAGGCACTGCTCCAGACAGGAAGCTCACACTGGGTCCTACATCCCCCTTCCCATGTACTAAAGAGCCACAGCAAGATGCCATATAGAGAGCCCAGGCCCTAGCAGGCTGCATCCTACCAGGCTGCCCAACTGCCTCTGTATCTCCGCATCCCTGAATCCCCATTAACATTTCCTGCCCACAGCCACTGCTGCCCACAGCCAGCACCACAGCTGGCTGCTGCCACCAGGGCTGAAGAGCAAGCCATTGGCAACAACCCTGCTCCCCCCAGCAGCAAAGCCACCATGTATTTTCACACACCCCAAGGATAAATTGTCCTTTCTACAGCTGCCGCCACTGCATATTGCCACCACAAGGTCCAAAGCATGAGAAAAATATGCACTCCCCAGCCAACTGCAAGTGGCTACTGTCACCAAAAGGAGCCCTGCCCTCCCCCATAGCAAGGCTGTGGCACAGCTGCTGCCACCCCTGCCCTAGCATTCCACCAGGGGCCTGGTGATCACTGTGCCTCTGCCTATCACAGCCAGCATCTACATGCACCACTGGAGGCTTAAGAACAGGTCTTTCCAGACCTACTCCATACCCCATTCCAAGTACCTGAACACATGATCTGTGGGCTTGGAGACCACCCAACCTAGTCCACCACAATTGGCACCTGAGCACTTCTCCTGAGGGCTGCAGGCCAGGCCCATCCAACCTGCTGTTACCACCACAGCTGGCATACACCTGCATGTGCCACCTGTGGGCTTGGAGACTGGCTCACTAAACCCATTGCAGGCACTGCAACACCAGCATGGTCTGCTTGGGAGCCAGAGGGTTGGCTCACCACTGCTACTGATGTTATTCACATCACACCCTCTGCCCAAGGGCCCAAGAACCTGCCCATTCACCAGCCCATTGCCGTCACTACCAACATGAGCAAATTACCTGGAGGTCCGAGATTAGGATTCCCTGGACCCAGTAGCAGCAGTGCCAGCATATGCCACCCTAGCATCCAAGGACAGGCAAGCTTGGGCCACTGCTGCTACCACTGGGGACCCAAAGACAGGCCCACCTGGTATCCTCATCCCCAGTAAAACTTTCCTACAGCCTTCACTAACAATTGCACCCTAAACCAGAGGAAATCACAGATACCACTGACATGGCTTACAGATGAAAAAATCAGAAGGAGAATATAGTACTACATGCAACCAGAGTCAAAGCCAATGTGCCCTACCCAACCAATGCCATAGGTACTTCTTCAGGCAAAATTCCTCCCTTGCAAAACCCAATTCAAAGAATTGAAAGAAGCAACCACTATACTAGATGCATAGATGTCAATATAAGGGCACAGGAAACATGAAAAGGCAAGGAAATAGGACACCACCAAAGGCAATAAAGGATTGCAACAACTCTCCAACGACAGATTTCAATCAAAAAGAAATTTATGAAGTTCTGGAAAGAGAATTCGAAATTTTGGTACTAAGGAAGCTGAGTGTGATATAAGAGAATACAGAAAAACAATACAAATAAATCAGAAAAACAATGCAGGATATGAGTGAGAAATTTACCAAAAGTACAGATACCATTTAAAAGAACCAAACAGAGGTTCTGGAACTGAAGGACTTATTAAATAAAATAAAAAATACATTTGAAAGCTTCAACAACAAACTAGATCAAGCATAAGAAAAAATTTCAGAACTTGAAGTCAGCTCTTTTGAAATAACCCAGTCAGACAAAAATAAAGATAAAAAGAATAAACAAATCTTTATAATGACATATAAGACACCATAAAGTAACAAAAAATTTGAGTTCTTGAAGTTTCAGAAGGCAAAGATAAAATGAAAGGGATATAAATCCAATTTAACTAAATAATAGCTAAAAATGTTTCAAGTCTAGCAAGAACTTTAGACATCAAGATACAAAAAGCACAGAGATTTCCATACATTACAATTCAAAATGTTCTTCTCTGTGACACATTATACTGAAACTGTCAAAAGTCAAAGACAAAGAGAGAATTTATAGAAACAGCAAGAGAAAATGTATAGTCACTTATAAGGGAATCCCATCAGATTAACAGATTTCTCACCAGAAACCTTACTGGCCAGGAAGGCGGGATTACATATTCAAAGTGCTGAAAGAAAAAAAAAATTGTCAGCCAAGGACACTATACCCAGCAAAGTTGCTCTTCATAAATGAAGGAGAAATAAGGTCTTTCCCAGACAAGCAAGAGCTAAGGGAATTTACTACTACTAGACCAACCCTACAAGAAATGTTTAAGGAAGTCCCACACATGGATGCAAAAGGGCAATATTTACCATCATGAAAACACATGAAAGTATAAAATCCACTGGTAGAGCAAATATACACATAAGGAAGAGAAAGAACTCAAATGTTACTCTACAGAAAACCACCAAACCAAAATGATAAACAATAAGAGATCAAGAATGGAACAGGTGATATAAAAAACAGCCAGAAATCAATTAATAAAATGACAGGAATAAGCCCACACTTATTAATAATAACCTTAAATACAAACAGATAAAACTTTCCACTTCAAATATCCAAACTGGAGGCCAGACACCATTGCTCATTCCTGTAATCCCAGCGTTTTGGGAGGCTGAGCCAGGAGGATCCCTTGAGCCAAGGAGTTCAAGGCAGCAGAGAGCTATGATCATGCCACTGCACTATAGTCTGTGTGACAAAGCGAGACACCCATCTCTAATTTTTTTAAGAAGATACATATTGGCTGAATGGATTTAAAGAAAACATGGCCCAACAATATGCTGCCTATAAGAAACTTATCTCACTTGTAAAGACACATACGAACTGAAAGTAAAAGAATAAAAAAGAGATCCCTCATGTATGCAGACAAGAACCAAAAATGAGTAGAGGTGGCTACGTTTACATTAGATAAAACAGACTTCATGTCAAAAGGCATAAAAAGAGACAAAGAAGGTCATCATATAAATATAAAGGGGTCAGTTCAGCAAGAGGATATAACAATTCTAAATCTATATGCACCCAAAATTATAGCACCCAGATATGTAAAGCAAATATTATTTTATCTAAAGAAAGAGACTGTAATACAATAATAGTTAAGGACTTGAACACCCCACTATCAGCATTAGATAGATCATCTAGACAGAAAATTAACAAAGAAACTGATTTAAATTGCACATTAGACCAAATAGACCTAACATACATTCACAGAACATTTTATCTAATTGCTACAAAATACACTTTCTTCTCATCAGGACATGAAACATTCTCCAGGATAGACTATATGTTAGGACATAAAACAATTCTCAACAAATTTTTAAAAACTGAAATCGTATAAAGCATCTTCTCAGACCATGATGAAATAAAACTAGAAGTCAATAACATGAGGAACTTTGGAAACTGTACAGACACATGAAATTAAACAACATGCTTCTGAATGACCATTACTTAACAAATAAAGTTAAGGAAAAAGTCAAAAAAATTCTTGGAACAAATAAAAATCAAAACACAAAATATCAAAACCTCTGGGATACAGTAAAAACAATGCTAAGAGGGAAGTTTACAGCAAGAAACACCTATATCAAAAAAGTAGAAAGATTTCAAATAAACAACCTAATGATGCACCTCAAGAAGCTAGAAAAGCAGGAATTAGCTAAATCCAAAATTAGTAGAAGGAAAGAAATAATATATATCCAAGCAGAACTAAATGAAATAGAAATTAAGAAGAAAAAAAGAATCAACAAAATGAAAAATTTGACTTTTTTGAAAAGATAAAATTGATAACCTGCTAGCTAGACTAACCGTAAAGAGAGAGATCAAATAAACAAAATCAGAAATGAAAAAGGAGACATTACAACTGATACTCAAGAAACACAAAAGATTATCAGAGACTATTATGAACAACTACACACTAACAAACTGGTAAACCCAGAGAAAATGAATAAATTCCTGGACATGTACAATCTACCGAGATTAAATTAGGAAGAAATAGAAAACCTGAACAGACCAATAATGAGTAATAAGACCCAAATTAGATTGAATCAGTAATAAAAAAGTCTTCCAACAAAGAAAAGTCTAGGGCTGGATGGCTTCAGTGCCAAATTCTACCAAACTTTCACAGAAGAACTAACATCTATTCTACTCAAACTATATCAAAAAATTGAAGAGGAGGGAATTCTCCCTAAGTCTAATGAGGCCAGCATTACCCTGATACCAAAACAAAACAAGGGCACAACAAGAAAACTACAGGTCAATATTCTTGATGAACATAGACACAAAAATCCTCAACAAAATACTAGCCAACTGAATCCAACAGCCCATCAAAAAGATAACACACCATGATTAAGTGGAATTTACTCAAGGGATGCAAGGATGGTTCATCACATGCAAATCAATAAATGTGATACATCACATCAACAGAATGAATGAATATGATCACCTCAATAGATGCAGAAAAAGCATTAGATAAAATTCAACACTGATTCATGGTAGAAACTCTCAATAAACTAGGCATAGAAGGAACATATCTCAACATAATAAAGGCCATATATGATAAACCCACAGCTAGCATCATACCGAATGGGGAAATGCTGAAAGCCTTTCCTCTAAGAACTGGAACAAGGCAAGGATGCCCACTTTCACCACTCCTATTCAAGATAGTACTGGAAATCCTAGTCAGAATAAGGAAGAGAAAGAATTCAAATGTTACTATACAGGAAACTACCAAACTATAATGAGTAAACAATAAGATAGCAACAATAGAACAAAGGATATACTACACAGCCAGAAATCAATTAATGAAATGACAGAAATAAGCCCTCATAGATTAATAATAATTTTAAATATAAACAGATAAAACTGTTGAAATATATAGTGATTATAAATATATATATTTGTTGAAATATATATACACAAAATATATTTCAAGACTATAGTAATCAAAACAGCATAGTATTAACATAAATCAGACACATAGACCAATGGAACAGAATAGAGAACCCAGAGATAAATACACATATGTAGAGCCAACTAATATTTGATAAAGGCACCAAGAACATACACCGGGGACAGGACATCCTTGTCAATAAATGGTTCTGGGAAAATTGAATAACCGCATTCAGAAGAATGAAACTGGACTCCTATAGCTTATCATATACAAAAATTAATTCAAAATAGGTTACAGATTTAAATGTAAGATGCAAAGCTACTGGAAGAAAACAGAGAACACTTTGGGATATTGGTCTAGGCAAGGAATTTATAGCTAAGACTTCAAAAGCACAGGCAATGAAAACAAAAATAGACAAATGGGACTACATTAAACTAAACAGCTTTTGCACAGCAAAGGAAACAATCACCAGAGTGAAAAGACAACCTACAGAATAGGAGAAAACATTTTCAAACTATTCGTCTGATAATGGACATATCCAGAATATACAAGGGAACACAAACAGCTCAACAGGAAAAAAATAAATCATCCCATTAAAAAGTGGGCAAAGGACTTGAGATGAATAGACATTTCTCAAAGAAGACATACAAATGACCAACAGATATTTGAAAAATTCTCAACATCACTAATCACCAGGAAAATGCAAATGAAAACCACAGTAAAATATCATCTTACCCCGATTAGAATGGCCATTATTAAAAAAGACAGAAAATAGCAGATCCGCAAGGATATGGAGAAAAGGGAACTCTTCTACACTCTTGGCGGAAATGTAAACTAGTACAGCCACTATGGAAAACGGTATGAAAATGTCTCAAAAATTAAAAATAGAGCTACCAAAAATATAGCAATCCCACTAGTAGATATTTATCCAAAGGAAAACAAATCAGTGTACCAAAGTTATACCTGCACTCCTATATTTATTGCAGCACTATTCACTATAACAGAGATATAGAATCAACCCTAGTTGCCTGTCAACAGACAAACAGATAAAGGAAAAGTGGTAATATACATGATGGAATATTATTCAACCAGAAAAAAGGATAAAATTATGCCATTTGCGGGCACATAGATGGAACTGGAGGTCATTATGTTCAGTAGAATAAGTCAGTCATAGAAAGACAAATATTGCCATCTTCTCACTCATATGTGGGAGTGAAAAAGGTTGATCTTCTGGAGCAGAGAATAGGATGATAGGTGCCAGAGGCTAGGAAGGGTGTGTGTGCAGAGGTGTTATAAAGAGATGTTGGGGCCGGGTGTGGTGGCTCAAGCCTGTAATCCCAGCACTTTGGGAGGCTGAGGCGGGAGGATCATGAGGACAGGAGATCGAGACCATCCTGGCTAACACAGTGAAACCCCGTCTCTACTTAAAAAAAAAAAAAAAATTAGCCAGGCGTGGTGGCAGGCGCCTGTAATCCCAGCTACTCGGGAGGCTGAGGCAGGAGAATGGCGTGAACCCAGGAGGCGGAGCTTGCAGTGAGCCTAGATTGTGCCACTGCACTCCGGCCTGGGCGACAGAGCGAGACTCCATCTCAAGAAAAAAAAAAAAAAAAGAGGTTGGTTAATGGGTACAAATATACAGTTAGATAGAAATTATACTTTCTAATGTTTCACAGCAGAGTAGGGTGAGTGTGGTTGATAACAATGTGTCGTGTATCTCAAAATAGCCAGAAGAGAGGACTTGAATGTTCCCAATACATATAAAAAATAAATACTTGAAGTGATGGACACCCCAAATACTCTGGCTTGATGATTACACATTCTATGCATGTAATAAAATACCACATGTACCCCATAAATATGTACAAATATTATGTATCAATAAAAAATAAAGAAATGGGAAAGGGGGCCCTAAAGGGGGAAATGGATAGGATACAAGGAAAATGCTGCCTTGATCAATGACTTTCCTGAGGCCATACACATCCTGCTGATGTCACCTTGTGGAGTGGGGACAGGCGACTTCTCCAGGCCCCTCCCCTCACAGGACTCCTACGCTCTAGACCCCCAGAACATGCGGCAGTTTCTCAACTGGACTTTCTCTTTCTTACTCTGAGCCTTTTCACCTGCTGATCTCTCTTCTTCAGCCCCTTTTCCCCACTTCTGCCTGACAACTAGTGACCCTCTAAGAGTCAGCTCCTGCACCCAGCCCCTCTCTCCCCCTTCAGAATGGATCCTGTCTCTGTGCTCCCCCAGCACTCTCTCGGAAGGCCTGGAGGACAATGATCCTGTTTTATTTATCTTCACATTTCTAGCATCTAGCTCAACGTCTTAAATAATCAGTTTTAATAAATATTCAAGTGACTAAATGAAACTCCATTAAAGAATTTAGCACATTGTCCAAGAGCTGTTAGATGGTTTCTCTCACTAGACTGCTACATTCTGAAGAATTATGTCTGTTTTCCTCTATCCCTAGGAACTTAGCACAGTGCCTGGTCCATAGTGGGTGCTCAGTAAATAATTTGGAGTTAATTAATGAATGTAGGCTACATGCATTTTCACCTGCAGGCTGGATTCTTTCAATGTTGGAAATGGCTTCGACTTCTGCTGCTGCTGTCCTCGGTACTTAGCCAAAGATTGTCTGAAGCCACATTGTTGATCCATGTCCTGACAGCCCCACGGTGAATGAGCCCCTCTAGCTGCACCCTCTGCACCTGGTTAGAGGCTCAGCCCCTCCTCAGGGCTTCATTATCTTGAGGTAGGCACACATACCTCCATCGCCTCCTCTTCCATCCTTCCCCTGCTGTTTCTGGAATTAAGGTGCCTCAGCCCTGGCCTCACTGTGACACTCATTACTCTGGTATTGATGGCCTTCCACCTCCCTGTTATTCTGTGAAGATTAGAAAGCAGAGACCTTTCTTGGGCAAGGGAATGGGTTTTGTCAGTATTCGGTGTGTAACAACAGAAAGTATAATAAATTCTGGCAGTCAATCGAATATGACATGATAATGAATGTTAACATCATGTGCCCCCCTTTGCCTACGGAGGGGAAAGTCATGTTAGATTACAGCTAAGCACAGGCACCTTGTGATTTCTATTTGCCTCTCTTTCTCTCTCCTCCTTTCCCTGGTTTGACCTCAGCACTTGCTCAGCTCCACCCCTACATCCCCAGCTTCATCTTCCCATGTAGCTCAGAAACATTGCTTCAATTCCCCTGGGCTCTGCATCCTGTATGTGAGAAACCTGACCTCAGATGCAACTTCCCTCCTCCTAACTTAACAGAATTCTCAGCCTGGAGAGCCCTCCTGCAGCCATCAGGCAGCCCCCTGAGTCTGAATTAGACTGAGTAGGATAACAAATCAAGAGAGAACTGTGAGGAGAATTCCAAGCTCAGGGCCAGCTCCATGTGAGTCAAGAGGCGAGACTCCTGCCTCTCCCCCAACAAAAGGAATACAAAGCAAAACCAGAGCCAAAGACCTGTTCCTTGCCTTAGTTTCCCCCCAAATTATTTGGTTTCAAGGACATCGCCTGCTATTTTTAGTTTAAAAAAAAGTCAAGGTCCCATAATGTAATTCCCAGGATCACCGTTTGCTTAGTTGCATTCTTGTTAATGAAGGCAGTGGTAAACATATGTGTTTGGAAGCAGAAACAGTATCACTGGAGCCACAGGGAGTTTTTAGAGAAACATTCTGTAGCAGCCTCAGGTCCCCCAATTGGCCAGTCTGAACCTGCTCCCCTTGAACAGGAAAAATATTTGATAATTGTCCTTTTATCAGAAAATGAAAGATAATCTTCAACTCATAATAATCATTAACCAATCATGATGATCTTCCAAGCACATAATATGCCACTTAATCCTTACCACATATACACGCATAAATACGTATAATGTATCTAATATATGGCTCAGAAAGTTCTGAGCACTTTTCCTTTTTTCCTTTTTTTTTTTTTTTGAGATGGAGTCTCACTCTGTCACCTAGCAGGCTGGAGTGCAGTGGTGCAATCTCAGCTCACTGCAACTTCCACCTCCTGGGTTCAAGCGATTCTCCTGTATCACCCTCCCAAGTAGCTGGGACTACAGGCATGTGCCACCACGCCCGGCTAATTTTTTGTACTTTTAGCAGAGACAGGGTTTCATCGTGTTAGCCAGAATGATCTCGATCTCCTGACCTCGTGATCCACCCGCCTCGGCCTCCCAAAGTGCTGGGATTATAGGCGTGAGCCATTGCACCCAGCCCTCGGCAATTATCTTAAGGGACATAGCCATGAGATGTCAGGACAAGAGTCAATCTCTCCACTTTATCCTCCAAGCACCAGTATAAAAAATCACTTTTAACTGGGTGCAGTGGCTTACACCTGTAATCCCAGGACTTTGGGAGGCCAAGGAGGGTGGATCACCCAGGGGTTCGAGACCAGCCTGGCCAACATAGCGAAACGCGGACTCTACTAAAAATACAAAAAGTTAGCTGGCATGGTGGCGTGCACCTGTGGTCCCAGATATTCAGAAAACTGAGGCAGGAAAATTGCTTAAACCCAGGAAGCAGAGGTTACAGTGAGCTGAGATCATGCCACTGAACTCCAGCCTGGATGACAGAGCGAGACTCTGCCTCAAAAAAATAAAAAAAGAATCACTTTTGACCAACGGCCAGGGCTCATTCTTTCTCTCCTCACTATAAATTGAAGATATAGAAGGCTTGCTTTAAAAGCCTCTGATAACAAAAAGGTAGGAAGGGTGGCTAATTTAGCAATAACTATTAGCATCTGGCCTTACTCTGCAGTTTACAAAGCACTTTTTCCCACATTATTTCTCTGATCCTCAAAAAAATAAAGTAGGCATTATTATTATCATTATGCTCATTTTACAGATAGAGAAACTGATGTGGCCTAATCAATGTTCATAACTATTTAAGTCTTTAAAATACAGTCTGAAAAAGACGTTCCCAAGCAACCAAATTACATTTAATGGCAATAATAATCTTAATGTTATTTGGATGTCGCTTTACAGTTTCAAAGTATTTTCACATACATTTAGTTTCCAAATTAAATTGTACAAACATGCAGAAACTTTAAGGTATGCATGTTCAGCCTAGTCACCCCACATCCTGAAATCTTTCATAGAGAAATAAACCACATGACGGTGCCTACACCCAACAGTCTTTATTCCATCATTTTGTCTCTTCGAAGACAGTCAGGAAAACGTGGTCATGGAGAGGGAACTCCTAGGCCTCTTCTCCCAAAGGCAGCCTCAGTCCCCAGAGAGGAAACTGCCATTGACCTTTTCATAATATGTTCCCCACCTGCCCTCAGGGGAAGAATTGCTCTCTTGATTGCAAAGATACTAAGATCCAAGGGACCTCATTTCAACAGTGGATAAATTCCTTGTTTTGAAAGATAATGCACATCTGTGAAAATATTTTGTCTTCGCAGCTTCTCCACCTGCATCTCATGGGAATGTGTGGACTATAAGCTTCACCTATGTTGAGGGGAGCAGAATAATGCTGATGTTATAATACTAAGTGGAAAAAAGCAGGACCCCAAATTATATACACACAGAAGGACCTCAATTGTATATTTTTAAGTTTTAATGACTAGACATCTATTTATACTCATTTTAATACTTATACCTTTAAAATCTGTAAATCAGCATGTGCTACTTTGTAATCAGAAAAAAAACTCTTAATTAACAGAACAGGTGAGACTGAATTGACAACAAGTTGTATGAAAAATATCCAGGAGTTTTCATTGACCTGACTTCAGCATGAGGTTTCTAAACGTCGTCTCAGTGGTAAATTGAATAGACGTATTTGACTTATTAAAGAATCTGCCAGAGGCCAGGTGCGGGGGCTCAGGCCTGCAGTCCCAGCACTTTGAGAGGGCAAGGTGGAAGGATCGTTTGAGGCTAGGAGTTCAAGATCAGCTTGGGAAACATGACAAAACCCCTTCTCTACATTTTAAAAAGAAAAAATAGCCAGGCATGGTGGCACATGCCTGCGGTCCCAGCTGCTCAGGAGGCTGAGGTGGAAGGATAGCTTGAGCCTAGGAGGTCAAGGCTGCAGTGAGTTAGTGATTGCACCACTGCACTCCAGCCTCAGTGACAGAGCGAGACCCTATCTCAAAACAACAAAAACAACAAAACAGAGAAGCTGTAATCTGCCAGAAAGACCCTCATAGAGAACAGGACCATCCATCAGGGTAGATGGCAAAATGTGTATCAAGCCACTAACCTTCTGCCTGGCACATGGTAAGCTTTTAAATGCCAGAATTTATAAGAAATTGATGACCTCATGCTCCAAGATCATTTGGGTATTTTCCCCAGTTCCTGCCTGCCCTGACCTGCAACTACTCAGAATCAATCCTCCTAGTGCCAAACACTGGCAGAAGTCACATGCCAGGCTTTATGTTAGGCAGATTTCGACCTTTGTTGTTTCAACCTCAGTGTACAAAAAAAAAAAAAAAAAAACCCTTGTGGTCTGCGCTGTGTTCCATGATTGTAAAGAATTCCTTTCTCCCATTGCCCAGTGTGCTCCCTACCCCAGTTAGAATTCCTTTTCTGGCCGGGTGCAGTGACTCATGCCTGTAATCCCAGCACTTTGGGGTGCAGTGGCTCACGCCTGTAATCCCAGCACTTTGGGAGGCTGAGGTGGGTGGAACACATGAGGTTGGGAGTTCGGGACCAGCCTGGCCAACATGGTGAAACCCTGTCTCTACTAAAAATACAAAAATTAGCCAGTCGCAGTGGTGGGCGCCTGTAATCCCAGCTACTCAGGAGTCTGAGTCAGGAGAATTGCTTGAACCCGGAAGGCAGAGGCTGCAGTGAGCTGAGATTGTGCCATTGAACTCCAGCTTGGGCAACAGAGTGAGACCCCATCTCAAAAAATAAAAAAAAAGGATTCCTTTCCCTTGGGCCTCTGCATGCACGCCTGTTAGCCTCCATCAGTCAGCGTTGCTCCGTCTTTACTCTTAGAGCTGGAAGGGACCTGGGAGAGAATATAACTTAATCCATTATTTTACAGAGTAATTGGAATCTCAAGAAGTGAAGCAACTTGCCCCAATATAGCCAGGTCTTTAGTGGCAGGGCCAGGCCAGGGGCATAGACGCACCACTCTTTTCACTGCATCTTGAGAGAAAATAGTTTATACCCACAGGTAAAAATGGGGCTAGGTCTATGGGAAAGTGCCCTGAAGCGATCAATTTTGCATTGAAGTCACTCTAGTATCAATTAGCCTTCTGGCCTTGGGCAAATCACTTTGCATTCTGGGCCTGAGGTTCTGCTGTGGGGTTAGATGAGATAATATATGTGATAGAAAGCATTTTGTCAACTGCAAAAACATTATACAAATTTGAGGCATTGCTATTTGACTGCTAGTTAAACACCCTTCCAGGAGTATTTGCATTTTTTATTTTTTATTATACTTTAAGTTCTGGGATACATGGGCAGAACGTGCAAGTTTATTACATAGGTATACATGTGCCATGGTGGTTTGCCGCACCCATCAACTGGTCATTTACATTATGTATTTCTTCTGATGCTATCCCTCCCCTTGCCCCCCACCCCACAACAGGCCCCCGTACGTGATGTCCCATTCCTGTGCCCATATGTTCTCATTGTTCAACTCCCACTTATGAGTGAGAATATGTGGTGTTCGGTTTTCTGTTCCTGTGTTAGTTTTCTGACAGTGATGGTTTCCAGATTCATCCATGTCCCTGCAAAGGACCTGAAGTCATCCTTTTTTTATGGCTGCATAGTATTCCATGGTGTATACGTGGCACATTTTCTTTATCCATTCTATCATTGATGGGCATTTGGATTGGTTCCAAGTCTTTGCTATTGTGAATAGTGTTGCAATAAACATACATGTGCATGTGTCTTTATGGAAGAATGATTTATAATCCTTTGGGTATATATCCAGTAATGGGATTGCTGGGTCAAATGGTATTTCTGGTTATAGATCCTTGAGGAATTGCCACACCATCTTCCACAATGGTTGAACTAATTTACAGTCCCACCAACAGTGTACAAGTGTTCCTATTTCTCCACATCCTCTCTAGCATCTGTTGTTTCCCGGCTTTTTAATGATTGCCATTCTAAGTGGTGTGAGATGGTATCTCATTGTGGTTTCAATTTTCATTTCTCTAATGACCAGTGATGATGAGCTTTTTTTCATATGTTTCTTGGCCATTAAATGTCTTCTTTTGTAAAGTGTCTGTTCATATCCTTTGCCCACATTTAATGGGGTTGTTTGTTTTTCCTGTTAATTTGTTTAAGTTCCTTGTAGATTCTGAATATAGCCCTTTGTCAGATGGATAGATTGCAAAAATTTTATTCCATTCTTCATGTTGCCTGTTCACTCTGATGATAGTTTCTTTTGCTGTGCAGAAGCTCTTTAGTTTAATTAGATGCCATTTGTCAATTTTGGCTTTTGTTGCCATTGCTTTTGGTGTTTTAGTCATGAAGCCTTTGCCCATGCCTATGTCCTGAATGGTAATGCCTAGGTTTTCCTCCAGGGTTTTTATGGTTTTAGTCTTACATTTAAGTCTTTAATCCACCTTGAGTTAATTTTTGTACAAGGTATAAGGAAGGAGTTCAGTCTCAATTTTCTGCATATGGCTGGCCAATTTTCCCAACACCATTTATTAAACAGGAAATCCTTTCCCCATTTCTTGTTTTTGTCAGATTTGTCAAAGATCAGATGGTTGTAGATGTGTGGTGTTATTTCGGAGGCCTCTATTCTGTTCCATAGGTCTATATATCTGTTTTCGTACCAGTACCATGCTGTTTTAGTTACTGTCCTTATAGTATAGTTTGAAGTCATGTAGGGTGATGCCTTCAGCTTTGTTCTTTTTGCTTAGGATTGCCTTGGCAATACGGGCTCTGTTTTTGCTCCATATGACATTTAAAGTAGTTTTTTCTAACTCTGTGAAGAAAGTCAGTGGTAGCTTGATGGGGATAGCATTGAATCTATAAATTACTTTGGACAGTATGGCCATTTTCACGATATTCATTCTTCCTATCCATGAGCATAGAATGTTTTTCCATTTGTTTGTGTCCTCTTATTTCCTTGAGCAGTGGTTTGTGGTTCTCCTAGAAAAGGTCCTTCACATCCCTTGTAAGTTGTATTCCTAAGTATTTTATTCTCTTTGTAGCAATTGTGAATGGGAGTTCACTCATGATTTGGCTGTTTGTCTGTTATTGGTGTATAGGAATGCTTGTGATTTTTGCACATCGATTTTGTATCCTGAGACTTTGCTGAAGTTGCTTATCAGCTTAAGGAGATTTTGGGCTGAGATGATGGGGTTTTCTAAATAGACAATCATGTCAACTGCAAACGGAGACAATTTGACTTCCTCTCTTCCTATTCGAATATCCTTTACTTCTTTCTCTTGCCTGATTTTCCTGGCCAGAACTTCCAATACTATGTTGAATAGGAGTGGTGAGAGAGGGCATCCTTGTCTTATGCCGGTTTTCAAAGGGAATGCTTCCAGGCTTTACCCATTCAGTATGATACTGGCTGTGGGTTGGTCATAAATAGCTCTTATTATTTTGAGATACATTCCATCAATACCTAGTTTATTGAGAGTTTTTAGCATGAAGGGATGTTGAATTTTATCAAAGGCCTTTTCTGCATCCTTTGAGATCATCACTGTCCTTTGACCCCGGAGCCAGTGCTGGCGAGAATGCAGGGGTAAGACATTCTCAAACTACAGTGCTACAGTGACCTGATTAGATCTATTAAAACTCAGAAATTCAAAATATACATACGGTTGGTTCACTGAATCTCACTCACCCACAGATATGAAGGCAGAGTACTAAAAAATATATATACAAAGATGTTTATTATAGCATAGTTTGTAGTGACTACAAGTGGAAATAAACTGAATGCTCCTCAATAAGGGAATGATTTTGTACCCTGTAGAACACTCATACCATAAAATATTTTTCAGCTAATAAAAAATGTGTTCTTGTTCGATCTATATCTATTGACCCAGAGGGATTTCTATGATATATTGTTAAGTGAAAAACAAGTTACAGAAAAATGTACTTACTTAATTTGAGTTTTGTAAAACTACAAGTAAAATGATCCTATATTTGTATTGAGAAAGAGCAAGGGAGACCGAAGGGAGAAGGAAAGACAGTGAATCAGCTAGAATTAGGTCTCATCAATCCAAAGGAATGAATGTCCAATGGTGGAATTTCAGGATGTTTAGCCAATGGGAAAATGAATTTAAAATGAAGTCAGGGGAAGCATCAGATGTGACTGAAGGCAGGAAGAGTTTGCCTTGGCATGTGGCATGTGGCTGAATCTGTCTGGGCTTCTATATCTGTTCAGCAGGTTCCCATGGTTCACACTCCTCATTCTCAAGCATCTAACACGACACTGGTTTGGTTTCTCATCCCACTGCCCATCTCTGCAAGGAAGCAGGAACCCGTGGGTAAAGCACATCCACGTATTTTGGATTTATCACTGTCTCATTCTTGATTTCTCTGTTAATATTTAGGATAGAGCCTAAAGTGCAAGCCAAGATTATAAAACAAGAGCAAGCAATCAAGTTTCTCGACAATAATGTTGCACCCTTCAGAGCACAAAGCTGATGGACTCCGCCGTGTAATTACCAATATAAATTGTTGTTTTAAGGAATAACGTGTTTTAATCACAATAAAACACTCCTGTGTGAGCAGAGAGTCCTGCATCTACACAAGCCTATTGCTTCAGTATTGCCAGGCATCCAGACTTGGGCTCAAGAGCGACCTCTGACAGGAAAGCATGAAGACTGTAGTAGAAGGGCAGACCCCAGCTTTCCCCAATCAGGAAGCCCATCATAAAGGTGGAGCAGCTGGGTAACAAACAGGGGCGATGTTAAAATTGTATCATCTTAGAATTTATTGTTACTTCAAGGCAACAGTGAGCTGAGCTAGACAGATTCCAGCAAAGATAGCTGTTATTAACCCCTCAAATATCATCTTGTCTTGGGGAGCCTTCCCCTCTCCTCCAAAAGTGAATAATTCCTTTCTCTGTGGTCCTTAGTGCTTGTTATACTCCTTCTAAGCTTACTGTGGCACTGCTATCATTTATTTGCATGTCTTACGTTACAGTGTTTTTCGTCCTTATGTTAACTCCTCCCTCACTACGGCCTAGCAGGGTGGGGACCCCAATGCAGGGCAGTGGAGGTTGAGTGAGTCTGCTCCTTTATGTAAGGCCCCACAGAGCAACAGCAAAGGTTAAAAACACCAGTCTGGAAATGAAATCATCAGTGATACTGGAATTCCCATGTTTACTGCAGCCTTATTCACAATAGCCAAGATACAGAAACCACCTATGTCTCCTCTGATAGATGAATGGGTAAGGAAAATGCAGCATATATACACAATAGAATACTATTCAGCTATAATAAAAGAAGGACATTCTGCCATTTACAACGACATGAATGAATCTGGAAAGCATTATGTTAAGTGAAATAAGCCAGACACAGAAAGACAAATACTGTATGATCTCACTTATATGTGGAATCTAAAAATGTCAAACTCAGAACAGACAGTAGAACAGTGGTTGCCAAGGGCTGGGACATGGAAGAAATGGGAAGGTGTCAGTCAAAGGCTACAAACCTTTAGTTATAAGATGAATAAGTTTTGGAGATCTAATGTACAGCATAATTCTGTATCGTTTACTAGAAATTTGCTAAGAGAATAGATTTTGTGTCCTTGCCACACACGCACACACACACACACACACACACACGAAAGGGTAACTAAGTGTGGTGATGGATATGTTTATTAACTTGATTGTGGCAATCATTATGCAATATATACATATACCAAATTATCACATGTCCTTCTTGAATACATATTTTTCAATTATACCTCAATAAAGCAGAAAAATAACTTTATGCAACAAAATTGTTACTCCACAAATAACTTCTAAGAAGAAAAAGAAATAGAAAAAGAAAAAGGAAACCCAAGACTGGGAATCGGGACAAGGGAACTTCAATTCCAGCTTTATCTACAATCTCTCTATGATTTCAGACAAACCACTTAACTTCCCTTAAATTAGTTTACCCATCTGTAAAATGAATACAGCACAAAATATTAGGATTGTGAAAAAAAGTAAGAAACTCACTGGAGAATCCATGATCAAGTATCAGTAAGATGCGTCCCTCTACCTAAGGGACCTCCCTATCTTGTACACTAGCAAACTCCCTCCTCTCCAGAGGGGTGAGTTCACATATCACTTCCTCATTGAAGCCCTTCACAACTAGCCTAGAAGACATGGTACTTGCTACACTGCTCACTCTAAGATTATCTACTCAGAACTTTTTATCCACAATACTGTAAGTTCTCAGAGACAAAGAATAGTATATTTTTATTTTATCTGTATATTTTCAGGACCTAACATAGTACCTGGTTAATAGTCAGCACCCAATAAAAATCCAATAGAGGAATGAATGAATAGATGGATGAATGGATGGTTGGATGGATGATAGATGTGTGGGTGAATTGATGGATGAAAAAGGGAGAGAGAGGAGGCCTTGTGTCTGGTTCGGTTAAAATGGCTCTGAGCTGTTTTAATAGTATAAATGGTCTCTGTATGCTATTTGCTGATGTATAAAGATTGAAGTAGCATAGAAGCTCCCTAAGATTTGGGGACATATTATTCTCTTGACTTGTCATTTAGATTAACCTTACCCATCAGCAATATCAGGATAAGTCACACTATCTATAGAATATTCTTTCAAATATGGGTGGGAAAGGAAGGGAATGCCTATTACATATGTATAATGTATTGATGGCAGAGGCAGCCCATCTGGAGCAGCTGCTGCCATGACGCCAGCTGCAGTGGGGGAGGCACGGCCGGGGCTGCACGTTCCTGGAGCCAGTGGGGGCCAAGAGCAGGCAGGAGTCCTGCCCTTCTGGATACAGCTGCAGCTGCCCAAGTCATGGCTGTGGACCCAGGCATCCCTGTGATCTTTGGTGACCAGAAGGCCCCCACCTTCCCCCACAGGCTCAGAGATGTCTGCTCCCACTGTCTGGCCTCTTTCTGGCACTCACTCTAATCTTGGAGCAAGATTGGGGCCAAGCCTGGGCACTATCACAGCCCAGCCAATTTTGCACACACTTGGGGCAGTGCTGACACCCCAGCCCACACCCCAGCCCCCTGCCATCTTGGCCCCCTTTGGATGCTGGATGCCAATGAGCTCAGGAGGAAGGCCAAGGGGGTGCTAAGGGCAGCTGAGCGCTGGCCTATAGATGCCTCTTAGCATGAGCAGCCTGGGTGCCATGAACAAGTCAGGAGGAAGATGAGCTCCTGGGCAGAAGTGGGCAGATCCCCAGTGAAGTCCCACCTTCAAGCCAGGAAGGGCTTGAAGCCTGGGGACTGGGCTGCTGGTCCAAAGGACCAGAGTGGGAACTTGTGGTGCTTTTTCCAGGCCTGCTCCTGGCTGCTCATGGGCCAATTGGTACCCACTTCCTCCTCACTGAGGCCCTTAAAAGCCCTGGACTCAGCTAGACTCTAGGAGACTACAGGACAGCCAGCTGCAGAGAAGAGCTGCTCACCCCAGGGTCTTCTCTCTGCTGAGAGCTGAACACTCATCAGGACACCCTGCCTGCAGAGAGGAGCTACCCACTGCAGGTCTCCTCTGAGCTCTTCTGTCACTCAATAAAGCTCCTCTTCACCTTGCTCACCCTCCACTTGTCCACATACCTCATTCTTCCTGGACATGGGACAAAAACTTAGACAAGCCCGCCAAGTGGTGGGGCTGAAAGAGCTGTAATACAAACATGGCTGAAATATGCCCCTTGCTCACCATGTTGCAGGTGGCAAGAAAGAGAGAAGAGAGAAGGTTAGAAGAGCTGCAGCCTCTCAGGAAGCCCAGACCTAGGAGCTTCTGGAGTCAGGGCTCTGACACCCTCCTTGGGGCTCTGCACTTCCCGGCATCTCCAAGCTTCTGGGCACTGCCATATTCCCCAGTGCCTGCCATGGAAGCTGCTTATGGTACACCTGGTCCAGCCACAGCCTCACAGGGAGCCTCACAGGGGCCAGCGCCTGGAGCTGCCTGCCCTGCCACAGCCAGTATGCCTGGCTGTGCGTAATGGCTGGACTCCACACTCACTCCCACAACCCTTGCTGCTCTGCTCGCCTTTGGCAGTCATGGGATCCAGGCCAGTAGTGCAAGCTGAGCACAGCCTGCCAGGCCAAGTGGGCCCAGCAGGTCTGAGCAAAACTCAGGCAAAGACACTCACTACTGGCCACAGAGGTTGCCAGCCTGAAAAGCAACACCCCAAGGATCCTGTGACAGTATCATTTAATTCTCAGAACAGTCTTTTAAGGTCAGTACTATTTGGCCCCATTTTGTGGATGAGAAACTCAAATCAAAGAGGTGAAAAATTTTCCTATAGTCATTCTGCCAGGAAGTTACAGAGCCAGGATTCACCAAAAGCGAAACCCAGTGGTGCACTAAATATCTATAAGGAAATTGTTTCCTGTCCATCTTCAGAGAAAATGCAATATACAGTGAAAAAATAGGGGAAGGCAGAGTGGCAACTGGCTCATTGTAAATTGATAAACCATCACTGCTTGTTCACCATGCCCATCTCTGGCACACCCACAAGACCTGCCTGTACTCAGCCGAGCATGAGTGGGTAGTCGTGTTTGTCCTCTCACCCAAGAGCCCATTTACTGATCTCTATGGAGTGAGGAGCTCCGTAATGTGGACACCCACCTGTGGTGGCCTGCTCAGTAGGTGTGAAGGGGCTGTGTGCTGCATATAAATGGACTCTTTCACTTGGCAGGAGGCAGGTAATTTCTTTTGTCCCTGCTGATGCATTATTGATTGTGATGAATGTCAGAGTGGGAGCCCATTCCAGGAGCCATTAAACAATAATTTCATCTCCGGTGGGTAATTGATTGTCAGGGGCCACCGTGGCCGGTTGTGAAGTGGTGGTAACAGTGAATGTTTTCATTTGGGGCAGGGTGTGAAGGGAAGATTGCATGATTTATTTATCAAATATCAAGCCCAGTTTTCAGGAAGAGGAAGCTGAAATGTGAAGTTGACCTCTGAGGCGCAGACAGCCTGTCTCCTAAGGTCAAATTTCTGCTGCTTAGTATTAGAGGTATATCTGGGCTTCTCTCCTCTACCCACTTTCAACTACCACTGTCCTTGGTAGCCACCCTCCCCACGCACCCAGAAAATCCTAGGCGTGATTATATGGATCTCATATTACCAGCACCCAAATCCTCACAGCCTGTATACTCAACATCAAAATCTAGATATGCATTCTCTTGGTACAAGACAGCTTAGATCCTCTGGGTCTCTGAGTTCATACCGTAGACTGCCTTCCTCCTCGGCTTCCCTTCCATCAAATTCCTACTTACTCATCCCCAGATGACATCATCTGCTAAGGAAGCCCTGAGCCACCTCAATCCCCAGATGCAAAAGTGTTGCTTGCTCCCACCTCTGTATTTTTAGGGCAATGCATTCATGCCTCTCATCATAACATTTCTGATATTATGTTGTGATTATTTCTTTAGATTTCTGTCTTGACTACATTGTCAGTGATTCTTAATCTTTTCTGGATGATAAACTCTTCCTTATAGGATTTGATGAAAAGTATAAAATTTCTGCCTTGTGAAAAATGTGAGCATCTTGGCAGATATGAACACACTGTGTTCAGATTCAGGGTGTTTACATATCCACTGAAAACCATTCAGGGATCTCATGTTAAGAGCCTCCACCCTGACTGAGCTGTCTGAGGGCCAATATTTTATTTGCCTTTGTGTCTCCAGGCACAACGCTATGTGTGGCACATAGCAGGTGCTTAGCAAATGCTTGTGGAATGGGTGCAGACTGTCTTTACAGGGCAGCTCAAGGATGTGGGAGTGGAGGCTGTCTGCAAGCTGCATATCTCAAGCATTACTGATCTAAGGGCTGTGAAGTGGTATCTGGAGCTTTGCAGGCACAAGATGAAGTGGCTGCAGTGTCTTGAGCTGATCCTGGTTCTATGTTTTAGAGTTTTGAAAATGGAGAGCAAGTGGATTAGAAAGGGCTTGAGCATTAGCACTGTGCAGCACAGCTCAGCAGAACTTCACTGGAAACTTCAAAATGCACCACAACGCAGAAGTGAAAACCAAGGAAGGTACAAAGACTTCCGCAAACCTCTGGACTCCAATCTTCATTTTTTGTTTTTAAAATCAGAAGAGTTGGGTAGAAATTCTGGACACAATAACTCCACCCATAATCAAGCAAACAAACAAACAAACTGCAAAATCACTCTCATGACCAGCCTAACCACTTCTCTGAGAGCATGAACAATTCTCAGTTTGCAGCTTTAAAGAAATACGTTTCCAGAAACAAGGGCTGCTGCAGGGAAAGTTATGTAACCTCATGGTGAAGAATGCAGATTCTGAAACCAGAGTGCTTGGATTCAAACATTAACTCTAATACTTATCAAATACGGGATCATGGGCAAGTTACCAAACCTCTGTAAGCTTCAGTTTCCTTGACTGTGAAATGGAAGCACGTAAGTCCTACCCCATAAGGCTGTGGGAGAAATAAGTAGCTGATATATGTGATGGCTCAGGGCACATAAGTGCTCATTAAATTCTAGCTACTACTATTACTATAAGAGATGTTTGTGGATAGATATTATTATTGCAGTTAAGAGGTTTCAGAGTATATTTGTGCAGAAGGAAAGGCTTATTTTATTTTATTTTAGCTCAGACATCAGTAGAAGTGCTCTGATTTGACAGTCATGTTATTCTCCAAAGATAAGAAACCAGCCTCTTTAACAAGCTCCCAGTCAAAGAATCCATTCCCTCTGTATATGAAGCAAGAAAGCCCTCAAAATTGACTTCAAACCCTCACTCATGGAACCTTCCTTGGCAGTTCCAGCCCACATGGAAATACTTCTTTAATTTGATCTCCCAATGCATTTACTATACAGGTTCCTTCCCTTGATACTTAAACACTGTTTAACAGTTATTATATATTTTATAAATTTATCAAAGATTGCAGTCTTTCAGGGCAGAAACCATATCTCACCTTTCAGTTATGGTTCTGCAGTGCCCAGCCTGTTCCCCTCAGGACACTCTCATGTCATGGACAGAAGGTGGGGCCTTAAATCAAAGAACTAGGTTTAGGTTCTTTCCCTTGCTGGTCTATGACCCTGGCAAGACACATGTGAGCCCACCAAGATTTGCTGTCCACTTCTTTCTTAGTAATAAAACCCCTGTTTTTAGCTTGAACATGATCATTTGGAATAAAGAGAATATGTTCTAGTCCCCTTTAAACTGGCCACATGACCAGGTTCCAGCTGGTGAGGTCAAAGTGACAGCTGTGTAAGATTTTGCCCTTTCTTGATTTGGTTCTTCTAGCTGCTACTTGAAATTTGTATACAGTAGCTGCAGTTATATCTAGCTGCCCTTGTGGAACTGTTTGGATGGGGGCCACATCTAGGGAAGGTGGAGCCTGAATATCTAACAGTAGTTTCATGAGGCCATCAAACTACCCCTGCACTGTGTGCTTCAAAACTTTATTTAAAATGAGAGATAAATAAATGTTACTTGCAAGCTGACTTTAATCCTAACTAAATACTCTGAACCTTAGGTTTCTCACCAATACAATGTAGATAATTCATACCTTCATGGCATGTAAAGCAAATAGTACAAATGTAAACTCACTGTTACAGTGGAAGTTGAATTGTAAACACTTACAGAAAAATAATGAAGACATTAAAAGTACAAGGGAGAGAGTAAGAGAGACAGACTAGTGATTTGCATAAACGCTGGGCTGGCATTTCAGAAGGAGTACACCAGGCATAAGGGCTGAGCTGGTCCTTGGAAGAACCAATTAGTCCTTCCCTGCACTAACTTCAGATTGTAACCAGCATGAGCTGTTCTACACCGTAATTTCCCACACATGTGAACATGGACATAAAAAAGACCTTGAGGGGGACCCCCATAGGAAAGATCAGAAAGTCTGCAGTAAAGGGGGCAAAGTGGGAAGCAAAGCACCAACTTAGTGTCACTTCCAATGAACTTGAAAAACGGAAAGAAGGAAAAGCCATCTTTAACGGTTAGAAAGAGAGTTTATCTTTCTCCACTGTCCGTGAAAGGTGGATTTATCATGGATTTCTTCCTTCTTCTCCTTTATTTTTTTCTTCCACTACTCACTCCATTATCTTGTCAGTTAGAACCACCAGCTCTCCCAGAATCCTCCATCACTTCTCTCCTGCCACCCCTAGAAAATGCCTGCAGAATCCTGGCCCATCATTCACGGCCAAGCCAGAGCCTGCCCCTCTCAGATTCCAAGTTTGCCCTCCCGCTGGCGTGATAAGACAGACTGATGGATGGAGAGGTGGTTTCTCATAATGCCTGGTACTGGGCCCTCTATTACCATGAAGCATGGTCCTCCCCCTCCCGCCTCCGTTCCTTCATAACTCCCACGTAACTCCCCTGTGCGCCTCACAAAATCACACTTACCCATGCATGCTTTTCCAGGAGATTTTCTGCCCACCTTCTCAATACACTGGGCATGGACCGCGCTCTGCACACAAGTTCTACCTGTCGTGTATTATATCTTCCCCTTAGAAAGGATCTGTCTCTCTAAGAAGGACTTTACAAGAGTTTGTTTTAAAATGATTCCAACTACAGTGTGCTGAGCCTGTGTCAGATGTGTTTACCTATGGTATCAGTTAATACCCACGTGGCATCCCAGCTTCTAAGTGGAGAAAAGACCTGCAGGGAAGCTCTAAAATGCCAGCATCCTCTGGGTATTAAATAGCAGAACTAGGATTGTGGGCTTTTTTTTTTTTTTTTTTTTTTTTTTGAGACAGAGTCTTGCTCTGTTGCCCAGGCTGGAGTACAATAGCATGATCTCAGCTCACTGCAACCTCTGCCTCCCGGGTTCATGTGATTCTTCTGCCCCAGCCTCCCGAGTAGCTGGGACTACAGGTGTGTGCCACCATGCCCAGCTAATTTTTATATTTTTAGTAAAGAAGGAGTTTCACCATGTTGGCCAAGCTGGTCTCGAACTCCTGACCTCAGGTGATTCACTTGCCTCAGCCTCCCAAAGTGCTGGGATTGCAGGCATGAGCCACTGCACCTGGCTCAGAACTAGAGTTTGAACCCAAAGTTCTCTGCCTTGCAGCCTACTATATTCCACCACGTTTTCTCTGTCTCTTCATTAGTCTAGAAATATAGAACCTAAAAAGATGGGTGGACCCTGCTATGGTCTGAATGCTTATGTCTCCCCAAAATGTATATGCTGAAATTCTCACCTCCATGGTGATGCTATTAGGAGGTAGGGGCTTTGGGATATGATTAAGTCATGAGGGTAGAGCTCTCACAAATGGGATTAGTATCCTTATAAAAGATGCCCCAGGGAGACCCCTCATCCCTTCCATGATGTGAGGATGACATCTGTGAACCAGGAAGTAGCCCTCACCAGACACTGAATATAGTGCTTTGATCTCGGACTTCCCAGCCTCTAGAAGTGTGAGAAATAAATTTCTGTTGTTTATTAGTCCCCTAGTTTAGGGTATTTTTAGAGCAACTTAAATGGACTAAGGGAAATCCCATCCCTGCTAGCCTCCTCTTCCACCCCTAAGCAGCCATCTCATGCCAACAGTGCTTCCGGGTACCCACTTCCCTTCACTCTAGATCCACTGTCTTCAAGAAAACGGTGATTATCCTCCTTCCCTGAAGCTTTGCCTATTGTGGTTCTAGTTTTATTTGTCAGAAAAGTCCAATGCCTTCTTTTCAGCTCAGAGGCTGGTGCCTGCACATTTGCATCAGTGAATGTTTCGTTTCAGGAAATTGATACAGCAGCCGAATTCCCCTTGCAGCCACCCTCCCCTCATCTCTGAGGAAGGAAGTTTCCTGTCCTCCATTTCTCACACGAGTGCTGATGAGGGGAAGGACCACACAAGGCGAAATCCTAAACCCGGACCTTTTAAACCATTTGTGCCTGCTTGTTGTTTGAAGAAGTAGGGTGCTGATATGGTTTGGCTATGTCCCCACCCAATTCTCGCCTGGAATTGTAATAATCCCCATGTGTCAAGCGTGGGGCCAAGTGGGGATAATTGAATCATGGGAGTGGTTTCCCCCATACTGTTCTCAAGGTAGTGAATAAGTCTCATGAGATCTGATAGTTTTATAAATGGGAGTTCCCCTGCACAAGTTCTCTTGCCTGCTACCATGTACGACATCCCTTGTTCTTCCCTCGTCTTCCGCCATGATTGTGAGGCCTCCCAAGCCATGTGGAACTGTGAGTCCATTAAACCTCTTTCCTTTATACATTTCTCAGTCTCGAGTATCTTTATTAGCAGCATTAGAATGATCTAATACAGGTGCTTTTTTTTTTTTAACAAGAAAAAATCATCTGTGGACCCAATAAATAAATAATAGAACAATACAAGCTTCTTCTGATGGAAATCTCAGCCCTCCCTCTGAGCCTTCCCCTTTCCACACTCTTTCCTCTCCAGGCTCTAGCAGCCCCACAGAACCTGGAGTTTCACTAACAACTACTGAAAAAGCAATGAAAATTTTAAAAATCACCACTGTGATTTCATTAGCTGTTTCCCTCTGACAGACATGAACTGATTTCTCTCCTCTCTGGGCAGGACTCCTACATTAAGAAGTCTTCTGTTTTTAAGGATCTTGAGGAGCTGCAGGTCCTGGGGCTGCTTCCCATTGTTCACTGCACTCCAGGGAACGAAAAAAGCCACAGCCCCTGAAGCTTCCACTGTGTCTGTGCAAGGTGGGTGGAGGTGGAGATAGCACCTGAGCTCCTGAGGGGCTGCCTTAGCCTTTTGTTCACTGCACCTAGGACCATGCTGGACAGGTAGTGGGTGCCTAAAAGATATTTGATAAATGGGTTCAGAATTACAAAAACCTCAAGGTACAAACCATTCCTATATCTCCCCAGCCTCCTTTTCACTAGATTAAATTTAAAAATCAGACCACATTTCACTCCCAACCCCTCATATATTTGGGTTTTCATTAACCATCCTTTGTATTATCCAAGAGCCTAGTCCCAGACTTTTCAAATCCTTTGTAAAATGTAGAGAACAGCTCTAGCCACATTTCTTCTTTAGCAAATAGTTAATGGGCACCTGCCATGTAGCGGGTGCTAAGTGCTAGGAAAACAGGAATGATGGAGACACTGTTCCTGCTTGCCAGGACCTCAGGGAAGAGACCTGAGAAATAGCTACAGCAGACAACCCAGAGCTTGAGGGTTAGAAAATCACCTCCACATGGTTTCTGTGTGCTATTTTGATACTCTTATATAAGCAAGACACAATCCCATGTGGCATTTTAAATGGCCTGGACCCACTGAGATTGCAAAACATGTCAGCTGAGAGTGGGAATTTACCACCTTGCTACAAATTCTGGCTTTTATTGCCTGTGGGTCCTTGGTAATTTCCTTAAATAAACTCTCTGTACCTCAGTTTCCTCTTCTGCACGGTGTTGATATGAAGAGGATTGAATTAAATAATGCTTGTGAAGTGCTAACAATAGTTTCTGGCACATAGCGAATATTCAACAATTATAAGTCTCCTCATGCTTGTCTAAGAGACTTTGAGGGTGTCTGGGACATTTTAATGGATGAACAAGCACAGCTTCCCATGCCTGCTCTACCACAATGCCTTGGATTTCTGTGTCCACCTCAGTTCACTAAATGCTTGGCCCTGTCATTCTGTTGTATTAAATCCAAAGAGGACATGGCCTAAGACCCTGTCCTTCCCAGGTATGGCCAAAGGGACTTTCATCACTTGGCTCAGTATCTTTTTCAAGCAGAGCAGTTAGCAGCAGAGTAGCCAGGGCCAAACCTCATTTTCTCATAGTTTCGAGATCCTTTAAGGGGAGTATGGGGTGCAAACATCCAAATATGGCCTATGGCCACGAAGTTGAATGAAATATATCTTGACACTGTCTCTGAAACCTCCGTCCTCAGACACTTCCTGAACACATTCTCTGTCACATAGGAGACATACATGGCCTCTTGAAATTCAACATTCATGATAGTTTGTTAGTACTGGAAAGCCTTCAGCTGAACAATATTGTATCTAGTGACACTGTGGATTTAAAACTTGGCTTCTCTGAGTTGTACTCTTCCTCACATGGGCTCAGTGGTAACTTACTGTGCACACTGACACCAGGAGAGCCCCCTGTTTAGCTCTCCAGTTAACCAAGCAAACCGCTGGAGGCAAGTCATCAAAAGTCTGTGGAGCAAGAAAGTTTGAAAGGATCTTAGAGGATAGTTTATCCAATTTTTTTTTAACTAATTAGAAAACTAAGGCCCAGAAAATGCTAGTGACTCTTCCAAGGCTACCAACAGTGTCTGGTCCTTTTGACTTTATCATGATATGATGTTGATAGGAGTTGGGAGGGCCCTGTCATCTCCAAAATTTATGATGATCTTTATTGTGGAGGGGAATGAGTTTCTAAATTGAAAATACATGATGGGAGGGTTATTGAAAAAATTAAATGAGATAATGCACTCAAACACCTTAGCCCAGTGGTGAGCACAATAAAAGGCTGAAAAAAAAAAAACAAAAAACAGTGTCACCCATGCCAGATCATAAGATGCTTCCACGGGTGCAACTGTGCAGTTCCCTCATCATGTCATTGTACAAAGTCCTGTGGCTTCCCTCCTTTATTGTCCACCAATTAATTAACTTAGTCTGTAAAGCAAACATTTTTTATTTCATGCTATGTGTCAGCTGCAAAGATGAATCAGAAATAGTGTGCACCCTGTGCTCACAGATGTGGTGACATAACATCATCTCACAGTGTAAGATACCATAAAATAGAGGTCCCCATTTACAATGTCTGGTGGTCATCAGCAGAGGCGAGCACTCTGCCTCTCTGCCATCAGGGCGTGTGATAGGACTGTGCATCCTCATGCCCTCTTCCTTGGCCACTGAAGTGAGAACAGAAGACAGGGATTCCACTTCCAAGTGGTAGCTCCAGGAGTCAAGGCATGCCTCTACTCTCCTCTCTCTATGTCTGGCATGTTGAGTAGCCAACTTTGAGGCTGTGGCTCCTCCAGCAGCCTCATCCCCCACTGACGAGCAATGCCTGTGTAGTGTAAGCAAAAAATACACCTTGGTGACAAAGCCACTGTAGTTTTGAGTCTGTTGCCGCAGCTTTCATCTGACTTATCCTGGCTGATGTGCTCTGGAATGATGACGATAAGAGGTTTCTTGCTGTTCCGTTAACTCCTCTTCCACGATCTCAATCCCGGCCTCCCCACATGTCACACCAGCCCGTGACTGTGTCTTCTTCTAACACTAAGGCATTTGCCAGCCTGAAAGCTTTCATCTCCTCCCCAACACTTGACCCTTTTTTCAGACTAACAAGTGACCCCTAAGTGAAGCGCAAAAAAGCCTTCCAAAACCTCCTCCCTCACACCTCCCCATACCCTGCCTCCTGGCTTCTGCCTAAACTAGCAATAGATGAAGCAATTGTGTTTTAATAAAGAAAATTGATTTACCTTTTCAGTATTTTAACAAATGGCAATGCACACAGATCGCTAAAGATTTATGCCCACAATTTGCAAAATTATTTCTCTATTGATCAGTATGGGTTTGTTTTTTGTAGGTTCAGTCAATTAAGTAGTAACATTCTAGTAGGTAAATTAGTCAAGCCTGTGAAGTCTCCAGAGAAGGCAGATACTTATGTTCTGAGACTGAGATGGAGCAATGTCAGATGTGTAGGCAAGGTGCCATGTCTGGGACCTCCTACGGCAGGCAAAGACAGCACCAGAAAGTCTGGGAAAGGAGACGAAGAGAAGGGAAATGCGAGTTCAGAGGCATCCAGCTGTTAGACAATAGAATATAACATGGATGGTTGTTCTGGCAGCTCGATCCCACAAGATAGATGGCCAGCCTGGGCCCCTACTGTGCTGACAAGGCCGAAGGAAGTGGGAGTGTGGGGTCAGAGTCAGGCTGTAGGCAGCCACATCATTGCCTGTCCATACCTGAGCATGTGCCCATAGTCCACCCCTACTCCCAACCCTCTTGCCTGGCTTTTGCAGGTACCCCTGCAAGTAGGGCCTCTAAAAGGCCTGTATTGTAGAAAAAGGGCTCAGGAGGAGAACCACTGAAACATCAACAGGTGGTAGAATAGAGCTGATTTTTATATCCAGAAGCATTGCCTGTATTTTCTAACTGTTTGGTGATGATCACGCACTACCTATATAATAAAAACCAAAGCTGTAAAAAAAATTCAGTCACTTGAGAGGCTCACGACTCAGTAAGAATCTTGTATGTATCTGATATGCCCACGGACTTGTGCATCCCAAACTTACATCCCAGCTTGTTGGCAGCCTAGGTGACTTAGCAGCTTCCTGCATTCACACTTAGTCCTCATTCACCTTATGTGTGAGGTGCCAACACAGCAACAAGAATCTCAAGCCAGGCTCCTGGGCCTGGTTGCACCTGTTTTAAGACAGCTATTTTTTTTTTTTTTTTGTCAAAAATGTGTCTAAAATTTCACAAAGATACTTTATAACTTGCAGAACAGTTTCAATAGTCATATGATTCATTTCTCACACTAAATCAAGGAAGTGGGTATCAGGGTTCCCACTTGATTGATGAAGAAACTAAGGCTAAGATTTGGATTCTCTATTCAAGCTCCATTCCCTTTTGTTGTATTAATTGTTCCCCCCAGACTGTTCCTGAGATTGAAAAACATGCTCTTAAAAACTTTCATTCTGGTTGATTAAAAAACAAAAGCAAGAAAACAATAAAAAACGGAAGAAAAGATTAAAAAAGAGAGAAGGAAAAGAAAAACAAACACTTTGCAGGCACTGTGCTGGGTGCTGAAGACAAAGAGGATATTGTATGCTTCTTGGCATCAAAAAACTTCTGGTCTGGAAGGGAGAGAGGAATGCAAACTGTTGATCTCAGGACAGTGGCCCAGGGTCCTTTGTAGAACTATGGATGCAGATAGAGGGAAGAAGGCAGCTGTTCATTTTGTAAGAAAGGGAGTCAAGGAGAAGACTAAAGAAAGGCATCTTTTAAAAGTAACATTTGAAGAGAACCTTTGCTGAAAAGAGGGGAAGAACACAGAATGGATTTATCCTCCCATTCTGTTTGAGAAGATACTCTCGAAGAAAAAAAATGACTCTGAGGCTCAAGAAAAGCATGGCACTATGATGTGGCATTCCAAGCACTGAGACAGGGGGCAGGTAGATATTTGGGGTGAAAACAAAAAGAGCATCTCAAACCACACCCAGCACAGGGCACCTATCCTGCGTCTCCAAAAGAAGTGGCCTCGTCTAGAGGGTCTGTGATTTCATGTCAAAACTTAAGAATCCCTGTGGTGCTCACCTTCTCTCCAGACCCCAGTCCTCAAAGGATACTGGGCTGCAGGCTATCTGTTGTGTGCTCTGTCTACCCTCACCTTTCTTCCTCTACCACCATCTACCCTCCATTTGGGTTGCGGCCGATAGTTAATCCCTCTTTCAGTGAGAAGACTTTGCTCTCTTCTGAGCAAATATGGACAGATGTGTTATTCTCGAAATCTCTGTGTACTTACTCATGTGACTCAGTGCTATTTGTTCTTTCAGTCATCCAACAAGTATTTCATGTATTCATTCAACAAATATTTATCTGAAGGCATGTTTAATGAATGCTTAGTTACGGTGTTCTACACTGCTCAAAACACTTCAAGTGACTTCCTGCATCCCTCAGAGTAAAAGCCATGGCCAAACAATGGTCCGTAAGTCCTCCAGGGCCCAAACCTCTCTGAAGTCACCTCCACCTCTCCCTTCACTCATTCCTATCCAGCCACACCAGCCACGTTGCTCTTCCACTATTCCTCGTTCACTGCAAATGTATTTCTATTTTGTGCCTGCTTACATTTCTGCTTCCAGCATCAACCCCCAATATAAAAGACAAAGACAGGTGTCCCCCACATATCTTCAGATAGTCATGTCTTTCTCCTACAATGCCTTCAAGCCTCTGCTGAAATGTCACCTTGTCCGAGAGACTTCCCTGACCACCCAGTATACAAATCACCAACTCTTCATCACTGTCTGCCCCCTTTATCACACTGTGTTGATAACGAATGTCATGATGCATGACCATCTGTGCAATTGCCTGCACTCTCCCACTACAATGGAAGTCCAGGAGATCAGAGACTTTGCTCATCACCATATCCTCTGCCTAGTACTGCCTAGTGTATAGTAGCTGCTCAGTAAATATTTGTTCAATGAACTAATGAATCCAGGGATACAGGCTGGGGCTGGGGCTGGGTGGGAGCATTGGTAATAGAGTGGGTTTCTTGCTGCTCATCATCCCCATTACCAGCTCTATTCCCTCATTTAAGGGAAAGTGTGCTGGTGTGTCGGCAGGTTGACAATAAGAAGCACCTGAGTGAGACGCTCGGCCCTGAGTACTGTCAGAGACAAGACACAGGTCTAAATGATCCATGGCTGGGTTCCGGTCTGGCAGTTCCCATCTAACCTGCAAGTGCCAGGTAATTGGATTGGTAATGGGATATGGAGACTTTCACCTTGAAGTCACTGCCTCACTTCCAGCCCAAGGGATGGCTGCAGCTGAAAGTCATTGCTCTTGGGGAGCAGTTCTGCAATCTTTGGGAAGTATTTGAATGCCAGTTTCAGTCCAGTCTGAGGAGACAGCCTGCAAGGCTGTTTTCTACACTATCTTGCACCCTTGATCCCCTAGACGGTAAGTGCAAGTCCTTGGCTTAAGGCTTCCCAGAGCCTCAGGGGAAGATTGGAGCCTGATTTATCCCATGAGTTACAGCTTTTCCTGGGTAGTGATCTGAAACAGTGATCAAGATGTCACTGTTCCAGTGGGCAGTTGGGCTGTGACTTCACCTTCCCTGCTTGACTTTTCTTATATAATAACCAATAGGTAGAAACTCATCCTACCTATTGTTTAGGCCTGGTCACAACCAGTGGGGGACAGACCATGGCTCTGGAGTCTGAAAGTATGAGCTTGAATCCTGAACTGGGCTGTTTCTGATTATAATCCTACACCAATGAGTTAACTTTCTGCATTTTCCCTTCCTCATCTGTAACTGGGGATAGCACTGTTGTGAAGGTTAGAGATGGCCTATCCACACCATTTAGCACATGCTTCACACGCAGTAGGCGCTCAAGACATGGCAGCAGATGAGCAATAGGGATCCTCTTCCCAGGAGCTACACAGGGGTATATTTGTGGCTCTACCAGAGAGGTCCATTTATCTGTCGCTCATCAATTATTATTAAGGACCAACTCAGCACTGGGCACAGTGGTGGATCCTATTGAATAGCTAGTACACTAAGAGTAAAGGATGGGAGACACAGAACTAATGGGAGGGCTACCACTTCAGGAAACACAGAGGCTATCAAATGCCCTAGATCCATAAAAGCCACAGGCAAAAGGGCCTCCACGCGGAACAAGAAAGCTCACTGCGGTGAGGGACTGTCTTACTCTTGTTGGTCTGCCCCCATCCCCGGGGCCTATTAATGGACTTTGTATGTAGTAGGTACTCAAAATGTATTTGATCAGTTTAACTAAGTGAAAAGAGGCCAACAGAAAGTTGGTGGTCTCACCAGCTTCCTGCACCACCAGAGTGAATTTACAGGGACCTGTGTCTGTGATCTCTCTCACCCCAGGACTGCAACCCATTCTGCAGGATTCTGCAGCCAGGCTGGGGCTGACACACAGTGGCGTGTGGCTGCAGAGCTGACAACAGTGGCCTGATTTTGGACATGTGACTGCACTGCAGGCTGCTGAGCAGGAGGCTGAGGGAGGAGGCTCCTGATTGTATAAGCCAGGCCATCCAGGGACATGGCTGAGGCAAGGAGGAGAGTTGCATGGATGGGGCTCCAAGCATCTCCAGGTGCCCCTCCCCACATCTCTAGGAGATGTGAGGCTAGAAGAAAGGCTAGGGCATTTCAAAGGCCAGCCTCAGGTGGAAAGCAGGGCATACATTTGTCCTGTTCTGAGAGACCCTAAAGGGGCACACAGACGTGCCACTCATCTGAACCTCAGCTGGGCAGCAAGCTCAGTGCCCAAGTCCAAGGGGACAAGGTCAGAAGCCAGAAAGGGAAGGGCACTTAGAGCCAGCAGGATGTCTCACCCCACCCCACCAGCCAGTCTCCCGAAGAAAGAGCTTCACTCACCTTGCCTTCTCCCCTCAGAAGAGATGTGCTTCCAGGCTCCTGCCTCTGCCACTGTGGAGGCATGGTCAGATTATTATGTCTCTGAGCCCCTTCTTCTTCAGCACTTAAGAACAATAACTCTGTCCCTTCTTGTCCTTGCTTGTCCCACAGGAATGTTAAGAAAATAAAACCAGCTGCTCACTGGGAAGGAGCTCTGGAAGTGAAAGCGCTAGTGCCCAAGCATAGTTGGCTCCCTGAGCTGCCGGGCTCCAGGCCCCTAGGGTCTGGTGGAGGAAGGACCCATGACCCCTTTCAGCTGTTCAGCACAGCGAAAACCAGCCGGTCAGCACCAACTGCAGACACCTCATGGCCTGTGGCGGGGAGTTGCTGCCACCAGACACAGCCATGAGCCAAACTGAGATGTAGGGAAATGCTGTTTTTGCCCAGCCTTTGTCCCAAGGTCCATGACTCCCTTTCATTCGGACCTCTAGGGCTTCTTCCAGACTGACTGGGCTACCTAGCCACCAAATATCTGCCTTTGAAAAGGCCACCTGGAGAGGACATGATAATTTAACCCAAAGCACGTAGCCCCTATAAACAATGGAACTTTTGGCGAGGAACACCTGGGCGAGGATACTGTCTGGAAGGAAGTTCTTCTAGTTGCCTTGGAATAATGAGAGCTCCTAGAGCAGTTGCTAGGCTCCCATCCACACTCATAGCTGTGCTCGTCTCCCCTCCCGCATCCCTCGTGCATCTGTGATTTGTTTCCTCCTACCAACTTCAGATGTGCTGCTGCCTCTAGGTGCTTTCCAAGCTCAGACTTCACAGAGGTAAAAGTGAGCACGAGGAAGGAGAGTGAGGAGGGATGCAGGTGCAACAGGGGAAGGAGGACAGCTGCTTCCTAATGATGCGTTTTGGAATCAGCAAGGAGACTGTTTAATGCTATTGTTTTTGTGCATATTAAACCACTGATCCACATCCTGTTTTGGCGACACGGGCTACCTCACATCTGAATGCCTTACCTACAACCTGTAAAGCTAATTCGTTAAACAGCTTTCTTCTCCCAGGGGAATGAGGTCATTGGTCACAGAAGATTGATTAAGCTCTTGGAGAATCAACATTAATGAAAATCAACACTGCCTAATGAGTGTTTTTATGGCAGCCTCATAAAAAAGATTTTTAAAAGGAGAAACAAATAAACAAAAACAGCAAGAAAAGCCAGAAGCCTTCTCTCTCGATGTCTCTCAATGCTTGTGGTAAATTTTGTATCAGGACAGTGGTAGACATTCCCTCAGCTGGGCCAGCCTTCCTACCCTCCCTCAGCCCCACGCACTAGCATCAGGTCTGAAAAGTTTGCATACGGGTGTGTGCACATCGTTCCAAAGACAGTTCCCTTTGTTCATACCCAACGTTGTGTGGAGAAGAAAATAGATTTTTGGTCAGAATACCTGCTTTAACACCGTTTACTATATGACTCTGAGTAGGGACTTTGACCTCTGACTGTCCACACATCTCTAAAATGGGAACACTAGTTGTCCCATATCTTCCTTATTAACCTTGTTGCACAGGAATCACATAAGTCAGTGTGTGTGAGACATTTTCAGCCATAAAGCCCTGGGGAAATAGAAGCCGCTGGTGGTTGTTAAGGCACTATTGGGTGGCTTTTCAGGCCAGACACTGGAGTCAAGCAGGCTGGGTCTGAATGCAGGCTTAAGGGCCTGGCTTAGCAGTTTACCAGCTGTGTGACCTCAGGCAAGTGATTTAATTTTCCATAACCCACATTTTATCCATGAAATAGAATAATTATAGCATTGCAATGTTAGAGTTTGGGGGAGATTAAATGGGGAAATGGATATGAAGTGCTTAGGGCAGTGCTGGGCACTTTGTGAGCAGTTAGGAGAAATGGGCCCTGATTAGAGCTGTGTTCCTCACCACCCAACTCCTTCTCTTTCCACAGTGAATGGCGAGAACCAAAGCACTGCCCCAGCCACCAACCAGAATAGGCCCAGACCAAATGGCCGATCCGTGGGCCCACACAGAAGCCAAATGGAGATACACTTGGCAACTCCAGCTCCCCCATGCCTGTGGGACCCTGGGCTTGAGAGCAGGGGGAAAGACTGGCAAGAAATTGAAGGAGTTGACCAGGCATGGAGTGGGGAAGAATTTGCAATGCTCTGCTGTAAAAGAGAGACACCTGAGAAGTCTCAAAAGCACTCTAACTTGAGGGTGTGGTTTAAGGAAAAGGGCAGCTAGCTATTCTCACTGCAGGGCCTTAACAACAAAGGGGGCTTAGATCAAAAAGGGAATGATTTAAGTAAAGACCTAAGAGGTGGAGGGGAACAAAGGAAGGAAGGAAGGAAGGCATTGAGGAAAGAAGAGACGCAGGGGGAGAAGGAAAGGAAAGAAGGAAGGGAAGGAAGGAAGGAGGGAAGGAAGGAAGGGAAGGAAGGGAAGGAAGGAAGGAGGGAACTGAGGAAGGAAGAGAGGCAGGGGGAGAAGTAAAGGAAAGAAGGAAGGGAAGGGAAGCAAGGAAGGAAGGAAGGAAAAAGAAAGAAAAGGAAGAAGAGGGAAAGTGGAAAGATGGAAGGAAGGGAAGGGAAGCAAGGAAGGAAGGAAGGAAAAAGAAAAAGAAGAAGAGGGAAAGTAGAAAGATGGAAGGAAGGAAAGAAAGAAAGAGAAAGAAAGTATTTCAGAAGGAACTTTACCCATGCCCCCCTTCATGTTTTTGTTAAATAAATATATAAAGAAAATGAATCAGTTAAAAAAAAATCTGTTCTTTCCTATTTTTTCCATTTTGTCTTTCCAGTTCTTCATGTCTCTAATTTTACCTAAATGATAATTTTATGAGCAAATCAAGTTATACATAATACATTTTATGTTTCTTCTTAGCAAAATGATTTTAGATATGTAAATTGCACTACAAAAATAAATATTGCATGATATTCTAATTTTTCACCAAATTTACATTCTCCTTCCCCCCCAGTTCCCCAACTCTCTATCTCTAATGGTTTTAACATTTTGAAGACCTTGACATTTATAAATTTAGCTTACATCTAAGAGAGAAGTGTCTTCATATGGGGTTAGGTAGTGTTCTCTGTTAATTGGCAAGGCTCTAAAATCTTGTTGGCAAATATTGTTATTTCATCTTTGGACCAGCGATTGGAAAGGTGGATACAATTGTATGGAATAGAGTAAGATGGAGTCTGACGGTCCCTTTACATTTTTGTGGCAAGATTTTTGAAACATCTCTAGCATATATAAACATCTTCTTCAAGCTCAAGTGTGTTTGAAATTCCACCAAGACACAGTCTCCATTTCCTGAGGTATATCCCTGGTTAGATGGGTGTGTGAATTCTCCCCAGGCCTCAGAGGCAGAGAGGCATGGCAGGCACTCTTTTCCTGGCCCTATTTCTAGAAGTTCTCTACGGTTCATGCTGGCTTCAAACCCTGCAGGGCCATTGACCACCCCCGCACCACACACACACACACACACACACACACACACACACACACACCAGATTGAGCTCTAATTCATCTTCTGGAAGTGCTGAGTATGAAGAACTAATAGTTAAATTATATAGTGATGTGCTGACCAATATGGTATCCACTAGCCGTATGCATCTATTCACATTAATAAAACTAAATAAAATTGAAATTTCAGTACCTCAGTTGCATTGGCCACATCTCAAATGCTACTTAGCCACTTGGGTCTAAGTAGCTTCCATGCCAGACAGCATGTATATAAAATATTTCCAACATTGTGGACTTCTATTGGAGGAAAATTGAGGAGAATGAGGAAACTAGCTACTAAGCGCTTGCTATGGAGGAGGATCTCTGTACTTTGGCAGCTCATTAAATTACCTGATAGTCTATGCAATAAGTGAAATCATCTTCACCTCCCAGATAGAGAATTGGAGACTCAGAAAAGTTAATCTACTCAGAGTCCCATAGTAGCAAACCCGATGAATCTACAACTGTCCAATCTTGAAACTCTGCTGCAGGTCTCGGGGTGGGACCAGGGTGAGTAAGATGGAAGTGTACAGCAGATGTGTGTGGGTGTGTAGTGGGAGATAATGAAGAAATGGGCCAGAAATGAAAATAACTAACTTTAATAGAAGCAGCAGACTCCTCCCCATCACTACAAACCTCCCGGAGGAGAAGCAGTGGCTGCCCTCTGCATGGATGTGTCAGTCTCATTTTATATGGCAGCAAGCACTCAGTAGCCATCAAGACTGCATTGCCACGTACTGGAGAGTAAGTGCAGTACTGGAATCATCTAATCTCATTGGCTGATGGCATACTCTACATGCTCCATGGGCTCAGCCCTCTGTTACTGATACTCAAGATAACTTCTCCACAGTAAGAAAATAATAGCAACCTCACCTACCATAGCCCAGGCTGCTGTTAGAGACTCAAGAGTATAGGCTCATTCATTGTGAGGTTTCGCTCTGAAAGTAGCTACACAACAGCGTCAATGTGACCATTTCCAGAGAACTTTGGCAGCCAGAGTTCCCCGGAGAAGACCCTCGTATCCACTTTGAGTTGTGGAAAGACACTTCATGTTTCTCTGTCCAGTAGCTATGGTGTGAGAAAATCTGAGAGATCTGTGAATAACAGTAACAATTGTTCTGGGGCCTCTGCGTTGAAAACAGCTTGCAGGAGGGGGCTGCCTCAGTGGAGAAGATGCACAGAGCTTCCCTCATGCACTCACAGTGGGCATGGTTGGGGCCCAAGGCTGCTTGGCTTAGGAATAGAGGAAATGATCCATGCAAAGGAGGCACATGAAATGTAGCGTTGGAGTGGGTGGAGTGAAAAGATCCTGCTGGGTCACACCTGGGCTCTACTTCAGAAGGAACACAGCCTATGATCAGGGTCAGAGGAGATGGGCATGGTTGTGAATGGATGATGGTTTGTCTCTTCTGCAAGATCCCAAGCTCCCTAACAGAAGGAGCTGCATGTTAGTCACCCTTTCTAGTCTCACCCCTATTCCTAGAACATGGAAGGCACTTGGTGAATACTCTGATCATTACAACAAAATCAGGGTTCCTTATGTCTTAGTCAGGGTTCTCCAGAGAAAGAACCAATAGGATATATAGAGATCTATAGGAGGAGGTTTATTATGGAAATTGGCTCATGTGGTTATGAGGTTGAGAAGTCCCACAATATGCCATCTGCAAGCTGGGGAGCCACAAAAGCTGGTAGTGTGATTCATCCTGAATCCAAAGGCCTGACAACAGAGATCTGGGGAGAATTGGTATAAATCTTGGAATCTGAAAGCCAGAGAACAAGGAGCTCTGGTGTCCAAGGGTAGGAGAAAATTAATGTCCCAATTTAAGAAAGGAGAGATAATTCATGCTTCTACCTTTTTGTTCTACTTGATCCCTCAACAGATTGGATGGTGCCTGCCCACATTGGTGGGGGTGGATCTTCCTTACCCAGTCCACTGATGGAATGCTAATCTCTTCCAGGGACACCCTCACAAACACACCCAGAAATCATGCTTTATCAGCTATCTGGGCATCCCTTAGCCCAGTCAAGCTGGCACCTAATGTTAACCATCACAGTTCACTTCATAGAAAGCTAGTTTTGAAAGAGGCTAATGGATATTGTTAAAAGAAGAAGATGGAAATAAAGAAAAAGAAAATCTTCCATAGTCAACTTAGTTTGGAAAGTATCAGATTAACAAGGTTCAACAGGGCAATTTACTGTAGGATTTCTCTGAGCCTTTTAAATGATAATGAGAGGAATATAGAAAGCAGCATTTCCTAAGCTTAATTGACCATGGAATTCTTTTTCCACAGAGCTTCTTGTGGGACTATTGTTCTGTGGAAGCACTGAGCAGGACCTCTAACTTCAGCTCAGTATTGCAGTCATTAGATAAAGCAGGTATGCCACTTTGAGGTTGGTTGGCTAATCAATGAATTGTACCACCACATAAAACATCACTGAAAGCACATCATCCCTGGATTTATTTATTCATCTATGCAACTAACGGGCGCCTCATCCTTATCAATGTCGGTCCCAGGAACATAGATTTCTACTTTTTTATTTCCATACCAATGATACCATAATTATCAGTCAAATTTATTACCACATCAACATTGAATTAATTTATCTATTAATATTTTTAGCACCTACTACAGGCAAAGTGTTATTTTATATAACCTGGGAACATATAATTCTGTTAAAGTTGAAAAGATTATCCCAGCTCTCCAGGAATCTGCAAGCTAATTGGGGAAATTAGAAATATACATTTTCCCCTTGGGGTGTCTGTTCCCTGCTGCTACTCATGCCTCTACCTTAAGATGCCTTCCTTCTGGTCGATTTACTCAATTATCTTTCTCAAAATGTCTTCATTTTCACAATCTCAACTGGAGATAGCTCTGTGTTTTTGGGCCTGTGTACAGTATGTATTATTCATGTGCTCACTTGTTTCTGAACAACTTATGAAAACCAACTGGAGATTAATTCATAAAAAATAAGCTTTCTCCCCCCTCTCCCTTTACAGGACCAGATCTGTTTCTCTGCCACAATCGTATTGGCTGATTGGGTTTCTGCTCTTCCTCTGCCCCTGTTCTGTAGGAAAATCATGTCTCTTTAGTATTGCTGCCACACAGCCTTTCATGTGCTTCAAATGTATACCATTGTGTTCTGACTTTTGTTTTGTGCAGAATCTCTTTTATGCTCTATCTTCTGTAAGGTCCCCTGTCTTGGCAGCTGGGAGATTTTCATTGTACTTTGCACATTGCAAGTTTTTTGTTCTGCAAGGTGGCCTTTTGTAGTCAAGTTTGCTAATGTTTCTAATGGAAAACAGGCACAGCCATACTTCATCAGTCTTATTCTGCTCTGAGGCGCAGTTGCCAAGCCCAATAAGGGGACCAAGATCCTCCCTGCTCACAAAGGAGAAGGTGGGCTCAACTCAGCAGCAAAAAGGATCCATGTGTTCCTTGCTGAAGGTGAGAGAAGCAGATTGAGGGAAGCAGTTTGATCACTGGAGACTTTGACCCCTAGTTTCAGACACCATAATCCTTTTACTACGTGAAAATATGCCTGTTACTCTTCTTCCTGAGAAACATCCCTCAGCTTCTTCATCCATCTCCTGCTCTTGGCCAGCCATCGTGGGGTCACTCCCTCTCTGGCTCCCAGTAGAGCTTGGGGATAGAGTATAGAGACAATGAGTTTCCTTCTCTACCTTGCTTCCTACATTTCATTCTCAGTTATGGACACAAGCACAACCTCAGCTTCACCATTGTCATGGATCATTTTTCTGCACCTTGTGTCCCACATATAACTGAAACTTGGGACTCCAAAAATATCTGTTGAATGAATGACTGCACTACTGCCCTTAACTCTGGACCTCCCAGCCCAGGCTTTGGGAGAAGCCGTCAGGTGTCCCTGCTGCCTCCCATCCCATCTTCCTGGAATCCCTGCTCTGTGCCTCTTGCTGGTTTATTTCTTCAGTCAACTGGAAGGGCAGGGATGATGGTGTGGATCTGTGGTCTGTGAGGTGAAGGGTAGGACATTAAAAGGCATTGACCCATGGAGACACAATGCTACCATCCCCACATACAATGCCTCAGTTCAATCATGGGAGAGCACCCTTAGAAATCTCAACGTGAAAATCATCTACATCAATTTGGCCTTGCATGATGGTCCCAGGCTCCTTCTCTTCTGGAGAGAGAGAGTGTATGTGTGTGTGTGTGAGATTCCCCTAGTTTGCTATCTCAAATCAATTCTTTCATTTTGAGAACTTCCATGTTTTAAAATATATCCTTACATGAATGGTTGTCATTTTCTTCATCTCCCCTTCTATATTTTAATTCATTATCATATATTCCCCACTAAGGCAGTCTAAAACACACTTTTACATTCATCTCACTGTTCACTGAAAACTCAGTCTTCCCTTTCTTAAATCTCTCTCTCCCCACCCCCCCTTTCTTGTTTTTTGTGTTTGTTTTTGGTATTCTTGACTCCATTCCCCCTCCTTTGACAAATTACAGTTTATTAGTTGTTATGGCAACTCTGTATTGCTCTCAGTACCTCTCTCTCATGACGTGGCTACAAATGAAGAGGTTAGAAAAATGAAGATAGGCTTCACACTCCTCCAGTCTCTTCCCTAAGCCTTTCCACCATCCTCATTATCATCTCTACTCCCTGTCCCCCCAACCTTACACACAGGTAACAAAGAAGCCCAAAAATAAATAAATGAAAGACTATATCTCTTTGGTTGTCCACAGCAATATTATTTGCTACTATAACAAAAAAAAATGAAACAGTAGAATGCTTGAGCTGGAGTAGCATGTTGTGATTTGTGACACCTTTGGAGGCAGCTTCTCTGTTTTGGAACAGCAATCACCGCAACAGGCCAATTGTGTTAGGGGGAGACAGGTGGCACATTCAATTCTAATTCTTTCTGGCTTCAGCTTCTGCCATTCATGCCTTACCTAAGACCCCTATGGGGTGACTCTGATCAATGCCCATTAGAACTACCTCATTCCCTTGACCTTGGCCAAGATCCTATCTGAATCAGGACTAAACTTGTCTACTAAATTCATAAAAAGATCTCCCAACTTTTCACTAAATTATTCCAGACCCCACACTCCACACCCCTCAAGAAATACACTTCACTTCCATATATCTTCCTAAAAGTTATTTTGCTGTCACATTTTCTCTGACATCTGTCACCTTGGTATCTAAGCACTCTAGCAAATTCATGAGGCTAAAAACAAACACTTATGTGGGAAGGGGGAAAAAAGCTCTTCTTTTCTGCTCTCTTATCTCCATAGGGACAAAATAGCACAAAGATGCTATGATTCTACAAGGTCATGCTGTGCAAAGACAGCGTAACAGAGCCAAGAAAAGATGGCAAAATCCTAACTTCCAGTCCCTGACCTCCATAATGCAAATACATACTGTCTGGAGTCAGTGTCAGTGTTTCTGTAGAAATTACCAGGGGGAATTTTGTGGCTGCTGACCATAGCCAGGAAGGAATCTTCACAAAATGGAATATATTCCCTTCCCTTCCAGGGTCTGGACCTTGCCTCCTTCTCTCACTGCTGAACGTTCAAGCACTATTTCAACTTTAATACTTACTAACATTAACTGCAATGTTCAGAGATTTTATTTATTTAGCAAATCACTCAATCATTATTAATTGGCAGTCTTCCACAGTCAAGCACATGTTAGAGATGAGTAAGACTCTATCTCTCTTTGAGGATTTGTTATCTGTCAAGAAAAGATGAGATATATGTATAAAAATTATTACTGAGAAAATACTATTTCCAATTCTAAACTCCAAAGAGGGATAAAATCTACAAGGATTTTGTTCTAATAGATCTTACCATTACAGCAGAGAAAACAAGACAATAAACAACAGATAAACAAACAAGATATCTTACATCAAAACATAATAAAAGATAAAATGTGATATAATGAAGATATAGATGAAGAGCTCAACACCTTTTTTTTTCCACAGGGAATCAAAGTAGCTAAATGGAATGTATGATCTACTTCCAGAATTATGTTTGTAGCAACCGAGACCTCTGAATGTAAATGATTTTTCTCCAGTAAGCAAATATTGCAGATGTTGCATTCACCCATGAGTGACCTATGTGGAGCAAGAGATTCAGCACCTGTAACAAGCTGGTGACCAAAATATTTTAAAGAATTTGGAAGCAGTTGAAATATAAGTTGTTCAAATCCAGAAGAGAATTAGTTTAAAAATATAGGATCTCTGGGAACGGTTGCAATCCATTGGCCACTTGATGGCCTACTAGTCAAAAGAGAATGAACTTATACCTCCACCCTAATTATTTAAACAGGTTACCTTACAGTTGCTGAAAACTAAAGAAGCAATCCTAACCTCTTTGTCTTTAAAAATAACTTTAATAGTTTTGTTTTTAATGTTGCAGCATTCAGGTACATATTAGGTGATAAATCTCTTCTAACATTCATTCTATCATTAGTCCACACTTACCTGTACCCCTGAGATTCAGCCAGTTGAGCAACATAAAGACCTTAGCTCCTCAAACAAATGGCTTCCAGGAAACTTATTTATGCACCCCCATTGCATATTCTCTGCTTACCTAAAAGCTGCCATTCAAAATATTCACTGTCCCTCACTTGTAGACTGGTCCAGGAAGATGATGTATATTATCAGTCTTCAGAGGAGGTATTAAGCTTTCTGACCAAGGATACTTTTTAGATGGTGACACAGGAAAGAGGAGCTCAAGCAGAGCACGTGAGCCCATATGAGACCTGGAAACAGACATCAGCATTCAGAACTACTAAAACTCCTTGAATTTGAGTGACAGGGTAAAGAACGGGAGAGAGCTGCAGAGAGAAGCTACCTCAAGTGGTGAAAGGCTCAAGGCCTAGCAGAGAATGGATGCTCTGGGCCTTAGAGCTAAATGAAGATCCTAGAGTTTGCATAATTCTAGGAGGTGAGTATAGAGACCTTATGGTAAGCCTTGGACATTCCATTGAGACTTCAGAAAGGTCTCCACTTAGGAGTAAGAACCATGCCCTGAAGAAAGAGCCACATCCTAGGGCTAAGGATAAAACTGAACTTGACCCATTTAATCCAAATAAAAACAATCCTAACAGGTTCAAAAAGATCTGCCAACAATTTAACTGCCTGCCAGGACAAAATTCAGCTTTCTTTTAAAAAGGACAAGGTAATCCAGACTCCTTACAATGTATCACCTACAGGGTCTACCATACAATAACAAATTACTAGAATGCAAAAAAATAGCCAATAGAAGCAGACCCTAAGATGGCCCCATTGGAATTAGCAAGCAAGAACATTAAAATAGCTATCATCAACATGTCAAAAGAAAATATAATATTAAAAGATAATGTAAATATAACTGAGTACTTGGAAGTCTCAGAAGACATTTTAAAAATTAAATGGACATTCTAATAGTGAGATTACAATATCTGAAATAAAATGTGCTGAATGAGCTTCACACAAATAAGAGATGGCAGAGGAGATAGTCAGTGAGCTTGTACATATCCCTATTTAGTATTTAAACTGAGAGAGAGAGAAAGACTTTTTAATAAATAGAAATAACAGAAATTTAGTGTTCTGTGAAAAAAATCTTAAGTGTTGTAATATACCCATAGTTAATTTCCAAAAGATGAGAGAAAAAGGGAAGAAAAAATGTTTAAATAATAACCAAACATTTTCAAATAAGCCAAGAATTTGACCTTCAAATTTAAAGTCAATGAACCCAACGTAGAATTTTATTTTTATTTCAATAGTTTTTGTAGGTGTAGGTGGATTTTCGTTACATGGATAAGTTCTTTAGTGGTGATTTCTGAGATTTTGATGCACCAGATGTAGAATTTTTTTAAAACCCCTAATGCATTATATATAAATTACTGAAGCCTAAATATAAACAAAAAATATTTAAAGAAGCCAGTGGGGAAAAACATACATTGCATATAGTAGAACAACAATATTAATGATGACTAACTTCTCATAAGAAATAATGACCTCTCCCTCTCCCTCTCCCTCTCCCTCTCCCTCTCCCTCTCCCTCTCCCTCTCCCCCTTCACACGGTCTCCTTCCACGGTCTCCCTCTGATGCCGAGCCAAAGCTGGACGGTACTGCTGCCATCTCGGCTCACTGCAACCTCCCTGCCTTATTCTCCTGCCTCAGCCTGCCGAGTGCCTGCGATTGCAGGCGCGCGCCGCCACGCCTGACTGGTTTTTGGTTTTTTTTTGGTGGAGACGGGGTTTTGCTGTGTTGGCCGGGCTGGTCTCCAGCTCCTAACCACGAGTGATCCGCCAGCCTCGGCCTCCCGAGGTGCCGGGATTGCAGACGGAGTCTCGTTCACTCAGTGCTCAATGGTGCCCAGGCTGGAGTGCAGTGGCGTGATCTCGGCTCGCTACAACCTCCACCTCCCAGCCGCCTGCCTTGGCCTCCCAAAGTGCCGAGATTGCAGCCTCTGCCCGGCCGCCACCCCGTCTAGGAAGTGAGGAGCGTCTCTGCCTGGCCGCCCATGTCTGGGATGTGAGGAGCCCCTCTGCCTGGCTGCCCAGTCTGGAAAGTGAGGAGCGTCTCTGCCCGGCCGCCATCCCATCTAGGAAGCGAGGAGCGCCTCTTCCCCGCCGCCATCCCATCTAGGAAGTGAGGAGCGTCTCTGCCCGGCCGCCCATCGTCTGAGATGTGGGGAGCACCTCTGCCCCGCCGCCCTGTCTGGGATGTGAGGAGCGCCTCTGCTGGGCCGCAACCCTGTCTGGGAGGTGAGGAGCGTCTCTGCCCGGCCGCCCCATCTGAGAAGTGAGGAAACCCTCTGCCTGGCAACCGCCCCTACTGGGAAGTGAGGAGTCCCTCTGCCCAGCCAGCCGCCCCGTCCGGGAGGGGGGAGGGGGGGTCAGCCCCCTGCCCGGCCAGCCGCCCCGTCCGGGAGGGAGGTGGTGGGGGCCAGCCCCCCGCCCGGCCAGCCGCCCCGTCCGGGAGGTGAGGGGCGCTTCTGCCCGGCCGCCCCTACTGGGAAGTGAGGAGCCCCTCTGCCCGGCCACGACCCCGTCTGGGAGGTGTGCCCAGCGGCTCATTGGGGATGGCCCATCATGACAATGGCGGTTTTGTGGAATAGAAAGGCGGGAAGAGTGGGGAAAAAATTGAGAAATCGGATGGTTGCCGGGTCTGTGTGGATAGAAGTAGACATGGGAGACTTTTCATTTTGTTCTGTACTAAGAAAAGTTCTTCTGCCTTGGGATCCTGTTGATCTGTGACCTTATCCCCAACCCTGTGCTCTCTGAAACATGTGCTGTGTCCACTCAGGGTTAAATGGATTAAGGGCGGTGCAAGATGTGCTTTGTTAAACAGATGCTTGAAGGCAGCATGCTCGTTAAGAGTCATCACCACTCCCTAATCTCAAGTACCCAGGGACACAAACACTGCGGAAGGCCGCAGGGTCTTCTGCCTAGGAAAACCAGAGACCTTTGTTCACTTGTTTATCTGCTGACCTTCCCTCCACTATTGTCCTATGACCCTGCCAAATCCCCCTCTGCGAGAAACACCCAAGAATGATCAAAAAAAATAAATAAATAAATAAATAAATAAATAATGAAAGCTGGAAGATAAATGAATGAATTATATGTGGTGCTGAAAGAAAAAAAAAAAGAACAATTGGCCCAGAACTTTATAGATTTCAAAAATAATCTTCAAGGTGAAAATAAAATAATTTTTAGATAGGTGAAAACTGAAAGAATTCATGTTCAGCAGGCCTCCATGATGTAATACTCGAAGGAAGCTCTTGGAACAAAAGAAGGGAACTTCTGATATGCAAGAAAGAATGAAGAGCTCAGGAATAGGTAAATATGCGGATAAAAATAATATTTTTTTCTTCTCTTAATTTCTTTTATAAACAATTGGCTTTCACAGCATAAAATGTATTTTATGGTTTTAGCACATTTCAGAGTAAAATATATGAAAGCAGTACTAGAAAAAGTGAGGGTAAATGGAATTACACTCTTATAGGATTTTTACATTTTATATTATAAGGTACAATATTAACTCTAAGTAGACTGTAAAAAGGTAAGGACTTCCTAGTGCTTCCTAGAATGACTATGAAAAATAGAGAGGTAAAGCTAAAAAGCCAATAGAAAAAATTAAATTGGATACTAAAATAATTTGGTGAATTCAAAAGAAGGCAGAAAAGGAAAAACAGAAACAAAGAAGATGAGGCAAACAGTCAGTAAATAGCAAGATGATACATTAAATCCAGGATCATCAATAATTACATTTAAAGCAAATGCACCAAACTCCAGTTAAGGGCATAGATTTTCAGACTGTATAGGAAAAAAAAAAGACTCAATTACATCCTGTCTACTAGACATGCATGGTAAATACAATGACCCTGATAGGTTGAAAGTAAAAGGATGGAACAAGATAAATCACACAAATAGTAATCATAAGAAACCTTGTGTGGTTATATTGATATCAGACAAAAGAGACAACAAGAAATCTTACCAAAGACAGAGATATATCACAATAGTAAAAATAGATTATTTCTTTTGGAAGATATGACAATCCTAGAACTGCGTGTGCTTGTAATATTAGAACTTCAAAATACACAAAGCAGGAAAAGACATGAATAAAGAAAGAAACAGAAAAATACACAGTTATAGCTGGAGATTTTTAAATCCCTCACTCAGAAATTATTAGAATAACTAGAAAAAAAGTCAAAAAGGAAATACAAAGGTTTGTACAACAATATAAACTGCCTTGATATAACTGAAATTTTCAAAACACTATAACCCCAAAACTATAGAATAGACATATTTTCAGGCATATATGGTATAACATATATACATGTGTAGCACATACAAACCATATGTTGTAAACATATGTAAAATAAGTTTCAATACATTTCAGAAGATTGAAATCTTACACATGTTCTCTGACAACAAAAGATTAAGTACAAAAATACTAACTATATGTACGCAGAAATGCTCAAATATTTGGAAATTAAGCAACATACTTCTAAATAATTCATGGAGCACAGTATAACTAATAAGAGAAGTCAGGAAATACAGTTAAACCTTGAACAACATGAGTTTGAGCTGCAGGGGTCCACTTATACGTAAATTTCTTTTCAACCCAATGTGGTAAAAATACAATATTCTCTTGATGCAAAACTCACGTATATGGGGGCAAACTTTCTGTATATATCTGCAAGACTTGAGTACGCACAGATTCTGTTGTACTCCAGAATCCTGGAACCAAGTCCTCATGTATACTGAGACATAACTGTACTGAACTAAATGATAATGAAAACACAACATGTCAAAATTTGTATGATACCTCTCAAATGGTGGTAGGAGGGAATTTATTACTTTGAAAATAGGTGATCTAAGTTTCCAGTATAAAAAGGTAGAAAAAAAGAGAAAATTAAACCCAAAATAAATTAAAAAACAAAACAAAACACGGTTCTTTAAATTGTTAATAAAGTTGAGTAAACCTGAGCAAAATCAATCAGGAAAAAAAGAGAATATAGTAATTACCAGCATCAGAAATAAAAAGGGGGATATCACTACAGATCCTACAGACATAAAAAGAATAATAAAGAATATTGTAATAACTTTATGCCTCTAGATTTAACAACTTAGATGAAATGAACAAAATCCTTGAAAACACAATTTTATAAAACTGATACAAAATTATAGAACATAAAAATAGTCCATATGCAGTTTTCTTTTAAAGTGAAATTCATAACCATAAAGAAAATCCAAATGGCCTATTAGTTCTATGGCATAGAGAAAAAATAATATAATAATTCATAAACTACTTCAGAAAATAAAGAATGATCATTTCATCTCTTGTTTTACAAAGCCAACCAAATTATGATATCAAAACTTAACAAATACACTTTAATTAAAAAAAATTATAGCCAAATAAGACTGAGCATAAACACAAAAACTTTTCACACAATATTAGCAAATTAAACCTAGCACTATACAAAGCTTCCAAGTGGGGTTCATACCAGGCATGCAAGATTGCTTTAATATTCAAAAATCAGTCAATATGATCCATCATATTAACAAAATCCAGAAGAAAAACTGTGTATTATATCAATATATAATCATCTTAAAAATTATTTGGGGCCAAGTGCAGTGGCTCACCTCTGTAACCCCAGCACTTCGAGAGACGGAGGCAGGTGGATCGCTTGAGGTCAGGAGTTCAAGACCAGCCTGGCCAATGTGATAAAACTCTGTCTCTACTAAAAATACAAAAATTAGCCAGGCATGGTGGTGTACCCCTGTAATCCCAGCTACTCGGGAGGCTGTGGCAGGAGAATTGTTTGAACCCATGAGGCAGAGGTTGCAGTGAACCAAGATTGTGCCACTGCACTCCAGTGGGAAACAGAGCAAGACACCATCTCAAAAAAAAAAAAAAAAAAAAAATTGGCAAAACTCAACACCCATTCATAGTTGAAACTCTAAGCAAAGTAGAAATAGACAGAACTTCTTCTTAATGTGATAAAGGACATCTACAAAAAGCCCCTGATTAACATACTTAATAATGAAATATTGAACTCCTTCCCCTTTCTTTCATAAACGAAGTGTGAATGTTCCTTTTAACTAAATCTATCCTACATTATACTGCTAACCAGTAAAATAAAGCTTGAAAAATAAATGAAAAGCATAAAAATTAGAAATGAGGAAATTTCATTTATTCAATGATATTATTATAGTTTACATAGAAAATCCTAAAGAATTTATACTTTAAAAAGCTATTAGAACTTATAAGTAAATAAAGTAAGATCACAGCATATAAAGTCACTATATAAATATCAATATGCAAAATTAGAATAATAAAATTTTAAAATAACATTTACAATAACATTATGAAACAAAAAATATTTAGGAATAAAATTAACAAAAGAGGTACCAGAGTTGTGAATCAAAAGCTACAAAATATTATTGATAGAGATAAAAAATAAATAAATGAGGAGAAATAAGCTGTTGATAGATTGGAGAATCAATATTATTGAAATGTCAAATCTCCCCAAATTTTCTATAGAGTCAATGCAATCCTATGAAAAATTTCAACCAGCCATTTTATACAAATCAATAAATTTATTCCAGCATTTACATAAAACTACAAAGGGCCTAGGATAGCCAAAACAACATTTTTAAAAATACATTTGGAGAGCTTACATTACCTGGTTTCAAAGCTTACAAGATTTCACTGCGGTGTTTATTACACTGTATATGTATTTTTCAAAGCTCATTGAATTGCACTTGAGATCTTGGCCTTTAATTGCATGTGAATTTTACCACAATAAGAAAAATAATAAATTGCAATTTCCTCTTGGTAGACTACATCACAAGAAGGTCAGGGTGCTTTCTGCTGAGTATCGATGAAAGCGGACAAGAATATATACAGCAGAGCTCTTTTCGCTCTGTCTTCTTCAGTAAGCAATGCTGGTGGATTCTTCTGCATCAACTTGGTTAAACTGAAACAACTTATCCCAGAATTTCTTCTGTATATATTTCCAAGTTAGAGTCGGCCAAAAGAAAAATTTGCACAAGATCTGGAAGGTAGGAGTGAAACAGCAACCAATATTCTCTGAAGCTGCCATGGTCAGATGTAGTGATAAACACATGCAAATTGCCTGACGGGTTTCACTTTTTTCTCACTCTTTTCCATTCCACATTCAGCCCTCTCCTCAAGTGACACATCTGGTAACCCAGAAAATACTCAGGCTCATCATCAGACACCTGGCTGCAGACCCACAGAGGCTATAGCTGCATAGAAGCAACATTTCCCATGGTCCTCCAAGATGCCCCCTTTATGGTTGACTTCAGAGACTGGACACAGTCTCAGATTGTCCATTGGCTACTGACTCATATTCTGTTCCTCCAACTCGTTGCGTGGACCTCTGCTACCCAGTTCCTTCTCAATTGTGTAAGGTCTAATTGCCATCATAAACATCTTACCCACACTTACCATGACTCTGATTCCCTGGCTGAATCATGACTTATAACACAGCAACCCTTTCATCTCTGATGCTGAATCTGATTCGCTCAATGACAGCAAAGGGTGATGTGGGCTTGCTTGATGAATTACATGTAGGTGGAGGAATTGGGTGCAGCCTTTTAGTAAAACTAACTACTGCAGGGTTAGAAGTCAAAGAGATGACAATGACAAACTTCAGGTGAGCTTTCATGTATCACAAAGCATCCTAAACATCTTAAGATGTACCCTCTTATTAAAAAATGCTTCTCTCCTAAGATAACTGATATGGGTTCCAATTCCAAAAGAGAAGGTCCCAATACATTCTTCCTCAGGCAACTGAGTAGGGGAATATACATAACCAAAAAGTGAGGCAACGTGTCAGGAGATGATAAAGGTGCATGTGCACATAGGCAGACATTTGTATTTCTCCATTAATAAAACAAAAACCATGTACATCCTTTGCAATGGAGAAAAATAAAGGGCATGTCAGAAACAACTAACCCAGCCTTGGTATTTAGAAGTTTATGAAACCCTAGAAAAATCGTCTTACATTCTTATTTCTTATTTTATTTACCACAAAACTAGCCATAAGACCCATCTTAACTTCTTCATAAAAGAGTAGAAAATAATTTGAGTTTCTGCTATGTGCTAGGCATATTTATTTTTGCAACTGTCCTATAAGGAAAATGATATTAGCCTCATTTTACAGATGAAATTGAGACTCAGAAATATTAAATAATGTATTTAAGGTCATGTAGCTTCTAAGAAGAAGAGCCATGATTTGATCTCATGTCCATCTGAGACTCACAGTCTTTTTACTAAACCACCCTCATTTCAGCACAAATCTCCATTTTAGAAAAAAAGGAAGAGCCGTCATGGGAATGCTTACCCTGTGAAATTATTTTGAAATAATTATAAAGACAATAATTTTTAAATACCTCCAGACCTGTGTATGCATGTATGTGTTCCTGGTCAAAGTAGTCACTTTGAGAGAATATACATACATCCCAATAGGTTCTAACATTAATGCAATTTTCCAACACATTTTTGGAACTTCCACAATTGTGCAGAATTGGAATTGCAGCACAATTGCTTTACACACACACACACACACATATACATATATATATATACAGATATATCTATATATACAATATATACACAAATTTTATATATTGATATGTACGTATGCAGATAGTAAGTATAAGGTACCCTCTTTCCTTTCTATTCGCTAACATACACATAAAATCCAAGGAGACTTTCATGAAAAACCACACTCCTTGGAGATTTTCAAGCAGAATTCAGGCAAGCACAGGCATTAGGTGTAGTTTAGAGGGAAGAGCTGCATCAGAAAGAAAGTTGAACAATATGACCTTTAAGGTCCTTCCCAACGCTGAGATTCCCTGTAATATAATTTGTTATGTTTGGTTTTTATAAGAAAACTCATTCTATTACATTATGGTCACACCTCATAAGAAGCACTATGCAAATGGAAGGTGGATCTTTGCTATGAATAATAATATTATGATTGTCTTTTTAGTAGAATCTCTAATTGCTAAATTAATTTCCCTCACTTCTCACCCACTGTGAGGCCAGATAGGCCCTCTGTGTATGATCTTATGGCACCCTGAACTTCCTCTGACTCAGCAGTGGTGGGACTCACAATTATTGTTTAATCCCCTCCAGGCCTTAAATTCCTTAAGGGCTAAGGCATACATCTTCATCAATGTGAATCAGGCCAGACTCAGAGGAAGAACTTCATAAGTATTTTAAATGAATAATAAATATATGTTGAGTGTCAAAAGCATAGTTGTGGAATCAACCTGAAACCCTTCCCTGTACTATCATTCCCATGGGAATACTTTATGTGGCATTTCCTAAAGGCTGTCCATGTGAAGACAAGGAGCGTGTCCCATGTGAGAGGGGATCCTGGCATGGGGGGGGCCAGTGAACACTGCACACACTAGGGGACAGTGAGGCTGCAGGGATGGCTCCCAAGTCAGAGGATTTGCTCCAGCGAAGGCAAACAGGGAGAACAGGGAGCCACGGAGGAAAGGAGGCACTTCCATTCCAAAGAAAGAGACAATCAAGAGCACAGACACAGAAGCAGAAACAGGCAAAACTTTCTGAATAGAAAACTGAGCAGCTCAGTGTGGCTGTGGTGTGCAGTCTGCTGTGGGGAGTGGTGGGAATTAGATGTTGACTTTGGTCGGGGGAAAAGGCCTTCAGTGCCAGGCATGGTAGGCTAAACCATGGTCCCCAACAATATCTAGGCTCTAATCCCTGGAACCTGTGAATGTTTCCTTCTATGGCAAATGTGACTTTGCAGATGAGGAGATTATCCTGGATTTGGTGACGGGCCCTAAATGTAATCACAAACATCCTTATAAGTGGGAGATGGAAAGGTTTGATAGTAGAGGAGAAGGCAATGTGAAGCCTGGACAGAGAGGATTAAAGATGCTGAGCTGCTCACCTTGAAGGTGGTGGAAAGGGCATGAGGCAAGGACCGCAGGAATACAGGCCCAGCAGTGGGAAAAGGCACAGAAATGCGTTCTCTCCTAGAACATCCAGAGGGAGCACAGCCCTGCCAACACCTTGTTCTCAGCACAGTGAAACACATTTAGGACTTTTGGCTTTCAGAACTGTGTGAGAATAAGTGTGTGTTGCTCTCAGTCACTGAGTTTGTGGTAATTTGTTACAGCAGTCACAGGAAACTCATACGACCAGGAGAAGGCATTTGAGTGTTACCCAATAAGCAATGAAGAGTCATGACAATCCAGGCAGAAATGGATTGGGGGAAGGCGAATGGAAGGGGTGTGGTGAGGGGGAAAGTGTGGAACAGTGGCTTGACTTTAGAAGTGGATAAAATCTCCCTGGATATTTTGTTAGCAAAGCATTTTGGGATCCTTTGGGATGAAAGGTGCTGCAGAAAATGTAATAACGCTAATAAATATTCTATGATTTCCCTGGAACATGTCCTCGGGTGAACTCCAAGGCGGCTCTTAATGTTACGATGAGAGATGTGGGAGGCTCCGCAGTTTGGGGTCTCAGGGTGCTATAGAAACCAAGATTATGTTTGTCTGCCTCCCCTAGGGACTGGCATCCTCTGAGCCTCACATGTCTTCTTCCCCAAACCTAATTCACATGAGCTCTGGGGAGCGGCAGCAAAGGGCAGAGTCAAGAGCTGTTCAAGGCAGCAATAGCAGGAAAAGAGAGTGTAATGAATTATTCAGCATTTCACCAGGGCAGCGCAAGACCAGCTCCAAATGCTGAGTGGGCGATGATTGGGGTAATCCATAGAGATGTGGGGAGAGTGGTTGGCTGAGACGACTAGAGTTAATGTTGGGGACATTTGTCCATGCTGGGCCTGAGACCCGCTAATTCATCTCCCTCACAGGTTGCAAGCTGGAAATTGAGGCTTCTACCCCCAGAAAGCTGATTTTTAAACCAGAGACTCAAGGTTCCCAATCTTTTTGACCCTTTATCATCTTTTGACAGTGCTTAAAGACTCGACAGAGGACTTGACCTTCAAGGTAAAAGAGCCCTTCATTCCATAACAGGCAGTATTCGTTCTATCTTAGAACTGAGGGGAGCATTGGAGGTCATGTCACTTAAACCACTAATTCTTCAATGGAGAAAACCCAAGATCAGGGAAGTCAAGTGACCCTGGGGAAACACCTCTGGTTTCCCAGCCAGGGATCTTGCACCTGGACCACACCTCTCCAGTTAATTTCCTCGTCGAGTAGGAGACTCATGCACCACCTGGGGCTAATGTTCTGGAGAAATATGTACCCGAAGGTCTTTGCCCTCTGGAAAAGTAAGGGACTTTTACACAGGACTTTAGCCTTTCTTTCTGTATCATGGTCTATTTCTGGACATTGAGACAAAATTCTCTTTCATCATGTTACCTTCAAATCTCAGACTCTCTGGGAGACCAAATCCAGTTTGGAGCTGAGCCCGCCTATAAGCAGAATTCATGAGAAAAGAACTGTAAGCATGGAGTTAGTAGACCTGGTTTCAGATGCTGGCCCTGTCACTTGTAGCATGTCATTTGATCTCCCTGCTCCCAGCTTCCTGAGATATAAATACAGGATAATAATACCCACCTCAGAGCTGCTGCAAAGATTGACTTGGATGATACAATGCATGCCAAAGCATTTAATAGAATTCTTAGAATATACTAATGCTGGATAAGCATGTGCTAGATGAGAATTTAAATGAGTTTTTAGGAACACAAGTATGAATATGAAGGTTTCCAAAAATACCTTCACTCACAGCCCCTTGTAAAAAAAAAAATGTCTAAAATTGCACCATTAGCGATACAGACCTCAGATTCTAGAAGGACTGCCAGCCATTGGGAATTCCCATCAAAATACACTTCAGAACCTCAAACCAATATTACTGAAGACCTCAGCAGGAAGTAATTGCTATGGGTAAGCAGCCAAGGTTCTGCAGAAATAAGAGAAGGGTGGAGAAGTGGGAGAAATAGGGAAGTGAGTTGTGCTGAATGGTCCCTGGAAGGCTTCACACACAGGAGACGTTTGAGTCCAATTCTCGACTTTCCTTTGGCCAAAAGTATGTGAAGTTAGAAATCTAATGCTATTTCTACATTCTAAAACATTCCCAGAAACAATGTTTGTTTTATGTTTTTGTTTCCCTGGTTTTCTACTATGATTGAAAGGGAGGGAGGGCAGCCTCCCACCAACCTCTCCTGGAGCTGTGGACTCCTCTGGGCTTTGTGCTCTGCAGGCAGGCAATCTGCACCTGCCCCCTGCATTCTGGCTTCATTCAGACATCTGGGCTTTTGCTGTTTGATACACACTTATTGAACTATTGAAGACATCAAGATAAATAAAGCAACATCTTTCCCTTGACAAGTTCATGGTCAAATAGAAGATACAGACCTGAAGCAAGTAATTATTATAAAATGTGATCATTTCATGAATGCCAGGGGAAACTGGATATGAAAAGGGTGTTTTTCTGGCTTGGGGATTTAGAAATAGGGGCAGACGTGGAAGGCTTCACAGGAGGAGACATTTGAGTGCTGACGGGAGCCAAACAACCTTTGGATGGGAAGAAAATTCCAAAGAGAGAGGATAGCCTTCGCCAAAGAGTTGAGATGCATAAGGGCCAAGCATCTTTGGTGACTCTAACACTGCAGGTGTTGTGCCAGTTATTAAGGTGTTGTCCCCTCAGCTCCTCCTCGCCCTTCTCTACCCAGCTGTGTGGTGCTAGGGCTGGGGCCTCCTTTGGAGCTGGCTGCCTGTTAGGACCCACAAGGAGCTGGCTCTAGAGAGGGAGCCCCTACCTGCTGGCTGTGCTTCCCATCAGCATTGCCCCAGTAATGGCTCTTCATCCTGGCAGCTGCAAGTGTCCCAACCTCTAGGATCATGGACTCCCAGCCTTACGGGACCTCTCATACAAGTGCAAGCCATGGCAGGGGGGCTCCCTCTCATTAGAGGTCTAAGCCCAGTTCCACAAGGGGCTTTCTCCAAACTTCTGAATCCCAGCAGAAGTTGAGTAACCCCTCTTCTCCTTAGAGGTATGAGAACCTCCCCTGAGAGAACCCTCCTCTGAGCCCTGAGTTACTAGCAGCTGTCTAGTACTTCTCCCTCCTCAGAAATCTCAGCCATATCTCCACAGCTCTCTAAGTTTCTAGGTTCTAATAATTCCAATCTCTGCTTTTTGACCCTCCAGCTTTAGGATCAATAGCTCCTTCTGTGGTTAAACCTTTGTATACCTTGGTGTCACCTTTTCATATTTTCAGTCCTGCAATACCAGGCTAATTGGTTCCATATTTTCGCTGTTCAAATACATAGAGAGGTTCCTGTTCTCCTCCCTGTAGGCTGACTAATACATCCTACAAGAGATACAAGACAGAATGAAACTGGGTCATGCAGGACTTTATACCCTGCCAAGAGCTTTCGACTCCATTTTACAGATCAGGAGTGGGGAGCCCTGTCCATCTGAGAAAGAGGGTGGTGATGCAGGGTGTGTTGCAGTGAGACATGGGACTAGAGGAAGTGAGGACTGAGGCAGGGAGGTGGGTGAGGAGGAAGTTTCAATGATCCAGGCATGGCATGGTAAGAATCTGGCCACTGCAGAGAACAAGGTGGAAAAGAAGTGTGTTGAAAGTCCGCTGAGAAGACTCCTTCTATTAGTAGGCAGTCCATATGACTGGCAGGAGCAGGCTCAGGGCTCCACACTTCATAATGCAGGCATCCCACCCTTTCCCTTGGGGTTTAAGAGATGTGGTCCTGGCCTCTGCAAGAGAAACAGGTCCCTGAAGAGGCAGTGTGACCTTGAAGTAAAGAGATGAGCACTGGGTTGGAACCTTACTTCCACCCCAATATAGATGTAACTTTGTATAAAATACTGAACACACCAAGATCGATTTCCTTAAAATGCCTGCATTGAATGGTTTAAGTATCATGTTTCCCCCAAACTGACTGGTAATCAGCATTACCTATAGAGCCTTTGAAAAAAAAAAAAAAAAGTCAATTCTTAGACCTTGCCCTAGACATTCTGAATTTAAAATTTCCCAAATATGGGTCTCAAAGTCTGACATTTTTTACACTTCCCTGGTAATTCTGGTGAGAAGCTATGTTTGGGAACCACTGACTTAGAAGTTAATATAGATAATGCACATGACCGTATCTAGCTTACAATTCACTGTAGCAGACACGGTTGGCTGTCAATGTCCCACCCATGCTTCCTCTTGGCACTTGCCACCCTAGTACATGCAGATGGCCTCCTAGTGCAAGCACCTGTGACTCTTTGCCTGAAAGCTTCTCTGGCTGCAGGAGCATGCTTGGCCCTCAAGTCAGACAACTGGAAGGCATTTTTTATACTCTGGGACTGAGTCCTAGTTGCTCACAGAAGCAACCTGCTTATGATCACATGCTGATAGGCTTCCTTCCTTCCTTCCCCTCTCACCCAAACACTCCTCTACCAATTCATCCTGACATCACACCCCAAATAAACTACTCACCTTCAAATCCTCTTCCCAAGATCAACATCTGGATGAACCAAACCTAAGACATATGTACTTAGTCACTGTCAGAGTCTTCCTTCTGTATCTTATGGTCTCAGGCTCGGAGGATGGGGAATGACAATGATCATCTAGCCCACATTGGTAAGATACTTTAGAGATTACACCATTCCTCTACTGGCATTTTGCATCTCATCTGATCTTCACAACAACCTTGGCCATTGGGAAGTACCATGTTCTATTTCCATATGAGGAAACTGAGATCCTGTTTGTTAAATGACTTACACAAGGCCACCAGAAAAAAATAATGCCAGGCCTCAAGTTTTAGTTTTCTATCCATAATAGTAACAGTTTCAAGAATCTGATGTAATCTATATGTCTTCCCCTGACTGAAAAGGAAGTGCAGATACTGACCTACTCACATTTTTATAGATTTTAGGCTCTTCATGGACTTCCAGTGTGCCTGTGGATCCTTATGGGAATAGGATATTAGGTGTTCATAGACCCATGTGAGGAAGGCTTGCATTTCTAGCAGGCTAGCTGGTAGAATATTTTCTCTCCTGGTTCACCTTTCTCCCCAGATTTCACTCAAGGCCACACACCCAGCCACAAGCTTCTTCTTGATGTTTTGAGCTAGAACATTAGTAGATCATAGAGCTTATCAACATCTGGTGTAATGTTGTGTGTTTAAGATAGGAAAGAGAAAGGCCCATGCTCTCTGGGAGCCTTCGTCAACAGTCAGAACTGACAGTCAACAATCAAACTATAAAAACAAAAAAAAAATCTATGAATAGATTCATTTTCAGAATCCATTCTGCAACAATGGATACTCAACAAATGGTGGTCTTTTATGGCAGAGGGTGTTAAGAGTCTCATTTCACAAAGGAGTAACCCTTCTCCTTTATTCATTAGCAAAGTTCTCTCAGCTGCCAGTCCACATGGTGCTGGAAACGTGGAAATTTTAGCGAATGCTCTGACAATGGCCATTCTTCAGGAGGCAGGAGCACAGATTCAGGAGCCAGAATATCTGATCTGGCTTTTGGGTCTAAGACTTCCTAGCATAGTGACCTCGGGCAAGTCATCTACATTGTCTGGGTTTCACTTTCTTCATCTGTAAGGTGGAGATAATAATACTACCTACTTCGTGGTGTTACTATGGAGAATAAATGATTTAATACCCATATCACACTAAGAAGGATGCCTGGCACTTAGCAAAACTCAGTATTCTTACTTCCTTAGCCTAGGTTCCCTGGAAAACTGAGGCAGAGCTCATGTGATAACCCTTAATAAGGGGAAGGAGGTAGGTGAAATCCCAGGAAACAAGAATGAGGTGGAAAGGAAGGGAAACAAGGAGGGAGAGAAAGGTCCAAAATCACGTGATAATGGGATGGCCACAGCTTCACAAGAAAACTCTGCTGGTTGTTCATTCCACAAGTCCTCTCCAGAGAGGCCACACAGAACTACTGCATCTAAGAACAATCCCTTAGGAAGGAAAAGACGGCAGTATATCTCCTGCCTCCTTTGCATCTCCCATTTCTAATGGTCATAGTTCACCTCACAGAGCCCTACTTCTTGGTCCTTCTGAGTACTGTGACCATGCTTCTCTGAGAAGCCAGGGCCCTTACATGTCTGCTCAGTAAGACCCAGCCCCAGGGAGCTTCCTGGGGAAAGTGGCTAAGGCTGCAGGGAGGGGGCGACAGAGTGGCCAAATGGATCTGGACATCACATTCGCTGGGTCGGCTATTACTATTGCTGTTGTTCTCTGAGAGCTGTTATTTTCAAACATGTACATTTATCCTGATTCACCCTTTTCTGCCAACCAAGTTGCAAAGCTGTTATATACCTGGTCTTGAACAGAGATTTTTCTCCTATTTCTCTCCAATCACGGGAACACTAGATCAAAGCTTCCTTCACTAAATTGAATTTCAATTCCCTGAAAGGACCATAGTGAATGTATGAGAAGAAATGGATTCGTAGCCAAGAAGCAGATGTGCGGTCAAGATTAATAGGAGATTTTCACTCTGAAACTAAAGATAGAATGCCTTCCACACTGGCCCTCTATGCATTGTGCTTCAGAACTAAGCAGGAGCTAGAGAAGAGGTCTACCAAGGAGAATTTAGGCTGCCTTCAACTCCACAACCTCAGCACTGACCAATAGGCTCTCAACATAAGAACCAAGAAGAATCTTGATTTCTCAAAGAACTAACAATAGATCTATCATTCTATCTAGAAATTTCACTACTAGGTACCTACTTAAAAGAAAAGAAGTCATTGCTTATTGTAGGACAATTCACAATTGCAATGATATGGAATCAACCTAAGTGCCCATCAACTGATGAGAGAATAAAGAACATGGTGTGTGTGTGTGTGTGTGTACACACGTGTGTGCACACACGTGTGTGCATCATGGAATACTACTCAGCCATAAAAAAAGAAATAACTCTTTTGCAGCAACTTGGATGGAACTGGCGGCCATTATTCTAAGTGAAGTAACTTAGGAATGGGAAGCTAAATACCACATGTTCTTACTTATAAGTGGGAGCTAAGCTATGAGTATGCAAAGGCATACAGAGTGGTATGATAGACATTGGATACTCACAAGGGGAGGGGGTGAAGAGGGGTGAGGGATGAAAAACTACCTGTTAGGTACAATATACACTACTCAGGTGATGGGTACACTAAAATCCCAGAATTCACCACTATACAATTCATCCAGGTTACCAAAAATAATTTGTAATCTTAAAGCTATTGAACTTTAAAAATAATAATAATCTGTCTTAGCCAGAGGCAGAAAGGTTCTTGCTAGTGGACAGTGCTGTAGGTTGAGTTGTGTGGATGCAGACTGTGAGGAGAGCACGGTATGCAAGGTGTCCATTAGGAATCAACAATTAGGAGAGAAAGGGGAGCAGGCAGGCCTGGGCAGGGGGAAGAGGAGTGCCATGTGGCAGGGAATTCTCAGCGAGTAGTGTCTGACAAAGTTTCCTCATGTTGGGCACAATGGCCAATATAAGGCACTTATATGCTCACTTTGCCCAGCCACCAAACATAGGCTGTCTCCAAAAGGACGACGTCACCTCAGATGAGGCCATTCCTTCCACAGAGGTAGATGCTGAGGACCTGAGAATGGGAAGATGCGTGCACCACATCTGGGCAGGATCCCTGAGGGGATCCGAGTGACACACCCCCAAGTCTTCCACAGTCTACCCCTTTGCCACTTGGATCCATTTCTCCACGTACGTTCGGGGAGTAACCCCTCCAGAATTTTGGTGGGTCATCGTTCCAGAGGGGAAACTTAGGACAGGGAAGCTGCTGGGACAAGCCACAGCCTGTTAGTCCTGGAGCTGTAATTGATGCTGTTCGTCTCCACCCTTCACAACCATGTCTAGGTCACCCTTACCCTCAGCTAGCACCTCTCTGCTGGCCACAATGGCTTATCTAGCAAACTGACTCTAATCCAAGAGGAGGGGCCTGGGCCTCTGCTCACCATGTCATTCCTGGGGCTGGGGTGCTGGGCCTGTCCATTTACAGTCACAGTTAGACAAGGCAGTACCAAGAAACGCCCACTGGCATTGTTCCCTGACCCCATTGGGTTAGACAGCTCTACCCACTCCTGATGATGCCAAGCTGTGACTCCTCTTCTTGTCCGTTGATCCAAAAACACAACATTCCCAAAATGCCAACAGCCATGGCTTATACTTCCGTGGAAATCTGGCTGTGTTCCCTGGTGAGTGTAACCTTTAGAGGGACCAGGAGCTCTAACTCTGCAGGGCCCAGAGTTGTGCTGTATTCCCCAGAGGGCCATTAGGGATGTCCTAGTGGGATCATCCCTGCTTCATACCCTTGGTTCCTGGACTCATGTGTTTGTCTTCTATTGAGGATAAAGTTCCATGTAAAGGTTTTCAGTTCAGTGAGTGTACTGCGTCTTTGAGGACAGCACCCCATCCTTGCATGATATTGCCCCCAAACTCGTGATCTATTGATGCTGTTAGCAAGCCCCAGTGCCCTATGAGTTCAGCAGAACCTGGGTAGTGTGGCGTGAGCTGCGTCTGATGGATCCCATGGTCATGGCACCACTCCCATACCTCCATTACTTTAAACTGGGCTCCCTGCTCTGGCACAATGATATGTGGGATTCAGAATTAGCAAATTAAACCCTCCATATGCTCTGTAATAGCACTGCTGGCTGAGACCTGAGAGTCAGAAAGGCAAACCCATGTCTAAAATGTGTGTCTACTTCTCTGGAAATAAAACCTGGGCTCTGTCAGGAAGGAAAGGGCCTAATGTAGCCAACTTGCCTTCAAGTGTCCAGTTGGTCTCCTTGAGGTATCATGCCATTTTGGAGTCTCCGCATTAGTCTCTGTTGCTGGCAGGTTGAACATAGCAGTAGCAGAAGTCGGTCCCGGTGAGTGAGAGCCCATGTTGTTGGACCCAGGCAGGACCTCCACCTCTGCCACCATGGCCATGTCATTCAGACACTAATGGCTAATGTCAACTCCCTGGCTTCTTTTGTTTTGACGGTTTTTGAGTGTCCTTTCCCTGGAGGATGATATCTGGTGGTCATTAAGGAATGACATGAAGATCTTCAACATGGCGCCTTGAACATGCCCATCCACATGCCGCTACCTTAGACCTCCTAGTCCCCAGTCTTTCAATCTCTGTCACTTCAGGCCCCTGACCAGTCAGCCTGGATCCCAAGTGTTACTATCAAGACCTTGTCTATTGCATAACAGACCTGCCTTTGTTGGGTGGTTAACCAGGCAACTGAAGCTCAGTGACTTTGCTTGATATGTCCTAGGCTTAGCGCACAGCTTTCTCAGCCCACCTGAGTGTTCGAGTTTCTTTGTCCGCAACCAAAGACACCCTCTGGCTTTCACACCAGGCTTTCAATTGCTTGTTACTCACCACTGGTTAGTTTCACTCTGTAGTGCGTCAATAACCCTCGTTTTCCTTATACTATTTTCTCCATATTTTTCAAATGCCTGATATATCATGCCCATTAGTGCCTTTCCTCGTGCCAGTACACCACCAGTGAGTTTTAAGTACTGGACCCCCACTTTGTGCTAGAAGCTTACTATTGCTCACCTACATCTGATGAAGGAGTCCTCTGGCCAATCAGAAAGTGATCCAGCTACAAAGCCGCATTTCAGGCCATATCTTAGTACTATCGTAGGTTAGCACCTTCAGAGGTTCAGTTGTCTACACCAGACGCTGAGATGGAGTGGGGCATAACATAATATACAATCAGGGACCAATGCTGCCAGAAACAAGGGCAGAGAAATCATTGTGAAGAGGGAGAAGCTCAACTGTGAAGTTGACCTGAATAAGCCTCAGCCAGCCAGCTGGGGCTCTGGAGTAACCACTGCCCATCAGCGTTGTCGCCTGTCAAGCTGAGGAGGCTGGACCTCTGAACCTCCACCCAGCTCGGTCACCAGATGTGAGCTGCAGTTGAGACAAACCCTGAAGGGGCTGACTGCTGAGGGGACACCCCTCAGCTGGGCAGCCAGTTCCATGGCCTTGAGCACTTCCCCATATCTGCCACACTCGCAAAGTACTGCACCCACATTCCAGTCTCAACGTCAACAGCTTCCGAGCTCAAAGGGACCTTCCGGGGCATCTCTGTTTCCTCTGCCCCTCCTTGTCCCAGGAGGGTGACTAGTTAAGGTCTGTCTGGAATCCAGGGCTCCTGATCACAAGTCTCTCATTAGCAGTCCTTTGCGTTCTCTGGTGTCTCTTTCTCAAATATTCTTCTCACCTTCAGGCATGAATTTGTAGTGTATGACATCTGTATACTTTATGAATATTTCACTTTGTAGGTAACCTCCCTCAGGCTTCAAGCAAAATGCCATGTGCCCTGCAGGTCTTCATTTAGATAATAATTAACTAAAAGGGAGAGAAGTGAGGACCTGCTGTGAGCCCCAGAAATAGTTCTCTTCTCTCTGTTTCTCTCTCCCTCCCTCCCCCTCTCTCTCTTTCTCTCTCTCTCTCACACACACACACATAATTAAACATGCAAACACCAGTCAGTCCAGCTGGCCATTGATGAGCACCACCCCGCTGCAGTGCTAATGCTAGTAGTGGCTTCTGTTCATTCACTAAGTGTTTCTGGAGCTACTAGCAGGTGCTGTTCTAGGTACTCTGTGCAGATACCTGTGGGTCACATGGCACAGTGCGGGCCTCGTGGAGTTTGTGGTCTCTAGGGGAAGGCAAGCAAGCAGAGGCAATTGCAAGGACTTGTGACAACAGTCCTGGCAGAAACATGCTCTGGGACTGCAGCGACACAAAGGAGGAGATAACATGGACCTGTGGGGATAGGGCTCGGCTCAAGCTGAGGGGTGAAGTAAACAGGGCCCATTCAGGCAAGGAGGGAGAGAAAGTCCCTTCCGGGGCTGCAGCCACATGGCAACGTGACCTGAGGGAGCTGCAGCGACCAGGTGGGGTGGGCGCAGCCTCCAGAGATGAGGGTCCTGCCAGGGACAGCATGCTCTCAGGAAAGGTCTGCTAAGGCTTGTGAGGGGTCTTTGACGGCTTTAAACAGGTGAAGAACTTGAGCCTATGGTGTACTGGGTAGATGAGCTTGGCCATGGTGTGGATGGAATATGAGTTTCAGGACTGGACAGAGGAAGATAAGTGGAGCCCCTTGCCACGCTATAGGCAGGAATGGGAGGGTTTGGTTTAAACAGCAGCGCTGGAAACAGAAAGCATGACAGGAAGAGAGCTGGGAGGGAGTGAAATCCATCAAACATGAAGGTAAAGATGGAGGGAGAGAGAGAGGGAGGACTTGAGGATCTGCGGTTTCTACTCTGGACAAGATGAGGTACAGCAGGAGAACAAGTTTGGGGCTAAGACTTGGGGTCCAGTTTTGCACACACTGAGTTGGAACTGCCTGTGTACAATTAGGTGAAGATGTCCAGTAAGCAATGGTATATATGGGTTTGAAGCTTGGGTATAATGTCTGTGTTGGAAATACAGACTTGGGAGCAGCAGATATGTTGATGCGGCCGTTTATGTAATAGCTACTTCCTTCTAAATGCTGTGACCACACCTGTCCTGGTACATTTTGTTGCTGGAGGGAGAGGTAGCAAGCAGCAGGTCAGCATGCTGAGAGTTAGGTACAGAAGCTGCCTAGATTTTGAAACTAGAAGGAAAAGTCCAGAAAATGCAAAGGAAGGTAAAACCTACCATTCAGAACAGCTTCCAAATCAAATCCCTCCCTCGGCCCTTCAATAAAGAGGAAATAGAGAACAAAGAATGGCAAACAGAGAGTTTTTAAATAAATCATAATTAGTAACACACATATGGGCTCCGTGTGGGTGAGCAGTTAGACAGCTAATTATACTGAAGCAGCAAGCTCATGAAGCCAGAGAGTCTCACCCCAAATGTGGGGCTTCCAGCTACTGCCGAGATGCCTGGAGGGACCAGCGCTGCCAGTGGAGCTCATCCAGACCTGCGATAGTTGATCAAGGTGGAGAGAGAGAGAGAGAGAGAATAACGTGAATCCACATACTGAAAATTTTTAAGCACCTGCAAGAGCAATTGGGCTTCTGGGCTAACTGTAGGAGAAATGGATTCTCTTAATCAAGTACCACCCTTTAAAATTGCTGCCCTCCAGCTAATGGCTTCACCAGCTACCCCAGGACCCTTGGGGCTGGATTTGTGCATAACACGGGCTCCATCTAGCGATCGACGCTGGAAGCACTTGTGGTGTCTCGCCCTGTGGCTCTTGGGGGTTCTGTCCCAGTGATACAAGACTGGAATGTTCCGGCATGGGAAAGCCTGTGTGTGGTTAGAGGACTGATTCTTCCTCTAACAGTGTGCTGAACTACAGGTAGAAAACGAATATTCATTAACAGAAGAATTGTAGAAATAGGCCAGGCATAGGAAACCGTTGTGAATTTTCTTGTTTCTCTTCTGCAATTTATTTTGCACGGTGCTTTTTGTCTTCCACAGCCTCGGGCTCTGTTCAGGATTAGCAGCTTCAATTGTGGTTTTTCTATCCTTTTTAGTCCCTTTCTCTCACATACATGAAGAACAAAGGCTTCTTCAAAACTGCCAATATCAACTTGGAAACATCAGTGATCAAGAAACCCTGGAAGAGGCAAGAGAGTGGCAGTGAGGCCCAAGTTCCCTCCAGAAGCCTTGCTTGCCCCTGCAGTCTTTCGCTGTTGCACCTTCTTTGTTTTCTTCCTCTGCAGTTCACTTTATACACACACACACACACACACACACACCGCTCCTAACCAAGGACACGCTGGGAAATAAGTGTAGACAAGGGCCAAGAAAAAAAGATTACAGGGCTAATGTGGTCAATGCTTGGGTGGGAGGAAGAAATTGAGGGCATACCTTTTTATTGTTTGTGAAGAAAGGAATTCGGGCCGAGTGCTGAGGACAAAGGGCCACGGTAAGAGGAAATAGAGAGCAAAGAGCATTTCTCTGCAGAGAAAGCAGCAATTTGGAGTGTTGTGAGGTCTTGAGAAGAAGGGGACTGTTGGCAGGTCTCGGGGCTGGCAGCTATCCAGCAAAGCCTTGAGGCAACCTCATCCCATAGATGATCACTCTAAAGCACAGAACAAGTTGGTTGTGAATCCTGCTGATGGTAGACCCCCCACTGCAACATCCACTATGAAATCAGAGGAGGGAATGAAACAGGAAAAGAAGAGCTGAGAGGAATCTCTTTCCCTCCCAGGCACATTGGATGGCAAAAGCTCACAGATACAAGGTATCCCTGTCGTGCCTGCCTCTGACACAGACCACATCCCTTGAGAAGAGAACTCAAAATTCAAACATTCTATTTCTTTTGCACATACACGCAGAAACAAGGTTGTTGCCAACACTTCCAAATGGAAAATGGTAGTCTGAATACAAAGGGAAAGCAGACTGTTTCCCTCTACGAAATCATCTCTATGAAATCAGAAATAAAACTGCAATAGAAGCACGAAAAGCTTGAGCAAAAACCTTCCCTGGGCATAAAAATGAGTTGAACTGAGCAAAATCATAAATGCAAACCTTCCACACCACTTTTGTTTGCCATAGGGGATAATGCACCAGCATAGAATTTAATGCCAAATTAAATGTCCCATCCACCTCTTCCAGCAACATCGCTGTAAAAGGAGAAAACAAATCAAGGTTGCAGCTACTCTTGCTGAAGGATATTGGCTGATGGAACATAAATAAGTATATAGTAACCATTTAATCTGGGCATGGGAGGCCTTGGGCCCAGAAGGGTCAGAGAGAATAAAGGGGTAATTATCACAAGGAGCGTACCTTAGAGGTAAGGGAGTCCATCAAATTTATTTTGTTCTGGCAACTCAAATGGCATTTTCCCTTTCTAGGCAGAGCTTTAGAACTTCCCAGACATTGCCCAATATAACTGGAACACTATTGATTATCATCAGAACACCTGGAGAGGAGGACGGGAGTAGGGAGGGGCATTTCTATAGCAGGGACTTAGTATCAAATAACATATGCTGTCTCCTGCTTGCTTCCTCAAGTTTCACCACAATAGTAAGGAGAAATGTGAATAGGAAAAATCATCCCGGGTTTGAATTCAGATCTGAATTCAAGCCTGGCTCCCGCCTTTCCCAGCCCCACAGGTCGAGGCAAGTCACTTGTGACACCCCGACCTCAGCATTTTTATACGTGCAGGGTCAGACTAGGACAAGATGTTTTCGAAAATTTCTTTCCGCTCTGTTTTTTGATGTAGAAACACTTGCAGAAGGTAAGGGAAGGAATGACTCTAAATGGAAGGGCACTGAAGACCAACGCTCGCAACGTCAGGAGAAATCAGTATTCACTTTCACTTATTTGCAGTTCCATGTGAAGAACTATCATCTTTATCTTTAGTTAAAAAAAAAAAAACCGCCATTTACCTCTAGTGAAAATGCAGACGGTTGCCTCATTTTGTAACCGCATTCCTAGAAATCTCATACTAAAATGCATTTTATGAACCAAGTAGAATTTTCCCTGTAGGAAGATTGCTAATTCGGAATTGAGTTCCATATCAAGAATGTGGCATCAAATAAATTATAGACATCACTAACAATTTAAGGGGAGAAATATAACTATAAACTTCTATAATCATTTAAAATAGTAAAGGTGTGTTCCAACTCACATAAAATGGGCATGAGTATATTGTACATGTTGATTATACCGAGAGACCCCAATGTGCTATCAAGTGTACATAGAATGCATAAAATTCTAACATTAGTGTACCATAAACAGCCTAAAACCAGCCTACTAGCTATAATAAATTTAATTAAACATTAAATGAACAGTAATTTGGTTTTCCTTCTTAGACTTCAGAAGGGCTTCTTGAGGCTAATTTGACTACCTTGGATCTCCAATAAACAACAACAAAAATCAGCTGAAGTGAATGTGTTTCTTCTCCTTTTGATAATTTCTGGTAACAATCTGGGGGATTTGGGCTACTTCAAAAACTGGAACCATCTTAAAGTAAGAGAGTAGATGCCAATACACATTTAGTAATATAATGTGTTTTGGAAGATCATGATGATAACATTTTCCCCCAAATAAACATTTTTTAAGCAAAAGCTTATCTCTGCGTCACCCTTTCTTGTCTTCTCCCTTGGTTTAAAAGTTGGACTTTGTATTGGACCAAATAAAGGCCAACCAATAAGAGAACAGTAAGTGCTAATTAAATCACTCCCTGTGACACACTGTTGACAGCTATTAGAGACCTTCACACCTTATCAGAAAGCTGGAAAATAATGACAAGTCATTAGAATAGGCTTTAAAAATAATTTTAAAACATTTCTCTCAGGCAAAAGACAGTTATAGGAATGCATATTGACAGTCCACAACTTTGATGAAAAAAAATAATTTCTTTGTTTTATACTTTACAGCTTAAAACTATTGGGTAATTTGATGATCATAGCTATCCTGTTAAACAAATATGTCAAGCACCATAATTTCTTATTTTGTGATTGAAGAAATGAGATCTTAGCTAGCTTAAGGGATTTCTTTAGGGGTATGAAGCTAGAGAAAGGTATTAAGAACTGAGGCATTATTTTAGAAGCATGGAGAGGTGGTGTCCACAGTATTTTATAAATACGAGTCCATTAATCATAAAATAATCACAATAATGAAAAGTAACTGAAGGGTACCACTTCATATAGGTGTTCTCTTCACAATATTCAGTTAATTTAAAACCACCCCTTGGCCCATGGCTGTCCACTCTCTGCAGGGACCCTTCAAGGCAGGGATAATTATCACACAAGGCAGAACACTACATTTTTTGAAAAACTGTTTCAGTGGTTAAAAAATCTTTCTTCATTTAACCTAATTTTGCTTTCTAGAATCTCAAAGGATGTGCCCAATCCTTCTTTCACACAACATTTCAAATATTCGAAGATCGCTTTCATGTTTCCCCACTCGTAAGGCATGGCTTCCAGACTTTCTGTCCTCCTTTTGGCCATTCTTTGATTTATCTACGCCACTTTTAAAACCAGGTGCCCAGAAATGACCATCAAACTTCAAGAGCTCTTTGACCAGTATATAGTGAACTGGAATTTCTATTAATATAGCTTTCTGTGTTCTGGACTGAAATTTCTATTAATATAGCTTAAGATAGCAGCAATTTTTGGCAGACACATCATGAAGTTGGCTCTTGCATCCAACTAAAATCTCTATTTTTTCCACATAATCAGCTATTGAGTCAGTTCTCTCATATCATAATTATAATAGGTTGTGACATCCGCAAATATGAGAGGCATATCTTTATGTATTCAGTGTTTCTCAACAAGAGTGCTAATGAAATTTTAGACAGGAAAATTCTTTGTTGTGTGGGACTGTCCCTCATATTGCAGGATGGAATTAAATATTAATGAACAACATCTGATTGACATTGTGACAATGGAAAATCATACTACACACCTCTAAAATGCCCTTAGAAAAGAGATTCCACCGCAGTTGAGAATCTTTATCAAATTATCCATTGAAAAGGTTGCAATTAAAGAACAAAGCCCTCTATCATGCCTGTATAGACTTCCTTTAACTTTGACATCTACTTATGTAAAACACCCTATGGATATAATTTTCATTCAGCTGCTCATCTGCCTCAACGTACAGTAATAGAGCCATATTCCTCCTTTTTATTCACAAAGACAAGATGGAAACATTGGAAATTTTCACATTCAAAAAAATAGTAGAGAAAGTTAGCATAGGCTAAACATGACAATAGTTGATTATAGTTGTGGGAGCTAGTGTCCAAAGTCGGCTTCCCAATGAGCTGTGCCACCTGCTACTCATGACCTCGTAGTCTCCTGTCATTGGATACTGGCTGGCTGTGTGACTTGCTGGAACTTATAAAATGCAGTATAAGTGATGTTCCAAAGCTAGGCCAGAAGGAGCCTTGAAGTTTCTTACTTGCTCTCTTGAAACACTATCTCTGAGAGCTCTTAACAGCCATCCAAGAAATCAGACTACCCTGAGCTGCCGTTCTGTTGAGCCCCCAATGGGTACTCCCAGCCGAGCCTAACCTTTTAGTCATGGTTAACAAGGTGCCAGTCATGAATGAGGACATCTTTTACTTTCCGGACTAGTCAAATACTGCTGAGTGACTTTACTTAACGCCACATGGAGCAAAAGAATTGCTAGGAGAAGCCTTCCCATAATCCTGACCCACAAAATTTTAAGACATAATAAAATTTGACAGAAGAGCTTGTGTTCTTTCCTCCCTAAAATTCATATTCTGCAGTAAACTCGGCATTCATTTATTCACTCATTCATCACGCATTTATTAAACTCCTATTGTGTTCCAGCACTTCGATATTGGGAATAAAATGGATGATAAATAATCCACTATCTCTCAACTCAGGGACATCACACTAGAGTGTAGGAGACTCATAAACCAATAATTACAATAAAATGTAGAGTAGCACAATGTGCACTCTAGTAGCACACTAGAGTGTAGCACAATGGAGATGAGTTGGAGCACTATGAAAGCCTAGAGAAAGACCTAAAGTTGGAGTCAAGGGATGTCAGGGGAGGTCTTTTGGAAGTTAAGGGTCATAGAAGGCAAAATAGAGTTATCCAGGCAAAAAAAAAAAATTGAATAGAAAGGATTTTTCAGGAAGAGAAAACAGCAAGTGGTGACAAAGAATTTTGAAAACACAATGCATTAGAAGTTTAGCATAGCTAAAATCCAGAGCACAAGGAAGAAATTAATAGTTATGATGGAGGTTGATATGGAAGTACAATAGAAACGGAAGCTAAAATAGTCTCCAAAATGGCCCTACCCACAGTGATCCTGGTATTCAGACAGTGGTGTGGTCCCCTCCTGCATTCTATCAAGGCTGGTCTGTATGACCAACAGCACACAGCAGAAGTGATGGCAGGTCATGTCCAAGATTAGTAAGAAACTGAAAACCCCTGCCGATAATCCTGTGAGTAAGCTACGAAGCAGATCTCCCAGTCAGTCAAGCACTCAGAGATGGCGGCCCCAGCTGACAGCTTGACTACAAGCTTACTCCCAGATGCTTAATGCTCAGAGACCATGTTTGGGCTTTAAACTGCTAAGTTGTAGGGTTATATGTTAGGCAACAATACATAAATAATAGACCATGCTGTGAAGTTTGACCATTATCTTGAAACTGAAAGAAAGTCATTAAAGGATTTTAAATGGGTGAACAACAATGTGGACACTGGAAAGTCATGCGGTCAGCCGTATGAAGGTAAAGTGAAGGAGAGAAAGGGATGTTGTAATAATCCAGTCCTGAGCAGATGAAAAACTGCACTAAAACAAGTGGAAGAAAATAAGCTGAAGAGGGAAATTTGAACTATGTTAATGAACCCAGGTTTCTGGTTTACACAGTTGGGTAAGCAGAGCACTTTGCTGAGACAGAGGACACAAGAAGGAGACAGAATCTGGAATTTGTAGGAAAGATGATGTACTTAGATTTGAACATGTTAGCATAAAGAGGCCTATGAGACTTCCAAGAGGAGATGTAAAGATACAGAAGACATACGGGTCTGGGGCTGATATAGTTTGGCTGTGTGCCCACCCACGTCTCATCTTGAACTGTAGCTCCCACAATTCCCACTTGTTGTGAGAGGGACCTGATGGGAGGTAATTGAATCGTGGGGGCAGGTCTTTCCCATGCTGTTCTCATGATAGGGAATAAGTATCACGAGATCTGATGGTTTTCAAAAGGGGAGATTCCCTGCACAAGCTTTCTTCTCTTGTCTGCCACCATGTGAGACAAGCCTTTCACCTTCCACCATGATTTTGAGGCCTTAGCAGCCATGTGGAACTGTGAGTCCATTAAACCTCTTTTTCCTTATAAATTAACCAGTCTCCAGTATGTCTTTATCATCAGTGTGAAAATGGACTAATACAGGAGTCCAGAGCTTGTCAGGGCCCTAAGCATCATCAGTATGGCATTGGTCATCGAAGTCATGGGTTAGGATGATCGCCCCTGAAGAGAACATACAGAGTAGGAGCAGCAGGAAACCATCAGAACCAAAGCCCATTTGTGAGTTGGCCCCATTTTTTTCCAGTCCTGAACTAGACATGGGGGAGTTAGCCCCTTCTCTGTAGCCATGGATTATAATAATTGTACTATCAGAGGAGAAAATCACTCTTTACCCCAATTATGTGAGTAGGAAAGAAAATCTTCACATATTCTTTTTTTTTTTCTTTTTTTTCTTTGAGACAGAGTCTTGCTCTGTTGCCAGGCTGGAGTGTTTTTGTTTTTGTTTTTGAGATGGAGTCTCACTCTGTCACCAGAGTGCAGAGTGCACTCCATTGCTGGAGTGCAATGGCGCGATCTCAGCTCACTGCAACCTCTGCCTCCCGGGTTCAAGCAATTCTCCTGCCTCAGCCTCCCAAGTAGCTGGGACTACAGGCACACGCCACCATGCCCAGCTAATTTTTGTATTTTTAGTAGAGATGGAGTTTCACCATGTTGGCCAGGATGGTCTCGATCTCTTGACCTCGTGATCCGCCCATCTCGGCCTCCCAAAGTGCTGGGATTATAGGTATGAGCCACCGTGCCTGGCCAATCTTTACATATTCTATAATCATTTTCATTTTGCTTATTATTTTCTTTAAGTCAAAGACTATTTCTGCAAGCTTGGACTCTCTTTGCAGAAATCCAAGGCTGCTATTAAACATGTAGATGAATTTCTCCACCAAGTCTCTAAGGAAATAGAGAACAATGCTGCTATAGGAGAGTCTGAACATAGACAATTTCGTGGGGGAAGGATACTCTAAAAGTAACAAAACAGATGGAAGAGAAAGATGTAGAGATATCTGTATTAGTCAAGACTCCCCAGAGAAACAGAACAAATAGAATGTGCTATACAAATAAAGAAAGACTTATTTTAAGAAACTGGCTCACAAAATTATGAAGGCAGCAAAGTTCAAAATCTGTAGGGTGGGCCATCAGGCTGGAGACCTAGAGAGGAGCTGATGTTACAGGTCAAGTCCAAAGGCTGTCTGCTGTCTGGGTCTCCCCTGCTCAGGGGAGGTCAGCCTTTTGATCCTTCTAGGCATTAAATGACTGGATAAGACCCATTCACATCATAAAGGGCAATCTGCTTTCATTAATGTTCACCAATTTAAATGTCAATCACATCCAGAAACACTCTCACAGAAACATCCAGAATAATAGTTAACCACATATCTAGGCACCATTAGCCAGCCAAGTTGACACATACAATTAACCATCATGATACCTGTATTCCTCCATCCTCTGAAGGGTCTATAGACTGATGCTTACTGTCATTTATCATTTAATTCTTCTTGGCAATCAGCACAGCACCCTATACAGCGCCCTGCACATAGTAGGTACTCAGCTAAATGGTTCAGGATGACATTCACAGTCTCTGACCTGTTCAAATACAGGTAATTGGACAAACGTGGCAACAAAGTGGCAGAGGAGGCTTTTTTCCCACTGCATTTGTCAGGAAGGTCATTAGGAAGCCCACACTAACAACTATGTGCTTTCCTGACCATGTTCTTTGCTCTGTGGTTTTCACAGCAACAAACAATGGGTTGGGTTGGTGACTGTCATGGATGTTTCTTCCCCATCCCTAATGAACCATCCATGAAGGAATGCTGACCAAGTTTCCTGACTGCTGTCAACAGTGAAACTAAAATATCCAAGAAAGAGATGAATTTGTAGGCGTCTAGAAAGATATCTGTCATTTTTTGTTGTGTTTGTTTTGCTTTCCCTTCAGAAGAGAGTGAGGGGAAATTTAATGAGCTTTTCTCACTTAAGAACAATGTGAAATTCAGAACGGGACAGGCGGTGGGAGGCCACTAAGGCCGTGGTGAGCTGGTGAAGGGAGCAAAAGAGCTCAAGTCAGGGCAGAGCTGGAGCAGAGTAAGGCATACAGCAGGGTCTTTGGGGCCAGGAAGCTGCCCTCCCGACCTTGGCCAACTTTAGCCTTCCAGGGAGATGCACCTGGAGAGGTAGTCCCTAAAATAATGCTCGTTGATGTTTTTCTTTTCATTAAACTTCTTCCCAGGGAAGGGTTTCTTAATCTGGGCTCCACAGACCCTTAAGGAATCCAAGGAGGAAATTTAGGAGATTTGTGAACTTACTCTGATGGCAAAATATAAGGAGATATATATATATATATATATATATATATATATGAATGCTCAATTTGAACGTATGTAACAAACCTCAACAATAGTATCAGTATCTGCTATGATTTGTGTGTGTCTCCCAAAATTTATGTGTTGGAAACCTAATCACCAATGCAACAATATTGGGAGGTGGAGCCCACTAAGAGCAATTAGGTCACGAGGAAATAAACTAAAACGGTGTCTATTGCAGATACCTGAAAATGGCTTTATATTCATTTCTACTTCATCCTGCTGCAACTTAATAGTCCTTGCCAGAATCCTGCAGGTTCCAAGGTTTAAAAGAACAGAATTCTCCTGTATACTCCAAACTAGATTTGTCAGTAATAAAGCAAATGCTGTATTTCTATCTTCATGAGGATCCTTGGATCCACACTTAACTGGTTAGAAGCCAGAAAACAGAAAGAATGAGTATGAGTAAATTCTCTCCCCAGACTCCAAAGGCAGGTGGGGCTTATCACTCATGTGGATATAAATTATAGAACCAAATTATTGTACTGAGCCCTCATCTACATAACTGCAAGCAGTCTAGTCCCTTCCTCAAGCAGGAGTACTGAAACCTTGCACAAATCCATCTTCATTGCCGTTCAGCAGCTTTTTCTCCAAGTCATTGCTTCAGGTTTCTCTGTCCATTACCTCAGATTTCTCATAGATGCTATCAACACTGCTTTGACGCTCCTCTGTGTTCTTTCCCTCAAAGTGCTGATATAAATATCTCCATTTATGGCTCTAAGCACAGCTAATACAGAACTGTAATATTTTTAAGACTTGACTGAAGTTTAGGGGAAAAGAAGCTACAAGAATTAAAGGGGAAATTAAAATTACACTATGATAAGCAACTTTCCCAGAATACAGTGGCCAGTCTCTCCAAAGGGGCCCAAATAGTCATCCCTATTTTTCAACGTCTTGCGGGGTAACCCGGGCTCACTGACCACCAGGACAGGAGCCATTTCCAGTTGTTTTCCTTCCCTCTTATTCAGGTAACTCATCCCAACTCTCTGGCCACAAGCAGAGGAATAAAAATCTTGCTAACTTCATGACATCCTCTCCAAATATATATATGAAGACAGCCTTATTTAATTATTAAACAGAATATCTAACACATAAGTCTGAAGTATCTGAATTTAGATTATTTCCCCTAAGTTTAAGAATTCTTAAAAATGATGGGTGCTATCTGCCTCAAAGCTGCATAAAAGCAATGCTTAAAAAGGTGACCCTTTCTAGGACAAAGGAATGGCACAGAACAAATCTGAGCTTTCTCCTTAGAATGTAGAAGCAGCATATGATTCCCCAAATAATAAATTTCAACAATTTTAAGATCCATTTTCTACCCCAAGAAATATGGAGTATTCAAATAGCATCGGGTGGTGGGGGAATGATGTCTTATTCTTACAGAACATCTAATTAATTCTAGTATTCTCAGGGGATCTTAGAGAAGGCTCCACGGAGGAGGTGTCATTTGAGTAAAAATGAAGGATGAGTTTACATTATGCATGGAGACTGCAGAGTTGCTAGCAAGCTCATCGTGTGGATGATAAAGAATGGTGAGAACAGGAATCAGAATGCTCTACTCAGCCCATCTCACCTCCATTAGTTTTATTGAACCTTGAAATGGCTTTTAAAGTTAACAATCACCCCAGAGGATACAAAGTTAGACACTTAAAAAAAAGACATTAAAGTTTTGTAAGTTCCCCAGTTAATCCATCAAACACATTTCAGTCTTCGGTAGCAGTGTGTGAACCCTATCAAGGGCATCTGAGGTTCCCTAGGAAACATTTATAGCCAGATAAACAGATAACACTTAATAGAGATAAAGAGTCCAAGGAAAGCTATGGAACCACGTTTCAGGCAAGGTGTGTTCATTTAAAATGCATGATTTTTTTTTTGTGAAATCCTCTTGGTATTGAGGGAAGGTGGCAGAGGACAAGGTAGGATGGGGGGTGACAACCCCGTGGGAGGAGTGTCAGGCTTGTCAGATTTGCCATCTGAATTCGTCTGTCCTCTCTTTACCCAGCTAATTGTCCCAAACTCTCCAATTCAGCAAAGAATCCCAGACATATATTGTATCCTTTCAGAGCTTTTTTCATTAAAAACACAAAACAAACAAAAAAACCAAGGAGGTAGCTGCCTTTCTCCTGAAGGATGTAGGATGGCACACAGACGGCCTAACAAACCAATGGAAAAGAACAATGCCTTGGGAAGTCCTAGTTTGAGTTCTGTACATTTTAAGGGGGAAAAGGTTTTGTTGTTGTTGTTGTTGTTTTGTTGTTGTTTTTTTTTTTTTGAGATGGAGTCTCGCTCTGTCCCCCAGGCTGGAGTGCAGTGGCGCGATCTCGGCTCACTGCAAGCTCCGCCTCCCGGGTTCACGCCATTCTCCTGCCTCAGCCTCCGGAGCAGCTGGGACTACAGGCGCCCGCCACCACGCCCGGCTAATTTTTTGTATTTTTAGTAGAGACGGGGTTTCACCGTGTTAGACAGGATGGTCTCGATCTCCTGACCTCATGATCCACCCGCCTCGACCTCCCAAACTGCTGGGATTACAGGCGTGAGCCACCGTGTGTGGCCTTAAAGGGAAAAATGTTTTTTTAATTAAGTGATGGCTAATGAACTATTAATGCAATCCCCTTGCTAATTAAAAGAACACACTGAACTTGCTGTACCTTTCAGCTGCTCTGAAACCCCCTGTTTTCAATGCTTTCTGGCTGAAAAGGAGGCTTCCATTCCAAGCTATGTCAATAAGTTCAGAAAAGGGACTGGTAGCGGCAGCGGGGACTGGTAGAGGTGGCCGGACCAGGCCTCAGGGTGAGGTTCCTGGAATCACAGCCAGGTGTGGAAGAGGTCTGCAGCATGTGCTGTATGGGTTTGTTTCAGGTTTATGCCTAAAAAGGAGTCACTGCTATATACCCAAGCATCTAGAACAGTTCTGGCACTTGTTGATGCTCAGAGACAGAGAGAGAGAGGGGGAGAGATCAGATAGATTACATAGATAGATAAAGATAGATGTGAATACGTGTGTGTGTGTGTGTGTACATATACGTATATTTATTGAATGAATTAATGCTTACCTTGCAAATAGCCCTTTTGTGTTTAGTCCAACCCAGGGATCTGACTTTCTCTAATCCAGAGTACAAGTCAACCACAGTTAACAGAAGCTGACAGTGAGGTGATCAGTGTTAACCTAGCAAAAGAGGTTACCTTCCTGTGTCACAAACTAACATGCAGACCACAGTCATGTCATCATCTTTTCCTTCTGGGGATCCTATTGCGATGTCTAAAAATGGTATCTTTATTCTGCCCATTTTCTACCAAGGAAAAGCGCTTGGTTCAACTGCAGGTGTTTTGCAAGGGCTCAGCGACTCTGCTAGAAGTCATCAGGAAAGCTGTTTGTTTCCCCCAGTAATTCTGGACTCAGCGCATTTGTCTCAGGCTCCTGGTGATCTGGGACGGCACATTATTTGATGTCGTCCAGGGCCATGCCACTTAGGAAGTTTTGCTTATGTCAACATCACGGGCTGTGCACATTTTTTTTCTTTTGCTGGGGGCAGCTGAAAGTAAGTGACACTAATTTCTGTTCTGCAGTTATCCAAATATTGCACTCACAACACAATCCATAAACATAATGACTGCTCATCAATAAAACAGAAGAATGACTGAGAAACCATAATTGTCACCCCAAAAATTTAAAAAATAAAAAGAAACAACAAAAAAATGCTGGCAAATGGTAGGTCCCTTATCTTAATTACAGGCTGATTTGCATTTAAATGAAGGTTATTCTACAATTACTAGGGAATGTTTTGTGTTGGAGTTGAAATACCACTCTGCAGGCTGTCAGCCCATTTCCTTTTCATTTTCTCTTGTCATTCTTCTTCTCTGTAATCGTCTGACACAGGGAGGCATGGAGAGGTGCTGGCTCTTAATTTCCTTTCCAAAAACATCACCACCTCGGGGCACCTTGTGGATTCTTGGGCACTCACTGCAGTCTTTCTGCAGGAAGGTGCCAAGAGAATTAGGGAAATGTCCCTCCACCTGCAACAACTAATAAACAACAGCAATATCAGCCAGATCAAGAGTAGAGAACACAGCCAGGCTGTGCATTGGCTGGCATGCTGGGGATGCCCATTCCCTCCTCTGTGCCCCCAGGGTGCCCTGCACGAACTTTAACATTCATCAACAAATACAGTTAATTCTTATGTGCTGTAGTTCTGTCAAGTCACCATGAACACTGAACTAACAAACACTGGAGCCTTGCTCCTAGGGGGAAGCAGCGGGTTAGGTTCCTGCAAGCCTTTGGGTACATTTTTGTCAATGGATCAATACGTCACCTTGTTTTGTGTATGTTTCTGTTTAGAGACACCTTATTTAATATATATTGCTGATTCATTAACACTGAACTCACGGCCAGTAATGCTGTAATGTATGCCTGGGCAAAGCTTATCTAACACGGGTATTTGTCCCTAAGGCACATCTCAGCCCTTTTGCATATAGGATCACTAGACAGCACTTCAGCGCTATGCTTGGGGACTATTTTAAACAACAAAATCACCATGGAAAAGCTCACAAATGCGAAAAACATAACACTAAAAAGACTGAGAAAAGGACACTTGTTTGAGAGCTGAAACAAGACGGCAGAGCATCGCCTTGTTCCACCTCAGTTGGGAACTTGCACGTTGGGTGACTCAAATTTTTCACAGCTCTGAATATATGTGTGAAAAACTGCAAAATCACTACGGGTATCAATTTTGGGGGTTACAAATAAATGTTAGCGAGTAGGTAAATTTGCAAATACAAATCCATGAATAAAGAGGATGGACTGTCCTTACTGAGCACCCTGTACTAGTTCATTCTCACGCTGCTAATAAAGACATACCCAAGACTGGGTAATTTATAAACAAAAGAGGTTTAATTGACTCACATTTCTGAGTGGCTGGGGAGGCCTCAGGAAACTTACGATCATGGTGGAAGGGGAAGCAAACAAGTCCTTCTTCACATGGCGGCAGCAAGAAGACGTGCCAAGCAAAAGGGGGAAGAGCCCCTTATAAAACCATCAAATCTCCTGAGAACTCAGACACTATTAGGAGAACAGCAGCAAGGGAGTAACCGCCCCCATGAGTCAATTACCTCCCACCGGGTCCCTCCCATGACGTGTGGGGATTATGGGAACTACAATTCAAGATGAGATTTGGGTGGGACACAGCCAAACTATATCACACCCTTTATGTTGGCAGCACATAAGATGCTATGCAGGTGCCATGAGAATAAAATGCTGGGTGATACAGAAATGGTCCTGCTCTTGCAGAGTCTATAGCCTTCAGATGAGGTGGAGGTGGGGTGACGGGACATAGAGAGAGAGAGAGACAAACATGTAAAACAAAACAAAACATGTAGACCAAAAATTAATAAAACAGTTTCAAATTGTGATTGTGCTGTGAATGGTTTTTTTTTATAGTGTTGAGATCCAAAATTATAGGGAAAAGAGGAAAGGGCTTGCTTTGGATGTACAGTCAAGGTTAGGTGGTGGCATTTATGGAAGTCTTGAGAAGCCCTGCAGAGAGCTGGGTGAGAGAGGGAGAGGAAGGGAGGCACATCCAAGCAGAAAGAATAATAAGCCCAAAAGCCCTGACCCCAGAAAAACTGTGCTCCACAGATTTGACCAGTGGGACTAGAGCTCGTTGCAGGAAAAGAGGAGAAAATGGCAGGAAATGAAGTATGGTATGAGAGAGGGAGGCAGGAGCTTGGTCTAGCAGGGTCCTGTAGACCCACATAAGGCAAATGCACTTGTTTATTGGTGTTCATATAATTTGAGAAAGAGATGTCTCCTAGGGCCCAACCCAGTGCCATACATAGTAGGCACTCAACAAACATTGACTGACTCACTCACTAAGATAATTTGCAAACCATAATGGATGGATGGGTGCATCAGCTCAGGACTCAGTTTTACTACATGTAACAGAAAACTCCAAAATATGGTGGTTTACACAAGATTGGTGTTAATTTTTCTCACTTAATGAGAAATCCAGATGTGGCCAGTTGCTAACATTGATTTACTGGCTCAAAAGTGTCAAAGCAAAGGTTGCTGGAATTCACTTGGTGTTTGCCGCATGGTTGCAAGATTGCTGCTCCAGCTCCAGTCACCACATCCTAGTTCCAGCATGTGGGAAGTGGAAAAGGTACATGTGCCAGCTGAGTCTAGTTCCCTTAAACAGTTTTCCTTAAACCTTTTCAAAAGCCTTGCAGAATGACTTCCACTGACATCTTATGGGCCATAAATGTGTTACATGTCTACCTCCAGGTACAAAGGAAGCTAGGAGACATAACTGGATATTTTGCTGCTCCTAACACACTCATCTTTAAAAGGAAGGAGTGGAGAATGAAGCTGGCAAGCAACGGTTGTAGCTGTTCATTTGGGATGGAGCCATATGTTCCAGCCAATGCCTTGGAAGTGATAGAGCTATCAGAAATACGAGGGTCTCTTGGGGACATATAGTAATACTGTGGAATTTGAGAGATGATGGAGAAGATCCACCAAGTCAAATATGTTCCCATTCTTTCCCTTTGCATTGGGTGGCCCTTTCCACTGGGGAATAAGGACCTCTCATAAGTTAATGACAAATGCCTGAAATCCAAAGTATTAACCACCCCCTTTCACTTAAGCAACACACTTAGCCAAGGGCAGTCCTAACATTACATTTTTCATCTGTGTATTTCCGGCTTCAGTCAGTCGTTTAGCCAGCTCCTAAGCCTTGGGAGAATGCATCATTGGGTGGATGTGTTTTGAAGTAGAAATTAGAGGGGAAAACAATAATAAAGGATCTAAAACAGACCATTGCTGAAGAGATAGGAGAGACACAAAACGAGAGAGCCAGAGCCAGCCTGTGGAGCTGAGAAAGGTTCTTCTGAGGAAGTGACACTTAAACCGTGACCTACAGGATCAATGGGATTCAATTAAATAGTAGCATGCCAGGAGAGCAAAAGGATTCCAGTCCCAACATCCTTTGCAAATGTCAACACATGAAAATTAAATCAGGGCAAATGTCATGCCTAAGTGATAAGAGGAGCAAAGAGACCATCTTAGTTGTCTTGGCTAATTTATCAGAAATTCAGACCTATTGGAAAGCTTCTTGATTTCCTGATTCTTAAGGCAATTTATGGGCAGATGCCAACGTGACTGCTTTGACTTGCCTATAGCTCTCTTTTGCTCTGCATTCCTACACCCTTTGTATTGGCATTTACCAGTTAAGCCCGAAGAGCAGGTGCTCTTCAGGAAAGAGCCTAATGTGTGGCTGGCTCTAGCCTGCATGGGGTAGGTGGCTCTCCCTCATGTAGAATGAGACATCTGTACCCATGGCTAGCCTCTCCCTGCCAATCTACTCTTCCCATGCTGCTCCTCCTGCACATGTCCCTATCCATACACAGGTAGGCACCTGGCACAGCCGATGTACCCAATTGCCGAAGGACCAATGTCCCCAGGCATCTCTGTGTGTGTGAATCCCCCATGGCTAGGGAGGACTTTCAAACACAGACAGCAGCATGCCCTTCCCCTACTTAGGAACTTTAGGTGGTCCAGTCTCTCTGGAATGACTTACAGACCTTCTCCAATCTATCCTCAGTCTAAGTTTCCGGATTCACCCCTACACTCATCTCCTACTCTCAAGCCACATTACACTGCTTGCCATTCTCTAAGCACCTCATGTTCTTTCCCCAACTCTGTGCCTGTGTACACTCTGTCCTCTGCTGCCACCCTCGCCCCACACCCTCATCTGGCACTTTAAGACCCGGATCTTACGCCACCTCCTCTGTAACGCTTCCCACGGTGCTCAGCGTTAGCTGTCCTTTTCTCCTCTGGGAAAAGAACTGCATGTTGCAATTCTTCTGTTATAATGCAATTATTCCTGAATTATTTGTATATCCATCTTCCCTACTGTACTGGAAGCTTCCTAAATGCAGGGACAAATTAGAACCGTTTGTGTACCCTTGGCACCTAGCAGAGTACCTGGTACATCGTAAGGGTTCAAACGTACGCATTTCATGATTAACCACGGTCCACAGAATGCATAGAGCTCTGTAGTATGCAGTAGGATTGGTCTTTGGAGAAGCCAGCTCTAATGGTTCACTAAATCCCTCATTCTGTCACAAAGTAGTGGAGAGGTTGCTACATGGGTGCTCACCCCTAGAAATACATATGGCCCGCATTCCTCTATGGTAGCATGGCTCTGCCTTGGCACCTTCCTTCCCAGTAAAACACTCCCCACATTTGAGCTCTCCAGCTTTCATTGAAATTCCCAGGGCATGAGCAGCAGCTGAAGGACTAAGCAGCTGACAGGGCTTCACCAGGATCCTATGTGACTCTGGAGCTCCCCGACCCCAGCCTCACTCCTTTCAATGACTTCTACAACTCAGAGCAGCCATGGGTCCAGAACCAGTGAATTGCTACAAAGAATTCACCTATCTCCCTCAGCCTCTCCTACCCACCCACCACCCCAGCTACAAATAGCTCTCCATTCCTGTCCAGCTGCCAGTGATGTCCCACCCCACTGTCTAGGGAAGAAAGGGCTGGTCTCATCAGCTTCCCAGGGAGCTGGGGGCTCCGTGACATTGGTGTTTTTCCTCTCCGCTGTTCTTTCTCTCCATGCAGTCTCTTCCTCTACCCCTCCTTTGAAAGAAGGCTCCACAAGCACGTTCTCCCCTCGCCCCTGACAGGTGTGGGGAATGACCCGTCCCTCCGCTGGGGGCCGTGTGCGCTGATGCTCGGTTTTGCGGCAAGCATTTGTATTCAGCACTCCGCTCCCCTGCTCTTGCCCAGTGTGTTCTGATGAGCTTCTCCCTGCACTCATATTGTCTCAGTCGTTAACCACCCATTTGCAAGTCTGTAATTTACTTTTGATCATTCATTTCATGAGGCGCACAGGGCAAAAAGCTGATTCTCTTTCCTTCTCCCGCCACCCCTTGATTCCCGGCCTCCTCGGTCTACTTTGCAGCTACGAGTCTGTCCCAGTCACACACGCAGTTGCGTTATCATCTCACGGAGAAGCCTGTGCTGCCTTGACTTTTCCAGGAGAGATTTTCCTTCTGCTTTGCCTTCTGATGATGTGGTTCATTAGCTCTTTCTTTTCTCCTCCTCAGGGATTAGCTTCTCTGGGAAATTGAGTAGTTGGTGGAGGCAATTATTTGTGGGTTTATTGATATGATAACCCCTGTTGACAGCAGGGGAACCACTGGCAGCATGGATAGGATTGTTCTGCCTTGGACTAAGCCCCAGGAGTAGGTGCTGTGGCTGAGGAGGCTCTGCCACCCCTTCCCAAGTGGGCATTTCACAGCCATTTTTTGTTCTGCAGGAATCAGCGCCTGCCCAGGCTGAGAGGTGCCCGCCCACCACCCAGTAGCCCTGAGAATCTGGCTGAATTCTATTCCTTCTCGCATTCATCAGAATTTTCAGTAAATAAAACACAGTGCCTCTTATACCAGAAGGAGGAAGAGTCGGTGACAGGAGAGGAGCAGACTCTTTAAGACCCTTCTCAGGGTTTCTCATTTTTTCCCTTCCTCTTGTTCTCTTTGGACACTTTTCCTAAGTAGAAATCAGCCCTTACATCATTCCTCGCTGCCGAGACCTTCTTTAGAAATGTTTCCCGGCTGGTGTTGTCCCGGGAGATGTCAGGGGCTTGCCACAGGCAGATTGTGCACCCCCCGCACGCCACCCCTACAGACATACTCAAATCCCCACGTCCCTCCTCCTTCCCGCCACCTCCTTCCTTCCCTGCTGTAGCGCTCAAGGCCTCATAAGCAGGGTCATTCCGGTGATCAGCTGTTTTGCGTATTTCAATGTATTGTCCAAATCGGGAACTTCTGAAAATGAAAGAAGGCTCTAGTTGTGGGTACACAGGACAGTGGGCTTAAACCTGAGCTGTCCCTGGAAGCTCCAGTCGTGGGTACACGGGACAGCAGACGTAAACCTGAGCTGTCCCTGGTCACCAGACTCCCAAGTCCCACTGCCAGGGCTGTAAGCAGCCTGTTTGTTCTTCAAGGCAAAGAGCAAAGGTGAAGAAGATCCCTTCCCTTTCTCACAGTTGCACTAGAGAAAAATGCACACCTGAGCCCTTGACTTGCAATCCAAAATGGGTTTTCACGTAAAAACAAAGTTAGATGGGAGAGTCCATTATGCACTATGAAGTCAGTTTAGAACATGGTCTGAGTTTATTTAAGGATTTTCAACATAGTGCCACCCTCTGCTGTGATACAAGTGTTTATTGTTTGTTTGTTGTTTGTTTTATAGATCCATAAGTGTATCCCAGTGGTCTCAGACAACCCACTGCAGACCATTGTTGGAGCTGTGTCACCTCCAGTCATTGAGCTAAATGTAAAAATCCCTCGACAGCAAAAAAAAAAAAAAAAAAAAAAAAAAAAAAGGCTAGGTAAAAGGCTTTCTTGTATTTTCACAGACATTGGGCATGAGGAACTTCTGAGATGCTACGAGCCTCCAGATCAGAGCCCTACTCAGGAAACAGTATCTGCAGAGGCCTCCGGCTTGAGATGCCCAGCACCAAGACACCTGCCTCAAGATGAGAGCGCTAGGAATGCATTTTGAGGCCCCGAGCAGAGCTGGAGCATGCCTCAGAAGATACTATCAAAATTGTAAACACAGCGAGGAGCTTATTCTTGACCTCTCTTTATGTGAGACTAGGTAATCTTTAAAGGAAATATCCTTTCGAGGAAATTACTTAATCTAACATGCCTTCATTGCTAATTAGTATCCTTGGATGAAAACGAAAAACCTTAAAAGGAAAACTTATCAAGAAAAAGGGCTTCCCACACAGGTCTAGAACAGTGCTAGCCTAATCTCCACAAAGCACAACTCTGTGGAATTCCCAGCTTGTCCTGAATCTACAACAGCCAAAGCAAGAAGGTAAGGTAAGGCTTACTCTTAACTGCCCCTAGGATCTGGCCCCTGCCCCTCCAGGTGGCTTTGTTTCCCTACAGGCACAAGGTCTCCACCAGGCTCTTGCCAGTTGGCCCCACACACGGAGCTCGCTGTGTCCTCCAGTGTTTGGGTGTGTTATTCTCCAGCATACGACTATTACCCACTTTCAGGACCCAAGGCAAGTTCTGCTCCCCAACCTCCTAGCAGCCCCTCCTTCTGTCATCCTCTGGTGGTTATGTTCACCTTTCCCTGGCCTCCACTTTTGCAATATATGGCCATTAAGCAACCCCAGCTATATAAAAACTCCTTGAGTTTAGAGGTAATTTTGTTAGCACCAAATAGTGACAATTGCATAAAAATATAACTTCTTCCTCCCTCAATCCCACATCACTAGTACCAGGCACGTTGCATGGACTCAATACATACCAGTTAATAGGTTAATCAATTCACTGTTTGAAAAGCATCCTCCATCCAGTGTACCCACATGCATAACTACTTAGTATGGACAGGACGCTGCCTTGTGAAAACTTATGCTAAATGACAATACCTATGTATTCTAATTGGTAATGATGATTCAGCCGCTGGGCCCTAGGTGAGAAGTGGGCTCCCTGAACACCAGATGAAAGGCTCAGGCTTCTGGTTGAGGGCAAAGAAGAATGAGAAAAAGAAAGGAGAATGAGTAAGTGGGGTGAACTGTGTAGAGAATGAAGGCTTGCCTATACACATGGCTCAGAGAATCAGCCCTGAGATGTTGCTCTCATTCTTTCACTGATTCCCAAGCATTCGTGAAACACATTCCTTAGGCTGTTTCTTCTCCGGGTGCTGCATGTCCATTGACAGTAATGCGAAGCCTCTACTCCCTGGAGCTCCAAGCATACTCTGGGTAACGTGTGGAACCAGCAAAGCCTGATCCCCTGTAAGAATGGCTATAGCAAAGACGCAAATAAAAAGCTGTGGGGAGAAGGAAATAATTAATGCTTCCTAGAGAACCCAGGAAAATATCACAGAATTTGAAAGTCTAGAGCTGGATCTTGAGAGATGAATAGGTGTTTGCCAGATGGGAAACCAAGGGAGGCCCTTCCAGGTCAAGAGAACAGCGTGTGCAAGAAAGGGTAAGACTAGGAGCAAGATGAGGGGCTAAATTTTCATAGCCAGTGGCCCAGAGAAGCTGAAGCTAAGGGCAGTTTGGATTAGGGGTCATGAGATGGAATAAGAGAGAAAACACAGAGTCTTAAGGAGTCAGAGACAGGAGCAAGATGGCTGCAGGTGGGTAAGGCACCCTGGATGACAGCCCAGTGAGACTGTGCAAAGCAGGCCTTCAGCCTCTGTGGAACCTGACTGCAGGTGCATTCCATGACCCCCCAGGTGTGCCCCATCCCTGAGCTCCTCCAGCAGTATAAAATACCTCCAGGTCACAACTGTCCTTAGAAGCAGAGGTTCACAGAACAAGCATTTCAGTAGTCCCTAATCTACACCAAGCATTCATTACACCTCGGCTCCCAAAGTGCTGGGACTATAGGTGAGACTCCGCGCTTGGCCTTGTTTTCTCTACTTTGTATACTGTCTTCTCCACTGGTGCTTGCCCTCCTTGCCTCCTAAATGCATTGAGTCTCTCTTTTCTAAAATAAGAGAGGAAAGAAGGAGAAGTCACGGTCATCAACATCTGTGGGCCTTGTTTCCTCAGTGGCACTATGGTTTTCCCTCTTGTAAGAGTAGCTTTTACTTCCAGTTTCCATTTCTTACCGAATGATCTCTGTGACAAACACTGAGTGGCCACCCAGCCTCCCCCTGTTCCTTCCTGACAGGATTCCTAACTGGTTCAGGATTCAGGTATCAGGTATCCATCTGCTTCAAGGCAGACTGGTTCCTCCCAGGCCCAGGCATGAATCTTGTTTCTTTAAGCGAGCAATTCCCAAACTTTTTGGTCTCAGGACTTCAACTCTTCAGAATACCCTCTTCAATGACCTTTTGTTTATATGGGTTATTTCTATTTATACTTACCATTTTAGAATTCAAAATTCAGAATTTAAAAAAAAATTGTAAATTCATTTTAAACGAACAATAATAAGCCCAGTACATGTTAACATAAATAATACATTTTTAATGAAGAATAATTACATCTTCCAAAACGATTTGGTTAGATGAGTGGCACTGGGCTGCACCTTTGTAAATCTCTTAAACATGGCTTAATAGAAGACAGCTGCATCCCATCACTGCCTCTCCATTCAATCTGCTGCAATACTTGTTTGGGTTGAAGTATAGGAAGAAAATCTCATCTTTAATAATACAGGTATGCAATTAAAAAGAGAGAGAGAGAGAGAGAAAGAGGAATATTTCCTTTTTAGCTAATTGTGGATATTCTTCTTTGATATTCCAAAACTTGACAAGTGGTAATTTAGCTTAGTTGCAATGTGGAATCTTAAACCAAGTCCATGAACTTTTTCTATTATGTTTCACTAAAATCCATTTATTTCTCTTGTTCTTTGTATGAATCATTTACTCATGCATGATTTTGTAACAGCATGCCTTGGTCATTTGGAAAATATTGGTTCACTGAATTATTCAGATCTTCCAAATGTTGACTTGTTTACTCTGAGACAAAATTTTAAAAACTACATTTGTTAACATTGCCACTAATTTCATCACAAAAATCTTTAAATACTGAGAAACTGTCAAGCGGACACAGATACTGATTTTTCCAAAATTCCAATTTTCACTTGAAAACTCAAATTTTATTATTGTCAACAAACACTGTTGGTTGTTTTCCTTGAAGTGACTCACTTCATTCATTTTTGGGAAAATGTCTGCCAAATACCCACGTCTGAATAATCATAGTTTCTCTGTTGTTCTTTCAAGTAAAAATGGTGTTCTGTGGAAACATTAAATACTTCAGCTTATAACTCACGTAAGCACACATGCATTTTTGCCTCAAGATGACCAGGAAACAATCATACTTCAGAATGCAACAGAAGTGCCTTAGGTGTACCTACCAGTTTGTCACATAGTATATTAAAAAGACACGTATTGATGGGCCAAGATTTAATGAAATTAGTAACTTTTATTGCTTCATCAAGGACATTTTTAAGTGAAACTGGCATTGTTCTTTACTGTGAGCAGGCGGCAGTGAATAATACGATGGCTACCAGCAGAACTGGATGCCACTCCCTTGATTCATGCTAAGGTGCTGGCAGTTTTACCTGCCACTGTTTTTTACAAGTTATTGGTTTAGTCCTGAGTGCATGAGGCAACTTTGGCCTATGACTGATGTGTTGAGAGACTTCTTGGAAGGTCTCACTTATTCTTAAAACTGGAAAGGCATTTCCTTTTATGACTCTAGACATTGACACCACCTGGGACTTCTGGAACAGCAGGAGTGGTCTTGCAACCATGAGGGGAAAGCCAAGACAATCACAGAGAAGTGAATCCTGCAGCTTGGGCATAACTTTGAACCAGTGAATTAGTCAAAGTGACCACACCCCGTCTCTGAAATCCTTGTTCTGTGAGATAAATATCTTCTTGACTGAGCCATTTTTAGCTGATTTCCTTTTATTCGAGTTGATACAGTCTTTGCCGTTGCGGAGGCTGCAATCTACCTGGGTTGAATATTAGCAAATACCTTGTTATGTAGATCCAGTCTTTCCAGCCAAAATATAAACTCCTTGAGAGAAGAGTTTCTTTATTACTATTTTTTTATTATTATACTTTAAGTTCGCGTAATTGCTTTATGCATGATAAACAAAGGCAGTAGAAATCAGGATAAGAGTGATCCCCTTAACTTCAGCAAATGTCCCTGTAATCTGATGCCCTCGTTTTGCTCTATGATCTTGCTGCCAAATCTTGGGTGAGTGTCCTTCATTCTGTAAGACACATTCTTTTCCTTATGAGTCCCCATCACTTATGTCATCTTTCACAAACCTTTTCCAGATCATTTGTTTCATAAAATATTACTTAGTGTCTGACCTATCTTCCACATCCCCAACCTCCACACTAAAATATCAGGCAAGCATACATATAAAAAGGTTACAATAATAATATAATAAGTTTAGTTATTACATATATAAATAATGAGTATTAAGGCATAGACTGAATTAGCCACAAACATATCTTGGAAGACAGATCTACAAACCCATTTATCTCACCCTCAACCATGGGCATTTGATTTTCTTTCTTGAATAAATATGTGAAATTAAGGTGATTTTGTTTCATATTTAGCCTCTGGAAATTTTCCTTGAATGTCTTTCACTATGTTCATTGAATCTTGGATAGAGTCAAAAACTTCCTTTCATCTCCATTTCTAATCAATTGCCTTACATCTGAAATCTGACATTTACTGGTCGTGTGACTTGGGCAATTAACTTGGCTGCTTTGTGCCTTAGTTTCTCCATTTTTAAAATAAAAATTGTAATATAGCCTATCTTAAACAGTAGTTATAAAAATTAAAGAATTAAAAAACATGCACTTCAGAAAATGCCTGACACATTTTAAGAGCTCAAGAAGAATTAGCTATCATTACATTCTTACCATTAGCAGCATCATCGTTACTTTGCCTAAATGCACTGATTCTGCACCCTTTTCTATAGGACGATCATCTCCCCATCTCCCAGCTTCTGGCAAGCACCACAGAGCTATTTGCAGTTGCCATTACTTCCTTTTCTACCCTTGAGACACATGAAAAAGTTGCAGAAAAATAACAAGAGCGTATACAATTTTCAAGAAAGAAGAGGACTTAGGGCTTTTTTCTGGTGGTTTTCCTCATGTCTACTTTCTTGTTCTATTTATTTTCTGTCCTTGACCCTATTATCCTCTTTTGGATTCTCCCACTTCTTCTGCCTTCCCCAATCTTCAAGTGTTTCTCTACACCTGTCTCCATACTTGAGTTTCACTCTATTTGTATTGTAAGAGCATTTAAGGGAAGAACAAATTTATCCTTGTCATTCTTATTGACTCTGTGGTCAGAGTTGGAATCTCAAGCAATTGATTTTTGTTTGTGTATCATTTTGATATACTGTGGTTCAGTAATTTTCCAGAAGGGCAAAGGTCCTATGGCAGATGGTGGGTGTCCCCTGTGTGATCAAACACCAGATCAACTCTTATATTTCAGAAATTAACAATTCCCACATGAACACTTTGGAAAACAAAAAGAATACATTATCATTTCCCTTGGCAAAGGGCCAGGCTGATCTTCCACCTATTAAAACCCTGAAGACAGCCCAATGGATAAGGGTCTAAAAAGAAGGATCAAAAGTTCTCGATTAATAAATTGTCATATCCAAACTCTTACTGCCAATAATGATGCCCTTTCCATCCAAGGCCAGCAGCCTATCGAAGTTTTCTTTCCCACTTACAGACACAGATACATCTGGGGATCTTTCCATGTTTAACTTTTCTGGAACCTCTTAGTTTATCTCACATTCCCATCTCCGCTCTTCTGCTTTGGTTATATATTTTTGGGGGTTGTTTGTTTACCATTTTTATTGCCAAACTCACTTTCAAAACCCATCTTAAAAGTTATTTTTCTTGTTGACTCTTGCTCATCCCCTCCCACTCCCAGAACTGGTCTCATCTGGAATTTAGGCCAGTTAAAGACACCAGAGAACTTGTGCATAGGGTGAGTGTGTCCGCCATCACCCAAATCTGAATACATTTGAAACTGAAGGGAGGTGCTATTTATAATTAACTTAGGACCTCGGAAGCAAATTGAGACTGCCTTAGACAACTCAGAAAAGATGGTCACCCTCTTACATGGAGATGCTTACTACTATTTCCATGGTGAACTGATCATACAATGCAAACCTTCTGCAATTGAGCTTTCTAGTACTGTGCTGACGTTGGACTTGTATTTTAAGCAGTTCAGGAACATGTACATTCAAGCCATCAGTGGAGGTCACTGTCATGATGTTTAGATCCGCCCCGTCTCTAGCTCATTCGTCTATAATAAACTCTCTGCTGCCCCTATGTGGTGTATTCTTGGTTTGGCCAACAATACCCACTCCACCTTCACATTCCCCATTCTGGAGAAGGAACAACAAAGCAAAATTAATGACATCCGTGAGGAAGAGGAAAAGGAAAAAAGGGAGGTAAAAGCAATTATTTTGAAGATATCAAGATTTCTCCCACTTGCCAGGTGCAGTGGCTCACTCCTGTAATCTCAGCACTCTGAAAGGCCAAGATGGGAGGAACCCTCGAGTCCAGAGTCGAAGACAGCCTGTGCAACATAGTGAGACCCTATCTCTACAAAAATTAAACAAAAATGGCTGGGCGTGGTGGTAGGTGCCTGTAGCCCTAGCTACTCAGGAGGCTGGGAGGTGGGAGGATCCCGTGATCCCGGAAGGTCAAGGCTGCAGGGAGCAGTGAGTCCACCACTGCACTCCGGCCTGGGCAACAGAGAGAGACCCTGTCTCCAAAACAAACAAACAAACAAAAAAGATTGCTCCCTCTTTTTGACAGACCTAAAAATAATTTTACTCCTTTACCCTATCCCTTTCTTCTCACAAGAGTCATTATTACGTGACTGTTTTTTCCATTCCCAAAATCACGATGAGATTGGGGATTGGAGGTCTGTGCCAGAAACAGACTAGCGTGGAACCACAGTGGACCACGTGGGGTCAGCAAAGACCTAATGTTGGATCCCCTTTTTAAGCATCCAGCAGGCTTGTAGGCTTCTCGGGGAAGTGCTGCAGGTGGAGTTGGGGGAGGGGAGTGTGTAGCCCAGGAACTGAAGGGACAAATGGGACCAGCTAGAAAGGAGTAGAGCAAGAAGATGGAAAGGCAGGACTGAGTGGGAGCAGAGCCTCGCTGGAATACCCTCACTGTCAGCAAAGTGGCTTTTCAGAGGAGCAGCATGCGAGGGACAGGCTGGAAGGTCAGGTCGGGAGGGAGTAGCCACAAAGGAGTCTCACTGAGGAAGAGAGGTGAGTGTCACCAGAATCCTCTACCATCAGAAAGTCCTTTGATGTAGAGTGGGAGCATCCTATCACCTCCCACCCAGCCCTTCCCTATTATTGAAGGGGCAGTATCCACAAGAGGTAATAGGGCACACAGACTCTAAAAACAGTGGATGAGAAAACACCAAAATCATATCCAGGTCTCCTAGCCCAGGGGTCCTCAACGCCCCCAGGCCACAAAGCCCTACCGGTCTGTGGCCTGTTAGGAACCAGGCTGCACAACAGGAGATGAGTGGCCGGCCAGTGAGCATGACCGCCTGACCTCCGCCTCCTGTCGGATCAGCAGCAGCATTAGATTCTCATGGGAGCGTGAACCCTACTGTGAACTACGCATCTGAGGGATCTAGGTTGTGCACTCCTTATGAGAATCAAACGAAATCCATGGAAAACTTGTCTTCCAGAAAACCGGTCCCTGGTTCCAAAAAGGATGGAGACTGCTGTCCTAGCCCACCAAATTCTGATCATTTGGAATCAGGACTTCAGTGTGCCCGTGCAATTAAAACATCTAGAAGACAAAGGGATAATTCCTGTTTCTATCGGCCTTGTTACCTGGCATTCAGTGCTTAGTGCAGCCAGGGCTCAGAGAACAAGAGAAAAGAAAGCCCATTGGTTCTACTCTGGCTTTCATCCTCCTCCAGGAGTCCCCAGTCTCCCCTTCACCTCATCTGGCCCCATTAAGTGCTTGAACCCAGACGCTGACGTCTGCCCTCCGTACCTTGGTGTTTAGGCCTCGTGGAAAATGACTTGCTTGTGAATAGCTGATAATGCACCTGTCAAATTCTACATATGGCCAAGATCCTTCTGTTGGTTCCTCACACTCAAAGTGCCTTGTTTTTCTTCAAGTACTATCTGAGATGTCTCTACGGATTAGTGTTTATATGCGGCAAGTACTGCAGTTAGTTAATAATGTCAAGATCATTGAGCTTCCCTAATGAAAGAGATACACAACATCAACTGTCATTTTAAACAAACATGCAATCAGGATAGCAGTGCTGAAAATATGATCTGCCTAATTTCATGGAGATGATGCAAGAACCAGGCTGCTTTCACAGTCCTTCCACTGGCGAGCTCCATTTCACAGGATTTCAGGGGAGAAACGGTGGATTTTCACAAGAGCCGCAAAACTGCCGGTTCTGTGAAAAAGAAATTGCTTCAGCAGCTGGAATCCAGGAGGACAAATAGGTACACTGATTATATCTTCATTGTTCACCAGAGCCACAGCACTCAGTAAGTTGTAATTATGTTGTGAAGAGCTCAGTTCTGATAGTCAAGCCCTTCCCCATGTGAATATAAACAGTATTTTTCTATTTGTTATCAAAGGCTTGCAGCCAATCCTGTAGTATACATATATATACACACACACACATACACATATACATTCATGTATGTGTATGTGTGCATGTGAGTGTATATATATGTGTGTGTATATACACACATACATACATGCACACAGTATATGCAAACCTATAGAATTAAGATCTTGCAGCCAGGCGCAGTGGCTCATGCCTGTAATCCCAGCACTTTGGGAGGCTGAGGCAGGTAGATCACTTGAGGTCAGGAGTTCAAGACCAGCCTGGCCAACATGGTGAAACCCCATCTCTAAAAATATAAAAGTTAGCTGGGTGTGGTGGCGCACACCTGTAATCCTAGCTACTCAGGAGGCTGAAGAGAATCGCTTGAACCCAGGAGGTGGAGGTTGCAGTGAGCCGAGATCGCGCCACTGCACTCCAGCCTGGACAATGCAGTGAGACTCTGTCTCAAAAAAAAAAAAAAAAAACATCTTGCCTGTTTTATTCCAACAGATTAGAGCTGTGGGCACATCAGTATGCCTCCCAGTCAGGTTTCAGATAAGATTAGCTGCATTCGGACAATTCACTGGCCAAGGGTCATGCAGAAAGAATAAAAGAAGTAGGGTAGAAAACAAAAATATGGATGAATCAGTTGGGTGCTTGGATTATACAAAATAATAGGGAAGCTAAAGACAACTCATTCTGGAGACACCATAAACTGAGGTTTCCATAATGACTATGAGCCACCTCTGACCAGCTTTCTGATAGACCATTCAGCAAATGGCACATTTCTGGTGGCCTCATTTGTCACTGATATGCCTGCACACACAAATCTCTGGCAGTTACTAAAGTGTTCCATTGGTCATTGTCCTTTGATTTCAGCTTTCTCGTAGTTCCTAAAATCTTGCTCTTTCGGGGATCAGCTAGGCAGCAGCTCTGGATATTTCCACTCCCTTGTCTATGTGCAGTGCACAGAGCCTTGGTAAACATGACCAGCCTTGACTGGGGCAGCTACTCATCTGACCTAGGAAATCTATCTTGATATATTATTAAACCTTAAAAAATAACTTTAAAAACGTCAAGGCTAAATCACCATAGGAGTTCTGAAGCTTAGTGAGGAGGGAGAAAGCAGCCACAGAAATGTGCTCCTTTCCAAAAATGACATTCCCTCCATCTTCAGATAGTGGTGACTTGGGCGCCAAACTCCAGTCAACCAAATGTGGTTACTGATCTTATATTTCTTCCATCCTTCTTCTCATTCAAAGACCTTGCTCCTATTTGAAGGAAACAGAAGAATAAAATGGAGAAAGTTGGTGAAACCCCATCTCTACTAAAAATACAAAAATTAACCGTGCGTGATGGCATGCACCTGTAGTCCCAGCTACTCTGGAGGCTGAGACAGAAGAATCACTTGAACCAGGGAGGCAGAGGTCGCAGTGAGCTGAGATCGCGCCACTGCACTCCAGCCTGGGCGACAGAGCGAGACTCTCTCTCAAAAAAAAAAAAAAAAAAAAAATGGAGAATGTTATAGACTAGAGGCTTGTAGATCTTATTTTAATTCATGTGTTAGAGTCATTTCTAACACATAGTGAATTGGATCCTCGTACTTTCGAAATCCTACCATCAGAGACAATGCCTTCAAGGTGAACTCTACAAATAAGACATCATTGGTGCTCAGCAACCAAGGGTAGAAGGTTGCCACGAAGCAGTGGCCAGAAGAGGTTGGAGAGAATGGTGGAAGAGGTAGAATAGATAAGTGGTTAAGAATGGGGACTCATGTCAGACACATCTGGATTCAAATCTCAGCTCTTTAATTTTACTAAGGGTATCATATTCAGCAAATTTTTTAACCTGTATTAATTTTCTATTGCTGCATAACATATTACCATAAACTTAGCAGCTTACTGCAGCACGTAGTTATTATCTTACAGTTTATGTAGTTTAGGAATCTCAGCATGGCTTAGATGGGTCCTCTGCTGAGGGTCTCATCAGCTGTGATCAAGGTATCAGCCATGCTGCATCCTCATCTGGAGGTTTGACTGGGGAAGAATTTAATTCCAAGTTCATTTAGGTTGTTGGCAGAGTTTACTTCCTTGCAGACATAGGACCAAAGACCTCCAATTCCCACTGGCTGTTGGCTAGAGGCTGCCTTCAGGTCCACCAGAAGTGCTCTAACAAATGGCTTTCTCTATAGGCAGTTCATGGCTGTTTTCTTCTTCACAGCCAGCAGGAGAGTCTCTCTCACTCTAGTCTGCCAAGACAAGTCTCATATAATGTAACAAAATCATGGTCATGACATCTCATCACATTTGCCATATTTTATTGCCAGAAGCAAATCATAGGTTCTACCTGCACTGAAGTGGGAAAAGTTATACAGAGAGTAACACCAAGGGGTGCACATCATGGGGTCCTCTTAGGAATTGCCTACCACATTCTACCCTCTAGTTATCATCTGGAGAGAAAATAATGTAAAAAGTCATTTTTGAAAGGTAGAAGGAAGAAGTGTTTGAGAATGTAGAAATCCCAACTCTTCAGTTTTACTAAAGCTGTGACCTTGAACAAGTTTCTTATCCTATCTGCTTTTCAGCTTTCTCCTCTGTAAAATGGGAGTCATAAGAGTAGTTACCTTATGGGTTGATGGGAAGATTAAATAAGGGCTTGTAAATTATCTAGAAGAGTGCCTGGCACTTAGTGAGTGCTGGGGAAATGTTAACTTAATCAACATGTCCCTCTTTGCAGCAGACTTGGAAAGAGTATCTTTTGGGCATAGCTTCTTTAAGCCTATATCACTTGTCAAATCAGAGGCAGAGCCAAGGCTACAACTCAACAGCCAAGAGCCCAGGTGAGGCTGTCACTGGTCTAAGCCTGTTGTGCTTGCTGAACCTGATTCTGCCACTCCAGCCATCCTTCCCCTGCTGACTCAGCCTGCCCTGGGTGTGGGGAGGGGCACATTTCCTGTAGAGAGGTCTGGTAATGGCCACAGTGGCAGGTCAGGCAGCATAGTGTGGAAACCTGGCTCTCCTTCAGGGACAAGTGGATGCTTAGACTTTGGAAGCAGGTTGGAGAGATGAGGGATAAGGTCTATGATGCTCTGCAGAGGGAGGCAGGGGTGTGTGGGTGGAGAGAAAGGAAATGAGGGAGACAGGGCCACAGTAGATACCAATGGAATGTGCTGAGGTGACCTTGCTCTCTGCGGCAAGCTCAGCGCAGCAGAGGAGGTGATGACTTGCAGTTTTCCCATCAGTGCCGCATGAGTCACTCTCCATATGGCTGGTCATGTCTATCCCCTCGTTTCCCATATCAGTTTAAATGAAGGCACTGCGTGTATGTGCATGTGTGCATGGGTGCACATGTATGAGTGCACTAACCAAACAGCTGCAGAAGTAATGAGTCAGTATTTGCTCTGAGGATCTGAGACCTCTCCCAAAAATTAGGCATAAATATGGACATCAGTATGACAAGTCAGCATTTCTACAAAATACAGCATGTCAGTTCAAGGATCTCAGCAAGTTTTAAGGAAATGACTTAAAAGATCACCTTCTTTGGAATAGAAATTAATCTCTTAGATTGATGGAGACCATTGGGAAAAGGGGAGGGTAAGAGAAAAGGGATGCAGGCATGATTCAAGTAGAAAGAAAATAGGGTTGATTTTATATTTGCAAAACAATTCACCATTAACCAAAATGCCTTTCCACACATGTCTCTTCAGGTCTCACCAAAACATATAAAGAAAACAAAGCAGATATTATCTTCATTTGCATGAGAAAACACAGTCAGTCTGTAGGAGCAAAAGGAAGTAGCAAAAAGAAAAAAAAAATACTAGAACACAGGTCTTCAGAACTCTAATTCAGTGTTCCTCTTCTACAGAATCTGACGGAGATGTCAGAATAGCCTTCGTTAGCAGGCTGATGCCTATGTGAAGGTTATTGCTTAAATATTAATTAGACAAGCCCTGTCCAGGCACTGCCAGCCTAGGGATACATTACATTAATCTTTCTGAGCCTAAGTTTCCTTATCTATAAAATAAGGATAATAATAATATTCACCTAATTAGGTTGTTTGAGGATTAAATAGGTTAATAATCATAAGGGCATAAGAAATTGTCTGTGCAAAGTGTTAGATTAAGTGTTAGCTTATTATTTTGGCCTCTTCTCCCAGCCCTCCCACTTAAAAGTACTTATTCAGGGAGAAATGAACACTACCTTGCTGAATGAATTACTGATTGAATAATGGGAACTAAATGGAGACAGAAGAGGACCTAGAAACAAGGCCAAACACCCAGGGAAAGGAAAGACTCACTTCTTGGTTTCAATGACCAACTTTCCCACAATCACCTAATTGTAGTCCAAACCTCAGATTTAAGTGGCCCTTGCAGCATAAACCAAAGCTTTCTAAACTCCCAGGGCATTTCTCTCTCCCTCTATTTCATTATCACCTGCTCAATGATTACAAAACACTGCTTTTCATGAAGGATACAAAACCATTTTAGAGGACTCATGTGACACCCTGGAACACTCAGCTCTCTTTACTCACTCTCGGTGGGATGCTGGTGACTGTGCTTTGTGATTGGGGAGCCCTGATTTGTAGTGTCTGATGATACCTGTGGTGTAAACACTCCTACTATGACTGATTTCAAGCTACCATGGGTTTAACAACTGGCTGGCAAACTCCTGAATATTAAACAATTGGCTTTTACACGTGGCTTTGTCCCTCTCCTTTGCTCCTTCCCATTTCCATAAGAGGATTGGGCCCTGACTGCTAGGTCCATTGAGCCTCATTGGATACGGGCTGGTAAATACAGCTCCTATCACTGCTGTGTGGCACTTGCTCTGCACCTTGGGACCTCATAGTGCAGGGCAAGGAATAAGAACCCTTGGCATTCTAGAAAAAGGAAACAAATAAGCAGGAGAACCTGGGGTGGAGGTTTCTGAATTTTATTCCAAACCATGGCATTAATAAATGGCTTGAACTGAAGAAAAGCCAAGTTCACCTGTTCCTGGTGCCTTATTTTCTCCATTCATCAGACAGTGACAACAACGACCTCAGTCACAGGGGAGGCAGAGAGCTTCATTAGCTCATGGTTTTTAAAGGCTCAGATACAAAAGGCAGTGTAATAGGAGTGCAAAGCCTCATTATTAGGTAATAACTCTCATCTGGCTGATTCCAATTGCACATCTCTTCATGTCTACCCTTTTTCCAATTACGTTGCTTCATTTTTCTCTTCTGGATATTTTTTAAAAGTCACTTTGAAGTACCGTAATTACTATTTCAATAAAAAACCTCACAAAGATGATGAGTTTAAACTAAATGAAAAAAAGCAGAGAAATCATGCCTCCCCCATCCAGCCTCCAACCCAAAAAAAATTTTTTTTAAATTAAAATTTCATCCCCTGTTTTACACGCAGTGAAATCAGTGCCTTATTTGGAGAGTGTTCATTCAAGGAGAGAATCTTTTTTAGGTGGAAATGATCATTGTACACTTGCCAGATAGTTAATTACATTAGGTTGTTCTGCCCACGATTGCAAATCAACTTCATACAGAAGGGACTTGTGGCCAAGATAATAGCAAAAGATAATGCAGTAAAACAACTGTGAAAAGCAAATGGTGCAAAGCATAAATGTTGAAAATTGCTGTTTGTTTTTATATATATATATATATATATATATATATATATATGTATTTTTAGGAGGGCGGCAACATGCTCTTTGCTGTTATCACAAGCATTAAAGTTTAATAGACCATCCGTGAGTTATTTACTGCTCAGAAACACCTGCTCGGTGAGATAAAGTAGCAGCTATCTTTCTAGTTTTAAAATTGACATTCAGCCAGTTATATTTCTGGTCTTTCTCATCACTTAGATGGTTGTTGACTTTTCTTAAATGTCAAAGGAGGTTTTCAACTTAATTTTATGCCTCATGCTAGTTTCTCACTTGGGCTCTCCAGAGGCCCTTCTCTGTGGCCTCTAAGTCAGCCCCAAGGAAGTGTTGCTGAAAGGAAACCTTTCTTTTAAGAAAAAAGAGTGCATTTACATCCATCTTTTTGCATGTATTGTGTAGAAAATGGAATTTATCATACCTCATTCATAATTACTCCCCTTAGTCTTTCTACACTGTTTACTAAGGTGAATAAAGTATTAGGCAAGTGTAGTATATACACATATGTAGACAATCACAGATAGGACTATATTCTATGCCCCTGGACAAATGATATCACCAGAAACCAGGTCTATGTCAGGGCCTGCGTGATTTCTCCTGACGTCTCTCTTCTTCCCTGCATGCCGTTTCCTTTCTCTACCTGCTGAGCAATCTTCTCTCTACTCCACAATCCATATTCTGGAGTTCAAGTCTGATGAGCTTAGCTCTGTCCACTCCTGGGCCAAGTTCTTACCACAGACCACTTCACAGAACAACCAGCAGACTATGGCCAGACAACTCATTGGGAGGGTGGGCATTCACGTCTGGTCGATCAGTGGTCATTTCTGCACAAATACCCCCTGTCACAACTGCCCTGGGCCAGGCCATGGGTCAGCACTGTCAGACTAATGGAGATGACAGGTGCTATGTACACACCGACATACTGACCTGTGTTGTGTCAAGTGCTGGGTTTTAAGGAGGTAGATGCTGACTGAAGTGAGCCATGTCAAGGTTGAGGAAGGAACTGAGCTAGGAATTCTGAACAATATGGCTTGGCTGCCAGACTCAATTTGAACCCTGGCTCTCCCACTTGATATCTGAGTGACCTTGGGCAAGCGATTCAACCTCTTTGTGCCTAATTGTCTCATGTGTCAAATGGGACTTATCACACTACCAACCTCACAAAGTGGTCATAAGAATAAATGAGCTGACACACAAAATGCTGAGTCGAGTCTGCCGGTAAGTGCTTCGCATCTGATTCGTTCAGTGTTTGTTTCATGGTTATCTATGGGTATGTGTCTGTGTTTGTCTAAGGTATGCAGAATTTAAATTAATGGTGATCCTTGGTCCATGACATGCTTCTATCAACTGTCTATGCAATGGTCTCTTTTATGTACATATTTGTACATAAAACATCCAATACCCATCAACCTACACACTCCTCACCGTCTCCTTTCCCTTCCTTTCCCAAGACATAACTGCTATTCTAAATGATATGTTCATCATTTTCTATTTCTTCACATTATTCTTATAAAAATATATGCCTAACAACATATTATTTAGTTTCAGTTGTTTTTAGGCTTTATAAAGGGGTACACTATAACATTAGTCTTCCAGGACTTGCTTTTTTTCTTCCAAGTTTGTTGCCAGGAAGGTCTGTGTTCTTTCATGTTCACGTCTGTGTGATATTCCATCGTGCGACTATGACACAGACTATCTATAGGCTTAGTAAAAGTTAGCTACTTTTCAGCTATTACTAAATACCAGGAGCTCCCTTTTGTCCTTTCCTAAGCTATCATTCATCCTCACCTAGCCACGAATTCTGCCCTTTTATTCAACAGCCATCATCTTCAGTCTTGAGCTGCTCTTTGGGCCAGGAGTGGGCCAATGTGGAGGCCATATGCCTGCTTCCCCCTTCCCTTTCTCAGGACTCTGCATCCTTAAAATACACCCCTGCTATTTGCTCAACTGGATCCCATCTGAGAGAAGAGACCCGGACAAGTCACTGATAGGAAGAGTGAATTGGTTGTCGCCTTTTAATTTTTTCAGTGAGGATGGGAAGAGCTTTTATTGACAAGGCTGTAATGCAAATGTGATTCTATCACAATGCGTTATTGGCATTCTTATTATCTGGCTCTGCTGTAATCTTGCCCTCAGCTCCCTCCCCAACCTATCTTCTTTTATCCTTTCACTGATTGTTCTAGTAGAAAAACTGCAGACTACAATACTCTGTGGATTCATGGTTAGGTAAGAGACAGCTGGAAGATGCCTCCCAAGTGTTGTCTGAAAACGGACATGGTAAATAAAGCAGGACTTCTAGGTCCCGGCTGAGTTTTCTTCCTGGTGACCACTGAGAGCCCAGTAGAAAAATCATGAAGTGACCCTTATTAGTTTGGCCCAGCTCCCTCCCAGGCAATTACTGTAGCAAAGCTCAGACACTGAATTCTGATTGATTCTGGAAGATTAAGCAAGAAAATGAAGCTGCCATAATATTGTAGCCAGATAGGTAACCTGGCTTGAAATTCATGTACTGATCCAGAAGAAAAAGGCATGCTGCCAACATTTCATGGAGGTTATCTAAGTTACATCACATTTTTAAATGCCGATTTTGACCTTTTTCCCGTGTCAGAAATATATATCCACACTTCTGATTAAAGACTAGATGCAACGGATTGTAGTTTCGTATTTTTTCTTCCCTCCGTATTGATCACATTTTTCTCCCGTCATTGAGAGCAAGAGGTAGGGCCGTAGAAGAGAAGACAGGAGCAGTAGAACTGAGCCTCTGTGGTAGGATTTCTCTGTAAACTGCAATGCAACCTGTGTTTGGTGTAGGGGCCACATTTGGACAAGTTTTCTTTCATTTATTCTAGAACATTGTCAACGTTTATACATTTGAATGTTTGCCAGCTCTGTCCCTGCCTTCAAGGAACCCACATGAGGGGCAGGTAGAGAGACTCAGAGCTACAGCCCTCCTTGAAGGGTGCTGTGGTGGGATTTGAATAAATGGCTGGGTCTGTCTTGGAGGAAAATGTTTTTCTACAGTTGGTGAGAACCAAAACCACATAGCCATGTGGTTTGGCTATTCCACTGTCTTCATTGACATGACTTTATCATTCCAAAAAACCCTTGTCCAGAAAGAAAAAGATTTACGTCTTTATCTGAACATTCCTAAAAATCCACTTAAAATTGCTCAACTTCAATAGATAGCATCAAGTGATGTTTTATGCTCCAAATCACTCCCAAACTTCCTGCCAAAACCCTCCCCTTCTGTGTCCACCACTCACAATCTTTACCCAATCCTAATCAAGCTTCTGCATTGAAAGGCCCACCTCAAACAAGACTTCACAGCCTCAGAACTAGCCCGGCCTTGCCCTCCTCCCTCCAAGACACTACAAGAACTCCATCAGTGTCATGTTCTTCCGCCATGGCATGCAAGAAACTCAGCTTTGACTTACCAAAATTTTATTTGGGTGCCTGCGTTTGACAGTGAGGAGGAAGAATGAGAGGGGAGATGACAAGTGGGACTTGGAAAATAAATGGGACTTGCCCAATGATGGGAGGTAGGGAAGAACACCCCAAGAGAGAAGAACAGATGAGTAACGGCAAGAAGACAAAAAGGTTACAAGCCCCACTGTACCTGGGGCTTTAACTGAATTATATCTGAAGGAACACTTTTACCTTCTCTTTGTGCAAAAGGACAGGGTCTTAGAAAGCCTTCGTCCCATGACTGAGGAAGTTTGGCCCATGGTGGGACCCTATGAATGACTTCAGAGACAATGAGAAACTCCACTGCTGGTTGCCCAGAGGCCAACTGCCTCCCCTCCCAGCTGGAGTTCTCCCAACTCCTAGGTTCTGTCTCCCTCACATCACCTGCCCAGCTTTCTTCAGTTCCCACTTCACTCCATCCCAGGAGATCAGCTAGTTTCATGTGAACAAACCCAAGTCCACTCCATGTGTACCTCATTTAGCCCAGACCACTGTCATCATCGTCAAAGTCATGTTCCCAGAATCTGTGCTAAGAAAAGCTACTCAGTAGAACACACTTGAATACAGCATGTTTTGCTCTATAGACCCAGTGATTTCTTATTTTTCCCTAGGCACCCTCCTTCCTAGGGGCTGCGATAAAGCTCCAATCAGACTCTTCAAGAAAGAATTTTCTTCCCAGAAGACCCAGAGCCTTCTGTATGGGGTGCAGAGATTTTGCAGATTGGGCTCAGGTTAATAGGACTCGGAGACCATATTGGCCCAGTCTGTACCTTCCCACAAGAAAAGCAATCTGGGGAATAAGCCCAGGCTTCAGCCTTGATACCTAGAAAGAAGCTATGACCCAAGTGCGCCTATTTCTCATAGACCATTTTTCCCCATAGCAATTTCATTTCAGCTTCCCAAGCGAATCTGCCCTTTCCCTAGGAAGGAAACTGCACTACACATATGGAAAGATTTTGATCTCCTTAAATCCCAAGGAGCCCAGTATCGATGGGTGAAATGAATCAGAAATTTGTTCACAGACAGACATGTGCCCAATTCTGGCCCTAACCCTGACTGTGACTTTGGATGGGGTTCTTAAACTTTAAGTTCACTACATGGTAAAAGATGATTGTGCTGATGTCACTGGGCTCTGTGGTTGCCAGAGGAGAACAAGCACCTAGCACATTTCAGGAACTCAGCAAATGTCCCTTTTCCCCTCTTATCCCCAGCGCTTAGCCAAAGGCCTGATTCCCATTCAAGCCGCTGTTAATAAGAGACTTGACCTTTTAAAGCAAGAAATTCATGATTTAACACTCCCAGCAGCTGTCTATGATGGAAACCACAGACTTTCCACAACCTCCCCATTTGCATTCACATGGGTAGTTGAATACTAACACTGAAAGTTTAAAAGTTGTCTTCAAACGTCTCTGGGGGTGCAGACGGTTGCAAAAGTGGGTGTTGGGGAGGGCAGGGTGGCTGAAACAGTGCCTTCGAACATACAAAGTGTAAAACCTCCAGCGTAAGCCAACCTGTCACTCTTGGTGTAGCCTGTGAAATTGTTATGGCCTGGAGCATGTAGGTCACCTCTCCTTGGCAGGAATCCCAAAGGCTTTAGCATTCATGACTGCCTGGCATTTCCCAGGGTTCTCCCGTGAGCTACAAAGATGTCCCTTAGCTTGCTGTCAAATGAAAGATATATTACTCCCCCGTCTTTCTTACCTGTCATCCTCTCACACACTCAGATAATTTAGTCTGGGACACACAGTTCTCCAAGCCAGCCATACTGAAACAATCTCGCATGCTCCCACATTTCTCTGCAACCTGGAGAAACTAGGTGTGATTTCAAAGCCAACTGTTCAAAGAGAAAAGGAATCTGGGTCTGGGAGAAGAGGTGGAGCTGTTTGCCTTGCAAACTTTTTTGTTAATTTTAGTTCCAGTCCCCAGGCCTTTGGTTAAAACTAGAGAGAGCTTCCTCCAGCCTGATAAAGTGAACATAGCATTTCTCAATAAACCTTGAACCATTGGCCAAACCTCAGATCTCAATGCTTTTCCCTAAGGTTATGGCCACCAAAGCTGAGACTTAAAAGTAATAACAAGAACAGAAAACCTCAAGGATGGAAGAATGCTGGGAGGACCCAGGAGGCTTCACACAGGCTGAAAGCACCCTCTGCTGGGAATAAGCAAGACAGCACCACCTATGCATCCTCTCCCAATAGTTCGCCCACAACATTCTGTGTTCACACAACAAATACATTCACCTCTCAAGCCACCCTTCCCTCTCATCTGGGACCTGGGCCAGAATTCTTTGTGCTTCTCAGCTATATTTTCATTTTATAGCCTGCAAAATGCCAAAATAGACACATGTTTAAAAATAATGTATTTGAAAACTATGATTTGGAAACACATATGTTTCTGGTATTGAACTGACTTAAGTTTTGACTATAATTCATTGGACATTCTTTGCATTGCAGCATAACAAGAAACCTTCGAGGAAGAATATAATAATAGGTGATTAAACTAGAAAATACTCCTGAATAGACCTATACTGATCTTTCAATTCCATTTTTGCCTAGGAGACTCTGCCTTATTATTTCTATAGGTAATTTTATAGGTAATGAGGGAAAGGCAATGTCAGGTATACAAGAAGAAACCTCCTCCAAAGACTGTACTGGAACTTACCATTAATCCTTAAAGCGACATGCCCATACAAGCTGTTTCTATAAAGACATATCTACCTTTCATATCTGTAGACAGATACAGCTCGAATGACAGAAGTAGTGTACTAGAAGCAGAGAGATCATTAGAAAATGTTGGATTGTCCCAATAAATAAGGGTTAGACTTAGAGTCACAAGACATTTGTCTTCTATCGTTTTACACACCTGTGAGTAGTTAATGCTTTCAACAAGTATTTGAGCATTTACTGCTTGCTAGACACCAAAATAGACCCTGGGACACAACTGTGAACAAGAGAAAGAAAATCTGCCTTCTGAAAACTTGCAGACTATTGAAGAGGACAATATAATCAAACACTACAGCTCGCTGGCACGAGTGTTATGACAGGATAAACCCAGGGTATATAGAAGTGGATGGCAAGGGGCTATAACCCAGAAAATCAAAGAAAATGGGTGCAAAAGCATATAAAGAACTATATGAATGAGTTATTTTTTCCAATATGTTGCTTTTTATTATGGTAAAATATACATAACATAAAACTTACAATTTTAACCATCTTAAAAGTACAATTCAGTGCCATTAAGTACATTCACAGATGGTTGTACAACCATCATCACGTCCATTTCCAGAACACTTTCATACAACCCAAACAGAAACTCTATACCCATCAAAAAGTAATTTCATTCCTTCAGCTCCTGATAACCTCTATACTTTCTTGTCTCTGATTTTGTCTACTTAAGGTACCTCTTATAAGTGAAATAATATGATATTTGTCCTTTCGTGTATGGTTTACTTAGCATAATGTCCTCAAGCTTTACCCATGTTGTGCCATGTGTAAGAATTTCATTTCTTTTAAGAATGAATAATAATATCTGGCTGGGCACAGTGGCTCACACCTGAAATCCCAGCACTTTAGGAAACCGAGGTGGGCGGATCACCTGAGGTCAGGAGTTCAAGACCAGTCTGGCCAACATAGTGAAACCCCACCTCTACTAAAAATACAAAAATTAGCCGGGTATGGTGGCACACACCTGTCATCCCAGCTACTCGGGAGGCTGAGGCAAGAGGATCGCTCGAACCCAGGAGGCAGAGGTTGCAGTGAGCCGAGATTGTGCCACTGCACTCCAGCCTAGGAAATAGATTGAGATTCTGTCTCAAAAAAAAAAAAAAAGAATATAATCTATTGTATGCATGTACCACATTTTGTTTATCTATTTATACACTGATGAACAATTGGATAGTTTCCGTCTTTTGGCTATTGTGAATAATGCTGCTATGAACATTGGTGTACAAGTATCTGTTAGAGTACCTACTGTCATTTTTTTTTTAGTATATACCTAGAAGTGGAATTGCTGGATCATATGGTAATTTTATGTTTAAATGTTTGAGGAACCACCATACAGTTTTCCACAGCAGCTGCACCATTTTACATCCCCACCAGCAAGGCACAAGTGTTCTAATTTCTCCATCTCCTCACTAGCACTTGTCATTCTGGGGGTTGTCTGTTTTAAATATATATAATAACCATCCTAATGGGTGTGAAGTGGTATCTAAATATAATTTTGATTTTCATTTCCCTAATGACTAGTGATGTTGAACATCTTTTCATGTGCTTATTGAAAATTTGTGTATCTTCTTTGGAAAAATGTCTATTCAATATACTGGCCCATTTTTGAATTGGGTTGATTTGTTTTGTTGTTGTGGTTGAGTTACATGAATTCATTATATGTTCTGGCTATTAGTCCCTTAACAGATGTATTATTTGCAAATATTTTCTCCCACTCTGTGTGTTGCTTTTTAACTCTCTTAATAATGTCCTTTGATGCACAAAGGTTTTTAATTTGGATTGAGTCAAAATTATCTATTTTTCTCTTTTGTTACCCATGCTGTTTGTGTCAGATCCAAGAAATCCTCACCAAATCTTATGTCATGATGGCTTTAGCCTGCTTTCTTCTAGGAGTTCTATCGTTTTGCTCTTACATTTAAATCTTTGACCTACTTTGAGTTAATTTTTGTATATAGTGTATACTTTGTGTATATTCTATATATGTTATTTGTGATTAGCCAGAGGTTACATATAGCATCTCACAGTTACACTGATCTATTTTTAATTAATACCAACTTAACTACAGTTACATATGGAAACTCTACTTCTGTAAAGCTCTGCTCACTTCTTTATGATATTGATGTCACAGATTACATCTTTTTTTTTTTTTTAGACAGAGTCTTGGTCTGTCACCCAGGCTGGAGTGCAGTGGCACGATCTCAGCTAACTGCAGCCTCCACCTCCCCAATTCAAGCAAAGCTTCTGCCTCAGCCTCCCAAGTAGCTGGGATTACAGGAGTGCACCACCATGCCTGGCTAATTTTTGTATTTTTAGGAGAGATAGGCTTTCACCATGTTGGCCAGGCTGGTCTTGAACCCCTGACCTAAAATGATCCACCCGCCTCAACCTCCCAAACAAATTACATTTTTTAAACATTGTGTGCCCAAAAGCATAAATATATAATTATTTTATGCATTTTTCTTTTAAATCCTATAGAAAATAAATAAAAAGTGGAGTAACAAACAAAATTATTTTAATACTGGTTTTTATATTTGTCCATGTATTTACCTTCACACATTTTATTTTTTACAGAATTGTTTTAGCTATTATAGTTCCTTTACCTTTCCATATAAATTTTAGAATCCTATTGTCATATCTAAAAAAAAGCTTGCTGGAATTTTGATAAGAATTGCTTTAAGCTTGTATATCAATTTGAAGAGAATTAAAATTTATAATATGTTGAGTCTTCTAATTCTTGAACACAGTACATCTTTCCATTAGTTTAAATATTCTTTAATTTTTTTCATTATTGTTCTGTGGTTTTCACATCACAGTCCCACACATGTTTTGTTAAATTTACACCTAAGTATTTTAATTTCTTAAGCAACTGTAAAGAGTGTTGTATTATTAATTCCAGTGTTTATTGTTAGTATATCAAAATAACAATAAATTTTTATGGCTTTTAGTGTTTTTCTTTCAGACCCTTTGATATTTTCGACCTAGGCAATTACATTGTCTGCAAATAGGAATCATTTTATTTCTTCTTTTCTGAACTGTATGCATTTTATTTCCTTTTCTTGCCTTATTTCACTGGCTAGAATGGCCAGCACTATGTTGAATGACAATAGTGAGCACAGACATCTTTGTCTTGTTCCTGATATTAGGGAGAAAGCACTCAGTCTTTCACCATTAAGTGTAATGTTAGCTCTAGTTTTTTGTTTGTTTGTTTGTTTTGTAGATGCTCATTATCAAGTTGAAGAAGTTCGCCTCTACTCCTATTTTTCTGAAAATTTCTATCATCAACAGATCTTAAATTTTGTCAATTACTTTTTCTGCATTAAGTAATATGGTCATGTGTTTTTTCTTCTTAAGTCTGCAAATATGGTAGATTATGTCGATTAATTTCAAATATCAAACAAGCTTATATCCATGGAATAAATTCCACTTAGTCATGGTGCCTTAGATTATTCGGGCTGCTATAACACCATAAACTGGCTAGCGTATAAACAACAGAAACTTATTCCTCACAGTTTAGGAGGCTAGGAAGTCCAAGTTCAAGTTCCCAGCAAATTTGAAGTCTGGTGAGGGCCTACGTCCTTGTGCATAAATGGTGCCTTCTCACTGTGTCTGTCATATGATGAAAAGGCAAGGCAGCTCTCTGGGGTCTCCTTTACAAGGGCACTAATCCTATTCATGAGGGTAGATCCTGAATGAGCTAATAACCTGTCAAAGGCCCCACCTCCTAATATACCACATCAGTGTTTAGGTTTCAACATATGAATGCGAGTGTTTTACTAAGGATTTTTGCACCTATGTTCATGAGACACATTAATCTGTAGGTTTTTGATACTGTGTTTACCTTGTTTTATATCAGTGTAATACTAGATTCATAAAATAAATTGGTAAGTGGCCTGTACTCTTTTATTTTCAGAAAGAGATTGTGTGGCTCTCTTTCAAAGATCTACAGCGGTGTTAGTTAGCCAAAGTATCCATTTTTAAAAAATGTTTGGTAGAATTATCTAAACAATCTGATCCTGGAGATTTCCTTTATTGGAAGTTTTTAAATTATAAACTCAATTATCTTAACAATTATAAGGCTACTCAAATTATCCATTTTATATTGGGTGTGTTGTGATAGTTAATGTTACCAAATTTTTGTGTGTAGAGTTGTTTGCCTCATTCGTTTACTGTCTTTTGAAAATTTTTTTTATTTTTAATTTGTATAGGTATGTAATAGGTATATATATTTGTAAGGCACATGAGGTATTTTGATACAGGCATACAATGTGTAATACATCAGGGTAAACAGAGTATCCGTCACCTCCAATATTCATCATTTCTTCGTGTTATGAACATTCCAATTGTACTCTCTAAGTCATTCCGAAATGTACAAATTATTGATGCCCATAGTCACCCTGTTGTGCTATCAAATACTAGATCTTACTCATTATGTCTAACTATATTTTTTCACCTATTAACATCCCCACTTCCTCCACCTCCCCACTACCTTCCCCAGCCCCTGGTTGCCATCATTCTATTCTCTACCTCCATGAGTTCAATTGTTTTAATTTTTGGTTCTCACAGATGAGTGAGAACATGTGGAGTTTGTCTTTCCGTATCTGGCTTATTTCACCTAATATAATATCCTCCAGTTCCATCCACGTTGTGGCAAATTACAGGATCTCATTCCTTCTTATGGATGAATAGTACTACATTATATATATGTATCACATTTTATTTATCCATTTATCTGTCAATGGACATTTAGGTTGATTCCAAGTCTTGGCTACCATGCATAGCACTGCAATAAACATGGGAGTACAAATATCTCTTTGATATACTGATTTCCATTCTTTGGGGTATATACCTAGCAGTGGAATTTCTAGAGCATATGATAGTTCCATTTTTAAATTTTTGAGGAATCTCCAAACTATTCTCCATAGTGGTTGTACTAATTTACATATCCACCAACAGTGTATGAGAGTTCCCTTTTCTCCACATCCTCACCAGCATTAGTTATTGCCTGGTTTTTGTATAAAAGCCACTTTGACTGGGATGAGATGATATCTCATTGTAGTTTTGATTTGCATTTCTCTGATGATCAATGATGTTGAGCACACTTTTATATACCTGTTTGCCTTTTGTATGTCTTCTTTTGGGAAATGTCTATTGAAATATTTTGCCCATTTTAAGTCATATTATTAAATATTTTCCTATTGAGTTGTTGGAGCTCTTTATATATTCTGGTTATTAATCCCTTGTCAGATGGATAGTTTGCAAACATTTTCTCTCGTTGTGTGAGTTGTCTCTTTACTTTGTTAATTGTTTCCTTTGCAGTGCAGAAGCTTTATTAACTTGATGTGATCCCATTTGTCCATTTTTGCTGTGGTTGCCTGTGCTTTTGGGGTATTACCCAAGAAATCTTTGCCCAGGCTAATGTTCTGGAGAGGTTCCCCAGTGTTTTCTTGTAATAGTTTCATAATGTCAGATCTTTAATCCATCTTGATTTATTTTTTGTATAGGGTGAGAGATGGGGTCTAGTTCTATTCCTTTGCATATGGATATCCAGTTTTCCCAGCACCCCCTTATTACCCTTTTGATATTTGTAGGATGTGTAATGCTATCTCTTGTTTCATTCCTGATATTGATAATTGTGTCTTCTCCGTTTTTTCTCTGCAATTTTTTTGGCAATTTCCTTCTATCTCTTCTAAGCATAATCTCTTTCTTTCATTGATTTTCTCTATTGTATTTTCTGTTTTTAATTTCCTAGTTATCTCTTCTTGCCTTTATTATTTATTTTCTTGTACTTGCTTTCAGTTTACTTTTTTCTTTTTCTAGGTTCTTCAGGTGGGAGTATTGATCTGAGCCTTTTCTAATGTCTGAATTTGGTACTATAAGTCTTCCTCAGCACCACGTTAGTTGTGTCCTACAAATTTTGATATGTTGTATTTTCATGTTCATTCAATTCAATGTCTACTTTCATGGCTCTGGAGAATTTCTTTGACCCATAGATTATTTAGCAGTGTGTGGTTTAGTTTCCAAGTCTTTGGAGAATTTCCTGTTATCTTCCTGTTTTTGACTTCTACTTTTATTCCATTGTGGTTAAAGGGCATTCTCTGTATAATTTTAATTCTTTCTAAATTATTTGAGTTTGTTTTGTGGCCCAGGATATTCTATCTTGGTATATGTTCCATGCGTATTTAAGAAAGTGTGTAGCTGCTGTTGTTGAGTGGAGTGTTCTATGAATGTTGATTATATCCTGTTGGTTGATGGTGGTGTTGAGTTCTTCTATATCTTTGCTAATTTTCTTATTGTTTTAAGAGTTTTTGATAGAGTAATGTTGAAGTTTCCAACTGTAACTGCGGATTTGCCTATTTCTCTTTTTGGTTATATTAGTTCTTGCTTCACATATTTTGCAGCTCTGTTGTCTGGTGCATATACACTTGGGATTAATCTTTTTAAATAATGTACTTCTCTATCTCTTATAACATATTGTACTCTAAAGTCTAACTTATCTTATATTAATATATCCACTCTGCCTTCCTTCGATTAATATTTGCATGATTTGACCGGGCGCGGTGGCTCACGCCTGTAATCCCAGCACTTTGGGAGGCTGAGGCGGGCGGATCACCTGAGGTCAGGAGTTCGAGACCAGCCTGACCAACACGGAGAAACCCTGTCTCTACTAAAAATACAAAACTAGCCGGGTGTGGTGGCACATACCTGTAATCCCGGCTACTTGGGAGGCTGAGGCAGGAGAATCACTGGAACCCAGGAGGCGGAGGTTGTAGTGAGCCAAGATTGCTCCATTGCACTCCAGCCTGGGCAACAAGAGCAAAACCCCAGCTCCAAAAAAGGAAAGAAAAAGAAAATCATCAAAGAGAAAAAATATCTGCCTGAACAAGTTTTTAATGCAGACAAAAGTGCACCATTTAGTGGAGGGAGGTTGCAGGGCAGGCCACAAAGGACATTTATTAGTAAGCACTAGGATTTAAAGCAGGGAAGGGATAAACTAACTCCACCATTTTGTGCAAATGTAGTCAGGTTTATGATCAAGACTGCCCTTATCTATAAAGCTACTAACTCCCAAACCTTGAAGGAAAAATATAAACACTAGTTGCCAGTCTCTTGTTTGTACAACAAGAAGGCCTGGACAACAAGAACACTTTTTCTCAAGTGGTTCCAGTGATGATTTTTCTCTGAAGTCAAGAAACACATTGCCATTGAGGGACTGTCTTTAAAGTCTTTTGATATTCTACAATGCCCCCTGCCACCCAGAACCCCACGAGTTCAGCAATGAAGGCACTAAAATGGCCTCCTTGCCACCAAACACGATGTCTCTAATTCAGCCTCTAGATCAGGGAGTCATCAGGCTCATTCGCACTTGGTAGTCTATGGAAAGGATTGTCAACTCTATGGAAGAGAACGTCATGAATGTTTGAAAATATTACACCAGTAAAGATGCCATCATTGTTACAGAAAAGGCAACGGAAGCCATCAGGTGGAAAACAATAGATTCCTGCCGGAGGTAACTGTGTCCAGATGCTGTGCGTGGCTTCATAGGATTTACAACAGAGTAGACCAAGGAAATCATCAAAGAGATTGTGAATATATCAAAAAGGTGGGGCATGAAGTGATTCAAGACATGAATCTCAGAGATATTCAAGATCTAATAAACACCACAGCAGAGGAATTAAGAGAAGACAACTTAATGGAGATGAGCGCTTTTGAATCAGTACCAGATGATGTGGAAGAAGACATAGAAGAGGCAGTGCCAGAAAACAAATTGACATTAGCCGATCTGGCAGGAGGGTTTCAATTATTCACGACCGCTTTTGACTTCTTTTATAATGTGCTCCCTTCTATGATATGGACACTGAAATGAAACCTAATGATGAAAGCAGGATTAGTATCGTATAGAAACACTTTTAGAGAAATGAAAAAAAAAAAAAGTCAGACAAAAATGATGATGTTATTTCCATAAGGTTACACCAAGTGTGCCTGCCCTCCCTGTCTCCCCTTCTACCTCTTCCACCTCTTCAACCTCTGCCATCTTTGAGACGGTACGACCAACCCCTCCTCTTCCTCCTCGTAATCAATCTACTCAATGTGAAAAGGCAAGGGTGAAAACCTTTATGATGATCCATTTCTACTTAATGAATAGTAAATATATGTTTCTTCCTTATGATTTTCTTAGTAAATTTTTTCTCTAGCTTACTTTATTGTAAGAATACTGTATATAATACATATAACAAAAAATATGTATTAGTCAGTTGTTTATGTTATCAGTAAGGCTCTGGTCAACAATAGGCTATTAGTCGTTAAGTTTGGGGGGAGTCAGAAGTTAATGTGTAAGCTTTCAATTGCACACCGGCTAGCACCTTTAACCCCCACATTGTTTAAGGGTCAACTGTATATCCAAAGGAAAGCGAATCAATATGTTGAAGTGATATCTGTACTGGCATGTTTACTGCAGCACTGTTCACAGTAGCCAAGACATGGAATCAACCTAAGTGTCCATCAATAAGATAAATGGATAAAGAAAATGTGGTAGATATAGAAAATTGAATACTATTCATCCATAGCAAATAATGAAATCCTGTCATTTGCAGCAATACGGATGAGGCTGGAGAACATTACGTTAAGTGAAATAAGACAAGAACAGAAAGATAAATACTGCATGTTCTCATTCCTATGTGAAAGCTAAAAATGTTGATCTCCTATTCCTACCTTTTATTTTCAACTTGCATGTAGTTTGTGAATTTCTTATAAACAGCAGATCAAGTCATGTATTTTAATCCACTTTGACAATTTCTGTCTTTTAATTAATTATTGATATGTCAGTGCTTAAGTCTGCCATTTTATTTTTTCTTTTGTGTTTGTTCTCTCTGCTTTTAGTTTCTCGGGGTTTTCTTTCCTAACTTCCTATGTTACTTAAACGTTTTTAGAATTCCTTTTTAATATTTGTGTGATAATTTTAGGGTTATCTCTGTATAGGCGTTGTAGTGTTTGCTCTAAATATTACATTATATGCACATAACATTTCATAGTCTAATTGTAACTTTACCAGTTTCTGTAAACTATAAAAACCTTACCTCTTTTATGTCCTTTTACCTTCTTCCATTAATAATATAATTGTCTTAAATGTTTCTTCTGCATACATTTAGAACCACGTCAAACAGTATTACATTTCTACTTCAACCACAAAATGTAATTTATAAAGCTCTGGAGTAAAAGGAAAGCCTGTTAGCCTGTTACATTTGCTCAGATTTTTGCTTACCATGTTCTTTCTTTCTTCCTGATGTTCCATGGTTTCTTCTTCTACCATTGCATTCCTGTTTAGAAAACTTTCTTTAGCTATCCTTTCTGGGTATAGATCGGCTGGAAACAAATTGTCATAGTTTTCCTTCATCTAAGAACTAGATGATTTCCTCTTCATTCCTGAAAAATATTTTTGCTCAGTATAAGATGCCGGTGGACAGTTCATTCTTTTCATCACTTGAAAAATATTGTGCCACCTCCACACGGACTACATAGTTTCTGAAGAGAAATCTGCTGTAATTTAAAGTATTTTCCCCTGTAGCTAAAGTATCATCTTTCTGTGGCTGCTTTCAAGATTTTAAAATCCTGTAACTTTAGTTTTCAAAACTCTAATTCGGATGTGTCTGATATAGATTTATTTAGGTGTATCCTCTTTAGGGTTTGATCAGCTTCTCATAAAGGCAGGTTTATGTCTCTTGCCAGGTTTTCTGCCATTACTTATTCAAGTCGTTTTTCAGTCCTGCCCTTTCTCCTCTCCTTCCAGAAATCCAATGACATGAAGCTTAGATCTTTTGTTATATTCCCACATCTCCCTGAGGCTATATTTATGGGTGGTTTTTTTTTTGGCTTTTAATCTATTTTCCCTCTGTTATTCAGATTGGATAATTTGATTGTTCTATCTTCAAGTTCACTGATTCTATCTTCTGTCCCCTCCATTATGCTGTTGAGCACATCCAGTGTGGTTTTGTTTTTTTTTTTTTTTGGTTATTGTATTTTCAGTTCTAAAATTTGTTTGTAAATATTTCTATTGTTATATCCTCTATTTCTTTGCTTTGATCTTCTGTTTCTTTGTGGAGGCTTTCAATATTTTTGTTTCAAACAGGTTTGTAATTGCTTATTGAAGAGCTTTTAGCATAACCACGTTAAAGTCTTTGTGAGATAATTCTAACATGTCTGTTACCTTGGTGTTGCCATATCTTGACTACCTTCTATATTCACTTTGAGCTCTTCCTGCTTCTTGGTATGACAAGTGATTTTTTATTGAAACCTGAACATACTGGTATTATGTTATGAGGACGGATCTCATTTAAACCTTTTGTTTTACCTGGCTTTTCCTGATACTTCTCTGATGAGGGAATGTGGTGTGCACCACCTTGGTGCTTCCAGTTAGAGGTAGAAGTGCAGGTTCCCCACCTGGCCTTCATTGTCACCTGAGGTGGGGTGTTCCCTGTCACTGCTAGGCAGGTGCGATGGTTCTAGTGCCTCATGTGGTATCCACTGATACCATGGTGAGAGCAGCCTTATTGCCACTGGACAATGACAGAGGCCCTGACTCTCTGCTAGGCCTCCTATGATGCCATCCCACTGAGGACGGGGAGGGATGCCATGTCACTTCCAGGTGGGGGTGGAAGTTCCGGCCCCACGTATGGTCACCATTGACACCACAGTGGGGATGCCCCACTGCCGTGTGGTGGGGATAGAAGTCCCAACACCCCGCTTGGTCTTCTCTAACACCATCCCAGTGCGGGTATTGAGCCACCTCATGACAGCCTTGCAAGGGCGGGCATCTAGTCTCCGCACTCAATCTTTGCTGGTCGAATGGAAATGATGGCAGTTTTTTCTGTGGTGTTTGGCAGAAATAGAGAAGTTATTGTTTATACTTCTAGTCCTTTCTGTCCTTCTAGGCTTCCCTTTCTTGGACTTTTAGCTAGAAGAGCCAGCTTTTCTCAGGATTTCTTTTCTCTGTGCCCACTGGCATTTCTGTGCTGCTAGTTTCTCCACCAAAAAGTCTGGGATATAGAAGGCAAAAAGAAAATCCAGGGAGCCCACCACCATGTCATTCCTCTGGCCCCAAGACCCTACCTAGCCAGTCAGCATTCTTCTTTCCACCTTTCAGAGCCTTCTTATGTTTGATTTATATGAACAGATATTCCTCAACTTAAATGCTGTTACATTCAAATAAATCCATTGTAACATGATATTGTCTCAAAAATGCATTTAATACACCTAACCAATTGCCTACTTTAAACATGCTTAGAACACTGAAATTAGCCTACAGTTGGGCGAAATTAGCCTACATTTGGGCAAAATCAGCTGGCGACACAGTACACTGCAGAGTCTCAGATGCTTACACTCCTGATTCTGTGGCTGACGGGGACCTGCAGACACTGCCCAGCATCACAAGAAGGTATCATACCACACATCCCTAGCCCAGGAAAGATCAAAATTTAAAGTGTGAAGCATGGCTTATACTGAATACATGTTTCTTTCACACCATTATAAAGTTGAAGTCAAACCATCATAAGTCAGAGACTGTCTATAGAACAAAAAGTAGAACATGAAGCAAGGTAAAAACTATACTCAGAAGATAATGTATAACATAAAAATGTTTTTATTATTAAGAAAACTGAAAATGAAAGAGACTTACTAGGTTTTTAATTAGGAAAACAACAAAACTGTTTTAGAAAAGAAGGTAGATATTTTATAAATAAAAAGGCATAAATATATAAAACAAAAAGCAAATGTTCGTCTTGTGTACTATGATATGCTACACATCCCAAACTTTAGTTTACACACACACACATATATATTTTGCATGTTTGGCTGAGCTGGCATGAAATAATAATTTGAAAGACTTGAACACTACACTTAACAAGCTTCACCTAATGAAAATACAGAAAATAGTGTTAGAGGAACACACCTGATATGTCCTTTCATCTGGTGGGGATTTCACTAGAGTAACACTTCTGGCCATTCTTCAATCCTAACATACTCTTCCCCAAAGGATTAATCTTATCATTCAGCATAGAAAGAAAAATGTGGCATACAGATGCCAAATCCTTCCCCTTCTCTTTTTCTTAGAACTAAGCTTCTGACAGGGACTAAATAATCTGCTCTAATAGTCTCTGCCATAATTTGGCCATAGTAGCTACCATCCATTATGAGAGAAGGCCACATCGGCCTGGCGCGCCCTGAAACCAAATGGGTTACTCTGCCTAAATGTTTAGTGTTAAGACATTCACTTGCCCATACCTTTAAGCCACAGTCAAAACATCAGCTTGATCAGTAATAAAATGAATAAGTTGGACACCATCTATCAACATTTTGTTTCATTTCTTGATGCTGCCAGAACTCTTGTGGAGAAGACAGGTGTATTATGTTGGCTGCCCTCTAAAAATCCAACAGTAATTACAGGATGCACTTTTTATTTAAATTCACATGGGACATTTATTAAAATTCACAACATACTAGACCATAAAACACAGCTCAACAAACTTCAAGGAACTGGTAACATATCATATATGTTCTTCCTTAACTAAAAAGTCACTCGACAGAAATCAGTAAGTGAAAGGAAACGTTGTTTTAAAAACTCACTTTCGAAATTACAAAGGGAAACATTTTTTACTAACTCAAGAGTCAAGTAGAAGACTATAATGGAGATTTGATAAATACTTAATACTAAAACATAATAAAACATATCAAAACATATAGGATACAATACTTAGAATAAATGTGTGACCCTAAATCCTTATATTACAAAAAAAAAGCTAATGAAATATGCTCTCATCTTAACAAGTGTAAAAACATCAGAATAAAAACGAATCAAGATTAAGGGTATAATAAACTTAAAAGTAACCATTAATGAAATAGAAAACAAAAAATAACAAAGGTCAGCAAAGCTAAAGAGAAAGATCTAGGAAAAAACAATAAAATTTACAAATTTGTAACATATGAAGAGAGAGAACACCACCATTACCAACAACAGTAAAATAAGATGACACATTTACATGCAAGTTCTACCTAACACACAAAAAAGAAAAAAATTTAATTTTAAACATTTCCAGACTATTTTTAAGGGGGAAAAACACATTAATTTCTATTAGTCAATTGGCATATTCTTTATTCTAAAACCTGACAAAATTGGTACAAGAAATAGAAATTATAGGCAAACTTTAATTTTGAACCTCAATGTTAAAATTCTAAGGCAAATATTACAAACCAAACAAGTAGCATATAGTATTTCAGTAATGACCAAATTAGATTCATCTCAGGGATGCACAGTTAACCCTATATTTCGATAAAAATCAGATCCTTTAATGCCAAAGTAGCTTGTATCAAGTTAAACATCATGCAGCTAACAATTACCTGCTCTGGAAAAAAATGTATAAAAACTATTTAAAGTCATAAAAAATGACAAAACCAGGTAGGAACTGAGGAGATTAAATATTTCAAAGAAAGGAAATGAACTGAGACAGATACATGTTTACATGGTATATCAGTCAGGTTGTCCAGAGAAGCAGAACCAACAGGATACACATACACACACACACACACACACACACACGTATATTTATATATAAATAATTATATATACATGTGTGTCATGTTTCAAGGATTTGGCTCACATGCTTCTGAGAGCTGGTAAGTCTGAAATCTGCAGGGAACAGGAGCAGGCTGAAAACTCTCAGGCAAAAGCTGATGCTATGATCTTAAGGCAAAATTTCTACTGCTTCAGAGAAACCTCAGTTTTGCTCCTAAGGCTTTTCAATTGATTAAAGGAGGTCCACTCATATTACAGATAATAATTTTCTTTACTTAAAGTCAACCAATACGTTAACCACATCTACAAAACACCTTCACAGCAAAACCTACATTAGTATTTAACTGCGTAACTGGGCATTATCACCTGGCCAAGTTAACGCATAAAACTTACCATCACATGTGGCTTTTCTTCTAAAGGCTTTAAGACCACATGGTATGCAGCCCCTAGAACTCAGGCAGAAAACCATACACTGTCTTTTTAACTTAAGGCATCAGGGGACAAAATCCAAGGCTGTGTGAGAAACTGAAAATTAAAAAAGAAAGTCCAGGAATGGAGAAATCCTTGGCTGACCCTTGAACCACACATGCAGGGAGGAGGCTTCAAAGACTCTAGCAGAAAGCAACAGTTGGAAGGCAAAACTGGAGAGGAGAATTCAGCTGCAATGAAGTCTGAATTTTGAACTTGAATCGCACTAAATTAGAAGTACTTACAAACACCCCCGGCTTCCATTGAAATCCCATAATTACCACATTTAGGAGTAAATGCTATACCCCAAAACTAAGAGTGTCCTCTTAGGACTTGAGGGGAAACATAAAACAGAGTTGCTCTAACGAGGTGTAAAATTTAGCCTCCAAAAGTTCAAGGTGATTAGCCAGTAATTTAACTGCCTGTGAGGGCAAAACTAATCACTCTTCGGAGGAACACAAAAGAACCCAGAGTTCCTACAAGCTAACATCTACAGTATCCAAAATCTAATGAAAAATATATTAGACATGGAAAGAAAAAAGAAATATGGTCCAATGTTATCCAAAAAAAAGTAAATAGAAATAGATCTTAAGATGACCAAATGTTGGAAGTAGATAACAAGAATTTAAAGCTACTATTGTTCAAGAAGACAAAGAAAAAGATGAACATAATGAATGAAAACACAGAAATGCATCAGAGAAGTGGAAACTATAAAAAAAGAACCAAATGGAAACTCTAGAATAATATCTGGAAAAACAACAATAACAAAACACTGGGTGGGTTTAATGCTAGATTGAAGATTGCAGAAGCAAGGATCAATTACTTGAAGACAGAAATATTAAGTTTTAAATGTGAAGAACACAAAAAATTTAAATGAAATGACTTAATGACTTGCAAGAAAACATTTAGTGGTTTAACACATGTGTAATTGTAGACAGACCAAAAGAAGAGGTGATAAAGGGGCAAAAACATAATTGAAAAATAATGGCAAAAATATGATATATGTGATTATTTAAAAGCATTAAATTATAAATCCAAGATGACCAAGGAGCTCCAAGAAGAATAAATACAAAGAAAATCCGAACAGGGTGCATCATTATATTTGTACATGACTACATAGACATGAAGAGGCAGTGCATGGAAGATATACCTCCCATTGTTATTCTCAGGAAGAGTGAAGAGGGTGGGGAAAAACGGAATGCAGGATAGGAAGGTCATTTATGAATGTATGTGCAATAAAAACATGAACATAATACCACTTATTTAAAATAATATGTAGCATATATTATGTAAAGAAATGAATGGAGAGATGGTCACCAAAATGTTAATGGTGAATATTTCAGTGTGACCTTTACTTTCTTCTTAATATTTTATGAGTTAATGGAATTTATCATAATGATCATGTATTATTAATCCTATCCGAATTTTTTAAATCTTCTTTTTGCATATAAAGAAAATTTAAGTCAGAGGCTTGAGCTTTCACCTACCCCAATGATGATTCTGCATAATGTTTTTCTCACCTATTCATCGTAAAGCAGCATACACAGACACTTTGGTCCAGAACTCACTTGTACAACATAAAGAAATTTAGGCATAGAGATCATATATGGTAGGATTATAGTGATTATATTCAGTTTTATAGTGTAGATTTAAAAGTCATCTTAGTATAGGTTAAAAATAACTGAGCTATCCTGCTACTAAGGCAGATGACAAACCAGGTTTAAATGTACCAGTTGGCCAGGCACCACAGCTCAGGCCTGTAGTCCCAGCACTTTGGGAGGCTGAGGCGGGTGGATCACTTGAGCTCAGGAGTTCAAGACCAGCCTGGACAACATGGTGAAAGCCTATCTCGACAAAAATACAAAATTAGCCAGGCATGGTGTCACGTACCTTGGTCCCAGCTACTTGGGAGGCTGAAGCAAGAGGATTGCTTGAGCCAGGAGTCAGAGGTTGCAGTGAGCCAAGATCATGCCACTGCACTACAGCCTGGGCAACAGAGCCAGACCCTGTCTCGAAAAAAAAAAGAAAAAAGAAAAAAAAAAAAAAAACAGGACCAACTGAAAACAAGGCTCAGCCTCTGATTTTTTTCTAAATTAATCAAAATAAGAAATTATTTTCTATTATTCCAGTCAATCATTCAACAATACTTTTTAGTATTATTTTTTCAGGCACTGGTCATCATGCAGTAAACAAAGCAGGCAAGTATCTTTTTTTCACCTTGAAGACGACTCTATTCCAGTGATGGAGAACAGACAATAAGCCAAACAATAAATTACATAGCACATTGGGAAGTGATAGACGCTAAGAAGAAAATTTAAAGAAAGGACCAAGAAAGGGAGGACCAGAGATAGCAGGGAGTGCAATTTTAAATAGGCTTCAGTGAGGAGGGCATTTAAAAGCCAACTTTGGAAGGATATCTGAGAGTTAGCTATGTAGATATTTGGGGAAGAACATTCTAAGCCAATAAAAAAGAAAACACAAAATCCCCTATGCAGGAACATGAGGGTCATGTTTCAGGACCAGTGAAGAGGATACTGAAGAAACAAAGACGGAGACGGTGGAAGAGATGGGGTCTTCTATACCATGGTAAGGCTTTGACTTTCACCCTGAGTAATATAAGAGGCCACTGAAGGGTTTGGAGTTAAGAAGTGAGATGACCGAACTTCATCGTTTTTTTTTGTAATTTTACTCTTTATTGATGTACTACTGATAAATAAAATCTCTGTGTTCAAGATGTACAATTGGATGTTTTGATAGATGTAAACATTGTGAAATGATTACCTAAACCAAGTTAATTAACATATCCATCACCTCACTTAGGTATCTGTTTTTGTGTTGTAAGAATACCTAAGATCCACTCTCCTAGCAAAATTGAGTATACAATACATTATTAACTATAATCACCAAGGTGTACATTAGGTCTCTATAATGTATTTATCTTATAAATGCAAGTTTATACACTTTGACCAACATTTCCTCATTTTAACATGGTTTTATGCAGATCGATAGTGGCTGTGTTGACTATAGACAACAGAGGGAGGTAGCAGAGAGAGGAAGGAAGCAGGGATGCTCTTTGAGAGACTGGTGCAATGATCTGGGGATGGTGAGAGGAATGATAGTAGCTTGGATCCAGCTGGTAATGCTGGAGGTGCATAAAAATGGTCCAGACTTCCAATATGTCTCTAAGGTAAATGCAAAACACTTTTCAAAAAATAGGAAAAGAATGTGAAAAAAAATAAAGGAGACTCTGTGATGTAAACCTTGATACATTAAAAAAAAAAAAAACAAAAAAAACTTCCTTTTACCGGTTAAAGACTACAGAAGGAGAGGATTTAAAGAGCAGGATAATTGGAAGTTTGTTTTGGAACATATTAAGTTTGAACTAATAGATTTGCAAGTTGAAGTGCTGAGTAGCAGCTGGATAAGAGTATGAAGTTTAAATGGTAAGTCAGGTTGGATATCTAACTATAAAATCAATAATGTATTAGATATTATTAATATTTAGACTGGACACAGTCAATAAGGGAATAATGCAGATAGAAAAGAGAAGTGCAAGCACAGAGCCCCGGGCTTACTAAGTTTTAGGAGTCAGATGATAAAGGCAGACAAATGGTGACCAATAAGATAGGAGAAAAATGAAGAACGAGGTAACATTCAAGGTAAAGACATTTCTTTAATGAAGAGAAAGTGATCAATAATGTCAAATACTTCTGATAAGTCAGGTAAGATGATGACTGAAAATTGAACATTGGATTTAGCAACATCGAGGTCTATAGTGACCTTAACAAGAGAAGCTTCAGAGGAGCAATAGGGTCAGACTCCTTACCTAAAAGGGGATTAAGAGAGATTTGTAGATAAAAAATTAGGACGAAAAGTAAAGATGATAGTTTCCAAAATATTTTATCATAAAAGACAAAAATATGTGGAGAAAAGGAGGTTGAGGAACAGAGTCTAGGGCAGTTGTTCTCAATGGCAATGATTTGCTCTCCATCCACCTACCCCAGGGACATTTGGCAATGTCTAGAAGCACCTGAGGTTGTAAATGGTGAGATGTAGGGATATATGGGGATCCACAGCCCTCTCTTTACCCTCCTACCAATGGAATTGTGGAAGCTATGAGAGGGGCATTATTATTCCAAAGTTACAGAACTCCTTCTGGATTCTTTTCCAGATAACATAACTGGGCCTGGTGAATGAGTTTACAAGAGGCAGATTTTAGAATTATTCAAGGAAAAACTTCCAATCAATCCTTTCCAAAAACAAAATGGAGCCAGGCAGAGTGGCTCATGCCTGTAATCCCAGCACATTGGGAGGCTGAGGCAGGAGGACTGCTTGAGGCCAGGAGTTTAAGACCAGCCTGGGCAAGATAGCAAGAACTTGTCTCTACTAAAAATAAAAACAAAAAATTAGCTGGGCATGGTGGTGTGTGTCTGTAGTCCCAGCTATTCAGGAGGATGAGCAGGGAGTTACTTGAGCCGGGAAGTCAAGGCTGGAGTGAACCATGATTGTGTCACTGCACTCCAGCCAGGTTGACAGAGTGAGACCTTGTCTCAAATAAATAAATAAATAAATAAATAATAAAAATTAAAATTAAATAAAACAAATAATTTTTAAAAAAAGAAATTGAGCTATCTTTTCAGTAGTGAGGTCTCCGTCAATGGACGTGTTCAAACAAAAATGGGTAACATATTTTAAATATGGATAGAATCTGGACTAGATGACCTCCCAGAGTCCCTCCTTCCCAAACTTGGAGTCTAGATTTATTCAGACCTGAGACAAAGACACTCTGGTGTCTTAATCTACCACGTCTGCTTCATCTTTGAGTGATTCCTACGTGATTCTGTTCACACTGCCTGCTAGGGATTACCTCCCCAAACCATCACTACATAGCTTCTAGTCCTTTAATCAGTTATTAAAGTCCCAAACATCCCCTCATTTCTTCATAAGAGCCCTACCATGACCTTTTGAACATGTTTTTATTTCTAAAACAATTCATATAGACAGCTATTATATTTTAACATAATTAATATCTCACATTTATTTCTAAACAAATGTGCCTTCTCCAAATTAAATATTACCCTTTGAGGGTGTAAGGAATTGGTTTAAATAGCCAGCTTTAAGTAATCCAAAATCATAGCAGTTCCTTCGTTTCCTAAGTCATGGGATAGGTGCTTAGTACTAAAGGCACAGAGAAATTAAACGTCCTCATCAACTATATTTGGGCTTTGCATTTGTAATTTCCAGAGGTGTTTATTAAAGATATTTCAACGCTATTTATCCATTCTCTAACTCAGCTGAAAGATCAAGGATAAGATAGATGACCAATACTCCTCATCCCAAGCTTTGGACAGGCATCTACTGATGATAACAGCACAGTCTGCTGCAGATCTCAAATGTGCCCCGCAGTTCTTCCTGACAGTGCTTGCAGAAGCCTCTACCATTCGATCCAACATGGTAATCAAGATGAAGCCTATTTGGATCCCTGTTCTAGACTCCAAGTCTTTGATCATATAGTAGGTATGTTATTTGCTCAAAATGATACAAGACCTTTCTGCTTTATTTCAGATAATAGTTGCAATCAAGGATGCATGAGGAAGCAATAGGATATAGTAGGGTTATTACTGGATCAATAATCAAGCAATTTATGCTCAAAAACTGAAAAAAAAATCTGTTATGTATCTTGAACAAAACAATTTGCCTCCCAGATCTTCTGATTTCACATTGCTAAAATAATGAGATTTATGGGGATTCAGAGGCAATATGCTTATTACTGGAAGTATGGATAAACAGATGTGATGGATTTATACCACGCAGTTCTATGAAGATGCTAGAAACAGCAAACTAGACATACATAGAGAAATCTGAGTGGATTTTTTTTTTTAGATGGAGTCTTGCTCTGTAGCCCAGGCTGGAGTGCAGTGGTGCAATCTTGGCTCACTGCAACCTCCACTTCCCGGGTTCAAGTAATTCTCCTGCCTCAGCCTCCTGAGTAGCTGGGATTACAGGCGCTGACAACCACAACTGGCCAATTTTTGTAATTTTAGTAGAGACAGGATTTCGCCATGTTGGCCAGGTTGGTTTCAAACTCCTGACCTCAGGTGATCCACCGCCTTGGCCCCACAAAGTGCTGGGATTACAGGCATGAGCCACCTCGCCCTCCCGGGTGGATCTTAAACACATGTGCTTTAGCCAAGCCCGGTGGTGCATGCCTATAATCCCAGTTCCAGCTACTCAGGAAGCTGAGACAGAAGGATCACTTGAGCCCAGGACTTCTGGGCTGAAGTCAGCTCTGCCTATCAGGTTTTCACACTAAGTTCAGCATCGATATGGTGACTTCCTGGGAGCAGCGGCCCACCAGGTTGCCTAAGAAGAGGTGAACTGGCCCAGGTTGGAAACAGAGTAGGTCAAAACTCTTATGCTGATCAGTAGTGGGATTATCCCTGTGAAAAGCCACTGCACTCCAGCCTAGGTGACATAGTGAGACTCCTCCAAAAACAGAAATAAATAAATCATTGTGCTTTTAAAAAGTAAGAAACAAAATGAGATAACACAATACCATTTGTATGCATTAACTGAATATGTGCATACAAAACTATTTTTATAAAAACATATAAAACAAAGGGATACATATTAAATATGTTAAAATGGTTGTGGGGTTGATGGAAGTAGAGAAATGGAATAAAATCAAATCAAAAAATAAATAAAAGATCAGCCGTGCATGGGCAAGTGATATGTCCTGAACTGCGAAGTGTGACGAACTCAACCTTCTGCTTCTTAGGCCCAATTTTAAAATAATAATTTTTTAAAAAATAAGCAAATTAGGGATTTTGCTTCTGGCATTACAAAGACTAGACAGTCTGGCAGGGAGGAGGACTACTCCTGGAGAATAACTAAATCCTGGGTAACAAGATTTATGTATTAATAGACTCTCAAAAATTAGGGAAAATCTCTAAGGAAACACTCTCCCCATGGGCACACACCCGTGATAAAAAAAAAAAAAAAAAAAAAAAAAAAAAAAAAAAAAACACCTCTAACTTATATACTTAAATAGAAGCTGGAAACTAAGAGCAGTGAGTAGTGAGCAAATGGGCCACAGGGTCTCCTTGAGGACAAAGGCCAGTAGCAGCTCTGTGACCTTAAGACTGAGGTTGAGACAGCCGCCAAGCAGATGAACTAAAACTGGGGCTCCCACGTGAATCGGAGACTTTTGAAGATACAAAAGTAGCTGCAGATCAGTCGTCCTCTTGACTCCTGGAAGAACCAGATGAAAATCTTTCTAGAAAGAAGCAAATCGAAAATGTAGGCCTTCAGGATTTCCTCAAATTAACTTATGAAAATAAGAGTTCATATTTAAATATGACCAAATACATTAGAGGCAATCCACTATGTGTGAGTAAACAGAAACAACAGATCATTTAGACTGCAGATATTCAAATTAGAATTGTTAGATACAGAAAATAGAGTGGCTGAGTAGATAATATTTAAAGGAATAAAAGAGGAAATCACAAAGATGAGCAAGTGAAAGGACTGCTAGAAATAACCAGGCAGATCTGAAATAACATTAAAAGTATTGAACTCAAATGGGAAAAGCCCACTGCATAATGAATAATTTGGTGTATTGGGAGGTATATCTGAATAAATTACCCAGAATTTATATATGAGTAAATTACACAGGAAAAAAAAGAAAATACCAAAAGGAAGTTAAGAGAAATGGAGGGATAGAATAAACAATGCAACACACAGCTAACTGGAGTTCCAGAAGGAGTGGCAAGAAATAATGGCTAGAATCTTCCTAATAAGAATCTTCCTAATCTTCCATGAACAAATAAAAGTCTTGATTATAGAGGTTTTAAAAACACTATATATTCCACGCAGGGCAAATAAAAAGAAATCTATGTGTGCACACAATGTTGTCACCAGAACACAAAGTCAGAAAGATCTTAAAATCAGCCAGAGAAAGTACTGATGATCTGCAAAGGAGGAACTTAGCCTTAGAGCTAACTTTATCCTATGGAAGCCATCAGATAATTAAATACCATCTGAGCACTGAAGATACATAGATAGATAGATAGATAGATAGATAGATAGATAGATAGATAGATAGATAGACGGACAGACAGATCAATCCAGAATTGCGTATTTAACAAAACAATTTTTCACGTGGGAGACACAGAGATTTCATAAGAACAAGTGCCAATAGCAGCATTGCGATCACAACACTCAGCCTTGGGACAGCAATCGGGTGGATGATTAAACCTGACATGCTCATACACGGCACCACTATTTCTGAAGCATGGCACACACTGAGTAAACATGGAGCCACCTGGATAGGATCTGTTCTTTCAAAGATCTTATACATACCTTAACTGAGTTGATGCCAAGAATTTTGAGATAGGTTATGGAGAGGCATAGTATTTCTACTTTATAGGCAAGTAAACATATCCAGAAAGGTTAAGTTACTTACAAAAAGTATTGGACAAATGCCTTTGAGTTTTCTTCATTTGAAAGTATAAATATAGATAAACATGTTAAGTATTTTTAAAGAAATGTTCACTGATAATACTGCAGGTATTTAGGGACTTCCCTACATGCTCACAATCTCAGTCTCATTCATTATTATCCCCAATAACCATTTTTTGACACACACAGTGAATACTCCCCCAGTAGCTTCTCATGAATCCCTACTACCAAAGCACTATCAACAATGCCTAATGGATAAATCATCCTCCCTGATAGGGTCATCATTTCTGAAAAAAGAAGGTGTATTGCTATTGCTGCTGCAACAAATTAGCCCAAATGTAATTTTAACAATAAAAATGTATTATCTCTCAGCATTTTGTAAATTACAAGTCTAACACAGGTCTCACTGAGATGCCCTGAGAGAAAGTGTTTCCTCACTTCTCCAGCTTCTAAAGACAGCTCACATTCCTTGACTTGTGACCCTCTCCTCCATCTTCAAAGCCAGAAGCTTTGATGCCTCAGACACACTTTTTCAGTCACACCTCTCTTTGCCTACAGTCAGAAGAGATCCTCCATTTTTAAGGATTCATGTGATTACATTGGGCCCACCTGGATAATTCAGGATAGTTTTTCCAGCATAAGGTCCTTAACCTGAATCACATCTCCAAAGTTTCTTTTGCAGTGTATGGTCATATATTCACAGGTTCCAGAGGCATGGACATCTTTGGAGAGCCATTACTTCACCTACCATGGAATATGGAAGAGTGGCAGAGACGCTCTTGGTCTAATAGATAAATGATAGATAACGTTGCTCTTATTATATCAGGTCATGCTAAGCTTGTATAGTGCATTCCAGTTTTCAATGTACCCCACCAATTCAACCCAGATTCTGGAAGACAAACCCTAATGCATTTATTATATATAGTAAACTATTGTATTTTGTATAGTATTACATTTTATAATATGTAAAGTACATTACATAATACATTTGTTATATGTAATGAGTTAACTTGGCTCCTATACATTTAGAAAGGCATTGGTTGTATCCTGCCTGAGGGAAAATTGAGAAAAGGGTCACATAAATCATTTTTGGCAGAACTTATCTTGTGAGACTCTAGTTGAAAAAGAATACATCCTTTATTGCACTTGTGCAAAAAAAGCAAGTTAACACAGCAGGCCTGGGATCACTGTCTTAAAAAAGATAACTGATTGCATCAAACAAAAGTAGTGGCAATGCACTGGAGGTCTTATAATTTAAATAAAGTAAATGTATGACAAAAAATCACATAAAATGCTGGGGGGGTGAAAGTATTTAAGATTCTTTTACTATCTATAAAGTGCTGTAATATTAAGGTAGACTGTGGTATGTATATAGTAAACCACAGAGCAATCATTTAATAATAACACAAAGAGGTACAGATAATACATTGAAAAATGGAGATAAAATGGAATCCTAAAAATACACAATCCAAAGGATATGGAAGGTGGCAGGGGATGGTAGGAAATGAATAACACATGAGTCAAACTGAAAACAAACAACAAAGTGAGTGATTTAAACTTGACTATGACAATATTTACTTTACATGTGAAGGGTCTAAACCATGAGTCAGCAAGCTATGTCCCATGGGCCAAATACAGCCCATCATCATTTTTTATAACGTTCCATTGTATTGAAACACAGCCACGCCCATTCATTCTTGTGTTATCTGTGCTGCTTTCATGCTATAATAGCAGAGTTGTGTGATTTCAACAGAGACCATATGATCCCAAAAGCCTAACATTTGTTCTGTCTGGCCCTTTACAGAAAACATTTGTTGACCCTTGGTGTAAACACTCCCATTTAAAGCCAGAGATTCTCAAATTGGACTTAAAATAATAACTAAATATGATCTGCAAGAAACCCACTTTAAATATAAACACATGGTTAAGTTAAAAGTGAAAGGATAGAAAGAGGCATGCCATGCACGCACTAAATGAAAGGAAGCTGCAATGCCTAAGATAATATCAGATGATGCAGACTTCAGAACAAGTCTTGTTACCAGAGATAAAGAGGAATATTTCCTAAGGATAAAATTGTTAATTTATTTTAAAAATTTAAATGTATATGCATCTAATAGCAGATTCAAAATATATGAAGCAAACAAAGAGCTGAAATGAGAAATAGACAAATACACAATTAAAATGAGAGCTCTAAACACTCCTCAATCAGTAACTGATAGATAAGATAGGCAGAAGATTAGAGAAAGCATAAACAAGTCTTGAAGAGCACTATCAACAACTTGAAATGATTGATATTCACAGAATATTCCACTCAACAATTGCAGAATACACACATTCGAGTGTTGACAAAATATTCACTCATATTAGTCCAATGAGCACAGTTAACAGTAGCACATATCCATGGTTCAGAAGGGTCCATGGGGTTTACAGACCCAATGACTGTGATTCCCTTTTCTCTTCCAAGAATTCTTCCTGCTTTCTGTTGTACATCAACAGAGGAACTGGGAAACTAGTTGATGATCCACTGTCTATGATAATTTCTCTACAAGTAGCTCCTTTCAATCGGGACAATCACCCATGGATTTTACGAGAATTCATGGCACATACACATAAAACATCAATACTAATTATTACAATTTTACATTTAGAAACAGGAGTGATAAAAGTGATGCAAGACAATGATCAAGCAGCCCCACTCAGATGGGTACAGCACCATTCAGAGTAAGCAGCAAACAGGAGAGTCTCTCCTTCTCTCCTCCTCTCCTCCTCTCCCTCTCCCTCTCCCTCCCAGCCACCAGAGAATGACAAATAGTCATACTATGGTTGCTTGACCTACTTGGCTGCCTGTACGACCAGCTACAGAAACTGCTCAGTTTCAGGAGACAGATAAGTCTTGCAGTTTGGCATTCTCAGCAGGAATGTTCAGGGATTTCCAGGGCCCATGGCAGACTTCCTATCCCAACATGTAGTAATAAAATAAATGGGTAGTGATTTAAGAACAGATGGACAAATAGAACAATAGAACAAAGCATTGAACTTAGAGAAAGATCATGTATACATGAAAATTTAAATCACAATAAATGTAGAAGTATAACAGCAAAAATCAAAGGTGAAAGAGAGGTTGTTTTATTTATGGCATTAGGAAGAAAATAAAATTGGATTCTTAACTAAAATCACATATAAAAGTAAAATCCAGAGAGATTGATGAAAGATGAAATAGAAAATCAATAGAAGAAAATGTCAGAGTACATGTTTGCAATGCAGAGTCAAGAAATAACTCTTTTTAAAAACTTGAAAAGCTTACATGCAAAGGCAAACCTGTCTTTAAAATGACTATTTCCTCTATTAAAAAAATTAAGTGTTTTTGTTTAATAGAGGAAGAGTGGATAAAGAGAGATAATCTTTTATCAACAATATCCAAAACTGGCAATATGCAAACATGTAAGGATTAAGTCAACAAGACAGATAAACCAAAAGAAAAAAATGGGCAAAAATATGAATAAGCAATAAAACCAACAGCTAATATGTAAATCAAGAGACATTCAAATTCATTAGTCATCACAGGAGCAAATGAAAACAGTAATGAAACAGTATCTTATCCCTGTTAATTTAGTTAGAATGTAAAAAATAAGCAGTCTCAACTATCGGTAGAGTGTAGGGATAGAGGACCCTACATACCCTCCTGCTAGGAGAAGAATGGTGCAGATATTCTCAAGATCTATCTGTCGGCACCTAGTCAAGTCAAGCTTACATATATTTTACAACCCAGCAATTACACTCACAGGTGTGTAGACCAAAGAAATTCTCCCACAGGTCCACAAGTGACATACATAGCCATGTCTGTTGCAGCCTTGTTTATGGTGATAGGGATTCAGCACAATCCGAGTGTCCATCACTAACTGGAAAAGTGGATAGACCAAGTTTGGTGGATACACGTGGAGTTTGATGAAGCATTTAGAAAGAATGAACTAGATGTTCACAGAGCACCATGACTGGCACTTCAGTGCTAAGTAAATGAAACAAAATGAGATCCACAACTTACCATTATTTCCATAGAATAAAAACACAGACACACAAAACAAAACACACTTTTTAAAATGACATATAAATGAATGATACATACCAAATACATTAGAATGATTGCCAATGAAGAATGAATTAAAAAAATGAAATTTGGGATTGGGGACATATACAAATAAGTTAGTAAGTGAATGAATGAATAAGAATAGTTCTTTCTCTTTTGAAATAATTTAAGAGCAGTGGCCTCAAATGGAGGCAAAAACATAAGGAAAAGCACATAGGCAGGAAAGCAGAAGTCTATAAAAACAAAGACAAATATACAATTTCAAGGGAACAACAGAGTGTTTCAAGGGGAGTAGCAGAAGATAAGACAGAAAAGGTAAGTTGGCCAGCTGAATCTTGTGTCTTTTAATTCTTTTACCTAAAAAATAGCATATAAGCTTTACTGATATTTAATACATGGATCAATCCTGGAACTCTGGCTTGTAATTGGGATACATATGCAAGAAAATAAATAAAAAGAGCCCATTTCTCTAAGCATCTCTGTCCTAAGTCTCTTCTGTCTCCCTACAGCTAACATCTATGGGCACTTCCTATGGCTCTGTGATGTCATTTCCTTTTGTAGCTATTAGTTCCCTGCAGCGTCTGTACTTTACTCCACCCAGGCTGCCTGATAACAGATGTGATTTCCAGCTGTGTCTATATACCAACCATAGTGAGTTCATTAATAACAATTATTAAGTACTTTATTTTACAAATTGAGCCTGTAGCAATAGAGAAAACATCCAGTCATTTGTTTTATGGCCTCTTGTCAGAGCCAACTATAAATTCCCATTATCTCTACATTATCAGCACTGCAAAATAGATCTGAGCATGAGTCATAAATAAAACTCCCAAACAGCTCAATCATTCTGGAAAGAACAGAGCATAAATTAACACCTGACGATGTAATGTTATATGTGAACTTAAATAATAGCTCAGGCCTTCCTGTCAGCTAATTATGCAAATTATCATTTTTAAGACTTACATTTGTAGTTGCATGGCTGGTGCGTTCATTTAGACACACAATTAGAGCCCAATAAATATGCAGTCCATACATCGCCCTCCCATAACCCAAGAGTTCCTACTAATGATGTATGAGGAACAGTGAAAATGAGAAAAAAATTTCAATCGAAGGAATGTCTCAAAGGACTATAGGGAATAGGAAAAAAATCACATTTTCTCTGAATACTACATTTCACAGAAGAAATTGTTAAATTTGGGAAGATGAACAGAAGAGGAGTAGCAAACTGTATGCATTATAGGTTCCTGGGTGGAAGTCCACATGGATTCTCGGTCTATTGTAGAAATACTGATTTAGTTACCTCTCTGTCTAGGGACCAAACTGTCTTAAATGATGAAGACAGTTAGAATTTATCCTTTTAAGATAAACTGAAAACAAAAATTTAATTTTTAAGAGAAAAATAGCCAGTAAACACATGAAAATTGTCAAAACACTAATAAGCAAAGACTTGCAAATTAAAGTCATGAGATAACATTTTTCATGTTTTAAAAATTAATCCCCAGTTAATTGGGGAGGAGGCAGTGAAATGGGAAATAGAAAATCCAGTCATTTCCTAGAAGAAATATAAAGGAGTTCAAACCTTCAAGGCCATTTGGCAATATCTACCAATAATACCAGTGACCATAAAAGTGTCCATTACTTTTGATCAGTAATTCTAATTCTGGAAAATTTATCAGTTACAGACTTAGTACAGGAATGTTGATTATAATGAATTCATAATGGCAAAAAAGAGGTAGCAGATAATAATATTCACTAGGGAAGTGGGAGAATAGCTACAATAAAGTCTAAGAGGAAATGTTTGAATAACTCATGGTATACCCAACCCCTGAAATACCGTCCTGCTGCCAAAAATTATTTTGTGAGAAATATTTAACAGGACAGCACTCACAGATCACTTTAAATAGATTGTAAAATGGTTCTTATGGTACAATTCCAATCATGAATCATATTACAGTTTTTACACACACATACATATGCACCCATATATAAGACTGGAAAAATACAGTAAATCTGAAAAGTTTTTTCTATATGATGGAATGATGAATATTTTCTATCATCTTAATAATTTTCCGTATTTCCTAAAATTTCTTTCAGTGGGAGAGAGAAATAGTTCACAAAAAAATTGACCTAGTATGAATTCCTATTCATAATTTTTCAAAGCCTTCCATAGCCTGTATCCAATGGACCAGTCCAACTTTGTCTTCCCTAAAGTTCAAAATAAGACTTTGGTCAAATCCACTGCGTTTCATTGCCCCCCAGTCCTGCCCTGCTTCTTTCCAAATCAGCCTTTGCTCAGGTTTCGTTTCCTCTGTGTGCTCCAAACTGGTTAAACAGCATTAAAGTCAGAATCTTAAGGAACTCAACCTCTGCCTGGAACCACATAAAAACCAGAATATGCCAGCTATCAGAAGTAATTACCTTTCCCTGAAAAAAAATAATAAATAAAAAATAAAATTAAGCAGTCTTTTCCTCAAACCACTTAAAGGAGATCCAGTCATGGCTTCCAGCCACACTGCTCAACACCCTCTGCCCCTGCTCCAAGTTTCCCTGAGGCTCCAGCAACCCAAGCTGTCTCCAGCAAGCCCACAGCTTTTCTCACTTCCCTCTAACCTCCCCTGCTTCCTGCTCTTTCTGTAGATACACTTAGCCTCTTTGGTTTTGTTCCCTCCCATTTTCACATCACATCTTTTGTCTCTGACCAGTCTCCAGATGAACAAAAGCAGAACTATGAGAGGGTTCTCCACATCTGTAAAGAAGAAAAAATAATAAACCGTCCAGCCAATATCATAAGGTGTGAGGTTTAAACGTTTTAACACTGTTTAAATATTGCACGTGTTGTAACTATGGCACCCCTTTTTCCACATTCACTCAACAAGTATTACTAATAAATGACCAGTACTCTGCTACTACTTTTTGACCCACAACTATGGGAATTATACTTGATTATTCCTTCTCTATCCTTTCCTTAGCTCGATACATCACTATATTCTACTTTATCTTCAAAATATAGCTCAAGTTAGCTACAGCTCTTTTGATCCATTAGCACCAAGCTAAGCCACGCAGCCACCTCTCACTGAGACCCCTGAAGTAACTCCTGACTTGTTTCCCCAATCCACTCTTGTGCCCTCCATCTTATTACTAATACAGAAGCCAGTCATTTTCTTTAAAAAGCCCATCAAAAGTAATTCATTCCAAGACCCCAAATCTCCAGTGGTTTCTTTAACAGACATGATGGGTGTCGGTATTTGGTTAGCACACAGATAATGAAGCTGTTCACAATGGCATGAGAGTACAGAAGAGAAACTAGAGCCCATGAAAAGGATGCTTACCTGCCAGAGAACTCTGCAAGTCTGTGCTGTTGGAAGAAAGAGAGAAGTCTATGGAAAGCCCTCTCTTATACACAGAGCTGCATTTTTCTTCTTAGGTGTGTGAAGTACAGAAGACGCTTATCAAAGTAATGCATTGGACACATCAAAATTGACAAACGACTTACTTAACAAAAGATATTTGAATGCATGTAAGTTATTTTTACCCACGGGCGATTGCCCTGGTAAAGTCTATAAACCAGTTATGCCCTGTGCATGAACTAAGCACCTCAACACCTTCTTACTACACCTAAAATAAAATCCCCAGTCCTTACCATTGGCCTTCAGGGCTCTGCAAGACACAGCCCCTTCTTCTGTCTCCAGCCAATCTCTCCATAGCTTATTATATTGACTTTTTATTTCTTGACTGTTTCAGCTGTTTCTACACTTGTGTGATGCCATTCCTTCTGCCCCACTCTTCACCTGAATAATTTCCATGGGGGCTCAGCCATGTTGAAGCATGTATGTCAAACTGATGTAAGAGTTTGACAGAAATGTATTTGCATGAATTGCTGAAGAGCCTCCTGAGAGAATACTCGTATTAGGGTAGAAAGAATACAGGTGCTGAAATGAGCTCAACCCATTAACACTATTTATTGAAATAAAAAAGTGATTCTGAGGATAGCATGAGTTTATCACTAGCAGTTGTCTCATTCCAATTCCGCAGACTGGGAGATTTGTGATTTAAAGATTATTGTATAAAATTAGTAATTGTTTTTATCTTCTGGGAAAACTGGTTCACTATATAAAGAAAACTAAATGGGAGGCCTACTGTGTTAAATACTGAGTCACTTACTCAGTATCCATTCCCTCCTCTTCTTTACCAACTGAATTTTGACTTTATGTGGGGTGTGCATTGTCAGTCTAATCATTCACTTTCCCACCCTCCCTGGAAGCTCAGCATGCCCATGCAACAGACATATTTATGGCTAATGACACATATGTAGAACATTTCTAGGAAAAATGATACATTCTTGGGAAAAGCTTTCTCCCCATTCCCATACCTTCCTATTTTGAATGAGGACATGATGTCTGGAGCTCCAGTAGCCATCTTCTCCCCATGCAGTGCAGGCATGAAGGGATGGTCAAGAGTCACAGAGATGCTGGTCGGACACCATGAAGCCACTGAACAACTCCATCAGATGCTCACTTCCAATTCTCTACGACCTTCTCCCACGCATTTATGAGCAAATCAAATGTGTTCACGATGTCTAGACAGCTGCTCTGTTCTTCAAGGAATGACTGTTGTTTCTATGACCTCATGCTGCGTCAAAGCTAAGAAGCCCTTGAAGTTCCAAAGGTACCCGGTGCTTTATGGTGCGATAATGAACAAATTTTTCCTATTATTCCACATATTGAATATAAATTCACATGTTGGGTATGAAATGGTAAGTGACATACTGATTTCACTTACTCATTTCCAAGTAGCCATTAATGACCTGAAAGGTAGTGTCCTGTTGAGAACAAAGTTCCTGAATGCTGGGTACTGAGATGCTGGCAGCAGCATATCAGCAGAAGGAGGTTTTCCTTTACCCTCTCTGCCCATGACAGGGCAATTGGCAGGAATGCCAGTGCCCTTAATAATAGGGCAGCTCTAATTGCTATTTATCAAGCTCTTTGTTTGGAAAAAAGAGACGGCGCTTTATTTTTCAAGAGACCATGGAACGGTCACGCAGATCAGTTTCTCAGTCCTAAAGTGTAACGGGGCATTAAAAAAGCTGATTATGCAGTTTCACTAAAACTCAGGAGCTGCTCTATCCATGGCTGTTTAGATTTAAATGAGTTAAATAAAATTTTAACATTCACTTTCTTGGTCATGCTAGCCACACGTGACTAGTGGACAGCACAGATGTGGAACAAGTCCATCACTGCAGGACGGCCCATGAATAGGGCTGCCCTAGGGTCTGAGGCACAGGCTGAATGAGCAGACACTCCTCAGTATGTCACTTATGTAAATGGTTTGGTGGCCACTGGAAAGTAAGCTCCATGAGGAAAAAGATTGTTATAAAAACTATACCCTGTTCTATTTCTAATGCCTCAACAATAAATAATTGTTTAGTGAATTCAAAATTCTCAATTCAGTTAGCTATAACATGAAGAATGTTTTATTCTCAAAATTACTTGTACATTTTTGGCCTTGAGCACTCAATCTGCCTGCAGCACATATTTTATTTTCTTCCCATTGTATTTCTATTTAAATTTTAGTCCAGATCAATGATTTCTATAATTTCATCCACTTATTAAAATCTCCATTTCATTCAAGAAAATATCCTGTCAAGTGTAAATATTGTTTTTAAGTCCCATGCACAGTTTCAAGCTGGGACACCTCTTGCCCTCTCTCTCTCCTTCTCCTTCCTTCTCTTTATCACTGGTTATCCTGCCCTCACCTTCCCACCTGAGTCCCTTCTTCAGAAAGTGCCCCTGTCATCTGTCTTGTTCAGGAAAGAAGACAGAAGCAGGATAAGAAAGAAGAGTCAAATTATGTGATTGGCAGTCCCCTTAAGGTGGGCAGTTGCTTTCTTAACACTTTCTCCTTGATGTCTTACAGGGATCTCAAACTTAATGTGTTCAAAACTGAATTTTCGCCATTTCTCCAAATTGAACCTCCTGTTGTCCTCCTTCTGTTACTCAAGCCAGAGCCCTGAGAGTCATGGCACCTCCCCATCCCTGCTCCCTAAATTTTGGTCTGCCTCTCATGCTTTCTGTGGTCTTTGTTGTTAAGATGGTCTTATTTTACAATATTGGGGGTGGGGTGCAGAGCTTAACCTCCATCTTGGTTTCTCTTCATCTTGGAGGAGATTATTCAGCCTCCTCCCCAATTTTGCCCAAAAGAACATCATATATTGTTAACCCCCATTATCAGTACACACTCCAACCCCTTTCTATTCAGATAAGCAGACATCACCTCCATTCTCTACCCAGGAAATCCTATGGCTCCAACCCCTCCACTAGTCTCTATATTCCATCATATAGGGCCACAGGAATTATTAGGATCCTTTTCCACTCTGCAAGCACCACAAGGCCATCCTTCCAACAGTTCCTTCAAGCCCAGATGACATGATCTATTTCTGCATAATTTTCATCTTCAGAAATCTACAGATGAAGTGGCTAAAGGTCCCTGCACTCAGTTATGCTCCCTAGCTTTCAAAGGATCTGGGTTCAGTATAGCCACCATTCAACCCCACACGATACGTACATGCGTACATGTGGGCACAGAAACATCCTCTCCCCTAACTCTTTTTTTTTCTTTCTTCCTTGCTTGTAGCTGTGGTTCAGAAAAGGCCATCAAATCCCTCTGGCCTCTCTAGACTGTAGACTTGGAGTTTCTTACCAAGAAACAGCATTCTTTAATCTCTCAGCCCTCAATAAATTATTATCTTTATTTTCAATAGGACACATTCTTCTCTATAATCTCTGCTTTGTTTGTCAACCAGGGTGGAAGGAAATATCTCAGCTAGCACTTTGCACCTTAATAGGACTCATACTAGAGAAGAAACGTGTTTTCTCCCACCCCAACACAGTCCACCACACATTCTTAGGACCTCAAGGGCTCCAGACACTAAGCTTGACACCATGAGAACAGCAGTAGCTCCTGCAAAATGACACAGCAGTTATCTGAACCTCGTGAACATATTTGATTCTCCCCTAAGTATGGGGTAGCTCATGGAATTGGAGATAGTATCTGATGGAGTTTATTAGTGGCTTGATGGTCTGCTCTTTCCCTGTGATATGAGGTTTCTCATTTCACAGTCAGGAGATGGTTACCACAAACTCAGATATCATGAGCACATTCATGGGAGGAAGAAGGAAAAGAGTTCATTGGCTGAATCCACTCCTTTTCCCAGAACTCCCTGATCTCTCACAAGTCAGAACTCTATTTGTCTCAAGGACAATCCAAGCTTCCAGGGAGGGTGCAGAAGCAAGCACTTAGCCTCACAGGGACACCCTAAACAATGTCAAAGTTCAACCAGCAAGGAAAAGGGGGCAAGTAGATATTTAGTAAGCCGCTAAGTAGATCTAAGACCAGTCAGGAATCCAGGGTTTTCCTTTGCATAGTGAAGCAGTCTTTCACAGACGGTGATCTACACACCCGTCTTTCATCCAGTCTGTTAAGCAACCTTGATCATGTGCTAAATGCTCATGTACATTAATTCTCTTGCTTTCTCTATTCTTCTACATGGGTCTATTGCTTTGTTCCTCAATTAGTATCATACTGTTTTCAATATCTTATTTTATGGTATTTAGTAATACCTACTAAATGTCATTTTCCTTTTCAAAAGTGCCTTGGAGATTTGTGATTACATTTTAGAATCGGTTTGATGAGTTTGTAAAAAAAAAAAAAAAAAAAAAAAACTAGGATTTACACTACACGTAAATTGTATATTATTTAGAGGAGAATTAATATCTTTTTATTTATTTATTTATTATTATTATACTTTAAGTTTTAGGGTACATGTGCACAATGTGCAGGTTAGTTACATATGTATACATGTGCCATGCTGGTGCGCTGCACCCACTAACTCATCATCTAGCATTAGGTAAATCTCCCAATGCTATCCCTCCCCCCTCCCCCCACCCCACAACAGTCCCCAGAGTGTGATGTTCCCCTTCCTGTGTCCATGTGATCTCATTGTTCAATTCCCACCTATGAGTGAGAATATGCAGTGTTTGGTTTTTTGTCCTTGCGATAGTTTACTGAGAATGATGATTTCCAATTTCATCCATGTCCCTACAAAGGACATGAACTCATCATTTTCTATGGCTGCATAGTATTCCATGGTGTATATGTGCCACATTTTCTTAATCCAGTCTATCATTGTTGGACATTTGGGTTGGTTTCAAGTCTTTGCCATTGTGAATAGTGCCTCAATAAACATACGTGTGCATGTGTCTTTATAGTAGCATGATTTATAGTCCTTTGGGTATATACCCAGTAATGGGATGGCTGGGTCAAATGGTATTTCTAGTTCTAGATCCCTGAGGAATCGCCACACTGACTTCCACAATGGTTGAACTAGTTTACGGTCCCACCAACAGTGTAAAACTGTTCCTATTTCTCCACATCCTCTCCAGCACCTGTTGTTTCCTGACTTTTGAATGATTGCCATTGTAACTGGTGTGAGATGGTATCTCATTGTGGTTTTGATTTGCATTTCTCTGATGGCTAGTGATGGTGAGCATTTTTTCATGTGTTTTTTGGCTACATAAATGTCTTCTTTTGAGAAGTGTCCGTTCATGTCCTTCGCCCACTTTTTGATGGAGTTGTTTGTTTTTATCTTGTAAATTTGTTTGAGTTCATTGTAGATTCTGGATATTAGCCCTTTGTCAGATGAGTAGGTTGCAAAAATTTTCTCCCATTTTGTAGGTTGCCTGTTCACTCTGATGGTAGTTTATTTTGCTGTGCAGAAGCTCTTCAGTTTAATTAGATCCCATTTGTCAATTTTGGCTTTTGTTGCCATTGCTTTTGGTGTTTTAGACATGAAGTCCTTGCCCATGCCTATGTCCTGAATGGTAATGCCTAGGTTTTCTTCTAGGGTTTTTATGGTTTTAGGTCTAACATTTAAGTCTTTAATCCATCTTGAATTGATTTTTGTATAAGGTGTAAGGAAGGGATCCAGTTTCAGCTTTCTACATATGGCTAGCCAGTTTTCCCAGCACCATTTATTAAATAGGGAATCCTTTCCCGATTGTTTGTTTTTCTCAGGTTTGTCAAAGATCAGATAGTTGTAGATATGCAGAGTTATTTCTGAGGGCTCTGTTCTGTTCCATTGATCTATATCTCTGTTTTGGTACCAGTACCATGCTGTTTTGGTTACTGTAGCCTTGTAGTATAGTTTGAAGTCAGGTAGTGTGATGCCTCCAGCTTTGTTCTTTTGGCTTAGGATTGACTTGGCGATGTGGGCTCTTTTTTGGTTCCATATGAACTTTAAAGTAGTTTTTTCCAATTCTGTGAAGAAAGTCATTGGTAGCTTGATGGGGATGGCATTGAATCTGTAAATAACCTTGGGCAGTATGGCCATTTTCACAATATTGATTCTTCCTACCCATGAGCAGGGAATATTCTTCCATTTGTTTGTATCCTCTTTTATTTCTTTGAGCAGTGGTTTGTAGTTCTCCTTGAAGAGGTCCCTCACATCCCTTGTAAGTTGGATTCCTAGGTATTTTATTCTCTTTGAAGCAATTGTGAATGGGAGTTCACTCATGATTTGGCTCTCTGTTTGTCTGTTGTTGGTGTATAAGAATGCTTGTGATTTTTGTACATTGATTTTGTATCCTGAGACTTTGCTGAAGTTGCTTATCAGCTTAAGGAGATTTTGGGCTGAGACAATGGGGTTTCTAGATATATAATCATGTCGTCTGCAAATAGGGACAATTTGACTTCCTCTTTTCCTAATTGAATACCCTTTATTTCCTTCTCCTGCCTAATTGCCCTGGCCAGAACTTCCAACACTATGTTGAATACGAGTGGTCAGAGAGGGCATCCCTGTCTTGTGCCGGTTTTCAAAGGGAATGCTTCCAGTTTTTGCCCATTCAGTATGATATTGGCTGTGGGTTTGTCACAGATAGCTCTTATTATTTTGAAATACGTCCCATCAATACCTAATTTATTGAGAGTTTTTAGCATGAAGGGTTGTTGAATTTTGTCAAAGGCCTTTTCTGCATCTCTTGAGATAATCATGTGGTTTTTGTCTTTGGTTCTGTTTATATGCTGGATTATGTCTATTGATTTGCGTCTATTGAACCAGCCTTGCATCCCAGGGATGAAGCCCACTTGATCATGGTGGATAAGCTTTTTGATGTGCTGCTGGATTCGGTTTGCCAGTATTTTATTGACGATTTTTGCATCAATGTTCATCAAGGATATTGGTCTAAAATTCTCTTTTTTGGTCGTGTCTCTGCCCGGCTTTGGTATCAGGATGATGCTGGCCTCATAAAATGAGTTAGGGAGGATTCCCTCTTTTTCTGTTGATTGGAATAGTTTCAGAAGGAATGGTACCAGTTCCTCCTTGTATCTCTGGTAGAATTCGGCTGTGAATCCATCTGGTCCTGGACTCTTTTTGGTTGGTAAGCTATTGATTATTGCCACAATTTCAGATCCTGTTATTGGTCTATTCAGAGATTCAACTTCTTCCTGGTTTAGTCTTGGGAGAGCGTATGTGTCAAGGAATTTATCCATTTCTTCTAGATTTTCTAGTTTATTTGCGTAGAGGTGTTTGTAGTATTCTCTGATGGTAGTTTGTATTTCTGTGGGATTGGTGGTGATATCCCCTTTATCATTTTTTCTTGCGTCTATTTGATTCTTCTCTCTTTTTTTCTTTATTAGTCTTGCTAGCGGTCTATCCATTTTGTTGATCCTTTCAAAAAACCAGCTCCTGGATTCATTAATTTTTTGAAGGGTTTTTTGTGTCTCTATTTCCTTCAGTTCTGCTCTGATTTTAGTTATTTCTTGCCTTCTGCTAGCTTTTGAATGTGTTTGCTCTTGCTTTTCTAGTTCTTTTAATTGTGATGTTAGGGTGTCAATTTTGGATCTTTCCTGCTTTCTCTTGTGGGCATTTAGTGCTATAAATTTCCCTCTACACACTGCTTTGAATGCATCCCAGAGATTTTGGTGTGTTGTGTCTTTGTTCTCATTGGTTTCAAAGAACATCTTTATTTCTGCCTTCATTTCGTTATGTACCCAGTAGTCATTCAGGAGCGGGTTGTTCAGTTTCCATGTAGTTGAGCAGTTTTGAGTGAGATTCTTAATCCTGAGTTCTAGTTTGATTGCACTGTGGTCTGAGAGATAGTTTGTTATAATTTCTGTTCTTTTACAATTGCTGAGGAGAGCTTTACTTCCAAGTATGTGGTCAATTTTGGAATAGGTGTGTTGTGGTGCTGAAAAAAATGTATATTCTATTGATTTGGGGTGGAGAGTTCTGTAGATGTCTATTAGGTCCGCTTGGTGCAGAGCTGAGTTCAATTCCTGGGTATCCTTGTTGACTTTCTGTCTCGTTGATCTGTCTAATGTTGACAGTGGGGTGTTAAAGTCTCCCATTATTAATGTGTGGGAGTCTAAGTCTCTTTGTAGGTCACTCAGGACTTGCTGTATGAATCTAGGTGCTCCTGTGTTGGGTGCATATATATTTAGGATAGTTAGCTCTTCTTGTTGAATTGATCCCTTTACCGTTATGTAATGGCTTTCTTTGTCTCTTTTAATCTTTGTTGGTTTAAAGTCTGTTTTATCAGAGACTAGGATTGCAATTCCTGCCTTTTTTTGTTTTCCATTTGCTTGGTAGATCTTCCTCCATCCTTTTATTTTGAGCCTATGTGTGTCTCTGCACGTGAGATGGGTTTCCTGAATACAGCACACTGATGGGTCTTGACTCTTTATCCAATTTGCCAGTCTGTGTCTTTTAATTGGAGCACTTAGTCCATTTACATTTAAAGTTAATATTGTTATGTGTGAATTTGATCCTGTCATTATGATGTTAGCTGGTTATTTTGCTCGTTAGTTGATGCAGTTTATTCCTAGTCTCAATGGTCCTTACATTTTGACATGATTTTGCAGCGGCTGGTACCGGTTGTTCCTTTCCATGTTAGCGCTTCCTTCAGGAGCTCTTTTAGGGCAGGCCTGGTGGTGACAAAATCTCTCAGCATTTGCTTGTCTGTAAAGTATTTTATTTCTCCTTCACTTATGAAGCTTAGTTTGGCTGGACATGAAATTCTGGGTTGAAAATTCTTTTCTTTAAGAATGTTGAGTATTGGCCCCCACTCTCTTCTGGCTTGTAGAGTTTCTGCTGAGATATCCACTGTTAGTCTGATGGGCTTCCCTTTGAGGGTAACCCGACCTTTCTCTCTGGCTGCCCTTAACATTTTTTCCTTCATTTCAACTTTGGTGAACCTGACAATTAATGTGTCTTGGAGTTGCTCTTCTCGAGGAGTATCTTTGTGGCGTTCTCTGTATTTCCTGAATCTGAATGTTGGCCTGCCTTGCTAGATTGGGGAAGTTCTCCTGGATAATATCCTGCAGAGTGTTTTCCAACTTGGTTCCATTCTCCCCGTCACTTTCAGGTACACCAATCAGACGTAGACTTGGTCTTTTCACATAGTCCCATATTTCTTGGAGGCTTTTTTGGTTTCTTTTTATTCTTTTCTCTAAACTTCCCTTCTCGCTTCATTTCATTCATTTCATCTTCCATTGCTGATACCCTTTCCTCCAGTTGATCGCATCGGCTCCTGAGGCTTCTGCATTCTTCACGTAGTTCTCAAGCCTTGGTTTTCAGCTCCATCAGCTCCTTTAAGCACTTCTCTGTATTGGTTATTCTAGTTATACATTCTTCTAAATTTTTTTCAAAGTTTTCAACTTCTTTGCCTTTGGTTTGAATGTCCTCCCGTAGCTCGGAGTAATTTGATTGTCTGAAGCCTTCTTCTCTCAGCTCGTCAAAGTCATTCTCTGTCCAGCTTTGTTCCGTTGCTGGTGAGGACCTGTGTTCCTTTGGAGGAGGAGAGGCGCTCTGCTTTTTAGAGTTTCCAGTTTTTCTGTTCTGTTTTTTCCCCATCTTTGTGGTTTTATCTACTTTTGGTCTTTGATGATGGTGATGTACAGATGGGTTTTTGGCATGGATGTCCTTTCTGTTTGTTAGTTTTCCTTCTAACAGACAGGACCCTCAGCTGCAGGTCTGTTGGAGTACCCAGCCGTGTGAGGTGTCAGTCTGCCCCTGCTGGGGGGTGCCTCCCAGTTAGGCTGCTCGGGGGTCAGGGTTCAGGGACCCACTTGAGGAGGCAGTCTGCCCATTCTCAGATCTCCAGCTGCATGCTGGGAGGACCACTGCTCTCTTCAAAGCTGTCATACAGGGACATTTAAGTCTGCAGAGGTTACTGCTGTCTTTCTGTTTGTCTGTGCCCTGCCCCCAGAGGTGGAGCCTACAGAGGCAGGCAGGCCTCCTTGAGCTGTGGTGGGCTCCACCCAGTTCGAGCTTCCCGGCTGCTTTGTTTACCTAATCAAGCCTGGGCAATGGCAGGCGCCCCTCCCCCAGCCTCGCTGCCACCTTGCAGTTTGATCTCAGACTGCTGTGCTAGCAATCAGTGAGACTCCGTGGGCGTAGGACCCTCTGAGCCATGTTCAGGATATAATCTCCTGGTGCGCCGTTTTTTAAGCCCATCGGAAAAGCACAGTATTTGGGTGGGAGTAACCCGATTTTCCAGGTGCCATCTCTCACCCCTTTCTTTGACTAGGAAAGGGAACTCCCTGACCTTTGTGCTTCCTGAGTGAGGCAATGCCTCGCCCTGCTTCAGCTCGCGCATGGTGCGCGCACCCATTGACCTGTGCCCACTGTCTGGCACTCCCTAGTGAGATGAACCCGGTACCTCAGATGGAAATGCAGAAATCACCCGTCTTCTGCGTCACTCACGCTGGGAGCTGTAGACCGGAGCTGTTCCTATTTGGCCATCTTGGCTCCTCCCCCAGGAATTAATATCTTTCTAATGCTAAACTTTTCCTTCATATGATATATCTTTCTACTTAATAGGTCTTTTCCTTTATGTCCTTTAACATGATTTTTAATTTTCTCTTTATTTGGTTAATTCGTATACATTGCTTTTATTGAGATAGCCTGATGTAGTAGCTCCAGGCACAGACTGTGAAAGTGAATTGCCCAGGTTCAAATCTTAGCTCTACCATCACCTATTTATTCTGGTAAATTACTTAATCTCTCTTTGTCTCAGTTTCCTTGACTGTAAAATGTAACTAATGATGTCACCTATCTCATAAGATTCTAATAATATGCTAAGCATAAAAATTTATATAGAACTCCTAGTTCCTGATAACTGATAAGCATTCCATCTATTTTGGCTATTAGGATCTTTGATGATCCTATGAATGCTATCTCTTTCTCTGTTGTATTCTCTAGTTGGTTATTACCATTGATGTCTGTAAGTTGATCTTATAACTTCTAAATTTTTGTTGATTCTCTTTGGCATTCTTCATGCCTAATCATATCATCCACAAATGATGATAGCTTTTTCTTCTTTTCTTCCAACATTCATACTCATTTTTCTTTTACCTGTTTTATTGTGCTGAATAAGACCCCTAGAACTATGTGGAACCTAGGGGTGTTCTGTCACTTGTTAACATAGGTAGAACTAGTGGTAACTAAATTTGCTGATTTCTTTCTCTTCAGATTTGTTAGTAACCAGTTTGTGCATTTTGAAGTTATAAGTTATATTGTTATGTGCATAGATGTTCATAGTCACTATCTTCTTGTCTCTGTCCCTTGTGTTTGGTGGGAAATTTTTTACTAGAGTATATTTTCTCACATATTACAATTGCTAGCCTTGTTTCCATTTGGTATATTTTCACATTTATATTATTTTTATCCCTGTACATCTGACTATTTTAAACTATTTGTTTGAATTATATTTTATAAAGAAAACAACATATTGCCAAATATTATTTTGTTATACAGTAGTCTAAGAATCTATGATTTTTATTGTAACCCTTTACTTTTATTGTAAATACTATGATATTAGAACTTATTTCTGCCATCTTATTTCACATTTTCTATTTGTCATACTAACTTTTTTTTCTCTTTTCTACTTTTCTGTCTTCCACCAGATAAATTTCCTTCTACTGGTTAAAGTTATACACTTAGTATTTTTTCTTTTGATGATTTCTTCTGTTATCAAGGCCTGTATTTGTATTTACTTTTCTTAAAAACTTGTGAAGTGCATCAACAAGAATTTTAAAGTGCATCAACATATCTTCTCTTCAAAAAATGAGAAAGGTAATTTCCAACATACACTCACTTCCCGTTTGTCTCTCTCCAGTGTCCCCTTCCTGTTCCCAGTTCAGTCCATCATCTCCATGGGTGCCATTAACTATTCAAGATCTGGATTTGTGTATGGATCATCCTTTCTTATTTTTTTGCATGTCATGTATTATCATTTTTTGTTGACAAACAGATATTTTAAATAACATAATGTGGAAGTACAGAAATAAGATTCTTTTCTGCTCATGATTTGTTATTTATGCTTGTTGTAGTTGTTTTTGTTTAGGGTTTTCATTTTTTTAACTGATTCTTTAAAGTCTGTATCTGTTGTGCATGGCCACTGCAGTCTATGCTTGGTTAGCTTAGTGGTAAGCTAATGATTGAACAGAGATTTCCTTAAATGCCTGGAACCAATAAATTTTCCAGTCTTTGCCAAGACTGGTATAGGCCCTAAAATTAAGGTCCAACATTATATGTGCCTTGACACCTGGGGAGAAATGGGAGTACCTCAAATAGCCTAACTTCAAGTTCTCCTCCCTATTATGCTCCTATAAATAAGTCCCCTAGCCAAACAATCTTCCTCATTATGGGACCATGTACAGCACCTGTTTATCACTGAGTAGCTGGATTTGGATTCCTACCAGCCTACAGAATTATTCAAGAAACCAGTCATATTCTGAGGGTCACTATGCCCTCATTACTACAAAGCCTGCTTCCACAGTCCCTGCTTGTTCACTCTGATCCCAGTCGTAACCCTTGCAAAGCCCTGTGTGATATGTAATGTTCGCCTCTCTCAGGCTGTGAATAAATATGACTAATAAGCTACCACTAAGCTCATCTGTCCAGTGTCTGGTGCTGTGTGTTCTGCCAGTCACATGACTCTAAGGTCTGAATTCCTCCATCGCTAATGAAATGAAGATGAGGCAGTCAACACATTGATGTGCTCTATGTGCAAGTTGGGGCACACTTTCACACCCAGCCAGACAGCTTACAACTCTGCCTTAGCCTTCACTTCCTGCTTACTCAAAGGTTCAAGGTCAATCAAAGGTGAGAGCTAAGAGATTTCTCCAATCTTTCCTGAGTGTGCACACGGCTCTATGTATGATATATTTAAGATTACTTAAATATATGACAGGATTTCCAAGCTCATGGAATCTCATGCCTTAGCTTTTCCTATTTAGCTTTCTCATTAGTCTGTCATTTACCACAACTGCTATCACGCCTTCAGATAGCCATTATTTTAAGCTGTCTGACAAACACCCCTTTGGGAGAGGCTTTTAGCACTGGGAAAGTTCAAATGAGGTCAGATAAGGACAAGTCTTACAAGTAGCATCTTCCAAGGAACTACTGGACAGATCAGATAATGATTCTTCTTTGAGTATGAGTGTTTGAAAAAGCTCCAGCTCTATTCTGCTCCATCTGGTACTGAAAATAAAAGCTGTTATTTCTCAAGACTGCCTCTGAATGAGGGAGCTGGAGATAAGACTAGGGTAAGTTAGAATACTAGGGTAAGTTAGAAAGCTCACTGTTTTTACTGAGATTCAAAAAGTTGATTCTGATCATTTTTCCAGCTTTTTCATCACTTTTATGGAGAGATAAGCTTTTATTATTCCTTACTTCACCATTTTCACTGATATCATTCTGGCTTTTCTTAATAACTGCTTATTTCTGATTTATGTTTCTAATATCTTTCTTTATATCTTTGAAAACACTTCATATGCTTATTTTAAATTCTTGTTTGATCTACTTCATTAATTATTCCTCTGAAATAAGTATCATACTGTGCATCTTTCTTATTAATCCTTATGCAATTTATATATATAGAACAAGCATGTGAGTCCCTAGTCCCCAATATATGTTCATATTCCCTTGACAGTATTAGTATCCTTGGGTATTCAGAACAAGATACCAGACTTGAAGATGTAATCTGGAATGGGAATGAGTGAAGTCACCAGGGAGAGAGTGTGTAGAGTGATACAAGAAGAGGATTATAATAGAGCTTAGAGGAATTATAATATTTAAAGGTTAGGAAAAAGAAAAGGAATCAGCAAAGAAAACTAGGAGCCAGAAGAGTGTGCCCTAGGTCCCTCTTTTGCCTCACTCTGGTCCCAGCCCTTCTAGAGAGAAATGAAATACTGAAAACAAAAACAAAACCCCATGTTTCCCAGTCTCTCAGATTCTGCCTGCAGTTTAGGCTCAGCCAATTGAATACACTTGATTGACACTTAGAAGATGGATGTGAGCAGAGGCCATCTCCCTGCTGCTGCTGTTCATGCTGGCAGGTAAAGTGCTGAAAATGTGAGGATCAAGAAGCAAGAGTGGCCCGATATGTCATTCTCATGTCCAGTCCCCAGCTTCGTGGGTGTCAAGAGGCATTTGTGGCAAGCGCAGTTGCTTTCTGTTCCCTGGATTGCAGCTTGAACTTGATGATTTCAACCCTTGACTCTATTTCTGCAGCAAGTCCAATCATATTGGAGGAACTAATTTTTCATAATAAGTCCCTATCTGCTTAAGATACCCTGAGTGGTTTGTTTTGTGCACTGAAGCCTGAAAACAACAATGGTTAAAGTATGGCACTGAAATTTTATTTCTTGCTTTGCTCTAATAGACACATCAAATCCCATACCTAGATAGAGTCTAGCCTTTCCCATCTGGACCTCGGTCTGTTGCCATGAGCCAAGAGAGCCATGGAGAGAGGGGCCAGGTGGTACCAACACTCAGGCAGTGAAAGCTGGCATATGCTTAGCTTTTCATTTAAGGTGGATCTGAGGAAAGATGCCGTCCTATTGTTCTCAGTCAGATCACCCTGGAAACTACTCTTTCTGCCCTCATCACCAGTGCTATACATGCTTTCCCAAAATACTGAGCCTTTCTTTTCCTGCTCAGCCATGTCTCTGATGCCTTTCAGGATCCGTTCTCAACTTTTCTTACTTGGAATCTACACTGTCCTTGACCCTGCCTGTCCCCATAACTCTACCCTTCGGGAGTACATAAATCCACGTTTATTTATGGCTTCTATAACACCTAACCCTGCACATCCCAGTCTTTATTCTGGCAACATTCATGTTGAGGCAGTATTACTTCCTCCTCCTATTTTTATTTGGTAAGGAAAATTACCAGGAATTTGTAATAAGTAGTGATGTTTCAGGTAGAACTTTGGCCTTCTCTCAGAAGGGTATCTTTTGCCTAGCAAGACAGCTTAATCACAACCTTAATGATGTCTCCCCACTGCTTAACGTGGTGCTTCTCTTGTCTCCAGAGACAGGAGCTGTGTGGACACGTAGGTACCCAGGGACTTCTATACGTTTGAGTTGTCAAGATCAGCTTTTGGAAAGCTGTTAATTTCCTGAGGTAATTTGGCTGCGATTAAGTTAAGCTGCCACCAGGTGGACATTGGAGCCTTAGTTAAGCCATTTTAATCTCTGCAGCCAGGCTCCCTATAGGCATGATAAAATAAAGAGAGACTGTAGTTTGATTTCTACTTAATTGTGTTTTTAAAAATAAACAAAAAAAGGGAAAAAAGAAGTAGTTTATCATACTACTTAGTCAGAATTAAAATAGAATAGCATAAAGGTATCTTATTCCTATGTTTAACTAATATTCATTGAGTGCCTCTATGTGAAAAAGATTGCTCTAGAATCAGGAAGAGGGCAGAAAACATAATAAGCCATTCCCTGACTTCCTAGGAAGTATGTCTTGGGGTGTAAAACAAGCAACAAACAAATAAAAATACATATTTATCCTATATAACTTCATATATATATATACACACACACATGCATACACAAAACACACACACCTATCATGATAAATAAAATATTTGTAAACTGACCATCCCCAAGCACCACCAGTCTATAAAGACAGTTAACTCATGACAATAATCATCCAGATTTTGCTGACTGCCCCTGCCTTACTAATCGGTCTACGAAGGACCCCTTCTTACATGGAGTTTCCTCTGTCTTCAACCATGAATTATGTCTGGAATTTTAGAACATATGTCAGATATGCATATATATATATATATATATGTGTGTGTGTGTGTGTGTGTGTGTGTAGATAAATAGTCATTCCAGTCAGCTACCATGTGATTTACAGCAGCAATAATTAATGGTTATTCTGAGTACACACCACCCACCAGGCACCATTGCCCCTGCTATACACACTGCTGTCATCATCTTTTATTTATTCATTCAACAAAAACTTATTAAACACCTTTCTATAATCCTATAGGGAATAAGACAATGATGGTTCTGTCCTCATAGAGCTTATAACTTTGCAGGGAAGAAAGACAAATAAAGGAAATTATAACTGTAAAGAAGTGTGACTAAAGGGGAAGTACAGAATATTATAGAATCATCTAAAAGAGGAAATTTAAGAGGACAGATGTTCATGGAACAGGTTTCTGAACAAAGTAATGTGTAGACAGAGACTTAGAGGACTAATAGAAGTTAGCTAGATGAAACATATGTGGAATAGTGTTATCAGCAGAGGGAACAGCATGACCAGTGATCCTGAGACATGGTGCATTTCAGGCACAGTTGCGTCCTGCTCTGTACTTTCAGTAATATCCCAGAACACTCAAAACACATATATCAAGACAAGAGAAAATAGCAGGAACTGGATGCAACCACACGCCTAAAATACCTAAAATATAAAACAAATATACAATGGTTCTGAAGACACTAGACCTTAAACATCAAGAAACGGTGATTGCTGAAAAATTAGAAATTTAAAAAAGTTAATCCTGTTATTGCCCAGCCTACTGCCTGGAGAGAGTTTCAGGGCATGGCACAAGGAGGGGGAACCCCAGCAGAGCCCAGAACACTCTCTGAATAAAGGAGATGGGAGTCCAAGGAGATTAAGGCAGTTAGAATTCAGTAGAACAGAATACCAGAAGAGAGAGTTGCACAGGAAACAAAAAACCCAGATATCTGCAGAAGATTTCTCTAAATTATTCAACTGAGTATGGTCAACACATGTATGTGAGGAAGGCATGTAAGACCAAAAACAAAACAACAGAATAGATCAGTAAGAAAAGAACATGTGGTTCACATAAGACTGGGACTAATGCCTGTTTCTACCCAGAATAGTGAAACATTTCATAATTCACAGTGCACTGAGTAGAGTACTCAGAAAGGTTTTACCTAAGTGGTGGTTAAAAAAAAAAAAAGTCTCAGATTAAACGTTTCTTTGGTCCTGCTTAACAGAGCTTAAAAGTAAGACCTGAGGAGATCAAAAATAGCTTCCAAATAACTTAAATGCATCCCGGAACAAACTCAAGAATATTGATAGGAAAAAAAAATCAAACACCCAACATTGTAAAATTCACAATGTCTGACATCTAGTCAAAAATTACCAGGCATGCATAGAAGCAGAAAAATATAACCCATAATAAAGAGAAAAATTAGATAGTGACTGGCAAGATGGCCAAATAGGAACAGCTCTGGTCTGCAGCTCCCAGTGCAGTCAATGCAGAATGCGGGTGATTTCTGCATTTCCAACTGAGGTACCTGGCTTCTCTCACTGGGACTAGTTAGACAGTGAGTGCAGCCCACAGAGAGAGAGCCAAAGCAGGGTGGGGCGTCACCTCACCCGGGAAGTGCAAGGGGTCAGGGAACTGCCTCCCCTAGCCAAGGGAAGCCATGAGGGACTGTACCGTGAGGAACAGTGCATTCCAGCCCAGACACTACACTTTTCCAATGGTCTTTGCAACCTGCAGACCAGGAGATTCCCTCAGGTGCCTACAATACCAGGGCCCTGGGTTTCAAGCACGAAACTGGGCAGCCGTTTGGGCAGACAGCGAGCTAGCACCTTTTTTTTTTTTCATACCCCAGTGGTGCCTGGAATGCCAGCGAGACTGAACCATTCACTCCCCTGGAAAGGGGGCTGAAGCCAGGGAGCCAAGTGGTCTAGCTCAGTGGATCCCTCCCCCATGGAGCCCAGCAAGCTAAGATCCACTGGCTTGAAATTCTCGCTGCCAGCACAGCAGTCTGAAGTGGACCTGGGATGCTCAAGCTTGGTGGGGGAAGGAGCATCTGCCATTACTGAAGCTTCAGTAGGCAGTTTTCCCATCACAGTGTAAACAAAGCTACTGGGAAGTTTGAACTGGGCGAAGCCCACTGCAGCTCAGCAAAGCTGCTGTAGCCAGACTACCTCTCTAGATTCCAACTCTCTGGGCAGGGCATCTCTGAAAGAAAGACAGCAGGACCAGACAGGGGCTTATAGATAAAACTTCCATCTCCCTGGGACAGAGCACCTGGGGGAAAAGGCGGCTGTGGGTACAGCTTCAGCAGACTTAAACTTTCCTGCCTGCCAGCTCTGAAGAGAGCAGCAGATCTCCCAGCACAGTGCTCAAGCTCTGCTAAGGGACAGACTGCCTCTTCAGGTGGGTCCCTGACCCCCATGCCTCCTGACTGGGAGACACTTCCCAGCAGGAATCAAGAGACACCTTATATAGGAGAGCTCTGGCTAGCATTTGGTGGGTGCCCCTCTGGGACAAAGCTTCCAGAGGAAGGAACAGGCAGCAATCTTTGCTGTTCGGCAGCCTCTGCTGGTGATACCCAGGCAAACAGGGTCTGGAGTGGACCTCCAGCAAACTCCAGCAGACCTGCGGCAGAAGGGCATGACTGTTGGAAAGAAAACTAACAAACAAAGCAATATCATCAACATCAACAAAAAGAACATCCATTCAAAAACCCTATCTGAAGGTCACCAACATCAAAGACCAAAGGTAGATAAATCCACGAAAATGAGGAAAAACCAGCCCAAAATGGCTGAAAATTCCAAAAACCAGAATGCCTCTTCTCCTGCAAAGGATCACAACTCCTTGCCTGCAAGGGAACAAAACTGGATGGAGAATGAGTTTGATGAATTGACAGAAGTAGGCTTCAGAAGGTGGGTATTAACAAATTCCTCCAAGCTAAAGGAGCATGTTGTAACCAAATGCAAGGAAGCTAAGAACCTTGAAAAAAGGTTAGAGGAATTGCTAAGTAGAATAACCAGTTTAGAGAAGAATGTGAATGACCTGATAGAGCTGAAAAACACAGCAGAAGAACTTCGTGAAGCATACACAAGCATCAATAGCTAAATCGGTCAAGCAGAAGAAAGGATATCAGACATTGAAGGTCAACTTAATGAAATAAAGCATGAAGACAAGATTAGAAAAAAAAGAATGAAAAAGAACCAACAAATCCTCCAAGAAATATGGGACTATGTGAAAAGACCAAGTCTACGTCTGATTGGTATACCTGAAAGTGATGGGGAGAAAGGAACCAAGTTGGAAAACACTCTTCATTATATTATCCAAGAGAACTTGCCCAGCCCAGAAAGACAGGCCAACATTCAAATTTAGGAAATATGGAAAACACCACAAAGATACTCCTCAAGAAGAGCAACCCCAAGACACATAATCGTCAGATTCACCAAGGTTGAAATGAAGGAAAAAATATTAAGAACAGCCAGAGAGAAAGGTCGGGTTACCTACAAATGGAAGCCCATCAGACTAACAGAGGATCTCTCTGCAGAAAATCTACAAGCCAGAAGAGAGTGGGGGCCAGTATTCAACATTCTTAAAGAAAATAATTTTCAACCCAGAATTTCATAACCAGCCAAACTAAGCTTCATAAGTGAAGGAGAAATAAATTTACAGACAAGCAAATGCTGAGAGATTTTGCTACCACCAGGCCTGCCTTACCAGAACTCCTGAAGGAAGCACTAAATATGGAAAGGAAAAACCGGTATCAGCCGCTGCAAAAACACACCAAATTGTAAAGACCATCAGCACTATGAAGAAATTGCATCAAATAACAGGAGAAATAATCAGCTAGCGTCATAATGACAGGATCAAATTCACAAATAATGATATTAACTTCAAATGTAAATGGGCTAAATGCCCCAATTAAAAGACACAGACTGGCAAATTGGGTAAAGAATCCAGACCCAACAGTATGCTTTATTCAGGAGATGCATCTCACATTCAAAGACATACATAGGGTCAAAATAAAGGAATGGAGGAATATTTAACATGCAAATGGAAAGCAAAAAAAAAAAAAAAAGCAGGGTTTGCAATCCTAGTCTCTGATAAAAGAGACTTTAAACCAACAAAGATCAAAAAAGACAAAGAAGGGCATTACATAGTGGAGAAGGCATCAACGCAACAAGAAGAGCTAACTATCCTAAATATATATGCACCCAATACAGGAGCACCCAGATTCATAAAGCAAGTTCTTAGAGACTTACAAAGAGACTTAGACTCCCACACAATAATAGTGGGAGACTCTAACACCCCACTGTCAATATTAGATCAATACAACAGAAAATTAACAAGGATTTTCAGGACTTGAACTCAGCTCTGGACCAAGCTGACCTAATAGACATCTACAGAACTCTCCACCCCAAATCAACAGAATATACATTCTTCTCAGCACCACATCTCATTCTAAAATTGACCACATAGTTGGAAGTAAAACACTCCTCAGCAAATGTAAAAGAATTCAAATTATAACAAACAGTCTTTCAGACCACAGTGCAATCAAATTAGAACTCAAGACTAGGAAACTCATTCAAAACTGCACAACTGCATGCAAACAGAACAACCTGCTCCTGAATGACTACTGGGTAAATAATGAAATTAAGGCAAAAATAAATAAGTTCTTTGAAACAAATGAGAACAAAGACACAATACACAAGAATGTCTTCGACACAGCTAAAGTAGTGTTTAGAGGGAAATTTACAGAACTAAATGTCCACAGGACAAAGTGGGAAAGATCTAAAATCGACACTGTAACATCACAATTAAAAGAACTAGAGAAGCAAGAGCAAACAAATTCAAAAGCTAGCAGAAGACAAGAAATAACTAAGATCAGAGCAGAACTGAAGGAGACACAAAAAACCCTTAAAAAAAATCAATGAATCCAGGAGCTGGTTTTTTGAAAAGATTAGCAAAATAGACAGACCACTAGCCAGAATAATAAATAATAATAAAGAAGAATAAAAAAGAATCAAATAGATTCAATAAGAAATGATAAAGGGGATATCACCACTTATCCCACAGAAATACAAACTACCATCATAGAATACTAAAAACCACCCCCTCTCAAATAAACTAGAAAATCTAGAAGAAATGGATAAATTCCTGGACATATACAGCCTCCCAAGACTAAACCAGGAAGAAGTCAAATCCCTGAATAGACCAATAACAAGTTCTGAAATTGAGGCAGCAATTAACAGCCTACCAACCAAAACAAAAAAGCCCAGGACCACACAGAGTCACAGCCGAATTCTACCAAAGGTATGAAGAGGAGTTAGTACCATTCCTTCTGAAACTATTCCAAACAATAGAAAAAGAGGGACTCCTCCCTAACTCATTTTATGAGGCCAGCATCATCCTGATAAGAAAACCGGGCAGAGACAAACACACACAAAAATTTCAGGCTAATATCCCTCATGAACATCAATGTGAAAATCCTCAACAAAATACTGGCAAAACAAATCCAACAGAACATCAAAAACTTATCCACCACGATCAAGTCAGCTTCATCCCTGGGTTGCAAGGCTGGCTCAACATATGCAAATCAGTAATTGTAATCCATCACATAAACACAACCAATGAAAAAAACCACATGATTATCTCAATAGATGCGGAAAAGGCCTTCAATAAAATTCACCACCTCTTCATTCTAAAAACTCTCAATAAACTAGGTAGTGATGGAACATATTTCTTTTCTTTCTTTTTTTTTTTTTTTTTTTTTTGAGACAAAGTCTCACTCTATCGCCCAGGCTGGAGTGCAGTGGCGCATACTCGGCTCACTGCAAGTACCGCCTTCTGGGTTCACACCGTTCTCCTGCCTCAGCCTCCTGAGTAGCTGGGACTACATGCGCCTGCCACCACAACCAGCTAATTTTTTGTATTTTTTTAGTAGAGATGGGGTTTTACCGTGTCAGCCAGGATGGTCTTGATCTCCTGACCTCGTGATCTGCCCACCTCGGCCTCCCAAAGTGCTGGGATTACAGGCATGAGCCACCACGCCCGGCCACTAGAACGTATTTCAACATAACAAGAGCTGTTTATGACAAACCTGCAGCCAATATCATACTGAATGGGCAAAAGCTGGAAGCATTCCCTTTGAAAACTGGCACAAGACAAGGATGCCCTCTCTCACCATTCTTATTCAACATAGAATTGGAAGTTCTGTCCATGGCAATCTGGCAAGAGAAAGAAAAAAAGGTATTCAAATAGTAAGAGAGAAAGTTAAATTGTTTCCATTTGCAGATGACATGATTGTATATTTAGAGAACCCCATTGTCTCAGCCCAAAATCTCCTTAAGCTGATAAGCAACTCCAGCAAAGTCTCAGGACACAAAATCAATGTGCAAAAATCACAAGCACTCTTATATACTAATAATAGACAAACAGAGAGACAAATCATCAATGAACTCCCATTCACAGTTGCTATAAAGAGAATAAAATACCTAGGAATACAAGTTACAAGGGATGTGAAGGACCTCTTCAAGGAGAACGACAAACCACTGCTCAAGGAAATAAGAGAGGACACAAACAAATGGAAAAACATTCCATGCTCATGGATAGGAAGAATCAATATCATGAAAATGGCCATACTGCCCAAAGTAATTTATAGATTCAATGCTATCCCCATCAAGCTACCATTGACTTTCTTCACAGAATTAGAAAAAACTACTTTTAATTTCATATGGAACCAATAAATGGCCCATATGGCCAAGACAATCCTAAGCAAAAAGAACAAAGCTGATGGCATCACGCTACCTGACTTCAAACTATACTACAAGGCTACAGTAACCAAAACGGTAAGGTACTGGTACCAAAACAGATATATAGACCAATGAAACAGAACAGAGGCCTCAGAAATAATGCCACACATTTACAGCCACCTGATCTTTGGCAAACCTGACAAAAACAAGCAATGGGGAAAGGATTCCCTACTGAATAAATGGTGTTGGGAAAATTGGCTAGCCATATGCAGAAAACTGGAACTGGAACCCTTCATTATACCTTATAGAAAAATTAACTCAAGATGGACTGAAGACCTAAACGTAAGACCTAAAACCACAAAAACCTCAGAAGAAAACCTAGGCAATACCATTCAGGACATAAGCATGGGCAAAGACTTCATGACTAAAACACAAAAAGCAATGGCAACAAAAGCCAAAATTGACAAATAGGATCTAATTAAACTAATGAGCTTCTGCACAGCAAAAGAAGCTATCATCAGAGTGAACAGGCAACCTACACAATGGGAGAAAAATTTTGCAATCTGTCCATCTGACAAAGGGCTAATATCCAGAATCTACAAGGAACTTAAACAAATTTACAAGAAAAAAACAAACAACCCCATCAAAAAGTGGGCAAAGGATATGAACAGACACTTCTCAAAAGAAGACATTTAAGCAACCAACAAACATATGAAAAAAAAGCTCATCATCACTGGTCATTAGAGAAATGCAAATCAAAACCACGATGAGATACCATCTCACACCAGTTAGAATGGCAATCATTCAAAAGTCAGGAAACAACAGATGCTGGAGAGGATGTGGAGAAATAGGAAAGCTTTTACATCATTGGTGGGAATGTAGATTAGTTCAACCATTGTGGAAGACACTGTGGCAATTCCTCAAGGATCTAGAACCAGAAATACCATTTGATCCAGCAATCCCATTACTGGGTATATACCCAAAGGATTATAAATCATGCTACTATAAAGACACATGCAGACATATGTTTATTGCAGCACTGTTCACAATAGCAAAGACTTGAAACCAACCCAAATGCCCATCAATGATTGACTGGATAAAGAAAATGTGGCACATATACACCATGGAATACTATGCAGCCATAAAAAAGGTGACTTCATGTCCTTTGCAGGGACATGGATGAATCTGGAAACAATCATTCTCAGCAAACTAACACAGGAACAGAAAACCAAACACCACATGTTCTTACTCATAAGTGGGCATTGAACAATGAGAACACATGGACACAGGGAGGGGAAGATCACACACCAGGGCCTGTAGGGGGCATGGGGGCTAGGGGAGGGATAGCATTAGGAGAAATAGCTAATTTAGATAACAGGTTAATGGGTGCAGCAAACCAACAAGTCGCATGTATACCTATGTAACAAACCTGTACGTTCTGTGCATGTATCCTAGAACTTAAAGTATAATAAAAAAGAGAAAAATTAATCAATAAAAACTGACAAAGTAATTAGAAATATAATAGAATTAGCAGACCCGAACATTAAAGTAGGTTTTGTGTGTGTGTGTGTGTGTGTGTGTGTGTGTGTTTAGTGTATCCCATGTTTAAGAAATTAGATAAAAAATTGATATGTTATGTAGAGACATGCAGATATTTTTAAAAACTTAAATTGAACTTCTGGCAATAAAAACCACAATGTCTGAAATGGAAAAGTCACAGAATGAATTCGTGATAAATTAGACATTGTATAAAGATTACTGAACTCGGCCAGGCACAGTGGCTCACACCTGTAATCCCAGCACTTTGGGAGGCCAAGGCGGGTGGATCACCTGAGGTCAGGAGTTCCATACCAGCCTGGCCAATATGGTGAAACTCCATCTCTACTACATTTACAAAAATTAGCCGGGAGTAGTGACGAGTGCCTATAGTCCCAGCTATTTGGGAGGCTGAGGCAGGAGAATCGCTTGAACCTGGGAGGCAGAGGTTGCAGTGGGACGAGATCACACCACTACACTCCAACCTGGATGACAGAGCAAGACTCTCTCAAAAAAAAAAAAAAAAAAAGTGAACTTGAATAAATTCAATAAATCTATGCCAAATGTAAAACAAAGAGAGAAAAAACTGGGGAAAATGAACATCAGTGAGCTGTGGAAACTTTTCAAGTGTTCTGATATATGTGTAATTGGAGGGGAGAAGAAATGGGAGAGACAGAAAAATATTTCTTAAAAATAATGGTGAAATATTTTCCAGAATTTATGAAAACTATAATTCTATAGATCCAAGAATTTCAACAAATCTCAAGCATTAAAAAAAAAACTATACCAACTCATATTGCTTAAAACCAGTGACAAAAAAGCCTAAAAGCACCCAGAAAGAAATAGACATTATATAAAGGATCAAAGTTAAGAATGGCAGCAGATTTTTTTAATTAAAAATAATGAAAGCAATAAGTATTTTAAAGCACTGGAAAAAACTATCTGACTAAAATTCTTTACCCAGTAAACATTTCTTTCAAAAATGAATGTAAAGTAAAAATATTTTCAGACATAAAAAAGAATTAATTAGCAGAAGACCTGCTCTGTCAGAAACAAATAAATTTCTTTCAGCAGTAAAAAAATATAAAAATAAAAAATATTCTAGATTCTATTCTCAAATTTACAAAAGAATAAAGAACACCAGAAATAAAAACTATGTAGGTATATGTCAATATTTTTTCTTATTAATCAAATATATTTAAGAGATAATTATCTATTTAAAGCAAAATAATATATTGTGGGTTTCATAACATAAAAAAGTAGAAAGTAAGTCAAAATTGCACAAAGACAGAGAGGGAAATGGAAATATATTGTTGTAAGATTCGTATACTATACACAAAGTAATATACTATTGCTGGAAAGTAGACTATGACTAGTTAAAGATTCATATTACCATACAACTAAAATCACACAACAAAGATATAGAGCTAATAAGTAACAAACAGATAAAATGGTATTGTAAGAAATAATCCAAAGGAAAATAGAAAAATATGAAAAAGGGGAACGAAGAACAGATAGGACAAATAGAAAACAAATAGTAAGATGGCAGACATAAACCCAGCCATTAATAATAATGCTAAATTTAAATAGTCTAAATACCCCAACTAAAAGGCAGTGGTTCGCAAACTGTAATTTGACAAAAAAAAAAAAACAAACAAACAAGAAATAACATACATACTATACTGTCTACAAGAAACCCATATTAAATATAAAAACAAAAATTCATTAAAATTAAAAGAATGAGAAAAGACATGACATTAATCAAAAGAAATTTGGATCAGCAATATTAACGTAAGATAAAGTAGATTTCAGAGACAAATCCACAATTATACTTAGAGATTCATTGCTTTCTTTCAGCAATTGATAAAACAAAAAAGAAAATAGTAAGGATAAAGAAGACATGAAAAACATTGTCAACGAATTTGACCTAATTGACATTTATAGAACACTCCACCAAACAACAGCAGAATAAACATTTCTTTTAAATACACACAGAACACAAGCCAAGATAGTCTATAGTCTGGGTCACAATATAGTATATTTGAAATATTTAAGTCATACAAAATATATGCTCTGACCACAATGAAAGTAATTAGAAATGAATCATATTGATCAAAGAAGAAATCAATAGCAAAATTAGAAAGTATTCTGAACTGAATATATATATATACACATATCTAGACACTATTACATTATATATAATAGTACACATATGTGAAATTATTACACATATATGGGGCATTGTGGAAGATAGATGTTAGATATCAAAATATATTGAAATTTGAAGGACATAGCTAATACAGTAGTAAAAAGGAAAATTATACCGCTAAATATCCAACTCAGTAAAAAAAGAAAGTTCTCAAATAATGACTTCGGCTCCCACCTTAAGAAAAAGAGCAAATAAATTGCCATGTAAGCAGAGAAAAGAAAATAATGAATATTAGAATGGAAATCAGTAAAACAGAAAATAGAGAAGCAATAAAGAAAATCAATGAAATCAAAATCTTATTTTATTGAAAAGATCAGTTGAATTCTATGGAATTTAAATGATAATAAGGCAATATTATGAACAACTTTGTGTAAATAAATTCAACATCCTAGACGAAATGGAAAAAAATCTTTAAATACACAAACTATCAAAGTTCACTCACGAAAAACAGATAATCAGGATAACCCTATATCTATTAAGGAACTGAATGCATAATTTCAAATCTTCCCACAAACCTTCCCACTTCAGGCCCAGATAGCTACACTGGAGAATTCTATCAAATGTTTAAGGAATAAATATTATAAATTGTAAAAACTCTTCTAGAATATTGAAAGGAGAAAACACTTCCCAACCTCATTCTAAGTTCAGCATTGCTCTGATACTAAAGCAAACATAGACATGACAAGAAAATAAACCTACAGATCAATATTCCTCAGGAACACTTAACAAAATGTTAGTAAACTCTTAACAATATTTTAGCCAAGAATCCAAAATTCTATTTTAAAAAGATTAATAAATCATAGACACGTGGGGTTAGTTAAACATCAATTAATTTAATTGACTATATTAACAGATGTTTTTCAAAATAGATCATCCTGGAAGTCCTACTCAGAACACTCAGGCAAGAGAAAGAAATAAACAGCATCCAAATTGAAAAACAAATCAAATTATCTCTCTTCACTGACAATATGATTCTATATGGAGAAAAACCCTAAAAACTCTTCCAAAAGACTCTACACCTGAATAAACAACTTTTGTAAATTTCAGAATACAAAATTCATGTATAAAAATCAGTAGCATTTCTTGTCTTTTCTTTTTTTTTTTTTTTTTTAATACAGGGTCTTGCTCTATCTCTGTTGCCCAGTCTGGAGTGCAGTGGTGGGATCATAGCTCACTGCAGTCTCCATTTCCTGGTCTCAAGTGATCTCCTGCCTCAGCCACCCGAGTATCTGGGACTACAGATGGCTGCCACCGTGCTGGGCTAATTTTTTAAAATATATTGTTAATATTTTTTAGTAGTGAGCTATGTTGCCCAGGCTGGTCTTGAACTCCTAAGCTCAAGAGATCCCTGCATCTAGCCTCCAAAGTGCTGAGATTACAGGCATGAGCCACTGAACCTGGCCACAAATCAGTAGCATTTTTATACACCAATAACATTCAAGCTGAGAGCCAAATGAAGAATAAATTCTCATTTACAATAGCCACAAAAAATAAAAGTAAACTAAAATACCTAGGAGTATATCTAATTAAGGAGGTGAAAGATCTCTACAAGGATACCAACAAAACACTACTGAAAGGAATCAGAGATGACACAAGCAAATGGGCAAAACATTCCATGCTCATGGATTGGAAGAAATAGTATCATGAAAATGGCCATACTGCCCAATGCAATCTACAGATTCAATGCTATTCCTATGAAACTACCAACATCATTTTTCACAGAATTAGAAAAAATATTGTAAAATTCATATGGAACCAAAAAAAAAAAAAAAAAGCTGGATAACCAAAGCAATTCTAAGCAAAAACAATAAAGCCAGGGCATCACATTACCTGACTTTAAACTATACTATAAGGCTATAATAATTAAAACAGCATGGTACTGGTACAAAAACAGACACATGCCAGTGGAACAGAATAGAGAGCCCAGAAGTAAAGCTGCACACCTACAACCATCTGATCATCAACAAAGTCAACAAAAATAAGCAATGGGGAAAGGACTATCTATTTAATAAATGGTGCTGGGATAACTGGCTAGCCATATGCAGGAGAATAAAATTGGACCCCTACCTTTCACCATATACAAAAATTAACTTAGGATGAATTAAAAATTTAAATGTAATACCTCAAGCTTTAAATATCCTAGAAGAAAGCCTAGAAAATACCACTTGGGACATTGGCCTTTGCAAATAATTTATGACTACGTTTTCAAAAGCAATTGCAACAAAAACAAAAATTAATAAATGGGACCTAATTAAGTGAAAGACTTTTTGCACAGTAAAAGAAACTATCAACACAGTAAACTGACAACCTAAGAGGGAGAAAATATTTGCAAACTATGTATCTGACAAAGGTCTAATATCCAGACTCTATAAGGAACTAGAATAAATCAACAAGCCTAAAATAAATAGTCCCATTAAAAAGTGGACAAAGGACATGAACAGACACTTCTCAAAAGAAGACACACAAGCAGCCAACAAACATATGAAAAAATGTTTATTATCACTAACCATCAGAGAAATGCAAATCAAAACCACAATGAGATATCATCTCATACCAGTCAGAATGGCTATTATTAAAAAGACAAAAAAATAAAATGCTGGAAAATTCGCAGAGAAAATGGAACCCTCATACACTATTATGGAAATATAAATTATTTCTGCCACTTTGGAAAACAGTTTGGAGATTTCTCAAAGAACTTAAAACAGAACTACCATTTGACTCAGCAATCCCATTACTAGATATATACCCAAAGAAAAATAAATTGTTCTACCAAAAAGGCACATGCGCTAATATGTGCATCACAGCACTATTCACAATAGCCAAGACATGGAATCAACTTAGGTGCCCATCAGTGGTGGACTGGATAACGAAAATGTGGTAAATATACACCATGGAATACTATGCCAGCCACAAAAAAGAATGAAATTATGTCCTTTGAAGCAACGTGCATGCAGCTGAAGGCCATCATCCTAAGGGAATTAACACAGGAACAGAAAACCAAATGTTGCATGTTCACTTATAAGTGAGAGCTAAACATTAGGTACATATAGACATAAAGATGGGAACAGTAGACACAGGGGACCACTAGAGAGGGAAGAGAAGGAGGAGTGAAGAGCTGATTGGGTACTGTGCTCACACCTGGGTGATGGGATCATTCATACCACAAACCTCAGTATCACACAATATACCCATGTAACAAACTTGCACATATACCCCCCTGAATCTAAAATAAAAGTTGAGGTGGATCATGGCAGATGGGACGCAGGACTAAATTGCAGCTCTGACTCAGATGGACAGAGCACCGTGTGGAGGTTCGCATAATGAATTTTTTGCTCCTGATTTTTTTGCAGGAATAAATCAGGAAACCTGAGAGGACCCACAGACCCTCTGAAGGAAGTGGATTGCTCCTGCAGGACCCAGGAGACACCCCAAATACTGGGAGTGCCCAAACTGTGGAAGTGGGAAAGGGAGATTGTCGGCTCCTGAAAACACACCCCCACTGGGGAAACTAAAGGTCTAGATTACAAGAGAAGATTCTGACCTTACCTGGAACTGAGGCAATTTAGAGAGCCGAGCGAAATACAGGGGTAGAGGAAGCAGCAGGAAAAGCCCTCTGAGTTTGCTGTGTCCCCTAGCAAACCATTTCTGCTTGGTCTCACAAAGGTCTTTTGGGAGGGTGGCCAGAGGCACTGGGAAAAGGTCACAGGGAGAAGAAAATCTCCAGCTGAACTTTGTAACAATTTGAACTAATCGAGAAGTCTCCTGGCCAGAACTCAGGGAAGTTCATGAATCTGTTGAGCAGACTCCACAGGCAGGGAAGTATAAAAGCCCTACTTGCTTTCACAGCTGGGAAGCTGGTAGCCTGGGGCAAGTTCTCAGCCCTGCTCACCCAGTGCCTGAAAACAGACTCAGCGCTGTTGGGTAGGGCACTGTGGGAGTGAGATTGCCTCTTCAGCTTCTGTGGGAGATGGGTGAGGCCTGTGACTACCAGCTTTCCCGTGCTTCCCTGACAACCTGCATGACACAGTAGAGACAGCCATAATCCTCCTAAGAACATAAATCCACAGACCTGGGAACCTCACCCCCATCTCCCACAGCAGCCGCAGCAAGACCCTCCCAAAGAGAGTCTGAGCTCAGATATGCCTAGCCCTGCCCCCACCCAGTGGTTCTTCCCTACCCACCCTGGTAGCTGAAGACAAAGAGCATATACTCTTGGGAGTTCTAGGGCCCCACCCACTGCCTGATCCCTCCCATACTACCACAGCTGATGCTCTCTGGAAAGTGCCACCTCCCTGCAGGAGGCCAACCAGCTCAAAAATAGTGTTATTAAATCACGAAAACTAAGGACCCTCACAGAGTCCATTTCACATCCACGCCCCCCACCCTCCCTGGCCACCTCACCATCTGTGGTTCACATCACAGGACTCTGTGCAGACAACCTCCAGTACCAGCCTGGAGCCTGGTAGACTTGCTGGGTAGCTAGATCCAGAAGAGGGATAACAGTCACTACAGCTCAGCTCTCAGGAAGGCATATCCATAGGAAAAGGGGGAGAGTACTACATCAAGGGAATGCCTTGTGGGTCAAAAGAATCAGAACAAGAGCCTTCAGCCCTAGACCTTCCCTCTGATAGAGACTACCTAAATGAGAAGGAACCAGAAAACCAACTCTGGTAATATGACAAAACAAGGTTGTGTAACTCCCTCAAAAAACCACACTAGCTCACCAGCAATGAATCCAAACCAAAAAGAAATGGCTGATTTACCCAAAAAACAATTCAGAAGATTAGTTATTAAATTAATCAGGGAGGCACCAGAGAAAGGCAAAGCCCAGTGTAAGGAAATAAAAATAAAAGATACAGTAAGTGAATGGAGACATATCCAATGAAATGGATAGCATAAATAAAAAAAAAAAATCAAAACTTCAGGAAACAATGGACACACATAAAAATGTAAAATGTTCTGGGAAGTCTCAGCAATAGAATCGAACAAGTAGAAGAAAGAAATTCAGAGCCCAAAGACCAGGTCTTTGAATTAACCAAATCCAACAAAGACAAAGAAAAAAAATAAGAAAATATGAACAAAGCCCCCAAGAAGTCTGGAATTATGTTAAATGACCAAACCTAAGAATAATTGGCGTTCCTGAGGAAGAAGAGAAATCCAAAAGTTTGGAAAACGTATTTGGGGGAATAATCCAGGAAAACTTCCCCAGCCTTGCTAGAAACCCAGGCATCCAAACACAAGAAGCATAAAGAACACCTGGGAAATGATCTCAAAAAGATCATCACCTGGGCACATTGTCATCAGGCTATCTAAAGTTAAGATGAAGGAAAGAACCTTAAGAGCTGTGAGACAAAAGCATGAGGTAACCTAAAAAGGAAAATCTATCAGATTAACAGCAGATTTCTCAGCAGAAACCCTGCAAGCTAGAAGGGATTTGGAGCCCTATCTTCAGCCTCCTCAAACAAAACAATTATCAGCCAAGAATTTTGTATCCTGAGAAACTAAGCTTCACATATGAAAGAAAGATACAGTCTTTTTCAGACAAACAAATTCTGAGAGAATTTGCCACTACCAAGCCACTACTACAAGAACTGCTAAAAGGAGCTCTAAATCTTGAAACAAATCCTGGTAACACATCAAAACAGAACCTATTTAAAGCATAAATCTCACAGGACCTATAAAACAAAAATACAATTTAAAAAACAAAAAGCAAAAATCCAACATGTACAGGCAACAAATAGCACGATGAATGGAATGGTACCTCACATCTCAATACCAACATTGAATGTAAATGGTCTAAATGCTCCACTTAAATGATACAGAATTGCAGAATGGATAAGAATTCACCAACCAACTATCTGCTGCCTTCAGGAGGCTCACCTAACACATAAGGACTCACATAAACTTACAATAAAGGGGTGGAAAAAGACATTTCATGCAAATGGACACAAAAAGCAAGCAGGAGTAGCTATTTTTATATCAGACAAAACAAACTTTAAAGCAACAGCAGTTTAAAAAGACAAAGAGGGTATTACATGATGATAAAAGGCCTTGTCCAACAGGAAAATATCACAGTCCTAAACATATACACATCTAACACTGGAGCTTCCAGATTTATAAAACAATTACTAGTAGACCTAAGGAATGAGATACACAGCAACACAATATTAGTGGGAGAATTTAATACTCCATTGACAGCACTAGACAAGTCATCAAGACAAAAAGTCAACAAAAAAACAATGGATTTAAACTATACCCTGGAACAAATGAACTTAACAGTTGTATATAGAACATTCCATCCAACAACTGCAGAATATACATTCTATTCAACAGTGCATGGAACTTTCTCCAAGATACACCATATGATAGGCCACAAAATGAGTATCAATAAATTTAAGAAAATTGAAATTATATCAAGCACTCTCTCAGACCACAGTAGTATAAAATTGGAAATCAAATCTAAAAGGAACCTTCAAATCCAAAAGGAACCTTCAAATCCAAAAGGAAACTTCATAACCTTCATATAAAATTGGAAATCAAATCCAAAAGGAACCTTCATTAAATAACCTGCTCCGAATGATCATTGAGTCAAAAATCAAATCAAAATGGAAATATAAAAATTATTCTAACTGAATGACACCAGTGACACAACCTATCAAAACATGTGGAATACACCAAAGGCAGTGCTAAGAGGAAAGTTCATAGCCCTAAATGTCTGCATCAAAAAGTCTGAAAGAGCACAAACAGACAATCTAACGTCACACCTCAGGGAACTAGAGAAACAAGAACAAACCAAACCCAAACCCAGCAGAAGAAAGGACATAACCAAGATCAGAGCAAAACTAAGTGAAATTGAAACAAAAAAATACAAAGATAAATGAAGCAAAAACCTGGTTCTTTGAAAAGATAAATAAAATTGATAGACCATTAGGAAGATTAACCAAGAAGAGAAGACAGAAAATCCAAATAAGCTCAATAAGCAACGAAATGGAAGATATTACAACTGACACCACAGAAATACAAAAGATCATTCAAGGTTACTATGAACACCTTTATGCACATAACCTAGAAAACCTAGAAGAAATGCATAAACTCCTGGAAAGATACAACCCTCCTAGCTTAAATTAGGAAGAATTAGATACCATGAACAAAGCAATAACAAGAATCAAGATGCAAGATTTAAATGGTAATTTAAAAATTATCAACAAAAAATGTTCGGGACCAGATGGATTCACAGCAGAATTCTACCAGCCATTCAAAGAAGAATTGGTACCAATCTTATTAACACTATTCCACAAGATAGAGAAAGAGAGAACCCTCCTTAAATAATTCTATGAAGCCAGTATCATCCTAATACCAAAACCAGGAAAGGACATAACCAAAAAAGAAAACTACAGACCAATATCCCTAATGAACATAGATGCTAAAATCCTTAACAAAATACTAGCTAACTGAATCCAACAACATGTTAAAAGGATAAATCACCATGATCAAGTGGGTTTCATACCAGGGATGCAGGGATGGTTTAACATACACAAGTCAATAAATGTGATACCCCACATAAACAGAATTTAAAACAAAAATCACATGATCCTCTCAATAGATGCAGAAAAAGCACTCAATGAAATCCAGCATGACTTTATGATTACAATTCTCAGCAAAATAGGCATACAAGGGACATATCTCAAGGTAATAAAAGCCATCTACGACAAACCCACAGCCAATATAATACTGAATGGGGAAAAGTTGAAAGCATTCCCTCTGAAAACTGGAAGAAGACAAGGATGCCCATTCTCAACACTCCTCTTCAACATAGTACTGGAAGTCCTAGCCAGAGCAATCAGACAAGAAAACGAAATAAAGGGCATCCAAATTGGTAAAGAGGAAGTCATACTCTTGCTGTTTGCTGATGATATTATTGTTTACCTAGAAAACCCCAAAGACTCCTCCAGAAAGCTCCCAGAACTGACAAAAGAATTCAGTGAAGTTTCCAGATACAAAATTAATGTACACAAATCAATAGCTCTTCTATACACCAACAGTGACCAAGCTGAAAATCAAATAAAAAAGTCAACCCCTTTTACAACAGCTGCAAAAAAAAAAAAAAAAAAAACTTAGAACTTTCCTAACTAAGGAGGTGAAAGACTTCTACAAGGAAAACTACAAAACACTGCTGAAAGAAATCATAGGCGACACAAACAAATGGAAACACATCCCACGCTCATGGATGGGTAGGATCAATATTGTGAAAATGACCATACTGGCAAAAGCAATCTACAAATTTAATGCAATTCCCATCAAAATACCACCATCATTCTTCACAGAATTAGAAACAAACAATTCTAAAATTCATATGGAACTGAAAAAGAGCCCACATAGCTAAAGCAAGACTAAGCAAAAAGAACAAATCTGGAGACATCACAGTACCTGACTTCAAACTATACTATAAGGCCATAGTCACCAAAACAGCATGGTACTTGTATAAAAATAGGCACTTAGACCAACGGAATAGAATAAAGTACCCAGAAATAAACCCAAATACTTACAGCCAACTGATCTTTGATGGAGCAAACAAAAACATAAAGTGGGGAAAGGACACCCTTTTCAAGAAATGGTGCTGGGATAGTTGGCTAGCCACATGTAGGAGAATGAAATTGGATCATCATCTCTCACCTTACACAAAAATCAACTCAAGATGGATTAAGGACTTAAATCTAAGACCTGAAACTATAAAAATTCTAGAAGATAACATTGGAAAAACCCTTCTAGATCTTGGCTTAGGCAAGGATTTCATGACCAAGAACACAAAAGCAAATGCAATAAATACAAAGATAAATAGCTGGGACTTAAGTAAAATCAAGAGCTTTTGCACAGCAAAAAGAACAATCAGCAGAGTAAACAGACAACCCACAGAGGAGGAGAAAGTCTTCACAATCTATACATCAGACAAAGGACTAATATCCAGAATCTACAACGAACCGAAACAAATCAGCAAGAAAAAACAAACAGTCCCATAAAAAAATGGGCTAAGGACACGAGTAGACAATTCTCTAAAGAAGATATACAAATAGCCAACAAACATGAAACAATGCTCAGCATCACTAATGATCAAGGAAATGCAAATCAAAACCACAATGTGACACCACCTTCCTCCTGCAAGAATGACCATAACTGAAAAATCAAAAAATAGTAGATGTTGGCGTGGATGTGTTGAACAGGGAACACTTCTACACTGCTGGTTGGAATGTAAACTAGTACAAGCACTATGGAAAACAGTGTGGAAATTCCTTAAAGAACTAAAAGTACCATTTGATCCAGCAATCCCACTACTGGATATCTACCCAGAGGAAAATAAATCATTATATGAAAAAAATACTTGCACATGGATGTTTACAGCAGCGCAAGTTGCAATTGCAAAAACGTGGAACCAACCCAAATGTCCATCATTCAATGAGTGGATAAAGAAACTGTGAGACACATATATAGATATACGTATATTATATATATATATTCCTATATTTTTTATATATATATATAATGGAATACTACTCAGCCATAAAAAGGAATGAATTAATGGTATTTGCAGTGACCTGGATGAGATTGGAGACTATTATTCTAAGCGAAGTAACTCAGGAATGGAAAACCAAACGTCGTATGTTCTCTCTCATAAGTGGGAGCTAAGCTGTGAGGATACAAACGCATAAGAATGACACAATGGACTTTGAAGACTCAGGGAAAAGGGTGGGAAGGGAAGGGAATTAAGGATAAAAGACTACAAATAGGGTGTGGTGTATACTGCTCGGGTGATGGGTGCACCAAAATCTCACAAATCACCACTAAAGAACTTACCCATGTAACCAAACACCACCTATTCCCCAATAACTTATAGAAATATAAATAAAATAAAAGTTGAAATTATTTTTAAAAAATAGATCATCCTGGCTGGGTATGGTGGCTCATGCCTGTAATCCCAGCACTTTGGGAGCCCGAGGTGGGAGGATCACTTAAGCCCAGGAGTTAGAGGCCACCCTGGGCAACGTAGTGAGAACTCGTCTCTACAAAACAAAATTTAAAAATTAGCTGAGCATGGTAGCATGTGCCTATAGTCCCAGCTATGCAGGAGGCTGAGGTGGGAGGATAACTTGAGCCTGGGACGTTGAGGCCGATCACACCTCTGCACTCCAGCCTGGGTAACTAAGTGAGACCCTGTCTTAAAAAAAAAAAAATCATCCTAATAGAGTTAGAAAAAAAGTTGGAGAAAATACAATATCTCTTTCTGAGAAAAAAAAAAAACGTAGTAGTAACATAGTAGGGAGAAACTTTCTCGACATGATATAGGGATCCACAATAAAACTAAAGCCCACATTGTGTTTAAAGATGAAAACCTGAATGTTCTTCCCCTAAGATTAGGAACAAGGCAAGGATTTTTACTCTCACCACTTATATTCAACATCAAACCAGAAGTACAATGAGTCAGGAAAAAGAAAAAGAAGATATCCATGTTTAAAATGGAAGAAGTGAAATTGTCTTTATATGCAGAAACCTGATTGTCTACCTATACAATCTGATGGAGTCTACGAAAAAAACTTATTAGAACTAGTAAAAGCAATAATTTATCAATGCTGCAAGATACAAGGTTAATACACAAAAACCAACTGTACATAAGCAACAAAAAAATTAAAACTACAAAAAATACCATTTATAATGGCATCAAAAATAAGAAATACCTAGAGACAAATCTGCTAAAAGATGTGCAAAACCCAAACACTGACAAATGCAAAATATTTCTGGCAGAAATTAAAGAAAACCTAAATAAATTGATAGGTACAAACTAAGTTCACGAATCAGAAGATGAAATATTGTTGAGATGTCAATTCTTCCAAAATTAATCTACAAATTTATTGCAATCTCGATCAAAATCCCACCAGGCATTACTTTGAAGAAATTGACAAGCTAATTCCAAAATTCATATGGAAATGCAAAGATTCTTTTTTTTTTCTTTTTTTATTATTATTATACTTTAAGTTTTAGGGTACATGTGCACAATGTGCAGGTTAGTTACATATGTATACATGTGCCATGCTGGTGTGCTGCACCCATTAACTCATCATTTAGCATTAGGTATATCTCCTAATGCTATCCCTCCCCCCTCACCCCCACCCCACAACCGTCCCCAGAGTGTGATGTTCCCCTTCCTGTGTCCACGTGTTCTCATTGTTCAATTCCCATCTATGAGTGAGAACATGCAGTGTTTGGTTTTTTGTCCTTGCGATAGTTTACTGAGAATGATGATTTCCAGTTTCATCCATGTCCCTACAAAGGACATGAACTCATCATTTTTTATGGCTGCATAGTATTCCATGGTGTATATGTGCCACAGTTTCTTAATCCAGTCTATCATTGTTGGACATTTGGGTTGGTTCCAAGTCTTTGCTATTGTGAATAGTGCCACAATAAACATATGTGTGCATGTGTCTTTATAGCAGCATGATTTATAGTCCTTTGGGTATATACCCAGTAATGGGATGGCTGGGTCAAATGGTATTTCTAGTTCTAGATCCCTGAGGAATTGCCACACTGACTTCCACAATGGTTGAACTAGTTTACAGTCCCACCAACAGTGTAAAAGTGTTCCTATTTGTCCACATCCTCTCCATCACCTGTTGTTTCCTGACTTTTTAATGATCACCATTCTAACTGGTGTGAGATGGTATCTCATTGTGGTTTTGATTTGCAAGAAATGCAAAGATTCTAGTATAGCCAAAACAGCATTGAAAAAGAACAAAGTTGGGCCAAGTGTGGCAGCTCACACATGTGATCCCGGCACTTTGGAAGGCCAAGGTGGGTGGATAACTTGAGGCCAACAGTTCAAGACTGTTGGCCAACATGGTGAGACTCCGTCTCTACTAAAAACTGCAAAAATTAGCCAGGTATGGTGGCACACTCCTGTAATCCCAGCTACTCAGGAGGCTGAGGTACGAGAATTGCTTGAACCCAGGTGGTGGAGGTTGCCGTGAGCCGAGATCGCACCACTGCACTCCAGCCTGGGCAACAGAGCAAGACTGTCTCAAAAAAAAAAAAATTTTTTTTTAAGTAAAAGAGCAAAGTTGGAAAGCTCATACTACCTGACCTCAGGAGTTATTTCGAAGCCGTAGTAACCAAGAGAATGTGATATTGACATCAAGAGAGACAGATCAATAGAACAGAATAACATGTATAGAAATAAATCCATGCATATCTTATTTGTTGATTTTTACAAAGGTGCAAAGGCAGTTTAGTAGACAAAAAATATATTTTTGCAAGATATGGTGAAACAGTTGAATAACTGTATACAAGAAAAAATTAAAAATAAACTTCAGTACATATCTTGCACCTTATACAAATTAACTAAAAACGGATACTACACGTAAGTGTAAAACTAGAACTATAAAACTTCTAGAAGAAAACATAAGAGAAAATTTTTGTGACCTCGGTTTGGGCAAAGGTTTCTTATACACAATACCAAGAGCATGATCCACACAAAATTAAAAATTAAAAAACTAAATTGAACTGCATCAAAATTAAGAACTTTTGCTCTGCAAAAGCTACTGTTAAGAGAATGAAGACAAGGTAAGCTATATACTAGGAGAAAATATTTGCAAATTACATTTCTGACAAAGAATGTGTATCCAGAATATATGTACAAAGAACCCTTAAAGCTAAATAATAAATGAAGTAAAAACAAATAAACAAACAACCCAATAAAAAATGGGCAAAGTACTTGAACAGATACATCAAAGATGGCTTTTGAATAGCAAATAAGCATGGGAAAGAATGTTGACTGAATTAGTCAATAGGAAAATGCAAATTAGAATCACAAGATATCACTACACATCTATTGGAATGTCTAAAATTAAGTGATTGACCATATCAAGTGCAAGGAAAGTTTTGGGGTGATGGACATGTTCTTTATCTCTATCGTGATGATAGTTTCACAGGTATAATCTCAAATTGAAATGTGCAATTTATTGTATGTCAATTATATCTCAGTAAAGCTGTTTAAAAGTAATAATAATGCTGCAAAGTGGTCTGGGGCTATGTGGCAAGAGAGCCTCCACTTCCATTTTGGAGTAGACTTGATCAGAGTGATATCAAAGCCCTGCTGCTTTCTTCATAGTTTTGGAAGACTGTAAGGAGGTGGCTCTTTCTATTTTTACTACTGTACACTCACTTGTCTTCCAAGAGCCCAGAACAGGAATTGGAGGTGAGGAGGGGCTGCTCTGTGCACACACAAACCTGAATGGCAGTCACCACATTGTACCCAGAATCCTTCTCCTTTCAGGCCCCACAGCTCTATTTTAATATAGGTCAAGCTGGTAGGCCTGGCTTCCTTTGCCTAAAGACAAGCATCCTCCTGGGAGTCTCCGTGTTTTTCTTACTCCATGCTAAACCTTGTAGATTTTTTACTAGCTTGCCAAACATCAAGTGACTTGTCTGAACCCAGCATAAGATGTCTACCCTCCATAGTTAAAGGGAAATGCAATTAAAGCAAAATTTTTTAAAAATAGAAATAATTACCCACTTAATTTATCAATCATTGCTTAATCTACCTCTGGTTTCCCCTGCAGACTCCAGTTGAATGATTTCTTCAGTTCAGCTAAATTTGTATACCTCTGTTAAAAGCCCCTTTGTGGATAAATGCACAATTCCGAATCTTCAGCATTTTCATCAGTTTTCTCTCTGCAGTCTTTCTTCTATAAAGCCTTTAATTCTCCCAACAAAAGTGTATAATTTTCAAAGGCTTTTGTTGAGGATCCTTTCCTAAGCACTCTGAGACCCAGTGTGTAGAAGGCTGGAATGGAATTCTGATACAGAATGAGGATGGCCCTTTGGGTGTGAAGGGAAGAGGTCAAGAGGACAGGCCACAAGGAATTATTGTCTTCAAATGCTGCTCTTTTCTCCCAAAGTCCTGATAAAATGAATAAAGATATATGCACTCCCATGGGAAATCTGCCTTACCTCAAAAACTATGGGGTATATGTAGCTAGCAGACAGCAAATATTCTTTGCTCCAGTTAACCACTTACTACATCTCTATTTCCATCTGAGGTTCTTTTTGGAACCCCCAAAAGACGCAGTAAGTTAACCACTTACTACGTCTCTATTTCCACCTGTTCACCACTTACTATGTCTCTATTTCCACCTCACTTTAGATTCAGGGGGAACATGTGTGGATTTGTTACATGGACACATTGCTTGAGGCTGAGGTTTAGGGTATGATTGATCCTGTCACCCAGGTAGTGAGCATAGTACCCATATCCAATAGCTAGCTTTTCAATCCTTCTCCTTTCCCTCCCTCCTTCTTTCTCAAGACCCCTTAGTCTTTTGCCATGGGCTGTTGACTTGCTCCGTTGTTAGCAAAGTTACCAAGTCTGTGTAATACCGTGGTGTGAACATGGCTGCATTTAGCTAGTTCAGACAAAGTTGAGAGACAATTCCCACGTGGGAAATGGAAACTGCTTCATAACCTCTGAAAGTCAGAAACACTTTAATGGAATTTTCCGTGGAAGCTCACTTCAATTAGTGCCTAAGCCTTTGACACACTGCATTTATCACTGCAGTTCGACAGACTGCACATACTCCCTTAGGTCTTCGAGATGTGTGAGTCTCTATAATGCATGTCACCTGATCTCAGGTGATCCTGAGGCAGCCTGCATTAAAGAGCTCTACCCAGAAGCAGTGACAGCAATTAAGAGAACCGATCAGACTTTCACTAAAGTTCACACTAGAGAATATGGAGAGCTTTAGTTGATAGCAGTGTGAGTCCAAAAGAAAAGCAGATTCTTTTCTCTTTTGAGAAAATGGCTGAGAGACCATGGAGCCCATGGAGCCCATGAGATCAGGTTGAAGAGAGCAGCCAGTTTCCTCCCCATCCCAACGCCTTCTCAATGCCTGTTCCCTTGCACCATGCAATTCTCTTTTTCTTACAGTAACCTAATTGAGCCTCTTTTAATTACAGTATGAACATGAAAAGATACTGATAGCATCATTATGATAGTTGATGTTTACTGAGAGCTTACTACCTGCCAAGCAAAATCTAAGTTATTTCTTCACAATAACTTATTGTTAACATCAACCATGTGACATAAGTACTTAAACATCAACCCTATTTGCAGGTGAGGAAATTGAGGCACAAAGAAGTTAAGGGGTTTTCCACGGTTATCTAGACATTAAATGAAGAAGCTGGGATTTAAGCCCAGATGCTTGTAAACTGGGATTGGAAGCCCACCACTTGCATATGTAATCTGTATGCTGAACTGCTTCTAGCAATGTGATGACCAAATTGTTCATGGTAAAGACATGAATCCAATGAAGAGAAAACATGAAGGAAAAAAAGAAAGGAAAAGACAGAAGGAGGAAGGAGGTCTAAGTTGGGGTTGAAAGGCTTCACAGATTAGGAATGATTTGTAAGGCCAGGAGTGGAAATCAGAAGTTATATATGAAGGACCAAGACCATTCAGGGTAACAATGCACAAAGACATAGAAGAAAATTCTGTAGAAGACATATCCCAGGGACAGAAGCAAAACCATCAAATTGGAGTGGAGCCTTCACTTAGAGTGAAGCTTGGCCTTGCCCATCAGGCTGAAGTATTCATGCTTCATCTTATCTTGTCCCCTCTACTCACCCACCATGCCCTAGAAATGTACACACCTCATTTCCCATGGGAGCTGCCCCACTGTGTTCACAGCTCACTGGTAATGAGAAGATTGCAAATAGCTAGTAAAGTGTAAGTTTAGGCCAGAAAGGTCCAACAGAGAATGGAGGCTAACTCATAACTCTCTGCTTCCACTTTAGCAAAAAAGCTGGATTCTGTCTCCCGTGTTATTGGCTAAGTGGTAGAGCTTAAATTTCTTTTCCATCTTCTGAATGTCCTGGGGCCTAGATTGTTGTTGACTTTTAATCTGGAACTGACAGTCAACAACCCTGGCTGCCATGTCATCACTGGGTCTAGGACAAGTATAACCAATGTTGTAAGAGAATGGGATTGACCTGGTCCACTCACTGAACGTGAGAGGGCAGAAAACTAACTGGTGAGAATTAAATAAAGTGAAATATTAAGTACTTGGTATAATTACTGGCACCTAGCAAGGGCTCAAAATTGGTAACTGCTATAATTAGCAATAGCAACAGTAGCTGAATAACTTGGTGCTATGTTCTAAATGTTTGTGTTTTCCCAAAATTTTTATGTTGAAATCCTATCCCTCAGAGGGATTTTGGAGGTGGGGACTCTGGGAGATGATTAGGCCATGGAGGTGAAGACCTTATAAGTGGGATTAGTGCCCTTTAAAAAAAGGTACTAGACAGCCCCTTCACTGTGTGCCATGTGAGGATGGAGTGAGAAGTGGGCCACCTGTGAACCAGAAAGCAGGCCCACGGCAACACCGAATTCGCTGGTGCCTTGATCTTAGACTTCCCAGCCTCCGGAACTATGAGAAATAAATTTCTCACAGTTCTTTGTTGCCAATAAGCCACTCATTTTATGGTATTTTTATAGTAGCCCAAATGGACTAAGACACTTGAGAAATTCAACTCATTAAATCAATGTCACCATATTATCGACATTTAACATCTAGGCCTAGAATGTTCATGTTCTTAAAGGAAAGTGACAGTCAGACCACTCTTAGAAGGAGACATAATTGCTCCTACCTTGGACACTCAATTCCTTTTCTTCTAGATCCTTTTTATGCCTACATTTGGAATGGCACTCATGACAGCAGCTTCCATGAACCCCTAAAGTTATATCTTGGTACTCTGGATCAACATCTCAGGACTATCTAGCACAGAGAGATGACTGTAAAAAAATCTATTTGATCCCCAGACCTGGGCAGTTCTCTCTTTCCTACCTGTTCCTTCTTTGACCATAGGATTCCTGATTTTCTTCTAATAAGAGACAGTGGAGAAAAGCATGAGCTTTCAAGTAAGGCAGATGTAAATAAGGAAATTACACCAAGGGGCATCAACATGAGCATGGGTGGGAGGGGCCAGTTTGCACCCAGCTGCTGCCATTGCTCACTTTATCAGCAATGTCATCACAGGAGGGGTTACCTGCTTCCATTTAAGATTCTAGAGCTTCAGAAAGAAACCAGCACTGCTTCTACTTCTAAAGCAATTAAGGGACTAAGGTGAGCTGACCTAAGAAACAGCTTTTGTTAGGCAAAATGGGCACACCCACAATCCTCTGATAGTGTTGTTTTTGGAATCCCAAGCCTGCAAAAGACTTCTCTCAAGTCTTCTGGAAGAGGGGGGCTCCAGAATCCCTAAGCTATGTTGTGCTGGCCTGGTCAGGGCCAAATTCCAGCTCCAACTTAGATTTTGGGCCCCAAGTTCTCTCTCTCTTCCTCAACCTCAAGACCAGCTCTCATAGTGCATAATTTGAAAGTGGCCAAATACCTACAACTGTCACACATAAGGCTGTGCTGACCACCACACATTCTATATTGAGGATTCCTGCCAGAAATCAGGTAATGAAAGGCAAATGATATTAAAGAAACATGAAGAAGAATCCCGTGATTTCCACATGGACAATGCAAGTGCTCAGCGGACACTTTCATCAGGACTTTATAAATCAGTCATCAGTATGAAGTCAGCAGACTTCGTGGGATGGCAAGTTATCATTCATGAAGTCTGTTAGATGCGCAGGCCTCTGACAGGTTAGAGAAGACAAGGTGAGATGGTGGGAAGATCAAGGACTATACAAGCAGGAAGGGATGGTGTATAGAAGACGAGCAGCTGCATCCCACTTCCTCCGAAGACAACATCAGAAGGTTCAGGCTGACTTTGCAACAGGAGTGGTCGGGTGAGTCCAGCCCAGCAACCCCACAAGCCTGCAGCTCCCATGTGCCTTGCTATGTTCACAGCTTCATTGGCTGCCACGCTCAATGCATCTCTCCTTGCAGTGAATCATGCTGGCAGGGGGATGAGAGGCATCCAGTACCAAGGATGTCAAGGAGAAATCTGCAATTTTCATATGAACAGTTTCCAGGGCTCTGGTGAAAGCATCCTCCAGATCCCATGAGTCCGTCCCAGCATGGATGGTTCCTCTTTGGAGATGCCCAGTCCCTGGTGGGCAGGGCTCAGTTGGAAGGTGCCTCAGCTCAACCCATCAGGATGATCAGTTCTCATGCATCCTCCACCACCGACCAGCCCTGCTCTACCTGAGAACTCCATGCTTAGGCCGTAATAACCAGCTGTCAGAGTGGATTTTATACTGGCTATAAATTAATCTGTTTTAATTGGTTTTATTCCCAGTCAAATATGGAGAATGGGGCAGGGATGGATTCCAGAAGGATTTCAGAAAAGCATTTTATTTCATTGTATCACAGCATCTACAAGAGTTACAGTAAAATAAAACTCAGATGCCCCCCTCCCTCAAACCCGCCTGTATCTCAGAGTAATAAGCTTTCCATTTCAGTGGGGAATGAAGCTATTTGTCAGTTCCAATGTCAAGAATGAATACAATTCGAATTCTCTAGCCATTTATTTCAACAATTCTCTATTCTTCAGCTAAAATAACTTAACATAAGAAATAGCTGTTCACTCAATGTAAAACTTGCAAACCTGGTTCCACAAGGCATATTTCTAAAAAAATAATGAATCTGGAGGGGCTGTTGGAAAAGAAGCTTCATCCATCTTGGTACAATGGTAATGCCCAAGCCCACTGGAGCACTTTCCTCCAGCAGCCTAGACTCAGGAGCAGCATCCCCACAGGCTGATCTTCTCGCTTCACTCTTCATTACCATCATTATAATTGCTACCATCTCCTCATAAACATTCACGATCCATCATCTTTCCTCTTTAAACCTGATGTTTTCATGACACCCAAATGGCCCTGAATGTGAAACTTTCAATGACTGAGACATCGAGAAAAATTAGAAATCATGATAAAATTTTTCATTTTACCCCTGACAAGTCCCTGTTGTAGACAGCTGCAGAAGACAACCCCAAGCTGCAGTCTGTAGCTGGAATTGGCTTTGCATGAATGCTGGAGGGGATGGAGACCCCTGGGAAACCTGTTGACATCAGCCCGAGCCTTCCATCTTCAATGTCTGTCCTGGGGCTGAACACAAAACCTCAAGGTTCAGTAGTATTTTGCCTTCTTCACCAAAGGTTCCTCCCATCATTTCCTGTCCCATTTCCTCCCTACCAAGGGAGAATTTATACATGTCAAAAGTCCCAAAGGCCTGAAAAATGTTGCCCAGTAAAAGCCCAAATGTTGAGCTTCTCATTAAAAATAACAAACATGTATATATTATGCAGCACTTACTGTGTATCAAACTCTATCATGCAGGTAAACATAAAATATTTTACATCTATTAACTTGGGTTAGCCCTTATAACAATCCTAGGAAGTAAACGCTGTCAGTGTTCCCATATGAGGAAACTGAAGCACAGAAAGTTTCGCTGGCCTGTCTGAAGGCACACAGTTTGCAAATCGTGGCCCTGGAATTGAATCTTGAGAACCTGCTCCAGAGTTTGTGCTCTTAACCACCACACTAAAAGTCCTCCCTCAAAATTGCATATTACTGAAATTTCTAAAGAATATTTTCTGAGAACTGGGTGTTCCTGGCAATGGTTTCAGTGAGTTTCTGCCTAAAGTTAGGAAATAATAAATTCACAAGACCTCTTCCAGCTTTAGTATACCTATACATGTTTAAAGCTGTTTTCCAAATACTACAAAGGAATAAAAGAATCATCTTTTTTTCTAGTATGCTTGTGTTCTTTAATTCCCTTCAGGTAAAATTAGGGAGGAACAAGCGGGACCAAGAGGGCTAAAGGCCGATGCAGAAGAAAGAGGCAGAAAGGGAAGGAAGGCATCATGCATGTCAGGAAGACAGAATGGAAGTCTCTGCAGGACAGGATGCATGCAGGGAAATAGAAGGAGATGTAGCTAGGTGGAAAGATTACTAGAACAAGATAGCTAGAGTCTTGGACTTCAGAATAAAGACTTAAAAGGCAAGGTTTATTTGCAGAACCAGTGGAGTGGGCAGGAAGAACGGACAGGAATCACACAAGAGCTATGTTCAGTCCTCCCTCCCTGATGCTTTGAAACTGTCCTCCCAAGGCCCTTTCTCTTTGCTCAATTAAGTGGCCTTTTCATTTCTTCCACTTCCCAAAGTAACCCAGAAGACATGCCTCAAGGCTCAGGGCTCCCCTCTTACAAGCTCGGGCAGCTCATTAAGGAAAATTCCCCGTAACTGTTTGCCTGGGCTCAGTCAGTGTACAGACCCAAACAGAGCCAAGGTCCACAGCCTCTTACCTGTCTGCCACCTAAGTTTCCTGTGCCCCTACAGGAAGAATTTACTTCAGTGGTTCTCCTCTCACATTTGAGGGAGCCCCGAGTGAAAATGCTAGGCACTTTCACATGACTCACTGGCTCACAGACTCACAGGCTCTCGCAATATCTTTCTCTCTCTCTCTCTCTCAATCCCTCTTTCTCTCTCTCTGTCTGTCTCTCTCTGTCTCTGTCTCTCTCTCTCTCCACTCCAAAGAAGTATTGTTTCCACCGTTCCACCAAATAATTACCTAAGAGACTGCCAAGGAGGAATATACGGTGCCTCTTGTCTCTGGTGATTCAAGCTCTGTCTCTATGTAGTTGTACACGTAGAAATCACCTTTTGGTGGTTATCAGTTGTTCAGAGAGCCTGGGGGATGTTGGGAGAGAGCAGAGGGCCTCATTGTCACTCTTACTCACCCAGGTGTTTGGATATCGGTGATTTGGCCGGATAAGGACAGATAGGGTGGGACCTGGCACAGAGATGGGGCGAGAGTGAGCGCATGACCATCTTTTTCTCTACCCACACTTAAGGGGTGGGGAAATAATGGGCATGTCGCTGCCTGCCAAAGCCAGAGATGAGAAAGCCTCAACCAATCAGAGCAATAGTAACCTAAATCCTCAACTAACTAGATTTTTTTTCTTTTCTTCCCTTTTGGCATGAAGAGGCAAATAATCAGATTTCAGATTTATAGCCAAGACTTTTTAAAACTATGTCAAGAGAATGAGAAGGGAAGCCATAGACTGAAAGAAAATATGTGCAAAAAACAAATTTAATAAAAGACTATTATTCAAAAATATACAAAAATAACCCTTAAAAAGTCAACAATTAAGAGAAACTAACAACCCAATTAAAAAATGGAAACCTGAACCAACACCTTACCAAAGAAGATATGCAGATGGCCAGTAAGCACGTGGACAGATGCTTCATATCACATGTCATCAGGGAAATGCAAATTAAAGCCACAGGGAGAGACTATGTACCTGTTAGAATAACCAAAATCCAGAAAATACACCACACCCCAGGCTCCCCTCTTACTGAGAGGAGCTCATTAAGGAGTTGCCTGGGCTCAGCCGGAGTACAAAAACAAACCAGTGCCCACGTCCACAGCCTCTTGCCTATCTGTCATCTAAGACTCCCATCCACCTATGTGAGAATTTACATCAGTGGGTCTCCTCTCACCTTCCAGGGAGCCCGAGGTGCAAATACAGAGCACTTTCACACAGCTCACTTGAAACACCAAATGCAGGCAAGGATGTGAAGCAACAGGAACTTTCATCCATTGCTGGTAAATATGCAAAATGGTACAGCCACTTTGAAAGAGTTTGGCAGTTTCTTACAAAACTAGACATATTCTTACTGCACAATTCAGCAATCATGCTTCTTTGTATTTACTCAAAGGGGCTGAAAGCATGTCCACAAGAAAAAACCCCAGCACACAAATGTTTATTTAAGCCTTATTCATAACTGCGAAAAGTTGGAAGCAACCGAGTTGTCCTTCAGTAGGTGAATGGATAAATAAACTGTAGTATATCTAGACAATAGAATATTATTCAATATTGAGAAGAAATAAGCTATCAAGCCATGAAAAGACATGAAGAAACCTTAAATGCATATTACCAGGTGAAATAATTCAATCTGGAAAGGCTACGTACTGTGTGATTCCAACTACAGTAAGTCCTCACTTAGTGTCATCGATAGGTTCTTGGAAATTGCAATTTTAAGCAAAATTCTGTACAATTAAACCAACTTTATATTGGTAATTGATATAAACAAGAGTTAAATTCCTATGGCTTATTTCTGGTTATAAAAACATCACCAAACTTCTAGGTAAAGACCAAAACACTTCTAAAATTTAACACTGAAATAAATGTGACCTATATGCACATTTAAGGAAGATTAGTAAAAACAAGTAAGATAATTATTTATCCAGTTATTTCAGTCAGGATAGTGGGTGGCTGGAGCCTGTCCCAGCAGCTCAAAGAGTCAGATGGAAGCCAGCCTTGGACAGGATGCTCTCCCACAGCAGGGTGACTCACACGCACGCCCACACTCACTCATTATGGGACCACGGAGACACACAAATCCACCTCACATGCACGGCTTTGGGATGTGGAAGGAAATCAGAGGACCCAGAGGAAACCCGCGAAGACATGGGGGAAAAGTACAAACTCAACATGGACACAGGCCAGGCAGGGAAACCACTTTTTTTTCCTTCTCCGCAGCATTATAACGAAACAATGTTGAACGTAAAAAACATTATTCAAGGGCTTGCTGTATATGACATTCTGGAAAAGACAAAACTATGGGAACAGTGGTTGCCAAGGTTGAGAGGATAGAAGCATGAATAGTTGGAGCACAGAGGATTTTTAGAGCCATGAAACTACTGTGTATGATGCTGTAATGGTAGACACAGGATATCATAGGTCTGTCAAAACCCTTAGACTGTGCAACATCAACAGTAAACTCGAACCAAAAAGATGGACTTTGGGTCATAAGGATGTGTCCACATAGGTTCACTGACTGTAACAAATGCATCACTCTGGTGGGAGGGTGTCAATAGTGGGGGGAGCTGTGTATGTGGGGAGCAGGGCACATTGTGGAACTCTGTATTTTCTGCTTAATTTTGCTGTGAAACTAAAACTTTTCTAATAAACAAAGTCCATTTAAAGAGAAAAATTATATGATGTATGTTGGGCTTACAACTAATTTAAGCCCATCTCTTCCCCTATGCATATCTGTAGAGCTTGAATGAGAGAACCTGTCTGCAGCCTGATGCTCTGGAAGTCCTGACTCCAGAAGGATCAAATTATGACCAGGGCTGAAGCAGCAAATGGTCATATCACACTGCAGAAAAGTTTCTGAAAATCATTTTGCCTACTGCTTTACTAAATAGTGATTGAGGCCCTGGGCTGAGTTCTGGGAGTCTAGGAGTAATACAACCTGACCCTGGCTTTGAGGAGCTCACAGCATTGCAGAGGACAGACCTGCAAATAAACGATTGCAATGAAAAGTAGCAGTGGCTTAATGGAGTCAATGTAAGCTGCTATGGGAGCCCAGAGGAGAGAGGGAAATTGGCCTGGAGGAGACATTTGGTTAATACTCAATGAGACAGTGCTCAGTCAACCAACATTCGTGGATACTTTCACATGTACATTAAGTGACAACCCTGCTGTGCATTGTACAAGATACCAGGGAAAAGTGAGCTATGCGATGTAGTCTCTATGGTCATGAAGATTATAGTTTGAAAACCCCTATCTTAATTACTAAAGGACATGATTTTAAGCTGAACCAGGAAACTCTTTTTAAGGAGTCCAGTTAATAAGAAAAAAAACATTGTGTATTCAATCACAGACTACTGGCATTAAGAGGGATGCAAGAGGTGCTATGTCATAGTGGTTCTCAAACCTCATTGCACATGACCACTGCATGGTGATCTTCTAGTGAGCACCAATATTCAGGTGTCAACTCAGAGAAATTAAATCAGAATATCTGCAGATTAGACGTAGGCACTGGTGTTTTTTAAAACTTTCTTAGGTGATTATGGTGCACAGTTAGAATTGAAAATGCCTACTAACCTCATCCTGTTTTGGTATAGATTATGAATCACTGTCAAAGGATGAGGTAGAGAATTGCAGGGCCAATTCACTTAATAAAAGAAAATTCATGATCCACCATACAATTTAAGAACAATAACACTACCAATAATTTGTATCAATCTAATAGAATGCACTCTCTCCCAGTCCCAATCCCCTGAATAGTAATGCCTATCCTGATTTTCTGATTGTCCTTTTTGTTAGTTTATGCCATATGTATTTACTGTACACCTAAATAACACCCTCTGTGGAGTAAATTGTTGTTGAGATCTATCAACACGGTATCTACCACTACCAGGTGTAACCTTTGGACTTGCTACTCAAAATGTGATCCGTCACCCAGCAGCAGAGGGTCATATCGGGAGATCTCCTTTTCAGATCACTTGAAAGCTTGCTAGGAATGCAGAATCTGAGGCATCAGCTCAGATCCCTTAATTGAAAATCTTTATTTTAACAGGATGCCCGTATACTAAAGTTTGAGACGCAAGACGCACTGTTCTAAATGTTTGTTTCATCACAGATTTATCCAAGTTGTTGTATGTAGGTGTAGTTCTGTGAATGAGTGTTTGATGTGTTTCCAGTTTTTTCTGATATTAGGAAAAATACCGCTCTGAACAATCTTATATGTCCCCTAGTGTACAGAGAAAGAGTTTTTGTAGGATATATAACTAGGAGTGGGATTGGTGGAAAATCAGTTACATAAACTTTGAATTTTGCAATGCCAAATTATTTTCTGAAGTGTTTTAAGATTCACATACCCCTAACTCATTTTATGAGGCCAGCATCATCCTGATACCAAAGCCGGGCAGAGACACAGCCAAAAAAGAGAATTTTAGAGCAATATCCTTGATGAATATTGATGCAAAAATCCTCAATAAAATACTGGCAAACCGAATCCAGCAGCACATCAAAAAGCTTATCCACCATGATCAAGTGGGCTTCATCCCTGGGATGCAAGGCTGGTTCAATAGACGCAAATCAATAAATGTAATCCAGCATATAAACAGAACCAAAGACAAAAACCACATCATTATCTCAATAGATGCAGAAAAGGCCTTTGACAAAATTCAACAACCCTTCATGCTAAAAACCCTCAATAAATTAGGTATTGATGGGACGTATCTCAAAATAATAAGAGCTATCTATGACAAACCCACAGCCAATATCATACTGAATGGGCAAAAACTGGAAGCATTCCCTTTGAAAACTGGCACAAGACAGGGATGCCCTCTCTCACCACTCCTATTCAACATAGTTTTGGAAGTTCTGGCCAGGGCAATTAGGCAGGAGAAGGAAATAAAGGGTATTCAATTAGGAAAAGAGGAAGTCAAATTGTCCCTGTTTGCAGATGACATGATTGTATATCTAGAAAACCCCATAGTCTCAGCCCAAAATCTCCTTAAGCTGATAAGCAACTTCAGCAAAGTCTCAGAATACAAAATCAATGTACAAAAATCACAAGCATTCTTATACACCAATAACAGAAAAACAGAGAGCCAAATCATGAGAGAACTTCCATTCACAATTGCTTCAAAGAGAATAAAATACCTAGGAATCCAACTTACAAGGGATGTGAAGGACCTCTTCAAGGAGAACTACAAACCACTGCTCAATGAAATAAAAGAGGATACAAACAAATGGAAGAACATTCCATGCTCATGGGTAGGAAGAATCAATATAATGAAAATGGCCATACTGCCCAAGGTAATTTATAGATTCAATGCCATCCCCATCAAGCTACCAATGACTTTCTTCACAGAATTGGAAAACACTAATTTAAAGTTCATATGGAACCAAAAAAGAGCCCGCATCGCCAAGTCAATCCTAAGCCAAAAGAACAAAGCTGGAGGCATCACGCTACCTGACTTCAAACTATACTACAAGGCTACAGTAACCAAAACAGCATGGTACTGGTACCAAAACAGAGATATAGATCAATGGAACAGAACAGAGCCCTCAGAAATAACGCCGCATATCTACAACTATCTGATCTTTGACAAACCTGAGAAAAACAAACAATGGGGAAAGGATTCCCTATTTAATAAATGGTGCTGGGAAAACTGGCTAGCCATATGTAGAAAGCTGAAACTGGATCCCTTCCTTACACCTTATACAAAAATTAATTCAAGATGGATTAAAGACTTAAACGTTAGACCTAAAACCATAAAAACCCTAGAAGAAAACCTAGGCATTACCATTCAGGACATAGGCATGGGCAAGGACTTCATGTCTAAATCACCAAAAACAATGGCAACAAAAGCCAAAATTGACAAATGGGATCTAATTAAACTGAAGAGCTTCTGCACAGCAAAATAAACTACCATCAGAATGAACAGGCAACCTACAAAATGGGAGAAAATTTTTGCAAGCTACTCATCTGACAAAGGGCTAATATCCAGAATCTACAATGAACTCAAACAAATTTACAAGAAAAAAACAAACAACCCCATCAAAAAGTGGGCAAAGGACGTGAACAGACACTTCTCAAAAGAAGACATTTATGCAGCCAAAAAACACATGAAAAAATGCTCACCATCACTGGCCATCAGAGAAATGCAAATCAAAACCACAATGGGATACCATCTCACACCAGTTAGAATGGCAATCATTAAAAAGTCAGGAAACAACAGGTGCTGGAGAGGATGTGGAGAAATAGGAACACTTTTACACTGTTGGTGGGACCGTAAACTAGTTCAACCATTGTGGAAGTCAGTGTGGCGATTCCTCAGGGATCTAGAACTAGAAATACCATTTGACCCAGCCATCCCATTACTGGGTATATACTCAAAGGACTATAAATCATGCTGCTATAAAGACACATGCACATGTATGTTTATTGTGGCACTATTCACAATAGCAAAGACTTGAAACCAACCCAAATGTCCATCAATGATAGACTGGATTAAGAAACTGTGGCACATATACACCATGGAATACTATGCAGCCATAGAAAATGATGAGTTCATGTCCTTTGTAGGGACATGGATGAAATTGGAAATCATCATTCTCAGTAAACTATCGCAAGGACAAAAAACCAAACACTCATAGGTGGGAACTGAACAATGAGAACACATGGACACAGGAAGGGGAACATCACACTCTGGGGACTGTTGTGGTGTGAGGGGAGGGGGGAGGGATAGCTTTAGGAGATATACCTAATGCTAGATGACGAGTTAATGGGTGCAGCACACCAGCATGGCACATGTATACATATGTAACTAACCTGCACATTGTGCACATGTACCCTAAATCTTAAAGTATAATAATAATAAAACAAAATAAAATAAAAAGATTCACATACCCACCTGCATGTGTGAGAGCTCCTATTCATTCACGTCTTCTCTAAAAGCCTTGTCAAACATCTTGTCTATTTAAGGGATGCATTTTTTTATTCTTGATTTACTTCATTCACGTCTTCTCTAAAAGCATTGTCAAACATCTTATCCATTTAAGGGATGCATTTTTTTATTCTTGATTTACTAATTATTTCCCTGATTTACTAATGAGCTTGGAAATAATTTTAAATGCTTATTCACTCTTCATATTTTTATTCTGTGGAATCCTATTCATTTATTTCATCAGTTTTCAAAATGGGTCATTTGAGTTTTTTTCTTATTGGCTAATTGTTATGTTTATAGATATAAATGTGTTTTCAATTATGTGTGTTGCAAATAACTTCTGCTGGCATGTAGCCTGTCTTTCTTTTTTCTTCATGGTGACTTACGATGCATAGAAATTATAAGCTCTACTGAGAACAAACTGTTAATCCTTCTATCTTGGTTAGTGATTTTTGCCTTTTTTGAGAGATAATTGTCTACCCTGAGGTTTGAAATATATTCTCTCACATTTCCTTCTAACAGTTTTAAAGTTTTGCTTTCACATTTACGTTCTTAATCCATTTAGAATTGATTTTTTTGCTCTTTGTACAGCAGGGATATAATGTCACTTTTTTAACGGAAAATCAGTTGTCCCAGAACTATTATTGAATAGTCTCTCCTTTTCTCCAGTAGCCCTGAAAGCCTTTCAGGTCATATGTATTCATCAGTGTGTTTTGGGCTCTCTGTCTTGTTTCATTGGGCAATTTGTCTATCCCAACCCCAATACCACATAGTTTTATTCATTACAACTTTAGCGTAAAACTTGATATCTAGTAGAGCAAGTCCTTCCACCTTGTTCTTCTCCTTTAGTATTTTGGCTATTCTTGACCCTTTTAGTTTCCATATAAATTACAAAATCAATGGGTCATTTTCTACTCAAAATGCTGTTGAAATTGTATTAGAATTGCATTATAAATCTATCTGGGGAAAATTGCTATCTTTATAGTATTGAGCATTTCTTTCCATGAACATTGAACATTAATATCTTTCAATCAAGTTTTATAATCTTCTCCACAAAGTTCTTATATATATTTGGTTAGATCTATACCTAAGTTATATATATTTGGTTAGATCTATACCTGTATTTTGCCATTTCATTGATAATATATAGAAATACAAATGATTTCTATTATTGTTCTGTAGCTAGTCATTTAGATAAATCCTATCAATATTTCTAATAATTTCTCAGTAAATTATAGACAAGTAATTGTATCTGAAAGAGATAAGAATGTTGTCTTTATTTGCAGTCTATATGTGTGGCAAAGACTGCTAACAATATGCAATATGTATTTTTCCAACTTTTTAATAATAGAACACTATCCATTTCAGCTGGAGTCATTGCTAACTTGCAGCAAGGTGTGACCAAATGGGTTAGTTGAGGACAGTAGGTTGTGAGTAGACATGATAGGTGAAACTTTCTCATGAGAACCTTAAAAATATGGTGAAATCTAATCTACTGAGACTAGGATTGGGGTCCGACAGTATTGGAAAAGCCAACAAATTCTGTAACCCCAAACAACAGGCAATGAGACTGATACTCAGAGGCATTTTCAAGAATACCCCATTAACTGTTCTCACCAACCGGAATGGAAGATAATTTAATGGCAAAGATCAGATCAAGAATGATGCCTTCACACCCCACAATATTTATGCAAATAGCCTCAATATAGCTATCATTAGCTGAGCGAGAGTTATGAGCTGAGCACAAAAGGTGTTAACTAAAAGAGATCTGACAGATGTAAAAACCAAAATATTAAGAGATCATTGGATGTTTATCTTACATGGAACTAATTACAAACACAGAGATCAAATGCTAGTTAGTTTGTGAAGCATTATATTAACACAAAAATCAAATTCCTGACACTTAGAAGCATGAGATTATTCAATGCCTGAAGCCACACTTGGGCCCCCCAAAACTGCACTAGCAGGAATTAGACTGTGAAGAGTGTGCAGCCCTGTAAGGCATATTTTCCCATTGACACATATACAGAGAATTGTGGAAAGAGGAAGAAAACTCAGAAGGACAAAAGTAACAATGGACAATGGATTTACTTCCAGAAAACAGGATTAAGGGTGGCCAGGTGTGCTAAGCAGAGAACCTGCTTTGCTGCCAGGGTATGGAGCCTTCGCAATTCATGCGCCCCAAGATTTGATGACTTTTCATGTTTCTCATTCTTTGCTTTCCAAGTGGTAGTTTTCTTTGTAATTATCTTTTTCATTGGTAAAGATATAGATAAAGCTGTTATAGCAAAAATATCCCAAAATGGAAGTTTATATTGTTCTGCATTAATTTTCCAAAGAAAGCAGATTCTAAGAGGCAACCCATGGCCTTATGGTGACAGGTCAGAGCTGTTATCCTTAATACATCACTGTTGCTTCTCTTTTTGTATCTGAGTTGTTGTCAATTCCAGCTTGCAAGTATCCTGTCCCCGAGGTGGTAACGGAAACTGTGCACACATTGCTTTTGCATATGTCGCATTGACCTAAATTTGTCACATGTCCACATCTAGCTGCAGGAAAGTTTAGATAATATGTTCTGTAGCTGAGTGCCCATGTGCTTGCCTAAAACTCTATTATTAAATGGAAGAGAGAACGAATTTCCAAAGACAATAGGCGGTCACATTAATCCACTATTTCATGATGAGTGTGAAGTATTGGGATGAATGTACTTTGCCATTTTTTATTAGTAAGCTATAAGAAGCTATAATAAGATATGATGGAAAGAAATAAGCATCATCCAAGTGACCTATATTTTGAACCAGATGCATTAGCTGAATGAGACTTTGAGTTATTAAAGAAGAGTTTTACTCTATGTGTGGGAAGAAGAGGACACTTAGATGCTATAAGAGTGAAACTGGCAGTTTTCTCACTCAGGTCTATAAGGGAAAGTGGACAAGGATATTAATCCCAATATTATTTTGTGATAGAATATTGAAGAAAAGCTGAGTGTTCGCTTCTAGGAGGAGAACTGCTTAGATATGGTAGATGCATACAATGGTTTACTGCATCAGAGAGCAGTGATAGACTACATGTATACATGGTAATATGAATGAACCTTAAAGACAGTGCTAAGTAATAAATCATTTTTAAAGAGTGATTACATATTAATGGCATTTTTATACATTTAAAATATACCCCGAAATCTGCAATATATATTTGTAAGACTCAATAAAAATATACATATAAACCCACTAAAATGATTACCTATGGTAAAGGAAAGAAATGAGAGTAGGGGTCAAAAGTAAAAACGGAAAATTAAAATGAGAGGATTTTTACATATGCCAAAGTTGACTAGCATGAACTGCAAAGAACGATTAACTCAATCCTGTACATCTGAGGCCTAACATACAGAAAGGGTGATTTATGCAAGAGTAGGAAGCAAACAGGACCTCCATGACTGATAAAAGTGGAGCAAGATCACCCTATTCTCATTCCTACAACAACCAGAAAATAATATACAAAACAATGCTTCCTGAGCCAATGGACATTAAACAACAAAACAAAATCATCCCTGTGGTACAAAAACAAACCAGGTGAATTCTAAAATTACCCTGCTAATGGCCTGAAGAGAGATTCCAGGTCACACTGCAAAGAGAAATAGGTAGTTTCCCTGAGTGAAGAAGATGGACTAAAGTCTGAAGGCCAAGATGGCTGCAGTTCACAGAGCACTGCAGAAGAGAAAGATTAACAGAAAGGACTCTGGATAGTTACAAATCTTCAACTGAGTACCAATCGGTGAATGCAAGAAAGAAACTACCATGCCCAGAGAGAAAAACACACTTGAAAGGATTATAGCTATAGGAAAACAGCCAATTGCATGGAAAGAGTCAAACCGTCTTGAAGTGAATTCACCATGATGAGCAATGTTAGACTGCTGCATTCCAAGGAATCCCCTAGGATAGAAAATCCCTCATGAAGAAACACTGCCTGAAGCATAGGTAACCCTTCATAAAGATATTTATCTAACCCCTCCAGTGGTCACAAGTTTTGCAAGAAAGTCTGAGGCATGACCAGCTGCAACATGTTTTACCCTAAAAGCTTACTGTAAAAAAAAAGATACTTTCTTCAGAGTGGGTGTGGGGACTCACCAACTCTCGGCTGTCTGAGAGGTAGTTTTTCTTTGTAAGTCCCTATGGAATGTTACTTCTTGAGAAGCTGGATTTGTCGGCCTCTTCCTTTGACCTCTCAGCTCCTTCCGTTGTTGGGGATAGGTTTGCGTCTACCTGCCCACCACAGAACAAAGGAAATGGTGCTGAGCCCTGACAGAAGGATGGGTATAGACAGAGTATCAGCGAGCTGCGTGGCAATGTCAAAGGCTCATATATGCATCTTTTGGAGTGTATGAAGGAGAGAATTTAGGGGACAGAAAAAGAGTTGAATAATAATGGTCCAAAAATTGCAAATCTGATAAAAACTCTAAAATCTCAGATCCAAGAAGCTTAATAAACCCTAAGCACAAGAAACAAGAAGAAAACTACATAAAGCCACATTATAATCAAATTACTAAAAACCAAATTTAAGAAAAAACTTAAAGCATATTTTATACAGAGTAATGAAGCTAAGGATGATAGCAGATTTCTAGTCAGAAACAATGAAAGCCAGAAGAATGTGAAGCAATATCTTTAAAGTACTAAGAGAGAAAACTTTCAACCTAGAATTCTACAGACAGAAAATATATATTTCACAGGTAAAGACTTTTTCAGGCATACAAAAGGTAAAAGTTTTTATTTCCAACAGAGCTGAGCTATAAAAAACATTCAGGAAGTCCTTTAGGCAGAAAGAAAATTATATCAGAAAGAAATGTGGATCCACACAAAGAAATTAAGAGCCTCTAGACATGGCAACCACATGGATAAATATAAAATCTATTTTTATTATTTGAATCTCTTTAAAGCAGAAAATAATAATAAATATATTCTAGGGCTCAGAAGATATGCTGACATTAAATGTAGAACGACAATATAACAACAGCCAAAAATAGAGAAATCCATAGATACTGTTATAATTCTCTTAAACTCTATGTAAAGTGGTATGACATTACATGATAGGAGATGTTATTTAGTTAAATATATATACTATAAACTCTAAAACTACACTAATAAATTATAGCAAATGAAGCAACACAGGAGACAATCTGGTATAGTTAAAATGCTCACAATCCAAGAAAATGAAACAGAAAACAAAGCATAGATGGAAAAAATGAAAAATAAATAGCAAGATGGCAGATTTAAAATCATCATATATGATTATAATAAATGTTAGTGGTTTAAACATCCTAATTAAAAGGCAGAGGTTGACATATTTGATTTAAAAAAGCAAGAACTAACTATAAACTACCTATGAAAACCCACTTTAGATATATTAACACAAATGTGTTAAGAGTAAATACATGGAACACTGCATAACATTCTAACACTAATCAAGAAAAAAAGCTGGAACACAATTTGAAAGGAGCACCATTAGGCAATTTTGGAGCAGGGCACCCAAGAGAATAATGGCACAAAATTGAAAATGAGGGACTTCTTCTCAACTCATTCTATAAGGATAGCATTACTCTGATTTCCAAACAAAAGACATTACAAGAAAAAAAAATAAAACACACACACACACACACACACACACACACACATATATACAATTGGTCTTCAACTTACAATGATTCAACTTACCATTTTTTTACTTTAAAATGGTGCCAATTTATGATGGGGTTATGTCCAGATAAACCAACCATAACCTGAAAACATCACATTGAAAATATACTTTTGAGGCCGGGTGCAGTGGCTCACGCCTGTAATCCCAGCACTTTGGGAGGCCGAGGTGGGTGGATCACAAGGTCAGGAGATCGAGACCATCCTGGCTAACACAGTGAAACCCCGTCTCTACTAAAAATACAAAAAATTAGCCAGATGTGGTGGTGGGCCCCTGTAGTCCCAGCTACTGGGGAGGCTGAGGCAGGAGAATAGTGTGAACCTGGGAGGCAGCGCTTGCAGTGAGCCGAGATCACGCCACTGCACTCCAGCCTGGGTGACAGAGCGAGATTCTGTCTCAAAAAAAAAATACACTTTTGACTTCATATTTTCAATTTATTATGGTTTTATTGGAACATAACCCCGTATCTTAAGTCAAGGAACGTGTGTGTGTGTGTGTGTGTGTGTCTGTGTGTGTATACACAAGATGAGGTATATACACACACACACATAATGAGGTTATAGCCATCCCTCATAAACACAAATGAAAGAAAATTATTTAAATTGTGGCCAATTAAATCTAGTAATATATTAAAAAAGGATAATACATTGTGACTGAAGGAGCCTTATCCCAAGAATCCAAGGTGGGGCTTGCACTGCAACATTAATCAATGTAATTCACCATATCAACAGACCATATGATTATCTCAATAGATGTAGAAAAAGTATTTAATGATGCTATGGTTAGTTTTATGCATCAATTTGGCTAGGTTATAGCACTCAGTTATTTAATCAAACACTAATCTAGGTGTCGCTGTGAAGGTATTTTGTAGATGCAGTTAGCATCTACAATCAACTGACTTTAGATAAAGGAGACTACCCTTGAAAATGCAGTTGCATCTCATCCACAGTCTTGAAAGACCTTAAGAACTTTGAAAGGTTTTCTGGAGAAGAAGAAATTCTGCCTCAAGACTGCAGCATCAACTCCTACCTAAGGCCTGCCCTACAGATTTCAAACTTGCCAGCCCCAAAACTCTGTGACATATTTCCTTCAATAAATCTCTAGACAGGTAGACAGATAATTTATATGTAAAAATATTTATCGACTTCTTTAGTCTCAACTACTCAAGAGGCTGAGATGGGAGGGAGGATCACTTGAGGCCAGCAGGTGGAGGTTGCAGTGAGCTGTGATACCACCACTGCACTCCATCCCGGATGACAGAGTGAGATTCTGTCTCAGATACATATACACACACACACACACATCAATTTTATATATTTATAGGTATTTTATATATTTGTTTTTATAAAAGTAATATTTTATATATAATATTACTGTCCTGTTTCATATATATAATAAAACATATATGTTTATATATGTGTATATATAAAAACATGTTTATATATGTTATATATATGACAGGACAGTAATATTTTATATATATAAACAGGATAGTAATATATATACATATATAAAACAGGACAGTAATATTATATATATAATATTATGTATGTATGTACATACATACTTACATCCTCCATCTCCTGGAGGCCTTTGACCTACCCAGTTCTCTTCCCCTTTTTTGCTTGTAGTTATCAAAAATGACTTTCAAGTGTGTTGAGAATGCAAGAACATGAGCTAAAAAAGAATTTGCCAGAACAGCCTGGGCTGTTCCTTTCCCTCCTAGAATAGGACGTCCTACAGTGATTTAGCCCAGCGTCTAATGTTGCCTCCAAGGTATGAAATCCATGTGGGCCCCAGGGTATAAACCCCAGAGTAGACTGCTTTCCAGGGTCCCTCAGCGGTGGTGCAAAGCTGAGCACACACAGAAAAGATTCCATCTTTTGGGCAGCTTTCTGAGGCATGGGAGAGCAGCGTGCCATAAATCCTAAGCTTCTGTGGCTTCATGCTGCCTACCGAAGAGTGATGAAGCTGCTTCACTGGGCTTGTTGTGTGATTTGTGCAAGCAGTAGAAACTGCAGGCCAGGATGCGGGGGGCTGAAGTCGTAACCAGTGCACAGGTTCCTGCTTTAATACAACTTTTGGTTCTGTTTCTGTGGAGAACCCTGACTGATATATATCTTAGTATCAAGAGTGAGTGGCTCTAGAGGAACGAAATCTTAATGGTGAGTTTTCTGAATTGTTCCTAGGGCTTCCGGAGTTGGTTGTCTTATCTAACACTATCTAAAGGCACTAATAACACTCCTATGGAAGAAGGGCACAGATAGTCCATGCCATGATGTGGCAACAGACAGATGCAAAATGCAAAATACCACCATTGGACACCTCAAATCACACACCTATAATAAAAGGTGAGATTCTGTGGGACCATGTATTAAAACCACGATTGCTTTTGCACCAACCTAATATTTGGTCCTTAGAACATTTTAGTTCAGCTAACTAGTATAATGAAGCTAGTTGTTTGCTCCTAACTGTGAGGAAAAGGATGAGCTTAATCTCAGGGCTCCAAATTCCCAGCTCAAGCTCAGCGTAAATGAACTTGAAGTGTTAATGTCAGTGGTCCCCAACATTTTTGGCACCAGAAACCTGTTTTGCAGAAGACAATTTTTCCCTGGACCCTTAGGGTGGGATGGTTTTGGGATGATTCAAGGGCATTACATTAATTAGGCACTTCATTTCTATTATTATTACATTGTGATATATAATGAAGTAATTACACAACTTACCATAATGTAGAAACAGTGGGAGCCCTGAGTGTGTTTTCCTGAAACCAGACAGTCCCACTGGGGATGACTGGAGACAGTCCCACTGGGGATGATTGGAGACAGTGACAGATCATCAGGCATTAGTTAGATTCTTATAAGAAGTGCTCAACCTGGATTCCTCACATGCGCAGTTCACAATGGGGTTCACACCCCTGTGAGAATCTAATGCCACTGACAGGAGGTGGAGCTCAGGCAGTAATGCAAGCAATGGGGAGCAGCTATAAATACAGATGAAGATTTGCTGGTTTGCCTACCACTCACCTCCTGCTGTGCAGCCTGGTTCCTAACAGGCCCATGAAGCTGGGGATATCTGACCCTTAAATTCCACTGAATCTTCTTTGCCAATAGAAGCAGCAGCCCTCCCACCTTTGTATGAGGAGGTTAGCCCTGCTTTTCCTGAGGGAGCTTAATGTCCTCCCCAGGCAATTGCCTTGTAAGACACTGCTGACTCTCCTCAGAACCGTCCCACCACCCTTCTTTGCTTCTAGGCCTTTAGCTAGATTCAAGTCCCAGCAGGCCTCAAAGGGTGCAATGCAAGGTATGACCCATGAGGTGGTATGCTACACTCCAAATGAAGCGGATGTGTTTTAAATTAATACACGCAGAAACCTGCAGAATACATGTGTGAATGAATACTAAACATGTGGGAAAATGGTAAAGGGAACATAAAGTTGCATCAGGCTAAATTTATTGATACGGGCTCTCTGAGCAGAATCTAGATTCAAAGCTATAGCTCAAGGGGTTAGACAAGGCTCTAAATGTTTGTTTGGTTGGTTGGCTGGAGCATGAGCCAAAAGTGGGCTAACACTAAGTGAAGGACTTCTTCCTTGCTATGCGGTACAGGAAGGTACCCAAAGGCTTGGGGAGATTAGAATTTCAGAGTGCATTTATCAAATAAGGCCTGCTTACCCACCCTGGGAAGGTCCAAGGGACATGATTTTCACAACTATGAGAAATAAATTGTGAAGGTAGCCCTAGCATCCTTCAAGAGGTCTGTAGTCACTCTTCTCTGCAGGCCAGAAATAACAGTAGGAACTGCTACCTCAGAGGCGGGATACTTACATGCAATGTAAGAGATTGCAAGATCCAGAGAGAACTGGATCACAGGGTAGAAGGGGCCAAGTGGTGGCACTTAATCACCAAAAATGAGGTCCATGTGGCTACCATTATGGATAGCAGAGTAAAAGCAGCAAGCAGAATAGTTTAACCCACAGAGACCTATGGTATCACTAGTTGATTGTTGTCCTTAAAAATAAAATAAAATAGATGGGCAGTCTACTAAATTAAGCAGAAGAGTTCTACAGCAAGTGAAGAGAAGTCTAATAACTTGAATCATGAGAACAGAGTTATGGCCCCTCAATCAATTCCCAAACTGACCCAGTTTTACCAGGGTAACTATGCATTGGGGAAAAGGAAATGATCAGACTTTTGGAGGATTACTAAACACTGGCTCTAAACTGTCACTAATTCCAGGAGACCCAAAATGTCACTGTGGCCCTTCAGTCAGAGTACAGGCTTATGGAGATCAGGTGATCAATGAAGTTTTAGCTAAGGTACATCTCACCATGGGTCCACACTGTAGTTATTTCTGCAGTCCGGGAATGCATACTTGGAATGGACATCTCAGCAGCTGGCAGGATCCCTGGGAAAATAGTCAAACAAAAGCAATACCACATCCCTTGAAGGATTTCAGAGATTGGTGCCACTTCAAGGACTTGAGTTTGGGGGCTGGGGGGTGATGTTCACCACATTCCCACTCTTCTGTTTGGAAAGTTGAAACAGACAGACCTTGGAGAATGCAGTGCGTTATTATAAACTCAGCCAGGTGCTGATCCCAATTGCACCTGCTATTCCAGATGTTATTTCCTTGCTTGAAAAAATTGACATAAACCCTGACACCTGGTATACAGTTATTAAGCTGGAAAATGTTTTTTTCTCCATACGTGTTACTAAAGACCACTAGCAGCCATTTACTTTCAACTTGCAATACACCTTCACTCTCTCATTTCAGGAGTGTATCAGCTCTCCAGTCCTACGTCATAATTTAGTCCACAGAGATCTTGATCACTTTTCCTTTCACCAAGACATTGCACAGGTCCCTTACATTGATGGCGTGATTATATTATGTTGATTGGATCTAGTAAGTTAGAAGTGGCAGCTACTGTGGATTAATTGCTAAGATACATTTGTATGTCAGAGGATGAGAAATAACTCTGATAAAAATTCAGATGTCTTCCCTATCCTTGAAATTTCTAGGAGTCTAGTTGTGTAACACATGTCAAAATATCCCTAAATATCTTATGCACAATGCCTAGTGACCCTCTAGATTTAGAAGAAAAAATATTTATCATATGGGTGTGTAACTCCAATCCATTTATTGAATCACCCAAACAGCTACTATTTCTTAGTGGGGCCTAGAACAAGAGAAGGCTCTGCGACAGGTCCAAACTGACATGAAAGCTGCCCTGCAAGTTAGGCCCAGTGATCCATCCGATCCAATGGTTGTTGGGGAGTCAATGTCAGACAAAGATGTTATCTGGAGTGTTTGGCTGGCATATCACAATGTTGACTCAGGACTTTATATTAAAGGTGTATCACAGTGTAGACTCGGGATTTTAAAGCAAAGCCCTGCCATCATATGCACATGAGTCTCCTTTTGAGGAACAGTTTTTGGCTTGAAACAGGTTTTTAGTAGAGACTGAATGCTCAGCCACGTTCACCTGCAATCTGAGTTGCCCATTATGAGCTGAGTATTTATGCTTTATGGCAGATGAACAAGCCATAAAGCTGGGTGTACAAAGTGGTACTCCATTACCAAATTGAAGTGGTATAAACATAATTGGGCCCAAGTAGACCCTGAAGTTGAAGGTATAAGTAAGTTACATGAAGAAGTGGCCCAAATGCCTATAGTTTCTCTCCTGCCACAGTGCCTTCTCTCTCCCAGCCTGTACTTATGGCCTCATGGGGAGTTACCCATAATCAGTTGATGGAGGAAGAGAAAACTCAGGCTTGGTTTACAGGCGATTCTGCCTGATACACAAGCACCATGCAGAATGGACAACTGCAGTACTAGAGCCCGTTTCTGAGACACCCCTGAAAATAGTGGTGAGGGGAAATCTTTCCATGGAGCAGAATTCAAGCTGTGCACGTAGTTGTTCATTTTGCTTGGAAGGTGTATTAATCAGAGTTTTCCAGAAAGACGGAACCAACAAGATATATATATAGAGTTGACACCCAAAATTAACCATCACAGAAGGAAAGTATCCAGACATGATTGTACATGAATAGGATAAAATCCATATGTATTCACACATATATATGTACGTATTACATATATACCCATATATGTGAGGGGCTTTATTTGGGGAACTGGCTCATGTGATTATGGAAACTGAGAAGTTTCATGAGAATTCATCTGCAAGCTGGAGACCCTGGGACTCTGAGAGCATGCCTCAATCCAAGTCCAAGAACCTCAGAACACAGGAAAGCCCATGGTGTAACTCTCAGTCCTAACAGAATGAAGGCCTGAGAACCTGGGAGGTGAGGGGTGCTGGTGTAAGTCCTAGAGTTCAAAGTCCAGAGAGCCTGGAGTTCTGATGTCCAAGGACAGGAGAAGAAAAGTGCACCCCAGCTCTAGCAGAGAGAAGAAACCACCGATTTGTTCTATTGGAGCCCCCAGCTGATTGGATGGTACCAGTCACATCGAGAGAGGACCTTCCCCACTCAGCTCATCGACTCATGTGCCAGTCTTCTCTGAGAACACCACCATGCACACACCCAGAAATCATGCATTACCAGTTCTCTACATAGTCCTTCATCCAGTCAAGTTGACAACCAAAATTAACCATCCCAGAAGGAAAGTGGCCAGTCGTGCAATTATATACCAACTCATGGGCTGTGGCCAATGGTGAGGCTAGATGGTCAGGGGCTTGGCTGGACCATGATTGGAAAGTTGGTGACAAAGAGGTGTGGGAAGAGGCGTGAAAAAGTGGGCTTCTTCAAAATTAAGAACTTTTGTTCTTCAAAAGATAATGTAAAGCAAGCCACAGGCTGGGAGAAGGTACTGGTAAAGCACTTGCATCTATAATATAAAAAGAACTTTTTCAACTCAGTAGTAATTTTAAAAATTCAATAAAAACAGGCAGAAGATTATAACACACATTTCATCAAAAATATATATACAGGTATCAATAAGCACATTGTAAGATGTTCAGCATTGTTATTCATTAGAATAATGCAAATAAAAACACAATTGCATATTAGAATGTTTAAAATAAAAAAGACCATATAAAAAAAGCCCCATACCAAGTGTGTGAAAGGCTGTGGAGTAACTGGGACCCTCATATACTCCTGGAGGGAATATAAAATGGTATAATTACTTTAGAAAACAGGTTATCAGCCTCTTAAATAGTTCAACATATGCCTATCACACAACCCTATCATATTACTGATAGGTACAGGTGAAGTATCCCTTATTCAAAATGCTTGAGACCAGAAGTGCTTCGGATTTTGAATTTTTTTGAATGTTTGAATATTTGCATATACATAATAAGAAATCTTTGGAGTAGGACTCAAATCTAAATACAAAATTCATTTATGTTTCATATACACCTTATACACATAGCCTAAAGTAATTTTACACAATATTTTCAATAATTATAAACAAAAACAAAATTTTGACTGTGTTATGACTAAGACCTGTCACGTGAGGTCACATATGGAATTTTCCACTTGTGGCATCATGTCAGTGCTTTGAAAGTTTTGGATTTGGGAGTATTTCAGATTTTGAATTTTTGGGTTAGGAATGCTTAACCTCTATTTTCCCAAGAGTAATGAAAGGACATCTCCAAAGGCTTGCACAGAAATGCTCACACCAGCTTTATTTGTAATAAACAAAAACAAAAAAGTGAGACAATATTCATCAACAGGTAAAGAATAAACTCATTATCATACATCCATACTATGGAATACTACTCAGCTATAAAAATATAAACTACTGATTCATACGACAACGTGGATGCACCTCAAAATAATTATGCATGCTGAGTGAGAGAAGTCAGACACGAAAAGGTACATTATATGTGATTTCATTTATGTAAAATTCTGGAAAAGACAAACTAGTCTAAAGTGACAGGAAGCAAATCAGTGGTTGCTTGGGAAAGGGGGCAGGGTGATGCTGGGAGAGCAGGAGGAAAGTTGAAGATGATGGATGTGTTAGTTACCTTTATTGTGGTGATGGTTTCATTGGCATATATTTATGTCAAAACTTATCAAAGTGTGCACTTTAAGTATTTGCAATTTATCTTATGTCAATTATACTTCAATAGAGCTGTTAAAATATTTAAATATAAGAAAATAACTGAACCGGGGAAACGCTTCTGATGTTTCCCATTCAGAATAATATTTTGAGGTAAGGAAATGCCTTCCTATAATTGTTACTTGAAATCATGAACGAATATTGAATATTGTCAAACGTTTCTACCACATCTACTGAGACAACGTGTAGATTTTCTCATTTAATGTAGGGGCTGATGATTACAGAGTTTTTTTGTTTTGTGGTTTTTGAGAGAGTCTCTCTCTGTCGCCCAGGCTGGAGCGCAGTGGCGTGATCTCGGCTCACTGCAGCCTCTGCCTCCTGGGTTCAAGCCATTCTCCCACCTCAGCCTCCCAAGCAGTTGGGATTACAGGCACCAGCCACCACACCTGACTAATTTTTATATTTTTGGTTGAGACGGGGTTTCACCATGTTCCCCAGCCTGGTCTCAAACTCCTGAGCTAAAGCCATCTGCCTGCCTCGGCCTCCTAAAGTGCTGGGATTACCGGAGTGAGTCACCATGCCTGGCCAATTACAGAGTTTTTAATGTTAAACCACCCTTGTGTTATCTTTTTTTTTTTTTTTTTTTTTTTTGAGACGGAGTCTCGTTCTGTCTCCCAGGCTGGAGTGCAGTGGCGCGATCTCGGCTCCCTGCAAGCTCCGCCTCCCGGGTTCACGCCATTCTCCTGCCTCGGCCTCCCGAGTAGCTGGGACTACAGGCGCCCGCCACCGCGCCCGGCTAATTTTTTGTATTTTTAGTAGAGACGGGGTTTCACCTAAGTACCCTGCTGGATTTAGTTGGCTAATATTTTGTTTAAGAAATGTTCGCATCTAGCTGGATGTGGTGGCTCACACATGTAATCCCAGCACTTCCGGAGGCTGAGGTGGGAGAATCGTTTGAGGCCAGGAGTTTGAGGCCAGCCTGGACAACATGGCGAGATCCCCTTCATCTCTACAAAAAAATTTAAAAATTAGTCCCTGGACATGGTGGTTTGTGCCTGTAGCCCCAGCTACTGAGGAGGTTGGGGTGGGAGGATCCCTTGAGCCTAGGAGGATGAGGAGGCAGCAGCGAGCTGAGATCGCGCCACCGCAATACAGCCTAGGTGACAGAGTAAGATTCTGTTTCAAAAAAAAAAAGAAAAAAAGAAAAGAAAAGAAAAAAGAAAGAAATGTTTACATTTAAAAGTTGATGAGAGAGGTTAACCCATACATTTTCTTTCTTTCTCTGTCTTGTCTAGTCTTGATTTCAAGGTTACACTATATTCGTGAGTTGCAAAGTATGTACTTTTAAGAAATCTTAAGGAGTTTATATAAGATTATATAAATTTGGAATGACCTATTCTATTTGGAATAGGTTGGGAGAATTGGCCTATAAAATTATCTGGTATTTGCTTTGAGAGAAACCTTAAAATGTTACTTAATTTCTCAATAGGCGTAGATTTATTCAAACATCCTATTTCTTCTTAGATTATTTTGTAATTTATATTTTTCTAAAACTTTTTCCATTTTGTTTTAGAGTTTAAATTTGCCGTCATTAAGTTATTCCTTTAATTCTACTGCATACATAATTATGTCTCCTTTATCAGGCTCCATATTATTTACTATTTATCTCTTTTTCATTCTCAATCAATTTACTTAAATTTTTTTCTTTTTTACTGGTCTTTTAAAACAATAAACTTTTGGCCTTTTGATCTACTTTATATTATTGATGCTTCCTGAATCTACGTTTTCATCCAGTTTTAGAACACTATCTGCCAAAATCTCTATAAATTTTTATCCTCCTCCATTCTCTTTATTATCTTCCTGGAACTCTTGATCATATAAATATTAGAATTTTTATTTTAGCATTCATTTCTCTTCATTTTTCTTTCATATATTCAGTTCCCTAGTTCTCTATGCTATAGCCTAAATAATTTCTTTCAACAAATACTGTAGGTCATTAATTTTTTCTTTGGCTATATATAATCAACTATTTAACACATACATTAAGTATTTTATTTCAGTAGTCCTATTTTTCATTTATAAAAGTTTCATTTGGCTATGTTTTGAAACTGTATGGGCATCTTTGACAATCTGTTATTGTTAGAACATACTTGTATTTCATTCATTTTGAGCTCATACATGGATCTTCTATCTTAAGCAGCAGACAATATTCATATCCACAGTCCTTGTGTTCTCAATCTGTTGTTTATTTTTTCTGATTCTCACTCATGTTAGCCTTCCTTCTCATAATTGATGGTCTTGGATTTAGAGTTCATAGTACTCTATATTAAATGTGTGCTTATTTCATGGTCTTACCATGAGAATATTTTCTTCCAGAATGGATTTCTTTTGTGTCTTCCAGAAGCTTGGAAATGCCACTGACCTGGAACTTCTTCAAACCTCTTCAAGGATTGTGGCTCCAAGTGGAGTCAGGGGCTCAGTTTCACCTCCTCCTGCTGGAACAAGGCTCAGAACCTGAATTACAGATCTGATAAGGACGTCTGTCCCTGGGGCCACCCTGCTCCTTTCATCTGCTCTCCACTGACAGTTCTATCCTCATCTCAGAGTTGTTTTCTGTTTCGTTTTGCTCTTATTTAATAGTTTTGTTTTTAGAGTGGGATGGGATAGTGTACCTTGGACTTCTCACCTATTTTGTGTCCTCATTTGAGCCCATTAACTCATCAATAACTGTTTCCTATTCAGTGTCTGGTTGTTCTGCAGAGGGAAGGGCTATTCGAGCATTTAGTATTGTATGCAGCCAGATGAGGAAGTTAAGCCTGGATCTCCTTAACTTGTAGTTCAGTGCTGTTTCCACTTTTGAATGAAATGAAAAAAAATATTGGGAACTATCAAGATTATTATCTTCCTTTTTAGTATCCTCATAATCAAAATATGACCATTCACATAACCCACAGATAGAAAAGAGGTAGTATGAACTGAACCCTGTCCCTTCAAAACTCATATGTTGAAGCCATAGCCCTCAGTATACCTCAGAATGTGGCTCTATTTGGAGATAGGCATGTAAAGAGGTAATTAGGATTAAATAAGGTCTTATGGGTGAGCCCTAATCGAATATGACTGTATCCCTATAAGAAGAGGAAGAGTCACCAGGGATGCGTGTGCACAGAGGGAAGACGCTGAAGAGGTGGCCTTCTGCTAGGCAAGAAGGGAGGCCTCAGGAGAAACCAAATCTGCCAACACCTTGATCTTAGACTTCCAGCCTCCAGAACTGTGAGAAATAAATTTCTGTTGTTTAAACCACCCAGCATGTAGTAGTTTGTTCTGAGCCGTAGCAAACAAGTATGGGAGCTTACTCAGTATTTCTCATGTCTCCCTTATTCCTAGTACGACCTGTTACTCTTGTCTTTTTTTTTTAACCTTTTTTTATTATTTATTTATTTATTTATTTATGTTTGAGACGGACTCTCACTCTGTCGCTATGCTGGAGTGCAGTGGCACGATCTCAGCTCACTGCAACTTCTGCCTCCCAGGTTCAAGCAATTCTCCTGCCTCAGCTTCCCGAGTAGCTGGGACTACAGGCGCGCCACCACACCCAGCTAATTTTTGTATTTTTAGTAGAGACGGGGTTTCACCATGTTGGCCAGGATGGTCTCGATCTCTTGACTTGGTGATCCACCCGCCTCGGCCTCCCAAAGTGCTGGGATTACAGGCGTGAGCCACCGCGCCGGGCCTGTTACTCTTGTCTTTATGGGAAATTCAACCCACCCTTTAAGGCCAGCTCAAAAGTCATCTCTTCTGTGCAACTGTTCCTAATTTTCTGCCTTCCCATATTTTGACATATTTTGATTATAGCACTTTTTACATTGTGTCAATATCCATCTCTTGCATTAGACTGTGAATTCTTTAAGAAGATAAACTATATAAAGACCATGTTTGAATTCCCAATATCTGGCTTAATCCTCGTGGGGTGAATGGATAGACATGGGACTGACAAATGAATAAGTAAGATGCAGTTTCTCCTTAAGATGCCATACTTTCTGCTGCCCTCTGGTGGCTATTTTGCTCCATCACCGCGCCTAAGGCAGGATGTGGAGATGCTCCTGCCAATATCCTAGTTCTTCATGGATGCTTTTAGATGATTCTTTCCCAAATTACACACAATTTCCTTCTTTTCTTTTGGTATCACCATACTTTCTTTACTCCTTGTATTACTCTGTTCTCATATTGCTATAAAGAACTACCTTAGACTGGGTAATTTAAGAAGAAAAGAGATTTAATTGACTCACAGTTCGGCATGGCTGGGGAGGCCTCAGGGAACTTAAAATCATGGCAGAAGGCAAAGGGGAAGGAAGCATATCTTCATAAGACAGCAGGAGAGAGAGAGTAAAGGGGGAGGCACTACACACTTTTAAACAACCAGATCCCACGAGAACTCTATCACGAAACAGCGCTAGGGTGACGGTGCTAACTCATTAGAAACCACCCCCATGATCCAATCACCTCCCACCAGGCCCCACCTCCAAAACTCAGGATCACAGTGCTACATGAGATTTGGGTGGGGACACAGAGCCAAACCATATCACTCCTCGTATTACATCACCTTCCAACTTCCTGGTCATTCTTCTCACTTACTGAGAACATTTGTACCAAGATCCTAGTCCTCTCTACCCTAACATTAGTGACTTCCTTGACCATGTAGATCATCCTTCTCCAAAACATAGACTCAAAATGTCTCCTTCAACCCTAGCCCTAGGTTATCCAGACCCTATTTCAGAAACTCATCTGGCCACACCCAGACTTTATTACCACAAAAACATTTTCATCTTTAGGCATGTAGCCTCTGTAGTAGGTCACATAATGCCCCCTTCCACCAAAATATGTTCACATCTGGACCCCCAGAACCTGTGGGTATGTTGTTTTACTTGGTAAAAGAAACAAAAGATAAGACTAAGTTAAGGGTCTTGAGATGGGAAGTTTCTCCTAGATAACTGCGGAGGCTCAAAGTAATCACAGGGCCATTTTAAGAAGAAGGCAGACCATCCTGGCCAACATGGTGAAACCCCATCTCTACTAAAAATGCAAAAATTAGCTGGGTGTGGTGGCACACGCCTGTAATCCCAGCTACTTGGGAGGCTGAGGCAGGAGAATCACTTGAACCCAGGAGGTGGAGGTTGCAGTGAGCCGAGATCGCCCCACTGCACTCCAGCCTGGTGACAGAGAGAGACTCCATCAAAAAAAAAAAAAAAAGGCAGGAGGGTCAAGGTGGGAGAAAGAGATGTGACCACAGAAGCAGAGGTTGGAGCATGTGGTGCCATAAGCCAAAGATCACAGGCAGCCTGTAGAAGCTGGAAAGGACAAAAAAGAGATTTTCCCTTAGAGCCTCCAACAGGAACAAGCCCTCTCAATCCATCTTAGACTCCTGACTTTCAGAAATGTAAGAGAATAAACATGTTTGCTGCAAGCTGCTAAGTTGATGGTCATTTGGTAGAGCAGCCATAAGAACAAACACAGGCTCTGATGGACCAATCTTGAGCCACAGGTCTTTTTCTTCTGGCTCTTACTCACTTGCTCCCAGTACAGCTCATCCTCTCCTCACAGCTGTTTGTCTCTCTCCTGGCTTCGTTTTCCTTCCCAGATACCTAGACTCCATGATTTTCCACTGTAACCACTCTCTTCCCAGGATGTGAAGGTCCTAATCTTTTCTCCTTTCACTTCATCTACCTTGATACCTCCTGCTTGCTTCTCTTTTATACCGAGGATACTTGATATGGCTTGGCTGGTTCCCCACCCAAATCTCATCTTGAATTCCCCCATGTTGTGGGAAGGACCCAGTGGGAGGCAATTGAATCATGGAGGTAAGTTTTTTTCCATGCTGTTCTCATGATAGTGAATAAGTCTCACAAGATCTGATGGTTTTATAAAGAAGAGTTCCCCTCCACAAGTTCATTTCTCTTTTTGCCTGCTGCCATCCATGGAAGACATGCTCTTCCTTGCCTTCCACCATGATTGTGAGGCTTCCCCAGCCACACGGAACTGTAAGTCCAATTAAACCTCTTTCTTCTGTAAATTGCCCAGTCTCAGGCATGTCTTTATTAGCAGCATGAAAAGGAACTAATACAGTAAATTGTTACCAGTAGAGTGGGGCTGCAGAAAAGATACCTGAAAATGTGGAAGCAGCTTTGGGACTGGGTAACTGGCAGAGGCTGGAACAGTTTGGAGGGCTCAGAAGAAGGCAGGGAAATGTGGAAAAGTTTGGAACTCCCTAGAGACTTGTAGAAAGGCTTTGGCCAAAATGCTGACAATGATATGGACAATGAAATCCAGACTGAGGTGGTCTCAGATGGAGATGAGGAACTTATTGGGAACTGGAGCAAAGGTGACTCTTGTTAAGTTTTAGTAAAGAGACTGGTGACATTTTGTCCCCGTTCTAGAGATTTTGGAACTTTGAACTTGAGAGAGATGATTTAGGATATCCGGCAGAAAAAAATTTCTAAGTAGCAAAGCGTTCAAGAAGTGATTTGGGTGCTGTTAAAAGCATTCAGTTTTATAAGGGAAGCATAGCATAAAAGTTTGGAAGATGTGCAGCCTGACAATGCAATAGAAAAGAAAATCCCATTTTCTGAGGAGAAATTCAAGCCCGCTGCAGAAATTTGCATAAGAAACGAGCAGCTGAATGTTAATCCCCAAGACAATGTGGAAAATGTCTCCAGGGCATGTCAGAGATCTTTCTTTGCGGCAGCCCATCCCATCACAGGCCTAGAGGTCTAGAAGGAAAATAGAGTTTCATAGGCCGGGTCCAGGGTCCTGGTGCTGTGTGTAGTCTAGGGACTTGGTGCCCTGCATCCCAGCTGCTCCAGCCATGGCTGAAAGGGCCCAACGTAGAGTTTAGGCTGTGGCTTCAGAGGGTGCAAGCCTCAAGGCTTGGCAGCTTCCACATGATGTTGAGCCTGTGGGTGCACAAAAGTCAAGAACTATGGTTTGGAAAACTCCATCTAGATTTCAAAGGATGTATGGAAATGCCTAGATGCCCGGGCAGAAGTTTGCTTCAGCAGCTTGGCCCTCATGAAGAACCTCTGCTGGTCAGTGAGGAAGGGAAATGTGGGGTGAAAGCCCCCACACAGAGTCCCTACTTGGGCACCACCTAGTGGATCTGTGAGAGGAGGGCCACTGTCCTCCAGACTGCAGAATGATAGATTGACCAACAGCTTGCACCATTCACCTTGAAAAGCCAGACACTCAATGCCAGCTCGTGAAAGTAGCTGGGAGAGAGGCTCTACCCTGCAAAGCCACAGGAGTGGAGCTGCCCAAGACCATGGGAACCCACTTTTTGAATCAATTTTGGAGTGTTAAGATTTGACTGCCCCACTGGATTTCGGACTTTCATGGGGCCTGCAGCCCCTTTGTTTTGGCCATTTATCCCATTTGAAATGGCTGTATTTACCCAATACCTGTACCCCCATAGTATCTAGGAAGTAACTAACTTGCTTTCGATTTTGGAAGCTCATGGGCAGAAGGGACTTGCCTTGTCTTGGATGAGACTTTGGACTGTGGAATTCTGAGATAATGCTGAAATGAGTTAAGACTTTGAGGGACTGTTGGGAAGGAATGATTGGTTTTGAAATGTGAGGATATGAAATTTGGGAGGGGCCAGGGGTGGAATGATATGGTTTGGTTCTGTGTCTCCACCCAAATCTCATCGTGAATTGTAACTCCCACAATTCCAATGTGTCATGGGAGGAACCCGGTAGGGGATAATTCAATCATGGGGGCAAGTCTTTCCCATTGTTCTCATGATAGTGAAGAAGTCTCATGAGACTGATGGTTTTATAAAGAAGAGTTCTCCCACACAAGTTCATTTCTCTTTTTGCCTGCTGCCATTCACGGAAGATGTGACTTGCTCCTCCTTGCCTTCTGCCATAATTGTGAGTCTTCTCCAGCCATGTGGAACTGCAAGTCCAATTAAGCCTCTTTCTTTTGTAAATTGCCCAGGCTCCGGTGTGTCTTTATCAGCAGCATGAAAATGGACTAATACAATACTAAACACCTCCAGAGAAAATAACTCAACCATATGTATTGGTGCCACTACAAAAAGGTCCCTCAGCCCCACCTTCTCTCTTTTTTTTTTTTTTTAGACGGAGTCTCGCACTGTTGCCCGGGCTACTGGAGTGCAATGGCACAATCTCGGATCACTGCAATCTCCACCTCCTGGATTCACGCGATTCTCCTGCCTCAGCCCTCCGAGTAGCTGGGATTACAGGAGCACACCATCACACCTGGCTAATTTTTTTGTATTTTTAGTAAAGACGGGGTTTCACTATGTTAGCCATACTGGTCTTGAACTCCTGATCTCGTGATCTGCCTGCCTCAGCTTCCCAAAGTGCTAGGATTACAGGCATGAGCCACTGCGCCCAGCCCCCACTTCATCTTTTTACCTGACCTTCGATAGCTCCCTTTCTATATCCCACAGCAATAATTCCATACCATCGCCTCTTCTCACTCACTTGCCCCATCACTGAGCTTCTCTTTAGGAAGCCTCCTGGTCTTCTATTTTGAGAGAAAATTCAAGTGGGGTGCGGGCTGGCTCTGGCAGGGCCTATGTCACGGGCCCCCCTGCTCTCATGGTCTCTGCCTGTTTCTTATGAGCAGGCCTCTGCCTGAAAGACCTTCCTTCTGTTTGCCCCTTGCTCTCGCTACCCAACATTTCCTAAAATACACTCAATTCTTTTTCATTTCCCAACTTAAGGGAAAACTGTCTATGAGCCACCCCCCTCCACAGCTGACCACCCGCTTTGTGTTTCGATTTTATTGTATGCACTTCTATTACAACACATCAGAACACATCACATTACACACGTGATCATGTTTCATTACGTTTATATATTTATGTGTCTCTCCTTTAACTAGACTGAGAGTCCCTTGAGGAGAATTATTGTATCTTATTTGTCTTGTTTTCTCCAACACTCTAGCACTATGCCTTTAATGTTTTGAGAAATAGGGAAAAGGAAAGAAGGAAGGACGTCTCCAGATGGTGAGTGGTGTGGCCAAGTCTCCCCACCCCACATACACACACCAGGGCACATCAGTCCTGACTCTCACCTCCTCCCAGTGATTAATCTGTTTGGAGACCAGGGTCTGCCCAGACCCCCAGGCAGGAGCTCACACCCGTCCAAATGACAAGTGCACGGGCATGTCCATCAAACCCGCTTCAGAATCAGGAAGGCACTCTTGGCTACCTTGATGCTCCAGACCATCTGGTCAGGTGGCATAGCGCCCACTTGCAAGGTCACTTCCTTACTGCCCTGAACACTCCAGATTATGCTGCCAAGTAAACTTTCTCTTTGAACTGCCACAGGAAGTCTTCAGCACCGTCGGTAGTCCCTTCATCATTCACATTTCTGTTTTAGCTCCCAACTAGGTGGCAGGGACTTTTCTCCAGAGCATTGTTGCCATTTTCTAAGTGCTCCTGAGGACATTAGAATGGTCTGGGAAGGTAGAGGGGCAGAGCCCACTTCTCGGGTTCCTTTTCTGCGGGAAGGCAGGCAGCAGTGAAAAGGTATGGACCGTGAAACCGTGGATTCACATTCTGCCATCTCACGGGAGTGCCCAGTCTGCTTAGTGGACACTGATCCTAAATCAAACCATTTGCTTTAGAAGTGATGAATCGTAAACTACGGGTCACATCTAAATGATGGCTTCTTTCGTATTCAAAGGAAGTCTCTGCCCCAACAGCAGCAATGGACGAGACAGGAAGCTGCAACGCACTTCTTGTTGGCAGAGTTTTGGGTTGGGATTTGTTTGAAGATTCCTTTAAACATCTAGGGAGTAGTCCATGATGATGAAAGACTGCTCACAGCACAGAGAAGGTGGACGAAGGGCAACCATGAGCAGCTCTGTGCAAACGATGCGAATCCTATGCCTAAATGGAAAGGAGACCCACCCTGCGGGCACAGCTCCTAGGGCCCAAGGTGGACATGGAAGCTGGCTTCACGCAAAACTGACACTAACACTTTTGACACCTGGTCAGTGCTTCCGGTATTTTGTCTTCCTATAGGTTCCTGTGTAGACAAGTGAAGTCTAATTTGCTAAAACCAAAAACAATCCAACATAGAGCATATTCCAAAGCAAATATATTACAGGATTATCTGAAAGGACACCTCTATCTCTGCTTTCCTTTTCTATGTTTTTGGGGAGGATAAGGCGAGAAGAGATAGAGGGAAATAGAAACCCTCATCCTTGAAGACTCAGCAGAAAGGCACCTTTTCTGTGAGCTTCTCCTTAACCATTGCAACCCACAGTGATCTCTCCTTCCCCTGAATTCCTATAAGATTTTGTATTTTACTATATCGCACGCTGACTGGCATTACTAGATAGCCAATCGCGTTCAAAGCGCTGGCATCCCCAGTTAGCAGGAGGTCCTGGAGGACAAGGTCTGCTTCTATTCGTCCACGCTGCCTCTCACATTGAAGACAGCAGATGCTCAAAATATTTGATTGTTTGTGTAATGCCACCAGCAAATAACCCTCAATCACAAATTTGATTTTGTGATACAGTATATGAAATGTACAACATAAATCTATCTCTGTATCGTTTCATGCCTTATATTCTGCAATTCCTGACAACAAATGAGGGTCTTTGTGCTGGGGACGCGGGGTACCGGCTCTAGGGGAAACCGGATAAATGTTAAGACACATCAGGCCAATGAAACTTCGCCTCCATGAAATTAAAATAAACCGGATTATTGACAGCGTGCCTAAGCAGTAAAGGACAGGCTTCATTTAATAACCAGAACTAGGACGCGTTTTAAAGCGCCTGGAAGTCTGGGTCTTAGCGGTGATTGCTGCGGCGGCTGTTTCGTGGCACTTCGGAAATCTGCGCCAGCTCTTGGCGAGCACGCGCCCCGTGCGCGCTCAGGCTCACGCTCAGGCTCAGAGACTACCTCGCGCAGGGCCGTCAGGGCGGCTCCTCGCCAGCAGAGGGCGCCGGGCAGCGCCGCTCCTCGGGGCGCGCGCGGACGCTCTCCCAGCATGCCTCGCTCCCGTCGACGTCGACCCGGAAGCTGTCGCCGGCGGCCGGCCGGCGGTCAGCCTTCACACAGGCCCGGCTGCGGAGCGCAGTCGCCCAGGTTTACGGCGGCAGAGGGCCGAGGCTCCCGGAGAGGACCGCGATGAGTCCACTTCAGGTCGGGGCTGAGTGTGGGCGCGCGGTTCCCGGCGGCGTGTGACCCAGTCTTCGCCGGCCGCTGCCCGCTGCGTGTGTAAGTGTCCGTGGGCCCCAGGGCCTTGCAGCGCCCGCCCCGAGGCCCCGAAGAGGCCTTCCGCCTGGGGCAGTGTGAAGGCCACAGAGTTTTCCTCCAAAGCCACACCTCAGCTGGAAGGGGCGAGTTGGAGGGCTCTGTTAGTGGTAGCCATGGGGAGACGCGGAGCTGCAGCTGTCGCTTTGCAGTGCCTGTAGGACTTTGAGGGCCTGGAGCCCCGGTTCCCTGAACAGCACCCAGATCGCCCCATATCTGAGACACAGTTCATGCCCCCCTTCCCTAACTCTGAAGTAAAATCTTGAGGGCTGTCATCTGGGGAAGCCACCTTGTCCGTTCAGCCATGAAGACAGAAACAGTGCCACCGTTCCAGGAAACTCCAGCTGGATCGAGCTGTCACCTCAATAACCTGTTGAGTAGCCGGAAGCTGATGGCTGTGGGGGTCTTGCTTGGCTGGCTCCTGGTCATACACCTTCTGGTCAACGTGTGGCTGCTGTGCCTTCTGTCGGCATTGCTAGTGGTGCTGGGAGGATGGCTGGGCTCCAGCCTCGCTGGAGTGGCTTCAGGTCGACTGCATCTGGAACGCTTCATCCCGTTGGCCACCTGTCCTCCATGCCCTGAGGCAGAAAGGCAGCTGGAACGGGAGATCAACCGCACCATCCAGATGATTATTCGAGATTTTGTGTTATCTTGGTACCGTTCCGTGAGCCAGGAGCCAGCCTTTGAGGAAGAAATGGAGGCAGCCATGAAAGGGTTGGTCCAGGAGCTTCGGAGAAGGATGAGCGTGATGGACAGTCATGCTGTTGCCCAGAGTGTTCTGACTCTCTGCGGTTGTCACCTGCAGAGCTACATTCAGGCAAAGGAGGCCACTGCAGGGAAGAATGGTCCAGTTGAGCCTTCCCACCTCTGGGAGGCTTACTGCCGGGCGACTGCCCCACATCCTGCTGTGCACAGCCCCAGTGCTGAAGTCACCTATACGCGTGGCGTTGTGAATTTGTTGCTTCAAGGGCTGGTGCCCAAGCCCCACTTGGAGACTCGTACCGGACGCCATGTAGTGGTCGAACTCATCACATGCAATGTAATCTTACCACTGATCAGCAGGCTGTCAGATCCTGACTGGATCCACCTTGTACTCGTGGGTATCTTTTCCAAGGCCAGAGATCCAGCACCCTGCCCAGCCAGTGCCCCCGAACAGCCCTCAGTGCCGACATCTCTGCCACTGATTGCTGAGGTAGAGCAGCTTCCAGAAGGGAGAGCTTCTCCAGTAGCAGCCCCAGTATTCCTAAGTTACAGTGAGCCAGAGGGTTCTGCAGGCCCCTCTCCAGAGGTTGAAGAAGGCCACGAAGCTGTAGAGGGAGATTTGGGTGGGATGTGTGAAGAAAGAAAAGTAGGAAACAACTCATCTCATTTCCTACAGCCAAATGTTCGAGGTCCCCTGTTCTTATGTGAAGACTCAGAGCTGGAGTCTCCGCTGTCTGAACTGGGCAAAGAAACCATCATGCTCATGACTCCAGGCAGCTTTCTCTCTGACAGGATTCAGGATGCCCTGTGTGCCCTAGAGAGTTCCCAGGCTCTGGAACCCAAAGATGGTGAGGCATCTGAAGGAGCAGAGGCTGAGGAGGGTCCAGGGACAGAAACAGAGACAGGCCTGCCGGTCTCCACACTGAATTCCTGCCCAGAGATCCATATTGACACAGCAGACAAGGAGATAGAACAAGGAGATGTTACCGCCTCTGTTACAGCTTTGCTGGAGGGGCCAGAAAAGACCTGCCCCTCACGGCCGTCATGCTTAGAGAAGGATCTCACCAATGATGTGAGCTCCCTTGATCCTACTCTGCCACCAGTTCTGCTTTCCTCCTCTCCACCTGGTCCTCTCAGCTCAGCCACCTTCAGCTTTGAGCCCCTAAGCAGTCCCGATGGTCCAGTTATCATCCAGAACCTTCGTATCACTGGCACCATTACAGCCCGAGAGCACAGTGGCACTGGATTCCACCCATACACACTCTATACTGTGAAGGTAACAGGATTAAAGCTGTGGGTGCTCACCCGGGCTAGGAGTGGGTTTGGAAAGCAGTCATGAAGCAAATGTTCTTGGGGGAGAGATGCTGTTAGTTTGAAGTGGTTCTTTCAATAGGCATCTATCTCTGTGAATGGTCTGAAGCTAATATGTAAGGCAGAGTAGCGTTTATCCTGTACTCACACAAGCAATCCTGGAACCTCAGGGCTGCTAGAATGCTGAGGGTTATATTTTCAGTGGTTCCCAAACTTGGCTGCACCTCAAAATCACTTGAGCTGCCTTTCAGATATACAGATTCTGACAGACTCTGTTGGATTCTGTATGAGAATTTCTAAGGAGGGGGTCCCTGGATTCTGTATTTTATTTATTTTCAAATAGAACTCTCCAGATAACATAGAGTCAGCCTGTCCTAAGGCCATCTTGGGGAATTGCCTCTCTAATCCAACCAACCCTCTTCATGTTATCTCTTGTCAAGTTGTTCCCAAGTCTGCTTACACACCTCCAAGAGTCAAAAACTTGCTATCTTCTGAGATAGACATAGGTAAATAACCTACCTTCCTAAAACAAAGTACAAAATGTACCAGTATTTTGAAAAAGAAATCAGCAGGGAAGAAGTTGAGAAAGAAAATTCTTGGACAAGATCCTACCCATTGGATTTTACTTGCCTTCCACACTTGAATTTCTCTCATTTGAGTCCACAAGCTACCACCAGGGACAGCCTGCTTGCTACACTCCTCCGAACTCCCAATCCAACTAAGAGGGAAAAGACCTTCCTTGATCTGCTCAACACAGCTGCATCATGACATAGCATTTTAGAAAGTAACATTATGACATTTTCAAGTAAGACGGAATGGAAGTAATTAGAAATGCATATGGGTGAACACACAGACACACACTCATTATAGGCAAATTGTAGAAGTACAGATGTCTGGTCATAAAATAACTGAGACTAGCCTCAAAGGACTGGTATAACTTTGTTAACATTTTCCTGCCTTTTTGTTCTAATTCTGGATGCCCCTATGCCATGCACCTTTCTCACATTTAAGTGTTGGCTTCTGGTTATTTCATCTTTTTTTAATGACTATTCCAATACTGACATAAAACAGCAGGTTTTTTCCCTCCTCATTAGCAGAAAAATTAAGTTGATGGATAGAATGTTTAAGTTCCCAGTCTTTCTCCCATTATTTGTTCTTTTTTGTTGTTGGCTAGATTTTGACATCTGCTACTGCTTCAATTAAGCATTAGAAAAGAGTAAAGTAAAAAATGAGAACGAAATAATATAGCCAATTATGAGTAGTTTGAAATTGGGTTTAGATTTTTATATGGACATATAACTGATTTTAAATTGTATATCAATATTATTATACTTTCTGATAGTAAATAGTTTTCGGTTTATGTGATGGAAGTAACCATAACGGTGTTGAAAATTGGCCCTCGAGGAGCAGCATATTCCACAGAAAGCCTCATAGTTCCAAATGCTCCAGGCTTGAGAGCCCCACCCTGAATGCCACCTGTTGCTCTTACTTGGTCTTTCCTTCTCAGTGCTGTTCTGAGGGACTGCTTTGCTCACATCAGCTCATAATGAATACCCTGTCTCCAGAAAATTGTAAAGCACCAGCCACAACTCCCACCAACGAGGAGGTAGTTTTTTCCACCTCTTGCCCACAGTATACCTCAACCGAAAAATAATAGCCCATTCCTAATGAGAAGGCGCACATATATACTTCTCCCACAGCGTTTCATTGTGTCTTAACTACCCTGTCAAGAAGTGTGCCCCCATGCTGAGTTGCAGATTCCATGCCATCCGTGGTATTCACTCTTTGGGGAACATGAGATATAAGTCGTCTTTTCCACATACCAGCCCTCTAAGCTTAGGAAGACAGTGGACTTTGACCCCTTATCACATCTCCAATTTTCATGTGACTTCTGTGATACAGATGATACGTACTTAGGAAAAATTCAGTTTAGCTCTAAGAATAACAATTAGGAAAATTAATCTGCGTGAAACAAAACAAATACCCTTTAATTTATTCCAGATAAACAAATGATTTATATCTGCTGTTTGGATTACTTCTTCTTCCCTTAACTAATATAAATAATCACGGGAGAGTATAATGGAAAAATGGTTTGCCCCTTATGATGTTTAGCCCTGTAATTTAAAGGTGATAGAGGCAGTATCATTTTTATGGATGTTATGCCTTCTATTCAAATATTCATTTGAAAAACAGTTATGTAGCCATTTTTATAAGTCAAGAAAGTATCTGGGAGAGGGAGCTTTCAGATGAAAGTAGTAGTGCGGAGGAGTGAAACTCATTTCTGACTTTCTAAGCAATTAGATATAGGAGGTTCTGGAACAGAATAGGAACATACTCCCTCCCTTTGTTCTTAGTTTCGTACTCTTGCTATGTGGCCATTGACCAAGTAGTCAGTAAAGCCAGAATAGAAGATTGCTGAAACCCGGCTGATTGAGTCAATCAATTTGTTCGTTGAACAGTACGAGACAGCCCTTGACGGTGAAAACAGCAGCGGCCTGCAGCAGCTGGCCTACCACACTGTGAATCGTCGCTATCGGGAGTTCTTGAATCTGCAGACCCGTCTGGAGGAGAAACCAGATCTACGAAAGTTCATCAAAAGTCAGGAGTTTCCCCAACCCCTACTGCCCGCTTGCTTCCCACGTCGAGCCACGCTGATTGGCCTGTTGGTTTATGGGAGGGATCGGGGAGGAGAATGCCGTTTCAAGGTTCTCTGCTCCCTGGATTTGCTTCAGGAGTTTTGAAGTTTAGTGCTGGACAGCAGCAATCACATTCTTTCAGAGGTAGTCCTTTACTGCCAACTGCTTTGTTCTGGAGCCCCATCTAGTTTAAGATTAAAAAATAAGTGTTCACATTTCCACCTGTGCCTGTAAGTTGGTGTGAGGAGTTAAATTAACTTTTCCAGATTCATAGATTGGTGGTTCTTAAATATTAAAATATTACACAGAAGTTGTTGCCACCTTCTTTCCTTAACACCCAGATCTTTTGTGTGCTGTTATGACAACTCTCAGGCATGGGGAACCTTTTTTTTTTTTTTTTGACATGGAGTCTCGCTCTGTCCCCCATGCTGGAGTGCAATGGTGCAATCTCGGCTCACTGCAACCTCCGCCTCCCAGGTTCAGGCGATTCTCCTGCCTCAGCCTCCAGAGTAGCTAGGATTACAGGCGCCCGCCACCACGCCTGGCTAATTTTTGTATTTTTAGTAGAGATGGGGTTTCACCATGTTGGTCAGGCTGGTCTTGAACTCCTGACCTCAAGCAATCTACCCACCTCGGCCTCCTAAAGTGCTGGGATTACAGATGTGAGCTACTACGCCCAGCCAAATATTTTTTAATGTAATAAAATTTCACTCTTAAGGATTAGTAACTGGTTACTTTGTTTTTTAAAAATGATTACCCAAATAGTTGAATAAGTTTGGGCATAAATTATGTATTTTCTTTCTTAACACAATAGCTAATACTGAGCCAAGCTTGAAAATATGCGCCAGGTTCTCTCCTAAGCACTTTACACGTATTAGCTCTTTTAATGCTCCCGTCAGCCTGTGAGATAGGTGCCCTCATTATCCTCATCTTGTAGAAGAGAAACAGAGTCAGAAAGATAACACAAATGGCCTAAGATCATCATTATAGTAGGGATTGAGCCCAGATTTAAACTTGGGTCTCTGGACTTCAGAGCCCTCTCTTGTAACAATTTAGTGTTATATGGATCATATGGATCGTATGTATATTTGGAAGTCCTGAAATTGTTTTTTTTAATCCAAGGAAATATATTCAATAGTTCTGTTTTCTTTATATGTTTTATATGGAATAGCTCTCTGTGAATGTTAAATGAGTGAATATTTTGATTTTTTTTTTTTTTGGAAGATGTGAAGGGTCCTAAAAAGCTCTTTCCAGATCTTCCATTGGGAAACATGGACAGTGACAGAGTAGAAGCCCGTAAGAGCCTCCTAGAATCATTCCTAAAGGTCAGCATCCTTCTCTTTTGGCCTTGTTCTCACTTTAACCTGGGTGTCTAACCCCAGAACACCCAAGCCAAGGTGGAGAGATTTGGGGACTGGAATTTCTCTTTAAAATGTGTGTGTGTTTTACTTTTGCAGCAACTCTGTGCCATTCCGGAGATCGCTAACAGTGAGGAGGTGCAGGAGTTCCTTGCTCTGAACACAGATGCTCGTATTGCCTTTGTCAAGAAACCATTTATGGTCTCTAGAATAGACAAGGTACCAGCAGGGCCACTGTGCTCAGCTTTAGTTTTGATCTATAAATGGGGAGGATTCATCAGAATGGAGGCAGTCCTTGAAAAATAAGAGCAGTAGGGTGTGGGAAGGGGCAGCACAGAGCCGTCAATAGAACATGGACTTAAATTGTCAAGACCTGTTGCCAAATATTGGTTGAATCATCAGCTTGCTGAATCACAGGAAACAGCTGCTGGGAAACAGTACCCCAACACTCTTAAGTGTACACATATCTCCTGGGGGTATCATTATATTGTTGTACTGTTGGAGGCATGTGAAGATTGATCTGTGTCTTCACAGATAGCTGGCATGAGGGGTGGTCTTTCAGAGGGTAAAGTTCATTTCCAGTGTTGGGTCACCCAGGAAAGAGAGCCTAAGACGACCTGAGGCTGGATTTAGAGTGGTGTCATGGTTCTCCGCTAGAGAACAGAGTATGGAGAGAATTGTATCTTTTTCAAGAGGTTATCTCAGCACCTATGGAGATGGTGGAAGAAGGACATTTGTGTAACATGTCAGAGCTTGTAAGCAGTGATTACCAACTGATATGAGCATCTCTGGGGCAGAAGTCTGAGGCTTATGTTTATCAAAAGTGATGTGTGTTTTATAGGGTTGGGAAACACTGACACATTGGCGGAAGAGTAGCCTCCCTCTTCTCATCTAGGCTTGGAGCAACAAATAAAATAGAATTTCATGTAGTAGGTGTTAGGGGATATCCACTGCTATGGAAAAAACTACAAACTAAAAAGGGATCAACTGGGTAAATGCCCAGAGTTCCATGCAGATATCATTCATCCATTATTTCCACATCTACTTACTGGATGCCTGTTTTCAGCCAGACACTCTACCAGCTGCTGTTCATACATCAGTGAATGAGACAGATGAGGACCTCCCCACCCTCACAGACTACAGTTCTGTGATCCTGGAGAACAAGTTGTATTTTCTAAGCTGCATTATCTAAATGCATGCATCCTCAAGTGTTCTTTCCCTGGTTTGTTCTCCCCCAGTCTTTACTGTAGTCTGCTGACCACTCTCTTCAGCCTTGTCTTGGCTATGCTAGCTTACTCCTTATGGAGGAATACCACAAGAATGAGTCAAAGAAGGCATGGTGCTGCTCTGAGCCAGCAGTGTTAGTTAGCAAGAAGCACCAGAGGAAGAGTAAATGTTTCGTTCTGTTTCTTTGATAGTTTAAGGTTTTGTTTGTACATTGTCCTTTTTAGCAAATATCTGTATGTCATTTTGCCATTCTGAAGAAATGGAGTTAATCTTTAGTGAGGATTATTTTATTTGGTCTTGTATGAGTAGATAAGTTATAACAACTCAACTCCAGATATCTTAGTTTTGACCTGAGTGATCTTTGTTATTCTTTCTGTACCTAAAGAAGAGAAATTGTTTGAATTGACTAGAAAAACTGATTGTTTGCTCTGTGTAAGTTACTCTAAGCATGTTAATATTACTATGCCCCTTAACTGTTATTTTTATTTTTGATCATCTTCTTCACTTTTCCTTTCTCTTTATACTCCTACCTATGTACTTCCACTGATGCACATCTTGATGAAGGTGTTACCGATTTGGAAACTAGAAATCACCTTTTTACTTAAAAAGAAAGAAATTGAAAAATACATCACCAGCCCGCAGAACTCAGGTTTTTATTTCTCTCACTATTGGTTTTGGCTTCTTTTCCCATGGCGTTGTTTGTTTTACTCCTCAAGGAAAAAGATTTTTATGGCCATGGAAAAAAGGAAAGATAGTTGGCACTAAGTCATTAGCTGGTATTCGACCTTCCTACTGGATAAGGCTTTGCTAGATAGCCTGGCCCCTCTCCTTGTCCTGTTGCATAAAGTGCTGTGAGGCGACTGCTTGCTTGGCGGTTTCCATCTGTGGATGTGGATGGACTGACCCTGCACCTCTGACCCCTGCAGATGGTGGTGAGTGCCATTGTGGACACCTTGAAGACAGCGTTTCCTCGCTCTGAACCCCAGAGCCCCACAGAGGAGCTGAGTGAGGCCGAGACCGAAAGCAAGCCCCAGACAGAAGGCAAGAAGGCTAGCAAGTGAGAAGCCCTCAGTTACCCAGGGACCTTTCCCCAGTTCTCAAATTGATCCCCAATCCTCAGCCAACACTCACCCTATTCTCAAGCCCTAGAGGAAAGGAGGTGGGTCAGACATACCAGTTTTTAGGCAAAGCTAGACCCCAGGCTCCTCAGTTTTCCACCCGGAGGAGCCTGCGGTGCTGCAGAGGCAGCACTGCTGAATGTTTGGTTTTGCCATGGGAACCTGGGGCCCAACTGACCAGGGATGTTTGACTAGGAAGAATATTCTCTTTTGACTAGGATATTCTCTTTCCTCTTTTCCTGGAAAATTGAGATGTTTCTTTCCTACTAAGAATTAAGGCTTATAACTGATCTCTGTTTGCCATCATTTCTGGAAATCTTGGCTCAGAAGTTGCATATATTAGCAATAAAGAGGAAAGGGTTAGAATGGAAACCTGCAGGGCCTATTTTAGTAACTGGTTGACTACTGCTACTCTTTCCTGCACTAGGGCCCTAGCTGTTCCCTGGCAGCATTCAAAGCCAACATGTGGCAAGCAAGGGCACCACATGTACCCTTACTGGAAATTTCATCTATATCTGGGTCCTTATGAAAAAAGAGAGAGCATGTGTGTATGTGTGTGTGTCTCTGTCTCTGTGCTTATGTTTCATGGGCCAGCAATAACAGACTCACAGTACCTAACCTTTTCTTAACTGGGCCCATATATTGAGGGATGACCATGATACCTCTGCTTATGAGTCTCTGTCCCTTGAAACATTGATGTTATCACTTGCAGTTCCTTTTCTGGTTTTATTTGGAACACAAGGGGAAAAAATGGATGTCCAAAAAGGATACACCATGAATAGCAATAATGAAAACTTGCTCTATGCCACCTGTCTGTTTAATCTTCAGCAAATTTTTAATGAGTGCCTATTATGTGTTAGCTAATCTATCCTGTGGGAATATAACCATAATACACACTGATGCCAGTTTTACTTAGCAGAAACCATTTCACAAGTGCACTGTAGACATAGCTTAGTGTATGCGTTAACATTATCTATCAAGAATTGCCAGAATATACATTGTTTGGGGGATTGCAGGGCCGAGTCTTTCCTGGCAGCTCTGACCACAGTAAGCTCCCCAGAATAAGTATGGATATTCTTGTTGTGTTTTATTATCAGTACTTGCCAGCCCTTAGTGTGAGGCTCAAGGCCATAAATTACAACCTGTTTCTGCTCTTTGTTTCTGTACCAGGTCTAGGCTGAGGTTCTCATCCAGTAAAATTTCTCCAGCACTAAGTGTGACTGAAGCACAAGACAAGATTCTTTATTGTCTCCAGGAAGGCAATGTGGTAAGAACCAAAACCCAGAGAATGTGAGGCAAAAATATCTGAGATGTTGGTCCTGCAGTTACAGGTAGTTGAGATATTCTCTGAAGTCAGAAATGTCCTGCTAAATGACTTAATCAACGTTTGGATCTCCAGCTTTTATGCTAAAAGTATTTTCTCTAAGTGGTTTGGAATTCCTACCAGTTCTGGGTTGGCAGGTTGGCTTCTCAACCATGGTGGGTTTCGGATAATGGATGACAAGATAAGAAAGAAAGCTAGTTCCTGGAAAAAAAAATGGATGACCAAAAATGGGTGCAGAAATGATAATCCCAGGGCAGGCCTGTTTTACTTGCAACTTCGGTAAAAAATAAAATCTTTCCTAAAGGAGTCATAGCATCAGTTGGGTTTTATACCCAAGGTACTTATGCAGGGGAGAGGCAGGGAAACCTAGAGTGCTGCATTTGCTCCCCTACTGTCAGCATTCCATATGTGATATGCCACTGACTATTTCTTAGGAGTCTGAGACTCTATCCATGTCTGCGATGGAATCTTTTATTGAAAAACAGACAAAGTTACTGGAAATGCAGCCAACAAAAGCCCCAGAAAAAGATCCTGAACAACCTCCCAAAGGACGTGTGGACAGTTGCGTGTCAGATGCAGCCGTGCCAGCCCAAGACCCCAGCAACAGCGATCCAGGTGAGTGGCGAGGTCTCTGCTCCCATGGAGAAGGGAGCCAGGGTGGCATCCACTTGGTACTTGGGGTAGTTGGAGTTTGTAACTTTGATTTCTGTTCCATTCAGCTGAGCATGCCATGTGTTGAACTCCAGTGTTGGAGGTGCTGTGTTGGGGCACAGAGATGAGTAGTACATAGTTGCCACAGCGGAATCAAGCAGCAGAACAGGGCACAAACACAGGAAGTTCTAATCCAGCAGGATGAGATCATGCTGATAATATTGATAACTCATTAAACTTATTTTTGGCATGCTTTGGCATATCAGACTCTTGCATTTCTTAGAAACTTTCTTCCCTTAGTGTCTCAGTTTCCTGGTTTCCTTCATGCCTTTTTCGTGGCTTCTTAGTCCACTCTGTTGGCTCCATGATCCACCTGCCAGAGCTTGATTTTTGGCTCGCTGTCCTTATTCTACACACTCTTCCAGGGTGACTCCAGCTGTAGTGTTGGCTTCAGCTCTAACATGTGTGTGGTGATGCCTTAAACATTGAATATTGTATATCTTCACTTGGATATACCACAGGGCAACTGAAATGTAACGTGTTCAAGATGGAAATTGTCTTTTTTCCCCAGATCTATTCTTTTTATCTTTATTTACTGCCATGGCAGATGATACCACCTAGTTACCCAACATAAAGTAGGGAGGGAGAAGAGGTGAAAGCTTTACTTTCTCCTTATATGCATTGGAGGCAGAGCAATTTTGCCTTCCAGGAGAAGAAGAGCAGATGTGTACTCTGTAGAAGAAAAATTCAAAGCCCTAGATATTAATCAGTATGGTTACTGAACAAGAACTTAAAATAAGTATATCAGTTCCATCAAGATAAAGCCCTCTGTTGAGAATAAAAGATCACAAAATCTTGGATTCAAAACTGGGGAAAAAGCTGATTTCACTATTCTTTCTGAGGTGCCCATGAACAAATCACCTGACATCTCTTCTGAGGGCCTCAATTTAAGTCTGTGAAAAATGGGGTTGACAGCCCCATCCCTTCACACATCTCACAGTTAACTAAATGAAGTGATATGACAGTGAAAGCATCAGAGAACTCTAAGAGACTGTAAAGATGGTGGGGGGCAGGGTCAGTGTGGTAAGAATATCATTCTAGGCAAAGTCCAGCCTGTACATGTTGAACATCATATCTCTAGAGGGATGGTTTAGGCCTGAAACCCTTCTTCTATCTCTGAGAGACTCAAAATGCTCATATGATTATAAAAAACAAAAAAAAATCTACCATTTTCTTTAAGGCAACTGACTTGGTGGTACCTTGTTTGCTTTCTTATTTTTCACTGCTGTAACTAATTGTTACCACATGGTGGCAGCTCCAAGCAAATGCTAAACCTGAGAGAATCATACAATTGAGGACTAAGGCTCAGGATGATGCTGTCTCCCAAGGAATGCAATATTCCATCTTTGAGAAGATGATTAGAAATCACACAACATATCAGCTCCCAATCCTTGCAATACAAACAGAAAAGAAAATATGTATTATATAGGGTTAAGAGGGAAGTATGATTCAGTTCTAGTAGATCTGTCCAAATCGGAAGTCATTCATGTTCAAGGAGAGCTTGGGCAAGGTGATCCAGAGAGTATCCGTTTGTCCTACACTAACAAAGTCATTGTTGATATTACTTATAATATTAATCACAGCAGTGGCACCAGATATCTCAGATCCATTCTGTAACATCACATACTTGGAGGCAAATCAGACGTGACATTGGAACCCCAGGACAGGTTTAAACAGCACGTGCTTCCTTCCACAAAATACATTTGTTCAGGAAACCTTAGTTTAGCATGGGTATAAGCTCATTTGTGGCCCTTACAGTCTTTGAAACAGGAAAGAACGTAGTAATTGTTATGGCATTTTACCAGAGGTGTGGTGTTCTTCCTAGAACCACATGTTATCTCAAAATCAGACTGAAGCCTCCTGAATCCTAACCCCACAGCTCTGTGTAATGGAGGTTTTTCAGGAAAGTGAATGCCAACTCTTTCCCCACTTCTGCCACGGTGTTTCCATAATGCTTTGTGGGGGCGAGTGGAATGCAAGGTTGGAAAGAGAGGAGGCCTTGCCAGTTACACTTAGTCACTAGTTGTGATTTTCTTTGGAACAGAAAGTATTCAGCATCCTGGGGAAATACAGAAGAAATAGAAACTAAGTAGGCAAAATAAGTGCGTGTGTGTGTGTGTGTGTGTGTGTGTGTGTGTGTATGTGTATATATATATATATGTATATATACACACATATATATATTTAGCAGATATATATATAATTAGAAGATATATATCTTTTAAAAACATAGAAACATTTATTAGGTTACAATATCAGGAACATTAATAAAAATTGTAAAGAAATGCTGAGCCTGTCACTGAACCTTCTAGATATGAGTTAAACCTCTTTTGATTTGAGTGTAGAGGGATTGCAAAAATACCAGATGATTGGCATGAAGGTAGAGAGACACAGGTGCCACCAGTACCTTGAAAGATGTTCCTCAAGTATGGGTCTCTTCTGAGTTACTCCTGATGCCATTTTATCCCTCAGGAACAGAGACAGAGTTAGCTGACACAGCCCTGGATCTGCTCCTCTTGCTACTAACAGAACAGTGGAAATGGCTATGTACCGAAAACATGCAAAAGTTTCTTCGTCTTATCTTTGGGACCCTAGTTCAAAGGTAAGACTGCTGAATTCTCCCTCACATCAGAATCTCAAGTTGCAGAGAAGGTGGATGTGATGCTGAATAGTGTCCAGGGAATCTGCAGCCGTAAGAGAAGATAGATTCTCTGTTACAGGGGTTACAGGGATGAAAAATGCCTTGAGAGTATCAGAAAGCTTTTATTGACTACCTTGTTGTCTACAATTTGAAAGTAAGACTGTAAGACTTCTGGCATAATGTACTGAGTTGCAGACACTGTGTGTGATCCTAAAATACTTAGCTGAACTCTTCCTCCTCTCAATTTTCCACCCAGTTATATCCTCCAGCCCTGCACCTCTCACTTGGTTATGGTGGACATTTGTCTCAACTGACATTATGTCATCACTGTGATGATAAACAGTGGGAAAGAAAAGGAGAAAACAGATCAGTGCTCTTGAAATAAAGATTGTTTTCTCTGAGAGGGGCATAAATATTCACAGCTGAAATACTTACTGACACAGGATGGTAAAGAATAGAGGGAAATTTGGATTTGCAAGTTGGCTTTTCTAATCCAGTCTTTGTAATCCTCACACCATTTGATCTCCTGAAAGATTTGTACACAGGTGGAGTTTTTAGCTGCTGACTTTCTAACTATGGAACTGATGTAAGCTTTGTTAACCTGAAGTAGGCCAGAAACACTCTCTCTGAGCCAGGCAGACACACGTAGTGCTTGGGTTTTGGCTACTCTTGTTTTGAACTCCCTCTTATGAGACGTCCTGGCACATCCCAAAGTAAGAGGAAGCCAAATGCTGACCTTCTCTTAGCATGAGGCTCATGCTAACAGGTCACTCAAAAAATACATCCTTATAAAAAAGAATTATGTATCTATTCTTTACCAAGTCGAAAAGTTATTAACAGCAAGCAATTAAATCTCCCTTTTCTAAGTTATGTAGGATCAAGGAGGTTTAATAAAATTGAATCATAAAGAGACCAAGTGAAAGAAGATGATGCACATCTATATTTGCTAAGCGCTTATCTATGCCAGCGCCCAATCTCCATTTACATGTACTTTTTTATAGTGGTCAAGTGAGGTAGGTAGCCCCATTTTACAGAATGAGAAAATAGAGCTTGGCAAAGTCAACTAACATGCCCAAGGTCGTCATTAGTAGCACACTTAGAATTTTAAACCAGATTTGTACAACTTCAAAGCCAATGTGCTTTTTTCATGTATCTTGTAGCCTTAAGACTGATGTCCAAGTGAAACCTACATATAAAATGCTGACTGGTCTTTGTCCCTTTAAGCTTTTCCCCTTGTTCCTACTCAGTATTCAGCCCTGCCACTAGAGTGCCTTTTTCTGAAAAACAAATCTGAACATATATTCTGCACTTAAAATCTTTCAGTAGTATCCTATTACCTACAAAAGTGGTTTTTCCATTATGTTTCCTAGAGTTCTAGGGTTCTGCAGAAGTGCTTCTGAAGCCAACTTAGAAGCTCAGGGAAAACTGAGTGGACCATGACCCAACCACAGAAGTTACACTTTGATCAGTTTAATATACTGGGGCTCTAGGTAACGCTTTGTTTGAAAAGGGGCTCCACTCTGTTTAAAATATGCATTTATTTCTTTATATTAAAATTCCACCTCCTTTCTTACTTGGCATGATCTGGTTTCAGTCTTATTTTTCATTTTCCACCGTGTAAACGTCCATCATTGCCTGAATATTCTGTGGTCTTTTACCCCCAGGCCTTTGCTCATCTTCCTGTATCTGCCTTCGAATGGTCTTTCTCTACCTGTTATTTCCCTGTTCCTTCCATGTGTTCCTAACTTTTCCTCTTCTTGTCTGCTTGGCCTACTGCAAAACATTTTTCATATATTAAGCATAAAATGTCATTTATTCTGTGAAACCTTCTGTAGCATCTGCTCTCTTTCCCCGAGAATTAAGGAGTCCTCTTCTCTAACTTGCAAAGTTTTGATAATAATACTTGTCACAGTGTGTTTATATAAATGATCTGCTTTTCCTACACTAGTGGTTGTCAACTGGGGTACACTTTTGTCCCCCAGGGGACACTTGCCATTATCTGGAGATATTTTTTGTTGTCACAACTGGGAAGGAGATGTGGGATGCCTACTGGCATCTAGTGGATGTAGGCCAAGGATGCTGCTAAACATCCTGCAGCTACACAGGACAGTCCACCATGCCAAACAACGTGAATTATCCTGCCCAAAATATCAGTGTTACCAAGCTTGAGAAATGCTGTGTAGACTATTAGTTCTTTAAGGACCGGAACTAGCTTTGTCTCCCCAGCAGCTTATACAGGGCCTGGACATAGTAGGTACTCATTAAATATTGAATAAAGAAATAAACATTTCCCTTCCCAGTACCTTTACACTTGAAAGTATAGTCTCTTTAGTTTTATTCTGTCACCTCTGGATGTCACTAATTAGGCCTTCATTTCTCTTCTTCTTTTTTTGGACTTCCCTTTGCTAATCTTCTAAGTGGTTTAAAAAAACAAAATGAGAAGATCCCAAAACTAGCTAGTGTGTGATCTAATATGACCCCTTCTCCTTGAGGTCATTTACATGACAGATTGGTTTCAGAACACGAGAAATTATTCAGTATGAGGATAAAAGTATAGATGAGTTAGGAGAAATTCAAAAAAGATTGAGATCCTTATATAAAAGGGGTAGGAAAAAGTTGACCTGAAGTTTGAATAACTCAGAGTGCTCAAGGGTTTGGGCTAGTCCAGATAAAGGAGAAATACCTATATTCTGGGAGTTAGAGAATGATCACAGAAGTACTTTTTCATGTGGCCGGGGCCCTGGGAGATCTAAGGCAGAAAAGTTAAATACGAGCGAAGCAAGCTCCAGCTGCGTGGCAGACATGGAAAAGACAGGGCTCATTTTAGAGTTCAGAGCAGAGGCTGTGAGACTTCTTTCTTTTTCATTTTTCATATATTGAGGATAAAATGTCAATATATGAAATATCAGTGAGATGGGATTTCATTCTGTCGCCCAGGCTGGAGTGCAGTGGCACTGCAATCATAGCTCACTGTAACCTCCTGGGCTCAAGCCATCCTCCCACCTCAGCCTCCCAGGTAGCTAGGACTACAGGCACACACCACCGTGCTTGGCTAATTTTTTAAATTTTTTGGTTGAGATGGGGTCTCACTATGTTGCCCAGGCAAGTTCCTCACCTTTCCATTCCTGTCCCTGACACTCCCCAACTACAACCACAACTCCAGTGAGCTGGGTAAAGTCTGGTGAATGCAGACTAGCAAAACCCAAATGTAGCTCATGCCATAAAGGAAATGAGGGAGAGGGCTTACAGCTGAATTTCCCTAGACTTTCTCCTCTTTTCACATTCTGACTTTTTGTTTTTTGGTTTTGTCTTATTCTGTTTTATGGAAAAGCATCACTATTGTGATGGGAAAAGTGGGAAAACTCTGAATATATTTGGTGAATTTGAATGAAGCCACTGTGAATATTGGGCAAGAACAGCATTTTGCGGCTAGTTACTTTTGAAAAACTTGTTGTAACTATGGCCTGTTATCTTTGGTTCATTGTACATATTTCCAGGTGAAGATGTTTTATACATGTTCAGTTACCTCATATCCCTTCCTGTCAACAAGTTCTTATATCTAAGAATACAACTTTATCCTTAGCCCATTTGGTTTTGTATTAGCTGCAATGAAAATAGGACCACATCTGGTTAGCAGTCTCCTCACCCAAGCTTCCACAGACTAGAATTAAATGAAGAATCTCATACTTCTCTGTTTGAGGCCATTCATGTATCCCTACAAATCATTTTTCCCATCTTTTTAATGACATTTTTGGCCCTCTTCTGAAGTACCTTATAGCTGGTTTCACAGTTTTCCTGAAGCCTCCTTAAGATAGGAAGCTAGAAGTCATGATATCTAAAGAAAGAACCGGTTCTTCCACTAGAGCTTCCAAAGATCTGGCACTGGTGGCCCATGGTCTCATACCTGGAAGCACCCTGTGCATTATAGACATGGAGCTAACACATTTTAGCATTCAGAGTGTAAACGTTGATAATCTCGTCAGCATCAGCACATTTGCTGTCCAGCAAATGTTTATCGAGAGTTGACTTAGTGCAAATACTGTACTGAACACTGTATGCACATGCTGTTCAAAAGCCACAGTTACTTTTGCACCAACTTAATACCATTTAATTCCTCCAAGTCCTGCGAAAGCGGTACTATGACCCTCATTTTAAAGACAAGGAAACTAAGGTTTACAAAGAATGTGGGTTATCTAGTCAAAATCACAGGGTTAATAAATATCACAAGCAGAATTTGAACCCAGGTTTTTCTGATTTATAGCTGTGATGATTGTCTAAATTTCAGGATCAGATCTTTGCCCTGCAATTCAGCAGGATAAAAGCCAACCCAAAAATCTCTGTCTCCAAGTACTGGAGATTATCAGGCAGTTTGTAGAATCCAAACTGCATCTCCGTATCTACACACTTGCAGCTAACCTAAGGGCAGTGCTGCAGTCTAAAGACAGCCCATGTTACTATCCCTGGGACAGTTGCAGGTTTTAATTTTAAAAAGTGGTGTATGCATTGCTGCATGCTTCAGCTTTATTTGCTTTGGTAAGCCAATATGCTGGAAACTTGACATCTCCAGAGCTGCAGCACCTCTCCACTGTACCCCCTGCATCTCCCACAAGAGGCATGATATGAGGTCCCGTTGCCTCCCATCCCCATGACTGCTGCCTAGGAGGCTACATGTTTGTCCTCCCTGAAACCACGGGTAGCTGAGCCATATGCTTTTGCAGGGTACTTGGGTTCTCTTCCTTTAAGTTCCGTGCTTAAAAGAGCAGGATAGTTGGTGTTGGTGCCACACGTGGTACTGCCACTTCTCTAGTTATTTAGAACTCACTGCAGTTTGACCATCAGGGATGCTGTAGTCACCAGATTTGAGTGCATCTCCTCCTTAAAATGTCCTCATGTTCCAACCTCCAGTATTATTATCCCCAAGCAGGCAAGTTTATTCCTCTGCTTCCAACTTTGTATACCCATCTTGCAACTTTAAAAGACCTGTGTACATTACTGCCTTGGACGCCATAGACTTCTGTCAAATTATAAGCACACTCTCTATCCTGCAAAGGAAAAAAAAAAAACAGAGTAAGTTCGACCTCATAACCCCTCCTTCTAAGCCAAAGTTGGAAGAGCTCTGATCTGAGCCAGGCTTATAAATCTCCGTTGATTGTTGATGATGTGGAGAGAAGTGGGAGGGGAGCTGAAGAGAAGTTAGATGCCCAAAAAAGGCATTGTTAAGTCAAAGGGAAGTCTTGCATGCATGTGCGCCTAACCTCATGTGTCAGCTTCTGTGCTGGGAACATCCAATTATGTAACAAGAAGCACTCCTTATTTGGAATGAGAGACAAAGGGAGGGGAAGGGGAGAGCGGGTAGCACTCTGAGCCAAGGAGCAAATCCGGCTTGTGCAAACTCTGCTCATGCCCGAAAACAGAAGAAACTTGAAAATATCTCTGCAAACATCAGAATCAGATTTAGCAAACTGGGCAAGTACTCAGAGTTAGACTGGGTTGGAGGGAAAGAGGAGAGATACACTGTGCTGCATTGATGGTAGGGGGTTTGGGGCAGGAAGATCCAGCCAAGGTAAGGGGTAGGATTGGTGTGGAGTCCTGATGGAAAGTGAAGGAATGAGAAGCTGGACCGGCGCCCTGCCTGGACACCCAGAGCAATGCCACGATAAAAATAGGAACCATGCCAGCAGCAGAATGCGTGAATGCCACGTCCGCGGCGCTGCCCTCCCCATGGCCCCAACGATGGCATCAGACCTGTGTCAAAAGGGCAGCAGACACATTCCTGGCATCTGCGTCAGGATTTCTCAGTTAAAAAGGGAGTGTGTGTGTGTGTGTCTGTGTGTGTGTGTGTAAGATAGAGACAGAGTGTGTGTGTGTGAGTGTTGGGGGCATGTGGGAATGGAATGGCTTGGCAGAAAGCCAGGGGGAAAGGTTCTGGCAGAGGGGAGCGTGAAGTGTGTAAAGTTAGGAAGTATCCAGAGAGGAAGAAGAAAAGAAAGGGTGTGCAGGTTTAAGGAGTCCAACAAGCAGGGCACCCAGGAGAAACTTGATGGCAAGCTCTAGACCTTACACCAGACCTTGGAATCACTTTCTTAGAGAAGATGTCTCTCTCTAAACCATCTCCTAGGAAAGGTCAGGAGAGCTGCGGCAGAGTCTGGGAGCACTGGAGAGTGCTGTGCTGCAAGGCGCAACGTCCACCTCCCCTAAGGACAGTTGGGAAAGGTTGACCATGAACCCTCTTGCTTCCACTGTTCTCTTAGAACGCTCCAGAATCAAGGCGCTTTCTGTGGAACTCTACTTCAAGGGCCTCTTTCTTGGTGGGCATGTCTAACTAGCAGGTGGATAACAGTTCTTTGTGACATTGGTTATTTCTTAAGAGAACCTCCAGGTCTGCCACCAAAAGTGCACGAGTAATTGCAATGGGAAAGGAACTGACGCTTATTACAATATTAATACCAGGAAAGCAGCTATGTACTGTTTATATTAATGTTCAATTCTATGAGATAGACATGTAGTTCTACATTTCATAAGTGAAGAAAATTACATTCAGATAAAATAACGTTCCCAAAATCATAAAAGTCGTAACAACCACACCTTAAGATTCCACTTAAGTCATCCTGGCCTCAGAGCTCATGTGTTTCCCACTGCTCTGCCATGCTTCCCCTCCATGCAAGCTTTCCCACAAAGCAGTGGCCACTAGAACTGGGTTCACCTGAAAGTTCCCTTGCCGTATTCCCATCTAGCCTCTCTTGCTTTCCATCCAGCTGGTCTCAGGGACACACGCATCTGATGGTAGCATATAAATTATTTTTGTCTGCATATTCTGATTTTATTTTTAAAGCACTTCTGAGCCAGAGATTGTCTCTTAGCTATCTCTATTTATATGCTATTCACAATCAGGAAAAGATTATCAACGTTAAGACTCAGAGTTTCTCAGGAAGCATAGATTACAGTTTTTTCCTTTGCTGTGTAACTTTTTCTTCCAGTTCAGCTCTGATGCCTGGCTATGTCTTATACCCCATCTCTTCCTATGCACAGCTTTTCTAGAAATACGCATACTTTTGCAAGACCCCCACATACAAAATTAACTCAAGCTCAGTCTTCAGAATTCTCGCTTATTTTCTGGCTCTCCAGTCATTGGCTTGGGCTGTTTTTAGAGGTGCTGAAATTAATTTTTCTCATTGATGGCTTTGCTCAGATTGTACTGTGGCTCCCTGGGAAGGAGTACTGCTTGTCCCAGGCCTCTTCCATTAGGCCATGCCAAAGGGAAGCTCTTGACTTCTATAGACTGGGCCAGGATGGGCCCTAGCAGTTTCCCCTGTCATATGAGTGGTCTGCCTGTCATATTTCTTGGGTATCACTTATTCTACACCCATCTTAGGATGAAGACATCATGGCTTTCCTGTCACATAGTGACAGTCTCTACTGGAATATATCTTTGAGATTGTAGCAGGTGGATGGCAGCTGACAGCCGTGTGCCTGAGCATTGCATTTGCATTTCTGTGTGTGTGTGCTCTTGAAGTCTCATATACTCAAATAGAGGTACAAAATTGCTCATTGTAAAAGTTAACAAAAAACAGAATATCATGAGGTATTTAAACCTCAGAGCCTTTTTTTCCAAGTCAGGTTCTTGGCATCTCTTGCCCATCTGTGACTGCAAACAGGAACCTAAGATTTTGACATTTTGATGACAGCTTTAGAATGTATGTCAGCATCCTGAGGGCAGGGACTGCGTCTTATTTACCATTATATCTTCAACACCCAGCCCCATGCATAGAAGGCACCTAGTAAATTTGTGTCAAATAAATGAACACAGAAGATCACACGTCATTCTACTGGAGGCAGTCCCTCTGCTTATCACTATTAAGAATCTTAGGGTTTCCTCAACAGTGCTGGGGGACCAGAAGCAAAATGGAAACTGAGTCTTTCATTCCCTCCACACAGGGCATACCCAGATCTTCAGTTAATTGGGGAATTCTGATTCCCAGAGCCATGGTACGGCCTAAGCAAAGAGGTTTGGGGGCCCTTCAGGCCATCTCCCATTCTAATGGCTCTCTCCTTTCCAAAGAGTGCAGCGCCCCTCCACAACCTGGGCCTCCCAGTATGAAGCCCCACCGAGCCTGCCCTCTCTGGAAGCATCTCCTGCTGTTGTACTTTCTCCACCTCTTTCCTTCCACATGGAAAGCAAGAACTTGGACTTTGAAGTCAGATCTGAAATCAGATCTTGCTTTGAGGCTATGTGACTTAGAACAAACCACTTAACTTCCTTTGTCTGTTACTGTCGAAATAGAAATCATAGCCTAGTGCATGAAGTTCTTTGGGGGGATAAGAGATAATTTAGAGGTAAATGTTAGAGAGGCTTTATAGAGGAAGGTATAACAGCTAGATCTTGTGAGATAGGTGTCATTTAGACTGGTTTAGGCTAAATAATATTCTAGACACTAAGACATTTTTAAAACAGGAGGAGGGGCATTCTACTTTCAAATAAAAAGCAACCTGGAATATTTTTAGCCAGCTTCTTTCTGAATGTGTGTTGCTTTTATTGTTTCAAATAGGTGACAAAAAGCCTACCAAACTGCTGCTGCATGGCGTGGGCACAGGAATTCTCTCTATGGGCACCAGGTGGCGCTGCAGGTTAAACAATACCATTCACTGTCCTTTGAGGAAGACCTGTTTGTTTTGCAGTTATAGGTCCCCTGCCGTGATGTTGATACAGTATATTGAAGCCATTCCCTGGCTTGCTCTACGGTTTAGAGGCCACTTATCTGCCTACTCCTTAGTGCCAGTGACTTTTAGATAAGCCCTGTTTCTTTGATCTTTCACCCTTCTTCCTTCTGCTCTAATGCGTCTTCAGCATATGCTTGCTTCTCTGAGTGGTGTGGATGACCAGAAGTTGCCCCTTTGAGTGGATCCCACCCGTTAAAAATTCAGTGCTGGAGCTGATTCATTCAGAACAGAGTGAGCAGAACAGAGTCTGTGGTGATGAGACCAGCTAGACATCTGAATTGCAAGAATTTTGTTAATATTCTGTATAAACTACTTGGACCTATATTCAGGGTCTCCTGTGATCCTAAAATCTTATACATTATGTATTCACTAAGATGGAGATTGTCAGTGCTGAATAGCCCCGATGTTAGGAATCTTATCAACCTGTTACATAATCAAGGACATTCCCTATTGCTTTCGGCCATGGATGGAGACCGTTTGGCTCTCCCCCATTAACTTGGTTTTGGAGAAGCAACCATATGTTATTGCTTACTTTTGATCTTTACCTCTGTCCTTGCAGGCTTCTCCAAGTGCCCTTTGGAGAAGTAGAGCTATTTGGTACTGGAGCAGGGAGGGAGTTGGGTAAATTGGTGGGAAATATACTTTAGCTCTAATATAATGCTGGCCCCGAAAGATTTCTCGGAGAGGATTCAGCCTTCCTGGGAGGGAGGCTGGTGTGCAAATGCAGCATCAAGGTAAGTTCCTCAACACCTGCCTCCTCTCTCCCCCAGGTTTCCTTTTTGTTGTTTTTCCAGTTTTATTTATTACTCCTCTGTGTTTTCTACCCATAGTCAGTGCTCCCAAAGTTCCTATTCTGTGGAGATTCTGGAGTTGCCACTTCGGTGTCCCTACGTCCTTCATAACGGGATAGATGGCCTTCTACTTGGAAAGGTTTTACATTTCAGCCTGTAGACAGGGAACTGGAAATACTTTTGGGTAGCTCTTCTACACCAAGGTGATGGTGTTAATGATAGTCACTTTTCCTTCTCCTCTACACCCCTCTCAGTGTTTTTTCTCTTTGTTTATCTTGGGCATCTGCTTCTCATATATGTATTCTTTATTCTCCTCAAGGCTGGTCTTTTCCAGCCTCCTGTAGCCATTTTCACAGCATAATTTGAAGTCCTCCCATGTCTGCTGATTTAAATAAATCCCTAATAATTTTCTTCCAAATCATGGCTGAGCACACTCTAAATCTGTTATCCGTAATATTTGCAGAAATTTGGAGGTCAGCCCCTTCTGCGAGCACATAATTACTTATCACTTCTGCCTCCTGCAACCCTTCCCTTCCCATCCTCCTTTCCTGTGGTGGGAGTTCTATGTGCAGAGCAGAACAGGGAGATCTCCCTGTGAGGTAAAGCCCCCATGAACAATAGGGACTCTGGTCGTCAAGACAACCACTAAATTACTGCCTTCTTCCCTCTTTTGTGTCTTGCCTTTCTTCCTGGTGCTTCAGCACTAAGGGTTTTGCTCCCTCTCCCTGCCCTTTCCCCTCCACGGACTCAATTTTCTTCTGAATGGGTGGCCATTTTAATTACCTTCCCCCTTCCCCACCCCACCTCTCTGCCCTTGCCCTTGCTGCTGAGAAAGGCAGGCTCAGGATAACTACCTGGGGACTGAGAATGAGCCAGGCTTGCTGTTCACACGGGGACAAGGAAAGAAGAGACAGAGACATTTGGATCCTATAGTCTCTGCAGTGAAAGTTTTATTGGTTGGTACATGGAGGTCTGGTTTTAGGAAGGATTCGGAAATAGAGTTTTCATATTATCCAAAACCCCCTGAGGCCTCGTCCCAATTTTCTTAACTGCTCAGTACCAAATGCTTTACTGGTTTCAGTATTTACTTCCCTGAGCCTGCCAGGAAGAGTAAGCTTTACAAGTGAGAAAACTGAGGCATGAAATGCAAAGCTTACTCCAGATCCTGCCATCATTAGTTCGCTGAACCTGGTTGAATTTTTACAGAAGGTCTGAAGTAGTCTTTTTCTCTTTTACATGTGCAAACACACAAGCACTTTTAGAAATACTTTTTATTTTTCTTATTTCATCTTGATGATAACTTTGTGAAAAAGGCAAGGCAAGAATTTGCCCATTTTATAATGAAGGAAGCCAGAGCTCAGAGAGTTTGTTCAACTTTTATGTGGTTAAGCCAGGTTCAAACCTGTCTGTCGCTTTTCAGTGTCATTTTTAAAGTCTGTCAGTCCTGATTTTCTCAGAACTGGATTATAGTATGTCGGTAGCAACATAGTATGGGGCCAAAAAAAGGTTGACTTGAAAGACTTCAGAGGCACACTAGATTTGTGCATAGAAAACTTTCAGATTGGCCGGGCGCAGTGGCTCATGCCTGTAATCCCAGCACTTTGGGAGGCCAAGGTGGGTGGATCATTTGAGGTCAGGAGTTTCAGACCAGCCTGATCAACATGGTGAAACCCCGTCTTTACTGAAAATACAAAAAAAATTTGCCGGGCATCGTGGCGCATGCCCTTAGTCCCAGGTACTCGGGAGGCTGAGGCAAGAGAATCACTTGAACCCAGGAGGTGGAGGTTTCAGTGAGCCGAGATTGCACCACTGCACTCCAGCCTGGGCGACAGAATGAGACTGTCTCAAAAAAAAAAAAAAGAAAAAACTTTCAGAATGAAATCTTAAACATGTCACAATACTCAAATATAGAAATTGTTAGAGCTTTCCCTTTACAATCAGTCTTATTTATCCTAAAAATACACAGACCCCAAGTGTCTTTTTCTCTTTCTACATTTGTTAGAAAGGTAACCTGACCTTTGCTTTTGGTCTTTCCTCCCCCATTCTGCTACCTTCCTCTCTTCTTTTCTTCTTACTAGTTTCAAATAATGGGTTGGAATCAATTCAATGCTGCTCCATCCGTCAGAGGCACTTCCCAAAATACAAGTGTGACTCATAGTCCTCATAACCCCCCTTTGCTTTTTGTTTGACTTTCAATCTCTTCTATCCTCTGGGCCTATTTCCCAGGAAAATTGACCAAACATAAGCTACTGGCAGCTGTCTCTCTCCTCCAGGATTTATAGTGTGAGATAAGGAGCATGGCTGACCCACTCCCTTGCCTTCCAGCTCTCTTCCCTTCCAGAGGAATGCATAGCCAGGTGTGAATGCCCATTTCATGGATTATTCTTAGTTCTAGACCACCTGACTTATTACCTAGCATACCCGTTACAACATCAGCTCTATCGCTGGTGTATTAGCCCACAGTTTCATTTTATTATTAGCCTAAACAAAAGATTATTAGGAAAGTAAATCTGTCAGACGTGTATATAAACATATATGGAATGCCAAATATAAAGGATTTTTATATTGTCCATGATTTTTTAAAATCTATAATTGTCTTCCTCTGTAAGCATGAATAATTAAGAGCTCAATGTTTTTGCTGTTGTAAGTATTGGGATGTATGCTTTCTGCAGAACCTATTTTGAACTGTGTGCCATGCTTTAAGACCAGTGTTTGTCCCATATACAGCATGAATTCACTTAGTAACCAATATTTATTGATTGCTTTCTCTGTGGTAGGCACTTCGTTAAGTGATCAAAATACAAAAAAAAAAAAAAGACCCAAATCCCTACCATAGGAAGTGTGATATCCAATTGGAGGTGCAAACTTATAAATAGGAGTTGTAGTATAAAATCAGTGCTTTGAAAAGAACTCTATATGTGATTCAGAGAAGGGATTTATCAATTATGAGAGGTGCAGGGAAGGCTTATAGTAGATGACATCAGAGATGAGATTTAAAGAATGTGGGGCGTTGCCAGCGGACAGTGAGAGAGAGAGAGAACATTCAAGGCAGAGCAGTAAAACAATATAGTGTATTTGTGGTACTCAAAGAAGTTAGTATGATTGATTAGGAATATATGATATGCAAGAATAATGGCTGATGATAACAGTGAAGAGTTTAAAGGGAGTCTGCTCATTCAGACTCCTGTGAGTCATTCCAAGAACAAAACATTTGTCACTCATTTGATAGGAAACAATTTTACAAAACATAAACAGATGATGACATGAGCAAATTTGCAATTGAGAAAAATCATTTAAATAGTGCTGTGGAGGATTAATTAATTGAAGGGGCCAAAGTTAGAAACAGGAAGACAAATTAGGGAGGAGTTTCATTGATAGAAAAGGTGATGAGGCATTCAGCTGAGATCATTGCTATAGAGATGGTAAAGGGGTAATAGATTCATGAGATATTGAGGAGGTAGGATCACCTATATTTAGTGACTATTTAAATGATTATGTGGTGTTGGATTAGGGTTGAGAAAAAGACAAATCAAGAATGACTCACACAGTTTTCCACCTTGCAGATTGAGAAGCATAACTAAAAAGATGGGGTAATATCTTTCTGAACAGCATATTGGGGTTGTGGTTAAAATCCTGTTGCTTACTAAAGTAATAGATTAGTATCTACTCTGATTTATATAAAAATCAATGATGCACCCAGAGAAGCCTGTACTGTATCTCTAATAATTTTGAGATTCTTTTTAGTAGAAAACTTAAGGCCCAGATTATATTTTCAACTTTTTTTCTATCTGTAAGTTTCTTTAGAAGAAAAATGAAAACAGAGAATGAATAGCTAACCTTGTAGCTGGTACCAAGGCAAGGTTTTTAAATTTTCTGTGCCATGACGTATGATTATTCACATGGTGAACTTCTGACCACAGACAGAATACAACTCAAAAATAGTAGAAAGAATGTGTTTGTCAGCAGACCATCAACCCAGTGAAGAGTAAGACATTGACAAAAAAATTCAGATAAAGTTAAAACTGGATATTGAGAAAAACAGCTGACACAGAAAGGAAAGCAGAGATAGATGAGAGTACTGGAATTCACAGGAGCGTAACAGAATGAGATAAAAACTGTTTTACATGCTGTAAGAACAGATTAACTTAAAATTCACGCCTGAAGGTATCACTCAAAGTTTTGCAACAGGATCGATTCATTCAGTAAATATTTGATTGTTTATTTGTGAATGACACTATTAAATGCTAAAGGAGATGTCAAAATGAATTACATAAGATTTCTGCCTTCAAAACCTTAAGAGTCTTTTTCTGGGGGGTCGGGGGGCATTTACAAGAAGCTCAACCAATGCTTTGAGTAAATGAATGAACAAATTAAACACCCATTTCCAATGAGGAAGAAAAAGAGTCAGCATCAAATGAAACCAGGGTAGTTAACTGCGATCAGATTCTAGGTGAACATATTTTAAAAACAGAAAGAGGGGACACATACTGAACAATGCAAAAATAGTAGTAATAGAACTAGTAAGAACAGGGTCCAGTAAGCTTCAACTCAGAAGGAGCTGAGGTTGTAGATAAATATTAAGGGAAAAGACTTAGGTGAAAAACACATACACGTGTCACATGTTACTAACAAGAAAAAATATATGTAGGTAATTGTTTGGGACAGATGCTGTAGTATCAACTGATTACATGGTGAAAGCATTTATTCATTCATTCAGCAGTGAATGAATGGGTCTATTATTTGCTAGGCTGTTTTCTATTTTCTTTGTCAAGGAAAATGGCCTAGCAAGAAGAATTGAACAGACATGATTAAAGTAGAATTGGCGACCAAAATAGAAATGAAAATAATAATAGAGCACGTAACCTATTTTAAAGTTTGTACATTTAAACCTGTACATGGCCTAGATGAATTATATCCCATGAAACTTAACAAATTTATATTTAACATTAAAGACCTAAGGTCATTAAGAAACATTGCCATTTGTCCATATGGGTTAGAGATGCACAGATATCTTGCCTTTTTAAAAAATGGTTAAAGGTTCTTGACCCCAACATTTATTTCTGGAAATTTCTGAAGCAGATGACGAAATAGATGTTTGTGAACATTTGGGAAGGGCAATGGGGAACCCTAGAAACCATTATGGGTTCAGTAGGAGTGTGCCCTGCCTGATTAGCATGCAGTTGTAGTTACATTGTGTATGGATTCCAACAAGTTTTTGCCATAATATCCATATGGACAGAATGGAATATGTTGCCTGCATTATAGTACATTTAAGTAATTTGTGGCTAGTCGAGTGTCTTTAGCCCAAGGGTATTAAATAATATCATAAACTGATGCCATCCTAGAGGGAAATTTCTAGTAATAGAGCACTGCTCTTCATCTTATCCTGATCAATTTTTTCATCAGAAAATTTGCAAGTAATTCTAATCTTAGAGGAGTAGTTAAAACTCTAGATGATGAAAATTAAGATTCAAAAACATTTAGAAAACTTAGAATGATAATCTAAAGCCAACAAGATGAACTATAATTTAGATTTTTTTTTAATTGCACAAATACAGAAGGGCAAGACTATACTTAACAGAGGGGCACACGATTTTTTTTTTTTTTGTAATGTACCTGTGTGGACTTAGGATTTTAGCTGGCTGAAAACTCAATATGAGTCAGTGCTTTTGACGTGTGTGCCAAAAAGCTAACACAATCTTCGGCTGTATGAGAAGTATAGTATCTAAATCTAAAGGAAGGCTCAATCCCCTATGTTCTTTGCTGGTCAGGTCACATCTCAGAGCTGTTTGGTTCTGGGCACATCATTTTAAAAGAAAAGCTAAGCAGCACACCCAGAGGATGGAGCCAGGTTGAGGAGTGGTTCATTTCTCTCCTTCTTTCATCAGACATTTATTGAGTGTCTTTGAGGTTGGCAAAATCACGGATGTATGGGATGTAGAAGAGACATAGGGGAGAAATAATAGCTGAATTTAAAAATGCAAAATGTTGTCTTTTGGAAGAGATTTAACCTAATATCTGGTAACTCCAGAGAGTAGAACTAGGACCAATGACTAGAATTCATTAACACAAGGAGGCCGATTTGGGTTGGCAAGGTTTAAGAAGCATCTTCAATGAATTTAGATTATGCTTTTAAGGAATTAAGCCACTTGCCTGAGGTCACATTGCTAATTGGGTAGCAGAACTAAGATAAAAGCCCAAGTTTCTGGATTCACAGGACCCAACCCTTGTCTATGCCGTTATATTACAGAGGAGGTTTCTGCTTTGGGAGGAGACTGGATAAAATAACCTCTAAGTTTCCTTCCAACTCTCAAGTTGTATGTTCTTATAAGCCACTTGATGTAAAATATTTCCTTTTGGTGCCCAATGCTTTCATATGTAGAGTTGGTGAGATTGGAAAAACCACTAAGGTTGAACAGATGATTTTTTGAAGTTCCTTCCTTAAGAATCCTTCCATTTTTTAATACATATTAATTTTATATCTGTGATGTGTACATTACTAATCAAAAACAAAAACTGTTTGTGGCTAGATATAAATGTATGGAACTCAGATTCTTATATTGTGGTATTTAGGAGAATGTCAAGTCTTCCCTTGAAGTACATGATTCAAAGATGTGGATCCATGATTTAAAACATGAAAGCAAAAATCAGAGAAGAAATTGTGCCAACTCTGAGCCATTTTAGATTTCACAGTAGTATTGGGAGAAAGAAGTGGTAGTTTCTTGCCCTCGGGGTTCATTTCCTCCTCATTCTTCCCCAGCACTGGGCAGGAAAGGATGGTGACCTAGATACACAGTCAGAGGGCAGCAGTGTTGAACTTTCTCAGACACAGCTGAGTAACTTGGGTCTGGATAGTTACAGGACAGAAGCCTAGAGCTGAGAGCTGACAGGGGAAACTGTCTATAAACACAAGAAGGGGCCATGGCAGGAAGACAGAGGCCTGGGAACGGCATCAGAGAGAAAAGAAGTATAACTTTTATCAGGTGTGAAATGGGCAAAAACATTTTGTTTAATGGATAATGTCCTGAATCTACACCATCACCTCCAAGACCTCCTTTCTCTCCCACCCTATAGATTGCTGCTACTGATTGGATGAGCCAATACTCATACTTATGTGCTAGGACTGGCAGTACAGAACACAGTGTTCATGGTTGAGGCCCCTGCAAACATTTTACAGGGTGCTTGGGTGGGTGGAGATGGGGAGCATTTCCAGGAAGCTAAAAATGTGGCTTGGGCTTCTCCTACTTTCTCTCGGAACTCCTAATTCTTGACACTGCATGAGTGTTTTTCAAACTTTTTTTAAAACTTCAACCTACAGTAAAAAATGCATTGTACGTTGCAGCCCACTGTGAGCATGCACATAGGCACAGGCGCATACACACATATGCATGCACGCAGATCTGATATATACATATATATGTACATACATACGAAACAAGTGTCTCCAAACATGAGATGCCTTTTTATGTTATCACAAACAACAAAACAGATGATATGACCTCTAATGATGTCCAGCCCACAGGTCGAAAAACATTGCGCTACAACCATGAGGTTTAAAATGACTGTGAAAGTAGCCTGATACAATTATATCCAAAAGTCCCTGGGTCTAAGGCAGTAATTCTCAACTGGAGCAATTTTGTCCTCAGGGGACATGCCGCAATGTTTGGAGACATGTTTGGTTGGCAAAACTAGCATCTAGTTTGAGGGGAGGAGGGGCAAGGATGTTGTGGAATGTTTTATAATGCACAGGAAAGCCCCTATGACAAAGATTTCGCAGTCCAAAATATCAGTAGTACCAACGTTGAAAACCCTGCTCTCAGGGTAATAAAATAAGTCAATACTTCTAATTTACTGAAGGTGTACTTAGGATGATAGAAGCTTTAACTTGATCTTCCTTTTCTTTCTCTTTTCCTTTGAACTGTATTTGGTATCTTAAGGTTGGAGCATAATTGCCCTTGGATTGTCTATAGAGGTACAGCCAATAGATAAATAGGCTGGAAGGAATGGACCTGTTATTTTCCTTATATTTAGACTGCACCAGGCATTTTTGTTTAGAATATTGTTGTGGATCTTATGAATATTTTCTGTTTTATGATTTTAGTATCTTCTTCCCTTTCTCCTCTTCATTAAGCCATACTGATTCAAGACCCTTTCTCACTCAGCCATAGCTGCTGTCTTAGAAAAGAAATGAAGGGGATTTGGCTAATTGGATTAGACATGGTCTCTAAAGCCTTCTCCTTACTCATGAGATTTGATTCTGCTGTTTTGATGGGAAATGACCTTCTACTAACCTTGAAGTGCCATCTTAAGCCCTAGTATTAAACTGTCTCCTTTTTAGTCATTGCTTCATTCCCCTATCTGCGGCTATTTCAGACCAGGTTCCCTTGAACATGGAGTGGATGTGCAGTCCCAGCTACTGACAAGCCCTGATCTCCACATCCTTTCTTCTCCCCTGTCTGGCATAAGGGAAGCTCTTGAATGTCTTGGGGTCAAAATGTGGTTGTGGAGTGGGGTTTTTTGGCCATTTTACTGGCTATTTCTAGGCCCCCTATTAAGGCTCTGAATCATTCAGAGATGGCTTGACACAAGAGACCTGGTTTGGGTTCTTTTTTCTTCTCTTCTTTGGGATGAAGGCAGGATAATAGAAAGAGATATCTCTAAATCAAATATCAGACCTGGAATAGTAGTGGAAAATAAAACCAGTGCTATCTGAGGCTATTCTCTACCATATTTATTTTAGCATATTTACTTCATGCATCTTGTATTACATGAACAAGAGCATTTGTATTTAGTAAATGATTTATTATAAGTAATTTTTTTTTTTTTTTTTTTTTTGAGATGGAGTCTCCCTCTGTCACCCAGGCTGGAGTACAGTGGCGTGATCTTGGCTCACTGCAGCCTCTGCCTCCTGGGTTCAAGCGAGTCTCCTGCCTCAGCCTCCCCGAGTAGCTGGAGACTACAGGCGTGCGCCACCGTGCCCAGCTAATTTTTTTTGTATTTTTAGTAGAGACGAGGCTTCACCATGTTGGCCAGGCTGGTCTAAACTCTTGACCTCAGGTGATCTGCCCGCCTCAGCCTTCCAAAGTGCTGGGATTACAGGTGTGAGCCACTATGCCCGGCCTATTATAAGTAATTTCTAATGAATAGTAAGAGAAACGTGTGTGTGTGTTGACCTTGAAGCTTTAGATTTCTGTCAGCCTAATAGTAAATGGTACCAGCAAAGTCCAGAAACTGATGCTGGAAAACCTCCTATGATGTATTAGAGTTCAGACACATAAATTCCATCCCTTCCACTTAAAGAGAGCTCTATAGGGTTACGAATCTCTTTTTAACCTTCCCACTCCTATGATAAGAATAGAAAGATGCAGTGTAGAAATCGCGAGATGAAGAGAGTTAATGGAGAGGAGTTGAGACTTCTGCCCCTTTTAACAATCCTACACCTAATGTCTTTGTCTTCCGTGCTCTAGCCAGTTTCCAAATAAATCAAGCATGATTAGGGGAGTTAATAAAGTTAGATAATGAAATGGTGGTGTGTATGGAGCTTTACCTTAGAGAAGGATGATAGAACCAAAGGAAGGGAAGGTAGGGATGAAAGGGAGAGGAAAGATATTTGGATGAAGAAATCTCCACCTTCTTCATTGCTCTCAAGAACCAGTGGCAGTTGGTTCCATCCAGGTGTTGGGCAAGGCAAAGTATACCAAATCCCTGAATATACAGCCATTTACAACTTAAGAAAGGCATAGTGAGTGATAATAAAGTGTGTCTTAGAAATTGAATTACAGCTTAAAAAATTTAGAGATTGTATTGTGTGAGGGCAGTGGCAGTTGTGGTGGTGATTTTTTTGGTTTGCTCTTTATCATGTTTTCCTTCCAGATTGGCGTGCTCATCATTTTTAACGAGACACCATCGCTCAGAAGTTCTGTGAACAAGAAAGATTTGTTGCACTTGGTCTTCTACACAGGCTGCCTGGGACTAGGAAATAAGACCATGCTGAGCCCAAAGGCCTAGGATAAAGCCTCTGTTTGCTGACAGGGGGAAGGGTGGGCAGAACGTAGGCAAGAGGAGAATCCAGGAAAGAGAGCAAATGTTTAAACCATGCGTGGTGCAAGTGTGTGGTTTGTGTCTTTTATCTTCAGAGTGTGGAGAAGAATAAGGAAAGCTGGCACTCTGCAGCTCCCAGGGACTAGAAGTCACTTTCCAAACTCTGTCCCTCTTTGTAGGCCTGGAGGGAGTTTATTTCTGCCAGTTTGTGAAAGTCCTGTTTCTTATATTCCTGGGCCTGACTTTTTCCAGGGCCTCCTGTTGGCCAGTTCTGTGCCTTGTATGTACAGTGCTTGACAGTGTCTTTGTCTCATCAGCAGCTGATACTTACTCAGAGATGGCACTCCTTTTCTTCGGTGAGTTGTGCTTATTAGCTTCCACAAATTTATTTGACTCATAGACTCATCTTCATCATCAGGTGCTTATTTTTACTTTTCCTACTTTTATGTCTCTCCCCAACATTTCCATTTAGAGTCTGAAAAGCTGTCTTATAGATTTGTATAAGTTTATAAATTTATATTTTGCCACATGATAAAATTCATTTTGCATCCCACACATGTACATGAGACACTTAATCACCATGCAAGAGAACAAGGAGGATATCCTTGTCCTAATGCCATGTGAGGTCCTGTCCCCATCAGATAAATTAATGTTCATTCAAAAGAATGTAACTCTTGCTTTGTAAGACATGCCAGAAGATGGCTGAGGTACCTAGGCTTGCTGGCATGTTACAACATGTTCAGTCTAGGAAGGATCATGTGGCTAAAGATTTTAGTTTGCAAGACTTTGCCCCTCTCCCTCAAGACAGTTAGATGAGACCCTAAGACACATCATTCTCCTCAGCAAAAATTGCAGAAGTATACATGGCTTGAGGTGAAGAAAGGAGACCTTGGGTCACTTAATCCCCTGCAGAGAAGCCGATCAGGTCATTGCAGCCACCTCCCTCTAGTGACCCTCTTACATAAACAGGAACAGGAATTCTTGCTACTGGATTCCTTTCATCAGGCATCTTAGGCTCACTGAATGAAAAGCCCTATAAAAAGGAGATGCGGCCCTAATAATAACAAATACGATCGTGTTGGCTATTTTGGACAAGAACAGCTTTGTGCCACTCTTGATCTCCATCGATGGCTGCCATTCTTGCCCTGCTATTACCTTACACACTTCCTATTCTTAGAATCAGTTGTGAGCCTTGGGCTTGGGGGATTGCAGCCCTCATGGCTGGAATGCCCAGCTTGAGTGGAATGCAGACTGTCTGGCAGAGTGGAGGTTAAATAAAGTTTGCCTTGGCAGCCCCCTCTGCTCTTGGATGAGTGACAAGTGACTCGAGTATAGGAGCGAGGAGTGATGGCATGAGCTGCCATGTGGTGCAGGATCAAACGAGTCTTCCGTGCATGAATAGAAGTGGTTGATTGTCCATCCATGACCCACACAGCTATGTCAGTCTTAAATGAGGTGGGTGAAGGGGAGGCCTCAACAGCCTTGAACCTCACTTCTGACCATATCACTTTGAAAAAAATTCAGGAACAGATCAAGAATAACGTTGAACCACTTTCTAGGTTTCCAGCTGAACTCCAGATTTGGTATATCTTCCCCCTCATTTTTGACTCATTTTTGAAAGTAAGATAAAGGGAAAATTTTGACTCATTTTCGAAAGTAAGACAAAGGGAAAATTTTTCATTGAAATAAGAACAGTTATCAGTCAGTCAACCATTTCTTGAGCACCAAGCACGGCGGGGAGTTTTTTTAAAGTACAAGACACAGAACTCTTACAGCTTATAATTTAGTTGAAGAAGTAAAGCTATAAACACCTTTAAAAAGATGCATATTCCAAAGTAATTGTTCCAGAGCTACCTGCCAAAGGAGGTCTATGGAGAAGGAGAGCACTTCCAGCTGTGATGGTCAAGGATTTCATGGAGGAAGTAGGGTTGAAACAGGTCTTGCCAGAAGGGCAGACTTGAGACTTGCTCTTCAGGCAAGGCGAGAAGAGGCCCTTGTTAGTGAGAGAACTATTATGAACAAAGGGCAGATGTAGGAAATCCCTAAGACAGTCATGAGGACCAGAAGATATGGCTGGGGAGGTAGAGAGAGGAATTTGTTTAAAGATCGCTAAGTCCGTAGCTGTGAAGTCTGTGTGTACATGTTACCAAGAAGGTTATAATGCTTCCCATCAGAGGAGAGCTAGAAAGATAATAGGTGCAGCCTTGCCAGAGGAGAGTTGGGAAGGTATAGGTGCAGGCTCACCCAGAGACGGAGGCCCTTTTAGTGTTCTGTTCTGTAAAACTTCTTGTACGGTAGATGGCACATAGTGAACGCTCCATAAATAACACGATTCTTATTGTTACTCATCTTCAAATTCTGTTATCCCAGGCTGTTGAATTGTCTTGGTTTCCTTTGCAAGAGTCAGTGCTGACTTTGTCCTGTTCTGATTGCTCATGTAATTCATGGTATCTTAGTCTGTTTGGGCTGCTATAACAAAATACCATAAACTGAATGGCTTATAAACAACAGAAATTTATTTCTCACAGTTTCTAAAGGCCGGGAGGTTCAAGATCAAGGTACCAGCAGAACTGGTGTCTGGCAAGGGCCCTTTTCCTTGTTCATAGACAGCTGTCTTCTCCCTGTGTCCTCATATGGCAAAAGGGGTGAGAAGTCTCTCTCAGGTTTCTTTTATAAGGGCATTTACCTTTGCCCCCATGACCTAATCACCTCCCCAAAGGCCCCACCTCCTACTGCCATCACCTTGAGGGTTAGGATTTTGACACACGAATCTGCAGGGGAACATAAACAGTCAGTCCGCTGCCTTGTTATTTCCTTTCCTTCAGCTTTATCTAAGCTTTCGTCTCTCTTCTACCACAGGTGGCTAGAGGTGCAGGTAGCTAATTTAACAAGTCCACAGCGCTGGGTGCAGTACCTCCTGCTTCTTCAGGAGTCCATCTGGCCTGGTGGAGTTTTGCCTAAGTTTCCACGGCCCGTAAGGACCCAAGAGCAGAAACTGGCTGCTGAGAAACAGGCTTTGCAGAGCCTGATGGGAGTCCTCCCAGGTAATTGGACCAATGAGATCAATTATACCAATCACATTTCTCTTCCATTCTGCTTTGCCACCATTACCCCTGCACCTTTTCCTGTTTGTAAAAGGGCCCTGAATGTGGCTAGATTCAAAACTCTGTTGACCCATCATTTCCCAGGCTAATAGGAAAATGAACAGGGCTGCAATTCTTTTATCCATTGCTCAGCTGATGCCAAGGGAATGGAAAGGAACTCTACAGCTGCACCCTAAATACTAGGTGACAATCCTGCAGATATTTAGGTTAATAACTTTCTCTCTACCTGCTGGCAGGTCTGGGGAAGCTCTGCCTGCAGGGACAGGTCTCAGAGCCATTTCCAGGAGATGAAGACTTCAGATTCTCTACCAATTCATAGCATTTTGGGACCAAGGAAGAAAATCACATGTCTCACAGAAGCTCCAACTTAATAAATTGCAGCCATTGAGTATGGTACATGGCCTTTAGCAATAAGTTAAAACAAAATCTGAGAAGGTTGTTTTTCCTTGCATTGTGTTTTTAGAGGGCCAGGAAGGCAGTTTGTTGCCTATGGCTGTGATAACCAGGAAACAATTGTGAACTTAGCTCTGGACAATCAGTTTTATTTACCCTTATTATTATAACTCTGTTTGCCAACCTAAACTGTTACATTGGAAGGAGTACCTGCATTTGAGTGACAGGTTACAAAATAATTTTTGAAGCCCATTCTTATGTAGACACCTAACTTGAGAAACATATTTTTCTCAGGTTTTTCCTGTTTTGTGAGGATTTTAGTTTGGCTGTATGGTTTAGAGGTAGGCCTGAAATACCTAACCTATGTAAAAACGGCAGAGATCCTGGGGAGAGACTGTCCTTAGAATCTAAAACTTCAGTGATAACACGCAAATTCCATCTGTTTTTTCCTCCTCAGATCTCGTAGTAGAAATTCTTGGGGTGAACAAATGCCGGCTGAGCTGGGGTCTAGTCCTGGAGTCACTACAACAACCCCTCATCAACAGGTAAGTGGGAAAATGTTATTCCAACATCAGCATAGTTACAGCCACCTCTGGTCTCAGAGGTATCCAAGGTTTCTGAGTGAAAAGCCCACATTCCAAAGAATAGGATTGTAGTCTTTACTTGCTCTGGGCACTGACTACAGAGTTTGACGTCCAGATCCACACACTCTAAGTAAAATCCACACCATCAGGCTTCTGAGCAGGTCGTCATGTGCTAGGAAATCACTCTTGGACCACCCACCATTTGTGTTTGGAAGAACTCTATGCAGGCCCCCACATGAGCTGCTGAAAATGACCTCTTATCCTCCAGGCTTGTTCAGCATACTTGCTCAGTGCTCTTTCCAACATCTGCCAGCCCCTGTGAATGCTCCAAGAGCGTACCCTGGCCTGTGTATCACAGACCATGTAAAGATGTTCACCATGAGCCCTGGCCTTATAGCAAAGCTGTGATTCATGTCAAGACCAGGAGTTGTCTTTGCTTCATATCAGGTAGACAAGATAGTAAGGTTGGAATTTCATAAAGGGACCAGAAATGCTGGGTGAAGAGTCCTAGAATAATCCAGAAGAGGTAGATTCCATCCCTTGGGCTGTTACTCTTCTGGAAGTATTGAGTAACCTTGCACTCAAACCCTACCCCAAAGTAGACTGTGTTCGTTAACTTCCTCAAGGATCCTGGCTTTACCTCACTGCCTGTAAGGCAGCCTATAAATTTAAGGTAATTAATTATGAGAAACAGCAGTAGTCAGGAGCTCTGAAAGTGTCTAGTAACCTGACATCTCAAGGATTTGTTATCACAGTTCTTCAGAGCAGTGCTAATGTAACTATGTAAAGAGAAATGGAATTTTATAAAACTTAGTCTTATATAAAACTAGTCTTATATAAAAACTGTTCTTGCCTTTATTAGGGTCAGAGGCTTTATTAGTTCAAAAAACATTAATTTCATGGCAGAGGTTTCATCAAGCTATTGAAGTTTAGGGTGTCGGTGATGGGGGAGGAGAAAATAAATGTCATAAACAGGATCTTGTGTTTCCTGATTGAGCCAGACCCTAAGTTTTTTGTCCATTCGTTTCAGGCATTTGATTTACTGCCTTGGGGACATCATCCTGGAATTCTTGGATCTCAGTGCCTCTGTTGAGGAGTCTGCTGCTACCACCTCTGCCTCAGATACCCCAGGCAACTCTAAGAGGATGGGTGTCTCCTCTTAGCTGGTTATTCACGCCTTCTTCCCAGGTCAGGGAAGTAGAGTTACTCGGCCACCAGAGACCAGTCAGGAAGCCCGTGCCCTCTTCAAGTAGGCTACAGCTAAGAAGGCCTAGGTTCTCGGTGGCTCACTTCTCTCCCACTTCTGCTCCATTTGTAGCAGGTGACAGGGGTCTGTGTGTCCCAGTTGTATGCACGTTTATTTCCCTGTTCCTTTTGTGATGTTGGGATTGTTGCTGGTGAGTAGATCCTGTTTCCTTTGGGAAAAGAAGCTGTGAGGTAGAGGAATGAACCCCTTTTGCTTCTCCTTTTGCCATCCTCCCTGAGATTGTTTGCCAGAATCCTGGCCCTGTGCACACATGTGCTTAATCCACCAGCACACAAGCTCTAGATAGAACAGGAAAAAAACTGTGGCCAGATTTCCTTGGAGGAGAAAACAACCTTCTCAGCTCTCTGTTCCTACCCGGAAACTAAAAATTCATTCAGGGCCATTCTCAAAAACCAGACTCCTGGGTCTAATCTAGTTTCCCAACAGTTCCAGAAGAAGAAGGAGGGAAGAAAATTTTTCAAGGAACTTCTTGCTCATGTGTTGCTGTTTCCCAACACATCAGCCTTATGGAAGATGTCATGAGGCTGCTTGCCTGGGAGGCTACACTTTCCTTTCCAGAAGACTTCAAAGCTGACTGCCAAAGCTTCTGGTAAATCCACCCCACCCTTCACACCCTTTCCTGAAAGGCATTTATACCACCCATTTTATTTATTGGCTTTGCTCCCAACCCCCTGCCCTAGAGCAATTGAGTTTTTGAATTTTTGACCCTCTCTCTGTCTTCAGCAAAACTGCATGACAAGCTGCATATTCAGCCTCAGTTTTTCCAAGGAGAATGGAAAGCACTTGCCTCCTGTCTTAAGAATGCACAAAGAGTAGGACTAGCAAGGCTGGGGGATGAAATCTCCCTTCCTAAGTCTTTGACAGAGAACTTTTATTATTCTGAACAGATAAGATTAGCAAACTTACAAGGAATAGCTTCTTATTTCCCATTCCTTACGGTTATAATCAGTCCTTTAACAACACCAGCATGAAGGCAAAGGTGTTTTGTCAGACTGCAACATCTATTAGAAAGGCAAGGCAACTGGGAATTGCTGGAGAAGGATAAATCAGGAGGAATTGCTGGTAGAAAAGGCTGCAGACAGTCACAGGGAAGTGCTGTATATTAAATGCATGTGAATAGCTGGCAAAAAGATGTCAAGGATGTCACTGGGAGCCCTTTGGCTTCACACTCGCCTGTTAGCGCCTTGCTTTCGCTGAATTACCAGAGCCTACCACTCGGAGGAAGGTCTTGGAGTTAGACTGATGAGAAGGCAATGGGGTGTCAAAAACAAGTGTCAAAGTTCTCTTAGATTCTGAAGTCGGTGATGAGCACACAATTAAAGTGGTTTGTGGAAGAAAGTTGTAAAATCTTTTTACTTTTTTGCCCCTCTGGAGGCTTTTAACCCTAAATTGTGTCTGATGTATTCGGGAGGCTTAGGTGTGCAATTCTTGCCCAAAGGCAAGGAGATGAATGAGATGTCTCATGGCCTCTTCTAGCCTTAAAAGTTGACCATTACAGTGACTTTATGGCTCCAAAGTTCTTGAAGCATCTCCAGCCCTAGACTTTGACAAGAAAAGGTAGCTCAGCATCTCTACTTTCCGTGAGTACCTGCAGGAGTCCAGCCAATGTATTAGAGCTGATCATTAAGCTCCTTCAGTGAGGGCTAAGATCCTATTCTCGATGAGCATAGGGGGACAGCCTTGTTTTATGCCACTTTTCTCTCCCCATACCTACCTTCCCCTCATGTGTACTTAGCCACCTGTGTTGCTTTGAATCTGCTGCCAGTTCTGGCTCAAATGTGGCACAAAATCAGTACATCAGACACACCATGAAATCCCTGTGGCTATAAATTCTAAGGAATCTTTTGACACTTCCAGCCCAAAGAACTTATTTTTATTTCGTATTATATAAGAGTCCCCACCTCTACTCCACGTACCCCAAAAAGATAAGCTGTCCTCAGATCCTCCTTCTACCCAGGAGGGAAATAATGGATATTGCCAAGGGAACAATCAGAACTCATCTGGCTTTGAAAACGACCTGCCAAGTTTGGCTAGCAGGTTCAGACAACAAGAGAGTAACAATTGGTAGAGAGCCACAGGTAGAAAAGATACTCCCAGCTGACAGGGTGATAAAAGGCAGGGAAGAATTGGGCCTGTGCTGATCCAGGAAGGTTTTATTGTTTGCTTGTTTTTTGTATTTACTCGTGACTAAATTTTATTCATTTAAGTCAGAATTTTGATATTTGAAATAAGACTACTTTCCCTTTTCTTACTATCTATAAAAAAGACGAGGCAGGGATGCTGTGTTCTTTCTGTCAAATTCTAAATGTGATCTTTGCCATTGCTTATTTGAATTCAAGAAAGCTATACTTTTTCATCACATATAACTCACAGTTTCATTTTTGCATTGTTGGATTAGACTTAATAAAACCTAAATGGAAAATAAATTCCTAAATCTGAGCCTAGGAGCATGTATAAATTTTATTTTTATTATTATTATACATTAAGTTCTAGGGAACATGTGCACAACATGCAGGTTTGTTGCATATGTATACATGTGCCGTGTTGGTGTGCTGCACCCGTTAACTCGTCATTTACATTAGGTATATCTCCTGATGCTATCCCTTCCCCCTCCCCCGACCTCACAACAGGCCCCAGTGTGTGATGTTCACCTTCCTGTGTCCAAGTGTTCTCATTGTTCAATTCCCACCTATGAGTGAGAGCATGTATAAATTTTAAAATCAATACAAGCTACTCCAATTTCCATTTTGGAAATTTCCAGTTTACAAGGTGATTTTCTTATTGTTGTAAAGAAACACATAATGTGAGATCTACCCTCTTAAGTGTACAGTACATTATTTATTTATTTTGAGACGGTACATTATTAACTAGAAGCAGCACAGTGCTTTGTAGCAGACTGCTACAAGTTTTTCATCTTGCATAACCAAAAGTTTATACCCATTGAACAGCCACTCCTCGTTTCCCCTCCCACCAGCCTCTGGCAATCACTGTTCTACTTTCTGCTTCTGTGAGTTTGACTACTTTGAACGCCTCATATAAGTGGAATCATGCAGTGTTTGTCCTTTGACTGGCTTATTTCACTTAGCATAATGTCCTCCAGGTTCATCCACGTTACAGCATGTGACAGAATTTTCTTTTTAAGGCTGAAAACATTCCATTGTATGGCTATGCCACATTTTCTTTGTTCATTCATTGAGGGACATTTAGGTTGGCTCCGCGCCTTGATTGTTGAAAACAATGCTGCAGTGAACATGGGAGTGTGACTGTTTCTTCGAGGCCCTGCTTTTAATTATTTTAGATAAATACCCAGAAGTAGGATTGCTGGATCATATATTGTTCTGTTTTTAATTCTTTGAAGACCTTCATACTGTTTTCCATAGTGACTAGACCATTTTACATTCCCACCAACAATGTACAAGGGTTCCAGTTTCTCCACATCCTCTCCAACACTTGTAATGTTTTGTTTTTTCATAATGGCATCTTAAAAGGTATTAGGTGATATTACTATCTCATGGTTTTGATTTGCATAGCCTAGAACATTTTTGAGTCTTCCTGTGTCCTACCCAGGTTATTCATTTCCAGCTACTGCTCTTCCTTTGCTCATAGCACACAACACCAGTTGTTAGGTCCTGGAGGAAGTAAAAATATGTGTAACTATGGTCCCTGGCTATATGAATCAGGATGCTCTGGACAAGAATTAAATTATGAGGAAAATTTATTTTATTTCATAACATTAGTACGTGAGTAGGTAAGCCCAGGAGTTTGGTGATTCAGCAACTCTGAGACCTCTTAAGGGGCCTGAATTCTTTCCATCTTTCTTCCTTGCCATTCTAATTAGGTCAGCTGTGCTCTCAGACTGCCTGCCTTCCTGCTGCTGCAGTTTCAGGCATCACACCCAGAGATAACATTCATAAAAGAACAGGAGCATCTCTTCTGTGTTTTCTTCTAAGGAATGAAGGAACCATTTCCCAGAAGTCCTTCAAGAATCCTCTTCTAGGCCGGGCACAGCGGCTCACACCTATAATCTCAACACTTTGGGAGGCCAAGGTTGGGGGATTGTTTGAGTCCAGGAGTTTAAGACCAGCCTGGAACATAGCAAGACCCTGTCTCTACAAAAAATATAAAAAATGAGCGGGGCATGGTGGCTCTCGCCTGTGGTTCCACCTACTAGGGAGGCTGAGGCAGGAGGATCACTTGAGCCCAGGAATTTGAGGCTGCAGTGAGCTACGATCACACCACTGCATTCTAGCCTTAAGTGACAGAGTGAGACCCCAAATAAAAAAAAAAAAAACAAAAAACCTCTTATGACTCATTGGCTAGAACCACCCACCTCATGCCAATCCACTGACACTGAGAATGGCATTGTGATTGGCTTTCAATAGTATTTTCCCCCAGAGATGAGGTCATCTTCCATGAAGGTCAGATATCTACAGAAATAATTGATGTTAGCAAGGAAGAAGCAGAGAATGGGTATTGATAGACAATGTCTGCTCTAGGGATGGGTCATTCTGCCAACATTCAGCAGATCCCCTATCTACTCCCAAAATGCCTGGTACCAGCTAATAGTTAACATCTTCTGAGAGCATTACTTAAAGTCTTTACATATCTTCACTTATTTAACCCACAAATCAACCCTTAAAGGTAGGTTCTGATGTAGTGGGTTGGTGCAAAAGTAATTGGAGTTTTGCCATTTTAATGCAATTACTTTTGCACCAATCTAATATATCCCCATTTTCTAGGTGGGGAACATGAGGCACAGAGTGGTTATGTCTTACCCACAGTCATTTGCAAGGGAGTGGCAGAGCCTAGATACAAACCATGTCAATCTGCCTCTGAGTCTACGTAGTATATCCACTATACTAAACTGCCCTTCTACCTTACAAAGCAGAACAAGATCAGGTTCTCACTTTTAAGGAGTCTACAGTCTAGTATAGGAGCCAGCAAACTTTCTCTGTAAAGGTCTGGAGACTAAATACTAGGTTTTGCAGCAGTATGGTCTCTGTTGTAACTACTCAGCTTTTCCACTGTAGCGTAAAAACAGTTGTAGACAATTCATAAACAAGTGTGGCTGTGTTCCAATAAAACTTGATTTACAAAAATAGGCAGCTGGCCGGGTTTGTCCCATGAGTCAGTTTGTGGACCTGCGGTCTAGTGAGTTAGAATACTGCTTACCAAATTTTAATGTGTGTGTGATTCACGTGGGATCGGGTTAAAATGCAAATTTTGATTCAATAGGTCCGGAGTGAGGCCTAGTAAAAGTGTAAGTGCTATGCTCTAAAAATGTTGACAGCATGATTATCACACTCCTCTGCTGTTTGAGGGGCAGGGAGCATTTGGAGATGCCTTGTTTCAGGAACCCATTCAGCCAAGTTGTCCTGGCAAGCCGTACCTCCCACAGCCCCCTCCACACCGGCTGTTTGTCCAATCTAACTTTGCACTGGAGCAAGATGTGTTTTCCCAGGATGAGGAAAGGAAGGTTAGCCCACACTGCTGGATGTGGAAGGGGATGGGAACCAGGGAAAGAATGGTAACTGGGGAGGAAGGGAAACCATGATACTTTTGTAGTCGAAGGCCTAACTGGGCGCACTCTGCCATAACTTGGCCCCTCTGCTTCCTTTCCACTGGGAGTGCCAGAAATCACAGGGCAGCAGTCGCTCACCCTGCCTTTGTAGACAAGAAAATGAAACCATCGAAGGGTGAATTTCAGCTAGCATATTGCCATCACTCTTTTATGGTATAAAGGATGAGAGAGGCGGTGAGGGAGACATTGCCCCAAACATGATGTCCACATCCTAAGACTTACCTGATATTTCTTATTACACAAAGACAACATTGACTGGTTTAAGAGAGAAAAAAAAAAAGGAAATCCAGAAGAATGTTTTAATTGTCAAGCGTGAAACAAGTGAAAATCATCAGAATCTTTTTCCTTCTGTGACTTGGTAGCAACAGTGTGTAAAGCCAAGGCCACCGTGAAGCGGTGGGGGAAATTTGGGCACCCGCAGACCTTGGCAGACACACTATGCTATTTTCAGACTTGCGGAGCCTTTGCACTGCCTCCCTGTCATCCTCACCTGTCTCTGGTCTGAAAGTCCATTTTAACTCTGCTTTCTTGGAGGCAGAAACAAGCATGTGACAGGATGCAGAGAATTACTCCTGGCTTTGATGTCTCTTCAACAGCTTGATGAAACCTGGTTTTTCCACCTGTCTTCACTTCTCCAAGCCTTACCTGCAAGCGCTTCCGTGAAAGCCCCCAGCACACCATCTCTGGGATGTGGAAGCTTAGGAGGGGAGAATTAAAAAAACAAAACGAAGGTAACAGTAATCAAGATCCAAACTTAGAAAACATTTCTTGAAGTGACATTATCTGCTCCTTTTAACCCAATCCCTTTGTCACCAGTCAGTGTTTGTTTAGGAAGTGTAAGCTAATTTTAATATTAAAGTGTTGTAGTGATTAAGAAGGTAAGTTTGTGAATAATGTATGAATCATCCACACTTTTGTCTTTTTTCCCACCTTATGTTCCATGTTACTGCTGCACCCTGTTATAAGCAAAGAAGAGTTGGCTGTGATTACTTCCAGAAACTTTGATTAACCCATGAGAGTAAAGATGTAGCTAGATAAACACAGAACTCCCTGATTGCAGACAAAAGGACTCAAATGTCGACAGAAGCAATGGCTTGTTTATACTGTGTTGAACTGGATTTGGTGACTTGTGAGCATAGGTAATCAGCCCTTTTGCCCGTGCCCCTGGGTGAAGAATCATCCTGCTCCTGTAACTATCAAAAAGATTAACCATGAACGTTGATATGAAATACTGCTTTTCATACCTTGACACCAAGAAGAATAGACCTTATTAAGGGAGGAAAAACACTTTTGGAGTTTACCTCCTTTACACATCCTGCTTGCATGGAATCCAAATTCAGTGAGCTGACGGCAGGCCAGTTCCTTGCCACTTTATGCAGTTGTGTTTAAAGTTTACCCTCTGTTATCTATAAATGCAAGTGGCTTTTTCAAGAATAGTGAGGGCAGCTTTCATTAAGGACTCATGCATCTCTAGGAGAATCACATGGGCTTAGTTGGCAGTAGAGCATTTTCTTGGGGACAGAATGTATTATAGATGGTTTAGGCAGGAGGTTAGACGAGAAACTTCCAAAAAAATCTAGGGATTTTTTATTCTGCCCAAACCAGCATGTTCCTTCCTGCTTTCATTTTTTTGTTCATGTCCTTCCTTCCACGTGGTAGATTACCTTCTCTTCTCCAGCTGGGCAAGTAGGCTACCTCTGCCCATAAGGACCAATTCAAGTTCCATTTTCAAGAAGCACTGTCTGATTGCACCAGCCAAAACTCTTCCCACTTTCTTTTCAGTTATTTACACTGCCTCTCTAGTCAATGTGCATGTATATGAAGTCCTCAGTAAGAGACTATAATTCTTCAAGGGCAACGAACATATCTTTTATCTTTTTTAGTCCTATTATGTCCTTATGCCCCCCCCCCAACTATATGTATATACCTAGTGCATGATAGGTACAAAATAAATATTAAAGTTTACTTAATTAAAGATTATGTTTATTTAAGAGGCAAAATTTGTGAATAAGTCTGGATCTTGATACTGTTACTTTCATTTTGTTGATTCCTTTCTCCCAACCTTCCACATCCCAGAGACAGGGTGCTGGTGACTTTTATGGAAAGGCTTGAAGGGTGAAGATATGTGGAGAAACCACCGTAAACCTCTTTGAGATTAACCACTTATTCCAGTGGAGGGCACTGGCTAGTCTGTACCAGACCTGCCCCAGACAGCTTTGTACATCTTGCGTGTGGGTGGGAACCCAAAAAGTTTCCTTTTCAGTGGATCTGTTTAGGTGAGGTAAAGAAATCCATTACTCAAATGTTTCATCAGAGGCTACCCCCTGTTCAGGTGTGCACCCTGCACCCATGTGGGTTTGCGGATGGCATATAACACTTGCAGCAGCAGAGCTCGTTGCCACACATCCAAGGGAAGTAAGTGTGCATATGTGGATGCGGCGGGAATACCTGCGGTCTTTCTGCTGAAGAGCAGGGTTATACACCTCCTTTTAGCAATCTGGAGAGGACTGAGGCAAGAGCTTGTATTGAAACACAAGCAAGCTCCACGTATGGTTTTGGACATGGAAGAAAGAGTACTGTTGGGGTGGAATGACCTAAGTTTTTAATAGGATTAGGATTTCTGTGGATTTTTCCCAAGTGATAGAAGTTTTCTTCATCTAGCAGGGAGCCTCACCCAATTGCTTCTCTATGTTCATTTCTGAAACTCCTTTGTTAAAACTAAATAGCAACAGAGAAGAAACTTTCTTCAAAAAACTCTTCATATCTGTCATTTCTCCTATTCTTATGGAACTTCACAATTGCTTTTTCTTTATTCCTTTTTTTTTTTCTATATCAGCTCATCAGTCTTTGTGGGTGACTTGGCTACCCCACTAATCTAATTGCCTTTTTGATAGTTAAATCAATATGGACATCAACTTAAGGCTATATGTGAACCTTAAATGCATGATATTCCCTATACTTGATTCCACAATTGATATTCTGTGAGGAAAGTTGGCCAGATATTCCCTTCTGTGAAGTCAGAATAACTACCGACCCTAAGAATAAACATTTTGACCAATTCTTTATATGTTGCAAACTATTCACACAACTAGAAAGTTTAGCCATTCACATCTCTTCCCCTGATTTTAAGTCCCAGATTCTGAGACTCAGAAAGTTTAGTGACTTGTTGAGCTTTCTGTGGAAAATCTGTTGTAAAAACAGTTCAGACATTGGAAAATATAAAATAGCCCCTAGAGATCCCAATAAAGCTTCCTCTCCCCAAATCCCTCTACAAGTTTATCCTCGAAAAACTTTCTGAAAACTGATGAGAAAATACTGAGTAATTAATGCTCAAATGGGAAAGATGACATGTAAAAGCAAAAACCTGTTAATGGCATCTGTTCATATAGTTCCATGTGCCTTTTTACTTAACTGCACTGATAGGCAATGTAATGAAGAAGTTTCCTTTTAAAACGTAAAATGTAATTAAACAGAGTTTATCTTAAATTGGCTGGACCCGCACAGCTTGACTGAGACATACACAGCTGTCTTCATTTTGAAGCACCTACACTAGTCAAGCTTCTTTCTAACCCGCCCTTAGGGTTTGCCTGTTGGTCTGTCTTCCCTACTGGGCTGTTAATCCCTTGGAGGCAGATTGTCTTGTTTCCCAGAGTTTTTCCAGCATATACCATGGCAGACAATTTTCACCTTATCTATTCTAACTCGTAAGCCTCAGCTAGTGCCTCCATCCTCGGGTGCATAGCCCAGTGACAGGCATGTAACAGACTTTGCCTACAAGCAGTTGCTGATCCATAAATGACGTTGGCAACCTTCTTGTGGCAGTGAGTAACATATTTCTTTCCTCCTGATAGGCTTGGAATCCTCATCCCCATCTGGCAATTTTCTTTCCATCTTTCCTACACTCACAATGGAGCCCACACGCCTCACAACCCCCTTGACTAAACCAGATGACAGCAAGAATGCCTAGTTCCAAGTGAGCAAGGGTGAAGCCTTAGGCCCTTGTCTCCTCCAGACCTCCTCTCTGCTCTAAGAGTATACTGGGCATGGGGTGTGGTCGGGGGGTTGGGGGCGGAGGAGTACTTAACCTCAAACTGAGAAAAAGGGTGTCCTGAGCAAGTTTCATAGCGTAGCAGCTTCCATTTGAAATGTGAAGCTTTGAAGGCCTGTTGCTACAGTAACCAGCTAGCTCCTGACTCCAATGCCTGTCTAATCTAAGGTGGAAATGTCCCAGAAACAGACCCCAGGCTGGCAGCTCTTAACTATGACCCATCTCATAAGCACATATCCAGCTGTAGCCTCTTGGTTGCTGGGGTGAAGGGGCCTCTGTATCGCCACAGGAAAAAAAATCTGATAAATTACGGGCTCAAGAAGGGTGTTGCTTTTTTTTCCACTAACAGACTTTGCAACCCAGTTCCTGGTGAAAGGGCTCCGCACCCACCCGTTTTGTGTGTATAATGCTGAGCTAAAGTGGGAAGGAGCAGTAACACCAAAGGAGGCTAATTCTCTTCCTGTCAGTAGGAGAGAGTGTCTGCCCCCAGTGTGTGAAAAGGGAAGGCATGAGAAGTGAAAAATCAGCCTTCTGGAAGCACCTTCTTACCACGAGAAAACAGGTGATTCTTACTATCTTTGAGACTCATCCAGATTGTGTCTGTTTAACTCTTCAGGCAATATGAAGGCAGAGAAGCCATTTCAGAGAAGAGATTTTTTAAAAAATCATTTCGTTCTTTGGCATTGTCACAGGATTATGATGTGGGTTCTCATAAAAATTTCACTCCCCCCAAAGCCACCCAAAGGAAAGGCAGTGAAATGGGGAGGAACACACATTTGCCTGGCATCGCAAGAGCTGCCTTGTAGTCATGGGTTCCAGTGATCTTGGACCGATCTCTTCACTTCCCTGGACCTCAGTTTCTTCCATACAAAGAAGTTGAACTGGATCATAGAAAAGATGCTGTCCAGCTTGGTAATATCAGATAGGGAGCAGAAGCTGTCTCTTAGCACATGGCCAGATTCCGGAACAACGATGATGGTCTCCATGTTTGTCCTAAAAATGCATCTCATCTCAGTAGAGATTTTCTTCCACCTCATTTGGGTCTCAATTTAAGGAAGGAAGAAAGGAAAGAAACCCGGGGATTCTCTTCTTGAAAGGAATATACTTCACTTTCTCTAGGCTTCTAGGATAAAAACTTCCTATCCTTCATTTTTCCTCTTTAAACCTGCCAAAATCAAGTTGAGTAAAGATACCATACAGATATGAAAAAGAAGCCACATCCTTAAATTTTCATGGAGTCCAAGAGCCTGCTCACCGCCAGTTAGCTTTTCCCAGGATGGTGGTGGCACTGATCATCTAGGTTGCACTTTTATGTTCATGTCCCAGAGCGTTTCCCATCAGCCATCTCATTTCATCTTTTCATCATTCCTCTGAGGAAAAGACTTCACACATGTATAGGACTTTCTATATCACAAAGTATTTCATATCCAATGTCTTATTTAGATCTTGACAATCACTGTTTAAGGTAATTTGGCAAGTTATTAATACTCATGTCCTCATTTTACTGAAGAGGAAACTGAAATGCAGAGAGCTTGTCTTTTGCCCAGGATCACTCACCCAGTTTATTGGGAGGCAGCAGCACGGGGATTAAGAACATGGGTTATGCCGACAACCAACCAGGCAGAATTCCAGCTCTGTCAGTAGTTAGCTGTCTGGCCTTAGGAAAGGGATTTCACACCTCTGTGGCTTAGTTTCCTTGTCCATTAAATGCTCATAAGAATAGAGCTTTCCTCACAGAGATTGGGTGGGCACGGGAGCTAAATGAGCTCATACGTTTAAGAACAACCTCTAGCACACAGTGCATAATAAATGTCATTATTATTAGCAAAGCCAGGACCTGGGTCTTCCAGCTTCTAGCTCAGTGGCATTTCTGCTGCCCCACACCAGGACTATCCTTCGTATACAGGTATGAACCTAAAGCCTTCAGTGTTTCAATGAAAAGTTCACCCAAGGTCTTTCTGTTCAGTAAGTCTAGAGCTAAGGGCTCCTGGCACTCTGTTCAGTCCTTTCGCTGGTAAACCACGCTGCCCTCCGTTGCTCTGGGCAGAATGTCAAACCTTCTTATGTTTTTAAAATTTATAAATCAAGCACTCTTATTTAATATTACTGACAGCCCGAAGGCAGACGCTCCCACTCTCCTGGGGAAGAGGGTCTTCTAATCTGCCATCTTAAGGAGGTAAAAGGGCTTGATTGGGTAACTCATTGCAATGGGCACGTATTTATTACTGTCTCCCGGCCTTTTCTCATGCTGTTTGTCTGCTGGAATTACCACTAGTGCCAGGCCATTTGAATATTTGACCATTTGTCTTAGAATTCTCTGAATACAAATGTTTTTCATACCTTTACTATGTACTTTTTAAGAATGAAGACTATGTTGCATGTTGGTTTGTACTCTCTCCTGCACATAAAAAATGCTTAGTAAATAGATACACAAATGTTTCTTGATTCCTAAATTGATTGACTGTTCGGGGAACTAATGGTCACTTCTAAGTGGTTGACAGTTGTCTCTTCCCACCTCTTAGTCGCAAGTTTCAGATGATCAAAGAATGCCTAGGTGGCATTCAACAGTATATGCCTCCGTAAAGGTAGAAGGTTTAGGAGTCGTATGTGCAAGAGTGGAAGAAGTTCTCCCTGCACACACAGGAGGCCATCTGCTACAAAGCCTCAGAACCTGGCCTCTGCCCTGTCAGCCTGCATGCTGCGTGCATGGAAAAACAGGCCTGAGCCAGGGCTTACCCTGTCACCCAAAGTCCACTCCATGTAGTATGCCCGAAGCAAACATGACCTTGTTCTACAGTTAAAAACAAATGAAAGTCATCTGCCGGGGTCACTTGGTAATAAAGTCCTGCGACAGAAGGGGCTCTGCTTAAAGGGCAGCTCAGATCCAGGCATTAAAATAACCTAAATGGTGTCGTTTTCTGATCAAATTCCTTTCCCTGTCGGGTTTGTGATTTTTGAGCCTGAGAATGTCCCTCGCGGCTCAGGTTTCTCTGCTGTCACACTGATCTCAGGCCTGGAATGCAAGCACTGGCCATTGAGGTCTGATGTAACTATGTCACAATCCCAAAATGGAGAGACATTATCTCATAGATGGTGCAGCAGGCGGGCACCAGTGTGCGGCTGGCAGGCACGGCTGAGAATGCAGTCCTGGGCATATTCCACATCCACAGTTCTCAGTGGACACAGGGTCTGATGCCCGAGGCTCCAAGCCGTGCTCCAGTAAGTTAGGGTCTTGCACATCTTCATACTCAGGAGTAGGGACAGGAAGACACAGGCTGGGATGGAGATGGGCTCACTCCTGGGCCAGTCAGGTTGGCTTTCAGAAAGGTGATTTCTGGTCACAAGGCCCTTGAGCAGCTGGAGGACTTAGGCAGAGTGCGGAGAGCAGCCATTCACATGAGAAGACTCCACCCTGGAGGCAGCGCTAAGCAGCCATCCTTCCTTAACTGGGCCTCTGGGGCAGGTGGGGCCTAGTGGCCTGTGAGGTATACAGCCCTTTCAGCACTTAGAGAATGACGCCTCAAGGGGAAACCATTAACCCTTTCCTAGAATAATAGCATCAAAGTCCTGACCATGTTGATCATGGAGTCTCATTTGAATTCAGAGGAGCGCCTTCTTATCCAGCCTCGAGGAATCAGGCCACTTCCTTCCTCCTGGGTTAGCTTCCTCACACCTCTTATTTCCCATGGCTCTGCTGTGAGATGCTTTTGTTCCAACCAAGCCATTGCCAATTAGGCCATGCCCACTTCTGCCGACTCCCTCTGCTCACTCCTTCCTTGCCTGAACAGTCTGCCTCTCAGTTTGCCTGGTCCTTTCCTCCAGGTCCACATTAAACTCCCCTTGCTCGCCCAGGCATCTCTCAGTGCCCGAGTCCCCATCTCTGGAGCTCCTTCAGAACTAGTGTCTGCGCCACGCATTGGATGCTTGGCACATGCGTCCTTCCACCGTCAGTACCTTCTCTTGTGTAGATGAGTGCATGTCCCTTAGGAGTGTCCTCTAGCACTAGACTAGTGTTTTATCTCTGGGTACTCCCAGGGCCTAGCAGTGAGCCTTGCACACAACACTGACTCTTGAGAATGCTCTTAAACTCTAAAGCCATCTTAGAATCAAAACCTAAGACCACATCCAGGAATACAGCCTCGTTCCCCTGGTCTACCAGTGCCCTTACACACCAAGCACATGCCTGAATATGAGGCCTTCTCATTTGCTCTTTCCTCTACCCGGCATGGTTCACTCCCCTACTCCACTGTCTCTGCACAAATGCCACCTTCTCAGGCTTTCCTGACCACCCTGTCTAAAAAATAACATTCCTTATCCCATAATCCCTATCCTGCTGATTTTTCTTCATAGCACTTACTATTGATTTATATTCTATTATTATACTATATTACATTACACTATATTTGTTTTAATTGACAAAATTATATAGATTTATTGGGTACAGCATAACATTTTGATATATGTTTACATTGTGGAATGACTAAATCAAGCTATTTAAAATATGTCTTATCTCACATATGATTTTTTGTGGTGAGAACACTTAAAATATACTCTGAGCAATTTTCAAATATACAATATGTTGTTAACTGTAATCACCATGTTATACAATAGATCTTTGAACTTCTTCCTCCTAACTGAAATTTTGTGTCCTTTGACCAACATCTCCCCAATCCTCCAACCCTTCAGCCTGTTAGCCACTATTTTATTCAGTGTTTCTATGAATTCAGCTCTTTAGAGTTCACATGTAAGTGAGACCATGTGGTATTTGTCTTTCTGTGCCTGGCTTACATCACTTCAGGTTACACTATATATGTTTAAATCTTTCACTGTGTGTGGTTCCCATAAGAATGCAAGCCCCATGAGGGCCAGGACCTTGCTTTATTCACAGCTCACCCTACAGCTCTGCCTTTAGCAGTGTGAGGAATATCGTAGGTGCTCACTGTTTGTGGAATGAGTGGATAGGTGAATGAATGAGCAAATGAATATTTTTCTGTAAAGCAAGGACCACTCTGTGTGATAATGTGACATGCAGCCCACCATGGGATGATGTAAGGCTTCTTTTCACAGAACCGAAGAGCGTTTGAACTATAAAGGTCCTTGAAAGTAGGTCACCGTCCCAATTGTACAGAGTAGGAAACTGAGTCCCAGAGAGGGAAAACAGATGGAAATGAACACTTGGAAAGTTAATATCTTTGATTTTTAATACTTCTTCCTAGAGCGTAGTCCGATGTAACAGTTCATCTGGCGAGATTCTGAGTTACCAATTTTTTATGGGTTTTGCGTTAGAATAATTTTATAATAATCAAAAGTAAATGAGAACAAGGCCAATAGCATAAAATTTCACTCCTTCACACTCCTAAGTGTTTTTCGAGGCACTGCGGAAAAGGAAGCATCTATCGTGGTTGGTCCAGCATCCCTTCAGTAGCTTAGATCTGCAGAAATACTGTTGGAACATCGTTTCTTTATTCTTCCCATCCTTTGTGTGTTAGGCCAAACCCTGAGGACTGTCTGCCTTGGAATAGAGAGGAAATCCAAGCATATGTGCAAAGTTGAGCTGCACTTTCAGCCCCAGGTCTTCAATGGGCCTTCTCCACAGGCACCTGTGAAATGCCAGCAGGGTCGTTGCATGTAGAGGGATCCCACTCAGTGCACCCCTGGGAATGGCTCAGCCGCACTGTGGGTGTAAGCATTAATCACACAACAGCCATTCTACATATTCCTTTTTTATTCTCCAGAGAGTGCCAGGAAAAGTCCTGCCCAGTCAAAAGTCTTCTCTTGCAGCTGGGTGTTGAGGGTGATTGCCCCTCTCTCTCCTTGTAAGATTATGTTTGACAGCAGTGAAAACCAACAGTTTAACAGCAGTAATCTCTTGGCAGGACAGATTGATATGAGCCTTGTCCCAAAACAAAGTAATCCTTTCAGGGAAGTGTATTTCAAGTTGAGCTCACGTTCCCAAGATGCTGAGATTCTTATGTAGCTGACACCGGAGCTGAGGCTGAGCCCCAGCCAGGGATATCCAACGATTGCCAGTAACACCACGGAACTGAGTGAAGATTCAGGGGCTGAGTGTGTTCCTGAGTGCTTCAAACCGGGGGACCTGGAAACCAGAGGACTCCTGGGGAAAGGCTGTCAACTCCAGCCTGCTCTTCCTAAATGGCCTTGTTAGTAGTGACTTCAGCCCTGGCGGTGAGGCATGTGGGTCAGAATAACATTCCCTTTCTTTTCCCTTCACCTCTTTTTTCTCCACGGTTCCTTTTCATAACTTCTTTATTTGCTGCCTAGAGGAGCTTTCTGGACATTTTGTCTCCAGGGAGCGTGACATGTCACCTGTTTCTCACCTCATATGCCTCTGATCTTCTACACCAAGGTAGCTATAAAGGCTTGCTTTCTAGGCTGGGTTTCCCTGCACAGGCCCACTGAACCACTCAAACCTCAGAGGTGGAAGTGCCCAGCGGGCCTCATGGTCAGCTGGGGATAACGGAGTCATTTTCGCAGCCCAACTTCTGAAATTCCACAAGAGGGCGCCCAAGGTCTCCCAAGTCCGGCCACGCCCGGTGGCCTTGAGGCCGGAAGGTGGCGCTGTTGCTTTAGCCATCAAGAAAGGCAAGGCTGGGGACGCCGCATCCCCGGGTGCGGAGGGCGATGCCTAGGGGCGATGCTGTGCCTGTGGCGGCCAAACAGTGCCACCCACTCCGGGAAACAAAGCCAAGCGCCGGACGCTAGGTATGGGAGAGAAGAGCCACCCTGACCCAAGGGAGGGCTCTAGGTGAGGAGCCAGCGTCCTCCGGCTCCGGTTCCCGCTGCACTGCTGCTTTGCCAGGAGGCCTTGAAGAAAGTCATTCATTCTTTCTCCCCCACAGCTTCCTAGGTCTTCCACGTGTTCAACGGAAATTCACAAATTCTCTAGTAGCAGGTAAGCTTCGGATTCAGGAATGAAAAAGACAAAGCCCTGTCCTGGGTGAATTCATTATCCATGGACAGGGGAGGCAGGCGCATCATCGGAAAGTCACCGTGTGAGGAGGGACGTGGAGGCACAGAGGTGCACACGGAAGCCCCCAGAAGAAGGACTTCCCCCAGCCTGGGGAAGCTGGGCGGGCAGGGGTGGGCCAGCGAAGCCTTCCCGGTGATTCTAGGCAGTCTTAAAAGGTGTTAGGAGTCAACTTGGGAAAGATTAGGAAAAGGCAGTGTAGGCCAAGGGACGGCCGGAGCAGAGGCCGCGCGGCAGTGCTGGCATGTGGGTGGGCGGTGGTAAGGAAGGCGGTGGATGAGGATGCAGGGAGCAGATGGGCTGCGTTGCAGGCTGGGCCCCTATGGCCCTCAATAGGTTTTGTGGTCAACATGCTTTGTGGAGTTACAACAAGCAATGGTGGCCCTAACACATATATTCATTTATAGGTCCATAAATCTGCATTCATAGAGATAAATGAGTAATCCCCAGGGTGAAGGAGAACTGGAAGAGACACTGGAGCCAGGTCCACCCTTGGCCAGGTTTTACCTTGACTTGGCGTCATCACTAGGCACTGGTTTTTTTCTCTCTCCTTCTTCCCTGACCAAGAAATACAACAAATTCGTTATGATATCGACTTGTCATGATCCGAAATTGAAGAGCAACCATATATTTATTTGGCAAGATAAATACACACATTCTTTACATAAGATTAGTAGCCACCAGTTTCTAAAAGCATATATTGTCATTTATTTGCCAAAACAAAGGTACATGCCCACATGTTATAGATGGGAAAGATGAGGCCCAGAGCTCGGGTGCATGGCTGAGGTCACCCAATTAGTGGATGGTGGTGCTGGCACTTCTGTCTGGGCTGCTTCACCTTGTCACACACTCTCCACTCCATGCAGGCCGCACCTCTCTAGCAGGGTTTATCACCCAGCTTAGTATCACTAGTACCCAGCACACTCACTCTGTGAAAGACACTGCACTGTGATCTGTAGGGTCTAAAGCTAGGGGTCCATGTCACATACAGAATGGCACTTTTCACAGAAAGAGAGGACAGATGCTGCATGGCTGGTCTCAGTGTTCATTCCGAACCCCCACACTCCAGCGTGAGTACCAAATGGTCATGAGCATTGACGGAGCACACAGTGTACCCTGAGTTCTAAAGACGCAGGACTGTGTCTGAGCTGCCATAACAGAATACCATATCAGGTAGCTGACAAAAAAAAACAAAACAAAACACATTTCTCACAGTCCAGAGAGCAAGGTTCAGTGTCAAATGATGGCCTGTTTCCTCATAGACCCTATCTTCTCACTGTAACTTCACATGTCAGAAGGGACAAACAAGCTCCCTTAGGCCCCTCTTATGAGGGCACTCATCCCATGCGTGTGGCCTCTACCCTCAAGACCAAGTCACCTTCCGAAGGCTCCGCCTCCTGGTATCATCACCTTGGTGTTGAGGATTTTAATCTGTCAATTTTGGATGGAGACAAATGTTCAGACCAAGGATAGGATGGGTTCTCAAATGCACTACTTTATATGATTAGCAACCAGAGCACATGGCTACAGCAGTAAGATGCTTGTTGGCATTTGTGACTATGTTGCAGGAAGGGCCATCCAAGAGCGTCTATGACTTGGTGCACCCTTAGTTCAAATGGCATCTTTCCCAGATGCTTGGTCTCCAAACAGAAAGCAGCCTGCAGTTTCATGTTTTAAAGTTTCTGCTACAGAGATCCTTTGCCAGTGTATTGAAGTTTGTAGAGAGAATGTTTTTAATCAACAAAATGTACTGAAGTAGTGTGCAAAGTTCCAGGAAGGAATAAAGCCCACCAGTGAGGCAGAGAGAAATGGAAGTCTAGCAAAGACAAATGAAAGATCCCATGCTCAACTTCACTGGAAAGAAGCTAAATCCAGCAAGAGGACTGTGAAAAAACACAATTCCTGAGGAGAGAACAAATGACAAGCAAATGGTCCACAGAATAACATATAAATTAGCCTCAGACTTCCTGAGAGAAGCTAAAGAGACCATGCCTCCAAAGCTCACAATCGCTGGACAACAGTATGAAATCCCAAAAAGGGGAAATAACTTGCTCTAATAGCAATAGCTAACATCAGAGAGGGCTCACAACATGTCAAGGCCTGGTTTCCGTGCTCTATGTGGATTAACTCACTTAATTCTCCCAAAGATTGCATGAAGTATGAGGATCCCCACCCCCATGTACAGATGGAGGAGTTGAAGCTTAGAGAGAGAAGTAATTCACCCCACTTATCCAGTTAGTAAAGGTCAGAGCTGGGATTCAAACCCAGGCAGCCTAGCTCCCAATGGATCCTTGCAACCACTTTATTTATTGCCAGCTCCAAGTACAGCAGCAAATCAACACTGGAGCCAAGATTAAAACCCTGATAATAACCCAGCTCCTAGTGTCTGTTCTTTCCACCATTTCACTCTTTCCCCATATAGGCCCAGAAGACTCTCCCCTCAGAGCAATGGCCCTTGCTGGTCACTCTGTGAATGCTCCTCTCTTAGATTTGCACAGAGCCTGCCCCTTCTATTGCTTTTCTGACCACCCCCAACAAAATAGCAACAGCCTCCCACTCTCTGTAACCCTTGCATGTCTACCCCCTACTCTGCTTCATTCATTGATAACCGTATCACCACCTACTATACTATTACTATATTTACTCTCTTTTTTTTGGTTGAGTGTCTTCTCCTACTAAAATGCACGCTTCACAAAGAGAAACATCTTTGCCTTCTTCCACGCTAATATCTCCAGTGCCTGGCACATATAAACATTTGGTAAACATTTGATGAATAACTAAATGAATAAACAAATGGGCAAATCATAAATAAATAAATTGCATGCGCAAAGCAAAGAACTCAGGCACTCTGTGCCATGCGTCGGAAGTCCTACCTGATAGCTTGTTACTGAGATGCTACCGAAACATCCAAATCCAGTTCAAATTCTACCTCCTTCAGAAAACTTCCCAAATCTTTCCACTAACTGAGTTACTGGCTGAGAATTGAGTCACTCCAGGAATTTCTATTAAGCTGTAGGAACTTCTGAAAGGGAGGACGTAATATATCAATTACCAGCAATTAACACTTTTGAATATATTAAACAATACATGTACAGCATTTTATAGATAACAGATCTGAACTAAAATACAGCTGGCGTGGAGTGGCACAAAAAACATGCCAGTCATAGTGCTAGGTACTTTGCATGCTGTACTAATTGCCAAATATTCCCAGCTTTGTGCCTTCCTGGCACCTGTGAGAATTGTACTTCCCAGACTCTTCCTGGTTGAATGATACCATGTGACCAGTTCTAGCCAATCAGACATGAGCAAACCTACTACCCACTTAAAAGTGCTGAGACATCCTTCAGAGCTCTCTTTTCCTTTTGGCTCAACCAACCAGTAACCTTCAAAAAAGTGGTTACGGGGCTGCTTACTCAGCCTTAGTCCCTGAAGACCCCCATGTCTCCAGTCTTATCCCAGCTGAACTGCACAGCAATCTTTTGAGGTAATCTGTGCTGTCATTGTTCTACACATAAAGGAGAGGGCTCTGAGATAAAAAATGATTTGCCCAAGTCACACAGGTAGTAAGCAAGAGCCAGGAGTGGAGGACAGGTCTGATGCTAGAACCTGTAACTTTTACCTACTTGTACTGTCTCTCCCACTCTTACAGAATAAAAATAAGGAATACGACAATGGGAATATCAGCTGTTTCCTGGAAAACAGAAGCTTTGTTTGGGCACCACAGCTTTGGGCTGTTGGGGGTTAAAAAGAGTCAATAGGACACTGGGATCATGGGAAATAATTATAAAAGCTGGTGGTGTAAGGGAGGAAGTGCCACAGACAACATTCTCCCTGTTTGTATTTTTGCTTGTTGGAGAGTTATAATCCTTGGTCTTTGGTAGACAAAAACTACGTGATTATCTCAATAGATGCAGAAAAGGCCTTCAACACAATTCAACAGCCCTTCATGCTAAAAACTCTCAATAAACTAGGTATTCATGGAACGTATCTCAAAATAATAAGAGCCCTTTATGACAAACCCACAACCAATATCATATTGAATGGGCAAAAACTGGAAGCATTCCCTTTGAAAACTGGCACAAGACAGGGATGCCATCTCTCACCACTCCTATTCAACATAGTGTTGGAAGTTCTGGCCAGGGCAATCAGGCAAGAGAAAGAAATAAAGCATATTCAATTAGGAAAAGAGGAAGTCAAATTGTCCCTGTTTGCAGATGACATGAATTTATATTTAGAAAACCCCATCGTCTCAGCCCAAAATCCCCTTAAGCTGATAAGCAACTTCAGCAAAGTCTCAGGATACAAAATAAATGTGCAAAAATCACAAGCATTCTTATACACCAATAACAGACAGAGCGCCAAATCATGAGTGAACTCCCATTCGCAATTGCTACGAAGAGAATAAAATACCTAGGAATCCAACTTACAAGGGATGTGAAGGACCTCTTCAAGGAGAACTACAAACCACTGCTCAATGAAATAAAAGAGGACACAAGTGGAAGAACATTCCATGCTCATGGATAGGAAGAATCAACATCGTGAAAATGGCCATACTGCCCAAGGTAGTTTATAGATTACCCCATCAAGCTAACAATGAGTTAATTCACAGAATTGGAAAAAACTACTTTAAAGTTCATATGGAACCAAAAAAGAGCCCACATTGTCAAGACAATCCAAAGCAAAAATAACAAACCTGGAGGCATCGTGCTACCTGACTTCAAACTATACTACAAGGCTACAGTAACCAAAACAGCATGGTACTGGTACCAAAACAGAGATGTAGACCAATGGAACAGAACAGAGGCCTAAGAAATAACACCACACATCTACAACCATCTGATCTTTGACAAACCTAACAAAAACAAGAAATGGGGAAAGGATTCCCTATTTAATAAATGGTGCTGGGAAAACTGGCTAGCCATATGTAAAAAGCTGAAACTGGATCCTTTCCTTACACCTTATACAAAATTAATTCAAGATGGATTAAAGACTTAAATGTAAGACCTAAAACCATAAAAACCCTAGAAGAAAACCTAGGCAATACCATTTAGGACATAGGCATGGGCAAGGACTTCATGACTAAAACACCAAAAGCAACGGCAACAAAAGCCAAAATAGACAAATGGGTTCTAACTAAACTAAAGAGCTTCTGCACAGCAAAAGAAACTACCATCAGAGTGAACAGCCAACCTACAGAATGAGAGAAAATTTCTGCAATCTGCCCATCTGACAAAGGGCTAATATCCAGAATCTACAAAGAACATAAACAAATTTACAAGAAAAAAACCAAACAGCCCCATCAAAAAGTGGGCAAAAGATATGAACAGATACTTCTCAAAAGAAGACATTTATGCATCCAACAGAGACATGAAAAAAATGCTCATCATCACTGGTCATCAGAGAAATGCAAATCAAAACCACAATGATACCATCTCACACCACTCAGAATGGCGATCATTAAAAAGTCAGGAAACAACAGGTGCTGGAGAGGATGTGGAGAAATAGGAACATTTTTACACTATTGGTGGGAGTGTAAACTGGTTCAACCATTGTGGAAGACAGTGTGGTGATTCCTCAAGGATCTAGAACTAGAAATACCATTTGACCCAGCAATCCCATTACTGGGTATATATCCAAAGGATTATAAATCATGCTAGTATAAAGACATATGCACATGTATGTTTATTGCGGCACTATTCACAATAGCAAAGACTTGGAACCAACCCAAATGTCCATTAATGATAGACTGGATTAAGAAAATGTGGCACATATACACCATGGAATACTATGCAGCCACGAAAAAGGATGAGTTTATGTCCTTTGTAGGGACATGGATGAAGCTGGAAACCATCATTCTGAGCAAACTATCACAAGGACAGAAAACCAAACACCACATGTTCTCACTCATAGGTGGGAACTGAACAATGAGAATACTTGGGCACAGGGCAGGGAACATCACACACTGGGGCCTGTCAGGGGCTGGGGGAGGGATAGCATTAGGAGAAACACCTAATGTAAATGACGAGTTAATGGGTGCAGCAAACCAGTATGGCACATGTATACATATGTAACAAACCTGCACATTGTACACATGTACCCTAGAACTTAAAGCATTATTTTTTTAAAAAAGTATGTAAAAAAAGAATTATTGGTCTTTGGTTTGATTCCTTCTCACTGCATACACATCAATCAGGAAGTCAACACATATAGAGTGAGCTCTTCCTTTGGGTGGGCACTGTGCTGAGGGCATCTTGATGGACCCAGCACTCACAGCCCCACTTTCAAGGACCTGCAGGCTGTTCAGCTGACCCCCACTTCTGTTTTAAGCTTTTAAACTTCTGTGTGGTTCCATTCCTTGTCCACCCAAAGTTCTACTTGTTCATGTGGTTGTTAGGTATAGAGATGGGAAAATGCATATGAATATACAATACAGAGATGTGTTACATATGTGAACTTGGAAGACTGGGACTAGGATGCCGTCTGTCTCTAGTGTCATATTCCATTTTTAAAGGAGGGAAGGTATAAATGTATTTCTACCAACATGGAGATTCATTAGGAGAAAGGGGCAGAGAATCAGATTCTGAAAAGGAGCCACTATAAATACTGTAACCAAACAGAATCCGCCAGACTAGAGGGAATTGCACCTCCTCACTGCACAAGATTAGCTAATGCGGGTGAAGCTATTGGAGTGCTTCTGAAGAAATCAAAATTTTGTTATTATGATTATACTGTTAGATATTTCTTTCTTGAGATTCTAAATGAATTTGTTTAATGCCTTATTGGTCCATTCCTGCATCTCTGCTTCCAGAAGCCAAGAACAAGTTCTCTGGATCACATAGGCTCCTCTGCTGCTTCCTCAGAAACAGAGATGGTACTTGGTGCCGAAGAAAGAGACAGAGACTGGGAAGGAGAAGGAAGTCAGCAGAAAGAAGAAAGACGCACAGGAAAGAGAGAAGGGTAGCTAAAAGAAAGAGGTAAGAACAGATCTCAGTTCTTCATTTCTGCTTGAGGACTCATTGAAGCATTGCATTGGTTTAGGAGAGCAAATGAGGTGTGACGTGTTATAGAAAGTGGATCTTAAAGCTCTTACTATAAATAACCCATAATAAGTAAAACTTTTGCTAGGCAAGAAAAAAGTATCTAAAGAGAAAAGAGACATTGACTACGTAGAACAGATCATTATTGTAGAAATGGGAAGGGCCAAACCATTCTCATCCTTAGCATACATTTCCCCCTCTCTAAGGTGATTGACCATGAGTTTGTTTGGGAACTGTTTGGTTTTAGCGGTGAAAGTCTTGGATCCCCAGCAACTCCCTCAGGCCCAAGCAAACCAGGATGGTAGGTCACCCTACCCCTGCCTGAAATGTCCTCCTCCCATGCCACCCCTGTCCCCTCACCTCTTAGTGAAGGTGTCCAGCTGCGAGTTTAAACTCAGTCTCCTCCACAGAACGTTCCATGATCCTCAAGCAGAACTTGTTCTTGTCTCTGTGTTCCACGGGGCCTTTTACATAACTCAACAATAGCGCTTACTGATTGTACACTGTTTCCCACTAAAATGTCTTTCTCTCTGATACAGTATAAACTCTTTAAAAGTAATAATCTCATATTTGAATCTTTGATACCCAAATAAACATTTGCTGATTATATGAATGAATAAACAAAGGAGCAAAGGAAGTTTGAGAAAACCATAAATTATTCACCAGTAAATATTAAACATTACTTGAGATATTCCCACCCGCACTGAACTACCTGGACGTGATAACAAATTCTGAAGGTCTGGATCACAGGCAGACAAACAGGAATGCTTGGAAGGCAGAAGCCTCCCACACAAAATTTTTCACCTGCTGCTAATATGCTACCCATAGTTTCCACCATTAAAAATCTATTATTTTGGGTTAAGCCAAATTTCTCCCTTGCATAGGACCTGCCAAGACTATTGTTTAAAATCTTATTTTGCTATTCACCCAGGTGACTGGCTTAACATTCATAGCAATCACCCCAGCATTGAGGTCTTGCTCAAATAGCCCCAGGTACCTGGCAACATAGAAACAGCTATATTTCCAGATGATAAATACCTCAATTACAAGGATTAAAATGTTCTCTGGGGTATTCTATTTTTAAGTGGTTTGGTCCCAAAAGACCCCGAGCAAAGACTTTGCTATTATTTTTTTGCTTACAATTGGGCTAGGAGGAGGACTGGGTCTCATCTGCTCCTGGGAGCTAAGTGGCTTCCCTAAGCTTGGACTTAAAGTGTTCTGTGGGAAGTGTGTTTCTTTCCAGAAGTGGGTGGAAGGTGGAGGGGTAGGAACCATGTTGGGCACATTTATGAAGAGAGAGTGTGACAGACCTCTGTAAGTGCTGGCAATGAAAAGGTCTGGAAAGCAATGTAGTCTGAGAGGGAACATTACATGATCAGAGGGAAAGAGGTTTCTTTGTGGGCAAAAGGAGGTAAGACATAAGAAGTCAGAGAGAATGGTCTTCAGAATAAATATCCAGAACCTCACTTGAAAACACCAGGAAGATAACACGGTGGCCCCGAGCAGAGAGGAGAGGCAACACAAGATTACATTTGCAGACTTAGTCATGAAATTGTATAATTTGAGGCCTAATTTGTTTTGAATGTCCCTGCCTTTTTGGTCTCTTTAGTTTATAATCTAAAACCATCTTGTGAAATAGTTTGAACCTGGATGTAAGTTGAACATGAAACACAGCTAAGTGTGAAAGAGAGTAAGTGTGCCACAAATCTGAATGAGAAATAGCTTAAGACCATTCAATAATTCCCTAACTGGAACACTAAGTGAAGGGCGTGGAGCAAACTTTCACAGCTCCATTCACCTGGCAGCCTGGGGTACAGAGGGGCTAGGGAGGGTATGGGGCAGAGCTCTGCCTGCTGTGGTGAGAACTCGCCGTGGGGACTGCGCAGGCCCAGCGCTGGACCAGGCGGACGGATTCCTGCTCTGTGTGTGCTTACAGTCTGTCTGACCTAAAATAGGAGCCACTGGAGACTAGTTTCTCTCGGTTGTAAACCTTACACATGACAACTGGCCAATGACATGAGGCTGACAGGTATAATATTAGATTATATGTGAAATTTTACAGTAAATAGAGGATGAGCTCTGGAGCCATGCAGACCTGGACTTGAATCTCAGTTCTGTCATTCACCCCTCTGTGATGCAGGGAGTGGATGTCAACCACTGAACCTTATAGAGCCTCAATTACCTATGATTAAAATGAAGATGACTATCCCTCTAACATCAGGCTTTGATAGGCACATAAAGGAATGATGAGAGTGAAGTGTCCAGTGCAGAACTCAGCTCATGGTAGGTAATCACATTAATTCCTTTTCCCTTCTTAGGAAAGAGGTGAGATTCACAAAGACACTGAGGCGTTTACTGATTTCTACACCCACTCAGGCCACTGTCCTCTCATCTGGATGACCTCAATAGCCTCGTCTGGCCACACTGACTCTGACTGGAATCAGAGACTAGCCGTTGACTACTGGCTCTAGTCAATTAGCTACTCGGTGACCAGAGTGCATGCACTACATCATAAATCTCATTTCAAATCTCTGTTTGGAATCCTTCAATAGTTTCACACTTCCAGCTCTTTAGCAGGCCTTCAGGAGACCTTCCTGGGCTGGCCCTTGCATCCTGCTCCCCTTCGTGCTCACAGACTTCAAACGCACCCTTCCTGCCCTCCAGCACACTGAGGAAGCACTCAGATCTATTCCTACAGTTCCCCAACGGGCTCTGCCTTTGCACAGTTTGCCTCTGTGCCTGAACAGCTTCCCATATCTCTCTTCCATAAGCCATTTGTTTATTTGGATAGCTCCACTCCATCTTTGGGATTCAGTTTCCATGTCACTTCCAGTTTTCTCCAGCCAATAGCCCTGCTGTTTGCTCTTTCTGGCACTGTATGCATACACCCATCATAACAAGTAGTACATGACTGCTTGGCCTTCTGCAAAGTCTACTGTGAGCCTCTGAAAGCAGAGCTTGTGTCTTGTTTACTGCTCTCCTCCCAGCACAGAGAGTGGCACAGAGGAGGGACCCAATAAATACAATTTGTAAACTTCTAGTTTAAAGTAATGATGATAGACTCAAAGAAAAATTGCAAAAACCTTTCCTAGCTTTCTCTTACATTGACATCTTATAAAACCTTAGTAAAATTATTAAAACCAGGAAATTATCATTTATACAATACTCTTAGCTAATCTACAGACCTTATTTGAATTTCACCAATTTTCCCACCAGTGGCCTTTTTCTTATCCACATTGCATTTAGTCAGTATGTCTTCTTAATCTCCTCCAATCTGTGAGCTAGGTCCTCAGTCTTTCTTCTCTTTAATGACATTGATATACTTTTATTTTATAGAATGTTCCACCATCTGGGTGTGTGTCTGGTGTTTTCTCAAGGTTCGATGGAGGTTGTGCCTTTTTAGCAATACTCACAGTGGTGTTATGTCCTTCTCAGTGCATAGTATCCAGAGGCACATGATGCCACTGTACCTTACACCGGTCATTTGCTTATGGGGAAGGCTGTCAAGTTTCCCCTCTGTAAAGTTAACTGTTTTTCTTTTTGCAATTAATAAGCATCATGTGAGGAGATACTTTAAGAGCGATTAATATATTTTAATACATCAAAGGACAGAATCTGAAAGAAAGAGGTAAGTATGAGTTCCGTGCCTGCATTTAAAAAGCATACAGAAAGGATAAAATAGAGAAAGTGAGACACCAAATGAGATAGCAGGATGGATTTAGGCTACCAGCATCACTGCACTTTCAGGAAACATTCAGAGAACTACAGTTTCTGGGTCCTGGGGTTGAGAGTCCTCTTCCTTTTGCTCAGGAGACCACCCTGGGATAGCATGTTCAGATCTGGGCACCATCCTTTAAGTTGAGTACAGTCACATTACGTCAAAAGTGCATTTACGTTACCCAAATTCTACCATGCAACCTCAGCAAAAAAGAAAGACAACCATCTAAATTGTGTTTACAAGAGAGTAATCCTAGTTATATGTTTGTGCATCCAACCCTTCTTTATCCTACTGATCTCATATTTTATATTTACATTTTAAGAACAACCAAACAGGTTTTCAAGAGTGAGGTGGCTTAACACAATTTCCACTTATGCTCAATGTTCTCCACGGAGAACAATTCCTGTGAAAAGTGTGACTCCAATATGTAACAAACTAGAGCCTGTCCAGAGAGGTGAGCAAACAGATTTTGGTCTGCTGCGGAGGATTAAAGGAATGGCAGGTGCTCACATTTAGAAAGGCAACACTCACGGAAGTGCAGAGTAGTCATCTTACTCAGCTCAGGCTGACTAACAAAATGCCATAGCAGACTGGCTTTAACAACAGACATTTATTTTCTCACGATTCTGAAGGTTGGGAAGTCCAAGATCCAGGTGCCAGCCAATTTAGTTCTGTTGAGGACCCTCTTCCTAACTTACAGATGTCCTCCTTCTCACTGTGTCCTCACATGGTGGAGAGAGAAGGGCACATGAGAGAGAAAGGGAATTAAGAATAAGGATGCAAATTCTGCCAGATCAGGTCCCTACCCTTATAGTCTAATTTAACCTTAATTACCTGCATAAAGGCCCTATCTCCAAACATAGCCACATTGGAAGTTAGGAGTTCAACACATGAATTTGTGGGGGACACAAACATTGAATCCATAGCTGTAGTTATCCTCAAATGTTTCTTAGTCCATTACTTGTATAACAGGATGTTCAAGTGGGACTTCTCTTTATTGTCTCACTGTCTGCTAAAGCCCTAACACTAACCACAATAGGTGCCAACTACCTTCAAATTTAGAGAAAGGGGCAAGACCAATAATTTGTTCTGCTTGCGTTGGTCTATCACTCATCTCCAGATGATATAAGAAAAGACTAAGTATCCGTTAAGGAGGAGCAACAAATGGTAAGCTTTCTTCAGGAAGAAAGTTGTAGCCTGGGCAACAAAGCGAGACCCCATCTCTCCAAAAAAAAAAAAAAAAAAAAAAATCAGCCAGGTGTGGTGGTACATGCCTTTGGTCCCAGCTACTCAGGACCTGAGATGGGAAGGCTGAGATGGGAAGACTGCTTGAGTCTAGAAGATTGAGGCTGCAGTGAGCCATGATTGCACCATTGCACTCCAGCCTGGGCAACAGAGCAAAATTCTGCCTAAAAAAAAAAGTAAAGAAAGTTGTATGCTGAAATGCCCTCCTAATCCTCCACTACTCAGGCCAACTGAGATGAGTTTCAAAGAACCTCTAACAGGCTTGCCATATATTCCTTGGAATTGGGGCAGATTCTGGAACTGGTATCTGAGTCACACTTACTTGGAAGAAAATCTGAAGGAGGGAGTTTCTGGCTGTGGGCAGGGAGTAGAAGCTGTGCTGGCAGACTGAAGGGAGCTATGCAAACGGCAGCGCAAAAACACATGTTTCTCAAGGTCCACATGTGAATCCTGAGGAAGAGACCAGCATGAGGCAGTTTGAAAACTCTATCCAAGAGGACCACTGGAATTAGGGAGGGAGTGCAGGGTGGATGACCCCAGCAGAAGGAGACTGCAGTGAACCACCAGCCATGGGCTGGGCGAATGTCATCAACTTCTAGCCAAAGGAGGCATCCCTGCACCAGAAAACCGCAGTTGAGAGTCCCCAGAGGAGGAGCTTAGAAGAACCCAGAGATGTACCCATGAAAGAAAAGAGGAGCACTTGAGTGCTCAGCTCAGAGAGCCCTTAAACGCCGGATCACACCTGGGCCTACCAAGTAAGGAAGACCTTTCCCATCCACTGCCCTTCTCCTTCTACCCCTGGCCAGCCCTGAAGGAGCCAACAGCAACATGAAGAGTGGGAGGTAGATCAGCCAGGAGAACAAAGAAAAGAAGCAAGTCTCTGCAAGTTTCCCAGCCCCAGCCAGGGCAAAGGTAGTGATTGACAGCTTGGAGTTTAATAAAATATTGAACTGGGCTTTTAATATATGCAAAAGACCAGAATATTCCATGGGATCTGCAGGAAGGAAGAAGGAATTGAAAAAGAGTTATAACACAAAGTGGAGGAAAAATAGTTTCCTTCTATTAACACTGTACCAAATCCAGTCATTCAGAAACAAAACAGAAAGTTCCCTACGCCGCCAACTTTCTGGGTTGCTTACCTGTAAAGCCACACAGAGCTCTGCAGTTAGAAGGGTTCCACCCTTGGCTTAATGCTCTGTTACCATCTTGAAATTCTTAGTAATTTTTAACATGGGCCCCACATTCTCATTTTGCACTGGGCCCTGCAAATTACATAGCCAGTCCTAGTAACATATGTAACAGGGACTTAGCCTTGTTCTATGTGACCCCAGTTGGTAGAATGGAACCAATTAGTGGGAGGTTAAAAAAACAAACAAACAAAAAAAAAAAACAGATTTTAGCTCAATGCAGTAGTCCCCACTTATTCACAGGGAATATGTTCCAAGACACCCAGTGGATGCCTGAAACCTAGGATAGTACCAACCCCAACTATGTTTTTTTCCTATACATACATATCTATGATAAAGTTTGGGGTGCAACAGCAAAACTATATGAATTTTTTTCTTCTTCACAATTTCACAGGTAAAAAAATTCATTCTCACTGTAGATCTCAGCAACTTTAATATTGCAATTTTTATTCTTTCGTTATTAAGTCAAGAGCTCTCACCTTTTCACTTAACGAAAGCACTTCCCAGCTTCTCCTAGGCATGTTCAAATGGCCAGCATCACTACTTTTGTTCTTTGGAGCCACTGTTCAGTAAAATAAGGGTCACTTGAACACAAGCACTGCAAAACAAATGACAGTCAATCTAATAACCAAGACGGCTCCTATGTGACTCATGGGTGAGTAGCGCAGACAGCATGGACATGCCAGACAACGGGATGATTCACGTCCTGGGTGAGATGGAGTAGGACTGCATGAGATTTTTATCATGCCATTCAGAAGGGCATGCAATTTAAAACTTACGTGTATTTCTGAGATTTGCCATTTACTATTTCTGGACTGCGGTTAAGCACAGGTAACTAAAACTGTAGAAAGTGAAACTGCAGATAAGGGAGACTACTGTATCGGGACAAGTTTGTTAATACTCATAGCTACCCAGATTGGGATAGGCAGTGTAAAGGAGTCAGAGCTTCTGTTCATCAGAATCCATACGGCAGAGGTGGGTCAGCCTTTTGGCACTCTAGGGCCTCCAAAATCCTTTTCAGCCCTGGGATTATCTGATTCTTTGATTAATGAATGTCTTTCAAGATGCCTACCTTACCAACTTAACCAGGAAATGAATTCACTAGTACTGTGACCAGGTAAGAGTATTTCCAAGGGCAGCCTATGAGCCCTCAATGGATGGAGTTTCACTAATTCCCTCTGTTTCTGTCTAAGTTGTGAGGTATTTTCCTTTAATGAGAACATTATTGCCATTACTCACTGTATTTTTTTTGTTCGTTGTTAGTTGGATCTTATTATGGCTGGCACATCATGGCTCCTTTATTCCAAGAAGAAGTCTTTTAAAACATCCCAGAAAGTATCTAGGGCTTAAAGCCACTTTCATTAATCATTATTTTGACAATGAAGCATAAACAAACTGACAAATATTGTTTAAATTTAACATTAAAATTCAATGTGTATGTCTCAGTTATTGTTGTCATTCTTATTTTCAGTCAGGGAGATGGTTCCAGGAGAAGAAAAGAAAGTCAGTTGCTTTCTGAGATCAGGTGGGAAGTTTATCCTGTCAACTCCACCTTTAGAGTGCTAGTCTCTGGAGCCACAAGGACTGAAACTCTGCTTCAGAGACCCACCACTGATGACAACCATCAGGCTCAGGAACTGAAAAGAAATGGGTATGCTTGATCATGCTTAGTAAACACGTTTCACTACTGACTCACTTCTCCTGTGTGTTGGAAAACGTTGAGCTTCTTTCATACCATATTTTGGCCTTGACCTTTGTAGCATTTAGCCTCCCTACAATGGGGTCTATGTGTTTCCACACCCTCAGAGCAGGCCCCTAATTATAGCCATCCATTAAACTGTCAGAAAGAAATCCTCAACTCAATCATGTCTTTATCAAACTCTGGCTGTCAGTGGGGTCAAGTGAGGCGTCAAGTCTGACCTGCCCGGAGCCCCTGTCATGTGCTCATCTCACACTCACTGGGGTCTTTGTGACCAGGCAGGCTAGACAGCCACCTGGCCACCCCCAGCCCAGTCCCCTCTCCCACTGCATTGCCCAGACAGGGCGGAGCCAAGGGAGGCTCTCAAGCTCAGATAATGGGGCTGACATAATGTAAGGCCTTCTCCTTGACCTTATCTTGGGGTATTTTGTGCAAAGAAGTTGTATGGGGTTGGCAAAGTCCTAAATTGGAAATGGGGACTCTACTAAACAGGGAGGAATCTAGTTTCAGGGGAAAAAAATTATTCGGTTTGGACCTGCTTTTGGAGATTATGCAATAGAATCAGAGGATTTTATCACTACAAAGGAAATTGTACCTGTCTAACCCTTTATTTTACATTTCAGTGCAAATGTGGCCGAGGGACTTGGGTTTTACATTTATTGCCGAGTCTGGTTTTCTTGAGTTTCAGGTGAGTAATATTTTAAAGGGAGCTCCATAAGAATGAGGTTAATCCAAGGTTGTCATATGTGGCTTTATATTATTCTCTAGTTGGTTCACACAAATTTGTTTTGTCTCCCATACAAGATCATAAAATTCTTCAAGGATAAAGGTTATTTCTCCTCTGTAGCCCATAGTGTTAAGAAAGAACTTAAAGTATTTGTTGAGAGTTAGCAATGCTCTTTACTCATTTGTTCTGTATTTGAGTGTGTGTGTGTATGTATGTGTGTGTGTGTGTGTTCCTGTGTGTCTCCCCAGATAACTTATAAACACTACCTGCAAATTAAAATAGAACCACCGTGTTTTATTGCTAGTCCTATCACCGCATTTAAAAGACGAGGACATTGAGATCCAGGGAAGTTAAGTTACTTGCACAAGAATATTCAACAAGAATATGATTTAAACTCGGATCCACTTACAGCCCATTCAGTATTCTCCCCACAGTACCAAGTCCCCTTCTTGTTCTAACACATTGGTAGATAAATGTTGACGGGTACAAAAAAAGAAGACATCAGAAATAGGTGGGGTGAATCAGCCCTTAACTATTAACATTACTATTGTTATTAGCAATACCTTAAATATTACCCTGCCCATACAGCTGTTAAACTATTAAGATAAACACTCTTAACAGTTTCATGTATACCCCCACATAAACAATAACTGAAAGCAAGTTTGTGCCATATATATATGTGCATTTATATATAAATATATATGCATTTTCAGTTACACACACACACATATATGCATTTTCAATTACACAAGAGGAATTTTGCCATATATGTTGCTCTGTACTTTACTCTTTTCAATTGATGATATTCCTTAGAGATCTTTCTGTATCAGCACATGCAGATCTAATTCACACTTTTCAAAGGGCATTTATGGTTGGATATACCATAACTTATTTAACCACTCCCCTACTCATGGGCACTTCGGTTGTTTCCAGATTTATGCTAAGAAATGTGTACCTTTAACAACCTCTCCTGGAGGGGTTTTAAGTCACTAGCTTGACATGAGATCGGTATTTTGAAATCACCAATAGTCGTATGCCTTTATTTTTACAGATGATAAAATTGAAGCCCAGAGAAGCTTGGGAGCCTCAACTATTAATGGAAAAACCATAACTAGAACTGAGTTTTCCTGAGACATTTTTTACTATTCATTCCCCTGCTCTTGGGCCACTCCAGGGCACTGAGCACACTTGCTTTGGCTATTTGGAGAAGAGGCCAATAGACACAACTGGCTTCATCTTCAGGGACACCCAATATCTGGCAGCCCTCAGCCCCAGCGGAGTCTTTATTGAAAGAACTGATTCATAGACCAGGCGCGGTGGCTCACGCCTATAATCCCAACACTTTGGGAAGCTGAGGTGGGCGGATCTCAGTCAGGAGATCGAGACCATCCTGGCTAACACGGTGAAACCCCATCTCTACTAAAAATACAAAAATAAAAAAAAAAAATAGCTGGGTGTGGTGGCAGGCGCCTGTAGTCCCAGCACTTTGGGAGGCCGAGGTGGGCAGATCACAAGGTCAGGAGTTCAAGACCAGCCTGACCAACATGGTGAAACCCCATCTCTACTAAAAAAATACAAAAATTAGCTGGGTGTGGTGGTGCGCACCTGTAATCCCAGCCACTCAGAAGGCTGAGGCAGGAGAATTGCTTGAACCTAGGAGGGGAAGGTTGCAGTGAGCCGAGATTGCGCCACTGCACTCCAGCCTGGTTGACAGAGCAAGACTCTGTCTCAAGAAAAAAAAAAAGAAAAAGAAAAAAAAAGAAAGAAAGAACTGATTTATGAAAAGATTCTTATCATGATTTTCATTTTACTAGTCCAAAGATCACTGAGTTAAACTGCCTATTTTAGTAGATGAACAAAAGTGCCTTGAATAAAGACGTAATTCAATAAAAACTTAATCCTGTCATAAAATTGAATATTCTCTGGTTCCCCAATGAACCCCAAAACTTATTAGATTTCTTCTGCAGATGATGTGAGATGGGTTGTTTTACTTAACTAACCCCGTTATGCCTTTAAAAATACATTATTATTTAAATGTTTACATTTCTTTTATCCTGCAAATGTACAAAACAGCAAGCCTAGTGTTTCTGGGAAAGCAAGAGCTGGTAGAGGGAGTGATCACATGGGGAATTTTCAGTTGCTCATTCAGGAATTAGGAACAAAAAGCAGATTGGGGTAGTCCACATGCAGCTCACGGATCATCCCGCGCAGTCAGTTCCTGCACGTAGCTGCATAAGGAATTTCTCACAGAGCAAGGAGGAGGGAGCAGCCAGGACAAGAGCTTTCTAGGGGTGAGGATCTGAAAGCTGTGCTGACTTCTCAGGTTAGGTGCTTTTTGGTTGTTTGTTTTTAAAAAACAAATAGAATTTATTTGCTAAACAGCAAAAAACAAAGTTTTCAGTTTGGTTTCAACCGTAAAAATAATAACAATGTGTTTGTTAATTTACTTGTCAACCTGACTGAGCTAAGGGATGCCCAGATAGCTGGTGAAACATTATTTCTAAATATGTCTGTGAGGGTGTCTCTGGAAGAGATTAGCATTTGAGTCAATAGGCTAAATAAAGAAAATCTGCCTTTACCAGTGTTGGGTAGGTATCATCCAGTCCACTGAGGACAACAAAATGGTAGAGGAAGGGTGAATTTTCCCTCTCTTTGGGGGCTGGTACATCCATCTTCTCTGCCCTTGAATATCAGAACTCCAAGTTCTTGAGCCTTTGAACTCTAGGAATTGTATCAGCACCTCCTCTTTTCATCCCCCACCAGGGTTCTCTGACCTTTGAACTCAGATTGAATCATACCACCAGCTTCTCTGGTTCTCCAACCTACAGACAAGGCTATCATGGGACTCCTCAGCCTTCAGAATTGTGTGAGCCAATTCCCGTGGTAAATCCCCCCTTGTATATATCTATATCTAACATATTTGTTCTGTTTCCCTGAAAAAAAAACAACTAGCGATCATGCATTGAGCACTTGCCCTGCAAGCAGTATTTCCAGTGCTTTACATGATCACTGTTATACACCTTAGGACAAGCTAAGAGGCAAATGAGAAATGCTTGGGAACTTCTGCATATCAATTTCTTAACATCCTCCTAACCATTACTATGTTCCACAGGGTGGATCCCACCACAGTCTTGGTTTGGGGGAGATCTACAGCTAACATCAACCCTGCACTGTCTTCCAGCCCCAGGACAGACACTGGGAACTGTTATTTCTACCTTACTTCAACCCTGCAGTAGCCCAGGTCCCACTCTCTGTTTATGCACACACACCCTTAGCCCCTAACGTGAGAATTATATGTGGTAGTTTGAAAAGAGATGAGCAAAGTTTAAGGGCACAAAGGGCCGTCCATCATTCCTTCTGGACAAGATCATCTAACATAGCCCCTTAGGCCAAGAGACACATGTCATGTGTTCGGGAAATGGTGGTGGGACCCTCACTCAACTCTCGTGTGGCTCACAAAGCCCCAGTGAAGGGTGGTGCTTGTGGCCTGAGGCCAGCCAACTTCTAATGCTATCACTAACCCTGTCCTTACGGTTCCCCTGGCCTCATGTTGAGCCATACCAACCCTTCTCTTTAGGCAGCTCCTCTCTCTTTCTTACCCTCTCTAGCTCATCTGCCCAGAGCAGTTTTTATCTAATCTTGAAAGCCTTGTGGGTTTTTTGACCCTTTTTAATTCTCTTTTCAATCTGTTGTCATCAACTGTAGTCACTCTTTCTTCCAAGTGGTTTTTTTCAGATTGTTTTCTCTACTATGAGTCTAAAAAGACAATTTTAGAAATACAGAGCAGGAATTCCACTTGCTCTGTATTTGACTATGTTAACTCTGAGGTTTAAAGAAAAAAAATTCCTGGGAACAAATAGCATATCTGTTATTATGTGCAAACACTTCCTGGCTATAAGTGCTCTCTGACCTTCTCCAGATTATGCCTCTGAACTCAGAAAAGGAATTTTTATTTCAATAAAATAACTTAAGACACACTCAAAATCCTTGGAAATGATTGTCCTCTAACTCATTAGGATTTCTCTGCTTGCTTCTGTGACTTTTCTATTAAGCCGAAAGATTCTAACTGTTCTTTCTCTTCAGGTAAAATGTTTAGGTTTAAAGATTCCCCATGTCTGTCTTAGCATGTGAGCATCTCTGCCTCTAGGCATATTTTTTAAATCTATGAAGAAAACATAATGTTTCATGCTTTAAGGGTTTATTCAAACCCTTCATCTAGTTTCTTCTAATCAAAGCTATGAGTTCCTGGTAATTTAAGCTCAGGAAACGCACAAACACATCCCTAGATTTTCTTCCTTCTAGAATAAGGATCAGCAGACTTTTTCTGTAAAGGACCAGATAGTAAATATTTTAGGCTTTGCGGGTCATATGGTCTCTATCACAACTACTCAACTCTGCCCTGTAGAATGAAAGCCACTGTAGAAAATACATAAACAAATGGACATGGCTGTGTTCCAATAAAACTTATTTACAAAAACTAGCAGTGGGCCCTAGTTTACCCACCCCTCTTCTAGATAATGAAGGAGAAGAGGAGGAGGATATTGATGACCAACTACAACTCACGTTCATTGCTTTCTCTGTGAAAAATACTGAGGTAGGTATTCTATAAGTATTATCTCACTTAATCACCAAACTTCCATAGATTAGGTACAGTTATTAAACCCACTTTATAACTGAAGAAACTTAGCTTTTACATAGGCTAAACCATTTTCCCAGTCGAATAACTAGTAAATGGTGGAGCCAGAACTCACATCTGACAGCAAAGCTCACGCTAAGCTATGCCATGAAGCAAACACATTCGTTGAATGACCCAAGCCTTTGGGTCAACTTGTTTAAGAAACCACTTAAAAACACAATGGGAAAGCTTAGTAAAGTCTCAGCCTTCAAATTCAATAGGAAAATTGAACATAATTTTAATTTTCTTAATCCACATAGAGTTTGGGTCATTGAAATATTTAGTTGAACAAACATTTATTATGCCTTTATGAGCTCCACCCTGCAATAGTGATTTGAGGAACATGAAAATAATAGAATTTAGCCGCCTTAATTCAGACACACTTGAAGTCTGTATGCGGGAGGGACTTTTCCTCCCCTTTCTTCTCTTACAGTTCATCTTGGTTTGAGAAAGCAGGCACACAGCTGGCATTGTTTAAGGAAGGCAACAAAATTTATTTGAAATTGTCCACAGCCACAAATGTCTTTGCCTTTCCAGCCTCCTATGATTAATATTTTCACATGGATTTTTTTGTTCCTTTTATGATAGCGCTGTAAGCAATTCCTAGGGAATTTCAAGTGATCTTACAAAAGTCTTCTCCCAAGATTTAAAGCCCCAAGTCCTCATATAATCTTTCCCAGGACATCTTTTAGCCAAGATGTTTACCAGTGAGTATCCCACTCAAAGAAGCATCCCAGTCTGTCTAATCAGTGCCTGTGGCTGTCTTAAAACACAGCTTCACCCCTCAACCCCTCTCCTTTCACATGTCTACACTTCTACAATTGCAGGGTCTCTCTGTGTTCTAGGGGGATGGGTTAGAAAATTGGGCATGTTTGTAATAAGCAAGTGTACTTAAACAGTACAGAATCACATAAAGGAAAAGTGAAAGTTCCTACTCTCATACAGCTAACAACCCATAATAGTTTTTACCTCTATCAGTTCCAGAAAAGCTTCCCTCAGCTATCATCCATGAAATTTCTTCTCTTTACCCACTCTTCTTACCCCACATAAAATGCCTTTTTAATTTCCTTCCCTTCCAAGTATATCTGCTTAATTGTTATTATGCCTCATTTGCACTAAGTCCAAATGGAAACCAGCCTATGGTGGTGGGATTTGGTGTTGTTTTCCCCAAGGTCAAACCTCACACAGCTGTTCAGACTGAGCCCTCTCCAGCTCCCAGCAGCTGCCCAACGTTTATGTTATGTTAGAGATGTTCTCTAGTTGCAGAGCCCAGAGAGCTTGCTGTTCAGCCAAGAGAAATCCTCAGGGAAAAGAGTCAGAATGAATGGTTGCACGTTATGTGCAGGGTTGCTGGGCACTTCCTTTGTGTTGCATTTCCCACACGTAAACTAATGCAAACCAGTGCAGATTAACCACTTGGACCCACAGCTTTTTGGAAAACCTTGAGTTCTTGCTTCCTCAACATATAGAAGGTTACCCTGAAAAGCCCAAGAATATACTAAGGACTGCTCTGTGGGATTGAAATATATATCTCTGGTTAATAACCACTGGGAAGCTAAGAAAACAAGGTGGTGGGGGGCCAACTTGTGTAACTGCAGTGGCTTGGAAAAGCATGGAATTCAGTTCTATATTATTATGGCGTGACTATTCTTTATAAATAGATGAAATTTGACAAGGAAAAAGTAGAGAAGGGAAATAGGAGAAAAAGAAAAGATGAGATTCTACATTTACACTGTTGAGTTCTGTTTGGTAGAGCACCTCATCTATACTTATGAGGCTGTCACCTGACTGCCATTCTATGGACATCTTGACTCTTCCCAACACACATCAGCATCCCCAGTTGCCACGGAGTATCACTTTAGCCAGCTCCCACACACCCTTGACCAGTGGCAGACTCCACTACTGCCCCACCTGCAGTGTAATACCTCAGAGACAGGTCCAGGTACATGTGCAGCTCAGAGGAAAATCAGAGAAGGAGTTAATTTCCCCAAGGGAAACCCTTGACAGTTAATAAATACTCTGGCTTCCCATCTGTTCTGTGGGCAATTCCTGGGGGTTGATGATTCTGTATGCTTCTCAGGAATATCAGCAAAATTTAGCTCTCAATGTGCATGGCAGCAGCATCAGTGCATCATTCTTATATTGGCCTCTTCTTCTTCTGTTTCTCATTCTCTTTCATCCCTCATTTCTGCAACTTGGAATCACCTCCCAGATAAACGACTTTGCTTTCAGGGGAACCCGAGCTAAGAAAGTTAGTATTTTCACAGCTGCCTATCCAGAACAGGATACGCTTTGGGATCAACCATGGCAAAATCACCTCAACCATGGCAAAATCAAAGTTCACATTAGGGTTATACAAGGATAGGGTTGTTTGATGTTTTGGAATAGCGGTTAAGATTTAAAGAGTTGGGGCTTTCCAAGGCCTCTGTTTATATATGCTCATTCTTTATAGCTTGTCATTCCTGAGTAGCATAGACACTGTTCACAGGAAAAATTCATCTGTTATGGCACATGAAAAGAGACATAGTTTTTGACTCTCTTGTCTGCCTTCGTTTTGGTCTGTTAAGGGTATCCAGCAGCCAGAAGGAGTCACAAAAATGATAATGGAGAGTGACATCAGCAAAATGGTACACTGGGGAGTATCAAGCCTTGTTCCCTCACAGAGACATAACAACAACAAAAAAACAACCAAACAAACAAAAAAACAAAAACAGGATAAAGTATTCTTATATGAGCTATGAAAAACAGTCAAAGGTCTACAGCAGTCAAGAAAATGCCCAATCAAAAATAAGTCAATTTTAAAATGGTAGAAAATTTTGTGGTATTTTTACTCACCCTTTCCCTCCTTCCTCTGACATGCCACCATCTTGGTCTGAAGGAGATGGCAGTTCTCAATCCCATTACTTGAATTGGAGGGAGCAGAGTGGACCTTATTCACAATGTCCTAACTTATCTGAGGGCTTCCTGAAGATTGGTCTCTTGCACCTAACTCAGAGCTGAGGCAGTGAGAAGTAGCAGGCACTGCTTGGGAAAGCTGCAGAGAGACTAAGACTTGTAGATACCTGGGCTGACAGATGGAAATGGAGAGTAGACAATTTAAGTCCCTAAGGAGAAACTGAGGTAAGACTCTGGGGAATTAAGACATGTATAAACAGCTGTGTATATGGGGTGATAGAAATGCCATGCACATCCGGGCAAGATGCACGCTCAGAAAAGACCTGAGGAGACCTTAACCTTTCTCCTCAGACAGATCCAAAGGCTCAGAACACAAGCCTGGCTAATTAGATGAGGATGGCCGTGGCACAAAGCCAGCCTGTGAAGACTGGGAGAAGTTTATGGGTTTTTTGTTTGTTTTTTTGTTTGTTTTTCAAACGCTCAATTTTCAACAAAACATCACAAGGTACACAAAAAAATCAGAAAACATAGCCCATTCAAAGAAATAAAATAAAAAGACAGAAACTATCCCTGAAGAAACACAAGGATCAGACATATGACAAAGAATTTAAAACAACTCTCTTAAATATGCTCAAAGAGCTAAAGAAAAACATAGATAAAGAATGAAGGGAGGCTGGGCACAGTGGCTTATGCCTGTAATCCTAGCACTTTGGGAGGCTGTAGTAAGGAGGATCGCTTGAGCTCAGCCTGGGCAATATGGCGAGACCCCTGTCTCTGTTAAAAAAAAAAAAAAAAATTAGCTCTGCATGGTGGCATGTGCCTGTAGTCCCAGCTACTCAGGAGGCTGAAGTGGGAGGATTGCTTGAGCCTAGAAAAATCAAGGCTTCAGTGAGCCATGATCCTGCCACTGCATTCCAGCATGGGCAACAGAATAAGACCCTGTCTCAAAAAAAAAGAAAAAAAGAATGAAAGAAAATCAGGAAAACAATATATGAACAAAATAAATGTATCAACAAAAAGATAGAAATTATAAAATCAGCCAAACAAATGATGGAGCTGAAAAATACAAAAACTGAAATGAAAAATAAATTAGAAGGTTTCAGTAGCAGACTTGAATAGGTAGAAGAAAGTATCAGTAAACTTGAAAATAGGACATTTGAAATTATCAAGTCTGAAGAGCAGAAAGAAAAAAGAATAAAGAAAAGTGAACAGAGCCTAAGGGATTTAGAGATACTATCAAGAGGATCAATATATGACTGTGAAAGTCCCAGAAAGAGAAGAGAGAAAGGGTAAGAGAGCTTATGTGAAGAAATAATGGCTGAAAACTTACCAAATTTGAGGAACGACATGAGTCTACAAATTCAAGAATCTCAATGAATTTCAAGTAGGATAAAACCAAAAAGACCCATGCTGAGACACATTGAAGACAAACTGCTGAAAGGCTAAAACAAAGAAAATCTTGAAAGAGCAAGAGAAAAGTTATTCATCATATATAGTAGATCCTCAGTAAGATTAGTTTCTCATCAGAAGCCTTAGAGACCAGAAGGCAATTGTACAATATTTAAAGTCCCAAAATAAAACACACACTCACACACACACACACACACACACACACACACACACACAACTGTATCTAGCAAAACTGTCCTTCAAAAATGAGGGAGAAATAAAGACAAAACGAAAACTGAGAAAATGCATTACTTCTAGTTCTGCCCTACGAGAAATGCTAACGTGAGTTCTTCAGGTTGAAAAGAAAGGATGCTATAAAGTAACTCAAAGAAGATATGAAGATCTCTGGTAAAAGTAAAGATATGGACAAATGTAAAGTCTGGCATTGTAATTCTGGTTTACAACCCCACTTTTTATTTTCTATGGTATTTAAAAAACCAGTGCATACAAATAACTATAAATCTATGTTAAGGTGTACACTATATATATAATTTGTGACCTGAATAACATAAAGTATTGGGAGTAGTTTCAAAGAAGTATAGTTTTTGTATGCAATTGAAGTAAATTTGGTATCAATTCAAAATAGAATGTTATAATTTTAGGATACTATATGTAATCCCCATGTAACCCCAAAGAAAATATGTATAGAATATACACAAAAGGAAAATAGAAGGAAATCAAAACTTGTCACTACAAGAAAATCAACTAAACCCAAATAATGAATGGAGGAAATAAGCAACAAAAAAGCTATAAGACTTACAGAAAAATAACAAAATGGCACAAGAAAGTTCTTCCCTATTACTAATTACTTTCAATGTAAATGGTTTAAACTTCCCAAACAAAAGGCACAGGTTGCCATAATGTATTTTGTAAAAAGCATAATCCAATTATATGCTGCCTATAAGACACTCACTTTAGATCTAAAGACACACATAGGTTGAAAGAAAATGGATAGTAAAAAATACTCTACGCAAATATCAGCAAAAAACCGTTAAGAATGGCTATACTAATACCAGACAACATACTATTAAAAACTTTACAGGAGACAAAGAAGGTTATTATATATTGATTAAAGAGTTAATTTACCAAGAAGATATAGCAAATATAAACATGTATGCATCAGATATCAGAGCTCCAAAATATATGAAGCAAACATTGACAGACTCGAAGGGAGAAGTACACATGCCTACAATAATAGAAGGTTTCAATACCCTACTTTCAAAAATTGATAAGACAACCAGACAGAAGATCAATAAGGAAATAGAGAACTTCAACAACTACAAACCAATTATACCTAACATACATATGCAGGATGCTTCACTCAACACCAGCAGGGTACATATTTTCTCAAGTGTTACCTGGAACATTTTTCAGGTCATAACAGATTTAAACAAGACATAACAGATTTAAAATTATTGAAGTCACACAACATATCTTTTTTAACCACAATAAGATAAAACTAGAAATCAATAGTAGAAGGAAAACTGGAAAGTTACAAATATGTGGAAATTAAACACACACTCTTAAACAACATATGTGTTAAAGACAAAATCACAAGAGAAATTAGAAAATACCTTGAGATAAATGAAAATGAAAATACAACATACCAAAACTTATAGGATGCCGTGAAGGCAGTGCAAAGAGAAAAATCTGTAGCCATAAGTATTCACATTTGAAAAAAGAAAGATCTCAAATCAACAACTGAATTTTATACCTTGAGTAACCAGAAAAAGAAAAATGATGAGAGTTTATCTTACAAGGCATCAAAGAGATTGTGCTTCTCCTGATGGCCTGACCTACTCTGGCTTCAATGATTCCCACAATGTTTCAACATCTGTAGCTGCAAACTTTCTCCAGCCCACACTTCCAACATTTTGCAAGATAGTATCACATGTGTATTATGTTCCACATGTTCAAAACTGAACCCTTCACCTTCCCATTGAAATTTACTTTGCCTTTTGTGGTTCAAATCCCAAGCCACAAAGTCTTCTCTGACTCTGCTCTCCTTCACCATCCTCCACTCCACAGCAAACTGGGGGCAGTGCCTCTACTATGTCATTCATACATGTTTTCTTTCTCTTTCTAAACCACTGTTTCCATTCAGCCCTCAGAACTTGTTACTGGATACTGAAATAGCTTCTAATTGCCTGCTTTCTGCTTCTTTGCTATGAGAGTGTTAAGTGTTAAGGGCATGGGGTCTGGGGCCAAAAATCAAGATCTGAATTCTGGTTCTATTGATTTCTGGCAGTTTGGACTTGGGAAGGTCACCCAGCCTATCTGTGCCTCATTTTACTCATCTGTAAAATGGGACATAATCTACCTCATAGATTGAAATGACAATGAAATGAATTAATTCATATAAATCAGTTAGAATGGTTGCTTGAATATAGCAGGTATTCAATAAAGGATGACTATTATTATTACACTGTGGCCTGGATGATCTTTCTATACCATAGTTCTGAAAAAGTCATTCCATAATAAAAAATAGTGATATAAAGTCTTAAGTCCTTAACTTCAAGCTCAAGCCTATCTTTCTGGCCTAATTTCTCACTGTTCCTTCCAGTAACTATACACTCCAGCCTGGTCTGTTTGATGTTCATAAAATATGCTCTGCACATGTCCACCTTATGAACTATGTTCAGGTGGTTATTCTCTTTGTCTGGAAGCTCTCTCTATTACCATCTGTCAAGTTCTAGCTGTATTTCAAAGTTCAGGTCAAATGTTACCACCTTTCCCCCATGAAGCCTTCCCAGATTAAACTGGTCATAGGTACTTTTCCCTCCTCTGTATCCATGCTTTGTTCCTTTGTTTTAGCAATTATCAGAATCTTCTCTGCCATGCAGTTAGCTGTGCCTCTTTATCTACAACCAATACTCAAAGGCAGGGATCTTTTCAATGCTTCTTTGCTGCCCCAAGACCTACAGTGACTAGCAGTCACACTTTGCTTTTTACATATCTAACATTCAATGACTCTGAATGTTGGATTTATATGGACCTATTTTTTATTTCTCCAAGGCTATGCTCATAGGTTATGGATTGAGAGAGAGTGTTGGATTGAGGACCAGTGTTGACAATAAAATCCTTCATAAAATGGGAAAAGACTTTCCTCTTTCCCATTACACATGATATACTTTAAAGAAGGAAATAGCTTGGAATTCTACTGTAGGACCTTGATATTTATTATTACATATGACCCTATGGGTTGGGTATCTCTAGTTTTGTCTCAAAAACTTGGGCGTGACCAAAGGAGCTGATATAGTTACTGAAGAAGTGTGCTGTTGCTACTGGTGGTTTTTGGAAGCTGCCCTCTAATTGGCATTAACAGTTCTTACAGAAAAAAGGAGAAATCTTACTAATTACTTTCTCCTTAGCCTCACTTCTTACAAAGCCAGGTGGAGTTAACCGGATTCATCCTGATTTCCCAAAAGAATTTATAGCATTGTATTCCCTTTGCTGTCTTTTTTTCTTATTTTCAACTATTATTGAGCCCCTCCATGAGCCAGACTCTGTCCATGTCTTTGGAAATACCAAGATGAATATAATTTTCCTGCCCTCAAGGAGATCTCAGTTTTATAAAGGGAAAATAGGGCTATATAAACAAATTGCTAACAAGTGATGAGTCGGAGGATAGAGACATGGGTAAGATGTTGCATGGACACAGGGGAGAGACTGACGGACTGTTCTTCGGGGGTCAAGGCTGATATACAAGGAAGATCTTAGACTATGTGATGTTTGGGTTGAGTCTCGATGTATTAATTGGAGTAAAGCGGACCCAAGGGATGACATATGAAGGAAAGGCTAGAGCAATGCATGGGCTTGTTTAGAGGAACCCCAGCTAATTCTATGACTCATGTTTTTATAACATCTTGAAGTACATTATTGCCATGACAGCCCTGTGATGTGGGGGTATTTTCATCCCCAGTTTACAGAGGAAAGACTGGAGGACCAAAAGGATTAAGTAATTTTCCCAAGGTTTCTTTGCTACTCAGAAGCGGCGTTCACTGAGTTTCCAACCTAAGGGAAGGAGTAAAAATATTTCCTGTCAAACCCATGCTCAGAGCGTAAATGAAATCTTTTAACACTCAAACCAAGCAGCTCTGCAAAAATAGTGCATTTCCTCTTAGGAACCAAAATGAGACTCAGACCTGAAACTAGAAGGTCTCTACTACAGCCACCCCAACACATGCCTTGACAAGACATAGTATCTTGTTTCTAAAGGCGAAAGAAGCACTTATAAACAAGACTGCAAAGGCATCTTAAGACAACAAATCACGCATTTAAAAAAAAGGAACATTCTGATGAGTTAAGTGTAAATGAATCAGAAACATATGGATTCAATCTACTTTAAAAGGCCCCATGGAGTTCAGAGTGAAGGGCAAAACCCTTGGAGGAGATTACATTTGGGGATTTTTCCAAACCTAGGGCCATGAGTTCTGCCAGGCCCAGAGCTGGGCTGGCATATAGATCTGCAAGGAAACCAGCAGACTGAGAATCTCAGAGAATGATAGGGGTCAATGTATCCTGAGTCCTCAAGCCCAGACTTGGACATTTTCAGAGCAACGTCCCTCCTAGAAACACCTTTCCTGAACATCTCATTCTGGACACAGGCTGGGACACTACGTCCAGCCAATAATTTCTCCTTAGAAACTCAACTTCTACAACTCTAAAAGGGTGTAGAGATTGAACTGAAACCCTTAATCTTTCCCAAAGATCCCCTCCCTTTGGATCGAAACTTTGTGAACGATGTCCACACCATGCTTTCTATCAACACATCTGGGTCCTTGGGCTCCAGAGCATTCGCCTTGGAAGATGAAATCGAGACCACAGTCATCTTTGGAAACATCAGATGGGAAATGAATGTGCACAGAAATATTGAACACGCTTAACTAAACAGGAAGCACTGTACGAAAAAGAGAAAGATCCAGACTCATCAGTCTGGTTGGGTTACATCAGCCATGAAAATAAACCCAAGCGGTAGGACTGGAGCCCAGAGAGATCAGGCAGGTTTAATGGAAACCAGGCAACGAGCAGGTGTGTCTCTCTGAGCATAAACATCCTTGATGGCACCCCGTGTTCCATGCCTTCTCCAGGGTCCGAGGTCCCACCATGGGATGCGAGCCCATCGCACTGTTTGCTGGGCCTCCATTTCTAAACCTACCCAAGTGCCCTCTTCCAGATAAAATTCTAGCCTGCTCTGTGGCTGATTTTTCTCTCTCACAGTGGGGTTGTCATGGAAACGGGCCTTTCCCATCCACCACTGATTGAATCAAGTTTCGGAGCAGGGGTGGGGGGAGTGCTAAGAAAAATGAGCAAGTGGAACAGGACTCTCCCCAAATGCTGCTTAAATTGAAATCATCTGTTCTCACAGCCCAGGCTCCCCTCCCCAGCCACACCCCGGCAGCTGTGAAGGTGGGCGGGGCAGCCGCCCTCACCAACAGGGTGGATCAGAGTAAGGTGATGTGCTGAGAAATGCACTGAGAAATGCACTTCGGGCTGCTTTTCCCCCCTCCCCCTGCACGCCTGCTGCCAGCTTTCACACTGGGCATGGGCCAGCCTCTGGGTCCCTTTCCTGGGGCCACAGAGATAATGAAGAAGTTCTAGGGACAGTTGGGGAGCTGAGCCTCACAGGCATTCTCTGTCTTCCCGAAGCTCCCATTGTCACCTCCTCCCCAAGACAGGCCTTCTTCTCCCTTGTCGATGCCTGAAATCATCCACCTTAGCGTTTTGTTTCTTTAGCTTAGGACTTTGATACTTAAGGCAAATAACCCAGGTGAAGAAGGAATAGCAACGCCTTAACGTGAAGAAAGGATGCTGGCCCTGCTGCAGAAAGTGGGCATTGTCAGCCTTAGTGAGACAAATTTGCTGAGAGCCTACTGTGTGCCAGGCATGGTCCTAGATACCAGGACACAGCAGCGGGAAGAACACAGTGGCCTGGGGGGCAGGAGAGACAGACACCGTCCAGAGGAGTTCAGGAGCCATGTGGAGCACCAGAGACCAAAGATGCTGCCGTCATCCCCTTGCCTGGCTCGCAGGCTGGAGTCCAGAGCCCCAGGACCCTGTCTAGCACTTCCTTCAGCTAGTCCTGCCCTTGCAGGGAACATTCAAAATATCTGAGGAACTTCTTCAGATGCAGCAGTGAGCTCTCTGGCCTGCAGAGCCTGAAGGGCTGCCTAGGGTGGATGGATAAATGGCTCACAGCCTTCCTTAGACATGCCTCAGTGTGCATATCTGTTACTTCAGCACCAAGAGTTCTGATGCCCAGAGGGCAGGGAGGACAAGTCCAGGAAAGGACACTGCTTAGCAACGTTACACAGATGGCCAGCACTTTGGCTGAATCTGGCCGAGCCTCCTGTGGGGGGAGATGCTTCCAGAATCCGGTTACCCCTTCCTCCCACACCCCAGGATCTCCAAATCCACAGGGTTGGGCGGGTGCCTCCAAAGCCAGCACACTGTCAGTGAATGTTCTCAGCAGGTTCGTGGATAGATAGAAAAGGTGACCCGGAAAGGGGTGAAGGAGAACAATGGGCAAGGGTGCAAAAAAGGGGGCAGGATTCGGTGGTGGGCTTCTTGCCCAGCTTAATTGTTTTCATCCTCAAAATGATTCCTAACAGCTGGGCCAGGGATCATCCTGCTCAGATTCCACAGACTGCGGAGGGAAGCCAAGGGACTTGGCAGGCGAGTCCTGAGGCCGGTGCACAGGCGAGCTCAGTGCGGGAAAGGAAGGGGTGAGAGAGGCCCAGCCATTCTGCTCTGTTACAGCTTTTTTGGTGGGTGCTTTGAAGAGAGAGGGGTTGGCTACAGCCCAAGCTGAGTCCAGGCTTTCCTGCCAGGGTGTCCTCCCTTCCCTCCACATGACACCCAGGGTGGTCACCTTCAGGCCTTTCCCTGGACACCTGACCTGTGACATAGCTTCCAATTTCCTGTTGTCTTGTGCCAGCTTTCTCAGGTGGCCAGAGCAGAGGGCCAGCAAGGCCAAGGGCTAAATGCAAATCCCCAAGGAGATAAGTGAGCAGCATTCTGGTCTGTGGCCCCAGGTGGCTGCCCTGACCCTAACAAACCATGGGATGTATGTTGGCCTCTGGTCATGAGAGGAGCCAGCTGCAGCACGGGGCTGAACAGTGTAGCCTAGGTCTGTCCAGGCAGCTGTAGCTCCATCAACAGCAAAAAATTGCACATTTCAGCCCCTGAACTTAAACGTGTGTGGCGAACGTGGCGGCAGTGCTTGCCTGGCCCCAGCTTCCAGCCTCGAGGTGGAAGGGGTTTCAATACATGTACTAGTTTCTTCCAGGCTGTCTTGGTGACATGATTTAAATAATTATAAAACTCTCTAGCATATAAAATAGGTGACAAATACCAGAAATCAAGCACTGGAGATAAACAGCCTCAAACTAGGAATTTAGTCCTCCTGCAATATAATTCCATCTGAATTTTAGCCGTTCACTCAATCATTACCTGTTGTGTGCCTAATACTATTAGCAAGACACTGCTATAATTGCTTATCCTCTCATTTAATCCTTGTAACAGTCATGTAAGGCAAGTACTATTATTATCTCCATTTAACAAACGAGCCCACTGAGGCACAGAGAAGATAATTTAATTAACTCGCCCAAGTCACAAGGCTAAATCCTAGAGCAGGGCTTGGAACTCAGTGCTCTTGACCATCATCTGTATACTATGTGACAGTACTGTGCTGAGTTTTCTAAGGGAGTGAAAATACATTTACGAAGTGGTCATTGCCCTTGGGGAATGTACCATCCTCAAGACTTAAGAATGCTCTCCAGGCTGGCCTGCACAAATTTCCTGCCCAACCTGAAGCTTTGACCTCTGTATACCTTGGGTCTTTGGACTTCAGTGCTATGGCCTGGCCATCATCAGCCAGCCCCTCTCCTTTCCCTACCCATTAAACCCCAAAACCTACTGAAATCAACCTTATAAACCTCAACCTGTTCTTCCAGGCAGGTCACCCAGAGCTCCTTCCTACCTCGACCATTACCCTGAAGTAACGGAAAGGATTATACAGCCCTTGCCTAGCTTCATGATAAAGATCTTGTGCAGAGGCCAGAGGACACCGCTGAGTTGGGCCCACTGCCTGGGCTCAATCCCCGCAGCCAAATGTGAACCAGGTCAAATAGCAGAGAAATGAGACACACTGAACGCCGGAGCCCATTTGGCCTAGCCCAGCCAGCAAGGTCACCCTCAGCTGTCGGCTTGCAGACAGGTCACTTGGCATTTTAGTGACTACCCTCACCTGCAGATTTGGGAGATGGCACTTGGCATTTGGTCTAGAAACTGATTTCTCTGGACCCCAAGAGCTGGCACAAAGTTTTATAAATGAGCAAAAGTCAAAGAGAAGATTTCATTAGGAACTTAAATGTGGAGGTTCCAGTCAGGGTTGCAGCAAACAGGGCCTGAAAGCGCACCAACGTCAGAGTGATGAAGATACAAAAAGAAAGCCTAAGAGGGATAGGAACATTCTGGAGCTGGTGAGGGCTATCAGACACCATCGCAGAATGTTAGCCAGTGACTGGATCTCCTTCCCTGGGGAGCCGTTAAAACACAGGTGCGTTTTGAAGACAGGAGCTGGAGATGATCTGTCCATCCCACTGTTGACTTCTGGCTCTAGAGTCACCAAGAGTCTTTAGAGAGGGCCAGTGTCTTTGTTTGGTGCCTCTCCTTTGCCACAGCAACTGCTTGTCTCAGAGGTACTAGGGCATGGGGGCCTCTGAACAGCTTGTGACAGCACCTCGGCTCAGAGAGAAAGGGCTTCTTGTGGGGCATGATGTGGATGAGGATGGCAGGATAAATCAAAGGTGCCCCAAAGGACACCCCCTTTCCTGAAATCAGGCTTGGTTTTATAAACCTGTGAGGATTCCATTCTGTTCCAAGAGGGAAGCCAGGCGGGGCTGGCAGAAGCCCCCAGGGCGCCCAGAGCTGCAGCAGCCTCCAGCCTTGGGTTTCCAGAGTAGAGAGCAGGTAACATCCAGCCATTGTCCCCGCCTCCCTCCTTTGCAATGCCCCCATCCCTGACATCACAAGTGAAGGCCCAGGATCTGAGAGTTGCCTGGGTTATGGCAAGTTCCAGGAGGTGGCAGCCGTGTGTAGTCTGTGAGGAGGATCTGACTCACCCCCAGCGCCTCACCAAGGTCACTGTTGGTGACTGGGAGGTTTCCCACCCTGCCACCCCACCCCACCCCACGTCTGGCTGCTCAGGAGTCAGAGATAGCTTCATGGGCCATGGCTAACCCGAGACAGGCAGCACACCCACGTGTGCGGAGAGGGGCTCCAAGGCTGTGCTCTAGGGTGGCCATGAAGCTCAGCTGACTTCCAGAGAAACAGGCAGGAAGCAGGGGCTTGAGGGCACTGGGCCCGCTGTTGCCAGCTCTGCTGTCCCAGGCATCACAAGCCTTGCTCCAGAGAACCTCAAAGCGCAGCCCTACATGATCTAAGTAATTTTAGCTTCCCCCCACACACTCTTCCCAAAGGGCAGGGTTACATAGTTCTTGTTACACACACTCACTGACATTTAATTCCTGCCTCTTCAAACCAAGACAGGAAAATAGTTAAATAATCATCAGAGTACCTTCTAAGAATGAACAATAAACTGGAGATAACACTACGCACTTCTCAGGGGCTCAGAGCTGTGCAGTTTCCCAGTGTATAAGGCACTGGACCCCGTTTGCCCGGAGTTTCTAGGGTAAAATATTCATGTGAAAACGTGCCCAGGTCTGGCTTTTCAGAGGCAGCAAAGAAGGGAAGGGCCTTGGAAACATTTTTTCCCACACCACAAAAAATAATAATAATATGGGAAAGGAACACCCAAATTAAAAATAAGTGGTTTGTGGCTTTAAAAATAAAGTTTCTCGGTGTTTTACAGAATCATAAAGTATTAAAATTGGAAGGAGCATGGGATACCGTGCAGGCCCAGCTTCATACAGTGCAGCCACCTCTTCTGTGCCATCACTAACTAGCAGGTTGGTGCAGACACTGCTTGTCTGCCTCCAAGAACAGGGAGCTCATTACTATGTTTCATGTAATTTTTTCTTACAGTAAGCCCAAATTCCTTTTTCTATAACTTCCAGCAAGCATTGCAAACTGTGTCCTCTGGAGCCGCTGTACATACCTCCACCATGCCCCCTCTATGACCTCCTTCAGATCTTTGAAGATAGCTGTAGCATGCCCTGCAGTTCCAGCCTGCTTCTCTCCAGGCTACATTCATTGCTTTGTCAAACAACCTAATTCAGGAGGCCGTTGGCTGCCTGGGTCTTTTCCATGTTAGGCCAGGTTTGGCAGGGTGGCGGTTACTGCTGCTAGGCCTTCTCCAGCAGCATGCCTCCTCGCTTTCTGCTGTGCCCTGCAGGAGTTGTGCCTGTGGACAAGCAGCCTCTCCACGTGGCAGCTCTGGGGCTCAGCCTTCGTCAGACCACGGGCAGAGCTGGATTCTGAGAGTAGAACGACTCATGGGTGCTTCGACTGTCTCTCCTCACAGAGGCAAATGGGCTGATACCAAGTCGAAAGCTCCAAGAGAAGAAGAAACGTGCCTGTCTTGTACACTGCTGTGTCCCCAGTAACAGTCACAAAACAAATTCCCATGAGGACTTTCAGATGAATGAATAAAGGGATGAAGGAAAGCAAGCTGGGATCAAGTGGGGCGATACACACACACTTCTGTGGATTCAAAGTCTGTACCTCAAAGGCACAGGATCCCCTGCTTGCAGCCCAGGGCCTCTCCAACCCCGCCAAGCCCAGCTCCGAGGCTGAGTTCCACCACAGCTCTGCACGCCACCCCACTTCCATCCTCCGTTTCTCCTTTAAATGATCATTACCTCCTCCTCCTTGCACCCACGCCAATCTCTTCCCATTTCCTCTTCCTCCCCTTTCCATCTCTCCCAAGGAACTCCCTCATCTATAAAAGTTCCAGGATATTCTTCTGGGATGTAAATTTCAAAGAAAGCCAAGCAAGAAAAATAAAAACGTGGTAGAAGACCTCGTATTGCTTTCGGGGCCCTAGCTGATATCCTTTGGCCCTAGACTGATGGGGGGAGGACCCCCACAAGTGCTCATTGTTCCAGCTGCATGGACAGCAATCCCTGGGTCAGGGGTTTGGAGGGAGAGGCTGTCTGGGTTGCACCCATTTTTGCAGGGATCTTTAGTAATGAGGCCTGGCTCACAGCCTCCTGCCCTAGGCCCATATGTTGTTGAGCAGCAGACGATGCAATTGATCTGTAAGTGGATGTTTTAATTTTTTATTTTTCCCCTCCAGGGTAAAAAGCAAAAGGAACTCTGGCAACTGGTGATCTATAAACTTAGCAAGCCTCAGGACTTAGTCTATCTCACACATGGAAAATAACTCCTGAGCCCTCCCTCGCCACCCCCACCTCTGGAGATAAACTGTAATAAAATCTTAACTGGCTCCCCTGTTCTGACAGATAGCGGACGACTTGCTTTAAAAGACCTTCGTGTTCTGTTGCTGCCAAAGACATTTAAACTGCATTCAGGAGTGACTTCTCTGCCTAAAACACTGACCAAGCCTGAGGCAGATTTCCCTGGCCAAGGCTCCATGAGCCTTGGTGGGCAGGGCTGCTGAAGCTGGGTGCCAGGGCAGTGGGAGATGCCACACTCACCCTGGGCTTGCTGGGCAGGAACCATGGGTTGCCTTTGGGCTTCAGGTGTAGTGGCTGGACGGTGTCTGACAGCACGGCATGGTGGGCTGCGGGATGCAGATGGGATGGACACTTCCCATCCCCCAGGCAGCTCAAGAGAAAACTGCTCTGAATGGCTCTTATTTATAAGGAAAATGTGGCAGAGGCTCATTTACAGAAAGAGAGAGAGCTGGGGCCTGAACTACTCCGAAGCCCTTGGGGGAAGGGACTGGTGGGGGAGCGGGGAGGAATATTTAGTGACAGCTGAGTTCTCTTTTGTTCTCTAGAGTCTTTCAAGTTGTCAGAAGCCCCTGGAATGGGAACCCTGTGGGAGGTGTGTGAGAAGATGAAGATGAAGAGAGAGGAGAGCATTAAGGAAGGTGGGGAGGACAGAGAATGGAAAGAAGAAAAGGAGGAGGAACACAGAGGAGGGGAATGGAAGAGGGAAGAGACGGGGTGCACCAAGACAGAAGAGAATGAGGGAGACAAAAAAAATGGAGTGGGGTGTCTCCAGGGGGAAGAGCTTAAAACCAGGAATGAGCAAGGAAGAAAAAAACCAAGTGATTGCGGGGACAGGCTGAATCTTTTGAAAGAAAGGTTTTAAATTGGCAACTTCTCCCAAACCTACGCAACAGACACTCCTGGATGTAATTTCTCCAAATCAGAAAACTTCCCCGGAATCTTTTTTTTTTTTGGTCGTAGTTGACAGAGGGCTTTAAAGTCAAATTTATTGCCTAAGTTTTGTGATCTGCTTAAACCAGGTGGCTGAAACATCTACATCTGCTTCCTTGAGAGGTTCCTGCGAGTTGTCTCCTCCCGACACTGCTTACTGCAGGCTCTCTCCTCCAAGCCTTTAAGGAGTGGTGGAGCCCAAGGCTTGGACAAAGGGTGACATGCACTCAAAGAACCAGGAAGATATGTTTTCCTGGACCCAGCTAGTCTCAGGAAGAGAATAGCACAGGTCCCACGGAAAGGGAGACGCCAGCTGTGCAATGAGAGGACACAGAAGAAGAGAGGAAACCTGGAAAAGGCAGGAATCTAGAAGGAGGGTCTTTCATGCATACAGCCACCAGAAAGCTCAGATAACCATTAACAATTTTGGCACTTGCCTTATTAGCCCGATTAATTTTTAATCACTTGATATTTTCAGTTGGCAACACAAGAACATAGTATAAGTGGCCACGGATCCCGGAGGCGTGCGCTGAGAAGTGAGTCGTTTTCCCTTCTTCTGTTGCCCCCAACCTCACCCCAGGTAAGGGGAGGAGCTGCGGACACCAGTTCCTTGTGTGTAAAGGAAGATTCTCAAAGAGGCTCACAAGGGATCTTGGCCCATCCTAGAGATGGAGTTAGAAAGACTTCTCTGTGGAAGTGATGCCTGAGCTGAAAAGTGAAGAACAAATAGGGCTTCGCTAGTGAAAGAGGGCGTTGCATGTGCAGAGGCCCTGTGGTCAGTGTAGAAACAGCACTTTTGTTGAAATGATGAGCAGGCAGCGTGGCCCAATTGCAGACAGTGAGGTAGTGGTGGGAGGAGAAGAGGCAAGAGTGGTGGGCAGAGCTGGGCAAAAGCTGGTTCAGGGTCTCCCAGGCCATGTTAGGATTGTATCCTGACAGTTGAGAAAGCATATGTAACAGATACATTTTACATTTTGAAAAAACAGTCACCGTAGCTCCAGGGCAGAGAAAAGCAAGGAGCAAGCAGTGCCTGGCCCATGCCCACTCAGTCTCACCTTTGAGTCCAGCTGCAGCCAGGGGGGAAACTTCCACGTTTGCTTCACCCCACCTCACACTAACAACCCCAACCTCAAGTGCTTTCTTCCCCAGAGCTTCCAGTTGCATGAGCTCTGTTGGCCCATGCATAGGCACAATCTGGAAGTGAGGGGAGTTCATGCTTCCAGGAGCAACCCTCAACAAGGTGCAGGGGATGGTGAAGGCTCAGAAGGTTCCAGGTAGGCTCTATGTGCCCAACCAGTAACCTCACTTACACACCCAGTATTGTCCATCCCTCTTTTTCCACTCTGCCTACCCCTCACTTCTGATTCCTGGGGCTGCTCCTCAGTAAGCAACGAGCACAGAAGCCTTTGTTGTAGGCTCTGCTTTCCGAATGTGTCTTAGGGTGAGATGGAGGCAGTGGCAGCTGTTTGGATAAGACATGATAGGAGCTTGGACTACAGTGGTAGCCATAGCAATGAAGAGTTCGGAAGATGTTTAGAAGGTTAAATCGAGTCTGCTGCAGCCGTGTTCTCCAGCACCACCCTCTTTCATGTTCTGATTGACATTCAGTGCAGGTCTGCAGCTTGTGGCAAGCCAAGGATGGAGGAGACGTGGTCATGTGCCACAGCCCTGTTTTACAGCTGTGCAAATGGCCACCATATATGGAGGTGGAAGTCAAAACTAAGGTCACAGGAGATGAAGGTATTTCCAGACAGTCCTAAATTTAGGTGAATTTATAATGGGGCCTTTGGCAGATATCCAGTGTTAATTAAGGTCTCCTTCAGGCAAGACCACATAGCCAGGACCATTGCAGTGGAGATGCAAGTGTCTGAGATAAGAGGGGAGGAAAACTAGTAGTAAAGGCTGTTCTTAATTGAGCCGTGCACAGTTATGCCCCGTGCCAATCCTGTGAGGCAGATATAGTTACCCCTATTTTATAGAGGAAGGAATGGAGATGGAGAGAGATACCATAATCTTCCCAGTATCACTGGAGTCATGCAAGATAGAGCAGGCACCTGCAGCTTGTCCTAAAGTCTTGAAAGGCCTGCATTTACCACCTACCTCCTGAAGGCTCCCTTTTAAATAGATACCCCTCTGCTCCATAGAGGGAGAAGAGCCTGGGGAGAGTCCAGCCATCTCTCTTCATGCTGGATTATCGGATCAGTGGGTTGCCAGTAGATCCTGTCACTCAGTAGATGAGAGACAAGATGACATTTGGTGGCTGTAGAGAACCGAGAGGACCATGGTGTGGCCTCGTCATGCTGGGTGGGCCAGATGCAGCACTAGGTGCCTGTCATTTATTGATATTTAACAACTTACATCAACTCAAGTAATCCTCACAGTAATTCATGATGTAGGTTGCAGTATTATGCCGTTTTTAGAGATGAGGAAACTGCGGCGAAATAAAATGGTTTAATAATTTGCCCAAGAAGACACAGTTAGTAAGTAGCAGAACTGGGATTTTAACTCAGATATTCCAACACTGGTGTTCTAAATCACTGTTCCACATTGCTTCTCATTCCTGCATATACATTTTAGGGCTTGCTTTGTGTCAGGGATCAATCAGATGCTACAAGACTAGAGCTTGGAAGAAATAAAAAAATGAATTGAGAATGCACTCAGCCCTCAAGTAGTTTATTCTCCCATACATGTTAAGTATTTCCACAGACAATCATGAGAAAATGTAGAAGGCGACAGATACTTAATGAAAGATACTGATAAATACTATGGGGTTCCAGAAGGGAGAGAGATTCCAGCATGGGAAATGGGGAGGGATGGCACATCAGTTTGTTTTTGCCACATAACAGACCACTCCAAGATTTAGTGGCTTAAAACAATACATACTTATTACTTCTCACAGTTCTGCAGTGGGCTGGGCAGTTCTGCTCAGGGTTGGCTCAGTAGAGCTGGATGACTGAGCATGGTCTCATTCACATGTTTAGGATGACTGGGAAAGATGTGACCTCTCTGTATATGGCCTCTTATTCTCCAGAAGTCTAGTCTAGTTTCCTCTCATGAAAGGTTTCTACCAGCAAGAGAGAGAGAAAGCCCTGAGCATACTCTTTTAAGCTCCTCCCTGTGTCCCCTTTGCTAATGTCCATTGGCCAAAACAAGCCACATGGTCAAGCCCAAGATTCAAAACATAGAAAAATAGAGTCTACCTTTTGGTGGGGAGAGATGCCATATCACATGCAAAGAGACCTCAGAGGAATGAGAAAAATGTATAGGTATAGCCTTCTTTTTTTTTCTTTCTTTTTTTTTTTCAGTAAGTCATGATCAGAGAAAGCTTTACAGAAAGGAAGGGGCTTGAAAGATGGCTAGAGCTGGGACATGTGACAGATTTCCCATACATGGAGAGAAAGCCCGCAGAGGCAAGATAGCTGAGGGGTTTGCAAGGCCCAGCAAATGCTTCCTCTGGGCTAGTGGAAGGTTGGGAAAGTAAGTTGGAACACAATCATGGAGGAGATGGAGTGTTGTCTTTAAGAACTTGGATGGTCTCCAATGGCCTTCTAAGAGGTTGACCTCCACTTTAGGGGCACAGCCCTCCCAAGAGAACATGCTCCACCTGCAGCTGTGCCTGTTTCCTCCTGTTTCTGCAGTGCCACCACCACTGACTCAACAGTCAAAGGACCTACGGTAGCCAGTCTACAGGCTTCCAAAGACCTACTATGGCCTGTCCTGAAAAGCTGAGCTGAGAGAGATAAGCTGGGAAGAGGAATCTGGGAGATGGAGGCATGAACAGCAGAGGTGAAGGTGAAGGGCACATTGAGGTTCAGTGACAAACAGGGCATCCAAAACCCTGTTCAAACTGGACATGTGGGAGCTGAGGGTGAGGAGGTCAGCTGGCAGAGAGCAGAGAAGGAGCAGATGAAAAGAGAGAAGCAGACACAGAGAGAAGATAGGTCCCTGGAGCAGCCTCAGATCCTAAGGATTTCCCCATCCAGGCTGAGATTTAAGGGTAATTCTCTTTCTCCTCAGGTTTTGAATGGCCTTGTCCCTGCATCAGGTGATAGATGGGTCTGCCCCCTGCATCAGATGATTGGTGATTCTGCCCCCTGCATCAGGTGATTGATAGGTGGTTCTGTCCTCTGCATCTAGTGGTGGATGATTGTGTTGCATTTCATGTGAAGGGTGATTCTGTCCCTGTTTCAGATGATGGACAGTCCTGTCTCCTGCACCAGGTGATGAATGGTTCTGTCCCCTTCATCAGGTTATGTAGAGTTCCCCGCATCAGAGATGGGAGATTCTCTCCCTTGCATCCCTGGGTAGAACAATGGCTGGAATAAAGTCTTGAAAAGGACAGGGAGACCATGGATGGAAGTATATCTTGCCAGGAAGCAAAGTGAGGCAGAGCCTCAAATGTAGTGGGCATTCAGGGGAGGAGTTGTTCTTAAGATGAGCTGTTCTTTCTCTACCTCTTCTAGCAATTAGACATACCATAAAGTGGAGACTGAAGCCATCATATTTGCAGACAAATGCTTTGATTTGGTAAAGTCTTGAGAGCTTAAAAGTGTTATTTTGAAGTCTATGTATTTCTTCAGTTATCATTTCTTTCAAATATTTTATCAGTTCTCACTCTGGTTATTAAAAGCCAGAAGCCATCCCATTCTGCAGTATTTCTTTGGGGAGCATTTACAAAGTGCATCTCAGCAGTGGCACAGGAAAATATATTTCCCTGGAAACCAGAAGTCACACAATAGTCCTGCCCTCCAGAGCCCCATGGGATGGAGAAATCCCCATTATAATTAAAATCTGATTATTCTGCTTTTATGTCGCCTCCGTTGCTGTAAGTGAGAGCTGGTCTAGCTGCCAGAGCACAGAACGACACAGATACAATGTGATGTGTCAACCACTCATGTTTCTTTTTTATGAGATCAACATTTATAACTCTGCAGTCAGCCCACTGACAGACTGTAAAACTTGCCTTATTGGAAGCAGACACATCAACCACAAGGCACCACTTGTTGAAGGCTGATTCCAGTCTTCCCTGGGTATGAGTTCATCCTTAGAGAGAAAGCCACTGGGACTGGCAGTGTCCTGAGTTTCATCTAGAAACGTTCATGCGCCTGTCTTGGATCCCCTCGACATTGCTCCTTGTGAGAAACACCCACGCAGCAGCGTCCTATCACCACTTGCATATGTATGAGTTAGGCACCACAGCCTGATTTCTTATGAAATATACTTCAGCAGAATTCAGGCCCCATGAATGCAGTCGAGTCTTACCCTCAACAGTATTTTCTAAAGCTACCTATTGCTCACTACCTGGGTACAATATACCCATGTAACAATATCGGCCATTGGCCAAAACAAGCCACATGGTCAAGCCCGAGATTCAAAGCATAGAGAAATAGAGTCTATGTTTTGGTGGGGAGAGATGCAATGTCACATGCAAAGAGACCTCAGAGGAATGAGAAAGATGTATAGGTATAGCCTTCTTTTTTTTTTTTTTTTTTTTTTTTTTTTTTTTTTTTTTTTTCAATATGTCAGGATCAGAGAAAGCTTTACAGAAAGGAAGGGGCTTGAAAGATGGCTAGGGCTGGGACATGTGGCAGATTTCCCATACATGGAGAGAAAACCCGCAGAGGCAAGATAGCCGAGGGGTAATGCTACCTATTACTACTATGCTCACTACCTGGGTACAATATACCCATGTAACAAACCTGCACATGCACCCCCTGTATCTAAAATAAAAGTTGAATTTTTTTAAAAGAGTAAAAACCATGAACCCTTAAAAAAAAACATAGGGGTAAATTTTAATAACCTTGGATTTGGCAATGGATTCTTAGATATGCCAACAAAACACGAGCAACAAGTGAAAAAAAAGTAAATCGGATTTCATCAAAATGTAAGACTTTTGTGCATTAAAGGACATTATTAAGAAAATGAAAGACAACTTGTGGGATGAGAGAAAATATTTGGAAATCATATATCTGGTAAGTGTCTAATATTCAGGGATATATAAAGAACTAACTCAACAACATAAAAAGAAACAACCCAATTAAAGAATGTGAGAAGGACTTGAGTAGACATTTCCTCAAAGAAAATGTATAAATGGCAATCAACACATAAAAATGTTCAACATAATTGGCCATTAGAAAAATGCAAATAAAAGCCACAATGACATTCTTCTTTTTTTTTTTTTTTTTTTTTTTTTTTTTTGAGATGGCGTCTTGGTCTGTCGCCAGACTGGAGTGCAGTGGTGTGATCTCGGCTCACTGCAACCTCCACCTCCCGGGTTCAAGTGATTCTCCTGCCTCAGTCTCCCAAGTAGCTGGGACTACAGACGCGCACCACCAAGTCCAGCTAATTTTTTGTATTTTTAGTAGACAGGGTTTCACCATGTTGGCCAGGATGTTCTGGATCTCTTGACATCATGATCCGCCCGCCTCGGCCTCCCAAAGTGCTGGGATTACAGGCATGAGCCACCGCACCTGGCCTGAGATTCCTCTTTATACCTACTGGGATGGCTATGATTTAAGAAAATGGAAAATATTAAGTGTTGACAAGGATGTGGATTTTTTAAGTGTTTTCTAGTCCATTGTGGCTATAGAAATGTTTCCTCTTTTGTGAATACAAAATGCAAGACAGAGCATAGGGGCCAGCTTCCACGTCAAAAGAGGGGTGCTCAAAACAGATGCCTCTTTGGATGTGGGCTGCTAGCATGGTGGAGACTTGCATGCCTGTTTCATGCATATTTGATTCTACTCTGCCTCTGTCTCACCTTTGCTGCATGCTCAGAAACTACTGCTGTCCCCACATCAGTCTCCTTGGGTCCAAACTGATCTTTGAAATCTGTTGATGGAAAGGGCTTGGAGAGTCTCCCTGTTGCAACAGGTTTGTTCTCTTTTGTGGTATGTCTTGGTTTGCAAATGACTCTCTTCCCTCAATATTGAGGCATTCAGCTGCAGATGAGAAGCAACTTCATGCAGTTTCATGATGCAGGCACCACTAGGAAATATGTGTCCATGGCAACCCCAGGGTTACCTCATCCAACAGCACTCAGATGTTGCTGACCACAGATACATTTTTTTTTTCAAATGTAGAGCAAGCATCCACTATGTCTATAGAGCCAAGAGGTTTTTGTTTTTCTGTGTTTGATGTTCTGTGCCTCTGTTCAGAGCCCTTGGGGTAATGTCACATGTTTGGGGAGCATTTTTTTTTATGTGGACAACATTTCTCCATTCCTCTGCTTCAGCACACAGAGCTTTCTTTCCTGTAAAAATAAGAGGGTTCTTCTAGGGAGGTGGTGTAATTATTCATCTCTGTTCTAGCCACTGCCTGTTGCCAATGAGTTGTGTTAATGTTTTGAATCCAGAATTCATATTTTCTCAGCCTCAGCAGGATCTGGCCCACTCAGCACTTGATCAGGGCTGTTCATGGGAAACCCAGGTGCTTGCGATGGGAGTGAAACTGACTGCTGCCATAGTGACCTTCCACTCCTCCTGTCCAGACTGGAATCATTAACTCAGGCAGGCACGTGGTCAGCACGTCCCACTCCCATCAGCCTGCTGGGAATCAGCATTATTGGGAATGACGTCGTCTGCCCCTCTGCAACTCCCCGAAGAGCTAACTTAATTGTTGGGAAACATCGGAGAAAAAGATGTCATTCCTCTACATGAGTGGTTCTCAACATGGGGGGAGGAGAGGGACTTGTCCCTGAGGGGACATTTGGCAATGTTGGGAAACATTTTGGTTTTCACAACTATGGAGGAGGAGTACCAGTGGTTAATACTCTAACGAGAGTGACCAGGGATGCTGTTAAACATTGTATAGTGTGCAAGACAGCAGCCTTGCTCCCACCCCAACAATGGATGACCCAGCTCAAAATATTACTAGTGCGGAGGTTCAAGTGGAGAAACCCTGCTCCACATAATCAAATTGCAGCCAGCAAGGTGTGGATTCCTAGCATTCAGATCTCGGTTATTATCGATGCAAGGGCAAGCGATGGGTTATTTATTAACTGTGTGAATAAATGCCTGTAAGTGTATTCACTGCAGAACTCCAGTACATAGAAGTGCTTTCTGGTAACGGAGTTTGCAGTGCCTGCTAATCCCTCCTGGAAAGTCTTTTCGTCCCTGAATTACGATCTCAGCCCATGTTGCCTCACACTGCCTCTCTGTTATTAAAATTCCTTTCTACACAATTCATAGGAACATAAATCCTTCCTTTAAAGTCTAACCAATAATACTTCCAGAAAATTAGATTCTCCGTTTAAAAAATTGACACTTAAAAACAATGTGCCTCCTTCCAGTCCTTCCCTCTTTCTGGAAATCTTAGGACAGGTAGAAACATGGGGGTGGATGAAATGACCTTCAGGAGCCCATCTCATGGCCACACCTGTAATCTACTCTTTGTGCTTCTTTCTTTGCTATCACTAGTCTTCTAGTCATATGACCTGGCATTATGACTTAAAATGTGATTCAAATGCTGCGTAAATATGGCCAAAATGTTTGTTTTCCTCAGTGATGGAAGTAGGATTAAGCAGGCAGGGAGCAGCGCTCCAGGGTCCACCCGCACAGGAGCCAGCAACAGACCTCACCAGACAAGTCCCCAGAGTGAATTGCTCCAGTTCCCACCACGGGCTTTCTCCGCCTGACTTATCCAAAAGGCCGAGAAGCAATCCCATCTCAGGCTTTCTCACCAGGTTGGCTTGTTTTTGTTTTTGTTTTTTTCCAAAGCACGTGTAGCTAAGTCATATCAAGGCAAACTTAGGTCAAGATGACAAGCACCTATGCCCTCAGAATGTCACACCCTCCTGCTCACTGCCATGGGGCGGGGGGCGGGTGGGTGATGTAAGGCTCAGGGAGAAACTTGCTCTGCCCCTCACTCAGGGCCAGGTACCTACAGCTTCGGGGGTCCATGTAAGGAAGGCGCAGGTCCTCTGAAAAATGCCACTGATTGGAGAGGATGACCTCAAATGTTCTGCAGAGACTCTGCTCTAGTCCCTTATAGTCATTAGATTTCAGAAAACTTTTAAGATGCTTGAGCTAAGATGTCATTTTAGAAGACTTATAGATCATTAACAAGCTAGGCATATATGCATGGAGGAGGGAGGGTGATCATGAGAAGCAACAGTAGCTAATCATCACCTCACAGTGGAAAATTTTTTACAATCCTATTAGTGGACTTGGAATCGCAAGAACGCTCCATGCCCAGATTAGCTCTGGGGCCGAGGGTCATTGTCCAGATACATGGGGCACTGGAGCAGCTGAGAAAGCCTCCGAGCATCTGGACAGCCCACTAGGATTCAGCCTTCCCACGCCGGGGACATGCTGCACACTGCACTGGGAGCTGGAAAAAGGACCCATTGAAGTTTCCGGCAGAGTCTAAGCCTGATGGGCCCTCCTTTCTAGGCACATCACACATTCTCCCTCCCCGAGAGAGAATTTGATTGGTTTATGTCATTACTTCCTTGTTGTTCCTGTTGAGCAAAATTTGTTTCTTGACCCAACTATGACCCAGACAATAGGGTTGGCCTCACTGACTCTCTTCCCCGCATATCCACTGTCAGCAAAAAAAACTGCCCAGGCCACTTTCCTGTGGGGGCATCCAAGAGTGGGACAGGTCCTTGGTGCTTCATGGATTCTCTCTCTAGAGCAGAGTCCAGTTTAAGATCTTCTGCACTGAAGTCCTCACTCCTAACCTGAGCTGCTCTTATCCTCAGCCAATACTCTGCAGCCCTAGTCTGGAAGAACAGAGCCCATTTGTAACAGAGGAAGAACCTTCTTGCATTTCCCCGCACAGCCTGATAGCAATTTAGCTTCACAAGGCCCTGAAGGGGTTGAGCCGCCCCTCCTGTTAAGGAAAGCCAGCAAATCCATACAGATGTTTTTCTGAGTGCTGTTCTGACCAGGGCTCAGGGATTAGCCTTGCCTGGTATCACATAGCATGGGGAGGTTAGGGAATTCTCTTTGTGGATCAGGAGGTATATTACATGAAATCAAAATGTAAATGTGTTCTTTTTGGATAAGGCAATGTTTTCCCTTCTATTTTTATTTATATAACCTTATCACTTAGTCTTCCTTACTTCTTTCCCTCTGCCTTCCTTGGCGCTGAGCCCACCCTGATTCTGCAGGATAGACTCAGCTAACTGGGCAGCTTTAAGTGGTATGGTTTCTAACCACTCTCCCTCTAACCGCATCTGATAAATCTCATTAAGGGGCTTTACTAGCCTCATTTTCTTATCCAATGCAGAAAATCTACTCCACCAAGATTTTCAGATGTTAAGAGATGTGACTTACAACCCAAGAGGCCAGAGAGAGTAGGGTGCCAATAGGATACATAGATTAGGTAGACAGACAGATAAATCAGATAGCTAGATGATAGATAGATAGATAGATAGATAGATAGATAGATAGATAGATAGATAGATAGACAGATAAATAGATAGATGATTTATCAGGGGACTGGCTTTTATGATTATATAGGCTGAGAAGTCCTACCATAAGCTGTCTGCATGCTGGAGAACCAGGGAGTCCTGTGGCATGGTTTAGTCCAAGTCCAAGGCCTCAGAACCAGGGAAGCGAATGTTATTACTCTCAGGTTGAAGGCCTGAGGACACAAATGGCTGCTAATGCAATTCTGGAATCCAGAGGCTACAGAACTGGAGTTCTGATGTCCAAAGGTAGGAGAGGAAGGGTGTCCCAGCTTCACAAGAGAGAGACAGTACAGATTTGCCTTCTGCCTCCACCTTTTTGTTTTATCTGAACCCTCAGCTGATTGGATGATTCCCGCCCACACTGGGTGGGGACAGATCTTCCTTACTTGGTTCACTGATTCAAATGGCAATCTCTACTGGAATCACATTCACAGACACACCAGAAGTCATGCTTTACCAGCTATCTGGGCATCTGCTTAATCCAGCCAAGTTGACACCTAACATTAACCATGACAAATGTGTGGTTTTGAGCACCGGGCACAGCTCTCCAGGCTGTCTGACTCTCGGCTCCCCAGTAGTCCACACTAGCCTCCCTCTCACTCTGTCTGTCCTCCCAGTCTTAGCTGACCCCCTTCAGAACCAGGGCCTGCCCTGCAGAATAGCAGACCAGCATCTGATATGCTTTGAGAGGTGAAATAGACTTCCTACACATATTATTTCCTTCATAGAGGCATTTCATTGCATAACTTGAGATAAAATTTTAAATGCAAGTACCTCTGGGAGAGGAATACTCAACTAGACCCGCAGGATGGTATAAGCGGCTCGTGGTCTTTGCTCGAGGCATAGATACTGCTTGTGTCTGCTTGCATGCCTGTTTGGTAGAAACAGAGTTTCTGTTGTGGGATCGTGGGGGCTATAGAGTAGAGAAGAGCACAGGACACCTGATACTTAGAGAAGGAGCGGCCAATGGGAAGGCCAGTCTCATCTTAACAGTTTTTAGTGAGTCACCTCTGCTTAATCTGTTTTCCTTCCTCACCTGCCCTGGTTCATTGTCTACATTCACCTCCTGATATGATATACACCTAATCAGTGGGTGAGCGCAGGTTCCATGGAGCGGAGGACACTCTCACCCTTTCTACCTCTAATCCATTCTCTAGTTTAAGACAAGCTGGTTCTCTCTAGAAACAGAGAAGTGAGCCTGTGTCCCAGAAAACTAGGATTTTGCTTCCTCATTAGCCAAGAAATCATGAAATGAACAGAAGTAGAAGGAAAAAAAAGCAAAGAAAGGAAGAGCCTGACAATGGAGGAAATGATGGAGTAATAATCTACGGAAACCTCAAATTAGTGAAACTGTGCTAAACAAGATGAAATAATGATACCATGTCAGTCCTGGGGCTGTTTGCCAGCTCACCTTTCTTCCCTGTTTCCCATCTTCACTGTATCACATGGCCAACTCCTGCAGACTGTATTTCCCAAACTCCCTTGTCAGCTGGGCTCTGACGGTCCAGCCATGAGGACCCTGGCAGGAGACTGGAGGGCAGGAGGAGAGAAGGAGGAGGTATCCCTCCTTCCTCTCTGCCTTGGCTGGCATCTCTGGCACAGGCTGTGTTTCCTCCCTGGCTCCAGGTTTGCAGTGGTTTCAGCTTCTTCAAGGTGACTGTTCTCTGGATCTAAGAGTGCCATCCCTTCTTTCTATCTCCAGCCGCACAAGAGATAGTGGTTTCCTGCTGCTGCAATCTCTGGGTTACCTCCTTGACCCCTATTTGGCTTCTCAGCTCATCCAGCCCCTGTGAGCCTATTCCCTGCATTAAATTCCCTCTATTTAAAATATTCAATGACTGATACGATCTCTCACGGACCTACCTTATACAATTTTCACTTAAGTATTTCTTAACGTTGGCACACACACACACACACACACACACACACACACAGACAAACACACACACAAAGGATTTCTTAGTAGATGCTACAAGGAGCTCTAAGGCTTTGATGACCTAAATCTTAAGGAAGTGTAGAGAGGCATCCAGAGAAAATGATCTCTTTGGTCTCATCTTCTCCACAACTGATTGGAGATAAGGCTCTGCCCAATTGTTTTTCACTTGCCTTCTTTTGGAGTTTTTGGCACCCTGTTCATGTGGATGGAAGGCCCCAGAAGCAGACATGGTGAAATCAAACTTCAGCCTCACCTCACATAACCAGACGCCTTTATGTATGATGCTTTGGTTTTTAGGTGAACCTCTAAGCGTATGAAATGCTACCTCTTGCTTTCAATAATGTAATAGCTTGATTCCTTTGCTTCTTCCTATAATGCTGCTGGACCTCGTGGATATAACATACATGCAATTTTAAAATGTGGCCCATACTTGAGGCCACCTTATCTTGGTTTTACAATTCTGACACGGTTTGAATGTATGTGTCCTTCAAAATTCATATGTTGAAACTTAAATCCCACGGTGATGGTCTTAAGAGTTGGGTCATTTAGGAGGTGATTATGACACAATAAAGAAATTATTTACACAGATAGTGTGGGCAAAAGCATCCTCAGCAAGGTTTCCCCTTTAACAAAAAGCAGCCCCCAAGTCATTTCTTTTCTAGCAAAGAGCAGCCTGAAAAATTGAGCTGCAGACATAGATAAGCAAGCTGGAAGCTTGCACAGGTGAATGCTGGCAGCCGTGTCAATAGAAAAGGGCTACCTGGAAGCCAAGTATGTTCAACATGGAGGCTCTATCTTCCCTTTTCTTTGACACCAGACAGTAAAGAGGCAGGCCACATGGCACTGGCCTGGTAGAGAACCCATCTGCATAATGAAAGATTAGAGTGGGGTGGCCAGCTTTTCACACACTATGTAAATGGCATACCTGGTCCAACCAATCTTTCGTGTCCCATGTAAATCAGACACCGCCTCCTCAAGCCCCTCTATAAAACCTTCTGCATTTCACTGCAGAAGTGGCAACACATTTTCTCCAGACCCCTCTGCCACAGAGAGCTCTTCTCTTTCTTTTGTGTATTGAACTTGCACCCTTAACCTCACTCTGGTGTGTCCGCACCCAGTTTTCTGTGGCCATGACACAACAAATCTTGGGTATTTACCCCAGACAACGACACCACTTCAATTAGGCCATGGGGGCTCTGCCCCGTGAATGAAATTAGTACTCTTATAAAAGGGCCTGAGGGAGTGAGTTCACCCCTTCTGCCGTTCAACTTCCACCACGTGAGGACGCAGCAACAAGGCACCATCTTGGAAGCAGAGAATAAGGTCTCACCACACACAAAGTAACTGCCAGTGCCTTGATCTGAGACTTCTCACCCTCTAGAATTGTGAGAAATAAATTTCCATTGTTTATAAATTACTCAGGATAAGGTATTGAGTCATAGCAGCCCAAATGGACTAAGAAAAATTCTATAAGCTGGTTTGTACAGTCAGACTCTGTGGGCTCATCAATATACATGGTACAAAGGGGCTGTTTTATTACTCCATAAAGAAAAAAAATTATGATTTCCAAATTTGCTGCACTGTTAAACTCCATTTGCAAATGTCTCTCTTGCTTTCTTATTTTTATTGGTACTATGGAGAGCAAGACATCAGGAAATCTGAGCCAAATTGCTACATTCACCTTTCACTAGTTCTCCCATTTAGAGTTTTGCTTCTTTTTACATCATCTCAGATGCCTGTGCCAGGTTGGAATTCACAAATCATAACTATGATAATGTCATTGCCTTGGTCAAAAGTCTTCAATAAACTCTTCTTTGTCCATGGAATACAATAAAAACAACTTGAATCCAAGGTCTCCTCAAGCCTCCTCTCCAGCCATATCCTCTCCAGCCATATCCCTTCACGTATCTAAATCCTGGCTCACCCACCATATCCCAACAATGTCCTAAAATCTCCACCTCCACACACTCGCTCATGACTAGCCAATGCCTGGCCCCATTTCTGCTTTCAAGTCTTGCGAAAATGCAGCCTCCTACATAAAGCCCATCTGGAGCCCCTTCAATTGACTGTGATTGGTGCCTTTTTAAAAACTTACAGAAAAGTTTTCCCTTAAAATGATTTATTTTCAATTATATGTTTACATTTTATTTATTTAAAATAAAATTTAAAAAATAAAAAGAAGGTTAAGAGTTAAGTCTTCCTTGACAAGCCCCCTCAATCCCAGGCCCCTGCAGATGCATCTATATACATGTATGTGAATACAAAATGTGTGTGCAGACTTGTGGTTTTTGTCATAAATATTAGAATATTTGCAGTTTTTTTTTTAACTTGTGTTGCTTAAAATATTATCACAGCCCCGAAGGGCCTGCCTGCTCGAGCCCCAATTCACAGACCAATCTTCTCTTTAGTCATTCTCTTCTTTAATTTCTGTGCTACAGATCTGCTGGACTTCCTCCTACTCTTTAGCTGTATCTGTGCTCCTTCCTGGCACAGGGCCTTTTCACATGCTCTCTTTCTTCCCTAAGGCCTCTCCTCCATTTCTCAGCTCAAATACAATTTTATCAGAGATGCCTTCTTGGATTATCAAAGTTGGTGCAGTCTTCCTAATAAATATTCTCATACCATCATGTGGAATTCATAACAAAATTATAAATACATATAATTTACCCATCTTTTTTTCAAAAGTTGATATATCTCAGCCTTCATACATATAGATAGACTCACATCCACACACACGCAAAGAGGGAATGGAATGCTGTGAAGGATGAATGGCCGTGATTAGGTAAGTATGACTGAGCAAGCTCTAGCCTCAGCCTTTTCTTCCAATCCTCCCCAAAAATACGTTCTTTAAAATCCAGGACAGTACCAGGGAGGAGGGAAGGAGGTAAAAACAAGAATAAAAAAATATATATTTTAAAAAGCAGCTAAACATAAACTTGAATAGAAAGGTTGTCTAAAGCTATAAAAAAAATAGCCAAATCCAATGAATAGAGGGGGAAAGATACACCAACATTTAAAAGAATGAATTTAATAGAATACCTTAGTAACAAAGTATTTAATAGCTTTTTTTTCCAAGCTAAAAAAAAGTTAGAGGATTTATATGTTATTAGGAAAGTTTTAATAGGTGCATGAGTTGCGTGGTCTACCTCTGCTTCTCTCTGTTAAAGAGCCCCTCGTGGAGACTCTGGTAGGACAAACCTGGCCAGCCAACCCCATGCTTTGCCAACTCATATTCTCTCCCTAATCGGCTCCTCAGAATTCTGATATGAAGCAGACTCCAGTGATTCTGAGAGAGGCCAAAGTAAATATCCACTGTAGGTGAGTTTTCTGGAAATTTGGGGTAAAAGAGAAGGCTTCATCACGTCCTTTTCAAAAGGCATCATTTACCATATAAGCCTTAACCACCTTCTTCCCAATTCTCCTTCCCAAAGGCCCTCCTGAGCAGCCCCCTAACCAACGTGAATGCCCAAGTCTCTGGAGGAAACAAAGCCTTCCGTGATTCCTCCAGCAACCTCAAACAATGTGTAGTGACTGAAATGCACCAGGAGTCTTTGAGAAAGTCTCATCTTCCTTAGCATTTTCTAGAGTTTTGGGGTTGAGTTACAACATGTTGATGTAAACTTGCTGGGTGTTGAAACTGTGCAAAGCAGAAAGGATTCCATACTGGGCATCACTCTAAAGGATGTTAATCTTGGGTTGTTCAGTGGCAGCTTTCTGACCACAGACAAGTCAGTCTCTCCAGACCTCACATTTTTCCTTGGCCCATAAAGTGATCAAACCATATTTGCTGAAATAATAATAGTATATACAAGGCTCTGGCTAAGTGGGTCACATTCATTCTAACATTTCATCTTCACCAAAATTCTAAGTGGTATGTGTATCATCTGCATTTTACAGATGATTTCTAAAAATCCCTTCTCATCCTAATATTTTTAAACTCTAGATAATTGTCATATTCATTTGGGTTCTTATTTTTCTCCAAAGTTACTGGAATTTATTTTTAAAAGATTTATTATAGGCATTTCTAAAATGATGAGACATAATTACCCATGGACTCAGGAAATGAGATTGCTAATTTTGATGTTAAAACTGTTTCTGATTACCCTGATGAACTCTCTATTCTTCCTAAATTCACCAATTACTCATTTCTGTTTTTTCCTCGCTCTTTAGACTTGATTCATCTGCACGCTCCATGGAGGCTTGGTTTCAGATGTACCATCATGCTGATGTCTATAGGCACATCTCAGGATCCTTTCAGACAGAGGAATGGGAAGGTGATGATGTCCAAGCAAGGAGGATGTGTTTTTCTCCAACTCTGAAGTCCCACTCAACAAGAGACTATGGTTTGAATGTGTGTGTCCTCTCCAGAATTCATGCTGAAACCTGAACACAAATGTGATAGTATTAAGAGTAGGGCCTTTAGGAGGTCATGAGGGTGGATCCCTCGTGAATAGGATTAGTGACCTTATGAACAGGCTGGAACTTAAAGTAAAATAAAAATTAAAAAACTAAAAAAGGTCTGGGAAAGCTAAGTCCTTTTACCCTTGTGCTTGTGGCCATGTGAGGACACAGCAACAAGGTGCCATCTTGGAAGCAGAGACGAAACCAGACACCGAACCTGCCAGTTCCTTGATCTTGGGCTTTCCCGCCTCCAGAACTATCAGCAATAAATGTATGTTATCTGTAAATTGTCCAGTCTAAGGTATTTTGCTATAGCAGCATAAACAGGCTGAGACAACAGGTATTGGCCTCTCCCAGAATCACGGAGGGCTGTTTTACATCTGGGTCAGGTGCAGCTGATGGGGGTCTTTAATTGGGAGTTGATCATGGCTGACCTGCTCTGATCCTCTGGAATTTCCAGCACGTACAAAGTGTGGAATGGGCAGTTAAGTCCAAATTAAATGAAAAAGCTCCAGAGAAGCAGCTGATTTTGCTCAGGGTTTTCATTTTGAAGCATATGTAATTTGGAATAATTAGAAGCATTTCCGACCGTTGTCCAGCTCTAGCCCAGTAGGAATCCTGGGGACTCTGAGGCCACTTGAGGGGTGATCAAGGTTGTGAAAAACTGACTCTTAGGAGAGTGATTCAGTCACCTGCAGCTGCGGTTCCTCTGAAAATCCCTGAGATGTACATGGTCATCTGGTTTCCCAGATGAAGAAATCACAGGCACGTCTAAAGGACAGTGGGGCAGCTAGGTGAAAAGCGAACAATACAATCAGTCCACCCATTTGTTCTCTCCCTGTGTGTCAAATAACTTCATTGCTGCAGGTGCAGCCCTGGTTTTGAAAATCAGGAGCCTTGTCTCGCATCTCCAGTTCTGCCACTGACAAGCTGTGAAATGTGGGGAACATCAATCACCCATCTCTCTGGCTTCAGTTTCCATACCTATAAAATAAGCGTTGGACAGGTTGAAATTCTTTCAGCTGTAGCAAAACTGTGATTCTATGAACCACACCATTTGTTTTGTTGTCATGGAAACAGCCTGAGGCTCAATTAACCTTACTACCTACCCCAGAGGACCAACCCCGAGGCAGAGTGGTGCCCCTGCTTTAGAAGTCTCCACAGTTCAGGTGAGGGAAGCTGTGCAGGGTGGGAGGAGGGGAATGGGAATTCAGCCTGTGGGCTTTGGCATCTTTGCCCCAGCCCACTCTGGCCTAAACATGTATGTTCTTTTGAAAGGAGAGAAGGGAGGTCTGTAAACTTGGGGGGAGGGGTGATTCCTGCAATCTAAATACTGAATGAATGGAGTGCTTCTCAGCTAAGTTTGCAAATGAGAGTTATTTTTAAATGAATATTCTTTAAATAGGGGTCCATGAAAATTTTTCTAGGGACTAGTCAAGCATTGACTGTTTTAAGGGAATTAATGTTCAGATTCTCAACTTAGATGTGTATTATTTCTGCCTCATAATATACCTGCTTCTGTAGTTCACATTTCTGAACTCTTTTCTTCCCCTCAGCCAACTTCCGCTTTATAAAAACACTGTGTGCCTCTCACCCATCCTGAATCTCCCAAAGGCACATTTCTTGCACTGTGAAAACCTCCTGGGTGCCACACACAGGGACACCTCTGGAACTCATCTGTCCTGAAGGAGATTCCCCGACAGAGACGTAAGGACATATTTTCCTTAGAAAATACTGGAGGTGAAGGTATTGGACTTCATCTGGTGACAAGCCCAGGCTAAGGCTATTTATGCCTCAGCTAAGAATTTGGATTCAGAAGTGAGACAATTGTCACAGGGATGCAAGTGAACTTGTTAGATTTCGAAAATGAAGTCCAACTTTTTCTGAAAGAAATAGTCTGATATGGCTTCTTCCTACCCCCAGCCCCATTAGCCCCATGTCTGTATCAAATGCTGTTCCCATGAGTTCTGACCTCTGTGCTTCTTTTTAACGAACTTCTCAAGCCACATTGTCCTTGTCTTTACGTGCAGCCTCTAGACCAGGCCTCCCAAGGCAGGACTGCTTGTGCTGCTCACTGTGTGTTCCCAGAGCCTCGTACACAGCTAGTCGCTTAGGTCCACAGAATTTTGTTTTTAGTAGAAGATCTTACAGTCAGAGCATGACTGTGGAGTACAACGGTCTTGGAACCTGCAGACTCATTTCCATTGTCTGTGGAGGGTGACCACCTCATTTTTTTTTTTTTTTTTTTTTTTTTTTTTTTTGAGATGGAGTTTCACTCTTGTTGCCCAGGCCGGAGTGCAATAGCACGATCTCGGCTCACCGCAACCTCTGCCTCCTGGGTTCAGGTGATTCTCCTGCCTCAGCCTCCCAGGTAGCTGGGATCACAAGCATGCGCCTCCGTGCCTGGCTAATTTTGTATTTTTAGTAGAGACGGGGTTTCTCCATGTTGGTCAGGCTGGTCTCAAACTCCCGACCTCAGGTGACCTGCCCACCTCGGCCTCCCAAAGTGCTAGGATTACAGGAGTGAGCCACCGCGCTCGGCCAACAACCTCGTTTTTAAGGTGATGGCATCCAGTCCTTCACTGAAGGCTGCAAGTGGCTAGACATGAAGAAGAGTGTCAACGAAGTGTCAGACTCTGTAAAATGTTCGAAAAGATTTATTCTGAGCCAAATATAAGTGGCCATGGCCTGTGACATAGCCATCAGGAGATCCTGAGAACATGTGCCCAAGGTGAGTGGGGTGCAGCTTGGCTTTATACATTTTGGGGAGACATGAGACATCAATCAAATACATTTAAGATTTACATTGGTTTGGTCCAGAAAGGTAGGACAACTTGAAGGTGGGGACGGGGGCTTCCAGGTTATAGGTAGATTTAAACTTTCTCTGATTGGCAATTAGTTGAAAGAGTTTATCTAAAGAGCTGGAATCAATAGAAAGGAATGTCTGGGTTTTGATAAGAGGTTGTAGAGACCACAGTTTTGTCATGCAGATGAAGCCTCCAGGTAGCAGCCTTCAGAGAGAACAGATTGTACATGTTTCTTGCCAGACCGAAAGTCTGCTTTAATGCTAGAGAGGTTTAATGAGGCATTTCCAACCCTCTCTTCCTGTCGCAGCCTCAACCAGTCTTTCAGGTTAAATCTTAGAGTGCCCTGGCTAAAGAGGGCATTCGGATGGTTGGGGGTGGGGGGCTTATAATTTTATTTTTGGTTTACAGGAAGCAAAGAGTCCATGAAAGAGGCACAGAGACTTTCAGGCTGCACCAGCTGTCCAGCCTCTCATTTCCCTCCCAACTCCATTCTTCACCTCTCCAGCAACGCAGGCCAGTCTCACTCAGGTTTTTGTTTTTATTTCGTGGAGACAGGGTCTCGATATGTTGCCAGGTAATCCTGGGCAACAAGTGATCCTCCAGCCGTGGCTGCCCAAAGTACTGGGACTCCAGGCACGAGCCACTGCGCCCGGCCTTGTCTCCATTTTGACCTCAGCTGGCAGACTCAGGGCACTGTTTCTCCATCTGGAGCCCATTGGGAGCTCCTTCACCAGCACACTGAGCCCTGCCGAGGTGATCCACACATGTCTGGAAGGGGAGACACTTAGAAAGTGCCTGTGCCCCACAGCTGTGGGTGACTCTGATACTCACTCAGGTAAGAGCTCCCAACGGTTTTCAGCCCATTTCCCCTAGGGCTTACTGGGTGTAAGGCCTAAGGAGAATCAGCAAGAATCCGAAAAGGAGGCTGAAAATCTAAGAACAATTGGAAAAAACCAGTAGCCTTAATTACTTTACTTTGCTTTCATTTTTATTCAGTTTTCGTTTTATTAAATAATTTTCCTTCCACACAGATATGTGTCCCCTTTAGCTGACTGACCTGTGAGAAATGAAACCAACATGTTTTCTCACACTTATGCTAAATAGTTCTGGGACTAAATATATGCTCCACTTTTATCAATAAACAAGACTGTGTCTAGGCAAAACAAATCTTAGTGACTTGCTCCAGAAAATATTTGTTCCTGAAAGATAAGATGGTGAACCAATAAAAACAGCTTACTTAACAAGACTAATAGCTTATTCAATAAGACGTACTTCAAGACCTCTCCTCACTGGTCTCATTAACCCAAAGCTAACATGCATCAACTCTACCCAATCTCAACTGGTTCTCTACCTTTCAGGACATGATTTAACATCACCCTGTCCAAGTTCTAAAACCCTGTAACATACTTAGCCTTTTTGAGATACTGGGAACACTCTGTCAAGATGGCGTTCTTCCAGGCCGGGCGCAGTGGCTCATGACTGTAATCCCAGCACTTTGGGAGGCTGAGGTGGGGGAAATCACGAGGTCAGGAGTTCGAGACCAGCCTGACCAACATGGTGAAACCCCGTCTCTACTAAAAATACAAAAATTAGCTGGGCATGGTGGCAGGCACCTGTAATACCAGCTATTCAGGAGGCTGAGGCAGGAGAATCACTTGAACCCAGGAGGCAGAGGTTGCAGTGAGCTGAGATGGCGCCACTGCACTCCAGCCTGAGAGACAGAGCAAGACTCCCATCTCAAAAAAAAAAAAAAAATAGACGGTGTTCTTTAATGTTGCAGTAAGTCTGACAAACTCAGATTTTTTCTAATAAGCAAGTTTTTCTGGAGGTCTTTTGAAGGGGGGCAGTGGTGAACATCTGGGAGGTCTAAGAATAAACTAAGATGACCGTTAGATTGCAGGTGAAGGGAAGGAATGATGGAGCAGAATATAGGATATAGGAGCACTACTAACATCATCAGACCAAAGCAAAGTTTATGACCATAAGCATTCCTGAAAATGCTTCCTATTGCTGAGTCAAGCTAGGAAACAAAAAGGAATTCCACTTAAAATTTTTATCTGAACATAGAAATTTCACAGAATGCAAGCACCAACCTAAGCACTTGGAGCTATCCTTCCTTAGGCATCTGTTTATAAAACCATTTTAGATATACAACACTATAAGCTGCTGTGGGAATGATCTATTTAAGTCATTTTATGATTAGAGACTCCTAGCTGAAATATCTTCGCTTAGCACCTGCTTAGTGATTTGGCTGCATCTAGAACCCAGGTCTCCTAGTGTATATTTAGGGAGAGGCAGAGCCCTAGAAATGTGATTAGATCAGAGAGAAGCATACTCTTCAGAATCTTAAAATCCCAAAGAGGCAAAATGCTGCCTCCTTGGCCTACTGTGGGCCTTTGCAAATGCTAATTTCTCTGTTTGGAATGCTCTCTACAACTAGTATCTTATTCTGGTTAATTCCTTCTTATCCTGGAGAATCGACCTAAGGCTTATCCGGGCCACACAGAGCAAGTCAGGCTCCCAGTTATTTTCTCTCATAGCAGACTTTGCTTCTTTGTAGCACCTCTCAGAATTGTAGTTAAATGATTAATTGGACATTTATTCCATAGGATCTGCCTCCCTCTTTGGAATGTAAATTCCAAGAAGACAGAGACTATCAGCTATATAGGCTGAACATTTTATCTCAAGCATATTATACCATGCTGCACAGAGGAGATGCTCCATAACTATTTATGGAATACATGCAATTTCCTTCCTTTTCAACTCACTTCTTAAAATATTTTCAAAATCTTATTATCTCTTCAAGGCCAAAGTTAAATGTCATCTCCTCAGTAAACCCTTTTTCACAACTGTCCAACATTTAAATTGGTCATTTTTTCCTCTGCATGCCCAAAGCCTGTTATACTTAAGACATAACACATGGCTGACCCTTAAGAAATTGCTGTTTTCTTTAAATAAGCCAAGGTGGTCGAAGACCTGTAATCCATGTTATTAAGTCTAATAGTTTCTGCTTTCATCCTTCTTGTTAATATATAAATTCCTGGAACATAAGAACCACAGTTGTTCATCTCCAGTATATGAAACAGTTAGTATAGGGCCTGGTACACAGCGGATGCTTAATAAGTTCTAAGAATGCCTGACTGACTGATTCATCGCCCCTCCAGCTTATACTGGTGTCCAAAGTGACCTTTATCCATGGGACTCCTCCAAATTATGGCCACTCCCTGATGACAAAAAGCCTTTATGGGCTAAATACTTCTTCTTTTTCTGTTTCCAGTTGGACACCTTCACTCAGAGTGAGGGAATTCATTCCCAACTCACAGAAACCACAGGCCGTGGAAAGCTGAGGTTATTGCTTGCTGAGGGAAATAACATCAAGATGGATGAGATCAGTCTAATGGCTCAAGTTATGTTTGCCAAGGGGACCGTGAAATTCCATGAAACACTCCCACCTTCCTCCACCCACCCAGACAGCCAGACCCCTCTACTGTCCATCTATCTCTCCCATGGCCAGCCTTTCAAAGGGAAGCTGGAATAATTACACACACTAATGATTTTGCACTGCCTAATTGGTCTTGCCCACCTACCTGTGATGACAGTTGAGGCTGAACACCTGTTGCTGGCACGAGCTCACCACAAGCAGCTCTCAGTGACAGAAGAGGTACAGGTACTGCTGAACCAGCCCTAGTGTTTTAGTTCTTTAAAAACTTAAAACTAGCCGTCTGGCAACCAAACCTGCCCTCAGGCACTTAATGTATTAACCATTCATGATTGTGCCAAAGCCCCAGAAACCTCTAGCAGTCAGCCCCAGGTTTAGGAAAATTTGTTATTGAAATTAAGAAATTGCATAACTTGCAGATAAATGAGAACTGTTTAGAAATACAGAATCCAGGCCAGGTGCGGTGGCTCACGCCTGTAACCCCAGCACTTTGGGAGGCCAAGGTGGGCGGATCATGAGGTCAAGAGATCGAGACCATCCTGGCTAATACGGTGAAACCCCATCTCTACTAAAAATACACAAAATTAGCCGGGCATGGTGGCGGGCACTGTAGTCCCAGCTACTCAGGAGGCTGAGGCAGGAGAGTGGCGTGAACCCAGGAGGCGGAGCTTGCAGTGAGCCGAGATCGCACCATTGCACTCCAGCCTGGGCGACAGAGCAAGACTCTGTCTCAAAAAAAAAAAGAAAAGAAAAAAGAAATAGAGAATCTAAAACAGCATGGTACTAGGATAAAAATAGACATATAGACCAATGGAACAGAATAGAGAACCCAGAAATTAATCCACATATCCTATAGTCAACTAATTTTTGACAGAGGTGCCAAGAATACTCACTGGGGAAAGGAGAATCTCTTCAATAAATGGTGCTGGGGAAACTGGATATCCATACACAGAAGAATGAAACTAGACTCCCACTTGTCATCTATACAAAAATCAACTCAAAATGGATTAAAGATCTGAATGTAAGATCCAAAACTACAAAATTACTGGACGAAAACATAGATTGGCCTGAGAAAAAGTTTTACAAATAAGATATCAAAAGCACAGGCAACAAAACCAAAAAAATAAAGAAATGTGTTTATATCAAGCTATAAAGCTTCTACATAACAAAGGAAACAATCAACAAAGTGAAAAGATCAACCTACAGAATGGGAGAAGATACTTGCACACTATTTATCCAGCAGGGGATTAATATCCAGAATGTACAAGGAACTCAAACACCTCAACAGCAAAAAACAATGTGATTATAAAATGGGCAAATGATCTGAACAAACATTTCTCAAAAGAAGACATACAGATGGCCAATAAATACATGAAAAAACGTTCAACATCACTAATCATCAGGGAAATGCAAACCAAAACCACAATGAGGTAACATCTCACCCCAGTTAGGATGGCTATTATCAAAAAGACAAAAAATAACAAATGCTGGTGAGAATATGGAGAAAAGAGAACTCTTATACATTACTGATGGGAATGTAAACTAGAACAGCCACTATGGAGAACAATATGGAAGTTCCTCAAAAACTACAAATAGAACTACCAGATAATCCAGCAATCCCATTACTGGGAATCTAGCCAAAGGAAGGGAAATCAGTATTTTGAGGAAACATTTGCACCCCCATGTTTATTGCAGCAGTGTTCACAGTAGCCAAGCCAACCTAGGTATCCAACAACAGATTAATGGATAAAGAATACGTGAAATATACAATGGAATACTATTCAGCCATAAAAAGGAAGGAAATCTGTCATTCACAGCAACGTGGATGGAATTAGAGGACATTACGTTAAGTGCAAGAACAAAATTAAGCACCACATGCTCTCACTCATATGTGGAAGCCAAGAAAATGTTAATCTCATAACATTTCTTAGAAAGAACATACTTTCAAGAAAGAACTTACTTTCCTGTCAAAAGTAGAACAGAGGATAGTAGAGGCTGGGAAAAGTAGAGGAATAAGGATAGGAAGATATTTGTTACAGGATACAAAGTTACAGCTAGATAGGAGAAGTAAGTTATAGTGTTCTATCCCACTGTAGGATGATTATAGTTCACAATAATATATGGTTTTAAATATCTAGAAGGAGGGTATTAAATGTTTCTAACACAAAGAAATGATAAATATTTGAGATAATGGATGTGCTAAATACCTTGGTCTGGTCGCACTATACATTGTATGTATCAAAACACCACTGTGTACCCCATAAATATGTATAATTATGGATCAATTAGAAAAATAAATTTTTTAAATGTTTAATTGTTCAGTCTCTTTGAACAAATATAATTCACCTATTTAGGCTAGGTAAAGTTATAGTTCATAACAACTCCACCAACAATAAAAAGAAGGGAAGAGTCTGAAGGAACTAGAGGGGGGCTCAACACATTTCAGTCCAACCAGCTTATATTATAGCTGAATACAGTTAAGAGCCAGAAAAGGGAAGCCTCGCCTAAAGTCACATGTTATGTTAGTCGGAGAGTTACAACTAGAACACTTATCTCTTCTTTGTCACTTTGTCTTCTCTGTAGCTTTGTTGGGCTGTGATGTTTGGAAATTATTCCATTTTCATTCTTCCCAGAATTAATTGCAGTAGTTCTGTTTCTTAGTCAGCTCAGGCTGCCATAACAAAATACCACAGACTGGGTGGCTTGAACAACCAACATTTATTTCCCACAGTCCTGGAGACTGGAAGTCCAAGATTGCACAGATTTGGTTCCTGGTGAGGGCGAGCTTCCTGGCTTGCGTGTGGCCACCTTCTCTCTGTGCCCCACATGGTGGAGAGAGTAAGTCATCTGGTGTCTCTTCTTTACAGGGCACTAATCCCATCGTGAGGGCCCCTTCCTCATGACCTATTACCTCTCAAAGACCCCTCTCCACATACCATCACGTTGGTGATCAGAGCTTCAACAGATGAATTTTGGGGGACCCATTCAAGCCATAGCATTCTGTCTTAAGTTGATTATTCAGATTGTACCTTTTGGCCTCTTCAGAAAAAAAGAAAAGTATATTCATTTTTCTAAAAGTAAAGAATTCCTTTTGGGAGCAATCGTATGACATTTACAGTAAGTTAAATACATTTGTAATGTGTAACCATCATAAAATACTATAATGGAGATATTTTCTCTGTTTGGCCCCCGTGTGAGTCATTCTGCCTGAGGTCTGTGGGATTACCCATTGTGGGTGAGCATCCCTAATCTGTGTGTCATTGTGTTATGACCACAGAGGACACAAGGTTTTCTTCCCAAGGTATCATTCAGCATTTCCAGGGAAACTCCATGGAACACTGACTGATTTCCCCTTCCCCACTCCCACTCTGCCTATCATCTCTCAGCATTACAGGCCATTCCTGACTCAGTACATCATCAGAGTGAATTTTCCCCACTATCCTTAACACATGGAAAATGAACAATGTGAACGGCTAAGTAGGAGGTACTATGAGGGCGAGACTCAGCAAACCAACCTTACCCAGTCAGCCTCATCCACCCAGGCCTCAAGCCTTGAGACTGTTTTCTCTCTACCCACTTGTCCCCTGCAGCCAGAAGTATGCTGTTTTGTGCTTAAATTATTATGTAAAGTCCCTGAAGATAAAACAGCTTTTCCTTTTCTCCTTTCCCTTCTTCTTTCCTTCTTTCATCCTTTTCTTGTCTCCATCCTTTTATCCTTCCTTTCTTTTGATCCACTTTTGCTGATTCTATCTTATCTGACTGATGGATGGCAGCCCTTGGCAAAGCCATGGACTTGCAAGATGAAGGTCTGGCCCCGAGCTTGGCATGCAGGCCTCGGCTTCTGTCCTGAGGCTCATTTACCCTCCTGTCTCTCCTCATACTTTGCTCTCCCCCTATACTAACCTCTATATGAGAATGGCTATGCAGTCAGAGACTCACATCTCTGGTTAGAAAGGTGAAGTTAGTGAGTTAAGGCAAGTTGCCTAAAATTAACTCGCTAACTTCACCTTCCTCCTCTACAATAAGGAGATAATAATACTCCCTGTGTGTTAAAAGAAATGAGCTGTACAGTGCTCTCCCTGGCACATAGGAAGCTCCCTGTAAATGTTAGCAATGATCCCACTAAACAGTGAACACCAAGAAGGTATGGCCTGTGTCTGATTTGTTTTCATTGTTGTTTGGGGGCATTTACAGCTTTTCTGAGTATAATTGACATGCAATAAACTGCACAGATTTAAGTGTACAAATGGATGAGCTTTGACATATTCGAAAGCATTGCCACAGTCGAGATAATAAGCACATCTATCATTTCCAAGTTTCATCATGCTCTTTTGTAACCTCTGTCCCTCCTCCCATATCCAGGCAACCACTGATCTGCTTCTGACACTATAGGTAAGTTTACATTTTCTAGAATTGTGTATAAAATAAATCATGCCATGAGCACTCTTTTTCCTGGCTTCTTTCAGTCAGTATAATTACTTGAGATTCACCATGCTGTTGTGTATATCAATGGTTTTTTCCCCCTTATTGCTGAGTACTGCTCCATTGCATGGATATGCCACAATTTATCAATTTACCCATTAATAAATATCTGGGGTGTTTCCAGTTTGGGGCTATTAGAAATAAAGATGGTATAAGCATCTATGGACAGTCCTTGTGTGGACATTTGCTTTACTTCCCTGAGGTAAATGGAATGGCTAGGTCATGTGATGAGTAGATGTTTAACTTTTTAAGAAACCACCAAACTATTTTCCAAAGTGACTGCAGTAGTGAGAGTTCTCCAGAGAACCAAAACCAATAGGATGTTGAGAGAGAGAGAGAGAGAGACAGACAGACAGAGAGAGAGATTTATTTTGAGAAATCGGTTCATGCAATTATGGAGGCTGGCACGTCTAAAATCTGCAGGGTGAGCTGGTAGGCTAGAGACCCAGGCGAGAGCCAATGTCTGGTTCTAGTCCAAAGGCTGTCTGCTGATAGAATTCATTCTTGCTTATGGGAGGTCAGTCTTTTGTTCTAGTCAGGTGTCTTGGTAAGCTCAGGCTGCCATAACAAAAAACCATAGGCTGGGTGGGCTAAGCAAGAGACATTTATTTCTCACAGCTCTAGAGGCTGGGAAGTCTGAGATCAGAAGGCCAGCATTGTCCTCCTCTGGTGAGGTCCCTCTTTCTAGCTTGCCGACAGCCAGCTTCCTTCTTGCTGTATCCTCACATGGCAGGAGAGAAAGCTCTGGTATCTCTTCCCCTTCTATAAAGGCACTAATCTCATCATGGGGGATCCACCCTCATGACGTTATCTAAGCCCAGTTAATCTCAAAGACCTCATTTCCTAATGCCATCATATTAAGGGTTAGGTCTTCAACATATAAATTTGGGGTAGATACAATAACAATGACATCAGTTGAAGGTCTGCTGTCAACAACATATGTCAAAAACATGTCAAGTATTCAATAACATGTCAAGAATGTGTGGTCACAATTACAAGAATACTTGTATTCTTGTATCCTAACGTGATACAAGTATTCTGCATACAAATGAAAATACATTAACATTTTCCCCAGAAGAAGACACAAGATTTTGGGGTGATATTTATTCTTCTCAATATTCCATAACTTAAATAATGATGTCACTTTACTAATATTAGTAACTTAATAATATAAAGTTAACAATACTTAAATACTAGGAAGTAAAGTTAGCAATATTCAAACATTCTAATATAAAGCCAATATAACTTTTATTACATGATATGGGGATAAAAGAAGAAAGAAAAAAAATGTACATATACCAGGCTGGAGACCAGGAAAGGCCCAATATCACAATTTAGTATTTAATGTCAAAGACTATTGCTAGCATATGGGTATGTAATTAATTTTATATACTGATCTTGGATTTAACAATCTTGCTTAACTAATTTATTCATTTATGCAGCATTTTGTAGCTTATTTACTGTCTTCATATATCTAAGATTTTCTACATATATAATTATGTCATCTGTGTGTTAAGGCTGTTTGACTTCTGCCTTTCCAATCTAAATGCCTTTTAATTCTTTCTTTTTTTTTGTCTTATTGCATTGGCTAGAACCTTCAGTACAGTACTGTACAGTATGATTAGACATTTTTTATTGCTGATCTTAGGGGAAAAGCATACAGTCTTTCAACAGTAAGAATTACATTCATTGTAGGCTTTTTGTAGGTATCTGTTTTCAGATTGAGGAAGTTCCCTTCTATTCTTAATTTGTTGGAAATTTTTACCAGGAATAGATGTTAGACTTTTCATGTGATTTTCTGCATATATTGAGATGATCATACAGCTTTTTCTGCTTACTAATAAGGTAAATTATATTGTTTGACTTTTTAATGTTAACTCAACATTGCAACCCTAATATAAATAATATTTGGTAACAGTATATTAATATTTTCATTTATTTTTTAATTTGATTTAGTGAAAACATTTTAGATTATTTTGAATTTATATTCTTGAAGTATATTGGTTAGTATTTTTCTTTTAAAGTCTTTGGGCTCATACACTGAGTTGGAAAGTTTTTTCTCTTCAATTTTCTAGATGAGTTTTTGCAAAATTATTATTTCTTCATTTAATATATGATAGAAATCCACGCAGGAACCATATGTGCCTTGCTTTTGGAAAGGTTTTTAACTGCAAGTTAAATTTCATCAATAGATGTGGCAATATTTACGTTATCTATTTATTCTTGAGTGGGCTTTTGTAGTTTGTGTTTTTTAAGTAATTTGTCTATTTTATCTGAGTTTTCAAATTGATTTGCATCAAGTGGTTTATAAAAATTCCTTTTGCACTTTCAATATCTATAAAAGCTGTGGTGGTGTCACTCCCTCTCATTCCTGATACTGTTAATTTGTGTCTTCTCTCTTTTACTGATCTATTCAAAAAAGGAAATTTTTTGTCTTACTGAGTTTATTGTTTTTCTCTTTTATATTTCCTTTATTTCTACTCTGATCCTTATTATTTCATTGCTTATACTTTACGTTAAATTTGCTCCTCCTTTTCTACTTTTTTAAGTAGAAGCATTGTTTTGTGACATAGTTAGGTTACTTGGAGGCAGTTTTTTCTCTTAAAATTTCTTTTAAGCTTTGTTACGCAGGACCAGACAAGCCTTTAGTCTAGGGCCAGTTCTTTCACACCGCTGAGGCAATAAGCATCACTGTTCTGAATGCTTTTATGCCTTTGAATTATAGTATGAAGTTTTCTTCTCTGTTGGTGGGAACACAATCTATTCCCAGCTCTATGTGTGCCCTAGGTTTTGTTTCCCTGCTCCTTTCAGGTAGTTCTTTCCCCAGCATCCAATAGATTTGTCACATGCAGGTGCTGAGCAGCTCTCAGCTGAATACTTGAGAGAACCTTCTGAATATCTCTGAAGATCTCTTTCTCTCATCTCTCAGCAGCTATCTCCTCTTTAGTACTCTATCCCATGAACTCTAGCCATAGTGGTTTCCTCAGACTCTCAATTTCTTCTTCTTAAATCAGGGTGATTACTGGGCTTGCTTGGGTCACCCTTTCTCCCTTCATTACAGTCTAGAAACTTCTCAAAAATTAATCTGGGGAAAACACAGAGCCCTCTTTTTTCCCCCGTCTCAGAGATCATTATCCTATGCTGCCATATTTCCAATATCTGAAAAAAATATTGCTTTATATATTTTGTCCAGTTTATTAGTTGTTCTAGCAAGGAGGGTAAATCCACTCCCTAGTACTACATCTTGGTCATTCTGTATCTGCTTTTGTTCATTTTCATATATCCAACATTATCTGACATACTAGATGTTCAATTGTAACTGGCTCACTGAATCAATTAATTAACTCAATTAATTAGTAAAATGGATAAACTGTCTGTGTTTCCTGAACCTATAACGCTTCGTCTTGCCCATATGTGCTTGCACATGCTACTCCACTTCACAGACATTCTTCTGTATATTCATCAAGATAATCTCATTTGTCCTTCAAGGCTATACCTCATACCTTTTCTATGTAGACTTTATACCCTAAACTGGATTAATATCTTTTATATGTGCTCACATAATATCCTCTTCATAACTTTATCCTAACAGTCTTCATGTTGTTTCTTTTTACTGTATCCCACAAGAGATTATTCTTTTTTTAAGGGAGAGATGGGATCTTGCTGATTTTGTTTTAATTCTAAAAACAATATTTTTGCTTCTAGTGATCCCTGACTTAATAATACAGATTAATCCTTTAGTTGAGACCAGCTAGAAAACTGAAAGCAAAAATAAGTAAAAGCATATGCTTGAAGGTACTGGAGAGCTAAAAGTTGTAGCCTGTAGTCCCAGCTACTCGGGAGGCTGAGGCAGGAGAATCACTTGAAGAATTACCAGTCACTACACAGGGGAGAACAGAGATCAATCGAAGTGACATCTACCTAGTGGGCACTCTTGCCTTATGGGCATTTCCCATTCCTGAGTCTAAATAGTCAAAATATCTATTGACAATCTCATTAGTGCAGGAAGAAAGAAACTGGAGGTTGATAAGGATTGAATAACTGGTACACCACACCCTTAGAAGTATGATTAAACAGAAGTATACAGGCTTCAGAAGAATTAGATCTTAGCTTCAAACCATCTCATCTGAGATACTGGATTGAAGTAGTACCATACTGCTAATGATCCCAGGCAGGTGGCAGAAGCAGAATTAAGTTCCTTGTTAAGGAAAAGAAGCACTGCTTTCTCAGTGATATGTAAATTGAGCAGATAAGAACAGAATAACACAGCCAACCTACTGAATCTAATTGATATTTATAGAATACTCACCCAGCAACAGCAGAATATTGATTTTCAAGTGCCATAAAACACTCACCAGGACAGGCACTATTCTGGATTATAAATTTAAAATAACAAATTGGAAAGAACTGAAATCATACAAAGAATGTTCTCAGATCATAATGGAACTAACTAGAAACCAACAATACAAGGCAACAGGAAAAACCTCCAAATACTTGGAAATGTAAAAATGACTTCCAAGTAATTCATGGGTCAAAAGAGGACATCTAAAAATGATGTCAGAAACATGGCAGAGTAGAAGGTCCCAATTCTATTGCCCCCATAAAAATGATGATTAAACAACTACCTACTCACTAAAATATCTCTAAGAGAGCTCTGGAATATAACAACAAAAAAGCCACAGCAAACCACTGGAGTACAAAAACTGAGCGTGGGCCGGGTGTGGTGGCTCACGCCTGTAATCCCACCACTTTGGGAGGCCAAGGCAGGCAAATCACGAGGTCAGGAGTTTGAGACCATCCTGGCCAACATGGTGAAACCCCGTCTCTACTAAATATACAAAAATTAGCTGGGCGTGGTGGCTGGTGCCTGTAGTCCCAGCTACTCGGGAGGCTGAGGCAGGAGAATCGCTTCAACCTGGGAGGTGGAGGTTGCAGTGAGCTGAGATCATGGCAGCCCGGGTGATAGTGCAAGACCCCATCAAAAAAAAATAAAATCAAATCAAATAAAAAAAAATAAAACTGAGCGTGGCCACATCAAAAAGCATAGAAAACATTTTACTTATATCATCTCATCCCCCAGTTCAACACAGCTCAGCACCAAAAGAGATTCCTTCAGTCATGACCTTCCCCATGAGGGAAAAGAAGAGCAAGAGGAGCCCAGCAGCCTTCCCCAACAAGGACCCCAGAAGCCCTCACCACCACTGTGGACACCCACAGCTTTTTTTTTTTTTTTTGAGACGGAGTCTCGCTCTGCTGCCAGGCTGGAGTGCAGTGAAGCAATCTCGGGTCACTGCAACCTCTGCCTCCCAGGTTCAAGTGATTCTCCTGCCTCAGCCTCCCGAGTAGCTGGGACTACAGGCTCGTGCCACCATGCCTGGCTAATTTTTGTAGTTTTTTTAGTAGAGACAGAGTTTCACTATGTTGGCCAGGCTGGTCTCAAACTCCTGACCCCATGATCTGCCCACCTCAGCCTCCCAAAGTGCTGGGATTACAGGCGTGAGCCACCGTGCCCAGCCCACACCCACAGTTTTTGCCACCAAGGATCTCTGCATTCTTTGCTGACAGTGAAACCAGCTGATGGATTTGCCCAGAGTCCATACCACTACTCCCCCTCCAGGGAATGAGGTGCCACTGCCCCCTACCCCATGTTCCCAGGGCTGAATCCACCCCCTAACCCCAGCACCACCGCACACATGCCCTGACCTTGGAACCAAGAGATATCCCCTCAGCCATGACTTCCCCCTAGAGGGGGAAAGAGAATAGGAGGACCACAGCACCCTTCATGATTGAGTACTCAAGCAGCCCTCACCACCACTAAAATACCTACAGCCTTGGCCTCACTGACACCAATCTTAGCTGATGAAGTTGACCAGAGTCTATGCTATCACACCCCTCAAAGCAGGAGGTGACCCTACAACCACCCCCTGAACCAGAGCTGCCATGCTTCACGCAGCTCGTGCCTTCACACCCATCCACAGAAGAATGTCTTTTCCCACCAAAGCCAGTCTATAAAGTCTAGGACAGGTGACTGCTCCTTCAAATGCACAGACAGATGCAAGACTACAAGGAACACAAAAATCAAGAAAACATAATACCATGAAAGGAATACAATAATTTTCAGTTACAAATTCCAAAGAAATAGAAATCTACAAATTGCCTGACAAAGGATTTAAGATAAATGTTTTCAAAGAAATTCAGCAAGCTAAAAGAGAACACAGATAGACAACTCAACAAAATCAGAAAAAAAAAATGCATGAACAAAATGAAAACTTCACCAAAGAGAAATAATAGAAAAGAACTAAACAGAAATTCTGGAGCTCAGCAATACAATGAATGAAATGAAAAATGTGATAGAGAGCCTCAACAGCAGACTTAAGCAGAAGAACTAATCTGCAAACTCAAAATTAAGAAGGTGCTGTCACTCCCAGTTGCCAAGTCAAGCCCCGTCGAAGGAAAAGCATGCATAGAACCAAGCACAGCCAAAATTTCTTTCCCAGGATCAGCACCTCCTTCTGAGGCTGCAGACAAAGACTGTCAAGGGACCCCATTACTCCCTGTTGAAGTCTCAGAGCTCATGGGTGTAGCTTCTTTGGTGTCAGGGGCTCTGGATGCTAAGCCAGTAGAGAATCCTGAAGATCCTAGCCAACGGATTAATAAAAACTGGAAGAAGGCAATTGTGACATGGCAGGAACAAACTGAGAGAATATTTATATTTTGAAGTAGATGGATCCAAACAAAGAAATGTGAATAAGATCAAGGAGTTTGGCTAGGGGTCTGAGAGACACTGTCAGACCAACCTGCATTTGAAATGGGCCAGTGTCTGAGTCATGACAACATAAAGGTAAAGGTGCCCTGAATGTGCCCCTAGTCCCTGGGTCTGCTCTCGTCACCTCTTGTCACTTCAGGAAGCAACAGCCAGGAGTGAAACATGTAACCTGAGGTGGGAGGAAGGAATTTTTCAGAAGCTCTTCCTGGACAAGGTGAGTCCTCATGAACTGATCCTGACCCCTATGAACCCATACCCTATGAGCTCAACCTCCTAGATGAGGAGCGTTCCACGAATAAGACCCATATGTTAAGATCCTGGAGCCTGAGGGATCAGGTGGCCTGATGGGGCAGACAGTTCTAAGTTGCCTCCTGTTTTGGCCAATCTTCTGGGAAGCATAGGTACCTGGAAGGGTTTATTGAGATCTGAAGAAGAAGGCATCAATGTCCAGGAGAGCCTTACTTTCATCATGGGTAGCCCAAACAGTCAGCCCTCAAAATAACTTCTAAAACAACCAGACTATTCAGATAAGATGACTGATTGCTCTTGCCACCTAACCTCTGAGGTCCTGGTTGAATAGTCCGTCGTTTCCTACCAGGAGGCCCTGGGAGGTCCAAAGACATTTTCCCCCTGGCACTGGCGACCTATACCTGGTTTCTATGGAGGCTCTGGAGACCCTGATGGGCAGTTGATCCACATCTTCTGGGTCCCCCAATCCCTCCAGTGAAAGATGACCCCTTCTGGGATAGCCCAGGTGACCCCATGCAGGGTGGCCTAATATTGAGGGGAGAGTCAAGAACCAATTCCTGGATCATACCATAAAGCCTGTGGTGGCCAAAAAGAAAATGAACCTTTCCCACCTCCTCCACTCTGAGGGGCCAGAGGAAGTCTCTCTGGAGTAGGACCCCTAAATGGATGAAGAAATTCTGGTGGGATCATTGTTAGAGTTGGTGGGCATCATCACCAATAAGCATCTCTTTCATGAAAGTACTGGTGGTGGCATAAGTGGGGGCAGTGAAGATTTTTCATGAAGGTCCTGGACATGGGGGATGCTGTGACCCCAAGCCTCATGATGTCCCTGGTCACTGAGGCCATGACCATCAAGGTCTGCCCTCTCGTGAGCACTCTGGCCATGATGGCCCTGGGCCACTGAGGTCAAGATGGAAGCTACAGCCATGAAGGAGACAGATCAACCTGCTCTGTTTGCTGACATTTGATGATAAAGGGCAATGCCACTATGAGAACAATTACGTCTTTTACCACCTGAGTGTCAAAGTCCCTCTTGCCCTAGGGTCCACCGGCCTGCCCTGCCCTCATATTCATGGAAAACTGCAATCTTGCTACTTCTGCCCTATCATGACTTCTGTGAGGTCCATTTTTCTCTTTCCCCAACTGATAAGGAGCTATCCCCCTCACTTCCCACCTGCATGGGTTCCTGGGGGTTTTCTGACCATTGGTGTGCACTGATGTGCATATTTTCCTTCTATCTGGGGAGGAGAGAGACCGGACACATTCTGCATCCCTGGACTGCTGAAGGGGAGACTCTTTTTGAGGAGATTCATCCTGCACCTCAGTCTCCTGTCCAAAATTACCGTTTATGCATGCGAACCTAAAACTGGTTACCTTGGAAAACACACACACATGGATGGGGGTGCACACACACACACACACACACACACACACACAAACTTTGCTCTGCATAAAACAATCTTAAGAAACTAAAAAGACAAGTTATACACTGGGACAAAATATTTGCAAATCACTTATGCAAGAAAGGCTCGTATCCAGAATATGTAAAAAGCTTCAACAATAAGAAAATCAACAATCTAATTGAAAATGGCAAAGTATTTGAATAGACGTTTTTCCAGAGGATATAAAGCTGGCAAATAAGCATTCAAAAGGAAGTTCAATGTCATTAGCCATTAGGGAAATGCAATTAAAAGCACAATGAGAAATCACTACACAACTATTAGAATTGCTAAGAAAAAAAATGAGAATACCAAGTGCTGACGAGAATGTGCAGCAACAATGCTGATGGGAATGCAAAATGGTTCAGACACTCTGGAAAATAGTTTGGCTATTTCTTATAAAATCAAACATACACTTATCAGGTGACTCAGCAGCAATTCCACTCCTGGGTACCTACCTGAGAGCAGAGAATTGCAGCTGGAAGTAATTTTGTCTCCCAGGGCTATGTCTGGAAATATTTTTCTTTGTCACAAATGGGGAAGCATCTAATGTTGGTGCTAAACATTCCACAATGCACAGGACAAATCCCACACCCCTGCCAACAAATAATCATCCTGCCCAAAATATCAGTGGTGCTAAGGTTGAGAAATACTTCACCACACACAAAAAAATGTGTGAACACAAATACTCATACATAATGTTTATAGCAGCTGTATTCAGAATTGCCAAAAACTGCAATTAACCCTAATGTCCTTCAACATGTAAATGAAAGAGCAAACTGTAGCATGATACCATGAAATATTACCCAGATATAAGAAGGAACAAGCTATATTGATACACACAACAATTCAAATGAACCTCAAAGACATGCTGAGTGAAAGAAGCTGGTCTTCAAAGGATATATACTGTATGATTCCATTTCTATGATATTCTCAATGCTTTTAATAGCCTCTAGTAGAACATTCTGCTCTAACATCACTCACAGTACAAAATCTGGTGAAGGAATTTGCCCCCAGATCTGGGTAATGGGCGGTGATTGGATTTTTTGTTTGTTTGTGATTTTAAAGGTTTTTGTTGTTTTTATTTTCTTCCTTTGTGTTTTTCCACCTCTGTATATAGTGGGCAGCCGGCTCTGTAACATTTTCAAAACAGTCACAGTGCAGGAGATCCAGGGAGAAGGTAAAAGTGTAATTCCTCCAATGCCCTGGCCGCTGGCACCAGTTCTGCCTCAATGATCTTGGGTGCTCATGCTGCATGCTCGCAGCAGCTATGGGTGTCAATGGGAGAAAACCCGGCCTCAGGAGACAGAAGGCTGGGCATTACCTCTCTGTGCCACCTAGAAAGCTGTGCTCATGGGAAAGGAATGTGGCAGCCTGCCCTCTGAGGAAATGTCCGCCCAAACATTTTCATGCAGGTCATTCAATATATTGCATGGGATTTGCTGAGTATGTCTAAGAAAAACATCTACATTTTCCTGGAAGGCATTAAAATTCTCTCATTTGAAATGTAATCATTTGAGAATCTTGAGGGACTCTGATGATGTGTTATAAGACAGGCTGCAGAATCCAGGGCACAAATCGTAGTAAAAGGCCGAGCCTGGACTCTGGGAAAAGTTTTGTGTGAGGAGAGTCTCTGAACTCCAGGATGGCTGAAACATCTCCAGGAGAGCTGCTCCAGATTCCAAACAGACTTGGGCAGTGATGTCAGAAGCAACGGAACCGTGTCTTCAATAATAGGCTCCTGTGAATATTAATTGCAGCTGCCAATAAGTATTGCTGCTAGTTTAAATAAGAGCTTGGTTTTAATTCTTAAAAATTAAATAGACAAAAAAGTACTGAACCTCGTGAGCGACCTGACTTCATATAATCCCAGTTTCTTCTCTTGATCCTGATACATGTATGAGATTGGCTTCAGTCAGCTGAAGGGCTTTGAGCACAGGGAACACACAGCCCCAGGGCTATCAGGGGCCTGGAGTGACCTTTGAAGAGCTTGTCCTGTGTTTCTGGATTCAAAGACTGGGGCCTCCCTTCATGTGCAGAAGTCGAAATACCTGCCGCCTGTGATGGAAAGGCAAGGGGTGAAAAGGCTGAAGGACCCACTTGCATTTCGACCAGTGAGGCAGCATGACTAAGCTTTCCCTTTGGCTGAGGGGTAAGCACAGAAGATAGCAAAGCTTGGGTCAAATGAGGCAACCCTGGCAGAAAGGCTGAATGGGGTGCACTGCTGCCCCAGGTGAGAAAGAGCCAGCACTGGGATGTCTGCTACACAGACATCAGCAACCCCAAATATGGAGGGCAATGGCCAAGTAAGCCCTTGGCACTCACTACCTGGCCTCCAACCAGGAGGTCACAGCAGGAAGGTGGGGGCAGGGGCAAGGAGAGAAAGACAGCCCATCCTATTTCCTGCTGCAAGTTTCTGAGGCTGGGATTGAACTGTTGGGAAGGGGAGAAGCTTTGAAATGGGTGAGAATTGCATTTTGATTTAAGCTAAATAGAAAATAAGATCATCCCCAAACGTACCTAGGAAAGCAAAGGGAGCTGCCAGGACTTCTTCCAGACATGGAGAAAGAAGATTGCATAGAGAAGGTTTGAAGGGCAGTGGGGTAAACAGAAAATTAAGTTACTCCTACTGGAAACCTCATGCAGTGCTTCCCTAGCCCTGGGCCCGAGCAGGATGAGTTGAGGATGTGCTGAGATAGTAATTCCCTCAGCTCTCAACATAACTGTGTGGGGTCTGGAGAAGGCAGAGCCCCGGAAGTGAACATATCTGGATCTCTTTGGCCATAATACAATTATGACTTTCTACATATGCCATGGCCTGAACAATATTGGGAGCCTGGCCTATTGCTCTGTCAGCAAACTGGTTACAACTGGAAGCAAAAATTCATTGGGATTGCCTGAGGCAGAGACATTTCCTATCCATTGCCTCAGCAACCATAGAAGAAGTAAATAAATCACCTCTCTTGTCTAACCAAGTGCTTCCTAGCCGCAAGAAATGTGATTCTTTACTTGCAAATGGTGTCTTTTTCCATCTACTATATGTGGAAAATATAGTATATGCATAATGTGTTTGATTCTGCTAAACTGATGTCAGAATTCTGGAAGATCCTTAAAGCCTCTAGAGGAATGAGTCAACAAAGGGAATTTGAGGAAGGGGGAGTGCTAAAAACAGAAGCAGGAGAGGCTTGAACAGTTATTGGACAAAGGAGGTATCAATCATTTCTGTTAAGCAAATCAGCTCCCGGCAGATTAGCTCACAACAAATTAGGTCACAGGAAACAAGAACCCAATGGGTGGTCCTAATGGAAACTCAAGGTTTGAAAGGCAGTGATGTAAGACAAGCAACCCTAGAGAAAGAAGCGGCTGTCACAAAGGCCAGACCCAAATGCCATGTTAAGAGATGGATGAAGACTAGGAACTGTAGAGAAGGGTAGAACCAGTGTTAACTTCAGCTGATGTACATGCTTCTGCCAAATAAAACTGCACAGCAGTAAAACAGGCAGAGAAGAAAGAATCAACAGCAAAGGTAGAACTGGAACCATGGAAATCTCCAGGAGAGAGGTAAAGGGAGGGGCTAGCCTAAAGCCCAGAGACAGTCAGAAAGTGTCCCACTCACCTGAGGGACCAGGACAGGGGAGGCTTGGGAGTCCAGGTCTGAGACGACGGATGACAGCCCCCAGCTGGAGAAAGGGCTTCGGGAAAGAGTCCAGCGGGAGGGTTAGAATTCCTACCACACTCGGCAGCTGGGCCAGCCCAAGCCTGCCATGGGTTATAAGACTTTGCCATTTAAGCAGGTTGTGTCAAGGACGGCAAGGTAAGGGCAGGGTACTTTTTGAGCGGTGGCAACCAATAATTGGTGAGTATAATCTAAGAAACTTGAACTACTTTTGCTCAGTTATTTCCAGGTTCGTGTGTGTGTGTGTGTGTGTGTGTGTGTGTGTGTGTGTGTGTCTGTGTTATCCTCTTGAAAAATGTTAATGGAAGTCTTGGCTAAACTTACACTTAAGGGTGAAGAGATGTTTCTACACATTGATCCAGATGAGTGGAGAAATCGGAGCGTTCCTAGGGTTTAAGTAAAGGGAGAGAAATACTCTCAGCATACTTGCTGGCCCCTTTCCATGCACACAAGGTTGAAATTGGAGTTTGAGGGAAAGCAACTGATTAAAAGTTTATACACTTATCCCTAACAATTTGAAATCTGGAGATAAGTCAATATCCTTAAAGGTAAGAATGGACCAGGCTGTTTGCAAGAATTTAATGTTCCCATTTTTTTCCTTTTTTTTTTTTTTTTTTTTTTTGGAGTTCAGTAGTTGCAGGAATAATGATAGTTACCATTTACTATGTGCCAGTCTTCTGAGACCCTTTAAATGGATTGTCCCATTAAATCTTCCTTTACCCCTCATTACCCTTGAAGGAGGTGCTATTTAATCCCTGTTTTACAGATGAGGAAACTGAGGTGAAGGAGAATATGTAATTTGCTCATGGTCCACAGCCTACATTCTTCAGTATGTGCAGGGAAGACCTGGTGGGATCTTCACTATGGGGCCAAAGCAGGTTGGTTCAGTTTCCATTTGGAGAGCATAGGTGGAGTCAGGTGGTTTGAGGGTCATTTGTGGTGTATCAGTCAACCAGCAATGAATAGTACGTTGTATTTTCCAGCCTACAGTTTTGTCATCCTATGGACAATTCCTCTCAGAGGAGGAAGAAAAGAGGGGTGATCAGGGAGAGTGCTCGCACGGGGACAGAAGTGGGTGGATTTGGAATTAACGTGAACAGCCGACATTTCACTTCCATACAGAACTACACTGGGATAATTTTTAAAAATTAAAATTAATAAAAATTCTAAAACTTTGCAAGGATAAATTAAAGGAACTTGGATAATTTTGCTACGGGCCAATGAAGCCATAAAATTGGTAGAGTTTGCCAAGATGTGGAATATTTTTTACTTTCTTCCTAAAAGAACTCTAACATAAAAACCATCTGGTGTCCATATTTCCCAGATCAAGGCGGGGTCTAGGTAGGATGAGGCAGTGAATGGAAGAAGCACTGACCCAGAGGCAGGAGAATGGGTCTAGGCCCATCTTGAAGAAATAATTTTATACTTCCAGCCTCGGCTTCCCTTCTGTAAAATAAACCTGTTGGATTACCTCCAAAGTCCTTTAAACAGTAAAATTCTATTACTCTCTAACAAGTTTGCTCAAAGAACACATAAGTATTTTTTAAATAGTAAAAGGTTATAGAAAGTTAATTTTTGAGTTCATTTTCCCCTGAGTCTGGGCCCTGGCTCCGCCTCTCACCAGCTGCCTCTGCTGCTGTCTACAAAAGCCTGAGGCAGGAACCCACCTCTTTCTTAAATGGCAGATGAAATTGCTCCTCTTGAATGAAGACAATCAGTAGCTACAAGGTAATGGTGAGAGACTGTATACCTAGGAAAGGTTCCCTCCCAGCATGGACAGAGAACTAGGAAAAACATTGGGAGAGTTTAATACTTCCTTTAATAAGAAAGGAAGTATTTTGGAGAAATCTTGACTGGAAAGCAAATCTCCCTCTATCCCTGAAGTCTTTATCCAGGAACAGTGTTCAAGAATCTCTGTGTTGCAAATGTGGAATGCAGTTTTGGTATTCTCCTGCCTCGCATGTATGTTTCATCAACAGGCCGGTGACCAGCTCAAAAAGCCTCAAGTGCTGCCCAATTTCAGGACTGCCTGTCATTTCTACAACCTATGACTCTAGTTCATGCAGCTGAGTTCAGCATGGCCGTGGCTAAACACTGAGTCCTGACATTTACAATCCACCGCTGAGCTTCTTGGGCAAAATGAGGCCCTTTCTTTTACTCACACGTCAGTTGCTTTGGGGGACTCCCAAGACTGAATGTTTTCTATCTGCCATTTCTCCGCAGCTTGGCTATTCCCTGCTGTTATCTTTGGCTCTGTTGCTATGGGCGGAATATTTTTTTGTCCTAGCTTAATAACTGCTTAGCTGCCAGAGGTGCTCATTTCTCATTGTATTGGTGGAGGATTAGCGGAGATGTTTGGGAGATATTTCCTGTATTAAGCAGCAGGGGAGAGCTTGCTGGGCCGATGCCTTCTTTTGACATAGCGTCACACTTTTCCTTTTTTCCACTTTCTCTCTTGGAATGTGCTGAGGCCAGTTATTTGCATCCAGAGCGGCAACTCCTCCCTGACACTTCGCAGATCTCCATCCCTTTTCCAGGTGCCCTTGCAGAAACACTTCTTGGGGAGGCTGTAGTGAGTCCCAGGCAATCATCTCGGTTGGTTTTCTTTCATAGTTGGGGCTCAGCAGTGTCCTGTATCACCAACTTACTTTGCAGGCTTAATTGCCTGGAAACCTATTCCATACTTCACATTTTTTTACAATTAACTCACCAGCCTTCTATTAGAGCCACCATCTCACCCACAATTAACTTGAATCGGGTAATCTGTATTGCCTGAGAGTATAAGATACAAATTTGCAGCTCTGTCCAGAACTCTAACTGCTCATAGATTTTTGGCCCTTGTGTCTGCTTGGGACAATCCTCAAAAGACTGAGAAAAGCTGTCTAGAAAAATTATCAAAGGGAGACAGAAATCTATGAATTTTTGGTTCTTGGTCAGATTGCGATAGAGAAGAATAAATGCTAACAATTTCACTGGAAGTCATTACTAAGAGTTTGGTGATGTCACAGGGATGTGACACAGCCTGGCCCGGGTTTGTCTTTTGAGGCCACCTCTTAAAAGCTCTGGGAATTTTGGTGAGTCACTTTGCCTCTCTTCCCCACAATTTTCTTGTCTATAATATGGGGATAGTTCTGACTCATAAAGTTGTTGTGAGGTGTAAATTTTGGAAGATCCTGTAAACTATAGACATAATATTCTTAGAATTAGGTGAGAATGTATGTGAAAACATTTGCAAACTGCAAAGAACTGTACAAGTGTTAATAGCTGTAGGTCCTACAATGAAAACATAATAAAATTTTTTATCACACTTCAAAGTGTTGGGAGAACCATTTTCTCCTTGCAGTGGGTATTTATCCTTCTGTTAAAATACGATCTTAATCGCTTCCTAACTTGGAGGAATCTCTCACTGTTTGAGGCACAGCCCACCTCCTGCCTGCCAGGTGCTGTGTCCCCAACCCAGGGCATGGAACTAGGGCATCATAACCCAGGCTCAGCCAGTCAGAAGCAGATGCTCAAGGCTTTGTTCCAGAAGCTGGCTGTCCAAAGGAAAGAGACTGCAGCAAGTCCATTCTGGCTGTAGGAGGATAGGGTTGACCATAATGTCTGGTTTCTGGACACAGAGTTGGTAGCAGATCTAGAGTGGCATCTGTCATTCACTCTGGCATTCATCATTCACTCTGGCCAGCTTGGTTGCTGTGAGCAGTGGGGGGCCATCGTGCCTTTAGTTCAGTGGGTGATTTGGGGTGTCATTCCTGCTGCCTTACCTCCCAGCCTGGCTTTGTTGACAACGCAGAGATTCCCTAAGCTGCCCCAAATCCCTTTATATAAAACTGTATTATGGAAAATTCCAAACATACAGAAAATTGAAAGGAATAGAATAATGAACTCCTGTGTATCTATCACCCCATTCCACAATTAATATTTTGCCAATTATTTTACCTGTTTTTTGTCCCCCTCCTCACCTGTTTGGTTTCTTGTTTTCATTTCTTTTCTTGTCTTGTTTCTTTGGTTTGGTTTGGTTTCTTATTTTTTGCTTTGTTTTGTTTTTGTTTGTTTGGGGGCATTTTTTTGTTTGTTTTTGCTGAAATACTTTAAAGTAAGCCCAAAATCTCATGTTATTTCACCCATAAATATCTCAGTGTGTGTGTGCCTTTCTAACTGATAAGGACTGTTTTTACCATAACCATCATGCCATTTTCCACCCACCAGGATTAACAGTAATGCTCAGTATATCCCAATATTCATTTCTGTTCACATCAGCAAGAAATGCTTTCTCTTTCTTATAAGACCCTGACTTACATACTTCTCTTATCCATAAAATAGATACTTCTGCCTCTGAATGTTTTCAGAAGAGTAACTTCTGCTCCTCTCTCTCCCAACCTTGTGGAGGAGTGACCTGATGGCTAAATTGAGAATAGAACTGCAATTCATGGTTCTCTCTCTGTAAGTAACTGTCTGCCCACAAAGCAGCTGTGTTCCACCCGGCTTCAGCTTCCATGGGCTGAGCACACTGGGTCAGGCCCGAGGCCCACCTTGCAGGCTGAGTCTGGAGGAAAATCTCTGTCCTTGAGGAGTGTGAGGAAGTGATTCTGAGTAAACAGAGGTATTCTCTAAATTCAAACTGTTCCTTAATACACGCCAACATGAGGTCTTGGAGTAAAGCCACTCATCCATCCTGCAGTCTCTAATGTTATCAGCCACATCGTTGATCTTCTATCTCTCTTTATTTGATTTCAGCACTGGGGAGATTATTTATAATTTAGGGAAGAGGAAGAAAAAGCAATATCATTTATAAGCCACCAACTTGAACATACACAAAATAATTCAACAGTCATTGCTACAAAGCAAACACACTGTTAAGGACCAGTGACACACAAAAGAGTAGAGCAGCATTCCTGCCCTAAAGAGCCATCAGCTACAGCTGTGACAGGCCCAGGAATCGCAGTGAAGTGGAAGCTACCCTACGGGATGCTGGGAGCACAGTGTGGGAGCAGGTCCACAGAGGTAGGGCATCAGTGAGAGCAAGGAGGACGCAGGCATCCCACGCAGAGAAGAGCCATGTCCCAGAGCCAGGAGAAGGCGGCAAGGAGCAGTGAGGGGCTTGGTGCTGTCCAGGGACTAGTAGAGGAGAGAGAGGCCAGCCTGGGTGAGGAAGAAGCCCTTGTGCTCATCCAAGAAACTGGAGATGCATTTTAAAAGCAAAGGAGTGACACTAAGGTATACAAACAGAGACAAGTTTTAAAAGATCTTTTTAGCAGAGATATGGAGGATGAATGTATAGAGACATAAGACAAGGGTCTGGAAGCACACTTGGGAGCCTGTCGACAACAATACAAGCAAGATGCAGGAAAGCTCTAGCAAAATGGGGAGGGCACACATTCAAGAGATGCTCTGGGGGTTGGATTAATGTGCTGCTTTTTCCAAGAAAGAATTTTTATGTAAATAGGCACGGGGTAGAGCAAGATTTTTTTAAAATTAGAAGTAGAAGGCAAAGAGAAAACAAGGGTAGGGACATAAATGGAGCCAGGAGTGAGATTAGCACATTATGTTGTTTGTGTGTTTATGTATGTAGGTATGTGTGTGTGCATGTGTATGCATGCATGTGTGTGTGTCTGTATGTGTATTTGTGTGTGTGTATGCATCTGTGTATGTGTGCATAATGACAAGGAAGGGATCACAGATTTGGCTCTCAGCTCTCTAGCAGTCAACACCAACAGGGAAGAATCCTTCACACACATCACAATGTTTAGAAGATAAAAGTAAACCAGTTGTTCAGAAGAACAACTATTGCTGAATCTAAAGCCAAAACAAATTTATCTTGAGAGACCTCGCAGAGAGGATATGTATAAAGTAATGATATCCTCAGCAACAGTCTTAATGCGAACAAAATTATTTCAAAGGATGTTTCTCCCAATCATCTTTACTATCCAACCAAACGGTAAACTGAAGAGAGTCAGCATGGAGCAATTGTGGCAGAATTGGAAATTAAATACCACACGTTCAGATGCTCTTGATCTCATCTTCTTCACAAGTTCTCTCCCATCTAAGCAGTGGGGATGGGGAAAACATACAAACTGTCAATTAATGACATATTTTTTTAAATAACAGTTTTATTGAGATATAATTTACCTATCATACAACTGACCTATTGAAGAAGGCATACAACTCAATGGTTTTTCATATATTCAGAGTTGTGCAATCATCACCACAATCAATCTGAGAACATTTTTATCCCTGAAACAAGAAACCCATACCCATAGCTGTCACTGCCTCCACCTTCCCCTCCCCCATACCAAGGCAACCAATTGTCTACTTCCTGTCTCTATAAATTGCCTATTCTGGACATTTCATATAAATGGACTCACACAATATGTTTTCTGTATGTGTGACTGGCTTCTTTGACTTCCTGCTTTCAAAGTTTTTCAGGCTGTAGTATGTATCAATTCTTTATTCCTATTATTGCTAAATAATACTCTGTTGTGACAAAGGGCATTTTGGTCTCCTCTGGTTCCAACAGGCTCCCTGGGGTAACTGGGTCTTTCAGGCCAGGGTGCAGCTCTCCAGGTTTCCTCTTCGAGGCTTTGCACCTCCCAAGAAGGTGTTTAGGGATGTGGGAGTGGGGGTGGTATGGGACACCTCGCGGCCTCACAGTGCTTTTGGGTCAGTGCTGGCAGGTCTGATTCCGAGCTCCGGACTCTCTGGTCCCAAGGCACCCAGCTGCCTTTCATGGCAACCGTCTGCACTGCCCATCACCCATTCCGCTCAGAGAGCTCTCCATTTGAACAGCCTGCCTTAACCCCTGTGGCCACGGCTGATCCCTCGCTCCTGGCCCCTCTGAGCTCACTCACATGGTCCATTTTTGCACCCTGCTAACCCTGTGCCCCATGGCGTGCAGGGGGTCCCAGATCACCCCATGTCCCGCAGGAGTGAGGACCGCTCAGGAGCAATGCCGCCGTGCCGTCCCCTGCTAGCTCACAGCCATCCATGCAGCCGACCCCTGGGCTCTGATGAGGCCTGCGCAGCCCCCACCCTCTGTGCTTTGCACGCCTCCCTGGGAGGCACTAGCATCACTGTCCTCTGGGCTTCAGCCCCGTGGGAAGAAGGCAGGACTCGTGGGTCACAGGCCTCCTTTCTATTTCATTCCTCACTGGACCACAGAGTTGGGCCTTCTCTCCTCTCTTGGGGTTTGAGGACTTCCATTAGGATATGGATCCTGAAATCTCTCTAGACTTGACTTACAGTAAATTAAATATGCTTCTATAGACCAAACTTTTTCCATTCATTCGTTGGCAGAGATTTAGGTTGTCTCCATGTCTTGACTATTGCAAATAAGGCAACGAACATGGGACTGACGCTATCTCTCAAGATCCTCATTTTCTCTGCATGTACACCCAGTGGTGGGCTCTTACTCAGCGTTAAAAAGAAGGAGATCCTGCCATTGGCAACAACATGGAAGAACCTGGAGGACATTGTGCTAAGTGAAACAAGCCAGGCACAGAAAGACAAGCCCCACATGACTTCATGTACATGTGAAATCTTAAAAAGCCAAACTTATAGAAACAGAGAATAGAACGGTGGTTGCCAGGGCTGGAAGGAGGGGAAATGGGGAGATGTTGGTCAAGGAGTACAAAGTTTCAGTTACTGAAGATGAAGAAGTTCTGGAGACTCAGTGCACAGCATGGTGACTATAGTTAATAATACTGTATTATATACTTGGGATTTACCAAGAGGGTACATCTTACCTGCTCTCATCATAACAAACAAAAAAGAAAAGAAAAAAGACAAAAATGGTAACTGTGAGCTAAGGAATGTGTTAGTTTGATTGTTGTGATCATTTCAGTGTGTGTGTGTGTGTGTGTGCGTGTGTATAGAAATGAAGTTGTATACCTTAAAGATACACAATTTTATTTGTCAATTATACCTCAATAAAGCTAAAAATTTCAATATTTAGCCCCAGCAACCCTGGCTTTTGATATGTTATTGGTATTTTAACAAATTTAAGGAAAAATTTCTTTGGAGACTAATCTTTTTAGGAACTCAACAATCCTATTTTGGTAGTTAAATTGTGAATATTGACCCCTTTTTCTCCATTTTTCTGTTATAATAATAGAACTTCCTTCCCATCACCAGTTTGGATATAGATGCTGTAGCTGGCTAAACTGGGAGAAATTATGTACATGGAAATATGAAAAAGAAAAGCAAATATTATAATTTCTATCACAAACTTCCTAGAGGTAGGAAAGGGGCAAATCTGAAAAATGGAATCCTGAGGCTGTTTGTTCAGATGCACGAGGGTGAAAGATGAGTGAAAAATGACTGACAGTTTCTGATTTAGGTGAGTAGGTGGCTACCACAAACCAGGGTAGGAATAGAAGAGGGTTGGAGAAAAATACTGGTCTACACTGGGGCATGTAAGTATGAAGGTGCTTATGGTACATCCAGGTGGGGTGGAGGGCTTGGGCAGGTCTGGAGGCATAAACTCTTTTAAAGAAGATGGGCTGGAGATGAACATTTAGGGCCCCGTACCATTCAGGTGGTAAAGGAAAACTGGGAGTGGGGAATTAGAGATTTCCCTGGGGATTGGCTGCAGAAATGCCAAGGCTTTGGAGCTGCTTGGAGCCTACACAAAAGCCTCCTAAATGGCTTTGCTCTGGCATTAAGAAGGTGGTTTCATAGTTTGCAAATTAATCCCAGCCTACCTTGTACCCTCAACACACAGAGACATGGATATTCAACATGACCCCATTGCTTCTGAACTGCACCAATCCCTAAATTCAAGGTCCTGCACAGCATGATCTTAATGTGTTTTTGTGATCATATCTCTTCATTCTTCCCAATGCATACTCTGTGCTCCATCAAAGAATAGGGCTCTCTCATCTGGAAAACCCCATGTTCATGCCTTTGCTGTTGATATTTCTTCCTTCTGGAATGCATTCCACCCCAGGCTTTTCTCATTTAGAGACCCTGTTCAGATGCTACTTCTATGAATATTTCCCTGACCTTTAAACTTTTGCCAACATTTGTAAAGAACAAAATATGTGCAAAGCACTAGGCTAAGCACTGAGAAGGACACTGATGGGAATGAGTCTCAGTTTCTACCCTGTAATAGACCAAAACTCTATTATGAAGGAATCAATGCTTCTCAAAAGGTGGCTCACCCACTCCCTACATAAAAGGGTTCAGATTCCAAGGCCACACCCCAAACCCACTGCATGAGAATCTCCGTTTTGGAACTCAGAAATGTGCATTTTTGACAAGTTTCTCAGTGACCTTTATGCCACGGGGAGAATATTTTCCTTCCTTCCTGATATGGTAGTTGTTAAGAGACAGTTAAGACTAAGTGAGATACTGCTTTGAAAGCAGCAGGGCACCATTTCAAAGGCCTGTGGTGGGCCTCTCTTTACCAAAGTGTGTCATTCATTGCTGTCCTGTTCAAAAATCCTATACTTTGTGTCCTTGACTTTAAGCTCATTCCTGTCCCACCCTAGAAGAGGCACACCTGATTTTTAGGCGATTCCCACTGACTGTGCGATACAGAGGCGCATGCAAGCATCAGGTATTACTCATATCGTTACTGTAAACTCCACCCAGAGTCTGGAATCTGGTGTTACTCCAGTTCCTTACATCACCACCAACTGTGATGAGGAGCCAGAAAAAGTAGGAAGCATCTGGAGGTCAAAATCAGAGCTGGCCCTGGGCAAGGTATTGAAGGGAGTGAGTTCTGTCTGTGGTGTCTCCTGCCTCTCCTTTTCCTGCTTTTCTCTATTCCTCATCCCCACCTGGGGGGCCTTCTTTAGCCAAGACACCTTCCCTGGTCAGCAAAAAAGAACTGATGGATGTTGAGGACTTAATAGTTCGCCTTCTCAGATTTTTGTTAAAAAGAGATAGAAGGTGAGGCAGTGCTAACTCAAGGAGTGAATAACCAGTGGTGGAACCGTGGACCACATGACAAGCAAGCAAGTGATACTTTTCAGTGGAGGAATTTTTTATGTCCCCTGCCATGTTCCACACAGGTGGCTCCCTATGACTGCAGATTTTCCTAGGGCCAACCATGGTGACTAGGAGCATTGACTCATCACTCTGGGTACCCAGAGGACATCATCCAATGGCCAAACTACCAGAACTCATTAGAAGCCAGAAAAGAGAAAGACCCTAGTATAGTTACCATGAGTGGATCCCAGGCTGTGGCTAATTTGGGCTTGGGAAACTTTCTGAGCTGGCCTTGCTCCAAGGCCACCGAGCACTGCAGTGAATCCTCCAGGACTTGGATGGCATCCAGAATCCTCTCCAACATGGGCCAATCGCCTGTTTCTAGGCACAGCCACCTCCACCCATATCCTGATGGGACACAGTGGAGGAAAGGTCATGTGGAAAAGGGAGGTAGGTTTACACAACAGAAAGAATCCTGAGCTGACGTTCAGGGAAACCTGGGGTCCAGACCCACGGCTACTATTAATAAATGGGGGCACCATAGGTGGTGGCTTACTCAGCCAGAGGCTCCATTTCCTTAGATTAGATGCCTTGAATTTAAGAGTTATTCCAGTTCTGAGGATTAATTATCCTATGTACCAAAATAAAAGACAGAACTTTACAGATTCACGGTGATGAGGAGATATGGATTGTTATGGGACCGGAAAGTCAGGATTTATGAGGATTTATGCAAGATTTTGTGTTTTTTCTGCTCAAAGTGTACTCCCTGGAACTGGTAGCATTGGCTTTCTCAGAACTGGTGCAGATTCCCAGACCCCACCTACTGAATCAAGAGTCCACGTTTCAACAAGATGTCCAAGTGATTCAATTGCACATTACAGTTTGAAAAGGCCCCGTTTAATGTGTATAGCACCCGAGTATCACAGTGCCTTAAAGCTTGTGTTTGCTCCTCATGACCCAAGAATAAGCCCAAACTCCAAAATAAAGTTTGAAGGCCTCTGCACTTCGGTCTCTGCCTCCCTCTCCATCTTTGTCTCCTAGGAGTTCTCCCTTTGATCTCTCTACTGCAGCCATGAGGGCTTCTTTTGCTGCATTGAGCAGGCCACATAAACATCAGTGTGAAATTTCCTTGGCCTGGAATATTCTCCACAAAATCATCCCCTTTTGTTGACTCCTCTGTTATTCCTGCAACAAATATTTAGGGAGAATTTCCTGTGCCAGGCACTATTCTGGGAATGCATCTTGGAGCTGACCCCCTAAGTCTTTCAAGTTTCAACTTAAACTTATCACTCCATGGGAGGTTTTCCTGACCCCAGAGAAGTTTAAATCCCTGTGCTGTATACCCAAAGCCAGCTGCACACCTCCTTTTGCAACACATTGTATTTTACTGTAGTTCTGGTTTAACATCTTTTCTTCACGTTGCACTGAAACCCCATGAGGACAGCCCTGTATCCTGCAATACCCAACTTACCAGCTGGCACAAAGAAGTGCTTTGTGCATATTTATTGATAGGTGAAAGGGTTTCCAAGGCAGGAGGGCCATGGCCAAGATACGAAGAAGGAATCATTGAAGTGACAATGGAATTCTCTGGCTCTCATCACAGACACAAGAGAATAGCCTTTACACATGACTCTTATTTATTTGATCTAAACTTCCAAAGAGATTATCTATGCTCACATTGTGTGGCCTTTGGATAAAGAAAGTCTGAATTGGCATTCACAGAGGAATTCCTCTCTGCTCAGATCTGACTGTGATCTAGGCCTCCCTCTCCCTTCCAATGAGAAAACTTCTGAGACTGTGGGGTGGAGTCGTGAGGGGCGTCCAGCTGGGGTCAGGATCACATGCTCCTGACCTTGGGTCCTGGAGGGAGGTACTGCCGCTTGCTTCTGAAGGCCAGGTGGTGGAAGCCAGCCTCAGATGTGTGTGACACAAGCTAGTCCCTGCAGAAGAGCAGAAGGCTAGGGCAGGAGCAAATGTGCAAAGATAGAAGTTCAGGGATTTGGAAAATCAGATTTTACTTAGGGACAGTGGAACATTAAGGGTTATTTTTAAATTGATGAATGGGGACAGTCAATAAATGAGAGGATGCTCCCTTTCTCTCTCCCTTTGCAGGTGGCTACAGGGCAAGGAGCCATGGAAACTGAAGGAAACTTGGACTGGACATCAGAGACCATAGGAGCTGACCTGTAGAGCCCCTTGACTTTACCGGTTAGGTTCAAAAGCTAACCACCAAATACTAGGGCTAGTGCTTCTTTCAGTGTGCTACCCTCCTCTCTTCTTTCTTCATCAGTCCTGAGGCAAGCAGGCCCACGCTGCTAATCCCAAGTTGACCCAGGAGTACACTAAGGCTTGGACAGTTTAGTTGATCTACCCAAGAACACAGGAACACTCCTGACTTCCAGCCCAGTGTGGTTTCCATTAGACATTCTTGCCATGGCATGAAAACCACAATGAGGTCAGGCAGATAGCTCTGCAACCTGGAACTCTGAGTGAAATCGGTTATGACTGCAGCTGACATACACGGCCCCATACAGCCCAGCAAGGAAGGGGGCAAAGGTCACACCAAGTCAGGACAGAGGCTGTGCCTCTGCTGTGTTCAGGAAACCTTGAGACAAATTTCTTCTCCAATAACAACTCCCTGATGTAAACTAACCAAAAGAAAGCAAACCCAAGTTTCTGCATATTTTAATTGTTTTGTATGATTTTTGCTGGTCTTAGAGTGCTTGTGAGTCAGAAGCAATTTCAGGAAATGCTGCCCATGTCACCAGCTGGAATCCAGGCTCCTGTTCTGCAAGAGCTTTCAGATGCAGGCACATGTTTGAGCATGCGTGCACACACACACACACACACACACACACACACACAAGCTCTCACACATGCCTACACTCACATTCACAAACTGGCACATTCACATACACTCACAGGCATACACACACACGTAAACTCATATACACATACATTCCCACATGCAGTGGCACACAAATTCACATACATACACATACTCACATACTTATACAAACACACATGCTCATATATACTCTCACATAATACACACAAACCCACATACACACACCCAATCATACTCCCTCATATACACACATACATTCGCATACATACTCATGCACTCACACATACCCACACACGTGCACATGCACACACGTGCAAACACACAGAGCCAAGACTTAGCTGTGGCCAAGTCTTCCTGACACTAAATATAAGCATGATATGCTCGGTGCAAAAGGCACTTGTTGCATGAGAATTGAAACTGGATCAAGTCCACTGATTATTTAGCTATTTCCAAATATCTGCATGTTTTGCTTTGTGGACATCTGAATAGTTGGCGGGGGCAAGCTTTTCTCTGTACCTCCTTCCCTCTGGGGATGTGTGAATCAGTTGTTCCTAACCATCCCTTCCCACCAAGCCATAGCAGTGGGAAGTGAGGTCAGTTAACTGTCTCCGTTGCAAAAGGTACACATAAAATTGCCGATTTGAAGGACGGGGGACTGAAGGGACTTTGCAAAGTGACAGCTGCAGCCCCCTGTCTCAGCAGGGGCCATCCTTCCGGAGGAAGAGAAGCCGACAGCCCTCCCTACTCCCTCCCCACTTTCTCATAAGTCCTCAACAAAGGTCTGGAAGCCTTCACACCTTCTAGTCTTTCCACAGGGGTACATCCCAGGCCACATCACACTTCCACAGGGACTTTGGATCTCTGCCGAATCCAGGAGCCTAGGATACAGTGATGGCTCTCTGTCTATGGGAACAAAATTCTTTCTGTAAAATGTGATACAACATAATAAACAAAGGGTATACAAAAGCAATATTTCCCCTTATCTAGTTGTGTTTGTCCAGTGTTCTCTATTTTGTTGTGTCTATTTCCGTTTAGCGTCTATCTGCCTGAGTTTCGTCTCCCTCAGATTGTAAACACATAGAAGAGGAAAACTTTCTCCAGGCAATGGTGAGTATAAGGTTCCCAGAAATTAAGCCCTCAATTAGGGCTTTGGGTGACGTCGGTAATGATGGAAGGTTCTAAATAAAACATTGTAACAATGAAGCCTTAAGTTCTCTAAAGTTGATTTTGCTTCAGAGGAGGAAGTCATTGATTTGCTTGCCTCTCAATGCTGTTCAAACGTCAGTAACAAGGCAGCATGTTAGTGCCACCCCTATTCCCTGTGGACGGCTCGAGAGTTTGTTTCTTATGACATAAGAAGGCTCACTGGCAGCGTGGGGAGAAACATGAAACCCAATTCTGTTAAAAGGTCTCTGTCTTCTGAGCAGGTACTAAGGGTCAGAAACAAATGAAGAATTCTCTGATATTTGGTGACAACAGGCGTCTCCACTGCAGGGGTCTGGGAGTGAATTATTGGAGCATGGTTCAATTTGATATTCATGCACTGCTTAGTACACTGCCTGGCACACAGTAAGTCATCAATAATGCTTGTGGAATGAATGAATGAATGAATGAATGAAGTCCTCTCTCCTCTGTCATGTGGCCATATTCCTTAGACATTTCCGTGTGCCTTATCCATGTGAGGATTCAGTCCTCACGGAACTCATCACTGGCCACATCTTCCCAGCAATGAGTTCTATGAGGATTGCACCCTCACTTTGGGTGTGATCTCCCTGTAATGCTGTCTTGAGAGCATGTGATGGAAATCCCTTTAAAAAAGAAAGGACTTTCCTTTCTTACCCCCAAACACCATTCCCCTGAATACAGCTTTCTACTACAGAGGATTCCAGACTTGCTTCTCATCCCTCTGCAGGGGTCGCTGGCCTCTCTATGCACTCCACCATCTAGACTGTGAGCTTCTTAAGACAGAAAACAAACAGCTTATTTACCCCTCACCTCTAGAGCTCAGCACACTGAGGGCATCCAATACACAGCAACTGACGATGAGCTTATTCCAGGGAAAGTGGAATGTGAGTGGGAGGAGGACTGCAACCAGGTTGCTCAGTCTATCTAATGACATCCATTACAAAACCTCAGAGTTCCTTGGGAATAAGCTGCATTTCCCGGAGATGGGCAATGTGGAAAGATGGCAACAGCTTCTGGCTGAGCAGGTATGTGGAAGATGGTTCTCATTTGCTTAGTAGGGACAGTGCAGCACAGTGATTGCGTGTGGCCTATAGAGCCAGACTACCTGAGTTACGCCCTGGCTTTCCCCTCATTAATTTTATGACCTTAGAGAGGCCATTTAATCTCATGTTCCTTGATTTTATCTGTAAATGGGGCAGTAATCACAGAGAAGAATAAACAAGTTCATACAGGTAAAGGACTTAGATCATGGCCTGGCACACGCTAAGTTTGTGAGAAATATTCGCTAGTATGATTCTCTTTGTGCAGGAAGGAAGTGGGGATCGCTTACCCTGGAAGGAGACTACTTTAGATCTGAAGGACAATGTTTTCAGTTGAACTACTGAGCCTCATCCATTTTTGGGCTTCTGTCCGTTATCTAAGAGGTCTCCCTGTCCCCAGCCTTGCTCTTTCTGACACCTGCTTCACCGTGTCTCCAGGATCACCTTTCCAGCATGCAGGTCTGACCGCAGCACTGTCTTCTTGAAAGTCCACAGGACGCACTCTCAGCTCCCAGCTCGGTGCTCAGTGCCCTGCCGGGTGTGATCTTGGCCATGGCTCCTGTTTCACCTCCTGCAACTTTCCACCTCTCCCTCCCAATGGGCTCCAGGAGCACGCGGAGTTTTGAGCTTCCTCCCACACATGATGGTCTTGCACCTCACAAAAGCACTGCTCCTGCTGTCAGGAACGGCTCCTTCTCCACTGCAACCCCCTCTTCACTCTCACCCTCACCCTGACCCTGCTATGTGAACAGCGGGCTTCTGCTTTTCCTTCAGAGCACACTTGAGGAATGGTGAAGCTGTCTTAGATGCTGTTAGAGCTGAATCGTGTTCCCCAGAATTCGTGTATTTGATTCCTAACCCCCAGCACCCCAGAATGTGACTATACTTGGAGACAGGGCCTTTAAAGAGGAAATGAAGTTAAAATGTGGCCGTTGGTTTGGGCCCTGATCCATTCCGGCTGGTGTCCTCATAAAAAGAGGAAACTTTGACACGTGAAGAGACACCAGGATACAGGCACAGAGGGAAGGCCGCATGCAGACACTGAAGGAGGTGGCCGTCTGTAAGCCAGAGGGCCTCAGAGGAAACCAGCCCTGCCAGCACTCTCGTCTTCGACCTCCAGCCTCCAGAACTCTAAGGAAATAAATTTCTGTTCCTTAGGCCACCTGGTCTGCGGTATTTTGTTATGGTAGCAGAGCAAATTCATACAGATGCCCATAGAATAGCCTTGATTTAGGTGTTCCCTATAAGACAGACATAAGCTGTCTGTGACATTGGCAGCTCCTATTAGGCGGGGCTCAGGGACTCTCCTTATTCTTCACTCTAAGTCCTACACAACTGCTGGAAACATGTGTTAATAAACATCACAGTCAAGAACTTCTCAGTGAGCACGTGGGCACACGGGTATCCTTGGTGTCTGGGGATACATCCTACTTCGAGACTGTTTTATTTTTTAAATGTATGTAAATGTTTGATTCTACTCTATAGAATGTTTTGCTATAAAAATGCTTTGAATTTCAAGTTACTGGTCAAAATTACTTAACTTTTACAAGCCCAACCTTGGAGTGAAACTGGTTAAGGACATGTACCGTGGTATCTGATGGTTTTTCCTGCCTCCTATGTGTGGACATGCTCTGAGAGTTCCGGGACAAGCAGTCGCAGTAGGCAGGAAATATGTAGGATATTCCAGGAACTGTTTTATGGAGAACATAGAGCAGAGGGAGCTAAAGACACCCAGAGACCAAGACTGACAGCCCATGAGGAGAACTCAGAGGTCCGAAAACTTTCTGCGGGCGGCAGATATGATGCTGGGGGATGCTGGCAAAAAACACCCTGCTATCTACAGTAGAGAAGGGGGAAGATGTCATGATATCCACAGATTTGGCATATGCATCAGTAACCTGTGACCAAGAAAAACTAGACATCAGCTGCTTGGAGAAAATGGGTGACGTGGCTAATCTGTTAACTAGGGAAAATAATACGTACAGGATTATTTTAGAGTTAATGAAAAAGCACATAAAAGAGCTTAGCACACACTAATAAGTGGAAATTATCATTATCTTTATAATCATAATCATGATTGCCCCATGAATACTCAGTGTTAACCCCCACAAATATTCAGAAGGGAATTGTCCTAGTAGAAGTTACTATGTTCACATGTAAAGAACGTTACCCTCACTGGAAAAAAGAACTTAGTAAACTGAACCCTAAATAACATGAAAGCTAATTTCTATCTTGATCAGAAATGATTTGGAAAAGAGTGAAAGAGTAGAAAATGGTAACAATCATCATCATAAAATTTCCAGCACCTGCAGTTCCATAAATGGAATTTTAAAAATCCATGTAATAGCCATTATTTCATGGGTACTTTGTAAACTTCTTTTTTCCAATCACAACAACCCTTCAGATCCTCATCAGAATTGATGCAGGATTCTTATTCTCCTTAACTCAACTAGATCCAGGTTGTTGTCTCACGACCGGGAAAAATTAGGCATTCAGACATTCAAAGAGTGAGTGGAGTAGATTTTATTAAGTGAAAGGAAAGCTTTCAGCAAAGAAAGGGGTCCTGAAAGTAGGTTCCTGTTCGCCCCCTTCACAGTTGAATGCAAGGGCTTTTACACACAAGCTGATAGAGCTGGGTTTCCTATTTTATAAGGTATGAATTCCTGGTGGCTCCACCCCATTCCTCCAGTGCACATGTGGGCCCTTAGTTTGCTGCATGTTTAGGTAAGCCCCCTGTGCAAGTTCCCTTATCTGCACAAAACATAAGTCAGAGGCTCTCTGGGGGCCCTTCCTTTACTGTCTGCCTAAAGCAAGCTGGCTAACTCCTTTCAGAATCACTATAGTTCACCCAGTCTTTACCTTAACAAATAGAACTGGGCCCCAAGCCCATTAATGCAGGGTCTGGGCTCCCCTCTCCCTCTCCCACCACCCCCTACCATCCCAAATTAAGGGCTTCTGGGATGGCCCAGTTTTCCACCCTGCCTTCTGTGCATCCCAAGAGGCAGTAAGTGACTGCACTTTGGGTCAGACTCTGCCTGGGCTCAAGTGGCTGCTCTGCAACTTTGTAGCAGCATAACCTGGGACTGATTACTCCACTGCTGGAAGCCTTAGGTTCCTTGCAGCTAAATAAAGATGATAATAGTAACTTCCACATGAGCTGGGTTTTTAAAAATGGTATCAGACTATATGTTTGGAATGTAATAAGCATTAAAGTTTTTTTAAGGTAGTTGCTATTATAATCTGTGTATACCCAAACCACTTCTTCAGCATCAAACCTAGTGGGCTCTCAGATCCAATGAGGCAGTGTTGCAAAATCTTTCTTGACTGCAATGACCACCACCAAAAGTGAGTCAGAACTCATTTCCCGGTGGCTCCAGCTAACACCTATTTTAATTGCCTTCCAAGTAGATACCTCCCAGGTTAAAAGTGTTGCCTACAGTCTAACATAAAGTCCAGGGCCAGATATTGTTATGAAAGCCAGGTGGTCGATTACAAGATTATTTTAAAATCTTGCTCACACTCTCCTCCCCCATGGCAATGTTGAAATTGGAAGTAGCAACAGAACAGAAGATTTTAACAAGAAGGTGTGAACCTCAGGGTTACATTTCCTGTTTGTTTCTAAATTAGGAGTTTTAGAGCCACACATCCATCATGGGCTTTCAGAAACTGAGAAATCCCCCTGTGTCCTCCTGGCCCAGCATGAGGCTCACTTCCCCTTGCTTCACCATTACCCTGTTATTTCTGGGCAGGTTTGTTTGTTTCTCCAGGTGCCATCCAGATAGTCAGTGCACATGAGTGATCTGCAGGGGAAGGCAGGGCGAACAAAGGAAGAGAGGATGGGTCCAGGGAACAAAGTGGTCCCTGCAAAAAAGAAAGCCAAACAGAGACATATGGAGTTCATCATGGAAGAGGCACAACTCCCCAAGCTGTGCAAATGTGTATGAGTGCCGAGGGCACATTTGAAACAACTGTTTTTCTATGTGCCTTGCAAATTATTTTGTGGTTTCTGCAGAGTTCCTTTTGGGTGATTGCTTTTAAGCACCACCTAAGCCCATCCCAGCTTAGCCCTTGGAAAGCAATGCCTAGAGACATTTCTGCACACTGGACAAACGTCATTTTGTAAAAGTTCCATCCAAGAAATGAATGCAGGGACAATTCTCACGTAAAGTGCAGACTAATCCCTGCCGTTTATGATTGCGTCTCCACTGCATGGACCAGCTAGAAATTTCAGGAGGAAGAAAACCAGCCAAATAATTGACATTGTGTAGACAAAATGGTTAATGGAGTTATTGCTTCTTTTTTGAACATCGTGTAAATGCAGGTTGAGTCAAGTGGTTCTTATTGAGTTACTTCAAATCACACGTAACTGTGCCATCCAGTGGTACCTATCCTCAAGGAAGAGGCTGTAATGAAAAAGCCACGGTCAAGCACTCATTCCCCAGAGACAGCTGGCGATTATACTGTAATTACAATCGTGTGTGGGGGAGACTTGGAGGAGTAACTGCTGGGCATCCTCTGTCTCTTTCTGTATGTAAGAATCAATCAGAAGTAACCAGAGAGGCAACACTGGCCAGCGAATGCACCGACGCAGAACATTTTTCCTTTGAAGCTAGAACTTCTTTGACCTCCGGCATCACTGATTTGCTTTCAAACCCCAGAAGTGTCCCAGAAGGGTCAGCAGAGATGGCTCTAGGGGAATGTTTTCTTACTTGGTAATTTTATCAAGAATGAGAAATGGAAACACCCACAGAACTCAATGAAGTCTTCTGCATTCCCCTTTCACCTGGTTCTCCTTTGAAAGCAAATGTATAGCAGGCATTAAATAGGTTAGTGGGTTGGGGGAGGAAAAAGAAGGGTTAGTCTACATTTCCTGCCCTGGAACAGACTTCATGAATTCTAAGACTAAACTGGGAACCATTTTCAAGTGTAATTACCAGGAGGCAGAATGTTTTATCAGAGTTTTGAAGCTGGTCTGGAGGTCCATCCTGGGCTACAGTGACTGTGACAGAGCAAAATTTGGCCAAGAGAAAAAAACCCGGAACCATTGGATAGAAAGTGATCACATGATAAATTATCGAAAGAATAATAACAGGTGAAGCAAGAATGCTGAGACCTGTGCTGGCAGGATCAGCGTCTACAAGAAAACCGTGTGAAGAGTTGAGTAGGAAATCTTTGCAAGTGAGTCCAGGACTGAGGCACCTGAGGGGACACTACAGAGGGGTTGGGGCTTGACTAAGCTTTTCCAAACCTCAAGTCATAAATTTTTGCACACAGAAAACCCTGAATGTGAAAAATAAGTCAGCAATGACCCGGACTAGGGACTACACATTATGTTCCAAGACTGTAAGTTAAACTAAGCCCTATGAATTCCATTCAGCAAATGTAGAACCAAGGGCTTAGTGGATGCCCAAGCTGTGTTACTGTGGGGAACAATCAAAGACAAGGTCCTTGACTCTCAGATGTTTAAAATCATATCTCCATCCAGACTTTCCAGGTGGCCATTCCAGCATAACAGATCCTGACGGAAAACTGGTGAATGGGATTAACCTTGTAGTCTCAGAGCACTATTAGATTATTCTGTAGCCCAAAACTTTCTACCACCAATATGAGAAAGTTAATTTGTAAAGGTAATAATTCCCTTCTCTGTAACAATTCTTCTTACACCTTCGGTAACATCAAATTTCTCATACACAAGAGAGGCCAGCAAACCCAGCCCTGAGTGTGCGAATCACTCATCCATTTCAATGAACAGAGCTCATGATTCCTGAGGAATATTACCTTCCCAGCTTGAAGAGAAGATACTGTAACTTGGAGGCATCCTGTAACATCTCCCATTAATAAGCATCTTTCCCCAAAATGTGTTCCATAGATATGTTGCAAAATTAGCATTCCATCATCAAATGTTTAGGAAACAGGATTAAACTGAGTTTAAAAACATTAACACATTTTAAGTCAAAAATTTTCTTAAGCATAAGTTCTGACTCTTTAATGCACATTGTGAATTGGTAAGTGGAGAATGAAGTATTTTTCAATCTTATTTGACCATGGAACCCTTTCCTCATAAAAATGATTTCCAGCACAAGTAGTCCATGGAACACACTTTGGGGGCCCCTGGGTCAGGACCCCATGCCCAAGAACGTGCTCTCCTGCAGACTTTTCATGCACCCACATGGAGAGTGCTCTCCTGCAGACTTCGTGCACCCACATGGAGAGTGCTTTCCTGCAGACTTCATGCACCCACATGGAGAGTGCTCCCCAAAGTGATTCCAGACGAGCTGGGCCCCTGGCAACTCTGTGCTACTATGAGCAGTTCTACTTATGATGAAAATGTCCATGACTAATATTCATTATGTTTTCTCCAAATATTTTTCCTTGTGGTCACAAGACTTACTTTCTACCCAGATCTCTTGTTTGGATGTGATGAGGGAGCAGAGCGTGGTCTCTTGGGTCCCATCCCCAGTTCTATGTTGGCACATTACTCTGTGTCACATTTAGCTGACCAGCCCACTGGGAACACTTCATCCTTTTCCTCTGAGGGAGGTGATGGGGCTTGGGATGTAGGTTCAGCCCTTAGCAGGACCATTTTGCACAGAGAAAAGCATGTTCCCAAGTCCCAGACGACTGAACCCCCAATTCTAAAGCAGCGTGTGGGCTCCAAGGGAGATGGGGATAGAGACCATTGCTGACTCAGCACTTCCTGTCACCACCCCTGCAAAAACAAGCCCAAGAGCAGATTCCAGACGGCGGGTCAGCATCTTCTGTACAGGTGACAGCACATGAGATTTAGTCAGCCTCCGCCTCAAGTCCTCCTGCCGAAGTGACAATGTGGCGACGGGAGGCATGCTTCTGGCGGGAAGCTGTGGCTCTCCCCTAGTTGGCTGCCTCGGCACTTCCGTCTCTGGTGAGGACTCTGCCAATTTGGGAAGTGTGGACTCAGGTCCCAAAGAGTCAGATGGGCTGACGCCTGGTTTCTATCTTGTTCTTGGAGACGTGAAGTCTAGAAACCACAGTCCATCTGTTTTTCAGGGAGTTTTTTTTGTTTGTTTAAAACAACACCTATTCCAAACATTAAGAAGGAAAGACAGCCGTGTGAATGTTCTGTAAGCCAGATATGGGAGAGTGGCCACAGTCTGAGTACACGTGCCCACCTGGAGGCCAGGAGGGGTGATCCACAGGTAGGAGAGGCCGTTCCCACAGGGCTGGGCAGCTGCACAAACATGCAGCACTTCTCCGCAGAGCTCAGAGAGCCTGGCGAAAGTAAATGGATGAAGTCATGCTGGCAGGCCTGTGTCACCCTCAAGTAATTAGGACCCTTGCCCAGTCACCTCCCAGACCCAGCCTAGCACGCTCACAGGTGTGTTGTCCTTCCCCAGCTGGCATAACAAGGCCATGCCAGCTCTGAGGCCAAAACAGCCCCGGGCCATCCAAGACTAATAGGGCCAAGCCATAGAAGCCAAGCCAGGAAGAGGAGAGAAGGCTCTCCTCCGCAAAATGAAAATAAATTGCAAAATGGCATTGTGTGTGTGGTTGCCCTGGAGAAGAAGGATCTGGGGAGGAATAAAAATAGAAACTCTGTCAAGGCTCTTCAATGAGGTTCGTTCCTGCACAGCCAGGTGGTCCCAGGGCAAAGGGCAGGAGTTAATCGCCACAGTGCTGGGACACACAGGAGAAAGAACCAGAGGCAGATTTTGCCTGGGCCCCAAACCCACTGTAACTCACGAGAGGTCAGGGAGACAAGACCTCCAGCACTCCTGTGCTTTGTTGCACAGACTTTTCATTGATCATCTCATTTATGAGATAGATGGGATTATTGATTAATCACATTTTGTAAATGAGGAAACCCAGGACCAAGAAAGTGTGGGGCTTCACGTTTGCTCCACCAGTAACTGGGGCAGATGGGATTCAAGCCCGTGCCTCTCCCACCACGGCATTTGTGTTTTGTTCTTCTGCTAATAGTTCAGGTCACCAAAAGCCTTCAGTGAGCAAACCCCTTTTCCTATTGGAGCAGTTGGAGAAGGAGGGGAATATGCTTCCCAAAACCTGCTCAGAAAGTCACATGTTTTAACTTACTCTGTTCTTATCCCTACTCTTGGGTTAGGCTGCAGAGAGGATGAGCTGAATTTGCTGTGGGGAGGCCTGAGGGATAACCAAAGGTGAGCAGTGGGGGTGAGGTGGGAAAACATGATGGCTTCATCCTTGCTCTCCTTTGCCTACCCTCCCCTCACCCTCTAGCCCAGTGATTTCACAAGTCAGAGTTCCTCCAAAATCCCAAAAAAGGGGTTATGGGTGCCTGCCATTAAGGCCACCCAGAACCTAAGGGTTTGTGCTGTCAAGGTCTCCACAGTGAAATCCCTGCATTCAGATCATCCTGGATGGTCCCATGGCTTTGTGCTGATCACACACATTCCTGGCATATTTTTGGTGCCTTTTTGTTTTTGCATAGAAAAAGCTGTCCTTGTGTTTGTGTCCCATCTTATACCTTTGGAGGCACTTAGCTAAAGATATTTCCGAATTTGCCCACATTGCTACTATACATACAGACAACTGGCATTCAGGGATGTCTTCTGTCCGTTTGAGAGCTGTTGATGAAGAGCATGGTGATGGCTTTTTGTCCCCGTGGGACGCAGCTCCGTTTTGTGTTCTCTGCAGCTGATACGCCTCATCTCAAGAATTTTAGTCTACTGGGCATTGCTCTAATTGTGCCTTCTGATGATCTCTTCCTTTTCCTGTCCAGCACTCTCTCCATTCTCTTGCTCCTATTAACCCATTTCTATCTTGCCCTTTCTACTCACCACTTCTGCTCTTTATTTTCATTTAGATAAAAATGAACGTTGCTACGTTATTTCTATTGACAACTAACACAGCTGTTTCCAAAAGGCTCAGAAAACTGACCAATTGTGGTACATTGATCAAAACTTTCAGGGTCCTCCACTTTCAAGAGCAAACAACATAATTAAGCAAAGTTTATGGAGCGCCCACTAGTCACTGGTGCTCTCTCTTCAGCTAAGAGTGACCCAGACACACCAGCCAAGGGAATTTCAGTGGACACAGGCAGGGTATCCTGTGTGCAGACCAACTCCCACCCTGCAGTCCAGAGGCAGTGAGAGCACGGGGCAGCTGCCCAGGGCCCTCAGGCTGGGCTTGGTAAGTGAACTCTCTGTGAGGAAGCAGCTTCCTCCCCTGTGCCTGCCTCCACATTCCTTCCTTTCACCCCATACCATCTGAGATTTCCGTCCAACTCCCTTTGCGTTTTGGCTCAACCCTTAAATAACCTGAGAGACCTTTGGAGGTCAAGTATGTCAAAGAAAGATGATCAGGAAATGCAGAGACAGCTACTCAAAGGTGAGAAAGGGGAGGAACTGAATACACTCAGGTGGGCATAAGCCATAGAAATGCAAAGTAGTCCAGCCTTGGGTGTAGCCAGGAATAGCAAGCTGAGCCAGTGGGAAGAAAGAACACTGGAGCAACTAAGAGAAGGAGAGATAGTAACCGAGGATGTGATACCGCCCAGCTCCATGCCTCCTCCTGGGTGTCTCTTTCAGGAACAGTCACCCTTAGAAAGTGACTATTTTCAAAAGAAATGGTAGAGAAGAATCAGGGGCCCGAGTGGCTGGAGAGAAGAGCTATTCAGAGATCTTTGTTTTAGGTCATCCGGCACAAGAAAATGAGGACAAAGGAGACCCTCTGTGTCTCAATAAGGGCCACGTATTGGGGGCAGCTTCTCTTGTGCTCTCTCAGGAATTTAAAACCCCACATGAAGACATAAGTGGAAAAGTCCCCAGAGTCCCTATTCTGTGTAGTGAAGTAATTCTCCCCTCCTGCATTCACATTGGCTAATGGCTTTTCTGGGTCCTAGAAATAATTTTATTTCTGTAACAGACATGCGTATCTCTTAGGGTGAAAGTCTAACACCAGCCTGAAAAATCCGAGACTTGGTTTTTAATTCTAGATCTCAACTGGGTGCTCTTTGACAAGTCATCCTCCACACACTTCCTGGGGCACCTCTTAGGAGCCAGCTACGTTGCTTGGTGCAGAAAATTCAGGGGTAACTAAAATACTCTATCCCTGGGCTTCCATTTTATCTGTAAGATAAGAGAACTGGAGAGAAGACATCCAAAATCCTTCCAAAATCCATTTTTCTAGCCAAAGAAGACTAGTCTGGGGAGACGTTATGAAGCAAGTTTTGTTGCCATCTCTATTTCCACTTATTAAAAAGAAAATCAAATCCATGGTTTCAGCCATTTGACATATAGTCATTCTCACCAAAGATAAGTTTTATCTTTTTAAAATATATATACTAGCCATTTGGAAGCTATCACATACAGGAGCTTGTGATTTCCAGGCACTCCATAAATCATTGTATCTTCCCAACTGACATTATCAGGATGTTTCTCAGTTCCATATTTTTGTGCCTGATCAATATTGCTAGGTACTACTATTTACACTCAGTCTTCCTTACCAAATCAGAATATCTCCACTGTTTTTCAAACTAACGTGAACCTCTATTTTAGACAGTACCTGACTGCTAGGAGTTCACATCAAATTCAGGCATACTGATTTAGATACCCAGAAAGGACACACAAAAATCTCAATAGAAGGAGTAAAAGTCAGAGATATATGTTGTAGTAAATGCTTCGTAGGGCAGGCAAACAATCCATTTTGTAGTAACCCAAAGTAAACCAAGGCTAGGCATGTTGAGAAACGAAAAACTGGCAAAGCAAGAATGTACCGGGATTTGCAAAACTATAACAGAGGTATGCAAAGATAAGAAATGGCGATTTCTCATCTTAGTCTTCATGACTGAAGAAAAACATATATGTAGAGGTTTGAGAATTAAGACAAAATCACTGAGATCTGGAAGGGAGGTGGTTAGGACAGAAGAGCACTGGCTTTGTCTTCCAAGAGACCTGGGTTTGAATCCAGCTCTGCTATGTATTTGACATTTTAATATAGACAAGTTATAGGCTTTCCAAACCTTATTTTTTCTTAATAATACTTCATAGGAGTCAGGCCTCTGAGCCCAAGCCAAGCCATCACATGCCCTGTGACTTACATGTATATGCCCAGATGGCCTGAAGTAACTGAAGAATCACAAACAAAGTGAATATGCCCTGCCCCACCTTAACTGATGACATTCCACCACAAAAGAAGTGTAAATGGCCAGTCCTTGCCTTAAGTGAGGACATTACCTTGTGAAAGTCCTTTTCCTAGCTCACCCTGGCTCAAAAAGCACCCCCACTGAGCACCTTGAGACCCCCACTCCTGCCCACCAGAGAACAAACCCCCTTTGACTGTAATTTTCCTTTACCTACCCAAATCCTATAAAACGGCCCCACCCTTATCTCCCTTCGCTGACTCTCTTTTCGGACTCAGCCCACCTGCACCCAGGTGAAATAAACAGCTTTACTGCTCACACAAAGCCTGTTTGGTGGTCTCTTCACACGGACGCGCATGAAATTTGGTGCCATGACTCGGATCAGGGGACCTCCCTTGGGAGATCAATCCCCCGTCCTCTTGTTCTTTGCTCCATGAGAAAGATCCACCTATGACCTCAGGTCCTCAGACCGACCAGCCCAAGAAACATCTCACCAATTTCAAATCCGGTAAGTGGCCTCTTTTTACTCTCTTCTCCAACCTCCCTCACTATCCCTCAACCTCTTTCTCCTTTCAATCTTGGTGCCACACTTCAATCTCTCCCTTCTCTTAATTTCAATTCCTTTCAATTCCTTTGGTAGAGACAAAGGAGACGCATTTTATCCGTGGACCCAAAACTCCGGCGCCGGTCACGGACTGGGAAGGCAGCCTTCCCTTGGTGTTTAATCTTTGCAGGGACGCCTGCCTCGGTCCTTCACCCTTAGCGGCAAGTCCTGCTTTCCTGGGGCAGGGGCAAGTACCCCTCAACCCCTTCTTCACCCTCAGCGGCAAGTCCTGCTTTCCTGGGGCAGGGGCAAGTACCCCTCAACCCCTTCTCCTTCACCCTCAGCGGCAAGTCCCGCTTTCCTAGGGGGCAAGAACCCCCCAATCGCTTATTTCCACACCCCAACCTCTTATCTCTGCGCCCCAATCCCTTATTTCCGTGCCCCAACCCCTTCTCTGCTTTTCTGGAGGGCAAGAACCCCCCACCCCTACTCCATGTCTCTACTCTTTTGTCTGGGCTTGCCTCCTTCACTATGGGCAAGCTTCCACCTTCCATTCCTCCTTCTTCTCCCTTAGCCTGTGTTCTCAAAAACTTAAAACCTCTTCAACTCACACCTGACCTAAAACCTAAATGCCTTATTTTCTTCTGCAATGCCACTTGACCCCAATACAAACTCGACAGTAGTTCCAAATAGCCAGAAAATGGCACTTTCAATTTTTCCATCCTGCAAGATCTAAATAATTCTTGTCGTAAAATGGGCAAATGTTCTGAGGTGCCTGACGTCCAGGCATTCTTTTACACATCTGTCCCTTCCTAGTCTCTGTGCCCAGTGCAACTCGTCCCAAATCTTCCTTCTTTCCCTCCCGCCTGTCCCCTCAGTCCCAACCCCAAGCGTCGCTGAGTCTTTCTAATCTTCCTTTTCTACAGACCCATCTGACCTCTCCTCTCCTCGCCAGCTCAAGCTAAGTCCCAATTCTTCCTCAGCCTCCGCTCCTGCACCCTGTAATCTTTTTATCGCCTCCCCTCCTCACACCTGGTCTGGCTTACAGTTTCATTCCGTGACTAGCCCTCCCCCACCTGCCCAGCAATTTACCCTTAAAAAGGTGGCTGGAGCCAAAGGCATAGTCAAGTTTAACGCTCCTTTTTCTTTATCCCAAATCAGATAGCGTTTAGGCTCTTTTTCATCAAATATAAAAACCCAGCCCAGTTCATGGCTAGTTTGGCAGCAACCCTGAGAGGCTTTACAGCCCTAAACCCTAAAAGGTCAAAAGGCCGTCTTATTCTCAATATACATTTTATTACCCAATCTGCTCCCGACATTAAATAAAACTCCAAAAATTAAATTCCGGCCCTCAAACCCCACACAGGATTTAATGAACCTCGCCTTCAAGGTGTACAATAATAGAAAAAAGTTGCAATTCCTTGCCTCCACTGTGAGACAAACCCCAGCCACATCTCCAGCACACAAGAACTTCCAAACGCCTGAACCGCAGCGGCCAGGCGTTCCTCCAGAACCTCCTCCAGGAGCTTGCTACAAGTGCCAGAAATCTGACCACCAGGCCAAGGAATGCCCGCAGCCCAGGATTCCTCCTAAGCCATGTCCCATCTGTGCAGGACCCCACTGGAAATCGGACTGTTCAACTCACCTGGCAGCCACTCCCAGCGCCCCTGGAACTCTGGCCCAAGGTTCTCTGACTGACTCCTTCTCGGCTTAGCGGCTGAAGACTGATGCTGCCCGATCACCTCAGAAGCCCCCTAGACCATCACGGACGCCGAGCTTCAAGTAACTCTCACAGTGGAGGGAAGTCCGTCCCCTTCTTTATCAATACGGAGGCTACCCACTCCACATTACCTTCTTTTCAAGGGCCTGTTTCCCTCGCCTCCATAACTGTTGTGGGTATTGATGACCAGGCTTCTAAACCTCTTAAAACTCCCCAACTCTGGTGCCAACATAGACAATACTCTTTTAAGCACTCCTTTTTAGTTATCCCCACCTGCCCAGTTCCCTTATTAGGCCAAAACACTTTAACTAAATTATCTGCTTCCATGACTATTCCTAGACTACAGCTATATCTCATTGCTGCCCTTCTTCCCAATCCAAAGCCTCCTTTGCGTCCTCCTCTTGTATCCCCCCCACCTTAACCCACAAGTATAAGATACCTCTACTCCCTCCTTGGTGAGACTGATCACGCACCCCTTACCATCTCATTAAAACCTAATCACCCTTACCCCGCTCAACGCCAATATCCCATCCCGCAGCACGCTTTAAAAAGATTAAAGCTTGTTATCACTCGCCTGCTACAGCATGGCCTTTTAAAGCCTATAAATTCTCCTTACAATTCCCCCATTTTACCTGTCCTAAAACCAGACAAGCCTTACAAGTTAGTTCAGGATCTGCACCTTATCAACCAAATTGTTTTGCCTATCCACCCCATGGTGCCAAACCCATATACTCTCCAATCCTCAATACCTGCCTCTACTACCCATTATTCTGTTCTGGATCTCAAACATGCTTTCTTTACTATTGCTTTGCACCCTTCATCCCAGCCTCTCTTTGCTTTCACTTGGACTGACCCTGACACCCATCAAGCTCAGCAAATTACCTAGGCTGTACTGCCGCAGAGCTTCACAGACAGCCCCCATTACTTCAGTCAAGCCCAAATTTCTTCCTCATCTGTTACCTATCTCGGCATAATTCTCATAAAAGCACACGTGCTCTCCCTGCCAATCGTGTTCGACTGATCTCTCAAACCCAAGCATCTTCTACAAAACAACAACTCCTTTCCTTCCTAGGCATGGTTAGCGCGGTCAGAATTCTTACACAAGAGCCAGGACCACACCCTGTAGCCTTTCTGTCCGAACAACTTGACCTTACTGTTTTAGCCTAGCCCTCATGTCTGCGTGCAGCGGCTGCTGCTGCTTTAATACTTTTAGAGGCCCTCAAAAATCACAAACTATGCTCAACTCACTCTCTACAGTTCTCATAACTTCCAAAATCTATTTTCTTCCTCATACCTGACGCAAATACTTTCTGCTTCCCGGCTCCTTCAGCTGTACTCACTCTTTGTTGAGTCTCCCACAATTACCGTTGTTCCTGGCCCAGACTTCAATCTGGCCTCCCACATTATTCCTGATACCACACCTGACCCCCATGACTATCTCTCTGATCCACCTGACATTCACCCCATTTCCCCAAATTTCCTTCTTTCCTGTTCCTCACGCTGATCACGCTTGATTTATTGATGGCGGTTCCACCAGGCCTAATCGCCACACACCAGCAAAGGCAGGTTATGCTATAGTACAAGCCACTAGCCCGCCTCTTAGAACCTCTCATTTCCTTTCCATCGTGGAAATCTATCCTCAAGGAAATAACTTCTCAGTGTTCCATCTGCTATTCTACTACTCCTCAGGGATTATTCAGGCCCCCTCCCTTCCCTGCACATCAAGCTCGAGGATTTGCCCCACCCAGGACTGGCAAATTAGCTTTACTCAACATGCCCTGAGTCAGATAACTAAAATATCTCTTAGTCTAGGTAGATACTTTCACTGGATAGGTAGAGGCCTTTCCTACAGGGTCTGGGAAGGCCACCGCAGTCATTTCTTCCCTTCTGTCAGACATAATTCCTCAGTTTAGCCTTCCCACCTCAATACAGTCTGACAACAGATGAGCCTTTATTAGTCAAATCAGCCAAGCAGGTTTTCAGGCTCTTAGTATTCAGTGAAACCTTTACATCCCTTACGGTCCTCCGTCTTCAAGAAAAGTAGAATGGACTAAAGGTCTTTTAAAAACACACCTCACCAAGCTCAGCCACCAACTTAAAAAGGACTGGACAATACTTTTACCACTTTCCCTTCTCAGAATTCAGGCCTGTCCTCAGAATGCTACAGGGTACAGCCCATTTAAGCTCCTGTATAGATGCTCCTTTTTATTAGGCCCCAGCCTCATTCCAGACACCAGACCAACTTAGACTGTGCCCCAAAAAACTTGTCATCCCTACTATCTTCTGTCTAGTCATACTCCTGTTCACCGTTCTCAACTACTCATACATGCCCTGTTCTTGTTTACACTGCCGGTTTACACTGTTTTTCCAAGCCATCACAGCTGATATCTCCTGGTGCTATCCCCAAACTGCCACTCTTAACTCTTGAAGTAAATAAATAATCTCTGCTGGCAGGACTATGCTGAATCTCCTTAGGCACTCTCTAATCAGATATCCTGAGTCATCCCAATTCTTAGACCTTTTATATCTGTTTTACTCCTTCTCTTATTCCATTTAGTTTCTCAATTCATCCAAAACCATATCCAGGCCATCACCAGTCATTCTATATGACAAATGTTTCTTCTAACATCCCCACAATCTCACCCCTTACCACAAGACCTCCCTTCAGCTTAATCTCTCCCACTCTAGGTTCCCACGCCTCCCCTAATCCCGCTTGAAGCAGCCCTGAGAAACATCACCCATTCTCTCTCCATACCACCCCCCAAAAATTTCCGCCGCTCCAACACTTCAACACTATTGTGTTTTATTTTTCTTATTAATATAAGAAGTCAGGAATATCAGGCCTCTGAGCCCAAGCCAAGCCATCGCATCCCCTGTGACTTGCACGTATATGCCCAGATGGCCTGAAGTAACTGAAGAATCACAAAAGAAGTGAATATGCCCTGCCCCACCTTAACTGATGACATTCCACCACAAAAGAAGTGTAAATGCCCGGGTCTTGCCTTAAGTGATGACCTTACCTTGTGAAAGTCCTTTTCCTAGCTCATCCTGGCTCAAAAATCACCCCCACTGAGCACCTTGAGACCCCCACTCCTGCCCGCCAGAGAACAAACCCCCTTGGACTGTAATTTTCCTTTACCTACCCAAATCCTATAAAAGGGCTCCACCCTTATCTCCCTTCACTGACTCTCTTTTCGGACTCAGCCCACCTGCACCCAGGTGAAATAAACAGCTTTACTGCTCACACAAAGCCTGTTTGGTGGTCTCTTCACACGGACGCGCATGAAAATAGGATTGTGAATATTAAATGAAATTGTATATATAAAGTGCTTAGCCCAGTGCCCCACAAGTGGATAGAATCTGTGTTAGCCAATTCTTGCATTGCTATAAAGAAATACCTGAGACCGGATAATTTATAAGAAAAGATGTTTAATTGGCTCATGGTTCTGTAGGCTGTGTAGGAAGTACAGCACCAGCATCTGCTTCTGGGGAGGCCTCAAGAAGCTTCCAATCATGGTGGAAGGTGAAGGGGGAGCAGGCACTTCACATGGCAGAGAAGGAGCAAGAAAGAAAGAGTCGGGGTGAGGTGACACACACTTTTAAATGACCACATCTTGTATGAACTCAGAGTAAGAGCTCACTTATCACCAAGGGCATGGCCCAAGCCATTCATGAGGGATCCACCCCTATGATCCAAAGGCCTCCCACTGGGCCCTACCTCTAACACTGGGGATTGAAATTCAACATGAGATTTGGTAGGGACATACGTTCAAACTATATCAGAATATCAATACATGGTGGTGATTATCTACAAGATCTTTTCTGAATAAAGCATTTAACAGTATATTATATGCACTTATATACATGCATATATATATATATATATATATATATAATGTATTGCTATGTATTTAAAGACTTAAAAACCTTTGATGAGGAGGCTCCAACATTAAACCAACGAAGTCTAAAATTTGTGCATACAATAAAACATTTTCTAATTTGTAACAATTACCTTCCTAAACGGTGAATACAACTTTTAATATACATGTTTAAAGCTGCAACTTTTTGTCTAAGCACTGTTTAGCTGCATCCCATAAATTTTCATATGTTGTCTTTTCACTTTCATTCAGTACAAAATATTCTTTAATTTTACATTCAATTTCTTCTTTGATCCTGAGTTATTTAGAAATGTGTTATCTAATTTCCAGATATTGTAAAGGATTTTTCAAGATTCTGTCATTGATTTTGAATTCAATTCTATTGTGATTGAAGGACATACTTTGAATGACTTCAATCTTTTTATGTTTATGAAAACTTGCTTTTTTTTTTTTTTTTTTTTTTTTTGGAGACGTAGTTTCGTTCTGTCATCCAGGATGGAGTGCATGCAGTGGTGTGATCTCGGCTCACTGCAACCTCCACCTCCTGGGTTCAAGCGATGTTCCTGCCTCAGCCTCCTGAGTAGCTGGGATTACAGGTGACTGATACCTGGTGTCCAGGTGTGGACCTGGCTGACATTTGCATTTCTAGTAGAGATGGGGTTTCACCATGTTGGCCAGGCTGGTCTTAAACTCCTGACACCAGGTGATTCACCCGCCTCGGTCTCCCACGGTGCTGGGATTACAGGCATGAGCCACCGTACCTGGCCGAAAACTTGCTTTAAAGCCTATCGTATGATCTGTCCTGAAGAAACTTCCAAATGCACTTGAAAGAATATTTTTTGCTGCTGCAGGGGGAAGTGTTCTATACATGTCAGTTAAACCACCATGTTGAATAATCGTTTTTTTTAACCTTTTCTCTTTACTAATTTTCTGTCTACTTTCTCTGTCAGTATCAAGGGTCTTAAAATCTTGAACTATAATTATTAAATCATCTACATTGCCTTTTCAATGCCCTTTGCTTTTACTTGATGTATTTCAGAATCCTGTTGTTAGGTACAAATATATTTAAGATCATGTGATGGCTGGTCAGCTCAGTTGGTTAGAGCATGGTGCTAATAACATCGTATCTTCCTGATGTATTGACTTTTTTATGCTTATGAAATGTCCCTCTGAATCTCTAGTAATATTTATTTTCTGAAAGTCTACTTTGTTTGATATTAATATATCCACTCCAGCTTTCTTATGATTACTGTTTGTATAATATATCTTTTCCACTTCTTTTACTTTAAATTTAGTTGTATCTTTGCATTTCAAGTATGTCTTTCGTGGTCAGCACATAGTTGAATCTTTCTTTTGTATCCCATCTGCCAATCTTTGTATTTTCATTACAGTGTTTAGTTGATTTAACGGACTATTTAATATGATTATTGATAGAATTGGACTTATGTCTGCCATTTTGCTGTTTGTTTTAAATATAGTTTATGTCTTTTTGTTGTTGTTCCTCTGTTACTCCTTTACTGCTGTCTTTAGGTTAAACAATTATTTTTGGTGTATCACTTTATTATTCTATTGATTCTTTATTTTCTTTGTGTTTGCTGTAGGGATTAAGGTGTACTCTTAATTTATCAATATAATTCATGTTAATACTGATTTACTTTCAGCAAAATCCAACACTGATGCTCTTATATAGCTTAATTTCATCCCATCTCCTTATATGTGCTATTATTGTCACATATGTAATATCTATATAACATTATAAACTCAACAATAGTGTTTCAATTATTGCTTCACAAAATCTGATGTGTTTTAAAAAAAATAGAAAATACATGTTTATACAATCTTATATATTGACCCACGTAGTTACCATTTCTGGTGCTCTTCATTTCTCCCTGTGGATTTGCCTTATGGTGTCATTTCCTTTCATTTTCTGTAGAATTTCTTGGAAGCTGTATCTGTCAGCAATAATTTATCTCAGTCTTCATCTGGGAGTTTCTTTATTTCACCTGTTTTTGAAGAATTGTTTTGCACACAGAATTTGTGGTTGACAGTTTTTTTTTTCATCACTTTAAATGTGTCCTTCCACTGCCTTCTGGCCTCCATTGTTTCAGATAAGAAATCAGGCATTAATTGTCTTGTTATTCCCCAGTTTAGGATGAACTGGTTTTCTCTTGCTGCTTTTAAGATTTTCTATTTGTGTTTGGTTTTCAGTTAATTTTACTCTAATGTGTATAGATGGGGATTTTAATGTTTATCCTATTTAGAGTTTGTTGAGCTTTGTAGATGTATAATTCATGTTTTTCATTAAATTTGCAGAATGTTTAGCCATTATTTCTTCAAGTATTTTTCCTGCATGTATCTCTATCTTCTCTTTCTGGGACTCTCATTACGTGTTAGTAGGTATGCTGGATATTGCCACATGGGTCTCTGAGGCTCTGCTCATTTTTCTTCAATCTATGTTTTTCCATGTTCTTCAGAGTGGTTAATTTCTATTGATCTATTTGAAGTTCACCAATTATTTCTTTTGCCACCCCAAATGTGCCCATTTAATTTTTTATTTCAGCTATAGGGCTTTTAAATTCTAGAAGTTCCATTGGTTCCTTATTATTGCTTCTGTTTCTCTACTGAGCATTCCTATTACAGTGTCATTATCATCATACTTTAATTTTTAAAATACAAGAGCTGTTTTGAAGTCTTAGTGTGCTAAATATATTTAGGTGCACTCAAAGTCAGTTTCCATGGACTGTTTTTTTCCTGACTATGGATCACATTTTCTTGTTTCTTTGACTATGTCATGATGTTTCATTGAAAACTGGACATTTGGTTGTGCGTGGTGGCTCATGCCTATAATCCCAGCACTTTGGGAGGCCAAGGTGGATGGATCACTTGAGCTCACAAGTTCAAGACCAGCCTGGGCAACATGGTGAAAACCTGCCTCTACAAAAAAATACAAAAATTAGCCAGGCGTGTTGGTGCGTGCCTGTAGACCCAGCTACTTGGGAGGCTGAGGTGGGAGGATGGCTTGAGCCTAAGAGGTGGAGGTTGCAGTGAGCTGAGATTGCACCACTACACTCCAGCCTGGGTGATACAGCCAAAACTTGTCTTAAAAAGAAAAAAAACTGGACATTTTAGATTAATATTGTAACAACTCTGGGATATGATATTTTCCCACAAGATAGTTGTTCCTTTAGATAATTTACTCCAACCTAGTTTACAGAATCTGTTTCTCTGAGATGTGCTGCCACTGATGTCTCTGCTCAGTTTAAAATAATTCTCCATTCATTCATTCATTTTTGCCTAGCTTCCAATGTGTAGTCCTGTATCTGCTGGTTTGTCAGTGATTGATAAGAGGTTGTGCTCAAATACCTTAAGCCTGTAAGGTTTCCACCTTCTGCTAATAGATCTGTGTGTGAATTGGGTGGGGCAGACAGGAGAGAGGACGCATTCAAAGTTCAGGCACTTTTCAAGTCTGTCCTAGCTTTTACTTTACATAGCTCTCCTGTAAACGTAGTTTCTCATCCAGCCAGAAAGGCACAGAGAGCTTATCTAGCCCTTATATGACTCTCATTTCCAGAAACTTCCTGTTAAGAGTTTGACTAGCCCATAACTAGCCCTAACTGGTACTGCAAACTCAGGTTAGCAGAGCTGTAAAAATTCCCCATTTATTTCCTACCATGTATCCTACTTTTCTTGATAATGCTGCCAGGAATAGGTTTGGAACCTCCAGTTCAAATCAAGTCAACCCCCTCTAGCAGTACTGCTGGTTTTCATAGTCAGTCCTGCCTTGCTAAAACTAGCGCGCTAACCAAGTTTTAGGAGGAGTTAAGGGAGAGGGATAGTCCTAGGCAAGAAGGCTGTAGATCTCTATAGAATCTACACTTTTCTTATCCACATTTCTAGCCATTTTTCACCAATAACCATTTCTCAAGTTGTTATTTTTCTTTGGTTGATTTTCAGAGCCCTGAGACCATTTTTTAAATAGTTTTTCCAATTTTATACTTGTTTTTTGGGGGAAGAAGCATTGCTAAACTTCTCACTCTGCTATAGCAAAATACTTCCTCTAAATAAACCTTTTAAGTCAATTACTTCAACATGTATCAGCTGTAGATTTTCCCTATTTATCCTGTTTGTTACTCCCCAGCAATTTTTATAAACTTTCTGCTAAAAAGCTTTTTCTGCCTATTTTGCTTTTTTTAATGACTTATTTAACCTCATGATGAAGACCTCTTAAAATGATTATAAAAGCATCTTGACTATCTTGTGTGTGTGTGTGTGTGTGTGTATGTGTGTGTGTGTCTTTTTCAGACACTTTTCCTTGCATCTCTATATTCCCATAAAGCACACTATGGCATTGTGATGTCTGAAACTCAGGGGTGTTGCTTATCTACTTCCTTTGTCTCAAAAAAGTATAAATACAAATGATTATTACATACTAGATTTCAGTTGTGCACTTTAACATGTGACTCCTTTAGAATTATACAAAATACCCCATTAATGAAAGCCTTATATATGCTGAAATAAATTTCACATATTTTGCACACACTTTACCTCTTTTTTGATAATTCTCATCCATAGCTGCACATTAGGATCACCAAAAGAGCCTCTAAAGACTATTCACAATTAGGCTACACCATAGATCAGTCTAAATTGGAATTTCTGGGGCTAGGTCCTAGACAGGTGTTTTTAAATCACCTGCTGATTCTGATGTAATCCCAGAATTCAGAACTAATGCTTTCTTAGTCATGCCTTGGATTATCTTTTCAGATTGGCTCCTTTTCCCTCTCAACAGTCCAACTTTAAAACTTTAACATAATAGGGCATCAAAAGCATGATCCATAAAGGAAAGAAAACTGATTAGGTTTTATCAAAATTTAATATTCCTGCTCTTTGAAAGATGCTGTCAAGAAAGTGAAAAGGCAAGTGACAGACTTTTACAGTACAGCATCTATAATTGACAGTACATATCTCTAACAAAGGACTTGTATCCAGAATATATACAGGAAGAACACCTACAATTCAATAATAAGGAAACAAATAGCCCCGTTTTAAAATGGGGAATGTATTTGAAAAGATACTTCATCAAAAAAGGTATATAAATAGCAAATAAAGACACAGTACTCAACACCATTAGACATCAGAAAAATGCAAATTGATACCTTAGTGAGATACCACTACACACATAGTAGGGTGGCAAATCTGTGGAGAAACTGGAACTCTTACATATGGCAGATAGAAACATAAATGATTCAACCATATTGGAAAACAGTTTGGCAGTGTCTCACAAAGTTAAATATACACTTACCATATGGCCCGCCCTTAGGCATCGACCTAAGATAATTAAATAAAAGCATATTTCAGCTGGGTGTGGTGGCTCATGCCTGTAATCCCAGCAGTTTGGGAGGCCAAGGTGGGCGGATCACGAGGTCAGGAGATCGAGACCATCCTGGCTAACACGGTGAAACCCCGTCTCTACTAAAAATACAAAAAAAAAATTAGCTGGGCGTGGTGGCAGGCGCCTGTAGTCCCAGCTACTCGGGAGGCTGAGGCAGGAGAATGGCGTGAACCCAGGAGGCAAAGCTTGCAGTGAGCCAATATAGCACCACTGCACTCCAGCCTGGGCAACAGAGTGAGACTCTGTCTCAAAAAATAAATAAATAAATAAAATATTTCTACCCAGACTTATACAAGAATGTTCATAGCAGCTTTAATCATAATAGCCCCAAACTGGAAAAAAAAATCCATAAATTGGAGAATGGATAAACCGATTGTGGTATATCTATACAATGGAATAAAACTCAACAATAAAAAGTTGCAAACTCCTGGTCCACACAATTATACGGGTGAACCTGAAAAACATTATGCCAAGCAAAAGAATCCAGACACAAAAGAATACATAATGTGGGATTCTATTTATATGAAATTTGGGAATAGGCATAAAATCGATAGTGATGGAAAGGACTTTGGGTTGCCTGGGCACAGCAGGAGGAGGATTATCTGCAAAGAAGCATAAAGAAACTTTTTGGGGGTGGGGGAATGAAAATTTTCTGTGTGTTGATTATGCTAGGTGTCACACGGTCTATATATTTGTCTAAACTCTTTAAACTATCATATGGGTGCTTTTTAGTATATAAAAATTATACCACAATAAACTTGATTTATAAAAAATTCAAAGCAGGATAAAATGAAATAATGTACATAAAGTACTTAGTACAGCTGCTATCACATGGTAAGCACTCCACAAATACACTGCTGTGTGTAGTGAAATAACATAAGCATGTCTGAGATCCATTAACTCCCTTGCCTGGAGAACTAGAACTGCGAATTCTGTAGCAGTTTCCCAAACCCTTTAATGTCAAGGACCCAGGGGTGGACACACTTATTCCACAAGGAGACAATAGACAGGGACAGGCAGAGCAAAGACAACTACTTTTAGAAATAGCCAGTTAGGTTATGCAGAATTGTTGCTGTTGTTGCTATTGCTTTTTTGTTTATTTGATCTTGCCCTTATTATTTGGCTAAATTGGTGGAGTTTATTATACATGCCTCGAGAAAAGAGGTACTGCAGTCAGTGGCTAGGTTTGGAATCTTGGGCTCTATTCTGGCTCTGGAATCCTGCCCAAATGAGTTAATTCCTTGAACTTTACTTTTGAAAAGTAGGTTCAGTTTTATGATTCCTAAGATCCCTGCCAATTTAAAACTTTCAAGGTTCTGTGCACATGCATATTTATTGGAGATATCTGTGAAAGTATTTCATTTCCCACCTCTCTGAACTCTTTCTTTTAGTGCATTGTGATTCTGAACTCTCCTTGCCTTTCTCTTTTTATCTACAAACAACCCAATTTTAAAACAGGAAATGTATATGAAAACAAATATGATTTACTTATGTCCCATTTCCTCAGAATTTGACTAGGTAATAGGAAAGAATCCATTTTTCTATTACTACCTAACAAACCAACAAACCACCTCAAAACTCAGTGGCTTAAAACAACAAGAGCATTTGTTTTGCTCATGAATCTGCCATTTGGGCAGGGCTTAGCGGGGATGGCTCATCTCTGCTCGATTTACCAGGAGCTGGGATGGCTTGAAGACTGGAATCATCTGAAAGCTCCTGGCTTATAGGCCTGAGGCATGGACCTGGAATTCTCAAATAGCTGGGGGCTGGAGCCCTCAAGGAACTTTTTCTATGTCTGTAAGTTTTCTACATGGTCTTTCCAGCATGATAGCTTCTGAGTAGCTGAATTCCTTACATGTTGGCTTATGGCTCCCAGTGCGTATTCAGTTGAGTGAAAAAGAGCTCTCTGGGCAGAATTGAGTTGTCTTCCCTACCCTAGTTTAAAAAAAAAAAAATCACACAGCATCAGTTCAGCCTAAGTGTATTCTTGTAAAGCAAGTCACTGGCTGGACTATATTCAGGGGAAGAGGAATTAGAGTCTGACTTTAAATAGGAAGAGTGTTAAATAATTTAAGGGCTTATTTTTAAATTATGGCCAACTAGCTTGAATCAAGGTGTTTAGAAATGACAAATGGCTTGAGAGAGGATTTCCCTCTCATCTTTCATAGTATTGGCCTATCAAGATCACTCTGTCCTACCTCAGAGGACTGGTGCTTTAGGCACTATCACAGCCCATGGTGGAAGGGAGAACAATTGAGACCCCTAAATCACAATGCAAAACTCTTCATAGTTTACCCCTTGGTAGTCAACTGGAAGGAATGGTTCATGCTAATCTCAGTTCTGTCTGCACCTGGAAAGGAAGGGCAGGCTGCTATGTTTTGCCTTAAGTGGAGGGTCAGAGAAACAGATATTTCATCCAAACTCCATCAACCAAAAACGTACTGAGAAACAGACAAATAGTTTTGAGGGTAGCACCTCATACAGAATGAAAACTGTTCGTTCAGTGACTAAAGCTAAATAAATAGTGCAGATGTCTGGGTAAATAAAACATATTTATGGCATAGATCCAATGATGGTTGCAGATCTTAAATAAAGAGCAGGATTTTAGACTTCTTGCCCAACGCCCAGTGAATTTATAGCATTTCTCAAACTTTTCTATTACAATACCAGAAGAGACAAAGTCTTTCTCCTCCAGCAACTGAAATAGTTGCCCTAAGGTTTCTCTCCAAATAGACTTTTTTTCTATTTTAAGCTTTAAATATTTATATAATATTTGTATTTTATACCATAAGTTATCTAAGTTTATTTTTATGCAATATGATTTATGAATGTGATTTTACTCAAAATTATAAGGTAAAATTGATACCCTCAGAAAACAAGCCATGTTTACTCTGTGACTATTTCCTAGCCCAATTTCAGGTACTTCTTGAGCTTGTGAACCCTGTTAGAGAAGAAAGGAACTGTAAGCTCCATCTGAAAAGATAATTGTACGGTTTGAGGTAATTTCTTTTTTCTGTATTCTGATGTCATACTGACCATATAAATTGTAAATTCTTAAGCTTTCTTTACATTCACCAAAATGGAAATCAAATGCTACATTTAATTATAAGGTTATTCGAATCGTAGGCCTCAAACATCTAAAGGATTATTTACATTGTCTGATCTAAACCTCTTGTCCTTCAGATAAATATCTGAGCCCAAACATATAAAGCAACCTGCTTATGTTACATTCAATGCTGTTCTTTGATGTCAAATAATCAGTAAATTGTTCAAGACTAGAAATCATTTCCCATGTGAATTTTTTTTTGTTGTTTTTACTAGGTGTTTGCATTTTATATACTATTGTTTAGGGTTACTTTTACTTTTCCTCATTTTAAATATATATATTTTTAGAGACAGGGCCTTGCTCTGTTGCCCAAGCTGGTGGGAAGTGGTGTGGTCATAGCTCACTGCAGCCTAAAACTACTGGGCTTAAGTGATCCTCCCATCAGCCTAAAACTCCCAGCAGCCTAAAACTACTGGGCTTAAGTGAGCCCATCAGCTTCCTGAGTAGCTGGGGCTATAGCCACACACCACTACACCTGGCTAATTTTTTTTTTAATTTTGTTTGTTTGTTTGTTTGTTTGTTTGTTTGTTTTTGTAGAAATGAGGGTCTCACCATGTTGCCCAAGCTGGTCTCGAACTCCAGGCCTCAAGGGATCTTCCTGCCTCAGCCTCTCAAGTGCTGGGATTATAGGCATGAGCTACTGTGCCCTGCCTCATTATAAATATTTTAAAAATGTATTTTGTATGTTATACAAAGAGACTCTGTTTTCAACAGTAGGAGGAGAAGCTTTTATTATGCTAATCTTGCCAAAAGCAATTATAAACTATGTACAAAATATAAAAATCAATTGTTTGAAAACACTGAAGAGTACTGGAAGCAAACAGAAATGGAGCTGATATTACCTTAATAATAAGAAAATTTAAGGGATGAGATCCATACTTAACTGGCTTTTTCCTAAGAGCTTCAAGTTTGATTGGAGGATGAAAGCTAGAGACAAGGTGTAAAATTTTCATAGGTCTTAGGAGGAACTGATTCTATTTTTTACATGGGATTGATGCAAATCATTCATTCCAACCATGCAGTCCAATCAGAGGATGGACTATGGTGGATTAATTGTTGTCTCATTCCCCCCACGAAGAAACAGTCTATGTCCTCTCCCTATGAATCTGAGTGAATTCTGCACTGCTTTGACCAACAGAGTATGATGGAAGTGAAGCTACTAACCCAGTGCCCAAGTCAAGACCTTATGAGATTGACAGCATTCACTTCTGTTCTCTTAAAACACACATCCTTAGAACACAGCCCCCACGCTTGAGGAAGTCCAAGCAATCAAATGGACAGACTCAAGTGAAGAGGAACAAAGGCATCTGGCTAACAGCCTTAGCGAAGTTTCCTGCTGACAGCATCAACTTGCCAGGCATGTACGTAAGCCATATGGGAGAACACCCAGCCCCAGTCGAGCTCCTCCAACTGATGCCACATGGAGCAGAAATCAGCTGTCCAAACTGAATCCTGCCCAAATGGAAGATTGATAAACAAAATTTAAAACTAATCTTTAAGCCAATAAGTTATGGGTTTATCTGTGTTACACTGCACTATTTAACAGAACAATAGGCAAAGGACTTGGACAAATACTTAACAAAGGAAGATATACAAATGGTAAATAAGCACATGAAAATATTAACATCATTAGTAATCAGGGAAACGAAAATTAAAGTCACAAAAGATATCAAAACACACCTATTAGATGGCTAAAATGTAAAAGACTGACCCATGTCAAGTGCTGGTTAGGATGTAGAAGAACTGGAACTCTCATACTTTACTGAAAGCAATGTTAAATAAAAATAGTTAGGTTTTTTTAAATAGATTTAAACATACCCTATGACCCAGCAAGTTCACTCCTAAATATTTACTCTAGATAAATAAAAACACGTATCCACCAAAAACTTGTACAAGAATATTCCCAGCAGCTTTTATCATGATAGCCCAAACTGGATACAACCCAAATGTCTATCAGTCAGAGAACAGAAAAGAAAATGGTGTTATATTTATAAAATGATATATATAACTGGGTACAAGAAAAAGGAATAAACTATTGACATAAGCAACATCAATGAACCTCAAAAATATGACATTGAGGGAAGGAAGTCAAATACAGAAATGCCTACTTTTTCTGTCTATTTGTATGATGTTCAAAACTAGGCAAAATGAATCTACTAAGTAGTAGAGCCATGATTCTGTCCCAAGCAGTCTTGTTTCTAGAGCCTGTGGTCTTAACCATGATGCTACAGGTGTAAATCCATAGATAAAGATTTTGAAGGTGATATAGAAAAGGATTTAACTGGTTTATGAATGGTAAGATTTTGGGAAAGAAGGAATAATGAAGAGGCAGTGCAATTGAGATGGAGGAAGATAGGACTTTTAGTTGTTATTCTTTATATAATTGTATTATTTCAAATTTTTTAAATGGTCATATATAACATTTTATAATATTTTTGAGTGTAATTTACTTAGAGTAAAATGCACATGTTGTAAGTGTATATATATGGATGAGTTTTGTAGCAAGCACACAGCCATGTAACCAATACCCAGATCTAGATACAGAGCCATTCAATTACCTTGAACATCAATCTCACCACTTCCCAGAGGCAATCACTGTTCTGACTGGATGCCAGGACAAAGTCCAACACTATCAAAAGGAATATAACACAATCCACACACAACAATGTAAAATCTCACAATATATGACATCAAATAAAAACTTATCAGGTATGCAAAAATGCAGAAATATATGGCCCATACCTAGAAAAGGCCAATAAGTTGAAGTGAAACAGAAATGACAGAAATTCAGAAATTAGAAACAAATTTTAAAACAGCTATCATAACTATCATAAACACGCTTAATATGCTCAAGAAGGAGGGAAAAACAACACTATGAGGAGCAGAAAGGAATATATTTTAAAGAAGAGAGAGAGGTACCACAATGGAACTGATAGAGGTGAAAATTATGTGATCTGAAACAAAAAATATACTGGACAGTTTTGTGGCCAATTTGGAACTGCAGAAGAAGAGATCAGTGAACTCAAAGACATGCCAATAGAAAATATCCAAAATTAAGTACAGAGAAACAAAAAAGATGGACGAAAACAAAAATAATATCTAGTATCTATGGAACAATATCAAGGCTGTCTACCATGTGAAATTAGAGTCCCAGAAAGGAAGAGGGAAGATAGATGAAGAAATAATAATAGCTAGAAGTTTATCTATATTTAATGAAAACTATGTCAACAAAGCTCCATGAAACCCAAGCAGAATACATATAAAGACGTATATGCTAAAACGCATCATGATCCCATTGTTAAAAATCAGAGATAAACAAATCTTAAAAGCAGCCAGAGATAAAAGACATACTACTTACAGAGTAATAAAGACAAGCATGACAGCAGACTTCTTATGAGAAAATATGCCGACCAAAAGAAAATGGATGAATATCTTAAAAGTGCTGACAGAAAGAACCGTCATCATAGGATTCCCAGGAAATATATCTCTTAAAAATGAAGGCAAAATAGAGAGTGAATTAGAAATAGAGAAAATATTTTTATACAAATAAAAGCTGATAGGATCCATAAACTACAGACCTATATTATAAGAAATATTAGAGAAAATTCTTCACATTCTAATTAAAAAAGCAGATTGTCATATTGGGTTTTAAAAAGCAAGACATACCTATTTTTGTCTACAAGAAATATACAATATGTATAAATATATAGATAAAACGAAGAGGATGAAAAAAGTACCATGCAGAAGCTAATCAAAAGAAATCTGGAATGGCTGTAATTCATATCACACAAAGTAGGCCTCAGAACACATATTATTATGTAGGCTAAAGGGAGACATTTTATAACAAGAAAGAACTCAGTTCATCATGAGTGCATAACAGTTCCAAATGTACATGCACCTAATAATACCTAACAATGTCAAAACAAATAAAATAAAAAATGACAGAACCAAAAGGAGAAACAGACAAATTCACAGTGATAGTTAGAAATTTCAGCATCCTTTTCTCAGATATACAAGCATACAGAAAAACATAGAAGATAAATGGAACCACTAACCACTGTCTTAACTGACAGCTATGGAATACTCCATCCAGCAATAGCAGAACACAAATTCTTTTCAAATGCAGACACAACATTCACAAAGAAAGATCATATCTGGGTCAAAAAATAAGGCTCAATAAATTTAAAGGACTTTAAATCATACAAAGCATGTTTTCTGATCATAACAAAATTAAAATAGAAATCAATAACGAAGTATTTGTTTTCTGTTTTCTATTGTTAAATTCTCAAACTTAATCACAAGAAAAATTAGAAAATAGTTTGAACCAAAGCAAAAATAAAAACCTAACATATCAAAATGTGTGTGTTGTTGCCAAAACAGTACTTAGAGTAAAATTCACACTTTTATATATTTGTGTTTGAAAGAGAAGACATATCTCAAATCAATGATCTAAGTTTCCACCTTAAACTAGGAAAGAAGGAGCAAATTAAACACAAAGCATATCTGCAAATTATACCTCAATAAGCTCGACTTTTAAATGATCATATTCTTTGTCCATTTTGCCTTAATAGTTTATATATTAGCTTGTTGTTTTCTGTTGCTTCTATTTTCTTCATGCTGTAGACTCTGTTTTAAATAATATTCTACATTGTCTATGTGGAAAGGCATAATGCGTCAGATGAGACCCTTGTTCTCCTCATGTCTTCAGCGTCATTGACAAAGTAGATAATAACACACAAAGCATGTAAAGAATTTCTGAATTTTATGGTACAAATTATGGTAGTGAATGACCATGTATTAAGCCCTTACCACTTGCCAGTCCTTGCATGTTTGTTGTTTTATTTAATATCTAGGCTGCAGAGAAACCTTATGGGATTTTGATGGTTTAATTTATGATCACAAGAAACTGCCATTTAAACATTCACCTTCTACAGAATTGTTGGGTTCGGTTTATTTTCTCTGTAATAAATGAGAATTTATTTTCATCATGCAAGAACCATCATGAAAAAGCTTCTCATAACTCTTGGGGTGCATGAGATCAACTTGCTTTAATGAATTATGAGATCAAGCAGAATCAGTTTTGAAAATAGCAAAGACATTTAGAGAAGTAGTAAGATGCAGAACAGGGACGGAATTTATGCCACACTCCACGCAAAACAAACTCGGCCACTACTCCTGTGGTCAGGAATCAATATTTCTCATCAGTTCCAAAGTAATGAATGTCTCTTCTCACCTCATGCTCATTGACCTTCATCTGTGGTGAGAACTTTCTTACTGTGAGACTCCAGTTTCCCTTTCTTTGGTTCTGTTTGGGCGACTGCTACCTGGTTTCAACAGTAACCTCCTAGAAAACAGATTGGGTGCTCACCCCAACGTTAATAAATATCATCAGAATAACGAAGGGGAGTAATTTGTCTACTGATGAACTGATTAGAGAAGACGTCACCACTGTCGTGGCTCTTTCCCCAAATTATAGCTAGGTTTAGGAATTATTTTTTCAAAGGGCTACTCTGAATTATGGGGCTGTAATTCCATCCTGAAGGCTATTTGTGGGTCATGCTTCACTTCTTGTGGTTTATGACTTCAACCCCAGCCCTCGATGGAATTATAACCCAACAGTCACAGAGACTGCTATTTATCATCTGTTTATTTTACAACAAAGCATCAAGTATATTTTGGTTTTATGCTCATGGAGAACACAAGAAGGAGAAGGAGGCAGAGGAAGAGGAGGAAGAGATAGAATAGTTTACCCAAAGCTAAAGCCATGTCTCCCCAGCTATAAAAACTGAATATCAGACAACGGTCCAGACATGTTACCTCCACGATGTTAGCAAACATCTGGAAGAATCTTCTATTTGTTACCATGGAAATAAAGTGCCCAAATGATTGTCCTGTGTCTTTTCTCAGCTGGATATTACCGCAGTAGAGCTTAGATTATGGAACTGAGGGGAAGCCATCGTTCTCTTCCTTTCCTTCTTTTGTCCACCCTGTGCCGATAACAAGCTCTCTGGCAGGAGTTGCGAACAGCTGTATCAGAGATCAGGCGGGGTCACTGCACGCTCAGGCAGGCCGCGTGGATTTGTCTGCTGGTCCCTGCAGTGTGCTGGGCGGGACACTCCTTGATCTCTCCATGCTGTCACCGGGTTCTGCAGTACAGTTGGCTCTGAGCCTTTGCAAACATTCTAATTTGATGCATAATTAATATAACAGTGATTCAAGGCCTAGAGGCTTCTGGGACTAATTAGTGACCCGAATCTCCATGGTAGCGCTGCATTCCATTCTTATCAGTGCCGGGAAGAGCTGCACTCTTAGAAATAATCAGTCTCCCACTTATTACTGTGACACAGCCAAGAGGCAAAGATCATCTTTCCATCCAGTGTGCAAAAATTCCATCAGTGTGTAATCACTTCCCAGGAGGACTGAACTTCCCCTGGAAGAGTCTCACTGAATTAGTCCCTCAAGAACATTTACGTTTCCATATGGGCCTGGGGGGATCTTATTGCAGGTGAAGAAATAAAGACAGTCAGCAAGGGCTTGCTGAGCATCCGCAGAATGAACAACATTGTTCCAGGGGCTCGGAGCTGATTCACAGGAAAATAAAAGACTCAGCTTTCTTTTCAAAGCCTTTGCCATGCAATAACGAAACATATAGTAAGAATGAATGACTTGTTACTCCCATTTCTAACATGGTCCCCCACTGTGTCTCTGCAGGCGCATGGCTCCAAGTGTCTCAGTCATCTCTGCAGAGAACCTATTCAAAGTCTAAGTGAGTTCACCCCAGGAAGGAAGTGGCATTGTAGTGGTGCTGCACCCATCTCCCTTCCCTTCTCACTTCCTGTTGCTCCTCAGCCCCCTCAACAGCCACCTTATTTCCAGCTCACTTGCTCAGGCCCCGCAGGATCTAGACAAGCAGCAGCAAACTATGGACTGTGGCCCCAGCCCAGCACAACAGTCCATTTAATTCAGGTATATATCATCCATGGCTACTTTCACACTACAATGGCAGAGTTGAACAAATGTGACAAAGACTGGATGACCCACAATTCTAAAGGATATACTACTTGGCCCTTTGCTGAAAGAGTTTGCAAACCCCCAGTTTAGACCATCAAACACCACCCAGCAGGTGGGGGATCTCAGCTTCAAGTCTTAGATTTTTATAATTCCTTTTGAAGGAGTGGCCACCCCATGAACAATTCCTTCAACAGAATGCATCACTTCCAGCCTCTGCTCATGATCACCCAGACTATGTGCCCATTCTTGACCTTCTCGGAGAGGCTCATTCATAGTTCTCAAGCTTTTATTTAATGAGCATCTGCATGGTACTTGCCACACGCAAGGCACTCCTTTAAACACTAAAATTAACTCATTTTGTTCTTTCAATCACCCCATGAGGTGAATATTATTATTATTAATATCTCCATTTCAGAGATGAGGAAACTAAGGCATGAACAGGTTAAGTTGCCCAGGGTTATATAACTAGTAAGTCACAGAGCCAGGATTTGAACCCAACAGTTTTGCTCTTCAGTCTACATTCTTATTTTTGTCAATACAAACTTGTCTACACAGTATCCTAGGGGAATGTAGGAGGGTCACCTGCCTAGCTATTAGCAACTGGAAAATTCTCATAGAGCATCTAATTTAAAATATATGTGAGTATTGCATCAACTGCATAATAAATATTGATTGTTTTATTGCAAAACAGTCCTAAATTACTTGTTGTGATGATGTACCATACTTATTCTACATCTTCTAGGACCCAAAGGCACACTACTAGACACCCCTGGGGTACAGGGGTGTACCCTCTTTGGTACTCTCCTATTTGGAGAGGCACAGTCCTAGTTTCTTTCTGCAATGGACTAATCTTTGCTACACCTGATTTTGCCCCTCTAACATTCATTTATCTGACCAAGCCTAATGGTCTGAAATTTTCTTTTGTTAGGAGAGGTTGCTCTGTAAATATATTTTAACCCACAGGGTACTCTTAAAAAGAAAATTGTATGCAGAACATATAAAACTGATACCACTTTTAAATTAATTTATTGTAAGCATGCCCACTTTAGACTTCAAAAAATCCTGAAAACCAAAAGATTATACCAATATCTGCCATATGAACTAATTCAGGCCTTTCCTGCATATTTTTAGTGATATTTTATGGAAAATACTTGCTCTATTTATGGAAAACACTTGCTTATTTTCCATATTTTTATGGAAAATACTTGCTCTATTTATACTAGCCAAGAGCTCTCTTATCCATCAGGTGACTGTAGTTAATAACAATGGGTTGTATGTTTCAAATTTTCAGAGAGTAGGTTGTAAGTATTCTCACCACATATAGACACAAAGGTACCTCCAGGAAGTGATGGATATCTTAATTAGCTTGACTGAGGTCATCATTTCACAATGTATCAAAGCATCACATTGTATACCTTGAATATATACAACTTTTATTTGTCATTTGTTTTTCAATAAAGCTGAAAAAGAGAAAAAAAAAAGTGGTCAGCCAAGGAAGCCTCTGAGTTTCTCCAGGACTGTGAAAAATCCTGTACCACCCACCCTCTGGAGCAGCCCAGGACAAGCCTGTTCCCGTCTTTCACATGTGCTGGGATAGTGATCCCATCATCTCCTCTTACGTCTCTTACCCAGGATAAATAAAGCTAGTTTCTATTATTATTCTTCCAAGGATGAGCTTCCACATTTTTTCACACATCTTGATTAAAAGGGGTACTCAGAACTGTTTATTTTGGTTTAATGCTCATGGAGAACACAAGAAGGAGAAGGAAGCAGAGGAAGTGGAAAATGGAGGCAGAGACTTTAGTGGAAAGCACCCCCTTCTCAGATCTGGGTGCTCCATGAGGGGGCTTTGTAGCGGATTGTATTTTTCTAAGATGAATGCAACAATAATTCTTATCCCATTTGCTCTTCTAGAATCTTGCCACGTTCCTATTAAGTGATGGAGTCTAACTCTTCTTCCTTTGAATTTGGATGGGCTTGTGCCTCACTTATAACCAACAGGAAGTGGTTACAAGGAAGCTCAGGAAGTGACGCTGCATGGCTTCAGAGGCTAAGCCCTAGAGGACAATGCAGCTTCTACCTTGAGTGATGGGACACTGTGCTGGAGTGCTGAGCCACCACGCAGGTGGTCTGACTGCCCTGAGCCACCATGCAGTGAGGAAGCACAACCAGCCCTGCAGAAAGACCCGATGAAGAGGCCCAGTGTCTATATATCCAGAGAGGAAGAGATGCCTGGCCAGTTCCTGCCACTCCAGCCACTTCTGCTCCTCTGCTCCAGTTTCAACTTCCATCTATTACCACCATGTGAGAGTCCTCAAGCCAAAATCACGTAGGCAAGTCCTGCTCAAATTCCTGACCCAGAAAAACTGTAACAGATAGTAAAATGATTGCCATTGTTTTCAGCCACTAAATTTTGGAACGATTTGTTATGTAGCACTAGATAATCATAACAAGGTCTTAACATAAATCCCAAATCTGAAGGGAACAAAATGGGAAGGAAGTCAACTCCTCAGTAACAACTGCTTACCTCTTCTGATTTGGAGAGTTGGCCTCCCATCCCAGCTGGTGACCTAGAAGGAGACTTGACAAGAAGTCATAGAAAAACACTTGAGACTGAAAACAAAATCAACTTGACGATTTATACTCAAAAAGATATGCTTTAGTATTGTTCAACTATTATCCCAACCATACATTTTTATTGGAGATGCATACTGCTGTGGATTAAAATGTGTTTCCCCCAAATTATACATTGAAGCCTTAACTCCCAATGTGACTATATATGGAGAAAGAGTCTTCAGGAGGTGATTCAGGCTAAATGAAGTCCTAAACGTGGAACACTAATCCAATAGGACTATGGCCTTATAAGATATGTCTATCTCTCCCCAACCCTCCCCACTCTGTCTCTTCAACTCTCTCTCCTTTTATTATGTCCTCATTTAACACCTCATTGACACAGCAAGAAGGTGGCCATCTGTAAGTGAGGAACAGAATCCTCACCAGAGCTCATCCATGCTGGCACCCTGATCTTGGACCTCTAGCCTCCAGAACTGTGAGAAATAAATTTCTATTGTTTAAACCACCCAGTTTGTGGTATTTTGTTATGGCAGCCCAAGCAAACATATCACCTATATATATATTAGATATATATATACACACATATATATACCTAAACAGTAAAAATAATTTGCATCTTAAATCAATTAATTGTAAGCATGCCCACTTTAGTCTTCAAAATATCCTGAAAACCAAAAGATTATACCAATATCTATCATATGAACTAATTCAGGCATTTTCTGCATATTTTTAGTAATATTTTATGGAAAATAATTGCTGTATTATTAAAACAATCATAGTATAACTAGCTGTGTCATAATTAAAATTTGATTGCAAATATAATCATAGAAGTTTAGCAGGGACCTTAAAGTTCACCCAGCTAAGTCTACTGATCAGGGCCTGTTTCAGAACATTCTCCAAAGTTGGAGTGGTAATATCCAGCCTGGATCTGCGTGCCCTACTCAAACTTGACATGTTCAATATATTACCATCACTCTGTGCTGGTAAGGCTGCAGTGAAATGGACGCTCAGAGACTTTTTAAAATAGGTTTGTAAATTTATACAGTCTTTTAGGAAGGGAATTTTATTATGTTGCTCAAGGGTATTAAAAAGGTTTACATCCCTCGATCTATGCTTAAGTAATAACCCAATATACAGAGAACGCTTTCTATGCCTTGTTATTTATTGTGGCAATACCTGTCGTATGAAGAAATTGGAAACACCATAAATGTGCAATAGCAGGGAAATGGTATTGTTCACAAATCATTATTCTACAAAGCATAACTCTGTTGATGTGTGAAAAAGAGATCAGAAGTAAATATATAAATATACACATTTGTTGAATGAGCTAAATAATAACACATTCTTGAATATTCTTTATCTCTGGGTATCATATTTTTATTTGGCAAATGAAAATGACCCAAACTCACCTTGGAAAATCTGGTCGCTAGAGAGTCATGTGGTCATGAAGTCATGAAATATGGAACCTTCTAGCAATAAACCATTTAATTATTACACAGCTCTAATGGTTAAACAAATCTGCATCATCCATTCTCACAGGTCTGGTGAGTGAGATATCAGTGGTAGAATTTAAGTAGCGAAGCACAAAAGCTTCATCAGCTGTGACATATGGGCAAGGTATCATAATCTTAGCAGCTCTCAAATAATAAAAGACAGGCCTATGTCCCAATTACTGTCGTGGTTAATATCTCAAATATATGAAATTGTTTTTGAAAATGTTTTCTAGTTTGGCCCATCAGGTGAGAGATTCTATTTGCTTTTCTCCAAACCTGCCTTCTTCATCTGGAACATGGTTTAGTGGTTGAGAACTGAAACACTGTCCAATATTTCTCACCACTTGAGCCTAAAATATCCTTCCCCATAACTGAAGGCAAATGATTGCTTTCTCCTTTGTCTTGGTGAATATTTTCCTGGATTTTGTTTTCCACCATTGCCTGATATTTTTCCTTGACTTATGGCAGGTGGAAGCCAAATGCATATATTGCCAAGTGAGGTGTCGTCCGAATCAGCCAGGGCAGGAGGTTGGAAAGGCTTGTTCTTTGGGATGACAACTATGTCATGGGATTATTATCAGAATGATTCACATGTACTTTGTGTGGGAGCTGGAGCTTCAGAGAATCAGAAGGGATGGATGTGAGGTTGCTTGTACGTCCCCTTGTTTCCTGGGGACTGAGGGTTTGGTCTGTGTTTAATGTCTGTGATGTTTTCTTGGCATGACTCAACATGGGTGTACACTTTGGGTACTGAAGCTTTCAGCCTATTATGGTGCATCTACTTTCAAAGTTTTGTATTAGCAAATTTCTGATCATTCATCCTGGTGAGTGCAAAATTGAACAATTATAAAGACATGCATTTAGGGTGGAATGATCATTTGGTCAAGTATAATGAAGGAGGCCTTGTTTAGTAACAGTCCATGTCCCAAAAAGCTGAAAATTTTAGTTGGCCAAGCTTTAAAGGAAATTTCTGGAGTAATGGTATTCTATATCTTGATAGGGACTGGATTACACAGGTGTATGGATTTGTCAAAACTCAGTGAATGCACAATTAAGACTAAGATTTCATTTTACATCAAAACAAATAGTAAAAAATTAATTAGTAAAAGCAAGTTAGTGAAAAACAAATAGTGAACCAACTCTAGTTAATGTTGAAGAAGAAAGAATTATTCTTATATCTGTAATTTACATTGAAATACATTTTAAACATAAGATGGATTGACAGTGGATAGAGGGCAAGATACACACATGACTCAACAAGCACCCTAAGATGTTGGTGACAGATTCTAAGTGATGGCTCCAGGCAGTGGTGGGCCTGAGCTGGCTCACATACGCTCCCCAGAGCTGATATTGCACAAATCTCCCCCACGTCACATTGGTAACTTGAAATTAGCAAAGACAAAAACATTCACACCACAGAAATCAGCAAACAATACAAATCAGATTTTTTGTTTTCCCTCCAGAGAGCCAGTTTACAGACACACTGCTGTGTATGTGAGTTGTTGATTGTAAACTTCTTTCAACTTTGCTGTATGCTTGCAAACTTTCATAATAAAATATTGGCAAAAAATATGACTCGGTGTGCTCTCACTGATGAAAAAATAAATTAACCGTCAGTTTTCCAACTTGCGCCTTTGAGTAAGATTTAGCAAGGCATTCCTCTGACTGCAACAGCTAGGGGGAAAAATGATGTATCACAAAAATCATGTTTTTATAAACAGTATGGAGAATCATAGAGGCAAAAGAGACTAAAAGAATGAACATTCCAGAGGGGAATAGCTCCCGCAGAGTGAAATGAGTGTGCTGGCAGTTTTCTTTCCAAGGGGCATTTGCTGAGGCCATCTAAAGAGTGGGCTTACTGCGAGCAGAAGAAAAGAGAGAGGAGACCCAGGGCCCTGCAGGCTGGCAAAGAATGGAACATCCAGAAGTCCCTAAAGCATGGCTGACCTTCCCCGCTGGGCAGTTATTGCATCTGGGGTGGCACAGAACACTGAGGGGATGAGCCAGCCAGGAATTGTGAAATCTCCCATAGCCTCAGAGTGCCTAGGAGTCAAAGTCACAGTAGAAGAAGAGGCTGACAACCACACCCAGCGGGGCCCCAATCAGAACACCTGGCAGATTTTGAATCCACATGATGTGGAGGTTAAAGAGCTCAGCTTTCGGGGAAGAGGTGACAGAGACACAATAGGAGCTCAATCCAAAGCCTAGGAGAACTTGACTCAGCTTTGTTGAAGGTTTGGGATAGAGGCTGGTTTATACAGGAAGGGGGCTGGGCTGGGAGAGATGAGTCAAATCCCCCTCAGTATCATGTTCCTTAAGAGTCAAAGTCCCTTGAGAGCAGGGGTGTCCAATCTTTTGGTTTTTCTGGGCCACTACAGAAGAAGAAGAATTGTCTTGGGCCACACATAAAATACACTAACAGTAGCTGATGAGCTAAAAAAAGAAATTTGCAAAAAAACTCATAGTGTTTTAAGAAAGTTTATGAATTTGTGTTGAGCTGCATTCAAAGCCGTCCTGGGCTTCATGCAGCCTGTGGGCCACAGGTTGGACAAGCCTGCACTAGAGAAAGGGGTCCATGCTACCTGTGCCCCATGTGTCCCCCAGGAGATGGTCAAAACCAGAGTGAGTTACACCCAGCTGCAGTCCCAGCCGTGATCTAGTTCACTTCCTCACAGCATCCAGTGATACCCCCTGTACTGTCTGCCTAGCTAAGGAAAAGGCAAACTTTTTCTCGGGGAGAAGAACATCAACTTCAGTAGCTGCGGGTCTTTTATGCATAACAACAACAACATCTGACAAACAACCCTAAGTAATGAGATGCAAGAAGTAGGAAAATGTGACCCACAATAAATGGGAAGACATACAATAAAGCAGATGCACAAAGTATCCAATGGTTAGAGTTAGCAGAGAAGGATTTGAAGGAAATTATTTAAAATATTTTTTTAAAAAAATAAGGGAAAGTTTGAAAAAAACGGATGGAAAGATAAGTAATTTTGACAGAGGATTGGAATTTATAAAAAAAAAGAAGCAAATGGACATTCTAGAACTGCAATATCTGAAAGTAAGAACTCCCTAGATGAGTTTAACAGTGGATAGAACATAGCAGCAGTCAAATCCCTGAACTTCAAGACATGCCAATAGAAAAAAATATGTATATTGAACGGCATATGGAAGAAAGAAATGAGCAGATTATAAGAGATGCTCAAAACACAGAGAGAAGGTCTAACAAACATGCAATTGGCATCCCAGAAGGCAAAGAATAGAGAATGAGAAAGAAAAAGGAGTCAAAGTTCTGCAGAGAAAGATGTATTACACTCGGATTCGGAGGTCCAACGCTGGTCATTTCCCTTACTCATTGATTAGCATTGGGCAAATCCCTTATCTCCTCTGATCTTCCTTTTTCTCATCTGTAAACTTGAATTAGTAATATTTATTTCTCAGAACTTTTAATGACATCATCTATAGATAACAAAGCTACAAGGTGAATTTTTAAAAAATTATGTTCATTATTTTCATCATTATTATGTTTTCACTCAGTTACTCTAGTGAAACAGCATGCCATCATTATCCCTAGTACACTTCAGGATAAAATTACCTATGAGCCAAAATGAAAATTAAATTTTACCTAGGTTGTGTCTCCTCTTCATTCTAAATTTAGTTTTTATTTTTATTGCATGTGTCTTCATATTTTTCCCATTTCTGTAACAGGCAAGTTCTATTCCAGAAATCACTGAATACTCAAGTTAGGGGGATGGCAAAGGATTTCCTTCTGGAGGCCATTTCTTGGGACTTGAAATTCCTGGGCAGAGGGCACAAGAGACAGAGTGGAAAATATGCCCCCAGCTTGAGTTAGGGAGGGCTGAATTCATTCATATTTCTTAATCATTTAGTTTCCAGTCACATTAGAACTGAGTGAAAGCCCAGAATTGTATCAGGAAGGGTGTACCCATCAGACTGATGAAAATTGCATGCAATTGTGAGCATATGTGTATGTTTATATGCATAGAAAAAAAAATTCCTAATGGAACTCATGCCTGGGAAATAAGATTTTAGATGGAAGATTTGTAACTACAGAAACCCACATGTCCAGTTTGCTGATTTTTATCTATCTGGTAGAATTCTAAACCACAGTCTCCAAATCAGTTTATACTCTTGTTGTTGTTGTTTCTACAAAGAAATAAATAATAAAAGATAGAGATTGAGCAGGTGGGAATAAAACAATAGGAAAAAGAAAAGGATGGAGAAGAAAATGAAAGCAGCGATGTCTGCTGGGGTTGCCAAAACAAAATCACAGGCCACGTAGCTAAAACAACAGAAATTTCTTCTGTCACAATTCTGGAGTCTGGAAGTCTGCCAGCAGGGTTGGTTTCTTGGGGGCCTCTTTCTCTGGCTTGCAGACAGCTGCCCTCTGCCTGGGCTTGTCCACTGGCATTACTGATGTCTCTTTTTCTAATAAGGATGGCAGTCATATTGCATTAGGACCACACCCATGGGCCCCAATTGAACCTTCATTACCTCTTTAAGGTTCTAATTTAACCTTCATTACCTCTTTAAGGGTCACATTGGGAGTTAGGGCTTCAACATACACATTTTGAGGGGACACAGTTCAGACCATAACAAGCAGAGTGAAATAAGGGTGAAGTGTGAGTGAATGGCCTCATAGCTGAAACGCTTGGCTGCATCCACACCAGCACCACATTGACCAACCCAGCAGGTGAGAAAGCTGCAGACCTTTGCTGCTTCTCTTTATTGAGGGTTTAGAATTTAGGTTAGTGAGAGTCCGTTGGTTTTGTCAGCTGAGGTGCATGGGTTTGGGGTCCTGAGTCTCTTCTCTTCTCACTTTTCTGATGCTCCACTCTCTGTTTTTTCCAAATCCTACCTTCTGAGTAATTGAGAATTCTAGACATTCTAGGTATGCCTCCAAAATCAAGCTACCAAACTCTGGGTGAGCCATGTGTAGGACGGTGAGCCACAGGACACCTGCTGTAGGCATCGAATTCCTGAATGGTGGGACACTGTGTGTCTCTGGCCCTATTCCCTCTCCAGGACAAACCTCACCCTTTCCTGCAAATGTACTCAAAATAGTACATTTATCCACGTCAATTCAGCAAAGGCTGCAGATCCTGGGACTACAGTATCTCAGACGCTGTTCTCAGCGAGCTCATGGTCCAGTGGAGAGCACAGACAAACAGCAAGGCAGGAGAAATCGCCTCTGAAGAGCCCAGGGAGCAGCGCGGGTGAAAAGCAGGGTGAGAGCAGGGCCTTCGGATTGGGAGAATCAGGACTCGCTTCAAGTAAAGCACTTTCAGCTATGAGGCCATTCACTAACCCTTGGGGAGGACGTGGAACAATGAACAGGAATTTGGGGAAAGGGTGGAGTGTAGGATGGACGGGACTGAGTGTGAAAGAGGCAAGGGTGAGCTATTCCACTCGGATGGAAAGTGTGAGTGAAGTCACAGAAGCAGGGCTGGCTGCAGCAGAGAAATGTCTTCTGAATCAGCTAGTGAGCTGCTCATGACCATCAGCCTGCTGCTTTATCAACATGTTTTTGAACAAAACTGCAAATCTGAAATTGACACTTCACCCCCTTCACCAAGTTTGGCTCTGAGTTACCTTCAGATTCCTATGGAATTCCAAGCTACCCTCGAAGGACTAAGGCTTGCCTTGATTGAGGATATATATAAAAATATTATTTATGTGCCTGGGGCTCAGAAAGCAATTTCCAAAGAGAATTTCTAAAGCTGTTCTGAGCATTATATAGCCTCTTGAGATTATGGATTTTTTTCCAAACATATAACAGAACTCTACACATCCTAATGAAAGTTCACAGCAGTAACATCACTCTTTTGTCTGCCTCTTACATCCTAGCACTTCTGGAGTCTGCAGGGCACATGAAGGAGTATAAGACCTGAGTTTTGCTCTCATTAAGCTCACAGTCTCTGCAAAATCAATCCTGCCAGAGGGAGAGCTTGGCAGTCCCTCCATCCCGTTATTAAAGTCTTTCCACAGCTGGTTCCCAATCTTACCTGGAGGGGTGGGTATAACATAGTAGTAAGGCACATGGGAGCCAAATAGACCAGGGTCTGAGTCCCATCTCTGTTTCTTGCAGGCTGTGTGATCTTGGGCCAATTGCTTGACCTCTCTGAGGCTCAGTGTTCTTTTCTGTGATGATAATAGATATAATAACTACTTCATAAGGTCCTGTGAAGATTAAATGAGCTGTACACATGAAACATGCAGCACTTTACCTGGAACAAAGGTCGGGCTTTCGTGACTATCCCGGGAGAACCAATTAAGGCCAATGCAAAATGCACAGAAGGGAGGTAGACACTGTCCACCCAGGTTAGGCCCCACCTGCTCCCTGCCACCAACCAAAAGAAGAGTGGGACCCCTGCACTTGCCAAACTGCTCTCTCCTCTGCTCTGCACAGGACTCCTGCAGCAGCAGGATGTCTCCCAGGTCCCCAGCGGCCTGCTACGTCACCGACACTGCTTGTCCATGCCATTGTACGAGGCAGTTGTGCAGCTGCAGGCTGCCCCAGGCCAGCCAATGGTTAGTGTAGAACTCGGCTCTTGCTACTTTCCTGACAAGCACGGATTTTTACTGCTTTACCTCAATCTGGCCGTCTCCTCAGACCTTTGCACACACCAGGAGTGTCAAGATCTAAGGTCAGCTCCTGGGGCTTCAAGAGTCACCTCTGTTTTCCTTCCACTTCCCCAGCAACTCTACAAGGGCTGAATGCATCCTGTTTCAGGAAACCCTGGAGGAGGGAGACCCCGAGTGCCTATGGATACATTAAAAGGGAAGAAAGAAAGTGCAGAGCTGGTTGGGTCACTGCCGCCCGGCCAGGGGCGGAAAGGAGCCACGTGGTGCTGTACAAGTGTTTCCATTCAGGATGAGTCACAAACCCTGGACCCTGAAACAACTTGGCAAATGGAAAGCCAAAGGGATTGTTCTTGATGTCTGTGTGGGTCCCCACTGCCAAGTTTCAAATACCATCTCCCTCCACACTCCCCTTTTACGCTCAGGGAAGGACAGGCGCATGTACTGACCTGATCCCACTTGCCCAGGAAGCTGGCTGCAGGGCAGGATGGGGGCCTCTCTGGGGCATCTGTAAAGGGTGAGCTTCTTTATAGAGCTGGGTCAGGCTGGCTGCAGCCCATGCACCAGTCCTCTGAGGTGTCCTGAGCCTGGAGAAGGGGTGCCTGGGTGAGTGTAGGAAACTGCAGTTTCAGAGGAAGAGGTGACTCACCAACAGTATGCAATGCTGCATTCAGTAGGCATGGCACCTGCCCTTCCGAAGCTTATGCTGAAGTGACTAGAAAATTACAGTCTTCCCATATGTATGTCATACTCTCGCCAGGGTTTTCATGTAAGAAGACCTCTGTCCTCAAACCCTTTCTGCTGTTTCCCCTAAACATGTCCTGCTCTCACCTGACCTCTGCACGTCCTCTCCTACCCTCAGGCTTCAGACCTTGCCAGCTCTGCCTGCAGGTGCAAGAGCCTCCTAAATGCTGTTCCTGCTCCTGTCCTTACCTCACCCTATCTATTCTCTTCAAAACAGCCAGAAGGAACTTTTAGAAATGTCAGTCAGATCAGGTCCCCTCATAGTTTAAAACCCCTTCCACAACCTGCAAGGCCCTCCATGGTCAGGGCCTTCCCCACCCTCACTGCTGCATTTTGCCTTTCTGGAACAGAACCAAGTTTGCTCAGGGCCTTTGCAGTTGCTGTCCCCGGCGCCTTATCTCTCAACAGCTCCCTTTGTCACTCAAATCTCACTTCAGTTGTGACCCTTTCAGAAAAGGCTTCCTTACCACCCCCACCCCAACTCCCAAAGCACCAACATTTTCTCTACAGGCAGAAACTATACAATTAAAAACACATAAACAGAATTTAATAAGTTTAGAATAAGATAGTAAGCTCTGCAAGAGTGGCTCCCATCTCTCCTGTTAATCGCACAGAATCGGCACTCAGTATTTACAGAATAAATCCTACCCCATGCAAGTTAGGGTGCCTGCATTTCTTGGTGGAAGAGCCTGGAAGTTTCCTGCCCAGGCAGGGTGGGGCTGGGCGAGCTGGGCCATAGGCAGGAGAAGCCCAGTGAGGACGTGGAGCTGCAGAGTCCCTGCCTGGAGTGCAGCCCCCACCTTGAAGGGATTCTCAGGGAACTAGAGGCCATTGCTGCCCAGTCATTGGCTGAATCTGGTAGTTGCTTGTTCTCCCAAGTTCCTCTCTCCACGAAGCTCCTTGAATGTACATTCAGGAATTTATCATCATGGCACTTTTTTTGTCTGTTTCTAACCTATAATTCCATATATATATATATATATACACACACACACACAAGGGCTCTGGAATAGATCTCTAAATTCCCTTCAGAGCCAGCATTTGATGGTTTACGTGAAAATGTGTTCCACCTGGAATCAGGGTGCATTTGGGTCAAGCCTTTAAGAAAACAATTCAGGCTTAGCTGGGACATCCAGAAGAGATTATAGACGCTCCTGCACAGCGGGCATCCCAGCTAATGGGGCTCTCACGCACCTGACCCGAGCGCAGTGTGAAACAGCACCAGATGATGATGAGGCCCATATCCTGACCCCTCCAGGGCTCAGTATTTAGCTTCCCTGTGCTTAGTTTTCTCTTCCTGGAATGTCTCCACTCTAAGCAGAGACACCATTAAAAAGGGTTTTAAATTGAGCAATGAGAAACATTCTCTGCATGAGATTTTAAAGTCCACACGTGAGACTGGCGGTTCTTCAGCTCAGAGGCACCTGGGGTGCTTGTTAAAAGTGCAATCTCCGGCTCAGTTCCAGAGTGCTGACTCGGTGCACTGGTGGCACCTAAGAATCTCTATTCATGAAGCTTCCAGTGATTCTGGCGCAGAGTTTGTGGTGGAAAACTACCCACACTCAGTGTGACAGAACCTGTGCCCTGCAGAGACATGGGTTAGACAGGCTCTAGGGCTCTTGCCTTGCCCGTCTCTTGAGGCTGTGGGAAACACAGGAGGTTCTGAGCAGGCTCTTCGTGTGTGCCTCTAGCAACTGAGTTCCAGAACCCTCAGTCACCTGAAGGGCCTGTCTACATGATGCCAGGTAGCTGGACAGTTAGAGAAGGCAAGGCCATTCATTTCCAGAGCTACAGGATTAGTAAACCCAACTTCTAGTACACGAAAATTCTTCATCTTTAGGTGAGGGAACACACGAGAGGATTACCTTCAGGCTATCAAACCTCCAGAAAACGACCTATGACTTCTGGCTGTCCCTTCCTCTCCTATTGAGCCAGCTGAAGGAATTTAAAGAATAGCAAGCTTGACTCTGCCCAAAGGGGTATTTTCCTCATCTCTTCAGAGAATTTGGTTGCTCTACTCCCACTATTTAGAGGTTATGGCAGGAATTTCAAAGCTCTTTTAACAAGTCTGTTATCCACCTTCATACACAAACCTACAAAACCAAATTCATGGTGCATCTGTCCCCAAGGTTAGAGAATTCGACATGTAGGTAAAGAGTCATTAGAGCACATTTCCCAAGAGCAGACCCACTGTTTCTCACTATCCACACAACCAAGAGCCTGCAAGAATACTGAAACCCTCCACCGGGGACGGGGACAGTCCAGAACCCATGCAGCATTATTCATTATGCACCAGAGAAACTGACCCACCCGCAGGAACAGCCGCATGAGCTCTTTCAGGCCTGACCCCTGAGAATTCTCTCCACAAGCAGACCCAGTACCTCCCCAGGGCTCACCCACCTTAAGGGATCCATCTGGGACAGATGGGGAGAAGTCAGCCCTCACAGAACTTCTACCAATCTGTGGGTCCACAAAGCCCTAGAGGAAGAAAATCCAAGGCTCAGGACTTCTTTTGTCTTCATGGTGAGCCTTCTCCTCCTCTCTGCTCTTACAGTTCCACCTCCAGCCTATAAAAAATAAAAAGCTGGGAGAATGAGAGCGAGCAAGGAGCATTCTTCCCATCGTGGCCCTTCCCACACAGGCACCAGGAGTACCTTTGGGCCACAGCCAGTAGAATATGTCTAGCATCGCCATTGATGCAAGGAGCAAACTTCTTGGGCGCTAGGCCCAGGCAGCTCTGAAGACTCCGAAGAGTAAGAGTCCAGTGAAAGGGTAATGATGTTCATAAATCATCCAGATGTCAGCACCAGGACAGGAGGTGCACCCACCCAAACTGCAAGGCCAAGGTCATGAGCATCCTACCCTTCAGGGAGAGAACAAAGAAGACACGCTGCTGATGCAACCCATGGGCAGGGATGGGCGAGGGGCACTTTCTAGAGCCAGCGGGTTCTGGTCCCCAGACATACCACTGAGAGCAATAAATGCACCGGCTCTGTTGGATCTCAGAGAAGAACTACCAGATTTCTTTCATTTAAGCAGTAGAAGCATTGTTGGCAAGATAATCCTTGCATTTTCTTGTTGAGTTCCAGAAGCCGTTACTACATACCAGTGAGCCGAAATAGCTAGAATTCTAGAGTCATACGGGACCCTATAGATGTGGGACCCAAGGACATATGTCCACAGAGAGAAGGTATCACAAAGAGAGGACTGGGCGATGGTGAACTGGAGGTGCAGATGCCATGGAAAGTTTCCAGCCCTGCTCAGCCCCAGTGCTAACCCACTGTTACCACGCAAGAAATTGGTGCCAGGTTTGTCAGAGCTAATGATTTTTCAATATAAGCCCCAAATTCAGATTTTTATGTGAAATTTCCCAATTTTAAAATGTTGGCAACAAACTCAACGTTATTTAAAACACGGTACAGGCCAAATTAAACCCATCTGGGGAATGGCAGATGTGGCCCCTGGACCTGCAGCTCATGACTTATGATATGCATCAATTATTTCACAACCAGTCATGATAATAGCTGATGTTAATTGAATGCTTCACACATATTATTACATTTAGTCTGTACAGTTGAGGAAATTAAGTTGATAGGAGAACAGGTAACTTCTTCAAGTCTGCATGGCCATATAAGTGGGGGAGCCAGGACAAATCCAGGTCTGACTAATGTCAAGTGCTCTTAGCCATTAGTGATACTGCAGTTTCAGGAACAAACTGTAGTTGCCCTTAAACCCATTCATTCCAAGGGATGGCATGCTGAAATTGACAATGGGTATTTGAACTGCTTAGTGTTTCCGGGAGGGCAAGACCCGGAAAGACAGGCTTACAAAAAAGAAGCTACCATCTTGCCCGTGAACAATGGCAGGAAAGTTATATTGAGAGTATTACCCATTCTGCCATCTCCAGGGAGGCAAAAATGCCTCCCTGGCCCATTGGGTGACTGTTCTAGCTCCTTGCTTTTCAGAGTGGCCAGTGGATCAGCTGTATTGGCTTTACTCGGAGCTTATGAGAAAGGCGGAACCCCAGCCACACCACATTTCCTGAACAGGTCCGGGAAGCTTGGGAAACCTGTGACTCACCACTTTCTAACTTGTTCTCCAGTCTGATGTTGCCTTTCAGCTCCTACCATCTTCCCCATAAGACAGCCAACTCCCTAAAGACAAAGTCTTCATCATCCATTTCTTTTTTGCCTCTTCCTGGGCGTAGCCTACAGTCAATCGGATCCCATCAACCCAGTGGCAAATAAGGAGCTCAAACTAGAAGCAGTGATGTGTTCCTGAAACCACAGCCACACGGGTTAGCTCTGGCCAGCAGGCTCATGGCAGGCGCTTGGAAATATAAGAAAAATCAGAACAACATTTTAAGTTCCCCAAATCTTCTTGTGCTGCAGGGATAAAAGTGGCACTTGTTAGCCGGCAGTTCACACCTGTAATGCCAGCACCTGGAGAGCCTGAGGTGGGAGGCTCTGTTAAGGCCAGGAGTTCAAGACCAGCCTGGGCAACATAGTGAGACCCTGTCTCTACAAAAAATAAAAAATAAATTAGTCAGATGTGGTGGTGCATGCCTGTAGTCCTGCCTACTTAGGAGGCTGAGGCAGGAGGATCACTTGAGTCCAAGAATTCAAGGCTGCAGTGAGCTATGATCCCACCACTGCACTCCTGCACTCCAGCCTGGGTGACTGACAGAGTGAGACCTTCGCTTCCAAAAAAAAAAAAAAAAAAAAAAAGGTGGCACCTGCACCCAAAAAGTGTGTCTACTCCATAGGCAGAAAATGATGGCTGCTGTAGGCTCATTGATTCTACAAATTGTTTGCCTGTTTTTCAGAGAATACTTGGATTCTTGGCAGGGCAGAAGTTCTTGGCAGAAACCCTCGCAAAATGCTATGGACATAGTTGTGAATCTGTAACTGGGGTGCTGGGGTGAATCCCGCCTGCCTGGACTGCAGCTGGAGGAACAGACAGCCACACACCCGGACTTCTCATCTCTTGCTCGTAGACCTTCCCGCAGAATCTCTTTGCTCCGTGGCACATGGTTGGTTTTTGCTGTTGTTGTTCCAGAAAATGGGCAAACTCCTGTCCTTGACTCTTCTGCCATCACTGCTAAACTTCCAACCATCTCTACGTGCTGGGATATCGTGGCAGAGAAACATCATGGCCGCGCAAAGGATGGAGAGGTCAGTGGGCTCACATCCCTGCCAAGTCTCCCAGGTCTCCTCAGTCATCGTGGCTTGCAGGAAAATTCTCCCTGCCCCTCAGGCAGCCTGAATTCCTTAAGCACATATGTCACCTCCAGCTCCTGCCACAGCCCTCACCTGCCTGGGATACCATAATCACTCAAGGAAAAATCAAGTCAAAGTTCCCAGCGCCCCTCTCCCCACAGACCCTCATGCACACATGCAGCTGGAAAGCCTCTCCTGGCTCCAAACCGCTGTGGCTTTCCATTCTAGTGAAACTGTGATGTTGCTGTGGAAACAACCAGCGAGGTGCTGCTCTGGCCACGTCCCGGGTGGAGGGCCCGCAGCCCACACCACAGACACACTGGGCACTGGGAGCCAGGAAGCCCTAGCCGCCCTCACCGCCCAGGGCAGCCCCGAGCCCCGGCGGCGCTGTTAGTAGCGCAGTGTGTGCATGGGCATCCTAGCTCGGTGTGTGTGTGTGTGTGTGTGTGCGTGCACCATAGCCTGGCATGTACGTGTGCATCCTAGCTCGGTGTGTGTGTGTGTGTGTGTGTGTGTGTGTGCACCGTAGCCTGGCATGTACGTGTGCATCCTAGCTCGGTGCGTGTGTGTATAGCATAGCCCTATGTGTGTGTATGTGCCTTGTAGCCCCGTGTGTCTGTGTGCTTCGTAGCCTGGTGTGTGTGTGTGCACATGTGTGCATGCAGGCATCATAGCTCAGCATGCGTGTGTACATCATAAATCGATGTGTGTGTGTGTGCATCATAGCCCAGTGTGTTCATGGGCATCATAGCTCGGGGTGTGTGTGTGTGTGTGTGTGTGTGTGTGTGTGTGCGCGCGCGCACCATAGCCTGGCATGTACATGTGTATTGTAGCCCAGTGTGTGTGTGCATCATAGTCTGGTGTGTGTGTGCATCATAGTCCGGTGTGTGTGTGTGTGTGTGCGTGTGCGTGCATCATAGTCCGGTGTGTGTGTGCATCACAGTCCGGTGTGTGTGTGTGTGTGTGCATCGTTGCACATGATTGTTTTCTTTTCTCCTTAGCCCAGCCCCTCCAAGCACACAAAGGCACATTCTTGGGGGAAAAAAATGTATTTTTTTCTGCATTCCAGCTGCCTGAGCTAAGCGGAGGAATGAATGGTTTGGGGAAAATCTCACACAGGAATAAATTTACAAGGGACAGCTGAGCGGATAAATTCAGTCCCTAAAGAGGGGCATTACGAGGCCTTTTGGCAGGAGACTTGCCCCTTGTGCAAAGCTGCCTAAAAAGAAAAACAGAGCAAGAGAGGGGAGCTTTCAAACCCACCCCAAAACAAACCTTTCAGAAATCCCTTTCACTCACTCTAGCTGCTAGCATTTAAAGACGGAGAAGGCCCATTACCAAAAGCAAATAAATCGTTTCTCGGTGGACCTCATGTGCCCTGTGTTTGCCTGGAATGCTGGCTCTTGTCCCTCTCTGGCTAAGGTGGATTGTTCAAAGTTGCCCGGGTTTTCTGATTTGACCTGTTGTCTGCATACTTCATGACAAAAGTGATGTCTGACCTATGGGGTATTTGGCAAAAAGTGTTGATTCGTTAGGAGTTCCCCTTTGTTAAAGAGTGAACCCAGGCCAGGCATGGTGGCTCACACCTGTAATCCCAGCACTTTGGGAGGCCAAGGTGGGCAGATCACCTGAGGTCAGGAGTTTGAGACCAGCCTGGCCAACATGGCAAAACCCTGTCTCTATTAAAAATACAAAAATTAGTTGCGCGTGGTGGCAGGCACCTGTAATCCCAGCTACTCAGGAGGCCAAGGCAGGAGAATCTCTTGAACCCGGGAGGCAGAGGTTGCAGTGAGCCGAGATCATGCCATTGCACTCCAGCCTGGGTGACAGAGAGAGATCCATCTCAAAAAAAAAAACAAAAAACAAAACAAAACAAAACAAAACAAAAAAACAAAAAAAGAGTGAACCCAAGTGAACCCAATAGAAGAGGGGCCAAGAGCAAGCTGGGAGCTGGAGTTGGTCTGAAATTAGGGAAGCCCTGTAAAGACAGGAGATAGTTGTGCCCTCCGGGAGGAAGCTGCCACCAATGCTGGAGGACGTCAGGTCCAAACATGCAGTGTTTGTTCCTTTGAGTCCCCATAGTTGTTTTCTACAATGATTGGGAGGGAGATTAGGCTGGAATCATTTTTGGACACTCCCTCCCTAAAGGGGCATCGAATGCTTTCTGTGTCTCTCCTGCGTCCCTGCTGCCTCCTTGACTTGCTGCAATCCATGGCTGGTTGCTAGAATTAAGAAAACCCTGTGGTTACTTTGAGGTCTCCAAACTCAGTGAACCCATATCCTCTCTCTTTTCTCTGGAAACCAAATCTTAGAATTTTTACAGCTGGAAATGACCCTTCGGCTCCTCGTCACAGATTTTCCCAGGCTCTTCCACTCCCTGGAGAGCCTTAGACTCTCAGCCTGGCCAGCTGGGTTCCCATGGGACAGCTGAGCTGTCAATCATCACCAAACATGTCCACATCACATGCCGTGAGCTGTGCTGTGCTCGTACCGTCAACCCTTCTCCACGGATGCTATTACTTCTGAAGTAATCATGGCCAGTGAGTATTAAGCATCAACAGCTCTGTCCTGCACTGTCCACTTAGAGACATAGAAAGATGTATACAAAATGGTCAGTCCCTGCCTGCAATGAGCTGAAATTCTGTTGATAAGATAATAATTACAAGTTATCGAGTGCTTGCTATATTCCAGTCCCCTAGCTTTTCACCTGGCAATTCACCGTGGTAAGAACTTTATTTGCATTTAGTGCAGTAATTAAATGCATGGGCAGAATCTGACTAATTTGCCAGGACACAAATCCTGGGTCTACCACGAATCAGCTAAGCATCCTTGAGCATTAACCTCTGAGAGCCTCAGTTTCCTCATTTGTAAAATAGAGAGTAATATCTGCCTTGCAAGAATGCTGTGAGAAATCAGTAAAACAGTGTTTGCAAAGCTCTAAACTCAAGTGACCAATCATGCTGAGCTAGGGACTGTCCTATCGAAGGGGCATCTCTCTCTCCAACCCCTTCTAGCCAGCAAACTTCAAACCCCAGCTCTTAAAGAAGCCTGGAGAAGGCAAGAGAATGAGCAGCTCCTGAGCTGCTCAGAGCCTGCAGAATCTTCCTACAGCAACCATTCAGCTGTGGTTCTGAAGTGTTTCCTAACATTCATATGGCCCAGATCTGTCCTCTTCTTGCTTCTACTTAGTTAGCTTCCTTCGGAGGCAAAAAGATTATACCAGCATCAGGAATATGCGCAACGTCCCAAGTTTGCCACTTTCAAAAGTTGCCTCCTATGAGTTTGTGTCCTTGGAGAGGCCACTGTCTGAACCTCAATTTACCCACCTGTAAAACTGGTAGATAATAGTCTCAGTAATACTTGATGTAAAATTTTGAGATTATGTACACAAAATACTTAGTATACATATTCAATACATGGTTAGTATTATCCTCGCTATTTTTACTGACATATGAAAATGTTTTGTGAACTGCAAAACTCTGAACAAATGTCAAATGTCATTAGCTATTCTACAATTTTATCAGAAATCACACACAACGCTACTGGTGCCATGTGAAGAAAACACTCAGGGCATGGCCCTGCCTCCATCCGGCAGCACATGCAGCCCATGGTCAGGATCTGCAACCTGCAGAAGACATCAGTCCAGCAGATATGTTCAAGCGGGTTCAAGCGGGTTCAAGGGATTAGACGCCTTGCATCTTAGGGTCAAGTTCATTACTGGGATGGAGTTGGAAGAAGCAGCCTAGACAGGCTCCTTTCCTGCAATGATAACGGTTCCTACAGTCCTCTTGGAGAAGCACAGACTTTGGCTGTTAGGTAGCAGGTGGAGGAGAAGGTGAAGGGGAGGTTGGAGCTGTTCTTGGGGCTGTATGCCTGTACCGCAGACCCCAGGCATGGTTTTCATAAGCAGTTATTAGTAAGTGGACAATAACCACTTATTAAGGCTAAATTTCATGCATGCTTGAGAGAATGAAGCAACATGGAAAAGGGAATTTACTGATACTTTCTGGTTGTAAGTTATTTCTTTAGAAACATTGGGGCTCTGTTCTGCCCTGACAGAATGGAGGTTTTGGCTTTTAGGGGAATTCAAAATTCAAGAAAGAGATTAATCCAGGAGAAAATGATGGCTTTTCTGAAGGGTGTGGATAGTAGTCACAAGAATGATGATACTAGAAATCCCGAGGAAAAGAGCATCCCGAGGAAAAGAGCATCCTCAGGGAGGCTGTGCATCCAGAACAAATAGAGTGATCCTCAATATCTACTGCGGCCCATGACTACATACAAAAAGGGCACGAAGCACTCTACACACATCACTCATTTTGTTCTGTTTACAATTCTTGGAAGTCTTTGTTATTACTATTATTTACAGAAGAGAAAGCTGAAGTTCAGGGAGATTAAACAATGTGCCCAGCATTGCCCAGCTAGCATCTGGTCGGAATAAAATTCCAATCGGCCCTTGCTGCCTGGATCTAGAGATTACACCCAAGGCTGACTGTGGCAATTTTTATGACATCAATCTGTAATATCCACTCTTGTTTCCAAGGGAGGCAGAGACTGCTAATTGTCTTCTGATACCTGTTCTTGCCTTTTTAAAAAATAATAGAACTATATAAAAATTAGCTGACCACACAGCCACTTGGAATAAAGACATATTTTCCAGTGTCTCTACAGCTAGATGTAGCCACGTGACTAAGTACTGGCCAGTGGGATATAAGTTGAAGCAATGTGTTCAATTTCTGGGAAGTGTCCTTAAAGAGAAGGCACATGCACTTCCCCTCCCCTTTCTTTCTTTTTCTAGCTGGCTAGAATGCAGATGTAATGACAAAAATTGGAGCCACTGTCTTGGGCCACAAAATAGAAATATTGAAGAGGGCAGAGGAGTGGTATAGAACAAGGGCAGTCACAAATGATTGCAGAGTCACAATTGCAACTCTCATCTGCCTCCCTACAATTTAATGTGAGATACCAATAAATCTTAACTTTGATTAAACTACTGTAATTTAGGGTTTCTGTCATTCAGTTGGATAGAGGCCTATCTATTGCACAAGATGCCTCTGTTCTTTGTCCATGCTACTTAGCATCATTGTTCCTTTCTGCATTCTCTTCTTTTCCTCCTCTACAATTTCATCCAAATGGATTCAAATTACACATGTATCAGATTAATGGCAGATCACCAAAGGGGCAGAAAGGCAGCCTGCGACCTCAGGGGAAGGCAAGTGTGGGTTGGGGTGAGGGTCCATGCTCTTGGAGGCAATGTTCTTGGACCTGACCAGCAGGGAGGGAGCGGCTCAAGAGCAGTTCTTCCTAGTCCATTAGCCTCTGGTCCATTTATGAGGCCAGGGATAAGTCTTGCCAACAAAATAGTCTTTCCAAGAAAATAAATTCAAGTCATCCTGCTCTTCTGGTTCCTCTCCTGCCATCATTCCCAGAAAGTCTGAAGTACACGATGTTGGCTGTCATGGAACATCTGTCTCCTGTCCCACCCAAAAGTACCAGATTCCAGGAGGGTCTGAGCCAGACTGAACTGGACTTTCCTCTCCTACATGTGTCATCTTTGCTTATCTTCCAGGACAATCCGTTTGAGCATGGCTGCAAAGAGAAGTGATTCTTTCCTTTCCCATGGAAATGCTTCAAAGAGTTCCAGCATGGGGGTGATCTCAAAGTCCCCTGATCATTGAATCCTAGAGCTGGAGAGACTGCAGAGGTCATCTTGTCCCAAAAAGATGATAATCTTACAGCTAAAGGAAGCAGCCTACTCAAATCATTTGTTATTAGAGAGCTGGGACAACTAATAATATTAACAGCAACAACAACAGCAACAATTAGGCAGTTCTTTCTAGGTACCAAACACTGAGCAGAGCATTTAACATGGATTATTCATTTAATCCTCACAACAGCCCTATAAAATAGGCTCAGAGAGGTTAAATAATTCACCTGATTTTACAAGCTATTAGCTTGTTGAGTCAGAATTCAAAGGAGGTTTATTTGTTGCTTGAGCCTAAACTCATCTCTTTTCACAGCATCATACTATGACCTAATAACATGTCAAAACAAAAAAAGGTCACAATTTCCCCTCTGTTGATCCCAACAGGAAAGCCCAGAGGCTCACAGAGTTGTTGTCATTGGGCTTTTTTATACGCAATGCTATCCTCTGGACCACCTGGAGACCTTGATACAGACAGTCCCCTCTGTGGGAGTCTAAGATCTACATCTGGCAGAAAGTTGGGCATCACTTCTATTCCCAGGCACCAATCTGAACAAACACCTTCAAGGTTCAGGCTAAAGCTCAATGTCAGGATCTCCCCATCCTGACACCCCCTTTTCCCTCACTGGTTTATTCAGTCATTCAAGAAGTCTTTATTGAGTCAAATAAAACAGTGTCTAACATTAAGGATAAGGATAAAGAGTTAAACAAAACATGATACCTAATTTTCAGGACCATTTCACTGGAGAGACGGACAATAAATAAATAATTGGCCGAGTGTGGTTGTGCACACCTGTAGTCCCAGCTACTCAGGAGGCTGAGGTGGGAGGATCGCTTGAGCCCAGGCGGTCAAGGCTGCAGTGAGCTATGATGGCACCATTGCTCTCCAGCCTGGACAACAGAGCAAGACTCTGTCTCTGAAAAAAAATTAAAATAAAGAACAAATAATTATCTAGTGGCAATTGTGACAAGTGCCTCAAAGGAAAAATTCATGGCACTCATGACCGTATTAAAGGGCACACCTGGTGAGGAAATGGAATGTGAGAGGGATAGAAACTTGGTAAATTCAAGAAACTGAAAGAAAGCCAAAGCGCCCAAGCAATGAGTAGGAGTCAGATCATTCAGGGCCCACCAGGCCGTGTTAATAACATTAGACTTGACCCTAAGAATGATGCACAACTGTAGAGTTCTACACAGGTGAATGACAGACTCCGATTTGCATTGATAAACAATCTCTTTAGCAGTTGAGTGCAGAAGACATCAGAGTAGAGGCAGGGAGGTGTCTTAGAGGCCATCATAATTGTCCAGGTGAGGGACAAAGGAGTAGGGCTGAGGAGGGAGAGAGGTGGATGGAACTGAGGGGGCTGACAGAGCCAACAGGAGCTGCATGTGAGAGTGTGGAGGTCAGAAGACAAGTCTTATCTAGAGACGCATGACGGGCAGTCATCATCTTCAGAGAGTATTTGAAGGCACGAAAGTGGTTGAGATCTCCCAGATGGAAGTAGAGTAGGAAGAAAAGGTGGTCTAGGATCAAAACCTGAGGAACTTTAACATTAAAGATTGGGCAGAAGGAAAAGATCCCTCAAAGAACACTGAGGGAATGAATGGCCAGAGACGTAGGAGACAAATCAGGAGAGTGTGGAGTCCCAGAATTCAACAGAGCATTCCAAGAAGGAAGGAATGGTCAGCGGAGCTTAAAACCCCATCGTGGACAAGGGAGGTGAAAGATGAGTGGCGTGGGCTTCCAGGTTGGTGAGCGCACCTTGGGGAGGCGGTGGGACAGGAGAGGGCATGGAAGTCCTGCCTCCCACACTGGCTCTCTCTGGGGATCTCTTCCATCTCATCCAGCTGCTCCTGAGTTGTAGTCTCCTGAGAATATGTTTAATTTATTTCATTTATAAGACATGTAATAGCACTTTAAAAGTTTCAAAATTCAGGAAAAAATCAAAACATTGCAAGCTAAGATTTTACAGTTGATTTTTAGAGTATTGCTGTTAACCGAAGAATCTGAAAGAGATGGACTTAACAGAGAAGCGACTGCAATTAAGAGTTTATATTTTAAATATTACTTCCTGAATATGACTCTACTACTTGAGAAACTTCCCAGCTTAAATATGTATAAGACAGCATTGGTTCTCCTTATTTTTTGATCTGTTAACATCACCTGAGAGTGTTCTATAAAACTTAGAATGTGATTTTCCTAATGTAGTCATGTATATCTTACTGAGTGAGAGTTTTGTTTAAATATCATTCCTGAATTAGGATTAAAATACATCTACCATTATACATTTATGCTTCATGACCAAAGACAATATCAAGTATTTTAATGTGGTTACATTTAGCCAAAATAGAAATTGCTGTTCAATGGGTATAAAGTTTCATTATGCAAGATGCATAAGTTCTACAGATCTGTTGTGCAATATTGTCCTTAGTTAACAATACTGTATTGTGCACATAAAACTTTTCAAGTGGAAAGATCTCATGTTAAGTGTTCTTACCAAAATAAAATGAGTTAATCCAACCTCTTTATAACTTTAATACATTCTAGAGATTCTAGATTTCCAGAAAGTAAATTAATCTGTGAAACTGCCCATACTCACAATTATTAACTATGCATTCTTTTTCTAATGCTTGTATCAGCCACAAAGATTTTGAATAATTAAATATACCTTCTACTTTGAATAGCTATAAGTTGACTTTAAAAATAGAATAGAAAAAAGACAAATAATGTTCATAGGGGAAGGCAACATAATTATTGCCTATAGCAAAAACTATTTCAGTAAACTGGTGACAGTGGAAGCCAAATTGGAGTGAAATACAGAGTGAATTAAAGGTAAGAATGTGGAGACAGCCATTTCTACAGACCCTGTTTCATTCCAGACTTATCCTGGGTTAGCTCTGGCTCACAACACATTCAGGGTCACCCTAATTCTCACCTCAGTTCCATAGGAGGAAAATGTCAGAAGATTGGAAGCAAAGCATCCTGGCTCTAGTCCAGCCGCAAGACTAAGATAAATGATTGGAGAAGTAGAAGCACTAAGTCTAAGCTCATATGAATTGGGTCAATATTTTTTTAAACCTTGCAATATTAAGTTATCTTAAAGAGTTCTACATAGATAATTTTCTAATGAGCTAGGAGTCAACTACAAGCTCAGGAAAATAGAGGTAACTTGATGCCAAGAGAATTGAGGCAAGGAGGTGTGAAGGAAGCCAAGAGGAGCAAGGAGGGGGAATTAAAGAACCTGCCCAAAGACAGGATGTGATCAAGCAGCAGTAAAGCCATCAAGGTCGAGCAACAGGAGAGCCAGTGACACCTGGCCAGGTAGAAGCACTCGAGGTGAGCTGGCTGTAGAGTCCAGGGGCATGAGAAACTTACACCATGTTGGGTATAAGTTATAGTGACAGAAGTCATTGCTGGCTAGAGTCCGGGCTTTTAACCATATGCATACAGCCCCAAAATGTCTCTCGCCTCCCCTGTGAGCTATCATTAGTCTCATTTTACATACGAAGGCTTGCCTTAGCCACACAGCCACTAAGTGGTAGAACCAAAATTCAGTCCCAAGCCACTTGACCCAGGGCCTGCAATGCCATTCTGCAAGATGTGAGCCCAGCCAACCTCACTCTTCCCTGCTGTGACAAATCAACAATCAGAGGTGGAGACTGGACCTCTATAGACCCGGAAGTCAGTGCAACGTGCCATTCTCCTGATCATATCATCTTCCACAGCTGGGGGCCTCAGGGGGCGGCAACCCTCATGAGGTCACCGAATCACTCACTCAGCCCTGTTTCTACTCTTGATATAGCAGAAAATTCCTCAGCATAGCTCTCCTGCTGAAACGTCTCTTTCCATCACCTTAAAATCATTCCTTTTACAGGGACTGAGCACCTAAGGCATCTCCAGAAGCAAACCAGAAGCACCAGTTGGTGCAGAGAGAGAAATTAGTTCCTTAACACCCACCCTACCTCCCCACTTGGTGTGGCATTTGGCCTTTAAGGGTTTTGAACCTTCCCACCTATTACAAAGTTTGCGCAGTGGAGAAGAACCAGGGAGGGAAGCGAGCATCCATCACATGTAATTGCATAACATCTCTGACAGAAGCCACTTTTGTCCTCATTCACTAATCCAAACACTCACGATGACCCATGGGCTCTGACATGCAAACAGCAACCTGACTCCATGCAGACTGATGGAATAGGAAGTCAGCCCGAACCGGGTATGCATGTGCAGCTGGATTTGCACATCGTTGTTTGTCTGTGTGTGAAGCTATGTGTGTATCCCTAAGAGACAGCTTGCAGATTCTCCAGCCCTGACTGCTTACTTGGTGCTTGAGAGAGTGGGACACAAGTATCTCATTCCGCTGAGTGTCAGGCAATGTGAAGCGTGATGTCTGGGGACCAATTCGGTTTGTTTGCATCTTTATTTCAACTGAAGCTCTTCCGTTCCCACACACCCCAGAGATGAGGTTCTCGAGCGTCCCGTGGGGCCTGCTGAAGCTATTTTCACAGTTGCTAAGCAATGCTAGGCCTGCTTCAAGCCTGGTGAGCTCACGGCTATGCTGTGGTGGTGTCTGCTGGTAATCTGGACTTAGCATTATAACAACTGAAAAGAGAAAGGAAAGGTGTGTGGGCAAACAGCACACATGAGAAGTGACAATGTGATGAAGGATGAGTTGATGTGGGACCTAGAGCCAGGAGAAGCAGTGAGCACAATAGGTACCATGTGTAGCAACTACTCTCTCCAGGTATGAGCCGGGCACCATGGCACACACGAGTTCATTTAACAGGAATGGCACAAAGGCAGGAGAGGCAGCCACATGAGAGCAGATGCTTGCCCTCTTGGTCACGGTTGTACGAGCTATGGGCTCACGCAGTGCCTGGCACATGGAAAGAACTGAGCAATTATCAATCAAGTAAATGAATCACAGTGTTTAAAAGCAGGAAAGAGCTGTAGCTGTCATCTAACCCAACTTTCTCATTTACTATATGAGAGAACCACTTGAAGAAACTCCCCAGATAAACCCTAAAGTCTATTCCTTGTACACACCTAACTCAAAAGGAGCCCACAAGAAGAACAGAAAAGTTGCAAAAAGAAGAGGGTGGTGGTGTTTCAACCCTGACCTTCCCAAGGCACAGGATCCGGGCATCCACTGGTGACCAGGAAGACAATATGGGAATCATGCCTGACTGCTAAGGCTTGCCAGGGCCTCCCGTCCCCACTGTTACCACCCCCTGCCCTGATACCTCAGGCCTGGGCTGCTGCCACAGGTCCTAGCCATTCACCCAGACTTCCTCCCTTGCTGTCTCTCTCCCAGATTGTTCTGATAACACAGCAGCACCAGTCCCTCTTCCAGCACACAGCCCTTCCCATTGACCTGTCTGGGCTCTGACCCAGCCCCACCAGCCGGCCCTTCTCTTCCTGCAGACTCCTTGCCACCACCCCATGTTCACCCAGCGTCATTCACCCAGAGCCCCAACACCTGCTGCCCTTGCCAGACCAGGCCTCCCTACGCTGTCCACACACAAGCTGATGCAGAGCTGTGTGTGAGCCTTTGACAAGCATCCCTAGGTCTTCCCTCTGCGGTCATGACTTCCCTGAAGACTCTGCTCCCCCAGGGAGCCATCCATTTACATTTTCCCCAGGCTGATCACTTTTGTCATTTGGATTTCTCAGGAAATTTTTTTAAATTGTGGTAAAAGAAATGTAACATAAAATTTGACATTTTTAACCATTTTAAGTGTACAGATTGGTGGCATTAAATATATATACATGGTTGAGCAAACATCGCCACCATCCACCTGCAGAACCATTTCATCCTCCCACACTGAACTCCATACCTATTAAACAACAGTTTTCCACTCTTCCTTTCCTCCAGCCCCGCATATAATGGAATCATGTAATGCTTGTTCAATTGTGCCTGGCTTATTTCACTTAGCGTAGTATCTTTAGGTTCATCCAGGAGGTAGCATGTATCAGAATCTCATTGTCATTTAAGGCTGAGTAATACCCCATGCATATGCCCACCACAGTTTGTTTATCCATTCATCCATCAATGGACATTTGGGTTGTTTCTGCCTTTTGCCTACTGTGAATAAAACACTGCTATGAACATTGATGTACAAATACCTGCTGGAGTTCCTGCTTTCAATCCTTTGGGCGTATGTTCAGAAGTAGATTTGCTGGATCATAGGATAATTCTGTTTAATTTTTTGAGGGCCTGCCATACTGTTTTCCATAGCACTGCACCATTTTGCATTCTGAGCAGCAATGCACAAGGGTTCTAATTTCTCCATATCCTTGCTAATACTTGTTTGTTTTGTTTTTATTTTTGATAATAGCTATTCTAATGACTTTGTGTAATTGTGGTTTTGACTTGCAATTCTCTAATGATGAGTGATGCTGAACATCTGTTGATGTGCTTATTAGCCATCTGTATAATCTTTGGAGAAACGTCTACTCAAATCCTTTGTCCGTTTTTTAATTGGGTTGTTTTTGTCATTGAGTTGTAAGAGTTTTTTTTTTAATATTTTATGGATATTAATCTCCTATCAGATATATGATTTGCCTATTTTCCTCTATTCCATGGGGGAAGAGTGTCTCTTCACGCTGTTGATCATGTTCTTTGATGCACAAAATTTATTGATTTTAATAAATCCAACTTACCTGTTTTTTTCTTTTGTTGACTATGCTTGTAGTTTCATACCTTTAAAGATCATTGCCATGTCCAATGTCACGAATCCTTTCCCCTATGTTCTCTTCTAAGAGTTTTCTATTTTTAGCTCTTAAATTTAGGTCTTTGATCTATTTTGAATTAATTCATGTATATGGTGTTAGGTAAGGGTCCAACTTAATTATTTTGCATGTATCCAGTGTTCCCGATATTATTTGTTGAGAAGACTTTTCTTTCCTCATTGATGGTTTTGGTACCCTTGTTTAATGTCACCTGATCATATATGCAAAAATTTATTTCTGAGCTCTCTATTCTATTCCACTGGTATAGATGTCCATCTTTGTGCCACTTTCAATCTGTTTTGATTCCTATAGCTTTGTAGAAAGTTTTAAAATCAGAAGAATAAGTCCTCCAACTTTATTCTTATTTTTCAAGATTATTTTGGCTATTTGGGGTCCCTTGAGATTCCTTATGAATTTTAGGGTAGATTTTTCCATTTGTGCGGAAAACATCATTGGTATTTTGAGAGGAATTGCACTAAATCTGTGAATCCTTTGGGGTAGTGCCTGGGAAGTTTTGAAAACCTTTTCCTGTAGCTATTGCGTTTATGTATGAATGCCTTCTTTATCCATCTAGATGGTAAACTTCTGATCATAGGAACGGTGTCCTCTGTCTTTCCCGTCTTTCACTGCACAACACCAAAGGCACTAAGTCATAAACAAAATGAAGAATGATTATTCCTCTAACTAAATTTTTTCAAATGGGAAAAACTAGCAACTATCTACTACTACCCATAAAATCTTCTAGCTTTGGATTTCTTCAAGCTTTCTAGTGAATGACTTAGAACTGATAAAGAAAACAAGAGGGATCACCAATCCCTGCCATATCTGGAAGGCACCGACTCCCTTCGTGGAGCACTACTTACAGCTGATTCCATGACTGCTGGCCACACCAGGGAAGCCAACACCTCTTCCTTCCCTGATAATTCCAGTCAGTGCTGCAGTTTGGACTTGACTGTTCATAAGAAACCCAAACAGAAGGTAATTCCTAGACTGGTGGAGCCTTTGCTGATACAACAATTAGCACACTGTGGGGGTGGCTGTAATTGTTGTATTTATCTACCGTTTATTTGGAGCTTGCTGTATATCAAGGGCTGAGTAATAAGTGGGCTTTCCACGCATCATCTCAATGCTGGGGGACAGTCAGAGCCAAAGGTCATGGTAAAAAGGAGACAGATGTGGCATCCAATTCTCAAGTGAGTGGACGACCTTAGAGAAAGAAGCCCAGGTGGGGAGCACCCATGTATTTCAACATGCAGTGAAGCATGCTAGTTACATACAAAATCAAAGTACTTGCACATTAGACCAGTGTTGTCAGCTTTCATTGGCTTTGAGTATGGGTTCTCCCTGTAATAGGTCTATAGTAGCAGCCTTTAAACAACCAACAATAGATTCCTTCTAAGGAGAACTCTGCAGAGTTGAAAGTATACAGAAAAGCAGTGGACGCAGACTTGATCCCAGCACACTCACCCACCACAACTGCCAGGCTTGGTTCCAGGAGTCAGGACCAGAAACTCTTCCTGTGCTATGGCTCACACCCTGAGCTAGGCCCTCCAGGACCAGTGGAAATTCCTGGTGGGGAGTGTTGACAAGTTAATTATGAGTCTACACTGTCTGTGGTGACTGCAAAATTGCCCACAAGAATTGCGAGGAGCCAGATGTTGCTGCTACGCTGAGTGATGTGTCAGATGTGCCAGACATCAGGACAGTGCCGACTTACTGCCACCGCAACCAGAGACTGAGGTTAAACAGTAGTTTCCCTTGAATTAGTTGGCATCACATAGACCAGACAATTGATTGGTTGGATACATTTTTACTTTTCCATGAGACATTTGTTCTTGTATAACCTAGGTGTTGAGATCCTAATGGAGCAAGGATGAACGCAGTGAGCTGTAGTAATCTATAAACCTGAGTTTTTGGAGACTGCTACTTGTGTCTTCTACCATCTCTCCATTCAGCAGACCACCTATTCCTCTCTTAGAGCTCCCTATTCCTTGCCAGCACTTCCTGAAGAACACAGACAGCCAGACCTCTGTTGTTATCCTCCCTTCAGCTCTGAGAACACTGTGTGTGCTCTTAATTTGGACTGATCTCCATATAAATCAGGTCACTTGGCTCACAGATAAGCTCTCATCTGATCAGACTGTACCTCTACGTTCAACCAGCCAAGAGGGCAAATATATGCCTAGAGAACCAGGGTGGATAGAGAACAAGTCCACTCAATCCAATCTCACTACTGTAAAGTAACTCACAGTGAATGCACTAGTAATATGGCTCTCTAGTGTCATTTTCAATAACTAAAGCAAATATTTACACCTTCGGGTCTTAACTGCTTATTTGTCTCAGTGCTATGCATCATAATCCTTCACTGTCTGCCTTGTGCCAAGATCCTGAAGTGCAAACTCCTTCCTTCATGAGTCAAAGGCTTCCAAAGTGTTCCCTGGCCCATACTCTCTAGTCCAGCCTGGCTGGCTTCCTCACTGCCCTTCAAACATGCCTGCACATTTCTGCTTTTGTGTCCTTGCTTGTCACATTCTTCTCGCTGTGCCCCCATGCCCACCACCACCAAGTTTCTGCCAACTGCCCCGTCCTGGATTCAGCCCCAGGTGATCTAAGAGGTTCCACTGACCGCCCTGGGTACTAGGGATCTGTTGCCATCTCTCCTACCTTTTCTAGATTTTTATTCTTTTACTATTGTTATGGGTTGACTTGTGTCTTCCAAAATTTATATGTCAAAATTATAACCTCAGTACCTCTAAATGTGACCTTATTTGAAAATAGGGTCATTGCAGATGTAATTAATAAAGTCAAAGTGAGGTCACACTGGAGTAGAGTGGGTCCCTAATCCACTACTAGTGTTCTTATAAAAGTAGGAAATTTGGACACAGAGACACACACACAGGAGAACACCCTGCAAAGATGCAGGCGGAAATCAGGGTGATGCAGTAGAAGCCAAGGCAGAGAGCCTACTATTGCCAGCAAACCACCAGAAGCTAAGAGAGAGACCTGGAGCAGGTTCCCCACACAGCCCTTGGTAGAAGCCCACCCTGCTGACACTGAGACTTGGACTTCCAGCCTCCAGAGCTATGAAGCAACAAGATCTATAGCTTGAGCCACCTGGTTTATGGTGCTTGTCATGGCAGCCCTGGGAAACAAACATAACCACTTATTAGTTATGTATTAAAATTAGATTTAATGGCCATTAAGGTCTCAATACTTGCGTCATACAGACATAGGTGTTTTGCATGGTTTTTTCCTCATTTAATTTTTTTTCTTTTGTTTTTGAGACAGGGTCTCACTCCATTGCCCAGGCTGGAGTGCAGTGGCGTAATCATGGCTCATTGCAACCTTAACCTCCTGGGGTCAGGTGATCCTCCCACCTCAGCCTCCTAAGTAACTGGGACTACAGGCATGCACCACCATGCCCAGCTAATTTTCGTATTTTTTTTTTTGTAGAGACTTGGTCTTGCCATGTTGTCCAGGCTTGGTCTGGAACCGTTGGGCTCAAGCAATCCTACCGTCTCGGCCTCCCAAAGTGCTGGGATGACAGGTGTGAGCCACCGCACCTGACCCTTCATTTAATATTTAATAAACTATAAGGTAATGGTAGCATTCCTGCTTTAAAGACAAAGCTAAGATCATAGGGCAAGTAAAAAGGTTGAAACCAAGCATGCCATGCTAGGTTTACTGCTTCGTGCTGCCTCTTCCCTGTGCTGACCTGCAGGACTAGCTTTCCATGTGTGTCTTCTCTCACAAGGTAGACTCAAGTTTCTTGGGGAGAGAGATAATATCTAACACATGTCTGAGCCTACAAAATGGCTAGAATCAGACATTTTCTGTAGTACTTGATAAATATTTCTGTGACAAAATACATTCTGTACATCATATTATTTTCATCATCATAAGCATCCATTGTTATGTTTACATTATCTTCACGCATGACCTGGTAGATTGGAGTAGGGGACTAGAGAGCTGAGCTGAATTTCTGGGGCCTGTCTCCACCCTAGTGGCTCCTCTGTGGTCCCCTACCAGCTTGGTATCTCATGATAGACACTGCCTATATCTTTGTGCCTTTTCTAATCTTCATTCCCTGGGATTTGAAGAGCTTGGGAATCCAAGGACACTGCTCACCAGAGTTTCCAAGAGCAGCAGCTTCTGTGGGCTCCAGGCCTCCGGCCTTGGGAATGAGTGAACACGGAGCCATGGAGGCACCAAGCTGTGCTCTCAGGCAGCTTCCTTTCCTCGCCACAGCTGCCTTTGAAAGGTGCCACCTTGCAGAAGAATCTGACAAGCCCTTGCACACAGTGTGGCCTTGTGTCCCCCCAGCCAGCCATGCTCCCTTCCATCTTCAAGGGTTGTCTTCTTATGTGTGTGGAAACCAAGACTCTTCTGCCCAGAAGTCAGCTGACACCAAAGCTGCAAAGAAAGGGGAGCCGCTGCGCAGGAGAATAGAATGTGGAGCTGCCGAGGGCATCCATGAGGGAAGAGAGGAAGGAGGAAAGACAGGGAGGTTGAGGAAGGGCAGGAGGGCCCATCCTCCAGCGTTTAACACACAGACACGTCCTCCAGATCTTGAGTAAATTCTACTAGCATCCACGGTGTGGGTAATTTCTTATGGAAACTTGTAAAGAAGCCAAACTTTGTACCCAGCAGATAAGAGGCAAAATAGAGAGAGTGCCTACCATGAATTGAGGCAACAGCTACATCCAGGTGGCACTATTTATTTAAAAGGTGAAATGAGCTATTAAAAAAACAGTGAGATAAGGAAGTAGGAGAACATATGCCAAAGGGGTCTGTAGAGTCAGGGAAGGCCTGTCCAAAGAAGTGGATATGAAGCTGAGGACTAAAGGGTAAGTAGGAGTTACTCAAAGCAAAGGGTAGGGAAGAGTGTTCCAGAGAGGGGGATCAGCACATGAGAGGGCCCTGAGGCATGTGCTGGGGAAGGATTCTCTTAAGGGGTCAAATCCAAATGGGTGGCCAGAACTGCCTGTGTCAGCACCCACTACCCGGCAATATGGTATTTTTAGCAAAGATCACAATAATTTCAAAACAAAGCCAGGAATTACTCAGAGACAGTAGGAAAAGATATTTTTCTTTAAATTAAAAGAATGTTATTTGAGGCTACATAGAGGAAAATTAATAAAACTTACAGACTACATTGGAACAAGGACCCTTTTTATAGGTGTTTGCCTTCACACATGATTTCATCCCAGCAACTGATATTCCTCAGGTAAGTGCTAAATCTCAAGAACTTAAGAACACAGGCATGGAAGTCAAGAACTGGGAGGAATTGTCCTCTGGAGGAAATGGAGTCCCAGAGAGAACTAACCTGCCCATGGTTGCAGAGCTAACTAGTAGGAAGATTGGAATTGGAACAGGAACGCAAGTCTCTTGACCACCGGCCTAGTGTCACGCTCCAAGAGACCACACTGCCTTCTTTGGGAGTTGAGAACCTGTATTGCCTCGGATTTATTTCAGACACCAAAGCCTTGGCCAGTTTCTCTCACGCTCAATTCTGGAATATATGAATTTTCTATTTTCTACCTATTCAATGCATGCAAGCTTTTCAGTACCAATGTATTCAAAAGGAAGTTACTGCTGTTGTAAGTAACTTTTAGGAGAAGGACTAAAAGTCAGAAGAAAAAAAGAAGATAAAATAACTTTCAGTTCAATATGGCAGCATGAAAATCATCAATCTACATTCTCTTCTGAAATGGTATTAAAATGGAAGTAGGAATTTTGAACTCATGAGAAGACAAAGAGAATGAGAGAAGATGGCAACAGACTAGAGACACAACCAAACTTTGGAAGATAGAAAATGGATGAATGAATGGGAACTGACTTACCAGAGGGGTGAAACTGCAGCACAGGAGACAAGAAGCAAGGCCATCTGGGTCACAGAACCTCAAAAGGATTCAAAAACGGGTAGCGCCTGGTGAACTGAAGGTGGAGAATAAAGTTCAAGAATGTGTTGAGAATCTGTATTAGGAGGAGTGAGAGGCCTCCCCCAGCCTTTTCCCTACCCTGCAGATCAGATGACTGTTTCTTCCCAATACCGGCAGGAAATAGGGGAACAGGGAGGTTGTGGGCTTGGGGATACCATGCATAACAGAGGGCAGTGGGTACCATGCTCAGTGAAAGCGCAGAATGAAGAGAAAGTCTACAGGCTCAGAGTGAGCCGCCCAGCTCACACACCGCACCGAAACACTCAGGCCAGGAGAAGGTGGCCTGCACCTCTCTAGCCAGGAGCTCTTCCCTGGGTAAATGGACCGGTCTGAAAGAAAAGACCTACAATCAGTTGCAGATACCTCCTGTTCCCCCACCAAAAGAATTTTACAGTGAAACTCCCCAGTCACCAAACTGAGACCCCACACCAGAGCTTCCAGTGAATTTTTCAATGCGTCTCTCTAAAATAATCGTGGCCAGTTGAGGTCACTAAATATTTTATGAAAGCCTATAGCATGAGGACAGAAACTAAAATAAACAGAAAAATTAAACACACACACACACAAAACAGGGTCAGAAGGAGCAGAAAAAACTTTAGAAGTAAACTTTCTGAACATCCTCATACTGGTGAGAAGACCCAAGAACAGGATGTGATTAGAAGAAGGACAGATTCAGAGAACAAGGGCCAGATCCTGGGGACTGAAAGTGCTGAAGAAGTTAAAAGTACAAAACCAAAAAGCCATTAAGGGATTGGAAGGTAAAGTGAAGAAAATTGTCCAGGGCCAAAAGTTAAAGAATGAAAAACAGTAAAGGTCAGAAATTAGAAGGCAAATCTAGACAACATTATATCTAATTTGCAGTAAGAGGGAACATAGAAAATTGAAGGAAAGAAATAATTAAAGAAATAATACAAGAATTTTCCCTAAAAGTAAAGTGAATTTCTAGAAAGCAAGAGGCCACGAAGGATGAAAAAGATCCACATAAAGAAATGGAGCTACCAAATTTTACAGCGGACAGGATAATGAGATGGTCCTGAAAGCTTCCAGAGAAAGATAAAAAAAATTAACGTGGAATGACTTAGGAATCAGAATTGCATCGAACTTCCCAAGAGCAACAATAGAAGCTAAAAAACAATGGAACAATGTCTTCAAAATTAAGTGCGGAATTTTTTTCCAACCTAAAATTCTAAAGCCAGCCTAATTTTCAGTCGAGTGTGAGAATACAATAAGGACCTCTTTGAAAATTTAACTCCCATCTACCCTTTCTCAAGAAGCTACTTCTTCACCAAAAAAGAGTCAGGGAGGGAAAGAATAAAATGAGAGAAAGAAAGGTACTATTGTCTCAGTCATTCAGGCTGCTATGACAAAATAACCTACTGAGTGGCTTATAAACAACAGTAATTTATTTCTCACACTTCTGGGAGCTGGAGGACCAAAATCAAGGTGCTGGCAGATTCAGTGTCTGGTGAGAGCCCACTTCTTGGTTCCTAGACAGTGCTTTCTCACATGCCAGAAAGAGTGAAGGAGCTCTCTGGGGTTCCTCTTATAAAAGCACTAATCCCATTCATGAGGGCCCCACCTTCATGACCTCATCACCTCCCAAAGGCCTCAGCTCCTGATATTATCACTATGAGGATGCATTTCAACATATTAGTTTGGGGGAGACACAAACATTCACTCTATGTAGCAAGTATTCAGGAATAAGGGGCTGAAAGCAGAAGACAGCAAAGGTAATTCCTAGAAGGACGGTGTAGGAGATGCAGCAGGTGTGGGGAGCCAGCAGTGCAGCTCACAGCAAGAGAAGGAAGGGCACGCACTAGGGACGGCTCAACAAGGGACCAAGGAGGGAGTCAACCACCTGCATGGCGCTTCTGACCCTGTGGAGAGCAGACTTTGAGGTCTGTAAGAGTTTGAGGCAAAACTTTGATAGATTCATGGAATAGTTAATAAAGAAAAATAACTCCAGAAAAATTACAAAACAAGAAATGTAATTAAATTTTATGACTCAGGTATTAATAATATTTATATTACCATAGTCATACAAAAATTTAGTATTGGTTTAACCAACCTTGTGACATAATTATGGAATGTAGGGAGGGAAAGCCTGTGTATATTGCAGGGGCAGATTGTAAGAGAACTAAAATTCTCATCTCCCATGGTAGGAGGCCAATGGATGATACCTTAAAATAAAATGAAAAAACAAGAAATAATAAGCAACACCAAGCAAAAAAGCTGAGAGTTGAACTGACACCCTCTCAGGGGTAGGACTTAGGGAAGAGAAAAGGTGGAACATGGAATGGTTTTTTTGTCGTAAGTCTTGTAACACTGTTTGACACTTTACATTTATGCATTACTTTGGTTAATTTTTTTTAAGTGGGGCAAGAACAGAAGGGAAAAGAAAAGGCATAATGAGAGTGAATCTTCATATAGTGATGCCCTGGGGATAAAGAAGTGAAGGGATGTTAGCCTGGAGCAGAAATGGAGCAGGGACAGGTGTGATAGTCAGGCGGGCAGGATGGGCTTTTGCACCAAGTGCAGAGTGAGCAAAATGAAGGCTACATAAAGCCCCGGTTTAAGAAATACCTGCCCAGAAATCACGTGCAGCTTAATGCTGGCAACTCATGCTTTTTCCATCTGAATCATCCAAGTCTCCGTATCACTGGGATCTGGCAAGAGGAAGGCAGGTGAGGTGAAATCCGAAAGGCACAAGACATCAGAATGGAGGAAAAAATGCAACGAAGGCCTGTGAATGGTGCATCGCCTTCATACAAGCCTCATGACCTCACCACCTCCCATCAGACCCACAACAAAGGGAGACCCTCAAGTCTGACAGCATGGTGACTGCTATTCAGAATAGCCCAAGTCAGATCAAAAGTCATTGGCCTTTAGCAGACAGTCCTTATTTCAGTAATCTTTTATTTTTGAAACAGGGTCTCCCTTTGTCGCCCAGGCTGGAGTGCGGTGGTGTGATCCTAGCTCACTGTAGCCTCAACCTCCTAGGCCCAAGCGATCTTCCCACCTCAACCTCCTGAGCAGCTGGGACCACAGGTGCTTGCCACCATGCCTGGCTACTTTTTTTTAAATTTTTTGTAGAGATGGGGTCTCCCTAGTTGCCCAGGCTGGTCCTGAACTCCTGGGCTTAAGCAGTCCTCCCGCCTCGGACACCCAAAGTGCTGGGATTACAGGTGTGAGCCACCGTGCCCTGCCTGAAATTTTGTACAGAAGGTTTTCATAACTTTACTGTGATCTAAGTCTCCAACCAAGTTTTGCCTTAAGATGTAAAATCTTTCCACTGCAAATTTACTTACCAAGGCTTTGATTTTTGTTTTTCAAAACAGAGCCTTGAATACTCCATGTCGTTTACACCTTCCTGCTTTGCTCTTGTTCCTACTGCCTCAAATGCCCTCTTCTTGCCTACCTCTACTCTCATCTGACTAACTAGGCCTCATTATTAAGACTGCCCAAGTATCATCTTCCTCCAGGAGGCCTTCCTGGACCTCTCACCCTTCTTCTACTCCCAGTCCAAGGTGGATAAGATGGCTGGCCTCTGCGCTCCCATGCATTTTTCACAGTTCATGGTTATTCTTAACCTATGGAAACAGAGCTATCCATGACCATCTGCCCCCAGAGCTATCTGTGACCATCTGCCCTCAGTGCAAAACTATAAGTTTCAGAGATTAGCAGCCATATTTGATGATCTCTGTATCCCTAGCAGCTCACGTCACACCAGCACCAAAAGGAATAGCCTGGAGAGCAGCATCAGCAGGTGGCGGAAAGTCAAGAGCTGAAGAATTCGTGTTGCTCCCTGAGAACAGGACAATTTAGACAAGGGGCTTCTCTCCGAGGCATATGGCTTGGCCAGCAGAGGCCTGGCTGGAGTTAACTCCTCAGGCCTCCCGCTGCTGGGTGCCCTTGGGCAGGGTGTAAGCCCCGCAACCTTATACAACGTCTTTGTTTCCCAGTTTTGTGACCTTGGTCAGGTTAGTTACATACTCGCAATCTCAGCTTCCTCATCCATAAAGTGCGGAGAACAATAAATCGTGCCTGGCAGGGTCGTTGGAAAGATTATCAGAGGGAGTGCATGGCAAGTGCCTTTGCTGAGTACCTGGCACGGAGGGAGGGCTCCAAAACTGGTAGAAGATATCGTGATTATTGTTTCTAACAAGATACCAGGAAGCCACTGGAGGCTTTTAAGCCATATAATGAAACTTTTGCCTTTGACAAAAGGTTGCTCTGGCAGCGGGGTGCAGTATGAATTGAATGGGAGCAAGAGTGGAGGCAGAGAAAGGAGTTGGGGGCTATTCCCACAGGCTAGATGAGAGATAAGAGGGCCCGAAGCAGAGCAGAAGCAGGGCCAGAGGAAAAACCTGTTTTCTGCACAACCCTTGGCCTCCTGTCTCCTGTTTGGCAAACCCACCTCCCCACAGAGCCTCCCTGCAGGAATCATCAGGAACCTGTGCTGAGAGCTGCTCTAAGGACCAGCGCCAAAGCAGTTAAGCATGTAACAATGCATTAAAAGAGAAGGTAGGCTGGAGGAGAGGATAAACACCATGGCCTTCCCCAGCAGACCCAGAAGGCCCTAACATGCATCCATAATCTCCCAGAAACGGCTGCAACCCAAATGTCCAAAGGAGAAGGTTTAAGTGAACCCCCATACAATGCACATGTACTCACAGACACACACATACATGTTTCTGAGATGGTGCCAGACTGAGGGAGCCCAGGCCAGCTGTGGGATGTTTTCCAAACTCCCAGTACCAGAGTTCCCATGTGCTTGAGTGCAGGTGGGAGTGGAATGCAGGGTAGGAGAGGAGGGTCTTTCACCCAATAAGCCTCTCTCTAGATACTGAGCTTACGTGTTCGTTCCCAATTGGAAACACATGCGCTGTCAGGCCAGGCAGGAACCAGAAATAAACAACATATAAAAATATTGCCTTGCACAGACACTTTCACTCCATGATCTTGCCCCTCCTCCCCAGTCTCCCTTCACTTCTTTATTGGCAATGGGGTTTGCTGGGGAGAGACAGGCTCCTGTGCCTTATAAATAATAATATGAATGGAGACTGTACATATGGTTTGGGTCCCTATTTCTGAGTCATTCTGAATGCACCTGAAGTTGTAACAGCCAAGGGAGAGATTTTCAGTGGCACACAAAGCCTACTTAGAGAAATGTGGAATGAAGGCTTCTCTTTCTTCTGGAAGGGAGATGTCTCAGTGTTTTGTTTTGCTGATAGTGCCACAAGGTGATAGCACCATCTCAACACCTGTAGTCATAACTTGGAGGGAAATTCACCTCCAAAAGCATGTAGCTGCATATAGAATCTCAGAGCAAAAGTGTCTTTCAAGCAAGGGCTTTCAATCTAGAACCCCAAGATGGTATCAAAAGGTTCATGAGCATCTTCAAACTTTTACATTGTAATGGGTAGCACCCGTGTGCACACATGTATTTTTTTTTTTTTTTTTTTTGAGAAAGCCCAAAGATTGTTGTCAAATTCTCAACAAAATCCATTACTAAAAATGTTTGGAACTACTGACTTTGCTGTTAACTAGCCCTGTGACCTCCATCCTCATCTGAAGCTTGAATTCTCTCTTTATTGTTTCATTCATGCAATAATCCAGTTTATGCTTGAACCCCTCCAGTGATGAAAACCTGACAGACTAGCTCAGTAATTGAGAACAGGGGTTCGGGAGGAGATGCTTCCATGCCTAAACCCTGGTGCCGACACTTTGTAACTTCATGACTTTGGGCCAATATTTCAGCCGCGCTCATCCTTGGTTTCGTCGTCTATATAAATGGATTGTAATACCTCTTAGCTATTTTTGAGAGGATCAAATGAAATAATGCATGCAAACCTTTGAGCACACATATGGGAGGTAGTAAGTGTACAGTAAAATAGTCACTGCTGTTGCAGCATTGTCATTATTATCAGAGAGACAGCTCACTACTATTCTGAAAAAAAAAAAAAACTCCTTTCTGTTTTTCCTTCATTACAAAATTCTTCACCTTAATGTTGAACCAAAAACTACTTTCCTGCAGCTTGCAGTCAGTCATCGGTCTTTCCTCCCACCTGGCATGCAGAACAAGAGATAGAGTTCCAATGCAGTCTGTCCCTTCATTCATTAGCAGCATGCCAGGAACACCTGCCTTCGCAAATAATGTGTTCAAAAGGAAGGGAAAAATTAAAGATGGAGAACTTTAGACTCAAGATAACAAAATGGGTTTTTTGTTTGTTTCATGAAGACATTTTGACAATAAAGATGCATAGTTTTAAGTGGACTGTTTTAAAATTTAAACGTCACTGAGTAAATCCAGCATCTGGTTGCATTTACCTTTTATCAAAAGATCTTTCCCTGTGGTTCCTATTGGCACCAGCACTGTCATTAACACAGTGTTTTCACAAATTCTTCTAGACCCTTCTCTTCCACTGTTACCATAAATGAAGGCACTCAGACAAAGTCAGTGTGTTACACATGACACTTTGTGTCCTCCCAGAGCACAGCCAGTTTCTGTTCCTGATCCACTGTAAGCTCTGTGAGAGCAGGGGTAATGGCTGTCTTGTTCTCCTTCCAGTTTGTAACACCTCCCACAGTATCTGGCTCCTGTTAGGAACTTACTAGATAGTTGTTGAATGAGTGAATGAACCAACTTATAAGCAATAGTAACGGGTGCAAAGTAAATCATGTCCTTTATTAATCCATAGTGTTATATCCAATTTATGTAAGACAAATTTGTGTTATAATTAAAATGAATTTAAGGACAAGTTTTGTATTTTCTCACTCCTGAAATCATTTGTTTTATCAGCTAAACACCCACAGATCTTTAAGTCATTCCTTTCATCATCTGCTTTAATATCCTTTCAGCCATCCTTGTTCTCTTCTGGGCATTGAAGACTGATTATTCCTAGCCCCTAGAGATGTCAGGTCCACAGCTGAGAGCCATCAGCTACCCAATATCTTCCCATTGCCCTTCTCTGGGAAGAGCCAGGGTGCCCTGAACCACAGGCTTTGTTACCACCTTTAGGGAGCCAGAGGTTTAAAGGAGAAGACAATATTAAAGAGATATTGTAGACCACTAAGCTTGGTTCTTTCTTATACTTAGAATGTCTTTAAGATTAGGTACTTGGAGTTATACAGTGTTAGAAGCAAAAATAGTACATATGATTGAATCACGTGATCTAGAAAGAAGGCATTGATTCTCTAATCTTGGTAACTGTCTGGGATAACGAGACTGAAGCGACCCTGATTCCGCACGCTCGTTCTGCTCAGGTAACTGGTGATGCTACAGAAACCAAATCACCTTCAAAAATACTCTTATTAATACTTACTATGCCGAAAGTAATATACTGGGCAAAAAAAGAGCCTCTGCCCTCAGTGATCTATTGAGAAACAAACACTTATGCAATTTTAAAATGATGATCTGAAATGACAATTTGAAAATAATATGGTGACAAAATAGGCAGCTAGCAAAAGAAATTTGCACTGCCAAAAATTTATTTAAAAGCTCAGCCTCGATGGGAAGCAAAGACGTGAAAACTAAAACTTCAGTAAGATATGATTTTGGGGGTAATTAAAATCTGTAAAGATTCCAAAGGAAGCAAGGACGCAGTGCTGGTGACCATGGCGAGAAGCAGGCATTCCCGGCTGTGGCTGATGGAAGGAAAAGCAGACCAGTGGAGCCTTTCCAGAGAGCAATTTGGCAGCCAATTGCAAAAACCTTAATATGCACACCCTTTGACATAGCACTCCCACTTGTAGAAATATATCCTTAGGAAATTATTGGAGACATACATAAAGACATACATATGTGCAAAAATATTCATTGCAGCATAATTCATAATAAAAAGTAGGAAACTTTTAAATATCTGATGTTAGGGGATTTATTAAACTTCAATATATCCATATGATTGAATATTATACCTAAAATACGTGTATGTCACAAAAGAATTTTTACCAGGAAAATGTTTGCAATTTATTGCTAAGTGCAAATCCTAAAGGAAGAAAAGAAGCTTTCAACGCAGAAATTCAACAATACACAACCCTCCTGAGTTAGTTAACTCCTAGTTTCTTTTAAATCTGAACTCATTCATCCTCATCTCCTACGAGGTCAGTTCTCTTCATCTTATGTCCTTAGAGCTCCATGGCCTCGCCTTCTTAGCATTTCTCAACTATATAAATAAAGTTGTAACTTGCATTTATTTGTGTGACTCTTTGATTAATGTCTGACTCTCCAACTAGACTATAGTTCAATGAGGGTAGGGCCTGTTCCTGGCACATGTTAAATGCTCAATATATTTTGAATGACACCACATTACTTAAAAATCTGTGTGTATGCGTACACACACAAAAGTGATGGAAATAATATTTCCACTGTTGATATTTTAATAATGAAGTTTCTAGGACTAGTAGGATGGTGAGTGACGTTTATTCTTCCAAGTCTTCTGAACTGAGTATGTTATAGCATTTCAATCACTTTAAAAATAATAAATGTTATAGGAAAAATAAGTTTGCAAAATCAGTATAATGAGTGATGTATGTCTTCAGATGATCTTCCTTGAGCACTTAAGAATACCTGGTCCCCTGAACACACGCAAGCAGGGTCAGGCAGAGGGTGTGAATTGTATCTGGTGGATCTAGTATGTATGGAATCCTGAAGGAGGAACATGCAAGCTTTTGTCAGAGTTGGGAGCGACAGGGAAGACAGGGGCTGGGGCTCCAGGGTGCGGAGCAGAATGAGTAGGGGAACATCTCTACTACCATTGCTCATTACTGGAGTGAAAGGGCTCTGCCTAGAAGTGATGGGAGGTGACACTGGAGAGGAAGGTGATGGAGAGACACGCGGGCCTGCATGGAGCCTGTAGTCAAAGGAGAAATCACTGGGGGTGGTGACGTCCTTTGTTTAAGTTTAAAAAGGTCACTCTGACTGCCCTGCAGAAAGTGAACTGCAGGGGAATGGATCTGGACACAGCAGGGTCAGTTCTGAGGCTGTTTCTATTATCTGGGCAGAAAAAAAATGAGGATCTGATATAAAACTTTGGCTGTAGGGATAGACAAGAAAAGACCGTTCAAGAGCTTCTGAGAAAAGAAAAACAGTAGAAATAGTCAACAACTACATATGATTTCTATCTTGGTTGACCATACGGACGGTTGTGCCATCAAATGAGATAGAGAATTTCAGGTGTATTTTAGAGGATGAGGAGATCCACTTCAGGCAGGTTGGATTTGAATCTCAGAAGAAATGTGTGGGCTGGAAATTTAGATTTGATCATCATCCACATATAAGTGATGGTTAAAACCTTGTAGGTGGATTAAATCACCCCGGAGAGGGTTAGGATAAGAAGAAAAGCTGGTCATGAATGAGAACCTATGACACATCAATATTTAAGGGGCAGGCAAAGGCAAGGAACCGCATGAGGGAAAGAGAAGGCATGTCAGAGGTATGGAACAAAAGACAAGGGAATAGAAATTTTGCAAAGGAGGAGTGATGAGGATGAGCAAATGCAGCAGGATTTCAGTAAAAATTGACACTAAAAAGAGTCCTGGAAAGAGTTGGAAGTTAGAAGGTGAGCATTGACAGAAATTTCCGTAGATGTTCCTCGAAGCCAAGCTGCAGTGGTTTGAAGAATGAATGGGTTATGCAGAATGAGGGTCCGTGACCTTTCTTCAAATTAGTAAAAGGAAAAGAGATTCACAGGTATCTGGGACTGAGTGAGGACAGGGTGAAGGTAAGAGTCTCAAGCCAAAGCGAGAGGTGTATGGGTTGAAAATAAAGGGAGAGAAAAGCAAGATAAAATGAAGTCCCGAAGAAATCAGGAGGGAACTGGGCAAGGACACAATCTATGCATTAGCCTGCACTGAAGGAGGGAGGGTTCGTCTCCGCCTTGCAAACCAGTGTGCCACCAGACTGTGATCTGTGTATGAGATACAATTATGCATATTACAGTTGCCAACATCTGCCAGGCACAATGCTGAATGAAAAGGTTTGGAAGGCTGTGGTTTTTACATCAGCAACTCTGTCCAACATCCTGTAAATAAGAAGTGACAGACCAAGCATAGTGTCAACCTAGCGCAAAAGAAGGATCATGTATTTCCTTAAAGGTGCTAGAGCTTTGCAAGAGTATGTAAAAGAATGTAGTTAGGGCAGTGAATACTCAAACAGTAACATCATGCTAATGGAAGGCAATGGAGAGATGATCATTGGAGATTTTTTTTATACACACCGAGGCATTGCTTTTCTAATAAAGTCATTCCCCTATACTTATTTGCTGGTGTTATAGACACATTCGAGTCTTTTAACCTAACGGTGTGTGGAAAGCACAAAAAGGTTAAGAAAGCACTCGTTGCTCTCCAAGGCTGGGAGAAAGTTAATGAAGACAGGAATGGATACAGGTGAGTTTATAGGTAATGGGGGATCATGTCTAATCTCTAATGGTGAGGGCTAATTCAACCTCTTGACTAATCTAATTTTTCCATGTAAATCCCACAAAAATAAAGGTGAGTTTGGTGATGATAAAGGACATGGACCTCTTAACAGTTAATTCAGGAATGTTCACCATAATCCCTTATCCAAGTGCAGTGAGACTTTCCCAGCTGCAGCACAGTTCCTTGCATTCTTTTAATTCCCAGTATGCATATCTTCTACACAAAATAGTTCAGCTCTACAGACATTCATGGCAGCGCTGTTCACAATAGCAAAGACGTGGAATCAACCTAGGGGCCCATTAACAGTAGATTGGAAAAAGAAAATGTGGTACATATACACCATAGTGTACTACACAGCCATTAAAAAGAATGAAATGATGTCCTGTGCAGCAGCATGGATGCAGCTGGAAGCCATTATTCTAAGCAATTAACGCAGGAACAGAAAACCAAATGCCGCATCTTCTCACTTAAAAGTGGGAGCTAAATATTGGGTACACATGGACATTAAGAGGGAAACAATAGACACTGGAGACCACTAGAGGTGGAGAGAGAGAGGGAGCAAGGGTTAAGAAACTGACTTTTGGGGCCGGGCGCAGTGGCTCACGCCTGTAATCCCAGCACTTTGGGAGGCCGAGGCGGGCGGATCATGAAGTCGGGAGATCGAGACCATCCTGGCTAACACGGTGAAACCCCGTCTCTACTAAAAAATACAAAAAAATTAGCCAGGTGTGTTGGCGGGCACCTGTAATCCCAGCTACTGAGGAGGCTGAGACAGGAGAATGGCGTGAACCCGGGAGGCGGAGTTTGCAGTGAGCCAAGATTGCGCCACTGCACTCCAGCCTGGGCAAGACTCCGTCACAAAAAAAAAAAAAAGAAAAAGAAAGTGACTTTTGGTTACTGTGCTCACTACCTGGGTGATGGGATCATTTGTACCCCAGACCTCAGTGCCACGCAATATCCCCTTGCAACAAACCTGCACATGTACCCTCTGAATCTAAAACAAAAGTTGAAATTATTTTAAATAGTTCTGTTCTTAAATATATTCTGTCTGCAACAGACATTTATCAAGTACTTCCTGTTTTCCAGCATTTGACTTTAACTGGGGGCCCACATAAAAAATTTCTGATCTTTGGAACAAATGTATTGATTCTAGAAAAATCTTGTCCCTTATTCATTAATTTATCAACTCTTTATTAAAAATTCTAAGATGTGAGCTCAGTTGCAACACTTCACTTTGGTCTAGTGTTCCTCAGTTCCAAGACCACTCTCTTTCCCCACCTTACATTACCTACCACCTTTATTATTTAGGAATAATATTTAAACCAATGCATTTTTTATTTTCCTTAAATGATTGTTCTCTTAAGCTTCCCACCTATAGAACCAATTGCTTTTGAAGAGAGGCAAGTATCTATCTACTAGAACAAAGATGCAATGAGCATCAAAGATAACTTTCTTGGGTTCTCAGCTGGACAACAGACTTTGTTGAAAGAAGAAAGATACTCTCTAAATTCTGAACACTCCCTGTAAGTATCAGAAACCATATGTGGTCAGCTTGGATCATAGAGAATTACAAAATACCTTAATGCGCAGACCACACAGGCATCTGGACAGTTTGCTCCATGGGTTCTTTCTGTCAGGAGACCAATGCCTACCCAAGTCTTGGCCTCAGGGTGGGGCAGGCAAAAGAATACTGGCGGTGGATGGACCGAGTGGGAAGCTGAAAGCAAAAGGAGCTTGAGCCCCATTTCCAACTGGGACTCCAGGATGTGAAGGCCTCACTGCCCCAAGACATACATAGTTAAATGGCAGCATGATGTGTGGGTTTAGAAAGGGACAGATGGACTGAGATAGCCCCCTTTCCTTTTCCTCTACCATTTCCTTTCTCTTTTCCTCATGATTCTCCACACCTATGCCTGCTGGCTAGGGAGATATTCAGAATTTCTGGTGAGCTCCAAGAGAAAATATGTGATTTATCTACCCTCAAGGCTTCTCTTATTCAGACCCTTCTATAACTACCTCAAGTTTCCCGAATTATTCCTTATTTTTCATGATTTTTTCAACAGTCACCATCCCTCTCCCTTTGACCAGAATCTGGCTGGCAATGCCTCTCTCTATATAGACTCGAATATAATTTTTAGATGGGGTACTAGCCCCATGTACAATGGGTCTGCCATTTCACCTGCTCTTGTCACTACTGCTTGTAATGCAACCTAAGAATTCAAGCTCTATTTTCTTCATTATTTCACAATGTGGGTTTATCTTAAGTGTGCAGTCAACCAAATTTCAAACCAGGTCTTTACCACATGATACTTATGTAAACTGATTTTTTCTTTAAACCAAGTCGGGACTTGACATTTTACCAGTTGAATTTCATCTTATTGATTTTGGCCCTTAATTCCAGTCTTTTGAGGTTATTTTGAAATACTACTCAGTTCTGGCCATCTCTTATTCAACATTTTTATCAGCTAATTATATGAAGACATATAAGATATACGTATCAAGCTTGTGGGTAACACAGGAAGTCCTATATCCCTGGAGGCCTCCCTTTGGAATGACTCTAAAGCATTAATCAGCACATAAAAGAACAAGAGAATACCTCCCTTACTAAAGCACAACACAAAACTTGCCAAGCTTTTTGGAGAAAAGCTCCAGAAATATGTCTGGCTAAGCACTCAGACTGCCTTAACTTCAGTTCAGAGCACTGGGGTCAAGTCAGACAGACCTGTACTGGGGTGGCAGTTGCGGGAGAGTTACTTCATTTTTCTAAGCCTCAATTTTCTTATTTGAAAGTGAAAATCATGAAAGTAAGCACCTAATAATTCACCTATGACTACATAATAACTCCTGCATATCCAAGACGTTCTCATATCCCCACACCCAAAACACACTGAGATTCATTCCATCTGGAGAGATCCGCCACACATACACACAGGGAGGCACCTTCACTTACTACTGGCCTGAAGTCCAACAGTGCTTCCACTGTTCATTGATCAAAATATACCCATAAGAATTAGCCTACTCATGGTAATAGGAATTTTTATTCTTCTTGGCTGTGGTGTTTGACCATTATAAATTCATTAACTACACTCTAAACTTTTCATCTTATTGCCAAAGATACAATAAGGCATACTCAGACTAACTCCTTGCTAAATTCTACATGTAACACCTCTAATGCATTCCCAGATTGACACTGACTTCCTATATTAGTATTCACTTGTCTCAATATCCCCAAGCAGTAGTGTCTTTGAAGCCAATGTGTTGGACTTGGTCAATGAATAGTCAGTGTCTTGTACATAATTTCAATGATAATTTGCTGGTAGTTTTAAGCATCCAGTAACTACATATTTCCTTTCTCTTTCTTTTTCTGTTTGTATTTTAATGACTCCTACCCAAAGCAGGTAGAGCTAGTAGTAGTCAGAGGGTGAACTCTAGACAGACTACCTGGGTTCAAATCACAGCTCTGCCACTTACTGGCTGTGAAACCTTGTAGGGATTATTCATTCTGTGTATGAATTTCTTCATCTGTAAAGTGGGGTTAATGATAATATCCACCTTATACTCTTGTTAGGAGGGTTATGGATGAACATCTATAAAGATCTTAGTGCTGATTGACATTATTTCTTGACACACGTATAGAAATACTCTCTACTTAATCTACTCTCTTTATTTGAAAGGCAAACACTCCTTTCTTCTAATTTGTGCCACTTCCTAGCCAGCCCCAGAAGTTAGCACCAAGAAGTCTTCCTTACTTGTTTTCTTAATTAGTTCCTTTCTGTTAGTCCTTTATGACCTTCACATATCATTCATATTTTGGAGTCACAAGTATATCTTTTTAATTTACATATATCACTAATTATAAGATGAATCCTCAATTTAACTTGCTTTTCAGAGGGAGTAATTTTAAAAATTGCTGCTGCATTATATATATGTACTGTTTGTCCACATCCCAATTTGCAAAACCTAAATATATATATGTATGTTTTAAAGCAAATATCTGTATGCTAGACTCACATATATGGCAGGTGGGGAGTTGAGGGAATGACAGAACTGCCCCACATATGGGACAGACTGTCCCACAACGCTCAGCTGGCCATCTTGCAAAGGCCACGGATGCTACTGATCATAAAGGAGAACAGGCGAAAGAATTTGGATGATCCATTGTTTTTCAGAAAATACAAATTAAAATATTACTCATAACATTATAGTTGTCTTTTAAGTGATAGTTAATCTTTTTGAGATTTTTAACTATGGTAAAATAAACATAACACTTACCCTTATAACTACTTTTAAGTGTACAATTTTACAATTTAGTGGCATTAAGGACATCCCAAAATGATGTGAAATCATCACCACTATTTCCAGAAACTTTTTATCATTTCAAACAGAAACCCTATATTCATTAAACAATAACTCCCAATATTTTTTTAACCCTTGCCCCCAGCCCCTAGTAACCTCTATTCTACTTTCTGTCTCTATGGATTTGCCTTTTCTAGAAACTCATATAAGTGGAATCATATAGTATTTGTCCTTTTGTGTCTAGCTTATTTCACTTAGCATACTATTTCTAAGGCTTATGCATATGAATCCACATGTGATTTCACATACGGACCACAAAGCTCAGCTGGCCATCTTGCCAAGACTCTAGATGCTATTGACCACAGAGGAGAATGAGGAAAAAGAATTTGGATGAGGCCGGGAGTGGTGGCTCATGCCTGTATTCCCAGCACTTCGTGAAGCTGAGACAGGCAGATCATTTGAGGTCAGGAGTTCAAGACCAGCCTGGGCAACATGCTGAAACCCAGTCTCTACAAAAAAAAAAAAAAAAAAAAAAAAAAAAATTATCCAGGAGTGGTAGTGCATGCCTGTAATCCCAGCTACTTAGGAGGCTGAGGCACAAGAATCGCTTGAACCTGGGAGGCAGAGGTTGCTGTGAGCCGAGATCATGCCACTACACTCCAGCCTGGATAACAGAGTAAGACTCTGTCTCAAACAAAAAAAAAAAAGAAAAGAAAAAAAGAATTTGAATGAGTTATTATGACCCATTGCTTCTTGGCTGAATTTCATTTTTTATTAAGGCTGAATAATATTCCATCGTATGTATATACCAGATACTGTTTATCCATCCATCTCATTAATAGACATTTGGATTGTGTCCACCTTTTGGTTACTATGGGTAAAGTTATAATGAAAACTGGTGTATAAGCATTTGTTTGAATTCCTGCTTTTAGTAATTTTGGGTATACATCTAGGAGTGGAATTGCTAGATCATGTGGTGATTTTATGTTAAATTATCTGAGGAACAAATGGTTTTCCACAGCACACGTGACAGTTAACATTCATGCTAGCAATGTGCAATGGTTCCAATTTCTCTACATCCTCAACAATATTTGTTATTTTTCCTTTTTTTAAATAACATTTCTCCTATATGAAGTGGACTAACTGCAGTTTCTATTTACACTTCGCTAATGTCTAGTGATGCTGAGTATCTTTTCATGTGCTTATTGGCCACTTATATATATTCTTTGCAGAAATATCTAAGTATTTAGATATTTTGCCCATTTTTGAATTGGGTTGCTGTGGGGGCTCTTTATATATTCTAGATATTAATCCCTCATGAGCTATGTAATTCATGAATATTTTCTCCCATTCTGTGGGTTGCTTTTTCACTCTCTTGATAGTGCCTTTTGGTGCACAAGGGGTTTTAGTTTTGATGAAGTCCAATGTATCTATTTTTTTTCTTTTGTTACCTATGCTTTGATGTCATATCCAATAAATCATTGCCTAATGCAGTGTCATGAAGATTTGTCCTATGTTTTCTTCTAAGAGCTCTGTAGTTTTAGTTCTTACATTTAGATGTTTATTACTTTAGGTATTTTGAGTTAATTTTTGTATATGGTGTTAGGTAGGGTCCAACTGTATTCTTTTATATGTGCATATACAGTTTTCCCATCACCATTTGTTAAAAAGACTGTCCTTTCCCCTATTAAATGTTCTCAGCACCCTTACTGAAAATCAATTGACCATATATGAGAAGATTAATTCCTGAACTCTCTAGTCTGTTCCATCCATCTGTATGTCTGTTCTGTTGCCAGTTCCATACTGTTTTGATTTCTGAAACTTTGAAATAAGTTTTGAAATCAGAAAGTGTGACTCATCCAACTTTGTTCTTATTTTTCAAAAATATTTTAGCTACTCAGAGTCTCTTGAGATTACACGTGAATTTTAGGATGGGTTTTTCTATTTCTTAGAAACCTGCCATTGGTATTTGATAAGAATTACATTACATCTGCAGATTTCTTTGGGAAGTATTGTCATCTTAACAATAGTAAGTCTTCCGATTCATGGACATGAAATGTCTTTGCACTTGTTTATGTCTTCTTTAATTTCTTTCAGCAATGATTTATAGTTTTCATCATACAAGTCTTTTACCTCCTTGGTTAAATGTATCCCTAAATATTTTATTCTTTTTGATACTATTAGAAATGAAATTGTTTTCTTCGTTTCTTTTTGGATTCTTCATTGCTAGTAAATAAAAATGGAATTGATTTTTATGCATTGGTTTTGTATCCTGCAAGTTTAATGAATTCATTTATTAGCTCTGTTTTGTGTTTGGAATTTTTAGGGTTTTCTACATATAAGATCATATTAGCTGCAAAGAGAGATAATGTTACTTCTTTTTTTCCAATCTGAATGCATTTTATTTCTTCTTCTTGCCTAATTGCTTATCTAGAACTTCTAATACTATGTTCAATAGAAATAACAAAAGCAGGCATCCATGTCTTCTTCCTGCAGTCCTAGAGGAAAAGCTTACAGTCTTTCACAATTGAGTATGACATTATTTATGGGTTTTTCATATATGGCTTTTACTAATAGTTTCCTTCTATTCCTAGCTTTTAGTCTTTTTTATCATGACAGTGTGCTGAATTTTGTCAAATTATTCTTCTACATTAAGATGATTATGTGTATTTTTTCATTCTATTAATGTGGTATATTACATTTATTGATGTTTAGATATTGGAACATCCTTCCATTGTAGGAATAAAACCCACTTGATCAAGGTGTATAATCCTTTTACTATGCTCCTGAGATGCAATAAACCATACAAAAGATCAACAAATTCAGGGGTTTGTCCTTTGAAAGAATAAATAAGATTGATAGACCACTAGCTAGACTAATAAAGAGAAAAAGAGAGAAGATCCAAATAAGTGCAATCAGAAATGACAAACGAGCATAACCACTGAACCCACAGAAATACAAAAAATCCCTCAGAGACTATTATGAACACCTCTATGCATGCAAACTGGAAAATCCACAAGCAATGGATAAATTCCTGGAAACATACAACCTCCCAAGATTAATCCAAGAAGAAATTGAAACCCTGAACAGACCAATCATGAGTTCCAAAATTGAATAGTAATAAAATGTCTATCAACCAGAAAGAGCCCAGGACCAGACAGATTCACAGCTGAATTATACCAGATGTACAAAGAATAGCTGATACCATTCCTGCTGAAACTATTTCCAAAAAAAATTGAAGACGAAGTACTCCTCCCTAACTCAATCTATGAGGCTAGCATCATTTTGATACCAAAACTAGGCAGAGACAAAACAAAAAAGGAAAACTTCAGGCCAACATCCTTAATGAACATAGATACAAAAAACCTGAACAAAATACTAGCAAACCAAATCCAGCAGCACATCAAAAAGCTAATCCACTGTGATCAAGTGGGCTTTATCCCTGGGATGCAAGGTTGATTCAACATATGCAAATCAATAAATGTGATTCATCACATAAACAGAACTAAAAACAAAAAGCACATGATCATTTCAATAGATGCAGATAAAATTCAACATCCTTTCATGCTAAAACCCTCAAAAAACTAGGCATTGAAGGAACATATCTCAAAATAATAAAAGCCATCTATGACAAATCCATAGTCAACATTATACTGAATGGGCAGCCAGAGCAATAAGGCAAGAGAATGAAATAAAAGGCATCCAAACAGGAAGACAGGAAGTCAAACTATCTCTGTTTGCAGATGATATGATTCCGTAACTAAAAAACCCAGTGGTCTCTGTCCAAAGCTCCTAGATCTGATAAACAACTCCAGCAATTTCAGGATACAAAATCAATATATAAAAATCGGCAACATTTCTATGCACAAACAACATCCAAGCTGAGAACCAAATCAAGAACACAATCCCATTCTTAATAGCCATAAAAGATTAAAATACTTAGGTATATGGCTAACCAGGGAGGTGAAAAATCTGTGTAATGAGAATTACAAACCATTGCTCAAAGAAATCAGAGATGACACAAACAAATGGAAAAACATTCTATGCTCATAGATTGGAAGAATCAATATTGTTATAATTGCCATACTGCCCAAAGCAATTTACAGATTCAGTGTTATTCCTATCAGACTACCAATGACATTCTTCACAGAATTATAAAAAAAACTATTGTTTTAAAATTCATATGGAACCAAAAAAGAGCCGAAAAGCCAAAGAAATTCTAAACAAAAATAACAAAGTTGGAGGCATCACATTACCTGGCTTCAAACTATACTACAAGGCCATAGTAACCAAAGCAACATGATATTGGTACCAAAACAGACACATAGACCAATGGAACACAATAGAGAACCAGAAATAAAGCCACATGCGTACCACCATCTGATCATCAACAAAGTTGACAAAAACAAGCAATGGAGAAAGAACTCCCTATTCAATAAATGGTGCTGGGATAACTGGCTAGCCATATGCTGAAGATTGAAACTGGACACCTTCCTTACACCACATACAAAAATCAACTTAAGATGGATTAAAGACTTATATGTAAAACCTAAAACTATAAAAACCCTAGAAGAAAACCTAGAAAGTACCATTCTGGACACAGGCCCTGGCAAAGATTTTATGATTAAGATGACAGAAGCAACTGCAACAAAAACAAAAATTGACAAACGGGAATTAATTAAACTAAAGAGACTGTGCACAGCAGAAGTAACTATCAATAGAGTAAACAGACGACCTACAGAATGAGAGAAAATATTTACAAATTATACATCCAACAGAGGTCTAATATCCAGAATCTATAAGGAACTTAAACAAAATTTGTAACACAAGCAAAAGACAAACAACCTCATTAAAAAGTAGGCAAAAGACATGAACAGACACTTTTCAAAAAAAGACATGCATGCAGCCAACCAGCATATGAAAAAACACTCATCACTGATCATTACGGAAATGCAAATCAAAACCACAATGAGATACCATCTCACAGCAGTCAGAATGGCTATTATTAAAAAGTCAAAAAATAGCAGATGCTGGTGAGGTTGCAAAGAAAAGGGAAGGCTTAATCACTACTGGTGAGAGTGTAAATTACTTCAGCCACTGTGGAAAGCAATTTGGCAATTTCTCAAAGAACTTAAAACAGAACTGTCGTTCAACCCAGCAATCCCATTATTGGATATATGCCCAAAGGAATATAAATCATTCTACCATAAAGACACATGCATGTGTATGTTTATTGTAGCACTATTGACAATAGCAAAGACATGGAATCGACCTAAATGCTCAACAGTAGACTGGATAAAGAAAATATGGTACATATGTACCATAGAATACTATGTAGCCATAAAAAAGAACAAGATTCTGCCCTTTGCAGCAGCATGGATGAAGCTGGAGGCCATTATGCTAAGTGAACTAACATACGAAGAGAAAACCAAATACTGCATGTTCTCGCATATAAGTAGGAGCTAAACATTGAGTACACATGGGCACAAAGAAGGAAACAACAGACACCAGGTCCTACTTTAGAGTAGAGGGTGGTAGAAGGGTGAGGATTGAAAAACTTCTATTGGGTACCGTATTTATTACCTGGGTGACAAAACAATCTGTACACCAAACCCCTGTGACATGCAATTTACCTATATAATGAAACTGCATGGTACAGTGGTACATGTGCAGTTTTGCTATATAGGTAAATTGCGTGTCACTGGGATTTGGTGTACATGTTTAAAAGAAAAGTTTAAAAAATGCTCCTGAACTTAGTTTACTAGTATTTGGTATTTGCTTGTATTTAGTGTTTGCCACTATTGATGAATGGTTATTAATGGCTATTTAATAATTTGCATTCAATAACATCCTTCAGTCATAATTGTACCTCTCATGGACAGCTAACAAGTGTGTCCATCATTGATCTGGGAGGATCTTTCATGCTCCATCTCATTTATATCCACATTCACTGCCACTGGCTCCCACTGTTCTGGATTTTCTCCACCATAGATTAGTTTGGCCTGTCATTGAGCATCGTGTAAATAGATTTACCCAGGAGGTAGCCTTGTGTGTCTGGCTTTTTTCACTCAGCATGCCATCTTTTTCATATTCATCAATGTTGTTTTCTGTCTGTATTTGATCCTTTTCATTGTCCAAAACAAGTCCATTGTATGGATGGACTGCAATTCACCTGTTGATGAAAATTTATTTGGATTTTTACCTATTTTTGGCTACTGTGAATAAAGCTGTGATGAACTCTTGGGTTAGAAGAAAAAAAGGTGTGTTGTTTAGTTTCCACACATATTTCCTTCTGTTTTCCAGTTTTCCTTCTGTTTCTAGTTTTCATTGTGATCAGAAAAGATGCTTTGTATGATTTGAATCTTTCTAAATGTATTGACTTATTTTGGGGCCTAACATATGATCTATCCTGGAGAATGTTGCAGGTATACTTGAGAAAAATGTATATTTTGCTATTGTTGGGTGATATTCTTTGTATGTATGTCTGTGAAGTCTACCTGGTTTATAGTGTTGTTCAAGTCTTCTATGTCCTTACTGATTATCTGATTGTTCTACCCATTATTAAAAGTGGAATATTGAAGTCTCCAACTATTGTTGGAGTAACACTATTTATCTCTCCCTTCAATTTTGTCAATATTTGCTTCATGTATTTTGGAACACTGATGCTTGATGCATATATATTTACAATTGTTATGTTTCTCTGATAATTGACTCTTTTTTCAATATACAACATACTTTTTTGCCTTTGGAACAATTTTTGATTTAACGTCTGTTTTGCCTGGAATTAATACAGCCACCCAGTTCTCTTTTGGTGACTACTGGTATAGAATATCTTTTACCATTCTTTCACTTTCAACCTATTTGTCTCCTCAGATCTAAAGTGAATCCCTTGCGCATAGCATATAGTTGAATCTTTTTTTATAGTCCATTCTACTGATCTGTGCCTTTTTACTGGAGAACTTAATCTATTTACATTTAAAGTAATTACTGATTAGAAAGAACTTACTCTTGCCATTTTGCAAATGCTTTCTGTCTTTTATTTTTTCCATTACTGCCTTGTATGGGTTTAGCTGATATTTCGTAGTGACACATTTTGAGTCCTTTCTCATTTCCTTCTTTGTATAGTCTACAGATACATTTTTTTGTGGTTACCATGGGAGTCATATATAATATCCTAAAGTTGAAGCAATTTAATTTAGATTTATACCAGCTTAACCTTAATCACATACCAAAACTAATCTTATGTAGCTCTGCCCTCTTCTTTTATGTTATTGATGTCACATATTACATCTTTATGTATTGTCTAATTAAGAAATTTACAATTATTTTATTCCTTTGTCTTTTAAATTCTATAGAAAATAAAAAGTAAAAATATCAGTCAAAATGATGATAATATCAGCTTTTATATTTGCCCATATATTCACCTTTACTGGATATCTTTATTTCTTCATACAGCTTTGAGTTGCTATTTAGCATTCCTTCATTTCATTCCAAAGAACTCCTATTAGCATTTCTTGTTGGGCAGTGCTAGTTTAAATGAGCTCCTTCAGATTTTGTTTACTAGAATGTCTTAATTTCCCTTTTATTTTTAAAGGACAGTTTTGCCAGATACACAATTTTTGGTTTTCAAGTTTTTTCCTTCAGCATTTTAAGGTCACTGCCTTCTGGCCTTCAAATTATCTAATAAAAAATTAGCTAATAATTCTATTGAGGACTTGATGTGCATGATTGATATGGCTTGGCTCTGTGTCCCCACCCAACTCTCATCTTGAAGTTCCAATAATTCCCATGTGTTGGGGGAGGGACCCAGTGGGAGATGATTGAATCTTGGGGGCAGGTCTTTCCTGTGCTGTTTTCATGAGAGTGAATGGGTCTTATGACATCTGATGGTTTCAAAAACAGGAGCTTCTCTACACAAGCTCTCTTTTTGCCTGCAGCCATCCATGTAAGATGTGACTTGTTCCTCCTTGCCTTCTGCCATGATTGTGAGGCCTCCCCAGCCATATGGAGCTGTAAGTCCAATAAACCTCTTTCTTTTGTAAATTGCCCAGTCTCAGCTATGTCCTTAGCAGCAGCATGAAAACGGACTAATACAATGATGAATCACAATCTCTTGCTGATTTCAAGATTCTCTCTGTCTTGCACTTTCAAGAGTTTGATGATAACGTGTCAGTGTGATTCTCTTTGAGTTTATTGCACTTGAAGTTGTTGAGATTCTTGGATTTGTAGATTCATATCTTTCATCAAAGTGGGGAAATTTTCAGCCATTGTGTCATCAAATAACCTTTCTATTAATTTCTCTCTTTTCTCCTTCTGGGACTCGCGCAGTGCATATGTTGGTCCACTTGATGGTGTGCACAGGACCCTTAGGCTCTTTTCACTTTTTAAAATTCTTTTTTGTTCTGTTCCTTAGACTTGATCATTCCAATTGTCCTATCTTCACATCCACTTAGTCTTCCTTCTGCCTGCTCAAATCTGCTATTAAAGCCCTCTATTAAAATTTTTACTTCAGTTACAATATTTTTAGCTCCAGAGTTTCTGTTTTGTTCCTTTATATATTTTCCATCTTCTCATTTTAGTTTTGCATTGTTTTCCAGATTTTCTTTAGTTTTTTGTTTATGTTTTCCTTTAGCTCTTTGAACATATTTGGTTGTTAATTTCTTATCATGGGTGTATTGTTATCCTTTCAGTTCAAGTGTTAAGTTTCCTAAAACTAGTGACTATGTCCACACTTAATGCAATTTTGTGTCCATAGCATCATATAATGGAAAGACGATATACCCTGCTATGAATAAACATGAGTTCAGATCTCCTGTCTTGCTATATGATTCTATATGAGTCCCTTAACCTCAATCTCTGCCTCTCAGCTTCCTCAAAATGTTGGTCATGATAATAACTGAGGTGGTGAATGTGAAAATGCCTGTTATAAATAGAAACCTGGGAACATGGTATTTATTTTATATAAATTGTGGCAGTGAACACATTATTTTAAATGACACATACCTATTTATCTTTCTAATTAATTATTTCCTGTGTGCTAAGTTATGGGGTCACCAAATCTAGGCTAATCAAAGCTTATATTTGTTTTTGACCCAAGACCAGCATTCTTTTGGCACTACCACTGCTCTTTTCCTATTTCTGCAATCCATTCTGCCTACTTGAAAAGACAGCTTTAAAAGACAACTTAGCCCCACAGACAATAGATAATTTACTTTGGAACACTCAGCCTTCTCAGATTTTAGCTTTCAAACACAGTAGACTCAGCTGATAGAAGTAATGAAACCACCACATGCAACCTTCCTTGAAATACTTGTGATTATTGGTTTTTAGCTCTCTACATATATTTGTGTAAATGTACCTATGTATTTTTGAACTATATCTCTTGACCAATTCAGCCAACTGCAGTGATAGGAAAGGAAATGGTTAGGAATGAGGGGTGAACAATAATTACCTGCTCTTTTCTTTGTCTGTGTTTAGAACCAACTGAGACTGGAAGATCCAAATATCAACTTAATTACTGACAAAACTGTTCGAAAACGTAACCTAAATTTGCAGCAATAACAGGCTTCCTAACACCAAGTTCTGAAATTCAACAGACTTAACCACTCAGCCATAGCAGTTCCAGCCCATCAGCAAAAGCAGAACCTACCCTCTAAAATCTCTGCTGCAGAAGCAGAGCAGAATGTTAGTGCCTCAGGTAGATACAAGGAGCATGAAGAGAGGGGAGGGGCTGAGCTGCGCTTGCTCAGTTCCTGATCCCCGATTTACCAATCAGAATGATTGCTTCCCCTTCAAGTACACCTTGATTTACAAATCTTCTGGGAACCAAGTTCTTTTGAAAAGAGACAATCTGAGCAAAGAGAGGGCCTCCCCAGCTGGATGCACAGAGGCTGCCACTGAGGAGAGACAGCAGGCTGCTGCCTAACTTTCCAAGGGAAGAGAGAAAGGAGGTGTCCTGATGCAACAGGGAGAGAAACCACAGCCTGGCACATACCATCATGCCTCACATTCCATTGCTGCCCCTGGTAACGGTTTCTGACAACAAAATGTGGCTGGAATGCATACTCGTGTTAAATTACTGCTCTTGCCTGAGATAAGATAAAAGACATTTCTCTTGTTTGGGCTACTAAACAGAAAGTAGATCATAGGTGGTACTGCATAATGGCTCAGGAGCCAGGTTGCCAGCATTGTTATCCCTACTCTGTGTCCTAAGACGAATTACTTAAGCTCTTGGTGCTTTGGTTTCTTCCTCTGAAATAAAGTGAATGTTGATAGTGCCTACCTCATAGGGTTGTTTTGAGGCTTACATAAATTAATAGATGTAAACTACTTAGAACAGGATCTCTGAGTGCTTCATAATTCTTGGCCATCATTACCTGAGTCTCAGTTATCTTTACTAAAGAGAAGACGAGGAGGGATGAACTATTCAGAAATCGGCTTCTTATACAGAAACATACTCCCTTAAACATATATTGCTCATTTTCCAGTCCCAATATCCTCTGCTTTGGAGAGCCTGGGAGTTGAATGGGGATATATTAGGAATATATTAGGAAAAATTTGTAAGAACACCACTGAGATTTGGCAGTGAGAGGAAAGGCATGTGATTGCAGCATTCCGCTATGTGTACATGGGTCATTCAAATTCCCATTTCCTCTCCTTTCTAAAAGCTGCCATGACACCCATCAACCCAAGTCATGGCTCACCCTGCTTCATATGTGAGGGGAGGGTGGGAAGAGTACAGAGTGGGTGGTTCCTTGAAGTCAAGGGCTTCTCTCCCTACGTGTGAGTCTTGTTACTTCAGAATGGACCATGGGCTTCGCCATGGTTGAGACCAAGGCAGGGTATAACTGCTTCCAGCTCTAAGGGCTTTTGCTGGACTATTAAGAGGAATTGAATCATTGGCAGCTCAAGAGGGGCCAGGCAGGGCTGGGGCTGGGCAGGAGAGAGAAAACCAACCCCACATGAGGGGTCAGGAGCCAAATGGCAGGCCAGAGCCAGTATCTAATGGCTGTGGCTCAGAAGCCAGGGGAGCACAAAGGAGCTAAGCAGGCCACTGGGATGATCCGAGCTGCAGGACAAAGTGGGCTGACAGGGGGTCTCCAATCCCAGCAAGACCACCTTTCAGGCTCTCCAAAGGAGTCCCAGCAGAGAAATAAAGGTAGCATACAGATCAGTCAATAGGTTGTCGGATGAATTCAGAAGCAAGAACTAAGGGTTTGACAGTAGGTTAGGGCAGGACTCTGAGCACCAAAGATTGTCAGGGCTTCCTGGGGGTCCTATATACTGGGGTACTGGTAAGGAAACTGAGACGGAACCCTTATACCCCAGGAGTTGGCCTTCTTTGTGGAGACTGACATTTGGAACATAAAGTAATAATTGTAATTGCTGTTACCATTTATTAGATATCTACTCTGCCAGGAACTGGGCTTACATTCACATTTTTTGTCTCTTTGAATCCTTACAATAACCTCAGAAGCACTGATATTATCCTTCACACACTGGGATGTAAGTTCTATGCCTTGGGCCAAGGGGCTTGGTTTGTTTCATTCCCAGCTATGTACTCAGAACCAAAAATAGCATGTGCCAGTCCAGAAAAGGAACTTAATATTTGCCGCATATTTATCTCTGTTTTCCAGTGAGGGCACTAAAGCTTAGAAAGGTAAAGTGCCTTTCACAGAGTTCCACAGATTGTGAACAAAAAGTCAGAATCCAAACCTAGGTATGTCTGAGCCCTAAGTTTGTGCTTTTTTCCATTTTTCTACTCCGACTATCATAAAAAGAATGTTGGCCTCACGTCAGGATAACCCAGCATCTAGTTTCAGTTCTACCTCTAACTGTGTGACCTCAGGCAACTGGCCTTATTTCTCTGGGCTTCAATTTTCTTCTCTGGAAATGAAAGGGCTCAGAGCAGCTCGTGTCCAATATTCCTTCCAGCTCTCTGGTTCTGCGCCTTCCACGGCTCAAGGGAGCCCCATGGGATTGGTCTGAGTCACACTGGAGGGCTCTCAGGAAGCGGTGACTTGGAAGGGTCGGCTGATGGGCGGCCTGACCAGAAACGTGGAAAATGTGGGGCAAGCAGCTGCTAGAGTGAAAGAACAGCCGGTGGGAGTCTGGCTCTGTCTCCCATCAGGAAGATATTGAATTTCCTCACCCTCGTGGGGAAGTGGCTGCTGCTGCTCTAGCCCAGGGAAACCGACATTTTGCAGCTCTGGGAGTTAAGCAGCTCATGTTTTCAGAGCCTTGTGACCAATCCAGTAGAGTGAGGGGGCCAGTGATCTCTGGTGATTAGACCTAGTTGACATTTGGGGACTATAAGATCCTGAATGCAGAGTACTCATTCTAGCCATAGTCACAAAATCCCCTTAATTAAAATTTCATTTTCAACTTAGGTTTTAAACTCTCTTGCTCAGTAAGGTTCATCTATTTAAAACACAGCAGCCCAGAAGAATGAACTTAAAACAGCCATGGAGTTGCTTTGAATTATGTGCTGTGTGAAAGATGCCTAGTATCAGATTTAACAAAGTTTTACTGCCTTGGCTTTAATGCTATTATTAAGAATAATTTGTGTATGTTTGTACAGGCTTACTCCCCAAAGTTCATATTGTTTTCTTCCCAGGAACTCAAAAGCAGCTCACACGCAGTCTTTGACATCCCTTTCTCCCCTCTGTAGCTCCCTTTGTTCAGTGAGGTGAAGAAAAAGGCCTTGTTACATTACAGTGGAGATGTTTAAGCTTCTGGGAGACAGGGCATCTTCCAGAATCTGGTGAAAGCTGTGAGTCATCTCCACTTCCACCATCCTTCCATCCCCAAATCACACGAGCACATACACACAAAAAGTTCCATGCCACTTCAACTGTTCTGGAGCTCCCTAAGCAAATCCACAGAGGTCTCTAATGCTAGGTTAAACTCCGGGTTATTTTAATACATCGTGCTGGAACAACTGCAAAAACAAAAATACAATGGGAGGTTGAGGCTGCGGTGAGCTGTGATTGCACCACTGCACTCCAGCCTGGGCAATAAAGCCATACTCTGTCTCAAAAATAATAACAATAATACATTAAGAAAAAGAATTGAACCTTGATGCTTACCACACACCATATCTAAACATTAACTTAAAATGGATCATAGGCCTACAACTAAGTGCTAAAACTACAAAAACCCTAGAAGAAAATCTTTGTGACTATGGGTCAGACAGAGTCTTCTTAGATATGACACAGAAAACATGACTTAGAAAAGAGAAAAGCGATAAATTGGACTTCATCAAAATGAAAGGCTTTTAGTCTTTGGAAAACATTGTTAAGAAAATAAGACAAGCTACACATTGGGAGAAAACATGTGTAACACATCCATCTCTGTCCATGTTTGCTCACATTTCAATGTTAACTCTTAGCTTTATAATAAAATGGAAAGGATACCTTTTAACGGGGCATCACACTAACTGAAATAAAATTGGGTTCTGTGACCAAGGCAGAGAAGAGGAACGCACACTGGGTAAGCAACCAAGAGTGTGCTACATGTACAATATAAAATTATAAAAGAAAATAGAATCTCAGCAGGTGGTAGGTAACCAAGCAGGTCCCACAAGTCTGATCCTGTCTGCTGCAAGGTAGTAAGGGCAGAACATCATCTCTGCCCTGGATTCCCATCTGTGCCTAACACAAAGGAGGCCAGGGGAGAGAGCTCATGTGCTGATCTGGAATGCACAGACTACAGAGAAAAGGGCAGAAGAGGAGAGACCACCACGGGTGGAGCTGTCCACAAGGTGTGTGGAGGACATGGTCCTGAACTTGGCCTTCAATGCAAGGGATGTCAGGAAGCCAGAGGAAGGAGAGCAGGCCTTGGACTAGAGCATGGAAACAGGTGTTGGGTGCTACCTTCAAGGACCAAGAAGGCAACATGCCCTACCACAGCAGGAGGGGCATGCTGAGAACAGGAGCTGAAATTTCTCTGAGCCAGGTCAAAGCAGAGGCCGAAAGTGCCAGCCAGGGAATTTGGAGCTTGATGACAAAGTGGACTGGCTCTCCTAGAACCATGGGGTGACTTGATGAAAGTTGATTCATTCAGATCTGCTGCTTCTCCTCCAAACAGGACCCTGGTGATGGACTTTCTCCACACCCACCTTCAGGGAAGATGCACTCATTCATTTCAGCAGAGGAACGTCCCTCTTGCTGCACCAGTCACAGGCATTGGTCATGGAGCACCAGGGCTCTCTACTGCGGAACCTCATGCAGCCTCGCAGGCTTTCTCAGCACAGCACCCAAAAAACATTACCAAGTAGTCAGAACAGGCATTTGGGACACACCCAGCATGGTGGGGGCTGACAAACCCTACCCTTGTTCCCCCAACCCCACCCCCGCCTCCAGGGCCTCCCACTGAACATCTACCCCACCTCCATCGCCACCATCATTTCTCTTCTGCTGTGTGTGTTCTTCAGGCAGCAGCTGTTTTTCCTGTCACTGCATAATATTCATTTAAGCCTGATTTCACCTGGGAAAAATGCTGGAAATAAGCCAGACTCCAGAGTGATGTGGTCATGACCAGATCCCTCCAAGATGACCTGGAAAGCTGAGTCCACCTGAGCTCACAGGACGGCTGGAGCTGGGCCAGAATGGAGAGGCCGCTGGTGGGCCATGCCCCAGTGACCCCAGCCCGAGGGGTGGCAGCCAAGCTGGCGAGGAAGAGACAGAGGAGGACCATGTCAGAAACTCACAAGGACAAGTGAGGGGTCCTGGTGAAAGCATAATGAGTTTAATAACCAGGGACAGCCCTGATCATCCACCATCCAATGGTGTCCCCACCTGATGACTGGCAACCCATTCTATGGGTGGGTTTAAGGGTGGGAGGCTCTTTCATCCTGGAGCCTCTTCAGGTCTCCCAGAGCTGCAGTCGCCTCAGCAAGCAAAGCAGAAGAAAAGAGGCCACTGTGTTTATGGCTGGGGTAGCCGCTCTCATGTGAAAATCAGGGGGTGAAACAAGGTGCTTTTGAAACCTGTTCAAGGCCTCCTTCCCTCCCAGCAAATCATCAGAGGAGAGATTTTGCCTCACGCTTTTCTCTCATGCATGTGTCTGTCCCAGAGTCGCCATGGCAACACTGTGTATGTTTGCACGGCTGGAAGGATCCAGAGATGGAAAACGAGGCCAGGGTGGACCAGAGCAGGGAGTCCAGCAGGAATTCCTCTCTGATCCTCTGCAGGCGATCAGTTAACAGAAAGCTCCCTTGCCCTTCTGAGGTTAGTCATAGAGCCTGCTTCTGCCAACAGCTCACAGGAAAAAATCACAATCCTCAGCAGTGAGTCCTGGGAATGTGCATCAAAGCCTGTTTTCCCCCCAGCAGTTTTATCAGGTAGGGATTTGCCATGACAATTCCCCAGGCCCTGAAGCCCAAGGTGCCAGCACACACATGGCAAGGCAGCCAGTGCCCGGTCACAGGGTGGGTCCGGGAACCACCCCTCACTCGGTGGGAGACAGCAGGTATGTCAGGAAGTGCTCTGCCACGTCTCACCTGTTTCCCTCACGCCTGACACTTCTCTATGCCGCGTGGACTTGGAGAACCAAGCTCTGAAAATCTGTATGAGACCCTTTTTCTAGATGAGACATGCACCTCATGCTGATTCTCCCTCAGAAGACAGCCCCAGTGGGTGTTCTCTGTAATTCCTCAACAGACACAGCCAGCCTTTTAACCACTTCTTTGTCTCTGAATCACCTCCCAACCTTTTCTCAAATTGTGGGAGCCATAAACTGGATGACAGGGAGGATTCAGCCCAGCATGGAGCTCAAGGTGGGGCCAAGAACCGTATAAATGAAACTGATTTTTTGGCAAATCACGTGAACATATGCATATTGACCAGTATTTAAGCCAGTGTCTGACACATATTAGGTGCCCAAAAATATTTATTAAACAAATAAGTAAAGTTCCCATAGATAGCAGAGACATGGAAAGTGGTTCCCACCTAGAAGTTTGGTGAGTTTACTTTCATGGGGTACAGAAAGACTGTTAAATAGGAAGGGATGCTAGTCTAATTGCACTTCAAACCCATCCCTCCTCACTCCACAGCTCTGCCCCTTATATAAACCAATTCTCACAAAAACGTCAGGAGCAGGGAGTTCAATATTTACTTGGCCATGATGCACTTGGTAGATCTCAGTTGGCTGGTAGAGTGTATTTTTCCCACTCTGAGGGCCAAAGATTTTGGCAGATGGCAAATGGAGGTGAAGGGGAGACAGAGTAAGTTATATAAAATACCACTAACTCTCTTCTCCTGTAGGCAGTAAAAACAGCTTCCTAGATTATTAGCACTGAGCCAAAATAAAAATCCACTGAAATATATTTTACAGGATGGAGATACTGTTCTAAAAAGGACGTGAGCACTTTCCTGAATTTATATGCTGCTTTGTTGCTGATCAGTTCTGCAGCAATCCCAGAACTAAGGTCCTTCAGTCATTCAATGAACATCTGTCATCTACAGCGGTCATTCTCAACCAGGGCTATCTTGTTCCTTAAGGGGACATTGATAATATCTGAAGACATTTTTGAGTGTTGCAACTGGGGGAAGGGTGCTAGTGGCATCTTGGGGAGACCAGCTTCTAAACAACTTACAAGGCGCAGAACAGACCCAACCAAAAAGCATCATCTGCCCCAAAATGTTGGGAAAACCTAGAGAGTGACAGAAACACACAGTAGCACAAAGCGAGGCATCTGAGTCCCGGAGCCTCAGAGAAGGCTTATCAGATGGAGTGATGAGTGCACTGAGACATGAAGAAGAATGAGCAGGAAACATAATTAGGAAAGAGGTTCTCGAGCAGAAGGACCTACATAAGCCAAACATGGAGATGAACATTTAAAGAACTGCAAATAGAGCAGACATTCTCTCAACTACCCTTCCCTTATATTAACTCATTTTCAAAAAAGGCCGGTACAGTGGCTCACACATGTAATCCCAGCACTTGGGAGGCCGACACGGGTGGATCACTTGAGGTCGGCAGTTTGAGACCAGCCTGGTCAACATGGTGAAACCCCATCTCTACTAAAAATACAAAAAATTAGCCAGGTGTGGTGGTGGGCACCTGTAATCCCAGCTACTCCGGAGGCTGAGGCAGGAGAATCTCTTGTACCTGAGAGGTGGGGGTTGCAGTGAGCCAAGATTGCTCCACTGCACTCCAGCCTGGGCAACAGAGCAAGACTCTGTCTTAAAAAAAAAAAAAATACTGACGAGTGCACACACAGCACAGGAGCGTGCGAGGCCGGTGAGCCTGTGTACTTCCACTCCAGCGGATGAGTTATATGCTTAGCAAGGGTCAGCTGTATTTGTTCCCAAAACTGTTTATGCCAGACTTAATGTTATTTTAATTATAGGACTTAAGCAGGTATTATATAAACTCATGAAACATGATTACAAAAGAAAGTTGCTATTTTTATCCTAGGTAGAATGCTTTGAAGAGACTTCATGAGTCTAAGTCCTAAAAAGAAAATGCTATCAAACTAGATATGGAAAAAACAACTCTAATAGTTTTGGGGGGAAACGTTTTTAAAATGTAGAAGAATTATGTACTTACATTGCTTCATAAGTGTTCTTAAGTCTTGATTCATTTGTAATTAGAAACCATAAATAATCAATTATTGGTGTGGTTTATGCAAAAAAGATGATTCCAAACACCAATCAAGTTACATTCTAAGAAGAAGTCTTGGCCCTGTTTCAAGACATTGCTGAGTAAATATGGATTTCTGTGTTTTGAGTTGAAATAAAATACATATCACATGTATATGTCATTTTTGTATGATTCCCTGTTTTACCCAAGTTTGTTTTTGATCCATTTTTATTTTACTGTGGCAAAATATACATAACATGACTTTTACCATTTTAACAATTCTTTATTTTATTGTATTGTATTTTTTGAGACGGAGTCTGGCTCTGTCACCCAGGCTGGAGTGCAGTGGTGCGATCTCGGCTCACTGCAACCTCAGCCTCCCGGGCTCAAGTGATTCTCCTGCCTCAGCCTCCGGAGTAGCCGGGATTACAGACACGCACCACCACACCTGGCTAACTTTTGTATTTTTAGTAGAGACGGGGTTTCCCCACGTTGATCAGGCTGGTCTCGAGCTCCTGACCTCAGGGGATCCACCCACCTTGGCCTCCCAAAGTGCTGAGATTATAGGTGTGAGCCATCGCACCCAACCAAATTTTATTTTTTTAGTTTTAGATTCAGGTGTGTTATGTGGATAGATTGTGTGAGGCCGAGGTTTGGGAGCACAGTGCACAGCAGGTAGTTTTTCAACTCCTGCCCCTCTCCCTCCCTTCTTTTGGACTCCCCGGTGTCTATTGTTCCCGTCTTGATTTCCACTGTACCTAATGCTTAGTGCTCCCTTAAAAGTGAGAACAGGTGGTATGTGGTTTTTTTACTTGACATTTCTTTATTAATCTTTTCAGGTAGGACAGCTTCTGCCATATCTGCAGCTTCTGCCATATCTGCAGCTTCTGCCACATCTGGGTCCGACTGGTGCACAAAGCACGCAGAGGACATGACAGTGGATGAGGAATGAGAGATGACCTGGGGTCAGACTATGAAGGGTCTTTTAAGCCATGATGTGTTTGGACCTTGGTAAGTAATAGGAACCACTAAAACTTTTTTTTTTTGAGATGGAGTCTTGCTCTGTCACCCAAGCTAGAGTGCAGTGGCGTGATCTCAACTCACTGCAGCCTCCACCCCCTGGGGAACCATTAAAATGTTTTAAACAAGGGAGTGACTTGACCACATGGCATGTTTTAAAAAGCTATCTCCACGGCTCCAGTATGCTGACTGCAGACCAGAAGTCCAACTAGGAGGGTCCTGAAGCAATTTGGGGTGCCTGTGATTATTGAATAAAGGAACAGCATTGGGGATTCAGAGACAAGAATAGACTCAAGGGACATTTAGAAATTACTATCCATAGAACCTGGTTATTGATTGGACATCACATATAAAGGAGAAGCTAGAGTCAAAAACCACACTTAAGTTTGTAGCTTGGATACCTGAGTTTTTGGTGGTGATTCCTCTAAGATAGAAGACAAAATGGAGGAATTCAGCCTGGGTGGAAAGATGCTGAACTCAATTTTGGACATATTGAGCCTCACAATCTTGTGAGACATTCACATAAAGGTGTTGAGTGTCTGGTTGGATTCATGTGTGTGATGCTCAGAAGAACATCTTGGGCTGAATACTTAGATTTGTGAGTAATCAATACACAGAAAGAAATTCAAGCCATTACAATAAATAAAATGGCCTGCCTGAGATACAGAATGAAACGTTGGCCTAAGAGAAGATATCTAAAAGATTGTCATGAATCAATAAGAAAATGACAATAAACCCAATAAAATGTGCAAAATACATTTTTAAAATATTTCACACAAGAAGAAAACCATAAAAAAAAGCATGAAAAGATTCTTCACTGCCCTACTAGTCAAGGGTACGCAATTGCATTTCCACAATGAGATAGTTTTTATGCCACTAGATTGACAAAAATTAATATCTGACAATGTCAAATAAGGATTTGAAAAGGTTTATACTTTACTGGTGAGATTGTATAATTGCTTTGGAAAACATTTCAGCATTATCTTGTGAAGCATACCACATAATTCTACTCCTAGGTATCCACCCTAGAGAAACTCTTGAATATGTGCACCAGGAGACATATTCAAAAGTGACTTCAGGACCTTTGTTCATAATAGTACAATACTAAAGGCAACCTAAAGAGTCAACAGCAGAGAATGGATAAGGGGCAATGTATCCATGAAAAGTATCATAATAAAGCAGTAGAAAAAAATGAATTGCACACATGTGTGAGAACATTAAGGAATCTTAGAAACATGATGTTGAATGGAAAAGGAAAGAACCCAGAAGACTTTGATTTATTCAGTTGGTGCGAACGTAATTGCAAAAACCTCATTACGTTTGCATCAACCTAATAGATATTATTTTAATAAACCTAAAAATAAGCAAAACTGGGCAAAATATTATTTACATATGCATGCATTTGGGATAAAACAAAACAAAAAATCAAAAGAATAATTCTAAAATTCAGGATAGTGGTTCTCTCTGTGCGGAAAAGAAAAGCAGGACACAGAAGGAGGTTAGGAGCAGAAGTGAGGGTGGATACGAGTTACTGGGAATGGACTTGTCCTTTGCTTGACTGCTGGGTTCAGAAATGTTCATCATACTATATTTTGTAACTTACACATATTATAAATAGTCTCAAATAGCATACTAAAATTAATACAAAAAATGAAAAAAATCGCACTTAGAGTTACAATTTTTTTCATCCTAATTAAGACAGACTTCTGGATTTAAGGACTGCATGAGTTTACTCTTTTGTTAAAATTGCTTTTACCAAAATTTTAGGACTTTAACTTCCTCCCTAGGTGGAAATATATGGCCCAACCACAGGACACACCAAGGACCATGGAGTGTGCATTTTGGGGTAATAAATTACCCTTGGCTTCCTTTTACTCACTGTATTTCCCATCACTCTGACTCATTCAATTATTTATTTCCACTCATTTGTATTGTGTGCATTTGTATAAGCCACCTCAGATTCTTTGTAGAATGAGGTGCAAGTATTCAAAATTAAAACATTCTACCCCATGAGGGTAGAAAAAAAACCTCAAAATTCTGTCATACTTTTTCCCATTTATGGCAGGAAATGCAGAAAAGTGGCCAATTCCTTTCCTCCAGATGGCAGGCTGCGGCTAAAAGTCTAACAGCACTCCCTGACAGCCTGGAGGTGGCCAGAAAAGCCACACACAGGCTGCAAGAGAGGATGTGTGGCCCACCAAGCCCTGGCACTCTGGATTCTCAGCCAGAGTCTTAATTAAATCAGATACCATTTTGAGAAGGCTTCCAGAGGCCTTGCACCATGAGCTGGCCTGAGCTCCTGAGCTCATGCCCTCTACAGTCCCGCAGCCCTCCAGACCAGGGAGACAAGGGATCTCCTACGGCTGGCACCCTCCTTCATTACCCACAGATGCCCAGTTGTGCCTGTCCCACAGAATAATAATAGGCCACTCTATCCAAAGTTGCCATATCCAATGAGATACAACCCAATTGCCAGGGAAGCTGCTCCTGCCTGCATTGTACCTAATTTGTTGGCCACAGGAAGGGTTTTCTGCATCCCAGAGAAGGTCAGGATCATTAGTTTCTGACTCTATATCAGTGTAGTAAAACTTAAAGAAGTCATAGTTCCAGTCCTGATTTAGCTTGGCTGGATCCCCACCCACCCAGTCCAAGGGGACTCCAGAAAATAAACTAGGCATTTATACCCACTGTTGAGGAAGAATCTGCTTCAAGCCACAAGGTGAGGGCTGGAGAAGCTTCCATTAGCCATTATTCGCCAGCCATGGTATCCCTAATCACACAGATGGCTATGACCCATAAGTCTCTTTAATAACACTGTCCACTGTTTCCCATGAGATGTCTACCATCAGATTGCCTATAAGAATAGTTTCAGATGAAGAAGGAGGAGGAAGAAGAGAAAGAGAAAGAAAAAGAGGAAAAGGAAGAGGAGGAGGAGGAGGGGGAGGAAAAGGAAGACGAGGAGGGACAGGAAGAGGAGGAAGAACTACATATCCTCACATGATGTGTATGGCTGTGAGATTGACGCATTCCACAAGCTCTGCACCTACACCAATATATTAAAATCACACTGGAGCGGGGACCTCCGCAGATCCTCCTTCTCCCTGTATAAGCCCCAGTGAACTTCGTAATTTTTTTTAAGTTGGAGGGACAAAAGAAGTTGCCTCTTCCAGGCATATTCAGATCTCAAGATAGTCATCATTCTTTACCACCACCTCTTCCTACAATCTCTTGAACCAGCTCTGTGCAGGATGAGCCTTTATGAAATTCATGCTCAGAGGCACCCACAACTTTGTCTCTAGAAAAATGATGAGTGGAGGATGGGCTTCTAAATGTGCTCAACTCATTTTGAATGCACAAGAAAGCCATTTGGCCCATGTGACATCTCAGCTATCTTCCAGAACTTACTGAATGGCAACTTTGAAGAGCCCCTGTCCTGAGGGCTTGGGATCTAATTGGATGATATCCCTACCTGACGCCATAGGTGGAAAAAAAACCTGTTTTGAGACGGACTTAACCAGCAAACACAGTGTGTGCTGTGGACCAAATCAAAAATCCTCCTATGTAAGCAATGAGGTAGAGTTCTTGCATCTTGTCTTGTCGATTTGATAGCCTAAGCATTAGAGGATGGGCTATTAGAATCTACTCAAAGGGCTGGGGGAGGTGGCTCACGCCTGTAATCCCAGCACTTTGGGAGGCCGAGACGGGATCACTTGAGCTCAGGAGTTAGAGACCAGCCTGGCCAACATGGCAAAACCCCATCTCTACTCAAAATACAAAAATTAGCTGGGCATGTTGGCACGCACCTATAATCCCAGCTACTCAGGAGGCTGACGCAGAAGAATGGCTTGAACCCGGGAGACAGAGGCTGCAGTGAGCCGAGATCACGCCACTGCACTCCAGCCTGGGTGACGGAGTGAGATTCCGTCTCAAAAAAAAAAAAAAAAAAAAAATCTACAGGGAAAGAAATGCTGGACCCCTGCAAAATCCCATCAAACCATAGCATATGGTTTATTGAGAGAACAGTGGCCAGAAACAGAACAGACTCTGCTTTCTACTTGAGAAGTAGAAACTCAGAGCCAAGCAAGGCCTTCTTTTGGGTAAGTCCAGGGAGAGCACAGCCTCCTCCACTCAGGAAAAGGGGTACAAAGTGAAGGAAAGGGCATGTTCATATAGGGCCACCTTTCATAGTTGCCCCTACTCTCGTCTCCATAAAGAGCTGCAAACCTCTGCACTCATTGACCAAGGGAGCTCCTCTAAGTTTTTCCTCTCACCTTTGCTCCTACTGATGTAGAACAATTGCAATTTCTAAGTCCAATAGTAGAAAGGCAATAGCATCTTTGAAAAATGTTGAGAAATGCAGTTTCCTCCCACGGGCACACACATTCAGCTCCTTCCTCTCTGCCTGAGGCTTTCTCATGGGCAGGCTACCTGGCTTTCTCACTTGGCTTCTCTCCAAGACACCCCCTCTCAGATCACATAGAGAGGTTTCCATGCCTGACCCTGACTGCTGACAAAACACCCAAGACCCCTGCTCTTCTAGCTGATTAATAAAGTTAAGAAATAACATGAAAAGGTAAGCATTTTTATCATTATTATCCTGAGTAGAGAACCCTGCTTAACCATTCCCTGACGTCTGATTGATTTCTGGTCTCAGTTTTAAATTGCATTTGCAGAATACAAATTGCATTGAGGTTGGCATCGCTAAAGATTATTTCATGGAACACTAGTCTGAGAAAATGCCTCTAAAAACAGAGAGAGCCCATGGTTAGAATATGTATATTTTCTTGCATAATACGTGCTTCCCCTAGGTTTTCTCATGATTATTTATATTCAAACTTCTCATCGAGCCAGTTTTACTAGATTTCACCTTTTTTTAATAACACCTATGAGCAGAAGAATTGTGGAGAATACACTTTGGACAATGCTGTTCTAACCATATCTTGGAATGGAGATTGCAGGTAGGAAAGTTCAAGTCCCCATTTATTTTAGAAAATGATTTATATACATATCAATGATCTTTAAAAGCAGGGTTTACTTTTTAGACTTCTGTATACATTGCAATTGCATTGTTAAAACACAACCTAGCAGGCAAATATTCTTTAGGCTCTATCCCATAGAACATCCTTTCAACTTATCCTTGGAGGACTTTTACAAGATCCTTCCTCAACTTAGGGGAAGAGGATGGCCAAATGATTTTTTTTAATTTATTTTTATTATACTTTAAGTTCTAGGGTAACTGGACACAACGTGCAGGTTTGTTACATAGGTATACATGTGCCATGTTGGTTTGCTGCACACATCAACTAGTCATTTACATTAGGTATTTCTCCTAATGCTGTCCCTCCCCCTGCCCCGCACCCCGCGACCGGCCCTGATGTGTGAATGAATATCTGTTACTCCTTTCTTTCATTTTTTCCTTCCAGTAGTTAAATTTTTTTTTCACTTCACAAACGACTATAAATTTAAGCTATAATGAGATATCATTAGATAGCCATGACTGTGTCATATGATACCCGTATGTTTCAATTTTTTCTTTTTTTTTAATTATACTTTAAGTTTCAGGGTACCTGCGCACAACGTGCAGGTTTGTTACATATGTATACATGTGCCATGCTGGTGTGCTGCACCCATTAACTCGTCATTTAACATTAGGTATATCTCCTAATGCTATCCCTCCCCCCTTCCCCCACCCCACAACAGGCCCCGGTGTGTGATGTTCCCCTTCCTGTGTCCATGTGATCTCATTGTTCAATTCCCGCCTATGAGTGAGAACATGCGGTGTTTGGTTTTTTGTCCCCGAGACGGAATGTCGCTTGTTGCCCAGGCTGGAGTGCAATGGCGCGATCCTGGCTCACTGCAACCTCTCTGCGTCCTGGGTTCAAGCGATTCTCCTACCTCAGCCTCCCGAGTAGCTGGGATTACAGGCACATGCCACCACACCCGGCTAATTTTTGTATTTTTAGTAGAGACGGGGTCTCACCATGTTGGCCAGGCTGGTCTCAAACTGCTGATCTCAGGTGATCCAACCGCCTCGGCCTCCCAAAGTGCTGGGATTACAGGCATGAGCCACCGCGCCTGGCCATGTTTCACTTTTGAAGAAACTGCCAAACTGTTTCCAAAGGGGCTGCATATTTTACATTTTCACCAATACTGTGTGGGAAATAGTTCCTCCACATCCTTATATACACTGGGTAGGGGTCAGAGATTTTAAAGTCAGACATTCTAATAGGGTTATAGTTGTATCTCGTTATGGTTTTAATTTGTATTTTCATTTCTCTAATAAAAATGATGTCAAACATCTTTTCATATGTTTATTTGCCATCTGTGTATCTCTTTGGTAAAACATCTGTTCAAATCTTTTGCCCATTTTTCAATTGGATTGTCTGTTTCCTTATTATAGAGATTTTATATTTAGGATACAAATCTTTTGTGTAATTTGCAAGTATTTTTTCCCTGATGGTGGCATTCTTAATTTTGATGAAGTCCAACTTAATGATTTTTATTTCCTGGATCATGCTTTTGATGTTGTATCTAAAAAATCTGTGCCTAACCTAAGTTTGTAAAGATCTGTCTCCTAACTTTTTTCCTAGATGTTTTATGGTGTTGGGCTTTATGCTTGGTTCTAGGATCAATTTGATCCATTTTGAGTTAATTTTGCATGTGGTACAAGGTACGGATCAAAGTTCTTTCTTTATTTTTTTTTTAATATGTGTGTCCCATTGTTCCAGCACCATTTGTTTAAAGACCATCCATTCTTCACTGGATGGACTGGCTTTGCATCATTGTTCAAAAGCAATTGACAACTTCCAACTTCCACTTGTAAAGAGCTTGCCATCACTTCCAGCCTCACAAGGAAAATACTGAACAAACTGAAAATCAACAACTCTTCTTTGATCAATCAGAGAAAGGTCACAGGCCATGCTACTACCCCAAAAACTGAGAGAAAGGTAGATGCACAGAATGAGAGCTTACAGGAGCAGAAGCCCCAGCTGTGGTAGGAACACCTAAACAATAATTGACTCATTGCTGGAGACCAAGCTATGGACTAAAAAGTCCTAGCAGCCCATTCTTAGGGGAGCCCCACACTTTCATAAGTTTTACGTCCAGGAGCCCCACCCAGATCTCAGAGTGAAAATTAGAGAAAATCTCCTCTTGTTTCCAGCAAGGGGAGAGGAGCAATCATTTTGAAATATGTTCAGGGTGATCTCTTCCCCTTAACAAAGGCCTGCCCCCAAAGGAACCTCTTCTACTGGGGCATAACTGGGGGTTTTATCAGATCCTGATGGGCCTGTGGGAAGGGATGTCCCCAACACCAGCTCCCTGTGGCTGTCTATGTGGGGTAAGGGAAATAGCTCCAGCCTCCTCTAGCCTTCTTGTTTCTCCAAACGGGAAAGGGAAAGTTGAGAAGCACCCCTGAATGTCACACCTCAGCAGCACAGACTCTCAATGACTGACATCCAGTCACAGGATAATAGAAAGTTTCCCTTCCCCCCAACATATTACCACCATATCAGTAGGGCTCCTGCACACCATCGTTTATCACAGCTTCATTTCTAATTGCCAGAAACAGGAAGATGCCCTTCAGTAGGCGGACGGATAAACAAACCATGGCACATCTATTCGCACTAAAAAGAAATGAGCTGTCAAGCTAGGAAAAGACATGGATGAAACCTTAAATGTATATTTCTAAGGGAAAGCATCCATTCTAAGAGGGCTATCTGTTGTATGACTCCAATTATATAACATTCTGGGAAAAGCAAAACTGTAAAGGCGGTAAAAAATAAATAAATAAATAAGTAATTGCCAGGGGAGGGGAGGTTTTCAGGGGGAGGGAGAGTGAGATGAATAGGTGGGACACAAGGGATGTTTAGGGTAGTGAAAGTATTCTGTAAGATATTGTAACTGTGGATACATAATATTATTTATTTGTCAAAATCCATAGAACATACAACACTAAGAGTGAAGCCTAGTATAAACTATGGGCTTCAGTAAATAATAATGTATCAGTGTAGGTTCACCAGAGGTAGCAAATGAACCACACTGAGGCAAGATGTTAATAACAGGGGAAACTGGTAGGGTGGTGAGCGGAAAGTAGTACAGAGGTTTATGGGAACTCTGCACTATCTGCTCAATGTTTCTGTAAGCCTAAAAATTCTCTTTAAAAAAAGATATATTAATAAATAAAATCTAGGCCAGGTGCTGTGGCTCATGCCTGTAATCCCAGCACTTTGAGAGGCCAAGGCTGGCAGATCACCTGTGGTCAGGAATTTGAGACCAGCCTGGCCAACATGGTGAAACTCTTTCTCTACTAAAAATACAAAAAGTAGATGGGTGTGGTGGTGCACACCTGTAATCCCAGCTACTAGGGAGGCTGGGGCAGGAGAATCTCTTGAACCTGAGAGGCAAAGGTTGCAGTGAGCCAAGATCACGCCATTGCACCCCAGCCTGGGCGACAGAGTGAGACTCAATCTCAAAAAATAATAATAATAAAATAAAATTTAGAAATCAACTGACTGCATATGCTATGTATGTGTGGATCTATTTCTAGACTCTATTACATTCCTTTAGCCTATTTGTCCCCCTTGAGTTCAATGCTACGTTTTAACTTTATAATAATCTTTAATGTGTCTTCAAGGCTTATTTCAAAGTTGTTCTTCTTCAAAGTTGTTTTGACTATTCTAGGTCCTTTATATTACCAGATGAATTCTTAAATCAGCTTGAAATTTTCTATACAAAAGCCTGCTGGAATTTTGATTGGGTTGCATTGAATTTATAGACCAATATAGGGAGAATTAACATCTTAACAATGCTGACTCTCCCAACCTATAAACAAGATACATGGCACATTTGAGTATTCTTTAATTTTCTCTCAGCATTGCCTTGTGTTTTCAGAGTACATGTCTTGCACATCATTTGCCGTATTTATCCCAAAATATTTTGTATTTTGATTTTATTGTAAATGGTGTTTTTATTTTAATTTTGATTGTCTATTGCTACAACATAAAAATATAGTTTATTTTCAAACCTATTTTGTGCTTTGCAGGATATAAGGCTAATAAATAATAAGAATTTGTTTGTTTGTTTGTTTATTTGTTTTTTAAGGGAGACAGGGTCTTGCTCTGTCACCCAGTCTGGAGTCCAGTGGTGAGATCATAGCTCAGTGTAGCCTTGAACCCCCGTGCTTAAGCAATCCTCCTGCCTCAGACTCACGAGTTGCTGGGCCTACAGCCACACACCACCACCAACCCCAGCTAATTTATTTTTTATTTTTGTAGAGACAGGGTCTCGCTATGTTGAGCAGGCTGGTCTCAAACTCCTGGCCTCAAGAGATCCTCCTACCTTAGCATCCCGAAGTGTTAGGATTACAGATGTGAGCCACCACACCTGGCCTCTGTAGTGTTCTTCGTGAGACTTTTAGCTACAAATTCCATTTTTAAAATAGATACAGGGCTATTCAAGTTATTTTTCTTGAGTGAGCTTTGGATATTTATGTTTTTCAAGGAATTTATCCATGTCATCTGAGTTGTTAATTCATTGACATAAAGTTGTTCATAATATTGTCTACTATCTTTGTAATACATATAGGATCTGGTGTGGTGTCATCTCTCTCATTCCTGATACTATAACATTCTCTCTCTCTCTCTCTCTCTCTCTCTCTCTCTCTCTCTCTCTCTGTCTCTTCCAGTCAGTCTGGCTAGACTTTATCAACTTTATTGATTACTTTAAACAGCTTTTGGTTTCATTGTTTATCTCTATAGTTTTCTGTTTTCTATTTCATTGACTTCCACTTTGATCTTTATTATTTCCCTTCAGGTTTAATTTCTTCTTCTTTTTCTAGTTTCTTTTTTTTCTTTTCCGCAGACAGAGTTTCGCTCTATGGCCCAGGCTGGAGTGCAATGGTGCAATCTCGACTCACTGCAGCCTCCACCTCCCAGGTTCAAGCAATTCTCCTGCCTCAGCCTCCCGAGTAACTGGGACTACAGGCACATGCCACCATGCCCGGCTAATTTTTTGTATCTTTAGTAGAGACGGGGTTTCACCATGTTAGCCAGGATGGTCTCGATCTCCTGACCTCGTGATCCGCCCGTCTTGGCCTCCCAAAGTGCTGGGATTACAGGCATGAGCCACCATGCCCAGCCTCTAGTTTCTTAACGTAGAAGTTGGGGTCATTGATTAAAAACTTTTCTTCTTTCCAATAATATGGGTGTTATTGCCATAAATGTCCTTAAAAGTATTGATTTAGATGCATCCCACAAGGTTTGATAATTTGTTTTTACTTTTATTTAGTTTAAAATACTCTTTGATTTTTCTTTTGATATCTTTTTTTTTAACCCGTTGGTTACTTAGAAGCATATTAGTTAGTTTCCAAATATTTGGGAATTTTCCAGAAATCTTTCTGTTATTGATTTCCAATTTGATTTGATTGCAGCCCTAGAAAATACTTTGCATGAACTGAATCCTTTTAAATAAATTGACATTTGTTTTATGGTCCCAAACATGGTATATCTCAGTAAATCTTCTATGTGCATTTGAGGTGTACACCGCCATTGTTAGATGGAGTGTTCTATAAGTGTAAATTTTAAGGCCAAGTTGGTTAATAGTATTTTTCAAGTCTTCTTTACAGCTGTTTTTCAAGTCTTCTTTACGGCTATCTACTTGTTCTGTCAACTATTAACAGTTGGGGGTGTAAAAATAGCTGACTATTATTTTTGGATTTGTATATTTCTCCTAGTTTCATGTACTGTATATTTCTTCTACCTTCAGTTTTTGCTTGATGTATTTTGAATCTCTGTTATTAGGTACATACACATTTATAGATTTCTGATGTCCTCTTGAACTGGCCCTTTTATTGTCATAAAACAATCCTCCTTATCCTAGGTAGTATTTTTTTTCTTTGAAATATACATTAATCTGATAGTAATATAGTACTCCAGCTTTCTTTTGATTAGTGTTAGCATATATTTTCCATCCTTCAGTTTTAATGTTTGTATTTTTATATTTAAAATGAGTTTCTTCTAGGAAGCATAAAGTTGTACCTTATTTTTTATACAATCTGTTATTCTCTGCCTTTGAGTTACAGGGTTTAGGCCATTTATATTTAAGGTGATTGTGTGGTTAGATTTAAATTTATTTGTTTTCTATGTGTCCCAGTTTTTTCTGCCTTCCTTTAGACTGTTTATTTTTTTGATCCTATTTAATCTCTTTTTTTTTCCTTTTTTTTTTTTTTTGAGATGGAGTCTCACTGTATTGCCCAGGCTGGAGTGCAGTGGCAAGATCTCGGCTCACTTCAAGCTCCACCTCCCGGGTTCATGCCATTCTCCTGCCTCAGCCTCCCAAGTAGCTGGGACTACAGGTGCCCACCACCACACCTGGCTAATTTTTTGTATTTTTAGTAGAGACAGGGTTTCACTGTGTTAGCCAGGATGGTCTCAATCTCCTGACCTCGTGATCCACCCACCTTGGCTTCCCAAAGTGCTGGGATTACAGGCGTGAGCAACCATGCCCAGTCTCTTTTTTTTTTCTTTTTAAAAAATAATCCTTCATCATGCTTAGAAATTGTTTGGAGTTTATAATACACATTTTAACTTATCATAGTCTACCTTCAAGTGATATTAGATAACTTCAAGTGTAGTGTGAAAACTTTGCAACATTATTCTTCTATTTCTCCCATCTCATTTTTGTGCTGTGGTTGTTATATATTTTCTACACGTTATATACGTCCTACATGTCATTAACCCCAAAGTAGTGTTCTTGTTTTTCACTTAAATGGTTTACTGTGTTTGAATATAACTAAACTTTTTTAAATAGTCTTTATATTTAACCATATATTTACCATTTCCTGTGATACTCATTCTGTTGTGAAGATTGAGGTTTTTAATCTAGTAACACTTTTCCTCTGCCTGAAGGGCTTCCTTTAACATTTCTTATAATTCTGGTCTGTTGGTGATGATTTACTTCAGCTTTTATATATTTGAAAAGGTTTGTATTTTTCCATAACTGCTAAAAGATATTTTTGCTACGTAAAGAATTCTAGGGGGGCTTTTTTTTCCTTTCAGTACTTTAAAGAGGCTTTTCAACTGTCTTCTGACTTGCATTGTTTCCAGAGAGAAATCTGTCATCCTTACCCTGTTCCTCTGTATGTAATATGTCTTTCTCCAGTGGTTACTTTTAAAATTTTTCTCTTCATAATTGGTTTTAAAAAATTTAAACACTTTAACATTTAACCATTTTTATGTGGTTTTCTTTGTGTTACTTGTGCTTAGGATTTGTTGAACTTCTTAGGCCTGTGGCTTTGCAGTTTTAATCAGATTTGGGGAAAAATTGAGCAATTTTTAAGTTTGATTCTAGAATGTGGCTAGGTTACTCAAAAACAGTTGGTCTTTTCAGGACTTGCTTTAAACTTCGTTAGCTGGGACCAGAGCTGCATTTAGCCTAGGGATAATTTTTCCCACTATTGAGGTAAGACACTTCTTAGAATTGTAGCTGATGCCCCTTAAATCGGGTTTTCAACTGTGGCTTTTGGAAACAGACTGTCTGTAACATTCGGTTACTGTTTCCTCTAATCCTCTCAAGGTGATTCTTTCCCCAGCCTTGGATAATTTCTCACATGCATGGCCTGATTCACGCTCAACGGAGTACTTGACAGGAATCTCCTGAATATCTCTGGAATTCTCTCTGCCTGGATCTCTCATTTATGGTGGTTGTTCTGTGGAAATTCTAGCTGCCTTGGCTTCCCTGGACTCCTAATTTTGTCTTCCCAACTCAAGGAAACATCTGATTCTTACCTGCACTGTGACCTGAATATTTTTTGCAGGTTGCAAGCTGGAGTAATCACAGGGCTCCCCTCCTACTTTTCCTTTGTCACTTGATGGTCAATGTCCTGAGTGTCATTGTTTCATACATTTTGTCCAGTGCTGTAGTTGGGTCAAGTGTGAGGGTAAATCCAATCCCCATTACTCCATCTTGACTGGAAGTGGAAGACGCTTAGTTACTTTTTATATCTCAACTCTTTAAGGAACCTTCTCCCTTTCTTGCCAGATCATGTCTGATGTCCCCAGCTGTGCACATCATGGAACCCTGTATTTTTTCCTCTGGGTTAATTATAACAACGGTAAGTAAATAATTTGTACAAATTGTTGAAGTGAGACAAATTTGCAGTCTTCCTCCTCCCATTTGAGGGAAACTAAAAACAACATAATTTAATCAGAACTGTAATTATTTCCCAAATTATAAATAGAATAACCATTAAAAACTGAAGTTACTGTGGTGTGATTCTTCCAGGCTTGATCAGAACAGGAAAGAGCCTGGGGCCCTTTCACCCACTAATGAGGTCCTATCATTCCCAAGGGACTAAGCCAGAAAGGCCTGCTAATACAGAAATATTATTTTTCCATCATGGGATTTAACTATCTGGACACTAAGAAAAGCTTATGTTTATCTTAGAGTGATATCTTTAGCTAACATACCACTTAAGTCGGGAACCAGCAGGTCACAATTTCACTGGTAGGTACAGGATCTACTTACACACTCACTCATGGGCTGTGTAGCCTGAGAAACTTAGAGTCAGTGAACATCTGTGCTCATCTAGTTAATGCTAATTGAGACTGAAGATTGAAAGGAAGAACCTAGAGCCTCAGCCAGTGGAGGAAATGTATTTTTCCAGAGAAAACATTTGAGAGGTGGCAGATTGAGAGGCTTAAAGAAGAAATACACATGAATATAAAAGTGAACCTGACAGCCAGGTCGGAGAAGGATGTCTTCCTTGTGAAGGCCCAAGATAAAGTCTCTTTCCTTTGTGTAATAAAATAGGAAGTTCTAAGTACAGTTTCAGGCTTTGTCCTTTTGAGTTGGAATGTTTCCTTCTGAGATCACCACAACTCTTCCATAAGGAACGTCACGTATGTACCACAACCCATTGTGTTGCGTGGGGAAAGGAGTGCTCCTCTGTATTCCTTTCTTGGATCCAGTGGAGAAGTGGGCTGCAGCTCCATAGGCAGGTTTGGATGCTGGGCCATTCACGGCTGTCAACAATAGAGAGGCTTATGACCCTGTAGGCCCCGGAGAAGATATTGCAGAGACATACTCCAAATCTCTTAATTGCCTTATAGTTTATGGAATACTACCATTTGAAGGAAAAGAAGTGGTTGCAACAACACCTGAACTACCTTTTTTAATATTTTCCCCCAAATAGACTATGTGTTCTGATATGGCAAAGACTGCCTGTCTTATTTGTAATGATATCCCCAGCTGTTATTTCAGTGTCTGGTATGTTAGAGGAACTTAGAAAATATGGGATGGATGCATGAATCTAAGTGTTAACCAGAAAATTCTCATACCCTCTAACAAATTTGGACAATGAACACAACAGGGACAGAACATGAAACCCAGGTCTAGCTTTCTAGTTCTAGACCATTTACTCTCCTTGTTAGCTGGGCTTTAGGAAGCAGAATTGGAAGATGAAAAGATGATCCTTCATGCAACTTAGGGACTCTTCCCAGCACATTTTGCTGCATTTCTCTGCCAAACCCTAAAGCCCCAAGACTCCTCTTAGCTCAGTAACACCTGTGCATTTCCTTAAATCCATTTCCAGAGTTGATAAATATACAAGGCAGAACAGAGTGGTGCAGCTCAAGGAAGTAAGCATGAGGATAATGGGTCCCTGTGCCCTGGAAATCTGGCACCAGTGGACTGTGTTAATTAGGTGCAAAGAAGCCATCTGGTCAATTTAGTTTTAATCTCATCAAGTTTTTTGAAAAACATTTGCCAGTGATGGGGCGTGAAGGGAAAATTTAAAAATAGTATAATTAGATGTGATGCCAGGAAGTCCTTGTCACGTGCCATCCAAGAGCAAAGAAGGAAAATGAAGAAGAAATTGCAAATACAATTAAATAAATACACCAAAATAAATGATAACAAAGCCAAGCAGACCTTGGCCTCAGTCCCTGCATTCTTCTAGGCAGTTCACTGCACTCTGTGTGCCGAGTTGCTTGGCAGGCTTTGCTTAGCTGGGCTGGGTTCAGCAGTGCTCAGGAATGTGAGTGGGAAGAGGTCGCCAGGCACCATTGCCCTGGCAGAGTGTCACTGAGTGTCACTGAGAGGGTGGAAGGGGTGGGACTGATATAAACCAGGCAGTGTCCTGCTGTCTGTGCACCCTGTACTGTGCTAGGTGTACCTGACCACCAAGACACAGTTACTCTCCACCTCTCTCCCCCGGGAGGAAAAAAGCTGCAGGGAGCATCTCTAAAGCTGAGCTTGTCTACCTGAATTATTCCATACCTAATGACCACTATTCAGCAAGTGCCTTGCATTCTCTAATCCCTGAAAACGTATGCAAAAAAAAAAAAAAAGTTTTACGTAGATGCCAGATTCTTGCATTTAATGGGGCAGCACCAGGAAGTACTAGAGATCCTTAACTTCAAGAGCAGGGGTCACTTTAAGATCTGCTGCCAGGCCAGGTCCAAATTCACAGCATCAAATCTTCAAAGACGGAACCAAGAGGGATCCCCTCTATTGCTCTACCCAGAAATACATTCAGAACCAAAGCTACCGAGTCAATGGCAAGTTACCAGTTTCTCTCTACTTCTTCTGTTCTGCAGCTGAGGCATTATCTATAGAACGTGTTTCTACAGCACAATAGTGCCAGCCTTAGAGTCCAAAGGCATGGGTCTGTGTCTAGATCCATGACTAGCTGAATCCACTGGCAGGTCACTGAAAGTCTATGAGCTTCAATTTGTTCATATATAAAACAAGATATATTTTCTCACCATTCTAAATGATAAACTGGCAAACATCTGTATGTTAGGTGTTATTATTGTTAAAGCTCTTGGAAACATACTGGAAGTACTCAAAGAAAGTATGTAGCAACTGCTGTGCCCTGGCTCAGTGTCAGGAGCATGAGTTCTGTTGCCTCATTCTGGGTGATTTGCTTCACTTCTCTGAGCTTCTATTGCTTCATCTGTAAAATGAGAGGGTGGGACTAGATTTCATACCAGTCTAGGCTTATCTGAGGCCCCTTACAACACCAGCTTCCCAGTGTACATAAAAGCTCATCTTGGGAAGACTGACTTACAACCCCAAAGACTGTATGCCCATAGCTCAGAATCTCCACATCTAGATGGGGGTTGGCAAACTACAAACTGCTGGGCCAAAGCCAATCCAACTGCCAGTGTTTGTGAATAAAGTTTTATTGAAACACAGCCATGCTCATTCATTTACTGCTGCCTACAGCTGCCCTCATGCTACGACAGCAGTGTAGTAGTTCGGTTAGTAACCACATGAAAGCCAGGCCTAAAATATTTACTGTCTTTCCCTTTATAGAAAGTTCACCATCCCTTGTTGTAGATGGTTGCTGGGTGATTTCAGCAAAAATATCAAACCACGTCTTACTTTCTTTTTTAAAAAAGTACGAAACATGGATAATCTGAGATACGTTGATGCTTTCTTTGGACAATCTAAGACACTGCTTAGGTGCATTAACATCACATAATAATAACAACAATAAACCTACTCAATCAACAGGTCTATTATTGGGAGGGAAGGGACATTTATACCTTTGGCATTGTTTTTACCAGACAGAAAACTTAATTAGACAAGGGTTTTATTCATAAGAAATAAGGCCTATGTTACATTCATAAGGATAAGGGGAATACAAACTTCTCTTAAAAACTAGATGAGCAGGCCGGGGGCGGTGGCTCATGCCTGTAATCCCAGCACTGTGGGAGGCCAAGGCGGGCAGATCACGAGGTCAGGAGATCGAGAGCATCCTGGCTAACACGGTGAAACCTTGTCTCTATTAAAAATTAATCAGGTGTGGTGGCGTGGTGGCGGGCACCTGTAGTCCCAGCTATGCAGGAGGCTGAGGCAGGAGAATCGCGTGAACCTGGGAGGCGGAGCTTGCAGGGAGCAGAGATCACGCCACTGCACTCCAGCCTGGGCGACAGAGGGAGACTCCGTCTCAAAAAAAAAAAAAAAAAAAAAAAACTAGATGAGCAGAGGGCAGAATGAGTATGGGAGAAATTAATCTTTATTCTTATAGACAAATCAACTCTACCCTGGAGTGGAAGTTCTTCATCATTTTCTAGCTCATCTCATCCTCGTTCATGGGGAAATCAGAGTCTATCTTCCTGTCACTCCCACTATCCTCTCCTCCCCAAAACCCAGCAAAAACCGCTGAACCCAGAGCTTAACGGAAAGAAGGAAAAACAGTGAATTCTTGCAAGGTCTGAGGCTCTAGAATGTGCAAGGCCCAACAATGAGCGAGAGAACTAATCCATTATCCCATTATCCTATAGAGGGGCAATGAGTCCCAGCGAAATGCTGAGTGCCACCCCCTCGATCACCAGCCCCCTCCCCAACCCCCCGCCAACACAGGGACTTTGGCACAAAGAGTCTGAAACAAGAAAGTAATGGGAAGTGACAGAAAGATAGGAAACAAAGGCACAGCCATCCAGGTGGGGCACTCTCTGAGCGTTTAGTGGTCGGCCTTCTCCCAAGTAGTGAAATCAACCAAGTAGCTAAATCAACATGGGATGGTGTGTGTGTGTGTGTGTGTGTGCGCACACATGCACCTCTGCAGTTCCTATGCCCAAGGGAGGGTGTTACCCTCCATACCAGTTATTGCTGTATAACAAGCCAGCCCAGTGATTTATCAGCTCACAAATCTATACATAATTAAGTTGGGTTGAGCTGAGCAGTTCTTCTCCTAGTCTCTCCTGAATCATTCATGCAGCTCTAGTCAGCTGGAGGATCAGCTGGGGGCTGGCTGGTCTAAGATGGCATCATCTGCCCTCCTGGCAGTTGGTGCTAGCTGCTGCCTACGCTTTATGCCTCTAGCTGCTCTGTGGGGGAGGAAGGGTCTGCAGCAGCAAGAGAAGGCAAGTCCCAATGCACAAGCACCTGGCAAGCCTCATGTCCCATCACATTTGCTAACATCACGTTCACCAAAACTAGCTCCCTGGCCAAGCCCAGTTTGAAGGAGTGAAGTAAGCCTCCACTTCATGGTGGCAGAAACAGCAAACTTGCCGTGCACAGGACATGCACACGGGGATGGGAGGAATCTGTGGTCATATTTAACAATCTATCACGCCATCCTAATTCTGAGTCCACAGAGGATGAAGTTGAGATTGGAACATGTCATGTATCTGCATGTTGTTAAGCTGTGAAGCATCAGAGGAAGGACTCTGGTCTTTGGAGTGAGTCAGAGAAACTTGGGATCAAAGCCTAGCTTCACTGCTTGCTTACTGTGACACCAAACATACCACTTAATCTGAGTCCATTTCCTCATTGGTAAAATGGTGGTGGTGTTATCTACTGCCCAGAGTGGAGTGCCTGACACAGTACCTGCCACAGAGGTCATCGAGGGTCTCAACTTCCACCCGCAGTTATCTGTGGCTCCGCGGATGAGTATGTTTCATGGTCAGCAACTCTAATGGGGCGAGAGTGCAGGGGCTTGGCTTTTCTGAGCAAGGAGTTTAGTGTCTGATAAATAGCAACACACTCATCTCCTATGTGCAGCTTCTCACATCAAAACCCACATGCCATGTGGAACTGTTTGGGCTCGGAGGGCCTGAATGCCTGAGGGCCCTCTAGACTTCAGTCTCTGAGAGGCCCCAACTCACACCACCCAGGAAGGAGAGAAGTGGGGCAATCGGGCGAGGGGCATTAACCTCTTAAACGCTGACTTTCTCCATTGTCCAGTCTTACAGATTGGGCCGTCAAGAAACTGTGTCCACACAGAAAGGGGTTTGGCAGAGGGAGAGGCCTGATCTTGTCTAGATTCTATTAAGGGGCTTGCACACAGACATTCAGCTTTGGAGCTAACCACAAGAAGGGCACTTGGAGGGCTCATGCCGGGCAACGGTGAATTTGCCAGAAAACTGGAAGTCACAGAGCACTAGCATTTGAGAAAGAAGGGTTCAGAGATACACAGCTGTGGCTCCCAAGCACAGAAAAGAACCTAAGCAGGGTCGGCCGTGGCTTGTGGCAGCCAGCAGTGAGAATCCTAAGAATACTCCACAGCCAGCATGTAAATGTGCTTGCTGGCAAGAGGCACACTCATCATTAAAGTGCTTTGGGGACATTAGAAGATATGTTTATGTAAGGCTCTGAGTGGTTCTTGGATGCAACACCAGGGCCTTAAAATGGCATGTCTGTGACAGGGGTTGTGTGCTTGTTGCATCAACAACCAAGATCTGGAGACGTTAGGCACAACAGTTTCTTAGTAAGTACACCAGAGGTGCAGTCTCAAAAATTTTAGGCATTTGAATGGAAAAAACCCAGTTGCCCAAATTGCTGAAGTGGTTGGGTTGACTGATTTATTTAGGTTTCCCAGTTTTACCCCTAGAAGCTCCCACAGCTCAAGAAATCCCTCAGCCCATGCAAACCAGGATGTTGGTCACCCTAAAGGCCGATAGCTCCTAGTTACCAGCAGTCAACCATCCAAGAGCTAATTTAATCCTGGACACTCAATGAGTTGCTTTAAGGATCTTGTGGCAGCAATAAATTAAACAATGAAAGAAAGACCACCTTGTGCTGTGTCTAGATTGGGCCTCACCTGGCATATTAGCCCCCCAGAGCAAATAGTGTGTGTGTGTGTGTGTGTCTGTGTGTCTTTGTGTGTGCACATGCATGCGTGCACTCACAGCAGCGTTGGGGGGATTTATTTTAAGGAATGGACTCACAGGACAGTGGAGACTGGCAAGTCCTAAAGCTACAGGATGGGCTGGCATTCTGGAGACTGAGGAAAAGTCGATGTTGCAGTCTTGTTTCTGAAGGTCGTCTGGAGGCTGAGATTCCTCTTCCTTGGGGATGTCAGTGTGTTTGCTCTTAAGGCTTTCACAGGATTGGATGAGGTCCACCCATATTTTCATGTGATCTACTCAGTCTAGTGATTTAAATGTTAATCTCATCTGAGAAATATCTTCACAGCAACATTCAGATGTGCTTGACAAAATAGCTGAGTATGGTGGTCTAGCCACATTGACACAGAAAAATTAACCATCACACTTGGGCAAAAGCTAGTCAAGCCAAGAAATATATGCAGTGCTGTGCCTGGTAGCAACTTGGATTCTGGTGGAAGAGCCTAGGAAGGAGGCCCCTCAGGAACTAGAGGAGATGCTGACATCCAGGTGCATACGACCTACCCTAGCTGAGAACCTGGAGGCTTCCCATCCGGTCTCTTCCGGACCAGAAGTACAGCAAGGCTGGGGCTGACGGCTCGGCCAGGGCCATTCTCAGTTTGCTTTATGATGTTTGGAAGTCACAGCAACATGGAATGAGAGCACCGATATCTCATCGCCTCCCTAAACTGTGGGAGGAATTGGAAAGCAGCAACTCTGGCCTCCGTGAAAGTTCTGGGTGTGCTAGAGTTCCCTGGCTCCGGCGGCAGCAGTGCCAAGAGGACAGGCAAGCCTGTCAAATAGCTCAACAGAGCTCAGATAGTGGCCGGGCCTTCTTCCTTCTAGCTAAGATTAGGCCTGGATCAATTAAAACTGATACGTATTCATGATTTTAAAGTATTTAAAATATTACAGCTGTAATATCCTGCAAACCATAGAATCTCAGCACTGGGCGGAACTTCGAGTTCCTCTGCTTACTGTGTCCAGCTGTAGCCTTTATTAAAAACGGACTGCAATGAGCCAGAGGCAGCAGTATGGCTTCACTGGCTCTGATCACCCCGTTGTGTATTAGGAACAGTCTACATTAAAGGAACTTGAATTCTTTCAAGGGATTCTAGTTGCTCCTGCCTGTCGCCATGGTGTTTCTTTCTTTTTTTTTTTTTTTTTTTTTGAGATGGAGTCTCTCCCTGTTGCCCAGGCTGGAGTGCGGTGGCACGATCTCGGCTCACTGCAACCTCTGCCTCCTGGGTTCAAGCGATTCTCCTGCCTCAGCCTCCCGAGTAACTGGGATTACAGGTGTGTGTCACCATGCCTGGCTCATTTTTTTTGTATTTTTAGTAGAGACGGGGTTTCACCATGTGGGCCAAGTTGGTCTCAAACTGCTGACCTCAGGCGACCCACCCACCTTGGCCTCCCAATCACACTGGGATTACAGTCATGAGCCACCATGCCCATGGTGTTTCTTTTACTTGAGTCTTTTACTGTGGTCGTCCTCCCCTGTCGGTGTTTCACCTAGGCTCCCATTAGAGCACACAGACCCAGAGCCTGGGGGAGGAAGGGAGGTAAGGGAATGGGGAAGGCAGAGCCTAAGATGAACAGAGGTAGGAAGCAGTAGGAAAAATCAGGGCAGAAATAAAAAAGCATGGGGTGGATTGCAGTGGAGCAGACAATGAGAGGAGAAGCAGATAGCCAGGACCAACCACAAAGAGAGAGAAAACTGGGAAAGAAGGGACCAAGAATAAGGGAGAAGGGGCAAAGATCAGCCACAGGCAGGTGAGGAGGTGGGAACCTGATGTGAGGGAGCTTGGGCCAGAAATGGGGTACACGAAGGAGTGGGGTACATGCCAGTGGACTCGTTAGATGACCAGGGACAACAAAGAGTTTGGCAGCTTGACTTCAGGTGAAAGCATAGTGATGTGGTTTGGAAGTTTGTCCTCTCCAAATCTCATGCTGAAATGTGGCCCCCAGTGTTGGAGGTGAGGCCTGGTGGGAGGTGTCTAGATCATGCGAGTGGGTCCCTCACGAATGGCTTGGTGCCCCCCTCACAGGAATGAGTGAGCTCTCACTGTTCGCATGAGAGCTGGGGGTTTTGAAGAGCCTGGAACTTCCTCCTCTCTCTTGCTCCCTCTCTTACCATGTGACACACCTGCTCCCCTTCACCTTCCACTGGGAATAAAGCTTCCTGAGGCCTCCCCAGAAGCCAAGTGATGCTGCTGCCATGCTTGTACAGCCTGCAGAACCATGAGCCAAATCAACCTCTTTTCTTTCTAAATCACCCACTCTCAGGCATTCCTTTATGGCAATGCAAAATGGACTAATCCACGTAGCTGGCTCCATTCTCCCTGCTCCTGCCCCAGACAGGCCATCCCAGTTCCTGGAAGCTGCCGTGGTCAAATCCCATACCAGTGGAACAAGTTGATTTTTCTTCCTCTAAGACAATAAAGTAAAACTTTGCCCAGTTTTGATGAGCTTTTCATATTCTCCTAACAAATAGCCCCTGCCAACACCACCCAGGAGACACAACGTCTCCCAATGTTAAGTCTCCTGTACTTAGGATTCCTCCCTAAGATAAATGAAAACATACCCACATATCTTCCCAAAACATATTCTGTCATTCGTTCATATCAGCAAACAAGCCACAGAAATTCTGCAAACCCTCTGAAAAACATGCTTACCCAGCATTTTCCCCAGCAGACACAAAGCTCACTCCTGCTGACATAAACACACACACACACACACACACACACACACACACACGCTTTCCTGAACATTGCACAACTAACCAGTTGCTCATCCTTTGTGGAGACATAATATTTTAAGGATGCTCCTGACAGCCCACGAGGGAGTCACTGCTGTGGCCTGTGATGGTGTTGACCAGGTTGTATATCCAGTGTACACTATGTCTAAAGGAAAAATCATTTCCAAGAACAATGATGGAAGTAGCCCAAATATGTGCTTGGAGGAAACCAAGTGAATTCGGGTTTTGGTCCAAGTAAAATATCAAAAGGATGAATCAGAAAAATATATATGTGGGGCTTTGAAAAGTTATTTTACTTTGTACGGTTAAAATGGCAGAGTTTCAATTTGAGTTTCGAGTGCACGAGAGATGTGTCAAATGATCCAGTTTGTAGCTTGTGACCAGCCTGGAGGGGAAATGATAAAACATTGTTTTGATTATGAACCTAAGATTGTTTCAATAAACACCGCCTGGAGATCACATTAATATCAATTTTTTTAATGTCTCTCTTTTTTTACTGAGCTTTACAAAGAGTTTTCATTTTGCTTTGGATGGGGTCTTTGAGGTTCCTGCCTGCAGCCTCAGAGCCTTCCACATGCCCACTGTTTTCTGAGGCGCTTTAGTCCCTTCCCTGTGCAACTCCTTTGAGATGAGCTAGAGGCTGAAGCTTTCCTATCACTGGGCAGTAAATCTCACTCTCAGGTCAATCCAAGACCATGAGACATTAGAAGACAACCTGCAAAATTGTCTCACCGCGTCCGTGACTCTTGGGGGATGTCCGCGGGAGAACATGGGGTCAGGAGTAAGAGGTCCTGGTTTTAATTCCTGGCTCTGCCACTTCTGAGTTTTGCCTCCTCCCATGTTTTTTTCATTCAGCAAATATTGTTGAGGGCCTAATGTGTGCCGTGCACTGTGGTAGATACTGAATACCGAAACAGAAGCGGAGTCTAGGATTTTACAGTTGGAGGGTGACAAGGTAAACACATAAGATTTCATAACATGTGATAAGTGCAACAATGGAAATATTTACAAGGCGCAAAGATTGCACAGAGGAGGAAGTAAATCCCATTCTCGGGGAAGAGAAGGGAAGGCTTTTGCTAGGAAGCAACACATGAATTTGGTTTCAAAAGAGGGAAGGAATAGGTGGATAGGAGTCTACCAGGCAAGTAAGGGATGGGGGAAGGATATCCTTGGTCAAAGGAAGAGCAAGCACAAAGACTCAGAGATGGGGCAGAGTGAGTGCATTTGGGAAGCTATCTGCATCTTGCTGTAACTGAAGCATAAAGTGCCTTGGATACGCAGGAGGAAAGGGCTGCAATACGCAGTGAGGGTAAAGGGTAGGCAGAGGCCAGTATAACGATTTTAACTTTATGGTTGTGATAATAGCAGTAGCTCATATTTGCAGAGCACTTCATGGCGTTCAACACTGTGTGAACATTCTATGAACACTGTCTCATTTAATTTTTACAATTATTAAAAATTGTGCTATTATTATTTATCTCCACTTAGTGGATGAGGAAACTGGTTCTTGAAGAACGTATGTGACTTGCACAAGATAGAGACAGTGCAAGGGGAGGCTGGGACTTGGACTCTAGCCTGTCCAGTGGCAGAGGAAGCCCACTTGGGCTGTGCCCCTAACACCCATGAGTCTGCTGGATTTAACAAACAGAAACCTTTTTTTTTCATCACCTTATTGATGACCTTTGCTAGTCCAATGTTGATAGCATCTAAGGGGTTAGAAACTAGACTTTAGTGGATTGAGGAGTAGGCAATTTCAAGAAAAATTTAAAAGATCAGGTCCAAATTTTATGATCTCAATGTCTGGTTTTCTCCAACCTAGATTAGTGCATGAAATGGACAGGAAGATGAGCCAAGGATAAGGAATTCCAAGGAAGAAGACTCGGCCTCTGGAGTGGACAGACTGTGCCACAGGGGAAGAGAGCTGGCCTAAACAAAAGAAAAAAGAGAGAGCCGAAGATGGTACATCTTTATTCCATAGGAAGAAAATGGGAGTGGCACACAGTGCTACATTGTTCAGAGATGGGAAAATTGCACCCAGTGGGGACTACAGGGAGAGGTATCACATAAGAGATGATATTTGAGTGAGGCACTGAAGAATGAGGCAGGAGCAAGGGCGGAGGGAAAGTAACTCCAGAACGGCCAGTGATTGAGCAGACCAGAGAAGGAGGAAAATGTCAAACCAAAGAAAGAGAAGCCAGAACACGTTTGTGGGAGCAGAGTCTGAGTGTGAAACAAGGACAAGGCAACACTGGCTGCAACCAGGCGATAGAGGGCTGGGCTAAGGAATGCAGCCCAGATTCAGAAAGAAGGGAGATCCACTAACGTTTCTGCATTTCGGCAGAGGAAGCTGTGATCAAAGAACTTCCCCAGGGCGATACTCTGGCTGCCTGGGTCAGGGTGGAGCAGAAAGCTCAGTCAAGGTAATGCAATGGGAGCCGGGGCAATAGTCCAGGTGTGAGGCTGCGAGGCCTGAGCTGCAGAGGCGGCCCGCAGACAGAGAGAAAGGTATGCCCCAAGGAATATCGTGAACAGGACTCCGTGACAGGCGAGAGGGAGCTGTCAATGTTCATGCCAAGGGTTCCATGACTTCAAGAATGCCTGTGCTATTAACAGAAATAGCAAAGTCAAGACAAAAACATGGGTTTTTTTTTCTTTTTGTAGCTTTTGATTATTGTATACACAAAAAGTGTTTGTTGAAGAAAAATCTGAAAACATATTAAGGGAAATAAAAATAAATGACCATAATGTCATTGCTACTATTCCTGTTTGGTATACTGTTTTCTTTCTCTATGCTTATATATTTCTAATACTTTAATTGCAATTGGGATTATTCCATTTTACGACTTTTCTTCACTCAACAATATATAATATACATTTTTCACATCAATAATTGTAATTCAGCATTATTTTACTGATTACTTAGAATTCTAATTTATGAATTTACCACAACTTACTCTGTCTGTTCCCTGAGGCTAACCATTCCGCAGGGTTCCAATTTTACTTATAATTAATATCCTTGAAGCTAAATATCTCTACACATCTTTAATTACTTCTTTAGAATAAATCCCTGACAGTGTAATTTGGAAGTCAAAGGAAATGTGGGGGCTTTTAAGGCTTTTGAAACAAAATTGTCCCCCAGAAAGAATCAAATTAACTTATACTGTCACCAGCAGCAAAGGAAAGTAAAGAGAGAAAGGTTTTACTAGAGGAAATGTGAGCAGTTTCAGATACGTAGATTCTAAAGCACCTACAGGATACATCAAAGGTAGTGACAAATAAATAGTTGGGAAGGAAGGAACTAGATTTGAAAAGAAAAATCAGGTTCCTCCTCCTGTTCCTCTTCTTTTTCTTCCCCACCACTCCTCCTCCCTGCCCTTCCCCTCTCTCCCCTTCCCTTTCTTTCCTGAACAACTCAGTCCTAAGCTTTGGTGGAGTGCAGCAAGGTAGGCACTCCCACAGCAGAGCAGAGGCACAACAGCCTGAGCCGGCAGAGGCAGTGTCAGCACAAGAGGGTGCCCTGGCCTTCTGAGGGGTCCCAGGGCCCAGGCTCCACAAGAGGCCCTCTGTGCAGGAATGTGGCCCCATGCAATGGCTGCCAGAGCCTCAGGGAGGTGAGGAGGGTCTCCATGCAGGGGCAGCCAGGTGATGCAGGTGAAAGGAAATTGTTAACACAGAGGAGGATATGTCAGATAAGTAAATATATTGAGAATTAGGGAAGCCAGGCTGTTTGCTGGGTTATGGTTTTAACCTGGGTTCTCTAGAGAAATAGGACCAATAGGTGATAGATGATAGGTAGAGGGGTAGATAGATGGATGGATGGATAGATAGATAGATAGATAGATAGATAATAGATAGATAGATAGATAGATAGATAGATAGATAGATAGATAGGATGTGATGTATTATAAGGAATTGGCTCACACAGATATGCAGGCTGAGAAGCTCCGAGATCTGGAATAGGCAAGCTGGACACCCAGGAGAGCCAACGGTGTATTTCCATTTTGAGTCCAAAGGCAGGAGAAGATGGATGCTCTAGCTCAGAGACAGTCACACAGAAAAGGTGAATTCTCACTTAGCCTTTTTGTTCTATTCAGGCCTTCAACGGATTAGATGAGGCCCACTCACATCAGAGAGGGCCATCCACTTTACTCAGAAACACCCTCACAGATACACCCAGAATAATATTTAATCAAATATCTGCCCAGTCAGGTTGACACATAAAATTAATCATCACAGTTCTCACAACAGCAAAAGACAAAGTGAGGATGAACCCTGTGGATTTGAATTAGAGATGTAGGTGTGAACTCATAGTTATCTATCTATCTATCTATCTATCTATCTACCTACCTAGCTGCAATGTAGATATAAATATGTGTATGTGTGTTTTTTTATTGTCTAGCTCTGCCCTCCGAGAGGGGGCTGGGAACAGTAACATCCCAACGGCAGTAAACTCATCTAGCACTCAGGTTTTCTTTTCCAAATGCCATTTTTTCACTGAAAAGAACCATGATTCCTTGGCAAAATGGCTAATTCCAGGGCGAGGTAGGAAAAGTAAAAGATGACCCTGAAACAATCTTTCTTTTTGCCAGAAAATAAGGAAAAGCACAAAGAGTGATGGCGCAAGTCCAGAGGACACAAAAGCCAGCTTGAAGGAACTCTCACTGGCCAAATCTTGGACAATTTAAGCACCAAAATAAATAATGATCATAAATAACAATGGATTATAACTTGTTGAATAAAACAGGAACCCATGAATCCATACTGATATAAATAAATAGGGAAATAAATGGAAAGCTTGATGATGAACAGGATACTTACAATACCTCAAAGTAACTTTCCATAAAATATTCATTAATTACAAAGAAGGGAAAAGTAACTTTTCCCCTCTGAGAGACACCATCTCAACCTAGTGATCGAAGTCAACCTTATTAGTAAAGGGACAAATTGCAATCGTATACCTCCTATGTAGGCAAGAAGGATGCAGCACCAATTCCTGCCAAAGGTGCACACCTTATGTCTAATGATGAGGCTACATCAGCAAATCAAACTTAAGAGACATTCAACACAATAACTGGACTTGTTATCTCCAAAACTGTCAAGATCATGAAAGTCAGGGAAAGGCTGAGGAGACTAATTCTCGGTTAGAACCCATTGCTGTAAAATACTTCACTAGGACAGGAGGTAAATCTCACATGGAGTCTGAGAGCTAAATCACAGTACTCCGTAACTGTTAATTTTCTGGGTTTGACGGTGGTGTTTTGATTACAGATAAGAACGTCCGGGCCGGGCGCGGTGGCTCACGCCTGTAATCCCAGCACTTTGGGAGGCCGAGGCGGGCGGATCACGAGGTCAGGAGATCGAGACCATCCTGGCTAACACGGTGAAACCCCGTCTCTACTAAAAATACAAAAAATTAGCCGGGCGTGGTGGCGGGCGCCTGTAGTCCCAGCTACTCGGGAGGCTGAGGCAGGAGAATGGCGTGAACCCGGAAGGCAGAGCTTGCAGTGAGCCGAGATCACGCCACTTCACTCCAGCCTGGGCGACAGAGCGAGACTCCGTCTCAAAAAAAAAAAAAAAAAAAAAAAAAAGAACGTCCTCATTTGCAGAAAATACGTGTGAAATGATTGATGATGCGCCGTGTCACCAATTTTCTCTCAAACAACCGCAAGAAAGAAAGGTGCTTTTTACTGTTCTTGCAAATTTTCTGCAAGTTGGAGAAAGAGAGAGGGAGGAAGAGAGAGACAGGCAGCCTGGCAGGCAGGCCAGGGCTCGGATCACCCACGTGAAATTGACAGCACTGAAGTTCAGGGTGTAAGCCATGCTGCTGGCACTGGAAATGCCGGGCTCATCTGCCCTATTTCCACGCCAGTCCTAATGAAGACTGTGACACATATGCTAAGAGGCTACTAGACAGTGGGGTCTTGCTTCCTCCTGCGATCCCCTGGCTCATGTGCTCAGCCCACGGCCTGCCTTGAACACCAGCCTACTTGATCAGAACTTGGACTTACTGCCCAGCTCTAGCCAGGCCCATAGCCCCAGACCTTCCACCTACTGTCTGGGGTCTTGTTCAGAGTGGCTGGGGCACCCTCACCCACATAGCTATCAGTTGCCTGAGGCTATGTCTTAGCCATCTGAATAAGAGGCTGCCCGGCCCAGCTGCCATTTCTCCCCTGGAATGTCTGCAGATCAAGCCTGAGTATGACACGACTTTTTACCCTGTCCTTTGCTAAGGTCCCAGCAGGCTTCCCAGACAAGCCCCACTTCTCCAGGTTAAAATGGAAGGATAATACCTCTGACGTATAATTTAGGGGAAGTACACAGAGGAAGAGAGGACGAACCATGATGGGGTTCGAAGGGACTGTCAGAGCAGTGACATGCTGTGCAGGCCGGAGGAGGCGTTTAGGAGCAGGTGGTGCATTCAGCAAGTGAGGTGAATAAGAAGTCTGTGAATTCGCTCCTTGGGAGGCCTCAGGTGAGCTCCCAGGAGGCACCTTCTGTAGAGGGCTGGGGGAGAGTCAAATGATGAGAGGTCCTGGGTATCAGCGAGAAAGGCAGCACAGAGGTTTTCCAGGGAAAGCAGAGGTGAGATGATTGTTTAAGGTTTAAAAAAACAAAGATTTGGGAGAGATGGGGATATCATTCCATGGTTAGCAGGTTTGTAGTGAAATGACAGACTGAAAGTACATAGATGGGAAAGGTAGTTGGGAATTTGGTCATGGGATAGAATCAAAAGGACAGGTAAAAGGTTTGTCTTAGAAAGCAGAGACCAAAAGGCAGAGGAAAGGAGGAGAGGGTAGTGCTTTCGAGGCAGGGAAGAAGGGTGGTCCAGCGGAGAGGGTGGAAGATCGGGCACTGTGGGTCAGCTGACCTGCAGGAATTCGGTGTCAGGGTTTCAGCCAGGTCATCAACATGAATGACAGCATTAGTTATTCCACTAAAGCGGAAGTGGCCAAGGCATGTGTACCACCAGTGTGCAGCACAGTCCCTGAGGATAATAACCAGAAACAGTCACTGAAGAAGGAGAGAACCCAAGTGGAGAAGAAGAGGATGTGCAGAAGATGGTTAAAATGCAGGGCTGTGGCCCAGAGGCCCTTGCCTACCAGCCTTGGAAACATGGCCAAGAACATTTATAGCAGCCTGACTTTTAATAGCATAATGGGAAACAACCAATTATACACTGGCTGGGGAATGGTAAGTAATGGCTGGCATAGTCACATAATGGAATACTATTCTGTGGCAAAAATTAATTAACTATGACTACCTGCGTCAATTCAGATGAGCCTGAAAAGCATAAGACACCAAAGAATTACCCTATGTGATACTATTCATATGAAGTTCAAATGCACACAAATTTCTAAAATGCATTTATTTTACTAAGTATGCTTTCAAACAATAAATATAAATCCCCTTGGCGGGGAGGGACCACCAATGGGGGGGCACAGAAGCTGCTTCACCATCTGGGGAACATTCTATTTCTTAAGTTGGGTGATGGGTCTGGGAGTATTTATTTTATATTATTTAATATCCATGCATTATGTTTTCTGTTTGTATGAGTGAAATATTTCATTGAAAAATAAACACTACTAGCTTGCAAAAAGGGGGAAAGTCTGCAAGTGCTAACAAAAGGGAAGTTGTGAGTGCTCTGAAGACCAGGTTACTCCCTGCCCATGCCCTTTGTTGGCCCAGGGATCTAAAAATTCTGGTGTCCAATTTTCCCAATGCTACAAGCAACTCTGCAAAATTTCAGGAAGAATGTAAAACTATCTAACTGGTAGGATTGCAATCAGAATTCAGAGTTCTCCTTGCAGCACATAAACAGAAAGACAAACAAAAAAGTGAACACTGTGAACTTTAAAAGAAAACACTCTTTTGAGGAAAGAACCAGTTGCTCTGAGGGGTGACACCAGGAAGGTACACAGAGGGCAGCCCCGCCTCTCTGAATGTGGGGCTTAGGAGAGACTGCACGGGAAACCCTTCACTCTATAATCATGGAGTGTTTGACCTTGAAGAGATGGGGCATCCACAGATGTTACCTGGGTTTTGTAAAGACCCGAAACTCTTCCAGAATAATATGGAGATTTACTCAAATTCTGGAGGCTTATTTTTCCAAATGAATTCATCTGGGACTGAAACGTCTCTTCTCCTCCATCACTCCCTCTCCATCTCCAAGGCTAAATTCAAGCACTGGTCATCAACAGGTGAGCCATCCATGTAGGAAGGAAAGCAGGGCTGGGCTCTAGGGATCATGAAAAAATTGCCCACAGAATGCCAGAGTCTACTCAAGGCAGGTGGTGGGGGAGCAGTTCACAGCAAGTCACTGAGAAGTCATCCCAGAGGTGCCAGAAGCTTCAAGGCCTCGTACTTGGCCTTTGCCCCAACCCCTTCCTTTCATAGCCAAGAACACCGGCTCCAGCAGCGAGGGGTGATCTGATAGCATCACACAGCGGGAGGCCCCAGGATGTCTTTGCTGAAGACACTAGACTATAAATAAATGGTAAAACATGAGAGAAAGGTCAGGCTCCGGGAAAGCACTCCTCATAAATCCTCTTTATCCTGATTGCTCCATGTAGAAGCAGATTAAGTGTAAAATACTGGTCTTGAATGGGGTCCAGCCAAAACTTATACAGCTTGAGAGCTTTTTGGAAGGACTGTGTTCTTTCAAAGGAAGTGATTTAGGAAATGCGATGCTGGTAGAAGGTCCTGGAAGGAGGAAAGATGGGCCAATTTTATCAACCAAGCAGGGCATTCCATCTACTGTAAAAGGATATCCCACCTGTTACAGAGCGGGTGCTGATTTTTGTGGTGCAGATGGTGTATTCGTAGTAGAGTGTGGCAGGGCATTGTGATATCACAGGTCTGTTGTAATGAGTGCAGCTTTTTCTAAGACCGTGTATTTTGTGAGGTAGGAGGTAGAAAACTTTCAGGTTGCAAAGTACAAAGTAGTTTCAAGTTTTGGAAGCAGAAATAAATATGCAGGACTTGGGCCATTTCAGTCTCAGTTTCTCTCATCTGTAAAATGGGGATAATTATAGGACCCGTGACCAACGATGAGGTAAGAATTAAATGCAATGACATGGTCGGGCACAGTGGCTCATGCCTGTAATCCCAGGACTTTGCGAGGCTGAAGGGGTAATGATCTCCTGGGCAGATCGCTTGAGCCCAGGAGTTCAAGACAAGCCTGGACAACATGGCAAAACACCGTCTCTAATAAAAATTTAAAAATTAGCCAGGCATGGTGGCACATGCCTGTAGTCCCAGCTACTCAAGAGGCTGAGGCTGGAAGATTGCTTAACCCTGGGAGGTTGCAGCTGCAGTGAGCTGATATGGCATCACTGCACTCCAGCCTGGGTGACAGACAGGGACCCTGTCTCAAAAAACAAAAACAAACAAAGAAATGCAATGATGCCTGCATAGTCCTTCACTTGATGATGCCTAGAATATTTAACTGCCCCACAAATGTTAGTTATTCATCATCACCATGATCACAACCACCGTTATGACTCACCTAAGTAAACAGTAGTCTGTGTGGTTCTAGAGAGAGTTCAAGAAGGTAACCTGGGCTACGAAAGGACTAGCTCATTTGGTGGAGCTCATAAGTTAACTAAGAGCTAATAGAGTCACCCAGAAACTATTATTAAAAAAGAAGGCTGTGGGGTCTGAAAACTGAGTTACAATTGAAAGTGGACGTCTGTCTGTGGACAGCAGCACAAGATAAACGGGCAGAGAAGTCTGTGAATGCTGGGGCAGAATGTAATGTCGCCGAGAGATCAGTCATCATTCATTCACCCATTCAACAAATATTTATGAGCACCTACTATATGCCAAGCTCTGTTTGTGGTGTTACGGGTACAGGGTTGAGCAATGCCAGGAAAGCTCCTACCCCCACGAGTTTACTGATGAGGCAGGAGCTAAGAGACAAAGAGGCAGGCAAACGGCCTAAAATGTGTCTGCAAGCAAGGGGTAGAGCATGGTTCTCACGGAGCCTGTGGCATCTGTTAAAGCTCTCTGCTGTTTCTATGAACCTCCTTTGAATGAGAACCCTAGGAGCAGTACAGAGGTAAAAAGAAAGACTTTGGAGCCAGTCAGGCCAGGGTGCGAGTCTTGGTTTAGCTTTGCTGTGTACCTAAGACCTCTGAGCAACAGCTCCCTTGATTCTCAAAGAAGCACAAAAACAACGTCCTTTCAGAGTGTTGCAAAAATTAAAAATGAGTATGTCAAGCACTTAATTTTGTGATGAATGTAGGATTATGTGTTTAATATAGTAGAGCTACTTTTCTGCTTATGCAATTTGTAACTTGGGTCATTATTTCTTCATCTATTCCTGTTTGTTTTTAGTAAAGTTCCTTTGCAAATATCATACTCTTAACTAAGGAAAAGGAAAGCGCAAGATGTTTGCCCAAGCTTTAGTGGTGCAGGATGCCATAGGCGGTGAGCATCTGAGAGGGTGGTGTTGACAGCTAAGCTCCCAGGTAGGACCCCTGGAGAAAAATTGCAGCCTTGGAGGGGGGCTGTATTCTGGTGAGGAAAGGCAGACTCTTAGGTCCCAGGGACCATGCTGGGCAAGAAGAGAGGTCAGAGTCACAGAGCAAGGCCCTAGTGATGAAAGTGTGCATGGGGAGAGCCTTCACAGGGGGCTTCCACATGCTTGCCCTTCTTCTCCTCAAGCCTTCCTTGACAGGGAGCTGTTTAATTCCCCGTTATGCTGCTTGCACTTAAGAACTGGGTGCAAATCATTGCTGCTACTGTCATTGCTGTTGCATGTTTTGTACTTTGCTATCCACCTTGGCTGCTGTTTTTTGTTTTTTTTTTAACTGTGGTAAAATACACATAACATGACATTTACTGATTTAACTTTTTTTTTTTTTTCTGAGATGAAGTTTCGCTCTTGTTGCCCAGGCTGGAGTACAATGGCGTGATCTCAGCTCGCTGCAACCTCCATCTCTCAGGTTCAAGTGATTCTCCTGCCTCAGTCTCCCAAGTAGCTGGGATTACAGGCGCCTGACACCATGCCCGGCATGCCTGTAATCCCAGCACTTTGGGAAGCTGAGGCAGGTGGATCACCCAAGGTCAGAAGTTCGAGACCAGCCTGACTAACATGGCGAAATCCCGTCTTTACTAAATACACATGCTTTAGCCATTTTTAAATGTACAGTTCAGTGGTATTATGTACATTCTCATTGTGCAATTATTGACTCTTTTGAGCCTCAAAGTCTCACCATCGGTGGAAGCAGGACTCACAGGAGCATGCCCATGTCCCCATCGCCCTAATTCCAGACCCGGGTGTTCTAGAGTTCCGTGAGGCTTTTCTTTCTGCACAGCAGAGAGTGGTCTGGGCACAAAGACAAAGCTCAAGGCTGCTGTGCTCTCACCTTTCATCTGGATTGTTGTTTGTGTGAAATTTAACATCGCTCACCTGCTTCTGACACGCATTTACCAGGATGTGACTCAAACAGAGCCCCATTTGGCTGACATCTGCCGTTCCCATCCTGCCTGACTCTGCAGGGAAGCTCCACTCTGGCAGAGGGAGCACAGTCGGGTTGCTGTTCCTGGCGAAGGAAAGCAGGGTTTGCTGCCTAACATAGCAAGGGACGAGGCAGGGTTCCTAGTTCTTCTCCCAAGGCCTTTGCTAACGCTCTGTGGGGTTTTTCAGGAAGTCACTGGGCTTAGCTATCTGTCAGGAGCAAAAATAACAAAATCAGTTTCTATACAGTTCCTCACTGGTGACTCATGCGACCCCAGATTCTTTTAGGTCCTCCAGATTCAAAACGTTTGAGAATGGTTAACCCTATTTTAGAAAACTGATCTAGTTTTTAATTATGATAATAACCCATGGTTATTTAATGCCTAGTAGATGCCAGCCACTGTGCTAGGAAAGCAAGTGGTCAGGTGACCTGAAAGATGGTTCTGAAGCCAGACTTTATCAATAAAAATGAGACATGGAAACATCATTGAGACTCTTGCCAGGCACTGTCCCTGCTAAGATGCTCAAAGGCCGGTTAGGTTAAACAGGGATGCTCTCAGGACAAATGCATTACCTTAATATTACCTAAGACTCCACTCTAGTGAGCTGGACTAGCCCACATCCCCAGTTTAAGAGCCTGGTCAGCACTCTTACTTAAAGCCAAGGTCTAGAGAAACTCCATGCCCTCCTCCCGCCGTGCCAAGCCCTGGTGTGGGCCCCCAGCTCATCCACTCCAACAGCAGGAGGAGGCAAGGAGGAGACCAGAAGGAGGCAAGTGAAGGAGAGGGAACCACTGAGAAGGGAAGACGCCAGCCCTTCTCCCCTCTCATCCATGCCTTCCCCTCTATGGCCAATTCAGGTGAACCTGCAGCCTCTGTTCCACTCTCACTAGCAACTGAGAGCCTCCTCCCTGGGGTTAGGAAGTGGTGGCCTTCCTGCTTTGAGTCTGTGGCAAGCAAGGTTCCTAAATCTCTGGCCACAGGGATGCCCAGAGGATTCTGGGAAGAAATCAGCGTCTCCCACCTTTGAGGAAACTTCAAGAAGTGGGCCTCAGGAACACAGCCACGTCTCTCTTTCCCCTGCAGTTTCTCAGTGGCGTGCTGTAATACCAGCTAAGCATACTTAAGACCTTTCTTCTAATTGCCAAACAGATGCCTTCAGTTCAGGGATGAGGGTGTATCAAGATCTGTAAGTTGTACACCAAATGCTCACAGGTTAAACAACATCAGCTCAGAGAGGAAACATTTATGTCTAACTTTCTTTTCCTTGTATCAACAAATGGCACTGCAGCCCCTGGGCTCTGCTCATTCCTCACTGTATTTGTTCTCTGGCTACCCGTATATTTTTTCTCTGGCTTCTGACAAATTTTACCCTGATTTTCAAACCCAAATGCAAATACATATTTTTCAACTTGCTAACCATCTGATGAAGCCGTTGCCTTTTCTCTGCTATGCCAGCCCCTTGACCTTGGCTAAGGGTCCACTCTGGTTTCTTGACCAAGTAATTCAGCCAATCACATGAGAGCACATGGCTTCAAGCCTTCACTCTCCTAGCCAGGTGCCTGCACAGAGAGCACAGCAGTTATGACTCAGACAGAGAATGCCTTTCTCTAGGAAAGAAGGTCCTATTCTCATTCTGCTCATCAGCTTATTATTGCATCTGAGATCATAAGTCTAAATAGCAGCGTTAGGGAGAAAAATGTAAAGATTTAATTTCCTGAAAGTTTCACATGGGGATGCAGCTACCAAACAAATACCATAACATATTGTTAGGATATATAACTGGGACACAGAACACAGAAGCCACGTCCTTAATGTCATTGGACCACACCTAGAACATTCCTTGCTTCACTTCCAGGCATCATCCTTCAAGAGAGGTGTTGATACATAAAGAACCATTCATTGAAAGAACAAAACATGTAGCCTCAAGAAAGAAAGTGGATAGACTGTGTGCACTGGCTCACATCTGTAATCCCAGCAATTTGGGAGACCAAGGCAGGAGGATCTCATGAAGCCAGGCATCACAGACCAGCCTCGGCAACAAAATGAGAAACCCCCCAACCTTTTTTTTTTTTTTTTTTTGAGATGGAGTCTTGCCGTGTTGCCCAGGCTGGAGTGCGGTGGCACAATCTCAGCTCGCTGCAACCTCCGCCTCCTGAGTTCATGCGATTCTCCTGCCTCAGCCTCCCAAGTAGCTGGGACTACAGGTGCGCATTACCACACCTGGCTAATTTTTGTATTTTTTAGTGGAGACAGGATTTCACTAAGTTGACCAGGCTGGTCTTGAACTCCTGACCTGAAGTGATCTGCCTTCCTCGGCCTCCCAAAGTGCTGGGATTACAGGTGTGAGCCACCGCACCCGGCCTGAGACCCCTGTCTCTTAAAAAAAGAAAAAAAAAATTAAAAACTTAGCTGGGTGTGATGGTGCATGCCTATAGTCCTAGCCACTTGGGAGGCTGAGATGGGAGGATCACTTGAGCCCCAGAGTTCAAGGCTGCAGTGAGCTATGATCATATCACTGCACTCCAGCCTGGGCAACAGAGAGCAATACTCTGTCTCAAAATAAATAAACTATTGGGGTGAATAATGGAGAAAACCCATAAAAAGACCTTCACATTCTTACAGACACATCCACATCCCATTGTCCCATTAGTGGGCACTATGGATATCTCATTTCTGCTATAACAAAAAGGGTTCTAGCAGAATTGTCTAAAAATTGAACTGACTGTTCCATGTCACTGGAGATGTTTAACCAGCCACTAGATGACTGCTTGACATAAACACTGTAAAGACAATCCTTACGTTAAGAGCCTGGTTTAACTGGATGGTACCTAAGTTCTCTATAGATTTATATTATTAACCTCATGGACTAATGGAGAGGTGTCTCTTACTCATAAAGCAGTTCCTAGAGTAGGAAGCAACATTTTCAAAATGGCAGCCCTAGGAAAACAAAGTTTCTTGGGATCATAAGTTGGTGTAGGGTGGACAGAGAGAGAGAAAGACTGACACGGAGTCAGATGGCTTATTTAGAGTTCACCCCGCTATTGAGATGGGTCGTGCAAAGCCCATCCTGACTACTAATAGGAGAGAGAAGAGGATACACTGGTGGGGGTTGGGGGGAAGGAAATCACAAGGCATGCAGATGGAATGCAGTTCCCAAGAGTTTGGGGAGTTCTGATGGCCTGGAAAGGGACTTTATGAGAAAACGTCCTCCAATAAAACGAAAAGACAAACCTCATGGGAGAATTTATTGCTCATAAACCAAGGCCTGGGAAACTAACCATGGAAAGTAGGGATCAGCCAGGCACGGTGGCTCACGCCTGTAATCCCAGCACTTTGGGAGGCCGAGGCGGGCGGACCCTGAGGTCAGGAGTTCGAGATCACCCTGGCCAACATAGTGAAATCCTGTCTCTACTAAAAAATACAAAAAAATGAGCCAGGCATGATGACGGGCACCTGTAATCCCAGCTACTTGGGAGGCTGAGGCAGGAGAATCCCTCGAGCAAAGGAGGCAGAGGTTGCAGTGAGCTGAGATCACACCATTACACTCCAGCCTGGGTGACAGAGTGAGACTCCATCTCAAAAAAAAAAAAAAAAAAAGAAAGAAAGTAGGGATCAACCTAAACGCCCCTCAGACCTGCTACTCCAAGTCATTGGGCATAGTTGTGCCTTTGAATGACAGACAGAGAGATGGAGTGGTCCCCCTAAAACACCCTTCAGCTCCACCTTTATAAGGACTCCCTTCTTACCTTACCTTCTCCGTTTATTTTTTCTGTGCCCAGCGACATCATAAGAACTCAGGAGTTGACCACCATAGAAAACCAAGACTCTGAAGACAGCCATTGCAGTTTGTCAATTAAGAAGAACACAGAAGATGGAGTCTGAACCCTGTGCCTGGGCTTTGCACAACCCATCCCAATAGCTGGGTCAACTTAACTAAGCCATCTGACTCACCAAAAGCCATCTGACTCACCTCCTGCAAAACCACAATATGGTTCAAGAATTAGTCCTACCTCCATTTACAATAAACCACTCCTTTTTTTTTTTTTTTTGACAGAGTCTCACTCTGTCGCCCAGGCTAGAATGCTGCTTCAGCCTCAACCTCCCAGGTTCAACATCTCAGCCTCCTGAGGAGCTGGGACTACAGGCATGTGCAACCATGCCCAGGTAATTTTTGTAATTTTTGTAGAGACAGGGTTTCACCACGTTACTCAGGCTGGTCTCAAACTCCTGGGCTCAAGCCATCAGCCCACCCTCACCTCCCAAAGTGCTAGGATTACAGGCATGAGCCACCGCACCCAGCCCACTCCCTACTCTTACCCTACTTCTTACTCTGTAGTTTTGGGAGACACACACACAACACGCTCAATTCATGGATTCACGTCTTTGAATCATAAAACAACAGGCAGTAAAGTATAGTAGCTAAAGGAGTGCCGGGAACACAGCCTGGGTTTGAACTCCGTCTCTGTCATCTGCTAACTGTTGTCCTTGAGCAAGTTACTTAACTTCTCTGTGCCTCCGTCTCATCGCCTATAAAAGGAAAACAATACTATACTACCTATAAGACTGTTGTGAAAATTAAATTATATAATATCAGTATAACACTTGACATATGGAAAGTACCAAAAATGCGTTAACTAGGCTGGACACTGTGACTCACACCTCTCTCTACTCCCAGCGCTTTGAGAGGTCGAGACAGGAGGATTACTTGAGGCCCAGAGTTCAAGACCAGCCTGGACAGCATAATGAGACCCTGTCTCTATAAAAAATAAAAATTAACCAGGCATGGTGGCATGTACCTGTAGTATCAGCTACTTGGGATGCTGAGGTGGGAGGATTGCTTGAGCCCAGGAGTTGGAGGCTGTAGTGAGCTATGATCATGCCATTGCACTCTAGCCTGAGCAACAGAGTCTTATACAGCCTGTCTCCAAAAAAAAAGAAAATAAATAATTTTTAAAATGTTAACTACTATCACATCTTTTAGAATTTGAGAAACAAAAAGCACAAAAACTAAAACTGCACATGATACGTGATTGCAGACCGAGGTGGTTCATCTCTTCTTTAGTTAAATTAAAGGCTTTTGGCTGGATGTGGTGGTTCACACCTGTGAACCCCCCAGCACTTTGGGAGACCAAGGTGGGAGGATTGCTTGAGCCCAGGAATTTGAGACGAGCCTGAGCAACATAGACAGACTCCCAACTCTACAAAAATTTTAAAAGTTAGCCAGGCACAATGGAGCATGTCTGTGGTTCCAGCTACTTGGGAGGCTGAGGTGGGAGGATCACTTGGGTCTGGGAGGTCGAGGCTGCAGTGAGCCATGATCATGGCACTGCACTCCAGCCTGGGTGACAAAGGAAGACTGTCTCAAAAAAAAGGAACAGACCAAGTTAAAGGCTTTTCTTTTGTGCCATTTTTCTGGCCTTGTGTATGCCTTAGTTTTCAGCAGAGTAAAATATCTGTATTATTATTATGACCTTGATTTTTAAGATGACTTCATCTTCATTTCATATTGATTTTATTCAGTAATAATTGTAAGAAAGACTTTAGTTTTAATGTTTCTTTCCCCTTATCTTCTCCATCAAGTATGTGGAAAAAGACAAATTCAAAGGCTAGAAATGAAACTTTGAACTTCTACAGGAGAAGTCAGGCAACATGGCTAAAGACCTTTGCTAAATGACAAAGCAGGATAAAAAATAAGTCTAGTCCTTCTTACATTATTCCAATACATTTATTAAAGGCATCCTTAAAGGTATGTAAGGAATTATAAATGAATGCATGCTTCTCCCACACACAAATTTCGTTAATGACACACGTATGAAACCGTACATAAATACGTGTGTACTGCTGACTGAGCGAGATACCTAGCTAACTCTGAACACTCCCACAAAGCACCTCACAGTAATCCCTGGTCGACTTTATCAACCACACTGCTTAGAGACAGGACTGAACCCATAGGCCTTCCCCTCCAGTAGGTCAGAACAAGTCTGCCGGTAACTGCAGCATCTGTGTCTGCAGGAATACCTCTTCCCTCTTTGGCTTAACTCCAGACCACGCGGTAGGAGCCAAGGAAGGGGACATGCCCTAGCCTTGTACATAGCTGTGCAGATGGCCTGAGGACTTGAGGCTCAACTTTTCTGTCCAATACAAGGACCCTGTTTCAAATGGCAAATCTGGCTGTCCCACCTAGGATCTGTACCTTTTCTCAAGCCTTAGCTCCCCCTAAATTACCAAGGAGTCTCAGACGAGTTGTTGAGGTTTTAACCATTCATTTATTAAACAAGTCTTCACAGAGAGCTTACTAGGTTCCAGGCACTAGGTATACTCTGCCGACCAAAACCAAACCAGGTCAGAGAAGAGAGACATCAGGACTATGCAGAGACAGCCCTGGGTAAAATCAGGAAAAGCAAAAAAAACTTAGTTACCATTATTCAGCCCTCCCCATGCCCCCACCTTCCTGTGGATTGTGAAGAGCTCCCTCAAGCTTCTCTTTGCTCTTTGTTTCTTTCCTCTTCAGAACCTGATTCCTGGGAAAATAACTTAATTGTTTATTCATTTACTCAACAAACACATGTTGAGCACCTACTGCATATCAGATACTGCAGTAGGTGAAATATCAGTCCCTTTATAACTTCTCTTGGGGGTATTTGCATCTCAACTCTATTTTATTTTTTTCTAATTCTTTTTAAATTGAACTAGAATTCAATTTATGCTTAACCCTTAAATTTTACCATAACATAACATTTACCCTTTTAAAGTGTAACATTCAATGGTTTTCACTGTATTCACAAAGTTGTACAACCATCCCCACTATCTAATTCTAGAATATTTTCGTCACTTCAAAAAAGAAGCCCTGTACCATTAGCAGGGATTTCCCAACTCCTGCTTCCCACAACCGCTGAAAACCAAGTATTTACTCTGTCTCTATGAATTTACCTGTTCTGACCATTTCAGATAAGCGGAATCGTATAATATGTGACCTTTCGCGTCTGGCTTCCTTCATTAGCACATTTTCAAGGTTACCTATGTTGTAGCATGTATCAGTACTTCATCCTATGTCATGGCTGAATAATGTTTCATTATATGGTTATACTACATTTTCTTTATCCATTCATTAATTTACAAACATTTGGGTTTGTTTCACTTTGTGGCTATTATGAATAATGCTGCTAGGAACATTTATGTACACATTTTTATGTAGTCACTTGTCTTCAATTATCTTTGGTACATACCTTGGAGTGGAATTGCAGGTCATATGGTAACTGTATATTTCCCTTTTTAAGGAACTGCCAAGCTGTTCTCCAAAGTGACTGTACCTGTTTGCACCCCCACCAGGAAGATATGAGGGTTCCCATTTCTCTACACCCTCAGTCACACTTATGATTGTCTGACTTTTTAGCTATCCAAGTGGAACGAAGTGATGTCTCACTGTGGCTTTGATTTGCATTTCCCTAATAACTAAGGATGTTGTGCATCTTTTTTGTGCTTATTGGCTATTTGTGTGTCCAATTTGAGTAATGTCTATTCAAATCCTTTGCTCATTTTTAATTGAGCTACTTGCCTTTTTATTATTAAGTTGTAAGAGTTCTTTTTTTATATTTTGGATACTAGATCCTTATCCAATGTAAGATTTGCAAATATATGTTCCCATTCTGTGGGCTCTCTTTTCACTTTTTTGATAATGTCTTTTGAAACATGAAAGGTTGTATTTTGATGAGGTCCAATTTTTGTCTTTACTTGCTTACGCTTTTGGTGCCATATCTAAGGAACAATTGTCTAATACAAGGTCACAAAAATGCCTATGTTTTCTCTAAGAATTTTATCATTTTTGCTCTTACATCTAGGCCTGTGATCCCTTTTGAGTTAATTTTTGTATAAAGTATAAGTTATGGGTCCAAATTCATTCTTTCACGTGTGGATATCAGGTTGCCTCAGCACCATTTGTTGAAAAGACTATTCATTCCCCATTGATTGTCTTAGCATCCTTATTGAAAATCAACTGACCATAAATGTAAAAGTTTCTTTCTGGACTCTGAAGTCTATTCCTTTGATCTACATATCTATTCTTATGGCAGTATCACACAGTCTTGATCAATGTACCCTTGTAGCAGGTTTTAAAATTTAGAAGTGTCAATCCTACACCTTTGTCCTTCTTTTTCCCTTGCATTTCCATATGACTTTTAGGAACAGCTTGTTGATTTCTGCAAAAGAGGAAAAGAAAAGGCAGCTAGAATTTTGATAGGGATTGCATTGAATCTGTAGACCACTTTGGGGGGTATTGCCGTCTTAGCAATATTAGGCTTTCCAATTCAGGAATACAAACTGTCTTTCCATTTATTTAGAGTATTGTTTAATTTCAACTATTTTTTATAGTTTTTAATGTGCAAGACTTAAACTTATTTTGTTAAATTTATTCCTAAGTATTTTTTTTCTTCTTGTTGCTGTTGCAGATGTAATCGTTTTCTTAATTTCATTTTGGATCATTCATTGCTAGTGTATAAAAATATAATGGATTTTTATATTTTGATCTTGCATCTGGCAACCTTGCTGAACTCAATTATGAGTTTTAATGGTTTGGGTAGATACCTTATGATTATCTGTATACTAGATCATGTCATCTGCAAGTAGATTTAGTTTTACTTTTTTCTTTTTAGCATGGATACCTTTTTAAGTCTTATTTCTTATTGTTCAACTGCAACATTTTACTCCTCTGTGAACTAATTTCAAGCATCAAGAATGTGAGCTCCATGAGAGCAGGAACTTTATTTTGTTTCCTGTTCTAGGCCTGGTATCTAGACTAGTTCCCAGCACATAGCAAGTGTTCAATAAATATGTGTTGAGTAAATGAATACATGAGACAAGAAGTAGATGGGAACAGTTCGGAGCTTTTCCCCATACCCGCAATCATACCAGCAAGGTGTGGCTTATTCTAACCCACTTATAATCCCTGCCCAGAGTCGGCAATTAATTGGCACTCAGTAAATGTTCTCTTAATGTGTAAATGAACGAATAAATAATGTAAGACCTGGCATATGGGAGTGTGTGAGTAAAACCACGTGGTCACATTTGTTGCAGGGAGCACCATCTGTTGAACAGCTCATTTTGCCATCAATTCCATCTCAGTATGATAAATAATGTTCTCTAAGATCACAGCCACAGTAAAACTGTCACTAAGATGCCAACAATTCCACAGAGGTTGTTAAACCTTGTTGCCACAAAAACGATACCGTTACATAATTATTCTTATGTACATCACTTCAATAGCGACACAGTGAGCTGGCTGGGCAAGGCAAGGGTTGGAAAACCACCTAGGCCGGCTTGCTGTGACCCAGTTGACTGGCCCTGACTACTTTGCCTCTTCTGCTTTGACTCTCGCCCAGGAAATACTTTAGGTACATCTGGAAATGCAGTGAAAATACTTGGCGTGAACACCGTGTGAAAAATCAACGGAAACACCCGAGGCCCAGGCGGGACTGGGGCTCCGGTGGGAGGGGGTGAGCCTTGCTGACTTTCCTCATGCTCCTGCTCACTCTCCCTTTATTTAAAGAGACCTTCATTGTTCCCGTTGTCCCATCCCACAATCCCAGGTTCTCTATGTAAGGGATACAGATTGAAATCCATACTCTCCAAATATGCATTTAATTCTATTTCACTCCAGAATTATGATATAAATAATTGCACTGTTATTGGAAACATATTTTAAAATTTGAATGACCAAGAAGGAGATTTATGGCTATTACAGACTTGCTAATCTTCAATAAATATGTTTTTAATCAGGCTAGCATTTTATATACAATAACTGTCCAATTAACTCTGGGGTAGACTTTGTAGCCTTGATGGAAAGCGCAGCAGTTGATTCGTTTTCTCTGGGGCTCTTTAAGTTACACTTTAAGATTGGAGATTAAAACAGGGGAACTTTCCAACCTTCAGAAAACCAGACCCAAGAATAAGATTGAGTACAGCAGTGACGAGAAGGAGCCGGCAGCTTGGAGGGGAAAGTCTGGACTAAGAATCAGGAGACCAAGATCTAAGTCTGCATATCCTAATTAGCTCTGTGGCTCTGGCCAAGCCACTTAACCTTTCTTAGCCACAGTTTCCTCGCTTGTCAAAAGGGGATAATCATACCTAGCCTGACCTGACATTTTTGTGGTGGGGAATACGATACGCAAGTGTATGAGGGAATGCTGTAAAAATCACACCGTGCGGCAGCATGGGGTCGAGGGAATCCAGCCGCAGCTCTGCACTTGGAACCTTCATGGACACATTATTTAACCCTCACGCCCTCGGTTTCCTCATCTGTAGAATGTAAATAGTCATGATGATGATCATGATCAATGCATTTCTATAAAGCTTTGATAAATTTAAGTGATGTGTATGAGCCTTCACAGTGCCTAGCACCTAGGAAGCATGAAAGCTACTCTGTTACCAGTTTCAATCCATTAGGAATCTACATACTTTCCTAAGATAAAATCCAAGACACTGGGGAGCCTTCAGACTCACAGTCATCCTATTTTCTGATAGAGGCAAACAGGCCTGCACCACTCATGTTTTCCTGAATTCCAAGGCCTGGTCCCCTGCTTTTGTACCCATTCTATTGCACCTCGATCAAGAGTTCCAGTGAAAATGTTTAGCTGGATAGGCTGGTGGAGAGGGCCACTGTTAGGCCAAGGAATAAAGAAGAATGCTGTGTCTGAGCTGGTTACAGTTCTTCCTGGAGAACTGCAGTAGGGAGCTGGAGACTCCAGTCAGCAGACAATTCCATAGTAGTCAGTGTCTCCCAAGGACGAAAGAGGCAGCCTGGGAATAACTCTCATTCCTGAGCACGTAGCTACTTACTATCTGCTTTGGATAAAATGAGACTCTTCTGGACACAAGGAGGCCCACAAATGACCAAACCCTGGAATCATGTCTCTCCACACCTTTCAAAGTGTCTTCAAACCTCACAGCAAACCTTGAGACAAACCTCCTTGCCAAGTTCCCCAGACTGAGCAAGAAAGCACAGAGGGTGTACACAGAAACCCAGACCCAGGAATAAACAGACAGAGGAGGCGCTCCACACTGTATTATACTTTCAGTTCTCTTCACCAAACAGGGCCCTGCCACAGCCACCTACCCCTTGCTCACCCCTCAACGCACACATACACACATTCCTCCAGGGACAAACAGAAGAGAGATTAGCTACATAAACCAGGCAGGCTTGTAAAACAGCTGAAGAATTAAACACTCAAGAATGTTTTGGACAAGCTGCTGACCCATTTTCCGCCCTGCAAAGCCCAGGGAAGAAGAAGGGGGTAGAAAGAAAAATAAAGAACCAAAGGGAAACAAAACCAAATTATTAAGTTCTTTTCATTAAATAAATAAACGCCATCTGACAGGCCTTCCCCCTGGAGTCCTGGGGTAACATCAGTCCTGGGAAACGACTTGAGAGAAAAAAAACCCAACAACAAAGACTCCTTGGTCTTGACTGGAGTGAGAGAAACCATTTAGTTCATTACCTCCACTCCACTGAGCATCCAGTGAGAACTGGAAGCCAGCTAGAGGAAGGGCAGGGAGCAGCATGTTGGTATGGAGTATAACATACGTCTAGGAATCAGTGAATGTCACCTGGGGTTCCAGCCTGGACACATCTACTTCTGGTGTGATTGCACAGACCTCAACATCCAGACTCCAGTCTCCAGCACCTGCTGCCTCTCTCCCCCTGGAAGGACTGTGACCAACTGGGACATAGCATCTCCCCCTCCATTCTCCACTCATATCCACTCCTCCCTCTGCAGCCCTTCTCACCTGATGCCATCAGGCTAAAAATGTTAGTCATCCTCTCTTCCTTCTCTCTCGTCCCCTAAAACCAATTGGTTGCCAACTCCTGTGCATTCTACTCACGTGTTCCTTCCAAATCAGATCCCCCTCCTGCAAATCCATTACCATCAAATAATGCAGGACTCCATCAGGATTTGAGTATTGATCATTTTTTTGTCTCTCTACAATTCACCTTTTATACTCCATGTCGTCTGCCACACCACCATAGATGTTTTTGTATCTACTAAGGGAAAAAATTAAATCCGGTCACTTCCTGACTAAAGACCTCCCCCAACTAATGGTTGCCTTAGCAGGGGACACCTGGACCTTCACAATCTGACCCCTACCTTCCTCTGTGGGCTCACCTCCCATCCTTCCCAGCCGGGGACCCTCAGACCACGATGTGCTTCTGACGTCTATGATTCTTGGCTTGCTTTGTTCTTCTCCCTGCCTGGAGCACCTTTGCTTCATGTCAACCTGGCCGACCTCTTACTCATCTTTTAAGACCCACGTCAAAAGAGATGTGCTCTGTGAGGTCTTCCCTGGCTCCTCAAGACAAAGTTACCTCCTTCCTCCTTGCTTTGCTCTTGTCAGGATTATAGCACTGGCCATGGGTTCTAAACATCTCTAAGTCTCTTGCACTAGCATGTGTGTTCCTCAAGTCCGTTCCTCATGCCTTATTCATATTTGCCTCAGCATGTGGCCTTTACAGACACTTCTTAAATGTTTTACTAAATGAATGGACAAATGGGCAAGTGCATGATAAATCAGCGAGTCAGCAATGTGGACTTGAGCAAATGACGGCCCTCTGGGGGTCTCCATTTCATTCCCCCTGCAATGAAGGGGTTGGGTGGCTGAGCTTCCAAAATCCCTCCCAGCTCTGACCCTATGTGGTTTTATGAGATGTAGCTAAGAGATGCTGGCTGACTGGAATTTGATTGTGAGAACTGAAGCTGAGAGTTGTAAATACGTAAAGCAGTCAAGAGTCTTCTGTAAACACGGTGGTTCGGGGCACTCGAGAGCAGACAGGTTTATGCAGAGGTAAGCCAGATGCTTTCATTAAGAAAGCAGCAAGGTACGGTATCTAAACATTGTATTATAACCTGCAATTTGATATGCCTGCAGAAATCCAGCCTAATCCTAATGGAGCAGAAAATTGATGAAAGGGGCCAGGAAGAAATAGAAACTAGTTAAACAGAGGTGAGAAAGTGAGCAATAGGAGTGAGTGGGGGTGAGTAACCTGGAACTTCTCCAGCACAAAAGCCTGCCTTCCCTACCTCATCTTCTGGGATGTCTCAATGCAAGCACAAACCTTCCACTTCAGCCAAGCTGTCCTCCTCGCTGCCCCATGGCTTGTGTTATACAACCCTCCTCTGCGCTCCTGTTCATTCCATTTCTCCCCTGTGGCCCTCTCCACCCATATAACAAAATGCTACTTGTTATTCATGTCCACCTGACAGTCTACCTCCTTAACCACTCCCACCCAAAAGGATCTCTTTCCTCCTTTTCTGACACCTTATATAACAGTTTGACCATCTGGCATGGCCATCCTGGTTACTGCTGTCTATCTTCAAACAGCGTCTGACAAATAGAAGACACTCAATAAAGGTTTTTCTGGATCAATGACTGAGTATATTAAAAGCTAAATACAACCTATAGAGATGAAATTCTCTACCCTCAAGGAGAACTCAATAATACAGTACAGGAATCAGGTGAATGAGGGAATAGCTATAAGAGAATATACACGGGAATACACCAAACTGTATGGTGGTTGGTTTGGGGTTTGGTTTTGGTTTGTTTTAGGGCGTAGGGGGAAGCTTTCCTATGCATCTATGTCCACTCCCTGAACATCCTATGAGTTCTTGGGTCCTCTCCCTGAACACCCTGCAAGAAAATCAATTCACATGCACTTGTGTTTACGAGCAAGGCACTGTGGTGGGTATCGGGGGTATCTTGGTTTCTCCACGAATACCCACCACAGTGCCTTGCTCCTAAACACAAGTGCGTATTTAATGATCTTCTATATGCAATCAGAATCACTTAAAAGAGAAAAACTGGCCCGGCGCGGTGGCTCACGCCTGTAATCCCAACACTTTGGGAGGCCGAGGCGGGCGGATCACGAGGTCAGAAGACTGAGACCATCCTGGCTAACACGGTGAAACGCTGTCTCTACTAAAAATACAAAAAATAAGCCGGGCATGGTGGCGGGCGCCTGTAGTCCCAGCTACTCAGGAGGCTGAGGCAGGAGAATGGCATGAACCCGGGAGGCAGAGTTTGCAGTGAGCCGAGATCACGCCACTGCACTCCAGCCTGGGGGACAGAGCAAGACTCCATCTCAAAAAAAAAAAAAAAAAAAGAAAGAAAGAAAGAAAGAAAGAAAGAAAGAAAGAAAGAAAGAAAGAAAGAAAGAAAGAAAGAAAGACTGCAGAAAAAGTGAATGAAAAAAAAAAAATGTGTCTTAGAAGAGGCTTCACCTGAACTAGGACAACTTAGGAGATTGGCTAAGACAAACTGTTAGGCTGCAAGGAAAAAAAAGGAAGAAATAAGCTGAAAGGAAGGAGGCAAATAGAAGAGCGTGGCAAGTGGGAGAGGGGAGTTGGGGGAGGAGGAATAATAGTTTTAAATAAGCACTAGAGTCTAGTTAAGGATGGAAACAATTAGCGTGGAGGGTGTCAGGTCACATTGTGCTAGACATGTAACGCATGTGGTTTCAGACAGAGTCATTTTTCTACGTGTGGAAGACTGTAATGGAAACCAATGTGAGTTTTGTCAGAAAACATTCATTTGGTCAGTAGAATAGGGAGAAGTCTTCAGAAGAAGCTAATCTTATTATTTTCTCCTTTTAATATTGTAAAAGCTGATGTTGATATAGATGATATATAATAGATACAGATATATGCCCAGAAATCTTTGAGAATGAAAATGAGACTAACTGAAACAAGTAACTTAATTCCTATTGCTTAGTCCAGAAATGTTACAAAGAGAGGTAAGGAAAGTGGGAGGAAAAGAGGAAGGAGGAAAGCAGGGAGTAAAGAAGGTCTACCTTCCAGTCTGGTTGCAAGATTCAGTGGTCATGTCCTCTGTTTCTCTTCACTTCCTTCCCGAAGCTCTGCTCTTCATAGGCACCCAGCAAAGATGGTACCAACTTACCATATTGACGTTTATGAAAATCATAATTATGTGAAGTATTAAACCTAAAGGAAGAATCTCAAAATCTTAAGAACTATTGAGTTAATGCCTTTCCTGTAATTTTCTTCACAGCATGGAAAACAATGTGCCTTGTTTTAATGAGATTACCTTGTCATATTTCCTGACAGACCTGGCACTAGTAGAGGTACCATATCACCAGCATGGATTAATGCTCCCTTCCTGTAAAACGTATGAACTGTTTTTCTTTAGATTGAAAACAATACTATTCTATCTTCAACACTTGTCTGGAATATAAGGATGAGGAGTGAGGCAAACAATAGGGTCCAAGGTTTCATTTCTGCCAAAACTTTTAAATCCAGGATGATTGATTCAAGTGAACATCAAAAGCAGACTTGAGAGGGGAAGGAAGTCAGAAAAGCTTTAGAATTATATATGGATGAAGGAAGACAGTAACCTTTGCTTCAATAATGGTAGAAGTATTGTACCTGGCCAATAGTGGATGCTTATTGTATATCTGTTAGATGGGTTGATAGATGGATGGTTGGATGGATGGATGGTTGGATGGATAGATGGATGGAGGATGGATGGATGGTTGGATGGATGGATGAATGGATGGATGGATAGATGGAAGATGCATGGGTGGGTGAATGAGTTAGTGGGTGAATACATATGTAGGTGAGTGGATCCAATTGATGGGTAGATGGATGGATGATTGAATGGATGTATGGGTAAATGAATGAATGATTGAATGGATGTATGGACACATGGATGAATGGATGGATGAATGAACAGATGAGGGGGTAGATATAGAGAAATGGATACTCTGATGGATAATCTGTGGAAATTATACCTTTATGTTCTAATGGGGTCACCTTCCTAAATCACTTCCCAACCAACAGTCATAGGGATAAATCCTGAAGAAATTATTTCAAATAATTGCTTACTCTACAAGACAAGGAAGTATAGCACTTCAACTATGTTTTTAGATTTTTTTAATGGGATGTATATCAAGTGCCATAAAATGTTTATTACCTTTGACCCAGTAATCCCACTTTTAAGAATTTATTCTAATTTTTTATCAAAAGAAAAAAAGAAGTTATTTGCATAATGATGGTTTTGAAGCACAATCTATGAAATTTAACAATTATTGCAACCTATAAATATTAAAGTAATTTAAGTTATTTCAATTTGACGGACTACTAAACAGTCATAAAATAACAGATACTGTGAAACATGTTTATGGTAGGAGAAATTGACATTATATGTATGTTTTCTCAACAAGAAACATGTGTAAATTCTGTAATAACAGAATATAAGTACCAATTATAGTTATATATCTATAACTGCAATTACAGCTGCTATGGAGAGGTAGGTATGTTTGCGTATCAAGAGGCTGGAAAGATGTTAAGATGATAGAAATTTGAAGGAAGTTTTCAACTTATAAAGTTATTTTTCAAATGGACTTGAAGTAGTTAATTTCCCTTAAGGTAAATATTTTCAAAGGAAATATAAATGAAAAATAAACATAACTTAAAACACATTTTTAAATGATTTTTTACTGTTGCCACAACCAACCCCAAGGTGGCTTAGCATTTCTTATGGAGTCATTGAGAATAGGAAGGGGCCTAATTCTCTTTTCTCCATCTTCTCTCCTGCCTTCTCCACAACCTTATCTGGACCACATAGCGGTGCCCCGTCCCAACATTTTTCTCCCACAGCCTCCTACATTTTAGCCTACAAAAAAACTGAGCATATGAGTTTTCTCTTGCTGTGTAACAAATTGCCACAAGCCTACCAGCATAAAGCAACAAACTTGTATTATCTAGCCTTTTCAGTGTGTCAGGCGTTCAGGTATGGCTTAACTGGGGCCTTGCTCAGGTCTCACAGGCTGCAATCAAGGCATCAGCTGGGCTGCATTCTCATCTGGAGGCTCGGCTGAGGAGGAATCCTCTTCCAAGCTCATTCAGGCTGCTGTCAGAGTTCACTTCCTTGCAGCCATGTGATAATTGTCTTCACTTATTCCTGGCTGCCAGCCAGAGGCTACCTGTAGTGCCCTGCCACATAGCTGTCTCCAGAGGTAGTCCATGGCTATTCTTCAAGATCAGCATCAGAGTCTTACTCTAGTCTGCTAAGACAAGTCTTATAGAAAGGGACAAAATCATAGGAATGACTTCTCATCACCTTTGCCATATTCTATCAGCTAGAAACAAGTCATAGGTTCCACCCACACTAAAGGGGAGGGGAGTGTTCAAGGTATGACACTAGGGCGTGGACATCATGGGGCTCTCTTAGAATTCTGCCTCCAAAACTGAGTCTCCATTTTCATAGCCACAGTCTTACGTAGAACTTCACTGCCTCAAGCCACTCACATCTCTGTCTTGGTTTTACTGACGAACTTTTAAAAGAAGCCACTCTCTCCCATTCATGAAGCCACAAGTATCTTCTTTTAGGACCTTCCCTTGTCAAGTCCCTTTTCATCTCAAGGCCTTCTGCTCTGCCCCCTCCTCCTGTTCCCTCGACTCCTCTGCCCCTCTTTCCCCTGATTAGTTAGTTCCTACTTGGTCTCAGTTTCAATGTCACTTCTTCAAAGAAGACTTTTCCGATCCCCAGACTAAGATATCATGATGTAATAAATAATCCTTTAGTAATTATGGGTTTAATGCCTGTTTCATCTATTAAGAAAGAAACGTCTCCGTCTTGTTCCCTGTTGTATCTCTAGTGTTTACTTAGTTCAGTGCCCAGAACACAGTAGGTGTTCAGTAGATACAGTAGACCCCCCTTATCTGTAGGGGATATGTTCCCAGACCCCCAGCAGATGCCTGAAACCACAGATAGCACTGAACCCTACAAACACTATGTTTTTTCCTACACCTACATACTTATGACAAGGTTTAACTTATACAAAATGTACAGAAAGAGATTAACAACAATACATAATAATAAAATAAATGATCATAACAATATACTGTAATAAAAGTTATGTGAATGTGGTCTCTCTATCTCTCTCAATATACATATCTTACTGTTCTGCTCTTCCCCTTCTTGCGATGATATGAAATGTCACATGCCTACGTGATGACATCAAGTAGGAGAATGATGTAGGCATCATGATGTAACATTGGGCTACTATCAGCCTTCTCACCGTATATCAGAAGGAGGATTATCTGCTTTGCATGATCCTGGATCATCGAGCCATAAGGATGCCGATGACTGGATGTCAGGAACAGATGATGTTGATAATTAAGGATCCCTAATAGGGTGTTTTTTGCCAAAAGAGTCTGGAAAAACATTGTAATCAAAAGTTATTTTCTCTTTCTTTTTAACCATCAAGCGTTGCTGCAGAGGTTGCAATCCTTTGGTGATCATATAGGTGACTTTAATGCTGCATTCCATCTGAGGATTATATTCTACAATTTTGTCTTTTGATGTCTGTGCAATTTGAATCATTTCAGCATATTCCAGTAATGTTCACACTGCTGGTTTTGCTTCAGTTTCTTCTTCATCTTCCTCTTCCGCTGCAATGACTCAACAGGTTCTTCCAATTCCTCATTTGCTAACACTTCGCAATGGCCTTCAATGTGTTCTTTTACTTCATCAAGCATATGGACAAATCTTTCTCCACCAATTTGTCTTGCTGAGTGAATGATTTTCCTAAGTTCTCCATTGATCCTCAGAAGCATTTATAATCATTCACAACTTCACTCCATAATTCCTCCAGCAGGCATTTACAGTTTCTGGTTTTAACTCTTCCATTGCAGCTTTGATGCAAGTTATTGCATCAGCAATAATGAATGATTTCCAGCATCATATTATGTCCAGATTAGGGTCTGCATCAATTGCTGATCGAATGTGATCAAATATCAGGTGGGTGTATGTGGCCTTGAAAAACCAAATGATGTCCTGGTCAAGGAACTGAAGAAGTAAGGTTTCATTTGGAGGTTGAAATACAGCCTCAACATTTTCATTTTCACAGTAAATGGATTCAGGGTAGCAGGTGCATTGTCAATTATTAAAAGAACTTTAAATTCCAACTCTTCTTCCTCCAAGTATTTTTTCACTTCTAGGATGAAGCATTGATGAAGCTTTCCACAAGCAAGATAACTATCGCTGAAGTTTTCTCATTATGTTGCCAAAACACAGGCAGATATTTTTTATTTTGTTTTTGAGAGCATGTGGGTTTTTGCTCCATACACTATGTCTGACTTTCTCATATGCCCTGCAATGTAGCCACAAGGCACCAGAGATAATCTGTCCTTCCATGTTCTATGCCCTGGGGCCTCCTTTGCACTTTTATAAATGTAGATTCTACTGTGCATCTTCTTCCAGAAGCGCCTGGTTTCATCACAAATAAAGATTCACTTTGGATGGTATCCTTTCTTCCTAACCAACTGCTTCAACTCTGCCAGAAATGAGGAAGCTGCTCCTTCAATGGCAGACACAGACTCTCCTGTAACTTTTATATTTTTCAGTCCAAACCTATTCCTGAACATGTGCAAGCATCCCTCACTTGCAGAAGATGCCTTGATGTTACTCATTTTAGGGGCTCTCTTGCTAAAATCTTCGTATACGTTCAGTGCTTTTTGGCACAACACATTGCTGTCAACCAGAACACATTTCTCTTCGTGTCTTCTACCCACAAACTTAATGCCTTTTCCATCTTCACTAAGCATTTATCACACACACTATGGCCATAACTTTTGCAGTTTGAGATGTGACAGCAAAACCAGCACAAATTTCCTTTTCCTTCACAATCTCACAAATAGAAGATGTATTCTTACCATAGATCTTAGCAACCTCAGCAAACAATTTCTTTTTCTTTCCTTGCTAGGTCAAGAACTTTCACCTTTTCACTTAAAGGAAGAACTTCAGGCTTCTCTTTAGCATATCCAAGTTGCCAAAATCACTACTTTTGCGCGTTGGGGCCAATTATGAAGTCAAATAAGGGCGACTTGAAATCACACGCTGCAGTACCATGGCAGTTGCTGTGATAACGAGATCGCTTCTAAGTGACTACCACGCGGCGTGAAGATGCTGGACAAAGAGATGATTCACGTCCCTGGCACAATGGAGGTAGATGGTGTGAGATTTTATAACACTACTCAGAACAGAGTGCAATTTAAAATTATGAATTGTTTATTTCTAGAACTTGTCTTCTAATATTTTTGGACCTCAGTTGACTGTAGTTGACTGAAACCATGGAAAACAAAACCACAGTTAAGAGAGGACTACTACATGTTGAATGAATTTGTAAGTGAATAAATTGTAGGCAACAGTTCTGAACCTTCCACCCATGCCTCTATGCGGTAACTTCTGAGGCTACTACCCTGTTGAATCTTCTCTCTTCAATGTCTTCCTAATTGTAACATCTAGTTTTCTCTCTCAGTCTCTCACCCTCTCTCACCTGTCTGCAGCTTCTAGCCGACTACTCCCTTGAGCAAATGCTGTCCCCCTTGGCTTTGGAGCCGTAAGCTCTCCTGATTTTCTTCCTCATTCTAATCACTCCCTTTGTGCTGTCTTCTAAGAATGTCTTCCTCTTTTGGAATTTCTCCTTTTTTTCTGTCCAGAGGAGTCTAAAACCCATCCCCTGATCCTGGGCTCTCTTTCTAACCATACTCACATTTCTGGCTGGTAGTTAAATCTTTTCAATCGAGTGTCTCACCCACACCTTAAACTGAACTTGTCAAAAATTCTGTTTCTCAACATGCATGAAGAATCCTCCTTGGTTCCTTGGTCATTGCGTTACTATCCTCCAAATCACCCAGGTTCAGAGCCTCGGTCACTCTCAACTGCTCCCCGCCTCTCCCTGACTTGTCTTTTGCACTCAATTTCTCCTTTCCATTCCCACTGAACTTAGTGCTTCCCAAGTGTGCTCCCAAACAAAATGATCCCCTGCCTCCACATTCTAATGTCCACTTACCAGTTATCTTTCTAGAACTCAGTTCTGAATATATCCCTCTAATACACAATAATGTTCAGTGACCATCATTTTCCTGAAAAACAATCTCAATTTCTACATGACCTTAGGTGCCCCGCACCCCATGATCTGGCTTTCAAGTGACTTTGCAACCCTATTCTTGGGTCTCCCAATTTCTCTTCTCTGGTCTAACCAGTAGAGTCATTGTTTTCACAACTGATCACTTGTAGGTCTTTCTTCGCAGGGTTATCCAGTGCTTGTAATGCCCTTCCTCTCATTCTTGCTTGTAAACATAACAAAAATAAGAAATAAACATACCTTCCTACCCCTCGATGTGAATCTGACTTCCTCCATGAAGACTTTGCAGATCCAGAGTCTGCTATTTCCTTTGCATACCAGCCACAGCCTGTACCACTCTCGGAGTGCTTAGCACAGTTTTTACAATAATACTATGGGCATGTCTACTTCCCACTACTGGATTGCACACTCCTGGGGGTGTTGGTAATCTTCATCTGCTGTGTCTCCCATGTTGAGCAGAGTCCCTGGACCATAACCGAGCACCATAAAAAGTTCTCAATTGGAAGGACCAAGTTTGTCCCAGTTGGAGGCTCCCTTTGCCTGGGTTCTTCAAACTGTTCCTGTTAGGTTGGAATAATTCCGGCTTGCCTCTACCAAGACTTTTTACCTCCAAAACTGCAAACAGGAAATCCATAGGGAGGAAAATCTGCGGTTAATAGAAAAGCAACCTCTCAGTCCAAACCACCAGCTGCCTTGTTAAAATTAACAAGCAGCAAAGTGAAACATGTGGCTTAGGAGCTGGGTTTCTTGTTGTTATTATTCTACACATACACACACACTGAGAGATACACGGTATAGCCTCCCAAGGAAGAAGCTGGCTTTAATGAGTAGCTGGATGGACAAATGGAAGATGAGTGGCAGGAGGAAGACTGAGGTCAGGAGCACTGAATTAGCGAATGTTATCTGAAATCCAAGTGATTAGGATGGATTGGGGTAGTGCGACACAGTTGTTCCCAGAGGCTTTCATAGTCCCCCAAAAGTAAAATGATGCCTTACAGCAGGGCGATTCAGAGACAGCATAAATTAAATGAAGCTAATTAGAAAAAGCCTGTTGTATCTTCCTCTTTTCTCTCCTTGATATGTGTAACACTGAAAAATGGGGGCTCTGGACTCAGGAAGGCCTTCGGTTGTGTCCTGGGTCTTCACTTCCAGTGAACAACTCTCTGCATCTCGGGGGCCTCTTTTTTTTTTTTTTTTTTTTTTTTTTTTTTAATGGGAGTGAATAACAGTAGTTGTTTCACAGAGTTCTTAGTCTTAAATGAGGTAATATAGGTAAAGCAATTTGTCACAGCATACCTAAACCTTCAATTAACCTTAGGATTTGGGTTTTGGGTTGTTTGTTTGTTTGTTTGTTTTTTAATGTGCCCACTATGTACCAAGGTTTGTGCCAAATAAAGTTTAAATTACTATATGAGTATTAACTATTGAAATTGGCTTCAAGTGCTAAAAGGGGAAAGGAAAGGTCAGCTGTGGGAAAAGAAGAAGTGAGGGTGGCTGAGTGCAACAGTATGACTGTCCGGGACTCAGATCTGCTATAGCCCAGGGCTGTCCCATCCCTCACTCCACCTATGCTTCCTGGGAAACCCAGTTGCCTCAGCCCCAAGGCAAGCCCTGTCTCTCAAGGCAAGGTTGGCCCCAGAAAGAATTGTTGGCAAATTCCTGCACTAGAGTACTAAAAACTAAAAATAGCCATTCTCACCAGCCTGGGCCTGGGAACACTTTCCACACTGCATTCAGCAAGCAAAATTCCATTTCCCCACAATCTTTGCATAGGTCCAGACGCATTCCCCAGGATTTCTTCCTATCCTCTTCCTCACCATCCTCTCTTTTATTTCTTGTGGACACCTTTGGCTTTCTGTCAAAATCAGTGGTGTGCTATAAATGTTTAACAACCAGCTCTTGGGGTGGAGGGATGAGGGGGGGAGCCTGGGTTTGTAGCATATGCCATTTCCTGTGGTGTAAATGTTCTCACCTGAGAGTTAGAAAAAGATCTGCTTTGTCAGGTCTCATGAGCTAGTATGAGTGGCTCCAGGTGCACACCACTGACACCCCAGGTCTCCTAGGATAGGACCTCCTGCAGTCCTGTCTCCAGAGAAGATATTTTAGTTGTCTTTGATGATTCTACTTCCTTCATTTCTTTCAGGCCATTTGAAAATGAATCATCCTTTGGAAGGTGAGTCGTCATGTCAAGGAATCTAAATTATTCTCGAAGCTAGGAGCATCCAGGGCCGCCACATAGAGCCACCCAGGCTATGCAGTGCACAACTTCAATAGGCCCATTCACATAGGCATGTGCAAAATGAGTGGCTTGGGAATGTCTTCATTGTAGTGACAAGGCCTTCCTGGGTTAAGGCAGAGCAGAAATGGTGAGGTTTCCCAATACCCCCATCCCCATGTGAACTCTTGGGCTCAGCAACATCTCTAGCTGCTGAAAACTGCGAGCACTTACTAAGCAAACTCCTCAGATATGGTACTGCCTGAGGGCTAGAGCAGGCGGTATTTATAGTCTCTTCTCCAAAGAAGCAGTTAGAGATGCACCCTGTGGGCTGCCTCCCTTCCCACCTATCAAAGCAGTTCATTTCTTAATTTATCCAACAAATACTTAGTGAGAATCTCCTAGGTTCAAGGCATTGGGCTGGACACTGAAACAAAACAAGATATTTAGAAGTGACACAGACACAGCAAGTCCAATATTTCCTATTTTGTTTACAAAGATTCGTGCACATCCAGAAAGAAGCATCACTATAGGTAATCGTATATGTGCTGACCACTACCATGGATTGAGCACTTACTGTGGACCAGAACTCTACCAAGCATTTCCTCTATGCTACTTTATTAATCATTATGGCAACCTTATGAGGAGATATTATCAGCTCCCATTTATAGATGAGGATTTAGAGACAGGGAAAATAAAAGAACTTTTCTGAGGTCACATAGCTGGAAAGTGCAGAGGTGGGTCTGACTGCAGAGCTCTTACTGTTAACCTCTGGGATACACCAGATCCTTAAATCTCTTAGCACTCAGCAGCGGAGGCTGATCCCTGGTTCGGTTAAGGGCCAAATCTTTCTTTGCATCCTCCAGGGGCTGCTCAGCTGACAAACTAGCCAGATGGGACCCAGAGAAAGAGACAGTCCAAGCTTCCCAAGGAGCATGTGGTCCCAAAGGTGGGGCAGAGCTATCTCCCAGGCCACTGCAGGGCACCTCACCCCCTGGAGACCACCCCAGATGCTTCCTTGGAAATTCTGACTTCAGGGTCTTAAATAGTATTGGGGCACTATTTCTGGAAGCACATGTGACAACCAGAAGAGGTTCTGGTTTTCATTCTTAATATAAGGGCCTTGTTTTTAAAATGGAAAACCCAGAGAGCTCAGTGGGTCATGGAGTAGAAACAAGGTTCAAAGGTTGGAGGAGAAGGGCAAAAAAGGAAGCAGAAATTTCAATCCTAGAAAGCTGTTCAGGGGTGCCAAGCCAGACCCTCCAAGATGAAGGAAAAAGATGGAATTTGGGGACAGCATACCCTCTGGAAGATCTCAAGGGATTCTACCTAGCCTAGTTCCAGAGCCAGTTAACAGCCCTTCACCCCGGCCAGCCCTGGATCTTTCTGTCAGTCCCAGTTTGGCCTTTTGGAGCCCTGCAGAAATCAGGCCCACCTGTCTCTCTTGCTGCATACGTGCAATCTTGGAGATGGCAGCCAGTCTCATTCCCTTAGGGAACAGAAGGGGTTTCAAAAAACAGAAAGGATCTCTTTACTTCTCTCTGAGGTCAGGAAACATGCCCCTGTCTGTGATGGGTTTAGGAAAATAATAGCAGTAACTCCCCCGTGCTTTAGTCTCCGAAGCCAATCTAAAGAAATCCAGGCAAAGGATCCAGGGCCTGAAGTAAACCCACACTCAAAAAATTTTCATTAAGAAGAGTTTGCATGTCATAGCAATTGGAAAACCCAGGACATAAAAGCATTTCTTCAATGTCTGTCCGACTACAAAAAGGTAACAAAGTCCCCCTTGAATTTTGGGGGGTTCAGGCTCAGATTCTACTCCTTCATTCCTCTACTGACCTCTGAATTGCAGGCGTCCTGGAAATCCTGTCCCACTTCAAACACCAAGTGGGCCTAAGAGAGTTGATTTTCTGAGCCCAGAGAGATGAAAAATAAATGTCAGTGACTAAGAAAATGCGGGCAGGGTCAAGACAAAATTCAAGGGGGACTTGTACAGTGGAGAAAATTCTTCATGCTGGCAATGCTTTGGCATGCTTTGAAAATTCTTCATGCTGGCAATGCTTCTGATTCAACAGCACACGCACCACAGCATCTGACCATTTCTGTGGTCCACAGGCCATGGCTCCCTGGACAGAGTCCTCGGGGCCCTGAGCCAGCCCGAACTTGGAAGAGAGTTCTTCCTGGCAGTGGGCTGCCGTCTCTGAGCTCTGCAGTCAAAAGCCACATGGGGTCATGGCAAATCCAAGCCTCTTGACCCCTACCTAGAAGCCTCAGCTCCCATCTGGGACTCAAGGAAGACGGGCACTGGGCTTCCGCCACCCTCTCTCTAGCCAGCTCAGATCTCTGTTGCTGGCGGGTACCCAAAGAAGGTCTCTGGTTTGCAGATAAAGGACTTTGTTTGGGTCTCAGGAGTCTCTTAAAGGGTGTTCCCTCAGGTCAAATAACATAACACGTTTTTTTCAGGGAAAGGGGTGTCACCCTGAGCCCAGGGCAGCACACAGCACCCCCATTCCTATCGCCTCCCACTCCTGGGCTAGCACAGGCTGCCTTGGACAGGGTGTGCCTGCCAGGCTCCTGCCCAGTCTCTGCTGGGACACCCGCCTGGCTGGGCTACCCTCCCTCTGACCCTGTGTGTCTTATTTTCTCCAAAGAGCCTTGGACAAGGAAGAGAGATGGTTAGAAATCACTTTTTTCCCAAGCTTGGAAGCTGATGAGGGTAGAGACGATAGAAGGAGGAGGAGAAGTATTTGCATCTCTTCCCTTTACCTCAATTAATCTCTAAATCCAGTTGCGAAAGATGTTCTGAGATGACGTCCCGGTTGTTCTCAGCCTCCTTCACTAGCCCTGAGTCTGAGCCCCGCCCATGAGCCCTACATCAGGAGCCAGCACAAGTCTAGAGCCACCCACTTTCTCAGTGGGAGGAGTCTGGGGACAGAGGAGTCTCTATCCCTCACAAGAGGCTTATTTGATGCTCTTAGATGATTTTTCTCATGGGAAGAACATCTTTCTCCTTTAAGCACCCAGGGGCCCCGGCCCCAGCTCTGCCCTCCCTATACTTCCGTATGCTATTCCCATTTATTTTTAATTTCATCTCAATCTTCTTTTTTTTCCCATCAACTATGATTTGAAATTTATTTTGAGATCAACCCCTGGGGCCAGAGCTAGGAATCAAGTGGTGCTGCTGGACAGTGACCTAGGGACTTAGGTCCCATCAAAGGTGGTGGCTTATTTCTTAAGCTGGTTCCCCTCTAGGATTAGCACAGAGGTGTCTAGTGCAGGCTTCCCAAGACTTTCAAACTAGAAATTTGCAGGTGAGACTGACAAGACAATATGGGTGATCCAGAACTATCACTGAGCCCCAGGAGCATTGGTAGAAAGCCTGCTCCAACAACCACAAACCGGGTTTAAGGCATACCCATACATAGGGCCTTTTCATTTATTCATTGGCCCCCATCAGAGCCCTCTGTTCCAAATGAAGAGCTACCGAGAGCAGGAGCTCCATCTTTATCATGCACTATGCAAATGTGCAAATGTTAATGCTTGCTTGCGGGATGTCTCACCCACACAGGGAATTGCTGCACACCTGCTCACAGGGCCTGTGCTAGGCGTGTGAAGGAGGCACAGCGTGAGAGAGCGAGAATCTCTCCTTCAGGAAGCTCAATCTAGCGGGAGACGCAGGGCCATTCCTGAGCCACTGACAGGAGACAGAGGGGTCTTGGTGCTGTAAGTGAGGGATGAGGAAAGGACAGGGAAGCCAGAGAGGTCTCAGAGGAGTTTCAGGAAGGAATTAGGGAGGAAGTAGAGTGTGATCCATGGGTGTGGTTGGACACGAGGAAAGGGCCATCATGGCAGAGGGGGCAGTGTGAGCAAAGGCCCCTGTGGTGCCAGGTGTGGGGGATGCTGGATCTGAGCGAGGACTGGGGAAGGACAAGAGAATGAGTGTGAAGGGGAAGGCAAGCAGAGCAGCTGAATGCCAAACTGGGACAATAAACTGTTTCCAAATGATAGTGATGTGGGTCCTTGTGACCCTCCCTTAAGGAAGCTGCTCACTGCCTTCCTCTGCATCCCACTCTTGATAGCATCCCAAGCCATCCAAGTCCCCGGGTGAAAGGGGCCCAGCTTTGCAGCCCCAGGGCAGCCAGGTCCACTCAGAGCAGCCCAGAGTGCATACCTGTCTTCTCACCCAAGACACCCGGACGGTGGCAGGCTGGCAGAAATGATACTCCAGGACCCTCCTCCCGGGGAACTAATAGCCCAATAATCCCACAAGAGTCACTACTGTAGAACAGCAAAAAGCCAGCAAAACTGAAAAACAAACAGGGATGCTCTGGCGAGAGCCAAGCTGCTCTTTGGGCCCTCAGATTTGGGGTGTACCTGGACATCGTCTCCTGACTTACTCATTTTGGCACATCACAGAGCACACAGCATTGAGGCCCTCTACCCCACAATGATCCCCACCCACCACCTCCATGTGACAGTTCGGTTTCCTGTTCAAACTATTGAGGCAGCTCCAGCCCAGACCAGAAGGAAGCCGACAACATGGGAGTCTGGTTAGCAGCGCCTTCCACCCAGGCCCACCCCACCTGCCCTGAGCACCGCTATCTCTCTGAGTGATTATGAAGTCAAACGGCTCCCTTCCCTATTGCTGCAAACAAGCCCATGTGGGCTGTGAGACACCCCAGATCCAGGAAGCCCCAGGGCTCAGCTGACAGCTCAATTACCGTGGAGCGTCTACCCCCACCCTCCCTCCACCTCCTCCTCAGCCTTTTATTGCTTTTGGCAGCCTAGCAATGGGGGAGCCTCAAGTCAAGCTTGTTGAAAGTGCAAAAGGAGAGAAAATTGTTCTCATCTGAATAAATAGAGTCAGCTGTTGCCAGAGGGTGACATCTCCCCAGGGTGAGTTCCCCTAGACCAGGCAACCCCGTGTTGGGCTTAGATGGGCACTTGAACACAGGCCAGCGATATCTGGGTGACGCTGGAGAGGGCTGCCAAGTGGATGCTTCGTGGCTTTGGAATGCCCCAGTGGGAGGTAAGGGGGCAGGGGTTAGAAGGATTGGATCAGGAAGGAACACCATAGGTCAGCACACACTGGTCCTTCCACATCAGCAAGGGACGGGGAGGGGACAGTGGGCCCCAGCCACCACAGAACCCACTTCACAAGTTATGTCTCTGACCCCTTAGGCATGGGGCCCATGGGTGGAGTCTCTGACTCTTGCATCTGGATCTGAGAAGAGGCCCATGCAGTGAGCTGGTGCCCAGGCTGCTTCCTGACATCCGGAGAACATGGCCAAGCTGCTTTGGGAAGGTCACTCCACCCTATGAAACAGTAAGCCTGTCCCAGAAACTCAGAAAGCTTTTCCATCCTGAGAGTTACACCAAAAGGGCTCAGGAAAGGGAAGCAAAGAGCAGAGGTGAAGGGAGGTGTGGGGAGTGATGGGGAATATGTGGGAAGAAGGAGGAAGAACAGGGATGCTTGTGGTATTCCAGAAAGAGCACTAAAACCAAGTCCAGAGACCAGATTCTAGTTCCTGTTCCTTTCTAAATGAGCTAGATGGCTTCAGCTAGGCCCTAACTCTCAGGCCTAAGAGAGCAGCTGAGCTAGATGTTATCTGAGATCTTGTCAAACTTTCAACTAATATGTGGAAATCAAAAACCAGAACGATTTGAAGTAACTCCAGTCCTGTTCAGTGCCCTTTCCCCTGGACCCAACTCTAATATGGCCATGAAAGAAAATGACACACCAACCACCACTTCCTGGCATCGCTCCCAACGCAGCCTCCCTGGTCCTCTCTGCTCCAGAGATGGAGAGCAAATCCTTGTCATCTTAAGACCTAGAGATGCTGCTGCACAGGCGTACTGAGATAAACCAAATCATATGGAAAATGCTTTTCTTTCTGCTCTAGTGGAAAAGCATCCAAAGAAATGAAGTGTTGGACAGCAGTGTTTCTCCCTCCAAAAGGCAGGCAAAACCCAACAGGACAGGCCATTGACAAATGACAAAAGAAACATCCCTTGTACTGAAACATCTTCACGTAAGAAGGGGCTACCTGACATGTTATAATAGTTTTCCCATCCAAGCCAGCTTTATGCCTTGCGTTTATGTGGTGTTTGACAGTTTACAAGGTACAGCATATAGATGACTTCACTTCATCCTCACAACCTCCAAGTAAGGGAGGTGGCATTAGCCTCCCTGTGCAGATGAGAAACGGAGGCCGAGAGATGCTGGGATGTTCTGCGTTTCCCCCATTGCACGCTGTCATCTCCCAGAAGGATCATCTTTTGGGGGTGGGGTAAAGGACAGATAAAAAGAGGGTAGGGTAGTGATGAGTGCAAAAGACCAGGGAAAAGGAGTCCCAGGTTCCGTTTCAGGGTACATCTCATATCCCTGTTTCTCGATACCCCTCCGTCTTCCTCAACCATCTCAACATATGTCAAAAATGTCAGTGCTTCCTTGCCAGGATCTGCAGCTACAGGGTAACAAAAATAATTTCATAAAACTGCGAGGAGACACCTTAGGGATTGCCTAATCTACCCTGTCATTTTACAATGAGGACATTGAAGCCCAGGTTGGTGAAATGAGTTGCCTGGGGTTACCCAGCTGGCAAGCAGCAGGGCCTGGATTAGAACTTGCTGTCCTGACCCCAGACCACATGGGGACAAGCGAGGATGCCTGGGCCAATGGGAGGAACTGAGAAGGACCTGAGAAGCTCCAAACACAGCCTACCCCTCTGCATTGCCCCCACCTCACCCCCGGAGTCACACCCCCAGGCCCATATACTCCACACCAAAGTTGGGGACTGAGCCAAGAAGCCTTCCTCTCACTCATATGGAAGGACTCTGATACTCATGTCTGAGGCACTGACTCCAACTGGGAACCTCCCACCAATCCAAACACAGCAGACTGGTCAGAAAGCTTTGGTTTTTTTCCTGTTGTTTATGGAGCCACACTCTGGAGGCCTGAGTCCATCTGACATAACCACAGGGCTGGTGCAGTAGAAGAGCTTCCACCTGGGGCTGCGAGAAAGCCGCCTGCAGCCAGGGAGTTCTCTCCTCATTGCAGTCTCTTCCACTTCTCCTTTGTTCACTCAACACTCACTGGATATGCTCTTTGCCAGGTCACATGCTAGGAACAAGACCCACAGACCTGTATTAAACAGAAACACCACCTTCAAAGAGTCCTCATTCCTGCGAGAAGCAAATCACATCAACTTTTTCTGGACAAACTCCATGAATCCAAGGGGATTGACTTCATTACTTGAGAAACCAAAGCAATGGAATTCCAGCCTGGCAGGTCAACTAGACCTGGAAGCTCCAACTCAGTGACCCAAGGCTATAAATTTATTAAGGACAGGAACTTATCCTCTCCTCTTCATAACCTTCTTTCCCCCTCAGAGCCTAACACAGTGCTTGGCAAACAATAATCACACACATATTTGTTAGATGAAAAAAACAGAATGCATGAATATCCCATGTCCCTCCCTCTCCACTCTCAATTTTCTCTTTCCTCTTTTTAGAAAAACCAAACATTCTTCTCTCTCATAAGTCTCTTGGAATTGCAGTTGATCCTAAGAGCTGAGAGAATGAGAGTGATTGAAAGAGAAAGGGGGAGAGAGAGAAGAAATTCAGCCTTAGAGAGAGTTGGCGCCGTAAGTCTCCCAATTTACCTGTTTCAGCAGCTGGCTCCTCCTAAAGTGAAAGTCAAGTCACCTCAACTGTTTATGATGCGCTGAAGTGCCCAGAAGCATGTTTTTATTATAAGGGGGAAAAAGGACATTTAAGACAACATTGCCTTTAAAAGCTTATAATCTACCTTGGATGACAAATTTGGTATGCATGAAATAATCAAAGACAAACAACACAACAACACGTGACAAAGTATCTCATCAGTGGGTTCATATGGGGAAACATTTATGGAAGAGGCAGGTGTCAAAGAGATCTCAAAAAATAAATGGCGCCTAGAGCCTTATGGGGCAAGGGTGGAGGAATGAAATCAGTATCGGGGTACTCATTACATTACCACTATATTCAACAAGCTATACGCAACGCCTCGTTTAATCGGCCCCACCATCATGCGAAGTAGCTACTATTATCCCCATTTTATAGATGAGGAAACAGGCCCAATGAAATTAAGTGAATTATTCATGATTATGGTTCAGCTCCAGGCCTGTGTGACTCCAAAGCTCATGATATTTGCACTGCACTGTGTCCACGGAGGAGCTGAGAAGAGACTCTGGTGCCGATTATCATAAAACTATATAAAAAAGCAAAAGCCAGCCAAGTTGTGGAAACTACACAGAGCCTTAGCTGTTTAAAGCAGTCACCTGCTCACAGTATTTTTCAATGACTGTGACGCCCTGCCCGTCTTATCATCACCACCATCATCCTGAGTCTCCACATAACTAACAATAACCATGTGGGAGGTGCTGGGCTAAGTTATTGCTCCATTTCATCCTCCCAACAATCCAGGGAGTGTAAGTGTGCTATTGTCCCCACATTACAGGTGAGAAAACAGGTGCAAGAAAAAAACTTACCCAAATCATACAACTCTTAATTGGCAGAGCTGAGATGTCAGCGTAGGCAGCCTGATCCTGGTCCCAAGGTCCCAAACACAGGGCTCATTCTTTGAGATTCTATCTGCAGGGAAGTAGGGCGTGACCTTGCAGGTGGCACAGACAGAACAAAAGACTAAATGTGCAAATAGGAAAATGATTGGTTTGATTAGGCCACTTAAGGCTCTGAAGCAGTAATCGTGGAGGGAGAGGATATCCCACGCAGGCTGGCCTGAGATGATTCACGGAGGGAACGGGCCTTCAGGAGCTGCCAGATGGCGGAAGGGCAAGGCCTCAGGGCTGTGGGAAGCCAAGCATGGCGGGCCCTGTGGACAGCAAAGGGGAAGGAGGTGCCACTTCAAGGCCATGACTCCTGCAGAGGTAGCCCTGGGCTTGATCGGGGCCTATCCCCACACCTGCCACGTACCCCAAAGGCAGCCAGGGTCCCTCCAGTTCCTCTGTCCCTGACAAGTGATGGATGCCAGATGCCTTATCCTTCATGGGAGGAAATGTATCTTGGAATATGATCTCTCTTTAGAGTACATGTTGCTGCTTTTATAGGTTGTGAGTGGAATCCCACAGACTCCTGCTTGCCCTCCCTCCCCTCACTGCTCCTCCACTCCCAGCTCGGTGTTCCTTCGTAAATCACCAGCCCAACAGAGCCAAGTTCTGCTTCCCACTTTTTAAGTCTGAGGGCATTTATTCCTGCTGATAAACCAGATTTAGACAGCTTCGCAAACCCCCGACTGTGGCCAAGACTGTGAAGGTGAAATATTCATTGAGCTCTGGCCTGTCAAGGGGAAGAATGTACAGAATAGGCTAAACTGGCATGGTTCCTGCACGTTACTGTCCAAAGGAGAATTACTTTTGTCAAGGACTGGAGCTGGGTTTGGGGTTTGGCTAGAAATATAAATCAGGATTATTACATTGGTGCTTCCCACCAAATTCCCAGAAAGGGAAGGCAACACAGCAGGCCTCAATTTTAACCTGCGGATTCACCGTAACAAACAACGCCCCCTGTGCAAACCCAACTGTCATTGTGGCCAGTACATGACTAGACCAGAACCCTAGAAGCAGCCACGCTCCTCACCCTCTGCACTGACTCTAGCACCCTCCAGCACCCCTCATGCCTGTTTACAGAAGAGGGCAGGCCCAGGGGTCAGGTCAGAGCCAGGCCATATTGCAGATTCTGGTATTTCTTTAGTTTTGCAGGATCCTGGCCAAATCTTCCCATAGAGTCACTCCATCGTGTCAGACACCAGGAAATGGTGCTCATTTATGGGGTGTGCAAGATTGAAAAATATAACTGGTGTGTTTCTGGGGTGTGGGGGCAGGAGCCTGAGCAAGGCCATTAACCCCTTCTTCTCCTCAGAAGCTGCCTGCTGTGTATGAATACCCAGCAAAGCCAGGCGATGAGCACAGGGGCCTGCCCAGCACCATTCCCAGAGCAGCAGAGCAAGCACACGGGCAGTTTCCTTCCCCAGAGGCTGAGCTCAGGGAGACTTCCCTCTCAAATTGTGGCCCACTGCCCTGCGTTACTCTCGTGCACACCGAAGGCCTCCATGATTGATGGGAGACAGGTGACCGCAGCGAGAGGAGCCAAGTGCCTCCCAATGTCACGCTGCGTACCTTGGCATCCACTGCACATTTGTCGCAGTGGCATGGCCAACGTCACAGGATGGTGGGAGAAACATCAAGCCCCAAAGCAAGATGCATGTGGGAAAGTCCTCCCGACAGCCAACAATTGTGGGGAGACGCGCAGATTCCCAGCAAGAGCACTGGCTTTACAAACGGCTGCTATGGAGGCACACCCCATCTGCGCCGCGTTCCAGCTACATGGCCTTTAGCTGGTTGCTCTCACTCAGATTCTACTTCCTCGCCTGGAAAATGGGGATGTAACATCTGTGAGTCAGTGTCATCGTGAGAATTGACGGACACAATGCCATCAACATGGTCACAGCACGTGAGTGCCCATCAGTGAGCCCCATTCTCATTATTCTCCACGATGAGCAGAGCAGAAAGGAAGACAAGCCTCTCTCCCCCTCTCCAACCCCCAGGCTAGTCTGCTTGGCTATGGCCTTGCTGACCATCACAGCATTTGATTTCACTTCCTCTTTGTAAGACTTTGATCACGTCACTCCCCAAAACATTTAACACGTCCTCTGAAACTAACAAACAAACTCCAGGCTGAGCCTGGCCATCCTGTGCTCGGCAGGGAGCCCGGCTTTCCCATCTCCTGCCCCTCCTCCTCTCTGATTTCATGCTGCAGTCACCCGCTGTTGTCCCTGGATACCCCACAGGCCCTCCCACTGAGCTCTCGGCCCTACCGTCCACTTAGGAAATGGGAGAGGAAGGAATGTCCTTGTCTACCTCACAGAGACTCTTTTCAGTAGGAAAAGTAACAAATTACTATATGCGGACTATAAAATTCAGAGTACAAGAATTTATTATACTATATACATTGTCTGGTATGGCTTATAATTACTTTTCAGATGGTACATATGTTTTATACACTCTTCTAGATATATGATACATTTCACAATTATGTAAAACGTTTTAACAGTTTGCCTCCCACTCCAAGCCCTCAATCTACTTCTCCTGCAGCAACCACTGTGAGCAGGTTCTCATGTATCCTTCTGATATGGTTTGCATCTGTGTCCCTGCCCAAATCCGATGTCAAATTGTAATCCCCAGTGTTAGAGGTGGGACCTGATGGCAGGTAACTGGATCACAGGGGTGGCTTCTCATGAACGGTTTAGCACCATCCTTTCTCGTGATAGTTCTCAGGAGATCTGGTTGTTTTTAAAATGTGTGGCACTTTCCCCTGCCCCCTTCCTCCTGCTCTGGCCATGTAAGACCTGCCTGCTTCTCTTTCGCCTTCCACCATGTCTGTAAGTTTCCTGAGGCCTCCCCAGAAGCAGAAGCTGCTATGCTTCCTGTACAGCCTGCAGAACCATGAGCCAATTTAACCTCTTTTCTTTACAAATTTCTTAGTCTCAGGTATTTCTTTATAGCAGTGTGAGAACAGATTAATACACCTTCTGAAAATTTTCTGTTCAAATATAAAAACATACACAGCCAATTGTCACTCAAAAGAAAGTTAGCCATACACATCATTCTTTGCCTTGTTTTATTTTTTACTCAACATGGTATCTTGGAGATTCCATTTCATAGCAACGCATAGTTACCGTATTCTTTGTAGTGGCTGCACAGTTTCCATTGCTTGGATAACTTGTAATTCTTTAACTGATGCCTACTGATGAACACTTATGTTGTTTTCAGTCTTTTGCTGCTAATAACTTTGTTATAGTGGGTATCTTGTCCTTGTATATCTGCCCGTATGTATCAGTATGTTCGTAGCATAAATTCCTAGAATTTTGAATTATGAGTGTCAAACTGCTTCCCACATTAGTTTAATTCATTTATACTCTCAACACTAGCAGTGGATTAGCACTTTTTCTCGCCCTTGCCAACATTTGCTACCATAACACTGTGTCTCAAAATAATGTATGCAAAAGTGTTGTAAACTAAAGCTCCATCTATATGCAAAATAGCACGTTGATGGTCACCTCTTCGGTGAAGCCCTTCCTGATTGCTCACTCTCCAGCCCAAGGTGACTGTTTCCCTCCTCCCATCCCCACAGCACCAGTCTGTTCATTTCTTGCCACTTCCAGATACTTATCCCTCCAGATACTGTAGTTCCATATGTACTGCTTCTGTCCTATCAGACAAGCTGAACTGCCTTGCTCAGTGTCTACCCGTTACAGCTCATTGTACAGTCCTTGCACAAAATTAAGACTTGCAGGGTTAAACTCAGCTCCTACCCGGGCAGTTTCTTGGTTTCTGACTGAGCTCTGGCTGTACTGGCCAGAGGATGGTCTGAGGACACTTGCCATCACACTCTTGCAGTGTGTTATTGGTGTCTGGTTGTGTCTCCCATTTCCCTGTGCATCTCAGGACAGCAGGCCATCTCCAGTGTTTTTAAATGGACCCAGGGTGTGCTTCCTGGGTAGGTAAGCCCCAGCAGGAGTGACATGTTTCATTGTGGGCTTGTACTTAGCAGGTGGCGGCTTCACTCCAGGGAGGGGAAAACAAAGAGGGTGGATGCTTTTCTTCCTTTATTCCATGATGCCCCACAGGTAATGTGGACAGACTTTTAAAGGAAGTGAAAAGCCAAGTCCTGCCCACCCCTTTGGCCCCAGCCATCAAAGGCCTGGGACTAGCTGGCCCTAAGCCTTCAAGAGAGTAGCTGCTATTACACCACAGTGGGCAGAGCGCCAGCTCTGGAGTCTCATGGGCAGTCTTTGAGCTGCTCCTGCATGGGCTCCCCTTCTGTAATGCAGCGACACATTCCTTGTTGGCTCCTGGTGAGGACGGGGATAGTAATGTAAAGCTTTACAGGCTTTAGGAAAGGTTTTCCCAGACAAGTTTTACTGATGAAAATTTAATATTTTTTCTGAGACAAGGTCTCAGAAGGTGGCCTGGCTGGAGCACACTGGTGCAGTCGTGGTTCACTGCAGCCTCTGACTGCTGGGTTCGAGCCATCCTCCTGCCTCAGCCTCCCGAGTAGCTGGGACCACAGGCACACGCCACCACTCCGGATAATTTATTTTATTTTTAGGAGGGACGGAGTCTCTCCATATTGCCCAGGCTGGTCTCCAACTTCTGGGTTCAAACGATCCGCCCTCCTCAGCCTCCCAAAGTGCTGGATTACATGCGTGAGCCACCGCGCCCAGCCCATTGATTAAAATTGAAAAACAGAACAGAAAGCACGACCACTCCCAGGCCTAGGTGGACCCCGGCCTGTCGCCTGCATGCCCCATCCGTGTCAGTCTTGCCTGGGATCTCCCCACTCCTCGCCCAAGCGCATCCTGCGCATGCGCGCCGCTCTCCCGTCCACCCCCGGGCGCCCTAGGGGACCAGCCTCGCAAGGCGTCCGAGAGGCGGGCACGTGGCAGCCGCAGGGCCCAGCAGGGAGGCCTTCAGCTCCCGTCAGACTTGCTGCCAATAAAGCCAGGGCGACTGCCAAATTGCAGCCCTCAGTGGCTCTGTCCAGGTCCAATCCACCCAGCACCCATCTTCCTGGAGCCATCGGGGCTCCTGGGGCTTTCAGGGCTGGGCCTCCGGATCCTGTCAGTGCAGACTGGGAATTCCCACAGCCCTCCTCGTCCAACCACCCCTCTAACCCCGACCCCCACCAAGTTTCCCAGTCTGGTGGCCCAGTAGCAGAAGCAATGTGGGACCCCAGAGCCCAGAGCAGCCATACCTTACAGAGCCTGCTGCTTGCTCCAGCCCTCCCTGGCATGTCCCCACTCTCCCTTCCCCTACTCTCTCAGCTCTCCATTTTTCTTCCTCTCTGTGCATACTCCCTGCTGCTCCCTCTCTTCTATGATACATTCAGTTTCTCAGTGCCTCTTCCTCCTCCTCTCTGTCTCCCACACACACTCCCTCCCACCTCCTCTCTCTCTTTCTCCACAATGCTCTACCTCTTTTCTCCTGGTCACTTTCTGAGCTTCTGAGCATTGGAAATAACTGTTCTGGAGCCAAAGCAAGACCTGGGAAATCCTCATGGGGGAAGCTTAACCTCTTGCTGAGGGCTTGCCACGTCTTCAAAGGGTAGTTGGATGAACGTGTCTCACTCATCAGTCCCAGGAGACGCAGCGCACACCACCAGCAGCAGGCATCTGAGTGTCTCCTACCTGATGGCTTTCTACCATCCCTTGCCTCCCTCTGTTCCTTCTGCGCAAGGAAATGCCACAAATCTTTTCTTCCTCATTCACCAGGCACACATTCTTGACCTGCAAACCCTACTCCCAATTCTCTAACTCTTATTTATTCTGGAGCATAGTGGATCAGGGAAAGTGGTGATGGTAACATGGTGCACGGAAGGACATGTTGGCAGACCTGCCCAAGGAGGGAAATCTACATCTCAGAATAGAGTGAGTTCACCATCACTGAGTGTGTGCAGCCAGAGGGTAGAAGGCAAATTGTGTTGTCAAAGGCCAACAAGCATCAGACAGAGAGAGAAGGTGGGAGCAGGTGAGGGTTGATCTAGGTAGCCTTTTATCCATTACACTCCCCAGGCTTCAGGATCAGAAGTTGCAAGGAGCTCAGCTTGGTGTGGATATAGACTCTCAGAGATCTTGATTTCAGATTCCCCATCGTTCCTAATTAATCTGGCCCTTAGTAGAAGGGCTACTTCTAAATTAGAAATTTCCATTCCTTACCCCCTTACTTGCAAACACCTCTACTTTTTCTGGCCAATCCACCTGTCTTTACTTCTGATAAATGCCCACTGGGCATGGGCCATGAGGACGGACAGTGCTCTGTTGTTGTTGGTGGTGGTGGTGGTGTCTCCTATCTATTTATCTATCTATCCATCTATCTATCTATCTATCCATCTATCTATCTATCTATCCATCTATCTATCTATCCATCTATCTATCCATCTATCTATCTATCCATCTATCTATCCATCCTTCTATCTATCTATCCGTCTATCTATCCATCTATCTATCCATCTATCTATGTATCTATCTATCTATCTATCCATCTATCTATCTGTCTATCTGTCTGTCTGTCTGTCTATCTATCCATCTATCTATCTATCCATCTATCTATCTATCTATCTATCTATCTATCTATCCATCCATCCATCCGTCTGTCTGTCTGTCTATCTGTCTGTCTATCTATCTATCCATCTATCTATCCATCTATCGATCTATCTATCCATCTATCCATCCATCTATCCATCTATCTATCTATCTATCCATCTATCCATCTATCTATCTATCCATCTATCTATCTATCCATCTATCTATCCATCTATCCATCTATCTATCTATCCATCTATCTATCTATCTCTCTATCTATCTATCTATCTATCTTCTAGCACTGTCACATCCATTATCACTTTCTTCTCAAGAAACTGTGTAATTTGAAGGTGAGAAGCTTCCAACCCAGAAATGAGGACAAATCCCTCAGAGATGGAGCTAGAAAGTTGACTGCAAGCTGGGCAGTTGACACAGCCTGAGTGAGGTAGGGATTATGGAGCAGAGAGGAAGAAAATGTAGAACTAATTGCCCCGGCAGGGTGGCTGGGGGTTTTCTCCTTGGGTTGCTATATACAGATGGCCTGAGACCCCAAATAAAACTTCAGAAGGGACTCCCTTGGCCTTTAATTAACTGGAAAATAAATCACTCACCACCCCTCCTCATGTGACCCCTTGCCCATCTTGCAATGCGGAGCCTCCTTGAGCAGCATTTACTGGAAGGGCCAAGAGGAAAAGGGGCATCTGGCCAGGGAAGCTCTCTCCCTTTCCATTGTCACTGGTGCTTCGTCAACACAGAGTCATGGAAGCGAGTACTCTTGGTAAGCTTAGTAACCAAGCCTCAGCAGGCTGCTATACTTCCTAACGGAGATGCAATGTTAGGCTAAAGCAAAACATCCCAATGCTTTTCACTCCTCCTGAGAGTCATCTACAGTCAGATTCTTGTGAATTAGCAGTTTCTTTGATTCCATTGGATCATAATGGACTTCTTGGGCAGTAGGGACATCTCTGTTTTAATGGAAGAGTAAATAGAGGCAGAATTCAACCAAAAAGGCAGTATTGCTAAGGATAGGAGTACTGCCTTTAGAGTCAGATAGGCCTAAATTCTAATCTCTTTGACTTTCCTGTGAGATGTGGGACATATTCTTCTACATCCAGAAGGGATTATGACTATGGTAATAACAATGCCAGTCTCATAGCGTCGTGACGAAGATTCGATACGGTACTGCATTTAAAGCACTGAACACAGCACTTGGCACAGCCAGGCAGGTCTGTGGTCCATAAGTGATAATGTTAAAAAGGAAAGAGCAACTGTATACAAGAAAGCAAGCTCTTGTCTACCTGTTCCTGGGGCCAAAGACTGCATAGAGTTCGAGGGTTTTAGAGGGATTCGTCTGCAGTCCTAAGGTAATATGTGTAGATCTTCAATAGGAACACATGCTTCTCAAGGCATATAAAGTGCAGACTGTCTCTTTACCTACAATATTAGACAATTAATAGAGACTTAAACAGTAGTTGAAAGTAACCTCACAAGTGTTTTCAAAAATTAGCCTCTGGTTTCCAGAAAATTTTAATTTCTTCTACTTCAAAAATATTTGAAAATATAATTGACCTCCACACCGTAAAATGAAAACACAGTTTGCAACCATGATAGTAACTAAGAAGTAACCATGATAGGTAGTAAGGGTGAAGAGAGTATTGTTCAGACATATGAACAGTCATGTGTCACCTAATGACAGGGATACGTCCTGAGAACTCTATAATTAGGAATTTCATCGTTGTGCTAACACCAAGAGGTATATTAAAACAAAACTATATGGTACAGCCTACTGCAGACCTATAGGCTAGATGGTATAGCCTGTTGCTCCTAGGCTACAAACCTGTACAGCATGTTACTGTACTGAATATTGTAAGCAATTATGACACAGTAATGTTACAATTACCATTGGTAATGGTAATTGCTACAGGCAATTGTAACACAATGGCTTTCAGCTTGGCCACATGACTTGTTTTCACCAATGGAATGTTACCAAATACAAAGTGACCAAAGGCTTAGGACACACTTATGGGATTCGCCTTCTCTCATCTTCTTGAAAAGTACCATCAAGCTGTCCTGCTGGTCCCATGAGAAAAATGAGACACACCAGGAGCAGAGGTACCTTCGCTGGGTACTGCCTGAAACTGCTAACCCCAGGAAGGCATGAGTTAAATACATGGTTTGCATTTTATCAGATCTTGTGATTATCTGTTATGCACTATTACTAAAACAATAATTAAATAACTCAGAAATTGATAGTACTTACAGGGAAATTAGGTTTTGCTACGATAGAAAGCTCAACTACATGGCATTGGGCTTTGAAACAGGACAGTAGGTAGAAGCTAAAGAAAAGGCCAAGGAAATTATTATAGAGGTCAGGAAAAAAAATATCACCTTGTGTTATGTGGTGGTGAAATATTTGGTAAAATTATACCCAGCAGTAACTTGGAAGATGTATCTAATGAACTTGTAAACTTGGACAGAGTGTTGAAAACCTGAGTTGACTTCTTTCAGCTAGATATGCCAGCATAAAAAAAGAGAGAGAGAGAGAAACTTAGGAAAGAACTGATCAATCTGAACACAGAATTCAGAAGAAATACAAATAAAACAATTCTTATCTTCAGTCTCTTCACCCAGTAAAAATTCTCAAATATAGCCTAGACCAAATTAAATTATAGCACAGACCAAATACAGGGAGTTGCCAATAAAGCATGTGGACCCCAGGAGGAAGACCAAGTTAAGGGTGTACCCTTCTGTTAGGGCCTCTGGGAGAATTAAGGTGGTGCTAGTAGAGGCTCTGATCTGGACAAAACATATTCTAGGAATCTCAAAGGCGTGATTTCTCTGGAAACCATGGAAATGGACATCCCATGTCTCCAGCTGTGCAAGACTGACAACCCCAACTACTGCACTCTGCACTCAGGCCACGCACACTTCCCACAGCTGTTCCAGGCTAAGGACCAAGCATACCAGGATCCTAAGTAGTCCTGTACCCAGAAGACTTGGGGCACCTTGATAAGCTACTTTGGCTTGAACACTACCCTGCAGCCTGTGGGGCATTCTTCGAACTTTAATGTAGACTAGGAGCCTTCTACCCAAACTTCCTTCCTTTCCTCTCACCTTCAGTGGGGGATAGACCTATAGTACAGGCTGATAGCTCTCCCAGCCCTTCCTACCTCCTTCCTCATTTTCTCTAACCCCATCTTGGCTTCTGCTTCTCAGAGAGGACTGCTAGCACAAGTGGTCCAGGAGTGGTCCAAGAAAAAAGAGGAGGTTATATAGGGATTTAAGATTTGAGCTGGCTCATCCAGCCATCCTTGTTGGCAGATGAAGCTCAGATAGTCTCTGGTACAAGGTGGTGGCTCAAATTCCTAAAGATTTCACCAGTGGTACCATAGGAAATGTTGCAGCTGGGGGGAATGCCGTAGGATTTTTAAAATATGGAAAGATCAATACCTATAAAGACAACAGAGTTGGCTAATTATTGCTAAATTATATAGAGGCCCTTTATAAATTTATAAATTATAAAGAATGATAAAGACTGAGGGCCATTAACCAATAGTGGCTGTGTGAGAGCCACAGGGCCTCTTTGGGAGCTGTTGGTGAGGCCCTTGTCTCTGGCAGTGGATGAACAGACACAGCTTAATGGAAGGCCAAATGTCTAACTCTGAGTCACGGAGCTCCAGAAACAGTTAAGTACTTAGCGAATATGGATTTCTTATGCAAAAGTCAGAGCCCTGGTGGACAAAACCTGGTCTCTGAATGTGGTACAGGAACTTCCTGATGGAAGATGTTAATGCTGTAAGCATCCCCTCCTCCACAGACCCTCTGGGCTTGCAGAGATGGCTCACCCCTTACTAGGAAGAGCTAGCACTTTGGTGATGGAAGATGCTGCAGGGGCATCTCCCCAACGAGGCAACAGGTGCCCCCTCAGAAGCTGACCCTATTGCCTTTCCTGGTTGCTTGGCCAAAACTTAGAGCATAGTCCAGTAAATCCAAGGATAACTTAGCTGGGCACACACTGTACCTACTAGGGGAGGAAAGAAACTGTACACTGAAAGATTTGCAAACATTAGCCTCCATGTGCCAGCAGGAGCAAGGAGTGCTCCTGGGATTGCATTCTGAAGGCACTTGATGGCCAGAATGAAAGACTTAGTAAGCAAATGTTAATTGACTTCAGGACATTCTCTGATCAATGGATTTAACACTGTTGGAAAAACCTCAGGTGATGGCACAAACAGCTGCTGGGATGGCTTTTAAAACCCTGGAAAAATCGTGGTCACTCATCAAGTTGGACAAGTCCAAGCTGCCCTGGCAGGCAGTAGAGGAAGGCATGAAGAGGCTGAGAGAAGTGGTCCTGCTGGGGCAGATGGATTATGTAAGGCTGGAAGACCCACCAGAGGACTGTGTTCCATAGGAGTGCCCCAAAGACCCACCCTTTACCTGGGCCACTGATCCAAAGAATGTTGATGGGGATGACAGTTGCCAGATTTAGCAAATAAAAATACAGGATTCCAGTTAACTTTGAATTTCAGATAAACAATATTGTTTGTATAAGTATATTCTATGAAGATTTTGAATTACACTTTTGAAAATGCCGTTGTTTATCTGCAATTCAAAGTTGAACGGGCATCTTGCATTTTATCTGGCAACCTTCATGGTGGCTTTCCCCTGCATGACTCATGGTAGGAAAGACAGGAACAAAGCTGGGCTTGTTAATATCCACCAGAATGAAAGGGCTCCAGAGAAATAGAGGCAACCAGAGTGCTGCTTAGACATCCAAACTGGAAAAGGGGAAGTCTTATTGCCCCTCTTTGCTGATATTATGATCCTTTATCTAGCTAAACCTAAAGACCACACCAAAAAAAAAACCTCTTAGATTTGATAAATAAATTCAGTAAAGTTGCAGCATACAAAGTCAACATACAAAACACAGTAGTGTTTCTATACACCAATAAGGATCTAGCCAAGAAAGAAATCAAGAAGACAATCCCATTTACAATAACTACAAAAATATATTAAATGCCTAGGAATAAATTTAACCAAGGAAGTGAAAGATTTCTACAAGGAAAACTTAAAAACACTGATTAAACAAATTGATTATTAAAAAAAAAATCCCATGCTCGTAGTTCAGAAGAATTAATATAGTTAAAATGGCCATATTGCCCAAAGAACTCTACAGATTCAATGCAAACTCTATCAAAATATGAAGGTCGTTCTTCACAAAATTAGAAAAAAATTCCTAAAATTACTACAGAACCAAAAGAAATCTCAAATAGTCAAAGCAATCCTGAGCAAAAAGAACAAAGCTGGTGGCATCACATTACCTGGCTTCAAAAATATGACAAGGCTATAGTAACCAAAACAACATGATATTGCTATAAAATAGACACATAGATCAATGGAACAGAACAGAGACCCAGTAATAAAGCCAACTGATATTCACAGCCAACTGATCTTCAACAAAGCTGAGAAGAATTTACATCAGAGAAAGGACACTCTCTTTAAAAAATGGTGCTGGGAAATTTGTTTTGTTTTTTTATTTTTATTTATTTGTTTTGAGATGGAGTCTCACTCCGTCACTCAGGCTGGAGCACAGTGGTATAATCTCAGCTCACCGCAACTTCCACCTCCTGGGTTCAAGCAAGTCTCCCACCTCAGCCTCCTGAGTAGCAGAGACTACAGGCCCGCCTCACCAAGCCCAGCTAATTTTTGTATTTTTAGTAGAGATGGGGTTTCACCAGGTTGGCCAGGCTGTTCTTGAACTCCTGACCTCAAGTGATCCACCTGCCTCTGCCTCCCAAAGTTCTGGGATTACAGGTGTAAGCCACCCACCCAGCCAGTGCTGGGAAATTTGGATAGCCACATGCAGAAAAATGAAACTGGACCTGTATCTCTCACCATATACAAAAATCAACTCAAAATGGATTAAAGACTTACACAGAAGACCTAAAACTATAAAAGTATTAGAAAAAAACTTAGGGAAAACTCTCCTGGACATCGGTCTAGGTAAAGAATGTATGACTGAGACTTCAAAAGCACAGGCAATAAAAACAAAAATAGACAAATGGGACTTAATTAAACTAAAAAGCTCTGCACAGCAAAATAAATAGTCAACAAAGTGAAGAGACAACCTGTTGAATAGGAGAAAATATTTGCAAACTATTCATTTGACATGTAACTAATATCCTGAATATACAAGGAACTCAAACAACTCAACAGGAAAAAAAAACAAAAACAATAATCTCATTAAAAAGTAGGCAAAGGACATGAATAGACATTTCTCAAAAGATGACATACAAATGGCCAACAGGTATATTTAAAAATGTTCAACATCACTAACCATCAGAGAAATGCAAATCACAACCATAATGAGACAGCATCTTACCCCAGTCAGAATGGCTATTATTAAAAAGACAAAAAGTAACAGATGTTGGCAAAGATGAGGAGAAAAGGGAACTCTTACACACCGTTGGTGGGAATGTAAACTAGTATAGTCACTATGAAAAATAGTATGGAGATTTCTCAAAAAAACTAAAAATAGAACCATATGATCCAGGAATTTCACTACTATTTATCCAAAGGAAAATAATATATCAAATGGATACTTGCACTCTATTGTTTATTGCACCAATATTCACAATAGGAAAGATATAGAATTGACCTCGTGTCCATCAACAGATGACTGGATAAAGAAAATGTGGTATATACACACAATGGAATACTATTCAGTCATTTTAAAAGAATGAAATCATGTTGTTTGCAGCAACATGGACAGACCTGAAAGTCATTATCTTAAATGAAATAAGCCAGGCACAAAAAAACAAGTATCACGTGTTCTCACTTATATATGGAAGCTAAAAACTTTAATCACACAGAGGTACAGCATGGACAGATAACAAAGACTGGGGAAGGTGAGTGGGAGGAGGGAGGAGGATGAGGAGAAGTGGGTTAAAGGATACAAACACACAGTAAAATAGAAGAAATAAATTCAATGTGTACTAGCAAAGAAAGGTGTCTAGGGTTAACAAAAGTGTACTGTCCTTGGGTGATGAATGCCCTAAATACTCTGACTTGTCCACTATACATTATATACATGTAACAAAATTTCTCATGTACCCCATAAATTTGGACAAATCAAAGAAATTTTTAAGAGTACTGCCTAATATTTATAATCCAAAAAAGGCAAAATTGGAGGAGGAGGAAGCTGAAGGCAGAAGAAGTTTATCCCAATCAAAATATTATCTCTTGCTCATTTCTCAGACCTGACTGATACCCATTGACTGGAGACATTACTAGATTAGTAAGAGGAAACACCTTGCCCATCATGGCAAATATCTCATGATAGATACCATGTGATTCCCAGAGGGTCCTACAGCCATCTTCTCATGTGACTGTATATCAGGGAAAGGGAATAACCAGAATTTTCCAGGACAAGTGAATGTAGGCTCTAAGTTGACATTGACACCCAGAGACCCACAGCATGGGAATGGTCCATGATATAGTTTGGATTTGTGCCACTCCCCAAATCTCATGTTAAATTGTAATTCTCAGTGTTGGAGAAGGAGCCTGGTGAGAGGTGATTGGACTATGGGGGGTAGATTTCCCCCTTGCTGTTTTCATGATAATGAGTGAGTTCTCATGAGATCTAGTTGTTTGAAAGTATGTAACACTGCCCCCGCAACCTTCACTTTCTTCCTTCTTCTCTGGCCGTGTAAGGTGTGACTCCTTCCTCTCATCTTCGTCATGATTGTAAGTTTCCTGAGGCCTCCTCAGCCATGCTTCCTGTACAGCCTGCCAAACTGAGTCAATTAAACCTCTTTTCTTTATAAATTACCCAGTCTCCAGTAGTTCTTTATAGCAATGAGAGAACAGACTAATACAGCCCCTCTGTTAGAACTAAGACCTCTGAAGCCAGGTAATAAGTATGGTCCTGGCTCACGACAGGTCTACCTACAGTACAGCTCATGGTGGGCGTACAGGGTCCACAGATGCACACTATCCCCAAGCATATTATTGGAATTGTCCTGCTTGCCAGCTGGAGTAACCCTGATGGGTCCCTGGATTATGGGATAGGAGCTATCATAGTAGGAAACCTTAATTGGTAATTTCTGAATTGTTACCCCAACTCCCTCAGCCAGTGTCACATCCCTGGGGGGGATGGCATGGCAAGTGTTACCATTAACAATAAAATGCTGGACCTGTAATCCCTATGATATCTCCTGTTAATCTACCAGTCTGGCCCCTGCAGAAGCCAATGAACCACGGAGAATGACTGTACACAACCACAGGCCTAAGCAAGTAGGAACTCCCATTGTAGCTAATGTATCCAAAAAGATTTTATTGCTAGAGTAGATGAATAAGGTATCAGAGTATGTGACCACTGATTTTGCAAATGTATTTTTTCCATTCCAATTAAAAAGAGAGAATCAGCTGGGGATGGCAGCGTGCACCTGTAGTCCCAGCTACTTGGGAGACTGAGGAGGGAGGATTGCTTGAGCCCAGGAGTTCAAGGTTGCAGTGAGCCATGATTGCACCTGTGACTAGCCACTGCACTCCAACTGAGGCAACAGAGTGAGACTTCATCTCTTAAAAAAAAAGAATTAAAAAATAAATAGAATTAGAAACAGTTTGCATTTGTGTGAGCCAGAAAATGATATTCCTTCACAGATTTTCCATGAGGCTATATGAACTCTCCCTCTCCCTGTCACAATAAAATCCAAAGATATCTGACTGCCTAGATATCTCACAGAATATGGCACTGACCCATTATATCACAAGCTCATGTTGATTGGGAAGAATGGGCTTTGGGAAAACACATGCACTCCAGAGGTAGGTTATAAACCCCAGGAAGATTCAGAGATCAGCCACTTCAATGAAGTTTTTAGGGGTTCAGTAGTAAGAGGCATACTAGGATATGCCCTCCAGAGTAAAAGACAGATTGCTGCATCTTACATCCACCGCCACAAAGATGGAAGCACAGAGCCTGGCTGGCTTCTTTGGGTTTCCTAGGCCACACAGTCCTCATCTAGAAAGATTGCTCTTCTCCATATACTGGATGGCATGGGAGGCTGCCAGCCTTGAGAGGGGTCCAGATTAGGAAAGTTCTCTGCAGTACGTCCAGACCATGGTGCCAAAAGTCTTGACACTCAGGCCATGTAATCTGGCAGACTCTGCGGTGCTGGTAGTGTCCATGTTGGGGAAAGATGCAGCATGGAGATTTTGATGAGCCCCAGTGGAAAATCACGATATAGGCCTCTGTGATTCTGGTGTAAGGCCATCTGAGAACAGTTCTTGGCATATTATTGAGCCCTGGTAGAGACAGAATGCTTGACCACAGGACAGCAAGTAAGCACACACGTGGAACTGCCCATTATGAGGTGAGCCGTGCTCTATCAGACATAAGCCACAAAGCTGATGAGCCAACATAAAATGGAAGGTGTATTTCTGAGATTGAGCCTGAGCAGGATGGGAGGGCATGAGTAAGCTGCATGAGCAGACAACCCCAACCCAAGCCACTAAGCTTGTGGCAATTTGTTACAGCAGCAAAACCCTTCTCACTGGCCCATGGATCCTAACCGCCATGTTGTGAGGCAGCCCAGGCCATGTGGGGAGGCTATGTGTAAGGGCTGTAGCTGACAGCCCCAGCTAAACATCAATGTCAATTCTGTAAGTGAGCCTTCAGGTGATTCCAGGCCCCACACTTCCAGTCTTCCAGAAGAAGCAAGCCCCAGACATTAGGGAGCAGAGACAAGCCACCCAGATGTACCCTGTCCAAATTCCTGACCCACAGAAACTAGATTACATTGCTATTGTTGTTTTGAGTTACATAATATTTATTTAGCTTGGGAATGATTTGTTATACAGCAGTATATAACTAATACATTATGATTAAAATTTTATCTTAATAGTGTAAGAGCAGACAAGACCTTGGAAACTACCCAAATGTCCAGCCATAAAATGGTGGCTCAGTGAATTTTGATACTCCATATTATGAAACATTATGCAGCCAGTAATAGCACATTTTTGATAAATGATTCATGATAAGACAATTCCCATTTTAGTACTATCTTGAAAAAATAGGTATGTGCTGACTTTTTTAAAAGGCAAAAATGGAAAGGAGTGTTTATTTCCCTATATGCTTGCTAACCCAAATCTTTTACTTTTACCATTTTAGTTGTTACTTCATTTTTTATTTTATATTTTTATTGCTGAGAGATTAAAGACTTTAAATACGTATGAGCTTTTTGTGTTTCTTTTGTGAATTGACTGTTCATGATTTTTCCCATTTCTACCGCAGCATTCATTGCTTTTCTTACTAATACACGAAGTTTTTTCTATGTTCAAAGTATCATTCCTCTGTGTATGTTACAAATTTTTTCCAGTTTTGCCATTTGCTTTTTCATTTTGTTTCTGGTTGCTTTTCTTGCCCTTTAATTAGACTCAAACGTGAGGAACACATAGGGTTTGCTGTGTGCTATGAGGATTGTAAAGAAAGCAGAATGTCTTCACCACTGACTCACTTAGGATGTAACTAGGGGGTGCCAGTCACACATACACGGATCACCGAGTGAGAAAGCCTCTAAGCCAGCGTGTAACATATTCTTAAAGTCAGATTTCATGATCAAACTGATTTAGGATCTATTAGGATAAACAAAGTTCAAAACATGTCTCTATCATAGGACAGCACAGAATCTTTCATATGCTAAACTATATTATGGCTTTTCGAGGTACACCGGGGGTGGGAGAGGGTAATGACTGTGTGTGCCATGTGAGGTAGGGATGGGCTACCCAGAGGAGGTAAAGGAGGAACTGGGCTGCGAAGGCCATATAGGTTTTGACTTCATAAAATGGGAAGATATGATAGAGAGGGAAGCAAGAGAAGGTGGAACAAGCCAGAACTAATAGATAACACTGCTCCCCAAAACCAGTTAGAACAGGCCATGGAAAGACAGCACAGGGCTATTCTTTCATTTTGTCCTCACTGCCTGTCTTTCCTTACACATTCTGCCCAAATTTCTTACAGGAGAAGTGATCTGGGCCTATTTCTCTGGCTCACGTGGTCTGCATCCTGGGATCAGTCATAGCCCTTAAGCCCTGTGCCAGAGGGAGATGCCCAGACAGACACCAATCCCTAAGGGACAAGGCCCTGCCCCCGGTGGCTCTGAGCAAGATTTCTTGAAAGCCTTAACTTTGCACTCCCTCCCCGCCCTTCCACCCAGGTTCAGTCATTGAGTTCTCTGGCATCGATGCCTCTTAAATATTTGCAGAATGCTCTCCCACGCCCCTCAGTTGGTGTTGAGGTCAGGCCAGCAAGTTCTGCTCATTTAGGTTTTACTCATAAATCATTCTGTCCCTTCCCTTTCAATGCTTTGGTGGTTCTTCCTTCCCATGCCTGTGGAGCCTCCTCAAACCTCAGTGCTCCTTCTAGTCTCCAGGGAAGAACCTGTTCCCACCGCTGGCCTCTGAGAAACCCCAGCGGCAAAGCCCGTCCCGTGGAGCACTGACACTTCTCTCTGTCCAAACCAGGGCAGCACCGTGAGCTCACCAATGACCTGGTATCACTCTCTTGGCTCCAGAGAGGTCCAGCCCCAGATACAGAGAGTGGCACGGGGCCTTATCAGTAGGCATAGGAGGGAGACTCAGGACACCTGGGTTGTATTCCCAGCTTAACTTGCAGTTTGCACAAGTCACTCACTCTTTCCTGCTGGGACATGACTTCACTAACTACCCACTCCTCAGCCCTCGGGCTTCCTGTCACAGAGTCTAAATGGGTGTTGTTGGTGGTGTCCAGACATAAGGCAGCCTGATGAGGAAGCTGACCTCCAGGAGGAATTCACGCATGACAATCCCACCATCTTTATCCCCATAGTCTTTATCCCGAGGATCACATTTCTTTGAAATTGAAATTCCTTGATTCCAGAATCCTACATAGGAAATGACTATGAGATAACAGAAAGAATTAGATACCATGTCCTAAACTCTGAATTGGTCTAACCCAGAGTTAATTCCAATAATATTTTCCATTTAGCACACACCTGGTCTCTGACAGAGACTTGCTAAACCCTCCTCATAAAACTATGCGAAGTAGATATCATACCTATGAAGAACAAAATCCAGAGAAACTCACTCATTTACCCAAAGTCACACACTAGAAAGTGGCAGAGAAAGGGTTCCAGGGCACAGCTCTGCAGCCCAACCATCCTGACCTCAGGGGCACGGCAGGCAGCCAGAGGACGTTTTCAATAGTTACGCGTTTTGGAAGGTGAATGAGAAGCTATTCAACTCAGAGTTTGTGACTATATTTCCCTAATCTATTTTGTGGACCTCCCTTCAGGCTATTCTTGTTGGTATTATTAGGACACAGAAACAAAACTCACTGAAAGAATTTTGGAACTTCCTAGATGCCCAGAATCATTCTGCTTGGTCTAGAAGCATGAGAAGATACGTCTCAATATAGCTATAGCCTGTCTATCAGTTTTTCCATATGTTTTAACCTATTTGTCACATTCGTTCAAGAGTCCGGTTGGTAAGACTAAACCTTCAAAATAAAGATAGATGATGAGTCTCAATAGCCAAGAGAAGGACAAACCATAATTGTTAAAGGAACCCAGAGATCAGTGTGTCTCTGGGAGGGAGTCACTGGGAGCTGGAATGATGGTAGGGAGCATGAGCCTTTCAGCCAGGCTCAGTCCTCCAAAGCTGTGGCCTCTGGGTCTCCCTCTGCCGTAAGAAACCCTCAGCATCTGCCCCCATTCCAATGGCTGATATAAGGGCCCTTCCACTCTCCTGGGGGCAGTGGCCTGAGTCTAGATCCACTGGAGCAGGCCTCAGGGCAAAGGCTGCTCATCACCCCTTCAGGCCCCTGACCGTGAATGCACAAAAGAGTCCCTTTGTCGCTGTTACACTGGGACTTTTCATTCTCCCCAAGGCCCAAGAGCTGCTGTGTGCACAGAGCCCGCCTCCTGCCTTCCCAAGACACTTTGATCCTCCTCCCATTTGAAATCTTGCTGGCTTTTCAACACCCTCCCATACAATCATGTTCTTTTCTTTTCAGTAACCAAGCTGTTCTCCTTATTTCGCCTCAGTTCTCTCCAACAACCCTGACCAAGAAGAGTTCAAGAAGGCAGATCCCAAGAAAACAACAGAATCATCACGTTCAGTTAGTTACTGGCTAGGGTGAATATGGAACGCCTTGCATAGAGTTCAAAAAACATTTGTTGGATGAAAGGATGAATAAGTGAATGAAGTGCTAAGGGGAAATGACAGCAAAAGCCAGGGAAAAAACATAAAACAGTTTCTAAGAAATTGTATCAGGTGGTCTCTTCCATAGACAACTGGTCAACTCTGAATTTCCAGAGTTATCTTTGACTCCCCTCTGCCATACCTATGCCACGACTCTCCTGTACCCTTCGGTTACGTCTGTGTCATATTCAACCTTTTCTCTCCATTTTCTCTTCCATCACCCTAGTTAGTGTATTCTCATAGCTGGTCCAGTTCTGGGGCCTTTTTAACTGGTCTTTCTGCTCCTCTTTTCCATCTTGTCCATTCATGCTACACACCATCACTCAAAACTGGACCCAAGCTCCATCCTTGTGTAGTACCACTCTGAACATGTTTCACTTCCCAGTCCAAAAAGAGTCAAAGGTCTTCAGTGCTTAATGTACAAATATCTTGAATCTGATGCAAGGTCCTCTGTGATCTTTCTGTCTCTGTCATCACTTCCCCTAAGGTCAGCATATGTAGTGAAAAAGGATCTGGATGAGGGGTCATGGGCAGCGGTTCTAATCCACCCTACCATGCTTAGTCATAAAACCTTGGACAAGCCAGCTGAAATTTCTGGACCTAATATTCTCAACAGTAAAATGAGGAAATTGAGCTTGATGATCTGTGACGTCTCTCCCAATTCTAACATTCTTTTCTTTTTGAAATGGAGTCTTGCTCTGTCACCCAGGCTGGAGAGCAGTGGCCCAATCTTGGCTCACTGCAACCTCTGCCTCTTGGGTTCAAGCAATTCTCCTGCCTCAGCCTCCCAAGTATCTGGGATTACAGGCGCACACCACCATGCCCAGCTAATTTTTTGTATTTTTAGTAGAGACGGGGTTTCACCATGTTGGCCAAGATGGTCTCCATCTCTTGACCTTGTGATCTGCCCTCCTCGGCCTCCCAAAGTGCTGGGATTACAAGCATGAGCCACCGCGCCTGGCCAAAAATTACCTCTTCTACCAAAATGTCACTGGCTCACAAACATTCCTCTTACTTTCCTACCCTTGCTCTTCTGAAGATGTGTTTTTCTTATTTAGATGGACTTTCTTTCCTCTCACCCAAATCACAAACATCTTTCCTGACACCCCCTGAAACCCTATCTCTCGGTAAAGCTTGTCTGAGCTATCGCAAATTAAATGTCACCTTCTTCTGCCTCAGCTCCATCACAGGCATGGTACTCATCACATGTGACTCCAATTGTTATTACTTGGTGTATATGTGCCCTGCTTGTCGAACTACATAGTCAGCTTCATGCTGTAAGGTGGGAATACCCTTGTACACAGCAGGCAACCCGCACACGGGTGATGACTGGTTTCAGATGGTAAGAGCACCAGACCAGCAGTAGGACACCTGGGTCCTAGTCTCTACTGACCTTAAGCGTCTCACCTCTCTGCCTCTTAGCTTTCTCATCTGTAAAATCAGTGCTTTGAACTAGGTTACTAGCTCATCTCTGAGGTCCCTCCCAGAGCTGTGGTTTTCTGATAAAGAATGATATCAGAATGATTTTCTGATAAAAACTTCTTGGCGTTTCAGTTTTCCTTAGATTTTTTCAAAGCCTTTTTTCTTATTCTTGGGGCCTCAGCAATGGAAGTTGGAACTTTCAGATAAGGAATATCAGTCTCTCTCACCCAGCCCAGGCCATCTCTGGAATGCAATTGGGAGTTCAGCTGTAATGAAGACTGCGATGTGAATTTCCAGTTCATCTCAGCTAGCTGGATTATTCTTCAGGAGCAGACTGTTTACCCACAAAAGATGGGCTGTTTGGCATGAAAGGCTTCTCACTGTATTCTTTACACTTAACACCACCTACTGTTAGCCACAACTCCAATGCCAGCATCCTAAGGACAGGAGTTTAATAAAGTTTTAGAATATTTCCCTTCACAGATGGGCTAGAGACCAAGTCGAGATCACAGGCTCTTACACAGAAACCAGCATTGAGTTCCTGTTGGTGTTTCTAGAAACATAATTATTTCTGTAGTTACTGGTTTCAGTTAAGGCTGGGAAGATGCCTGAGACCTTTAAAAACATTGACATCTTAATCCAGAAAATAGAAGAAAAACAGATCCTCACAGTGGCAAATTTCATCTCCTGGTAGGACTGTCACAGTAATGCAATTATTGCCTGCAATTACCAAAGAATTAATAAACTTATCCTTATTCTCCAATTTGGCACCACATATTCACACACACACACACACACACACACACACACACACCCCAGCCCTCACCACATTCCAACAGTGGCTTCATTATTATATCATTTTAGGCAAGACACCACACTGTGTCAAGATTTTAAAGACATTAGCAAAATGTGCCATGGGGGAAAAGGCAATAGGATGAAACAAGAATTTCTTCTCTAAATGCCTAATTGTGTGCTGAGTCATCCGCCTTCACCCTTTCCCACCCTCGGGAATAACAACTGCTGTCGTCTATTGAGTGCTTAAGGGACTCCAGTCTGGGAGACTGGGCTGAGAACTTCAATGCACACATCTTTCAGTTAACCCTCATGGGAGGTAGGCACTGTTATTGTCCCCTTCTAGAGATGGGAACTGAGGTTTAAAGAGGGCTCAGAGCCCAGAATCACAGAATAAGTAGCACAGCCGGGCGTCAGACTCAGATCTCTGTGGCTCCAGAGCCCATGGTGATAGCCACCTTGAAATACAGCCATATTCATATCTTTTTGGCCTCACAGGGTGTCCTAATTCATTTCATTTGTTTGGATAAGTACAGATGGCTAGGATCACCCTAAGCTTGTCTTAAGTAGTTTCTCAGCTATTCCTGGGAACTTAGCAAGAAATGATAGCCAAGGTTCCTCAAGGCCACGTAGGAATATGAAGTTTGAATCCTTTCTTGATTTAGGGGGAAAGATTACTTCCCAGGACTAATACCTGCCTATTCCCACTTCCCTGCCTGGTCCCCACGATGAAAAGGAAAGAGAGCACTGAGTATCTAGAGTGGGATGGGAAACTGGGCCCAAGCCAGCAGGTTTAAATACCTTCTGTCTGTACAGCATCCTGTGAAGTGATAAAGGGAGGCGTGGCTGGGAAGGGGGTGAATCATCTCACCAAATGTTCTTTTGTCTGCAGAATGAATGTGGCCATTAATGCTGCTCAGCCTTCCTCTTCCAGAAAACAATGGAACTCGACTGAATCACTGACTCCCTTTCAGGCATCTCCTTTTGGCTGTCTGACCCAGCCCCCTAATTGAGACTCAAGCTGTTGTCCCTGGCTCAGCAATCGGCACCCATGCCAGTCCAGAGAATGGATCTGGTCCCATAGCCTGTGGCTATCTATGGTGCTCTGAGCTAACCCTTTGATGAAGAAACCAGAAAACCAAGATTTCATGCTCTGGTAGGGCAACATCTCATGGCATAGGACAGACAGTGCTACCTTTTAGATACCCCAGGTTCCCACATTAATACCCGACACCCTGTGGGAACAGGGTAGTCCTGAATTGAGATTTAAAGCCCAAGTAGAAATCTTCATTTTGGCCTCCCAAGACAAGGCCTCTAAGTATTTTGATCAGAGTTATCAGTGCTGACAGGCAAGTGATGCTTCTACTCCTATCCAACTACTGCTCCTTAAGTGGGTCCTGCCTCGGGAATCTTAGAAGGCTTGGTGGGAATGTGATTAGTGAGGCAGGCCTTGGGCATTTCTGGGTCCCTCCCTTCCTGTGACCCCCATCAACATGTCATCACAGACTTACCTAGCACCCAGGATGACATTGTAGAGAAAATATGGTTTTTAATGACTAAGCCAAAAAGTAATTCAGAAAAGTGGGACTCCAAATGTGAGAAAGTTTTAGGAATACTTTATTCAATCTATTTTACTCAAAGTTTCCTTTCTTAGGCATGTACAATTTTTTAAAAACTTATGTGTAAGTAAGTCTAGAAGGGCATTTTAAAGACCTTTTTTAAAGAAAACTGTTGAGCAGTGAGAGGAAAAGACCTTAATTCATAGTTGTTATGGTCTGAATGTTTTTGTACCCCCCAAAATTTATATGTTGAAACTTAATCCCCAATGGGATAGTATTAGAATGTAGAGCCTTTGGGAGGTGATTAGGTTTTGAGGGTGATGCCCTCATTAATGGGATTAGTGCTTTATAAAAGAGACCCCAAAGTGCTGCTTCCATCATCTGAGGACATAGCTAGAGGGCTCCATATATGAGCCAGGGAGCCAGAGAGAAGGCACTGACTGTGAAGCAGAAAGCAAATCTCCACCACACACCCAACCCGCTGGCACCTGAGCTTGGACTTCCCACCCTCTAGAACTGTAAGAAATAAATGTCTTTGTTCATAAGTCATCCAGTCTAAGGCATTTTGTTATAGCAGCCTGAATGGACTAAGACAATATCTTAGCTTAAAATCACGCAGCCAGGCAATGACAGAACCAAGACAGGAATCAAGGACCCATCCCCGGTGCCGGGATCATTTTGCTGTGGCTCCAGTGCCCTGCAGGCTGGCATTGAGCCACATCAGGTGTCCCCTCAATGCTGCCATCTGCTTGGAGCTCTGCTGGAACACTTCCACCCTCTGCCAGCATGACCAGCATGACCCACCCCCACACCCCAGCACAGGGGACAATGAATTTCTATGAAGACATCAAATACACTTCTACTTCCTTCTCAGGTGACCACTGAGTGTGCATGAAAAGAAGCCAGCCAGCTGCCTGAACATGGCAAAGGAGACTCAGCCACCTGGCCCAGCCGTCAGAGCTTGAGGCCTCGGTTCCCATTCCCTTCCTAGGAAAGTGTGAGCCACAAGCCACATGGGGACTTGGCAGTGGAAGCAGATCTCACTGGGCAAACAGAAGAGAAGGCAGAGGAGAGTGGGAGGCGGAAGTCCTCGTGTCTCCAACTGTTGGAGGGCCTCTCGGAGAGGGAAGGAGGCCCAAAGATCTCAGCTGAAGCCAGGACTAGAACTTTGCAAGGCTGACCTTGGCACCTGGACCCAAGGCTGTAGCTGTAACTCTTAGGCTTGCCCAGGACATGTTTCTATCATGAAAATCTTTGGAGATCTTCACCAGATTTTTTGGTGGCTTAAGAAATATTAGGGGAAGGGGCCTAGTGAACAGATTATTGCCTTTGAGCCCGTGGTTGCTGGGAATTACCAGGTTTCTATTAAAAGTTTTGGTAGTCAGAGCGAAGATGTGAGGAGGCTGCTTCATTGTTCAGAGACCCTGGAAATAAACTCTTGAAAGCCATGGGAACTGGGATGGTGGAAGGATGCTGCATTTTGCAAACAATCTTAAACATCTCGTCCCAGCTCCTCCATATATTTGCCATGTGGCCTCTGCTTCCTCATTTGAATATGGGGATAAAAATAAGCACTTTGAAGGGGTGTTGGAGGACATAAAAAGTACTTGGCTCATAGCAGGTGCCCCCCAAATATTTGTTCATTCTTCTAAGCCTTGAAGATTCCACCAGTCAGTGTTATGTTTAAAAACATCTTTTTAAACAAAAGAAGCCTTTGTAAAATAGTCAGGAGTTTTCACTCAGAAGCTGTGGGATTTGCAGGATGCAATTGGATATCATTTTCATAACGGCATGAGCTGTGTGGTCCTACTGGTCAGGGAGAATATGGAAAGAAGATAGAATTCCATCAATGTCAAAGGTCACTGCAGCTAGATGGGAAAGAAATTAATACATTGTAGACAAAGGAAAGCAAAGTCAAATCATGTAGCAGCCTGGGTTGAAGGCAGAATTTCCTTGACTAGCCCAGGATGGGGCCTGGTGATATAAAATGGAAGTAAGCAGAAAAGGATGCCCTAAATTCTTAACACCCTGTATGGCACAGGTCCCAGCAGACATACCAGAGGTAAACAGCCCTGCACCCACGCCAGGGTGCACAGCCTTTCGGTACAGCTGACCACTCGTGATGTGTAGGCTACAAATAGGGCTGACAAGAATCCAGGCTAAAATCCCAGCTAAAATCTCTGAATTCTCTCAAATTGCTTGAGATAGCATCATTATGTCCTGAGTGGGTAAGCATTTTTAACTCTGGAAAGATTTAGAACTAAGAATAGAGGCTGGGCATGGTGGCTTATGCCTGTAATCCCAGCACTTTGGGAGGTCGAGGTGGGTGGATCACCTGAGGTCAAGAGTTCAAGACCAGTCTGGCCAACATGGTGGAACCCCGTCTCTACTAAAAATACAATAATTAGCTGGGCATGGTGGTGGGGGTCTGTAATCCCAGCTTCTCGGGAGGCTGAGGCAGGAGAATCACTTGAACCTGGGAGGCAGAGGATGCAGTGAGCCAAGATCGCACCACTGCACTCCAGCCCAAGCAACAAGAGCGAAACTCAGTCTCAAAAAGAAAAAAAAAAAAACAAGAATTAAGAATAGAAATGTTTAAGAGAACCAAACTTAGAGCATTAATATTTATGCATTAAGAAGGAACCCGTATATACTTGGAAGTATCAGTATTTGTAATATTCAAGAGAATTTTGAGTATTAAAAAATATACCTGCATTGAACATTTCTATTTGAAATGTGTGACTTACTGTATATTTAAGTGTAATCTTACTAAGTTTATACACTGTACTGGAACAGTTAAGAGTACTTAATCATCACATATGTAAGTTTATTTTATTGCATTTCTAAGTTACTTAAGAAGTTGGGAAGGTTTATTTTGTTAAGATATTGAAAGACTTCAAAATGAGATTAAAATATTCAATTTATAAATGCAGTTTAAAAGGCTTAGAGGCATTTAAATGGCTATAAAAGGCCCACTTAGTAATCAAGGGTCCCTTTAAAAGTAATTGCCAACATTTGCTAAACTTGGAATAATAAGAATTTTAAAGTATAACTTTAATACATTTAATTTTCCAAAACCAAAGAAACTCTGTATAATATTTTCTATACATAAAGTCTCTTCCTGAGGGCAAAAAACAAAACAAAACAACCAACCAAAAAAACTGTATTTGGAAAAAAAATGAAATCTTAAGAAAAAAATATCAAAAATAAAGCGGACTACTCCAACCACACAGGAGTGGGCCTGAATCCAGCGTGCTGGTCTACCTCTTGGCTTATCTCTAAACCCAGACTGATGCAAATCCCACCACCACTCCCTCCCCATCCACACCTGTCTCACTCTCTACCCATGGGGGAGACAAACTGAGTAGCACCAGGGCAAGTCAAGGAGGACGATACACCAGGTAATGAAAAGATCACCAGCTTTGAATTCACACAGACCTGGATTTGAATTACAATCTGTGAGCGGTAAGAAAAGTTATCTAAATCCCCTGAGGATCAGTTTCCTAGTCTCTAAGTAGGCATTTTTTAAATGCCTACTCTGAGAGTTACTGAGAAAAGTATACGTAATCACGTATTTTTTCAACTTTTGCCAGTAGTCCCTGGGGAATGTGACTGTGAACAAGACACAGCCCCACCCAAGAATAGCTGCTGATGGCTGCACGCAGGATTAGTGCCCAACCAATGGCGACTGCACCTGCAGCGCCAGTAGTGGTGGTAGAAATTGACATGACACTGACATCAGAAAGATCTGGGCTGTGGTCTAGTTCTGGCACTCACCAGCTATGGATCCATGGGCTCCGAGCCTCGGTTTCCTCTTCTGCAAACAGAGGATGATTGACTGCTCTGAAGAGTAATTGAGGGGATGTGTGTGAAAACAGCTGGCACAGGGCCCAGCATGTACAGGAGATTCTCTCCATGTCACATAGCCAACGTTCCTATGGAGGGTTCTTCTTGACCCTACTCTGCTGCACAAGGATTGACACAAGGTCAACATCTTCTCAACCTCTGAGGACAGGGAGAATCCTGAAATTGCTGCTGGACAGGACGCCTGGCATTCTCTCCTTCACCCATGGCCCTGCCTGACCCTGAGGACCCAGTCATTGGTCTGGAACAGATAAACCACCATCTGGTTGCATTCAACGCTTCTCTCTCCTTCACCTCCTCAGAAGTTTATATAAAATGCTGTGGCAATATTTGCCCACTGCTAACCCCAGCTCTTTTCTCTTCTTTCACAATTTCCTAGTGGAGACATTGGCCTGTGACCCTCCAGTTCACACTTCACTTCTCTAGACACCTGCAGAATTCTTCACCTACCAAGTTTAAGAGCTTTCTTTTGACCTAAAGATGGCAGATCTTTAGTGGTGAAGTGATGACTGGCAAGTCCAAAACTCACACCAAACCTCAGCAAGACGCTCTTGGTTTTAGTAAGGTCCTCTCCAGCAAAGATATTCCTTTCTTAGAGCTCCCATTCCTGGGCACAAGCTGCTTACCCAAGAAGCCACATTTTGAACCCTGAGACTCAAAATTCCCAGCAGTGCTTTGTGCCTGAAGTGTCTTGCCATTCTCCTTGGAGCGGGGCAAGACCCCGGATCACAGAGGTACTCGGACTGTGGCTACCTCTAATCTTTCATCCTTCCTTCATCTCTCTTTCCCTTGTTGCACAAAATGAATGATCCAGCCATATTCCCGTAAAGGCTTCCCTGATACCAAAACCGTCTAAGCCAGAAAGCTATTCCCCTGTCCAGAGAGAGAGATCTTACAATAGACATTTGCTTTGCTGTCCATATCCATTCACCGTTCTAGTAATCAGCCCCTCTCCACTCTCAGACCAGGTGCATGGGGTGAAACTGAGTCTACCCTAGCTGTCAGAGTGAGTCTTGCCAAGGAGAGCCTTGCACTTTCCTGGCCAAGGCACCTAGTTCAGGGACAAATATGAACATGATGACAGGCAATGAGACCAAGCACCTGCTCCTTCTCTGCCAGACTGAAGCCTGGGAGGACAAGAAGTCCTAAGCTGGGGCAGGCATCTGACACCATGCAGAGGACAGAAAACCCGAGAGAGAGAGAATAGGTCCTAATGACACATGACATGAAGCCAGACCTCTCCTACCCTTCTATATGCATTAAACTTTGTAACATAAAATAATCCCTCTTGGCTTAGACCAGTTTAGGCTAAGCTTGTATTACCTGCAACCAAAAAAGTCCTAGTTTCTGCAAATCATACCAATTGTTAAAGGTTCAGGAATTACCCAAGCCAGGTGCTATAAACAGCCATTATTAATAATCAAATTATGTAAACTTACAATCAAATGAATTATATTAAAAACAAACATAATAAGTACCCAAAACTCATCAAGTATTTTTCAATGATTTGTGCTTTGAGGTTATTTACGTCTAGTGTATCTGCCTGGTGGAAACACTGTATAATGGTGAGCTACTGTACCTCTCTTCCTAACTCTGTATTCAGTGGCATCACATCATTGGCTTGAAATTGGCCAGGGTGGGGGTATTTACACCACAGAAATCAGCAGATGCTGCAAATCAAGGCCTGGTGTGTTGGTTTGTTGATTGCCTGGACTTAAGAAACTAATGAGGAAAGTGTTAATATGCAGATTAAATGTACTTAAAAGTGCATCGTATTTATGGTCATTACTTTATGACCAACACAAAACTTGAAGAAATAATTGAAAATTATTATTATTTGATTGAACAAAGAATATTTGCGGCCATGCTATACCCTGGCACCACTGTGCTAGTCCTAAGAACTGAAATTGAAGAGGACACTTCAGAACTCAGAGTGATTTGCTCAAGGCCAAGTTTTATTAGAAAATACAGCAGTAAAAGACATTGTCCTTGTCATTAAGAAGTGTATAGTTTTATTGGAAAGACAAGCCCAGCACATGGGAAATACAGTAGAGCATGTGAAGTCTCTGAGTCAGGGATGGCGAATATCTGCTATGCATGCCACCACCTCCCTGTCCACAGGTACATGAATAAGTGCTAGTGCTCTGCCCTGGGCCAGGATATGGCTCCAGCATCCTGCCTCACAGAGCACCCCAGGCTGCCACCGCTGTGTTCTTCATAAATGCCATTACACAAAAATACAACTGAGGGGACATTCCAGTTGGGGATCCCAGTTCAGGGGAGAGAGAGCAGCTAGAACTATAGTGCTTGAAGAAGTCTTTATAAGAAAATGTGGTGTATACATACAATGGAATATTACTCAGTCTTTAAAAGGAAGGAAACCCTGCCATCTGCAACAATAGGGATGAACCTAGAGGACATTATGCTAAGTGAAATAAGCCAGTCACGAAAGGACAAACACAGTACTGCATGATTCCACTTACATAAGGCATCTATGATAGTCAAACTCATAAAAACAGAGAATAGATTGGTGGCTGCCAAGAGCTGGGGAAGGGGGAAATGCATAATTGATGCTCATTTGGTATAAAGTCCCATTTTACAATATTAAAAAGTTCTAGAGGCTGGGCATGGTGGCTCATGCCTGTAATCCCAGCACTTTGGGAGGCCATGGCCGGTGGATCACCTGAGGTCAGAAGTTTGAGACCAGCCTGACTAACATGGTGAAACCCCACCTCTACCAAAAATACAAAAAATTAGCTGAGAGTGGTAGCAGGTGCCTATAATCCCAGCTCCTTTGGAGGCTGAGGCAGGAGAATTGCTTGAACCTGGGAAGCGGAGGATGCAGTGAACCGAGATCGCACCATTGCACTCCAGCCTAGGCAACAGAGCAAGACTGTCTCAAAAAAAAAAAATTCTAGAGCTCTGCTGTACAACACAGTGCCTATAGTTAATAATAAAATACCGTGCATTTTAAAGTAGCTGAAGAGGATGCACCTCATGTTAAGTATTCTTACCAAAAAGAAAACGTTTGGAGATGTGTTTATTACCTTGGTTGTGATGGTATCATGACTGTATGCATAGGTCCAAAATCATCAAGATAAATACGTTGAATGAGTGTGATTTTTTTGTGTGTATCAATTATACCTCAATAAAGCTAAGTTTTCTTAACTTTTAAATTTTTAATGAAAAAGAAGGCTTTATGGAAAAGAAATTTGAAAAGGAGCCTTGAAGCACGAGGAAATGCAAATTCCCAGGCCCTACCCTGGATCTCCTGAATGAGGAAGTCTGGAGTGGCCCAGAACTCTGCTTTCCATCCATCTACACTGATGTGAAGACACTGGACTGTGTCCTGCTTCTTCCCAGGGCTTTCTTTCACGCGGCGCTCAAGTCGATCCTTAACAACTGCACTGTGCAGTAGGCAGCAAGCAACAACGTTTATCCTTCTCACACGGGTAAGATGAGCAATTCCAAGATATTACAGGACTCACCCAGGGCCACACGGATGTGCACTGAGCCTGGGCTACAGCCAGGTCTCCAGGTGTCAGAGCGGTGCCATGTCCATCAGATCCCAGAAAAGAGAGAATAGGGATGGCACCATTCCCTCCAGCTCTCAGCCTCCCAGTTTCCTCTTTCACCTTCCCAAGGAGTTGGCCAGCCTCCTGACAACAGGCTGTGAAGAAAAGGCCTGTGGGGGCGATGACAGCTGCCTGACAGAAGGAAGGTGACGGCGCTTGGTGCTGAGCCCCCACCACACCTTTCCAGCTTTTGCACTGGACTGGGAATGAGTTTTCACCTGCTCATTCCCAGTCCAGTGCAAGAGCTGAAAAGTTAAATTCACCACAGCCAGCACCATGAGGCCAGGCACGCAGACCAAAAACACTCAGCTCATCAGATGCCACAGCCCAGAGCTGGCCGATGGCAAAAATGTGGAAACTAAGCCTCCAGTGACCCCCAGGAACATAGCCACAGGAACTGGTCCAGGGTCCAACTCCTTTGCCAAGCCCTCTCAGGCAGAAACAACCAGAGTTTAAAGAACTACATGCAATTCGAAGCCCAGAGCCTGACAGGTCAGCCTGCATTCGTGAAAAGGCCCGGGCTTTAGAGTCAGACACATCTGGGTTTGAAATCAATGCCACGGTGTATGTGCTTTGCAAACCAAGAAAGACATGGCCCTTACCTTCTCTGAGATGAGACTCTCCCTATCTGCAAAATGGGGATGAGAATACCCACAGTGTTGTGAGAATTAAGTGCATAGCATATGCAAAGGTCCTGGCAGAGCCCTGGGCCCTCAGTGTTGCTCAATAATGTCCATTTCCAGCCTTCATTCTCCCCCTTGGGAGCCCTCTTTCTCCATCTCCATGGGTCCTAGGAAGTGCATGCCAATGTGGCCAAAGGGAAGTAACTCTGCCCAGGGCAGAAGACAACTTCTAAAAGTGTCTTCCAGTATTAGATCATACATTTGTCTTATGCTGAAACTGTATTTGTGGGCTGTTAGCTCTGTTAAGAGTGTGTCTTACTGGCTTTATCCAGCATTCAGCACTCATCGTGCATAATAATGAGCTGCTCTGTAATTTATGCAAAATTGAGCATGAAGAAATTAATCAGGAATTGTTCAGAATTCTGCCGTTCTCTGAAATTAATCAGTAATTCTTAGTAACCAGTAACTCTCTGGCAAACTCCACCCACAGGTCAAATCCAGCCCACCAATTATTTTTGTAAATAAAGTTTTATTGGAACACTGTGCTCATTCATTTACACATTGTCTATGGTTGCTTTCATGCTACAAAGACAGAGTAGGACTGCAAGGCCTAAAATATTTACCCTGTGGCCCTTTGCAGAACAGTTTACAGACCTCTGCTCCAAAAGAAAACATAGCTAGATCCAGCTGTGGCAGTTGGAGTTCTCCAAGAAGCAGAGCCTAAGAGTTTAAGGTTCGGATTTTAAACAGGGAACACCTCTGAGACCCACACCTTTGGAAGGAAGAGGAAGAAGCTGGACTCAATGCAGGTGATGCAGCCTCACCGACTCCACAGGGAGCTCCTCCAAAGCAAATGGCTCCTCAGATTGGGCTGCATTGGCCAAATAGCTTGGCTTTCGTACTTCCACCTCAAGCAGTCACTGGCTGTAGTCCGCCCTCAGAATGGTGACCCTGGAGAGCTGGGCAAGGCAGCTCTCTCAGAGGCTGACTGCTAATGGCTGTCAGTGTCTATAAGACTCCCAGCACCGAGGGCCTGAGTCCTCCCTCACTGCAGCACATCTCCATGCCCAAACACAACCACACTTCCATTACGTTTTCCCTCACCAGCCCCCCTCTATGCCACCAAGCCAGTTGTCATCTGAATTATCTATTGGTGGGATGGGGTGGGTCAGGGGACACAAACGTGGAAGTGAACACAGAGTAACAACTAAGATATCACCTTAAATGTATTTCCAGTAATAGTCTTGAAAAATTTTATGTCCGCAATCTGTACTGGAAATCACGAAAAGAGAAATGGTCGATGAACATACTTTCTATTTCTGTCAGAATTACACCCAATTTTGAGGTTGATTGGTATGATCTAAGATATGTAATGTATATAAGATATAAATGTTTTATATAAAAGATATAAAATGAGATATATGGTATAAAGTGTACCTTATGTGCTTTGGTTCCACTCTGTTTCCCTTTAAGATCATGTAGCATATAGATTTAATGTGATTTCTTCTTGTTTTTCAGTTGATAGATCTGTTCTCTCAATAAGTCGTGATCCAACACATCATATATATATGATTGCATACACACACACACACACACGCACACACGTGCGTGTGTGCGTGTGTGTGTATTTCTGTCTGCTGTAGCCAAGGGAAAAGAGTGCCCGAGGGCCAGATAGTCAGCGTTCCTCAGGCTCTGCCCGCTTCTATTCAACCCTTCAAGATTGCCAGTTTCCATTAACAGTCCCCCACTGTCAGGCCTCTGAGCCCAGGCCAGGCCATCGCATCCCCTGTGACTTGCACGTATACATCCAGATGGCCTGAAGTAACTGAAGATCCACAAAAGAAGTAAAAACAGCCTTAACTGATGACATTCCACCATTGTGATTTGTTCCTGCCCCACCCTAACTGATCAATGTACTTTGTAATCTCTCCCACCCTTAAGAAGGTTCTTTGTAATTCTCCCCACTCTTGAGGATGTACTTTGTGAGATCCACCCCTGCCCACCAGAGAACAACCCCCTTTGACTGTAATTTTCCATTACCTTCCCAAATCCTATAAAACGGCCCCACCCCTATCTCCCTTCGCTGACTCTCTTTTCGGACTCAGCCCACCTGCACCCAGGTGAAATAAACAGCTTTATTGGTCACACAAAGCCTGTTTGGTGGTCTCTTCACACGGACGCATATGAAATTTGGTCCCGAATCCTATAAAACGGCCCCACCCTTATCTCCCTTTGCTGACTCTCTTTTCGGACTCAGCCCACCTGCACCCAGGTGAAATAAAAGCTTTATTGCTCACACAAAGCCTGTTTGGTGGTCTCGTCACACGGACGCGCATGAAATTTGGTGCCGTGACTCGGATCGGGGGACCTCCCTTGGGAGATCAATCCCCTGTCCTCCTGCTCTTTGCTCCGTGAGAAAGATCCACCTATGACCTCAGGTCCTCAGACTGACCAGCCCAAGAAACATCTCACCAATTTCAAATCCGGTAAGCGGCCTCTTTTTACTCTCTTCTCCAACCTCCCTCGCTATCCCTCAACCTCTTTCTCCTTTCAATCTTGGTGCCACACTTCAATCTCTCCCTTCTCTTAATTTCAATTCCTTTCATTTTCTCGTAGAGACAAAAGAGACATGTTTTATCCGTGAACCCAAAACTCCGGCGCCGGTCACGGACTGGGAAGGCAGCCTTCCCTTGGTGTTTAATCATTGTAGGGACGCCTCTCTGATTATACACTCACGTTTCAAGGGTGTCAGACCATGCAGGGATGCCTGCCTCGGTCCTTCATCCTTAGTGGCAAGTCCCGCTTTCCTGGGGCAGGGGCAAGTACCCCTCAACCCCTTCTCCTTCACCCTCAGCGGCAAGTCCCGCTTTCCTAGGGGGCAAGAACCCCCCAATCACTTATTTCCACACCCCAACCTCTTATCTCTGCGCCCCAATCCCTTATTTCCGTGCCCCAACCCCTTCTCTGCTTTTCTGGAGGGAAAGAACCCCCCACCCCTACTCCGTGTCTCTACTCTTTTCTCTGGGCTTGCCTCCTTCACTATGGGCAAGCTTCCACCCTCCATTCCTCCTTCTTCTCCCTTAGCCTCTGTTCTCAAAAACTTAAAACCTCTCAACTCACACCTGACCTAAAACCTAAATGCCTTATTTTCTTCTGCAATGCCACTTGACCCCAATACAAACTTGACAGTAGTTCCAAATAGCCAGAAAATGGCACTTTCAATTTTTCCATCCTGCAAGATCTAAATAATTCTTGTCGTAAAATAGGCAAACGGTCTGAGGTGCCTGACGTCCAGGCATTCTTTTACACATCAGTCCCTTCCTAGTCTCTGTGCCCAGTGCAACTCGTCCCAAATCTTCCTTCTTTCCCTCCTGCCTGTCCCCTCAGTCCCAACCCCAAGTGTTGCTGAGTCTTTCTAATCTTCCTTTTCTACAGACCCATCTGACCTCTTCCCTCCTCGCCAGGCCGAGCCAGGTCCCAATTCTTCCTCAGCCTCGGCTCCTCCACCCCATAATCCTTTTATCGCCTCCCCTCCTCACACTCGGTCCCGCTTACAGTTTCATTCCGTGACTAGCCCTCCCCCACCTGCCCAGCAATTTACTCTTAAAACGGTGGCTGGAGCTAAAGGCATAGTCAAGGTGAATGCTCCTTTTTCTTTATCCCAAATCAGATAGCGTTTAGGCTCTTTTTCATCAAATATAAAAACCCAGCCCAGTTCATGGCTAGTTTGGCAGCAACCCTGAGACGCTTTACAGCCCTAGACCCTAAAAGGTCAAGAGGCCGTCTTATTCTCAATATACACTTTATTACCCAATCTGCTCCCGACATTAAATAAAACTCCAAAAATTAAATTCCAGCCCTCAAACCCCACAACAGGATTTAATTAACCTCGCCTTCAAGGTGTACAATAACAGAAAAAAGCTGCAATTCCTTGCCTCCACTGTGAGACAAACCCCAGCCACATCTCCAGCACACAAGAACTTCCAAACGCCTGAACCGCAGCGGCCAGGCGTTCCTCCAGAACCTCCTCCCCCAGGAGCTTGCTACATGTGCGGAAATCTGGCCACTGGGCCAAGGAATGCCCGCAGCCTGGGATTCCTCCTAAGCCGCATCCCATCTGTGCGGGACCCCACTGAAAATCAGACTGTTCAACTCACCTGGAAGCCACTCCCAGAGCCCCTGGAACTCTGGCCCAAGGTTCTCTGACTGACTCCTTCCCAGATCTTCTCGGCTTAGCGGCTGAAGACTGACACTGCCCGATCGCCTCGGAAGCCCCCTAGACCATCACGGACGCCGAGCTTCGAGTAACTCTCACAGTGGAGGGAAGTCCGTCCCCTTCTTAATCAATACGGAGGCTACCCACTCCACATTACCTTCTTTTCAAGGGCCTGTTTCCCTTGCCTCCATAACTGTTGTGGGTATTGACGGCCAGGCTTCTAAACCTCTTAAAACTCCCCAACTCTGGTGCCAACATAGACAATACTCTTTTATGCACTCTTTTTTAGTTATCCCCACCTGCCCAGTTCCCTTATTAGGCCGAGATATTTTAACCAAATTATCTGCTTCCCTGACTATTCCTGGACTACAGCTACATCTCATTGCTGCCCTTCTTCCCAATCCAAAGCCTCCTATGTGTCCTCCTCTTGTATTCCCCCAACTTAACCCACAAGTATAAGAGATCTCTACTCCCTCCTTGGCGACTGATCACGCACCCCTTACCATCTCATTAAAACCTAATCACCCTTACCCCACTCAACGCCAATATCCTATCCCACAGCACGCTTTAAAAGGATTAAAGCCTGTTATCACTCGCCTGCTACAGCACGGGCTTCTAAAACCTATAAACTCTCCTTACCGTTCCCCCATTTTACCTGTCCTAAAACCAGACAAGGCTTACAGGTTAGTTCAGGATCTGCGCCTTATCAACCAAATTGTTTTGCCTATCCACCCCGTGGTGCCAAACCCATATACTCTCCAACCCTCAATACCTCCTCCTACAACCCATTATTCTGTTCTGGATCTCAAATATGCTTTCTTTACTATTGCTTTGCACCCTTCATCCCAGCCTCTCTTTCCCTTCACTTAGACTGACCCTGACACCCATTAGGCTCAGCAAATTACCTGGGCTGTACTGCCGCAAGGCTTCACAGACAGCCCCCATTACTTCAGTCAAGCCCAAATTTCATCCTCATCTGTTACCTATCTCGGCATAATGCTCATAAAAACACACTTGCTTTCCCTGCTGATCGTGTCCGATTAATCTCCCAAACCTCAATCCCTTACAAAACAACAACTCCTTTCCTTCCTAGGCATGGTTAGTGTGGTCAGAATTCTTACACAAGTGCTGGGACCACACCCTGTAGCCTTTCTGTCCAAACAACTTGACCTTACTGTTTTAGCCTAGCCCTCATGTCTGCGTGCAGCGGCTGCCGCTGCTTTAATACTTTTAGAGGCCCTAAAAATCACAAACTATGCTCAACTCACTCTCTACATTTCTCATAACTTCCAAAATCTATTTTCTGTCAGTATACCTGACACATATACTTTCTGCTCCATGGCTCCTTCAGCTGTACTCACTCTTTAAGTCCCACAATTACCATTGTTCCTGGCCCGGACTTCAATCTGGCCTCCCACATTATTCCTGATACCACACCTGACCCCCATGACTGTATCTCTCTGATCCATCTGATATTCACCCCATTTCCCCAAATTTCCTTCTTTCCTGTTCCTCACCCTGATCACACTTGATTTATTGATGGTGGTTCCACCAGGCCTAATCGCCACACACCAGCAAAGGCAGGCTATGCTATAGTACAAGCCACTAGCCCGCCTCTCAGAACCTCTCATTTCCTTTCCATCGTGGAAATCTGTCCTCAAGGAAATAACTTCTCAGTGTTCCATCTGCTATTCTACTACTCCTCAGGGATTATTCAGGCCCCCTCCCTTCCCTACACATCAAGCTTGAGGATTTGCCCCCACCCAGGACTGGCAAATTAGCTTTACTCAACATGCCCGAGTCAGGAAACGAAAATACCTCTTAGTCCAAATAGACATTTTCACTGAATAAGTAAAGGCCTTTCCTACAGGGTCTGAGAAGGCCACCGCAGTCATTTCTTTCCTTCTGTCAGACATAATTCCTCAGTTTACCCTTCCCACCTCTATACAGTCTGATAACAGACGAGCCTTTATTAGTCAAATCAGCCAAGCAGTTTCTCAGGCTCTTAGTAGGTTTCAGTGAAACCTTTATATCCCTTACGGTCCTCCGTCTTCAAGAAAAGTAGAATGGACTAAAGGTCTTTTAAAAACACAGCTCACCAAGCTCAGCCACCAACTTAAAAAGGACTGGATAATACTTTTACCACTTTCACTTCTACAAGGTACAGCCCATTTAAGCTCCTGTATAGACGCTCCTTTTTATTAGGCCCCAGTCTCATTTGACACCAGACCAACTTAGACTGTGCCCCAAAAAAACTTGTCATCCCTACTATCTTTTGTCTAGTCATACTCCTATTCACCGTTCTCAACTACTCATACATGCCCTGCTCTTGTTTACACTGCCGGTTTACACTGTTTCTCCAAGCCATCACAGCTGATATCTCCTGGTGCAATCCCCAAACCGCCACTCTAAACTCTTGAAGTAAATAAATAATCTCTGCTGGCAGGACTATGCTGAATCTCCTTAGGCACTCTCTAATCAGATATCCTGAGTCGTCCCAATTCTTAGACCTTTTATACCTGTTTTTCTCCTTCTGTTATTCCATTTAGTTTCTCAATTCATCCAAAACGGTATCCAGGCCATCACCAATCATTCTATATGACAAATGTTTCTTCTAACATCCCCACAATCTCACCCCTTACCACAAGACCTCCCTTCAGCTTAATCTCTCCCACTCTAGGTTCCCACGCCACCCCTAATCCCACTTGAAGCAGCCCTGAGAAACATCACCCATTCTCTCTCCATACCACCCCCAAAAATTTCCGCCGCCCCAACACTTCAACACTATTTTGTTTTATTTGTCTTATTAATATAAGAAGGCAGGAATGTCAGGCCTCTGAGCCCAGGCCAGGCCATCGCATCCCCTGTGACTTGCACGTATGCATCCAGATGGCCGGAAGTAACTGAAGATCCACAAAAGAAGTAAAAACAGCCTTAACTGATGACATTCCACCATTGTGATTTGTTCCTCCCCCACCCTAACTGATCAATGTACTTTGTAATCTCTCCCACCCTTAAGAAGGTTCTTTGTAATTCTCCCCACTCTTGAGAATGTACTTTGTGAGATCCACCCCTGCCCACCAGAGAACAACCCCCTTTGACTGTAATTTTCCATTACCTTCCCAAATCCTATAAAACTGCCCCACCCCTATCTCCCTTCGCTGACTCTCTTTTCGGACTCAGCCCACCTGCACCCAGGTGAAATAAACAGCTTTATTGCTCACACAAAGCCTGTTTGGTGGTCTCTTCACACAGACGCGTATGAAACCCACCATTAGTCATAACTAGTGGGGTTCATAGGCAATGCTCTGACTTTCCCATATTCCCAGCCCTCTCGGCTACCATGAGGCACCTGCCACCTGCTTCCTCAAACTCTGTGAAGGTGGCTTGGTTTGCCCATGGTTGTCTGCTGCAGTCCTGCTGGGCCAACATCACCCATCTAGAGCGATGTCAGTAACGCTGGACACCAAGTGTCAGAGAATCCCTTGCCTCACCTGCTACCAAAGCTGGATAGTGTGCTTCTCCCCAGGTCCCTGGAGACTTTTCTGCAAACCGCTTTTTCCATTTCATTTCCTTCATTTTCTCTTTGACTCACAGTCCCCTCTTCCCTCTCCTTATACTCAGAGTCAGGTCTTGGGTTTGGAGGGACTGGCCTGCGGGGTTGTCTGGGTTTGAAACTCTATCCAGTCCTAAGACCCAAGCTCCTCCCGGAGGAAGGGCACGGTCAGCAGCCAAGCTTGCTCACCTGGTCCCCTGCTCCCCTCACAAGGACCCTGGGTTCCTGCTGTCAGATGCACCTCCCAAGCAAAAGCATGTGTGGTGCAACAGCACAGGCAGGCCCAGTGTCCGACAGGCATACACGATGCCCAAGGGCAATGGCCCAGCCACAGCACCGACTTCTGGAGCCTCTGCCTTTACCTAGACCTTCAGTCACTCAACAAGTATTTACTTAGCACCTACTACATATGAGACACTAAACCCTCTGTGGCAGAAGCTGAGCAGGACATAGCTGTTGCCCTCAGAGGGCTAAGAATCTAGTAGGAGATATAAGAAGTTCCCAAATAACCAGAATTCAAAGCAAAAGACCATAAATGTTACAAGAAAGGTACAAAGTGTTTCCAGTATTCAGGGAAAGAAAAGTGCACTAACTAAGCACTTTCTATAACCCAGGCATTGAAAAAAAAAATATATATATACACATATATATACACATATACATATATATACATAGAAAGAGAGAAAATTGTGTGTGTACATACAAAACATATTTTTATATGCAATATAGTATATCTATTTTCCATTTAAAGTTTATTAACCCCCACTTTACAGGGGAGCAAGCTAGGTCTCAGAGTGATTCAGTAACTTGCTCAGAGAGGGATCCCTGCCAATGGGAAGATTGGAAAGTTTCAATAAAAGACATATTATTTCAGCTGGTTCTTAAAGGTTCGGTGGAATTTTAATTAATTAAAATTTATAGTTTTTAGTTACAACAGTGATACAAGTTCATTGTGGAAATTAAAAAATATATTAAAAAAAGGAAAGTTTTTTATAAAAGCCCATAAATCCCACCGCCCTAATATTAAAAAATCATTAACGTTTTGGTGCATATCTTTATAGGCTTTTTTTCTACTAATCACCACATAAAAAAAAAAAAGTGGGGCCACACTGTTTAGTCACCTGCATTTTTATAAGTGTTATTCCATTTAATCCTCACAATAGTCCTGCAAAGTAAAAAGTATTATCATCCCCATTTTATAAAAATAACTTGAGAAGCAGAAATGTGAGCTTGCCCCAGGCACAGGACAGAGCCAAGAAGCATGTCCAGAGCATCCTTCTCTAGAGCTACACATGCCCTTCCCCACTGCCTCCCAGACAGGGATCCACCTCCCGCCTGGAGATGGCTAGGCATGGAAAGGCCAGGGAGTACCAGGAAGGATTGTTTTAAATGTGTGATTTGGTGGCTGCTTCCGTGTAGGGCCTAGAGGAAACAGAGAAATTTCTCAAAGTCTCTTCCTGTGGATAATGAAGAGTCCACAAATGACACTGATTTCATCATCTGTGCAATACTACATGCATTTTCTACCAGGCAAAAAGTATTCTCTCAATTTAGACTCACCTCTAACTCAGGTAGGGAGGGTTCTATGCATCATGCAATCCAGTGAGGTCTTATCAAATCTGCAATCCAGCCACTTTGTACTAAGCAAACCCAGGCCTGCCTGAAAGTGTCGTGGGAGCCAGCGTTGGCGGGGGGTGCTGAAGCACCTAGTTTATCCAAGCCCCAGACCTACCCACACTGCTTTCCCACGGTGGCTTCTCTGTCACCACTCAGTCTCTGCAACAGGCAGCAGGCCTGTTCGTTCAAGAATGGCCCCCTCCCATCTCCACACCAAGTGGACTTTATTTCTGCCCTCGCAGGAATGGGAACAACACGTTTTTGCCAAAAGAAAAAAGAGAAATCAAAACATTGAATATGCTTCTTCCTTGGGCTGCGCGTTCCTGGCCTGACTTATATCATTTACACAACATAATGTGATCTATTAGAACAGGACAGAGAGTTTCAGGAAAAGCCAGAAATGCCAGCCTGGAATTTGGTCCCCCTGAGTTCCACACAGGAAGAAGAGGGAAGAGTCAGGATGTATGGGTCAGGAGTGGCTTCTCATTCAGGCCTCCAGACCCAGGCCAACCCTGCTCCCACAGATAGGGAAATGCACCCATGTAGACAACAGCGTGAGAGGGGCCTTGAGACAAAGAAGGAAAAGTGGGCACATTCTTCTAGGACCCTGGGGATCCTCAGACTCTTTGAAAGTCTGCCTGACAAATCCATCTTCGATGAGGGAAACAGTGATTCATTCGACAAATAGTCACAGTTCTACCATTGGCTGTATACACAGCACCCAATTGCAACACCCGCATGCCCCCGCCCCCAAGCACTACATAATTTGCTGTGTTTTGTTTTGTCTCTCGGGTTTTATAACTTTGGCCACTTTCAAGAAATCCACCCTGTGGGAGCTAATTTTCACACGATGGCTCGTTGCTTCCGCTTTCCCTTTATCAATGCCGCCCTCCATTTCCGGTGGCGTTTTGATGAGCTGCATCAGTGGCAGACATTAGCCGGGCCCTCTTCAACTCTGGAAGCCTGACCACAAAGGCAAATTCCCTCCTGGTCTCTGTAGTGTGAAACTTCTTGTAATTCTTTTCCCCAAAGTCACTCTTATGGTGCTCCAGAGAGAAGGCCGGGCCTTCTGTGTGTCTTACAGAGAGCCTTCTTCAGGACTCTTTCTTCTCCTAAAATTCCCCACAATTTCCAATCCCCCTTTGCTGTTCCCTCCACATCTTATCACATTGAAGCCAACCACCGTGCCTCTATTATGCATGGTGACAGATAAAATGCCCAACAAATATTCCATAAAGGGGCCATTGGGAATGAATCCCTTTCCCATCTTTTCCCTTTATCTTCTTTTTCTTTGCATTTTCTCATCACTGATCCCATACCCTATAGGCTTCCAGTTGAGATCTCTTCCCTTTCCCTGAGGTTTCACAACTTATTACTTCCCTGTACCAGTGTCTGTCACCTCTTTTTATCAAAAAATTCTTAAACAGAACAAACTTCATTGCATTCATAGCCATAAAGACTCATTTATTTTTCTTTCATTCAATGGTAGATATTCACTGAGTCCCTGCTGTGGTCCAGGCATTGTTCTAACAAAACAGATAAAGTCCCGACTTCAGTGGAGTTCATGTTCCATTGGCAGGAGATCAACATAAACAATTAGACCAATAAATAATATGTTAAGAAGAAAAATGAAGTAGAGTCAGGGGAGAGTGATGGGGCCTCAGCTAGGCCTTTCCCAAGCCCATGGAAAGAGTCCCTTGCTATCTTCACATTGATTGAATGCCTGAGCCTCCCACGCTTCTGGCAGCAGAGTAGAGCTGATCCCCAACATCTGCTTCTATGGATCAGCCCTTAAATGGGCACAGCACGAGTGTCCACCCCATGAGGACTGCACACGATGGGTAATCCTCAGGCGGTGCTGAGTGCAGTGCCTGGTACACAGCACACTAAACGAAGAGCAGCCAGAAAAGAATGGGGAGCAGGGGCAGCCGCCATCAGCAAAGGCTGCCACGTTTGCTCTCCAAGGCTGCCACGTTTGCTCTCCAAGGCTGCCACGTTTGCTCTCCGTATCATTTGTGCTTTCTTCAGGCTGCCTCTAGTTTTACGAGCAATTGACCCTTGAACTGAGAAGCTGCTCCAGATAAAGACCTTAGCTGAAAGTGACGTGATAAACAAACAGCGGGGTTTGAGGGGAAGGCAGGCTTAACTTGACAGTAGCTGGTATCTCTCACTCTCTTCCCTGGGGCTTCTCTCCATCCAGATGGCTCACAGGCATCTGACCTGGGGGCAAACCTGAAAGGGAGGAACCTAGGAGCCCATTCAGCAACACTTGTTCAATGGGCTCTGGAGCTGGTAGGTAAACACACTGTTCTCCTGTACTGGAGGCAGTAAATTCTGAGGTGTGTTCTACAGTTTCTTTCTTTCTTTCTTTCTTTCTTTGATAGTATAATCTTTTTATTTATTTATTTATTATTATTATACTTTAAGTTCTAGGGTACATGTGCACAACGTGCAGGTTTTTTCATATGTATACATGTGCCATGTTGGTGTGCTGCACCCATTAACTCGTCATTTACATTAGGTATATCTCTTAATGCTATCCCTCCCCCCTCCCCCCACCACATGACAGGCCCCGGTGTGTGATGTTCCCCTTCCTGTGTCCATGTGTTCTCATTGTTCAATCCCCACCTATGAGTGAGAACATGCAGTGTTTGGTTTTCTGTCCTTGCAATAGTTTGCTCAGAATGATGGTTTCCAGCTTCATCCATGTCCCTACAAAGGACATGAACTCATCCTTTTTAATGGCTGCATAGTATTCCATGGTGTATATCTGCCACATTTTCTTAATCTTGTCTATCATTGATGGACATTTGGGTTGGTTCCAAGTGTTTGCTATTGTGAATAGTGCCACAATAAACATACGAGTGTGTGTCTTTATGGCATGATTTATAATCCTTTGGGTATATACCCAGTAATCGGATGGCTGGGTCAAATGGTATTTCTAGTTCTAACAGCCTTTCCTAGCATGACTGGGTCCCAGTTGCCCACAGCAATGACCAGCTCAATGACACATCTTTGAATTTCCCACATTTCCCATTCGATCTCCCCATCCCAACTCCTGTTCACTGGAATCATTCCCTAAATAATTATCACCACAAGCCTTTACATCAGGCTGTGTTTGTTTGAAGAACCCAGGCTAATACCATCATATTATTATGTACTTGTCCTCCTTTCAGATTCTACCCCCCAATCGAATGTCATTTATTATATATGTGTGCATGTACATATAATAATCCATAATCTCTTCTCTTCTTTATATCTTCTCCAAGTCTTCATCAGAAATCAATTATCACACAGTTTTTCTACCAAGGATCTCTTAGACTGCTTTTTCAGAGTATATTTGGCTCTAGCTTGGCCAAGTTGATCATTACTGTTTCTGTACATGCAAGCAAAATCCAGGAATTACATTGATTACTACAGAAATTCCTTTTAATCCAAGATGTTTACATTGTCTCCTCTATATGTAATGGGCCACCTGGTAGAGATGAGATCTTAAATTTTTTCCAGTTAGAAAACTGTTGTTTGGAAGGTTGCAAAACTTCTGCATTTTAGGGTACAGACTGTCCTTTAAGTTTGGAAGGCAATACATTGATAAACCTTTTAGTAATGCCAATGCTAAGGCACCTACCACGCCCTATTTCTTCATTACGTGTGTATATATCCATATGCTCTAGGCTGAGATGTTAAATATTCTGTTTGGACATGTAAATTGAGCATAACAACATAAATATTGCAACTTTCTTTTCCTAAATCTAGATGTAAGCTGTCTTACAACTACACTTTTTTATTTGTCCTTGGGAAGAAGCAGAAAGACAACAGCCTCAAAAAAACAACTGCCAGGTGGCAAGGAGCAGCCAGCAGACTGGAGCATTGTCCCAGAGCCAGAGGCCATATGAACTATCCAGCTAGAATGGGGGGATTTAGGTAACAGCTTCCTTAAGGGTTCCTGTCTTAACCCATTTTGTGCTGCTATAACAGAATAATACAGACTGGTTCATTTATAAAGAACAGACATTTATTTGGCTCATGGTTCTGGAGGGGTGGCATCTGGTGAGGGCCTTCTTGCTGCATCATGACCTGGCAGATGACATCACATGATGAGAAAGCACATGCCTGCGTGTACACACGAGAGAGAGAGAGGAAGAAGGCCAAACTCATCCTTTTAACAGAAACCAACTCCTGTGATAACTAACCCACTCCCAAGATAAAGGCTTTAACTCATTCATGAGGGGATAGTCACCTCTGAAATGTCCCACTTCTCAATATGGTTACATTGGAGCTTAAGTTTCCAGCACATGAACTTTGAAGAATACATTCAAACCATAACAGTTTCCAAAAATTACTTGAGGAGGAAACCCTAATAAAATACTGAACTCCTTTATGGCAATAGAGATTTAGGCTTTTGTTATTTGCGCATGAATAACTTCTGATGGCTGGAGATATGGTGACGTCTTAATTAGGTATGATTCCCAACACTCCTGCACACCTATCTCCCCAACCCCTTCCTCTTCCCTTCCTCATGAGACAAAGAGAAATCAAGAATCTACTAACTCAGAGAATGTACCACTGTGTCTTATGCTTTATAGGTATTTGGTAAATATTTATTGAATGAATACCTGAAATAACCCAACCTCCATCAACAAACACAAAAACATATAAATAAGAAGATAAGAAAAGGTGAAAAAAGGATTTTTGTAAAACTACCACTCAGTTTCTTTCCTAGCATTTCTCAGTGGGCTCTGATAACCACTAGTTCCTTGGCACATAAATAAGTGATGAAATGGGAGGGGCTATGGGTAAAAGTAAGTGTTAACTATATTTGGGAATACTCGTTAAATAAAGTTAATACTGTCATTTGGAAGGATGCAATCAACTTCTGTATTTTATAGTACAGACTGTTCTTTAATTTTGGAAGGCAACATTTTGACGAACCTTTTAGTAATGTCAATCCTAAGGCACCTACCACACCCCACTCCTTTTACTGGTGTTTTTTGTTTGTTTGTTTTTGCTTTTTTTTTTTGGTTAGGATTTTTTTTTAATTATAAGAATTCTCAGCCTTTAATGTGTTCATTTATACCACAAGAGTATACAGATTACCGCTGAACAACACAGGTTTGAACTGTGCAAGTCTACTTACATGTGGACTTTCTTCTTCTACCTCTGCCACCTCTGAAACAGCAAAACAAACCTCTCCTCTTTCTCCTCCTCAGCCTACTCAATGTGAAGACAAGGAGGAAGAAGACCTTTATAATGATCCACTTCTACCTAATGGATAGTAAATATATTTTCTCTTCCTTACAATTTTCTCGATTACATTTTCTTTTCTCTAACTTACTTTATTGTAAGAATCCGATATTATTACATATAAGATATAAAATATGTGTTAATCAACTATTTATGTTATCCATAAGGCTTCCAGTCAACAGTAGGTTATTGGTAGGTAAGTTCTGGGGGAGTCAAAAGTTATATGCAGGCTGGGCATGGTGGCTCACCCTATAGTCCCAGCACTTTGGGAGGCCGAATTGGGAGGATTGCTCGAGGCCAGGAGTTCGAGACCAGCCTGGGCAACATAGTGAGACCTTGTCTCTACTAAAAAAAAATTTTTTTTAAATTAGCTGGACATGGTGGTGTGCTACTGTAGTCCCAGCTAGTTGGGAGGCTAAGGTGGGAGGATGGCTCAAGCCTAGGAGATTGAGGTTGCAATGAGCTGTGATCACAACACTGCACTCCAGCCTGGGCGACAGAGAGAGACTCTGTCTCAAAAAAAAGTTACATGCAGATTTTTGTCTGCACAAGGGTCAATGCCCCCAACCCCTGTATTGTTCAGGGATCCGTGGAACTATGTCATGCTTCTATATGTATTAAATTATCTCCTCTTTTTATAGAAGTCTCTTGATGGATATTGTTTCTTGGGTATATCCTTCCCTGGAACACACTTTGAGAAACACTGCTTTAGTATAATGCTGATTTCCTTTTGGCTGTTAACCCATGCCGCTTTCTCTGGCCATCACATGGCTCTCAAGCAAAGGTCAGTCTGTATTCATTCTCCTTATGAAGCTTATGTAAATATAAATCATGGGATGTTTCCAAACATCCTCCTTATTTTTGCATCCCAACTTGGAAGTTTAATTTAGAATTAGACCTCCAAGAAGTTCTCAATCTTAGTCTTCTCAGATATCTTAATTACTTTCTAAGAGTCCTATAGACTTCCTCTATTTTTAAACCATAACCTATAAAACAGGACACCATTATTTGTACAACATCATTCATCAAAAAATATGTACTAAGTACCTCTTAAGGGCAAGCTACTATGGGGATAAATGATTACACAACTCAGATCCTGCCTTAAGAAACATACAGTTTGATAATAACTGTAACTTGAAATTAATAGGCTTGGGAATAAAATAAACCTGAGTTTATATCCTGGGTTTGAATTTTTTTTAATTTTCAAAAAGACCTAATTTTGTGGTCTTGAGTAAGTTACTGAACCTTTCTATCAGTGATGACATTTGTAAAATGAGGGCAATTATACCTACTTTCCCTCTTTGTCATGTTGATTGAATATAAAGAAGTATGCAAAAATACCTAGCACAATGCAGATACCAGCACTAGATGTAGTAATGGCATTAATAGAAGAGCCTCCTTTAGAATCTACACAGTGGCATCATCCTGACGTCAGCCTTGTCCTCCGCTGCATCACTGAAACCTGCCAAAATCACTGAAATTGGGCTTGTGCTGGGGAGATGTGTCCGCTTGTATCTTCTGCCTCCTTGCCTTGCTTGCTGGCAGAGGCAAAAGCTAAAAGGAAGTCACCACCGCCAAGTCTGCCTGGTTGGCCTCTCCAGTCCTCTAGCCTGGCCCAGCCTTTGTGGTCTGGCTTGGTTCACACAGATATTTTAAACAAATTTTCACAATACTAGTAGGACATGTTTTGTCATTATCTGCTTTCGACAAATGAGTAAACTCAGGCTCTGAAAAAAATTAATGCCTTTGCCAAGGTTGCCCTGCTAGTAAGTGGCAAAGCCAAGATAACTCTATCTCATGAGGCCGATAACACATAAACAACAAAGCATGAGGTGGAAGGTTGGGAGGCTTTTGCATTGGTCCAGGCAAGAGGTGGGTAGAGATACTGATAGAATGGAATGGAAAAGAGAGCATAGATATAAGAGATAATGAAAAAGTAAAGTTGGCATTTTTTATCAGTGGAAGACCCTGGGAATCCTGTGATACCTGTTAATTTCCAGTCTTTCCCCAGCTACCTTCTTCTTTATTCCAAAAGGAAAGCACATTCATGCTTAAGAAATGGGCACCCTTGGGTACACAGACATCCATCTTTAATCCAGTCTTCCACTGCCAAGTAACAGATCTAGTTGTGTTTATTTTTACACAGTCCTGCCTTCAAAGAGTTAAAAATCTGGAAGAGAGGCCACAAAAAGGATATAAAGCAGCCAAAGGTCCTATAACTCTCAGGTAGCCTATATTCCAGGGTTACATTTGTCATTCAACAGTTACATGACCGTGGGCCATCACAGAACTTCATTGGCTCTCATTGTCTTCATTCATTGCTGATTCATTCACATGTTCAATACATACTTATCAACTGATTACTATGTGCCAATCGCTGTGGGAAGCACTGGTGATTCAGATGTCCCTGAATCCCAGGAGGTTAGACTCAAACATCCAGACAACTCCAAATCTATAGCAGATTCCTCTGTCTCATCCCCCAAGACCAATCACCAACTCCTATCTCTGCTACCTCCAAAACATAGCTTGAATCCACTCACCTCTCAGCCCCTCACCACCATCACCCTGGTCACAGCCACGGTGCCTATGTACATGAGCCACTCCCTGGATGAATGCAGGTTTGACTGACTCCATCACCTGAGCCGAAGCAAGGTGAGTCAGCGGAGGCCTTACCTGTGGTTGTTGTCCTGCCCAGATCCTTGCCTGCTAGAGAAGTGGGAACAAGTGTTCTCAGCAACAGGCATCTTGTATGTAAAGGCAGAAGGGAGAAGAGCAGTCTGCAATGCTCCAACATGACATCTGCGTTCCAGAGAAACCACAGTTTATTAAAAGTCACAATACGCACATAATTGCTTCAAAGGGAGGGGAAGTTAAAAGCTAGAGAGTTTGAGTATCACAATAACAAAGTTATGTTTCCTGCAGGAATTTTAATAATAAAAGTGTTTCTAATAGCTGTAAGTGTTTAGCTGTGAAACCAGTACATCGTTTAGTAAATGCAGCCTTTGCTGATTCTGGCTTTTCAGCTCCAGAGGAATGGCTGCTCTTTTTCTATCACCTGCAGCGCTAACATACCACTAATTTTTATCATTCTTATGTATTGAAAACAAAGCCCAAACCTCTCAAACAAAGCAGCAGGGTTACACATCACCTTTCCACCAAGCAAATCCAGTTTCCCAGCAGATACAGAAACTTGCCTCAGTTTCCTGATCTATAAAATGAAGGTAGTAATAAGTTCTACTTCAAAGAATTATAAATAGGATTGCATCAATTAATATTTGTAATGTGCTTGGGGCAGCATCTGGCACACAGTAGTGCAATATAAGGAATGTTAAGTTAAATAAATTAATAGATAATTGCATTATATTCCACTCCTATTGTGAAAATACTTGATGTGGAAAAACTATGCCAAAAGCAAAGAAAAGGAAAGGGCAGAAGATGAGTCTATCACAGCAAGCAAGATATAAAAACAAAGGGCCAGGTTGAGGTTTTCTCCAGCTATAAAGTGTGCTGGACTAAATATGCATATTCCTGAATAAGCATGTGTATGTGCATATATACCTTCATCTACATGCATAAAGATATGACAACTAGCTGTCCCACTTAAAAAAAAAAAACAGAGTCTGAATCAGAGGGAAAAACAAGAAATTCATTCATTGTGCCCTAATTCTCTCTATAATAACACACAAGAGGTTACAAACCTCAAATTGGGTCCAGTCCCAGAATTTGGTCAGTAAATTGAAAACAATAAGAACATAAAATGACTGAGATTCTCCATCTGCAGAAATAAACCACTCAGGAGATGGTTGTAAATGTGCTGTTGATGTGAGTGAGGATTCTCCCCATTTTCTGTCAAGGAGAACAGGATGCCTTACAAATTCACTTAAGGACACGAGAGTCTCCCCCAAGTCCAGTCAGGGTGACCCCAGGGTGTCTCCCCAGGAAAACACATTGGAATGTGGTTTATGGTAACCTACTCAGTTGAACTGCAATGAATCTGAGCTAATGTTGTGTTGTCATAGCAGAGGGTGGGGGTCCGCAGGAGTCTGGAAACTGAGAGCCAAGCAGTGAGGCTCTCAGGGTGTCTCCACCGCTGCCCAGAGCTCTGCTTCTAGATCATCAGTCCTGCTAGGTTGAAACATCCCTTGAAGACAGCCAATAACCTCTGGTCAAATTCCAGGATATCCAAGGAAAATCTTAGCTGTCACTTGGTGTCTTCAATGGAGTGACTAAGTAAGAAGGCAAGTCTCACAAAGATGAGTGCCCTCACTCAGCTCTCCAACCAGAACCTCACCCACTGTCAATTAGTACATTGCTTTTCTGGCTTTTAATTAGCGAAAGAAACATTTCTGCATAATTATTGCTGGCGTTGGCAGCCCAGATCTAGCCTTTACTGGGTGCGAGACACTGAGCCAATCATTTAGCTCTCCTGCTCTCAGTTCCTCACTGACAAGGGGATAATAACAGTACCTATCTTATGCATTGCTAAGGGAGATTAAAATAGAGTAATCCAGGAAAAATGCTCTGCATTTCATGTGTCCAGTACATGCTAGCAATTTCTATTATTGTTGGTCTGGTTAAATCTGGAATGATCACTATCATTATCCTGTTTGAACATCTCTGAGTGAATCACTGAAATCAAATTTTGGATCTGAAAACTTGACCAAGCACCTGAATCTTGAGTGACCCCATTAAAGTTCAGCCGTCCCTGCCTTAAGCAGACATTTCTTTTTTATAACTGTTAACAGCAATACCAACATTAAGATTGATTATGTATGTCTAGGAATAAATGATAACTTTTTAAACACATTTGTGTATAAAATAAAATATTGAATGTTATAGAACTATGTTAGCCTGTTAGGAATGCTATAACAAAATACCTTAGATTGGGTAATTTATAAACAACAGAAATATATTGCTCACAGTTATGGAGGCTAGGAAATTCAAAATCAAGGTACCATCAGATTTGGTGTCTGCTGAGGGCTTTTTCTCTGCCTCATGGGTGGCACCTTCTAGCTATATTCTCACATAGTGGACGGGACAAGGCAGCGTCCTTCAACCCCTTTTATAAGGGCACTAATACCATCGATGAGGGCAGAGCACTCCTGACTTAATAACTTCCCAAAATGTCCCACCTCTTAACACTGCCGCACTGGGTTCCAACATATGAATTTTGGGGAACACCAGCATTCAACTTTATATACTTAAATATACAGATATATAGATATAGATATATTTAAGATGTACAACTTGATATTTTGATATATGTATACATTTTGAAAATGATTACCACAGTCAAGTTAATTAACATACTCCTCACCTCTCATCATTACCATTTTCTTTCATGTGTGTATGTGTGATAAGAGCACTTATGATCTATCGTCTTAGCAAATTTAAGTATATAACACAGAATTGTTAACTGTATCACCACACTTCCATTAAACTCCCTTTCTGACTCTCATTTTATAGTTGACAAGACCAAGACCAGAGATACACAGTGTTCTCCTCTGATTCACAGTCAGCTGCTCATCCCGCTATGGCTAACACTAAGTTCACAAATTATTGACAACACAGCAAGATTGTAAAGAGCATTGCTGCATCATGGACTTGAATTCAGAAGACTCAGGCTTACGCCCACTCCTGTGTGAGTGACCGTGGGCAAGCCCTTCCCCTTTCCCTTGGCCTTCATTCCTGTTCTTGTAACTAAGAGATAGCTATGGTAACTATAGCCATTGCTACTGTGCACGGTTGCTGAAGTTGGGACAAAATGAAATGTGAGGTTGCTCTGTAACTCTCAAGCCCCATGTAAACAGATTGGATTGTTTATTGTGGACTTCACAGCGAACTTTCACAAGTGAGCTCTAACAGTTCCTAAGAAAGAGATACTCAAGTGGATGTCATGAGATGAGTGGTGGAAACAGGGAGAGAGAGGACGACAGATAAAATAAGTCCACAGGGTTGGTCTAAGAAAGTTTTCTAAGGGAACAACAGAGAATTTACTCATTTGATCAACTTTCCCTACTTTCTCTGCCCCCAACCATTGTTAACACCTTCAAGAAAGGAGAACTGAGAATGAGGGCTAACGCTTTGCTTAGAAAAACAGCTGATAAAACATAAAGCAATCGAATCTGTGGCAGGGAATGGGAAACACATGGCAGGTCCTTCTAATTAACTCTTTGATATGTTGCTCCAGGTGGGGTGTTGTTTCCAACGTTTTCCATTGACTTGTCCCAGGCCACTCTCTCACCATAGCAACTCAAGTTTACCAGAAAGTAGGAAAGACTGCATTTGAGAGAGTTAAGGGAGTTTGATACAGTCCAGCTAACCACAAATGAAGAAGAAGAATGAGAAGGAGGAGGAGGAGGAGCAGAAGGAGCAGGAGGAGGAGGAGGAATAGGAGGAAGGGGAGGCCAGAGTGGGGTTGGGGAGACAGCCAAATATTTCCCTCCCTGCAAATATCCTTTGGGACATATCCTCTCTCTCTCTCTCCTTATACACCTCATTCTCTCTCCGCCACCCTATCTCTCCACCTCCCTAAAAACTTCTTTCCTATGCATCTTTTTCTCACCAACTTAAGAAAGTGAGAGAAGAGCAAGAGAACTAAGTCCACATAGGTCCTTTGCAAATATTTGGTGCTGTTCGCACCATGAAGTGAGGGGAGGGCCTTATCAGTCTTGTTGTTTCTTATGCCAAAGGGCAGCTGAATACAATTTTTTGAATAAGCGAATAAATGAAGGTCCTCCCTCCTTTTGCTGTGGACTGTGGATTTTAACAAGAAGTCCCTGTACAGAGGCAATAGGACACAGTGCAGCAGGTTGTAAACCTACTGGCCTGAGAACCTAAAGATCAGAGGTTCCGCTCAGCCTTGCCCCTACCATGGTATGTGGGCCCTGAGTTCCTCATGTAGCCTTTCTGAACTTTATTTGCTTCCCCTGAAAGCAAGGGCATTGAGCAAGAAATTATTTAAGGCCTCTTGAGGGCTCTAACCTTCTTTGAGTATTTCACCAATAAGCCTGCAAAGAAATAACCCTCCTCTCGTGGATGAATAGACTAGACTCAAGCTGCTGCTCTTTTCTAACTACAGGGATAGGCCAAGCTAGAATAAAAGGCAAAAAGTGTCCACTCTGTCTGTATATCTTGACCAAATTTGTATCTACTAAGGCGGGAAGGTGAAGGTAGAAACAGGGTTAACTCTCTGAATAATCCCAGCCTGACTTCCCCCAGGTATACAGGCTGCCCATACTAATTCAGTTCATGTCACCTTCTACTTTGCTCTTGCAGGCAAAACTCTGAACTCTCAAAGCCAAGAGAAGAAAGAGGGCACCCAGTCCAACCTCTACCTCTAGGAAAGTCCTCGCCCAAATTACCCCAGAGAGATTATTAGATCCTGCCCTTAAGCATTGTCAAAGAGCACTTGGCAGCTTCTCCAGGCATGTGCTGTACCATCTTCCGAAACTGAATTACACAGGGGTTCTCTATGTCATACACCAGGAAGCTACGCATGTAAGAAAGCCTGGGCTATACCTTCAGTGCTTTGAAAACTGACTCTGACTTGCAGAGAACACTGGGCTTTGGGCGCCTCCCTTGGGCAGTGGCAGCTTCTTGGATAGAGACCAGAACAGGAAATGAAAGATTTCCATTTATTTCAAGACCCTTCTTGGGCATCTTTTCCACTGCCATTTGTAGCTGAGCTGATTGAGAAATCAGGGTAGTCAAGTTACAGATGTAGCCACTGGCTGGGGATCAACCTAGACTCATGATCTTTTGGGGTCATGAGGTGAATGGAGAAGACTACTTTCCCTATACTTGGTCTATGTCCATGAACTCCAGACTTTAGGGGAATTGCTTTATATTAGCCAACTTAATGTCTAAAGTGCTAAATAAATAAACAGGTAATCTCTGGGGCCAAACTGCCAAAAGTAGCTCATACCTTCCTGCCTCCTAGAAGCCCTTTCAAAGAGGACATCAACAAACAGGTCGTTAGGAAAAAGCAAAATGTGGCTCACTTTGCAAATCTCACTTTTCCTTCAATGCTTCTTTGTCCCTATGGATTTCAACTCACTCCATTTGACATTCTCAGTTCCTTTGATAAGAAGTTCTTAGAAGCTTATGGCAACTCAGACCCGCTGAATCTGGAGGCAGGTCTGTAGGAATTCTGGTAATTAGTTAAACAACCTTGAACAAGTTGTTTCACTTCTCTGAGTCTCAGTTTCTCACTCAAAAATGGTGAATAATTTGTAAGACTTCGCTAATAATCTACGACTCTACAAGAGGCAATAGGGTACTGTGGACAGAGAGCAGGCTTTGGAAACACACAAGACTGGGTTTAGATTCCTGCACTCCACCCAGTGTGTGACTTGGCCAAGCTTCTTCACTTCTCTAAACCCCCATCTGTGTATCTGTACAGGAATGAATGAATGAGTATGTGCAGCCAAGCTATGCAAACTCCAGGTTAAAATATTGCCTTGGGTTTTTTAGTAAATTGTTCAAGCCCATGACATTCTAGCAGAAAAAGCCTAGTGTCTCTTTCTTAAGGTGATTGTGTCCATGTGTTTTCCAGGAACTCTAGGGTTTACTCAACCCAAATTCACCCTGCCCTTGACCAAATGGCTCACCAGCTTCACGGATGCTGCTCTGATGACACACCCTGCAGTCAGCATCTGCCCCTGCAGCTAGAATGGATTTCTGAGTGGGCATTAGCTGGGGGATACCACATGGGCACCAATGTCACAGATCTTCTGTCACAGTCCACCCCGAACCATTGCTTCTCAAATCATAATCCCTTAGCAGGACAGCTAGGTGCAGCACGCATGACACAAACACCAGCCCTTGCCTACAATCTCAGCCACTATCTTGAGTCTGAGCAACTAGTCTAGTGGCAGCCGCGCCCTTCCTTTTCAAGAGAGTTCTGGGATCAGATCCTTTCACAAACAGATCCCTCCCCACCTGCCTGTTGTCCAGGTCTGCACACTGAAAAGTAAGACAGCATTTGCTAAGCCATATTTCAAAAAGTTTGCTTATACCTTCATCTCAGGACAACAAGTGCCTGCTTAAGAGCCTTATGTTTGTGTAACTGGTATTTTTTTTTCCCCTGACCTTCCAAGGCCTAGTCTACTTTCTCCCTCCCTAGCTGAACAAAAGTGAAGTTGAAATAATTTGAACTACCCCTTTTAGTGGGCAGCCCATTTGATTTTTACCTTAGCCAGAGCCTTAATTTGTCCATGTGAGCATAGCAGTACCTTGCAGCACCTGAGGCACAATACATTGTTTAAAGAGTGACAGTGCGTCCCATTCCAATAAGAACCACACTCAGAGCAAAGGTTCCCTCGCCTGTGTGGAGAGTGACCCATGGTAGAAAATTTGCAGACTTCGTTACCTCTTCATCAGTTGAAAAATCTATTTATTCATTTATGCATTTAATTTTCCCTATCTAAGCCAGGGATAGTCAAACATTTTCTGTAAAGGGCCAAGTAGCATGATAAATATGTTAGGCTCTGCAGGCCACTTACAGTTTTGTCATGTATTCTTTTTTGCTCCCTGTTTGTATTATTTTGTTTACAATGCTTTAAAAATGTAAAAAAACAGATGATCACTGGAGTCTCACGGGTCCCTCGGGCCACACAGGGACAAGCAAAGGCTACATCCAGATACCAGAAATGCACTGACGCCCGTTCCTGGAAGCTGGGCTCCCACTCAGCCCCTGGGAGCAGCAGCCTCCAGCCCCTTGGGACCTTCAACTCCACCCTGCTGACCCACGCGGGTTGAGCCAGCATCCCTGGAGGCTGACACTGTCCTCCACTGAGACCTGAAAAATGGCATCGGGGCAAGGCCCAGGGCCTCCCAGGCAGGAGTGCGGAAAGCCTGCCCTGCCCTCTGCTTCTGAGGAGCAGGTAGCCCAGGACATGGAGGGGTTTTCCGCAGCTACGTTTTTTACCACCATCAGCAGGAACAGGAGGCTGAAGGGGCGGCCGCCCCTGCCGACCCAGAGATGGTCACCTTGCCCCTCCAACCTAGCAGCACCATGGGGCAGGTGGGACGGCAGCTCGCCATCACCAGGACGACATCAACCGGCACTATGACTTCGGAGTTCCAGACCATGCTGCAGCACCTGCAGCCCACGGCAGAGAACGCCTACGAGTACTTCACCAAGATCGCCTCCAGCCTGTTTGAGAGTGGCATCAACCGGGGCCGTGTGGTGGCTCTCCTGGGCTTCGGCTACCGTCTGGTCCTACATGTCTACCAGCACGGCTTGACTGGCTTCCTGGGCCTGGTGACCCGCTTCGTGGTCTTCATGCTGCAACAAGGCATCGCCCGGTGGATCTCGCAGAGGGGCGGCTGGGTGGCAGCCCTGGACTTGGGCAATAGTCCCATCCTGAACGTGCTGGTGGTTGTGGGTGTGGTTCTGCTGGGCCAGTTTGTGGTAAGAAGATTCTTCAAATCATGACTCCCAGGGGTGTCCTTTGGGGTCCCAGCTGTGACCCCTGCCTGGACTTAAGCCAAGTCTTTGCCTTCCCCACTCCCTTGCAGGGGTCACCCTTCAAAAGTACAGAAGCTCTAGCAAGTGTGCACCCCCGCTGCGGAGGGCCCCTGCGTGGGGGCCAGTCAGGCTGCGGAGGCACCTCAACATTGCACGGTGCTAGTGGGCCCTCTCTCTGGGCCCAGGGGCTGTGCCCTCCTCCCTTGGCTCTCTGGGACCTCCTTAGTCTTGTCTGCTAGGCGCTGCAGAGGCTGATAACTTGGGGAAGCAAGAGACTGGGAGCCACTCCTCCCCAGTAAGTGTTTAACGGTTTTAGCTTTTTATAATACCCTTGGGAGAGCCCATTCCCACCATTCTACCCAAGGCCGGGATGTCTGGGGTGTGGGGGTTGGTGGGTCTACACTACGTGCCCCAGGATTCAGCTATTCTGGAAGATCAGAGCCTAAGAGCTAGGACTTGATCCTGGTCCTGGCCGTCCCTAAGCATCATGTGTCCCAGGAGCAGGACTGACTGGGAGAGGGGGACCAAGGTCCTACCCAGCTCTCCCCGTGCCCCCATTCCTCCCTCCGGCCATACTGCCTTTGCAGTTGGACTCTCAGGGATTCTGGGCTTGGGGTGTGGGGCGGCGTGGAGTAACAGGCCAGAGCTGTCTGAACTTATGTGTCAGAAGCCTCCAAGCCTGCCTCCCAAGGTCCTCTCAGCTCTCTCCCTTCCTCTCTCCTTATAGATACTTGCTCCCAACCCATTCACTACAGGTGAAGGCCCTCACCCCCATCCCTGGGGGCCTTGGGTGAGTGATGCGCTAAGGCCCCTCCCCGCCCAGACTACAGGGCTTGGTTTAGGGCTTGGTTTGTTATTTCAGGGATAAGGAGTAGGGAGTTCATCTGGAAGGTTCTAAGTGGGAGAAGGACTATCAACACCACAGGAATCCCAGAGGTGGGATCCTCCCTCATGGCTCTGGCACAGTGTAATCCAGGGGTGGAGATAGGGAACTGTGAATACCTGAACTCTGTCCCCCGACCCTCCATGCTCCTCACCTTTCTGGGTCTCTCCTCAGTGTGGGGGTGAGAGTACCTTCTCTATCGGGCACAGCCTAGGGTGTTGGGGGTGAAGGGGGAGAAGTTCTTGATTCAGCCAAATGCAGGGAGGGGAGGCAGAAGGAGCCCACAGGCCACTCCCTATCCTCTGAGTGTTTGGAAATAAACTGTGCAATCCCATCAAAAAAAAAAAGGAGAAAAAAATGTAAAAAACATTCTTAGCTGTAAGCTACTTATAGGGGGATAAAGACAGGACTGTTAATGGACACAAACATACAGTTAGAGAGAAGAAATAAGTTCTGTCCAGGCGCGGTGGCTCACACCTCTAACTCCAGCACTTTGGGAGACCAAAGTGGGAAGATCATTTGAGTCCAGGAGTTCGAGACCAGCCTGGACAACATAGCAAGATCTTATCTCTACAGAAAATTTAAAAAAAAGAAAAAAACTAGCCGCACAGGTCTGCAGTCCTAGCTACTCGGGAGGCTAAGGTGGGAGAATCCTTGAACCCAGGGATTTAGTTTGAGGTTGCAGTGAGCTATGATTGCACCACTGCACTCCAGACTGGGTGACTGAGTGAGACCCTGTCTCAAATATAAAGAAGGAACAAGTTCTAGTTTTCAATAGCGCAATAGGGTGAGTGCAGTTAGCAACAACATATTGTGTATTTCAAAATAGCTAGAAGAGAGGATATGAAGTGTTCCCCAAACAAGGAAATGATAAACGTTCGAGGTGACAGATACCTTAAATACCCTGATTTGATCATTACACATTCAATGTATGTATCAAAATATTACATGTACCCCACAAATTTGTGTAAATATTATGTATCCACTTTTTAAAGTTGGCAGAGCCCAAAAGCACTACTATGGCTTCCAGTGGTCACTGTGAGCACTGCCAGCTCAGCAAATGTATCACCCAAAATCTGGGCAATGTGGGAAATTGGCTTCATGGCAGCTATGGCTTTGCCACTGATAGGAATGATTTCCAGAGATACTTAATCCTCAATTCGGGACTCTTTGCTTCAGGAGTTTGGCTGGCCAGGAACATGAGTGACAGTGACCTCTTGGCACTTCAGCTGGGGGTGTAGCCAAGCAGACAAATGGAATCTTGTGCTGAACCCAAACCTTCTAGAAACAGAGCCTGTGAGCATCACAAGATATGCCCTGATGGAAGCTGAAGTTTAATTCAGCTGAGCGCTTGCCCCTTTCCAACCTGGTTTCTTTTTGTTCCTTGAGTCCAGTCAGAATGCCATTCCCTGGCCAGCAGCCAGCCTTTAGTGACTGTCTCTGTTCTGCAAAGCTCTGTATATAGTTACTGAGTTTCTGCAGGGGGTGATCTTTGCTCTTGTCCTAAGAAATAACTACAGTGTTTTAAGAAATATTTGAGGCCGGGTGCAGTGGTTCACACCTGTAATCCAGCACTTTGGGAGGCCAAGGCAGGTGGATCATGAGGTCAAGAGTTTGAGACCATCATGGCCAACATGGTGAAACCCCATCTCTACTAAAAATACAAAAATTAGCTGGGTGTGGTGGCGGGCACCTGTAGTCCCAGCTACTCGGGAGGCTGAGGCAGGAGAATCGCTTGAGCCTGGGAGGCGGAGGTTGCACTGAGCCGATATCACGCCACTGCACTCCAGCCTGGCGACAGAGTGAGACTCCATCTCAAAAAAAAGAAAAAATAAATAGTTGAAATAAAGACTGCACATAAAGACAAAAAAAAAGTTTATAAAGTTAAAAAATAAAATAAAAAACAGGCTCCAGGCTGGATTGGGCCCAGAGGCTGTAGGACACAGACCCCCAGCCAATGACTTCATAAATCCGGATGTTAATCAGCCTCACCTGGGAATTTGGGGAGGGGACTCATTTTAAAACAGTTTCCTGGATTCTAACCCAACCCAGAAAATCAGACTCTTTGAGCTAAATTCTTAAGCTCCCTGGTGATGATGATGGAACCAGTTTATGGCTGACCCCAGAGTCACGTCTGAAAGACGTGCCACATCCCTCTCTCTCCAGCCTCCCCTTCTCCTCCATTCCCCAGGGAGAATTCTTTTACCTGCTTCAATACTATTGTTGAGCAATCTCTATAAAGCTATACCCTTCTCTCTTCTAATACATTCTTGTCTATCTGCTTACCAATTAAACACATGTACTTTATATTTTAATACTCCTTTTTAATAATACTTGAGAATTTTGTTAGTAGTCCTTTCCTCATACAACTTGCTGGAAGAAGCAGTGTTTCTCCTCCCTGCTAAAAGAAAAACTTCAGATAAATTAAATTCAGCAGTTTCCCTGAGCAAAGAACAACTTATGAATCAGGCAGCACTCAGAACTGGAAGAGGTTCTGCAAGCTCTACCCTCGCAGTGTGAGCAGAGGCTTTTACAGGCTGAATGCAAAAGCAAAATCCTTGATCAGTTGATTAGCTAAAGCCAGGTGTTTGTCTTATTATCTGATGGAAAGCCCCCAGTTGAGTTTAGCTAATGGTTTCTGACTGATAAAGCTTGTGTCTTATTTTATTGTTTGACTGGACTTCAGTCTGCTTACATATGAACCCAAGGCACTGGTGCCATCCTAGCCTAATGGTATCCCAATTAATTTTTTTTTTGAGACAGAGTCTTGCTCCGTTGCCCAGGCTGGAGTGCAGTGGCACAATCTTGGCTTACTGCAACCTCCACATCCCAGGTTCAAGCGATTCTCATGCCTCAGCCTCCCAAGTAGCTGGAATTACAGATGTGCAATACCATTCCTGCTAATTTTTGTATTTTTAGTAGAGATGGGGTTTTGCCATGTTGGCCAGGCTGGTCTCAAACTCCTGGCCTCATGTGATCTGCCCACCTTGGCCTCCCAAATTTCTGGGATTACCGGCGTTAGCCACCGTGCCCAGCCCCAATTAAATTTTTTAACACCCCAAAGCACCGCCTTCACCACTGCCCCATCCTGGCTGATACCATAATTCCTCTTCAACTCCATCCTTTCAGCTAAGTATGCACCAGCTTCTGCCATAGTCACTTTTGGGTTGAGGGATACAGTAGTTATCCAATCTTGAACCTTACCTCAGAAGGATGAATATCCTGTTCTTCAGAAGGTTTTCATAGTTGCACTAATGGATTTCTGGTTCCTCAGGGCCACAGTGCATAAACAGGCTACTTACTCACATGAGCCAAAGTTAAACCTATGGAATCCTAAAAAAAATTTTAAGCATAGCACATAACAAAAGCAAAGCCAAAAATCAAGGCAACTGGGAATAAAAGCCAACTTTTCTTGGGTTTATGCAGTCAGCCCAGGATTTTGAAAGAAATTGGCATTCAGTCCCTAGATGCAAACTGGATCAAAATGATGCTGAGATCACTCAGGCATAACCCATAACCTTAGTGTAGGTACAGAGGGGATGGAGATTTTCATGGAACTGTTGCTCACAGCTTCTTCAGAACTTTTCACTGAAACATAGTACACGAGTTGGCTTCACAGCTGTGATTTCCAGAACTTTGTCAACATTTTAGAAGCATTGGACAAGAAGTCTTGACCAAAAGGATTCAAAAGCCAGCTCCATTTGAGTTGATTCATGACTCAAACGGAATTGGAGAGAAGCTAAGAGTGAGGTTAGGGGTGGGCAGGGCATGGATGGCAGGCACAGTAATAAGAAAAGCTGGTCTGAAGAAAACAGTCCAGAAAATAAGGACTAGCCTGTTGGCCTTGGTCTCCCAGCAGCTCCCAGCGGACTTAATTAGAGTTGAATATTCTTTTATATCTGTTGTTGTATAGGAATTTATATCTGTTGGGAGTTGAGATGCAATATCTACCCTTTACTTGGGTGGCAAGGGGCATTAAAGAAGAGGCCAGAAGGAGAGGACATTGGGGAAAATGAGTCAAGAGTTTCAGAAGCCATAGAAAGTTTTTAAAGTGCATCAATAAGATGCAAAACTCTAAAACACTTAGGACGTAACACAAGAGAAATCCTATGACCTTGGTTTTGGTGATGACTTTTTAACTACAACACCAAAGTCATGATCCATGAAAGAAAGAAATGATGAGCTGAACTTCATCAAAATTAAAAACTTCTGCTCTGCAAAATACTCTGTAGAGAGAATTAAGACAAGCCACAGACTGGGAGAAAATATTTGCAAAAGATATATCAGATAAAGGACTGTTAACTAAAATATATAAAGAACTCTTAAAACTCAACAATAAGAAAATGAACAATCTGATTAAAAGATGGGCAAAAGATCTAAACAGATGCCTCACCAAAGAACATATACAGATGGCAAATAAGTATATAGAAAGAAGCTCAACATCATATAATTAGGTAATTGCAAATTAAAATAATGAGATACCACTAAACACCTATTAAAATGGTGAATAATCCAGAACACTGACAACACCAAATGCTGGCAAGGATGTAGAGCAACGGGAACTCTCGTTCATTGCTGGTGGGAATGCAAAGTAGTATAGCCACTGTGGAAGGCAGTTTGGCAGAAAACTGAACATACTTTTACCACATAATCCAGGAACTGTATAGTAAAAGTATGTTATACTCTTTGGTATTTACCAAAATGAGTTCAATACTTTATGTCCACTCAGAACCTGTTTACAGCAGCTTAATTCATAATTGCCAAAACTTGGAAGCATCCAAGATGTCCTTCAGTAGTTGAAGGGATAAAAATTCTGTGGTACATCCCAACAATGGAATTGTATTCAGCACTAAAAGGAAATGAGATATCAAGTCACAAAAAGATATGGAGGACCCTTTAGTGTATTAAGTGAAATAAGCCAATCTGCAAAGGCTACATTCTATATGACTCCAATATATGATATTCTAGAAAAAGCAAAACTATAGAGACAGTAAAAAGATAAGTGGTTACAAGGGATTAATGGGAGGGAAGGGTTAATAGGGAAAGCACAGGAGATATTTAGTACAATGAAGCCATTCTTTTTGATACTATAATGATGGATACACATCATTATACATTTATCCAAACCCATGGAATGCATGACTCCAAGAGTGAACTTTAATGCCAACTACGGATTTTGGGTGATAATGATGTGTCATTGTAGGTTTCTCGATTGTTTAAAAAAAAAAAAAGTGCCAGTCTGAGGGATGCTGATAGTGGGGAAGGCTGTGCATGTGTGGGGACAGGGGCTGTATAAGAAGTCTGCATCTTCCCCTCAATTTTGCTGTGACCTAAAATCATTCTAAAAATAACATCTATTTAAAGTGCACTGGGAATTGAAGGAGATAGAGACATGAAAAACACTTCAAAAAATCAACAAATCCAGGAGCTGGTTTTTTGAAAATTTAATAAAATAGACCACTAGCCAGATGTATAAAGAAGAAAAAAGAGAAGAACCAAATAGACACAATAAAAAATGATAAAAGGGATATCACCACTGACCCCACAGAAATACAACCATCAGAGAATGCTATAAACACCTCTGTGCACATAAACTAGAAAACCTAGAAGAAATTGATAAATTCCTGGACACATACACCCTCCCAAGACTGAGCCAGGAAGAAATTCAATCCCTGAATAGACCAATAATGAGTTCTAAAATTGAGGCAGTAATAAATAGCCTATCAACCAAAAAAATAAAAAGCCCAGGACCAGGCAGATTCACAGCTGAATTCTACCAGAGGTACAAAGAGAAGCTGGTACCATTTTTTCTGAAAGTATTCCAAACAATTGAAAAGGAGGGACTCCTCCCTAACTCATTTTATGAGGCCAGCATCATCCTGATACCAAACCCTGGCAGAGATACAACAAAAAAAGAAAACTTCAGGCCAATATCCCTGATGAATATCCACACAAAAATCCTCAATAAAATATTGCCAAACCAAATCCAGCAGCACATCAAAAAGCTTATCCACCACAATCAAGCCGGCTTCATCCCCAGGATGCAAGGCTGATTCAACACATGCAAATCAATAAACATAATTCATCACATAAACAGAACTAAAGACAAAACCACATGATTATCTCAATAGATGCAGAAAAGGCCTTCAATAAAATTCAACATCACTTCATGTTAAAAACTCTCAATAAACTAGGTATTGAAGGTACACCTAGGTACACCTCAAAATAATAAGAGCTATTTATGACAAACCTACAGCCAATATCATACTGAATGGGCAAAAGCTGGAAGCATTCCCCCTTGAAAACCAGCACAAGACAAGGAAGCCCTCTCTCACCACTCCTATTCAATGTACTATTGGAAGTTCTGGCCAAGGCAATCAAGCAAGAGAAAGAAATAAAGAGTATTCAAATAGGAAGAGAGGAAGCCAAATTATCTTGTTTGCAGATGACATGATTCTATATCTAGAAAACCCCCATCATCTCAGCCCAGAAGCTTCTTAAGTTGATAAGCAACTTCAGCAAAGTCTCAGGATACAAAATCAATGTGCAAAAATCACAAACATACCTATATACCAACAATAGACAAGCAGAGAGCCAAATCATGAATGAACTCTCATTCACAATTGCCACAAAGGGAATAAAATACCTAGGGACATAGCTAACAAGGAGAGTGAAGGACCTCTTCAAGGAGAACTACAAACCACTGCTCGAGGAAATAACAGAGGACAGAAACAAATGGAAAAACATTCCATGCTCATGGATAGGAAGAATCAGTATCATGAAAATGGCCATATTGCCCAAAGTAATTTATAGATATAATACTATTCCCAACAAACTACCATTGATATTTTTCACGGAATTAGAAAAAACTATTTTAAAATTCATATGGAACCAAAAAGAGCCCATATAGCTAGGACAATCCTAAGCAAAAAGAGCAAAGCTGGAGGAATCACGCTACCCAGCTTCAAGCTATACTACAAGGCTACAGTAACCAAAACAGCATGGTACTTGTACAAAAACAGACACATAGACCAATGGAATGGAATAGAGAACTCAGAAATAAGACTGCACATCTACAACCATCTGACCTTCAACAAACCTGACAAAAACAAGCAATGGGGAAAGGATGCCCTGTTTAATAAATGATGCTGGGAGAACTGGCTAGTCATATGCAGAATATTGAAACTGGACCCCTTCCTTATATTTTTGACAAAAATTAACTCAAGATGGATTAAAGACTTAAATGTAAAACACAAAACTATAAAAACCCCTAGAAGAAAATCTCAGCACTATCGTTCAGGACGTAGGCACCAGCAAAGATTTCACGACAAAAATGTCAAAAGCAATGGCAACAAAAGCCAAAATTGACAAATGGGATCTAATTAAACTAAAGAGAAGCTTCTGCACAGCAAAAGAAACTATCATCAGGCCGGGTTCAGTGGCTCACACCTGTAATCCCAGCACTTTGGGAGGCTGAGGTGGGTGAATCACCTGAGGCCAGGAGTTCGAGAGCAGCCTGGCCAACATGGTGAAACCCTGTCTCTACTAAAAATATAAAAATTAGCCAAGTGTGATGGTGCATGCCTGTAATCCCAGCTACTTGGGAAGCTGAGGCAGGAGAATTGCTTGAGCCCGGGAGGTGGAGATTGCAGTGAGCCGAGATCATGCCACTGCACTCCAGCCTGGGCGACAGAGTGAGACTTCGTCTCAAAAAAAAAAAAAAAAAAAACTATCGTCAGAGCAAATAGACAACCTATAGAATGGGAGAAAATGTTTGCAACCTGTTTTGCAACCTGTCCATCTGACAAAGGCCTAACATCCAGAGTCTACAAGGAACTTAAACAAATTTACAAGAAAAAAACCAAACAACCTCATTAAAGAGTGGACAAAGGACATGAATAGAGACTCCTCAAAAACAGACATTTATGTGACCAACAAACATATGAAAAAACCTCAACATCACTGATCATTACAGAAGCGCAAATCAAAACCACAGTGAGATGCCATCCCACACCAGTCAGAAAGGCAATTATTAAAAAGTCAAGAAATAGCAGATGGTGGCGAGGCTGAGGAGAGATAGGAACGCTTTTACATGGTTGGTGGGAATGTAAATTAGTTCAACCATTGTAGAAGACAGTGTGGCGATTCCGCAAAAACCTAGAACCAGAAATACCATCTGACCCAGCAATCCCATTACTGGGTATATACCCAAAGGAATATAACTTATTCTACTATAAAGATACATGCACAGATATATTCATTGCAGCATTATTCACAATAGCAAAGACATGGAATCAACCCAAATGCCCATCAATGATAGACTGGATGAAGACAATGTGGCACATATACACCATGGAATACCATGCAGCCATAAAAATGAATGAGATCATGTCTTTTGCAGGGATATGGATGGAGCTGGAAGCCATTATCCTCAGCAAACTAAAGCAGGAACAGAAAACTAAACACCACACATTCTCACTCATAAGTGGGAGCTGAACAATGAGAACACATGGACACAGGGAGGGAAACAACACACTCTGGGGCCTGTTGCGGAGATGGCAGGAGGACAGGGGAGAGAGAGCCTCAGGAAAAATAGCTAATGCATGCCCATGCGGGACTTAATACTTAGGTGATGGGTTGATAGGTGCCGCAAACCACCATGACACACGTTTACCTGTGTAACAAACTTGTACATCCTGCACATGTACCCTGGAACTCAAAATAAAATAAACTGCCCTGACCACCCTGCAGCAACAATGAAGTGGAATTGGATTAGACTTTTTTTTTCTTTTACTCAGAATGAGTTCTGGTCCCAAAACAATAGCAGACTCTGCCTGGATAAAGGAGGCAAAACAACCTAAAATATCATCTAGAATCCTGCTGTAACGGATACTCTATACACATTTGTGGAGTGAATAACTCCTCTGAGCCTGTTACCTCAGCATCCTCATCTGACCTGAGGCAGAGTTTGGCAACAACCATGCATGTACACACCATTCCAGCAAGTCACTGAGGAAATCAAGGTGTAGGCTCATTCCAGTGCTTCCTTTGCTCAACAACTTGTCCAGTCCCAAAGCTCAAGCTAAACACATCTTCTGACAAAGCCAAAAACCCTGAGTCATCCTCAACTCCCCTCCTTCTTTCATTCCTCAGATGGGCGAATGTTGTCAGCTCCATCTTCCAAAAAGATCCAGAATCCAACCACTTCTTTCATTTCAGTCACGCCCACCTGGCCCAAGCCACCACCCATTCCTGCCTCTCAACTCTTTCAGCCCCAGTGGTCTCAGTCCCTCCTCCACCCCGAAGCTTCTACCTCACCCAGAAAAGGATCCTATATCCTCACTTGCTGTGACTACAAGAACTGCGGTGGTCCAGCCCCTGTTCCCTCTCTGATCTCATCCACCCCTCCTGACTCCGCTCCAGCCCACAGCCTCCTCCTTGTCCTCTGAGCACACTGGCACCTTTCTCCTCAGCACCTCCCTGCTCCCGTGAGCATGGCTTCTCCACCAAAGAGCCTCCTGTTTCATTCAGGTCTCTAAGCAAGTGTCACTGACATTGGAAAGAAAAAGGACATTCCCTGTACCCTGTGTAAACTGCAGTCACACACCCTCTCCTGCAGCCCCTTGGCCCTCTCTCCCCTTCTCACCCTGATAGCACTGATCCCTGCTTGGAGCGTTTGTGCGTGCACTCCTTCTGCTGTCCTGCCTTTCTCTCCCACTGACACGGAAGCTTCACCAGAGCTCATCTGTCTGTTGACTGCTCGTGTCCAGGGCCTAGAACAGGGCATCGCACACAGTAAGCATTCAATAAATGTGGGAAGGAAGTGAGAGGTGGGAAGGGGCAGCCTGGCTGGCTGGTTTTCTCCTACAGAGTCCTCATTTCAGCACTGTCCATTGTTAAAAGAAAAACTTTAGACAAGTCAAATTTAAGAGTTCAACTGAGCAAAGAACAGTTCACAAATCAGGCAGCCCCCAGAACCAGAACAGGTTCAGAGCAACCGCAGGGCTGCCACAGGGTCAGATAACATTTACAGATAGGAAACAGAAGGTGATGGACAGAAAATGGAAGTGGGGTGCAGAAACAGCCAGACTGGTTACAGTTCAGTGTTTGCCTGATTTGAGCAGGGTTTGAACAGTTACCGCCTGTGACTGGCTGAGACTCAGTGACTTGTTACTAGGAGGTTACAGTCTGTTTACGCATCCTGTTAGGTGGCAGTTGGCTGGGTGTGCAGAAACCTTCAGGCCAAACCTGAAATACGTAGGAGGCAGCTTTAGGTCCGATTTAATTTCACGCTGTCTACACCTACCCTTTCCTCACCACTCTGCAAGACTGTGAATAACACAAAAGAAATACAAGACACTCTCCTTGTCCCTAAGAATCTCAGACTTGTAAAGAATGAGAAAATACACTAAAAAGAACTCAGCGAATAACAGGAACAATTCACTATGCTGAATAGAGTATCAAGAGGTAAATATATTTGAACACAGACAAGCGTTATGGGAACCAGGAAAGAACGAGAACTCCGTGGAAACTGGATATAGCTGTAAAGGCTAAGCTGTGCGCATTTCTCTGGTCCTACAAGGCACGTCCCCCCATAAAGAGTCAAGACACACCATATCGTGTTCTCAGAATTGGTTCTGTGGAAATTCGCCCAAATCTTTCCGCAGTGCACATTACCCACAGCTTCAAGGGTGTCCAATGACCTAAGCACCCCGAGCTCCTTTTTCTCATTCTTGCTGTTTCTTCCACTGACCTACAAATTCAACCTGCCTAGTCAACCCCTCCCCAGCCTTCTATCTGCTTCTACACTGCGGGCAAGGAGCAAAGTCACCGCTGAGCTTTCCTTGACTCCATTGCTGATGTTTTTCTTGCCTTTACAGAACTCCCGCTCTCTCCCATTCAGTCTCAACACAGCTTCATTGTTCTTCTCTTCGCCTGTTTTTAATCTTTTCTCTCTCCCCACAATCTCCACTGCATCACCTCGTCCTTACTCATTTCTTCTGGATTTTCCTATATGGAGGTTTGCATTTATAGCTCACCTCATTGCCCCGTTTTTTAATAACTGGGAAATGTCTCTGCCAAAAGCATTCTCTTACGGGGAAAAAAGCGCATTCCATCATCTCCCGGCACCACCCATGAGAGGTGAGGAAGCACCTAGTAAATCATTCTTGTGCATTCTCCTGTGGCCAGACCCACAGAGGTGGCCAGCACAGCACTGTCTGCCGTCCTGCTCTCCACTCGGCTGCGTTTCCTGCACCTCAGCCCTCCTACTCGTCTGCCCATGCACCTAGGGAAGGATTTTAACTCAGTGCCACCCCTCCAGAGAAAAGGAAGCTGGAGATACCCTGATGCATCAGCACATGGGAAGGAATGTTCTCCAAGCAGCCAAAATAACGGGCCCAGCTTGGACTTGGAGTTGAAGTTGTATGCAGCAGGCAGGAAAGTTTGGTCTCACTCCAGACTCAAGCTGAATGGGGCCACCTTTCCCAGGGTGGGGAGGTCCCCTCCATGTCCACCCTGGCGAATCAGTGGGGAGAAGAGACACATTTCTCCTCCACTAACTAAAAGTACCCCTAGGTTCCACAAGTATGGAAGGAGACAAGGTGTCCATCAACCCACGAGCAAGGACTGGAGGACCGAGAGATAGAGGGTGAAGCTCACTAGATCAAATTAGAAACATCCATCTATGTGACTTGCCACCCCTGTAGCTTCAGTCTGTCCATGAGGCTTTCTATGGGAAGAGTAATGCACTTGTTGGAGAGGCAGCTGGTTTTCATTATGGGCGAAAGAAGTTCAAAAATAAATACAGCCTCCCTCACACCCACCCCAAACCCAGTGCACATTCAATTCTAACAAAATGGACACCTAGATTCCAAAGTCAACCGGTCTGACGCCCATGCCATGAAGAATTGTTGCTATTGTTGCAGTTGTTGCTCAAATGGTTTATTTCTTTGGAGGCCACAAACTAAAACAATGACAACTTTCATGTTGAATTCCAGGAAATAAAGGATAGACAATAATGAGAGATTTTTTTTCCCCCAAATACAAACAAATGAATTAGGACTGAAGGGCTGAAGGGAAGCGGAACAAATTAGGCTTGAGGACTTCCACCAGCCTGCCCACCCCACTGAACAGCTCTTGGGCACATTCTCCCCAGAGAGCTCAGAAGTGGTCTGGATTCGGGGACAAATATGTAACAAAAGATGCAGGCCCACCCAGAAGACATGGGAGCCTGCTGTGCGGATTACAAACACTGGCAGAGAGCCAAGAGCTGCCCCTTCCCTCAGCTATGGAGCAGAGGCAAAGCAGCCCAGGCAGACATCACGGACCAGTTCCTTCACAGTCTGGGACGGTTTGAACACCAGAAGAAAGTCTGGCATTGTCCCTCCAGAACCCTAGGTTGCTAACTACATTTTAAAATCATTAATTTCTCAAGTCCACCCTGCATTACCATATCAGATCATCTTAATCAGTCAGGGCACTGCCTGCTACGCTCGATGCACAGTAAATATTTGTCGTTGGAATTAATTAACTGTGCAAAGGAGGCCCCAGGCCAGGGATCATTACACCACAAGCCTTTCAGTTTCCCACAGGGAAAAAGTCTATTCTCAAAACACGGTCTTGACCCCGCCCCCAACCAAGTATCTGAAAAAGTCATCTATGAGTTGCTACAAGATGGGCCATCTAGAAAGCAGATGGCTCAGGGCAAATGCGTGGGTTTGAAATAGCATCTTCTGAAGGTGAGCACATTTCCAGTAGCCCGTTGTACAGATGTGGCCACTGACAAACTGAGGTGTTCAAAGATTTCCCTAGAGTAAAAAAGAGCAATCAGATGAGCCACAAAATCTCTGTCAGTGGTGTAGGAGTCCATTTGCACTACTATAAACGTATATTTGAGGTTGGGTAAGAAAAGAGGTTTAATTGGCTCACCGTTCTGCAGGCTGTATAGGAAGCATGGTGCCAGTATCTGCCTCTGGTGAAGGCCTCAGGAAGCTTCCAATTGTGGTGGGAGGCAAAGTGGGGGCAGGCATGTCACATGGCTTGAGAGGAAGCAAGAGAGAAGGGGAGGAGGTCCCAGACTCTTGAACAATCGGATCTGGTGTGAACTAACTGAGAACGCACTCGACTAAGGGGACGACGCCAAGCCATTGGCAAGGGGTCCACCCTATGATCCAAAACCTTCCACCAGAACCCCCCTTTAACACTAGGGGTCACAGTTCAACATGTGATTCTAAGCCATTGGCAAGGGGTCCACCCTATGATCCAAAACCTTCCACCAGAACCCCCCTTTAACACTAGGGGTCACAGTTCAACATGTGATTCTAAGCCATTGGCAAGGGGTCCACCCTATGATCCAAAACCTTCCACCAGAACCCCCCTTTAACACTAGGGGTCACAGTTCAACATGTGATTTGGAGGGGACAAACATCCAAAGCATATCAGGTAGTTTTAATTCAGAAAATCTTATAGTTGGATTAAAAAATTAAAAATCTCATTGCTCTCTAGTCCCCAGCTGGAACCAAACACTTTCTTCAACCTCCACCTATGGAATTCCACCTCTTCCTTGTGACTCTCCATCCTGGGCCTGACCTCACGTCACTCAGGAATCCTGATTTCAGCATGCAAACCAAATGTCCAAGCAAGGGTGAGGGGCCAGCTGACCTGGTGGCCCCAGCAGTCCGGGAGCTGAGGATGCCACTGCCTGCCTGTGGGACAGGTGCAGAGTGAGGCCAATGGAAGGAGACAGAGCCGGAGGCAGGGGCAAAAAGAGCAAATCATTGGGCTTAGTGTCAGAAAATGGACTTTTGAGGGCACTGGTGGTGACCTGAAGTCTTTCCATGCCATGTATACACCAACATCATCCTGGGGATTTGCTGGAGCTACCACTAGCTTAGTGCCTCGGGCGGCATTCAGCTTGGCTTCTTTGTGTTTCCAACAACACACTCACTCACTTTCACAATGAGTTTCACCACAGGCTGTACCCAGTAACCTGCTGATCTTAAACAAGCTGGCCCATCTACCCCTCTGCTTCTCAGGGGCTCCAGCTATACTCCCTGATTAGAAATGCAGCTTCACAGTCTCTCTAAAGTATTCCTTCATGAGTCTGTTTAGTTTGCAGCCAAAAACACAGAGGGTCCCCTTGGGCAAATAAGATGTTCATTCATCTGCAAAGACCCCACTTACACACAACATTTTCTGTACGTACCTGTCGTCTAGAGTAGTGGTTTCCATGCTGTGTCCCGAAACCTAAAGTTATATAAAGGAGCTGAGAAGACCAAGGAGAGCAAAGTTGACAGGAGTCTGACCCTTCACCCTTTCTTTCATCAGGTCCATACTGGTTTTACGTATTTTCTGTATTTTATTTATCACATATATTTTATCACATGTAATATATAGTATAAATAATGTAGATATAACCAGGTGACCTTGTGGAGAAAAAAAAAATAATTCCATTGCTAAATAAAAGCTTGAAAAACATGACTTAATCAGAGTAAGGTCTGCTTGCATCACTGCCTGTAGTTTACAAAGCTCTACCAGGCCAGTGTACTGTGAGCAGCCAACCACAGGATGGCCTCTCTGGGTGAGGCAGGGCGGGGGAGCCCAAAGACATTTACTTGGCACCACCTGCTTCCCCTTAACTCTCTCTTTCTCTCTCTCTCTCTCTTTACTCCCACCCCAGAGAATAGTTTGCAACCACTGAACCAGAAAATCTGTATGGTTCCTCCAAATTCCATGTTGAAAGTTTCCTAGATTCCAGTAATTTTTGAACAAGTGAAGGAATTTGCTATGGCTCGAATGTCTGTCCCCTCCAAAACTTTTATTGAAACTTACAAATTGCCATTGTAACAGTGTTGAGAGGTGGGACCCCTAAGAGGTGATTAGACCACGAGGGCTCTGTCTGTGAATGGACTAATGCCATTAATGAGGGTGGGTTCCTTATAAAGGATGAGTTCAGCCCTCTCTCTTGCCCTCTCTCACCCTCCCCTTGCCCTTCTGCCATACGACGCCTTCTGCCACATTTCGACCCAGTAAGAAGGCCTTCACCAGATGCTGGCACCTTGGAATTGGACTTCCCAGCTTCCAGAACTGTGAACCAATACATTTCTATTTGTTATAATTGTCCAATCTGAGGCATTCTGTTATAGCAGCACAGATGGACTAAGAATTAATGAAAGGTAAAATAGATAGATAGATGGAATGGGTGAGCAGAATGCTGATATTTTCTGGGGTCTAAAATTTAAAGAATTCTCAATTGTTTCAAGCTATTGCTGAGAAATATTAGAATATGTTGAAATTAGATTTTAGTCCACAGTTGCATAGATGAGCTTCAAAGAGGATTCTCTGACTGTTTGTTTTGTTTTGTTTTAAATGTGGCTACCCATCCCCTTTCTTGGAGGCCAAGTGAGATCTTTCAGGTGAGAATCACAACAGCCAAGTATTTCTAGCAGAGAAGAAGACATGGTGGGAAATAACACCAGGTGATCACCAAGCCTTTCTTTCACCAGTTGGTCATCCCAGACTTACTTTCAACACCTGAAGAAAATCACTTGTCCCTAATGAAGTTGTTTAATCATCAGCCTTAACATTGGTATTCAACATTTAAACCTTATCTTCTGTGACTATGTCACCACCATTTATGGTTTGGTTTTGGTTGGCTTTTTGTTTTCGTTTTTGAGACAGGGTCTGGCTCTGTCACCCAGGCTGGAGTGCAGTGGCATGTCTAGGCCCACTGCAACCTCCATCTCCCCGGTTCAAGTGATCCTCCTACCTCAGGCTCCCGAGTAGCTGGGACTACAGGCACGCACCACCACGTCAGGCTAATTTTTTGTTGTTGTTTGTTTGTTTGGTAGAGACAGAGTTTCATCATGTTTCCCAGGCTGATCTCGAACTCCTAGGCTCAAGCAATCCGCCCTCAGCCTCCCAAAGTGCTGGAATTACAGGCATCAGCCACTGCGCCCAGTCTATGTTCTTAAGAATATAAAAATGAAGCTTGTCCTGTGCTTTGTTCGTTTGTAGGAATAACAACCTTCTCTTATTCTGCCCCCCCCCAAAAAAGCATTTTATATAAAAAAATTCAGATTGTTTTCCCCCAGGATTATGTAAAGCATTTTCAATTCTTGTTTTGATAAATGTCACCTAAATCTTAAAATATTAGGGCTTCAGTTTGGGTATTTTTTTCAGTAGTGAATAAGTAAGTAGGCCTCTTGATTAAAAATGTTTGTGTCTGGTATTTTTTCTCTTAATTGACGGGTTTATGTTACTCATCTTTTAAATATGAAAGGTGCGTGAAATACACCAGATGGGTTCCCAACTTGCCAAAGCTCAAGCTACAAAATCAGTAAGCACGGCGCTGCTCTGAGAGGTGGAGTGGGTGACTTCTGAGGGGTTTCTCCACATCGCTGTTTGAAGACCCCTGTATGCTAATGTTCTTTAAGCATCCCTCCAACTGTAAAATTTTATGATTCTACTGTCCCTGAGTAGCTAAAATTGGGTAAGAAAAGGAAATAAGTGTTCCAAGAACCAAATGAGGAATCAGAAAGCCACACTGATTCCTGGTTCGTTAAAGCAGCCATGTTTACCTTGTAGCCATGTTTACCAAGGTAGCCAAGTTTACCCTGGACCCCCATAACTCAATGTTCTGCACCTGCAAAATAGAGAAAGGAGGGGATGAATGAGGGTCTAAACGGAAAAACACCGTCCTTTCTCTCAGTGGTTCTGCTGTGCCTCTCTCAAAGCACCACACCCACCCCAATACCAAATGCCAGGCAGAGTTACATGCACAGTGGAAAGCTGATAAAGCATGACATCAGTAGGGGCCGGGTGAGCTGGGGACAGAAGACAGGACAGGGCAGGAAGCAGAAATCCCAGAATTCGATAGGCAGAGTAATGGAATGGCTCCAAACCATCTTCCCGAACCTCAGATGTGCCAATTTGATTGGATGCAGTTAAAGAGAACAAAAGAATATGCCAATAAAAGCCAAAACAAAAGATGAAGCTACAGCACAGCTTTTCCAAAGGGCTGCCCTGGCCACACGGGCAAGAAGGGGGCCAGCAGCCCCAAGAGCAGGTCCAGAGTCCACCGAGCACCCCGCTCCTGCACCGCTGCTCCCCACAGCTCAGCTGTGCCTCCTGCACCTTGAACCCATTCAAGAAGACTTTTGGGTTTTTCTGTTTGTGTTTGTTTTTGACGGAGTTTGACAAATTGTTATATGAAAAGAACCAAAGAAGAAAAGGGAAAAAATTATTTATTCAGCCTTAAAGAAAAAAAGGATCTATCCTTTTAATTGAGGCAGACAAAGACCTTTCAAAATCCATTCAGTCGTAGCGTCAGCTCTCATGCCACCCATGTTCCGCATGCCTCCCCTGTTCCTGCTGCAGCCACTTCACTCGCCCTGCTCACACCCACCCCTCCCTGCCCCCAGGGCTGCCCTGACTCACCATTCCCCTGGCCTCAAACCCACACACATCCATCTGAAACAAACACATACGAGGACCCAGCAAACACACACTCTCTCACATATACACACACAGATACAGCTACCCCATCCCTCACTCAACTTTCCGACAGCTAGCAGAGATGTCAGCCAGGATACCCAGCTTGTCCCACACCCTCTTCCAGTGAAGCCACCCTGGGCTCAGCCCCTGTGGAGGGGCAGCTGTGCATGACCATTATTCCACCTGGCAACCCCACCCTAGCCGCAGCCACCTGAGCTACAGCAAATGACCCTGAATGTGGCTGGGTGAGAGGGAGGGTGAGCAGGTTCATTTACCTCCTACACATTGCAGGTGAGGGACTTAGGCCGCATTCATTCCCTCCTCACTCCCTCCCTGGGCTGAGATGCATGTAACTGGCTCCATCTCACACACTCCTGGATTGCCTCTTTTATCCTCCTGCTGCAGCCTTTTTCTTTGGAAGAGCAAGTGCCAGAAGATAAGCTTCTGAAACAAGTCAGATTCTTTCTGGGAGCGGTATTCCCACCAGCCTGGAGTGCTTTCACACAGCTTGGTGTCCTGAACAGGCGTGTGCAGTCTGTGGAAGGAAGTGTGATAACAAAGGAATGCAGCTCTGGACCACAGGCCCCCAGGGAAGGGGAGAGAGGAAGAGAAAGGAGGAAGAGCAGAGCCACAGGTCAGGAGTCATTATGCCTTGGTGACACCATCTGCCTGTGACACTGAAGTCACACTCGATGGTAGGGCTTTGAATGCTGGACTCCACAGAACCCACCAAGTATTGGGCTGAAAATCAGCTACAGTTCTGGTCCTCAGTAACCAGGAAAGTCTCCTGAGATACTATTACAGGGTAACCAGTGATTGCGGCACCAAAGTCCTGCTCCCTGCAGCCTCCCCAAATTCCAGCCCTCCCGTTGGATTGGCCTTGGGAATGTGATCTGTTAAAATGCTACCCCTTCCTCTCATTACCTATGTGACATAAAGATCTTGAGAGTGAGTCTTAACTCTCACCTTTGGAGAAATTTGAAACACAAGAAATTACCTCCTTTCTGTTTTTGGAACAGCTGTCATTTCTGCTGGTGAAATCTCAGGTCTTTGGAGTTTCCTAAAGACCCTGGTCATGGAGCCCTTGACAAAGTTCCTAGGCTGCAATAAAGAGATTACATGGAGAGGAAGAAAATTTGCAGGGTAGCAGAAAGACATGGATAGTAAACTGTGTATTGATTTTGCTTTAACTTACCACATCTTCGGCCATTCCCATGCAAACTTTTTCTGGAGAGCTCATAACATGCAAAGGCAACGGCACAAGTTTAATCTTCCTTCATCCCCCAGTGGCAGGATTAGAAAGCCATGAACTGGCCAAAGATCAGACAGAAAGAAAGGGAAGGAGGCAAAGCAAATGGCCTGAGTTATCCCTCCCTGGACCATTCCAGTACCCTAACTAATCAAGAACTGGCCCCTTTTAAAAAGATGAACTTTCTCAGCCTGTATTGGGGCCAAAGCCAAATTTTCTTGTTCTGGTAAATCAGTATTGTTTGAATTCCAAAGAGGCTCAAAACCCACATCGCCATGCAGGTTCCCCAATCATCCCCTCTGACTCTACAAGGTAAATCCACAGACGGAGGAGTTCCTAGGCAACCCAAAGTAAATGCACCAAAGGATCAAGAAAATAATGGTCTGTGAGAGCTCCATTTTTAATTTGCAACCCTACTACCGAGTATATACCCAAAAGAATTGAAAACAGGATCTTCAAAAGATATCTGCACTCCCGTGTTCACTGCAACAAGGTTAAGAAGAGTCAAGTTATGGAAACGACCCAAATGTCCATCAAGAGATGAATGGATAAAGAAAATGTGGTACACACACACAATAGAATTTTTCAGCCTGAGAAAAGAAGGAAACCCTGCCATTTTCGACAACATGGATGAACCTGGAAGACATTATGCTAAGTGAAATGAGCCAGGCACAGAAGGACAAATACTGCATGATTCCACTTGGATGAGGTATCTAAAATAGGCTCATAGAAGCAAAGAATAAAAAGGTGGTTGCCGGGGGCCGAAGGGAAGGGAAATGGGGATCCGTTGCCCAATGGGTATAAAGTTACAGTCATACAAGTGAATTAGTTCTAGAGATCTGCTGGACAGCATTGCACAGTCAACAATACTGTATCATGCACTTAAAATTTTATTAAGAGGGTATGTCTCCTGTTAAGTGTTCTTTCCCTTAAAAAAAGGAATGGGGGGACACAAGTGAACTTTTGAGATGATAGCTGTGTCTATTACCTTGGTTGTGGTAATGGTGTCAAAGGGGCATGCATATGTTCAAACTCATCAAATTGGATACATTAAATAGGTGCAGTTTTTGTATGTCAATTATAAACCTGTTTAAAAAGAAAAAGAAAAGAATAGTCTAAGTGGCCCTGAGTGTTTTAACTTGAGGCCTACTCAATGAGACAGTATGATTTCTGCCATTTGTCAAGGCAGGAAAAAACTGAAACAGTCAGAGACTAAGTGGCCCCTTTCCTCCTGCTCAATTCATTGCCTCTGATGTACACAATATGAGACAAGAAGAGGCTATTGACAGGAAGCTCTCTCAGAGGAAGTGGAATCCCCTTCACAGATAGGCAATGACTTCTCTTTTCCCTCAAAGAGAAATGGTGTCTGTTTCCAGGGAAGGGGCTGAAGAAACTGATCAAGAATTTAAAAGATGGCTTCTCCCAAAAGTGGCCAGAAAAACTCCTCAGTTTCTCAGGCCTCAGAACTGCTGTGAAACCAAAGGTGGGCAGCGCTGGGGAGCAAAATGTGTCTGAAAGTCGGGTCTGGAAGGTCAAAAAACATGGTAGTTACTTGGCATTTGGGGCCATTCAGCATTCAAACACTCTCCTATTCCGGGGGGGACATTTCAAATTAGGCGGGAGACAGGTTCCTTTATTAAGGGAGCCAAAGAGGGCACGTGGTTCCCTTCTCTCCTTCCTCAGCAAGGCCATGTGACCTGGGCACAGCCAGTCAGAGGCTTCCACTCAGGTTTTAATTCCGTGTCCATGCAGCAAAGTCCAGGATCAGTTAGAGGTTATCAGGAGGCCATTCATGTGATAAAAGTTTCCAGGGACAGTTGCATCCAACAGTGAGAACCCAGAAGCAACACCCTAAGCCCAGAGCACCCAGGGTAGGATGTCCCTGGGCCTTGCTGACCTTTGTTTGTGCTCAGACTGGTGTGCTCAACTACCCACAGATAGCAAAGAGCTACCAAATACCCTTCCAATCAATTTGCCTTCTGCTTGTTTTTTTTTAATTCACAACCAAGAACCTTAATGCTGAATTATAACAGGGAATGATTCAGAAAAGAACCCTCGGCTTGTTGCGAGGTGACCGTCTAACCCCTAAAGTGCCAAGAAGTCCAGGTGACACTTACCGTGTCCTCTCTGGGCAGTGAGCAGGTAACTGAGAAAATTGTGACGGTTGTATTAACTGCACAGGCCACGTAGGACTGTCCTCAGGCATTCTGCCCTCTGGGAGATGACATGCTCACACTCAGCCACACACTCTGCACACTCAAAGACAACCTGGTTATCTGGTGCCCTGTTCCTTACCCTTTTCTTCCAGTGTTTTGTTTGTTTGATTCTTCGTTTTTTTGTTTTGTTTTGTTTTGTTTTTTGGTTTGTTGTTGTTGTCGTTTTTAGCAAATGTGAATTGGGAGATATAAGCGCTCTTCTGTAATCCACAGGGAAGAGTCTGACAAGAAGTACAGCTCAAAGCCCACGGCCAGTTTCCACCAGTCATCTGATCAAGGCCTGGCAACCCCAACCCATTTGCCATGCCCTATGATGCCTTCAAGGCCCCATTCAGGAGGAAAAGTTCACTCTACCAATTAACTTTTTTTTTGAGACTGAGTCTCACTCACTGTGTTGCCCAGGCTGGAGTGCAGTGGTGCGGTCTTGGCTCCCTGCAACCTCCGCCTCCCGGGTTCAAGCGATTCTCCTGCCTCAGCCTCCTGAGTAGCTGAGATTACAGATCATTAACTTATCTCATTTTTTAGAAACTCACACTCAAGATCTACTTCTCCAGAATCCAGGTGCAGCAGCCAGGAAACCATTTAGTTCTCTGAATATACTTGTGTTTGTCTCTCTCACCAGAAATAGCAAACCTACCCACTGTGGGCTCACACCCAGCAACCTCCACATAATCTGACCAGCTTCTACTTCTTTAATATTTAGCTCAGGTACCATCAACTCCAGGAAGCACTTGCTGGCCTTTCAAGGGTGTATGGGAGGCTCTTTCTCTACGCTCTCCAAATGCCCCCCATACTAGCATTGTTGCACTTACCCCGGGGCACTGCATCCCATACGTGTCTGTCCCCTTAAGTAGACCATGGGCTCCTTAGCAGCCGGCACTGTGTCATATACCAACACTCGGAGCAGCAAGTGCACACAGCAAGTGTTCAATAAGTGTGGGTGAAATAAATGAATGAATCAGGTAGGACTGGGATTTATTCCCAGATGTGAAGTGACTCTGCCTCTGAGACCACATCTGCCAAAAGAGGAAACAGGGAAGAATGATGGCAAAGGTCCCTTCCAACCCCAAGACTTTGTGAGTCACTGAAGTTTTCCCTCGTGAGTCCTGCATAACAATAATCACAGTTAACATGCACCCAACAGGCCGGCCACCGAGCTGCTGAGCACAGAATCGGAGTTGTCTCATTCAAGCCTCTCAGCCCCTACCAGCGTGTTTGTGGGGGGCTGTGCGGCAGCCACGTGCTCAATCTCACGGGTGACTACGAGGGGGCTGGTTAAGAGTGCCGACCAACATGAACAAGAGGCAGCCAAGGCAAGGGAGAAGAAAAGGGCCGAGATTGGCTGTGGTCTTTCTGCAAGAAGGGACTTGAGGAACAAGCCAGGGAGAAATAGGAAGGGAGGTTACAGTTGCTGAATGCTCACCCAGTGCATCCTCACAAAACGCCAAGCACTATCATGTATGCCATACCCGCTTTACCTGGAGGAAAACCAAGGCTCAGAGAAGTTTAGGACCTGCCAAATGGAGGCAGTGCTCAAAAGCATGTGTCTGCTGGATTCCTGAGCCTGGCTCATTTCTACACCCCAGCATGGTTGAGGTCTGACTCTGGGGATCAGTCCTCCATATGCCCCTGCCCCTCTGATCCAAACCCTCAGAAGTGTGTCCAATAGTGTCCCAAGCTTGTTCTCCTAAAAGAAGCAAGGGACATGTAACCCCAGTGAAATCACAGTCAGTCCCCTCACAGCTCACAATTTCTGAGGGACTTCTAATGCTCTCGAGACTAACCCCCGAAGTTGTGAATCTGCATTGGCCAGGAAAAGCACTCAGGACTTGGAGTCCAAGACCCTGACTGCAGGGCCCCAGTTAACTAATTGTTGGCTGGTGATCTTGGGACTTTGAAAAGAATGCAGCATTAAACACTAGTACATACCATCATTATGAAGAAGATGAGAACTCTGGCTTTAATGTAGAGTCAGAGATGATCTGGCCCCAGATGCTGATCCTTCTAAGTACATCAACAGCTTTCAAAAGGGACAGCATGTCTCAACTCAGCCTGACAACCTCTCCAAGACTTGCTGGCCTGTTTATTTGTTCCAAGCATCTGTTGGGCTAGAGCAACACAGCCAGAGCTGGGAGACAGGCATCCCTCTGCTTGCAAACCCCACCATCAGCTGGACAGATGGGCCAGAGGGCAGGACACACAGGAGAAAGGATGCTAAACAAGACACAGATAGCAGCTGACCCAGGCAATCAGACTCCACGTGCCAGAGGTTAAGCAGTGTTACAGACAGCTCCTTCCTCTCCCCCTCACCATGCCTGTGCTGACCCCGCTGGCAGAGAACTGGTGGCTGAGACGGCATCACTGCTGGGAAAGAGACTGGCTGAAACCCCCACCCCCACCTCCTATACCTTTCCCTCCCTCCTGCTGTCCCTCTGTCCCCTCACTGGCTGGATTCAGCCCTGCTGTCATCAGGAGGGCCTGGAGCCTGGCCGACAGTCAGCTGATAGGAGCCGTGACTCAGCCTTCTCTGACGTAAGGCGGGAGGGCCTGGGCTGGATCCTCCGGGAGCCACTCTGCTCCCTGGGCCAGCCCTGGGCCGACCTGAAATGAGGTGCTTTGCTCTCCCTCACTTCCACTCCCTGGGCAGTTCTGCTCTCTTACTTAGACTACCTCCCACTGCCCTCCCACTCCCCAGCCCCAACACGATGCAGACACAATTTGGGAACACTAGTCTTTACAAGATAATGCATTTTCTGTGAAGCCTCGCCTGACTCGCTGAAGCGGAGTTAAATACAGTCATACCTTAGTATCTGCAGCGGTCTGGACCAGGATACCAAAATCCGCAGGACCCCCCAGATACCAAAATCCACAGGTGCTCAAGAACTCAGCCCTGTGAACCTTCATATGGAAACAATCTGCCCTCTGCATCCATGAGCTCTGCATGCCAAGAATACTGTATTTTAGATCTGCCAATGGTTGAATCCATGAATGGGGAACCCCATGGACACAGAGAGCTGACTCTATTCATATATGTAATCTCGTCTTGCACCCTGTACCCACCTCTGTTGAGAGACTGTATGGGGGAGTAATTAAGAAATAGAGGCTGGGTGCAGTGGCTCAAGCCTGTAATCCTAGCACTTTGGGAGGCCAAGTGGATCCCTTGAGCCCAGAGGTTTGAGACCAGCCTGGGCAATGTAGTGAGACCCCATATCTGTTAATTCTTAAAAATAAAAATTAATTAATTAATAAAAGAAATGAACCCTGGAGTAAGAGTGCCTGGGTTCAAGTCCAGCTATGCCACTTATTAGCAGAGGTTGTTGCAGAGATTATCTGAATTGGTAGATGTCAAGGACAATGGCAAAGCACTTGAAGATTACATATGTATTCTATATGACATATACCCAAGTACTGTATATATAATGTATATCTTACGTATGTCTCTCCAAGTGCTTTGCCATTGTCCTTGTTAGGGTTTGGATTTATGTCCCCACCCAAATCTCATGCTGAATTGTAATCCCCAGTGTTGGAGGAGGGGCCTCGTGGGAGGTAATTAGGTCATGGGGGCAGACTTCCCCTTTACTGTTCTCCTGATAGTGAGTTCTCACAAGATCTGGTTGTTTAAAAGTGGGTGCCACTTCCCACTTCACACTCTTCCTCCTTCTGGCCATATAAGACATGCCTGCTCCCTCTTCACCTCCTGCCATGATTGTAAGTTTCCTGAGGCCTCCCCAGCCATGCTTCTCATACAGCCCACAGAACCATGAGCCAATTAAACCTCTTTTCTTTATAAATTACCCAGTCTCAGGTAGTCCTTTATAGCCATGTGAGAATTTTATATATATATATATATATATACACCATTTATATATATACCATATATATATATATGTATATATACACATACACACACACACATATATATACACATATATATAGCTCCAAGGATATTATATCAATAGTATATAAACTATTGATTTTTTCAGCATGAATAAATGAAGATGCTATCATATCATATGATCATCTGTCTATTTGTCTGCATTCTCCACTAGACAGTGAGCTCTTTTAGAGCAGGGATCATGACTTCTATTTTACATATCTCTTAAGTCAGTGTTTAGGATACAGCAGACACTCAAAAACTAACTGATGAATGAATAAATACCAAAATTCTGGGTCACCCTACCCAGCACATATACAATCAACTGAGGCAGAAAAGTCCAACTCACCACTCACCCCTCCCCAGTCTTTTTAATTTCCCAGCAGAATCCCAAGTGGAACGTTCCAGGAGAGGCCTGGCTTTAATTTTAAGAGATAAAGACAGCCAAGTGCTGGATAAATGCCTTATCCTGGTTTTCAAACCCTTTTCTCCTTATTCCCCAAGACTCCCACGTCTGCCTTCCTCCCTGACGCCTCCCAGGCAACACCCAAGCTGTCCTGTGCTCCACCCCGAGTAGCCCTCCTTTCCCACACAGCTTGTGACACCACTGCCCACCCCCAGGGATACAGAGGAAACCAGCCACCTCCAAGGCCAGGCAGGCGGTGCCATTCCCACAGCCATCACCCATAATCCTTCAACACCAACCAGCTCCGCTGGAAGCAGCCCAAAGGCCTCTAATGCTGAGAGTGACATCCAAACCAGAGCTTTCCGTGAGTGTGAGGCTGGAAAGACCACACACAGAAGACGTGCACAGGCCTCCACCCAGGCCTCACACAGACACCCAGATCGCTACACCTCACACACCATGATACACACAACAGTCCCTCTCGGGATATCCTGCCGCCTCCACCCCAGACAAAAACAATGCTGTTAAGTACATGGCCCACTTAACAGTCTTTTTCTGAGCCTGCAGAACCTTCCATCCACTCACCATCACATTCAGATGCGTTGTGCTATAGCAGAAGGGAGAGACCAGGCCTCACACAGACACCCAGATCGCTACACCTCACACACCATGATACACACAACAGTCCCTCTCGGGGTATCCTGCTGCCTCCACCCCAGACAAAAACAATGCTGTTAAGTACATGGCCCACTTAACAGTCTTTTTCTGAGCCTGCAGAACCTTCCATCCACTCGCCATCACACTCAGACGCGTTGTGCTATAGCAGAAGGGAGAGACCGGAGCCTAAAGCAGGAATGTGACCTTCAGGTTGCATAACCCCCTGGAAAGATGGGGAAACCCAAGTGCACGCTAAATGTCAAGTACTATCTATTCTAGGAATTTTAGGAAGAAAAAAAAAACAAAAACAAAAACAAAACAGAAAAAAAAACCCACTAATATCCCTCCTTTTTTGGCAAGAAGAATGAGGTCTGTGATGCCAGCAATTCTGGCCGTGTGCTTGGTGGAGATTCCACGGTCCGCTCTCAGCCCCAGGTTCACCCTGAGCGGCTCCACCTTGGTTTGTTTTATGTACAAACTAAGTAAACTTTAGTTTGAAGGAAGAATGCCATAGCTAAAAACATGTTCATGCAGTTCCCATATCTCCACTTCTACCCAAACTTGGAGGTTCAACCTGTATGAAGCTTTGGCCCCACCTCTTCCCCTCCCCTTCAGCCTTCTCTGCACTCTTACACATACTCACACATGTCGTTCCTTCTAAGCCATGGCTTGTTGTTCTTGGCTAGGAAAGGGCTACTTGCAGATACCAGGCCTGAATGGCAAAGAAGGCCAAGGTGGCCACCAGCCTTTGCTCTGGGGCCAATATTTTGTCTGGCAAGGATGTTTATACTCCCAGCATCAAGCTCCAGAATGCCGAAACACAGCTTTCTGCTACCTCCTTGGACCCTGGGGTCCCCTAATCCTTTGGGTTTCTGCAAACCCAGAACTCTGTGTTGGGAAACATGGGGTAGAGGATAGGAGAGATGTGATCTTGAAGCTATTGCTGGGAAATAGAAGAATTTGTGGAAAATCACTCAGCTGTTCTCTAGTTTGTCTTCCCACAAAAACTTGGTTCTAGGAGGAGGCCGTTTCTGACGTTCTTTAAGTTATCCATAGATATCACTATATGCATGACCCAGCCCTGGGCACTAAGAGGAGAACAAAAAGAAAGATTTCCTGTCTATAAGGAACCAACTATTCTATCTATAAGAATCCAACCATCCAATGGAGAGAGAAGACATAGCCCAGTGGGATCTTCCTGCCTATCACACAGACAAAACCAATTCACCAAAACCATGGCATTGCAATAAAGAAAGAGTTTAACTGATGCAAGACCAGCCATACCACGTGGGAGACAGAATTATTACTGAAATCAATCTCCCTGGAAGTTCCAAGGTTAGGAGTTGGGCAAGGGATAGCTTGGTGGGCAGGGGGCTAGGGAGTGCTGATTGGTTGGGGGATGAAATTACAGAGGTGTGGAAATTGGTCCTTATGCACTGAGTCCACCTCTGGGTGGAGGCCATGGGTCTCGTTGTATCATGAGTCACAAGTCTAGGTAGAATTAGCCAATCATCAGAAATGCAAAAGTCTGAAAAGACATCTCAAAAGGCCAATCTTAGGTTCTACAATAGTGATGTTATGTACAGGAGTGATTGGGGATGTTATAAATCTTGTGACCTCTGGAACAACGGCTGGTTATCGTTTAACCACAGCTACACCTTAGCAGAATTCAGGCCCCTCTCATAACCCTAACCTTGTGGCCTTTCATTAGTTTTATGAAGGCAGTTTAGTTTTGAGAAGCACTATTATCATCCTTGCTTTAAGGTTAAACTATAAACTAAATTCCTCTGAAAGTTAGGTTGGCCCATGCCCGGTAATGACCAAGGACAGCTTGGAGGTTAGAAGCAAGATGGAGGCAGCCATGTTAGATTTTTCTCACTGTCATAATTTTGCAAAGGCGGTTTTAGGACCAAGGCTGCATGCCAAGCCAAGGAAGAAGCTCAGAGGAGATGAACTTGAGGAGTCTTCATGGGAAGATGGGACTCCAATGGGGTCTTAAAGCGCTTGGGCAGGGAAAGGGATGGATGGAAAGCATGTCAAGTGACCAAAAGTAACCTAGAGAAGACTAGAAGGGGAAATGTGCCAGAAGGGCTTAGAGGCTGCTGAGGAGAACAGTGGTGGTGCTACATCTGGGGTATGGCTGAGAATACCCCCGCATACGGAAAAGTGCCATAGCATGATTGCTTAGTGTCAGGCAGCTTGTTAATTGACGTAAGTAAACAACGTCTTGGCCAGGAACCCTGGCTAACTCCTGTAATCCCAGCAATTTGGGAGGCCAAGGCAGGCAGATCACCTGAGGTCGGGAGTTCGAGACCAGCCTGGCCAACATGGCAAAACCGTGTCTCTACTAAAAATACAAAAATTAGCCAGGCGTGGTGGCGGGTGCCTGTAATCCCAGCTACTCGGGAGGCTGAGGCAGGAGAATCGCTTGAACTCAGGAAGCGGAGGTTGGAGTGAACCAAGATCGTGCCGCTGCACTCCAGCCCGGGCGACAGAGCGGATATTTATATTCCCTCTGGGAGGTAGGTAGTGTTATCCCAATAGTGGAGAGGAGGAAGGTGAGGTTCAGAGAGGTGAAGTCACTTGCCCAAGGCCCCATCCCATCCTTCCTAACAAAGCCTCAGCTTTCTCTTCTCTAATCACAGTGCTTCTTTGGTTGGGCCCAACCTTTCTAGTTTCTATAATTGCTGGAAGAATGTTTTCTCCTGTGAGACCCGAAAACTTCCTGAAGGCAGATTCACCTTGATTGTTCCCCCACAGCATGTAACATCTTTAACAAAGCAAGTGGTTTCTTTTTCATTCATTCATTCATGGCTTGAACTAGTGACCTGAAGGAAATAGACGTTAAAAGTCTTGAATATTAATTAAGCACTGACTTTATGAAAGTAGATTCCTCAAGAAAGTGTAGGTGGAGCTATACCTGGCTCCACACAGATCTGCAAAATGTTAAATGAATGAAGCAAATGACTTTGAGCCACGAGGAGGAGGTGGTAACTGAGCACCTTCCCTGTGCGAGGCATCATAGAGGACTTTCTTTAATTTAATGCAGACATCAAACTGCAGGGTGATTATTATTCTCCCCATTTTATGAAGAAGAGCCCCCCTCTGGCTCAGAGAATGTAAGCAGGTGGTCTGAAATCACACAGCAGGTAAAGGGCAGCGCTCAGATGCAAGTATAGGCTGCAACCACCGCAGAACATTGTACTCTGTGTTCGGCCTATATGCCTGAGCTGCCAGTGGAGGAACAGGAGTCTCAAAACAATAGCTCATTCACCTCCTGAGAAGCCAGGGGCCATGCTTTGCCTCCTCAGAAGGACCTGCCAAAATATCTGTGCTCTGGGGGCCTGGGGCACTTGAGGCCCCTCCTGCTGGAGAAGCCTCATTCCCTGCAGCTCCAGGGGTCCCTGGAGACACCACACCCCACCTCCAGCCCCTCTGGGCCTTCCCTTCCCCAACAGCAACATGCTCTGAAAATAGCCAAGGAAAGGAAGTGCAGCCTCAGACCCTGGATGGCACTCAGCCTGACAGCCTTAGGAAAAGCTGAGGTCGCCAGCATGCACTGTGCCTTGGGGGCCTCAGCCAGCACTTCCCTCCACAGAGCAAACATCAAACCCAGGTGCTGAGGATGGGCGGATTGGAAGGGCAGAAACACAGGGCAGGTATTTTCCTGAAATTCCTGGAAAGCAGAGAGGCAGCTGAACAGGGGAAGCTCTTCTGCTTTTCTCCCCATTCTGGCTCCAGGTCTTGATTTTGCGCCTGGTGGCCCCTGGTGTGACAGAGGTGGGTGCTAGGAGCTGGGGGAGTTGAGGGAATCCCAGCCCTGCTTCATCTGTGCTCAGCTCACTTACCCTCTTCACCTACCCCCAAGTGCATGCTCAATGTTGAGCTGAAAGGCCAGTCGCTGTGGGAAATTTGTCATCCAAACTGGCAAACTCTGAGAGTGCAAGGAGGCATTGTTAGTAATTATGCTGTGATGACAGATGTAAATTGAAACTGGGGCAAACTAGGGCATTTGATCCTCCTGGTTATAGGGCTCAGGGCAAAGCCTTTGAAGGGCAAGTCATGAGGAGTTTGCCTTTTAAGGAAAAATCATTCATTTTGGTTTAAAGTAGAGAGGTTCTACTTCCAGATTTTATATATATATATATACACACACACACACACACACACACACACACACACATATATATAGGAATCCCTAGAGTTTCCTCTGTCCTCTCTACTGTAAGTCTTTGAACCCAGTGAAAGTAAGTAGGAGAGAATTAAAGACACTGTCTACTGACCTCGAAAATCAAAAACATACTGTGGCAATTATTCTATCGACAGCTTGGCTCCAAGCTATTTCTACATTTGTAGACCTAACATCCTCACAGGTATAACTTGTATGCAAAAGCACAATAGCCCTCCTGCTACCCCAGTGTGGAATGGTGACTCTAAATACAGCCTCAAAGGACAGCTCAGATGAGGTGGAACAAATGGAATCCAGGCTCCAGAGCCATGAGTTTCTGGAATCAAATCCCAGTTCTGCCTACTAATAGCTACCTTGGCCAAGCTGATAGCTTTTGTCCAGCCTTCATTTTCTCCTCTGTTATTTCTCTTGCTCTGCAATACCCAGCTACACCAAAAAGCGACACAGAACGAACTTTGACTGCTCCCCTTCTCCCCGCTCTCACCTTCATGAATCTCTACATTGGCCACAAACTTCACATCCAAGGGGTGGCAGCTGGAGAAGGGAGAATTACCAAAGCCTAACCAACAAGGGAGGAGCAAGGAAGGAGGACAGAGGGAGCTTCTGCAGGAAGAGGGTGTCCTCACATGGCCTTCCCAGGCTGCCTGGCCAGGAAGCGTTCAAGGATGGATTTCAGTGCAGGGTGTCACTTTTCAAGATGTCCATCTCTATGCTGGTCCACGGCCCAAGCCCAACCTGCCCTGCTCCTTCAGCTCTGCTGAAAAATGAGTAGCCGTGTTGGCTCAGATGTCACCTCCTCCCCCTAGCCCAAGCACTGTGCTTCAAATCACTGCATCACTTTTTTCAGCCTCAGCGTGAACTGCACCCAGCACTATGCTAAACAGGGACAGAGGCCACATCTGCCTCCTAAGAGCTCGTGATGGAAATGGGACCCACGGGTAGCTGACTCAGCCACCTTGTCAAGCCATTGGGCCCCTGTTCAGGAACCTGCAGATTGGATTCAGAACAGGTGCTTTGAACCTGGTCCTTCACTGAAGGTGGTGATGAGGAAGCAGAACCTCCATTCATTCTGAGGAGTGGGGGTGATAGGGGAGATGGGAAGAAGGTGCCCAAAGGCAGGAAGCCCCCCCTGGAGCAGAGTTGGGGAGCCAATATTGGAGTCCCTTGGCCTGTCTAGTAGACAGTCCTTCTATCAGATGACCCAACATCTGCAATGTGGACTCTTCCTGTGGGCTCACTGGGCAGGTCATATGCACTCACAGAACCCAGATTGCAAGAGCATACAACCATCTGCCCACAAACCAAGCTGTGTGGGCTCTCTGCCCAGATTCTGTTATTTGGGTTCTGAGACTGATCTGGAGCTGACTCTCACTTAAATCAATCTGTGCAATTTGCCTCCAGCCCACTCTGAATCCTAAGAGATCTATACTCCAGAACAACTTGGTATTTGGCAATCTGAGTCTTTGAATCTCTGCTTAGAACTCAGCATCTCAGAGCTTTCTCACTCATATCTATCTTTCATCTTCCTAGCCCGGAGCCAATCAGTCCTCCACTTCAGCCCTGGTGGCTCTCTTACCTTACAAGAGAGGTTCCCAGTTCCAGGTTTGGTCAAGACCAGTGGTTTTCAAAGTGTGGCTCCCAGACCTATTAATGGCATCAACATCACATGGGAATTTGTTAGAAATGCAAAATATTGGGCCATGTGCGGTGGCTCATGCCCATAATCCCAGCACTTTGGGAGGCCGAGGCGGGTAGATCATGAAGTCAAGAGATGGAGGCCATCCTGGCCAACATGGTGAAACCCCGTCTCTATTAAAAATACAAAAATTAGCTGGGCGTGGTGGTGCACGCCTGTAGTCCCAGCTACTTGGGAGACTGAGGGAGGAGAATCGCTTGAACCTGGGAGGCGGAGGTTGCAGTGAGCCAAGATCGCGCCACTGCACTCCAGCCTGGCAACAGAGCAACAGTCCATCTCAAAAAAAGAAATGCAAAATATTGGCCTCTAGACCCTAGACCTACTAAATCAGAAATTCTTAGGATAGGTCCCAGCAATCTGTGTTTTCCCAAGCTCTCCAGGTTTAAGAACCACAGATCTGGACTCCCTCCCTCCCTCCATGAGAACTGGAATAGGATGGCAGGTGCTGGGGGTGAGAGGGCCAAGCAGAAAGAGCCCCAGGAACCTGCACACAGTAGGGCAATGGCTGAAGGGAAGGAGAAGGTCTGTCTGCCCTCTGCTGAGTTAGTAGGGAGCCTGGCTTTCCCCAGGCAGCAAAAGTCCAGGAATCTGTCCCTCCATGAGCCTAATCTGTCCCCAGAAGAGCCCGCCCATATGTCCCTGCAAACAACACAGCTTGCTCTACCACACAGCAGATGTTCCTGAGAGCTGAGCCATTTTAATAGTCAATGGGCAGCCATAAATCATCAGCTGGAGCCATGAAGAGGCTGAAGGGGAAGTGAGGCCACTTGGCCTGAGCCCCAGCATGAGAACTAGGTGTGAGCTCTGTTTGAGCCAGCACACAGGCATCAACCCAGATAGGGAAGGATGGGCAGGGCTCCTCCGCAGGCCAGCTCAGAGCTCAGGCTACAGCCAACTTTCACGACCAGACATCCTGAGCCGGGGGCAATGGGAACCAGCCAGGGGCCCATTCATCTGCTTCTGTGGGCAGTCTGGAAAAAGAGCTCCATGCCCAACTTCTCCTTCCTACCCACCTGCCCTCTTCTCCCCTCACAGTCCCTACTGAGGTTCTTCCCCAGGCACAAGGTGGGGACAGAAAATTAGCCCAAAAACTCCAGGCCATTTGGGGAAGCCCAGGGAACCAGCTGCCTGGAGAAGAGCCTTCTCCAATGTTACCCCTTCTGACCTCCCAAGTGCAGCCTTCCCTATTTCCGACCTGGACCAGACACCGGATATCCAGCCATCCTCTGTGCTGAGGCTCTGGTGACGTCCTCTCTAAACTGAGCGTCCACCTGTGACACCCCCTGCTGAGTCTGGAGTTCAGCACAGAGAACTCCACAAACTCCAGAATCCCTTGAGGCCAGTTCTCCAAAGTTTTAGGGAACAAGGTAAGCCTCAGAGAGGGGCTATGGGGTAACCACACCCTGGCCATTTGTCAGGAGGGCAGAGAGGGAAGAAATCAACGAGGACTTGACAGGGAGGGGGAGTGTAACTACAATTTTAAAAGAATTGAAATGCTGGGCCTATTAAATGTATAAAAAGATACCAAAATAAAAGTTTCAGCAGAAGAGCCTACAAAATAAAAATTGGGACCACTGTGAGCATGAGACCAGTCCCAGTGTGGGGACCTCAAACAGTGAATGTTTCAGAACAAACTGCACCACCCTGGAACATTTGGGCAGATCAGTAATACAGGAAGTCGACAGAGAGTTGTGGGGAAGGGTTCAGGATTTCTGTGGAGAGAGCCGTGGATGAGCTGCGATCTCACCCCTCTCCCATGTGGGGTTACCTTCTTACCCCAAGTCTGGTGAGAAGGGGCTTCCAGGCATTCCTCAGAAGACTGCACTGTGGCTCTTGCCTAAAGCCAATCGGGAAGACTGAATATTAAATCTAGTTCCAAATGTTTATTAGTATCTTGCACTGGACATTGCCATTTCTGAACTGAGATTAGGGACTTAAAGTGTTGACAGGATGTACCTCATGTTTCCTTCTAGGGTGGGCAGGCAATATTGCACCCACTGAATAATTTTAAAGGGACAATGAGACACAAGAAATATGAAACTGCATTTTGATCCTGCCATGAGTTGTATGCACTCAAAGTGATCTAGCGCAGAGGCTGTGGTGGTTCATGTGATGTGTCACCATGACTGGGCCAAGGTAAACCCAGATAGCTGGTGACACATTATTTCTGGGTGTGTCTGTGAGGGTGTTTCTGAAAAAAAATTAGCAATTGAAGCAGCAGACTGGGTAAAGAGGATACGCCCTCACCAGTGTGGGCAGGTGGCATTCAATCCATCCATTGTGGGACCAAAAAGAACAAAAAGGCTGAGGAAGGCCAACTTTTCTCTCTCTCGAGTTCGGTTATCCCTCTTCTCCTGTCTTTGAACATCATCTCCTCTGCTTCTCAGGCCTTCCAATTCAGACAGAATTGCACACCTGCATCTCTGGGTCTCCAGCTTGCATATATAGAGACAAATATAGAAATCAATATCTATAGATATAGCTATGGATAGATAGATAGATAGATAAATAGATAGATGATAGATAGATAGGATATCAATTTATCTATAGATATACCTATTTATGGCTAGATACAGCCATAATATGTTATGGCTATAGCTGTCTATCTATCTATAGATATAGCTACTTTAGCTCTTGTAGCTATATCTATAGACAGATAGCGATAGACGATAGATAGATAGATAGATAGATGGATAGATAGATATTTTTCATGGATAGGTAGATATATAGGATAGATATATATATCCTATGTATATCTATAGGTAGATAGATATACATAGGATATGGATCTATAGATAGATATATATAGGATATGGATAGATAGATATCTCCTATATTTATCTATAGATATCCTATATATATACATCTATCCGTAAATAGCTATATCTGTAGATATCTAGGAATAGCTGTCTCCTATGGGTTCTATTTTTCTAGAGAACCCTGACTAACACAGAAGCTGCGTATTGAGCACTTACTATGTACCAAGCATTTCCTCTGCAGTCAATTATTGCTATCCTCACTTCAAAGCTGAGGAAGCTGAAAAGGTTAAAGAACCCTCCAGGTGACCCAAAATTACAACTGGAGAAGCTGAGGTTGAACTAGCATGTCTCTAATCCGAAGCCCTTTTTCTTCATCTCCTCAAGTTCAACACAATTCTTTCTGCCTGTAAGTTCATCCCAGATTCTAAAACACAGGGGTAGGAATCAGAGAGAACTCCCATGTCTGTTCACATACAGCTAAATTTCCCAGGGACTTATACAATCTGCATTTCATGTCTGCAGCACTAGTATAAGCCCCAGGCGTGGCCCAAGGAGAACAATCGGGCCCTTGGCTCCCCCCAGCACAAGCCGCTCCCCCAGAAGGAGCAGGCCTCACACAGGCAACAGTGTGCAAGGGGGCTCTTAGCCCCAGCAGGCACAGAGATGTGAAGTAGGAAGGGTTTTCCTTTTTCGTCTTTACCACATGCTTTGCAGTCACGACTGCACTTTAAAGTCAGTATCAGATTGGTGGAGCTGGTCAAGATCCAAGACAAATGCGTGATGTTTGTTTTTAAACCAGGCCTCCTGAGCTGAAAACCCTGCAAGGGAAACTCCTCCTTTTACAGACATTCATGGGCACAGCCAGAGAGCTCCTTACATGAAGGAAGATTTTTCTTTTCTAGAAACTTTTCAGAAACTCGGGGATACAAACTAAGTCAAGTACAGATTTGAGTGGCCTGGTCAAAACAAGTCTAATTTCCTGTGAGGCAGACAGATAAGACAGACCTCATCCACAGAAAATGACTTGTTTGGGTTTGGAGACTGGAAACAGGGTAGAGATGGCCCTCAGATCCTGGGCACAACCTGACCCTCTAAGAATCATGTCCAAGTGTCTTCCTGGGACAGTGGCATCCTGACAGGTGCCAAGGATCACAGCAAGGAAGATTCTGGCAAAACCACGTAACTCCTTCAGTTAACAACCCATCAGTGAGCCAGCAGCCGGCCAGGCCTCCCAACAGAAAACACAGTGATGAGAATCTTGGGCTTTGAATCAGGGGCAGATTCAGAGCCCAGCCCTGCCCTCACCATGCATGGAACCCTTGGTAACCTTCTTACCAAGACCCAGTTTCCTGATCTGTAAACTCAGGGTAATAGCAATGCCCTAGAGGCTGACTGTGAGGATGCAATAAGATGACATTGGTAAAGCAGCCTGCATCGTTCCTGGCTATTAAATCTTAATATTCAGTGTTAAATACATGTGCACTTAATAAAGTATAAAATAATTATGCTGCTTTATGACAGTCTTGGGAAAAAAAATTAAATTAAAAAAATTATAAAGCTTCCCTTCCCCCAGGATTCCAAGCCCTAATTTAGATCATTGCAGTAATTTTCGTGAGGTTTCAAAAGGAGTGCTGAATTTCCGCTTTATGGAAGATATGGTAGTCATACTTCTTCCTATTCCTCCCACTAAGTACAACTAAAAGCCCTGAATACTCTATATAATATAAACATAAGAGAACTCTGAAAGCTGGAGAGAAAAAGGCAAATCAGCTAGGAATCTTGGGACTCAAGGACAACAGTGATGAGCAATCTGGGCTTTCTTTTTGCCTCAACTATACCACAGTTGGAACTGAAGAATACAGCCAAGAGAAAATAAGACAGGCAAGCCCCCCAGCAAAGGCCTGCTCTCTCTAGCCCAAGGAAAGGAACAGCCTAGCAAGACCAAACACTTTTAGAAAATAACTCCTCTACTCCAGCCAAAACATCCCAGAAAAAACTGTAACTCCACTCACACCCACACCAGCAAAGGCCAGAGGGGAGCTACTCTTCACCATCCTCACCAGGCTGATATCAGGCACCACCAAGACCCCTGCAGGGTGCAGTCACAGAAGGCCAAGAAAGAAACTGGGACTTTTATTCTCATTGGATGGTTACAAGATAACCTCCCTCAGAGTGTAGGTGGAGACAAAAAGGGACCTAGAATTCACATGCATGTAGCAACAATGAGATACCCCTCCCCCACTGTGCAGAGTTTATGTCACAGCAGGAAACATGGAAAGCAGCAACAGGCACTCCTACCCCTCCCAGATAAAAGGTATCGGTGGAGGCCTAGTGAGGAGCTGGAAATCCCACCCCCACTCAGCCATAATGAGGATCCCTCTGGATTAGTCCATTCTCAGACTGCTATGAAGAAATATCTGAGACTGGGTAATTTATAAAGGAAAGAGGCTTAATTCACTCACAGTTCTGCATTGCTGGGGAGGCCCCAGGAAACTTACAATCATGGCAGAAGGCAAAGGAGAAGCAGGCACCTTCTTCACAGGGTGGCGGGACAGAGGGAGTGCAAGCAGGGGAAATGCCAGGTGCTTACAAAACCATCAGATCTCATGAGACTCACTCACTATCATGAGAAAAGCATAGGGGAACCCGCCCCCATGATCCAATTACCTCCACTTGGTCCTGCCTGTGACATGTGGGGGTTATGAGGATTATAATTCAAGATGAGATTTTTGGGTGGGGACACAGCCAAACCATATCACCCTCTCTCAGGTGTCCTGAGAGGTCAAGTGGGCAGCCAAGGCTTCTGCTTCCACATGGCAATAAGTAAGTGCCCTTCTGCTGGAATGGTGTTTAAGAAGCGTATTAGTTCTCACACTGCTATAGAGAACTACCTGAGACTAGGTAATTTATGAAGAGAAGAGGTTTCATTGACTCACAGTTCCACAGGCTGTACAGGAGGCATAGCTGGATAGGCCTTGGGAAACTTATGATCATGGCAGAAGGGCGAAGGGGAAGTAAGCATGTCTTCTCATGGTGGCATGAGAAAAAATGAAAACGGAAGTGCTACACACCTTCAAACAACCAGATCACATGAGAACTCACTCACTATCATGAGAACTCACTCACTATCATGAGAACAGCAAGGCGGAAACAGCCCCATGAACGAATCACCTCCTACAAGGCCCCTCCCCAAACATTGAGGATAACAGTTCAACATGATATTTGGGTGGGGACACAGAGCCAAATCAGATCATTTCACCCTGGCCCCTCCCAAATCTCATGTCCTTCTCACATTTCAAAATACACTCATGCCTTCCCAACAATCCCCCAAGTCTTAGCTCATTTCAGCATTAACTCAAAAGTCCAAGTCCAAAGTCTCATCTGAGACAAGGCAAGTCCCTTCCACCTATGAGCCTGTAAAATCAAAAACAAGTTAGCTATTTCCAAGATACAAAGGGAGTACAGGCATTGGGTAAATGCTCCCATTCCAAAAGGGTGAAATTGGCCAAAACAAAGAGGCTACGGGCTCCATGCAAGTCCAAAAACCATAGGGCAGTCATTAAATCTTGAAGCTCCAAAATAATCTCCTTTGACTCCATGTCTCACATCCAGTCCACACTGACACAAGGGGTGGGCTCCCAAGGCCCTGGGCAGCTCTGCACCTCTGGCTCTGTAGGGTACAGCTCCCATGGCTGTTTTCATGGGTTGACATTGAGTACCTGAAGCTTTTCCAGGCACACAGTGCAAGCTCTCAGTGGATCTACCATTCTGGAGTCTGGAAGATAGTAGCCCTCTTCTCACAGCTCCACCATGCAGTGCCCCAGTGGGTACTCTATGTGGGGGCTCCAACCCTACATTTCCCCTCTGCACTGCCCTAGTAGAGGTTCTTCATGAGGGCTCCACCCCTGCAGCAGACATCTGCCTAGACATCCAGCCATTTCTATACATCCTCTGAAATCTAGCAGAGGCTCCCAAACCTCAACTCTTGCCTTCTGTGCACCTGCAGGCCCAACACCACGTGGAAGTTGCTAAGGTGTAGGGCTTGCACCCTCTGAAGCAATGGCCTGAGCTGTTCCTTGGCCTCTATTAGCCACAGCTAGAGCTGGAGCAGCTGGGACACAGGATGTCATGACCTGAGGCTGCACAGAGCAGTGGAGCCCTGGGCTTGGCCCACAAAACCATGTTTCCCTCTTAGGCCTCCAGGCCTGTGATGAGAGGGGCTGCTATGAAGGCCTCTGAAATGCCCTGGAGGCATTCTCCTCATTGTCTTGGCTATTGACATTCAGCTCTTCTTTACTTATACAAATTTCTGCTGCCTTGAATTCCTCCCCAGAAAATGGGTTTCTCTTTTCTACTACATGGTCAGGCTGCAAATTTTCCAAACTTTTATGCTCTTTTTCCCTTTTAAATGTAAGTTCTCTTTGCTTATGCAAATTAGCATAGGCTTTTAGAAGAAACCAGGCCATATCTCGAATGCCTTGCTGCTTAGAAATTTCTACTACCAGATACCCTAAATCATCTCTCTCAAGTTCAAAGTTCCACATATCCCTAGAGCAGGGGCAGAATGCCACCAGTCTCTTTGCTAAAGCATATAAAGAGTGACCTTTGCTCCAGTTCCCTGTAAGATCCTCATCTCCACCTAAGACCACCTCAGCCTGGACTTCATTGTCCATATCACTAATCAGCATTTTGGTCAAAACCATTCAACAAGTCTCTAGGAAGTTCCAAACTTTCCCTCATATTCCTGTCTTCTTCTGAACCCTCCAAACTATTCCAACTTCTGCCTGTTACCCAGTTCCAAAGTTGCCTCCACATTTTCAGGTGTCTTTCTAGCAATGCCCTTCTTCTCTGGTACCAATTTTCTGTATTAGTCCATTCTCACACTGCTATAAAGAACTACCTGAGACTGGGTAATTTATGAAGAAAAGAGGTTTAATTGACTCACAGTTTCACAGGCTGTACAGGAGACAGGGCAGGGGAGGCCTCAAAAAACTTACAATTATGGCAGAAGGGTGAAAGGGAAGCAAATAGGTCTTCACATAGTGGCAGAATAGAAAGAAAGCGAAGAGGGAAGTGCTACCCACTTTCAAACAACCAGGTCTCATGAGAACTCACTCACTATGATAACAGCAAAGGGGAAACAGCCTCCATGAACAAATCACCTCCCACCAGACCCCTCCCCCAACACTGAGAATTACAATTCCACAGGAGATTTGGGTGAGGACACACAGCCAAACCATATCAAGGGGGAGAAAAGCTGAAATAGAAGATTTAAATAACACTCAGTCTCAAAATATAATATTCAAAAGGTACAAGTTTCAATTAAAAATCACTCATCATGCAAGAAATTGGAAAATGAGTTGAATGAAAAAGACACTCTGTAGACCAATACCAACATAAAAAAGATGTTAGAATTGTCTGACAAAGGTTTTAAAACAGCCATCATAAAAGTACTTTAATGAACAATTCATGAGCAGGCTTCGGACAAATAAAAAAAGAAAGGAAAGTGTAAGTAAAGAAATAGTAGGTTAAAGGAAAGAAATAGAATACATTTCTATATCTTTCTAGAAGATATAGAGCCAAATGGAAATTTCTAGAAGATAAAGAGCCAAATGGAAATTTTAGAACAGAAAAATACAATAACTCACTTGATGGATTCAACAGCATAATAGAGGGGACAGAGAAAAGAATCAGTGAACCTTAAGATAGAACAAAAAAAAAATACTCAGTACTAACAACAGAGAGAAAAATAGACTGAAAAAAATGGACAGAGGCTTAAGGACATGTCGATTTGTAACATACACCAAAAAAAATCTGACATTCATATCATCAGAGTCCTGAAAGGAGAGGAGAAAGAGGACAGGGCTGAAAAAAAACTTGAAGAAATAGTGGCTAAAAATGTTCAAATTTAGCAAAAGACAGCAACATGCAGATTCAAGAACCTGAAGAAACTCAAAAGGATAAACACAAAGCAATCCACACCAAACACATTAGAAAAAAACTTCTGAAAACTAAAACAAAGAAAATAACCCACAAGAGAAAAATGACACTTTATGTAGAGAAGAAAAACGATTTGAATGATGGTGTATTTCTCACCAGATACCAAGAAGGCCATGAGGAAATGGCATAACATTTTTCAAGTGCTGAAAGAAAATGATTGTCAAACAAAAATCTATATCCAACAAAAATATCCTTCTGAAATGAAGGGAAAATGAATACATCTCAGATGAAAACTAACATGCCTTGTCACCAACAGGCCTACCATAAAAGAGTGGCTAAAGGAAGTTCTCCTGGCAGAAAGGAAATGACAAAAGAAGGAATCTTGTAACATCAACATGGAAAAACAATGAAAAGAATAAAAATAGGGGTAACTATAATATATTTCTCCATATGTAAATAATGTTTGACAGATGAAGCAAAAATTCTAACACTGTCTGATATGATTCTAAATGTATGTAAGAAAAATTTAATACAAATATAATATAAATGAGGAGGGGCTAAGGGATATAAAAGGAGATTTCTACATGCCACTTAGACTGATAAAATGATGACATCATTAGACTCTTATAAGTTATTTATATATTACTATATTATGTGTATATGCACACGATATAATACCCCGAGCAACCACTAAGAATGCTATATAAAGAATTATATTCATACTACTATAGATATATCAAAATGGAATTCTAGAAAAAAATGTTCAGGTAACCCACAAGAAGGCAGATAAAAGAAAACAGAGAGACTAAAAACAGAGGGAAAAAAACAAAAAATAAAATGGCTGATTTAAGCCTGAATATATCAATAATTACATTAAATGTAAATGGTCTAAATATACCAATTAAAAGACATATTGGCAAAGTGGATTTAAAACATGGCCCAACTATATGTTCTTTACAACATACTTCAAATATAACAATATAGGCAGATTTAAAGTAGAAAAATGAAAAAAAATATGTATCACGCAAATAATAATCAAAGAAAGCATAGCTGGTTACATTAATATCAAATAAAGTCAATTTCAGAGCAAAGAAAATTACCAGAGACAGAGAGGGACATTATATAATAATAAAAGAGTTAATTAACTAATAGACATAGTAGTTCTAAATGTGTATGCAGGCCAGGTGTGGTGGCTCACACCTGTAATCCCAACATTATGGGAGTCTGAGGCTGGAAGATGGCTCAAACTCAGGAATTCAAGACCAGCCTGGGCAACATACCAAGACCTTGTCTCTACAAAAAGTTTAAGAATTAGCTGGGCATGGTGGCACACGCCTGTAGTCCCAGCTACTCAAGAGGCTGAGGTGGGAAGACCACTTGAGCCCAGGAGTTCAAGGCTGCAGTGAGCTATGATTGCACCACTGTACTCCAGGCTGGGCAACAGAGTGAGACCACAGTGTCTCTAGAAATAAATAAATGAATAAATGTGTGTGCACCAAACAACAGAGCTGCAAAATATGTGAAGAAAAAACTGACAGAACTGAAGGGAGAAATAAACAAATTCACAATTACAGTTGGGGACTTTAACACCCTCTCTCAACAACTAATAGAAAAACTAGACAGAAAGTCAGCAAAAACATAAAATAATTCAACACCACCATAACCAAATGAGGCCTAATTGTCATTTATTTATAAGACGCTCCACCCAACAAAAGCAGAATGTACATTCTTTTCAAGTGCTGACAGAACATACATCAAGATAAATCATATCCTGGGAAAACAAATCTTGACAAATTGTTTTTAATTTAAATCATACAGACTCTATTCTCCAACTACAATAAAAATCAAACTAGAAAACTAGAAACCAACACCAGAAAAATAATAGAAGAATACACAATTCATTTCTAAATAATCTAGAGGTCAAAGAGGAAGTCTCAGGAAATATTTTAAAAGACATTGAACTGAATGAAAATGCGACATATCAAAATTTGGGGGACTCAAAGCAGGGCTTTGAGGAAAATTTGTAGAACTAAATGATACATTAGAAAAGAAAAAGTCTTGAATCAATAATCTAAGCTCCCACCTCAAAAAAGCCCAGTGAAAAAAAGAGCAAAATAAACCCAAAGCAAGTGGAAGGAAGGAAATAATAAAGGGAAGAGCAGAAATTAATGAAATCAAAAACAAAAAAAGATAAAAAATTAATAAAACAAAAAAGAGCTTATTTGAAAAGATCAATGAAATTGACGAATCTTTAAGAAGACTGAAAAAGAAAAAGGAAAGAAAATACAAATTAATAATATAAGGAACGAAACACAGGATATCATTACAGGCTCACAGATATCAAGAGAATAATATAGGAATACTACAAACAACTCTCTTACATAAATTTTTTTTCTTTTTTTTGAGACGGAGTCTCACTCTGTTGCCCAGGCTAGAGTCCGATGGCACAATCTCGGCTCAGTGCAACCTCTGGCTCCTGGGTTCAAGAGATTCTCCTGCCCCAGCCTCCCGAGTAGCTGGAATTACAGGTGCTCGCCACCACGCCAGGCTAATTTTCTTATTTTTAGTAGAGACAGGGTTTTACCAGGTTGGTCAGGCTGGTCTCAAACTCCTGACCTCGTGATCTGCCCGCCTCAGCCTCCCAAAGTGCTGGGATTACAGGCATGAGCCACCACGCCCAGCCATAAATTTAACTTAGAAGAAAGAAATCAATTTTTTGAAAGACACAAACTCATAACTCACCCAATATGAAATTAGTAATTTGAATAGTCCTATAACTATTAACAAAATTAAATTTGTAACTTTAAAATTCCAAAAGAGAAATCTCCAGGCCCAGATGGTTTCACTAGAGCATTCTACCAAACATGTAAAGAAAAAATTAACACAATTCTATACTATCTCTTACAAACAACATAAAAGTAGAAAACACTTGCCAATTCATTTAAAGAAGTTAGCATTACACTGATACCAAAACCAGGTAAAGATGGTACAGAAAAAAAGAAAACTACACACCAATATTCCTCATGAATATAAATGCCAATATCCTTAACCAAATATAATCAAACAGAATTCAGCAATACATAAAAGAACTGAACACAGGACCAACTAGGGTTTATTCCAGATATGCAAGGCCGATTCAATTCACAGTCAAGGTCATCCACCATATTAACAGGCTAAAGAAGAAAGTATTCATAATCATAATATTAACCAACAAGGAAAAAGCATTTGACAAAATTCAACACTAGAAATAGAGGTAATCTTCCTCAGTCTGTCAACGAGTATCTACAAAAAGCCTACAGCTAACATTATACTTAATGGTGAAGAATTAATGCTATCTACCCGCCCTTCGTCAAGTCCAGGAACAAGATAAGAATTGCCTACTCTCACTGAGCACTCAGTATAGTGCTGAAGGTTCCAGCCAGTGTGAAGGAAAGAAAGAGAAATAAAAGGCATATAGATCCAAATGAAATTGTCTCTATTTGTAGATGACATTATTATATATGTTGAAAATTCCAACTAACCTATTTTTTCCAAAAAAAAAAACTTCCAGAATTAACGAATGAGTTCAGCAAGCTTGTGAGATACAAGACTTTTTTTTCTTTCTTTTTTTTGAGACAGGGTCTCTCTCTGTTACCCAGGTTGAAGCACAGTGGTGTAATCATGGCTGACTGCAGCCTCAAATTCCTGAGCTCAAGTGATGCTCACACCTCAGCCTCCCAAGTATCTGGGAATACAGGCGCACACCACCATACCCAGGCAATTTTTAAATTTTTTTGTAGAAACAGGGTCTCATCATCTTGCTCAGGCTGGTCTCTAACTCCTGGGTTCAAGTAATCCTCCTACCTTGGCCTCCCAAAGTGCTGGGATTACAGGCATTGGCCACTGCACCCAGCCAAGACAAATATTTTAAGAGTTAATTATATTTCTATACATGAGCAATGAATGTATAGATACTAAAAGTAAAAATACAATATTGCTTACAATAGCTAAAAAAGAATTAAGTACTTGGGTATAAATGTAACACGTGTAGAACTTCTATGCTAAAATCTACAAAATGCTAATGAAAGAAAAAATACCTAGATAAACGGCAATAAATATCTTGCTATGGATTAGAAGATTCAACATGAGGAGAAGATTCTCCTCAAATTTATATACAGATCTAACATATCCTTATTAAAATGCTATCAAGGATTTTTGTAGATATATAGAAAATTATTTTAAAATTTATAAGAAAAGCCAAAGGAACTAGAATAGCTAAAGAAATTTTTTAACAGAAGAATAATTCTAAGAGGAAATCATCTACCCAATTTTAAGACTTACTATGTAGCTACCATAATAAGTACTGTGTGGTATTGGCAAAGGGAAAAATACACAAATCGATGAAACATAACAGAAACATCCAGAAACAAACGTATATAAATATGCCAAACTGGTTATTAATAAAAGGGTAAAAGCAATTTATGAAGGATAGATAGCCTTTTCAACAAATGGCACTGGAACCATTGGATACTCAGAGGCAATAAAATGGACCTCAATCCAAGTCTCACATCTTATAAAAAGAAAAAATTCACTCAAAATGGATCATGGACTTAAACATAAAGCATAAAACTATAAAACTGTTTTTTAAACGAGAAAATCTTTATGATCCAGAACTAGGCAAAGAGTTCCTGGGTGATACCAAAATCACAGTTTCAAAAGGGACAAATGATAAGTGGGACTTCTTCAAAATCAAAAACTTTTGCTCTGCAGAAGACTCTATCAAGAGGTCTACAGACTAGGAGAAAGTATTTGCAAACAAATTTCCAACAAAAGACTATCCTCTAGAATACATAAAGAATGCTCAAAACAAAAATAAATCAACAATCCAACTAGAGAGTGGGCAAAAAGCATGGAGACATTTTATCCAAGAAGACATAAAATAAAAAATGAGCACATGAAAAGATGTTCACATCATTAACCATTAGAGAAATGCAAATTAAAACCATGAGATATCCCTATGCATGTACCAATATGGCTAAAATGAAAAATAACAACAATACTAAATGCTGGCAAGAATGTGGAGAAACAAGATCACTCATTGTTGGTAGGAATATAAAATGGTATAACCACTCTGGAGAAGTTTAGGAGTATCTTATAAAACTTAACATGCAACTCCTAGGCATTTATCCCAGATAAATGAAAATATTTTTATACAAAAACCTATAAATGAATATTTATTTCACCTTTTTTAAAATTAAAGCCAAAAACTTGAAACATCCTTCAGTGGGTGAATGATTTAAAAAATGTGGCACATCTATACTATAGAATACTACTCAGAAATGAAAAGAAACAAACTATTGATACACACAACAATCTAGATGAATCACCAGAGAATTATGCTGATGGCAAAAGCCAAGCCAACTTCTAATTTCCAGTCCAGCATGTAAGGAGCTTAGAAATCACTATTCTAACAAGTTTTAAAAGCTGGGAAAAAAAAAAAAAACCTGAAAATTAACAACTCTTCTTAGATCCATTGGAGAAGTAAGGTCACAGGGCAAACTACCATCCCCAAAATTGGAGAGACAGACAGGTTAACACAGAGAATCACAACTTACCAGAGCAGAAACCCACAATCAGAAACCTTTGTGGAAGGTATTGGAGTAGGAAAACCTAAATTGTAATTAACAAATTGCCAGAGGCTCAGTGTGGACATGTCTCAGAGTTAAAAACTTCAGGGGCAGCCAGTCATGGAGTGAACCATGCACACACACTTTTGTGAGTTTTGCCTCCAGGTTCTCACAGTGAATATTAATTTAAAAGTCCTCTTGTGGGCCAGGAGCAGTGGTTCACACCTGTAATCCCAACACTTTGAGAGGACAAGGGGGAGGACTGCTTGAGCCCACAGGTTCAAGTCTAGTCTGGGCAACATAGCAAGATCAAATCTCTAAAAATAAATAAATAAATAAAATTAGCTTGGCATGGTGGCATGCACCTGTGGTCCCAGTTACTTAGGAGGCTGAGGGGAGGATTGCTTAAGTCCAGCAGTTTGAGATCAGCCTGGGCAACATAGTGAGACCCTGTGTCTCTACAAAAAAAAAAAAAAAATTAATTAGCTGTACTGTGCACCTGCAGTCCCAGTCACTCAGGAGGCTGAGGTGGGAGGATTTCTTGAACCTGGGAAATCAAGGCAGCAGTAAGCCATGATTGTGCCACTGTACTCCAACCTGTGTGACATAGTAAGACCCTGTTTCAAAAAACAAACCAAAAAAATCTCCTTCTGCTTCCAGGAGAGGAAGGGAGAAATGAAACATCTTGAAATTTGTAGCTAAAGCAGGTGGGTAGATATAATACCCACCTGGGTAGATGTAATACGAGAGGTCCCAGCCTTGATTAAGGTCGTTGGGGGGGCTCTCTGTTCTTCTTAGCAAGGCCTTCCTTCAAAAGCAAATTATTTTACCAGAACCTAAATTATGAATGTTTTTCCCTAGTCTAACTGACCTGGGCAAAGCAAATACCCAGTTCCAGACACCCCTAACCATCATGTACAACCTAAGGGGGTTGAAAAAAAAAAAGACTTGAGAAGGACTGGTAAAGTTAATAGCCCAATGTTAATAGACTGAGATCTAATCACAGCACTATAGGACACCCCCCTTGTCCCCACACCTTACCACCACATTAATAAAGGCCTCTTTACTGCACTTTCTTTTACCCAGTACATCATGTCTGACTATCCAGAAAAAATTACAAGGCATACTAAAAGACAATAAAGATAGTTTGAAGAGACAGAGGAAGCATCAGAACAGATTTAGATTATGGCAGGGATGATGGAATTATCAGACCAGGAATTGGAAACAACCATGATTAATATGAAGGGGCTTCCAAAAGTTCATGAAGTCTGGGCATGGTGGCTCATGCCTGTAATTCCAGCACTTTGAGAGGCTGAAGTGGGTGGATCATTTGAGCCAGGAATTTGAGACCAGTCTGGGCAACATGGTGAAACCCTATCTCTACAAAAAAAAAAAAATACAAGAAAATTAGCTGGGCATGGTGACATGCACCTGTAGTCCCAGCTACTCAGGGATGGAGAGCTGAGGTGGGAGGATCAATTGAGCCTGGGAGGCAGAGGATGCAGTGAGCCAAGATCTTGTCACTGCACTCCAACCTGGGCAACAGAGTGAGACCTCATTTAAAAAAAAAAAAGTTCATGAAAAATACACATTAAGAAAAAATCATGAATGAATTTCAAATTTGTCTGCACCAAAATAAACTCGTACTAATTTGTAATAACATGTCTGAACAGGACCTAGTTTGAGGCACTAAAAAGGGTAAGACATAAGTTTGAAAAGAGCCCCTATCACATCAACATGAATTCTACTAAAATTGAAGCAAGGACAAACATCACATTTACAGTGGAGTTTAGGTGAAAAAATGATGAAATAATTGACACTTTATAAAAAGTTTGTAGGGACAACTCTTCAAATACATCAGCAGTTTACAAATGGATAACTTGATAAAGAAGGAGATGATGTTGAAGATGAAGCCCACAGTAGCAAAGCATTCACATAATTTGTAAGGAATAAAATGTATCTTGTTTGTGCCCTAATTGAAGACTGACAATTAACAGTACAAATAATAGTCAATACCACAGACATCTCAATTGATTCAGCCTACATAATTCTGACTGAAAAATTAAGGTTGAGCAAACATTCCACTCAACAGGTGACAAAACCATTGCACCCAGATCAGCTGCAGACAAGAGCAGAGCTTTCAGTGGAATTTTTAAACAAGTGGGATTAAGATCCCAGGGCCAGGCGTGGTGGCTCATGCCTGTAATCCCAACACTTTGGGAGGCCAAGAAGGGTGGATCACCTGAGGTCAGGAGTTGGAGACCAGCTGGCCAACATGGTGAAACACCATCTCTACTAAAAATACAAAATTAGCTGGGCGTGGTGGCGTATGCCTGTAAACCCAGCTACTCCAGAGGCTGAGGCAGAAGAATCGCTTGAACCCAGGAGGCGGAGGTGGTAATGAGCCAAGATGATGCCACTGCACTCCAGCCTAGGCAACAAGAGAGAAACTGTCTCAAAACAAACAAACAAACAAACTAAAAGATCCTAAAACATTTCTTCAAACGATTGTAACAGGACATGAAACATGGTTTACCAGTATGATCCTGAAGACAAAACACAATCAAACCAATGGCTACCAAGAGGTGGAAGTGCTCCAGTCAAAGCAAAAGCAGACCAGTTAAGGGCAAAAGTCATGGCAACTATTTTTGAGGATGCTCAAGGCATTTTTCTTGTTGACTTTCTCTTTGGCCAAAGAACAATAAGATCTGCTTATTATGAGAGTATTTTTAGTTAGCCAAAGCTTTAAGTTGAAAAAGGCCCAGGAAAGCTTCAGCAGAGAGTCTTTCTCCACCACAGCAAAACTCCTGCTCATTCCTCTCATCAGACAAGGGAAACTTTGTGAGAGTTTCAATGGAAAATTATTAGGTATCCATCTTACCATTCTGAACACCTTGGGAGGCCAAGGCGGGCAGATCAGGAGGTCAGGAGATCGAGACCATCCTGGCTAACATGTTGAAACCCCGTCTCTACTAAAAGTACAAAAAAATTAGCCAGGGGTACTGACGGGCACCTGTAGTCCCAGCTACTCGGGAGGCTGAGGCAGGAGAATGGCATGAACCCAGGAGGCGGAGCTTGCAGTGAGCCAAGACCACACCACTGCACTCCAGCCTGGGCAACAGACCAAGATTCCATCTCAACAAAAAACAAACAAATGAAAGCCTTTAAAAGGCACCCATTTTTCTTCAGTTAATGTAAAAAAGACTGCACTGATGTGGTTAAATTCTCAGGATGCTCAGTTCTTTAGGGATGGACTAAATCGCTAGTATCATTAGTTACAAAAGTGTCTTGAACTTGATCAATATTGAGAAATAAAGTCTATATTTTATTTTTGTTTTTTAATTCCATTTCACCAAACTTTTAAAAGTCTCCTCATACACTAAAGACTCTCATGGATAAAGTAAATAGTATGTCAGAACAGATGGGTAGTATAAGCAGAGAGACAGAAATTCTAAGAAAGAATCAAAAATGCTAAAAATCAAAAATGCCATAACAGAAGGGAAGAATACCTTTGATGAGCTCGTTAGTAGACTAGAAACAGTGAAGAAAGAATCTCTGAGCTTGAGGATATCTCAATACAAATTTCCAAAACAGAAAAGCAAAGAGAAAAAAGACTGAAAAGCAAAACACTACAGAATATCCAAGAACTGTGGGACTACAAAAGGTATAACGTATGTGGGATAGAACACCAGAAAGAGAATGAAGAAAAGGAAAGAATAGATGAAATATTTGAAGTGATAATGACTTAGAATTACCCCTAAGTTAATGACACCAAAACCCAGATCTAGGAAGCTCAGAGAATACCATCAGGATAAATGACAAAAACTACGCCTAGGCATGTCATATCCAAACTGCAGAAAATCAAAGATAAGGACAAAATCTTGAAAGAAACCAGAGAGAAAAACACCTTACCTATGTAGAGAAGCAAAGATAAGAATTATATCTGAGTTCTCCTCAGAAACTCCTCAGAATAGGATGTACTGAAATATTTCAAGTGTTGAGAGAAAAAAAACACCAACCTAGAATTCTGTACTCTGTGAAATTATCTTTCAATAGTGGAGGAAAAATATACACTTTCTCAAACAAACAAAAATTGAAAGAATTTGCTGTCAGTAGACCTCCCCTGCAAAAAAAAAAAAAATTTTAATTTTTTTCAGAAAGAAGGAAATAATATAGGTCAGAAACTCAGATTTACATAAAGAAAGGAAAATCATCACAGGACAAATAGGTGAAGGTAAAGTAAAAACTTTCATTTTTCTTATTCTTATTGGTCTTACAGATAACCATTTGTTCCAAACGATAATAGCAACAATATATTTGATTATGTATGCTTATGTGTGTACATTTTAATATATATTATATGTTACATTTATAATATATGTTTATTTATAAGTGAAATGAATAACAGGAATGATACAATAAATAAGAGGAAATAATTTTTCTTATTACAAGGTACTTGTCCTACCTGTGAAGTAGTATGGTGTTATTTGAAAGTGGACTTGGATTAGTTGTAGATGTATATTACAAACTCTAAGGTCACCACTAAAAAAAAATTTAAGCATAACTTTATGCTAAGAAATGAGAGTAAATGGAATTATATGAAACGCTCAATTAAAACCACAAAAGACAGAGTGGAAGGCAAAAATAGGATCAAAGAACAAGGGCAATAAATAGAAAATAGTAGCAAATACAGTAGGTATTAACCCAAGTACATCAATAATTACTTAAGGGCCGGGTGCAGTGGCTCACACCTGTAATCCCAGCACTTTGGGAGGCCAAGACGGGTGGATCATGAGGTCAGGAGGTAGAGGCTATTGTGGCCAACATGGTGAAACCCCGTCCCTACTAAAAATACAAAAAAAAAAAAAAAAATTAGCTAGGCATGGTGGCACACGGCTGTAGTCCTAGCTATTTGGGAGGCTGAGGCAGGAGAATCTCTTGAACCCAGGAGGCAGAGGTTGCAGTGAGCCAACATCACACCACTGCACTCCAGCCTGGGGACAGAGAGAGACTCTGCCTCAAAAAAAAAAAAAAAAAAAATTACTTAAAACATCAATGGCCTAAATATACCAATTAAAAGGCAAAGATTGGAGATTGTCAAAGTGGATGAAGAAACAATACATAACTATATGTTGTCTATAAGAAACCCGCTTTAAATATAAGGACACATATACATTAAAAGTAAAAGGATTGAGAAAGATATATCATATTAACACTAATCAAAAGAAAGCAAGAGGGGCTATATTAATTTCAAGCAGAGCAGACTTCAGAGTAAAGAAGGTTATGGGGGCTAAAGAGGGGCATTACATAATGTAAAGGGATCAATTCTCCAAGAAGACATAACAGTCTTTAATATGTATGTATGTAATAATAGAGTGTCAAAATACATGAAGCAAAATCTGATAGACCACAAGGAGAAACAGGCAAATCCACCATTACAGTTGGAAACCTCAACATCCTTGTATCAGAAATGGACACATACAGAAGACAGAAAATCAATAAGGCTAAGGCTATAGTTGAACTCAACAGCACCATCAATCGACTGGACATCTATGACATTTATTGACATCTATGGACTACTTCGTTAAACAACAGCAAAATACACACTCTTCTCAAACTTAGAAGAGCATTCACCAAGATAGATCAAATTCTGGGCTGTAAACAACGTTTAACAAATTTAAAAATGAAATCATACACTGTATGCTTTCAGTCTGCAATGAAATTAAACGAAAAATCAGTAACAAAATGATAGTTGAAAAATCCCAAAATAGTTGGAGGTTAAACAACACATTTCTTTGTTGCTGTTGTTGTTGTTGTTGTTGTTGTTGCTGCCCAGGCTGGAGTGCAATGGTGGCATCTCAGCTCACTGCAATCTCCACCTCCCAGGTTCAAGTGATTCTCCTGCCTCAGCCTTCCGAGTAGCTGGGATTACAGGCGTGTGCCACCATGTCCAACTAATTTTTGTATTTTTAGTAGAGACGGGGTTTCACCATGTTGGCCAGGCTGGTCTTGAACTCCTGACCTCAGATGATCCATCCACCTCAGCCTCCCAAAATGCTGGGATTACAGGCTTGAGCTACCGTGCCTAGCCTACAACACACTTCTTATCAAAATTTGTGGAATGCAGTGAAAGTAGTGCTTAGATGAAAATTTATAGCATTGAATGCATATATTTGAAAAGAAAAAGATATAAAAATAAATAATCTAAGATATCACCTTAGGAAACTGGGAAAGGAAGACCAAATTAAATCCAAAGTAAGCAGAAGAAAACAAATAATTAAAAAATTAGAATAGAAATACATGGAATTGAATGCATAAAATCAATTTTAAAAAATCAACAAAACCAAAAGCTGGGTTTTTAAAAAGATCAATAAAATCAATAAGCCACCAGTTAGGATAACTAAGAGAAGAAAAGAGAGAGGACACAAGTTACTAATATAAAAAATGAGAAAGGGAATATCACTACAGATAACCTGGACATTAAAATGATAACAAAGGAATGCTATGAACAACTTTATGCCCACAAGTTTGCCAACCTAGATGAAATGTACCAATATCTTTAAAAAATGCAATCTGTCAAAATTTATACCAGAAGAAATTAACATTTTGAATAGACTTATATTTATTAAAGGAATTGAATTAATAATAAATATCCTTTCAAAACAGAAAGAACCAGGTCCACCTGGGTTTGCTGGTGAATTCGTCTAAACATTTAAGGAAAAAAAATATATCAGTTCTCTGCAATTTCTTCCAGAAGATAGAAGCAGAGGGAATAATTCATTCCTAAATCATTCTGTGAAGCCATCATTACACTAACACACAAAAAAAGACAAAGATATTAAAAGAAAGAAAACTACAGCCCAATATCTCTTATAAACACAAACACAAAAATTCTCAACAAAATATTAGCAAATCAAATCCAACAATGCATAAAAAGAAATATACACCAGGTGGGATTCATCCCAAGTAGGCAAGGGTGGTTCAACATCTGAAACTCAACATAATCTGTCACATTGACAGGATAAAAATGAAAAATCACATAATCACATCAATAGACACAGAAAAAGCATTTTACAAAATCCAACACTGATTTATGATAAAGACTCAGCAAACTAGAAATAGAAGGGAACTTCCTCAGCTTGACTTTTTAAAAAATGCTAGTGAAAAAACCACAGATAACAACATACTTATTGAGGAGAAACCCAAAACTTTCCCACTAAGATCAGGAACAAGGCAAGAATGTCCCCTCTCCCCACTCATTTTCAACATTGTACTGGAAGCCATAGCTAATCCAGTGAGACAAAAAAAGGAAACAAAATGTATACTGATTAGGAAGGAAGAAATAAAACTGTCTTTTTTCGCAGGTAACATGATTGTCTATGTAGAAAATCCAAAAGAGTTGACCAGAAAAACCCACTTAAGTGATTAAGCAAGGTTGTAGGATATGAGGTTAATATACAAAAGTCAACCACTTTCCTATATACCAGCAAGGAACAAGTGGAATTTGAAATTTAAAACACAATGCCATTTACACTGGCACCCAAAATAATGAAATATTTGGGTATAAACCTAACAAAATATGTGCAAGAACTATGTGAAAATAAAGACCTACAAAGCTCTAATGAAGGAAGTCAAAGAAAAACTAAACAGATAGATATTCCACATTCATGGATAGGAAGACCCAATATTGTCAAGACATCAGTTCTTCCTAACTTGATCTATAGATCCAGCGCAATCCCAATCAAACACCCAACATGTTATTTTGTGAATATCAACAGGCTGATTCTAAAGTTTATATGGAGAGGCAAGAGACCCAGCGTAGCCAACACAACATTGAAAGAGAACAAAGTCAGAGGACTGACACTACCCAACTCCAAAACTTGCTATAAATCTCCAGTAATCAGAATAGTGTGATATTGATGGGAAATAGACAAAAAAATTAATGAAATGGGATAGAGAGCCCAGAAATAGAGCCTCATAAAAATGGTCACCTGATCTTTGACAAAGGAGGAAAGGCAGTAGAATGGAACCAACACATTCCTTTTAACAAATGATGCTGGAACAACTGGACATCCACATGAAAAGAAAAACGAATCTAGATACAGACTTTAAACTCTTCACAAAAATTCACTCAAAATGGATCACTCCTAAAGGTAAAATGCAAAATCATAAAATTCCTTGAAGTATGTAAAAGAAAATCTAAATGAGCTTGGGTATGGTAATGTCATTTTAGATATTACATCAAGGGCATGATCCATGAAAGAAATAATTGATAAGCTAGACTTCATTAAAATTCAAAACTGCTCCACAAAATACACTCTTGAGAGAATGAGAAGACAAGCCACAGACTGGGAGAAACATTTGCAGAAGATATATCTGATAAAGGACTATCACGTAAAATATGTAAAGAACTCTTAAAACTCAACAATTTTAAAAATGCACAACTCGATTAAAAATGGGCCAAAGACCTGAAAGAACATCTCACCACCAAAAATATACAGATAGAAAATAAGATATGAAAAGATGCTTCACATCATACGTCATCAGAGAAATGCAAACTAAAACAACAATAAGATACCACTACACACCTACTAGAATGACCAAAATCCAGAACGCTGATAACACCAAACGCTGGCAAGCCTCAGTTGTTTCTTCAACCCTGCCTTAAATGATCTGAGATCCTTCAGTGGCCTCCATGAATTTCCTCCATTTTACCCTAAGTTAGCTCAAGACAATTATTGTCCCTTGCGAGTAAAATAGTACTGCCCCAAATACCAAGACTTGGGCTCTGTCAGTTTAAATACCATTAATTAAGTACAGTCATGAGTTGCTTAATGACAAAGATACATTCTGAGAAATACGTTATTGGGTTATTTCATCATTGTGCAAACATCCTAGAGTGTACTTACACAAACCTACACACCTAGGCTATAGGGTAAAGCCTATTGCTCCCAGGCTATAAACCTGTACAGCATGTTGCTGTGCTCAGCACTGTAGGCAATTGTAACATAATGGTAAGTATTTATGTATCTAAACATATCTAAACATGGAAAAAGTACAGTAAAATACAGTATAAAAGATGTTTTTAATGGTATACCTGCATAGAGCACTTACCATGAATGAAGCTTGCAGGACTGGAAGTTACTCTGGGTGAGTGAGTGAATGAGTAAATGTGAAGGCCAAGGATATTGCTGTATATACTGTAGGCTTTATAAACACTATACACTTGGGCTACACTGGTTTTATTTTTAAATTTTTCTTTCTTCAACAAAAAATTAAACTTGGCTTATTAAAACTTTTTTACTTTATAAACTTCTTTATTTTTATTAACTTTTCAGTTCTTTTGTAATAACACTTAGCTTAAAACACCAAAACATTGTTCAGCTGTACCAAAATATTTTTTCTTTATATCCTTATTCTATAAGCTTTTTGTATATTAATTACTTTTTTACTTTTTAAATTTTTTTGTTAAAAATTAAGACACGAACACACACAATAGCCTAGGCGTACACAGGGTTAGGATCATCAATATCACTGTCTTCCACCCCCACAGCTCATCCTGCAGCACGTCTTCAGGGACAGTAACAGGCATGGAGCTGTCATCTCCTATGACAGCAATGCCTTCTTCTGGATACCTCCTGAGGGACCTGCTTGCCTGACACTGATTTACAGTAAACACTTTTTTATAAGTAGAAGGAGTACACTCTAATGATAATAAGTATAGTATAGTAAATTCGTAAGCCAGCAACATCGTCATTACTTATGATTATTAAGCACTATTTACCGTACATTATTGTATGTGCTAGACTTTTATACGACTGGCAGTGCGGTAGGTTTGTTTACACCAGCATCATCACAAACACATGAGTAATGCTTTGCACTGCAACGTTCGGAGGGCTACGTCACAAGACAATAGGAACTTGTCAGCTCCTTTACAATCTTATGGGACCACCATTGAACATGTGGACTGTCATTCGCTGAAAACTTGTTACGCGGTGCATGACTGTAGTTGTCACCTAAGAACAAATATACTCCAGGCTTCGCTTGTCCTAAAGCCTTTGATGGTGGGGGCAGGCAGAAGGGATGATTAAAACAGTAAAAATGTCCAACTGGGTGAATAGAGAAAATCTTCCTCCCTCTGTCTTGATTTCATCCTCTGTAAAATGGGGACAATAGTAAGAATAAAAGATCCCTATGTCTATCCTTCCCTCTCCTAGAATCAGTGTAAATGTCAACCATCTTCACAGTCTGTCCTCATTCCTTACCTTCAAATAACTCCTTCCTCCCCTCAACTTCAATAAATTTTATCTAAAACATTCCCACACTTTTTATCTTGTGTTTTAATTAGATGAGCACTCTGATATTCCCTGTTAAACTGTAAATTCCCTAAAGGCAAAAGTGTGTGTTTTATCTTTATTGGTCCACAGTGCCTAGTATATTACAAATAAAGTGAGAAGTGAGTATTTGTTGAAAGAATAAATCAAGAATAAATTAAGACGAGATAGGAGGAAGACTTTTAAAAGTATAAAGCATGGATTATAAAGCGTCCATGCACTGTGTAAACTAAGGTCTGATTCTCATCACTGATGGTGTGATCTTGGGCTAGTACTCTAACCCCTTTGGGTTTCTCACGAACAAGGCTCTATGGACATGGATCACAGGGAATGTGCAGTTGTAGTCTATTTGCTTTTGCTTTTAATTTCCCACTCTGAAGCTTAAAGAAATGAAAGTGAAGGGTGGGTACAATAAAACCTCCATGCCCATAAAGATAACAGGGAGAAATTAGAAATTATAAAGGAAATGGGGGAGATAAGTTAACTGGAATCGCAGGTGAAACAGTCACTCAGTTGAGCCCTAAATTTAGCACTAAGCTTCCTGGTTGCCAAGGCAAAAAGCAAAACTCGATGGTGTTCATAGTTCTTATTGTTAGAAAAAGAGATTATACCAGTTATCAAAAAACACACACCCTTCCCCGGAGCCGTCTTCCAGAAGGAATTACGGTGTCATTCCTTTAAAAAGGCCAGTGAATGTCACTTTGGGCAACATCCCCTGCTACATCACCACAGAATCAGGGAGGCTGCTGAAGAGTTTCTCATCTAGGGGAGCCCTGCTTCCGCTAGAGGGTCAGAAAGGACTGGCAGTAAAGAGCTAGGCCCCAGCCAACACCCGGCACAAAGCAGCTGCAGAAACTAGCCAGTCACGTCATTATTTAATGTTGGCTGATTAGATGTAGGAAAATGCCTGCCTAAAACAACTATTTTCAATCTGGCATGAAGCGGGGCTGTTCTGACAATACTTTGCCATTGAATTGAGGTCTTTACTAAAACAGATCACAACTCCTGAGGGCAAAGCATAGGCCATGATAAAACATAACAGCATAGTTTTACTGTTTATTGTAGCAGAGGGTCACGTGATAAATTCATCTAAAAGGTCATCAACTATCTGCAAGTTAAAAAAAGAGAGTATTACACAGGGAAGGGAGCATGATGTTGAGGAAACAACAACAGCAGGAAGTGGGCTGATGAGCGCCTGGGCCTTGGTTGTTCATTTCTCTCTGCTTTTGCATCTTTGAGTGTCATCGTAAAAATGTTTCAAAACATTTCTCATGCGGGCTCCTGAGGAAAGTGATTTGGGCCCTGTGAAGCACGAGCCAGGGGTTACTGACTGCTCATGGCTGCCAGTGAGACTCCATGAGGCCCCATGTGGCTTTCCCGAGTTCACACATAGACCTTGTCCTCCAGTCCTGGCTGAGGGCACCCAGTGACCTGTGGATTTTGAATGACCCCAGAAGCATCTCCAACAATGAGTTGATTGTTCCCATTCCAGTGGCTGGGCTTAGCTCCCTCCATGCCTGCAACGAGAAACCTTGACCCTCAGTGGAGGTGGGAGCTAGAGGGAGATCAGGGGCTCTGGCCCTCCCTGGAGTTGGGCAGGCAGAATGGGGTGCTGGCCCTAGGGACTGGTGGGTCTGGAATGGGAAGAAGGAAAGAGAAGGAGCAGGAACAGGAGGAAAGGCGGAAACCAGAGGCCTAGGGAAGCCAAGGCCTCTCGCCTGCAGACAGGCAAGTTAGCTTTGCAGAGGGAGCTGCAGACACTGTGGGATGAAGAGGTGGCCCAGCCAGAAGGAGCCTGCGGCTGCAGTCTGGGGTGGAGAAAGGGCTTCAGCGTGCTGGAGATGGAGGGTTGTGACCGGGGAGTGAGGGAGTCATGGCGCAGGGTGGGGATGAACTCTCCCCACAGAGCTAAGTTCAGAGATGCTGTCGGCTGCAGAGCCCTGAGCTTGAGTATGCTTAATTCCATAGACTGGCCCAAGAAAGGCGTAGGCCGGGATCAGAGGCTAAAAAGAGAGCGCAGATCTGACGCTGAGCCAGGCAGCCCCTGCCCCGGGGTAGCAGCCGGCTTTGCTCTTTCCTCCCTTGGAAGAAAGCAGAAAGAGAACATACTTTGATTGTCCTCAAACAAACACTGTGTTGAGTAAAGAGATAAGCCCAGCCTGGGTTGGCTCAGGCGTCCCCAGGCAAGGGAAGTCACACTTCATATTTCCAACATGAACGTCCCAGATGGGCCGGGCCTCGAACCCGGCAGAAAGCTGAGAGGCTGGGGCCTGTGCCCTGCAGGGAGAGGCCCAGCACGCGAGGGGTGATCTGCTGTGACCCGTGACCGCTGCAGCTGAGGCCCTTTTTTCTGCCAGCCGGGCCTGCGTGTCCAGAGCGTATAAGATCCAATCCAGAAAGAGCCAGGACCCCACCGAGGGGACATTGGTGGCTGATGCTCAAGGAGGTGCCGCCTCCCTAGCCAGGGGCGTTGGAAAAGTGACCTTGCTGGAGGGAACGTTGTCTTCTAAGAAGCTGCCTGAGTAAGGCAAGACGTGAGAGGCGGGAAGGGATAAGGTTTGGGAGGATCCCCTTTCCCGTGCCCATGCGCCCTGACTGCTGCTGCCTTCACCTGCACTGCACACCTGGGTGACAAGGACAACGGGCACTCGGTGCTCTACACGCCCTCTGCAAGCCTGTCAGCCAGGTACTGCTATTACCTCCCTCTACAGATAAGGAGGCCAAAGCACCAGCAGGAGCGACCGTCACTGGAGGTCAGGCATAGTTCACAGGGCCTGGAACTGGGGATTGGACCTGGATCCTTGAGCTGATTCTTGCGCCTCAACCTCTCTTCCCAGATGCCCACCGCCCCCAACCGCGCACCCCTGCAGATGGGACGCTGCCCTCGAGGCTCTCCCTCCGCTTGCTTCCCCCAATGGTGGGGTCCACCCCAGACCCGGGAGCCCCTCCCTCAGTCCCTGCTCCTCGTGGCCCTTCTTGTAATCCTTTCCCCAGACTCCTCCCACCTCCCCGCCTCTGGCACAAATCCCGCAAGTATATGTTCCTCTCTCCTCATCTCTCTCACTAAGAAAGTCAATCCCACAAGACATCCCCCAAAGGAAAGAATGAAATAAAACAGTCCCCCATGTCTAGCCCGAGCATTCTTTTTAATTTGTTGTCAAGTTGGGCTTGCCAAGTCAGTCTCTTTCGATGAAGCAGAGGACTCGGGTGCAGCCGCGGCCCACGCAGGCTCTGAGGTGCGAGCCGCCAGCAGGTGCCGTCAGGGTGGGCACGCACCGTGGACACACAGACAGGGGCCCGGCCCACGCATGAGACCAAGAGTGCAGAGCCCAGGATGGGCCAGCACCATCACTACTCATGTAGTGGCCACAGTGTCACTGACCAAGTGTCAGTGTGGGCTACCAGGGACCCACAAAGAAAACTGTCTTGCAAGACCCGGGGAAAGGGACAAGAATCTACAGGTGCCTTTCAGAAATAATCCATGCCACCGGGAAGCAAGTGCCAAAAAGAAGCCAATCTCTTGGGTGGGGACAATAACCTAAGAAGCTGTCACTTGTCTCCGTGGTGAAGCTATAAAGAAGCTCTTGGTCACCAAAAAGGAATAGTGAGGAGGAAACCTGTCAGTTTCCCACCTGGTGCTGCAGACAACACCTAGCCATGACAGGTATTCCTGTCTGCTTCTAGAGACATCTAGAATGAGCCAGTGTCTGCGTGGCTTGGTGACACTTCCCTTAAGTAATTCTTCCTATATCTGTAGTTCCTGAGCTGCCTTCCAGATTTAATTTTCCAGGTAGGTTTTATTACAAAAGAGAGGCGAATATAACAACAAAAACGTTGCTGTGTCTTGAATTCTTACTAATATCTGCTTTACAGACATTTCTTCATTAAGCAGTCGCAACAGCCCTGTGAGTTAGGGTTATTTTATAGACGAAGCTGTATCTGCCTATTGTGAAGTTATTTACAAGTAAACGTTGGTCTAACTACTTTTATTCCTCATTCCTCTCTGCACGTTTCAGGGCAGTCCCTTGCATAAACGGTAGAATCTCAATTATTTGTTCAATTAAACTGAACAAGATTTAACAACACTCTGGGATTAAGAACGCCATACTTCTTAACATAAATTGCATGTAAGAGCTTTTTTCCTTGTCTATTGCCTTTCCATGGTAATAAAAGTAGCTAATATTCATCAGTCTTACTAGGTGCCAAGCACTGTGCCAATGAATGCATTCCATTCGTTATCTGATCTATCATACAAATCTTATTATTTTCTCCATTATGAATGCAGAAACAGAGATCTAGAAAAGCTGTTCCAAAGTAGCAAAGTCAGGATCTGAGCCTGTGCTCAAATCAAGAGTCAGACAATCTGACTCCAGGTGCGTGCTCTTCATCACTAAGCTAATACCAAAAATAAAGCATAAAACAAAAGAAATTCATACGGTAAAGAAATGGAGGGAAATCACCAGAGGTCATTCCTATACCGCCACATCCCTATCACCAGCATGGCCCCCACTTTCTCAAAATTTTCACTGTTGAACATTCAGCATATATCTTTCCACATGTTTTTTTGGTATACCTATATACATGTAGGTTACATATATACTATTTGTTTTCAAAATGGTATCATACTAATTATACTGATCTGCAATTTATTTATTTTTAAAAATTCTAGGCACCTTTCCATATGAGTATATTTAGCTTGTTATGAACTTAATTGTGACCGCCCCAAAATTCATATGTCGAAGTCCTAACCCCCAACACCTTAGAATGTAACTGTATTGAGAGACAGGCTTTAAAGAGTTAATTAAATTAAAATGAGATCATTACGGTGGACCCTAATCCAATATGACTGGTGTCCTTATAAGAAAGAGTGACTAAGACACAGACACACACAGAGGAAAGACCATGTGAAAACACAGGGGAAGACAGCCATCTACAAGCCAAGGAGAGGCCTCAAGAGAAACCAACCCTGCCGACACCTTGATTTTAGACTTCCAGCCTGTGGAGTTGAGAAAACCCATTTCTGTTATGTGAGCCCTCCAGTCTGTGACACTTGTTATGGCAGCCCTGGCCAACTAGTACACAGCTCTGCCATGTTTCTTTTTAACTGCTACAGAGAATTCCATTTTATAAATGTACTATAACTGATTTAAACAGCTCTCTTTTTGGTAGCTTTCTAAATCCTTTTTCTTGTTCCTTCTCTCTTCCTTTCTACCTTCCTCTCTTCCTTCCTCCTTTTCGTTTTTCTTTCTTCTCTCATCCTTTTCCATTACAAACAATGCTGGGCCGAACATTCCTACAGGTGTAATCTTGCATATTTATGAATGAGTGTTTTCAGAGGTTAGACTCATCAAAGAGCTCTCATGTCAAATATGAAGCATATCTTATAAGTCAGTATAAGTCATGTTGCCTGGGAGCTTTGAGTTTTGCAAGCATACAGTTCGTTAAATAATTCATCATGGTTCTTTCCCTGTACTAAACTGGCTTCCTGCTCTCCCTTCTAGGTTTTCTGTTTTGTTTTGTTTTTATTGAATTTGACCTTTTTCAGAGCCAAAAAAGAAAAGGAAGAAAAAAGAGTCATTCACATACTTGACTCTAGAAAATGACAGAACCTTTAACTCCAGAGAAGTCAAGGAGCCTGTTTTGTCTCTAGTTTCAGTTTAGGACTTATTATCTCTTGAGTACCCTAAGTGACTCCGTAAACTTGTAGAGACCAACCTAGGAAGTCACATGGATGTCACTGCTCCATAGGTCATTGTTGTCCTTGCTAAATTCCTCTAAGAATAGTTCTGGGGGGAGACGGGCAGTGGCACGGCAGTGTTGCAGAGTTCTCCGTAGTTGGCTTCAAAGAACTCAACCCATTAATGCAGAGACGCATTTCTGGCACGAGGCACATAAATCTATATTCCTCTCTCCTCTCCTCATTTCTCTTACCTAAAAAAGTCAATACCACAGAATTTCAGAATACTATTCCCTTGTTTAGAAACCAGACTCTCCATTGCCAAGGCTTAACATGAAGCCTCAACTTTCTGGACAGAACTCAAGCTCCCCCACCAGTCTGGTTCTACACCCTCTCCCCCGCCACACCTCTCAGGCACAGCGCCACTGCTCCAAGCCGGCTTCTTCCTCCCCTGCAGAGAGGCTTCAGTTGTCCCTGCCTCATGTCTTTGTTCAGATCAGCTGTACCACGTCAACATTAGACTGTGACCTCTCAGAGTGCACATCCTTTGTCTCATATTCCATTATTTCTGGAATATACTGAGAAAATAATAACAAAATATCAAAAAGAAAGAAGGAAGAGAAAAAGAACAGGGAAAGACACAGCCCTGCGTCAAGGGGAGGACTCTCCTGAGTTCCTCTGCACCATCTCATGGCTCTCTTCTCCAGCATCCAACTCTGACCTGTGCTTTCCTTGCCTGTTTCAACTCCTCTTTCATAACTCCTCCTCTTTTTGGACTACTCTATACTCTTTATTTACCTTCCAAGTGTATGCACAGTCCCCTGACCTGGACTATAGGCCCTTCAAGGATATGGCCAATGCTTTGGGTTTCCTTCTTAGTACTCCAAGCACACACTGCCATCGGTAGTTATTGTACTAAACTGAAAATACCATCCACCACCCAACCCACTGTTCTTTGACAATTGAGATAGAAACTTGGCTATTGAGAATCTCTGTGAGATCAGAGGCCCAGGAGTAATCATTCTTACCATCTCTAGCACTAAACTTATCAAGCCACTTGTCACGTACCAACTTTTATAAACACCAATTTTCTAATCTGCAAAATGGGGATAATAATAGAATGTACTTCACCAAGTTCCAATGAGGACAGATAACTGATGTAAACACTTATAAACTATAAACACATATGACATATACAACATACAATCCCTTAAGAGTGTCTGGGTATTGAGAACTCTCCCTTGGCAAAAGCCAGCCTTCTTTTTATCCCACCTTCCACAAGGAACTGAGGTCTCTTTCCCCAAGGCCCAGTACAAGGAAAATGCAGTGAATAGAGCTACCCACTGGGCAGCAGCGCAGAGTTCAAAACGGATTTTATTTGCTAGGTATGGGCATGACAAGTACAGGGAAGAAATAGAAATATTTAGGTATCAGTTTCCTAGTCGCTGACATCTAAAACTACTTTAAAAGTCAAGAGGAGCTAAGGAAACTTCAGAAGCTAATCTATGTACTGAGATTTTGCAAATGTTTATTCCCCTTTGGAGGGCTGCCTACCGGTGGAAGAGCAGGTAGACATGCCTTGGGTGAGGAACTTCCAAATAGGAGTGGAGAAGCATGGAAATTTTTGAAGTATACAGCCAAAAGATACATCTCCTTTTGTTTCAAGTGAAGTGGCAGACACACTTTTTTAATCCCCTTGGAGCTGAGATTTTCAATGTATGGAATCGACGTGTCTTAGAGCTTGAAAAGGAATGCGTAATTTACAATCAAGTTCAATGCCTCATCTAACAAACAGGGAAATGAACACCCAGAGGGTGACCTTGTGCAAATGACCCAGTGCTAGCAGAGTCTAGACAGAAGCTTAGGTCACCTGTCTCCCCAGGCTGTGGTCGTCCAGGCCACCCGGGCCATGTCTAAATAGGTGACTTTTAAAGAAATAAGACTAAAGTGAACTTACCAAGACATAGTGCCCTGGACTCATGGGAACTAACAGAAACTTTCCCATTCAGCAGCTAGGTATTTATCTAATGATCTCGAAGGCAATCTATATGTGCAAACTTGCCTAGGATGTTAGGGGAAAAAATAGCAGTGGCCTAAACCATTGGAATCCCCGTTTCGGATAGAGATTAGGCAACAAGGAGATTTAGCCAGATTGCTTCAGGAAGGTTTTCTTGCCCAGATATAATACATAAAATAAACCTCTCATTCAGAAGATCTTCGGTTTTTGTCAACCTAAGTCCCATCCGCTTGCCAATCCAGTCCACAGTGTGTTACACATTAAAGCCACAGGCTTCCTTATGGGTAACATATGTTGCTGAGACACGTGGAGCCATAATATCTCGTAACCCAGTGATACTGTCCCTAGAGTTAATACAACTCCACTAACATATGTTTCTGCTATTCCCATCCTGAGATACCAGTATTGAAATATATTATGCACAATGTACAGTTAATTGAAAGATACAGGGGGTATATTAAAAAATAAATCTGTTTCTACGACCTCTGCTAAAGTACATTTGAAATACCATATCGTTGATTTCACACTAGTGTACGTGAACTATCTCTGTTGTTTTTTCTGGTCTCTATTTTTTCCTTTCACTCGCCCATGTCTTCTTGGTGCCATGCTAACCACACCACACTAAGGCTGGAGGTTGAGGGATGTGATGCCAGGAACTAAGGCAGTGGGTAAGGAGGCGTGGTTGGAAGTGAGAGCAACAGGAGAAACCATCAGTCATCTCATCCCTCTGAATCCTGGCAGTACCATATTTTAGAAACTTAATCCCAAGAGGAAGTCAAGTACATCCGCCTTTCCCCTGCCCTTGTTGCATGCTCATATCTCTGAGTCAAGGAATGGCCTAATTTTATACTTCTTTTGTAAAGCAAGGAAGTCGTTGAGATGGAAAACATTAATCTGCATTTCCTCTGACATTGCTTTTATTGTCATACGCTGCACACGGTTAGCACTCAAGACCAGCTCATACTTCTCCTAGATATTTCTAGAATTTATGTCATCCTCTCCAATCCACTTACACTGCCAGGCTTTCATGGTCTTAAATCTGGATTATTGCAGGAGCCTCTTACTTGGTCTTTCTGCCAACAGTCTTTTCCTATCCCAGTCCATGCTTACTACCAGCTCACTGGAGTGGTGAGCTAATTACAGTCTGATTTAAAATATTTCCATGGCTCTCTGCTGCCTGTCAAACAAAGCAAAAACTCCCTAATGCAACATAGAAGGCCCTCCATGATCAGACCCCAGCCCAGCCTAGGCTTCAAGCCCACCACTCTCTCATGTATTCTACAGTCCAGCCACATCAAGCTGTTTTCATTCCTGACCTCCATGCCATCGTACGTGCTGGCCACACTTCCAGGAATCTCCTTATCTGCCCAACAAATTCTATTCATTCTTCAAAACTCAGCTCAAGAGCATCATTTCCTCTGACTCCTTCCCAGGTCCACTCAGTGATTCCTGCAATTGCTTCGTGTATAATTCCCATAGATCTAGAAGCATACCTCTGTTGGAGCACTTCTCATGCGCCATCATAATCATTTTCTCATGTCCATCTCCCCCAAAAAAATGTTTCTCGAGGAGTAGGCTAAGCGGTTCATTCTACAACTTCTTCAGTAAATACAGGGCTCGGAGTCCTGATGCTGCCATTTACAAGTCGGGGGAATATCTAAAGGTCCCTAACATCTTTGATCCTCAGCTTCCTGATACACGAGGAGGGGCAGTGATAGAATATAATTCATAATGTTGTTATGAACAATAAATACAATAAGAGAAGTAAAGACCTTAATAGAATGCTTATATATAGTTAATGCTGGGTGATGGCTATTATCATTATATGATTACTGTGTGCCAAGCACTTAGTGCCAAGACAATTAAAGCCTGCCCTCGAGGTCTTTAGGGTATAGCCAAAGAGACGGACAAGCAATTCGCTCAATGTCAGAAGACGCAGAGGGTGCCATGAGAGCTCAAGATGGGGCACCTGCTGTCACTAAATGTCACACCTGCTGGAAAGATTGAAAGCGGACGAATCTGAAACAAGGGAAAACAGGTACAGACTACGGATATACTCCAGTGAGACATGATGCTGGCCTGCACTACAGCAGCAGCAGTGGGAAGGAAGAAAGGGACCAAGTTTGAAGATATCCTGGAGGTGGAATCAAGTCATGTGACTGGATGAATAATGAGATGTTTGGGGTGGTCTGTGTGGGGTTGGTGGGGAGTCTGGGTGAACACAGGTGGGTGGGAGGGTTATGTATGCAGACGCAGAATCCACTGATGTGTTGGTTTTAACTGAGCAGTGAGATAGCACGTGATCCCCAAGGAAAGCGTATGAAATGCGTGAGCTGAGCAGAGGGCTGCAAGGAGCAGCAGCACCGGGCAGGCGGTGAAGATCAAACAGGACCATGTATGCAGACAGACAGTGCCTACACTGAGAAGCGTCCCCACATTTCCACCGGAGACAGGCTCCTTCATCCCTCTTGGTTTACTGTGTGTTCCCAAGGAAGCCTCTGCGTCACAAATACTCATTGACCACTGACTGTGTCCCAAGCCCTGGGCTCTGGGTGCTGTGTGTAACTGCAGCTTCAGAACCAGGTTCCCATGCACTGCAGACTCAGCCCAGGGAGGGTGCTTAGAAAAGCCATGTCATCCTCCTGAACACATTTCCAGAGCACTCTCAAAGGCTCTTTTCTCAAAATCCTCAACAACAACAAAACCACATCAGGAGTATCTGCTCAATTACCCATGGCAGAGATTCGGGGTACTCCCTGCTGAGGCCAGAATCCCAGTCCCCTGAGGTCATCTGAACTGTTGGTCAGATGTCTGGGACAGCAGTGGCTTAAGGCCCTGGACACTGTCTGGGACCGTGGCTAGGTACAGGAACGGGGAATGATACGAAGGCAATTGTTTCTAACAGCCTAGGAGTACAGCTAAAATCTCATCAAATTCCAGCCATTCCCCATGACAATATTTTCACCCTTTTCCCAAATCCAGTTTTTCACGAGGAGATTCCCTCCTCTCTTCATCTCCCTCTATCTTACCCTTTCTGCTAAAATTGTTCTCCTTTGGAAACAAATAGTTCTGTTTCTTCTTTGGAATGCCTCGGGAGGTCAGGAACTCTTATCTCCTCCTTCACAACATTCTGGTCACTGCTTGGAACGTGACTTACGTTACTGACCACAGCTCAGGAGAGCAAAACAAAGGCAGGGCTGCCCAGCTGAGCACGAAGGGGTGGGCCTGAAGGGAGGGGAAGGTGAAGGCTGAGTTTCTGGCTGCCCTCTCCCTCCCCAGTTTCATGCTTTGGAGCAGCAAACATTTCACTGCTGCCTTCTCACAGCTGCCGGGGGCTGAGGGGTGACACCATGGCAGTGATGAAGGGGGATGTTCTGCTCTTCTGGGATTTGTTGCTGGGATTGCAGGCTTCAGGGCTGACTCATCCATGAGGGCTGGAGACAAGCCAAGGAGCAAAGGAAAGACACTTGGGGTCACACGCGCTGCCCTTGGCCACGCCAGCTCAGCCTGCTGGGGGCTCGCCAGGGTTCACTGGGCAGGCAGAGCACGACCCAGGGGTCGACACCTTTTTGTAATTATCAAGGTTTTTTCTCACTGGGGCAAGAACGCATTCCCCTCCAGAGGATGGATTACAAAGCAAATCGTTCCTACCTCTCTTCAAAGGCCAGCAAATTTAGGAAACTGCTGCTTCCTTCTCCAGAAACTTTAAAATGCAGCCAAGCTTGTTGCCCGCCACACACCCCATTGCCTTACCTGGAGCTCTCCTGAGCCTCCAGGCGCCGCTGTAGTTGGGACCCAGCCTCCTCTGCTTCCTCTTTAATTTGCTGATCCCCAAAGCAGCCCAGAGGACCTTTTCCTTAGAAAGGTTTTACTGGCAATTGCTTCAATGGAAAACAAAAAGGATTACAAAAATAACCCCAGGAATATGACAACATTTTGAGCAATTTTAGAAAGATCTTACAATTGCTGACTTCCAGTTTATACATTAACCCAGACCCCTGCAGTTCCCTTCTGGGCCTTCTGCTAGCTCATAGACTCATGCAGCCTCTTCTGGCTAGTTCTTCCTTCTTCCAGAACCTTCTATCAAGTGCTGAAACTTTGTCCAACCTCCCCACATCCCTCACCCACATGCCTGAAGGGGCAGCTCTCGCAGCTCAAGAGGAAGTCATTCCCCATGGCCTTGCCCTGCTGGAAAGTCAACAGGAGAAACCCCTTCATCTCTGAACCCCAAACTGAAAACAAACCATCAGCTAGCAAAATCTAAACCATAACTGGGCCTAGAAACCCAGACTGCTAAAGCTGAACGTGCCCTAATAGAACACTGAATCTACCCTTCTCACTTTGCAGGTAGGAAATGAGGATTCCAAGAGAGGATCTCAGACCCGCGACCAACACGAGTTTCTAGATGTTCTTTGCAATGCGTCACACCTCTCCCACGCCTGTATATTTGCTAACATTTCCAGACCAGCACAAAACTAGGAAGAGAGAAACATTCTCTCTCCAAAGAGAAGGAACCTTTCCCTCGGGACACTTGGGGTTTCCTCCTAAGGCAGGAGACTGGAAGCCCACAGGACAGGGGCCCCTCTGGCCTCTCCCGTGCCTCGTCCCTTCACCCACGCACGGCCCCAGAGCTTCTCTCAAGCACTCCTGAAACCCCGCCCCAGCGGCCCCCAGGACTGGGCCTTCTGCTTGTCTGCTACAAGGCCCGTCCCCTTTTAACAGGGCTGCTGTCTCACCCTTCAATCTGTTTCGTTGTCCCTTCCTCTGAGGGGCTTTCCCTGATCACTCTCTCCCACACCCAAGCTTTTTTTTCTTCGTTTCTTTTTTCAGCTCCTTCTCTCTGAAAAAGTTCAAATGCGATCAAACGCCCACATCCAAGCTCCCACTCTCAGCATCAGTTGGTGTCTCCTTCACTTGTAGCACGATCTGCCACAACTCTCTGCTTGCTGACTTGAGCTCTGCCTCCTCAGCTAACCTGGGAGCTGCACAGGACCAGGACTGTGCCTGTCAAGGTCACTGCTGTCTCCATAGCTCCTAGCACAGTGGCTGGCGAAGCTGGGCATTCCATGGATGTGAGGAATGCATGCATGAATGAGAAGCAGTCACAGAGGCAGGACACAGGTTTTAAATACTTACAGCTTTATTAGGAGAAGGCTGTGGTCACCTCAGCAGCCAGCTCCCTTGTATACACAGTATACACAGCCCAGCCAGCACCCAGGTCCTTCCATCCTTCTGCAGTACATGGAGTGCAAAAGAACCAAACACAACGGCGGGGAGGGAGGGTCTACCAATGAGTGTCAGTGTCTAGTGCTTCCGGGAGCCAACTGCCAGGCTAGGGACACTCAAGTCCCTCAAACTGTCATCAGCTCCTGCCAGACCCCACTCCAGCATGTCGAGGTTCATATGAGAGTGTTTGGGCCAGACTCCTCCAATCAGTGCACGCGATGGGCAGAGGAGGCTAGGGAATCCTGAGCCCAAAGCTGTATTGGTCCATCCCCCTCAAGAAGTTGTTGGAGCTTTCAGAACGTTCCTCTTCTTGTGTAGACATGAGATACCGCTGTAACTTTACTCCATCACCAGAAACCTGTGCCTTGAGTCTAGTCTCTGCTCAGCCCTCGAGAGCATGGTTGGATTAAGGAAATAGTCAAAGGCAAGCAAGACAAACTCCCTAGGTTGTCTTGGTCATGCGTCTTTTAAAAAGGGAAAGAAGAAAAACCACCACAACAGATAAAAGCACCGAGGCCTGGCTTGTGTCAGGAGCCAGAGAGGTTGTCCTTCCTTGAAATGGTTTGTAAAGTGACTGATGGCAAAAGCTGCTCTCCTCTACTGGAGGCCAGCCTCCTACCGATGGCACCTCTCTTCCCACCCACCCAATCCCCCTGCCATCCCGCACAGACCCCATGCCACCCTCTCCTCCTGAAGGAGGGAGTGCACCAAGCACAGGGCGCAGTGCTGTCGTCAGCTATCAAGGATCTGCTTCTGCCTGGTACCCTGGTCCTTTTTGTCCCTTTAGCCCCACAGTGGTCACTGGCACAGAGGGGTTCCTGTTCACTTAGTTCTTCAGGGGTGACTGCAGCCCTGCCTCAGAGACTGGCACCCCCTCTGCCCCCGCATGAACTCTGTCCAAGGTTTCCAGCCCAGCGTTAGACCGGATGAGAACATCATCGCAGAGGCTTGGCTGGCTGGCTGGCTGGTTTGTGGATTCTGACTATTAGGGAAACCCACATAAAAGAACGGAACTCTTCTCTCCCAGGAAGACACATGCTTTGATCTTAGCTCCAGAAAATTCTCCACTGAGGACCTGGATTCATCACCTACACTCAGAAGCAGAATATCCCATGTACACAGTGGGGCATCTGAACCTTCAAGAAACACCCTGCTTAGCCAAAGAAGCTGTGACCCCAAAATATCTCCCCACTTGGAGCTAGAGAAAATGCCTGTTTCTATTTTCCTGACATGTCTATAAGACAGACAGGTCTCCAGCAGTTCATACTAGTGGCTGCCAGGCCCCCTGGGTCAGTCATTGATTCTTGGTGCCTCCTGAAACCTACTCCCAAGGAGTCTGAAGAGGCCCTGTCTTCGGCTTTGGAGCCCCAACAGGGGGCTGGGCTGTGGGGAGCAGGAAGCCACGCACCACACCCTCATTTCTGTGGCTGGACAGCTCGCTCTCCAAAGACTGAGTGTGGTGGAAGGACCAGGTCACCACTGTCCTAGGGGAGGGATACGGCTGGGTTCCCAGAGGGCATAATCTGAGGTAGCAAACAGTGGAGAAGCTAAGGCCTAGGATGCAACGTGACGTGCCCAGGGCAGACAGCAGTAGCTGTTTGGAACGAAGACGAGTTTATAGGCACATAGATGTTCAGCACCTAGCCCTCCTAGGCATGCCCCAGCCCCTCACAATGGGTACGGGACTGTGGCCACTGTCAGGGCTGTCTGAGGCGACACAGACCCTCGGATGTCAGCCTGCATATACGTGCCTCTCTGGAGGAGGAAGCCATTAGAAATGCAGCTTCCTCCTCCCTATCCCAGGGTGACATCTCCCAAAGCCAGGCCCAGAGCTCAGCACCAACCCCAGTCCAGTGACAGCAGAACCCTCCAGAACTTTCTGAAAACTCCCTGCATCAGCCACAGACTGCATAGCCCCTAGCAAATGTCAACATCTTTCTGTAATGGCCGGCTCCATCTTGAAGAAGACAGCAGACTCCCTACTGGCTTTCCCCGCTACCTGCAGAGCCTCAGAGGACACTTCCGTGGCAGCCCTACCACTAGTCCTACACCCTGCACATCAGAGGAAGGAGAGGCTGCTTCTTTATAGGAGGGCCAAGAGTGCAGGATGAGAAACCTCGGGACTCCCTGTGCACGTCCACGTCTTCCAAGGTGGAGTGCCAGGCTCCAGGGGCCCTAATCTCACTCTCCCCGTGGCTTCTGCCCAGCCCCAGCCAGCTTTTATTGCTTAGTCCATGTCAGTTCAAAAAGGAAAGTGGGCTAAAAGCACCGTGAAAACCCTGCCTCGTTCAGACACGGCTCAGAGCCCATGGGGCCACCTGAGGGTGCCAAGCTGCTGGGACATGGCTCTTCCAGCAGCCTGTGGCCTCCGTTCTGGGGGCCGGGGTCCCTGAAGTTCTGCCTGGAAGGTGCCCATCCTCCAAGTTCCTTGGAAACTGGGCCTCAGCACCTTCTGCCCTGCACCTCAAAGCCTCTCCCCGCAACCGGCCCGAGGAGCGGGGCCTGAGGTAGACTGTGCGGGAGTTCCTGGGCTTCCCTCTGCCCAGTCCAGGGAGGAGGAGGGAACCTCTCGCCCCAGCCCATGGTCCTTGTCCCCGGATGTGGGTGACATCGTGGCGTGAGCCCCTGGCCACCGTCCTCTGCCCGCTACTCCAGCTGGCAGAACGCTGGCATATCAGTGGGGTGGAGAGTGAGGGGGAGAAAGCGATGACCCCACTCAGCACGGCCTCAGGACGCAGAAGTCCAGCTCCTGGGGCTTGCGGTGCAAGTTGCACTGGTCCCGGGCCAGCAGCCGGCCTCCGTGGCCCACACACTTGAGTGAGCGCCTCTGAAATCCCCGGCCGCAGCTCTTGGAGCAGGGTGACCAGGCGCTGAGCTCCCAGGTGGGGCAGGGCTCCCCGCAGGCTTGTGTCTCCACGGGCCGATGGGCTGCATCACAGGCAGGGACCGTGCGCTGCCCGGCGGAGCCCCGGCAGTCCACCGCCCGCTTCTGCAGGCCACTGCCGCAGCTCGCGGAGCACGGCCCCCAGCTGCCAGCCACCCAGCGTGCAGGGGGCCTGTCGTCCGGCTGCTCCACCTGGTTGGAGAGGCTGAGGACGCTGTTGTGCAAGACAGAGGGTCCCCGGGGGTCCTTGGGATGAGAGGACTTGTCCTCCCGAGGCTCTTTGGGCAGATAGAAGGAGTAGCGGACCCGGGGCGGTGTCATCTTCCCCACGGAGAGGACCTCCACGGTCAGCGGCTCCAGGATGGGCCGGGAAGCCTGCAGGCTCTCCACCGCTGTGCCCGTGCCGCTGTACCGCAGCAGACTGCCCTTCACCACCAGGTCCCGCTCCACCGCCGACACCACGAAATGCCCGTTGAGCAGGTACTTGCCTTGGCTGTTCTTCAGAGCCAGGTAGTTGTCATCCCCGATCAGCCCTTTGTAACCGCGCTGGCGGATGTCGATGCTTGAGGCGCCTGCGGGGATGGCCACCACGAAATTGTAGCCATGCCTGGCGGGGGAAAGGGGGGCCGTGCATCAGATAGAAGCCTGGACCTGAGGACCTTATGCTCCAGGATCTGTTTTCCTCAGTAAACCTAGCTTTCGGTGAATTCTGGCATGGGAGTAAAAGCACAGGTTTTGGAGTCAGAGAGGTCCCTGCCCCTTGGCGATTGGTGCTGGAAAGCTGCTGAACTTCTCCAAGCCTCCACATCCTCACCTGTAAAGTGGAGCTCAGAATTCCACACACCTCACTGAATTGCAGGGAGGACTGAGTCCACCAAAGCACAGAAAGCATGTAGCGTGGTGCCTGGCACACATCAAGGATATGTAGACATCTGCCATGAGGACGAGGAGGAGGAGGAGGAGGAGGAGGAGGGGTGGGGCGGGAGGAGTAAGTCCACCATCCCAGAGCCTGAGGCTAGGAGCTCAATGCAGTGAGAGGACACTGGCCCTGGAGGCAGGGACGCAGATCCAGCCTGGCTCACACGCCAACTCCTGGCAATTTTAAGCAAGCCAGTATCTCTGGATTCTGGTGTCCTCATCTGCATAATGAGTAGGTTAAGCTAAATGATTTCTAAGGCTCCTTCCAGCTCCAACAGGCTGTAAAAGGAACATCTGCCACTTAACCAGTGAGGCAAGCCTGGGGTATGTACCTCCCACTCCCCACGTGGCCTTGCCACCACAGGTCCCTGCAAAGCACAGCCTGGAATGCCATCCGTCCCTGGTGCCCGAGCTCCCAGAGACAGGGCTGGGCATCCTCCCTTCGCATCACCACCCAGGGGCTCAGGAGAGGGCGACGTGTCCAGGGGCACAGTCAAGGCTCCAGGACAGCCATCTAGGCCTTTCCATCACCAGCACCTGGGCTCCCAAATTTTCTAGGCCAACCATAGCCTCCACCCCTAACTGGGACCTCAGGTGCCCTGCCTACCCCCTCTTCTTCTAGAACGTGGGTCAGGGCTTTCCAAGGAGCATATGTTTGACCTCAGGAAGCTCAAGCTGGGAGGCCCAGATTCTGAAGTTGGGACTAGATGCCCAGGGATTGCCCAAGACGTGAAGACTCCTTCAGTCCCAGCTGCCCACTTGCTGTCTCTTGGCAGTTTATTGCCATTCTCACCTCAATCTGATCCCCAAGGTCAGGGCCTCAGGCCCAGGGAGAGGCTGGCAGCTGTCACGTTCAGCCTCATCAAGGTGAAGCTACGATGCTAACCGTGTTACTTGGACTAACTCCCTTATTCCCCACAAGAGCACACATGAAATATATTAGTATTATACCCACTTTACAAGTGGGGACATCTAGAGACCTGGAGATTGAGTTCACTTGCCCAAGGTCATCCAGAAAATGGGTAACTGCGATCTGAATCAGGTCGGTCTTACTCTAGAACACTATACAGCCCCTAACAACTCTGCCCACCTTCCTGAATACCATCTCCTGTTAAGTGGGTCTTCCCCCAGCATTCGTCTTTGCTTGCTGAAAGAATGAATGAATGAATGAATGAGTGAATGAATGAGTGAGTGAAGGACTAGCAGCCCTAGAAGGGTATGGGTGGCCTCTGCAGCAAGGGTACTGGCTGGATCTGACATTTACCCCAGTCTAACCCAAGCTTCCAATACCCTGGGAAACTCCACCTCCCTCCCTTTGCTCCCTGGCAGGACCTTCAGGGCCCAGAACTCACATGGGCTTGGTGAAGAGTCCAGTCACCTTCTTGCAGCTCTTATTGTCTCCCCCACACACCCCACACTTGTCGAATCTCTTCTTGGAGCCCAGGTTCCCATCACAGCCAGCCTTGATGCACTTGCCTTGGACACAGACGGAGGTGGAGTCAGGAGAGCACAGCGTGCCGTCCACCACCTGCAGCACCCCAGAAGGGGAAAAAGAAGGAAGAGCAGGGCAGCTCAGCTGATGCTCCCCGGAAGACCTGGTCCCTACTTTGTTCTCAGGCCCCAGGCTCACTCACCTTGGGTGCCAGCACATAGAAGTAGCCAGTGCCATTGGCTCGGCAGATGAGCTTGCACTTGTCCCGGGGAGACACGCCGGAGTACTTGGGCACCCATGCCACGGCGAGAGTGAGCCGGTTGGTGCTGTGGTTGTAGCCGTTGAAAGCCTCACACTGCTCCTCCCGGAAGCTCTTTCCGGAGGCTAGGGAGGGAGAAGCATAAGAAAGAAGTTGAGGGGAAGGGACAAGGCCGGTGCAAAGGACAAGCCTCCCTCCCAGCCTGCCGTGGCTCTCTTAGCCCTTCCCACCCTCATCACCAAAGCTGCAACCTCCCCCCATCTGAAAGCACTAAAGCAGGCTGGGCCCAAAGGACCCAGGGCGCAGATGAAAACACATCCCCTGAGCTATGCACAACCTTCTCCAGTAACCCAGCCTCAAACTCCCTCTAGGTTGCAAACTATTTTCAGAATAATGTAACTCAGTGCATAAAGTAAATTATATAGATTAACGACAACACCAGTTACATTTGCTATACAACTATCGATATATTTTGAAACAAGTCTGTGATATACATGCTTTTTTGTTAATGCATTAAATATGATTCAGTGCTGGACACACTGGCTCATGCCTGTAATCCCAGCACTTTGGGAGGCCGAGACGGGCAGATCACCAGAGGTCAGGGATTCAAGACCAGCCTCACGAACATGGTGAAACCCCATCTGTACTAAAAACACAAAAATTAGCTGGGCATGGTGGCAGGCACCTATAATCCCAGCTGCTTGGGAGGCTGAGGTGGGAGAATCGCTTGAACCTGGGAGGTTGAGGTTGCAGTGAGCCGAGATCGCGCCACTGCACTCCAGCCTGGGCAACAGAGTGAGTGAGACTCTACCTCAGAAAATATATATATATATACATATATATATATATATATATATACACACATATATATATATATATATATATATATACACATATATATATATATATATGTATATATATATATGATTCAGTAATGAACCTGATAACTACTATAATTCTGAAGTAAGGATGAGCTTAAACAGCATTTTGAAAATTCTGCAACAACCAAAATGTCACGTGAAAATATCCATGGTTCCTATTGATGACAAAGTCACAGGTACTTCTACTACTATTGTAGTTTTGTTGTCTAACTGAAAGAAATACTAAATTTTAGATGGAAAGGTAGTTAAAAAAATACTAATTTCTCCCTGAAAGAAATACTAAATGTTAGATAGAAACATTAATAAAAATAGAGATGTAATTTTGTTTTCCCCATCAAGTTCTTGGGCTCTGGAGTCCTGCTTACAAAGATGGGCTGGGCAGGCCTCAGATAAGAGGACTTCTAGTGTATCATTCCCCTGATCCATTTAGTCTCCCAGGCTAAGCATCCAGAAGGAAACACCCTTGCCAAAGGTGAGTGGAAAGAGGAATGATCCCAAGAAGAATCTGCACCTCTCCACTTCCAGGCTTTGTCCTGAAGGTTGGAATCCTGACTGCAGTCCCTTTGTCATCAGCAGGAATCCATGATAGAAATACTAGACTACCTGAATTACCTGTGTACCCAATTACCTGGAGGCCATGCATTACATGGAGTAGGGGTGGGGTGGGGGGACCTCCAGCCTCACCTCCCCTGGGCCCAGGCCACCACTGCTCTCCCCACCTCACCTGAGCTGGGGCAGGGCTCCAGATTGCAGGATCGGTATTTCACCCTCACTCCCTCGCAGTACTTGCCCCCGTTGGCAGGGGTGGGGTTGGTGCACTGCCTCCTGGCCAGCTGCACGCCCCCACCACATGTGCGCGAGCAGGGGCCATAGGGATCCCATTTGGCCCAGGAACCATCCACCTGTGAGGAAGAGCCTGTTATATTCCTTGGTGGATCCAGGTGCCACACCCAGCCCCTCAGCCCATAGAAAACTACACTGTACAGCCTCCAAGTTCTCATCCCACCTTCCTGGAATGAAATTAATGTTGTATCATGAAGGAAAAAACAATAAACAAATGGCCAGTGCACACCAAGCCCACCCGACATTCCAACCAACTAATGAGCAAACAGCAACTGCTCCCAGGTGCAAAGGAGGCCGTGCAAAAGAGAGGCCTCTTTGGGCAGTAGAGTGAGACAGATGTGAGATGTGTTTTCCTTTTTTTTTTTTTTTTTTTTTTTTTTTGTTGAGGTGGAGTCTCCCTCTTTTGCCAAGGCTGGAGTGCAATGGCACAATATTGGCTCACTGCAACCTCCACCTCCCAGGTTCAAGTGATTCTCCAGCCTCAGCCTCCCGAGTAGCTGGGATTACAGGTGCCGGCTACCATGCCCGGCTAATTATTTTTTTTTTTTTTTTTTTTGAGATGGAGTCTCACTCTTTCGCCCAGGCTGGACTGCAGTGGCGCTATCCCGGCTCACTGCAAGCTCCGCCTCCTGGGTTCACGCCATTCTCCTGCCTCAGCCTCCCGAGTAGCTGGGATTACAGGCGCCCGCCACCACGCCCGGCTAATTTTTTGTATTTTTAGTAGAGATGGGGTTTCACCGTGTTAGCCAGGAAGGTCTCGATCTCCTGACCTCGTGATCCGCCCGCCTCGGCCTCCCAAAGTGCTGGGATTACAGGCTTGAGCCACCGCGCCCGGCCTTATTTTGTATTTTTAATAGAGACGAGGTTTCACCATGTTGGCCAGGCTGGTCTCAAACTCCCGACCTCAAGTGATCCGCCCTTCTCAGCCTCCCAAAGTGCTGGGATTACAGGCGTGAGCTACCGCGCCTGGCCAGACATGTTTTCAACGGACTCTGCCCACACCACAGCACCCTAGTGGGCTTGAGCAACGGGCAAACCCTCCTTAGCTTTCCGGTGCTTCACTTGCAAAAATGGGTTTGATAATACTAATACTCGGGCCTGATGTCAGATGGATGACAGAAGTGGCGTAACAGGCACGAAAATTCCCAGCACCACGCTGGCCCCGGCAAAAGTTCAGAGAGTGCTCTTATCTCACAGCTTGCCGGGAATAAAAGGAAAAAACAGAAAAGATTCCCTTTATTTGTTGTTAGTGCATTCACAGGCATCCCTAAGGCATGGCCACCCCCAGCCCTGCGGATAAAAAATGTCACCATAGACGTGAATGTTTTTCTTCCTTAGTGTTCTATAATTCAGACTTGATGCCAGACCAAACTGATCTTAACCTCGATCAGGGGCTGTATTTGAGAAAGTTTCACCGTGAACCATTCTGAAGTTTCTTTTAAGAAGAGATAAAGATAAGACATTATTAAGCAATCCTAAAACTCGGTTTGGCTTTGGGGTGAATTGTGCAGTGTTTTGGAGGACTTTTTTTTTTTTTTAGGTTTTTTTTTTAGTTTTTTTAAACAGGGTAGAAAGAGAATAAAATTTACATTGTCCATGATGTTTTCCTTAGAATGACAGTGAAATGAGTTTGGATCCTCTGAACACACATCAGTTGAGCAATAGAGGAAGCAGCCCGGCTGCTGTACTCGCCTGGAATTAAAACTCTGCCACCGACCGTCCCTCACAGTGCCTAACTCACATGGAACTAAGCAGGAACTGGCTGCATGTGATGGAAACACTTTAACCTGTGTACATATCCAGCATATTTATTCAATCTACCCTTTTGTCAGATAGCTTTTGTTTCATTTTGTCAAAATCTGTTTGATCCTATAAAAACCACCACCGCCGTCCTTCCACCCTGCTTTGGCCTCAAACTACTCAAACTAGCGCCTCACCTCATTCCATCCTTTCACTCCCTGACAGCGTCACCCACGTTTGCTCTTTCCTCATACTCACTCCCCAGAGCCTTGCACTGTGGGTTTTGTCCCCATCACACCCCAGAAGCTGCCCCCTCAAAAGCCACAATGGCCATCAGAAGACTGAAAGAGTGTGCCTAGGCCTCAAGATCCCCAATTCTTCTTCAGCACATAGCACTGTTCCTGCAGCTGCTGAGACAATGCTACCTGGTTTTTATTTGGTATCATTGCTTCCTATTTGAACAAAAAACATTCACTGTGCTCCCGCCCTGTGCCATTCACTCATTCCTTCACCAAACACTTGTGGAAGTACCTGCCCTCAGAGCAATTACTCCCTAGTGGGGAGACAGACAATAAAAATGAATCCGTGAACACAGAGCATTGGGTGGGCTTCATAGCAGGTGGTAGGGAGGAGTTGGGAAGGGCTGCTCTGGATTATGGGGGCCCCTCTTGTGCCTGAAGGAAGTACAGGTGGCATAAGCCAGGCAGACATCAGGGAAAGGGCATTCCAAGCAGAGGGAGAAAGTGCACAGGCCCTGAGAGGAGATGAGCCTGAAGTAAGCCAGTGTCACTAGGGCCAACAAGGCAGCGAGAAATGGGAGCCGGGGCAAAGCCCCTAAAGGGTGCTGAGCAGAGAAGTGGCATAACCTAAGGTGCATTCCAAAAGAGCTGCCATGGCGGGAATCATCTGTAAGGAGTAAGATCAGAAGCAGGGAGACCAGTTGGAGGCAACTGCATTAATCCAGGGGACAGGGGGTGGTGGCTGGGACCAGGGTGAGAGCAGATGAAGTGGTGAGAAATGATCCTGGATCTGCCTTGAAGATGGTATCCACAGGGACGTGGAGATACAGGGTGTGAAGCATGTGAGAGAAACAGGGTTTCAGGTTGAGCAACCAGAATGTGGAGTTGCCAGCGCAGCTTCAGGGGAGATGACCAGGAGCTCAGTCTCACAGACACATGTATAAGATGCTAATCAGGTGTCCAATGGACACGTCCAGATTCCCTTAGAGAAGCAAGTCTGTAGGTCAGGAGCGAGGCCTGGACTGAAGATGCAAATTTGGGAGTCTTCAAGCTCTAAATGGTATTTAAAGCCATGGTCTAGATGAATCAGCGAAGAGATTGAGTGTGGATGGTGAAGAGGGAAAGGAATGAGTGCCGAAGCACTCCAAACTTCAGAAAATGAGAGTACAGGCCGGGCGCGGTGGCTCACGCCTGTGATCCCAACGCTTTGGGAGGCCGAGGTGAGCAGATCACCTGAGGTCAGGAGTTCGAGACCAGCCTGACCAACATGATGAAACCCCATCTCCACTAAAAATACAAAAATTAGCCAGGTGTGGTGGCGGGCGCCTGTAATCCCAGCTACTGGGGAGGCTGTGGCAGGAGAATCGCTTGAACCCGGGAGGTGGAGGTTGCAGTAAGCCAAGATCATGCCACCGTACTCCAGCCTGGACAACGAGAGTGAAACTCTTGTCTTAAAAAAAAAAAAAAAGAAAGAAAAGAAAAGAAAAAAGAAAATGAGAGTACAAGGAAGAAGCAGTAAAGGTAATGAGAAGGGGAGGGGCAGCGTGAGGAGGAGGAGGACAACCGAGAGGCAGTGGAGACCCTGTTCCAGGGCCCAGAGCTCTGGGTTGCCAGAAATGCTGCTAGCCGGCTGGACGATGGGAGGAAAGGTAACAGTCACTGACCTTCGTAGTGTGCAGGCCATTTGGTAGCCTTAATAAGAGTTGTTTTGGAGAAATGATGTCAGTCAAAGCCTGTTTGGAATGGGCAGCAGAGAAAAGTGGGAAGATGGAATTGGAGACAGCAAGCTTGTACAACTCCTTCCGGGAACCTGCTGTGAAGGGAGTCAGAGAAACAGACCACAGAGGAAGTGGGATCATAAGAAGTTTTGTTTCAGATGGGAGAAATTACAACAGGTTTGTATTCTAAAAGGCATGATTCAGCTCAAGATTGGGAAATACTGGCACTGCAGGAGAGAGAGAATTGATCAGCGATGTCCCTAACAAGCGAGAGGGGATGGGGTTCCCGCGCAAAGCACACAGCATGGCCTCAGATCACAGCAGGGACAATTCAGCCACTGTAAAGGGGGACAGTGGAGAACAGGTGCGGAAGCAGGTCGGGAGGTGGGTGGAAGTTCCCTTCTGATTACTTGGTTTTTTCCCCCGTCGGGAAATGAGAAGAAAGGTCATCAGTGAAAGCTGAAAAGGAGGAAGAAAGAGTTAGTAATGGGAGGAGAGAGGTGATGGTGGGTGTGAACTAACGGTTCAGGAGGTTGGGAGAGTAAGCCAACTGGGGAAATGAAATATATGACTCCTGGACAGCATTATGGGCCCACCTAAATTTCTGGGTCATCAATTTATTTTACTTTTTTCTTTTTCTTTTTTTTTTTTTTCCTTGAGATGGGATCTCACTCTGTCACCCAGGCTGGAGTGCAGTGGCGTGATCATGGCTCAGTGCAACCTCTGCCTCCCGTGTTCAAGCCATCCTTCTGCCTCAGCCTCCTGAGTAGCTGGAACTACAAGCATCTGCCACCACATCCCACTAATTTGTGTATTTTTTGCAGACATGGGGTTTTGCCATGTTGCCCAGGCTGGTCTCAAACTCCAGGGCTCAAGGGATCCTCTTGCCTCAGCCTCCCAAAGTGCTGAGATTACAAGTGGGGGCCAATGTGCCCAGCTCAGATCATGAATTTAAACTGAGACCAGTGAGCACAATTGCATGTTTTTCTCACTGGGTGAGGCATGATGGGAAGGCATGATGGGAAGGGTGAGGCATGATGGGAAGGTTGTTGTAGCAATAGATTGTAGGCCCAGATGGGATTGAGGAATTGTTGGAATCCAAAACCCAGAGGGAGTAATCTGGGAAGACAGGGCCTTGGTGGTCAGAATGGGATTCCTGAAACAGATCTGTGGGAGCTGCAGTGATTTGTAAGACATGCTTTATGATCTGACCTCAGCCAGTGAGGGCAATGACTTCCATGAAGGTTTCCTGGAAAGTTTCAGTTAAAACAAGGTGGCCAAGGGATTGTTTAGAAAAGAGGTTGAGGAGGTAGATCTTGCCTGATCATAGACAGAATTCCAGAAAGTGTGGAAAGATGGTGCTTCTCAGACTGCATTTTCTCTATCCAATATTATCTCACCTTGTCTCTGCATCCTCCAGCCTCATCTTCTCAGGACGAGGCACTGGCCACATATTGCCTGTCCTCAGGACCTTCTAGTGCCTGGCAATCAAGGTGGCTGCTGTCTGGCCCCAAATGACCTTCCTGAAGATGGTTCCCATAGAGCCCTCATCTACACAGCCCTGCAGCTCACTCCGACCTGCCCAGGACCGCCCGCCTCCTTGCCTTGCTCTGTTTCTGCCTACAGGGATCCTACTTATCCCTCAGCCTCTCTTCAAATCCAACCTCCTCCAAGTTTTCTCAGCCCCCTCTCATCATCATTAATCTCTTGACCCTGGTTCTCCCGTGACAATTTTCATCCTTCTGTCCTTCCGCATAACATGTGCCTCTCTGTGTCTTGTATCACAGCTACAATTCGAGCTTCCCCACTTGACTGTGAGCTCTCTGAGGCATGGCCTGTGTTTTATTTCTTTTTCTGACCACCACAGTATCTTACACAGTTCCCTGAACACAGTGGGTTTTTGCCTAGCCAACGGTTGAAGGTTTAATTAGACATGTATCCCCAGAACACAGAAAAACATTTTAAATAATTCTGTGCCATACTCATCTCAGGGCAATTGATAATGTGCTTGGTGGATGCTTTTTTGTGACACTGCCTCTGTGCCCAGAGGCAAGTCGTCCCCGAGCTGAGAACAGGGGATGGGAAGGGACAGTCAGCTCCAGGATCCGGGAGGAGAACAGACCTCTTATTCCTGCCCGGAAAAGTACAAATCCCTCTCCTACCCCCAAAACCCCCAAAACAAGACCTGAACAAGATAAAGTTATTATATACAGAGAATATTTGGCATTCTGAATGTGTTCTTGTTTGGTTGCTATTCGTATTTATCAGGAGGGAAAACAAGTATTATTCAACTATGTTCCTGCTAAAGAAAAACAGCAATCGCAACAGAAATGGAAGCTTGATTCAGAATGCAGCCAATTCCCGAAGCTTGCCCAGGGCTTTGCTTCATTGCAGCTCTGAGCCCTGTTCCTGAGCATGGTCCCCAGCTCCCTGGGTGTGGAACACACTGGGAAAGAGTGGATGAGAGAAGGAAGGGATGAGCCAGCGAGTGAGCCGCTCCTGACACTATGTGTTCAGTTTTGAGCCCAGAGCTCCTCCCCAGGTAGGACGAGGCCCGGAGCTCAGGGCTGAGACCCCACGTCCTGTTGAAGGCTTTTCCCCATGTGTCTGAGGCCTCACCAAGTCCTCTGACCTGCCATAGCTTTTCTCTCCGGTCTTAGAGTCAAGAAGGGGATAGGACTATATACAGGGCAGTGAAGGCACAGCTCAGCCATGCAACAGTGCTGGTCCCGTGGCCAGTCTGTGATAGGCACCTTCCTGGTGAAGACCAAGGGCAGACGAGGCCCCCGGGTCTCCATCCCTCCTCCCAGCAGTCCCCGAGCGCAGCTCCAGCACTCACTCACCCTGTGCTTGTTGAGGTTGTGTCTCTCCACGCAGGCCCCTTTGAGGCAGAGCTTGCCCTCGCCACAGCTGGTGCCATCGGCCCAGGGGAAGTGGCGGGTCTGGCACACCATCTGTCCCTTGGCCTTCCCGGTGCACCACAGCTTGGTGCAGTACTGCATGTAAGGACAGGGCTTGGAGCCCACGCCAAAAGCCAGCTCGCACTGCTGGCTCAGGGTGTAGCTGGCGCCCGGCAGATCCTCGGGCAGGGAGATGGGCTTGCTGGGTTGGTCCAGGAGGCAGTCACCTGCAGAGAGCCGAGGGCGTTCGTTAGGATGAGCTGGGAAGATGAGGTTTGGCTAGCCCAGAATCTGAATGGTAAGGGGATAATGAACCAAGGGCAACAGGAATGCACTCATGTCAGAGCCCGGCTCCGAGGGGGCACACACACCTAATGTACAGAGGACGGAGAAGTGAGCACCTCCACCAGGGGCAGCAGCAAAGCCCCCTCCGAGGCGGCCTCATTGCCCTCCCGCCGTCCTGGCTTACCGTGCCCGCTGTCCAGGAAGTCGGTGATGATGGCAGCACTGCAGGCTGACCAGGGGTTGGCACGGTCGATCTGGATGAGGGTCGGGGACATCATGTGGTTGGCTCGGAGCTTCCCAAACACCTCCTCACAGACTTTCACATTGTCATGGGGCATGTTGAACACGTGGCCTGTGGGGTAAGGCAAGAGGACTGAGAGGGCAGGAGGAAGGACATGGGGGTTGGAGGGAGGAATGGGGCAGGGGAACTAGAAAGCCCATGTCAGAGGTTTTCAGGCTGGTCATTGCCAACTATCGACAGACTGCTTTCAAATGTCCTCAAGATCATGTTCTTGTGTTTTCTGTCCCCTCCGTCAGGCTGTGGGCTCCCTGACAACAGAGTGTACCTCCTTGTCGTTAACATGGTGTCCCCACAGTGCCTAAGTGCTGAGACACTCTGCCAAGGGGCTCAAACCACGTCATTGGCCAGCGGGGCTGGGGCAATCGGAAAAAGTACAAAGCTGCTGCTAAGGCTCACTGTGCCCTAAGAAGGGGTCCTAAGGCTTCAGAACACAAGGGGGCAAAGACACACGTCTCCCACCCTCCAGGCTCCCCAGGCAAACCCAGAAGACCCCAGGAGGAGCTTATCCAGCCTTACCCAGCTCGTGGGCAGTGGTGAAGGCTGATGGAAGCCCATCGTCCTCAATGACAGAGCAGCTTCTCTTGGGGTCACACATGGTACCCACATCAGCCATGCCCAGGGTGTCACAGGTGGTGGCTCCACACAGGTCCTGCCGGGTGGGGGAGAAGCAGAAGCCAGCCCGAAGTTAGAGACAGTGACAGAAGGGACCTGAAGGGAAGAAAGGACATCCTATAGGACATTCCAGCTCATCTCATTCCAACCTCACCAGGCCCAGCACCTTCCAGCTGGGCTCTTCTTCCTAGGAGGTTGTGGGGCTGTTCACAGAATCAACCTGGCTGAGGGAGGAAACCCAGGAAGAGCTCTGTGGCTTCACCAAAAACACTCTGCCCAAACCCTATGCAGGGAGGTCCTCTGGGAGGAAATTAGGAGGTACAAAATTAAACTACAAGGGCCACTACTTTATAGAGAGACGGCCCTCCAGACCAGAAAAACAGTGACTCCCATAGCCAAGGGAGGCTCGCTGAGGCAACAGGGAGGAAGCCAGTCCCATTCCCACCCAGAGGCAGCTTCGAGCAGCCTCGGTCTTTGCTGGGCTGCCTTTTGGCCAACCATGAATTAAGTTAAGATTCTCAGCCAGAGGGCTGCTGGCCAAGGACCCACCCATGCCAGTGATCAGGCTGGGAGGAAGCATTGAGGTGGACCCCAGACCCCATCCCGGCACAGTTTCATTGGCTACAGAAGCTCAAGGGGACACACGCTCAGTGGCTGCTAGGAAGAAAGATACATGAAATAGAGAGATGGCCACCTAAGCAGGAAGGTCCCTCGTTTTGTACTGAAGCTTAACTTGGCCACAGAACCTAGGGCCTCCAGCAGAAAACCCTGACAGGAAGTATTCCCAGGGGACGCAGAAAGGCAGGATAGGGCTTCCGGGGTGGATATCTCAAAGAACTTACTGAGCATCGTTGGCCAGAAACACATTCAGATAACTTAAAAGCCCAAAAGTTGGAAATAGGATAAGACATTTGTGTACATTCTGCTCCTCTTAAGAAGACGTGTGTTGGGCCAGGCACGGTGGCCCACACCTGTAATTCCAGCACTTTGGGAGGCCGAGGCAGGTGAATCACCTGAAGTCAGGAGCTCAAGACCAGCCTGGCCAACATGGCGAAACCCCATCTCTACTACAAATACAAAAATCAGCTGAGCATGGTGGCAGGTGCCTGTAATACCAGCTACTAGGGAGGCTGAGGCAGGAGAATCGCTTGAACCTGGGAGGCAGAGGTTGCAGTGAGCCAAGATCACACCATTGCACTCCAGCGTGGGCGACAAGAGCAAAACTCCGTCTCAAAAAAAAAAAAAAAACAGAAGATGTGTGTTGAATCAGTGATGCTGGTTCTCTCATTACATCGCTGCCTTTAATGCATAAGGCATTCTGCATTTCACAGGAAGCTGCTACATGTGTCACCTCATTTAATCCTCACAATAGGCTTATGATGCAGACATATTATTGTATCTATGTGTCAGAGGTGGGAACTAGGCTCATGCCTATAGTTCATCATGGCTATGATGTATTAAATGCTGACACTGTGCATGCACTTTGCACACACAGCCCTATTTAATCCTCACAACATCCCACTGAAATAACGACTATTACTACCACCTTCCACAGGCAAAGAAGCATGTGTCTGCATGCATGTGCACGTATATGCAAGGCCACATGTGCATCTGTGTACATGCTGGCAAGGGGCGAAGGTGGGCAGCAGCACAGCGCAGGGAGCCAGGAGCCAGGGGGCATGGGAGGAAAAGCGGTCAGAGTACAGAAAATCAGCAAAATTTAATCCAAAGCACTCAGAGGTTTACCACCTGAGCAGTCAAACTTGGCTTCCCACGGTCAGATGATAGTCACACCTCCTAATGAGTGAACAGTTATTCCGAGGGTGACCAGCCTGAACCCGGGTGCACCAGAGGCAGTGATGTGTGCCCTGCACACCCAGCCAGGTCTGCCACCTGTGCTTGCTGGAAGCACTACCTCCACTTCTAGGAGCCCCATGGAGGACTTCAAATGCCCTTCTCTTCCCATATTCTTTCGTCTTCAAAGACCCACTCTCCCAGAAAGTTTTCCTTCCCAAGAGCTCTGAAACCTAGAAAACAACCACTGTCAAAACTTGGGAGGGGCCTGGGCGCAGTGGCTCATGCCTGTAATCCCAGCACTTTGGGAGGCCAAGGCAGGCAGATCGCTTAAGTCTAGGAGTTCAAGACCAACCTGGGAAACATGGTGAGACCCTGTCTCTACAAAACATAAACAAAATTAGCCAGGCATGATGGTGCACACCTGTAATCCCAGCTCTGCCTCCCAGGTTCAAGCGATTCTCCTGCCTCAGCCTCCCTAGTAGCTGGTATTACAGGCACCTGCCACCATGCTCAGCTAATTTTTGTATTTGTAGTAGAGATGGGGTTTCGCCATGTTGGCCAGGCTGGTAGGAGGAGGCTGAGGTAGGAGGATCACTTGAGCCTGGGAGGGTAATCTACAGTGACCCGTGATCACGCCACTGCATTCCAGCCTGGGTGACAGAGCAAGACTCTGTCTCAAAAAAAAAAAAAAAAAAAAAAAAAACACTTGGGAGGGGACCTTCACCCGACCAGCAGTTTAGGGAATGTGACAGCTGAGAAACATGGATCAGCGTGTGAACTGTGGGGAAGGGAGCCAAGATGAGGGCAGGGATGAAGGCTCTTGCAAGGGCATAGTGAAGGATGTAGGTGTAGGACGGGTGTGGTGTAGGACCCAGCAAGGCTGGAGCTCTGGACATTCTAGCCTAGCAGTTGCAGCCTGCGGGGGCAGGCACCTACCCTTGCCTCTGGGCTGCCCTGCACACTCACTGCTCCCTGTGTAAGAGGGAGAGGGCGCAGAAATAAGAATCAAGAAGTCTAGATTCCGGTCCTGGCCCTATCACTAAGTAGATGTGTGACTTTATCCAAGTCCTCTCTCTTCGGGGCCTTGGTTTCCTGCTCTGGGGAAGGGCCAACTTTCAACTAGAGCCTGAATCAACCAGTGCTTTCAGCCTCTGCTCCTTCCCCAGTCCCAGAGCATGCAGCCCCTTCTGGCCCTGTAGGTTATAAAGGGAACCCACAGAATGACATATTTTTAGAACCCCAAGGAACATCTTGTCTACTGACCCAAGTCATGTAGTTGACAGCACTCGCTCTCAGAAAAGTGGAAGTCACCCACGTGGAGATTCAGAGTCCTGTTCCCCGGCCCCGCTCTTCAGAAATGCCTAGACCAGGCAGGATGCAGTGGCTCGGGCCTGTAATCCTAGCACTTCGGGAGGCCAAGGCGGGAGGACGACTTGAGGCCAGGAGGTCAAGACCAGCCTGGGCAGCGTAACAAGACCCCATCTCTACAAAAATTAAAATTTAAAAAAGAAAGAAAGAAACCGCTAGACCAGATTGAATGCTCAGACTGGGATCTAGAGGGCGTCTGGAACTCAGCCACCCCGCAGCCGCCTCTGTGGCTGGGAAGTCCTTACGGCCAAAAGCCTCCTTCCTCCTAGGGAGGGTGGATTTTCTCTGGAGCAAAGACATGCAGCTGCAGGCCCTTCTTGGCCAGAAGCAACCTGTTCTTTCCATCAAGAAGTCCCGGTTTCCCTGGATCAAATGAGAGGAACAAGGAAAGAGCCGGCAAATTTCCTGAGGGTAAGAGTGGCTCTGGAAGCAGCCGTCTTGCAGTAACCAGCGTCTTCACTGTGGGAAGACACAGCTGTATGGGGTCAGAAGCTCTGCCTGTCCTCCTCCCCACCCCGGCAGGGACTCAATGAAGAACCGCTGGGCCTCTGCACTTTGAACGCCTACGAGTGCTTATACAGGGGCCCAGCAGTGCCTCCTTTGTGGCATCAAAAATCTCCACCCTTCTGGAATGAACTCAGAGGCACTAAAACTGCCTTAACCTCTTCAGCCCAAGTGCTTGCCTCCAAAAAACAGAAGCTGTTCTGCCTTCTTCCTCCCAGAAGGTGTAGGTATTCCTAACCCAGCCCCTACCTGCCTCACGATTCCCAGCAATTGGCTGTTTTTCTTTGTAGCTGCAGCCACTTTTCCAGATGATCCTGGAATCATCTTGGCCAGGAACCTTAATCCTCCTGGACTGTTATTTTCTAACTGTCCCTTCTTATAAAATAATTTAGGATTGGAGCCACACCTTAAATAAATAAACAAGGATAACATCTGACAGTAGCTTGTTTACCAGTGTCACTCCATACACACCTCCACCACGATTCCCACCAGCTGCCATCCCTGTGAACCACCTTCCTACCTCTTCTCATTTCCCAGGCATGTACCAAGATGCTCAATGTTTTCCAGCAGTACAAAGACAGAGGGATGCACAAAAATCAAGCACATTAACTTTTTTTTTTTTTTTTGAGACTGAGTCTCGCTCTGTTGCCCAGGCTGGAGTACAGTCGTGTGATCTCGGCTCACTGCAACCTCTGCCTCCCGGGTTCAAGCATCTCGTGCCTCAGCCTCCCGAGCAGCTGGGATTACAGGCATGCGCCACCACGCCTGGCTAATTTTTGCATTTTGAGTAGAGACTGGGTTTCACCGTGTTGGCCAGGCTGCTCTCGAACTCCTGGCCTCAAGTGATCCACCCACCCCAGCCTCCCAAAGTGCTGGGATTACAGGCATGAGCCACCGCACCTGGCCGCACTTTAACATTTTTAATGTGGCAGAAGACATACGCATTCTCATGTAGCGGACTTTGCTTCCATTGAAGTTCTAGGCAGGAGAGCCAGAGCTCATCTCTGCGGCTACATCACAGCATCCAGGTATTATACTCACAGGACTGCAGGGCTGTCTTCTCATGCTGCGGATGAGGAAACTGAGGCTCAGTGACTTGAGATTATGCACCCCAGTCCCCATGGCTATTAAGCAAAGAATGAGGTCCCCAATCCAAAGCTATGTTCTTTGGTCTAAATCATGCAACACTAGTTAGGAGACCATAATTACTGGTGAAAAGCACCCTGCGCTAGTATTACTACTGTACCTTTAACTTGTTTCCCATCCGAATCTCTGCCATGCATCACTGTATTTCCTTGTCCAGCCCAAAATCCATGTCTGTTTGTAATCCCCAAGGATGGGAGGGCCTTGCTTTGCTAGAAGAAATAAAATCTAGCAATTCAGTGCCTTGGCAATGTGACGAAGAATGTTAGTTACTTCTACTGGCAGATTCTATTTCACTGGCATATAAATCCCTCCAGATGTACAAAATGGTAATACTGCAAGAGAGTGAGGTCACCAAAACAATAATAATTACCTCAATGAGGAAGAAGAGGGACCCCAAGCTTGCAAGAAGGCTAAATCTTCTATAAAAAAAAAATCACCCCTTCAAGAGAGAGGGCGCCTACAAGAAGAGCGATAATAGCTAACAGTTACTGACTGGCTACTGTGTGCCAGACTGTCGCGAGAGTTTTATCTGCCTTCATTCATTTAATCCTCACAGCTGTAGGAAGAAGATGCCATTATCAGGCCCCATCGCACAGAAGAGACCCAGAGAAGGTAAGTAACTAGCCCAGGGTCACACAGTAAGCCCAAGGTTAGACAGAGAGGAAGGGCGCAGAGTGAGGATTGAAGTCCAGGCAGCACAGCGGCAGGGTTGAGCTGTCACCATGACTTCCTGCTGCCTCTGGTGCATATCGCCCCAAGAATGGAAGGCCTCGCCCTGTAGCTCAAGCAAGTGCCGGTTGACACTGAGTGGGGAGAGGCCTGGGGAGAGGGAGAGGCAGGATTAAGTGCCGAGAGTGCTCTGAGTGCACCGTCTGCGCCACCTCTCCGGTTGAACGAGCCCCCGGCTCCTTGCCCCACACCTGCATTGACACACTGACCCCGTCCCTGCCCTGCCATGCACCTTGTCTGCTGACTCCAAGGTGGATTAAACACACACCTCTCTGGAGCCCCTCCTTTCTTCAGGGCAAAACCTCATGGCAAAGAGCCAAGATGAAATGCCAGAAGAATCTAAGACTCCCTCTCCCAACCCTGCAGCCTGACCGCCTCAAAAGCTGGATGAATGATCCCCAGGAAGGGAGGTGAGCTACCTAAGCATCCAGAGCTACAGGCAGCCCTTGCACTTCTGTTTGCACCTTCCTTCCACAATCACCTACTGAACAGCCGACTTGCAGGGATCCACCAAGGGGCTTACAAAGACTAAAGAGGTTCCAGCCTAAAAGGAGTTTACAGATCAGTGGGATTAGCAAATTCTGATGTCCATAGCTTCCATACAAAAATTGGACCAAATGTTAAGCATACTTGAAAGGACAATGGGACAGAATGCTTTAAATCAGGGCCATCCCAAACTTGAGTTTGGCAAGGGATCCATAGCTAATTATTCAACAAGAAGCATGTACTGAGTGACTACGAAGGCAGTGATGAGATGATAATAACTACCATAACTGGGGGCCTATTCTGGACCACTCAGTAACACTTATCTGTGCAACAGCCCCGTAAGTGAGGTATCATGTCATCATCATTATCCTCATTCTAAGAGTGAGGAAAGTTAAGTGCACATAGCTGACTCACGCAATGTCCATTGCTAGAGAGTTCAAGCCCCCGGATTCATACTCAGCTCTGCCTGACTCCAAGCCTGTGTTCTTTCCATCATGCCACGTGATCGAGTCAAGGTGTCAAGGAAAGGTTGGGGGGAAAATTCCAGGGGTGGGAGGGGACGCAAACAACTACAGAGAAGTTCAAAGGCAGAAGGAGAGCAAGACCTAAAGAAAGAGAAAAACTCACTTGCCTTTCTGACTAGACCAGCGGTTAAAAATAAAAGAAAAAGATTCCCTCCAACCTTCCTCCCCCATCTGCTGACATTAATATCAGGTGAACTCATTTGATGTAACTAAAGAGAGCGAGCACTCATCCTGCACGACAGGGAACCAACATATTGCACTCCTCCCTCTCTCTTCCCACTCCTTCCCTCCTCCCTCCCAGAAGGCATGGTGTTGTGTTTCCAGTTAGTGGCCAAGAATAACAAATTATTAAATACTCAATCTACCAATGACCTCTCTCCTAATATCTTCCAAGGCCCGACTTCAAGAAAGATCCTAATGAAATCATGATCTTTTTCTATTGTATAGGGAGATATGTGTAACATACGTATTATCACTTCATTATTAACTATTTTTATCTGAACACTAAATATCACTGCCCTATGACAAGTGCTTTATCACCAAAAGAACTGGCGTCTGTTTCACATTAGGTTCTAGAATGCTGTTCCGCTCTGCGCAGTGTAGGGCATCCCCAATGAAACACAGTACTGCTCAAGGTCAAAACAAGAAGATAGCACCAAGCTCAGGGTTGTGAGAGGGGAAAAGTCAGAGTACAAATGAAGAGAATAAGGGGGAAGAGAAAGACTGCAAAGATCCTGCCTGGATGGTCCCAAAAGAGGAAGGTGAGAGCATGGAAGAAGAGTGAGAGGAGAGGAAACAGAGGTGGCATCAAATGATATGAAGAGGCAACAGGAAAAAAACAAACAAACAAAATAGACCAGGCGCAGTGGCTCACGCCTGTAATCTCAGCACTTTGGGAGGCCAAGGCGAGCAAACCGCTTGAGCCCAGGAGTTTGAGACCAGCCTGGGCAACACAGCAACATAGCAAGACCTCGTCTCCAAAAAAAGAAATTTTTTTTAATTAGTCAGGCATTTTTTTAATTAGTCATATGCCTGTAGTCCCAGCTACTTGGGAGACTGAGGTGAGAAAGATAGTAGACAATATTATAAGCAACTTTTTGTCAATAAATTCGCAACTCAAAGGACATGGAAAAATTTCTTGAAAAATATAAATGACCAAAGCTCACTCAAGAAAAATAACTTGAATATATATGTTTTAAAAATGAAATTTGTAGTTAAAAGTCTTCTCACAAAGAATATTACAGAGCTCAGGCATGGTGGCTCACACCTGTAATCCCAAAACGTTGGGAGGCTGAGGCAGGAGGATCTCTTGAGGCCAGGAGTTCAAGATCAGCCTGGTTAACATAGTGAGACCCTGTCTCTACAAAAATAAATTAGCTGGGCACGGTAGTGCAGGCCTGTAGTCCAGCTACTCAGGAGACTGAGGTGGGAGTATTACTTGACCCCAGGAGTTAAAGGCTGCAGTGAGTTGATGGCCTGGGTGACAGAATGAGACCCTATCTCTAAAAAATAAAGAAATAAATGAAGAAGCAGACAGAATAATCATAAAATACAAGTCCTAAAAAAAATAAAGAAATAAATGAAGAAGCAGACAGAATAACCATAAAATACAAGTCCTAAAAAAAAAGAAGAAAGAAATGAAGAAACAGACAGTAAAACCATAAACTACAAGTCCTAAAAAAAAAAAAAAAATCAGTCCAAAGGAGAAAAGGTCACAGAGAGCAAAGCAGAAGTGGAATGGAGGAGAGGGCATCTGACGACATAGAAAACAAGCTCCCCTCCCCAGCCCCGACTCCGCAGCCAGTGCCCTTCCTGCTCCCGTCCCTTGGAGCACTTCCTTAGCTTCAGCATTCAGGAGAACGCCCCTCCTCCCCAACAGGGCTGGTCTGGCACTTAGCACAACCTGCTGAAATTAGCTGTTGTCTTGTAAGCTCCCCATCCCATGGTGAATTCCTGGGGACCTGAGGCCGCAATTTTTTTTTTTTTTTTTTTGAGACAGAGCCTCACTCTGTCACCAGGCTGCAGTGCAGTGGCATGATCTCGGCGCACTGCAACCTCCGCCTTCCAGGTTCAAGTGATTCTCCTGCCTCAGCCTCCTGAGTAGCTGGTACTACAGGCGTGAGCCACCACGCCCAGCTAATTTTTGTATATTTAGTAGAGACAGGGTTTCACCATGTTGGCCAGGATGGTCTTGATCTCTTGACCTCATGATCCACCTGTCTTGGCCTCCCAAAGTGCTGGGATTACAGGCGTGAGCCACTGCGCCCGGCCAAGGCCACAATTTATTACAATTTGTAGCTCCACAGCCCAGGGTAGTACCTAGAAATAATAATAAGTAATGCTCAACAAGTATTAAAAGAGTGTACAAATAAATGAATGAAAGCCATTCTACCACAAAGGGTCACCCAAACGGCAGCGTTATTGGACCTAAAGACAGAGAAGTCTCAGGGAATGAGGGAGGGCCTACCAAGTCTCGGCATTAAATACCTGGCTCCTGCCGCCCAATGCAACAAGAAGCCAAAGAAACTTTTCTCCTCATAGAAATAAATGAGAAACACTCTGGCTCTAGTTCTTCGCAGATCCTGGTTCCAGTCCTGTGCTGACCTCACCCTGCTGTTATGAGCCTGGAGACCGATCACTTTGCAAAATCAGATGTGCACTTTTCTCCATGAACTTATTCTGAATCTGTAAGTAAACTCCTCAAATTGTCAAAATACTTGTTGTATAACCACTATATTCTCCTTTCCGGGCAGTTAAGGTTCCCGGAGACCGCATCTGCCTTAATCTTAGAAAGGGCAGCTACTCCCTCCTGTTCTCATCAAATACTGTACCTTCCCCCAGAGATATCAGGAGTGAGAAGATCCTGAGACTCTCAGAATGCAGTAGGCCCTGAAGTCTGAGCTGCTGAGGAGGTGGGGAAGAGGGGTTTCCTCTGAAGCATAAAGTACATACCTTGATGGTGGCCCTGACCACACAGAAGCCTCACTCTCTAGCTTTGCTCTCTAGGCACCTAAGGGGAAGGCAGCTTCTAAAAGTCACATTTTGCACATCACTGCTTCTGATCCAGTGGTCATGCATCTTGTACCCATTATGCATGGACAACACAGCCCCCGGGGGGTTGAGCACACACCACTGAGAAATAGAAGCTGTCATGCTGTTTGATTGCTTCTTCTTCAAAAGGCGGCCTCCTTCTGACGGCATGGTCCCTATTCCCAGCAGGAGTTCTTCTCCTAGGGCTGACTCCAGAAGCCAGCCTTCACCACCAGGCTGCAGAGGCTGAGGTCTTTTATTTTGGAGCCAGTGAGTGACCTGCACTGGGGCAGCCCAGGTAACGAATGGGGCAACAGCTGCTTTGCCCATTAAGATATCCTGTTCTTGGCCTTTGCTTTTTTTCAAGCCCCAGCAATCTAACTGCCAAGCTGGTCTGTGTGCAGAGGTCAAAGCCACCTCCTTTGCAGCTTCCCCATGACTCAGGCAGTGCTTGCAGAGGCTGGGCAGTGGCAGCTCAACAGACCTCAGTTGGAAGAATGAGCACAAGGAAACAGACTCAGGCCAAAGACCTCCCTAGAGAAACCAGGTGGTGGGAGGAGAAGAAGGCTGGGAACAGAGGAAGTTCGACTCCAGGAAGGGACTAGCTGTGCCAAATGGGTTACTGTGGAAGACTCCAGCTCCAGACTGTGTGCGCCAGTCCAACTTTGAGTGACCATTTGGAAACAGTGGAGAGTTAGAGCCCCACAGGTAACCAAGGATTCCACGCCATCCCCAGAGTGCTGTGGTTATGATAATAACCAAAAAAAAGAGCATGGCACAGATTCAAGTCACAGTCCCCCAAATCAGAAGAAGAGGCTCACTTGGATGGCTCTTTTCCTCCCAGCCTCCTGTATCTGAGAAATTTCAAGAATCCAAATACTCCTCAGTGCCCAATCACTCCAACACCTGTGAATCTAAACGTTTGCAGATTTGTAGCTTCTTTGACATAGAATATCAGGAAAGGCCTTGCAAAAGGCAGGGCTGCTTCCTGGGCTGGGTCCATCTTTCTAATCCCAATACTCAGTTTCCTTCTAACTCTACAGCTGGAATCTCCAAATACTCTTGACTAAGCTCACACCACTTCCACCCCAGCAAGGGCAGAAGCTAGAGCCCTGAAGTCAAGTGTGGTCATAGGAATTTTAGTGACTTGGGAGCAGGAGCAAGCATGCCCGCTCTGCTCTGTAGTATACATCTGGGCAAACGGGTCACCCTCTGACAGCAAGGATACAGGAAAATTGGAAGAGATTTTCCCAACTCAGCTCCAAGTAAAACTCCACTTGAAACTCCAAGTGAAACAGTCTCAGCTCCAAACAGGTGCCCTAACTACACCGCCTGCTCAGAATGGTCTAGAAGCCTCTTGGACCATGCCCAGCAGAGAAGTCTGTAGGAGAAGCGGCAGTGAAGGAGGGATGCTCGCAGTACTTGAGTCTGGCCTGTCACTGCAACCCACAAAATCTCTCAATGATTCCCTCCACCCCAATCCAGGCTTTCCAGGCCCAGTACAGAGAGGGGACAACGTGTTACCCGAGAGAAATGTAGCAAGCGCTGACCTTGGATCACCTTCAGTTCTACAACCCTTGAAAGGAGACCTCAGGAGGTGTCCGAGAAGACTCAGCCGCCCATACAATAGGGGTGGGCCGTTCCCGCCCTCTCCAACACCATCCTCACGGCGTCTCCTATCGGTCTTGGACACAAACTGCAGCTCCGGGGCGGCAACTTCCTGGGTTCCGGCCCCTCGGCGCCTGATCCAGGAGGCGCTGATTGGCCGCGCCAGGCCAACACCTTCGGAAAGCGCAGGCTCTCCTCCAATGGCCCAGATGCACGTGAGCCGCCGCTCCGCGGAGCGTGGGAGAGGGCTCTCCCTGGAAACTCCACAGAGTTGGAGTCGGAAGAGATCAACGAGGTTTAAACTCGGAGGCATTGCACGATACAAAGGGGATTTGGAGCGCTAGGGGAGGTGACCCTAAAGAACGGGACTATCTGGGTGCAAAGTGACGGCAGATCAACTCACCTGCCTGGTGAAGAGGATGGCAGTGTCCCAGTACTCGGGGTGCTTGTCACTCACTTTGTTCAGCTTCTTCTGCCAGGCACAGAAGTTGCGCAGCGTCAGGGCCGCATTGCCGGTGACCTTGGGCCCGGAGTCACGATCTCTAAGAAGCAGCACCTTGACCACAACGATGTTGATGGGGTTGAGGATGCTGGGATGGCGGTAGAGTCGCGCCGCCGTTGCCAGCAGCGTCAGCAGATAATGTTCCAGGTCCGCGCCGTGGAACTTGACCATTGACTCGTCCGCGACCACCAGCGTCTCCACGTACCGCGGGATAGACACGAAACGCTTGGCGCGCCCAGACCTGCGCCGGCTACGACTCTCCCCGAAGCCCGCCCGCCGCGGCTTGTAAGGGTCCAGGGCCCGTAGGATGGCGGGGTTCCAGCCCGAGGCCACCCCGCAGCGAGAGGTGGGGTCTCCGGAAGGCCCGCCCGGAACACCCCGGCGCTGGAGAAGGTGTGCGCCCTGGCTGTTGCGCTGCGCCGCCGGCGCGCTAGCATTGGGCAGCGGGCTAATGACATACTCGGCGCCTCGGTAGCCAAAGGCTCCGCGGAGCCCCCCGCACAGGCTCACAGCAGCGAACGAGTCCGGCTCGGCGTTCACGTCCCCAGAATAGAAGCAGCGTCGCAGGTCTGAAGAGCCCCCGGTGAGCCCCTGGAGGGGGACGCCCAGATGCTCAGTGGAGAAGGCGGGAGCCAAGAACTGAGCATCCGGCGTCAGGTGTAGGTAAAAGTCCTCCTGAAATGCTGTGATCTGAAAAATGAGTCCCTGATCCCCGGAGTCCTCGGGACCCCGCCAGTAGTAGCGGCGGCCGTTAATGTCCGGGTCCAGTCGGATGGGAACGACTACCTCCCGCTCTGGCTCAGAGCCTCCAGCGGTTCGCCCGGCGAAAGCCAGGGTTAGGATGCCCAGCAGAAGCATGGCGCCGGGCAGCGCACCGCCGCGCTGTGGGAAGGGGCTGGGCCGGGCTCTCCGGCCGCTGCCGCGGTCTCCGTGCAGCCCGCACTCTGGAACCGCCAACGCTACGGGACAGCCGGCAGTTCCCAGAAAGGAGAGCCAAGGGAGGGAGACTCCTCCCAGGGCGGCGAGCGTGCACCCGGCAGCCCGCGCTTCCTACCTGTGCCTTTCCAAGCAAAGCGCGCCCTGGGAGCTTAAGTACAATCGCTGTCAAGTGCAAGGACGAAGATTTGCAGCCGAGAACTAGCGGAAGGTGCCGGGCGGCTTCTCGCAACCGCAGCCACTCGCAGCGCAGCAAGCCAGGCGCTGGGCGAGCCTATTAAAGGCCCCCTCCTCTTTGGACGGCCCAGTCAGCGCCCCTCCCCTCACTCCCCTCCCAGCCTCCCAGAGCTCGCTGCCGGAGCCTCCAGGGGCCACCGGAGAACTCGGTCCCGCCTCCAGAGCGGAGAGCCACTTGGCGGGGAGGGAGTGGCATTGAGCTGAGGCAGGAGGCGTGGGCTGGCCCGAGAAACCGGCGCTGAAGTCTCAGTTTGCGTTTTGCTCTTGGTTATGCCCCACTGTCCCGACGCCTCACTCGCTTCTGCCCCCGCGGACAGCGTTCACTCTCTGGGTCTTAGTCTTTTATCTCAGGGCAGATCAGGTCAGCAGCTAGGAATGAAGACCCTTCACTGACCCGTCCCCAGGCCCACCTCATCCCTGCTGTTGCAACATCCCTGCTGTTTCTTAATCACAGAGTCCCCTAAAAGACCCAGAATCAAGAACCACCCCCCCCCCCGCGTAAATGTCCTATTGCCAGAAGAGCAATAGGACAGGGGCATGGGAGCCCTCTGGAACCCAAGACCGCCTAGCCCCAAGGTCTGCCCTGGGCCCATGGTGTGCTGGATGGGCTGGGGCAAACTCTTCAGTTCTCAGGAATCTTGCCAGCCAGCTGTTAATCACGGACATTATTAAAAATTAAACTAAACACACTTACAATTAAACAAAGTGTATATATATATATGCACACACACACACATACATATATATACACATACATATATATATATACATACACACACACACACACACACACACATATATATATATATTTTTTTTTTTTTGAGACGGAGTTTTGCTCTTGTTGCCCAGGCTGGAGTGCAATGACGCGATCTCAGCTCACCGCAAACTCCGCCTTCCGGGTTCAAGCCATTCTCCTGTCTCAGCCTCCCAAGTAGCTGGAATTACAGGCATGCACCACCACGCCCAGCTAATTTTGTATTTTTAGTAAAGACAGGGTTTCTCCATGTTGGTCAGGCTGGTCTCGAACTACCGACCTCGGGTGATCCTCCTACCTTGGTTTCCTACCTCCTACCTTGGTCTCCTGAGTAACTGCGACCACAGACACACGACACCACGCTAGGCCAATTTGTGTGTGTGTGTGTGTGTGTGTGTGTGTGTGTGTGTGTGTGTGTGTATTTTTGGTAGAGACTGGGTTTCGCCGTGTTGCCCAGGCTGGTCTTGAACTCCTGAGCTCAAGCAATCCACCCACCTCGGCCTCCCGGTGCGGGGACTACAGGCGTGAGCCACCATGCCTAGCCACAAAGTACATTTTTAAAAGGTAATAAATACTCAAAACCCGTCGCTTCCTAAGTATTTGATAATTACTTATGGTCTTGAGCCACCAGAACCGCCAACCCTCTGAGACAGCAACTCCCAGAAAAGAGTGCAGAATGGGGTGGAAATGTGAGGGAAATATTAAATGGTGTGCTGCCCTGCATCTCCCCAGTCAGGGACATCACAATGGCTTGAAATAGGTCCTGGTAGAAGTATTTACACCACCTGAATAAGCAAATCAGAGCTGGGGTTGGGGGCAGGAAGATGAGCCCTTGTACACAGCTACCTGCCTGGCAGGGATGTGGAGATCAGGTTCTGGGGCTGCAGTTACAAGAGGAAGAGGCTGTCTTCCAGCAAACAGTAGAAAAATCGGGCCAGGCTTCCTCCATGAAATTATCTCATTTGACCCTTGACCAAACCCTGGACTGGGGACTGGCATAGGAGGCCGAGTGAGTATCAGCTGGAGAAGATGCAATCGCACCTTATGTTCCCATCTAGTTTGGAGAACAGCCCAAGGAGTTTTTCAGGCTCTAGACCTCAAGATCCTTCTTACCTCTCCGCAGAATCAACTTCTTTCTCTGACAAGGGAGAAAGGCAAGGAGAGGAGGGAGGCTTTGCTACTCTCTCCTGATACCTAGAAAATCTTTCTGGAGCCAAAGGGCTCTGAGTTGAGTTTGCAAGAGGGGAGGACAAAGAAGGGAGTGTGTGATGATTTTAAGCATAAAGGGGATGATGTGGGAGAATTTTGGAATTTTTTTTAGGGAAGTGGCTGTTCAAGGGAAGAACTCTATTGTCCAAGGAGAGAAAAGGCTGGGACTGGTCCATCAGTGAAGAGCACTTTTTGCCCATTATCTTCTCCCCATAAAGGATCCACTCTTGGAAGCGCCCCCTGGGGCCTTGGAACATGAAGATGGCTCAGATGCCCATAATTCCAGTGAGGCCTCTCCTTGATTGGGACACAAGGAGCTGAAATTCATTATGTGAATGAGTGAGAGATGGGTGTTTATACTCTGCAAATGAAAGAGAGTGTATGGGTATGGGAGGACTGTGTGTGAGACAGGGAGTTCAAGCTTACAAAGGCCCTGTGTGTTTGAGCGTTCAAAGAGGGCCTATAATTAAAGAGAAACGCAGACAACCAACAGCAATGATAAGTCATTTATTTGGGGCAAGCAATTGTTTTACTACACCCGGCAGTTTTAAAGGTGGATTGCAAGGTTTTCAACGGCACTTTACTTTCATTCTGACCCATGGGTTTTGGCAAGGGCTGCAGCATGTCAGTCAAGATGGCAGGGACCTGAGACAGGAAGTCCCTCCCACTTAGTGCTCCCCCTGCCCCAATCACAGCCCAGCTATTCTCACCCCTGAGCACAGAAACTGGCCATGTGGATTTGCTCAAAGGGATTAGCATGTATTGCAGGCTTAGTATGTGCTAAACATTGCACCAAGAGTTATATGTGCATTCTCGTATTTAATGCTTGACTGTCCCCTCTTGGAAGCCTGTGGTTCCATCCAATCACTTTTGCCAGGGAATTGAGGATCTAGGGATATGTTGAGCACTTGAGTAGAGGTGATACTCAGGATTGGCACTCCACTTCTATCACTGATCTGATTCTCTGACTCGTCTGTCAAAAGAGAAGGGGTTATCCTAGCTCAGAGGTCTTCAGCCAGAGAACTGCATCCAAAATCTGTGGTCTAGATAATACCTAAGATAACGACCAGGTCAAATATTACATGACTGATTGAGGCCTATGGAAGGGAACATAGTACAGTGATTTAGAGCCCATGGTCAGAGGGCCCTGTGTGCATGCCTCCACCAGATCTTAGCTGTGCAATCTTGGGTAAATTACTGTACCTCTCTAAGCCTCACTTTTCTCATTATTAAAATGGGGATACAAATTCTACCCACTGCCTGGACTAAATGAGTTAATATTATACTTCCAAAGTGTTTGGCAATGCTTGGTATATTTTAAAAGTTCCTTAAATATTATCGAATAGTACTGCTAATATTCTTATGTGCTATTATTATTACTCCTCCTAGTGCTATCAGTCTCTGCTAGGCCCTCCAAGCTGATTGCTGTCATCACCTTCTGAAGTTTTCTGGGGCGTGTCCTCTCCCAGTTCTGCTCGGGAGCTTTCACATTGGCTCCCACGTCCCACTTCCATAACGGGACTCCACAACCGCCATGGAGTTCTCGCTTCTCCTGCCCTCCATGATCTTAACATCCCTGGAAAATAAAAAGCAACTCCCTGTCAATGTATGAAAATGAAAATTTTTTAAAAAGCAGCTCTTCCCCCAGAGGACGACTGGGGGTCTAAGCCATCTGTCAGATCTAAGACCCCCAGCTTGGCCTTTCTGTCCTTCGCCAACTAGGCTGGCCTCTTCACAGCCTCCAGGTCTCAGCCCAAGTACAGCCCCCTCAGAGGGGCCTTCCCAGACCGCCCAATCTGAGAAGTCCCAAGTCACAATCATGATTGCATGTTTTGTCTTGTCCACTAGCATTTACCTCTATCTCTCTATCTAAACCTATTTTGCTCACTTAGATCTTTTTTTTTTTTCTTGACTGACTTCCCTCCGTTAAAATGAGAGCAGGACCTTCCCCATCTCGTTCACTGTTATATCTCCCAGAGCCTGACACAGTGCTGGGCTCACAGGGGCGCTCCAAAGATACTGAGCAAATGAATCAACCCAATTCTAATCCAGCTTGGTCCCTTACAGTCTGTAAAATATTGGACAAGATACTTCATCTCCACAATGAAAATGTGGCTCTCTCATAGAGCGAGTGCCTGACATACTTCTCTCATAATTATGTATTTCTACATCTCTCTGACAAAAACCTTAGCCTGGCACCCTAGTTACCTAGCCCAGTACCCTAGTCACCTAACCCAATACCCCAGTCACCTAGCCTAGTACCCTAGTCACCTAGCCCACTACCTTCATCCCATAGGTGTGGCAGCTGAGGTCCAGAGAAAGGAAGTTACTTGCCTAAGGCTACCCAGCCAGTTTCTCTACTCATCTCATGAAATCGTTTCTCTTTACTCTTCATCTGAAAGCCTGGCCCTAGCTAAATTCATTAGCTTGAGTGCTCCTGCTCAGAAAGTGTTCTTTCAGCATGCGTATTTATGTGAGCCTTTCCTCCCATACAGAATGGCCTCTCAGCCTCATCCATGCCTGCCTATATAACCCTCACTTCCTATAGGAAGCCCCTTGACTTAACTCACACAGCTCTGGTTGCTCTTTTTTGTTAGTTCCTCTGGCATATATGCATCCCATTTCCAGCATAGGCAGAGTCCATTTGAACTCGCTTGCCCTTTGCTAATTGTGTGTTCATCCCTTTTCCCGAGACTGGGCTGCAGCCACACTTGTCTGGAAACTCATCAAAAGGAGGGCTTCCTTTCCTATTATACTAGTCTCCATGACAGTCCCCAGAGGAGGTGTTAACTTCCTGGTCAAGCCAGCTGGATGCGGCAGGTTCCAGGTAGAAGATCAACTCAAAAAGGTAACTCACAGAGGCCAGAAGGAGGCAGCCACAAGGATTAGGTTTGGATTTCACTTCTTTTTTTTTTTTTTTTTTTTTTTTTTGAGACAGAGTCTTGCTCTGTCGCCCAGGCTAGAGTGCAGTGGCGCAATCTCAGCTCACTGCAACCTCCGCCCCCTGGGTTCAAGCGATTCTTCTGCCTCAGCCTCTCAAGTAGCTGGGATTACAGGTGCCCGCCACCATGCCCAGCTAATTTTTGTATTTTTAGTAAAGACGGGGTTTCACCATCTTGGCCAGGCTGGTCTCGAACTCCTAACCTTGTGATCCACTCGCCTTGGCCTCCCAAAGTGCTGGGATTACAGGCATGAGCCATCGCGCCCGGCAGATTTCTTCATCACGGGATGAAGTCATCACAGAAGTCATCACAGGATGACTTCTGCCTACCTGTGAAATTGGGCATCCTGGAGGATCTCTTCAAAACAGGAGAAAATAATTAAGGAGAAAAACGGGGTGGAGGGACAAGCACTATGATCTGGGCAAGATTTTAATGGGCAGGGAAATGACTTAGGAAAGTCTCCCAATTCCCCAGATTAGCTATTCTAAATCATTGGCCTACCATGTTAGGACTTAAATCGGTTTTTACACAGCAGCATGAAAACAGATGTACAAATTTATCATGTTTTGAGCTTAGGACTTGATCATTCTTTACCAAAGATCCCTAAAAATCCCAGATGCGTTTAATCTGCTCCTCTTGGAATCTGTGCCACAGAGGTGGGCAAAGCAGGCAAAGTATAGAAAGGCACAGGCTTCAGGAAGCCCCCGGGAAGGCCCAGCGAGTGTTAAATGACTGAGCTGCCATCATCCACTGGCTTCCACAACTGCTGGAGCTCTTGGCTGGTCTTCTCCCAGATGCAGAGACAGCTGAAGCAGCTGGAGATTCATCTAAGGCCCCATGAATTACAGCCCTGGCCTGAGTTCATTCTTCATTACTCAGAGGAAATATTTAACTCTGTTTTTTCCCTCTCAGCCACCCACTCTGTTTTTGACTCTGGGGCTAAGCGTTTAAGTAGAAGTCTCTCTGGTGCTAACTCCTGTATTTGTTCTCTTGGATGCTAGGAAATTAGAGCAAAGGGTCTTGATGTGGCTTGGACAAACTCAACAAACAATAGTTCCAGGCTGCCTCCTTTCACCCTGAATCCCCCTTAGACAGTCTTAAATAACAGCTACCCCCCTGAAATCTAGGGCTCCCTGATTCAATCATTTATTTTATAGATTTACACACACGCCCCAGGACAAATTACTTTGGAGCTCTTGGCTATTCTGCGTATAGCTGCACCTTTAGCTTTTAGGCTGGTTGAAGGAGAATGCCTAAAATAGAGATGAGATGGATGCTAAATCCTCAACTCCTATCTAGGGATTTAGAAAGCAATTAGTTTTTCCTGCCAAAAAGCTTCTATCTCCTCTACTCTTCCCAGTATGCCCCTTTTCCCACCGTCAACAAAGAGTAGCTTCAAGATTGAGCTTGACCTTGAGCCTCAGGCCTCCACCCCATCTCTAGCAAAGGACCACCTCCGGGCTCCTGCAACCCAGATGAGGTCCCAACACAAAATTGATTGCTCTCCCAGGTAGCATGGTTTCTTCCATTAGCTCATCCTCCCTCCTAATAAAAATACTTGACATATACAAAATACCATATGACTTGTAAATAAGTTGATATATATTATCATTCCATCCTTACAAAAATACTCAGGGAGGGGAGCGATGGGACAGGAGTTATTAACATCTCCTTTTTGAGTAAGAAGAACTAAGACTCAGAGTTTAAGTGACTCAACAAAGATCACCTTATCCCTGAGCAGCAGATGTATAACTGAAACACTCCTCTCCTGTTAAATTCCAGCCCTGGGGACTCCTCTGACCTCAGCTGCCTTTCTTCTGGTAAGACCATCCTATTTCCATTTTTCATTTTCCCATTCTGACTCATACCATGGGTGTACCCCAGTATCATACACTTCCAGCCACACTCAGCTCTCCCCCGTCTTCCTCCCCTACACATACTCCTTCTCACACTCCTTGAACACATGCTCACAAGCTAGTTGAAATAGAATTCATGAGAATCCAATGAGTTGCCTTTAAGCTGAGCCTACTCTGGGTCAACAATTAGCTTAATGGCCCTAAAGTGACTTGGCCCACTGTCTTTGGAGCTTCAACAAGAAGCCACGGAAAACACCCATGGAGTATTTTTCCCACTGCGTTCATTTTTACTTTGCTGCCTGTGCACTATGGCATGGATAGGGTTTGGATCTCTGTCCCCACCCAAATCTCATGTCAAATGGTAATTCCCAGTGTTGCAGGTGGGGCCTGGTGGGAGGTGATTGAATCACGGGGGCGGGTTTCCCACTTGGGCTGATCTTGTGACAGTGAGTGAGTTCCTGTGAGAGCTGCCTGTTTGAAAGTGCCTGGCACCTCCCGCTTCTCTGTCCCTTGCTCCTGCTCTGGCCACATGATGTATGTGCTTCCCTTTCACATTCCACCATGAGTGTAAGTTTTCTGAGGCCTCCCCAGAAGCAGAGCAGATGCCAGCATCATACTTCCTGTATATTCTGTGGGACCGTGAGCCAATTAAACCTCTTTTTCTTTATAAATTACCCAGTCTCAGGTATTTCTTTACAGCAATGAGAGAACAGACTAATACAGACACTAAAGGAACTCAGCTCACTGGATATTAACATAGATCACGTGGGCTCTAATGCAGCAATCCTTAACCATCCGGATCCTTGGAGAATGCCACAAACACTGTGAAACCTCCTCCCTGACAAACACCCAGGCACATGCACACGCAAAATTCTGCCCACAATTTTGGGAGATTTGCAGCCTCTCAGAAGTTCATTCTTTAACTCCCAGAGGCTTAGAAAGACCTGCCCATGCCCAAAGAGGAGGAAAAGTTTCTTCTCTCACTGGGAGTAAGTTGTGAAAACACTTGAAAATCAAAAAGACCATGCCAGGACCTGAGCCTAACATACCAGCCCTTGTATGACTGAGAGGTCAAGAGCAAGGATCAGTCTAACTCACTGCCAGAATTGCAGGTCAGCAAGCCAGGGCCCAGTCCCGGCCCTATTTGAGGTTGCTTTATTTTGGGGTGCTAGTTAAATGCTTCCTGGAGTTTTGAATCCCCTACTTACAGAAAGAGTAAGAACGGTCTCATTATCATTAGTAATGACACATTGAGCCCACAGACTGAATAACATTATTTAGGACTCTTGTAATCAGAAAGTATGATACAGTTCCCGTTGCAGGAGCCTGCAATTTATTTGATTTGTTCTGCCAAGAAAAACTGAGGGGAGCTGCAGGCTCTTACTTTCTTCATCTAGGTGAATTTAGGGGGTAGGCAAGTAGCCTGTGGAAACCCAGAGGCAGCAGCCCCTTGTGGTTTACACCCTACTGTCAATTCTCTCCCCCAGCATGCCCGTCTCCCCTGCACCCTCTCCAGTCCCTGTCTGGCCTCCCCCACGCCATGCTTTCTGCTGCTCTCTCTAATTCTTCTCATGCGTCCTCACTCCCATCTCTCAAAATTTGCTACCAGCGTCTTCATTTATCCTAAGGTGAAAATAGCTGATAAAAAGCACATGCACATCAACTGATTCCGTGTACTCACCCTGCTGTCATCCACCAGGCTTCTTTCTGAGCCCAACAGAGCCAGGATGGGAGGACTTCCATTCAGCAAGCTCTCAACCTCAAATTTTTCATCTGGCATCTCATTTAGAAATGTTGTGTGGAATGCTTAGCTCATCTGGCCCTCTCTTTTACCAATGGTCAACGCACATCGCCTCACTTCAGACGGAATGTGTTTCACTCCAGCAGTGGGAGGTGAGTAGGCAATGGGAATGAGCATCACGGCCAGTCAACAAGGCAGCATGGGCCCAAGAGGCAGGTGCACTTTACAACTGAGCCTCCAGGAACCTGATATGCACGAGGCTTATAGATGTGAGTTTTCTCCGATCCTCAAGAACATTGGAAATTAAAGGGCAGACAACTCTGGTATTTAACTAAAGAAGAACATAAAACTAGTGTTTGAGCCTGGCCAGTCACAGAAGAAATCTGCTTCCGGCTGCCCTGGCTCAGGCCCACCTCCCACCTGTACACAGTTCCCAGAGCAGAGCCTGAGGTGCCCAGCAGACCCTGCTGTTCTCCCACCATGGGTTCCCCAGTGCTCTACTGAGGAAACAGATGTTGTCTCCTCCATAAAGGCTTTCCACGCCATGCTTCCCCTCACTCTCTCCTCTCTGCACCTTTGTGCAGCCTCTCGTCATCATTGAGAGCCAAGAGATGATAGGGTCCAGTAATGTCACTTCTTAGCCAAGCTGGCAAAAGCGGCCCAGCAACTTGCCCAATGCTTTCAAGCTGTGGTTGGTGAGACTCCAAAAGCCAAGTCACTCCAAGTGAAGATTCTACCCTCCCTCTCCTTTTTCTCCCTCAACTAGCCAGGAACCTCCTCCTTCATGTCGGTACCTCCCACCTTGACATTTTGAATCAGCCAACAGGCCAACCGGAAGACACTTGACCACAGAACCCAACTGAGTAAAAGTCACTGCAATCAGCAAAGGAAAACCAGGGGTGCTTCCTGCTTCCGGAAAGGCCCCAGTTGTGGGGGGAGAGGAGACAGCAAGGAGGGTAACTGACAGGCAGATGTCACCTGTGCTCTAGGAAATGTGGAAAAGGAGAGAAATGGAGGAATGGGGAAAAAAGTCTGTTTCAGGCTAGGTAAGGACCCTCTGGATATCAAGGTGGCAATGAATATGTGTGATGAAGCTCAGGCAGTGATGGGGACCAGAAAGGCAGATTTGGGAGTCAAGTGCAGACATGTGCAGTTGAAGTGGGAGTGAAAGCGTATTGCTCAGCCGGATGCAGTGGCTCACCCCTGTAATCCCAGCACTTCGGGAGGCCAAGGCGGGTGGATCACTTGAGGTCAGGAGTCCGAGATCAGCCTGGCCAACATGGTGAAACCCTGTATCTACTAAAAATACAAAATTTAGCTGGGCGTGGTGGCACAGGCCTGTAGTCCCAGTTCCTCCGGAAGCTGAGGCAGGAGAATCACTTGAACCCGGGAGGCAGCGGTTGCAGTGAGCCAAGATCTTGTCACTGCACTCCAGCCTGGCGACAGAGCAAGACTCTGTCAAAAAAGAAAGGAAGCAAATGAAAGAAATAAAGAAGAAAGAAAGAAAGAGAGAGAGAGGGAGAAAGGGAGAGAGGGAGACAGAGAGGGAGAAAGAAAGAAAGAGAGAGAGAAAGAAAGAAGGAGAGAAAGAAAGAAAGGGGAAGGGGAAGGGGAATTGAAGGGAAGGGAAGGGGACAAGGAAGGAAGGAAAAGGAAGGAAGGAAGGAAGGAAGGAAGGAAGGAAGGAAGGAAGGAAGGAAGGAAGGCACATTGCTCTATGAATATTTGTGAAATTTGGGGTTGTCTTTGTTTCCTTTCAAAATTGTACCAGACTTCTTCCTCCCCCATGCACACACCCAAAGCAATGAGCATGTCCACCTACACCTCTTCCCTGCTGTTTTCCCAGCTAGGCCAGTGGCATATCTCTTCACCTCAGGCCTCCGCTAGGCAGCCTCATCTCTCTCCCCGTGACCACCGCGTTCCTCCCTGCCGCCACTTCTTAGCTGAGGCTACTGCCATCTCCTGAAGTCATGTCCTGACAGGTCTCCATTATCCAATCTCTCCACTAATGCAATCCTGATTCTACACAATTGCTAGAGCTGTCTTTCCAAAGACAAATACGGTCATGTCACTTCCCTGAGTACAAGGCTTCAATGAACCTGCATTGCCCTCTGGGAGAAAGCCCAAAGTCCCCAGGGTGATGAATACCCCCCTTCACATACCGGCCCTGCTGACTGTCCCAGCTGCAAGTCCTGCCATGCCTCAGCAGCCCCTTACACCGCAGACTCAGGGAACTCCTCACTTTCTCAAACATGGCAGACTCTTTAATGTCTTCATGTTTGTGTGTCTGTGTGTGTGCGTGTCTGTGTGTGTGTCCGTGTGTGTGTTGGCGGGGGGCGGGTTTCTCCCTCTAGTGCCTGGTGAACTCCTACTCATTCATTAAAGTCCAACAAAAATATCACTCAAATGGAATCCTTCCCAACCTGCTGCCTGCCCATCAAAACACAGCTATCACTACTTTTTCTGGGTTCTCATAATGTGTTATTTCCAACATAATGTATTACTTCCAACAATAGACGTCTACTGAACTACTACTCCGTATACCACGTTTTGTGGCTATAGCTTTATTCTTGTACTTGCAGCATTATATTATATTTATTTGGCTATTTAACTTTCTCTTTTGCCAGACAAAGAGCTGTCATGATGAAAGAGGTGATCAGAACACGGGAACTATCTTTTGCATTTCTTTGCCTCTGGTGTCTAGCACCATTTGTGACATAGAGTAGGTTAATGGAATTACTTACTGGAAGTGAAGATACAGAGAATGGGGAGCTGAGGAAGGAAAGGAGGAAAGAAGAAAATCTGGTAAAGTCCAAGGAGAAGAGAGAAGACTAGGGTGGGAGCCCAGAGATGGGAGCAAAAGCGGAAAAATGAGAAAGAGGAGAAACAGAAAGGTGTACCACTTCTCCCAGCACCACCGAAATACGTGTGTGTGCACATGTGTGTAGGTGGGTGGGCAGGTTTGATGTGAGTTGGTGTCCATACATACACACAAGGCAAGCTGTGGAAAAAAAGCTTTCAACATTTGAAGCTTCAATGCTAATTAAAATGCTTTTCCATGTACGTGCACAAGGCTACATCTATCCCCCTCCCCCCTTCCTCTCCCACCATGTGGCTGCTCTAAACCTCACTCTCTTCCTAAGTCCTCAGCCCTTCTTACTTTCAACATCATCTTTTGAAGCAATCAGAGGATACCTTCACATTCTTAAATAGTTTTACACAGGGTAAAACACTCCTTTGTAAGTCACTAAATATGGCCAAATTATAGACATTTTGAATTCCTCCATAATAGAAGGCTCTTTTCGTGAAGAAAAAAACAAACATCCTAAAAGAGAGCAGTCTGAATGAATATAACATGGTCCATTGGGTTAGGGAAGATGCCGAACTGTATCAGCACATCCCACCCCACTCCATGGACCCAGATTGAACTGTCAGCCCTGCCTCCAGACAGCCCCGGGACTTGGTCATGTCATGCCCAGATCCTGCTCTTCAGGAGACAGTGGCATTCGAAGTGACATAAAGAGAACAGTGGCTGAGAACCTACATTCTGGCCCTGAATCTCCTGCCAACCAGTTGTGTGACTTTGGTCAAATGACATTTGACCAACAAGGTCTCAATTTCCCCATCAGAAAAGTAAAAGGTTAGAGACAGGGATCTCCTAGGTTCCATTCCCCTCTACTGTCTACGTCTCTCTTTAAAGTTCTCTAATGCCAGTGAGCATGAGGAGACTCCAGACAGAGCGCCTGCCAGAGAGAATGCTCTGACAAAAAGAAAGAACTCCTGTAACCTCAGGAAGTGGGATCAACAGACAGCTGCACAATTTGCAATGGGGGTAGATATCTAAAAGTCAAAACAAAAACAAAACTCTGTGTTTCTTATCCAGAATCCAAATAATCCTCCACTACTCAAGACTATTTGAAGATTAGGCCCAGCAAGGTGGCACGTGCCTGTAGTCCCAGCTACTCCCAGTGTCTGTAGGCTGAGGCAGGAGGATCACTTGAGCCCAGGAGGGCAAGACAAGTCAGGGCAACACAGTAAGACCCTTTCTTTAAATCAAGGATAAGTTTTAATTTTTTTTAATTTTAAAGAACATTTTAAAATTAGAAGGGATGGGTCCTTCAAGGACCTATAATCTCCTGCCCAGTCCTGGTATTCTCTTTTATCACCCTGCAGGTACCCGTGTCATTGCTTAAACACTTCCAGGAATGAAAAATATCTCCCTGTGCAAAGTTCTGCAGAGATGCAAGCAGGGACGGGTAGCATAGTTACTTAGGGGCCCTGGCATGTGTCACTGGACCCCAGCCAGATTGCTCCCTCATGCTGGAGCCACAGTGTCTGAAATTCTACTATTAGTCATTTATTTCTTTTGCTTCCCTTTCCTCGGATCTCTTAAAATTCAAACATTTCTAGTAGTACTTGCTACCAAAACAAAGCGTTCATGACTTATTGGCTTCCCTCCTGTTCATGAGAACAGAAGGTCAGAGGAGAGCCCTAGGTGATTCTAAAAGAAGAGAGACCCTGAGGATGAGGGGAAAGGTGACAAGATACATTTTAAATACTTTGCACCAGGCCAGATGGGAATATATATGATGAGGATAGGATGATGATGATAGAAAACAATAAACATGCCTACTGTGTGCCAGGCACGCTTCTTAGCACTTCAACTCTAACTCACTGTAAGCACATTTATAAGAACTGGGTAGTTTTTCCAAGTTCCTTGTAAAAGGGACTTGTTACAATGGGACTTACATTGGGACTTGCTACAGTGACTTTCAATAAGCAGCTTATCTGCTCGGAGAAATCACCCCAGATCCTGAAGATCCTGGCTCCTTTCCTGCATTTCCCTTTTCTTTCCTTCTAAAACAAAGATAAATAAGTGTAGTTTTGCAAGTTTGTATAATACATTTACACATATTACATGTATATATAAACTCCGAAGTGGTTAGTGGCTAGTGAGATGCATTGTTGAGGGCGTTTTCAGACCCTCTCCTTCCAGGACCCATAAAAGGTAAATATGCCAACACTCCCACCTGCTGGTTACAATCAATAGTGAAGATTTGGGAGAAATACATGTTTGCATTAATTAATTGGGGTGTACAGAAACCAAGCCGTCCTCATGATTAAGGTTGACCCCGGCCCTGGAGACATCTCAGCTTTGCAAGCTCTCCCAGCCTGTGAGATCATTAGAGTTGAGAGGCACTGGTGTCATGAAGAGCAGAAATCAAAGTGAAGAAACAAGAATAAATAGGAAGGAGAGACGCACGACTCACGCTAAACAAAGGAACAGGACAGAGCCTCCTTCAGCTGGCTCCGGTGATTGGCTATGAGGAATTGCTGTGTGCTGAGATTTTTTGAACAATGTTGAAGGACTGTTTCCTTAGACTGGCATGACACGGCAGTGATGCCTAATTTTTTAGAAAGTTGCGAGACAGAGAGCGAGCGAGAGACCGAGAGCGAGCGACCGAGAGCGAGCGAGAGCGCAAGTTCCAACAGTGCCACCTCCTGGCCATAATGTGGTGAGACAGGCATGACCTATGTCTCGGTTCTCATGGTGGCAACTGTTACTGCTTATAATACTAAAATGTGCAAGTAACTCTTACTGGCCAGGTACTGTAGTAAGCACAGATTGTAATCATGGATGCATTCCACATGGAGTCTTGGGCAACCTTTTACGAGTTTCTTGCTAGACTCCTCCACAAGACTGTATCTTGGGAGAACAGGAACCATCTCTTCTGCAACTTTGGGAACCCAATACTTGGCAGTTAGTCACTAAGAATACAAATGGCAGGAACAGAAAGGGCTGTTTGTGAATTTGTTTCTCAGTGTATTAAAATCAATTAAAACCTCATTAGCAAGCAATACAATGTCAATATCGCAGTAAAGTTTCTGCTAAATCTGGTTTTCCCTGATATAGATCACAGAATTGGGAGCATGCCTGTTGAGACTGTGAACACCAGATGAAGGCAGGAAAAATAATCAGAGTAGCTAGCTCTTTACAGGGAATTGAACTTAAAGTGGCCTCAGGGATATGATTTAATGATTTCCAGCCAGGCGTGGTGGCTCACATCTGTAATCCTAGCACTTTGGGAGGCGGAGGGCAGGAGTTCAAGACCAGCCTGGCCAACAGGGTGAAACCCCATCTCAACTAAAATTACAAAAATTAGCCAGGCATAGTGGTGGGTGCCTATAATCCCAGCTACTCAGGAGGCTGAGGCAGGAGAATTGCTTGAACCTGGGAGGCGGAGATTGCAGTGAGCCAAGACCATGCCACTGCACTCCAGCCTGGGTGACAGAGTAAGACTCTGTCTCAAAAAAAAAAAAAAAAAAAAGATTTTCTAAATACTGAAAACCTTTAAAGGTTCCAAAAAGAGAGACTATCTAGGACTAAGGAAGAATTAAGCAGCACAGACATGCTTCCACACATGCAGGTGGCAGTCACAGAAACCTGCAGGCCAAAGGGAATACAAGGCGACTGTCAGCACAAAAGTGATGCCAAAAATCAGACATTGCCTGCCTGGGATGTGTGCTCAGTGATATGATAGAGGAGGACAAGGAAATCCTTTATTACAGGCAATGTGGAGTCACAGCCATTGCACAATAGCCAAACTTACAGAAAATGGACGTGAATTGTAGCACAAATGGTATTACTTTGTTTAGAAGGAAAGAACTCTGTTTATATTTAAGTGCTAGCGCAGGCTTTTGAGAGAAGCTGTTTATTCCCTTCTTTGAGATTTTTAAAGGAGGGCCATTCTCCCAAGAAATCTCCAACGACAGGCCCAATGAACACCTGGAGTCTCTTCCAGCTCTGTAATACCATGATGTAATCCTTGGTTCTGCTCAAAGGAACACTAATTCAGTGTACCACAATCTCACCAGAAAACTGTCGTATTCAATTTCCAGTTTATGATTTCCACCTTGGTTAAGAATTCTGTCTCTGCTGCTTATTAGCTAGGTGACCATAAGCAAGTTCTCTAACCTCTCCAGCCTATTTCTTTACCTGTCTGTAAGGTGTCTTTTTCAGAGGACTGTCATGATGATTAAATGAGATAAGAGTTGTGAGCTGCTCAGCACAGTGCCTAGTGCACAGCAAGCACTCAAAAGATGGAAGCTATTATTACTGAGGATTGAATGGAAATTAAATTAAAATAAGTGCGGCCAGGCACGGTGGCTCACGCCTGTAACCCCAGCACTTTGGGAGACTGAGGTGGGCAGATCACGAAGTCAAGAGATCGAGACCATCCTGGCTAACATGGTAAAACCCTGTCTCTACTAAAAATTAGCTGGGCATGGTGGCATGCGCCTATAGTCCCAGCTACTCGGGAGGCTGAGGCAGGGGAATCACTTGAACCCAGGAGGCAGAGGTTGCAGTGAACCGAGATGGCTCCATTGCACTCCAGCCTGGCGACAGAGCAAGACTCTGTCTCAAAAAAAAAAAAAAGTGCTCAGAACAATGCCCAGGCCCATAGTAAACACTAAACTTTACTGAAAATGTACGAATTGTAAATGAAGTTCTAAAGCAAAACAATTTTTTTATCTTCATGTAGAGGATACGATAGTATTTTGGGGAAAAAAATTCATCACTAGTTATGTCATTTTGGGTAAGTCACTGAAACCTCTGAATTTCTGTTTCTTCTCTGCAAAATGTGAGTGGCAGTGGATTAGATGATCACCATTGTTTCTTCCCGTTTTAAGGAGTCTGGAATTCTAAAGAATACCAGAACTTATATACACTAAAAATGTATCATATATACCATATAAAACTCTAGTTATAAACTAAGAAATAAGCAGTCACTAATAATGTAAGTTGATCAAAAACTTAAAAATCACTATAGGCCTACAGTATAAGACACCATAAACATAAAAATCTTTTAATTATTAAGGATGGATTAAATAATAAGCAACTATTAGATACAGAATTAAAGACAAAACAAAGATATTTTCATTTTTTATATAATTTCCTTTTCACATTCAGAGCAAGCAATTATTTTGAGCTTCTTATTCCATAAGAATGGCATATAGCGAGCTTAAGTAATCCCAGATTCCAAATTTGAGGAATCCAAATTGATGCTCTTTTACATTCAGGAGTCAGCAAACTTTTCTGCAAAGAGCCAGATAGTAAATATTTTAGGCTTACTCAACCCTTCCCTCGCAGCTCAAGAGCAAAGAATGCGTACATGAATGGCTGTGGCTGCATTCCAATAAACTTTATTTATGGACACAAATTTGAATTTCATACCATTTTCAAGTGTCAAGAAATTTTAATATTCTTTCTAATTTTTTTAATTTACCACTTAAAAATATAAAAACTATTCTTAGCTTGTAGAGTGCAAAAAAACAAGCAGTGTGCAGCAATTAGCCCAAGGGCCGTAGTTTGGCAACCCTGCCGTAATTACATATTTTGGGAAATAAAGTAGTAATGTAAGAAATCCGGAATTGGCAGAATGCCGTTATGGGATTTTCACGGGTTGGTTTGTTGATGTTTGTTTTGCTGCACTGTTTTCACCTGCCACTCCTCTAAGAGCGGCCACTACAAACCACCCACCCTTTCTCGCTCCCTGTGGCAAGGGTCCTGGGTTTAACATAGCCAGGTCCTGGGTTTAACATAGCCAGGTCCTGGGTTTAACATAGCCAGGTCCTGGGTTTAACATAGCCAGGTCCTGGGTTTAACATAGCCAGGTCCTGGGTTTAACATAGCCAAGGTAAGCCTGACACCTTGTGGTTGCATTGCGAACGGCAGGAGCTACCTTGGAAGTTAGCAGCACTGCACATCTGGGGAAGGGGAAATCCAGGAGGGAGCGGGGACTGCGGGGCCAGTCAATGAACCAGTCAGCAGGTGGTGGTGGTGGTGGTGGCGGCGGCGGCGGTGGTGGGTGGTGGGGGTGGTGGGGGTGGTGGTGATGTTGTTGTTGAAATGAGGAAGGATAAAGTCCAGAACTCACTATCTGACTTCTCTCTCCAAAGAGAACTTCCAAAATGCTACCTATGGGGGCACTTCATCCTATTAAAAAAATGAAGCAGCAGTGGCCAGGCTCGGTGGCTCACGCCTGTAATCCCAGTACTTTGGGAGGCCAAGGTGGGAGAATCACCTGACGTCAGGAGTTCAAGACCAGCCTGACCAACATGGTGAAACCCTGTCTCTACTAAAAAAAAAAAAAAACATCAGCCGGGCATGGTGGCAGGAGCCTGTAATCCCAGCTGCTTGGGAGGCTGAGGCAAGAGAATCACTTGAACCCTGGAGGCGGTTTCAGTGAGCTGAGATCTCGCCATTGCACTCCAGCCTGGGTAACAAGAGCGAAACGCCATCTCAAAAAATTAAAAACTAAAATAAAAATGAAGCAGCAACTTCCAGAGCCTTCACAACCAAAGGCTCCATGGACACTCAAGACTTTCCTTGGTTCAGTTAAATCTCCCACTTCTAGCCCTTAGCATTCGGGCGGGAGAAAGGGAAACTGGGCACGCTCCTCACTCCCACTCCTCCCAGATGCTTACACTCGAGAAAGAAGGAAAACCCACAGGACCTAACTGCTACTGAAAATCAGGAGTTAGCTGGCACAGTAGCTCACACCTATAATCCCAGCACTTTGGGAGGTTGAGGCAGGCGGATCACCTGAGGTCAGGAGTTGGAGACCAGCCTGGCCAAAATGGTGAAACCCCATCTCTACTGAAAGTACAAAAGTTAGCCAGGTGTGGTGGTGCCTGCCTGCAGTCTCAGCTACTTGGGAGGCTGAGGCAGGAGAATCTCTTGAACCTGAGAGGGAGAAGTTGCTGTAAGCCAAGATCGCACCATTGCACTCCAGCCTGGGTGACAAAGTGAGACTGTGTCTCAAAAAGAGAAAATCAGGAGTTGTACTCTGGGAAACAGCAAATAAGGGGCTTCAAGGAGGTAAAAACCAGTCATTGAACTGTTACAATAGCCCTGAGGCAACACAGAGTTGTATTCATTGCTTGCCCAGGTCAGACTGTCCCAAGCACTGTACAGGATGTCCCAAGCACTGTACACTGTGCTAGGACGAAGTGTTTTGCTTGTTTTGAGAAAAGGGTTGAAGAGACCATTCTTTCCATTGTCCTTCCTCTAGAAGTGTTTCCCCAAAACATTCTAGACTCGTTATTCCTATCCTATAAATTATGCAGGAAAGGAGGTTCTGCACCATGCTAGGTTGGGAAGTTCATCCTTTCATCTAATTCACAGCTGTCCCTCTGTGTTTCTGAGAAAGCAAAGAGAGGGGGGATACTTAGAGGGAATTTGGCAGCACTTTCCCCTGGGCAAGAGCCTCCTCTTTGGAGGTAACAAGCCCTGAGAGTCTCAGATGCATGCTGAACCACCACACTGCAGGAAGGGGTCAGATGGGCTGAAAAGAATCAGCGATGACCTCGACTGTCAACATCCCCAGCATAAGCACAGAGCTGGGTACCTGGGGGCAGGTGAATTGGCAAAGGATTTAAAGGCCCTGATCCCAGCGGTTCCTAATGCATCACCCACATTGACAACTCAGAGAAAGGCACAGTTGGTGGATGAGTCTAGAGTTTGTAGGTAGAGAACAGGGCCCTCCACCCAATCCAGACCTGTGTCATTGAGACTGGGATGGGATGCAGTTTTGTGGTCTTGAGACCATGTCATCCCTCTCTTCCTGAATACTACCCCCTTCCCTAGGGGGCAGTGGTGACATGGGACAGAATAAATTCACCTCATACACATTTGTTCCTGGGGCTGTGGCAACGCAGTGAAAGGGCCTGCCACCTTACTTGAAGTCCCGGGCAACTAGCAGTATCCAGAAGAGAAGACCTTTTTCAGGGACTGGAGGTCTGTTTCCCTCTTGGGGAAATGCTAACTTCCAACCTCAGTGCTGGTAACTTACCACTGTGCTGGCCTCTGCCCCACCTGCCCTCTAACAGGACAGTGAGAGTCCCTCTTAGGGTTAACCAGGTGGGTTGTTTTTTGTTTTGTTTTTGTTTTCCCCATCTTCAGTTTGGAGTGAAAGTTAGGAAGGCTGTGCAGTAGTGATGAGAGGAGGGCATGATTTTAGCATGACCTTTTCCTCCTCTCCCTTTATGCTTTACAATGAAAAGCTCAGGAACCTTCTCCCCACACAGTCGGATCTCCGGAGGCATCTGCAGGGATCCCAACAGTGTCGGGCTCTGCAGTCGGACTCTGCAGGGATCCGAACAGGGTCGCTGAGACCAGTGCACGAGCCTCTTCGGAAGATGCATCCTGGACTCTTGGCCGCAGAGGAGAAAGCGGTTGGGGTCTCCCAGGGACTCTTTCTAAAGGGTCAGTCCAGCATGGTAGGGGTTAACGTGGGTCCACGCGTAGAGGGAAAGGAAAGAAGTTGTAGTTGACACTTCAGGGGGGCGGGTGGCGGACGGGTCTCGCTGCCTGATTGGTTTTGCATTTCATCCCAATTTTTTTTTCTCCACTCTCTCTCCCTCTTTTCAGTTTCTCTCTCTGATCCCAGGGGAGGGGAAACGGGAATAGTGAGAGATCAAAAATAAACCTCTTATGTCAAGCCGGGAAGGAAGTATAAATAAGAAGGGCTCGGCAGCCCACTCGGTGCTTCCCGGGGTGGGGAGGAGGCAGGAGGCGGCTGCGCGGGGCTGGCGCGGGCAGGGGCGGAGGACGGGCGCACGCGGGCCGGGGCCAGCTGCTCGCGCTCGGCTCGGGGGCGGCGGCGCGGGAGGAGCGGGCTGCGCCAGCCAGAGGGGCCGCCGGGGGAGCGCTCCCGCCGCCGGGCCCCGCGGGCCGAGTCGGCCTTGCACCCGATTGATTCCGCTTTTCCTGGAGAGAGCGGCCGGGCCGCGCTCGGGCCGCCAGCACCTGCCCGCGCCTGGCGGGCTTCTTCCCTCTCCTGCGCGCAGCCACCGCCGCAGCCCCCATGCTCCCCGCCCCCGCCGCCCCCCGGTGGCCTCCGCTCCTGCTGCTGCTGCTGCTGCTGCTGCCGCTGGCCCGCGGCGCCCCGGCCCGGCCCGCAGCCGGGGGGCAGGCCTCGGAGCTGGTGGTGCCCACGCGGTTGCCCGGCAGCGCGGGCGAGCTCGCGCTCCACCTGTCCGCCTTCGGCAAGGGCTTCGTGCTGCGCCTGGCGCCCGACGACAGCTTCCTAGCGCCCGAGTTCAAGATCGAGCGCCTCGGGGGCTCCGGCCGGGCGACCGGGGGCGAGCGGGGGCTGCGCGGCTGCTTCTTCTCCGGCACCGTGAATGGGGAGCCCGAGTCGCTGGCGGCGGTCAGCCTGTGCCGCGGGCTGAGCGGCTCCTTCCTGCTGGACGGCGAGGAGTTCACCATCCAGCCGCAGGGCGCGGGGGGCTCCCTGGCTCAGCCGCACCGCCTGCAGCGCTGGGGTCCCGCCGGAGCCCGCCCCCTCCCGCGAGGACCCGAGTGGGAGGTGGAGACGGGAGAGGGTCAGAGGCAGGAGAGAGGAGACCACCAGGAGGACAGCGAGGAGGAGAGCCAAGAAGAGGAGGCAGAAGGCGCTAGCGAGCCGCCACCGCCCCTGGGGGCCACGAGTAGGACCAAGCGGTTTGTGTCTGAGGCGCGCTTCGTGGAGACGCTGCTGGTGGCCGATGCGTCCATGGCTGCCTTCTACGGGGCCGACCTGCAGGTAGGACTGAGAGCCTCCTCCAGCCGCCGTGCCCGGAGGCCCCCCAGACGCCTCCCAGCGTCTCTAAAATCTCCCCTTCCAATCCCTCTGAGAAAAAAAAAAAAAAAAAAAAAAAGCCCTCCCCACTCATCTTCTCCAGCCTTACCCCAAACGAGATTCTCTCCTGTCTGAGAAAGAGCAGTAACTCTTTTCTGAACTTCTGCCACCCTGGATCCCTGCGCCCCCACCCCCAGGTCCCTTCCAGTTTAGAGTGGGGCTGCCGACGCCCATCCCTCTCATCCGAATCTCCCGCGGCACGTGGCGCACTGACCCGAAAGTGGGTATCAACGCATTCCCCGGCACCTGCCTCTCCCAGCAGAGATGAAAATTGAGCGTTTACGAATAGCTCCCACTCCCACCCCTCAGCCCTCTACTGCCTCCAGATCTGAGAGGCTCCCAGGGAAAGGCAGATGGGATGGAGAGAGATGGCTGTCTGATTCCCTTGGGTATGGAGGTCGCCATAAGCAAAAGACATTGTTTGAAAGGAGCTGAACCTGGAGAGGGGCTGCCCAACTTCTGTGCAGCCAGCTGGTTGTGATCAATGGGGCATGGACTACCTTGCCAACCTGGCGCTCAGCCCCGGCAGAACTTGGCAATGCCAGCAGCCAGCACAAGAGGGAGGGGCAGAGAACTTCTGCCTGGGGGCTCAGCCCAGGAGCTGAAGCTTTGGTGGAAACGCGAGGGGCGCAGGGGCTGGAACGAGCTCTTTGGGTGAATGTCTCTAGTAAAGCCAGACCCACACTTGGTCCACCCAGCTGCCCTTAGCCCAGACACAGCTCTTACCTAAACAGGGGAGAAAAACAGAGTCCAGGGGATGGCTACCTAACCAGACCATTTCTAACTAGATGCAAAGATGGTGCTGACTCAGCAGGAGGTGTCTGTGTTGCCCTAAACCCCAATTTCTCCCCTAAAGACCAGGTGAAGGCTTTTCCAGGAGGAAAAGAGGGTAAGGCTTCCAGAAGAGGGGTGCTCTTTGCCCCTAGGGAGCACAGAACCAGAGATGTGCCAGGGAAGGAAGAACTGACCTGCCCAGACGTCATAGTTCCCTGAAACAGGGATCCTGGCAATGCAGCAGCTAAGCTGACACTTTGTGGTGATGGCATCCTTGGCCGGGACCCAATACTAGGCTCAGTCTGTGCCCGACTGCTGGGGGCCCCAAGGGCATAGGCATTGCCTGTGCAGAATAGTCCAGACAAGGAGGCGATCAGCCTTCTGTTTCTCACCCCATCTTTCCCACCCTCTATCACTGGGAAAGGCAGGGTAGGAAAGACCCAGGGAGAAACAGATGATTAGGATGGGAACTGCTGTGGGTGAGAGTCCACGTGGCTGCCCCTCTGGCTACTGCAGGTGCTGACTACACCCCAGGGACGCACCCCTGCAAGCCCTTGTGGTATTTGCTTCCCCAAAAGCAGGGCAGAGCAGCTTTGGGTCACGCTGATTTAACACCTGTTTCCCTGCCTGTCCTGAGAGCACGGAGCGGTGGGAGCACCAGCCCTCTCCTCTGACTCCTTTCTTTAAGCAAGTACTAGAGAGTGTGGCAGGAGAGGGGTGAGAAGAGGGCTTCTCCCATCTCTTTAGGACCCCCACACCTGGCTCCTAGGGGGCTCCACCAGAAAGAAGCTAAGATGGCCGGGCACGGTGGCTCAAGCCTGTAATCCCAGCACTTTAGGAGGCCGAGGTGGGCAGATCGCAAGCTCAGGAGATCAAGACCATCCTGGCTAACACGGTGAAACCCCGTCTCTACTAAAAATACAAAAAAAATAGCCAGGCGTGGTGGTGGGCGCCTGTAGTCCCAGCTACTCGGGAGGCTGAGGCAGGAGAATGGTGTCAACTCAGGAGGCAGAGCTTGCAGTGAGCGGAGACCGCGCCACTGCACTCCAGCCTGGGTGACAGAGCAAGACTCCATCTTAAAAAAAAAAAAAAAGAAAAAAGAAAAACACAAAAAAAGTAAGAAGCTAAGATGCACCCATTGCAAACCCAGAGCGGGGTGCTACACCCCTCTACCCCCACACATGGAACAGATTCTGACATCTACCTAAGAACCAAAACATAGGAAAGCCAAGAGAACTCCGTGCCAGCAGAGAAAGTCCATTTTTCAGCCTTCAGGGCCAGACTGTCTCACTCTCTCAGCTGATCACCTGGACGCTGGAGATAACTGAGTATTTGCCTCAGGGACATACTCGCATCTCCAGACATCCTAGCTATCTAGAGGCAGACATGCTCTGAGGCCCGACCCCAGGATGCCCGGGCTGCTGAAGCAGGAGACTCTGCTTGGGTTTGCACCCGATTTTGTTCCCTTCAGCTTAAAGTTCAGGTCTGCTGCCCCAGACAATTCGGCTTTCTCTGTGTCAGAGACACCCAGGCATTGCCATCCTCATGAGACTCCTGACCGGGCGATGTGGCTCCTGCTTGCCCCGCTCCCCATCCCCCACAAACACGCATTTCTGGACCTTTCCCAGCTGCACATTGGCACCTGCACACCCAGCCAGCCCACCTGGACCAGGAGAGCGCAGCAAAACAGGCATCGGGCACCTCTGAAGGCTGAGTTCCTCTCCCTAGGGGGTTGACTTCTGAGTCTCACCTGGAAGAAAAGTCTTCCCTCAGGGAGACTAGCCCCGCCACCTCCACCCTGGGTCTCATGTCCCATCCCACCTGTGCTCCTGCTGCCACCGTGGCGGGTGGGGGAGGGACTGAGGTACAGCTGTGTCCAGGACCACCCTCGGGCCCCTGTGCTATGATGAGCTGACCAGCCTTGGAGATGCTGCAGGACAGGCGTGACTGTCTCAGCTCAGTCCCCTGCGCTTCCGAAAACAGATCCATGAGCCCAGCTGAGAGAAGAATGAAAATCAAGTTCCCGTGCCTCAAGACCTTGGCTGCCCACACCCACCTCCTGCAAATGGAAGCCAGTCCTTTATGTGGAGACCTCATTCACACAGAGGGAAGGCACTCTGGGGTGATTACTCTTGGTAATCAGGGGTGTGGAGGATGAGAAGAGCCTTTACCTCTCTAGGGCTTAGAGTTCCTCATCTGTGAAGCAGGACACCTGGACTAGGTGATCAATCCCGGTCTGAGCACCTGTGTGGCTGCTTCATGATGAGCCAGTCTTCTGGAAGGTTTAGCCACTCTCTGAGCGTGTTCAATTCACAGCGTGGTTTTACACACATCACCTCCATGAAAATACCAGTGAGGGGGGCAGAGGGAGACTGCACAGCTCACAGAGGACATGTGGCTTCCTCAGGATCAGACAGCACCGATCAGGATCAGTAAGTGGCAGGGCTGGGCCTGCAGACCAAGTCTCCCAAAGCTGAATCCTGTGCACTGTTATCCCACCAGGCGGCCTCTTTCTCAGGACTAGGGTCTGTGGCTCTGTCGACCCTCTGATACTTGCTTATGTTGTGGGAGTGGGTCTTTAAATCCAGCAGTTCAAAGCCATCCAGGCCCACTGTGAGGCCCTATCCTGCAAAGAAACCGCCGTGGAGGCTGAGAGAAAGAACGCACCACTGCCAAAGCTGGTCTCACTATGTTACGCGACAATGAAGTTTTCCAGAGCTCTGTCAATTGAGTTCATTTAATCCCATGAGAAAAGGGGCCCCTGTCTCCCACCTTCTTATCTGGTTTCAGAGTTAAGGAGCTCAGACAGAGGGGCCTTTCTGAAAGGAGGGACCACCTGGGAAGACTCCATTAGCTCTGTCTACGTCCAGCTGCTGCTCAGTGTCCCCTGTGTGAACCCGGGGCGAGATGGAGTGAGGGGCAGCATGGCAGTGCCCACTCTCGCCAGCCTGGGACGCCTGTCCCGCCAGTGCTTCTGCAGTGAGCAGAGTTTTCGAGTCCTCTTCTTAGCAGAGAGGGTCCGAAAAGTGGCGCTCATCTTCCCAAAGTCCAGCAGAACACTCGCAGGAGGTCAGATTCTGGGGACTGACTTCAGGGACGGCTGTCACAGCCATCTCCATGCCCCCTTACCTGCATGCTGTGGGGAAAATGTCTTCCACAAGACACTAAAGTGGGCATGCAGCCTAGGTTGTCCAGCAGCATCCCAGTTTCTGCCTGTTCTGGCATAATTATTAATACTACCGTCTTTCCCTCTCAAGGGTGTCCTGGTTTGGATGACAACAGAAACAGATTCATGCCCCCCCCTGCTCTGTGGCTACCAGGGAGAAAGACAAGTGTTATATGTGCGTGATGTCCTTCCCATTGGCAAAAGAATGCATCTTTTCCATCCCTTATGTCTGCTGCAGTCAGAATGATCAAAGATATGGAGTATTTCCCAAAGAAAATGTCTCAGTGTCCAAAGATCGCCCCTTCCCCATCTCCCAGGAGGTGGGGTGTGCATAGGCAATGACAGGCGGACTTGCTGCTTGCAAGCCTTGGGTTCACTTTGGCTAGGCTGCAGTTTTCCTTACAGCAGCAAAGATGGGTGGCAGTTAGTACAGAGACTAAGAACACAAACTTTGGAATGAAATCGAAATAATGTAGTGTCCTTGAGCAAGTCACCTATTTCTGTGTACCTCGATTATTTCAGGTAGGAGCAGTTATACCAATGTCCTAGCCTTGTCTTGAGGATGTAAGAAAATATGGAATGCACCTGACCTGGTGCCTGGTCCAGACGACATACTCAGCAAGGCATGGCTATTACTAGAGTTGCCTTCGGTGATGGAAACCATTTGTTAGAGTGGGGAGGATGGGCTGGGCCATGCCATCAGAGTGCCGGCCACCGCTGTTTCAGCTTTGCTGTTCCACATGGCAGAGGAACCTTCTCTTTCAGTTGCCCATGCTCAGTGGTGAAGGCTGACTTGTAGTTCAGCGTCAGCGTATGCTTTCAAGGGACAACATTGCTCTTTGCTGCTTGCAGAACAAGAGGAGATGAAGCATATGATGCAGGTTGCTCTTTTCTCCTCTCACTTCTTTCCTCTCGCTTTGCTTCTCCATCTCCACACCCCCAGCTCAGTCTCAGGCCCTAGAGACGTCAGATAGGAAGAGGGAATGCAAGAGCTTCCCGGGGCCACTTTTCCTCACCTGACCTCCCCCCAGGCGCGCCGCAAGGGAAAGCTGTGGAGCCACCGGTGAAGCGCAAACCGGCTGGATGTAATGATGACATCGGGGCGGGAGGAGGCCGGCCCGTCCCCATCACCCACCGCAGCTGGCTTCGGCTACCACAGAAGCTCTGAGGAAGGAATCTCCTTGTTCGTATCTCAAAGAACCAAAAGGGGCTCTGGCCCACCCAACTGGCCAGGGTGTTGTTATTTTTTTTTAATTCATTTTTTTTTAATAGAGACAGGATCTCACTATGTTTCCCAGGCTGGTCTCAAGTGATTCTCCCACCTTGGCCTTCCAAAGTGCTGGGGTTACAGACATGAGCCACCCTGACTGGCCTGATGTTCATCTCTACTCCAGGTCCTGGGGTCACTCATGCACGAGCAGACTCCCTAAAAAGTGCCGCCTCTCCCTAACAAAAGTGAAGAGTATGGGATCCCCAAGTCATTCAAGAGCAGGTTGTTTGACCACCCTGGCTGGGCTGACCGTGGGCTCCCACCTACCTGCCGTGGTTTGGGGGGCGGCTGCTCTGCTGATGCCTCTGCTCCTCAGGGGGGCCAGGACCCCGTTCACATTCTTCACATGCAGCTTGCATTGGTGTGGGGAGCAGGGAGGTGTAAATCGGCACCAGGTGGTGGAGCAAGCCATCTGACTTCCTCCTTGACCAGCCGCAGGCCTGATCCCCACAGGACTCTCAGTCAGGCCTGTCCTTTGAACCCAGGATATTGGGGGAGAATCAAAGGCTCACAGCCCTGAGGTCCCCCACCTCACCCAGGCTCAGTGGTCCTTCTCCGTAGGGAACTGTGAGACGCACCGCATATATAAGGCATTCCTCTGGTCATTTCTCAGAAGAGCGGACTGGGAGGGGAAAACCAAAAACTCAGTAGAACAAGAGATAAGGAGAGATCAGTGGGATCGGGATCTGGGATTTTGAAGGGAACACTGGACCACAGAATCCTCCTAGCCTTCTTGAAAATGAAAAGTATCTTCTGAGACAGCGGCCAGAAGGACCTTCAGATGTCCTCAAGTCCAGCCCACCCCTCGAAGCTAAATGGCTCTGAAGCCGGCCCTGCCTGACAGCTATGCACTGTCTGGAGAAGACAATGATATGAGCTGTAGAGAAGGAGGCTCCCTGGGAACCTTAGGGCCGGGAAGCTCCTTGTGCTGTCTTGCCCTGATCTTCAAGCAGCAGTTTATTCTGCATGAAAATCAGGGGTTAACCCTCACCTTCCTCCGGTCTTCACTGAGGATGTGAGCACTGCCTCATCTCTCACTCAGCCTCCCTCCGATCTGCTCAACGTGGGCACACAGACTTGCCCCAACCTCCTGTCTTTAGCTCCTTGTGCTGAGCTGTCTCGGCCCCGAAGCTTAGCAGCTGGTGTTCCTTAGCTTTACACCTTCCTTGTGCGACCTCATCTTCCCCATTTTGAGATTGTGAAACTGGGACTCAGCGGGAAGAAATCTTGTGATGACGGTTGCAGTTTGCCTCAGAAGAAATTCCAGGGGTTGGTCCCTGGCCCATCAGACCCTGGTCCTTCTTAGAGAGATCAGGATACTGTTGGCCTCCTGGAAGCAGCAAAGACCCGGCCAGGAGTTCATCTCGGCAAGCCACCATTCCTCAGCGCTCACCCCCGGTTGCATAATGATGTGATTGCTTTTTGTCCCTCCAGAATCCAACTCCAGGAGCAAGTGCCAAGTTTCAGCCTTGTTGATAAGATGTTTACATCAGCCTAAACATTGCTGGAGTGCTTGACACGCCAAGTAACCTGCCAACCCCTGCTTGTAGGGCTAACAAAATACCTGGCTCATTGCCTGTGAGGTGAACAGACAGATCCCATTCACAAATAATGGGATTCATCTGGAACGCCCACACATGGCCTCACCCGATGGAATGTCCCTCTCTACCCTTTCCTTTCTCCTCCTTCCACTCCCACCTTCCAGACCACAGGAGGAGAGGAAGAGGGGATCCCAAGAGGTGGTGATCTAGGGATCGGAGAGGCAGGGCAAGCAGGTGCTGCCCAACTGACCACACTCCAGGCTCAAGGAACACCCACCTCTGCCTCTGTGTCTCCTCTTCCACAAAATGCTCAAAGAGGGCCACTTCAAGGGGTCGCTGAGGCAGGAGAGCGAGTTCCCATCTGGCCTTCTCTCCAAGCCTTGGAATCCAGCAGGGGAGCAGTTGGCAGCCCAGGGACAAGACAGAGGCCAAGCAGTGATGTATGCTCTGTTGGCCAGCCTGGGTGGAAGGGAGAGCAGGTGAGATCCCAAGCACATGGGTCCTCTTAGGCCCACGGGATCCTCTCAAGCCCCAGTCAGGAGGGAACGAACCCTTCGGGGCTGTCCAGGCAGACACCAGGAAGCCACGCCCGGGGAAACCTAATGAGAGCACGGTGGACCTCAGAGACAGGCACACCTGGGCTGGCCTCCTGGTTTCAATAGCTGCGTGACCTTCAACAGGTTAATTTGCATGACCTTCCTCATTCGTGAAATGGAATTACAGCACCTTCTTCACAGAGTTATTGTGAGAATTGAATGAGGTACTGTGGCAGAGTAGCTGTTGTTAGGAGTGATTATCACAGCAAAGTTTTCAGTGTTAACAAATCCCCCCCCAAAGAGTAGAGTTACCCCAATAGACAACAGGAAAATGTTCAGCTGGATTCTAAGAGGGAATTCTACTAACCTTGAGCGCTCAGAACTTTGCTTCTGGGCTGAGGCCGGGGACGGGTGGGGGTGGTTGGCAAGGAGACGGTGTCAGGATTAAGGCAGAATAAGCCATGCCGTCCAGTAGAACTTTGTATCTGCACATTCCAGTGCAGTAGCCACGAGCCATATATGACTATTGAAGCACTAGAAATGTGGCCTGTGCCACGCTATAAGTTTAAGGTTTTGGATTTTAATGAATTTGGATTTAGGTCGTCCCCTGAAGCTGTCCTGGATGTTAGACACACAAGTTCGGAGCAAGGCAGGTCTGGGTTCAAAGACCACTGTTCATGCATCAGCTTTGTGACCTCGTGCAGGTTCTTGAGCCTGTTTTCTCACATGCAAAATGAAGGGAGTAACACGGAGACCTCGGGGGTATTGTGAGGCTTTGGTAGGAATCTGATGCTCAGCCCCATAACAAGAGGTGATGGCAGCGGACAGGCCAGGCCAAGGGCCCTGAGACTTAACCCTTCACTCCGCCTCTTGTCTCCTCCTTCCTGACAGAACCACATCCTGACGTTAATGTCTGTGGCAGCCCGAATCTACAAGCACCCCAGCATCAAGAATTCCATCAACCTGATGGTGGTAAAAGTGCTGATCGTAGAAGATGAAAAATGGGGCCCAGAGGTGTCCGACAATGGGGGGCTTACACTGCGTAACTTCTGCAACTGGCAGCGGCGTTTCAACCAGCCCAGCGACCGCCACCCAGAGCACTACGACACGGCCATCCTGCTCACCAGACAGGTCCGTGCCTGGCTCCGGAAGCCCTGGGGAGGAAGGGAGACAGGATGGGCAGATCAAAGGGAGGACCACGAGGCCTGCCCAAACATGGGAAACGTCTCCCTGCTGGCCCCAGCTGGACGCCAGAGCCTCATGCCCAGAATGATGAGGAGGTCATGAGGACAAGTGTGAGGTATTTGCAAGGGAAGGAGAAGAATCTTGTAAGGGCTCTCTTCCAAAAGTTTGTGACCAGCTGTCTCCTGAGGTCACACATAACAAGAAGAAATGGGCTCAAGCTGCCCAGTGAGAGATCTGGGCTTGGAATGAAGAGAGTAGTTCTAGCTGCAGTGGTTGTAAAACACAGGGGCAGGTAGCCAGGGGGTCCCCTCAAGATCTGCCCACAGCAGGAGGGCTGCCCACCTACACGGCATGACTTAAACAGACAGCTTCCTGAAAGCAAGAGAGCGATCCTGTGTGCCAGGCCCTGTCTGCTCCTTCAGTCTCATAAGGGCCCCATCGGGCAGGCCCTGGTGTTATCCCCATTTTGTAACAGAGAAAACTGAGGCACAGAGTGGCCACACAGCTCTCGTGCCACATAGCGGCAGCGCCCATAGTCCAGCCAAGACAGTGCTGCTGTAGAGTCATGTTCTGAATGACTGTGCTGTCCTGTCCCCACAAAAAGCCTTTGAAGTCCCAGCCAGCCCTAGGATGCAGCCAGCCCTAGGATGCAGCCAGCCCTAGGATACAGCCAGCCTGTAACATAGAACAGGCTCCCTTACATGAATGGCTGATGTGAAGACAGACAGAGATTTCCCGATCTTATCACTCAGAAATCCATCTTGATAGCCTTTGTATTTTATATTCTTTTTGGTTTTTAATTTTGTTTTGTTTTGTTTGAGACAAGGTCTCGCTCTGTCACCCAGGCTGGAGTTCAATGGCACAATCACAGCTCACTGCAGCCTCTGCCTGCTAGGTCCAAATGATCCACCCACCTCAAGCCTCCTGAGTAGCTGAGATGACAAGCGCAAGCACCTTGCCCAGCTAAATTTTTTTTTTTTTTTTTTTTTTTGCTTTTTGTAGGAATGGGGTTTCACTATATTGCCCAGCCTTGTCTCCAGCTCCTGGACTCAAGCAATCTACCTGCCTCGTCCTCTCAAAATGCTGAGATTACAGACTGTTTTTATTTTTTAACAAAAGGAAATTTCACAGGTTACTCTCCAATTTAGAAAGATGGGGGACGGGTGAACTGGCTTGACCATAAACACAAAAAGAACCAATAAAGCGAGGCCACTAGGTGGGATATCCAGACACGTTGAAACTGCTGTTGCGTCTTCCTCCTTAAAAAAGGTCAGCCAGGCACATGGCAAGCGGCTGTAGTCCCAGCTACTTGGGAGGCTGAGGTGAGAGAATCACTTGTGCCCAGGAGTTTGAGGCTAAGTGAGCTACAATTACTCCTGTGAATAGCCACTGCATTCCAGCCTGGGCAACATAGCCAGACCTCGTCTCTAAAGTTTAATTTAGGCCGGGCACGGTGGCTCACGGCTGTAATCCCAGCACTTTGGGAGGCCGAAGGAGCCGGATTGTCCGAGGTCAGGAGTTTGAGACCAGCCTGGATAACATGGTGAAACCCTGTCTCTACTAAAAATACAAAAATTAGCCAGGTGTGGTGGTGCACGCCTGTAGTCCTAACTACTTGGGAGGCTGAGGTGGGAGAATCGCCTCAACCCCATAAGCAGAGGATGCAGTGAGCTGAGATCGTGCCACTGCACTCCAGCCTGGATGACAGAGCAAGACTGCATCTCAAAATAATAATAATAATAATAATAATTTAATTTAATTTAAAAGCTCAATAAATGCAGGTGATGCACAGGCCAGCAAACATGTTATGGGACGCTCAGTGGTCCACTCCCACGTGCACGCTGGCCACACCCGGCCCTGCAGGCCTGCAGCGCACCCCACACACACACTGATGCACTCTCTTGCTCTCTCCCCGCCACGCAGAACTTCTGTGGGCAGGAGGGGCTGTGTGACACCCTGGGTGTGGCAGACATCGGGACCATTTGTGACCCCAACAAAAGCTGCTCCGTGATCGAGGATGAGGGGCTCCAGGCGGCCCACACCCTGGCCCATGAACTAGGTAAGATTTGCTGTGCCAAAGCCCACTTCACCACATCGGAGGGAACTGCTCTTCCAGATCCAAGGTTGCGTAGATCCTAAGGAATATGCGGCCCTTGCTTAGGAATAGCTCCTCCTAATTTTGACAGGGTGACTGTATACAAACAGATACCGCGCTTGACAGTGCTGAACACAACTCCGCTCCCACCCCGAGCACATGGCCAAAATACAAAAGCAGCATCCCACACGATTATCACAGGTCACCGGGCAAATGCCAGGACACAGGACACCAGACACGTGCTGGGGTGGAGGCGTGGAGCTGTGCACAAGCTAAGCCGTGGGATCTGGGGGAAGAACAATGGTCCAGGGACTGTCATGTGAGAGGGCAAATAACAGAGCTAGATCCAAATTCAGGACGGGCTGAGGCAGAAAATAAAGGGGTATCCGTGTTTCTTAGTCATCTGAGAACGCGTCCTGGAAGAGCAAAGCGCAGGGGAAAGCCCTACGCAGAAATCTTCGGAGAGTGAGGGGGTGGCTGCTCCCCTGAGGAGCTCCATCTCTGTCCCTAGCTGGGCCAGGTGGGGCGCCCTCAGGCAGGACAGGGCGGAGTGGACCAGGCCTCTCTCCCCAGGGCACGTCCTCAGCATGCCCCACGACGACTCCAAGCCCTGCACACGGCTCTTCGGGCCCATGGGCAAGCACCACGTGATGGCACCGCTGTTCGTCCACCTGAACCAGACGCTGCCCTGGTCCCCCTGCAGCGCCATGTATCTCACAGAGCTTCTGGACGGCGGGCACGGTAGGCACCGGCGGCCCCGCCCTACTTGTCCCCGTGGGCCTCCTTCCACTGGTGCTGGCGCAGAGACCCCCTCCAGCTGTGCCTCCTCACAGGGCCCTTAGAGCTGAGTCCCCGGCCAGCCTCCCACGCTGGGGCATTCACACCACCCCCGAAGTCTGCTCTTCTGGCCCCATCTTCCAGCAGCCGAGTTCTGCGCTAATTTAGATTAGTCACAAGGCAGGGGGAAGTCATCCGAGAAGGTTGTCTGAAGGAGGAGGGTTTGAGCAGCGCTTGAAGGAATAGAAGCACATAGCACAGAGGAGAGACGAACCTACAACAGCTCAGGCGTGACAGAGGCAGTGACTGCGTCCTGTGAGAGCAAGAGGGCGGGGAGCTGGTTCAAAGGACTGGAGCCAGGCATGGGGTGCACACCTGTGGTCCCAGATACTCAGGAGGCTGAGGCAGGAGGATCACTTGAGCCCAGGAGGTCAAGGCTACCAGTAAGCTGTGATCATGCCACTGACTCCAGCCTGGGTGACAGAGAGAGACGCTATCTCTTTAAAAAAAAAAAAAAAAAAAAGGGCCAGGTGCAGTGGCTTCTGCCCGTAATCCCAGCACTTTGGGAGGCTGAGGCAGGTGGATCACAAGGTCAGGAGTTCGAGACCAGCCCGTCCAACATGGTGAAACCCCATCTCTACTAAAGATACAAAAAATTAGCCAGGCGTGGTAGCACACGCCTGTAGTCCTAGCTACTCAGGAGGCTGAGGCAGAAGAATCGCTTGAACCCGGGAGGTGGAGGTTGCGGTGAGCCGAGATCGAGCCACTGCACTCCAGCCTGGGCAACAGAGCTAGACTTCATCTCAAAAAAAAAATTGCTTCTCAGAAGAGGGGATTAAAGAAAAAACAATTTTAAGTGGTTGGAATTGTTGGTAAAGTAATATTCTAGATCCTTCTCACTGAGGGAGACAGGGACATGTATGATGCAAAAATAAGATGATCCAGACAGCATTATTTGGTCTTCATTTGCATGCTGTGGCTTTCAGGAGCACGGTTAGGTTGTGATATGGATGAATATTGTGTTAGCTGGCATTCACTGGGTACACAGAATGTCGGGGGCAATGCTTCCTAGATGTTCAGGACAGCAAAGGAAAGTCGGTCCTGAAGAGCGTTTGCAACTGATAGTCAAAAATTAGGCATGCTCTCACTAGATCATCAAGTGGTGACAGCTTTTAGTTGGAGGTCAAGAAGTCGTGACACCTAGACCTTCAGTGCCATCCATCACAGGCCATGAAGAGCTGAGAGGGCGGCAGCCCTGTGCATGTTCTTACACCCCTGCTTCCTCTTTTCCCAGGAGACTGTCTCCTGGATGCCCCTGCTGCGGCCCTGCCCCTCCCCACAGGCCTCCCGGGCCGCATGGCCCTGTACCAGCTGGACCAGCAGTGCAGGCAGATCTTTGGGCCGGATTTCCGCCACTGCCCCAACACCTCTGCTCAGGACGTCTGCGCCCAGCTTTGGTGCCACACTGATGGGGCTGAGCCCCTGTGCCACACGAAGAATGGCAGCCTGCCCTGGGCTGACGGCACGCCGTGCGGGCCTGGGCACCTCTGCTCAGAAGGCAGCTGTCTACCTGAGGAGGAAGTGGAGAGGCCCAAGGTGAGGGACAGCCCCTGAGGATAGCGGGGAGGGGAAAGGAGAAACAAAAGGAAATGGGGAGGACTGAGGGCTGTTCTCCAGAAGGAAACCACACTTGAGAGTCATGAACCGAGAGACAGCCAGGCAGAGCGGCTCACACTGGAATCCCAGCACTTTGGGAAGCTGAGGCAGAAGGATCACTTGCACCGAGACCAGCCTGGGCAACATAGTGAGATCCTGTCTGTACAAAAAAATAAAAAATAGGTCAGGCATGGTGACTCACGCTTGTAGTCCCAGCTACTCAGAAGGCGGAGGCAGGGAGATCACTTGATCTCAGGAGTTTGAGGCTGCAGTGAACCATGATCATGCCACTGCACTCTAGCCTGGGCAACAGAGGGAGACCCTGTCTCCAAAAAAAAAAAAAAAAAAGAAAAGAAACTTCGGGCCAGGCTGCAACATAGGACTTCTAGGTAAAATCACTCATCTTTTAACAAACAAACCAAAGCATATTTATCCACACGGTGAGGAGCCCGTGAAGGCTATCCCCTCGGTCAGTGGGTTGACACTGCCGTGGCTCCAGACATTAGGGAGCTGCTTTGGGGCTGCCTCAGGGCTGGTGCAGGTGCAGATTGGTGAGCGGGGTGGAGACAGGAAGGTGAGCACACAACAGATGGAGCCACTGTCAATTCCGTCATGAACACAGAGACACGCGGAATAAATTCCATCAAGAATTGAGTGAAAAGTATTCATAGCCTGCCCGTGCTTGAACTGAATGCATAATTACAGGTTGGGAGAATGAGAGCAGTTGTGGGAATTCCGTATTCAAAGAGGAGGAGAGGAGACAGATTCAGAGCTGCCTCTGGCCAGGCAGAAAAAAACTTGGCCCAGGAGAGAGTAAACTCACAAGAAAAACCAAGGCAGTGCCAGTGAGGGTTTTTAAATGATTCACTTCTTTGCCCTGCTCTGAATACATCCAAACTGTGAGGCTGATCGCATTTCTCTTACTGTGACTCATGGAGCCATCACTATGAAACAGCATCCACTGGGTTTCACAGCCCGGTCCCCGCCAGCGCTGAATCGCCAGGGTGGCCCAAGCACTCCTCAGTGCATGTCTTTTGCACTGAGCCTTGGGAGCCCGCCTGCACCAGGTAAGCTCTGTACTCTTGTCCTAAGCCTGAGCTGGTGCAGGATTCATGGACTGATCCTCAGCCACCTCCCATTCACCCTGTTCATTCTCATCACATGTTATTGAGGGGAGAGCAGAGGGATCTGCCACCAATCCCAGAGCACAGCCGAGCTAAGTGCAGGGAGAGGTTGACGTGAAATGATCATGGAATGATGTGTGGCCTCTATTTTTAAGAAGTCAGATCAGAAAATACATATTTATAGAATCAGGCCAGGTGCTGTAATCCCAGCACTTTGGGAGGCCGAGGCGGGTGGATCACCTGAGGTCAGGAGTTCGAGACCAGCCTCACCAACATGGTGAAACCCTGTCTCTACTAAAAATACAACAATTAGCCAAGTGTGGTGGCAGGTGCCTATAATCCCAGCTACTCCAGAGGCCAAGACAGGAGAATCACTTGAACCCAGGAGGCGGCAGTTGCAGTGAGCCAAGATCATACCACTGCACTCTGGCCTGGGCGACAGAGCAAGACTTTCAAGAAAGAAAGAAAGTGAGAAAGAAAGAGAGAAAGAGAGGTAGAAAGAAAGTGAGAAAGACAGAAAGAATATATACATAGAATCATATCTTTTGTAAAATAAAAGCATTGCATTTTTATGATGATATATTCAGAGCAAAAGTATGAAAAATATTGGTGAAAATCATGTTAATGGTTTTATCTGGGTAGTGGTGTTTTAAAGAAGTGTTAATTTCTTTTTTACACTTTTCTGCATTTTTTTATTTGTCGTATGAGCAACTATTACTTTTATAACTTTTAAAAAATTATTTTCATTTTGAATACTCTATGAACCTTTGGGCATACAGCATTCCAAAGGGCAAAGCTTTGTTCTCATAGGTCAGTTGTAAAATGGGAAGCAGGGCCAGGCATGGTGGCTCACACTTGTAATCCCAGTACTTTGGGAGGCCGAGGCAGGTTGATCACTTGAGGTCAGGAGTTCAAGACCAGCATGGCCAACATGGTGAAACCCCATCTCTACTAAAAATACAAAAATTAGCCAGGCGTGGAGGTGTGCACCTGTAATCCCAGTTATTCGGGAGGCCGAGGCACAGGAATCATTTGAACCCAGGAGGCGGAGGTTGCAGTGAGCCGAGATCACGCCTTTGAACTCCAGCCTTGGCAACAGAGCAAAACTCTGTCAAAAAAAAAGGAAGCAATTCTGTTTCTTTCCCAAGCATTGTCCTATCACCAGAACCAGTGGCTGGTAGACTATGGCAACACCTCGCAGGGATGTTTCCTTTAGACCAGAGTTCCTCTGCCTTGGCACTAGGGACACTTAGGACTGGATAATTGTTACCGTGGGGCCTGTGCATTGCTGGATGTGGAGCAGCATCACTGGCCTCTACCCACTAGATGTGGTCACGTACACCCTCCACAGCTGTAGCCACCAGAGTATCTCCAGACATTGCCAAATGTCCCCTGGAGGGCAGAATTCGCCCCAACGGAGAACCACTGCATTATATGCAACCTTATTCCCATAAAAGGGTGTCATTCATTCATTCAGCAGATAGCCTATTGAGCACCTTACTAAGCATAAGGCACTGTTTTAGACACTGAGGAGTCAGTAGTGAATGAGTCCAGCCTGGTCTCTGTGCTCACAAAGCCATGCAGGCCACACAGTCATTAAACAAATGATTGAGGCAGTTTACGGCACTCCATGCACCAAGATGATAATGACTAGATGAGGAAGCCAGGGCATTGGCCACCCAGTGACACAGATACTGAAGCCTCCTGGCCTTTGCTCCTCATTCAGTGTGCCATTGTATGTTGCAGCCCGTGGCAGATGGAGGCTGGGCACCGTGGGGACCCTGGGGAGAATGTTCTCGGACCTGTGGAGGAGGAGTACAGTTTTCACACCGTGAGTGCAAGGACCCCGAGCCTCAGAATGGAGGAAGATACTGCCTGGGTCGGAGAGCCAAGTACCAGTCATGCCACACGGAGGAATGCCCCCCTGACGGTAATTACCACTCAGGGCCGCCCCTGCCAGAGCAGCTACTATCATTGCTATGACGCATCCCCAGAGGATGTGTAAAGTGGGAGTGAAGTGGGTGTCCCGGGATATAGAGTTACTCCCAGAGGGGAGTAAATTGGGTCTCCTGGGATGTAGAGTTTTGCCTGTGATCTCCACCTAAATGGGCTCTGCAAGGTTCCAATCCCAGGGGCAGCTCTCAGGGACCCGGGACAGCTCTCATAGTGTTCAGAGAGCCTGGCAAAGTCAAGGAGAGAAATTACGCTCATCTTCCAAGATGTGGAGAGGAGGACATCACTCCCAACCAAACTTATTGGGGAGGAGCCTCTGCAGAGGGGCTGGTGTCTAGGAAACTAATCCTCCTGGAGGCATAGGAACCCTCATCTGTGTGCAGAATGGAAGCATTTTCCAAAGCAAGTGTCAGAGCCAAACCTCCAAGGTCTTTCTAGCCAAAATTCAGCCCAGGGCAGAGGGAGGATTTCTGAATCTGATTCCTGTTCACATTCCTTCTGAGAAGAGTTGCCCATCTTCCCTTGGGAACATGGCAACTGTTTGACAGAATCTTCCCAGGAAGGAATACTACCTCTCCCTCCCCTTGGCATATTCCTATCCCCAGTACCTGCTGGAAACCATGAACATTAACTTAGAGGCAGTAAAGGGGCAGCAGCAAACTCGTGAGAGGGAAATCATTACAAGGTTTTTCCCCACCATCCCATCCAACTGCCCAGTGTGCAGCTCCAGGAAGGATTGGCAGGCAAGAAAAATCAGGCAGAGCCTTAGGAGAGATTCAACCACGGGAAAAGACACTGGCATTGGGTTGATGTCTCAGGAGAATCTGTAGGCTTTGCGGTTTCACAAGACAAGAAGGATCCACAATGGTTTGAGGCTCTAGAAACTTTGCCCTGGAATTGTATGAGAGTTTGCCTGGCATACAGGGTGAGACGTTGCTGGGAAAGGGGGAGGATGAGAATGAATATAGGGTGCAAGGTAGGTGTGGACGAAAAGTGATGCCATGATGTCAGATGCACCAAAGTCTGCCATTACTGTCGAGTATTTTTTAGTATTTTTTGTGTGTCTAGAACTATAAAAATGTATGAAAATGTAAAAGGCATGGTCTCTGTCCCTAAGGAGCTTGTAGTCCAATTAGAGACCCAAATCCCTTTAACACAGCCATTACATTTCAATGGATGAGTCACAGACCCTAGGTTGGTGAGGCGCTCGGAGAAAGGAAAGGCTGGGTGAGCGGAAGCTTTGAAAGGAGTTAGGACTGAGCAGAGTCTGGAGGACTGAGATGGGTGAGGTGTGAGGGGACCTGCCAGGGTGGTGGAAAGGTGTGAGAAGGGCCCTCATTCACTTAGGTGGAATCAAGCAAAGCACACCACTATGTCAAGGCCAGACCACAGAGGTCCTTGAAGGCTGACACAGTATCTGGGAGTTATCTGTGCCACCTGTCCCATTAAGTCACCTGGAAGCTCCTGCAGACACAGCCCAGACCCCCTCAGCTGCACTGACTCAGAGTCTCAGGCGTGGAGTATGGCATCTGCCTTGGCAAAGTCTCCCCAGGCATTCAGATGCACAGTTTGGGCAGGGAACCTTGGCAGGAAGAACAGCTTTAATTTTAGGATTTGGGGGTGGAAAGCAACCCACATCTAACTTCAGATGGGTTGGTCTGGCAGCAGCACGTGGCAGGATGGAGAGGAGGCAGGCACAGGTCCCCATGAAGCCAGCAGGCCTGGGCTTGTGGTGGTGAGAGTGGGATGCCATCGTTTTAAATCACAGATTGTCCTGAATATAGTGTGGGTCTTTGTGACAGTTTGGAAATAGCAGATAGAGATGCTCAAATGTTCGGGAGATACCAGGATACCAGTCTCAGACTTGGGCATGGTAAGATCAGCAAATGAAAGTCAAGACAGTTCGTGGAAGGACCATCGGGAGCTTGGCCATGCTGAGTTGGAGGTAATCACAGTACATACAAACGGAGCTCCCCAGGGACACCCAGAATTACGGAATGTGGGTGTAGGGGCAAGATCAGAGCTAGACATGTAGATTTAGGAGTCTTTGGATTCATGTCCGGTGTCACTGAGGAAATCGATACTGCACAATTAGTAGTGTCCTGAGAATATAGCTCCACATGCCATTCTGTGCCTTCCAAGCTTACTGAATTGTTCCCTGTTGCTCCCTGCGTTTATTCACCTGTAGAGTACAATGAGTCTCTTTCCCTAATGGAAAGGGCATTTATCCTAGAAAGCCCAGCATGCGGCTGGAGGCTCCTTTCCTTGCCCTTTTGAGTAAGGGTCACACATGCGTCTAGGAATGTTGTGCCCAGAAGACACTGGCCCTGGGCGCCTGGGTTGAGTTCAAAACCAAAAGAAAGAAGAAAAGTGCTGTAAATTCGGGATTTCTCCACCGGATGCTCCTGCTTCCGCATGGGTGTCACCTCCATGCCGTTTCTTCCTCTTTCTAGGGAAAAGCTTCAGGGAGCAGCAGTGTGAGAAGTATAATGCCTACAATTACACTGACATGGACGGGAATCTCCTGCAGTGGGTCCCCAAGTATGCTGGGGTGTCCCCCCGGGACCGCTGCAAGTTGTTCTGCCGAGCCCGGGGGAGGAGCGAGTTCAAAGTGTTCGAGGCCAAGGTGAGAATCACCCTGGGACTCAGATCCAGAGATGGGGAGGAAGGTCGCCTGTCCCCACACCCCCGCCCCCCGGCAGGCTGCTTCTGTGCTCAACACGCCCTCCCTCACCTTCCCTTTCCCCGTTGCAGGTGATTGATGGCACCCTGTGTGGGCCAGAAACACTGGCCATCTGTGTCCGTGGCCAGTGTGTCAAGGCCGGCTGTGACCATGTGGTGGACTCGCCTCGGAAGCTGGACAAATGCGGGGTGTGTGGGGGCAAAGGCAACTCCTGCAGGAAGGTCTCCGGGTCCCTCACCCCCACCAAGTGAGTCTCCCCAGAAGTTCTGTACCTTGCTTGGTAGAAGAGCATAATGGGCTTTGCACTCTGCTAGGCCCAAATTGAACTGTGGCTGCTACTTAATAGCTGTGAGGGTTGGGCAAGTTATTTAAACTCTCCGAGCTTCAGTTTCTTTGTAAAATGTCAGCAGTATCTCTATCTCAGAGTCGTTGTAAGGATTTCCTGAGATGGGATGTGCACTTGGCAGTGTCGAGCTCATAGAAAAGATAGAACACAGGGCAGCCGTGACTTTTACGAGGGCTGGAGGCCATGTGGATAGGGAGCTGTCATCTCTGAGTCAATCGAGCCACACTGAGTAACCTGGACCTCTGCCAGAAAACAGCTCTCCCAGGCCTGTTTTGGGAAGGACGTCTCACCCTAAGCCTGGCAAGCCCCTGTCCTTTCTGCAGATGGATCTTCAGAGAAGGGGGTTACCAAAAAGGGGCCCTGGCAGCCTCAGGGCTTTCATGAATCTGAGAACTCCAGACACTTTTTTCTCATCCTAATGCCCCACATTCATAAAACTCCAAGGATTTTCCAAAGCGCTTTCATTTCCATGGTCTCATTTGATTTGTAAAATAAGTCCATGAGGTGAGCAAGGCCAATACTATTCCTCATTTTGCAGAGGAAGAAATTAAGGCACAGAAAGATTAAATGACTTTTCTAAGGTCACATTGATGGTTAATGACAGCCAGAAGAGAACCTAGTTTTCCTAAGTCCTGGATGACTTTTGTCTCCCATTCCATGTACTTCCTGCAGAGTAAGGGCAAGTTCGGGTGTTTTATATGGGCCACACTCTGCCTGTCTGCCTCCAGTACATCAATGTGTCCTAGGGCTTATGTGAGCATCCACCTGTCCAGCCACTTCCCCCACTCACGGTCTCAGAGTTTTTGAGAAGTGTTCACTGTATTGTATTCTACCTAGTGAAGCTCGCAAACCCTGCCCCATTCTGTGTGTGTGTGTGTGTCTGTCTGTCTGTCTGTCTGTCTCTACATCTCTCATCTCACCAGTCTGAGAGAACAGAATCAGCCTACAGCAGGCAACTTGGGACTGTTTTCATTTTTTTTAATTTATTTTTATTATTTTGAGACAGAGTCTCACTCTGTTGCCTAGGCTGGAGTGCGGTGGCACGATCTTGGCTCACTGCAACCTGCTTCCCAGGTTCAAGCAATTCTCCTGCCTCAGCTTCCCAGGTAGCTGGGATTACAGGCATGCACCACCACACCCAGCTAATTTTTGTATTTTTAGTAGAGACTGGGTTTCGTCATGTTGGCCAGGCTGGTCTTGAACTCCTGGCATCAAGTGATCCGCCCGCCTTGGCCTCCCAAAGTGCTGGGATTGTGGGTATGAGCCACTGCGCCCTGCCTTGGAACTCTTTTTACATTTAAGCTCAAAAGACATAGAAAAAGAGAAGCAGACACTATTCAGATACTGGGTCCCTTGGCCACTTTCCCTCAGGCTTTAGACAGATGGGCCTGTGGACACTCTAAGAGTCTGAAACTAAGCAGCTAGCCCCAGCTGGACATATGGTAAGAAAAGCAAAAAGCCCGCCTGACCACTCGCCTCACTTTCTCCCCAGCCTATGGAACCCAGATTTCCAGAAAAGAACAAACAACTAATCTTTCTTCATCCTACCTAAAGCCCTAAGCCTATAATGGACTGGAAACAGTTTCCCAAAACTGCTTCCTATCATTCCAGAAGCACAGTGCTCATGGTGCCTGGGCACTCCCAGAAGGTGGCTTCAAAGAAGCAGGCTTAAACCCCCAACTCCCAACCCCACCCTGATCCCACCCTAGGGCCATATTCATCAAATACTAGGAGCCGACTGACTCAGAGAGGTGGTGTGAAATTTCCCTCCTGTTCACGTTCTGGAAGGGGTGTGTGGAACAGTTTTTTCCATGTGGGTTTGAGCTCTGGGTATGGAGGTGGCCAATCAAAGTTGTATACCAGTGCAAGGAGCTAGAGGTATTTGAGATCACATTTGACAGGTGCCAGGTTTGGCTACACCAGTGCAGCTTTCCACATCCTTCTGGGTTCTCCTCGTCTCTATGCTGTTCTCAACACCCACATACCTCAACTCCTCAACCACACTTTTGAAATAGAGTTGCCAGATGAAGCAAACACCCTTGAAAATCCCAATGTACAGACATTTCTGTCTGCCTAAACAGCTAATTTATTGAGAACTTTGAGGCAACTTGCTTAATTACTTGCTTTGTTTTTTTCGTGTCTGCCACCTGGGGTGCCCACTTCAGTCTCCAAGGCATCATCGTGACCTGGGCTGGGCAGCCACTGGTCTAAGGGTGTCCTTCTGTTTCTATCACAGTTATGGCTACAATGACATTGTCACCATCCCAGCTGGTGCCACTAATATTGACGTGAAGCAGCGGAGCCACCCGGGTGTGCAGAACGATGGGAACTACCTGGCGCTGAAGACGGCTGATGGGCAGTACCTGCTCAACGGCAACCTGGCCATCTCTGCCATAGAGCAGGACATCTTGGTGAAGGGGACCATCCTGAAGTACAGCGGCTCCATCGCCACCCTGGAGCGCCTGCAGAGCTTCCGGCCCTTGCCAGAGCCTCTGACAGTGCAGCTCCTGACAGTCCCTGGCGAGGTCTTCCCCCCAAAAGTCAAATACACCTTCTTTGTTCCTAATGACGTGGACTTTAGCATGCAGAGCAGCAAAGAGAGAGCAACCACCAACATCATCCAGCCGCTGCTCCACGCACAGTGGGTGCTGGGGGACTGGTCTGAGTGCTCTAGCACCTGCGGGGCCGGCTGGCAGAGGCGAACTGTAGAGTGCAGGGACCCCTCCGGCCAGGCCTCTGCCACCTGCAACAAGGCTCTGAAACCCGAGGATGCCAAGCCCTGCGAAAGCCAGCTGTGCCCCCTGTGATTCAGGGGGGCAGGGGCCAGTCTTGTGCTCCTGGACATGCGGTACTGAGGTGCAGACAAGGGTCTCCACTGTGGTGACTGGGTCCCTTGGCCATATCAAGGCAGCACGGCCCACCCAGGCCTCCCATTGCCGCAACCCCTCCAGTACTGCACAAATTCCTAAGGGGGAAGAGGAGAGGGTATGGGGCGGCAGACCCTATCATCAACTGTCCAGTGGACTGGACCTTGCTCGGGTTCAAGTAGAGGGCATAGGTTAAAAGGTAAAAGTGCACTTATTGACTCAGACAGGACACTCAGCGTCAGTCTGTTTGCAAAGGACTAGCAAACTTAAATGAAAAAAAAAATTCTATCTGGTTTCCCCGATAAATAATCTACCTCACAGGGGAAAAAATTAGTACAAGAGAGGCGTGGGGCAGGGAGTCAATGGTGAATGTCAAAGCAGGCTCCAAAGCTGGACCCCAAGCTGTCTTCAAGAATGACCACGACTGTCTTCAGTGTTAAAATCCATCACCTAAAGGGCCGCAGCGTCGCAGGGTTTGGAGAGCCACATGTTCTCAGGCTGCCACCTGCAGGGGTGGATCCATTTCAAGTATTTATGCAAATGTGTCTCTGAACTAAAGTGTGATCTTATGCCAATGCAGTGGTCTGGTCTGATTCATTGTTTCTTTGGAAAGGGCAGCAACCTAGAACCCAGGGATGGAGGCTGAAACTAGGTCAGCAGCTGGATCCCTGCCTGCTCTGGGTCCTCACAGGCCTGCAGAATCCAGCTCATTCGGGCAACTTTCATTTGCAGGATCTAGACCAGTGGTTCCCAAGGTTTCATTAGGATCACGTAGAGGGCTGTGAAAATGGATTGTGAGGCTGGGCACAGTGGCTCACACCTGTCATTCCAGCACTTTGGGAGGCTGAGGCAGGAGGATTGCCTGAGCCCAGGAGTTCAAGACCAGCCATGACAATATGGCGAGACCCTGTTTCTATAAAAAATTAAAAAACGAAATCAGTCGGTCATGGTGGTACAGGCCTGTAGTCCCAGCTACTCAGGAGGCTGAGGTGGGAGGGTCACTTGAGCCCAGGAGGTTGAGGCTGCAGTGAGCCATTTTCATGCCACTGCACTCCAGCCTGGATGACACAGTGAGACCCTGTCTCAAAAAAAAAAAAAAAGAAAGAAAGAAAGAAAAGAAAACACAGATTGTGGGGCCCCATCCCCAGAGTTTCTGATCTAATGGTTGGGGTGGCCTGAGAATCTGCATTTCTAACAAGTTCCCAGTGACTGACATGGAGGCTGCTGGTTTGGGAGCCACACTGTGAACACCTGTGCTACAGGAAACGTCCAGCTGGGAGATCACAATTGTTATGCGATGCCTTTGGGCTCATCATTCTTGAGAAAGAATATCCCCTTCCTCTCTGTGAGCTACCCCATCATCCTCTTACATGCTGCCTGCCTCCTTTTAGTTTAGCTGGGGGCACCAGATCCTCAGCCCCTACTCCGCTCCATAGCTCCTCATCTCTCCTGTGGCTCAGAGGAACTCTGGCTCAGTCTTCCACCTGGTCTGGTGCAGAGGGAACTTACTTAGTCCCTGATCACAAATGGGTGACAAGAAACAGACATCAAGAAATGACATTCTAGCAAAAGAAGGAAAATACCCAAATGTGCATCTTGGTTTTTTTCACCACCTGTGCCCCCTTTGTCCTCCCATTCAGATATCTGGCACCATGGGCAGAGAGGATGCTGTAGGGGCACTAGGCAAGGCCATGAGATTCCAGCCCCACTGTTCCCCTTAGCTGCTCTCTACACGATGACAGCTGACTCAGAGTTGGTCACTCCTTCTTGTCTGCCTACTCTTTTCAGCGAGTGGGAGGCTGGGCTTACCTAAGCATAAACAGGCACACACACAGGCATGTTGTTGATGACTAGCAAAACCAGATTGTTTCCCTGCTGTGCACCAGTTTTGTGGAGGCTGATGTATGCTTCCGCAACTCTTCATCGCCTTCCATTTCTCGCTCTCCCCCAAATAAGGCCAAGCGTGTCCCCCTTAACGGCCTAAGCCAGGCCAGCTGTGCCATCCCTGCTGCCTGCATCATTACCAGGCACAGCTTTTGCCCTGGAGTTCAGCTGGCAGCAGAGCTGCTGATGTGCAAAGCAGAATGGAATCCAGCTTGGCTCTCCCGGTTGTGTGGGCTCGGCGAGGCTCTCAGAACGCATACTTGTTTGTGTCTGGAAATTCAACAGCTGCAGCCCAGGGACTCAGAAACCAGATCTGCAGAGGAAGACCACACCATTATCTGCCCCAGCCAACCACGACCACTCTGTGCACCCAGAGAAGGAGAGAAGACTGTATTTCCTCTGCTGAAAGATTGTGTTTTCCAGCTAGTGCTCCTAATGGAAACTGGTACTCTCTTCTAATGGGAGGCCCTGACTTGGCAGGTAATTTGGTCATTAATCTGAATCCTCCAGGCACCTGCCAGAAATACTTCGAAGGTGGTACAGTAGCATAAAGTTAATTTCCAACCTTTCATTTTTAAGATAAGTGAATCTTTATCTGGGGTTTATCCTCTGCCCTTTATTCCTCTATCACAGATCAGAGGGTTTTGTGAATTTACAAAAGTATGCAATATTACTATTCCCAGTCCACTCTAGCAGACCACCCCTCTCCCAGGAACATATTCCAGGGGTGGTAGGACCCATCTCACTAGATCCGCATCTGTTCTCTGATGACATCCACCTGCTTCTACATCCTTTGTGCTTGAACTTTTTAACCAAGTCACCCTCTTAGTGAGGACTCTTCCTCTTTTCTGGTGTCCAAACATGTCACCCTTCCTGTTTTCCTCTGGAGTGTGCTCCGGAGTTGTTTCAAACCACCCCTCCCTCCCCACACCCCCCAAAAAACAAAACTACAAATGACAAGAACAATTGGAAAGTTCTTAAGGGATACTGGCTTTTGCTTTGTCTTGATATTTTCCACTTGTGGTCCAGGGCAGATAAAGAGGGAGGCCTTGTCAGCCCTGCGCTATGGCGTCTGCAGCGTTGAGCAGCTGCGTGTACTGGGCTTTCCTGCGTGGTGCAGACTACCCTGCCCAGGTGCCCCTGGTCCCAGGAGGGGAGGCTCGTGAACCCCGCAGCAATCTCGACTCCGTGTGCTCTGCCCCAGATCACCAGGTCCCTCCAGGAACCTGCAGCATTTCCTTTGCTGTTTGGGAATTCAAAATGGTTTCTCGAAAAATGTGAACAGGAAGGCAGAATTTATCAAAGAGGACTAGATGTAGCACGACCCTTGGATTCCCAGATTTCTGCTGCCACAGACTCATCACTTCTTTTTGCCCCTATGATGAGTTGAAGCTACATTTCGGAACACATGGCCCCAAAAAACAGGAGACGGGGTGAACATCATGAGGACGGTGATGACGTCTTCTATAAGCCTAGGTTACTGGCCCTGAGACGTGTCCTCTGCCCTCCTCCACTCCCACTCTGCCCTGTGTGATGTGGGAGGGAATTCCTCAGGTGAAGACAGGCTCGTCCCTGCCCAGAATTTCCCATCCGTAGCTGCACCGCGGTTAGACACTCAGCTTCCCCAAGCCCCGCATGTGCACCGTCAGTAAGTACCGGGACAGGAAGCAGAGGAAGGGAAGGATGCAGCCGCATTCAGTCCCAGAGAACAGCAGGCCCGGGTTACTCCTCTTTGGTGGCCGGGGCTGAAGGACAGTCTGTCTTATGGGGAAAACTCTCCTCCCCACGTTTTTCTGGGGGCCTCCGCTGAGCTCGCATTGGGAGAGCTGCATGTGGAATGTGGGAAAGAAGAAGTCACCCATCTAAGCCAGCGTCTTCATTGGCTCAATGTTGGTGATCACTAATGCGACAAATACTGTGGTTGTATTGACCGTACATATGACAACATTCTAAACAACACAGGAGAACACAACGAGCAACAGTAAAAACTGGAGGGTCCCGCGAACGGAGTGGGTGGGCTGTGACTCCCACACTTTCCCTGCCCCTGGCCAGCCCCTCCTAAGCACCTGTGTGCTTTCCAGGTCAACACTGCAGAATGACCTGGCCAGACGTAACCAATAGGTGTGGTCCTAAACAGCTGGTACCACACTTCCCTGGCTCGTTCTTCTTCAGGTGGGGAGTTTTTCTGACCTTCCACTTTGGAAAGAGCAGGACTTGCTTAAAACTGAGTGCCGGCCAGCCCACACCCCCTGAAATAGATCAAGGGACTCATCACAGCCACTGCTCAAGTACTGGGAAGAGACATGACACCAGTGCACAAGTGCATTCTGAACCGTAATGACAAGCAGAGAGCAAGAAAGCCACCTGTCTCTTTAGAACATACTTTCCCTCAGGCCTGGGGCTCAGTAGAAAGAGACAGGAAGGTTCCGGCTGGCCTTCCAGCCCCCAGAGCTGCCCAGCCCAGCCCTGGCAGATGCGAATCGCCCCAGGAAAGGAGAGAGGAAAGAAGCCTTCCCCAGACCTCACCGTTCCTCATTCCAAACATCTTGTAAGTCCCAGGGGCACTGAGAGAGTTTGTCCGCAGCCAAACACAACTTCCTGTTTCTAAGAAAGGGAAGAAAAAAAATAGTTGAAAGGGTTTTTGGACACTGGAAATTTCAAGTTTCTGTAAACGCGAATGAATCAGACACATGTGGAATGAATTTCTCCGGAAGTAAGAAAAGATGCTGTGAGTTCCTCTTGCTGGACCAGAAAATAGGAAAAGGGTAGCTGCGGGGGAGGTGCGTCAGAGGCTGCAAGGAGAGAAGCCATGTGGACATGGGATGGAAGAGAGGGTCCCATCAGTGACAAGGTTCAACGAGGCTGCCCTGAAGCCACGTTCTGAAGCTGCTCATTACTCAGAACTGCTCCACCTCTGAAGTCCTACATCAAATCTCCTCCTCCTCAACCACAATCTCCCATCTTCCCAGATCTTTCCCATAAATGCATCCTTCCCCATGCCCTGACCGCCTCCGCACGTGTCCTTCCCCCATCCATCTTTCCTGCTCCTCTGTCTTCAGCTTTCCCTGAGCTGCTTGGACTCCACGTTCAGCGCCTCCACCTCAATCTTGCCAGTGTTCTCACTGCCCTTGCCCCACAGACTCTCTGTGCTGCTCAGCAGGCAGAGCCTCACACGGCACCCATTCCCCTCTCCCCACCTCTCACCTCTCACGTCATCCTGCTACAAGCAGATCCACACCCCGGGGGAATCCCAGCCCTGAGCACACTGGTGCCACCATAAAGTTACAGCGTTTGATGGAAACTGTCCAGCAACCCGAGCAGACCCCCTCTCAGCAATACCGATGGTTGTCCACAGAACTATTCTGCGCTTCCCATGCTCCTCCAGCTCATCCCCATGCCACGCTTCGCTGTGAGTGAACAAACTCACCTCCACTGCTAAGTGGAGCCCAGTACCGTATCTCTTATCATGGAAGGGAGAGGGGACACCAGCTCACCATTAACGGGCCACGTATAGACACGAATCTAGAGGAACATTATAACTCTCTCTTATTTTGGATTCAACAGGCATGTTTCAATCTCTGTCAAGTCCATAGGAGAGTGAAGACTCAGAAGATAACTCCTCCCCCTGATTAAATTAATCCTCCAGCTCTCTGAAGGGCACAGTACATCATGAGATTTAAACACCTAGGTCTAAAACAAAAAAAAACAAAGAAAAAGAAAAATACGCCGGGCACAGTGACTCATGCCGGGAATTCCAGCATCTGGGGAGGCTGAGGCAGGCAAATCACTTGAGGCCGAGAGTTTGAGACCAGCCTGGACAACATGGTAAGACCTCGTTTCTATAAAACATATAAAAAACTTAGCCAGGGCTGTTCCAGCTACCCAGGAGGCTGAGGTGGGAGGATCACCTGAGCCCAGGGAGGTCGAGGCTGCAGTGAGCTGTGATCCTACCACTGCACTTCAGCCTGGGTGACAGAGCCAGACCCCTTCTCAAAAGTAAATAAATAAATACACACCCAGGCTCCCTCATGGCCCAGCTTCTCTACCTCATCCTCCTTGTTGGCCCCTCAGTTTCCACCACTGTTTGGAGTCCTGGGTGTGGCCCTGACATGGTCTGTCAGTCCCTCGGTTCTTTCTAGTTTCACTGTTAGATGGAGATGGTTCTTCAGATCCCAAAGGTGGGTGAGGGGAAGGGGGAAAATCTCTCACAGGGACAGGACCAAGGACAGCATACCTAAGAGAGTAGGCTTTGCACAGTACTAACTGTGGCCTCCTGCTAGCCTATCCCTGGTGCATTAGGATGTGAAAAAATGTCTCCCTCTTCTCCATCTGGAGTTACATTACCGAAAGCCTAGCCTACAAATGTGTCAGATCTCAGGAAGCAGGACAGGGTGAGGAAAAAAAAAAAAAACACAAGAAAATGAAATCGTAATTTTAAAAACCCTGTTCGTTTCTTACCACGAATCCTGAAATCTTGCTGGTAGCTACGGATGCGCCTCAATTTACACAGAGTTACATCCCCAATAAACCCATGGTAATATCGTAAGACTAAAATGCGTTTAATATCCCAATAAATCCATTGTAAAGTCAAAAATGTGTAAGTTGAATCGTCCTAAGCCCAGACGCTCCTCCACTTACAATCGGGTTACATTGGGATAAACCCATCGAACAGTCAAACAATTGATTGTAAGCTGAACCATCATAAATTGAAAACCATTGTATATCCATCCTTTTTAAAATCTATCCTTTCTCCTTCTGTTTCTGTTACATGAGAGGTATTTTCCCACTGTCAAAACTAATCCCTTCTCAATACTGCAGCCCTCCACCCTCTCAAGGCGCTCAGCCCCTCCACCATCCCCTCCCTTCCCAAAGACCCAGCCCCTCCCTCTCTGCTGACAGCTCCCCATCGGTGTTCGCAGGTGCTGTGTCTTTTCACTCCCGCATTTCACAGCTATGTCTCTCCACTCTCCCCTCGCTCCCTGAATTCCTGCTGCTCTTCCAAAGCACACAACTTCTCTCTCCAAACATCACATATACTCTTCCCTCTTCCGGAAATGTTCCTTTTCCTCTTTCTTCTCTCCCCACTTTAACATAGTCCTACTTATTCTTCAGGTCACAGATTAAAGGTCACACCCTCAATGAAACCCTCAGGTTAGGTTAAGCACCCTCATGTTGCTGTGCACTTAGCTTTTTTTTTGACAGAGTCTGGTTTTGTTGCCCAGGCTGGAGTGCAGCGGCACGATCTCAGCTCACTGCAACCTCCGCCTCCTGGGTTCAAGTGATCCTCCTGCCTCAGCCTCCTGAGTAGCTGGTATTACAGGCTCCCGCCACCATACCTGACTAATTTTTGTATTTTTAGTACAGATAAGGTTTCACCATGTTGGCCAGGCTGGTCTCAAACTCCTGACCTCAAGTGATCCTCCCGCCTCACGGCCTCCCAAAGTGCTGGGATTATAGGCATGGGCCACCATGCCCTGCCTGCACTTCACTTTTCAAACACTCAGCACCCTTCCTTCTGTCTTTGCTGCTGGACCATACACTGTGAGTCCCAGGCCACATCTCATCTTCATTTGCATCACTCGTGTCTAGCTGACAGCCTGCCATAAAGCAGGCAGAGAAAAAAAATGATCACGTTCCCTTTCCCCTTTGAAAAATATGTTCCACTTCCCCATATTTCTCTCTGCTACCTCTGTGCACCTTCCACAGTCATACTTGAGAGAACTGCTCCCTTCCTCACGCCCTAACAAGCCAGCTCCCCACACCACTGCCCACGGGACTGTGTTGCCAAGGTCATCGATGACCTTGTGCTAAGTCCAACAGACCTGCCTCAGTCCTGTGCCTGCATCCTGGCCTCCTCTGCATGCCCTCTCCCTCTTGTTATCCCTAAGTTGTTGAGTTCCTCTGGGTTCTGTTCACTCTTCCTGGCTGATCCCATCCACCCCTATGGTTTCCATTTTTTCCTATCTGCTGATTACTCCCAAATTTAAATCCAGAGGCTGTGTGTCTGCGGCCCCCATGCCTACCTCATGTTTGAAGGTTCTCTGGAAGGGCTCCTGGGACTCAGCACACAGCTGTGCTCATGGCGAGGCTTTATCCTTTTGCTGTGGTGAGGACACACGCTGGATCATAAGGGGTCAAGGCACAGGCAGAGTCTAGAGGAACCCATGCCAGGCTTCCTTATGCTCTTTCCGACCACCAGGGTCCCACAGAGCCCACTGTCCCTCCGTAAAAATGCAGCAACACACGTGTGACATTTCTGCCTGGGGAAGCCCAGTACCGACTTAGTGCCCAAAGGTCTTAACTGGGGTCTGGTCACATGGGCACCCTCTGCCTAGCAAAATCCTAGACTCTCAGATGGAAAGTAGGTGTTTGGCATAAATTGTGTTGTCTGCACAGACAGTCTAGCCATGGGGAACCACCTTATCAGTTAACTGTTAACTAGGGATGCTCTGAGAGCCAAGTTCCCAGATGCCAGCCAAGGGCCAACCTTGCAGGCAGGTGTTTCTATGAACAGCAGTGTCAGGCCCGCTGTGATAACTCCTTTCTGCACAGGCTGGGTATGTTTCCAACTTCCCACCTGACTCAATTTGCTCAAAGTCAAACTCACTCTCTTCCTCCCAGCTGTTACACCTATACCCTATCTTTTTTTTTTTTTTTTTTTTTTTTTAAGAGACAGAGTCTTGCTCTGTCACCTAGGCTGGAGTGTGGTGGTGCAATCATAGTTCACTGCAACTCCTAGGCTCCAGTGATGCTCCTGCCTCAGCCTTCCAATGTGCTAGGATTTCAGGCATGAGCCACTGTGCCTGGCCAGGACCTATCTTCTGTTTCCCCTTCTTCTCCACCCCTCCTATCCACTGGCCCTCAAATGCAAACTCCTCCTCCGTCTCCATTGCTGCTGCCTTCAGGGGGCTCTCCATCCCCTCACCCAGCATGGCTTCAACAGCCCTGTCCCATTTCACTTCACATCCCTCTAATCCCATCCTCACATTACTCAGTGATCTTTTAAACATGAAAATTGGGGCTGGGCACGGTGGCTCATGCCTGTAATCCCAGCACTTTGGGAGGCTGAGGCAGGCAGATTACCTGAGGTCAAGAGTTCGAGACCAGACTGGCCAACATGGTGAATCCCCATCTCTACTAAAAATACAAAAATTAGCCAGGCGTGGTGGCACACGCCTGTAATCCCAGCTACTTGGGAGGCTGAGGCAGGAGAATTGCTTGAGCCAGGGAGGCAGAGGTTGCAGTGAGCCGAGATCATGCCACTGCACTCCAGCCTGGCTGACAGAGTGAGACTCTGCCTCAAAAAAAAAAAAAGAAAAGAAAAGAAAATTGGATCATTTCACTTCTCCATTGAAAACCCTTTGAAACCCTTTAATGGCTTCCAAATGCACAAAGAATTTTTTTAAAAAATCCACACCTCCTAACAAGCCCTCCAAGCTCCTCTGTGGACTGCCACCTACTAGCTCCCAGTCTTATTTTATGTCACTCTATCCCCCTGGTGACACTTTCTTTTGTCACTTGCTCACCAAGCCCTTTCTCACTTAGCGGATTCCCACATGCCAGTCCCAAGCCTGGGATGCTCTCTCTCGTGCTCCCCCATGGCTTTCCCAACTCATCCTTAGGGTCTCAGGTTGACAATCACAGCCTAAGAAAGTCCTTCCTATCTCCTCCAATCTAAGTGAGGTCCCTGTAACTCTCATAATTAACAATTCTATGTATCTCACATTGACTGTTCTTTTGTTTGTTTGTTTTGAGACAGTTTCGTTCTTGTTGCCCAGGCTAGAGTGCAATGATGAGCCTTAGCTCACTGCAACCTCTGCCTCCCGGGTTCAAGAGATTCTCCTGCCTCAGCCTCCCGAGTAGCTGGGATTACAGGCACGTGCCAGCACCCCTGGCTAATTTTTGTATGTTTAGTAGAAACAGGGTTTCGCCATGTTGGCCAGGCTGGTGTCAAACTCCTGACCTCAGGTGATCCGCCCGCCTTGTCTTCCCAGAGTGTTGGGATTAATACTGTTCATTTAATGCTTCCCTCCACCCGACTAGACTGCAAGCTCCATGAGGGGAAGGACTCTTTGTTCACTGATGGATATTTGGAGCCAACCTAGTGCTGGCCATGTGGTAATGCACTGTTTCAGTTAGCTTGGGCTGCTGTAACAAAATGCCACTGACTGCATGGCCTATACAACAGAAATGTATTTTCACAGTTCTGGAGGCTGGAAGTTTGAGCTCAGGGAGTCTGTATGGCTGAGTTCTGGTGAGCACTCTCTTCCTGGACTGCAGATGGCTGCCTTCTCACTGTGTGCTCATACAGCCTTTCCTCCATGCACGTGTGTGGAGAAGAGATAGGGAGCTCTCTGCAGTTTCTTCTTATAAGAGCACTAATCCCATCCCAAGCGCCCCACCCTCAGGATCTCATTAAACCTAATTGTCTCCCAAAGGCCCCAGCTGCAAATACTGTCACTTTGGAAGTCAGGGCTTCAACATATGAATTTTGGGGAGACACAAGTCAGTCCATAGCTAACGATCTCAGTGTTCCGAGAAAAAATGAGTGAATTGCTGACAGAGAAGTATTTCTAAAATGTAGTCTAATCTTGTCACTTCTTTCCTGAAAGTTTTTCAATAATTCCCACTGCCTATAGAAGAAGTCCTAAAGTCCTCAGCTCAGCATCTGGGCCTGTGATAACCCAGTCCTGGGTTACCATGGGGATACTCAGCAGTGCCCCTGGAAAGTATGGCTTTCTCTTTCAGGAGCGTGCCCAGAGTTCATGCCTGTTCAATAGCCCCTGCCTCCCAGGGGGCTGCTCAGCTGTCTGCAGCATTGGTGCCGCTGAACCTCGTCCACAGCTCCCTCGAAGCATGCTCTCTGCAGCCCGAGTAGTACATCCAAGCATCAGAGTGAACAGATGCAGAAAACTGCCAGAAACATGTGCTCCCAGAGCTGAGAAGCTGCTGCAAAGAAGCCTCATCCTGACAGAGGCAGAGCCACACACACACGGAATTGGGCCTGAGTCTCTGGAGAGAAGAGGCTGTTCTGAGATGAGCCCAGAACCTATCCCTCAGCACTGGGCATCACCACTTATGAAGCCCCTTGCCCACCCTTGAGAATGTCCCCCATCTGCTGGGCAGAGCACCACAAGACTGGTGTGAACTGGCACAGCCTTGGCCTATCTCTGTGAGTGTCCTTCCCAAGTTCTGGGAGTGATTAATGGGTCAGCACGGCCCATAGTGGACGCTCCGTAAATGCGCATTCCTTTCCTCGCTCCCTGTTGCCCAGCTTGTAAGCCTACGCCTTGACCTCCACATCAAGCATGTGCTTTTAGGTCAGAGGCTTCCAGTCCTGGCCCTCCTCTCCAACACACTTTCTCCTGCTCCGTGGACAACTGGCATTGCCCTGATTAGGTTACGCACTATCCCAGTGGCTCACTGTGGATGTATTGGTCCTTAATTCCCAATAGCCTCGCCCTATCTGGTGATGAAAATAAAATCTGGAGGCAAATTTGCTAGAACTTCAGCCTCCCACCATATTGCAAATTGAGAGCTGACTTTGACGTCATATATATGCTAAAGGATCAGCACGTGTTAGAAAAGGAACAGGCGGAGCGTTAGATGGCCTGGTTTTGAGTTTTGTCTTCGCCATTCACCAATTAGGTGACCTTGGGCAAGCCATTCAGTCAGTTCCTCTGAGCCTCAGTTTCTTCATCTAGAAGATGTCCTACCAGCCTCAAAAAATGTATGCAAAAATCAAATGAAAGAATGCTGTGTGACGGTGGTTTGCAAATTACAACACACTACATGAATGTAGGAAATTCAATACCTTATATCCTTAGGAGACTGGGGGCATCACTTGCTGGAATAGTATTTTGCTTACCACCAGATCCCCGGGTTGGAAGAGGGTCTAGGCAGAGAAAGATAAAGAAACGCATAAAATTACCTAATTTAGTGAACACCAAAATTGGTAGCATAAATTCTGTGCATGCTGGCAAGTTGGAGGGAATTAAGGGGAACAAAAAAGCAGACCTGGATGTGTTTGGCTCAGTGGTGTGGAACTTCAAATCCCGTGCCAGGCTTGGCAGAGATGTGCAGTGTAGACCACACTCCTCTCTCCTCTGAGTCCTAAGCCTTTGGGAAATAAACACAAGATGTGAGGATCAAAATGTCAGCTTTATTTTTTATAATAGCAAAAGATTGGGAACAACCTGATGCCCATCTGTACGGGACTAGTTAGATAAATTACGGAAATTCTTTCAACAAAATACTATGCAGCCATGGCTGGGCACGGTGGCTCATGCCTGTAATCCCAGCACTTTGGGAGGCCAAGGTGGGTGGATCATGTGAGGTCAGGAGTTCAAGACCAGCCAGGCCAACACGGTGAAACCCCATCTCTACTAAAGATACAAAAAATTAGCCAGGCGTGGTGGTGTGTACCTGTAATCCCAGCTACTAAGGAGGCTGAGGCAGGAGAATCTCTTGATTTTCCTGAATCTGGAGGCGGAGGTTGCAGTGAGCCAAGATCGTGCCATTACACTCCAACCTGGGCAACAAGAGCGAAACTCCATCTCAAGAAAAGAAAAAAAAATACTATGCAGCCATTTTAAAAAGTGAAAAACAGCAAGGTGTTGAACCATATCTATGGTATGCTACCAATTGTGGAAGAAATATGTGAGTGTAAGCACATATTTGTCTGAATGTGTATAAAACACGCCCAGAAGAGGAGATGCTTAAACACAGGTGCCTCTGCTGAGGAGAACTAAGAAGCTAGGGGAAAACAAAGGGGAGAACATTCACTCTCTGCCTTTTTGCACCTTTTGAATTTTGAACTGTGTAACCATAAGACTGCATGATCGTGTGCACGGATGTGCCTGTGCATGTGTGTGTGAATCCGCTTTACTGGACTCGATAAACATCTTGGACTTAAAGCCAGTGGGCTCCCTGCTTCCTAATACTCAGCTATCCACCGGAAGTTCAGACTGTGTGATCTGCTCGTGGGGAAGTTAAATCCAGACAGCAAGATGAAGTACCAGAGTAACAGAAGGCGTGCTGTCAGCCCCTGCAACAGAGAACCAAGGGGCCGTGACAGCAGCATCCTTCTCCCTCTCCTGACACTGGAAGGGAGAAACTGGCAGTTTCTCCAACTGGACCTCCTCGCCCTGCTGCGGCAGTGTGAAGAGAGGGAGGATGAGGACCCTTCAGAACAGTACAGGAAATGTTAGCATCAAGTGGGCGAAGAAAAGATGGGGCAGGTGTGGAACAGTGCAGCTGGGGAGGGGGATGCCGAGAAGGAAACTGACAAGAGGCTGCGAGGCAGGGCTGATGGATGATGAGAAGGAAGAGAGGTGTCAGGGCCTCGAGGATCATACACCTTCACGGGGGCCAGGAAATGAGAGGGTGCTGCTGGGTGCAACCCAAATATTGTGTTCGTTAGTGAGACTGGAGAGCGAAAGGATGCAACCTTTGATCTTGCACAGTGAGTGAGGATGCGGATATGATGGGGCCGCGACAGACTTTCACCAGGGCGTAATTCAGCCCGATTCTAAGGAGGTCCCTCCCTCTCCTGATCCCTCACTGTCCTCTGCCCATTCCCAGCCCCCACATTTAGCAAAACCACTCCGCTTGGCGTTCCAATGTTCTGTTTTACATTTGGCTTTGTTCAGCAGCAGCCTCTGTTTAGCCAGTTTCTGCTTGGGAGCCAAAGCGCCAAGAAACTACACAAGAAGAGCAGAGCCTGGACAGGATCAGAAAATGCCAGAGATTTTGCCACCAAGCCTGCTCCGCCGAGACTGCCAGGAGAGCTTTGCAAATGGAATCAATCTGAACGTAGCTGATGAGAAACATCTGAATGGAGGAAGCCAGGACAAACAGAAATCACTAAGTTTCCCACTGCAGTGGGCTGGAGTGGCTTCCCCAAGACTTCTAGTTGTGCGCATTTACCTTTCTATCATGAAGAAGACTCATGCTACTTCTTGGAAACCTATACAGTTCACAATGACAGACCCTGACCTCACGAACTCCGCTTTCTCTCCAGTCCCCAAGCCCTTCCGCCCCCCAGTCTGCAGGTGATTCTTTGGCTTTGTTGCTGTGTTTGATACATTTTGATAGCAGACGGGTCAGAGGTAGATTTTGGTCACATTGTATGGTGTCTCCTTTTCTCCAGAATTTGAGAACATCAGGAAGCCTCACCCACTGCCCAGATATGTCCTTACAACCCCCAATTAAAAGCCCAAGATACCTCCCAAATGTAGTTAAGGAATTTGGGGTGTGCTCCTGCAGTTTCCTCAGGGACACATACCCAAAGCCAAGCAAGTGGTGGCCTTATTCATTGTGACATGTCTCAGATGATGTTATAATAATGGAGCGTGCTTGGCCGACTAGAGCTCATAAGGAAAAGAGTTCAATCCAAAACCGGGACAGTGGTTACCTAGCACATTTCGAGGGAGAGAACACTCCAATTCCGACTAATACATGCTCTTGGATCCTAGACCACTTTGTCTTCAGAGTGGAAAATCGGAATACTCTCACGAGATACTAACTTTAGGCCAGGTGCAGTGAGTGGCTCATGCACTTTGGGAGGCTGAGGTGGGAGGATAGCTTTAGCCCAGGAATTCGAGACCAGCCTGGGCAACATAGTAAAACCACATCTCTACAAAAATTAAAAAACTTAGCTAGATGTGGTGGCATGCACCTGTAGGCCCAGCTACTTGAGAGGCTGAGGCAAGAGGATTGCTTGAGCCCAGGAGGTGGAGGCTGCAGTGAGCCAGGATTGTGCCACTGCACTCCAGCCTGGGTGAAAGAGTAAGACCCTGTCTCAAAAATTGTAAAAAAGAGACATATCAACCAATAGATAAACATTGATTCAGCAGTGTCCGGCTTCCTTCCCCTGCCTGCATATCCACCACTCAGCCTTCTCAATGTTAATGCAGAGCAGCTGGCCAGCTGCAATTACCTGAGCAGACTGTGGCATTCAACACCCGGACATGGTGCTTTATCAGCCGGACACTTGACGTTTAGCTGGCACAAATCTGGGTAAATGCCAAATTGAGATCTGGCATCTGCAAAGCTTTGGCCCAGGACTGAGACTGAAGGTGATTGATGGTTCTGTAATTGTATAGTTAGGAAACCCTGAGTTTAGGAACATGAGTGACGCGTCCAGAAACAATTAAACCATTGGTCAGGGAGTTGCCCTGCTTCTTGCGTTCTTTGAAGAATAACTTAGCTATGTGTTACTCTGAGCATAAACATTACACTGACCTTGATCCAGGAATTTAAACAGTGTCATGTAATGTAAACACTACAAATACCTTCTTGCTGAAATCGTCTGTTTTCAGGATGGGTTAGGGTTTCTTCTCTTCAAAAGTACTTTGGGGCACTGGATTTAAAATTCACAGTCAGATCTGCATTTTTCTCCCATTTACATTGCGTGGCCTTCAAGCATTCTCACCAGCTTCTAAGGTTGAGGGAGCCCTCTACTGATGGCACGGCTGTAATTTCACAGCACATAGCAAGGAAAACTGGATGACGTCTAAAGAACTCCTGGATCTGAGAACGGTAACCAGTCTCGAAACCTAGAGCAGACAGAGCTCTGTTTCTAGAGCCTATGAAAAGCCAGGCTCTAGAAACATCCTTGGTTTCCTCAAACTATCCACATTATTTCAGGTTTTATACTTTCAGGCAATAGAAGAAAGAAAGGTCTGAAAGGAAAGTCGTGTTCTATGTATTGAAAGCCTACATATTTCTGTGTGCACATGCACACGCATGCCCCTATACACATGTGCATGCACATGCACACACACACGTATGCGTGCACTTCTGCTTTTACAAATATACACACGCCTACACATACACTTACATACTCTGCAATTGCAGCATCATGGCCCGCTATAGGAAGACTTTGCTCTGTGTGTGCGTGTCCTGGAGGAAAGGCGTGGGAGGTACATAAGTATACATAGAATTCCAGAATTGTGGGACTGGATGGAACATTCACCCTTTGTGGCATGTTCAGAGGACAACTCTGACGAGGCCACAGCTTGAGAAAAGAATTCTCCCCAGCGGCTGTGGCCTTGATGCTGGAGGTTAACAGCTTAACACCAGGGTGTGGTACCCAATTCTGAACTCAGGAAATTAATGACGATAAGGGTGGGCTGCCTGCCAAGGCCCGCGGTGTGAATCCCAAGAGAAGCACCTTCTATTTTGAGACCTCCTCCAACCACGGCATGCTGTCCTCTGCTCTCATGCACGTCCCACCTCTCTGTCTGTGTGCTGCTTTCTTCGACTCTTTTATTCCTAAACTTTCCTGGGTTTCCAACCCATGGACAGTGAGAGCAACTTATTTCCTTGCCCATTGATTCATCAAAAAGAATAATCATGTGGTATTAGGAATCAAATACCTGACACAGATGTCAATAGGAAGATGTCAATGGTATAACTCTTCCCTTGCCAAGAACATCAAAGGGAAGAGAGGGGAAATGGCAAACAGAGGATCAAACTAAGGCTGGACAAAAGGAGATAAAAGCACAATAATGTTCTCTTCCTTGAGAGGGCTCCCCTGGAAAGGAAAAGTGAAAGCACAGTCTCGCACCACATCATATAACCGACGCTACCAGGTAACCGCACACGCCAAAGGAGCCAGCCCTGGAAAATCAAAAGATCAAAAGACACCACTCCTCTGCTCAAAAACCTTCAGTGACTCCCGTTGCCCGTAGAAAATCTACAGTCTTTAAGAGGACATTCAAGGTTCTTTGCTTTTCCTGCCACAGTTCCTACCCACCCCCAACACGTGTAGCTCACTCTCATGTTAGCCCGTAGACCACTGTCACCTCATGGCTTTCCTGCTACTGTTCCTTTCTTCTCTGTGTGTGTGGGGCCTACCCATCCTTCAAGAGTCAGCTCAGATGTCACCCTCTGCATGAAGCTTTCTCCAGCTCTCCCAGGCAGAATGTATTTCTCTATCTCCTGTGTACCCAGAGGATTTTGTTTATGCCTTCCGCCCCCACCACCATAACACTTACGGACAGCCTTCATAGTTGGGTCTCCTCTACGTTTATACATTGTGGTCAAGCCCACATCTTACTCACGTTTGCATCTCTCTTGAGTTCCCACCCCGACCATGTCACTCCATGCCCACCACTGATCCTTCTCTCCTCATTCCGCATCCTCATTCTTTCTGCCAGGGACCTACCATAGCATCTCCCATACAATCAATTCTTAATATTGTACATTGCCTGTTCCATGAAACTAAATTAACACCTAAGATTAGGGGAAAATATAGTTCACTCCAAAGACAGAAAAAAGGTAAGTGAGATATTGTGTCAGATCCTAAGTAATACAAAGTCTCCAGCATGGGCAACATAGGGAGATCCCATCTCTACAAAATAAAAACATTTTTTTAAAACCTAGCCAGGTGTGATGGTAAGCACCCATGGTTCCAGCTACTCAGGAGGCTGAGGTAGGAGGATTGCTTGAGCCCCAGGAGATTGAGGCTGCAGTGAGCCATGATGGTGGCACTGCACTCCAGCCTAGGTAACAGTGCGATACCCTGTCTTAAAAAAACAGAAAAGGCCGAGTGAGGTGGCTCATGCCTGTAACCCCAGCACTTTGGGAGGCTGAGGCAGGTGGATCACGAGGTCAGGAGTTCGAGACCAGCCTGGCCAACATAGTGAAACCCTATCTCTACTGAAAATACAAAAAAATTAGGCAGGCGTGGTCACAGGCACCTGTAATCCCAGCCACTTGGGAGGTTGAGGCAGGAGAATCGCATGAATGCTGGAGGCGGAGGTTGCAGTGAGTGGAGATCGCACCACTGCACTCCAGCCCAAGCGACAGAGTGAGACTCCATCTCAAGAAAAAAAAAAAAAGAAATAAAGAAAGAACTCTCATTTGTCAGTTCCAACATGGCTCGTCTAAAAGCTTCTCAAGGCTGGGTGCGGTGGCTCAAGCCTGTAATCCCAGCACTTTGGGAGGCCGAGGTGGGTGGATCACCTGAGGTCAGAGGTTCGTGACCAGCCTGACCAACATGGTGAAACCCCGTCTCTACTAAAAATACAAAAATGAGCCAGGCATGGTGGTGCACCTGTAGTCCCAGCTACTCAGGAGGCTGAGGCAAGAGAATCACTTGAACCCAGGAGGCAAAGGTTGCAGTGAGCCGAGATCGTGCCACTGCACTCCAGCCTGGGCAACAAGAGCGAAACTCCATCTCAAAAAAATAAATAAATAAAGTAAAAGCTTTTCAAGGTTTTGAATCCCTCCCCGTTTCAGGGCCCTGCCTTCTACAGGTGACCATGGCGCACTGAGACCAACTTTCAACTTTTGAGCAACTGTGAATTAAAGACCTCCCCTTCCTCAAGACACTTTAGTGTGGTCTGCTAGAAATTTGTCATAAACACTATCCAAATATGCTAGGAGCAGGAGATGAGTGACACCTCCTGGGGTTGTACAATGAACAGCCCTAAGTGGCCTTAAGAATACTAAGTTGAACACAACCAGTCAGTGTTTGTCCTTCAAGGTGGGCACCACCGTGGTGCACGGACCTTGGAGTGTGAGAAATCTGAGTTAACATCTTGGATAACCATCCTAACCATTAGCTTCCAGGCCTCTAAAATGTAGCTCATCAAAAAACCTCTTCACAGGGTTACTTTTAGGATTACACAAGATTTTAAATATCGAGTGCTTAAGGACTCACAACAAATGTTCAGTCAGTGAAAGCCACTATTATTACAGCAATGCTCCTAAAATTCAATACATTTCTGAAAGGCATCTTTCCAAATTACCGTCAAAGCCCTTTTATAAGCCACATGCAAAAATCATGGGTTTTCTGTGTGTGTGTGTGTGTGTGTGTGTGTGTTTCTTGCTTTTTTTAAGACAGAGTGTCACTTTGTCGCCCAGGCTGGAGTGCAGTGGCGCCATCTCGGCTCACTGCAAACTCAGCCTCCCGGGTCCAAGCGATTCTCCCTTCTCAGCCTTCAGAGTAGCTGGGATTACAGGCATACACCACCACATCTGGCTAATTTTGTATTTTTAGTAGAGATGGGGTTTCACCACGTTGGTCAGGCTGGTCTCAAACTCCTGACCTCAAGTTATCTGCCCGCCTCAGCCTCCCAAAGTGCTGGGATTACAGGCATGAGCCACTGTGCCTGGTTTATTGCTTTTGCTAAAATGATATTATTGTATCTGAGTCTCCATTTTATTAATCAGATATAGCTAAAATGATATTTAGATGTTTATAAAAGTCAAATTTGTTGTTTTAAAAAAAAGGTTTGCAGCCACTGACTATATGTTTCAGTTACTTAAAGAATTCCAAAGGCATTGGTCAAAACCAAAATTTTTTATAAAAAGCATTCACATCTTATACAAATATCCCAGGTATGCCAGGCATGGCGGCTCACGCCTGTAATCCCAACACTCTGGGCAGCCAACGGGGGGTGGATTGCTTGAGCCCAGGAGTTCAAGACCAGCCTAGGCAACACAGCAAAACCTGGTCTCTGCAAAAAATACAAAAAAAATAGCCAGACATAGTGGCAAATGCTTGTAGTCCCAGCTACATGGGAGGCTTAGGTAGGAGGATCTCTTGAGCATGGGAGGTCAAGGCTGCAGTGAGCTGAGATCACACCATTGTACTCCAGCCTGGGTGACAGAGTGAGACCCTGTATTTAAAAAATAATAATAAATAAATATATATATCTCCCAGGCATTCTCCACAATATCTAGCAGAAAGTTAGACACAGTTGTTCCTTCCTTAATACAAATTATCAACTACATATTGAGGGATGATAATTGTAAAAATCAGGTCTTCTGAGTTCATAGCATAGAATCCAAGAAACCTACAGTTTTGGAAGTAACCCAACCTGTAAGGTCAGTTAAACTGACATTCTGGATGGCTCCAGGGGATGTCAGGAGAGTAACATTCTCTGGGTTCCCTTCTGGACCTGAGAATAACTTTAATTACTACTTCATATTCCAGTGTTCCAGTGCTTAGCCAGAGAATGTCCTTGAAGGGTCACTTGATTCACTAATAAATACTGCCAACTCTGCTTTTTCAAGGGTGGATTATGATTAATTCAATCAGCAAGCACTTTCCAACCCCTCTCATGTGTAGAACAGAACACTTGACACTGTACGAGTTACCAAGCACATAGCACATGCATGACCCCTGACCTCACGGGGTTTCCAATCTAGGGGAGACTAGAATCTAGAATTCCAATCTAAAATCTTTCAATTGTAGTCAGTATATACAACAATAAAGTATGGATTATGATACAATTACTTGTTGACAAAATAGTAGAAATAATGCGTGCTATAGAAAGACACCTGTGGATGAGAGTCGTTATGGAGGCCCTAGAATCAAACTCAGCCCCAGTAGACAGAAAAGCTTTCACTAGGCAGAGAGAATGGGAGCCAATCTAGGCAAAGAGACCACTACAATAATGACAAATGGTACAAGGCGCATTGGAAAATGGAAAGTAGACCAATCCACTTACATAGAAGTTAAAGTAAGGGTGCAGTGGTTATAAGATCAAAAAGACAGTTTGGAGGCTGGGCATGGTGGCTCTCATCTGTAACCCCAAAACTTTGGGAGGCCAAGGTGGGTGGATGCCTTGAGCCTAGGAGTTTGAGACCACCCTGGGCAACATGGTGAAACCCCATTGCTACAAAAAAATACAAAATTAGCTGGGTGTGATGGCGTGCACCTGTAGTCCCAGGTACTTGGAAGGCTGAGATGGGAGGATCACCTGAGCCTGGGGAGGTGGAGGCTGCAGTAAGCCATGATTGCACCACTGCACTCCAGCCTGAGCAACAGAGCAAGACCCTATCTCAAAAAAAAAAAAAAAAGAAAGAAAAAGAAAGGTAGTTTGGGACTACATTGTGAGGAATCTGAATGGCAGAAGCAGGAATTCATACTGTATCCTGTATAGACTAGGAAGTGATGCTCTCACATGGCACATTGTAGAAAGTTGGGCAAAGATACAGAAATGCTGAACAACTGGTTGTTTTTTGTTTGTTTATTTGTTTTTAATCGAGAGAGAGTCTTGCTCTGTTGCCCTGGCTGGAGTGCAGTGGTCCGATCATAGCTCATGGCAGCTTCAACTTCCCAGGCTCAAGTGATCCTACCGCCTCAGCCTCCAGTGTAGCTGGGACTGCAGGCAAATGCCACCATGCCCAGGTAATTTTTGTATTTTTTGTAGAGGTGGAGTTTTGCCATGTTGCACAGGCTGGTCTCAAAGTCCTGGGCTCAAGCAATCCGCCTGCCTTGGCCTCCCAAAATGCTGGGAGTACAGGCGTGAGCCACCGCGCCTGGCTGAAATGCTGAACTTTTAATGGCCCTTCTTGGTTCATGGCCGAGAACAAAGAAAAAGAAAAAAAGATCAACCAGCTCTTCTGACATCAGCTCTGTAGTCAAAAGTATTCACAGGGGAGTGAATCTAAATCTTCTGGCAAAAAAAAAAAAAGACTACAACTTGGGGATTAGCTGTCCACTTCAGCCTTCCATGTGCACTCTGGCCTGTCTGACCCAGAGTCATCAGCAATGAGCAGCTGAAGCAGGAAAAGCAGCAGAAACTCAGAGCTGCGGTGGCTGGAAAGAAATTGTTCCTGGCAGTGAAATCTGCCCCATCTATGCCTGGGATCAAGCAGTGGGATTAGGTGGTTTGCTGGGCCCCACAGCATGGTCTGCGGTGCTGTCAGCAGCCTTTAATGAAAACATGACTGTGTAGCACGCAGTGGTGGCCGGTTTATGTGCTAGATATTAAACGCAGGCTTACGCATCCCTCTATTTATACATGCACCCAGACCTGCTGGATAACTGCCATTCCATTCAAGGGAGGTGAAATAAGACCCTCCTGTGCAGCACACTGAGACACACAGCACACATTCCTGGAAGCAGCAGGCAAGAAAGAATTTGACCTCCAACCACAAAAAGGAATCCCATAGGGGAAACCACACAGTGGCCTAACAGACCACAAACAGAAATCCATTTCAGAGTGTGGAAAGCTAGTCTTGGTGAAGTAGTAGGTGGGATTTTGAACAAGTCACACCAAGTTAGAAGCACAGGAAGGCAACACAAAGGGCACAGCGGGCACCACCTGTCTGCATTTGCATCAGCTTCATTGTCAAACGTCAGTCTTGACAAAATCCTGCCCTTGGGAGACCACCTAGGTCTAACTTCATTCCCCAACTCATCGGGCTCATCTGCCAACAGTCCTTCCCCAGAGACTGACGGTTTCAACCCAAGCAGAAAAGCAGACTGCAGAGGCCAACAAGGTGGGTTGTGTGGGAACTTGCTAGACTGAGTTTGACAGCCCCTACCAAGACAAGCGGCTGGCAGCTTATGCTGACAAAATTCACTGCTACATAGCCCTTTAGTTCCAAACCACCCACCTCCTGTTGCTTTCTGATTCCCCACCTGTGAGCATCTATAGACAGACCATGTTTTATTTTCTTCGTCACCTCTTTCCTAATGCTTTCCCAGATTACCGGAACTGAATGTTTTCTTTTTTTTTTTTTTCTTTTTTGAGACAGGGTCTCACTCTGTTTCTCAAGCTGGAGTGCAGTGGCACCGTCTCGGCTCACTGCAACCTTGACCTCCCATGCTCAAGGAATCCTCCCACCTCAGCCTCCTGAATAGCTGGGACTACAGGTGTGTGACACCATGGCCAGCTAATTTTTGTATTTTTTGTGCCAATCAGAAAATCTTTGAATCCACCTATGACCTGTAAGCCCCACCCCACTTCAAGTTGTCCTGCTTTTCCAGACCAAACCAATATATACCTCACATGTATTGATTGATGTCTTATGTCTCCCTAAAATGTATAAAACTAAGCTGTGCCCAACCACCTTGGGCACATGTTCTCAGGACCTCTTGAAACTGTGTCTCAGGCCCTGGTCACTCACAGTTGGCTCAGAATAAATCTCTTCAAATATTTTACAGAGTTGGGCTCTTTTCATAGAAAATGTAATATGCCCTCAATGAAAACCTGTTGAGTGAACGAATGTACAAATCAATGAGTACATAAAGCAATAGTGAATGAGTGAATGGATGGTTAGATTGTCAGTATTGCTGAGATTTAAAGAAAAGGAAAGTCACTCCAGATATTGATCAGGTTGAACCTCTTGCCTTTACTTAGGTTAGTCATTATTTAGTCTTATTTTACAGAGGAGCCAACCAAGGCCAATGTGGACTAAACACCTTGAAAAGGCCATAGTGCTCATCTCCTAATGTAGAGCTCTTTACTCTATACCATTCTGCACAATACTGCTATCTGGTTTGGGTGGTTTCAGTATCTGGTACATATATCATGGGATTACCTTCAAGAAGACCAGGAAAAATACCCTACTTCTTTTTATCCTCTTCTTATTAACCCCTTCTTAATTTCTTGTCTTTATAGAGAGCAGAGATGAACATATACTTATAACAGGAAGACGCTCGACTCTGTTGTTGTTGTTTGTTGTTGCTGTTGCTGTTGAGGTAGAGTCTCACTCTGTCGCCCAGGCTGGAGTGCAGTGAGTGGCTAGATCCTGGTTCACTGCAAACTCTGCCTCCTGGGTTCAATCAATTCTCCTGCCTCAGCCTCCCAAGTAGCTGGGATTACAGGCGCCCACCACCAGCCCAGCTAATTTTCGTATTTTTAGTAAAGACAGGGTTTCACCTCGTTGGCCAGGCTGGTCTCAAACTCCTGACCTCAAGTGATCCACCCATCTCAGCCTCCCAAAGTGCTGGGAATACAGGTGTGAGCCACTGCACTAAACCAGAAGATGCCCCCACTCTATAAACAAGGCAGACATGGTCCAAACAAGTCCAAAATGCAAAAGTCTTTCAACATCAAACATAATTCCCAGATTTGAGTCCACAGACATGGCAAGGAGGAAACTTTTATCAAAAGAAATTGCCAAATCGTGGGAATGTGAGAAATGAGTCCATCACAGGTGCTTCATCAGTTCAGCTGGCAGGGCCGGGAAAATAGCTGCCTGCAAGTATACCTGTCTCCTCTAGCCAAACCACCACCAGGATTTCCATGGCAAGTAGCTCCCTGGACTTGATTCAGAGCCTACAAATGGAAATTCTCAGGGCAAGCCTAGCCTTCTTGCCGCTGGCAAAGTGCCACAGAAACGTTGCCACCCCCTCCTGGGCTCCACCGGAGACACAGGCATCAAATGGAAAGAGCAGAGCTTCTAAGGACACAACGGACTCAGGCTTGGTAGTGGCCACAGGCCTCAAGCAATGCAATCGCCACCACTAAACATGCCCGTTCTGATGCTGCAGGAAGAGTGAAGCCTGGGCTCCAGGGAAATTTCTGGCAAATGTTCTCACAGTTTGATTTGTGAAAACAGCAGTTCCTGATAAAAGCTTCAGAAAGAAGATAGTAGCTATTAACACCTCTTGGGCTGAACCCTGCAAGTCCTTTGACAGTCTTTCAGCATGTTAGACAAAGGTGTGCAGAAAGTTAGAAAGATTTACTGGATGGTGGGGGTGAGAGAGCAGCCTGGAGGCAGGAGATAGTTCTCGCCCAGCCTTTGTAAGAGGTCAAAAGCTAAATGGTTTTCTGCCTTTATTTCCGTAACTGTAAAATAGGGGTGACCCAGGGTTTGGACTGTTGTGCTTGTATGTAAAATGCCTAATCTACATTCTGTGAGTGTAGGCCAGATGTCCTCAAGCCCCATCAGCCTGGGTGGGGCTCAGCCCTCGTCAGCAGAAGACTTCCTCATACCCTGCCTTTCTGGTTCCAGGAGCCCCCAGGCACCCCACGGGTGCTCTGGAAGGGTGCTGGAGCCTCTCTCCAAGGGCCCCCAGGACACTGCTCTTCGCATGGCTGCACCCATTGGTGCCCTCCTCTGAGCCCCACAAACACTGGTGCGGTGCTCCAGTGTGCTGCTCCAGTGCGCTGCTCCGGCACCCACCTCACTGAAAGCAGGAAATCTGCTCCTCCTAGTTTGTATTACATTCTCAGGCCGTGGCGCCCAGCAAGACCAACTGAGGTGCTCATATTATAGACCCTTGAGTGAAGCATCTGGCCAGTTTATGTAGTTCATGAAAACTGAAGAATGATGAGGTTCATGAACTTGGGGAAGGAGAGCTTCATTTCTCATAAAAGGTTGTGGCCTACAGGGTGACCATTTGGACAGGCCGGGAAGCACAGCCTCCATCCAGAAGCCAGAAACAGGCACTTTGCTGGGCAAGGTGGCTCACACCTGTAATCCCAGCACCTTGGGAGGCCAAGGTGGGCAAATCACTTGAGGTCAAGAGTTCGAGATCAGCTTGGCCAACATGGTGAAACCCAGTTTCTACTAAAAATACACAAAATTGGCTGGTCGTGGTGGTGGGCACCTGTAATCCCAGCTACTCGGGAGGCTGAAGTGGAAGAATTGCTGGAACCCGGGAGGCGGAGCTTGCAGTGAGCCAAGATGGTACCACTACACTCCAGCCTGGGAGACAGAGCAAGACTCCGTCTCAAAAAGAAACAGAAACTCCAAGGGTCAGAAATATAAAACAGGGATTTATGCTGAATGGGGTGGCCACCTATATATATTCAATAAGCTATAGGAGGAGTCATGAATATTCATGAAAGGAGAAACATGCACATGCACAATTGAGCTTCATGCCTCTCCACAGGACCCATGTTCAAAAGATGGTGGCATTACCATGATCCATTGATGGAGTATTCAGCCCTCTGATCAAAAGGTGAAGCAGAGGACATGAAGACCCTCACTGTACATCCTCCATAGACTGGCCAGAACCACTCTGTGGTTGCTGGTCTCTGATCAGTAAGGAAGATCGGTCAGTTGTTGTGTTGAAACTGCAAAAGGGAGGGTCAGAAGTCAGTGGTTGGTGGAAATCAGTGATACTCTTCTGAAAGGGCCAGTTTCTGTTTAGCCCTTAGGGAAGAAAGCCTAATGGTTGTTAGTGAGGGATGGGATACAATGAGGCATTTCTGAGCTTCCATCCCATCATGGCCAGGAACTTAGATTTCAAGGTCTCTCTGGGGTCCCCTTGGCCAAGAGGGATTCCGTTCAGTCAGTTGGGGAGCTTATATTTTCATTTTTACTTCTCATTCTTTAAGGTTCCCTGAAGCGTTGGGGTAAAAGACCATTTGAAAGGCATTTCACCATGCATGTGGCAGGCACCCCTGACAGCAATAACTTCACTGAAGCATGACTCTGTGAATGACTCTGCGGTCTAAGAAGAATGTGTGTTCAGAGTCCCAAGCTAAGGGATCCAGGAGCAGCCAACCAGGAGATCCACTCCTAATCCACGAAGGACATCTGAACCTTTGGCCTGTCACTTGGAACACAGGTAATACAGGGGATCAAGTCCCTTTTTGGGGGATTAAATGGAGGTTAGTAGGTGACGGTTGCTAGGTGGAGGATGCTATGTGAAAATGCTGTATAAACTGCATGCTTTTTTACCAATAGTAGTGGTTGTCCTGTCCAGCCCACTGCGAATAGACCATCCCTGTATGTAAGTTCCCCCAAATAAACCCTATGTCTCATTGGCTGTCTCTAGATCTTTTCTTTGGCCTCTTGGACATGATGCCATCTCTATTGGAGTCAATAGGGGTCTAGTATGACACTATGTTACTGCAGTGAAGTTCAAACTTTCCCATGATGGTTCAAGTCTAAGTCTATTGAAATCAATTGATAGTACACAGATTGGCCAGGCGTGGAGGCCCACTCTGTAATACCAGCACTTTGGGAGGCTGAGGCGGGCGATCACCTGAGGTCAGGAGTTCAAGACTAGCCTGACCGACATGGCAAAACCCCATCTCTACTAAAAATACAAAATTACCTGGGCATGGTGGCGGGCGCCTGTAATCCCAGCTACTCGGGAGGCTAAGGTGGGAGAATTGCTTGATCCCAGGAGGCGGAGGTTACAGTGAGCCAAGATCACGCTATTGCACTCCAACCTGGGTGACAGAGCGAGACTCCGTCTAAAAATAAATATATAAATAAATAAATACACAGATTAACAGAGGAAAAAAGGCATACAATTTTTTTGTTGTTATTTTACTTTGTTTCTGTAAGGTATACAATTTTATTAACATGCATAAACACTGGGGGATCGCAGGAGAATGGTTACCATAACCCAGTGAGATACAGATGCTTCTGCACCCTTCTTCGTAGGTGGAGGGAGATGCAGAATGCAGGCCATGCATCTGAGGGGTAGTAAACAATGGTTAGGGAGAATGAATGGACCCGGGAGACAGAGATTAACTTGTAAATGATTCTTTTTGGAATTCAAATGAGCCACAGAGGCAGACGTTATCTTGTGAAAAAGTCAACCAGGTGTGGTTGCATTCCTCAGTCTTTTCTGCCATAGATAATAAGATTTCAGGGAGGGGACGGAAGGCAATTGTGTTTTCTTTGGATGGTCCAGTACTTTTTCTTTTTTCTTTTTTAATATTTGTAGAAATGCGGTCTCACTATGTTGCCCAGGCTAGTGTCAAACCCCTGACCTCAAGTGATCCTCCCACTTCAGCCTCCCAAAGTGCTGGGATTACAGGCGTGAGCCACTGCACCTGGCCAAGGGTCAAATCTTAAAGTAGATAAGAGAATATCAGAGCATACCATCTTTCAGTGTCTGCTTACTTTCAAGGACCTTTCATTTAAAATAATCAGCATGCTAGAGTGCCATGTTTGGAGGCAAAATTTCCCAGGCTCCTTCATTACACTCTAATGTGTCCTTATATAGATGAGAAAGATATTTTTTAAACATAATCACTATACTTTCATCATACATAACAAAAATAATAATTCCTTAATGTCTTCTAATACGAATCCATATGCATATTTCCTTGATTTTCTCAAATTGTGTTTTTATTGTTGATTTGCTCAAATTGGGAGGGAAACAAGGGTCTCACATAGCATTTGTTATCTCTTCTCAGTCTATTTTATCCCAAAAATCCACCCTCCCTTTTTTTCTAATGCCATCTTGGTTGGAGAATAATGCATAATTATTGGAGAAAAACTGGGTCATCTTTCCAATGGAATGTCCCACCTTTTTGATTTAGCTGACTGTATTCTTGTCATTTAAGTCATTCTTCTGTCACTCATATTTCCTGTAAACTAGTAGCAAATTCTAAAGATGATACAATCAGGTTCAGTTGTTTAGGCAAGAAAGTATAAATGATGTTTCCTGTTGCATTACACCATGAGGCACATAGTGTTTGAGCCGCCCTACTTGTAGGGAGGCTAAGATTGATCATAGATTGATCATGGGGTATAGGTGAGGTCAGCCCGGCCCTTCCATTATAATGTTCTCTATCAATATTCCAGCCAATAGTTTTAGCCTCATTATTGAATGTTGCCTTGTTGCCTAGATCAAGTCTTTCTTTCTTTCTTTTTTTTTTTTTTTTTTTTTTGAGACAAGTCTGGCTCTGTTGCCCAGGCTAAAGTGCAATGGCAAGATCTTGGTCCACTGCAACTTCCATCTCCCGGGCTCACACCATCCTCCTATCTCAGCCTCCCTAGTAGGGACTTCAGGCATGCGCCACCACACCCCGCTAATTTTCATATCTTGGGTAGAGACGAGGTTTTGCCATGTTGCCCAGGCTGGTCTTAAACTCCTGACCTCAAGTGACCCTCCTGCCTTGGCCTCCAAAAGTGCTAGGATTACAGGCATGAGCCACTGCACCCAGCCCTAGATCAATTATTTCATTGGAGGTAATTTTTTAAAAATCTGTAATTTCTCCTGCATTGATAAGTTGGAATTCTATATAGGCAGGAACTACTTTTATCAACTACTTATTTTTCTAAAATATAGTTGTCATAGGAAAGGTAAAATAAATGCTTTCTCATTATTCATTCATTTTCAGAATAATAAACCCCAACCGTAACCTCCAAAGACAAGCCATTAGGTTGCTTGGCTTTATGATTATTTTTAGGAATCATTGTGAAGTCATGATTTTTATGTATTTGATAGGTTTTAATCCATTGTATTACTACTATCCTTTTTGATGCAGAAATTGCCCCACTTCAGCCAGTGGGAACCCATTCAAAGTGGGTCCTCTGCTGTTTCGACACGATCCCAAGTAGTCTCAGAGTGCTTCTTCACTTCCTGGCAAAACAAGTTCTCCAATGCTCATCATGTGCATATCTTGCCCCAAACCTGGAACCAGCCATTTCACCAAGGGAAATGGGATTTAGAGATCTACCTCAGGATTTGTGTTTTTTTAATTAAGCTTTGCAAACATAATTGAGACTTCCTGTGCAGACATCGCCCAGGTTTTACTGCCCTCCCTTTTTCTTTTTATTTCTTTTATTTTTTGAGATGGAGTCTCAGTCTGTCACCCAGGCTAGAGTGCAGTGGTGCCATCTCGGCTCACTGCAACCTCCACCTCCTGGGTTCAAGCGATTCTCCTGCCTCAGCCTCCCAAGTAGCTGGGATTACAGGCACCCGTCACCATGCCCGGCAAATTATTTTGTATTTTTAGTAGAGACGGGGTTTCACCATGTTAGCCAGGCTGGTCTCTAACTCCTGACCTCAGGCAATCCACCAGCCTCAGCCTCCCAAAGTGCTGGGATTACAGGCATGAGCCACTGTGCCCAGCCTACTTGTAGGATTTTTAACCCACCTGTTATGTAGGACAGGGTTCTAATTTTGTGTTTTTCCATATGGATAATTGATTTTCCAAGCACCACGTATTAAACAGTTCATTATTTTCTCATTGATTTTTTTTTTTTTTTTTTTTGAGATAGAGTTTCGCTCTGTCACCCAGGCTGGAATGCAGTGGCATGATCTCTGCTCATTGCAACCTCCATCTCCGGGGTTCAAGAAATTATTTGCCTCTGCCTCCCGAGTAGCTGGGATTACAAGTGAGCACCACCATGCCCGGTTAATTTGTGTATTTTTAGTAGAGATGGGAGTTCACCATCTTGGCCAGGGTGGTCTTGAACTCCCGACCTCATGTTCCACCCACCTCGGCCTCCCAAAGTGCTGGGATTACAGGCATGAGCCACCACGCCTGGCCAATTTTTAATTCTATCTTTATCATATAGTAAATGTCCACATCCATGTGAGGATGTTCTGGGTTCCTATCCTATTCCATTGACTTATTTTCCAATTCTTGCACCATCCCACTATGTTCTTATTTCTATAGTTTAAATAAGTCTTATGATGTCACAGAACAAGTCCCACCATCTTCTTTTTAAAAATGGAATTTAGTCTTCTTGGCCTTTTGCTCTTCCTCAGAGTCTCCCAGAGCACGAAGGACAGAGAAGACAGTATCTAACATCTGAGAACTCTAAAGGATGGGGGACTGGCTGGTAGTCGCTCTGAGGGCAGTACTACCCTCAGCAAAGAGAGGCACTGGGGAATTTCCACGTTCCCAGAGTTTATCTGAGCAAAGTATGAAAATATCTTCCATGGGCCAGTTGTGAGCCCTAAGAGAGTGTTTGCCATTGTAAAGTTTCCTAGATCCAGCTAAGAGGACCAGCTTCTAGAAAACTAGAGCTATGCTGAGGCAGGAGGATCACTTGAGGCCAGGAGTTTGAGACCAGCCTGGGCAACATGGCGAAACCTCGTCTCTACCCAAAATACAAAAATTAGTCTGGTATGGTGGCATGCACCTGAAATCCCTACTAAGGAGACTGAGATAGGAGGATGGTTTAAGCCCAGGAGGTGGAGGTTGCAGTAAACCAAGATTGTGCCATTGCACTTCAGCCTGGGCAACAGAGCCGAACCCTATCTCAAAAAAAAAAAAAAATACTGGAACTAGAACGAGAGCTAAACACTGAGCTGCTAAGGGAAGACTTAGAAAAGATGCATTCTCCTGCAAGAATGAAATGACAGGTGAGAGATTCCCAAAAAGGGAGGGGCCAGGTGGTGGGTGGAGGGACATGATCTCAAAAAAAGTTCACAAAGTGCTCCATGCTACAAAAAGTTAACTTTAAACTTCCGCCCAGCTCAGGGAGTTCTAATGCCAGCTCACGTCAGTGCTGTGCGAGTAGGACCTTCCTGTTGCCCCCTCTCCCTTCCGTTTCTTTTTTTTCAGACGGAATCTCCCTCTGTCGCCCAAGCTGGAGTGCAGTGGTGCAATTTTGGCTCACTGAAACCTCCACCTCCCGGGTTCAAGCGATTCTCCTGCCTCAGCCGAGAGGCAGCTACTCCCGAGTAGCTGGGACTACAGGCACATGCCACCACGCCCAGCTAATTTTTTGTATTTTTAGTAGAGACGGGGTTTCACTGTGTTAGCCAGGATGGACTCGATCTCCTGACCTCGTGATCCACCCGCCTCGGGCTCCCAAAGTTCTGGGATTACTGGCGTGACCCTGTTTCAACCTATAGGAGTCAGAGGCCACCTAAAGAATTCATGGGTAGGAGGAGAAAACACCACTGAGGAAGACAGATGAGACACATACCACACCCTCCATTCCCACTGCGGGCTCTCCGCCCGCTGCAGGCTCAGGTAGGGGCCAAGATAACTTATGCTTTGTGATGTTGGAAGTTTTGACAACTACCTGGGACATATATCTTTTTCTTTTCTTTTTTTTTTTTTTTTTTTTTTTGAGATGGAGTCTCGCTCTGTTGCCCGGGCTGGAGTGCAATGGCGCCATCTCGGCTCACTGCAACCTCTGCCTCCTGGTTTCAAGTGATTCTCCTGCCTCAGCCTCCCAAGTAGCTGGGATTACAGGTGTGCACCACCATGCCCAGTTAATTTTTGTATTTTTAGTAGAGACGGGGTTTCACCATGTTGGCCATGCTGGTCTTGAACTCCTGACCTCAAGTAATCCACCCGCCTCAGCCTCCCAAAGTGCTGGGATTACAGGCGTGAGCCACTGTGCCTGGCCTAGATATCTTAATCCATGAACTGAGACTGGTTTTCATGGTCAGAGGACTTTTTATTCAGAGTGGCCAGAAAAGTCAGTGACACCTGGCAGAGATTTCATTCAGAGACAAGAAAGAACTTGCCATCTATTCAGCTTACAAGTGTGGAGGACACGGTGGTTCACGCCTGTAATCCCAGCACTTTGGGAGCCTGAGGTGGGCAGATTGCCTGAGGTCAGGAGTTCGAGACCAGCCCGGCCAACATGGTGAAACCCCATCTCTACTAAAAATACAAAACTTAGTCGTGGCCTGTAGTCCCAGCAACTCGGGAGGCTGAGGCATGAGAATCTCTTGAACCTAGGAAGCAGAGGTTGTAGCAAGCCGAGACGGCGCCACTGCACTCCAGGCTGAGCCACACAGCAAGACTCTTTCTAAAAACTAAAAACAAAGAAAACCCAAGTGCAATCACAGGAGAAAAATAATACTACTTCATGATTATACCCCAGGAATCCTATTTATTTATGTAAAGTACTGGCTACCCACTATTTTTAATACACTGCTTAACTAAATTTGCTAATATTTTATTTAGGATTTTTACATCTACTTCTTTCTTTCTTTTTTTTTTGAGACGGCGCCTCGCTCTGTCACCCAGGCCGGAGTGCAGTGGTGCGATCTCGGCTCACCGCAAGCTCCTCCTCCCGGGTTCACGCAGTTCTCCTGCCTCAGCCTCCGGAGTAGCTGGGACTACAGGCACCGGCCACCACGCCCGGCTAATTTTTTTATAATCCTTTAATCTCTTTAATTCACGCATCTGTCCTTTGTATAAAGAGGTGTTTTGGTGAACCCACGTTGCTACACCAATGACATTCCACAGTATTAACACTAGAATGACTGAAGTCACATTCATCAAATATACAGGAAATATCAATGGCTCACGAACTGATTATTCTTCTGGCAAGTTAGGGTTGGGTCTCATATTATCAAACTAATTTTTAATGCCTACTAAAACTCATACTTAATAGGAAGACAACCTATAATTAAAACTGTCCCTTGTTAGGTGGAGAGCAAAGACTTATTCACACTGAATCTCCCATGCCTTGTATAGCACTAGGCACAGAATGGCATTCAGTGTTTTGAGAATGAATGAATGGTCTGCCTCTTGTCTTTGATAACAGTGAATATCTTGCTAGGAACACAGGGGCATGTAACTTTTACTTATCAAACTCTACAAGTTGCATTGAGAATACTCAATCATGAGCATTAATTTGAGAACAGTTAGGAATGAAAGTGGAGTCTCTGGGGCACTTGCCTCTGTTCGTGGCATCCTGTGCAATCTTAGCCAATATCAACCTTTCCAATGCCTGGCTAATTTTTTTTGTATTTTTAGTAGAGACAGGGTTTCATCATGTTAGCCAGGATGGTCTCGATCTGCTGACCTGGTGATCCACCCGCCTTGGCCTCCCAAAGTGCTGGGATTACAGGCATGAGCCACCGTGCCCGGCCTGCATCTACACTCTTAAGTGTGATTAATAGATTACTTTCTTGTTCTTGTCAGCTTTAGAATCAAAGTTATACCAATTTTGTAAAAAGATCTGGGTAGGTTTTCCCCTTTTCTATGCTCTGAAACAGTTTGTATAATATAAGGACTGTATGTGTGTTGATGATTTTGTAAAATGTGTCTCTGAAACCGTACTTGTCTCTATGACTGGCAACTTCAGGGGACAAGAGAGTGAATAAATAATCTGTAATTTCATTTCAATACAGATAAATTATCAATTGCCTGGAAGCTCACAAATGAGTGGGAGCACCATTATCCCCCCTATTGTGGGATACTCTTCTCACCTCAGGCACCATATATGGCCCTGGGCTCATGATTGAGTAAGAATACTAGTGTTGTCCGGGAGCGGTGGCTCACGCCTGTAATCCCAGCACTTTGGGAGGCCCAGGCGGGCAGATCACGAGGGCAGGAGATCGAGACCATCCTGGCTAACGAGGTGAAACGCCGTATGTACTAAAAATACAAACAAAAAAAAAAATTAGCCGGGCATGGTGGTGCACATCTGTAGTCCCAGCTACTCAGGAGGCTGAGACAAGAGAATCGCTTGAACCCAGGAGGCAGAGGTTGCAGTCAGCCGAGATTGCACCACTGCACTCCAGCCTGGGTGAGAAAGCAAGACTCCGTCTCAAAAAAAAAAAAAAAAAAAAGAATACTAGTGTTAGTTTGGATATTAAATCTTTGTAAAGCTGAATTTTTTTTTCTTTTAGGGTAAAAATTAAATAGAAATAGACAGAAAAGAAACATTGCCTCCCATACATCGGTTGGACCTCTTATGCACCCCATCTTTGCAGAGCACCATTCTAGAGAGTGGAGTAAACATGATGGGCAGCTACAGCAATGCCAGCAATCCCCTCAGGTCTTCTGTCGGGAAAGGAAGAGCAGAGAAAGGGGGATAGGTTTGTGCAAAGGCCGTGTCAGCTATTTTTTAACCTGTGGGAGGCAGTATATTATGCATTTTCAACCTTGTCTAATTATAAGGATTACTGAGCACACCTGTTAAAAGAGATGCTCAGACTTCTGCCCAGACTTTCTGAATCAGAATCTCCCAGGAGGAGCGCCTGAGAACCTGTGTTTTTCACAAACACCCCCCAGAGAGTCTTGTGAATAGGCAAGTTTGGGAAATACACAAAAGGAGAATAAACATGGGCTTTGCAGTCAGACCACGGTTAAATAACGACTCAGTCTTTAGCAGTTGTGTAGCTTCAAGCATGACATTTAATCTCCTTATGCCTCCTTCCCTTATTTAGAAACGGGGGCCCATCATAGGGCAGGGCAGGCGTAAGGATTAAATGAAAGGACGTACCACACTGGGCACAGGGCCCAGCACTCAGTAAACGGTACTCTTTATTCTGGACAGGGTTCTGGGAGAAGACATTAACTTACATTACCAACCTACAAACACATTCAACCTTCATTCTTGAAGCTGAGATGAAGAGACAGTACCTCTGTTTTTCTTGCTTGTTCAGCATCTGTTCCCCATTTTTCTGGTAACAGCCCGTGGATTTTCCTGGAGAACCACCACCACCTCTCATTGCAGTTTTCGTGGTTTGGGTGGATGGATTTAACCCTTCCATGTCTAGGGGCAAGAGTGACCTACGTCTGGCCAATTTTCAGGCTCCATTCCCCGTGGGCAACGTGATTGGCTCAGAACAAGAACCATGAGCCAAACTAGTCCAGTGAGACTCAATCTTGGGACTTCCACTAGAGCTCAGAGCCTGCCACTGACCTGCTGGCCGCAATCTTGCCACAAGATGGGCAAGAAGGAGAATAAAGCTCCCTTGACCAGAAGTTTATATGGCAACAGAAGAGCAAACATGTGGCAAGGATGGGACCAAGTCTTGAAGAGATTTTCAAGCCCTGAATCTAGATAGGCTGAAGCACTACTATCCCGGGTCTTTTCAGTTATATGAGTGAATAAAAATGTTCACCTAAGACAGTTTGATTTAGATTTTTCTGTTACTTGCATTGAATTGGGTCTCGACAATGATTTTTAAGGCATTTCTTCTATTTTAGTCTCCAGCTTACTGTGAGGTCATGGGAGCCCTTTTCTTGTATGATATATTTCCTAACTTTACTAGAAGAAGCAATCCCATAGCTAGCATTTAGACTTGCTGGGTACTGGAAATCGCTGAAGCATTGTCAGCCTCTGGGAATGAGAAAACCCAAATCCTTTCCATCTAAATGGATTCTTTTTTTTTCTCAGAGTGGGAAGGAGCTGATATTTAGGTAGGACTCTGTTTTTGCTCTCCAAACTCTGAGAAAGGTTACCATGAAAGGGCAACACAACAATTAAAAGCTGTTGGGTATGAGAATGACAAGTTTGGCTGGCATGCAACACAGCGCAGCTGAGATGAGTATTCCCGATTAATGGGCAAACACGACACAATTGTCTCTTTCAATCCCAGAGTGCTAATATATAATACACAATCAGAGGGCATTGTACATTGGAATATAACTCATTAGCCAGTGCCAGTTCTTTGCCCCCAAGAAATACAGTAGTACGTTGTCTATAAAAGCCATAATTTGAGTCTTTTCAATTTGCAGCTATAGACCAGGTGAGGGATTTCACTTTGGGAAGAATCCAAATGGAATTGGGAATGGGAATTCTTGTTGGAATTCATCATTAAGGCAAAACCAGTGGTTAGGAGAATGAGGAATTGGGAGGCGCGGATAGGACGGGAAAGTGGAAGGAGTTTGACCTCCCATGCCTGCCACCAGGAGTCCCAATCAAAGAACTTAGGCGAATCTGGCTGAGGCAGCATCTGGCCTTTATGAGGGACATCCTAGAATGGACATGTCCCTGTGTGACTGCCCAGTGAATACCAAATGCGTTGGGTCATTTTATTCAAACCTGGAGGACTTGGCTGCCCAAGCACATGCTCTGTGGATGAACTCACTTTTGCTTTAGTCCATATGGCTGCTGAAGTCTGAGCAGCTCAGACAGCAAGGGACAGGAGAGAGAAGAACACAGGGCGGGTGATCAGAGAAATCCAAGGAAAGGATTGAATTACTGTCAGATGAGAGGGTGTGGGAGCTTCTGGGACAGATTGATGGGACAGTCTAACTGGCTGGCAGGGAGCTGTGAACTGTCACAGTCCACTGTGGTGAGCCAGCTGCCTTGTGTATGGCATGCATGCAGAGTGCAGGCTAACTAGGCAGGAGGAAATCTTCACATTTACCAAAAACACCCAGCAGTACACCAGCCCACCCAACCGGAAAACAAAGCATGCCCTTTAGACTCCAATTCCCCCAAACCAAAGAAATACTTACAGTGTTATCCAGCTTCTTGTTTCATAGGGCATTGCTCTACCAGTCTTTCACAAACACTTATTAAGAGCCCTCTCAACGTCAGGCACTGTGTTGGGTACTGGAGACATGGAGGAAATATGTACTATACTTCCCTCTAAGGAGCTCACCATCTAGTAAGCAATTGCAAAAAAGGAAAAAATACAGTAAGAGCTAGGATGAAAGAGAGTGCAAGAGTGGACAAAACAGACAAAAATTCAGGTGAGTTACTTTCTAGTGGTGGTCAGGGAAAGGCTTTCTGAGAAGATGGTATATGAACGCAGACATGAAAGATGTGAGGGAATGTGCTTTGTCAATTTCTGGGATTATGCTTGTACGTTTCATCATTGTTTCTGCTGCCCTCAAGGAGATTGCAAAACATCACACATGCATACACAAGTGCACCCACACAGACATATTTACTTTTATTTACGAATATAATACCTCTGCCAAACTATCTAAAAGTTGTGTTCTACTGATGACATTCCTGGTAATGATAATAGGTTTGAAGGGAGCAAACCATCTAGGATCTCCTGCTCTGACCTCCAGTGATCGAGGACGTGCCGACATCTGCTAAGCCTCTGGCTCAGATTGACGGGTAAATCTCTCGTCATGGGAGCTTTATTCTCATTCCAAATGAAGCTAAATGGTCCATAAAATTAAAGTCCTGACCTTTTCATATCATATTCTACCAACCAGATGGAACAACATGCTCAAAAAAAGAAAGACAATCAAGATGTAAAAATATACACACAAAACATACACAGAAAAGACAAACATTAAATTGTTACTAGATCTGAATGGCCATGGGGGATATTGTTACCATGGTGAGGTCATGGATAAGAGACTGGATGGGTTGGGAGGAAACTATTGGGTGGGCATAATGGAATCTGTGGCATTCAAAGGGTGGTTTCTGTGATTAAAGACACAAACTCTTGAGCTTTAAGTAGATCACGACTTGTATAATCTGGTGCCTGTCTTCTGGGCACAGTTCCTGGAACAGTGCCTGCCACATGGTAGATGCTCAATAACTGTGTATTGAGTGACCAGTGAACTGAACAATCAAATGGTCTCTAACGAAGTTTCTTTTATTTCATTTAATTTTATAAAAAGATAATATGTTGACATAGCTCAACATTTTAGTCCAAAATGATGTTGCCAAGTCTTGATCTTATCTCATTCCCTACCCATCCAGTTCCCACATCCTGCACATCGGACTCCCCACTTAACCATTTTCATTAGTAGTCTCTTATTTATCCTTCCAGATTTTGTTTATGCAAATCAAATACAAATAGATTTTTATTTTTATTATGCAAAAGATAACACAACACTTTGATATTAACCTTGCTTTTTCACTTAATAACGTAACTTTGAAATTTTTCCACACTCAACGTGGAGAGTGCCTTCCATTATTTTATTTATTTATTTATTTATTTATTTTGAGATGGAGTTTCGCTCTTGTTGCCCAGGCTGGAATGCAATGGAGCAATCTCGGCTCACTGCAACCTCTGCCTCCCAGGTACAAGCGATTCTCCTGCCTCAGCCTCCTGAGTAGCTGGGCTTACAGGCATGCGCCACCATGCCCGGCTAATTTTGTATTTTTAGTAGAGATGGGGTTTCTCCATGTTGGTCAGGCTGGTCTCGAACTCCTGACCTCAGGTGATCCGCCCGCCTCGGCCTCCCAAAGTGCTGGGATTACAGGCGTGAGCCACCGCACCCGGCCATGTTCCATTATTTTTACAGTTCTCGTTATTTCCATTTGCATGGGCATTCCAAAATTTATTAAACCAGACAATATGGATGGACATCTGTGTTGTTTCCAATTCTATCAAAAAACAAAGGTCTAGGCCGGGCACAGTGGCTCACGCCTGTAATCCCAGCAATTTGGGAGGTCGAGGTGGGTGGATCATTTGAGGTCAGGAGTTCGAGACCAGCCTGACCAACATGGTGAAACCCCATCTCTACTAAAAATACAAAAATTATCTAGGCGTGGTGGCAGGTGCCTGTAATCCCAGCTATTAGGGAGGCTGAGGCAGGAAAATTGCTTGAATCCAGGAGGCAGAGGTTGCAGTGAAGCCAAGATCATGCCACTGCACTCCAGCCTGGGCGACAGAGTGAGACTACGTCTCAAAAAAAAAAAAAAAAAGATAGCATAAGTTCTCAAAAACAGAATTGCTGGGTCAAAGAGTCCACGGACTTGTAATTTTGGTTTATTACTATTATTATTATGAGAGACTGGGTCTCACTCTGTCACCCAGGCTGGAGAGCAGTGTTATGATCATAGCTCATTGTAACCTCAAATTCCTGGGCTCAAGTGATCCTCCTGCCTCAGCCTCCAAAGTAGTTGGGACTACAGGCACATGCCACCACCTGGCTAATTTTTTATATTTTTTCTAGAGACACCCAGGGTGGTCTTGAGGTCCTGGCCTCATGCGCTCCCCCTGCCTCACCCTCCCAAAGCCCTGGGATTATAGGCAGGAGCCACTGTGCCTGCAGGTAATTTTACTTACATATGCAAACATATAACCAAATTGCCTCCAAAGGGGCTTTAGTAATCTATATGCACAGCAGTAAGGTAAAAGAATCCCTGTTTCCCCACAGCCTTGCCAATAGTTTTATCAAACTTACTTAAACTTTTGCCCATCATAGGTTAAAAATCACATCTCAGTACGGTTCTGCTTTGTGTTTCTCTTGCTGTGAGGCAGAACACCTTTTCATTTCTAGGAATGGACTATTCATACATTTCTTATGTTTATATTACGTTAGTAGTCTTTCAATACTTGGCTTATAGGAGCACGTTGTATAGAGATTAGCCTTTTCTTTGTCATGCATGTTGCAAACACTTTTTTCCAGTGGTGTGTTGGTAAATAACAATGGCTCTCTGGGAAAAATGAACTCAGCTTTATAGCACTTGCCAATTTCCATTGTGTAAATAGCCCCATGATGGACAATTTCAAGCTACCGACATTATGTCACTGAATGTGGAGTTCAGAAGAAATGTGCAGCAGCACACAATTATATACACAATACAATACAAATACACATTTGTATTTGTACAACACAAACACAACAATAGATGTGGCCAGGCGCGGTGGCTTACACCCGTAATCCCAGCACTTTGGGAGGCCGAGGCGGGTGGATTACATGAGGTCAGGAGTTCAAGACCAGCCTGGCCAACATGGTGAAACCCTGTCTCTATTAAATATACAAAAATTAGCCAGGCATGGTGGCACATACCTGTAATCCAGCTACTTGGGAGGCTGAGGCAGGAGAATTGCTTGAACCCAGGAGGCGGAAGACGCAGTGAGCCAAGGTCATGCCACTGCACTCCAGCTGGGCAACAGAGTGAGACTCCATCTCAAAAAAAAAAAAAACAAAAAACAATAAACCTCAAGCATTAATGATAGCAAAATGTAGTTAAATAATTAGGAAGTGATGAGTTTTTCAGTATTTATTACTTTTGATTCTAACATACTTTAAAGTTTCTATAATTTAATTTTTAATAATAACTGTGACAACCAGCTTGCAAAATTCCTGAAAACGTAACAATCAGCTCATATAAGTGCAGGCCAGCTCCAATGCACCTTTTTTTCCCAGTTTGTTGATTGCCTTGATTGCCTTTTGACTTTCTTTCTTTTTTTGTTTGTTTGTTTTTTTACTTTCTTTCTAATGATGTTTTTCACCATACAAAAACTTTAATTTTGATGCAGTTACACTTATCAATCATATTTTTTATGGGCTCAGAATTTTGATTGTGTGTTTTTGTTTTTGTTTTTCAGGCAGGTTCTCATTCTCTTGCCCAGGTTGGAGTTTCGTGGCTCAATCATGGCACATTGCACCCTTGACGTCCTGGGTTCAAGCAGTCCTCCCACCTCCGCTTCCTGAGTAGCTGGGACTACAGGCACTCGCTACCATGCCCAGCTAATTTTTTAATTTTTTTGTAGAGATGGAGTCCCACTATGTTCTCCAGGCATGGGCAGTCCAAAAACAAATAAACAAAAACAAAAAATAAAATGAGACAGGCACAGGGAAGCTCTTTATAAACTACAAGAATAATTCTAATGTATCTCTCCAATAATGATAAATACTTTGGCCATTAATTTTCTTTAAGCTGCATCCTTTAAAGATGGCTTTACAAATCAGTGGGGAAAGATGGACTGTTCAACACATGTTGTAAGGAAACGGGATAGGCCTCTGGAAACACATGAAAGTAGGAGCCCCACCTCCCACCATACACAAGGATATGATCCAAATGGAAAAAGATCTAAATGTAAAAATGAAACCATAAAAGTATTAGAAGAAAACATGGGAGGAGTCTTATAATCTTGGAATGGGGAAGGTCTTCCTAATCATTATTCAAAATTCTGAAAGGCTAGGTGTGGTGGCTCATGCCTGTAATCCCAACATTTTGGGAGGCCGAGGTGGGAGGATCACTTGAGGCTAGGAGTTCGAGACCAGCCTGGGCAATATAGCAAGACCACATCTCTATTAAAGAAAAAGGGTTCTAACTGTCTTCAGTAGATAGTGTTGTTCCCACACTACAGATGAAAGAACAGAGGCCGGGAGAGGTTAAATCAATCATGGTGATATGTATTTCCCACTCTTAGCTCTTATTGCTCTTATTTTCTGGTACCCATTCTTCTAGCATTGGCACCTCCCCACTTGGTACACTGTTTCCCAAAGAAGATTTTCTAACAATGAGTAGGAAGAAAGGCCATATAAACATATGGAGCCTGCTTATTAGCCTCTAAATAGCCAAGATCCTAAATTAGATCTGTTCTATTCCTGCTCATCAGCCTTTCTTTTTCTGTAGCAAGGTGAAAATCCCCCTGGCCTAACTTCTCAATATGGCAAGGTCTTGGTTTTATCCCTGGTGTCTTTGGCTGGAAAGGTGTAAAAGGTCATTATCCAACGATATCACAGCTCAAATCAGCCCCAGATCTTCTTTTCATATCGGGAGGAAAATGTTGGTTTTCTAAAGCTCTTTTTTGATTTAGAATGTCCTTATCTTGACCTTTTGGATTAGATTGTACCTGGAAAACAGAAATTCTGAGTTGGGACCAGGTCCTCTAAAAAGTCTCTTTCCTATGAAACAGCTAGCATGTGGAGTTTCATAATTAGAACTTTTTTTCTTTTTTCTTGAAATGTAAGCTTCTATTAAAATGCAAGTAGCCCCTGGGAAGGTTTACACTCAAGTTTTATTGACCATGCCCACCTTAGTGTGAATTCATTCAGCAGATTATTTATTTGGAGCATATTTCCTCAGAGGAAGTAGGAGGCAAAGGAGGATAAGTAGTAGAAAAGAACACTAAGAGGAGAAGCAGGGGACACTGCTGATGGGGAAAAGAGTGCAGTGATGGAGAAATGGAGACAATCACCAGAGGCTTACCTCCCCCAGTCACTTCTGAGATATGACTGGCAAGCACAGGCAGGGTGAAACAAGCTGATATGTAAGGTGCCATAAGGAATACAGTAAATTAGACAGGTTCTCTGAACCCTGAGGAGAGGCTCTAGTTTAATACCAGAACCAGTCATCTCATTCTTTTCACATATTCTTCTACTTGGTCACTTTTGGCATTGCTCAGGATCCTTCATAAGCTAGAATTAATTTGCAACCAGAAATCAGACCCAACCATTCATAGCATGTAATTGCAGCTGTCCCTTACTGTCAGCAAGCACAAGCTCCCCAAGCAATTTACTACCTGGACAAAACTTTGTTTTATAAGCTTCTCTGTTCTCAACTGTCATTCAATATCCTCCTAGATTCCTCATCTATAAAATCCCAACTCTCCACCCAAGTTCCTATTCCAAGTTTCTTTACAGTGGCCAAGAGTGTCTCTGTTCCCACCGTTATATTGTGATTGCACACACCTTCATTTAGGTTACATGCCGAGTCCTCTGCTGCCCTTTGGTGAAAGTCCAAGTGAAGGCAAAACTCTGTTGAAGAGAATATCAGCAAAATGGCAGGCTAGGAAGGGTGAAGCTTTTATTTCCCCACAGAAACATATGAGGGGAAAAGAAGCAGAAACTCTTTGAACCAACTTTATCAGAACTCTGGAAAACAAAGTTGACAGCCACCAAGCAAATGTCCAATCAAGAAAAAGCCAGCCAGGCGCAGTGGCTCACGCCTGTAATCCCAGTGCTTTGTGAGGCCAAGGCGGGTGGATCACGAGGTCAGGAGATCAAGACCATCCTGGCTAACACGGTGAAACCCCGTCTCTACTAAAAATACAAAAAATTAGCCGGGTATGGTGGCGGGCACCCGTAGTCCCAGCTACTCGGGAGGCTGAGGCAGGAGAAAGGCGTGAACCCGGCAGGTGGAGCTTGCAGTGAGAGGAGATCACGCCACTGCATTCCAGCCTGGGTGACAGTGCAAGACTCCGTCTCAAAAAAAAAAAAAAAAAAGAAATAAAAAGAAAAAGCCATCTTCAAAATGGTAGGAAAGTTTTCTGACATTATTTATTACTGAGTCTTACCCCACCCTTCTCCATTATGTGGTTTTGGTCTTGAACTGGCAACAGCCTAGTTCCCAGTACCCTTTCTTGAACCAGAAGGAGCATAGCAGATCTTGTTCACAAATTACTATGTATGTCTGTTCTGGCAGATACTTGAAAAACTGAAACAAAGAGATAGTCTCTGTTTTGCCTAACTCAGAACTCAGGTGAAAAAAGTGGTAGGCACTACTCATAAAACCTGCAAGGCGACTGCAGATCCACAGACTCCTGGGACAAAAAATTACAGGTGAAGATATATAACAGACCATCTAAACCCCAGAGGAGAAGCTGCAGTACGACTAACTAATTCAGACGTTCAAAAGCAGCCATATATATGAGAGAATTTAGGAAGCCATGTGCATGTCCATGCAAGATGCATGCTCAGAAAAGACCTGAGAAGACCTTAAGCTTCCACCTCGAAGCTTTGTGCCTGATCCCTAGGCACAAAACAAGCTTAGCTAAGTGTTAAAAGAATGCCCTAGGACTGGCCGGGCACAGTGGCTCACGCCTGTAATCCCAGCACTTTGGAAGGCTAAGGCCGGCAGATCACAAAGTCAAGAGATCGAGAACATCCTGGCTAACCCGGTGAAACCCTGTCTCTACTAAAAATACAAAAAATTAGTCGGGCGTGGTAGTACGTGCCTGTAGTCCCAGCTACTCGGGAGGCTGAGGCAGGAGAATTGCTTGAACCTGGGAGGCAGAGGTTGCAGTGAGCCAAGGTCGCACCACTGCACTCCAGCCTGGGCAACAGAGCAAGACTTTGTCTCAAAAAAAAAAAAAAGAAAAGAAAAGAATGCCCTAGGACAAGGCCAATCTACAAACACTGACAAAACTGCTGGCATTTAAACAACATTGTTGTTTAATCTTTGTTAAAGCATTAACTAAACATAAGCTAATGGAACAGAGATTTCAGTGATCCAACACAATAGCCTCTGCAAAAATAGTTAAGAAAACTCTCAAAACTAACAGACTATTACAGCCTTCAACAACGAAAAAAGAAAAAGAAAAAGAAAACAGCAAACCCTGGACAAAGGGAAAAAAGTCCTTTCCAGAATTACCATATTATAATGATTGGGCATTTGCCCAATTTGAAAAATCACAAAGTATACAAAGAAACAGGAAAATACGACTCATTCAAAACAACAAAATAAATTGACAGGAGCCATTCCTGAGGAAACCCAGACTTCAGACTTAGACAAAACTCTACATGATTTAAAACAAGAAAACCTAAAGAAAAAAGAAGTAAAGGAAATCAGGAAAAGAATGCTTTGGTTTGAATATTTGTGTCTACCCAAAATTCATATGTTAAAATCCTAACCTCCAAGATCTTAGGAAGGGAGGCCTTTGGGAGGTAATTCGGTAATTATGACAAATTTCCTTATAAAAGTGGCCTCTTGGCTGGGCACAGTGGCTCACGCCTGTAACCCCAGCACTTTGGGAGGCTGAGGCAGGAGGATCACCTGAGGTCGGGAGTTTGAGACCAGCCTAACCAACATGGAGACACCTTGTCTCTACTAAAAATACAAAATTAGCTGAGCATGGTGGCGCATGCCTGTAATCCTAGCTACTCGGGAGGCTGAGCAGGAGAATTATTTGAACCTGGGAGGCAGAGGTTGTGGTGAGCGAAGATTGCGCCATTGCACTCCAGCCTGGGCAACAAGAGCGAAACTCCATCTCAAAAAAAAAAGAAAAAAAAAAAGGCCTCTTAGCCATGCTGTCCTCTGAAAACACAGTAAAAGGATGGCTGTCAATGAACCAGGAAACAGGTCCTCACCAGGCAGCAAATCTCCTTGATTTGATCTTGATTTGCCTCCTTGATCTTGAACTTCCCAGTCTCCAGAACTGTGAAAAATAAATTTCTGTTGTTGTTGTTTATAAGCTACGCAGTTCATGGTATTTTGTTAAACTAGCCCAAACAGACTAAGACAAAAGACATATGAACAAAATGAGAATATCAACAAAGATATAGAAATTATAAAAAGAAACCAAACAGAAATTCTGGCCAGGCACAGTGACTCATGGCTGTAATCCCAGCAATTTGGGAGGCCAAGGCGGGCAGATCACTTGAGGTCAGGAGTTCAAGACCAGCCTGGCTAACATGGTAAAACCCTGTCTCTACTAAAAATAAAAAAATTAGCTGGGCATGGTGGTACACACTGTAGTCCCAGCTACTTGGGAGGCTGAGGCAGGAGAATTGCTTGAACCCAGGAGGCAGAGGTTGCAGTGAGCCGAGATTGCACCACTGCTCTCCAGCCTGGGTAACAGAGCAAGACTCCATCTCAAAAAAAAAAAAAAGAAATTCTGTAGTTGAAAACTAAAAATTGAAATAAATATTCACCAGAGATTCAACAGCTAATTTGAACAAGTAGAAGAAAGAATTAGCAAACTTGAGACAAGGACAATTAGAATTATAAAGTCTGAAGAACAGAAAGAAAAAAGAATGAAGGAAAATGAATAGAGTCTGAGGGAACTATGGCTCACCATGAAGCAGCCTAATATATGTATTATGGAGATCTCAGAAAGAGAAGAGAGAGAAAAAGGGGAAGAAAGGTATTGAAGAAATCTTGGCCAAAACACCCCAAATTTCATAAAAGACACACATCAACAACTCCAAGAAGCCAAAAAACTTCAAGTATGATAAGCTCAAAAAGATCCACACCAAGACACATTATAATCAATCCATCAAAAGACAAAGAAAGAGTCTTGAAAACAGCAAGAGAGATGCAACTCAGTAAGGAATCTTCAGTGAAAATGCCACAATTGTGAGATTTTTACTAACACAAAAAGAAAAAAAAAGAGTATCACTGAATTTTTCATCAGAAACACTGGAGATAGGAAGGATGTGGGATGACATTTAAAATGGTGAAAGACAAAGAACTGTCAACCAAGAATTATATATCTGGCAAAATGTTCCTTCAAAATGAGGAAGCAGTTAAGACATTTTCAGATAAACAAAAGCCAACAGAATTTATTACCATTTAGACTTGCCCCCACAAGAAATGAAAAGGGAAGTCCTTTTGGGTCAAAATTAAAGAGTGTTAGATGTAACTTAAAGCTTTATGAAGAAGTAAAGAGCTCTGCTAAAGGATTTAAAAGAGAAAATACATTTAAAAATTATTATAAAGCTGTATCATTAAACAATGCTGTGAGTTGATTTATGTCCCTTCAAAATTCGTATGTTGAAATCCTAACCCTCAGTACCCCAGAATGTGACCTTATTTGGAAATAAAGCCATTGCAGATACAATTAGTTAAGATGAGGTAATAATAAAGTGGGGTGACCCCTAATCCAATATCATTGGTGTCCTTATAAAGAGGGAAAATTTGGAGACAGACAGAATGACATAAGAAGATGAAATCAGAGATTAGGATAACATTTCTACAAGTCAAAGAATTTCAAATTTTTCCAGAAGTACCGGAAGCTAGATGAGAAGCATAGAACATATTCTCTTACCACCTCAGAAAGATGCAACCCTACTGACATGTTGATCTCAGACTTTTAGCCTCCCAAATTGTGAGACAATAAGTTTTTCTTGTTTAAGTCACCCAATTTGTGACCATTTGTTACAGCAGCCCTAGGAAACTAATATAAGTACACAATATAAAGATGTAATTCAGGACATCAATAACATAAAGTGAGAGGGGAGAGCAGAGCTGTATAGGAGTAGAATTTTTGTACTCAATTGAAGTTAAGTTGGCATTGATTCAAATTACATTGTTATAACTTTAGGATCTTATATGTATTCACTATAGTAGTCACAAAATTATATCTATAGAATATATACAAAAGGAAATGAGAAGGGAGTCAAAACATGTCACTAAGAAAAATCAACTAAACACAAAAGAAAGCAGCAATGGAGTAATTAGAAACAAAAAAGCTAGAAACATAGAGAAAACAAATAACAAAATGACAGAAGTCCTTTCTTAGTAATTACATTAAATGTAAATGGATTAAACTCTTCAATCAAAAGAGATTAGCAGAATGAATTAAAAAATACAATGCAACTATGTGCTGTCTACAGGAGGCTCATTTTAGATCTAAAAGCACAAGTTTGAAGGTAAAATGGTGGAAGAAGATGTTTCATGCAAATAGTAATCAAAAGAAAGCTGGGATGGCTATACTAATAACAGACAAACTAGATGTTAACTTGAAGACTGTTTCAAGAGACAAAGAAAGAGATTATATATTGATGAAGGATCAATTCATCAAGAAGATATACAATTATAAATATATATGAAGGAACCAACAGAGACACCAAATATATAAAGTAAATTGACAGAATCAAACAGAGAAATAGTCAGTCCCACAATAATAATTAGAGACTAAAATATCCCACTTTCAATAATGGATAGAATGACCAGACAGAAGATCAATAAGGATAAGACCAATAAAGATCCAACAGAAAACTTGAACACCACTATAAAACAACTAGATCTACAAACATTTACAGAAAACTCCATCCAGCAACAGCAGAATACACATTTTTCTCAAGTGTGCACGGAACATTCTCTAGAAGTCTTAGTCTATTTTGTGTTGCTATTTTTTAAAAAACTTGAGACTGGGTAATTTATGAAGAAAAAGAGTTTATTTGGTTCACAATTCTGCTGATTGGAAGGCATCTGGTGAGAGCCTCAGGCTGCTTCCACTCATGGTGGAAGGCAAAGGGGAGCTAGTGTATGCAGTAATCACATGGGAAGAGTGAAAGCAAGGTGGGGTGCCACAGTACCAGGCTCTTTGTACAAGCAGCAGGAATTAATTATTTCAGCAATAACTCACTCACTGCTGAGGGGATTATTAAATTAGGCCCCCACATCCTACATTGGGATAATATTTCAACATAAGGTTTAGATGGACAAACATCCAAACTATACCACTAGGATAGACCATATTTTAGGCAGCAAAACAATTTTTAAAGAAATTTTATTTTAGGCTGGGCATGGTGGCTCACGCCTGTAATCCCAGCACTTTGGGAGGCTGAGGCGGGCGGATCATGAGGTCAGGAGATCCAGACCATCCTGGCTAACATGGTGAAACCCCGTCTCTACTAAAAATACAAAAAATTAGCCGGGCATGGTGGCTGGCGCCTGTAGTCCCAGCTACTCGGGAGGCTGAGGCAGGAGAATGGTGTGAACCCAGGAGGCGGAGCTTGCAATGAGCTGAGATTGCGCCACTGCACTCCAGCCTGGGCGACAGAGTGAGACTCTGTCACAAAAAAAAAAAAAAAAAAAGAAATTTTATTTTAGGCTTTAGAGAACTCTAGGAAAAAAAATTTCTTTGAAACAGGCTCTTACTCTGTCATCCAGGCTGGAGTACAGTGGCATAATCACAGCTTATTGCAGCCTCAAAATCCTAGGCTCAAGCAATCCTCCTACCTCAGTCTCCCAAGTAGCTCAGACAACAGCCGCACACCACCATGCACAGCTAATTTTTTTTTTTTTTTAAATACAGGCAGGGTTCCACTATGTTGCCCAGGCTGGTTTTTCTGTTTCATTTTGTTTTTTCCTAGATGGAGTTTCACTCTTGTCGCCCAGGCTGGAGTGCAATGGTACAATCCTGGCTCACTGCAACTGCCGCCTCCGAGGTTTGAGTGATTCTCTTGCCTCAGCCTCCCGAGTAGCTGGGACTACAGGCACGCACCACCACACCCAGCTAATTTTTGTATTTTTAGTAGAGACCGGGTTTCACCATGTTGGCTAGGCTAGTCTGGAACTCCTGACCTCAGTTGATCCACCTGGCTCGGCCTCCCAAAGTGCTGGTATAACAGGCATGAGCCACCACGCCCGGCCCCAGGCTGGTCTTGAACTGGGCTCAAGCAATCCTCCCACCTCAGCCTTCTAAAGTGCTGGGATTACAGGTATAAGCCACTGTATTTAGCCAGAAAATTCTTAATAAATCTTAAGATTTAAATTATGCAAGGTGTCCATTCATCACAATGAAATGAAACTAGAAATAACAAAAATATGTGGAAATTCAACAATATACTTTTAAACAACCAATGGGCCAATGAAGATATGACAAAATGAATTAGAAAATAACTTTAAGACAAATGAAAATAAAAACACAACATACCAAAACTTATGGGATGTAGTGAAAGCAGTGCTAAGAGGGAATATGCAGCTGTAAACCTATTCTTTTAAAAAGGTCTTAGGCTGGGCGCGGTGGCTCACGCCTGTAATCCCAGCACTTTGGGAGGCCGAGGTGGGCGGATCAGGAGGTCAAGAGATCGAGACCATCCTGGCCAACATGGTGAAACCCTGTCTCTACTGAAAATACAAAAATTAGCTGGGTGTAGTAGTGCACACCCATAGTCCCAGCTACTCGGGAGGCTGAGGCAGGAGGATCGCTTGAACCTGGGAGGCAGAGGTTGCAGCCAGCCGAGATCGCACCATTGCACTCCAGCCTGGTGACAGAGCGAGACTCTGTCTCAAAAAACAAAACAAAACAAAAAATAAATAAAAATAAAAAGGTCTTCAATCAATAATCTAACTTTACATCTTAAGAAACTAGAAAAGACACAAATTAAACCAAATGCTAGCAGAAAGAAGGAAATAATAAAGATTAGAGGGGATTAAATAAAATATAGAATAGAAAAACAATACAGAAAATCAATAAAACCAAAGGCCGGTTCTTTGAAAACATTGACAGAACTGACAAACCTTCAGCTAGATTGACTAAGAAAAAGAGACAGAACACTCATATTACAAAAATCAGAAATAAAAGTGTGAGGCCAGTTGCAGTGGCTCGCACCTGTAATCTCAGCACTTTGAGAGGCTGAGGTGGGCAGATTACCTGAGGTCAGGAGTTTAAGACCAGCCTGGCCAACATGGTGAAACCCTGTCTCTACCAAAAAAATACCATCTCTACCAAAAAATAAAAAAATTAGCCAGGTGTGGTGGCACATGCCTGTAACCCCAGTTACTTGGGAGGCTGAGGCGGGAGAATCGCTTGAACCCAGGAGGCAGAGGTTGCAGTGAGCCGATGGTGCCATTGCACTCTAGCCTGGGCAATAAAGTAAGACCCTGTCTCAACTTAAAAATAAATAAATAAATAAAAGTGGGGATATTACTACTGATTTTACAGAAATGAAAAAGGTTGGCCAGGCGCGGTGGCTCACATCGGTAATCCCAGCACTTTGGCCGAGGCAAGTGGATCACCTGATATCAGGAGTTCGAGGCCGGTCTGGCCAACAAGGTGAAACACCATTTCTACTAAAAATAAAAAAATTAGCTGGGTGTGGTGGTGTGTGCCTGTAATCCCAGCTACTCAGGAGGCTGAGGCAAGAGAATCGCTTGAACCTGGGAGGCAGAGGTTGCAGTGAGTCGAGACTGCGCCATTGCCCTCCAGCCTAGGCGACAAGAGTGATGCTCCATCTCAAAAAAAAAAAAGAAAAAAGAAAGAAAAGAAAGAAATGAAAAAGGTTATAAGATAATTCTATGAACAACTGTTTGCCAACACACACTGGGTAACCTAGATAAAGTGGACAGATTCCTAGAAATACACAACCTACCAAAACTGACTCAGGAAGAAATAGAAAATGTAAGAAATAGGAAATAGAATACTATAACTAGTAGGGAGATTGCCTTAGTAATCAAAACATCTTAACAAAAAAAAAGCCCAGGATCAGTTGGCTTCACTGGTGAATATTACCAAATACTTAAGAAGCACTAATAGCAATCCTTCTCAAACTCTTCAAAAGAATTGAAGAGAAGAAACTACTTACAAATCTCATTCTATGTGGCCAGCATTACCCTCATATCAAAGCCATACAAAGACACTACACAAAAAGAAAACTACAAATCAATGTCCCCTATGAATATTGACACAGAAATCCTCAACAAACTACTATCAAAAAATTCAGTAGCATATTAATAAGGAGCTATACACCATTACCAAGTAGGTTTTATTCCTAGAATGCAAGAACAGTTCAACACACAAAAAATCAATCAGTATAATACACCATATCAACAGGATGAAGGAGAAGAAAACCACATGATCATCTCAATTGATGCAGAAAAAGCATTTGACAAAATTCAACACCCTTTCATGATTTAAAAAAATCAATAAACTAGGAATAAAAGGAAATCTTTTCAACTTGATAAAAGCTATTATTAAAAACCAATGGCTAACATCATACTTGATACTAAAAGACTAAAAGCTTTCCCTCCAAGATTAGGAATAAGACAAGGATGCCTGGTTTTGCCACTTCTATTCAAAACAAAACTGGAAATTGTAGCCAGAGCAACGAGGCAGGACAAAGAAATAAAAGGCAACCAAACTGAATCAACTGAAGTAAAATTATCTGTGTTTACAGATGACATAATCTGAAATGTAGGAAAAAGTAAATATTCTACCAAAAACCAGTTAGACCTAATAAACAAATTCATAAAACTTGTAGGATACAAAATCAACACTCAAAAATCAGTTGTATTTCTACATATTAGTAATGAGCAATCTGAAAAAGAAATTAAGAAAGCAATTGCATTTATGATAACATCAAAAAGAATAAAATGCCTAGAATAAAATTAATCAAGGAGGTGAAAGATTTGTCCACTGAAAAACTACAAAAGCTGCTGAAAGAAACGAAAGGTAAATGGAAAAACATCCCATGTTCATAGATTGGAAGCCTTAATTAATATGTCAATATTACCCAAAGCAATTCAATGCTATCTTTATCAAAATCCCAATAATGTTTTTTGCAGAAATAAAAACAATCCATCCTAAAAATTAATATGGGCCTCGAGGGACCCCAAATAGCCAAAACAATGTTGAAAAATAACAAATTTTTCAACTCACATTTTCTGATGGTGCTACACCATCACAGTGTGATACTGCCATAAAGACAGATCTACAGACCAAAGGAATAGAATAGAGACCCCAGAAATAACCTGCTGCACATACAATCAAACAATTTTCAACTGGGTTGCCAAGGCCATTCAATGGAGAAAGTAGTGTTTTCAAGAAATGATATTGGGAAAACTGGATATTCACATGCAAAAGAATGAAGTTACACCCTTATCTTACACAATATGCGAAAATTGACTCAAAATGGATCAAAAGTCTAAACATTAGAGATAAAACTATAAAACTCCCAAAAGAAAACATAGTGAGCCAGGTGTGGTGGCTCATGCCTGTAATCCCAACACTTTGGGAAGCGAAGAGTGGCAGATCACTTGAGGTCAGGAGTTTGAGACCAGCCAGGCCAACTTGGTGAAACCCCATCTCTATTAAAAATACAAAAATTAGCTGGCATGGTAGCATATGCCAGCAAAAATTAGCTGGCATGGTAGTCTTAGCTACTTGGAAGGCTGAGGCAGGAGAATTGCTTGAACCCAGGAGACGGATGTTGCCATGAGCCAAGACTGCGCCACCTCACTCCAGCCTAGGTGACAGAGTGAGACTCCGTCTCAAAGAAAAAAAGAAAAGAAAACATAGTGGAAAGCTTCATGACATTGGATTTGTCAATGAATTCTTGGATATGACATGAAAAGCACAGGCAAAAAAAGAAAAAAAAATAGATAAATCGGACTTCATCAAAATTTAAAAATTTTGTGTATCAAAGAAAACTATGAAGGGCTGGGTGAGATGGCTTACACCTGTAATCCCAGCACTTTGAGAGGTTGAGGTGGGTGGATCACCTGAGGTCAGGAGTTCGAGACCAGTTTGGCCAACATGGTAAAACCCCTATCTATACTAAAAATACAAAAATTAGCCAAGTGTGGTGGCATGCACCTGTAGTCCCAGATACTGGGAGGCTGAGGCACGAGAATTGCTTGAACCTGGGAGGTGGAGGTTGCAGTGAGCTGAGATTGCACCACTATACTCCAGCCTGAGCAACAGAACAAGATTCCATCTCAAAAAAAAAAAAAAAAAGAAAAAGAAAAAAAAGAAAGAAAGAAAGAAAGAAAACTACGAAAAAAGCAAAAATGCAACCCATAGAAAAGGAGAAAATATTTGTAAGTCATGTAACTGAGAAGGGATTAATATCCAGAATACATCTTATTCGTAAAACTCCTACGATTCAACAATAACAACAAAATTTGTTTGAAGTAGGTAAAAGACTCAAATAGACGTTACTCTAAAGAAGATAAACAATTGGTCAATAAACACACGAAAAGATGCTCAACATCACCAGCCATTAGGGAAATGCAAATCGACACCACAAGGAGATACTACTTCACATTTAAAGAATAGCTATTATTGGCCGGGAGCGGTGGCTCACACCTGTAACCCCAGCACTTTGGGAGGCTGAGGCAGGCAGATCACGAGGTGAGGAGATCAAGACCATCCTGGGTAACATGGTGAAACCCCGTCTCTACTAAAAATACAAAAAATTAGCCAGGCGTGGTGGCGGGTGCCTGCAGTCCCAGCTACTGGGGAGGCTGAGGCAGGAGAATGGCGTGAACCCGGGAGGCGGAGCTTGCAGTGAGCTGAGATTGCACCGCTGCACTCCAGCCTGAGCGACAGAGCGAGACTCTGTCTCAAAAAAAAAGAATAGCTATTATTTAAAACAAAAGGAAAATAACAAGTGTTGGCAAGAAGGTGGAGAAATTGGAAACCTTGTGCATTGACTGGTAGAAATGTAAAATGGTGCAGCCACTATGGAAAACAGTATGGTGGTTCCTCAAAAAGGGAAACTTAGAGTTATCACATATCCAGCAATTTCATTTCTGGGTATATACACAAAAGAACTAAATGCAGAAACTCAAACAGATAACTTGTACATCAGTGTTCATAGCAGCATTCTTTGCAATAGCCAAGATGTAGAAAAAAACCTGTGTCCATCAAAAACTGAATAGATAAATAAAATGTAATATATACACACAATGGAATATTACTTATCCTTAAACAGGAATGAAATTCTGGTACATGCTACAACCTGGATGAACCGTGAAAATATTATGCTAAGTAAAATAAACCCGACCCAAAAAGACCACATAACCAGATCCAATCCAAACATTGTATGATTACACTTGTATATTACTAAGAATAGGCAAATTCATAGAAACAGACAATAGAATAGTGATTACTAGGAGCTTAAGTGAGGGTGAACTGGACAGTCATTGTTTAACGGGTATGAGTTTCTGTTTGGGATTGTGACGTTCTGGAAAGGATTAGTAGTAATGGTTGGACAACAATTTGAATGTATTTGGTGCCACTGAACTTACACTTAAAAATGGTTAATGAGGTAAATTTTATGTTATACATTTTTTTTAAAAAAAGTTTAAATTATGTTGAAGACAAAATGTGTTCTTTCCTTTTTCTTTTTTTGCGGGAAGGGGATTCAGGATGTTAAATATTTTTTTAAGAGATGGAGTCTCACTCTGTTGCCCAGACTGGCCTCTAACTGCTAGGCTCAAGGGATCCTCCCACTTCAGCCTATGAAGTAGCTGAGACTAGAGGCACGCACCACCTTGTCAGGCTTAAAATGTGTTTTCATAACCCTCTCAGACTATCCACTAAGTGTCATTTAACTTTTTTTCTTAACCAAAATTTATTGAACACTAACCAAATATCAGCTGTCTGGTAGGTCCCCAGCTTTCAAAGATACATAAAGTATTCTTCATAAAGGACTTTATAATCTACTTAGAAAGGCATGGAAGTAAATTAGCAGACAATACCATGTGGATGAGTACCATGATACTGGTAAGGATAGGGACCTTGGGAAGTACATTGATGGGAACATTTAGCTTACGTGAGAAATGTCTGGGAACACTTTTGAAAGAATGTAAGTGACTGAGCTGAGTCTCAACGAACGTGTATTAGTTGGCCAGGTGAAATGGGGAAACGGCTTCTCAGAAAAGAGGACTAACATGTAAAAAGATAGAGTAAAGAGAACATGAGACTGAAAAAAACATGGAAACTTATGAAGTCAGTAGAAATGGGGTGGGAAGAAGATGAATATTGGAGAGCTGGATGAGGCTCAGAAAGTTAATACCTTATATGATATGGGAGTGCACACTTTATCTTACAGGCAATGAGTAGCCATTCCATAAGAGTTCAGAGGCCAGGCACTGTGGCTCAGGCCTGTAATCCCAGCACTTTGGGAGGCCGAGGTGGGCAGATCACAAGGTCAGGAGATCGAGACCATCCTGGCTAACACAGTGAAACCCCATCTGTACTAAAAATCAAAAAAATTAGCCAGGCGTGGTGGCGGGCGCCTGTAGTCCCAGCTACTGGGGTGGCTGAGGCAGGAGAATGGCGTGAACCCAGGAGGCGGAGCTTGCAGTGAGCCGAGATCGCGCCACTGCACTCCAGCCTGGGTGACAGAGCGAGACTCCATCTCAAACACACACACACAAAAAAAGTTCAGAAAGAGGAGTCAGCTGTATCTTTAAAACAGACTTCCTGGCTACACTGTGGAAAAGGGACAGAAGAGAGGTTCAACTCCTCATTTAAAGTGAGGACTGATGAAGGACCTGAAGCAAGAGAGTGGCAACAGTCACAGAGGCCAGGGGACAAGAGTCAAGAAACGTTCATGATAAAGACTCAGAAGGCCAGGCATGGCGGCACATGCCTGTAATCCCAGCTACTCAGGAGGCTGAGGCAGGAGGATCACTTGAGCCTAGAAGGTCGAGGCTGGAGTGAGCTGTGATCACACCACTGCACTTCAGCCTGGACAACAGAGTGAGACCCAGTCGGTACAACAACAACAACAAAATTAATTAGCCAGGCATGGTGGTCTGTGCTTTTTGTTTTGTTTTTTTTTTTTTTTTTGAGATGGAGTCTCACTCTGTCACCAGGCTGGAGTGCAGTGGCACGATCTCGGCTCACTGCAACCTCTGCCTCTCAGGTTCTAGCAATTCTCCTGCCTCTTCTTCCCGAGTAGCTGGGAATACAGGTGCGTGCCACCATGCCCAGCTAATTTTTGTATTTTTAGTAGAGACAGGGTTTCACCGTGTTGGCCAGGATGGTGTGGTCTTAACTACTCAGAAGGCTGAGGTGGGAGGATCGCTTGAGCCTAAGAGGTCCAGGCTGCAGTGAGCTATGATCGTACCACTGCACTCCAGCCTGGACAACGGAGTTGGTCCCTGTCTCTAAAGAAAGAAGACAATGACTCCAAAGGCCAGTGGCCAGCTGGATGTGGGTGACGGGAAGACTCTCACTCAGGTTTCTAGCTTGGGAAACTTGGCGAGTGGTGGTACAATTCATAAAAATTAGAAACCTAGAAGAAGAAATAGTTTTGATACAAGGGAGATAATAAGTTCTGGGGTTTTTTGTTTTTTTGTTGTTGTTGTTTGTTTTTGTTTTATTTTGTTTTGTTTTTTAGATGGAGTCTTGCTCTTTTACCCAGGCTGGAGTGCAGTGGCACAGTCTCGGCTCACTGAAGCCTCCACCTCCGGGATTCAAGCAATTCTCCTGCCTCAGCCTCCCGAGCAGCTGGGATTACAGGCGCGTGCCACTATGCCTGGCGAATTTCTGTATTTTTAGTAGAGATGGAGTTTCGCCATGTTGGCCAGGTTGGTCTCGAATTCCTGACCTCAAGTGATCTGCCTGTCTCAGCCTCCCAAAGTGCTGGGATTATAGGTGTGATTCACCACGCCTGGCCTTTAGGTTCTGTTTGGAACTGTTGTATTAGAGGTGATTGTGGGGCAGAAACAGATGGCTATTTAGGTGTGGAGTTAGGAAAAAAGCCTGACATACAGATATAGATTGGAGGGTGCACTGGACAGAAAGGAGGATTTGCCTTAAGTGAAAGGAATTAATGTCTAAATGTAGAATCCCATTATTAGAAGTAAGTCTACCCCTTCCACAGCAGGGGAGATTAAGGAATGGAGCAGCTCCCCTATAGGACATTGACATCGAATCACATGGGCAGATGCCTACTCAGTGTTGTGTGTAATAAAGCGTATTAGAATAAACCGAGTATGGATAAGCCCGGGAGCTTTCCAGACTGGGTTTCATTTTGAAGCAAGAGGGACTTCTAATATATATCTTGTCCGTGGCAAAGCAAAATGCTAAATACCTTTTATATTTGAGATAAATTCTTTGAGAATCTTGTCAGCAACCAGAAAAGCATAGCTAACCAAAAAAATGAAACAAAATAAAATAAAAATAAAACAAGTGTTGGTGTGTTTTATTCTTTTTTAAATGGGCATTCATTATCAATGTCCCCACATCTGTTGTTTCCTTCTACTGCAGACAGAAATTCTTCTTCATAAAAGGTGGATTCTATATGCAGAATTCCTAAGGAACTAGATCACATCATATATGGAAGAAGACTGGGCTTTGGAGTAAGAATATCCTAGCTGAATCCTGTTCCAACCATGTACATGGTCATTGTCAAATTCATTTATTCACTCATGCATTCATTTATTCATTCATGCAACAAACATGTACAGAGCACATTTTATATGTGTTATCCTATATACATATAATACTGAGTAAAAAGTCACAGCTCTTGCTCATAGACCAGTGAGAAGGAAGACATACCAACAAAATTACAGCATAGTGTCCGTGCTGGAAGAGTGAGGAAGATGGTGCATCAGACTGCTTTAATGAGACTGGAGAAAAGGAAGAAAAGGTAGGGAAGGAGGTAAGAAGTATGAGAGAGTAAAGGGCCCTGGGGACATAGGAAACAGAGAGAGAGAGATTGACAGGGAATTCCTAGTAGAAGGAACTACAAGACTGAAGTCAGGGAGATATAAGATAGTATGGAGTTGGGTTCCAGGAGCAGCAAGTCATTTTTTGGTAGTTGGACAATAGGGTTGGTCATGAGGGACAGGGATGGGTGACAAGGCTTGATGCATAGTCAGGGGCAAGATCAGTGCACTCTGCCTATTTTGTTGCCTGAAGGTACCACTGAGGCATGTTCCTCATGCTCCTCTTAGACTCTATAAATCCTACTCTCTTCAGTAAATAGCTCTTTTTCATTCTATAGCTGTCTCCTACTCTCTGCCTAAGAAACCCCCACTCATTATCTGGGGACCTTGACACTGTGTGCATAGGCTTCTCACTAAATTCTGTGGCATCCTATGTTAATCAAGGTTCTCCAGGGAAACAGAACCCATAGGATATATTTGCACAGAGAGAGAGATATTTATGTTAAGGAATTGGCTCACACAATTGTGGAGACTGTCAAGTCTGAAATCTGTAGGCCAGCAGGCAGGAAACTCAGGCAGGGTTTTTATATTGCAGTCTTTTTTTCTATCTTTCTTTATATAGAGACAGGGTCTCACTCTGTCACTCAGGCTGGAATGCAATCATACAATCATAGCTCTACAGCCTCGAACTCCTGGGCTCAATTATCTTCCCAACATTCCTGAGTAGCTGGGACTACAACATGCACCACCATACCTGGCTAATTTTTTAAAAATTTTTTGTAGAGATGGAGTCTTGCTATGTTGCCCAGGCTGGTCTTGAATTCTTGGCCTCAAGTGATCCTCCCACCCTGGACTCCCAAAGCACTGAGATTACAGGTATATTGCAGTCTTGAGGCAGAATTTCTGCTTCTTTGAGAAACCTCAGTCTTTGCCCTTCAGGCCTTCAACTAGGTGGATAAGGCCCACCCACATTATCGGGGGTAAGCTAGTTTAGTCAAAGTCAGAAAAAAAAAAAAAGATTATAGGCCAATGGCTCATACCTGTAATCCCAGCAATTTGGGAGGCTGAGACAGGAGGATAACTTGAGCCCTGGAGTTCGAGGTTATGGTGAGCCATAATTGTGCTACTGTACTCCAGTCTGGGCAATAGAATGAGATCCTGTCTCTAAAAAAAAGAAAAAAAAAAAGAATGAATCACATCTTTAAAAAAAACTTTACAGCGACATCTAGACTAGTGTTTGACCAAAAAAATGGGCACCATAACCTAGCCAAGTTGACATACAAAATTAACCATCACACATCCCCTTGAGATTTCAAACTCTCTAGATATATCAGGCAGGGGATAGCAGGAAACAGAATTCACTGAAATGAATTTTATGTAAGAACTATTTTTAAAGGTATCATCAGATTCTTTTTTGAGACAGGGTCTCACTCAGATTTAAAGGAACAAACAAGAGGTGCCAAGTTACCTGTTAAGAACTGTAAAGAATCTGAGATTGTACCTTATTTGAAAGCTAACAAGAGAACCTATTAGTTTCACAGATGCTGGTAGAAGACATGACACTCCTGGGTCAACATGAAGGACAATTTATTGTTCATAATAACAGCAGTAGCCAAAGCATCAGCACCTTTTTTTTTTTTTTTTTTTGAGACAAATTCTCACTCTTGTCACCCAGGCTGGAGTGCAGTGGTGTGATCTCCACTCACTGCAACTTCCACCTCCCAGGTTCAAACACTTCTCCTGCCTCAGCTTCCCAAGTAGCTGGGATTACAGACATGCACCACCACACCTGGCTAATTTTTGTAGTTTTAGTAGAGACGAAATTTCACCATGTTGGCCAGGCTGATCTTGAACTCCTGATCTCAGGTGATCCACCCGCCTCGGCCTCCCAAAGTGCTGGGATTACAGGCGTGAGCCACTGCGCCCCACGAGCATCAGCACTTTTATTCTAGTTTCCCAGGTCCTAATTTCCATGAAGAGTGTGACATGAAAAGAGCCAGATAACAACTGTACATGCAGTGGGGTAAGTTGAGTTATAGGAGAGGGAATTCTGAGCTTAGGAAACCCAATCTTTTGTAATGGGCACTAAATAGGCCTGTCCCTTTCTCTAGAGGAAGACAGTATCTTTCTTATACTGCATAGTAAATATGACTACCTTTTGCTCCAGAGACACTATCTTTATTTTCCAAGGCCACTTAGTATACAAACCTCCTTGAAAAGGCATTAGCATCTTGCACGTAAGATGTGCAGAAACACGAGAGACCCATGGAGAATTATCTCTCAATACTACCTAGAAACCAGTGGTGGTAAAAATCTGTTACCGTTCATAGGGCCAAAATCCAAGAAAAAATACAGTTATCTGAGCCCAGTAAGAGCTGGAGGCATGGAAAAGAGGCCACCCATTAAGAACTTCAGTCATAGAGAGACACAGGCACCAGAGAAGCAATGCTGAAGCAGGGAAATAATGAGAAAGAAATATTCCAATCTCTATCTTCCATTTTGATTTTTGGCCAGTGACTCCAACTGGCCAAATCCAACATGAAGCCAGCTATCAAGAAAGCCTCAATAATACAATTCATAGGGGTCAGTATCCTAGTGTTCAAAGCAGCACTGGGAGAAAACTGGAGAATGTATCTGGGATAATGGAGGAGAATGGTACAACTGATGATCCCTTTAATATCTCAGCTTGAAAGTTTCTTGATTTTCTGGGATTAAATCAGCCTCACTCCACTCACTCTATTTAAATCACCCTCTCTCAAGGTTACATGGAATTTATCAATATACAGGACTCCTCCACCTCCAAAATATTAAGCCTCAATCTGCCAGTCTCTGACCACAACTTTCTAAACTACCAGCTGGCTGACTCTCTTTTTCTCAGTAGACCTGCTTTGTTTTGAACACCACTGTTTCTTGCATTCCATTTGTTTTTTTCTGATTCCAACTTCCTTCTTTTTGAATTACTCCTTTGTTAATGATTTCAGAAAAAGCCTCTGCATGATGAACACTCAGTCTTTTGACTGTCTGAAAAGGTTTCTATCCTAGCCGCCATCTTATATGATAGTTTAGCTAGGTGTATAATGTTAGTATCCTGCTTATTTCCTCTCAGAACTTTAAATATATTATTCCAGTGTTTTGTGGGGTTTTGTTGTTGTTGTTGTTTTTTGGCTTCTGTTCTTGATGATGAGATACCAATTTAATGTGTTATTTCTATATATGTAACTCTTATCTTTGGTGTCCTTGAGTTTTTCTGTAATGTGTTTAAATAAGGATTGCTAGAATTTATTCTCTCATAAGTCAGCTTTCTTCAATTTGACCAATCAAGTTGGTTTTGTTTTGTTTTGTTTTTGTTTTTGTTTTTGAGACGGAGTTTCACTCTTGTTGCCCAGGCTGGAGTGCAATGGCGCAATCTCAGCTGACTGCAACTTCCGCCTCCTGGGTTCAAGCGATTCTCCTGCCTCAGCCTCCTGAGTAGCTGGGATTATAGGTGCCTGCCACCATGCCCAGCTAATTCTTATATTTTTAGTAGAGATGGGGTTTCACTATGTTGGCCAGGCTGGTCTCAAACTCCTGACCTCAGGTGATGCATCCCCCTCAGCCTCCCAAAGGGCTGGGATTACAGGCATGAGACACCGTGCCCAGCTCAAGCAATCAAGTTTTTTATAATCCTTGGAAATTTGTCCTTTTAAATATTTTTTTCCTCCATTTTTTTTTCTACTTTCTGCTTCTGGAAACTCTTGTTAAATGTGTGTTGAATACTAACCCCATGATTCAACTTTTCTTTTATATTCTTTATCTCTTCTTTTTGTGCAATCCTTTGGATAGTTACCTTATAGCTGTGTTCCAGTTCACTAGTCAATCACTAAGCTATATTTATCTATAATTTAACCCACCTATTCAGTTTTAATTTCAGTACAAAAGTTTTTCATTTCTCTAAGTTCTATTTGATTCCTTTTCAATCCACCTGGTCTGTCTTTACAAAGTCTTGCTCTTTCCATATGATTCCTGTATCTCATCTTCTTTCATCCTTTTAATCATTTTTCAAAACTATTTACTTTATAATCTTTTAAAGATCATTCTATAAAAATCAAAGTTTTAGAAATGTAATTATACTGTGCCTGATAAATCTTTGCATAGTGGATTATTTCTCTATGTGGTTTGAAATTCAACTATGAGCTCATCTTCAATAGGGATTCTTTTCCCCTGTGAGTTTGCTGAGTTATAGAAGTGTGTTACATAGTGACTTTATATCTGCATCTGCCAGGCACAAGAAGGATTTCATTGTCCAGGCTCAGCTTTTATACTAGTATCTCCTCTTCAAATTAATACAGTAAGTATGGGATAAATTCAAATTAAAAAGTCTGAACATGGGAAGACATCCATTTCCCTTACAACTTCCCTGAGGATTTTTTAGTTTCCCCTTTCATTGAGGAGTAGCTCCACCAGAGCCCTGGCTTGATTTAAAAGGTATCTCAGTTCAGTTTCCTGACTAACCCTACCTCAAGGCCATATCTTTTTTTTTTTTTTTTTGAAACAGAGTTTCACTCTTGCTGCCCAGGCTGGAGTGCAGTGGCGCAATCTCAGCTCACTGCAACGTCTGCCTCCCAGGTTCAAGCAATTCTTCTGCTTCAGCCTCCCAAGTAGCTGGGATTACAGGCATGCACCACCACACCCAGCTAATTTTTAGTAGAGATGGGGTTTCATTATGTTGGCCAGACTGGTCTGGAACTCCTGACCTCAGGTGATCCACCCGCCTCGGCATGCCAAAGTGCTGGGATTACAGGCGTGAGCCACCACACACGGCCATATCTTCTATTCTTACAAAGGTGTTAAAAGCCAGGAAACTAGCCTATACAGTGTATATCCTGCTTTGATATTTCCTTGGCTAAGGCAGCAGGTTTACAGATCCAGACTTTAGTTCCTCGTTCACTTTTGGCACCCAAGAACACCATTTCTATGTCTTTGCAGTAGAAAAGGAGTGGCAGAGATCCTCACTGGTTCATTCTGCCATGATGCTAAAATTGTCCGTCGCCCTGCATTACTGCTTCATTAATATATCTAATTCCTTCATTTCTCCCTTGGCTTCTGGGAACCTTACTCCATTCATGGCCGTGGTACCATCTCTGTCCAGCCTAGAATCACAGTACACTATTCAACCACTCTACTTCCTACAAACTAACATTGTAGACCTCTTTTATTCTGCCTCATCCACTTTGAAATCATTCCAGATTGGATCTATCCAAACATCCTCTTTCTTACACCACACCAACAAGAAGCATAGTGCATGGTGCAAAGCATGATGGACTTTGGAGTAAAACAGAGCTGATTTTGAATCTCAGCTCTGCCATTTTCTATTCTTTTTTTTTGGGTGGGGACAGAGTCTCGCTCTGTCGCCCAGGCTGGAGTGCAGTGGTGCGATTTCAGCTCACTGCAAGCTCTGCCTCCCGGGTTCACGCCATTCTCCTGCCTCAGCCTCCCGAGTAGCTGGAACTGCAGGCGCCCGCCGCCACCACGCCCAGCTAATTTTTTGTATTTTTAGTAGAGACGGGGTTTCACCATGTTAGCTAGGATGGTGTCAATCTCCTGACCTCATGATCTGCCCGCCTCGGCCTCCCAAAGTGCTGGGATTACAGGCGTGAGCCACCGTGCCTGGCCAGCTCTGCCATTTTCTAGTTGGGTAACCATGGACAAGTTATTCAACTGATCTAAGCCTCCATTTTCCCTCCAGTAAAATGTAAATGATAATATTAATCTCAGTTATTGTGAAAATAAAATAAAATAGTGAAGGTAATGCATTTACTATAGCTCCTGACACAGTTAATAAATGGTAGCTATGATAAGATTCTGTAGAAAATCTCCAGACTGGTCCTTCAGAAATAGATTTTTTAACCTCAGCAAGACCCTCTGTGAGGTTTGGGAATCTTTCATGTGCTGCTTTTATCATTCCCGACAACTGCTCTTGCAAATGTGCAACATTTTCTTCAAGCCATGGCCAACCAGCAGCTAACTTTGCTTCCTATTTCAATACTGAGAGTATCAGGTGGCTTCACCACCAAGTTACTGCCTCCATGTGTGACTTGACTAGAACTTGGTCTTTTATCTCACACAAAAATGTCTGAGTATATGCCATGTGCCAGGCAGTGTACTAGGCCCTGGGGCTACGTCAGTGAACAAAAGAAACACATTTCTGCCCTAGATAGTTTACATTCTACTAGGAAGAGAAAAACAACGAAAAGCATAACTGAGTAAATTGTATCTTACAAAGTAATAAGTACAATAAAGAAAAGTAAAGTGCTGCCAGGCATGGTGGCTCATGCCTGTAATCCCAGCACGTTAGGAGGCCAAGGTGGGTGGATCACCTGAGGTCAGGAGTTCAAGACCAGCCTGGTCAACATGGCAAAACCCCGTCTCTACTAAAAATACAAAAAATTAGCCAGGCGTGGTGGTGGGCACCTGTAATTCCAGCTACTCGGGAGGCTGAGGCAGGGAGAATTGCTTGAACCCAGGAGATGGACGTTGCAGTGAGCCGAGATTGCGCCACTGCACTCCAGCCTCGACGACAGAGTGAGACTCCATCTCAAAAAAAAAAAAAAGAGAGAGAGAGAAAAGAAAAGTAAAGTGCTGGCAGGATTATAATTTTAATAGGGTCATCAGGAAAGATCTCAATGAAAAGGTGGCACCTGAATAAAGAGGGCAAGGGAGTGAGGAAACAGTAATTGCGTGGCCCTGGTGAAAAAGTGCTTGGAATGTTTGATAAAAGCAACGAGGCCAGGATGGCTGAGAAAATATGAGTGAGGTAGAGAGCTATAGGAGGTAAGGTCAGAGAACCAATGAAAGACCTGATTGTATAGGGCCTTGCAGTCCATTTCCAGGATGTTGACTTTCACTATGAGTGAGATGGAGAGCCTTTGGAGAGTTTTCAGTAGAGGACTATGAAATGTGATATGCCAAATAGCATTACTCTGGTTCACAGCTCTAAAATGGAGCAGGGAAGCCATTCTAAGGATGACCTGCATGATCTGCAACCTTGAAAAACAAAAAACAGGACCTTGCCTTGAAACTTTCAACTAGGCCAAACCTCCATGACCACAACATCCTGGAAAGCAGCTGAAGTTTTCTAGCACTATGACTCCTAAACAACCACAACCAATGACTGTAGACTCATGTACTAAGCCAGCCACCTCCACCCACGATAATTCTTTCAAAAACAACTAGTGTAACCACTCTCAGCATCCTTTTAAAAATCCTTACTCTCCTTCCTCTCTTCAGAATATGATTTGGCCTTTAGCTGAATCTATGTCTCATGAATTGCAATTCCTACAACCCCAATAAATGCCTTGATTCCTTGCTCTGCAGTAAGGTCTTTCACCTCTTCTTGGTTGACATTAAATGGTGTCATAAGTGGGATGCAAGTGACTCTCTTCCTCTGTGTCCCAGTGCTGCTGTGGTTTCAAGCATGGTATTTGCAGGAACTCCTTGCGTTCCATTGCCTTCCTGACAGCCTCAAACCCTATTGGGGAGTCCTCTCATTTTCCTGAACCTCCCACCTTGGTTGAGGTTGAAGCCTTTATTGGGTAGCCTTTGTTGCCAGCTGTCAACAAAGAAAATCTTCCCTTTTTGGTGGGTATTCAGGAGCTCTTTTGCTTCTAATGGCATAGGTGCTAAGTTACCCCCCTTCTTAAACACCTGTTTGTTTTTTAGACAAACATTATGGTCATTCACCTTGTAAATTTCATTCTCAGTGGACCAATATCACTGAAAGTGATTTGGAATTACAATTGCCAACCTGAAGCTTTTTTAATCTCCAAAACTTGTTTTCCTTCTCAATTACAGGGCTAAAATGAAAGAATAAACAGCCTGAGTGGGAAGCCTACTTTAATTGGGTTTCTCAAGGTATCTAAAAGACTCCAGAGATCTAAACTAGTGTCCCTAAGAGATAACCATGCCAAAATAACTTTTAAAAATCTCTAAAATTAAAAAAAAAAAACTCAAGTTTCAAGTTTCTAGAATTTCTCACCTTCAGTGACCAACAGATACATCCTTTAAATTAGAAAGACTCTATACTTGAAAGGTTTTTAGAGGTCTCTCTTTCTAAACAATGCATTATTTGTATTTACGGGAGGATCAAATTGGAAAAAAAAGACACATGATCGTGTTATGGCTAGCCTTAGAAATCATCTTGACAAAATTAAAGAGCAAAAATTCTGACCTAAAACTAAGTTAAAATCCTTGTATGCTTTCAGAACAGGGTTATCTGAAGAAAAAAATCCTTGTATGCTCAAACTGCCTGCTTTGTTAGCCAGGTGTGGTGACACATGCTTGTAGTCCCAGCTACTCGGGAGGCTGAGGTGGGAGGATCAACTGAACCCAGGAGGGTGAGGCTGCAGTGAGCTGAGATCACACCACTGCACTCCGGCCAGGGTGTGAGATCCTGTCTCTAAAGTTTAAAAACAAAAACAAACAAACAAAAAACACTGCCTGCTTTGGATTTCCTGCAGGATTTATTTACAAAAAAAAAAAAAAAAGGCACCCACTCACTCTGTGGTCTATGGTTAGGATTTGGTGCTTTCACTGCCATGGCCCAGTTATGGTTTAATATTTATGTGACTCGTGACTTTTTGGGATACTCATTTGTTATTGACGCTTTTCCCTTCCATACAGCTTTTGATTTCCTGTCTTACTGACTGTTTTAATCTTTCATCTGAGATGCCCATAGAGAAGCTTTCCTTTTTTTAAGCTGTCTTTTGGGGGGGTAGTTCTGGGTCTTGTAAGGACTGCTTTGTACTTCTTTGGCAATACCTCATGCATCCTTCTTTAAGTTATAACCTTGGCTAAGGTTTTTGCTTTTGGTAAGTCACTTGGGAGGTACCTTTGTTAAAAACAATAGCAAAAAACAACTGGCTGCATACAGTGGCTCATTCCTGTAATTTCAGCACTTTGGGAGGTCAAGGCAGGAGGACTGCTTAAGCCCAGGAGTTTGAGACCAGCCTGGGCAACATGGCAAACCTTGTCTCTATAAATTAAAAAGATTAAAAAAAAAATTAGCCAGGCATAGCGGTGCACACCTATGTCCCAGCTACTCAGGAGGCTGAGGCGGGGGATTGCTTGAGCCCAAAAGGTCAAGGCTGCGGTGAGCTATGTTTGTGCCACTGCACTCCAGCCTGGGCAAACAGAGTTAGACCCTGTCTCAAAAAAAAAAAAAAGAAAAAAGAAAAAACAGGTCAAAAGCCAGAAATATTGGCTACTTATCCCTGCTGAAATCTGAAAATAAGAGATATGATAAGATTTTTTTTTAAAGAACTCTACAGTCAGAAATCAACCAAATTAAAAGCTGATATTCAGGCTGTTTTTGTGGGGTTTTTTTTCGAGGTCTTTCTGTTTTTCTCTTTTGGATTCTGTTTCTGGGAATTTTTTTTCAGTCAACTGAAATCCCTTTTTAATTGTGTTCGGTTCCTCTGTCGGCTTCCTTTCTTGTTGGCATGATTTTGCTTAAAAAAAAAAAAAAAGTAAAATTTCACTGGCCTTTCTGGAAAGCTTTAAATCTCCAAATTGGCTCCTTTAAGATTTGTTCTTCCATTTCCTTCCACTTCTACTGCTCCTTCTTTTTTGCTATTTTTGATTCCACATGAAGAGATCTAGGAGGAACTTCTAGTGGCCCTGAAACCCCTTGAGCCACACAGAAAAAGACACCACGCCTCCTTTTTGGGATTCTCAGTTTTCCTTACGGAGCCCCAGAGTTGTGGCGAGATCCTCTCGGGGCTAAAGCTCTGCTCTCTTTTACATTGACCTCTCTAATTCCTCTGGCTTTTGAGGGTACCAGGGATTCCTTTGCACTGTGAAAGAAAGACTGATCTTTGTGCAACGGCCAGTCATCACTAGCAAGGGCTGCAGTTTTGGAGGTGGCTGACAGTGGTTGTTTGCGGTGAATAGTTAATACTGCAGGGGGATACTCATTTCATTGCAAGTTTAGATAAGAAAAGTGAAGTTTGAATACTTGGAGGCTATGGGAACACCTGCCACGAAAGGATAAGACTCCTGGGCCAGGAGCAGTGGCTCCTGCCTGTAATTCCAGTGAGAAGTGACAGCGTGCTGGCAGCCCTCACAGCCCTCGCTCACTCTCCATGCCTCCTCTGCCTGGGCGCCCACTTTGGCGGCCCTTGAGGAGCCCTGCAGCCCGCCGCTGCACTGTGGGAGCCCCTTCCTGGGCTGGCCGAGGCCAGAGCCAGCCTCCTCAGCTTGCGGGGAGGTGTGGAGGGAGAGGCAGGGACAGGAACTGGGGCTGTGCGCGGCACTTGCGGGCCAGCGTGAGTTCCGGGTAGGCGTGGGCTCGGCGGGCCCTGCACTCGGAGCGGCCTGCAGGCCCTGCCGCCCCGGGCAGTGAGGGGCTTAGCACCTGGGCCAGCAGCTGCTGTGCCTGATTTCTCACCAGGCCGTAGCTGCCTCCCCACAGGGCAGGGCTCGGGACCTGCAGCCTGCCATGCCTGAACACCAACCCGGCCCCACCCCGCGTGGGCTCCTGCGCAGCCTGAGCCTCCCTGACCAGCGCCACCCCCTGCTCCACGGAGCCTGGTCCCATTGACCGCCCAAGGGCTGAGGAGTGCCGGCGCAGGACGCGCAGGACTGGCAGGCAGCTCCACAGGCGCCCCTGTGGGGGATCCACTGGGTGAAGCCAACTGGGCTCCTGAGTCTGGTGGGGACTTGGAGAACCTTTATGTCTAGCTAAGGGATTGTGAATACACCAATCGGCTCTCTGTGTCTAGCTCAAGGTTTGTGAATGCACCAATCAGCACTTTGTGTCTAGCTGATCTGGTGGGGACTTGGAGAACCTTTATGTCTAGCTAAGGGATTGTAAATACACCAATCAGCACTCTGTATCTAGCTCAAGGTTTGTAAACACACCAATCAGCACCCTGTGTCTAGCTCAGGGTTTGTAAATACACCAATCAACACTCTGTATCTAGCTAATCTAGTGGAGACATGGAGAACTTTTGTGTCTAGCTCAGGGATTGTAAATGCACCAATCAGCACCCTGTCAAAATGGACCAATCAGGTCTCTGTATAACAGACCAATCGGCTCTCTGTAAAATGGACCAATCAGCAGGATGTGGGTGGGGCCAGATAAGAGAATGAAAGCAGGCTGCCCAGTACTCTGGCAACCCGCTGGGTTCCCTTCCACATTGGGAAAGTTTTGTTCTTTCCTTCTTTGCAATAAATCTTGCTACTGCTTGCTTTTTGGGTTCATATTGCCTTTATAAGTTGTGACACTCATCGTGAAGGTCTGTAGCTTCGCTCCTGAAGCTAGGGAGACCATGAACCCACCAGAGGGAAGAAACTCTGAACACATCCAAACATCAGAAGGAACAAACTCCGAATGCGCCATTTCTAAGAACTGTAACACTCCCCCCAAGGGTCTGTGGCTTCATTCTTGAAGTTGGTGAGACCAAGAACCCACCAATTCCGGACACACCGGCACTTTAGGAGGCCGAGGCAGGCAGATACCTGATGAGGTCAGTAGTGCGGGACCAGCCTGGCCAACATGGTGAAACCCTGTCTCTACTAAAAATACAAAATATTAGCCGGGTGTGGTGGCAGGCACCTGTAATCACAGCTAGTCTGGAGGCTGAGGGAGGAGAATTGCTTGAACCCAGGAGGCAGAGGTTGCAGTGAGCTGAGGTCGTGCCATTGCACTCTAGCCTTGGCAACAAGCCTGTCTCAAAAAAAAAAAAAAAAAAGCTCCTGTGGGGACTGGGCTGATCCCAGAGTGGGCTGATGGGTGCTGGGTCAGTCACCCTTTAAGTGTAGGCGCACTGTGGAAGTGTACTGCCCCGTCTTGTGGTGTATCTCTCTTTTGGGGGGTCTGGGATCCAGTGTAAAATGTGATCCTTGATTTCTGAGGATCTAGTCGTTCAGTTTCCAGCTGTGTCTGCTTTTCACACATAAAATATTAGGCGTTGGAAACTGCAAATACTTTGTTGGTCCTGTTAATGGGCTTTGCCCTGAGCTCAGTATTCCAGTTAGAAAGTAAAGACTGAATTAGCCACATATGTAACTAGACTGGTTTACAAAATATTCCTTTCCGGCATCCAGTTTATTTTGAAAAGGTTTCTGAATGTTCTCTTAAGTTCATCTGTATGTTTTCCTTGTAAAATGCTGTAGCAAATAACTGTGATTTTGTATTACCTTGGCATCCATTTGTAATAATCCTCTAACTCACCCAAAGTCTTTCTTGAAATGCTTAATATTCTCTCTGTGCGCTTTGAGATGGCTTTGGCTATGTTGGCCAGAGAAACTTCAACTGTCTCATTTAAAGAGACATGATTCAACTGTTTCTTTAAACAGTTTTACCTGTCTCCTGGCTAAAAAATTTTAAATTGAAGCTATAAAATCTTTGTGTTTTTCTCTGTTTTTGTGTATACATGTGTACATGTCTGTTTGTATATTGTCTACAAGGTGCCAAATTGACTTATTAATAAATGAGTATTGATAAATAGCCCAAATGTTTTTCTTTTTTCTTTTCTTTTTTTTTCCTTTTTTGAGACAGAGTTTTGCTTTTGTTGCCCAGGCTGGAGTGTAATGGCACAATCTCGGCCCACTGCAACCTCCACCTTCCAGGTTCAAGCGATTCTCCTGCCTCAGCCTCCTGAGTAGCTGGGATTACAGGCACCTGCCACCACGCCTGGCTAATTTTTGTATTTTTAGTAGAGCTGGAGTTTCGCCATGTTGGCCAGGCTGATCTCGATCTCCTGATCTCAGGTGCGCCACCTGTGTTGGCCTCCCAAAGTGCTGGGATTACGGGCGTGAGCCACCGCACCCAGCCCCAAATGCTTTTCAAATTTACATGACTTTAGTAATCTTTGGTAAATAAAGCTGGTTTTAACATTAGATTTCGAGCCTTTAGATTCTGGGGTGTGGATAATGCCTATGGTGAAGTCTGGAGACGTGTATCTACACCACCTGGGCCACCAGCTTCAGGGCAGAGCCAAGGTCAATACATCCTCCCTGGCCCAGCTGTGCCTCCTGGCCATGCTGGGAGAGGTTAGCTCCTACAGGCATTGTCTTCACAGCCCTGTCCTCAGGCCTGGGCTCTGTATCTGGTACATAATAATTAAAACTGCTTACTTCCTAAGTTGTTCACTAGAATTTAGAATCACTAAGAATTCAAATTGTAGTTAGTTTGTATAATTAAAACTACTAGATATAAGAGAAATAATTCTGTGTACAGATTGGACAAGGACAGTAGAATGTGTTTTTTGTTAGGTTATTTTTAAAAACATAAATATGTGGGTTTTGTTAAAGGAAAAGTAATTTTGTCTAGTTCGGAGGTTAATTCAAGGTTGTTTAAATGGAATGAATAAAAAATGATATTGAATAGACATTTCTCAAAAGAGGACATACGAATGGCAAACAGGTATATGAAAAGGTATTCAACATCACCAATCATCAGATAAATGAAAAATCAAAACTACAATGAACTCTGGGTGTAGTGGCTCATGCCTATAATCCCAGCACTTTGGAAGGCCAAGGAGAGAGGATCTCTTGAGCCCAGGAGTTTTGAGATCAGCCTGGGCAACACAGGGAAACCCCATCTCTACAAAAAAAATTTTTAAAAATAGCCAGGCATGGTGGTGCCACGCCTGTAGTCCCAGGTACTCAGGAGGCTGAGGCAGGAGGATCACTTGAACCTGGGAAGTCAAGACTGCAGTGAGCCATGATTGCACCACTGCACTCCAGCCTGGGTAACAGAGTGGCACCCTGATTTAAAAAAAAAAAAAAAAAAAAAAAAAACTACAGTGAGATATCATCTCACCCTCGTTAAAATGGCTTTTATTCAAAAGACAGGCAACAACAATGAACACTGGTGAGGATGTAGAGAAAAGGGGAAACCTCATACACTGTCAGTGGAAGTGTTAATTAGTACAGCTACTATGAGGAACAGTACAGAGGTTCCTCAAAAACTAAAAATAAAACTAAAAACTAAAATAAAAATTAAAAAACCATATGATCTAGTAATCCCAAGGTAGATTACCTTGTTAGGTAGATACCCAAGGAAAAGGAAATCAGTATATTGAAGAGATATCGGCACTCCCATGTTGACTGCAGCACTATGCACAGTAGCCAGGATCTGGAATCAACCTAAGTGTCAACAGGATAGGATGAAGAAAATATGGTACATATACGCAATGGAGTACTAGTCAGCCATGAAATAGAATGAGATCCTGTCATTTGCAACAACAAGAGTGGAACTGGGGGACATTATGTTAAGTGGAATAAGCTAGGCACAGAAAGGCAAATTTCTCACGTTAGCACTCATTTGTGGGAGCTAGTAACTAAAACAATTGAACATACGGAGATAGAGAATAGAATGATGGTTACCGGAGGCTGGGTAGGGTAGTGGGGGTATAGAATAGGTATGGTTAATGGGTACAAAAAATTAGTTATAATTAATAAGATATAGTATTTGATAGCACAACAGGGTGACCACATTCAGCAATAATTTGTCATAAATTTTAGAATAATTGAGGGAATATAATCGGAATGTTCAAAATAAAAAGAAATGATGAATGCTTGAGGTGATGGATACTCCGTTTACCCTGATGTGATTATTACACATTGTACACCTGCATCAAAATACACCCCATAAACATATATATCCCCTAGGTACCCATACAAATTTAAAAAAAGTTTTAAAAATAATAGATAAAACTGAATGAGGCTGGGTGCAGTGGCTCATGCCTGTAATCCCAGCACTTTGGGAGGCTGAGGCAGGTGGATCAACTGAAGTCCGGAGTCCAAGACCAACCTAACCAACATGGTGAAACCCTGTCTCTACTAAAAATACAAAAATTAGCCAGGTGTGATGGCAGAAACCTGTAATCCCAGCTACTCGGGAGGCTGAGGCAGGAGAATCAATCACTTGAACGTGGGAGGCGGAGGTTGTAGTGAGCTGAGATCCCACCATTGTGCTCCAGCCTGGGCAACAGAGCGAGACTCTGTCTCAAACAAACAAACAAACAAAATTGAATGGATGTAGAGAGTTGTGGGGGGAAAGAGAATGGAAAAAAATCTGTAAGAAGTTATAAAAGGGTTGTGGAACCATTATCTTGTATGGTCAAGGCTGACTGAGATTGGATAGATCTGTTTATAATATTAAAATTAGCTTTAAATCAAGTGTTTTAAACCATTGCCATCCGACAAACTACCCAAAAGCAGATTTTGAATTCTAAATTATTTTTAACTTCAAACTAACTTTTGGACATGCCAAAAAGAGCCCCTGGAACTCTTAAGAGAGACATATTGGGCTTATCTGATATGTTAAAATCGTATAGAAAGCATTGTCAAATTTAGAAATCGTGTTTAATTTTCCTTGAGTTATATTTGTATAAATGTGTTAATATATGTTCCAAAATTGTATGAAAGTCCTAAAACTCTTGATATGTCTTGGTAAATTGCTTCATTCTGATGCTTTTTTTCTAAGAGCTCTTTGCAAATCCTAAGGTGGTGTATTTTCAAGGAGGTTCATGAAAAAGCCTCTGAAAGGTACTTTTAAATAGAGACCTCTGCTTACGACTTTGAGATTATTCAAGTGGACTGGGTTAAAAAAAAAAAAAAAGAAACTCCAGTAAAAAAAACTGGACTCATAAAATTGCTAATCTGACATCATACAGAACAATAATTAAGTAGATGGGACTAACCTGATAAATGACTAAAATGATGTTTATGACTTTTTTGCTTGAAACATTCTTTTATTTACTTACTTATTTTGAGACAGTGCCATGCCATGTCGTCCAAGCTGGCTTCAAACTCCTGAGTTCAAACAATCCTCCCGCCTCAGCCTCCTAAGTAGCTGGGATTATAGGTATGCTGCTAATTGTTTTGTTTTCCAGAGTTAAAAAAAAACTTTTTTTCCTCTTAAGCTATTTATAACCTACAGTAATTGGGAAAGTATACTTTTGTGAGCAAAATGGAAATATTTACTTTTCTCCCTAACTGATATCTTCAAAATTTGGAAACTATTAATGAGTATTTTTATTTTATGGCAATATAGGTATTTGAATAAACTCAGTAATAATCTGTTTTCTTTTGTGATAGGACACAATTAGAGACACTGGTTATTTTACCAAGGCTTTGGCTGGAATGTCATATTTTCATATGTGATGGGGCTGCTTTAAGGAACTGAAACTGACTTTAAAGTCAACAGACTTGGAAAAAGACTGTCCTGGTTCCTTGTCTATACAGTTTCTTTAAAGGATTTTTGATCCTATGGTAAGTAAAGAATGTCACTTTCTAACAGGCCCAGGAACCTCAAGATATTTTGGGGACCTTGATGATTGGACTCCGGTGAAGACTCCAAGATGGCGATCGCCACCTCACATACCCTGACTCAGCATTTCCGGGTTCACCTTTCCTGTTCCCGCCACCCCGACTAACGCGCATGCCCACTAGGGCGTGTCACACTCAGAAGCGCGAAACTCAACCGACCCCACCCCTACCCCGCCCACTCCTCACCCAGCATCCATAAAAGCGCGCTGCACCTTTGGCACAGCGCGACTTCCCTGGCCCTCCCCCTGCGGGCCAGTGAACCTCGCCCAAGAGCTCAATAAAGATTTTTGCCCTCTTTGTCTCGCCTCTCGGCCTTATTGATCCACGGTCCCCTTCCATTGCCTTTCACTTGAGAAGAGAAGAATTCATCCAATTTGTGTAGTTATTACACGTATAATCTGATGGAAAATCCTTGGCGTGGCTTCCTACCCTTGAGAGGCTTTTTTTTTTTTTTTTGAGACAGAGTTTCACTCTTGTTTCCCAGGCTGGAGTGCAATGGCACGATCTTCTCCGCCTCCCAGGTTCAAGCAATTCTCCTCCCTCAGCCTCCCAAGTAGCTGGGATTGCAAGTATGCACCACCACGCCCGAATAATTTTGTGTTTTTAGTAGAGACGGGTTTCTCCATGTTAGCCAGGCTGGTCTCGAATTCCCAACCTCAGGTGATCCGCCCACCTTGGCCTCCCAAAGTGCTGGGATTACAGGCATGAGCCACCATGCCTGGCCAGCTTTTAAAAATATAATCTGAGGTTCTTATGAAAAAGCCCCTGCAAAGACAATTTATAAAGAGCCTATATAGCCAATCACTATTGCTGCTTTACTTTATGCAAATAATCAAGCCATGTATAATAGGACTAAAATTATTCTGCAATTAAATTGGTTCTGCTATGATTTATCTTTGGTAGAAATGGGGGACTAGAGATTGAAAAATTATGTTTCAGAAAAAAAACTATAGTACACCTGTTATTAGATTCTACCACTGACCATTGTTTCTATTATTTGCCTACAATTCAGACTGAATTTTGAATTCCTTCCTGGTTACAAGTCTCCAAACTAATGTTTCCAACATTTTATTCCATTTTTCTGACTTGGACTCACTGAAATTGCTACTACCTTTTTCTGGAGGGCCTGCAAGCTGAAGCTCATGAATAAACAACCTTGTGATATGCAAATTACAGACCAGAAAAGCTGTCAGATTGCTACCGCCTATTTCTACTTCAGCTGAGAATGCTTTGAGTTTAACATCAAGACACCAACTGACTGCCCTCCAAACTCTGAAGAAACTGGTTTATACTGTTCCAAACATTAACCTTTGTGTTTCTTCTGTGTGAGAGCCTGTCTGCAACACCATCTCCTGAAATCAGATACAGCTGTCTAATGGGGCTGGCCTATTTCCAGAAATGGGAGACTGGGTTAATGGGATCCTTTGCCACTCAGCTATTAACTGAAATATTCTCTCCACAGCCACCAACTCAGCTTTCAGTGTGTGAAACATCTAGGGAAGTTTCATATGGAAATGTTGTTTGCAGAGAATGTTTCCCCAAAAATATGGTGCTTTGACATGTTAAGTGCTTTTGAAAATGGAAAGGCCTCAGAAATAAGCCTCAGAATCAAGGTCCCTCTAATTTTGTCTTTTTCCTCTCTCTCCAAGGGCACAGAGAGTCTCCCTCTGGAATTCCTTTATCTGACCAAGAAAGCTTCTCACCAAAAGAAACACAATCGCCTTCTATCTCCTTCCTGAAATCTCATCATCTATTTCAGGAAAGAAGGCTGAAGAATGACCTTTACACGTGGTTAACCAAATGTATGCCTTTCCTGATGTACAGCTAATTGCCATAGACTAATGCAGGACTCTTTATGAAAATGGCTCCCCTGTTACTCCAACTTGGCCAATTTCTGCATGTTATCTTTTGACAGCTCACTTCTGTGGGACAAGCCACTCTAAAAACAGACATTTCTAGCTCCAAAGACAATATGTAACAAATCTATGGCCAACCAATAATAATTGATCAGCAGTGCTGCCTCCTGTCAGATCTTGATCAAAACAGGGAATGTGAAATGTGATATACAAAATGGCGTCACTCTGGTTCAGAGCTCTAAAATTAAATCAGGGCTGGGTGCATTGGCTCACACCTGTAATCTTCACTTTGGGAGGCCAATGCAGGAGGATTGCTTGAGCTCAGGAGTTCAAGGGCAACATAGTGAGACCTTGTCTCTACTAAAAACAACTACAAAAATCAGTTTGGTGTGATAGCATGTGACTGTAGTTCCAGTTACTCAGGAGGCTGAAGTGGGAGGATCACTTGAGCTTGGGAGGTCAACGCTTCCAGGAGCTGCAATCACACCACTATACTCTAGCCTGGGTGACAGAGTGAGACCCTGTCTCAAAAATAAATAAATAATTAAATCAAATTAAATTGGGAAGCCATTCAAAGAAGTACTAATTCTATAAAACCTGCAACCTTGGAAATAAAAAAACCCAGAAACTTGCCTTAAACCTTTGAACTGGGCCAAATCCCCATGACCAAAACATCTTGGAAAATAGATAAATTTTGCCAGCACTATAACGCCTAAACAGCTACAACCAATGAACTATGGACTCATGTACTAAGCCAGCCTCCTCTACCAACAATAATTCTTTCAAAACAACTAGTGTAATCACCCTCGGCATCTTTTTAAAAATTACTATTCCACTTTATTTTTCAGAACACAATGTGGCCTTTGACCACATCTGTTTCTCCTGAATCACAATTCCTAAGACCCCAATAAGTGTCTTAACTGCTTTGCAGTCCGGCCTTTCATGCTTCTTGATTAACAAGAATAACATGAGAAACTTACATTTTAATGGCATCATTTTGCTGATGTATTGAGTATTAACTGGAGAGAGGCAAAAGAAGACTCAAGGAGACTAGTTAGGAGATTATGGAAATAATCCAGGCAAGAGATGTTGATGACTTGCCTCAAGGCAGTAGTGGTAAAGATGGAGAAAAATGATCAAAGTGTGTGGGGGTGTGTGTGTGTGTATTCAAGATAGGGTCTTGCTATGTTGTCCAGGCTGGACTCGAACTCCTGGACTCAAGCACCTGTCCCACCTCTGCCTCCTGAGTAGATGGAAGCTGGGACTATAGGTGTGTACCGCCACACATGGCAGATTGTGTAAACATTTTAAAGAAGGTGCCAACAGCATTTGTTAATAGACTGAACAAGGGATGGGAGAGAAATCGAGGAATAAAAGATGATTCCAGGACTTGTGCCTAAGCAACTAGAAGGATCCCATTGAATTAGTTCAGAAAGACCGAAAGGAGCATATTTTGATGGGGAGGATAGGGATGATCAGGAATGTAGTCTGCAACATGTTAAATGTAAGATGCTCACCTGCTATCCGGTGGACGTGTCAAGTAAATAGTTGGAGTCACCTTGAGATTGGAAGATATTACTAAGGGAGAAAGTACAGACAGAAAAGAGAATAGTTCCAAAGACTACTGAGGGGGCAGCAAGGATGATTAACAAAGGAGGCTAAGGTGGTGAGTGAGGTGGGAAGGTAATTGGGAGTGTGTGGTGGTGTCCTGGAGGTAACTGAAGAAAAGACTTAAAGGAGGACGCAATGATCAATGCAAATGGCACTGTTATATAAGATGAGAATGAAGAATTGATAATTGGCTGCAGCAACTCAGAGGTCACTGATGACCTTGACAAGAACAATTTGTGTTGACCAGTGAGAGTGAAAGCCTAACTGTAGTGAACTTAAGAGAAATGACTCAACAGATACTTGTATGCACATGTTCATGGCAGCAGTATTCACAATAGCCTCAAAATGGAAACAACCTAAGTGTCCATCAACAAGAAAATGGGGCCGGGCGTGATGGTTCACGCCTTTAATCCCAGCACTCTGGGAGGCCGAGGCAGGCGGATCACAAGGTTGAGATTGAGACCATCCTGGCCAGCATGGTGAAACCCTGTCTCTACAAAAATACAAAAATTAGCTGGGCGTGGTGGCGCATGCCTGTAGTCCCAGCTACTTGGGAGACTGAGGCAGGAGAATCGCTTGAACCCAGGAGGTGGAGGTTGCAGTGAGCCAAGACTGTGCCACTGTACTCCAGCCTGGCAACAGAGCAAGACTCTGTCTCAAAACGAAAACAAGAACAAAAACAAGAAAGAAATGGATAAATACAATGTGCTATATGCATACAATGGAATGTTACTCAGCCATGAAAAGGAATGAAATTCTGACTCATGCTACCATATAGACAAACCTTTAAAACATTATGCTATGTGAAAGAAGCCAGACACAAAGGAATAAATACTGCATGATTCCACTTATAGAGGTACCCAGCGTAGTCGAATTCAGAGACAGAAAGTAGAATGGTGCTACTAGGGGCTGGGGGGCAGGGGAGAATGGAAGCTATTGGTTAAGGAGTATGCAGTTTCTGTTTGGAATGATGAAAAATTCTAGAAGTGGACAGTGTTGATGGTTGGACAACATTGTGAAAGTAATTCGTGCCCCTGAATTGTATACTTGAAAACACTTAAAATGGTAAATTCTATTATATATACTTAACCACAATAAATTGGCTGGGCATGGTATCTCAAGCCTGTGATTCCAGCACTTTGGAAGTCCGAGGTGGGAGGATTGCTTGAGTCCAAGAGTTCAAGACCAGAATGGGCAACATAGTGAGACCTGCCCCTGCAAAAAAAAAAAAAAAAAAAATTGAAAAAGAAAAAAAAATGTTTAATGACTCTCTGACAAAATGAAACCATAATTGAAAAAGAAAAATTGAAAACAACATAGACAAATCTTTCATGAAGTTTTGTTTTAAAGAGTCAGGGGAACAAAGAAATGAGGCACTAGTAGAAGAGGGAAAGGGGTCAAATAAGGATTTTGTTTTCAGAAGGGTGAAATTACAAGTTGTTTTAGGCCAATTGAAATGATCCAAGAGAAAAGTAAAATGATAATGCAGGAGAGGGGAGGGTAGCTCCAACAGTGCCACTGAGTAAGCGAGAGGAGAAGGGGTCCGGCGCTGAGTGGCAGCATGGCCTTTGCTAGCAGGACAGAAAGGGGAATTCTGTGATGAGAAATGCTGGGAATATGAGATTCTGTACCATCTTGACTGGGAGAAGGCAGAGTCCATGGCTCCACATGCTGGGGAATAGGGGAAATTCTCCATTCTCCTCTGACTGCTTTTATTTTCTCTCTGAAATAGGAAGGATATTCATTGTGGTAGACTGAGTAATGGCCCCCAATGATGTCCATGTCCTAAACCCTGAGATCTGTGACTGTGTTACCTTACATGGCCAGAGGGACTTGGCAGATGTGATTAAGGGTAAGGACTGTGGGCCGGGCGCGGTGGCTCACACCTGTAATCCCAGCACTTTGGGAGGCCGAGGCGGGCGGATCTTGAGGTCAGGAGTTCGAGACCAGCGTGACCAACATGGTGAAACACCATCTCTACTAAAAATACAAAAATTAGCTGGGTGTGATGGCATGCATCTGTAATCCCAGCTACTCAGGAGGCTGAGGCAGGAGAATCACTTGAACTCAGGAGGCAGAGGTTTCAGTGAGACGAGATCATGCCACTGCACTCCAACCTGGGCACCAGAGCGAGACTCTTTCAAAAACAAAAAACAGTAAGGACCATGAGATGGGCAGCTTTTGCTGGATTACCAGGGTAGGCCCGATCTAATCACATGAGTCCTTAAAAGTGGAAGAAGAGAATGAAGTACTGAGACATGGATGAACCTTGAAAGCATGCCAAGTGAAAAAAGCCAGTGACAAAAGAGCATATACTGTGTGATTCCATTTACATGAAAAGGCCAGAAGAGGAAAATCCATAAAGGCAGAAAGCAGATTAGTGGTTACCAAGGGTTAGGAATGAGGGCAAGAATAAAAGATAATTGCTAAAGGGCACAGGGTTTCTTGGGGATAGTGAAAATGTTCCAGACTTGGTTCTGGTAATGGATGGATGTACAGCTCCGTGAATATACTAACAACTATCAAATTGTCCACTTTAAATGCATGAATTATGTGGTATGTGAACTATATCTTCACTATGGCTATTACTAAAAACAGTGGAAGGGGGCTGGGTGTGTTGGCTCACGCCTGTAATCCCAGCACTTTGGGAGGCCGAGGCCGGGAATTCAAGACCAGCCTGGCCAGCATGGTGAAAACCCATCTCTATAAAAAATACAAAAAATCAGGTAGGCATGGTGGCACGCGCCTGCAGTCCCAGCTACTCGGGAGGCTGAGGCAGGAGAATTGCTTGAACCTGGCAGGTGGAGGTTGCAGTGAGCTGAGATCACACCACTGCACTCCAGCCTGGGTGACAGAGCGAGACTCCATCTAAAACAAAACAAAACAAAACAAAATAAACAGTGGAAGAATGAGGCAGAAGAACATGGTTGAGAGAAACGTGATGATGGGGAAAGGGGCAGAGAAGAGTTGCTGGCTTTCAAGATGGAATAAGGAGACCATGAGCCAAGGAGTACAAGTGGCCTCTAGAAAGGAGAAAAGGCAAAAAGGGCTTCTCTGTATGGCTTTCAGAAATGGACATAGTCCTGCCTATATCTTGATTTTAAGCCAGGGAGACTTCTGTCCAACTTGTGACTTCTAGATTGTGAGATAAAAAACGTGTGTTGTTTTAAGCCACCATATTTGTAGTAGTTCTTTTTTTGTTTTTGTTTTGTTTTGTTTTGTTTTGTTTTTTGAGAGTCTCACCCTGTCGCCCAGGCTGGAGTGCAATCGCGCAATCTCAGGTCACTGCAACCTCCACCTCCCACGTTCAAGCAGTTCTCCTACCTCAGCCTCTCAAGTAGCTGGGATTACAGGTGCCCACCACCATGCCCAGCTAATTTTTTGTATTTTTAGTAGAGACGGAGTTTCACCTTGTTGGCCAAGCTGGTCTCAAACTCCTGACCTCAGGTGATCCACCCACCTCATCCTCCCAAAGTGCTGGAATTACAGGTGTGAGCCACTGCACCCGGCCTGTGGTAGTTTTTTATGATGGGCATCAACTGAGAGAGAGTGGTAAAGGAAGTATTGGAGGACTGACAGAAGAGATGATAGAAAATAGTCTTCTAAGTGCAAAAGAATGAATGAGCCAGAAAAATGGAATATAACTGCCAAACAGAATTAAAAACACATAACAAAATTGAGAACACCTTCTCCCCCATCTAGATGGCTACTATGAGAGTTCCATTTTTTTATAAGAAAATATTAATTACCCCACTGTTGTGCAATTTTTTTGTGACCCAGTGAAGATCATCTGTTATAAGTTTGGTGAATGATTAGATCATAATCCTAACCACAAATGATTTCTGCATTGGGTTATTAGCAAACACTGTCCTCAAAAATGAATGCAATGAGCTGTTTCAGTCTTAAGCACTGCAAAATAAAATAAAATAAAACAAAAGTCAATCCTTGCAAAATCACCTGTGATTATTGCTCAACCCGTAAGATAAGACTCAGCTCAAATGTATTCGCCAACATGGAGTCTACTGCTAAAATAGAGTCCCCTTCAGAGGAATCCTCCCCAAGCTGTTTCTCAATGTACTAGTCAGGGTTCTCCAGAGAAGCAGAACAAATAAGAGATTAGATATATATTTATTTAATAGGAGACATACTGTGGGCATTGTTTCATGCGATTAGAGGGCAAGGAGTCCCACGATCTGCCATTGGCAAGCTGGATCCAGGAGAGCTGATGGTGAGTCAGAAGTCAGAAGGCCTGCGAGCCAGGGGAGCTGATGGAAATCCTGGTCTGGGTCCCGAGGCCTGAGAATCAGGAGCACAGCTGTCTGAGGGTGGAAGAAGATGGATGTCCCACCTCAAGCAGAGAGAACAAATGCACCCTTCCTTCACCTTTTTGTTCTATCCAGGTCCTCAATGGATTGAATGACACTCACCCATGTTGGTGAGGGTGATCTCTACTTAATCTACTGATTCAAGTGCTAATCTCTTCCAGAAACATCCTCACAGACACACCCAGAAATAATGTGTTACCAGCTATTTGAGTATTCCTTAGCCTAGTCAAGTTGACACATAACATTAATCATCATACTCAGGGATGGCCCTGTTGGATACAAATAAGGAAAACCCTCCTAGCAGAATCCTGGGGCGGCCATACTGAACTTAATCCACTCTTAAGGAAGTAAATTAACAAACAGATGCACATTAAGTTTGCTGGCCCTATGATCTACTTTATTGTCTTCCTCCAGCAAGATGTGCTATAAGATCTGGGCAAGTGACCTCTGTAGGTTGCTCTTCTTTTTCTTCTTTTCTAAAGAGTTTTTTAAAAATTGTGGATATTCTAGTTGTCTTTCATCATTTAATACTTTTTTACCCTAGAAATAGAATGTACACACATTTAATTCATATGAACTGAAGAAGGCTTGAGAGAGGGAAGTATAAGCATCATTTGACTAAGCAAATTAATGCCCAAAGTAAGCAGAATATAGAAGACACAAACGTGTCATTCTCTCAGTTGGTCTGTTTCCAGGTGCCTCTCATAGTGTGGGCATCTAGCAGTCTGAGTCCAAGTCTAGAAGTCCTACATGCAAGCCAATGACTTCCTCTGGGGCTCAATAGAAGGATGAGCCATCTGTTCCAATGCTGCAAGGAAAATCCTCTAGGTTGGACTTACTGAGAGACAGAATGTCAGCCTCCAAGGTGGCTCATAAATGCAATATATTGTGCCTTATGGGCAATTTAAGAGATCTTCAACAGTAATGTTGACTATACATGATCTTCAATTTGTAATGCACATTTTAAATTTTTAGAGAATTTTCAGTTTTACTAATAGAGCAGAAAACAAAAAATAAAAAGGCTAAGTGAAACCAAGTGTGGAAGCAAATGGCATGTAAAAAGTAAAGTAGAGGTTCCTCTTCAAAAAGACTTTCCTCCCTGTCTAATTAGGAATAAATAGTAACTTCTCTTAGAAGCAAAATTTATTCAAAGACCTGTGCTAACATTCTCAGATATCTGCTAGCCGTAATAAAGAAATCAATGTACTTTGTGTTCTTAGCTCCCACAATTTAGCCTAAATATTTGCCCTGGCATGCTTATACTAGTCCAAGCAAGCATTAGGTCATAGCCTGTTCCTCTTCCTTATTTGGAGGTATTTTTACCTTTCTCAGCATTCCACAAGTTACTGCCTCCTTCCTTTGTTCTCCTCTGCTTTTGTCTCTTTTAGAAAGTTCTAAGTTGCTAGCCAGTTGGGACAAATACAGAATTTCAGGTCCTATTCCAGGCAATGGAAACCACACACAGCAGTAGGGTAGACGTGTCAGGTTATAAATAACCCTGTCTCCTTTGTTCGGTGTACTCTCGTGGCAAAACAGCTGGCTAGTGTGCCCTTTCTGCAGAAAGTAAAAATGGCCTTGCTGAGAAAATTAAATTTACGTTCAAGTGGTATTTCTTTGTGGCACTGGGAAACAAGCATTTCTAACAGGCATGTCAGACATGTTAGAACATACATGTTCTAAAGTAGATAGAAAGGGAAGGAAGGACCAAGACATAGCAAATATTCATGATTCACTAAATATACATGAGACACGTTAAGCCCTTGACATTGTTGAAGACTTACATCAGCCACTCATAGTTGATATTATTCTAACCCCATTTGTCCTTTGCCCCAAAAATGCAAATGAAATTGAGACCTACTCATCAGGCTGATTGATGAGATACAGCTACTGCCATGCATACCTATCCCTATGTCTTTCCAATAGGCAAGTCCCTGTGTATACTGGTTCCATACACCTTCCGTCTGGTGGATTCCCTTGCTTAGACATCACCTCTGATCCTCATAACCTCACCGTCAGAAAGAAAAGCTGGCACAGCAAGGGGAAAGACAGGACTATGAACATTGTGTAATCTAGATTCAGGTAGTATGGTCCTTCACCCTGCTTGTACCTTACCCAAAGGGTGTTAATCTACCTCACTCTTTCCTCTTACTTCTCACTGAGTGTTTTAAATTTTTTAATAAATTGTGGGATTCTAGATACTTAGTTTGGCCTGTGGGTCTTCCCCTGACATAGCTTTGCCTAAGGGTCTAGGAGGCTACCATTGCCCCAAGGTAATTTCTCATACAACAGGAGCTGACCTTAGGACCTTTGCAAAAGATACGACTGTATTGTTTTGAGGGCTGTTACATCTGTCATTTAGCCCATAGATTGCAAAATTATATACAACTACATCCAGACCTGATCAACTGAGATTCTGGAAATGAAAGATAAATGTAGTAGCTGGTCATGTCTTTTACTTGTTTCTCATTTAGTAGGCAAGGTGTCTGTTCTACATGGGAAAACTGCATTATGCTAGACAAGAGAATTTATGAAATTAGACTATGGAAAGAAATATGCATGTGCTCAACTATGAGATTATCTGCCTGGTATAGTTCCTTCTCCTAGAAACTGCCCCATAGCATCCACACATCTGGCATGAAAGCTGCATTTTCTGTTTTGTTTTGTTTTTTTTTTGAGATGGAGTCTCGTTCTGTCGCCCAGGCTGGCGGGATCTCAGCTCACTGCAAGCTCTGCCTCAGCCTCCTGAGTAGCTGGGACTACAAGGTGCCCGCCACCACGCCCAGCTAATTTTTTTAATGTATTTTTAGTAGAGACCGTGTTAGCCAGGATGGTCTCGATCTCCTGACCTTGTGATGCAACCGCCTCAGCCTCCCAAAGTGCTGAGATTACAGGCGTGAGCCACTGCGCCCAGGCTGCATTTTCTTCTAAGAAAGTTGATTGGTTTAGGGATGAGTACTCAAACCAAGCTAAACCAGTAAGTCTCTTCCCTGGGATTTATAAATTTAGAACCCCCCAAAATTGAGGTTAGTTCCTCTTCAATATATAGATTTGTATGGTGTATTCCTACAGATTAGAGTATATAGGCATACTTTGTTTCATTGTGCCTCACCTTATTGCACTCTGCAGATTCTGTATTTTTCACAAATTGAAGATGTGTGCGGCAACCCTGCATCGAACAAGTCTATTGGAGCCATTTTCCCAACAGCATGCGCTTACTTTATGTCTCTATCACATTTTGACAATTCTCACGATATTTCAAACTTTTTCATTAATTATTATAACTGTTACGGTGATCTGTGATCAGTGAACTTTGATCACTATTATAATTGTTTAGGGGCACCACAAACTGCACCCATGTAAGATGGTAAACTTAATAAACATGTGTGCTCCTACTGATCCACTGACCAGTTGTTTCTAGTCTCTCTGCCTCTCCTCAGACCTCTCTATTCCCTGAGACACAACAATATTGGAATTAGGCCAATTAATAACCCTAGAATGGCCTCCAAGTGATCAAGTGAAAGGAAAAGTCACATGTCTCTCACTTTAAATCAAATCTAGAATTGATTAAGCTTAGTGAGAAAGACAGATCAAAAGCTGAGATAAGCTGAAAGCTATGCTTCTTGTGACAAAACAGCCTTAGATTGGAGAGAGATACATTTAGGACTTTAATAGCTAGAGAGAAGAAGGCAGTGGCTGGTTTCAAAAGACAGGCTGACTTGTTTGTTAGGGGCTAAAGCAGCTGGTGACTTTAAGTGGAAACCAATGTTCATTTACCATTCTGAAAATCCGAGAGCCCTTAACAATTATGCTCAATCAATTCTGCCTGTGCTCTATAAATGAAACATCACAGCCTGAAGAAGAAAGCACATCTGTTTACAGCATAGTTTACTGAATATTTTAAGTGCACTATTGAGACCTACTGCTCAAAAAAGATTCCTTTTGAAGTATTACTGCTCTCCAACAGTGCAACTGGTCACCCAAGAGCTCTGATGAAGATGTACAAGATTAATGTTGTTTCCATGCCTGCTAACACAACGTCTATTCCGCTGTCCATGGATCACAGAGCTATTTCTACTTTCAGGTCTTACTTAAGAAATACATTTCAGCCAGGTGTGGTGGCTCACACCTGTAATCCCAGGACTTTGGGAGGCTGAGGCGGGTGGATCACGAGGTCAGGAGTTCGAGGACCATCCTGACTAACACAGTGAAACCCCGTCTCTACTAAAAATCCAAAAAAATTAGCTGGGTGTGTTGGCGGGTGCCTGTAGTCCCAGCTACTCGGGAGGCTGAGGCAGGAGAATGGCGTGAACCCGGGAGGCAGAGCTTTCAGTGAGCTGAGATCGCCCACCGCACTCCAGCCTGGGTGACAGAGCGAGACTCCGTCTCAAAAAAAAAGGGGGGGGGGAGGGGGAATAAGAAGCCAGGCGCGGTGGCTCACGCCTGTAATCCCAGCACTTTAGGAGGCTGAGGCGGGCGGATCACGAGGTCAGGAGATCAAGACCACCCTGGCTAACATGGTGAAACCCCGTCTCTACTAAAAATACAAAAAAATTAGCTGGGCGTGGTGGCGGGCGCCCGTAGTCCCAGGTACTCGGGAGGCTGAGGCAGGAGAATCGCTTGAACCCGGGAGGCAGAGGTTGCAGTGAGCCAAGATCACGCCACTGCACTCCAGCCTGGCGACAGAGTCAGACTCCGTCTCAAAAAAAAAAAAAGAAAAGAAAAAACAAAACTGCCTCTGCAACTGGCACATTTCCCAAAAAAGCATAGCTAAGAGATGAAGCTCAAGACAGTGAAAGGGCCCAGATTGCACAGCGGTGTGAAAGCCACGCTGAGGGTTTGGGACTTTATCCGGGGAGCAATAGGAAGCCATTGTTGGCTGACATCACTGCTATGCATTGCAACTCTGGCGACCATGTAGAGAATGAGGAAAAGGGAGAGTGCATTTGGGAAACCACGTGAGTGGTATTATAATTCTCCAGGCACAAGCTAGTATCATCTTATTTTAGGACGGTGGCAGTGGAGAGGGACACATTCAACAGGACTTGTTGATGGATTGGAATTGAGATACAGTAGTAAAGTAGCAAAGTCACCCTGCTTCACTGGGTGAATGGTAAAATGTGAACACTAGAAGAGGTATAAATTTTAGGGTAAGAGAGTGAGATTAATTTTTTATATATGTAGTTGTATAATCTAATCTAATAAGGAGGCAAGGTCGGGTAGAAAGGATTCATGCCTTAATGCTAATGCTTTTGGACTAAATAACTAAGTTTCCATTCAGTTATAATGGTCTTCCACAAGGAAGTGCCATCTTTTGCAGAATTTATTCCCCCAAAGAGCTCGTGGCTGAAATATAACTCCTGGAATTTGCCTGGAATTTGAATTCCTCAGAATCATCCACACCAAGTTAATAATTAAAGGTTCCTCATACTGTCTACATTTGTTTTTTTCACCTGTGTACAGGATTCTGATTTCACAAAATCCTCCCAGCAGTATTATTTAACCTAGTGTCAAAGAAAGGTGTGTATATTCCAGCAACCCAGAGGCAAGTCTCTACCAGCTCAAGAAGGAAAAAGGTGGGAGGCTGCAGAAGCCACAGAAACTGACCCTGCCCAGAGCCAAAGCAGACAAGAGGGCTCCTGCAAAGTTAATCTTCTTTGAGATTTTCTCACACCCTCTCCAAGCATCTAGCATTGAGCTCTGAAGGGCCTCACGGTCATTTGTTCGTTAATAAATTCTTCAGACCTGAGGTGGGGGTGGAGTGGAAGGATGATAAAATATTTAAATGTTAAATGAGAAAGAAAAGCAGGAAAGGGCTCAGGTATGGTAGCTTATGCCTGTAATCCCAGCACTTCAGGAGGATCACTTGAGCCCAAGTTCACATAGCAAGACCCATCTCTACAAAAAATTTTTAAAATTAGCCAGGCACAGTGGCGCACTTGTAGTCCTAGCTATTTGGAAAGCTGAGGCCAGAGGACGCTTGTGCCCAGGAGTTTGAGACTGTATTTAGCTGTGATTGCACCACTGCACTCTTGGACAACACAATGAGAGCCTGTCTCCAAAAAAAAATTTTTTAAGTGGAAAAGGCAGAGGAGACAAGGGAATAATCTAAGGGAAGAAAAGTTTTTAAATGATAAAAGCCATATATGACAAACCCGCAGCTAATATCACACTGAACAGGAAAACATTGAAAGCCTTTCCACTAAGATCTGGAACAAGACAAGGATACCCACTTTCACCACTCCTATTCAATATATTTCTGGAAGTCCTCACCTGAGCAATTAGGCAAGAGAAAGAAATAAAGGGCAACTGAATTGGAAAGGAAGAAGTCAAATTATCCTTGTTTGCAGATGACTTGTTCTTATATTTAGAAAAACCTAAAGACTCCATCTCTCAGAACTTTGATGAACGAATTCAGTTAAGTTGAAGGATACAAAAATCAATTGATTTTCTTTTCTTTTCTTTTTTTTTGGAGATGGAGTCTTGCTCTGTCGCCAGGCTGGAGTGGCACGATCTCGACTCACTGTAACCTCCACCCCCTGGGTTCAAGTGATTCCCCACCTCAGCCTCCCAAGTAGCTGGGACTACGGGCGCGTGCCACCATTCCCAGCTAACTTTTTTGTATTTTTAGTAGAGATGGGGTTTCACTATGTTGGCCAGGCTGGTCTTGAACTCCTGACCTCGTGATCTGCCTGCCTTGGACTCCCAAAGTGTTGGGATTACAGGCGTGAGCCACCACACCCAGCACAGTTGATTTTCTATATGCTAACAGCCATCAATCTGAAAAAGAAATCAAGAAAACAATCTCATTCACAATAGCTACAAAAAAGCAAAATAAAATACCTAGCAATAAATGTAAGCAAGGAAGTGAAAAATCTCTACCCGGAAAAGTGTACACATTGATGAAAGAAAATGAAGAGAACAAAAAAAAAAAAAAAAAAAAAAGGAAAGATATCTCACGCTCATGAATTGAAAGAATTAATATTGTTAAAATATCCACACTACCCAAAGCCACCTACAGGTACAGTACAATCCCTACCAAAATATCAATGACACTCATCACAGAACTAGAAAAAAAAATCCTAAAATTTGTATGGAACCACAAAAGACCCTGAAAAGCTAGGGCAATTCTGAGCAAAAATAACAAAGCTAGAGGCATTCCTCTACCTGACTTCAAGTTGTACTACAAAGGAAAGCAAATTTTTGTGTCAGTGTAGTAGTTGAGGAGCTGCCACCACAGCCCCTGGAGAAGCACTTAGAAAAGACTTGCCTCATGGTCTTTTATTGACTATCCTGTTAAAGGCACTAGGAGAGGTAGATAGGATTTGACTACTTCATTTCCACCCTGATTCTTGTCCAGTTGCTTACCACCTACATACATTCTCACACATTCCTCACCAGGGCCCCAGCTCATGCCCTTTCCTGAGCCCTGCTCTGTGGCCGCCAGTCCTCTCCCAGGTAAGCATTCCGCCTTCTTTCCCTTCCCCTCTTCAAAACTTAGTGCAAAAGTTTCTGGGCCTAGTTCGCATCTTTCTGATTTTTCTCATCTCTGAAATGGGAATAATAAGAATGATAGTGGGAATAATAATAGAAACCTGTGATAAAACCTGTGAATTACAGTTGCCGTAAGGATTAGATAACATTATACATGCTTGAAAACTTGTTGGAAACTGCGAAGGACTATAAAAACAGAAGTTGTTTTTATTGCCTTTATTCCTAAAGAAGATTGCAAGTGTCAGGGTGTTCAGGTGCTTGGCTGCTTGTCTCTCAGAGTGAATTAATGTGAGATGTTGCCAAGTGTTTCAAAAGGAAAATCCACTCTACTTCAGCGGGACGTCCACCCACCTTGCACAAAACCCTCTGGAAAGAAGTCTTTCGGTTTGCAAACTGGAGGCGTGGGAAAACAGAAAGCGCCCAAGGAGCACCTGCCCGCACCCCGCCCGCCCCCAGGCACCTGGGGCGCTGCCGCCTGCAGTCCCGGGAACCCCTATGACCTCCGGGGGCGGTGTGGAGAGCGCTCGCCCGCCTGGCCAGGGGAAGCCAAGACTTAGGGCCCTAGGAGTTAACTAGGTTGATTGATTTTGCAGTTGACCAAGAACTTCAAAACCCCCCGGGCGGTACCGGTTACTTCGGGGAGGCCCGCACACTTCCTCCGGGAAGGCCAGGAAGTAAGTGATGGTGCAGTAAAAATGACAGATTCACGGTTGTGGAAGAAGTAGGGTATATTTTTGGAGCAGCTCTAGCTGTCCCTGTGTTGGAAGAACGAGAGGGACCTGGGAGTCCGTTTCTCCACTCATCTCAAGAACCGCACGTCCTGCCAGGTCACCGAGGCAAGTGCTAGAACGGAAGAGAGCAAGCACTGCGAGGAGGCCCGAGGAGCCACGCAATCCAGACACCCGCCGCATGTCGCAGTCCGCCCAGGACGGGGGCGCGGGCTCACCTGTCTGCGGGGCGGCCCTTGGCAGGCCTGTTTCCATGGGTGAACAATGGGCACCTTACCAACTAACCTCCCTCGCCGAAGAGGGGCTGAAGTGTTTCTATTTCGACCTCCCTACAAAAACTACCCGAGAAAATAGGAGTTATGTTTTTAGTTCGAAGAAAAAAATAATGCTATAAATGTGACTCCTGCGGAGAAATGCTTCTCAGGTGTGAGAGGGGAACTGGGTAAGAGGACGGCTTAGAGGAAGGACAAATGGGACAGGGCTTATGGGGCATGTGAATGTAAATCGGCACATGTGCGCACATATGCAAAAATACAGTGTCAAGACTCACGGCCTTTCTGGGTCACGCAGGCTCCACCGTCTAAGGAGACGGAGTCACCAACAGTACAAGTCCCGACGGCCAAGAGGGCCCATTTTCTGCGCTTGCGCAATCATCACGTTTCCTTCCCCGCCCCGAGCCCCGCCCCCGAGCGCGCTCCGCCCCGCCCCCTTCTCCTCCCCTTCCCCAGCCAGGCCGCCGGCGCAGAGCATTGTGGGACACAAACAAAGTGCCCCCAAACAGGCTGGAGTGAGCGGAGCGGCAACGGCGGCGGCGCCGGCCGCACGCGCGCGGCGGCGGCTCCCTCCCAACCTCCCCCTCCCCTCCCCTCAGTCCCCTTCCCCTTCCCCACCCCGCCCCGCTGGGAACACGCGAGCCGTCGCCGCGCTCCCCAAACAACCGCCTGCCCTCGGCCAACCGTCCCCAACGGTCGCCAGCGCGCGGCTCCCGGGCCCCCTCGCTCCTCCCCTCTGGCCCCTCCGAGCGCTGGGGGTGCTTCCCTCCCCGCCTCCTCGCACTCCCACTCGCGGGCACGCCGGTGGCTGTGCCGCCATGCCCCACCACAGGCTGCTCACGGGCCTAGGCGCGGCGGCCCGAGATAGGGGCCCCTGAGCCTCCCGGGGGAGGAGAGAGGCAGCGAGCCGCGCTCCGCCCCCTCCCCCCGGGCCGCCGCCGCCGCCGCCTCGCCGCCCCAGCCTGGCGGGAGAAGGAGGAGGAGCAGCAGGCCTCCGGGCCCGGCGCCGCCGCCCGCAGGTAACGGGGAGGGGAGGGCGGGCTCCGGTCGCGCGGGGGACGGCCCCTGCACGCTGCCCGTGGCTGACACCGCGTGGCCCCCACCTGGCGCCGAAGGGAGCGGAGAGCCGGGTCTGTCAGCCTAGTCCGCGCCGGGAGACACCCCACGGGATCCCCTCGGTGGCATTTAATCCTTCTGGGAGGAGACCGGCCTTGGGCCCCGCGGTCCCGGAGCAGTTACCCCGACCTTCCAGGGAGCTGCCCGTCCTTTGCACGCCCATTTGCCCAACACCCTAACCCGGAGCGGCCGGAGTGTTGCCACCTCTCACCTGGTCGAACCCGGGAGGCTCAGACCTGTTTTTTTTCCTCCTTTCCCCTTCTGCTTTTTCTCTGGTACAGAAAGAAAAAGATGGCACTTCTTTAAAAAAATATATATATATATATATACACACACACAAACACACACACACATACACACACACACACACCTCTTTTCCTTTCCTTCCTGAGGATCACTCTGCATCTAGTCGTTTTATTGCTGGCCTAATCAGAAAAAGGGGTTACCTCGAGAAATGACAGGTACGTTAGAACTGATTAAAAGGAAATTGCGTCCATGTGAGTTCTATGAATCCAAGCAGAATTTACAATAAAACCCCGTAATTGTGTGCTTTTTTTTGGAACTTACAAAAATGAAGACAAAAACTTAATTTCTTTTTCAGCGTGTAAGTAGATAATCTCTTGAAGTCAGGAAGAAATTCTCCATAACTTCCACTTATTTTCTTAATGCTTTATTTGGAGATCGGCTGATACCGGAAGCAAGCTGCACGATTTTGATTTCCTTTTCTCTAGGTGTTCAGTTGGAATTCTTGGGTTTAAAAAATACTGTATAAATCTTCATTTCCCCCATTACTTCACTTGGACTGTCAGTGGATTAATAATAATTTTACCTAATGTAGTTTCCCCTTATCATAGAATGTGAATATAATGAACGTAGTCCTTTAGTTTTGTATTTTAGGATTATTAGTAATGTACTGATTAATTATGAAAACCAGATTATTCATTTTGTGCAGTACTGCTTGGCATTTTTGCATTTGTAATTATTTAATTCTCAGAACAACCTAATGATGCAGATATTATTACTTGAATTTTATAGAAGTGACAAACTTAGTGATACGAAGAATTACAACTTGCCTTAGGGCACACAACTAGTAAGATAGTTTAGATTTCAACCCAAATATAATTCCAGTATAGATGTACTTTCGTGTACTTTCTACCGTACTTCTCAATAGAAGTACAATTTTATTAACTTTGTTATGAAAAATTTTAGTCGTATAGAGGTTCGTTCTATACAATTGTGATCGGTTATTCATGCAATGAATAAAAATGCTAATCAATGCAATGAATAACCAACTCAGTGATTAGCATTTTTGCCATATTGTTTCCTGTCTTTCTCTGTATGTGTGTAATTATTTGAAAGTAAGCTGCAAACACTGTAATCCTCAAATATTTCGGCATGTGTTTCCTAAAAATAGGGACATTCTCCTACTAACCCCAGTATCATTATTAATGCCTATCAAAATTAACAACTCCATCTTCAAAATTCCTCAGTTGTTCCAAAGTGTCTTTGAGGGTTCTGCCCCCAGTTGTAGTCAGTCAAGATTCATGCATTGATTGCATTTGGTGATTAAGTCTTTAGTCATTTTGTAAAATGAAGAGTATCCATCCCCTCTTCTTTTTGCAGGGGAAATTAAATAGGATGAATATTCCCTCCCTTCTTTTTTTCTGACACGTAATTGACCAAACCAGTTGTCTTGTAAAATATACCCACATTCTGGATTTGTGCCCTCCTAATGTCATTTCGTTTATTCCTCTTTCTCCCTGAATTTCCTATTAACTGGAAGTTAGGTGTAAAGGAAGGCTTAATTAGCTTAAAGTAAAACTTCCTTTGGCAAGAATATTTAATAGGTGATGCTGTGTACCTCCTGTTGCATAATATAGGAGGCACACAATGTCAGATTCCCACACTATTAATGATGCTAAATGTAACCATTTGATTAAAGTGCTGACTACTGATCTGTTGTAAAGGTGTGGTTTGCCAGTTTGTGATTAATATGTAATCTTGGGGTAAAACTTGGACACTAAGCAAATACCCAGTTTCTGACAATCTTTTGCTTAGTGGTTTTTAGCACCCATGATGACTTTTGCTTAAATCAGTTATTGGAGGTTCTCTGTAAGGAAGAGATTTCCTTCATTAAGTGCAGGTAAACTATTGTTCTTCCCCAAAATGCAAATTAAATGTTAAATTTAATCTCTTTACTTTTCAATATTCATAGTAAAGAGCTGGAGAAATAGCCACCCCCAATGATGTTTTTTGGGGCAGGGGTGAATGATACCACTTCAGACTCTCATGGGTTTTAATTTATTCCTTGTTTTATAACCAGTTACAGTCGTCTTTCTTTTTAATGACCAAATTGTCCCAGATTTGGTCAGTAGGAACCATTTCAAGCTGACTATTGTGTGTCTTGACACCCCTGCTCCCCATTAATCTTGGAGTGCTTTCTGACACGAGTTACTCCAGGGTTTATCTTATACTTTCTTTGCTCACCTCTGGAAAGAGCTGTTTATCCAGGGAGTCTTGGTTCTTTTTAATGAGAAATCGTATATAGAAACCAAGTTCTGGATGTTTGGCATATTCGTTGCTGCTGCAGTATCATTGCTTCTAGGTGCTTTGAGAGGAGAGAACTAAGAAAAAGGTTTTTGCTTGTTTAATCATGAGTTCAGAGTGATATTCCAATTCCTATTTAACAAGCAGACTTTTTCTTCCTTGACTCTATATTTGTCTCTTGTCTTAAATGAAAATCTTGGTTTTTAATACAGTTAATAAACTGGCCAAGCACAGTGGCTCATGCCTGTAATCCCAGGACGTTGAAAGGCCGAGGTGGAAGGATTGCTTGAGCCCAGGAGTTCAAGGCCAGCCTGGGCAACATGATGAGACCCCATCTCTATAAAAAATAAAAAAATTAGCCAGGCGTGGTGGTGTGTGCCTGTGTTCCCAGCTGCTCAGGAGGCTGAAGCAGGTGGATCACTTGAGCCCAGGAGGTTGAGGCTGCAGTGAGCCATGTTCATACCCCACTGCACTTCAGCCTGGATGACAGAGTGAGACCCTGTCTCCAAAAAAAATAATAAACTTATTTGCTTTCTCCCACTGTATACATAAAATCATTTTAAAATTATAGTGCTGGTATTGCTAATACCAATAAGCTTCATGTAGTTTAAGATTTCTTTGCATTTATTTTCGTATTTAGACTATATTGCATGAAGAATGTATAATGAGTACTGTGTTCAAAAGTCACTTGAAATACTTTTCTCTGGTTATGCTACCAATTTGATATGGTTCATAGGTTTCAGTTTTTACTTAGGATTTTATTTTTGAATATGTAAAGTATGTACATAGTGTAGAAGTCAAAATAATGTTTTAAAACTATACTTGGATTAGCCGGGCATGGTGGCACATGCCTGTAGTCTCAGCTACTTGGGAAGCTGAGGCAGGAGAATTGCTTGAACCGGGGAGGTTGCAGTGAGCCAAGATTGCGCCATTGCACTGCAGCCTGGGTGACAAAGCGGGACTCCATCTCAAAAGCAAAACAAAACAAAAAAAAACTATATTTGGATAAACCTCATTAAAATTAGTTTTTAAAGATGAAGTATTGTTTACCTTTACCATACTCCTTTTAGTATCTACTACATTCTCACATCAAGCTCAGAAGAATTAGCAATAGACAAATTATGTTATGTGAAGCCACATAGAAGTACTTTTAAATTTTAAAATTAGATTCTGCTTCCTCTGGCAAAGAGAACTAAGACTAGTTTTTAGAAGTTAGCAGAGAAGTGGATTCCATGCTTACTTTTTTTTTTTTTTAAAGACGGGGGATTTACTGTGTTGCTCAGGCTGGAGTGCAGTGGCTATTCACAGATGTGATCCTACTACTGATAAGCACGGGAGTTTTGACCTGCTCTGTTTCTGACCTGGGCCACTTCTCTCATTAGGCAACCTGGTGGTCCCTCACTCCCTGGAGGTCACCATGTTGATGCCTAATTTAGTGCAGACACCCAATCGGCATAGGATACTACAGTCCAGAACTTCTGGGCTCAAGGGATCTTCCTGCCTCAGCCTCTTGAGTAGCTGGGACTACAGGCACACACCACTGCGCCCAGCTCTTTTTCTTAAATAGTGATTTAAAATAGTGATAGATTCTCATTATGTTGTCCAGGCTGATCTCTCAAACTCCTGAGCTCAAGTGATCCTGCTGCCTTGGCCTCCCAAAGTGCTAAGATTACACATGTAAGCCTGTAGCCGTAGGCCTAGATACCATATTTTTAAATAAAAATTCCATAAAAATAGAACTGTAGCTTTTACTTAAATCATGTCTTTAAAGAGGCAGGTAGTTGGTAGAGGTTTTATGACTCCATCTACTTTTTTAACTTTTTTTTTTTTTTTTTGAGATGCAGTCGCCCTCTGTTGCCCAGGCTGGAATGCAGTGGCTCGATCTCAGCTCACTGCAATCCACCTCTGCCCCCTGGGTTCAAGCGATTCTCCTGCCTCAGCCTCCCTAGTAGCTGGGATTACAGGCATGTACCACCACGCCCAGCTAATTTTTGTATTAGTAGAGATGGGGTTTCACCATGTTGTCCAGGCTGGTCTCGAGCTCCTGACCTCAAGTGATTCACCTGCCTCGGCCTCCTGAAGTGTAATCCTGGCCTCCTAAAGTGCTGGAATTACAGACGTGAGCCACTGCGCCCAGGTGACTCCATCTACAACAAAACTGGCATAAATATGCTATGTACAGATAAAAAGGCATTTGGATATGTGATCAGTGGAGATAACACATTTTGTTTGGGTTGGACCAAATTTGATATAAATTCATAATTATGTGATCTCAAATGAAGTTTTAAGAGGGAGCAGTGTTCATCTAAAGTAAGCAGAGCACAATTAGGCAGTTTATCAGCCTCCTGTCAACCAAGTGCTGAAAAGCAAAACTGTGCCTGTAGTGTGTTTTCCTGTGTTCATCCTCACTGTCATAGGTCACACTAGCTGAGGCTGGCGTTGCAGGTGGTAAAGGAATTACCAAGGCAATTGTAGGTAAAGAAGGGCAGATTTATTAGAGAAAGTATGAAAGTAGGTTGGTTGCAAGGGTGCAACGGGCAGATCAGCAAGAGAGAAGCTGACTGCCAGGAGACAATGGCTTGCTGGGCATGTTACAGGATGATGCTTCTGCTGTGTGCTGCAGAGAGGGCTATGTGCAGTACTGATAAGGCCAAGGTTGCAGTGAGCTAACTTGCATTTTTCTGTCAGCTGAGAGTCTGGTGATAAGTTGAGTGCAGAAAGCTTGTGAGTTATTTGTGCAAGAGGGCTGTGTGTCTTGGACCATGAAGAAAGGCAGACTTATACCTTATCTGCTTTTTCTTTTTGCTGTACCCTTTTCCCACCCGCCTGACTCCTTTTCCCTTACTAGGACTCCACAATCACTGCTTTCAATAACAGAGTGAACATCTAGTTCCATTAGGGAGTGGAGTGGGAAGATGGAGAATGCTTGCACTTGGACCCATTCACCCTCATTCTGTCTTTAATCTCAGTAAAATACATACACTACCCAAGGTTCTTAGAACATATAAGGTGATGAAGAAGAATACTATAAACAGTTGCATGGGTATGTGTAGCCATGTAGCAGCTAGAACCTGTTGTGTAGGCTGAATGAACTAATACAGTGTTGATAATAATGCTAACATTTGTTATGCCCTTTCTGTATGCCAGCTGTGCTAAACATTTTATACATTATCTTATTTAAATCTCACATTAACACTTTGACATTGCTACTAGTATCTTATTTTGCAGTAAGGAAACTGGTATCTAAAAGCATTAAATGACTTGCCTAGAGTATCACAATAAGTGGCCGACCCAGGTTTCAAATTCAAGGCTGTTTAGAGTTAGCACTTAGCTGCTTTGCTCCACCTCACAACTAAATGTAACAAGTCATAAAAATTGAATAAATTTTCAGTCACCATGAATACGGAACTACATGACTGATGCTGTAACAACCTCAGAGATTGCAACGGGGATATGTTCTGAGAAATGCGTCGTTAGGCGATTGTGTCATTGTATGAACATCATAAAGTGTACTTAGACAAAACTTGATGGTATGGCCTACTCTACATCTAGGTTATATGGTATAGCCTGTTGCTCCTAGGCCACGTATCTGTACAGCATGTTACTGTACTGAATGCTGTAGGCTTTTGTAATGCAGTGGAAAGTATATGTATATCTAAGCATATCTAAACCTAGAAAAGGTGCAGTAAAAATATGGTATTACAGGGTTGCGCACGGTGGCTCATGCCTGTAATCCCAGTACTTTGGGAGGCGGAGGCGGGTGGCTCACCTAAGGTCAGGAGCTCGAGACCAGCCTGACCAATATAGTGAAACCCTGTCTCTACTAAAAATACAAAAATTAGCCAAGTGTGGTGGCATGCACCTGTAGTCACAGCTACTTGGGAGGCTGAGACAGGAGAATTGCTTGAACCTGGAAGGTTACACCAGTACCATGCTGTTTTGGTAACTATAGCCTTGTAGTATAGTTTGAAGTCAGGTAATGTGATTCCTCCAGCAGTGAGCCCAGATTGCACCACTGCCCTCCAGCCTGAGCGACAGAATGAGACTCTTGTCTCAAAAATAATATGGTATTATAATATGGGACGGTTGTGGTATTTGTGGTCTATCATTGAGGGACACATGCCACGCATGATTGTATATCATTTTCCTTTCTCATAGGTGCGGGAGTTTCTGACCCCTTGCTTCAGAAACTGCATTTAGATACTACTTTAAAAGGCATTTTAAAAGTAGAGTAAAAATCAAGATGGATTGATGGATGGATAGGTATGTGATAAAACAATAACAGTAGACTTTTTTTTTTTTTTTTGAGACAGAGTCTTGCTGTGTTGCCCAGGCTGGAGTGCAGTGGCACGATCTCAGCTCACTGCAAGCTTCATCCCCTGGGTTCACGCCATTCTCCTGCCTCAGCCTCCCAAGCAGCTGGGACTACAGGTGCCTGCCACCATGCCTGGCTAATTTTTTTGTATTTTTAGTAGAGACGGGGTTTCACCGTGTTAGCCAGGATGGTCTTGGTCTCCTTACCTTGTGATCTGCCCACCTTGGCCTCCCAAAGTGCTGGGATTACAAGCGTTAGCCACCACACCCGGGCTACAGTAGAATGTTAATGGTGGGCTTTAGGTATGGCTATTCAGGTATTCAACTATAATTTTTTTTTTTTTTGCTTGTTCTTTGATTTTTTTTTTTTTTGAATGTTGATAGTTTTGGGGGTGCAGGTGGTTTTTGGCTATATGGATAAGTTCTTTAGTGGTGATTTCTGACATTTTGGTGCACCCGTCACCTGAGCAGTGTACGCTGTACCCAATGTGTAGTCTTTTATCCCTCACCCCACTTGCACCCTTCCCTCCAAGTCCCCAAAGTCCGTTATATCCTTCATATGCTTTTGCGTCCTTGTAGCTTAGCTCCCACTTATAAGTGAGAACATACGATATTTGGTTTTCCATTCCTGAGTTACTTCACTTAGAATAATGGCTTACAACTCCATCCAAGTTGCTGCAAAAGCCAGTATTTCATTCAGTTTTCATGGTGTAAATATACCACGTTTTCTTTATCTGCTCGTTGTTTGATGGGCGTTTAGGTTGGTTCTATATTTTTGCAATTGTGAATTGTGCTGCTGTAAGTGTGTGTACATGTGTCTTTTTCACATAATGACTTCTTTTCTTTTGGGTAGATACCCAGTAGTGGGATTGCTGGATCAAATGGTAGTTCTACTTTTAGTTCTTTTTTTTTTTTGAGTGGAGTTTAGCTCTTGTTGCCCAGGTTGGAGTGCAGTGGCGCAATCTCGGCTCACTGCAACCTCTGCCTCCTGGGTTCAAGCCATTCTCCTGCCTCAGCCTCCCAAGTAGCTGGGATTACAGGCATGCACCACCACGCCCAGCTAATTTTGTATTCTTAGGAGAGGTGGGTTTTCTCCATGTTGGTCAGGCTGGTCTCGAACTCCCGACCTCAGGTGATCCGCCCACCTCAGCTTCCCAAAGTGCTGGGATTACAAGTGTGAGCCATCGTGCCCAGCCTACTTTTAGTTCTTAAAGGAATCTCCATACTGTTTTTCATAGTGGTTGTACTAGTTTACATTTCCACCAGCAGTGTAAAAGTGTTCCCTTTTCACCACAGTCATGCCAATATTTATTATTTTTAATTTTTAAATTATAGCCATTCTTACAGGAGTAAGGTAGTATCTAATTGTGGTTTTAATTTGCATTTCCCTGATAATTAGGGATGTTAAACATTTTTTCATGTGTTTGTTGGCTGTTTTTATATCATTTGAGAATTGTCTATGTTTTTTTTAACCCATTTTTTGACAGGATTGGTGGTTTTTGTTTGTTCGTTTGTTTTTGCTGGTTTGTTTGTATTCCTTGTAGATTCTGGATATTAGTCCTTTGTTGGATGCATACTTTGCAAAAATTTTCTACCACTTTGGGTTGTCTCTTTACTCTGCTGATTATTTCTTTTGCTATGTAGAAGCTTTTTAGTTTAATTAGGTCCCATTTATTTTTGTTGCATTCGCTTTTGGTTTTTTGGTCATGAATTCTTTGCCTAAGCTAATGTCTAGAAGAGTTTTTCTGATGTTATCTTCCAGAATTTTTATGGTTTCAGGCCTTAAGATTTAAGTCTTTGATCCACCTTGTGTTGATTTTTGTGTAAGATGAAAGATAAAGATCCAGTTTCATTCTTCTACATGTGGCTTGCCAATTATCCCAGCACTGTTTGTTGAATAGGGTGTCCTTTCTCCACTTTATGTTTTTGTTTGCTTTGTCAAAGACCAGTTGGCTGTAAGTATTTGGCTTTATTTTGGGGTTCTCTATTCTGTTCCATCGGTCTACATGCCTGTTTTTATACCAGTACCATGCTGTTTTGGTGACTATAGCCTTGTAGTGTAGTTTGAAGTCAGGTAATGTGGTTCCTCCAGATTTGTTATTTTTGCTTAGTCTTGCTTTGACTATGTGGGCTCTTTTTTGGTTCCATATGAATTTTAGAATTGTGTTTTCTAGTTCTATAGAATGATGATGGTATTTTGATGTGAATTGCATTAAATCTGTAGATTGCATTTGGCAGTAAGGTCATTGTCACCATATTGATTCTACCCATCCATGAGCATGGGATGTGTTTCCATTTGTTTGTGTCATCGATGATTTGTTTGAACAGTGTTTTGTAGTCTTCCTTGTAGAGATCTTTCACCTCCTTGGTTAGGTATATTCCTAAGTATTTTAATTTTTCTTTGGCAGCTGTTGTAAAAGGGATTGCGTTCTTGATTTGATTCTCGGCTTGGTCATCATTGGTGTATAGCAGTGCTACTGATTTGTGTACATTAATTTTGTATCCTGAAACTTCACTGAATTCATTTATCAGATCTAGGAGCTTTTCAAATGAATCTTGAGGGTTTTCTAGGTATAAGTTTGTATCATCAGCAAACAGCAACAGTTTGACTTCCTCCTTTGCAGCTTGGTATAAAATTCTTTAAATTTTGCTGTATCTAAAAGTTTTCAAAATAAAATGTTACTGACTAAAAATATATTCTTAGGACTGTACTTTCAGGGATCATTTCTATAGTTTGTTTCTAGAGAAGTTTCTCTGAATATGTAGAGCACTGGAAAAATCAATATTTTTTTTAAAAAAGAGAAAAATATATGTATATTCTTATTATAAAGCAGTATTGGCAGCTGTGTAAAAACCAGTAACATGCTGTATCCTCCATGTCTGTGTACGATGATCCTCTGAAAAATTTATTAACTCTTCCTAGTCTTTTATCACTGAAAATGGTCAAGCATTAAAGACTGTTGTAAAGAGGGTTCCCTCATTACTTAGGAGGCTTCTAATTAAGCTCCTTCCAATATGATTTTTTAATACTCTTATAAATATTTCATATATCAAATTTCCGCCTGTGGTTTCCTGACATTTTGTAACCCCTATTGAATACACTCTATATAAGCGTTATGGGGTGTTTTTGCTTTTTAAGTGCTACCACATTCACAACTGTAACGGATAGTCCTTGGTACTTCAGAATAATTGTTTAAAATTTATCTCCTGTTAAGCTAAAAGTTACATTAGTTTTTCTTTGTTCTTTATAGTAGAAATACTTCACCCCATTTTAAGCAATGAGCTAGAAATATTCCAAGCCATAGGATTTAAAATAATGATTGTATGTGTGCCTTTAAAAATTAAAAAAATACATTAGATTTGTATTATGCTTGAAGGCCACATTGAGTGTTAAATTAATTTTTTCACTAATATTATTAGTTACAATGTTGATATTGGCTGGCACAGTTTTACATAACTTACCCTGGAGTAAATCACTGACTTGTATTATCATGTTGTTTCACGTTGATAACTCTGTCTTGCAAGAGTGAAATGGGTGGCTGAAGCTTATTAATTAGAGAATAACATCCTTCTTTGTCTCCACATTGAATATTCTTCCCTTTTAATACTTTCCTTATATAGCTTTAAAAAAAAAACTTAAAATTACAGATGTTTGATACCTGGCCTTTTTACAATTTTGATATTCTTTTACTTCAGGATATTGCTATCCTTCTACAGGTATTAAATGATATTTTTTGGGGGGTGTTTTTTTGGGTTTTTTTGTTTTGGTTTTGGTTTTTTTGAGATGGAGTTTCGCTCTTGTTGCCCAGGCCGGAGTGCAATGGCGCCATCTTGGCTCACCACAACCTCCACCTCCCAGCTTCAAGCAATTTTCCTGCCTCAGCCTCCCGAGTAGCTGGGATTACAGGCATGCGCCACCACGCCCAGCTAAGTTTGTATTTTTAGTAGAGACAGGGTTTCTCCATGTTGGTCAGGCTGGTCTTGAACTCCCAGCCTCAGGTGATCCACCCACCTCGGCCTCCTAAAGTGCCGGGATTAAACGTGTGAGCCACTGTGCCCGGCCTTGGTATGTATTTTTTAATGCTGAAGTGATTTGCTATTGATTTGGTTTTGATAGTTTTTTACGCACTCAGCATAACTACAAACATCTTGGCAACGTGTAACTAAGACTGTGAGTCTCTGGAATCTAGTTTTTGTGGAACTACTACCCTCTAGCTTCTGAAACAACTTTAGATGATTCCTTTTAAAAATTATTTTCTTTTATTCCAATCTTAACCTGTTAGGTATCTGATCCTTGCCTATTCTTGGCAGATAAGCATATCCAATAGTGTATTTTATTAAATAATCGTGCTCTTTGATAAGAAAATAAAGAATAAGTTTTTCAGGGACTTAGATTTACTTACTTTGCTTTAATTTCACTTTTGTGTATGTGTGGGTGTGTGTGATGGAGTTTCACTCTGGTCCCCCAGGCTGGAGCGCAATGGTGTGATCTTGGCTCCCTGCAACCTGCACTTTCCAGGTTCAAGAGATTCTCCCGCCTCAGCCTCCCGAGTAGCTGGGATTACAGGTGCGCACCACCACACCCAGCAGGTTTTTGTATTTTTTAAGTAGAGACGGGGTTTCACCATGTCAGGCAGGCTGATCTCGAACTCCTGACCTCAGGTGATCACCTGCCTCAGCCTCCCAAAGTGTTGGGATTACAGGCGTGAGCCATCACGCCCGGCCCTCATTTCACTTTTTTACTGGTGGTGGTTACTGTTGTGTGTATGTGTTTCTTCTACTTACAGCTTTTTCTCCTTTTTACATTTTTCCTGGGTTTTACTTTTTCTTTGGCTCTTTGCTCTTCTTACTTTCTGCTTTGGACCTTCCCACTGCTCATTTCCTTTTTGTGGCTTTCCATTACTGAATCAGGACGGTTTCTTTTGTCTTTGGTGCACTTCACATGCTGTATAAAACTAACCCATTCTTCCAAGAGAATTATTTTTATTTACAGGAATCAGTGCTTCTCTTTGTCTTTGTGTCCACTTGGTATTGTTTTTTCCTTCTTTCTACTTTCCGCCACTAGTTTTACCTAACTTCACTTTGAGAGGCAGTATAGCATAGTGTAAGGAGCACCAGTTAGCATGCTAGCTGGGTTCAACTCTTGACTCTGTTACCTGTTGTGTGGCTAGTTCCTTAACTTGTCTATGCTGCCTTTTCCTCACTGGTAAATGAAGATACCTGGTGATAGCTATCACAAAAGTTTATGTGAAAATTAAGTTACATAATATGTAAAGCGTACTTAGAACAATACTTGGCACATATTGGGTACTATGTAAGTATTAACTATAAACTAATGATTATTATTACTTTTTTTTTTTTTTTTGAGACAGGGTCTCCCTCTGTCGCCTAGGCTGGAGTGCAGTGGTGTGATCGTGGCTCATTATGGCCTCGATCTCCTGGGCTCACCGGGTTCAAGAGATCCTCCCACCTTAGCCTCCTGAGTGACTGGGACTACAGGTGCACTCCACCACTCCCATCTAATTTTTGTACTAGAGATGGGGTTTTGCCATGTTGCATTGGCTGGTCTCAAACTCCTGGGCTCAAGCAGCCTGCCCAACTCAGCCTCTCACAGTGCTGAAATCACAGGCATGAGCCACTGCACCTTGCCTATTGTTACTACTTTTAATATAAAATGGTTCAAAGCAGTTGGGTCTTCAGTGCCTCTTATCATACATCCTTCTACTTTTTTCTCCACATTTATTTATTTATTTGAGACAGAATCTGGCTCAATTGCCCAGGCTGGAGTGCAATGGCACAGTCTCTGCTCCCTGAAGTCTCTGCCTCCTAGGCTCAAGCCATCTTCCCAACTCAGCCTCCCAAGTAGCTGGGACCACAGATGCACACCACCACACGCAGCGGATTATTATATTTTTTGTAGATGCCCGCATCTACGTGATCTTACCATGTTGCCCAGGCTGGTCTTGAACTCTTAAGCTCACGTGATCTGCTTGCCTTGGCCTCCCAAAGTGGTGGGATTAAAGGCATGAGCCAGCATACTCGGCCTCCACGTGTTATTTTTCATGTTTCATTTTCTTAAAAATTCTACTTCATCATCTTTTCTCTCAGGAGTCTGCCTCTTAAAACTTGAAAGAGGAGTAAAGCCAAAGCCAGACAAGAACTCTAGCTACTTCTCACCACGCCACCAATAAACTTAACTATAGCTGTACTCTTTCTTTCCTCTCCCCATCTCCCCAGCCTGGGCCTCCGCCTGTTTAAGGCTAATCCTTTCACTCATCCTCTGAATCCCATTTCCTTCTACCTATCTAGGGACCTTATACCATCTGTTATCACCCGTTTCCTGTATCTTTAACCTTTCCCTCTTTTCTGTGTCTTTTCCAACAAAAATCAAAACATTCTGTTTATATTTTACTTTAATAAAAAAAAAATCTGAGAGAGTAACAAGGGAAAAAAACATTTTCTAGCTTGTCCATTCTGTAAAAAATCAGTATCCTCGCCTGACCCCTTACTTTTGTCCAGCTAACCCCCTTGCTCTATTTTTAGAACCTAGCTACTTTATGATGAATTATCTTTACTCACAGTTTTCACTTCCTCATGTCTGTATATTCTTTCTTTTTCTATGGCAATCTTGCTTCTAATTCTACTTTTTTCTTATATGCTATTATAAGGTCATCAGTGATTCCTCTGTGGCTAAATCAAATAGACTTTGGTTTCTATCTTATTTGACCAGTCAGCAGCATTTGACACTGTCAATCACCACTCCTTGAAATACCTTGTACCCTTGGTTTCTGAAGTAACTCCTACTATGCTGGTTATTCTGTGTATCTATCTCTTTCACAGGTTTCCCTTCTGATACCCCGCCTTCACTTTTTTCCTCTTTTTTTTCTTAATTGGTCTAGCTAAAGGTTTATCAATTTTGCTTATTTTTTTCAGAGAACCAAGTTTTGGCTTTAATTTTTCCTATGGCTTCTCTGTTTAATTTATGTCTGTGCTTTGTTTTGTCTATTTATTTTGGGTTTTCTTTGCTCTTTTTCTAGCTAAGGTAGACACATAGACCATTGATTTGTGTGTGTGTGTGTGTGGTGAAATACACGTAACATAAAATTTGCCATCATAACCATTTTTAAGGGTACAGTTCAGTGGCATTAAGTACATTCACATTATTATACAACCATCACCACCACCCATCTTTCAGAACTCTCTTCATCTTTCAGAAGTGTAACTGTGCTCGTTAAACAGTAACTCCCCATCTCTGTCTCCCCACATCCCCAGGCAACCACCCTTCTACTTTTCTGTCTCTGAATTTGAGTGTCCTCTAAGTACATCGTGTAATCGGAATCATATGGTATTTGTTCCTTAATTATTGGTTTATTTCACTCGCATAATGTCTTCAAGGTTTGTTTGTGTTGCAGCATGTATCTGAATTTCCTTCCTTTTTAAGGCTGAATAATATTCCATTGTGTATTTATGCCACATCTCATTAATTCATTCATCTCTTGTGGACATTTGGGTTGCTTCTACCTTTTGGCTGTTGTGAATAATGCTGCTTTGAATATTAATGTACAAATACTGGTGTGTCCTTGCTTTCACTTCTTTTGGGTATCTACCCAGAAATGGAATTGCTGGATCATATGGTAATTTCTATTTTTTATTTTTTGAGGAGCCCCTCTATACTGTTTTCTATAGTGGCTATGCCATTTTACATTCCCACCAACCATGCACAAGGATTTTAATTTCTCCACATCCTTGCCAAGACTTGTTATTTTGTTTTTTTTTTTTACTATTACATTAGACATTCAAATGGGTATGAGGTGGTAAGTCATTGATATTTAGAGACCATCATTTTTTTTTTTTTTTTGTCCCCGAGACGAAGTCTCGCTCTGTCACCCAGGCTGGAGTGCAATGGCACGGTCTCGGCTCACTGCGACCTCTGCCTCCTGGGTTCAAGTGATTCTCCTGCCCCAGCCTCCCAAGTAGCTGGGATTACAGGTGCGTGCCACTATGCCTAGCTGAATTACAGTTAAAAATATATTCCAGTTTCCTTTGTTGATTCCTTATTTGACCAGCCCATGGGTTATTATTTAGAAGTGCATTGTTTAATTTCCAGATATTTAGGGCTTTCTTGATATTTTATTACTTATTTTTTTCTGTTTTGGTGAAAGAACATACTCTGTGCATTCATTCCTTTAAAATTTATTAAGATTTGTCTTATGGCCCAGCATATGATCTTTCTTGGTGAACATACCACTTTGCACTTGAAAAGAATGTATATTCTGTACTATAAATGTCAATGTGGTGACGATGATTGCCCTTTACAGTTTTTTTTAATGTTTTGAGACAGGGTCTCACTCTGTTACCCAGGCTGGAGTGCAGTGGATCGATCTTGGCTCACTGTAACCTCCACCTCCCAGGGTTAACAAATCCTCTCACCTCTGCCTCCCAAGTAGCTGGCACTATAGGTGCATGCCACTATGTGTGGCTAATTTTTGTATTTTTTGTAGAGATGGGTTTCACCATGTTTCCCAAGCTGCAGATCTTTTATCTTTACTGATGGTTTTGTGTGTGTGTGTGTGTGTGTGTGTGTCTGGGTGTCTGTGTGTCTGTGTGGTTCAGTTCTATAATTGCAGAGAGGTGATATTAAAATCTTCAACTATTGCTGGGCGTGGTGGCTCACGCCTGTAATCCTAGCACTTTGGGAGGCTGAGGCAAGCGGATAACCTGAGGTTAGGAGTTCGAGACCAGCTTGGCCAACATGGTGAAACTCCGTCTCTACTAAAAATACAAAAAGTGGCCAGGCGTGGTGGCACGTACCTGTAGTCCCAGCCACTTGGGAGACTGAGACAGGAGAATCGCTTGAACCCAGGAGTTGAAGGTTGCAGTGAGCCAAGATCATGCCACTGCACTCCAGCCTGGGTGACAGAGCGAGACTCAGTCTTTAAAAAAAAAAAAAAAAAAAAAAAACTTCAACTTTTGGCCGGGCATGGTGGCTCACACCTGTAATCTCAGCACTTTGGGAAGCTAAGGTGGGTGGATTCGTTGAGCCCCAGGAGTTTGAGACCAGCCTGGGCAACATAATGAAACCCTGTCTCTACAAGAAAATACAAAAATCATCTGGGTGAGGTGGTGCATGCCTGTAGTCCCAGCTATTCAGGAAGCTAAGGTGGGAGGATTGCTTGAGTTCGGGAGGTCCAGGCTGTGTGTGTTGTGATTGTGCCTCTGCACTCTAATCTAGGCAACAGAGTAAGACCCTATCTCAAAAAAAAAAAATCATCAATTATTATTGTGGAATTATCTTTCCCTTTAATTTTGTCAGTGTTTTATTTTGAAGCATACACATTTTTTATTACTCACCTCTATCTTTGATAATACTTTGTCTTAAGTCTGCTTTATCTGATATTAAAGTAAGCCAACTCCAGCTTTCTTGTACGTACTGTTTGCATGATATATGTTCTTCCATATCTGTCTTTTTTTATTTAAAGTGTGTTTCTTATAAAAAACATATATTTGAGAATGCTTTTATCTCTTCTGACAATCTGTGACTTTTAGTCAAAACATTTAGTTTATTAAAAAGCAACATGTATTAGTTTGCTAGGGTGCCGTAACAAACTATGACGAAGTAGGTGGCTGTTAACAGAAATTTTTGTCTCATAGTTGTGGAGCCTTGAAGTTCGAAATCAGGCATAGGTAGGGTTGGTTCCTCCTGAGGACCATGAGGGAAGCATCTCTTGTTCCACGTCTCTTTGCTTCTGGTAGTGCCTTGGCTTGTCTTCATGGGGCATCCTCCCTATGTGCATGTCTGTCTACAAATGTCCCCTTTATACGAGGACACCTTAATGATCTCCCTTGAACTTGATTACCTCTATAAAGACTCCATTTCCAAATAAGGTCCCATTCTGAGGCACTGGGGTTTAGGACCTCAACGTATCTTTTTAGAGAACCCAATTCAACCCCATACCAAGACATATATAAAGTTAACTGCTTGTGCAGAGGTAAGTTGGCGAAAGCCACAGTACTTGTGTACATATTTTTTTAAAAGGTACAAAAATTTAATTATATTAAAACAGTAACATACATTTGTGTGTATGAGGGAGGGATATTTAAAATTAAAATATTATATAATCACAAGAAAGACCTAATATTCTTGCTCTGCTCTTGGGCAACCAAGAAAATTAGAGCCTGTTTTATATCCCAAAAATAAAAAGAGACTTGATAGAAGTTACAGTGCTCAGTGCTTGCAACCCAAGTCAATTTATGCTCTTGTTAGATAAGTTTAAATTCTAAAGGCTACAAAAATCTTATTAAATCAAGGGGAAAAAATTCATTTTAGAACAGTTATTCAAGATGAAAGAAAGGCATGTCTTCAATGAGAGAGCTGCCTGCTATCGGATGATTTCTTGCTAATGTGTTTAAAGATTTTGGACTTCTCAACTTTCTTGATTTTCTGGTAGTCAAATCCACCACCACCTCCTCGCTTTTTCTGCTTGCCTTCATTGCCATTGACATTCAGATCAACAAAGGCAGGCACTTTGAAATCAAATGGCAGAGCAACTTGAGGCAAATTTAAGTTATTTACATTAAAGATCTGTTTCAGAGAATGGGAATCATAACCTCATATGTATGACTTATATGCTTCCTGGGCTGACTTACAAAGAAAGTAGTTCTTTTCAATCAATTTCTCAAGCTGAGACTGAATGTCAGAAATTTTAGACCAGGAAAAGTCAAATTCACTTAATGGAACCTTGGATTGTTTCAAGTAGAAGAAAACCCAATTATTCTGGGCCCAAAATGGGCAAGGCATGTCTTCTCCCATTTAGGCCTCTGGCTGTTCTACCTACACGATGAATATATTCCTTAGGGTCATCCGGATGGTCATAGTGAACAATCCAGTTGACTTGAGGAATGTCCAGTCCTCTTGCCACCACATCCGTACACAATGTGTTCCCAAATCTGTGTTGCAGAACTGGAAGAATGTGGTCGTACATTTATTTTGCTTTTGCTTTCCATGAATGGCCAAGACGGGCAAATCAATGTAGTTCAGCAACTCATAGTGGTATTTCACGGACATACAAGATGAAAAGAAGACCACGAGCTTCTTTCGGTTCTTCTTAAGGAATGTAAAGAGCAGAAGGAATCTCTTTTCAGAAGGACAAACAACATATCCCTGCTCAAGACCATCCACTGTTGTATTAGCTTTATCATCATCAACACTAACATACAATGGCTCCTTTTTTCAGAGAAATCCTTGCCAACCTTCAAAACTTTTCGAGTTTGGGTGGCAGAAAAGAGCATAGTCTGTCTACATGTTGGCAAAAGTTTAATAATTTGCTTTAATTCCTCTTCATACCCAACATCCAAGATACGATCAGCTTCATCAATAACCAGACACTGCAGGTTTTTATACATAAACCCTGGGATATTCTGCATATGATACAGCAGACGGCCTGGTGTGGCCACAGTGATGTTGATCCCATTAGCAAGTTTCTGTGCTTCAGCAGATCCGTTACTGCCACCCATTATCAACCCATAGGTATGCACGTGGTGAGTCTTTAGCTCCTTAAGAACACCAAAAATTTGCATGGCTAATTCTCTAGTAGGTGAGAGAACAAGGACTCCGCATGCATTCCTGGGCATGAATTTTAACAATGAGTTCTACTGCAGGTTTGAGAAAAGCCAGGGTTTTACCACTGCCTGTTTTTGCAGCTGCTAGAAGATCCCTGCCTTCCAGAAGTGGTCTGATACTTTCATGCTGAATTTCAGTCATGTTGGTAAAACCCATTTTTTTTTTTAACTTCAGAGTTTTCATTGACAATATTATGTAGAGAAGCAAATGAAGTATCCTCAAATGCTCCTGTGAGTCCCAGGGGCAGGCTGGGCACCTCACTGTCATCTTCATCATTATCTGGCTTCTCTACGTTATTTTCTGTTTCTTTAGGAGTCTCGGCACTTTCTTCTCAGATTCCTCTTTGTTTTCAGTTTTTGCTTTTTTTGTATCAGTCCCAGCATCATTCACCATTTTTCTCTTTTGATTCTGAATTGGGAGACTGCATTGCTGCTTCTCCATTGGTTAATACGGTGGATTTCTGGGGAGATTTTTTAGGTTTTATATCTTCCACTGCCTCTTGAGACATGTCTCCATTTGGAGCTTCTGATAAGCCCACATTCATAGAATGTTTTCATTTTTTAACCCTTCTACCTCTCATTGTTTCTTCAGACACATCTGCATTTTGAGTTTCTGACAGGGTCAGATTTGAGGCCCCTGCAACTTTAGGTTCTGGTGCCGCAGTTTGAGTTTCTGCTTCTTGATCTTCTTGCGCAGGAGTTTTTCATTGGCAGGTGAGACATTGCTGTCCAAGAAGTGCCTAGATCACGACGTCACACAGTACAGCTACTCAGTTCTCGGGGCTGACGTTGCTTCCACTTGTATACATATTTTAAAGCGTATATGCAGTTGAACTCTTGAGTACTTGGTGTGGACGCTTAAAAACTCTTTAGGGAAAATAAGGAGCTCTTTAAATGCTAGTTGACTAAAACTGACTTGAATTTTACTTGCTCATGTAAGGAGCCAAATGGATGAATAAGATAGATAGGCCCTCTATTCAGTCTTTCTTTCTAGATAAAATAATATGATGTGAATAGCAGATATCCCTTAAGTACTCTGATTAACCTGTTTTGCCTACCGTTCCATTATTGGAACACTAAGCATGTGGGAGTTATTTCTGTCCTGCTCAAGGTCATCGCTAAGGTCTGATTGCAAAAATTCAAATAATTGCAACCTCTGGCATAAATGGGTTAAATTATTATAAACAACAACATAATGGGGTGGGGAGAAATAACTGGGAATTGAAGATTTTTTTTTTTTTTTTTTTTTTTTTTTTTTTGGTCATATAGACCTTTGTGTAAATCCTGGTTTTGTTAACTTAGTTATAGGGAAATGGACAATTTAATTTGATTTTCTGTCTCCTCATTTAACACTGGATTTATTTTTATTTTTATTTTTATTTTTTTAAGACAGAGTCTCTCTCTGTCACCCAGGCTGGAGGGCAGTGGCGTGATCTCAGCTCACTGCAACTTCTGCCCCCCAGGTTCAAGCAATTCTTGTGCCTCAGGCGCCTGAGTAGTAGCTGGGGTTACAGGCGTGCACCACCACACCCAGCTAATTTTTGTATTTTTAGTAGAGACGGGGTTTCGCTGTGTTGGCCAGGCTGGTCTCAAACTCCTGGCCTCAAGAGATCCACCCATCTCGGCCCCACAAAGTACTGGGATTACAGGTGTGAGTTACCGTGCCCGGCCTATAACTGGATATAAAAAATCCTTTTACCAGAGTTTGTGAGTCCAGAGTGAGATAGTGACACTTGGTGGGAGTTATTCAATGTACATTAATTTATCTTCTCTTGATGTAGAAAGTAACAATCAGCATGACTTGGTGACTACTAACAAGGAGAGGAAATTCTAATCATTTAATGTTTCTGATTTAATTGATTTATTGATAACTCTCCATTACTTTTTCAAATCTCTGAACTAGAAAGGGCTTATTCATAGAGTAAAATGATTAGAATCTTTGTTTCATTGAAAAACAACTAGTTATAAAATGGTTTTTTTGTTTGTTTGTTTGTTTGTTTTGAGATGGAATTTCGCTTTTGTTGCCCAGGCTGGAGTGCAATGGTGCAGTCTTGGCCCACGGCAACCTCCGCCTCCCAGGTTCAACTGATTCTCCTGCCTCAACCTCCCAAGTAGCTGAGATGACGGCGTGCACCACCATACCCAGCTAATTTCTTTCTTTTTTTTTTTTTTTTTCTTTAAGTAGAGATGGAGTTTCATCATGTTGGCCAGGCTGGTCTCAAACTCCTGACCTCAGGTGATCCACCTACCTTGGCCTCCCAAAGTGCTGGGATTATAGGTGTGAGCCACCACACCCGGCCAAATGGTCTTTTTTTTTTTTTTTTTTGATACAAGATCTTGCTGTCATCCCGGCTGGAGTGCAGTGGTGAAATCACAGCTCACTGTAGTCTCAACCTCCCAGGCTCAAGTGATCCTCCTGCCTCAGCCTCTTGTGTAGCCAGGACTACAGGTGCACAGCACCACACTTAGCTAATTTTTTTTTTTTTTTTTTAATTTTTAGTAGAGACAAGTTCTCTCTGTGTTGCCCAGGCTGGTCTTGAACTCCTAGGCTCAAATGAGCTTCCTGCCTTGGCCTCCCAAAGTGCTGGGATTATATGCATGAGCCATTGTTCCAGGCCTAAAATTATCTTTTTACAACTCAGATAAAGTAGTCCATTTGAAATTCTCCTTGAAAACTTAAAAAACACTTAAGGGAAGTAAACTAGTGTGAAATAAAGATCACAAAACACTTTCAGTAGTGTTCAGAAAAAGAAAAAGCATGTTCCCAAATATGAGTTCTCATGTAAATCTAATCTAAAAACTTGGTTCATATCATGGGAAAATGCCTTTACTTAGATTGATAAGAGTGACAAGTTTAGAGCAAAATATAAAATATGAGGTACTGCTCTATTTGTAAAGTAAAAAAGAGTCTTAATAGTGAGAAACGTCTTATTTTAATAACTTTTGGTGGGGTGGGTGAGTTGTAATTTTCACTAGTTTGAGTACACGTATACATTTTCCATGTAAGTTTAACATGAAGTTTCTACGTTGAGCTGTGGTTCTTCCATTCCTAAATCAATTGTTTTAACAGGTTTCCTGCAAAACGTTTGTATGTTGTGTATGTTACACTCTTAAAATACTAATTTATATGTTTTGTTTATCATTTGCAATTAAGCTTTTAATAATAATGTGATTGAACATAAAAGAATAATACGCTTATCCCAAAAATAAGCACCGTAAATCAAGAACATTTATTCAGCAATTTTTCAATGCACACTTTTATTTATTTTTTTAATTTTTAATTTTTTTCTTATGATCTTGTTGCATACCAGTGTATGTACTCTTTTAGGCAGTTATAGAATATAGACAAGGCTCAGCCTTTTCTGTCAAGTCTCATTAGGCCCATGGGTGAGCAAAATCTGTAAACTACTTACTGATCACTTGTATGTAAAGTATTATACTGGTGGATAGTGACTTTTTTTATGGAATCACTGCAGTATAATAAGCCATATTAAGAGTATAACACATAAATGGTATAGAAACAGAAATAATTAAGAACATCTGCTGGTTTGTCCACACAAATCTTGTACACAAATGTGCATAGCGGCTTTATTCGTAATAGCCCAACTGCAAACAACTCAAGTCTATCAACAATTAAATGATAAACAGATTGTGTTACATCCATGCAATGAAATAGTATTCAGCAATAAAAAGAACAAAAATCCTTACGCTCAACAGCATGGATGAATCTCAGAATAATTATGTCCATGAAAGAAGCCAGAAAAAAAGAGTACATACTATATAATCCCATTTATATAAAATTCTAGAAAATGGAGCTACTAAAGTGTAAAGCACATTGATAATTCCTGGCAAGGACAGGAAGGTGAGACTGCAAAGAAACTTACAGAAATTGTGGCAGTATTCCTTATCTTGATTGTGGTGGTGATATATATGTTATAACTCATCAAATTGTCCACTATGCAGTTTATTGTACATGAATTATATCAGGAAAGCATTCATAAAGTGATTTTTAAAGAACCTATGCTGGAAGTACAGATGTGATTGATTCCATAAATATATTGGAATAATCCTTGGAGAGATTAGAGTGTATACCCTGGTAAACCTAAATTGATATGCTATCAAACACAGGATCAGTGAGTCCCAACAGAACTACCACCAGAGTTCAGTGTAGAGAAAGACAGCTTGGTTTAATGATAAAATGAGGATAGGATTTAATTAAAGTCAGAGGCTCTGAATTTGAATCCCTGTTAGGCCATATTTTCTCTAATCTTTATTTTTCTCATCTTTAGTTTCATTAAGATTTTAAGATCCAAAGAATATATTTGAAAGTACATCTGAAAGTGACATAAAAATGGAAGGCTGGCCGGGCGCGGTGGCTCACACCTGTAATCCCAGCACTTTGGGAGGCCGAGGTGGGCGGATCCCAAGGTCAGGAGCTCGAGACCAGCCTGGCCAACATAGTGAAACCCTGTCTCTACTAAAAATACAAAAATTAGCTGGGTATGGTGGCACGCGCCTATAATCCCAGCTACTCAGGAAGCTGAGGCACGAGAATTGCTTGAATCCGGGAGGCAGAGGTTCAAGCAATTCAAGAGCCAAGATTGCACCACTGCACTCCAGCCTGGGCAACAGAATGAGACTCCGTCTCAAAAAAAAAAACAACAAAGGCTTTCCTGACATTTAGCTTAGAAGGGAAAACAAAATAAAGTAGAATTTGACCTGTGGAGATCAGTGAGGAGGGAATTCCAAAAAGGGACCAGAGCTGGGAGAGTGGGAATATGTATGATACATATGGAAAATGATGAGTCAAAAGCAGTTTAGGGCAAAGAGTTCATTTTGCAGAGCAGGGAGGGAGAGATAGCAGCCTAAAGTATCTAAAAGCATAATAGAGAGATTATAAAATAGCGAGAAAGTTTACCATCAGGATATAAGTTGCTGTTACTAGCCCTGTAAGCTTAGCCAAGTCATTTAATTCTCTGAGCCTCAATTTCCCCATCAATGTAATGGGAGATAATAATAGTTCTGCCAGATCTCAAGGATTTTATGTATTTAAATCAGTCCATGTCAGATGTGATAGAGTGTAGGATAGTACTGAAAAGTACCAAGTACTGTTGATAGTTCAGCGTGATTATCAAGCTGTGGGCTAATAAGTGTCTGGACTCAGATAATTGTATTTTAGAGACAGTTTAAATAACAGTAAAGATTAATATAAGGCCGGTGAGACTGAAGGCAAGGAAATCAATCAGGATGCTGTTTCAGTAGTCCAAGGCAGAGGCAGAGGCAGTGGCAGTGGAGAAAGGAAGGGATGGATTTGAGATAGGTCTTGGTGACCAGGTCTGTGTTAGGAGGAAAAGGGGAAGAGAAATTGTATTAGTTTTCTGTGGCTGTTGTAATTAATTATCACAAATTAGATGGCTTAAAACAACGAAGTAATTTCCTCACAGAAGCTTGAAATAATCATAACTGGGTTGAGATCAAGATGTTGGCAAGTGCTCCTTCCCTCCGAAGGATCTAGGAGAGAAACCATTCCTTGCCTCTTGCAGCTTATGTGGGCTGCAGGCATATTCATCTTGTGACTATATCATTCATCACTGGTCTTCACGTTGCTACACCACCTCCTCTTCCCCACTTTTCACCTTCTCCTGTGTGTGCCAAGTCTACATCTGCCTTCCTTGTATAAGGAGACTTGTGACTGTATTTAGGGCCCACCTGGGTAATCTGGGATAATCTCCCCATTCCAAGATATTTCATCACATCTGCAAAGCCATAAAGGTATCATTCACAAATTCAAGGGATTAGAACATGGACATTTGGGGGTTTTAGCTTTTTGGAGCTGGTCCTGTCATTGACCAGAGTACTTGAAAAAGAAGAATGCATTTTTGAGAGATGATAATGAATTCACTTGGGATCTGCTGAAGTACCTATGGGCCATGTGTATGAGGGTATTCAATTTATGTTATCAGAAAACCTCGAATCAGGTGGCTTAAACAATACGGACATTTATTTAAAACAAAAAACAGCCTCAGAGTTGGTTAAATTAGCAATTCAGTGACATCCTTGAGGACATACGTTCTTGCTTTGCCATCCTTAGGCTGGCTCTCCTATGGTAACAAAACGATCCCCACAATTCTAGGCCTTCAATACAGATATGCAAATTTAGTTGGCTTGTTTTGTGTGCCCCACCCCCACCTTTTTTTTTTTAAAGTCTGCAAGGAAACCTAACTTCTGAAGCTACCCATTAGCTTCTATTTTTCTTGGCCAGATAAACATTCTCTTGACCACCGTCTTTTACCTAAATCTTTTTTTTTTTTTTTTTGAGGCAGAGTCTTGCTCTATTGCCCTGGAGCTGGAAGTGCAGTGGGATCTCGGCTCACTGCAACCTCCACCTCCGAGTTCAAGCAATTCTCCTGCCTCAGCCTCTTGAGTAGCTGGGATTACAGGCATGCGCCACTGTGCCTGACGAATTTTTGTATTTTTAGTAGAGACGGGGTTTCACCATGTTGGCCAGGCTAGTCTTGAACTCCTGACCTCAGGTGACCCACATTCCTCAGCCTCCCAGAGTGCTGGGATTACAGGCGTGAGCCACCGCACCCAGCCACCTAAATTTTTTATATCTACGTTGCAGATTTGTTCAGGTAAGGGACCCCTGCCTCAAATACACAAACATTACACCCATCCATCTTCAGTGACAAATGGCAAAACAGACCTCTTGAGCACTTCCCACATCACATTGTTTTACTACTTTTTGCTATGCAGATTTGGTAGAATCTTGCAGATGTGGAACTGTCTTTCTGTGGTTTATTTAAACAGCAGTCCATTCACCTTGCTTAGTCTTGTTTTAAGTTCTTGTCTACAAATTCCTAACCATGTCCTCATTTTCTTTTTCTTTTTTTTTTTTTTTAAGACGGAGTCTCGCTCTGTCACCCACGCTGGAGTGCAGTGGTGTGATCTCAGCTCACTGCAACCTCCGCCTCCCGGGTTCAAGCGATTCTCGTGCCTCTGCCTCCCAAGTAGCTGGGATTACAGGTGCGTGTCACCATGCCTGGATAATTTTTGTATTTTAGTAGAGACAGGGTTTCACCATGTTGAGCAGGCTGATCTCGAACACCTGACCTCAGGTGATCTGCCTGCCTCGGCCTCCCAAAGTGCTGGGATTACAGGCATGAGCCACCGCACCAGGCCTGTGTCCTGATTTTTAACATTAAACTTGAAAGCAGTGGTTAATGTAGTCTGAGGACTCTCCTGGGGATCCCGAGAACCTTTTAGAGAGTACGTGAGATTAAAACAGTCTTCTAGCAGTGTTTTAAGACACTACTTGCCATTTTTCTTTCTTATTCTTAGATATACAATGGAGTTTTCCAGAGGCTACCTACTTGAAATGTTATTTTTTTATTTTATTTTATTTATTTATTTATTTTTTTCCCGAGACAGAGTCTGGCTCTGTCACCCAGGCTGGAGAACAGTGGCATGATCTCGGCTCACTGCAACCTCTACCTCCTGGGTTCAAGTGATTCTCCTGCCTCAGCCTCCCAAGTAGCTGGGACTACAGGTGTGCGCCACCACACCCGGCTAATTTTTATATTTTTGGTAGAGACGGGGGTTTCACCATGTTGGCCAGGCTGGTCTTGAACTCCTGACCTCAGGTGATCTGCCTGCCTCAGCCTCCCATAGTGCTGAGATTACAGGTGTGAGCCACTGTGCTCAGCTGAAGTGTGATACTGTAACAGACTTAACACATGTGAGAATTCAGCTGATTTCCAATAAGCCAGACTTAAAGAGATTTTCAAAAATCAGTGCTACTCTTGCCTTTTTCTTTCTTTTTTTTTTTTTTTGTCTGAGAAAATTTAGTTTCTTGAAAACTATGTTGTCTTAAAATGTACTGTTATTTTTAGGTGAATAATTTTTTAAATTTCTAAGTTTTAATTTATAATACGGTAAATATTTTTAGATATAGTTCATGTAAATAAAAGCTCTTTTGGGTTCTCAATAAATTTTAAGAGTGTAAAGAGGCCTGAGATTCGAGTTTAAAATCCGCTGTCTAGTGTTAATCCCACTCTAACCACATACTCCAAAGTTTTTCCATTTCTCCAATCATTATTTCCTTCTCTTACTATTATCAGTTATCATGTAGGTATATCATCTTCATATGTTGCAGGATTTGTTGCAAGTACTTTAGAGTCATTCATTCTATTTAATATTGATCCCATTTATGGGAGCAGAAGCTTTCTTATTCTTTATTAATATGTCTCTGCATTTTATTTCCAACACTTACCTCTGTTTGTTAGTACTTTCACCATTCTTACTGTTTTTGTGCTTATCGAACATGCTGGATTTAGTAATATACCTCAAAACTAAGCACAGAGAAAAAACTAATGAAGACTAGAGAGCTAAGACTTACATGACCACACAAGTCCATTATTATCATCTCTTGGTAATAGGCATAGTTAACACTCTTGCTCTGAGAAATGACTTTGATTTATGATAAACATTTATAAGTGGGGAGTATCTGTAATTTTTATAAACTTGGCTGTGAAGGGAGAGTGCCTGATGGATGATACCCAGTTTTGATGGGAGGTGAGGGATGGGGCATGGAGAATCAAAAATGAGTACTAGATTTTAAGCTATGGGTGACTGAGCAATTGAAGGTGTCCATGATTAACAGATTAAGAAATTCTGTAGTGGTATGTTAGTTGGGTAATAATTTGAGTTTGTTTTCAGACATTGAATTTGCAAGATGGCGAACACATTCAGATGGAATTGTCTAGCACTCTAGCTGGTCAGTAGAAGCCCAGAATTGACATTCAGAGGGATATTGCTGAGATTTTAGTCAAAGGTGGTAGAGTCAGAGATCTGTCAATAATGATAGCTTATCTGTTAATCACTGCTGCACCATATTCTTATATAAACAGTCTGTGCTGGGCACTGGGCTCTTTACATAGACTCATCTCATTGAATCTGTATGACAGTCCTCAGAAAGCTCACTTGTTTAAGGTCATCCAGCCACTACAGTCATATAACCATGATTAACATGCAGGTCTGTCTGAACTAAAAAGCTGTTGTTCTACCTAGTGGACATGCTGTCTCCAGGCAACGTTAATATATTCATTGATAATTGAATTGAATGTGAAATACTCAAAGCCTAATTATGCATGAGGTGAAGAAATCTGTCACTGAGTTTTGGGTAATATGAAAAGACTATAATTCTTTTAATTAATGCTTAGTAATGTGTCAGAAGATTCAAATGTATTTATCCTTGGAGCAATCTTCTGTAGTTCAAAGGGACAGGGATACCACGAGTGTCTATGGCAGATCTAGAATTAGAAACCTTAATAGGAATTGAGTAGTTATAGTGTGAGATATAATTTATGGGGAAAATTTCAGGTAGTAAGTTTCAGAGACTATTCAAATTAATAGATTTTTTTTAAGTTTATTGTAATTTTAAAAATACATTTACAGGTCAAAAAGTATGTATTTTTCTGGGATATTCAGATAATCAGAATAGGCTAATATCTGTCATTTTCACAGTCACTTTTTTCTCTTTAGGTTGTTAGGCAGCAAATAACTACAGCTAAGGACTCAGCTTTTAATATTCTGGCCCATTGGTGATTTTTTCATTTTTTTAAAGATCACTTTGTTACAGAATTTGCCTGATTTCGTCTCAGTCTGATAATTTAGAAAGGAATTGACTGTAATGAGTCCTAACATTTTTCCACATCAATCTTTTTAGTTGTGTAGTTTGTCACTTTTCGGATAGTTGATTTACTGCTTTGAACAGATCGAATATGAGTTTTAGAAGTAGTAAGATTTTTATTCCAACAAGAACAGTTCCTTTATAGAAACAAGTTTTCTTACACTATTATCAAATCACTAGAAAGAATACTTGTAGGTGGGCTGGATCAGTGGCTGGAGCATTACCCCTGCTGCATACTGGCTGCTAGCAGTTCTGAGAGCAGAGTGGACAGCACGGGTTGGTCTCAGGATTTGTTGTGTGCCTTGTGGATATCACTGTCAAAAGAAGTATAGGAGCATGTGGGCATGAACTGGTTTGGGAACAAATACTACTCTATTCCAGAGTACAAGAACTGGAGAGGTGAGGACAAACTATTCAAGAGAAAAGAATTGTAGAAGCAGCAAATAAAAAATTAGACTGTGAAGTAGGGGATATTCCAACAGAATGGGAAGCTTAGATCAGAAGAACAAAAAAGAGGCTGGGTGTGGTGGCTCACGCCTGTAATCCCAGCACTTTGAGAGGCCAAGGCAGGCAGATCACCTGAGGTCAGGAGTTCGAGACCAGCCTGGCCAACATGGTGAAACCTCATCTCTACTAAAAATACAAAAATTAGCCAGTCATGGTGGTGCACGCCTGTAATCCCAGCTACTCAGGAGGCTGAGGCAGGAGAATCACTTGAACCCGGGAAGCGGAGGTTGCAGTGAGCCGAGATTGTGCCACGGCATTCCAGCCTGGCCAACGAGAGCGAAACTCTATCTCAAAAAAAAAAAAAAAAAAGAAAACAAGAATAACTCCACCTACGATGGAGGAAATACTAAAGAATGAAAAATACAGAGAAGAAATTAAAAAGCAAAGATTTTTATGAAAACCAAAAACTCCTTAGTAAAGAGACTAGTGAGGAACTCTTGGCTCCACCAGTTCAAACTCAAAGGACATGGCTTTGCTCCATACTTCGGAAAGGAAGAACTCACTGGTTCCCACCAGCACTGGTAAAACCTTTCAGCCAGAATCCCAGATGCCGCAAGATAGAAGGAGCCACAGTCAGTGACTGCATTATGGTCAGATCGTTTTGTGTATATGGATGTGATGATTTTCACAAAGAAAAGAAGTCAAAATATACTTAAAATTTAGAGAGATTGGCCCCCAGGTCCTGTTTTTAACAGTGATTTTTGTACAAAGCAGTGGACTTTTTTTTTTTTGGAGACGTAGTCTCGCTCTGTTTCCCAGGCTGTGGAGTGTAGTGGCATGATCTCAGCTCACTGCAACCTCTACCTCCTGGGTTCAAGCGATTCTTCTGCCTCAGTCTCCAGAGTAGCTGGGATTACAGGCACGTGCCACCACGTCGGCTAAATTTTGTATTTTTAGTAGAGACGGTGTTTCTCCATGTTGGTCAGGCTGGTCTCGAACTCCTGACCTCGTGATCCACCCGCCTCAGCCTCCCAAAGTGCTGGAATTACAGGGGTGAGCTACCACGCTTGGCCAACAGTGCTTTTTGTACAAAGTAGTGGACTCTTAAGAACCAAGTCATCTGTGCTCCATCCCTAGCCCTGACATTAAGTAACTGACATCCCTAGCTCTGACGTTAATAACTGACATTAAGTAACTGACTTGGTTTACTTTTCTGGGCTTTAGCACAAGTATATGCCACCAGTAAATGTTTGTTGAGGTACCATGAACAGTTGTGGTAATTATACATTACCAAAGTGTTTGTGATTATTAGTTACTTGAATTTTATTTTACCAATGAATAAACTTTTAATAAGAGGAGGATGACTGCAAAGTGTGAGTTGTTTGTCCGTATTGCCTATGAGCAAGAATGATACAATGAAAAAATTTGCAATTAACATCATATACAGTATAATTCTATAAATTGCATGAATTCTAATATTAAATGTGAAAAAATTTACCTACCTGTTTGCTTGCTTGCCTTTTTTGTATTTTTAGTAGAGACGGGGTTTCGCCATGTTGGCCAGGCTGGTCTTGAACTTCCGACCTCAGGTGATCTGCCCACCTCAGCCTCCCATATGTGCTTGGATTACAGGCATGAGCCACCGTGCCCAGCTGCTTGCCTTTTTTTTTTTTTTTTTTTTTTTTTTTTTGAGATGGAGTCTTACTCTGTCACCCAGGGTAGAGTGCAAAGGCACAAACTTGGCTCACTGCAGCCTCCACCTCCCGGATTCAGGAGATTCTCCTGCCTCAGCCTCCTGAGTAGCTGGGACTGCAGGCACCTGCCATCATGCCCAGCTAATTTTTTTTTGTATTTTTAGTAGAGATGGGATTTCACCATTTTGGCCAGGTGGATCTCAAATTCCTGACCTCAGGTGATCCACCCACCTCGGCCTCCCAAAGTGCTGGGATTACAGGCATGAGCCACTGCGCCTGGCCTGCTTTGCCTTTTTAATATCAAGAAAAAAAATCAAGATGCCTTCTCATTGTCGAATAAAGCTTAATTTTTTAAAATGAGATTGAACATATAATTGTGTTTATTAAAAATGAAAATCTTTTGATATAAATTTAAATTGAGTAATTCTTACATAAGATTATTTTGCAGTGATCATGCCAAAATAAAGTCTGGTGCGCTTTGCTTTTGTTCCCTGCAGTTCTTTTGAGTTTTGTAAAAATCTGGCCTTGCTGATGAAAAATTTTGGAAATAGGAAATGGTTGCACAACAGTGTGATTGTACTTAATGTCACTGAACTGTACACTTTAAAATGGTTAGAATGGGCCGGGCACGGTGGCTCATGCCTGTAATCCCAGCACTTTGGGAGGCCGAGGCGGGTGGATCATTTGAAGTCAGAAGTTTGAGACCAGCCTAGCCAACATGGCAAAACCGCCTCTCTACTAAAAATACAAAAAAATTAGCCAGGTGAGTCCCGTACACCTGTTATCCCATCCACTTGGGAGGCTAAGGCAGGATAATTGCTTGAACCTGGGAGATGGAGGTTGCAGTGAGCCAAGGTTGCGCCACTACACTCCAGCAGTCTGGGTGACAGAGCGAGACTCCATCTCAAAAAAAAAAAAAAAAAAAAAAAAGGTTAGAATGGCAAATTTTATTTTATATTTTTTTTAACCACAATTAAAAAAATATTGGAGCTAGTCACAGTGGTGGGGACCTGTAGTCCCAGCTACTTAGGAGACTGATATGGGAGGATTGCTTGAGCTCAGGAATTGGAGACCAATGTGGGTAGCATAGCGAGACCCCATCTCTAATTTAAACAAAAATCTCCTTGCCCAGGGAGGTGTGTCACACACATGACATCTGCTGTCGTGTGTCGTGGCTAAATAAAATACAGGTGATAATTGCCAACGTGGAAGAGAGAAATGTGAACCGTTTAAGGTGGTAGCCACTCTTACTCAAAATACTGCAAAATACAGAATTCTATGTTTGGGGTAACTTCAGTCAAGTGATTTAATTAGTAGAAGGCTGTAGGGCTAGGTGGCCTTCAACATTGCTCTTTACCTGGAAATTAAGTTTGTGATTCAAACCTTTTATTGGTTAAGTCAGGGATTTAAAATCTGTAGAAAAGACTCAAGTGTCCAGCATGAGTAGAATGGATGAACAAAATGTGGTTTATATTCAGCTTTAGAAAGGAAGAAATCTTGACACAGTAGTACATTGTGGAAGAACCTTGAGAACACTTCGCTATGTGAAATAAGCCAGAAACAAATATTGAATGCTTCCACTTATATGAGGTACCTTCAGTAGTCAAATTCATAGAGACAGAAAGTAGAACAGTGACTACAGGAACATGGGGATGGGAAGAATGGGGAGCTATTGTTTAATGAGTACTGTGTTTCACTGTGGGATGATGACAAAGCTCCAGAGACGGATAGTGATGGATGGTTGAACCACAGTGTGAATGTATATAATGTGAACATACAAACTGTATGCTTAAAAATAGTTAAAACAGTAAATTTTGTGTATATTCTGCCACAAAAATAACCTTAACTGCTGCTTATTAAGTAACTTAGATGATGTAGGCTTTAGTTTATAATAGGGTGTTATGTTTCATTTTAAGAAATTGGGTCTCACTCCATCACCCAGGCTGGAGTGTGGTGGCATGATCATAGCCCACTGTAACCTTGAATTCCTGGGCTCATGCAAATAGGGTATTGGAGAACTTTTACAAAATAAAATGACATGGGCACATCATCAAAACAATAGGCCGGGCGCGGTGGCTCACGCCTATAATCCCAGCACTTTGGGAGGCCAAGGCGGGCGGATCACGAGGCCAGGAGATCGAGACCATCCTGGCTAACACGGCGAAACCCCGGCGAAACCCCGTCTCTACTAAAAATACAAAAAATTAGCTGGGTGTGGTGGCGGGAGCCTGTAGTCCCAGCTACTTGGGTGGCTGAGGCAGGAGAATGACGTGAACCCGGGAGGTGGAGCTTGCAGTGAGCCGATATCACACCACTGCACTCTAGCCGGGGTGACAGAGTGAGACGAGACTCCATCCCCCCCCCAAAAAACAACAACAACAATAAAACTACTTTTTAAAATATTTATTTATTTATTTATTTATTTATTTATTTATTTATTTATTTATTTTGAGACAGGGTCTCTGTTGCCCAGGCTAGAGTGCAGTAGCACAATCACAGCTCACTGCTGTTTCGAACTCCTGGGCTCAAGCCATCCTCCCACCTTAGCTTTCTAAGTACCTGGAGCCACAGGCTTATGTTACCACACCTAACTAATTTTTGTATTTTTTGTGGAGACAGGGTCTCACTGTGTTGCCTAGGCTGGTCTTGAACTCTTGGGCTCAAGTGATCCTCCCACCTCGGCCTCCCAAAGTGCTGGGATTACAGGCGTGAGCCACCGCGCCCGGCCTGTTTTCTGGCTTCTTAAGGCAGACACTTTGGATGATTAATTTGAGACCTTACTCATTTTCTAATTATAATCATTTAAGGGAATGAATTTCCCTATAAGCACTACTTTAGCTGCATTCCATAAATGTAGATGTGTTTCATTTTTGTTCATTTTAACGTTTTATAGCTTCCCTTGTGTCTTGCCTTTTGATTTATGGATTGTTAGAAGTGTGTTGTGTTAATGAGAGAACTTCCCCAACCTGGCAAAGGGCAATTACAAAAAACCTAGAGATAGTAAGACTGGATGCTAAAAAGGCGAGATTGTCCTTTCCCTCAAGTTCTATTCCCACCAATCCTATTAAACATTATATTAAAAGTCCTCACTGGTGCAAAAAGGCAAGAAAAATAATAGGCATAGAGATATGAAAGGAAAAAACAAAACTTCTTATTGAGAGACCTGATTATTTACACCCAAGTAATTTTTTAAAAATACAAAAAGCGTGCTAGAACTAATCAATGACAGGAACAAGTCAACGTAAAGAAGTTTGGTGATTTTTTAATTACCTTTCTGTTACCAATTTTTGTGTTGTAATTCCATTAGGGTCAGAGAACATACATTAGAAAGACTGACTATTCTTCTGTTACTGCATAGAATGTTCTATAAATGGCAGTTAGATCCAGTTGGTTGATGGTGTTATGTCTTTGCTAATTTTCTGCCTACTAGTTTTGTGATGGCTGAGACAGGAGTGTTAAAGTCTCTAAGATTAGGGCCTTGTATATTTTTTCTTTCATTTCTGTCGTTTTTACTTCATGTATTTTGATGCTGTCTTTTAAGGTATATACACAGAATTGTTTCACTTGATGAGTTAATCCAGTTCAGCTTTCTTTTGATTAGTGTTTAAATGGTATGTATTCTTTTCCAACCTTTCCCCTTTAACGTACCTAAGATATGTTTGAAGTTAGTTACTTATAAACAGACTACATTGAGATCATGGTTTTTCTCTTTTTTCTCCTCGTGCTGTCTCTGTGTTTTCATTGTTGTGATTAAATCATTTGCATTTATTATAATTGCAAATGCACTTTAGAGGTAGAGGCTCCCTTCTTACACCCATCCCCTGCTAATGAAATGAAGGCTGTACTTTGGGCTTGACACCCTGAGAATACTGGGACAAAAATTGCCGTTGCGCTGGCTTGTGAAGCAATGATTGAGTCAAGCCTAGAAGTCTTCAGGTTGCTGTCCCCCTTTCTGCCAAGTACTCAGCTCCTAGAGCAGGGATTTCATTCTGAGAGAATCTTGCAATTATTTCCATCCCCAGCTTTAGAGACTTGGCTCAGAGATTTTTTGTGGTGGGGAGAAGTAGACCAATAGTTCTTAATCTCTTCTGAATGCAGCTTACTTAATTGGGAAGATAATGTGTAGAATTTCAAAGCTAAGGGCACTCTCAAAAATGGTGGTAGTTGTGGGAGAGGACTATAGAAAAGACCAGAATAAGACAGCTAAGTGAAGCTCTACTGTAGCAAGAAGAAATATCAGATAGACCTCAAACTGTTCCTTCAAATGAGCTACGGTTGGTTGGTTGGTTGGTTGGTTGGTTGGTTTTGAGACAGAGTCTCGCTCTGTTGTCCAGGCTGAAGTGCAGTGGCATGATCTCAGCTCACTGCAACCTCCACCTCCTGGACTCGAGCGATTCTCCTGCCTCAGCATCCCGGTTAGCTGGGACCACAGGTGCATGCCACCAAGCCCAGCTAATTTTGGTATTTTTAATGGAGACAGGGTTTTGCCGTGTTGGCCAGGCTGGTCTCGAACTCCTGGCCTCAAGTGATCCACCTGCCTCAGCTTTCCAAAGTGCTGGTATTACAGGTGTGAGCCACTGCACCCAACCTGAGCCACATTTTGATTTCAATTAATTTGTAGAATATAAACCCAGGGCTTTTTTTTTTTTTTTTTTTTAAATAACAGTAGAACAGTTAGTGGAGTTTAACACCTTGGTGTGATAAGAGCTAGAATATCACTGTAAGTCCAGGGTGACTGTGGGCGTACCCAAAAATGTACCTCTCTGTGGATCAACATCCAAGGCTTAGCATTGTGGAGGTTGGGGAAGTGGGGAAATAGACTTTGCTAAAATAATTCGGCTAGTCACTAAAAAATAAGCAAGAAACAGTAAGAAGCACCAAGAAAGAGGGAGGTAGAAGAAAGGAACAGTAACTGGATTTGCTATACTATATTATCAAAAATGTCAGTGTCTAGCAAAAAATTATGAGGCATGCAGAGAAAAAAGAAATTATGACTCATGCACCAGAAAAAAAGCAGACCTTATAAACTGCCTGTGTGAGAGAGACCACATGTCAGATTTAACAGAAAAGACTTCAAAATAGCCATCATAAGTGTGTTCACAGAACTAGAGAAAAAGCATAAAGAGGTAAAAGTGGGTATAGTGACAATTTTGCATAAAATAGAGGCTATCAATAAGAATATAAAAATTATTGAAAAAACAATTAGAAATTCTGGAATTGAAAAAAATAATTAACCGAAAATTCACTAGCAGTGCTCTTCTTCACTGGCAGAAGATGGGTTTAGTGAATTCGAACATAGATCAATAGAAATTATGCAAACTGAGGAACAGAGATAAGATAATAATGAGTAGAGCTTCAGCAAAACATAAGACACCATCCCACATACCATTAAACACTTAAGAGTAATGGGAGTTCTGGAAGGAGAGGAGGAAGAGAAAGAAGATAACAATAGAAAATGATATAGCAATAGAAAAAAACACTCAAATAGTGGCAGAAAACTTCCCATACAAACGAATGATGGTTTGACTTACAAGTTTTTAGTGTATGATAGCACAAAAGTGAAAGTGATAAAGCATTCAGTAGAAACCGTGCTTCAAGTACCCTTACAACCACTCTGTTTTTCACTTTCAATGTGGTATTCAATAAATCATATGAGGTACTGAACACTTTATTTAAAAATACTTTGTGTTAGGTTATTTTGCCCAACTGTGTAAGCTAATGTCAGTGTTTTGAGCACTTTAAGCTAGACTAAGCTGTGATCTTTAGGAAGGTAGGTATATTAAATGCATTTTCGACTTTGATATTTTTAACTAACAATGGGCTTATTGGATATAATTCCATACATTGGAGCATCTTTACTGAAAATCTTTTTCTAAGTAAGAAAAATGTAGCAATTTAAACATACAGTAAAAACGCTAAAAGTTTAAAAAGGGAAAATCTTTAAAATAGTAAGAAAATAACTCACTCAAAATGGAACCACTGTAGGATTAATGGCTGACTTCTTATAGCAGTGGAGGCCAGAAGGCGTTGGGAGAACATATTCAAAATGTGCAAAGGACGAGGGAAGAAAACTGTCAACCAAAAATCTTATATCCAACAATGCTATCTTTTTTAAATGAAAGCAAAATAAAGACTGTCCTAGATAAAAACGAAAATTTGTTGCTAGCTGACCCACTTTACAAGGAACATCAAAGGAATTTTTTCAGGCTGAAGGCAAATGACCCTAGATGGTAATTTGAATGCACACAAAAAAATAGAGCATCAGAAAAGGTAATTATATAATTACTTTAAAAAAAAGAAATTAACATTTTTCTCCTTTCTTGTTATAAGTTTATTAAAAAGCAAGCTATTTTATATGTATATACATATATGTAATGCTGATCCCATAACAAAGAAATGTAATAAATCTGTAATATATCTGCCAGTAACAGCACAAAAATAAGTGGGTAGGAGCAAAGCTGTGTTGGGCTAAGGAAATGACTACAGATGGGAAAGCAGTAATCATGACCACATATTGTGTTTGTAATCATGAGCAGATATGATATCTGTAACAATGCTACTATAAATGGGGGAGGGAATTGACATATATAGTAGTCATGTTTTTGTCTGTCACAAGAATTAAGCTAGTATAGATCTGAAGCTGGTTCTGGTATATATTCTAAAACCTTGAGCAACTACTAAAAACAACTCAAAAAATATAATTAAAAATCATTTTAAACCTGCAGATGCTACATTAGAAAATAATACAAAAGTAAGCACTAAAGGAATAGTAGAGGAACAAAACAGACATGGGACATAGAATTGCACGTTTGAATCTAACTATACAAATAACATTAAATGTGAACGGATTGAAATCAAAAGACAGAGATTGTCAGACTAAGTTTATAAACAGCATTATCCAGCTGTATGCTAGCTAAAGGAGACATAATTGTCATTCAAAGAAAAATAGATTGAAAGTAAAAGGATGGAAATAAATATATCATGTAAACAGCAACCACCAGAAAGCGAGAGTGGTTTTACTCGTATCCAGCAAATAGACTTTATAACAAAAAGTGTTACTAGAGACGTTTTATAAGGATAAAAGGGTCATTTCATCAGGAAGCTGTAACAGTTATGTTGCATATATGTAATAACAGAATACCAAAATACATGAAGCAAAAACAGAAATGAAGAAACAGACAATTCAACATTAGTAGTTGGAGACTTCAGTATACCGCTTTTAATAATGTATAGAACAGGCCGGGCACAGTGGCTAACACCTGTAATCCCAGCACTCTGGGAGGCCGAGGCGGACAGATCACTTAGGAGTTTGAGACCAGCCTGGCCATCATGGTAAAACCCTATCTCTACTAAAAATACAAAAATTAGCCAGGCATGGTGGTGCACTCCTATAATCCCAGCTACTCGAGAGGCTGAAGCAAGAGAATCACTTGAACCCAGGAGGTGGAGGTTGCAGTGAGTCAAGATCATGCCACTGCACTCCAGCCTGGGCAACACAGCAAGACTCTGTCTCAAAAAAAAAAGAAAAAAAAAAGAAACGTATAGAAAATTAAAAGGTCAACAAGTAAATAGACGCTATAAACCAACTAGACCTAACTGACATCTATGGAACACTTCACCCAGCAACAATAGAGTATATGTTCTTCTCAAGTGCACATGGAACATTCTCCATTATAGACCATATGCTAGCCATGAAACAAACCTCTGATTTCTTTTTTCTTTTTTTTTTTTTTGAGACAGAGTTTCACGTTCACTCTTGTTGCTTAGGCTGGAATGCCAAGGTGTGATCTCAGCTCACTGCAACCTCTGCCTCCCGAGTTCAAGCGATTCTCCTGCCTCAGCTTCCCCAGTCACTGGGATTATAGGCACCTGCCACCATGCCTGGTTAATTTTTGTATTTTTAGTAGAGACGGGGTTTCACCGTGTTAGCCAGACTAGCCTCAAACTCCTGACCTCAGGTGATCACCCGCTTTGGCCTCCCAAAGTGCTGGGATTACAGGCGTGAGCCACTGCACCTGGCCAATAGATTTTAATGCAAATGACCTGGCGCGGTGGCTCATGCCTGTAATCCCAGCACTTTGGGAGGCCAAGGTGGGCCGATCACGAGGCCAAGAGATCGAGACCATCCTGGCCATCATGGTGAAACCCTGTCTTTACTAAAAATACAAAAATTATCTGGGCATGCTGGCACGCGCCTGTACTCCCAGCTACTTGGGAGGCTGAGGCAGGAGAACTGCTTGAACCTGGGAGGCGGAAGTTGCAGTGAGCTAAGATCATGCCACTGCATACCAGTCTGGCAACAGAGTGAGACTCTGTCTCAAAAAAAAATGGAGATTATGTTCTGAGACCATATGGAATGAAATTAGAAATCAAAAGCAGGAAAAAATTTGAGAAGCTCACAAATATGTGGTAATTAAACAATGCATTCCTAAATAACCAACAGATCAAAAAAGAAATCCAAATGAAATCAGAAAATATTCTAGAGTGGGTTAGGCATGGTAGCCCACTCCTTTAATCTCAGCACTTTGGGAGGCCAAGGCAGGAGAATCGCTTGAGCCCAGGAGTTTGAGACCAGCCTGGGCAACATAGTGAATCCCTGTCACTATTTTTTAAAATGTATTTTAAAAAAGAAAATGTTCTATGGTGAATAAAAATGAAGATACGACATTACAAACACTCACGGTATGTAGTTATAGCAGTGCTTAGAGGGAAATTTATAGTTACAGATGCTTATATTAAGGAAGAAGAAAGATCTCAAATGAATGACCTCGCCCCTCCACCTTAAGACACTGGAAAAAGAGCAAACCTACTTAAGGAGGCATAAGGAAGGAAATAATAAAGATCATAAAAGAATACTATGAAAAATTTTATAGCAATATAATTGTCATATGTCAAATGTCAGAAGCAGTAGACAATCTGAATAGATCTATATCAAGTAATGAGATTAGTAATTTAAAAACTACCTTCAATGAAAAGCCCAGGCTCAGATAGCTTTACAGTGAATTCTACCAAACATTTAAAGAACTAATACCGATTCTTTACAAACTCTTCCAAAAAACGGGAGGGGAGGGAACTGCTGTTCCCATATCATTTTATGTGGCTGGTATTTACCCTGACAATAAAGCCAGACAAAGACGTCACAAGAAAACTCCAGACCAATATCTCTTATGAATAATGGATGTGAAAATCCTCAACAAAGTACTAGCAAACTGAATCCCACAACATATTTTTTTAAAAAACAAACTGTATCATACATGATCAACTGGGATTTTTTCCAGGTTGCCAAGGCTAGTTCAACATTTAAAATTAATTAATGGAATATATTAATAGAATAATTTTTAAATTACATGATTATATCAATAGATGCAGAAAAAGCATTTGACTCATTGAATTCCCTTTAGTGATAGTAACACTGTAGCAAACTAGGAATAGAGAAGAGTTTCCTTAACCTGAAAAGGGGCATCTATGAAAACCTCGTAGCTAACATAATCAGTGATAACAGACTGGGAATTTCCCCTTCTAAGACTAGGAACAAGACAAGGATATCTGCTCTTGCTATTTCTGTTTAACATTGCACTGGAGACTCTAGGTAAGGAAATTAGGCAAGATAAATAAAAGGCATCTAGTTTGGAAAGGAAGAGGTAAGACTGTTTTCAGATGACCTGATCTTATACACGTTGAGCATCCCAAATCCAAAAATGTAAAATTTGAAATGCGCCAAAGTGCAAAGTGTTTTGAGCACCAACATGACGCTCAAAATCCTCATTAGAGCATTTTGGATTTCGGGTTTTTGGATTTAGGAATGTTCAACTAATAACATGTAATGCAAATATTCTAAAATTCAAAATACTTTCGGTCCCAAACTTTTTTTTTTTTATTTGAGACAATCTTGCTCTGTCACTCAGATTGGAGTGCAGTGGTGTGCTCTTGGCTCACTGAAACCTCCGCCTCCTGGGTTCAAATTATTTTCCTGCCTCAGCCCCCCTACTAGCTGGGATTACAGGCATGTGCCACCACGTCAAACTAATTTTTTTGTATTTTTTATAGATGGGCCGGGGTTGGGCGGGTGGGGTCTCTCCATGTTGGCCAGGCTGGTCTCGAACTCCTGGCCTCAAGTGATCCACCTGCCTCAGCCTCCCAAAGTGCTGGGATTACAGATGTGAGCCACCATGCCTGGCCCCCAAGCATTTTGGATAAGGGATACTCAACCTGTTTATAGAAAATCGTAAGGAATTCATTTAAAAAGTATAGGACTAATAAACAAGTTGAGCAAGGTTGCAGAATATAAAACCAGTATACAAACATGAGTTGTCTTATTATACACTTGCAGTGAAGCATTAAATTAAGAAAACAGGCTGGAGGTAGTGGCTCATGCCTGTAATTCTAGCAGTTTGGGAGGCCAAGGTGGGTGGATTGCTTGAGCCCGGGAGTTTGAGACCGGCCTGGGCAATGTGTCAAAACCCCATCTCTACAAAAAATACAAAAATTAGCCAGGCATGTTGGTGGCCCATGCCCGTAGTCCCAGCTACTCAGGAGACTGAGGTAGGGGGATCAGTTGAGCCCAGCAGATCAAGGCTTCAGTGAGCCGTGATCATACCATTGCACTCCAGCCTGGGGCAGCAGAGTGAGACTCTGTCTCAAAAAAAAAAAAAAAAAAATTAAGAAAATAATTTTATTCATGGTGACATCAAAAGAATAAATTTAACAAAGAAAAACTCATACTCTGAAAACTTACAACATGGCTGAAAGAAATTAAAGACAATCTAAATAAATAGAAAAACACCCCATGTTCATGGATCAGAAGATTCAACATTGTAAAGATAGCAGTATTCTCCAAACTAATCTATAAATTCAATGCAGTTCCTATCAGAATCCTTGCTGACTTTGTAAAGATTGACAGTCTGATTCTGAAATTAATATGGAGTTGCAGGGGACCCAGAATAGCCAAAATAGTACTGAAAAAGGACAAAATAAGAGGACTCAGCTTCTTGACTTCAAAACTTACTGCAAAACAACAGTAATTAAAGCATTGTGGTACTGGCACAAGGACATATAAATCAATGGAATAGAGAGTCCAGATATAAACCTATTTGTGTTCAACTGATTTCCAACAAGGATGCCAAGATCTTTCAGTGGTAAAAGAATACGCTTTTTAACAGATGGTACTGGGACAACTAAATAGCTACATGCAAAAGAACGAGGTGGGACCATATACAAAAAATAACTCAAAATAGGTTAAAGGCCTGAAACTTTAAAACTCCTTGAAAAAAAAAAAAAGATATTAGTAAATCTTCATGACTTTGTATTTGGCAAGGAATTTGTAGATACGATACCAAAAGCATGAACAGCAAAAGAAAAACACTGAACTTCATAAAAATTAAAACCTTCTGTGCTTCAAAGGACACCGTCATAAAAGACAACCCACAGAATGAGAGAAAATATTTGCAAACCATTTCTCTGGTAAGCAACTCACAACTAGAATATATAAAGAACTCTGACAACTCAGTAACAAAAAGACAACCCAATGGGCAGAGCTCCAAATGGACAAGGAAGATACACTAATGTCCAGTAAGCACATGAAGATGCTCAACATTGTTACTTATCAGGGAAATGTAAATTAAAACTACAGTGAGATACCACTTCACATCCACTAGGATGACTAGAAACAAAGTTGAATCATAAGTGTTGGTGAGGATGTGGAGAAATCAGAATCCTCATACACTCTTTTTTTTTTTGGAGACGGAGTCTCGTTGACACCCAGGCTGGAGTACAGTGGCGTGATCTTGGCTCACCGCAACCTCCGCCTCCCAGATTCAAGCTATTCTCCTGCCTCAGCCTCCCGAGCAGCTGGGATTACAGGCGCCCACCCCTACACCCAGCTAATTTTTTTGTATTTTTAGTAGAGTTCGGGCTTCACCATATTGGCCAGGCTGGTCTTGACTCCTGACCTCAAGTAATCCACCCGCCTCGACCTCCCAAAGTGCTAGGATTACAGATGTGAACCACCGCATCCAGCCTCCTCATACACTCTTGATGGGAATATAAAGGTGTGGCTGCTTTGGAAGACAGTCTGACAATTTCTCAAATGATTAAATATAGAGTTACCATATGACCCAGCAATTCCTGTCTTACACATATACCCAACAAACTGAAAACATACATCCACACAAAAACTTACACGATTGTTTATAGCAGCATTATTCATAATAGCCAAAAACTGGAAACAACTCGTGTCCATTAACCTGTAGATAATAAAAATGCGGAATATGGAGTGGAGTATTTTTTCAGCAATAAATGTAAATGAGGCATGATACATGGTAGAACATTATACTAAGTGAAGTGAGCCCCAAACGTCCACATTATTATATGATTCCATTCATATGAAAGTCTTGGATGGGGAAGTTTATAGACAAAAAATAGATTAGTGATTGCTTAGGGCTGGCAGGAAGTTGGAGGGGGTTCTCCTAGGTTTGTCTGTTGGGAACCTCCTCAAGTTGACTTGAGCTTTGACATACCCCGAGTAATCTTTGGTAGCTTCCTTGTTATCTGGTCAGATATTCCAGAAGGCATTTACTGCCTGAGACATGGAATCAGCCATTTCTCTAAGGACCCATGAGTTTATAGTTTTTTTGAGATGAGAAATGGAATTTAGAAGCCATTCTGGGTGCTAGCCATATTCATTGCTAGAGATTAAGTACATTATCATTTCATACTGATGCTTTTAATGTGAAATTCAAGACTGTAAACTCAAATTGCAACTTTTTCCTTTAACTATTTATAATGAATAGATATAGGCATTTTATATAGCAAAACCAGACAGAAATTTTATAACATAAATTTATTCATTCATATATTTCACTCTGTTGTATGTTATGTGCAATACTGGACAGGGTCGAGAGAAATTAGACACAAAATGTTTTCACCAAGGCCTTTTGCTCTATCTGCTCCAAGCTTCTAACAACGTGCCTTTCTGCCCTTCGTCCCCGTACATTCTTTACATGTCTTCAGCTCTGATAAATTCAGCAGAATGAAATTTATCGTGACTTCTTCCCTGAACTGCAGGCCAGAATGGGCAACTTCATGTATAAATTTACATGTGGATATTCTTCTCAGGTATTTTAAACTCAGTATATCCAAAATTGAAACATTTCTTTCCCCATCATCAACCCCTATCGAAACCAGCTCTTCTTTTGTCTTGTTTGGTGAAAACAAAGTTAGAGATAAAACCATCTGACTCTTTTAGCTACTGTTCCACCCACCCTTAGTACAAAATCATGCCTAGGTGGTTTTCCATTCTAAATATTTCTCAGATGCATTTTCTTTATCCTCACTGCTGCCACCAAGAAATCTTCTTAAAAGGCAGATAGGACTCTTCTACTCCCATGTGGCTACCTGTACTTTTTGAAGAAGATTGTAGGTCTGAAGCTTGGTATAAACATAAGTGGTCTTGAACCAAATAATTTTCTGGCCTCAGTTTCCTCATCTGTAAAATCAGGGTATTATAATGTAAACTCATGTGAGATAGCATATCTAAAGCCCCTAGTGTTCTATCTGGAGCATAGTTGATAAAAGCCAATACAGACAAGTTTATGTATAAATTTCCACCTGGATATTCCTCTTACAGGCATCTTAAACTTATATGCCCCTCTCCTTAACCTTTTCTGTCCTTCATGGGTTTTAATTAGAATATAAGCTGCGAGTGAGTGATCTCAGTTCAGTTTTAGCATAATTAAAACCTGGTTAGTATCTTTTGAAAGTTAGCTTCCAGTTTTGAGATGTGGCTGCATATTTAAATAGATACATTCTTTCAAATATCAACTTTTCCCATCCAACTAAAATTACTTCCAAGGTTAACAGTCTCATTACTTTCTCTTTCATCATGTTAAGCAGCCACGTCACTTTATATGCTAAGAGCTACTTCGTTTTAATCTCAAATCTTCTGATAATTTTTATCAGCTAATCTATATATCAAAATACAGGTTTTTAAAATGCTGTGAAAAATAGACATTTTAAAATTTGATCTACATTTAATTTTTGTTCACACTTTTTCTAGTGTGAATAAATAGCTAACGTTTATTGAATGCTTGCTTTATGCCAGGAATTGTGCTAATTTAATCCTCTTGGCTATCTTGGAAGTATAATTTCTATGATTCCTGTTTTTCAGATGAGAAAAAAAACAGAAGCATCATTAGAGAGGTGAACAACTTGACTCAGATTTAATGCCTGGCTGGTAAATGGGGAAGTGAAAATTTAAAACCTAAGATTTGTCTAACTTAAACCAATCTACTTTATCAACTAGGCTGTATACCTTATTTGGCAAAATTGTTTCAACCCAACTGTAAAAAAAAATTGTAGGTTCTTTTTTGTATTCCCTTAAATTATATGTTGTTTAGCAACATACCACTTTCACAAGAATGTGTGATAGCAGTATTTCATCAGTAATTTGGAATAAAATGGGTGGGAAGTAAACTTCCTGAATTACTGAATAGTTCAAATTGCAAACTGCTACAAGTACATTTTTATTACTTGTAAATGCTGCACAAAGTCTAAATTAGTAATTGTAGTTAATACTGATCTTTACTCAAGAATTTTAAATGACCTCCAAATTAAACTTATAACTACACATATACATATTCATCTACACACAGAGATAAATGAGATTAATTAATTAATTATTTAGTGGAGTTTCACTCTTTTTGCCCAGGCTGGAGTGCAATAGTGTGATCTCGGCTCACTGCAATCTCCACCTCCCGGGTTCAAGTGATTCACCTGCCTCAGCCTCCCGACTAGCTAGGATTACAGGCACACACCACCACTCCCAGCTAATTTTGTATTTTTAGTAGAGATGGGGTTTCACCATGTTGGCCAGGCTGGTCTTGACCCCTGACCTCAGGTGATCCACCCGCTTTGGCCTCCCAAAGTGCTGGGATTACAGGCATGAGCCACCGTGCCTGGCGAGATTTTTTTTTTTTTAAAGAGACTTGGCTAACTTATAAAAACTTCAGGTTATACCTTGTGGTTTCTCAACTGTCCATATTATGTATGACATTTTCTTTTTTTCTCTCTCTCTCTCTCTTAAAATTTGAGGCCGAGCGTGATGGCTCACACCTGTAATCCCAGCGCTTTGGGAGGCTGAGTCAGGTGGATCACATGAGGTCAGGAGTTCGAGACCAGCCTGGCCAACATGGTGAAACCCCATCTCTACTAAAATTACAAAAAATTAGCCAGGTGTAGTGTCTGGCGACTGTATTCGCAACTACTCAGGAGGCTGAAGCAGGAGAATTGCTTGAACCCGGGAGGCGGAGGTTGCAGTGAGCCAAGATAGTGCCACTGTACTCCAGCCTGGGTGACAGAGTGAGACTCTGTCTCAAAATAAAATAAAATAAAATTTGAGACAGGGTCTTGCTGTGTTGCCCAGGTTGGAGTCAAGGGCTCTTCCCACCTTAACTTCCTGAGTAGCTGGGATTACAGCTGCATGCCACTATACTTGGCACATTTTTCAAATATCTTAAAAATACTTTGTTGCTAAAAAATTCTAGCAATTATCTGAGCTTTCAGCAAGTCATAATCTTTTTGTTGGTGGAAGGTCTTGCCTTGATATTGATGGGTGCTACTGCTCTGGATGGAGGTCACTGAAGATTGGAGTTGTGGCAGTTTGTTTAATGAGACAGTGATGAAGTTTGCCACATGGGTTGAATCTTTCTTCCCCTACCCCACTCCACCCCCCGCTTTTTTTTTTTTTTAAATTAGACGTGGGTCTCACTCCATTGCATTGAGCTCCTGGGCTCAAGTAGTCTTCCTGCCTCAGCCTCCCAAAGTGCTGGGATTACAGGCATGAGCCCCTGCACCCAACCTGGATCTTTCTTTCGTGAGGATTTCTCTTTTTTTTTTTTTTTGTAGACAGAGTCTCACTCTGTCACCCAGTCTGGAGTGCATGGCATGATCTTGGTTCACTGCAGCCTCCACCTCCCGGGTTCAAGCAGTTCTGCCTCAGCCTCCCGAGTAGCTGGGATTACAGGTGCCTGCCACCACACCCGGCTAATTTTTTGTATTTTTGGTAGAAACAGGATTTCACCATGTTGTCCAGGTTGGTCTCGAACTCCTGACCTCAGGGGATCCACCTGCCCTGGCCTCCCAAAGTGCCAAAGTGCTGGGATTACAGGCATGAGCCACTGCGCCCGGCCTTCACGAGGATTTCTCTACAGGATGTGATGCTGTTTGATAGCATATTACTTATAGAAGGACTTCTTTCAAAATCAGAGTTGATTGCTAGGTGTAGTAGTTCAAACCTGTAATCTCAGCACTTTGCAATGCTGAGGCCAGGAGTTCGAGACCAGCCTGGGCAACATAGGGATACCCCTATCTCTACCTAAAGAAATAAAAAAATTTAAAAATTAGCCAGGCGTGGTGATACACACCATAGTCCTAGATGCTTGAGTGGCTAAGACAGGAGGATTGCTTGACCCTAGGACTTCAAGGCTACGGTGAGCCATGATCATGCCACTGTACTCCAGCCTGGGTGACAGAGTGAGACCCTGCCTCTAAAACAAAAATTATAATCTTACCTAGCTCTTCTGGATAACTTGCAGCTTTGACATCAGTACTTGCAGCTTTACCTTGCACTTTTATGCTATGAGGATGGCTTCTTTCCTTCAACCTCATGAACCAACCAACCTCTGCCAGCTTTTCTGAATTTGTTTTAGAGGCAGGGTCTCACTCTGTCGCCCAGGTTGATGTACAGTGGCTTGATCTCGGCTCACTGTAACCTCTGCTTCCCAAGCTCATGCAGTCCTCCAGTCTCAGCCTCCTGAGTAGCTGGGACTACAGGCATGTGACGTCACACTGAGCTAATTTTTGTATTTTTTGTAGAGATGGTGTTTCACCCTGTTGCCAGGCTGGTCTTGAACTCTTGAGCTCAAGCCATCCACCCACCTCAGCCTCCTGAAGTACTGGGATTATAGGGTGAGCCATTGCGCCCAGCTAAAAAAAATTTTTAATTAAAAATTTTTTTAAATTGGACTTGATCCTCTGAAACCCTGCCACTGCTTTATCAACAAGGTGTATGTAGTTTTCTAAATCATTTATTGTCATTTCAACAGTGTTCCTAGTATCTTCACCAGGAGTAGACTCCAACTCAAGAAACCACTGTCTTTGCTTATCCACAAGGAGCAACTCCTTATCTGTTCAAGTTTTATCATGAGATTGCAGCAATTCAGACTCCATTTTGAATTCTAGTTCTCTTGCAGTTTCCAACTCATCTGTAGTTACTTCCTTTGTGAAAGTCTTGAACCTCTCAAAGTCATCCATGAAGGCTGGAATCAATCTTGTCCAAACTCCTGTTAATGTTGATATTTTGACCTCCTCCCATGAATGTCAAACAGTCTTAATGGCATCTAGAATGATGAATCTTTTCCAGAAAGTTTTCACTTTGCTTTGTGCAGATCCGTCAGAGGAATCAGTATCTATGGCAGCTATAGCCTTTTGAAATGTATTCCTTAAATAATAAGGCTTGAAAATCAAAATGACTCCCTGATCTATAGGCTGCAGAATGGATGTTATATTAGCAGCCATGAAAACAACATCAGTCATGTACATCCTCATCAGAGCTCCTCGATGACCAGATGCACTGTTGGAAAGCAGTAATATACTGAAAGCAGTCTTGTGAGCAGTCGGCCTCAACAGTGGGCTTTTAAAACATTCAGTAAACCATGCTGTAAATAGATGTGCTGTCATCAGGCTGTGTTGTTTCACTTACAGAGCACAGGCAGAATAGATTGAGCCTAATCGTTAAGGGGTCTAGGATTTTCAGAATGGTAAATGAATATTGGCTTCCAGTTAAGTCACCAGCTGCATTAGCCGCTTACAAGAGAGGCATCCCGTCCTTTGAAGTTTTGAAGCCAGGCATTGACTTCTCTCTAGCTGTGAAATTCCTAAATGTGTCTGTTTCCAGTGTAAGGCTGTGTTGTCTGTATTGAAAACCTGCTGTTTAGTGTAGCCACCTTCGTCAATGATCTTAACTAGCTCTTCTGGATAACTTGTTGCAGCTTCGACATCAGCACTTGTGGGTTCACCTTGCACTTTTATGTTATGGAGATGGCTTCTTTCCTTCAACCTCATGAATCAACTTCTGCTAGCTTCCAACTTTTCTTCTGCAGCTTCCTCATCCCTCCCAGCCTTCATAGAATTGAAGAGAGTTATGGCCTTGCGCTGGATTAGGCTTTGATTTAAAGGAATATTGTGGTTGGTTTCATCTTCTGTGCACACCAGGCAAACTTTCTGCATGTCAGCAATAAGGCTGTTTTACTTTCTCATCATTTGTGTGTGCACTGGAGTAGCACTTTTAATTTCCTTCAAGAATATGTCCTTTGCTATCACAGCTTGGCTAGCTGTTTGGTATAAAAGGTCTAGCTTTCAGGCTCTCTCAGCTCTCAACATGCCTTCCTCACTAAACTTAATCATTTCTAGCATTTCATTTAAAGTGAAAAACATGAGGCGGGTGGATCACTTGAGGTCAGGAGTTCGAGACCAGGCTGGCCAACATGGTGAAACCCCCTCTCTACTAAAAATACAAAAATTAGCTGGGCTTTGTTGTATGCACCTGTATTTCCAGCTACTCTGGAAGCTGAAAGGAGAATTGCTTGAATCTGGGAGGTGGAGGTTGCAGTGAGCCAAGATTGTGCCACTGCACTCCAGCCTGGGTGACAGAGCAAAATTCCGTCTCATAAAAAAAAATAAAGTGAGAAACGTGCAGCTCTTCCTTTCACTTGGTCATTTAGAGGCCATCGTAGGGTTATTAATTGGTCTAATTTCAATATCCTTGTTTTTCATGGAATATGGAGACCTGAGGAGGAGGAGAGAGATGGGGGAATGACTAGTGGGTAAATCAGTCATAACACACACAACATTAAGTTCACTGTCTTATATGGGTGCAGTTTGTGGTACCCCAAAACAATTACAGTAGTAACATCAAAGATTACTGATCACAGATCACCATAACAGATATAATAATAATGAAAAATTTTGAAATATTGCAAGAATTACCAAAATGTGACACAAATGTGAAGTGAGCACAAGCTGGTGGAAAGTGGCACCAGTAGACTTGCTGACAGCAGGGTTGCCACAAATTTCCAATTTGTAAAAAACACAATATTTGCAAAGTTTAATAAAGCAAAGTGCAAGAAGATGAGGTATGTCTCTGTATCCAAAATATATTTGTCCATATAAGTTTGTATTATGGAGCATATCTTGGGCCTGAGTTTCTGCAGACATATTGGGAAATGCATGTGATAAATATATGGTAGAGAATGCATTTCCTCATCATCACCTTCTTCTCATCCCATACTTCTAAGTATATCAGACTTCGTACCATATATGTGAACAAGCATGACTTACGGGAGGTACTCATGAGCCATTTTATTTCTTCTGTGGAGTTAGTTCTCCAGCTTCCTGGAGAGTAAGTTTTAATAACTGTTCTGATCACTTTCAGGAAATACCAGCAATCTTTTCAAGAACTAATAAACTTAGAGTAAAAGCTTTCCCTCCTTTCCCACCTCAGGCCTACTACAGGCCTGCAGTTGAAGAGTTAGGTGTGGTTTACCTCCTTTTTCTTTCTTTCTCTCTTCCCCAACTTTCTTCTTTCACTTCTCTTCATTTGCTGGCTGTGGTTTCTGGCCCTTTCAGGAAGAAAAGGTCTTTGATAGCAATGTTAGTAGCAGCAGCAACTAATGTTTCTATAGCATTGATTATGTTACTAGTTACTATTCTAAACACTTAACATATATTAGGTCATTTAATCCTCAGAACTCTATGAGGTGTGTTGTGTTATATTTCTTATACCACTGAATATAGTAAGATACAGAGGGTTTGTTTAATGACTTGCCTAAGGTGACACAGGTAAAAATAGCAGAACCAGCATGCAGAGTGAGCATTCTGGCTCCAGAGTCTGTGCTTTCAACCACTCCACTGTGATGCCTTTATATACTGTTGGGAGATAGTAGGCATACGTCTTGGCCTTGATTGTTGTTTAAATCAGACTTATGTGCCCTTCAGAGTTTTTTCAGTTGTAACATATTTTCCATAGATTTGAGGTAAAGGATCAGCATGCCTTGAAGCCCCTTTCCCTGCAGGGGAGTAAGCAGGGAAGTAGAATGGGGTTTGCAACTCACAACAAACTGATTACTCTCAGCAAAAATCCTTTTCATATCTACTCTTTGAACACGGAAGATGACTGAAGGTGGATGTAACTCAAGGTTGAAAATAGTTTTCCACTACCCCTTGTATAAGGTGCCCTTGTGCCTCACTTGAGAACGTAGTACATTATCTGTTGTTTGGGGCCTATTCAAGATGGAAATGGTTTCATTTTAATACTCCGATGCACATGTCTTCCAAATATGCTGTTTAATTTCTTGCCTTCACACCTTTGTTCATGCAGATGGTCCCTGGATTATAACTAATTCACTTGCTCTGAAAGCATGTTTCTTCCCTCAGCCACATGATCCCAAAGTAAGCACTCTCGAAGGCCATGCTTTAAAAGCAGAAGCTAGTCTCCTGGGATGCAATAAATGAACAAAACGCTTTATATATAGCCCTCCCATTTTCTTTCTTTCATCTCATTTTTGTGAGACCTAAATCAGCAAATATGTTACATGATGGTTTGCGTAGACCAGTCCCTGGCTGTCTAGTGTCTCATTGTGGTCAGTTGACTTCAGGAAGGGTATGTGGAGCACTCAGTTTACATTCGAACTTCTGTTACTAATTATGGTCAAGATAATTATTTCAGTAGCTTTACCTGGCTGCTTTGGAACAGAGATTTATGCCTTATCCTTTTGTGAAGTCTGACATGGAACAGTCTCAAATTGATCATTTTGTCTTCTCAAGTTAGAATAGTCTGTGACTTATATTTTTTTAGACGGGGTCTTACTCTGTCACCAAGGGTGGAGTGCAGTGGTGCAGTCTCGGCTCACTGCAACCTCCACCTCCCAGGCTCAAGTGATCCTTCCACATCAGCGTCCCGAATAGCTGGGACTACAGGCCCATGCCACCACACCCGCCTAATTTTTATGTGTTTTTTTGTAGAGACAGGGTTTTGCCATGTTGGCCAGGCTGGTCTTGGACTCCTGAGCTCAAGCAATCCGCCTGCCTTGGCCTCCCAAAGTGCTGGGATTACAGACGTGAGCCACCACACCTGGCAACCTTTTTAAATTCATCTTGAAATCTTTTTTTTTTTCTTTCCACTTCCTTTTTTTCTTTTTCCCATCTTTCTTTTCCTCTATACATTTACCTGCATAAAACATTAACAGGGATGATTATGTAATGGATTGTTCAGTGTTTACACTGGCATTGCCTGCTGCATGCTCACATTTAGAAACAGGAATGATAATACGCCTACTGATAGAGATATGATGACAATCAACTAACTATTAAATGTGAAGCATTTCAAATACTGTCTGGCACATAGAAGACACTCTATAATTGTCATTATTTACAAACTGTTGCAGCCCTGCAGCTCATTAAAACGCTGGTTCACAGGCCGGGCATGGTGGCTCACACCTGTAATCCCAGCACTTTGGGAGGCCTAGGCAGGCCTATCACCTGAGGTCAGGAGTTCAAGACCAGCCTGGCCAACATGGTGAAACCCCATCTCTACAAAAATACAAAACTTAGCCAGGCATGAGGGCGGGTGCCTGTAATCCCAGCTACTCGGGAGGCTGAGGCAGGAGAATTGCTTGAACCCGGGAGGCAGAGGTTGCAGTGAGCCAAGACCACCCCGCTGCACTCCAGCCTGGGCAACAGAGCAAGACTCTGTCTCAAAAACAAAACAAAACAAAAAAAAACATTGGTTCACAGACTTCACTGATTGGACAGTTTGGAAGGCAGATAAGGAGAATATATTTCTATACAGTCCCTACCTTGAAGTTTCTCTGTCACTACCATCTTTCAGCTTTTTAATTTAGTACAGTGGCCACATGAAAATGATCTAAATCACATTTTAAACCACTAAAATATCAATTAATGCTTTATTTTATGTATTTTTTAGGACATTTCTGATTTATTTGCATCCTTGAAGAGCATCTGTAGAAGAGGAAGTAAAAGATGGGTGTGAAAACATTTACTCATAGCTCCTCTTCCCACAGCCAGGAAATGCTTGGAAAGCTAAATATGCTGCGAAATGATGGACATTTTTGTGATATCACTATTCGTGTCCAGGACAAAATCTTCCGGGCACATAAGGTGGTACTAGCAGCTTGCAGTGATTTCTTTCGCACCAAACTTGTAGGCCAAGCCGAGGATGAGAACAAGAATGTGTTGGATCTGCATCATGTTACAGTGACTGGCTTTATACCTCTTTTAGAATATGCTTACACAGCCACTCTATCAATTAACACAGAAAATATTATTGATGTTCTAGCAGCAGCCAGCTATATGCAAATGTTCAGTGTTGCCAGCACCTGCTCAGAGTTCATGAAATCAAGCATTTTATGGAATACACCCAACAGCCAACCTGAAAAGGGTCTAGATGCTGGACAAGAAAATAATTCTAACTGCAATTTTACTTCTCGAGATGGGAGCATTTCTCCCGTGTCCTCAGAGTGCAGTGTGGTAGAAAGAACCATTCCTGTCTGCCGAGAATCCCGGAGAAAGCGCAAAAGCTACATTGTTATGTCTCCTGAAAGTCCTGTAAAGTGTGGCACACAAACAAGCTCACCCCAGGTATTGAATTCTTCAGCTTCCTACTCAGAAAATAGAAACCAACCAGTTGACTCTTCCTTAGCTTTTCCTTGGACTTTTCCTTTTGGAATTGATCGAAGGATTCAGCCTGAGAAAGTTAAGCAAGCAGAAAATACCCGGACTTTAGAATTACCTGGCCCATCTGAGACCGGTAGAAGAATGGCTGATTATGTGACTTGTGAGAGCACAAAAACTACCTTGCCTTTAGGTACCGAAGAAGATGTCCGGGTCAAAGTAGAAAGATTAAGTGATGAGGAGGTCCATGAGGAAGTGTCCCAGCCTGTCAGTGCATCTCAGAGTTCGCTGAGTGATCAGCAGACAGTTCCAGGAAGTGAACAAGTCCAAGAGGACCTTCTGATTAGTCCACAGTCTTCCTCTATAGGTATAATGCCTTCTGTGTTTTTCTTGGTGCTATAAAGTCAATTCAAACATTTTTAAGTTCCTGTTAGATAAAAAGTTTTGTGCTCGGTCATATAGGAAATATAAAGAAGAGTAAAACATGGTAACTGGATTTGCTTGAGATGCTATTAGCACTATCGTTTATTTTTTACAAGTTGCACATTGGGGAAGATAAAAATAATTGAATGGTATCTGCTGGGACAAAGGCAGATACACATACACAAAAAAGCAGTTAAATCCAGTTTGTGTTTTATTCTTCATTAAAATATGTATTGAAAACTTACCATGTGCCAAGCAAACATTTATGATACATAAAGAAAAACACATAGTCCCTGCAATGACAATTAGGTTAATCATCTAATTGGGGAAGCAGATATGAAAGTAAATGATTACAGTGAACTATCAAAAGTGCTCATCTGGAGGTGTGAACAAAGTAGTATGGTTGCAACAAAGGAAAGAGCAAGTTACACTATATGTTTGAGTGGGTCTTATGCAATAAGTAAGAGTTTACCCAAGTGTGGGAATGTCATTTCTGTGAAAACATAAAAACACAGAACATATATGCAAACACAGAGGTATGGAAGAGCATTGTGTGTTTGGTAAACAGTGAATTCAGTGCAAAATGATGTAAGTAAGTACAGATGCCTGAAACTGTAGGGAATAGTGGGAGATCAGACAAAAGGAGTGGTTGAGCGCAGGCTGTAAAGAGCCTCGAATCCTAGTTTCAGTAGGGGTTGCATTTAAGTGCAGGTGATGGAATCCCTTCTGCAGTAACTTAACTGTAGCAGAGTTTTATTTATTTTTTCTTTATTATTTATTTATTTATCTTTTTAGATTGAAAATAAAATGATTTATAGTTGTTTTCTCTGGCAGTATTTTTTTCTTTTTTTTAATTCAAATTCTGGGGTACATGTGCAGAACGTTCAGTTTTGTTACATAGGTATACACATGCCATGGTGGTTTGCTGCACCCATCAACCCTTCATCTGCGTTACGTATTTATCCTAATGCTATCTCTCCCCTAGCCCCCCATCCCCCAACAGGCCCCACTGTGTGATGTCCCCCTCCCTGTGTACATGGGTTCTCATTGTTTAACTCCCACTTATTAGTAAGAACATGTGGTGTTTGGTTTTCTGTTCTTGTGATAGTTTGCGGAGAATGATGGTTTCCAGCTTCATCCATGTCCCTGCAAAGGACATGAACTCATTCTTTTTTATGGCTGCATAGTATTTCATGGTGTACATGTGCCACATTTTCTTTATCCAATCTATTATTGACAGGGATTTGGGTTGGTTCCAAGTCTTTGCTATTGTGAATAGTGCCGCAGTAAACATATGTGCGCATGTGTCTTTATAGTAGAAAGATTTATAATCCTTTGGGTGTATACCCAGTAATGGGATGGCTGGGTCGAATGGTATTTCTGTTTCTAGATTCATGAGGAATCGCCACACTGTCTTCCACAATGGTTGAACTAGTTTACAGTCCCACCAACAGTGTAAAAGCATTTCCTATTTCTCCACATCCTCAACAGCATCTGTTGTTTCCAGACTTTTTAATGATCACCATTCTAACTGGTGTGAGATGGTATCTCATTAAATTTCCATATGAAATTTAAAGGAGTTTTTTCCAATTCCGTGAAGAAAGTCAATGGTAACTTGATGGGGATAGCACTGAATCTATAAATTACTTTGGGCAATATGGCCATTTTCACGATATTGATTCTTCCTATCCATGAGCATGGAATGTCTTCCCATTTATTTGTGTCCTCTCTTATTTTCTTGAGCAGTGGTTTGTAGTTCTTGAAGAGGTCTTTCACATCCCTTGTAAGTTATATTCCTAGGTATTTTATTCTCTTTGTAGTAATTGTGAATGGGAGTTCACTCGTGATTTGGCTCTCTGTTACTGGTGCACAGGAATGCTTGTGATTTTTTATCACAAAGTGTTCAGGAATAAAAGTCCAGGGCTGGTACAGTGAATCTGCAATATAATCAGTGGCCTAGGCAACTTGTATATTTATAAACTGCCATCTTTACTTTGTTGGTTTCATCCATAAGATGCTCATTTCATCTTCAGCTTTGTATTCTAGAAAGGGGCAATGCTTTGTATCAAGAAAGCACCTATGTTCTCAGAAATCCCTAAAAAACTTCTGCTAGTCTGTGTCACATAGTCTTTCCTAGCTGCAAGGGAATCTGGGAAGATAATGTATATTAGTTGGGTACCTAAATGCCTTGAACAAAATTAGAGCAAAATGGATATTGAGTATGCAACTAGCAGTGTCTGCCACAAGTAGGCCAAGTAAGCTTGGATTTTATCTTAGTGGTAGGTAGTAAGGAGTCTACATTAAAGGGATAAAAACAAAAACATGCAGATATTTTAGGAAAACTGTTATTGACATGCAGTGAGTTTGGTTTTACAGAGACAGTCTCAGAGACCAATTGCAGTGCACTTATCTTGGTGTGAATGAAGACTTAAAACCATGTGAAAGAAAATAGATATTACAAGACTTTGTAAAGAAAGACTTAGTACCTGATGATACTGAATATGTATATTGAAAGAACAGGAGAGGTTAAAGTACTCTGATGACTAGGAAATAATGGTAACACTTTATTATATTCCATTGATTCTAAGTCACAATTTTTCATATTTTGTTATTTCTGAATCCAGATATGTCTTACAGTTGGCAGTCTTCTACAGTTGCTTTTTTCTTCCTTAGTGCTATAGAGAATAATGGCAATCATATGAATCAATAGCATTTTAGCATCTATTAAATGTAGTTAGTGCCGTATGAAAATCAGTGGAAGGTGGTGGGAATCCAGTTTTGAGAGTAAATTATCAAGGTCACTTCTGTGTAAATTGTGCTTGGATGATGATCAAGCAGTGTCATTTCAAAAGCAGTAGAAAAGATAAGTGAGATTCCCAACTTGGGACTTTTCTACTAGTAGTGGCAAATTCAATCTCAATAGGAAAAACAGAAGAGCCAAAACCAAGGGGATACCTTGGGGAATACCTATATTCAGGTTTGGGAAGGGATAGAAGAAAAGCCACTAGTGAATAATAAAGATTTGTCCAAAATATTGGAGAACCGGGAAGACCATATTAACTTTGTTAGTTTCTTGTGCTTTTACCCTCTGTGTGAGTTTCCCTGGGCTGCTGCAACAAAGTACCGCAAACTGAATGGTTTAAAAAAAATTTATTCTCTCATAGTCAGAGGCCAGAAATCTGAACGACAGGTGTTAGTTCCCTTTGAAGGATCTTTCTCTCTTTGAAGATTGTAGGGAAGAATCCTTCCTTGTCTCTTCCAGCCTGTGGCAGCTGCCCACAATCCTTGGTGTTCTTTGGCTTGTAGCTCCAGTATATGATATTGTGCTTTAGTATATGCGTTCGTCTTCACATGACCTTCCCTGTCTCTCTGTTTTGCCACTGGCTTCAAATCTCTCTCTCCCTAAAAGGACACCAGTCATTGGATTCAGGTCCCACCCTAATCCAGCATGACCTCATCTTAACTTGATTACATCTGCTAAGACCCTATTTCCAAATAAGGTCACATACATTGGTAGCAAGGATTAAGATGTACTTTTTCTTTTTTTTTTTTTTTTTTTTTAAGATCTGGGATGCATGTGCTGAACATGCAAGTTGTGTTTTTGGGTATTTTATTTTCTTTGTAGCAATTATGAATGGAAGTTCACTCATGATTTGGCTCTCTGCTTGTCTATTACTGGTGTATAGGAACGCTTGTGATTTTTGCACATTGATTTTGTATCCCGAGACTTTGCTGAAGTTGTTTATCAGCTTGAGTTTTGGGGCAGAGACAGTGGGGTTTTCTAAATATACAATTATGTCATCTGCAAACAGAGACAATTTGACCTTCTCTCTTCTTATTTGAATACCCTTGACTTCCTCTCTTCCTATTTGAATACTCTTTCTTTCTCTTGCCTGATTGCTCTGGCCAGAACTTCCAGTACTGTGTTGAATAGGGGTGGTGAGAGAGAGCATCCTTGTCTTGTGCCGGTTTTCAAAGGGAATGCTTTCTGCTTTTACTCATTCGGTATGATACTGTCTATGGATTTGTCATAAATAGCTCTTAATATTTTGAGATATGTTCCATCAATACCTAGTTTATTCAGAGTTTTTAGCATGAAGGGGTGTTGAATTTTTATTTTTAATTTTTATTTATTTATTTATTTTTGAGACGGAGTCTCACTCTGTCACCAGGCTGGAGTGCAGTGGTGTGATCTCAGCTCATTCAAGCAATTCTTCTGCCTCAGCCTCCTGAGTAGCTGGGACTACAGACGCATGCCACCACACCCAGCTAATTTTTGTATTTTTAGTAGAGATGGGATTTCACCATGTTGGCCAGGATGGTCTCGATCTCTTGACCTCGTGATCCGCCTGCCTCGGCGTCCCAAAATGCTGGGATTACAGGCGTGAGCCACCACGCCCAGCCAGGGTGTTGAATTTTATTGAAGGCCTTTTCTGCGTCTATTGAGATAATCGTGGTTTTTGTCATTGGTTCTGTTTTACGTGATGGATTACGTTTATTGATCTGCGTGTGTTGAACCAGCCTTGCGTTCCAGGGATGAAGCCAACTCGATCCTGGTGGATAAGCTTTTTGATATTCTGCTGGATTCAGTTTGTCAGTATTTTATTGAGGACTTTCACATCAATGTTCATCAGGTATATTGGCCTGGTATTTTCTTTTTTTGTGTTGTGCCTCTGCCAGGTTTTGGAATCAGGATGTTGCTGACCTCATAAAATGAGTTAGGGAGGAGTCCCTCTTTTTCTGTTGTTAGGAATGGTACCAGCTTCTCTTCGTACCTTTGGTAGAATTCAGCTGTGAATCTGTCTGGTGAATCTGTCTGGTGCTGGGCTTTTTTTGGTTGGTAGGCTATTTCAGGAGAGTTTATAGCATGAAGGGGTGTTTTTTTTTTTTTTTTTTTTTTTGAGGTTTTGCCTCAACTTTAGAATTTGTTATTGGTCTATTCAGGGATTCAGCTTCTTCCTAGTTTAGTCTTGGGAGGGTGTATATGTCCAGGAATTTTCGTCTAGATTTTCTAGTTTATTTGCGAAGAGGTGTTTATAGTATTCCCTGATGGTAGTTTGTATTTCTGTGGGATCAATAATGACATCCCTTTTATCATTTTTTATTGTGTCTATTTGATTATTCTCTCTCTTCTTTATTAATCTGGTTAGCAGTCTGTCTATTTTGTTAATCTTTTCAAAACACCACCTCCTGGATTCATTAGTTTTTTGAAGGGCTTTTCGTGTGTCTCTTTCGGTTCTGCTCTGTTCTTAGTTATTTCTTGTCTTCTGCTAGCTTTTGAATTTGTTTGCTCTTGCTTCTCTAGTTCTTTTAATTGTGATGTTAAGGTATAGATTTTACATCTTTCCCACTTTCTGATGTGAGCATTTAGTGCTATAAATTTCCCTCTCAACTGTGCTTTAGCATGTCCCGGAGATTCTGGTACCTTGTCTCTTTGTTCTCATTGGTTTCAGAGAACTTCGTTATTTCTGCCTTAATTTCGTTATTTACCCAGTGGTCATGCAGGAGCAGGTTGTTTAGTTTCCATGTAGTTGTGCAGTTTTGAATGAGTTTCTTTTATTATTATATTATTATTTACTATACTTTAAGTTCTAGGGAACATGTGCACAACGTGCAGATTTGTTACATATGTATACATGTGCCATGTTGGTGTGCTGCACCTATTAACTCGTCATTTACATTAGGTATATCTCCTAATGCTATCCCTTCCCCCTCCCCCCGCCCCACAACAGGCCCCAGTGTGTGATGTTCCCCTTCCTGTGTCCAAGTGTTCTCATTGTTCAATTCCCATCTATGAGTGAGAACATGCAGTGTTTGGTTTTTTGTCCTTGTGATAGTTTGCTGAGAATGATGGTTTCCAGCTTCATCCATGTCCCTGCAAAGGACATGAACCCATCCTTTTTTATGGCTGCATGGTATTCCATGGTGTATATGTGCCACATTTTCTTAATCCTGTCTATCATTGATGACATTTGGGTTGGTTCCAAGTCTTTGCTATTGTGAATAGTGCCACAATAAACATACGTGTGCACGTGTCTTTATAGCAGCATGATTTATAATCCTTTGGGTATATACCCAGTAATGGGATGGCTGGGTCAAATGGTATTTCTAGTTCTAGATCCCTGAGGAATCGCCACACTGACTTCCACAATGGTTGAACCAGTTTACAGTCCCACCAACAGTGTAAAAGTGTTCCTATTTCTCCACATCCTCTCCAGCACCTGTTGTTTCCTGACTTTTTAATGATCACCATTCTAACTGGTGTGAGATGGTATCTCATTGTGGTTTTGATTTGCATTTCTCTGATGGCCAGTGATGATAAGCATTTTTTCATGTGTCTTTTGGCTACATAAATGTCTTCTTTAGAGAAGTGTCTGTTCATATCCTTCTCCCACTTTCTGATGGGGTTGTTGTTGTTTGTTTTTTTCTTGTAAATTTGTTTGAGTTCTTTGTAGATTCTGGATATTAGCCCTTTGTCAGTTGAGTAGATTGTAAAAATTTTCTCCCATTCTGTAGGTTGCCTGTTCACTCTGATGGTAGTTTCTTTTGCTATGCAAAAGCTCTTTAGTTTAATTAGATCCCATTTGTCAATTTTGGCTTTTGTTGCCATTGCTTTTGGTGTTTTAGAGATGAAGTCCTTGCCCATGCCTATGTCCTGAATGGTATTGCCTAGGTTTTCTTCTAGGGTTTTTATGGTTTTAGGTCTAACATTTAAGTCTTTAATCCATCTTGAATTAATTTTTGTATAATGTGTAAGGAAGGGATCCAGTTTCACCTTTCTACATATGGCTAGCCAGTTTTCCCAGCACCATTTATTAAATAGGGAATCCTTTCCCCATTTCTTGTTTTTGTCAGGTTTGTCAAAGATCAGATGGTTGTAGATGTGTGGTATTATTTCTGAGGGCTCTGTTCTGGTCCATTGGTCTATATCTGTTTTGGTACCAGTACCATGCTGTTTTGGTTACTGTAGCCTTGTAGTATAGCTTGAAGTCAGGTAGTGTGGTGCCTCCAGCTTTATTCTTTTGGCTTAGGATTAACTTGGCAATGCAGGCTCTTTTTTGGTTCCATGTGAACTTTAAAGTAGTTTTTTCCAATTCTGTGAAGAAAGTCATTGGTAGCTTGATGGGGATGGCATTGAATCTATAAATTACCTTGGGCAGTATGGCCATTTTCACGATATTCATTCTTCCTATCCATGAGCATGGAATGTTCTTCCATTTGTTTGTATCATCTTTTATTTCATTGAGCAGTGGTTTATAGTTCTCCTTGAAGAGTTCCTTCATGTCCCTTGTAAGTTGGATTCCTAGGTATTTTCTTTTCTTTGAAGCAATTGTGAACAGGAGTTCACTCATGATTTGGCTCTCTGTTTCTCTGTTATTGGTATATAAGAATGCTTGTGATTTTTGCACATTGATTTTTGTATCCAGAGACTTTGCTGAAGTTGCTTATCAGCTTAAGGAGATTTTGGGCTGAGACGATGGGGTTTTCTAAATGTACAATCATGTCATCTGCAAACAGGGACAATTTGACTTCCTCTTTTCGTAATTGAATACCCTTTATTTCTTTCTCCTGCCTGATTGCCCTGGCCAGAACTTCCAACACTGTGTTGAATAGGAGTGGTGAGTGAGAAAGGGCATCCCTGTCTTGTGTCAATTTTCAAAGGGAATGCTTCCAGTTTTTGCCCATTCAGTATGATATTGGCTGTGGATTTGTCATAAATAGGTCTTATTATTTTGAGATACATCCCATTAATACCTAATTTATTGAGAGTTTTTAGCATGAAGGGCTGTTGAATTTTGTCAAAGGCCTTTTCTGCATCTGTTGATATAATCATGTGGTTTTTGTCTTTGGTTCTGTTTATATGCTGGATTACGTTTATTGATTTGCATATGTTGAACCAGCCTTGCATCCCAGGGATGAAGCCCACTTGATCATGGTGGATAAGCTTTTTGATGTGCTGCTGGATTTGGTTTGCCAGTATTTTATTGAGGATTTTTGCATTGATGTTCATCAGTGATATTGGTCTAAAATTCTTTTTGTTGTGTCTCTGCCAGGCTTTGGTATCAGGATGGTGCTGGCCTCATAAAATGAGTTAGGGAGGATTCCCTCTTTTTCTACTGATTGGAATAGTTTCAGAAGGAATGGTACCAGCTCCTCTTTGTACCTCTGATAGAGTGAGTTTCTTAATCCTGAGTTCTAATTTGATGGCACTGTGGTCTGAGAGGCTGTTTGTTACGATTTCCGTTCTTTTGCATTTGCTGAGGTGTGTTTTACTTCCAATTATGTGGTCTATTTTAGAATAAGTGCCATGCGGTGCTGAGAAGAATGTATATTCTGTTGATTTGTGGTGGAGAGTTCTATAGCTGTCTATTAGGTCTGCTTGGTCCAGAGCTGAGTTCAAGTCCTGAATATCTTTGTTAATTTTCTGTCTCGTTGATCTGTCTAATATTGACAGTGGGGTGTTAAAGTCTCCCACTATTATTGTGTGGGGGTCTAAGTCTCTTTGTAGGTCTCTAAGAACTTGTTTTATGAATCTGGGTGCTTCTGTATTGCGTATATATGTATTTAGGATAGTTAGCTCTTCTTGTTGCATTGATCCGTCTGCCATTATATAATGCCCTTCTTTGTCTTTTTTGATCTTTGTTGGTTTAAAGACTGTTTTATCAGAGACTATGATTGCAGCCCCTGCTTCTTTTTTTTCTTTCCATTTGCTTGGTAAATATTCCTCCATTCCTTTATTTTGAGTCTATGTGTGTCTTTGACCCACATGAGATAGGTCTCCTGAACACAGCACACCAATGGGTCTCAACTCTTTATCCAGTTTGCCAGTCTGTGTCTTTTAATTGGGGCATTTAGCCCATTTACATTTAAGGTTAATATTGTTATATGCAAATTTGATCCTGTCGTCATGATGCTAGCTGGTTATTTTGCACATTCATTGATGCAGTTTCTTTATAATGTCATTGGTCTTTGTATTTTGGTGTGTTTTTGCAGTGGCTGGTACCAGTTTTTCCTTTCCATATTTAGTGCTTCCTTCAGGAGCTCTTGTAAGGCAACCCTGGTGGTTACAAAATCCCTCAGCATTTGCTTGTCTGTAAAGGATTTTATTTCTCACTTATGAAACGTAGTTTGTCTGGATATGAAATTCTGGATTGAAAATTCTTTTCTTTAAGAATTTGAATATTGGCCCCCACTCTCTGTAGAGAGATCCGCTGTTAGTCTGATGGCTTCCCTCTGTAGGTAACCTGACCTTTCTCTCTGGCTGCCCTTAACATTTTTCCTTCATTTCAACCTTGGAGAATCTGATGATTATGTCTCTTGGGGTTGCTATTCTCGAGGAGTATCTTAATGATGTTCTCTGTATTTCCTGAATTTGAATGTTGGCCTGTGTTGCTAGGTTGGGGAAGTTGTCCTGGATAATATTCTGAAGTGTGTTTTCCAGCTTGGTTCATTTCTCCCTGTCACTTTCAGGGACCTCAGTCAATCGTAGGTTTGGTCTTTTCACATAGTCCCATATTTCTTGGAGGCTTTGTTTGTTCCTTTTCAATCTTTTTTTCTCTAATCCTGTCTTCATGCCTCATTTCAGTAAGTTGATCTTCATTCTCTGTTATCTTTCTTCCGCTTGATCCATTCAGCTATTGATACTTGTGTATGCTTTGTGAAGTTCTCGTGCTGTGTTTTTTAGCTCTGTCAGGTCATTTATGTTCTTCCGTAAACGGGTTATTCTAGTTAGCAGTTGCTGTAACCTTTTGTCAAGGTTCTTAGCTTCCTTGCATTGGGTGAGATAGAACATGCTCCGTTAGTGGAGAGGAGTTTGTTATTACCGACCTTCTGAAGCCTACTTCTGTCGATTTGTCAAATTCATTCTCTGTCCAGTGTTGTGCCCTCGCTGGAGAGGAGTTGCAGTCATTTGGAGAAGAGGCATTCTGGTTTTTGGAATTTTCAGCATTTTTGTGCTGGTTTTTCCTCATCTTCGTGGATTTATCTATCTTTGATCTTTGAGGCTGGTGACCTTTGGATGGGTTTGGATGGGGCGTCTGTGTGGAGGTTCTTTTTGTTGATGTTGATGTTGATGTTATTGCTTTTTGTTTGTTAGTTTTTCTTCTAACAGGCCCCTCTTTTGAAGGTCTGCTGCAGTTTGTTGGAGGTCCACTCCAGACCCTATTAGCCTGGGTATCACCAGCGGAGGCTGCAGAACAGCAAAGATTGCTGCCTGCTGCTTCCTCTGGATGCTTCATCCCAGAGGGGCACCGGCCTGATGCCAGCCGGAGCTCTCCTGTATGAGGTGTCTGTCACCCCTGTTGGGAAGTCTCTCCCAGTCAGGAGGCATGGGGGTCAGGGACCCACTTGAGGAGGCAGTCTGTCCCTTAGCAGAAGTCAAGCACTGTGCTGGTAGAACCCTCCTTGTGAGTATCCGCTGCTCTCTTCAGAACCTGCAGGCAGGGACGTTTAAGTCCACTGAAGCTGCGCCCACAGCCGCCCCTTCTCCCAGGTGCTCTGTCCCAGTGAGATGGGATTTTTATCTATAAGCCCTGACTGGGGCTGCTGTCTTTCTTTCAGAGATGCCCTGCCCAATGAAGAGGAATCTAAAGAGGCAGTCTGGCCATAGCCACTGTGCCACACTGTGTTGAGTTCTGCCCAGTTGGAACTTCCAGGCCTTTTTAGCGCTGTCAGGGGAAAACCAACTACTCAAGCCTCAGTAATGGCGGATGTCCCTCCCCCGACCAAGCTTGATCGTCCCAGGTCAACTTCAGACTGCTGTGCTGGCAGTGAGAATTTCAAGCCAGTGGTTCTTAGCTTGCTGGGCTCTGTGGGAGTGGGACCTGCTGAGTGAGACCACTTGGCTCCCTGGCTTCAGCCCCCTTTGCAGGGGGCTGCAAAGGTTCTGTGAATGGTTCTGTCTCACTGTGGTTCCAGGCACCACTGGTGTGTGAAAAAAGAAGAGCTAGCTTGGTGTCTGCCCAAACAGCCGCCCAGTTTTGTGCTTGAAACCCGGGGCCCTAGTGATGTAGCACACGAGGGAATCTCCTGGTCTGCGGATTGCAAAAACTGTGGGAAAAGCGTAGTATCTGGGCCAGATAGCACAGTCCCTCACTGCTTTCCTTGGCTCCTTGCACTTCCTGGGTGAGGTAACGCCCCACCCTGCTTCTGCTCACCCTCTGTGGGCTGTACCCACTGCCTAACTAGTCCCAGTGAGATGAACAGGGTACCTCATTAGAAATGCAGACACCTGCCTTCTGTGTTGGTCTCACTGGGAGCTGCAGACTGGAGCTGTTCCTATTCGGCCATCTTGCCAGCAGCCAAGACGTAGTGTCTTTCTGGGGGAAATAATGTCACCCACAGCAGCCACTGAAGTTCATATTCCTGAATTGGGGTCAAAATAGTTGTGAAGAATTTACATGAACACACATCCAACAAAATATTTAATTTCAAGAAATCATAGCTATTTGTTGATACAACCAAGTTTTTACTAAACTACCAGAGTCAGTAATTGAAAACACCTTGGTACCTTCTGAGTAACGAACTGCCTACTGAATAATTATAATTTTAATCATTTAAGAAAGTAGGAACCCAAATATTAATCTGTCTAAATATCTAAGATATTGAGTTAGGCATGTGAAATAGTCATCCTTTACCACTCCCAAGTATATATAATCAGTTCAGGTTTTGCCTTTATGATAGTTTTGTTTTTGTTTGAGACTGAGTCTCACTCTGTCACCCAGGCTGGAATGCAGTAGCATGATCTCAGCTTACTACAACCTCTGCCTCCTGGGTTCAAGCAATTCTCCTGCCTCAGCCTCCCAAGTAGCTGGGACTGCAGGCACACACCACCACACCCAGCTAATATTTGTATTTTTAGTAGAGATGGAGTTTCACCATGTGGGCCAGGTTGGTCTCAAACTCCTGACTTCAAGTGATCCACCCACCTCAGCCTCCCAAAGTGCTGGGATTACAGGCCTGAGCTACTGCACCCAGCCCTTTATGATGTTATTAACAAGTTAATAAGTAGAACAAATCTTTCAGTTATATAAGTAGAATCTGTTACCTATATATTATTATAAATGGATTCTATAAAGCAGACATGGGAACTGCTCTGAATCAGATAATCCCAATGTGGTTTGTTTCTTGTGTTTTTTTGTTTTGTTTTTGTGGTTTTTTGAGCCAGTATCTTGCCCTGTTGCTCAGGCTGGAGTGCTGTGGTGTGATGTCAGCTCACTGCAACCTCTGCCTCCTGAGTTCAAGTAATTGTCCTGCCTCAGCCTCCCAAGTAGCTGGGATTACAGGTGCCTGCCACCACACCTGGCTAATTTTTGTATTTTTAGTAGAGACAGGATTTCACCATGTTGGCCAGGCTGGTCTCGAACTCCTGACCTCAAGTGATCGCCTGCCTCAGCCTCCCAAAGTGCTGAGATTACAGGCGTGAGCCACCATGCCCAACTCCAATATGATGTTTTTTCCTTGCCTTCATGGCAAATGTACTAATCACTCTCAACAAACCAATCTTAACTCCAAACTTGCATACTAAAACAAAGCCATACAGAAAATTCCTTGCGGTATTGAAGGCAGTCAGTAAATTTGAGAGGGAGAAAAGGAAGATGTGCATGGTACTTTTTCCCCTGTAAGTTCCATAAGAGTATTTAATTTTACTTACTAATTTGTTAAAGAACATCTCTGAGAGGTATCTTGTCTTTCTAGGGATAGAAAATATAATGTTTAGTGTATTATTTTCAAATTTCCAAAATAATAATTTGATTATCCATGAAATTAGTTCAGATAGGATTTTACCTGCTGTTTTAAGTTCCTTTTGTTTCCACTTGCCCATGGAAAGGTTGTAAAATTCAGTATCAACTTGCAGCAAATAAAAGCAATAAATACAACAAATTTAAAGGAGAAAAAAGACTGCTGGTTTTAGGTTGGGCCTTGTTACTTAAAAAGATAACTCTCTAGTCCTTCTAACCCCATCCCCACTCCTAGGCAAACCACTGTAAATATTAATAGTTGCCTATTCTGGATATTTTATATCAGTGGGATCATGAAATACGTGGGTTTTTTTTTCTCACTGGCTTATGTTTTTACCATAATGTTTTCACAGTTCATCTGTGTTATACCTTGTAAAGTTTTGAAATGGTTTTGCCAGTCAGAGATCTGAACTTGGCCTCCAGGGCCAGTTCAGATGAACTAATCCAACCTATGTTCATCCTCTCATTATCGTTTATTTCTCTTGTAGGCCGTTAACACAGCAGGCAGGCAGGCAGATGATCTTCAGAGCAGGTGTTAGCCTAGAAAACAGTTTCACCAAGGAGCAACACAATCTGAATAACCAAAATATTTTCAAAAGACTGTTTCTAGGAAAACAAAACAAACCTGACAGTGAAGGGCTTCATTGAACTATTTGAGCTTAATTCAGCATGAACTTACATCCCAGCCAAGGGCAGGTGGCACCTCAAAAGGGATTTTATATCTGCCCTCTCATCCAGGATCCCAGGACGAAGCAACAAGGAATTTAGCTGAATCTCAGTGGATCTTTATTTCTGCCTGGGCCCTATAGCCAAAGACCACCTATGATTGAACAGGTTGAGTTTGTTGCTCATTTGCAACAAGGGAGATTATACACCATGGGGTTTTTAGGGCTGGTTGTCAGTAAGAAGGTGTTAAAAAGGCCTTAGCGCAGGATTTGGCCTTGTGTTGGGTGATTTCAGGGATGCTTACTCTCCATTAGGGAGGGTTCAAGGAAGTGAGGTTTGCTCAGGACTGGTGATGTCAGAAAGGAGAGAGAATTCTGTTATTGAATATCTTAATAAATACTATCTAGGAATGCAGACTAAAGTGAATCTATAGCAGTAGTGACTCATTAGCCAGCGAGAGATGGGGATGACTGGTATGTTTGTGATTGCACAAATAAAAGTGTTTTTTAGTCTCGCTTTAAATAAGGGTCACAGAGTGACTTGATTTTATGTTGTTTTGTGAGACTGTTTATGTTCCCCAGGAGAATACTGTGGCTGTAAGGACCAGGCCCCACCCCTAAATGAGTGCCAAGCCTGTTTCTGAATGTTGGAAGATGTTTCTCTTTTTCAAGTATAAATTGAGATCTTATATTGAAAACCTTTTAGAACAATGCCTGGCACATGGTAAATACTCAGTAGGAGATGACCACTGTAATTGCTTTTCAATTCCAGAGGGATCTTTGTAAGTATCTTGAATACCTGAACAGTGGCAGCAGCAACTTGAGTTTGATGCAACAGAAGCTATCATACAGCACTTCTAATTGGGGAGAGAGTCGACTCTGTCTTGATAAGCTAGCCCTGACCCATATAAAGCTGATTGTCTCTGTGAATCAGTTTTACTGTTTCACAAGGTGAAAAGTGTCTGACCAGAATTCTTAGCCTCACTACCACTGAGAACAGAATCCCTATAGGGTAGAAAGGAAACTTCATTTTAATAATTTAAGAAACATCACTGTCACCTCAGGAAAGTAATATTGTGCATATATATGTGTGTGTATATATATATGTGTGTGTGTATATATATGTGTATATATTCTGCTGTTAAATCAGTTTAACTGAAATTCCAATTCATATGATTACTTGTGTTATTTGCAAAAACCATCATTTCAAGAAAAACAGTTGCACAAAATTTATTTTTTGCTGATAGTTGCATAAGTGATATAACACTATGTGTTTACCTCCACAGTATACATAGAATTCCAAAAGTCTGTTTTAACTCATTTTAGCTTGGAGTGGCTTTCATTTTTAGCTGTTGGTGCATTCAGTAGCCATGGGTGAGGGAAAATAGTTTTGCTTTGCTTTGCATGCTCACTATCCATTGAATCAGGGGATCTAGACATTTTAGAATGTAGAGATGGATTTGTTTTAAGAAGGGCCATCTGCTAGATGTATCTTGTACTGCATTTTAGTTCTTTTCAACCAGCTTTTTAAACAAACCTTTGACGGTACTAGAATCGGTCCCAGACAGTGTGGTTTTTATTCTCACCTCACCAAGAGTCCATTCCCTCCTCGAAAGAGTATGGCCTGCCTGATAGTGAGAAGCAGATGCCAGTCTTCTTGGCCTACCCTTCTCACAACCTGATAGTGAGAAGCCGATGCCAGTCTTCTTGGCCTACCCTTCTCACAACCTGATAGTGAGAAGCCGATGCCAGTCTTCTTGGCCTACCCTTATCACAAGCTGATAGTGAGAAGCAGATGCCAGTCTTCTTGGCCTACCCTTATCACAACTCCAGGCGTTTTGGGGCAAGCCTTTGTCTGTACGCTTTAATACTGTCTGTGCTCTGAATAAGTTCAGAGCACCGTCAAATAGGTCTTGATGTCCATGGGACCAACGCTAAATACTGGTGTTTTTCCAGTTTCTTAGCCCAGGACTGATTGAAAAGTTAATGTTTATTTTTCTTTTCTTTAAGGAAAAAACTGAGAATGGGAAGATACTGACAAGTAAACAGTTCTTTCTTAAAATGCAGCATTATCTGGTTCTCTGTCCTACATCTGGATTAAAAACAAGTCAGAAGAACCTGGGAGTAACTTGCATAAGTAGACATAGGGGAAAAGCAGGAATGCCGTTTGATAGAGAAAGAAAAAGAAAAGACACACACAGAAATGCTACACATACACCAGAAGGGATGGAATGGGGAGACCAGAAAGAATGGGGGTGCAATTGGGAATGAATGTAAACACACATAGTCCTGCGTATTTTCAAAAGCCTCAGAGTATACCCAAGTATTAGAACACTGTATAGTAATGAGTGTTCTTTATGATTGTGGTGAGTCATCAAGAAACAAAAAATAAGTTCTATATGGTGTCCTTCATTTAAGAAGTCAAGGCAAAATGTAACCCTGTCACAAGTTTTCCAGTACAAGTGATTAAATAAAGTTTGGATGCCTTAAAATTTAGTTTTTTAAAACGCTTTTTACTTAAGTGGATGATGTACCTGTTTCCTAATGACAGCAATTCAAGTGTTCCAAAGAGGGAAACTTAAGTATTAGATTCCAAATCTTCATCAGAAGGAAATTTCATCCCGTATGTTCATTAGCAGATGATACTTATTAAATGTTCACATGTATGTAGTGGTGTACAAACTGTTACAGTTAGTACATTTTCTTTCTTTTTTTTTTTTTTTTTTTCCAGACAGAGTCTCTCTCTGTCGCCCAGGCTGGAGTGCAGTGGCGCAATCTTGGCTCACTGCAAGCTCTGCCTCCCATGTTCACGCCATTCTCCTGCCTCAGCCTCCCGAGTAGCTGGGACTACAGGCACCCGCCACCACGCCCGGCTAATTTTTTGTACTTTTAGTAGAGATGGGGTTTCACCGTGTTAGCCAGGATGGTCTGGATCTCCTGACCTTGTGATCCACCCACGTCGGCCTCCCAAAGTGCTGGGATTACAGGCATGAGCCACTGCACCCGGCCACATTTTCATTTTCATTAAAATATTATAACCAAAAGCTTGTTTGCTATTAAAAGACCGAAATTCTCAGAGGCTCAGATTTGTTCATTTGGTGCAACACAGCTGGTTTGTGTTCAGTAAAGAGTTCATTACCTAATGAGAATAAGCTAGGTTGTTTGAGTCTACTGTCCCACCACAAACAACAAATTTTAAGTTTTTAAAAATTCACTTTTAAACTGTTTGAAAAGCTGAAAAGATGGCCAAGGAACTGCAAGGTTAAATTAGGGGAGAAAGCCTGGCCCAGGGAGGTAAGTAGATCATCAGAGCACTAAAATCAGTTTTGCCTTTAAGACATTTGCCAAAACACAAATGGGCTTTGGTTGATCAACTCAAAGAGCAGGAGAAATGAAACTGAAAGCTCAGAGTGTGTAAAAGTTGTAAAGTCTTAGAAAAGTTGCCCCACACGTTAAGCAGGGAGCAGGTTTACATTAGAACTAAACCTGCTCCCTGCTTAATGTGTGTATTGTAACACGTTCCTGATTGGTAATAATTTAAAAATCCTGCAATACCAAGTGTTGGTAAGGATATGGAGCAACACAACTCTGATATACTGCTAGCAGTGATGTAAATTTAGTACAATCATTTTAGAAAAGAATTTAGTATTTTCTAATAAGGTTGAAGATAAATGTATTCAGTGACCTAGCGGCTCCATTCCTACACATATACCACTTCCATTCCTAAGTATATACTGTGGAGAAAAGCATGCTCATGTGCATTGTCCTTTGGGATTGTACTGTCAGAACTAAACCTGCTCCCTGTCCTCCAAACTCCAGGGGACTGTAGAAAAACCTGCCTTGGCAATGAGCGGACTAGAAAAGGAAAAAGAGAGGAAAACACATCCCTGAGAAGTTACTGCTAGACCACTTACAAATTGTTACAACACAGACTTTGAGTGGGTAGGCCAAGGAATCTCAAACAGTGAATCTCATATAGCTAATGCTGCCCAGGAACCTAGCAGAAGCAAACATAAAACTTCTCTGGAAAAGGGCATTATGTATCCTGACCTCAGCAACTCAATTTCCTACAAATAATTTTCAAGGGCAATAACCAGTCGAAAAATTACCAGAGCACTCAAGAAAACAAGGCAGAGAGAGAACCAACAGGAAAAAAAAAATGTGTTTTTTAAATGCAGCAGAAATATATTGGCATTGCCACTTGGCGTAGTTTTCAAGCACAGATATAAAGTAAATATGCTTACTGTATTTAACAAAATAAACATGAACAATAATTGCAGAGAACAGTAAACTATAAAAAGTGACATAGCAGATTTAAGGAGTACCAAATGGGACTTTTAGAAAAGAAAAATGATAACCAAAATTAAAATCTCCGTGAACATTTTGGCAGCACATTGCACTCAACAGAAGAGAATTAGGAAATTAAAAGATAAACTAGAAGAAATTACTTCAGTGCTACACAGAGAGAGACACAGTGGTGGAAACTGCAGTAGCAAAGAGGAGAAGGGTGCGGAAGACAACAAATGTAGGTTTGATGGAAGCTCTAAAGAGAGAGGAGAGGTTGGCTGAGAATTTTCCAGATTTGATGAAAGACACCAGTCCCAAACAGGAATAGTAAAAAGAAACACAGACCTAGATACATTGTAGAGAAAATTCAGGGAAAAAAATGTAAAAAGACATTACCTTCAAAAGAATATGACTTTTTACCACCACCAGAAACCAGTGGGATGATATCCTCAGTGTGCTGAAAGAAAATAGCTCCCAGTCTAGATTTCTACACAGGGTAAAAATGTCTTTCAAGAATGAATTATATTTGAAAAATATATAAATGAAATATTTATATTTGAAAATAAATATGTTTTCAAACAAAAAGAATTGATCATCAGCAAATCATTGCCAAAAAAGTTATAAAGAATGGACTTTTGGCAGAAGTGAAGTGAGCATAGATGAGTGGTTTCATTTGCAAGAATGAACAGCAAAGGCAGAGGTAAATGTGAGAACATGTATATATGATAATGTTTGTGGGGCTTAATCAGAACAAAGAAGTAAAATATCAGACAATTTGTAAATGGCAGGATGGAAGTGGTGGGAAATGGAGTTAAAGCTTCTAGGATCTTTGTATTATCCAGAAGGAAGTAAAGGTTTTAACTTTAGACTTTGGTAAACAAAGTATATCTCTAATTTCTAAGGCAACCAATACAAAGAAATAGGAAAATATTGTGTAACTTCTAAACAAATAGAAGGGGAGAAATGGAATATTTATTTCCACTTGTATTCAGCAAGCTGATTCTCAAATGTATACAGGAATGCAGAAGTCAAAAAATAGCCAGAATGTTCAGAAAGCAAATGAACAAGGGCAGAGAACTTTCTCTACTTGATAGCAAGATTTATTATAAAGCTACAGTAACTAAAGATTGGCATTAATACAAGGACAGATAAGCAGATGGAACTAATAGAAAACCCGAAAACAGACCTATGTATTTATACATGACATACAACACAGGAGGCACTGCAGAGCAGAGAAGGCAGACCTTTCATGACATTCGGTCACAAAGTCAACTCCAATGGGTTAAAGAAAAAACATAAGGCACAAAACATGATACTTTTCATAAGATAATTTCAGACAGGGAAAGATTTTTTAAAAACAAGACCAAAAAGCCATAACAATGAGAAAAGGATTAATTAAATTAAAATGTTAAACTTTGTTCATCAGAAGAAGCCATTAGAAAGGGTGAAAAAAAAAGCCATGGGATGGGGAAAGATATTTGTAGTATGTATCACTGACCAAGGGCTTATATACAAATTGTGAAAAGAACTCTTATGCTAAAAAGGCAGACAACTCTGGCATTTCACAAAAGAGGGAGGAAGGGAGATTCCGTAAATATGTGACACTAGATTCACCCCAGTAGTTATAAGGGAAATGCAATTCAAACCACCATGAAATATTGTAAGACATACACCAGGTTGGTAATAATTTTAAAAACCAGTGGTAATAACTTAAAAATCCAGCAATACCAAATGTTGGTAAGGAGGTAAGGATATGGAGCAGCACAACTCTGATATACTAGCAGTGATGTGAATTTAGTACAGTCACTCTGGAAAGAGTTTAGTATTTTCTAATAAAGTTGAAGATAAATGTGTTCAGTGACCTAGCAATTCCATTCCTACATATGTACCACCTCCATTCCTAAGTCTTTACCATGGAGAAAAGCATGCTTATGTGCATTAAGGATATTCACAGCAGCATTGTTCTTAATAGCCAAAAAACTGTCCATCAAGAGTAAAATGGATAATGATGAATATTATAAACAATGAAAATAAACTTTGGTTACACGTAAAAACGATGAGTCCACAATGTTGGAGGAAAGAAGCAAGACAAAAGAATACATATAGTATGACCCGGTTTATATAAAACAGCCAGACAACACTAAAAAGTATTGTTTATGGCAAGCCTTGGCAAACTTTCCTTTAAAGGCAAAATGATAACTGTTTTAGACATAACTGCCACATGGTCTCTGTCACAACCAAAAGCTACTAAACTCTGCCACTGTAGGCAGAAGCAGCCCTAGTCCAGCCAAAGTTGTGTTCCAGCAAGAACGAATACCTACCTTATGGATACTTGTATTCAAGATAAAATTACTTTTAAAAGTGAGAGAATGGGAGGAGGAAAATGATAACCATAAGAAGCTTTTGGAGAAGGGAGGGGTTTATGATCAGGGAAGGATGAATGGGGACTTCCAGGATGCTGGCCGTGCTTTCGTGTGGCTTGTGTGTGGAGGTTGCCTGGGTGTTCACTTTATCTGTTAAATTCTGTATAAAAGTTGTGCAACAAGTTGTATGTCTTCAATAAGTTTTAAAAAATAAGAATTTCAGTGTTTCCTTAAATGGTTAATTACTCAGTTTTATGTGGATTTTTGTTCGCTTTTGAATTGCCCTGCTTGCTTTCTGAAATGTGTCAAAGAAATATTTCTAAAAGAACTTAAATAGTAATATAAGACTATTATCTTACATGTGGTTTTTCTTTAAAATCACAAACATTTAAAAATATAGAACACGGCTGGGTGCGGTGGCTCACGCCTGTAATCCCAGCACTTTGGGAGGCCGAGGCAGGTGGATCACAAGGTCAGGATATCGAGACCATCCTGGCTAACACAGTGAAACCCTGTCTCTACTAAAATACAAAAAATGAGCCGGGCGTGGTGTCGGGCGCCCGTAGTCCCAGCTACTCGGGAGGCTGAGGCAGGAGAATGGCGTAAACCCAGGAGGCAGAGCTTGCAGTGAGCCGAGATCGCGCCACCGCACTCCAGCCTGGGCGACAGAGCGAGACTCAGTCTCAAAAAAAAAAAAAAAAAATGTAGAACACTACTTTGGATTAATAATTCAGGATATGAACACTAGATAATATATGTCAGAGGCTTAGATATAATATAGCTTTCAGTTACAATCTTGGCTTATTCACACCAAAGGATTACAGTGGTCCTCTTTCTCTTATTCACAGGCTCAGTAGATGAAGGCGTTTCTGAGGGCTTGCCTACACTTCAAAGCACGTCTAGCACTAATGCTCCTCCGGATGATGATGATCGGTCAGTACTAACATAGCATTTCGTTACCTCTTAAGGGTTGTGTTTACAACTCCAAATTCAAGCATTTCATCTCAAGAGTTGTAGAAGTTTATTACAACCTCACTTCAGTATACTTTTCAAAGTAATGAAGTAGCATCATCACATTATAAATTAGAGTACCTATACAAGGCTTTTTTTTTTCCCCAGCATTTCCAAAACTACCTAGTCCCATTGCTTTAAATCGTATCTGTACCAAGTGTTGGCAAACTATGAACCACAGGCCAATTCCAGCCTACCACCTTTATTTGTAAATCAAGTATTACTGGAACACAACCAGGCTCATTTGCTGACATATTGTTTGTGGATGGCAGAGTTGAGTGGTTGAAACAGACTGTATGGTGTGCAAAGTCAGAATGTGTGCTGTACGGACTGCTGTGAAAAACATCTGCCAAAGTCTGATCTGTATACCCATAACTCCCTCCCTGCTTGATATTTCCACATAAATGTATAAAGGGCATTTCACATTTAACAAGGCCAAGACAGAACTCTTGATTTCTAACTCCTTGTCTGAATCCTGCTTCTCCAGCCTTTCTCCCATTTCAGTAAGCATCATCATTATCCCCTAATTTCTCAAGCAAAATCTCTGAGGATTGTTCTTAATCTTTTTTCCTTACCACTCTTCATCTCCCTCGTAGTTAATCCTTAAGTCCTGTCAACTCTGCCTATAAAATATATCCCTGTCTACTTTTCTAATCTGTACTGTAGCCACCCTACTCTAAGTCACCACCATCTTTTGCCTTGACTACTGCAATAACCTTCAAAGTAGCCTCTGATTGCATTCTTCCCCTAATCCATTTTCCATGTAGCAGCCAAAATCATCTTTTCTTTTTTAATTAAGTCAGATTATGTCACTGTTTTAAGCTATAGATTCTTAACATTCTTTATTCATACCTAAAATCTATAGGCCTTGCTATGCCTTCTAAAGCCCTACACGATATGACTTCTGCCTAACTCCGTCTCAAAAAATAAAAAAAAAAAACAAAAGGCATTCTGGACATTAACATTGTTTTTCATATTGTTAAAGTAAAACTTGAAGTCTAACAGTTAAACTGTTTCAAAAAGTCTTTAAGTGTTTTATCTTTTTTCATTTAAAATTGACCTATAGCAGTGTTTATTCAGTTTAAAAATCAGAGCCTGGTTGCCTTCTTTGGTCTGTTTTTTTTAGATTGGAAAATGTTCAGTATCCCTACCAACTCTACATTGCTCCTTCCACCAGCAGTACAGAGCGACCAAGTCCAAATGGTCCCGACAGACCTTTTCAGTGTCCAACCTGCGGGGTGCGATTCACCCGTATTCAGAACCTAAAGCAGCACATGCTCATCCACTCAGGTAATGTCACCTTCCCTGTTGGTGCGTAAGTGAACGCTCTAAAACATTTTATTTTGCAGTCCCAGTTAAAATAGAAAACAGGGGCTTCTGAGTTTTAAAAAAAACTCTGGGAAGTCAAATGAAAACAGATTAGCTAAGGTTTATTGCTGAAATGATGCAGTGTCAGAAAGCTGCTTGCCACGGGTGTTGAGTATTCTGATTAAAAGAACATAAGGTGATATGGAGTGAGTACTTTGTAAATAAAAAGACATATTAGGTGTGCACATAGAGGTGAGATAGAGAATCACAAACACAGATGGTAAAGCAAATAGGGTTAAAAGGGTCTGTATGGGTGTTCTTTGTGCTGTTCTTCTTATAATGTCTCTTTAAGTTTGAAATTTTTCCCAAATAAAAGTGTGTTTAAAAATGTAATATTTTCTTGCTAATTTACTTTCAATTCTACAGTCCTAAATCTCTGTGTGCCCTGATGAGTCAGCTTTGTAGTTTGTATTTTTTTAAACATAACAGAGATTTTGGATAAATGTATAGAGGGGATTTGAAATTTTAGTTCAGTAATCACATGAAGGCAACAGGATTCTTGTGGGTAAAACACTGACCTCTGACGAGTAAGAGATCTTTGCTGCTGTTTTCAGCTGCGTGAGTTACTATCTCACTTTCCCCTTCTGTAGATAGGTCTTACAGTCCCTGTCCTAGCACCAATTCTCTGTGACTTTGTTCAATCCGTAGACTGTGTTTTGAAAGGTTTTAAAATTTTTTCCCCAAAACACTGTGATAATGAATTTGAGGAGACTATTAATACACTTTATAACTCATTTATTTCTATCAATATTACATCATATTACCCAAAAAAACCCATTATATCAAATGATGGTTCTGTCATGCTCATTACATTCAGAGATGTTAAAATTGTTCTTTCTTCTCGTTTCTCTGTGAGATAGGGAACAGAGAGTAGGTACTGATGATTTTCATATCCGTTCAATGTAAACCTCTAATGAAATGAAATAATATGTGCTGTTAGTGGGGATTTGGGTTCTGTCTACATACTGTAGTTAAATTGTGTTTTGAAGTTAGTAAAATAGATGATCTAGAAAAGCATTCAAAAATCAGCTTCAGTAGACGTTACCTAGTTTGCCTCCCCTACTGCCTTTTTTTCTTTTCCTTTTTAAGCACTTGTGACTTTTCACATATTCTGCACATTTTCTGAGATACTCAATTAGAATATGTTTTTGCTGGTAATTCTTGCCTTTTCAGATGATCTGTTGCTACAGAAATATAGTTCAGAAATTTGTAGGGTTTATGACTTTTCAGTTTATTTTTGTTTTTAGATATTTTGTTTTGCTTTATTTACAGGAATTAAACCATTTCAGTGTGACCGCTGTGGGAAAAAGTTCACCAGGGCTTACTCGCTAAAGATGCATCGCCTAAAGCATGAAGGTAAACGCTGTTTCCGGTGCCAGATATGTAGTGCCACTTTCACTTCCTTCGGGGAATATAAACACCACATGAGGGTTTCCCGGCACATTATCCGCAAGCCTCGGATTTACGAGTGCAAAACATGTGGCGCCATGTTCACCAACTCTGGAAATTTAATCGTGCACCTGAGGAGTCTGAACCATGAAGCATCAGAGCTAGCAAACTACTTCCAGAGCAGGTGAGGTGCACAACGAAAACCCAACCAGGAAAACTGCTTTCTAAACTCTCTTTTCCTGCTTTTAGGGCAGCCTTCTGTGTTTTTACATCAGGTTGCCAGCTAGTCAGTCACATTTGTTACGGATTCCCACTGTTCATACTCTAATCTCCTGATCTGATAAAATTTTGCTGAGTCTTCTACGTATATAAAATTATAAACATTTTATAGTTGGTATTAAAAATATTTTCCTGCAGAAGTAGACTACTTGTCCTCTTGAGATATTTTTTAAATAATACAAGGTTTAAGTAATTCTGTAATGGACCTTAAATAGATCTTACTGGAAATTTTACCATGTCAGATGATGCTTAGTGATACTGGATTACTCCAGACTCTAGATGTTAATAAAATTCTTTACCACTTCTCTCTATTTAAAAATATTCTATATAAAGGAATAGCCATTGGCCAGTAAGAAAAATTTCAAAGGCAACTATAGTGGGTGTGATGGTTTAGATCATGAAGTCATTGCTATTTTCATTCAGTTTAGAGCTCTATTCTTGTAATATTAATTTATAATAGAATTACCTTTCTGATTTATAGGGCATCCCAGGAAATCAGCTTCTAGATCTAGCTCTGCCACTAACTGCTGTTGATTAAACCTGTCACTTTACACATGAAAAAGCTTGAAACTTAGAGAAAGATAAAATGTAAGCTTTAAACGATGGTTTCTAAGGCCTTCTCTAGATATAAAACTGTTGTTTTAAATTGTTTATAAGAATTGTACTTCTGTAGGAATCCTTAGTTTCTCATAAAATGAAATTTTTACAAATCTTTCTTTTTTTTTTTTTTGAGATGGAGTCTCACTGTCACCCAGGCTGGAATGCAGTGGCACGATTTCGGCTTACTGCAACCTCAGCCTCCTGAGTAGCTGGGATTACAGGTGCCCACCACTACACCCAGCTAATATTTGTATTTTTAGTAGAGATGGGGTTTCACCATGTTGGCCAGTCTGATCTCGAACCCCTGACCTCAAGTGATCCGCCTGCTTCAGCCTCCCAAAGTGCTGTGGGATTACAGGCGTGAGCCACCATGCCCAGCCCAAATCTTTACATTTTAAATCACCCTTATTTTTAAAACCTTTTTTTTTTTTAATTGAATAGATAGGGTCTTGCAGTGTTGCCCAGGCTGAAGTGCAGTGGCTGTTCATAGACACAATCATAGTGCACTGCAGCCTCGAACTCCTGAGGTCAAGCAGTTCTCCTGCTGGGGCTACAAGTGTGGGCACCACCCCTGACTTAAAACCTTATTTGTAAACAAATTCCAAATTATTCCTGCGTAGATTTTGTTTTTCCCTTCAAACCAGACATTCATTTTGTTTAATGCAGTCATCTCTAATTCTGAATGTGTGGTTGCCATATCACTAAACCTTAGGTTATACATATCATATTAAACATAGTTTGTTCAGGACTAAAATAGTGTTCCTGTTAACTACTCATGTTATCTTTATCGTCCCTGTACAGAGCCCTGTATTCTCCATTCTTCTTCTCTAACACCTGAATGAAGACTTTTTAGAAAATATAACATAGGGCATTCTAAATTACTTTGCAGATGAACAGATTTTAATTTTTTATTAATACTGAACAATGAAATTATAAAATAACCTTATCAAGTCTAAGTACATATATTATTGACAATTATGGTATAATGAAGTTCTTAGTTCAGTAATAAAGATTTAAATAAAGCCTCTAAGATAAGACTTATTTCACATACTTAGTTTCAATTACCAAAAGATGCTTATAAGTAGGAAATTTAGGAAATACAGAAAAGTATGAAGAAGAAATTTAAAATATTTTCTATTTCATCACTTAAGGAAAGTAGCCACTGTTTTTAGTATATTTTACTGTCCATGTTGCCTGTGGGGACCAATAATTGAACACGTTTTGAGGATTATCACATAACCAATCTCAAGGCATTCATTTCCAAATTCTTTATTAGTATTTTCATATACCAAATGTAATAGCAGGATACACATAAATTACTTTCTACATTTCCCAACTTTATAGTAGATTATGTATCAGGTCATTTATGCATAAGGACTTAGTTTCTTAACTAACCTATGTCAAGTTTAGTAATACAAAGCTAGGTTTATATATCTCTTACTCAATGTATAATCAAGAAAAGTTTAGCATTAAAGTTACTCAGATGATCTTTGTTTAAGTGAGCATGCTACATTTGTTTTGTATATAGAAACTCCTCTACATAGAACAAGAAAGGCTGTTAAGGTGTCCAGAGTTATAATGAAAGTGATAATTAACCTGATGTATTGGTGGTGGGGAAGATTGATACATTTTGGTTTTAATGGATGTTTTGGTTCATATTTAGGAAAGTTTATAAGTTGAAAGTTCCTGAGTTTTAATCTTCACTGAACAATTAGTGAAATGAAGAGTCCCAATTTTGTTGTATAAATCAGAGCTTTTTACTGTTGCTTATCTATTACTGGTTTGAAAATTAATTCCATATTTCATCCTTTGCCTCTTATCTAGTGATTTCCTAGTACCGGACTACTTAAACCAGGAACAAGAAGAGACCCTTGTTCAATATGATCTTGGAGAACACGGTTTTGAAAGCAACTCCTCTGTTCAAATGCCTGTCATTTCACAGGTCTCCTCAACCCAGAATTGTGAAAGCACTTTTCCCTTGGGGTCTCTTGGTGGGCTGGCAGAAAAAGAGGAAGAAGTGCCAGAGCAGCCAAAGAGCAGTGCTTGTGCTGAGGCAACCAGAGATGACCCCCCAAAATCAGAGCTGTCTTCTATAACTATTGAGTAGTTTTGTGATTTGGCTTCAGTTTTGTTTTTTGGAAAGTGCCTGTGCTTGGTCTTGTACATTTAAATTTAATTTAATTTTTTAAACAAAAAAAGCCGGGTGGGAGGGAGGGGGAGATTGGGAAAGAATTTCCCTTTTTACTTTCTGAGCCCTGAAACTGATTTTATTTTTCCTAACTGAGAGATTGCTTCTGTAAGTACACAATAACATGATGTTGAAACAGAAACTATGAGACTTAAGGAGAACTGGTTGACTTAAAACATATACCAGTTCCTTCTTCCATTGTTAAAAGTAGGCTAACAACAGATCATTAGCTAGAGAGGAAATCAGATGATTATTGACCTTCTTGAGACAAGAGGGTACATGAGAAACTAATTACTAAACAGCTTGACAAATGGCCTGAGTAGATACTTACTGCTGTACACAGGATGTTGTATAATATTTTGTAAAGCCTGTTGTTTTTGGAAGTATTTATGGTAAGCTTTCTTAAAAATTATTATGGTAAATACTTCTGAAATCCGGCGTACTTTTCTTTAAGCTTTGTCATTTCTGTTATGATTTTTCATGGTGAAATTTTGGTACTGAGATGGGCATTCTCTGTACCTTTATAGTACCACTCCAAAGGCAAGGAACCATGATTGACAACAGTCAAGCTGTGGATGAAATGACCAGGAACGGAGAATGAAGTATGTAAATCCCAGCTTCATAGGAACTCTTCTCATACTGCTTTTCAGATTAAAATTGCTGTTTACCTGGTCTCCGAATGTAATGCCTGACTGTGTCATTGCCCGGATCAGTTTTCCCCCTGCCCCATCAATATGTTCTCTTGCATATATTGGCGTGCTGCCATATAAAGTAAAAATACTGGAGATATTCTATATTTTATATATAGGTTTATGTGTTGTTGGGGATGTTTTCATTGTGCTCTTTTGGACATAATAAATAATTCTCTATTGAGGCTACATTCTTTTTTTTTTTCTTTTTTTTTAAAAGAATGGCATCTCACTCTGTTGCCCAGGCTGGAGTATAGTGGCTAAGTCATAGCTCACTGCAGCTTCGAACTCCTGGGCTCAGGCCATTCTCCTGCCTCAGCCTCTTGAGTATCTAGGATTATAGGCATGCTCCACCACACCTGGTTAACTTCATTTTTATTTTTTGTAGAGATGAGGTCTCACTATGGTGCCCAGGCTGGTCTTGAACTCCTAGACCAAGTGATCCTCCTCCTTTGGCCTCCCAGACTGCTGGGATCACTGCACCGGCCAAGGCTGCATTCTTAACCCAACTAGATTGTTTACTGAATCCCATATGACAGCGATACATTGTCCTTACATATTTATTTTTAGACATTGCAAAGTTATTAAAAACAGTTAACTATAGTTTTTACACAACGTAGGCAACAATGAAGAGTATAGACTGTAAGATTTTCATCTATGACTCATAAATCTGGGAGAAAAAAATTATTAAGACTAATGAGAAACTGAAAACCTTAAACTAATGAATATTATTTCTGCTGCTAAAAATATGAAACTTTCTGGTCTGTAGTTGAAATTTGTATGATCCTCTAGACTTGGGTATACTTTTCATCTGGTGCCATTAAAGCATCTCTAATATTGATCCTAAATATTTGTAAGTCCATGAGCAGTGAACTTTGGAATAAGTTTCTGTGTAGATACCCAAAGTTTAATAATTATGAGAGCACCTGATTTGATAGACAGAAAATACAGTTCTTTAGTCAAAACACAAGATCTGAATTTTGTTCAGGTGCTAGACCATACTAAATGTATATATTTTTAATTATAGTGATTTGTTTCATTTTTTTAGATTGGCTAATTCTGTAATTTTTTCCCCAAAAACATGTGAAGAAAGGAAAAGTAAATTAAATTCCTTAGAACTGTTTTAGGTTAAGATTCTCTGTGTCTGCCCATATTCTGCAGTCCTTAACTTGTTTTCAACTCTTTACCTCACTCATGAACTTGTTTTTACCCATTTGCTGCCAAACATAGGTGTGTTCCCTTCAGGAGAATCAGCATATACAGGTTATGATAGGCTCCCACCATTTATGCTTCTTCACTGATAGGGTTGCATTACTTTCTGCAGCAGACTATAATACTTCATATAGTACTGCTGTGTCTCAACTGGAAAGGTCAGGAATTTTAATGTTACGTTGTGGTCTTTGAAAACTGTTAGGCCTAGCAATAGATAAATCTCAAAATTAATTTTAAAATCTGTATTGACAAGAATAGGTAAAATTATGACCAGGAATCATTGTTACCCTTAGTTCCAAGAGGTGGTTTTTGAAAGAGCAAGAGGAAAGAAAAAAGAAAAGAAGGAAAGAAGAATAAAGAAGAGAAACGTGTAAGAATGGTTTGCAGATTGATTGGTTAAAAGTGTTTTTAGCACATCCCCAACCCTGAAAACTTCGCATTAAGAGCCAAGCACAATGTTGGTAGCTCCAAGATATTCTGACTGTGTTCTCAGAATGAGGGATTACCCATCACTGGGTATTCCTTCCCAAGTAGAAACTTTAGATTTTCACTGGTAATACACATTGCCAAGTTTTATGGGAAATCTGAATATACTGTGAAAATGCATATCTGGTTAGTTGTCTGCTGCCCAGATCTTATCAATACCAGTAACTAACCAGTATTTAACATAAAATGATACAAATAAAGGCCTTTTTCTATTTCAGTGAGGGTACATTTTTCTTGATATATATGTACTTTAAGGATATTGGATCTGTTTATGGATCTGTTTTAGGAAACAGATTTGCAAGGGATAATTGTATATATAGTAGTATTTAGGTTTATTTCAAATTCATCTTAGGGATGCCTAGATGCATAATTTTTACCAGGACATATTGAAAATATTGCAAAGAGATAGCCAGTTATATTATCCCATTCATTAGAAATTACCAGTGTAACTAAACATAAATATTCCAGTTTAGAGTGCTTAAACGTAGCTATCTTTCTTAAGGCCAGGAGGGTAACTTTGTGGTATCTAAAGGGCTTAAATTTCAGAATGCAGAATAAATTGCCTTTTTAAAACCAAGCATTTTGTACAAGCTTTTATTTTCAGTTTTTTAACTACCAAATAGGTGTGATGTACTTTAGAAGTAAACAAAGATGTTCACCCATGATAATGGATGTTAAAGCTCCTGCAGTTGTTCTTTTCGTGTTTAAAGGGTATATTCTAATAGTGGAAGCATCAAACATGTCAGTGATTTCATCTCATTCAGAAATAAAGAGATTAATATTGGTCTTTATTTTTTGGCATTTTAAGTTTTATATAAATGGATGCAGATGGAGATTATCACCCACAAATATATTTAAATGGATTTTTCTTAATTTGAATTTCAAGTAATCTTTTTATTTCAAGTAATTAGTTACGCATTTAGTTACATTGCCAGTTTTTTTTTTTTATCAATTTCAGTAAGACAAAATATACTAAAATGTTTAAATAGCCTCATTCAATCTTACATTTTGACATTTCAGCAATCATTCTGGCTTACAGTAATTAGATCCCCTGTTACGACACATGCCCTTTGTTCTTAATAACTAGCAAAAAAAAAAAAAAAAAAAAACTTTCATCTTGTTAAAATACTTTGCCAAATGAAATAGACTAGTCAATACATCTGATGTCCATAATTATTGGTAACTCAGTTACCTTCTAACTAATAGGCTGGTTCAGGAGACTCTCCCAGTTTATAAATGGTTCTCTTGGGAGCCTTTGGAAGCTGTATTAAATCTTTCAGTCTTTTATTTCTAATTTTTTCTCTTAATCTAAATAGAGGCCAGTTATCTATTTTATCAGCTTTTATTCTTGAAGATTCTCAGATTATGTTTTAGTCCCTTTTAGCTTTAATAGTCCTTGAAAAATACATTACTGTATAATGTGGCAATTCTGTAACAGAGACTTATTACTTGAATGAATAATCCTAAAATTTTAATATTTTAGCTGAAGTTTGAGATTTGTGGAATGAACAAAAGAATTAGAAACTTTCATATGTTACTTTGTTTCAGTCATCTGCAAAGTATGAAGCTGTAATTCTGAAATACACATCCAAGTGAATGAGAATTAAAAATTTTCTAAATATTAATACTAACTGGGAAAAAAAAACTAGTGTGAAGTTTACAGTTAGAAGAAACAGACCCAAAGTTGCCAGAAGGTAATAAATAAATGTAGTTTTCACTGTAAGTAAGTTATTGACGTAAGATGCTTTATTTGTAATATATTTAGATTTTGAAAGTTATTGAGAGATGAATGTATAAAAGCTAAATTTTCTTTTCTGAAGCAGTGAAACAAAATTGGGGTAACAAGGAAGCTCTGTTGTGGCAAACATGTCTATGAGGAATATTAAAACTAAGCATACTCCCACAGGCTTTAAACTCAAACTATGAACATTTAAATTAAGTTGTTCCTTATTTTGCCTATACCCATTTTTATCTTTCATTGTCGTTTTTGCTTGACAGTATGGTGACAGAGTATTTTTATTTGGAAAGTCCTCAGCAAGATGAATTAGCCAAAAGCAATAATGGTTCAGATTAAACAATAAAGTGGAATTGATTCAATCCCAGGCTCAACTAAGAACAGTCGCTCTCTGGATGTTTCATTTTAGACGATAGATAAGTTGAGATGTTGTAATATTTATGGGGGGTTAAGCCTGTGTCAGTTATGGGATGAAGACTTGTAGTACCAGTACCATCAGTGGTCATACTTTTTTTTAACTTTTTACTAAACTAATACAGTTAGACATTTCCACTCTATCGTGATTATATTTTTATGATGGGAAAATAAAAACACTTCCATGTTTTTATAAATAGTCTCTGCAAAGATTTCAGATGTTATTGGTATCTCGGTTTGGCAGTATCTGAAAAATTGAGATTGTCTTTGAAATGTTTGTGCTACTTTTACTTAAGTAAACCCCCACTGTGCAAGACCCAGGCCGGCTTCAGCTAATACCAAGGTTTCTGTGTGCATAATAGTTTACAGAGAACTTAAGAGTAAGGACTGCGGATTAAAAACAAAACTTTTTTTAACTTTAAAATTTTTAGTTTTTGTTCAAAGTACCTGGTTTATAAAGTCAAATTCTTTTATTAGTTCCTTTCTCGTTTAAATTGACTGATGTTGCTGATGAAGCTTAAAGTCCCAGGCACGGTTGTGGCGATATACTGATAAAATTGGTGCCTAGTGGTGGGAGGAGCTCCAGTGTCAGGACTTTTATTAAAAGGCCCTTGTTTTCCCAAATGCCAATCTAGCCACATTTAGATTTCATTATTCAATAAAACAGATGAAAAATCATCCCATAAATGAATGTTGAGGTTACCAAAGTACATCACCTGCTGAGGAAGGATAAATCTTCCTGCTTTAAGGGAGCCCTGTCATCTCTCCTCTTAATGCACGTTTCCCTTGGTATTAGTGGAAGCTGTGTTCAAGATGGGAAGCCTTTCCTGCAGTTCTTAGAAACACCTGCTTTCTAAGGAGAGCCTTTTCTAGGATTAGCTTATGTGTGTTTTCTCTAGGCGATTTTTTATTTCAGTTACCAATTTAATTTTCAAGTTGACAGATGCTGTGTAAAGTCTCTCATAATGAGAGTAGTCCATTAAATTGTTGAAAGTTGCACTGCTTTTCATCTTTCAGGTACCTGAAATGAGTGACATCAGGTATTTGGAAGGAGTAAGATCATAAACTGTATTCATTTTCTTCCTTGTACAAAGTGATGACTTCTAATGCTTATATCTCAAGGTATTTTTTAAAAAAGCAACGGTCCCTAATAGAGTAAAATTTGGTTTTGGTCCAAGTTCCCAATAATGTATTTAATGTTTCTGTTGTTTACTGGTGCCTCCCGTTGCATCAGGTAGAGATTGCCTGCCTCTTTGTAGGGCAGCCTTGTGGCACCTTATGTCCAACTTGGAGGATAGTATATGGCTTCTTTGTGCCTCTACTATCTTTTCAAAAGCCATTTTATAAAAATCCTAGGTAGCCTATTTTAATATTTAAATATATATATTTGTGAAAGAACTTTTAGAACAGACCTTTTCTTTTTACTTTAAAATTCCTGTATTTCCATTTTTAAGAGTAAATTTAATCTCCAGGATTTAGAAGTGTCTTTCCAGAGAAGCATAATGAGAAAGTCAGACTGAGGTAATAAGACCAGAATTAAGTGATAGAAGAAACTGTTGTTTGGTTAAAGGACACAGATTTGAAGGAAAAAAATTTTGATGTAACAATTTTTTAAATAAAATTTTGTTTTTCTGTAATGTCATATTTGCTGCTACAGTAGCTCAATATTTTACAGGGCTAACATAAAGCTGGCTCCATTTAAAAACTGGAGTACTTCCTAGTGCAGCCAGCCTAGGCGGAAACTGTACACCATGGTCTTCCAGATGGGTGACTGATGGCTTTGGGTAGCTGATGCATGCTTTAATATTTGCCTATAGCCCGGCAGCAAGGAAGTCGGGGCGGGGGGACTTTTTTACCCTGCCAGTTATAGCATTGTGATTCTTTCTGGGCACTGGCATTTTGTGAAACTCTCAAGGGAAGGTGATGCAGGGGAGAAAATGTGAATTAAATTACATAGATGGGTGTTTTTATGTCTTCTACCCCTTTCCTAGAATTAGTACAACTCTTAACTGTGCCAGTCCCCAGTTCACCAGCTTTGTATCCAGTCGTCATCTCATTCAAGTATGGCTTTACTTGGTGACACTGGCCATAGCTAAGTTAACTTGGCATGTTTGACTTTTGACAATAACAAAAATGGTTTTGGATTTTGTTTTATTTCCAAAAAATGTATACAATATCAGAACTTCACATTTTATATACTAGTATCTGGCTATTAGTATTTTACAGGAACCATAGTTCTTGGTGACTACATATATATATATATTTTTGTGACCTTTTTTGTAAACTAAGTGCCGTTTCAACGTTACAATCATTTTTAGGGTTATTGTAATCAATGTGAATATCATGTTTTTTCAAATCTGTTCTGAGCCTATAGTGTTTGCTTTGTGAACATGTGTATTGTATATATTCTGTATAGTTATATTGTACTGAAATTAGCTTGTTTGATATAAGGAAAATATGTATTGAGTACCTTTTTGCTAGCCTGATTGTTTAATCTTTTTAAAAAAGGTTTAAACTTTTTTTAAAAAAAAAATCTTTAAACTGGCCTTTATTACATGGTCACACATAAAGTTGCAGTTAGGAAAGGGATGGGCAGGGAAAAACTAGTTTTGAGTGTCTTTAGATAGAAACATGAGACTAAGGTTTGATTTTGTTTTCGTTTTCTCATTAAAATATCTTATGCTTTATGGAATAAAACTTCCTGCTGTTGTTATTTATTGTTTGCTGGGCGGCAGTGTTGCCTGCGGTCATGTGAGTGAGAAAAGGCATCAGAGTAATTCATTACTTAAATAATTATCTACTTAGAGTGCACAGAGTAGAGAGGGTTATATTAGACAGCACATGTCAATTTTTGGTGAAGTAGAGCTTAAGTGCAAAGATCTCACAAACACCATACCCCAACTTGGAAGGAGAGTATAAAGGCAGCTAGTTAGAGGACATCATCCAATCCTAGAGCTATTGAATCAGGTTCTTGTGTAAAGCTGGGTACTAATGGGTGGGTTGCATCTTTCAAAGTTGCTCTGATTCTTTATAAAGTCACATTTTATTGACTAGAGACCAATTGGTGCCATTTCAATGATATCTTACAACCAAGGAGTAAAAAGTGGGTACCTAGCAGGGGAAAACAGCTCATTACATAGGTATGAATCTATGAGATCCTGAGGAAGGAAAAGTTTTCTAACTTTAGATTCACTGATGTGGATTTTGACAATACCGGTCTTTAGAATGACAGTAACAGGCAAATAAAATTATTTTATTGACCTCAAGCTACCTGGATCATTTTAGAATTAAGTTCAGAGAGGAAGAGGGTAAATTTTAAGAAGCACACTCTTTCATTCCAGTGTGTCGAGCATTTTTAACAATTTACCAAATCATTCAAAGTCAGAAAATGTTGGGTTCTTCAGTAGCCTTGACCACAGATGATGTATATAAGTGCAGAATGAAGAATTCAAAACAGATATATCCTTGCCAGCCATGGTGGCCCACACCTGTAATCCCAGCACTTTGGAAGGCTGAGGGAGGAGGATCACTTGAGCCCAGGAGTTCAAGACCAGCCTGGACAACATAGGGAGACGTCTCTACCCAAAAAAAAAAAAAAAAAAAAAAAAAGCTGGGCCTGGTGACACGCACCTGTAGTCCCAGCTACTCAAGAGGCTGAGGTGGGAGAATTGCTTGAACCTGGAAGGTCAAGACCTGCAGTGAGCTGAGATTGCACCACCGCACTCCAGCCTGGGTGACAGAGTGAGAACCTGTCAGTTGGCTTTGCATACTTGCATATAAATTACGTACCAGAAAGATTCCTTTCAGAGAATGATACTAAAAGTAATGACCAAAGATGTGTATCTCAACTGATAGAGCAAAAAAAAAGTTTGGGCTTTTTCTCTTTTGAACAGGAATTTTGGTTCTAAGAACTAAACTGAGAAAGTTAAAATCTACAAACATACCAAAGGTTTAAAGGGGCAGAACTTGCATGTAACAACATCAAACCCCCAAATTTAATGTAATTCTTTTTTGGGGAGTTAACTTCTATACAGATAGAAAAACTAACACAGGGCATATTCAATCTAGAAAGTCAGTCCTCTTGAGCAAATAGATTTATAACTAGGGTTTGAACACCTTTATGGACAAAGGGAAAGCTGTTTTGTTGTTTTCTTAAATTCCAATTCATTTACTTGAATTTTTCTGCAAAATTAAAATTTTTACACCTATCTGTTTTGTAGATGAGAAAGTGGAGCTAGCTTTAGCATCGTTTTGCAAGGCTTCCTCACTTCATCCCATGCCCTTTCTTCCACACCTGCCTAATTTTTCCCATGACTAACATTTCTGGCTGCCTTTGGCTGGAAGTCATTTAGTGAGTGTCTCATTTACCAGAGATCCTGAAAGTTAGGCTCAGTACCCCACACACACCCCTAGTAAAGGGCCAGCTCAAATGACCTGGCCTTTGATGATTCTTGACATCTAGAGACCCTCTGTTGACAAAGTTGCCTTAGGACATAACAAGAAAATATTACACCAAATAAATGTTCTGTAGCCCGTTTTAAATTGGGGCTCAGACAGAAATGCTGACAGTTCAACAACAGTACATATAGTAGGAACTGTGTACCTAACTTTCATCCAGGAACAGAATTCTTTGTTGAGTGCAGATGATTTACAAAATTAGTAAACAGTCCTTTTCTGTTCTTTTTTTTTTGAGGTGGAGTCTCACTGTTGCCCAGCCTGGAGTGCAGTGGTGCGATCTCAGCTCACTGCAACGTCCGCCTCCTGGGTTCAAGCGATTCTCCTGCCTCAGCCTCCCAAGTAGCTGGGACTACAGGCGCCCGCCACCACACCCGGCTAATTTTTTGTATTTTTAGTAGAGATGGTGTTTCACTATGTTAGCCAGGAGAGTCTCCATCTCCTGACCTCGTGATCCACCCACCTCGGCCTCCCAAAGTGCTGGGACTACAGGCGTGAGCCACCGTGCCTAGCCTAACAATCCTTTTCATTTTGTTTTACGGTTTATAAACTGCTAGCACTTTTTAGCTATTTGATCTTGAGAAACCCAGTAAGATAAACAGGAAAAGTACTAACAGATGTGTGATCCACGTAAACGGTGCCCTTCCTGCCCATTACAGGGAGAAAGATCCACTGAGAAATCAGGCCGTGAACAGGGCTGGAGTCTCAAGAGGTATTGACTTGGTGGAGTCTCTGTGGACTCGGCTCTCTCCCAAACACAGTTCCTGGAAGAACAGGAATTGGGGTTCTTTTGTGCATTGGCACTTTGTGAAACCTTTGAGGGAGGGTAATGCTGGAGGGAAATGTGAATTCTCTAGGTGGCTGTGTCTAAATTACCTTAAAGGAGAGCCATTGTAACTTTTTCTTACGGTGTGAAAGGAAGTGCTCGTGACCATTTTCTAAAGATGTGCACTGGTCGATTTTTTCTCATGTGCTGTCATCTATTTAATACCTCCACAGGGTTATCCTTCACAGCCCTGTTGATAACATTTTCCATTATTCATCCCTGCTGCTACTAGCTTCATCCGAGCCTGTGTTGTTTCTGGCCTAATAACAGCACCAGCCTCCTTGCTGCCATTCCCTCCCTTCAGCTGGGCTTCCTTCCAGTCCATCCTTGGCATTGCTACTGCAGTCATCTTTCTAATCAGGCCACTGCCCTGCCGAAAGCCTCCTGCCCCCCACTCCCCCGGAACCCGCCCCTCAGCCCTCACACTCCCCTTCTACCTGCCTCGGTTTGAGGTTGACTCACTCCTGTAGATTCCCACAGTAGATTTTGTTTGCCTTTACCAAACCACTTCTCAGCCACACAGCCTTGCAAAATCTACCTCAGAGGAGTTGTGAGAATCGAGTGAGTTACATGTAAAATGCTTAGAACCATGCCTCGTATGTTGTGACCACTTCAGAAGCCTCATCTGTTGATTACAAGACTGGCATCACGCTCGCGTGTCTCCCTCACCTGACTACATTCTTGAGATCAGGGAATATGCCTTCTATTTGTGTGTCCTCTGTAGTACCTGGTACAGAGAACTCAAAAACTGTCAAAGGAATGATTAAATGTTGCCAAGAAGTGGTCATAAGCTCCATGTACGACAGTGCTTACAGGTACTTACCCGGGAACTTTAGGACAGAATACCTAGAATTATTTTCATCAGACTGCCTGATGATTAGCCTCAACTCTCACTTCAGCAAATGTCTCAGAGTCTCACTCGTTTTTAAATGAGGGTCTGAAATAGGCTGTAGGAGTTATGAATTAATACTAACTTTAATCCTCAGAACAACTGCTATCAGCCTGGCTAGACTTTCCCCGAACTGTTCTTTAGGACACTGGCATCTGCCGTTTTTCTCCCCTTCACCTGGTTTCCTCATCCATTAAGTTCATATTAAGTATCCCTTCTTAAGGAAGCTCTCCCAGAGCCTTTCCTGCTAGGTTGAGACTTTGTATTATGTTCACATAACATCCTGCGCTTCTATTACTAATGTAACTGACTAAACAGCTGGACTAAACCCCATTACATCAAGTTCCACTAGGACAGTGACCGTATCTGTTTCTTGTACCAGGGGGTCCCCAGGCCCAAGGTTGTTTGAATGAATGAAGTCTCTGCCCTTAAGGAACTTATGGAAGTAAGCAGAAGTAAAGAAGAATTACAGAAATACAACTGATAGAAATAACTGATTGCCCTGAGAGAAACACCAAAAAGTATACTTTGGAAATTTGAAGAAGTGGGAGACCTGGCTGGAGGGGTGAGGGAAGGTAGCATGGCAGAGGCACCACTTGAGCTGGGTCTTCCTTGGGAAGAGATGTAGGATTTGTACAGACAAGTGACGGAGAAGGAGATGACTCCGGGAAGCAATACGCAGCCTCAGAGGTTGAGGGAACAGAAGGAGTGTAGCTTGCTGAGCCTTGCAGGATCCCTGAAGGGAAAGAGTGGAAGAAAACCTTGTAAACTAGACTAGCACCAGGTCAGAGAAGGCCTGAAGAACTGCAGCTATATTTGGTAGGAAATCGAGAATCGTCTCACATTTTCGAGCACAGAAACATCAGAGCCCTCTCTAGAAATATTAAAAGCAGATTAAAGGGATGCATACGGACTTAACTGAGACCCCTGAGTTACAACAGAACTTCGGGTAAGAACCCAGAAGAAGGGGATGGGAGTAGGGCTGGAGAGGAAGGGATGTGTGTTCGTGACATCGGGGCTGACGGAGACGTGGTAGGTGGGGAGAGTGGGGAGAGGCGGACCTGATCTTCAGTCCAGGTGTCCTCTGTGCACCGTAGAGAATAGCTGCTGCATTCTAAGCTGTAGCAACACCAAGTGTGTGGCCTTAAACGCTTAGGCAACCTCCCTTTTCTGTTGTTGGTTTCTTTGAGAGGGAACTGTCTGAGAGAAAATGGAGCAAGAATTAGGCCAAGTTCAAGAGTTGGGCTTCAGAATTAGGCTAAAGGAGAGATTCCCCGCGTCGCTAATCCCAGCACTTTGGGAGGCTGAGGTGGGTGGATCACCTGAGGTCAGGACTTTGAGACCAGCCTGGCCAACGTGGTAAAACCCCAACTTTACTAAAAGTACAAAAAAATAGCCGGGCGTGGTGGCGGGCGCCTGTAATCCCACCTACTGGGGAGGCTGAGGCAGGAGAATCGCATGAACCCAGGAGGCGGAGGTTCCAGTGATCCGAGATTGCGCCACTGCACTCCAGCCTGGGCAACAAGAGCAAAACTCTGGCTCAAAAAAAGATGGCTTTTCCTGGACAAAGTCGAAGCTTGTTTCCCCAACACAAGCCAAGGACCCTGTGGCTGTGAGCTAGAGGCAGGTGCTTGCGGCACTTATAGATTTTAATTTTTAAAAGAGCTCATTCTCCATATCCAAATTGTTGGCATCTGTGGGAATTTAAAATGCCATTTAAAAGACCTGTACCTGTCAGATCCCGAGACACGTCTTTCCCACAGAGAGTCTGGCTGACTACACAGCTACTCCTGCGTGTAGGACGCAGAATGCCTATGCGTGCAGATGTGCTTCACGGGCATGTGCCATGTGTTCATTCAGTAGATATGAAATGGCTTTCATAAGAACGTTTAACTGCCCTGGAGAAGGCCTGGGAAGGGGATGAGATTTAAACAGGGGCATTGTGCATTTGCATTGATTCATCCGATAGTACCCGATATGTGCCAGTACGAACCCCGCCCCCGCCACTTGCCTATGAGCATTCCAGTCCCCTACATAGATACAGGCTGTCACACACGGCAGGGATTTCCTTGTGGTCTCAAGAGAAACACTGGCACAGACTAGCTTTGGAGGAAGAGTTAGTTCTAACTTTACGTTGTGCTTTGTAAGTACGCCAATACATGCACATGTATCTACACAGACACACAGACGTGTACAACTTATCTCAATGGAGAGTAGGGAAAACTGAAGGAGAGGCCTCCCCAGTTGAGTAAGAGAGAACCTTTGGACCCCTAGTCCTCCCCATGTCATCGGAATGCTCTGTAACCACCAGTCATGCCCACCCACATGCCTTCTCCCAGACCCTGGTGGGATTGGACAGTAGGGCCCTGTGCCTCCACCCATGAGGTACATGACAACAAGAGCCCTTCCACACACACAAATCGCCGTGCTCCCCGTGGAGCCTGCCGTGGCAGCCAGCCCCTGACTGGCCTCTGTTAACAGGCATCAGGTGTGGAAGGAATTGCCCCAATTTGCTGATTGTCTCTCCACCTGGACCGTTCCAGGCACAGTCATCGGTTTGCCCCACCTCTCGTGTGCATCAGCGCACTTTCCAGTTCCTCTTCCAGAGGAAAGCGTAGGTAGGGAGTGGGGCAGAGGGATGAGCAGAGCCAAGAGCAGGGAAACCACCAAGCAGCTCGGCTCTGCCCAGCAGCCCTCAGTCTCCAGGGGAACCAGCTGCCACCCACACAGCATGCAGCGCCCAAGCTCCAGAACCTCGGAGTGTGGGCCTCGTCCCTGGTTCTCCCCACACGGCATCCCAAGAGGCCACCTGTAGGTGCGGGGAGTGAGCAGCTCTGTAACCTGTGCTCAGAGACACTAAGGTTCGGTGCATGCTTCCCAGAAGTTGTCCACGGTGCCGTTACAAGAATAGCCAGTGTCCAAAACAGAGGAGGCTCACGCATCTTAAGAAGGATGAAAAGCATCTGGGTGGCCATGGCAGGTTCCAGGTCATGTGGATCCAGAGTGACAGGAACATGTGGTAAGAAACACGCTTACCTTTCCAGAGCCAAAAACTCATCCTTCAGTGGCTGAGTGCTGATGAAATGTTTACAAACCACTCAGCCCGTACCCTCTGCCTCTGGAAGGTTCCCTCCTTCCGCCTGTGGTAGACGTGCAGGCAGGAGGGCTCTCGGTGCGTGGGGATGCGAGGCAGGAGCTTGCCATGCGCGTCCCTTCCCCTCCCTGCACCTCGCTGCCCTCCAGGCGTTATTCGGAGGATCCCAGCGGTACTCCTGGTTCCTAGAACAAGGCCTGGCAAACAGACGCCAGTGAGTACCCTCTAGATGAACACATGGGGAGACAGAAGGGTGAAGCTACTGGCCGGGTGCAGTGGCTCACGCCTGTAATCCCAGCACTTTGGGAGGCCAAGGCGGGTGGATCACGAGGTCAGGAGATCGAGACCATCCTGGCTAACACGGTGAAACCCCGTCTCTACTAAAAGTACAAAAAATCAGCCGGGCGTGGTGGCGGGCGCCTGTAGTCCCAGCTACTCGGGAGGCTGAGGCAGGAGAATGGCGTGAACCCGGGAGGCGGAGCTTGTAGTGAGCCAAGATCGCGCCACTGCACTCCAGCCTGGGTGACAGAGAGAGACTCTGTCTCAAAAAAAAAAAAAAAAAAAAAAAAAAAGTGAAGCTACTGGAAATGGGTCCACAGGAATGCAAGTCTGGTAATCAGGTTACAGTTAAACACCCCAAGTACGATATGAGCCTCAATATACTTCCTCCCTCCCTTGGGCATTTTCGGAAATGAAGGAACGCCAATTATGAACTGTTCACAGAGAAGTCCAGCCCTTCACGGCTCGGGGTGCTCCTTGGTGCCCCCGTACCGAAAGTGGTGCGTGCCAGCTCTGCAGGACCTTAGCAAGCCCCACCCCAAGTCTTCATCCACTTCCCTAGGCCTTAATATGAACATAGCAGGTTAGCAGCATTATTTAACCTTGGAGAAGAAAAGCTTTATAGATGTGAAGGCTTCCAGGTACATTAAATAAGAAATCCAAGCTCTGGCAGAGGTGATCTGAGGAGCATCTCTATACCCCTGAGAAGACAGCAAAGAGAGGACTTGGTTCCCCATAGTAGTGACCATGTTCCCAAATTCCCTTGGCCTCCCATAAACCTGCTCCAACCCGGGAATGTGCCAGGGACTCCTGTGTGGCTCCAGCCCTTACCACTCTCCAAGGTCACAGAAGTGAGGCCTGCTCCATGTGTGCAGAGATGGACCGTTTTGGTCAAGTGTTCAGGAAACGCTTGTGGGACTTTAGGTGTCTGCCAGCCTCTCCAAGACACAGTGAGTTCCCCACTGTATGCCCAAAACACCCGGGGTGAGGGTCAGGGCACAGGAAGGTAGCCCGGCCAGCCCCTGGAACGCCACCTTCACAGCGGTGTCCAAATCTGAGGCCTCCAGGCCTGATGTTTCTACTCATGGAAACACAGGTGTTCGACGTCTATGCTTCACCAAGACGCACCATAAACCGTGTGGGCAGGGGCTTGTGGAGAGAGGTGGGCTGCCCAAAGCTGCCTTCTGAACCACACATCCATCCTGCCCTGCTGCCCAGCTGGCCCCGCTGAAACACACTGTGCGTTCCCTGCTGCCCTCACTGCAGTGAGTCCCAGGGCGGACACTGAACCAGGCCCAAATCATCTTTACTGAACCCAAACTTACAAAACATTATTTTAAAAACTAAACCAGGCTGGGCGTGGTGGCTCACGCCTGTAATCTCAGCACTTTGGGAGGCCAAGGCGGGTGGATCACCTGAGGTCAGGAGTTTGAGACCAGCCTGGCCAACATGGCGAAACCCTATCTCTCATAAAAATACAAAAATTAGCCAGGCATGGTAGCAGGCACCTGTGATCCCAGCTACTCGAGAGGCTGAGGTGAGAGAATCACTTGAACTGGGGAGGCAGAGGTTGCATTGAGTCAAGATCACGCCATTGCACTCCAGCCTGGGCAACAGAGCAAGACTCCATCTCAGAAAAGAAAAAAAAAAAATTAAATGTCTTTTGTTTAAAATAAATACCCAACAAAATAGTTCAAGCTGTGAACCACTCATTCGTTTTTCAGAAGCCTTTGAATTAGAACAAAATGGAATTATATTTTCAGCTTGGGTCTTGCTACATGTCCCCAGGTCCCAGTGAAAATCCTTGTTACTGATGATGCAGGAATATTTCTGTGCCCCCCACACAGGTCCAGTTTGTGGGTCTTCTTTGGGACTGGAAAATCTGGGCACAGGGGCCGGCCCTGCAGAATCTCTCTCCAGCCCTTCCCCTCTAGGCTCCAGTCCGAGGCCCGCCCCATCACCCCTGGCCTCTGTTCCCTTTGCTTAAGCTTCCCGCAAGGCCAAGCAGCCTTCAGCAGAACTGAACTGCTCAGGGAGGAAGACGAGGGTCACAGGCTGATCCTCCTGAATCAGAGGACAGAACATGTTGTTCTAGTGCCCACGGCCAAGACCTCAAGGAAACATATTCTCCCTCCAGTCCACACTGCCCCAGGCAGAGGAGTAAGACGAAGCAGATGGTTTGGCCCCTTAGAGAGGGAAATGCCCAGGGGCTGCTGGGGGTGGCCAAGGAAAGAAAGGACATGGGGAAGATTTTGAAATGCTAATGGAGCCGGGTTGGAGTCCTGCCAGCGAAAGTCTGTTTTGGCCTTTTCCACGTGTGCCTAAGCCAGTGAGTTTATGACCTGGCGAGAGAGGTCCTGGCTCCAGCACCTAAAGCCCCAGGTGGAGCATGCATTGGCTGCAGGAGGCTGTGCGGGTGGACCCAGTGGCCCAGGTGCACCCTTCTCTTCCCCTACTGAGGAACCGTGAGCAGCAGGCTCTCTATCTGCACGGCCACAGCGTCCTCTCCTATAACTGGGAATGACAGAACCCACTCCCGAGGACTGTGATGACGCTGAAGTGAGAGGTGAAGTGAGAGGATGCATCCACGCCGCCAGAGTCCCTGACACTTCTTTGACATACAGATTGGAGCAGTCACTCTTCCAGGGCCTCTCCAGCTCTCACATCCAGCGCAGGGGACAGGAAGAGGCCGCTTGGCATCCCACTTGGCAAGGTCAGGGGCACAAAGACGGGGTGGAAGCACAGTGGGGTCCCAGGCTGGACGGGCCTGTCCGTGCTCCCACATTAGGACGGATTAAAATGCCTCGTGGGCATCTGGCGTAGGTCACCTTGAATTTCAGGTTCTTTCCAACCGTGAGGTTCCAGTTCTGAAAGGATGTCCCTCAGGCAGCTGCTTTCCTGGGAAACAGCAACTCCACTGAGCCTTGGAGGGTCATAAAGGTCCCCGCACACACCCCAGAAGGCCCCAGAGAGGCACCTTTCCTGTGCTCGGCTCAGGCTGGTCGGCCAGACCCCGTGACCTGACCCTGCCAGGAATGTGACCTGTCTGCCCGCCCAGACGTGCCCAGGACCTTGTTTCCCAAGTGTCTGCCTCATCTGGGGGCCCGATGCCCCCAGCCTACACCGGGTGCCCTTTCCGCAGTCACAGATGCCTGATTTGTTGAATTAATGAGCGGCTGCTTCTCTCATCCTTTCCCTTGGCTCATTCAAGTAAGCTTGTTACCCATTCTTTTGCAACAGAGTCACATGTGTCAAACAGATTTCATTTTTTTCCTAGTTTATGCCTATACATTTCTTCTGTCCTATTTGTCTTCATTGGGATTTGGATGGGAATTGGATTATGAGCTGCAAAGAGGTGTCAGATACCCAGTGTATTCTGGGAGCTGTCCTCCGAATGTCCTTCTGCATGAAGACTGAGATCTTCTCCACCCTTCCTGGGTGGGCCTGGTCCCTCGACCCCCTCCCTCACACTGCAACCTCAGAGCTCTGTGGAAAAAGCACACAGGCTGAGGGTGGTAGAATTTCCCTGTTGAGCTCTTTCCCTATTGAGTTAAACGAGACCATATGAAGTTCCAGAGGGTCTGGCGCAGAGGCTGGGTTATTCTTGATCCAGGGGTGTGGGCAGGGGAACAGTGATAACCTCCAAGGTGAAAGCAGCGCGTCGGGGAGGGAGCCTGCAGCCAAGCCAAGGGCAAGGGAGAGCTAAGTTTCCATCCTAGGAAAACACACACATCCCTCCCGCTGGAAGGTGCTGAGACTATGGAATAAACAGACAATGGAGCTGAGTCCCACCCATACCCGCAAGCAGCTCTGGACAGTGGCTTTTTAGGAAACGATGGGAGTGAGTGGAAAGGGTAGAATGAACACATGGTCTCCGAGTTGCAGGCACAGGACAGTGGAACTTGGGAGGAGACATTCCTCTGGAGGAGAAAAGGAGAGAAATAGGAAAAGGATAGTCAAGCCCGCTGAAATCCTAAGAGGATCTCTTTATCAAAATATAGTGTCCTCGCTGTAGGCATATCAGGTCACAGAAGCAATTCGTGTCATATACGCATCAGCTTGCAGGGCAGGGAACAGCCTGCATGGGAAGGTGTCTATACACAGGCTTCTCCTTGGTGGCCAGCCAAGCCCTGGCGTAGAGCCAGGCTAGCCCCTCTGCAGGCACCTCCTGGCTGTGGGTTGCACCTGTGCCCCCTACACCCCTAATGGATGCCCACCCTGATGTCTTCCCCCATTGTCAACGCTGTGCTGGTCATCTCATGGGACAGCAGCTTGAACCATCTTCTAGGCAGTCCCAAGATATGAAACCAGGGGAGAAATACTCCCATTCCTTCTTTGGGGTTTGGTCTCATCATTCTTAGTGGTGTTTGGGGCCTTTCCAAGTTCCGTTCCTGATTGTCACCCTGAGGAATGGCCCGGTGGCCTGGCCTGAGATAGCTGTTGTCCTCACCTCCTTCAACCAACACTCTACTCCCTTCCCTGTCCCCATCAACCATCCTCACTGAGCAAATTGAGGTGGCATCGTGGCTAATGAAAATCACCTTCCGTCTGGCTGAGTGGACTCCAGGAACCCAAGAAGCAATGCCATCGAGGGTGGCAATGCAGATGGAAGACAAGTGCATGACCAGCCTAGAGCAAACCCCTAGCCTGGAAAATGGGTCTTCTGGCAGGAACATCTCACAACCTGAAGGTCTCTGGAAGGTTTGTCAGGATTCCCAAAAGAAAGAGGACTCATTGGAGGACAATTCCCAAATGCTGATCCACACATATTTGCTGCTGAGACAGTTTCAAGTGTTTGCACAAAAATTAAAGCATTTAAAATACTTTTTTTTCCTTTTTTGAGACAGGGTCTCACTGTTTGCCCAGGCTGGAGTGCAGGAGTGGCGCAATCTCAGCTCCCTGCAGCCTCAACCTCCTGGGTTCAGGTGATTCTCCCACCTCAGTCTCCCAAGTGGCTGGGATTACAGGAGCCCGCCACCATGCCTGGCTAATTTTTTGCATTTTTACCGGACAGGTAAAAATGTCTATGTTGCCCAGGTCTGGTCTCGAACTTCTAGACTCAAACAATCCACCTGCCTCGGCCTCGCAGAGTGCTGGTATTACAGGCATGAGCCACCGTGCCTGGCAATACAAGACTGTCTTTTATACCAACAGTATGACCTACCTGCAGTTAGCATGTTAAGATCTCCTTTCTTTATGAAATGCTGGTGACAGTATGCTACTGATATATAGTACACGGTGTGGATGTGTATGATAGAGCACAGTGCTGATATGTATGTGATAGATAGATGTATATATGCGTGATATAGATGGATATGATAGAGCACAGTGCTGGCTCTGGAGCCAAATCACTGACATTCAATACCATATTTCCTGAGTGTGGGGCCTTTGGGCAGGTTATTCAGATTTTTGGTGCCTTGGTGTTCTATCTATAAAGTGGGAAAGACCATGGGGCTGTGTGAGGTTGAAATGAAATACGACTCAGAAAGCCCTTAGAGCACTCGGGAGGCGATCTTCATAAGCGCTGGATGTGCTGGACCGTGTTTCTCCTTTCAGCTCACTGCTCCAAGAAATTCAAGTATCTGAGAATCACTGGCTGAAGATCCAATTTTCCTCACCTGTGATTGCAGGTGAGCAACACACACAAATACACACATGCACGCACACACACCACACACACACGCACATACACTATGCACACACACACCCCTAACGTGCAGTTGCAGGTGGGCAACACATGCACGCATGTGCACACACACACCACACATACACACATGCACGCACATACATGCATGCACGCACACGTGCACACACGCGCCTACACCCACATACACACATACATGCACACACATACACACATACATGCACACACATACACACACACGCCTCAAACCTGCAAAACTGATGAAAAGTGAAAAGCAATGTTTGGTCACAGGCACCTAACTTTGGGTCTGTAGGCCCCTCAGGTGCTCCTGGGGAGGGAGACGGCGTCTGGTGTAGCAGCCAGGTCATGTTCTTGTGGCACATTCTAATCCGTCTATTCCAGGACTGCACAATCCCCAACACACACACACACGCGCACACACACGCAAGCACACGCACGCACGTACACACCCCTCTGCCCCCAGAATACCTGTGTACATGTGTATGGACAGACATGCCCACGTGTGGTAAATGGCCCTGCACAGTTGTCTCTGGGGCCGGTTGTGTCTCATGGGATAAAGTTCCACTTAGAGATGGCACCACCTTGGTGGCCATCCACAGGTCACCACTCTGTCCTCAATCTCAAAAGCCATCTTTAGAGCCTGCCCTGAGAATGTGTCCTCCAGGCCCCAATGCCAGAGAGCCAGCAGGTCCTGGCTACAGACTGGAGGTGGGGGCACTAAAGGGGCTGAAGGGCTGGCCAGGAAAGGCTTCAGGCTGGGGGCCTCTTCCATGCTCACCCTGAGCCAGGCACCGATTTCACTACCTGAAAGGTGACTGGGAAGCAGCAGAAGGCAGCCGCCAACAACAGACGGCCCCGGACACCCCGCCCCACCCGTGAGCGCCCACGCCCTGGAACGGCGCAACATCGCCACCGTGTGGCCGTCGACCTGAACAACAGCTTCTCAGCCCCTGGGGTCCGTAGCGCTAGGTCTCTGGAGACCTCCAAACTGGGCCCAGGATTTTAAACATTTCCTTTTCCATAAAGTCCTTCCTAATCCAAATTTCACTGTGATTCCTGCAGACTCTAGGTCTGAGTAGGACTCGCCATGGCTGCAATAAGCAGGAGTCGGGTTAAATTTTCATTAAATTTACATGGTTATGATTCCTAGCTAAAACAATGGCGATACAAGGTAGTTTAGGGGGATCAGAGAGTTGGATCATCTTGAGATCTCAGCAACGAAAGCAGCTAGTCAGTAGGGGAAAGCCTCTGCGGGGCTGCACTGAGCTTGTGGGAGCGCAGCAGCAGCCCTGCACTCTTCCCCTGTGAGGCCAGCTTGCTGTGCAGGGCACCTGTGCACGTGGGGCCCTCAGCCTGGCCCTCCCACCTCCTCCTCTAACCCTTCAGACCTCTGCTGTGGCCTTCACCTGGGTGAAGGAAAGGCTGGTCAGCACAGACCTACGCAGGCCTCTGGCCTCTCCCAGCTGCTGCAGGTCTGGACTGCCATCCTCAGCAAGGAGGAATGGCTCTAGCCTGCTGGTATTCCCACCCTGTCAGCTCAGGCTCTTGGACCAGAGACTTCTGCCTTCGTGAGAGCTATCGGCGCGGGGCCTGCGTGATGTGTCTGGCCTCTGGCGAGTTAGGGAGTCTCAGCCTGATCTTCTGAACTCCAGCCAGAAGTAACACAGGATTTGGCCCCATAATCTTTTTAAAGGCACTGACACATGATTGATTTTCCAGGGCTCAAATGCTTCTCGACATTCAGGCAGGCTTCCAGGATCCCCCAAGGACCAAGGATGTCCTGCAAACTGCGGCTCTGGGCATCTGATGGAGCACCTGGTGATGCTGCTGCTCCGTGGCACTTGGAATGGCATGACCCACTGCTAAAACGGTGCTCTCCAACCTCACAGGAACGCTTCTTAGAGCACAGGCCACTGGCCCCACCCAGCGGGCCCACCAGTTTCTGTTCAGGAGGTCTGGATGAAGCATGAGACTCTGCACCTATGAGTCCCAGGAGATCTCGATATTCCTGCCCAGGGACCTCCCGAGAGAAACACTGCCACAGACGACACGCCTTGTCCCACTCAGACCTCCCGCAGAGAGTCCCGGAAAGGGTGGGATGACCCTGAAGGCTAGCCATCTGTGTTTTCACCTGCTCCCCGGGTGGGAATCTGACCGGGGGGAGTGAGCAGTCCAGAACACTGTCAAGCCACAATGGAGCTGAGGGTGGTGCAGTGGCACGGGCTGGGCTGGCCTCCCTGAATCCCACTGCATGGATGACCATGTCTACACCCCGGCCAAGCCCCGGCTGCCAGGCTCACGCACACTTAGGAACCAGACCACACACAGGCCTCGTGAAACCTCTCCATTTAACATAGACCATTCCCTCAGCGCCTGCACTGGGCACTTCTGTCCGATGCGATCAGGTGGGAATGACCATGTCAGGGCAGAAAAGGAATGACATTTACAACACGCACAGGAGTCCTTCAGCATCATCCTCATTCTACTTCCCACGCCTTGGTAAGAACAGATGTTCTTTCCCTCCCCAGGGAGGAAAATGCGACAGATTCTCGCACAGGTTCTAGGCAACACTCCCTCCCTCAAAGAGGTAAAACACTCAGGCTAAAATGAAAGAGGCTCTGCAAACCCCACCTCCCCCGAGAAGCCTTGCAGTGTTGCTCCAATCAGACTATATTTCCTCCTTTTTGTTTCCATAACTCATGGCAGGCAAAAAACCATTCATTGAACAAACACATATCAGCATGTTCTAAGACAAGCCTGAGCTGGGGACATAGCGGTGAGCCAAGGCTACCTTCTGCCCTCCTGACACTGGCCATGTCATTTCTCTCCCCAGGTCCTCTTCCCTGCCCCAAGCCCATGTGGCGCATCAGCATACAAGAAGCCCTCAAATGTTCCCCCAAAAGCTCCCTAAGCCTTCCCCAGATTGTTGACATTGTCCCTTCAGGCCACCAAGCAAGAAGAGAGGAAATATTTTAAATTATTAAGTAAAAATCTAGGGAGGCTGGGGGTGGTGGCTCAGCACGAGCCCAACACGGGAAGATGACTTGAGCCCAGGAGTTCGAGACCAGCCTGGGAAACATAGTGAGACCCTGTCTGTACAAAAAAAAAAAAACAACTTAGCCAGGTGTGGTGGTGGGCACCTCTAGTCCCAGCTGCTCAGGAGGCTGAGGCAGGAGGATAGCTTGAGCCCAGGAGACTGAGGCTGCAATGAACTGTGATCATGTCACTGCATTCCAGCCTGGGTGACAGAGCAAGACCCTGACTCAAAAAAAAAAAAAAAAGAAAAAAGAAAAAATCAAGGGGGATGGCACGGGAGGTGTGGGTGCCCTTCAGCCAGGCAGCACCCCTCCTCCAAGGCCTTGGGACCCATCTGCTCAGCCTTCACTAGAGAGACAGCCAGGTCTTCATGCCCAGACTCACATCTGTCCCCGTGAGTGTGTGCGCTCACAGGGCCACCTCCCCACCAAACACGAAGCCACGCTTCCGCCCATCTTCCTCTGACAAAGCTCCTCCCTCTCCTAGGTTGGACCCAGGCCTGGGCACCAGTGCACCCCCCAACATTCGTCTCCCCACCTCGCCAACCCGCATTTCCCTCCTACCAGGGCACCAGGCCCCTGGTCTTGGAAGCTACAGGTCAGAGCAAAACCAGCCCCTTGCTGGCCTAGAGAAGGCAACGGCACTGTGGGCCCCACCCAGCCTGACTCCAGGGTCTGTGCTGAGGGGAATGTACATCCAATTTCTTGCAAATCGAGTAGGAAAAAGGAGGAAGGAGGGCGCAACTCCAGTAGGAAAAGAAACTTACCTAAAAAGAAATAAAATGTTTTACTCATTTACACAAATACACACACTGAAGTCCACCCTGGGAGCTGGTAAAACAATTTCAGTCTCAGACCCGTCTGTTTTCCAGGGTCCTCCGAGCCTGGGCTTCCTCAAGAGCGTGGCCCAAGGGCCCCACAGCCCAGATCCGGCAGCCCCACCACCTTCACTGAGGAGGCCCCGAAGCTCCGTTCCCGCTGCTCCTTAGAGACAGGGGAGGCAGATATGCACAAACGCGCCTCGGCCCAGCTTGGGGCTGGCGGGGGAGGCTGTGTCTTCAAACCTTTGCCCCCAGTTGGGTCAGTAGAACCACCAGTGTCCTCCCCTTCTACCTCCCAGCTCCACTTTGGAGGCTGAGGAAGCGAGAGGTTTTCTAGGCAGATTTGGAGCCCTGGAGATTGAGTTCACAGTGTATGTTCTGGGGGCGCTGGTGCAGTCAGCGGTCCAGTCTCCAGCCTGCAGGCGTGCACACTGGGGTGGACGATGGGTGGCCCCGCAGGTGTACACATTTGGGTGGCCCCGGCCCCTATACCCCAGTGTTCTCTTTGATCCAGTCCCGAAACAGAGGGAGCCTTGTGTACACGCCTGGCTTGTTCCTCTGAGCGCAGCCGTCTCCCCAGCTCACCACACCGGCCTGGAAGATCCGCCCATCCGCCTCCACGCTGGACAGGGGTCCCCCGGAATCACCCTGGGCGGAGACAAGCCCTGCCGTGAGTCCCCAGTCCCGCCTCTCCCGGGGCCCACCTGCCGCCCTCCTGCCCCGGGGGCCACCTGGCAGGAGTCCACGCCGCCGCTGAGGAAGCCCACGCACATCATGCGCGGCGTGATCTGCTGCGGCAGGAGGTTCTCGCAGGTGGTCTGGTTGATGACGCGGATCTCACCCTTTTGCAGGATCAGCGCGCCAGTGCCTGGGGAGAGGGCAGGACGGGGCTGAGAGCCGGGCTGCTTCGAGGGCAGCGTCATTCGAGACGCTCCCCACGGGTCATTGGACTAGAAAACTCTGGAACAGCCCAGATGCCCGGGGCTGACAAACGGGTAATCCGCGTCTACTCAGTGGGCTCTGGCAATAGCAGCCACCTAGAGGAAGCAGGGGCATGCTGAGATCTGCCAGGCGAGTTGAGAGGGAACAGACGCCGTGGCAAGCAGGGGTGAGGGAACAAGAAGCAGAGAGGCGGAGGGAAGGCGCCGCAAATGCCCGCGGGGTTCTGTGAGGGCATTGGAGCTGTAAGTCCTGTTCGTTTTCTTTCCTCTCCAAAGACGACAAATGTTCAGCATATGCTGTACAGTGGATTCTTTCAATCTAGCATTTGCCAACTAACGGCCTGCTTCCCTTCATACCCACCCCCTCACGTGCCTTAAGCACCACTGGGCTTAAGGTGTTGCTATCTTCATTACGCGCATGCACAAACAGGATCAGAGCTTAAGCAACTCGCTCAAGGTCACTCAGCTAGTTAGGGGCAAAGCCAACCTTCAATCCTGAGCCCAGGCTGCAAATCCCATGCCCCTTTTACTAAAGGCCTCCATTCCGCCCTGGACAGCCTCATTCTGCCAGGCAGAGGGAGACTGGAGCAGCCCCCCGCCCCGAGACCGGACACGCAGAGGAAACACGGCCTTGGAGAAAGGCCCCAGGCCCTCTGCGGAGCCCTAGGTCAGCCCGAAGCTTACCTCCATACTGGGTGTGTCCCCAGCCCGTGACCCAGATGGCCTTGCCGGCAGGGAAGACATGGGAGGCGTCCGGCAGGCAGATGGGCCGCACCATGGAGCTGTACTCTGCCGGTTTCTCCAGCTCCAGCAGCGCGATGTCATAGTCGAAGGTGAAGTCATTGAAGAAGGGGTGGGAGATGATGCGCTTGAGCCTGCGCTCCTGCACCCCAGGGGCGCTGCGCTGGCTCTGGTCGTGCAAGCCCAGGAAGGCCGTCCACTGCGTGGGGTCTGAGTACCTGGTAGGGAGAGCCGCTATGAGACTGCGCGGTCACTCGGGTCTGTGCACACGGCCTCGCGGCCCCGCGCGTTCCCAGAGGATTCCGCATGGATGAGGCACAGCTGCTGCTACGAGAAGACGATGGGGCCGGCTCTTACTTGGTCTTGACCCTAAGCTAGAAACTACTAAGTGCCTCCAGCTGCAGTATGAAATCCCTCTTGAACTCTTTACCCCCCCTTCCTTGAATACATTTTTAATCTGATGACCAAAAATTAGTTATCTTACGAACCTGATCTTTCACAGGAGGAATAACAGAACAATCAATCCAAATAATTTATTTATTTATTTATTTATTGAGACTGAGTCTCGCTCTGTCACCCAGACTGGAGTGCGGTGGTGGCATGATCTCGGCTCACTGCAATCTCCACCTCCCGAGTTCAAGCGATTATCCTGCCTCAGCCTCTTGAGTAGCTGGGATTACAAGTGCACACCACCACACCCAGCTAATTTTTGTATTTTTAATAGAGACGGGATTTCATCATGGTGGTCAGGCTGGTCTCGATCTCCTGACCTTGTGATCCGCCCGCCTCGGCCTCCCAAAGCGCTGGGATTACAGGCGTGAGCCACCACGCCCAGCCCAAATAAATTTTTAATGTAGTGCTATATAACCTAAGACCAAAATGAATTGAAAAATATGTTGTGTTGTGTCTAAGTTTGTTGCTGGCTATGGAATAGGTTTAGCAATTCAGAAGCTTTTCCACGTGCACTGCAGAGCCGGAGCCCACCCCACTGGGGGGAAAGGGAGGCACAGATGTGGAATGAGATCAGAGATATCAGGAAAGGTTCATGGTTTTTATTTTATTTTATTATTATTTTTTGAGACGAAGTCTCACTCTGTCACCCAGGCTGGAGTACAGAGGTGTGATCTCAGTTCACTGTAACCTGCACCTACCAGGTTCAAGCGATTCTCCTGCCTCAGCCTCCCGAGTAGCTGGGACTACAGGCATGTGCAGCCACGCCTGGCTAATTTTTGTATTTTTAGTGGAAACGGGGTTTCGCCATGTTAGCCAAGCTGGTCTCAAACTCCTGACCTCAAACGACCAGCCCACCTTGGCCTCCCAAAGTGCTGGAATTACAGGCATAAGCCACCGTGCCCGCTGGCTCACAATTCTTAAAAACTGGCCTAAAACCAATACTGTCTCCAGCAGCACCCAGAACTTAGTGTCTAAATATCCTTCTCTATTGAAAGGAACCAGGGCTCCTTGGAAAAACAGCTGATTTCGGATCTGGGGCTTAATGGGAAGCATAAAGCAACCTGGAACATTTTGTTTCTGCAGGAAGCGATCGAGCACTCAAACAGCAATGCGGCCTCACAAAGCTGGCTAAAGTTAGGACAATAAGAACCCCGAAATAAGTGGTGACAGGGTGACACTACTACACAGGTGGAATAATAAAAAAGGGTGGGGTAATCCATCAGTCCACCCTGAGTCTAAAAAGTAATTTCAAAAGAATTTATACAGGGAAAAGGAAAGCTATTCTTTACAGAGAAAAAGCAGCCCCTGGCCGGGCATGGTGGCTCACTCCTGTAATCCAAGCACTTTGGGAGGCCGAGGTGGGTGGATCGCCTGAGGTTAGGAGTTCAAGACCAGCCTGGCCAGCATGGTGAAACCCCGCCTCTACCAAAAACACAAAAATTAGCCAGGTGTGGTGGCCGGTGCCTGTAATCCCAGCTACTCAGGAGGCTGAGGCAGGAGAATTGCTTGAACCCAGGAGGCAGAGGTTGCAGTGAGCCAAGATCGCACCACTGAACTCCAGCCTGGGCAACACAGTGAGACCCCACCTCAAAAAAGAAAAAAAAAAAGAAAAGAAAAGAGAAAGAGAAAGAAAGAAAGAGTGAGCAGCCCCTAAATGCTGAAGAAACGGTACAATAAGGAACCACATTCGCGCCTGCCACAATAATAATCAACAATGTGAGAATCACCAACGGACGCTGAGACGCCGGGCAAAGTACGGCTGGAGAACGAGACACTCACGCTGATTCAAAGAATCACCTGCAGTGTAGTCACGACCAAGGGGGAAGCCCCTTTATGATGGCGAAACCTGTTGGGCGTCCCGAGCCAGGTGCTCAGCCTCCTCTCCCGACCAGCCCCCTTCACGGGGGATCCTGCTCTCCCCGAGTAGGGTACAGCACCGCCCGCGCACTGCTTCCTAACTCAGCCATGAAAACACAGTCGGGAAAACCCAAATTGAGAGGCATCCTGTAAGATAACTGGCCCGAACTTTTCAAAAATGTCAATGCCATAAAAAACCAAAAAATAAAAGGCGTAGAGAAACTGTTCTTGATTAAAATGAGGTTAAAGAAACCTAATGACTAAATACAAGGCGTGACCCTTGACTGCATCCTAGGACTTTTTTTAAAAAGCTCCGAAGAAGGCTGGGCATGGTGGCTCACGCCTGTAATCCTAGCACTTTGGGAGCCCCAGGCGAGAGGATCACAAGGTTGGGAGTTTGAGACCAGCCTGGCCAACGTGGTGAAACCCCGTCTCTACTAAAAATACAAAAATTAGCCAGGCGTGGTGGCAGGTGCCTGTAATTCCAGCTACTCAGGAGACTGAGGCAAGAGAATCACCTGAACCTGGGAGGTGGAGGTTGCAGTGAGCTTAGATTGTGCCACTGCACTCCAGACTGGGCGAAAGAGTGCGTCTCAAAAAAAAAAACAAAAAAAAAAACGTCTAAAGAAGAACATGATGGGCATGATTGGAGGACATTTATGACGCGTACGTCAGCTCGCAGCACAAAGCAATGCCGCCATTTCTCAGTGTGGGACAGCATCCGTGTTTTTGGAGACACAGGCCGAGGCACCTGGTGGGAAGCCTCACAATGGCTGCCCCCAGTTGGGAAATGGTTCTGAAAAATACATGCGGGTGCAAACAGAGAGAAAGCAAACGTGATTAACTCAATCACTGAATGTAGATCAAAGGTATAAGAGTGTTCACTGTACAGCCAGGTGCGGTGGCTCACACCTGTAATCCCAGCACTTTGGGAGGCCAAGGCATGGGGGGATCACGAGGTCACGAGTTCGAGACCAGGCAGGCCACCATGGTGAAACCCCATCTCCACTAAAAATACAAAAATTTAGCCGGGCAAGGTGGCGCACACCTGTAGTCCCAGCTACTCCGGAGGCTGAGGCAGGAGAATTGCTTGAAGCCGGGAGGCAGAGGTTGCAGTGAGCTGAGATCACGCTGCTGCACTCCAGCCTGGGGACAGAGTGAGACTCTGTCTCAAAAAAAAAAGTGTTCACTGTACTAGTCCTTTTTTTCATTCATTGTATTTACAACATTTTTGTAGGTTTGAAAAATTTCAAAATAAAACATTGGAAAAATACATATTTAAAATAGAAAATGTGCGTGACAAGAGAAAGGCATGAAGACCCGCTTCATTTTCCCTCACCTCTCAGGAAGGTCAAAAGGTTACTGAACCACCCAGCCAGGGCACCTCCCCGACCCCGGAGCACTAAACCCAGCCTCTGCCTCCACATCACTCGCGTGCCCACCCGAGCCCTGGTCCACTCTCACTGCCCCAGCGTCCATCACCTTCTGGCCTTTCTTTTTTCTTGAGATGGAGTCTTACTCTGTTGCCTAGGCTGGAGTGTAGTGGCATGATCTTGGCTCACCACAACCTCCGCCTCCCAGACTCAAGCGATCCTCCCACCTCAGCCGCCCCCAAGTAGCTGGGAGTGCAGGTGCATGCCACCATGCTCAGCTAATTTTTGTATTTTTAGTAGAAATGGGGTTTCACCATGTTGGTCAGGCTGGTCTCGAACTCCTGACCTCAGGTGATCTGCCTGCTTCGGCTTCCCAAAGTGCTGGGATTATAGGCATGAGCCACCGCGCCAGGCCCCCTTCTGGCCTTTCTTACAGCCACCTCCCCACGGAATCGCACGCCAAGGCCAAAGCTCAGTTTTCCAACCTAGGCTATGCCCAATCTCGCTTCACTGTAATCTGTTGCCACCAGAAAATGACTTCCCAAAAGCTGTTTTTGTGAGATCCTTTGCGTCCCATTCCACAGCCTAAAAGAATTCCCAAGAGTTGCCAGGTGAGGTCTTGTGACCCACCCAGGCCTTCTGCGTTCACTGTTAATCGACCTGACCTTTCTAACAGTTTCCCAGCCTGCTCACATCCAGCCACGTACTCAACCCCCATCAACTCATTCACTCAACAATCTCTGGGCATCTGTGATGCGATCTATGACCCAGCCTTCAGGTTCACAGTGTACATGTGGAGAGATATGAAAACCACCAATTACAGCGTGACAAGAAGGGTCCCACAGAGGACTGGGTAGAAAGCTGTGGGAGAGGATGGGCTGGGAGTCCGGAAACGAAGTGAGTTATGAACCAAGCCTCGACATCACGTAGGCCTGGCCACCTATGGCCTGAAGGGGTGGAGAATGCCGCATGTTTAAAGAGAACAAAGGTGGCCGGGCGTGGTGGCTCACACCTTATAATCCCAGCACTTTGGGAGGCCAAGGCAGGCAGATCACCCGTGGTCAGGAGTTCAAGACCAGCCTGGCTAACATGGTGAAACCCCGTTTCTACTAAAAGTACAAAAAATTAGCCGGGCACGGTGGCGCATGCCTGTAATTCCAGCTACTCGGGAGGGTGAGGCAGGAGAATTGCTTGAACCCGGGAGGCGGAGGTTGCAGTGAGCTGAGATCGCGCCATTGCACTCCAGCCTGGGCAACAAAAGTGAAACTCGGTCTCAAAAAAAAAGAAAAAAGAGCAAAGGCACATTTAGGAAACCCTCACACTGAGCATGGGGAAGGCATGAGGACTGCACTGGAGACTGAGACTGCACGGACGGGCAGGGGCCAGATAACGTGGCCGTGTCGGTCGTGAAGGAGTTCCTGCTTTATACTGCAAGCCGTGGCAGGCGCTGAAGCAAGAGATTGGGGTGATCAGATTTGGGGAAGGCCCCTCTGGGCTCGAGTGGTGCAGACCAGAGTCCTGAGAGGGAAGGAAGTAGATGGGGAGGGTGCTGCAGCTGCCCAGGCTACAGTGAGCTAGGACGAGCAAGGTGGTGGCAGTGCAGATAGAAGAGAGTAGAGATGTTTCAGGAACACCCAGGAGGCGAGCATGTAGCTGAAAGGGTCTCATGGGACGGGGGAGAGGGGAGAGCCATCCTTGTCCCTCTAGCTCAATTCCCCGTGACCCCAACACTCAGCATGGACACCCCCATCCAGCTCTTTGCCCTGTGCCTGCGGGTTTCCACCTCCCTCCTCCAAGCCCGCCCTGTTCACCTGGCGACCTCAGCTCAAGACCCCGCTTTCATGAAGCCCTGTCTGCAAACCCAGCCAATCGGTAAGTCTGACAGTATTTGATTCTATCAGCAGACTCAGCCTCTAACGTTTAAGGCATGCACGTCTACCAGCAGCTGAGAGACTGATTGTGAAGATGCAGCCACTGATATCCCCCATGGTGACCCCAGGGGCTGGAGTGCAGTTGGGAATCGCTAGTGCTCAGGTAGAACTTCTGATGTCCCAAGCACAATTCTCGATGCTGACACAGTAAGTTGTTTTATCCCTGAAACAGTCCTGTGAGGTAGGGTCGCGCTTTTTAAGATGAGGACTCAAGCACAGAGAGGGCAACTTGCCGAAGATCATATAGCTAACACGCTGTAGACCACAACTGCAACCTAGGCAGCCTGTGCATTTAACCGCAACGTGATGCCGCCTCCCGGCAGTGCCCAATGAATGCATGATGACTTAGCCATGTGCTCAGGGTCCCTTGACACCATGCCCCTGCACATCTCACACCTCCCTGCCTCTGCACACGACACTCCCTTTGTCTGGAAGGTCTGAGCCACCTGGTCCAGCTGACAGACACCCTCACCTTCAACCCTCAGTTCAGACACCCATGTTGAGTGTTCCCAACAGTCACCCCCCGAGTCCCTCAGGCATATGGGTTTAGAATTCTAAACTCCACATGCTGGGCCCAAGGGAGCCTGGACACAGCCCTGCCACAGCACTTACTGCACATGTGTGTCATGTCTTGTCCCTACCCTTACAAGTCTGTGACCCACAATCTGCAGGGACCAAGTCCTATTCATGTTGGTCTCTCTAGTGTCAATAGTAACCAGGGGTGTTGAAGATTAATTGCACTACTCGTTGGCAGAAGCATGACTGATGATCAACACACGATGAAGGAGAAGGAAATGAGAAAGAAAGCAACGAAGCAAAGGAAAAGAGGAAGCAGTGCAGGATGGCAGGGCAGTTCTTAGTATGCACCCAGCCATTTCCTAGCTCTACCTGCTAACTGGGCCTGGACATGACACCATGGTGACAATGAACACACTAAGCAACCGGACCTTGGTCTCTAAATACCATTCCCAGTAAAGGACTCCTTGGAGAAATGGCTGGTCCTAGGGCTGGGCTGGGGAAACATAAGATGAGCCTATTGTACCTGGTAGTGCCAGAAAGCAAGGACATGGCTCAAAAAAGGAAAGAATGGGGCATATCAAAGAGGCACAAAAGCCAACCTCAAAGAGAAGTGGTTGGGCCAGGCATGGTGGCTCACATCTGTAATGCCAGCACTTTGGGAGGCCAAGATGGGAGGATCACTTCAGCCTAGGAGGTGGAGGCCAAGCTTAGCAACTTAGCAAGGCTCTGTCTCTACAAAAATTTTAAACTAGCTGGGCATGGTGGCATGTGCCTGTAGTCCCAGCTACTCAGGAGGCTGAAGCAGGAGGATTGCTCAAGCCCAGGAGTTCAAGACTGTAGCAAGCTATGATTTGCACCACTGAACTTCAGCCTGGGTGACACAGTGAGACAAGGGACAGCCTCAGGCTGGACAAAGCCACGTGTCAAGCACCCAGCGAAGCTGGGGACCATGGAACTGGGTCCACTCCCCACAGGCTCTTGCTGTCCATCTCCATCACCCAAGCCCTGTGCATGGGTCTGAGCACACTCCATCTGTGCCTCAGGCCTCCCTCCTGCTGTGGGCCCATCTCTCCTCCCTGCAAAGGGCAGCTGAGGGCTTGGGTCACCTGCTCCTGGAGCTGCCTACCATGGAAAAGCGTGCAGCCAGCAGAAAGCGCATCCCCTTCTTCCGAGGTTGGATTCTCCTGGAAGGCCCATGCCCCTGTGCCTGCCTCTTCAGGGCAAGCCAGGCCCTAACACTCCTTCCTTCAGCCAACAGCCAGACGCCCAGAGAGGCCAGGAGCTAAGACACAAATAGCGCAGCCCGGCATTGTGCCCCTGTTCCTGGGATGCCCATGTGACCCTTCCAGGCCTCTCATCTGTCTGTGTGTCTGAGGCCATGACATGCTGAGCACCTACTATGTGCCAGGCACAGCGCAAAGTGTCTCAAGTACAGCATTGTATTTAATTCTCACAACTCTAAGGGTGGGAGCTGATACTGTCACTATCATTGGTGAAGAACCCAAGGCCTAGGAAGTTTGAATAACCTGCCCAGGGCCACCGGCAAGCCAGAGCTGGAGCATGAATCCAAAGCTCACGTTGGCCAATCCGAGGAGTTGCACAGTGCAGACTCACCGGAGACCACACCTGTGCTCAAGTCTGGCTCTGCCACTTAACAGCTGTGCCACCCCAAGCAAACGTCCCTACTTCTCTGAACCTTACTTTCTGTAGTGAGGATACAATCAAGCTGCCTAACTTGCTAGGGGGTTTTAGGAGAGGCACAGAGACAGCACTTGGCTGCAAGTGGGCACCGAATACAGTGAGTTTTTATTATTACTGTTATTGAGCCCCGTCCTGGGATATCTGCTCATTTGGTTTGGATGCTTGTCCCCTCCAAATCTCATGTTGAAATGGGATCCCCAGTGTTGGAGGTGGGGCGTGGTAGGAGGTGTTTTGGTCACGGTTCCCTCATGAATGTTTTGGTGCCCTTCCCATGGTGATGGGTGAGTTCTGAGTTCACACGAGGCTGGCTGCTTAAGAGTCTAGGACCTCCTCCTGCTCTCTCTTGCTCCTGTTCTCGCCATGTGATGTGCCTTCTCCCCCTTCACCTTCTGCCATGGATGGAAGCTCCCTGAGGCCCTCACCAGAAGCAGAGGCTGGCACCACGCTTCCTATACAGCCTGCAGAACCATGGGCCAAATAAACTCTTTTCTTTATAAATGACCCAGTCTCAGGTATTTCTTTAGAGCAACTCAAGAATGGACTAACACATGTGGCCACCCCTCCAGTGCCCTGCCTCGGTGCCAACCTATCCTGGCATTACTCCCAGATGCAAAGGGCCAGCAAGGAGGCTCCCTGCTGCCCACCCAGAGACCCACCTGAATCCTCTGTCATCGATGTAGCAGTGTGCGGCAGAGACCAGCCAGTTGGGAGAGATGAGGGAAGCACCGCAGATGTGGCCCTGGCCCAGAGCATGCAGGCTTACCTGCCAGGGCCACTCGCCCTCATCCGCATCCGTGCCCCCAACAACACGAGCCTGTCTCGTGAATGACCGCAGCCCACAGTCTGCAGAGGGAGCAGAGAACCAGAGGACAGCAAGTCAAGGTGGGGACATCAAACCACAAGGGGACATGCAGTGTGTGCCAGGAGACCCTGTGTGGGGAAGCCAGCTTTTGGCGTGCACAGCACTGCTGGCGTGGCCAGGGCGTGAGGGACCCCCAAAACTATCTTTGAGCTTCACAGACTCCCTTCCACCATGCCCCTCCTTCTCCCCGCTCCCAAATTCAAACCCTCATCTTCCCACCTCCCCCTCCCTCACAAATGCAGCGAGGGCCTCCGGAGGCTGGCTGGTCAGCTTCACTTTGATTTGGGTGTCATCTGCCTGACTTGACATCATTTGGGACATCACAGGGGAGGGGGCAGCATGGAGCAGGGAGAAGCGCCTTTGAATGCTGAAGGCCACAGCTCTGAGAGGGACGAATGAACCGCTGATGTGAGGTCACAGAACGCTGGAGCTGTGCTCAAATCTAACCTGTGGCCAGCCAACGCTTCTGAAACACAGAGGCTGCAGATTAAAGTATGGGCAGGCAGGGGTGACACCCTGCCTTGGGCTTGGGTGAGCTGGGCCGCTCTTCTCCAGGCTACTGCTCCACAGCTGTGTCTACACAGCAGGGGCCAGCAACGCACTGCAGCCACGACCCCGCCATGCTACAGAGGCGCTGAGATGCTGGCCGTACGGGCCTTTCTCCAAGACCAGAGCCAGCCCGTGGGGTGGTGCCTTCATGCCAACTGGCAAGGCTATCCTTTCCTCCAGGAGACACACCCTCTCACCCAAGCACAGAGCTGCTAAGTGAGGTGCTGGCGGGATTGCACCTCCAGGTGCACCCTCTGGTGGGCACTTCACACAGTGAACAACCTGCACAACCGTACTCGGATGCCCTGCTCACCGCAGTCCTTCTCATCTGAGCCGTCGCTACAGTCCTCCTTCCCGTCACACTCAGGGTTGCCCTTGCTCAAGCAGAGCCCATTGAGGCAGCGGTAGGTGTGTTTGGTACAAGTGACGACGTTCACTGTTCAAGGAGGAGGACAAGGGAGGGGCTCAATTCCTCTGCAGCATCCGACCAGAAGCCAGAAACCACCAATGGCGCCTCATGGCCCCTGCACATTACCCCCTCACCCAGGCCTGCCCCACCCACGCCCACTGGCCTCCCTGCCCTGCTACAGGTTCTCCACCTTCTGGAAAATTCTCCCCCAACCAGAGCCCTTTCTCATCACACTTAACACACAGGTGGTTTGTGTTCATTAAACTCGGGGCGTCCTGCATGTGCGTGTGCTCAGGGCAGCCTCCTCCAGGGGCGAGGCCCCCAACAGGAAGATGGGTGGGGCGGGCCTCACCCTTGGGGCAGGAGGCCTCGTCGGACCCGTCCCCACAGTCGTCCTTCCCATTGCACTGCTGGCTTTTCGAGAGGCACTTCCCATTGGAACACCTGAAGGTCTGGGCCGGACAACCTGGAGAGGCACCAGGACTCAGCCACCAGGAGCCACCGTCAGTCGCCCCGCCCACCTGCCCGCCCAGGCAGCCCCTCCCCAGCACTCACTGCACCCCTGCTCGTCGCTGTTGTCTCCGCAGTCGTTCACACTGTCGCAGACCCAGAAGAGGGGCTTGCAGAACTTGTTCTTGCACGTGAACTGGTGGCCGGCGTCGCAACCTGGAGTGGGGTAAGGGGAGGTCGGCCGTGAGGCCCTCATCACTCACTGCTTCCCCAGGATGCCCAGGCGATCAGAGCTACCTGGGGACCGCTTTCTGATCTACAGAGAGGCCCAAGGGGCCCTGCTCCACCAGCTACCAAGCTGACCTCAGCACTTCCGAGATACCCCACCACCTGCCCCACAGGCCAAGATCTCCATATGGCAGGGTGGGGAGTGGGGCCAGAGGTCTCTACACAGGGCCGAGAGCAAAAACTCCCACCACCTCCGGCCTTTCTGCCTCGGCAGTCAGCCAGCAGGGCCATGGGACGCGGGCAGGGTGGGGAAGGAGGGTGGGGAGACCGGGGCTCCCAGCCTGACTCACTGCAGTTGAGCTCATCGCTGTGGTCGGTGCAGTCGGCCCAGCCATCACAGCGCAGCTCCTTCCGGATACACCGCCCCGTGCGGCACGTGAACTGCCCCGGGCATGCTGCGGGCACAGGCAGGCCTGAGGCCCCCAGCACCCACCCACCTCCCTCCGCTGGCTCCCGGCTCCCTCCCTCGGGCCAACCTCCCAGCCACAAACACACAGGAGCAGGGCAGGTGCTGTGGCCCAGGGCAGGGGTTACCCAGGCCCACCAAGCTGTGACAAAGGGGTTCCTGCACCCGCAGCTAGTGTGGGAAGAGGGCTGGCCACAGACCCCAACCTGGGCTGGCAGGGTCCCTCCCCACCACTGAGGATCGAAGCCCAGGAAGCCCCAGGTGCCCTGCAGAGAGGCCAGCTGGTCGCAGGCCCTGCCCTGCCCTGCCCTGTGTGCTGGGCTGCCTGGTGCCCCTGAGGGCCAGGCCCCGCCTGTGACGCTCAGCTGGTCCCCGATGCATGTGATGTGTCCTATCCAAATGTAGTGCGGCATCGCGCACTTCCTTCACCCTAAACATTTTCCATATTTCAATGTTTCTGAAATCCGGAGGCATCTGACCACTTTGCAGATGACAAAGCTGTAAGGAGACCATTGTCACCGCCTCGGCACAGGGACACTTCGGTCACAGGTAAGTGTTTAGATCAAAGGCGTTGGTTCATCCAAGTGTACTTTTGGTGGTGAGCCAGGCCCTTGAATTTTACCTTAAAGTTGGATTCCTAAGCATAGTTAAATGTCTTCCCAAGGTTATTCTATGACGCAGGGTTGAAATAAAAACACATTGCATATGTGGAAAAACCACTGCTCATACAGCCAATGGCACTTCCTCATGTGTCTCAGAATTACACTGTGAATCCTAACGGTGCTAACAGGCCACAGAGGCAAGCACAGATGATCAAAGTCACGGTGAAGGTGGGCCTGAGGGACAGATGGCCGGGGAAGCTCAGATGAGGGGCGTCTCCAGCCGCAGGTACCTCATGCTGGGACTGCAACCCAGAAGGACACAGTGTGTGCCAGCGCTCACAGCCAGCCTGCTTTCATTAATGCATCAAAGGTAGCGTGTTTTCCTCCCAAAGCTACGGGAGGGGTGAGATGCTCTTACATTCTCCAGCATTTTAGAATCAGCAAAGCACGATGCTAACGAGATGCAGGGTAGACAGAACATGCGGTGCAGGCCCCCGCCAGCCCTCCTCCCAACAATGTTCACTCACGGTCACTGGAGTCGTAGGAGAGGTATTCAGCTAAGAAGCCGGTGTCGGTGTAGGACTGATCTGAGTGGAAGCGAACTGTGATCTTGTTGCTGTTGCTGGTGACGACGAACTGGGACCTCTCTCCGCAGTATCTGGAGGGGGGGCGGGGCACAAGGTGAGGAGGGACAGCTGGGAGCCGGGGGGCTGGGGGTCTGGTGGGACCCCTCCCCCTGCAGCATGGGCCCGGCAGCCCCCATACCCCCGGGGACTCACTTCTCCCCGTTGATCTCCACGTAGTCCTTGGGGCAGGTGCCCGCAGGCACGCCGGGCTCCAGCAGGTAGAAGAATTTGAAGCGCACCTTCACATGCTGGTTGTTGGGCACCTGAGGGAAGAGAGGCTGCTGGGAATGTGCAGTTCCCCTCCCTCCTCCCTGAACCTGAGGACGTCAAAGGGAGGCAGCGGCATGGACCAGGGAGAGATGGTATGCCTTCCATCACCAAGACAGGTTGCAAAGTTCTCCCAGCGTGTTTGTTTGTTTGTTTGTTTGTTTGTTTGTTTTTTGAGATGGAGTCTTGCTCTGTCGCCCAGGCTGGAGTGCAGTGGCAAGATCTCAGCTCACCGCAACCTCCGCCTCCCGGGTTCACGCCATTCTTCTGCCTCATCCTCCTGAGCAGCTGGGATTACAGTCACAAGCCACAACACCCAGATAATTTTTTTTGTATTTTTAGTAGAGATGGGGTTTCACCATGTTGGTCAGGCTGGTCTCAAACTCCTGACCTCAGGTGATCTGCCCGCCTCGGCCTCCCAAAGTGCTGGGATTACAGGCACGAGCCACCACACCCAGCCTCTTTTCTTTTTTTTTTTTTTTGAGACAAAGTCTCACTCTGTCACCCAGACTGGAGTACAGTGGCAAGATCTCAGCTCACCACAACCTCCGACTCCCGGGTTCAAGCTACTTTCCTGCCTCAGTCTCCCGAGCAGCTGGGATTACAGGTGCCCGCCATCACACCCGGCTAATTTTTGTATTTTTAGTAGAGACAGGGTTTCACAATGTTGCCCAGGCTGGTCTCGAACTCCTGACCTCGTGATCCACCTGCCTTGGCCTCCCAAAGTTCTGGGATTACAGGCGTGAGCCACTGCGCCCGGCCCTCCTGGCATTTTTAAAGAAAGGAAAGGGAGGCAGCTCTGGCTGGGATGGCGTGAGCGGCACGGACAGGCGACTCTCTTGTCTCACACACCTTCTTTGATTTCTTCCTGACGGCGCCTCTGAGACCCAGGCACTATCACCCTCACTTCACCTAGGGGCAAGCTGAGGCCCAGGGAGCTTCAGCAACTGCCCAGGTCGTTCCATCACCTGACAAGGAGCTAAGATAAGAGTCTGGGTCTGCCTGACACTGCAGGAAGACCTGACCCCACCCTGGGCCCTAAGACACATGGTCTCTTTGGGGTTTGTTTATTTGTTTTTGTTGTTTTTTGAGACAGGGTCTCACTGTTGCCCAGGCTGGAGTGCGATGGCACTGTCATAGTTTACTGTAGCCTTAAACTCCTGGGTTTAAGTGATCCTCCCACCTCGGCCTCCTGAGTAGCTGGGACTACAGGCATGTATCACCTGCCTGGCTAATTTTTGTAGTGTTTTGTAGAGATGAGGTCTCACTATGTTACACAGGCTGGTCTTGAATTCCTGGCCTCAAGTGATCCTCCTGCCTTGGTCTCCCAAAGTGCTGAGATTACAGGTGTGAGTCACGACATCTGGCTGCCTCTTTGGGGTTGATAAAGGATCTCCTCTTCCTTTTCTTCTGTCTTCCTCATTTGCCATCCACCTCTGTCTCACACACACACATACGCACACACACACACACACACACACATGCACACATATGCAAACACATGCACACACATCCACACACATCTGCACAGGGAGACACACACACGTGCACATACATGCTCACACACACACACGTTCACACGCCCCATAGCTCCTACCTCAATGTTCCATGTGCAGTCAATGTTGGGTGGGTAGTGGCCTGGGTAGTAGGGGCTGTTGAATGTCCCCTGGGCTTTACGTAAGCGGCCTCCACAGCCTGAGAGGGAAGGTGGGAGAAAGCAAGAGGATCAGGAACCTGCCCGGCCGAGCAGGCGGACGAGGGCTCTGCAGCCTGAGGCCTGGAGCTGCCTCCTGGACGCGTGGATGCTGCACAGCAGGTGCACAGCCAGGAAGGCCAGGTGCCGGGTGCCGAAGCTTCAGGAGGGCTCCTGACCCAGGCGGTCGGCCAGATGCCTTTGGCTCAAGCTTCAGCCTCTGCTGCTGACCTAGGCCAGCTCGCCAACCACAGGGTCTAGCCTGTGGCCTCCTAAGCTCAGGTCACCCCCACTAAGGCCTTCCCCTTCTCTGTGGCCCGAGGGCAGTCCCGCCCTGCCCTGCCCTTCCTTACTGCTCATCCTAGGCAGCTGGAAGAAGGTGGCCTCAAAGCCGGGATGCCGCCGCTCAGTGTTGGTTATCAGTGTGATGAGCAGGACGTTCTGGGAGGAGTGGAAGGTCAGGTTGTAGGAGGGAGGGTAGGTGCCACACAACCTGTGGGGGCAGAGGGCGGGCATTAGGAAGAGCAGACAGAACCCAAGCTTCTCACACACCCAAACCAGGCTCTCAGGCAGAGGTGCCTGAGGACCCCACCCCTAACTCTGGTCCCATCCACAGAGGCCAAGAATGGAGTCAAAAAGACCTTCATTCAAGTAAGTCCCTCCCCCACACAATCACTGATGGAAGGCGCTAGTGATAAACAGTTCACCTTTGTCACAATCACTGATGGAAGGCGCTAGTGATAAACAGTTCACCTTTGTCACAATCACTGATGGAAGGCGCTAGTGATAAACAGTTCACCTTTGTCACAATCACTGATGGAAGGCGCTAGTGATAAACAGTTCACCTTTGTCACAATCAAAGAGCAACACCCAGCCGGGCGCAGTGGCTCACGCCTATAAACCCAGCACTTTGGGAGGCCAAGGCGGGTGAATCACCTGAGGTCAGGAGTTCGAGACCGGCCTGGCCAACATGGTGAAATCCCATCTCTACTAAAGATACAAAAATTAGCTGGGCATCACGGTGCACGCCTGTAATCCCAGCTACTCCAGAGGCTGAGGCAGGAGAATCACCGGAACCCGGGAGGCGGAGGTTGCAGTGAGCCGAGATCGCACCACCGCACTCCAGCCTGGGCGACACAGCGAGACTGTCAGAAAAAAAAAAAAAGAGCAACACCCTAGACACAATACATGCCCACAACAGAGGATTTATTAAATAAACTGTGGGCTCAATCAGAACAACAGCAGTAGTAACAATCAACATTTATTAAGAACATGCCAAGGTCGGGCCTATAATCCCAGCCTGTTGGGAGGTCAAGGCAGGAGAATTGCTTGAGGCCAGGAGTTTCAGACCAGCCTGGGTAACGCCTCATCTCCATAATCAAAAAAACTAGCTGGGCATGGTGGCGCTTGCCTGCAGTCCCAGCTACTCCGGGGCAAGGCCAGAGAACTGCTTGAGCCTCAGGAGTTCAAGGTTACAGTGAGCTATGATTGCGCCACTGCACTCCAGCCTGGGTGACAAGGAGACTCAAAAAAAAAAACATGCCTGGCATGGTTCTCGGTGCTTTTAAATCTATTAACTCATAATCTTCCTAACAGCTCTATGAAGTAGATACTATTACCCCTATCTCAGAGGTGAGGAAACTGAGACACAGAGATGTTCAGTAACTTGCCCAACATCTCATGGTTAATAAGTGGCAGGCTTAGAATTTAAACTCAGGCATTCAAGCTCCAGAGTCCACACTGCTCACAACCATGTCATCCTGATTGTGTCCCCTCCTTCTAAACAATGCAACCTTATAAAAACCCTGAGAGAGAGGGTGACTGATTTGGAAAGACCATCATAATATACTTCATTTGTTAAAGCAGGTAATGAGACTGAATGCACGGGATAATCCTATTTCTTAACACACACACAGCAAAAAAGGCTGGGAAAATAGACATCAAAAATTTGGCCGGGTGCTGTGGCTCACGCCTGTAATCCCAGTACTTTGGGAGGCCAAGGCAGGCAGATTGCCTGAGGTCAGGAGTTCGAGACCAGCCTGACCAACATGGTAAAACCCCATCTCTACTAAAAATACAAAAAAAATTAGCTGAGTGTTGTGGCGCATGCCTGTAATCCCAGCTGCTCGAGAGGATGAAGCAGGAGAATCGCATGAACCCAGGAGGCGGAGGTTGCGGTGAGCCGAGATCTTGCCACTGCACTCCAGCCTGGGCGACAGAGCGAGATTCCATCTCAAAGAAAAAGAATTAACAGTGGTTATTTCTAGACAGTAAGATGACGAGTGACTTTAGTCTTCCTTTTGCTTGCCGATTTCCTTCTCCCACTGGGAACATGTACTTCTTTGTTGTACAATTAATAAATTAGAGAGATGGAAAAGAAGTCCTGGTTACGAAGCTGTGGCGGCAGATGGTTCTAGGTTGTTCTTGGCCTGAATTTTAGCCCATTATTAATCAGGAAACGTCCGCCGAGCTCATTTCCCTAGACAGCCACGGAAGGCTCTGGCCCAGCGAGTGCAGGAGAGGCGGCTCACCCACCACGCACAGCACCTCTGCGAGGTACGCCCCACCCTGACGTGGGGTATCCCACAGGTGCATTAACCACGCCTTTCCGTTTTCTGTAATGCAGGTGCTTTGACATCTGAGGCCCTGCTGACTGTGGAAGGCTGGCCAATGCTTAGAGATAGGAAAGGACTCACCTGCAAGCAAACCTTCCCTATGCAAACCCACCTATGGGGGCCCAGCCCCACCTCCTCCGAAAGGATCTCACACTCAGGGCCACTATTCTTTGCCCTAACCACCCCAGGCCCAAGTATCAGAGAACTAGGGACAGCTCCTATGCCCCGGAGCCTACTGAAATTATTCAAACAAGCCAGTTCTAAACCTCTCACCCTGATTTGTCTTGCCTTTTCTGTGTAAACCATATAAAGGCTCTTTTTTTTTTTTTTTTTTTTTGAGACAGAGTCTCGCTCTGTTGCCCAGGCTGGAGTGTAGTGGTACGATCTCGGCTCACTGCAACCTCTGCCTCCCAGGTTCAAGTGATTCTCCCGCCTTGGCCTCCCGAGTAGCTGGGATTACAGGCGCCCGCCACCACACCCAGCTGATTTTTGTATTTTTAGTAGAGACAGGGTTTCACCAGGTTGGCTTGACTGGTCTCAAACTCCTGACCGCAAGTGATCCAGCCGCCTTGGCCTCCCAAAGTGCTGGGCTTACAGGCGTGAGCCACCATGCCCGGCCCATAAAAGGCTCTTGCTTACATTTTCCCCTCATTCCTGTTACCCCTTGACCAACCTGGTGTTTCCTCATGTGGCCTGAGGCAGGTTCTTTCTCTGTTGCCCAGGCTGGAGTGCAGTGGTGCAATCACCGCTCACTGCAGCCTCGACCTCCTGGGCTGGAGATCCTCCTGCATCAGCCTCCTGAGTAGGCATGCGCCACCACACCCAGCTAAGCTTTTTATTTTTTATAGAGGCAGAGTCTTGTTGCCCAGGCTAGTCTCAAACTCCTGGCCTCAAGAGATCCTCCCGCCTCAGCCTCCCAAAGCGCTGAGATTACAGGCATGAGCTACCGTGCCCGCCAACAAAATTGTCTTTTCAAGAGCAGTCATCTCCTGATCTGTTGGCCTTCATATCCCTGAATAATAAAGCCTACATTTTACAACCGTGGGCAGTGCCTTCTCTCCGGCGGTTCAGGGCACAGGCCGCACAGGCTGGATTTGGTATCTGGGGACTATAGAGCCTTCCTCTGCTTTGCCAAGGCTGAGAAAAATCACCTCCCAGACTCCCCTGGAGCTGCAGCTGAGGATCACACCACACGTGCCTCCTGCTGCCTGGATGTTTAGCAGTGGCCTGCGGCCAAGAGTCATAAACTGTATCCCAATCGTTGAAGAAGCTGGCCCCCTACAGGGCAGCCGCCAAGCTCCCACAGCCCTACCCGCCCCCCGGGGTACTCACTGCACCAGGGCGTGGGGCTCCATGGGGCTCAGGGTGTTGTACACCGTCACCAGGTCGCTGCCGCGCTCGTCGCAGGACGCAAGGTCAAAGCTGCGGAAGGTGAGGCTCAGCACTGAGTCGGCGTCCCCCCGCAGGGCCCACTGGCAGCGGGCATGAGCGGGGTAGGGGCTGTCAGGGAAGCCGGGCGTGGTGAAGCGCATCAGCTCCACACCGCGGGCGTGCAGGCCAAAGCTGCAGCTGTCTGCGCAGGAGACAAGAAGGAGGGCACGTGTGGGGGCAGGGCTGGGCAGAGCTGGGGGAGGACCCTGAGACCCCGTGGGTGTGGACCTCAGGCCTCGCCCCTTCGAGACGCCCCAGGCTGCCCTGGGCCTCGGGAAATCAGGAAGGGGGCTTCTCAGAAGGGCCTGGAAGAGGAAGGGCCTGGAAAGATCGTCATAATATACTTCATTCAGAGGGACATGCTTCTGGGGACCCCACTGGCTCAAGGGCATCTGGCCACATCCCGCCTCTTCCCCACCCAGAAGAGGAGGCGGGCACGATACTTACTGTCCTGGGTCCTCTGTACTGTTTTGGAGTCCGTGGCTGAAGAATAAGAAGGAGAATAAAGCATTTCCTGATACAATCCATTTCCTTATTCCTGCTTCCTTATTATCTAAAGGGAGGTGCCCGGCCAGCACGTAGTCTTCTCTCTGGGGCACTGGGCCCTGGGAGTGCCGGTCCCCTGCAATGGTCCAGGGCCCAGCCCCACTCCATGGAAGGCTGGCCAGTCCCACGCCCACCCCTGGCCCTCGGACTCACGGAAAGCCACCACTGAGGTGACCACAAAGGACTTCAGGGAGCGCGCCCGCGGGGGCAGCATGACTACGCGCTCCTCGGCCATGACGCGCTCGGCCTCCTCCACCAGGTGCTGCGGGATGCTGAACTCAGACCAGTAGTAGGCGATGACGCTGCCCTCGCTGGGGAGAGAGCGGGAGCCTGAGGCGGAGCTCTGGGCCCCATTTCCCCCACGTGCGCCCAGAGCGACTCCAGGACACATGGGCGGCTCGGGGCACACCTGGGCCTGCCATCTGCAGAGGCCCTTCCCCAGCTCCTCTTGTGTCATCCCTCTTTCCACCCCAAAGCAAGAGGCCTTGCCCTTTGCCCTCTGCTCTCACAGTCTCATCCCCAACCAGACCGATTCTGGGGGCTGCTCAGGGGTAGGAATGAGGAGGGGAAACCCATTGGAGTTTGGCCACAAGCGAGGACACACCGAGTGTCACCTTCCTGAGCCTGTTTTCTGACCTGAGAAAGGAACTGGGAATGCCACCTGCCACACAGCATTCCCCAGGGTTCAAACGAACTAGCAAAATAAAAAGCACTTTGAGAATAAAGTCTATTTTTTTACAAAAGTATGCGTGAAAAACTGCTCAAGCACAGAAAATGTGGGGGCTCATTGAAGGCTGCCTGAGTACCCCAACTCCCCCATACCCAAATTTGGAAAAACAACAAAGAATCACAGCCGTTCCTGGCATCATGCCAAGCACGTCACAGGCCTTTGGGCAGCTCATCACAGCAACAGCTACAGGCACCTTTGCCATGGGGGCAGAAGAGTCAGGCTGCCAAGTAACGCACAGGAGGACACAGCGAGGACCCTCCTTGGCTCTCCAGGCCAGGACCTCCAGCACCATCTCCCGCTTCCTGCCCCACACACTGTACCCCGATCCTACTCCCAGCCAGTCTGGGGTGCATCCCACTGAGCCTTCTCTCCACACCCACCTGAAGGCCGTCACAGCCGACTCCTTGTGGTAGGGGCCCAGGAATGGGACTCCGCTGTACAGCAGCTTCAGCTGAGGAAGGGCAGAGACTCAAGGTGAGCCCCATGCGGCGATGACCCTGCCCCAAGCCCGGGCTGCTCCCTCCCCTCCAGGGCCCGGGTCCCCTTTGCAGATCACCCCCATCCCAGGGCCCTGGGAGCACAGGCGAGGCATGTCCCTCCTGCCCAGCAGGTGGGACACCAGCGCACACAGCCCAGCAGGACTCTGGGCAGGCTGCACTCACCGCGTCCTTCACCTTGCTGGCCAGGCTTACAAACTCAGTGGAGTTGGAGTTCTCGTAGGCATCCACAAAATTCTCATTTGTGATCCTCATGTAGCCATTGAAGACCTTCTGGACACGCACGTCCCGGTCTGTGTGAGACCAGAAGGCGCTCAGTCAGGGGAGGTGGTACCACCCCCGCCTGTCCCTCGCCGTCCACAATGGGGAATGAATGCCAGGAGGGGGCCATGGGTCAGCCCTGACTGCTTCCCATCACTCCCCATCAGGGTTCCAGAGAGGCCAAGAGATCCTCGTGTACTCAGTAGGTGGCCCTGGGTCTGTCCGCTGAGGGAAGAGGGACAGCCACCCCTTGTCGTCCTCCCCGGAGCCAGCCCCAGCTTTACTCACACTGCAAATGCCACACCAGGAAGCCGATCCCCAGCAAGACCAAGAGGAGGCCGATCAGCACGGCTGCCAGCACCACCCAGCGCCCCGGGCCATGCTTTTCCACCTTCTTGACGTTGTTGACTGGCAGGAACTCCACGCCTTCCTCCAAGCCATTCACTTTCTGCAGGGAGAGAGGCGCCACCACTCAGACCCTCTCACCCGCTCTTCCCCTGCACCCCGCTGGGGAAGATGTTCACATTTTGTGAGGTCCAGCTTGGAGAAGAAAGCAGGGGCTTGGGTGAGAAGAAGGGGGCTTCCCCCAGAGGCATGGGGACCACTGCCCAGAGCGCAGACCCCGGGACATGAACCCTGGGCATGCTCTGGGAGGAACATGAGGTCGGCCTTCCCAACCACGCATCTCAGGGTCTGGACAGCACCAGGCGATCATTGCTTACGAATTGTTCATTTAAATTAAAACGCAATGAAGGGCTGTCGAACCCGGTCATCCAGGTCTCCCCTTCAGTGAATCACCTTTGACGTAGGTGGGTGCCCCGGAGAGTGGCCCCAGCCCAGGCCCATGACTGGCAACTGGTACCCCTGTGCAGACTTCTAGGAGCAGGCCCTGCTCCCTCGGACACAGCCCCTACCAGATTCAATCCCCCCATCACCTGGCCCAGGAGCCTGTGGCCAGCACTCAACTGCACACCCTACCCAGCGGCCTTGCCCTGCCAATGGTGAACCAGCCAAAAGTAAAAAGGTGGTGCTGTCATGGAAAAAACTGCTCTGTGTTTAACCTTGGGAGCCCCAGTCCAGGACCTCAAGGCACAGTGAGAGGCCCACTGTGGGAATCCACACCCACGCGCAGCCCCAACAGAGGGAAAAGCAAGCAAACCAAACGCCCAAAAGACAGGATGGCAACTTCCCCGGGTTCCTCCCTGCCAAGGGTATCCATGATGAGGGGCCAGAATACGGAGGGGCAGGTGGGGTGTCTGCTGCACCCAGTGACGGACCGGCGAAGGCTTCTGCCGATAGCACATGCCGTCTGCCCGCCCTGAATCCTGGGGATGCACCATGGCCTGGCACTGTGGCACTCTCAGTTTAACTACCTCACGCCCACTCAATACGGCTCACAACAAAAGCAACAGCCCATCCCACACCCACAGGTGTTGGCCCTTTTGACAGTTTCCTGATGTCATTCTTCTGGTGGTGATCTCGTAATTCGACAGTGTAAATTTAAGCTGATATGTCTTGGTTTGTCACATTTACCCATTATCAACTCACTGCATGAAAGATTCTCCTCACTCCTGCCTTACTGGGATAGGATACTTGTAACTCCAATTTTAGTTTCCTAATTGGCCATATTTGTGACTTGATCTAATATCACACACAGAAACACACCCCAGACGGCCACTTAAAATGTGTTCAAAATGCTTGTTCTGGAGTCTGTCTCTATATTTCTAAATAATATGCCAACGCCATAATCTCTTGATTCATCTATCTAGACATCGGCTGACTTTCTATTATGACAATGTGGATTTTAGTGTCCTTCCACCCTTTCTCTCCCCATCCTCCCAATAGTTACAGGCCCAGAGTTTAAAAAAAATTATATCCATACTCTAGGTTTTCATTATTAGCCTGTGAAAATATTGTTCACTATTATATTTCCTTTCTTTGTATATGTCTTTGTTTTTCCTGCTGTGAATTTTCATTGACTGGGGTTTCTTTTTAACTTGTACCCAAATCTTTACATACAATCTGAGAGCTCTGCAATACTCTTCTCAATCTTCTACATGTAACATCTGTTAAATAACTTATTTCATGTTCTTCCTGAGGGCCACAGTCCTGGAGCCGCCTGTCCTTTCTCATAGCAGTTGTCTGGAACTTCCTTCACCATTGCCCTGGGATTTTCCTTAATCTCCTTCTGCGTTAAAACTCCTATTTCCTGGATCATTTTCTTCATCTTTCTTGGTTTACACTTCATTGTGGTGGAACACATACTTTTTAAAAATTTTTTTCTAACCACAAAGACCCAGAAGAGATGAACATATACTTTCTGAGAAGAATATTTTTTGATACTTTGCATGTTTCTGAAAATACCTTAATTCTACACTCACACATTTATGGAACTTTGGCTGGGTATAGAACTATAGGTTTCAAATAATTTTCACTTAGAATTTTGAGGGCTCAAGCTGGGTGCAGTGGCTCACGCCTATAATCCCAGCACTTTGGGAGGCCGAGGCAGGTGGATCATCTGAGGTCGGGAGTTCGAGACCAGCCCAGCCAACATGGTGATACCCTGTCTCTACTAACAATACAAAAATTAGCCAGGCGCGGTGGCACGTGCATGTAATCCCAGCTACTTGGGAGGCCGAGGCAGGAGAATCGCTTGAATTCAGGAGGCAGAGGTTGCAGTGAGCTGAGATTGCGCCACTGAACTCCGGCCTGGGTGACAGGGTAAAACTCTGTCTCAAAAACAAAAAAAAAAGAAAGAATTTTGAGGGTTCCACTGTTTTTTAGCTTCTAATTTGCTTTTGAGAAATATGATAATGTTATAAACTCATTATCTTTTACTTATGACTTCATTGTCTTTCTTTGAAAGCCTTGAGAATGTGCTTTGAATTGGGTCTTTTTGTTTTCTTGAGACAGGGTCTTGCTGTGTTGCCCAGGCTGGAGTGCAGTGGTCTGATCATAGCTCACTGTAATCTTGAACTCCTGAGCTCAGGCAATCCTCCCACATCAGCCTCCTGAGTAGGTAGGACTATAGCTGTACACCACCGTGTCCAGTTAATTTTTTTCTAATTTTTTGTAGAGGCAAGGTCTTACTATGTTGCCCAGGCTTATCTCGAACTCCTGGCTTCAAGCTATCCTTCCATCTCAGCCTCCCAAAGTGATTTTCCTGTCTTATTTTTTAGATTATGTCTCCCTTTCATTTCCTCTGGTCTACCATTCCTTAATCCTTATTATATTTATCCTCTATTTATCCTTTCTCTGTATTATCCATCTCATTATTTTTAACCTTTCAATTGAGTTTTTCATTTTTGGTATCAAAATTTTAATTTCTAAGAGCTTTCTGTTTCTTTGAATTTTCCTCTTTCATGGCATCTTGTATTTGTTCCATGAATGCAAAACCTTCTCATCTTTATATTTCCATTGAGTATCTTTTCTCTGTTTTTGACTTTTTCTTCCATGTTGAAGACTTTCCTCAAATGCTGGGGGATCCTTGGTGGTTATTTTTATTTAGAAACAAGCTCCTGGCGGCTGTTTGGAAGCTCTGTGTGCATGCCTTGCCACAACTGGCTTCACTGGCGGGGACACAAGTGAGTGGCTAAACAGATTTTTTTTCTGGGCACTCCCAATGGTTAGACTATATACATCTTCCTGTGGATGGTTCCATTGCTCCAGAGAATAATTTTCTAATCTCCTGGCTGGAGTGATTTAAACCCAGCCACTAGCATTCAGGAACACGTAGGAGAAGAGACTCATTCCCCTTCTTTTCACCTCTCTCTACAGCCTTCCTCTGTACCTGGGGTTCTCAAGCCCACATATTCTTTGATTCAATCTCTCCAGACTATTTTTCCCATCCACTGTGGGAGTCTGCTGGGGCCTTTGTCTTTTTGCTTGGGGCCAAGGTGGAGATTTGGGTATTTCTAACAATGTCCTTTCTTGTCTCACCTCTGTCTTCTAGAATACTTGAGCCCAATCTTTTCTGAGCCTGGCAGAGAAGAGACCATTACCAAAGAAATACTGAAAGGATGTTTCCAAGAGCTGAAGAGAGTTGTAAATCTTCCAATTCAAAGGGCTCAGTGAATGGTGAGAAAGACAAATGAAACAGCACATATAGCCAAACAGATTGTATTGTGATGACATTTCAGAAGATCACGGATAAGAATGGATCCTCTACGCCTCTAGCTGTCATCTTTTCTCTCCCGTATTTTGCGTTTCTTCAGCGTTTGGTTCTACTTTGGGAATTTCTTTGACTTGCTCTTGCAAACCTTCCATTAAATTTAAAAAGCAGCTTCATTGAGGTATTATTGCATAAAATAAAGTGTATATATTTAAGTGTACAATTTTGGGCATCCATATGCACCCATGAAACCATCCACAGCTAAGATGATGCCCGTGTCCGTCTCCTTCAAAATCTCCTCCTGGCCCCTCCCACATGTTCCTCCCTGAATCCATTTCCTGTCCCCAAGAAACCACTCATCTGCTTCAGGCTGCTTTTCCCAGAGCTTTATGTAAATGGAATTCTGCAGTATGCACTCTTCCATCTGGCTTCTTTCACTCCGCACGATTCCTCTGAGACTCACGCAGGTTCCTGTGTGCCCAGCAGTGCATACCTTTTGGTTGTTGCTGCATTTATCCCATCGTTTGGACACACAACATGTGTTTACCTGTTCACCTATTGATGGACATTTGGGGTGTCTCCAATTTCAGGCCATTACAAACAGAGCTGCTAGAAACACTCCCGTAGCTGTCTTTGTACTGGCATATCAGCAATGAAAAACTGGAAACTAAAACTAAAAGACACCATTTACAATAGCTTCAAAAATATGAAATACTTAGAGGTAAATCTGACAAAAAATGCACAAAACCTGTACACTGAAAGATGTAAAATACTGCTGGGAGAAATTCTAAAAGACCTAAATTAGTTGAGCAATATACGCTGTTCATGGATTAGATGATTCAATATTAAGGTGTCTATTCTCAAAATTAGCTATAGATGCAATGCAATCTTTTTTTTTTTTTTTTTTTAAGATACAGGGTCTTGCTATGTTGCCCAGGCTGGTCTTGAATTCTTGGCTCAAGCAATCCTCCTGCATCAGCCTCCTGAGTAGCTGGGACTACAGGGTGCACCACTGCACCCAGCTGCAACTAGACATTTTTATGTTATCTTTGGAACTTCGCCTTTCAGGCTGGGTTTTCTTTAGACATCTGGTGGCCTCTGGTAGTCTAATCATATTTAAGAATGAGAAAACACAGATTTCGGCTACACTCTGAACAGACCATGTATGTGTATATATGTATAAGAAATGTAGGCCGGGTGTGGTGGCTCACGCCTGTAATCCCAGCACTTTGGGAGGCCGAGGCAGGCAGATCACCTGAGGTCAGGAGGTCAAGACCAGCCTGGCCAATGTGGTGAAACCCCATCTCTACTAAAAATACAAAAAAAATTAGCCAGGCGTGGTCGTGGACGCCTGTAATCCCAGCTACTCGGGGGGCTGAGGCAGGAGAGTCGCTTGAACCCAGGAGGCAGAGGTTGCGGTGAGCCAAAATCGTGCCATTACACTCCAGCCTGGGCAACAAGAGCGAAACTCCATTTCAAAAAAAAAAAAAGTAACAAAAGTGGCTGGGCGCGGTGGCTCATGCCTGTAATCCCAGCATTTTTGGAGGCCAAGGTGGGTGGATCACCTAGGTCAGGAGTTCGAGACCAGCCTGGCCAACATGGGGAAACTCCATCTCTACAAAAAACATAAAAAATTAGCCAGGTGTGGTGGCGGACACCTGTTATCCCAGCTATTCGGGAGGCTGAAGTACAAGAGTTGCTTGAACCTGGGAGGCGGAGATTGCAGTGAGCCGAGATCACACCACTGCACTCCAGCCTGGGCAACAGAGTGAGACTCGGTCTCAAAAAAAAAAAAAAAGATATTTAACAAAAGGGCCAGGCATGGTGGCTCACACTTGCACTGTGAAAGGCCAAGGTGGACAGATCACTTGAGCCCAGGAGTTCGAGACCAGCATGGCCAACACGGCTAAACCCAATTCAAAGGGCTCAGTGAATGATAAGAAAGACAGAAATACAAAAAACTAGCCAGACATGGCAGCATGCACCTGTAGTCCTGGCTACTCGGGAGGTTGAGGCAGGAGGATGATCTGAACCCAGGGAGGCTGAGGCTGCAGTGAGCCATAGTCATGCCACTGCCCTCCTGCCTGGGCGAGACAGAGACAGCAAAACCTCATCTCAAAAAAAAAAAGGAAAGAAAGAAACAAAGAAAAAAAGAAATGTAATGAAATAATAATTTATCATGTTTAGATGTATATCCAATTCACAGGGTAATTTCACAACCATTTTCTTACTGGATCTTCATGACAGTCCTGTGACTCATTCAAGACTGGCTGGTGCTATCACCCGTGTTATATAAAGAAGGCAGGGAAGAATGCTGATTTTGCAAGGTCACCCAGTACTTGGTGGCAGATCCAGAATCTGGTCCTGGTTTACTGCCTCCCAGTGTGGTTAGGTTCCAGAATTCTGGGAGCAAGGATTCAGGGAAACAGAAGACAGAGACTCCCATGAGAAGGGGTAAGGTGGCTGAGGGCATTGACTCAGGGGTCACCCCAGACTCTGCCACGGAGCGAGGCTGTCAGCAGTGGCGCTAGCTCAATGGTGGGTCCTCTGTCCTCCCTGCAGTGTGAGTTCTGTGGCTCCACCCAGCCTAAAAGTGCTGTCTAATCAGTAACTGGGCTGCTTCCTTTTATAACCTTAGCTCTTGGCTCCATTTTCAGGTGTAACAGAGATACTGTTGCATAATCCCATCGTTTTATTGATAAGAACACTGAGGATGAAAGAGAGGGAGTGGCCTGTCCAAGGTCACAAAGTTAATAAAGTCAGTGAAGCAGCAAAGCTCTTTTAACTCCTGGGTGGGGGAGGTGGGAGGGGGAGGTCTCAGGGAACTCCCATCCACTTAGACACTTAGACAACTGTAGGCATAACACCTCTCTACTGGGCCACAGCCGACAGGAGAGATCCTATGCCTGCGCCTGCTTTCACTTCTCCTGTCTCTCTTTCTTAAAAGTAAACATCTTTGCAGGTGCACACATAAAACGGTGCTATGAAGCCAGGTGTGTCTGCTTACCATAAACACAGATAGAGGCCATGTAAATATCACAGCCTCTTCCTGCTGGCCCACTGTAGTTAGATCCTGGCCAAAGGACCCAGAAACACAGCTCGGCTCCAGGCCACTCAGACAAGGGAACGAGGAATGACTTCCAGGCGGGAGGTTGGGGATAAAGGGCTCAGGACAAGCAGGGTACAGACCCTAAAGGGCCAGGATCTAACAGGGACCACCACTATCTCACCCAGCAGGGGCGAGATCAGACCACCATCCCACCCAGCAGGGACGAGATCAGATCACCACCATCCCACCCAGCAGGGACCACCGCCATCCCACCCAGCAGGGACAAAATCAGACCACCGCCATCCCATCCAGCAGGGACAAGATCAGACCACCACCATCTCACCCAAGAGGGACCACTGCCATCCCACCCAGCAGGGATGAGATCGGACCATTGCCATCTCACCCAACTTTCTGCAGGGAGCGAAGGGTCAGATCCAGAAACCCGGGAAGGGGAAGTGGAGAGGTCCTAGAGCACGCCCTATTTCATCTTATCTCATTGTCTGAGGCACACTAGAGCAACTGATGCATATCCTCCCCAAGGCCGGGCTCTCCAAAACGAAAAGAAAAAAAACACTGATTTCTAGAGGGCCAAAAAAGAGACCTATTTTATTTGATAATATAGGAAAGATTCTTGCAGCCAGCCTACTCCCATTAAGTCAGAGAAACTCACCAGGGCTGAAAGCTAAATGCTGAGCCAACAAAACTCTGTGTGAGTCAACCAGAGAATCCTCCCTCTGAGAGGAACGCTCTCCTGGTTCCTCAAACACACACTAAGACCTGCCACTGAGTGCAAACTCTCCAGGGCCCACGACCCCACTGGCTCTGGGGACCAACAAGTCCAAAGCCAGAATTTGCCATGGGCTGCTCAGAGCATGGTTATCCTTAGAGAAAAGCAATGGGGAAGGGCCCCTACACTTACCAACAACAAAAATACTACCAACTGCACACAAAGCCACACAAGATTCCAACCAAAGCAGACAGGGAAAAATGAAGCTTCGGGCCAGACCCTTTCTAAAGATCGTTCCTCATGTGGCTAAGGTTGGGTGTGATCTGCTGGGAAGGAAGCGGCTGAACCTGGAAACCTCAAGAGGCCCCTTGGAATCCTGGGGAGGGACCGTGAAGGGCAGTCACATGACAATGGGTAGCCTGCTTCTGAGGCTGAAGATCAAGGTCAAGGGGCAGGGGCGATGCCACCAGCTAGGGACACAGCTGTGCTGCCCAGACCTGAGACAAGGACAGGGTGGCTGGATTTGTGTGCTGCTGCCAAGTGCCACTGATTTGTGGCCAAGGCTCTTGACTGACACGCTCGGTGACTCCAAGGTGGGACGGATTTCAATCCCATGATGTCATCACCCCCACCAGGGTCATGAGAACCATAAACTATCCCTGTAATTGTTCAAGCGAGAAAGGAAAGTAGAGCCCGAGCACCTGCAAGGGTTTCCCCGGGGAAGAAAGCATTCTGTGGCAGGTCGAAGATGCCTTCCTTTGCAAGGGAAAGACCGAGCCAGCACAACCTCGTGGCCGCTCCCTGCCGGACTGGCTAAAGGTTGTGCTGGATCCTGGCCAGATTTCCCGGAAACCCAGCACGGCTCAAGCCCACCTGAGATGACAGCAGGGAATGACTGCCAAGAACAAACTCTGTGTTTGTCCCCTGGGCAATGCTGAGCTGAGAATGATACCAGAGGCATGTTGCAGGAAGGCCTCTTCATCAGGCTGCTGTTCATAAAAGGGACCTGTCTCCGGCTAGGAGGGACCCCACATAGACAGGCCCTCCCCAGTTAAATCAGCAGCCCCGGGGAAGCTCCAGCAGCTGTGCACAGAGCAGGCGGTCAGCAGGCTCCTGAGGGCGGGACTTCACCCCACCTGCCACCATGGCAGTCCAGGGCCCAGCACGGGGCCTCATAAAAGAGGACACTTGAGTGCTTATCTGGGGATGACCGATGGGCAAATGAGAAAGGAAAAGAAAGGCCACACTGGAATCCTCCCACCCACTCCCCAACCAGGGGTAATCGATCTCTCTAGAAGCCAATTTTCACGAAACCTGCAAAAGCCTATGGTTCCCATTGATCGCAACCCCCAGCATTTCCTGGACTTGTCTGGTCATGAAAAAGAACAATAACAATCAACTGAAACAAATGCAGTGTTTGTTCCACATCCAGATTCCCAAGCCCCTCTCCCTGGAGGTGCTGATGTCATGCATCAGGAGCAGGGCCTCGGATGTGGAAGTTTTTATTCAAGTGCTCCAGGTCATTCTTGGGAACCTGAAAGTTGGAGAAACTCCACCCACCATTTCCAGGAGGCTCACCCCTTCCTGTCACCAGGAGGAGAAGCTGGCTTAGAGTCTCAGCTGGTCTATTTTGAGCAACCACCTGGGATGAAGGGAAGCTGCTGTGCCAGGTCGAACTTTGCTTCCACGCCCTGGGGACCCTCCCACAATTGGTTATAAGCATCATCCCAGAAGTCCCTGAGGCTATCACTTTTCCCAGAAATACACACTCCAGCTCCTCCTGGGAGAGCACAGGGCCAGCTGCAGACCCAGCCAGCTGCTGGCAGACACCCCAAAACCCCGGCCCGCCCACCTTTCCCTTTGACCCGTCGCCGCCCTCAGCCGCCCCGCCAGAAGGAGCTGCTGGAAAACAGGTGGGGCTGCAGGGCCCCAAGGAAGATCCAGAAATATCTGTAGATCTGTAACCCCAGCCCATCAGGGGAACACAAAGCTGACCCACGGCCAAGAACTCCCACTGAAGGAAGTAAACCACAAGTCCCCACACCTGGTTACAGCCTGAAGGAAAGTCCCCCAGGACCTGACTCAGCCCAGCTGTGAGGACGTTGTCAACACAGAAACCCAGCGGTTCTCTGCCAGGGAGCAGCCAGCTCCTGCAGGTTTCAAGTCCCGTCCCAACTCCCAGCACTGCCCAGGGCCCTCCCCACGCAGCCCAAGGGACCAGGAGCCTTGTACAGAGCACCCTTGACATAAGTAACGCCATCTTAGAAAAAGACTTCATCTTAAAAAGAGCAGGACTTCGGCACCTCAAGATGCCCTCTTCACTGACACCATTTTGCTGTCATTCGTGATAAGCACCCAGCATCTGCCAACGAAGGCTCTGCCAACATCAGAAACTCTTCCCGGCAAGACCGACAAATGACCCAGCTCACACCAGGAGACTCTTTTTATCTTCGTGGCTCTTCCTGGACTGGTTTGTTAAACCCTTTTTCCTATCCCCTTTCTCTTGATGTTAAATGTTACTTTGATGTGGAATGTTTATACTTTTATATATTGGTTAAGAATATTATTATGTATAGTTTGCAATATTGACTGGAGTGGTTTGAGCCTGTGTGCCTGAGGCTCTGACTACGGAGTGAACAGGAAGTACTAAGGAGAGCTGTCTCTTTGGGAACTCCATGCGGCTCGCGCCTTGTGTGATTGAAGTCACATCAATAAGTCTGACCTTGTGGAAAGACACAAAGGTGCATGGACCCGGTTAGGACCTCGCACCGCTCATGAGAATTGGCACAGTCAGCTTACTGGGCATAGGTGGTATAGTCGATGCTAAGGCGAAAGCCTCCACTAAAACTTAAATTAGAAATCAAGCCGTTTGAAAAAACAAACTGCCACCCTCTTCAAAAAGAGACGTCATCTCACTTCACCTTGAAAGTCTAGCTCCCTGAGGAAAACCTCAGGTGATGAGGTTCTTTACCCAGGTCCTGTAGCTCCAAGAGCTGACAAGGTCTCGGCTGATGCCAGGCTAGGAAGCTAGTGGGGCCAGAAAGGCTCATAGCAAGCATGGTCTCAACTTAGGAGATGGCAGTTGGCAAAACAAAAAAATTTTTTGTTTTTGAGACGGAGTTTCGCTCTTGTCGCCCAGGCTGGAGTGCAATGGCGCCATATCGGCTCACCACAACCTCCACCTCCCAGGTTCAAGCGGTTCTCCTGCCTCAGCCTCCCGAGTAGCTGGGATTACAGGCACCTGCCACCGCACCTGGCTAATTTTTGTATTTTTAGTACAGACAGGGTTTCACCATGTTTGCCAGGATGGTCTTGATCTCTTGAACTCGTGATCTGCCCACCTCAGCCTCCCAAAGTGCTGGGATTACAGGCGTGAGCCACCGCGCCCGGCCTAAAAACAAATTTTTAACTCGGCTGAAAGAAGAGGAAGCCAATTATTGCATAACCCCTACTCATCCGGTTGGCTAAGGTGGGAAATCGAACCATTGCCCAAATAGAGTTGGAAGTCAGAAAGACTCCCTGTATGACCCCCTGAGGATGTACAGTCAGACTTGAGGACCCTAAAAATGTTAAGCCCCGCCAGGCACGGTGGCTCATGCCTGTAATCCCAGCACTCTGGGAGGCCAAGGCAGGTGGATCACGAGGTCAGGAGATCGAGATCATCTTGGCTAACACGGTGAAATCCCATCCCTACTAAAAATACAAAAAATTAGCCAGGTGCGGTAGTATGGGCCTGTAGTCCCAGCTACTCAGGAGGCTGAAGCAGGAGAATCACTAGAACCCAGGAGGCAGAGGTTGCAGTGAACCGAGATCATGCCACTGCACTCCAGCCTGGGTGACAGAGTGAGACTCCGTCTCAAAAAAAAAAAAAAAAAAAAAAAAAAAAGTTAAGCCCTAAAAGAAAAAATCCCTGTACTTTTAATGCAAAGTATCTCACAGATCGCCAGACAGGCAAAGAGCCAGCTCAAGGAATTTTAAGGAAAAGTAGGTCGGGTGCGGTGGCTCAAGCCTGTAATCCCAGCACTTTGGGAGGCCGAGGCAGGCGGATCATGAGGTCAGGAGATCGAGACTATCCTGGCTAACAGGGTGAAACCCCATCTCTACTAAAAATACAAAAAATTAGCTGGGTGTGGTGGTGGGCACCTGTAGTCCCAGCTACTCGGGAGGCTGAGGCAGGAGAACGGTGTGAACCCGGGAAGTGGAGCTTGCAGTGAGCCGAGATTGCGCCACGGCACTCCAGCCTGGGCAACACAGCGAGACTCTGTCTGAAAAAAGAAAAAGAAAAGAAAAAGAAAAAAAAAAAAGGAAAAGTAAATCCCTGTCAGGGGTAACTTTTAAGGAGGAACCCCTGGGACCAAGGGAACCCCCTGCAGAGAACTTAGGACATTACAATGACCCTTGGGGTGGGTATATACAGCAAGACCTATAATAACTAGAAAAAGAGGTACCAATGATAACTATGAGAATCACAGTCCTCAGGACACCAGTGAGGACGGAGACTACACCACAGCAGAGTTACTGAAACTGAGAACAGATTTTTGCCAAAGACAGAGCACAGATGCAGACTGGCCCCTACATCTGTGGGAGAATGCAGCAGACACCACGGCACTATCAGGCACAGAAACGCATTGCATCCCTACACGAGCAGGAAACTGTCATGAGCTATTATAAAACTACCAAACCATAAACCATTAGAACCACAAATCAGCCAAGGCTGGATGTGGTGGCTCACGCCTGTAATTTCAGTACTTTGGGAGGCTGAGGCAGGTGGATCACCTGAGGTCAGGAGTTTGAAACCAGCCTGGCCAACATGATGAAACTCCGTCTCTACTAAAAATACAAAATTAGCTGGATGTGGTGGCACACGCCTGTAGTCCCAGCTACTCGGGAGGCTGAGACAGGAGAATCGCTTGAACCCAGGGGGTGGAGGTTGCAGTGAGCCGAGATCGCACCATTGCACTCCAGCCTGGGCAAGAAAGAGTGAGACTCCAGGCCAGGTGTGGTGGCTCACGCCTGTAATCCCACCAGCATTTTGGGAGGCCAAGGTGGGCAGATCACCTGAGGTCAGGAGTTTGAGACCAGCCTGACCAACATGGAGAAACCCCGTCTCTACTAAAAATACAAAAAATTAGCCGGGCATGGTGGCACATGCCTGTAATCCCAGCTACTCGGGAGGCTGAGGTGGGAGAATCACTTGAACCTGGGAGACGGAGGTTGGGATGAGCCGAGATTGCGCCATTGCACTCCAGCCTGGGCAACAAGAACAAAACTCCATCTCAAAAACAAAAAGAAAGAGAGAGAGAGAAAGAGAGAGAGGAAAAGAAAAGAAAAGAGTGATATTCCATTTCAAAAACAAAAAAACAAAAAAAAACCCACCAATCAGCCAAGATATGTTCTAGCCCTCTGGGACTGGATCACATCAGCCTGGAGATCTGTCCACCCATATTCAGACCCAACAAAATCTGGAGACGGACTTGAAAAAATCTAACACAAGGACAAACGAATCCAAGAAAATCAGCTATCTTAGGGATGGCACGTGATAGATATAATGAATTTGCCATTCCGCTTGAAATTCCAGTCATAAATGAAATTCAGAGAACACTTCTGTTAGGAGTACCACCTAACCTGCAGTTCTCCTACATGAATGCTCTCTCGGCATGCAGAGCCATGCAAGATATACTAGACGCGTAATTATCAGGTACCCATAAGGTAACATTTATGGCAAAACCTGAAAAACATACCAAGAGAAAGGGGATAGGAAAAAGGGCTAATGAACCAGTCCAGGGAGAGCCACGAAGACAAAAAAAGTCTGGGCTGGGCTAGGCTGGCTGGTTCATCAGTCTTTCAGGGAAGAGTCTGTAATGTGGGCAGAGCCTTTGGCAGTGGATGTTGGGTGCTTATCACCAGTGACAGCAGAGGGTGAACTGCCAAAGTCCTGCTCTTTTTATGGCCACAGAGTCCTCTGGTGAGGACTGACAGTGGAGGAGGATGCTTGTCTGTTTGTTTGCAGTCTTTAAATTTATCAAGCAAAACACCTTGTCCTTGTGGGCAAAGTGCCCTATGAAATGGAAGATGAAGTCTTTTTCTAAGATGGAGTTACTTATGTCAAGGGTGGCTCTATACGGGGAGTTGGTAATAACTGCCACCCCCACCCCCACCCCACACCCACACACCTCACCCCCAGGAGAAGCAGCAGAGGGCCCAGGAGAGCAACACTGGATTTGGAGTCAGATAGATTTGGGTTCAAAATTCAGCTCTGCCACACTTTCAGCTATCTGGGTTTTTGATAAATTTTCCTCTCTTAACCCTTTTTTCATCTGAAAATGAAGCCTAGCGGCTGTAAGAATTGGACGTGATATTTCTTGAAGACACCTACATGGCACAAAGATGTCCAAAAATAATGAGTGTATTTGCTGTGGCCACCGCCTCCCTCACCTGGCTGTGGGCCCCCAGGAGGAGGGATGGGACAATCCCTTGGGAGACCTCAGAGGTGGAAAAGCAGCTCCTGGGGCTGCAGCCTGTGGGCAGACTCCCTCCTCCTGCTGCTGTGGGTCTGTCCGTGGTTTTGAATCCCTAACTTGTCTTAAAGAATGATCCAGAGGCCCTCTGTGTCCTGCTCCTGCTTCAAGCCAATTGTTTCATTATTTTCAGGCTCTGCAAAAAAAGTATTTGAAACAAGGTTTTCATTGTCTTAAAAAATGTTTTTGGAAACTACCAGAAGCTTTATGTGTAAGCTGAGGCCCAGAGCATGCTGCGACCTGGCCAGCACTCTCTGGTCTTGTGGGGTAAACCACCCATGGGTGCAAGTGGGTAGGGACACCCTGGCTGGCCTTCTGCTCTCTCCCAGAGAAAGTGGACAGAGGGGTTACAGAGAAGCGGGACAGCAGCAGAGCCCTCCTGGAGCCATGGGTCGGGACAGAGTGACAAGGGCGGGTAGATGTGGGCCAGCCAAGGATTGGCTCCTGGGATCCTGGAAAGACCTGCCAGGTCGCTCCTCACTAAGGCCCACACTACAGACTTGTGCTGTTAAGGTCTTTCATTTTTTTTGTTGGAGGGTGTTTGATTTTTTTTTTTTTTTTGAGACAGAGTCTCGCTCTGTCACGCAGTCTGGAGTGCAGTGGCACCATCTTAGCTCACCACAACCTCCGCCTCCCAGGTTCTAGTGATTCTCCTGCCTCAGCCTCCCGAGTAGCTGGGACTACAGGCGCCCGCCACCACACCTGGCTAATTTTTGTATTTTTAGCAGAGACAGGATTTCGCCATTTGGCCAGGCTGGTCTCGACTCCTGACCTCAGGTGATCTGCTCTCCTCGGCCTCCCAAAGTACTGGGATTACAGGCATGAGCCACCGCGCCCAGCCTTTCAGTTTGTTTTGAAGTTTGAATCTGAACTTCAGCTGCTCCACCAGACCAGAGGGAGGAATTGGGCTGCCTGGCTTTTGGCAGATGGATAAACAGTGGGTGGAGAAATTAAAATCAAAGAGAGACAGTAGGTAGGCCTCAGTCATTAGCAGGAATTAGCTAATTATGTTCTATTTGGAAGGCCGTAAGTGGTTATTAACCCACTTTTAAGAGGGGGAAAACTGAGGCACAGAGAAAAGTATTTGCCCCAGCAGCTCAGGGCTCTCAGTCCTGACCACTCGCGTGGTGACGCCACACCCTCCCCTGCACCAGCTCCCCAGAAAGGAAAGAAGAGAGTTGTGTCAGGCAGTCCTCACTGAAGCTGGTTCTTTGCCCTCCTATAGGGTCCCACTGCAGATGCGTGAGGCTCGTACACAGCACCCTTGACATAAATAACTCCATCCTAGAAAAAGACCTCATCTTATGTTTCACTTTGTCAACAGGGACAAGATGTTTTGCAAATAAATAAACACGGCATCCAGCCAGACAAGGACATACACACTCCTCCACTGTCTGTCCTCAGTAGAGGACTCTGTGGCCATAGGAAGAGGACAGCAATGGCCGGGCGCGGTGGTTCACGCCTGTAGTCCCAGCACTTTGGGAGGCTGAGGCGGGCGGATCACGAGATTAGGAGATCAAGACCATCCTGGCTAACACGGTGAAACCCCGTCTCTACTAAAAATACAAAAAATTAGCCGGGTATGGTGGTGGGCACCTGTAGTCCCAGCTACTGGGGAGGCTGAGGCAGGAGAAAGGCGTGAACCTGGGAGGCAGAGCTTGCAGTGAGCCGAGATCGCACCACTGCACTCCAGCCTGGGTGGCAGACTGAGACTCTGTCTCAAAAAAAAAAAAAAAAAAAAAAAAGAAGACAGCCAGGCACAGTGGCTCATGCCTGGAATCCCAGCACTTTGGCAGGCTGAGGTGGGAGGATTGCTTGAGCCCTGGAGTTTGAGACAAGCCTGGGCAATGCAGAGAGACCCCCATCTCTACAAAAATTTTTTAAAAAAATTAGCTTAGCATGGTGGCACAGCTACTCAGCGGGCTGAGGTGGGAGGATCACTTGAGCCTGGGATGTCAAGGCTGCAGTGAGCTGTGATCACGCCACTGCACTCCAGCTTGGGCAACAGAGCGAGACCCTGTCTCAAAAAAAAAAGCAACCAAAAGAAACAAAAAAACAAAACAAGAGAAAAGAGCAAGACTTCAGCAGCTTGAAATGGCTGTCTTAATTGACACTATCTTGCTGTCACTCATGATAAGCACCTAGCATCTGCCAGCGAAGCCTCTGCCAACATCAGAAACTCTTCCCCACGAAACCGACAGACTGCCCAGGCCAGGGCAGGAGGGTCTTGTTGTCTTCGTGGCTCTCCCTGGACTGGTTCATTAACCCTTTTTCCTAACCCCTTTCTCTTGATGATAAATGTTACTTTGATGTGGGATGTTTAATCTATACATTTATATATTAAGTATATGATTATGTATGGCTTGCAATGTTGACTGACTTGTGGAGTGGCTTCAGCCTGTGTGCCCGAGGCTCTGCCTCCTGAGTGAACAGGAAGTACTAAGGAGAATTGTCTTTTTGGGAACTCCATGTGGCTAGTGGTGTTTATGATTGAAATTGCATCAATAAAAGTCTGACCTTGTGGAAAGACACAAACGTGCGGGGACCTGGTTATCTTTGATCTTGCACCACTCAAGAGACCCCCCCAATATTGCAGAAAAGCGAACTGAAGCCCAGAGAGATCATGCTCTGCAGATCCAGCGAGCCCACTTCTGAGTATTTATCCAAAGGAAGGAATTGAAACCAGGATCTGAAGAGAGAGCTGCATCCTATGCTCACTGCAGCACTGTTCACAGAAGCCAAGATGTGGGAACAAACTAAGCATTTTCCTTAGCAAATGAATGGATACACAAAAGGTGGTCCATACCTTCAATAAGAGATCTTGTATTAAGTGTTCTTATCACAAAATAGTAATTATTATTATAAATAAATAGAATAATAGATAAAGAGGGCAGGAGGAAACTTTGGAAGGTGATGGATATTTTGCAGCCTAACTTATGGGATGGTATCACTGGTGTTTCCATACATCCACACTCATCAGGTTGTACACATTAAATAGAAACAAAAGAAACAAAAAACAAGAGAAAAGAGCAGGATGTCAGTAGCTTGAAATGGCTGTCTTAATTGACACTATCTTGCTGTCATTCGTGATAAGCACAACAGCAGTATCATCTGTGGATCTTATTCAGATTTCCCGTTTCACTGCTACTCATGTGAATATTAAGTTCCATTCTATGTCATTGCTAGCACAGGCCCCTGTCTGTAATGTCACAAAAAGGTACAGCTTTTTGCATATCAATCATACCTCAATAAAGTAGTCTAAATCAATAAATACAGTGTTGATTTCAAAAACAAAAAAAAAAGGAACACTCTGCAAAACTCTATCTACTACAAAACCCACTTCTTGGGCCCAAGAGACGGGCCCCTGCTGTGCCCACCACTGTATATGGGTCGTCACTCCTTTAACATTGGTCTAAGGGCACTGGCTCCCTCAACTCTGACGTTGGCTCTAGCCAGAAAGGCCCCCAAGCCTGTTAGGAACCAAGAGGTTCCTAACCTCTCGGTTAGGAACCCATCTGCCTGCTCGGAATGGCTGGGCTCCCCTACCGCCTACCGAACCTGCCTGCCCTCCAGCACACAGGCCAAAGCTGAGCCTTGCCAGGAATCCTCCCGGGACCACAACAAGCCACCGTACTTTCTCCCTGGGGCCTCACCTCTTCCCCAACCTGCACCATGCTGGGTGGACCAGGAAGTCCTGGCTGGTCACAGTGCCCCGGTTTCCTCTTCCTACTGCCTCTCTCCCTCCCCCTCCACCCTCAACCTTGCCCAGAGTTAGCACTTGATTGACTAATTGATGGGTTGATGGAAGGTCTTCTCTCCCCATAGCCAGACTTAGGCAGCCTCCCCAGGGCAGGCTGGAATAATCTGCCAGTTGCCAAGTGCCCTCAACCAAGAAGGGGAAAAAATACTCAGTCCACACCTCAGGGCTCTGCTGACAGTCCCCCAGGCTCTCTGGGGTCAGACCTGGCCTGGCCACCCACTGTCCTCAGGCCCCATTTAAAGTTCGACTTTGCCGGATCTCTCCTGGTCCTCAGTTCAGTGTGTCGCCCCCAAAACACACACACCAGGACATAACCTCTTTTGCCAATTCTAGCCGGAAAATTCCATCTCTGCCTCTTCGATCCCATTTAGTTTGCACCAGCCCTCTCCTTATGTGCCAAAGACCTACTTCCCGGCCCAGCTGCCCCACCTTCCTCCTGCCCCAAGTCACCGGACTCAGAGCAGAAGCATCTGCCTGCAGCAGCACAAACAGGCAGATCCCCCAAAACCCGACAAGAGAAACAAGAGGTGCAGCCAGCACCTAGTAACTTCTTTTCATTCGTTTTCTTGACTTTTTATTAAATCCACATTCTGATTTCACGAGCTAGTGTGCCTTTCATTACTGACATTTTTATGGAGATACTTGTAGATTCCCATACAGTTGTAGGAAATCATACTGAGATCCTTGCCCAGTTTCTCCCAATAGTCACACCTCATAAAACTGTATCATAATACCACAACAGCAGTATCATCCGCGGATCTTATTCAGACTTCCCGTTTCACCGCTACTCACGTTAAGTATTAAGTTCCATCTATGTCATCGCTAGCGTAGTCCCCTGTCTCTGGCATCACAGTCAACATTCTGAACAGCTCCAACACGAGGATGCCCATGGCCTTCTGTAACCACAGCCACCTCCCTCCTGTCCCCCACCCCTTCAGCTCCACAATCGCTAATCTGTCCTCTACTACTAACATGGTGTCATTTCAAAAATTATGTTATATAGGCCAGGCGTGGTGGCTCATGCCTGTAATCCCAGCACTTTGGAAGGCCAAGGCGGGTGGATCACCTGAGGTCAGGATTTCAAGACCAGTCTGGCCAACATGGCGAAACCCTGTCTCTACTAAAAATACAAAAATTAGCTGGGTGTGGTGGCACACACCTGTAGTCCCAGCTACTCGGGAGGCTGAGGCAGGAGAATCGCTTGAACCAGGGAGGCGGAGGTTGCAGTGAGCCCAGATCACACCGCTGTACTCCAGCCTGGGACAGAGCAGGACTCTGTCTCAAAAAAAAAAAAAAAAAAAAAACCCATTATATTATATAAATAAATAATATGGTATGTATGGGACTGTTGGCTTTTTTTTTAACTGCACAAAATTCCCTGGAGGTCTTTCAAGTTGTTGCATCCATCAGCTTGTTCCTTTTCAGTGCTGAGTCATATTTCATGGCATGGAGGTGCCACAGTCTGTTTCTGACTTGGTGGACCCAGGGATCTGCAGAAGCTAGTGGGAAAAACCCAAGCCTGCCTGCAGCCTCTAGAACTGGGTAAGTTCTAAAACACGCTTCCATGGCTACAAATCTGAGCACCTGTTTTGGGGAAAGGACCAACTATGCAAACAGAGGGGCCCCACCCCCAGGGGAGGGCACCAGGAAGTCTGTGTCCTCTATTAGAACCAGACTCTATCCTGGGGGAATAGGATACAAGCGAGGGGAGAACTGCTGGATCTACCCTTGAAATTGGATTCTCAGAGCCGAGACAGATTCTGCAGGGCATGTCACCCACCTCTCATCCTCGCGAGACCATCCTTTTGGAAGAAATAGCATTTTCCTTAGTACGAGTATTAGGAAGCTCTTCCTTCCACCAAGTGTGATCAGCACTGCAATCACCTCTGCACTAATTAGCACTGCAACAGAACCAGCCTAGTTTCCCCACTCAGGAGACGCTCCAGTGGAAGCTCTACATCGGTGCTCGTGTGCTCTCTCAGTCTGCACCTCCTCTGGCTAAACATGCTCAACTCCTCTGATCATTCAAACAAAATGTTTTCTAAACCCTGGCCATCTGGTTCCATCTCACCCTTAGTCATCTTCCCTTGAAGACACCGTTTCCAGAATTCACCAGCATAACCCACAAGAGGTCTGACTAGCGTGGCCTCCACAGGGTCTGCTTGCCAATTACCTTCCTCATTCTGTTTGCTCTTTTTCTATTAATTGTCCAATGATGCATTCAAGTAACACACCCAAACAATAAAACGATTAAAATAAGAAGATGGAAAGAATGATATGTTCCCTCGATGAAAGCTTATAAGGCAATCAAAAATCGTTTTTCAAAAAGTAGATAATGACATGGAAAAGCTATCTAAGATAGAATGTTAAATGAAAAAAATAGGCTGGGCACGGTGGCTCATGCCTGCAATCCCAGCACTTTGGGAGTTCAAGGCAGGTAGACCACTCGAGGCCAGGATTCAAGACCAGCCTGGCCCATATGGTGAAACCGCCATCTCTACTAAAAATACAAAAATTAGCCTGGCGCAGTGGCGCACACCTGTAATTCCAGCTGCTTGGAAGGCTGAGGCAGGAGAATTGCTCAAACCCGGGAGGCAGAGGTTGCAGTGAGCCGAGATCGCGCCACTGCACTCCAGCCTAGGCGACAGAGCAAGACCCTATCTCAGAAAAAAAAAAAATAGTCACTCCTGCCCTTCGAAATTCAGCTCAGGCATCTCCTTGGAGTAATTCTGGGAGATCCCTCTCCAACACCTCCCTCCCAGACTCCTGTGATAGGGGAGGGAAGGGGGTCTGTCTTGCTCCACAAATCTAGCATGAGGTATGATATCTAATAAATGTTTGATAAGTTCATTAATAAAATCATATCTTTACTGCAGAGTGGAATTAGTGATGATTCCATTTGGAGGAGAATAGGTGTGCACACAAACAGCAGAACACACACACAAGACTTGTGGGAGAATATAAACAAAACTATTTATAGAGGCTCTAAAATCTGGGAGAGGGAATTTCAGAAGTTTCACATTTTACACTGTACATTTCTATATTGTGTGACTTCAAAAAGAAAAGCTTCCTAAATGTGGTAATGAGGAAAAAAATTTTTTTAGAAAACATGCATAGGCAATACCAAATTGTTAAAATGTCTTTGTAGGGGTATTTGTGTCATTTTTATTAAAAAAAATTTTTTTTGAGACAGAGTCTCGCTCTGTCACCCAGGCTGGAGTGCAATGGCACGATCTCGGCTCACTGCAACCTCCACCTCCCAGGTTCAAGTGATTCTCCTCTCTCAGTCTCCTGAGTAGCTAGGATTACAGGTGCCCACCGCCATGCCTGGCTAATTTTTGGATTTTTAGTGGAGATGGGGTTTCACCATGTTGGCCAGGCTAGTCTTGAACTCCTGACCTCAAGTGATCCATCGGCCCTGGCCTCTCAAAGTGCTGGGATTACAGGCATGAACCACCGCACCCGGCCTCATTTTTAAATTCTTACTACTTATCTGAGTTGGCTAAGTTTTCTTTAAATATGTATATATTAGACTTTTAATAATAACTTTAAAAGGTATAACCAAATAAAAACATAGGGGGAAGAAAGCACACTTCGACTTTGGGCAGTCACACTTCCATGCCTGATCTCTCCTGGGCTCACTGTCAACTCAGAACTCTGGGTCTCGTGGTTTCTGCTCCATGGTTGAGGGAGGTGGTTCAGTGAGCAAAGCACTGACTCCTGACCCAGACGGATGCATTCTGCTCAGCGCAGCCTATCAGACAGTCTGTCCAGATGCTCTGACTCATAATCAAGTCATACAAGGTATCAGCCTTTCCCTCCCAGCTGGTGTCATCTGTGGAGCTGGTAGGCAAATGCCCCAAGTCCTCATCTGAGCTGTTACTAAATAAGAAATGGCACAGAACCCAGGAAGGGGTGACGAGCAGCCTGAGGTCACCACCCAAAGTGACGTGGATTCAAGAACAGACCCCCCCTTAGGCACAGCCTTTCAATCAGACACAAGCCTACCAGAACTTCGATCCTCCAACACCCAGGGCTCCACACCCAGCAGACAGGAGGCCAATAAAACACCTTGTCCAGGATACAAGTGGTGTGTGCACAACAACCAACTAGACACATTGAACCATAGACAGCAAGGAGGGGAAAGAGGCGTGAAAAGTGATTTGTTGGCAGAGGTGGGTGAATTGGTTTTCATTTTAAAACTTCCGCCATAATTTTTAATCATATGTATAATACATAAAGCTGTGTCTATGTAAAGCATGTTGAAATCACAACTCCAGCTGTGCTCCTGGTCCACCAGCTAAGGAACCTCATCAAAAGGGGAAACCAGACAAGCTGGTCTATGATGTTTGTAGCACACCAGCACTGGCACCGGGTGATCACCACTTCCTTCTTATGTGCTCACAGCTCTCTGGTGAATAACATGTTCTAGCAGTTTGCTGGGGATATGCAACCTTCACCATCATCTCAGGAACACAATTTTATAATGGCATGGTGGTGAGCTCCCAGGCTCTGAAGTTGCGTAGATCTGAGTTTGAATTCTTACTCTACTTCTTACTGCCTTTACACAAACCCTTTGAGCCTCAGTATTCTCGTCTGTGAACTGGGCATTCTTTCCCCCACACAGCTGTTGTGAGGATAAAGTGAGGTCAGGAATTGAAGTGCAGATATTTAGTGAAAGGTAGAAATAACTGTCATCACATTCTTCTCCACCCTTTCAACATCGCCACCACCATCATCATCCCCACCACCACCTCAGCATCACCAACGTGGGCCAAAAAGAGTCAAAGGATCCAAGATTTTGATCAGTTAGCCAACTATCACAGGATTCGGGGGAAAATCCCAAAATATTGCTAAGTCCAGGCAGAATAGGGAAATTTTGAAAATATGAGCATCTGAGACAGAATTTTTAGCAGGGAGCTGCTTCTGGAAAGATTCTTAACAAAGCAAAAAGGGCAACTACTACCCATGAGCTCTGAGCAAACCCCAAACACACTTCTCACCACTGCCAACCAGGCCAGGCTAAGAACTCTGAGAATTCTGTAAGTTTCTATTCCCATCCTACCAAATGGTTTCTATAATTTAGTCCCAGGCATCTCAGAAACAACCTGAGAAGAGAAATCCAGTTTCTTACCCAAATCTGATGAATTGTCAACCTTTAGTATTCCATCCCCTCCTGAACCCTGTGGGCTGACAGCCCTGTTCCGCATGTCACAGCCCACATAGGATATGACAGGGCCAGACTACCTGGGCTCCAATCTAGATTCCGCCACTATTTTGCTCTGCGACCTCAGGCAAGTTACTTAGCCTCCATGTGCTCCATTTTCCTCACCTATAAAAAGGTAATAACAATAAGGCTGGGCCGGGCGTGGTGGCTCACACCTGTAATCCCAGCACTTTGGGAGGCCGAGGTGGGCAGATCACCTGATCTCAGGAGTTTGAGACCAGCCTGACCAACATGGAGAAACCCCATCTCTACTAAAAATACAACATTAGCCGTGCATGGTGGTGCATGCCTGTAATCCCAGCTACTCGGGAGGCTGAGGCAGGAGAATCGCTTGAATCCAGGAGGCGGAGGTTGTGGTGAGCTGAGATCACACCATTGCACTCCAGCTGGGCAAAAAGAGCGAAACTCCATCTCAAAATAATAATAATAATAATAATAATAATAATAATAAGGCTGGGTGTGGGGGCTCACACTTGTAGTCCCAGCACTTTTGGAGGCTGAGGTGGGCAGATCACTTGAGCCCAGGAGTTCAAGACCAGCTTGGGCAACATAGCAAGACCCTGCCTCTACAAAAAATACAAAAATTAGTCAGGCGTGCTGGTGCCCACCTGTAGTCCCAGCTACTGAGAAAGCTGAGGCAGGAGGATTGCTTGAGCCGGGAGGTCAAAGTGGCAGTGAGCCATGATTGCACCATTGCACTCCAGCCTGGGTGACAGAGGGAGACCCTGTCTAAAAAAAAAAAAAAACAGTAATAACAACACTTGTCTCTGAGAAGGGTAATACTTGGTCTCAAAGACTAGTAAGACCACATCTTACTTCCCTTCAGCCATGCCTGACCCAGGACTAGGTACACAGTTAGTTCAATGAAGCTTGGCAGGAAAAAAGACAAGCAGCCAGCCATGCTCAATAAATGCTAACGATTATTAGTGTTCATCATTATTAGTATTCTAGACACTCCAGTAATCATTGCACAATATCAGAAGCAACATCATCTTCAGGACCTGGGCTCCCAGGGGACTCTGTCACGTTTCCCTTCCTCTTCCAAAGACAACTTCTCTTTTAAAAGAGACATGAGCCACCAGCCTTGGCAGAACCACAGACCAGAGAAGGAGCAGACATCAGGGAACTTGAGGGCCACAGTGTTCCGAGGGACAGAAGCCACTGGCCACAGCAGTAGGCAGTCTGGTAGTCTGGTTCCCAGGGAGCAGAGTGAGGGTCAGGTAGGGGGAGGGAGCTGTGACTCGTTCTCCTTCCGCAGCCGGTGACAACGTGGCAACAGGCCAGCAAGTCGGCTCGAGCAGGTCCACCCTCTGACCATTTCCACTGCTAGCAGGCGAAGGCAGCCATCAAACTAGGGGCATCTTCTCCTCTTCCTCAGTTTTCTCAACTCCTAAACGAGGAATTTCCAGGTGTTCTCAGGACCAAGGCAGAGGGAAGGCTCCAGAAAGCCCCTGGAGAAGGCAGATTTCCGGTCCACTCCAGCAGCTGAAGCCCCACCTACAGGACAATCCTAGCTTCCTGCTGCTTTCTGCCTTCCCAACCCTCTTCCTCACCCACTGCACACACCTGCCCAGCACATGCTCTAGAGAACAAAAAAGGCAGTTCTCTAAAGTTTTATGTGGGCACAGTGGCTCACGCCTGTAATCCCAACTACTTAGAAGTCTGAGACAAGGAGGATCGATCACCTGGGCCCAAGAGTTTGAGTCCAGCCTGGGCAACATAGCAAGACCCCCATGTCTAAAAAACAAAACAAAATAAAAGTTTAATTTTCTATGGTGGGAGGGGCAGGGGATGAGAAGGAGAAAGGGATATGCAGCTGGCACACATTTTCTTTTCATAGAAAGATATTTCTCCTAGAAGCTGGGTAAAGCAGGGGAATGAAAATCAGAAGGTCTTAGGAAGAGGTCTCTGTTGCTGGCGAGCAGTTCCTTGAATCCTGGGGGCACTTCCCTGTGTTTGGCAGGGCAGGATGGCTCCTCTGTGAGGTCAGGGCCCCACTGACAGCCTGGGTTCTCAGCCTCTCGACAGGCGACCTACTGATACTATACGATCTTCTTGCTTGTCTCAAGTCCCTTTCAACTCAAAAACTCAAGCTGCATCATTTGAACACCACACTGCAACTTACAAAGGGCTTTCATGTAAAGTACCCCTCTTAATCCTTTCAACAAACCTGGAACATATATGTCATCACCATTTTATAGCCACAGAAACCAAGGCTTAGAGATATTGAGTAACATCTCTGAGATCACGTGGCTAGACAAGGCGGCCCCGGGTCTTGGCTGCATGTTACCTCCTGCCACCACATCACAGATGCCTGCAGCCCTAATTTGCTGACCTGGCCCTTCCAGCCTGGGTTAGAGAGATGCCATGTGCTCACCCAGTGCATATCGAGAAGCTAGTACTCATGAGTCAGAATTCAGTTCCCTGTACCCCACACTACCTTGGGTGGTCCCAAGGACAGGGGCTGTGAGTCTAGGGTCTTCCTCACTGCTATTTCCCAGCACCTGGCACAGGCTCAGTCAGTGGGTTACCTAGCAGATATTGTTATGTGAATGAATGCCTGAATGGTTGACAAATTAACAAGCAGGTGACCCTCTGAATAGCCAGAGGTGTACACCCTGGCCCCTAGACATCTGATTTTGGCCACACAACATCCGATTTTTCCAAACTTGGTCTCTGGATGCCTAAGGGATGCTGAGTCTTACCTAGGGCAATTGTGATCGGAAAAGGAACCAGTGGATGTCAAGGCAGCTTCATATTCACCATCAAATACTCAACAGGAATCAAGACCCTCAGGGAGGCAGGCTCCCTGGCTCTCATTAATGGCCATAAGAAGTGGCATCTGTTTCCCTGCTTGCTTGCAGGCAGGGCTCACACCATCCCCAGATGCAGTAACGTGCATCAGGACTCTGAAGGCCACGCAGAACACTTGATGGGAACAGCAGGGGTGGGGCAGGGGCCACACCACCAGCCTTGGGAAGGGGACAGCCAGATACAAATACCACCAAACAAGGGTGCACGGATGGATGCAACTGGGGACAAGGAACCCAGAAACAACAGCACCCTGTGGGCCAGGCTCTGCTGACCCAGATAATAAACCCAGGGGCAGCAGCCACACCTCCCGGCCGGGGATGGACATCCTAGCTGCAAACACACACTACAGGGTGATCCCAGGGACTGGGATTTCTGGTGAGGCCAGGGATGGGAGGAATCTGCAAGACATGGAAATGAGCTTTGGCCAATTTCCTCTGGACACTCCGCCTCACAGCTAACTTTGGCATTCGTCTCTTAGTTTCGCTCTCAAGACTGGATGTTCTTTAAAGGAAACAACCACATCTTACTGGTCTCTGAGAGCCTTCCCTTCACCCATGGGACTAGGTACTGAGTTAGTTCAATAAAGCTCGGCAGGAGAAAAGACAAAGAGCAAGCCAAGAGAATGAAAATGGCAGAGGGGGAAGGAACAGCCCAAGGGCGCAGAGAGCAAATGAGCTTCGCAGAGGAGGAGGAAATGAGCAGGGATGGGGGAAACTAAAGCCAGGGCTTGCAGGTGACAAGACAAGTCCGCTGAATGTGGGATCCTGGGGGTGAGTGGAAGGTGAGCCCCAGCCTGGCTGCTTGTCAGGTGGTGAGATGGCTCAGAGAGGAGGCTGGACCACACGACCAGGAAGACCCTGCTTTCCCCGTGTGGGCAGGAGAGTCCTAGAAAGGGAAGTCAGGGAGAACAAACTTGGGGTGGGGGCACCGGACTGCCCTGAAATAACAAATTCCAAACAGCAGGTTCTCTGCTGAAGAGGCAGGGAGTCTAGAACCCCAAGTAGGCAATTAGCAAGGACACAAACATAGCAATTACAGCAAGGAAGAGAAGGTGAATCTGCCTCACAGCAGGGCACAGGCACAGCCAGGGGAAGGGCCCAAGCCTTCAGGTCCACTGGAAGCTTTCCTCCTTGCTGAGGGTGAAAAGTGGAGAAAATAGCAGAGCCCAGCCCCAGGTCCTGTCTGTGGTGCAGGCAGCCTCCAAAGCCCCAGCGTCTGATTTTCTGCAAGCTCCCTAGGTCGGGATGCTGCTTGGACAAAAGGAATTGATCTGAGACAGCACCAAAATCAGGCCTGACTTAGGGAGCAACGGCGGAGACTATGGAGCCCAGGGGCACCCGGAAGGAGGGGAGAAAGTGAGGGTTGGCAGGGCAGGGAGGCCATCATTTGCAGAGGAGCAAAACTCTCTGCCACACAGCCCCTGCCTCTCAGCGCCGCCCTGACCTGGTATGCCCTGGCCTTCCAGGAAACCTGGGGGTCTGCCTTGGACAGAGAGGGTAGAGACCTGGCTGCTGGTCCCGCCCGGGCACTACCACCTAGGTGGGTCCGTCAATGAAGTGACTAGCGACCCATCCCCAACTCCATACAGGAACATGTAATCTTTTTGAGATCTTTCAATAGGTCTTTCATTGTTCTTTCTGCCAAAGAAGAGCTTCCTGTTTCGGTACTTCGCAAAAGGCTCAAGACATGTGTGTTCCCACATCCCTTCCCATACAGCCGCCTTCCCAAAGGGCTCCATCCCCTCTCGAGAAGCCCAGGCAAGCCCAACTCTGGAGTTCTTAGCTCCAGCCCGTATGGCAGCCAAAGCCCTGGCCTCCCAGTTGTCCTCTGCGAGGTCCCAAAGCGCCTTTTGACGGGGAAGGAGAGAGACGAAAGAAACTTTCTGCAGAGGCCAAGGATGGCTGAGACTCCAAACCCTCCTGAAATTTCACTTCCTCCCAAATAACCCCACTCCAAGCCCCTGGTTTCTTCCAGATGTTCACTAACAGCGCGAGAGTCATGGAGGGGCCGAGACGGAGCCCCTTTTTTCAACTCAGGGAAAGAAAGGACCGAGGGCGCAGGAAGGCCCAGGGGCTTCCCGCCTCCCCCTGGCGGGGCGCAGCCGGTCCGGTACCAAAGGTCCGGCCAGCCCCGCCCGCCCGCGGCCCGGCACCCGCTGAACAGGAAATTCCACCTGTGCGCCCAGAGCTCGGCCACCGACGGACACGCCAGGGGAGCCGGCCGAGCCCAGCGCCGCGCTGCAGGGTCGGGCGGGCAGGAGCTTCCCAGCGCCCCGGGTCCCCGGCCCGCGCTCACCTCGTGCCGGGAGTTGTACTTGAGTCCCGCGCCGAAGTCCTTCGGGCCCCCTCCGCCCTTGCGGGCCCGATCGCTCCCCATGGTCCCCGAGGCCGCTCGCGGGTCTCACAGGCGTCGTCCCTGCCGGCGGCCGGCTCCCATGGCCCGCAGGGCGCGGGGCGCGGGGCGCAGGCGGCGGGATTCCGGGCAGGCCCAGCGCGCCCGACCGGCGGCGGTGCCCTCGCCCTGGCGCGCTCTCTCTCCCTCTTCCTCTTTCTCCGGCTGCAGCTCCGCTCTCACACTCCGGCCCGGCCCACGCAGGTAGTTTCAGGGTGTGGCCTCGGCCCGCCCAGCCCGCCGCGCTCGCCTGCGCACCTGCCCGGCTCACCTGCCCGCCCCCGCCGGCCCTGGGGGAGGCTCCTCCCCTCGGCTCTGGGCCTGAAGGTGAGGGGGCCTCACTCGGGTGGTGGTCGCTAAGGCCCTCACCATCACCACGACGGCGTTCACCACCCCTCCGGCCCTCCAGGGGCCCTGCCCCGGGAGGGCAGCCCTTTATCCACCTCCTTGATGCCAACCATCTTTTCCCTCCTCCCTCATGCGCCTCCGGTCTCTCCCCTTCACCTTGCTCACTTTGCTACAGGACTAAATCGCATTTATGAACCCCCCAAAACCAAACAGAAACCAGAACCGCCCCTGGCCCAGGCTCCCCGTCGGCTACGCAGCCTCCTGTTCTCCAGGCGGGAGGCGCTTGCTGGCCTGCGCCCGGCTACCCTGGGGAGGCCCAGTGACATGAGCTGTGCCACCAGATGCCCTCTGAGCCATCCCAACGCCCCTCGCCCACTTGCAGCATCTGATGCTTCCTCAAATGCCCCCTTTCCCTGGATTCCGGTCCTCCTTTCTAGTCCTAAATGTCATGATTCCCAAAGTTCTCCCTTCAGTTTCATCCCTTTCTTCTCTAAGCTTTTTCTCTTGGCAGCACGTCTCATCTTACGACTTCAGACAGGAAGACCTCCCTCCCAGCACAGACACCACCAAGGAGTGCCAGTTCTGCCTTAGCGGTCGCCTGGGGACGTCTCCATTTATGTTCTACTGTATTCTGTAGCCAATGAACATTACCAAGCACACACTAGGCGCTAAGCACTGTCCTGGGTACAGGGAAACAGGAGTGAACAAAATAAAAATCCCTGCTTTGAGATCAACAAGCCCCATCTTCCTTCCCTGACTTGCCCATTTTCCACTGTTTTCTCTAATTCTAATGGCAGCATTCTCCCAGGCTCAAATCCTGGAATCATCTTTGATTCTCCACCCTGCTTACATCTCATATCCAATTAGTTCCAAATCTGATCAAGACTCTGCTGACAAGCATAGCCCTTCCATTCCTGCGCATTAGAAGACCGCTATTCGAGTCCTCAGAGCCCTTTGCCTGGTTAAGAAAGATCTCCTGCCTCTGGGCTGCCACCCTCTGATCTCTCCTACACAAAGCAGTCAGGTAAATCTGAAACCACAGCTCCTTTATGACTTTCCGTGTCTCCCGGATCAAATCCAACCTCCTTAGCCCAGCTTCACACTCTGCCCTGTCCTCCCTTAACACCGTGCCTCCAAGCATTCCTGTTTGGAGCCCCTCTCTCCAGCCAGGCGTTCTGATCTTGGCAGCTTTCATAAAGCTTTTCATCCCCTGGAAGCTCTTCTCCTTCATACTCCTTCCGCATATTGGGTCGAAGACACCGATGGGGTTTTTTAGTGTTGTTCATTGAATGTTTTTAGCTCTCTGCCTTCTGGGCACAGGCCAGGGTGTTACTCTCTCTTCTCTGAAGTTAGGTATGGCAGTATGGCTAGCGGTAACCAAGAAAATGTCCAATGAGAGGACACACCACTTGTACATAGCAGCATAAGGAGGCACTGCACAATGCCCTGCTCTCTTCTGAGAGGTTTAACTCTGTGACCTGTGACCCTAAGTGGCTACAATGACACACACTGGATATGTAGCATGAATGAGGAGTCAGTCAGCTTTTGGGATGTTAAGCCACCGAGAGCTGAGGGTTGTTTGTTATTGCTGCAAACCTCACGCTTCCTGACTGATATGCTACCTCCTCCCCAGGAGTTTCCTTCCCTCTCAACCAGAACTAGCTCTGTTTGTACCTCTCTCATGGAGCTCACCACCATTTCGTTGCATTTTCTGTCTGTGTCTTAACTGCCTTTGCACCCTCAAAGCCTAGCACAATGACTAACACAATATATTGGGTCAATTTAATTGAAAGAAGAATGAATCTGCTGCCTTCCATCACATAAAGCATTCCAAAGCTAAACAGAAAATATTTCTAAAAGGCTGGCACGTTGGCTTCCAGCACTTTGGGAGGCTGAGGTGGGTGGATCACCTGAGGTCAGGAGTTTGAAATCAGCCTAGCCAACATATAGTGAAACACCATCTCTACTAAAAATACAAAAATTAGCTGGACATGGTGGTGCATGCCTGTGGTCCCAGCTACTTGGGAAGCTGAGGCAGGAGAATTGCTTGAACCTGGGAAGTGGAGGTTGCAGTGAGCCGGGATCATGCCACTACACTCCAGCCTGGAGCGAGACTCCATCTCTCAAAAAAAAAAAAAAAAAAAGAAAAGAAAAAAAAGAAAAAGAAAATATATAAAAATAAATTTTCCTTTGGATTACCAATGGCACAGCATTCTTCAACTAGTGTGAGTGATGGAAAGTAAGCCAAATTCAATGTGACGTAAATGAGATGGTACTCCTGACACACAGACCTTCTGTGCTGCTGCAAACGCAGTGACTCACGTTGTCTCCCCACTTCCTAGGGCCTCATCTTTTATCTCGTAGAGCTGGGCGCTCAGCGTGATTTGGATGCCGTATGAATGCAATGCATTGACTGCTAGTGCAGATGAAGAGAAAGCGATGCAGGACAAGACCCTTCCCCTAGGATGGCTGCATGGGGATACCTTGCTGCATGCACCCTATGTGCACTCCTGGGTTGGAGGAGGCAGTGTAACCATATGTTATTCCATGAATCCCATTTGGTTTAATCCTCAAAAAATTATGAAATGTCAGTGCTTTTGTTCCTAAATGGTAAGTGAAGGAACCCAAGAGCAGACAGCCTCCAGAACAGGACCAGATTCTCACACTCACAAGGAACAAATCCAACTCAAGCCCAGATTTTGGCTTGAGGTCCGTGTCATTTCTCTGCTATAGAAAGAGTGACTCATGACCAAATGACCCAACCTTCACCACCCACTGTGCCTTCTCCACCACCCCCTCACTGGCCCTTCCCCGGCCCCAGCACTGCAAAGCTGTCATCGCTCCTCTCCAGGGAGCCATCCTCTTCCTGGTTCCAGGACTGCCTGCTGGGAAAGTTACATCTGTGTCCCTGGGACCCCCTCAAGGGCATGTCCAACAAGCCCCTATGTCCTTGTGGCCGGGACCACTTAGAAGGTGTGCAAATGTGGACCTGCCCACAGGCTAAAGGACACTGGCTGAAGCTGGTGACAATGTGGGAGACAGTAGGGCCATGTGAGGTAGGCCCAGCCCAAGTGTGAAACAGCCAGTGCTCTGGTACCATCCAAGGCGGGGAGACCAGAGCAGCTTGTGCCAGGCCTGCAGGCGACTCATGCTCCTTCAATAAAGAAGAAAAGTGCAAACAGCAAAGAGGTGTGGTAGAGGTTGAGAATGAACAGAATAAAGTCAAATGAACCGGTTATGGAGCTGGCATCCATAAATGTACCTAAACCTTCTGAAACAACAAGGTTTATATGAATTCGACACCTAGAACCACTTCTGCTTTTGTCTTGGCACAGCCCTCATGCTTCCCTGTCAAACATGCTTCATGGGGAAAATGCACTTTCTAAACGCCAGGTGTTTAGTATCCTTGAGGTAATGCTGCTTTTTCCTGCACGGTCCTTCCCACCCCATCCCCGATGACTTGGCCCCTTCCCCTTAGTGAGATCCAAATTCAGCTAAAGTTTCAAAGTGAATATGATTAACTTTCCCCAGAATTTAATAACTAATCTCTTCCGTCACTTAGGACTTATGGTATAGTGTATTTTGATCTTCCTGATACACATAAGAGCACTGAAAATGCTGTTTGGAGACAGTGAGCGAGGACAGTCTGTGGAGCTGATCAGTGTCCGTCAAGTAAGCTGTCTGCTACTGGGTCTCTTCACCGAGTTTAGAAACAAAAGCATACCATAATTTCTTTTTTTTATTTTATTTTCTTTTCTTTCTTTTTTTTTTTTTTTTTGAGACAGAGTTTTGCTCTTGTCACCCAGGCTAGAGTGTAATGGCACAATCTCGGATCTCGGCTCACTGCAACCTCCACCCAGGTTCAAGTGATTCTCCTGCCTCAGCCTTCCAAGTAGCTGGGATCACAGGTGCGTGCCACCACTCCCAGATAATTTTTGTATTTTTAGTAGAGATGGGGTTTCTCCATGTTGGCCAGGCTGGTCTTGAACTCCTGACCTCAGGTGATCCACCCGCCTTGGCCTCCCAAAGTGCTGGGATTACAGGTATGACCCACCACGCCCGGCCAGCATATCATAATTTCATGAGGATTAAACCAAATGGGTCTGATGTGATAGTTGATGGCTACGCTTCCTCCTGGCTCCTGCACTTCCATGAGCTGGTGCGGCACAGCGGTCCTAGGGGGAAGGGCTTGGCCTCTGCGTGGCTTCCTCTTCATCTGAATTTGCAGCTGATGCATTGCATATGGATAGCATTCAAATGCCAGCACTGAGCACTTCTGTGGGCAAGATGCTCATTCAGCTCTGAGATGAAAGACGACGCTCTAGCAGGCCAGGCTCTGTGGCAGGCACCTGTGGTTCCAGCTGCTCGGGAGGCTGAGGCAGGAAGATCTCTGAGCCCTGGAGTTCGAGGCCTCAGTGAGCTGTGATCACACCTGTGAATAGCCACTGTATTCCAGCCTGGGCAACATAAGTGAGACCCCATCTCTAAACAAAAGATGATGTTCTAGGAATATAGGGGAGAAGATGACCCCTCCTTTTGCAGCAGCAGAGCGGGTTTGTGTGCCACAAACACCCATTTGTTTATGCTACTCTGGATCCAGCTATCTTAGCAAAGGGCTTCCTCATCCATTTAGTCAACCAGTTCTAGAAGACATCACTGACCTCTCCTTTCCTTATCCCACCCACCCACAAACAACAAACACACAAACAAATCACCAATCAGTTGGTTCTACCTTTAAAACATGTTTGGAACCTGTCTAATTCTCCTTTTCCCTCCTGCTGTGTCCCTATTCCACGCCACCATCATCTCTCCTGTGGGCTACACACAGCCCTGCAAGCTCTCCTTCCTCTCTGCTCCACTCTAGGCCTTGTGGTTACAGAGAATGGTTTCCTCTCCAGGCGCAAAACTCCTGAAGGCATGGACCAGTGTCTGTTAGCATCCCCAGCATGCACTCAACCAGTCTTTGTTAAATTATTCAAAGACCACATGAATAAGGAAAAATGCAAGTAAATGTTTTCACAATTTTTTTTTTTTTGAGACGGAGTTTCGCTCTTGTTGCCCAAGCTGGAGTGCAATGGTGCAATCTCAGCTCACTGCAACTTCTGCCTCCCAGGTTCAAGCGATTCTCCTGCCTCAGCTTCCCAAGCAGCTGGGATTATAGGTGCCTGCCACCACGCCTGGCTAATTTTGTGTTTTTAGTAGAGACAGGGTTTCTCCATGTTGGTCAGGCTGGTCTCGAACTCCTGACCTCAGGTGATCCACCCACCTCGGCCTCCCAAAGTGCTGGGATTACAGGCGTAAGCCACCGTGCCGGGACTGTTGTCACAAATTTTTTTATTGTTAAATGTGGTGGAAATATAGAAATCAGCATAAAACAAATATACAGCTTACTGGATTATTATAAGGCAACTCCATAGAAGACCAGATGTGAGTCTGGGCGCAGTGGCTCACACCAAAACTACTAAAAACACAAAAAATTAGCTGGGTGTGGTGGCGAGTGCCTGTAATCCCAGCTACTCGGGAGACTGAGGTAGATAATTGCTTGAACCCAGGAGGCGGAGGTTGCAGTGAGCTGAGATCGCACCACTGCAGTCCAGCCTGGGCGACAGAGCGAGACTCCTTCTCAAAAAAAAAAAAGAAAAGAAAAGAAAACAGAAGACCAGATGTGAGAAGAGATAGAACCTTGCCAACCCTCATGCCAAGCCCTCCATGGGCCCATTCCCAAAACAATCCCTCCTCTCCCCAGTAAGAGTGACCACTCTACTGACATGGATGGTGGTTACTTTCTTGGTTTTTTGTTTTGCTTTGTTTGTTTGTTTGTTTTGAGACAGAGTCTTGCTCTGTCACCCAGGCTTGAGTGCAGTGGCGCGATCTCGGCTCACTGCAAGCTCCGCCTCCCAGGTTCACACCATTCTCCTGCCTCAGCCTCCTGAGTAGCTGGGACTACAGGCACCTGCCACCACGCATGGCTAATTTTTTGTATTTTTAGTAGAGACGGGGTTTCACCGTGTTAGCCAGGATGGTCTCGATCTCCTGACCTCGTGATCGGCCCACCTCGGCCTCTCAAAGTGCTGGGTGGGATTACAGGCATGAGCCACCGCACCCGGCTGTTTGTTTGTTTTTTGAGATGGTCTCTCTCTGTTGCCCAGGCTGGAGTGCAATGGCACAGTCACGGGCTCAATGCAGCCTCGACCTCTCAGGCTCAAGCAGTGCTCCCACCTCAGCCTCCAGAGTTACTGGGACCACAGGTGTGCGCCACCACGCCCAGCTAACTTTTTGGGGTTTTTTTTGGCCATCTTGTATAGAAAGATTTTTTTCTCCCTGTGGTAAGGGGTCTGGCCATGTGGCCCAGGCTGGTCTTGAACTCCTGGGCTCAAGCAATCCTCTCGCCTCAGCCTCTCAAAGCGCTGGGATTATAGGTGTGAGCCACCATGCCCATCTCCTTGTTTTTCTTTATATGGTTTTACAATCCAGGCTTGACTCTCTTTGCACCATAGTTTACTTTCTGCCTGCTTTTTGTTTTCAATGTCTTTTAGGTCATTTTAATTTTAATTTTTTTTTTTTTTTTTTTTGCGATGGAGTTTCGCTCTGTCACCCAGGCTGGAGCGCAGTGGTACAACCTCAGCTCACTGCAACCTCCACCTCCCGGGTTCAAGCAATTATCCTGCCTCAGCCTCCCAAGTAGCTGGGATTACATGCGCCCGCCACCATACCTGGCTAATTTTTTGTATTTTTAGTAGAGACGGGATTTCACCATGCTGGCCAGGCTGGTCTCGAACTTCTGACCTCGTGATTCGCCCGCCTAAGCCTCCCAAAGTGCTGGGATTACAGGTGTGAGCCACCGTGACTGGCCAATTTAAATTTAAATTTTATTTTATTTTATTTTATTTTATTTATTTTATTTTGAGATGGAGTTTGGCTCTATCACCCAAGCTGGAGTGCAATGGCACAATCTCAGCTCACTGCAACCTCTGCCCCCTGGGTTCAAGCAATTCTCCTGCCTCAGCCTCCTGAGTAGCTGGTATTACAGGCACATGCCACCACACCTGGCTAATTTTTGTATTTTAGTAGAGATGGGTTTCACTATGTTGGCCAGGCTGGTCTCGAACTCCTGACCTCAAGTGATCCACCCGCTTCAGCCTCCCAAAGTGCTGGGATTACAGGCATGAGCCACCATGCCCAACTGGTCACTTTTAATTTTTAGGTTCCCACTTCATCTTTTTCACCATCCTTTACAGTTTATTTACTGAAGAAACCAGATCATTTGTTCTGGAGACTTTCCTGCAGTCAGGATTTTGCTGATTGTGTTCTCATAGTGTAGTCTATCTCATGGGTTCCTTGTCCTTTGTATTCCCCGCAAACTGTCATATCCAGAGGCGCCAGCAGATAAAGCTTTGCTTTTTCGGGAGGGAAGATGACTTCACAGGGGCTGGTGTGTTCTTCAACAGGTGACGTGTCTGGTTGTTTCATATTGTGAGTTCTGTGCTTGAATTCTAAATTTGTGAGGAAATGGTAACGGCAAGATTTCAATGTTTCATTCCTTGCTTATTTACTTTCTGGAATACTTCTAGAAAGTGAAATTTCTCATCATCTATTTGGTTACCCAGTGGTAAGGTTTGTATAGGAAAGGAAGGATAAATGCCCGAGTCTCTATGTATTTGTTTATTTATTCATTTTCAGATGGAGTCTTGCTCTGTCGCCCAGGTTGGAGTGCAATGGCACTAACTCTGCTCACTGCAACCTCCACTTCCTGGGTTTAAGGGATTCTCCTGCCTTAGCCTCCCGAGTAGCTGGGACAACAGGCACCCACCATCACGCCTGGCTAATTTTTGTATTTTTAGTGGAGACGGGGTTTCACAAACTGCTTTCACAAACCACTTGTTTTTTGCTTGTTTTTGTATTATTATGAACTCTTGGTATCAAACATATTTGATATGTCTGGGTTCATTGCTGTTTTTATTCTTACTGATGTTCAAAGTGTACCCTCTTTGGCCATTGGGACCTTCTTTAAGTCAGCTCTGAGTCCTTTTGACCCAATTCTTGTCATCTTTGATTTTTTGTTTATTTTCTGGTATGATGTTGCAGTTTCAACTTGTACTTTTCCTGCCCACACATGCAATCAGCTGTTTCTTTAAGACAACCTAATAGCTTTTAGTGAAAAGTGATCCTCTAAGGGGATGTTCATTTCTAGCTGGTCTTTGTTTCTGGGGCTTTTGGTAGACAAAGCCAGAACTTTGTGAAAGAGATAAAACACCCATCATGTTCATATTGATTCTCCCAATTCTAATTTAGGACCACAGAGTACTGACTTATTCGAGCTGAGATCTGTATTTTCTTTTTCACACTGATAATTCTTGTTCTCACATCACTTTTTTTAAAAAAAACTCTGTCTCCTTTATCAAATGAAGGCAACAGGTACAACTTTCCCATTAGAGTTCAGTGAGTTGGCCCTTAGTGGAATTTTTGTCAACTTGCAGCTCACGAACAATAGAATAGCTAATTTGAGGGGAAAAAAAGGAAATTATTTTAAAATTGTTAGGCGGTTCACAGAATGTCTAGGAGGGCCAGAGAGCTGAGAGAGGAGGAAACAGAGCCAGAAACAAGGCCCCAGACACACCACAAGGCTGCAGGGACAGCCCCACTGCTCCCGCCCAAGCTGATACCATCAGAGCTCATCCCCTGAGCCCAGACCCACTCACCAGTGCCGCTGCCGTCCCAGGAGCAGGACGCTTCCACCTGCATCCCACCAGAAAGTGGGCTCACTGCAGTGCCTGCGTCCTTTCTTTGTGGCCTCTTGAGTAAGTCTCTTGTGAGTGCATCTCATTAGATCCTAAGTTACATGTCTGTGCCCTACCTACAAGGGAGCTGAGAAGGAGAGTTCTGGTTTCTGCCTGAGGTAGGCAGGACTCAAAAGATGGAAAGTCTCCAAATCTAAGAGGGTTGTTCAAGAGACACTGGAGTGTCCCTAAACTGGGTAAATGCAGATGCACGGAAATGTGAGTCGAGTCTGGGAGTGTGTTCTGGAAATGCATTTCACTGTGGGCCACTTGTTTGATGCTCTGTGTTTCTCTGACTTCCTCTGCCCTGTCCACATCATCAGCACATCCAAGTTCATCCCTCCTTCCATCTAATATGTGTAGTTCTGGCCCAGCCTGCTCCCTGGCCCAGGGTGTCGCGTGGGGTATACACAGGTTTCATTAAAATCAAAGTCCGCTGATTCCCTTGTTTACATTCTGAGCTCAGTCATCAGCTGAAAACATTTACCATCTAAGAAGTCATTCCCCAAACAGTTTCAATTATTAAGACCATGGATTTACATTTACTATTAATAGTGATATTCTTCACTGTAAATGTATGTTGGGTCTTGAGGTATTAACTAATATTATGAGGCCAATGTGATTAATGAGACTTAAACTTTAAATGCCCAGTACATGAAGACAAGCCACTACAATCTCTTCAGTGCTTAAAGTCATGCAATACTCGATTTAGTAATTTACAAAGTTTCATTAAGAAATGATAAATGCACAGCTTGAGATTTCTTCATTAAATGCTAAAAGCAAAAAGCCATAAACCATGGTGGAATCACTTTTTCTTGCCACAGGAAAAGTGGCTGAAATAATACACAGAAGGCTGGGCACAGTGGCTCACGCCTGTAATCCCAGCACTTTGGGAGGCCGAGGCAGACAGATCACGAGGTCAGGAGTTTGAGACCAGCCTGGCCAATATGGTGAAACCCCCGTCTCCACTAAAAATATAAAAATTAGCTAGGCGTGATGGTGGGTGCCTGTTGTCCCAGCTACTCGGGAGGCTGAGGCAGAAGAATTGCTTGAACCTGGGAGGCAGAGGTTGCGGTGAGCCGAGATCGCGCTACTGCACTCCAGCCTGGGCGACAGAGTGAGACTCCGTCTCAAAACAAACAAACAAAAACCACAGAAAAGGATATGGCAACACTATAGTCCATTCTTCTGTCAGTAAATACTGTTAGAAGATACACAGATTTGAAGAAACAAGTAAAAAACCACCTTTAGAGTATGGGAGGTTTGGATGAAAGCACAGATGTTTCTAATGTAGCTCCACTCATAGTGTAATATACGTAGATTTTTCTGCTCACGAAATACAAATATTTTTTTTTCTTGCCAGGAGCAATGGCTCACGCCTGTAGTCCCAGCACTTTGGGAGGTTGAGGCAAGTGGATCACTTGAGATCAGAAGTTTGAGACCAGCCTGGCCAACATGCGGAAACCCCATCTCTACCAAAAGTACAAAAATTAGCCAGGTGTGGTGGTGGGCACCTGTAGTCTCAGCCACGAGGGAGGCTGAGGCAGGAGAATCTCTTGAACCCAGGAGGCGGAGGCTGCAGTGAGCCAGCCTGGGCGACAGAGCGAGACTCCGTCACACACACACACACACACACAGCAGAAAACAAAACTAAACTAAAAGCAGCTTGATTGAGGTATAATTGACTGCACATATTGAAAGTGTCCAATCTGGTAAGTTTTGACACATATCTACACCTGTGAAATTATCACCACAATCAAGAACTCTTTCAGTTTTGATAGCCATTAAATATAGTATTGCAACAAACTGACCTTCGAACCAGATTTTCTAATTGCTTTATTTCAAAGTACTAAAACACGATTACAAAAATAAGATACAGGAGAGCGTAACTCCCATCCCTTAAGTTCGGGCTGCACGTGGTGCAGTGTGACAGTGCGAGGAGGGGAAGATTAACTTTAGACAACCTGACAAGCACCACCTCAGCCAGGGGTCAAGGTCAACATCGACAGCAGTAAGTCATGTTGACAGTGTGTACCCTTGATGGAATAGGAGGACACCTTACCTCTGTGGTCTTCCTCCTAATAACACATAACCCATGCATTACCATGAGAAAAACATCAGACAAAACCCCATAGTGGGACATCCTACGAAATGCCTGACCAATAACTCCTCAAAACTGTCAAGATCATCAAAACAAGGAAAGTCTGAGAAAGCTTCACTGTCCAGAGAAGCCTAAATACAATGTCATTTATTGGGAGAAGACAGAAGACAGGGCTGGGCGCAGTGGCTCACACCTGTAATCCCAGCACTTTGGGAGGCTGAGGCAGGTGGATCACCTGAGGTCAGGACTTTGTAGACCAGCCTGACCAACATGGAGAAACCCCGTCTCTACTAAAAATACAAAATTAGCCAGGCCTGGTGGCGCATGTCTGTAATCCCAGCTACTCGGGAGGCTGAAGCAGGAGAATCGTTTGAACCCGGGAGGCGGAGGTTGTGGTGAGCCGAGATTGCACCATTGCACTCCAGCCTCGGCAACAAGAGCTAAACTCCGTCTCAGAAAAAAAAGAAAAAAAAAATAGAAGACAGTAGGTAAACACTAAGAAAATCTGAATCAACGATATGGACTTCCATTAGGAGAGAGGAAGGAGAGAATGAAAGCAATCACTTTGCCTGCACTAAAACTAGCAATATTTGACTGGACCCAAAAGGCTTTGTACTGTTATTAAATAAAATTTGGAAAAAGTATTTCATCTTTTTTATGCCTTCCAAGTTTCTATTTATAATACATGCAGATAATTTTAAAATAACTATACATAGTTTAAAATAACTGTATATATAGTACACACTATAAATGTTTTATTGATGGAGGGCACTGCTCTAATCGGAAAGAGGCAGGGACTTCAAAATTTTAAGTTCAACCAAGCTGGGCACAGTGGTTTATGCCTTAATCCCAGCACTTGCAAAGCTGAGGTGGGTGGATCACTTGAGGTCAGCAGTTCCAGACCAGCCTGGCCAACATGGTGAAACCTTGTCTCTACTAAAAAACACAAAAATTAGCCAGGTGTGGTGGTGCACGCCTGTAATCCCAGCTACTCTGGAGGCTGAGGCACGAGAATCACTTGAACCCGGGAGGCTGAGGTTGCAGTGAGCCGTCACTGTACTCCAGCCTGGGCAACAGAGCAAGGTTCCGTCTCAAAAAAAAAAAAAAAAAATCAATCAGATCTGGGTTATCTTGTATCTTGGCCACAGATCTCTGACAGATTCCTCAAGAATGTCATGCCCCCAGCCAGGCGCGGTGGCTCACACCTGTAATCCCAGCACTTTGGGATGCCGAGGCGGGCAGATCACAAAGTCAGGAGATTGAGACCATCCTGGCTAATACGGTGAAACTCCATCTCTACTAAAAATACAAAAAATTAGTCAGGTGTCGTGGCACGCGCTTGTAGTCCCAGCTACTCAGGAGGCTGAAGCAGGAGAAATTGCTTGAACCCGGGAGGTGGAGGTTGCAGTGAGCCAAGATTGCGCCACTGCACTCCAGCCTGGGCGACAGAGTGAGACTCTGTCTCAAAAAAAAAAAAAAAAAAGTCATGTCCCATCCATTTCAAGGATTCTGGGGGCCGGGGGCGGGGGAACTCATGTCTCCTGTCACATTCTCTGGGTATCTGGGCTGCTCCACAGTGGAAATGCACTAACCAAGTCCATGGTTGCTACTGCCTGTCAAAAGTATGCAACCACAGAGGGCAGAACAGACACGACTTCCCCTTATTTCATAGGCGGTAACAGGAAAGATACCAGCTGACACCCATTTCCTTGTCTTATAAGGACCGCTTTACCCTTTGCCCCAGAAAAGAGTCCATTGTACATAACCACAGCATTTGGCTCTGCCCCTAACAGCGTGTGACCCTGTGGCCATGTTTCAGCTGTGAAATAATCAGGAGTCATAAGGTCCCTTCCAGTTCCCTGTATCCATTCTGTCTATGTCCATGACTTCAAAGTACCGCAAGACAGCATGTTCCTTTTTTAAATACTTTTTCACCTGCTCCTATGATAGTGGACCCTTGGGCCTCTCCAAAACTTAGGGACTCATTACATCCTCATCTGTACCTCCTAAAGAGCTTTGTCAGTTGTCACAGCAACAGAAACCAGAGATCAGGGCATCTGATGTCCTGGCTCAAACCTCAGCTGCTGAGCTCTGATTTGCAACTGAAAGCAGACAGGCAGGTAGGAGGACCTTCGCACCTGTCAGCACCAGCACCTGAGGCTGGCCGCAAGGTGGGCAGGGCCACATTCCCCAGAGGTCAAGGCTGAGTCACCAAGGCAGAAACCAGGAGCTTCTCTCAGTTCCCGGGAGGTGGGTGAGCCACCAGGGAGCAGAGTGGAGCCTGCCTAGGGTGAGGCCGCCTGGCAGCCCTGCCTCTCATTCATTTCCACGTCATCTCTCAGGCCTCCCCAGTTCTCAGCTAACCCCGACTGTCTCTGCAATGACCCCATTTGGGTAATGAACGTGTAAATAGAAACCACTGCACTTTCACCAGCCCCAAACTCCTCTCTAACCCATCAGCAACAGGAATGTGAGTAACAGGTAAGAGACTCGAGAGCTGAGCAGCTGGATGGGTATTGGCTGCCATGCCCCCGCCCCTGCCTCCCCCAGGACTGAAGTACACTGAATAAAGGAAGAACTCCCACCGAGCTGGGTTTGCATCTCTGCTCCACCCCTTACTGCTCCGTGGAAGACCTCAGCGTCATTTCTGGAAGAGGGGAATGCCTCAAAAGGTTAAGACTAAATGGAGCTGGGCATGGTGGCTCACGCCTGTAATCCCAGCACATTGAGAGGCCGAGGCGAGTGGATCATGAGGTCAGGAGTTCGAGACCAGCCTGGCCAACGTGGTGAAACCCTGTCTCTACCAAAAATACAAAAAAAAATTAGCCAGGCATGGTGGTGCACGCCTGTAGTCCCAGCTACTCGGGAGGCTGAGACAGAATTGCTTGAACCTATGAGGCAGAGGTTGCAGTGAGCTGAGATCGCGCCCCTGCACTCCAGCCTGGGCAACAGACTCTGTCTCAAAAAAAAAGAAAAAAAGACAAAAATGCGCCTCTGACTTGGAGGCAGCTAGTACATGGCAGGCACTAAAATCAATGAAGCTGGTCTGTTAGCTTTGAAATCAGAATGACCCTGAGATCAGTTTCCAGCTGATACTACAGAGGGTCAGGTGATAACACTCTTCAGAGCACTCCAGCAGAAACTGGTTTCAAAAAACAAAAAAGTTCCCTCTTCTTCAGGGCTTTCCTGGCAGCAACTTCAGTGACCAATGCAGGCAGAAGGGAGAGGCTGATGGGGAAGTGGTAATCATTATAAAGAACCAACCTGTTCACCTGGCTCACAAAATGCTTTCCTGGCTCATAAAACACTCCCTAGTCCAGTATCCTAGGGAAGATTCGTCACGTATGTACACACATGTACATCTACACACAGCTATATATGACATTACCTTGATAACTACTCTGTATATTTAAACTGGCATTAAACTAGGGTAGGGACTGAGATTTACCCCTGAATTGACCCTCTTCCCTGTAGCTGGGCATTAAAAAGATCTTAGCTCAGTAGATAAAACTGGGCCCAGGCAGAAAGCCCTCTAAGCAGTTGCCAAGGCAACAAACCAAACACCCCCATCAGTGAGGTGACAGGGCCTCCCAGTGTCAGGTTATTTAAGCAAATGGAAGCTGCAAGCATTCCTCTGAAAATTCAGCCACAAGCCCTACTCATTGTTCCCAGTAGCATTAAGAAGTCTCATATTAATAAATATCAGTAGCCTAAATTTTGCCAGACAAATGCTCTGTGCAGATGTTCCCTCTTACTTTGCTTTCTAAATGCGAAACGGCGCTGGAAGCCTTGAGTCACAGCTTGAGCAGACGTATTTCCGCCTGTGAGGTGCAGCTGGGGTCCTTCGTGGAACGAAGTTATCACCCTCCTGGAGGAAGGGGGTAGGACCATCACGCAGATCAATGCCGCAGTCAGTGAAACGAGCAGTCTCGGTGGAAGTTAAAGTATTTATTGATGTGTTTAAACTGTGTACATTCTCCACAGATCATATTAAGGAGTTTGTAGGTGAAGTTTAATCTGTGCATAGTGGGTAGAGACATGAATAGGGTCAAAGGGGAGGAAAAAGGAAAAAAACAAAACAAAAACAGTCACAGGAAAATAAAAATACACCACAGGTTACCAGAACCTTCAGATTTAAAATAAAAAGAAAGAAAAAGCAGAAGCAGTGAGCATCGACATCAACTGTACAAGCATTACAAAGACTCCTGTGACGAAAACACAATTGTTCAAAGCTTTCCACAGTGTCCACAGACTCAGTTTCAGGGACAGCCTGGACTACTTTCCTTTCACACAAACAAACCTCCCCGTGTTCTCTCCTGGGCCAGCGGCCGCCTCCTTGGTGTGGTCTTCTCTGAGTGAATGTCACAAGGCCGGTGACAGGAGGGGGTGGAGGTGAGGGGACAAAGTAGAGGCCGAGGGTCAGTGCCTTTGGAGAAAGTCCAGAGAGGAGGAGCCTGCACATCTGGACATAGTTGGAAGGGGAAGTGAACGGTAAAAAGCTACGGTAGGTAAACAACAGACAGTGAAGAATGTCAAATATAAGCTACAGGCTAATCTCTGTGGAAGCACTGGATTCCGAAGGAAAGCAGCAGCGGACACCCTCATCTGTATACACTAAGCTCTCTAGAAGACGCTGGAATAAAATGCCTTTAACGTCCTTGGTGACAGGACTTTTATGGAGACACACAGGTATCCAGCCGTGGAAACACTGGACTTCAAGAAACTGGTCCTTTCACATCATTTTGCGAGGGTCTCTCACGTGCTTCAGTGGCCATTACAGTTCCCTATTCCACCCCATTTCTCAGCAACTTCCTGAAAGCTCATTTAAAAAGGGAATACTGCCTTTTTTTTCTTTAAATAAAAGCCAGGACAGTGAATGAGGCTGAAGAGTTGACTTACACAACATAACCGGAACGACAGCCTGCATATAAGTCTATTATTGAAAATCGACATTTCCCATTTATTATATATTGAGAGCATGTGTCAGACAATACAATGGAAGTGGGGTTTCTGATTAATTTAAAAAAGAAAACTACATCAAATATCTGCAATAGATCATTTTTTTCATTTAAGGTTTATATATCATATATTGTTATATTACCATTTTTCACCCATTTAAAAGAATGGAAATTGCAGTTCTACAGTAGTACTTTATATAGTCCTACAGTCCAGGAGGTCAGGATGTCAGACGCAGCCCCTGGCAGCGGCTGCTGCTTGGCAGTCGATCGGAATCGTGGGATCTTCCGGCCCACCTGCATCCCTCCGCCAGGGCTGCCGCGCTCCCTGCCACCTAAATCTGCATCTGCTCCAGGTATTTGTAGGTGGGGTTCTCATAGCCATGGTTCTGCATCTTGTTCAGGTGACGCTCTTCTGGGGTGAGCATTGGATCAACCTGGAAGAACAAAACCTGAGGGTCATTGTGGTGTCTGGGAAGAGACCTGCACAGGGTGCTGGGAGACCTGAGCCATTTGCTGCACAATCCCCTGAGGACCAAATGCAGCCAGCAGCCCGTTCCCACCGGACAGGCCAAATGAGAACCGGTGGTGAAACACAGGAGAAAGAAAATAAGGGGATCAAAGAGGCAATGCTTTCGAAACGAGAGCCCTGAAAGCTTAGCCCTCACGGAAGATGACAGTCAACTGGATTTCCTAGCACCGTGGTGACAAGCAAGGCTCGGCGCCACTGCTTACTACCTGGGCCAGCCAAGGCAAGCCAGTCAGCAGTAGGCTAGCAAGCAGACGGTGGGACCAGGGGATCTCTGGTCTTTTTCAGTTCTGAAATTCTACAGCTAGGCCAGTCTCCAGCAGGAGATAAAACCAAGTAACTGGCCAGGTGCAGTAGCTCATGCTTGTAATCCCAGCACTTTGGGAGGCTGAGGCGGGTGGATCACTTGAGGTCAGGATTTGAGATCACCCTGGTCAATATGGGGAAATCCTATCTCTAATAAAAATACAAAGACTAGCTGGGCGTGGTGGCACACACCTGTAGTCTCAGCTAGGTGGGAGGCTGAGGCACAAGAATCACCTGAACCCGGGAGACAGAGGTTGCAGTGCGCTGAGATCGCGCCACTGCACTCCAGCCTGGGCGACACAGCGAGACTGTCTCCAAAAAACCAAAAAACCAAAACAAACAAAAAAACACAAATAACTAAGACCAGCATCTGCACTAATTTCCCAGGGCTCATTAAGGTCCTTACTGTATTTATATTTGGGGATCAAGGGACTCTGGACATTCCCACTGTTCACTAAGGAGTGAGTGGCAAGACAAGTTCAGTAACCAGCAGAAGACAGAACAGAAACAGTCTGCTTCAGCACTTTCTAAATTTCCTGTTGCTCCTTTCCCCCATTAAAAAAAAAAATACCTGGAAAAAGGAACACTAAGGAAATAATCTGAGAAAAGAGTTTTCACCCTCTGTAGCATAAAATGTTCACATGACTTTCTGACATTCATAGCCAAGGCCCAAACTAATGTTGAAAGTTGGCAACAGCCCCTTGTGGCAGGGGCTGATTTCCAAAAACACGACCTAGGAATCCAGTGAGTAACTGAACTGATAACAGCAGCATGTCCAGTACTCGAGGAGTGAAGATGCCTATTAATTCCACAGGTTCCCACCCCCAACCCAGCCCACAGTGCAGAGCAGGCCCTCAGCAGCCCAGCTCCTCACCTCCACGATCCCGTGGCTGATGGTGCCATACTGCCTCTTCCTCAGCATCACCAGGCTGATGACGATGACCGTGGCAATGGCCACTGCGATGACCAGCAGGCCAATGAGAGCACTGCTACTCAGACTGAAGTCCTCCCGCAGTGGGCCCACGGATTCCTACGTAATAAAGCAGACGTGGAAAAAAGTCCCAGTGACCATCTGGCAGCCGTGAGGCAAGTAACTCACTGAGGGCCACGCTCCTGGAAGGTCGAGCCCCTAAAACCCAAAGTAGCACCAAGATCCTGCTTTGCAGGGAACCACCCACAGGTGGAGAACGCCCACTCTTCCCAATCTCCATGGAGATTTTAATTTTAGCTTTCTTATCCAAAAGTACGGAAAGCTGGGGATGAGGGACCCTTATTAGCTCAGGCATCTCTCCCGTTTTCTACTTGAACTGAGAAGGTCCAGAGGAGAAATACCTAAGATTGGCAGGAAACCTTAGGTTCTGGAGCTAAACACGTACCCGCTCTTCCTCGAGGCCTCCAACTCTCTCGGCATTGAAAATCATTTCCTTAACATCCAGAGTCTCGTCAATGACCTGAAACAGTCATGAGAATGTCGGCAGCAAGCAACTGGGTGAACGGGGAGTTTGGTATTTACTGCCTCCTTCCTCTGCTACCTGCTGCTTGATGGAAGGAAGCAGGTACCTGTGGGACCCCCATTAACCAACCAGTTCTGTCACAGCCTTCCAAATCCACTCCCCAAACCCCTAATGAAGGGGCAGGTATGGAGGGAAGACTATATTATGGCAGCTGGTCCCGTATGCATTTTCCTTCAAGTAACCGTTGTGGAGACGTATCTCAGAACAGACTGCCAAAAAGCCCCGTTTACACCAGGCGCGGTGGCTCACGCCTGTAATCCCAGCACTTTGGGAGGCCGAGGCAGGTGGATCACAAGGTCAGGAGATCGAGACCATCCTGGCTAACACAGTGAAACCTCGTCTCTACTAAAAATACAAAAAATTAGCCAGGCGTGGTGGCGGACGCCTGTAGTCCCAGCTACTTGGGAGGCTGAGGCAGGAGAATGGCGTGAACCCGGGAGGTGGAGCTTGCAGTGAGCAGAGATCATGCCACTGCACTCCAGCCTCGGTGACAAAGCAAGACTCCATTTCAAAAAAAAAAAAAAAGCCACATTGAAATATCAAACTCAGTTGAAGATAATCCAGAACTATAAATGACAGAAAATACTAGGTGAATAAAAGGGGGTATAAACCTAAGGCAGTATAAGAACAAAACCCAACTCTAATCCAAGTTATTAACTCTCTACTCACTTGAAAATGGCCTCTAACAGGTTATTCATATCTTTAGTTGTAAATATATTTTCCTACTCTATAGCAAGAGATGAGCTACTGCTGAAAAGGGCTTTTTAATCCTTTTCATACCCAGATGCTAAACACCACAGCCAGTCTGTGGGAGCCGTTGGAGCCCTCCAACCTTCTACTGTGCGGAAAACGAACACAGAGACGTGCACCTGGAAGCATCTGACATCAGGTCACTCGCTCTAATGAGTCTCAAAAGTAAAGCGTGTTGGGCAGAAGAAAGAACAGGCTCACCATGTTTTCATCCACTTTATTCTTACTGTTAATCACTTTCTCTTCGGCACCGATCAGTCCCCCATCCTGCTCTCCCACTCCAGATCCTGTGTGGAGAGAGATCATGGCTGAGTTCCCAAGGATGGCCCATCTCACACCCATTGCACAGAAGCAGCAAACTCCCTCCTGAGGGCCAGTGAGCCCCTCAACACGCACCTCCCCACGCGACTCATCTGCCACCATGTTCACAAGTCTGAGGGTGCCCTGTGCTCTCTAAAGATGAATGAGACAGGCATTTGCAGAGACCAATGGGTATAATGGAGGAGGAGGGAGTGCTTACTTGTCTCCAACTTGGGAAAATGAAATGCAAGCCTTCAGAGAAAATGTTTATTGTAAGACACATAGAAGCGGAGCCGAGGGGCATCCTAGCATGGGAAATACACACCATCGTAGGAGAAATTACTGAGCACCTACTACCCACACCCGGCTGCCACAGCACCCATCCTCACAATAACCTGCACGTTTGCCTTGGACATAGTAGGTTAGCCCACAGGGAATTCATTCTGCCTCAAATACCCTCCCCAACCTAAACTCTTATTTTCCCTTCAAGTTTCAGTTGGTCCTGGGGAGGTTCCAACAGTAATGACAACAGTCTGTCATTACGGATTTCTTCCCGCATCTCCCACCACGCTGAATCCCTCTGTGCCGAGATCCTAGATGCTCATATCCTAAGTGGCTATTAGAAGATAAACAGGAAGCGTGCATTCCACCTATAGGAAGCATTCTAATATCAGCATGGAAGGCACCTTTCTCTAAACAGAGCAGCAAGAACAGCAACTCTCCTCTCACCAAGGTCAGACACTGCCTGAGCAACATCACTCGAGTGTGGCGCTCCGAAGGATAGTATCCAAATACGCAGCACGACGACGCAGCACAGGCCCAGGGAGGGAACGTGAGAGGAAGTCCTCTATTTTTAGTTCCAAAGCATGTGATTTCTAGCTATCATAAGAATTCCTTATTCATAATAACATACAGTTCAATATAAACGTCTGTGATATGAGCCTTTTATAACTGGATCAACCCGACAGCGTATCTGGCATTCTAAGGTAACTACCTGCAAGTGAGACTTCAACATGAGGACATGCAAAGCACTGCTGTCCCTGGGCTTGTCAAAGGCAGGTAATGGCACAAGGCACAACCACAGCAGAGCTTCTGCCTCACAACTAGACTTGTTCTTAACACATAGCAACTTGTAACAGCTTCCACAGCTGCTGAACATGCAGGCTAGCTCATGCAATGCAGCCAAAAATGATGCAATTTTTCTAAAGCTTCAACTTTAAAGACTTGCACGACTAGATTCTAGTTAAATCAGAGCTAGCTTTTGTCTCAAAGTGCCCATGAAATAGCAATACTGCACTCCAACTATTTGAGAAAGAGGGATCTGGAAGGGTATTGCCTCAGCAAGGATGCTTATGACCAAGCCCAATCAACTGTAATTCTGAGCTCCTTCCATATATATGTTTCTCTCTCCCAGAATTTTAAAGGTCACACAGGCAGGAATTATTCAAAAAGCAATGTGGCACTGAGCAAACTAAAGGTCTACTGTCACTGGATACAGTGGCTCATGCCTATAATCCCAGCATTTTGGGAGGCCAAGGTGGGAGGATCACTTGAGTCCAGGAGTTCGAGACCAGCCTGGGCAACATGGCAAAACCCTGTCTCTACGTTAAAAAAAAAAAAAAAAAAAAAAATTTAGCCGAGGGTGGTGGCATGCACCTGTGGTCCCACCTACTTGGGAGGCTGAGGTAGGAGGACTGCTTGAGCCCCAGAGGAGGAGGCTGCAGTGAGCCAAGACCGCACCACTGCACTCCAGCCTGGGCAACAGCAAGACCCCATCTCAAAAAAAAAAAAAAAAAAAAAAAACCTACCACCAGTCCAGACTGTTATAATAGATTTTTGGTGGTATAGCCCCCACGTTTCTTAACATAAACAAGTGACTTCAAGACACCAAAGTTAATGTTTAAATTGTCCCAACTCATAACAGTTCAGTACAAAAGCAAAAGCCAGTTAAACTTCTAGAAAACTCATCTTTCTCTATAAACATCTCAGTTGTGCTGTTGAAAGGAATGTCGGCACAGTCATCCCCACGAACAGGCATATCCAAGTAGAATAAAATAAAGCATCTACACGAAGTCATTTTCAGAAGATTGAAATCACACTTTTGTGTTCTGAGAATAACCTGTGGCGTAAACCAGAACACCACCTTCTTAGCCGGGCAACACCGTTTGGCCCATCAACAGGAAGTCTGCCAAAGCCAAGGGTGGGCTCATACAACACATTATGAACAAGAAATGTTGAAATGATTCACAATGACTGGGCCACCCACCCACCTGGGGGATCCCGTGACACCGACAACTCAGGTAATGAAATCACATGGGCTTGGGGAACAGAGAACTGGGTTCAAATCCTGGTTCCTCCACTTCTTAGAGCAAGTCACGTCATCTCAGAAACTTCTTCAATTGTCTAATCTAGAAAATAGAGCTAAAAACACTACTCATCCTACAGGGACGTTCAGTGGACTAAGATGGGGACAAGAATGCAAAGCATTCCACATAGTGCTTTACGGAACGTTAACTCTTTTTGAAAACTGGAGACTCAGTACAGTGAGCTGGGTTGTCTCCAGCTGTTTGATCCATTGGCTTCCGATGTTCTGAGGAATATACAACTCAGGGGACATGAGACAACTGGCACAGACAAAGGGCGAGGAGAGCCAAAAAGAAAAGATGTAAATGGGAATTGCAGAGAAAAAGAGGGAAAAGAGAACGACTCTCCACCTGACTGTAAATAAGGCATATTTATACGGAGACAGCAGTTCACAACCAACCTAAGTTGGATATACTTCTAAAAATCTACCCAGATTAAAAGGGTCATGAAATCTATTTTGGTTGCTGTGCATTCTCTGACATCCCAGAGGGAAAGCTTAGCATGACCACGAGGTAACCAACACCATGGAAACTGGCCTCAGAGTGCTGGAGTCAGGTCAGCTTGTCAGCAACATGGAGGTGGGGCTGCTCTGACCCCACTCACAGCCGTGTCAGAAGGAATGAGGTGGGGAAAGCCAGGTGATGGCATGAAACAGAACATGAAGCTTCGGACACACTAGGGAGTGGAGAGGAATGAAGGTCTTAAAGGGAACATCTTGGACAAACCAACCTTTTTTCATTGGGTGGTACAACTCCGGCTGAGTGTCTAGCAGAAAGGAAAACAATAAAAAACAAAATAAAATAGCACAAAAGGAGATTAAAAAAGAAAATGGCTTCTTTTAAAATTTCTATCTTAGAATTTCTCTATAATGTGAACAAAAAGTATTCCTCCTTAAAAACACCCTGCCTGAAATATCCCATAAACAAACCAGCAGTATGAGCCACAGCAAATCACTGGAGGGTATCCTTGATAAGAGAGAAAAAAGTAGGTCTGTCTTGTGCCTTTTTAGGGAAACTGGGAGATGCCTGCACTATTTAGCTTAGCCCACATAATTATTTTTCTTAGAAAAAAGTGAAAATTGAAGTTAAGTGTTGGTTGTGGTTTGCTGACAGGGAGATAAGGTCCTAGTTCAGGTATATCCAAGCTGCCCCGACCCCCAACAAGCACATAAGAAGTTGTCCAAGCATGGCCACCCGACAAACCCACAGAGATTTGGGGATAGCATGGTGCCTCTTCATCTACCACCCCAAAAACCCACGGAGATTTGCGGGTGGCATGGCGCCTTTTCATCTATCTGCCACTTCCTCAGATCCTGTTTTATTTCTGGAGAGTCAACTGCTCTGGGATCGCTAGTTTAGAAAGCATTTCCATTAAGGTCTGAAGGCTAAGCTGGATGTACCTCCATCCCCCCACCCCTAATTTGATGCCTTCCTGAGGCCTCTGTTCCAGTGCTATATCCAGTCAGGTCTGTGACTGCAGGACCAGATCAGCTTGGATTCGACCCCTGACTCTCCACTTATAAGCTACATGACCTCGGGCAAGTTACTTAATCTCTTTATACCTCAGAATCCCCACATGGGGACACTCGACTACCCACCTGCGAGGGTTACTGTGAGGATGGAGAGCATCCGCTGAGATGCTTAGCTAAAGCTGGCATATAACAAGGACTACGGCATAGCTGTGGGCCATTCTTATCATTACCCTGTCAGCAGCAACAGCAACAAACAGAACTGATGAGGGGGACGGCTCTCAGGGCACTGGTCTCAGCAACTTGTTTATTTCTGGAGCAGACTCACAGCTTTTAGAGATCCTCTTAGACACTGAGAACCAGCAGGGGAATAGAGGAAAGAACGTCTGCCTAGGACCCAGAGGAACAGCTTCTTATCCCCACCTCATGTCAGAGATATGACCCACGCCAGCCCTGTCACCTCCTCAGCCTCTCCAGCACCTACCTCCCAAGACGGCTGGGCAAAGGTAACACCATAACAGGAAGGCGCTGTTTCAACTGCCAAGTGCCTCCCCCATGTAAGGAAGTGCACAAGTTGGAAGAAGTGGGGGTTTGAAGCCACCCATCTTGAAATGGGAGAATTAGTCTTAACTTCATGGTGACATTGACACCAATGATTTGAAAGCATCTAGCAGGGTCCTTGCACACAGTAGGCGCTCAATGAATCCAGTCTCCCTTCCCCTGACTCTCGCAGGAACACCATCTCCCAACTCAATTTGGTTTTCGAAAAACTGACTTCAATTCTCTCATTTTGTCCTCCCCCTGCTGCCCAGAAGTGGCACCGTCGCCCATACACACCTTCGTTCTCAGGTAGGGCTGGGAAGGGGTGGAAGGGGTGGAACGGTGGGATCTCCTCACTCTCCTCAGAGCTCACCCGGACGTCCACAGGGGTCTCTGAGATTGAGGCAGTGAACTGGTCCATATCTGCACGCTGCTCCTGAAGGAGCTCATCTGATGAAGACAGGGCAGGGGACAGAAAGCAGGCTTCAGAAGGGCCTGGTGTCCAGGCACAGGATGCTCTAGAGCTCCAAGACCCCACTGTGGCTCCCAGTTCCTGCCTGAAACACCTTCCTTGATTCTGTGGCACCACAGAGCCCCAACACCAGGGACCCCAGGGCGCCGTCCCAGGCACCCCTGCATCCACCTCCACACTCCAGTTAAGTGGTATCCACAACTCCACAGATTTTGGGGGTTTAAAAAATTGTACATATTTAAGGTCTAAAATATAATGCTTTGATATACATATACACCATGAAATGATTTCCATAGTCAAGCAAACACACACATCACCTTCCAGAATTACTTTTTTTTAAAAATAAGAATACCTCAAATCTACTCTCGGCAAATTTTTAGTATATAGTACGATATTACTAACTACAGTCCTCATGCTGTCCATCCCATCTCTAGACGTATCCACCCCACGTAACTACAACTACCACTTCATACCCTCTGACCTACTTCTCCCCGACGCCAGTTTTAAATACTGACCATATACCATGACTCCCAGGCCCGAATCCTGGACCTACTGCCTGACCTCTGCCTCACCTAAATCCTACATCCCCACATAACATCCAACAGAAATTTCTATCTTAACATGTATCAAGAGAGCTCCGGATTTCCTTCTCCACCTCAGTCAGCCATGGTACCACCATCCCCGAGCTGCTCCCAGTGGAACCCTAAGTGCACTTCTTGATGCCGCTCCCCCAACCCCACACGCAGCCCTGGGCGCAGCCCCACACACTCCCACCAGAACACATCCTACAGACCATCCCCAGCTGTCCCTGGGGTGCTCCTTCTCCTACCCCGTCACCCCTTCAGTGCATACTCCCAACAGCTCTCTCCTGAATTTCTAAAATCGCTTCCTGGCTGGTTTCTAATTTTAATCGACTACACACAGCAGCCAAGTGAGCTTTTAAAAATTCATAATCCAGATCTAGTCTTTCCCTAGCTGAAAATCCTCTAACGGCTTCCCATTATCCTAGAATAAAATCCAAACTCCTTGATTTTGCTGAAATTTCTTCCTCATCTGGTCCCTGCATACTTTGGCCACATCCCCTTTGCTATGTTGTAGCCACACTGATCTACTCAAATGTGATGCCTGACTTCCACCTGGGGCCTTTGTAGCTGCCGCTCCCTCTGCTACCAACGTGCTCTCCCGCTGTGATCTTACCATTCGGATCTCAGGCCACCGTCCCCAGAGGCAGCCGCCCCGACTGGCCACTCTCTAGCACTCTGCCCGAGTTTTCACACTGCACAGCACCTATCACCAGCTGACACTTATTTTCTTGTTTTACTATCTGTTTTTCTCTTATCAACACATCAACTCCAGCAGGTACCATCTGCTCGTGGACCATTTTACTCTGTGACACGCACGCAGCAGCCATAATAAAACTTGTTGAATAAATGAAGAAGATAAAGACCGGGAGAGGAGGAGGTGAGAATTTATATAAAATCAGGTGCTTGAAATAATCAGAACGAAGGAGGAAAACGGGAACAGGAAACTCGTAGTCTCTTGCAATTTCACACCCCAGATATTCTTCCGCTAACAGAGTGAAGGTCAGTGAAGCCCGAGGCTCCATGGCTCACAGCCAGTGCACCTGTCCTTGGTTCCTCCTTCACCTTGCCATGAAAGCTCCAGTGGACTCCAGGCTTCTGAAGCCAGGATGTGCTAATGCCCCACTTCACCGGCCTTGCTTGCTCATCTCTCTCTACTCTTGCCCAGCTTTCACTCCTGAGCCTCTGCAAGAAGTCCCGTATGACCTTGACACAAAGAGCTGGTACCCACCAATTTCCTCTTGAATTTCTTGGGCTACATAAGGTACTTTGTAGAGCAGAGAGAGGCTTTGGTTCCTCCTTTCTTCAATCACGTGGAGATGTGTCATCACCTGGAAGCAGAGTTATGGTGGAGAGGTGTTGTGACTGAAAACAACTAGGCCAGGAGGGAACTTGCAGCTGGAACATCGACACAACTTCTGGAAAAACCACTTTACAAAGCATATTCTCTACAGAGTCTAGCAAAGCAACTGGTCAGGGGAAATGTATTAATCCTCACGCCATATTTACTGACTGCTAAAGTATAAGAACGTGTTCAGCCTGGGCGTGGTGGCTCACACCTGTAATTCCAGCACTTTGGGAGGGTGAGACAGCAGGATCACTTGAGCGAAGGAGTTTGAGACCAGCCTGGTCAACATGATGAAACCCTGTCTCCACCAAAAATACAAAAATTAGCCAGGCATAGTACTGTGTGCCTGCAGTCACGGCTACCTGGGAGGCTAAGGCTGGAGGATCACTGGAGCCCAGGAGGTTTAGGCTACAGTGAGCTATGACTGTGCTACTGCACTCCAACCTAGGCAACAGAGCAAGATCCTGTCTTAAAAAAAAAAAAAAAGACTGTATAATTCCCCCAGCTGACATGAGAATTTATCTGGAAAGTGCTCCAAATTAAGAGACAATTTATTTAAAAATGGCCACTAGCTACTGGATTTTCATACAAGGCACTTACTACTAATTATATTGAGCCAAAAAAAAAAAAAAGAACTCTAATTTGTACAATGCCGAATGTTCAGTAAGGTTTTGCTGAGTGAAAGAAGAGTCAGTTGATTTCTACCACTGGTCAGATTAGATGGGATTAAAAAAGACTGAAATTACTGGCTGAAAAGCAGACTTGGCAACAGAGGGAACCATTATGGATTTTGCTTAGTGAAGCAATTGCTTAAATGATTATTGTGGTAAATAAAGAATTAGTTTATTCCTATTTAACTAAATTGCTATTTTTTGAAAAACTCATGCTGAGGTATAAATAAACCTGATTTTAAGGGGGTGATAAAGGAAGACTCATCTACCGTAGCTCACTGCCTTTTCTGAATGCAAAAGTTCTAAGGTTATTCATTATTTAAAAAAAAAAAAAAAGGCCATTAGAAGTGGTCACTATTTTTACAGTTTTCCAGGATGGAAGTGAAAGGTGACGGGCTAGCATCCACCCCAATGACACGGCGAGGTGTGTTGCTGTAGCTCCCACAAGCTTTTCAAGCTAAGTCATCCCCGCCTGGTTAGACCTGCAATTACCAAGCTTTTCCTAAAGAGGGTGCTGGAAACCAGTGGATTAATTATGTGGGCCTGAAGCCATTAACATGAAGGATCAAAATGAAAAAAAAAGCTAAATGGAAAGATGCTTTTATTGTAGACTGACATCTCTCTGACCTTTCAAAGCAAGGATGAAAGCAATTTAATTTTATATTTGCCATTCTGTCAATCAAGGAAAGCACAAGAGTGAGTGCCTTGAAGAAAAAATGCAAATGAAGCCAAAATGCAACACCCACGGGTTCAGCAAGTGTTGTCCTGCTACACCTCCCAGAGGAACCGGGAGCCGTGTGAGACAGGAAGGTTCATACACTCACAGAGGACAAGAACCACAGAGCGGGAGACTGCAAATTAGTGTCTCTACAGCAAACCATTGGCTATAGTATGGGGGTAAAAGCACCATCTCACTCATATCCAGACAAGCAGACATGGCACAAGTTACAACAGGCTGAATATCTGCAAATTTTTCTGGTGTTTAGATAACAGAATAGGGAACAAGGCAGAAGGTAAGCTTTGCCAGAATTAAAGCTAAGAGCAGGTAGTAAGTAGCAGACAGGAGAGCTGGGTTTTCTCCCCAAAGGTGTTTAAATGGGAGCATTCTACTTCCCACATTACTTGGTGTGGAAGCTTGATCTCACTTGCAGGAATTCTCTATTAATTTAATATACTGATCAAAATCTCTCCTTCCCTTCTACTCTCACACAAAACTGGCTAGAATACAACACGATAATTTAATTTTAAACCAGAAAGTTTGGAAAGTGATTAAGTCTTTTCAAAAAATCAAGTAGACCCCAAGAGCCTAGGCCCTGTCAAGATGCATGCGTTTTCCATCCAGGCCTCTTGGACTTTCTCCTCTTCTGCTACATCCAGCGTGAAGCAAAGTCCTGAGCTCCAGGCCCACACCAGATGCCCCTTAGGGTCTCCAACCCAGCCCCTTTCCACGTTCTTCCCACTCTTTAGAAGCCTGAGTTCTTTTATTCCCCAAAACAACCAGCTTCTGAAGTGAACTCTGTATATCTAAGAACACCTGCTCTAGGCTGGGAGTGGTGGCTCACACCTGTAATCCTAGAACTTTGGGAGGCAGAGGTGGGCGGATTACCTGAGGCCAGGAGCCCAAGACCAGCCTGGCCAATATGGTGAAACCCCGTCTCTACTGAAACTACAAAACTTAACCAGGTACTGTGGTGGGCACCTGTAATCCCAGCTACTTGGGAGGCTGAAGCAAGAGAATCATTTGAACCCGGGAGGCAGAAGTTGCAGTGAGCTGAGATGGTGCCATTGCAACCCAGCCTGAGTGACAGAGTGGGACTCCATCTCAAACAAACAGACAAAAAAACACCTGCTCTTCACCTTTACAGTTATTATCTCTACACTAGCGTGTGAGCTGCTCAAGGGCACTCAAGGGAGTCAACCCGGCAGCACTGAATGCCAGTGTGGAGTCTGGCACTGAGACAGACCCCCAGCTCCACAAATGGAGCAGCTCAGCTCCAATACTCCAAAGGCCTTTAGGCCTTTAGGCACATTACCTTTTCATCTTCACACTCATAGCAGCTGTGGGGAAGGAGGGTTTCTGGGCTGACAGGCCAGCACCCGTGCAGTAAGTGAGCCCATGTACCCTGACACTCACAATCAGCACAGCACTGTATTTACAATATGAGAGGAAATCAAGTAAGATCAGCGTTGTTACTATAAGGCCCTCTAGGAAAACTAAGGCTGAGCTAGGAGACTTCCTGGTTTAAACGGAAGCTAGCAGTCTTGTAGGCAAGCTCATTTTTATGAATACAAAAAAGTAAAACTCAAGTTAATATATGAACAACACCAATATTAGAAGTAGGAACCAGAAACAAACCTCTGTAGATGAAAGTAAAGCTGGACAAAACCTAGGAATGTAAAAGTGTCTGTCTAAACAAAAACTATACTGCACAAAACAAGAGACCAATTTTTAAGATCTGCTTGATAAATATACCTAGAAAAGGATCTTGAATATTGGTTCTGGCAATACCCTAAATCAGAAATAAATGATATAAAAAATTCAGAAATTGTTTAAGTATAAAGCAGTTAATATAAAAAAGTATTTAAAAAGATGTTTTAAAAACAGTGACCTTGCAAAAACCAGTTCACGTACCGAATGTCTTCGGAAATCAAAACTCATTTTCTAAGGACTAGTAGCAAATGCAACTAGCAGTGCTGGTCAACCATTAGTCAAGGCATTATGTTCCCCACTGGAAATGCCCTCACGGCAGCAATTTCTACTACATCTACTGTACCTGGGATTTCATCTGGGCCGCCTTTTCTGGGTCAACAGCCAACACATGCTGGTAATGACGGATGGTATGTAAGCGATCTTTGTTCTCAGCACGGACATAACGCCGTAAGGCCTGGAGAATGCGATGAGGCTGCAAGAGAGAACAGTTGTTTTAATATCCAGAGACTAGAGAATTGAAAATAGGCAGGAAAACAAAAGCTTAAAAAGTTCACTTAAGAATGTAAAGCTCAGCTAGGCACAAGAATGAAAGCTGTAACTGGAAGGCTTTTTTAGCTTACCAAGTAACAAAAAAACTGTCTAGGTAAAATAGCAAAACTAAGTTCCAAAGTTATACTGGCTCCTTAACATACAGTATTTTCCAGAATCTCCTGCCCACTCCCGTTCTCTTCTGATCTGTCCTTTTTCCTGGCTCAGCCTCTGACACCTATAAGCTAGATAGTCTCCTGTGTCACCCAAAGAGAGAAGACTTTAACCGGCTTACTTAAGGACACAAATATCCTCCCAATACTTTCCATCCCCCAAAGCAAGGCAGGTTAGTGTTAAGGGACAAAATCATTTGAGACCACTCACACAAGAGTTTCAGAAGAAATTACTTTACCCCTTTCTTCATAATCTTATTTATAATGTAACTTGTTCAAAAGTCTTCATGAATAGCATGTTTTCATTCTTTGAAAGGAAGTTCAATAACTGGATAATTACCCATCAATTTCGCGAGGTTATACTTTTCCAGCGTAAAACACTTTCACATCACAGGTGGTATACGCAGGCATAAAGCGATGTCATGCTTAGCTTATATACACAGATATTAGAATGTAATACCTTTTCCTCCCTCATCATCTTTCCTTAGCTTCAGCTTTGCCAGAACTTGTCATACAAATGTCACTTTTACTGACCTGAGTGTCATACATTGGTCCCCTACATATACCACCTCAGGGCAGGCAGTGCTAGGGGCAGGACTCACCCGTGGCGGGTCAGACTGCAAGGCAGCCAGGTAGTTCTCCAGAGCCATCCGACGGCGGTCATTCAGCATAGCTTCCACTCGGGCCAGGTGGGTCTCCACCAGCTGCTGCTTCTCACTGGCTGCTTCCTTCTCTAAAGCTTTAACCATGGCTTGGAAGTGCTAAACCAAGAAAGCAGGAACCACACATGATTTGTGGCACCCAGAGGAAGCCTAAGCAAGCACCCTGAGACCCCAGTGCTTCTCCTGTCAGTGCCCATGCGAGACAGTAACAGGTTCGGAGAGTGGAGCAAGGGTAAGATCCAAAGTCTACTTCATCCTACCTTCATTCTACTTCTATCAGGAGAATTACTTCCTTCTTTAAAGAGAGCAAGTTAAACCTCAGTGTCAAAGGGCCTCCTTAGTATCTGTGTAACTACAAGTGCTAGTGCCTGCAAGCCCAAGGCCTGGTTTCTCAATATGCACTATAAAAAAAGAACACTGTCCTTCCCACATTGCAGCAAGGCACTAACTTCCAAACTCTGAGACCACTGACCAATGGGAGTTATGTGGTAAGTTCTGTTGAAGTATTCCTGTCATTAGGTTAGTGCAAAAGTAATTGTGATTTTTGCCATTACTATCAATAAAGTCATGAAGGGCAAGTTATCCGTGAGGTATCCAGCCAGGTTTACAGGTACAGTTTAAGCCTGCTGAACTACATTTCCCTGAACAAGATGCACTGACTTCTGTAGGAATTAAAACTGTTAGATTTTCTAAGTGATCAATAAAAAAGCCTTTTAAGATTATTTTTAACACTTTATTAAAGTGTTACATTAGGAGGAAAGGCATTTCAGCTAAACATAAAATGATTTAAAATTTACAAAATCAGTTTTGTAAAAACCAAATCAGTCCTGGAAATTGCTATCCCTATTCCTAGCAACACTCTTCTACTGAAGGGGAATGCAGTTTGCTGCTATGATTTTAGTTATAGTCTACAAAGTTAGAGATGAATTGTATCAGAGATCTTTATTTTCTATCCTTTGACTTTCAATTAGTCTTAAAAAAAATTCAGTACTGCTGAAAAACAAGTCACAGTCTAAGACTGAAAATGGCAGAGGACTTTTGCCAGGAAAGCAGAATTAACGAAAGGCAGCTGAGCTAAGGTTACCTTCTGGCATGAATTAGGTGTGCTCTGGTGGGGGTTTGGTTTCCTTCTACCATAGGTTAGCAATACTTGAGGTGAAAAAGAAAAACAGGCCAGTTACAACTTCCTTGTAAGCCCTCACCTAAAAGGAGGTGGTGTCCAATCCTAATTTCGTTGGGAATGGGGCTCTGACCGTATTTTCCAATGGTCAGGCTGAAAGCTATGTCCCCAGAGAAGGCATCTTACCTGAATCAGAGTCTGCCTCTCTGCTTTGGGGAGGTTCTTAGCTTGAAGCTCTGCCTCTTCCCATTCCTTCTTTACCTAGAACAAAGGTCAAAAACGCCGTCAGCAGTGATTAATACCCCGAAACAACTCCTCCATTTGCTAAAAACACTGTCAGATGCTAAATCTCACAGGAAACTGCAAAAGGAAACCAATCACACAATCTCTTAGGAGCTTAGCATTGTTACTGCCTCAGAAGGTTCCAGGCCTCAACTATCCCCAGATGGAGCCTCAATTCCATGACCTCTTTGTTACATAACCTTGAGTAAGTTATTTAAAAGTCTCTGTGCCTTAGTCTCCTCACCAAAAAAATTGAGGTTAATACCTACTTTTCAGAGCTGATGTGGATAAAACAATAAGCATTTTGCAAACTGTAAGCCCAACATGGGACTGTGTGGGATTTGGGGTGGAGCTTAGGCCTAGCAAGGCATTCCCTTTTCAATTCTCTTCAATCCTGAGTAAATCCAGAAGAAAAGTTGCACTTTGGTGTTCCTGCTGCTCTCTTATAACCCTTTTAAAGGAAAAGAAACATCTCTGAGACTCAGAACCTTCCAGAGACAGCAGTATCTAGCTAGCATGTATTAGTACATGTTTGCTTTCATCTAATATATTTGTATGGTTGGTCACTTTCTTCTCACGGCAAATGGTACTAGCTTTTTATTGATAACAGTGATATAAAGTTTCCTTCTTTAAAATAAAGAAATTTTAAAGCAAGTTAATGGCAAAAAAAAAAAAAAAAAGGGCAGATAATGGTATAGGAAGTGCTCAGAGGATAATTATATTATATATTATCTGGATGCAGGTGGTGAAGAAGTCCACCCAGAAGGCAGCTCCACTGGTAACTCTCTCCTGACTCACCAGTCCTTATACATCAGCATGACAATCTAGGGAGAAGCTATTACTTTTCTTCAGCTATGAGAACCATGCTACCCAAAGCCAAGTACCATGAAGATGAAGAAATTGTCAAGGTTTACCCTGTCCATTCGGTTGCGGTGCCGAATCTCCAGCTGCTCCTTAGCCTTCTGGAAGCGAGCATGCTCATTATCATCTGCAGAGGTCTCGAAATACACATCAACATCATTGGTTGGCAGAGGAGTTGGAGGAACTGAAACAAAATTACAGAGGGAGTTCTCTTTGGGATCAGATGCACTGTGCTCTAGGAAGAAAACCCAGCTCAGGACCTGCAGGATGGACTCAATTTGTTTTGTGGCATTCTCTAAGTGCAGGGTGCTGCTATCTGCCAAGACTTCACTTGGTTAGATTACAGTGGGCAATCTTCCTTACACAATATTCATCAACCATGTCAGCCCACGCTAATACAGCAATTTATTGGCAGCTTCAGCACCAGTGAGGCATCTACTTAAGACCTCAGGGCTGAAAAAGAGGTGGTTTCTTCTATACCTTCCCTTCAGTGCTCGAACCCTGGAAACCTAAACAATAGCTACCTTATTGCTCGTAACTGAGCATCTGAACAGAGACAAGGGCAGGAATCAGACCCTGTAGAGGCACTTTTATGCAATTCCTTATTTTTAAAGAAATTTATTACTCAGGTACCTCTGCTCTTCTGGCTATCTTTGAGTCTTAATTTACAACAGAAAACAGGCTCAAGTGAATGTTCTTTGCATATACGCTGGGTAGAGAAAGTCCCCATCACTCCAGCTATAATTTTGAGTTTTCAGTATCAGTGAAGGACTCTTAGCCCCACCATCAGTGACAGAACCAACAAGGATAAAACTGAGTTGCTCTATTTGACAAGGACACCTTTCACCGATATGAAGATAGGGCTTTTTGATCCATGACACTGACCAATAGGGCTTCCCAAGCGTTCCCCAGAGCACAGGCCCATTGGAGCACCCCCGACTGCTGGATGGGCATAATCTCTCATGGGGCCCAAGCAAGTCTCTGCACGATGGAATTTAGCCTGATAAGGGAAAGGACTGAGATGACAAGTTTACTCAGTCAGCCTCTCAAGACATACCTAAGGTAACACTTACTAGCCTAATTCATGCAAGATTTCCCAAGCTGGTGTGGACTTGCTTGATAGATTATGACACAATTTCAGAGCTAAGTGGAGAGTGAATGCCAAGGTTCAACTGATTTTTAATTCAGAAGCAAATTCACCTAATTTCTAGAATTGTATCATTTTAATACATTAAAACAACCATATAATTGATGAATACAGCTACAAATTAGCCAGCCAGTTCAACTTTTTTCTGTCGGAAGCATCTTTTATTTGCCCATTTAACAGACCTAAAAACGACAACTAAAGTCATGAAGAATATGAGCCCTACATAAGTTTTAAAAGGGTGTCAATATCCCACTTTCAGATTAACTAAATTAGAATCGATAACTTGGTAAATGCCATTCCCCAAGACACTCGCAAGTTCAGTGGAGGAGAATTTCAAGCACTGCAGTCCATCATGCGGATCAGTGACACATGCCTGTGCTATAAAGGCCTGAGCGCTGGAGACGGAGCCTTTGGTTCACATTGCTGGACTGGAAAAAGGGAACAGCAAACACAGGCTGCTTCCAGCCTCCCTGGGACCAGAGTGGAGAGGACAGCGGGCCGAAATGCTTTTTTCTGAAGACACCCTCGGTCCCTGTGGAATCACCCACTCATGAAGCCGGCACATCCGCCAGCCTCAGCCCCTTCAAAGAAGAACAAAAACGCTCCCACTGGAAGTAAACTTGATGCTTCTCAACCTGCAAAGCCCTCCAGGCAGAGGCCCCACAAGAACATGAACACAAAGCTTCTCCGAGGCAAATCTCATCCAAGCCACAGCAAACGGGAGTTTTACAGACCTGCCACTCCATCATGTCTCACAGCACCACCCAGCTGACCCTTCGGGTAGAGATCACCACCTCCACACTCAGTGGGATTCCTCAGGCTTCAGTCCAAGTTTTACAAAGCAGTAAGTATCACAATAATTTCTATTTCTAAATCTTTCCTGAAAACGCAAAGTTTATTCACCAAGGTTCCCTAAGGCCTCCTTTTCTTTCACCTTTCAACTGTTACCGAATAAAAACAGCTTTCCTGGAGCTGGAAGGGAAGCACTCAAGGCACTGCCATATTACATTAAGATTTGAAAGATCTTTTGGTAGAAGGAAGGAAGAGGGAACATGAAGGCATGTGAATGAAAAACCGTCAGAAGCTATAGCCAAATTCTTCATAGCAAATTATTACTCCAACAAATTCCAGAGTAGGAACCAAGAAAAACTGTCTGGCCTGAGGATTTTCCTAATGTGTAGGTTAGTGCTGCAAGGTGAGAGACTGAAGGTCTTAACGAGAAAAAGGAGTAGCCATGGAGAAAAGGGAAAACTCTTGGTAGAAACTCTTTCTACCAACGTCCAGCATAAACCCAACTCAACTGAACCACTGACCTTCCTGTCACACCAAAGCACACACCAACTGAAATCCTCTCACTTCCTAAAGCTGTGTGACCCGGTTGCAAAATATTGAAGAAACAGAGTGAGTCACTACCACTTGGCTGCTAGCTCTCTCTAGAGTGCATTATGCAAGATATTTCAATATTCTAGACTGCCCAAAGTACTTCACTGTCACTCCTTTCGAGAGGAGGCGCCCCATGAGCTGGCATGCATCACAGGGGTCAGTGACAGGGCAGTTCAAAGACAGGAATGTTCAGTGCCTCTAAGCTAGAGCCAGCCCAGGGGACAGCTGCCTTCCCCACCAATACTACAGTGGCCTGGGGACCTGCAGACTCCAAAGCCAGACAAGAAAGAACAAGCCCCTGGCTGTGCTGCCCGCTATACCAAGGTGGGTACGCACCATCACCACCAAGCACCACCAGACACACGGTGAGCACAGGACACGAGAACTGAGCTTACCACTGCCGGCAGGAGAGCAAAGCCTAGATCTAGAAAGCACAAAGATGAGGGGAAGACGACCGACAGCAAACACCCGAGTGGGCAGGGACACCACACAGATGCAGCCACGAAGACGGCAGGGAGACGGACGCCAGACAGGACGGTGCTGCCGCACGGGACCAGCGCGAGGCAGGACTTACTCATCGCTTTACACACAGCCATACAATAATCCTCAGACTCAAAATTGTTCCTGTTGCCGCCGCAGCCACCATATATAAAGCGCACGCACTTTCCCTTGGAGAGGTCGAAGTACCAACGAGGCATCACGGCCCGGCAGGGCCCCGTCATCGCCTCCTGGGAGCAGACAGCTGTGTGAAAATGGTCAGAGTGTCAGCAGGACAGAGGCAGTGACGTCAAATGCTTCAAAATGCTACAGGCTGGCGAGCTGGGGGATGGGCTGGGGGAGGCCTGAGACTGGACGGAGCCTGGAGGCCCGGTGGCCGAAAGCTCCAGCTCAGGCCAGCCTTGCTGAGGACAAGTTGCTTCCCCACAGAGTAGAGACATTTAGGAACTGGGATAAATATTTTTTTGGCACCCTCTGGAGTCTAGATCTGAGTTTAGATTGACGTAGAGCAATTCCTTTGTCTCACAGCTGCGAGAGCCTCACATTTCTGATCTGTTCAGTGGAGGTATCTGCCTAGTTTGTCTATTCAGGAGACAGTGTGAGTGGAAAGGCTGCTTTAAGTGGTGATACCCGTAGTAAAGACAAGCACCTAGAACGGACAATTGTTTCCCACTTTTATGTTCTCTAAGGCAAATCACAAACTTCTCAACTGGTTAAGTAATTTCCCCCAACTTGGGTCCTAAATAATTCTTCGCATCTTAATTGGTTTCAAATATACGATCAGCAGGAGGCTGCATGTTAATGGCTCTGGAACTACTGCAACCTTTTCGTGTTTTAATTGGCAAGATGAGAAAAAAAAAAAACTGCAGGCCCCAATCTGTTACCAGCAGGTCAATAAATTTCACCCTCCCAACTAAAACATCTGGACAAATAGGGCAGCCTACAGATTAGAAGACAAGCAGGAAAAGAAAAACCAAGAAAACCATTTCTATTCTAGGAGGCCAGAACTTGAGTGGTATCGAAGAGGGGAGCTCCCCTTGGGGAGGGAACATTTTAGGATGAATGTGGAAGAATCCTGCTGAAGGGCGGACTACGTTGTCTCTCTTACTCTCTAGTCCCCGTTCTCTAATTCAATCCTACATCTCTCCCTGGATGTGCCTGCCTGCCCACTTTGTTAAGACGGCACCATCCCATCACTGCACTGGAGAGCTGAACTCACCTTCAGTGCAGAGGTACCACACCTTTCCTTCTGTGACTGACTTACCTGTGACAGACGCAATGCAAAAGTCTAAGTGAATAATTACCACATGGATTTCAAAGCCATGGCTCTACATGGGGTTACCTTTGACATCATGAGTAATTTCCTTGTCTGACATGGTGCCGTCGCTGCCGGGTTCAGTAGGATTCTCCTCATTGTAGTCATCTCCTTTGAAGGTGTCATAGTAGTAATCTCGGTCCTCCACCACTTCCTCCCCTTCTTCCTCATCCTCATCATCCTCATCCACAGCTGCTTCTGTGAAGTCTTCCAGATCTGCTTCAGTAGGAAATTCACTGAAGGCCAAAATAGAAAAAAAGGAAGGTTAATAGCTCCTATGTGCAAAGCACAACAATGGGTCCCTTCTCTATTCTGAAACACAAAAACAGAGGCAGGAAATAAGCTCAACGCACATTTCACCGTGCCACTAAGCCCTGGGGCCCAGCTACATCAGCAAACGGGAAGTATTTGTGAACATTTGAATCTAATCATGATACAACAATAAGACAAATCCAAATTCAGGGATATTATGTTAAACAAATGACACGGACTCTTAAAAAATATCATAGTAACCTGCAGAAAATAACAGCTCAGAATGATGTAAACACAAAAATCACAGGTACTCCTGTGATTGGCAATGGCTAGAATGAAATGCAAGCTTAATCAACTCTAGCAGAACAAAGGAATGCCCAGTTTATCCAGAAGTGAGGGACTAGCAGCCAACAGCCGTCTTTACAGAAGGGCTAACAAAAAGGCAAAACGACTTCACAGTTCAAAGTAGAAGAGTTACCTTTTATAAACATCATAGTCTTCCTCTTCATCTTCCTCTTCCTCTTCCTCTTCATCTTCCTCTTCCTCTTCTTTTGACACAGATCCAATAATCTTTGTCTGAGGGCAGCACACATATTCAGTGCCATGGAACTGGTCTACCCCACATGGGAGCAGCATGCCGTAGCTATATAAGGTCATTCCCTGAGTCAGACATGCCTAAAAGAAACCCACAGGCCACATCAGAACATACTCCAGAGTAAACGTGGTCAAATACACTCCGATCTCTACCCTCCAAAATAAACCCTTATCAAATCACTTAGCAATGCTTTCTCTTATGAACACATACATTTTCTGTCAAAAAAAAATTGTAATAATATTATTGTAAGATTTATAAATTTTAATTTACAATGGGGAAACATGATCTGGTCCAAAAATACTGAAATCCCAAATGTGGAAAAAAGTCAGGAAGAGAGCATTTTTTTCTAATAATGACTAAAGCCAGATAAGGTGGTCAATGTTAATAGATACTCACCACTGGTGCAAGCACTACTTCAGTATTTGACCAAAGGAAGATTACTGACCAAAGAGCAGAGCCAGCCTAATTACAGAAGACAAGAAAGGGTACTTCTTGCCACCAGAAAAGTGAGATGGCATGCAGTCCTGCCTGTGCATATGTCCAGACCTATATTTTCTATCACTGGCGATTTCCATGCCGGCCTTAGGGTTAGGATGGTTTCCTGGGAGCCTCACCAGCAGCATACAGTATTCTCGCTCAGCCACCTCCTTAACATCCTCAACTTCAGGAGCTGACTGTCAACACTGAGCTCTCCTACACAAATACCTACTTCTCTCCCAAATATTTCTAACTTATAAGACAGAAGTAATTGTAAACCTTAAGGAGATAATGGGGGAAACATAACTAACTTAAAAGCATGGTGAGATTTGGAGAAAAGTGCTACTTCCCTCCTAACAGATACAACAGCAGCTGACTTTCCCCCCGAGTTCTCTTACCTCTTTGACTACCGTGTGCCAGTGCTGGTGATTCTCACACACCTCCATCCGCTCTTTGTGGAAAAACTGGCACTTTTCTGGAACTAGCAGGACATCACTTACAAATTCACCCACTGGAAAAGAGAATCTTTGTCAGAGCGGATCTGACCATGATTTCAAGGTGAAAATGCCCCTCACTGAAGTTTATGATGATAGTCTACACAGCCAGGAGCAGTCTCATGTATACGAGCAGATGCACATCTCGTACCTTCAAAGGCTGACTGGATGGTACAGTTCTAGCCAAGCAGCCACAAGAACTCACCAATCTGTCAGAGCCATGATGCCAGGGACCTTTTAAAAGCCCCCTGACTGCAGTCCCACTGCAGGGCTACAGCAACACGTGACGGGGAATATAATAGGATCACCTCCATGCCCGCCTCAGACACACACAGCTACTCTCCCCACATGGCTCTGCCTTCCTTATTCCTGCCCACACCTCTGTAATCAAATGCCCAAGAAACTAAAACCAGGTGTTCTACTCAAGTACAGATGAATCTTTAGACAAAACATGATGTAATAATTGAATCCAGTAAGAATAATCAATGATTAATTACAAAGGGGCAAAGGTGTCTTTACGGTGGGAAGCCTTGGCAAACTACCTCAGCCAGATAACCAATTTAACACCACTGATAACGAGCAAACTGGTGTGTGTGATGTCCTAAAAATAATATATCACCTACACAGTATTTCTGCCAAAATATATTATCATTTGAATCTAATCATGCTAAAACACTAAGACAAATCCAAACTCAGGGACATTACATTAAACAAATGGCATGGACTCTTAAAAAATATCATTGTCATGAAAGTTTTTGTTTCTAAAGAAAGACTAGGGAACTATCCTAGATGAAATGTAGTATGTGATCCTTTTAAAAAGGAAGCTATAAAAAACACTAGTTGGACACTTAGGAAAATTTCCAAACATGACAACTGTATTGTCATTATATATAGAAGAATGTCCCTGGCTCTTAGGAGAAACCAGCTGAAATACTTAGAAATGAACTGTCGTGATATCCCAACTTACTTTCAAATGGTTTAGCAACACAAAAATATACATATAAGATGCAGAGAGAGAAAAACATCAGGTAAAACTGGAGAATCTAGGTAAAGGGTACAGAGATATTCACTATTACATTTTCTAAAACTTGTCCCAAAAAGTCGGGAGAAAGATACACATAGCTGTTTATTTACAGGGAAAAGATGGTATGTGATTTGTTTCCAAATAATCAGGGTTGTGAGGGAGTGGGCCTATAGAAGGTGGAAGAGTGGCTCATGAACTGATGGTGGTTACAAAGCTGGGCAACCAGTACGTGAGGGTGAACGGTATCATCGTCTCTTGTTTGGCCATGTTTGTAATTTGCCACAATAAAAAGTTAGAAATATACAACACATCACTGGATGATCACCCCAAGACTCTGATCAGTAGTGTAAGGTAAGGCTCAGTAATCTACACTGGGCATACGTCTGCCATGTGCTCCACACAGTGTAGAGGGAGAGGAAGAGAGGGCGAGAAGGGTGCTTAGCCCAGGAAGAGATGCAGGAAGCAGTGGCAGGAAGATGCAGCTGGCAGACTAACCTCTGAGGTTAAGGGGGGAAAACCCTGAAAATATCATGAGAAAGTAATGTGGTCTAAGAAAGGGCTTAGGGCCCAGCTAGTGGGAAGTCTACACAGACCCACCCAGCCTCGCCATCATGGATGAGTCTCTCAGGATCCTCTGCCTTGGGCCTCGGGCGCAAGCACTGAAGTCAGTCTTTCTACCGCCCCAGTGGTAAGAGAAAGGGAGTTGCTGATGTGTAAGTAGGGGAAGATGGGCTCCTGACATGACAAGCTGTAGCAGTGTAACAGTCCCCCCACATGAAAACTGCATTACAAATGGCAGTCAGGTTTCTCAGCACTGCTAGCACAGGGACTTTGGGATCACACAGCTCAATGTGACACTGAAGCAGGATTGCGAAAGTGAGCCTGACATGCTGCTTACCCTTGAGGACCCCAAAGGCTCTAGGGGAGGCAGTACCTGCAAACAGGCTTTAGCAATCAACGAGACTTAAAAGCATTGCTTAAAAATAGCAAAAATACCAACAGTAAGCTAGAATCTGCCTCTACGAGAATGAACAACCCTGATACTCAATCTAAGTAGAAATTACTTCAATTCTGACATCCAACCACCAACTCACATGGTTTAATGTGATTATTCTGAATTAACTAGGCTGTTTTTGTTCATTTATGACAAAAAGCAACAAAAGTGGATGCTAAAGGAAAAGTATATGCAGGGTTGAATGCTAGGGTTCAATCTCAGCACTGTCATTTACTAGCAGAGTAACCTTAGCCAAGTTACTTAACCTTTCTGTCCCTCGGTTTCTTTATCTTGTGGGGACTAAATGACATAATCTATACAACAAGAAAAGCTTAGAACAGAAACTATTGTTCCACATGTGGGTTTGTTGTTTAAAATAAAAACAGAAACTGACACCTGGTAGGCACTATTGATGTTAATGTTAGTGAAGTCTTGAGGAACTAGTTTTATACGAACTATTCAACCATACTCATAAAGCAATGTATATTTAAGCAACAGTTAATGCACTTTAATTTGTAAAACCTCACTTTTAAATGTGCAACTGCAACATCAAAAAAATTTAAAGCAGCAATTTCACTACTAATCTATATTCTATAGAAACACAACAACTATTTTTTTTTTTTTTTTTGAGATGGAGTCTCGCTCTGCTGCCCAGGCTGGAGTGCAGTGGCGCAATCTCAGCTCACTACAAACTCTGCCTCCCGGGTTCAAGTGATTCTCCTGCCTCAGCCTCCCAAGTAGCTGGGACTACAGGCACGTGCCACCACGCCCGTCTAATTTTTTTGTATTTTTAGTAGAGAGACGGGTTTTCACCATGTTAGCCAGGATGGTCTCGATCTACTGACCTTGTGATCCACCCCGGCCTCGGCCTCCCCAAGTGTTGGGATTACAGGCGTGAGCCACTGCGCCTGGTCAGAAATACAACCTTTAACTCAATCTATACAACACCTTGGATAAACTAAAAAATGATGTAAAGTAAAAGCAAGCTGTAAAAGGTCAGGTACAGTATGATGCCATTAATGTAAATTTTAAAACACAAAAACATTGTTTATAGATGCATGTAAATGTTGCAAAAGAACTGAGACCAGCCTGGCCAGCATGGTGACACCCCACCTCTACTAAAAATACAAAAATTAGCCAGGCATGGTGGCATGCACCTGTAATTCCAGCTACTCAGGAGGCTGAGGTTGCAGTGAGCCGAGATCATGCCACTGCACTCCAGCCTGGGCAAGAGACTCCGTCTCAGAAAAAAAAAAAGATGGAGATGAAGCAAACATGACAGAACACTGAAGAACTGAAATCAGGAGGGTGAGCATATGAGCAACCATCACATTATGTCTCATCTCTTCAGGATGCTTGGTGTAATATTTCAGAATTAAAGTTTAAAATCAAAACCTTTTCGGAAATGCCAAAAATTTAATAAAATAATTAATTCCATGCTAAACCATAAAATTAAATGCCACTAATCTTCAGCTATTCCATGACTGAATCAATCTGTTCGATCTCTAAAAATCAAAAAAGAACACCACTGAATTTGAAAACAAACTAAATTCTAAAATTTAACTTTTTTTTTTAAGATGGAGTCTCACACCATCACCCAGGCTGGAGTACAGTGGCACAATCTTGGCTCACTGCATCCTCTGCCTCCCAGGTTCAAGCAATTCTTCTGCTTCAGCCTCCTGAGTAACTGACATTACAGGCGTTCGCCACCACACCCAGCTAATTTTTACTATTTTTAGTAGAGACGGGGTTTCACCGTGTTGGTCAGGCTGGTCTTGAACTCCTGATCTCAAATGATCCTCCCATCCCAGCCTCCCAAAGTGCTGTGATTACAGGCATAAGCCACCAGGCCTGGCCTAAAAATATATATATATATCTTTTAACAGTACTCTTTGATTCAACAATTCCAGTTCTAAAAAGATACCCTAAGGATGTCTGGACGCAGGGGCTCATGCCTGTAATCCCAGCACTTTATGAGGCTGAGGCAGGTGGATCACTTGAGGTTAGGAGTTCAAGACCAGCCTGGCCAACATGGGGAAACCCCATCTCTACTAGAAATAGTAAAAATGAGCCAGGCGTGGTGGCGAATGCCTGTAATCTCAGCTGCAGGGTGGAAAGGGGGACACGCAGGACCAAGGCCGCAGTCAGCCAAGATCGCGCCACTGCACTCCAGCCTGGGTGACGGCGACCCTGTCTTAAAAAGAAAAAGAAAAAAAGAAAAAGATACACACCCTAAGGAAATAACTAGGCAAGTGAATTAAAATATTCATTAGTGTTATTAATATCAAAAAACTAGAACAAACCTAAATGTCCATCGAGAGGGAATTAATTAAATGATGATACATATATACAACAGAATAGTATGGGGTTACAAGAAATATGGCTTATGTGTATATTTAACATGGACATTTTTCCATGGTGGTTTAATAATTTTTAAAATCATTGAACAAACAAACAAAAGGAAACCCACTGCGTATCTCTAACCCCTTCTTCAGGCTAGTTACTTAAGGCCAACTTTATCTTTTTTTTTTCTCCCAACCTTATCTTTTATTCAAAGATGTATGTATCCCTAAAAGTAGCACATGATAATAAAAGCTCAATAAATGCCAAATAAAAATAAACAGAACTTTAAACAGAGGAGCATACGTTGTATCATCACAGTTAGGGAAAAAACATTTAAAAGTATATACATTTCCATGTGTATCCAAAGAAAAAAATGTTCATCTATACCCCAAAATGTTAATCACAGTTAACTTAGTACAGAAACTGAAAATAATTGTTTTTGTCCCCTTCCCCCAATGCAAACTTCTTTTATTGAAAAATAAACCCCTTTTTAAAAAGTAGACTGAAAGAGGAAACACATTTCAATCCCAGCATCCGCTCTATCATTTCATTGCTACTCTCTGCCTTTGCTACAATTTTTCATCAGAAGCTCCTAGGGAAAAAAATTTACCTAGGCAGATCAGTATTACTCTGTTTTACAGAACATTGAAAATGGTTTGCTCTCACTTTAGTAATTTATATTCAAGCTGGTAACATCCTCAATTTTATCAGCGGAGTATAATATAATTGCCACAATTTCCTAAGTCACTGGACAAACATAAAGCTCTACTGTTTTTGCTGATCAATGAATATGGCAATATAGCAAAACCTAACCTATACAATATTCATTTAAGCTGCAGTTAGGATTTATCGCCAATTTCTAATCATCCCTGTGATTCAGCTTTTCTTTCCTACTACTTCTCTCCAGCAGTGCTATGGCAGCCATCCAGGTTTTAGAGCTTTTTCAGAGTTGCTGAAATTCCTTTCAGAATAAATAACAAAGGTTGTTTACCTACTTGAGGAAGCCTCCAACACCAACACCCATGCATATAAGTAAATCTACTACATACCCTGACATGACTATTACACACTATATGCCTGTATCAAAATATCTCGTGTACTCCATAAATACAGACACCTACTATATACCCACAAAAATTAAAAATTAAAAAAATAATAATAAATATACTACAAAAGTACACTCCAGGTGCAAACAGGAAAACCATGTAATTTAGGGAGCTGGTAAAAGCTGTACCCAGGTGGGAGAAAACAGCCTTATGTAATGAGGTCTGGTGGTCACCCCAGGTATGTTTCAGGGAAAACAGGGTTCAGAGAAGTGAAGGATCCACGCTACCTCTCGAGAGTGGAACATTCACCTTGCACAGGGGTCCACACCAGGAACAGGGTGAACTGTCAGTGGCTGTCATGAACTCAAAGGCTAGAAGACTTGCAAAAGGACACCTGCAATGGAAAAGTGAGCTATGCCAACAGACCAAGGTACAAATGCAGAAGACAGCACCTCAAAGCTGCCGAGACCAGTTTTGTTTTCAAAGTAGATATTAAATCAGAACTTTAGTAGTTTTCATATCGCAATAACACTACCTGTCCAAATCTCTGTCCAAAAATAACCAAAAACAAAAAACAAATCACCTAAGGCCCAGATCTGGGTTTCAAAATAGCATTCCCCACTAAAAGAAACCATGGTGTCTCAGAGAAAACAGACTCCAGGAGTGGAGTAGGGAAAATACAGAATGGACTTGGAGAATCTTTTGTATCAGAAAGTAAAGTTCTCAAAGAATGATAGGGACATGTTATAAGGACACAGGAACCAGCATAACGGGGCCCCCACTGGCCAAATGCAGACAATGTGTACATAGTAAGACAAATGAATGTAGATACCATCTTAGCCAGGTGATGAAACAAACTGGTATCGCACTACTCCTGCTATGATGCAGTGAGAACCCTTCTGTGATACTCCCCTCAAAAATGAATAAATCAAAAGGATCACAGAAAAACACAAATTGCAAGGCATTCTATAAAGGAACTGAGCTTTGTGCAGTGGCAGTATCGTAGCCAGTGAGGTTTATCGGAGGCGTGATCACTGCTAATTGAAAACTTTTCTATAAAGGAACTGGTCTGTAGTTAAAAAAAAAAAAATCAATGTCACAAAGGACAAGGAAATATGCAACATGTAATCTTAGATTAGATCCTGGATGTTATTAGAACAACAGGTGAAACCTGAGTAGGGTCTGTAGATGAGATATTGGATCAACTAGATATTGTCTACAAAATCTTGATTTTTGATGATTATACCACGGTTACGTAGGAGAATTTCCTTGCTTTTTAAAAATACACACTGTAGTATTAAGGCATAAGGATACCATGTTTGCCTTATTGCCAAATGATTCAAAAAACAACAAACCTCGAGTATGTGTGTGAGGGGTACTGGGAAGGGAGAATAAGATTTTTTACCACATTGATCAAATGTTAACAGTTGGAAAATCTGAAATCTGGGTGAAGGGTACACAGAGGAACTCTGTGCCATTTTTGTAACCATTCTGTAAATTTGAAATTATTTTTAAACTATTATTTTTTAATTTAAAAAAGCAATAGCAACTCTAAAAGACTATCATCAAAAGGCTTTCTAAGGAGTCTATGGGGGGAAAAGGTGGTGGCCATTATTAACTGAATGATGTCAGTTCTGCCTGGGTGCTCGAAGTGGAGGTGACAGCGGAAGGGGCAGGGAGACATCAAAATCTAACTGATAAGGGAGAACTGCAATATGTCTTTCCTACTCCCTCCCTTAAACTCCAGTCATGTCACCCCTTATTCGTTTAGGCTCAGGCAACTGTGCTTATGTAAAAATATCAATGGATAGCTCTACCGACTGGTTACTAAGTTGTCCAAATGGATGCTGGGGTAAACATGAATAACCGTCTGAAGTAACACCAAAGATTGTATAATGCTTTATTCAGTGACCACAATGCAAAGAAGGTACCAAATGGATTATGGTTAAACTGTCTTTTATGCATTTCATTAACGACAATACTATTGCTTGGTTCTGTAACATGCTAACAAATTTAAACTCTATCATTTGGGAAATAAAGCAATAAAATAAAATTTCTGTTGTGTACCAACTATAGTAGTATTTTTGTGTTGTAATTATCGTAAACAGTATATCCGATATTCTAGGCACTACCATGGTGCTGAGGTTGACAAAAAAGACTAAAACAGGGTCGCTGCTGGCAAGGTGTTCACAGCATAGTTGGAGAAAGGTCTATGAACAATCATGGTACAGTGTGATAAGTGCGATGGCAACAGCAAGGAGTATTACAGAAACCTGGATGAATGGATAGAAAATAAGACCAGGAAAGGCTCCCTTTAAAGGAGGCAACTCCTGAGGTAAGCCTTGCAGGAAGAACTTCCCAAGCAAAGTCAGCAGAGGAAAGCCATTCCAAATGCTGAGAGCTGGATGGTGCACGACCACCCTGGGGTGGTCGATGCTGATAAAACCTAAAGCATGACATCACAGAGAACAGGGGAGAGTTGAGCAAGGGCCAGATCATGGAGTTTTGAAGCCACGCTAAGGAGTTTCAACATTCTTTTTTAAGATTTTGTGCATGAGAGACATGATTTGGTCTTCATTTTCAATCTGCAGGCAACAGATTGGACAGCCAGCACTGAGAAACAGCATGGAGGCTGCTCTCGGCCCAGACAAGAACTGACCACAGGCTGAGCTAGGGCAGTGGGAATCTGATGCAGGAAGAGGACACAAGCCAGCGATAACCACATTTTCGACTCACAGCACCCTGAGTGTCTTAGGAACTTTTTCACAGGATTCCTAGGCTAAAAAAAGTACCGAAAAGTTAAGTAGTTAGACCCAACAACTTAATAAGTACTGTGTCCTGTCACCTTAGACCCAACAACTTAATAAGTACTGTGTCCTGTCACCTTAGTGCCCAGTGGGCCCTGCACATCTCCCCCAACTGCAATCAGACTGAACACCATCACCCTCATTTCTTTTTCAGCGATTTTCAAAAGATACTTGCTTTTTATCACAGGAATAACTAAAAACAGCTTCACAGAGATATGAAGTCATCAAAATAAATGAAATGATGTCATGATGAAACTGTAAATTACTTCCAGCTAGTAGTTTGCAGAATGCCTGACAGATGTCATTACATTTCCCTTGAAAAATCAGAAACATCCCGGAATGCCCTGTGAGTTTTGCTTCAATGCCCCGAGGTGCCTCGGCGCACAGTTTGAAAATCATGACTATAAGCCTATTTAAGAAGTAAGTATGAGGCTGGCTCAGAAACTGACCGCATACAGGGAGATAAAGGATAACAAAAGAATCGAAGAGTCTCCCAGGTCCCACTCAGATGTCTGGGTGGGGAGTGAAGCTGGAAGGTGACAAGGACAAACAAGAGGAGATAATCAGGCTGCAAAGTCTTTAGGGGGAGCAATGCAGAAGGAACGATTTCAAGCACTTTCTATCCACTGTCTACAAATATTCCAGGATAATCTCATTTCACTTTTAGTTTGAGAACTTTTTTAACGAGCAAATGAAGCCTCATACCTAGAGATTTCTCAGAGCCAAACAGAACAGAAAGCGTCCTTAAACCACACCACACAACATTTTTAACAAGCCTCCCAGCCTTGAGATGCCCAGGTTTAAAGTAAACGGTGGTAAGCACACATGACGCCCCTCTTGCTCCTCACGAATATTTTAAAAGAAAGTTAACTGCCACACATTTTAAACACTGTTGTTCAGGGGCACCGCTTCTTCCTGTGGCTTGGCTACACGTGAGAATGAGAAAAAGTATCACATTCCATTTTGCTGCCATCAGAAGCAGAAGGAAAGGTTTTACAGAAGGGAGAGAGGAGAATAAGTTAATAGTTCCAATTACATATAGCTACAGAACCACTCAGGATGTCTACATTAATGCTGTATCTACTTTAATCCCATCAGGGCTAATCTAAAATTGATTTTTTTTTGCCCTTTGAAGTTTCTGTGACCAAATCTGTTCCTGAATCACCAGACCACAGATATGTGAGTGTAATTCCAATGTATCAGGCACAAATAGTTAAAATGAATATATTCCCTGAGCATTTGAAGCAACAACTCTGTTTCTGCATAACAAACAGTTACCGTTTTACTCAAATTGGCTCTGAATGTTGACACCAGCAACACAGAGTCACGAACACCCCTACCAGCCCCAAACCCTTCAGAATGGCAGGTCCTATAAGCCCTGGCCCCGGTACCCTTGACTGTCCACAGGCTGCCATAAGTCACTTTTCTTTCTCCTGAAAACTAGCAGAAATTTGGTCAAATGGTGCAAACGTGTGTGGGATGAAAGTAAGGGAAACAGAAGACTCTTCTCCTGGGGCTGCTTGCTTTAATACTACTCAGCACTATCACCATAAACCACTGATATCAAACAATGTGAGGGCGTAAGTGCAATTGCTCTGTGGGTAGCACCCTTATTCAGTCCTGAGGAAGGATGTCTACAATGGGAAGGCAGAGTTAGCCATCACTGAGAGGAGGTCAACCACTGACACTCGAAGCCAGCAAACACCCCTAAGAGAAATCCTCCCCAATAAATTCATGTCACACTCAGCTTCTTAACAGGTGTAAATATTTCACTGTGAGCCAAGAGAAAATTAAATTTAAAATGGGAGGGGGCTGGCACTTCCTGAAAAGTAACCAAGAACACTCACCGAGACACTTGAAAGGTGTAACAAAGCGACTCTTGCATTGCTTTTTGTCCCTCCGGCACCAGTTGTCAATACTAACCCGCTGGTTTGCCTCCATCACATTTGTGATCTGTAGCTCTGGATACATCTGTTAAGAAAACAAACACACACACAATAAATCAATCTGCAGACAGACACACACTTGCAAGTAAGGATGGAGTGTCTAAGTTTATTCAGCCTCCACCCTTATCCTACATACATCTAAAGTTCCACTCCATTATCCCTGGCTCTAACTGAAGTCATCAAACAAAAAGATACTGTATTAGTTTTGACAGGTTAGATTTCTGAACACTTCCACGCATTCTGTTTTCAAAAGGGATATGTATTTAAGGACAAACAAAAGCAGCACGCTTTTAGCCCAAAACAAATTCATGAGATGTCAAGTTTGCTTGTAGGGTAGCTGTTGAACTGATGGCTCCGTGAGGCAAGTCTATGGAAACATCTGTCAATGAAATTACAGAACTTGACCCTGGCCCTGTCTGCTCATCTTGGTAAGAAGTGGTGGCTGATGCCTATAATCCCAGCACTTTGGGAGGCTGGGGAGGATGGCTTGAGGCCAGGAGTTTGAGAGTACCCTGGCCAATGTAGCAAGACCCTGTCTCTATCAGAAAAAATAAATACAAGTTATAACATCTCCTATCATTTTCTCTTTAACACAGAGTTGAATCAGACCTGAGATGATCCTTTACAATACTGGTGGCTTTCTGTCAGTAAGGAGACATGTTTTGTTTTCCATCTTCCAAGACAAGTGGGAGGATGAGAAGCAGGCTGCACTCCCATGGCACTTGCCAGGCTTCTGCAGTATCCCTTCCTTAAAGAACTGAGAGCTCACAGAACACGCAGGCAAAGCCTTTGAGAGGTCTCAGTCATGCCACACATTTAGAAACAAAAGGCTTGGGGCTCCAGTCATTAGCATCTTGGTCTTAGGTCAAAAGAGAATGACAGAATATCTATTTCTAAGGTAAACAGATTCAACCCTGCCCCAGAAAAATAACACTTTCAACTTACTGGCAACACTCTTACCTCCTGACAGTACTGAAGAACTTCTTCTTTTGTTTCAAAGCAGCTCTTGGTGCCTGTTGGATCAGGTTCCCATTTCCCAGTCTGAATGTTCACATGCATATTTAACTTCCCACAAAACATTGCGATTTGAGGCTCAGCAACAGCAAATCCTGTTCCGGCATTGGCTGCAAGAGCCTACCAAAGGGAAAAAAATTGCAGGTTTACTCCAAGAAGGCTAGCACAGAGGCAACAGTCATTCAGGTCTATGTGACAGAATGCATCTTTTAAAAACCTTAATTATTTACTATTTGTATCTTCACAAACAAATCCTTTTCCCAGGAGCTAGAACAGAATAAAAAGTGACTTCTGGATGTGTATGATCAAAGTGAAAGGCAAAGGAAAAAACTTTTTTATTTATTTTATTTATTATATTTTAAGTTCTAGGGAACATGTGCACAACGTGCAGGTTTGTTACACAGGTAGACATGTGCCATGTTGGTGTGCTGCACCCATTAACTTGTCATTTACATTAGGTATATCTCCTAATGCTATCCCTCCCCCCTCTCCCCACCCCACGACAGGCCCCAGTGTGTGATGTTCCCCACCCTGTGTCCAAGTGTTCTCATTGTTCAATTCCCACCTATGAGTGAGAACATGCGGTGTTTGGTCTTCTGTCCTTGCGATAGTTTGCTCAGAATGATGCTTTCCAGCTTCATCCAGGTCCCTACAAAGGACATGAACTCAACCTTTTTATGGCTGCATAGTATTCCATGGTATGTGCCATCTCCTTAATCCAGTCTATCATTGATGGACATTTGGGTTGGTTCCAAGTCTTTGCTATTGTGAATAGTGCTGCAATGAACATATGTGTGCATGTGTCTTTATAGCAGCATGATTTATAATCCATTGGGTACATACCGAGTAATGGGATGGCTGGGCCAAATGGTATTTCTAGTTCTAGATCCTTGAGGAATCACCACACTGTCTTCTACAATGGTTGAACTAGTTTAGAGTCCCACCAACAGTGTAAAAGTGTTCCTATTTCTCCACATCCTCTCCAGCACCTGTTGTTTCCTGACTTTTTAATGACTGCCATTCTAACTGGTATGAGATGGTATCTCATTGTGGTTTTGATTTGCATTTCTCTGATGGCCAGTGATGATGAGCATTTCTTCATGTGTCTGTTGGCTGCATAAATGTCTTCTTTTGAGAAGTGTCTGTTCATATCCTTAGCCCACTTGTTGATGGGGTTGATTTTTTCTTGTAAATTTGTTTAAGTTATTTGTAGATTCTGGATATTAGCCCTTTGTCAGATGGGTAGACTGTAAAAATTTTCTCCCAAGGTTGCCTGTTCACTCTGATGGTAGTTTCTTTTGCTGTGCAGAAGCTCTTTAGTTTAATTAGATCCCATTTGTCAATTTTGGCTTTGGTTGCCATTGCTTTTGGTGTTTTAGACATGAAGTCCTTGCCCATGCCTATGTCCTGAATGGTATTGCCTAGGTTTTCTTCTGGGGTTTTTATGGTTTTAAGTCTAACATTTAAGTCTTTAATCCATCTTGAATTAATTTTTGTATAAGGTGTAAGGAAGGAATCCAGTTTCAGCTTTCTACATATGGCTAGCCAGTTTTCCCAGCACCATTTATTAAATAGGGAATCCTTTCCCAATTTCTTGTTTTTGTCAGGTTTGTCAAAGATCAGATGGTTTTAGATGTGTGGTGTTATTTCTGAGGGCTCTGTTCTGTTCCATCGGTCTGTATTTCTGCTTTGGTACCAGTACCATGCTGTTTTGCTTACTGTAGCATTGAAGTATAGTTTGAAGTCAGGTAGCGTGATGCCTCCAGCTTTGTTCTTTTGGCTTAGGATTGACTTGGCAACGCGGGCTCTTTTTTGGTTCCATATGAACTTTAAAGTAGTTTTTTCCAATTCTGTGAAGAAAGTCATTGGTAGCTTGATGGGGATGGCACTGAATCTACAAATTACCTTGGGCAGTATGGCCATTTTCACAATATTGATTCTTCCTATCCATGAGCATGGAATGTTCTTCCATTTGTTTGTGTCCTCTTTTATTTCATTGAGCAGTGGTTTCTAGTTCTCCTTGAAGAGGTCCTTCACATCCCTTGTAAGTTGGATTCCCAGGTATTTTGTTCTCTTTGAAGCAATTGTGAATGGGAGTTCACTCACGATTTGGCTCTCTGTCTGTTATTGGTGTATAGGAATGCTTGTGATTTTTGCACATTGATTTTGTATCCTGAGACTTAGGCAAAGGAAAAATCTAACCCTCAATCCCCATCTGGGATACTTCTAACTTTAGAACATATAATCCAACTGCAGTCTGTCCTCGTAAAAGCTAATCTACTTTCTAATCCTTTGCACACACCAAATCATGAAAGTGGAGAATTACTAAAATTCCAATAATTTTACTTAATTTACCCACAAAAGAAAATTTTCTGAGCAACTACTATTTCGCAAAGCAACATGCTAAGTGTTTAGGATATAAGAGTGGGCAAAAAAGTCATGACCTGCTTTCTTGGGGCTCTAATGCAAGAGTTAAAACTCACAAAAAGTGTGACCACATTCCCAAATGTCTTAAGAAGGAAAAGAACACAGTGTTGAGAAAGCACATAAAAAAGGAATCTGGGCCGGGCGCGGTGGCTCACACCTGTAATCCTACCATTTTGGGAGGCCAAGGCAGGCAGATCACGAGGTCGAGAGTTCGAGACCAGCCTGTCCAACATGGCAAAACCCCGTCCCTACTAAAAATACACAAATTAGCCAGGCGTGGTGGCGGATGCCGGTAATCACAGCTACTCAGGGGGCTGAGGCAGGAAAACTGCTTGAACCCGGGAGGCAGAGGTTGCAGTGAGCCGAGATTGCACAATTGCACTCCAGCCTAGGCAAGAGAGCAAGACTCAAATCTCAAAAAAAAAAAGGAATCTGACCTAAGCTTGGGTAGGAAGCTGATCAAGGAAGCTTCCTAAAGAGAGTGACAGCTGAGTAGCGCTTTAAGCATCCCATATGGAGGCAATGTTGATTTTGAGGCAGAGAGATGGTGGGAGAGGCATGCCGGGACAAGAGTCTGCAGACCAAGAAAGGACTTCAGTCCTTACCACTGAAGTGTTGAGAGGCTTTAAGCAGAAAGTTACTATTTTCATAACAAAGCTCTGATGCTTTCTCTAGTTGCACGGTGAAGAACCGACTGAAAGGAAATGAGTGTATGCAGGGAAATCATTCAGGACACTGGAGGTGCACATTCCAAGAGAGGAATAAATGGTAGCTTGGGCTAAGGTGGAGTGGTGGATAGAGAGATTCAAGAAACCACAGAGCCTAAAATAGGCCTAGGTGTGATAACTGATATGAGGGATGAGGAAGAGGAAGGTTCAAGTTTGGCTCCCATGATTCAAAATGTGATGGCATCATTCATAAACACAGAACACTAAAGGGGATTTCATGAACAATTTTCTCTCATGTTGGGTAAAAATAATCAACTATTCCATAAGATCTGTCTTTGGCCCATATCCTTTTATGTGCAGTCTAACCATTAACAGCTCAGAAGCTATAGCTGAGAAGTAACATTACAACAGCAAGGCTCCTGCAGACATGCACGAGAAAAGCACAGGCATCGGCCGGGCGTGGGGGCTCACATCTGTAATCTCAGCACTTTGGGAGGCCAAGGCAGGCAGATCACCTGAGGTCGGGAGTTCGAGACCAGACTGACCAACATGGACAAACCCCATCTCTACTAAAAATACAAAATTAGCCGGGTGTGGTGGCACATGCCTGTAGTCCCAGCTACTCAGGAGGCTGAGGCAGGAGAACTGCCTGGACCCGGGAGGCAGATGTTGCGGTGAGCAGAGATCACACCATTGCACTCCAGCCTGGGCAACAAGAGCGAAACTCCATCTCAAAAAAAAAAAAAAAAAAAGCAGACAGAAAGACAGGGAGAGAGAGAGAGAAAGAGAGAGACAAGCACAGGCATCTCTCTAAAAACATCCATTACTCGTGGTTATAGCCATAAGAGTCCCCAACTGCAAAACTTTCTTCAAAATTAAAATAAATAAACAAATAACAGTTCTTAAGTTAAAACTTGTAGAGGAGGAGGGTTAGATTATATGGTCTACCATGTTGTTCTTTTCAAAAACAGCATATACATGACATGGTTTTCCTACTAACAAGAAAGGGTAGCTTTGATGCCCCCACCCTTTTTTTTTTGAGACAGGGTCTTGCTCTGTCACCCACGTGGAGTGCAATGGGGCAATCTCAGCTCATTACAGTCTCGACCCCCTGGGCTCAAGCCATCCTCCAGCCTTAATCTCCTGAGTAGCAGGGACCACAGGCATGCGCCATCACACCCAGTATACACGTATTTATATTTTGGTAGAGATGGGGTCTCATTGTGTTGCCCACGCTGGTCTCAAACTCTTGGGCTCAAGTGATCCTTCTGCCTTGACCTCCCAAAGGACTGGGATCCTAAGCATGAGATACTACGCCTAGCTGACTTTTAAAATATGTGGAAAATGTATGATTTTCTAGGAAACTTTAATTTATTTATGCTGATGAACTACACAGACATGAACAATCCTTCTAATCAGTAACTTAAATTTGATTGTGAAATATATTATGGTCTTTTTCCAGGACCAATTTACCATCTGACATATGTTTTGCTTCGAAGCTTATTAAAATGAACCTGCTTTCTACTAGTATAAGAGAAGGAAGCACCAACCCTTGTTGGACAGCTGGGAGAAAGCTAATTTGGAATTAAAATGTTGCCAATATCTATCAGGGCTGAAAAACACCTCAGTTAAACCCAACAAACAATTAGCACCTTTATTAACTAGAATTGACTTTACCCTGCTGGAACGAATATTCATTTATTAAAGTAGAAGGCCCTATGCCTTCAGTATGAATGCACGTGAAGCTACAGACTAATATGAGTTCCTGCTTCCCCCAAAGAAGGAAAAAACACCTAAAGATATGTGTAGGAAGGAACACACACCTATTCATAGGTAATACTCTAGTGGTGCTTAATTCAAACAAATCATTAAAAGGTATAAAGGATGCACAAGACAGATGTGCTTAATCTTCACACTTAGTTCAAGATGCATACCAAGCCCGGCACGGTGGCTCACACCTGTAATCCCAGCACTTTGGGAGGCTGAGGCAGGTGGATATCTGAGGTCAGGAGCTCGAGACCAGCCTGGCCAACATGGTGAAACCCTGTCTCTACTAAAAATACAAAAATTAGCCAGGCATGGGGGCGCGTGCCTATGGTCCTAGCTACTTGGGAGGCTGAGACACTAGAATCGCTTGAACCCAGGAGGCAGAGGTTGCAGTGAAGCCGAGATTGCGCCACTGCACTCCAGACTGGGCAACAGAGACAGAGAATCTGTCTCAAAAAAAAAAAAAAAAAAAAAAAAAAAGATGTGTACCAAAAGTCCTGTTCTTTTGTAATCTAAGGATTATGGCTAGAAACTTGGATTGTGTGTCGAGAAAAATGGGGATATCCAAAGATAAAGGTAAGGAAACCCCAGGGATATTTTCGTGTACTGAAACCAGTGCTCTCCCCCGAATCCTTTGCTTCCCACTTCGAAAGTTCAGATAGAATTAAATGAAGAAAATCCAAGAAGACATGATAAATACGTATATGAAAAGCCCAATCTACAGGTCGGAAGGAATGTGCTTCCTAAACCTGCTACGAATGAACTCCTATAGTTAAGTCTGAAAGCTTCTGAGCAGTGTTTCCTAGATTCCCTCTGGCCTTCTATATTTTTACATTAAAGACAGCTACTAAACAAATCAGATTTCAGGTGGTATTTAATCTGTCAGCAGTTCAGCCTGCAGAAGGAGAAACCATTTACCCCTTAAATTCCAAAAGTGAATATAGCTAAGAAACAGTAATTAGTTACATGAGGTCACCCAAGCCACAGCGTGGAATGGTCAATTTCATCGTAAAAAGCCATTTATCAGCACCAAAGATTATGTTCCACATGTTACTCATTATGGTTGTTGGCTAAAAGACCGCAAGAGTTCCAACTGTATAAATGTTCAGTTTATGGGTCAACCACTAAGGTCAACACATCAGCGCTAAGTGCATTTCGGCTCTGTGCTGAGATGGTCAGTACTATCTTCCCTAAAGAGAATCTTAAAATACCAGAGGTTAAAGCAACAGGAAGAGGCAGCTAAGCACCAACAGATCCTCACATCAGTTACCACCAAGAAAAAGCAGAGAAACTGGAATCAATCCAGACAGCTAATATGCTGTAGTGATTCACTTTTGAGTTCAGAAAGATTAATCCTTGTGGTCTTAAGAGACTCTCAAGAAGGTATCATCGGAAATATAAAAAGCCTCTGTGGACCATGTTTTAGGAGTCAACTAATCAAACATACCCCAACCCTACCTAGGGTGTAAAAGGCTAATTTTTTCTGTAATGTTTGTACTTCTACCTTGAAAATGCCCTTATTTAATGTGCTGTCCATTTCCTTAAGCACAGACTGTGCCTTGATCCATTACATCAACATATAAATCAATCTGTTTCCTAATCTAACATGTTACAAATGGGATTTTGCTGCCAAGTCAGCACTTCTGATATCCTGTAAACCTGGAATCCTCTACCAAAAAAATTAATGCCCCATGTGTTGGCACTGAAGCCAGTCCTTGTGATCTATGCATACTGCAGCACTTTTAAGGCTTGGAAAACAAATTGCATCAACTGCTTCCCTAGCCCAGCACTTCCATTTTGCTTAATAATTCATTCTTAATAAGAAATTCCATTTTATTAATTTGGCTTGGGGAACAGTTTAGCAATCCAAGGACAGAAATTCAACTTGGTAAAAAGTGCTTCTAGTAACTTGGTCGAAAACCTGAAATGGCTTAAGGAAATAAATATGTAAATCTAAATAAATCTAAGTCTCAACCTACTTTAAATCAGGGCCTTTAATCACCTCAAGTGATGCAACTCCTGGGCTCATCTAAGCCTACCTCCCTTCACAAAGCCCTCAGGACCAGGCAGTCCTCTCACTCCAAAGCAAACGTGCACACCCAGTTATCTCTGCCCTCATTGAAGCTACTATTCCAGGATCAAATCTGGCTGCAGGGCTTCTGAAGGTGCCTGCCATAGAGGGAGCATCTTCCCATGAACATGGTTTGATCCCACTAGTGGAAGAATCAGGTCTCTTTGAAAGGAATCCGGCTTTATGAGACACACGAGTATTCAAGTTTCACCCTGCGAAGGCAATGTAACACAGTTCTAGTTCTAATAAACGCGGAATGAAGCAGGCCTTCGAGGCATCTAGTTACCACTAGCAAACTACTGATAGCGAAAGGTACGACGCTCTTGTTCAAAAACCTTTTTTAAGGAAAAGTCAGTAAAAAAGGACCATCTGTTAAAAGATACGAAAATCCTATATATTATTTTCATTCATATTTGTTCAAGCGCTGAAGTACTTCAAGGTTCACAAATTAGAACAAATTTATGTTCATGAACCTTCACCAAAGATTTACTAAACTGAACGAAGTGAAAAAAAAAAATTCTGTTCTCAGTATCCTTTCAAGGTATCTCCCCAAAGATATTAGCTACAAAAGGGAAAACAATTACTTGAGAGCAGAGACACACATCAGACACCTACATTAATCTCATCCACAATGAGACATTTGAGGGTGCTGATCAGGAAAGACCGGGGACTGCAACAGATCTGAGAAGACTAAGCAGAAATGACAAGTAAATGCAATGCAGGCGCCTGGACAGGATCCCGGAACAGGAAAAGGACATTAGTGGAAAAACTGCAGCAATTATTTGAATAAGGTCTGTAAGTCAGTTAACAGTGCTGTGCCAGTGCAAACCTCCTGGTTTTGATCATCGCATTACGAGTTATGCAAGATGTCAACATTAAGGGAAACAGGGTTACAGTATAGGGGAACTCTTGTAGTATTTTTGCAACTTTTTTTAAAGTCTAAAATTTGTTCAAAATACAGTGTTTTTGAATTCTGCTTATTATATGCCTAGATTTCAATCTGGAATGCATCGTTTCAATATTAAGAGTCTCATCTGTCAAAAAGAGAACACACAATTTGAGGTAGCACAACTAGTAAGTAAAATCGGAACAGGCTCAATACCTGAAAAGTGTATTATTCTAAACACACGGGCTGGGCGCGATGGCTCACGCCTATAATCTCAGCACTTTGGGAGGCCGAGGTGGGCGGATCACGAGGTCAGGAGACCGAGACCATCCTGGCTAACACGGTGAAACCCTGTCTCTACTAAAAAAAAAAAAATACAAAAAATTAGCTGGGCGCGGTGGCGGGCACCTGTAGTCCCAGCTACTCGGGAGGCTGAGGCAGGAGAATGGCATGAACCCACCAGGAGGCGGAGCTTGCAGTGAGCCGAGATCACGCCACTGCATTCCGCCTGGGCGACAGAGCGAGACTCCATCTCAAAAAACAACAACAACAACAAAACACACGGGTACACATCCTAATACAGTAAAGCCCCATTGTACACATATTAAATTCTATTTTTCTGCAATTGGAAGACTATCACGATTCTGACCCAGAGCCTAATGTGTAAGAAATGCCACATTTTTTTTTTACTGTCCAAACAGTGACCACAGTTTGAAACTTTAAGAGTATCTTTTTCAGCAGCAGAGAAGTGAAGCTTCAAACCACTATCTAATAAAATAGCAGGATTCTTGTTAAGCATTTTCCGGTTGTATAGCAGTAAAATGAAAAAACCTATTATTTAGAGTTTGCATTACATGAATGGAAAATTCTTGGTCTTTTGATTTTTTAACATTTAAACTTAATTCTAATTAGAAACTGGTGAACTGGGTGTAGGGGGAAAACTCCAAGTGTAAAAAGACATTATTCTTACAGTGACATATGCCGGCTGTTAGGTATTATTTTCACAGACAGTAATTTATACAAATAACTCCAGCTTTTATTAGAGCTTTAAATATTAAAGTATAAATGAGGTATCATTTCCAAGATTGAAAATGGTTTAGGCTGTCTCCAACGCTTTTTATGGAAACATGGTAATTTGTCCATCTGGATTATAGTGGTAAGGAGCCAAACATCATGATTTAATAGAGGTCTGTCTTTCAGTATGTGTCTCTGACATGAGAGCTAAGGGAAGTTTTTTCAAAATATACAAATACATAAAATACTTTCATGTAAAAAAAAAACCACGCAGAACAGTGTTTACACACCTGAAATTCTCAAATGAACAGGTTCTTCATCAGTCCCTGTGTTTTTTTTCTGATTGCCCATTATAAAATAGGAAGTCCATGAAACTTATTTCCAGGGGGTATGGAGACACTAGGGACTGGCCTCGGCCAACCATTACTCTTCTACTCACTGTACTACTGACCTGGGAGAAAGACCAAGAGTGTGGCTTTAAGGCGCAGACACACCATGACAGAGTTCCACCTCCATCACTGACTGGCTGTGCCAACTCTGGCAGGTCACCTAGCCTCTCTGGGCTTCACTTTCGTCATCTATAAGGTAATGACAATAATAACTACACATCAGTGCTGCTCTGACGTTTAAATGAGTTAATATATGTTAAGTGTTTGAAAAGTGTTTGTCACATAGAAGCGCTCTTCAAGCATTGGGAGCTTTCATTATTACCAGGTTTTAATTTTTTAATCTACAAAACAGGGTTATTAACATACCGACGGCTCAGGCCTGTTGTGAGGATTCGATTAAAATAACACGCAGAACCACTGAGCACAATGCCTGCCGCAGAGCAAGCACGTTAGCATCACCATCATCATCAGGCTGGCTCTTTCCACTCTCTGGCTGCAATTGCGCAGAACTGGGGCTTGAACCCGAGGTGCACAAGGGAAGAGGCCACAAAGTCCCCACATGACTGGCCATCCTTCCCAAATCCAGGATGGCATGAAATGGGTTTAAAAGAGTGCACATTCCTTCTTCACACATTAACTATGGACATGAGGAAAGCAGGTTGCATTAATGCTTCATATTTTGTGGGAATTCAGTCACCAAACGTTTAGATGAATGATTTAATACATTTAAAAGAAAATGGCCAAGAGTTGCTGACTTCCTGGCTCTAGCCCAGCTTCCGGGACTTGGAAGTGAAGTCAAGATGAATCTGCAACTATCAAAACACTTCTGTGATCAGAAGAGCACTATGTAAATTATTTTTCTAAACTGGTTTTCCTGATGGACATTCTGCTTCCTTGCTATGTAATCTCATGGAAGTTATTTAATCTCTCTTGACCTTAGTTTTCACTTTTGTGCAACATAAATAGGGTGCTACTCAAAGTTTAGTTATTAAATGAGACACCTACAATATTAACTTTTTTTCACACTATAACAGATGGAACTCTATTTTCCTAAAACTCCCCATGCAGGAGAAACATGGCTTAGAAATGAAGATGGCCTCCCTCACTAAGTCAGAATTCACTGTGACTCCAAAGCAAACCAGACATTTCTCATACTTTGTCAGGCATGCTAACTGCAGAGGTCAGGAAGGCAGGAGGCCTCAGAATTAATATAAGATGATCTAAATGGTGTGAAGTTGGGCTTAACATTTGAACTCACTGGCCAGCATTACTTAGGCAGTTATTAAGAGTGTGCTGACTAGTACGTGCAGAGCAGGGGTGGGGGGATGTAGAAGGATATGTTTTCTAAACCTTAAAAGAGTGAAATGATTTCAAGTAACACTCAGAAGTACTACTCATTAAATATTAATAATAAAATATGTTTATTCTAAATCATTCTTATTGATTCAGATGACAGAAATAATACAAATGATGAAGGGTTTTCTGTAGAATATCCAAGCACAAACCTGGCAATACTCTCAGAAATTATAAGCTTCCTCTGGCTGACCTGGTACTCTATGATATATACTTTGTTTTTATATGCATTAAGCCAGTCACTAAAAATCAGATTAAGCATAGTTTGAGTATTTCATGTACTTGTAAAAAATTACACTTCTTTTTAAAATATTCCATTTTTCTGACCAACTATTTCACTAAATAAACACTTGAATTAGTGATTTTACCAAGGCTAAGTTGAGAAACTATCCAACATGCCAGCTTTGGCTGAAATGCTGTAACTGACTTCAAGAGGTTAAAACCACAAACATGAATAACCAATGTCAGAGATCTGAAATTGACTTCACTAGATCTCTTTTCCTTTAACGTATCTGGGAAAAAATAAGAAAACAAATTCATGCAACTGAAAACATCTTTTTTTTTTTTTTTGAGACGGAGTCTCCCTCTGTCACCAGGCTGGAATGCAGCGGTGTGATCTCAGCTCACTGCAACCTCCGACTCCCGGGTTCTAGCAATTCTCCTGCCTCAGCCTCCCAAGTAGCTGGGATTACAGGCACGTGCCACCACACCCGGCTAATTTTTGTATTTTTAGTAGAGATGGGGTTTCACCGTGTTGGCCAGGATGGTCTCCATCTCCTGACCTCATGATCCGCCCACCTCAGCCTCCCAAAGTGCTGGGATTACAGGCGTGAGCCACCGCGCCCGGCCAAATATCCATGTTTTAATATATATGATGATTTTTGCCAGTGTTTTAAAGCAGGGAGGGGTCCCCAGCATCCACTAGGGGACTAACAGGGTCTACAAAAGGTTTCCAGTGGCCCCCCTGAAAAATGAGAAACCTAAGAAAGGTCTAGTGTGCATGTGTTGTGCACACATCCACGCGTAAGGGTACAGAACTGCTAATGGTCCTTGCTGAAGAATAACTGTCCTGAATTCTAACATTATCTTCTACCTTTTGTTATTAAAATGGTTTCATAAAATGATGGCAACAATCAACAGGTAGCTGCTTTTTAAAAATTATTCTTCTGTAATATTAACCAAGAACAACCTTATCTATTTAAAACATTTTTCTTAGTTCCATTATTCCATAAAAACCAAACACTGGAAATCACAGGTTTAGGTTTTTCTTGTGGGTATTTTGTTGTTGTTGTTTCTGAGCCAGAGTTTCACTCTGTCGCCCAGGCTGGAGCTCACTGCAGCCTCAACCTCCCAGGATCAAGCAATCCTCCCACCTCAGCCCCACAAGTAGCAGGGACTACAGTCACACACCACTACACCCGGCTAATTAAACAAACATTTTTTGCAGAGACGGGGTCCCACTATATTGCCCAGGCTGGTCTTGTACTCCCAGCCTCAAACAATCCTCCCTCCTTGGCCTCCCAAAGTGTTAGAATTACAGGCATGAGTCGCCATACCTGGTCCTTAAATTTCTAAGGTTCTGCTATGCTGAAAGGCATGAAATTCTTGGGTGAATAACCCATATCTTTGCTTATAACAAGAAAATCTGACAATTTGCCAAAATGATTTTCACAGGGCAGGGAGAGAGAAACTTTACACTTTAAATACAAATTTCTATAGTCATTCCGCTAAACATTTTATTAGGTGCACACAACACTCAGATATCAATCTGGATATAACAAATCAATTTAACTTCTAATGCCCATTAAAACCATGAAAATAACAAAAATACGAAAGTGCTCTACCCTTTCCAAATTCAAAGCAAGTTAAAAGACATCTTTCCTGTGATTTATGTGGCATTTAAATTTAAAAGTAAATCAGACTGTATTACCAGCTTACAGCAGATCTGCTTGCAGACAATAATTCTTCCTGTCTTGGACCCATGCCCATGTGCATTATTGTAATTATCAACAATTTAAAAAACTGAAGTAATAAAGCAAGTATGAGCCACTAGTCAGTATATTTACTGCTTGCTGCACTGGCTATTAGTTAACCTTCTGGGGTTCAAACCACCTAACTACTAATAAATGCATAAACGACAGCAGGAAAAGCTACCCTCGAGTAAAAAGAATGAATAAAAGGAATATAAACGTGTGTGTAAGCACACATGAACCTGCATGGTGTAAAATACAACAGCACCTTTTTTGGTATTTTTTAGAGACAGGGTCTTGCTCTGTCACCCAGGCTGGAGTTCAGTGGTGCAATCACGGCTGATTATAACCTTGAACTTCCAGGCTCAAGTGATCCTCCTGCCTTGGCCTTCTGAGGAGCTGAGACCACAGACGTGCAGCACCACACCTGGCTAATTTTTAAATGTTTTGCAGAGATGAGGTCTCGCTATATTGCCCAGGCTGGTCTCAAACTCCAAGTCTCATGCAATTCCCCAGCCTCAGCCTCCCAAGGTGTTGGGATTACAGGCATGAGCCACAGGGCCCAGCCTCAACAGCACTTTTGTACTACTTGTCAGGTGGGCACTGGGAGCCCTCCAGGATCCAGTCTCTACCCAGCACTCTGAATCACCTCAAGGCAGAACACACTGCTCTTCTATTCCAGAGAATTCAGAGTGGCTAATGTGGCTTGCAAGGCCCACCATGATGCAGCCCCTGCCACACTCCAGCATCCCTCCAGTCCAGCACCACCCTTGATGTCACAAGCCAGGGTCTGTCTCACCTCAAGGCCAACTGTCCTCTCTTGTTGAGGATGACTGTCCTGAATTCTAATGAACTCCCAGAACTCGAAGCCTTCCCCTGCTGTTCCCAAGCAAGTGTGGTGGTCTCACCCTCAGGACTCTGCTCAAAGGGGCATTCCGTGGAAGGCCTTCTCCTCCAACCCATTCCAGGTTTTATCTCTCTCAAGCAATCTGAAACGACCTTGCTCATTCATCTGCAGTGTCCATCTCCCATCACTAGAATGTGACTTCGTCAAGGGGAGAGGCCTCATGTATTTTCCTAACCACTGTTATCTGGGAACAGCCCCTAGCATGCAGTAGCTCATCATTTATACCCAAGTAAACAACTGACTCTAAAGTCTATGCTCTTGGTTTCTTCAAGATACTGCACTAAACTAGTATCAACCTGCAGGTATTTCTAAATCAACAGTGTACTAGTCTCCATACAAGGAGACCTACTAAAAGTTGACAAATTAAATGACAAAAAAACTTATGCAAGATGGCAAGTTTCCATTCTCTTAATTTTAATTTTTGTCAAGTGACTCCAAGCACACAGTTTGAGAAGCCACACAGTACAAGGCTAGAGCTCACACGAGAAGGACAGCTTCCACCCAAGTGGAGCCTGCTCTGCAGAGACTGTGCTTCCACAGCTATCAGGCCTTCCACCTGCTCTTTATCTCCACATTTCTACACAACATGTTTTATTTCTGTATCTTTTCAGTCCAGATATTATCCTCCAATGTTTTTAATTCTTAAACTGCCAAACCCTACACCCATCCACCCACTTGTCCCATGGTCAAATCAATACTTCATTTCCATTGTAATTATTACTTTTAAAGAAAGGTCTCTCTCTGTCACCCAAACTGGAGTGCAGTGGTGCAATGATAGGTCACTGCAGTCTCAAACTCCTGCACTCAAGCAATCCTCCGGCCTCAGCCTCCCGAGTAGTTGTAACTACAGACATGCCACACCACATCCAGCTAATTTTCATTACTTTTTTGTAGAGACAGAATCTTACTGGTGTTAGGCAATCCTTCCGCCTCAGCCTCCCAAAGAGCTGGGACTACAGGTGTGAACCACGCATCTGGTCTATCTCATTATAACATAAAAGCGTACTGTGATTACAATTCCTTTCTAGGCATCTATTTCCCCATTAGAGTAAGCAACTGCATCTTCTTTTACTTGCTTGGTTTCACACGCATTGCATTGACTACCAATTCTCCCTGAAATTGTCAGAAAAGATCAGTAAAATTCCCTTCAGTGTAGTCAGACACACTAGCTGACCCACTGGTTTCAGTCCCTCCTTTCTAGAATGCATCCCTCCTCTGGCCCTCCATTTCCCTGCTTCATCTGGACCAGTTACTCTCTCTGCCTCGGCACAGCTCTCATGAGTCCTGAAAATTCCTTCCCCTTTCTTTGGTTTTGACTCAGTACTTCCCTCTTTCTCAACTTCCTGTTTTAGTGGCTCACAGTGCTCCATAGCTTCCTAAGAAAGGGTGTGTGAATGGAAAATTCAAACATGACAGATCCCAAAAAGGTTTTTATTTTATGTACACGTCTTGTCAATAATTTGGATGAACGCTAAATTAAAGGCTGGAAATAATTTCCCTCAGAATTTGAGGTCTTCTAGCTTTCAGCACTGCTATTGATAAATCTAAAGCCAATCTTCCCAATCCTTTGTGCAGGTCTGGGTTTTTTTACATATAGAAGTAAATCCCGGCCAGGTGCGGTGGCTCACGTCTGTAATCCCAGCACTTTGGGAGGCCGAGGTGAGTGGATCATTTGAGGTCAAGAATTCAAGACCAGCCTGGCCAACATCGTAAAACCTCATCTCTACTAAAAATACAAAAATTAGGCCAGGCACTGTGGCTCACACCTGTAATCCCAGCACTTTGGGAGGCCAAGGCAGGCAGATCACCTGAGGTTGGGAGTTCGAGAACAGCCTGACCAACATGGAGAAACCCCGTCTCTACTAAAACTACAAAATTAGCTGGGCATGGTGGCGCATGCCTGTAATCCCAGTTACTTGGGAGGCTGAGGAAGGAGAATCGCTTAAACCCGGGAGGCAGAAGTTGTGGTGAGCCAAGATCGCCCCATTGCACTCCAGCCTGGGCTACAAGAGAGAAACTCCGTCTCAAAAAAAAAAAAAAAAAAAAAAATACGGCCGGGAGTGGTGGCTCACGCCTGTAATCCCAGCACTTTGAGAGGCCAAGGCAGGCGGATCACGAGGTCAGGAGATCAAGATCATCCTGGCTAACATGGTGAAACCCTGTCTCTACTAAAAATACAAAAAAAATTAGCCAGACGTGGTGGCACATGCCTGTAATTCCAGCTACGCGGGAGGCTGAGGCAGGAGCATAGCTTGAACCAGGGAGGCGGAGGTTGCGGTGACGTGAGATCATGCCACTCCACTCCAGCCTGAGCAACAAAGTGAGACCCTGTCTCAAAAAAAAAAATAAATAAAAAATAAAAGTTCCAAGATTTTCCCAATCTCTGGTATTCTGAACTTTCAACCTAACATGTCTTGGTGTGCTCTTTTCATCACTCACTGGCCTGAGCTCTCAGTGGCCCTGTTGGCCTGGACACACACAGTCCTGTGTTTCTGCTATTCTCTTTCTGAAATTCTCATTAGTTATCTCTTAGACCTCCTAGATTGACCTTCTACTTATCTTTTCTAGTTTCTTTTTGTTTTCTCCTTCTGGAAGATTTCTACTGGGGTCTTAGTTCTGCTTCCACATTTCTAATTTCCAAGAACCCTTTGTTATCTGAACGTCTTTAAATTTCAAACAATTACTTCATAGATGTTATGCCCCCTCTTCTCTCCTTTGAGGTAAGAACTTGTCTTTGTCTATTCCCTACATTGCCTTCAAGTTGCTTTTTCTTCTTGTTTTGTTCTCGTTCATGTTCAAGGTGTTCCTGAAGTCTTTGGTGATCCTAAGCCATCTAATTCACATTTAAGAAGGGAACACTAAGAAGATGGTTGGAAGTTTCTGGAAGTTTCCTGCACATGCACAAGGTCAAGAGCGGCCTTTGCCTCTCCAGGGAGGAATCCTTCAGTCAGTTCTCTGCCCCGGGCCTGGTTAGGGAGACTTTCACTGCTCAGTCCCTCACCTTCTGCTGGGCCCACTCTCCCCAAGTAAACCTCAAGTCTTTTCCTAGACTGCCAGGTAGGGAGGGGTATTCAGGGGGCTAAATGCTCACATTTAGTTTCATCTATGTCCCCTGGGGCCTCAGCATGTCTTCAGAGGCCCTGGTGCTTTCTATCTCTCAGATCTGAGTTTGCTCTGCAAATGAGGTTGCTTTTACTTGGCTCCTCCCGGCTAAGATGAGGTCTCAGCCTTTTCTGATTTGCTGGCTCAGTCTGTTTGCCATCTTCAAGATTTCATAGGCATCTCTCCCTTCCTGTTCTTTGTTAGTTTATTCATACGTTAACTGTATTGCAAACTAAGTGGTATTCTATCATCAAGACAGAGCTCCCTCTCCCTCCCCCTCCCCCTCCCTCCCCCCACGGTCTCCCTCTCATGCGGAGCTGAAGCTGGACTGTACTGCTGCCATCTCGGCTCACTGCAACCTCCCTGCCTGATTCTCCTGCCTCAGTCTGCCCAATGCCTGCGATTGCAGGCACGCGCCGCCACGCCTGACTGGTTTTGGTGGAGACGGGGTTTCGCTGTGTTGGCCGGGCCGGTCTCCAGCCCCTAACCGCGAGTGATCCGCCAACCTCGGCCTCCCGAGGTGCCGGGATTGCAGACGGAGTCTCGTTCACTCAGTGCTCAATGGTGCCCAGGCTGGAGTGCAGTGGCGTGATCTCGGCTCACTACAACCTACACCTCCCAGCCGCCTGCCTTGGCCTCCCAAAGTGCCGAGATTGCAGCCTCTGCCCGGCCGCCACCCCGTCTGGGAAGTGAGGAGTGTCTCTGCCTGGCCGCCCATCATCTGGGATGTGAGGAGCCCCTCTGCCTGGCTGCCCAGTCTGGAAAGTGAGGAGCGTCTCCGCCCAGCCGCCATCCCATCTAGGAAGTGAGGAGCGCCTCTTCCCAGCCGCCATCACATCTAGGAAGTGAGGAGCGTCTCTGCCCCGCCGCCCATCGTCTGAGATGTGGGGAGCGCCTCTGCCCCGCCGCCCCATCTGGGATGTGAGGAGCGCCTCTGCCCGGCCGAGACCCCGTCTGGGAGGTGAGGAGCGTCTCTGCCCGGCCGCCCCGTCTGAGAAGTGAGGAGACCCTCTGCCTGGCAACCGCCCCGTCTGAGAAGTGAGGAGCCCCTCCGCCCGGCAGCTGCCCCGTCTGAGAAGTGAGGAGCCTCTCCGCCCGGCAGCCACCCCATCTGGGAAGTGAGGAGCGTCTCCACCCGGCAGCCACCCCGTCCGGGAGGGAGGTGGGGGGGGGTCAGCCCCCCGCCCGACCAGCCGCCCCATCCGGGAGGGAGGTGGGGGGTTCAGCCCCCCGCCTGGCCAGCCGTGCCGTCCGGGAGGGAGGTGGGGGGGTCAGCCCCCCGCCCGGCCAGCCGCCCCGTCCGGGAGGTGAGGGGCGCCTCTGCCCGGCCGCCCCTACTGGGAAGTGAGGAGCCCCTCAGCCCGGCCAGCCACCCCGTCTGGGAGGGAGATGGGGGGGTCAGCCCCCCCACCCGGCCAGCCGCCCCGTCCGGGAGGGAGGTGGGGGGGTCAGCCCCCCGCCCGGCCAGCCGCCCTGTCCGGGAGGGAGGTGGGGGGGTCAGCCCTCCGCCCGGCCAGCCGCCCCGTCTGGGAGGTGAGGGGCGCCTCTGCCCGGCCGCCCCTACTGGGAAGTGAGGAGCCCCTCTGCCCGGCCAGCCGCCCCATCCGGGAGGGAGGTAGGGGGGTCGGCCCCCCGCCCGGCCAGCCGCCCCGTCCGGGAGGGAGGTGGGGGTGTCAGCCCCCCGCCCGGCCAGCCGCCCCGTCCGGGAGGGAGGTGGGGGGGTCAGCCCCCCGCCCGGCCAGCCGCCCCGTGCGGGAGGGAGGTGGGGGGGGTCAGCCCCCCTGCCCGGCCAGCCGCCCCGTCCGGGAGGTGAGGGGCGCCTCTGCCCGGCCGCCCCTACTGGGAAGTGAGGAGCCCCTCTGCCCGGCCAGCCGCCCCGTCCGGGAGGGAGGTGGGGGGGTCAGCCCCCCGCCCGGCCAGCCGCCCCGTCCGGGAGGGAGGTGGGGGTGTCGGCCCCCCGCCCGGCCAGCCGCCCCGTCCGGGAGGGAGGTGGGGGGGTCGGCCCCCCGCCCGGCCAGCCGCCCCGTCCGGGAGGGAGGTGGGGGTGTCGGCCCCCCGCCCGGCCAGCCGCCCCGTCCGGGAGGGAGATGGGGGGGGTCAGCCCCCCCGCCCGGCCAACCGCCCCGTCCGGGAGGTGAGGGGCGCCTCTGCCCGGCCGCCCCTACTGGGAGGTGAGGAGCCCCTCTGCCCGGCCACCACCCCGTCTGGGAGGTGTGCCCAACGGCTCATTGAGAGCGGGCCAGGATGACAATGGCGGCTTTGTGGAGTGGAGGGGCAGGAAAGGTGGGGAAGGGATTGAGAAATCGGATGGTTGCCGTGTCTGTGTAGAAAGAAGTAGACATGGGAGACTTTTCATTTTGTTCTGCACTAAGAAAAATTCCTCTGCCTTGGGATCCTGTTGATCTGTGACCTTACCCCCAACCCTGTGCTCCCTGAAACATGTGCTGTGTCCACTCAGGGTTAAATGGATTAAGGGCGGTGCAAAATGTGCTTTGTTAAACAGATGCTTGAAGGCAGCATGCTCGTTAAGAGTCATCACCAATCCCTAATCTCAAGTAATCAGGGACACAAACACTGCGGAAGGCCGCAGGGTCCTCTGCCTAGGAAAACCAGAGACCTTTGTTCACTTGTTTATCTGCTGACCTTCCCTCCACTATTGTCCCATGACCCTGCCAAATCCCCCTCTGTGAGAAACACCCAAGAATTATCAATAAAAAAATAAATTTAAAAAAAAAAAAAAAAAAAAAGACAGAGCTAGAACTAGAATACTCCACCAGCATCTTTTGACGCGCAACAATTCAACAGCTACTATGAATATACTGGAAAACTAGAGATGGGAAAGTATTCCCAAGATCATAAGCTTTTATTTGTCATAAACATAACTTTGAAGAAAATAAAATTCTGACCCTTTATTCAAAGATCATTTCACTTGATTACTTTACAGTTATGTCAGTCAACACACTAGCCACTGGGTCTTATAGGTTGAATAGGGCCTCAAATTTCATTTACTGAAATCCTAGCCCCAAATACCTCTGAATGTGACCTTATTTGGAAATATGGTCACTGCTGATGTAAGTGGGAGGAGGTCATACTGGAGCAGGGTGGGCCCTTAATCCAATATGACTGGTGTCCTTCTGAGAAGGCGAAATGTGAACAGACAGACATGCATGCACACAGAGGGAGCGCCACGTGAAGATGGAGTTACGCTGCCAAAAGCCAAGAGCGAGGCCTGGAACAGGCCCTTTGTTAGTGCCTTCAGAAGGAGTCCAGTCCTGCTAACACCTTGAACTGGGACTTCTAGCCTCCAGAAAACCAGAAAAGTGAAACAATAAATTTCTGTTGCTTAAGTCACTCCATTTGTGGCATCTTTGTTACAGCAGCTCTAGCAAACAAACACACTGGGTAAACAAGACTCAACATGTGTATTTAGGGAGCATATATACTCTGAGACAGGATCCAGATGTAGAGAAACAGGATTACAATGTAAGGTGCACGCTGTGAATGTGAGGTGAGGACATGGAGACAGTGAGCATGCTGCAACTGAGAAGAGCTGTAACAGAGGCATGCACGGACTTGGCACAGGAGAGCGACAGCTACGGAGGATGAGGGGCTGAGCCTTCAGAACTCTTCTCCAAGGAAAGTGTGCTTGGGCTCCCTTCCAGCGTGTGCATGACCCTGCTATGCATACTTTGGAAGGTAGGAGGGTGTGATCAGGAAAGATGAAGTATAGAAAGGAGACCAGTTAGGAAGCCACTGCATTCATCCAGGCAAAAGATGATGAACAAAGGCAGGAGCAGTGTGAATAGGAAAGTGACAGATGAGAAATACTTGGACAGGGGACATGAAGGAAGGATTGGAATGAGTCCAGCTTTCTAATTCTGACAACTGGGAGAATGGCAAGGCTAACAGCCAAAGAAATTGGACGGGTGGTAGGGAGGGGGCTGAGGATTGGAGACTGATAAACTTCAGTTTTGAGTGGCATCATACTGGAAGGACTCACAGCTTACCAAGTGCCGCGTTTTTTGTCCACCAGACAAAAATAGAGGATGGGCATTCCAGAGGGTAACGTGAGCTGGAAGTAAGGATTTTCTATTCATTACCAGGCTGGAAGAATTTTAAGCCTAGAGATTAGGCAGAACCACCTGGGGGAGACTGTGCAATGTGAAAAAAAGAAGGCCGTCCCTATTTTCTACAGGTATATTATTAATATTATAAGTTGGGAGTCTATTTCTGAACAAATATCAAAAGAAAAAAAAGGACACAAATTATGACTGAGATACTTAAGTTTTTAACAACATTTTATTTTATTTTTCATATTATTTTAAATGTTGTTAAAAACTTAAGTATCTCGGTCATTCTGGAGTGTTTTCTTCATGGACTAGACTGCCTGAGGTCTCAAAATTTAAAGTTAGTGAAGCAGAGAGAGAAGATGACATTTGCTTTTCCTGGAAAACTTCTCTGGAGCAAGCATGAGTATCTGGTGTTGCTTGCTCTACAAACCTTCTTATTTCCTTCCAGTTTATATGCCTAGATGATTCGCATTGCTAATTCATTGTACATGAAGTCCTCAATCATGTCAAGAATGAAGTCAGAGATTTTCCCAAAGATAGACTCTTCAGAGGTCTGTTACTCCCGATTTCAGTTAACTTATTGGAAAACTCTGTTTCCTTACCAGTGCTTGCAGCCTTCCCTGAACAATGATTTTCTTAAAATTTTATGGTTTTTTCCCCCCTGGAACAATCAAACCATCCTTTCCTTGTCCTAAAATTCCTTCCTTTGATGACTTACAGATATCACCCAGACCAAGTTTAACCAATTATGCTGAGTGAATGGGGTAATTTTGGGGCCATCTGAATTCAAGTTACAATAATATGCCTCATGCATCCACATTTTGTGACAAGTTCAGCATCTTCACTGACTACACATACACAGGGAAAACTACATGTAAAAACTGTTTGGCTGGGAGCTTATCAGGCTTGAGTCTGTGCTCTGTATTTAATCTTTTAAAAGCAATACTTAAAATATTTTAATCTGATTTTAATCTGTCCTGAATACTATTCCTATTGTTTAAAAACAACACTAACCAACATTGAGTTTCAATGACTTTTATCAATTCACAAGATTAATCTTGCAAAACAATAGCCCAGCAGGATTTTTTTTAATGTAGATCCTGAGGAAGCTAATCAAGCCGCAAATAATCATTCTTCTAATAGGAAGTGGCTAGACGGAAAAACATTCTACAGTATTACACAGAAAGCCTCTTCAGAAGAGGATAAGGGGCAGGGTGGAGTCCAACCAATCGCAGGGCCATTCTGCTATGAAATGTGGTTTTTGGTTCACTTGAAACCTGCCATGGTGTTAAATATTTACTACAAAAGATCATTTCAAACCAATGTTCTCTTTTCCTCGTTTTCAACAAAGGTTGAAAACTCAACTGCCTCTACATCACAGACAGGGAATGGGGAGCTAGAGGGTAAGACCAAAATGGAGACCCATACTCAGCCCCCTCGAAGAGACCACAGGCTCTCTTCACCAACTGAAGCGGGGCTGCCACTACTTAGCCCCTGCTGCCAGATGTTCTAATTTCTTTAAAACCAGAGCGGAATTTTTATATTAAAACCCATGATCTTTGGAAATGAATATATTTACTTTGAATTTAAGACACAAGGAAGGTCAAATGGTAACAGCCAAATAAAACACAAGGACAGGTCACATTCTGCCTGCAGACTGCAGGTCTTCAACCTCAACTTTAGGTTACGTACTAGGTATCACAGTGAGGACGCTGATGACAGTTACTCTAAAAGAATAAAATTCACCAAACACCTTACACTCAAAAGCCATAGTGTAAACTAAAAGTAATTGTATTCTGTTAATTACTAATTTACAATAATTAACTTTAAAGCTCTATGGCATTTGAGGGTTAGAAGACAATACTGTTATGACAAGACTACCTAAAACAATCTACAGATTCAATGCAATACTTAATAGCCCAACAGGGTTTTGTTTTGTTTTTTCACAGAAACAGAAAAATCCATCTTAAAATTCATATGAAATCACACAATCTTGAGACGGAAGACTCATACTTCCTGATTTCAAAACTTACTACGAAGCTACAGTAATCAAACAGTGTGATATTGGCATAAAGACAGACATTTGGAATAGAGAGCCCAGAAATAAATCCTCACATGTTTGGTCAATTGATCTGCCAGGACAATTGAATGGGGATGCAACAAATGTTGCAGAGACTGGATAGCAACTTGCAGAAGAGTGAAGCTGGACCCTTACCTTAAACCATATACAAAACTGAACTCAAAATGGATCAAAGACCTAAGCTTAAGAGCTAAGACTATAAAACTCTTAGCTTAGAAGAAGACTTAGGAGAAAAGCTTCATAACATTATATTTCACAACGATTTCTTAAAAATGACACCAAAACTACAGGCAACAAAAGAAAAAAATAGATAAACTGGAATTCATCAAAGTTAAACTTTTGTGCATCAAAGGACACTATTGAGAGTGAAAACACAAACTGCAGAATGACAGAAAATATCTACAAATCACATATCTAATTAACATCCAGAATATATAAAGAACTCCAACAATTCAACAATAGCAACAAAACAATCTAATTCGAAAATGGGCCAAAGACTTCAACGGACATTTTTCCAAAGATATAAAAATGGTCAACATGAAAAGATACTCAACATCACTAGCTATTAGAGAAATGCAAATCAAAACAATAAGACACCGCTCCACGCCCATTAGGATAGCTATTATTTGAAAAAGGAAAGTAACTGTTGGCAAGGATGTGGAGAAATTGGAACCTTTGTCCACTGTCAGTGGGACTGGAGAACAGTAAAGTCACTGTGGAAAACAGTTTGGCAATTTCTCAAAAATTTAAGCACAGAATTACTATATGATCCAGCAGTTTCACTTCTTAGTAAATATCCGAAAGAACTGAAAGCAGGGACTCCCATATCTACATGTACGCCAATTTTCATAGCAGCATTGTTTACAGTAGCCAAAGGTAGAAACATCCCAAGTGCCCATTAACAGATGAATGAACAAAATGTGGTATATATGCACAATGGAATATTACTCAGTCTCGAAAAGGAATGGAATTCTGATGCACAAGCCTTGAAAATATACTAAATACACCAAACTCAAAAGGACATATTTTATGATTTCACTTACTTGAGCCCCAGAATAGGCAAATTCATAGATCACCAGGGGCTGGGGGATCCAGGGGAATAGAAAGTTAGTGTCTAATGGGTACAGGGTTTCTGTTTGGATGAAAAAGTACTGGAAATGGACAGCGGGGATGGTTGCACAATGTTGTGGATGTCCTTAATGCCACCGAATTGTACACTTAAAAACAGTTAAAATGAAAATGTTCCCTCTTCAATATTTTGGAAGACTATGAGAAGGATTAGTGTTAATTCTTCCTTAATGTTTAGTAGAATTCTCCAGTGAAGTCATCTGGTCCTGAGCTTTCCTTAGTTCGAAGTTTTTTTTGTTTTGTTTTGTTTTTTGGTTTTTTTTTTGAGATGGAGTCTCGCTCTGTTGCCCAGACTGGAGTTCACTGGCACAATCTCAGCTCACTGCAACCTCTGCCTCCCAGGTTCAAGCAATTCTCCTGCCTCAGCCTCCGGAGTAGCTGGGATTACACACACCTACCACCATGCTTGGCTAATTTTTTTGTATTTTTAGTAGAGACGGCGTTTCGCCATGTTGGCCAAGCTGGTCTCAAACTCCTGACCTCAGGTGATCAACCCACCTCGGCCTCCCAAAGTGCTGGGATTACAGGCATAAGCCACCGCACTCAGCCTGTTGGGAGGTTTTTGATTACTGACTCAATCTTCTTATTTGTTACTGATCTGCTCAAGTTTTCTATTTCTTCATGATTCAGTCTTGGTAGTTTGCACGTTTTTAGAAATTTACCCATTTCTTCTAGGTTATCCAATTTTTTGGCATACAACTGCTCATAATAGTCTCACGATACTTTTTATTTTCATGGTATCAATTGTAATGTCTCCTCTTTCATATCTGATTTTGTGTCTTCTGTTTTTCTTAGTCTAGCCAAGGGTTTGTCAATTTTGCTTATCTTTTCAAAAACCCAACTCTTTCTTTGATTTTTTTCTATTGTTTTTTTCTATTCTGTTTTCATTTATTCTGTTGCAAATTATTTTCCTCCTTCTGCTCACTTTGGGATTAGCTTATTCTTTTTCTAGTTTGAGGTGTACAATTAGGCTGTTTGAGATCTTTCTTATTTTTTTAATGTAGGCATTTACTGCTATAAACTTCCCTCTCAGTGGTGCTTTTGCTGCATCCCAAGGGTTTTGGTATGTTGTGTTTTCATTCGTTCAAAACATCATCTAATTTCCCATTTGATTTCTTCTTTGGCTCAATGGTTAAGACTGCTGTTTACCAAGGGTGTGTTTAATTTCCACCCATGAAGCCAGCATTACCCTAATAACAAAATAGGATTAAGACACTACAAAAAAAAGAACACTATAAGCCAATATCCCTGATAATCACAGACGCAAAGGATGTCAACAAAATACTAGCAAACTGAATCAGACAACACATTAATAAGATCATACACCTGGATCAAGTGGGATTTATCCCTGGGATGCAAGAATGGTTTAACACATACAAACCAAAAAATGTGGCATATCACATTAACAGAATGAAGGACAAAAATAATATGATACCCTCAAAAGATGCAGAAAAAGCATTTTTTTTTTTTTGAGACGGAGTCTCGCTCTATCGCCCAGGCTGGAGTGCAGTGGTGCAATCTCGGCTCACTGCAAGCTCCACCTCCCAGGTTCACGCCATTCTCCTGCCTCAGCCTCCCGAGTAGCTGGGACTACAGGCACCCGCCACCACGCCTGGCTAATTTTTTGTATTTTTAGTAGAGACAGGGTTTCACCGTGTTAGCCAGGATGGTCTCGATCCCCTGACCTCGTGATCCGCCTGCCTCGGCCTCCCAAAGTGCTGGGATTACAGGCGTGAGGCACCGCGCCCGGCCGAGAAATCGGAACTCCTGTATGCCGCTGGTGAAAAAATGGTGCAGCCACTATAGAAAATAGTATGAAGGTTCTTAAAAAATTAAAAGTAGAATTATCATATGATCTATCAATCTCACACCTGGGTATACAGCAAAAGAATTAAACTCATTATCCCAGACAGATATATGCATTCCCATGTTCACTGCAGAATTACTGACAATAGCCAAGACATGGAAACAACCTAAATGTCCATCGAGAGATGAATGGATAAGGAAAATATGATATATACATAAAATGGAATATTGTTCAGCCTTAAAAAAAATGTAAATTCTGCCACATTCAACAACATGGATGAACCTGGAGGACATTATGCTAAGTAAAATAAACAAGTCACAAAAAGACAAGTACTGCATGATTCCCCTTATATGGGATATCTAACATAATCAAATTCACAGAACTGTCACTGACACAGGCTGAAGGGAGGAAAAAACAGTTGCTATTCAACAGGTATAAAGTTTCCGTTTTGCAAGATGCATAAGTTCTAGAGATTTGCTGTATAACATTTTCTCTACAGTTAACAATACTGCATTGTGCACTTAAAATTTAGATCTCATGTTAAGTGTTCTTACCACAAAAAAAAAATGTTTTAAGGCAGGGCTTGGTGGCCCACACCTGCAATCACAGCACTTGGGGAGGCCAAGGCAGGACTGCTTGAGGCCACGAGTTCAGGACCAGCTTGGGCAAGAGAGCAAGTCCCCATCTCCACAAAAAAAATGTTTAATTACCCAGGCATGATGGCTCAACGCCTGTGATCCCAGCTACTTGGGAGGCTGAGGTGGGAGAGTCATTTGAGCCCAGGAGGTTGAAGCTCTAGTGAGCTATGATTGTGCCACTGCACTCTGGCCTGGACAACAGTGTGAGACCGTGTCTCAAAAAAAAAAAAAAAAAAAAAAAAAAAGAAAAGAAAAGTTTCAGTGGTTAATATATTTTGTTATGTACATTTTACCATATACACAAAAAGATCTGTGGACTTTAGGCTGTTCAATTTAGAAAATGCTTATGTCTTGTGGCTGACATGTGTAAAACATCTGGAAGGAAACACTATAAATCAGTAAGAAAACAGATAACCTAGATTTTAAAAATCTGTATATGAAAAGCTTCCCCCCTCTCTCTTTCTGGGGATGCTGTCTATAGGCAATGAGTCTGACATACTGTCACAGGCTTTCCTACAATACAGCCTCTAACAAAACTAGGCTGTCCCAAATGCACCAACACCTGCAGTGGCGTGTGCCCAGGCTGACTTAGAGGGCTTCATGCTGGGAGACCAGGAGTTCTTATGAGGTTATTCAAAACAAAACACATGGCATCGGGGCCTACAGTGGTTCCATTTGTTTTGTGTTTGTGACCAGATCAAACGTGCTTTCCTTATTGAGAAGCAGAAAATCAGTGTGAAAGTATTAAAAGCACAAGCACAGAGTCAGAAAATTAAATTAAAAACTGAGACCGGATGAGGTGGCTCACGCCTGTAATCCCAGCACTTTGGGAGGCCGAGGCGGGTGGATCACCTGAGGTCAAGAGTTCAAGACCAGCCTGGCCAACATGGTGAAACCCCGTCTCTACTAAAAATACAAAAATCAGCTGGGCGTGATGGCGGGCACCTGTAATCCCAGCTGCTCAGGAGGCTGAGGCAGGAGAATCGCTTGAACCTGGGAGGCAGAGGTTGTAGTGAGCCAAAATCGTGCCACTGTACTCCAGCCTGGGCGACAAGAGCAGAACTCCACCTCAGAAACAAACAAAAAAAAAAATGAAGTTTTGAGTAATAAAAATTAAAAGGCTAAATTAATAAAATCTGTATGAGAAGACTGGAAAAGTGTTGACTACCATCTCTCCAACAGAAGAAGTTTCTAGTTATTATATCATCTTAAGAACCATACAGTGCCTTCAGCTATGGTGTTATTTGTTCTGTCACGGTGCCCTACATATGGCAATTCCATAAATGTTTGCTAATAATGATGACTATGAAAAGCCTCAAACGAACCAATTACCATAAAGTCTTCCATTTTAGATCAAGTCCTTTCCAGAGGTTCTTTTAAATGCCAATTTGGGATATAGCTACAATGATTTTTTTTTAAAAGATATCCACAGTATGCTGTTTACATTAGAGAAGAATGAGAAACATACATGTTCAGTTATAAAAGAATCAAATAAATTACAAAATAGGCAGTCCTCTACTTTCACATAAGGTATATTTCTGTAAACATGAACAAGTTACAAACATATGCATGTTATTTGGGGATTCTGCTACTAGCAAGCTAATAATTTATCAGATCCCAATTACTTCCAGTGTTTTAGGGGGGAAAACACCCTTGAAAATTTCCAGCATTTTATAGGCATTCCTTAATTTTTTTCCACATAATTGAACCCACTGAGCATTTATATAAGTTCAAAGAAACTACCTAGAAAAACACCAAAAAAGCACCAGTTATCACCATGTGCTTATCAATAAAATAAACATTTTCCCTCCTTTTTATCACCCTTATAAAATGAGGGTAAAATAGTCAAGTAACAGTTCAATACTACTGCAAATATCCAATCACTGGCTAGTAGGCAACATCCCTATGCAATAACTCAAAATGTTCATACAATAGTTTAGTTACTCAAATCCAAATTCACAGCATGAATACCTATTTAGAGGGATGAATGTTGTACATTTAAAATTGCAGAGTGTTCAAAAGCCCCAAACCATCAAGTGTGATCCCAAAAAAAGCTATACACGTTACAAAATATGTAATGACCTGGAAATTATTCAATATGTTAAATGAAGGAAAAAACGGGTTATACACACATAAGGGGGAATCTACTCTTTTGTTTTTGGGGGGGTTTGTTTTTTGTTTTGGTCAAAACTGTATTTTCTAAATTTTTTGTAATAACTTGGAGAACTTAAAGGTTTGGAGTTTGTAGCTCAAAGCATATGAATCTAGAAAGATAAATCCAACGACCGGACGTGGTGGCTCACGCCTGTAATCCCAGCACTTTGGGAGGCCGAGGCAGGTGGATCAGGAGATTGAGACCATCCTGGCTAACACAGTGAAACCCCATCTCTACTAAAAATTAAAAAAAATTAGCCAGGCACGGTGGCGGGCACCTGTAGTCCCAGCTACTTGGGAGGCTGAGTCAGGAGAATGGCGTGAACCCGGGAGGCGGAGCTTGCAGTGAGCCGAGATCACGCCACTGCACTCCAGCCTGGGCAACAAAGCAAGACTCCATCTCAAAAAAAAAAAAAAAAAGAAAGATAAATCAGAAACTGACAGGACTCCACAGAGTTCAGCTTACAGTCATCACAGTCCAGGAACTTACAGTAAGATCCTGGATTGCTAGTGTCCTCAGGCTCCAGGTAGAATGAAAATTTTTGTCTGGAACACACATTAGCCTAGACCTCAAATTAATCAGTCTGTAAGCACCTGTATAAATAAAATGTCTGGCCGGGCACGGTGGCTCATGCCTGTAATCCTAGCACTTTGGGAGGCCAAGGTGGGTGGATCACTTGAGGTCAGGAGTTTGAGACCAGCCTGGCCAACATGGTGAAACCCCATCTCAACTAAAAATACAAAAATTAGCCAGGCATGGTGGCTGGCGCCTGTAATCCCAGCTACTCAGGAGGCTGAGGCAGGAGGCACCTGAACCCAGGAGGCAAAGGTTGAGACAAGACCACACCACTGCACTCCAGCCTGGTCAACAGGGTAAGATTCCGTCTCAAAAAATTATAATAGTAATAAAGGCAATGCTCTCTTCCCCCAAAACTTAGGAGGCTATTAACTTTGAAATCAGAACTTGACAAGTATATTACAAAAAGAGAAAAATTACAGGTCAAACTCACTTATTAGCAAAGAGGCAAAACTCCTGAACAAAATTTTTGCAAACCAAATGCAGAAAATAAACCAAGTTTGGTTCATTTCAGGAATGCAAAGTTTCCTACATACTGCACTCTCAAAATTAAATTCATATCATCATCTTATACTTGGCAAAAAAAGATGTTTGAAAAAAACTCAACATTCATTCATGACAAGAATCTTTGGCAAACTTAGAATATAAACTCTTCCTTATCCGATAAAGGGTCTGGTATCTACCAAAAAACTACGAGTATCATATAAATTGCAAAAACAGTTTCCCTCTGAGAGAAGTCAGACTAAGACACTAGCTATTGTCTTTTCTATCTGAACATTTTAGCTGGGGCAGCAAAGCAAGAAAAAGAAATAAAAGTTACAAGGATTGAATGGAAAGAAATAGAACTGTCACAATTCACAGAATATACTCAGAAAAATTTAAAGTTACAGATAAATTATTATAATTAGTATACATGTTTAGCAAGATTACTGGATACAAGGTCAATCTGAAAAATATCAATTGTATTTTTCACAAACACACAAACCAACAACAAAAAATCTTAAAGATGCCATTTATAATAGCATAAAAAAGATCAAATGACTATGAATAAATCTAACAAAAGATACACAAGATCTCTATGCAGAAATCTACCAAACATTGAAGGCAGAATTATAGAGGGCCTAAATAAAACACATGTCATGGGCCGGGCGTAGTGGCTCACACCTATAATCTCAGCACTTTGGTAGGCCAAGGCGGGAGGATCATCTGAGGTCAGGAGTTTGAGACCAGCCTGACCAACATGGTGAAACCCCATCTCTACTATAAATACAAAAATTAGCCTGGCATGGTGGTGGGTGCCTGTAATCCCAGCTACTCAGAAGGCTGAGGCAGAAGAATCGCTTGAACCCGGGAGACAAAGGTTGCAGTGAGCAGAGACTGCACCACTGCACTCCAGCCTGGGTGACAGAGCAACAACCTGTCTCAAAAATAAATAAATAAATAAATAAATAAATAAAAAAAATACATGTCATGTTCCCGGATTGGAAAACTAGGTATTTGAAAAATGTCAATTTTCCCCCAATTAAACTATAGACCCAAAGCAAAAGCAAAATTCTAACAAGAAGCTGTTTTGGTAAAATGTGGCAAATTTATGTGAAAAGAAAAAGGTTAAGGGAAGAGCTAAGATGCTATTCAAGACAAGCAAGGAAGGGCTTGATCTAGTAAATATAAAATCTTATTATATAATAATTAAGACAATGTGGAGTTGGTGCAAGGATAAACAAAGAGAACAATGGAATAGAAGGGAGAACCCAGGAACAGATTCACGCACAGGGAGATACTTGATTACAAGGGTGACAGAGCCGAGCAGAAGGGAAAGGATGACCTTGACAATAAATGGTGCAGGCCAGATATCCATAAGGAAAAAAACAGAAATGAAATGGCCCTTAACTTCACCTCTACACAAAAATCCAGATAAATTATAGCTCCAAAAGCGAAAGGCAAAAAAATAAAGTTCCCCATTGACAATATAGGAGACTATCGTTATATCCTCAGGGTAGGAAAAGACTTCTCAAACAGGATACAAAAAGCACCTACCATAACAAAAAAAGAAAAAGAAAAGACAAGACTAAAAAATTAGACATTAAAATTAAGAACTTCTTCAAAAGACATCACTAAGAGTGAAAAGGCAAACCACACAGAGAACAGCATTATCTTAATAACCTCAAAGTGGAAACAACTCAAACGTCCATCAACAGCAGAACAAACTGCGTGGTTTATTCATATAATGGAGTACTATGCAGCAACGGAAATGAGTGAGCCACAGCTACACTCAATACACGTGGCTGTCAAAAATGTGTCTAGTGAATGAGACCAAATGCATAAAAATATATACGGAATGATTCCACTTATATGAAGCTAAAAAAAAAAAAAAAGAAAGAAAAACTGAACTACAGTGTTTAGGGACGAATGCATGGGAGGTAATACTATAAGGAAATACAAAAAGTGATACCATAAAGTCAGAGGAGCAGTTACTCCTGAGCAAGGAAGGAAAGGAGATACTGGCCATGTTTTATTTCTTGACCTCAGTGGTAGTTACACAAGTGTTTCATTTACAAAAACACACTGAGCTTTTTTTTTCTTTTGTGTACTTTTAAATTTTGAAAAGCTCAAAAATACTCAAGGGCTTTCAATAGTGGGTAGAAGCAGCAAGGGTGGCTGGCACTTTCCTGATAAGGGGCTATCTTTACTTTCAGCTCAAACAGCTTGACATTCTTACCTTCTAAAATCATCACAGTATGCACAAATAATTAACACTATGTGTTGATAAATATGTGTTACAACTCTAATAACAGCCTAAGCAAATGTAATGAAAATATGAATGGAAATGTAAATTCCTAACTCAAGAGTTACTTCTGGAAAGTTCAAATGAGGCTTTTATTGGTAATGTTATATTTCCGTATCCAGTGGTTTTTTGTTTTTTTTTTTAAGGCTAAAACATACATGAGAAATGTTAAGATTCAACAAAACTGGGGGCTGGACATAAGGGTCTGTTTTACATGTTTAACTATCCTATGTGGGGAATGCTCATAATTAAAGAGAGTAAAATAAAAGCTCTAATAGTTCACCTCTCCGGGTAAAAAGCCTGCTTCAGCCTAAGCAAGTTACATGCTTAGCCTTCCAGAGACAAAGCATAAAATATGTGAAAATACTAACGATCCTTACTACCACCACTAATGTCACATTTTCTTATCTAGGCGAAATATCTCCCTCACAGTCCACTCACCTGTCATGTCAAATTTTTCACATTCTTCACCATTCCAGCCATTCTCTTCTGGATAGCATTATCCCTTTAAAATGATAGCATTATCCCAGATCTAACAAACGCATTGTGATGTCTCAGATGTCTCCATTTTGCCAGCTAACTTTTAACCCACAGATAATTTCTTCAGAAGAAATTACTTCTTTCTCTTTCAGCCATCCCAGCTACATAACTTCCCAGACAGGGAATGCCCCTGTAGCAGACACTGGGTTCTCACCAACATCCACAGCTTTCTTTTCCAACCAAGCCCAACTTTTTCTTTTTAGTAAGAGGTATCACCATCTGATAAGCCCAACCTGATTAGAGGCTGCACCCTCCTCCTCCTGGCCACATGCTTCCAAAAGCAGGCCCTGAGAAGTCAAAGCCTGTGGAGGCAGTACCATTCCCCTTGCCAAGGCTTGCTTTGGCTAGAAGCATCTGATACACTTCTATCCAGTGACACCTGAGGGGTCTTATGCTGGTGGGCTTTGAGAAAGGTTTCTTCACTCTTAAAAGGAGATATACAGGAAGAGACTATCTCTTCCTCCTCTGGACATTATCCTATCAGAGCATGTCCCCTGGAGTTAATTCCACAACCACTGGGGAGTGTGCCCAAGGAAGGCAGGGTAGGAAGGCGGTGGGGACAGCTCAATTAAGCAACCTTTTAGGTGCCCCACTCCACACACGAAGTAGTTTTTTTCTGGACCACAATCTTACCCCCATCACACTGGTCACTGGCCACTGATTGAGTATCTGGTGCTGGCAGCCTTCTCTCTTCCAAATAATCCCGCACCTTGATTTTGATAAAAATCTCTACAGGGAACCGTAACTTCTTTTCTTAAAACTTTAGGTCAGAATACAAAAATGACACAACTTACTACTAAAAAAAGAGAACTTGCACATAATATAAAAAGACACAAAAGAGCTGGGCCCGCAGTGGCTCATGCCTGTAATCCCAGCACTTTGGGAGGCTGAGGCGGCTGGATCGCTTGAGGTCAGGAGTTCGAGACCAGCCTGGCCAACATGGTGAAACCTTGTCTCTACTAAAAATATAAAAATTAGCCGGGCATGGTGGCGCACACCTGTAATCCCAGCTACTCAGGAGGATGAGGCACGAGAATCGCTTGAACCCAGGAGGCGGAAGTTGCAGTGAGCCAAGATGGCACCACTGCACTCCAGCCTGGATGACAGAGTGAGACTCGGTCTCAAAACAAACAAACAGAAAGGCCCAAAAAGTTTTTAAAAATCAGTGAATATCATTTGAATGATGCGAAAGAAAAAAATAAATCAATGGAAAATGTAAAACATCAAAGTCCCCTGTAATTACATACTTCAAAGGGTCACTATTAACCATATGGTTTACAATGGTTCATAATATATCACAACTTGTATGAAATTAGTTCCTTTTAAGGGAAACACTCATACCAGGTTTTGGTAATGGGAAAGACAGGTAGACATGAGTAAAAAGAAATCTGCATCCAAAAGGGAAATATGAACCACACTGACAGGACAGAGCAGTAGGCTTAGATAGGATGGGCAGACTCCTTCCCCTGGTCGAGCTGGGTGATGTTCAACCCTCGGCCTCTACTGACTCCCTTTTTAGGTAGGGATAAGAATACCAAATTCACGAGACTGTTAGGGACTTATGGAGATAAATTACCCAAAGACTTTGTTTTGTTTTTCTCTCCTTGCACATTAGAATCATCCGGGGAGCTTTTGAAACTGAGCATCCCAGAGGTACTCAACGACAATCTCTGGGGTTAGGGCCTAGAAATCATACACGAGTGTGTTTCGCAAAGTAAAAAGCACTATCCACATTTGGTTTTACTACTGTACTGTTTAGCATCTAGCACAGAACCATGTAACAGGTTTAATAAATACTAGTAGGATGAATTACAAATGAAAGTCAGCTAATTTTCTAATCTTCATCTTTAAAAAAATAGATTAGTTATGTTTTAAAAGATCTCATTTTGAAAAACAGATCTTGGCCGAATGTGGTGGTATGCACTGTACTCCTAGATACTCGGGAGGCTGAGGCAGGAGGATCACTTGAGCCCAGGAGTTTGAGGCCGCAGTGAGCCATGGCTGCGCCACTGCACTCCAGCCTTGGTAAGAGTGAGACCCTGTCTCAAAAAATAAAAAATAAAAATAAAGACTTCACGATGCTTAGGTAAGAAAAATTCCCTCAGCAAAAGCAATTATTAGTTGTACTTGACACAAAGGACTGGAACTCATTTCTGCTTGAATGTGCCTACATAGTCCACTTTCCATCTTAGGCCATAAATCAAGGTACAATACACTAAATTTAATTAAACTTCAAGGTAATCTAGTTTATCTCATTAAAAATCAACCCATGAAAATTGAATTATAGGCAATTTAGAATTCTCTCTCAACTGGCCCCTCCATGGAAACTACAATTACTGTACAAAGATTTACCCCTACTTTTTGTCACACGGAAAACATTATTTTCTTTGAGTAGTTCATGTTAGCATAATTCGAAATAATCATTGTTAGGTGCTGGCTTCAATATGCAGTATGTGCCATTTTTATAAAATTTATGTACATGACCTATCTATTAACAGAAGGGTATATACAATATTACAGTAAGGTTTCCCTGGGGAATAAGATTTTAGGTCATTTTTCACTTCTTATTGGTTATCTGTACTTTTAAATTTCTTACAATGAATATGTACTACCTATAGAATTCTTCTTCTGTTATTTTAGAAAGAAAATCCAAAAGCCTCAAAATTTAGTAAGGGTAAACAGAATTAAACAATCTTGAAAGGGGCCAGGTGTGGAGGCTCACGCCTGTAATCCCAGCACTTTGGAAGGCCAAGGCAGGCAGATCACAAGGTCAGAAGTTTGGAACCAGCCTGGCCAATATGGTGAAACCCTGTCTCTACTAAAAATATAAAAATGAGCCAGGCATGGTGGTGGGCTCCTGTAGTCCCAGCTACTCTGGAGGCTGAGGCAGGAGAGTCGCTTGAACCTGAAAAACGGAGGTTGCAGTAAGCCGAGATCATGCCAGTGCACTCCAGCCTGGGCGACAGAGTGAGACTCCAACTCAAAAAAGAAAAACAAAACAACAACAACAACAACAAAACATGTTTTCAAATGCTATAAAGAACATGATTGGGTCAACAAACTAACTAGAAAACCGACAGCAGATAAGATCCAAGTATTGTATCAATGTTAAATTTCATTAGGTTGATGGCTGTACTAAGCCTATGTAAGACAATGTCTTTGGCTCTTAGAAAATATATACTGAAGTTCTCAGGGGTAAAGGGGATGGGGGACGACGTATGCAACTTACTCTCAAATAATTTGGCAAAAAATGCAGTAGTAAAGCAAATGTGACTAGAAGAAATGTTAACAATTGGTGAATCTGAGTAAAGGGTAAGAAAATTGTACAATTTTTGCATTTTTTATAAGATTAAAGTTATTTCTTTTTTTTATTCTTGTTTTCTTGAGATGGAGTCTCGCTCTGTTGCCCAGGCTGGAGTGCAGTGGTGTGATCTCGGCTCACTGTAACCTCCACCTCCCAGATTCTCCTGCCTCAGCCTCCTGAGTAGCTGGGATTACAGGCGCACGCCATCTCGCCCAGCTAATTTTTGTATTTTTAGTAGAGACGGAGTTTCACCATGTTGCTCAGGCTGGTCTCGAACTCCTGACCTCGTGATCCACCCACCTCGGCCTCCCAAAGTGCTAGGATTACAGGCGTGAGCCACCGCGCCTGGTGATTAAAGTTATTTCTAAGTAAAACATTTTTAATTGAAAAAGTTTAAAAATCAACACATTCAAAATTGTTCTAACAAAAATACTTAAGAGCATGTTGGGCCAACTTCCAGCAAGACTTTATGTGGAAAAATATAGGAACATATTAAAAAATTCTGCTAATAAAAACATATGCAGGACCAACTTTAAGCAAAATTTTAAATCAGCACCATCTAACAGAAATACAATGTGAGCCACATACATAGTATTAAATTTTCTAGGAACCATATTAGAGTGAAAAGAAACAAGTGAAATTAATTTTAATGTTTTATTTAGCCCATGTCTAAAGTATTGTTTCAATTTAGTCAATACAAAAATTGAGATTTTAATTCTTCTGTATTAAATCTTCAAAATCTGATGTGTATGTTACACTTCCAGTACATCTCAATTCAGAAGCTAAATTTTCATAGGAAATACTTGATCTACATTTAGATTTCATAAAATGTACAGTTTAAAAGTAAATTCGCATAACCAAATTATTTCAGTTAAAAGTTTTCCAACCACTGAATCAGATTTTAAATGTAAACTTAAATTAATTAAAATTAAATAAAATGAAAAATTCACTCCTCATTCACACTAGTCACCCTACAGACTCAATAACCACATGTGGCTTGTGGCTACACCCTGGGAAAGCCTGGCTTTAGATGGTAAAACAAATTCCCTCTACAAAAGGAGGAACTAATTGATAAAACTGAAGTTTATCGTATTTATCAAAAGATTTTTAAAACATAGTTATGATAAAAATAACGGGCCGGGCGCTGTGGCTCACGCCTGTAATCCCAGCACTTTGGGAGGCCGAGGCAGGTGGATCACCTGAGATCAGGTGTTCCAGACCAGCCTGGCCAACATGGTGAAACCCTGTCTCTACTAAAAATACAAAAATTAGCTGGGCGTGGTGGCAGGCGCCTGCAATCCCAGCTACTTGGGAGTCTGAGGCAGGAGAATCGCTTGAACTCGGAAGGCGGAAGTTGCAGTGAGCCCAGAGATCCCACCATTGCACTCCAGCCTGGGACAGAGCGAGACTCCGTATCAAAAAAAAAAAAAAAAAAAAGACGATATTCCTATCAGAAGCACACCAAGGTTTCTCTCCAAGGTACAATTACACATCTCCCATACCACCTGTCAGAAACACCAACACAAAGCCTTCTCTACTCTGCCTCAGTTGACATCCTTTAATTTGGGTTTGAGTTTCCAGAAAACTGGCAATCAAATGGCCTTCTTTCTTTCAAATGTGACAGAACAAACTCAAGTTCCGGTTCTCAGGAGCCTAGTCATCCACTGCACAGTATGCGGGGTTTCAGCACAATACTGTCTCAGTCCCAAATGGGAGCATGCACACAGGAGAACTTGTCTCGGATTTAAGAGAGGAAGTGACCCTGAGTCCAGAGGTGAGCTTTTTCTTTTTAAACAGGTGTAAGAGATTAATTCAGTCAACACCAAGCAACACTAAAGATTTGCCAATCAATAATTCTGTGCCAAGCAACTTGATCAGGGATTTGGCCAGAATCCCTTTCGCTAATCTCAATCAGGGCCTTCCCAAAGACATCCTGATTTAGGCCACTCTCATCTAAATTAAGCTTCGACAGTCCCTTGCCTGACAGCAAATAAACAAAATCAAATTATATTCATATGAATAAAATTCTGATAGCTTGACAAAAGGCCCCTTGAAAGATCATTTAGTAAGTGTGAGCAAAAATACAGCTCCAAAGAACAGGAGTTACCATAAAACCATTTTTCAGAAATGTTTAATTCCTACTTTCTTCAACCATACTTTTCAACTGAACAACGCTGTGGCTAACAATCAAATTTAACACACAACAATGAATTCTCATATTATTTTTTCCCGCTACACAAGTATTAACGAATTCTTTAAAACTGCTGAGTCTTCTACTGTGAATTCACTAATGCCTCAAATTAGTCATAGCAGTGGGAAGTGGAGTGCGAGTGTGAACGATGGTTTCTGACACCCGACCCACTAGTGAAGTCCCATCTTCCATACGAAAGCCTTTATTTTTTCTTCCCATCTCACTCACCTAGCTGTTTTCATGCGACATATCAGGGATCACAGATACAACTCTGACCATTGTGTGGACACACTGAAACAATCGCAATCCAAAATCCTCTGTAGATAAACGTTAACTATTTCTCTTTAAAGCTGAACTCCTTTCTTACCCTCACAGTCACAAAGCTTTAAACTGGATGAATACAAAGGTGTTAAGCCGTTCCATCAGAGAGGCTTTTTATTAGATTTATTTTTACCCGTGGAAATACTTGAACATTCTGTAGAAGTAAATATATTCTAAACCTGAGGTCTTTAAAAGAAAGCTCTCAATTAATGCCCAATCAAATCCAGTCTTCAGGTCTCTCTGAAATTAGCTAAGTATGCAGAAACCAGTTGTAATTTTTAAAAGAGCGAAGAGGGAGAAGAAATAAACGACACCAGAACTACACATTCCAGACCAGCAGTTCAAGCACCACTTCGAGAAGGGAAGTAAAGATCAAGCTCGCCGTCTCCCTCGGCCACAGCAGGGCTCCTCCAAGGCTGCCCGCTCCGGCCCGCACCGCGGACCCCGCCGCCCCCGCCCCCTCCCGCGGCCTCCCCAACCCCCGGCCCTGCCGCTTCGCCTTTCTCGCAGCGGGGATGCTCAGGGTGCGACCTCGAAGCACAACCACTGATGGAATTCTGACACCCGAAGAGGACGATTTTTCCAACAGTTTACACGCCTTCGCGGGCACCTTCCCTACTCACTGAAACCCTCACGAAAGCGGTCAACGCACCCAGAGCGGGTTTCCTCGGTCTACGGACGCAGGCAAACAGCGCCACTTAAAAAATGCGCGTCCGCGACCCGGCCCCAGGCGGCAGAGGGAGCAGCGGGCGGCCTGGCGCGGGAGCTCCCCCGGGGCTCGCAGCATCCCTGCCGCGCGCGAAGGCCGGGGCCGCGTCCACCTGGCAACAAAGGCGAAGCCCGCCGCTCGCAGGTGGGAGGCCCGGAGCCGAGGCCCCGGTGCCGCGCGAGGGAGCGTACGGGGTCCGCGCGGGGCCGCCCCTGGAGAAAGCCCAGCCGCGGACTCCGGCGGGAGAGGAGCGCCCTGGCATTGTCCCGGGGGAGGGCGGGGCGGGCGCCCGGGGGCACTGGGTCCCCGGAGGAGGTGGCGGCGCCGCGGGCGGGTTGGGGGCTGGGTCGGCCGAGGCGGACGGCCGCCCCCAGCAGCCCCGACGCCTTTCATTTGGCCTCTGCGGCGGCTGAGGCAGCCCGACCTCCAGCGCTAAGCACTGCGCCAAGCAGGGACGGGCGGGGGAGGGCGCGCCAGACCCGCCGCAGAGCCGGACCCCCGGCGCCGCACCGCCGGCCCGCCCTGCCGCGGACCCCGCTGCCCGCCCGCAGTCCGCGCTCCTCCGGCGGGCGAAGGAGACGACTCTCCGGCGTTCGCCCGGTCCCCACCTCGATGTAGCCGGCCAGCGCCAAGGCAGGCGCCGTGAGCCCCACCAGCAGCAGAAGCAGGAGCCTGCCCGTGGCTGCGGCGGCCGCGGTCCCGGTGGCCGCCATCCCTCGCCGGGTCGCTCTAGCGCGCGGCTCTCAAGCTCACACACTCGGACTCCTCGCTTAGCACACCGCGACCCAGAAGCATCTAAAGCCAGTTCGCCGCCGCCCCGGGGGTTTTACACCAACCGGAACTGACTTCATATTACCACGCCCTCCTTCTGCGGCTCCCAATGCCGGCCCGCAGAACCCCTCAAGACCCCGCCCCCTTGCGGTCCAGACCCAATCAGGAGATGGAAGAGCCTGCTCCTCCCGCCCGGTCCAACCGCGCGCCCCCCGCCCGGCCCCGCCCCCGGCCGCGGATGGCCCCGCCCCCGCTCCGGACCCTGTGGCCGCCAGGCGCGGGGGCGTGCGCGCGGCGGGTCTGGGGCCGCAACCCTGTGGGCGCGGGGCTGGCTCTGGCCTCCGCCCCCCGGCGCGGTTATCTGTCCCTGCTGCGCTGGTCCGTCAGCCTTCAGCCTCCCGATACGGGCACGCCCCGCTCCCCTGCCCCTGCTGGGCATTCTTCAGACTCCTTTGGGTACCGCCCTCTTTTTGATTCTGGAAATGGTTTTATTAAAAACAGGATGAATTAGGAGTCCGGGACGGTCTGCCAAGGGCCGTCCCCCGAGGCAGGGGGAGGACCGCAGGAGGCAGCCATCGTCCTCCCCCGAGCCCTACTCAGGGCGCGCCTCTCCCGCCCTGCTCCGCCCAGGCCTCTCCGCCGGGTCCTCGCCTCTGAGTCCGGCCGCGCTCCGCACCCTTGGCCTCCGGTCTTTAGGCCTCTTGCCGACCCTTCCTTCCCAGCAGTTGCCCAGGCAGGGATAGAGACCAGGGGTGCAAGAACCACGCCGGCCTCACAGCCCAGGCCCCCTTCCTCGTGTGTTTTAGGAAGAGATCACGCCGCTTCTTCGGTTGAGACGCACTAGCGGGAGACCTGCTACTCTGCCTTCCTGCTCCGCGGCATTGCCACTTCAGTAGAGAAAAACGTCCTGCTGCCCCATTTAGCAATTGGCACAGCCTCGCCACCGCCAGGGCTCCGCTGGCCTTGTTTCCTTTCAGTCGCCTGTGAGTTAGGTACTGCCTTCTGAGAGACCTGGACTAGTCCCTTCAGGTTCAACTAAATGCATAACACAACCCTACCCCCAGGACGCTGACAATAGAAAGGAAGAGACTGTCCGCGGAGTAGACGAGTGCGCCTGTAAGAACTCGGGATTTTCCAGCCTTATTCTGCACCACTCTCCCCTACATGCCCAGTTCCCTGTGGGTAAACTGGCTCTGCCCGATTCCTCCAAGACGACACCTTTCCATTTCACAGCCCTTCCTAACACTCTTCTGCGCCTGCAATGTCCTCTCCCCAACATCTGCCTGTTGGAAGCGTTTTCACTGTTCCTCGGCTCAGTCGGCTGAAATATCGCTTCTGATTGCTCAGAGGGATGTTTCCCACTGTGGCACTCGCTCCCTAGTTATTCCATACCTCTCTCAGGTCACTGACAAGACTTGGGTCTGTCATGCCGCAGTGCCCCTCACAGTGCAGTCCTCGATAAATGTTTGCCCAGTGTTATTGAACCCAGTTATCTTGGGTGCTGATACTAGTTCTGGAACTGGCATGAATTTGGCTCTTGCTATGGACCGAATTTTGTCCCCACCCCTAATGTGTGTGCCGAAGCGCTGAACCCCAGTGTGATGGTTATTTGTAAATGGGGCCTTTGGGAGGTAATCGGATTTGGATGAGGTCATGGAGGTAGCAGGTCATGATGGGATGAGTGCCTTTATTAGGAGAGACACCAAAGAGCTTGCTTTTCTCTCACACTCTCTGTCCCCTACCCCCAACCTCAGCCCTCACCTCCCTCCTCCATGTGCGAACACAGCAAGAAGGCCGCCATCTGCAAACCAGGAAGAGGTCCATCACTGAGGGGCCAAAGTGGCACCTTGAGCTTGGACTTCCCAGGCTTCAAGAACTGTGAAAAATAAATCCCTGTTGTTGAAGCCCCCCAGCCTATGTTATTTTGTTGCAGCAGCCGGAGCTGACTGACACAGCCGCATGATCACCGGCAAGTTCCTCCATCGCTTGGGACTCTCTTTTCTTCTCTGTCAAATGTGAATATTAAAACCTGTCTCACTGCACCGCTTTGTGTGATTGAACTTAAAATGAATGTACAATAGTGAAAAGCATGAAGTGACTTAAATGTAAGGGGTAGGAGGGTAAAGCGATGTATTACTAAGTGCAGGTTCATCTGCAAGTATGTGGGAAAAGTATCAAGTGACTACCTAAATCCTCATTGAGTTGTTGAGCCTAGGGTAGGACATGTAGCCCCTCTGGGGCCTGTTACCTCACCTACAAAATCAGGGCCTTGAACTCAGGGAAAAGCAAGTGAGATATCTGAGTTCAGTGGCGTGGATATTCATGCTTTGGAGACTGTATCTTCAAGACTGAGCTTTAATATCATGGGATAGTACAAGGAAATACAGGAACATAATTTAGAGGGCCTTCAGTCTAAACTTAGGTCTTGAAAGAAGTTTATTTGCATTTTCAAGTTATGGAAGGATCGTTACTAAGAGTTGATAGCCCCATTCATCAACATTCTGTACTTTAAAATGTTATGGTCTTTTTATTAAATGACACTGACAGGAACATACCTGGTCTTGCAATTCTCAATAATTTTTCATTCCAAATATGCTCATGTCAGTGACCAAGGCTTATGAGTAGTATGTTTTCATTTTATTATCTTTTATGCATAAAAGCAAAAGGACCTAAAATAACCTCCTGGCTGGGCACAGTGGCTCACACCTGTAATCCTAGCACTTTGGGAGACCGAAGCGGGTGGATCACCTGAAGTCAGGAGTTCCAGACCAGCCTGGCCAACATGATGAAACCCTGTCTCTACTAAAAATACAAAAAAAAAAAAAAAAAAAAAAAAAAAGCTGGGCGTGGTGGCAGGCGCCTGTAGTCCCAGCTACTTCGGAGGCTGAGGCAGGAGAATTGCTTGAGCCCAGGAGGCGTAGGTTGCAGTGAACCGAGATTGTGCCACTGCACTCCAGCCTGGGTAGCAGAGCGAGACTCTTGTCTCACAAAAATAAAAATAACATAAAGTAAAATAAAATAACCTCATGTTTCTTCTACCTTCTTAAGAATCAGACTTTCTCCTAAATCAGCTCTCTTCTATGCACACTTAAGATGTGTGCATTTCCTTGTTGAAAAAAAACAAAGTTGATTTTCCTAAATGTATACTTAACATGAGGAGAACCCTCACATTAATTTGATACTTATTTATCCAATACCTATTCAGGCTAGGTACAGTTGGCTAGGATAATTGCTCCCAAATCAGGATGCTTTTCAAAATCAACTACGAAGTGTATTTTTATTTTATTTTTGAGACAGTCTCACTCTATCGCCCAAGCTGGAGTGCAGCGGCATAATCACAGCTCACTGAAGCTTTGACCTCCTGGGATCAGGCAATTCTCCAGCCACATACACCACCACGCCCAGCTAATTTTTTTTTTTTTAACACTATGTTGCCCAAGCTGATGTCAAACTTCGGAGTTCAAATGATCCTATTGCCTTGGCCTCCCAAAAGGGATTAGAGGAATGAGCCACCATGCCCAGCAAGGAGTTTATTTTTAAAAGGCACATTTTAAAACCCAATGTCAGAAATTCTAAATCTCTAGTGCTAGGGTGACCTCAAGAAATTGGTATACATTTTTCCACCAGGCCCAGCGGCTTATGCCTGTAATCCCAGCACTTTGGGAGGCCGAGGCGGGTGGATTACCTGAGGTCAGGTGTTCGACACCAGGCTGGCCAACATGATGAAACCCTGTCTCTACTAAAAATAGAAAAATTAGCCGGGCATGGTGGTGGGCGCCTTGAGGCAGGAGAATTGCTTGAACCCGGGAGGCAGAGGTTGCAGTGAGCTGAGATCGCGCCATTGCACTCCACCCTGGGCGACAGAGCAAAACTCTGTCTCAAAAAAAAAAAAAAGAAAGAAATTGGTATACACTTTTAAAGCTCTCTAGATAATTCTAACCCACTAATATTCATGAGAACTGCTGCTCTGGCATAGTGGTTACTTAATTCTTGAATATCATGGACTGTGAAAAACACTTCTTAAGTGGAATAACAAAGTTCCCAGTTGTTTTTGTTTTGTTTTGTTTTCCAAATAATGCATTAAATTAAAACGTAACTGTATTATCACCACCATCTCACTAAAGAAACAACATTTAACAACAACAAAGTCAGGATAGTCATCTTTTGAAATTTAAAAATTGAGGCCGTGGGCGGTGGCTCTCGCCTATAATCCCAGCACTTTGGGAGGCCAAGACCGGCAGATCATGAGGTCAGGAGATCCAGATCATCCTGGCTAACACAGTGAAACCCCGTCTCTACTAAAAAAAAAATACAAAAAAATTTACCGGGCGTGGTGGCAGGTGCCTGTAGTCCCAGCTACTCGGGAGGCCGAGGCAGGAGAATGGCATGAACCCGGGAGGTGGAGCTTGCAGTGAGCCAAGATCGCGCCACTGCACTCCAGCCTGGGCGACAGAGCAAGACTCTGTCTCAAAAAAAAAAAAAAAAAAAAAAAGAAATAAAAAAATTGGATAACATAACTTTTTGGCAACTTAATACATTGCCTCTGTTGTTGTTGTTTTAATTGCAAATCAGAGTGGTGAATACTTTATAATGGAATGGCCCTGATTTAATATATGCGTTAGAACCCTTGTGGTATGGGAAATAAATATGAATCAATTCTATGCCTTGGCCTATAGCTGATAGCCTTTAAATATCTCCTTCCTTCTACCCAGATTGCCTTTCCCCCTCATCCACAGCTGACTCAGTATTTAAGACTTGGTTCAAGTGTCACCTGCTCAAGGACGTTTTCTGCTCCTCCTTTTCTTCTTCAAAGCTGAGTTTGGTGCACCTCCTTTTTGCTCCCCGTAACATTCTGTATGTACCCACCTCTGTCATACTATGTGTAAACTAAGCATTAGTTATTTCTTTTCTTTTCAGTTTCCTTAATTATACCACGAGTCCCTTGAGGGGAAGAACCGTGTCTGTACCTCCACAATCTAGCATAGTGGTTGTGCTTAATAGGTGTTCAAAAAATACTTGCTGAATGAACACAGAACTAAGTGAGTTTTACAGTCTGTCAGAGAAGCTGAAACCTGGGTGCGCATAACCATAGCAATAGGTGGAAAGTCACAAATGGCTTAAGAGAAGGGAAGTTTTTTAAGAAGAGCAGAGGAAGTTGGTTACAGCTGTGTGAGGACACCAGGAGAGGATCACAGAGAAGACGCTATCTGAGGTTTCCTGGGAATCTATACAGGATGTGTTCATGCAGTGTCAGGAGAGGACAAGAAGCATGGAAGGAACAATGCAAGCAAAGGCATAGCACTGGAAAAACATGATGGAAGAGAATATGCCAGTCATATTTCACTTAATTGGAGCCCAGGGTTTGTAATCCGTAATTAAGGCAGGATGGTTGGTGGATTTACAGCAAAGATACTGAGGAGCCATAGAAACCTTTGGACAAGAACATAATTAGAGTTGGCTTTTAGGCAAAAAACGAGTGTGAGAGCTACCTGAGGGATGCGGCAGAGCCTGGAGTCCAGGAGGCAGCTAGGAGCCCACTGTGATCTTGGGGAAAGAGAAAATGTGGGCAGAACTAAGGGAGATGGAGCGGAATTAGAAAGGAGATGGTCGTAAAAGGTAAAGTCTATGGTCTTGGCCAGTCACTGGGTGGGGGAGTCAGTGGCATAGAGTCAAGGAGAAGGAAGGAGGGACAAAGAGAACTTTAACCTCTGAACATGGGCCTGGGAGAATATGGTGATGATGATGCCATTGGCAGAAATAGGGAAAACAAGAAGATTATGGGAATGAGAGGAAGGTGAAGATGTGAAATGCCAGAATTAGAATTTTGGAAGTTACCTTCCAAAAGGCTATTAGTTAAATGTATGAGCTAGCCAATAGGCAATGCAACAGGAGAGGTAGAAAGAAACCAGAAGGATATATTACTGTTCTGTTCAAACAGTATTTGTCACCACAGCATAGAGTCGAAAACTAGAAAAGGCCAAATAGGATGAGGACTAAGAAAGAACCACTGAACTTGGAGATCATTGAACTTTGTCACTGGTCATTTATTTGAGGGAGTAAAAGCTATTTGCAGGATGTAAAGGTTTAAGTGGCTTGGAGGAAGGAGAGCTAACAAGTACAGTCTTGTCTCTTCCCAGAAGTTCCCCGTTGAAAGAGCAAAAACTAGGAGAGTAGCTCTTGTAGGGTATGGGTGGAGAACTTGGTTGTTGTTCCTGTTTGTCACTGATAAGGAGGCAGTGGTGGAAGGGAAAAAATTGAAAATGAAAGAGACCCAGTTGAGATTTGTAAAATGTGTATTAAACCCATTTTACAGATGAGAAAACTGAGGCTCAAAGAGGTTAAATAACTTGTCAATAGCCAAAACCAGTACTAGCAGAGAAGGAAACTGAATCCTGGTTTTACTGACTTAGAAATATATGGTCTCCTGATCACATCATGCTAACCAACTCCCTACCAAATATCGGAAAATATTAGTCTGATACAGCCCTCAATGGATGCATAAAAATGTTTCAATGGCTTGTCATTCCTTTTCCTTACATTTTCAGGCTGTGTGATAGTCTGTAAAGTCACATGCTTAATAATAAACAGAAGAGTCCTTATAAAAATGTATTTAGCTGTTGCATCTTTCTCTACTACTTAGAACACTTAAAAAAAATCAGCCTCAGGTTGAATTTTTTTTTTCTTCCCTTTTGTTTTGTTTTGTTTTGTTTTGTTTTGTTTTGTTTTGTTTTGTTTTGTTTTTGAGACAGGGTCTCACTCTGTTACCCAGGCTGGAGTGCAGTGGCACAATCATGGCTCACTGCAGCCTCTATTTTAGCAGGCTAAGGTGATCTTCCCACTTCAGTCTCCCAGGTAGCTGGGACTACAGGCATGTGCCACCATAGCCTGCTAATTTTTATATTTTTTGTAGAGAAGGGATTTTGCCATGTTGCCCAGGCTGGTCTCAAACTCCTGGGCTCAAGTGATCCACTGGCCTCGGCCTCCCAAAGTGCTAGGATTACAGGTGTAAGCCACCACACCAGCGCTTTTTTTTTTTTTTAACTTATTAGAGATGAGGTCTCACTATGTTGCCCAGGCTGGAGTGCTGTGGCTATCACTGGCATGATCATGACACAATACAGCCTCGAACTCCTTGGACTTCAGGGATCCTCCCGCTTCAGTCTCCTGAGTAGCTGGGATTACAGGCGCGTACCATCACACCCAGCTCTTTAGGGTGCTTCTGTGTTCTGTTTGCCGCTGATGCTGAGCAGGTGGAATCACTTCTCAGAGGGAAGCAATGCAGTTGCTTGAGGCAGAACAGGTTTAACCTTATATAATACACACGTTTACCACATTAATAGGTAATTAAGATTTAAATCGTTTATAAAGCCTTTCTTCTACCTCCTACTGATCTAGACTAAGGGTCTGCTTTTATCAAATAAGTCAAGTAGACAAAAATATCAAGTATTTAAAATCAATACAGGGTCCCCAGATTCGATGCCAAAGCAGGGCCTTGATATGGAAAAGAATCTGGTCCTAGAGTATGTTTTGTTTTCAAAGACAATATTAATTTAACTGATTACAATCCGGGTATGTGGGCATGTCTAAAATTAAATGCTACAAAAAAATCTTTAAACACCTTATGCGTATACTAAGTTTTGTTTTGGTGGTAAACTGGTTTACAGGCTTGAAAACAGGTTTTGCAAGTCCTAAAACTTACATAAGTCAGGTGCTCTCTTGAAGAGAAACAGTACGAGATTGCTTGGGGTCCTACCACAGCCTCGGAAGAAACTGGGGCAAAAGAGTGGCCTGGAAGCTTGCTCTGCATTAGCTCTGCAGAAAAACCACCTCTGGCTGCAAATCCCTCCTGCAGGAACTGTCCTCATATATAGCCCTGCCTAGTTAGCTTCCTTCATTTATTATTGTTCCTAAGTCTTATTTGTTTTTTGTTTTTTGAGACAGAGTTTTTCTTTGTTGCCCAGGCTGGAGTGCAGTGGCGCGATCTCGGCTCGCCGCAAGCCTCCCGGGTTCAAGCAGTTCTCCTTCCCCAGCCTCCCGAGTAGCTGAGATTACAGGCGCCTGCCATCATGCCTGGCTGATTTTTTATATTTTTGTAGAGATGGGGTTTCACCATGTTACCCGAGCTGGTCTCAAACTCCTGAGCTCAGGCAATCTGCCCATCTCAGCCTCCCAAAGTGCTGGAATTACAGGTGTGAGCCACCGCACCGCCCAGCCCTTAACCCTTATTTGAAAGAAACCATCTCATTCCCTGTACTTCAGTCGGTTTGTTCTCCCTCTGTGTTGTGGCTATTTTCTCATCTACCTGTAGTAATGCTACGTTGTTTGGTATTCTTGTTTGGTCCTTCTTTGAATAATTTCTTCTGCCTTCAGTGCAGAAAATACAAAATAATGGTGAAAAAAACCTCAGCGCTGGGAGCTGCTTATACTAAAAGTTCTTATCGTTGGTGATTTTTACATGGTACTTGCTTTTCAGAAAAGCTGATGTAAAACTGCTTTCTTGACATGCCCCACATCAGAGTTTGAAGGTATTTGTGTCATCTTTCTGCCTGGTGTGGAAGTCATTTACTACAATAGAAGGACAGAGAAGTTCACAGCTCCATTGGCTGGACATTTTGTCTTTTTATTGAACTAATCTTCATCACATAATTAAAGGTGGCTGTCATACCCCATTCTGCACACCCCCACTATCACCCGCAAAGTCTTTTCTTTCTTTCCTTTCTTTCCTTCCTTCCCCTTCCCCTTCCCTTTCCCTTTCCTTCCCCTTCCCCTTCTTCCTTCCTTCCTTCCTTCCTTCCTTCCTTCCTTCCTTCCTTCTTTCCTTCCTTCCTTCCTTCCTTCCTCTCTTTCTTTCTTTTTGACAGAGTCTTGCTCTGTTGCCCAGGCTAGAGTGCAGTGGTGTGATCTGGGCTCACTACAACCTCTGCCTCCCGGGTTCAAGTGATTCTTGTGCCGCAGCCTCCTGAGTAGCTGAGATTATAGCCACGCGCCACCACACCTGGCTAATTTTTGTATTTTTAGTAGAGATGGGGTTTCGCCATGTTGGACGGGTTGGTCTTGAACTCCTGACCTCAAGTGATCTGCCCACCTCGGCCTCCCAAAGTGCTGAGATTTATAGGCGTGAGCCACCAAGCCTGGCCATACAAAGTCTTTTCTTTAATAAACAGATTCACTTCTTTAACCATTTTACTTGTAATACTGTTTCCATTCTTACCATCCTTAGATCTCTGTATACATTCCAATTTACCAATCAGCCTCTAAAAGTATAGAATCCAAAACTGAACACAATATTTCACATACTAAACACAAACTACCCAGAAAATTCATTCTTTTTCTGGACAATGTGTATTTTATTAATAATGTAACCAACATTTCCTGATGAGATATCTACACCAAGTTCATGTAATAATAATTCATTAAAGAGTCAGATGTGGTAGCACTCCTGTAGCCTCAGCTACACAGGAGGCTGGAGTGAGAGGATCGCATGAGCTTAGGAATTTGAGGATTTGAGGCCAGCCTGGGCAACACAGCAGACCCTGTCTCTTAAAAAAAAATTAATTCAATATTTATTTGGCACCTACTATGTTCAATATACTTTGCTTGTGCTTCCTAATCTCAATTTAGTAAAGGCTCTTAGTTCAGCATTTAAAAGTGTTAGGATAACAGGGAAAACTTCTCAAAGGAAAACATGCTTTAACTGAGTTTGGAAAGGTGGGAGCCACCTGGACAAAGAAGGTGGCTGTGGCGAACAGGTGCTCAGCCAGGCAAAGGCATCTGTGTGGGTATTAACATGGAAGTAGCATGATGCCATATAAGAATGACGAGAGAGAAGAGGATTCCTAAGGGACAATGATTTTGTCCTTTAACTTGACAGCTATGGGATATCATCAGCTTTTTAGCAGGCATCTTAGAAAGACTAAGTGGAATAATGGATAAAATGCTTACATGTTTAGCTCAGCATACAGCATATAATAAGGGCTTGGTACAGGACAGTAGGTAGTTCTGGTTGGTTATTTATGGTTGCAGTGCAAGTTTAGGGAAAGAGAAGCTCATATTTGTATGACGCTTTTGAATTTTCAAATTTGTTTTGTGTCCATCATTTCCTTTCATATTTAAAAGAACCATGTAAAACTCACTTATTTCATTTCTAGGAATCCATCCTAGGAAAATAATCCAAATGAGAATAAATTATGGAAAAATGCTTATAAGATGTGTTAAAATTTCAGAAGTCATAGTAGGAATTGCATATGTGGAAAAATTTCTCTTATGCATTTAAAGTCGACTGAAAGAAAATGAACCAACATATTTTTTTCTGGATAATAGGATTATAAGTGATTGTTTTATTCTTTAAAAAATATTCCTATAATGGATATATGTTACGTTTATAACGGAGGGAGTAATCTTTCACTTTTCTTTTGTCTTTCTTGATCTTATCAACAATAACTTAGCCTGGGCAGCAAAGCAAGACCCGTCTCTACTAAAAATAAAAATAACAGCCAGGCACAGTGGTGCACACTCGTAGTCTCAGCTATTTGGGAGGCTGAGGTGGGAGGATCCCTTGAGTCTAGGAGTTCAAGGCTGCAGTGGCACGATGATGCCTGGGTGACAGACAAGAATCTGTCACAACAATAAATAAATAAATAAACAAATAAAACCTTGTTGCCGGGTGCAGTGGCTCACACCTGTAATCCCAGCATTTTGGGAGGCCGAGGCAGGTGGATTGCCTGAGGTCAGGAGTTCGAGACAGGTCTGGCCAACATGGTGAAACCCTGTCCCTACTAAAAATACAAAAAAAATTAGCCAGGCGTGGTGGTGTACACCTGTAATCCTAGCTACTTGGGCAGCTGAGGCAGGGGAATTGCTTGAACCAGGGAGGTGGAGGTTGCAGTGAGCTGTGATCACGCCACTGCACTCCAGCCTGGATGACAGAGTGAGACTCCATCTCAGAAAAAAAAAAAAAAAAAGACAGGGCAGTCATTATTGTCTTCATTTTGTAACAGTAACACTTTTATCGATGACAGTAACTATAACTCTCATTAGCACTCACTACATGCCACGCATTGTCCTAAGCGCCTTAGCAGATATTAACTCATTTAGAATGAATTAATGAGAATTATAGGGAGCACTTGTCTCATCAGGATGTTTTTGGCTGTAAATAATAGAAATGTCTACTCAACCTGATCGAAAGAAAAATAGTGTTTATTGACCCACACAACTGGAAAAGCCTAAAGGGGCAGGGATCAGGCATGGTTTCCGTCAGGACCTCAGCTCACGGCTCTGTGATGCTCTTGCTCCTCCTGGGAAAGCTTCACCTGCAGGCTGATGGCAGATCATTCACAATAGTTGCAGGTCTCATCCTACATCTGCACAGGAAATTATCCAGAAGAAAAAACAGCTTCTCGCCCAGCCTTCCCAACAGGAGTCCTGACATTCTCTGATTGAACAGGGTCACATACTCACCCCTGAGTCAGTAACTAGGGAACGGAGGTAAGAAGACGGGGCGCAAACAAAATGCGCTGGATGCCTTCAGCCAACTGGGACCTCCCAAGGAATTGAGGGTGGGAGGAGTGTGGGAGGGGTGGATAACAAAATCAAATAGGAAGGGGGAGTTGGGGAAAGGGTGTCAAGTGGGCAGTAGACAGTGTTAATGACTATAGTTCCCAACACTCAGTTTAGTTTAGATCTTACTGCCAGGCTAGCCACAAGTTACTCTTTCCCCCTGCTTCCTAAATGTCCTTCCCAGCATCCTTATTTTTTGCTTCTCTGTGTTATTCTGTGCATTATTGAATATATGTTTATTAAGTAGCATTTATGAAACCCGTCAGATTTAAATTACCTTGAAATTTGAAATTAAATTTGAAAATCTTTGAGTTGAAGGTAAGATGCAGATCAAACTAATATATCATATTGTTTTTTCATTTTTATTGATGGTGTTCGTTTAATTAAGAAATATAAGAAGGGCCAGATGTGGTGGCTCACACCTGTAATCCCAGCACTTTGGGAGGCTGAGGCTGGAGGATCACTTGAGCCCAGGAAGGCTGTAACATAGTGAGACCCTGATTCTACAAAAAAAAAAAAAAAAAAAAAAAAATCAGCCAGGCATAGTGGTGTGCACCTGTGGTTCTAACTACCTGGGAGACTGAAACATTGATCCCAGGAGGTGGAGGCTGCAGTGAGCCCAGATCACACCACTGCACTCTAGTCTTGGTGACAGAGTGAGGCCCCATCTTTAAAAAAAAAAAAAAAAGAAAAAGAAATGCCAGAGAGTGAGCCCAGCTTACTTCTCAGGCAAAGCTTCATAAGGTAAAAGAGGTTTGGGGAGACCCCAAGGTCTATTCCTGGTTTGTTGTTTGTTTTGTTTTGTTTTTCATATAACAGCTTTATTAACATATACTATACTTTATTGATACATACACACCATATGATTCACCCATTTAAGGTGTACAATTCAATGGTTTTTAGTGTATTCACAGACTTATGCAACCATCACCACAATAAATTTGAGAACATTTTCTTCACACCAAAAGAAGTATTGTGCCCATTAGGAACCATTCCCCATTTCCCTCCAACGCTCCCTCCCCGAGCCTTAGGCAACCACAGATCTTACTCTCTGTATCTACAGATTTGCCTTTTCCAGACATTTCATATAAACAGAATCAAGAAGTATGCGGTCTTTGTGACTAGCTTATTTCACTAAGCGTAATGTTTTCAAGATTTAACCACGTTGTACAATGTATCACTATTTTATTCCTTTTTATCGACAAATATTAATAGTATTCCTTTTGTTAACATATGGCTAGACCACATTTCTCTCTTTTTCTCTAAGATGGGGTCTTGCTCTGTCACCTAGGCTGGAGTGCAGTGGCGCCATCATAGCTCATTGCAATCTCCTGAGCTCAAACGACCCTCCTGCCTCCGACTACCAAGTAGCTGGGACTACAGGCATGCGCCACTAAACCCAGCTATGCCCACGCTGGTCTCAAACTCTTGGCCTCAAACAATCTTCCCACCTCAGCCTCCCAAAGTGCTAGGATTACTGGCATGAGTCACTGTGCCCAGCCTAGACCACACTTAATTTGTCTGTTCAGCAGCTGATGGACATTTGAGTTGTTTCCACTTTTTGGCTCTTAAGAATAATGCTTCTGGCTGGGCATTATGGAATAATGCTCCAGCCTGGGAGACAACGTGAGACTTTGTCTCAAAAAAAAAAAAAAAAAAAAGAGATGGGTTTTCGCCATGTTGGCAAGGCTGGTCTCAAACTCCTGGCCTCTCTGAGGCTTAATGAGACTAAATAATTTGTTTCACATTACGTAGCAACTAGGTGGAAATAACAGCATTTGAACCCAGGTCTTCCTCCTTTCAGAACTGGCTGTCTAACGTACTAGACTAGACACATGCTGCTTAAACATTACCACATATTTTACGTCCATTTGTTGGAAATGACTGTTTCCCCCATTTTCACCACTACTTCTGCAGATGATTACTTGAAAAAAGTATACGGTAGGCCAGTCATGGTGGCTCACGTCTGTAATCCCAGCATTTTGGGAAGCCGAGGCTGGAGGACTGCTTGAGCCCAGGAGTTTAAGACCAGCCTGGGCCACATCTCTACAAAAAATTAAAAAAAGAATTAGCTGGGTGTAATGGTGCATGCCTGTGGTTCCAGCTACATGGGAGGCTGAGGTGGGAGGATCACTTGAGTCCCGGAGGTCAAGGCTGTAGTGAGCTATGATTGCACCACTGCACTCCAGCCTGGGCAACAGAGCAAGACCCTGTCTCAAAATAATTAAAATAAAATAAAAATAAAAAATTTTAAAAGTATATGCAAATTCTCAGTAGCTTTACTTTCAAAGAGTGACTTGGTATCCACATTCTGGAGACCCTTTCATGTGGCTCTCTCTATCCCGACTTCTTATGAGAAGTTGTTCATGATCACATTTCTGGCACAACTCCTTAAAAGCACAGTCAGCAGCATTCAAAGCGGCTCCTGGATGCCTGCCCTACAGGGACTTTTGATGATGTCTGTACTATTTTGAGATAAAAAGAGTTCTGCATCCAGCAGTCCAGAAACATTCATCCCAACATCAGCTTTTAAGTCCCTTGTTACATTTACATGATGGAGGCTGCCGATGACTTGAGTTGTTTCCAGATCCAGTGTAGCAAGTGGTATTTCACTCCTTTTTGAGATGAGCTGCAGATGAGGCAAGGCGCTGATCACTACGTGGTGACTAACACCACCATCACGCCTTCAGATACTGCTAATTTTGGAATGGCCAGATTTGCTTCAGATCTTTTCAGAAAACCAGAGTCATTGTCACCTGTACTTGCTGGTAGTCTCACACTAAATTACATGGTCATGGTAAAATATTATGGAATTTACATTCATCTTGAGAATCATCTAACAATGATGTTAGATGTAATTATATGATAAAATATTCTTTTTTTCCCTTTGAGATGCATACTAAAAAGTATTTAGGAATGAAACTAAAGAGTAAGATATTGCTCCTAAACAGACTATGAGAGGCAGACACAATTGAATATTTAATACAAGCACCAATTCAAAAATGCATGCCTATTCCTCGAATCACTGAGATTTCACTCTATGTGCAACCTTTCAGAGCTAACAGAAATTATTTACACTGAAGTGCACAGAGAACAGCAAAGATAAACTATACAGCACATGTGTCAAGAAGTGACATATTAGGTGAGGATAAGTGATACTTGAATATCACAAGATCAAGCTAACATCACCAAATAAAAAGATTGTAACAGTTTCAAGTCATAAAGACTGATGTATGGAGCAATAACCCATCCTTGCAAGGAGAAGTTATTCTTGCAGTAGTTGTTTTTAATCTTGCTCTTGGCTGCTGCCCTAGATAAATTAAGATTGAAGCTTTCAGGACGTATGAGGTTGAATTTACAGTGACAAAATGTGCAGGGCTTGCAGACCCAAGGATTGCTGCCCTCAAGAACAAGTAAAGGATGGGTCGCCATCTGATTCTTTATCTATATGACAATTTGCTTAGTTCTTTATAAATTTTGATGGGCGGGTTCAGTTGTGATTTCTGTTGTTTTCTATACTCGCTATGTTATGTGTCAATTCTAATTTAAATTCAGTGTCTGATGAAAACAAAACAAAACAAAAAATCAGCTCTCCACCATTCATCTACTTTATGTGTTATCCAAGATCTCTGCCTTGGTTTCTCAAATGGCTCACCCTCCTTTTTTACCATTCCCTTGAGGAAATACAAGGACATATTTTATTTATTTATTTACTTATTTATTGAGATGGAGTCTCATTCTGTTGCCCAGGCTGGAGTGCAGTGGCGCCATCTCGGTTCACTGCGACCTCTGCCTCCCGGGTTCAAGTGATTCTCCTGCCTCAGCCTCCTGAGTAGCTGGGAATACAGGCGCACACCATCATGCCCAGCTAATTTTTGTATCTTTAGTAGAGATGGGGTTTCACCATGTTGGTCAGGCTGGTCTCGAACTCCTGACCTCATGATCCACCCACCTCGGCCTCCCAAAGTGCTGGGATTACAGGCGTGAGCCACCGCGCCCGGCCCCAAGGACATATTTTTTTAAAGTCCCTTTTACCCCTGCTTGGGCAATTCCAGCGAAAGGGGTTTGGAAGTGAAGAAAGAAAAGAAAGGACAGCTAAGACCTAGAGAAAATTGTGGTCATACAATTTCAGTAATTAAAATGAACTTTGGAAGCTGTTTGCGGCTTTTTATTATTTATGCTTCACCTCTTATCAAAAACAAACCCAGTGTAATTGGCTTGTATATGCTCAGTAAATACCTCAAAATCCTACAGTTAGTAGTAATTTCTTTCTGCTACTAAGTCACTTTGAATCATTGAGCATTAATCAACAGTAAATTATACTGGGAATTCTCAAGCAATTGAGAATTGCTGACCCTTCAATGCTGACAGGCTAGTTACCAAACTCCAGGGCCAAAAATACTCTGTATTTGTATGGTGACTATATTTTCCAAAGCTAAAATTGAGACATATGATCTGATAATGAGATGAAATATTTGAACTCAGAACGTTTTGCCACCATACACACTTGACAGTTAAAAGAATATTTTGGCCAGACATGGTGGCTCACACCTGTAATCCCAGCACTTTGGGAGGCTGAGGCAGGCAGATCATTTGAGGCCAGGAGTTACAGACCAGCCTGGCCAACATGGCGAAACCCCATTTCCAACAAAAATATGAAAAAATTAGCTGGGTGTGGTGGTGCACACCTGTAATCCCATCTACTCAGGAGGCTGAGGCAGGAGAATCACCTGAACCCAGGAGACAGAAGCTGCGATCACACTACTGCACTCTAGCCTGGTCTACACTCTGTCTTGGGGAAAAAATATATATATTTTGCCATTCTACTCCCTATTCATAATTGCTTTCATTGTTGCATATTGGGCAGCCCTGGTCTTAATCAAACCCTTCTGATATGGTTTGAATGTCCCCTCCAAAACTCATTACCAGTATACCAGTATTGGAAGGTGAGGTCTTTAAGAGGTGATTTGGCCAAGCCCTTATGAATGGATTAATGCTGTTCTTGGGGAGTGGGTTAGTATCTCAGGAGTTGCTTCCTGACAAAGGACGAGTTCAGTCCCCTTTTTCTCTGTGTCTCACACGCCTGCTTGCTCTCTTGCCTTCTGTCATGGAAAGCCCTTTGCCCAGTGCTGGCACCATGCTCTAGGACTTCCCAGCCTCCAGAATCAGAAGCCAAATAAGCTTATTTTTTAAAAAATAAAGTACCCAGTCTGTAGTATTCTACTATAGCTACAGAAAATGGACTAAGATGCATTGCATTCATTAAGATGGGAACCAAAACAAAGAACACACATATTAAAGAGAAAAAAAGTCTAAAATGAAATAGCAGTAAAGTAACTGGAAATCATGGTGCTCAGATGTTTAATATTCAGCAATGTTAGATCATTATTTTTAATAAACTTATTTTTTGCAACAGTCATTAGGCCATTTTTAAAAAGGGTTTACAATTCTGGCAGATCTGATGTGTAAGAACAAAAAGATAGAAAAGCAATCCTGCTGTATTTAGCACTGGGCGGATTATTCTGTATTTAGCACTGGGCAGAGTATTGTGTACAAATTTGGTTTCTCTAATTAAAGAAAGATGTGCACAACTTGGGAACTGTCCCGAAAATTCAACCAAAACATTCAGAGGCTAGGAAGTAATCCATATGGAATTTATCATACAGATCTACTCACACAAATGGAAAATAATGAATGTTCATGTTTACTCACTACATTATTTGTAATAGCAAAATATTGGACTCCATCTAGAAGTTCATGAATATGAGACTGGCTAAATGAATAATGGCACGTCTATAAAATGAAATTTACTATAGCTGTAAAAGAGATTGAGAAAACTATGTTCTGTTGTGGAAAGATCTCTAAGATTCATTGTTAAGTGAAACAAGAAAGGTGCTCAACTATGTATGTAATACATGCTACTATCATGTTAAAGTAAAAAGAGGAGTGATATATATTTATTTCTGCTCGTGTATTAAAAAAAAAAAAAAAAATCTCTGGAAGTACACAGATGAAATCAATAACAGTGATTGCCTATAAAGGGTAGGCAGGAACTTGATGAACAGGTGATGGAAGGATAGAGAGGCTTTTTATTGTGTAGCTTTGTATACTTTTGATTTTTGATTCTTTCAAATGTATTACTTATTTAAGAACCCAAATAGATAATTTTAAATGAGCAACAAAAAGGAAAAGAAAGAATATGAAGAAGAATTGTCAGAGGGATGAGGACTTAAATTGTGTCTAACTTATGAAGAGCCCTGAGTAACACATCTTATCTAAGTGTCTCTACAATCAGTGTTAATTACCACATTGTTAACTCAATTGCAAAGACAAAGAATAAATGAATGGATTGTGCCTCAATATAGTTCACTCGTGATTCAAGGACATGGCTGTAATTCACTAAAGAGAAGACCCAATTAGTAGCCGATTTTTCCAAAATGACAAAGAATTAGTCAATGAAAGAGTAACACAATTCACTACTCCCTAGACTTAATGATGGTTGAAAAGCACTTTATAGTTTGCAAACTGCTTTCACATATATTATCTCATTTGATCTATTTTTTTTTTAAGAGACAGAGCCTCACTCTGTCACCCAGGCTGGAGTGCAGTGACACAATCACAGTTTACTACAGGCTTGAACTCCTGGGCTCAAGTGATCCTCCCACCTCAGCCTCCTGAGTAGCTAGGACTACAGGTGCATACCATCACACCTGGCTAATTAAAAAAATTTTTTTTGTAGGAGTGGGGTCTCACTATGTTGCCCAGGCTAGTCTTGAACTCCTGGCCTCAAGCAATCCTCCCATCTCAGCCTCCCAAAGTGCTGGTATTGAAAATATGAGCCACCATGCCTGGCCTGATCCATTCTTATAAAAACATTATGTGATATATAGGACAGAAACTTCTGTTGTTATTTTACAAATGAGAAATGGAAATAAAGAGAAGATGAATACCTGCTGATGGTCTCCACCACTAGAACATGATATGTGAAATTGGGACTAGCTTGAAAAATGGGAGGCATGTGGGCTCTCAGTCACTGGACTTGCCCAGTCATTGGACTCCTTGGAGGTACTTACAGTGTTTAAATTCTTCTACTTCTGCTTTTCGCCCTGACTTTATTGCTCAATTGTTCATTTTTCTCTATTCTGGCCCAGGGGTTTAGCTGAATTTCTGACTCATCTTGTTTCTTCATAGCAAAAGGCATAGAAAAAAATTCTTTTTTCTCTTCCATCCATTCCATCTTAAATGTTAATGTATATAAGAATCACAAGGAAAGCTTATTAAAATGCAGATTCCTGGCACCTGTTTCCAAAGATCCTAGATCCTGACTCACTGGGTCATCAGTGGAGTCCAGGAATATGCTTTTTCACAAGCATGTGACTATGATACAGGCAGTCTGACCCTAAATAATATGTTCAACAACTGATACTATTGTAACTAGTAACTCTGCATGGCTAACTTAAATCAAAGAGGCTTCCCAGATCCCCTTGCAAGCTCATTATTGCTACTACAAAGAGGCAAAGATGAGGAGCTGGGAATGATGATTAGCCCCTAGTGAGTTAAGAGAAGCTCATGATGACAGCACGCCATGCTAATATTTGCCTGGCATTCAGGAGAAGACATAAAATTAAATTAAAATGAAACAGATTTATATCCTTTACCTCTGAAACTCTGAAAGTATAAGATTAAAGTTGTCTTAGGGGGCCCGAATAAGCTGCCTCTTTGCTTCTAAGGAGAATTTCAAGTATTGACCATGTCTACCAAAGACTTCAATGGTTTGAGATTTGGTTACCCTAGTGACTGCCTGCTCCCTCTGCAGCGCTGCAGTCATCTGAGATCTGGCAGGGCACGTCTCCTTACAGTTTCCCAGTTCCACCAATGGAAGAGGGAACAGAAACAGCAGAGGCCTCTTCATGGCAACTCTTGTTTACATAACTTTCTCCTCACTCCAATTCTGGGGAAGCCCCTAGTGTGGCTTCTTTGAGAGTTTTGGCCAACATCTATCATTCTTCAGCTGCCCTCTCCATAAGAGATTATTTTGTGAAAGCTGCTTTATAATTATTTAAAATGGCTTAATGCCTAAAGCACACATTTATCATCTGCCAAAGGCTTTTATAGTTTTACATAACTTGCTCAGTGTTTTTAACTTTGTACTTATGACCCAAGGCAATTATTCCAAAGGACATAGTTTTATTAATTGAAATAATAAATACTTTATAGATGTTCTAATAAAATGTGGTGATTTAAAGTTTAAATGGTGTACTGAGTCATTCTAGAATACCCACAAAGCCCACCTCAGTAAAAGCCAAATGGAAAAATCTAGAGGGAGAATGAAACTAATGAAAAATTCGATAATGGTACACTAGGTGAGATCACAGAAACCATGGGGAGAATTGTAAGAGAAGTCTCATGGGTTTTAAAAAGACATATCACCAGAAATTTCATTTGCTAATTGCTTTTCCTTGATTCAAAGATTAGCAAGTGTCAATATAGCTCCTTGCTGTGTCTTTCAGTAGAGCATGTCCTCTACAAAAGTAGGAGTCGTTCTGAACTGGACCACTCACTGGCCTTAGGTAGTCACTTAATGCCTATTGGCTAATTTCCTGCTCTCTATACTCTACATCTATTACTTGACCATTAATTTTCTTTCCAAGAAGGAAACACATAGATCCAGTAACTAGAAGTTTAAGAATGAAACTGCATTCTCTATGACATTTGCCTCAAACCTCTAAACTCTTTCACAAATAAACATAAAAGGAAGCTTAGATGGGTGGATCTACTTCTGTCTCATGGTGAGGGCTTTATCTGAAGATGTTACAACATTCTCATTTGGGTGGGTCATGGAAAAATAAGTAAAAGATTTTATAACAGCTCAGAGGTGTAGGCCAGGACAGCTTGGGTGGCTGACCAGAAAGAACAGTCTCCAGGGAAAAGCAGAGAGGCCTCTGAAAAGCTCTGTCTTCAACACTCATGTATTACCCAGTTTCCTCATCCAGAGTTGCGCCACTAAGGGTTTTGCCTCTCCCCTCCTCTCCTCTCCTCTCCTCTCCTCTCCTCTCCTCTCCCCTCCCCTCCCCTCCCCTCCCCTCCCCTCCCCTCCCCTCCCGTCCCCTCCCCTCTCCTCTTTTTTTTGTGTGTGACAGTTTCACTCTTATGGCCCAGGCTGGAGTGCAATGGTGCGACCCTAGCTCACTGCAACCTCCGCCTCCTGGGTTCAAGCGATTCTCCTGCCTCAGCCTCCCAAGTAGCTGGGATTACAGGCATGTGCCACCATGTCCAGCTAATTTTGTATTTTTAGTAGAGATAGGGTTTCACCGTGTTAGCCAGGCTGGTCTCAAACTCCTGACCTCAGGTGATCTGCCCACCTCAGCCTCCCAAAGTGCTGGGATTACAGGCGTGAGCCACTGTGCCCGGCCAAGAGTTTTTTCAAAACTGGGAGGCAGGTGGGAAATTTGGAAAGCTATAACTGTAGCTGCTGCCACGTAATTACAGACCAGAACTACCGATCGTGATTTCCAAGGTGGAGACATATTCCATATCTGTGCACCAAAACAGTAGCCACTAGTCACATGGGACTATTGAGCACTTGCTTGTGCCTTGTGTGACTGAGAAAGTAAATTTTTTTTTTCTTTTTTAATTTTTGTAGGGGCGTGGTCTCAACATGTTACCCAGACTGGTCTCCAACTCCTGAGCGCAAGCAGTCCTCCCACTTTGGCCTCACAAAGTGCTGGGATTACGGCATGAGCCACTGTGCTTGGCCAAAGAAGTGAATTTTAAATTTTATTTAATTGTAATGAATTTTAACTTAAATAGCTACATGCAACTAGTGGATACTGTATTGGGCAGTGCAGTTCTAGACTTTCAGGTGACTTGTCTAGATACTGGATGCCAAGCCCCAATTTCTTTACTGGTGGAGTACTGCAACTTTCACTTTAACCAACTCTTGAGCTTGAACCCAAAGTAAAAGAAGGAGGTGGCTGAAAAGTGAAAGGGTGGAGAGAAAAAAAATACCCTAATCTATTATTAAGGTGGAAGGACGACATGTATACAATTCTAAACCAAGTAGATAAAAAAGAAAAATGTAGTTGATCATCTCAACATTTGATATCTATACTAGACCAACAAACAATTTTGCTTTTTTTCTCCCTTAACTGAATGGAGAGAATTGGCAGATGAATTTGACATTCTGTAGTACAGTGAAATATAAATGAAAAACAAACACCAGGCAGGCCTAAGTGGATGTGGATTAAATTAAATATTTACACCCTACACAGCAGATCTTTTGTAAAGAGCAAGTTTATAAACCAGGAGCTTCCATAATAAAAGGGGTATGAATGGTTTTATTTATATCAACCTGCTGTTTGACACCTAGGCCACTGGCAATCTATCCCAGCTGCCAGCAGGTGACTTAAGTATCACAAAATACAGTTATCCAATTGTGTGTGTGTGTGTGTGTGTGTGTTTTGTTTTGTTTTGTTTTGTTTTGTTTTGTTTTGACAGAGTCTTGCTCTGTCGTGCAGGCTGGAGTGCAGTGGCATGATCTCAGCTCACTGCAACCTCTGCCTCCTGGGTTCAAGCGATTCTCCTGTCTCAGCCTCCTGAGTAGCTGGGACTACAAGCATGTGCCACAAAACCTGACTAATTTTTTTGTATTTTTAGTAGAGTGGGGGTTTCACCCTGTTGGTCAGGCTAGTCTCGAACTCCTGACCTCAAAAGATTTACCAGTCTCGGCCTCCCAAAGTGTTGGGATTACAGGTGTGAGCCACTGCACCCAGGCTTCAATTGTTTTAAAACTGCACTTGTATGTATAAATAAACACAAAAGATGAGAGGTATGTACATCAAAAATGTTTATAGTTGTTATTTCTATTATTTTAGTTAGGTTATTGTTATTATTGCCTTTATCATTTTGTTTTCTCCAGATTTTTAGCATTGAGCTGAAACTTTTTTTTTTTTTTTTTTTTAGACAAGGTCTTGCTCTGTTACCCAAGCTGGAGTGCAGTGGTTTGATCACGACTCACTGTAATGTTGAACTCCTGGGCTCAAGTGATACTCCTGCCTCAGCTTCCTGAACAGCTAGGATGTCTGGTTAAAGGTGTTTTTGTTTTTTTTTTTTTTGTAGAGACAAGGGTCAAGTGTCTCACTATGTTGCCCAGACTAGACTTGAACTCCTGGCCTCAAGTGATCCTCCCACCTTGGCCTCCCAAAGCCCTGGGATTATGGGCCACTGCAAATGGCCCTAAAACATTTCTTAAGAACACATTTTTTCAATAGGGAAAAGCACAGAAAATAATACAGTAAACACGTGCCTACCATCAAGATGGAACAGTTAGTTGTTCACAGTTTGTTATATTTGTTTTACACATTTCCTTTTTTGAAGAAAGAAATAAAACACTATAGCTATAGCTGAAGCCCCTTGTGTACCCTTCCCCAGTGCCATTGCACTTTCTCCCCAGGAGCAATCTTTAATGTGAATTTAGAATGTTTTCCTATCTTTTTTCCAACCCATTGCAGGTGGGAGATTTTGTACCCCGATTCACTGCCTCTCACAGTGTCTTAGGTAGCCCTGGTCTTAGGTTTTCATTCTGCCCCAAGAGCTGCCATTCTAAGTACTTTTCCCACGCACATGTGTGTGCGTGTGTGTGATTATTTTCTGTATATATATATATGCATTTATTGTGCATTTTAAAACACACAAAGCATGTATATATGTAATTATATGCTCACATATGTAATATACACATATATATTACAAAAGCATATATATAAGTAATATAGATAAGAAGAAGCATATGCTTTGTGTGTTTATTTTATTTTATTTTATTAATGGAGTTTCACTCTTGTCGCCCAGGCTGGGATGCAATGGCACAATCTCAGCTCACTGCAACCTCCGCCTCCCAGGTTCAAGAGATTCTCCAGCCTCAGCCTCCTGGGTAGCTGGGATTACAGGCACCCGCCACCACACCCAGCTAATTTTTTTTATATTTTTAGTAGCAAGGGGGTTTCTCCATGTTGGCCAGGCTGGTCTGGAACTCCTGGCCTCAGGTGATCCACCTGCCTTGGCCTCCCAAAGTGCTGGGATTACAGGCGTGAGCCATCATGCCCGGCCTGTCTGTGTGTTTAAATATATATATATATACACACGCACACATGAACATCATGTAGTCCTGCTTTGTGTGTTTAAAAATGCACAATAAATTATATTGCATGTGTTTCTGCAAATTACTCTTTTCATTCAATTTTATGTTTCTGAAAGATGTTAAAACATATACACATATCTTAATTAGAAAAATTATTTTTTGAAAAATCCGGGTGCGGTGGCTCACACTTGTAATCCCAGCACTTTGGGAGGCCGAGGCAGGTGGATCATGAGGTCAGGAGTTCGAGACCAGCCTAGCCAAGATGGCGAAACCCCGTCTCTACTAAAAATACAAAAATTAGCCGGGTGTGGTGGCACATGCCTGTAGTCCCAGCTACTTGGGAGGCTGAAGCAGGAGAACCGCTTGAACCCGGGAGGCGGAGGTTGCAGTGAGCCAAGATGGTGCCATTGGACTACGCCTGGGCGACAAGAGCAAAACTCTGTCTGAAAAAAAAAAGAAAAATTATTTTTTTGGCCGGGAACAGTGGCTCACGCCTATAATCCCAGCACTTTGGGCAGCGGAGGTGGGTGGATCACCTGAGTTCAGGAGTTCGAGACCAGCCTGGCCAACATGGTGAAACCCCACCTCTACTAAAAATACAAAATGTAGCGGGGCATGGTCGCAGGCACCTGTAATCCCAGCTACTCGGGAGGCTGAGGCAGGAGAATCACTTGAGCCCAGGATGCGGAGTTTGCAGTGAACTGAGATCTTGCCATTGCACTCCAGCCTGGGCAACAGAGTGAGACTCTGTCTCTAAAAAATAAAAAAGTAAAGAAAAAGAAAAATTATTTTTTAAAAAACGTTCCATCAAAAACCACCAGCATGGCTGGGCGTGGTGGCTCACGCCTATAATCCTAGCAATCTGGGGGGCCAAGGCAGGCAGATTGCCTGTGCTCCAGAGTTGGAGACCAGCCTGGGCAACACGGTGAAACCCCATCTCTACTAAAATACGAAAAATTAGCCAGGCATGGTGGCTTGCGTCTGTAGTCCCAGCTAATTGGAAGGCTGAGGCAGGAGAATCACTTGAACCCCAGAAGCATAGGTTTCAGTGAGCCGAGATCGCACCACTGCACTCCTGCCTCCTGGGTGATAGAGTGAGACTCCATCTCTGGAAATAAATAAATAAATAAATAAATAAATAAATAAAATAATAACAATAAAAGGAAACTTTTTTCTAGAAATCTATGATGTGTATTTTCATGTCACCTCATTTGAGTTTCCTAAGAAGTCTAGGAAGCAGGTATTATTATTAATCCCACCTAACAGATGGAGAAACATCATTCAAGAAGTTGAGACTTCCTCTCCCGTCTCCCTCCTCTCCCTCCTCTCCCTCCTCTCCCTCCTCTCCCTCTCTTTCCACGGTCTCCCTCTGATGCAGAGCTGAAGCTGGACTGTCCTGCTGCCATCTCGGCTCACTGCAACCTCCCTGCCTGGTTCTCCTGCCTCAGCCTGCAGAGTGCCTGCGATTGCAGGCGTGCGCCGCCACGCCTGACGGGTTTTCGTATTTTTTTGGTGGAGACGGGGTTTCGCCGTGTTGGCCGGGCTGGTCTCCAGCTCCTGACCGCAAGTGATCTGCCTGCCTCGGCCTCCCGAGGTGCCAGGATTGCAGACGGAGTCTCGCTCACTCAGTGCTCAATGTTGCCCAGGCTGGAGTGCAGTGGCGTGATCTCGGCTCGCTACAACCTCCACCTCCCAGCCGCCTGCCTTGGCCTCCCAAAGTGCCGAGACTGCAGCCTCTGCCCGGCCGCCACCCCGTCTGGGAAGTGAAGAGCGTCTCTGCCTGGCCGCCCATCGTCTGAGATGTGGGGAGCGCCTCTGCCCGGCCGCCCCTACTGGGAAGTGAGGAGCCCCTCTGCCCGGCCACCACCCCGTCTGGAAAGTGAGGAGTGTCTCTGCCCGGCCGCCCCATCTGAGAAGTGAGGAGCGCCTCTGCCTGGCAGCCACCCCATCCGGGAGGGAGGTGGGGGGTCAGCCCCCCGCCCGGCCAGCCGCCCCGTCCGGGAGGTGAGGGGCGCCTCTGCCCGGCCGCCCCTACTGGGAAGTGAGGAGCCCCTCTGCCCGGCCACCACCCCGTCTGGGAGGTGTACCCAACAGCTCATTGAGAACGGGCCATGATGACAATGGCGGTTTTGTGGAATAGAAAGGGGGGAAAGGTGGGGAGAAGATTGAGAAATCGGATGGTTGCCGTGTCTGTGTAGAAAGAGGTAGACATGGGAGACTTTTCATTTTGTGCTGTACTAAGAAAAATTCTTCTTCCTTGGGAAAAAAAAAAAAAAAAAAAGAAGTTGAGACTTGCCCAAGGCTGAATAGTTAACAAGAGGCTGAACCTGAAATCACAGCCTGGCTTTCACCCCTGGCTTTGCAGGCGGGAGATTTTGCACCCGGCTGATGCACTGCCTCTCACAGTGCCTTGGGCAGCTCCAGCCTGGGGTTTTCATTTTGCCCTAAGAACGGTCAGTGGAGAGTAAAGTCTGTTGGGCAAACTTCTCCCTTGCTGACCAACGAAAGGCAAGCATCAAGAAATCAGGAAGAGGGAAGAGAAACAGAGCAAATGAGGAAAACAGAAAGAGGAAATAACAAGCTGGAACGCTGGTGGCTCTGTGGTTAAAAAGAGAGGAAAATATAAATGGAGAGAAAATGGTCATTTTGGTCAAGTATAAAAGGTAGACAAAGGTTGCTGAAGATTGAGAAGAGAAACAGGTTAGACACCATTCTACCCCACATCTTTCAGTACCTTCGCTGGCAACCCCAGGGTTGGAGGGTGGGGCCGGGAGCAACTCTTCACTTCCCCTAGAGCAGAGTTTCCCAAAATATAGCAGATATCAAAGATAATTTTAGATATTACAATAACAGGCATTAGTTGAATGGCAGGGTACAAAAATGAAATATTTTGAAATTGTTTTAATCCTTCTCTCCCCAATTGACTGAACAGTCTGAATCAAATGGAGTAGCAAAAGAAATATTTCACTTTCTTTAACTACCACCTTCCACATACTCAATCTCTCTCTCATTGTAGGGAAGAAAGATTATTCCCTCTTTCCAAATATTTCCCATATTCTTGGTAAGCCATTAACTTGAGGAAAGGTAAGTTTCTCTTAACTACCTCTTGGGCAGAGCCCATAAATATCTGATCAGTTTTAGTTACCAGAAAAAGCCAGTGTCGTTTAAATTTTTAATTTCATATCCAAATTAGTGTTTGCCTGGTGCCCTTCTGCATCCCTCTAGGTTCCTTTCTCCTCCGGGGAAGGGAACACATGCCCCCCTCCACAAGAGATGCCCTGTGGTCCTCTCTGGGCCGCACGGCCCCTCCCTGGCTGCTGATGCCCGCTTGTCCAGGAATCCGAGTTCAGACTCTCATGGCAGTGTGAGGGTGAGTTTTTTGGTGAGCTGTGCAGTTCCCCGACATGGGAGGGTCACCAGGGCTTGACCACTTCAACTGTCCCTCAGCTCCCATTCCTAGGGGTCACGATTAGGGTCATACACATCCAAACTCTACGGGGTGCACACTGGGCTCCCCAGGTCCCCTCACACTCCACAGGCTGCGAGCCGCGCCTTTCGGACTATCCCATTCTCAGCAATTCTCCCAGGCCCCTCACTGAACCTCCACGTCATGCTACCTGCCACCCGACCCCAACCCCTATCCCCAGCATCTCCAGCTCCGCTTCCACGGACTCTGACTGGATGATGATGAAGCCGCAGGAGCAGGTGAGCCACCGTGATAAGCCCTGAGGAGGTGTCTGGCCTCAGTCTTTCAGCTCTGCGGAACAGCGGGAAATGCGAAAGCGCTTCTCTGTTCTCGACCGTGGACCCCGGTCTCCAGTGTGATTGCATCTAGTATGGCAAAGCCGCCTCTCTCACGCTTAGCCTCCTTTCTGTCCCTACTCAGAGAGAGAGCAAGCCTTCTTTAGGCAACAGCATCCATCCACAAACTAAGACCATTTGGCCTTCCTCGTGCTTATTTTCACTGTACACTGTACAGTCATGCGTTGCTGAACAACAGGATATGTCTGGGAAACGCATCATCAGGTGATTTCATCATTGTTCAAACATCCTAGAGTGCACTTACACAAACCCAGATGGCACAGCCTACTACACATCCAGGCTGTATGATACAGCCTATGGTTCCCAGGCTACCTTCCTGCGTGTATACCGCACAGTGCTGAATACTGCAGGCAATTGTAACACAATGGTAAGTATTTGTGTATCTAAACATAGAAAAGGTACAGTAAAAATGCCAAATGAAAGACTTTTTTTGGGGGCGGGCACGGTGGCTCACGCCTGTAATCCCAGCACTTTGGGAGGCCAAGACCGGCAGATCACGAGGTCAGGAGATCGAGACCATCCTGGCTAACACGGTGAAACCCCGTCTCTACTAAAAAACAAAAACAAAAACAAAAACAAAAAATTAGCCAGGAGTGGTTGCGGGCTCCTGTAGTCTCAGCTACTCGGGAGGCTGAGGCAGGAGAATGGCGTGAACCCGGGAGGCGGAGCTTGCAGTGAGCCGAGATCGCGCCACTGCACTCCAGCCTGGGCGACAGAGCGAGACTCCGTCTCAAAAAAAAAAAAAAAAAAAAAAGAAAGTTTTTTTTTATAAAGGAACACCTGTCTAGGCACTTTCCATGACTGGAGCTTACAGGACTGGAAGTTGGGTGAGTCAATGAGCGGGCAGTGAGGCGATGTGAAGGCCTGGGGCATTCTGTGCACTATACTTAGGCTACATTAAATTTATTTTAAAAATTTTATTTCTTCAATAATACATTAACTTTTAAATTTTTGAAAAATTTTTAAATTTTTATTTTTTATTTGAGACGGAGTCTTTCTCTGTAGTCCAGACTGGAGTGCAGTGGCACGATCTTGGCTCACTGCAACCTCTGCCTCCCAGGTTCAAGTGATTCTCCTGCCTCAGCCTTCCCAGCAGCTGGGATTACAGGCGACCGCTACCACACCCAGCTAATTGTTGTATTTGTAGTAGAGACGGGGTTTCAACATATTGGTCAGGTTGGTCTCGATCTCCCGACCTCAAGTGATCCGCCCGCCTCGGCCTCCCAAAGTGCTGGGATTACAGGCGTAAGCCACCGCGCTGGGCCAATTTTTTTTTTTGACAGGAAGTAGGATTTATTAATGAGCATTAGGAGGGGACAGCACAGTGGAATCTCTCATGAGCTCAGAGTCCGATACTTGCCCAGGGCGCCGCGAGTGGGGATGTATCGGACCCTACAGCCATCTGGGATGAGCCGCTTCTCAGCCACATGTCTTCAAATTCATCCGAATCGAAGGTGGCAAAGCCCAGTCTCCGACACCTGGGTCTTCTGGCGCCGGGAACCTGTCCTTGGCCCTGCACAGTCATGTGCTCCGTGTTCCGCGGTTTGGTGCGGACGGACTTGACAACCCGGCCCCTGCGAACCTGGCCCCGGCCGCGGGGGCTTTCCACAGGCACCTGCAGGCCTGTCTGGAGCCTGCAGCCCCAGCGCAGGACGAGACCTTGTATTGAGGATGACGCGGACGGGGTGGGGAAGCCCTGGGAGGTGAGAGCGTCCCGGCCACCACTTTGACCGTGCGCTTGACATAAATGTGCGCAGCTTCCCCGGCTGCAGAGTGGAGCGGCTCGCGTTCATCCGACACCAGGTAGGGATCTCACCATGTGGCCAGAGGGGGAAGGCTTTTGCCTTCTTCCGTCCCAGGTCAAAGATACACGTGTTGGCCTCGGGGACACTCCCCAGCCCCCAGCGGAACCGAGGCTTGGGGTGCAAATTCGTTCTTGCAGTTCCAGCAACACCGGGGGCGCAGCCCGTGGCAACGCCGAGGTCTCCCGGGGCGCAGAAAGGAAAGACCCCTCTATAATCTTACGTGACCACCATCGCATACGCGGCCTGTAGTTGACTGAAACGTTATCTGGCGCGTGACTGTAGTGACTTTCCATTTACCATAGACATCGGTGTTTTTTGTTTGTTTGTTTGTTTGTTTGTTTGTTTGTTTGTTTTTTGAAACGGAGTCTCGCTCTGTTGCCAGGCTGGAGTGCAGTGGTGCAATCTCAGCTCACTGCCACCTCTGCCTCCCGGGTTCCAGCGATTCTCCTGCCTCACCCTCCCGTGTAGCTGGGACTAGAGGCGCCCACCACCATGCCCGGCTACATTTTTGTATTTTTAGTAGAGACGGGGTTTCACCGTGTTAGCCAGGATGGTCTGGATCTCCTGACCTCGTGATCCGCCCGCCTCGGCCTCCCAAAGTGCTGGGATTACAGGCGTGAGCCACTGTGCCTGGCCTAAAATCTGTTTTTTATTTGTAAGGTTTTTTGTTTGTTTTTTGAGACAGGGCCTCACTCTGTCACCCAGCCTGGAGTACAGTGGCACGATCGTGGCTCACTGCAACCTCGACTTCCTGGGCTCAAGCAGTCCTCCCACCTCAGCCTCCCGCGGCAAATTTTTGCATTTTTTGCAGAGATGGGGGTCTCGCCATATTGCCCAGGCTGGTGTTGAGCTCCTGAGCTCAAGTGATCCACTTGCCTTGGTCTTCCAAAGTGCTAGGATTACAGGTGTGAACCACCAGCACCTGGCCTCATTTATAAGTTTTTTAAAAACCAAGTGGGTTTAAATAAAAACGTTAGGTTAACAATTGATTGTACAGGTGGTAAGTAGCCATTATGGAAAAAAAAAATAGTGAAAGTGGCATTTGAAAGACTTAAGTTTCTGAAACACTGCTTTGAGCCGGTGGCTCATGCCTGTAATCTCAGCACTTTGGGAGGCTGAGGCGGGTGGATCACAGGGTCAAGAGTTCAAGACCAGCCAGACCAACATGGTGAAACCCCCGTCTCTACTAAAAATACAAAAATTAGTTGGACATGGTGGTGCATGCCTGTAATCCCAGCTACTGGGGAGGCTGAAGCAGGAAAATGGCTTGAATCCAGGAGGCAGATGTTGCAGTGAGCCGAGATCATGTCACTGCACTCCAGCCTGGGTGACAAGCAAGACTCTGTCTCAAAAAAAAAAAAAAAAAAAAAAAAGAAAGAAAGAAAGAAAAGAAAAGAAATGAGTTAAATTGAGCAAAATCACATGTGGCATGCTTAAAGTAGTGCTTGTTTACCAATAAGCATGTACTAAATGTCAGCTATTTGCTACAATATTGAGAGCCTCCTATGTGCTGGTGGGTTTTTAAAAACAGCTTCATTGGGGTATAATTTCTTTCTTTTTCTTTTTATTTTCTTTTTCTTTTTTTTTGAGACAGAGCCTTGCTCTGTCGCTCAGGCTGGAGTGCAGTGGCGCCATCTTGGCTCACTGCAAGCTCTGCCTCACCTGTTCAAGCGATTCTCCTGCCTCAGCCTCCCAAGTAGCTGGGACTACAGCGCATGCCACCATGCCCAGCTAATTTTTGTATTTTTAGTAGAGCTGGGGTTTCACCATGTTGGTCGGGATGGTCTCAAACCCCTGACCTCAGGTGATCTGCCCGCCTCAGCCTTCCAAAGTGCTGGGATTACAGGTGTGAGCCACCGTGCCCAGCGAGGTATAATTTCTACACCAAATAATGTCACAATTTTAAGTGTACTATTCAATAATTTTTAGTCGATCTACGGTTGTGCACCCCTCACCACAATCCAATTTTAGAACATTTCCATCAGCCCAAAAAGATCTCTCATGCCCATTTGCTCTTCCTCTCCTGTTCCCCAGCCCCAGGCAAACCTAAGCGACTTTAGGTCTCCCTAGTTTTGCCTTTCCTCATGTAAATGGACTCATACAATATGTCATCTTTTTTGTCTGGCTTCTTTTACTTAGCATAATGTTTTTGCAGTTCAGTTATGAATAATGCTGCTATGAACATTCGCACACAAGTCTTTGTGTGGACATATGTTTTCATTCCTCTTGGGTAGACACCCAGGCATAGAATTGCTGGGTTGTATGGTAAATTTATGTTTAACTTTTTAAGAAACTGCCAAACTGTTTTCAAAAGTGGCTGCACCATTTTACGTTTCTACCAGCAAAGCATGAGGGTGCCAGGTGCTGTACATCTATTATTTTGAATACATGTGTGTGGGCATTTCATAACCACTGTTTTAGAGGTGAGAAACTTGTGGTTGCAAGAGGTTAACTAACTTGCAGGAGGTCATTCAGCCTGACAAAGCCAGTATTCAACCCTATCTAGTTCCAAATCCCATCCTTTTCTACTGTGGACTGGCTCTGTGCTGGGTGTTTGTGCTGATTAATAGGGCTGGGGGAGGGCGCTGCAGCAACTCTGCTTCCAGCTCACTCTGTGGAGCACCCGAGTGATTAGGTGAATAATGCAGCCTGTGACCAGGGGAAACGGAAGGAGGGCTAGTCTTCTTGGACCAGTTACCAAGCCCCGACAATATTTACATAATTCATTTATCTCTCTTTTTTTTTTCTTGAGACAGAATTTCATTCTTGTTGCCCAGGCTGGAGTGCAATGGTGCGATCTTGGCTCACTGCAACCTCTGCCTCCCCGGTTCAAGCGATTCGCCTGTCTCAGCCTCCCGAGTAGCTGGGATTACAGGCATGCGCCACCATGCCCAGCTAACTTTTTTTTTTTTTTGAGATGAAGTCTCGCTCTGTCACCCAGGCTGGAGTGTAGTGGTGCGATCTCGGCTCACTGCAACCTCTACCTCCCGGATTCAAGCAATTCTCTCTCTCAGCCTCCTGACGAGCTGGGATTACAGGCACCCACCACCACGCCCGGCTAATTTTTATATATTTTTTAGTAGAGTCAGGGTTTTTCCATGTTGGTCAGGCTGGTCTTGAACTCCTGACCTCAGGTGATCCGCCCACCTCAGCCTCCCAAAGTGCTGGGATTGCAGGCATGAACCACGGCACCCGGCCATCTCTTTATGTTTAGAATGAAACTTCAGTCCAGGTTAACCAGTGACACAGCAAAGGAACAAGCTGAGCACTATAAGGAGTCCCCATCACTGTGGACTTTGACAGCCTCATAATCACTTGGCTGGCCACAGAACAGGGAGAGGAGATTTTTGCTTTCCTCTGTCTCTGAGTCAGCAAGTAGTTAGTTACTGAAATCACATCCGCTAACAAGTCCAGGCAACTGCTGACTGCATTGTTCCTGTTGCCTTGTTTTGTATGGCTGGCCAAAACACAAACAGCAGGGTGTATAAATTGATTATATAAAGACATGGGAAATGACATAGTCAAATTGAAAATATCAAGCAAAAATTACTGCTTTCTATAATTTTTTTTTTTTTGGTGAGACGGAGATTTACTCTTGCTCAGGCTGGAGTGCAATGGTGCGATCTCGGCTCACCGCATCCTCCGCCTCCCAGGTTCAAGCGATTCTCCTGCCTCAGCCTCCTGAGTAGCTGGGATTACAGGCATGTGTCACCACACCTGGCTAATTTTGTATTTTTAGTAGAGACGGGGTTTCACTGTGTTGCCCAGGCTGATCTCGAACTCCTGACCTCAGGTAATCCGCCCGCCTCGGCCTCCCAAAGTGCTGGGATTACAGGCGTGAGCCACTGTCCCTGGCCGCTTTCTATAATCTTTATCTTCAGCAGGATTTTAATATAAGCCTATCTTCTCTTATCCATATCTTTCTATATCACTGTCTCCAGGGGGACTATGTTAGGGTTAACAAGCATGAAGTTGGCATTTTCATTCATCCATCCTTGACAGCAGGGGCTGTGTCTTGTTCAGCTTCGTATTCCCTGCAGTGCATAGCATGACGTTGTGTAACATCAACCTTCTTCCTATATCTTGCGTGGACTATTGTTATCCGTCTCCCAGTAGTCATCCTCCATCCATAGCTCCTCTATCCAGGCCATTTTCTACACTTCCTTTTGAATTATCTTTCTAATATGCATCTTTTATTCAAGAAGAAATGATGACATTTTATTATTTTATTTTTTATTTTTAGAGACAGGGTCTTGCTCTGTTGCCCAGGCTGGAAAGCAGTGGCGTGATCATAGTGCACTGCAGCCTAGACCTCCACGGCAAGAGCAATCCTCCTGCCTCACCCCCACTCCCACCCCCTGATAGCTGGGACTACAGGTGTGCTCCACCACACTCAGCTAATTTTTCAATTTTTCAATTTTTTTTTTTTTTTTTTTTTTTTGCAGAGACAGGGTGTCACTATGTTGCCCAGGGTGGTCTTAAACTCCTGGCTCAAGTAATCTTCTTGCCTCAGCCACCCAAAGCCCTGTGATTACAGGCATGAGCCACTGCACCTGGCCAATGACATTTTATTATTTGATTAGATTCATGGTGTTGCAGATATAACAAAGGTGATACCAAACATGTTCATGTATTTTAAAGATGCCTATTGGTCTACGGGATGGGCAAAATAAAAGAAAAAATATTTTAAGGCTGTCGATCGCTATGAAACAAAGTCCATATTCTTTACCAGATCATGAAAGATCATTATATAACCTGGCTTGCCGACCTACAGCTTTGTTTTTCACCATTCTCTTCCCCTTTCTGCTCTTTCTAGAAGGACTGCTATTCATTCTTCCTGTATTTTTCAGCATCTGCCTCAGGCCTGGACATAGAACAAGTGTTCAATAAATATTTCTTGTTAGATTGAGAGTTGCTTTGACCTGCTAACAGCTATATTAATTCCATAAGCCTTCAAAGGAGACTTCTAAGTCCTAGGACACTCTTCATAGCAGAGGAGGTGTGAGAATGGTGAATAAATGACTACCTATTTTTATTCTTCTTCTCAGAGTAGACTCACTGATTCACTCAACCTATGTCTTGAATGTTTTTAAAGGTCAAATCTTTATTTTGAAGTTGTACAAATGGGCCGGGCGCAGTGGCTCATGCCTGTAATCCCAGCACTTTGGGAGGCTGAGGTAGGTGGATCACCTGAGGTCAGGAGTTCGAGACCAGCCTGACCAACATGGAGAAACCCCATCTCTACTAAAAATACAAAATTAGCTGGACATGGTGGCACATGCCTGTAATCCCAGCTACTTGGGTGGCTGAGGCGGGAGAATTGCTTGAACCTAGGAGGCAGAGGTTGCAGTGAGCGGAGATCGCGCCATTGCACTCCAGCCTGGGCAACAAGAGTGAAACTCCATATAGACCGAAAAAAAAAAGGAAAAGAAATTGTACAAACTGCTGTTCCTCAATTAGAAGAAATTCATAAAGAAATAGCAACTGAGTGTTAATTTTCCTAACATTAGACAATTTAGTGAAATGCAATTTGAAAAGCTTTAATGGTCATTTAAACTTGAATTGCTAATTATTTTCTTAGAAGGACATAAAAATAAATGAAGGAAAGAAAACATAAATGAAAGCTCTCCGTAGACTATTGAAGGCTGCCTATTCTTTACAAATATCATGGAGGTCAACATTTAGCAGTTCCGTCAACACTATTCTGGGAATTGGATGAGTCAAGACTATTAAGAGAATCAAAAAATTTAGCCAATTTCAAATTCGCATATGCATTTGTAAATTTAATGATATAGTAATGATTTAACAATCATACTGTCCTATGCTATTATATGTATGCCAGCCATATAAGCAAGTTGACATAACAGAATTTTTATCAGACCCTTTAATTATATACATATAGACATTATTTAGAAATTAAACTAGGTACAAAAAACTAGGAAAAATATTTGTAGCTAATTTGACAAGAGTTAGTACAGTGTTACATAAAAAAGCTATTCAGATAAAACACTGTCTCCAACAGTGCTGATGGGCAAAAGGCATGAAAAGACAAAGCAGTTAATATGATTAACAGATAACATGGAAAAGTTATTCAATTTCAACTTCACCAGAAATGAGTATACCAGTTTTTGCTAAGCAAATTAGCCAAAGTTAAAGAAAGAACTAGTGACATCATCCAAAGCTTCTAAGTATGTGATAAAACAAGGAACTGATATATGTTTGGTGGCAATATAAAGTTTGTACAATCCTCCAGTGTGGCAGTAAGTATATGCAAGGATCTTAAAAATGTTCATGCTTTTTGGTAATTTAACTTCTGGAATCTATACTTAGGGAATGATCCTAAATGAGAAAAAAAATATACATTATGCAGAAAGACATTTGTCAAAATATTATTTATGGTTGCAAACCACCTGAATATTGAACAGTAGGAGAACACAAGATAAATTATTATATATTTATTTGAGGATATATTTATATAAATAGATATGATGTTTATTAAATATTTATTTGAGCAAATATGAATCAACATGGACAACTTCCATAATCATAATGCTGAGAAGGAAATAAAAGCAAGTTGTAGAATACTTTATACATTTCATGATACTAATTATATAAAGCTTGAGACATGCAAATATTACATATTACTTAGCAATACATACATATGTGGTAAAAGTATAAAGAGTAGGCTGGGCGTGGTGGCTCGCGCCTGTAATCCTAGCACTTTGGGAGGTGAGGCAGGCAGACTGCCTGAGTTTGGGAGTTCGAGACCAGCCTGGGCAACACGGTGAAACCCCGTCTCTACTAAAATACAAAATAAATTAGCTGGCGGGGCAGTGTGCGCCTCTGGTCCCAGCTGCTTGGGAGGCTGAGGCAGGAGAATTGCTTGAACCCAGGAGGCAGAAGTTGCAGTGAGCTGGGATCACGCCACTGCACTCCAACCTGGGCTGCAGAGTGAGACTCCGTCTCTACAAAAAAAAAAAAAAAAAAAAAAAAAACTATAAAGAAATGCATGGGCTGAATAATCACCAAATTTCAGAAAGTCGTTACATATGTTAGAGATGGAGGATGCTGCAAATGAGGATTACACAGAGGGTATCAGCTGCACTGATAATGTTTTATTTCTTAAGCTCTGTGGGATACATGGATGTTCATTCCATTATTCTTTTTATCTTTTAGTATGTCTTAAATCTTTCATGGTAACCTTACAATATTATGTAGCTATAAAATAGTTCCATAGAAAGCCAATACAATAACATGGAAAAACGAGTCTTCTCTGGGGGAGGCGGGGCCGCGCGGGGCATGCCGGGCGGCGCGCGGGCTGCAGGGAACGGGGCGGAGCGCGGCCGCGCCGGCGCAGCGAGGGGAGAGGCAGCAACCGCTATGGACGTGTTCCTCGTGATCCGGCGCCACAAGACCACCATCTTCACTGACGCCAAGGAGTCCAGCACGGTGTTCGAGCTGAAGCGCGTCGTGGAGGGAATCCTCAAGCGGCCGCCCGACGAGCAGCGGCTGTACAAGGACTACCAACTCTTGGATGATGGCAAGACACTGGGCGAGTGTGGCTTCACCAGCCAAACGGCACGGCCGCAGGCCCCAGCCACAGTGGGGCTGGCCTTCCGGGCACACGACGCCTTTGAGGCCCTGTGCATCGAGCCGTTCTCCAGCCCGCCCGAGCTGCTCGACGTGATGAAGCCCCAGGAGTCGGGAAGCAGTGCCAATGAACAAGCTGTGCAGTGAAGACCCCCGAGAGGCCCATTACCCCCAATAAAAGAGATTTGGGAGTCTGAAAAAAAAAAAACCATGGAAAAAGTTTGTACTATGACATTAAGTTAAACAAATTACCTATTCAAAATGATTACAACTACTTGAAAGCCATCCAAAAATCTTGCAAAGAAATATCCCCGAAAGTTACTGTTTTTCACATTGGATGGTGATGTTGTTACCTCCTTATTTCTTTAAAACATTTCCTCTATTTTCTCTTATGATTGACACTACAAATATAATTGAAAAACAATAAACCTATTTTAAAAATAAGCATGATATATTTATTACTAAGCCATTTGTACTATTATGTCACATTTGATTTCTAAATTAATGTTCTGCTTGGCTTTGAGTCTAGCATCATGTGTAAGATGTGAAAGCATGGAGAAGACTGGAGAGAGAGGAGGTTGGCAGGGACCTGAGTTTGTTGACAAAGGATGAAAGCAGGATGGGCTGGACGCAGTGGCTCATGCCTGTCATCCTAGCACTTTGGGAAGCTGAGGAGGGAGGATCACTTGAGCCCAGGAGTTTGAGACCAGCTTGGGCAATGTAATGGGACCCTGTCTCTACAAAAAATTAAAAAATTAGTCTGGCATGGTATTGTGTGCCTATAGGCCTAGCTACTCAGGAGGCTGAGGCAGGACAATTGCTTGGGTACAGGAGTTTGATGCCGCGGTGAGCTATGATTGCATCACTGCACTCCAGCCTGGGTGACACAGTGAGATCCTGTCTTAAAAAAAAGAAAAGAAAAGAAAGCAAGGTGGGCCAAGACTTGCTGTTACAGATTCCTGAAATGTTTGAGGAAGATTATTCTGATTGTTATGGGTAATCCAGGTTGGCTTCCAATGAGACTTGAAGTAGCAGCAAGGTTCCTTATATAAAAGTATGGAACATAAAATAAATTCACTTTGTTGAAAGAAAGAATAAATGAATGGAAGAATAAGTCAGAGCTAATATTAATTTGAGGCTCTTAATTCAAGCTTAGATACTGTTATTTCAATGATTTCCCATGGATCTTAGAATTTTAGAACTGACATAGATCTTTGAGAACATTTGTTTTAACTTCTTTGTTATAGTCAAACTAAATTCCAGAGAAGCTGAATAACACCACCAAGTAAATAAAAGAGGGGTATTTGGACTTTTCTTTCATCATATCATTAGCTTTCTTAAAAGAAAGCAGGTGGGCCGGGCTCAGTGGCTCACCCCTGTAATCTCAGCACTTTGGGAGGCCAAGGCGGGCAGATCCTTTGAGGTCAGGAGTTCGAGATCAGCCTGGCCATCATGGTGAAACCCCATCTCTACTAAAAATACAAAAATCAGCCAGGCGTGCTGGCAGGTGCCTTTAGTCCCATCTACTTAGGAGGCTGACCTGTAGTCCCAGCTACTTGGGAGGCTGAGGTAGGAGAATCACTTGAACCTGGGAGGCAGAGGTTGCAGTGAGCTGAGATTGCACCACTGCCCTCCAGCCTGGGCGACACAGTGAGACTTCACCAAAAAAAAAGAAAAAAAAGCAAGTGGGGGCCTAATCTTTTTACAAGAAAATGCACTACAAATTCCTTGGCCTGCCCTTTGCCACTTATAGAAAACCCCTGACAATCTGGCTTCAACTTGTCTTTCCACCTTATCTCCCACTAATCCTCCAGAAAATCATGGAATTTCTGGTATCCTCACCAGTTAGGCCCTCCACCCTTCTCTCTGCCTATCTAAAACAATTCATCTTTCAAGGTACAACTAGAATACCAAGAGTATAATCCAGAGGTAATGTCATGAGTGCCTGAATTTGACTGACGTGTGTGGAAATGAAGTAGAATGGAAAAAGCTTGTGCTTAAGAAAGGGGAGAACAAAGAAGCCATGGGGAATAATAATAATAATAATAACAGTATTACTAATAATGGCAGTGTTAACTACTAACATTAAATACATGCTTATGATATGCTAGGCCCTGTGTTAACCATTTTTATGTTCATTATCACACTTAATAATGTTCTCAGTAACTCTGAAACGGTATATCAGGATTGTGTTACGTGTAACAGAAAACCCTATTATAAGAAGTCAGGTTTTTTTTCTTCCATTCAATAAGGAGGCCAGTCTTGTGTGATCTTCATGAGAGGTCACCAAGAACCCAGGCTCATTCTGTCTTCTTTCTCCGCTATTCTTAGCATATGTCTTTCATTTTCAAGGTCATAATATAACTTTTCAAGACATTATGTCTGCCTTCCAGAGAGAAATGCAGTGGGTATCTCTTTTCAAGGACTTCTGTCAACATCTCTTTGATGAGAGCTATGTTACCTGGCCACTGCTAGTTGCAAGGGAGGCTGGGAGACCACCAAATGAAATTCCGTTAATAAAGGGGAAGGAGGGATGGATATTTAGGTAGGGAGCCTGCAGTGTTATCCTCAGTTTATAGATGAGGAAAATGAGGCACAAGAATGCTAAGAGCCGGGCGAGGTGGCTCACACCTATAATCCCAGCACTTTGGGAGGTGGAGGCGGGTGGATCACCTGAGGTCAGGAGTTCCAGACCAGCCTGACCAATATGGTAAAACTCTGTCTGTACTAAAAATACAAAAATTAGCCAGGTGTGATGGCATGTGACTGTAGTCCCAGCTACTAGGGAGGCTGAGACAGGAGAATTGCTTGAACCCAGGAGGCAGAGGTTGCAGTGAGCCGAGATCGCACCACTGCACTCCAGCCTGGGTGACAGAGTGAGACTCTGTCTCAAAAAAAAAAAAAAAAAAAAAAAAAAAAGAATGCTAAGCAACAGGCCAGGCATGGTGGCTCATGCCTATAATCCCAGCACTTTGGGAGGCCAAGGTGGGTGAATCACTTGAGGCCAGGAGTTCGAGACCAGCCTGGCCAACATGGCAAAACCCCATCTGTACTAAAAATACAAAAATTGGCTGGGTGTGGTGGCACACGCCTGTAATCCCAGATACTCTGGAGACTGAGGCAGGAGAATCGCTTGAACCTGGGAGGTGGAGGTTGCAGTAAGCTGATATCGTGCCACTGCATGGCTGATATCCAGCCTGGGTGACACAGTGAGACTGGGTCTCAAAAAAAAAGAATGCTAAGAAACAATGGGACAAGTAGATCTGGACAGCATGGCCCATGTCCCTAAGAGTTTGCATTATATGGCACAATTTTTATTTTTATTTTTTTTGAGATGGAGTCTCGCTCTGTCACCTAGACTGGAGTGCAGTGACACAATCTCGGCTCACTGCAACCTCCACCTCCCAGGTTCAAGTGATTCTCCTGTATATGGCACAATTTTTTAAATGGCTTGGTCCTACTCTCTACTTAAGGTGTGGTATAAACAATATCAGAACACATTTTATACTACTGTTTCCCTTCTTTGGTAGCTTCTCTTCCTTTCCCCTGCTGTCTTTTTCTTTCAGATCTCAGAGGGGAGGCTGCGAGTTTTGGTTAGAGCTGAAAGGAAAGAAACTAGTGTCAGTCTTTTGTTTCCCATTTGAAATAGTGGCTAACTCTAGGAAACAATAGACAGGATGGTTTCGTAAGACTTGGTAAATGATTAAGTGTGGAGCTTGATGTAGAGTCAAACAAAATATTAAGGTTTTGACCACAAAGTTGTTATATGGACAACGGAAGATACATATTAGTAAGAAAGGAGAATTGTTGGTTTACTTTTCTGTGTTAAGTTTCAGATGTTGGCAAAAATTCCTGATAGGTATCACTAAATCTCGTGTAAGTCAATCATAATGAGCAAGTGAGAAGAAAAATAAGGCAGACATACTTTTAAAAAAAACATGATGATCCTGTCCCTATTGGAATAATAACAGGTATTTGTTTTACTTATTTCGATACCTGTTTATAATAAGGCTTTGCATGCCTAAAGATGAAAGAAAAGGCCAGGCATGGTGGCTCACGCCTGTAATCCCAGCACTTTTGGGAGGCCGAGGTGGGTGGATCACGAAATCAGGAAATCAAGACCATCCTGGCTAACACGGTGAAACCCCGTCTCTACTAAAAATACAAAAAATTAGCCGGGTGTGGTGGCGGGCGTCTGTAGTTCCAGCTACTCGGGAGGCTGAGGCAGGAGAATGGCGTGAACCTGGGAGGCGGAGCTTGCAGTGAGCCAAGATCGCGCCACTGCACTCCAGCCTGGGCAACACAGCAAGACTCTTTATCAAAAAAAAAAAAAAAAAAAAAAAAAAAAAAGGCAGTATTTCACAGTTTTGAAGACAACAATGACATTTAAAAAAAAATGACCAGGCTGGGCGCGGTGGCTCACGCCTGTAATCCCAGCACTTTGGGAGGCCGAGGTGGGTGGATCACGAGGTCAGGAGATTGAGACCATCCTGGCTAACATGGTGAAACCCCGTCTCTACTAAAAATACAAAAAAATTAGCCAGGCATGGTGGCACGTGCTTGTAGTCCCAGCTACTTGGGAGGCTGAGGCAGGAGAATGGCGTGAACCTGGGAGGTGGAGGTTGCAGCGAGACAAGATTGTGCCACTGCACTCCAGCCTGGGCGACAGAGCAAGAGTCCGTCTCAAAAAAAAAAAAAAAAAAAAAAAAAAGGCCAGAAGCATCATCACTTTCTATCTATGTCTGCACTTGGGGGACAGATGGCATTTTATTAAATTCCCACAAATCAAGTCTATAAATTGGGTGGATGGAATAAACACAAAAAATTGGGAATTCAGAGAGCCTCCATGATGTATGACATTGGCAAAAATCAACTTCAGACCTCTAAATAGTGGTGAGCGCTGTAACTTTTCATCTCTTGGATACACTGTTTATTCGAAGTGTGGCAGGCCGGGCACAGTGGCTCAAGCCTATAATCTCAGCACTTTGGGAGGCCGAGGCGGGTGGATCACGAGATCAGGAGTTCAAGACCAGCCTGCTCTATATGGTAAAACCCCGTCTCTACTAAAAATATAAAAATTAGCAGGGCATGGTGACACATGCCTGTAGTCCCAGCTACTCGGGAGGCTGAGGCAGAAGAATCACTTGAACCTGGGAGGCAGAGATTGCAGTGAGCCGAGATCGCGCCACTGCACCCCAGCCTGGAAGACAGAGCGAAATTATTCCATCTCAAAAAAAAAAAAAAAAAAAAGTGTGGCGAAAGCCAATGCCAGTAAATGTTTAGTCTTTTCTTTGCTGAACGTTAGGGTGTATTGACAAATATGGTATTAGAATCTTGTTAATGGGTGAAATGCTCTGAACTCTGCATACCCTCTTTGGGTTTGTGATATATTTTTTGCTGTGACTTAAATTGTGGTCCATGGACCAGTAGCAACATCACCTTGGAATCTGTTACAAATGGAAAGTCTCAAACCCTATCCCAGAACTTCTGAATTACGATCTACATTTTAAACAGAATCCCCAGATGATTTGTATTCGAATTACAATTTGGGAAGCACTTATATAGCCAATTAAGGAAGTTTATGGCTGTAATCCCAGCACTTTAGGAGGCCAAGGAGGGAGGATTGCTTGAGGCCAGGAGTTACAGACCAACTTGGGCAACATAGCGAGACACCTCCCTAGCCTCCTCACCTACAAAAAAAAAAAAAATTTTTTTTTAAATGATCCAGGCATGGTGGCACATGTATCTAGTCCTAGCTACTTGGGAGGCTGAGGTGGGAGGACTGCTTGAGGCCAGGAGATCAAGGCTGTAGTGAGCTGTGATTGTGCCACTGCATTCCACCCTGGGCAACACAGCAAGGCCCTGTCCCTAAAAAATAAAAAGTTTTTAAAACTCCTATGTCATTAACATAAAAGTCCCTTGGTTTTCAGTAATTATAAGGCAATGATTGTTTCCTTTTTTCTTTTTTTGAAACTGGGTCTGGCTCTGTCGCTCAGGCTTGAGTGCAGTGGCAAAATCTCGGCTCATTGCAACCTCCGCCTCCTGGGCTCAAGACATCCCTCCACCTTAGCCTTCCAAGTGGCTGGGACTACAGGCACGTGCTATCACACCCGGCTAATTTTTGCATTTTTTATAGAGGTAGGGTTGCACCGTGTTGCCCAGGCTGGTCTCGAACTCCTGGGCTGAAGTGATTCTCCCTCCTTGGTCTCCCAAGGTGCTGGGATTACAGGCGTGAGCCACTGCACTGGCCAAGGCAATGATTTCTAGTTTTTGGTTTTTTTTTCTGAGATGGAGTCTCGCTCTGTCACCAGGCTGGAGTGCAGTGGCGTGATACAGGCTCACTGCAACCTCCGCCTCCCTGGTTCAAGCGATTCCCCTGCCTCAGCCTCCCGAGTAGCTGGGACTACAGGTGCACACTACCATGCCTGGCTAATTTTTGTATTTTTAGTAGAGACGGGGTTTCACCATGTTGGCCAGGATGGTCTTGATCTCCTGACTTCGCCCACCTCACCCTCCCAAAGTGCTAGGATTACAGGCGTGAGCCTGCAATTTCTAGTTTTTATGGGGTCTTGGACTCTTCAGGGAGAATGTGCTAGAAACTATTATCTCTCCTCAGAAGAAATGCACATATGAATTTGAAGACAGCACTTTGCATACATTTTAGAGGGATTCAATGTTAAAAACTCGGGTCTTATTTTATTCTCTAACCTGGGGGAACACTTTTAAACAAATCACATGTGGATGAACTGAACGAGTAGGTCATGAACACAATATGAATAGTTGAGATGTTCGTGTGCGTATGTGACTTTTGTGTGAAAAAACAAAATTTAAAAATATTTCTTCTAGACCGGGCGTGGTGGCTCACGCCTGTAATCCCAGTACTTTGGGAGGCTGAGGTGGGTGGATCACAAGGTCAGGAGTTCGAGACCAGCCTGACCAACATGGTGAAACCCCGTCTCTACTAAAAACACAAAAATTAGCCAGGTGTGGTGGCGCGTGCCTGTAATCCCAGCTACTCAGGAGGCTGAGGCAGGAGAATTGCTTGAACCCAGGAGACAGAGGTTGCAGTGAGCCAAGATCATGCAACTGCACTCTAGCTTGGATGGCAGAGCAAGACTACACCTCAAAAAAAAAAAAATTTCTTCTAGAAACCTAGTCACCAGCAATGATTGCATTTTTAGGTATCAGTGATTAATGCTTCTTCTTGGTGAGGAAATAAAATATGTAAACTTAAAAAAATTTGATTGTGTCTTGACTACAGTGAAAAGCAATTGGGTGCCATATTGAAATGTGAAGAGAAGACTTGAAAGGGAAGACACTCAGTTCTCAAGCTCTCTGTTGGTTTTTTTAAATATGATAAGAAAGAGCAGTTAAGAGAACATTTACATTCCATGACCACATGAGTAGAGTAAATAAAAAACACTGCTAAGGAGGAGAAAAGGTCCTAAGATTAAATCCATGCAGGACCAGTCTGTCTCTTGCTGTTTGCTGAGAGGGAACAACAAGCTCAAGCAACTTAAAATCTAAACATGAACTATCAGCCGGGCTCAGTGGTTCACACCTGTAATCCCAGCACTTTGGGAGGCAAAGGCAGGCAAATCACCTGAGGTGAGGAGTTTGAGACCAGCCTGGGCAACATGGTGAAACCCCATCTCTACTAAAAATACAAAAATTAGCTGGGCGTGGTGGTGGGTGCCTATAGTCCCAGCTACTCAGGAGGCTGAGGCAGGAGAATCACTTGAACCTGGGAGGCAGAGGTTGCAGTGAGCTGAGATCATGCCACTGCACTCCAGCCTGGGTGACAGAGTGAGACTCCGTCTCAAAACTAACAAACAAACAAAACCATGAAGTATTATAGTATGTATCAGGGTACAGTGGAGTTTCTCCTCATTTCTTGCTGTCTCTTTTAATGAAGTGTGGTTTTACTAACAGAGAAGGATTATTTTTCTAACCAATAGCACTTAGTTTCCTCTCAGTGTTTAAAACTTTGCATCCATGTCCCTCAAGTATGTCACTGTCGGCTGGGCACTGTGGCTCACACCTGTAATCCCAGCACTTTGGGGGGGGCGGAGGCAGGCGGATCACTTGAGGTCAGGAGTTTGAGACCAGCCTGGGCAACACGGTGAAACCCCGTCTCTACTAAAAATACAAAAATTAGCCGGACGTGGTGGTGGGCACCTGTAGTCCCAGCTACTCAGGAGACTGAGGCAGGAGAATTGCTTGAACCCAGGAGGCAGAGGTTGCAGTGAGCTGAGATTGCACCACCACACTCTAGCCTGGGTGACAGAGCAAGACTCCATCTCAACAACAACAAAGAATGTCACTGTCTTTTTAGTCTTCTCACAGGCTTTATTGCCATATGTGCTGGAAAAATCCATCCAAATTCTTTTCATCTGATTTGCATGAGCAATATCTATTTCTGAGGATTATTCATGGATTACCCATAAATATTCAGAACAATGTTCCTGTAGATCTTAATCTTTGCTATATTTGGCTTAGGGTTTTGTTTTCCAAAAAATTTTCCATTTCCTTTCTCCCATTCATCATAAGATTCTCCCTAGTTTACCATTTGGTCAGCCACGATATTTGCAATCTCACTTGGATCAAATGGGACCATGTATATGGAAGGCTCTGTGTGTTGTAGAACACTATACAGAAAGAAGAGTTTTACTCCAGATAGAAATATTTTGCCCTGTATTGCGTTTTTAAAATTAAGCTTTAAGTAAACAACAAAAAAGATGTCTGAATGTTTCATCAGTGAAAATTCTTAGAAAGTATTTTCTATCTGGCCGGGCGCTGTGGCTCAAGCCTATAATCCCAGCACTTTGGGAGGCCGAGGCGGGCGGGTCACAAGGTCAGGAGATCGAGACCATCCTGGCTAACACAGTGAAACCCCGTCTCTACTAAAAATACAAAAAAAAAAAAAAAATTAGCCGAGCATGGTGGCAGTCGCCTGTAGTCCCAGCTACTCTGGAGGCTAAGGCAGGAGAATGGCATGAACCCGGGAGGCGGAGCTTGCAGTGAGCCAAGATCACGCCACTGCACTCCAGCTTGGGCAACAGAGCAAGACTTCATCTCAAAAAAAAAAAAAAGAAAGTATTTTCTATAATGTTTTCGGGGAGCTGTCATTTAAAACACGAATCATTCATATCTTCTTAGCCTACTCTACTAAAGGTTTTGTGTTTGTTTTTGTTTTTCTCTTTCCATTTTCCTTCCCAGTACTACTTCTCTGTTCCTGTTTGTAAGGAAAGCAAGCAAACCACTGGCCCAAAGTATACAACTGTTTTTCTCTTCCATCCCTATTATGTTCTTTTGTCATTTTCCCTATTATTGTTCAGCTAGCCATCAAGCCAAATTATAAACATGGGGGAAGATGATGGCAAAAGGCCACTGTTGGTTTAAAACAGGCTGGAAAGCAACCTTCTCCAACAAACAGGTAGCAATCCAACACAGGTGAAAGCACACAAAGGGGCTGCTGGGCTGTGACCCATGAACTCCCTTGGGACCAACTGGTGTGATCAGAGGAAAGACAATCGCAGATTGCTCAGTTGTGTTTCCTGCTGTCAGTGAGGAGTAGTGATAATCAAAACTAGGCTTGGCAAGTGAACAGACCATAGGCAAAGTGGTGGAGCCAGTCAAGCGTGTCTGGGGCAGAAGCCTTGACCTCAGGCATTCCAGAAATCATTTCTAACAATTGAGTCATCTCACACATCTCATTTTTTGAAGGATCAAGTTAAGTGCATAGTAGGTTCACCATAAACTTGTATTTTTCTTTGGCATTTCCTGTGATTTTTGTTACTCTTTATGGAAAACTATTAATTTGTATTTTGTGTCTAGTCACCAAACTCTTGTAGACTTAACTGTATACTCTGCAAGTAACGATAATTTTGTTTTCTCTTTTCTAATAATTATCTCTTATTTTTGTTCTATATTTTATTGCATTGGTTTGAATTTCCAAGGCAGTGCTGTTGGTTTGCAGAGACAGGGTTTCACTCTGTTGCCCAGGCTGAATGCAGTAGTATAACCACACCTCACTGCAGTCTCACACTCATGGGCTCAAGCAATCCCAGCCTCAGCCTCCAGAGTGGCTACTACTACAAGTGTGTGTTACCATCCCTGGCTAATTTTTCAGTGTTTTGTGGAGAGTGGGGTATAGCTATGTGTCTGGAATTGGTGGGTTCTTGGTCTCACTGACTTCAAGAATCAAGCCGCTGACCCTCGCGGTGAGCATTACAGTTCTTAAAGGCGGTGTGTCCGGAGTTTGTTCCTTCTGATGTTCGGATGTGTTCGCGGTTTCTTCCTTCTGGTGGGTTCGTAGTTTTGCTGGCTCAGGAGCGAAGCTGCAGACTTTCGCGGTGAGTGTTACAGCTCTTAAGGCGGTGTGTCTGGAGTTGTTCGTTCCTCCCGGTTGGTTCGTGGTCTCGCTGGCTTCAGGAGAAAAACTGCAGACTTTCACGGTGAGTGTTACAGCTCTTCAGGCAGTCTGGACCCAAAGAGTGAGCAGCAGCAAAATTTATTGCAAAGAGAGAAAGAACAAAGCTCCCACGGTGTGGAAGGCGACCCGAGCGGGTTGCCACCGCTGGCTCGGGCAGCCTGCTTTTATTCTCTTATCTGGCCCCACCCACGTCCTGCTGATTGGTAGAGCCCAGTGGTCTGTTTTGACAGGGTGCTGATTGGTGCGTTTACAATCCCTGAGCTAGACACAAAGGTTCTCCACGTCCCCACCAGATTAGCTAGATACAGAGTGTCGACGCAAAGGTTCTCCAAGTCCCCACCAGAGTAGCTAGATACAGAGTGTCGATTGGTGCACTCACAAACCCTGAGCTAGACACAGGGTGTTGACTTGTGTGTTTACAAACCTTGAGCTAGATACAGAGTGCCGACTGGTGTATTTACAATCCCTTAGCTACACATAAAGGTTCTCCACGTCCCCACCAGACTCAGGAGCCCAGCTGGCTTCACCCAGTGGATCCCGCACCGGGGCTGTGCACCCTGCGCCCTCACTCCTCAGCCCTTCGGTGATCGATGGGACTGGGCGCGTGGAGCAGGGGGCGGCTCTCGTCGGGGAAGCTCGGGCCGCACGGGAGCCCACGGAGTGGGGGGAGTCTCAGGCATGGCGGGCTGCAGGTCCCCAGCCCTGCCCCGCGGGAAGGCAGCTAAGGCCCGGCGAGAAATTGAGCACAGCAGCTGCCGGCCCGGGCGCTAAGCCCCTCACTGCCCAGGGCTGGTAGGGCCGGCCGGCTGCTCCGAGCGCGGGGTCCGCCCAGCCCACGCCCACCCGGAACTCGCGCTGGCCCGCAAGCGCCGCACGCAGCCTGGGTTCCCGCCTGCGCCTCTCCCTCCACACCTCCCCGCAAGCTGAGGGAGCGGGCTCCGGCCTTGGCCAGCCCAGAAAGGGGCTCCCAGAGTGCAGCGGCGGGCTGAAGGGCTCCTCAAGTGCCGCCAAAGTGGGAGCCCAGGCAGAGGAGGCCCCGAGAGTGAGCGAGGGCTCTGAGGACTGCCAGCACGCTGTCACCTCTCAGCTACATTGCCCAGGCTGGTCTTGAATGCTTGGGTCTCAATCAATCTTCCTACCTTAGCCTCCCAAAGTGTTGGGATTACAGGCATGAGCCATTGTGTTCAGCCTCAAGGCAGTGTTAAATAATATATGGGGCATCGTTGTCACCTCTTTTTTTTTTTTTTTTTTTTTTGAGACAGAGTCTCGCTCTGTGGCCCAGGCTGGAGTGCACTGGCACCATCTCTGCTCACTGCAAGCTCCGCCTCCCGGGTTCATGCCATTCTCCTGCCTCAGCTTCCTGAGTAGCTGGGACTACAGGTGCCCACCACTGCGCCCGGCTAATTTGTTTGTATTTTTAGTAGAGACGGGGTTTCCCCGTGTTAGCCAGGATGGTCTCAATCTCCTGACCTCGTGATCTGCCCTCCTCGGCCTCCCAAAGTGCTGGGATTACAGGCGTGAGCCACCGCGCCTAGCTGTCACCTCCTTCAAAAAAAACAACAACAACAAATAGAGACGAGGTTTGTTACCCTCGCTATGTTGCCCAGGTTGGTCTCGAACTCCTGTACTCAAGTGATCCTCCCGCCTCAGCCTACCACAGTGCTGAGATTACAGATGTGAGCCACCATGCTTGGCTCTATTTTTCTTTTTATCATCTATTTTTTTATAGGAATGCTTCAGTTGATTATCATAAGTAGGATATTGTAGAGGGTTGAATTTTATCCCCCTAAAAAGATATTCAAGGTCTAATCCCCCTCCCCCTCCTCATACCTGTGAACGCAACCTTCTTCAGGAATAGGGCCTTTGTAGATGTAATAAGTTAAGATGAGTTTATACTTGATAAGGGTGGACCCTATATACAATGATTGTTGTCCTTGTAGGGAGAGGGAGATCTGGAAATGAATACAGTTCAGGCAAGACGGGCAGGTGAAGAAGGCAGAAGCAGAAAGTGAAGTGATGAAACTGCAAGTCAAGGAATTCCAAGGATTGCTGGCGAACACAGGAATTTAGGAAGAGGCAAGAAAGAATTCCTTCCCAGAGACTTCTGAGGGAATACAGCCTTGCCGATAGCTTATTTCAGCCTTCTAGATTTCAGAGCTGGGAGAGAATGAATGTCTGTTGTTTCAATCTTCCAGTTTATGGTAGTTTGTTCCTAGGAAACTAATACGTATATTGTTTATCTTTGAAAATAGGTATTTGAGAACATTTCTACTTCTCTTTGACTAGGATATTTTGTAAAATTAATAAGGAATAAGCACTCTTTAATCAAATAAGTTTTTTGCATCTTGCTTGCTAAAATGTATGCATTTTTTAAAAAGTATGTATTTTAGTTTTAAAATTGTCTGTATATGTATATGCACATGAATTTAATATTTTATATAAATCCATAAATGCAATCATGTTATATATCTTGAATTTTATGTTTTTCATATTGTGGTCTTTTTCTTCTCGTTTTGCTTTGCACGCTCCTCTTCTCCTGCCCCTCTGCCTACTTCACCCTAATCCACATACCCAGGTAACTGTATATTCACAGATGTTTATATATTTGCATACACACACACACACACACACACAGAGATTTTTTTTTCATTATTTGTTTTACAAAATGAAATATCACACATGTGATGGTCAACTTCATGTGTCAACTTGATTATTCCCTCAGTTACTAATCTAGCTGTTGCTGTGATTAAAGTCCATAATCAATGACTTTTAGTAAAGGAGAATATCTTAGATAATCTGGTTGGGCCTCATCCAATCAGTTGAAAGGCGTTAAGAGTTGAACTGAGTTTGCCGGGCGTGGTGGCTCACGCCTGTAATCCCGGCACTTTGGGAGGCCGAGGTGGGCGGATCACCAGGTCAGGAGATCAAGACCATACTGGCTAACACGTTGAAACCCCGTCTCTACTAAAAATACAAAAATTAGCCAGGCGTGGTGGCGGTTGCCTGTAGCCCAGCTGAGGCAGGAGAATGCTGTGAACCTGGGAGGCGGAGCTTGCAGTGAGCCGAGATCGCGCCACTGCACTCCAGCCTGGGCGACAGAGCGAGAGATTCCGTCTCAAAAAAAAAAAAAAAAAAAAAAAAGAGTAGAACTGAGGTTTCTGGGAAGAAGAAATTCCACCTGCGGGTAGCAGCCTCAGCCCATGCCAGAGAGTGCCACCTGCCCTTCCTTGTGGCCTGCTCTATGGATTCAGACTTGCCTAGCTAGACCCGATGATTAATCGATCAATTGTGTAATTGAATTTCCTTCAACAAATCCCTTATGATGTCTCCTGCTGTTTCTGTTTTCTTAATTGAGCCCTGACTGATGTAACAGACTTTTTCTCATTTTGCCTTTTTCATTCAGCAATATATGTTGGAAATTATTCTAAATCCACTGACATAGCTACTGTTCATCCACTTTAATTGCTGCATACTATTTTCTGGTGTAGATATGCCATTAATTTTTGACTGTTTCCAGTTTCATGCCATTATGGAAAACGCTGAATTAAATGCCTTATATTGGTTATTTTCTTTCCTCAAGATAGAATCCCAGAATGGAGAACTTTTGAGTTAAACAATTATACAAACATCTCTTATAATATGTATATAGTCATAGTCATCCCTTGGTATCCTTGAGGATGGGTTCCAGGACACCTGTGGGTACCAAAATCCACAGATGCACAAGTCCCTTATATAAAATGGCATAGTATTTGCGTATAACCTACACACATCCTGCCATATCCTTTAAATCCTTTCTAGATTACATATTACAATACCACATAAAAGTGATGGTCAATTTTTTGTGTCAACTGGTTATTCCATCGACGACTAATCTAGGTGTTGTTGTGATGAAAATCTATAATCAAAGACTTTTAGTAAAGGAGTATATCTTAGATAATCTGGGTGGGCCTCAGAAGGGAAGGGAAGAACTGAGATTTCCGGGAAGAAGAAATTCCACCTGTGGATAGTAGCCTCAGACCATCAGCCTCAACAACAATACAATGTAAATGCTATGTAAATGGTTGTTATACTGTATTGATTCTTTTTTTTTTTTTTTTTGAGACAGAGTCTTGCTCTGTCACCCAGACTGAAGTGCAGTGGAACTATCTCCGCTCATTGCAACCTCTGCCTCCTGGGTTCAAGCAATTCTCTTGCCTCAACCTCCCGAGTAGTTGGGATTACAGGCGTGCACCATTACGCCCAGCTAATTTTTGTATTTTTAGTAGAGATGGGGTTTCACCATGTTGGCCAGGCTGGTCTCAAACTCCTGACCTCAGGTGATCTGCCAGCCCCGGCCTCCCAAAGGACTGAGATTACAGGTGTGAGCCACTGCACCCGGCCTTGGGTGGGGACACAACCAAACCATATCACCACTATATACTTGATTCTTATTTGTATTATTTTTAATTGTAGTATTATTATTTTTAATTGCTTTTTTCCAAATACTTCAAATCTTTGCTTGGTTGAATCCATGGATGGGGAACCTACAGACACAGAGGGTGGACTGTATACCTTTATACATATTTAATTTTAATTGATGTTACTACCTCCCTTCCTAAAAAGCTGGAACAATTCATAACACCACTAATATTGTATGAAAATACAAAATCATAGGTGCTACTGTTCTTTTTACCCTTTTTCTGTCTGATGAACATAAAGTGATATTTATAATAATAGTTACTTTAATTTCCATAATTCCTGATATGTAGTTTGAGCATTTTTAATACAGCTTCTGGCATTTGGATTTGTTTTCCCTAAAATTTTCTTGATATTCTGTGTCTATTTTATCATTGGGTTGTTTGCCTTTTCTTATAAATTTGTAAGAAATTCCTCTTTGTTCTCTGGTCTTGCTCAGTGGCTCATGCTTGTAATCTCAGTATTTTGGGAGGCCAAGACTGGTGTATTACTTGAGCCCAGGAGTTCAAGACCAGCCTGGGCAACATAGCAAAATCCTCTCTCTACAAAAAATAGGCCTGGCTCAGTGGCTCATGCCTGTAATCTCAGCAATTGGGAGGACACGACAGGTGGATCACTTGAGCCCAGGAGTTTGAGAACAGCCTGGGCAATATGGCAAAACTCTACAAAATAAAAGATAATAAAATTAGCCAAGCATGGCAGCGTGCACCTGTAGTCTCAGTTACTTGGGAGGCTGAGATGGGAGGATTGCTTGAGCCTGGGGGGTCAAGGCTACAGTGAACTGTGACTGTGCTACTGCATCCCAGCCTGAACAGCAGAATGAGACCTTGTCTCAATTAAAAAATAAATAAACAAAACGAAATTACTCTTTGTTCTATCGCAAAAATTTTAATGTACTGTTTATTGAATTTATTTATGGTATGTATAGCTAAAGTTTTTGTTTAGCTGTATGTAAATATGCCTATTGTCTTCATTATAGTTTTTGTTTGTTTGTTTTTACAATTACAGTTTCTCGGCTTCAAAACTTGGGTAAAGAAGGTCACCATTGTCCCTAGAAGAGATGGTACAGGTAGCATCTTAGATTGTCTTACAAGATGTATATTTATTTATTTTATTTTTTTTTGAGATGGAGTCTCGCTCTGTCACCAAGGTTGGAGTGCAGTGGTGGGACCTCGGCTCACTGCAAGCTCTGCCTCCTGGGTTCACGCCATTCTCCTGCCTCAGCCTCCCATGTAGCTGGGACTACAGGTGCCTGCCACTGTGCCCGGCTGATTTTTTGTATTTTTAGTAGAGGTGGGGTTTTGCCGTGTTAGCCAGGATGCTCTCAATCTCCTGACCTTGTGATCTGCCCACCTTGGCCTCCCAAAGTGCTGGGATTACAGGCGTGAGCCACCATGCCTGGCCTTGATGTTTATTGCTTTATTGTTGTATTTGTCTTTAGTCTTTTTTAAATTATATATTCACCTAAAAAAACCCAAGAGACCATAATAAATCTTAATCATATTTTAAACAAAGGGAGAAGTAAATTCTCCTTTTCAAATTCTTAGCCAACTTAAAAATGTTCTTTGATTATTATAATTTTCAGAAATTCCAAAGCAATTTTAATAGCACTATTGAGTTATAATTGACATATAATTTCAAAATGTTGCCTTTGGAACTTTTGCAATCCCTCCCCTGCCAACCTCTCTTCACTCCCCAGGCAATCCCTGATCTGCTTCCTATCACTGCAGATTAGTCTGCATTTTCTAGGATTTAATGTAAATGGAATCATGCAGTAAATACTCTTTTGGGGAGTCTGGTTTATTTTACTTAGGATAATTATTTTGAGATCATGTTGTTGCACATATAACTAGTTCAGTTCTTTTTATTGCTGAATAGTACTAGATTGTATGGATATACCACTTCTATTGGTCCATTTTCATGCTGCTGATAAAGACATACCTGAGACTGGGCAATTTACAAAAGAAAGAGGTTTAATTGGACTTAACAGTTCCATGTGGCTGGGGAAGCCTCACAATCATGGCAGAAGGCAAGGAGGAGCAAGTCATGTCTTACATGGATGGCAGCGTGCAGAGACGGAGAGAGAGAGAGAGAGCTTGTGCAGGGAAACTCCCCCTTATAATACCATCAGATCTTGTGAGACCCACTCACCATTGCAAGAACACCATGGGAAAGACCTGCCTCCATGATCCAGTTACCTCCCACCAGGTCCCTCCCACAACACGTGGTAATTCAAGATGAGATTCAGGTGGGGATAGAACCAAACCATATCATCACTATATACTTACCCGTTCAAATGTTAATGAACAATCTAGTTTTTGGCTATTACCAAATATAAACATTCATATACAAGGCTTTTTTTTTTTGTAAGATAGGGTCTTATTCTGTCATCTAGGCTGGAGTGCAGTGGTGCAATCATGACTCATTGCAGCCTCAACCTCCTGGGCTCAAGCAATCCTCCCAACTCAGCCTCCTGAGTAGCTGGGACTACATATGCATACAGCTATGCCCAGCTAATTTTGTATTTCTTTGTAGAGATGAGGTTTTACCATGTTCCCTAGGCTGGTCTTGAACCCCTGGGCTCAAGGAATCCACCTGCCTCAGCCTCCAAAATTGGGATAGCAAGCATGAGCCTCATATACAAATTTTTATATGGACATATGCTTTCATTTTCTCTTTGGTAAATACCTAGGAGTAGAAGGACCAAGGCATATGATAGGTATATGTTTAATGTTTTAGGAAACTGCCAAGCTTTTCCCAAATTGCTCATACCATTTATATTCCCACTAACAGTTATGACAGTTCCAGTTGCTCCACATTTTGTTATTTCTTGATGTGGTCAGTCTTTTTATTTTTGGACATTCTATTAATAATAGGTACACACCTATTAGTGATATTGCATGTGGGTTTTTTTTTTTTTTTTTCGTGAGACAAGTCTCAGTCTGTTGCCCAGGCTGGAGTGCAGTGGCACAATCTCAACTCACTGCAACCTCCGCCTCATGGGTTCAAGCTATTATCTTGCCTCAGCCTTCTGAGTAGCTGGGATTATAGGTGTCCGCCACCATGCCTGGCTAATTTTGTATTTTTAGTAGAGACAGGTTTTGCCATGTTGGCCAGGCTGGTCTTGAACTCCTGACCTCGTGATCCACCCACTTTGGCCTCCCAAAGTGCTGGGATTACAGCTGTGAGCCACCGTGCTCAGCCTGCATGTGGTTTTAATTTGTATTTCCCTAATGACTGATGATGTACAGCATCTTTTCATGTGATTATTCACCACGCATATATCTCCTTTGGTGAGGGGTCTGTTTATTTGTTTTTTTCCAGTGAGAAGCCTGGTGTGGTTCTTACTTTTGTTCCCCTATATGTAGTTTGATCACTACTCTGCTGAATATTCAAGGGGGCCTTCTGTACATCTCCAGAGCTCTCTTTCTCTCTGTGTAGCTTTCTTCTGACACTGTGCCCTGCAAACTTGAGTCTCCCTGGAAGCCCAGTCATGTCTCCTCAATTCAGAGAAACTGCCAAGCTCCTCCAGGGTTTTTCACCCTGCACTGCAGTGTGTCATTTTCTGCAGGAAGCTTACGAGAGTTTCTAGAGCTTACTGCAGAGAGCAAAGAGTACGTACTGCAGCTCTAGTTAGCTGGAGCTCTAGTTAGCTGTGGCGCAGGCCTCCTCTCTTTGGTTTCTATCCTTTGTTCCCTTATGTTCACTTTCTTAAACACTGTAATTTTAAATACTTTGTCTGATTTTTTTTTCTTAGTTGTTTTAGGTGAGAGAATAAATACAGTCCCATTTTTCCATCTTGGCTGAAAGCAGAAGTTCTTTACCAAAATGTTTCTGAATTTATATAAAAATAGTACAAAACAGTGTATATGTTTTCTCATGAATTAAAAACTTTTTTATCTTTCTGTAGTGGCCCGATTTATCTCTGGCAGTGCTTTGTGTCTTAAGATCTATTTTGTCTGACAGTAATTCTAGCTTTCCTTCAGTTAGTGTTTGCCTGGTGTCTTTTTCTATATTTTGACTTTCAGCCCTTGCTGTGTCTTTTTTTTTTTCCTTTATTTTTATTTTTTAAAGTTTTTTTTACCCATGACACCTGCCCAGGAGGTTCTGAAAACATGTGCCCTGTGTCTTTATTTTTTAGGTGTCTTTTTGAAAATAGCTTGTAGGTGTGTGTGTGTTTGTATATACATTATTTGTGACTATCTTTTTCTTTTTGTTGTATTGTTTAGTTGCTTTACATGTATTATGATCTGGATTTATTATTATTATTATTATTATTATTATTTTTGAGACAGACTCTGTCACCCAAGCTGGAGTGCAGTGGCACCATTTTGGCTCACTGCAACCTCCGCCACCTGGGTTTAAGTGATTCTCCTGCCTCAGCCTCCCGAGTAGCTGGGATTACAGGTGCATGCCACCATGCCTGGCTATTTTGTATTTTAGTAGAGATGGGGTTTCACTATGTTGGCCAGGCTGGTCTCGAACTCCTGACCTCAAGAGATCCACCTGCCTCGGCCTCCCAAAGTGCTGGGATTACAGGCATGAGCCACTGCACCTGGCCTCTATTATTATTTTTAGACCGGTTTCACTTCTGTCACCCAGACCAGAGTGCAGTAGCGCGATTTCGGCTCATTGCATCCTCCACCTCCTGGGCTCAGGTGATTCTCCCACCTCAGCCTCCTAAGTAGCTGGGACTACAGGCATGTGCCACCACGCACAGTTAATTGTTGCATTTTTTGTAGAGACGAGGTTTCACCATGTTGCCCAGGCTGGTCTTGGACTCCTGACCTCAAATGACCTGCCCGCCTTGGCCTCCCAAAGTGTTAGGATTACAGGCATGAGCCACCATGCCTGGCCTCTAATATATCTTTTAGTTTAATTTTTTAAATATTAAAAATTGTTCTAGAGACAGGATCTCACTGTGTTGCTCAGGCTGGAGTACAGTGGCTATTTACAGGTATGATCACAGGATACTGTGGCCTGGAACTCCTGGGTTCAAGTGATCTTTCTGCCTCAGACTCCGGAGGAGCTGGGACTACAAGTGTGAGCCACCACACCTGGATATTTCTACAATTACATGCTGTTCTTTTGCTCCACATTTTTTTCTCTTCCGTGTCTTGCCTTTTTTGGATTGACATTTTAAATTTTTCTCTTTAATTCTATTTTTACTGTACTGTATTAGAAGTTGTGCCTGTTTATTTGCTTGCCAGTCTCCCAATTAAACATGTATTATTAATAAAATAGAAAATGAAGTATTTACCCTTCTCTCAAATACTTCAAGACTTTTAATACTTTACCCCTGATCAGCCCCCTCTGTAAGTGTGTGCTATTCTGTCTAGTATCTTAGTTTTATCGTGTCATTAATGCTGCAGGTAGACATTATTGTTTTATATATTCAGTATTGGTTTAGAATTACCTACATATTTTCTAATGTTCTGCCTTACAATTCCTTTTTAATTTTAATTTTTTTTAAGACAGAGTCTCATTCTGTCACCCAGGCTGGAGTGCAGTGGCGTGATTTCGGCTCACTGCAACCTCCACCTCCTGGGTTGAAGTGATTCTCATGCCTCAACCTCCCAAGCAGCTGGGACTACAGGTGTGCACCACCACACCTGGCTAATTTTTTTTGTATTTGTAGCAGAGATGGGGTTTCGCCATGTTGGCCAGGCTGGTCTTAAACTCCTGGCCTCAAGTGATCCTCCCACCTCCGCCTCCTAAAGTGTTGGGATTACTGGCGTGAGCCACTGCACCCACCCTAAAATAATAATAATCTTTAAAAGAATTTAGGCTGGGGCTGGGCACGGTGGCTCACACCTGTAATCCCAGCACTTTGGGAGGCTGAGGCAGGCAGATCACGAGCTCAGGAGTTCAAGACCAGCTTGACCAACATGATGAAACCCCATCTCTACTAAAAATGCAAAAATTAGCCGGATGTGGTGACACGCACCTGTAATGTAATCCCAGCTACTAAGGAGGCTGAGGCAGGAGAATCGCTTGAACCCAGGAGGCGGAGGTTGCAGTAAGCCGAGATCATGTCACTGCACCCCAGCATGGGCAACAGAACAAGACTCTGTCTCAAAAAAAAAGAATTTAGGCCGGGCGTGGTAGGGTCATGCCTGTAATCCCAGCACTTTGGGAGGCTGAAGCAGGGAGATCCACCTGAGGTCAGGAGTTTGAGACCAGCCTGGCCAACATGGTGAAACCCCATCTCTACAAAAAATACAAAAATTAGCCTGGCCTGGTGGCATGTGCCTGTAATCCCAGCTACTTGGGAGGCTGAGGCAGGAGGATCACTTGAGCCCGGGAGGCAGAGGTTGCAGTGAGCTGAGATCTCGCCCCTGCACTCCAGGCTAGGAGAGACAGTGAGACTCCATCTCGCAAAAAAAAAAAAAAAAAAAAAAAATTATTGTGTTAATTTTGGTAAAACATACACAACATTAAATTTAGTATTTTAACCATTTTAAAGGTCTCACTCAGTGGTATTAGTTATTTACATTATTGTGCAGTCATCACCACTACCCATCCTCAGAACTTACTCTATAATAAAATGAAATCACAATTCCTCCTTGCATTTTAAATCTTCCGCCTGTGATTGTATTTGTTTTGCCTCATTTAGTACTAATTCTAGTGTAAAATATTTTGGTAGTCAATTCTTTTAACTCTCATTTGTCTGAAAATGTTTTTATTTTGCCCTTGGTTGAGAGAAGCAAGTTTCTCTGATGGATCTCTCTTTAAGGCCAGTTTACTTTTTATTCACCCTTACACTTATTATATCATTCAACTTGATGAAATTATCTTCTCTTAGGCTTTATATTTTGAGTGGGCCCAAGACTCTATCACTGTCTCCTACCTATACCCTGTATATCCTTAAAATAGAAACTCAAGGTGTTAGTGTTCTGCAGAATCCCTTGATGAAAGCCAGCTTTGATGCAGGTTCATCTCCCAGGAGTTCCACTTTGGCTTTAAATTATTTTTTTTTTTTGAGACAAAATCTTGCTCTTGTCCCCCAGGCTGGAGTGCAATGGCACGATCTCGTCTCACTGCAACCTCTGCCTCCTGGGTTCAAGCGATTCTCCTGCCTCAGCCTCCCGAGTAGCTGGGATTACAGGCGCCTGCCATCACGCCCAGGTAATCTTTGTATTTTTAGTAGAGACCGGGTTTCTCCATGTTGGTCAGGCTGGTCTCGAACTCCTGACTTCAGATGATCTGCCTTCCTCGGCAGTGTTGGGATTACAAGTGTTGGGATTACAGGCGTGAGCCACTGCGCCCAACCAATTTTTTTTTTTAATGATCATAGCTTTATAATATATGTTAGCAGATCATATCCTCAGAAACCTACAAGTTTGTTTCTTCTTTCCTAATCCTTGTGTTCTTTTTCTCTGTCTTATTTGCATTGGTTAACCTCTCAGGGCCGTGTTAATTAGAAGTAGGGTAACAGCATCCATCACTTGTTCCTGACATTCAATTGGAATGCTTTTAAAAGTTTAGCAGTAATTGGCTGGGCGTGGTGGCTCACACCAGTAATCCCCGCACTTTGGGAGGCCGAGGCAGGCAGATCACGAGGTCAGGAGATCGAGACCATCCTGGCTAACACGGTGAAACCCCATCTCTACTAAACATACAAAAAAGTTAGCCAGGCGTGGTGGTGGGCGCCTGTAGTCCCAGCTACTTGGGAGGCTGAGGCAGGAGAATGGCGTGAACCCAGGAGGCGGAGCTTGCAGTGAGCCGAGATCATGCCAATGCACTCCAGCCTGGGCAACCGAGCGAGACTCCGTCTCAAAAAAACAAAACAAAACAAAGTTAGCACTAATTATATTTGTTGTGATGGCTTTTTGGACCCAGTTCTTCCTTTTCCTTCTCCTTCTCTTTCTTCCTCTCCCTTTCCCTCTCCCTCTCCCCCTCCCCCTCCCCCTCTTCCCCTTTCTCTTCCTGTTCTTCTCTTTTGAGTCAGGGTCTCGCTGTGTTGCCCAGACTGGAGTGTAGTGGTACGATCTCTGTTCACTGCAACCCCACCTCCCAGGCTTAAGTGATTCTTGTGCCTCAGCCTCCTGAGTAGCTGGTATTACAGGTGTGTGCCACCAGGCCTGGCTAATATTTGTATTTTAAGTAGAGATGGGGTTTCCCCATGTTGGCCAGGCTGATCTTGAACTCTTGACCTGAAGTGATATGCCTGCCTTTGCCTCCCAAATTGTTGGGATTATAGACGTGATCCACCACGCCTGGCCTTTGGACCCAATTTCTATTATACTGATGAAATATCTCCTTATTAAAAATCTCTAATATCATAAAATTTGGGTTTCTGCTTAAGGCTTTCTCATATTAATTGAATTTTACTCTAAAATTTAATTATCTGATGTGCTATGAAATATGAATTCCTGCTAAAGCCTTTCCTAAATCCAAGGTATTCATAAGGTTTTAATGAGTATGAATTCTTTGGTGTCAAATATGGCATGACTTCTGTTTGAGATATTTCATTAGTTTTTTTCGTTGGTATTGGTTCTCTTATGTAGAGCATTGGCTAAGAATGGACAGAAGACTTTACCACACATTTTACATTCATACTTACGGGTTCTTACATGTACAATAAGCAGTATGATTACAGAGAAAACTTCTGCACCCTTAGTATAGGGTGTCGCCCTCGTCATGAATATTGTAATATTTAATGATGAATAGCTTCTGCCCGAAGATCGTTGCACTTTCATTATCTTTACAGGGCACCCCTCAGATCTGAATTTTCTTTTCTTCTCTTTTTATTTTTTGACAGGGTGTCACTCTGTCACCCAGGCTGGAGTGCAGTGGCGTGATTACGGCTCACTGCAGTCTCCGCCTCCCCAGGCTCAGGTGATCGTTTTTATATTTTATTTTTAGTAGAGACCTCAGTTTTTATATATTTTATTTTTAGTAGAGACGGGGTTTCGCCATGTTGCCCAGGCTGGTCTTGAACTCCTGTGCTCAAGTGATCCACCCACTTTGGCCTCTCAAAGTGCAGGGATTACAGGCGTGAGCCACCGCGCCTGGCCTCAAATCTGGATTTTCTCATGCCCAGTGGAATTTGATTTGCCACTGAGTGCTTTCTCACCTTCCCTACTTGCGTAGGGTTTATCTCCAGTATGACCTCTCTGGTATAAAGTTTGACTTCCGAATAAAAGCTTTTTCATACCTACTACATTCATAAGATTTCTTTTTTATATGGATTATTGATGAATAATGAAGTTTTCCTTTTGGCTGAAGATGTTCCACATTTCTTACATTCATAGAGTTCTCATTATTTACAGTGTGAATGTTCTGATCTTTAATGAAGTATTTCTTCTAGCTAAGACACTTCCACATTGATTCCATTCCGGGCTTTCTTTCCTGGATGAATTTTTCTCATTCTCTGTGAGATGTGATTTGCGACTGAAGGCTTTCCCACCTTCCTTATGTGCATAGGAAGGACAGTCTCTCCAGCATGTCTTCTTTGGTGTCTAATGAGACTTGACATTTTAATAGCAGCTTTTCCACATTTATCATTGTTATATGATTTCCTCCCTGTATGGTTTTCCTTTTTTCTCTTTCTCTTTCTTTCTCTCCCTTTCTTTTTCTTTCCTTCCTTCCTTCTTTCTCTCTTTCTCCCTTTCTTCTCCTTCTCCTTCTTCTTCTTCTTTTTTTCTTTTCTTTTTTTTTTTTTGAAATGAGGTCTCACTCTGTTATCCAGGCTAAAGTGCAGTGGCACAATCATGGCTCACTGCAATCTCAAACCTTCTGGGCTCAGATGATCCTCCCACCTCAGCCTCACAAGTATCTAGTACTACAGGCATGCGCCACCACGCCAGGCTACTTTTTTCTCTCTCTCTCTTTCTTTTCTTTTCTTTCTTTCTTTTTTTCTTTTTAAATAGAGACAGGGTTTCACCATATTGCCCAGGCTGCTCTCAAACTCCTCACTCAAGTGATCCACTTCGGCCTCCCAAAGTGCTGGGATTAACAGGTGTGAGTCACTGTGCCACCTGGCCCCAGCTAGTTTTTCATTCAAATCTTAAAAACAAAAACACCCAAAACTGTTGCTATCTTATAAATACTCATCATCCCAGCTATCCACATTCAGATAATTCCTCACTCTCTCCTTCTCCCCGACAACCCCAAACAATCTTGTACCACATAATTTCTTACTTAATAATGTTAAATTAGTTTCCCATGGTTGTCATAACAAAGTATCACAAACAGGTAGCTTAAAACCTTAGAGATGTATTCTCTCTTGGCTCTGGAGGCTAGAGGTCTGAAATCAAGGTGCCCGCCCTGTTCCCTCTGAAGCCTCTAGGAAAGAACCCTTCCTATCTCCTTCCAGCTTCTGGAGGTTGCCAGCAACCTTCAGCATTCCTTGGCTGGTGGACACGTCACTCTCTGTTGCTGTTTTTAGCCTTCCTATTCCCTCCCCTGTGGATCTATGTCTTTGTTTTCTCGTCTTAAAAGAACACTAGTTATAGGTTTTTAGGGCCTACTTTATCCAGTATAAGCTCATCTTAATTAATTATATCTGCAAAGGCCCTATTTTTTTTTTTTTTTTTTTTGAGAGGGAGTCTCACTCTGTCACCGAGGCTGGAGTGCAGTGGCGCGACCTTGGCTCACTGCAACCTCTGCTTCCCAGGTTCAAGTGATTCTCCTGCCTTGGCCTCCTAAGTAGCTGGGACTACAGGTGCACACCACCACACCTGGCTAATTTTTTGGTATTTTTAGTAGAGACATCTTGGCCAGGCTGGTCTCGAACTCCTGACCTCAGGTGATCCATCTGCCTTGGCCTCCCAAAGTGCTGGGATTACAGGCATGAGCCACCATGCCTGGCCTAGTTCTGTCTTTTTATTCTCCTTTAATCTGGAACAGTTTTTCAGGCTTTCTTTGCTTTTCATGACATACTTTTTTTTTTCTTTTTGAGACGGGGTCTCGCTTTGTCATCTGGGCTTCAGTGCAGTGGTGTGATCATAGCTCACTGCAGCACATTAGTTGTTTTCGTTGGCCTATCTTATCTGCCATATGTTGGCAACAGATGTGACTCTTCACCTCCTATGCTTTCTTCAGGTGACTCCCAGTAAACTTCCTAGCTCTCCCTTGAAGCTACTATTGTCAAAGTTACCAGCAATTTCCACCTCTGTCTTTCCAGATCCACAGGTTAACTGTCATTATCATCAGCTTTTAGCAATATTTGCTGCAGCTGGCCACTACATCCTTCTTGAAACACTGTCTTCCCTTGGCTTCTCAGACACCATCCTCTCCAGGTTCTCCTCCTGTGTTATTTCCTTCTCAGCCTTTTGGATGGCTGCCTTCCTATCATCCACCTCTAAATTCAGCAGCTCCCATGAGCTCAGTCCTGGATACACTTGTCTTCTCTATATACACACTCTCTCTCATCTAATCCTAATTAGATGACCACACCTAATTCTATGTATTTAGATATAATGTATAATCTGATGAACTGTATTCCTATAATTGTATTTCCAGCCCTGATCTCTCTTTTGGATTCCAGCTGCCTACGTGGGGTGTCTAGTTGGATTTTCCAAAAGATATTTCCAATTCAACATGGCTACAATACAACTCTTGATTTTCTAACCATTTATCTCCCAGTGTTCCTAATCTCAGTTAAGGCATCAACATTCATTGGCCACTCAGTTTTCAACCTTAGAAGTCATTCTCGATCACTCCCTTGTCACCAGGAGCAACTTACACTCTGTTCCATAACTTATTCATTTGCAAGTTCTGTGGCTTCACCTCCAAAATATATCTGGTGTCCATACACTTCTCCCCATTTAAGCTACTTCTATTTCAGTCAAGATGGGCCATCGTTTCTTATTCAGAGCATATTGGCACAGACTCCTTGTCTCTTGCCCTCTCCCCAAACAAAATAAGCACCCTAGAGCAGCCAGTTATTTTGAAAGACAAAACTGTGTTACTACCTTACTTAAAACCTCCAACTAGTTTAAGTTGCACTTTTTTCTTTCTTTTTTTTTAATTACCACACTTAGTCAATGCTCCTATTAAGTTGCACTTTCTATAATAATTCCAATACCATAGCCTTCAAAGCCTTATGTGGTCTGTCCCAGACCTATTTCCCCAAGTTTTCTTGTATCACTGTATCCTTGTATCACTACACTCTTTCTTGTATCACTCTGTCCTGTGTTCCAATAATTCTGGCCTTCTTACTGTTTCTCAAGTGTGTTAGACTGAAAGCTCAGTCAAGGCATGGATTTTTGTGTTGTTTTTCCTTTTGTCTATAGTGTTAATTGACGAATCACAGAGCATCTAAGACAGTGCCTGGCATTTGGGAAGCATTCAATGAATATCTATTCAATAGAAGAATGAATATGTGCACGCCATACTAATTTTTTTGTTGTTCACCTCATGGTCTTTACTTTTGCCATTCTCTTAGATTGGAATGTTCTCCAAGATCTTAACATGGCTGGCTTTTTTTTTTCCCCCATAACTCAAGGCTCAGCTCAAATGTTAGTATCTTAGAGAAAACTTCTTTGGCACCCTATTTAAACTGCCAGCGTTCTCTGCCTTTGCATTTTCCTGGTTTACTTTGTAGCACTTATCATGACCTGGAGTTATTTCTTTTCTTCTTGTTACCTACACTAGAATAAAGCTGCATGACAGCAGGGCCTTTTTTGGTTGCTGTTGTTCCCTATTCTATCTTTATTGTTTAGAAAAATGAATGGCACACAGTACATATTCAATAAATACTTCTTGTATACCCCAGTGAGTGAATTTTACAGTGTAAACTTTAAAAATCATTTAAAAATCCACATAAAAAGCAAATTCCTGAGGTTCACTCCAGACCCTCTGAATAAAAACTCTGTGGGGAGGAATCTCCCTGCACATATTTATGTACTTAGAAGTTTTAGAACATTTCTCTAAAGCCATGAGAGTAACTCAGGCTCTTCAGTTTGAATAGCCCCATTCCCCATGGTGCGTTCTCTTTTGGGTTCTGTGGTGTTGTTTCTGGTCAGTGGACCTCAGTTGGGACCATCTCAGTTCATCAGCAAGGATGTAATGATGTTAAATCTAAAAGTGAGCCGTTCTTACTGAGGCCAGGGGTATGTGGAGTGGCAGCTTTTGCAAGGACACAGAAGGACCTGTCCAACCTGCGGCATTGTTCATCTACTCGTAACACTAAAAGGGAGCATTCAAGGGACTCTCTTAGCCAATATGATCTTTCCTTAGGCAACTGATTTCCATGTCTGTGTTGCCAGAGTAGGGCTACTAGTGTCTCTCACTAGCTATGTTAAGGTCGGCCTCATCTAAGTCCAGTGCCACCTGTACAGTGGTTTAAGGAAGAACAAGACACGGCCTAGATGTGAAGTTGTTTACAAAGCAGTTAACTGTCTGAAGTTTCTTCTTGTTGTTGTTTTGTTTTTTTAAAGACAGAGACTTGCTCTATCACCCAGGTTGTAGTGCAGTGGCACGATCACAGCTCACTGCAGCCTTGACTTCCTGGGCTCAAGTAACCCTCCTGCACAGCCTGCCGGTAACTGGAACCACAGATGTGTACTGCCATGCCTGGCTAATCTTTTTGTTTTTTGTACAGAGTCTCACTATGTTGCCCAGGCTGGTCTCGAACGCCTGTGCTCAAGCGATCCACCCGCCTCGGCCTCCCAAAATTCTGGGATTACAGGCGTGAGCCACCGCACCCTGTCACGAAGTTTAAAAAAAAAAAAAAGCTCTCTTTTCTTTCCACGTTGTTTCCAGCTATTTAAAGAAACAAAATGGTAGACTAGACGCAGTGGCTCACATCTGTAATCCCAGCAATTTGGAAGGCCAAGGCGGGAGAATCACTTGACGTTAGAGTTTGAGACCAGCCTGGCCAACATGGGGAAACCCCATCTCTACTGAAAATACAAAAATTAGCCGGGCGTGGTGGTGCATGCCTGTAATCTCAGCTACTAGAGAGGCTGAGGCAGGAGAATCGCTTGAACCCGGGAGGCAGAGGTTGCAATGAGCCCAGATCTCACCACTGCACTCCAGCCTGGGCAACAGAGCGAGACTCCGTATCAAAAAACAAAACAACAAAACAAAACAAAAAACAGTAAAGAGAATACTATTGAGTTAATTTTACAGTTTTTCACGCTGTGGGTGTTTTCTATTCTCGTCTTTTGCTTAGCTGTCCTGTCTCCCTCTTTTTCTCAGGCAATAGTTTAGGATTTTTGTAAGTTATATTGTCAGTACTTCTCATTTAAGTTCCAGACAGTGTGCTAAGCAAAGCACTTTACTCGGTAAAGTAAGAGCTCACTTAATCTTCAAAATAACGTAGCAAGGTAGATATCACGAACATAGCAAGGTAGATATCACCGAAGGGAAAACCGCTCCCCGAAGGTCCGAAGGTCCAAGGTCTCTCTGCCATCTAGCTGCCCTGCGTATTGCCTGCCAGTGGGTAGTTGGAGCTGGGTATCTCTCCAAAGCTGGGCTCTTGGCTGCCCTTTGTGAAGGCAATTTTAAGGGACAGCAGGATGTGGAAGCCTGCGGTTAAGGAGTGAGCTGAGTCACTGGGTAACCAGTGTTGAATAATGTTTCTCAATGTCTGAAATGACACTCACTTCCTTTCCAGATTGGTAGAGGAGAAAAAAGAGGCGCAGTGAAAGCGCTCTCAAGGTGCGGTGGGTCAGGGTGATAGGCGGCGCCCGGCCGCTCCCTGGGGGTCCTGAGGGCGAGACCCCGGCAGGCTCCCGACTCCGGGAGCCGGGCGGGAGTTCGGTTTTCGCCGGCGCTCCACGGCCAGGCCACTTCGGAGGCAATCTGTGGCGGGGCGGGCGGACGCGAGGGCCGCCTCACCCCCGCGCGTCTTCCGGGACACCGGGCCCTCGGGCGCGCGGGAGGCGGGCTTAGCACGGGCGCAGGCTGCCCTCGGCGCCCGAGACACCCAGGCACAGCTGGAAGCTTCCTCCCCGTTAGCACGCGGGCCGCAGCGGGGGCTTGACCCCAATGCGAAGAGTCGGGTTTTCTGATTGGCTGAGAGTAGAAACGCAGGCGAGCGCCGCCTGAGACCCGCTCTGCGATTGGGTTTTACACGAACAGCAGAGCACGAAATAAAGAGGCCTTCAGTCATTGGGCCATTATGTGAATCTCCTTTTGGCTTCTCTGCAGACTGAATAAGCGTCTCAGGATCTTCGTCATGACTCCTAAATCTGGGCCTGTCAGTTCGCCCCAGCGTTTCTCGTCTCTAGGCACGGCATGGGGCTTACAGAGTTTAACCAATCATATAACGTCGAGATCAGGTTGCCAGGCAGATTATGCTAATAAGACCCCGCCTTTTATGCTGCTCCCACTCTGCGGCGGGAAGAACCACCTGGAGGTGGCGGGGGGGGTTGATTTCTATCACCCCTAGGGAGAGAGGATCGGGGACCCGCTGATCTTCCAGCTCCCCTCACCCAACGTCGTGTAAGTACCTAAAGGATTAAGGGAACCAGATAAGCCAGGGTCCAGACTACCCCATAGACTGGGAGGGTGTTTCGTCTTTGCTTAGTCCCACCCAAAATGGCGCCCAGCTCTTTCCGCGTCTCAGAGCCCGGCCGGGGCCAACCGACCGCGGACCCGGGTGGGGGGGGAATTGATGGTGGTGGTGGGGGGGAGAAATCCCGGCGGCACCGCCCGATGGTACAGTCCAGCCGGGGCTGGGACGAGGCACCTCACTCGGGGTGGGGGGTCAAACCATCTGCACCTTCCAAGGGGAAGAGGGCAAGGCCCCCTCCAGCAGGCCCTCCTGGCGCCGCGTTCAGCGCCGGCCTCGGCGTCTCGTCGCCCCTGCCTTCGCCGCGCGCAGCCTCCCCCTGCGACCCCCGAGTGGCTCGCACGCTCCGCCGGCCGCGCGCACCTCTCCTCCCCTGCCCGCGTTGGTTGGGCCGGGACGGCGGTTGGGCGGCCTGCGCGCTCCGGCGGCGGCGGTTGCGCGGGCGCTCCGGGCGCGGCGGGCAGGTCTCCGCCGGCCGGGAGCCGAGCACCGGGGGCTGGGGGCCGGGCGCCGGGCTGGGGGTGGCAGTGCGGGCAGGGCTCCGGGGCTGGCCGGTTGCGGGCGCGTGGGGCGGAGGGTCCTGTTCGATGGGGCGCCCAGCTTTGTCTGCGGAGGCCGCGCCGCCCACTTGCCATCGATGGCTGGGCCCCCGGCCTGCCTTCCCAAGCTAGCGTCCGGGACCGGGGCGGGGGGCCGGCCCGCAGGGGTGTGGGGTGGCCCCTGCGGGTCTGTCCCGTGGCACCGCGTCGGGGCTGGCCGGGCGGAGGCGGAGGCCGAGGCCGGGGTCGCGGCCCTGCCCCAGTCCGCCTGCACCCAGGGTGCAGCGCAGAGGCAGGGCGAGGCCGGTCGGCGCTCGGGAGAGGGCTGATGGTGTGCACCTCTCCAGCCCCTCGCCAGCTTTTGTTAAGCAGGTTTAACCCTGCAGCTAGGTGTTGATACTCTACTAAGTAAAATGGAATATTCCCCGTCTGCCCTCCAGCCACGCGAACGCAGCGCTGTTGAATTTGTGTGCGCGCCTTTAGCCTTGCTTGGTGGATGAGTTGGATTTTAGTGCATTTTCAATCAATGTGCGTGTACACTTAAGCACAAGGAGAGGTGGCTTTGTGCTGTCATCGAGGATTAGATGTGTGATGAGACCCACCCAGCTCTGCCCTGTGCCCTAATTCTGCTGCTTTGCCTGTTGAAACCTTGCCTGTCTCGTCACCCCAAATTCTCTAAACTTAGCAGTACTTAACCTTTATTAAAAACAGCAGAATCACTCATGACTGTTTTGTGGCCTCTTTTTCTGACCTGTTCTCTTTGTTTCTATCACTCCTCCATCGCTGTAAGGCAAGAAGGTGTATTATTACATTGTATTTTTTTTGTATCTTCCTACCATTCCAGCATCACAATAGCTTCCACTTTGATGAGCAGTACTTATTTGTTGTTCTAGAATAGAGAAAACAAGATTTTTTTTTAAAATTAGGATTGGTTGGGGGCAAAGCAGCGTTTAAACAGTGTTTATTCAATATGGGGTATTTAGAAAGGAACTTTGCTAGGTTTATTTAGGAGACAGGGTCTCTGGTTGCCCAGGCTAGAGTGCAGTGGCGCGATCTTGGCTCACTGCCGACTCGACCTCCCGGGCTCAAGGGATCCTCCTGCTTCAGCCTCCCTAGTAGCTGGGACTACAGGCGTGCACCACCACGCCTGGCTAATTTTTCTACTTTTTGTAGAAACGGGGTTTCATCATTTTGCCCAGGATGGTTACGAACTGCTGAGCTCAAGCAATCCTACCGCCGCAGCATCCCTAAGTGCTGGGATTGCAGGCATGGGCCCCCGCGCTCGGCCTTTAGGTTTACTTTTACAATAAATTGAGGTGAAGTTGACACAGAATGAACCATTTTAAAGTGAACAGGGACGTTTAGTGAAAGGATTACATTTTTGTTTGTTTTGGATCAAGACAAATGTCTTGTGCCTTCTACCCCGTAAGCTCCCACTCTGCTATGCTGTTCCTCGTTTTGCAAGGCAAAATTGTTTTGCTTTTTCAAAGAATTCATTTTTAGTTTTTCTAATATTTTGTAGCATGCTCCACCACATATTAATCATATATTGTATGTCAATGTAATTGAGTATATATTTTAGAAAAAGCAAGGTTCCTGTCTTCAAGGGCTCTGAATGGTTTTTACTTAGAGGTTATGGAGGTATAAAGGATAGCACAACTCAATATAATCCCAAATTGATTGGCACTACCTAAGTTTCTGCTTGCCTGTTTTGTTTTTCCTTCTAGTTTTAAGAATAATGCGTGATCATTGGAGAAAACATAAAATTTAAGCCGGGCGCTGTGGCTCATGCCTGTAATCCCAGCACTTTGGGAGGCGAGGCGGGCAGATCACCTGAGGTCAGGAGTTCGAGACTAGCCTGGCCAACATGGTGAAAGCCTGTCTCTACTAAAAATACAAAAATTGGACGGACATGATGGCAGGCGCCTGTAATCCCAACTACTCGGGAGGCTGAGGCAGGAGAATCACTTGAACCCGGGAGGCAGAGTTTACAGTGAGCTGAGATCGGGCCATTGCACTCCAGCCTGGGCAACAAGAGCGAAACTCCGTCTCAAAAAAAAAAAAAAAAAATTTAGAAGCGAGTGAAAAAAAACAAAACCCATAATTACCCAGAGATAATCTTTGCTGATACTTTGGTGTATTTCAAGTTGGTTTTGTGTGTGTATAAAATATTTGTACAAACGACATAATCTTGGTTTAATATCTAGTTTTTAAAACAAGACGTAAATAGGTGTCTAAAGACTTTGCTGATGATTGGGCACTTTCATTACTTCCATTATTTGAAGGGGGCATCATGAAGTCCGCCGAACTAAAAGAATTATAATATTTTGATTTCTTGTAACTTTTTAAAAGCGTAATCTAATTGATAGGGATAGGCTTCTGGATAACAAACATAATTCATCAAAGGGCTGAGAAGTACTGAGCTATAATTTTGGTTTCCTCAATTTTTCATTTTAAGCACTGGTAAACACCTCGTAACCGCGTAATTATATCTGGTAAAAAGAAACTGTTAAACATCCTGTTGTTGCAGTGTTTGAGTTGTTCAGTTTGTTTTAAACTTGAACACTGATGTACTTTGACCTATTGCCACTAAAATACATAGTCTTCTCCCATCACATCCCACCCCAGATAGTGTAGCCACACCCAGTCCAGCAATTTGTTTTTCACAAGCAGAATTTATTGTCTACCATTTTAACTTATTATAGGTACTTTAATAGATTAATGAAGGAGAATTCGATCTGGTGTCTAGAAAGAGCCAAAAAGAAATGTTTGCTACAACCAAATCTTTGGAGAATGATCCCACTCAAATTCTCCTGGGGGATAGGTAGAGGCAGGAGGGTGAGAGGGGAACTTTTCGTGACTTATTTTGGCCCTCATTGGTGACACTTATCTCTTCGCTGTTCTAGCATTAAACTGTTCACGTGGTTTAGTTGAATCACTGCTTAGGAATATCTGGCCTCTTTTCTTTTTTATTCTTAATGTTATAACACAGCCGGGTGTGGTGGCTCACACCTGTAATCCCAGTACTCTGGGAGGCCAAGGCAGGCAGATTGCTTGAGTCCAGGAGTTCGAGAACAGTCTGGCCAACATAGCAAAACTCTGCCTCTACTAAAAACAAAAAAGTTAGCCAGGTGTGGTGGCCCACAGCTGTAGTCTCAGCTACTCAGGAGGATGAGGTGGGAGAATCACCTGAGCCCCGGAAGTAGCGGCTGCAGTGAGCCGAGATCACGCCACTGCACTCCAGCCTGGGCAACCAGAGTGAGACCCTGTCTCCAAAAAAAAAAAAAAAAAAAGTTATTACACCATTTCACCATTTCAAGACTTGTGTGGAGCACTCTGGCCATTTCTGTCCACCTTCCAAAATTTTTCTGTGCCTTTCCATTGACCATCCTTGTGTAGATTTTAAATTTGTGTTGTAGAAAGCACCTGAAGGTAGATTCTTCTTCTGTAACTTGAAATAGTTTAGGGAATGGGGAGCGGGTGAGGAAGTGGAGTGGAAAGAGGGAAGGTATGGGTAACCCTAAGTATAGTTACAGCAAGACTAGTTAAAATGTGGTGAAAACAATTATAAAATCAATAGTGCACAATAGTTTAGAACCTTATATGGATTGCTAAAAGGTTACTGTCTGCTAACATAGGCTGTAGTTTGCTATTCATTTTTTAGTTAAACTCTCGTTTATTGCAAACAGGAGAATATTGGAGTCAAATGCTCCTCCTCCTCCCCCCCTTTTTTTTTAACCCATGTCCTTCACTTTCACTGATGGTAAAGTTGTACTCCACAGCTTCTTTCCTGCTGTGATTTCTAGAAATCAGATCCCTTAGACCTGTGCTGTCCTGTCTAGTAGCCACCTGTGGTTTTGAGCACTTGAAATATGGCCAGTGCTGTGAAGTGTGAAATACATACACTCAGATTTTGAGATTTAGTAGAAAAAAATAATATCTTTCAATTTATAAAATATTGATTAAATGTTGAAATGACAATATGTTGAATAGACTGGGTAAAATGCAATATACTATTATAATTAATTTCACCTGTTTCTACTTTTAAACTATGTATACTAGAACATTTTAAATTATGTATGTGGCTTGCATATTTCTTTGAAAAGTGCAGCCTTAGTCAGCTAGGGGTAGGGTGTTCCCAGGTGGCATTAAGATGTAATATTTTTTGGTTTCTATAATTTGAATGAAAAGATACTGCTAATATGTAGATGTCTGTTTTTTTAGTGCTTATGATAGCTCTCACAAAAGCATGATTATTATTTTGAAGAATATCTTAATCTCAAAACCACTTCCAGATAATTGAGTTAACTGTTACTGAATTAATGTATTCAATGGATCATTTGAACTTAAAAGAATAAAATGACATTGGTAAGCACATAATCCATTAAAAAAAGTTGAGCTAAGCATAATCAGCTAAATTTTCCCAAACTTGGTCTGTTATTCAATACATTGATTTTTAGAATTTACCATTTTTCAAATGTTTAAGAGAAACCTGAAATTGAGAACATTGAACTTACATTTTTTTCTCCTGTGATTTAGAAAAAGACCACAATACTTTGATTCTAAAGGTGGAAGGAACCGTTTGGACCAGCTCGTGAAAGAACTGTCTTTTTTTTTTCCTTTTCTGTTTTTTGAGAAAGGCCCTCATTCTGTCACCTACGCAGGAATGCGGGGGCACCATCATAGCCCACTGCAGCCTTGACCTCCCAGGCTCAAGTGATCCTCCCACCTCGGCCTCCCAAGTAGCTGGCAGTACAGGTGTGTACCACCATGCCTGGCTAATTTTTGTATTTTTTGTAGAGACAGAGTCTTGCCACGTTGCCCAGGCTGGTCTGGAACTCCTGTGGCTCAAGCGATCCACCCATCTCTGCCTCCCAAAGTGCTGGGATTACAGGTGTGAGCCACTGCACCCAGTCGGGAGAACTGTCCTTTTAAACACAATTGGAGAAACATAACCTACACGTAAAATCCATATTTTTTTACTTCCACGTTTGCACCGTTGACAGTTTTGCCCTAAGCTGCCTTTATTGATGCCTTTCCTTTTACTGCCCTGTGTGGAGATTTTATATGGTGTAGTATTCACAGCGTTGCCTCAGGGGCAAAGAGGTTCACTGCTGTGCTCAGCTTGCTGGCTGTGATCTTGGGCAAGTTACTTCTGTAAGCCTTGGTTTTCTTATCAACTCTTTCAACTAGTTTCTTAATTATTACTAGGGATAATAACAGTAATCAACCTCATAGATTCCAAGTGAGGATGCCTGTTAATCACTCACCACAATTGTATAAATGGCTCAATAACAAAGCACACAGTTCTAAATGGTTCAAAACTTGTTTATCTCTTTTGGAACCGCCACTTCGGTCAAACTGGTCTTCCCACTGTTCCTTAAATATTCGGGATTTTCTCTCTCTGCTGTCACACCTTCGTTTCCCAAGTGGAATGTTTCTTCCTCTCTGCTCTCCTTCCCCTCCTCTCCTAGTTCTGCCCGCCAGAATCCTATCCATCCTTCTTGAGCAGTGGCTGGAAAACTTTTTAAAGGACCAGGTAGTAAATGTTGTTGGCTTTGTGGGCCATATGGTCTCTGTCAAAACGGTTCCCCTCTGCTGTGGAGTGTGAGAGCGTGGCTGTGTTCCAACAAACTATTTTGGACCTTGGAATTTCAATTAATATAACTTTCCTGTGTCAGGAAATAGTCTTCTTTTGAGTCTTTTCAAATATTTTAAAATGTAACAACCATTCTTAGCTCACAGGCTGCACAAAAACAGGTGTCTGCCGCCTGCGGGCTGTGGCTCGCCATCCCCTGTACCAGAGCAAGCTGAACCCACACCGCCCTTGTTGAAGTGTCAAGACCATCTCATTTGAAAGTAATCCTTTTTGTCTCTGAAGGTCCTGCAGGATTTTGTACTGCTTTATAACAGTAACATTCAGTGCTTACGTTGTATTGTACTCCAATTATTTGTGCTTATTTCTTGCTTCCCAAACAGATTCTAAATTTCTGGAAGCTACAGGTGATTTTTAGCCCCCTCACGTAGAATGCAGTATAAATGAGTGCCTTTTACTTACTGGATTCTAAAATGTTTTGAGGGATAAGTGAGTGAATTAAAATACTTGAAGTTGTTTGTAAAGTTTTCCTCCCTTTTTTTTTCTTTTTCTTTTCTTTTCTTTTGTTTTTGAGACAGAGTCCCGCTCTGTTGCCCAGGCTGGAGTGCAGTGGCATGATCTCAGCTCACGGCAACCTCCGTCTTCTGGGTTCAAGTGATTCTCCTGCCTCAGCCCCCCAAGTAGCTGGGATTACAGGAGCCCGCCATCACACCCGGCTAATTTTTGTATTTTTAGTAGAGACGGGGTTTCATCATGTTGGCCAGGCTGATCTTGAACTCCTGACCTCAGGTGATCGGCCTGCCTCGGCCTCCCAAAGTGCTGGAGTTACAGGCGTGCGCTACGGCCCCTGCCCCTCTCCCCCGCCTTTTTTTTTCAAGATTCTTATTTTTGTGTGCAAATTCTACCATTTTCTTAGAATTGCTTGAAGATTTTGAGGCCAATTTATTGGGGGTTATTTTCAGTCTTTCCACAAACCATGATTACAGGCAGTCTTAATAGAATGTCCTTCTAATAGGGACTAGCTATCATTCCTTTAACTAATTATTGCTCTTTGTTTGACTTTTTAACTGTCCTCTCTGAGACACTTGTTTACGTTTAGTCTTCAACACAGAATATTGACAGAACCGTGTCCAATTTTGCAAAGGAGAGAAAGTAGGTAGAGGTCAGGGAATTATGCAAGTATGGGAGAGGGGTCAGAGCGCATGGGAGAAAAGGGTCTGTATCCTCAGCCCCAGGCAGGGGATGTATATTAATAAGGTTTCAGTCTCTTCCATCATGTATTCATCTTCTCCTTCATTCTTTTTCTCTTGAAGTTGATGAATTGAAAATTATTCCGGACTGTGTAAGTACTTTATCACTGGATAAATATAAGGACCCATGAATGGTAATATTTGGACACCACTTTATGTGACATGCAAGTTCTCTCAAGTACTTTAGTACTGTGGAAGTGTGAGATGTTACATTACTACAAAACAGTAATTCTGGAATTAAAATGAAATTATGTCATAGTAATTGGACTTTGATGAACTTTGTTTCATTTATACATTTTAAGAAAGTTTATGTTGGCCAGGCGCAGTGGCTCACGCCTGTAATCCCAGCACTTTGGGAGGCCGAGGCAGGCGGATCACGAGGTCAGGAGATCAAGACAATCCTGGCTAACGCGGTGAAGCCCTGTCTCTACTAAAAATACAAAAAAAATTAGCCGGGCATGGTGGTGGGCACCTGTGGTCCCAGCTACTCGGGAGGATGAGGCAGGAGAATGGCATGAACCCAGGAGGCGGAGATTGCAGTGAGCTGAGATTGTGCCACTGTACTCCAGCCTGGGCGTCAGAGCGAGGCTCTGTCTCAAAAAAAAGAGAAAGAAAAAAAGAAATTTTATGTTAACTTTTTAATATTTTTTAATTTTTTTAGAGACAGTGTCTCACTGTGTTGCCAAGGCTGGTCTCTAACTCCTGGGTTCAAGCCATCCTCCTGTCTCAGCCAACCGAGTAGCTGGGGTTACAGGTGCAAACCACCACCACCAGTTTCGTTTCTTTTTTTTTTTTTTTTTTGAGGCAGAGTTGCGCTGTGTCACCTAGGCTGGAGTGCAGTGGTGCGATCTCGGCTCACTGCAACCTCTGCCTTCTGGGTTCAAGCAATTCTCCCTGCCCCAGCCTCCTGAGTAGCTGGGATTACAGGCACCCACCACCACGCCTGGCTAATTTTTGTACTTTTTTTTTAGTAGAGATGGGGTTTTGCCATGTTGGCCAGGCTGGTCTCGAACTCCTGACCACCCGCCTCGGCCTCCCAAAGTGCTGGGATTACAGGTGTGAGCCACTGCACCCAGCCCCAGTTTATTTTCATACTTATATATACTTATCCCAAGCTCTAGGTATCTCACCAAAAACTTATACATCATTTACAAAATATATTTTTTTCAGATTCATGGTTTTAAATGGTTATAAACTATAACAGATATAGAAAATTCTAAAACTTTATTGAGTGGCTTTAAATAAAACCTAAATAAATGAAGAGCACAGTGGCTCAAGGAGTGGAAGATTCAATATTGTAAATGTGTCAATTTTCTGGAAACTGATTTATAGATCTAATGTAATCCCACATTTAAAAAAATTAGACAAGCTGATTCTAAAACATTTGCCAAGGCCCAAGAAAAGGCAAAACACTTTGAAAAAGAAAAGTTAGGAAAACCTCTGCTAGAGATCAAGAAGAGTTATAATAATTAAGATAGTGTTGGGCCAGGCGCGGTGGCTCACGCCTGTAATCCCAGCACTTTGGGAGGCCGAGGCGGGTGGATCACGAGGTCAGGAGATCAAGACCATCCTGGCTAACATGGTGAAACCCCGTCTCTACTAAAAATACAAAAAGTTAGCCAGGTGTGGTGGCGGGTGCCTGTAGTTCCAGCTACTCGGGAGGCTGAGGCAGGAGAATGGTGTGAACCCAGGAGGCAGAGCTTGCAGTGATCCGAGATCGCACCACTGCACTCCAGCCTGGGCGACACAACGAGATTCCATCTCAAAAAAAAAGATAGTGTAATATTGGCACTGGGTAGGCTAATAATGATGGACCAATAGAACACCATATGGAGTCCAGAAACAGTATTATGCATAGCCAGACACTTGATTTATGACCTGGAGGCATGGCAGAAAGGCAGGCAAAACAATAACACTTTTAGAATTAATATAGGAAGATACTCATGACCTTAGTATAGAGAAACATTTCTTAAACAAGATGCTACAGGCACTAATAGAATAATGGGCAAAAGTCTTGAACAGCCACTTCAGAAAAGGAGAAATCCAAATGTCTAATAAACATGAAAAGGTGTTCAACCATGTTAATGAAGGAAATGCACATTTCAGCCACAGTGCCAGAACACTGTATACCTAAATTAAAGTTGGATGTTGAACAGTAGGGACTTTCATAGATGGCTGGTACAGATATAAATTCATATGACTACCTTGGAAAACAGTATTATCAAGAAAGTCCAAAACATGCATACTTTAATGACCAGCAGTTCCAATATTAGAGAAATGCATGTGCCTGAGAGAACTAGAAAAAGTATTTGGAGTAATTTATTTTCATAATACTGATTCAATTACTATTTCAGGACTGCTGTGTTGTGTTCTGAACACACAGGTAGCTTTGTTTCTAGAACAATGGTGAATAAATGTTATTTATATTTTCCTTCTGTGCTGAATGTTTATATAGTCCATCCAATGTCTTCTTCAGTTCCTAAAAGAATGCTGGAAACAGAATAGGCATTTAATAAGTATTCTTGTGTTTTAAAAAATTATTTGAATTTTTACAATGGGAGCCCTTCATCACAGCTTTGTAGTTACCTCAACTCTGGCTGTTGAGTAATTTGCTCAGTTAAATCTGTTTGTGGGTGTAGTGAATTACAACCTCCTCTGGTTCCCTCGAGATCAAGTCTAACCTGGTGATTGCGTCATCTGGTGGGAGAGCACGGCTACAACAGCAGGTGGAAACCATGCTCGGGTCCTGGCCACTTTGCCTAGGATGAAAGCTGTTGTGGCAAACAGGGGAAAGAGCTTCAAGCTTTGTAGTAAAAGGAATCTGGGCTTAAATTCCTCTTATCAGCACTGTGACCTTGGAGAATTAATCATTCTTGGTTGTGGTGAGGGTTAATTGAGATCAGGTATTTAAAGGACATCTGACAGTGCCTGGCACGGGATAGGTGCTCCATAAATGCCTGTAGCTATAATTATTACTGTTCCACTAGCTGTTTACTTAAGTAACATTGAATTTCCACAGAATGCATTTCGAATCAGGTGGACTATGATTATACTGATTTTTAAAATAAAGAGCTGCATCTGTTAAAGGATTCTATTTTTGTGGTCTTTAATTCCTTCAGGGAATTTGCAAATGAAGCTAACATGTTGTAGGTACACCTGAGTGAAATGGTCTGGTTAAGCGTTTACAAAGAATAGTTATGGCTAAGATTTCTAAACAGGAATGCTTCTATTTTGTGTCTCCTGCGGAAGAAAATGCTAATCACATAGTTTTTATTTTTGTATTTTTATTTTTTCTGTCACCAGGCTGGAGTGCAGTGGCGTGATCTTGGCTCGCCGCAACCTCTGCCTCCTGGGTTCAAGCGATTCTCTGATACTCCTGTCTCAGCTCCCCGAGTAGCTGGGATTACAGGCACCCGCCACCAGGCCGGTTACTTTTTTTTTTTTTTTTTGAGATGGAGTCTCGCTCTGTCACTAGGCTGGAGTGCAGTGGCGCGATATCGGATCACTGCAACCTCCTCCTCCCAGGTTCAAGCTATTCTCCTGCCTCAGCCTCCCGAGTAGCTGGGATTGCAGGCGCGTGCCACTACGCCCAGCTAATTTTTGTATTTTTAGCAGAGATGGGGTTTCACCATGTTGGCCAGGATGGTCTCGAACTCCTGACCTCAGGTGATCCACCCCTCTCGGCCTCCCAAAGTGCTAGGACTACAGGTGCCCGCCACCATGTCCAGCTAATTTTTGTATTTTTAGTAGAGACAGGGTTTCACCATGTTGGCCAGGCTGGTCTGGAACTCCTGACCTCAGGTGATCTGCCCACCTGGGCCTCCCAAAGTGCGGGGATTACAGGTGTGAGCCACTGCGCCCAGCTGCTAATCACATAGTTTTAAAATTTTGTCAATTTGAAGTTGAACTTTACATATTTTCTGGTGAAATACATCAGTTAAGAGAGAACCCAAGCCTGCAGTTAAGAGTGATCTATTCCCAAAACAATTGTTTAATAATGAAAATGTATTAAAATATCTTTTAATTGAGAATAAGTCTTTTCTGGATGAGACACCTTCATGATCTAAAACAGCCTATGGTCCTCACAATTTAAATAATTATTAACATTTGCATTATACTCTATACTATTGAGCCACATTGTAACAGACATTATCCCACTTTATGTTAGCAGTGAGCCTGTGATTTGCTTGCCTTCACATTCTTTTTCCACTTCAAGAAATGCCTCAGCTAATGGAAGGTACCTTTGAATCCTAGACCAGTGAACATAGTCCTACGGTGGTGGTTTTATTAAGATGGAGGAGGTTGAAATTTGGTAGCTTGTAGGTCTTCATTATATGCCAGTGAGACGGAGTTTTTATGAAGGCAATAAAATGTCAGTATGTTGTCTATCTGAGCTCACTGTCTTTAATAAAATACTTATTTTTCTACCATCTGTGTTTCATATTTAAAGGTATGAGAAACTGAAAATGAAAAAAAAGTGAGGAAAAAGTGAGGACCCGGGCATAGTGGCTCATGCCTATAAATCCCAGCACTTTGGGGGGCCGAAGTGGGAGGATCACTTTGAGGCCGGGAGTTAGAGACCAGCCTAGGCAACATAGCTAGACCTCCGTCTCTACAAAATAATGATAATAAAAACAGGTGAGGACCACATTAACGTGTTTATAGGGAGTGTGAATTGGATATAAAGGGAATTACTTCAAACCAGTATGGTATCAATTTGCTTTTTTTTTTTTTTTTTTTTTTTGGAGACAAAGTCTCACTTTGTCACCCAGGCTGGAGTGCAGTGGCACCATCTCTGCTCACTGCGACTTCTACCTCCCAGGTTCAAGTGATTCTTAGGCCTCACCCTCCTGAATAGCTGGGATTACAGGCATGCGCCACCACGCCCGGCTTATTTTTGGAATTTTTTTTTGTTTTTTTTGTGGTGGAGTCTCGCTCTGTCACCCAGGCTGGAGTGCAGTGGCTCGATCTCAGCTCACTGCAAGCTCCGCCTCCTGGGTTCATGCTGTTCTCCTGCCTCAGCCTCCCGAGTAGCTGGGACTACAGGCACCCGCCACCCATGCCTGGCTAATTTTTTGGATTTTTAGTAGAGACGGAGTTTCACCATGTTAGCCAGGATGGTCTTGATCTCCTGACCTTGTGATCCACCTGCCTCGGCCTCCCAAAGTACTGGGATTACAGGTGTGAGCCACCACGCCCCATGCCTGGCCAGTTTTTGGAATTTTTAATAGAGATGGGGTTTCGCCATATTGCTGAGGCTGGTCTCGAACTCCTGATGTCAGGTGATCCACCTGCCTCAGCCTTTCAAGGTGCTGGGATTACAGGCATGAGCCACCGTGCCCGGCCTGAGTTTTCTTCTTAATCTTGTGTCTGAGGCTTGGTTCAGTCTGTTTGAACTAAAGACTGTATGTTTCAGGAGTCGTAGAGTGAACGAGTAGTTACACTGTTTTATATTACATATTGTAGTGTTAAATTATGAAAATTATGCTCTAGAATGATTTTCCTCTAAGCAATTTTAATAAGTTAAAAAGTTTTCCCTAGTTAAAACATTTTAAAGCACATGGGTTTATTGAGGAAACAGCTTACTACTTAAGATTGTGCCTCTATACATTAACCAGGAGTTTATCCTAACAACTTGGGTTTGTGATTTGTTGAGTCATAGGTACCACCCAGAACCATCTGGAAGGAAAGCTTTTCAGGCCACATAAGACCCACCTGAAAGTCTCCTACTTAATTACTGCACTGGCTAATTCAATAAAAGAGCTTGAGATATTGGGGCTAAATAGTGTTGGGTGCATGGGTGAAACAGGGTTTTACATTGTATCTGTATCCCCCACCAGCTGTCTTGTGACCGAATACTGCTGTTCAGAAGGGAGCTGGAGGATGTGTGCTTGAAGCTTTCTAAATTCATTATTCATAGCTGAGAAACATGCATGCTCAATGACTTTTTTTTTTCCCTCCCAGAGGCAGGGTCTTGCTGTTGGCCAGGGTAGAGTGCAGTGGCATGATCACCGCTCACTGCAACCTCGAACTCCTGGGCTTAAAGCCATCATCCCCCCTCAGCCTCCCAAAGTGCTGGGATTACAGAGTGAGCCACTGTGCTGGCCTGGAATTTGTCTTTCACCTAGCTTTCTATGTTACTCTGGTGCAACCAGTTCATGAAGTGTGGGAACTGTAGACCAATTGAATAAAGTTTAAATTCTTCTACTTTCCCTGTGGTCTTTTATAGCCCCATCCTTACTACTGTTTGAGGCTTGTCTCTCTCATAGTTACTGGTCCCTAAGCATGCCCTCAGTTTCTCTTGCCTCTGGATATTTCTAGAAAGTTTGCATTGACTTGGCCGGGCGCAGTGGCTCACGCCTGTAATCCCAGCACTTTGGGAGGCCAAGGCGGGCGGATCACGAGGTCAGGAGATCGAGACCATCCTGGCTAACACGGTGAAACCCCGTCTCTGTTAAAAATACGAAAAATTAGCTGGGTGTGGTGGCGGACGCCTGTAGTTCCAGCTACTCGGGAGGCTGAGGCAGGAGAATGGCGTGAACCTGGGAGGCAGAGCTTGCAGTGAGCCGAGATTGCACCACTGCACTCCAGCCCAGGCAACAGAGCGAGATTCCGTCTCAAAAAAAAAAGTTTGCATTGACTTAACATCTCCTCTTTTTTTTTTTTCTAAGAACAGCTTTACTGAAATAAAATTTACATACCATGCAGTTCACTTATTTAAGATGTATATGGTTCAGCCAAGTGCGGTGATTTATGGCTGTAATCCCAGCACTTTGGGAGGCCGAGGCAGGTGAATCACTTGAGCCCAGGAGTTCGAGACCAGCCTGGGCAACATGGCGAAACCCCGTCTCTACCCACAATATAAAAATTGCCAGTCTCATAACCCGGTCTCAAATAAATAGATAAAAATTTAAAAATAAAATGTACAATTCAATGGCTTTAATACATTCAAAGAGTTGTGCAGCTGTCACTGTCACCACAATCAATTTTAGAACATTTTTATAACCTCCAAAAGAATTCCTGAACCATTTAGCTGTCACCATTAATTTTTCTATCTCCTCCTAATCCCTAGGCAACCACTGTTTATTTTTTGTGTCTATTAATTTGCTTATTCTGCAAATTAATATTTCATATAATATTTTACATAAATGGAATTGTTCAATGTGTATTTCTTTGTGACTAGCTTCTTTCACTTAGCATAATGTTTTCAGGGTTCATCCATGTTGTATGTAGCATGTACCAGTTCTTCATTCCTTTTTTGTTTTTTTGACGGAGTTTCACTCTTTCGCCCAGGCCAGACTGCAGTGGCGCTATCTCGGCTCACTGCAAGCTCCGCCTCCTGGGTTCAGGCCATTCTCCTGCCTCAGTCTCCCGAGTAGCTGGAACTACAGGCACCTGCCACTGCGCCCAGTTAATTTTTTGTGTTTTTTAGTAGAGACGAGGTTTCACCGTGTTAGCCAGGATGGTCTTGATCTCCTGACCTCGTGATCTGCCTGCCTCGGCCTCCCAAAGGGCTGGGATTACAGGCGTGAGCCACCACACCCGGCGTCTTCATTCCTTTTTATGGTCAAATAATATTCCATTATATGGATATACCATATTTTCTTCACTTATCAGTTGATGAGTATTTGGATCGTTTCCATTTTTTAGCTATTATGAATAATGCCACTGTGAGCATTCATGTACAAGTCTTTTAGGGACATATGCTTTTATTTCTCTTGGGTTTATTACATCTTGATGAGGAATTGCTCAGTCATTTGGTGTGTCTATGTTTAGTCTTCTGTGGAATTGCCGGGCTGTTTTCCATATTGGCAGCAGTGTTTTACATTCTCACCAGTAGTGTATGAGGGTTCCAGTTTCTCCTCATCCTTACCCACAGTGGTTATTATCTGTTGCCATATCAGAATTTTGAATGAAATTGAAAAGATGAAAAGGCACTACAAAAATAAGCATAATAGAAACCAGAGTATCATTAATAAAGGCAGTTTTGTGTGGTTTGTTGACATGGCAGGAAAGCTGTTGCCTTTATTGTTTGAAGCTCTCCAAACAATAAAGGATATAGATCAATATTTTGCTGAAATTGAGGCCAATAAAAGTATTATTCTGAAGCTACAATATGCTGTAATTTTTCTTAGCTGGACAAACCTTCCCTATTAGTGGAGAGTTTATAATCTGTGTGATTTGAATTTCAGGTATATTTTGACTGCACAATAGCAGACAAGAACTTGAGGTGCTTATTTTCATTTGGCTATTCTTATTCCTTTTAACCCTGGGAATGAACATGAATTGATAGGGAGAATTAATAAGTATATATTAATAAATACAAAAACCACAACAATGAGCACTGTTGAGTGTTCCTATGGGCCAGGTGTGGGTTTTCATTTGCACAGTGTACTTCATTTATTTCATAGTTCTACCTTAGGGAATTGGAACTATTGGTCCTGCTGTAACCATGTTATAGATGAAGTCTTGATGCCTTGAAAAGTAACTTCCCTCACCTGGGTCATGGAGCTGGAGCTGGCAGTTGAGGAGTCTCAATCCAGGCCCCCGACCCTAGAGATCTGTTGCCCTCCACGCAAAGTCATGCAGCAGACTTGGTGCAGTGGCTCACGCACTTTGGGAGACCTAGGCAGGTGGATCGCTTGAGCCCAGGAGTTCGAGACCAGCCTGGCCAACATGGCAAAATCCCGTTTCTACTAAAAATACAAAAAAATTAGCCGGCCATGGTGCTGCACGCCTGTAGTCCCAGCTACTCGTGTTTCTGAGGTTCAATTGCTTGAACCTGGGAGGCAGAGTTTGAAAGTGAGCCAAGACTGTGTCACTGCACTCCAGCCTGGGCGACAGAGTGAGACCCTGTCTCGAAAAAAAACCCAAAGCAAACGAAATTCACACAACAGCGTTAGAGGTGGGGAGGAGCAAGTCTGGTCAGTAGCAGGCTGCTAGAAGGTCATGTTAAGGCCCCAGCTATGACATAAGGACTTGCCACAGCCTGCTACTCAAGGGAGCACTATGTGTGATTTCCAACCATTCTTGTTGCCATCCTAAGCCACAAGGACTTGCCACAGCCTGCTACACAAGGGAGCACTATGTGTGATTTCCAACCATTCTTGTTGCCATCCTAAGCCTCTGCCCCCTCCATTAACTAATACAGGTTGGAGGCACAGGGCGAGGAGGAGATCTACATTCTGGTTGCAGAACCACACACCCCAGACTCTGCCACACCACCATGAGCCTGCTGTTAATCCACCACGAGCCCAACACCTCTGTGTACACTAAGAACGGAAGCACTGGGACTAATCTTGCAGCATTGGTATGGGAGGGCCACAGCTCATGAATATGAAAATATTCAGAGACTACATATGAACCTCAAGATCTATACCTTGGGTTATAAGAATTGGACTTATTAAAGAATTTCTTTTATTACTATATATACATATATATATATATATATATATATTTTTTTTTTTTTTTTTTTTTTTTTTTTTTGGACAGGGTTTGTCTTTGTCACCCAGGCTGGAGTGCAGTGGCACAATCTCGGCTCACTGCAAACTGCCTCCCAGGCTCAAGTGATCCTCCTACCTCAGCCTCCTGAGTAGCTGGAACTACAGATGCATGCCACCACACCTGGCTAACTTTTTGTAGAGACAGGGTCTTGCCCTACTGACCAGGCTGGTCTCAAACGCCTGAGCTCAAGCAGTCCTCCCACTTCGGCCTCCCAAAGTGCTGGGGTTACAGGCATGAGCCACTGTGCCCTGCCCAATACCATATTTGACTTACAGTGCGTTCTTTGCATTCACAAAGACTGGTTTTGATTTTGTGTGGCTTGGGAGCAGCTGAGTTCCATGTCCCTTGACAGTTGTATTGTACGAGATCATGTCATCTATCAATTGCATTTTCCCCCCATAGTGTTGTTTGTTCTTTTCAGCTCATTAAAATTCAGTTATAAACATTGAGATATATATACACATATCTATATATATGTATGTACACACACACACACACTTTCTTAGCTGTGGAACAGTTAAATACCATTATTTTTAATGGCAATACTGTTTTTTGTTCATGAGAGTTCATCCTAAGAGGGTTTTGGGAAGTAACAAATTAGCTCCTAAGCAGAAGACTGCACTATATTCATTCCAGATGGCCTCCTGGGCCGGTCATGGTTGCAGGTGCTGGGGACACTCCCTCATCAGCTCCAGTGAGGTGATGCTCCTGCAGCGGCCTTCCAGCAGGAGGACAGGTAGTGCACACATACTGAACTCGCCTAACTGACGGTAAATGCTTTGCAGAGTATTACAGCAGAATCCCATGAGAAAGGATGATCAAAAAAGCCTACTGAGGAGGTAGCATTGACCCTGAGATCTGGATAATGAGAAGGAGGTAGGTGGTGGACAGTGGCGGAGAAAGCATCCTCGCAGAGGAGATGGCTGTTGCCACCCTAAAGGCTGGATGAGCGGAAGGAGAGTTTGAAGCCAAAAACAAGAAAGAGGACCCAAGAGAGCCCAGCAGCGCGACCTGTGGAGGTCAAGCCACCAGAAGAGGTTGCAGAGGTGTTGCCAGGGAGATGGGAGAAAAATCAGGAAGGCGTAGTATCAGGAATGAAGGGAAGAGATTTGCAGAGGGTGTGAGTGCCATGTGAGGTCAGGGAGGATGAGAGCTGTGGGGGAGCGCTGGATTTTGCAGTAGACACTCTAGAATGTGCCGTCTCAGGGAGTGGTGGGGATAGAAGCCCGAGTAGGGTGGGCCGAGGCCGAGGCAGGGAGGGGACAGTGAGGCCGTGGGGCTGGACTGCAGGCCGCGCTGCAGAGTTTCAGTGTGTGCTGCAGAGTCTCAGTGCATGTGGGGAAGAGCAGACAGATGGCAGGTAGGTGAGCAGGAACGCGGGCTCAAGGGAAGGTTTTGTTTAATGTAAAGATTTTGTTGAAATATAAGTCTAGAAAAGTACACAGTTTTTTATTCTAATAAAGATAGATTCTAGCACATGCTAGCTGGTGCGCAGAGAAGGCCTGGAGGGTCCCAGAAGGCCTGGTGCCAGCCACCCAGTGGGAAGGCCACCTCCGCTGAGCGAGTGCGGTGAGGACAGGGTGCTGATGTGGGAGCTGAGGGAATACCTGCCTGAGGGGCTCTCTTTTCCCAGGGAAGCGTGAGGCATCAGCTGGAGTCAGGATGGTGGAGGGGAAGCCTAGGGGGAAAGAGGAGGGAAAGGAGTAGTCCTTTTTGGAGACAAGAATCCAAAGTTCATTCCAAGGCAGAATGGGCGTGGGAGCCAGTGTTGAGTGCTGCTTTGAGATCAGTGGTCCTGAATTTGAAGGGAGATCCGGCAGCATTCATGTCGGGTTCCCTCCGGTGTGGGTATGGCAGAGAGTCGGTGAGAGGACAGTGGTCACAGGAGGGAACATAATGGCGGACTTCGGAATCTGATTCAATAGCAATGTTCATGTTGCTTTCCTCTAGGCTACCTTGAGGAGTATGTTCTTCTTATAGTTTAGTCTAGTGCCATACTTAGGAAGTGGGAACAAAGGTCTCTTCAGTTTCACTCCTTTCAGTTAGTCTATTCCATCCTAAGCCTTCTCCTCTCCTGTATACACTAAGCTAACTCTGGAAAAATTACCTCACTAGGAGTGAACCATTACAGTGTAATATTTTGTCAAAATAAAAATAGATTTTTAGGCCGGGCGAGGTGGCTCACGCCTGTAATCCCAGCACTTTGGGAGGCCGAGACCGGCAGATCACAAGGTCAGGAGATCGAGAGCATCCTGGCTAACACGGTGAAACCCTGTCTCTACTAAAAATACAAAAACAAAATTAGCTGGGCGCGGTGGGGGGCACCTGTAGTACCAGCTACTCGGGAGGCTGAGGCAGGAGAATGGCATGAACCTGGGAGGCAGAGCTTGCAGTGAGCTGAGATCGCGCCACTGCACTCCAGCCTGGGTGACAGAGCGAGACTCCGTCTAAAAAAAAAAAAAAAGGAGAAATAAAAAGATTTTTAGACCAGGCGTGGTGGCTCATGCTTGTAATCCCAGCCCTTTGGGAGGCAGAGGCAGGTGGATCACCAGAGATCAGAAGTTCGAGACCAGTCTGGCCAACATGGCGAAAACTTGTCCCTACTAAAAATACAAAAAATTAGCTGGGCGTGGTGGTGCGCACCTGTAATCCCAGCTATTCGGGAGGTTGACACAGGAGAATCACTTGAACCTGGGGGGCGGAGGTTGCAGTGAGCTGAGATCGTGCCACTGCACTCCAGCCTGGACGACAGAATGAGACACTGTCTCAAAGAAAAAAAAAATTTTTTAAAGACTTTTATTTTGAGACAAGGTCTTGCTTGTTGCCCTGGCTGGAGTGCAGTGGTGCCATCTCAGCTCACTGCAACTTCTGCCTGTGAGGCACAAGTGATCCTCCCACCCTAGCCTCCTGAGTAGCTTGGACCACTAGGTGTGCACCACCATGCCCAGCTAATTTTTGTATTTCTTGTAGAGATGGTTGGGGGGAGGTCTTGCCATGTTGCCCAGGCTGATCTTGAACTCCTCAGCTCAAGTGATCCTCCCACCTTGGCCTCCCAAAGTTCTGGGATTATAGGCGTGAACCACTGCTCCTGGCTAAAAATAGCTTTTTGATTATTAAGAAAATACAGTTTGAATACCATTGAAAAGTATTCAGAAACCATCAAAAGTTATAAAGATGTAAAGTTACTCAAATTTAACTTTTCAAAGGTAACCGTGGTTAACATTTTGGTGACTCTTCCCTAAGACATTTCTTTGTGTGTGAATGTATATGTATCTTTCTACATCATAAATAATTAAATTGGCGAAACCTCGTCTCTACTAAAAATACAAAAAATTAGCTAGGCGAGGTGGTGGGCACCTGTAATCCCAGCTACTTGGGAGGCTGAGGCAGAAGAATTGCTTGAGCCCGGGAGGCAGTGGTTGCAGTGAGCTGAGATTGCACCACTGCACTCCAGTCTGTGTATACACACACACGCGCGCACACACACAGACACACACATTTTTTTGAGACAGGGTCTTGCTCTGTTGCTCAGGGAGAGTGCAGTGGTACCATCACAGCTCACTGCAACCTTGACCTCCCAGGCTCAAGCAGTCCTCCCACCTCAGCCTCCGGAGTAGCTGGGATCACAGGCACATGCCACCACACCCAGCTAAATTTTTGTAGTTTTTGTAGAGACGGGGTTTTGTTATCTTGTCCAGTCTGGTTTTGAACTCCCAAGCTCAAGTGATCCACCAGCCTCGGCCTCCAGAAGTGTTGGAATTATAGCTGTGAGCCACTGCACCTGGCCATATTTTATAATTTTTTTATGAGGATAAAAAAGAAAATTTCCATCAGGGGAATATTTATTTATTTATTATACTTTTTTTGAGATGGAATTTAGCTTTTGTTGCTTAGGCTAGAGTGCAGTAATGCGATCTCGGCTCACTGCAACCTTCACCTCCCAGGTTCAAGCAATTCTCTTGGCTCAGCCTCCTGAGTAGCTGGGATTACAGGTGCCCGCCACCATGCCTGGCTAATTTTTGTATTTTTAGTAGAGACGGGGTTTCGCCATGTTGACCAGGTTGGTCTTGAACTCCTGACCTCAGGTGATCTACCCACCTCGGCCTCCCAAAGTGCTGGGATTGCAGTCATGAGGCACCGCACCTGGCCCATCAGGGGAGTATTTAAATAAATGATTGGCACATCTGTACGTTGAAAGCAATGAGATTACTGCAGAGACTTTCAGTGTCTGAAAAGGTGTCCACAGCATACTGTTAAGTTAAAGTATATTTCTATATTTAAGATAATGGAAAAAAAAGTATGATTACATTTCTCCATGAGTACATTTGTATATAAAGACAGCTAGTTTATGTGTGTTGTGTTTATATATGATAGATCAGTGGAAAGACAGACACTAAAACGTCAGCAATGGCAATATCTAGGGAATGGGTTGGGGTGGGAGAGAGGGTAACTTTTACTTTTTATTTCAAACAATTCTGTACTGTCAGAATTTTTCCCCGATTCACTGTTTTTTTAGCGTACTTATAGGTATGTACAACCATCATCACAAACAATTTTGACACATTTTCATCACCTGAAAAAGGAACATCATAGCCCGGGCACAGTGGCTCACGTCTGTAATTCCAGCACTTTGGGAGGCCCGGGCAGGCGGATCACCTGAGGTCAGGAGTTGGAGACCAGCCTGACCAATATGGTGAAACCCCATCTGCACTAAAAATACAAAATTAGCTGGGCCTAGTGGTGCGTGCCTGTAATCCCAGCTACTCGGGAGGCTGAGGCAGGAGAATCAATTGAACCTGGGAGGAGGAGGTTGCAGTGAGCCAAGGTCGTGCCACTGCACTTCAGCCTGGGCAACAAGAGTGAAACTCTGTCTCAAAAAAAAAAAAAAAAAAAAAAAAAAACCAGAAATGTCATACCCTTTAGCTATCTCTCCATCTTCCCATCCTCTCTTGACCCTAAGAAATCACTAATCTACTTCCTGTCTTTATAGATTTCCCTGGTTTGGACTTTAAAAATAAAATATGTGGTCTTTTATGACTGGCTTCTTTCACTTAGCATAATGTTTCAGAGTTCAGTTATGTTGTAGCATGGATCAATACTTTGTTCCTTGTTGTGGTCAAATAATAAATATTCCATTGTATGGATATACCACATTTCGTTTATGCATTTGTCCACTAATGCCACGGTCCCCAACCAGGACTTGTTTTGTGGGAGACAATTTTTCCATGGACAAGGGGTTGGGGATGGTTTTGGGATGAAGCTGAGAATCTAACTAATGCCTCAGATCATCAGGCATTAGTTAGATTCTCAAAAGGAGTGAGCATCTTGATCCCTCACATGCACGGTTCACAACAGGGTCCCTGCTCCTATGAGAGTCCACCGCTGCTGTTGTCCTCCTAGGCCACAGGACTGGTACCTGTGTGCGGCCCCGGGGGTCAAGGTCGGAGACTCCTGCATTAATTCACACTTGGGTTGTTTCCCCCTTTTGGCTATGATAAATAACACTGCCATAAACGTTGTGTCTAAGTCTTTGTGTAGATTCATGTTTTCCTTTCTCCAGGGTCTGTACCTAGCAGTGGAATTGCTTGGTCGTACGGTAACTATGATGTTTAATTGTTCCAGGAACTGCCAGCTTGTTTTCCAAAGTGGTTGCACCCTTTACCTTCCCACCAGCAGCCTGTGAGGGCTCTGATCTCAGCATATCCTGGCCACACTTATGTGACTTTTTGATTCAAGCCATCCTAGTGCATGGAAAGTGCATCTCATTGTGGCTTTAATTTACATTTTCCTGGCAACTAAATTCCATTTGGAAGTAAAATCAACACAGTTTTAGTTAGGGGACATATGCCTAAGGAACTGAAGGTCGGAAGGGGCTGCCGAGAGGCAGAGAAGCCTGCAGAGCTCCAGGTGATCTCCTGGGGCGGAGGAGGTAAAGGATGGGCCTGAAGGGCTGTGAAGGCAGTTAGAACAGGAGGGGCAGAATCCGAGGCCAGGAAGGGATGGGGACGTGCAGTTAGAACAGGAGGGGCAGAATCCGAGGCTGGGAAGGGATGAGGATGTGAGCCTCAAGTCCAGCACTGGTTTCTCCTCGAGAGCTTTGCTTACCAGACTGTGCTGGTCAAAAAAACAAGTCAAAACACAGTGGGATAGAAGAGCGGGGTTTTCAGTAGTTTCAAGTTGCTGGGGAGACAGGAACTGGAGTAGAAGATCCACCAAGGAGAGGGACCTCTAGGATGCACCTCACAGTCTCCCTTGCAACCCTGGAAGGTCACACCCTGGAGCTGACTGAGTCTTACAGTCAGAAAGACTGCAAACCAGCCTCAGGTGAGCTCCGAACTGCGCTGCTCTGCCCTCTGCAGCCCACCAGAGGCTGGGTGGATCCTGGGGAGGATGGTGGGTATCCTGGGGAGAGGGCACAGGAGCTTCTGGGTGTTAGTGGAGTTCTGCTCCTCGAGCCAGAGGCATTTCCTCTGAGAGCAGCTCTCAGGTCGGACGCTTAGGATTTGTGCAGTTTTTTTGCAGGCACGTGCTGCACTCTGGTGCTTTGAGGTTCCCACCTACTATCTTGTGAGGATAGAACAGAGAACTCCTGACAGATTTCTTTGTGAAATTACCTTCACATTTTACCAGCCAACCAGCTGCTACTCTTTATAAAAAGAAAAAGGCAAACATCAAGGTTTATCATTCTTTAGAACTCGCACTGAATGTTGGTTCCTTTTGAACTCTCAAGGATTTTCATGTAGGATTGTCGGGCTAGGACCCCCAACAAGTGTCTCAGCCTCATGTTTCTTCGTTCTGAGTGAATGGCAGGAGCCCCTTTGAAGCACCTGATGGGGCCCTGATGCATCGCTAACAAACTCTCAAATGGGATGGGAGGATCGGTCTTTGTTTTTTGGTACATGAAAAGTTCTTAATTGAATTAGGGAAAAGTCCACATTTCTTGGGTGAACATGAAGAAAGATTTGCTTGCGTGCCTACTTGGAGGCATGAAGAAAGGTGTGCCACACCCTGATGGGAAACCTGAGCTGATAGTCTCTGCAGCCCTTTGTGCACAAGGAAAGTAGGAGGCATTACTGCCTGGTGTGAAGATTTCTGCATGGGAAGTGGCAGGGCAAAGGGACACTTCATGGAGAGGGAGAAGCAGGCGGAGGTCACCGTCTCAGACCTGCCCGACGGGCTTCACTGCTGGACTTGTTTCTGTCATCCTGTGTTTTCTCACCCGGTTGGTTGGTTTTGAAGCCTTGAAACCTTAGTTCAGTTCTCTTCTGGTTATACAGTATCTTCCTTGATGACAGCCAGAGACAAGTCAGGAACATTTCTTTAGGACATGCTACACACTAGGTTTTAGACTGTAACACATAGCTCAGTCTCATATCAGAAGCATGACTTTCTCTGAAATGTATCTGCCATTGCTCACCCAGTTTCTGAAGGCTTTTTTGGAGTTTTTTCCCAGTGGCATAAACTCACATCATCTGGAGGAGTCCTGTGCCTTGGAGCTTCCAGAGCTCCATCATGTGCCTCACTGTCCACACTTGAAACAACTGGTCAATGTGAGTGGCCCCTAGACACGCCTGGAGTGTCCCAGCATTATCACAGCCTCATTTCTTTTATCTTTATCTTCAGACCTCTCTGTTTATGTAGAAATACCCCACATCCATAATGGCTTAACCGAAAAGCAAAACAATTTTATTTGGAACCTAATCAAAGGCTTATTAGCTTTTCTTAAAAAAAAAAAATTGTTGAAATCCTTTATGAAAGCCTGGTTTTCCTGCTTTCTTTCTTTCTTTCTTTTTTTTTTTAAAGACAGGGTCTCTCACTCTGTCGCCCAGGCTGGAGTGCAGTGGTGCGATCTCACCGCACTCACTGGAACCTCAACCTTCCGTGCTCAAACGATCCTCCCACTTCAGCCTCCCGACTTAGCTGGGACAACAGGTGCACACCACCATGCCTGCCTAGTTTTTTGCATTTTTTGTAAAAGTGGGGTTTCCCCATGTTGTTCAGGCTGGTTTCGAACTCCTGGGCTCAAGTCATCCACCCTCCTCATGCTCCCAAAGTGGTGGGATTATGGGCATGAGCTACCGTGCCTGGCCTCCCTGCTTCTTTACTTCAGTTCCTCAGGCATATTTCCCCTAACTAAAGGTACGTTTAGTTTACTTCTTAGTGGAATTAAAAAAAATGTTAGGCTGGGCGCAGTGGCTCACGCCTGTAATCCCAGCACTTTGGGAGGCCGAGGCGGGCAGATCATGAGGTCAGGAGATCGAGCCCATCCTGGCCAACATGGTGAAACCCAGTCTCTACTAAAAATACAAAAATCAGCTGGGCATGGTGGCGGGTGTGTGTAATCCCAGCTACTGGGGAGGCTGAGGCAGGATAATCGTTTGAACCAGGGAGTCGGAGATTGCAGTGAGCCGAGATCGCGCCACTGCATTCCAGCCTGGCGACAGAGTGAGACTGCATCTCAATGTGTGTGTGTGTGTGTGTGTGTGTGTGTGTGTGTGTGTGTGTGTATTTTAGTCATGTTATTCTGCTCCAATTTCTAGGCTTTAGTAGCTCTTTAGCTGGGGTCACAGTGGTACGATAAGAGGGGCACTGTGCTCTGTCTGCTGGAGGGACTCAGGCTGGCCAGACCCTGGACAGTGGAATGAGCAAGTGACGTTGCTGTCTTCTTTCTCTGTAAGGTGTAGAGAAGAAGGCCACCTTGGCTGTGTCACGTGGTGGGGGTGAGGGGCACGTGAAACAGCATCTGGGAGGGCTCTTGGAACGAACCTTGCCAGGCAAGGTCAAGGGAGTTGTGTTTTTCATAACTAGTCATTTTTATCTTTTCTCAGGAGTGCTAATGGTTGGTTGTTAATCTTTTAAAATTTGAGAAACATGTTATGGAGGATTTGGGCTTCCCCATCTCATATGGGGATTTGTGCTGGAATTTGTATTATTTTGTTATTTGTTCATCACTAATTCTGCTGCCAGTTTCTATTCACCATTTAGAACTAAGTCCATTATTTTTTCTTTTCTGAGTTCTAAAATTATTTGTTCCAGCAATCAGTTAAATGGAAACTCTCTCCTTCTATTACGTTCCTTCCAAGTGAATGAACATAATAGAAGCTCTTTATTTTCATTCTTCTTGGTCTGATTTTGTAGCTCTGTGATTTAATGTGACATCTCTCAGTCATGTGGTCATCAGCAGCTGCTCGGAGTAGAGCACTAGCTTATTGTTCTGTGCTGTCATTTCTTTTCTGAACATAAGTTTTAAACAACTTCATTGAGTTGTCGTGACCATTAAATGGACTGAACTGATGAATGTTAGCTGCTTAGACCAGGGCCTAGCACACGGTAAGCACTCAGTGCATGTTGGCTGTCCTCACATCCCGTCCCTCTGATGGGTCCTGTACCTACTCTCTTCCCCTTGGCCATGCTTGAGGACACAGTGCCAGAGCGACAGCCTTTGCTTGATGGTGGGTTCTAGTTGGCCAGTGGGGTATGGAGTTTCACAAATCTTGTATAAAGGGCATGGAGCAACACCCAAGGTGAATCGGGTCAGAGATCCAAGAAGGAAACCTAGAATCAGAGCCTGAGAGTTTATGCTCAGGAAGCCAAGGGGTGGGGAAGAAGAGGAGCAGCTGGAATAGTCCACAGGATGGCCTGTGCTGATCAGGCCTCTAACAGGAAGAGACCCATTGGTGAACTGGACAGGACCTTCCATGTCACCCTCTAGTTGCTCTGCTTCCCTTCACCCTGAGAAACCTTGGAGATACCATGCGTGGATGAGGTACTGTAGGAGACCAAATATCATTGCCTCTTCCCCATGACCCCACCTCTAGTACAACTAAATACACCAGCTTAGGAAGTGGGATAGTGAGACTGGGGTTTGATAGCACACTGGCAATAACAGCAGTCACTGCTATTGATTGTTCACCTCCTATGTGCCAGGCACCTTGGAAGGCACTTGGTGCAGCCACCCTGTTCCAGGAGCAGTGACTGGCTCCCAGCACTTCGAGGGCGGTGGGTTGGAGACCAGCTCTGCTGACCTGAGCTGGGAGAGAGTGCAGTGGTGGCAGGAAGGGAATGGTGTCAGTGTGGCTGGGCAGAGGAAGGGCCAGTGGGAGGCAGGGTTTGCCTTGAATGTGGGCAGTAGTGGCCCTGGGGTGGCAAGGGTTTATTCATTGTCATGATGGGAAAGGTGCCAGTGAAGTCCCATTCCCACCATGGGGGAGTGGGATGGTCATTACTACCAGGGCCATCTCCAGCAGTTTTTATTTACGTTTTTTATAGCAGTAAAATATATACAGAAAGTGAAATTTACCGTTTAACTATTTTTAGGTGTAAATTTTTTTTTTTTTGAGATGGAGATTCGCGCCTGTTATCCAGGCTGGAGTGCAATGGCATGATCTTAGCTCACTGCAACCTCCGCCTCCCCAGGTTCAAGCAATTCTCCTGCCTCAGCCTCCCGAGTAGGGACTACAGGCGCCTGCCACCACACCCGGCTAATTTTTGTATTTTTAGTAGACATGGGGTTTCACTGTGTTTGCCAGGCTGGTCTCGAACTCCTGACCTCAGGTGATTCACCTGCCTCGGCCTCCCAAAGTGCTGGGATTACAGGCGTGAGCCACTATGCCCGGCCTAGTGTAAAATTTAGTGGCATTAAGTACATTCACATTGTTGTGCACCCATCACCATCACCCATTTTCCAAAGTCTTTTACCCCAAGGAAACTCCATCCCCATTGAACAATAACTCCCTGTTCCCCTGCCCTGGCCCCTGGTAACCACTGTTCTACGTTCTGTCTCTGGAGTTGCCTATTCCAGTTACCTCATGTAAGTGGAGCCATACGTTACTTACCCTTTAACGTCTGGCTTATCTCACTTTGCGTAATGTCCTCAAGGTTCCTCCCTGTTGAAGCATGTGCCAGAATTCCCTTCCTTTTTAAGGCTGAATAATATTCCGCTGTATGTACAGACCACAGTTTGTTGACCCATTCCTCAATGGATGGGCACCGTTGGCATTTTGAAGAGCAGCATATCGGGTACTTTATTGAGGTGCCGTTCGTGTCTTCAGGCGTCTGAGAATGGTGGGCGCCCAGCAAGTGTCCCCATATCCTGGTCCTCAGATGTAACTGTGGAGTGGATTTCAACTCAGGAGGTCTTGCTCATGGGAATGATCTTTTAGACTCTTCCACTGTCACTTCTAATTCCTATCTAGTTAGCTCAGAACAATCTGATTCATGTTTCTCTTTTCTTTAGTTTTTCTTTCTCTCCCTCCCCCTCACCTTCTACTTATTCTGTTCACTGTTTATCCAGTTCCTTCTTTCTTAGACTCTTCCCCACTCCCACTCCATTTATTCCTCTTGTCCTCTCATGTCATTTCCTCTAAATGTTATTGCTCTCTTCTGGAATACTCTTTTTTCCTTCTGTTTTTCCATTGCTTTCCTCTCTTTTCTTCTCTTTCCTTTTGTATTCCTTTCTTTCCCCTAGTTTCTTCTTGCTCTACCATTTAAAATTTGTGTCTCAGAAATGACCCTGGTCATTATTTCTTTCATGTAACATATATAAGTGCTTACCATAGTCTAGCCTCTGTTCTCAGCACTTTGCAAATAATATATCATTTAGTCCTGTTTACACCTCTATGAAGGAGATACTGTTCTTGTCTCCATATTACAGGTGATAGAGTTGAGCCACAGAGAGGCTGGGCAATTCGTACCAGGTCAGCTGCTGGTGAGCTGGAGGCGGGGCTGGAAGCCGGGCTGGGTGGCTCCAGTGGGTGCCTGGCCCCTCCACTCTGCACTGCTGAGCGCGCTGGGAATGCAGAATGCTGGAATGCCTTGAGCTAGGCAAGGCAGAGGAATGTTGTAGTTCAAAGTCAAATCAAACATAGTTCTTGTCCTACCTAGCTCCAAAATGTTTAGAATTTTGGATGCAAGTCTTCTGGATACAAGTCTCATCTTTATATCTACATAAGAGTCTTCATCGATGTTTTATCTTACACTGTTCTGTTTCTTCAAGTACCATGATTTTTTTAAAAAATCGTTTCATCTCAATTATAGAGCTGAAAAGGGACTTTGATGAGCTTATTTCACAGAGGGGTAATTGGTATGTCTAAATGCATTTAGTTTTGTTTCCTTGCTTTTTTAAATCACCGACATTGTAACAGATGGTTGCTTAAATTTTTATTTTATTTCAGCGTAATTTATTTCAATTTAATTATGAGTAAATATGCTTTTCTATTTTTCTGGGAATCAAAAGATGGTGTGTAACATAGTTTTAAAGGGAGTATACATTCAAAATGTCATCAAATAAATTAAAATCTGCATCTGGAATTTAATTCATATCTAAGTTGTCTTTTGTCTTGTGCCAGTTCTTGCTGGGAAGGTTCTACCTTGGTGCCTCTTACCTCATTGGTTTCCTTAGCTCAGTTATGCAGGTCCTCATTCATTGCCAACTAGCTTAACTTAATTCACTGGTTTTGGTTCACAGACCTTGAACATTTGCATAGAACTGTTAACAGACATTGCTTAATTTTCACCACTTTTTACCCTAGCAGGTTGCTAATTTGGGCCTTCCTGTGACACTGCTTTTCTCCTTCACTACTCTGCATCAAGCTTTTCTTTGATATGTGGTTGTTATTCGGAGCTTTTATAATCTCATAGGATTACTCTAAAATTTTCAAAGTGGGTATTTTGTAATGAGCTAATTTGTATCCTAGAACTTTTATCTTAGACAAAAGAAAGAAAGAGAAAATACAAATAAAGGAAGAAAAAGGCGCTAAAAAAGTGAAAAACATTTTTGTAACAAGGAGGGAGGGCTCGTCTCTTGCCAGGGGACCACCTTCAAAGGCCTGGGTTTTTGAAGGACGAGTTTTATGTCCAGATCACTGCCCTCTCGAATCTCATTAGCTCTTAAACAGAGGCTGCTGACTTTGCTGGACTATTGTGATGGCTGGTAAAGCACTTTTCCTTGACTTGGGCTACAGAGTGCAGGACTGTTTCTCTAAGCGGGCAGTCAAGGGCCACAAGCTTAAAGAAAGAAAGACAAAGCTAAGATAAACAGTGTTATGCAGAATCAGGAATCTCTTGTTGAAGACTCCTCTAAATCCTTTCCATGATCAGTCCTGTGGCCACACTGTGACCTGGGGTAAGAGTGTTAGAAGTCTCAGCCTCTGATTCTGGTGTTTCCTTTTGCTTGCTGTGAACTTGACGTGATTTTATAAAATAGAAGTTGTTCTAGATGATCTGTTCTCAAACTATGCTCCCTAAAACACTAGTGTTCTAGAGCTGGACAGAGGTGTCTTTCATTTAAGAGAAATCAAGGATAGAATTTGTTTAATTTTGAATTTTCAGTCTCACAAATTTTTGTTAACTCTTTGTTGCTATTGTTGCCAGTCATTTTGAGAGGTGACAGCGTGCTGGCAGTCCCCAGAGCCCTCGCTCGCTCTCGGCACCTCCTCTGCCTGGGTTCCCACTTGGGCGGCACTTGAGGAGCCCTTCAGCCCACCGCTGCACTGTGGGAGCCCCTTTCTGGGCTGGCCAAGGCCAGAGCCAGCTCCCTCAGCTTGCAGGGAGGTGTGGAGGGAGAGGCGCCAGCTGTAACCGGGGCTGCGCGCGGCGCTTGCGGGCCAGCTGGAGTTCTGGGTGGGCGTGGGCTTGGCGGGCCCCACACTCGGAGCAGCCAGCCGGCCTTGCCGCCCCGGGCAGTGAGGGGCTTAGCACCCGGGCCAGTGGCTGCGGAGGGTGTACTGGGTCCCGGCCCACTGGCGCTGCACTCGATTTCTCACCGGGCCTTAGCTGCCTTCCCGCGGGGCAGGGCTCGGGACCTGCAGCCCGCCATGCCTGAGCCTCCCACCCCCTCCGTGGGTTCCTGTGCAGCCCAAGCCTCCCCGACGAGCGCCGCCCCCTGCTCTACGGCACCCAGTCCCATCGACCACCCAAGGGCTGAGGAATGCGAGCGCACGGCACGGGACTGGCAGGCAGCTCCACCTGCAGCCCCGGTGCGGGATCCACTGGGTGAAGCCAGCTGGGCTCCTGAGTCTGGTGGGGACGTGGAGAGTCTTTATGTCTACCTCAGGGATTGTAAACACACCAATCAGCACCCTATGTCTAGCTCAGGGTTTGTGAGTGCACCCAATCGACACTCTGTATCTAGCTGCTCTGGTGGGGCCTTGGAGAACCTTTATGTCTAGCTCAGGGATTGTAAATACACCTATGGGCACTCTGTATCTAGCTCAAGGTTTGTAAACACACCAATCAGCACCCTGTGTTTAGCTCAAGGTTTTTGAGTGCACCAATGGACACTCTGTATCTAGCTGCTCTGGTGGGGCCTTGGAGAACCTTTGTGTCGACACTCTGTATCTAACTAATCTGATGGGGACGTGGAGAACCTTTGTATCTATCTCAGGGATTGTAAATGCACCAATCAGCACCCTGTCAAAACAGACCACTGGGCTCTACCAATCAGCAGGATGCGTGTGGGGCCAGATAAGAGAATAAAAGCAGGCTGCCCGAGCTAGCGGTGGCAACTCGCTCGGGTCCCCTTCCACACCGTGGGAGCTTTGTTCTTTTGCTCTTTGCAATATATTTTGCTACTGCTCTTTCTGGGTTCACACTGCTTTTAAGAGCTGTAACACTCACCGCGAAGGTTTGCAGCTTCACTCCTGAACCAGCGAGACCATGAACCCACCAGAAGGAAGAAACTCCAAACACATCTGAACATCAGAAGGAACAAACTCCAGACGTGCCACCTTAAGAGCTGTAACACTCATCGCGAGGGTACGTGGCTTCATTCTTGAAGTCAGTGAGACCCAGAACCCACCAATTTCGGACACAATTTTAGTCAGCTTTAGGATGTGACAAGTGAACAACTGGCAAAAAAGTTGGTGGAAAACTTTGGACTACCTAATCTTGCTTCATTTAACACTTAAAAAAGAAGGGGGGTCGGGTGCCGTGATTCATGCCTGTAATCCCAGCAACTTGGGAGGCCAGGGTGGGTGGATCACCTGACGTCAGGAGTTCGAGACCAACCTGGCCAACATCGTGAAACCCCGTCTCTACTAAAAATACAAAAAGTTACCCAGGCATGGTGGTGGACACCTATAATCCCAGCTACTCAGGAGGCTGAGGCAGGAGAGTCCCCTAAACCCAAGAGGCGGAGGTTGCAGTGAGCTGAGATCGTGCCACTGCACTCCATCCTGGGCAACAAGCGAAACTCCATCTCGAGAAAAAAAAAAAAAAAGGTTGGGTATGATTGTTACATGGTTCATTAGTGGAGTCATTTATACTGGAATCATCATGCAGGGTCCAGTGTTCTTAGTTTGTGGGAAGAGAAGCAGTGTAGATTTGTGGCTGAGCATGTGGGCTAGGCGGCCTCGTGCCCAGGTTACATTGTAGCTCCTCTGCTTCCTAGCTCTGTTACCCAGGCAAAGTCGCTTCGCCTCTTTCTGTCTCCATCCATCACTTGTAAAGTAGAGATATAATGTGCCTACTTCAGAAGTTATTGTGAGGATTAAATGAACCAATATGTGTGGTTAGTGTAACGTCCTCAAGATTCCTCCCTGTTGAAGCATGTGCCAGAGTTCCCTTCCTTTTTAGGGAACATGCCTGGTTCATAACAAATGCTATTATAACATAACATGTCAGCTATTAATATTTCATGGTGCTATGTCTTCAGGGTCCTTGTCATCTGAACATATTTCAGAACTGTGGGCCTAGAATTTCTCTTCTAATTCTGAAATTAGTTCCGTTATTCTATGCCATAGAATTTGATTTCCTATTATCTTTCTTCCTCTTTTTTATAACTCAGTATCTTAAGATGTGTTTTCTCTATACACAGAGTAAAATCACTTACTTTTTTAGTTACCAGGTAGAATCTAATCTTAAGTATGAGTTTAGAAGGTGTGTTTTCTGTTTCTTGACATACAGGTGTTTTGTGTTATGCACAATTTACCATTGTATTGTTTTTGTTTTTGTTTTTTGAGACAGGGTCTCACTCTGTCACCCAGGCTGGAGTGTGGTGGCACAATCTCAGCTCACTGCAACCTCTGCCTTCCGGGTTCAAGTGATTCTTGTGTCTCAGCCTCCTGGGTAGCTGGGATTACAGGCACGCACCACCACGCCCGGCTAATTTTTTTTTTTTTTTTTTGTATTTCTAGTAGAGATGGGGTTTCACTATGTTGGCCAGGCTGGTCTCGAACTACTCTCCTCAAGTGATCCGCCCACCTTGGCCTCCCAAAGTGCTGGGATTACAGGCATGAGCCACTGTGCCAGGCCTTCCTATTTGTTAAATATCTAATATTCTTAGTTCTTTATCTTTATATATGAAGAAGGTGGAGCTCAGAGAGATTAAGCAAATTGCCAAAAGCTGTAAGTGGTAAATCCAAGCTTTGGAGCTAGGCTGTCTGATTCCAAAGACGACTCTAATACAAATATGTGCAAATCCAGCCCAAGGCCTGTAGTATTTATGGTAACTCACTTAAACCAAGCCCAAGTATCATTTCTTTAAATGGAGACTAATTGCTATATAAATATTCCTGAAGAATACTCTTTTTATGCTTGGGTCAGCAAAAATCATCATATAGCTAGTGTATATTCGTTGAAAGAAAGGTGAAATATTAAATTTTTAAAAATGAGCAATTGCTTGTGTATCAGGCCAGAGTCTCTGGGTCAGCTAAGCCTTTTCCCCTAGAGGAAGCTTCCTGTCTGAACATATGTTTTTGCTAGCTGTGCAGCGGGGGAGTGTGTGGCAGGAGAGTGCCCAGCACCTTGCCAGCCTCCTGGCATCTGCTATTTACACCCTACCCAGCCTTTTTTGCTGCCTTGAGGTTTTTCCACTGCCAGGCAGCACAGAGCTGGCTGCTGTGTTAATTTTTTTGATGTTGTTATGATTTGATTTTTTGCACTCATCGTTTGCTATGTTTCTATATTGCAGTGTCGATGGGTGCATCAGCAGATATTGCTTAATTTTTGCCACATTTTACCCCAGCAGGGGGATGGTGAGTGGGTAGGGCTGTGGGGTGAACGGCACAATGGGAACTCAGGGCTCCTAGGAGGGCAGGCGATGGTGGAGGCTGGCACACTAGGCTCCTGAGTCCTACGTCCTGGGGGGTTCTGGATGTTGGCTTTAGCTGAGAAGGGCTTAGTGATGTTAGGAATGAGGCTGGTGGGTAGTGAGGGGGTAGGATTGCGGGGTGGGTGGCGGGAGCTCAGGGTAATATCAGAGAGAGAACAACAGAAAAATTCTGCTTCCACCACCCCCTCTCTTCTGTGGAACCTGGTCCCCGTCTGTCTGGGCTGTTCCCTGGTCCCATCCACAACCCCCTCCCCAGACTGGCACTCACCCTCCTCCGTTTTTGTCCTCAGTTTTTATGTTCATCTTGCAGGCTCATCAGTCTCCCTATAACTTCTTTCCATAGCATGTCTAGAGTTGGATTTCAGGGAGAGAGCCCACAGTTTGTGCTAGTTAGTTCATAATGAGCCGGAAAAGTTTATTTGTAAGTGCATTGTCTGGAATGTGGTACACTTCTTTCCATATCAATAATGACGTGTCTGGCATTTGAGGTGCGAGGCCAGTACAGAAACCTTTGTTGCTTCTTAATGTGTCTGAGGTTAATAATGTACCAACAGTGCTGTGGAACTTAACCACTGTGTGTCACAACATTTTAAGTGAAATTGTGTTTGTAGTTCAGCCTGGGATTCCAGGTACTCATCTACCTTTGAAGCTGAATCTGGGCCTCTTCCTCCACCTCTGTGTGCAGCTGATGAAGGCAGGAGCTCCTGCATCCTAAGTCCCTGGGAGTTCTGGATGTTGGGTTTAGCTGAGAAGGGCTTAGTGATGTTGTCGGGGAGGCTGGTGGATGGTGAGTGGGTAGGGCTGTGGGGTGAAGGGCATGATGGGAACTCAGGACTCCTAGGAGGGCAGGTGATGGTGGAGGCTGGCACACTGGGATACTCCATTGTCTGGCGCCTGCCCAGCCTTATCGCTGAACTAGCTGGAAAAGTAGGGGTTTATCCTTCCTTCCTAATTCCCCTCACTCTTCATCACTGTCACTCTCACCCTGCAAGTGTCGCCATGGGGTGAGCTGCAAAGTGGGGTGTCATCTCTCCAACTAGATTGTGAGTTCTCTGGGAGCAGAGATTTTTGCTCACCTTTTTCTCCCCAGTGCTTGCCATGTACTAAAAAATGTGTTTGATGTTCACCAAGCATGAAAAAAATTGCTACCCTTTCTTGAATGTTCATCGTTGTTATGTGATCACAAATATTGCCATATTTTATTGAGCCTAAGATGTTGATGGTAAGATACACAGTGATTTTACACATTAGTAAGAAAGAAAAAATCTTGCCAATTGTACTTCTGACACAAGTGGGTTTTTTTGTTTATTTTTTTGTTTTTTGAGATGGAGTCTCACTCTGTCACCCATGCTGGAGTGCAGTGGCGCAACCTCAGCTCACTGCAACCTCCGCCTCTCTGGTTCAAGCAGTTCTCCTGCCTCAGCCTCCTGAGTAGCTGGGATTACAGGTGCATGCCACCACGCCAGCTAATTTTTGTATTTTTTTTAGTAGAGATGGGGTTTCACCATGTTGGCCAGGCTGGTCTCGAACTCCTGACCTCGTGATCCACCCACCTCGGCCTCCCAAAGTGTTGGGATTACAGGCATGAGCCACCGCGCCCGGCTTCACAAGTGCTTTCTGTCATTTAGTATTTTAATTATATACTTATTGAAAGAGCTCTTCTAGATTCGTTTAGACATTGATTTTTATCATATCACTCTTTGGCATACAAAAGAGGGAAAATATAAAGAGAAATAGATTGACTAAGATATTCCTAAAATTTCTCCAAGAGTCTGATTCTTCAGAATCTTTTTGGACTCGGAGTTCTTCATGTGGGTGGTTTTCCACACAGTATCATTCTCTATGCCACCAAGAGCGTTGTTGATGTGGCGTTTCTTAACAGAGGGCACACCACTGTCTCCAGGAATCTCCTCTAAGCATCTATTACCTGTTCTGCAAATTTTAATCCTGCTGTTTTCTCACTCAACCTCAGGCCATTTTTTCCCCGTGAATCTCAGTAATAACAACACATCATGCAGCTTCATCCACATGGGCTGTCTTTTATACCCAGGTTCTGTAAGGGCCTCGGTTGGTTAAGGTCATTTTTCCAATGGTAGATATTTGCTTCTCTAATAAAATTTATGCCCTGCTACTGTTCCCATGTCTTTCGGTTTTAATACCAAGTTATCGTGTCATCTTTTTGAAGACATTTAAAGTGGCAGTTAGGCTCAGTATGTCAACAGTGCACATGACTCATTCGAAGTGAGATCACACATGAGTGGGCAGTGACCCTATGTCCTGACTGCCACCTGGATGACAGTAACTGCAAGATGCCACTGATTGTAAAATAGATCCCTATTTCAGAAATGTTAAAACATGGGGGGAACGTACTTTGTAGACTCGATGAAATACATAACATGTAGTTAATTTTTACAGCAACCATGCAGGGCAGGTAATTTGGATTTTTTATTTGTTTGTTTGTTTGTTTTGAGATGGAGTCTCCCTCTTGTTGCCTAGGCTGGAGTGCAGTGACTCGATCTTGGCTCACTGCAACATTCACCTCCCAGGTTCAGGCGATTCTCCCGCCTCAGCCTCCCGAGCAGCTGGGACTACAGGCACACGCCACCAAGCCTGGCTAATTTTTGTATTTTTAGTAGAGATGGGGTTTCACCATGTTGCCCAGGCTGGTCTCGAACTCCTGACCTCAAGTGATCTGCCCGCCTCAGCCTCTCAAAGTGCTGGGATTACAGGTATGAGCCACTGTGCCCGGCTGGTAATTTGGATTTTTAAGTGAGGATACTGAGGATCAGAGTGTTTGGCTTACTAACGCCCCAACTAAGTACATGGAAGATTTGGGAGCTCAGAACCCAGATTTGTCTGATTGTAAAGTTCACACTTTAGATACTGTACAATGCTGTTCAGGAAAAAAACAACTAGACTAGAAGCTGCAAGAAGCCAGGGATCTTTTTTTTTGTATATATATATTTTTTTTTTTGATAAACATGTTTCTTAAGGACCTAGAACAGTGCCTGGCACATACCAAGTACTAATAAATACTTGTTGAATAAAGTCAATCATTAGAGAGAAAATAGAAATGCAACCATATCATTCTCTTCCTGGAAATGAAATCTCTAACTCTTTTGGGACAGGGGGAAAAGGACAGAAGATGGCTGCTGTTTTCTAGACAAGGTATAGCTGTGGCTGTCCATTCCCTCAGGTCGGTAGGAGACGCAAGAAGATGAGGGGTGAGAGTCTATCCCTGGTTACCAGAGCTGTCAGCACCTGCCAGCTGGACAGCAGTAACATGGCTCCTGCCCCTGGGATTCTTCTACTGTCTCCTGTAAATCAAAATCAACAGGGCTGTAAACATTGTGGAGTTAAAAAGAAAATTAATAAAGGAAAATCAATATGACAAGCCTTACTATCAAAGATATTCATGTACAGGGAATGTATTGTTAGATTTCTTTTCTTTCTTTCCGTTTTTTTTTTCTTTGAGACAGGGTCTTGCTGTGTCGCCCAGGCTGGAGTGCAGTGGCACGATCTGGGTTCTCTGCAACCTCTTCCTTTTGCGTTCAAGCAACTCCTGTCTTGCTGATAAAATCCTCAGCCTCCTGACTTGCTGACAAATCCTCAGGCTGACCTCAGGCTGATCTGCCCGCTGCGGCCTCTCAAAGTGCTGGGATTACAGGCGTGAGCCACCTCGCCCAGCCAAATTGTTAGATTTTTAAAGAGTATAAAATGTTTTGAAAATTCTGAAGCTCTGTATGGCTCGTTTGTGAAATATGAAAATTGATATATTTAATCACCTACTATGTACTAGACCTTGTGCCTAGAGTTGTTACATACATCATTTCACCCTCACAATAAAATTATCTCCATTTTACATATGATAGATAATCACTTTAACTGCGCTAGTATCTTCCCTCAGAGATTCCAAAAAATGTGGGATACTAACACATAAAATGCAAGATACATTGTAAAGCAATGTATGTCCAAAAGTTCTCATCATAGTGTCACATGTAATTGCAAAATATTAGAAATAACCTAAGCGTTTATGAATGCAAGATTAAAAATATGCAGCTGTAATGAAGAATGAGGAATGTCTGTATATATATGGAACAATATGAAAGGTATGATATTACATGGGACAAACAAGATATAGAAGAAATGCTACCTTGTATGGAATCAGTAGTGTGCATCTATTTGTGGTTGGAGAGGGAGAGAGTATATATGTATGCTTGTGTGTATGCACACAAAATAATTTTTGGAAGAAAATACAATAAATTGATAATATAGGTTGCTTCTGAGGAACGGCTAGGGCATTCCAGGTAGGGAGATTGTCCACTGTATACCTTTTTGTGCCTTTTGAATTTTGAGCCAGCTGCATTTACTACCTATTAAAAGAGATACAAATAAAATTAAAATAGAAGAAATAAAGTATACCTTTCTAGAAATGAAAACAAAGACAAAAAGACTCTCTGGGCTGTGTGTGTTTTGTGAGGGCATGGGCTGTACCTGCCGATCCCCGCAGCACCCCAGTGCCTAGCATAGTACACGCCTGCGCATTTGTGCCATCAGTGAGCCAAGCTGAAGGAAACAAGCCACTCAAATTCCTCTATCGGAAGGACACCACATCTCTTCTGTGGTGTCTCTGCTAAAAATACATATCCTGAATCTAACCATGAAGAAACATCAGACAAACTTAAATTGAGGAGCATTCTGAAAAATAAATGACCTGTGCATTTCACAAATGTCAAGGTCATGGCAGACCAAGAAAGAGCAGGGAACCGTTTGGGATTGAAGGAGACTGAAGGGCAGGACAGCTGAGCGTGCTGTGTGCAGTACCGGATTGCATCCCAGGCCAGGAGAAAAAATGTCGTATTCTTTTTAAAGGACATTCATTAGAGTTGACAAAACTTGAATAAGGTCTGTGAATTAGGTAATATTACTGTTACCGTGTTAACAGCCTCATTTTGATAGTAGTACTGTGGTTATAAGAAAATCTTCTTGTTTTTAAGAATTAGGCACTTAGGAATTTAGGGGGAAAGGGGCATTGTGTTGGCAACTTACTCTCAAATGGTTCAAGTGAGAAAAGGGAGGGAAAGAAAGAGAAAGAGGGGAAATAGTAAAGTAAACATGGTACAATGTTAACATGCAGGGAACTGGAGTGAAGAAACACAGGAATTCTTTGTACTATTTTGACAACTTTTATGTCTGAAGTTATTTCAAAATAAACAACTTTAAAAAAAAAGTTTCCTACATGGAACATGTTATGACTTCTTCTCTTCTCTTCTCTTCTCTTCTCTTCTCTTCTCTTCTCTTCTCTTCTCTTCTCTTCTCTTCTCTTCTCTCTTTTTTCTTTCAGCAGGGTCTCTCTGTGTTGCCCTGGCTAACCTTGAACTGGGCTCAAGGGATCCTCCCCCTCAGCCTCTTGAGTAGCTGGGACCACAGGTGTGTGCCACCACGCCGGGCTCTGATTTTGTAATTACTGAGCCTTTTATGTCCTTTTGTACAATTTTGTAGTTTTCTTCTTACAGATCTTTAGATGATTGGTGACATTTATTCCTTTCATTTTTTTTTTTTTTGAGATAGAGTCTCACTCTGTGACCCATGCAGGAGTATAGTGGTGTGATCTAGGCTCACTGTAACCTCCGCCTCCCAGACTCAAGCGATCCTTCCACCTCAGACTCCCAAGAAGCTGGGACCACAGGTGCACACCACCACACCTGGCTAATTTTTGTATTTTTTGTAGAGATGGGGTTTCACCATGTTACCCAGGCTAGTCTTGCACTCCTGGCCTCAAGTGATATGTCGTCCTTGTCCTCCCAAAGTGCTGGGATTACAGGTGTGAACCACTGCACCCAGCCTATTCCTTTCTTAATACCTTTTGTTTCTTTAAATAATGGCTTTGTTGAGATATAGTTTATATACCATAGGAAACTCACCCTGAATATCTTTGTATATATTTTTAAATAGTACTGCTATATAAGGAAGGTATGCTTTAAAAAAAATCAACTTTATTAGGGTATAATTTAAATGTAATAAAATTCACATATCTTAATAGGTTGATAGCTTTTGACACACATATTCCTTATGTAACCACCACCTCAATTCAGATGCAAGATACAGGATATTCCCATTTCTCCATGAAGTTCCCTTGTGTTCCTTTCTTCTTACATTCACCTGTTGGTGGACGTGGCATTCTTTCAAGTCCCCCCCAAATGGGGATTGGAAGAGTAGGGCGCATGCAGGGTGAATAAGTGTGGTGGGGGGTGCTGCAGCTTGGGGATGAGAATGATAATGTTGAGGCAAAGCAGGAACAGGCACCTGGATGGCTCAGAAGATGGACATGGCATCCTCTCTTTTCCAGAGTTGGGCACAGACTTTCGAAGTTCACGTACCTTCTCTTTCTTTCTTCTTTGGTCTTTATTCTGGCATTGTGGCTGCTGCCCTGTTCACACAGCAAATGTCAAGTGGACTTTTAAAATACCAACATTTTATCATCATCAAAAGGGAAGACTGACTACCTTAAAAAGCCTGTTTTGGGAAGGAATAAGATTTTGAGATGCAGGTATTGTGCATGTTAAAGTTTAGTAAGGCTTTTTATTTGGCCGCTAATCACTCCAACACTGACCATGTGAGAAAAAAAGTTTGTATTTGCATTCACCAAATTTTTTACGCAGAAAATGTAGCTCCCTCCACTTGCCGCCTTCCTCTCATCTTGAGACTTATTATTCTGCTGTTCATTTTGAGTAAAGGTGGTATGGGAAGTTAGTGTCTACAAGGAAAGAGCCTGCATTTGGCATCTGAGAAACTCATTCTCCTCACGACAACTAATTTTAATTAGAACTAATATTTTTAATGAGGATTGCATTAGACAAACATGCACACATTTATGTATACACAAATATATATGCAAAATATATAATTTTATAAGATATTATATATACACACACCCACCCCCAGTGAGTGTTTAGAACATAGCAAGCATGCAATACATTATATTATTATTTTTTTAAAATTTCTTTTTCTTAAATAGAGATGGGGTCTCACCGTGTTAACCAGGCTGGTCTCAAACTCCTGGCCTCAGGTGATCCTTCCATCTTGGCCTCCCAAAGAGCTGGGATTGGCCGGGTGTGGTGGCTCATGCCTGTAATCCCAGCGCTTTGGGAGACCAAGGCAGGTGGATCACTTGAGCTCAGGAGTTTGAGACCAGCCTGGCCAACATGGTGAAAACACATCTCTACTAAAAATATAAAAAATTAGCTGGGCATGGTTGCTCGTGCCCGTAGTCCCAGCTACTCAGGAGGCTGAGGCAGGAGAATCGCTTAAACCTAGGAGGCGGAGGTTGCAGTGAGCCTAGATTGTGCCACTGCACTCCAGCCTGGGCAACAGAGCGAGACTCCATCTCAAAAACAAAAACAACTCCCCTCACCCCCCCAAAAAAACCCCAAAGAGCTGCGATTACAGGTGTGAGTCACTGTACCTGGCCTATACTATTATTACAAATAATGTCTTCATTTTTACATTTTTTTGCCCAGGCGTGTTGCTTTTTGACAAAGCTTTCTTTTATTATTTGTGGTTGAAATTATAATATATTAAAATGTATTTATCTACTGAAAGTCTTGGTTCCTTTTCTGTGTTTTCTCAGGCATGCTGCAGACAGACCTTTCCGTCCTTCATGAACACACGTGTGGTAGACAGATGACTGTCCTGTACCCTGTGCTGCTCTAGGTGTGCCAGACGTGGAGCTGTCCAGTTGGGAGAAGATGGATTCCAAAGATGAAAGCTCGCATGTGTGGCCGACATCTGCAGAGCATGAACAGAATGCCGCACAGGTGAAGACTGGTCTTTTCCAGCTTGGTATTGAGAGGTTTTCAGCTGGACTCAGTTTGCTGACAGCAAAGAAATACAGCTGCTATCTAGTAGTGACTAGTCGTTAGGAGCCGACATGAAGAACTCGTACACAAGGAATAGGGACTGTTTTGGCCCCTTGAATGCTCCATCGATGTGGCTCACCGTGAGTTAGGAGAGCTAGACCACCAGCTATAGGCTTCTCCGCCTTGTCTGCAATTTACTGTCATAATCTGTTTTACTACCCCGCTTTATTTATGTTATTGCTGCTGAAAACCTCAAACTATAGTTTGTTTCTTTTACGTTATCCATAGTAGTTTGGTCCTTTGTGTGTAATGAGTACAGGTATGTCTATAAAGTGAGTGGCCTTTTCTTTTCTTTTTAAATTCAGAATGTAAACCTCTAAGTCAAAGTTGTTCCATTATGAGTCAGCCACTTTAGAGGTTAGTCACTTGACCAAATGCTGCTGTCATCGATGACCTTTGCCTTTCAGATTGCTGCTAGAACCAACCACATGTTATTTTGGCTGTTCTTAGCGAAGGCAAATCTCTGCATTTTTGGTATGGAATTGAATTTGGGATGATTAGCAGTCATATGGAGCCATGTTTTATGTGTGACCAAAGTATAAAACTTAATTTTTAAACATTGTAGTAAACATACACGTGTAATGTTTCATTAAATTACATAACCATAGTACCAGTATCAAAATCAAGAAGTTACATTGAAACATTTAAGTATGCAGATTCTATTTAATTTAAGCAATATAATAAATATACAATAAATAAAATTGGTTATCTGGTATGATTAAAAAGTCTCAGTATGGACCAAATATGGTGGTTCATGCCATTCCCAGCAGTTTGGGAGGGCAAGGCAGGAGGCTCGATTCAGTCCAGGAGTTTAGGACCAGCCTGGGCAACAAAGTGAGGCCCTGACTCTACCAAAAAAAAAAAAAAAGAAAAATTAGCCGGACATGGTGGTGCATGCCTATAGTGGTGCGGTCATGTCTCTAGGAGGTGGAGGCTGCAGTGAACCATGACTGCACCACTACACTCTAGCCTGGGTGACAGAATGAGACCCTGTCACTAAAAATAAAAATAAATAAAGTCTTAGTCTGATTACTTAAAAAAGTTCCACTGATGTTTCAGCAGAGTATATGAGAATTCTGTTTTGTTTCTCCTGGAAATCATTTTGAGGTCATTTCCATGCAGCTATGTATTTTGGTATATCTTATTTATAAATAAAATTGTAGTTCATTAAAAAGCAAAACAAAAGAAAATCTGGTTGTGACACTGCATGACCAGGGCCCTGTCTGTGGGTAACCAGATAGTAGATAGCCAAGGTCAGGGTCCCTGTGGCACTCCTTCCTCCCAACTGGTTCTTCCGCCAGCTGGGAATTCTGATTTAATGAATGATGAAGACCAAGCAGAAAAGCTTGGATAGCTTGTCTGGAGGAAACATGTTTTCCCTTCTTAAGCACTGAAACTAGTTCAAGGCTTTGATGTTAATGAACAAATCGAAAGTCACAAAATTGTCTTATAGCAATTAAGCCTGCTTAAATATGAGCCTAATTTTTCCAATAGACAAACTTTATCTTCCAGACAAATCAAATTTATGTAGAAGCCAGACTAATCATTTCGTGTAGAGGTGGAAGTTTGTTGTATTTCTGTGGTGTTTGATTACATTTTGTCTCTTAGGTTTCCTTCTGGGGATTAAATTAGTTTATATTATCTTGGGGATCTACTATCCTTCACTAGAGAAAACTGACATTAAAAAGTTAGGTCCAAAGCCAAGGCAGTATAAGAGCAAGGATTCCACCCTAAGAGTGCGTGACTTCGATAGCAACACATACATTATTTCTCTCCCAAATGTGTTCTTGGGCCATCTGCTTCCAGACCTTCAATATCAGGCATCAGGCCATGTGCCAAGCTCAGGCCTTCAAGAATTCAATCCTCCAAAGCTGACCACTCAGAAAGTGTTTTACAAAACTTCATTTCTGCTTTAGTTCTTTAGGTCTTGGGAGAAAATTATTTACCCTGGTGACAGCTGAAATAGTTGTCCAGAACCCCCTAAAAGTACTTTATTAGAATTTTCTGTGTCTTCACCTACCCGGCAAGGAAGAGTTCTATTCCATTCATTGATTCAGCAAGCATTTACTGATATGCCTCCAGTATGTCCTTTGTGTATGAAACAACTTGCAGGAAAGAAAGTGACCTGATTTTATTTTATTTTATTTTTGAGATGGAGTTTCACTCTTCTCACCCAGGCTGGAGTGCAACGGTGCGATCTCGGCTCACTGCAACCTCTGCCTCCCAGGTTCAAGCAATTCTCCTGTCTCAGCCTCCTGAGTAGCTGGGATTACAGGCGCCCCCCACCATGCCCAGCTAATTTTTGTATTTTTTTAGTAGAGACAGGGTTTCACCATGTTGGCCAGGCTGGTCCTGAACTCCTGACCTCAGGTAATCCACCTGCCTCGGCCTCCCAAAGTGCTGGGATTACAGGTGTGAACCACCACGCCTAGCCAAAAGTGACCTTATTTTAATGTGTCTGCTGAAAGACACTATTAGTTATAAAATAGAATTCTTATGATGTGTTGACAGCAATTGGCTTTTGAGTCTTGACGTATTTTTTCACACCACAGAGTAATTTGTATGTTTTATTCTGATAGTGTTGTCAGGCAGGAATCTTCAGTGTCGTTTCCAGGATCAATTAACCACGCCCTTATTACTCCCCAAAAGAGTTATCTGCATTGGCCATTTGAGGCAAAGGGGAATTTAAGTCGGTTGCCTAACATTTAGCAGTAAATCAATGACAAGGTCCTTGCATCCTCCCCTAGTCACCACCTCGGTGTAGACAAAGGTGTATCCATCCCCATTCTCCTGTCATTGGGGATCTTTTAGAAACCCAGGTGTGCTTGTTGATCACTTACCTTCCTGATACTGATTTTGTTCTTTGTCTCCTGTTTATGCCAGGTGCACTTTGTTCCGGACACAGGAACAGTGGCTCAGATTGTCTATACCGATGACCAGGTTCGCCCCCCACAGCAGGTGGTGTACACGGCAGATGGTGCCTCCTACACATCAGTGGATGGTCCAGAGCACACGCTGGTGTACATCCACCCGGTGGAAGCTGCACAGGCATGTGAAGGGTTATCTGTTGATAATTTGTCAATTAACTAATTAACCAATTACTTGTGTTTACTTTCTGTCAGTCATTGTGCTAGGTACTGGTGATGCAGTACGTATTCAGATAAGATCTGTGCTCTCAGCCAGGCGCGGTGGCTCATGCCTGTAATCCCAGCACTTTGGGAGGCCGAGGCAGGTGGATCATGAGGTCAGGAGTTCAAGACCAGCCTGGCCAAGAGGGTGAAACCCTGTCTCTACTAAAAATACAAAAAAGTAGCTGGGCGTGGTGGTGGGCACCTGTAATCCCAGCTACGTGGGAGGCTGAGGCAGAGAATTGCTTGAACCTGGGAGGCGGAGGTTGCAGTGAGCCGAGATCGCGCCACTGCACTCCAGCCTGGGTGACAGAGCAAAACTCTGTCTCAAAAAAAAAGATCTGTGCTCTCAAGGAGCTTGTAACCAACTTGGCAGAGGAAGATGTGATTTATTTCTTGACGCTAAATGCAATAAGGAGTTAGAGCATGGGTTCGTATATAGCTCTTCTCTACAGTTGACTAGGTTATGAATTTATTATTCCTAAGTATCAAGAACCAGGCCAAAAATGGCTCTGTGAAAACATACAGATTATTTCAGCTAAATATGTAAGAAAGGGTCCTGCTAAGCTTATTAGCTACCACTTCTTAATAACTTACTGATTTGCAAGGCTGTACTAGAAGCAAAGATGTTTACTGCCAAAAGGCGTACAATTATAGCTGCTTTTATTTTATTTTTTGCCAGTGACTTGCAGTATAGCTTCCAAATGAGTGACACCAATATCCCCCAACATATAAATGTTAATTTACATTGTTAGCACTTTACAATGTATAAAGTACTTTGAAATGTATATCTTTAACATCTAAATTCCATACTTTTATAGTAGCATCTTGGTAAGAAAAATTTGCCCTCATTTGATATTCAATAAAGAGGCTCAGATCACTCCCAAATAGAAATGAGGCCCGCCTAATTAGTGCCTTTCAAATCTACATAAGTATGAAATCACTGAAGACTTAGTGGTACTTTTGGAATACCCCTGCCTATATTAAAATAAGATTAGTTTATATAAGAATGTCCTGTGACCAACTTTCAGTTTATTACAATGTTACTAAATGTCTGAATTTGGATAATTTTTATTTTGTTTACTTATTTTTTATTTTTTTTGAGACAGAGTCTTGCTCTGTCTCCTAGGCTGGAATGCAGTGGCACAATCTCAGCTCACTGCAACCTCTACCTCCCGGGTTCAAGTGATTCTCCTGTCTCAGCCTCCCAAGCAACTGGGATTACAGGCACCCACCACCACAACAAGCTAATTTTCGTATTTTTAGTAGAGATGGTGTTTTGCCATGTTGGCCAGGTCTCGATCTCCTGACCTCAGGTGATCCGCCTGCCTTGGCCTCCCAAAGTGCTGGGATTACAGGCGTGAGTCACCGCGCCCAGCCAGATTTTTAAAAACTTTAGAAGAAAGGACATTTTGACATTTTTCTGGATTAGAGATATTAACTGTGGTGCCCTGGCTACAGTAGTTTCGAAGAATTTTCTCTAGTTAGCTTTGCTGCATCATGAGCCAACTTAGTTTATGATGATTAATTTTTTTTTTTAATTATGACTTTACTGACTATGTAGAAAAGAACTCATGGAACATTAAGTTCAATTTATTTTCCTTCTACTTCTCTTCTGATAATAAACATGCACTTACATTTGAAATAGCTGTAATCCTTGGGTATGTAATCCTCTTCTAGATGCCTGTCTATCTCCATCCATTTTCATTTCATCACAAGTCTACTCCCGTGAGCAGTGTTATGTGTGAACCTGTGAACCCTTGTTCATGTCATGTCTCTTGTGTTTTCATGAGATGCCTTTTTAATTAACTGTGACATTCAGTCCCAAGAAAGGCTTTGCTTACGAGTAAAATTGCGAAGTATGTTAGCCATTGGGATGGTTAGCTTATACAATCTCTTTGGAGCCATGTGAATGAAAAGCTTTAGCTAAATTTAAGATTACTATCTTTATTTTCTGTATTAATGAAAGCTTATTACTGGCTAAAATGGGAGTTAACTTTTCTAAAAATTGGTGCTTAGCAGTAGGATAATTTTTCTGTGTAGGCAGGCTATCCAAAGAGCTACTGATAATTTTTTGTTCGTTTGTTTGTTTAGACTCTGTTTACAGACCCCGGCCAGGTAGCTTATGTCCAACAGGATGCTACAGCTCAGCAGGTAACGAACTGCCTTTTTCTTGTTTGGGGATAACACTGTGAATGCCACTGCGCCTGGAATGCCCCATCCCTTTGCACTGCACCATCTCTGGATGTTTGTTTCTCATGTACTAAGAATGTTCTCCAGCTCCTTTAATGAAAACAAAGCAAAATGCAACATAATATTAACATATTTCAATAAGTATATACTGGAATAATCTGATAATAGAAAGTGATTTGTCAGAGAAATTTTTTAAAATAAGCATATAAACAGGGTATTTGTTCAAGTACCAAAGAATAATCATGAGGTTTAAAAGTGTCTCTTTTTTTGGAAATTGATATAGCTTTTGTACTTGCTCTATTTTTAAATACTGAAAAAAAATTCTTGCTTAAATTACATATAAATTTGGTTCCAATTTTCCTCATGCCAGCTTCTAAAAATTTGAGTTCTTCTTGGTTTTCTTTTAAAACATTTCTTTCCCATTACCTTCATTTCTGATATATCCTACTTGGCTTTGATGACTTCCTCCTTATTTCCTGCAAGAATGTGAAAGTGATAAAGAAGGTGTGGAAGCAGCTGGGCACAGAGGCTCATGCCTATAATCCCAGCACTTTGGGAGGCTGAGGTGGGAGAATCGTTTGAGACCAGACTGGGCAATATAGTGAGACCCCATCTCTGCAAAAAATTTAAAAATTAGCCAGGTGTGGTGGTGCACACCTGTGGTTCCAGCTACTTGGGAGGCTAAGGTGGGAGGATCCCTTAAACTCAGATGTTCAAGGCTGCAGTGAGCTTTGATTGCACTACTGCACTCCAGCCTGGGTGGCAGAGTAAGGCCCTGTCTCAAAAATAAATAAACAAAAACCAAATAGGTTTACTTTCATGTCAGGTAGTGTGACTGTAATTTGTCTATATTACTGAGTGCCATGACTGATTAATAATTAAATTATTCTCATTAAGAAGCACTTTCTGGCCAGGCATGATGGCTCACACGTGTAATCCCAGCACTTTCAGAGGCTGAGGTGGGCGGATCAATTGAGGTCAGGAGTTCGAGACCAGCCTGGCCAACATGGTGAAACCCTGTCTCTACTAAAAATACAAAAAACTTAGCCAGGCATGGTGGCGGGTGCCTGTAATCCCAGTTACTTGGGAGCCTGAGGCACAAGAATCACTTCAACCTGGGAGGTGGAGGTTGCAGTGAGCCAAGATTGTGCCACTGCACTCCAGCCTGGGTGATAGAGCAAGACTCCATCTCAAAAAAAAAAAAAATAAATAAATTAAATTAAAATTTAAAAGAAGAAGCACTTTCTGCTTTTTTATTTCTTGGTAGAAGATTTGTATGCTTCTATTTTAAAATTTAGAAAATGAACCCTAGTTATATTCATATCATCTGAAATATAGAGAAGTTTGTTAGGAGCCTTTTTTGTATAAGTTGGGGTTAAATTCATTCATGACTGGCAGTGAACGGCAATGTAATGGGGTCTTTGAACTTAAATGAGAATTGTTATTTATTTTAATAATTTTTTATAATACTTAGGTATATTCTTGACCCAAACCAACCTCATTTCTGTAAATACTTATTGATTCCATCAAGCAAGCAATGGATTATATATATATAATATATATATTTTTATATATTAGGATATACTATTATATACTTCATTTATTATTTTACATGTAGATTATTTCCTTTTTTTTTTTTTTTTTTTGCTACTATAAAGAATGCTGTCATGGACATCATATCAGATTATTTCCTTAGGATAAATACCCCAAAGACAAATGGTAGAGACAGAAGATATTTGTATTTTAAGTTAAGAACCAAATTTTTTGTAAAAGTGGAAAAACATACAAATATAAAAACCAAACCAATGAAATAAAAACCCAGAATTCTAAATTTGAATTGGAATATGAATATGGACTTATAATATGTTTTCTCTTAAAAAACATGTTTTCTGGCCAGGCACCTGTAATCCCAACACTTTGGGAGGCTGAGGCAGGCAGATCACTTGAGGCCAGGAGTTCGAGACCAGCCTGGCCAACATGGTGAAACCCTGTCTCTACTAAAAATACAAAAATTAGCTGGGCGTGGTGGCGCATGCCTGTAATCCCAGCTACTCGGGAGGCTGAGGCAGGAGAATCGCTTGAACCAGGGAGTTGGAGGTTGCAGTGAGCCGAGATCACACCACTGCACTCCAGCCTGGCAACACAGCAAGACTCCGTGTAAAAACAAAACAAAACACAAAACACACAGAAATGACGGCTGGGTGCAGTGGATCATGCCTGTTATCCCAGCACTTTGGGAAGCCAAGGTGGGCGGATCACCTGAGATCAGGAGTTTGATACCAGCCTGGCCAACATAGTGAAACTCCATCTCAACTAAAAATACAAAAATTAGTTGGGCATGGTGGTGGGCACCTGTAATCCTAGCTGAGTACTCAGGAGGCTGAGGCAGGAGAATCGCTTGAACCTGGGAGGCGGAGGTTGCAGTGAGCTGAGATCGTGCCATTGCACTCCAGCTTGGGCGATAAGAGTGAGACTCTGTCTCAAAAAAAAAAAAGACTAATTTTAATATTTTAGGTATAAGATATGCAATCTAAAAGTCATTTCATTGTACTCAACTATTTACAGATGAAAATGTATAATGTCTTGGTTTTGCTTCTCCCAATGAGGGAGGAAGTAGGTAGGAGATTAGTTGAAATAAGATTGGCCATGAATTGGCCAGGCACGGCGAATCACATCTATAATCCCAGCACTTTGGGATCCCCGAGACAGGAGGACCACTTGAGCCCAGGAGTTAAAGACCAGCCTAGGCAACATAGTGAAGACCCCTGTATGTACAAAAACTAAAAAAATTAGCCAGGCATGGTGGCACGTGTCTGTAATCTCAGCTACTCGGGAGGCTGAGGTGGGAAGATCACTTGAGCCTGGGAGGTTGAGGCTGCCATGAGCTGATTAAGCCACTCTGCACTCCAGACAGACATTTTGTCTCTTAAAAGAAAAGATGTTGATTGGCCATGAATTGATAATTGTTGAGCTGAGTTATGGATACATGAGGAATAAACCTCATGTATAATAAAATACTATTCTATTTGATATTTGTGTGAAATTATTTTGATAATTGATTTTCTAAATTGCTTTTCAGACACTGAAAATATTTGTATTCCCACCAACAGTATAGTATACAAGGGTGCCCCATTTCCACACACTCTTGCCACACTGAGTATTTGCATTCTTTTCAAATTTTGCCAATCCGATAGGCAAATTTTTGTTGTTTTAATATTAAGGGATAGTTTTAATTAAAGGCTTCGTTGCCATTTGCACTTCAAAGGGCCCTTCATCTTTTCCAATCTCCAGAAACAATCTGCTTGTTTCATGTTTTGCTCAAAAGGAAAGTTGTACTCAGCTCCACAAACCCTGACATTACAAGACAGTGTAACTATTGGCTTAGCATCTTTCTTCATTGTAGTTTCCTTTCCACCAGCACAGTTTTTATTTCTGGTTATAACACCTCAGTGGTTGTCAGTTTATCTGGTGACCTGGATAAATTCTGGATAGAAAGTTAGATTGAGGGTTGAACACAGAGGATGGTTTTTTTTTTTGGTTTTTGTTTTTTTCTTAGCCAAAAGGTTCCCATTATATTTTCAGTTGTTTTTAGTGGGGGCAGAATGTGCTTGAATCCTTTTTCATGTATGCATTCCCCCGTCCTTAAGAAAGGCATCAGTGGTCTCCAGGCATAGTCTCCTCTTTGTTTTTGAAAATGAACATGTGTGACTCCCCACACACTGAGAGGAAAATATGCTGCCCTGATAATTGGTCTCAGTAGGAATCAAGAAGCATTCTGTTGTGTGTGCTGCTGTCCAGCGTGGTCGTTTCATGTTTCACTTCTCAGATAAATTGTATCCTGAAATGCATTATGTCCTTTCAGAAATAATTACAGAGAGTGGTATTAAGTGGGAAGGAGAAAGTATACCGTAAGTTTATAGATTCTTTTTGCTTTTACTGTATTTTATTGTACATGACAAAATGCACAGGATTAAAATGGTTTTGCTTCAGACTCCTTTCCTCTAAGTGAAACAGACAGACACTGCTTGCCAACCTACCGCCTGGCTATGACCTCAGGGACATGTGTGGTTGGTTACCTTGTTGCCCAGGTATTCAAAGCGTGGGTGACGTTTACCGCTTCTGCTGCCCTCCTTGAATAGACTGAATTCCATAGGGCCATCGTGATGTAGTGGAAAAGGCAGTGCAGAGTCAGAATTTAGACTTCATCTCTGCCACTTAGGAGCGTTGTAACATCACCTGGCCTCAGAGGGATTCAAATACCTGCCTAGCACTCAGTAAACACCAGCTGAATTTGAATTTGTGGTTCATTAAATTTGTAATGCATGCCTGTTGTGTGTTAAGGTTTGTGTTGTCTAGAAGTGTACAGTTCTTATCTAGAAATGATGGTCAGCAGCTCTTTCCGTTCCTTTTCCACAGCAGTTTGCATGTTTCTGGTAAATATCCAAACTCCGCTTTTAGAGCCAGCCTCTAAAGATGCTGCTGGAGTGTTTAAGCATTTCCTTTTGCCACAGTCTGTTAGGAAAGAGGTCCAGCATGGGGAAGTGAAGGCCGGTTTTATCTTGATGTCAGCTTTCTCAGCAGTGGCAAGAAGCCAGTCACGTTGCCAAACCGGTGTCTTTCTGACAGCATCTGTTGGGAAAAAAATACATCGCGGTTTTACTAGAATAACTGAATTGCTGAATTCATTCTTTCAGGTTGGCTCTGCAGAGCGAGTTTATGAGGAGTAGAGGTGTACATATGCTTTGGTTTGTTCAGTATGTGATAACATTTATCACTAACCCTGGCATAATGCTTAAGCGCTTAGGACAAGGGGCAGTATTGTAAGCTGTGCTCTGAGATGGGGAGCAGGAATACAGTCACTTCCTTGCAGGTTCTGGTGAGGAGGTTGAGGGGGAGGTGGCCACAGCAGCTGCACTGCTAGAAGTTCCCTGTGGAGTCCTCACCCTCACAGGGCATTTTATGCTGTTTTTATTGAAGCTGAGGCAGAAGCGTCTTCCAGAATTTGGCTTCCCCCGTAAAACTTTCTAAAAGACCCTGAATTGCAGAAGTGGAATGTCAGGCAAAAGTCAAATGAGCATGTGTTAAGTGTGCGGATGCAGTTTGAGATAACCGGTTTGATCTGCTTTCTGGAGACAGAGTGTTTCAAATGTTGGGTAACGCTCTTACACAGCCGTTGCAGGTCAGGCCCTCAATAAACACACTCAGTACCGTTTCTTTAGAGTTCTTTTTTTATTATTATTTGAGACAGGGCCTTGCTGTGTCACCCAGGCTGGAGTGACACCATCACAGCTCACTGCAGCCTCAACCTCCTGGGCTCAAATGATTCTCCCATGTCAGTCTCCTGAGTAGCTGGGACCACAGGCACGTGCCACCACTGCCCAGCTAAATTTTGTATTTTTTGTAGAGACAGGGTTTCACCATGTTGCTCAGGCTGGTCTCGAAATCCTGGGCTCAAGCAATCCTCCTGCCTCAACCTCGGAGAGTGCTGGGATTACAGGCATGAGCCATCACGCCTGGCCTCTTTTTTTGGGGGGTGGGGGGGTGGAGTTTCGCTCTTGTCACCCAGGCTGGAGTGCAATGGCGTGATCTCAGCTCACTGCAACCTCCGCCTCCTGGGTTCAAGTGATTCTTCTGCCTCAGGCTCCCGAGTAGCTGGGATTACAGGCACCCGCTACCATGCCCAGCTACTTTTTTTTGTATTTTTAGTAGAGACAGGGTTTCACCATGTTGGCCAGGCTGGTCTCAAACTCCTGACCTCAGGTGATCTGCGCACCTTGGCCTCCCAAAGTGCTGGGATTACAGGCATGAGCCACCATGCCCAGCCACACCCAGCCTCTTTTTAGAGTTTGATAAGTTCTTCGATTAAGATGCACAGCAGAAAAAGGATGTTTCTGTGAGTACTGCAAAGACTTCCTCTAGATGCCTGAAGGGATTGGTGTTATTTCCCAAAAGGCCAAATATATTTCAACAAATTAATCTTCATTGAACACCTACTTTATGCTCAGCGATCTTTTAAATTTGAGGAGGAAGTATATGATATCATCATGGTCCTTAAAGAACTTAGGATAATAATGATTAATACTAAGCAGTTACTAAATGCTATACACTCTGCTACTGGCCTTATATACATATTGTTTCACTTAATACAACAACCTGAGGCATGTATTACTGTGTCCATTTTACAGACAAAGAAACTGAGGTTCAGAGAAGTGTAGTAACTTGCTAAGGGGTGGGGCAAGGATTTTACTCTAAATGCCTGACTCCAAAGCCCATAGTCTATTTCCCTGAGGTGCAGTTGGAGAGGCAAGATGGACTCATGTGAAAACGCATACTCATCACCAAAATAGATGGTGTTTGGCAATGGATGCAAAGCTGTGGGGATAGTTAATGTGTGAGATGTCTGGATCTGAAGTCTAAAGATCTTGGCAGATGGGAAGAACAGATAAAAGCAGTGAAATGAAATTTACTGGAGATAAATGCAAAATCCCCCATTTAAGTAAAAATCAGCTCTTGAAGTCCTGATGAGGGGAAAAATGGTTTAATAGCACTCTATGAGGGGAAAAGAGGACTTAGATATTTTAGTTATCTGCAAGTTCAGGATGGGTCTGCAGTAGAGCAACGTGGCCAACGTAAACACTAATGCACCCTGATGTTGTATTAATAAAAATATGGAATCCACTGCGAAATAAATGAAGACAACAAGATGATTAGGGAGCTGGGAGTTTGGTCATGTGAGAAATGACTGAATGAATTAGGGTTTTTTGGCCTTCAGATATTTGATTCTTGTGGCGGAAGGGTTACACTTATTCTAGCTACCTCCAGAGGAAAGTCCTGGGCCCTAACCAAAGCGTGGAAGATCTGGGCTCCACAGAAATTGTCATAGAACTATTTCAGAATGATTCAGGCTGCCTGGTGAGGTCATGAAATGTGGAAGCAGATGCTGAGTGCTGTTGTGGAGTGGGATTCTATGGCTCCAAGGGCTGCAGGAGTTCAGAGCAGAGGAGACTCAGGGAGGGCTGGAGGCATCAAAGGCGGTTCACTGGGAAACTGGAATGTGGTAGGATTTAGAAGGTGGCTGAGGAAAGAGTATTTTAGGTGAGGAAAACAACATATGAGAAGATAAAGGGAGTGGCATTTTTAAAAACTTGCTTTATTTATTGAATAGGACATGGCTTGAGTATGACCTTGTGCTAATTGGGCAGGAGGAGCAAGATTGCATAAAGGGATTCTAGGCCAGTGTATAATCCCATAACACTTAGATTGGAGGCAGGAGAACTTTTTAAGGTACCATTTTTATTTTCTGCCAGGATATTTGATAAGATAGCATTAACCTAATACATGACCCAAACTGTGTCTTATTTGCAGGAGACTGACTTCAGCATGATGAAACAAACAGGCACCTCATCTCTTTCATTCTTACTTAAAAACCTCAGCCTGCCTGAGCTGTTTAAAAGGAGAGCTGTGAGCTATGGAACTTTGTTAACCATGTGTTGCACGACGTGTTTAGTTTTAAAAGACAAGTGGTTGAGGATAGGTCAACTCATTTACCCCCTCCAGTGTGGTATGGCTACTCTGGAAAGGCAAGAGGGACCCCCACCCCAGGTTTAGTTCAGATGTGGAAACTGATGATACCTCACATGTGCACACATCGAAACGGTCTGTTGCTTACCTATTTGAAGTCTTGGGAGACAGGGCAGGCCTCTCAAGCAGTGTGAAACGGCTGAATGAGCCAGGAAGAGACCAGGTTTTATTAAGTTTTAGGGGTGGGGTCAGGACGCAGGTGGTCAGGGCCTTGCCAGTGTTGACTCTCCCACTGCTGCCAAAGGAGGGAGCACCTGAGCCTTCTTAGCAGCCCTCCCAGGTGTGGGACAGAAGGGGCAGAGGGAGGGCAGAGGCTTAAAGGCTGTGAGCAGTCAGATCAAAAATGAAGCCAGCTCTTCCTCACAGCCGGTAGATGGAAGTCATTTTTCCAGGGCCTGGAAGGAGTTGGTAGGAAGACTAGATTTCAGCCAGCCCTTGCGCCCTGTTTGTGCCAGCAGGCACCAGCGAACCAAAAGCAGGTGTCCATGTCTGCTTACTCTGTGCCTTCAACTTTTGCCCAGGCCTCATTGCCAGTTCATAACCAGGTGCTGCCTTCCATCGAGAGTGTAGATGGGTCCGACCCTTTGGCAACTCTGCAGACCCCTCTAGGCAGACTGGAGGCCAAAGAGGAAGAGGATGAGGATGAGGACGAGGACACTGAGGAAGATGAGGAAGAAGACGGTGAGGACACGGATCTGGATGACTGGGAGCCAGACCCGCCCCGGCCCTTCGACCCACACGACTTGTGTAAGTGTGGGCACGGGTCTCCCCCAGGGAAGCTGTGTCCATCTTGTGTGTCTGTGTACGTGTGCGTGTGTGTGAACATAGCTCCCGTGCGTCAGGTCCTTCCGTGTGCAGCCAACTGTGCTACATTCTCTGCTTGCTTCATCCCACCTGGCCTTCACTGCAGCCCTTTGAGGGACACTCTCCTTCGTTTTCTGATTTACTGATGAGTAAACAAGCTCAGAAGATTGGGAAGCTCGCTGGGGGTCACACAGGGACGAAGGGGCATCAGGCAGCCAAGCCCAGGTCTCTCACACCAGAGCTTCAGCTACCAAACCACCATGGTAGATTTGCCCGATCCTGCGCTCTTCAGCCACTTCAGCTTTAACAAGTTTGCCTTGCTGCTTTGCCTCTTCCATGATAGCCTTTTAAGAATGCTGTTCTATCCCAGGCGTGAGTGCCCTGAGTCTACTACCTCCTTTATGCCCTCCATGGCCCTACCATGAGGTGGGTAGCTTTCCCAGGGCTGTGCCAATAATTTGAGGGTCAGGACTCCAGTTCAGGCAGTCTGGCCCCTCGGCAGCGCCCTTGATCAGCCACCCCACCCTACTGCTTGCTGGGGGTTCACATTCCACCACCAAGAAACCATCAGTTTCTTTCTGTGGATTTTCTTGCTTATGTGGCAAAGTGCTTACTCATTGATTTGCATTACTGAGGCTCTTCAGAGCTTTGTGGTTTCATCCTGTTTCTCCTGGTCCTTCTGTGTGGTGGTGGTAAAATCTGTCTGCTTGGGCCCAGTGTTCAAGCTCCACATCTAATCCCAGTTCAACAGAGAACTTGCTCGTTTTGGTTTTCCTTGAATTCATACGTTTTCTTTTCTTTTCTTTTTGTTTGTTTTTGTTTTTTTTTCTTTAATTTTGAGACAGGGTCTTGGTCTGTCTCCCAAGCTGGAGTGCAGTGGTTCAAGCTCGGTTCACTGCAGCCCTCTGCCTCCCAGGTTCAAGCAATTCTCAAGCCTCAGCCTCCGGAGTAGAGTAGTTGGGACTACAGATGTGCACCACCACGCCCAGCTAATTTTTTTTTTTTGTATTTTTAGTAGAGATGGAGTTTCACCATGTTGGCGAGACTGGTCTCGAACTCCTGACCTCAAGTGATCCGCCCACCTCAGCCTCCCAAAGTGCTGGGATTACAGGCTGAGCCACTGCACCTGGGAAAAATTCTTACATTTTTGAGGCAACTCCTAAGTCAAATGCACAGAAAATCACTTTATCTTTAAAATATTAATACAAAGTAGCTCTGTTATTTGAGAATTGTAGAAATTAAAAATAACTATTTCCTAAACCAGGTCACCATGCAGCTGGAGTAAGGTAAAGCATGTTAAGTGTGTTAAGGGTTGTGGGCATGGCCTGTGTGGTCCATTTGCTCTCCTCCGTTTTGGGGCTGTACCTGTCTCGTTCTGGCGGTTAGCTTACAGGTGGGTGCTCCTGGCAAAGAGGCAGGGCGTGTGGCCGGACTGGTGCAAACCGAGTGCTCTTGGAATGGGCGGAAAATGTTGTGTCATCCCAGTGAATGAAGGAAGGGATTCTAAATTTGTTCATTTTAGCATTATCTAATCAGACAGTATGCACTGAACTCTCAGACCGCACAACCCTTTTTCCGTTTGAGTTAGGCTGAGATATAAGACTTCTGTAACTCCCTTTGAGAAAATTGATTCAATAGTATTGTCAGGGTTCCTCCCCGGCCCCGGAATAGTTTTATTGAGATAATGGGCATACTATAAAATTCACCTATTTTGTCTCATCAGATAGTGCAACATTTAGCCTGATACGCTCTTTTTACTCTTCAGACATGTTGTAATTGATTTGTAAATTTAGTGGCCACTATTCAAAGGACTCTCCAGCAAAGAAGTCAGTCATGGCCTGCTAGTTGTTTTTGGCAGGCATAAGCAAATTCTGTCTGATTTTAGAGGAGAATTACAGGATTTTTACTGGTCTCCCAGAGAGAATGTATTACCGTTGAATGGGTAGCGCCATTAGGAGTTCATTGAATTTTGGCTTGAAAATGCAGACGGGGATTTTTCGGGTCAGAATTTTTTACCTCACATCAAGTCACACTGAGGAATTGGACTTTTCTTCAAGACTGTCTCTCTTTTGCAGGGTGTGAGGAGTGCAATAACGCGCATGCTTCAGTGTGTCCGAAGCACGGCCCCTTGCACCCGATCCCCAACCGGCCGGTGCTCACCCGGGCCAGGGCGAGCCTCCCCCTGGTGCTCTACATAGACAGGTTTCTGGGCGGGGTGTTCTCCAAGCGGCGCATCCCCAAGCGCACCCAGTTTGGCCCCGTGGAGGGGCCTCTCGTCAGGGGCTCGGAGCTGAAAGACTGTTACATTCACCTCAAGGTAATTTATGCTCTATCACACTTCACTCCTGTCCTTTACCAGTGTTTGAAGGAGCACTGCGTTGTCTACTCAGTCTCTTATTCCTGTTTCTTAGCAGTTGTTTGCTAGTATTCTTCTTTCTATCTTAACTTGGTTAAATGGAAACTCACTAATAAGATGGAGATTGCAATTTTTTTTTTTTTTTTTGAGACGGAGTCTTGCTCTGTCGCCCAGGCTGGAGTGCAGTGGCGCGATCTCGGCTCACTGCAAGCTCCGCCTTCCGGGTTCACGCCATTCTCCTGCCTCAGCCTCCCGAGTAGCTGGGACTACAGGCGCCCGCCACCACGCCCGGCTAATTTCTTTTTGTATTTTTAGTAGAGACGGGGTTTCACCGTGGTCTCGATCTCCTGACCTCGTGATCTGCCCGCCTTGGCCTCCCAAAGTGCTGGGATTACAGGCGTGAGCCACCGCGCCCGGCCGAGATTGCAATTTTAGTGCCTGAAGGCGTTATATGAATTATTCTGGGGGGCTACGGTAGTTTTCTAGGGTTGCCGTAGTAAAATACCACAGACTGGGAGGCTCAAACAACAGACATTTAGTTTCTCACTGTTCCGGAAGCTGGAAGTTTGAGATCATGGCGTTGGCAGGGTTGGTTTCCTCTGAGGCCTCTCTCCTTGGCTTGCAGAAAGCCACCTTCTCACTGTCCTCACAGGGTCTTTCCTCGGTGCTTGCATGTGTCCACGTCCTAATCGCCCCTTCTTATTTATTTATAATGTTTGTATTTTATTTTATTTATTTTTTGAGATGGAGCCTCGCTCTGTTGCCAGGCTGAAGTGCAGTGGTGCAATCTCAGCTCACTGCACCCCCTGCCTCCAGGTTCAAGCGATTCTCCTGCCTCAGCCTCCCGAGTAGCTGGGACTACAGGTGCCTGCCATCACGCCCAGCTAATTTTTGTGTTTTTAGTAGAGAGGAGGTTTCACCATGTTAGCCAGGATGGTCTTGATCTCTTGACCTCGTGATCCACCCACCTCAGCCTTCCAAAGTGCTGGGATTACAGGCATGAGCCACCGCATCTGGCTAATTTTTGTATTTTTTATGGATACAGGGTCTTGCCATGTTGCCCAGGTTGATCTTGAACTCCTGAGCTCAAGTGATCTTCCTGCCTTGGGCTCTCAAAGTGCTAGGATTACAGGCATGAGCCACCTCTCCTGGCCCATCTTCCCTTCTTATAAGGACCAGTCCTGTTGGATTAGGGCCCACCCTAATGACCTCATTTTAACTTAATTACCCCTTTAAAAGTCCTGTCTCCAAATGCAGTCACAGTCTGAGGTACTGGGTGTTAGAACTTCAACATGGATTTTGAGAAAGACACAGTTCAGCCTATAACAGGGGCTTGCTTTCTTTATTTAAAATAATTTTGACTGGAATGCAAAGAGAATTATGTAGGCTTAATGTAATCTGCTGTGTGCCAGTAATGTTTGCAAGAAAACCACTTTGTAGTTTTGAAACAGGTCTGACCTGTAGACTCTGGTTAAAGAATAGCTCCCTGTATGGTGAAGTATGTTTATAGTCATCTCTTTACAGCTGACCCTTTTGTTTCTGCCCAGCCCTCTCTACTACTTGCTTTGTGGATAACCACTCCAGAGAACTAGGAAAGGGCAGTGGGAAGGGGTGAATATTTGGGATGTGTTTTTTGACAAGTCATCTGCTGTCATGGGGAGATTTTCTTTGTGTTCTCAAAATCTCCTAGCAAGAATATTACTTTGTAAAGAGAAATGCCTATCCCTGGGCTGCCTATTATAAATGAATGCAATGAAACCCCAAAAGGAGGCAAATTGTAATGAGCTAGAGAGTATTTTGCTTGCATTTTCTGGCATATTTATAGCATTTTTATCATGTTTTGTGAAATATTAACTAAAGCTATGCAATTAGATGAACTTTTAGATTTTGCCAGCTAATTTTCCTACAGTTGAGGCTTCAGAAAGTATCTTTTCCCTTTGACATTTGGCAAGTCATAGGTCTAGGATTTTTGCAGATACAAAGGAAAGAGCCAGGATGTATAGTTAATTTTAGAAGCAATATTTTGCGTATTGTGACATTATAAAATGTGTCTCATATTGAAGGTTTTGTTTTGTTTTTGGTGTGGCTTTTTTTTCGTGCAGGTTTCTCTTGATAAAGGGGACAGGAAAGAAAGGGATTTACATGAAGACCTATGGTTTGAGTTGTCTGATGAGACGCTTTGTAACTGGATGATGTTTGTACGGCCAGCCCAGAATCACCTGGAGCAGAACCTGGTGGCTTACCAGTATGGCCACCATGTGTATTATACAACCATAAAAAATGTGGAGCCCAAGCAGGAACTGAAGGTACAGTGCTGCCTGACCCGTGCTGCTATTTGCTAGCAAGAGTGATTGTTTAGGGCTTTTTGCAATTTTATTTTCCTAAAGTGGGTTTGTTTAACAAAAAAGGGGGAGGGGGGTCATTTTCTGGTTATTCACATACTTATTGAGTAGCTACCATGTAGTACACACTGTCATAATCCTGTAAATAGAATGAAAAGTATATGGCTTTTATGCTAATCAAAGGGCCTATGTGAAGCCGGGCATGGTGGCTCACACTTGTAATCCCAGCACTTCAGGAGGCTGAGACAGTTGGATCACTTCAGGTCTGGAGTTCAAGACCAGCCTGGTCAACATGGCAAAACCCCATTTCTACTAAAAATACAAAAATTAGCCGAGCATGGTGGCGGGTGCCTGTAATCCCAGCTACTTGTGAAGCTGAGGCAGGAGAATCGCTTGAACCAGGAGATTGCGCAGAGCCAACGTGAAAGCATGAGGTCCAGGGGTAAGGAGGTGGTAGTTTTGGGGAGTAGACCAGTACAGATGCTCCTCTACCTATGATGGAGTTAGATCCCAATAAGCCCCAGTGTAACTGAAAATATTGTAAACTGAAAATGTACTTAATACACTCAACCTACGAATATCATACCTCAGCCTGGCCTGCCTTAAATGTGATCAGAACACTTGCATTAACCTACAGTTGGGCAAAATTATCTAACACCGTGCCTATTTTATAAGAAAGTATTGACTATCTCATGTCATGTATTGAATACTGTACTGAAAGTGAAAAGCAGAATGGCTGTATGGGCACTCAGACGATTTCTACTTGAACGCATCTCACTCTCACACCATCGTCATGTCAAAAACTTGTAAGTCAAACCATTGACAGGAACGCGTGTATATCTGTGACGGAGTGATTAAAGATGTCGGTTAACTTCATTTACACACTCCATAGTTGGGAAACAGATGTTTAGATGTATGGGCAAGATTTTTTTCTTTGTATGAATGTTTTACTCAAAGGATCCTATGTGCCGACTTCTGATTTCATAAATATATTTTGGGGTAATAACTATTGAAATTTATCTAAATAATAATTCTTGATGACATAATAAAATTTTGCTATGATTCTAAATGAAAATTCCTTTTTTAAAATAAAGCTTATATTAAGAACATGCCAAAAGAGGGGATCAAAATACTCTTTAGCTTCCTGATATAAATGAAAAATAGGCAAGAAATGATCATATAAGTACACAAACACTGAATTGCACAGTGCCTCCATATGGTACAAATTAGAAATGGATACCTCTTTTGAGGGAGAAAGAATCCTGGATTTTGTTCAAAAGGTATGCAGAACCTCTGTTTTTGAAACCATCAGCTAGAGAATCCATAAACCCCAAAGAAAACATGTAAAAGGAGATTCCTATCTCATACCATGTATGCCAATAAATTCCTGATTAGAAAAAAAACTGAGGTGAATATTTTTTAACTGTGAAGGGCAGATTTTCTCTTTTAAACCAGTAGATAGAACTATAAAGTTGGAGAGAAACAAATAAGAATATAACAGTTCAGTCTAATGAACAACCATAAAACAAAAAGGAAACAACAGAAAGGGGGAAATATTTGTAATACACATTAAAAGGTTCAACTTTCAAAACTGACAGACCTCACTGCACCCAGATGGACAAATGAACAAATGTCAGGAATTGACTTTATCTGGAGGAGGAAACAAATAGTAAAAAAAAGTTTTAAAACAGAAAATAGCAAATGCATTCTGGGCTTAATACCTACATGATGTGTTGATAGGTCCAGCAAATCACCATGGCACATGTTTACCTATGTAACAAATCTGCACATCCTGCACATATACCCTGGAACTTTAAAAAGTTAAAAAAATTTTTCAACATTAATAATTTTTAAAACCGTCAAAATAACTATGAGCTACTATTTATATTTAAATTAGCAAAAATAAATGGATACAGTACAATGAATGTGAATGTTGAAAAAATAGGAATGTCAATTGTAGAATTGCATTTCATAAAACATTTCTGGAAGTATATAGCAAAAATATTCTTGGCTGAGTAAATCTAATCATTGAATGTTAATCAGAGGAAATAGTTATAAAAAGAAGACAGTACTAGACTCTACTGTATTTCACTGACCCTGATACCAATGATTTTAGGATGCACTATTATTTTATGCACCATTAAGAAAAAAAGCTACCTATTACAGTGCTTTTTAAAAATAAAAAATGGTTAGAAGGAGCTATTTTAGACTTATTTTGACATAATTTTAAAATTACATCATACTTGTGCATTCATAAAAAGACACACTGAAGCAAAATAAATTGGTTGAGGTATAAACCACTTTGTGTGCAGAGCCTGAATTCTTTTTCCTGCATCACTGTTTGACTTCATTGTGGATGTTTGTGCCTTTCTGTGTGCTGTCATCTTCTGTGCCATTGAGAATGTGAAGCAGCTGCAATATTTTAAAAATAAGTGTTCTGCTGTTGCCCCTGGGATGTTCCCTCAAGCCACTGATCACCTTCCTGCAAGTTTTGATACTGTGCTTTCCCATTTGATTGAACTCATCTGTGTCTTTTTCCTCAATTGACTCACGTATCCTTGAAGTGGAGAGGCTTTGGATCAAGCCTGTAGGAAGTTTCTGACAGCTGATGCCTTACTGAGAAGCCCTGCAGGATGCACGCCAGCCTTGCATGGCTTTCAGATTTCTTGTGTTTGTTCTGAAGGAAATGGCAGATCTTTTTGGCCTTCATTTGCATTGCTTGGCACGTGTTCACTCATGGGGTGTCAGTGGGCTTACAGCTGAATGAGGTGAGAACAGTACAAAGAGCTTGACCAGGTTTGTGCAGGAGCAGTGAGCAGGTAGCAAGAGCTCCATCGTGGCCATGACTGTAGAAGGCCCTAGAGTGTGAAACACATCCTGACTTCTGACCTGTGAAAATATTTAAAAATACACCTTGGAATTGATCAGGGTAGGATTTATAATAGTAAAATGATAATCCATCTAAAAGTGCAACTACAGGGGCGTAGTTAATTAAATTATAGAATACAGACTATGTAGACTATTATTCCACAGTAAAAAATAAAATGTCTTTATAAATATTTCCATATATTTAAAATAATCCGTAAAAATCATATATGATTAATTCATTTGGTAATTGATATATTGAACTCTTACTGTGTTTGAGACCCTAGAAAACATAGACCAGCTCCCTATGTTCAGGGAACCTGTATTCTAGAGCAGACATGGACAGAAAGATGTAAACAAGCAAATAATAACTCATGGGGTAAGTTCCATGAAGGAAACAGATGGTGCAGGAAGAGCAGGTAACAAGAAAGGGACCGATTTTGATGTGATGGTTGGGGAAGGCCCTGCTGACGAGGCTCTACTGAGGCTGAGAACTATGGAATGGGGCCAGCACTACAGAGGGTTAGGGCAGGGGTGAGGGCAAAGAGCCCAGCACTTGTGGGGGTGAAACAGCAGGGCTGAAGACTTGGGATGGTGAAGCACTTGGCATGTTTGAGCAGTTGAAAGCAGGCCCTGTTGACTGAAGCGTGGGTCAGGGAGACTGACAAGGGCTGAGTTTGCTTTTCCAGGTTGGGGAGATTGTGGAGCCCTTTGGAGATTATCACAAACATTTCAGGTTTACTATGAGACGAGAAGCCGTTGCCTGCATGACAAGATCTGATTGTGTGTTCTTTTTATTGATACATGTTAGTTGTACATATTTTTGGGATACACGTGATATTTTGATGCCTGTATATGATGTGTAATGATCCAACTGGGGTAACTGGGATTTGAGGAGACCACTCTGGCTACTGTGTAAATTGCAGAGAAAAGGAGAGGCCAGTCAGAAGGCCAAGTGGCCATCCAGGCAAGAAATGGTCTTGGCATGCATCAGGGTGGCAAAAGCGGGGATGGAGAACAATCGAGGGAGCGGTAGTCCTTGCTAAAGGCATATAGAAGCAAGCGGAGGAATCAAAGGCACCTTTCAGGTTTCAAGTCTGAGCAACTGGGTGGAAGGTATTCATCAAGATGGGGAAGATGGGTGGAGGTGTGAGTTGGAAAGCATTGAGAATTCCATTCTGGACATGCTGAGTTTGATCTGTTTGTGAGACATCTAAAACATCCAGTCAAACACACTCAGAGGGAACAGAGAGAGTCTGGGATGGAGATATTAATTTGGGATTCATTAGCATAGAGTTGGTTGGAAATGAATGTGGCCACCTGAGGTCAAAATAAGAAGTCCCTACACTCTGACTAAGCTTTGAGCCACACCAATATTTAGAAGTTAGGGAGAAAAAAAAAAGAGGCCAACAGAGTGAGCAGAAGTAGCCAGTGGGTGGGCGGGAGAAGGTGGTTGCCTTGGAAGGTGTCATTGGTGACCCCAGTAAGGGCTGTTTGGTGGCAACCACTATGACTACAACCCTGTAAAAACCAGTGTTTAAATATAGATAAGAAATCAGGGGAGGCTGTTTTATTTAGTTGAAGAGACTATGATTATAATTCTTGTGAAGTTATTCTAGTAACAGAAACCATTTTCTGAAAAAGAAAACAGGCAGTGCGTCTTGGCAAATGAACTTCCTGACTGATCTGCTGGAAAGGTATTGCAAGGGGAGCTCACAGCATGATCTTTTTTTCCATTGTTAATGGGCTGTGGAAAAGCCTGAATTGTTTCCTGTAAGCAGGAGAAATAATTTAAGCATGCAAAGAACATCTGGTGATGTCCCCAGTTCTTGATGATATACTTGCTTCTTGCAGGTGTGGTATGCCGCATCCTATGCTGAGTTCGTGAACCAGAAAATTCATGACATTTCTGAGGAAGAAAGGAAAGGTGGTTAGACGTTTATGTTTTACATTTTCTATATGAATTCTAAATTGTATATATCACATCTTTATGAAACCTCTAATTTTTTTTTTGTCTCAGTATATTTCAGAAGTTATTCCAGTAGGTTTTTTAGAGACACACATCTCCATCTAATTCAGTGTCAAACTACAATGACATTTACATTTCTTTCATGTGTGCTGGAAAATAATATTTAATATAATGAAGACTTCCAAATACCAAATTAGAACCTAGATCAGAGGACGATTCCTATCCAGATTTTATCATCTCTGAGGATATACCAAGGCAGGCATTGGCTTTGTTTTTAATGCAAATGTCACTGAAGTATAATCTACATACAGAAAGCTGCACACATCATAAGTATATGGCTTAAATTTTCACAAAGTGAACACACCCATGTAACCTGCACCCAGATCAAGAAACAGCGTTACTGTGCCCTAGAAGTTTCTTTGTGCTGCCTTCTAATTCCTACTCACTCCCAAGCGTAACTCTCTCCTGACTTCTAGTACCACACATAAGATATGCTTGTTAACAAATTGTGCATAATAGAATTATATGATATGTACACTTTTTGTGCCTGGGCATCTTTTGCTCAACATGGTATTTGTGAGATTCATCCACATTTGTGTATACAATTTATTTATTCTCATTTGGTATTCTAGTGTATGAATGTAAAACAGTTGATGTATCCATTTTACTGTAGATTTGGTTGTGAAATGCAATTCTGACACTAACTATCCAGAGTTAGGTCAAGTTTCACAGGCTCAGGGTGGTCAAGACACCCCTGACTTCAGACACCAGCTGGAGGCTCTGGAGCTCCCAAGCCCCAGACCAACTAGCTACAGGTTAGGAGGTTCCCAGTAGCTCCTCAGGTTTGATAATTCACAAGAATGACTCACAGAACTCGGAAAAGCACTATTCTTTTTTTTTTTTGAAATGGAGTCTTGCTCTGTCACCGAGGCTGGAGTGCAGTGGCGTGATCTCGGCTCACTGCAAGCTCCACCTCCCGGGCTCACGCCATTCTCCTGCCTCAGCCTCCCGAGTAGCTGGGACTACAGGCGCCCTCCACCATGCCTGGCTAATTTTTTGTATTTTTGGTAGAGACAGGGTTTCACTGTGTTAGCCAGGATGGTCTCGATCTCCTGACTTCATGATCTGCCTGCCTCGGCCTCCCAAAGTGCTGGGATTATAGGCGTGAGCCACTGCACCCGGCCGAAAAAGGACTATTCTTAACGGTGGCCATTTTGTTATAATCTTTTATATTTATTATAATATATAGATCTATATAGCTAATATATAAAAATGTATGATTTTTATATATTAGGGCCAGCCAAATGAAGAGATGCATATGGTGAGGTCTGGGAGGCCCCAAAATGTCCTCAGGACATACCACCCTCCTGGTACATTGATGTATGATTCCCAACCATAGAAGCTCACCCGAGCTTCAGTGTCCAGCATTTTTATTGAGACATCATTACGTAGGCATGACTGATTCAATGATTGGCCGGGTGATCAAGCTTGACTGCCAGCTCCCCCTTCTCTCCCTCCTTCCATGAGGTCAGGCTGATAACCCCTGGCTCAAAGCCCCACATTTCTAATTACAAGGTTGAGCTTTCCTGCATGGCCTGTCCCTGCTCTGAAGCATCTCATTAGAATAAATTTGGGTATGTTTGTGAGGTGGGACACCGTGAATAACAAAGACACTCCTGTTACTCAGGAAATTCCAGTGACTTAAAGGTTACCAACTAGGGACAAAGACCAGGAAGATTCCTTATTACATGATGAGATTGTTTCTAGTTTTTGGCTATTTTGAAGAGTGCTGCTGTGAGCATTCTTATATGTCTTTTAGTGAACATATGTGCACATTTCTGTTGGGTATGTATGTAGGAGTGGAGTTGCTGGGTCATGGATATGCCTATATTCAACTTAGGGGATGCTTCTGAACATTTTGCTAAACTAATTATACTGGGCATTGACTTTTAAGTTATTTGTGCTAAAATATACCCTCAGATTAGGAAACCTGGGTCTGAATCGCTAGGTTATCTGAACACAGATCTTTGTAACATCTTATGTGTTTTCGGTGTGGTGAAGTTGTGTGTGTGTTTTGAGGACTGTGAGAGGGTGATGTGAGGGTACTTGTTCCTTTGATGTCTTGTATGGATGCATTAGAAAATAAGATCCTAAAAAGCAACTCTCTGCCAAATTTTAGCTTTTGATTTGATAGAACAGTAATGCAAATAGCAGATACTATATAGTTATGAACTCTTTGGGCTGCAGCAAGATAAGAATGGTGGGGATCGCAGACTTTTGAGTTTTACTGGTGTCTATTGGTCATCAGCCTTTATGATTTCTCTCCTGTGACTGTAGTTCTTCGAGAGCAAGAGAAGAATTGGCCCTGCTATGAATGTAACCGCCGATTTATAAGCTCGGAGCAGTTGCAACAGCATCTCAATTCTCATGATGAGAAACTAGATGTGTTTAGCAGGTATGTATGAGGGAGAAATGCTCACAGACTGAGTTCATAAAGGTTCAGAATCATTTCTATATTGTCCACTAGCTAATGAGTGTCTCCGAGTGTCATGTATAGATAGGTAACCAGGTGGGCTACTGAGGGAACGGTGTTACCTGTCATCTCCTTTTCCCTCTGCTCCTCATTTACTATTATCCATCTTTTCCAGCATAACCAATACCCAGCAATGGGAGATGCTTTCACCTTAGGTAAATCTCCCTTAATTGGAGATTCCGAAATAGGAATTTTTGAGATAGGACATACCTTTAAAATAATCTGCATCTCTGATTTTCAGACTTTTTTCAGCAGTACAATTACTTAATCAAACCAAGTCATATGTTTAATTCCACTATATAAAAAAGACAGATGAGGGGAGAATCATATGGGATGAAGTGGGCAGGGGCCAGATCAGGTAGGGCCTTATGGGAAATGGTAAGAAATTTAGATTTTATTCCAAGTGTGATGAGAAGTCTTTAGAGGGTTTTGGTCGGGGAGTATTGTGATGTTGATTGTATTTTTTTTTTGAAAACCATTTTGGATAAAAATAACACCTGGAAAAAAATAATCACTAGCTTATATTAGAGTAAGAGTGAAGACAAGGAGTCCTGTTAGCATCTATCACAATAGTTTGGGGGAGGAATGAGGGTGGTTTGGAGTAGGCTCATGCCAGGGGGACAGATGTAGGGTTGCCAGCTTTTCTAGGGTTTGGAAAGAGAGGAGATGTGTGAGATGGTAGTTGGGTAAGTGGGAAAGCGAATGTTCTAGGGAAGTACCATACAATTGCCCACTCTATTAAATGCCCACTTGGGGTTCATGGTTATGAAATGAAAGTGAGCCCACTAGCATGGCTGTGCGTTTTCTCCAGCTTCATTCAGCTGCAGGGATGCTGGTGCAGAGCAGGCAGGGAATTGAATTACACAGGGTTGTGGCTTTGCCAAGTGCTCATAACACACATTGAGAAAACAGAGCAGCCATGGGATGGGAACTGAGAGCACGCACGAGGGAGTGGTTCCAGTGGATGACCTTGGAGCGTATGCTGTGGAAGAAGGGGAGAGAACATCAAGGCAGTGATGCAGAGCTGCACGAAAGCACCGGAAGGATTGAACTGGAGATGCTCGCGTGGCTGAAGGGTTGCTGAGTGCTGGGTACTAGAGGGAGTAAACTACAGAGCCAGGGTAGTGTCCGAGTGGGCAGTGCATGGGATTGGCATGAAGAGGCTTACAAGGGTGACAGGGTCTAGAATGTGACCACAGGGGTAAATGTCTAAGGAGGGGGTGGACACAGTGAGATTTGAGTCACTCCTGGGAATCTCCAAAACTCTGTTCATGGCTCTATTGTAGCATTTTTTATATTATATTGTGATTTTTGGTTTATATGCCAGCTCCCTTTTCTAGACCCCTGAGGGTAAAATCTGTTGCCTGTAATCTGATGTCCTTAGTGCCTAGCCCAGTATGTGATACACAGTAGGTAATATGTTTGTTAGCCAACTGTTAAGAGAAACCTGGGACAACTAGGAAGATTTGAACTTTGACTAGATATAATAATACTCAGCAACTCTCAGATATTTCTCAGGTGTGATAATGGTATTGTGGTCATATATATATAAAGAGTTCTTATGATTCAGAGAGACATGCCAAGATATCTAGAGATGAAAAGATATCTGGGATTTGCTTCCAAGTCATCTACTGGGTATGTGTGTGGGCAAGTGGTGGGGATATAGATGGAAAATGTTGGCCATGGTTTGAAAAATGTTGGAATTGGGTTATGGGTACATTGGGCTCATCGTGCTAGTCTCTACATTCACCTAGGTTCAGAATTTTCCAACATGAAGAGTCTTTTAAAAGTTCCTGGAAAAAATATATAGTATTTGTTAAATTATTAAATGGATGAGTGGAAGAATAAAATTTGATCTGATTGACATTGTACACTTCCCACATACATATCTTCTAAAAGAAGCTTTCATAACCTACTTTTTTAAGCCTCTTTTATTAAGGAATTTGTGTTTGTTGGCAATTCATGCCAGGCATGGTGGCTCATGCCTGTAATCCCCGCACTTTGGGAGGCCCAAGAGGGAGGATTGCTTGAGTTCCAGACCAGCCCAGGCAACACGGTGAAACCCCATCTCTACAAAAAATTAAATAAAATTAGCTGGGCGTGGTGCCACATGCCTGTAGTCCCAGCTACTTGGGACGCTGAGGTGGGAGGATCGCTTGAGCCCAGGTGGTTGAGGCCACAGTGAGCCATGATTACATCACTGCACTCCAGCCTGGGTAGCAGAGCAAGACCTAGCCTCAAAAAGAGAAAAAAAAAAAGTCCATTAAAGGGGATGCAAAAGTTAATTGATGTTTACTAGGCATGTTATGAAACAATTGAATTAGAAATTTGTTCTGACCTTCCAGAAGCTTGTAGTAAAACAAGAAAGTTGTTTGAATTTGGCCACATTTCTTGGAAGGAATATGAGGCGAGGCCAGGGGAAAAAGAGAGAAATAATGGGAATCTTGTCTCAGATGACATCTCCTGGGAACACGCTCAAAGGCTTAGCATGTTCTGTCCTGTCTGCCTTTCTCACATCATTTCAGAAGCAAAATATTGTCAGTGCTTTGAATTTTTATAGCTCTTTTCTTCAGAATAATTGAAGACATATCTTTAAGCTGTAATAGAGGGGAAGGATGAGACATTCAGAAAGTGTATATTAGTAAAACAGTTGTTTCTATTGGAGAAAATCTGGGAAAGTAATAAGGTGAGAGGAATCAAACTCTGGGGTTAGTAAGGATCATTTAGGTCGCTACTTGTTATGGAGTATTATGTAACCATGACGACCTGTAACCCAATCTCTTGTCCCCAGAACAAGAGGCAGAGGAAGGGGACGAGGCAAGAGGCGATTCGGTCCAGGTCGACGGCCGGGGCGTCCTCCAAAATTTATCCGCCTGGAAATCACCAGCGAAAATGGGGAAAAGAGTGACGATGGGACACAGGTACGGGGGGACGGGAAGGAGCCCTCCTTAGGTGCTTGTGTGGAGGACTCGCCAGATCCCTGACGAGACCTAAGTACAAAGACCTTCCCAATGTTTGTAGACCTTTCCTATCAGACCTTGCTGCCTGTTAATTAAAGAATGATTGGATAATGCCAGAAAAGAATGTATTTTCAAGTGTTACCTACAACAAAAACCCAACTTTGCTGCTCTAAAGATTTAAAATTGACCGGACTTGGCCAGGCGCAGTGGCTCATGCCTGTAATCCCAGCGCTTTGGGAGGCCGAGGTGGGCGGATCACGAGGTCAGGAGATCGAGACCATCCTGGCTAACACGGTGAAACCCCGTCTCTACTAAAAATACAAAAAAAATTAGCTGGGTGCAGTGGCGGGCGCCTGCAATCCCAGCTACTCGGGAGGCGGAGGCAGGAGAATGGCGTGAACCGGGAGGCGGAGCTTGCAGTGAGTCGAGATCGCGCCACTGCACTCCAGCCTGGGGACAGAGCGAGACTCCGTCTCAAAAAAAAAATAAAATAAAATAAAATAAAAATAAATAAATAAATAAAATTGACCAGAGTTAGTAGAGGTGGACTTTGTTTAATTAGTTTAAACAATTAAAATTATTGATATTCCAGAAAAGTCAGATCACAGTCTTTTCCTTGTTAAGTGGTGTGGAACCTCTCCTGCTTTTGCCTTCTGTGCATAGTTACCTAATTAACTTTCCCAGAGGGAGAATATTTTTTCTGAGTATTATGAATCTAGTCATTCTGAAATAAGCAGCAATTCTAAATCTGAGCTGACAGTCCCTCCGGCACTGATCTCTATTCCTGGTTATTGCAAATTTCAGGACTTGCTACATTTTCCCACAAAGGAGCAATTTGATGAGGCTGAACCAGCCACTCTGAATGGGCTGGATCAACCAGAACAGACCACTATCCCAATCCCTCAGCTGCCACAGGAAACCCAGTCTTCCCTGGAACATGAACCAGAAACTCACACCCTGCACCTGCAGCCGCAGCATGAAGAGAGCGTGGTGCCCACCCAGAGCACGCTGACAGCCGACGACATGCGCAGAGCCAAGCGCATCCGAGTAAGTGGGGAAAGCCGGCGGCTCCTGGCACCAGCCGCTCATCTTCCTCCCACCACCAGCTCTCTGGTGGTTTTCTAACCTATTCACCTTCCTCTCTGAAATCTTGCATCTAGCCTGTCACATGCTCGATCCCCTTATTTTGAAAGAAAGTGTTCACTATTTCTCAATGTCTCTGTGTCCCATGGCAGGCTGGCATGGCTGGTCCTAGATTTGACCAATTTAGTGACGACACAGAGGCCTAGAGGTTGGCAGCTCCTGGACTAGCTCTCTGCATCCCTCAATTCACAGATTGGAAGTGGAGAAATAAGTACATTTAGTTATAATAATCATTTATATTTTAAACCAGGCTAATTTGTGCCTAATCATAGCTCTCAAGTTGATTTTGGGTAACTAAATGTGCTTATCTACAGCTTCCCAGGGGAGAATGGCAAATGTCATTACTCATCAATGTAAAGTGACCTGTGTCCAAGTTGATATGGCAGGTACAGTTCACACACCTGCGGATAGCTTGAGCCAAAGCTGTCAGTTCGAGAGTTAGTCAGTGTCTGAGTCACGGGACCTGTGTCTTGGCCTCAGACCATGCGGCTGCAGGGCTTTCCTGACTTGCAGTTCAGATGCGTTTTCTCTTATTATTTCACAAATAGCATTTGACTCTGAGTTAGGAACTGCAGGGGATTCGTGTGGAAAACAATATGGCTTTGTGGGATAAGTGTCTGTGCTGATAAAAACCAATGACTTACAACCCATGTTTATGGCAGCTGAGTGCATAAAGACATATTGGTACTTTCCAGTAGATGAAAGAGACATTTTGTATAACTTCCCAGGCTTTACAATTTCTACATGCATGATCGTTCAGCGTATGTTTCTTTTGGTCTTCTTATTTGCCTCTAGGCTAGAAGGGACCTTGAAAAATAGTCTAGTCCATGCCTTCATGTAAAAACACATTTAAACATTTGTAGTCATATGATAGCTTTGAAGGGCTCTAAGAACTGAGGCTAAACAGCCTTTATGAGAGCCCTGTAATCGAAACATATGAAACTCTCAGCTCACTGTATATTATTTCACAAGAGTATATCAACATACAGAAATACAGGCCAGCAAGGAAAACAAGCTATGAAGTAATATCCCATCCATCCTTCTCCTTTAGTTCCTAATCTGCACTTCTTTCTCTTGCTCAATTACTATATTTTCTGCTTTGGCCATTCTGATTTTTTTTACTAAGTCCAGAGAAACCCTTGCTAGATTTTTTTTTTTTTTTTGGAAGGAAAAAAAAAAACCGAAGCCCACACATGCAGTGAAGTTGTGGATGCACAAACACAGTCCAGCCGTAATTGTACTTGCATTTTTGAATGAGCAGGGTTACTGGTTTTGGTGCAAGGTTCCTTGTGTCAAAGCGAAAGCCATATGTATCTGGCTTTTGGAGGTCAGTCTTAGTTGAGCTATTTTGTTTTTTTTTCTCTCACACATTCTAAAAAGTAGGGCTATGTATTTTTTCATCTTTTCTATCCAGATTGGTAATGACCAACTGAAGGGAAGTCTTCCAATCCAATTGGTAATGTAACTATTTTTCTCTCCTCTAATGCTGCCTGCTCAGTTGGAGCTGCAGGTAGGTTTGTTTCCTGTGTTTCACATAACAGAATGTTACTTGTTTGCCTGACCTGCTGTTCTTTGCAACCTGTACTTACTAAATCCTGGTGGAAACCACAGTTTGGTTGCTACAGTAAATGCAAATTAATGAATAATGATAATTTATTTGTAAATAGATCAAGGAATAAATTGTGGGCTGCAGGTTCCTCATATACAAAATGAAGGGTAGGACTAAGTGATCTCCAAGGTCCCTTCCAGCGCTAAAACCATTGGAATGACTTATGCAATAGTGTTGAGTTCTAACTGTCTATTTGGCACTATGCTAGGTACACAATAGAATTTTCACTTGAGCTTGCAGTCTAAGTAGGAAATCAATACTAATGTAGGGGAGTTTACAGTTAGGTGTTAAATGTAAAAGTATAACTTGGAAGAGTGAAAGGTTGAAGTAAAATAGAGGAGTCAGGATAATTCTTGGATAAGGTGAGACTTAGACTAGCCCTTGAAAGAGAGGAGGAAGGTAGACTGTTTCAGAGAATGATAGCCATAGGATCAGAGGCCCAGACACAGGAGGTTCTTGCTGTGGTTGGGACAGTGCAGACATGAGCCTGGCCCTAGCAGGGGTGCAGTGGAAGGATGGTGCAGAGTGAGCCGAGTTGGGCAGGGCTGGCCAACCAAAGGCTTTCAAAGTGGGCAGAAAATTGTCCAAAGGAAAGTTGTTTAAAAGACCCCAAAACTGCCAGGCATAGTGTCTCACACCTATAATCTCGGCACTTTGGGAGGCTGAGGCAGGTGGATTGCTTGAGCCCAGGAGTTCGAGACCAACCTGGGCAACGTGGTGAAACCCTGTCTCTACTAAAAAAAAATACAAAAAAATAGGTGGACATGGTGGCAGGCACCTGTAGTCTCAGCTACTCAGGAGGCTGAGATGAGAGAATCCTCTGAGTCTGGGAAGTCGAGGCTGCAGTGAGCTGTGATTGTGCCACTGCACTCCAGCCTGGGCAATGGAGTGAGACCATGTCTCAAAAAACCCCCCCAAAACCCCAAATCAACAAACATGATTGTTTGATTTCTTTTTTGTGTCAGGATTAAAATAATATGAAAATTGATCAATAATTTAGGTTCTTTTAGCCATTAATATCAAACTTTAGAAACATTTTAGTCAGGCGTGGTGGCATGTACTTATAAGTCCCAGCTACCCTGGAGGCTGAGGTGGGAGGATTGCTTGAGTCCAGGAGGTCGAGGCTGCAGTTAGCTATGATCATGCCATAACACTCCAGCCTGGGCGATGGAGAAAGACCCCATCTCTAAAAAACAAACAAACCCCCTAAACTTTAGAAACATTTTATGATCTCTGTCTACAAATAATCTGTTGTCTTAGAATTCATTGCAATGTGAGTTGAATCCCAAATCACAGAATTTAGCAACAATACGATTTTGGTATCCCTAGAGTAGCTGATATATATGTAGAGTGTGGTGGATTGCCTGACGAACTCAGGAAAGCAGAAGAACTAGAGTGGATCTGTGCGCTCTCTCCGACATTTGTCATGATTTCTTCTAGAAATGTGTACGGGTTGTGGCTCTGAGCTACAGAAGACACCTTAGAACAGAAATGGCCTGCAAGTGGGTCAACGGGTGGGGACAGTTTCAGCATTTTTACGACCTTGTAATATGACCATCCCATTAGTATCATTAGATCAGAGAAATACAATCTAGTTCTTGAGTGCAGACAATGTTCAGGGCTCCATGGAAATTGAAAAGATGATAAAGTTTGTCAATAGAGCCAAGAAAGTGGAGCCAGGTGGTGGCTCAGTTTAAATCAAGTGGCTGAAGGTACTCACACTAATCAGAAATGACAGAAGACTGATTAGCATAATGGACCAAAACAAAACTGAGTTCTGGATTTGGCACCCAAGGAGAAATGGCATCCTCAGTGGGACCACAGTCAATGTGCATTGTGTCTGTTCTTGGACACTTCAATGAACTTGGATAAAGGAAAAGATTCCTACATGGCAAAAGTGCTCTGAATCTTGCATCTTTGAACCTCACAATAGTATTGGTTCATCAGCAATATTTCCGTAAAGTTTTGAAAGTGGACAAAATAGTAAAGCTTTTATGTAAAATTAGTATCCAGACAGAGTTAAAAAGATGAGGTGGCTACTGAACTACACAGAAGTGAAAGCAAGCCCTGTGGCTGATTTGAGAAAAAACTATGCTTTTTTTTTTTTTTTTTTTTTTTTTTTTTTTTTTTTTTTGAGACAGAGTCTCACTGCAACCTCCACCTCCCAGGTTCAAGCGATTCTCCTGCCTCAGCCTCCCAAGTAGCTGGGATTACAGCCCTGGGGTTACAGGTGCCTGCTACCACGCCTGGCTAATTTTTGTATTTTTGGTAGAGACAGGGTTTTACCATGTTGGCCAGGCTGGTCTCAAACTCCTGACCTCAGGTGATCTGTCCGCCTCAGCCTCCCAGAATGCTGGGATTATAGGCATGGGCCACAGTGCCCAGCCAAGAAAGACCTATTCTTAAAAATCTCTGCAGATGCTGTAGAAAAATCCTTGAAATCATTTTTTTGAGTTTCATATGAAATATATTTCACTGATTCTCAAACTACTTTTGAAGACTTCCTATAAGCTAAGCAATTTATTAAGGGATCTGGATACAAAGGAGAATAAAGTATGATACATCCCCTGAAGCAGCCCCATCAGCTGAAGAAGATCACAGAATTGCTGTTTATCTACTCAAGATAAGTGAGTAGGTAGCAGCTTAAAAATCTTTCTCCTAGCCCGGTTAGAGAAGCCCTGAGAAGGAAATCTCTTGTTACATAGTAATTATGTCTAGAAATTCCACTAAATCAAAAATAATTATTTTGTTTTCCTCACATGATGATTTCACATTAAATTTAGTTTAAAAGTTGATGCTTACAAGTAATTTGAAGTTAAGATCGCACTAAGATCTCCATTAATCCTTCAATTACTGTTCATTTGTAGCTACATAGGCACAGCCATTCACAGATATACTTGAAGGATTTCCCCCCCTTGTAGCAATCTAGAGCTTTCCCTCAGTGTTCTGAGGAACGGATGAATGAGTCTTCATTGTAAGCATAACTGAAAGATTGATTCTGCATTCTCTGTGTGAGGTGATTTTGTCGATCTGCTGTCAGTAGAGCATGAGTAGATTTTCCAGTAGTGGCGATGGGTTTGCACTGAGTACCCGTACTCTCCCACTTGGATGCCCTATAACAATTGCATGAATTTACAAGATGGCCAATCAGCATTACAAGTGCAATCTGTGCCTGAAAACAAAGAGCAGAATTGCCTGGTCGAGGCAGGAACAGTGTGATGAGCTTAACGTTGTTAGCATGGCATTCTAACCAGTAGAACTAACTAGCTATTCTGGAACCTTACCTTCTGTTTTCTAAGTAGAAAGTGATGAAATGCATATATTCCATTTACGACATGTGCTCATGTCCCATTCACATAAATCTGAATCCTTTCAAGAAATTCTCGTGGCATAAAGTTTACCCTTTAAAGTGGTTTTTAGAACATTCTGAAGCTGTGCAATCTTCACCACTCTCTAATTCCAGCACACTTTCATCACCCCCAAAAGAAACCTGGTATCCATTACCCCCAAAAGAAACCTGGTATCCATTTCCTTCTCCATCCTGCCGCTGGCAAGGACTACCCTTCAGTTCTTTTTATTGTTTTTTTGTTTGTTTGTTTGTTTGTTTTGTTTTTGCTAAATGTTTTAATCAAGCTTCAAATTCTTTTTCTCATGGATTTCAACAAGTAACATTTGACTGACTTGCTCCAGCCTGATTCCTGCATGTGTGACTTAACCTAAGTCTTTTCCTCCAAATCTTCCATTTTTATCCTGTTCCACTGTGGGATTTGTTTTATTATACAAGTCTTCTATTGGGAACACTTTTTTTGTTACTTAAACCCTTTCAAAAGAAAACCCACATACATAGATGTAAAACAAAACACAAAAAAATTTCATCTCTTTAAGATGAGCTTCTTTGAGGATGGCTTCATTTTCAGTGTCTTCACCAGAAAAATCTCCTTTCAACTGTGTGTGTCCTAGAGTTGAACTTCTATGGGAAGTCTGTGATTGCAGAGATCATCCTCTCTTTCTCTGTAAAAGTGTGATCCAGTTGCACTCTTAATTTCATCACTAAATGATCACATTTGTGTATGTCTTTCAGAATGCAGCTCTTCAGCATCTGTTTATTCGGAAGTCCTTCCGGCCTTTTAAATGCTTGCAGTGTGGGAAGGCCTTCCGGGAAAAGGACAAACTGGACCAGCACTTACGCTTCCATGGGCGGGAGGGGAACTGCCCACTGACCTGTGATCTCTGTAACAAGGGCTTCATCAGCAGCACATCCTTGGAGAGCCACATGAAGCTCCACTCAGACCAGAAGACTTACTCTTGCATTTTTTGCCCAGAATCCTTTGACCGCCTTGATTTGTTGAAAGATCATGTGGCCATTCATATCAATGATGGCTACTTCACCTGCCCAACTTGTAAGAAACGGTTCCCAGATTTTATCCAGGTGAGTGTCTACTACTGAGATTCCTGTCTGCTTCCTTCTTTTGGTAAAAGAAACTTCGATTTTTGGAAAACCGAGACTGCCTAGCACCTGCATTTCCATCCCTTCTTTGAAACAACTTTACAATTGAGAACAATATTTCTTCAATCAAACTACTTTTATACACAAGATTATTATGACCCTTAATTGTCCAGATCAGACATTGACATTGAAGTGTTTAAGTTACAAGTAATAAACACCCAGATCTATTATAATTTTTAAAAAGTCTTTCATAATCCATGTCAATGTCTATTGCTTATAAAATATACCGAGCCTGTAGAAGACATACTCCCGTTTCTGAGGGGCTGGGAACATCTCCCTACTACTACTGTGGTTTCCTGCTTGCTTTAACCAAGGCCATACATTTTGGAAGGAAACAAAGAGAAAGTTGGTATATAATATACTTTTGTATCAGGAACCGACTGCCTCCTCCCCTGTAGTGTATTCTTTGTTGGAGCAAAATGGGTGAAGATAAATTTCAGAATACTCATGATTTCATTTGGACTTTAAGTGATAAGATTTTCCTGTGCTAGTCAGTGAATAACGAAACATTTTGTAAAAATACACTTTTTCAATTACCAAAGGAAAAGAAGACTAGGGATTTAATTTTAGTTCTGCTAGTGTTGAGAGTCTTGGAAATTTTCTCACTTCACACAAACTAGTAGAAAGATTGCTTTAAGGCATAATTTAATGGCAAAAGAAACTCCAAAAATAATGAAGCAAACTATCTTATAGGAATAGTTTGGTAAGACTCACTACTTAGCTTCCATCCTCAGCTCTTTCTCATTGGATATGTGTGGCTAAGAGAGTTCAGAAGCCCTATTCCTTTATTTATCTAAAAGTAAGGGAAGTAAGTCCCAGTTGAGAAGTGACGCCAGCGTCATATTGCTCTCACAAACCGGTAATGTCTTCTGTATCCACTCATTCATGTCTTTAATTCTTCAGAACTTAATTTTATAAGAAGATGTAAAAGGATCAAAAGGGGCTAAATTGCTTCTGTGCAGATTAAAGACGGAGAAAAGTAAGGAAGAATTGGTTTTTGTCTTCCTATAGATCCTTTTTAGCAAGATTTCATTTAAACCCAAAGGAACTTTTGCTTTTTATCTTTAAAAAATGGGCTTCAAGTGATCAGGGCTTTGACCAAGCAAGCACTCTCTCTCTCTCTCTCTCTCTCTCTCTCTCTCTCTCTCTCTCTCTCTCTCACGTTTCAAGTCATCGGGGAGGTTCGGATTTCTAAGGCTTTCTGGCTACTTGTTTTATTTCTTTGTGACAGGGACAGTATGTGTTATTGAGGCCAATTATCACATCTGATTGGATTCCTCGGCGGGGTTGATGAAAACCCATGGTAATGCGTTTGGCTCCCTCTAGCGTTGACAAGCTGCCTTTGGTCATTTCATTTGGTGCCTGCGTCCCCTGAATTTTCCTGTGGTTCTTATCACCAGGTGAAAAAACACGTGCGCAGCTTCCACTCAGAAAAGATCTACCAGTGCACAGAGTGTGACAAGGCCTTCTGTCGCCCCGATAAACTGCGACTCCACATGCTCCGGCATTCGGACCGCAAAGACTTCCTGTGTTCCACCTGTGGGAAGCAATTTAAGGTATGACACCAAGGCACAGCCCAAGGTGGTTCTCGTGGCCACTGGAATTATAGCAAGCTGAGGGTAAATGCCTGTTCATTTCATCAGTTTATCACCCACCTCTGATGAACTGGACCTGAGATACTCTTTGGGCCTTGTGTTTGACTTAGTTATAAAATTAAGGGGGAAAACTTACTCATTTCCTCAAAATAGTTAATTCAAATCCCCAAACAAGTAGAGTAAAAATGCATCATCTCCTAAAAGAATCCAAATGTATAATGACAAGTATAACTAAATCGCTATTGAGATTTCCTAACAGACCAAAACCTTTACTTAACATTCAGATCAGGAGGTTTTTGTTGAGCACTGATGAAGTATAAGAGCCCGTAATTGAGCCTTGCAGCCAGCAGGACGCTCATCTAATTCAGGTGGGAAATCTGAAGAATGCTGAGAAGGCTTAGACTACTTTGGAGAATGTTAATGACCTCAAAGATTAAAACATTATGAGTATCCGTAACCCACCTGGAACTTAGAAGAAGCCGAGCAAAACCCTGCAGGGGACCCAGAAATAAAAGTTAAATAAATAAATGTAAAAACAATGAAATATGCTTCATTGGGAAATAAGGTGATTCTGCAAAAATGTCACTGGAAGACCTTCTGCTGAAAATGATTGTAGGTCACACTCTCATAGAAACTGGAAAAGAATCAGAAATTGATTCAGGAGAGGAAAACTAAGGGTATATTTGTAACAGATGCAAAGAAATTAAAGAGAAATAGAGTTTGCAAAGCTGGTTTTATGGTAAGTGTGTTATAGAATATAATTTAATGGCTTTGAATATATAACAGCACAATTTAGAATTCCGTAGAGAACTCCAGTGTGAAAAGTATAAGTAGGTCTGGGATTTTTCTGTTCTTAAAAAAAATCATATCTAAAAGGATTCCTGTTTTGCGATACTGTTTGGCCATCCATCCATCCCATCCAGCCAGTGTTTTTTGATTTTTCATTTTGTGCCAGATACCATATTTTAACACCTTGGAATATTTCTTTAAAATTTCTTTGCTTGCTTTCATTTTCTCTTTTACTTTCACCCAGTATATTCAACCACAGTTCAATCAGGGAAGCAAAGCCACTGTGAATGTTACAGAAGAAGATTTTCTTACAGGACTAAGAACTTAATTATAGGAGAAGATGGAGAAGTGAGGGTTGAAGGGAGAAGCTGGGAGGTCGGAAGTCAGCAGTATGCCCACAGAAGTACTGGTCTGGGTGGTCAAATGGGAAGTTACCTGGGAATCTGGGAACCAAGCACTTCCTCCTGCAGAGGGGCCCAGGAAGGAGAGCTGGTGTGGTCTGTGAAAGACTGTGTCACTGCATCTGGTGGTGGATGTGGAGCTGGCCAGCAGGGCTGGCAGTCAGGAAGACAGCTGGTGGCTGGGTGGGAAAGAGAGGATAAGTAGGGACCCACAGGTACCTCTACATGACACCGTCTAGAGCAGCACGGAGCTGCTTCCTTTCCACCTTCCAGGCTGGTCTGAGTTTCTCTTTGGCTAACCCCAACTCGGAACCATGCTGGGAAGAAGACTCCCTTCAAATGTAGTTCCCCTTAGCCAAGTTGACCCAGCACAAAACCACTACCACCTACCTTCCTGGCATATTTTCAAAGTAGAATCAGAGTAATTTTTCTAGAGAACAGCTCTGATGTCATGTCCTTTCTGAAAAACTCTTAAATAGCTCTTCACGCAGATAAATCCCGAAGTTCTTGTTACTTCTAAGATGCTACAGGATCTGGCTCCTGCCAGCCTCTCTGGTTCCTGCCTCCCCGTGTGCTCAGGGTGACCTGAACTCCATAGCTTTACCCAGGTGTGGCATACTCTCTCTCCTTGGGCCTTTGCACTTGCTCTCACTCCTCCTCCTGACTTGAAATGCATTTTCAAACTGTCATATTCCTTCACCTGGCTAATGTCACTTCATATGGGGCATTTCCTGATCCCTGGATTAACTGCTGCTTCTCCCACCAATTCCCACAGGGCCTTTTGCTGGTGACCCTGTCATAGCATTTGTGTATTGCATTTGCCTGTCCTGCTAAGTATAAGCTCCATGAGGGCAGCATTGAAGTCAAGGTGGGACCTTCCAACTTCAGGGAGCTCACACTAGAATAGAGAAAAGAATAAAGTGGCCGGGTGCGGTGGCTCACGCCTGTAATCCCAGCACTTTGGGAGGCCAAGGTGGGCAGATCACCTGAGGTTGGGAGTTCGAGACCAGCCTGACCAACATGGAGAAAGCCCATCTCTACTAAAAATATAAAAGTAGCCAGGCGTGGTGGTGCATGACTGTTATCCCAGCTACTCAGGAGGCTGAGGCAGGAGAATCACTTGAACCCGGGAGGCGGAGGTTGTGGTGAGGCGAAATCATGCCATTGTACTCCAGCCTGGGTGACAGAGCGAGACTCCATCTCAAAAATGCTGTGAGAGGGATTCACTGATTTGGGGTATAGGGGAGACCTCATAGATATGGTGACACTTTTGAATCCATTCATGGGTGGGAAACAGTTTGCCAGCTAGGGAAAGGGAGAGGTGAGGAGTGAGGGAGGAATATTGGCATCTCAAGCAGAGGGAGCAGCAGGGAGTGGTGATGCCACGTTCGGGAGATTGGGAGAAGGGGACTGATGGAGGGTGTGGCAAGAGGAAGCCAGGGAAGCGGGTTAAGCTAGCGCGCTGTGCTAAGTAATTAGACTTACCAGCGTTTCAGAGCTGGGCTAATTCAGGCCGAGGCAGTGGGTGTGGAGAAGAGGGGCCATGTTCAAGACAGGCGTCATGGGAGGCTGACAAGAACTTGCACTTGGGTGGAAGGGGGAAGGGTGGACAGCAAGGAATGGAGATTTGCAGCTTGAGAGGCTAGATGTTTGGGAACACCGCTGATACCAAAAAGCACGACTTAGGCAGAAGGAGTGGGGGCAGATAGCGGATTTGGTTTGGGGGATGTTAGGATGGAAAGGCCTCATGGAGATTTGGCATCCAACAAATGTGTGCCCGTCACGATGTGCATAGCATGGTGTGGTATTTGTGTTAGGCTTTGAAATTTATGTGATGATTCGGTTAAGGTCAGTTGGTTGTTTAAAGGGAATAGACGGGAACTAGTGAATGTTGATGCTTAGAAAAAAGTGGGAATGCGAGAGGAGTTGGAGGAAAAGGAAAAGAAAAAAAGTGGCAATGCAACAGTGCTTTGCCATTGTATCCACACTAAAGAAAGATACTGTCACGTAGGGCAGTGTCCTTAATCCAAATCCTACTGTAGCCTACAAAGCGCTGAACATTCCCTCCTGGGCTTTCCAGAAATGAAGGCGGGTGGGATAGGAAGAAAGAGTTGGGTCGTATGCATTGCAGCAGAAGAGGCAGGTGGGTGAGGGAGGCCCAGCATTGGAGCTCGGCCCTTATCCTGCTCCCTGATACTGGGTAGGCCCTCAAGGAATATTTGTTGAGTAAATGTGCTGAAAAATGAAGTCCTTAAAAAAGTCCCTGTGCTGAAAGGTGGGAAGAACTGGATTTGTAGAAAGCCTCAGAGTCTTTATGGGACTAATAACAATTTATTCATGTGTCCCAGAGCAGAAAGCCTCACTGGATCAGGGAGCTGGCACTTTGTTTTTATTCAGGATGGGCTCTGCCTGATTCTCTCCATGGACTCACATCAGCATGTGTCACTAAATAGTGAAACCAGGAGCTGAGCCCTGGGCCCCATGCTCCATCATAGTGAACAATGGATTTGTTTACTTGAACTTCTAATTCTGTAAGGTGAGAAGTTCTAAATCCATAAGATAGAGATTCTTACTTAAATTCTTTTGGGATTTAGAAAAATATAATGTTTGCTGAAAGGTGTGGGAATTGAGTATACACATGGCATTTTTTCTTTGACAGAGCCTTGCTCTGTTGCCCAGGCTGGAGTGCAGTGGTGTGATCTCAACTCAGTGCAGCCTCCACCTCCCAGATTCAAGTGATTCTCCTGCCTCAGCCTCCTGAGTAGCTGGGATTACGTGTGCCACCACACCCAGCTAATTTTTATATTTTTCATAGAGACAGGGTTTCACCATGTTGGCCAGGCTGGTCTCAAACTCCTGACCTCAGGTGATCCGCCCTTGTCGGCCTCCCAAAGTGCTAGGATTACAGGCATGAGCCACCACACCCGGCCTACACTGGCTTCTAAAATCTAATATTACCTGTTATCAATTTGTCTGAAGTTCTTTTATGCCAGGCTTGTTCCGTGTTCTCTTTAATCTCCTCTACATAAATGCACAGTCTTTATTCTCAAAAGTCGGTATGTATCTTTCCTATTTAATGGTCATTTTAAACCAAGGTTCATTGGAATGCACATATTTGCTAGTGAACAGAGTAACTCCCAGCCACTTTTAACATGTCTGCGTCCTAGTGTTCCAGCAACTCAAATGTCTCTTGGAGGCTTGTGGTGACTGCTAATTTGTATTGATTTTTAAAATGATCCCTTCAGTTAAAAATTTTCTACCCCCGTGTCTACCCCGTTTTCAAAAATACTCTCCAAATAGCGAAAAGACAAACTACGGGAACACATGCAGAGGATGCATAATCCTGAGAGGGAGGCCAAGAAAGCCGACCGCATCAGCCGCTCCAAGACGTTCAAGCCCCGCATCACGTCCACAGACTACGACAGCTTCACGTTCAAGTGCCGCCTGTGCATGATGGGCTTCCGGCGGCGCGGCATGCTGGTCAGTGCCCAGTGGCTGCGGGTTCCTCTGTCTTCCCAGCATACCTCATTGCTGTCGATGATGGTGACGTTTGTGTTGCATTGTGTCCTAAGTTATATCGATCAATGGTTTTGTCAATGTCCAGGGGAAGAAACAGAGGCAAACGATTCCCAATTTGGAGTTCTGTCTTTTCTAGTCTCCCTTTGCTCTCTCTTGCTGCTTTTTGGATCAATTCTTGTAAGAGGTCTTTTTCTTTTTCTTTTTTTTTTTTTAATCACTTTTCATTACTACTTTTGTTTTTCTTTACCCATCTCAATCTCTGCTCTCACCTTATTTTAGTTCCCTCTTTTGTGTCCCTGAATGTATTTTTTTAATGGGGTATTTGCCTTCTCCCCAGCTGTTCCCTTTTATTTTATTTATTTATTTTTGAGACAGAATTTCGCTCCTGTTGCCCAGGCTGGAGTGAAATGGCGTGATCTCAGCTCACTGCAACCTCCCCCTCCCAGGTTCAAGCGATTCTCCTGCTTCAGCCTCCTGAGTAGCTGGGATTACAGGTGCCCACCACCATGCCTGGCTAATTTTTGTATTTTTAGTAGACACGGGGTTTCACCATTTTGGCAAGGCTGGTCTCAAACTCCTGACCTCAGGTGATCCACCTGCCTCAGCCTCCCAGAATGCTGGGATTACAGGCGTGAGCCACTGCACCCAGCCCCCAGCTGTTTCCTTTTAATGCCTCTCTTTTCCAGATATCAAACAGCAGTAGAAGGAAGCTTTCCGTCAAAGCAGGGTATGTGCATCCAGGTTAGCTGAAGCATCAGACAGCCAGTGCTCTGCTCTCAACTCATTTTGACCTTGTTACGGGTGCAGAATATATTTCTGCCAGGTGCTGGAAAGTCATAGAGCAATATTTAAAATTCAGAACCTTAGTCTGTATCTCATTCCATGTTCTTAGTAAGACTAGGGCATTAAATAATGAAAGACAGGTTTGCATGAGGAGAACTCACCAAAGAAATTCATACCAGTGTAATTTTCCTTTTTCCAATAGTAGTTCTTTCAGCCAAAGACTGTTGATGGCTGAATTCACCACAGTGAGTCACCTTCAATTGTTTGGTGAATTATTGTTAACTCCTGTTAACCATGACTGTGAGTGCTTTGGCATCAGATGGGGTCTGGTGATCCTGGTTCTGGCCAAATGCCTTATTATTTGGGGGCATTGCTTCAGAGAATTCCAGCTTCTGGCGGTCATTATCAGAGGCATTCGTGTAGCTTCTGTTTGGTTAATGGGGTCTCTTTTTCTCATTGGTTCTTTCTTTTCCCTTTAGGTAAATCACTTATCGAAGAGACACCCAGACATGAAGATAGAAGAGGTGCCAGAGTTAACTCTACCCATCATAAAACCCAATCGTGATTACTTTTGTCAGTATTGCGATAAGGTAAAAGGGAAATATTCATATTGGTATGCCACTGGGGTTCCCTGCTTAGAGCTGACTTGTCCGTATTTATAAATATATACTACGATTTTTTTGTTACTCTTACCAGATGGTTACCTGTCTCTCAGTAGTCTCCATTCAGACAAGAAAGGACTAGAAATACAGCCTTATTTTAAGCCAAATTTTTTTCTTAAGAAATAGTTGACTTCATTTTTCTTACTGTCCCTTCTCTCTGTGATTTTTGTTACACAAGAAGAGGTTTATTACTAGTGCTTAGTGTATGAATTAATTTCAAATTCCTAGGCTCTAAAATGAGAGCATTTATCATGACCTATAACATATATGGTAGTTTTGGGGTTTCTATAAGGTGGAGGGGGTTGGGAAAGCTTTGTGGTGGAGTACTCTACTTGTACTATTGCATTATTTTCATGTAGTTACAGAAAAGACACAGAATATATATTTATTATTCCACTGTAATATCCTTTCTTACTTTTTGAGATGGAGTCTTGCTCTGTTACACAGGCTGGAGTGCAGTGGCATGATCTCAGCTCACTGCAACTTCCGCCTGGGTTCAAGCGATTCTCCTGCCTCTGCCTCTGGAGTAGCTGGGATTACAGGCGCCAGCCCCCACGCCCAACTAATTTTTGTATTTTTAGTAGAGACAGGGTTTCACCATGTTGGCCAGGATGATCCACCCTCAGGTGATCGCCCGCCTCGGCCTCCCAAAGTGCTGGGATTATAGGCATGAGCCACCACACCCAGCCATCCTTTCCTTATATAATGTAGCTATATCAGCTTAAAAGTGAGAAACATTTTTTAACATAGATTCCCCACTATAGATAGCAGTTGCTATTGACGTTGCCATTTGGAAGATTCTCTGGCTCCTGGTCTTCAGCTGCGTACATCATATGAGAGCTTTCACAGGCAGCTCTCATATGAGGTGGATGGGCCTTAAAAACAATTATCTTCCTCTGTCTGTGTATCATATCCAAATTTTAAACTTTAGGATAAAGGGTATTTTCACAGTTATTATCTTAGATTTATAGATTAAAGAAAGAAACCTATCATATCTACATTATGTTCTTATTTTATTCTAATTTGTAGTATATCCTTGCTCTTCAATAGATCTGTTAATATACATATTAATATATTTTATTTGGGGCTACATGAATACTTTTCCTCATTTTCTTATAATGAAATTGTTAGTTTGCTTTAAGCAAGAAAGTGGAACTGTATACTGCTTTCATGGCAAGGCGCTTACATTTGCAGGTTTATAAAAGTGCCAGCAAGCGCAAAGCCCACATTCTGAAGAACCACCCAGGAGCAGAGCTCCCACCGAGCATTCGGAAGCTCCGACCCGCTGGTCCTGGAGAGCCAGACCCCATGCTGAGCACACACACCCAGCTGACGGGCACCATCGCCACCCCTCCCGTCTGCTGTCCCCACTGCTCCAAGCAGTACAGCAGCAAGGTAGGGGGAGTTTCTGACTAAAGCTAAGGTCAAAACCGCCATGCGAGGAATCTCTTAAGGAAAGGTGGCTTCTCATCCACATGGCCTGGATGGCTCCTTCTGAGTTGACGGGGGACTGAAAGAGATGTTGTCCTAGTCACTGTAAACAGAGAGCACAGCAGAGAATGGAAAGAGGATACTGTGGACCTCCCCAGAATTAGTGCCGTACAGCAGCCCGAGCAGCTGGCTGTTTTCCTTTTCCCTTGGCCTGCGGAGGGCCTCACGTTTGAATGTTCTGTGCTTGCAGTTGGTGAGTTCAGGCTTTTGGAAGCACCACATAGAAAGTTACGTGGTGGCTTTACAAAGGAGGTCATTTTGGCTGGGGGGATTGTGATTGATTGCTGCAGGTACTATTTGGGGGGGGTATTGAGACCTTGCTGATGGTGTGAGGTCAGGTGAGGTTTTACTTCTTCCCCACCCTCTTCCCTGCTTTCATAGCATTATGTTACCCCAGGAAGTACAGGCATAGAGTCAGTGTTGCTCTGATTTTTCTTTTTTTAAGACATAAAAGACTTTAGGAATCTTTGGAGGATTTACATATGAGAAAAACGGAAAATCACAAATTCTAATAATTATTCTTGTTTTTTGCCTTGCTTTTTCAGACCAAGATGGTCCAGCACATTCGAAAGAAGCATCCAGAGTTCGCCCAGCTCTCCAACACCATACACACACCACTGACGACAGCTGTGATCAGTGCCACCCCAGCGGTTTTGACTACAGACAGCGCCACTGGAGAGACTGTGGTGACGACGGACCTGCTCACCCAAGCAATGACAGAACTGTCCCAGACCTTAACGACAGACTACCGAACGCCACAAGGGGATTACCAGAGAATTCAGTACATCCCTGTGTCGCAGTCGGCGTCTGGCCTCCAGCAGCCTCAGCACATACAGCTGCAAGTGGTTCAAGTGGCCTCGGTACTGCGTGCCTTGGTTTCCCTTTGCCTTATGAATGCCGTGTTGCCACTAGCACCTCATTCTCAGAGCTGGGGCTGGGATCTATGTAATGTCCTTCTGCGTGGAAGTTCTGAGCCTTGGGCATTTTACAACTGCCCCTTCCCCTTTCAGGCTGATGAGGCCTCTGGCCTTAGCAATGTAAGAGATTTCTGTCTATAGTAGTCAGGAAATTTTAGGTTCCAGCATATACAAGCCTCCTGTGCTGTGGCAGGACAGTAGCCACAGCACCTGTTTCTGACCCTCTTCTGATCCTTATCTTTAACCATCCTGGTTGGCTGCTTGGTAATGAGCCAGTTTGATAAATCACGACCTGCGTATCAAATGTCTTATATCAAAGAGAGGTCATAAAGCATAATATTGATGGCTGGGCGCAGTGGCTCATGCCTGTAATCCCAGCACTTTTGGGAGGCTGAGGCGGGCAGATCACTTGAGGTCAGGAGTTCGAGACCAGCCTGGCCAACATGGCAAAATCTCGTCTCTACTAAAAATACAAAAATTAGCTGGGCATGGTGGCGGATGCCTGTAATCCCAGCTACTCAGGAAGCTGGGGCAGGAGAATTGCTTGAACCTGGGAGGCGGAGGTTGCAGTGAGCTGAGATCACACCATTGCACTCCAGCCTGGGCGACAGAACAGGACTCAAAAAAAAAAATTGAGTCAATCTCTGCATATCAGTCAGTGCCTTTGTAGTATAGAGGTATAACTGTGTTCCTTCTACCAGATAATGAATAACTCATTCTTATTGACTAAGGAACTAAATGAAAGTGATTCTCCCAGAACTATTGTTTCATTTAATTACACTGAGGAGAAGTGTCCCCAAGGCACAAATGAACAAACTTGTTGCTTTGAAATCATTTGGTCTCTGAAAATTTAAAACTAACATGGGGACAGGAAATTGGAAGTTGCCACTGTCGTTGACTATTCTTTGTCTTGTTTTTCTTATGGAGGGTTTTTAACTTCAGGCTTTGGAGGAAGCTATATGAGTCCCTGAAGTTGCCTGTAAATTATGATGTATAGGTACATTGTTCTAGAAAAAGGGCCTGTACTTTAGCTACTTTTTCAAAGATGTTTATGATATATAAAAGGTTAAGAACCACTGTCATAGTGGGTTAATGGTGACAAACTAAAAACGAATTTCTTTGATCTCTTTTAATTGATAAAGGGTAGATCATTAAATGTAACTGAAATTTTTGATTCCTGACAACTTCTTTTTCAGCTTATTGTCAGGAACTATCTTCCCTCTCTCTCCTTCTCTTCCAGAATCTAATAGTGGCTTATGTGTGAGAAGCATATTTCTCTAAACGCTCTTTTTTTATCCTGTTGTATGGCGTGTTCTAGGTGTGGGCTATCTGCGAGTGCAGCATTGGAGCTGAAATCCCTTCCATTCTTCTATTTCTGTTGGCATATATTGGGATATTGTTTTTGGTTTTTTTTTTTTTTTTTTTTTGGAGACAGGGTCTCACTATTGTCACCCAGGCTGGAGTGCAGTGGCACAATCATGGCTCACTGCAACCTCCGCCTCCCAGGCTCAGATATTCCTCCCACCTCAGCCTCATCAGTAGCTCGGATTACAGGCATGCCACCATGCCTGGCTATTTTTTTTTTTTGAGATGGAGTCTCGCTCTGTTGCCCGGGCTAGAGTCCAGTGGCACGAATTCAGCTCACTGCAACCTCTGCCTCCCAGGTTCAAGTGATTCTTCTGCCTTAGCCTCCTGAGTAGCTGGGATTACAGGTGCTCGCCACCACACCCAGCTAATTTTTGTATTTTTAGTGGAGACAGGGTTTCACCACATTGGTCAGGCTTGTCTTGAACTCCTGACCTCAAGTGATCCCCCCGCCTCAGCCTCCCAAAGTGCTGGGATTACAGGGGTGAGCCACTGCACCCTGCTGCCTGACTAATTTTTTTTTTTTTTTCGAGATGGAGTCTCGCTCTGTCGCCCAGGCTGGAGTGCAGTGGTGCAATCCCAGCTCACTGCAAGCTCCGCCTCCCAGGTTCACGCCATTCTCCTGCCTCAGCCTCCCTAGTAGCTGGGACTACAGGTGCCTGCCGCCACACCCAGCTAATTTTTTTGTATTTTCAGTAGAGACGGGGTTTCACCATGTTAGCCAGGACGGTCTCGATCTCCTGACCTCGTGATCCACCCGCCTTGGCCTCCCAAAGTGCTGGGATTACAGGCGTGAGCCACGGCGCCCGGCCATTCACCTGACTAATTTTTGTATTTTTTGTAGAGACAGGGTTTTGCCATGTTGCCCAGGCTGGTCTCGAACTCCTGGGCTCAAGCGATACACCCGCTTTGGCCTCCCAAACTGCTGGGTTTATAGGCATGAGCCACTGCACCCGGCCAGGATATTGTTTTTAACTGAACCTTTTCTCTGGAAGGATTTCCCTTAACTTCAATCAATATATGTCTGGTTTCTGGGCCTGTTTTTTCTCCTTCCAGGCCACTTCCCCTCACCAGTCACAGCAGTCCACTGTGGATGTTGGCCAGCTCCATGATCCTCAGCCCTACCCCCAGCACGCCATCCAGGTGCAGCACATCCAGGTCAGCGAGCCTACCGCCTCGGCCCCGTCCTCCGCCCAGGTACCCTGCTCCACAGACTATTTGGAGGTGTTATCATGGCTTCAGGGATTATCAGAGTTAATGAGAGGGAAGACATTCTCTTCAGACCTAGTCTCCTCAGCTACTGTTATTTTTGGATTTTTATTAAAGGATCTTACCTTTGCCTCCAATTTTTATATTGGCATTGTGGACACATATTAAGCTGTTAGCTGCTTCTGCCCTCATAGAGTCCTGTGGTACGACATCCTAGAAACAACAGTGGTCTTTGCTTTCATTCTAAATGCAATGGCTAAGTGGCTTCTATGATTTGGAACAGTGGCTTTCTGGAGTATTATGGTATATTTTATGTTACTGTGTTTGTATGCTTGAGTCTGGAATTGAGATACATAGATAAGTTCTCAGAGTTCAGAGAGGGAGAGATTAGGTTTAGGAGGGAATCCAGGACATTTTTTAGAAGAAGTGGTCTTTGAGGTCTTGAAGGAGGGGTACAGTTCTGACATAGTCGTTGGGGAAGGCAGTCTGATCTGAAGAAGCTCATGCTGCAATGGAAAATGTACATTTATAGAAAACAGGGTTATTCTGTTTAGATTACTCACAGGAAATGATGTTTGGAAAGGAAGTTGGGAGGGTAGTTTGGAGCAGGATTGCAGTGTGGCAGGCTGGAGAGCGCTGGCCTCATCCTGTTATCAGGAGTGGGCCTCTTCACCCACCTGTGCTGAACTCCACCAGCCAGGTGGGATTTGCCAGTACTGGTGAATGGAAACGATGAACTTTGGGTTTCATTTCATTTTGTGTTCCAGATTAGCTTTGTGACACAGGCAAGTTACTTCACCTCCCATTATTTTTAAACTTATAGAATGTAGGTAATTATATTTTCTTTCATTTATCTTTCCAACAGTTGATTGAAATTAATTTTTTTGCATACTCTGGTAGAGAATCCTTTGAAAGCAAATTAGAATTTCATAGTTATGCTTGCTTTTCATTGAGTTTATTCTTATTTAAAATATTACTTTTAATAATAGCAATGATAGGCCAGGCGTTGTGTCTCATGCCTGTAATCCCAGCACTTTGGGAGGCCGAGGCGGGTGGATCACCTGAGGTCGGGAGTTCGAGACCAGCCTGACCAACCTGGAGAAACCCCTTCTCTACTAAAAATACAAAATTAGCTGGGTGGGTTGGCACATGCCTGTAATCCTAGCTACTCGCGAGGCTGAGGCAGGAGAATCACTTGAACTCAGGAGGCGGAGGTTGCGGTGAGCCGAGATCATGCCGTTGCACTCCAGCCTGGGCAATAAGAGTGAAACTCCATCTCAAAAGAAAAAAAAAATAGCAACGATAGTTTCAGTATTATAATTCATATGAGTCTGGTGTACTTCCTTCAGTTATTTGTGAGTCTTCACTATATTAGAAGCTCGTAATTCCCTACCATTGCTTTCTCTTTCTCCCCAGGTATCTGGGCAGCCGTTGAGTCCCTCAGCCCAGCAGGCTCAGCAGGGGCTCAGCCCCTCCCACATCCAGGGCAGTTCTTCCACACAGGGGCAGGCTCTGCAGCAGCAGCAGCAGCAGCAGCAGAATTCCTCTGTGCAGCACACGTACCTGCCCAGTGCTTGGAATTCCTTCCGTGGCTATTGTAAGTAAGAAGGGACGATGCCGTGTCGGTCAGGGGTGGGGGATCTCCAGCCATGTGTCATAATTTCTTCAGCTTGTGATAGATTTTTAAAGTATCTCTTGGCCATTGTTTACACTCTCTATGAATGTACTTCAATGGGTTTCATGACAAAACTCAAGGTGTAGCATTCCGCTTTCACAGAGCTACCCTGATAGGACATTTTCGAAACGTCAGGTATATTGCTGGAGGAAATGTAGCTATGAAATTAAATAGTAAGATAGTTGGATATAGCTTATGTTGAGTCATCCCTTCCACCAATATTTGTAGAATGCCTGTCTATCAATCGCTGTACTAGACACTGGCTATGCCAAGATTAATATTCTCATTAGTATCGGTAACACCACACAATAATAATGTTAACCAGCTTTCATTAAGCTCTTACTACATTGCCAGGAATGATTCCGAACCATATATATCACAGTCAGTATTCACAACAACCTATAAGATAAGTACAATTGTTATTTGCATTTTACAGATAAGGCAATTTCCACACACTCACTTTTCCAAGAGCTAGTAAACAGAGGATTGGAACCCAGGCAGTTTGGCTTCAGAGTGTCCACTCTAAACCACCCCACTGTGCAGCTGACCATCATCTAGTAAAGGAGGGAGATAGAAGAGTCGTTGATTCCAAAGCCCTGAGATTCGTGCTGTGGAAACAGTAGCAGGCTGGCTGACAGAGGTCGGGGCAGGTAAACCCCTTGGTGGGGAAACAGCTTTGGGGCAGGCCAGGAAGTATGAGACCTTTCTCATGGAAGGTGTGGAAGGAATAGGAGTAGACTTTAACAGACCTCAGTAGTAGAAACTAGGAGGAAGAGGTGCTGAGAAGGGAAAGGGTCGGTATTGATCTTTCTTCTACTGTTGATTTATTTTTGGGGGCCCGTCTTTGTCATGATTGATCCTTGGCTATGTTACATAGATTTGCTATGGAGTCAGGCTCAAACTCTACCGTCTAGTTATTTTTACAATCAATATTCTTTTTTTTTTTTTGAGATGGGGTCTCGCTCTGTCACCCAGGCTGGAGTGCAGTGGCACAATCGCGGCTCACTGCAACCTCCGCCTCCCGGGTTCAAGTGATTCTCCTGCCTCAGCCTCTTGAGTAGCTGGGATTACAGGCACCCGCCACCACGCCCAGCTAATTTTTGTATTTTTAGTAGAGACGGGGTTTCACCATGTTTGCCAGGCTGATCTCGAACTCCGGACCTCAGGTGATCCGCCCACTTCAGCCTCTCAAAGTGCTGGAATTACAGGCATGAGCCACTGTGCCCGGCCACAAACTATACTCTTAAACATTGGACGTCACATTGAGGGCTGGGTCTAGTTTCCAGTCAGGGACTCTCTTACCACTAGAATCTGGTGAATAGACTGACCTCTGTACTCAGTGTAATTCCTGTGAAAGAGAGTGGAGCGGGCCAGGCGTGGTGGCTCATGCCTGCAATCCTAGCACTTTGGGAGGCCGAGGTGGGCGGATCACTTGAGGTCAGGAGTTTGAGACCAGCCTGGCCAACATGGTGAAACCCCATCTCTATTAAAAACACAAAAAAAATTAGCCACGTCTGGTGGCGGATGCCTGTAATCTCAGCTACTCAGGAGGCTGAGGCAGAAAGATCATGCCACTGCACTCCAGCCTGGGTGACAGAGTGAGACTCCATCTCAAAAAAGAAAAAAAAAGTGGAGTGATGAAGATATTCATGATAATAATAGGATGAACTAGCATTCTAACCTGTAGAAAAGATTCTGGGACTGAAATTTATTAGGGAAAAATGTAAAAATATATAAAAGTAGAGAGAGGAGTGTAACGAACCATCCTGTACCCATTGTCCAGCCTCAGCAGTTACCAACTTACACCCAACCTTGTCTCATATATGCTCCCATCATGATCTCCCATCCTCCAGCTGGATAATGATCCATCATATCACCTCATCCATAAATATTTTGGTACCTACCTCTAAAAGAAAAAGAACATTTGAGACAGGGTTTTGCTCTGTCGTCCAGGGTGGAGAATGCAGTAGCATGATCGTGGCTCCTGCAGCTTTGACCTGGACTCAAGTGATCCACCCACTTTGACCTCCCCAAGTGCTGGGTTTACAGATGTGAGCCACCACGTGTAGTCTAATTTTTGAACTTTTTTTTAGAGCTAAGATCTCACTATGTTGGCTAAGTTGATCTCAAACTCCTGGGCTCAAGTGATCCTCCTGCCTTGGGCTCCCAAAGTGCTGGTATTACAGGCATAAGCCACCATGGTCAGCTGAAAAAAACTATTTTTTAAAAACACAACTCCATGCAACATTATCACACCTAAGAAGAAATGACAGTAATTTTTTCTGTATTTATTTTTTAAGAGAGAGGGTCTTGTCTGTCACCCAGTCTGGAGTACAGTGGTGTGATCATAGCTCACTGCAGCCTCGAACTCCTGGGCTCAAGCCATCCTCCTGCCCCAGCCTCCCAGTAGCTAGGACTACAGGCACATACCACCATGTTTGGCTAATTCTTTTTTCCTTTGAATTTTTTAGTAGAGATGAGATCTCGCTGTGTTGCCCAGGCTGGTTTTGAAACTTCTGGGCTCAAGTGATCTTCCCATCTTGGCCTCCCAAAGTGCTAGGATGACAGGCGTGAGCCCCTGTGCCAAGCCAACAGTAATTCTTTAATACCCACAAATATATTTAAAATACCCAGTCAGGGTTTTTATATTTCTATGATTGTCTCAGAAATTTTTTAAAAAATAGTTGGTTTGCTTGGCCAGGCACAGTGGCTCACGTCTGTAATCCCAGCACTTTGGGAGGCCAAGGCAGGTGGATCATGAGGTCAGGAGTTCGAGACCAGCCTGGCCAACATAATGAAACCCCGCCTGTACTGAAAATACAAAAATTAGCTGGGCATGGTAGTGCGCACCTACAGTCCCAGTTACTCAGGAGGCCAAGGCAGGAGAATCGCTTGAATCCAGGAGGCGAAGGTTGTGGTGAGCCGAGATCGCGGCACTGCACTCCTGCCTGGGCATCAGAGCGAGACTCCATCTCAAACAAAAAAGTTGGTTTGCTCATATTGGGTTCCAAATAAGGGCCATACATTGCAATTGATGATGACTTTTGAGTTTCTTTTAATATGTGTTCACTCTTTTAAGTTATAATTTCTGTGTTGAGGAAACCGGGTCATTTGTGCTGTTTTCCGCATTCTGGATTTTGCTGGTGGGATTCCCATGTTACCAAGCAGTGAATATGTGCTCTTCTGTTCCTTTCATTTCCTATAGACTGGCAATTTGAGCTACAGGCTTGCTCAGGTGCAGTTTGTTTTTTTCCTCCTGATACTTCATAGCTGGTGTGTGTACTTCTATCAAGAGCACATAATGTTCAGGCATCTCTCTTCTTGTGATGTTAGGAGCCATCGATGTTTATTCTTTAGCTCCATTATTTCATTAGGGCTGCAAAGTCGTGATATTCTTTTTTTTTTTTTCTTTTTCTTTTTGAAATGGAGTCTCGCTTTGTCACTCAGGCCTAGAGTGCAGTGGTGCGATCTTGGCTCACTGCAACTCTGCCTCCCAGGTTCAAGTGATTCTCCTGCCTCAGACTCCTGAGTAGCTGGGACTACAGGCACCCGCCACCATGCCTGGCTAATTTTTGTATTTTTAGCAGGGATGGGGTTTCACCATGTTGGCCAGGCTGATCTCAAACTCCTGACCTCAAGTGATCCGCCTGCCTTGGCCTCCCAAAGTGCTGGGATTACAGGAATGAGTCCATGTGCCTGGCCATGATTCTAGCACCTTATTCATTAATTAGCTAGAAAACTTTTATAAAGAAAAAAATTTTACCTTCACTACCAAGTTACTCTCAGTTACAGTTTGTACAAGAAAGGCAGGATAAACACTTTAAATACCTGATTCATTTCCTTTGTTTACCAGTTTTCACAAAATGAATTGATTTCTTATGCTATCCAAGGTGATAGGGTTGTGTGTGCACGTCTTATGGTGGTTATGGACCCCTGGATTTCAACGCCTGGTGTGTTTCAGCCGATTGCAGGTGTGATCCTTACCCATGCTCGAGTGATCCCCTCTCTGGTTTGTAGGAGCCTCTTCTAACTGGCTCCTGCGTTATTCTCACATGCCTCGATAGCCTTTCGTCACGTCTTGTGTGCTGGGAAGACACGATGCCCCACAACTGTCTCACAAGCTTTCTGCCCAGGTCTGGAATCAGCCATTTTCCCAAGAAACTCTCATTCCTTTTAGTAGAAAATGTTATTTAGAGACCATCAACAAGATGCTAGGGTGGGCTTTATTTTTAATTTGCTCTAATAACACTGGTGGTGAAATAAAATTCAAGTTGGATTAAATTATAATTGCCAAGTGTGGATACATTTGTGTCACAAATTCAAATCTGAATATAAAAGATAAAAATATTGATTTAAAAGGTAACTCTTTGTGACGTATTTCAAGGTTTTAAAAATTGTTGAGTATTTGTCTTTGTGGATATTGAGAAGCCACATTTGAAGGGGAATGCACTGATTGTCTCTGACACTGGGTATCTGCGTACCAGGCTCTTCTCAATTCGTAGCAGAGATGCTTTCACGGCACCAAGAAATCACATCATTGTGAGACTCTCATGGCAAGCAAATCAGTGCGGACTGTGGCTACTGGTTATGTTTTTGTTTCTAAGACTTGTGTTAAAATCTGAGACCACTGAACTATGAATATTTCCTGTTTTTTAGCATCTGAGATTCAAATGATGACGCTTCCTCCGGGTCAGTTTGTGATTACAGACAGTGGTGTGGCAACTCCAGTTACTACTGGCCAGGTGAAGGCGGTTACTTCGGTAAGCTACGCTACTCGGTCGGGTTTTTCCTGTCCAACCTGTGGTGCTGTATAGTAACTCTTATCACCACTTATCTCGTAATGATTGGCTTACTCTGTTTTCTCACAGTAGATGATGAATTCTTTGAAAGCTAGGTCTTGGGCATTATCACTTTATCCTCAGTGCCCTGTCCAGGAGGCTAGGATATAGCAAATGCTCAATAAATATCTGTTCAATTAATAACTGTAATGGTCCTATCTCCATCCCTATGAGCCTTTTTTTTTTTTTTTTTTTTCTGAGACAGAGTCTTGCTGTGTCGCCAGGCTGGAGTGCAGTGGTGCAATCTCAGCTCACCTGCAACCTCCGTCTCCTGGGTTCAAGTGATTCTCCTGCCTCAGCCTCCCAAGTAGCTGGGATTACAGACACGCACCACCACACCCAACTGATTTTTGTATTTTTAGTAGAGATGGGGTTTCACCATGCTGGCCAGTATGATCTTGATCTCCTGACCTCATGATCCGCCCACCTTAACCTCCCAAAGTGCTGGGATTATAGGCGTGAGCCACCACTTCTGGCCCTTATGAGCGTTTTTATATGCTTCTTGGAAAGATTGAGTCCTCAAGACAATTGGCCCTCAACTGGGTTGGGAGAGAATAATATAATGAATCAATTATGGAGCTGTATTAAACATTTCATCCACCCGAAAGTGAAAAACATTGCCATAAATTATCTAAGTTGGGCAGGTACAATGTTGATTGTATCTCCTTCTTCTGTTTTTATCTTCACTGGTTTGTTCTGGCCTGCCTCTTAAGTTATTAGAAGACAGAGTACATACATGTGAATTTAGAAAAATACTCTTGGCTGGGCTCAGTGGCTCACGCCTATAATCCCAACACTTTGGGGGGCCAAGGCAGGCAGATCACTTGAGGTCAGGAGTTCAAGACCAACTTGGCCAACGTGGCAAAACCCTGCCTCTACTAAAAATACAAAAATTAGCTGGGTGTGGTGGTGCATCCCTATAATCCCAGCTACTCAGGAGGCTGAAGCATGAGAATTGCTTGAACCTGGGAGGCGGAGGTTGCAGTGAGCCGAGATCATGCCACTGCACTCCAGCCTGGGCAACAAAGTGAGACTCTGTCTCAGAAAAGAAAAAAAAAGAAAAATACTCCTGGGTGAATAAGTTCTGGAGATCTTGTGTACAGCATGCTGGCTGTGTTCATAATGTATTGTGTACTTGAAAACTGTTAACATAGTATAGATAATGTTTTTGCCACAAAATAAAATGGTAAGTGCATGAGTTGATGGATATGTTAATCAGGTTGATTTGTTTAATTATATCTTAATAAAGCTAGAAGGAAAAAAAAGGAAAAATGCTCTTCAATGGCTAGGAATATTGAGATATTACCAAGGGAAGATTTTCTTAAGAGGTTTCAGAGGGTAGCTAACTAGTCTTGTGGCCTCAAAAACCTGATTTTTTTTCTCCTTTTTTTTTTTTTTTTTTTTAGTATACTGAGAGCTCACCTGTTTCTCAGCACACGAGGTCACATTAACTAGACTTAGGAGAGATTTGTAAATCCAGAGTAACACTATTAATTGTCAGTGAAAACAGTAACGAATGTAAAATGAGATAATCATATTGGCATGATCAGGACATTTTTTGTTCCCTGTAGGACCCATTGACTTTGACCTTTTTCTGGCCTGGAACTCATTTGAGAATGGTTTTAGCCAAAGTTATTTCTCTCCCCCTGCCACAGTGTATGTGCACACTAATTTAATGTCCATTTTTGGGGGTTCATGCATTTTTTGCAGCTGACCTATGGACCCCCTAGGAGTCAATGGACCCTAGGTTGAGAAACAGCCCCCTCCCCACGTGGAAAAACCAATCATAATCAGAACGTTGTCTGGTGGGGGTGAACTCAGAACATCTGGCCCTAGTGGAATCAAATGGGTATTTGGCGATGGCTCTTTTCTGGGCAGTGCAGACAGGCTACTGCCTGACAGTCTCTCTGCGACGTCTCTCTTCCTCTGTGCTGTAGCTGACCAACCCTCCTTCTGACCGACAGACACATTTCTTTAAAAATGTTAATGTAACAAAATAGCCAGCTACAGGCTGAACGTCACGAAGACGTTTTCATGATGAGGGGAAAAATAAGAAAACAAAGACCATGTGTAAGTTTTCATAAAGCTAAATGTATTCAGTGTAAGGGATTTCATTCTGAGATCCTGTTGTTCCTGTACTCTTGAGTGTTAAAATGTCTATTTGATGGTCGCGTTTTTTTAAATGACCTTACTTGACAAAATAAAATTTGGGAACCATTTATTATTATTATTATTATTATTATTATTATTATTATTATTTTGAGACGGAGTTTCGCTCTTGTTGCCCAGGCTTGAGTGCAATGGCACGATCTCAACTCACTGCAACCTCTGCCTCCCAGGTTCAAGAGATTCTCCTGTCTCAGCCTCCCAAGTAGCTGGGATTACAGGCATGTACCACCACGCCCGGCTAATTTTTTTTGTATGTTTAGTAGAGACGGAGTTTCTTCATGTTGGTCAGGCTGGTCTCGAACTCCTGACCTCAGGTGATCCGCCCACCTTGGCCTCCCAAAGTGCTGGGATTACAGGTGTGAGCCACCATGCCTGGCCTCCATTTATTATTTTTTTAAATTTTGCTGGTCTTTTGAAATTCTGAAGTCTGAGAACCATTGACTTGACTACCTGTCTTCAGGGTCATTCTGCCTCTTCAAGGAGACTTTAAATATCTCTTCTTGGATCCATTCTGTATTAATCTTAAGATCGAATGGACAGTTAACTATCTTTTCTGAATTTGTAAATCATTAGGAGCATTGCAACGGCATGTTTTCTTTGCCACGTATGTTACCACCATGATGCAAATTACTGTACCTGAAGTTGTTCGCTCTATCATTTGGTGAAACTGCTAAGGTGCTCCTTTAAGGAGCTTATCTTTGTCGTCAATTATTGTGACTGATCCACCCTCTCTAAAGGACCTAGGCAAAGCATCTCTCATAGATGCCTATTTTGGGTCCCTTGTGACATTTCTTCACATCTCCCTCCTTCCCCAGTAGCTTCACCCTCCCTTTAAGGCCCCAAGTTTTTAAGGATCCTTTTCTTCTTCCTCTAGGGTCATTATGTGTTATCAGAAAGTCAATCAGAATTGGAAGAAAAGCAAACTTCTGCCCTCTCTGGTGGAGTCCAGGTCGAGCCACCTGCACACAGTGACTCCCTGGACCCCCAGACCAACAGCCAACAGCAGACCACACAGTACATCATCACCACCACCACCAACGGGAACGGAAGCAGCGAAGTGCATATCACCAAACCATGACTTCCACCCTGGAGCTTGAATCCAGCACCCACCTCATGTCTGTTCTCATAAGTCTGAAAGCTCTGACACGTAGAGCTCTTTTGTAAGATTTATTATTCACTCAAGAGTTCGGAAACCACAGTTTTGTCTCTCATCCATACACTGGGGTTTATTTTGCCAAGGTCATCTTTATCAAATTGACTCTTCAAACCCTCGGTTTTTGCCACAGAACAGAGATCTTTCAGGGGAAAGTAGATTTCGAGGTGGAGAGAATTTGCCTTGCTCTTGAGCTGGTCTTTTAACATACTGACGAGCCTTACTTTTCCTTTGTGGAAATATTAAGTGGCATATTGTGTTCATACCAAAGGTGGAGACAGGATGTGCCAAGTTCATGGTTACTGGACTTCTTATTCCAAGCCATGGCACCAAAGGAGAAGGGGCATTTTGTGGGTGTGCATTAGGTCTGAACTGCTTTATCTTGTTTTAGTTTTCAGTAATTTAACAAAGGGAGCCTGCTGAATAACAAAATTAAAATGATGAAACAAAAGTTTGACAGTGATATTCTGAAGCAAAAACTGTCATCTAAATTTTTCTTGCTGATTTTTTTTAACTTCCCTATTTTAGAAAACTATTGTTGGGCTGTTGGTAGTGCTTTCCACAGATGCTGGTCCTCAGTGGATTAGGTCAGAAGCTCATGTTCTGATAGTTCTTCATTATTTCACAAAGGTGGACAACCTGAAAGAGAAAAGGCTGCTTGATGTCAGCAGAATCTAAACCCCTACATTAAAGCTTTGCCTCCCATTCTGTGGTTGTGGTGGTGGTAAGAAGGAGATATTGGTACCAAGAAAAATTTCCAAAACTATTGAGAGAGAGAGAGAGAAAGTATTGAAATTTTGTTCTGCCTTGCAGGATCCATTTATCATTCATTGGTAAAGGATATATTCCTTGTTCTTACCAAGTGTACATTTAACTCTTGCTGACATGTTCAGTGTATTTTATTACTTTTAATGCTGTCTTAAAATGAACATTCTTTAAAGTTGGACAGGAAGGTGGCATTTCTTATTTATTAACATTTTTAACTTTAAACATATTGTGACTCATCTAGACCTTTTAATAAGACGGTCAACTTCACACTTAGGGAAAAAATTAAAATGTGATGGCCACTTCTAATAATTCAGGTAGTTATAAGGGATCTGGAAGAAATCCAGTCTTTATGAATATACTATTAGTTGGGCATTAAAAAATCAGTATATATTTTAACTTTTTGTGACATGCTAACACATTTTCAGAATAATTATTGCATAGTAGAATTTATTACTCCAGAACAGAAAGACCTTACTTCATTTCAAATGAAGTTAATTAATTTACATTTCTGGGTAAAAACTGGTTCTATAAATTAAGTAGAGTAGCTTCTTTATGATAAAGACAATTTTCTGAAAAGTGAACAATTCTGTTAAAAGAACTTTATTGATGTGTAGATTTCGCACTTTATTTCTGAGACTGCGTTCATGTAGTTGTTCCCCAATGTTTGAGTACTAAGAGAACTTGAGAAAATTACTTCATAAACATATGGAAACTGAAAATGGACTCTCTTTGTGACAAAGATATTCAACAGAAAATATTGACCCTGCATTGCAAAACACAGGTTCGGGTTCCCTAAGTCCCACAGTGTAATGATTACAAATATCCTAGTGTCCGGTCTAGAAAGACTTTCTAGGAGAAGACTAGTGGAATTTTCTAAAGGTTCAGTTTTAGCTTTTATAACTTAAATTTGGCCCTGTTACGTTCTTTTTAATTTGAACCATAAGGTATCTCCCCTCCCTTCAGGAATAACTTATTGGAAAACTGAAAAGAATCACTGAATGGAATGTTCATTTTATGGCAGTTGTTTTAAGTTTTAAAATACACAGAGGAAAATATTGTGGAAGGACCTCTTTGTTGCTTTCCCTTCTAAGTTGTCTTCTTCTTCTTCTTCTTCTTCTTCTTCTTTGGTCCTTAAGTGAAATAAAGACTCTAAAACTAATTTGTATATTATCAGCCAGAGATGCGGATGGCAGTCGAGCCAAATCGCATGGCTTTCAGATCAGGTATTCTGCACATTCATTCCAAGGTCATAGATTTTTAAAAGGACCTGGATTTGAAGAGATGGCAAATGATGAGCCATCAGAAAACTTAATTTGGAAAACATGTATGTAGCCAGTGTGGATATTGTGGCCTCTCTCAAGACACATTGACACTGTAGACTTCATTCAGTCCAGTGTGAGTATTTTGGAGTAGGTTGGATGTAGATTTTGTTTTTATCATTGATTTGTACCGACAGAAATAGACATTTCATCATGTAAAATTCCTGTTATTCTGGAAAAACCTATTGTTTTGATCTTCTTGTTTTCTGACTTGGAAGTATCCTTTCAAAAAAACTCTTAAGATATCTAGGTCTAAAAAGCACTTCATGAGATGCTAAAGCTGACCCACTGGTTGAAAATGTTGACCCTATCCTGTTATTTAAATGTGAACATTTATTGTACATTCAGTGAGTTATAGTGTTAATAGTCTTGTGCTATGCAGCAGGTGTAAAAATTAATAAATATATTTTTTAATAAACATGTTTGTATGTGTGAAGCTACAAGAGCTATTTTTTTTTCTTTGAAGAATTGCAACTTTTGGTTTCCAGCGTGGCATACAGGAAGCTTGGAAGTTGTCCCTCCATCCTAGCAATAAGTAAGAAGCTGAGCAAATGGAAAGATCAACATCTCTCCTTAGATCCATCAGAAAGTTGAGCCCACAGGACAAACTGCTGTCCCCAAAATTGGAAAGACAAACAGGCAAATACAGAGAATCATAGCTTATTGAACAGAAACCCGTGAGAAAAAAATCCACGATCAATAACCTCTATGAGAACCAGCGCCAGGGTAGGAAAACTTGAACTATATTTGATGAATTGCTGCAGGCTCAGCGTGGAGAAATCTGAGAGGTTAAAAACTCCAGGGAACTCAGTCACTGGAGGGGGGGTCAAGGGAGACCCACACTTTTGTGAGTTTTATCCCCAGGAGCTTGACTAGGTTCTCACAGTGAAATTTGGAGAAAAATTCCCTCATGCTTCCAGCAGAGGAAGGGGAGAAGGAACCATTTTGAAATACTCCAGAGCTTTCTGATCTTTCTATTATAACAAGCACCGAACCTGCTGAAGTTATAGCAGAACCTCAGTCACCTGGAGGAAAGGAAATAGCCAGCCCCAGCCCATTCCAGCCATTGTCCCTCATCTAAGAGGGGATAACTGCGTAGCATTCGTGAAGTTCACAGTCCAGAGGCACAGGCTCACCAGAAGACTGAGGCCTCCTTTAGGAATACAGAATGCTTCCCCAACCCCAACACCTTACCACCACATTGCTAAAGGCCTACTTACAGAAGCTCTCTCTACCTGGCACATCATGACCAGCTATCAAGAAAAACATTACAAGGCATACTAAGAGGCAAAAGACACAAGTTTGAAGAAAGAGAGCAAACATCAGACCCAGAATTAGATATGGCCGAGATGTTGGAATTCACAGACTGGGAATTTGAAACAACTGTGATTAATATGAAAAGGGCTCTACTAGAGAAAGTAGACAACAAGCAATAACAAACAATGTAAGGAGAGAGATGGAAATCCTAAGAATGAGCTAAAATGCTAGAGATAAAAAATGAAGAGTAGGCTGGGCACGGCAGCTCATGCCTGTAAACCCAGCACTTTGGGAGGCTGAAGTGGGTGGATCATTTGAGGTCAGGAGTTCAAGACCAGCCTGGCCAACACGGTGTAACCCTGCTTCTACTAAAAATACAAAAATTAGCCAGGCGTGGTGGTGGGTGCCTGTAATCCCAGCTACTCAGGAGGCTGAAGTGGGAGAATCGCTTGAACCTGGGTGGTGGAGGTTGCAGAGAGCTGAGATTGCGCCTCTGCACTCCAGCCTGGGTCACAGTGCAAGACTCCACCTCAAAAAAAAAAAAAAAAAAAAAAAAAACATGAAGAGTAGCTGTGAGAGGCTAAATGGTAGACTAGACACATCTTAGGAAAGAATTGCTGAGCTTAAGGATATCTCAATAGAAACCTCTATAACTGAAAGACAAACAATATCCAAAAACTGTGAGATGATGAAAAAAAGGTATAACTATGCCTCATGGGAATACTAGCAGAAGACAGAGAAAGGAACAGAAGAAATATTTGAAGCAATAATGATTGATTATTTCCCCAAATCAATATGGAAGATGAAACCACAGATCCGGGAAGCTCAGAGGACACACAGGATAAATGCAAAAAAATCCTTCAAAACCAAAAAACAAATGAACAAAAAATGACTTTTCTTCAGAAACTGTGCACACAAGGAGCGAGTGGAATGAAATGTTTAAGGTGTTGAGAGAAAAAAGCAGTGTCTAACCTAGAATGCTGTAGCCCATGAAATTATCCCCCAAAAGCAAAGGGGATTTGTTGCCAGTAGACCTGCCTTGGAGAGAATGTTAAGTTTTTCAGAGAGAAGAAAAATGATAAAAGTCAGAACCTCAGATCTATATAAAGAAAGAACATCATTATTACCTTTAATAATGAAGGTAAAGGAAAAGTCTTACTTATTCTTTGTTGTTTTATTTTTCTTTTTACTTTTTTGAGACAGGGTTTCACTCTGTTGCCCAGGCTGGAGTGCAGTGGTGCAATCACAGCTCACGGCAGCTTCGATCTCCCTGGCTCAAGCGATTCTCCCACCTCAGTCTCCTGAGTAGCTGGGACTACAGGCACGTGCCACCACACCTGGCTAATTTTTTGTATTTATTTTAGTAGAGATGGGGTTTCACCATATTGCCCAGGCTGGTCTCCAATTCCTGGGCTCAAGTGATCCACCCATCTCAGCCTCTCAAAGGGGAAGATCCTGGGCATTGGGACTGAGGTGTTTTTGATACGTTCATGCAAAGATGCCTGGAGTGGGTGGTTGGATTTCTGGGTTGTTTGATTCATAATTGCTTGATTCATAATTGCCAAAACCTGGAAACAATGAAGATATCTTTCAGTAAGCGAATAGATAAAACTGTGATATATCGACACAATGGAATATTATTCAGCACTAAAAAGAAATAGGAGCTATCAAGCCATGAAAAGACATGGAGGAAACTTCAATGCCTGTTACTACGGGAAGGAAGCCAATCTGAAACGGCTACATACTATGTAATTCCAACTAGATGACACTCTGGAAAAAGGCAAAACTATGGAGACAAAAAGATCAGCGGTTGCCAGGGGTAGAGGAGAGGGAGAGATGAATATGCAGAGCACAGATGATTTTTAAGACAGTGAAATTACTCTGCATTATACTGTGATGGTGGGTAATGATGTATCAATGTAGGTTCATCAGTTCTTTTGTTTGAGATGGAGTCTCGCTCTGTCTCGCTCTGTCGACAGGCTGGAGTGCAATGGCTCAATCTCGGCTCACTGCAACCTCCGCCTCCCCGGTTCAAGCAATTCTCCTGCCTCAGCTCCCGAGTAGCTGGGACTACAGGTGCCCGCCACCACGACCGGCGAATTTTTGTATTTTTAGTAGAGACGCGGTTTCACCATGTTGGCCAGGATGGTCTCGATCTCCTGATCTCGGGATCCGCCCGCCTCGGCCTCCCAAAGTGTTGGGATTACAGGCGTGAGCCACCAGGCCGGGCCGGGTTCATCAGTTCTAAGAAATGTACCACTCTGGTAGAGGATGTTGATAAAGGGAAGGCGATGCATGTGGGGAGGTGGGGCGGGGAGTATTTGGAAAATATCTTTCTGCTCAATTTTGTTAACTTTAAACCACTTTAAAAAAACAAAGTCTATCAAAAATTATAGTTTACATTGTTTTTACTCTTTTTCTCTTTCTGGTCTTGTCACAATCTCAAGGTAAGGGAAATATCGGTGACAACTATAGAGTGATATTCCACTGCCATTTATACTCGATAGTTTCTAATTCAAGAGCCTCTCAACAGTGTAACAGGAACTTAGAGCATATGTGGAGCCAGTAGAGGAACAGAGATCGGGTTGTTTGGAAACTACTCTCTTCCAGGAAGGGAAGAACATTAGCTCGGCCGGCCGGCTTCTCTGGTCCCATCCACACACAGAACTGAGGATGGTCTCTGCGCCACTGCTGGGAGTACCTGGAATAAGTAGTGTGAAGCCGTACTAAGCAAAACCCAGTGAATAACAGGAAAGGGGCCTTCATATCTAAGAAGAGGAAAATGATGGAGTTTAACTTTAAAATGTGATCCTTCGATGTGTTTACATTCTTTCTGGACATCGAGGGCCCGGGGACGGGAAGGAGGAATGAAGGAACTCGGAAGCACAGGCTGAGGTCGCGTTCTACTCATGTCCTCAACTGTAAAATGGGCACTAATAGTGCATAGCTCACAGGGCTGCAGCACAAAGACGGTGGGTAGAAAGTGCTTAGCATAGGGCCTGGGGCAGGGTATGCTCTCTGCAAACGTCAGCTAATAGACGTGCCTTCGCTCACGGGCTATGGAACTTTGATTCGCGGTCAGGCAAAGACAGGCACTGTCTGGGGCCTCTGGAAGCTCCTAAATCAGGTGAGACGCGCAAGCAGGCTGGAACCTGCATCCCCAGGCCCAGCCGCGCGCAGGCACCCTCGCCGACCCTCCGCTCTCCCGAGCCGCTCCAGGACCCGCCCGCTGTGGCCCCGCCCCGGCACCCTCCAGGCCCCGCCCCGCGCTGCCCCGCCCCTTCCGCCGCGCAGGCCCAGAGCGTGCGCGCACCCAGACTCCTTGCGGGAGCGAGTGCGTCTGGGAGCCCGCGGCCGGAGAAGGGCTGCGGGTTAGGGGGCCGGCGCCCGCGGTTCAGGTGAGGGCGGGCAAGGGGCGGCGAAAGGGTTGAAGTGTCTCCTGGGAGTGGAGGGAGCGGGAGCGGGCGGCTGGGTCCGCGAGGTCGCTGCCCGTGTGGGCGTGGGGAGCGGGAGCGGGGCGTGGGGAGCGGTGCGACGCGTGAGGCTGGGGGTTAGGGTTAGGCACGGCGTGGGGGAGGGGCGGGGCCGAGCCGTGCAGTTCTGAGGATTGGACCCGGGCCTTGGGCCAGCCGGGCTGGCACCGGAGGGGAATTTGCTGCAGAGTTGAGGGCTTTGGAGCCGGCGGTTGCTCTGGAAGGACCCGAGGGTTTAGCTTCTGCGTTGGGGAGGGTCCAGCGGGGAAAGTTAGACCAGGTGCTGAAAGCCAGTGATGAGAGGCCGAGAGGCCTTCGTGGTCTAGTGAAGAGGTTCAGAACGCCCGAAGATCTGGAAATCCTTGGCTTCCGGGGTCCAACTCCCTGGCAGCTGCCTGGTTTTGGTATTTTGAGATTCTGTTCAGAATAGTGGCAGTGCAAAGGTTGTCAGTGGACTAGATTAACTTTAGCTAGACACGCACCGTCACTGAAGAAACTTGTGAGCAAGTTGTATAGAGACCTCCTAAGAGGCAGGTAGGACACTGACTTTGCAGTTGATAGTCTGTTCTATGCCAGTTCTGTTAAGAAGGTTTTATTCTGAGCATCAGGTTGCTTCTGCAATTTTTTTTTGGTGCTATTTTGAAGTTTTGTTAAACTCACATGCTATGTGCTGTCTCACCCGCTTCACTTATTTAGGCATAGGCATGATGAGGATGTCATTTCACCATGTGCTGAAGGGTGATGAGGGGGCACAGTTGCTTGGGGACCACCCACGTGACTTGACTCAACGCTTAAGTTTCTGCTATATCTTTACATGGATCTGAAATCTCTTCAAGGGAGCTTGAAATAATTTAGTGGAACATGCTTCATTTTACATATAGTTATTCTAGAACTGTTCTTTATCATTGGAGAATTTTGGAAAAGAAAAGTACCTGTATTACGTAATTCACACTGTCACTCATCTAGAGATTATTCATTGCAGGATTCCAGAATTGGAAATAACGGGAGGGAGGACCTGGTCCAGCTTCCCTTCCTCAAATAAGGAAATTGACACCTGGCGTGGTAAGATTTGTGGAATGTGGTGTTTGTGGAATGTGGAATATGGAATTCTGGTGTTTTGACTGTTAACATCCTTTTTTCTTTTCATTTTAGTATGCTTTTTAGCCCACTTTGTAGGAATAGGAGCTGGAAAGGATGGATTTAGTAAATGTTGGTAGAGTGATTGAGTTTAAGCTCCCTGTGGTCCTGTTAGCATTGTGCAGTCCTGTGCTATCAACTTGACCCCTAATCCCAGCCATCAGTCTGAAAATGTTGTGGTATGTAGTTTTCTGAAGGTGATCAGCAGTGTTCTGTTATTACACGAAGGAGAAAAGTAGCATTAATTTACATGATTATACGGATCAAATGGACCAACTAAAGGCAGATTGGCCATTGACTTTACTGGTGGTTATGGTCAGGTGTGTGGAACCTCAGGAATTTATATGGACTAATAAAGTCATATCAGTAAGGTTCGTTTTTATTATTTAAATGTTGCGAGGTTATACAAGAGGTATTGTGTGTAGCATTAAGCACATGGGTTTGCAGGCAGGTAGACCTGAGTTTCAGTACTGCCTCTGGGGTTGGGCAAGTTACTGACCTACTCTGATTTTCAGTTTTAATTCCGATGTAATAACCCATGACCTTACTTTGCACAGTTGTAGGAATTAAATGAGATATGTGAAAGGCCTGGCTTTTAATAGGCCCTCATAAAGTGACTGTTAGCATTTGCATTTTACTAGTGTATGTTGATTTTCAGCAAATTTTCTTTTGTGAAAGAACAACAAACAATATTCTTTCTCTTTTTCCTTTCCTTTTTTTTTTTTTTTGAGACAGGGTCTCTGTTGCCCAGGCTGGAGTGCAGTAGCGTGATCACGGCTTATTGTACCCTCTGCATCTCGTGTTCAAGCGATCCTCCCACCTCAGCCTTCTGAGTAGCTGGGACTACAGGCGTGCGCCACCACGCCTGGCTGATTTTTTTTTTTTTTTTTTTTTGTAGAGAAGGGGTTTTGCCATGTTCGCTAGGCTGGTCTCAAACTCATGGATTCAAGGGGACTGCCCGCCTGGACCTCCCAAAGTACTGAGATTGTAGGTGTGAGTTACTGCACCCAGCCAACAACAAAGAATTAATTGCTAAAAAACAGTTGTTACAGAAATTACATTGTGGGAGAGTGATTATTGGTCTGGGAAGTGTAAATTATAGATTGTGATCTGTTTATCATTTATTCTCAGTCTCATTTTACTCATCTGTAAAATGAAGGCATATGAAATTTATGAATTTAGGAGTTACTGTAGGAGCATTCTGAGAAAAGAGCTCTTCCAGGTAAGACTTGAAAATTCCAGTGGGAATGCTGTGGTGAAAGGGAGGGAGGAGAGCTGTTTAGCTGTAATTAGGGTGCAAGGATAAGGTGTAAGAACTGGCTGGAGGTTGAATGTTTTCCTGGAGGAGTGTTAGCATCAACTAGATCCCTGGAATTTCTGCCTTTCTGTCTCAAGATGCATGTCTTTGTCCAGAGTACCTGTGGAGAAGAAACAATGGATTCCTTAGACCATATGCTGACAGATCCTCTGGAACTTGGTCCGTGTGGAGATGGCCATGGCACGCGCATCATGGAGGATTGCCTCCTGGGAGGCACCAGAGTTAGTCTGCCCGAGGACCTTCTGGAGGATGTGAGTAGTAACACGGTTGTGACCTTTTCCTCTCTGTCAGCTTCCTTGTAACAGCTGTGGGAAACCTTTTCCACTCTACATTTCCAGTCTTTTGTGCTCCCTTTTGTTCATTTTCTACATTGCAGGCAGCCTGATCTCTTATCTTTTTTTTAAGTTTAGAGTCTATTTAATATCCGATTAAGGAAGAAAACAAGCTACGTTCCGCATGTTTAATAACATGCCAGAATAACTTGATAACATGATTTAAGCCCTATTTTTAACAAGATAATTTTCATCCATTAAAAATGGTTGTGTATTTTAACCATGGAATACTACTCAGCCATAAAAAGGAATGAAATAATGGCATTTGCAGCAAACTGGATGGAATTGGAGGTCATTATTCTAAGTGAAGGAACTTGGGAATGGAAAACCAAACATCATTCTCACTTATAAGTGGCAGCCAAGCTTTGAGGACACAAAGGCATAAGAATGATAATGGACTCTGGGGACTTGGGGGGAAGGATGGGAGTCGGGTGAGGGGTAAAAGAATACACATTGGGTGCAGTGTACACTGCTTGGGTGATAGGCGCACCAAAATCTCAGAAATAACCACTAAAGAACTCACCCATGTAACCAGACACCACCTGTTCCCCCAATACTATTGAAATAATAATTAAAAATAGAAAAAAAAAAGGAAGAAATTATGGAAAACAAATATGAAGAAACACATCAGTGGGTATCTTTTCTACTAAAACCAGAAGATTGTTATGAGTACTTAATCTTCACTGTGAAATATTTGGCAGTTAATCTCTCCCTGACCCAGTGTCTTACTGTGTTAGTAAATCTGTTAGTTAATAGTTGCAGTATTTCTTTTAAATGTTTTTGGTTTAAACTTAAAGGTAGGCTCCTTTATTTGTTTGGTTCTTTTCAACTGTTTGAGACACTTTCATTCCCTGATATTTATGAAGTACATGTTTATCACTAAATGTAGTAGTTTGGTTTACATTAATAATTTGATGTGTGGTCTAAAAATGCAGTCACTAAGAGGGTGTACACTGTGGTTACGGATTGATTGGCAGTGGAGTACCATGGAGGCCACTGCAGTGGTGCTAATGGTGCTAAGGCTAGCGGTGGAATTTCTGTGTAGGGCCTTAAGTCCTGGTGACTCAGGGAATCCATCACAGCCTGGGGGTCGTTCACCCCAGTTCACTCCTTTTCTGTTTGGCCTAGATTGCCCCATGGCTTCCCCTCATCCCAACAACTGAGTAGGGACCCAGGAATCTGAATGAGCTGATCATTATTTATGTTCAGATGAGTAAATGTCCAGACCAGTTAAACTATGGCTGTTTTTCTGGCGGTCTTTATCTGCAGGGCCCAAAGTTAATAAACCATAGGAAATAGACTGTCATTCTTAGTTTGCTGCCAGGGCTTATTTTAGATTCAGCGCGTATTGGTGCATGGGAGAGGTAGTGTCGTTTGCTCTGATTTTCAACCAGTGGGCTAGCTGGCATCTTTTGTGCTCCTGGCTTTTTTCAGTCATGGCACGATTGCATCTCCTAGCTGTTGCTTTTGCCCAGCAGGATAATATTGAGTCCCACTGCAAGCACGGACAAGGCCTCTGGTTCTGGTCACCACTACCTTTTCAACCGTAGAACATCACTGGAAATGCTTAATGCCTGGATCTATTTTCTACCAAAAACAGTTCCACTGGGAAGTCTTTCAGTGGGAAATGAATAAATGTTATACATTGTTATGTTCAGTTATGTCAATAAGACCACTTACTAATAGAAAATAAATAAACATTTTTAAAAGGTATATTTTAAAAGCAGAATTATATATGTGTTTAAAATGGTTACCATGTTGTGGAACATTAAACAAAACCTACACGTATTTTCTGTATCCATAAGGTAACCCTCTACTCAATAATGGTACGTGCCCTGGGATGGGATGCCAGCTTGTTTTTGTCCACTTTCACAGGCAAGATGCGTCATTGTCATCATTAAGGTGGCTACCGTTTATTAAGTGCTTATTATTTGCAAGCCACTATGTACGTGAAAACATTCATTTAATTATATATTTCTTTTGTTTTGCCATATTTTGAACATACAGGTGTGGAGCATGGTATAGCAAACAGTCATCTATGCATCACCCAGTTTTAAGAGATAATTTAGTTTGTTTGTTTCACATTCTTCTTTGGTCGTATGCCAAACATTATGGATAAAATGAAAGCCACCAGTGTGCTGTTCTCTGATCCTCCCTCCCAGCTACAGTAACAACTGTACTGCAGTTGGTGTATATACTTCCCATCCATGTTTTCTTGGCATACTCTTTCAGGGCAGTCCCTTTATGTTACTCATGTAGTCAGCAAACACTTGTTCTATTAGGCGCCTCTATGCCAGACACTGAGTTAGATGCTAGGAATAAAATGTAGGCAAAAATAGGCTTGCAGGGGAAGATCCTGGGCATTGGGACTGAGGTGTTTTTGATACGTTCATGCAAAGATGCCTGGAGTGGGTGGTTGGATTTCTGGGTTGTTTCCTGCTGAAACCCTTTAGTGGGTCTCCATTGTCCTTAGGGATAAAAGTCACAACTACCTAAAATGCTTGCCGTCCTTTGCATCTTTCTGCTGTCTGCTGCCTCCACCTCCCTCCCTGTCCTTGATCTAGCCAAATATTGCCTGAACTCTAAAAAAACAAAAAAAAAAAACAAAAAAACCCAAAAAGTATCACACAGAAGCGTATATAAAATGCATACACACACACACACACACACACACACACACACGTAAGACAATAATAAAACGTGCATGTAGCCTTCAGTTAGGGTAGGGACACTACTAAGACCACTGAAGCCCACCACCACGTACCCTGTCTTATCCCTCTCCATTCCCCCACAGGTAACTGCTATCCTTTCTTTTGTGTTAATTCTTTTTTTGTTTTTCTGGTGTTGCTCTGTGGATTTCTAACCTTCTCCCCCACCGTCTTTTTTCTCTTTCCTCATCCCTCTCCTGTCTTAACCGTTTTTTGGTGAGCATTCTCTGACATTGTAAATGTGGGATGTTTGCTTCTATACACATCAGCACTTCTTTAACTACATTGTAACTGCATGTTTAATTGTTCCCCACCTCAGACCATATATATGCCAGGCCAAGTTAGTATTTTGCTCGTGGAAGGTATCCAGTATATAACTCGGGAGTTGAAAATGAACCCCATCCTGTTTCTTCTCACTCTTAGCTGGTGACTTCAGTCCCTCAAGTTCATTCCTTCTATGTTAACCTTTTCCTGCCACTCAGTTGAGGCGGAATTCAGATGTCCACCCTCATACCCTCGTTGGCAGAGGTGGCTTCCAAGTGGGATTCTCTACTAAAATGATTTTCCTCTGGATAATTATTTACTGTTGGATACAAGACTGTGGCTCATATGTAGTCTTTAATCTCAAGATCATTGGAATTTTAGTTTATTTTAAAAAATCTTAGGCCAGGCATGGTGGCTCATGCCTGTAATCCCAGCACTTTGGGAGGCCGAAGCAGGCAGATCACCTCAGGTCAGGAGTTTGAGACCAGCCTGGTCAACATGGTGAAACCCTATCTCTACTAAAAATACAAAAAATAGGCAGGCGTGGTGGTGCGCACCTGTAATCCCAGCTACTCGGGAGGCTGAGGTAGGAGAATCGCTTGAGTCTGGGAGCAGAGATCGTGCCATTGCACTCCAGCCTGGGCAACGAGCAAAATTTGGTCTCAAAAAGAAAAAAAAAAAAATGTAAAAAATTAGTAGTGATAGTTGCACAGCAAATGTGAATGCACTTAAGGCCACTGAAGTCTACACTTAAAAATGGTTAAATTGGTAAATCTTATGTATATTATGTAATGTTTTGTATACGCATACATACAAAAAACTCAAAAATTTATTTTACTTTTGTTTACTTTTCCTATTTCTCCTAGCCTGAGATCTTCTTTGATGTTGTCAGCCTCTCAACATGGCAGGAAGTGTTAAGTGATTCTCAACGTGAACACCTCCAGCAGTTTCTGCCCCAGTTTCCTGAAGACAGTGCTGAGCAGCAGAATGAACTCATCTTAGCCTTGTTCAGTGGGGAGAACTTCCGCTTTGGAAACCCTCTGCACATTGCCCAGAAGCTTTTCCGAGGTTTGTAGCTCAGTATTCTTTCTTTGAGGGGGGTGGTGGATGGGCACACGTTCACTTTATGTGGGTATTCCTTTCTTCCTTTTCTTCTTTTTATCTTCATGTACAGATACTGAGGCAGCAAAGAGCGGTTTTGTGTAACACTTTGCTGTCTAGGCTGTGTTCTAAAAAACAAAAATGTATTGACTTATATAGAAAATACATAATATGAATTCAGCTTGTAACCAGCATCAGCTTGTAACCAGCATCTACATAAAAAAATAAAACATTTCCAGCATACTAGAGGTGCCCTTCATGTCTGGTCTTTAAAAAATTTTAAAAAGAGCTTGCCATTTGCTTTATTGCACGTATCAAGGTTCGTGTGTGTGTGTGTTTAGGTACACACACACTTTTTGCTGCAGAAAATATGACACTTCACTGCCAAGCACTTCAGCATGTCCATGTCTCTTAACAGACACTTTCCCATATCATCACCGCCCTGTTACCACACTCAAGGAATTTTACATTGAGCAGATAATATCATAGGCTATTTCATGTTCAAATTTTCTTTTCTTTTCTTTGGGACAGAGTCTCGCTGTGTCGCCCAGGCTGGAGTGCAGTGGCGCAATCTCAGCTCACTGCAAACTCTGCCTCCCGCGTTCACGCCATTCTCCTGCCTCAGCCTCCCTAGTAGCTGGGACTACAGGCGCCCGCCACCACGCCTGGCTAATTTTTTGTGTTTTTAGTAGAGACAGGGTTTCACTGTGTTAACCAGGATGGTCTCGATCTCCTGACCTCGTGATCTGCCCGCCTCGGCCTCCCAAAGTGCTGGGATCACAGGCGTGAGCCACCGCACCCGGCCTTCATGTTCAAATTCTCTTGATTGTTCCTGCAATGTCCTTTAGAGTAGCTGTGTAAATCCAGGATCTGTTCAGGGTTCATGCATTGTGCTTGGGCCTTACGTCTCTTTAGCTTTTTGAATCTAGGTAGGGCGCTTTGCCCCTTTTGTTTTTGTCTTTCAGTACACGAAGAGCCAGGACACTTGAATTATAAAATGTCCTGCTTCTTGGGAATTTGTCATTTTGTTTTCTCATGGTTAGATTGGGTTAAAGGCTTTCGGCAGGAATATGATATAGGAAATGTGGTCTTTCCCATTGTGTCACCTCAGGAGGCACATGGTATCAGGTTTTCCATTTTGGTAAAGCCACATTTGCTCACTTGGTTAAGGGGTGTCTGCGGTACCTCTTGCTTGTAAGGATACTTTATTCCTTTATCATTAAGAAGCAGTGTGGGATGATACTTTGGGATCATGGATCATGTGATAGTCTCATTTTCCAAAAGCCTTTGTCTTACCCAGTAGTTTCTGCTTCCATGGGTGATTCTCAACTGCATCAGTTACTATATTGGGGGTTGCAAAATGCTTTGGGCCACTCTTTAAGTTACAGTTTGCTTTCTGGACCATGGAGAGGAGCCAAGGAAGCCTCTTCCTCTTCCCTTCCAGGGTGACTTTGTTCTGGCACAAGGCCCTGAATGGGCAGCACATCTGGAATTCTGTTAAACTTGACAACTTGACAGCTGCTAATGACCAGAGAGAGTAGCCTTTTCACCTGAAATCGCATTATATTAAGGGTGTAAAATGAACATTCCCTTCTTTGGTGGGTTACTAGTGTAAAAAGGAATTCCCCTCTATGGTTGGCAGAGATCTGTTTCACTACAGCTGAGGGTGCACTGTCTCCTCTGATAGAGCAGAAGTTGGGGACCCACTTGGCTTTAGAGGGGCTCTGTAAGGGACCTTCCATAAAGGTAGCACTGTCTCTTTTGCTGGCATGTTTCCCCCGAAACAGTATGGTCGTCTGGTAAGGATACAGATGAGGAATGTCAAGGCAGGACTTCCTGCATATTCCACTCTGACCCATGCCATGTGTCAGTTCTAGTGCTGCTGAAGACAGTTGCATTACTGTGGCTGTGATGATCATCAGCCTTAAATGAGCTGTCATTGCTTCTCAGCACGCTTTTACTTTTGGTTCTCCTTCTTGATTCTCTTAAATGTTCACTTTTCCCTTAAGTTTTGTGGTACAGAGTTTACCATGTTAAGCACTCATTCAATATATTTGTTGACTGATGATGTATATTTGTTGATTGATGTAAATATATATACCTTTATTTTTTTAAGACGGACACTTTAACCCCGAGGTGGTCAAGTACCGGCAGTTATGCTTCAAGTCACAGTACAAGCGCTACCTCAACTCCCAGCAGCAGTATTTCCATCGGCTGCTGAAGCAAATTCTTGCTTCCCGGAGTGTAAGTAGTGCTGGGAACTGGATATAAAATGTGGGCAGTCACAGGTATCATGACTTCAAGAAGCAATTCAGGTGCAAAACACAAAAATTGCCACGAAGAAAAAAATGCTACCAATTAATCTGTGACACAGTTAAGCTATGCCATCCTTTCTTATGATAAACTTCAAATGTGTCCTGATTTCAGAGATGTTAAAACATAAAATGTGCTTCTTAAAATTGATGAAATTATAGTAGCTTCAGTGTTTACGAAGATAAACAGATGGATTTTGGATCTATCATGGGTTATTAAGGGAAACGAGGATTCCTTGGAATGGATATGAAAGTGTGCATGGGCCTCTGAATGCTGTGATGGATGGTAGCATAACAGGCCCAATAGCCCCTGGGTCTGGACCAGCCTGGAAATTCTTAGAGGCAAAGCTGTTTGGATTTTAAGTCATCCTTTAAGCTTTGGTGTAGAAATACTTGAATGTCTAGTATAAAAAAGTATTCATTCCTAGTAGAGCACTTCAACAGTCAGATTTGGGATTTTTCATGTAATCAATACAGATTCTTCGGATATATTAATATATATGTGCATCTTTCTTTGTGATCTGGAGGGAGGGAGTTGGGCTTAACACTGAAGAGAAGAAAATGTAGACTTGTAGAGTGTTCATTGTTCCAGAACAGGTCTTGGATGATGACTTGTACCCCCACCTGATCTCTACCTAGGATCTGCTGGAGATGGCCCGGCGGAGTGGCCCCGCCCTTCCCTTCCGGCAGAAACGCCCTTCACCATCCCGCACACCTGAGGAGCGGGAGTGGCGGACCCAGCAGCGCTACTTGAAGGTCTTAAGGGAAGTGAAAGAGGAGTGTGGTGACACAGCCCTGTCATCTGATGAAGAGGGTGAGTGTCCTCGGGCACTTGGGGTAGCTGGGGTATTGGATGGATACCGGCCACTTGTCCGGTTGGAGCCAGTGGTAGCCATTTATCTCCCCAGCAAAGAAACCCTCTTGAGTTGTCTGGTCTGGGGTGCATAGCGGGACTCAGAAGGCCTTGGTCTTTGGGTTGCTGAGACATTGCCATCAGATGGGGAGTGACTCCATGGCCTTTTTCACCCTTGTGGCCATGTGGCATTTGAGCTTAGATGAGAGCCCGCCAGACGACTCCCTGCACGACGGGGTTCTCCACAGTGGGCCTGACTGGTCCCATTTGCCACTTGAGAGAACTGTTTTCCCCTTACAGGAGAGTAGTAGTGGCTCTTGGCCTGCTGCAATGCAACCCCAGCACTCTGTTGAAGTCTCTCTTCCTGGAAGAGCCGTTAGATGACCTAAGTGTGCTCCAGCTCCTCTGGGGTAGGGTCAGAAAGGATTGTGGAACCCTGGCCTCCATGTTGTTGGCTTAGCCTTGTTGAACCCAAATGGCCACTTACCCAATCTCCCCTATTGGAGTCCACAGCCACGTTGGATTTACAAGAACAATTTTCTTTTGAAGATCTCAGCTCATGGCTTCCGAGCTCTCCAGCACGTTCTCCTAGTCCTGCGGTGCCCCTGCGGGTGGTGCCCACACTTTCAACCACGGATATGAAAACTGCAGGTGAGAACCAAGCTGCCGCTGTCACCATTCTGGGACATTGCGGTGGAGACCTGAAAACTCCTTTAGAGGGAGGTGGGTGGGGGCAGATTCCTACCTACCAGGAAAACAAAACTCCCTAGAACTAGGTGATTTGTTTGGCAAAGTTTTTGTACCATTTTACTTTTTTTTACATCTGGAGATAGGCCTGCCTTTTTTCTTTTGTTTTAAAATTTTTTCTCAGAAGCTGATATTTTGGGCTAAAGAAAGCAAAATCTTGAAACAGTAGTACGAAGGGGCAGTGCGGTAAGCGGACAAAGGAATAACCAGAGCCAAGCCGTTCTCCAGAGTGTCTGTGAGTTTGGAGAAGAGTTTTTGTTTGGAACAGGAAGCAAAGATGGTTAAGAACTTTAAGTGTGTTTTAGGACCAGCTGAGTCACAGAAGTCATATATTACCAACGTATGGAAAAGTGGAAGTGTCGATCCTGTGACTTTAAAGATTTTTGGTACTTGTAGTTCACAGGTGTCAGAAGGGAAACTCAGAAATATCTTACTTTTGAAAGTGACCAGAAAGATGTAAATTGGAGAATCATGATAGTGAATATGGTTTGGTTTGTTTTCTCAGATAAAGTAGAACTGGGGGACAGTGACCTGAAGATAATGTTAAAGAAGCACCACGAGAAGCGGAAACATCAGCCAGTAAGATGGGAAGGGCGTGCGGCCGTGTGGTTTTCAGCCTGATGTCTCAGGATTGGCTGTCCTGAGGAAGACACGGGGCATCACTGCCTCGTCTGTATGTCCTCCCTACCACTGTGGGCACAGGAGCAGCTGGCGAGGCTAGCTAGCATCAACGATGTGAGGCACGGTGGCTTTGACTTCGCAGGGCCTGCTGAATGTAGTGTCTGCCTTAATCGTTACAGTGACACTGTCGAGTATAGGAATCGTCTCCACCTCAGCAGTGCTCAAGAGGTTAGGGAGCTTGTCCTTGGTCCTATAGCCAGGAAGCAGCAGAGCCAGGAGTTGGGCCCTGGGTTTGTCCCACTTTTTACTGTTTCCATTATTCCATGCTACCAAGTTGAGGTAGCTAGCACCAAGCCAGAGAGTTCAGTGGAGAAAAGATGATACCTTTTTGGGAAGAAAAGACAGTCCTTCTAAGACTAGGAGGTGAGATGGGAAGAACCCCACATCAGAAGTCAGTACTGAGTTCTCTCTCTTTTCTAGTTACTGTGATACTTCTCTAAAGCCCATTTCCAGACTCTGTAAAACATAGTAATACTTAACAAGACTGTTTGCAAAGCACATGAGACAAGGAATGCAGAAGAGCTTTATAATTAAATGCTGTACGGTAGAAAGATTGGAACTGGGTTCTGTGCAGCAGTATCAAGTTAATTAAATGGGGATATGATAGGGAAAAAATGAATAGTTTTATCTCTCTATATTTTTGACTCAATGTGATTTCCCCAAGTGTACCTAACATCTAATTGTTACATAAATTGGCAAAGTCACCTCAGTTTTTGCTCCTTTTTGGGCCTCCATGACCAAATTCTGGATATCACATCTAGGATCACCCGGACCTTTTGACAGGGGACCTGACTCTCAATGACATCATGACTCGAGTAAATGCTGGCAGGAAGGGCTCTCTGGCAGGTAAATGACTGGGCCCCTCTAGGAGCCTTCATCTGACTATGGTGTTAAGTTGCGTGAGCCCATAACATGGCAAAAATAAATGAAACCATGGCCTCTCTCATGCTGGTAACCTTTATTATTACCTCTTACAGGCTAACAGGTGGGAAATGAATGTAAAATCAGTACAACAGAGCATCAGCTCTTTAATAAATATTAAAATTAAGCTGTATACTTGGGAGGCTGAGGTGGGAGAATCGCTTGAACCGGGGAGATTGAGGCTGTAGTGAGCTATGATCGCACCACTGCACTCCAGCTTGGGCAACAGAGTGAGATCCTGTCTCAAAAAAAAATAAAGCTATAAATCACTCAATGAATTTGGTTTCATTGAGTGTTTTATTACTGAGACTTTTCTGTCTTTGGTGGGCCTTGGGAAAAGAATATGCAGATAAGACCCCTCACTTCCCTGTGTAGGAGATACATTTCTGTGACTGGTGTTACTTTGCCTTTCTAGCCTTATATGACTTGGCTGTCCTTAAAAAAAAGGTTAAGGAAAAAGAGGAAAAGAAGAAGAAGAAAATAAAAACGATCAAATCAGAGGCAGAGGACCTGGCCGAGCCGCTAAGCAGTACTGAAGGGGTCGCACCTCTCTCACAGGCCCCCTCTCCGCTGGCAATTCCTGCTATCAAGGAAGAGTAAGTGAGCAACAGAGATTCTGTAATTCTCAGGGTGAATGGGTAAGCCATAGGCTGTGCCCTGGCCCCTAGGGCTTGTCGTAGCTGTAAGTATGTTGGACTTGTAGACCTGAAGTCCCAGGGATACTGCTGGGAAAATATATTGTTTGCTCCTTTCTTGAACTCTTTTATGACTGCTAGGAGGCTTGGGCGCCTGAATCAATCTAGGGATGTGTTCTTGGTCTTTTTGGTTCTTATATTTTTCTTCCCTCATTAGGCCCCTTGAAGACCTCAAGCCTTGCCTTGGAATCAATGAAATATCTTCCAGCTTCTTCTCTCTTCTATTAGAGATCTTGCTGCTGGAGAGTCAGGCTAGCCTTCCTATGGTAAGCGTTTTGGAAAAGTTGGAGGTACATTAGAGTTTTCAAAGTGTTCAAATCCTGAATGGTCTATAGCTTGAGAAGTGGAACTCTGAGTTCCTCTCAACGCTCTGTAGTTAACTTGCTTTGTGATTCGGACAAACACCGGATGCATATACTGCAGGTTGTGGTGGCACTTGTGTGGAATTGCTGGTGTGGAAGAGAAGTCTGACTGGGTTCTGCCTTTGCTTTCCCTCAGCTAGAGGAGCGAGTTTTGGATTGGCAGTCATCGCCAGCCAGCTCCCTCAACAGCTGGTTCTCTGCGGCCCCCAACTGGGCTGAGTTGGTACTACCAGCCCTGCAGTATCTTGCTGGAGAAAGTCGAGGTAAGATGCTCTTTTTTGTAGGGTCAGTATTTTTCCCCCTTTTGTCTAATTAATTATTAGAATAAACTGCAGCTTTGCTCGTGTAATCCATCATGCCTTTGCATAATGCTATGCCTTGAAGGTTCCTGCTTTTCTAATACATTGTGGAACACTCAAAAGCTGTTTCGGAGCTCAGGGACGCACCTGTATGGTTTGTTTATGTGGTCCATTTCTTGCAGCTGTTCCTTCCAGTTTCTCTCCATTTGTTGAATTCAAAGAGAAAACCCAGCAGTGGAAGTTGCTTGGTAAGTGATCCGTATTACCTACCCCAACAGGTTTTCGTTCTCCCATTTCTTCCCCTAAGTTTATTTGCCTTCCAGTCAATATAGTCCTGCAGATTGGTTTTAAAAAGCAATATCAGACCTTATTTTGCTCTGTGAAGGAGTCCTTCAACACCCTTTTTGTACTCTCAAGGTGGGTTAACTAACTCCTCTGGTTGGACCAAAGCTGAGATGGAAGGAATAGCCTTTCTGTATGATGTAGTCTGGTGATGGCTAAATTTAAATCTGCAAGGGTATTTTGCAAGAGCATCGACATTTATATTAATCATACAGATGACTTTGGATTAATTTGTAATATAAATTTTTTCTTTCCTAAAAATGGGCTTTGCTATTGAGGAGAGTGTGCAGCAGCCCCGAATAAGTTGTTTCTAAAGAACAGGGTTGTTATTTTTAAGTTTATAAAGCCCACTTAGTGTGTAAGTTGTCATAACATGCATCTGAAGTCACTTGGAGGCTGTTACCTGGTGATGGTGAAAAGAGAGAAATCCAGTGTTGGTTTCTTCTTGAAATTCACAGGCACTTCTCTGTGCTGAGTGGTCTGTGGAGAAGCGTATGGAGAGCAGGTTATGAAAACGGTAGACTCATTCATTCGTTATTTATTACATTTATTCAGCTTCTGGGTGTCAGGCACTGTTAGGTGCTGGGGGACACAATGGCTTCTGAGACAGTGTGCTCCTCTCGTAGGGCCTAAGGTCTGTTTGGGGAAGAAATACTTACTTAGATTTAATGACAAAATGATCCTTTCTGTGAAGGAAAAGTACCAGAGAGGATGGGGGTTTATGATAATAGGAATTGATGTAGTTTGCAGAGTTTGGAGGACCTTCCTGAGGAAGCAGCATCTGAGCAGAGGTGTATGATGAATAGCACTGAGCCAGACAGGCAGAGGGGAGGCAGCAGCATTTGAGATGGAGGAGGTAGAACCTTTCCATGGGGAAGATTTGATCTAAAACAGCCACACAACCCACGGGCTGTGAGAGCTGACGGTAATTTAGACACAGGGAGAGAGGATGGATACGTTTGAGAAAGACTTAGGTGGGCTTGGTTATGGCTTGGCTGTGGGGAATGAAGGAGAATGGTGTGAGGCATGGCTCCTGTTAGATTTGCAGCTGGTGGAGGAAGGTGTTGTTTGTGCAGGTAGCAGCTGTGGAGGACTGGACTTGGAGGGTGGAGATCCCGAGTTTAGTTTTTAAAATTTATTTATTTATTCATTTATTTTTTGAGACAGAGTCTTGCTCTGTCCCCAGGCTGGAGTACAGTGGCACGATCTTGGCTCACTGCAACATCTGCCTCCCGGGCTCAAGCAATTCTCCTGCCTCCTCCTACTCCTGAGTAGCTGGGACCACAGGCGTACGCAACCATGCCTGGCTGTTTTTTGTATCTTTAGTAGAGACAAGGTTTCCCCATGTTGTCCAGGCTAGTCTTGAACTCCTGAGCCCAGGTGATCCACCTGCTTTGGCCTCCCAAAGTGCTGGATTACAGGTGTGAGCCACTGCACCCAGCCTGACTTTAGTTTTAGAGCTGCATTTGAGGTATTTCAGTGGAGTTGTTGAATAGACAGTAGGATGTGTGGGTTTAGAATTCAGACCAGAGAGTTTAAGGGGGAGAGTGTTGGCATGTGTGTGGTGCAGGGCACAGATGATGCTGTTACCTGAGGAGGAAGCACAGAGTGAGGAGAGAGGGCCGAGGAGGGCTCTTCACGGCAGAGGGGCTGAGTGACAGCATGAGAGTGCGGGGGCAGGGGTTGACTATAGAGATGGGGAAAGCCTGGAGCAGGGTTTTCCTGAGTCTTGGGAGCCAGGAGACCGGATCGCCTGAGAAGTGGGGAGTGGTCATTTGCCTCCATAGTTCCTAAAAGATTCAGTAAGATAAAGACTAAAGATTTGCAAACATGGAGGAAGTTGTGAATTTTTCAGTGAGCGTGATTCTCTAGTGGAACGGTGGAGGCGAAGCCACCGTGAGCTGAAGGTGATGATGGTAGCTGACTGCAAGCACTCCCCCCATCTGTCAGGCTGCAGTAGCCATGGAGGGAGCACATATACCTGGGCCTGGCAGAATGTTTCTTGTAGGGCCAGATAATAAGCGTTTGAAGCTTGTCGGCCAGATGCTTTAGTTGAAGCTACTCTGCCATTGTTGGGAGGTTTCTGCAAATAGTGATATTGTGTATTGACCATGAAAACAAAGGTAAACAGCCCCTTTGAGAAGGGTAGCTGCATTCATCACATAAGCAGACCTGGCCGATGATGGTCCTGTGGCTTCTATGCTGGGCAGGAGACACAGGTGCCATCAGGGTCTCAGACAGCCTGAACAGAGTGACCTGAGAAGAGGGCACAGGAGACAGGGCTTATCTCTTTCTAGGCGGGTTGTGGAAAGTCAAGCTTTTTCCTGCCCCTGGGTCTTAACTGCTATGCTAGTGAATAGAATTTTCTCTGTGCCCCACTAGCCAGAAGCCTTTCTTACCTACAAAAATAGAATAATTACCTTGGTATAAGCTATGATGACATCCTTTGTGATGCTTACCACTTTTTGAATTGATTTTAAAATATGTGCTCTTTCCTCACTTGACTATAAACTCCCATGAGGGTGGGGACTGAATTCACCGAGTAACCTTAGCGTCACATGCAGTGCGTGGCACAGTGGATACTCAGCGAATGCCTACGGAGTGAATGATTTCATTAGGTGGCATCCAAGAGTGGTGGTCCAGGCTGACTTCCGCCAGCTGGAAGGCAGTGGATGTGTGAAGGATTGTTGCTACAGCTCCTGATAGAATCTCTCTGTGTTGTAGTTACAGCTAGTAAAGAGAAAGCAGGATTCTCAATAATACCTTAGACCTTCTTATTTTTTTATCTCTTTATTCCTCTAATAGGCCAATCCCAAGATAATGAAAAGGAATTAGCTGCCCTCTTCCAGCTATGGCTAGAGACCAAAGATCAGGCCTTCTGTAAGGTATGTTTTTTTAAGAAATACCAGATCCTTCTCACTGGGTTTCCAGAGCTCTTAAGTTTGCCCAAATTCTTTAGTCCATTTACCTGTCAACGTTTTCTTTTTCTCCAGCAAGAAAATGAAGACAGCTCAGATGCCACAACACCTGTCCCTCGGGTGTGAGTACAATACTGTAGTGGTGGGTGGTGTCCTGGGAAACTGTAGTTCAGATACTGCCTTGGTTTTGTTAATACTTCTTGGTATGCTAGAGCTGTAATGGGCTTCAGAGCTCTGAGGAGTCCCCTGGTTCTTCCTGACTTGGCCGCACCCCCTGAGTGAACGGGACTCCTTGTGGAAGGGGCTGTGGTGGAGAGAGGGGACGGCAGGAGAGCCTCTAAGGGGCATATGACCTGCTTTGTAGGTGGACATACTTTTTTAATGTGTACTCCTCCCTGGGCTCCTACTTGAGAATTATTCATCTAGGCCATCTTAGTCCAGTAAATGGAAGCATGAAGTTGAGTGACTTGCTGAAGGTTAGCAGCAGGACCCCAGCTAGAACTTAGATCTCTTGACTCTTAGTCCTAGGCTCTTTATATCACATTGTCCCATGTTTCTTTTTCTTCCCTGGCATGGTTCGGTAGTTTTCTGACACCAGGACAGAGGCCCGGTCTAAGTGTGGCAGAACTTTTGCTTCATGTAATAGAGGTGTAGATCTCAAGCCCCGGGTACTTTCCCTGGAGGTAGAAAAACAACCCTTATCTAACACACCTGAAGCCCTTTGTTCCTCTAAGGCCGAATTGTTTGTTGCCTTTAGAACGGACCTACTTAACAGCAATATTGAAAGCAGTAGTTAAAGATGTCAGCCTCTTGTCCATCTATCCACCCAGTACCTTTCTGGGTTTCTAAGAATCAAGTGATTTTGGAATTACCAACAGGAGTTACTTCGTAGGAGCTGGAAGGTGGGCTCTTCGCCTTTGTAAGAATTGAGTGCTTCTTGAGGGACATCTTTCCATGTCACAGTGGGAATGGTTCTGAAGCAGGGGCAATGGGTCTGACACACGTGCCAGCTGTCAGGGTTGATACAGAATTCTTTATATTCCAGAAGAACTGACTATGTGGTGCGTCCCAGCACGGGGGAGGAGAAACGGGTTTTTCAGGAGCAGGTAAGAACCTAAAAGCCAGTGTAAGTCTCTGCCTCTGTGAGCCATGCAGAGAGATGCTCTGAGCCTGACTCTCCTGCATCTACCTTCTTGCAAGAAACTCATACCTTTCCCCTTAGACCTTCTGTTGGCTGGGATTACTTGTTGGGGGTGGAAACGGTGTGGGGAAGGGGAGTAAGAAATACTTGGATGATCTTGTCTTCCAGGTAGCAAAGTGCCTTCATATTACCTCCTTGTCCCTCTGCTCAGTGACTGGCTCTGAGAACCATCCTTTTCCCACTGTGGTTGGCTGAACATTCCTACTAGAATCATAGAATCACTTGTTCCTTCCTGTTTTAATTGTTCCATGTGGATCTGCTTATATTGTAAGGAAGCCCGAGAGAGAACCCCACTAATTCTGACCTAGAACTCTTGTCCCTTGTCTCTTGGTAGGAGCGTTACAGGTATAGCCAACCCCATAAGGCGTTCACCTTTCGCATGCACGGCTTTGAGTCTGTGGTGGGGCCAGTGAAGGGCGTGTTTGACAAGGAGACCTCGCTCAACAAGGCTCGGGAGCACTCCCTGCTGCGCTCCGACCGGCCTGCCTACGTCACCATTCTGTCTCTTGGTAGGTGGCACGTGTCGATTATCAGAGATCCCTTTCTTCACCCCGCAGCTTTTCTCTTACCAACTCTGAACTCTGTCCTCTCCTTACCCCTCCACCCAGGGTAGGCTTTGAGAACAAGGCATAGTTTTTCAAAGCATTGCAGTTTGGGAGCTGAAGGGGACATCTTCAGCTCCCAGTCTTCTTCCTTAAGTCTGGGCTTACATTTATGTTCATTTAGGAGTTGCTCCCAGACCAGCTAAATAGGTTAAATACAGGAATTTGCTTTCTCCAGGCTATGCTTCATTTAACAGTGAGGATTCTTAGCTTTTTGAATGCCAGGAATCCCTTTGGCAGTCTGGTGGAACTTGTGGACCCCTTCTCAGAGTTATGCTTTTAAATGTATGAAATAAAATACAGTTACAAAAGAGACCAGTTGTTTTGAAGTAGTTATCAAAATGTTAAAACAAGTTTATGGTGCAGAAATATGTGTTGTTACTATGATGTTATATGACAAGATCTAGCAGGAGGTCTGACATTTCTTGAAATTTCCAAGTAGTGATGAGTATAAATGATATTCTTAGCTATCTGCAGTAGCTGTAATATATGAAAATGTCTGATTTCTATTACACCATCACAGCACTGCAGTATATGGTTTGTTCCCTTTGTTCATAATTAAAGGAAATACTTAATTTCAGTTTAAGATGTAATTTTGCTTCCCACCTGAGTTCACAGGCCCTCTGAATTCTTAAGGTGTTACCTAAAAGTGACTCTTAAAAGTGTGTAAGGGCTGGATGCGATGGCTCATGCATGTAATCCCAGCACTTTGGGAGGCCAAGGCAGGCGGATCACCTGAGCTCAGGAGTTCAAGACCAGCCTGGTCAACGTGATGAAACCCTGTCTCTACTAAAAATCCAAAAATCAGCTGGACATGGTGGTGCACGGCTGTAATCCCAGCTACTAGGGAGGCTGAGGCAGGAGGATTGCTTGAACCTGGGAGGTGGAGGTTGCAGTGAGCTGAGATCACGCCCTTGCACCTCAACCTGGGTGACAAGAGCGAAACTGTCTCAAAAAAAAAAAAAAAAAAAAAAAGAAGTGTATAGGGAACTCCAGTGGCTGAGCTGCCAGCTGCTGGAGGGCAGAGTGCACCTAATCCGGCATCAGGGAAGGTAGAGGAGCAGGAACCCCAGGCAGCTTTGCCCATCACTGCAGGTACAGGAGATTGTACCTCCGTAGGAACCCTGCCTGACTTGTGGACTGTGTGCTTTCTCATGTCATCAGTTCGGGACGCTGCGGCTCGACTGCCTAATGGAGAAGGCACACGGGCAGAGATCTGTGAACTGCTTAAGGACTCCCAGTTTCTTGCACCAGATGTCACCAGCACTCAGGTAGGACGGAGAAGAGATTACTTTTGCTTTGTTCCAGAATGGATTTAAGAAAACTTATCAGGAAATACAAAATATAACAAAATTTTTAAAAACTGAATGAAGTGAAAAACATACCTTGAAAAATGCATAGTGATCAAAACGCTTGCTGTTAGTGAAACACAAATTTTGCTCTAGGCTTTCTTTTAGCTTATGATAAAGGGCAGACTGGTCACTTACTTCACAGTATCCTTATAGTAAAAATAGATCAATACCTCAGTAGTCTTAACAGCATTTATTGTCTCGTCAAACGATTTGGGGAACTATTGGGAATACGCAGCTAGGCTGAGATAGAATCTGCATCAGCTGTGATTTAGATACAATGACATTTTTTTCCTAGAGTTCAAATAACTTCTGTTATCTAAGCTTGACTTGTTTCTTATTTCCCTTTGTCTGATTTGTAGGTAAATACAGTAGTGAGTGGTGCACTGGATCGGCTACATTACGAAAAAGATCCCTGTGTGAAATACGACATTGGACGAAAGCTGTGGATCTACCTGCATCGTGACCGGAGTGAAGAAGAGTTTGGTGTGTGAGGCCTCTGGGCACTGTCCGACCAGACTGGGGATACGTTCTGACTTTCTACCCCAATTCCATTATTCTTTTCATTGGCATATAGGTAGGACAAGATGGTAGAGGCAGGATTCAGTCCACTGGCAAGGTGTTGGTTTTTAACAAAGCCCCTCTTTTTAGTTTGCTAAGGTTAAACTCTGGCTGAAGCTTGCCCCTCTTGTTCACAGAGCGGATTCACCAAGCACAAGCAGCTGCAGCTAAAGCCAGAAAAGCTCTTCAGCAAAAACCCAAGCCCCCATCCAAGGTGGTAAGTGACTTCAGGAGAGTGTCTGCCCTAGGGATTCTGGGATGGAGGCAACTAAGAGTGGCTGCTCGGCTTTCACTTGGTGTGGGGCATCAGGAGCTGTAGGGGTGTCCCTTCCTTTAGGGGGATCTTCACGACACCAGGTGAGTTTTCTTTGTCTTCCGTTCTAGAAGTCCAGTAGCAAGGAGAGCTCCATAAAGGTCCTTAGCAGTGGCCCTTCTGAGCAGAGCCAGATGAGCCTCAGTGACTCCAGTATGCCACCCACCCCAGTCACACCTGTAACCCCCACCACACCAGCATTGCCCGCCATTCCCATCTCCCCTCCACCTGTATCGGCAGTGAACAAAAGCGGCCCTTCCACAGTCTCAGAACCAGCTAAGTCTAGCTCGGGGTAAGTTCCTCCTTTTCTTCAGCTTTTTCGTTCTAGAGTTCTTTTGTATGCATGTCCTAAGTTTTTGTTTTTTGTCTTTCCCCGATGTTCTTCATAGTGTTCTTCTGGTGTCTTCACCAACAATGCCACATCTGGGAACAATGCTTTCCCCAGCTTCCAGCCAGACTGCACCCAGTTCTCAGGCTGCCGCCCGGGTCGTGAGCCACTCTGGCTCTGCTGGACTGTCTCAGGTGCGAGTGGTGGCCCAGCCTAGCCTTCCTGCTGTTCCCCAGCAGTCGGGAGGGCCGGCACAGACATTGCCACAGATGCCAGCAGGACCGCAGATCCGGGTTCCAGCCACTGCCACACAGACCAAAGTAGTGCCCCAGGTAAACAGGGAAGCCGTGGTCATTGGGAAGCAGAGATGCAGACCCAGAGGTGGGCTGATGAGTCAGATGGGCAGTGTCTGGGTAAGGACTGGGGAGCCATAGATTATTGCTACTGGTGATGACATTCATCGGAATAAGCCACTGAATGTTCAGAGCTGTGTAAGCGTTTTTAGATAGTGTGTTTATGTGTTGGGAATCAGATCTTCAGAGCAGTCTGGTGGTTTCCCCGGGACCCTAACATCAGGATCTTCGTAGAGGCGGGTTGTAAATGCGGACCTTGTGAGTCTGCCTCTCAGGCTCCTTCTGCTGTGCCTCTAGTCTTAGCTACGCCATGAACTAGTTGTGTGAGTTTACAGAACATTTGTATCCTCTTTGTCTCAGTTTCCTTTGCTATAAAAGGGGTAAGATAGTATTTGTCCTCAGTGTGTAGGAATAAAATGAGATGTTAAATGTAAAATTCTGAAAATTAAGATATACACAAATGAGACATTTACAGTGTCCATTTTAGAGAGTGGTGTGCCTTAAGTACTGTGGGATTAGAAGCTCTTTGAGAGCAATGCTTCCGGGGTGCTGAGGGAGACTCTTGCTTAGAGTGCTGGTCTGCATCTTAGAGTCTAATTAAGCTCTTGGCCTCATGCCCTCAACTAGACAGTAATGGCCACTGTGCCCGTCAAAGCGCAGACTACGGCAGCCACTGTGCAGCGGCCTGGACCCGGGCAGACAGGGCTCACGGTGACAAGTCTCCCTGCCACAGCCAGCCCTGTGAGTAAGCCAGCCACGAGTTCTCCTGGGACCTCTGCTCCCAGTGCCTCCACGGCTGCCGTCATTCAAAATGTCACAGGACAGAACATCATCAAGCAGGTAGGTGGGGCTCTTTCCACGTGGATCTCAATCCTTCATCCTGGAGCAGGGACCACTGGAGCTGGAGGTTCTTGGCCAGACTGCATGCCCATGGGAAGAAGATTTGTCATCTTCGACTCTCAGCTTATAGATACTTAGGTGTGAGTTCCCACCAAAGGCAAAGGCAGTGCAGCTTTGATAGATGCTGAAGAGATTTCTTCTGTTTCATTCCGTTTAATTCAGCATTCAGTAGTCGAGTTTCTGGATTTAGAATAGACTGTTCATGAGTTTATTTAGTGAAATTCCCATGGCCACATTTTATTGGCTTCTCAGTTTACCACTCGTGAAAGTAGAATTTGCTTCTACTTTCTTGGTTGTGAATATAAAAGAATAATCATCGAACTTCAAAGAATCGTAAGCAGTATAGCAACTAATACTGATAGGAGTGCCTCCTGTGTGCCTGCACCGCGTTAAGCATTTTTTGCTTGTTAAATAGTCTAATCTTCTTAGCTCTGTGGGGTAGGCACTCTTATTATTTACAGGTGGAGAAATGGAACCACATAACGATAAAGTAATGTTTTTTTTTTGTTCAACAAACATTAAGCCAGAGAGTGTCCTAAGTATTGGAGATTTAATGGTACATTAAACAGACTAAGTCCTTGCCCTCGCGGAACTCGTATTCTCATAGAGCTAAGAGACGAGTACCTCAGTATGAGATAGTAATAAATGCTATGCTAATCAGTAGGCAGGCTCAGGGGTGGAGAGCAGTAGTGTGTTATTTTAGCTGCAGTGATTGGAGAAGGCCTCTCTGGGGAGGTGACATTTGAAAGAGATGAAAGAAAGCGTGCCATGAAGTGATGATTGGGAGATAAAACATTCGAGGCCCAGGAATGGCAAGTGCAGATGTTTTGTGTCAGGAATATGATTGAGGAACGAGAGGAAAATCATTGTGGCTGGAGTGTAGGGAGCAAGTGTGAGGGTGTTAGAAGATGAGGATGGGAGAGGTTGCCAGTAGTTAGATTATATGGGACTTTGACGTTAATTTAAATGTGAGGGGGAACCACTGGAAGATGGTGAGCAAGGGTGACTTGATCTGGTTTACATTTAAAGAAACATCCACCTGCTGGGTAGAATGAACAATGGGGGACAAGAACGGAAATGGGGAACCCCTGTAGGAGGCAGTGGCAGTCGTCCAGGTGAGAGGCAAGGCTGCCGCAGATGGGAGTGACCGTTCATCAGAGGTGGAGGGAGTAGTGGGGTCTGGATGTGGTTGAAGTGGGAGCCAGTGCGGTTTGCTGGTGGCTTGAGTAGGGGTCTGAGAGGAGGAAGGTGAGACTTACCCCATCCATGGCTTTGGCTTGGGCGCTTGGTTAGATGGTGGCATCATTTATTGAGGTAGAAGAAAATTGAGGTGTGGAGACTGCAAGACAGAGAAAAGTGTGGTCGGGAAGGTGTGAGGTGTAGTGGCAGCGTGAGATGAGACTCGGTGGATCAGGATAATGCGTGGGCTTCACTGGGCCAGTGGATTGGTGGCTTTTGGGGAATGGGTTCAAAAGAGAAGGCGAGGAAGTGGAGACAGTGAGTATGATTGGCCTCTGTACTCGTGGGTTCCACATCCTCAGATTCAGCTAACCATGGATTATTTGGAAAAAACCCCAGTAAAAAACAACAATACAACAAAAAATAATACAGATTAAAAAACCAATACAGTATAGAAGCTATTTACACAGGATTTACATTGTATTAGATATTATAGGTAATTTAGAGATGATTTTAACTACACGGGAGGATGTTTGTTGCTTTTATGGAGATAGTGCATTTTGTGTAAGGGACTTGAGCATCTGTGGATGTTAATATCTACCTAGGGGCATCCTGGAACCAGTCTCTCGCACATACCAAGGGGTGATTATATAGGTAGTTTTTAGAGGAATTTTGCTTCTGAAGAGAGCAGAGAACTGGAGTTGAATGTGGAGTGGAGTAGGTGGAGGGAGGTGTAGAGTTAGCCAGGATTGGTTGTTTTTTAGGGTGGGAAGTATTATAGCATGTTTGCATTCTGATGGCCGTAGTCCAGTAGAAGGGAGAAGATAGATCATGCCACAGAGAGACGAAGTCCCTGAGTAAGGTTAAAAGGCTTGCATCTGTTACACATGAGGGAATTGGCCTTAGGAGGTGGGAAGCCGGGCTCAGTTGTACACCTGTAGTCCCAGCTACTCAGGAGACTGAGGCAGGAGGAAATTTAAGCCCAGGAGTTCGAGGCTGCAGTGAGCTCTGATTGTACCACTGCATTCCAGCCTAGTGACATAGCAAGACCCCGTCTCAAAAAGTCCTTTTCTAGGTTATTGATGTATACAGAGATACTGATCAGTAAAATAATAGATCTTGGATTTACTTTAATATATTCTAATTCCTCCCTCCCCCACCACAGTGGGGAGGGATAGCTAAAACAAAGTATTAATTTTTGAAGCTGGGTGAAAGGGTATAAGGGTTTGTTATACTGTTCTCTACTTCTGTGAATGTTTGCAAAATAAAAAGTTAAAAAAAAAATACAAAACATCTACCCATGAAACGGAAGTTTGTCTAGTTGTATTTTGTAACCGGTTTACTATTGTGAATCCCTCATCAGTGCTGCTTCTCCCCATTCAGGTGGCAATCACTGGGCAGCTTGGTGTGAAGCCCCAAACAGGCAACAGCATTCCACTCACAGCCACTAACTTCCGCATCCAGGGTAAGGATGTATTGCGTCTGCCGCCCTCTTCCATCACCACAGATGCCAAGGGCCAGACGGTTCTGCGAATCACTCCGGACATGATGGCCACATTGGCCAAGTCCCAGGTTACCACAGTCAAATTGACCCAGGACCTCTTCGGGACAGGAGGCAACACTACAGGCAAAGGCATCTCTGCCACCTTACACGTCACTTCCAATCCAGTACATGCAGCTGATAGCCCTGCCAAGGCCAGTTCAGCCAGTGCCCCTTCATCCACTCCAACAGGTACCACTGTGGTCAAAGTGACTCCTGACCTCAAGCCAACAGAAGCCTCAAGTTCGGCTTTTCGCTTGATGCCAGCTCTTGGCGTGAGTGTGGCTGACCAGAAGGGAAAAAGCACAGTGGCCTCTTCAGAAGCAAAACCAGCTGCCACGATCCGCATCGTGCAGGGACTGGGAGTGATGCCTCCCAAAGCAGGCCAGACCATCACCGTTGCAACCCACGCCAAGCAAGGGGCCTCGGTGGCCAGTGGGTCTGGAACTGTCCATACTTCAGCGGTGTCCTTACCCAGTATGAATGCTGCTGTGTCCAAGACTGTAGCTGTGGCTTCTGGGGCTGCAAGCACCCCCATCAGCATCAGCACAGGAGCCCCCACCGTGCGGCAGGTCCCTGTCAGCACCACGGTTGTGTCCACGTCCCAGGCTGTGAGTAACTAGTGGTAAAGCTTAGGCCTTCTTTTTTAGAAAACTTAATCAAGGCTCAACTGCCCATTACCCGAGAAACTCCCTAAAAACTAGGAAACTTCTTTTTAGGAGTGGAAATTAGAGGCCCTAAAAGCACCTCGTTTACCCCAAATAGATTTATTTACTGATAGGCTTTTGTCTGTGTTTCCTTTGAAACACAATTTATGTGTCAGACTGTGTTTCCTTTGAAACACAATTTATCAAAGTATGATACTTGCATACATTCTTTTCAAATGGTAAAGAACAGTGCAGACAAAATAAAACCTGACTACGTTCCAGTTCTCCCTTCATGAAGACTAATTGCTGTTGGTAGTTCGGCATTTATCCTCCTAGTCCTTTTCTTGAGCATTTTCATACATGTACACGTAGTTTAAAAAACACCCATGAGAGACTTTATATATTCTGTGATTTGCTTTATTTGTTTGTTTATTTTTGAGATGGAGTCTCACTCTTGTTGCCCAGGCTGGAGCGCAATGGCACGATCTCGGCTCACTGCAACCTCCGCCTCCTGGGTTCAAGTGATTCTCCTGCCCCAGCCTCCTGAGTAGCTAGGACTACAGGCATGTGTCATCACACCCGGCTTATTTTGTGTTTTTAGTAGAGACAGGGTTTCTCCATGCTGGTCGCGATAATCCTGACCTCAGATGATCCTCCCGCCTCGGCCTGCCAAAGTGCTGGGATTACAGGCGTGAGTCACCGCCCACGGCCGCTTTATTTATTTTTTAGAAATGTCTTGATGGTCGTTCTAGGCCATACACAGATACTGACTGGGGTCTTTTGAATGGTGTAGTAACCGGTAGAAGGGGCTCTGCTAAAGGATGCGTTTCCACTGTTAGCCAGGCAGTGGCGAATGTGTCTGGGCTTATGTGTGAACGTTTCTGAAGCGGAGAGTGCTAGTGCGAGCCTTGGGGGTGCGCACATGGAGAGTTGAGATACTCCAGCGGTGCCGCCTGAAAGGCCACATCCACATGTGCCCCATCAGCACGCCTCCTGTTTCCCCTAGACCTTAAGCAGTGCTGATACCACGTCTTTTTAACCTCGCATACCTGTCTTACTGGTGAAAAGGGGGTTCTTTTTTGATTTCATTTCCCTGATATGAGTGAAGTTGAGTATCCATTCATTTGGAGATTGGCATGTGCTCCCTGGTGAGTAAATCTTTGCCACTTTCCTTTTGAGGTATTTGGCATTTTCATATTGTTTGAGGTGGCTTTTTATAACATCCAGAAGATACGGAATCTGTGGATGTGAATTCTTTATATACATAGAAAATATTTTTTTCCAGTCTGTCATCTTTTAACCTTATATATGGAGTCTTTTGCTCTACAGATCTTTATAATTGTATCTAATTAGATCTATCAGCATTTCCTTTAATGGTTTCTAGGTTTCGTGTCTGTGTCTTCCTTACCCCAGGATCATAAAATACCTTGAGTTTTAAAAAAAAAAAGTATAATTGTTAATGCATTTGAAATATATTTTTGTGAATAGGATGAAGTAGAAATCTCACTTCCTAGTTTTCAAATTTGCCAAAATAATCAACTATTGCTTCCCCCACTAGCTTGAAAGGCTGCATTTATCATAAACCAAATCCCCATATCCCCACACAGGTGTCTGTGGATGCATGTGTGTTTACTCTTCAGCCTCTAGGTAAGGAGCATTGTTCAGAAGAGGGGTGTGTATGGACAGTATAAAATACAGTTTCGCTTTACTGAGCAAGCTATATAGGGAAGCCTTCATAAATTGGGATAAAAGCCAGAGCAGTGAAGAAGGATATAAACATAAGTCAAATGAATACCCAAAACAGAAAATCTTAACATAGTGTGGTTAAAAAAGAAATAGTTGGTCAGGCGCAGTGTCTCACACCTGTAATCCCAGCACTTTGGGAGGCCGAGGTGGGCAGATCACCTGAGGTCAGGAGTTCGAGACCAGCCTGGCCAACATGGTGAAACCCCGTCCCTACCAGAAATAGAAAAATTAGCCGGGCGTGGTGGTGGGCACCAGTAATCCCAGCTACTCAGGGGGCTGAGGCAGGATAATCATTTGAACCCGGGTTGCAGTGAGCCAAGATCGTGCCATTGCACTCCAGCCTGGATGGCAGAGCAAGACTCTGTCTCAAAAAAAAAAAAAAAAAAAAAGAGTTACTTAGGTTTCTGCATCATAGAAGTTGAAATAAGGAAGCGGGAAACTGCACTCACTTGATCCACTTTTGTTTCTTTTGAATCCCTCTAACAGAAAGGTTATATCAAGTGTCATCTGTCCTGTTATAATCAACCTGGGTAGGTGCAACTGGAGAGCATTTGGTGGGGCAGGAAGTATTGATGGTGCTTACTTCCCCCTGTCTAGTCAGCTTTTTGGTAGTTCCTGAAGGGATCATTCTAGGCAGTGTACTGGTCTGAGATGTTTTAAGCAACAAAGGCATTTTGAGGAAGAACAAAACCATAAGTAAATGTATCTGGAGGTACCATCTCAAGGTATTCTGTTGCCTGTTGCCCTCTTTGCATGCTTTTTTAACAGGCTCCAGGCTGTGGGTGAACCCCATGGAGATAGGTGCGGGGACCTGCCGCGCAGTTGTGCAGCTGAGTGCCCATCTCCTTAGTGTTAGCCTGCCTCTGTGGAATGCTGATGCCCTCTCCCAGCATCCTGTCAGCCAGCCCTCTTGAATTTTTTAAAACTCAGATTTAATTTACATAAGATTTCACTGCATAGAAATTTTATTACCAGTCAAGCATTAAAATCAAGGCCATCTGAAAACAGGTAATGCAGTGACCTATCTTAACCATCCTGAAGTCCCAAAGACTCTAGGCCTTCTCAGTTTCTAAAAAAAATTCTTCTTAGGCTTTATTAGCTTGGGGGTTGGACTTTTCACTTGATTGAGTTTATTGTTAGTGTCCCCTAGCTAACCTCTCTTATCTCCGGGAGAAATGGAAAGCACCGGAGAGCATGGCCTCTCCCTAATCTAGCATGCCCTGCTGTTTGTTCCTCACCAGTGGCCCTGCACTCCAATGAGTAGTTGTGCGCTTTAGGTATTAACTCTTGAGCTCCTCTGTCCTTCCTCAAATTTATTTCACCAAATAGTGATTGTGTGCCCAGCACTGTGCCATGTACTGAGGGATACAGAGATAAGCCTCTGTCCTCCAAGGAACTCAGAATCTTGGACTGTGCTAAAGTGAGGACACACCTGCCTTTGTGATTTAGATACAGGTTTTATCCTGTTGAAAGCAGATAGATGGGTTGCTGCTGCTTCTGGTGGCATGAAAGAGGATGATAAAAGATCAGATTTCACCTGACTATGGTATATAAGTAGTTCGTTAGGGTTTTCTGGGCCCAAACCTCAGGAGCCTTGAGACCCTGGTGGGTACTGGGGACTGACAGCATCTGTAGTGCTTGCTTCTCAGTTCCTGATGCCCTGGAGGTGACACTTGCTGGTTTTCCTTACCTCCTGTCTTACAAAACCTGACTGCTTTTTTTTTCTAGGGGAAGTTGCCTACACGGATCACAGTTCCCCTCTCTGTGATCAGCCAGCCAATGAAGGGCAAGAGCGTGGTCACAGCCCCCATCATCAAAGGCAACCTTGGAGCCAAGTAAGTACTATGTCATGGTAAAGGAACCAATTCGGGGGTGGAGGTGGCAGGCAGGGCTTACCAGTCCTTGTCACCGAGTGGCAAAGTGGCTGGTCTTTCTGGGGCCCTTCTTTGACACCTCTGCTTTATTGTGCTCATCAACAGTATTTATTGAGCATCCAGTATTGTTTTAGGTGCAGTGATTAAAACAGATGAAAATCCCTGCTGTTCTCCAAGCATACATTGTAAAGTAGAGAAATAATAAAAAAGCAACATGCGTGGTGATACATACTGGAGAGAAAAGGGTGTGGGAAGTGCTAGGATGGGGCTCAGCTAGGTGTGAGGGAAGCCTCCCTTTGACATTTGAGCTCTGAACCTAAGCAGTTCAGGGAATGAGGGCCACCTGTGGCCTTAATTTAAACAGGGATAAAGGGCACGATGAAATGAGTCTGCAGTCTCAGGGCAGCTTGTGAGATGTGGCTATTAGGGGGAGCGTTTCTTGCAGAAGTGCACACCTCTCTGGGGCCCTGTCCACTATTCCTGCTGGTCGGGGCCAGGAGCCAAGGGCCATTTTATCCAGAGCACTGGGGTCTTCTGGGATTACTGTCTTCTCCTGCCATGGGAAGTGGTGAAGCTGGAAGAAAGGTGGTCTCAGCAGTTGGTTTCCATTTCAATCTGAAATGCTGGGATTTTCATTGGCACAGACCTCCCTGTTGTCCTTCAATACATGGCCTAAATCTGGGCCAGAGAATACCTGTCGATATCATTATATCTCACCCCTGCTTTCCCTCCACAGCCTCAGTGGGTTGGGCCGCAACATCATCCTCACAACTATGCCAGCAGGCACTAAGCTCATTGCTGGCAATAAGCCTGTTAGTTTCCTCACTGCTCAGCAGTTGCAGCAGCTTCAGCAGCAAGGTCAGGCCACACAGGTAAGGCCCAGGGCAAATTCTTGGCCATATCCGGCTCCTCTCTGATTCCACTGCTGTTCTTAACTGGTGAGCCCGCTTGCAATCCATTGACCTGACCTTCTGTCTTTGCAAACAGGTGCGCATCCAGACTGTCCCTGCATCCCATCTCCAACAGGGAACAGCTTCTGGCTCCTCCAAAGCAGTCTCCACTGTTGTTGTGACTACAGCTCCGTCTCCTAAACAGGCACCTGAGCAACAATGATTATGAGAGAGGATGGCTTCCGTGAAAGACCATGCCTGGTCTGTCCTGGCTGAGAAGGGACCAGGGAGGTTGCATCATTGTTTTAAGCTTGCCTGTTCAAGGCAGCCAGGCGAGGGGTGATGGCAACGGTGGCCTGGATTCGTGGCCTGGATTCTGCTGCCACGTGCCATAGTGGAGCACCCTGAGAAAGGTTCACTCCAGGGTTCCAAGGTCTGCTCTCTACCAATCTAGGAGAATATTCTGTTGAAATTGCAGGAATTACCAGTTACGTCCAACAAGCCAGAGTTCTGAGAGTAAGACCCCCAGGGAAGGCTTACCAGTTGCAGAGTGCACACAGCGAATAGGCTGGTTCTCCATGAGGATTGTATTTTTTGGCTTCTGGTCTTCTCCATGACTAGTGGTCTGGATAGGAGTTTTGTGTCCAGAAAATTTTATGTAATTTATTTTTTTAAAGAACCTGTTGTACATCTTTCTCAAATACAAACTTGGGCTTTAGCTGCCCCCTCCACTAAACCGATGACTTACTTTTTTGACTAGAATGAGAAAATGGCAAGAATCTTAGTAAGGTGGTAGCCAGCTTGGTAACTGCATAGTAATCGAGAGGCTGTAAGATGGGAATTCATCGTAGGCAGCGAGGTAGAGTGGGTCCCCTGAAATGGGATTCGCTTGGCACTGCCTCTTAAAGATAGGGGTGTTGGGATCTTGATTGTGGCCGCCCCCCCCAGCTTTACCTGCCCACTTTGTCCTTCTTGGCAAGCCTGTTCACATGGACGTCCAGAGCCAGTGGACAGAGAGGAGGGGACGGACAGCAGAGGTGCTGCTTTTGCAGCAGAAACTTTGTTGCAGTTCAGAGTATACCTTCTGCTCTGCTCCAGAGCAAGAGTTGCAAACCAGGCCCTTGGGGCTGGCCATTTGTTTTTGTAAATAAAGTTTTATTGGAACACAGCCCAGACCAATTTGTGTTTGTATTATCTGTGGCTGCTTTCAGATTCGAAGGCAGAATTGAGTAGTTGACATAGAGACTGGATGGCCCTGAAGCCTAAAGTATTTCCTATATGGCCTTTTAAGTAAAAGCGTTTTTTGTTTGTTTGTTTGTTTGTTTGTTTGTTTGTTTTTGTGGCCAGAGGCGGTGGCTCACGCCTCTAAATCCCAGCACTTTGGGAGGCCAAGGCGGGCGGATCACGAGGTCAGGAGATCGAGACCATCCTGAACAACATGGTGAAACCCTGTCTCTACTAAACTACAAAAAATTAGCCGGGCGTGGTGGTGTGCACCTGTAGTCGCAGCTACTCGGGAGGCTGAGGTAGGGGAATTGCTTGAAGCCGGGAGGCGGAGGCTGCAGTGAGCCGAGATCATGCCACTGCACTCCAGCCTGCAAGACTCCATCTCAAAAAAAAGTTTTTTGACCCTTGATCCAGAGTAGAGATGGTGGAGGACAGTGGGGGTGCAAGGAACAGGGATCTGTCTGCCTGGCAGTACCAGCCCCAAAAGAAGCCAGTCTAGATTTGCAGGTCATTTAATCCTGGCTATTTCACGCTTCTCAGCCTCTCAGCTACAGGCAGAGCTCAGGACGATATTTTAAAATGTAATTAATTCAAGCACTGGTTGTCAACAATATATGCATCTCTTGTTTTGGGGCAGCAGTGAGTGGTAAAGGCTTTCTGAGGTGATGGTGCTCCCTGTTTCTCTTGAAAGAGCCCAAGTTATTAAAAACGTATCTTTGGCCGGGTGCGGTGGCTCACGCTTGTAATCCCAGCACTTTGGGAGGCCGAGGCGGGCGGATCACGAGGTCAGGAGATCGAGACCATCCTGGCTAACACGGTGAAACCCCGTCTCTACTAAAAATACAAAAAAATTAGCCGGGCGTGGTGGCGGGCGCCTGTAGTCCCAGCTACTCGGGAGGCTGAGGCAGGAGAATGGCGTGAACCCGGGAGGCGGAGCTTGCAGTGAGCCGAGATTGCGCCACTGCACTCCCGCCTGGGCCACAGAGCAAGACTCCGTCTCAAAAAAAAAAAGTATCTTTAATTTTTGGAGTGTATTGAAGCTCTTGTGGGTTGAAGAGGTGGAGCTGAAGGATGTGGGATGGAGGCAGCCTGGCTTAGTTGTTGGGTGGTTAGGGGGTTGCGAAGCGGAGGAGGGTCTGGGAGGCTGGTTGGCTCCACAGCTGTTTCACAGACATTTTGTTTAATTCTTAGAGCAATTTTGTAAAATCAGTGTCATCATTCCCCTTTAACCGTTGGAAGACATGAGTCTGAGTTGAAGTTAAAGAGAAGCTTCTGATTCTAAGTCAAGTCTCTCTCTGTTGCCTTCCTCCGGGCAGGAGGGCTGTGATGTATCCTGGCGAGCCTGGGGGCGATCCAGTCTTAGGAGGTGGGAGGCCTGCATTGCAGAGAGCAGAGGTGAATGGGCCTCCCAGGTTGAGCTTGTGATGGGCAAGTAGACTGGCACGGGATGAGGTTGGCAGTGGGGAGAGGTAGGATGCAGTGCGGGGAAATGGGCCTTTCCACCTGAGAAAGGCGAGTGTGTCTGCGTTTGATAATCCTTTGATATTTGCGTATCTGTTATTTTCAAGAATCACATTTCACATAGAAAGCCATGTGACAGTTTTTAAATTAAAAAAAAAAAAAGGTAGAAATTCCAGAGATCTTGTCTTAGGTATTTACTGCCAGCTACAAACAAACCCCTTTTGAATTTACTTAACAAGGAATTTAATAAAAGTAGCTCTGGCATTCAGCCGCAGCCCTGCCCACATTCCTGTTAGCTGAGGTCACCTGACTCTGCTTGTCGTTTTTGCACAGGCAGACGTGTGCATTCTGGAGAGCAGGGAGTGAGTGTAAAGTTTAGGCTGCGTCAGGATGCTGACTCCTCAGAAGTGTAACTTCGGCACTATCCAGCCTGTGGGTGGAATGGCAATAGCGGAGAATGGGAACTTCCTACTGGAGCTGTTTACGGTGACAGCCCAGGATTTGTGCCACACTTGCTTCCTTCATATGCTGGCTTCAGGTTTCTGATAGATGAATGGCACAGCTATGGTGAGTGTTTTGTTTTTGTTTTTGTTTTTGAGATGGAGTCTCACTCTGTAGCCCAGGCTGGAGTGCAGCGGCAAGATCTCAGCTCACTGCAACCTCCGCCTCCTGGGTTCAAGTGATTCTCCTGCCTCAGCCTCCTGAGTAGTTGGGATCAATCACAGGCACGTGCCACCACGCCCTGCTAATTTTTGTATTTTTGGTAGAAATGGGGTTTCACCATTTTGGCTAGGCTGGTCTCCAACTTGTCACCTCAGGTGATCTGTCTGCCTCAGCCTCCCAAAGTGCTGGGATTACAGGCGTGAGCCACTGCACCCAGCCATGGTGGGTGTTTTGTAGGGAACAATTTCAAAAGGACTTCTGGTGGCAACCATTGAGCCTCTGGTTGACAGATATGGGTAAAATTATTCAGAAAACATATCTAAGACAGGATGTGGAGAATAGTACTGTCATCAGTTTATACTTTAATACCACATCTAACAATGTTTATGATAGGGTTGATCACTTCCATGAAGGCATCACAAGCCTTGCTGTGTGAAGGGCATCTGAATACATTTTAATATTTTATATCTGTTCTTCACACCTTAGCCCCTCACTCTGGAGAAAATAGTACATTTTCTTTCTTAAAATATGGTACACTTAAAGAAACCTCAAATGTGGATCTTTTCTTTGAAAGTAAAACTGAACAGGTCCTTCTGCCCACCTGCAGTCCCCAAGGAAAGAACACATGTTACGTTCATTGCCAATAATAGGTCCTTCAGTACTTGTTGAATGAAGAATACTTGTGTTTTTCCACTGGCCAACCAAGGTGGATCCTGAAAGTGGAACCCGGAGTTCTCTAATAACTAAATTAGTGTTTTTAGTAGCTCATTTTGAATCCCTAAGCTGTGACTTCAACTCTGAAAGGCTGGCTAACTCTGGGAGGTTACCTTCACTTAATTAAGTACAGCATTTCTTCCAAAGCGCATGCAGTGCTTTATGTAAATTCTCTCTCCTGGATTTGTGTGACGTAGCAGGGTTAGAATGGTGAGACAGATGCCTGGTTTTGGAGTCATAAGACTGGCTTTGCCACCTAGCATCTGTGTGGTCTTAGGCCAGCCAACTTTTCTTTTTTTTTGAGATGGAGTCTCACTCTGTTGCCAGATTGGAGTGCAGTGGCATAATCTCGGCTCACTGTGCAACCTCCGCCTACTGGGTTCAAGTGATTCTCCTGCCTCAGCCTCCCAAGTAGCTGGGACTACAGGTGCTCACCACCACACCAAGCTAATTTTTATATTTTTAGTAGAGACAGGGTTTCACCATGTTGGCCAGGATGGTCTCGATCTCTTGACCTCATGATCCACCCGCCTCGGCCTCCAAAAGTGCTGGGATTACAGGCGTGAGCCACCGCGCCCTGCTAGGCCAGCCAGCTTTTCTGAAAGACCTCATGCTCTTACACATTACAAGCGGTTGTGAGAATCAAATGAGATAGGGTGCATCTCAGAATCTGAAAAATACTATGCACACGGAAAGTATTATTTGGTCTCTAAGGCCCATCAACTTGGTCCTAACTCACTTTTATCAGTTTGTAGAACTTAATCTTTTTAAGTTCTCCGTATTTTTTTATGCTTTCATTTTTTAATGTGCTACCCTCTCTACCTGGGATGTGCTTTTTCTACAGGGCAAGCTCTGCATTTCCCCTCCTCTCCTTTTTCTCATCGTGGTTTGTACTTGCCTCTCAGCACCCATCACACTGGATGTAACTACAGGCATGTCTCTCCTGTTTGACTGTAAACTCCTTGCTGGACACATATCTCAGGAGTCCTTACAGCCATTTCAGTGCTGTTGCAAAGTGGATATTTAATAAATATTTGTTGAAGGAAGTCTGTTTGCTTGTTTTTGAGACAGAGTCTTGCTCTGTCACCTAGGCTGGAGTACAGTGGCATGATCTGGGCTCACTGCAAGCTCCCCTACCGGGTTCATGCCATTCTCTTGCCTCAGCCTCCCGAGTAGCTGGAACTACAGGCGCCCGCCACCACACCCGGCTAATTTTTTGTATTTTCAGTAGAGACGGGGTTTCACCATGTTAGCCAGGATGGTCTTGATCTCCTGACCCCGTGATCTGCCTGCCTCGGCCTCCCAAAGTGCTAGGATTATAGGCGCGGTGAAGGAAGTTTTTTTAAAAAAAGAACAGATCCAGAAGCAAGATTAGGGTATCAAGATTTTACATTACTAATTCTGAATTCGTTATCCTTTGCTTTCAGCCATATTAAAACTGAAAGCCTTCCATACCTGACGTTTTTCTATCTCATTATACAGCTTTCCTGTCAGATCTTCTTTTAGGGTGACTTTGAAGAATCAGAACATCAGGGCTCCAACTCTCAGTAGAGCCAGTAACCAGCTTCCTGATTTAAAAAAAAATCACCTTTGGCCTAATTTTGTCACTTATAAACAGTGGTATTGCAGTACCCTGGTATGATTAGTTATGATATGTTTAACAATAATTTTAAAATACCAAAGCTTGTGAATTATTTTACTTTCAAAAAATATGTAAGTTAGAATTGTAATTCTAAAGGCACTGTCGTTTGCTTACACATTCTAACATATTTCTAATAAGAAAGTACCTGCTTTCTTAAGAGAAAAAGGGATAAGTTACCAAAAGCAGCACGTTCTCCTGGGCTCATACCCCGGATTCATCCATGAGGCCACTTCCATTGTAAAGCTTTTAGCATCTCTTGATTTCTCTTGACACTGAGGCACAAAGGCCTGCTACTTATAGGCATTACTTCATTTTTCCTTATGAAGGGTACTATACCAACACAGACTTTATAGTATGTTTAAAAATCCCAACTGCAAGATACACAGGATGCTGTAGGCCTGATTTCCTGTTGTAGAACCTCCAGCCCTGTGTTGAATGAGGAGGTGCAAATATATAGACCCTTAAGATCAGACCACAGCAGGCATTCAGGTGGAGGGGATGAACTCCATTCATTCCAGCTGTGCAGTGGGACATCTGCGCCCTCCGCATCTCGGCTCATTCCTCATCTGAGCCACTCAAGAGGGCGGTCTGGTAAGTGTCATCTGAATTCAGCTTCTGAATTCCAATGATTTCTCCCCTTCCGTGTCTCTTCATCCGAGTCAAAAGGCTTTAATAGAGAAAGAGTAAGAGCCAATTAGCCAGAGATTCCCTTAATCCATTACCAAGGATGTGAAGGCATCTACTGATTCTTAAACTATTTTCTTTATATTTCTATCAAATACTGTGATTACATGTCTATAAACTAGACTTCTTAGGAAATATTCATCAGTAGATAAAGGGGCGATGGTGGAAACTACTGAATGTCATAATTGAGGCCAAGGTCTTGCCTATCTTGGTTTACTGTTTCAGTGGCTGGGCAGGAGAACTAAAAGAAACTGACTTGAGCTCCCTTCTCTTTGGTCCGTGTGGAACTCTTTCTGGATGAAATAATGGCAAAAATCACCGTTACTTTTGCACCAACCTAATATTCTGCTTGGGATCTAGAGAAATGACCTAGAAGAAAAGGTAGAGGCAGCCGAACAGCAAATAGAACTGGTAATACCATTTGCTAAAATTCACCCTTGCACTGAGAGGCTCTGCCATTTATTAGTGGGGTGACCTTGGTCAAGTTACTCAGCTTTTTGAAGCCTTGTTTTCTCCACCTGTAAAAAATAACAGTGCATACTTCATAAAGCAGTGAAGATTAAATGGGATAATAGAGTGTAGCTGCTTTCCACTGGGCCTGGGGCGCAGCAAGTGCATAGGAGTCCATAGCTGTTATCTGTATACCTCTAAGGAGCCTTCAGTGAGGGGTGGAGTGCAGTTTGTCTTAACATTCTGCTCTGGTTTATTTTTTGACTGTCACATCATTTCTGGGAAGCAGGGAGGGCAGGTCTGGAAATAAGATGATGGGTCCAGAATGAACCCTTTACGTGGGGACTGCCATCCAGTACTGATTCCCATTTCAGTATTCCCCACCACACCATAGGCTTAAAATCTGTGAGACCTGCATTTGAAACCTGGGTCCCTCAGGTTACTATGACTTTGAAAAGCCCTCAGGTCATTAAACTTTGAAAAGCCTCATTCCCCTTGTTTGCAAATAAGGGTAGTGATACCTTCCCTGCATGAGAGTACCTTGCACAGAATTTGGCCTGTAGTCGGCACTCATCAGATGGTGCAAGTTAATCACATCAGTCCTGCTTAGAGTTAGGAGGAAAAGCTTCACTGAAGTCTCAGACATACCAGTAAACAAGAGAATAGTTGACGGCCACAATGCTGAGGGCAGCCAGGTAGTGCCAGCAGAAGCACATGGTGATGAACATGAGGTTGGCATCATCCTTCTGGTCCCATTCGGGTGTTCCAAAAGGTGGGAACAGCACAAACCCAATCTAGGGGATTACAGAGAGAAGTTGGTCTTGTGGTTGGTCGTCCTGAGAAGCAATCTAGCCGTTCTCCTGTGGCCACCGAAGTGGCCCATGTGTGACCACCGCCTCATAGTTCCCACACTTCGTTAGCATAGAAAGGCCTTTTCACATAGAAAAATGGCTCTGGCCAGGTATGGTGGCTTACGTCTGTAATACCAGCACTTCGGGAGGCTGAGGCAGGCGGTTTACAAGGTTAGGAGTTCAAGACCAGCCTGACCAACATAGTGAAACCCTGTTTCTACTAAAAATACAAAAAATGAGCTGGGCATGGTGGTGGGCACCTATAATCCTAGCTAACTGGGAGGCTGAGGCAGGAGAATTGCTTGAACCTGGGAGGCGGAGGTTGCAGTGAGCCGAGATCATGACACTGCACACCAGCCCGGGCCACAGTGCGAGACTGTCTTAAAAAAAAAAAAAAAGCCGGGCGCGGTGGCTCATGCCTGTAATCCTAGCACTTTGGGAGGCTGAGGTGGGTGGATAATGAGGTCAGGAGATTGAAACCATCCTGGCTAACACGGTGAAACCCCATCTCTACTAAAAATACAAAAAATTAGCCAGGCGTGGTGGCGGGCGCCTGTAGTCCCAGCTACTTGGGAGGTTGAGGCAGGAGAATGGCGTGAACCTGGGAGGTGGAGCTTGCAGTGAGCCAAGATTGCGCCACTGCACTCCAGCCTGGGCGACAAAGCGAGACTCTGTCTCAGAAAAAAAAAAAAAAAAAAAAGGCTTCAGCTTAATTTTGGTTGTATAGGCTTACTTAAAAACACAAGTCCAGGTGCAGTGGCTCACGCCTATAATCCCAGCTCTTTGGGAGGCTGAGGCAGGCGGATCACTCGAGTTCAGGAGTTCGAGACCAGCCTGGCCAACATGGTGAAACCCTGTCTCTAAAAATACAAAAAAATTAGCCAGGTGTGGTGGCGGGCACCTGTAACCTGAGCTACTCAGGAGGCTGAGGCATGAGAATCGCTTGAACCTGGGAGATGGAGGTTGCAGTCAGCCAAGATTGCGCCACTGCATTCTAGCCTGGGTGACAGGGTGAGTCTCTCTCAAAACAAACAACAAAACAGAACTTCAGGGCCCACGTTTCCAGTGGACAGTTTAGCAAGCAGAGCCTGTGAAAGGCATCAGCCCATCCTCTGGGGAGGGCAGCTGAACGTCACCGTGCATGCTTTAAATTTTGGATTGCTAATGCATCCTCTGGATGTTAATGGATAAAACTAGGAGTCAAAGGGCGGGCATGGGGGGAAAAGGGTCATCTAAACCCCTTTGCATGGCATGTTAATGCTGCATTTTCAGACCCCATATTCTCGTCAGGGATTTCTCTGGGATGCGCTCGGTGGGGGCTTCTCCATCCAGACCAGCGAGGGGCCTGGGTGTGGAAAATCACCTGCCAGAACCAGGTTCCCTGAAGAATGATGAGACTGGTTCGGAAAAGTTCCAGCACAATGTGGTCCCGGAAGATCACCTCTAGGGAGATACTAACACACCCTCCGAACAGAGCATACAGCAGGAGTGAGTGGATGTGCTGGTCCAGCGGAGGCCGGTTGTGGACGTGGTAGTAGAAGAGGAAACCTGCCACAAACCAGATGGCAGCTGTCAGGGCTACGCTTGGCTTTCACCATCACCGAAGTTTCCTCCTACACCTGTCTCAGCTAGGTTCTTCAGCATTTAGGCAGTTAGTACATAACATTACAGGCAGCAAACAGATGCGAGTAAGTGTATTTCATGAGTATGTTAGGAGTATAAAGCAGCAAGGGATTGTATCTTAAAATCTCTATGGAACCCATGGTGGGGTCAGTATAGGATGGGCCGGCTGAAGCATGTTGCTGATTTGTAACAGACTGTGTGTGTATACTTGAAATTCAGTTTTGCCCTCAACCTTTTTCGACTCTTGCTGAGGTACAGAAGTGAGGTTGTTAGATGACAAAATGTATTTTCATACCCCAGTCAGTGTGAGTCATACTGGCAGCGCTCCCCTGGCAGTGGAGTGGGTCTCCTGAGGCTTGTGATGGAGGCAAGACGGTACCTCCCTGGGCAAAAGGTAGAGTGTGGTTTCGCTTAACCAAAGGGGTGTATCCCCTGCATGGTGGCATTCAACCAGCTGGGGCATTGTGTGTACCCGCATGTGTATGTGCGCACATACGTCCACACCGAGGAATATGCACGTGTGTGAGCAGGGGCTGCTGGCGGCAGTGGGAAGGCGAGGAGGACTCCTGCAGTGTTAGCCGGGGCTTTGGTAGCTGCCTTCAAGCCTCAAAGCTTTCATGAGCTACTTTAGGGAATATGTCACCTGGCCCATCCAGAGTAGAGCACTAGGTCCTATTCAGGTTTTGGCAGTCCAGAGATGTGGATTTTCTGGGGGAGGTTATTATATTTGCAACATTTCTGATATTTTGTACTCTGATCCTTCATAAATATGACTTGTCAGGCTCTCCTTCCTCTCCATCCGTTCCACAAAATTACCTTCCATGAATACTGCCACAGCCATAACCAGTCTGTCCACCCCCAAGGGAACGTGGCTGACCAGATAGGTGAGCATGTCAACAATTCCTGAGACTGCAAAGAATAGGTACATGGTGCTGTGCTGCCAATTCATTAACTTTATCCAGTGGTTCTCATGGTAGAGGTGCAGGTGGGGCCCATCCGGAACAAACTGCTCTGCCAGGATCCCTGCAGGGAAATGAGGATGGATGTTTTAGAGGGAAGAGTAGCTCTAAGACAAATAGGAGCAAGGAATAACCCAAAGGCATGAGCGAAGCGGAGATGGGGTGAGGTGAGGGTGGCCCGCGGGTCAGCAGAGCTACTTTGCTGCCTCAGGTGCAGCTGCTTCAGTATAAAGTAGGGTGTGTGCTGAGTCACCTGTGTAGACATCTTGCCATTGTTGTTCCTTTTAGGGGTTTGGGGTTGAGGGTAGAAGAATCAATGAACACAACCACACACACATAGATCCCCAGGAGGTTTGTCCAGGAGCAGAGATGAGCAAGACATCATCACTTAAGTCGGAGTGTGGCTGATAGAATAATCTCTGGGCTTCCCTGCCAAGTGAGCAGTGAAAGAAATCCCAGACAGAAACAATTAGGCTGAAAGCAGAATCTGAGCAGAGACACACTGGTAATGAAGATACCTGTACGTGCCAAGGGAGGGAAGCGGCTCCCAGGTGCGTGTCTGCAGGGCTGATTTTGAGTGCGTGTCCTTCCTGGGCACAGAGCCAGCTCTGCAAGCCCTGCGCCCCTCCCAGCTGTGTGTTTTAAAACACCGGGTAAACAAGGCAGAGGCCCCAGGATGTGGGCCAGAAAATGACGAAACTGCGACACAGGATAGCTCTTAGTTCTTATCCCTTCTACTTTTATCAGCTAATTTGGAAGGCAAAAGATTTGTCTTTATGCCTGGTACCCAAAGTGTTCTTGGGGAAGCCTAGAAGAAATCCTCCATGATGACATTTTGGACTCCGTTTCCCAGATACTTGTTTCTCAAGCCAGACCCTTTTTGAATTCCCACACACAGAGTCAGGAAGTTGTGGAAATGACCCAGGAAAAGTCCCAGTGACACTAGAATGGAAGCCCTGTGACAGCAGCGGCTGTGTGGTTCCCCAGTGTATCTCCTATGCCTGGAACAGTGACTTCCTGGCTTGTGGTAGGAGTGCCAGAGAGCTGTTGAATGAGTACCATTTTCACCCAGTCAAGGGGCCAAATATTGTAATTGTCCTAGCTTTATTTAGGCAAGGTTGATGCTGTCCTGATCCTTTAAGCCACAGGTCCCTGTCACTTCTCACGGGAGGCCTCTCTGATGCCTGAATGGTGAGTGGGGACATTCAGCAGGATGAGACCAACAAAGCCCTGTGAAGCTTTGCTTCCTCCAAGAGAAGCGATGTTGCTTCACTCTCTCCAAGAAGCCATAGGCCACTGATGACAAGTGGTAATTGTCAGTTGCAGATTAAGACCCCTCATTCCCCCCAGGTGGGGCTGGTCCTGAGGAAGAACACTTGTTACTGTCATCACTGCTTGTTCCTGGAGGGCCGCAGTGGAGCGGAGTGGATGCGAAGGAAACAGTGGGAGTGGGTGGATCTTGTTGGAATGGGGCAGAGTGAAGGAAAATTCCTCTTCAACAGCCCTCTGCTGCTTTTTCTCTCCCACTGGCTAATTTACGAATCTACATAAACTCTCTATAAGCGCTTGAGACTTGAGGATGAAGATAAGCCAGTGGGTTGGGTGTTAACTACTGTAAGGATCTGGAGGGAGAGACAATTGAGGAAAAAAGGTGATTTTTCTACTTTGTCACAACTAAGGTACGTGAGCCTAATCTATTTTGTTTTTTTCTCTTTTTATTTGTGTCATATCTTTTTCATACAGTGGGTGTTTTGCTCCTACAACTTTCCATACCTGTGTCCTTGTTGATTTGAGTTTTTCACAGTGTCCCATGATGTGAGAGCTGTCAACCGTTAGTATTATAAAGCTCTGTACACAATGGATGTTACGATAAAATAGTCTAGTGGCCATCAGGAAATTGTTGCCCTATTATCTCTGCCAGTGGGAACATCTATTTCACAGGGCTCAGAAAATGAATTAAAGGTTCTGGGTATGATGAGGAGATTCCCTAGACCAAATGACCCCTGCTCTTACCAGTGACGGAAAACAAAGTCCTAATTGCGGCTTCGACGATCTCGAGACGCTGATAGTAATGTAGTGGGCTGTTCTTCCGCGTGTGGCTAAAGTACTTCAGCGGGTACTTCACTGACCAACACAGCCCAATGATCAGGAAGAAACTCCCTGGAAGCGCGTGGCCCTTGAAATTTGCCATCAGGACACCTAAAAAATTAGGGGAAGGCTGTTAGGTGGCTAATGAAGCAAGCAAACAAATGTATATTTTGGCAGGAAACACAATACGTGCCTGAGATTGCAAATCATAAGCCACGTTAAGAAGGATCAACACATTCTCATAAAACAAGCCTTATGTTACGTCACTGAAGTCTCATCTGTAAAGTGAGTTGCATAACCAACTGGACTCCACTGTCTGTAATGCTTTAAACATGTGGGTAAAATAAAAGGATGAGGGTGGGGAAAGAGGAGGATAGGTAATATTTATTGATCTCAGATAGAGAAAACTTCCAAGCCATAAACATAAAGGGGGGAACTAGAAAAGAAAAACGTTCAGCTATATAAGCATCTTTTAATATCAAGAACATCAAAAGGTAAACAACAAATCAGAAACATGCTTGTAGCAGTTGGCTATTACATTAGAGTCTTTACAAATTGATAAGAAAAAGACCGTAGAAGAATAGGCAGAAGACATGAACGGATGATTCACAAAATAATACAAACAAATTATAAATCTCCCGGAAATTAGAGATGGGCAAACGAAAGCACAACATCATTTTTCACCCAACTGGAAAATAATTTTATAAAGTTTTGGTGTGGTGGTCTAGTACAAATGAACCTGGTCAATATGATTCACAGTTTGTAAAAATCAGCATAACGATGTAAACATCACCTTATTCCAAAAATTTTCAGGCATGATTTGCTGTTATCCCATTTGCAGTAGCATGAAACTATAGCTAGGATTTATTCAGAAGTAGATTGATTATTTTCCCCACTGGCCTGGGTGGTTACCTAAAGAATATGTAGGGTGGGAGAAAAATACCAGTTGTTGGTGATTGCTGTGGTTTGAATGTGTCCCCTCCAAAATCCAGGTGTTGCCAAGGTGATAGCATTAAGAGAAGGGGACTTTTTTTTTTTTTTTGAGGCAGAGTTTCACTCTGTCACCCAGGCTGGAGTGCAGTGGCACGATCTTGGCTCACTACAACCTCTGCCTCCCAGGTTCAAGCGATTCTCCTGCCTCAGCCTCCCGAGTAGCTGGAATTACAGGCACCCGCCACCACGCCTGGCTAATTTTTATATTTTTAGTAGAGACGGGGTTTCACCATGTTGGCCAGGCTTTTCTCGAACTCCTGACCTTAGGTGATCTGCCCACCTCGGCCTCCCAAAGTGCTGGGATTACAGGTGTGAGCCACCACACCCGGCCGAGAAGAGGACTTTTAAGAAGGGACTAGGCCATGAGGGCCCCTCCCTCCTGAACTAGGAGCAGATGCCCTCCCTCATACAGGGGTTGGCTGGAGGGAGCTGGTCCCCTGTTTGTCCTCCTGCATGTGAGGATGCAGCCCTCAGCAGACACCAGATGCTGCTGCCTTGATCTTGGACTTCCCAGCTTTCAGAACAGTGAGAAATAAATTGTTGTTCTTTATAAATTACCCAGTCTGCGTATTGTGTGATATCAGCACAACAGGGACTAAGACAGAAATTGGTACCAGAGGAGTTTATAACATTTATAACCAGGGGTTATAACAAATATGTAAAAATGTGGGGGTGGCTTTGGAACTGGATAATGAATACAAGCTGGAACAGCTTTGAAGTGAGTGCTGAAAAAAGCCTGGATTGCCATGAACGGAGCACTAAGGATGATTCTGGTGAGGGCTCAGAAGAAGAGGAGAGCTGTAGATGTGGGATATGAGCTGTGGGGAAAGCCTCGTTCTTAGAGATTGCCTAAGTGGTCATGAACAGAATGTTGATAGAGATACCGATGGTGAAGGCAATTCTGATGAGGTCTCAGACAGAAATAAAGAACAAGGTATTGGAAACTAGAAGAAAGGTTATCCTTGTTAGAAAGTGGTAAAGAACTTACCTGAATTATGTCGTTTCCTAGGACTTCATGGAGGGCAGAACTTAAGAATGATGACCTAGGATATTTGGCAGAAGAGATAGAAAGCAAAGTGTTCAGGATGCTGTGTGGCTTCTCTTAACTGCTTATAGAAAAACATGAGAGGCCAGGTGCGGTGGCTCACGCCTGTAATCCCAGCACTTTGGGAGGGCGAGGCAGGCAGATCACCTGAGGTCAGGAGTTCGAGATAAGCCTGACAAACATGGTGAAACCCTGTCTCTACTAAACATAAAAAAATTAGCCGGGCGCGGTGGCAGGAGCCTGTAGTCCCAGCTACTCGGGAGACTGAGGCAGGAGAATCGCTTGAACCCGGGAGAGGGAGGTTGCAGTGAGCCGAGATCGCGCCATTGCACTCCAGCCTGGGTGACAAAAGCAAAACTCCATCTCAAAAACAACAACAACATCAACAAAAAAAAAAACGTGAGAAAAGAGAAATAATTTGAAGGCAGAATTTACCATCAAAAGGAAAGCTAAAGGTCAATATCTGAAAAATTCTCAGCCTAGCCATGAAAAAGAGAAAAACGTGTGTGTAGGAGAGAAAACCACGGGTATGGCCACAGGACTGATAAGCAGGTTAGTATGTGTAGAAGGAAGCCAGGTGCTAGTTATCAAGAGAACGGGAAAATGACCCCAAAGTCATTTCGGAAAATGACTCCAAAGCCATTTCGGAGAATGACCCCAAAGGCATTTGGGGCTGCCTTGCTCATTAGAGGCCCAGAGGGTTAGAGCCTTGCGGCAGAACAGTTTCAGGGGAAGGGCCCAGGCGCCTGCGGGGTCTCAGAGATCACTGCCTAGGGCCACCTCAGGTCTCTGCTCCCCACATTTCCAGCAGAGCATTCCTCCGTCACCCTAGCTGTGGCTCAAGCAGGACCAGGTGCAGGTTGGGCCACTGCTCCAGAGGGCGCAAGTTATAAATCTTGGTGGCATCCATGTGGTGCTGACTCTGTAGGTATGCATACTGTATGAGCTGTGGGAGCACGGCCGCCTCCACCTCGATGGAAAGGATTTCTTTGACCTCAGGGCCCGAGCAGAGATTTGTCACCGGGGTGGAGCCACTGCAGAGAGCCCCCAGTAGGCCAATACTTAGGGAAGCCTTGGAGGTGGTATCACCTGGAGCCTTGGGGGCCCAACACCCACCCCAGTGTGTTCAGAAGGTGAGATATGGAGTCAGATAATATTATTCTCAAGCCTAAGATCTAATGTTGAGTTTTGGACTCACTTGAGACCTGTTGTTACTCCTTTCTTCCTTCCTGTTTCTCCCTTTTGGACTAGAAACATCTGTCCTGTGCCTGTCACGCCATTGTATTTGAATCAAAGTACGCAACTCATTTGAATTCACAGGCTCACAGCTGGAGAGAAATTTGCCTCAGGATGAAATTTATCTCAAAGTGAATGAGTCTCTCTCACACCTGACTTAGATAAGATTCTGGACTTAGATTTTAAAGTTCATGTTGGAATGATTTAAGGCTTTTGAGGGCAATTGTGGTGGAATGAATGTATTTTGTTTGTGAGAAGTACGTGAATTCTGGGGGGCCAGGATTGGAATGCTATGGTGTGAATGGGTCCCCTCCAAAATTCAGGTGTTGCCGGTGTGATAGTATTAGATGTGGGGCCTTTAAGAGCTGATTAAGCCATGAAGGTTCCTCCCTTGTGGATGGGATTAAGCACCCTTATAAAGGGCTGAATGGAGGGAGTTGCTTCCCTTTTTTGCCCTTTCTGCCATGTGAGGCTACAGCCTTCAACAGACACCACATACCAGTGCCTTGATATTGGACCTCCAAACCTTCAGAACTGTGAGAAATAAATTTGTTCTTTATAAGTTACCCAGTCTGTGGTATTTTGTTGTAGCAGCACAAGCAGACTGAGACAGTGATCTAGAAAAGACCACCCCGGAATGTAAAGCATTCCTGGTCTGCACAGCATATTCCAACCCTGGACACAGGCCCGTCCCTCTAGCACCAGCTACATTGTCAGGGCTGTTTCACATCTTACACATTGACAGATGAGGGTCCCACCCATCATCAAGAACTTCATAAGCCCTCTCCCTCTCCCTCTCCCTCTCTTTCCACGGTCTCCCTTTCATGCCGAGCCGAAGCTGGACTGTGCTGCTGCCATCTCGGCTCACTGCAACCTCCCTGCCTGATTCTCCTGCCTCAGCCTGCCGAGTGCCTGGGATTGCAGGCCCGCGCCGCCACGCCTGACGGGTTTTCGTATTTTTTTGGTGGAGACGGGGTTTCGCTGTGTTGGCCGGGCTGGTCTCCAGCTCCTAACCGCGAGTGATCCGCCAGCCTCGGCCTCCCGAGGTGCCGGGATTGCAGACGGAGTCTCGTTCACTCAGTGCTCAATGGTGCCCAGGCCGGAGTGCAGTGGCGTGATCTCGGCTACAACCTCCACCTCCCAGCTGCCTGCCTTGGCCTCCCAAAGTGCCGAGATTGCAGCCTCTGCCCGGCCGCCACCCCGTCTGGGAAGTGAGGAGTGTCTCTGCCTGGCCGCCCATCGTCTGGGATGTGAGGAGCCCCTCTGCCTGGCTGCCCAGTCTGGAAAGTGAGGAGCGTCTCTGCCCGGCCGCCATCCCATCTAGGAAGTGAGGAGCGTCTCTGCCCGGCCGCCCCTACTGGGAAGTGAGGAGCCCCTCTGCCCGGCCACCACCACCCCATCTGGGAGGTGTACCCAACAGCTCATTGAGAACGGGCCATGATGACAATGGCGGTTTTGTGGAATAGAAAAGGGGGAAAGGTGGGGAAAAGATTGAGAAATCGGATGGTTGCTGTGTCTGTGTAGAAAGAAGTAGACATGGGAGACTTTTCATTTTGTTCTGTACTAAGAAAAATTGTGCCTTGGGATCCTGTTGATCTATGACCTTACCCCCAACCCTGTGCTCTCTGAAACATGTGCTGTGTCCACTCAGGGTTAAATGGATTAAGGGCGGTGCAAGATGTGCTTTGTTAAACAGATGCTTGAAGGCAGCATGCTCGTTAAGAGTCATCACCACTCCCTAATCTCAAGTACCCAGGGACACACACACTCTGCCTAGGAAAACCAGAGACCTTTGTTCACTTGTTTATCTGCTGACCTTCCCTCCACTATTGTCCTGTGACCCTGCCAAATCCCCCTCTGCGAGAAACACCCAAGAATGATCAATAAAAAAAAATAAAAAAAAATAACTTCATAAGCTTTTAAAAAAATGCTTACAGTTTTCAGAAAATCAACTCGTATGAAAGACTTATAGTGAAAAGCAACAGCCTCATGTTCTGTCCCTCCTCACCCCCAGCAAAGCCACTTTCAACCCTTTCAGCTGTTTCCTCCGGTATTTACCTCCACCATTGTAGTTAATGGGTGGGTGCAAACGTAATGGCAAAAACCACAATTACTTTTGCACCAACCTAATGCTTTGTGCATGTGGTCATTTGTTAATCCATCATTGTCAGGCATCACCTACCAACTTCCTGGAGCTCTCTCACAGCCTCTCCCTCTTCCCCACCCTGCTATTTTCATAGCAGTTGCATTATACTCGTTTGTTGAAATCATTAGTTTCATTATCATGGCTCTGTAAATCCAAAGTCCTTACCAGGGCCAATAAGGCCATATACGATCCTGAGCCATCTCTTTGATTTCTCCCAGCACTCATCCCCTGCCACACTGGATCCCTTCCATTCCCTTAAATGGCTGAGAACACTCCATTCCTGCTTCAGGACATTGCACTGTCTGTGGCTTCTAGAACAGTGTTCCCACAGGCAGCCAACAGTTGTCTCCTTCACTTTACTCAGGTCTCTGTTCAAATGCCACTTTATTCCGTGACTCCTGCATGTACAATAGAGGCCTGCCCCACTTTTCAATCTATGTAGACTTGTAACTTTTCTGTAAAGTATGAATCACCATCTGATATTGCAGACTGATTTTTTTTTAAGCATCTGTCATCATCCACTAAAATGTGGGCCTCTGGAAAGCAGAGATTTGATCTATTTGCTTATTGTGGTTAGTCCACAGCTTACCGCAGGGCCAGACACAGAGTGAGCACTCAGTAAATACTTGTGGAATGAATGAATGCAGATCCAAGTAGTGTATTATGGGTTATGTTTTCTCTAACACTTTTTTTTTTTTTTGAGAAAGAGTCTTGCTCTGTCGCCCAGGCTGGAGTGCAGTGGCATGATCTCTGCTCACTGCAACTTCCACCTATGTGTTCAAGCGATTCTCCTGCCTCAGCCTCCTGAGTAGCTGGAATGAAGGATGGTGCCACCACGCCTGGCTAATTTTTGTATTTTTAGTAGAGACAGGGTTTCACCATGTTGACCAGGCTGGTCTTGAATTCTTGACCTCAGGTGATCCACCTGCCTTGACCTCCCAACATGCTGGGATTACAGGCGTGAGCCACCGCACCTGGCCTAACACTTTTGTTTTATTCTGGGGTTAATAATTGCATTGTTTTTTTACTTGTTTATCTTCCCAAATACTGATCACTATGTTTTTCCTCCAAAGGGCTAAAAGATCTGTCAAATGTTGACCAAATTAAATTCTAGACATTTTAACCTCAGATAACTTATTTCTGTTTTATTCCTAGAGACCTGTTTTGAGAATATTCTCTTTAAAATTGAACTGGCTGTCTGTCCTCCTGGGGCATTCTGCACCATCTTACAAATTCCCTTTGCCTTTTTCTTGTTTTCCACCCACCCTACCTTTTGCTGCAGCTTCCAGAAGAGGCTTTTCCTTGTTTTGGATCCCCTGTTTCTTGGATGCCATTTATTTTTCTTTCTTGGCTTATTTCCATTAATATAAGTCTAGCATTCCCAAAACTATGCATAAAAGGGAAATTCCTTGAGAATTTGCATAGTTGACAATCTCTGCCTTTTTATTGGGACGGTTTATTTAGTCCATTCATATTAATGTAATTATTGGTGTGGTTATATTTATAGTTGTCATTTTGCTATTTGTTTTCTGTCACTCATGCATTTTTTTGTTCCTCCGTGCCTCATTTCCTGCTGTCATTTATGTCTAACAAGTAATTTTAGTATACCATTTTAATTACTTTTTTCATATTTTAAGCTATATATATTTTTTTCCTACTGCATGCTCTAGTCTAGGGATTATAGTATGCATCTTGAAGTTACCATGGTCTATTTTAATAGTAACTTAATTCTGATAAAATATAGTGACTTTGTTCCAATATATAATAGCTCTATTTCCTACCCCTTCCTTCATGCATACACACACACACACACACACACACACACACATCTATAATAGCTCTATTTCCTACCCCTTCCTTCATGCATACACACACACACACACACACACACACATACACACACACAAAATAAGCCATTAATATATATGAATGGACTAAATAAGCCACTCTAATAAACAGGCAGAGACGTGTGCGTGTGTGTGTACACATATATGTACATATCATATTTATGTTTGGGCTTGTTATAAAGTTTTTAAGATTTAAGAATATATAAAGTCTAGGTTATAAACTAATGGTGTGGCAATTATTTCTTGAAGCAATTTTACATTTTTCAAAGCATGAATATATATATATTCTTTGATATTTAATCACATATTTACCATTTCCAGCGTTCTTCATTTCTTTCTGTCCATTTTAATAACTCTAAAACCTCATTTTCTTTCGACCTGAAGGATGTCCTTTAATATTTTTTCAGCTTTATTGCGGTATAATTGACAAATAAAAATTGTATATACTCAGGGTATATAACATGATGATTTGATATATGTATACATTGTGAAATGATTGGTATGATCAAGCTAATTAACAGAGTTATCACCTTACCTGGTACCCTTTCCTTTCCTTTGTAATGAGAATCCTTAAGATCTACTCTCTTAGCAAATGTCAAATATAAGGTTTATTATTATTACTATTATTTTTAGAGACAGGGTCTCGCCCTATCACCGAGGGTGGAGTGCAGTGGCATAATCATAGTTCACTGCAGCCCTGAACTTCTTGGGCTCAAGTGATCCTCCGCCTCAGCCTCATAAGTAGTTAGGACTACAGGTGCAGGCCACCACGCCTGGCCAATTTAAAAAATTTTTTGTAGAGACAACGTCTCGCTATGTTGCCCAGGCTGGTCTTGAATGTTTGGGTTCAGGCTATTCTCTCGCCTCAAACTCCCAAGGTGCTGCGATTACAGACATAAGCCACTGTGCCTGGCCAGTATATTATTATTAATGATAGTCACCCTCCTGTACATTAGGTCTCCAAAATTTACTCATAACTGCAAGTTTGTACCCTTTGACCAATATCTCCCCATTTCCCCCACTGCTCCAGAACCCTGGTAACAGGTATTCTATTCTGTTTATATCCAGTTTGATTATTTTAGATTCCACATATAAGTGAGATCACACAGCATTTTTTCTGTGTCTGGCTTATTTCCCTTAGTATAAGGTCTTCAAGGTTCATCCATGTTGTTGCAAATAGCAGGATTTCCTTCTTTTTTAAGGCTGAATAATATCCCATTCTATATATATATACACCACATTTTTTTTGTCCATTCATCAATCAGTGAACACTTAGATTGTTTCCATATCTTGGCTATTGCAAACAAAGCTGCAGTGACCATGGGAGGGCAGATATCTTTTCAAGATAGGGAGTTTATTTGCTTTCGATATATACACAGAAGTGAAATTGCTGGATCATAGGGTAGCTCTATTTTTAATTTTTTGAGAAACCTCCACACTGTTTTCCATAATAGATGTACCAATTCACATTCCCACCAACAGTATGTAAAGGTTCCCTTTATCCACATCCACACCAATCTTGTTTTGTTTTTTGTTTTGATTTTTTGGCAACAGCCATCCCAACAGGTATAAGGTAATATCTTATTGTGACTTTGATTTACATTTCCCTGACGATTAGTGATGTTGAGCATCTTTTCATAAACCACTTGGCCATTGTATGTCTTCTTTAGAGAAATGTCTATGCAGGTCCTTTGCCCACTTTTTTTTTTTTTTCTCAAAGCAGAAAATTTATTGCCTACATTCTTTGACTACAATGCTATAACAACAGAAATATTTTCTTTTACAAAAATCTCAATCACCTTAAACATTTTTTAAGTCACTAAATAACTTTGGGTCAAAGAAGAAATCAAAACTGCAAATACATAAAAGCAAACATCAATTGGCATTGTATACATTAGAACATATGAAATAGATTATAGTAAACAATTATTAAAACACAAAGAATCCAGGATGCGGAAAGCTGGGATGAGTATTACACCCTAACAGCAACGATAGCAGATAAACTACAAAATCATAACTTTTCCTAAACTCATTTGAGAACTGAGATCATAGGGCAATCAAAAAGTCTAAAATAGGCTGGGCACAGTGGCTCATGCCTGTAATCCCAGCACTTTGGGAGGCTGACTGAGGCAGGCGGATCACCTGAGGTGAGGAATTCAAGACCAGCCTGGCCAACATGGCAAAACTCCATCTCTACCAAAAATACAAAAAATTAGCCAGCCGTGGTGGCGCATGCCTGTAGTTCCAGCCACTCGGGAGGCTGAGGCAGAAGAATCGCTTGAACCTGAGAGGCGGAGGTTACAGTGAGCCGAGATTGCACCACTGCACTCAGCCTGTTGCCTACTTTTTAATAGGGTTATTTGTTTTTTACTATTGAGTAGTAAGAGTTTCTTGTATATTTTGGATTTAGCTCCTTATTGCATATATGGTTTGCAAATATTTTCTCCCATTCTATGGGTATCTTTACTCTCTTCATGGTTTTCTTTGCTATGCAAAAGCTTTTTACTTTGATGCAATCCTACTCCTTTACTTTTGCTTTTGTTGCCTGTGCTTTTGTTGTCATATCAAAAAAGAAATCAACGCTAGCACCAATGTCATGTATCTTTCCCTGCATATTTTCTTCTAGGAGTTTTACCATTTTAGGTCTTACATTTAAATCTTTCATCCACCTTTAGTTGATTTTTGTATATGGTGGAAGATAAAGATCCAATTTCCTTATTTTTTTTTGCATGTGGATATCCAGTTTTTCCAGCACCATTTATTGAAGATACTATTCTTTCCTCATTCTTGTTCTTGACACCTTGTAGAAGATTAGTTAACCTTATATGAGTGGGTTTATTTCTGTGCTTTCAATTCTGTTCCATTGCTCTATGTGTGTTTTTATGCCAGTACTATATTGTTTTGATTGCTATAGCTTTATAATATAATTTGAACACAGGAAGTGTGATGCTTCTGGCTTTGTCCTTCCTGTGTGGTTCTCTTTGTGTTTTTTAAATTCAGTGTTGGTTGAGTTTTAAAAAAAATCTGCAATTCAATATCTTTCATCAAACCTGGGAAGCTTTCAGCTATTACTTCTTTATTTTTTTCTCTCTCCCTTTCTGCGGCTTCCATTACACGTATGTGGGGACATTGAGCATCATCCCATGTGTGTCTGAAGGTCTGTTCATTTGTCTTCATTTTTCTTTCTGTTTTTCGAATTGGATCATTTCTATTGGTCTATTTTCATGTTCACTAGTTCTTCCACTATCTCAAAATCTGCTATTGAGCCCATCTAGTGAATTCGAAATTGTACCTTCCAACTCCAGAATTTCCATTTAATTCTTTTTACAGTTTGTATTTCTCTATTTAGATTCCCTATTTGTCGAGTCATTTAAATCATATTTTCTTTTAATTCCTTGAACAGTTTTCTTTAATTCTCTGAGGCCGGGCGCAGTGGCTCATGCCTGTAATCCCAGCACTTTGGGAGGCCGAGGCGGGTGGATCACTTGAGGTCAGGAGTTCAAGACTAGCCTGGCAAACATGGCGAAACCCCATCTCTACTAAAAATACAAAAAATTAGCCGGGCGTGGTAGTGGGTGCCTGTAATCTCAGCAACTTGGGAGGCTGAGGCAGGAGAATCACTTGAACCCAGGAGGTAGAAGTTGCAGTGAGCTGAGATCACGTCACTGCACTCCAGCCTGGGCGGGCGACAGAGTGAGACTCTTGTCTCCAAAAAAAAAAAAAAAACAAAAAAACAAAAGAAAACTTCAAGCCCATTACACTTCCAACCCCTGTCAGTCCCTCTGTGTGGGGGTTGGAGAAGGCCAGTTTTCAAGTCCCTTATCTCCCTTGCTGGGCTCTCTCAGGTCTTCTCCATATATGCATAGTTTTTTCAGTCAGCCAGGGATGCGTGAAGAGCTCACTTCAATACTTCTCTGATTCTCATTTCCAGAATCCCCCTGTTAAATTCCTGGTTGGCCTGCTGCTTGCCCCAAGTGGGGCTGCAACCTCAAGCTAGCGAAGCTGTGGATTTGTCCTGCTCATTTCCAAGTGTTCATTCCCATGTTAAGCCAGCAAAGCCAAGGATTTTCAACCCCCCAGCCACTGCTCTGAATTGAATCTGTTTGTGTGGCAGTTTTCATGGCCAGCCCCATCTTACTTAAAAGTCATTGGCTGAGCTGGGGGGTGATGGGAGCAGCCACAGGCAAAAAAAGCCACCATCTCCTACTTGCCTGAAGATCTAGTAGTTTTTCAAGAATAAATGCTGCTCAATTTTTTGCCTGCATTTTGTCAATTTCCAGTTCCCTGAAATGCTTGGTTTTGATAAACAATTTTGTCTAGTTTTATATATTTTTTGGTTGTTTGTTGCTTTTTTTTTTTTTTTTTTTTTTTTACAGAAAGAAATTGCCTGCCTCTTTGTGCTGCCATAACTGGAAGGCCTTCTCCTCGTTATTATTTTTTGAGATGGAGTTTCGCTCTTGTTGCCCAGGCTGGAGTGCAATGGTGCAATCTTGGCTCACTGCAACCTCTGCCTCCAAGCGATTCTCCTGCCTCAGTCTCCCAAGTAGCTGGGATTACAGGCGTGCACCACCACGCCCAGCTAATTTTTTTGTATTTTTAGTAGAGACAGGGTTTCACCATGTTGGTCAGGCTGATATAGAACTCCTGACCTCAAGTGATCCACCTGCCTCAGCCTCCCAAAATGCTGGGATTACAGACGTGAGCCACTGTGCCCAGCCCGCTTTCTTTTTAAACCCTCCTTTGAACATAAAAAATTTACATGTTTGTTTAATGTTTAACACAGGTCCCTTTCAATATCAAGCTTATTATACTTCATTTTCCTAGGCAAAGGTGCAGAAAAACCAGCTTTGCAAATGTAGGTCAAAACTGCACAGTGACTAACCGGCTTCCCTCCTCCCTGCACTTCCTCATTTTTCTCAGAAGCAGTACCTGAAATAAAGGCAGAGTCCTTGTCTGCCTCTATGTACTTGATACCAGCTTGTCAAGACCCACCCTTCCCTTTTACCTCGTCTAAAATTCACACCAGTGGACAGCAGGGCCTGCAGCATGTCTGTAGAAATTTATTTAAACTTATGTATGATTCATAGAAGACTGAGTACTTTGATTTGATGGGGATGGGCTATATTTCTTCCAATAACAAATTAATGGATTAGTTCATTAGATTAGCTACATTATGGAACACGTGGAGGAGATGGAGGATGAGTTAGTTTTAGTTACAGGAGGAATAAGGTAATAAATAACTTCAAGTAGAACAATAAAAATTTGGACTTCTAAATAATTTGGATAACCCATTTTCCAAATATAGGCTAAGCCCCTGCTGTGGTTTAGCATTAAAAACATTTAAATAAAATACATGTTAAATAAAAAAGTACTTAAGGAATGTGTTTCCTAATATACACAACTGGTGTGGGCAATATACAACAAAACCTTTCAATCTAAGGACAAACTTACAAATAGGAAAACAAATATCAGATAGTGCTTTTAGGTCAGGTGCAGTGGCTCACACCTGTAATCCCAGCACTTTGGAAGCCTGAGGCGGGAAGATTGCTTGAGCCCAGGTGTTCAAGATCAGCCTGGGCAACAGAGTGAGACCCGTCTCTACTAAAAATAAATTACCTGGGCATGGAAGGGCACGCCTGTAGTCCAAGCTACTCGGGAGGCTGAGATGGGAGGATTGCTTGAGCCTGTGAGGTTGAGGCTGCAGTGAGCCGTGATTGCACCGCTGACACTCCGTGTCACTCCACCGCTGGGTGACACAGTGAGACCCTGTCTCCAAAGGAAAAAAATAAGTGCTTTCACAAAGGCAAATTCCCCAACTTTCTTATTTCAATATATTTCCTTTTTTTTAAATTTCACATGAGATAGAATGGGAGTGTGAGGGGAGGATTGAATGTTTTGGACAGGTAGTAACTTTGCCTTTCACTTTCTGCTGGGCTGTCTCAGGTCTTCCCTATAGATGCATAGCTTTTCCACTCGGCCAGGGATGTGTGAAGACCTCATCTCAACACTTCCATGACTCTCATTTCCAGAATCTCCCTATTAAATCCCCAGCTGATCTGCTGCTATGGCCTAGTATTAAAAATAGCAACCAAGCTGGCCACCAAGAAGACTGGAGGTTTGGGCAACTGTTCCTTTTTATTTCATATCTAGGGAGATCATTGGATCCTTCCCTCCCTCCCTCTCTCCTTCCTTCTCTCGCTCTCTCATTTGAGATAAGTGAAATAGAAGATAAGGTAGAAGGAGTCAGAAAGAGAAAATGGAGGCAAGAGTAAGGGAGAATGAGGAGCAAGGAAACCAGAGGGAAGCAGAGTCACAGAAGAGAGAGGAAATGGTGCCAAGGAAAGGAGAAATTATGGTTGATGCCATTTGGCTGTAGTTAAAAGTAAAACTTGATATGGTGCTTTAAAAAAATAAAGCAGGAATTTTCCCTTATTTTAGAGGGGGAAAGCAGGAATGGTGAAGGAAGAGATGTCCACATGAATGGAAGAATCAGAAAAAGGGGGAAAGTGAATTTTGTTTTTCTCCTCAAGTGCCTAGGCTTGGCAACCAGCACTCTCTAACATTACGTTGCTCCCAGAGGTGGAGAGTTAAAGCAAATGTCTCCCAGTGTGTGGTGGCAGACACAAAATAATAGATCCCCAAATATCCCAGAGAGCTTGGGCCTCTACTCAGTTCCAACCACGTGTTTGACTGAATAAATTATATTTTATCTTTACTATGAGATATTATATAACCGTTAAAAAGAATGAATTGGAGGTATGCCAGCTGTCCTAGAAGGTTTTTCATGAGATGTTGGCTGAGACAAGCAAGAAGAGCGACAAGAGCGAAACTCCGTCTCACAAAAAAATTAAGATAAAATTAGCATAATTAAAATTCTTTGTATCATTAAAATTCAGGCAACTTGGGCTCTGTCATAGTACAAGGTTAAGCCATTAGGTCATTCTCGAGTCCAGTGGCTCACAACGGGGACTGGTGGTGGCGCCCTGGCTTCTCTGGGTGGAGACCGGGGACACTGCCAAACATCCTCCAAAGCACAGGATGGCCCCACAACCAAGCCTCTTGTGGCCCGGAGTATCAGCAATGTCGAGGCTGTGAGATCCTGCTCTCACCCAGGCCTGCTTCCCAGAGTCCTTTAAGTCCTAAAGGGAGAAGACAGCAGGCTGCCCTCTTTCTGTTATTTAAATCCCACTTAACTCCCTCTTAGAGCATGTTCTTCTCCCTTTAAGACTAGCCTGGGGGCTGCACGCGGTGGCTCACGCCTGTAATCCCAGCACTTTGGGAGGCTGAGGTGGGTGGATCACCTGAGATCAGGAATTTGAGACCAGGCTGGCCAACATGGTGAAATCCCATCTATACTAAAAATGCAAAAATTAGCTGGGCATGGTGGCGGGCACCTGTAGTCCCAGCTAATCGGGAGGCTGAGGCATGAGAATAGCTTGAACCCAGGAGGCAGAGGTTACAGTGAGCTGAGATTGAGCCACTGCACTGCAGCCTGGGCGATAAAGCAAGACTTAGTCTCAAAAAAAAAAAAAAAAAAAAAAGAAACTAGCCTGGGTAACATGGTGAAACTCCATTTCTACCAAAAAGAAAAGAAAAAAAAAATTAGCTGGGTGTGGTGGTGCGTGCCTGTAGTCCCAGCTACTTGGGAGGTTGAGGCTGCAGTGAGCCATGATTATGTCACTGCACTCCAGCCTGGGCAACAGAGGAGACCCTGTCTCAAAAAAAAAAAAAAAGCCCAGTGCAGTGGCTCATGCCTGTAATTCCAGCACTTTGGGAGGCCGAGGCGGGCAGATTGCCTGAGGTCAAGAGTTCAAGACCAGCCTGGCCAACATAGTGAAACCCTGTCTCTTACTAAAAATACAAAAATTAGCCGGGCATGGTCGTGGGCACCTGTAATCCCAGCTACTCAGGAGGCTGAGGCAGGAGAATCTCTTGAACCCGGGAGGCAGAGGTTGCAGTGAGCTGAGATGGCGCCACTGCACTTCAGCCTGAGAGACAGAGCAAGACTCCGTCTCAAAACAAAAAAAAGAAAAAAAAGAAACCCCTCACTCTCACCAGTCTTCTCCTTCCCCAGCCCTATCTACACGTGGTAGAGACCAGCCCGGGCTGGTCTTAAAGGGAGAAGAGCATGCTGTAAGAGGGAGTAAGTGGGATTTCAATAACAAAGAAAGAAGGCAGCCTGTTCTCTTCTCCCTTCAGGACTAAAGGGCTTTGGGAAGCAGGCCTGGGCGAGAGCAGGATCTCACAGCCTCGGCATTGCTGAGACTCTGGGCCACAGGGGTCTTGGTTGTGGGGCCGTCCTGCACATTGCGGGGTGTCCAGCAGGCAGCCACCAGTCGATTTTATATTTCTACAGGTTTGCCTTTCAATTCATAAATTGAATTATATAATATGTGGCCTTTTGTGACTGGCCCTTTCTGTTGGCACGATGTTTCCCAGGTTTCTCCATGTTGTAAGCATGAATCACCACTGAGTCCTTTTGATGGCTGAATGGTATTTCATTGTGTGGGTAGACCACATACACTGGTTGCTAGGGCTGGTAACACAGTACCACACACTGGGCAGATTAAACAACCATTTATATTCTCAGTTCTGGAGGCCTCTCTCCTTGGCTTGGAGATGGCCATCTTCTCTCAGTGTCCTCACATGGTCGTCCTCTTGTGTGTGTCTGTGTTCTTATAAGGACATTACTCATACTGCATTTGGGCCCCACCCTAATGATCTCATTTTAATTTAATTACTTCTTTAAAGATCTTATCTCAAAAGAGTCACATCCTGAGGTACTGGGAGATAAGACTTCAACATTTGAATTTGGAGAGAGCACACTCAGCCCATAACACCCTGTCCTCTGCTCCCTGAAAATCCATATCCTTCTCATATGCAAAATACACTTATCCCCATCCCTACAGTGCCAAAAGTCTTAACCCAGATCAGCATCAACTGTTAAGTCCCAAATCTCATGTAAGTATCGTCTAAACCAGGTATGGGTGAGATTTGAGGTATGGTTCATCCTGAGGCAAAATTCTCCAGCTGTGAACCTTTACGACCAGACAAGAAATTATCTGCTTCCCAAACAGGACAGGCAGAGCATAGACATTTCTAGTTTAAAAGTGGGACATTGGAAAGAAGAAAGTGGTCATGGATCTCCTGTCCTGGAACCTGGTAGGGCAAATTCCGTTCAATTTTTTTTTTTTTAATTTGAAATGGAGTTTCACCCTTGTCGCCCAGGCTGGAGTGCAATGGCGCGGTTTTGGCTCACTCCACCCTCTGCCTCCTGGCTTCAAGTGATTCTCCTGCCTCAGTCTCCCAAGTAGCTAGGATTACAGGCATGAGCCACCATGCAAGGCTATTTTTTGTATTTTTAGTAGAGACGGGATTTCACCATGTTGCCCAGGCTGGTCTCCAACTCCTGATCTCAGGTCATCCACCTGCCTCAGCTTCCCAAAGTGTTGGGATTACAGGCGTGAGCCACTGCGCCCAGCCCAATGCCAAGGCTTGAGAATAATCCTCTTTGGCTCAGTGTTCTGTTGTCTGGGTCCACAGGGTGGCCCTGCCTTCCAGGGCCATCACCCTGATTCCTCTACCCTAAATGCTGGCCCCACCCCTTGGTCCTGGGCTGGGGCATCCTGGCCTGCTGAAACCAAGGAAGTGGCACCAGACCTGCCCCTGAATCTGTGTGCCTGGGCCCAAGGTGGCAGTAGCAGCCTGGCAGATCTCTGAACTGGCTTCAGAGTCATTCTTCCCTTTCCTTTAAGGATAACTCATGATCACAGCCATATCGCTGTACTGGCTGGTCCTGCAGAATTCCAGAAATCTGACAATCTTCCTTCATTTCTTCCTATTTCTGTCTCCTTTGGTCCAAACTGGCAATGTCTGCTGGTATAAATTCTCAAAAACCTTGGCCTCCTATGCAATCCACAGGGGGTGAGGCCATTTGACAAGAGGGCCCTCCACAGATGTTCCTGGGAAAACCACATCTCTGTTCCCGACTTGCTGAGTTGGTTGACTGTATCCATGCATCACATTGGCCATCTTTTCAGACAGGGGTTCAGCCACACCCTTGGTCTTTTCTCCAGAATGTGCTTTCACACTTTTTGTAGAATGGATAGATGGAGAATTTTCCAAATCTTCAAGTTTTGGTTCCTTTTTTTCTAAAAATTCCTTTTTTAGCTTGTCTCTCTCCTCTCATATTTTACTATGAGCAGCAAGAAGAAATCAGGCCACCTTCAGTACTTTGCTTAGAAATCTCCTCAGCTAAATATCCAAGTTCATCATTTATAAGTTCTGCTTTCCATGAAACATGAGAATCCAATTCAACAAATTTCTTTGCCACTTTATAACAAGGTCTATCTTTCTTCTAGTTTCTAATATCATGTTCCTCATTTCTGTCCAAGATCTCACCAGAAGTACGTTTAACATTCATATTTCAGCCAACATGCTGTTCCTGATGATACATGTATTCTCTAAGATGACAGATGTTTCTCTCTCTTTTTTTTTTTTTTTTTGTGGAGATGGAGTCTCTCTCTGTCACCCAGGCTGGAGTGCAGTGGCATGATCTTGGCTCACTGCAACCTCTGCCTCCCAGGCTCAAGCAATTATCCTGCCTCAGCTCCCCGAGTAGCCGGGACTACAGGTGCATGCCACCACACCTGGCTAATTTTTGTATTTTTAGTAGAGATGGGGTTTCACCATGTTGGCCAGGCTGGTCTCAAACTCCTGACCTCAGGTGATCCACATGTCTTGGCCTCCCAAACTGCTGGGACTACCGGCGTGAGCCATGGTGCCCAGCTGATAGATGCTTTCTCTACAGCTCTGTTTTTTCTTTCTCAGTCCTCACTGGAATCACCTTCAATGTCCACATTTCTGTTGCTGTTTTTTTTTTTCCTTTGAGACTGAGTCTCGCTCTATTGCCGAGGCTGGAGTGCAGTGGCGTGATCTCAGCTCACTGCAATTTCTGCCTTTCAGGTTCAGGCAATTCTTCTGCCTCAGCCTCCTGAGTATCTGGGATTACAGGCGCACGCCACCACGCCTGGATAATTTTTGTATTTTTAGTAGAGATGGGGTTTCACCATGTTGGCCAGGCTGGTCTCGAACTCCTGACCTCAAGTGATCCGCCTGCCTCAGCCTCCCAAAGTGCTGGGATTACAGGCGTGAGCCACCGCGCCCGGCTAATGTCCACATTTCTATCAACAGTCTCTTTAAGGCAATTTAGGCCTTTTCCAACATGCACCTCCAAACTCTTCCAGCCCTTACTCACTGTTTAGTTCCAAAGCCACGTCTGCTCAACAGCACGCTATTTCTTGGTACCCAAATCTGTACTGGTTGCCAGGGCTGCTGTAACAAAGTCCCACAGACTAGGGGACTTAAACCACAGCCATTTATCTTCTAACAGTTCTGGAAGCTAGAAGTCTGAGACCAATGCATTGGCAGAATGGGTTTCTTCTGAGGTGTCTCTCCTGGGCTTGCAGATGACCGCCTTTGCCCTATTTCTTCAAATGGTCTTCTTTCGGTGTGTGTCTGTGTCTAAAGTTCCTTTTTTATTTCAGACACAGGTTTGCTCTTGTTGCCCAGGCTGGAGTGCAGTGGCACAATCTCGGCTCACTGCAACCTCCGCCTTCTGGGTTCAAGTGATTCTCCTGCCTCAGCCTCCTGAGTAGCTGGGATTACAGGTGTCCGCCACCATGCCTGGCTAATTTTTGTATTTTTAGTAGAGACGAGGTTTCACCATGTTGGCCAGGCTGGTCTGGAACTCCTGAGCTCAGGTGATCCACCCGCCTCAGCCTCCCAAAGTGCTGGGATTACGGGTGTGAGTCACTGCGCCTGGCCCTAAAGTTCCTCTTATAAGGATACCAGTCATATTGGATTACTGTCCTAATGACCTCATTTTAACTTGATTACTTCTTTAAAGATCCTGTCTCCAAACACAGGCATATTCTGAGGCACTGGAGGTGAGGACTTCAACATATACACTTGGAGGTGGGGGGACAAAATTCTGCCCATAACGCCATATGTTATTTATCCATTCATCAATTCACACTTACATTTCCTTTTTTTTTTTTTATTTTTCTGTTTATTTTTTGAGACAGAGTCTCCCTCTGTCGCCCAGGCTGGGGTGCAGTGGCACAACCTCAACTCACTGCAGCCTCCACCTCTCGGGTTCAAGCAACTCTCCAGCCTCAGCCTCCCAAGTAGCTGGGACTACAGGTGCGCCACCACAACCGGGTAATTTTTGCATTTTTAGTAGAGATGGGGTTTCACCATGTTGGCCAGGCTGGTCTCGAACTCCTGACCTCAGGTGATCCGCCTGCCTCGGCCTCCCAAAGTGCTGGGATTACAGGTGTGAGCCACCAGGCCCGGCCAATTAACACTTACATTTCCTTTCATAGATTTAATTACTAAATCAATACGAAAAATAACTCTCAGGTGTATAACAAGCTACAAAGATTTCAACCTTACTAAGTTTTTTTACTTTTTATTTCTGTGACAGTTTTTCCTGATGGCTCTGAAAGTCACCCTAAGATGGTTCTCTGTACTTTCTTGCCATTACTCTTCTACTTAAAAAGAAACCCACTCCTAATGACATATAATTTACGTACCGTAAAATTTACCCTTTTAAGGTGTTTAATTTGGTATTTTTTGGTTTACTAACAGCTGTGCAACCATTATTGCTATCTAATTTTATAAAAAAATTACAACTATTCAATTTTAAAATGCTTTTACCAACCCCCCACGAAATCCCATACAAATTGATGGTCATTCCCGTTTCCCGCCAGCCCCCCAACCCCTGGCAATCACCAATATGCTTTCCGTCTCTGTGGATTTGCCTAATTTAGACAGTTTATGTAAATTAAATCATACAAGAGGCAGCCTCTTTCCCTCAGCATAATGTTTTCAAGATTCATCCATGGTATAGCATGTATCAGCACTTCATTCCTTTATTTATTTATTTGAGACACAGTCTCAGTCTGTCGCCCAGGCTGGAGTGCAGTGGTGCGATCTCGGCTCACTGCAAGCTCCGCCTCCTGGGTTCACACCATTCTCCTGCCTCAGCCTCCCGAGTAGCTGGGACTCCAGGAGCCTGCCACCATGCCCGGCTAATTTTCTGTATTTTTAGTAGAAACGGGGTTTCACCGTGTTAGCTAGGATGGTCTTGATATCCTGACCTCATGATCCACCTGCCTCAGCATCCCAAAGTGCTGGGATTACAGGCGTGAGCCACTGTGTCCGGATCCTTTTTTTTTTTTTTTTTTTTTGAGATGGAATCTCGCTCTGTCGCCCAGGCTGGAGTGCAATGGCGTGGTCTCGGCTCACTGCAACCTCTACCTCCCAGGTTCAAGCGATTCTCCTGCCTCAGCCTCCTGAGTAGCTGGGATTACAGGCATCCGCCAGTATGCCTGGCTAATTTTTACATTTATAATAGAGATGGGGTTTCACCATATTGGCCAGGCTGATCTTGAACTGGTGACCTTGTGATCTGCCTGCCTCGGCCTCCCAAAGTGCTGGGATTACAGGCATGGGCCACCATGCCTGGCCACTTCATTCCTTTTTATGGCCAAATAATATTCCATTGTATGGATGTGTCACATTTTGTTTATTCACTTGTTAGTAGATGGACGTTTGAATTGTTATGAATAATGATGCTGTGAAGAATTGCATGTTTTTGTGTGTACAGATGTTTTTATTTCTCTTGGATATGCAGTAGTCTCCCCTTATCCATGGATTTGCTTTCTGCAGTTTCAGTTACCTGCAGTCAACTGTGGTCCAAAACCATTACATCGAAACTTCAAGAAACAAATAATTTAGAAATTTTAAATGGCACACCATTCTGAGTAGCATAAGGAAATTTCATGCCATCCCACCCTGGATATGAATCATCGCTTTCTCCAGCATAACCATTAGTCACTTAGTAAGCTGTCTGGATTATCAGGTTGACTGTCATGGTATCATAGTGCTTGTGTTCATGTAACCCTTATTTTACCTAATGGCTCCAAAATGAAAAAGTAGTGATGCTGGCAGTTCGATTATGCCAAAGAGAAGTTGTCAAGTGTTTTGTTTAAGTGGAAGCATGAAAGTTCTTAATAACGAAAGAAAAAATTAGTACGCTGAGATTGCCAAGATCTACAGTAAAAATGAATCTTCATCCATGAAATTGTGAGCAGTATATTGTTGTAATTGTTCTAGTACACATATAGTTCTAATACAGTCCTATTATTGTTAATCTCTTACTATACCTAATTTATATAAGCTTTATCATAGGTATATACATCTAGGAAAAAATATAGTGTATATAAGGTTTGGAACTAACTATCCATGGTTTTAGCATCCACTGGGGGTCTTGGAACATATCCCCTGCAGATAAAGGGTGATGACTGTATACCTAGGAGTGGAATACTTGGTCAGATGGTAACTCTATGTTTAACATTTTGAGAAACTGTCAGACTTTTCAAAAGTGGCTAGACCCTTTCACAATCCCACCAGCAATGTATTAGAGTTCCAATTTCTTCACATCTTTGCCAACACTTGTTATGTCTTTTTTCATTTAGCCATTCTAGTGGGTATGAAGTGGTATTTTGTTGTTTTGTTTCCGTAATGATTAGTGATGTTGAGCATCTTTTCATGTGCTTATTGGGCACATGGAGAAATGCCTACTCAAATACATTGCCCATTTTAATTGGATTACTTGTCTATTATTGAGTTGTAATAGTTCTTTATTCTAGATATAGGTTTCTTATCAGATATATTATTTGCAAATATTTTCTCCCATTCTGTGAGTTGTCTTTTCTTGATGCTGTCCTTGAAGTACAGAAGCTTGTAATTTTGATGAAGTCCAATTTATCTGTTTTTTTTCTTTTGTTTGTGCTTTTGATGTTATATCCAAGAAACCACTGCTTAACCAAAGGTCAGAAAACTCACTTCTATGTTTTCTTCTAAGAATTGTATAGTTTTAGCTCTTATATTTATGTGTCTGATCTATCTATCTATTTATTTTTTGAGACTGAATTTTGCTCTTGTCTCCCAGGCTGGAGTGCAATGGCATGATCTTGGCTCACTGCAACCTTCACCTCCCAGGTTCAAGCAATTCTCCCACCTCAGCCTCCTGAGTAGCTGGGATTACAGGCATGCGCCACCACACCTGGCTAATTTTGTATTTTTAATAGAGACAAGGTTTCACCATGTTGGCCAGGCTGGTCTAGAACTGCTAACTTCAGGTGATTCAGCCTTGGCTTCCCAAAGTGCTGGGATTACAGGTGTGAACCACTGCACCTGACCTCTGATCTATTTTGACTTAACTTTTGTATATGGTGTGAGGTAGGGATCCAACTTTATTCTTTCACATGTGAATATCCAAGTGTCCCAGCCATTTGTTAATAAGACTATTCTTTTTCCCTATTGAATTGTCTTGGCATCTTGTCTATCTTTCTACTCTTAAAAGTAGATTTCATCAACTCTTTACAGAAGGACCTTGCCTATAACCAGCTTAAACTGTGAATCAGAAGGCTGATTAATTAAACTATTATGATTCATATAAAAATACTTTACTAGAGTATACAGAGAACACTAATAACAATGAAAACAAAGGGAGGATTCCTATTCAGCCTGGAGGAAACAGGAGAAAGATTATAGAGGGTAGTGTCATGAAAGCTTCCTGGAAAAACACACAGGCATTAGTCAGGTAGTGTGGGCAGAGTTCTAGTCAGAGCAAATAACACATGCAAAGGCTGAGAGGCACTTGCAGCCAATCATCCATATGGTGGGAGTGAACTAGATAATGTCACTTACTCTCTTTACCCTATATCATTCCCACCTTCTTTACAAGCAAAACCACATGTAATTCTCTTGCATGGATAGAATGCATTAAATCTTAAAATTTTGTCAGATTGGGACTGACCAAAAGAATATACTTAAAAGTAAAATCAAACAGACATTATGTTCCTATGTGCCCAAGAGTTTCAGGGAAAGGATAGAAACCAACTCACACATGGGCCTGAGGAAGGCTGAGTTAGAAAAGACTTAAGTCAACTGTTATCTTAGTTTTAGTACATTCTATTTCCTACATCTTCCTAAAGGAAACTGAATTCCTAAATTTTCCTTTAAGGAGGAATATAGTCACATAATAGAATATGAACTATGTAGTGTCAGACCTAAGTTCAGTCCTGGTTTTGCCACTTTTACTGGTAAGACCTTGGACAAGTTCTCTAATGTCTGTGAATCTCAGTACTCCTCCTTCTAAAACAGGGACATTAATACCACCTTGGAGGGATCCTGTGAGGCTTACCTGAAAATGTCTAGCAGGTGACTAGAATACATGTTTAATAAGTGTTAACTTCCTCTCTAGTCTGGTGCTGGTACACTATTCGTGCAATAATAGGGGAGAGACTTAGGCTTCTCTCCTAGAAGAACATATTTTGACCTAAAGTTGCTGTTCTTTGCTTTTGAGTAGCTGACCCTAAATGGGCAGAATTACTGTTTAACATCACATAATCCTAGAGAGGGCAGTGGCTGAGCATAACTTGTTAATGGGAATGAGACGTGTGTTTGGTCAGTAAGGAAGTAGGTTATAGGGTGATCATAGAATATTTATTTTCATCGTTTTTCTACATTCTGAATTTGTCCTTGCCGGCAGGAACTCTCAGGTGGCTTCTGGTCTGGGTTTGCTTTGGAATACAGCCAAACCTACCTGACTCAGCTTTTTGTAACTCTGCAAATAACAAGGTTAATACCTCTTCACGTTCTATGAGCTGCTTAGTAACAGAATGCAGGGGAAGCAGAGAGTTCTGTGTTGAAAGTCCTCCATTGCTTACAGGTGGTGTGACTGTGGCCGCAGTCCTGAACTTCAACTAAGTCACGTCCCTGCTCTACAGTGGGCTCAGGGGCCTGAGGAGGTCCAGAGTCTATCCCCGTCTTTAGAATTTGACAGCTACTGCCATCATTGTTATTTCCTGTGTGGGAGGTTCTTGGGAACAGCACGGTCAGAAGGAGTAAGACCAGAAAGAGTCTGAAGCTTGTTCTGGCACGATTTCACCATGATATGGAATACAATTACTATGAAAAAGAATTCTGTTACCTCCCAGCTCGTTTTGGTTCCTGAGCAGAAGATAGTCTCAGCCCTGCTGTCTCTCTCTTTCTAAAATTTTCCATATGAGCCAATTAAATACAGGATTCTTCTGGGTGCTAAGGAAATAATACAATGGATAATGATGAAATGAATAGTTTTATCTGCAAGGAGTTTATAATCTAGTAGACAGCTGTATACAGTCAGGTGCCGCATAATGACATTTTGGTTAATGACAGACGGCATGTATGATGGTGGCCCCATAAGATTATAATACTTTTTTGTTTCTTTTTTTTGAGACAAGGTCTCACTCTATTGCCCAGGCTGGAGGGCGGTGGCACGATCTCAACTCACTGCAACCTCCGCCCCCAGGGTTCAAGTGATCCTCCTGCCTCAGCTTCCTGAGTAGCTGGGACCACAGGTGTGCACCACCACGCTCGGCTAATTATTTTATTTTATTTCTGAGGCAGAGTTTCGCTCTTGTTGCCCAGGCTAGAGTGCAATGGTGCAGTCTCAGCTCATGGCAACCTCCGCCTCCCAGTTCAAGCTATTCTCCTGTCTCAGCCTCTCGAGTAGCTGGGATTACAGGCACGCACCACCACGCCTGGCTAATTTTGTATTTTTAGTAGAGGCGGGGTTTCTCCATGTTGGTCAGGCTGGTCTCAAACTCCCGACCTCACGTGATCTGCCTGCCTCCGCCTCCCAAAGTGCTGGGATTATAGGTGTGAGCCACTGCGCCTGGCCATAATACCATATGTTTAATGCATGTTTTCCGTGTTTAGATACACACATACTTACCACTGTGCTATAACTGCTTACAGTGTGTGGTACGGTAATGTGCTGTACAGGTTTGAAGTCAGTTCTTGGAAAAAGTGCTCACACCTACAGACTCCCTTCAGCATCTGCTAACAGTGCGTATACTCAGCACTGACAGTATACACCGCATAGCCTAGATGTGTAGTAGGCTATGCCATCTGGGTTTGTGTAAGTACACTCTAGGATGTCCACACAACAAAATCGCCTAACGACACATTTCTCAGAACATGTCCCTGTCGTTAAGCACCACATGACAATACTTGTGAAAGACTGATTGTCCTGGGACGTACTGGTAGCAGTCCTAGCACATAGCACACAAAGTGGGTAACTCTCACCTGAGAAACTGGGCAGGCCTCACAGAGCGGGAGGCATTTGATTTGGGCCTTTCTTCAAACTGTCATGAAAATTAGGCAGTTTTGCTGGATCCTGAATTCGAGAATGAAAAATAAATTGGAGGCCGGGCACGGTGGCTCACGCCTGTAATCCCAACACTTTGGGAGGTCGAGGCGAGCAGATCACGAGGTCAGGAAATCGAGACCACGGTGAAACCCCATCTCTACTAAAAATACAAAAAATTAGCCGGGCATGGTGGTGGGTGCCTGTAGTCCCAGCTACTCGGGAGGCTGAGGCAGGAGAATGGCGTGAACCCAGGAGGTGGAGCTTGCAGTGAGCCGAGATCGCGCCACTGCATTCCAGCCTGGGTGACAGATCGAGACTCCGTCTCAAAAAAAAAAAAAAGAAAAACAAATTGGACTAAATTCTATTTTCTCACTATCTAACAAGAACACTGGCCACTGAGTCAGAATACTTGGGTCCTAGCCTGAATGCTGCTAGGAATTCACTCTGTGACCTTGAGCAAGACACATAGCCTCTCAGGGTCCTTTTTTTTTTTTTTTTTTTTGTGACAGAGTCTTGCTGTGTCCCCCAGGCTGGAGTGCAGTGGCGCCATCTCGGCTCACTGCAAGCTCTGCCTCCCGGGTTCACACCATTCTCCTGCCTCAGCCTCCCGATTAGCTGGGACTACAGGCACCCGCCACCACGCCCAGCTAATTTTTTGTATTTTTAGTAGGCACACGGTTTCACTGTGTTAGCCAGGATGGTCTCGATCTCCTGACCTCGTGATCCGCCCGCCTCGGCCTCCCAAAGTGCTGGGATTACAGGCGTGAGCCACCGCGCCCGGCCTCTTTATTTGTTAAATAGGGAGTTTGGAAGAGGGACTCTCCATGGCTCTTCTGAATTCTGAAATTCCTTTATGTCTTTGCTCCTCATTAATACATCACAAAAACGAAATGCAGAAGTTGGAGCAAGTTTTGGTCATGGAGAAGGGAGGATGAAACTAAGGCTATGGCTATTACCTACAAAGAAGCAGTTACCAGTTGCCACCTCAGCATACATTAGAGTGAAAGGACATCTCTGGACTTCAAAGGTGGGTTTAGTTTTCAAACAACCAAAAAAAAAAACCAAAAAAAACCTTACATATATTTCTGTAATTAACACTATCCTTAACTCAGCCATGGGAAAGAATACATTTAGTTCAGAATTCTCTTTCTGGGCGCTCAAGGAAAATAATAATGGAAAGATCTCTCCAAAGTCATGGAGTCAAATTTCCAAGATGCCAGGCCACTAAGGAACATTTCTTCAAGGCTTGGGCTCTCTGCCTTCTCCACCTCTTGGAAAAAGTGCTCAAGCTTACAGACAGACTCCTTCCTTCCTTCCCTCAGCATCCACTACCAGTGGGCTTGTTCAGCACTGACATTAGTGAGCAGGCAGAGGCTGGGCCTTCCACTTTACTCAACAGTCCTCCTTGCATAAGCCCTTACTTCCGTTTCCTCTTCCCCTTGCAAGAACTCTCACGCACACCCATGGATTAATCACCACTTGCACAATGGTGACTCCCACAACTTCATCTCCAGCTCTGGCCTTGTCTCTAAGTCTCAGACTCATAGATCCAACAACCTGCTGAACAGACAGACATGCACATAAACGTATAGATGTTTCTTAGACACCTCAAGTCAGTATTTCCAAGACTGAACTCACCATCTTCTTTCCCCACCAAATCGGCTTCTCTTCTCATATCCCAAACTTAGTTAATGGCTTAATGTCCAGTCACCCAGAAAGCCAGAATCTTGGGAGTCATTCTGGACTCTCTTCTCCCCTCACCATTGCCCCCAAAGACATCAAAATTCTGCTAAATTCGCTTCCCCAAGTATCCTGGTATTTTCTCTTTCCCTTCTGTGCCTGCAGCAATGATCTCATTTGGTCTCTCATTGTCTTTTTCCTAAACACTGCGAGGCCTCTAGTCCTGCTGTCCATGAATTCTTCTTCCACCCCGCAGCCAGTCATCCACCTTCCGTGTACATCTGACTACACTACTGGAGGATGGAAAATGTTCCATTGGCTAACCAGCAGCCTGTGGAGGGGTCCACGTCCCCTTGCATTGGGTATACCTGAATGTGGCTCCTCTCCAGTGTCACCTCCCAATTCTCCCCACCATGAACCTGACAGTGTCCCCTTTGCTCATGTTGTCCCCTCTAAATTGCACGTCCTTTTCATTCCTCTTACTTGGTTTCCATATTTAGGCCTTATTTCCTCCAGGAAGCCTCTGTGAATCTCCAGGCTGGGCTAAGCGCCTCACCTCTGTGTTTTCAAAGGACCTCATACATACCATGATTTTTTATCACTTACCATGTTATATTAAAATTATATAGTGACATATGTCTTGCCCATTAGTCTACAGAATCTTCAAGAGTGGAGACCTTATCATCTCCATCAAAAACTAGCACAAGCTTGATACATAATAATAGTTCTTAAACTGAACTGAACTGATGCAGCTTAGCCTTCATCTTGAATCAAGAGAACACCATCTCCTAAATCTAGCCATTGGTAAAATTGTTGGTACCGTTACTATTTTCATACAATTCTTAGAGCTAGGTAAGTCCCTTGATTTCTACTACTGTGTCTCACAGACTGGCATATGTGTGAATCCTTTCCCCCCAGATGATATCTGAAATCACAAGACGAACATAATCCTGGAGTATCAATTTCACCTAAAGATTCTGGAAAAATGATTTTCATTTTAAAACAGATACAGACATATTGTGGGGTAGCATATATTTTTTAGTATTAAGAGAGACTGCACTTATGCCAGGCTGTTCTCAGACAAGTCTCCAGGTCCCTGGGAGTTTAGACTCTATTGTTAGTGCTGACGATTGAGAAACAGTAATCTATAGATCACTGTTTTGCACTGTAGTTTAGTTACTGTTCTAGAGCCTCCCATAGAGAAATAAACAGCCCCAGTGAGACCGAAGCAGGAGCTATCTCAGTAATGGCCAGAAGAGAGGGACTTTCATTGTGGGTCTGAGTTAGGTTTGAAAAGATGTCTGTGTGATTGACAGGTAGGTATTCTGAAATGAGCACAACAATGAGCTTTGTATAATGTATAAAATATGCCAGATTGTAGATCAATGTAGGGGAGGAGGCAGAAAAATGACCATTAGAACAGATCAAAGAGAAGCTCTGGATCAAAGTGCAGGCCGATCAAAGACACTGGAAGGAAGGGAAGGGCACTACAGTCAAGGGATGGAACATGAGGAAAAAAATAATCCAAACTGAACTGTGGCTCAGGAGGGACTCGATGCAGGGTGGTTGGTGATAACCTAAGAAATAATTAGATATTTAGTAGGGTGATATGGGGAGTTTTCAATCCAGGAAATTCTACTTAGAGTCCTAGTAGTTAGAGATCTTTCAAGTTTGTTTTCTTATAGCTATTCCATACCATCAGATTTGAGAATGAGGTAGCATCATCCAAGAGGTGGTGACATAAAAAGATTTAACAGAAACAGAGGAAATAGCAAGGGGACAGGTAGGAAGGGCTAGTTTAAAACAGATAATAGGGTCAATTTAAGTCAACTAACATTTATCAAGTACCTGTTATGCATAAGGCACTGTTCTGGGAGATGGAGTTGCAGGGGTGACAAGCCTGGGCCTGTGCTGTCAGGGAGTTTGCAGTCTTTGTTGAAGTCGCCTAAGAAGGAAAAGCTAACAGCAAAAAATCAGGGTCTAATGGGCAGGCTTTCCAAGTGAGAGGCCTTAAGAAGCTAAAGCAGGAACGATTCCTATCAAACGTAGTATCTGTTCCCTTCACGTGATCTAAAACTTTCCCAGGAAAAAAATAAAAAACATGAATCTGCTCCAAGTTTTGATGATCACTGTGGGGCTGCAGAAGGGAAAAATTGCATGGATTTGGAGGGTGACCTTCAAGGACAGAAATTCTGTCCCAAATTCTAGAGATATTAGAAAAATATTTTCCCAGGCTGGGTGTGGTGGCTCATGCCTGTAATCCCAGCACTTTGGGAGGCCGAGGTGGGTGGATCACAAGGTCAGGGGTTCGAGACCAGCCTGACCAACATGGTGAAACCCTGTCTCTACTAAAAATACAAAAATTAGCTGGGCATGGTGGTGGGCGCCTGTAATCCCAGCTACTCAGGAGGCTGAGGTAGGAGAATGGCTTGAACTCGGGAGGCGGAGCTTGCAGTGAGCTGAGATCGCGCCACTGCACTCCAGCCTGGGCCACAGAGTGAGACTCTGTCTCAAAAAAAAAAAAAAAAAGAAAAATGTTTTCCCAATATAATCCATATTTTGCAAATGGTTATCAAAAAGTAAATTAGTTGTACATGTAGTCAAAGAGTTTTCATTCCCTAGTATCTCAGAGCTTTTTCAATAGAAAATAAAACATGGAGAACATCAGCAACTTCAAAGTGCAGGCGGAGTCAAGGACACATTTCCCATTTTGAATCCTAGACCTCCACCTGTCCACCTTACAACAAGAACCTCCGCTATTAAGCAGATGACATAATAAATACATCTAAGTTATTATGTGACTTTTCTCAAACAGGAATAAATGGCTAGAAATGAGATCTTTCTACAGAGAAACCCATTATATGTACTAGAAAGCACTAGAGACAGATGATGATAAGCCATCAAAAAGGCCTTCTCTGCTTAACCACCCTGCAATGAAGCCAGCCAACCTACAAGCCATGCTCACAGATGACGCACACCATCCCCAAACATGTATAAAGCTTCCAACGTGAAAGGCAGGCCAAAAGCAACATTAAACGTCACTTTAAAAATAGACACAGACATTGTAGGTAGCTGAAGAAAACTTCTAAAATGTAGAAAAAGTACTGAGTTAATATGCTTGGAGAAAGAAGAGAAGATGCTGCGTTCATGAAATGAGAACAGGATACTGTAAAAACCATTCAGAAGACCACACCTCTCGCCAATAAAAGCTCCTGAGAATTAAAAATATAATGGTAGAATGTAAACATTTAATAGCATTGTTGGAAGATTTATTAGAACTAAAAAAACATGGGATATTTTTTAAAATAAAAAAGATAAAATTACAAGACAGATCCAAGAGATCCCATTTTCAGATTCAGTCTAAGTAATTTAAGTTTCAGAAAGAAAGAACGAGGAAATTATATAACAGAAGAAAACCACTCAGAACTGAAGAATGTACTTTTTGGATTGAAAAGGCCTAGAAAATACTTAGGACAGTGACGGATACCTCCCTGTATTCCCCCCACCCCGCCAAAAAACCCACCCCAACATTAAATAACAACATCATGAAATATCAGAATATGAACAATAAAGAAAACCCTACAAATGCCCAGAGATTAGAACAAAATACAAGGGATCAGGAATTAGAATGGCATCAGCCTCTCAACAGCACCGTAAGAAAGTAGAATAAAATAGAGCAATGTTTTCAAAATTCGTACGGGAAATGATTTCTGATTAATATCCCATACCCAGCCAAACCAGCAAGCAAGTGTGAAGGAAGAAAAGTGACATCTCAAATGGGCACAAGCTCAAAAAGCAACCGCATCTTATGGGGCCTGAATCTTATACACTTTTGGGAGCCTTCTTTAAGAAAAAGGCGTAAAATTACAAAAACTGTACATAATTGGGTATGAAAGTACATATGTATTCCACAAGAGATGGCCTAGACAGAAAAAAAAAGTGTGTGTGTATTTAGAATGAGAAAATAAATCACAACAGACAGGGACCGTGGAGGTTCTAGACTCTGTCTTTTCAGATGTGCTTGGAAAATTTACCCCAAATGCTTCTTGATGGCGGCCTGGCGTTTCCTCCCCACTCAACAGCTCCATGCAATTAGCAGCACTCAGAGGGCCCCCATGAGTTTCCTTGGCTCCAGGAAATGACTTCTTGGTGATGAGTTCTCAAACAACTAAAGAAAATGTAGCAACTCCTACACCCCATTCCAGGGGGTTGGGGGAAAGACTGGTCAAGAAGGGAAATGTAAAGATCATGGTGTATCATGTGCCTTAGTTGGGAATAATATATACACCAAACATTGACATATCAAAAATTTAGGATATAACCGTACTGGGAACTTAAAAGAAAGGGATGTGAAGGTGAGAGGGAGGGTGGGGGTGTAAAGGAGCGAAACCCTCATCCTTCTTGGTAGGATGTCAATAGATGTCATCCAGAACTGGAAAAGAGAAGAAGAAATGGCCCGTATCTGCATGCTATTTAGAATATGGTAATATCAGAAAAACACAACCCAAAGCATTGAAAGTAATTGCCGCTAGGGTTCTATACTCAGTATAAACTCAATGAAAACCTTCTACAATGAACGACTTCTAAGACTATACATTGATTTATGTTGACCAAAGCAGATAATTAAAAAATAAAGTATACCCTCAAGAGGAGTGAGGCAAAAAGCTAACAGAAATAAAATAAAGTCGCTTTTGCTAAACTACCTGACATTCGGTGTTTCTCAAAATGTATTCCCGCAACCACCTGCCCTCAGATGACCTGGCGTGCCCGTCCATAATGGAGAATTATAGACCCAGCCCAGACCTACATAATCAGCAGTTCTCAGAGTGGTCCTTGCACTCTACCATTTAAAAAAGTTCCCCTGGACCCACTGCATTACCCATTGCTTTTTAGTAAAACAAACAAAAAACCAAAACAAATAACAACCTATTTAGAGACAGGATCTATGACTCATAAAACACACTATGGCAGATGCTGCTAGCTGCCTACCCAATGTTCATTCTCCCCCCGCCTTATTAACAAAATTCCTATTTTGTTGTTATTATTATTTTTTTGAGATGGAGTTTCGCTCTTGTTGTCCAGGCTGGAGTGCAAGTGGCATGATCTCGGCTCACTGCAACCTCTGCCTCCTGGGTTCAAGCGATTCTCCTGCCTCAGCCTCCTGAGTAGCTGGGACTATAGGCGCCTGCTAGCACGCCCGGCTGATTTTTTGTGTTTTTAGTAGAGATGGGGTTTCACCATGTTGGCCAGGCTGGTCTTGAACTCCTGACCTCAGGTGATCCACCCGCCTTGACCTCCCAAAATGCTGGAATTACAGGCGTGAGCCACTGTGTCTGGCCCAAAATTCTTATTTTGATGTATTGGCAACGTGTCTGTCTCAAACACTAGATTCTCTCTGGTTCCGTCACCGTTAACAGTGTGTATGTGATATGGTTCTGGCCAATGACATGTAAGAAGTCTTTTGGGGTGGGCTACCAGAAAAGCTGTTATTATTATTATTTATTATAAAGAAGGACAGGCCAGGCGTGGTGGCTCACATCTGTAATCCCAGCACTTTGGGAGGCCGAGGGGGGCAGATCACAGGGTCAGGAGTTCAAGACCAGCCTGACCAACATGGTGAAACCCCGTCTCTACTAAAAATACAAAAATTAGCTGGGCGTGGTGGTGCACGTCTGTAATCCCAGCTACTTGGAGGCTGAGGCAGGAGAATCACTTGAACCCAGGAAGCGGAGGTTGCAGTGAGCCGAGATTGTGCCACTGAGAGAGACTCTGAGTCAAAAGAAAGAAAGAGATGAGACAGAGAGAGAGAGAGAGAAAAGAAAAGAAGAGAGAAAAGAAAAGAAAAGAAAAGACAAGACAAGACTCTTCTGGAGCATGCCTCTGCCCGTCTTTCTGCTGCAACTTGCGGAAGTGAGTATGAAAGCTCCATGCTAAGGAGGGTGGTGCGGGAAGACACAAGGAGCCTGTCTCAGATGACGTTCATATCGGAACCCCTTTCCCAGCCCCAGCCTTCTCACCTCCAGACTTCTCGTTCTCTGAGAAAAACAAACTCCTTACTTGTTTAAGCCGCTGTAGTAGGGTTTTCTGTTCTTGTAGCTGAATGAACGTCTAATGACATCTCACACTTTTTCAGATGTTTATCTGACATACCACATTTTATGTATGCCTGCTATGGGCACTGTGCTAGGAATAAGACAAGTAAAGCTCTCTTTGTCATGGAACCAGGAGCACAGTTAGAACAGAAGTTAGAACTTTAGCCACTATAATAACGGCTACAGTTATAATAACAGTTAGAACAGAAGGTCCATAGGCATTTGAGGCTGGGATTCAAGGAGGTTATGTTTGCTGTCACAGACCTCAAACCAAAAGAGTACATCAAAATAAGTCACTGGATTTATACATTTGGCAAATTCTCAAGGGACCACATGACAGAAGGAGCAAAAATCTGAACATTGTTTTTAGCTGTAATTCTCCAATGAAGTAGATTTGGGGAAGCAACATGAGGTACTTGCTTTATTTTTCTTAAATCCGGTTTTCTTCCTTGAAAAACCACAAGATTGGACTTGACAATCTTTAAGGTTATACTCAGCTCTAAGATATTTTTGTAATTATATGGAACAAAGATGGGCATGAAATATACCAAACGAGAGAGTTTCTAAATTTAGATTCTGATAATTCAAGTCAGAAAACATATTAAGTGTTCGGGAAAAACAAATCACAATCTTCCATCACAAAATTCAACAAGAACAACAAAAACCACTCCAGAGGCAGCTGTGGTATTCTGGAAGGAATGTTGGTTTGAGTTCTGGCTCTGCCATTTAATTACTGGCTAACCCTGGACCACATACACAATATCTCTGTTTCCATCTCCTCATTTTTGAAATACGGATTCTAATCTGACCTGAACAGTGCTGTTTACAAACATCGCCTTGTGCTCTATAAAGCCCCATTATGATTTCAACAACCAGCAAGATAATGGCTTATGATATCTAAGTCCTGGCAAGGAGAATGCGGGTGTGTACCTTGCTATATTCAGTTGAACTCTGCATCACATACAGAAGGCTGATAGACCTTTTAGCTTTCCTTTTTCCTCCAGTAGTGTAGCTTGTGGCCATTTAAGTTTTACACAAGAGAATAGAAAAGAGAGATAAAATTTGCTAAAATTCAAATAGTCTATTTGTGTTTGTTTCTAGCCTCAGTGAAGGTTTTGGGGAGAGGGGTAGCTGGTTAAAAGAGTAGAAGCTTAAGAGTTCAAAGAAAGTGTGAGGAGGACAGCACTCACCTGTGGCCTCTAATTGTTCATATTCAGTATGGTCTCATACTGGGAATAATCTAGTGTTTGTCTTATGATCTTTCTATAGAAACAAATATGGAATGTGTCTATAAGTACCATTAGTTGATGACACACTAGTGACTTTAATTCTCTTACAGTAAAAAGTTTTGCAATAGCAAGGACTTTGGCTAGGGGAGTGACTCTATGTGTGGTGAAACTGTCCTCACCCATTTTTCATTTGAGGAAAAGAGATAATCTTTTGATTACACCCAACACAGGTAACATCTGTACTTTGAACAGTTAAGTATAGCAGCTGATGTTTAACTGCAGGTAGGGGGGAGATGAGAAACAGAAATAACTGGTGCCAAATGTGAGATTCAATTACCTCGACCATCACAACCAACATCAACCAGAAGGGTGTGGGAGGAACTCATGGAATAAATGGGAACAGGTGTGGCCTGAGGATAAGTAAGTGGGGGCACTGTTTCCATCTTCATGAAGATGTGAGAGGAAATCAAAGCTCTTTAAAAAGAAGGAAATGGAATGCTTGGCTCCTGTAATATCAGAACAAATAATGCACAGCCAGAGGTCATGCCTCACCTTCTGCTTATCTCAGTCACCTCCACTTGTAAAATCAGTGGGCCATATTCAATAAAACCTTCATATCAGTTCCATATCTTTTCCCAGAAACCCCAGGAACAGAGGGAGCCAATATCCTTATTAAACCAAGAAGCTCACTGTCACAAAGAGCTAAGTCTGACGCCCCTGGGCCCCTACCTAACCACGTGTCCTGATTCTTTCCATAACTTCCCACTGCACAACATCCAGGTTATACTGAAGATATTACACATCTGGTTAAAAACAGTACACGTCTCTCATGAACAATAAGCCATCCTTTCTATTAAAATGAGTGTAAAATTGCAGGTAAAATGCTGTAGGCAGGCCTGTTTGGAAGGCTATGCGACCCTAGGAGACAAAAAGGTGCAGGAGGAGGAAAAGGGCAGACACCGCAGAAAGCGGTCGAAGAGAACGTGAAAGAAGTGGCCATTTCTAGCTGGGCGCGGTGGTTCACGCCTGTAATCCCAGCACTTTGGGAGGCTGAGGCGGGTGGATCATGAGGTCAGGAGATCGAGACCATCCTGGCTAACACGGTGAAACCCCGTCTCTACCAAAAAAAAAAAAAATACAAAAAATTAGCCGGGCGTGGTGGCGGGCGCCAGTAGTCCTAGCTACTCGGGAGGCTGAGGCAGGAGAATGGTGTGAACCCGGGAGGTGGAGCTTGCAGTGATCCGAGATTGCGCCACTGCACTCCAGCCTGGGCGACAGAGCGAGACTCCGTCTCAAAAAAAAAAAAAAAAAAAAAAAGAAGTGGCCATTTCTGCAACTTTTAGGAGAGCTACCTGCCCTCAAATTTTGAAAGGGTTTCTATTTCTTAAAGTGCTACGTTTCCCTGGCTGAAACTCACATCTTTCTTCCCTCTAGGGCTGGATCAAAGCTTCAGAGGTTGTTTCTCTGGCCCTAGACAGGGCCACCCCCGCAAATTTCTCCCCCACTGCGCCTGACATCCGCTTCCATCCATGGCTCCATTAACGGAAGCTAAGCACTGGCTCGGGGGACTTTATCCACCGCCCGGTGTTATTAGATTCCAGGCTTCCTGGCCTCAGGAAAGGATCTGGCTCGTGTATTTGTGTATCGCAGCTAACAAGGAAAGGCAGTCGGTACCAGTGCCCAGAGCTATGTGAGCTGTGACTGGTCACAGCCCAGGAGCCAGATGGCATCCCCGGGGGCGCGCGTCCCCGGACTCACCGGGCAGACGGAGGCCCGGGGCTTCACACCTTCCCCTCACCGGGCAACGCGGCAGACCTGACTCGCGGGGGACTGAGCAATATTCGTTCCAGGGCCGCGGCCAGCCGGACAGAGGCACTCGGGGGCGGTGGGAGTAGTGTGCGCACCGGTTCCGCAGCCCGGAGGGGGCCCCAGCTGGGCTTCCGCGACACCAGGGCCCTCCATCCCCTCCCGTCCTCCCCTAGCGCAGCCTTCACCCCTGTCCCAGAGCCCCTCCCTGTCCGCGTCCCCTCCCCCGCAGGTCCCCTGCGAGTCGGAACCTCCTCTCCATCACAGCCCCGCTCCTTGGCGGGGCCCCCTCTCCCTTCGAGCCCTCCTCCAGGTTCGAGCCCCCTGCGGGTACGGACGTCTGACCTGTGCCCAGCGCCTCGCAGCCGTCTGCAGCCCGCGCCGCGCGCCAAGTGCGTCCGCCCAGAAGCAGGTGCAGCTCCAGGCCCGCCCCGCCCCGCTGCGCCCCGCCCCGCTCCACTCCGCCAGGCCTGGCAGCCGCCAGCCCCTTTCCACCCTTGACCGCCCTTCCCGGTCCCGGCCAGCGTGCGGGGCATCTGTCGTCAGGTCCGCACTTCCTCCAGGCCTTTGACTTTCCCGTGGAGATGTCTCTGGCCTCAGGAACTCCCTAAGCTGTGTGCTTCAGGAGAGGCTGGTTCCTGAGTCACCCAAGAGGACTGCAACCAACCTGGACCTCCTGAGATGCAAAGAGATCGCAGGGCCTGGGAGGCGGCGAGGACCCTGAGAACAGGCTGTGGCTCCGAAGAGTGTTTGTTACCAAGCCAGGCAACCACTGCGAACACACCGCAGAAACAGCCACGGATCACCGTCCAGCAAAGGAAGAAGGTGCCAACGGTCCATCAGGGACCACAACCCAGTTTTTTTAGTTTAAGTTTGGTGGCTAAGTTTGAGTGTCACATAGTTCATTCATTCCTTCATTCATTCAACAAATCTGCCATGTTCCCATCTGATAACAGATCTGACAGGTGGGCACTGTTCTAGGTGCTGGCGATAGAGCTAAGAAGGAAACAAAGTTCCTGTCCCGGAGAAGGGGGCTACCTGCTGAGGAGAGCATGACTTTCTTTGTGGTATTGTGCTGTGGCAGCAGGGTCCTCTTCTGTAAGCTACTGAGAGGTGAAACCCGCTGGGCTTCTGGGTCGGATGGGGACTTGGAGAACTTTTCTGTCTAGCTAAAGGATTGTAAAAGCATCAATCTGCACTCTGTGTCTAGCTAAAGGTTTGTAAACACACCAATCAGCACTCTGTAAAAATGCACCAATCAGTGCTCTGTGTCCAGCTAATTGGTGGGGACTTGGAGAACTTTTCTCTCTAGCCAAAGGATTGTAAATGCACCAATCAATGCTCTATGTCTAGCTAAAGGTTTGTAAACACATCAATCAGCACTCTGTAAAAACGGACCAATCAGCACTCTGTAAAATGGACCAATCAGCACTCTGTAAAATGGACCAATCAGCGCTCTGTAAAATGGACCAATCAGGAGGATGTGGGCAGGACCAATCAGGAGGATGTGGGCGGGGCCAATGAGGGAATAAAAGCTGGCCATCCGAGCCAGCGGCAGCTGCGTTTGGGTCCCCTTCGATGGTGTTGGGGTTTTGTTGTTTCGCTCTTTGCAATAAATTTTGCTGTTGCTCACCTTTTAGGTCCACACTACCTTTATGAGCTTTAACACTCACAGTGAAGGTCTGCAGGTTCACTCCTGTAAACCAGCGAGACCAGGAAGCCACCACAAGAAACAACTCTGGAGCCGCCACCTTTAAGAGCCATAACACTCACTGTGAAGGTCTGTGGCTTCACTCCTGAAGTCAGCGACACCACGAACCCACAGGGAGGAGCAAACAACTCCAGACGCACCACTTTTAAGAGGTGTAACACTCCCTGCGAAGGTCTGTGGCTTCACTCCTGAGGTCGGCGAAACTACGAACCCGCTGGGAGGAAGGAACAACGCGGATGCGCCACCTTTAAGAGCTGTAACACTCCCTGCGAAGGTCCGCGGCCTCACTCATCAAGTCGTGCATAGACCACGAACTCTCTAGAAAGAAAAAACTTCGGACACACCTGAACATTTGAAGGAACAAACTCCGGACACACCATGTTTAAGAACTATAATGCCGTGAAGGTCCGCGGCAGGACCGGGACCAGGAACTCTTCAGAGGGAACCAATTCCGGATACACAGCTTCGTGGAATGGTTCTGCACTGTGTGTGTGTGTGTTTCCCGTCAACCCTGTGCACACTATTAGAAGAACACAAGCGTTAAGGCTCCCTCTCAGTCCTGCCGGTAAGAATCCAGGGCTGATGCACCTATTAAAAGCTTCTCAGGAGGCCTGGGGAAGTGGGGGTTGAGAACCACGGGTCTAGATCTCTAAGATGCCTGGCAGCTTATTCCACTGTTGAGGGCACTGGCAATCAGGAAGGGCTTCATGGAAGAGATGTTTGCATTTGGGTTTTAAAGCAGGGCCACAGCTAGATATTAGCAGTGCAGAAGGACACGGGATCCGACGGGCAGCCTGTTGACCAAATGGCTCCGTTTTTATAAAGTCAAAGAACATCACTGTGAAGGATAAGGCATTAACTGGAGCAGACCTTTCCCTGGTAAAACAGAGCGAATGGGATCTGGTGGGAGGTGGTAATGGCCAAGAGGTAGTGCCGTCAGTGAAAAGCGTCATGGAGTCGTGCACCTTACAGGGAGGATGGGCCGCAGCCAGGAGCTGAGAGGGCATCTTTTAAATTTGCCGTCAGCTCAGGAACTTAATCACACATCTCATCCTAGCCCTTGCTCACACCCATTGTTTTAGAAATCGTTGATAGAGTGGAGTCCTGGATGCCTGTTACTCTGGGAGAGGCTGTCCTCTGTCACCAGATCCCTTTTATGGACAGGCATTTTCTTTAGTAATATTTACCTTGTCTACGATGATGAAACAAAGGTGTGACCTCTTAATTGTATAGTTAATGGTGAGTAGAGATGCTTTTTTTTTTTTTACTTTTTATTTTTGAGACAGTTTTGCTCTTGTTGCCCAGGCTGGAGTGCAATGGCGCGATCTCGGCTCACCACAACCTTGGCCTCCTGGGTTCAAGTGACTCTCGTGTCTCACTCTCCTGAGTAGCTGGGATCACAGGCATGCGCCGCCATGCCCAGCTAATTTTGTGTTTTTAGTAGAGTCGGGGTTTCTCCATGTTTGTCAGACTGTTCTTGAACTCCCGACCTCAGGTGATCTGCCCACCTCAGCCTCCTAAAGTGCTGGGATTAGAGGTGTGAGCCACCTCGCCCGACGGAGATGCTTCTTAATATTAAAAAATCTAAACAAAATAATTTCTGCTTCAAATTATAATAACCAGGTACCAGGACAAAACCAATTTTTTGTTGTGTGTGTGTGTGTGTGTTTGAGACGGGCTCACTTTGTTGCCCAGGATGAAGTTCAGTGGTGCAATCATAGCTCACTGTAGCCTCGACCTCCAACGCTCAAGAGATACTCTTGCCACAGCTTCCTAAGTAGCTGGGACTACAGGTGTGCATCAACACGCATGGCTAATGTTTACATTTTTAAAAATTGCAATAGTTTTTGGGGAACAGGTCATTTTTTTGTTACATGGATAAGTTATTTAGTGGTGATTTCTGAGATTTTTGTGTACTCATCACCTGAGCAGTGTACACTGTACCCAATGTATAGTCTTTTATCCCTCACCCTCCTCCCACTTTCCCTTGAGTCCCCAAAGTCCATTATATATATATATATATATATATATATATATATATATGTATGTATGTATGTATTTTTTTTTTTTTTTTGAGACAGTCTTGCTCTGTCGCCCTGGCTAGAGTGCAGTGGCGCAATCTCAGCTCACTGCAACCTCTGCCTCCCAAGTTCAAGCGATTCTCCTGCCTCAGACCTCTGAGTAGCTGGGACTACAGGCGCGTGCCACGACGACTAATTTTTTGTATTTTTAGTAGAGACAGGGTTTCACCATGTTAGCCAGGATGGTCTCAATCTCCTGACTTCATGATCCGCCTGCCTTGGCCTCCCAAAGTGCTGGGATTACAGTTGTGAGCCACTGCACCCGGCCCATTATATCATTCTTATGCCTTTGCATCCTCATAGTTCAGCAAACCCTTATAAGTGAGAACATACACGATATTTGGTTTCCCATTCCTGAGTTACTTCACTTGGAATAGTGGTCTCCAACTCCCGTACAAATTGCTGCAAATGCCATTACTTCAGTCCTTTTTATGGCTGAGTAGTATTCCATGGTGTAAATATATCACATTTTCTTTATCCACTTGTCAGTCGAGGGGCATTTAGGCTGGTTCCATATTTTTGCAATTGTGTATTTTGCTCCTATAAACATGCAGATGCAAGTGGCTTTTTCATATAATGACTTCTTTTCTTCTGGATATATACTCAATAGTGGGACTGCTGGATCAAATGGTAGTTTTACTTTTAGTTCTTTAAGGAATCTCCATAAAGTTTTCCACAGTGGATGTACTAGTTTATATTCCCACCATCAGTGTAAAAGTGCCCTTTTCATCACATCTATGCAAACATCTACTATTTTTTGACTTTGTAAATTATGGCCAGTCTTGCAGAAGTAAGGTGGTATTTCATTGTGGTTTTAATCTGCATTTCCCTGATAATTAGTGATGTTGAGCATTCTTTTTCATGTGTTAGTCATTTGTGTATCTTCTTTTGAGAACTGTCTATTCATGTTCTTTGCCCACTTTTTGATGGGATTATTTCTTTTTTTCTTACTGATTTGAGTTCCTTGTAGATTCTGCATATTAGTCCTTTGTAGGACGCATAGTTGAATATTTTCTCCCATTCAGTGAGGTGTCTGTTTACACTGCTGATTATTTTGCTGTGCCGAAGTGTTTTCATTAGGTAATATCTATTTATTTTTGTTTTTGTTAGATTTGCTTTGGGGTTTTTGGTCTTAAAATCTTTGCCTAAGCCAATGTCTAGAAGAGTTTTTCCAGCGTTATTTTCTAAAGTTTTTATGGTTTCAGGTCTTACATTTAAGTGTTTGATCCATCTTGAGTTGATGTCTGTATAAGGTAAGAGATGAGGATCCAGTTTCATTCTTCTGTATGTGGCTAGACAGTTATCCCAGCACCATTTGTTGAATAGGGTGCCCCTTCCCTATTTGTGTTTTTGCTTTCTTTGTTGAAGATGAGTTGGTTGTAAGTATTTGGCTTTATTTCTGGGTTCTGTATTCTGTTCCATTGGTCTATGTGCCTATTTTTATATTGGTACCATGCTGTTTTGGTACTGGTATAAATCTTGTAGGATAGTTTGAAGTCAGTTAATGCGATGCCTCCAGATGTTTTTTTTTTTTTTTTTTTTTTTTTTTTTGCTTAGTCTTGCTTTGGTTATGAGGGGTCCTTTTTGGTTCCATATGAATTTTAGATTTTTTTTTCTAGTTCTGTGAAGAATGATGATGGTACTTTGATAGGAGTTGCACTGAATGTGTAGATTGCTTTTGACAGCTTTCACAATATTGAATCTACCCATGAGCATGGGATGTGTTTCCATTTGTTTGTGTCATCAGTGATTTCTTTCAGCAGTGTTTTGTAGTTTTCCTTGTAGAGGTCTTTCACCTGCTTGGTTTTATATATATATATATGTGTGTGTGTCATAGATAGTTTTTATTACCTTGAGGTATGTCCCTTCCATGCCAATTTTTCTGAGGGTTTTAATCATAAAGCAATGCTGAAATAACATATTATATATTATAAAATAAAACATTATAATATATAATATATATAATACATATAGCAGCTGTTGTAAAAGGGATCGAGTTCTTGATTTGTGTCTCATCTTGGTCACTGTTGGTATTTAGTGGTGTTACTGACCTGTGAACATTGATTTTTGTATCCTGAAACTTTACTGAATTCATTTATCCAATCTAGGAGCCTTTTGGATGAATCTTCAGAGTTTTCTAGGTATACAATCTTATCATCAGTGAACTGCAATAGTTTGACTTCCTCTTTACTGATTTGGATGCCCTTTATTTCTTTCTCATGTCTGATTGCTCTGGCTAGGACTTCCAGTACTATGTTGAATAGAAGTGGTGAAAGTGAGCATCCTTGGCTTGTTCCAGTTCTCAGGGGGAATGCTTTCAACTTTTCCCTGTTCAGTATAATGTTGGCTGTCGGTTGGTCACAGATAGCTTTTATTACCTTGAGGTATGTCCCTTCCATGCCAATTTTTCTGAGGGTTTTAATCATATAGCAATGCTGAATTTTGTCAAATGCTTTTTCTGCGTTGATTGGGATAATATGAGTTTTGTTTTTAATTCTGTTTACTGGATATATTACATTTATTGACTTGTATATCCCTGCATTCCTGGTATGAAACCCACTTGACTATTGCTGTATTATCTTTAAAAAAATTTTTTTTATAAGTTATTGGGGTGCTGGTGGTATTTGGTTACATGAGTAAGTTATTTAGTGGTGATTTGTGAGATTTTGGTGCACTCATCACCTGAGCAGTATACAAGGCACCATATTTGTAGTCTTTTATCCCTTGACTGCCTCCTATTTTTCTCCCCAAACCCCCAAAGTCCATGGTATCATTCTGTGCCTTCGCATCCTCATAGCTAACTCCCACATATCAGTGAGAACATAAGATGTTTGGTTTTCCATTCCTGAGTTACTTCACTTAGAATTATAATCTCCAGTCTCATCCAGGTCACTGCAAATGCTGTTAATTCATTCGTTTTCGTGGCTGTGTAGTATTCCATCACACACACACACACACACACACACATATACTCACACACATATATATATATACACACACACACATATGTATATATACACGTATATATGTATATATATGTATACGTGTATATGTGTGTGTGTGTGTGTGTATATATATATATATATATATATACACACACCACAGTTTTTTTAATCCACTCGTTGATAGCATTTGAGTTGGTTCCACAATTTTGCAATTGTAAATTGTGCTGCTATAAACATGCATGTGCAAGTATCTTTTTCAAATAATGACTTCTTTTCCTCTGGGTAGATACCTAGTACTGGGATTGCGAGATCAAATGATAATTCTTTTAGTTCTTTAAGGAATTTCCACACTGTTTTCCATAGTGGTTGTACTAGTATACATTCCCACCAGCAGTGTGGAAGTGTTACTGGTTCACTGCATCCACACCAACGTCTACTGTTTTTTTGATTATGGCCATTCTTGCAGGAGTGAGGTGGTATCTCATTGTGGTTTTGATTTGCGTTTCCCTAATCATTAGTGGTGGTGAGCATTTTTTAATGTGTTTGTTGGACATTTGTATATCTTCTTTTGAGAATTGTCTGTTCATGTCCTTAGTCCACTTTTTGATGGGATTGTTTGTTTGTTTGTTTTTTGAGACAGTCTCTCGCTCTTGTTGCCCAGGCTGGAGTGCAATGGTGAGATCTCAGCTCACTGCAACCTCTGCCTCCCAGGTTTAAGCGATTCTCCTGCCTCAGCCTCCCAAGTAGCTGGGATTACAGGCACCTGCCACCACGCCTGGCTAATTTTGTGTTTTTAGTAGATACAGGGTTTCACCATGTTGGTCAGGCTAGTCTGGAACTCCTGACCTCAGGTGATCTGCCCACCTCAGCCTCCCAAAGTGTTGGGATTACAGGTGTGAGCCACCACACCCGGCTGTTTTTTTCTTACTGATTTGAGTTTGTTGTAGATTCTGGATGTTAGCCCTTTGTCAGATGTATAGGTTGTGAAGATTTTGTACCACTCTGTGGGTTTTTTTACTCTGCTGACTGTTCCTTTTGCTGTGCACAAGCTCTTTAGTTTAATTAGCTCCCAGCTATTTATCTTTGTTTTTATTGCATTTGCTTTCCGGTTCTTGGTCATGAAATCCTTGCCTAAGCCAATGTCTATAAGGGTTTTTCCAATGTTATCTTCTATAATTTTTATAGTTTCAAGTCTTAAAGTCCATGATCCATCTTGAGTGATTTTTGTTTAAGGTGAGAGATGAGGATCCAGTTTAATTCTCCTATATGTGGCTTGCCAATTATCCCAGCATCATTTGTTGAATAGAGTATCCTTTTCCTACTTTTGTGTTTTTGCTTGCTTTGTCAAAGATCAGTTGGCCCTAAGTATTTTGGTTTATTCCTGGGTTTTCTATTCTGTTCATTTGGTCTAGTGCCTATTTTTATGCCAGTACCATGCTGTTTTGGGGACTATGGCCTTATAGTATAGTTTGAAATCAGGTAGTGTGATGCCTCCAGATTTGTTCTTTTTGCTTAGTCTTGCTTTGGTTATGTGGGCTCTCTTGGTTCCATATGAATTTTAGAATTTTTTTCTAGTTCTGTGAAGAATGATGGTGGTATTTTGATGGGGATTACACTGAATTTGTAATTACTTTTGGTAGTGTGGTCATTTTCACAATATTGATCCTACCCATTCATGAGCATGGGATGTGTTTCCATTTGTTGGTGTCATCTATGATTTTTTTCAGCAGTGTTTTGTAGTTTTCCTTGTAGAGGTTTTTTGAATCCTTTGTTAGGTATATTCCTAAGGTTTTTTTTTTTTGCAGTTGGAAAAGGGGTTGAGTTCTTGATTTGATTCTCTGCTTGGTCACTGTTGGTGTATAGAAGAGCTACTGATTTATGTACATTAATCTTGTATCCAAAAACAAGATTCTTTTGGCTGAATTCTTTTGTCAGTTCTAGGAGCTTTCTGGAGGAGTCTTTAGGGTTTTCAAGGCAAACAGTGACAGTTTGACTTCCTCTTTACTGATTTGGCTACCCTTTATTTCATTCTCTCGTCTGATTGCTCTGGCTAGACTTCCAGTACTATGTTGAAGAGGAGTGGTGAGAGTGGGCATCCTTGTCTTATTCCTGTTCTCAGAGCGAATGCTTTCAACTTTTCCCTTTTCAGTATTATATTGGCTGTGGGTTTGTCATAGATGGCTTTTATTACTTTGAGGTATGTTCCTTGTATGCTGATGTTGCTGAGAGTTTTAGACACAAAGGGGTGCTAGATTTTGTTGAATCATTTTTTTCTGCATCTATTGAGATGATTGTGTGATTTTTGTTTTTAATTCTGTTTATGTGGTGTATCACATTTATTGATGTGTATATGTTAAATGGTCCCTGCATCCTTGGTATGAAACCCACTTGATTATTATGGATTATCTTTTTGATATGTTGTTGGATTCAGTTAGCTAGTATTTTGTTAAGGATTTTAGCATCTATGTTCATCAGGGATATTGATCTGTACTTTTCTTTTTTGGTTGTGTCATTTCCTGGTTTTGGCATTAGGGTAAGGCTGGCTTCACAGAATGAATTAGGGAGGGTTCCTTTTTTCTCTGTCTTGTGGAAGTGTGTCAGAAGGATTGCTACCAATTATTTGAATATCTGGTAGAATTCTGCTGTGAATCCGCCTGGTCCTGGACTTTTTTTCTTGATAATTTTAAAATTACCATTTTAATCTCACTGCGTGTTTTGTTCTGTTCAGGGTATCTAATTCTTCCTGATTTAAGCTAGGAGAGTTGTATTTTTCCAGGAATTTATCCATTTCTTCTAGGTTTTCTAGTACATGTGTGTAGAGGTGTTGATAGTAGCCTTGAATGATCTTTTGTATTTCAGTGGTTGTTGTATTTCAGTTGTAGTATATCCTGTTTTGTTTCTTAGTGAGGTTATTTGGATTTTCTTTCTTCTTTTCTTGGTTAATCTTGCTAATAGTCTATCAATTTTATTTATCTTTTCAACAAACCAGCTTCTTGTTTCATTTATCTTTTGTATTTTTTTGTTGAAATTTCATTTAGTGCTGCTGTGATCTTGGTTATTTCTTTTTTCTGCTGGGTTTCAGTTTGGTTTGTTCTTGTTTCACTAGTTCCTTGAGGTGTGACCTTAGATTGTCTGTTTGTGCTCTTTCAGACTTTTTGATATAGGCGTTTAGGGCTATGAACTTTCCTCTTAGCACCACCTTAGCTGTATCCTAGAGGTTTTGATAGGTTGTGTCATTATTGTCATTCAGTTCAAAGAATTTTTTAGTTTCCATCTTGATTTTGTTTTTGACCCAGTTCTCATTCAGGAGCAGGTTATGTAATTTCCATGTATTTGCTTGGTTTTGAATGTTCCTTTTGGAGTTGATTTCCAGTTTTATTCCACTGTGGTCTGAGAGAGTGCTTGATATAATTTCAATTTCTTAAATTTATTGAGGCTTGTTTTATGGCCTGTCACATGGTTTGGTTTGGAGAAAGTTCCATGTGTTGAACAGAATGTGTATTCTGCGGTTGTTGGATGAAATGTTCTGTGTATATCTGTTAAGTCCATTTGTTCCAAGGTATAGTTTAAATCCATTGTTTCTTTGTTGATTTTTCTGTCTTGATGACCTGTTTAGTACTGTCAGTGGAGTATTGGAGACCTCCACTATTACTGTGTTGCTATCTCATTTCTTAGGTCTAGTAGTAATTGTTTTATAAATTTGGGAGCTCCAGTGTTAGGTGCATATATGTTTAAGATTGTGATATTTTTCTGTTGGACAAGACCTTTTACCATTACATAATGTCCTTCTTAACTGCTGTTGCTTTAAAGTTTGTTTTGCTTGTTTTTGGTGTCCATTTACTTTGCACAAAATGCCTTTTCCCACCCCTTTACTTTGTTTATATGAGTCCTTATGTTTAACCTTTAGGTGAGTCTCCTGAAGGCAGCAGAAGGTTGGTGAGTTCCTATCCATTCCGTGGTTCTGTATTTTTTAAGTGGAGTACATAGGCCATTTACATTCAATGTTAGTATTGAAATGTGAGGTACCATTGCATTCATCATGCTCTTTGTTGCTTCAGTACTTTGTTTTTGCTTTTTAGCTTGTATTTTTGTTTTTTTAGGTCCTGCGTGATTTATGCTTTAAAGAGGTTCTGTTTTGATGTGTTTCCAGGATTTGTTTTGAGGTTTAGAGCTTCTTTTAGCAGTTCATATAGTGGTGGTTTGGTAATGGCGAATTCTCTCAACATTTGTCTGAAAATGACTATATCTTTTCTTCATATATGATGATTAGTTTTGCTGGCTACAAAATTCTTGGCAATCGTTTTGTTTGAGGAGGCCGAAGATAGGGTCCCAATCCCTTCTAGCTTGTAGGGTTTCTTCTGAGAAATCTGCTGTTAATCTGATAGGTTTTCCTTAATAGGTAACCTGGTGCATCTGTCTCACAGCTCTTAAGATTCTTTCCTTTGTCTTAACTTTGGATAACCTGATGAAAATATGCCTAGATAAAGATGTTTTTGCGATGAATTTCCCTGGTGTTTTTTGTGCTTCTTGTATTTGCACGTCTAGGTCTTTAGCAAGGCTGGGGAAGTTTTCCTTGATTATTCCCGTAAATAAGCTTTCCAAGCTTTTAGAATTGTCTTCTTCCTCAGGAGCACTGGTTATTCTTAGGTTTGGTTGTTTAACATAATCTCATACTTCTTGGAGGCTTTGTTCATATTTTCTTACTCTTTCTTCTTTGACTTTGATGGATTGGGTTAATTCAAAGACCTTGTCTTTGAGTTCTGAATTTCTTTCTTCTACTTGTTCAATTCTATTGCTGAAACTTTCCAGAGCATTTCACATTTCTAAAAGTGTGTCCAAAATTTCCTGAATTTTTGACTGTTTTTTTCTTTATTTCCTTGAATATTTCTCCCTTCACTTCTTGTATCATATTTTGGATATCCTTGTACTGGGATTTGCCTTTCTCTGGTCCCTCTCTGATTAGCTTAATAACTAACTTCCTGAGTTCTTTTTCAGGTAAATCAGGGATTTCTTCTTGGTTTGGATCCATTACTGGTGAACTACTGTGATATTTGGGGGGTGTCAAAGCACCTTGTTTTGTCATATTACCAGGGTTGGTTTTCTGGTTCCTTCTCATTTGGGTAGGCTCTGTCAGAGGGAAGGTCTAGGGCTGAAGGCTGTTGTTCAGATTTTTTTGTCCCATGGGGTGTTCTCTTGATGTAGTGCTCACCCCCTTTTCCTGTGGATGTGACTTCCTGTGAGCCAAACTGCAGTAATTGTTGTTTCTCTTCTGAGTCTAGCCACCCAGCGAGTCTGCCCAGTTCCAAGCTGGTACTGGGTGTTGTCTGCACACAGTCCTGTGATGTGAACTGTCTATAGGTCTCTCAGCTGCAGATACCAGCGCCTGTTGCAGTGGAGGTGGTGGAGGATGCAATGGACTCCGTTAGGGTCCTTAGTTTTGATGGTTTAATGCTCTATTTTTGTGCTGGTTGGCCTCCTGCCAGGAGGTGGCATTTTCCAGAAAGCATCAGCTGTAGTAGTGTGGAGAGGGACTGGTGGTGGGTGGGACCCTAGAAGTCCCAAGATTAAATTCTCTTTGTCTTCTGCTACTAGGGTGGATTGGGAAGGACTATCAGGTGGAGGCGAGGCTTGGTGTGATGAGCTGAGACTCTCCTTGGGCGGGTCTTGCTGTGGCTGCTGTGGGGGATGGGAGTGAGATTCCCAGGTCATTGGAGCTGTGTACCTAGGAGGATTATGGCTGCCTCTGCTGAGTCATGCAGGTTGTCAGGGAAGTGGGGGAAAGCCAGCAGTCACAGGTCTCACCCAGCTCCCATATAAACCGAAGGGCCACTCTCATTCCTACTGTGCCTCCCACAACAGCCCTGAGTCTGTTTCCAGGCAGAGGGCGGGATGGACTTGAAAACTTACTGGAGGCTTTGTGCCTCCCAGCTGTGAAAGAAAATGGCTTTAGTTCTTCCCCTTGCCTGTGAAGTCTGTGCACCAGATTCATGCCCTCCCACAAGTTCTGGCTAGGAGGCTTCTCACCCCTTTCAAATTGTTACAAAGTTCAGCTAGAGATTTCCTTCTCCTTGTGGAGTTTAACCGCCTGCTCCTCTGGCCACCCTCCCGATGGATTCCTGTGGTGTCAGGCAGGAATGGGCTGCTTGGGGACCTAGTGAGCTCCCAGCGCCTTTCTGGTGCTTCCTGTACCCCTGTATTTCGCTCAGCTCTCTAACTTGACTCAGCTCCAGGTAAAGTTGGAAACTTCTCTTGCAAACAGACCTTCATCTTCTCTAGTGGGGGTGTGTGTTTGGGAAAGGAGAATCTCCCTTCTCACTTATGCAGTTGGGGCACTCACAGTATTTAGGGTGTCTCCTGGCTCCCACAGGAGCAGTCTGCTTCCTTCAGAGGGTCTTTGGGTCTTCTAAGGATTGCTGTTTTTTTCTTGCAGTCAATCTGGGCTAAAATTCACAATGCAAGCCTCTGCATGCTGCCTTGTTTGGAGCTGCAATCTAGTCCTGCCCCCCATCTGCCATGATCCCAAAATCCCCCTGTATTATCTTTTTGATAATGCTGTTGGATTCGGTTAGCTACTATTTTGTTGAGGATTTTTGCATCTATGTTCATCAGAGATATTGGTCTATAGTTTTCTTTTCTTTCTTTTTTGTTTGTTTGTTATATCCTTAACTGGTTTTGGAATTAGGGTGATACTGACTTCATAGAATGATTTAGGGAGTATTCCCTCTTTCTCTATCTTTTGGAATATTTTCAGTAAGATTGATACCAATTCTGCTTTGAATGTCTGATAGAATTCAACTGTGAATCCATCTGATCCTGGACTTTTTTCATTGGCAATTTTTTTTTTTTTTTCCGAGATGGAGTCTTGCTCTGTCACCCAGGCTGGAGTGCTGTTGAGAGGTGAAGCTGTCTGGGCTCCTGGGTCGGGTGGGGCCTTGGAGAACTTTTCTGTCTAGCTAAAGGTTTGTAAATGCACCAATCAGCGCTCTGTGTCTAGCTAAATGTTTGTAAACGCACCAATCAGCACTCTGTAAAAACAGACTGATCAGCACTCTGTAAAATGGACCAATCAGCACTCTGTAAAATGGACCAATCAGCAGGAAGTGAGTGGGGCCAAATAAGGGAATAAAAGCTGGCCACCCAAGCCAGCAGCGGCAACCCGCTCAGGTCCCCTTCTATGCTGTGGAAGCTTTGTTCTTTCGCTCTTCACAATAAATCTTGCTGCTGCTCACTCTTTGGGGCCACACTACCTTTATGAGCTGTAACACTCACTGCGAAGGTCTGTGCTTCACTCCTGAAGTCAGCAAGACCATGAACCCACCGGGAGGAACAAGTAACTCCGGATGCACCACCTTTATGAGCTGTAACACTCACTACGAAGGTCTGCAGCTTCACTCCTGAAGTCAGTGAGACCATGAACCCACCAGGAGGAACAAAAAACTCCAGTCGCACCACCTTTAAGAGCTGTAACACTCATCGCGAAGGTCTGCAGCTTCACTCCTGAAGTTGGCAAGACCGCAAACCCACTGGAAGGAAGAAACTCCAGACACATCTGAAGATCTGAAGGAACAAACTCCGGACACACCATCTTTAAGAACTGTAGCACTCACCATGAGGGTCCGCGCCTTCATTCTTGACGTCAGTGAGACCAAGAACCCAGCGGAAAGAACCAATTCTGGACACAGTGTGGCATGATCTTGGCTCACTGTGACATCTGCCTCCTGGGTTCAAGCAATTCTCCTGCCTCGGCCTCCCAAATACTTGGGATTATAGGTGCGTGCCACCACACCCAGCTATTTTTTTTGTATTTTTAGTAGAGACTGTGTTTCACCATGTTGGCCAGGCTGGTCTTGAACTCTTGACCTAGTGATCCACCCACCTCGGCCTCCCAGAGTGTTGGGATTACTGTGAGCCACCACACCTGACTTTGTTGGCAATTTTTTTTTTTTTTTTGAGACGGAGTTTCGCTCTTGTTGCCTAGGCTGGAGTGCGATGGTGTGACCTTGGCTCACTGCAATGTCTGCCTCCTGAGTTCAAGGGATTCTCCTGCCGCAGCCTACTGAGTAACTGGGATTACAGGTGCTTGCCACCATACCAGGCTAATTTTTTGTATTTTTAGTAGAGATGGGGTTTCACCATTTTGGTCAGGCTGGTCTCGAACTCCTGACCTCAGGTGATCCACCTGCCTCGGCCTCCCAAAGTGCTGAGATTACAGTTGTGAGCCACCATGCCTGTATGGCAATTTTAAAATTAGTGTTTCAATCTTGCTACTTGTAATTGGCCTGTTCAGAGTTCTATTTCTTCCTGATTTAACCTAGGAGGGTGGTATATTTCCAGGAGTTTATCCATCTCCACTAGATTTTCTAGTTTGTGTGTGTAAAGGTGTTCATAGTAGCCTTAAATGGTCTTTCATATTTCTGTGGTATCAGTTGTAATATCTCTCATTTTATTTCTAATTGAGCTTGTTTGGATTTTTTCTCTCTTATTTTCTTGGTTAATCTTGCTCATGTTCTAGCAGTTTTGTTTCTCTTTTCAAAGAACCAGCTTTTTGTTCCATTTATTTTTTTTAGTTTAAATTTCATTTAGTTCTCCCATCTTTGTTATTTCTTTTCTTCTGCTGAGTTTTTTTTTGTTTGTTCTTGTTTCTCTAGTTCTTTGAAGTGTGACCTTAGATTGTCTATTTGCATTCTTTCATCCTTTTTGATGTAGGTGTTTAATGCTCTGAACTTTTCTCTTAGCAACACTTTTGCTGTATCCCAGAGGTTTTGAAAAGTTGTGTCACTATTATTCAGCTCAAATAATTTTTAAATTTCCATCTTGATTTTACTGTTGACCCAAAGATAATTCAAGAGCAGATTATTTAATTTACATGTATTTTTTATACTTTTGAGGGTTCTTTTTGGAGTTTTCAGTTTTATTCCACTGTGGTCTGAGAGGATACTTGATATAATTTTGATTTTTAAAAACTTACTGAGACTTGTTTTGTGACCTATTATATGGTCTATCTTGGAGAATGTTCCATGTGCTGAAGAAAAGAATGTATATTCTGCAGTTGTTGGATAGAATGTTCTGTAAATATCTGTTAAACTATACCTTGGTGCAAATGGACTTAAGTCCATTGTTTCTTTGTTGACTTTTGGTCTTGACGACCTGTCTAGTGTTGTCAGTGGAGTACTGAAGTCCCCCACTATTATTGTGTTGCTGTCTGTCTTGTTTTTTAGGTCTAGTAGTAATTGTTTTATAAATTTGGGAGCTCCAGTGTTAGATGCATATATAGTTAGGATTGTGGTATTTTCCTGTTGGACAAGGCCTTTTATCATTATATAATGTCCTTCTTTGTCTTTTTAAACTGTTGTTACTTTAAAGTCTGTTTTGTCTGATACAAGAATAGCTACTCCTGCTCCCTTTTGGATTCCATTGATGTAAAACGTCTTTTTCCATCCCTTTACCTTAAGTTTATGTGAGTTTTTATGTGTTAGGTGAGTCTCTTGAAGGCAGCAGATAGTTGGTTGGTGTATTTTTATCCATTCTGCCATTCTGTATCTTCTAAGTGGAGCATTTGGGCCATTTACATTCAATGTTAGTATTGAGATGTGAGGTACTGATGTTCTATTCATCGTATTAGTTGTTGCCTTAATACCTTGTTTTTTTCCCCACTGTATTATTGTTTTATAGGCCCTGTGAGATTTATGATTTAAGGAGGTTCTATTAATATTTTGGTGTATTTTGAGCTTTTGTTTTAAGATTTAGAGCTCATTTAAGCATTTCTTGTAGTGCTGGTTTAGTGGTGACAAATTCTGTCAGCATTTGTTTGTCTGAAAAAAGACTTTATCTTTCCTTCATTTATGAAGCTTAGTTTTACTGAATACAAAATTCTTGGCTGAAAATTATTTTGTTTCAGGAGGCTAAAGATGGGTCCCCAGTACCTTCTGGCTTATCAGGTTTCTGCTGAGAAGTCTGAAAAGTTTTCCTACACAGGCTACCTAATACTTTTGCCTCACAGCTCGTAAGATCCTTTCCTTAACATTCTTGACTTTAGACAACCTGATGATTATGTGCTTAGGTGATGATCTTTTTGTGATGAATTTCCCAGGTGTTCCTTGAGCTTCTTGTATTTGGATGCCTAGATCTCTAGCAAGACCAGGGAAGTTTTCTCAATTATTCCCTCAAACAAGTTTTCCAGATTTTTAGATTTCACTTCTTCCTCAGGAACATCAGTTATTCTTAGGTTTAGCTGTTGGGAGGGTTTGTTCATTTTTAACTTCTTTTTTTCTTTGTCTTCGTCTGATTGGGTTAATTCAGAAGCCTTGTCTTTGAGGTCTGAAGTTCTTTCTTCTACTTGCTCTAGTCTATTGTTGACCTTTCCAATGCATTTTGTGTTTCTTTAAGTGTATCTTTCATTTCCAGAAGTGATTTTTTTCATTGTGACATCATTTCTCTGGAGAATTTTTCATTCATATCCTGTATTGCTTTTTAAATTTCTTTAAGTTGGTTTTCACCTTTCTCTGGCATTTCCTTGAGTAGCTTAATAATCACCCTTCTGAGTTCTTTATCTGGCAATTCAGAGATTTCTTCTTGGCTTGCATCCATTGCTGGGGAGCTGGTGTGATCATTGGGGGTATTATAGAGCCCTGTTTTGTCATATTACCAGAATTGCTTTTCTGTTCTTTTCTCATTTGGGTAGACTATTTCAGTGAAGAAATCTGAAACTCAAGGCCTGCTGTTCAGATTCTCTTATCCCATGGTGTGATCCTTAGATGTGGTGCTCTTCCCTTTCCCCTAGGACTGGGGCTTCCTAAGAGCTGGACTATAGTGATTCTTACTGCTCTTCTAGGCCTAGCCACCCAGTGGAGCTACCAGGCTATGTGCTGGTGCTGGGGAATGTCTGCAGAGTTCTGTGATGTGGTCTTTCTTCAGGTCTCCCATCCTTGGATCGCAGCACCTTCTCTGGTGGAGGTGGCAGGGGAGTGAGGTAGACTCTATGAAAGTCCTTGGTTGTAGATATGTTTAGTGTGCTGGCTTTCTGTAATGCTGGTTACACTAGTGGTAAAGTTGTCACATGAACACACACAGGACCTTTGGTTAGCCAGGATGTTTCAGGAAGTGGAATTAGGTGTTGTCTTTTCCTTCCTGGGATCAGGGTTATTCTGTCATGAGTTACTGTGGTGGCCTGAGTTGGTTGGCCTCTAGCCAGGAGATGGTGCTTTCAAGAGAGCACCAGCTGCAGTAGTCGTAGGGGGCTCTAAGCTTGCCCTAAGATGGTCAGGGTAAGTATTTTGGATACTCAGGTGATTGGCAGGGCCATAAAGCTCCCAAGAGTTTCTGAGTTTTGTGTTCAACTACCAGGGCAAGTAGGAAAATACCATCAGGTTGGGGCAGAGTTAAGAGGGTCTAGGCTCAGATTCTCCTTGGGTGGGGCTTGCTGCAGCCACTGTGAGTGATGGAGGATAGTTCTCAGGCCAATGGGGTTATGTTCCCAAGAGGATTTTGGCTACCTCCACTGTATCATATAGTTTGCCAGGGTAGTAGGAGATAGCTGGTAGCAAGAGGCCTGACCCAGCTCCCACACCATTGGTCAGGCCAGCCTCTCTTCTGCAGTGGACCATTCAGACCTTGCCCCAGGCTGTGAGCTTACCCCACTGAGAAAGCAAGCACGGCTTTCAGACCTCGCCTCTCTCCATCTGCCTACTTCATTGGCAGCACCTTGTATCCACAACACCTCCCACTCATCACCTGGACTCCACTCAAGAAAATTTGTGCCCAGTTGAAACCACTACCAATTTCACTTGGGAGGTTTCTTCACCCTGTGGCCCTTCCCCAATTCCACTGGCTGCCTTCCTTGAGGGCCTCTGTAAGATATACTCAGGGATGGCTTCCCTGGGGTTGAGCTGGAGACTTGGAGTACATCCAAGGCACTTCCCAATGCTACTTCTACTTTTCTACTTTGTGTGAATCCCTAAATCCATTTAATCTCTAGGTAAGGTTAAATTCTTCTCCTGTGATCTGGATTTTCGGATTCCCCAGTGGGGATGTGTATTCAGAGGTAAGTTTTCCCTTTCTCACACTTTGGGAACTCACAGTTTTTTTGCCTGTTTCATGAAATTTGCATTGGCGTGCTGCTTCTTTCAAAGGCTCTGTGAATTTTTTCGCTTTTCCTGGTATGTTCCTGCCATGGTTCTTAGAGCAAAAGATCATGGTGTGAGTCTCCACATGCTGTTCTGTCCATCCATGTGGGAGCTGCACATTAGCTCTGTCTCCTAGCTTCCATTTTCCCTGATTTTAATTTTTTTTTTTAAATAGAGATGAGGTCTCCCTATGTTGCCCAGGATGGTCTCAAACTCCTGAACTGAATTGATCCTTCTGCCTTGGCCTCCCTAAGTGCTGGCATTATAGGTGTGAGCCACTGCACCTGGGTGACAAACCAGTTTTGAAAAAGTAAGTCTGACTGTTTAGGTTCGTTTTACAGGTCAAGTTAATCTTCAATCAAGTAGTTAAAAGGTAAATTACTAATAATCAATTATAGAATAATACAATAATACCAGTTAATTATTACCAAGTTGTTTTAGTATAATAGTGGGACAGATTAGTGGGTTTCTTTTTATAATCTTTTTATTCATTTACACCGAGGGAATATAGCATCTTTCATCCAAAGAACTGAACATTTAATCCAAAGAACTGAACATTTTAAAACATGAGCATTTAAAAAGCGATTATATTTTGAAAACCTGGAGTCTTGCTGTTAAATCTCTTTGATTCCAGATACACAATTTTCTGGAAGTCATTATATTAGGGACAATGAAAGAGGCTCAGAAAGAATTCTGATTTCCTTTCACAATACAGTCATTTCCCAAAACCTAGTGCTGGGCTTGCAAAGCAAAAACACACAAATCTTACAAAGCAAAAACACACAGATTTTCCTTGCAGTGACCAATATTGCAAGAAAAATTAGTGTTCTTAAATGAATGTAATTATATGTGGAACTTAGCAAAGGCAAGGATGGCATTTTAATTCAATGGGAAGTGGTTTATGTGTTGCTAGTATAATTGACTATTATTTTGGAAGATCTTATCATAGAGTTTCTCATTATCTAATCTCTCCTTGGCCATCCTGGTGCTAGCCATCCAGAATAAGTATTATTATTTTTTCCAGCTAATATGGTTTGGCTCTGTGTCCCCAGCCAAATCTCATGTTGAACTGTAATCCTCAGTCTTGGGGGAGGGACCTGGTGGGAGGTGATTGGCTCATGAGGCAGATTTCCCACTGCTGTTCCCATGATCATGAGTGAGTTCCCACGAAATCTGGTTGTTTAAAAGTGTGCAGCACTTCTCCCTTTGCTCTCTCTCTCCTGCCGCAATGCGAAGACATGCTCATTTATCCTCCACCCTTCTGCCATGATTGTAAGCTTCCTGAGGCCTCCCGAACCATGCCTCCTGTATAGCCTGTGGAACTGTGAGTCTATTAAAACTCTTTTCTTTATAAATTACCTAGTCTGAGGTAGTTCTTTATAGCTGTGTGAGAACTGACTAACACAGAAAACTCATACCAGGAGAATTGGGGCATTATTATAAAGATACCTGAAAATGTGGAAGCAATTTTGAAACTGGGTAACAGACAGAGATTGGAACACTTTGGAGGGCTCAGAAGAAGACAGGAAGATGAGGGAAAGTTTGGAACTTCTTAGAGACTTGTTGATTGGTTTTGACCACAATGCTGATAGTTATATGGACAACGAAGTCCAGGCTGAGATGGTCTCTGATGGAGATGAGGGACTTACTGGGAAGTGAAGCAAAGGTCACTGTTGCTATGCTTTAGAAAGAGACTGGCAGCATTGTGCCCTTGCTCTAAGGATCTGTGGAACTGTGAACTTGAGATGATTTAGGGTATCTGCTGAAAGAAATTAATAAGCATCAAAGCATTCAAGAGGTGGTCTGGCTGCTTCTAAAAGCCTATGTTCATTTGCATAAGCAAATGAGAAGAGAAGCAGAGCATATTTAAAAGAGAAGCAGAGCATAAAAGTTTGGAAAATTTTCAGCCTGACCATGTTGTAGGAAAGAAAAACCCATTTTCTTGGGAGAAATTCAAGCCTGCTGCAGAAATGTGCATAAGTAAAGAGAAGCCAAATGTTAATAGCCAAGACAACGGGGAAAGTGCCTCCAGGGCACTTCAGAGACCTTCATGGCAGCCCCTCCCATCACAGGCCTGGAGGCCTAGGAGGGAAAAATGGTTTTGTGCACCAGGTCCAGGGCCCCACTGCTCTGTGCAGCCTTGGGACATGACGCCCTGTGTCCCAGCCACTCCAGCTCCAGCCTTGGCTAAAGGGTCCAAAGTATAGCATGGGCCATTGCTTTAGAGGGTGCAAGCCCCAAGCCTTGGTGGCTTCTGTGTGGCATTGGGCTTCCAGGTGCACAGAAGGCAAGAGTTGAGGTTTGAGAGCCTCTGCCTAGATTTCAGAGGATGTATAGAAATGCCTGGATATCCAGACAGAAGTCTGCTGCAGGGGCAGCGTCTTCATGGAGAACCTCTACTAGGGCAGTGCAGAAGGAAAATGTGGAGTTGGAGCTCCCACACTGTTTCCCCACTGGGGCACTGCCTAGTGGAGCTGTGAGAAGATGGCCACCGTCCTCCAGATCCCAGAATGGTAGATCCACCAACAGCTTGCACTGTGTGCCTGGAAAAGCCACAGGCCTACTCAATGCCAACTCTTGAGAGCAACTGTGGGAGCTGAGCCCTGCAGAGTTACATGAGCATAGCTGCCTAAGGCCTTGGGAGCCCACCCCTTGCATTAGTGTGCCCTGGATGTGAGACATGGAGTCAAAGGAGATTATTTTGGAGCTCTAAAATTTAATGACTTCTCTGCTGGGTTTTGGACTTGCATGGGACCTGTAGCTCCTTTGTTTTGGCCAATTTCTATCTTTTGGAGCAGGAGCACTTACCCAATGACTGTATCCCCATTGTATCTTGGAAGTAATGAACTCATTTTTGATTTTACAGGCTCATAGGTGGAAGGGACTTGCCTTGTCTCAGATAAGACTTTGGACTTGTGGGGACTGATGGGAAGGCATGATTGATTTTGAAATGTGACAAGGACATGAGATTTGGGAGGGGTTGGGGTGGAAAAATATGGTTTTGCTTTGTGTTCCCACCCAAATCTCATGCTGAATTGTAATCCCTAGTGTTGCAGGAGGGGGCTGGTGGGGGGTGATTGGATCATGGTGGCAAATTTCTCCCTTGCTGTTCTTGTGACAGTGAATGAGCTCTCATGAGGCCTCTGGTTGTTTAAAAGTGTGTGGCACTTCCCCCTTTGCTCTCTCTCTCCTGCCATCATGTGAAGATTTTGCTGCTTCCCTCTTGCCCTTCTTCCATTATTGTAAGTTTCATGAGGCCTCCCCAGTCATGCCTCCCATATAGTCTGTGGAACTGTGAGTTGATTAAACCTCTTTTCTTTATATATTACCCAGTCTCAGGTAGTTCTTTATAGCAGTTTGAGAACGGACTAACACACCAGCCTTCCTTTTAGATAGGCGGAATTATGTGACTAAGTTCAGGCCAATGGGCTGTGAGTGGAAATGATACAGGCAACCTCCGAGGGGTGTCCTGAAAAGAAGAGAGTGTGCCCATCTTCTCCCTTTCCCCTCTCCTGCTGCCTGGAAGATGGTAATGGGTCATCTTAGACCAATGTTAGGGCAAGAGGAAGCTAGATTCTTGGATAGTTTCACACAGTGGTTTCCTACTAGCGTAGACTACTAAACTAGTGTCCACTAGTGCCCACCTGGAATGACCACCTCCAGACTGTTAGGTGGAAAGATAAATAAAATTATATCTATGTAAGTCACAGTTACTTGAGGTTTTTGTTATATATAGCTAATTCCATATCCTAACCAAAGCAGAATATCTCCCCTTTTGCTTTACATGATAAATAAACAAACATTAAAGATGGGTTAAAGAAAAATCTCAATATACCATTCAATTTGCCCAATAATCAGTTTAGGAACTCCACTGTACAGAATTAGTAGATAAGAATAATCTTAAAGATCCTTATTGCAGCATTGTGCAAGATAGCAAATGTCTGTCAACATGGGAGTAGTTAAATATAGCATGCCTTTTATTGTATTTCTGTGATGTGTTACATTGAAAAATGATGAATTAGATTTATATTTATTGACCAGGAAAATAGTTATGATGCATTGGTAAAGTTAAAAAGTTGCAGCTGGCTGGCCTTGCTACCTTTGTGCTTGCATTGCCCACAAACCTGTAGTTAGAAGAACCTGCCTGGGGAGGGGTCATGACTGGGAGATCCAAGGATGAGAGGGCCTGGAGCCCTGCAGAAGCTAGGTGGTATTTGGGCCCATCTGAATAAATGGTAACTAAGTCATTTATGGGGCCTCCCTGACTCCTCTTTCATAGCCTCCTCCCTACCTGCTCTGAGACTCCTACCTTTCACTGGGCCCCCTCCTACTTTCATGCCCTCCACTCTTTCCTAAATGCAAGTCTCCTCCCCGAGCCCATATCCGCCTTGACTTTCTCTCTGCTCTTCTCACTGGATCCTGTTCTCACTCATCAAACTTTGAGTCTGAGCCATCTCTGCCTCTCTCCTTCCATTCTCACCTTTCCTGTCACACCAGATTACTTTTCTCCTAGGCTGTTCCTCGTGCCAACCTTTCTTTGGTCAATCTTGCTGATCCAGAACAGTCCCTCCCTTCTTTCTATTCCATAACAGTCCTCCAAAACTCTAAGTCTATTGGGAAAGCCCGTCTTCTGCTAAGTGCATTCTTCTAGAGGCAGAAGGTCTGTCATCACACCCTGAGTCCCAGTTGCAAAGAGACCAGGCCCTTTGCCCAATCTTGATGAAATGATGGGAAAGTGCTAGCCTTGTCCTGTAAGGATGCCACTTTAAGCCCAATGTCTCTTTCTATGTGGTTTCAGAGTCCAGTGCCTCCAGCAGCAGGAGCTTGGCAGGTTGTTACAAAGGGATTGCTGTGATGAAGTTCTGATGGTTGCATCAGGGTTTGGGGGTGCACACAGGGTTTGGGGGTCCTGGCAGGTGCAGGTGTTTGATCCTGTTTCTGCTTGATTATGTGACCTGGGAGAAGTCAGTTAATCTCTTTTGAGTCTCAGCTTCTAGGTTCTCAGCAGTACATGGCAGTTATCATTGTGGGGCTGGTGGTTTATCCTTCATCAGAACCTGAGACTATCCAGAAATGACTGAAAATTGAAGATACAGAGGCAAGCATGTAGGAGGTGAAAATTCAAGATACAGGCCATACAGTGGCTCACACCTGTAATTCTAGCATTTTGGGAGGTCAAGATGGGAGGATTGCTTGAGGCCAGGAGTTTGAGACGAGCCTGGACAACACGGCAAGACCCCATCTCTATAAAAATTTTAAAAATTAGCGAGGCATTGTGGCACACACTTGTAATCCTAACTACTTGAGAGGCTGAGGCAGGAGGATCGTTGGAGGCTGCAGTGAGCTATGATGGTGCCACTGCACTCCAGTCTAGGAGTCTAGGAGACAGAGTGAGACCCTGTCTCAAAAAAAAAAAAAAAAAAAAAAAAAAAAAAAATTCAATACAGAGCCAGGCAGGTAACAAGGACAAGTTGAGGGTGGCTTAGCAGGGTCCACACTGAACTATAGAATGCCTTTCTTTCTTTCTAAAATGTGTTAAAATAAATATAAACTTTACCATTTTATCTATTTTTAATTGCACAGTTCAGTGACATTAAGTATATTTACACAGGTTGTGCAACTGTCATCACTATCCATTTCCAGAACCTTTTCATCACCTCACACTGAAACTCTGTACCCATTAAACAGTAACTCCACATTCCTCCCTCCCCCTAGCCTTGGTAACCACTGTTCTTTCTGTCTCTGTGAATTTGACTACTGTAGGTACCTCATATAAATGGAATCATACAATATTTGTCTTTTTGTGTCTGACTTATTTGACTTAGCGTAATGCCTTCAAGTTCATCCATGTTGGGTCACGTATCAGATTTTCATTCCTTTTGAAGGCAGAATGATATTCCATTGTGTGTGTGTACATATATATTTTGTTCATCATTTGATGGATATTCAGATTGTTTTCATATTTTGGCTATTGTGAATTATCTTTTTGATGTGCTGTCGGATTTGGCTTGCCATGACTCAGTTTTAATGGGTTGTGTGGGTTCTATGAATTATCTTCATTATTGTCTTAGTCTGTTTGTGCTGCTATAACAAAATATCTAATACTGAGTAATTTATAAGGACCAGAAATTTATTTCTCACAGTTCTGGAGGCTGGGGAGTTCACAATCAAGGTGACAGCAGGATCTGGTGAGAGGCCAGCTGCTGCTTCCAAGATAAAACCTTGTTGCTGCATCCTTTGGAGAAGAGGAACTCTATGTCCTTACTTGGTGGAAGGCATGGAAGGGGAAAAGGGGTGAACTCCCTCAGTTAAACCCCTTGGGCCCCTAATTCCATTCATGAGGGCTCTGCTTCCCAAGAGTCACACCTCTTAATACTGTTGCATTTGGATTAAATTTCAGCATGAATTTTAGAGGGAACAGAAACATTCAAACTATACCAGTTATCCAATTTGTTGGAGTCCAACTGTCCATAATACTCTTAAAATCTTTTTTATTTCTGTAGAATTAGTAGTAATATCCTCACTTTCATTTCTGGTTTTAGTAATTTGAGACTTCTCTCTTTTTCTCTTAGTCAGTCTAGCTAAAGGTTTGTCAGTTTCATTAATTTTTTTCAAAGAACCAATTTTGAGTTTTGTTAATTTTCTCTATTGTTTTTCTGCTCTTTATTTTATGTATTTCTGCTCTAATCATTATTATTCCCTTCCCTTGGCTAGATTTTGGTTTTGTTTGTTCTCATTTTTCTAGTTCCTTGAGTTGTAAAGTTGTTGATTTGAGATCATCACTCTTTTTAAAATACAAGCATTTTCAGCTATACTTTTCTCCCCCAGCACTGCTTTTGTTATATTCCACAAGTTTTGGTATGTTGTGTTCTCATTTTATTCATCTCTAAGTATTTTCTGATTTCCTGTGTGATTTCTTCTTTGACCTGTTGTTTTCTTAAGAATGTGTTGCTTAATATCCACAAATTTGTAATTTTTCAAGTTTTCCTTCTGTTAGTGGTTTCTAACTTCATGTTTCTGTGGTTAGAGAAGATACTTTGTATGATTTTTATCTCTTAACATCTACTGAGATTTCATTTGTGGCTTAACATATGGTCTTCCTGAAGAATGTTCCATGTGCACTTGAGAAGCATATGTGTTCTGTTGTTGTTGGATAGAGTGTTCTGGATATGTTAGATCGAGTTGGTAGTTTTTTTTCTTTTTGTTCATTTGATTCACATTAATGAGATTATATTACACACATATACATTGTTGTTTAAAAAAATGTTTACGTGTGTGTTACATGTATGAGCATAACAGGAAGGTAAGGAAAGCTACCTTGGTTACTTATTTTTTAATTATTTTTTAAAGACAGAGTCTCACTTTGTCACCCAGGCTGGAGTGCAGTAGCCATGATCTCGGCTCACTGCAACCTCCACCTCCTGGGTTCATGCAATTCTTATGCCTCAGCCTCCCAAGTAGCTGGGATTACAGGTGTGCACCACTACGTCTGGCTAATTTTTGTATTTTTAGAGAAGGGGTTTTACCATGTTGGCCAGGCTGATGTGGAACTCCTGGCCTCAAGTGATCCACCCGCCACAGCCTCCCAAAGTGGTGGGATTAACAGGTGTGAACAACTATGTCCAGCCTCTTAGTTTTCCTAGGAACATGACTGGACAGGAACAAGGCAGGGGAAGAGATTGACTTCTCTTTTTTTTCTGAGATATTAAACATTTTATTATAAAAAAGGTTTTGTATTAGATGATTTTGCCCAGCTATAGGCCAACATTAAGTGTTCTGAGCACATTTAAGATAGGTTAGGCTAAGCTAGGATGTTCAGTAGGTTTGGTGTATTAAATGCATTTTTAACTTATGGTATTTTCAGTTTACAGTGGGTCTATTGGAACATAGCCCTATTGTCAGTCAAGAAACTTCTGTATTCCAATGTTTATGAATATAATAATGTTTTTTGTACAATGAAAAAGTCATAATGCCCATATACTTCTGAAATTAACACAATAAAAATTCCAGATAACATTTACAGATTTAAAAGTACACACACATTTTAATAGACATGTAAAACCTTTCATATGACTTTCAGGCATATCTACTTGGCCATTGCAGGCAATAACATATTAAGAGAGACTATCATTCCACTGGTTTGGTGAGAGTACCTGTAAACATGTACCAATAAAAATTATGTAATAATTAAAAATTATGTAAGCACCAAACATTAACTCCAAAAACATGACACCAAATACCTGAAAAAAAAGTTAAGTGATCCCAAACACTGCCATGAATGAAGCAACTTTCTCAGGACCCTTAAAATTAACTTATTTCCCATCATAACAAACCAATTCCCTCATTTTACAAATGAAAATAATGTTCAAAGAGCAAGACCAGTGACTAACACGACTTCTGATACAATACCAAGTTATGACTTCGCATCCACTGAATATACAGGATTAACGCAAATTAGTAGTGACTGCTTTAAGACAACATTTGAACTCTTTGGAAGTGGGTGTTAATTATTTAATTAATTAAATAAAAATTTAGATGTGGCGGAAAAGCTTGGATGACTTACTTTCACACCACCATTATCTTGAATGGGCTATTCAAATACTCTAATGGAAGGAAAAGATTACTCACTTTTTTTTTAGGTCTTTAGTGATTATTACTAGGCTCAGTAGAAACCAGAAGACAATTATTCTCTTAAATATTGAAAAGAGGCAGTAATATAGATAAAGCACATTATTTTCTGAGACTATCCGATGATAGAAACAAAGTTGGCTGAATTCCTTAGGTATTAGAATAAAACACACTAGAATAAACATAAGCTTGATCATTGAGACCTCATGGCAGATCACTTTAAATGAGGTCAAAGAGTATTATTATAAAAAGACAATATATTTCTAATGTTTTGTTTACACACACCACAAACCAGGAAGTTAAACACAAAATAATGTACACTCACTTTCATTATCCTCTATTAGTTTTCACATGGCTTTAACAGTGAAAGAATTTCTAAACTACATTCTCAAATGCAGTAGACTTAAAAAGCCATAAAGTGCTAAACAGAAAAAGATACAACAAAATACGAAACAACTTTGCTTATAATATACAGGGTGGATATTATAAAGAACATTTGGAAATTACTACCCACTTCAGCTTTCCATCCAAGAACACAACCATAAAAATCAAGGCAAGATGTAATGGACTCCTCTTTGAAGACAAGACACTGCTGGAATAAGAGGAAAACCTTTTCACTTTGTGTGGCGTCATTCTGCTTACAGAAACAGTCTTTCAGGAACCTGCATTTACAATATAGCAATCACATGTATACTAAAGGTAAAAAAAAAAAAAAAAAAAAAAAAGACCAAACCCTCAGAAGAGATTAACTTCTTTTCAGAAGTATGCTGCAGGCTGAAGTAAGGATGAAGGTGGCATGTGATGACTATCCCAATCATGGCCTTTGGACCTGCTGAGCAGTGGGAACTATAATTTGTTCAACTTATCCACTTACATGGAATCCTTGCAGAAATTGTGGCTGATCACTGTTGAAGGAGGTTCTGTGATAGACTAGACTTATGAGATGCATGAATAGCTCAGAGTCACTGGACACCTCTTGTGCAACATTCAATGTCTTCCCAGCCTCACCTCTTATTTTGGTCATAGCTGTGGTCAGTTGTTCATGCAAGCTTTGACAGGTTTTGTACAGGGATAAACAGATAATGCTTCCTGTCTGGTTGTGCTACTGATCACTTGTTTTCCACCCTGGGGCGTATCTGACTCTTTGAAAGGTGTAGAAACTTGGTAGGAACCCACCTAATGGTCATGCATGTGCAACTGGGAATTTGGATGGAATAAATACCCAGGAGGCTACTCTTGATCAGTGAGGAGTAGTAGCCAGTGTATAAATGCTTTACCTCTTTGCCATTAGGTGGATAATTCTGAGACATGTTTTAAAATGCTTCTCAAAAAATACTAGTTAGAAAAAAAGAAAAAGGCTCCCAGTGGCAAACATGTCCCCTCTTCCTAGCATTCCCCATGGCATTCACTCCTTCTCTGGAATCACTTTCCAAAAGGCACTGCTTACACAGAAGTCCTTTCCTTGGGCTCTAACTTGGGGAAACCTAGGTTAAAAAAAAAAGTTTGTTAAAAAAAACAGGAGCTAGCTTGAAGGGACATTCTGTCTAACGATGGGATAATTTGAAAACCCAACATATGCCAACAATTTATAAAAACATTGAATATATATAAAAACATTGAATATATAAAAATCATTATAGTTCAAAAGAGAAAGATAAAACTAGACAGTTTTGGAGATTGCCAAGGCACCAAATTATTTGTTAAAAAATTATTAATTGAAAGGAAATAAGCATTTATCTTACCTTTTTGGTATGAACGGTGTATCAGGAAAATTAAATAGTCTTAGAGAACGAGGGAGAGTTTTTATTTATAGGATAATTCTAGCTAATGAATGTAAATGATAGAATTAGAAAATCATTTGGCAATTCCTAATAAAACAATTAATACAGGCAATGATTATTAAATCTAACAAAAGATGTGCAAGACGTCTACACTGAAATCTGTAAAAAAATATTGAGAGAACTTAAGACCTACGTAAAGAAGGCATATATTATGTTCATGTCTTGAAAGACTCACTGTAGTAATAATGTTAATCCTTTCCAAATTGATCCATAGAGCTGATGCAAATTCAATCAATCCTTGGTGTGTGTGTGTTAAACAATACACTGATGTCAAAAAACAAATACAGAAATGCACTTACATGTTTATCACAGCCTGTGAAAGCAGCCAGGAGGGAAGCTGTACCCTGCAAAGCCGCACGGGTGGAGCTGCCCAAGGCACTGGGAGCCCACCTCTTGCATCAGTACACCCTGGATGTGAAACATGGAGCCAAAGGTGATCATTTTGGAGCTTGAAGATTTGACTGCCTTGCTGGATTTCGGACTTGCATGGGGCCTGTAGCCCCTTCATTTTGACCAATTTCTCCAAATTTCTCCCATTTGGAATGGATGTATTTACCCAATGCCTGTACCCCTATTGTATTTAGGAAGTAACTAACTTGCTTTTGATTTTACAGGTTTATAGGTGGAAGGGACTTGCCTTATCTCAGATGAGATTTTGGACTGTGGACTTTCAAGTTAATGCTGCAATGATTTTGTAAAGACTCTGGGGGATCGTTGGGAAAGCGTGATTGGTTTTGAAATGTGAGAGCATTGTATTTGGGAGGGGTCAGGGACAGAATGATATGATTTGGCTGTGTCCCCAGCCAAATCTCATTTTGAATTGTAGCTCCCATACTTCCCACATGTTATGGGAGGGACCCAGTGGGAGTTAATTGAACCATGAGGGCGGGTTTTTCCCTATGATGTTCTTATGATAGTGAATAAGTCTCACAAGATCTGATGGTTTTAGAAAGGGGAGTTCCCCTGTACCTGCTCTCCTTTCCACCATGATTATGAGGCCTCCCCAGCTATGTGGAACTGTGAGTCCATTAAGCCTCTTTCCTTTATAAATTCTCAGGTATGTCTTTATTAGCAGCTTGAGAACAGATTAATACACCAAGTGAGTATCTTCCCTCTCCATTTGGGTTGTTTCTTCCCTCCATGTAAAAGCTCAGCACTGCCCAACATATTTAAACAGTTCCTTTATGAGACACGTTAATTTTCTTCTGCTGGAAGGCATACTGTGGGGACAGCCTATTAAGCCTCAAACCTCTTTTTCTAATTTCTGCCTGGGAAAAATTTGGAGTCAGAGGCCTTACCTAATATTTCATATCCTACAGTGCCACCTATTGGGATGGGATTTTTTTTTTTTCTCCATGGGGGCCCTATCGGCCCTTCATCCAAAACCTCTAGTTCCCCAATTCATCTGCCTCCTATGTCTATTAGGGACCAGGCTCCATGCCCCATCTGTAAACAGCAAAGCTCCACCTTTAACAGTTGAGAGGACAGCTATTCAATTCATATGTTCTTTTGAGACATCTGTTCTACATTCCACCTCCATTGGCATTTAAACAAAAAGGGGATTTTATGTTTGTAAGTCAATTGGTCCCACTCTCTGGGATTTCAATGTTTTGCTAGGGGCATAGCAAGGGAAGCCAGAGATAGTATTGAAACACTTCCTCCTTTAAAGGGTCTCACCCAAATACAACCTCTCCTGGACACCTAGGGTACCCTGGGAGCCTTATGGGCCAAGTGGTTCTAGGAAACCAGCAGGGCAAAGGGTTGGGGCCTAGTGCAGGTCACCATGACTAATCCTGCTGACTAGCTCCTCTATATCCATGGATGAAGGTCATGCTTGCATCCATGGGGCAGTGGCTATGATGGTCACTGGGACCCAGATGATGGGAGAAAATGGGTGAAGGGGGATGCCCTTTTGGCCTTCCCTTCCACGCTGGGTCGCCTCTTCCCTTTTTTCTAGATGGGTAACATCCCATCTTCAAGCCTTCGCTCCCCTCAAGTGTAACCTGGATCTCCTTTAACCCTCAGGCCCTGAAGTTTGCTCTGGGCAAGCCTCAACTTCACTCACAGAAGCCTTCCAGGATTTAACCCAAGTATTTAAACTGTCCTGGAAGAATGTACCAGGGAAAGAGAATCCAATGAGGAAAGTAGCAGTGCCCTTGGAGGATCCTAAATAGGACTATGATGATAGCATCTGAAAATGGAGAAGGAAACCCTTTCAAATGTGTATATTGGAGGGCTTGAAAGGGCTAAAGCCATACCTATTAACTATTCCAAGCTTTCCATGATAGATCAAAAACTAGATGAAAATCCCTCAACCATTTTTTTTTCTTTTGAGATGGAGTCTTCCTCTGTCACCCAGGCTGGAGTGCAATGGTGTGATCTTGGCTCACTGCAACTTCTGCCTCCTGAGTTCAAGTGATTATCCTGCCTCAGCCTTCTAAGTAGCTGAGATTACAGGCACTTGACACCATGCCTGGCTAATTTTTGTATTTTTAGCAGAGGTGGGGTTTCACCATGCTGGCCAGGATGGTCTCGAACTCCTGACCTCAAGTGATCCATCTGCCTCAGCCTCCCAAAGTGTTGGGATTTCAGACATGAGCCACCGCGCCTGGCCTCAATCTTTTTATTTCAATGAAGAGCAGGTTTATTACTCAGGCAGCTCCTGATATTGAAAGGAAGTTGCTGAAACAGGCCCTGTCCAAGATCTTTCTAATTTTTTCTCACCCTCAAGTTGAAACTTTACAGTATGTAAATGACACTCTCCTCTGTGTCCCAACTGAGGAAGTCTCAGGAAGGCACTGAGGCTCTCCTCAATTTCTTAGCTAAAAAGGGGATACAGGGTCTCAAAATCTAAAACTCAGTTCTGTCAGACTTCAGTAAAGTATCTAGGCTTAGTCTTATCAAAAGAGACGAGAGCACCAGGTGAGGAAAGGATTAAGCCCATTTCCTTTAACAGTTGAGGGGATTTTTAGGCATTGCAGGGTTTTGCAGACTGTGGGTACCTGGGTATGGTGAAATAGCTCGCTCTTTATACCACCTCATGAAAGAAACGCACTGAAACTTGCTCCCTAACTTGGGAACCCAAAACTCAAAAGCCTTTAACCAGCCTTGATTTCAGCCACAAGCCTTGCTTCAAGCATCTGCCCTCAATCTTCCCATAGGGAAAGCATTCAGTGCCTATGTGTTAGAAAGGAATGAAATGGCCCTGGGAGTTTTAACTAAGGCTCAAGGTCAGCTAAACAGCCAGTGGGTTACTTAAGTGAGGAACTTAACTTGGTGGCTAAAGGATGGCCAGCTTGCCTTTGAGCAGTTGCAGCAGTGGCTTTGCTGGTGCCGGAGGCCACCAGGTTAACCATGGGGAATAACTTAACTGTTTGCACCCCACACAGTATAGCAGAACTGCTGTCCTCTAAGGGAGTCTCTGGCTAACAGACAATCGCCCCTCAAATATCAAGCTTTGCTGCTAGAGGGATCTACAGTTAAGAACCTTTACTTGCCTGAACCCAGCCACTTTCGCCCAGAAGAAACTGGAGAACCTGAACATGATTGTGAATGGGTAGTGGTGCAAACTGGTAAAAGGAATAATAAGGATCACTGTTTATATTCTCTGTAAAGTTTTAATTAATAAAAAGCATTTTCTTAAAGAATGCTCAGCTTAATTAAAAGTGGATATCCAAGTTATAGGTATATTAAAAGGCCATTTTTTCCCCTCATATCTTGTTTTTTCTGGAAAAGGTTTTTTCTCAGTTGACTGCATTACTTTACTGTGTTTCAACACTCCTGGCACATGCATGAAAGGCCCTAAGATGAGTTCTGGTGGCATAGAACTCCTTGGGAGAACAGAAAAGGCACCACAGATCCCATTTTGGGAGAAATCTCTGTTTTCATCATGGAACCCCTGGAATTAAAGGTGAATAAATCCCTCTCAAAATCTGTTTTTGTCTTACAGTCATGCCTGTCTGTTAGGTTGCAGAAACTACATGCTTTCCTGGCCCTATTCTTTTTTTGTTTTTTTTTTACATTTTCTTTTTTATTATACTTTAAGTTCTAGGGTACATGTGCACAACGTGCAGGTTTGTTACATATGTATACATGTGCCATGTTGGTGTGCTGCACCCATTAACTCGTCATTTACATTAGGTATATCTCCTAATGCTATCCCTCCCGCCTCCCCACGACAGGCCCTGGTGTGTGATGTTCCCCTTCCTGTGTCCAAGTGTTCTCATTGTTCAGTTCCCACCTATGAGTGAGAACATGTGGTGTTTGGTTTTCTGTCTTTGCGATAGTTTGCTCAGAATGATGCTTTCCAGCTTCATCCATGTCTCTGCAAAGGACATGAAGTCATCCTTTTTTATGGCTGCATAGTATTCCATGGTGTATATGTGCCACATTTTCTAAATTCAGTCTATCATTGATGGACATTTGGGTTGGTTCCAAGTCTTTGCTGTTGTGAATAATGTCACAGTAAACATACGTGTGCATGTGTCTTTATAGCAGCATGATTTATAATCCTTTGGGTATATACCCGGTAATGTGATGGCTGGGTCAAATGGCATTTCTAGTTCTAGATCATTGAGGAATCACCACACTGTCTTCCACAATGGTTGAACTAGTTTGTAGTCCCACCAACAGTGTAAAAGTGTTCCTATTTCTCTACATCCTCTCCAGCACCTGTTGTTTCCTGACTTTTTAATGATCACCATTCTAACTGGTGTGAGATGGTATCTCATTGTGCTTTTGATTTGCATTTCTCTGATTGCTGGCCCTATTCTTAAAGGGCTCCACCCTGAGCTGCTGGATCTTTTTCTGTCTGTCTGCATAGTCATATGTGTGATGTGTATGATGTCTATAAAAAGAGCTCTAATTAACTTAAAAAAGGATAAGCACTTGGATAAAATATTTTTAAAGGAAAAGTAAGAGCTGTAATGACTCATTTTACATAACTTTAATCTTTAAAAAAAAGAACAGACTTAGGGATTGTTGGTAAAATACAAATGTCTTCAAGGTGTAAAGACGTAGTCTAGATTATGTAGGTCAAATGCTAGGTTTGCTAAATGTTTTAAGGTTGTGAACTGTTTCTGTGGCCTTTAAAAACTGTCAACTTGCTTGCTTCACAATTTGTAAGGCCCGGGAACATATGGAAGTAACTATGCCCCTAACTATGTTGGAAGGAGTCAAACAATCTGCACCTTGCACATAATTGAAACAACTTACCAGGTTTTACATTCAGGTTAAAAATTGCTAAGCATTACCATTATGACATGTAATTGAAACTACTGAGAATATATTTACATGTAAGGTGTGTAAAAACAGTAAAATGTGTTTTTAGTAAAAGATTATAAGAAGGCATGGAAGTGTACATTTTGCCTAGGGATAAAGAACTGTCTTAAATTAGGTTTAAGCAAATTGGGGAAAAATTGTAAAAACGATTTTTCTGTAAATTGAGCACTGAAGTAAAAGTACAACAAGGTTTTTTAAGACACTAATCTGTTCTTTAGCAAAATATGTAAATGGTTATAAAAGGTTTGTGAAAATGTCATCTCCTGGTCAAACTGGTTAAGGTTGGATAGAATCATCTATAAGGTTTCATTAAAAATTGGGGTTAGGCCAGGCGCGGTGGCTCACTTTGGGAGGCCAAGGCGGGTAGCTCATCTGAGGTCAGGAGTTCGAGACCAGCCTGGCCAACATGATGAAATCCCGTCTCTACTAAAAATACAAAAGTTAGCCGGGCGTGATGCCTTGTGCCTGTAGTCCCAGCTACTTGGGAGGCTGAGGCAAGAGAATTGCTTGAACCCAGGAGGTGGCGGTTGCAGTGAGACAAGATCGTGCCATTGCACTCCAACCTGGGCAACAGAGCAAGACTCCATCTCAAAAAAAATAAAAATAAAAATGAAAATTGGAGTTAACATCAATAGTAGACTAATGCAAGGGTAAAATTGAACTTTCTCTCTTGAACAGGATTTTCATGTAATAGTAAAAGCTGATGAATGTTTTTTGCTTTTTCAAAACTTTGACCCATCATTTTGGCAAAACAAATAACTTACGATAATCTAAAATTCTGTTTCATAATATTAAGTGCTTTGAAACTCTAACATATTTAACAGGCTTCCCCAAATCAAACTTCAGCCTCAAGGTTTTCTTTCCTGACCCCTAGCTTTTTGGTGCTACAGAGGGCCCCTGGAGCACCCAGAAGAGAGGTAAAGAACATTATTTGACATGTTTAGGTACATGGAATTGCCAAAACGAAGTCTAATCTTCTTCAAGTTATATGTTAGGAATAATACTAACACACATTCAGAGCCAATCTGAAAGGCCTAAGTAAAAATAATTATTCTTGCTGTACTTTATGCAAAAAATCAAACCAGGTATAAGACTAAAGTTTATTTTGCAAACAACTCAGTCCTATCACAATCTGTTTTTAATAAAAATAAGGACTGAAGGGACAGAAATTGTTTCAAAACTTATCACACAGCTGTCATTAATTTCTAGTCTCATTAGTTGTTTTTAAGTTCTTGCCTATATTTTAAACAAACCTTGCTTATTCCTGTAAACCAATCAGCGATCTCAAGCTGCAGCTCAGAGGAGACAGAAAGGGATGGGCAATGTAAAAATCTGGAACAATATTCCAGTTCTGGGCAATTATACTACAAACCTGCCAGGTAATAAGAATAAATAGAGTACCCGTAACCCAGAGGTTTCCTTTTTGGGAAAGTGCGACCAAGAAAGGTAACCAAAGCCAAGTTCAAGCACCCAAATCTTAACAGGCATAACTGTAGCCACCAGTTATCAGAGCATGACAGCAGCCTCGGGATTTTTTAAAGCTGTCCTTATCCACCTTGTCTTGTTTTAATACACGTCCTCTAATAACTCAAATTGTTTCTTTTTGCCTAGAGGCTATCAAGCTCCAAATGGTAATGCAAATGGAACCATGCATAAATGTATCTTTCTTCTGGGGACCCTTAAACCAGCCCTGGGAAAATCCTAGCTGCTGTTACCCACACAATGCCCCTCTCCAGTGGGAAGTAGCTAGAAAAATCAACACCCGGTCTCCCTAGCAGCAGTTAAGGGTTCCACTCCTCAAGGTGGGGATGAGGGAGAAGGAATGGAAAAATTAGTTGGGTAAACAACTAACAGACTAGTCCTTGGAGAAGCTGCCTGTCTGAAAAATTGTGACGCTGCCTGCCTGAAAAATCACAGCTACAGGCAAAAATAGAGCAGCCTGGAAAAAATTCAGACTGCAGGTGTACAGATAAGCCACAGATAAACAGGTAAGGCAGGCACAGTCCAGCACAGAGGCTGTTTTTGTTCTTTGTATGATTAGCGAGCTCCCAGGAAAAAGTTTCTCCCCTTTTCAGACATGTACATGGTGGGCTCCAAGGGAACTTGCCCAGGGGGGAAGGGGGCTTACTTAAACCCACACTTACACAAACAAAAAGCTGTACTTTGTGCTTACCTACAGACATACCCACAACTGTATAGATAAGGGGAGTTATGCAGACAGTTTTATAGATAAGTTACTCAAACGGTTACGGAGATGAGAGCAGTTTCTTATAAAAGCTTTTGAATTCAACTGTAACCTGGCCACCATCCGGGACCCCTCTCCTCTGTGGAGAGCTTTCTTCTTTTGCTTATTAAATTTTTGCTCCAACCTCACCCTTTGTGTCCATGCTCTTTAATTTTCTTGGTTGTGAGACCACGAGCTCAGATAATACCTTAGACAAAGAGAACAGTGACCCTGACCTGTTTCAGGAGGGTGGATGTGCACCCCATTACCCTGGCTCCCACCAGTAGCAGCCCATGAACTGTGTCCCATGCTTCCCAGGCAAGATCGTGTCAGCCAGCAGGCCGACTGCATGCCAAGCACCTGAGACCTGCTCTGCTGCCGAGGCCTGACTTCTGGGACCACTTTCCAGAATTTGCTCATCACCTATTCCTGAGGATGCTACTCTCAAGCCCCACAGGGCCCACATGGCTGCGACTTTTCTGAGAATTGGCCCTGCTAGTGGATATAACTGCCACTAATGCCACTGTCCCTTCACTTGTACCCCGGATGTAACTGTATTCAGCTCAGGTGCCTTCATCAGCAGGAGCACTGTAAGCGTAATTTATTAAAAGTGAAACAATTGTACAAGCAGTTAATCAACCACCACAGGGCATAATTAATGAAGCAGCCTTCCCCTCCCCACCCCCATTGATTTTGTGAAACTCCCTTTTTCTTTCAGCTTGATCAAGTATTCCAAATTTAGAAAGCTCTAAGGTGGCCTACAGAAAAAGAAAAAGGCCACATAAGGTCCCTCTCACTTTCAGTAAATAGCAGCATATAAATACAAGAAAAAATAGATATTGTCTTGTGCAGCATTAAAAAATCAAAATAAAATAAATATGAGCAAAAATGGGTTTCTTGTATGTAGTCTATAATTGTTTAGTACATTTATAACTAATATCAAGATTACCAATATGCTTTGGTTACAATGCGTCGTCTTGATATTTGTTTTCTATTCATTGCATTTGTTCCTTGGTCCTTTTTGTTTTCATCTCCTTTCCATTTTCTCTCAGGTAAGCTTCTGACCCCACCCACCTGTTTTTAATGTTTTCAGCCCCCATGCGAATAACTGTTACTACTGGAACATACTAGGTTGGGTTCTGTTCTCTTCTAAACAAAATTTAGCAAAAGGCACAGTGATTTCCCATATTCACCTGCACCCACACATGCATGGCCTCCCCACGACCAGCAACCCCTACCAAAATGGCCTATTTGTTGCAACTGATGAACCTTTATTGACATAGTTGACATTAGGGTTCACCGTTGGTGCTGTACATTCTATGGGGTTGAACACATGTATAATGACATGCATCCACTATTTCAGTGTCATACAGAGTAGTTTCACTGCCCTAAAAATCCTGTGTCCCACCTTCACCCTTCCTTCCACTCCAATCATTGGCAACCATTGATCTTTTTCCTGTCTTAATAGTTTTGCCTTTACGGAATGTCATGTAGTTGGAATCATACAGTATGTAGCCTTTTCAGACTGATTTCTTTCACTTAGTAATTTGCATTTAAGTTTCTTTCGTGTCGCTTCATGGCTTGATAATTTCATTTTAGTGCTGAATGATACCCTTTTGTCTGGATGTATCTGGTTTATTTATGCATTTAACTGTTAGAGGTCATCTTGGTTTCTTCTAATATTTCCCAGTTAGGAATAAAGTTAGGTTCTATAAGTATCCATGTGTAGGTAATTGTGTGGACATAAGTTTTCAAGTCCTTTGGGTAAATACCAAGGAGTGTGCTGGTTGGATTGTATGGTAAGGGTATGTTTAGTTTTGTAAGAAGCCTCCAAAGTATCTTCCAAAGTAGCTGTACCATTTTGCATTTCCACCAGCAATGAGAGTTCTTGTTGCTACAGATCCTCACCAGTGTTTGGTGGTGTCAGTATTCTGAATTTTGGGCATTTTAATTGGTGTTAGTAGTATCTCATCATCATTTTAATTTGTATTTCCATGGTAACACAGGATGTAGAATATCTTTTCATATGTTTGTTTGCTATTTGTTTATCTTCTTTGGTGAGGTTCTGTTAAGCTTGCTGGCCCATTTAAAAAATTGGGTTTCTCGTTATCTTATTTTTGAGTTTTAAAGAATTCTTTGTATATTGGGGATAACAGTCCTTTATCAATTATGTCTTTTGCAAATATTTTCTCCCAAAGGCTTGTCTTTTCATTCTCTTGACAGTGTCCTTTGCTGAGCAGAAGTTGTTACTTTTAATGAAGTCCAACTTATCAGTTCTTTCTTTCATAGATCATGACTTTGGTGTCACAACTAAAAAGTTATTGCTAAACCCAAGCTCACCTAGATTTTGTCCTATTACCTTCTAGGAGCGTTATAGGTCTGTGTTTTATATTTAGGTCTGCGATTCATTTTGAGTTAATTTTTGTGAAGGGTGTAAGGTCTGTGTCTGGATTCTTTTTTTTTTTAAATGTGGATGTCTATTATAACAAACATTCTATTTTTCTTCAACGTATTGCCTTTGTTCTTTGACAAAGATCAGTTGACTATATTTATGTGCGTCAATTTCTGGACTCTATTGTGTTCCATTGATCTATTGATTTATTCTTTTGCAAATACCACATTGTCTTAATTATCGTAGATTTAGAGTAAGTCTTCGAGTCAGGTGTGTCAGTCCTCCAACTTTGTTCTTCTCTTTCAATATTGAATTGGCTATTAAGTGTGCTTTGGCTCTGCATATAAAATTTAGAATACTCTGTTGATATCTGTGAAATAAACTTGCTGGGATTTTGACAGGGATTGCATTGGAATCTATAGATCAAGTTGGGAAGAACAGACATCCTAAAAATATTGAGTCCTTGTATTCATGAACATCAATTGTCTATCCGTTTATTTAGTTTTTCTTTGATTTCTTTCATCAGGGTTTTATAGTTTGCCTTACATAGATCTTGTGCATATTTTGTTAAATTTATAACTAAGTATTTCATTTTACAGGGTGCTAATTTAAATGGTATTATGTGTTTTAGAATACGTGCTGCCAAAGTGAGCACATAAATGGTATTATGTTTTTCAGTTTTCACTTGTTCATTGTTGATATAAAGAAAAGTGATTGGCTGGGCGCGGTGGCTCATGCCTGTAATCCGAGCACTTTGGGAGGCCGAGGCAGGCAGATCACAAGGTCAGGAATTCGAGACCAGCCTGGCCAATATGGTGAAACCCAGTCTCTACTAAAAATACAAAAATTAGCCGGGTGTGGTGGTGCACCTGTAGTCCCAGCTACTCGGGAGGCTGAGGCAGAAGAATCACTTGAACCCGGGAGGCGGAGGTTGCAGTGAGCTGAGATCGCACCACTGCACTCCAGCCTGGGTGACAGAGTGAGACTCCATCTTAAAAGAAAAGAAAAAGAAAAGTGACTGACTTTTGTATATTAAACTTGCATCCTGCACCCTTGCTATAATCACTTATTCCAGAAGTTTTTTTTTCTTGGTTATTTTATATTGTCTGCATAGGTAATCATGACATCTGCAAACAAACACGGTTTTATTTTTTCCCTTCTCAGTCTGTATATATTTTATTTCCTTTTTTTAAATTTTATTAGCTAGGATTCCCATTACAATGTTGAAAGACAGTGATGAGAGAGAACACCCTTGCCTTGTTCCTGATCTTAGTGGGAAAACTTCATGATTCTCACCATTAAGTATGATGTTAGCTGTAGGTTTTTAATAGATATGCTTTGTCAAGTAGAGGAAGATCCCCTCTATTCCTAGTTTACTGAGAGTTTTTTTTAAATCATGAATGGATGTAGGATTTTGTCACATGCTTTTTCTGCAACTATTGAAATGATCACGTGCTATTTGTTCCTCAGCCCCCCCATGTGATGATTACCTAATTGATTTTGTATGTTGAACCAGGCTTGCATAGTGAGGATAAATATGTTGTTTTGGTGGATAATTGTTTTTATACATTGTTGAGTTTGATTTGCTAATATTTTGGGGGAGATTTTTGCATCTATGTTCATCAGAGATACTGGTAGACAGTTTTCTTGTGAAGTCTTTGTCTGATTTTGGTGTTAGGATGATGCGGGCCTTGTAGAATGAGTTAGTAATTGTTCCTTCTGTGTCTATCTTCTGAAATGAGTATAATTTATTTCTTAAATGTTTGGTAGAATTCACCAGTGAACCAATCTGGCCTGGTGCTTTTTGTTTTGGGAGGCTTCCCCTTACTATTTAATTACTGATAGTCTCTTCTGTAAATAGTGATGAAAAAACTGGATATTCAAATGCAGAAGAATGAAATTAGACTCTCGTACTGTATACAAGAAGCAATTCAAAATGGATTAAATTCAAAAGACTTAACTGTAAGACCTTAAGCCATAACACTACTAGAAGAAAACAGAGGACTGGGTGTGGTGGCTAATGACTGTAATCTCAGCAATTGGGAGGCCAAGGCAGGTGGATCACCTGAGGTCAGGAGTTCAAGATTGGCTTGGCCAACATGGAGAAACCCTGTCTCTACTAAAAATACAAAAATTAGCTGGGCATGGTGATGTGCGCCTGTAATCCCAGCTACTTGTGAGACTGACGCAGGAGATCACTTGAACCTGGGAGGCGGAGACTGCAGTAAGCCGAGATCGTGCCACTCCACTCCAGCCTTGGGTGATAGAGCAAGACTCCATCTGGAAAAAAAAAAAAAGAAAACAGGAAAATCCTGACAGTCGTCTGGGCAATTATTTTTTGACTATGACACCAAAAATGCAAGCAAAAAAGCAAAAATAGAAAATTGGGATTGCATTAAACTAAAATGCTTTGGCATGGCAAAGGAAACCATCAACAGAGTGAAAAGGCAATCCTGTGGAATGGGAGAAAATATTTTCAAACCATGTATCTTTAAGGGATTAATATCCAAAATATGTAAGGATTTTTTTCTTTATCTTTGACTTCTTTAGTTCACAAATTATATGCCTAGGTATTGTTTCTGGGGGCATTTATCCTGCTTGGTGTTGTCTTAGATTCCTGAATCTATGGGTTGATGTCTGACATTAATTTGGAGTCTCTGTCATAATTATTTCAAATATATTTTCTGTTCCTTTCTCTCCTTTTTTTTCCCCTGGTATTTCTAGCACAAATATGTACGCCTTCTGTAGTTGTCCTACAGTTCTTGGATATTTTGTCCTTCTTTCCCCCATTTTTTTCTGTTTGTCATTCAGTTATAGATATTTTTATTGAGATATTCTCAGGCTCAGATTCTTTCCTAAGCCATGTCCAGTCTACCAATCAGCCTATCAGAGCCATCCTTTGGTTCCATTACCGCGTTTTTGACCTCTAGCATTTCTTTCTGGTTCTTTCCTAGGATTTCCATCTCTCTGCTTCTATCGTCCAACAGTTGTTTTTTGTTTTTGAGACGGAGCCTCGCTCTGTCGCCAGGCTGGAGTGCAATGGCGTGATTTCGGCTCACTGCAACCTCCGCCTCCCGGGTTCAAGCGATTCTCCTGCCTCAGCCTCGGAGTAGCTGGGATTACATGTGCCCGCCACTCTGCCTGGCTAATTTTTGTATTTTTAGTAGAGACAGGTTAGTCAGGCTGGTCTCAAGCTGCTGACCTCAGAAGATCCACCTGCCGTGGCTTCCCAAAGTGCTGGGATTACAGTCGTGAGCCGCTGCACCCGGCCTGTCCATTAGTTTTTGCATGCTATTTACTAGAGCCCTTCACACATGTATCATGTTTGTTTTAAATTACTGGTCTGATAATTCCAACATCCCTGACATGTCTGAGTCTCGTTCTGATGTTTGCTCCACTTTTTCAAGTTGTTTTTTGCCTTTTGGTATGTCTTTTCTTTTTTTTTTGTTTGCGGGGGACAGAGTTTCACTCTTGTTGCCCAGGCTGGAGTGCAATGGTGCAATCTCAGCTCACTGCAACCTCTGCCTCCCGGGTTCAAGTGATTCTCCTGCCTCAGCCTCCTGAGTAGCTGGGATTTCAGGCACCCAACACCATGCCAGGCTAATTTTTGTATTTTTAGTAGAGGCAGGGTTTCATTATGTTGGCCAGTCTGGTCTTGAACTCCCGACCTCAGGTAATCTGCCCGACTTGGCCTCCCAAAGTGCTGGGATTACAGGCATGAGCCACCATGCCCAACCTATTTTTGAATATTTAGATTAATAATTTTCATTAAATTTGGAAAAAGTGGCCACTTTTTTCAAGTATTTTTTTTTCTCCTTTTTCCTGGGAACTTCAATTATATGTGTGTTAGGCAACTTGATGTTGTCCTAATCTTAGTGATGCTATTTTTAGATTCCCCCCCCCCCCCGGCATTTTAAATGCTGATTAGACCTGGTGAGTAAGAAATAACAACTACTGTAGACTTATTGGTAAGACATTTGTGTGACTTGCCTAAAATTCAGGCAAATTTTGCTTGTACCTCAGCAAAATTTCTATTCGTCAAGTGGTGTGGGGCATGGCTAGACAACCCTTTTAAAGTGAAGGGTATATTACTGTGTCTGGCCCCTCCTACAACCAAGAAAGTGGGCCTCTTAAGATTTTAGAGTCAACATTCCTCATTTGGGAGTGTTACTCTGGCCCATTTACCCAGTGACCCAAAAAGTTGCTGGATTTGAGTGGGGCCCACAACAAGAGAAGGCTCCGCAACAGGACCAGGCTGCTGTGCAAGCTGCCCTGCTGCTTGAGTCATATGATCCAGTGGATCCATGGTGCTTGAGGTGTCAGTGGCAGATAGGGATGAATGGAAGAATCACAGTGCAAGCATTTAGAATTTTGGAAAAAAGCCCTGACATCTTCCAAAGATGACTACTTTTCTTTTGGAAGACAATTCTTGGTCTGCTACTGGGCCTTAGTGGAGACTGAATGTTTGACCATGGGCTGCCAAGTTACCACGCAACCTGAGCTGCCCATCATGAACTGGCTGTTACCTGATCCACCAAGTCATAAAATTTGGCATACACAGCACTCCATCATCAAATGGAAGCAGTACATACATGATCTGGTTGGAATAGGCCCTGAAGGCACATGTAAGTTACATGAAAAAGTGACCCAAATGCTCATGGTATCTACTCTTGCAACACTGCCTTCTCTCCCACTGCATGCACCTATGGTGTTACTGGGAGTTCCCTATGATCAATCAATAGGAGAAGCCTGGTTTGCAGATGGTTCTGCACAATATGCAGACACCACCCAAAAGTGGACAGCTGTAGTACTAGAACCTGTTACTGGGATATCCCTGAAAGACAGCTGTGAAGGGAAATCCTCTTACGGGTCAGAACTTTGAGCAGTGCATCTGATTGTGCACTTTTCTTGGAAGGAGAAATGGCCAGTCCTGTGATTATATATCAGTTCAGACTGTGGCCAATGGTTTGGCTGGATGTTCAGGGAATTGAGAGGAACATGATTGGAAAATTGGTGACAAATTTAAGGAAGAGGTATATGGACAGATTTCTCTGAGTGCGCAAAACACATGGTGATATTTGTGTCCCATGTGAATACTCACCAAAGGGAATTTTAATAATCAAGTGGACAAGATGACCCATTCTGCGGATACTGATCACCCTTGTTTCCCAGCTACCTCTGTCATTGCCTAATGGTCTCATGAACAAAGTGACCATGATGGCAGTGATGGAGGTTATGCTTGGTGAAGTAACGTGGACTTGCACTCAACAAGGCCAATCTGGCTTACAGCCACTGCTGAAAGTCCAATCTGCCAACAGCAGAGAGCAACACTGAGTCCCTGATATGGCCAACATTGAGCAGAGACCAACATCAAGTCCCTAGGGTGATCATGCAGCCACCTGGTGGTAGGTTATGTGGGGACATTTTCATCATAGAAGGGACAGTGTTTGTTCTTAATAGACACTCTGGATATTTTTTGTCTTCCCTGCACACAATGCTTCTGCCAAAACTACCATCCATGGGCTTATAGAATGCTTTATTCATCATTGTAGTAGTCCACATTGCATTGTTTCTGATCAAGGAACTCACTTTACAGCAAAAGAAATGGAGCAACGGACCCATGCTGGTAGAATTTGCTGGTCTGATTTATGTTCCCCATCATCCTGAAGCAATTGGCTTGATAAAACAGTGGAATAGCATTTTGAAGTCTCAGTTATGACACCAGCTAGGTGGCAATTTCTTGCAGGGGTGGAGTGAAGTTCCCCAGAAGGCTGTATATGCTATGAATCAGTGTCCAATATAAGATCTTGTTTCTCCTACAGCAAGTAGCACTCACAGGTCAAGAGATCAAAGGACAAGAGTGGGAGTGGCACCACTCACTATTACCCCGAGTGACCCACTGGCAAAATTTTTGCTTCCTGTTCCTGACTTTATGCTTTGCTGACCTAGAGGTCTTAGTTCTAGAGGAAGGGATATTTCCATTAGGAAGGGATATTTCCACCAGGAGACACAATAATGATCCCAAGAACTGGAAGTTAAAGACTTCCACCTGGCCACTTTGGGGTCCTTATATTTCTCAATTAATAGGTAAAGAAGGGAGTTACAGTGTTGGCTGGGATGATTGGTCCTGACTACCAAGGGGGAAATTGGACTACTATTCCACAATGGAGTTAAGGAAGAGTAAGTATATCCAGAATACAGGAGATTCCTTAGGGTATCTTTTAGTATTACCATGCCCTGTGTTTTATGTCAATAGAAAACTACAGCCTGACCAGGCAGGGCTACAAATGGCTCAAACCCTTCAGGAATAAAAGTTGAAGTCACCCTGCCAGATAAAGCTGAGGTGCTTGCTGAAGGCAACGGGAATACAGAATGGATAGTGGGAAAAGGTAGTTGTAAATACCAGCCATGGCCATGTGGCCAATTACAGAAACAAAGATGGTAATTGCCGTGTCTATTTTCTCCTTATTTTGCCATAAACACATTTGTGTGTGTATCTTTGTTATCCTTCTGTTCTTATTCCCTTATCATGTAACATCAGATGTATTTATAATATTTTATATCGTACTATTTAAGTATTTTTAATTTAATTTTTTTTTTGAGACAGGGTCTGGCTCTGTTACCCAGGCTGTAGTACAGTGGCACGATCTTGGCTCACTGCAACCTCCGCCTCCTGGGTTCAAGCCATCCTCCCACCTCAGCATTCCAAGTAGCTGGGACCACAGGCATGCACCACCGTGCCTGGCTAATTTTTGTATTTTTTTGTAGAGTTGGTGTTTCACCATGTTGCCCAGGCTGGTCTTGAACTCCTGAGCTCAAGCGATCTGCCTGCCTTGGCCTCCCAAAGTGCTGGTATTGCAGGTGTGAGCCACTGCACCCAGGCAAGTGTTGTAGGATATCAGAGTAAACATCTTTCAAGGATTTTACCTCCTCATCTGGGAAATAAGTTACTGTGTGTTTTTTATTGTATCCAGGGTAGTATTAAGGTAGGTGGAATTATGACCTATTATTTTCATTTGGAGAATAAGTTTGGTTTGAGGAGATGTGTATAGGTGCCAAGTTGACAAAGGGTAGACTTGTGATAATAAATTTTATGTGTCAACATGACTGGGCTATGGGGTGCGCAGGTTAAACATAATTTTTGGTGTGTCCATGAGAGTGCTTCTGGATGGACTCAACCACTGGCTGAATTACAGCACTGGCCTTCCTGGGTCTCTGACTTGCAGATGGCAGATCATGGCACTTCTTAGCCTTCATAACTGTGTGAGCCAATTCTTCATATAAATCTCTCTCTCCCTCTAATGTATTTATATATGTAAATATAGTTATATGTTGCCAATATATTTATATTGGTAAAATACTACATATTTACATATATAAATAATACATATACTGGGTATGGTGGCTCACACCTGCAATATATTTTATATATATAAATATATATAGTATAATACTGATAAATACTATATATATATATATATATATCCTATTCCTTCTGTTTCTTTGTAGAACTCTGACTAATACATGTGGGTTAATTTCATTAAATTTGGAAAAAAAAATGGCCATTTCTTTCAAGTATTATTTTCCTCCCTTCTTCTGGATACTCCAGTTATGTATATATTAGGCTACTTGATATTGTCTCACAACTTATTGATGCTTTGTTTAGTTTTCTTCTGGCTTATGTTTTCTCTCAGTGTTTAATTTGGATAGTTCCTATTGCAATATCTTCAAATTCACAAATCTTTTCTCCTATAGCATTTAATCTGCTGTTAATCCTGCCAATGTATTTTTCAGTTCAGTTACTGTATTTTTCATTTCTAGAAGTTTACTTAGGCATTTCATTTTTCTCCTGACCATACTCATGCTTTCTTGCACTTCTTGAATATATGGAGTGAATTTATAATTCTTGTTTTGATGTCCTTGCCTACAAATTCTAACATCTGAGTCATATATAGGTCTATGTCTATAGAATGATGTTTTTTTCCAATACTGGGTCTTATGTTCCTGCTTATTTGCATACTAGGTAATATTTTATTGAATACCAGACATTGTACACTTTATGTTATGGGGTGCTGGATTTCTAAACATTCCTTTAGATACTTTACTTTTACACTGAGGGCTAATTTGGCCCCACTGAGGCAATATGCTTTTGAGAACTGTACCCGATGCCCCACCGTATTAGGAGATCTTCCCAAACCGGCTAGGGAAAACACTATTTCTGGTCCTGTGTGAACTCCTGAAATTGTTCTGCCTACTCCTCTCTGCTGTTCTTTCCCCAGCCTCAGTAGTCTCCTTACACAAGCGCATAGCAGTACTCAGCCAAAGTCTTGAGGGACTGCTCTGCAGATCTCTGGAACCCTCACTCTCTGCAGTTCTTTTTCTTTGATACTTTGCCTCACAAATTTTTCTCATTTTGCCCTGCTGGAACTCTGAACTTTGTCTCCTTAATCAGTGAGACTGTTGGACTCTGTTTTGGTTTCTTTTTTCTGTGGTCAGCCTGGAAATTCTCCAGGCAGTGAGCTGGGGGTACTTGCAGGGCTGATCTCACTTGTCTTTCTCTCAGGGATCACAGTCTTGCACTGCCTGTTGTCCAATGTCTGAAAACTTTCACTTCATATATTTTGTCCAGCTTTTAGTTATGTAAGGAGGGAAGGTACATCTAGTCTCTATTATTCCATCATGATTAAAAATAGAATTCTGTTTTGGTAAACAGCTTTCATCTTGTTTAGGTAGCTTCTCTCTATTCCTATGTTAGTTAATCTTTTTTATTAGAGTGCTGTTAAATATTAGAGAAATACCTTTTTACATTCATAAAATCATGCGGGTTTTCTTAATTTATAAATGTAATGATTTAGGTAGATAGGATTCCTATTGTTGAATAACTTGCATTTCCGGAAGGAATCCTCATTGGTCAAGTATTTTACATTATTAAAAACAGTAACAAAATGACTGACGTGATGGTAAGTCCCTGGATGACTGGTGTGTCACCTTAAGAGCTGCCTGTCTGGATTGGCAACATCCCAAGGGATTCATCACAAAGATTGGCCTACTGGAACTTAAGCAGCAAAATGAACTTTTTTTCTAATAGAGCTATTAAAAATTCTGATGGGCTGTTTGACAATTTAAAGGATTCTTTTTTACATTTAGAAGCATCTTTTCATTTTTTAGACTGATTGAAGTTGTCCCACGATGCCCTGATGCTCTTCTTGTTTCTTTTCATTGGTTTCTTTCTCTTTGTATTTCAATTTGGATGGCTTTTATTGCTGTTTTCAAGTTCACAAATCTTTTCTTCTTAGTGTCTAATCTGCTGTTAATCTCATCCAATGTATTTTCATGTTAGACATTGTAGTTTTAACTTCAGAAGTTCAATTTGGCTATTTAAAAAAAATCTTCTATATATCTACCAACACGTTCAGTCTTCTAAATTTTTGAGCATATAGGATACAATTATAATAACTATTTCCACTAATTCTATAGTCTGTGTCATTTCTGGGTTGTTTTTCATGTTTGTTTTCTCTATATTAAGGGTCATATTTTCCTGTTTTTTTTTTTTTTTGCATGTCTGGTAATTTTTTATTAGATGGAAGACATTGTGATTTTGACCTTGTTGGATGCTGCACCTGAAGGTGGAGGAAGAGGAAGAGCCTTGGGGGCTACCATTCTGGCTGGAGAAGCGGCACGAGGCTCCCTCTTGTGGATGCAGCAAGGTAAGAAAGTAAAGTGGATGTTCTCCTCTGGAGCAAGCGGCCTCCGACTCTGCCTGTGGACTGAAACTCGCACTTGCATGCTGTGGCTTAGCTGAGGGCTTGTAGCTCAGGACAGAGGCAGTGATGGTGACAAAAGCAGGGGAGTGATACGGGAGAGGTATAGCCCCAGCCCCAGGACACAGCAGATCTCAATATTGGGAAGGGAGGAGTTCAGTATCAGTAAAGTGAGCCATAAGAGAGACAGGAAAGCAGCCTTTGCAGACAGAGGTGGAACCAATTGAAAGGAGGAGGGGAGCTCCTTGCAAAGAACGTTGCAGGTAGCATCTAGAGGCTGTGGGGATCATTCTTAGGCCATCCAAGAACTCTGAGAAGATTGGGGGGAAGCTGGAATTTCACTGTGGTTGCTAGGATGGGCTCAAGCCCGAGGCTATTTTTATTTAAATGCCATTATTTTTGTTTTTATTTTTTGATATTAACCCTGTCAGGTTAGTGAGCCTAGAGAATACCTGTTATAAATGAAATATAATTCTGAAATGTTAATGTGTGGGAAGGAACAAGTAAGGCTTGAGAAATATAACCTGGGCATGTAATGATGCTAGAGAACTTACAGTCTTTGCCTGAAAGTTCTGGATGCACAAAAGTCCCTTATTGTCATTTTATTTATTTACTTAGTTCTTACTGAGATTGAGACAGTCTTACTGTATAATGCCTAAAGATCTCAGGTAAGAGTGATACTAGCTTTTTTTCCCTATTAGTTTCTTTTTCTTTTCTTTCTTTTTTTTTTTCTTTTTGTTTTGGAGACGGAGTCTCACTTTTTCGCCCAGGCTGGAGTGCAGTGGCGCTATCTCGACTCACTGCAAGCTCCGTCTCCTGGGTTCACGCCACTCTCCTGCCTCAGCCTCCTGAGTAGCTGGGATTACAGGTGCCCGCCACCGCGCCCGGCTAATTTTTTGTATTTTTAGTAGAGACGGGGTTTCACCGGTTAGCCAAGATGGTCTCGATCTCCTGACCTCGTGATCCGCCCACCTTGGCCTCCCAAAGTGCTGGGATTACAGGCATGAGCCACCGCGCCTGGCCTTTTTTTTTTTTTTTTTTTGACACAGAGTCTCACTCCGTCGGCCAGGCTGGAGTGCAGTGGCACGATCTTGGCTCATTGCAACCTCCACCTCCCAGACTCAAGCAATTCTCCTGCCTCAGCCTCCCGAGTAGCTGGGATTGCAGGTGTGTGCCACCATGCCCGGCTAATTTTTGTATTTTTCGTAGAGACAGGGTTTCACCAGGTTGGCCAGGCTGGTCTCAAACTCCTGACCTCAGGTAATCCACCCCCCTCGGCCTCCCAAAGTGCTGGGATTACAGACGTGAGCCATCATGCCCAGCCTAGTTTCTTTTAAAAAAAAAATTATTTTATTTCCATAGATTATTGGGGAGCAGGTGGTGTGTGGTTACATGAGTAAGATCTTTTTTTTTTTTTTTTTTTTTGAGACGGAGTCTTGCTCTGTTGCCCAGGCTAGAGTGTAGTGGCGCGATCTCGGCTCACTGCCAGCTCCACACCTCGGGTTCACGCCAACTCTCCTGCCTCAGCCTCCTGAGTAGCTGGGACTACAGGGGCCCGCCACCACACCCAGCTAATTTTTTGTATTTCTTGTAGAGATGGGGTTTCACCATGTTAGCCAGGATGGTCTCGATCTCCTGACCTCGTGATCCACCTGCCTCAGCCTCCCAAAGTGTTGGGATTACAGGCATGAGCCACTGCACCTGGCCACATAAGTAAGATCGTTAGTGGTGATTTGTGAGATTTTGGTGGACGCATCGCCTGAGCAGTATACACTGCACCCAAATTGTAGTCTTTTATTCATCACTCCCTTCCCACCCTTTTTCCCTGAGTCCCCAAAGTCCACTGTGTCATTCTTACGTCTCTGTATCCTCATAGCTTAGCTCCCACGTATGATCGAGAACATACAATGTTTGGTTTTCCATTCCTGAGTTACTTCACTAAGAATAATAGTCTCCAATCTCATCCAGGTTGCTGTGAATGCCATTAATTCATTCCTGTTTATGGCTGAGTAGTATTCCATTGTATATGTATACTGCAGTTTCTTTATCCACTCACTGATTGATGGGCATATGGGTTGGTTCCACATTTTTACAACTGAGAATTGTGCTGCTATAAACATATGTGTGCAAGCATCCTTTTCGTGTGATGACTTCTTTTTCTCTGGGTAGATACCCAGTAGTGGATACCCTAATATGTTTTCCAAACTCTTAGATTTCTCTTCTTCTTAGGAATGCCGATTATTCTTTGGTTTGCTCATTTAACATAATCCCAGACTTCTTGGAGGCTTTGTTCATATTTTCTTATTCTTTTTTCTTTGTCTTTGTTGGATTATTTTGAAAACCTTGTCTTTGAGCTCTGAGGTTCTTTCTCCTGCTTATTCGCTTCTATTGCTGAGACTTTCCAGAGCATTTTGAATTTCTATAACTGCATCCGTTGGTTCCTGAAGTTTTGATTGCTTTTTATTATATGCTACCTATTTCATTGAAAATTTCTCCCCTTACTTTTTGTATTTTTTTTTTATTTCCTTAAATTGGGCTTTGCCTTTTTCTGGCACCTCTTTGATTAGCTTAATAACTGACCTTATGAATTCTTTTTCAGGTAAATCAGGGATTTTTTTTGGTTGGATCCATTGCTGGTGAGCTAGTGTGATTTTTTTGGAGGGTATTAAAGAGCCTTGTTTTCTCATATTACCAGAGTTGGTTTCCTAGTTCCTTCGCATTTGGGTAGGCTCTGTCGGAGGGAAGGTCTAGGGCTCGAGGCTGTTGTTCAGATTCTTTTGTCCCACAGGGTGTTCCCTTGATGTAGTACCCTCCGCCTTTTCCTAGGGATGTGGCTTCCTGAGATCTGAGCTGTCGTGATTATTATCTCTCTTCTGAATTTAGTCACCCAACAGGTCTACCAGGCTCTGGGCTGGCACTGGGAGTTGTCTGTACAGAGTCTTGTGATGTGAACCATCTGTGGGTCTCTCAGCTGTGGATACCAATGCCTGCTGTGGTGGAGGTGGTGGGGGGTGAAATGGACTCTGTGAGGGTCCTTAGTTTTGGTGGTTTAATGCACTATTTTTGAGCCGGTTGGCTTCCTGCTGGGAGGTGGCACTTTCCAGAGAGCATCAGCTGTGGTAGTATGGGAGGGATCAGGCGGTGGGTAGGGCCCTAGAACTCCCAAGAGTATATGCTGTTTGTCTTCAGCTACCAGGGTGGGTAGGGAAGGCCCATTAAGTGGGGGCAGTGCTAGGCATGTCTGAGTTCAGACTCTCCTTGAGTGGGTCTTGCTTGTGGGGGATGGAGGTGTGGTTCGCAGGTCAATGGGGTTGTGTTCCTAGGAGGATTATGCTGCCTCTGCTGTGTCATGCAGGTTGTCAGGGAAGTGAGGGAAAGCTGGCAATCACAGGCCTCACCCAGCTCCCACACAACCCAAAGGGCCAGTCTCACTCTCACCATTCCCTGCTCAACAGCACTAAGTCTGTGTCCAGGCAGTGGACAAGCAGGGCTGAGAGCTTGCCCCAGGCTACCAGCCTCCCAGCTGTGAAAGCTGTGAACCCTTCGTGCTTCCCCACCTGTGGTCTGCACACAGGATTCACGCCCTCCCTGTAGTTCTGGCCAGGAGACTTCTTGTTCAGTTGGAATTGTTACGAAGTTCAGCTGGAGGCTTCCTTCTCCCTGTGGCCTTTTCCCAGTGCCTCTGGTAGCCCTCCCCAATGACCCCTGGGAGGCAAGGCAGAAATGGCTTGCTAGGGCACCCAGAGAGCCCACAGGGATTTTCCCACTGCTTCTTCTACCCCTGCGTTTCACTCGGCTCTCTAAATTGACTCAGCTCCAGGTAATGTTAGAATCTTCTCTGGTGATCTAGATCTTGAGGTTCCCCAGTGAGGTTGTGTGTTTGGGACTGAATGATGCCCCTTTCCCACTTCCATAGTTTGGGCACTCACGGTATTTGGGGTGTCTCCCAGGTCATGCAGGAGCAATTCACTTCCTTCAGAGGGTCTGTGGGTTCTCTTGGCTTTCCTGATTTCTTCCTGCAGTCATTCTGGAGCAAAAGTTCATGATGCAATACTCCACATGCTGCTCTGTCCGTCTGAGTGGGAGCTGCAATCTAGGCCTGCCTCCTGTCTGCCATGATCCTCCCAGAGAGATACTAGCTTTGACACTCGTCTATGTGGACGAAAAAGCCACAGGACACTTTAATTTCTATTTTAGTATTCCTCATATATTTTCTGCATTCATTTACATGTCTGCCTCCCCAGCAACTTCTTATGGCACCATGCTTTGTAATTACCATGTGCCGAGTGGCTACTAAGTGACTGATATTTATATGCTTTATGTGGCTTAACTTACATACTCTTCTGAGAAGCTGTTTAAATTTCATTCTCTCTTATTTTCGTTTCCAGGTCTAGGAAATGGAGGCATAGTGAGATAAAATAAGTTGCTCAAAGCCATATGGCGATTAAGACTTGAACTCTAAAAGTGTTTTATTTTTATTTTTATTTATTTAATTAATTTTTTTGAGACAGGGTCTTGCTCTGTTGCCCAGGCTGCTGTGCAGTGGTGCAATCACAACTCACTGCAGCCTCAACCTCCTGAGCTCAAGGGATCCTCCCATCTCAGCCTCCCAAGTAGCTGGGACCACAGGAAGGTGCCACCATGCCAGGCTAGTTTTTTATTTTTTAGTAGAGATGGGGGTCTCACTAGGTTGCCAAGGCTGGTCTTGAACTCCTGGGCTCAAGTAGTTCTTCTATCTCAGCCTCCCAAAGTGCTGGGGTTACAGGCTTGAGCCACTGTGCCCAGCCTGTTTTATTAATCTCTAAGTGCCCTGCATCTGCTCTAGGGAGTGTGGCATAGTCCTTGATAGTGGATAACTGAGTGACGCAGGTAGTTTGTATGAGAAGTGCAGTAACCACATGGTGAATGGAAGATGATGCTGTACACTTGCCTGGAGTTCATAGCTGGGACACTGTGGTTACCAGGACACAGCTTCCAGAATGGCTGACTAAACCTAGAAAATGCAGACTCCGCTGGGTCTTTGTGTTTCTGTTTTTTAAACGGGAAAATAAATTCTGTCATTTACTTTCAAAGAGTTAGTGGGAGTGACATAAAATTGTTGATAAAAATCTTTGGAAGTCTCAGTGAGGGGATCTGCTATATTGAAATAATGAAATAATTGATGAAATTATTTCATTCGTAAACAGTCTAAGGGCCAAGGGAAGAGAAGAGTGACACAGACTCTCCTTTCCTTGAGATCTTAGAATCACGCCTGCCTCCTTACCTCCATCCAGGACTGTTAAAAAACTCCCAAAGCAGGGACTTTCAGGCCCACATGCACTTAGCCTCCTCTTCCCACCTCCTGTTCCTCTCCGTGTCTAATGTTCCACTGCCATCGCTGCCAGGAAGTTCTGCAGAGAAGAGTGAAGAAGAACCGTGTGATCCTAAACATGTTCTCTGAAGATATTATCAACCCACCATTGGCCTTATTTACTGGAATGTTTTTATAACCTTCATTTGACACCTCTTCCCATCATTTAAAATAAATCTGGTGCTTCCCTGAATAATCTCTTGAGATTTGTACATGTCTCCCAGCATCACATCTGCCCTTTTAACAAGCACACTCCTTCCACTGCTCACGGCCACCTCGGGTTCACTGCAGTCAGGGAATCTGTGTCTTGCAGCAGTCAAGTCTATATCAAACTTGAATTTATTTATTTTCTTTTGTTTCTGAGAACTGTAATTCCACTCCAAGGCCTAGACTGTACCCAACAGAGCTGCATGTATGTTTAATGAAAACATGTCCTAGAATATTCACAATACTTCTACTACTTATGCCCTCAAACTGGAAACTACCCAAATGCTGGAGAGTAGAATGGATGAATGAATTGTAGTAATATTTATTGAATACAATACAATACAATAATGATAATGAATTAACTTGAACTATATCCAAGAAGGATGAATCTCACAGACATTATGTTGGCTGAAATGAGCCAATCACAGAAGTGTACATATTCTATAACTCTGCTACAGAAAGTTCAAAGAACAGACAAAACCAGTGCACAATATTAGAAGCTGGGATTGCATTTATCCTGGGGTAGGGGATGGAGTATTGGCTGGAAGTAGGGGTGAGTAGGCTCTCTGCTGCTTTTGTTGTGTTCTCTGTATCTGGGTGCTGGTTTTGAGGGTGTGTTCACTTCGTGAAAATCCATTGAGCTGTAAACTTATGACTTACGTACATTTCTGTATGTGTGTTTTTGTAAAACTTACAGGAAACAAAGGAGAAATATATTGCCATATATTGATTGGACTCTATTCAGGGCTATCTTGGAAACTGCAGCTTGAAGACAGCTGGGCCTCAGCATACGCCCTGACCTCCTGCAATCTAAGCTCTGGATCCTGGTCAACTTTGGGAGAATAATCAAGCCAATTTTCAGAGAAGCAGTTTCTATGTCTTTCAGGTCTTTGTGTCCTAAGGGATTAGGAGCATTAGGGACCTGGTCTCAGTGTGATCCTGAGAGCTCATCCATTCTCTGGTCATCCTTCAGAGAAATACCAGGCTCCTGAATTCATCTGCACAAATAGCTGGCCAGGCTACCTGCTTTCCACCATCCCATTGTCTTTCCTGCATTGTTCTGGGACTCTGGCCACACTCACCTTCCAAAATAACCGTGCAGTTGTCATCATTGTTCAGGAGACTATTTTGGAACACTGGCTTAGCTTGGTGATGTGTAGAGATCCAGGAAAGGCCTCAGCTGTCGGGAGGGAGGCCCAGGGCCATCAGAGAGCTGGGGGTGGTAAGAAGTGATGGGGATTGGGCTTCAGGAGGTGTGGAGGGGCCCAGGGGGAGCACCATTTCTGACAAGTGTTCGGTCATAGTGTGGAGACTTGGAAAGAAAGAGGAGAAAGGATGGGGGGGTGTGGGGTGCAGGTTGGAGGGAAGCTGGGAGGGGGGAAAACAGTGAAGGAACATTAGGTTGATTAGTGCTGGCGGAAGAGGTAAGGAGAGACTTTGTTCACAGAGGAGGGGCTGGGAAGTGAGGGTGTGAGTTGAAGGACACTAATGGTATGCTGACATATTGTTTCAAGAGCGGTTTCTATAGCCTGGAGGACTTAAGGACAGCTGTTGGGAACCTTCTACGGGGTGATAGAAAAGTAAGTGGGAGAAAAGGAGTGTGATGATTGACGGGCAGCCTAATGTCGAGTCAGGTGACATCTTGCCATATTTAGCAATGTAATAGGTGGTCAGATGACCTCACAGTCTTCAGGGCTGGGAGATGGCAGAATCTTCTCACAGGGGTTGTGACAGAGGAGTTGGGTAGATTTGTTCTCAGTGGGCAAAGGTGGAATTCGCTTCTCTTTTTCTGTTTTCTCTTGACATCACAGGCCTGCAGAAACAGCATACCATGAGTGAAAACCCCTCAATTGCATGGGATTTTGCACCCGCATGATTTGACAGGGTCTCTAGCTCTTTCAAAGTCTGCAGCAAGACAGAGGAAAAGTCTAGGCTCCTGTGGGGGTGTTTCATGTGCTTGTGTACAAATTAGCCCCCACAGGACTCTGCAGCTCCACGTCGCTCTGCTGGGCACTGGGACCATGTGCTCTGTTGGTCTACGGGAGCTTCTGTCTCCCTGGAGTTACAGTTTAAGAGAGGGGTTTCCAAAAAAGGATGCTAATGTCCCAGGATTTTATGGACTTTAAGTAAAACTTCTTTTTTTCTGTTGTACTCAGAATGTTTTGAAGCTTTGTTCCTAGGTCACCTCACAGTGCCTGAATTCTTTCCTTTCTTTTCTTAGACATGGGGTCTTGCTCTCTCGCCCAGGCTGGAGCATAGCAGCTATTCACAGGTGTGATCATAGCACACCGCAGCCTCCTGGGCTCAAGCAATCCCCCTGCTTCAGCCTCCTGAGTAGCTGGGACCATAAGCAGGAGCCCATGCCCAGCTTCAATTCTTCTTTTCCTACAATAAGTTCTGGTCCAGAAAATTTTGCAACTCACCCCCGTCCTTCACTCCACAAAAAGACTTCCACTGGGATTCCTGTCAATATGCCGACTCACTTGAATCCCTGGGATGGATCCAGCCTCGGTTTAAGTGCAGACTCCTGCTTCATCTCAGAGCCTGGCCATTTTGAGGAGCAGGTGGTTTTACCCGTCTGCCCACTGGCCCCTTGCTTCATTGTCTAGGCCTGTCCTTTCTCATCTAGTGCCCTAATCCCCTCCTCACCACCTCACAATGGAGAAAGCTCTGTGTTGCTTGCTTTCAGGATTTTCCTGCTTTTCAAAAGAGCCAGGGCACTGTGTGCTTTCATGCAGGACCTAAGCAAATAAGGACATCTCAAGGAGATGCCCAACTCTTAACCTGGTGCCCACCCCACCCTGGAGAGGACAGTTATTGTTCATAGTGTACACGATTGTTTATGTCAAAGACCCAATGAGTTTGCAAAGACCTCTTAGAACTAATAAGTGAGTTTAACAAGTTTGCAGGATATACAGTTAACACACACACACAAATCAATTGTATTTCTATACATCAGCATATTAGGGTTCTCTAGGGAAACAGAACCAATAGGATACACACACACATATACATATGTATATATGTGAGAGATACACAACCGTGTGTGTGTGTGTGTGTGTGTTTAAAAGAGGGAGAGCGAGACAGAGAGATTGGTTAATTTTAAGGAATTTGCTTGTGTGATTGTAGGGGCTGGCAAATTTGAATTCTACAGAGCAGGCTGTCAGGCTGGAGACCCAGGGAAGAGCTGATGTTGCAGCTCGCATCTGGAGGCTGTCTGCTGGTAGAATTCTCTCTTTCCCAAGGAACCTCAGTCTCTTTTCTCAAGGCCTACAACTGATTGGATGAGGCCCACTTACATTATGGAGGGTCATCTCCTTTACTCAAAGTTGATTTAAGTGTTAATCACATCTAAAACATTTCTTCACAGCATCATCTAGACTGGTGTTTGAGCCCAAACTGTCTACCATGGCTTGGCCAAGTTGACACATAAAATTAACCATCAAGGCCGGGTGCGGTGGCTCACGCCTGTAATCCCAGCACTTTGGGAGGCCGAGGCGGGTGGGTCACAAGGTCAGGAGATTGAGACCATCCTGGCTAACATGGTGAAACCCCATCTCTACTAAAAATACAAAAAACTAGCCAGGAGTGGTGGCGGGCACCTGTAGTCCCAGCTACTCAGGAGGCTGAGGTAGGAGAATGGTGTGAACCCATGAGGCAGAGCTTGCAGTGAGTGAGATCGCGCCACTGCACTGCAGCCTGGGCGACAGAGCGAGACTCTGTCTCAAAAAAAAAAAAAAAATTCAACCATCACAACCAGAAATGTGTAATTGGATAGGAAAATTGAAAACCAGTACCACATAGAATACCAAAAAATGAAATAGATGAACATCTTACTGAAAGCTACAGAATACCAGTGAAAATACTCAAAGAAGATACAAACAAATAAAAAGAAACACCATATTTGAAGATTGGAATACTTAACTTTAAAAAGTTGCCAATTCTGCCAAAACTGATGTAGAGGTTTAAAACAATTCCAGTCAAAGTATCACGAGGACATTTTGTTGTTACAGACAAGCTGATTCTAATGTTTACATGGAAAGGCCAAGGACTAGAATAGCTAAAACAACTTTGAAAAATAAGAATAATGGTGTAGGAAACATGCTACCCAGTTTTAAGACATATTACAAAGTTACAGTAATCAGGACAGTATGGTATTGCATGGGAACATAGAGATCAATGAAACAGAATTGAGTCCAGAAAGATAACTGCTTAAATATGGCCATGTGATTTTTGACAAGGGTGCAAAGGTAATTCAATAAAGGATCATATTTTCAACAAATGATGTTAGAACAACTGAACATTCATATAAACAAACAAAACAGACAGAAGACTGAAACCTTACAGCTTGTATACAGATGAACTCAATATTGATAAGAGATGTAAATGTAAAAGTGAAGCTCTAAAAAGTTTAGAAAAGAACATAGTAGAAAATCTCTTCCTGGGATTAAGGAAGAGAGTTCTTAGACATGGTACCATAAGCATGATCCTTAAAAGAAAAAGTTGATAAATTGGTCTTTATCGAAATTAAAAGACTTAAGATGCTATTAAGAGAATGAAAACACTATAGCTGGGGAGAAAAAATTTGCAAGTTGCATCTGTCACAAGACTTTGCAGAATATATAAATGGCAAATAAAACACAAAAAGATGTTCAATATCATTAAGCATTAGAGACTTGTAAACTAAAACCAAACACACCTATTAGAATTGCTGAAAAAAGGAAAACCTTTGGTAATACCAAGAGCTGTTGAGAGCAATTGCAATTCTTTTTTATTATTATTATTATACTTTAAGTTCTGGGGTACAAGTGCAGAACGTGCAGTTTTGTTACATAGGGATACATGTGTCATGGTGGTTTACTGCGCCAATCAACCCGTCACCTACATTAGGTATTTATCCTAATGTTATCCCTCTCCTAGCCCCCCACCCCCTGACAGGCCCTGATGTGTGATGTACCCCTTCCTATGTCCATGTGTTCTCATTGTTCAACTCCCACTTATGAGTGAGAACATGCGGTGTTTGGTTTTCTGTCCTTGTGATAGTTTGCTAAGAATGACGATTTCCATCTTCATCCATGTCCCTGCAAAGGACGTGAACTCATCCTTTTTTATGGCTGCGTAGTATTCCATGGGGGTATATGTGCTACATTTTCTTTATCCCGTCTATTATTGATGGACATTTGAGTTGGTTCCAAGTCTTTGCTCTTGTGAATAGTGCCACAGTAAACATACGTGTACATGTGTCTTTATAGTAGAATGATGTTTAATCCTTTGGGTATATACCCAGAAATGGGATTGTGGGGTCAAATGGTAATTCTAGTTCTAGATCCTTGAGGAATCGCCACACTGTCTTCCACAATGGTTGAACTAATTTACACTCCCACCAACAGTGTAAAAGCATTCCTATTTCTCCACATCCTCTCTAGTATTTGTTGTTTCCTGACTTTTTAATGATTGCCCTTCTAACTGGCGTGAGATGGTATCTCATTGTGGTTTTGATTTGCATCTCTCTAATGACCAGTGACGATGAGCATTTTTTCATGTCTGTGGGCTACATAAATGTCTTCTTTTGAGAAGTGCCTGTTCATATTCTTTGCCCACTTTTTGATGAGGTTGTTTATTTCTTGTAAATTTGTTTAAGTTCTTTGTAGATTCTGGATATTACTCCTTTGTCAGATGGACAGATTACAAAAATTTTCTCCCGTTCTATAGGTTGCCTGTTCACTCTGATGATAGTTTCTTTTGCTGTGCAGAAGCTCTTTAGTTTAATTAGATCTGATTTGTCAATTTTGGCTTTTGTTGCCATTGCTTTTGGTGTTTTAGTCATGAAGTCTTTGCCCATGCCTATGTCCTGAATGGTATTGCCCAGGTTTACTTCTAGGATTTTTATGGTCGTAGGTCTTATGTTTAAGTCTTTGATCCATCTTGAGTTGTTTTTTGTATAAGGAAGGGGTCCAGTTTCAGTTTTCTGCATATGGCTACCCAGTTTTCCCAACACCATTTATTAAATAGGGAATCTTTTCCTCATTGCTTGTTTGTGTCAGGTTTGCCAAAGATCAGATGGTTGTAGATGTGTGGTGTTATTTCCGAGGCCTCAGTTCTGTTCCATTGGTCCATGTATCTGTTTTGGTACCAGTACCATGTTGTTTTGGTTACTGTAGCCTTGTAGTATAGTCTGAAGTCCAGTAGCGTGATGCCTCAAGCTTTGTTCTTCTTGCCCAGGATTGTCTTGGCTATGCAGGCTGTCTTTTGTTTCCATATGAAGTTTAAAGTAGTTTTTTCCAATTCTGTGAAGAAAGTCAGTGGTAGCTTGATGGGGATAGATTGAATCTATAAATTACTTTGGGCAGTATGGCCACTTTCACAATATTGTTTCTTCCTATCCATGAGCATGGAATATTTTTCCATTTGCTTGTGTCCTCTCTTATTTCCTTGAGCAGTGGTTTGTAATTCTCCTTGAAAAGGTCGTTCACATCCCTTGTAAGTCGTATTCCAGGTATTTTATTTTATTTGTAGTAATTGTGAATTGGGAGTTCACTCATGATTTGGTGCTCTGTTTGTGTTATTGGTGTATAGGAATGCTTGTGATTTTTGCACATTGATTTTGTATCCTGATACTTTGCTGAAGTTGCTTATCAGATTAAGGAGATTTTGGGCTGAGATGAAGGGGTTTTCTAAATATAAAATCATGTCATCTGCAAATACAGACGATTTGATTTCCTCTGTTCGTATTTGAATACCCTTTATTTCTTTCTCTTGCATGATTGCCCTGGCCAGAACTTCCAACACTATGTTGAATAGGAGTGGTGAGAGAGGGCATCCATGTCTTGTGCTGGTTTTCAAAGGGAATGCTTCCAGTTTTTGCCAATATTGGCTATGGGTTTGTCATAAATAGCTCTTATTATTTTGAGATACGTTCCATCGATACCTAGCTTGTTGAGAGTTTTTAGCATTGAAGGGGTGTTGAATTTTGTCAAAGGCCTTTTCTGCATCTATTGAGATAATCATGTGGTTTTGTCATTGGTTCTGTTTATATGCTGGATTACGTTTATTGATTTTCATATGTTGAACCAGCCTTGCATCCCAGGGATGAAGCCGACTTGATCGTGGTGATAAGGTTTTTGATGCTGCTGGTTTCAGTTTGCCAGTATTTTATTGAGGATTTTCTCATGGATGTTCCTCAGGGATATTGGCCTGAAATTTTCTTTTTTTGTTGTGTCTCTGCCAGGTTTTGGCATTGGGATGATGCTGGCCTCATAAAATGAGTTAGGGAGGATTCTCTCTTTTTCTATTGTTTGGAAAAGTTTCAGAAAGAATGGTACCAGCTCCTCTTTGTACCTCTGGTAGAATTCAGCTGTGAATCCGTGTGGTCCTGGACTTTTTTTGGTTGGTAAGCTATTACTGCCTCAATTTCAGAACTTGTTATTGGTTTATTCAGGGATTCAGCTTCTTCCTGGTTTAGACTTGGGAGGGTGTATGTGTCCAGGAATTTATCCATTTCTTCTAGATTTCTGAGTTTATTTGCATAGAAGTGTTTTTATAGTAGTCTCTGTTGGTAGTTTGTATTTCTGTGGGATCAGTGGTGATATCCCCTATATCATTTTTTATTGCATCTGTTTGATTCTTCTCTCTATTGCAATTCTTTTTTTTTTTTCTTTTTGAGACTGAGTCTCGCTCTGTCCCCCAGGCTGGAGTGCAGTGGCGTGATCTCGGCTCACTGCAAGCTCCGCCTCCCAGGTTCATGCCATTCTCCTGCCTCAGCCTCCTGAGTAGTTGGGACTACAGGTGCCCACCACCGTGCCTGGCTAATTTTTTGTATTTTTAGTAGAGACAGGGTTTCATTGTGTTAGCCAGGATGGTCTCAATCTCCTGATCTCGTGATCCGCCCGCCTCGGCCTCCCAAAGCTCTATTTCAAATTTTATACATTGTGGGTGGGAATAAAAAATGGTATAGCCAGTCTGGAAAAGTTTGGCAATTTCTTATAAAGCTAACGTGTTTGTCTTATAACCCAGAAACCCCACTTCCTAGAGAAGTGAAAACTTATGCTTACATAAAAACCTTTATATAAATGTTCTGTTGATAATTCTGTGATTATCTGATGTTCTATTCATAATTGCTCCAAGCAAATGTCCTTCAACAGGTGACTGAACAGGTTAATGCATGAAGAAGTTGTGGTATATCCATACAATGAAATACTACTCAGCAGTAGAAAGGAATGAACTGTTTACACATGCAGCAGCTGAGCACTTTCCAAGGCATGATGCTGGGGGATGGGGAAGGAAGTAGTCTCAGAAGTTTACGTGCTGTATTTCTCATTTTTGAGAAGATAAAATACTGATGGAGGATAGATCTGTGGTTGCCAGGAGTTACGAATGGGAGAGGCTGTGATTATAAAGGGAAAACATGAGGGAGTTTTTAGGGGTGTGATGGCACTATTTTGAATCCTGATTGTGGCAGTGCTTATGTGAATCTATACATATGTAAAAATTATAGAACTGTACACTAAAAAAAAATGTGTGTGTGTGTGTGTGTGTATATATATATATATATATATATTTTTTTAGATAGGATCTCATTCTGTTATCCAAGCTGGAGTGCGGTGGCACAATCATGGCTCCCTATAGCTTCAAACTCCTGGGCTCAGGTGATTCTCCCACCCTCAGCCTGCTGAATAACTGGGACTACAGGCATGTGCCACCGTGCCTGGCTAATTTTTTGTATTTTGTAGAGATGGGGTTTCGCCATGTTGCCTAAGCTGGTCTCAAACTCGTGGGCTCAAGCGATCCACCTGTCTCAGCCTCCAAAGTGTGTGAGCCACTGTGCCTGGCCTGTGTGATGATTTAAAGAATAAAATTAATAAAATTATAGATGATGAACATTGGATTCTGATATGGGCCTCCAGTTCCTCCTTGCTAAGGTGAGGCTGATGATTTGCAATCTGTGCAGCCATTATCAAAATGCTGACCCAGTCTTGCACCTCTATTCTGAGGCTTATGTATTTTGATCTGCTTTCTTGCTTTAGACCCATTATGACTGAAAAGACTTCTTAAATTTTGCTTTTCCATTCCAGAAATGACTGATTCCAACCTTTCTCCCCAGCTGCTCAGCATGGGCCTCCAGCTGTGCTCTGCACACTCTGATAGCGGAGAGCTTGTACTCACCCCCCATGTTTGAAATATAATTTGCATACAGTATAATGCATAGATCTGAAATATATAATTCAATGAGCTTTGGCAAATATATACAGTTGTGTGTTCATACATGTTTTACAACTGGCTCTCTGGTGGGATAAAAAAGCCCTGCTTTGTAGTGTTTGCCAATTTCTGGAGTATAAATATTTCCACCACGGTGGATTCCAAGCTATCAATGTGATGCTGACTGGCTTGCAAACATCCTGAAAAATTAACAGTCCACTCTCTTGATGGTGCCAGCAGGCTTCAGCACACCACTGCCTGTACATAACTGTGCAACCAGCACCTAGATCAACATTCAGGACATGCCCATCACCCCATAAGTTGCCTAGTGCCCCTCCGCAGTCAATCCCCACCCCTATCCTGTGTGGACAACGATTCTGATTTCTATCTCCATCATTTAGGTTTTCATATTCTAGAACTTCATGCAAATACAGTATATTTTTGGCCTGACTTTCTATTTTTGCCTCAGATTTGAGAGTCCCTCCTGCGGTGTTTATCTGGTTGTTTGTCTTTTTCATTGCCCAGTAATGTTTCATTGTATGGATGTACTATCATTGATTCTCCTGTTAATTGGCATTTGGGTTGTTCAAAGTTTTGGGATTTTCTGAGTAATCTTGAAAGTACTTGAGAGGCTGTAAAAAAGAGGTTCTAATATTCCTGGCAAAACTTTCTGCTGGGAAGAGGAAATAGATCCTGAAGCTTCAGATTTTACTGGCGATAATGAAAGAGCATCTTTGAAAGTGTCTAGCATGTGGCAGACATTCAATAAATGTTAGTGGAGTCTCACTTTGGCAGAATTCTGCTTCTAGGATCTGTGCCCAGAAATAGATCGTCTTTTACAGAAAGGTCAGAATCAACCATTGTAGAGAAAATTTAAAAATACCTCAGAGAGATTCCATCTTCTCATTTGATAAATCCATTTCAGGAATATTTCACGATTCTAACAATTAGAAAAATGTCTATGTGATATTTTTATGTTATACTTTAAAGCCTACCTGTTATACATATTATCTGATTTACTTCATACACATTTAATTTTCATTTTATGCACATTATTTTATTTAACTTTTGCTACAATGCTGCAAGGTAAATGTACTTCTACTTTACAGATAAGGACAAATGAGGCTCAGAAATGCTAAGTAACTTTCCTAGCTCACGGAGCTAGTGAGAATTTGATTGCAGTTGCCTGACTCCAAAATGCATGCGTTTTCCTCTGCAACGTGCGGCCCCACCATGTTCACACCTCACTACAGACAGGAAGCACATGTTATTCAGATAATCGCTACCCATTTTCCTTTCATCCTCGTTTTTCCAGCGAGCAAAACATCTTGTACAGTCAGTTTCTTTTTTCATTTCAAAAGTACACTTTGAATAGGCTCAGGACGGCCTGATTTAAGCAAGCAGAAGGAAAAATCCTTACAAAATCTGTGTGGGCCAATCAGCAATGTGACAGAACGTTCGGCAGATGGCGCTGTTTCCACACGAGCGTAACGGCGGCCACAAGCGTTCTGCCGCCAGGGGGCGCCGCGTTCCGCCGGAGAAGCGTGGCTCCCGGGCGCGCGGCCGCCGCCTGCCCAGCACCGGCGCAGGGCCCACGCCTCCGTCGCGGTGCGTCCTTTCCCTCCAGGTGGGACGCTGCAGGCCCAGCCGCTCCCTGTGCCTCCAGACAGCCAGGGCTCTCACGTGGATAGGCTGCTGGACCAAGCTCAGTCCAGGAGGCCGGCTTCAACAGCTTCTGCTCAGCTCTCCCGGGCAGCACAGGACTGTGCAGAGCCTCCCCTAAACCTCATTCTTTTCATGGGCAAAGGGAAGCACAGCAGCGTTTGCCTGTTCTTGCCAAGTTAGCACCGAGGAAGTTTCATCAGGGAGGGGCAGGGGCCTCAGAACAGGGAGGCCGCAGGGCGGCCTCGGCAGAAGGTGAGTGCTGGCAGCCCGTGGCCCGAGACGTTAAGCACTGCGGGGAGAAAAGGAGAAAGAAGCTCCTCGAACTTTAGGCCCACTCCGGTGTGTGAGGAGCCCGGCCGAGAGCTGAGAGCAGCCTGGTCTTCCCTTCTCGGTGAGGCTTGCGCACTTGCCTCCCTTGCTGCTTCCAGAGTCATAGCCCCGGCCAGTCCTCCAAGGGCCCGCGTTCCACCATGGCCAGACATTCCCTTTGAGAGTCTGCAAAGCTTGTTTTCTCTCGGAGAATTCTAGGCAATGCAGGTCAAAGAAAGGATTTTGAATCAAGTCCTCGGCTACGTCAGATGGAAGTGCTTACAAGAGCTGCATTAATGGAATAATTCTTTTACTCCATGATCTGACTCCTGTCTACGTCTTTAATATTTTATTTTATTTTCATTTTTTTTTAGAGTCAGAGTCTCTCTCTGTCGCCCAGGCTGGAGTGCAGTGGCACAATCACTGCGCACTGTAGCCTTAACCTCCTGCGCTCAAGCAATCCTCCCACCTCAGCCTCCTGAGTGGCTGGGACCACAGGTGTGCCACCACATCCATGTCCAGTGTTCATTCTCACTATTTTCCCCGACGCCTGCTGTTGCTTTTTTATACTACTTGCAGTTCCTCGCAATGTTGCAGAAGCACTGCCTCCTCCGTGATGGCCTTTGGGTTCGTCTAACTCTTCCTTCATGGTTTGTCCCCTTTATAGAATCAATAGCGCCTATCCCAGAAATCCAAAATTTTCACTGCACTTGAGACTATTTACTTATCCATCTCTGTCTTCTGGGCTGTCATCTCATTGAGTTCATATTCACCTTTGAATCTCCAGCATGCAGCCTGAGGACTGGAGGTCGCACTTAGTAGGTGTTCACTGAGTGAATAAAGGAAGGATAAAAACACTCTTCACTTTGCATTTAGGGAAAAAATAGATAATACAGAGATTTCCATCAAAACCAAACCAAGCCAATGTCTCTTGGAACCACACTGACAGTTTATGCCTTGGACAACTGGTGTGATGGTTTATGGTTTCTTCATTGTTGCTATGTATGTCTGTGAACGTATTTGTCTTTTAAATTACTTACTGGAGCAAGAAGTTCACTTTTACTTCATAAGGTAGATCCTTGAAACAGTCACTACTTTTAAAATAAAGTCTTCCCCTGTCCTCCTTGAAAGGTTCTTCTCGGGCTGCGTGTTGCAAGATCCTTCCTTGCAAGGCAGTCGATGCTGTCTTATCCCCTCCCCTGGAGCAGAACTGGGGTTACCTCTGGTAGCTTTGGACGTGGCCATCCAGGGTTGGTTTTGTAGAGATGAGACTCAGAGACATCAAATAATCTTTCCTTTACTCAGCATTGGAAGATTTCAAAGAAAGTATGTGCAGGAGGCAGAAGGTGGGGTCAGGATTGTTTAAATTTGGGGAGCTGCTTTTCTAGGGCAGTGAGAATTCTCTTGCTGGGTGGAGTTTGGTGCATGCAGCTGGGCTGGGGGTCGCTCCCAGCAGGGAACTCCTAAGTGCCAGCCCAGGCTCTCTGACCTGGGGCTAGTCTCCATTGGCAAATGCCACCCTCTGTCTCCCATCATCTCTCCCCTCATCTATGAAGAGGCAGGAAGGAGCTCTGGGAGGTGGGAGAGAGCAGAGGCCACAGTCAGTGTCCTCTGGACATGTTGATAGCTAGAAGCAGAGCTGAGGCCCTGGGGACAGACACCTTGTCCTTATGCTGAAGAGACCCTTTTTTAGCGGTCATTGCAAGTTGAGTTGGGATAAGGATTCTAGGTCTGGTTTATTTTTTTCTGGAAAGTATATACTTCCTCCGTTTCTCTGGCCTGATTACTGCCCACATGCCACCAGGGGATAGCTGTCCTTCTGCAGTAGTGGGAGACATGGAAGATCATGGACTCTGGAGCTGGACTCTCTGGGTTCAGATCCTGGCTTTGCCTCTTAGTAGCTGTGTGACTTTGGGCCATTCAGGTAACATCTCTGTGCCTAAATCACCTGTTCTGTAAGGTGGGTTCACCTCATAAGGCAGCTGTGAAAATTAAGCAGATTAGCACATGTTAAATGCCGATGACAGCACCAGCATGTAACCAGTATGCAGAGGACATGAGCTCTTACTGTGCCTGCCTTCTCCTTTCCCCAGCCCTCTCCCTTCAAGGTGGTCCCTGTTCATCTCAACAGGTACTCATTGGTGCCCCTGTACCCAGCACCATGACAGGCACTGAGGGGGATACAAGGAAGCTTAGACGTGGTTTCCATTCTCAAGAGGCTTATGATATGGGGACATGGAGACAAAAGCAAAGTAATAAAAATAAAAAACAGGGGAGGGAGTGGGGAAAGAATTGAAAAACTTCCTATTGGGTACTGTGTTCACTACTTGGGTGAAAGGATCGTTAGAAACCCAAACCTCAGTATCATGAAGATACTCATGGAACAAACCCACACATGTACCTCTTGAACCTAAAATAAAAATAGAGGCCGGGTGCAGTGGCTCCCACCTCTAATCCTAGCACTTTGGGAGGCAGGGGTGGGTAGATCACTTGAGGCCAGGAGTTCGAGACCAGCCTGGCCAACATGGTGAAACCCTGTCTCTACTAAAAATACAAAACTTAGGTGTGGTGGCTCACGCCTGTAACCCCAGCTACTCAGGAGGCTGAGGCACAAGAATCACTTGAACCAGGGAGGCACAGGTTGCAGTCAGCCAAGATCACACCACTGCACTCCAGCCTGGGTGACAGAGCAAGACTCTGTCTCAAAGATTAAAAAAAAAAAAAAAAGCAACTTTGTTAAAATATATGCCACTAATATATAAGTGTCATAGGAGTTCAAAAGAAGGAGACAGGGGGATGTGAGTGGCTTCATGAAAGAAGCCAAACTTGATTTGGGCCCGAAAGGGGGCAGAATATGGAGAACGGATTTTATGACTTTCCCCCCCACTATCTACAACTCTCTGAATTGTTCTGGCTTCTAAATCAAGATGGCAAAAACAATTGTCACCGCTCAGCTCAGGGAAATTCTCATGATGCCAGTTTACCTGGCAAGTTATACACAGGCTTAGGCCACTGCTGCCTTTGAAACTGTAGGAAAAATGCAAAACGTTCAAGGGCTGTCCCATTCCTCTGAATAAATACCCCTAAAGCAAGTGGTCCGACTCTGGGGTTGAGCTTCCCCCAGGCTTCGATGTCTGCCTGCGCTGTGGCTGTAGATGACTGACTTCCAGCCCAGTACATTCCACTGCTCTGAGCTGCTCCTGTTTCCCTCCAGAAGTCTGCAAAGCATTAAGCACTATATTTAACTCCAGCCTAAAAGAAAAATGCCTGCCTCTGAGCATCCAGACAGGAGAAAGGATTTTCACCTCCGAGGACACACAGTCATTGTTCACCTTGAAGCCATGGACACACAGGCCCGGAATGTTCATCCCCTCCTGGCTCTAGCTTTAGCTTTTGGGTGGGCTCAAGAAAGTGGAGGCCATTTTGATGACACTCAGTAGGTTAAGACCCCACACGTGGGAAGTTGGCTGGCTGAGTGGGGCTTTGTGCACAGCCTTGTGTAGTTAACCATTAACGGCTCATGAGAATCATCTGAGGAGCCTGTGGAAGTTGCAGATGGTGGGATCCGTGCTCAGCGGTTCTGAGTCCATCGGTCTGCGATGATGCCCAGGGATCTGTGTCTTTAACACACAAGCCAGGGGATTCTGGCGAGGGTGATCTTGGACTAGACGTGGTAGAGAACAGTTAGCTGGAGCTATTGGCGACTTTGTCAAAAGAGGCAAAGGAAGGAAAAAAGGTGGAAGCTGAAGCAGGGGGAGTGATTTTGAATGGTTTATGAACTGAATGACGAGGACACAAATTAAGGCAAATCATTAATTACATCATAGCCTCAAGAAGGCCCAGAGCAGGGATTTACAGCCCCATTCAAAGAAGAACTCAGCTTTGGAGTCATCAACGCAGGGAAGCTGAGGCTGGGGACCACGACGGGTGATGACCTGGGACCAACCCTGTTTCACCCAGAACACCTTCACTTTGATCTATTTTTATATACATGGGTTCCATGTAGGATGTCATTTGAAAACTGGCCACTGCTAAAAGAAGTTAAAAAGAAATCATTAACCTAGAGATTAAGTGTTTGGAAAACCTTAATCTCCCTGGGTGACTGGCGGAGCGGTGTTCTATTAGGTCTAGATCGTTTTATCTGCAAGAGCAGGATGACTTTGGACAGAATGCTTGTGCATAGGCCTTTTGGCTCTTCGTGTTCTTTTCTCCCTTTTAGCCAGTTCTCCTCTAATTTTTCTGTGATCTAGATCCATTTGAGAATCCTGTGAAAGCTTTGGACCTTTCCTGAGGAAAATGCACCTAGGCACACACCTATACACATTGGCATTCAATTTTGGTGGGGGTTATGGGCTCTGTGAAGCCCATCTGTACCCTTGGTGATCACACCCCCCTCTCAACTGTTAACTATTTATTTTATAGCGGTACCACGGTTATTCTTTGCTTCAAGTCTTTCAACTAGACTGCAAGCCTCTTGAGTCTAGAAACTGTGTCCTTTACAATGGCGGTCTAAAACGGGAAGGACAAGATGATCCGTTGCAGCATAAGAAGGAAGTTTTAGAACTTCTACTTATTTTTAATATTATCCCTTTTCAGTTTCTATTTTTCTATATTTCTATAATGCTCTCCTTGTATTAAAATAGTCCTTCATCTTCTCCTTCTCCTCCCCCTCCTTCCTCGTCTTATTATTATTTTGAGACAGAGTCTCTGTTGCCAGGCTGGAGTGCTGTGGTCCTATCTCGGCTCACTGCAACTTCTGCGTCCTGGGTTCAAGCGATTCTTCTGCCTCAGCCTCCCGAGTAGCTGGGATTACAGGCATGCACCAGCACGCCCAGCTAATTTTTGTATTTTTAGTAGAGTCAGGGTTTCACCACGTTGGCCAGGATGGTCTCGATCTCATGACCACGTGATCTGCCTGCCTTGGCCTCCCAAAGTGCTGGGATTACAGGCGTGAGCCACCGTGCCTGGCCGAATAGCTCATATCATTTAAATAAATATACATATTCTGAAGGTGCCATGTTAAAAACTTACTGATAATGATAACATGATTCAGAAAGCTTGGAGTACTCTGCTTTACAGAATTTTTTTTTTGACACTCATGCTGAGCATTTTGCTAGGTGTTGGAGATTAAAAAAATGATGTAGTTTCTACTCTCAGGGAACTTAACAGTTTAATTTTGCACATAGTAGGTTTTTTGTTTTGAATGGAGGAGCTGAGATTTGAGTCTGGCTTATTTGACTCCAAGTCAGTAACTGGATGATGAGTTAATTCTTCCAAGGTGGGTCATGCGCTGCATATTTAGGAAGCCACTGCCTCTGGGAAAACCACCCCACAGAATATGCTCCCACTTGGTATGAAATGTGAAGACAGGGTCGCTGATCTTATCATCCTTAGGTAGAGTCGCTAGTTAGCAGTGGTTCTGGAATTCTTACATGGCAGCTGCTCAAGAGTGGCACTTTCATTAGAAGGACGAAGCTTGAGACTGAGGTTGAATGCACTCTTGCACAGCAACCCACCACGATTACTTAGATTTTGTTGATTTGCTGTGGTCTTAGGGACATGATGGAGACTATGGGGTAGAAATTGGGTACAGTTATCTCAAGCCATTTCTTTCTTTCTTTTTTTTTTTTTTGAGACGGAGTCTCCCTCTGTCGCCCAGGCTGGAGTGCAATGGCACGATCTCGGCTCACTGCAACCTCTGCCTCCTGGGTTCAAGCGATTCTCCTGCCTCAGCCTCCTTAGTAGCTGGGATTACAGGCGTGTGCCACCACGCCCAGCTAGTTTTTGTATTATTAGTAGAGACGAGGTTTCACCATGTTGGCCAGGCTGGTCTCGAACTCCTGACCTCAGGTGATCCGCCCACCCCGGCCTCCCAAAGTGCGGGATTACAGGCGTGAGCCAATGTGCCTGGATAGTTTTTGTATTATTAGTAGAGACGGGGTTTCACCATGTTGGCCAGGCTGGTCTTGAACTCCTGACCTCAGGTGATCCGCCCACCCCGGCCTCCCAAAGTGCGGGATTACAGGCGTGAGCCAATGTGCCTGGATAGTTTTTGTATTATTAGTAGAGACGGGGTTTCACCATGTTGGCCAGGCTGGTCTTGAACTCCTGACCTCAGGTGATCCACCCATCCCGGCCTCCCAAAGTTCTGGGATTACAGGCGTGAGTCACCGCGCCCGGCATCAAGCCACTTCTTAGAGTTGTCTCAGGATCTCATGAGAAACTGAAGTAAAATTTTGGGGAAAAGGCAACCAGTGGAAGTGGCTGGGGCAGAGGAGCCGGGATGAGAACACAGCTGAAGAGAGAACACGGCAAGGCTGCTCAGAGCTTCCCGGCAGCCTAGGACATCCAACCCCAAACAGCGCATTTCTCAGAGCAACTGGTAGCCTGGACCCATCTCTCAACAGCTGTCGACCATTTATTAGTAAGACTCCACTGAAGCCAAGGGAATGGGGAAGGAGAGCAGACAAATGGGGAAAATAAAATTGTGTTAATGACCAGTCCATTTCCATGAAGCGAAGGTGACCCAGTCTGTCATCTCCTCGCGGTGGCTGGTGTTTTGTTGGCGCTGACATTTGCAGAGAGTGCCCCCAGCCGGGTGTCTGTTGCCCCATTGCCATGGAGACCCCAGCTGCAGAGACGTCTCCTTTGAGACCGCACCGCCCGAGATTTCAGGAACCATTTTGGAAGCATTTGTCCCGACAGCGCCTGCTAATCTCCCTTTCATTTGCAATTATTTTATCGCCTTGCTTCTCTGCCTTGGCATCGTTCCCGCAGCTAACTCTGCTCCCCGACACGGGGTCCGTGGGGAGGTGTCGGCCGCCGCAGCCCAGTCTGGGTGGAGATGAAAAGCGAGTGGAAAGGCAAGACTTGCTAGGGCGCTGCTGTCTTCAAACAGGCCCCGTCTCCTGGAGGCAGCCCTGGGAGGGCCTTGGCTGATTGAAGTAGCCCGAATTATGAAGCCTGAAGCCTTTGAGGCCAGCCGCCCCATCCAGGCCAGGAGTAATTGAACAAATAGTTTATCTGGCTAACCAACAGCTGTAGAGCCCAGGCGATTTGGAGAGGATTAGGGGAGAGTAGTGAAAGAATACTCCCACAGGGTCCTCCAAATCCTCCTCCTGAATCCTACCAACGAAGAACACATGTTGGAGCCCTGGAATTGCTTTTTAAGTTCGTTTCTCTCCCTTTCCAAGCGACTCGGTGCAGCGCTGGCAAGAATTTTAAGTGGCTGAAGCAACGTCTTTGGGGTCGCTGCCATTGGGTTCCTTTCAGTTGCCTCCTTCAATTCCTCCAAACCTCGCTTCATCCCAGACAGCTCAGATTCATGCAGAGATTCCGATCGCCCTGGGAGGAGCCTGAGGGTTGCTGCCTTTTCCTCAAGTCTACATTGCTGGCAGCTGTTGTAATGTCTAAGTGAAGGGCCAGGACCGAGTTCAGGTTAGGATAAAAGGGGAGGTGAGAGGGTGGCTGGATAAAGAGAGAGGACATGAGGAATTCCCTTCCCTGTGTGAGAAAAAGTTGAAAAAAGAAGAAAAAAAAGCTCCAAATGAATGAAAGGATTAAATATTAAAAAAAAATCTGAGTACTAGATGAAAACTTACAAGAATTTCCACGTTAAAACCTTTACAACCTCGGGATGGTGATGTGTTTTTCACTATTCAAAATTCAGAAATTACAAAAGCTGGAGAAGACTGGTAAGTTAATATTCTCCATGGCAAAAACACCATTTGCAAATGTCATAAACTGGGTAGAGTGCTTGCAACTCTTATCATAGAAAATGGCTAAATTCTGGCTGGGCGTGGTGGCTCATGCCTGTAATCCCAGCACTTTGGGAGGTCGAGGCAGGTGGATCATGAGGTCAGGAGTTCGAGACCAGCCTGGCCAATATGGTGAAACCCCATCTCTACTAAAAACAACAAAAAAACAAAACAAACAAAAAAATCTGGGTGTGGTGGCACATGCCTGTAGTCCCAGCTGTTTGAGAGACTGAGGCAGAAGAATCGCTTGAACCTGGGAGGCAGAGATTGCAGTGACCTGAGATCGCACCACTGCATTCCAGCCTGGGTGACAGAGTAACACTCCATCTCAAAAAAAAAAAAAAAAAAAGAAAAAAAAGAAAAGAAAAAAGGAAAAAGAAAATGGCTAAATTCTTTATAAGGAACTCAGAGATGCCAATCAGCAAAAGACCAAAACCTAAAATAAAAATGGATAAAGGATATAAACAGACAGCTCATAGGATAGAAAATAGAAATGCCCGCTAAGGCAGATCACTTGAGGTCAGGAGTTCGAAACCAGCCTGGTTTTTCATGGTGAAATCCCGTCTCTACTAAAATATACAAAAATTAGCCGGGCGTGCTGGCAGGCGACTTAATCCCAGCTACTTGGGAGGCAGAGGCAGGGGAATCATTTGAACATGGGAGGCGGCGGTTGCAGTGAGCTGAGATCAAACCATTGCACTCAAACCTGGAAGATAAGAGCGAGACTTCTCTCAAAAGAAACGTCCACTAAATATGTAAAAGTGATGTTCAACGTCACTCATGATAAGAGCAAAGCAAGTTAAAGCTACTCCAAGATACCATTTTTCACCTGTCCGATTGGAAAGAATCCTAGTTTGACAACACATTGTGTTGATGTATCTGTGAGGAAACGGAACTTTCTGATGTTGTTGGCAGGTAAAATGGACAGCAATTTGGCATTATCTGTCAAAATTACAAAGGCATGTAACCCTTGACCCAGCAATGACACCTTTGGGGATTTACCTTATAAAATATTGCGTACCTGAATGATGACATGTGCACAATTTATTAGTTACCACTGGTTTTTTAATAGCAAAAGATTGGAATCCCACTCACTTACTCATCAAGTGGGAAATGATTTCATAAATTATGGTACTTGCCTATGGTGGAATACTATACGGCTGTAAAAAAGAATGAGGAAAGTTTCTAGGAACTGATTTTCAAGGTATATTATATGAAAAAAAAGTCAAGGTGCAGTAGAGTGTATACAATATGCTATCCTTCCTGTGATGAGAAAAGAAAAAAAGAAAATGTCTATGTTTGTTTGCAGTATCTTAAAGAAATCTGGGAAAGGGTACCCTAGATACTGGTAAAATGAACTAGCTGTGCACATATGTGGAGGAGATTGTAACTGGGGTGGAAGTAAGACTTCACCATATACTTTTCTGTGTGAATTGATTTTTGAGCCAATGTAATGCCTATTCTAAAACAAAATAAAGCACTTCATATAAAGGGCAAAATTAAAACATAATGGAAAAACTACCAAAACCCAATGAGGAAGTCATTGTTCCAATGCCCAAGTGTGGGTGGAGTGAAGCAGAGAACATTCTCCACCACTTCGCAGGTGTGGAGGAATATGGCTAGACGGAATTAGCAGAAGGGCACAGCTCCCGTGGACTGTGTCCTCCCAGAGCCTCTCACCCCGGTCAGCCTGGGAAGGGGGCCTGAACCAGTGAACCAGAGCCTCTCAAATGTCAGCCTGAGTAATTTTTTGCCTCTAAGTATTCTTGTGTGGTTTCTTCTGAGCAGGTTCATGAATTTTCCTTTTCTTTACAGGCATCTTACAAATCCTTAAGGAGGAGGCTGTGTCCCCAGAGTCCTGTAGTCGGGACATTTGAGAATTTGGGACCCAGTTGGAAGTGGTTGCATATTTCCATTGTGTGGGAATATGTAAAAGGACTTTATCTGCAGGTAGCTCCAAAGACAGGAGCATGACCCGGCTGAGCTTTCAGCCCCCATTCTGTCCTGGCTCCCACGGAGGCCATTCTTTCAGACCAAGAACCTAAATCTGAAAAAATAGCCCAGGGTCAGAGCAGCCTGCTTGGAGTGGGCTATGGGGCTGATTGATGTATTTAGAAAACATTTATATGGCACTTAGCATATGCAAGTACTGGCTTAGTGCTTTGCAAATATCAACTCACTTACTTCTCATAACAATGTGTGAGGAAACTAGTTTCGGTATCATAAATTTAAAATGCGAAACTGAGGCACAGAGAGGTTAAGCAACTTGCCAAATGTCACACAGCTGGCATATGGCAGGTCAGAATTCAAAACTACGCAGTCAATATTTCACCAAAACACTATGCTGGCTTTTTAAAAAATTGAGGCAATATTCACATAACATGAAATTGTTGGTTTTAAAATGTACAATTCAGTAGCATTTAGTACATTCAAATGTTGCGCAACCATTACTTCTATCAAGTTCCAAAACATTTTCATCATCACCAAGGGAAAACCTGTACCCATTAGCAGTCATTCCTCATTCTCTCTTCCCTCAGCCCCTGGCAATGTCTACTATACTCACTGATGCTATAGATTTGCCTCTTCTGGAAATTTCATACAAATGGAATCACACAATATGTGACCTTTTGGATCTGGCTTCTTTCACCCAGCACGATGTTTTTGAGGTTCCTCTGTGTTGTAGCATGAGTCAATACCTCACTTTTTTTTTAAACAGCTGGATTATATTCCATTGTGTGGATTTGCTACATTTTGTGTACCTACTCATCCAGCTGCACACTTGGATTTTGGCCACCATTTGGCAAGATAGTGCCACTGTGAACATTTGTGCCCAGACTCTCGTTGAACACCTGTCTTCAATTCTTTTGGGCAGTATGCTGACTGTTTAACAGAAGCAAGGAGCAGGTGCTCTCACCTTCCCGAGTGTTTGCTCTTGAAGTTGTCACCCCCCTCCACCCCCCACTCTTTATTCATTTTTCCTAGAAAAAAATCCAAGAAGGATAGAAAAGTTGTCAGATCACTGAGTAAGGAAAGTCTGCTCTGGGGAAGAAAACAAGAAGGAAAAAAATAATAGTGGAGACTATACTCACCACCCAAACCCTAGTCATTTTCAGCTGCCATTCAGTCTCCAGTTGCCACAGGTGATAGGGCTGGGACAACCTTCTTAGCCAGCCTCGTGTGATGGAACGGCGAGCCTGCTGAGGCTCAATTCCATCCCAGGGGCCTCCCTGCCTTCTGAGCAGCTCCAGTGTGCATGTGTTGTTGCCAAAAGATGCCTGGCCTCCACCTTGCCCTGAAGAGTCAGAGATAATGCTGTGTGAGAGCCACAGTGGAAAGTCGGCTTTCTAATGGTCTGGACAAGCCCCCTCCTGCTGCTTACCATCCACAAAGTCTTGGGAATCAAGGTGTCTCCTTCCATGTTCTACAACATTCCATGGCTATTCTTTCTATATTCCAGCTTTGGGAAATTCATCATTAAGTTATTGTTGAGCTTTTTTCTCCCCTGCCCTTTAGGACTGACCAATTCAAGTTCCTATGAGTCCACATAAGCCTCATTTTCTAGCCTCAAGTTATTCATGTCTCTTTTTCACCATGCGGCCTGGAAAAGACCTAGTTGGGCTTGATCAGATTGGAATTAAGTCAGGGACAGCACATGGCTCCTGAGCCCAGGGCAGCTCTGCACTCCTGAAATTTCAAACCTTTGCTGAAAGCTTAATAATTTCTTTTTAAAAAATGTTGTTCTTCCACCATTGCCCATGGTTTTTGTACTCTTTCTTTGTTCTCTAAATGTCTAGAACAAAAGTCACAAACTGGTGACCGTCAGGTTGAGTGTGACCTGCAGACATATTTTTAAACACAGTGCTTTTAAATAATGAACTAATTGGGAATTTTGCATACAAATCTGGTTATCTAGCTTCTCTTGAAAAATAGGTGTAGCCACACACAGCTGGCATTCTGTCGTAGAATAATCAGTTGACCCCAAGTGGTGGCTGTCTCTGAGGGGTCTCCAACTCAGTAGAGACCCCCGACTCATACAAGGTATGTCTCTGGCCTGATCCCTGTGCTGATTTTCTCGTTTATGTGACCTTCCTGACTCTTTGTCTACAGTTACACGCAGAACAGAAGCAAATTACTTTAAAGGTTTTGGGTAAAGAATTGCAACCTATTTTGGACAAATGCCTTTAGTTTTTGGTGACTTCCTGAATCCCAGCCTCAGTATCAATGAATGATCACACACTTCAGCAATTTATTGTGGGGGCCTCTCCTATACAAGGATGGCGGAAACAGAGAATACAGGTTGGTATTTCAGTTATTTTTACCTTAATTTTCCACCTTTTGTTGACTTTGAAAGGTATTCAGTGACAGGTTGCATTGGTATGTAAAATGCTTTATAGAATCAGGCCAATTATTATTCTTGGAGGGAAGACATCTTTTTGTGGACACGAGGTTGCTTCACTGGAATGCTGACAGAAGAGAAGTGAAAAATTGCCTGAGACCCTGAGAGTTCATTTGGTCATGAACCTGACACCTGGAATAGCTAAGGGATTTTTAAAAATCCTTAATTAAAAAAAATTTTTTTTAAAGTCGTAAATCTGGAAGGAGCAGGAAGAAGGGATGACAGGTTTCAAAAAAAGGAAGACGGAAGAATTTTAAAAAGGACACTGTTTACGAACGTGCATGTGTGCATGTGTGTATGTGCACGTTTGTGGAATGGAGGGCATGTGAGTTTGTGCATGATAAAGGGAGAGTGCATGCTCGTGTGTCATAGGAGATTTCCCTCGAGTTCCCCTTCAAGATGTTTGTTTACTGAAGGCAGAACAATTTATGAGGCGCTTCCATCACCGTTACCAACTGACTTTTGATCATTGCCCGAAGTGTCAGTCTGAACGCCTTTCACTCAATTTTTCATTCTTCCTCCCTTTCCACAGTCTCTGCTAGCACAGGAAGGAGTTATTCAAAAGTATTTACTGAGATCCTATTACTTGCCTTCAGTCATTCTGCACACTGGGAATTGCAGGCAATGCAAAGGCCGGAAATAAGGCAGGCTGGGTGGGTGTGCTCGGGCATAGACAGCCATGGACTGCCCTGGAGTTTGCTGGGAGCACAGGACGGTGCAGAGGGGCAGTGGCCATGGTTAGTGCCCTGGTGGCTGCAGAAAATGATTGAGATTTTATTCTAATTGCAATGGGAATTCGCTGAAGAATTTTTAAGCAGGAGAGCAATATAGCTTGATTTATATGACCATGGCTGCAGAGAAATAAGTATACTTTCATTTATATATTAAAAATTAGAGAGAAATGTAAGAAATTGTTAATTAATTAAAAATAACATCGATAAACCTATTATATGTTAACACTATATTTTATGAAAACTATTTTCCAAAGCAAAGAAATTTTAGTGAGAAAAGTAGTATCGCTTTACCTTTTTGCAACTCTTGCTAATGTTTGGCTTAAAAGAAGATAGTTGAATTCTCATGTTTGCTTCTGAATAAAATGTGATGTGTTATTTTAGCTAAAATATATGAAGAAAATCTGGCTTCATACAGAGATGTAGTTGTAAAGGGGAGAGGTGCTTAGTACATAAATGTGGATATTTTTCTACATGAAAAATTGACAAGTAGTTTCTTAAAGGTGAATTTCAATATGGATTCTGAAACCACATCAATGCACTCCATACTTACTTACATTAAAATCCATTGACCAATCTTGCATTTGAATGGATCTTTCACTCATGTATGATCTTATAACATCAGCATTGGTCATTTGGAAAATAATGACCCGCTAAATTATGCAGATCTCCAAATGCTGACAAATATCATTATACAAGAGAAAAATAATCACATTTGTTAGTAACAGCACTGATCGCACTGGAAAGTCTTTAAGGGTTGGGGAGCTGTCAAGTTTTCAGTGATGGAAACAAGTTTTCCAAGATTATAATTTTTGCTTGAAAGATCAAATTTTACCATTGGTGACAAATATTGCCAGTTGTTTTCATTGAAGTGGCAGGCTCATTTTATTTGTTTTTGTGAAAATGTCTCTAAATATCCATATCTAAGTAAACAGTTTGCGTGTCAGTCCCTCAAGTAATAATAGCATTCCATGAAAAAGTGTCTAGTTTAGCTGGCAATTCAAATAATCACACAATCATTTTATCCTCTAGACAGCTGTTGTACTTCAGTACACAGCAAAGTGTTTTGCATGCGGTGTGTAACATTTTTAGAAAGTATGTACTCAAGGACTGAGATTTAATAGAATTTTTTTTACTGTTTCGTGAAGAACATTCTTAAGTGAAACTGATACTTTTGTATTTTAGTTATGAGTGCATGTAAAGGAAGAACACGATGACTACTAGTAAAGTGTATTAGGCCGTTCTTGCATTGCTATAAAGAAATATCGGAGACTGGGTAATTTATAGGAAAAGAGGTTTAATTGGTTCTGCAGGCCGTATGGGAAACTTAGTGCTGGCATCTGCTTCTGGGGAGGCCTCAGGAAGCTTATACTCATGAAGTGGGAGCAGGCATGTCTCATGGCAGAAGCAGGAGCAAGTGAGAGAGAGTGTGGGGGGAGGTGTCCCACACTTTTAAATGACCAGATCTTGCAAAAACTCACCATCATGAAGACAGCACCAAACCATGAGAGATCTGTCTCCATGATCAAAACACTTCCCACCAGTCCCCACCTCCAGCAAGATAATTCAACATGAGATTGGAGTGGGACAAGTATCCAAACTATCATCAGGTTTGCTGCTACAGCCTTGATTTGTGTTAGGCGCCAACAGTTTTACTCATCACTGCTTTTGCCTCATCAGTATAAACACGAACACAGTGAAAAAGACAAATAATGTCTTAGTGTTATTTTGAAAATAGAGTTGACCTTGCAGATCCCTGAAAGAATTTTAGAGATTCCTTAGTGGTCTGTGGATCCCACTTTGAGAAACACGGACTTAGATTACTGAGTGCTCAAAATCCATAAATATTAAGTCTTGACTAAACAGTTGGATTGTTTTAGAGAAAACAGTCTTATAAATTTGGCAGGTGGGAAAGTCTTTTGCCCATGAATAATCATGTCCACACTTCTCATGGTATGAATAACCATTTTGCTACACATTAATATATATTAAATTCACAGTTTCCCTTTATCTTTCTCAAGCCCTAATATTTCTCCATGTTATTGATGATGAAATAGGTTCATCTCATTTCAGACTCAGCAGAAGTGGGGTAGAGCTGTGTTTGATTTCTGAAAAATACTCAATATATCACCCATTTTATTATGTACAATGCCACAAAAATGTCTGTAACTACTTTTCATTTCATATGATTACTAAATGTAAGCAGAATGTACTGGGTGTTTTATTATATAGGTGGTTAAGGCCTGGTAAAAACAACGTTTTGCAACACTACCTCACCTTGCACAATTGTGCGAAAGAGATTCAGGAATAGAGTTCCTGAGTGTTGCCATGAAACAGAGATCACCTTAGGCCTCTGTTTCCTTGGCTGTAAAACAAACTCATTGATGACAATCAGAATTCTTCACCTCTGTTAGAGAAGAAAGACAGCAGATCTGGGTCCATGCCCCAGAGGTGTGACCTGGCCAACCCACTTTGAATTTATGGTGGAGTGGATTTAGAACACCAGGGGTGGCTGGGAAGGACAGGGCACAACAGACTAGTATTCCCACCACCTCTTCTCTTCAGGATCTTACGGACATTGGAGGGCCCTAGACCTGTTCTGACTATGGGTCCCCCGTCAGAAAGCATGAGAGAGATGTTGGTATTTTATGGAAAGCCCATGGGATTTTGAAAGGCCATTCATGTTTCCCAGCAGAACTAGGGCGTCCAATTGAGTTCAGACTTGCTCCATGCAACCATTGTCAGGTCACATGACATCTTTAGGTCTCAGCTTTTCATCTGTAAATGCAGGCCGCTGGGCTAGGGGATGCCTAACACTTCTTCCAGATGCACTGGCACTGAATGCCAGGAAGTCTGGCGATTGAGGGCTGGCACCAGGAAGAGGCCCAGATGATTTTATGAAGGTATTAAATGCCACCTTTAGGGGGTGTGCGAGGCCTCCCCGCAGTCCTGAAAAGTTACGTAGCCAATTCTTCAGCATTTCCAATGTTTCTGGGAATCTGAGTTCTTAGGTGGAATGGAATTTTCTGTCTAGGGAACCAATCTGTGGTGGAGCTAATACAGAGATCAGGAAAAGTGGCCACAGCAGACATTCCACAGGGGAAAGAGCAGAATAGCTAAACTAGTCTAGTGAGATTGAACAAAAGGAGGGTGCCAGGTACGACCCTTAGTTCTAGGCTCACGTAGTCTTTAGTTCTAAGGCTAATCTTAGGGAAGAGTTTTGGGGAGATGGTGGAATGGTGGAGATTCATAGCTGTCTCAAAAATAAGTTTATGTTTTCATTCAGCAAACATTTATTGATCTGGGAATGTGTTGGGTGTTGGTGAAACAAAGAAGACAGACCGGGGTGGGTTCTCAGCCACACGCAAAGCCAGTCATGGCCAAGGACGTTGCCATAGGGTGGGATGAGGGGCATGGCCAGCTACTTTCAGACAGATGAGTATATGTAGTCTAGGGGCCGGAGATGCCCTCTGAAGGCAGCCGCCTAGAAGGGTATGTAGAGGTTAGTGAAGAGAGTTGAAGGCAGCGGGGGGGGAAAGAGGAGGAGGCATGAGTGGGGTGTCGCTGTGCTGGGAGACCTGGAGGGGATGGAGGTGTGGCATCTTGGGAGTTGGGGAGAAGTTGAGTCTGGCTCTTTTGTTGAGTGAGAGATGGAGGATTGGGTAAGAAACAAGGCTAAAGTGGTTGGGAGGGGTTGGATCGTCTTAAGGAGATGGAACTCCTCATGGAAGTTCAGTCTCCATAGAAACCCCTGAAAGGCTTTAAGGGAGGGACCTGGAGGAGCTCTTTCAGCTGAAGTGGTGAATGGATTGCGAGGGAACGTGACTGTAGGCTGGGACAGCTGTTAGAGGTGGTCGTAATCTTCCAGGCGCGAGATGATGTGGACTGAAATGGTGTGGAGACAGTCGGAGGGAACTGCGAGATCATTGGGTGTCAGACTGGGTTTGCAAACCTACGACTTCACTGAGAAGTGAGCAAAATGAGTAACCTGTTCCCCTCAAGCAATACAGATAATGTGGAGAGATACTTGTTTCCACTGGAACTTCCTCCTCCACCGAATCCGACTGCTGTACCTGTGTGGATAGGTAACCTACAGACCGACTGCCCCACCTCAGGAGTCCTGTGTGCTTCACGACTAAAATCCTCTGGCACTTTCAGCCTCATTGAAGAGAGATGAAATCCAGTTGGCTGTAACCAGGGACCTGGAGTAATGTGATGGTGTCTATTACCAGGGAATGGTGGTGAAAGTCTCTGACTCCATTTAAGATGCACTTTCATCTGTGATCTGTTGATTTCTTTTGCAGCCCAGCTGTTTCCACTCAAAATAGTGGCAGAGCAAGTTTGCCACTCAGATTCTTGAATTGGGAGGAGGTGAGTGTTCTTCTCCCAGCAGGAGAACTGGTTTTGTTGCTTCTGGCCTCAGGGGTGGCCCAGAGGCACTCAGAGAACTGGAGACCAGGAGGGGTGTTGTGTCAGAGGGCCAGTGACCAGGATTCTAACAAAGCGTTTTCCACCAGGTGCTGGACATGCTGCTTACCGCATTGCTGGAGTGCAAGATTAGCTGGTCTATGCTCAGAGTGCCTGGGGCCTGAGTTTGCTGGAGATGTGGTCTTAGGATTCTCCGGGGAGGTGTGAGTTCATGTCCTGTAACTCTAGAACTGCCCAGAGCTTGGTGCAGTCACACACTCAGATCTGACCGACTGTCTGTTCTTACCTTTCCCAGGCTCTAGCAAGTTCACAAGGACACCAAGCAATCTCCCAGACTTAGACTGTACACTGGCTGCTCTGGTACTGTTGCTGGAGCCTTCTCCTCTCTCCTCCCCTTCCCAATAGTTCCCACTGCAATAGGTGTAGCAGTGATACAGACAGGAAATGGAGGTGCTGTTGATGCTGCTGCTGCACCCTTAAAATTCTATAGAACTTACAGGGTGTACTCTGGAAAAATGATTGCCATAACCTTATTCATTGACTTATTGGATGAAATATGTACTGAGTGTCTACTAGGTGCCAGGCACTGTAATAGGTTCACGGAATAAATCTGTTAATAAAATAAAGAGCCCTTCTCTTGCGGAGGTTTCATTATAGTGAGAGCTGACAAACAATAAATGTAATATTTTGACTCTTTTGAAGGACTTCACCCCCAAATTTAGCCCAATCCATTCGGGAGGACGCATCCCTCTCTCTTGATGCCAGGTGTGGCCAGGGAGCCAGTGCTTGTCAAGAAATCTAACCTCCTGCTGTTGCAGGGGCGTCTGTTCTTATGACCTGGGTAGAGAGAGAGCAGAGCCAATGAATACGTACAGTGATGTATGTAATATGTGAGAAGGTGAAGGATATGGTAAAAGGGGAAAAACAGAGCAGATTAAGTACACGTTAGACATAGTTCCCGTTTCCAATCATCTGTAAACAGGGCATTTCATTCAAGGCCGTTCGGATCTGGTCCAGACACTGGTGGATCTACGTCTGAGAACGAGGGTAGTCGCCCAGGGCTAGGACACTGCTTGGAAAGGTGGGGAGGCCTCAGCTGAAGTGACGCGTGGCTTCTGTAAGATTAGTGTCCCTTTACGTTCACTTCTCCTGTTAAAAATGTAGGGAGAAGCTTGTGGTTATTCCTCTGAGGGATTGGAATTGTAAATGACTGAGGGACAGAGGTGCTGGAAATTTTTATGCAGGTGAAATGATCAGGCAAAGGGCTAAGCCTGGGCTGTGGCCTCACCTGCTTCAGTCTCGCAGTTGGCTGGGTGGGTTCTGCTCTGCGTTTCCTCCTGACCTTTAGATGCGTGGGATTTCAGGGCTTAGTTCGTTGCCAGTGAAGCAGGAGTCTGGATGCTTACTGAGCCTCTCCCTGTGTTTGCAAATAATTATCATCCGTTCACAGTGGGTGCTGCAATGGTCTCACTTCCTTTAATTAATTTGTTCTGTATTAATTATTGGGGTATTTTGTTTTATGAAGGTGATGACTCACCCAGCCCGGCAGGTTCAGAACTGCCCTGTTGGCATTTGACTGACAAGGGCTTGGTCTCCCAATTCAGCCCAAACCATTCAGGAGGATGCATCATTCTCTCTTGACATCAGGCGTGGCCAGGGTGCTGGTGCTTGCCAGGGAACCTGACCTTCTGGAGCAGAGATGTTGTCAGAGCTGCTGAGTCAGGGAGGTCAGTTCTGTTCATGACCTGTGTGGAGAGCGAACGGAGCCAGCCAATAGAGAAAACCCTGGCGGGCTAGGGGTCGCACAGGAGAGTGGCTTCTGAGGCAACGTGTTAAGTGACCTTGAGACTGGAGGTCCTTCTGCCAGAAGTCTCTGGAACTCAGGTACCCGGAGGGTCCTGAAGTGTCCTTGGGGAATACAGCACAGAGTTCTTTGTGGGACGCGAGGGATATTTCTGCTCGGCTTTTTCTTGGCGTTTTTTCCTTGAGTGCTTTCCTAAAGCTGCTTTTTATCCTTCCAAGTCATTCTCTCTGGTTGTCAGTGCATATTTCTTTCCGGGAGCTTCTGCATTCTTGTTGCAAGTTTATTCTCACTTTCTACTGGAAATCCTCTGAAGCTGAAGGCTGCTGACCCAAAGACCAGTGTGCCGGGCAATGAAACTGTGTGAGGCATTGCTGGATCTCCATGCGGAAGAGATTCCAATATGCGGACCTATCACCTGCATTATTGCCGTCGCCCCCTCATTGCCATTTCCCGACCCATGCACAACTTGGCTCCTCTCCAGTCCATCTTCCAGGGTGATTTTCCAGATCTCAATCTGACTGTGTCACTTGCCTCCTTAAAGCTCTTCAGTGGACACCTGTCACTTACATAACACACCTGGAACCTTGACTTGGCACACAGGTTCTGCCCTATCTTGTCCCTGTGCCTCCCTGCTCCAGGTCAGCTCCCACCACTCTCCTGCGGCTACTCAGTAACAGGGCTATTTGGGGAATGGTTGGAATACAGGATGCATTTCAGCCTCCACACTTTTGCACATTTTGTTAGCTCTCTGGATTATCAGTTTCCAAACTCACCTTCTTGAGCTCCTCATGAACTTGCTCAAAACCTTCTGCCTCTGGGAAGCCTTCCTGTCTCATGCCAGGCCCAATTCCTGCATCCTCGTCCCACGGTACCTTGCGTCCCAGATCCAGCCCCTCGCGGTAACTGTCGTTTGCTGTCCTGCTGGCCCTCACTGTTTGATTATACTCTTCCTGGAGCCGGAGTCTGGACCTTATTTATCCTTAGAATTCCAGGCCTCACAGAGAGATTTGCCTGAAGTAGGAAACGAGTGGATACCTCCTAAAAAATATGAACAAATGAAGGAATGAATAAAGCAAGAATCTCAGTCAATCATTTGTTCCAATGGAGATGTACGTTATCCAAGAACAAAGTTTGTGAATTTTTAAAAGGCTACATCTTCTTCCAAGAAGCATAACATCTTTTTCTCTAATGCAATTGAAATTTCAAAATAAATAAAATATTGTTATTAAACCAAATCAAAGCAATGAGGTTTGAATATGCTGATTCAGTCTACACACACTGTACTCGGTAGGGACTGCGGTCTCCCATCCTGCATCATAGGCCCCTGCCGTGTGGGGCGCCTGCTTAGTCAATTTGCTGAAAGTCAGATGGGTTTTGGTCATTTGGGAATCAGCTTTCTGCAAGGCGGCCCACTGCCCCATCACAGAGTGAGAGCGCCTGGTGTGGGGAAGGTACGGAGTCCGTCTTCTAAGCCAGGCCCTGCTCTGCTTTGCCAGACCTGAAAACCCTGTCCCACAGTCACACGGAAAAGGCGCCTTCAAACTTCTGTAAGCCTAGACTATACAACTCCACCAGCTGGAAGTTATTTCTCTCAATGAACTCAATTCTTCTATGCCATGCTTTACGTCATTTCCCTCCTGTTCTGACTGAGAAGATGGAAGAAAACCTGCCTCATCTTGTGCCCAGTAGGTTGTTTCTTCTGTGAATGAAACCTGCAGCATGAATTTGCTTTTATGGTTGGCCACATCACAACTGAGTGTGTGTATATGTTTGGGCTGGGGTCTAGGATGGGGTTCGGTCTGCCTGGGGGTCATTTTAAATGGTCCAGGTTTGGGAGGAAGGGTTTGGAAGGAAGGAAGGGAGAGCTCTGATGTCAGCATTAATTAAGGGAGTTAAGAGCGTGTGATTTGAAATCTACATGATTGGAGGAAGTACAGACTGTGGGAGAAGGAGATGGGAGGTGGTGTAACTGAGTGTGGGATTCATGAGTTCCTCAGCGGTGAGCCGTGCCCTCCCAGAGGAGGCCACAGCGAGTCTCACTTGTCAGAAGGCAGCTGAGAAGGCTGTGTCTGAAGCAGAACTCCAGGTTCTGAGAATCTAGGGGAGGAGCTAGGGACCAGTGGATATGAGTGGATCTGTCTTCCCACCTGGCAGGAAGTCCTCATTCAGCCAGAGAAGTTCTGCGTCAGGCTGGGTTTGGAGGTATGATTTGGGTTCTTCCAGAGTGGATCTTATATCACATGCTGTTCATTTTCTAGAAAATTCTCTAGCCCAGGTTAGATATTATGTGTCTGGCCCTTCCATGATCTTCCCTCCATCCCCACCAGTGTCCTCTAAGGAGTCCTAGTCTCTAAAGGATCTTGTACCCCCTTCTCTCACTTTCCCCATTTGCCTGACTTTCTCCAGCTTGCTGCCCTCAGAGGACTGATTGGGGATCAGAACAAAGTAGGAGGAGCCAGGACTCCTGGGTCCGGCTGCTGGCTTGGCTGGGCCTTGCTTTCTTCCTTCTGCGACGTGGGCAGCTTGCTGTTTCACCTCCCTTGAGCTGCCCAGTTAATGATTACTGAGTTCCCAGGGAGTGCAATGCCCTGCAGCTTTCCAGGATGCAAATTGGTAATTTTTACTTTTTGCCAAGCCTCCTACATCAGCTCCAGTTTCATAACCCCAGTCACCCTTCCCCGTCCCTCCCTTGCTGCACGTACTGACCCCTCCCCTCTAGCCCAGATGCACACCTGCAGGAAAAATTGGCACGGACTCCTTCCCATCTGTCACCACTTCAAATAGCTTGAGTGTGCTGATGACAGATAAAGTAATTGCAGAGCATACGAATGACTTAATATTTGATGTGTTAAAATAATTTTTTAATGCCATGCATTTGTATAATTTATAGCTGGAATCCATGGTTTTTGTCTTGCTTCCCCTTCTCACCTGGCTGCTTCTCCATGAGAATGGTGGAGCATTCACCCCCAGCCCTGGTTTTTGCTTCGTGGGTTTACAGGGAGAAATGGGCAGCATTCTGCAGTATTCACAATGACTGTTGATTCCTGAATCTCCAGGGCCTGTTCCATTGTGAGCCTGTTAAGGTACTTAAAAATAATTTGATGAATGAATTATTAAGGAGCAATTTGGGATTCATCTATCAAGTATTTACGGAGGGCTAGTGTCTGCCAAACTCCATCCTAGGTAGTAGAACACAGCAATGAGCAAGACAGACCAGGCCCGTGCCCTCAAGAGGTTTAGGGTTTGGTGGGAAAAACTAGCATTAAGTGAGTTGAGACGAGAAGGGTGGAAAGATTTGAATCAGGAGAGTGACATAATTAGATTTTTCTATGAAAAGATTCTAGTAGATTGCTGGGACCATCACTAGAGGTGGTCTACCATCTGCTAGAGCTTAGCTGGGCTCAGATTTTGGCTTGGGGAGGGGGACAAGAAAGACAATAGAAGAAATAGGGCCACTCTTTGCAAAGTACTTTCAAACAACGGAGAATGTTCGTAACGTGCAATCTTTGCCCCCTTCCTCCTTACTTCTTTTATTTACATGCCTTGTCACCTATGGATGTGTGTGGCCTTGGACATACAGTGAAGGACAGAAGAGAAGAATGTGACCCCAAAAGGGATGTACGAGGTGTTAGTTCCCCCTCTGTGTGGTGTCCCATCCCACCCCCTTTCCTAGTCTGAGGTCCCCCCTTTGTAGGATTTCCAAAGCTGCTATGGGGTATTATTCATACCATGGAAGTCAAGGAAATGCTAAGGTAAGGCTTTCATTTTTCCTGGAGAGCTGTTTGTTAAGCCTTTCCCAGCACACCACTGCCTACCACTCCTTTGTGAAGTTAGCAGGTTAGCAGCCTAAAGCTCGGATAGTGAGGGACTTCTGTTTTAGCCTTAGCGCTGAGGTGGCGAATTCCTTTCTAACTGAGGCCTGTAATTTCTCCCCGTCTCAGCATGGCTGGTTTTGAACTTGTCTCTTTTGAACTTGTTTGCTTTTGAACTTGAGTTTGAGTTGGTTGTTCTTTTCCTACTCCCTCAGCTTTCTAGGGTGTTGCTGATGGTGAAGGGAACACTCAAAAAGGTGCTGGACTGTGGGGAGGAAGTGCCTCCCCCTGCCCTCCATCCCCATGTGAGCCGGCATTCCCCTCTTCCAATAGTGGAAACCCTCCTGTGCAGGCCACTACCCATCCTTCCTCCGATTCCTTCTCCATTGCCCACTTAGGATGCTTACTTATTGGAACAGAGAGGTGGGGAAAGTAAAACTGGTCAGTTTTGGTCCTTAGTTACAACTCTGGAATATGGACAATAGATTATGTCATCAGCTTCGTGTGATGCAAGTGTTCTGGACATGGAAGTAGGGGACCTGGGCTGGAGTCCACACTTTACCACTTACCAGCCATGTGATCTAATGTCTTTGAAGTTCAGTCTTCCTTATCGGTCAGGGGGATGGTGATGATACCTCACACACGAGGTTATTCTAAGGATGGTGCATGGGAGCTCAGCTATGTGTGTCAAATGTTTTTCCTTAGATATTTTCTTGATCTAAAGGGACTTTTTAATGCATGAAGTTCACATGTTTACTCTGAAGAGGTGATGGAGAGTCAGTCACGAGGACACACAATCCTAAAGTTGCTCACACTGACCCAAAAACAATGCCAAGGTCACTATACAAGCGTCTGCCTTGGCCATGGCCCCAGGAGAGTTGGCCATTCAAAGCAAGAGCCCGTCTCATGGCCTCTGAAAAAGTTTTGAGGAGGAAGATGATGCAGGACTGGATGGAAGTTTTAAAAATGCCGCCAGATGAGGTTGGCATGGTAGAACTGTGGGTTTCTCTTTTCCTCTGTTTGTATACTCAGTGATAGTATAATAATATAACCTGCACAGCAGGGCCCTCTGTTTTACAGGAGCTCACTCTTTACCAGCTTCTGGTGGGAAGCAGGGAGGAGGAAGTGGAAAGAGCCTTACAGCTCACAAGCTAAAGGAGATATCTCAGGCTTGTAATCATCATCATCATCACCGTCACCGTCATCATCACCGTCACCGTCATCATCACCACCATCATCATCACCACCGTCACCATCATCATCATTGTCATCATCATCATCATCATCATCATCATCACCATCGTCATCATCATCTCTGCCACAGGGGAGGGGCTGGTATTTGCTAAGGTGGGGTATTACCTCTTTGTCCCCAAAACCACTATACCTGTCTTCCCCAGATCAAGCACATCTTTTTATAAGGGTCCCGGGAGCATTGAAATGCAGCACATCATCAGGGAACCATGACAGGTGATGCTATTTAGCTCATGCCTCACCTTTTGCCACCCAGTGGTGGGTAGAGGAAGAAGGGATGCGACAAGACCTTAGCACTCAGGGTTTTGCAAAGGGTCCCATGAAAAAATCTCTTCACTGCTGTCATTCCTGACATCTCTCCAGTCCCTTGTCATGTGGCTCCACAGTCCCTTCCTAAGACCATCATTTTTCACTTGGGACACCGATCCCCATGTGATAAGGTGCCTCCTTGAATCTTCTAGAGCCTGTCACCTCCATCGTCAGTTGGATGACAGTGGAGTCCTCTTCTACCTAAGCTCTGTAAGGCTCAGAGGGGAGCAATGGGTGGGCAGGAGGATGGTGGGTATTGCATCCTCTGGTTGGTAGTTTTGCAAGGGAGATGTGCTTTTACCATAGCCAACTAGAGCCAAACTAGTCATGAGAAATGTAGATTCTGCTATGGGCTAATCCAATGGAAGGTTTGAGTTAGTGGTGGTTGAGATAAAAGGGATTATAGAAGTGGAAGGCTGGATAATTCAGCCCCTTACCTCCTTAAAAGCTCTCTACCTCCTCCTTAATCTCACTTCCGACGTACAAACATCAGGGTATTGAGCCAAGAAATTCATAGAAAACACAAAGGGCCAAGAACAGATGAAAATACACCTAACCTCACTTAATAACAAAAATGCAAATTCAAATGAGACAACAAGAATTCCAGGAAACTAACCTATGGAAAAAAATAAGTACAAAAAGATGTATACATGAGGACATTTATTGCAATGTTGTTTGTAGTAGGGAATAACTGGCAACAAATATACATGAATAAGTGAATGATTAAATATATTATGGGGCTGGGAGCAGTGGCTCATGCCTGTAATCCCAGCACTTTGGGAGGCTGAGGCCGGCAGATTGTTTGAAGCCAGGAGTTTGAGACCAGCCTGGGCAGCGTAGCAAAACCCTGTCTCTACAAAAAATACAAAAGTTAGAGGTTGCTGTGAGCTGTGGTCATGTCACTGCATTTCAACCTGGGCAACAGCAGTATCTGTCTCAAAAAAATGTATTATGAGTCATCTATGTAATGAATACTATAGTAGGCATTAAAACAATAGGTTGGCTTTAAATTTCCCGAGGAAAAAAAATGTACTTGCGACATTAAAAAACAAGATGCAGAACAATTTGTATGTTTCCGTTTGTGCAAAAGAATTCTCTGTGGAGTCTGTGTGTAAAAAAGAGTGGATGGATACATACCTAACTTAGGATGCATCTCAGAAGTGAGATTAAGTAGGAGGACATAGGGGAGCTATAATTTTTACTTTGTACATGGTTTATTATTTGAACTTTTGTAATAAAAAATCCTAAAAGAGATATTTAGCAAACAGAATATGTAACTAACTCTATCTTGCTACTGTTCTCTAAGAGCTGGCAAGTGCAGACTTTCACACACCTCTCAGAACATGGTCAGGCAGGGATCGGTTGAGTGCAGTGGTGTGCTGCAGGCTGACATCTGGACCTGGTTCTTCTCCCTGGAGTGGGGAAAAATCATATGAGGACAGTACAGGTTGTGTAGGTCCTGGGGGAAACTCCTGTCTCTCAAGAAAAAGCCTGATATCAGGTGGGCAGACCTCTATGGCAGCCACACTGGGATGATCCAATGTGGGATTCAGGGGATCGGTCTATCAGCAGGGGCTGTGTTATTCCAAGACCTGGGAAAGCAGGCAGGCAGCAACTGGAAGCTTGTCAAGATGTCGTGGAGCCATCTGGACTACTGTCAAGATGTCACAGTGACAAAGATGATACATGTACCGGTGCTTATACATGTTTACAGAAAGAATGAGAGAGGAATCTGGAAAGAAAGAGCAAGACAAGATGCCAGTGCATGAGAAATCAGGATTCCCTAGAGGCATCCACAGGTTGTTGAGGTATGGAGACATATACAGAGCCAGTCACCAGCAGCACAAACACACAGCAGGTGGCAGGACCCCGGCAGGCTGATCTCAACAGTGACTGGTATTGAGGGTAACGGTGTTTGCGGCCAGTGTGTACGAGTGCACTCCAGGGGTGTCTAGGCGCCTAGGAGGGACAGCCAGATGGCCCCAGCTGCAGAGAAGCAAGGCTGGAGATTCTGGGCAGGAGGCTGCAGCCTGGAATGGAAACTGGCTCCCGGCGCCTTCCTCTTTAAGTCTGCAAGAACCCTAGTCCAGATGGACCCCTTCTGAGCTGTGTGTGCGTGAGGTCTGGCCCCTTGCTGTTTGCAGACAAGCTGCTGGGCAAGGCCTGGCCATTGAAGCGCTGCCTGCCGGCTCCAGGAGGTGGACATCACATGCGTCCATGTGGCGGGGCAGCCTGGTCTCTGTGGGCTGCCAAGGCTGCCACTCTGCTGCCCTCTGTTCATGGCTCCTAAGCACGAACCTGCAGGAGACAACTGAGTGGAAAGTCAACATAACAATCTGGCATTTCTCCCCCTGGCATCCTGACTGCCTCTGCACTGTGGGAAGCCTTGTCATGGGATGGGAAGGAGATGGGACAGGGTCCAGAGATTCCTTCAGGAGCAGGCCCTCCTCACCGGTGCTCCCCGACCAGGCCAGCCCTGGCTGGAGCTGCTCTACAGTGTCCTGCCCGGCAAGTGCTGGCAACTCCCTGGGTGGGGAGGGAGGTGTTGGGGCTGCAGGGACAGTGGCTTCTCCGTGGGTGAGTCCCCTTTATGCTTCACCTCTCCTCTGCGACAGCTGGTCTCCTCTCCCACCACACAGAGCTGCAGAAGAAGCTAGGAGAGGGCACTGGGGAGGGAGCTGCGTCCTGGCCTGGCCCTTGCCACCTGTGTGGGCCTGGGCAGGTCATGAACCTCTCTAAGCCTCACACTGCACACTTGTAAGATGCTGGCTATCAGCCTGTCTGCCTCGCAGGGCCGCCGTGAGATGGGAGCAGCGCCGGGGAATGTGGATTGAGTGCCTCTGAGGTCCCAAGCACTGGGGCCCCACGTACCTGTTTGGTTTTGTTCATGGTTTTCATCACTATGCAACATACAACCCAGCATGCTTATTTATTATCTCGATTACCCATCTCCCTCTCTAGAAAAAAAGTTTCATGAAGAGAAAGCTTTTGGCATCATTTGTTCACCATGTTTAGAGCAGTGCCTGGCTCGTCGGAGAGGCTCAAAATCACTGGTAGAGCAATGAATGAATGGATATCCCACTGAGTCCTTGCTGAGATGATCCAAGGTAGAGATGGGAGCATGGGCTGTAGGAGGAGGATCATGGCTGTGAATGCACAGAGGAGCATGCAGTGGTCCTGGCATTGAAACTGACTGTTTAACCCTGAAGTCTGCCCTATTCAGTGCTCTAAACAAAACGGTGTCCATGAAAGTGCTGCTACGCTATAAAGCGCTGTATGCCCATAAGCTGTTAGAAGAATTGCACCTTCCCTTGCCTGATGATCTGAACATAAACTTCCTGTTTGTGCAGTGTCTTGCAGTCTCCGCCCTCAGCCTTCACACTTGCCTGGTTTTAGGTAGCACGGACAATTCTCAGCTTTTTGCTGGTCCTCATGTTGTATATTATCCATAGCCAATATCTGTAATCCAAGGCTGATTTTCCTGGACCACCCTGCACGTTCACTGCCATCTCTCTCCTGTCAGCTGGTGGAGAGTGTGCTCCTGAGGTTAGCACAGCTTTTTGTGACCAGTTCAAGCCTAACTGTTGCAGAGTGGAGGTCCTGTAAGAGACACACTGAATTCCTGGGGTCAGAGTGTGCAGTTATCTGCTGGTAAAATGGACTCCCACTCCTCTCCTCCTCAGCCTTGGTGCCTGAGAATCAGGTGGAAAATCTCGACAGTGTTTTTTTTTAAATTATTTATTTATTTTTTATTTTTTGAGACAGAGTTTCCCTATTGTTGCACAGGCTGGAGTGCAATGGCACAATCTCAGCTCACTGCAACCTGTGCCTCCTGGGTTTAAGCGATTGTCTTGTCTCGGCCTCCTGAGTAGCTGGAATTACAGGCATGCACCACCATGCCCGGCTAATTTTTTGTGTTTTTAGTAGAGACTGGGTTTCACCCTGTTGGCCAGGCTGGTCTCGAACTCCTGGCCTCAGGTGATCCACCTGCCTCGGCCTCCCAAAGTACTGGGATTACAGGCGTGAGCCACTGTGCCCAGTCGACAGCAGTTTTACATCGAATAGGCACTCACAGGTTCTCTGCTTCTGTCCTGTTATGAACGTCCCCTTTGGTCTGGCCCTGCACTGCATCTCTACATCCTCACTCGGACTCGACTCCACGCCTTTCTGCTCTGCTGTCCCTTTTCTGTCTCTCGCTCTCTCTCTGTTGCACACATAGGCCAGGGCTTAGCTATGACGCTTGTGCTCAGGAACCAGTGGGGTAGTGTGGGGAGGGAGAAAAGCCAGACAGCGCAACTCTCCCTGTCACCCTCCCATCCAGAATTCCACGCTCAGCTGCCTGTCTCCTGCTGATCTTGAGAAAGACCCTCTGGAAGGCTGTGCTCCTTTGGTGGTCAGAGAACAAGGCTTTCCCCCTACAGCTGAAGAATCTGAGCGGAGGGGGAAGGGTGGTGTAGAAGAAGAGTTTTCTGCCCTCGTGTCAGGGAGAGGGTGGCTTCCTGATGTCTTCCAGGGAGCAGGTGTTCGTCCAGGCAGTCCCCAGGGGATCCTCAACAGTGGAAACAAAGGGGCAGGTGGGAGAAGGAAAGGCGTGGGCTTTGGAGTCAGATCGGCTCTAAACTCGGACTCCACCCTTTCTTGGGTGTTCACTGTTGGTCACGTAATATCTCTGAGCCTCAGTATCTCCCTCTATAGAATTTCAGCTCTCAGGGTGGCTGTGAGGATCGGATGAGATGGCTTCTGAAGTACCCTATAAATGAAGTGCATTCATATTTGTCATTCTAACTGTGACAAAGTGGAGACGAGTTAATGTACCAGTATTTCCCTTAGAGAAAGCTGATTTGTTGGGGAAATACTTTGCTCTGTGCTTCGGAACATAAGCGGAAAGTTTAGGAGGGCCTGGACGTGGGCGGAATTGCCCGACATGGCAAGGGGAGGGGCTTGTGCTCAGTTCTGCGGGTTTCGGGGAGAGGAAAAATGAGAGGGGAAGGGTGTGAGGTGCGTGAAGTGACCACAGCCCCTGGCCACCTCCCCATATTCAGTTTCTCTGAATTTACAAGGTGCTTGCATGTGAGTTTTTCATAGTAATCGGGGGTTGGGGTGACATTTGGATCAGTGTGGGGCAGCATGGAGGTAGATGCACAAATGAACTACCGGGAGGTGGGAGAGTCATAAGTGGGTAAGCAGCAGAATTCACAGATGTTGTAAGGAGGACTTTGGATGCTCATGGGGCAAGAAATTGGGGCTCAGTCCAAGTGAGGACGTAGAGATGCAGTGCAGGGCCAGACCAAAGGGGACATTCATAACAGGACGGAAGCAGAGATCAGATCAGGTTTATCTGGGCGTTTGTGGACTAGGAAGTTACAATGGACATCTTGTAACTTTCTAGGCTATCATCGCCATTGTCGTCATCATCTTCTTCCTCATCCCTGTTTAATGGGGAGAGAGAAACAGGTTCAAGTGCAGTGCTTTGCTCAGTCAAGGTCACATGGCACCAATGGTGACAAGACTGGTTTTAAATTCCCCGTTGCCTGTCTCCAGCCTATGGCTGTTCCCTCTGAGCCAGACCACCTGTCCATCATAAAGGACATGCAGTCTCAGGTAACAAGTGAGGAAACTAATCTCTTAGGAGTTGCACAATCTGCCCAAGTCTAGACCTGGGCTTAATGCAGGGTGCTGAGGACAGGCAGGGGATGCCTGCAGGAGGAGGCCGCTGGCTGGGCCTGCAGGGCTGAGGGGAGCTGTTTTCCTTTTGGGCAAATTGCTTCACGTATGGGGATGATCACCCCTCCTAATCCTGTCTGCTAACTGTACTAAGGCTTCCTCTCTGCCAGGGGATTGAGGGCTGAGGTGACAGGACTGGGCACAGGACCCGGGAGTGCTCCCTGCACCCCCTGCTTTGATGCCCTGGCTGCACCTGCTTTATTCTTGTGGAGCCCGGTTTCATTTGGTCACCCTTCAAAGCACAGTCTCACACAAAAAGGCCAAATTTAGCTTTAATCAAATAACTACTGAACATGAAATCTTCGAAGGATCATTACCAACTCTGATTTATTGATGACTAGGAAGGAAGGTCTAGGAAGAGAGTGATCGGTTACATCATTGAACGCTCATGGAGGGTTTAAAAGCTAATCCTGTGTGTGTACATCTTTTTTTTTTATTTCAGAAAGCTTAATACCTGTGTCAGATGTCCTCTTGGAAGCCATGGAAACCCTGTTGGCTATGCAGACAAAGAGGCTGGCCCCAGGAAGGTTGTAGGACAGCAGGGCTGGGATCTTTCCATACCTTCTAGATCAGTATTTCTCTATCTCAGTTACACTGTCAAATGGTCACCAGCTCAATTCTTCACCTAAGACAAGAGAAATGAGGAAAGGTGAGGAAGAAAAGGGAACTAGGAGATTCCCCCAAACAGCTCTCTTTAAAAGGAGGTGAACGACAGAGGCGGAAAGGATAGGGTGGCAGGGTCTTTCTGACGTACTGTTTCAGAGCTTGGGAGATCTATTGTAGCACCAGTACATTGATAGGGGTGGCTCAGTGATTGCCAAATACCCACCTGCCACTGTTGGCATCCTTGTCATTAAGACAGAAATTAGCCCAGTTCAACCTGGGTTCTGTGTGGGAAGCTGCTTACATGGTTTCCCTACTCTGGGTCTGAGGACATCCACCCTTCATCAAGTACTGGTCATCCTGTCTAAAGATACCTAGAAAAGTTCTTCAATTCACTACATTAAGAAGATTCCAGGAGGGTTTGTGGAGAATGACAGCCCACTCTCTGTGCTGAGCATTTGCGTAGGCAGTGGTGAGCTGGGGCGGCTCACACCCACTCATGAGAGCCAACTGGGAACATCTCTGCCGAACTCTGCATCAGTGACCTCACTGTGGTTGCTTGAAATTGGCCATGGTGGGAGTTTTAAAAATTTATGTATATTTTTCCAGCTTTATTGAGGTATAATTGACAATACATATATATGTATGTAATATATACATATATAATTGACATCTACATATATAATTGACATATATATACAAATAAAAATTGTATATATTTAAGGTGTGTAATGTAATGATTTGATATAAGTATACATTGTAAAATGATTACCACAATCAAGCTAATTAACCCATCCATCACCATTATAGCAACTATTTTTCTTTGTAATGGAAATACAATACTTAAGATCTACTCTTTTAGTGAATTTCAAGTATACAATACATTATTATTGACTATAGGATAGTCACCATGCTGTCAGGATGGTGACTCCGGAACTTATTCATTTTTTAACTGCAAGTGTGTACACTTTGACCAACATCTTCCCAGTTTCCCCAAGCCCCAGCCCTTTCCCTGTTCTCTTGTCTGTGCCTATGAGTTTGGCTTTTTTAAAAAATTTATTATACTTTAAGTTTTAGGGTACATGTGCACAACGTGCAGGTTTGTTACATATGTATACATGTGCCATGTTGGTGTGCTGCACCCATTAACTCATCATTTAACGGTAGGTATATCTCCTAATGCTATCCCTCCCCTGTCCCCCAACCCCACAACAGGCTCTGGTGTGTGATGTTCCCCTTCCTGTGTCCATGTGTTCTCATTGTTCAATTCCCACCTATGAGTGAGAACATGCGGTGTTTGGTTTTTTGTCCTTGCGATAGTTTGCTGAGAATGATGGTTTCCAGCTTCATCCGTTTCCCTACAAAGGACATGAACTCATCCTTTTTTATGGCTGCATAGTATTCCGTGGTATATATGTGCCACATTTTCTTAATTCAGTCTATCATTGTTGGACATTTGGCTTGGTTCCAAGTCTTTGCTGTTGTGAATAGTGCCACAATAAACATACGTGTGCATGTGTCTTTATAGCAGCATGATTTATAATCCTTTGGGTATATACCCAGTAATGGGGTTGCTGGGTCAAATAGTATTTCTAGTTCTAGATCCCTGAGGAATCGCCACACTGACTTCCACAATGGTTGAACTAGTTTACAGTCCCACCAACAGTGTAAAAGTGTTCGTATTTCTCCACATCCTCTCCAGCACCTGTTGTTTCCTGACTTTTTAATGACTGTCATTCTAACTGGTGTGAGATGCTATCTCATTGTGGTTTTGATTTGCATTTCTCTGATGGCCAGTGATGATGAGCATTTTTTCATGTGTCTTTTGGCTGCATAAATGTCTTCTTTTGAGAAGTGTCTGTTCATATCCTTCGCCCACTTGTTGATGGGGTTGTTTTTTTCTTGTAAATTTGTTTGAGTTCATTGTAGATTCTGGATATTAGCCCTTTGTCAGATAAGTAGATTGCACAAATTTTCTCCCATTCTGTAGGTTGCCTGTTCACTCTGATGATAGTTTCTTTTGCTGTGCAGAAGCTCTTTAGTTTAATTAGATCCCATTTGTCAATTTTGGCTTTTGTTGCCATTGCTTTCGGTGTTTTAGACATGAAGTCCTTGCCCATGCCTATGTCCTGAATGATATTGCCTAGGTTTTCTTCTAGGGTTTTTATGGTTTTAGGTCTTACATTTAAGTCTTTAATCCTCTTGAATTAATTTTTGTATAAAGTGTAAGGAAGGAATCCAGTTTCAGCTTTCTACATATGGCTAGCCAGTTTTCCCAGGACCATTTATTAAATAGAGAATCCTTTGCCCATTTCTTGTTTTTGTCAGGTTTGTCAAAGATCAGATGGTTGTAGATATGTGGCATTATTTCTGAGGGCTCTGTTCTGTTCCATTGATCTGTATCTCTGTTTTGGTACCAGTACCATGCTGTTTTGGTTACTGTAGCCTTGTAGTATAGTTTGAAGTCAGGTAGCACGATGCCTCCAGCTTTGTTCTTTTGGCTTAGGATTGACTTGGCAATGTGGGCTCTTTTTTGGTTGCATATGAACTTTAAAGTAGTTTTTTCCAATTCTGTGAAGAAAGTCATTGGTAGCTTGATGGGGATGGCATTGAATCTATAAATCACCTTGGGCAGTATGGCCATTTTCACGATATTGATTCTTCCTACCCATGAGCATGGAATGTTCTTCCATTTGTTTGTATCCTCTTTTATTTCATTGAGCAGTGGTTTGTAGTTCTCCTTGAAGAGGTCCTTCACATCCCTTGTCAGTTGGATTCCTAGGTATTTTATTCTCTTTGAAGCAATTGTGAATGGGAGTTCACTCATGATTTGGCTGTTTGTCTGTTATTGGTGTATAAGAATGCTTGTGATTTTTGCACATTGTTTTTGTATCCTGAGACTTTGCTGAAGTTGCCTATCAGCTTAAGGAGATTTTGGGCTGAGACGATGGGGTTTTCTAGATATACAATCATGTCATCTGCAAACAGGGACAATTTGACTTCCTCTTTTCCTAATTGAATACCCTTTATTTCTTTCTCCTGCCTGATTGTCCTGGCCAGAACTTCCAACACTATGTTGAATAGGAGTGGTGAGAGAGGGCCTCCCTGTCTTGTGCCCGTTTTCAAAGGGAATGCTTCCAGTTTTTGCCCATTCAACATGATATTGGCTGTGGGTTTGTCATAGATAGCTCTTATTATTTTGAGATACGTCCCATCGATACCTAATTTATTGAGAGTTTTTAGCATGAAGGGCTGTTGAATTTTGTCAAAGGCCTTTTCTGCATCTATTGAGATAATCATATGATTTTTGCTGTTGGTTGTGTTTATATGCCGGATTACGTTTACTGATTTTCATATGTTGAACCAGCCTTGCATCTCAGGGATGAAGCCCGCTTGATCATGGGGGATAAGCTTTTTGATGTGCTGCTGGATTTGGTTTGCCAGTATTTTATTGAGGATTTTCACATCGATGTTCATCAGGGATATTGGTCTAAAATTCTCTTTTTTTGTTGTGTCTCTGCCAGGCGTTGGTATCGGGATGATGCTGGCCTCATAAAATGAGTTAGGGAGGATTCCCTCTTTTTCTGTTGATTGCAATAATTTCAGAAGGAATGGTACCAGCTCCTCCTTGTACCTCTGGTAGAATTCGGCTGTGAATCTATCTGGTCCTGGACTTTTTTGGTTGGTAAGCTATTAATTATTGCCTCAATTTCAGCTCCTGTTATTGGTCTATTCAGAGATTCAACTTCTTCCTGGTTTAGTCTTGGGAGGGTGTATGTGTCGAGGAATTTATCCATTTCTTCCAGATTTTCTAGTTTATTTGTATAGAGGTGTTTACAGTATTCTCTGATGGTAGTTAGTATTTCTGTGGGATTGGTGGTGATATCCCCTTTATCATTTTTTATTGCATCTATTTGATTCTTCTCTCTTTTCTTCTGTATTAGTCTTGCTAGCGGTCTATCAATTTTGTTGATCTTTTCAAAAAACCAGCTCCTGGATTCATTGATTTTTTGAAGGGTTTTTTGTGTCTCCATTTCCTTCAGTTCTGCTCTGATCTTATTATTTCTTGCCTTCTGCTAGCTTTTGAATGTGTTTGCTCTTGCTTCTCTAGTTCTTTTAATTGTGATGTTAGGGTGTCAATTTTAGATCTTTCCTGCTTTCTTTTGAGGGCATTTAGTGCTGTAAATTTCCCTCTACACACTGCTTTGAATGTGTCCCAGAGGTTCTGGTATGTTGTGTCTTTGTGCTCATTGGTTTCAAAGAATATCTTTATTTCTGCCTTCATTTCGTTATGTACCTAGTAGTCATTCAGGAGCAGGTTGTTCAGTTTCCATGTAGTTGAGCGGTTTTGAGTTAGTTTCTTAATCCTGAGTTCTAGTTTGATTGCACTGTGGTCTGAGAGACAGTTTGTTATAATTTCTGGTCTTTTTACAGTTGCCGAGGAGTGCTTTACTTCCAACTACGTGGTCAGTTTTGGAATAGGTGTGGTGTGGTGCTGAAAAGAATGTATATTCTGTTGATTTGGGGTGGAGAGTTCTGTAGATGTCTATTAGGTCCGCTTGGTGCAGGGCTGAGTTCAATTCCTGGATATCCTTTTTAACTTTCTGTCTCGTTGATCTGTCTAATGTTGACAGTGGGGTGTTAAAGTCTCCGGTTATTATTGTGTGGGAGTCTGAGACTCTTTGTAGCTCTCTTAGGACTTGCTTTATGAATCTGGGTGCTCCTGTATTGGGTGCATATATAGTTAGGATAGTTAGCTCTTCTTGTTGAATTGATCCCTTTACCATTATGTAATGGCCTTCTTTGTCTCTTTTGATCTTTGTTGGTTTAAAGTCTGTTTTATCTGAGACTAGGATTGCAACCCCTGCCTTTTTTTGTTTTCCATTTGCTTAGTAGATCTTCCTCCATCCCTTCATTTTGAGCCCACTTGTGCCTCTGCACATGAGATGGGTTTCCTGAATACAGCACACTGGTGGGTCTTGACTCTTTATCCAATTTGCCAGTCTGTGTCTTTTAATTGGAGCATTTAGCCCATTTACATTTAAGGTTAATATTGTTATGTGTGAATTTGATCCTGTCATTATGATGTTAGCTGGTTATTTTGCTCGTTAGTTGATGCAGTTTATTCCTAGCCTCAATGGTCTTTACAATTTGGCATGTTTTTGCTGTGGCTGGTACCAGTTGTTCCTTTCCGTGTTTAGTGCTTCCTTCATGAGCTCTTTTAGGGCAGGCCTGGTGGTGACAAAATCTCTCAGCATTTGCTTTTCTGTAAAGTATTTTATTTCTCCTTCACTTATGAAGCTTAGTTTGGCTGGATATGAAATTCTGGGTTGAAAATTCTTTTCTTTAAGAATGTTGAATATTGGCCCCCACTCTCTTCTGGCTTGTAGAGTTTCTGCCAAGAGATCAGCTGTTAGTCTGATGGGCTTCCCTTTGTGGGTAACCTGACCTTTGTCTCTGGCTGCCCTTAACATTTTTTCCTTCATTTCAGCTTTGGTGAATCTGACAATTATGTGTCTTGGAGTTGCTCTTCTCAAGGAGTATCTTTGTGGTGTTCTCTGTATTTCCTGAATTGGAATGTTGGCCTGCCTTGCTAGTTTGGGGAAGTTTTCCTGGATAATATGTTGCAGAGTGTTTTCCAACTTGGTTCCATTCTCCCTGTCACCAATCAGATGTAGATTTGGTCTTTTCACATAGTCCCATATTTCTTGGAGGCTTTGTTCATTTCTTTTTATTCTTTTTTCTCTAAACTTCTCTTCTCACTTTATTTCATTCATTTGATCTTCCATCACTGATACCCTTTCTTCCAGTTGATCGCATCGGCTACTGAGGCTTGTGCATTTGTCACGTAGTTCTCGTGCTTTGGTTTTCAGCTCCATCAGGTCCTTTAAGGACTTCTCTGCATTGGTTATTCTAGTTAGCCATTCGTCTAATTTTTTTCAAGGTTTTTAACTTCTTTGCCATGGGTTCGAACTTCCTCCTTTAGCTTGGAGTAGTTTGATCATCTGAAGCCTTCTTCTCTCAACTTGTCAAAGTCATTTTCTGTCCAGCTTTGTTCCGTTGCTGGTGAGGAGCTGCATTCCTTTGGAGGAGGAGAGGTGCTCTGATTTTTAGAGTTTCCAGTTTTTCTGCTCTTTTGTTCCCCCATCTTTGTGGTTTTATCTACCTTTGGTCTTTGATGATGGTGATGTACAGATGGGGTTTTGGTGTGGATGTCCTTTCTGTTTGTTAGTTTTCCTTCTAACAGTCAGGACCCTCAGCTGCAGGTCTGTTGGAGTTTGCTGGAGGTCCACTCCAGACCCTGTTTGCCCGGGTATCAGCAGTGGAAGCTGCAGAATGCGGATATTGGTGAACAGCAAATGTTGCTGCCTGATTGTTCCTCTGGAAGTTTTGTCTCAGAGGAGTACCTGGCCGTGTGAGGTGTCAGTCTGCCCCTACTCGGGGGTGCCTCCTAGTTAGGCTACTTGGGGTTCAGGGACCCACTTGAGGCAGTCTGTCCATTCTCAGATCTCCAGCTGCGTGCTGAGAGAACCACGACTCTCTTCAAAGCTGTCAGACAGGGACATTTAAGTCTGCAGAGGAATCTACTACCTTTTGTTTTGCTATGCCCTGCCCCCAGAGGTGGAGTCTACAGAGGCAGGCAGACCTCCTTGAGCTGCGGTGGGCTCCACCCAATTCGAGGTTCCCGGCCACTTTGTTTACCTACTCAAGCCTCGGCAATGGTGGGCGCTCCTCCCCCAGCCTCGCTGCCACCTTGCAGTTTGATCTCAGACTGCTGTGCTAGCAATGAGCGAAGCTCCATGGGCGTAAGATCCTCTGAGCCATGCGTGGGATATAATCTCCTGGTGTACCATTTGCTAATACCGTTGGAAAAGCGCAGTATTAGGGTGGGAGTGACCTGATTTTCCAGGTGCCGTCTGTCACCCCTTTCTTTGACTGGAAAAGGGAATTCCCTGACCCCTTGAGCTTCCCAGGTGAAGCGATGCCTTGCCCTGCTTCGGCTCATGCTCGGTGCGCTGCACCCACTGTCCTGCACCCACTTTCCGACACTCCCCAGGAGATGAACCCGGTACCTCAGTTGGAAATGCAGAAGTCACCCGTCTTCTGCGTCGCTCACGCTGGGAGCTGTAGACTGGAGCTATTCCTATTCAGTCATCTTGGCTTCACCCACCCCGAGTTTGGCTTTTTAAAGATTCCACATGTAAGTGACATCATTCAGTATGTGTCTTTCTGTGTCTGGCTTATTTAACTTAGCATAACGTCCTCCAGGTTCATTCATGCTTTTTTTCCAGTGGTAGGATTTCCTTCTTTTTAAAGACTGAACAATATTCCATTGTGTGTAGATACCACATTTTCTTTATCCATTCATCCATCAAAGGACACTTAGGTAGTTTTCATACCTTGGCTATTGTAAAACATGCTGCAGTGAACATGGGAATGCAGATATCTCTTCGAGACAGTGATTTGATTTCCTTTGGATATATACCGTGAAGTGAAATTGCTGGATCATATGGTAGTTCTATTTTTAACTTTTTGAGGAACCTTCACACTGTTTTGCATAATAGCTGTATCAATTTATATTCACATGGTGGAGGTATTTATGCCATGAAAATTGGCAAACAAATTGGGGCTTCTCCTTTGCTGGAGAGTCAGATTAAAGCATTTGTCGGCAAAACAACAATGAGATACCACTGCACGTCCATGAGAATGGCTAAAATCCAACATGGGCAACACCAAATGTTGGCAAGGATGTGGAGTAACAGAAACTCTCACGTATTGCTGGTGGAAATGCAAAATGGTACAGCCACTTTGGAAGGCAGTTTGGAGGTTTCTTACACTACTAAACATACTCTTACCATATGCTCCAGCAATTGTGCTCTTTGGTATTTACTCAAAGGATTGAAAACATGTCCACACAAAAACCTGCATGTGAATGTTTATGGAAGCTTTATTCATAATTGCCAAAAATTGGAAGCAACTAAAATGTCCTTCAGTAGGTGAATGGATAAACAAATGGTGGTATAGCCGTACAGTGGAATATTATTCAGTGACAGGAAGAAGTGAGCTATCAAGCCACAAAAAGACACGGAGGAACTTGAAAGGCATATTGCTAAGTGAAAGAAGCCAGTCTGAAAAGGCTACGTACTGTACGATACCGAATATAAGACATGCTGAAAAAAACCCTAAGCTCTGGGAAAGTATTAGTGGTTTCCAGGGCCTGGTGGGTAATAGTGAATTGGATGGGTAGGTAAAGCACAGGGATTTTTAGGGTGGTGAAATAATTCTGTAAGATACTGTAATGGTGGATATATGACACTATGCATTTTCAAAACCCAAAGAGCTGTACAACAGAAAGAGTGAACCCTAAGTCAACTATGGATTTTAGTCAATAATAATATATCAATATTGGCTTATCAGCATCACATTAATGCAAGATGTTAATAATAGGGAAAACTGTGGGGCTGGGAAGAGAGGGAGTATATGGGAACTCTGTGTATTTTCTGCTCAATTTTTTCTGTAAACTTTAAATTGCTCTAAAAATAAAGTTTATAAATTTTAAATATGTACCAGCACGTCTCTTTACATGTCATGCCTTATTGAACCAGTGGTGCCTCTTGGGTGGAAGCAGAAAGCAACTTTATCCTTTCATATCATTGCTTTGTCTGGGTCTCTCCTCTCCTTATTGATAACCTTGGTAGATCCTGTAACTTTCCTTGTCCCTCTCAGGTATCAAAGAAATCTTGCCTGGAGGTGTTAAAAGTCAATCAAGTTTATTTAATTATTTAAGCCTCAGTCTCTGACCTGAATCAGTGCTCAGTGCTGTCCCCCTCCCTCAGCCTTGGCTTGCCTCTGGCGGTGAGGCCAGCAATAAGGAAGGAGGGAAATGGGAGGATTCCCCTCTATGTCACTTCCTGCCCTTCCCCTCTTCCTTCTCTACTCAGGATTCTGCTTTTGGCTCCTGTGGAATTGGAGGAGAGGAAGTGAGAGAGGCAAGGGTACAGGTGCAGCCTGGCTTCGGTGGCCTCTGGGAGGGCTGCTGTCCCATTTCTGGCTGTCTGGAAGGCAGAGCTTTCCTGGGTTCCTGGGTCCAGGTTGGTCTCTCTGTGTTTAACCACTTTGACCACCACAGCCCAGGGCTCCCTGTGATCTGAGCACAGCACAAGATGTCCTGAAGGTGGAACCCCCTTGCTCAGGGTGCACTTAGGGCAAGTCCAGTCTCTCCTTCCCTCCCTTAGCTGCAGCCAGGGAGCTGGCCAACCTCTTGCCTGGATGTGTTCACGGTCTGTGGCTAAGGTGAAGGCACCTCCTTCATCCATGAGCAATATAGCACAATGCCGTGACAGTCTGCTCTCTGAAGAAATCCACTCTCCGGTCTGTGTGCACCAATCTTCAAGCCTCTCCTTCCAGATCCTCCAGCAGGTGATGGGCTCAGGGTCACCAGGTTGGTAGTTGGGTCACGCTGACCAGGTTCTGCATGGATGTGCTGTCACTCCTCATTAGAGTGTGGGGCTGCTGACACCCTTTCCCCCATAGCTCTAGGCCACAGCTGACACAGAGAGGAGATCAGAAAAAGGCAGCCCCAACATTCAGAAGCTGGGCTGGCACCCACAGCTGGGTCGTGCCACTCTCGTACGGGTGTGAACAGCCAGGCAGAGCGTCAGCCTCAGCCTCAGAATACTCCCGAGAGCATGAAAACTGAAAGCCAGTGAAGCCACTTCGTAATTGTGTCTCAACACAGACGAAATCAAGGTCGCCGTGCCGCACAGCTGACTTGGCTGAGAAACGACTCTGCCACTTCTTTGCCGATTAGGGCTGTGTCTTGGCTCCAGTGTCTCCTCCCTGCTGATATGACTTAGATGCCAACATGGAATTGCCTCTACTTTTTGATAGCACCCAATCTAGAGGGAAGCCCCACTTCCTTAGACTCTCCCCAGCATCACAAATAAAAGCCTAATTCTTGACGTAAGTGCTTCTAACACCTCCTTAGTGAGACGCATGGTTCCTTCGTGGTCCTGCAGCAAGTAAGAAGCCCAACTTGTGTGTTCCTGGCCGGCCTTGGCTGGAGAAGACCGACAGAAACAAAAGCAAAAGTTACATTCTAACCATGTGTTACATGTAGTTTTGCCCTCTCTGCACCATTTTTATTCTGCCAAGATAATAACTGTTTCCTTCTTTCCCTCCCTCCCTTCTTCCCCTCCCTCCCTTCCTTCTCATTTCCCCCTCATCACAGAATATTATCTGGCCAGGTGCGGTGGCTCACGGCTGTAATCCAGCACTTTGGGAGGCCAAGGCGGGAGGATTGCTTGAGGTCAGGAGTTTGAGACCAGCCTGGGCAACGTAGTGAGACCCCTATCTCTAAATAATAAATAATAAATAAATAAATAAATAAATAAAATTAGCTGGGCATGGTGGCAGGCACCTGTGGTCCCAGCTACTCAGGGGCTAAGGCAGAAGGATTGCTTGAGTCTGGGAGGTTGAGGCTGCAGTGAGCTCTGATCGCCCCACTGTCCTCCAGCCTACGTGACAGAGTGAGACCATGTATCAACAAACCAATACAAAACAACCTAAAATATTATCCACAATTCCTTATTTGAAACCATAGAAGGTAGATGCTTTAGAATCCAGAAGATTTTTCGTATTAGAATAGCACATAGACTGAATGTTATATAACCTCTAGGAATTCTGGGGCAGAGTACATCTGCAGTGAAATAGAACTGTGTCCACAAGACATGGGACAAATGCAGACTATAGAAAGACTCATAATTATACACTATGTAAAGGCTCATGCCAGTTCAGACCAAGTTTTTGTTGCTAAATGAGTTTTACTAACTTCATGGAAAATGTCCATTGTGAAAGCTTTTTTTGGATTTCTGAATTATAGATAAGGAATATAGGCCTGTACAGATACATATACATACATATAATTGGATGAAAGTTGAAAAATACAGAAAACCACCAAGAAAAATATGCATAATCCTACCATTCAGAAGTAACCACAAACATTTTGGTATATGTACCATTTGCACCATATATCAAAGATCTTGTATATATTTATATATGTAAAATATACAAACACATGTATATTATTTTTGCTTATTCCCCCTCCAGAGAAACAGGATTAAATTCACCTTTTCACTTATATGTATAAAATGAACATTTATCTATCTCATTAAATATTCCACTATAGCCTAATGTCTGTTTTGAGTTTTATTGTATTGTTATTCCTTAATTTGTCAAACATTTAGGTTGATTACAATTTTTCATGTTATAAATAACAATGTAATGAGCATAGTTATCCATACAGCTTTTGGTGTGTCCTGATTTTTTTCCTAGGATAAATTACTAGGTGTAGAATTACTGGGTCGAAGGGTTTTCTTTTATCAAAAAGTTTACAAAAGAAACTTAAAAAATATGTTTTCATCAAAAAGTTTACAAAAAATTGGTAAATGATTTTCATCCATGAAAATGAGTGCTTATTACTGATTTCACTCATTATCATTGTTTTAGAGAATTGCCTTACGTTTAGAATAAACATCTGTATTCAGAACACAGTCGCATCTTTTTTTTTTGTTTTGTTTTGTTTTTGAGACAGAGTCTCACTCTGTTGTCCAGGCTAGAGTGCAGTGGTGCGATCTTAGTTCACTGCAACCTCTGCCTCCTGGGTTCAATCAATTCTCGTGCCTCAGCCTCCCGAGTAGCTGGGACTACAGGTGCGTGCCACCATGACAGGCTAATTTTTGTATTTTTAGTAGAGATGGGGTTTCACCATATTGGCCAGACTGGTCTCGAACTCCTGACCTCATGATCCGCCAGCCTCGGCCTCCCAAGGTGCTGGGATTACAGGCGTAAGCCACTGCTCCCAGCCACAGTCGCATCTATTAAGCATACCTTATAAATGGGTGTCCAGGGGAGAGAATTCAATCATGGGTTCTTAGTTTCTGTTTCTGGTTAGGCCAGTAAAGCCCCTTCCTCATCCCACTTTTCCGCTTATCGCTAGAGACAGAAACTAAAAACCATGGTTTCAGGCTGCTAAAAGCCTAAAACAAAACAGAACAAAACAAAACAGAAAACAACACAATAAGGCAGGTTGGACAAGCTTGTAACGTTCCAAAGAAACCCAGAACCTATACTCTGTATCTTAATTTAATAAAAATGTTTAGAGGGTTTTAAAAATCATTCCTCCTTATATTTATTGAACCTAAGAGGAATTTCTTGATCGTAAAATTCTACTATTACTTTTCTTTAACCAATACTTCAGAAGCCAGGGTGTTAGACAGTCACAGAGTATTGCTTTCCTTGCATGGTGATGATTCCAGGGATGTCAAAAATTTTAACAGCTTTGTTGAGGTGTAATTTACATATGATGAACTGCATATATTTAAAATGTAAATTTTGGCTGGGTGCGGTGGCTCATGCCTGTAATCCTAGCACTTTGGGAGGCCGAGGCGGGCAGATCACTTGAGGTCAGGAGTTCGTGACCAGCCTGGCCAACATGGTGAAACCACTGTCTCTACTAAAAATACAAAAATTAGCTGGCATGGTGGTGCATGCCTGTAATGCCAGCTACTCGGGAGGCTGAGGCAGGAGAATTGCTTGAAGCTGGGAGGTGGAGGTTGCAGTGAACTGAGATCCTGCCACTGCACTCCAGTGTGGGCAACAGAGTGAGACTCTGTCTCAAAAAAAAAAAAGGTATATTTTGATAAATCTTGATATACACGTATCTTCATCTCCCCAAAAGTTTCCTTGTGGCCCTTGCCTTTGTAATTCCTGTCTTCCACCTTTTCTTACCACCCTTATCCCGAGGCAACCACTGATCTGCTTTCTGTCACTGTAGATTAAGTGTGTGTGTGTGTGTGTGTGTGTGTGTGTGTGTGCATGAGCGCATACGTTCGTGTGTCCTCTCCACGGAGAGCACCTGGGAGCAGGGACACTCAATAGCAATGTGCAGACTTAGTGCTTAGAGCCAGGACTCTTTGGAGAAACAGCTGATTCCATGGGTGTGGCAGGGAAGGTACAAGAAGAGCCGGGGACATTTTGTCGTATGGAAAGTCAGGAAGTGCTCCAAGAATGATGAAGACATGTCAACAAGACACAGGAACTGGCTTAAAGGGGCTCCCGGTGGTCAAATCTGGTGTAACCTAGACATAAAAATGAATAATGTTGGTAACGAATTCTATCCCATTGCATACATTAGAATCCATGAGTCTGTACCGATATAAATGTGTAAGTGAATAAATAAATGAAAAGAAAAGAAAGCGTTTCCTTACAGCAGAATGCCAACTAATATACTGAGGAGGAATGATGAAATTAGAAAATCACCATTGGGCAACCATCATGATAGTTAGTTCAGCCAAGAAACATCAAGGACTGTGAAGTCTAGTGGGGGAAGTTTGATGAGGACTGGTGTCTTTTCTTAGTCTCAAACAGTCTCATACCTACAAGGAGAAAAGGAGCGACTTTAGAGTGGGGAGACTTGGCAGACACCACCTTAGTCAAGTGATCCAAGTTCACATCAGGTGACATTAGGCAAACAGGAATCACGTACTATCAAACAGAACGCAGCAAGAGCCCCACACTAGTTCTGTGGTGTTCCTGCCAAAAACTTATCATCTGAATCCAATTGCAAGGAAACACCCGGCAAACCCGAATGGAGGAACAGCCTACAAAGGAACTCTCAATCACAGACCCTCAGAGGTGCCACACTCACCATCAAGGTCAAGGACAGATGGAGCGAATGTTCCAGATTAAAGGAGACGAATGAGACATGACAGCTAAATGCAATGGGTGTTATCGGGACAATTAGCCAAACTGGAATGGCGTAGGGATTAGATGCTAGTAATATATAAGGATTAATTCCCAGATTTTTATATCGTGTCATTACTATGTCATAGAATGTCCTTGTTTGTAGAAATTATACGTTAAAATGTTAGCGCTATTTTAACTGTTTGACTCAGTTCCCTCCTGGTTCGGGTCCTGCAGGAACTCTGGCCCCCTTCAGGAGGCCCAGACCTTCCGTTCCGTGTGGAAAGTCCTCTGACCTCTCTGGGTCCCTGGGAGGAAGCCTGGGTTCTCAAGGTGGCGATGCCAAGGAATATTGGAAGAACAATATGAGAGTGGGAGGAAGCAGTTGAACTTTGCTTTGCGCCTGGGACTTTCCCTATCCTCGCTGGAATGTTGAAATCAGGAAACTTATTAATGATATCTGTATCATATCAACATAGGCATTAATATCATTATGAGGAGGCTGGGTTGAGTCAGTCATGGGAATTCCCCACCGCCATAGACATCCCAGAAGGATTTCGCCATGGGTTAGAAGATTATTAAGGCTGTGGTCTGCACAGGCAAGTACTCATCGGTCAGATCCTTGCCTCTCAAAGGTGTGCACCATCAAGCGATATTTGTTTTGTATTTATAAATTCCTTCGCAATATTAAAAAATGAACCGAGCATCAAACACAATACACTGGCATTTGCTGAAACCTGACAATCTTCACTTTGGTGAGGCAGTCAAAGGAGGCTTCTTTGCCAGCTTTTCAAAGACGGCTTTTTCAGGGATGTTGCTCTGTACCTAGGCTGGCCTTGTCCCCCACAGACCTCTCGGAGCCCCTCCCCACCACTGAGCCTCCCTACCACAGGTGAGTGGGTGGTGGCCTCATTCTTCAGATTCCTCCCCTTTCCTGAGCTTCTGATAAGTTAGCTCCAGGCCTTTTAAACTGGCCCCTAAACTGGATGGCCAATCCCTGGGCTGGCTGTCTCCCAAATCATCTGCAGAAAATGACCCTCTCCCATCCTCTGCACCTGCCTCTCCTTGCACCTACACCTACTCCTCCCCCATGCTGCCCTCCAGTCACATTCCTTACCGCTCCTCTATGAAGACTAATGAAATTCTGTCACCTCAACAATGTTGCATGTTCCACCATGCCTAAAGTGCACTCTTTCAGCCTGGTTAGACTGGCAGCAGCACGGCGCCATCCTTCCAGAGACTCACTGGATTTTTTTTATGGGTTGGGACTAGGGAGATCACTTTGGTGCTTCATGTAGATCCTGTAAGTGGCCTGTTACTTCATGATGGAGCTGGGACTAGAACTCGCAGAGTGGCGTTCATCCCACTATGTTACACTGTTCTCTCCTGGTGGAATTACCCCATCGTGGGGCACTCTGACCTATTTTTTATCTTAAACACAGATAAAATTATTTTCATTCCCAGCATCTTGGGGCCCTCTGACCTATTGTTTATCCTAAACACAGATAAAATTATTTTCATTCCCAGCTTTAGAGGGCATACTCCAGGTAGGGCTTTGTGAAATATGAGAAATGCCAACTTAGCAAGTAGCATGTCAAAAATCCCTCCTAATGAGTAAAATGGGCTGATGGCAAGGGGGCAGACGAGAGGAGAGCACAGAGCCCTGGGGCTAGGGAAATCACCCCTTATTCATGTGAGGTGATTGGGAGCCAGAAGAGATGAATCGGGGGATTGTGCATCTCCCTGGCTCTGAACCCTTTTCGCCCCTCCTCCGCAGCCCCATCTCCCCGTAAAAAATTATTTGGGATAATTGCTGGAAAACAGCCTGTGTGTACTTGGGGGAAGAAACTTTTTATGACATAATGATTTTGGATACAATCCCGCCAAGCCAGTGCCCTGTGGCTGTTTTTTCCATTAAGGTATTTCACAATCCATGATCTCCTCTTTGGGAGAAAGAGAGAAACTCGGTCATGGGGCCTGAGAGGGGAGATGGTTGAGAACTGACTTTCTGTTCTCACTCAGCAACGAGGTATTGATTCTCCTTTAATCTACTCATCTTTGGCTTAGCCCAGCTGTTCTTAGCAGTGCTGGGCTCTGGGCAAGTCACTTCTGGCTGGAGTACAAGAAAAATGTGTTTTGGAAAACAGAATCTTAATAGGCTGGATAAACAATAGTTCAGCAGTGGCCACAGCACCTACCACTAATAAACGAGTGGCAAAAAATGAAATTCACTGAGCAGGACTTTATTCCTATTGCAGTTTGCTTGGCTCTGTGGTTTTGAGCAAGAGGAAAATATGTAAAAATACGACCAAGGTGTCTCCCCTGTCGTGTGCGCTGACCCAAGGGGCGTGGGAGGTCCGTATTCTGGGACAGGGGCCCCAGATAAGTTAGGTTATCTAACCTAACCCTAACCCTAACCCTAACCCTAGATGCCTCGCTGTGGTTGACTCAGACAGACAGGGCAGTGAGCAGACACTGCAGAGGAGAGAGACCCTCAGAGTGTCCCATGGAAAGAAGGGGATGTGGTCAGCTGCAAAGGGCAGGAGGCAGAAATAGAGGACATCTGTGCCTACCTGGAACGATGACAACAGTTCCTGATGTTTCATCAATGCTTTATAGTTGACAAAGCACTTTGTACGTTGCCTCATCCACAGGAGCCCTGTGAGGTAAGCAGGGGAGATGCCGTGATCTTGATTCACACATGAGGAACTCAAGGTTCACAGAAGGTGAGTGGTGTGTCTAAAGCTACACAGCAAACAAGTGGCAGAGCCAGGGCTGGAACACAGCTGCCTTGACCCTGTGTTTGATGAGATTGCCAAATGCATGGAGGATGTGCCAGTGCAGGTGGAGGGGTGTTAGTCTACTACCTTGCGCCTTCACTGCCCTGACTTGGAGCCCAGTACTCCCACCGTGGACTCGATCTTTAGGTTAAGTCGTTGTCTTCAGCAAAGCCCTAATTAAAGCAAGGTGGAGGTGGAAGAGATGATGAATTTTGTGAGTCTTTGGCCCATGGCAGCCTTGAAGAATGTCTCCATGACTTCCGTGCCGTGCTGGGTGGCAGCATTTCCCAGGGGTACAGTCATGTCTCTAGCCCTCAGTGTCTTGATTCCTCCCATTCCATTCTCTCTCAAAGATGCCTGGCAAAGTCCCGTGTGTTGCCCTGTTCTTTGGCCAACGTGGACTCCTTATTTGCTGTCTCATGGACTCAGCTTCTCGTTCCAACTCCATGCTTCTGTTTGAGCACTGCACTTTGCCTTCCTTGCCGTCCCCCTCCTCTTCATCTTGAGTGTAATGATAGTGATCTGCAAGCCAGAAGGGGACATCTAAAAATCCCATAATATCCTGAAACTCTTAATGCACTTCTCTACAAATAGTGGGTGGACAACAGATAGCTGTGGGTGCAGGTTTGGGTGGGGTTTGTTGGAAAAGGTTCTATCCACTTTGGTACAACCAATTAGACTTTTGTAGCCTTAGGATGCTGAGGACTTTCTCAGGGATGGGCAAAGGTTTTAGGTGGCAGAGCTGACTTCTGCTGGTGGTGTGGAATGGCGGTATGAGGCCTGCAAAGGCCATGTGGAATTTTTCTATTGTTCACTTTACTTTCCCTACATCTGAAACACAGGGCTCTGTGCTGTAGCCTGGAGCCATCCTGCCATTTAGGGGATGCCCAACCCATAGTGAGATCCAGAGGTTGATGGGAAGGGAATTCAGACAGCATATTATCAGTGGCGTTTAAAGGGAGTTGCCATAATTAATGTCAATTTGCTGTTTGCTTCCCCTCCTTTTCCTCTTCCTTTCCTCTTAATTGAGAATGAAGGCTTTTTTTCTTTAGCATCGCAATTCCTATGAAGTGTCTACACCATTATCTAGTGAGTGACTCCCAGGCCTGATCCACAACCGGTGGGCTGACTGGACAGGAATTACCTGGGAGATTGTTATGCATCCAGATTCCCAAGCCCCACCCTGGAGATTCTGATTTGGTGGCTCTGGGGAGGCACCCAGGACAGGTGATTCAAGTGCTCACCCAGGCTGGGGAACCACAGGCCTATGGATTAGAGGGCAGGCAGCTCTCAGGAACTAGCACGCAGCCACACCCATGAAGGGGTGCCGGTGACCTTTGGAGGACAGTGCTGAGCTGAGAGAAGGTGTTAGTGTTGCTCCCTCTGTCTGCTCTGCACCGTCCCTGATGAGCAGGAAGGAACCACGGGACCCATTTGTCTACCATCTTTTAGGATACATAGGTGAAGTTCTCCCCGAACCTAGACTTCTGATACCCCTGGGACGAAAGAGATGCCCCAGAGGAAGCAGTGTCCCATACAGCCACCATCTGCTAAGCAAGACTGCACACTGGCACCTCCAACTCCAGCCCAGCACCACAAGGTTTACTGTATTTTTCTCCCTTTTCACATTTTTTGTTTTTTTGTTTTTTTGAGACAGTCTTGCTCTGTCACCCAGGCTGGAGTACAGTGGTGCAATCTGGGCTCACTGCAACCTCCACCTCCCAGGTTCAAGTGATTCTCCTGCCTCAGCCTCCCGAGTAGCTGGGACATGCGCCATCAAGCCCAGCTAATTTTTGTATTTTTAGTAGAGACGGAGTTTCGCTATGTTGGCCAGTCTGCTCTCGAACTCCTGACCTCAATTGATACGCCTGCCATGGCCTCCTAAAGTGTTCGGATTACAGGTGTGAGCCACTGCGCCCAGCCTCATATTTACCTTTTAGATATGAGGATCTGTCAAAGTTAAGTATAATTAATTATTTGATCTGAGGATTTATCAGTCCTCATATTTACCTCATGCCCCCCAGTTTGCAATCATTGGCTGGTTTTCACATTTTTAACTTCTTTTACTGAGAGAGAAAGACTCCCATGCTCTTTACTATATTTGCTGATTTGATCAGTGTTCCGTATTAACCTATCTCCTAGCAGTGCCACCCCCTCCCACACACATATGCCCTCCACACCCCACTGCACCCCACTCAGTCTCTGATATCCTGTGCTGGTTTGTCCCTCCCTGCCAAATCCCTCCTCTCTCTGTCTGGGGTTCAAGATCCTCTGCTGGTCTGCCCCTGGGTGATGCTCTCCTTACACAGCTTGGGCTCTGACATCTCATCTGGGCTGTCCCCTGGGGATGCCCTCCACCCAGACAGCCCCCTGCACAGGTGCTCTCACCTTGCTGGAGCACTGACAACCCATTCTGGGCCATTGCACCTGCGCCTTCCTGCACGGAAGCCCAGCTTGCTCAGCCCCACTCAGGGATTTAGGACTGACTTGTTCAGGAAGAAGAAAGGAAAAGGAGAGAAAGGAAGAAGCAGAGGAAGAGACGCACCATAAAATGTTGAAGGCAAGGATTCCGCTTTTACTCTTCAGTGAATCTTGTGACTAGGAGGGTATTTCTTACTTGATTCTTTTCCTAGAGAGTCAGTCTATGAGAGGAATCGTGCAGCGAGGTAGCGAGTGTAGTATATTTGCACACAGGCTCTGGAATGACTTAGAATCTGGCTTTGACCCATTTTAGTTGTGTGACCTTCTCAGTGCTTCAGTTATGTTGTCTAAACAATGAAGATGACCACTGTATTGACCCCACAGAGTTGTGTGAGGATTAAATTAGGTAACCCATGTTAGGTGCTCAGCAGAGAACCTGGCTCAAGGAAGTACCCAATCAAAACTCTATTAGTAAGGAGCGCCCTTGTGGGCAGTCAGGCGTCGTGGGGTTGGGACTGAGCTGCCCAATGCAGTTGTGCAAGCCCACGTCAGTTGCATTGGTCTTTGGACCTGTTTTTCTACCTGCAAAGTGACCATTAAGGATCTGTCCTAGCTCTGACATTGTAGAATGCTATCCTCAAACTACCTTAAGAGGCCAGAGGGAGGGATGCAAGTCAGGGAATTGGAATTCAGGCTGTTTCCAAGGTAGGCACAGGATGGTGCCTCTGAAGATGGTTGCAGAGCAAGAGGACCATGTAGCGGGGCAGCAATCAGTGCTCATATCGACCTCGTGCTCCCCAGTTTGCAATCGTTGTCTACATTCACCATCTTACGTAATCCCTACAACAACCTTATGAGGGAGACATTTTTTCAGATGAGATCCTGAGGCTGGAAGAGATTAAGTGATGCCACTCAGAAGTGGCAGAAGGAGCCGGGCGGGACTCAGACATGAGCCCCTGATGGTGCTTGTCCTCTGAACCTACCGGCTAGCTACATGGCTCTCCCAGGAGGGACAATTCCAAGTGCTGACTGGTGCAGACCCTTGCGTATTCTCATGAGCGTCTCCTGGGCTGCTCCTGCTGACAACCCCCTCTCCTCCCTTCTGTAAGACTTTTTGCAGCCACACAAGTTCTTGGAATATTTACTGAAGAGCAAACATGATTACCACCCTACATGGCTTAAATTTTAATATGAGAAAACAATAGTAGGCAAACTAGTCATCCACTGAACTTTGTCATTAGAATAATCTCTAAAGGGCACTGAATAGGGAGGGCAAGTCAGGCACTGGGGTGGGGATAACCAGGCTGGTTTAATCTAGGAAGCTTCCTGGAGGAGGTGGTATGATTGAGTTGTGATTTCAAAGAGGTAAAATGTCGTAGTTGAGGCTGCAGGAACCAAGACATCTGGAAATCTTCCCTCCCCCACCGCCCCTCCCCATTTTGCTTCCTGTGGATCTGATAGTCCTGCTTAGGCAAACTGAGGCACAAGTTCAGTGGCAAAAGCCAGAAAGAGATCCCAGGACATGTGATGTCCCTAGTCAGAGGCCTGGAGAGAGATGGTGCTGCTTCTCCACCCCATCATTAATCTTGTTCAACCTCTTTTGCAAAATAGGAGTCTCAGCAACTAGGGAGGAGGTGTTGTGAGAATGAGCATTTGCAAACTCCTCAAACGTGCTGGAAGAAAGAGGCAGTGCTTGTGTGAAGCTCCCTGGAGTTGTCTGCCACATGGCTGTGCACTCCCATTCATGTCCTGAACCTGGAGGCTGGGCATGACTGCCCAGTGTCACTGACATATGCCAAGGAACATCAGGAGGGGCGTGTTTCAGCAGGGTGGTGGACTAGGGCCAAATACCTCCATATTACAATGCAATAGATGATTGAAGACCAATTAATTTTTTACAACAGGAGAAATAGCTAAAAGATTAGCAAGCATTAATTATTTATTGAATTGCTGCCTGTGCAAAAAAAAAAACCCAAAAAAACGAAAAAACAAAAAGCAGGGTTGGGGGGTGGGGAAGTGCCCTGTATGGGGAAATTAATCTTTCCACTACTTTAATTTCAGCTCTTGGTTGCTATCTGCCTTTGCTTGTAGGTCACGCAGATCATCTCCTGGCAGTGGGTGAGATCATTTGGAAAGGAGGCATAACTTTGACAGTCTCTTTCAGGGTAGTCAACCAACTGGTGAGAAATCCAGAGGTTTCCATCTTTGTATCTTTCAATCTTTCTAGCCCCTGCACAGAAAAAGCAGGCTCTGGAGTTCAATCCCCTTCCCAGGTCTGCAGTTCTGACCTCCAAAAGAGGAAGATTTAGACAAACAACTGTGAGTCTCAGCTGAGCCTGGGCAGCCAGCAAGCCCTGGGCACGTGGACTCAAAGCAGCAGCAGGGAGGAACCTGGGGGTTCCTCTTTTGAGCAAGGATAAACCTGCTAGTCAGTCTGTCCTGGGATAAGTTGTGAAGAATTCATTTATTCATTCATGCACTCACTCATTCACTTGCTAAATCATGCATTCAGTATTTATTTTTTTTTTGAGATGGAGTTTCACTCTTGTCTTCCAGGCTGGAGTACAGTGGCACAATCTCGGCTCACTGCAACCTCCGCCTCCTGGGTTCAAGTGATTCTCCTGCCTCAGCCTCCCAAGTAGCTGGGATTACAAGCATGCACGACCATGCCTGGCTAATTTTTTTGTATTTTTGGTAGAGATGGGGTTTCTCCATGTTGGCCAGTCTGGTCTCGAACTCCTGGCTTCAAGTGATCTGCTCTCCTCAGCCTCCCAAAGTGCTGGGATTACAGGCGTAAGCCATTGCACCCGGCCTCATTCAGTATTTATCCAAGTGCCTCTATGTGCCATCTACAATATTGTTACAAATAAGACCACCCAGCTCAGGTCAGGGTTTCTAAAACATCCTCTTTCATGAGAAGAATAGCTGAGACATGTGTAGGCTGACCAGTGAGCTGGGTCTTTGTCCTTGGCTGGTCCGTGCTTGGGGAGTGAGGATTGCAGAAGAAGAGGCAGGAGAAGCTGATGCTTGGCTTCTGTTCCCCTTTACCTTATTTCTCCTTCACCCTCTTTTCTCCCCACCTCTCCTTTGCGCCCCAAGTTCTTTCTCCTAAATATCTCTGAAATCCGTCCTCCCACTCCAGCCCCCCGCCACATCCTGCTCAGGGCCTGCCTTGTCTCTTGCTTGGACCAAGGCAACAGCATCCCACAGAGCCTCCTGACTGAGGCTCTTCCCCTCCTCTCCTCTCTCTATAATGCCGTCAGAGAATCCTGTTGGAAAAAAACCCCTGGGGAGTCAAGCATTCTGCTTACAATCCTTTCGCCACCCCACAACTTATCCCTTGCTTGATATTCCAACCCCCTTGGGAACCTTTCTTCCATCCCTTCTGGCACCCCAGGCCAGCTCCTGCGCTGGCTCCAACGGTGTACGTGCCACCCTTAGGTCCCCACAGTAAGCTCTGCACATTTCCACTCTGGCTTCTTGTACCTCTTCACATGAGGTGCCCTGCCTGGGAGCCCTGTTCATCCCTGCCTGGAATTTTTACTTTCCTCTAAGACTGTTCCAAGTCACCTCCTCCAAGGAGCCTTCCCTGACCAGCTAAAACATAGTCATGGATATTTTGTCATGTGCCCTAATAAAGCTTCCTTAAACATGACTTTCACTCTACACATGAATTTCACTGTACTGTGATTATTACTTTGTGTCCCCCAATTTGACTTTGAACCCTGCATGGGCAGAGATAGAATTTTATTTATCTCTGTGTCCTCAGCCCCTAAATAGGGCCCAACATTCATTGATCCACTTTCTCCTTCATTCTTGTTGACTTGATTCTCTGCCTGGACTGTGTTAATCGCCAGGGGATACAAACAATGACAGGGTGCACCCACAGCCTCATGGACATGACAGAGGACCAAATGTGGGATTGGAGAGTGGTGTGACGAGAGCCAGGATCGCAGGGAGCCTGGGGAGCCCCGGGCCATTCTGGTGGGGCAGGAGGCTGAGCTCCTCCTGGGGCACCAGGCCCTCCATGCCACACACCTGCAGAGCTCTGGGCAGGCACTTGGCTGAAAGCATTATCCTTCCTTTCAGAGGGAAGTTTCAGCAGGGCAAGGCCTGTATTGCTGATCTCTGCTGTTTACAGAGATCTCAGTCTCTCCTGGGGCTGAGGGGCATTGGTGCAGTGGAGCTGCGACCTGAGCCGGGTCCTGGCTCTTAGGTAGAGTCCTGAGACTTTCATACGTCCTTTCCACACAGGGGGTCTCACGCACAGACCTTATCCTGGAGGGTCACGGCTTTTTTCACAGAGATGGACGTTGAGAGATAAGCGCCCCAGGAACTACACAATTACAGTTGGGAGAAATATGGTGAAGAAAAACACCGGGGCCAGGACATCTTGTGTGACAAGGAGGCCTCCCAGGAGAGTGAATCGATGTGACAATGTGTCCTTCAAGCCTGGGTCCAACTCCCATGTGGGGAGTGGCTGCCTTGGTTCCCAAGCCGATCATCCTGCAGGCAACCCCTCTGACCACAAGGGGGCCTGCTGGAGCCTGGCCTGGCCCAGCCCTTCCCGCCCAGAAACACCTCCCGGTCTGGTCCCTGCTGTTGGTGACTCAAGGAGCCAACACCTGTCTCCAGAGGTCAAGGCCACCTTGAGGGTATAGGGTGCCCGGGCACTCCACACACGGGGCGTGGAGGGAGTCTCCCGGCCGGGCCAGCCCCGGCTTCCTCTCAGTGGAACCTCTGCTGCGTGGGAGCCCTCGCGGGCTGGCTGGACCGACCCAGCCTCTGCCCCTGGCTTCCGCTTCTACCCCACTTCGCTTCTTTCCCCCAGGGTTGCCAGAGAGCTGCTGCCAGTTTTCCCAGCACATTGCTCACAGGAAATTAGGGTCTAAAGGTGCAAGGTGAGAGAGAAAAGCCATACATGGAATAACTGAAACTACTGGGGGCTGCATTTCCAGCTCCACTCGCCCTGTGCGAAAGCACTGAGACCCCACCTTCCTCGCAGGCTCCTGCGACCGCCCTCTCCAGTGCTGAGGGTGCAGTTCCACCACGGGCCATGAGGGGCTGCTTGCCCGGAGCTCCTGGAGGGGGCCCGCGGGCCTGGCTCAGCTGGAAGAGGACAGAACACAGCAGGTTCCATCCGAAGCTTTACCTGTTGGCAGAGTGGGTGGTGTGTGCTTTGAGAAACATGGAGCAGGCTCAACAGAACCAAAGTCTCTTCCTCTCCAAGATTCAATCATACCTAAAGCTCTGCTGCTGGAAACTCATCAGCCAGGCTGTGTCCTCTCTGCAAGGCACTCTTTACAAACCGCTATAGAGGCTGCCTTTCTTTGCTGCTTTGCAGCGTAGGAAGTGCTTCTGGTACACACCTGATGGTCTCCCCGTGACACTTCTGGAGGGTAGGCATTCATGAGATGATTTTCTTTTGGCTGATGAGGGACTCGAGGACTGGCACCCAATTCCAGGTTGCCCACTTCTCTGTTTGATGTCCACTCCGTTACGTGGTGGCCAGTACCACTCAGGCGCGTAGATGTGAATGAATCTGCCTGATGACTGGACTCCATGGCAGCAAAGCAGGGCAGCCCGGCAGTGTTAGGGAAGTGGTGAGTAATCCCTCAGGGGAAGGGAGAGCCAAGGCTCTGAAGATGGGATGCCCACAGAGGAAGGAACCCCAGGCACGAGGGCAGACTTCCCTGCGTGCCAGGCAGAGCCTGCATTCTTGGGGGTGTGTGTGTGTGAGTTTTCACTCCTGTTAGTTCTTGGAGTTGACAACCAGCAATCACGTTTTGAATGGCCTCCTGGCCACGGACAGTGAACTGTGGGGTGTGTGTTCAGCGCTCTGTGCTGTTGCTGTTGTGGGAACAACACCCAGAGCTCCATCGGGCCAGGATGTCCAGCTCTGTCTCTCTCAGCTACAGAGACCAGGAGCTGTTTTCTGCTCACTTGGCACCTCTCTGAACTGTGACGCCACCTCCTGGCCGGGACTGGCTCCCCCCTGGGCTGTAGGGTGTTTCTATGACCTCTTATGCAGGATTGGGAGTAGATGCTGCTCTCAGTTCCTGCCGTGGAGGTCAGCGTGACCAAGCTCCGGGCCAGGCACTGCAGCCTTGCTGTGGCAGCTCAGCATAGACGCACCTCCGCGTGGGCAGCTGTGCTGGGTGCTGTTAAATCTCCTGCATGATCTCTGCCCTGCCCTCCAGGAGTTTCCAATGTCAAGCGTCTTAGTTAGATTATTGTTCCTCCCTGGGCCTCTCTCCCTCTGACTACAGTTGCTATTTATTATCACAATAAGGTCGTGTGATTCTCTTTATTTGGGGTGGGGATAAGAATACTGAACCAGAGCGGGGTCATATACTTAAATGGAGCCCCATACCTGCCACTAATTGGCTATGTGTTCTTGGGCGAGTTATGTGGCCTCCCTGAGTCTCAGCTTTCTCATCTGTGAAATGGGGAAGATAACACTACTCCTAAAGATTGTTCTGAGGCTGTAGTGAGAAAATGCATGCGAAAGCATTTTGAGAGCCACAGAAAGCAGTGGGAGCGAGGGGAGATGCTACTATTCTTAGTGAGGAGGCAAGCAGAATGGCCCAGGGGACTGATCGGCTGTCCCCCCCTTTTCTCCACTGTCCCTTTCCAGCACCTCCTCCCAGGGCCCTTGACACATGCCCATTCTGTGTCCCAAGTGGGCCTGCTCTCCATGCTGTGAAGTTTTTTTTTTTTTTTTTTTTTTTTTTGGAGACGGAGTCTTGCTCTGTTGCCCAGGCTGGAGTGCAGTGGCGCAACCTCGGCTCACTGCAAGCTCCGCCTCCCGGGTTCACGCCATTCTCCTGCCTCAGCCTCTCGAGAAGCTGGGACTACAGGCGCCCCCCACCACACCCGGCTAATTTTTTTATATTTTTAGTGGAGACGGGATTTCACCGTGTTAGCCAGGATGGTCTCGATCTCCTGACCTCGTGATCCACCTGCCTTGGCCTCCGAAAGTGCTGGGATTACAGGCGTGAGCCACCGCGCCTGGCCTTACACTGTGAACTTTCTTTCTCTTCCCTTCCCCTTCCCCTTCCTCTTCCCCTTCCCCTTCCCCTTTCCTTCCCCTTCCCTTCCCTTTCCCCTCCCCCTTCCCTTCCCTCTTCCCCTTCCCTTCCCTCTTTCTTTCTCTTTCTTTCTTTCTCTCTTTCTTTCAGTGGAGTCTCGCTCTGTTGCCAGGCTGTGTAGTGCAGTGGCGTGATCTCGTCTCACTGCAACCTCCGCCTCCTGGGTTCAAGAGATTCTCCTGCCTCAGCCTCCTGAGTAGCTGGGGCTACAGGCATGCGCCCCCACGCCCAGCTAATTTTTGTTTTGTACTTTTAGTAGAGACGGGGTTTCACCATGTTGGCCAGGATGGTCTCGATCACCTGACCTTGTGATCTACCTGCCTCGGCCTCCCAAAGTGCTGGGATTACAGGCGTGAGCCACTGCACCTGGCCGTGACCTTTCTTTTATCCCTCTTCTCCCTTAAAACATACCCATTCTCTGCTTCAGTCCTTGTGCCTTGGATCATTCATTCTTGTAATAAGTGCTTATTGGGAGCCTGGTGTGTTAGAAAGAGCATGGAGTTGAATCTTTGGCCTTATCCCCTCTAGCCGTGTGACTCCAGGCAAGTCCCTTGCATTTTCTGCGCGTCAGTTTCCTAAAATTCAAAACGGGTACAACATCTTCACTGCAGGACTGCTGGGAGCATGGTGAGGGGTGATGTACGTAAAAACCAAGGCGCAGTGCTCAATAATTGTAGCTCTCTCCCCGAGGCTGCTTGCTGCCGATCAGAGAAACTTACCAGACTTGCTATATTGTCCGTGCAAAGACCAAAACAACAACAGCAACAACAACAATTTTAATTGGATCCTGGGATACATCACAAATCCTGGCCTGACAATAGTTGCTTGAATATGCAACTGAGCCACCAGTGCCATCTCCAGAAGGAGTGGGTGAGGAGGTACTGCCCATTCTGTGGCAGGGCCACTGGGCCTCACCAGCACATGACACCAGGATACCTTAATTCTCTAAAAAGGCATTACTCCCATTCCCACAATGCCAAGACTAAAGTCTTTCTAACCCCACATGCAGTGCCTCATCATTCACCTGAGGTCCCAGATGGGGACTGCAAGGCATGAGAGAGGGGCTTAGATTTCAGGCTTCCCTTTTTTGTGGGGGTACATTTAAAAAGCGGGTATATCATTTGGTGCATTTGATATTAAGCCTCTGGGGGCGATCTGGAAAGACAAGTAAACATATAGCACAAGTACCCTTTAAAGAAGCTCATCTCATCATTCATTCAGTGAATATTGGTTGAGTTAGAGCCCCCTCTTAATACGGAGGTTACAGCGTGAATGAAACAGATGGGGTCTCTGCCCTTTGTGTAGCTGACATTCTTGTGGTAGAGGCAGACCATCAGCAGGAGGCATAATAAATAAAGAGATAAAGGGCATGTTAGGAGGTGGGAGTCCTGAGAGAGAAGAAAAGTGGAGCTGGAGGGGAGATTGGCCTGCTGAGGAGGCGGGGCAGGCCGCAGCGGTAGTAATAGGATGGTCAGAGACTCCACCTTGGTGAGGTGACACTTGGCCAAGACTTGAAGCAGGTGAGGGGACTAGTGATGCTGATGTCAGGGCCAACACGTAGCATGGCTGGGGTGCTCAGGGACCAGCTGTGTGCCGGGGTGCAGAGAGTGAGGGGAGAAGGACAAGGGGAGATCAGATAGGTTCTGGGGGTGGGGAGGCAGATCACATGGGGCCTTGGAGGTCACCATAATTACTCTTCAGCTTTGGGTCTCAGGGGTGGGGAAGGGGAAAAACTAGTGGGTTTTGAGGGAACTGGGTCTCAGGAGAACTCATTCCAGTGCTGGCTCTGCTCAGCACTGGCCTTGACATTTGGTACAATCAGGTAGCCTCTCAGGGCCGCGCTTGCCTTGGAGGTCAGACCAGCTGGCTGGCTTGGCTAGTTCAAAGGCCCATTCTCAACTCTGGGTGTCACATGCAGTGCAAGGCACGCAAACTCATCCATTTCTCCATCTACCCCCAAAAGTCTCTGGCTCCCTGGAGAATTTTCATTTCCTTTGCTGTCAATTTTCCAGTTCGCCCCAGAGGCAAACCCAGGTCTCCAGGTACATCTGGAAGTGGCTGTGGGGGAGATGGTGGAATTCCCTGCCCCCCCACAGGGAGCTGAGCACACTCTTCCCAAGGCAGTTTTTCCCTGGCTGGGATCAGCAGTGGAGCAGTTTCCCGTGGCGAGGCGAGCCCTGGCCTCTACCCTGCTGGGCTGGTGGGACTGGGATAAGGAGAGGGCAGCAAGTGACAGGTGCCTCTGGAAGGAGAGCTGGATGTGGCAGGCATGTCCTTTGCTGGGCAGCAGGCAGGATTCGGGTGCAGTGTCAGTGGCAGCCCTGAGCAGGAGGCTGGGGGAGGGCCTGCCTGTTACCAGAACTGCACCCGTTTTACCCCGGGGTCATGGGAGACAAGCTTGCAGCCGGTGGCCCAGCCGTTCCCATGCCTGATGCTGCAGCAGCTGCCAAACGCTCTCTCAATGCAGCCTTGTCAGAAAGGAGGATCTAGTGCACTGCACGGAGACCACAGTGGATAACAATGTACTGTATATTTGAAAATTGCTAGAAGAATAGATCTTTAAGGTCCTCACCACAAACAAACGATAAGTTGATGAGGTGATGAATATATTAATTAGCTTGATGGGATCTTTCTACAATATCATAAATCAAAACATCACATTGTACCCCATATATACACAATTATTAATTGTCATTGAAAAATAATTTAAAAAATGAAAAAAGGAGACAGGAGGACTTCCTTTTTCTTGGCAGGGGTAGAGGAGTATGAAAGGGAAAATGGGGGGCGCTCCCCATTTCCCACCCGGCCCCCTGCCCAGTTCTGCCTCGTAGCTCTGGCGGGCCATCCATGCCTCGGGTTTGGTGCACCTCTACCCTCCAAGGAACCATCACCACCACTCCTCCTCCATCCCCTCCTGCCGGCTCGCAGGTCCCTACTAGCCAGGTTTCCAGAGCTGCAAATGACCCAATGCTAGAGATTGTTGGAAATGTAACAAACAGCAGCCAGCCAAGGCTTTCCAACTCACAGCTCTCCACGGTCATGGCTGCTGAGGCTGCAGAGGAGAGCATCAAGTTGCAGAAACAGGTTAACTGCTGAGACTGAACTGTGCTCTGGGTTTGTGGATTTCCAGCAACATACGCCAACATTTCTGCAAGGAGCATTTTATAAACACGAAGTTCATGTATGTGTAACTTACATGGAGTAAAATTCATCTTTTGTAGGTGCACAGCTCGATGAGTTTTGACAAATGTAGATAGTCATGTAGCCATTGCACAGACAAAATTTACAACATTGCTAGCACTAGCTGGGTGTGGTGGTTCATGCCTGTAATCCCAGCACTTTGAGGGGCTGAGGTGGGCGGATCACAAAGTCAGGAGTTTGAGATCGGCCTGGCAAACGTGGTGAAACCCTGTCTCTACTAAAAATACAAAAATTAGCTGGGTGTGGTGGCGCACGCCTGTAATCCCAGCTACTCAGGAGGCTGAGGCAGGAGAATCACTTGAACCCAGGAGGCGGAGATTGCAGCGAGCCGAGATTGCGCCACTGCACTCCAGCCTGGGCAACAGAGCAAGACTCCATCTCAAAAAAAATTAATTAATTAAAAAAATAAAATAAAATAAAATAAAGAACATTGCAGGCTGCAGCCCAAATGGTTTCTTTGTGTTCCTTTGCATTTAATTCTCTCTCAGCCCACAGGGCCTGCTAAGAGTATTTTTGCTGGATCATTTTCTCCCTTTTCTCTAACTGTCCTCCATCTGTCTTCTTTCAGTTAACATTATGTTTTTGAGATTCACCTTAGTCATTATGTGTATCAGTAATTCCCTTTTCATTGCTGTGGAGGTCCATCACTTTACTTATTTTATTTTAAATATTTTATTGTGGCAAAATATAGCCAGTCCTCCATATTCATGGGTTCTGTATCCATTGATTCAACCAACCATGAATCAAAAATCTCTGGAAAACATTGTGTCTGTACTGAACTTGTACAGACTCTTTTCCCTTGTCATTATTCCCTAAACAACACAGCACAACAACTATTTACATAGCATTTGTATTGCATTAGGTATTATGAGTAATCTAGAGATGATTTAAAGTATATGGGAGGATGTGCATAGGTTATATGCAAATATTATGGCATTTTATAGAAGGGACGTGAGCACAGTGGATTTTGGTATCCACTGGAGGTCCTGGAACCAATTCCCCATGGATATAGAGGGATTATACATAAAACATAAAATTTGTCCTTTTAACAATTTTTAAGTATGCAATTCGGTGACACTAATTACAATCACAATGTTGTATAACCATCACCACTACCTACTTCCACAATTTTTCATCACCCCAAACAGAAACTCTGTACTCATAAGCATTAAGCCCCCCACCTTCTCACAGGGTGCACCAAGCCTAAGGGAATAATCTTCCCATAGTCCCTGGGCACCTCTAATCTGCTTTCTGTCTCTATGAATTTTCCTATTCTAGATACTTCATGTCAGTGAAATCTGCAGTATTTGTCCTGCTGTGTCTGGCTTCTTTCACTTAGCCTAATGTTTCCATTGTTCATCCAGGTTGTAGCATGTACCAGAACTTCCTTCCTTTTTATGTCTGAATGATATTCTGCAGTTCATGTACAACATTTTTTGTTTATCTAGTCATCTGTTGGACAGTTAGGTTGTTGTCAACTTTTGGCTGTTGTGAATAATGTTGCTGTGAACATTGCATACAAGTATCTGTTTCAGCCCTTGTTTTTTAATTATTTTGAGTATACTTCTAAAAATGGAATGGCCAGGTCATATGATAATCCTATGTTTAACTTTTTAGGGAACTGCCATAGTGTTTTCCATGGCAGCTGCATCTTTATTCCTACCAGCAATGCACAAGCGTTCCAATTCCTACCCGTCCTTGACAACGCTTATTTTCCTTTTTTAAAAAATTATAGCACTCCTAGTAGGTGTGCAGTGGTAACTCATTATGGTTTTGATTGCATCCTAATGCATCCTGTTGACTAATGATGTTGAACATCTTTTTTTCTCATGTGCTTTTTTTTTTTTTTTTTGCCATTTATATACTTTCTTTAGAGAATTGTCTATTTAAGTTCTCTGCCCAGTTTTGAAAGCTATTTTGTGGGGTTTTTTTGTTATTGAGTTACAGAAGTTTTTGTATATTCTGGATATCAAGCTCTTATCACAGATATGATTTGCAAATATTTTCTGTGGGTTGTCCTTTCACTCTCTTACTAGTGTCCTTTGATGCACAAAAGTTTTTAATTTTGATGAAATCTCTTTTGCTATTTTTTCTTTTGTTGCCTGTGCTTTTGGTGTTATGTCCAAGAAATTATTGCAAAATTCTGTGTCACAGAGTTTTTTTTCTATATTGTCTTCTAAGACTTTTATAGTTTTAGCTCTTATATTTCAGATCTTTGATCTATTTTGAGTTGATTTTTTGTATGTGGTGTTAGACAAAGATCCAACTTGATTCTTTTCATCTTGGATACTCAGTTTTCCCAGCACTAGTTTTTTTGTTTTTTTGAGGTGCCCAATAAATGTTTATTACATAAGTGAAAGTTCCAGTGAATACATAAATAAGTATACATTCATGCAGGAGTTTGTATACCAGACACGCCTGACATTCGCTGTTCCAGCACTGGGAGGAGGGACCATGCCTCACCTACGGTCATGGCTGGTAGGGTCACCTATGGGCATAGCTGATAGGACCCTTGCCATCCAGCAACTCTGCAATGTAGCTTGGTTTGAAAGATGAAATGAGCCAATGAAGTTCTTTTGAAATTTTGGAATATGGCATTAAGATACCTAATCAATAACTCAGAGGTGCTAGTACCAAAAGGTCTCGTGAATCTGGAGCCAGAACCATTAAGGGCCGGGGGGGCAGTTCTCTCAATGGAGACTTTCCCATTGAGAAATTCAGTACTCCTTCTTGTATCCTAATGGCCTTGTCACGTTGTTATGTTCATGTCCAAGGTAAAGCTAAGATGAGCTGGCCAGGAGATACAGCACAACAGAAAACAAAGCAACCAGCACACTCATTCTGCACCCCCACTGCATTTTCCTCTCTGAATATCCACATGCCCTCATGGTTGCTGAGCACACATCATTTGAATTTGCCTACAGCTTTACTTGCGGTGGTCCTGACCAAATTCTCCGTGACCCTCATCCAAATGCCACCCATCATTTGTCTGAAATTTCTGCATTTTTGATGAGATTCTTTGGAGCTCTCCCTGGTCCAGCTTAGTTACTTAAGGACCAGGCTATGAGTCTGTCATCAACCTCTGATCTAATCAACTATGGACAGGGAGATGAGGTCACATATTCCCTAGGGCTACTCCTTATAAGGGCTGGGTGGTCAGGAGAAGTTAGGTAAGAAGCGACAGTTTGGTCCCAGGCAAAATACCTGGAATGGTCACGGCAGGCTCCCTCTATTTTTTTTTTTTTTTTTTTTTTTGAGACGGAGTCTCCCTCTGCTGCCCAGGCCGGAGTGCAGTGGCACAATCTTGGCTCACTGCAACCTCCACCTCCCAGGTTCAAGGTATTCTCCTGCTTCAGCTTCCCCAATAGCTGGGATCACAGGCGTCTGCCACTGCGCCCTGCTAATTTTTTGTATTTTAAGTAGTGACAGGGTTTCACCATGTTGGCCAGGCTGGCCTTGAACTCCTGACTTCAAGTGATCTGCCTGCTTCCATCTCCCAAAGTTCCCAGCACTAGTTTTTGAAAAGACTGTCTTTTCCCCATTCCTACGTTATTGCCATTTTTGTATTTAGTTGAATTTTTTGGTAGTGTATCATTTTGAGTCTCTTTTTTGGTATATGTTTTAGTTATTTTCTCAGTGGTTATATTGGGGATTGCAATTAACTTCTTACTTACACTTACCATACCCTAGTGAATAATACCAGTGGTATAAAAACATTCTGCTCTTATACATCGATTCCTCCTCCTCTGTATTGTTATTGTCACAGGTTATATCATTGTACATGTGTGCCTATTAACAGATTTATAATTATTGTTTTGTGACCCTAACTTTTAAATCGTATAGAAATAAAAGGGAGTTACAGAAGTACGGTAGTGCTGGCTTTTATAATTACCCCTGTAGTTACCTTTACAGCATTCTGTTTTTCTACATATGGCTTTGAGCTATTGACTAATGTCCTTTAATTTCAGCCTGAGGTATGTCCTTTAGTAGGTCTACTAGTAACAAATTACGTCAGCTTTTGTTTATTTGGAAATGTCTTAGTTTCTCCTTCATTCTTGAAAGATCATTTTGGCAGATATGGAGTTCATGGTTGACAGTTTGTGTTTTCCAGTCCTTTAAATACATCATCTCACTGCCTTCTGGCTTCCATGGTTTCTGAGAAGAAATCAGCTGTTAATTCCATAGAGAATCACTTGTAGGTGATGAGCCACTTTTCTCTCACCGATTTCAATATTCTCTTTTTGTCTTTGTCTTTCAACAATTAGTCTCATGTGTCTTGGTGTAGATCTCCTTGAGTTTATCCTGCTTGAAGTTCATTGAACTTTTTGAACATGTATATTTTCATGTCTTTTTATCATATTTGGGGAATTCCGGGCCATTAGTTTACAAATAATGTCTCTGCCCCTTTCCCTCTTCTTCTGGAGTGCTCATGATATATCTATATTTATATCTAACCTATATCTTTATATATCTATGTGTGTGTGTGTGTGTGTGTGTGTGTGTGTGTGTGTGTTTGATGGTGTCCCACAGATCCCTCAGGTTCTGTTTATTTTCTTTATTCTTTTTCTTTCACCTCTTCAAACTGGATAATTTCAGTTGTCTTAATTTCAAGTTTGACAGTTCTTTCCCTGTCTGCTCAAAACCTGCCATTGAATCACTCTAGTGAATTTTAAAATTTCAGTTATACTCTTCAGCTCCAGAATTTCTGTGTGGTTTGATAATTTACATCCTTTGACATTCCCTATTTGTTCATACATTGTTTTCCCAATTTTATTTACTTAGTTTTTGTCTATGGTTTCCTTTCACTTACTGAGGATATTTAAGAGAGTTGATTTAACATCTTTGACTAGTAATTCCAATGTCTGGGCTTTCTTAGGAATAGTTTTCTGTCAAATTCTTTTTTTTCCAGTGAATGAGCCATATTAACAATTTTTTTAACATATATTTTTTGAGACAGAATCTTACTCTGTCACCTAGCAGGCTGGAGTGCAGTGGTGCAATCTAGGCTCACTGCAACCTCCAGCTCCTGGGTTCAAGCAATTCTCCTGCCTCAGCCTCCCTGGTAGCTGGGATTACAGTCATGTGCTACCATGCCCGCCTAATTTTTGTATTTTTAGTAGACATGGGGTTTCACCATTTTGACCAGGCTGGTCTCGAACTGCTGACCTCAAGTGATCTGTCTGCCTCGGCCTCCCAAAGTACTGGGATTGCAGGTGTGAGCCACTGTGCCAGCCCATATTTTTCTTTTTCTTTTTCTTTTTTTCTTGGTATGTTTTGTAACATTTTTTGTTGAGACTGAATGTTCTGAGCATTATAATGTGATAACTCTGGAAATGAGATTCCCTCTCCTCTAGGACTGCTTTTGAGGCTGCAGTCATCCCTTTGTACAGTGACATTTCCAAACCATTTTTGCAAGGTGTCTTTCACTTGTCGTGTGTAGTCACTGAAGTTTTTGTTCCATTATCTCTGCAGTTAGCCTGCATCCTGATAGAGATTTCCTTAAATGTCGAAGTTCAGCATCCTCTCTCTTCACCAATCCCTGAGTGCAGGAACCATGTCATGATGGCATGGACATTGCCATGATTATTTCCATAGGTCCCACTCATACAAGAGGAATTCATACGTCAAGAATGTAATCACAAGTCAAGGGTATTAAATATTGCCAAATTACCCTCTAACATATTTTTACCAATTTAGTCTTCCACCAATAGATTATGAATACTCATTCTCATCTGCTCACCAACACCAAGCATTCTTTAAATCTTTGCCAATTTGAGAAATGAGTGATGTTTTATTGTGGTTTTAATTTTATTATTTTTTTACTAGTGAATTTGGTATATTCTTTAGTCTTTGGGATTTCTTTGTTGTTGTTGTTGTTAATTCGTGTCTTTGCTGAGCTTGAGGACATCCCTTTCTCTCTTTCCTTAGTCATTTATGAGTAAAAACTGTTTTCTAAAAACACCATAGTCTCTTTGAAAAAACAAACATTTAAAACATTATAATGGCCGGGCGTGGTGGCTCATGCTGTAATCCCAGCACTTTGGGAGGCCATGGCGGGCGGATCACGAGGTCAGGAGATCGAGACCATCCTGGCTAACACAGTGAAACCCCGTCTCTACTAAAAATACAAAAAATTAGCTGGGTGTGGTGGCAGGCACCTATAGTCCCAGGTCCTTGGGAGGCTGAGGCAGGAGAATTGCTTGAACCCGGGAAGTGGAGGTTGCAGTGAGCCAAGATCGTGCCACTGCACTCCAGCCTGGGTGACAGAGCAAGACTCCATCTCAAAAAATACAAAAAACAAAAACAAAAAAAATTATAACATGTCAGTTGGTTAACAGTATTGGGAAGATTGGCTTTCTATATGGCAAAAGATTAATTTGAACCTTACTTGACATCATATAGGAAAATCAATAGTCTGTATGGGATAAACAGCTCAAACTCCAAAGATGATGAGAGGAAATTGAGTGGAAGAATATCTTTTTGACATTGTGGCTAGGGAAGGACCATCAAAACAATATATAAAGGGGGAAATTGATTTACATGAACATATTAAAATGAAATATCTCTGTTCAAGAAAGAATGCCATGAGACATGAACAGAAGGCTGATAAACTAGAAGATATTTACAATGACTCTTAGTAACGAGGATTAATCTGGGAAAAAGATATGAGTAGGCAATGCACAAAAAAGAAATAATGACAAGTTAATAGATACATGGAAAGATGCTTACTATTACCAATAACCAGAAAATTGAAAACTTAAAAAAATGATATTTTACACTCATCTCAATGGCAAAAATTAGGAAGTCACATGATGTTAAGTGCTGGCAAGGATGGGAAAAAATGGGAGCCCCCTTGCATTGCTGGTAGAAGTGTAAATTGGTATAGCCATTTTGGAGACCTAGCTTTATTGTATCTAAAGTGTGCACATACCCCACAACCAGGCAATTCTACAATAGAAAACTACCACATGAGTGCAGAAGGAGACATCAAGAGTATTCTTTTTTTTTTTTGAGATAGAGTTTCACTCTTGTTGCCCAGGCTGGAGTGCAATAGCACGATGTCGGCTCACTGCAACCTCCGTCTCCTGGGTTCAAGCAATTCTCCAGCCTCAGCCTCCCACGTAGCTGGAATTACAGGCATGCGCCACCACACCTGGCTAATTTTGTATTTTTTAGTAGAGACGGGGGTTTCTCCATGTTGGTCAGGCTGGTCTCGAACTCCTGAACTCAGGCGGTCTGCCCACCTTGGCCACCCAAAGTGCTGGGATTACAGGCATGAGCATTCTTACCACAGCACTTGCTGTAGTAGCAAAGAGACAGAAGTTTCTTAGGGGTCTACCTAGAGGAACCTACTAATAGTAAAGTAAAATGTGTTATATGTATATGTATGTATGTGATATCTACATCACATATCCATATAATGGAATATAGTCAATCATTTGGAAGTAGTACATTTGTGATACATAAACTTGAGAATAATGTGGAGAGGTCTAAAAAATATAATGTTTAGTGAAAAAAGGTACAGAATAAGACAAAATGGGATTTTGCATGGAGCAAAAATGATAGCAGTTCATGAAAGGAAGAAACCATCTACTTAAAAGAGTGCACTTGAGGTAAAAATAGACATACTTACGTAAGTATGTGCACGCGTGTGTATAAGCAGGAGAGTTGAAAAGTCCTGTGTGTGAGTGTGTATAGATGTGTTTATAACAGCCTGACATAAGATTTAGGGGAACACAGAGGAAGGTTTTATATTCCAGAAGTTTAAATAATTTCAAATGGCATCCTCATATTCAAATGATCATTATCGTGACTATCCATTAGGGAATTTCGTCCAAATAAATTTCCATCTTAAAAGCTCTTTTATCCTCTTGCCCATCGTTAGTGAGTTGAATCATGCGCTACCCCTGCCAAAAGATATGTGTACGTTTAACCCCTGCTGAAACTGTGAATATGACCTTATTTGGAGAAAGGACCTTTGGGTCCTAATTTAGTGAGAAGTGTTTTTATAACAGACACACAGAGAAGAGACACATAAGGAGAAGCAGGAGAGACCTCGTGAGTACCAGCATACTGGAGTGAAGCAGCCGCAAGCCAAGGAACGCCTGGAGCCACCAGAAGCAGGAAGAGGCAGGGGAAGGTTCTCCCTCAGAGCCTTTGGAGGGAGCACACCCTACTGAAACCCAGAGTTTAGATTTCTGGCCTCCAGAACTGTGAGAATATCAATTTCTGTCATTTAAAGTCAGCAGGTTTGTGGTAATTTGTTGCAGTAAGCCCAGGAAACAGATGCACCCCTTCCCCTTTCCCCTTTCTAGCTCCTCATCTTTTCCTTAGGAGGAGCAAACCTGTCCCATGCAGGGTGGTTTTCCATTTTCTGTGTTTATAGGGTCTTACCCTCTATTTGTGTTTCCCCCGTCATGGTCCATTTGGGCTGCTATAACAAACTACCATAGACAGGGTGGCTCTTAAACGTCAGAAATGTATTTCTCACAGCTCTGGAGGCTGGCAGGCCAAGATGAAAGCACTGGCAGATTCGGTGTCTGGTGAGGGCTGCTTCCTGGCTCACAGATGGCATCCTCTCCTGCGTCCTCACATGGCAGGTGGGTGAGGGAGCCTCTAAAATCCCTTCATGAGGGCACGACTCCCACTCGTGAGGGCTCCACTCTTGCTCCCTAATCACCTCCCAAACAGCCTACATCCTAACACCATCACATTAGCGGTTACGGTGTTAACAGATGAATTTGAAGGAGGGAAAAGACACACAAAAATTCCACTCACAGCACCCAAAGTGAGATTTAAGGTGATGCAAGAACACAGCTTTAAATTTCACTGAATCGCACAATACACTCTATTTAGTAGTAAGATGAATTAGTCAAAGACAGTCTGTTTGGTGAGAATAAGCATATAACATCTAGCACGTACCAAACTCTCTTTTTATGAAAGAGAAAGCAAGCTTCAGCTTTGGCTTTCTTAAAGCTGGCGATGATATCTGGTTATATTAATAACATTGTTTTGGTTTCGCTGAATTTATTTTTATGCTTGGCTACCTTCTATTTACCATAAGTGATGCCAATTTTTCTTTTAGGCTTGTGATTGCAAGATTCCTTTGTAAACATATGAATCTAAATTAAAAAGTGAGTTAGTTTAAAGAAACATATTAACTAAATAACAGGAGGAATAATATACAGATATGGAAAAGTCTGAAGGTATGGAACTCTGTACTACCCCCAGAAGCTTATCAAAGCTTCTTTTTTTTTTTTTTTTTTTTAAGGAAAATGCCCTCTATGAGAAGAATTCTGATGCCAACACCAATCCATTTCTGAAATCTACTTCGATTCATCTCTTGGGTCAGTGTGTTTCATTTTCATTTACAAGAAGGGCTCGCGGGTTTTATGTTCTCTCAGTGTTTATATGTTTGACTGCTGTATCTGATTTAACAAGAACTTGTATGGTAGGAAATTGTCATGTTCCACTTTCTTTTCCTCAGAACTTTGTGTTCACTGTTTTATCATTTTCTTCCATCAAATGCTGCCTGATTCTCAGGGTCCTCTCCCAGCCCTACCCCACCATTGTAAGTGGATTGCTTTTTGTTCTTGGATACATGAGACCATTTTCTTTTACTTTGAAGTGTAGTAAATTCATCAAGTATGTCTCAGAGTTGAGCCAGCACTATCACTTCTTCCCAGAATCCAGAGAGCCCTTTCAATTTCCTAGCCAGCTCTTTCTTTCTTTTCTTTTATACTGGTGGATATTTTTTGTATTTCATGCATTGTAGTCTTTCTTTTGGGGAAACAAGGACCCATAGGTAGATCATTATCTATCCCTCATAGCTTAATCTTCATCCTAACCATTTCGACTTTATTGTCTTTTCCCTACACTCCTTCTATGATTATCTCAAGCTTTTTTGAATGTGATGAATTTAATATTTGACTGTTAATTTTGTTTCTTGCTCTTTCAAATTTACTTAACTCTGTAATTGCTGTTTTGATCTGCAATTTTTCCTTAGCTCTGTAACTACCATTTTTCCATCTTATTTTATTGTCTCATCTAAGTATTTATTTATTTTTGTTTCAATGAATTCATGTTTCCTTGTTTTTTTCTAGATACAAAATACTTGTCTTAGATTTTTTCCCTATTTCTTAGGCTTATATTAGATTTCAGGATGGATTTTTCACTTTCCCGTTTATACTATATTTCCTCTTCTTTTTTGTGTTAACCTCTCTGCATAGTTGCCATGAATTTTCTTTTATTCCTGCAGAATTTTTAATAAAAGGAGCTCTATCAGCGCATCCCATTTGCCTGTATATGGTGTAAATCAATTTTACTTGGTCCTCATCTCAATGTGTCTGAGTCCTGTTGTCTTCCCTTCAGTAGTGTTTGCTTCTATTCTTACAATCTTTCTTACCCTTAGCAAGTTACTTATGCTTTCTGTGCCTCAGTTTTGTCAACCTACATCCTATATACAGGTTCAGCACTAAATGAGCCATAATGTGTAAAATGCTTATAACAGTGTCTGGCATACACGAAGGCTATTATCTTCAGGAAGGGAGGCTCTCTTCTCTCCAATTTCTTTTTTCCCCCCAGCTTTTATTTTAGGTTCAGGGGGGTACATGTTCAGGTTTATTATATGAGTAAATTGTTTGTCATGGGGGTTTGGTGTACAGATTATTTCATCACCCATGTAATAAACATAGTACCTGACAGGTAGCTTTTCAATTCTCACCCTCCTCCCACTCTCCACCCTCAAGTAGGCCCTGGTGCCTATTGTTCCCTTCTTTATGTCCATGTGTACTCAATGTTTAGCTCCCGCTTATAAGTGAGAAAATCCAGTGTTTGGTTTTCTGTTCCTGTGTTAGTTCAGTTAGGATAATGGCCTCTAGCTCCATCCATGTTTCTGCAAAGGACATGATCTTGTTCTTTTTTATGGCTGCATAGAATTCCATGGTGTATATGTACCATAATTTCTTTATCCAGTCCACTCTTGATGGGAATTTAGGATGATTCTGTGTCTTTGCTATTGTGAATAGTGCTGCAGTGAACATACAAGTGCATCTGTCTTTACGATAGAACAATTTATATCCCTTTAGGCATATGCCCAACAGTGGGATTGGTGGGTTGAATGGTAGTTCTGTTTTAAATTCTTTGAGAAATTGCCAAACTGCGTTTCACCATGGCTGGGCTAATTTACACAGCCACCAGCAGTGGATGAGTGTTCCCTTTTCTCGGCAACCTTGCCAGCATCTGTTATTTTTTAACCTTTAAGTAATCGCCATTTTGACTGGTGTGAGATGCTATCTCATTGCGGCTTTAATTTTCATTTGTCTGATGCTTAGTGATGTTGAGCATTTTTTTCATATGCTTTTTGGTCATATGCTCTGTTGATACTTTCTTTTGCTGTGCAGAAGCTCTTTAGTTTAATTAGGTCCCATATGTCAAGTTTTGTTTTTGTCGTGGTTACTTTTGGTGTCTTCGTCATGAAATCTTTGCTAGGGCCAATGTCCATATGATATTTCCTAGGGTTTCTTCTAGGGTTTTTATAGTCTGAGATACTACATTGAAGTCCAGCACCATTTATTGAATAGAGAGTCCTTTGCCCATTGCTTGTTTTTGTCAACTTTGTCGAAAATCAGATGGTTGTAGGTGTGCAGCTGTATTTCTGAGTTGGCTAACCTGTTCTTTTGGTCTAGGTGTCTGTGTTTGTACCAGTACCATGCTGTTTTGGTTACTGTAGCCTTGTAGTATAATGTGAAGTTGAGTAGTGTGGTGCCTCTGCTTTTGTTATCTTCACTTAGGATTGCTTTGGCTACTTGAGCTCTTTTTTGGTTTCACGTGAATTTTAGAATGTTTTTTTCCCCTAATTCTGTGAAAAATGTCATTGGTGATTTGATAGGCATGACATTGAATCTGTAAATTGCTTTGGATAGTATGGCCATTTAAACTATTGATTCTTCCTGTTCATGAGCATGAAATGTTTTTGCATTTGTTTATGTCATCTCTCATTTATTTCAGCAGTGTTTTGTAATTCTTATTGTTGAGATCTTTCACCTCTCTGGTTAGCTGTATTACTAGGTATTTTTTTATTTTTTATGGCTATTGAGAAAGGGATTGCATTCTTGATTTGGATCTCAGCTTGCATGTTATTGGTATATAGAAATGCTACGAATTTCTGTACATCAATTTTGATCCTGAAGCTTTGCTAAAGTTCTTTATCAGATCTCAGAGCTTTTGGGCAGAAACTAAGGGTCTTCTAGGTATAAAATCATACCATCTGTGAAGAGAGATAGTTTGACTGCCTCTCTTCCTATCTGAATGCCTTTTATTTCTTTCTCTTTCCTAATTCCTCTGGCTAGGACTTCCAGTACTATGTTGAATAGCAGTGGTGAGAGTAAGTATCCTTGTCTCGTTCCAGTTCAAGGGTAATGTGTCCAGCTTTTGCCCATTCAGTGTGATGTTGGCTGTGGGTTTGTCATAGATGGTTTTTATTATTTTGAGGTATGTTTCTTCAATACCTAATTTGGGGAGGGTTTTTAACATGAAGGAATGTTGGTTTTTTTTTTTTGTTGTTTTTTGTTTTTGAGATGTAGTCTCACTCTGTCGGCCAGGCTGGAGTGCCGTGGTGTAATTTTGGCTCACTGCAACCTCCACCTCCTGGGTTCAAGCAATTCTTCTGCCTCAGCCTCCCAAATAGCTGGGATCACAGGCACCTGCCATCACACCCGGCTAATTTTTGTATTTTAGTAGAGATAAGGTTTCACCATGTTGGCCAGGCTGGTCTTGAACCCTTGACCTCAAGTGATCTGCCCACCTTGGCCTCCCGAAGTGCTGGGATTACAGACATGAGCCACCATACCCAGCCTGTGTTGAATTTTATTGAAAACCTTTTCTGTGTCTTTTGACATGATCATGTGGTTTTTGTTTTTAGTTCTGTTTCTGTGATAAATCACATTTATTGATTTACATATGTTGAACCAACCTGCCATCCCGGGGATAAAGCCTACTTGATCATAGTGGATTAGCTTTTTGATGTTCTGCTGGATTCAATTTGATAGTATTTTCTTGAGGATTTTTGCATCTATGTTCGTCAAGGATATTGGCCTGAAGTTTTCTTTTTTTGTTGTGTCTCTGCCAGGTTTTGGTATCAGAATGATGCTGTCCTCATAGAATGGGTTAGGTAAGAGTCCTTCTTCCTCAATGTTTTGGAATGGTTTATGTAGGATTGATACCAGCTCTTCTTTATATACCTTGTAGAATTTGTCTGTGAATCCGTCTAGACCAGAGTTGTTTTTTTTTTTTTTCGAGACAGAGTCTCGCTTTGTTGCCCAGGCTGGAGTGCAGTGGCACAGTTTTGGCTCACTGCAAGCTCTGCCTGCAGATTCACACCATTCTCCTGCCTCAGCCTCCTGAGTAGCTGGGACTACAGGTGCCCACCACCATACCCGGCTAATTTTTTGAATTTTCAGTAGAGACGGGGTTTCACTGTGTTAGCCAGGATGGTCTCGATCTCCTGACCTTGTGATCCACCTGCCTCGGCCTCCCAAAGTGCTGGGATTACATGCGTGAGCCACTGTGCCTGGCCAGACCAAAGCTTTTTCTAATTGTTAGGCTTTTTATTACTAATTCAATTTTGGAACTTGTTATTGATCTGCTCATGGTTTCAGTTTCTTCCTCATTCAATCTTGGGAGGTTGTCTTTGTCCAGGAATTTATCCCATTTCTTCTAGGTTTTCCAGCTTGGGTGCATAAAGGTGTTCATAATAGTCTCTGAGGTTTTTGTATATCTAGGGTCAGTGGTAATGTCCCCTTTGTCATTTCTAATTTTGTTTATTTGGATAGTCTGTTATTTTTTTATTAGTCTAGCTAGCGGTCTATCAATCTTATTTATTCTTCCAAAGAACCATCTTTTGGTTTTATTGATCTTTTGTATGGTGTTTTGTGTCCTAATTTCATTCAGTTCAGCTCTGATTTTGGTTATTTATTTTCTTCTGGTAGCTTTGGGGTTGGTTTTCTCTTATTTTTCTAGTTACTCTCAGTGTGATATTAGGTTGTTGAGATCGTTCTAACTTTTTGATATGGGCATTTAGCACTCTAAACTTTCCTTTTAACACTGCTTTAGTTGTGTCCCCGAGATTCAGGTATGTCACATCTTTATTTTCATTAGTTTCAAATAATTTCTTGATTTTGGCTTTAATTTCATTGTTTACCCCAAAGTCATTTAGGAGCAGGTTGTTTAATTTCCATGTAATTATATGATTTTTGAGACATCTTAGTATTGATTTCTGTTTATTGCACTGTGGTCCCAGAGTCTGGTTGGTATGATTTTTTTTTTAATTTGTTGAGAATTGTTTTATGGCTGATTATGTGATGGATTTTTAGAGTGTGTGCCATGTGCAGATGAGAAGAATGTATATTCTGCTGTTGATGGGTGGAGTGTTCTGTATATGCCTGTTAGGTGCATTGAGTCTAGAGTTGAGTTCAGGTCTTGAATATTTTTCCCTTTTCTTTCTTTCTTTTCTTTCTTTCTTTCTTTCTTTCTTTCTTTCTTTCTTTCTTTCTTTCTTTCTTTCTTTCTTTCTTTCTTTCCTTCCTTCCTTCCTTCCTTCCTTCCTTCTTTCTTTCATTCTTTCTTTTTCTTTTCTTTCCTTTCTTTCTCCTTCCTTCCTTCCTTTCTTTCTTTCTTATCTTTTTTCAAGGTCTCACTTTGTCACCTAGGCTGGAGTGCAGTGGTCTGATCTCAGCTGGCTGCAGCCTCAATCTCCCAAGTTCAAGTGATCCTTTCACCTCAGCTCCCCAAGTAGCTGAGACTACAGGCGTGACCCACCACACCCAGCTAATTTTTGTATTTTTTAGAAAGACGTAGTTTCTCCACATTGCTCAGGCTGGTCCTGAACTCCTGAGCTCAAGCAATCTGCCTACCTCAGCCTCCCAAAGTGCTAGGGTTACGGGCGTGAGCCACCGTGCTCAGCCTGGTCTTGAATATTTTTGTCAGTGTTCTGCCTTGATGATCTGCCTAGTACTGACAGTGGCGTATTGAAGTCTCCCACTATGATTGTGTGGTTATCTAAGTCTCTTTGTAGGTCTCTAAGAACTTGTTTTATGAATCTTGGTGTTCCGGTGTTGGGTGCATATGTATTTAGGATAGTTAAGTCTTCTTTTTGAATTGAACTCTTTATCATTATGTAATGCCCTTCTTTGTCTTTTTGGATGATTTCTGATTTAAAGTCTGTTTTATCTGAAGTTAGAGTAGCAACCCCTGCTCTTTTTGTGTTTTCTGTTTGCTTTGTAGATTTTTGTCTGTCCCTTTACTTTGAGCCTATGGGCGTCATTGAATGTGAGATAGGTCTCTTAAAGACAGCATACAGTTGTATCTTGCTTCTTTGTCCAGCTTGCCACTCTGTGCCTTTTAAGTGGGGTGCTTAGCCTGTTTATTTTCAAGGTTAATATATGCTGATTTGATCCTGTCAGTATGTTGTTAGCTTCTTCCCCAACTTGTAAGTGTTGAGTACCCACAGACTCCATCCTCAGACCTCTCCTGTATCCACACTAACTCCCATGGGATCTCATTCCCTATTGTTGTGTTAGCATCATGCACATATAATGACTTGTATTTCTAACTGCCTATTCAATATTGCTGCTTGAGTGTCTAATAGACATCCATAATATATAGGAAAAAAACTTTTTTCTACTCTCACACTTAACACAGAACACTGCCGTGACCAAAATGTGTGGGTGTTTCCCAAGCAATTTGCCAGTAGTACCAATTGGGTGCCCTACAATCCAGTTCAATTCTGACACTAACTAGTGTTACTGCAGATCCCACAGGTTAGGGCAAAATCCCACAAGACTGTTCCTCTACTTTAGATACCAATCACAAGTCCCAGGTTGTCACCTATACTTCTGACCAACTAGCTATAAAATTGGGCTTCCCAGGATCCCCTCCTCAGGTTCGATAATTTGCTGGATGGCTCACGGAACTCAAGGAAACGCTTACTTATATTTACTGGTTTATTATTTAATAAAGATTATGCTAAAATACAGATAGCCCTATGAAGAGGTACGTGGGGGAGATAAGGAAGAGTCCTGAGCTCAGGAGATACAAGGGTTTTAGGCACTCCACGCCAGGAACTGGGGAGAAAGACCAAAATATTTATATGTAACTGTCTAATAGACATCTCAAACTTGATATGTTCAATATCAATCTCCAGTACCTCTCCTCCCCTGAACCTGCTCCTCTTGTAGTCTTCACCATCAGAGTTAATGGTAATACCATCCTTTCATTTGCTCAGGACAAAAACATTGGAAAAATATTTGGCTTGTTTTTCTCATAGGTGTCACATTCAACTCAATTCTTCAAAATTGAAAAAACTATAATCCCGAATCCTACCACTTCTTGTCATTTCCAGTGTGACTCCTTGTCCAAACCACTACCGTCTGGCAAATGCCATGCATCATTGCAATTGCCTCCCAAATGGAGTGTCTGCTCCTGTCCTTGACCTCTCAAGTCTGTTATCAATACATCGAAAAGTGCAATTTGGTTAACATCTAAATTAAATCAATGTCACTCCTCTCCTCATATCCCTCCAATGTCATTCATGTCACTAAGAGAAAAAAAGGAAGTCTTTACAAGATTCTATATGATATGGCCCCCTGCGATCTCTCTGATTTTATCTCCTGCTACTCTCTCCTCGTTTGTTCCACATTCCATCAACACACAAGATAGACTCATACCCATCAGGAATAGATGTCAGATTTCATAATTTTTTTTCTGTGTATGTTAATTGTATGGTTGTTTTTTAAAAAAATACTTGTCAATATGGTAAATTACATTGACTGATGTTTGAATGTTAACCTAATTTTGCATTCCTGGGTTAAACTCAACCATTATCCATTTTACATATTGTTAGATTTTATTTTTTAAATTTTTGTTAAGAATTTTTGCATCTCTCGTTATGGAGGATATTGCCTTTTAGTTTTCTATCCCTGAAGTATCTTTAGTTTTGGCATCAGTGTTATCTTCATCACAAAGAAGTTGTGATTGTGATGTACTCTTTACTCCAATGAATTTGCAGTTTTCTTTGAGATAAAGTTTTTTATTAAAAATTTAATTTATCAGCATGATGTGATGGCTCATGCCTGTAAGCCCAATGCTTTGGGAGGCCAAGGCAGGAGGATCACTTGAGGCCAGAAGCTTGAGACCAGCTTGGGCAACATAACAAGACCCTCTCTACAAAAAAAAAAAAAAAAAAAAAAAAAAAAACTTATTTATATACGGATATTTATGTTTTTCATTTCTTCTTGAGTTTTAGTAATTCTTTTATTTCAAAAAATTTGCCTAATTATTTAAAATTGTAAATTGATTGGCAAAAAGTTATTCTTAACATTCCCTTGTTATATTTTTGAAATCTAAAGAATCTGTGGTGAAGGTACCTCTCTTATTCCTGATATTGGTAATTTGCGATGAGTTTTTCCCCCTAACCAGTCTAGCTAGAGGTTTGTCAATCTTACTGATCTTCCCATAGTACCAACTTTTAATTTCACTAATTTTCTCTATTGTTTTCTGTTTTTATTTCAAGAATTTCTGCTCTGATAAGTATTATTTCTGTCTTTTGGTTACTTTGGTTTTCCTTTGCTCTTATTTTTTGTTTCTTAAAGTAGCAAATAAGATCATTGATTAGCAGCCTTTCTCTTTTCTAATATATTTCCCTCTAAGTAGTGTTTTGGCTGCATCTTATTCTTTAGTTATGTTGTTTCTTCATCTTTGTTTTATTTAAAATACTTTCTACCTTCCCATTATTTTAACCCATGAGCTATTAGAAATCCGTTAGTCAAATCCCAAATATTTAAGGGATTTTTCCACAGAACTTTCTGTTGTTAATTCTAATTTAATTTCATTGTGGTCATAAAATATACTTTTTATGACTTGAATCCTTTTAAATGTATTGATGGCTAATAATATGGTATAACATTGTAAATGTTTTTGAAAAGAATGTGTGTTTTGCTGTTGTTGGAAGCTGTATTCTGTAAACGCAATTTAGATCAAATTAGTTGATAGCATTGCTCAAATTGAATGTACTCTTACTTTCTATCAATTATTATATCAATTATTTGTTATATCAATTATTGAAAGAGGAGTATTGAAATGTTCAAGTATGATGGTAGATTTGTTTATTTCTCTTGCAATTCAGTTATTTTCTTCGTGTATGTTGAGGCTCTGTTATTAGGGGAATAAACATTTTGGATTTTATCTTATCTTTATGAATTAACCCCTTTATCACTGTGAAGTGATCCTTATTATCCCTGGTTTTATATATATATATATATATATATATATATATATATCATAAAATATATATTATATAAAATATATAAAAATATATATTATATATATAAAATATATAAAAATATATTATATATATAATCTATAAAATATATTATATATAAAATATATAAAAATATATAAGATATATATTATATATAATATAAAAATATATATCATAGATGTAAAATATATATATTATATATTTTTATATTGTATAATATAAAAATATATAATACATAAAATGTATATATAATATATAATATATAAAAAATATATACATAAAATATGTATAATATATAAAATATATAAAAATATGTATAATATATACTATATAATATGTATTATATATAATATATATAAAATATGTATAATATATAATATATAAAATATGTATTATATATAATATGTAACATATATTATATGTAATATGTAACATATATATTATATATAATATGTAACATATATTATATAAATATATAATATATATTATATAAAATATATATAATATATAATATATTACATTGTATAAATATATAATTAATATATTATATAAATATATATAATGTAATATATTATTTAATATAATATATTATAAATATATATAATGTAATATATTATTTAATATTTAATATGTAATATATAATTAAATTATATTAATTTATAAATAATATATAATTATATATATTAATTATATTATATATAATATATTATTATATATAATACATATAATTTATATATAATATATAATTTAATTATAAATTAAATTAAATTTAATGATATATAAAATTTAATTTAATAATATATAATGTAATATTATATTATTTAGTATTTAATTTAATATTATGTATTAAATATTATACATAATATATAATGTAATATACATAATATATAATGTAATATATTATACATAATATATAATGTAATATATTATACATAATATATAATGTAATATATTATACATAATATATAATGTAATATATTATACATAATATATAATGTAATATATATATTTTGCTTTGGAAAATCTATTTTGTCTGATAGTAATATAGTTACTTCAGCCTTATTTTGATCAATGTTGGTATGGTATATCTTTTGTTATTATTTAATTTGACTTATTTATGTCTTTATGTTTAAAGTAGCTTTCCCCACTGGGTACACATGAACATAAAGGTGGGAACAATGGACAGTGTAGAGTCCAAAACGGGGGAGGGAGGAAGGGGAGCCAGGATTAAAAAATAATCTTCTGGGCTCTGAATTCACTATTTGGGTGATGGGTTCAGTTGAAAGCCCAAACCTCAGTATCATGTAATATATCCATGTAACAAACCTGGACACGTAGCACTTGAATCTAAAATTTAAAAAATAGAAAGGTTTTCCTGTGGGCAGCATATAGTTGAATCTTCCCTTTTCATACAATCTGACAGTATCTGTCTTCTAATTGGATTGTTTAGGTAACTTACTCTTAATGTATTTATTGATCTGTTTGGGTTTAAGTCTGTTACATTGCTGTCTGTTTTCTATTTATCCATCTGCTCTTTGTTTCCTTCTTCTTTTCTTTTCTGGCCTATATGTATTTCTTTTATGCCCCCATTTTATTTTCTTTGTTGGCTTACTAGCTATAAATTTCTTTTGCATTATTAAATTTCTCAATTCTCAGCAACTATATATTGAAAATTCTATATCTTACCCTTCTATTTGTTCTCTCCTTCAGCTGTCCAGAGGCCAACTGTTGGTCTGAAAGTATTTGTTACAAGCAAGCACCATTAAGCACATTGTTTAGTCTAGCTGACATTATTTTTGGAACCAAGTCTTTCTTTATTATAAAAAAGCAGTGCATTGGTTTAAATTCTGGAACGAGCTCCTTTATCTCATACTGGCTTTGTGCAGCAGTGTTCTAGATGTTATAGAAATAGGCACAGGGTACAGTTCTGTCTTGGCAAGGCCAGAAAGGCCTTTAAGGCTGCTGCAACACTTAGGCTGAGCCTTCAAAGATGGCCAGTTTGTTCATCCAGAAAATGGGGTAGGAAAGAACATTCCACATGTTACAAGTTTCTTGAGGTCAGGGACTTTGTCTTCTTCATCTCGGTAGCCTCATAACAATGCCTGACACATAATAAATGCTCAATAAATGTCTGTAGGATTGAACTTAACAAATAGTGGGAAGTAATGTCAGTTAAAGTGCCAAAATAATAGATATAGGTGTCTCTCTGGGGGCAGCAAGTGTAGGGTGAAAAATGATGCTAGAGAAATAACAAAAAAATCACACATGGAAGGCATTGTTTGGCATGTTAAGGGTCTCAAATCTTATCCTAAAAAGTATAGAAGGTTAGTTAAAGGGTTTCAAGCGGATGTCATCAGATTCACATTTTAGAAGATCCCTCTGAGTGCACTGTAAAGGGTGGTTCAGATTGGGCTAATCTGAAGGTAGAGAGACCAGATGGGGGCTCTTGCAGTAGTCCCCCAGAAATATGGCGAGAACCTGAGCTAAGATTGGCTTCCCACCATGGAGCAGTCATTTCTGTCTCCAGACATAGACTCAGTGGAAATTCTCCCAGCTCTGAGATATTCAATGGTATTAGGTAGCAACCAGTACCTTTCTCTCTCCTCCTAGACCTAGGAAGTCCATGCTTGCCTTGTTCTGGATGTTTGAAATGGAAGAGTGAACAACATCTTAAGGGGGCATGAAGGAGCAGAAGATAGTGTCATCCAACTATACATTATTGCCATTTCCTTCTACTGGGAATCAAATATGTCCCCAAAGACAGTGCCCCTGAACAAAAGGAAAGACAGCCAACACTTCTCATTGCAAGAGTTCTTTCTGGATACCTGTTATTCTTGCCCAAAATACTTCTTTAACCAGAAAATTAGAAATTTTTCTTCATACTCTCATACCCTAGAGAACCCTGTCTTAGTCTGTTTTATGTTGCTATATCAGAAGACCTGAGACTGTGTAATTCATAAAGAAAAAATATTTTATTTGGCTCACAATTCTGGAGGCCAGGAAGTCCCAAACTGAGCAGCCCATCTCTGAGGGTCTTGTGCTGCTTCAACTCATGGCAGAAAATGGATGGGGGAGTGGGAATGTCCAAAGAGATGAAACATGAGAAGGAAAAACTTGTTGTCATGGTAACTAACCAAGTCTGTAAGAGTGAAACTCACTCCCGAGAGGCGGCATTAATCTATCCATGAGAGATCTGTCCCCATGATCCAACACCTCCCACTAGACCCCACCCCCAACACCGCCACACTGGCATTTAAATGTCAACATGAATTTTGGTGGTGACAAACCACATCCAAACCATAGCAAACTCTCTCACCTTCCCATCCTTTATACACTCAACTTTTATACACTTCAAGGAGCAAATCTAGTTTACTAATTCCTTCTCTGTAATTTATTTTATTTCTAAAGCAGGTGCTGTGTGAGGGAAACAAATATCTGGTTTGCAAGAGACAGAAGTGAAGGAGAAACAATACCAATGATGATAATAATGATAAAGAAAGACACCCAGGAGGAAAACTGCCTAACATTGATATGTGACAATCAAATGTGTGTGTCTGTGTGTGTGTGTGTGTGTAATTTCAGCAAAGTGCAGTTGTGGAAGCTGTAAGAGTACACAGGTACATTAACAATTAATTTTCTAGGCGAGTAACTGACTCCTGGCCAAAATTTCCTGTCATGGATGACAAGCATATCCAAACTTGCCCATAGGCTCATGCTTTCATAACACACCTAGTGTCCTGCTGTCACCTTTTCCCCCAAATACCTCCAATGATTTGAAAAAATGAAAAAGAAAAGACAATATTTATTCATTTTGTCCTGATAGATTGCTTTATTAATTCTGTGAGAGAGAGGAGGACAAACCAAGAGGCTAGCTGAAGTTACATAATGGGTGATGAGTGTCCAATTCTAGGGTATTTCTCCTTGATAAATGATTTATTATTATCACAAAAGATACCAAATTTTGATACTCTAAATAGCAGTGCTGTCCAGTAGAGGTAAAGTGTGCCATAGTCATAAACTTAAAATTTCTAGTAGACTCATTAAAAAGGTAAAAACAGGAGAAATGAATTTTAATGCTATATTTTATTTAACCCAATATTAACAATTATTATTTCAATATAAAAATAATCTCATATTAATGAGGTTTTAATATATTTTTTCATACTAAGTCTTGTACACCTGGTGTGCATTTCATGCTTACAGCACATCTCCATTAGCACTAGCCACAATTCAGGAGCTCAGTAGACACGAACTAGTGGCTTGCATATAGGAGGGTGCATGTCTAGAGTTTCTTAGGTAATTTGACTTCTTCAAGGGGCCTTAATCATGGCCTAAGGAGCCTAGATTTACTTTGCTAGGGCTGTTTTCAACAAGTGCATGCATAATTCTAGTAGGGTGAGGGTACCGATAGGGTGAGAAAAAAAAGGATGTATGGGATTCTGAGCCCAGCCCATCCAATCTCCAGAGATGCACTGGTGTCAACTTCAAGCTACCTTGTCACAGATGCCATTGAGCCAAATCATAAGGCAAAGGAAGCCTAGGTTGCAATGGGGCAGATGAAGCCCAATTTATACTCCCATTCTGGTGGGTCTGTAGTACTTTTCTTAGCTGTTTCTCAGAATTTGTCTAGTTTATGTTCCCTGCTGTGTGTCTATAATGATCCTTAAGAAGAATGGACAGTCCCATAGGAGATTAGAGGTGGGAGGGGCTTTAGGGGTTCTTTGGTGCAACCTCCTCCTTTTATAGTTGAGGACAGTGAGACCTAGAATGTCAGAAACTTGCCAGGGGGCCCATAGCTGGCCAGAAGCAGAACCCCTCTTAGCCTTGAGGATCCCAGGCTGTTGTCTCTTTCTCTGCACCAGATAGATACAAGAATGTGCTCGGCTGACAATCCATAGCTAATGTTTCCTGGGGCCTCTAAGGCCCAGTGTATCCAGAAAAAGAAAAATCAGTCATTAGGGCAGATTGGATTATGCAGCTGGATATTATACATGTTGAGAAATTCTCAGGATAAAAAGCAAGTGCTAGAAATGTTCATGTGCAGACTGGGGAAGATGAGCCAGTGCAGGATCAACAGACACTTGCACCCTTCCTTCCCTGTGGCCCCACAGACCAAAGGTCTGAACTGTTCAAATAAAAGACAAGTTGTAAGACTTGTTAAAATTTCAAGACCTAGCCATATGTTACCTACAAAGAATGTACTACAAGTATAATGAAAAGAAATTAAAAGTAAAAAGATAGAAAGATATATACCATGCAAACACTAATCATAAGAGTGCTAGGGTGGCTATATTAATAACAGAAAAGGTAGATTTCAGAACAGAAATATTACCAGGGAAAAAGAGAAATGTTTTATAATACTAAATGGGGTACATTAATAAAACAAGACATAATTCTAAGTGTCTATGCACCTAATGACAGAGTTTCAAAAAAGCATCAAGCAAAATCTGAGAGGCTGAAAAGAGGAATAGATAAATCCACAATTATGGTTGGAGGTTGTAAAACTCTTCTCTCAGTAATTGATAGTACAAGTAAATAGAAAGTCACTAAAAATATAGAAGCCCTGAAAATGTTATCAGTTACTTTAACCTGTTAGACATTTTTCAAACAATATATCCAACAATGGCAGAATACACACATGAGGAATATTCATCAAGGTAGATCATATTGCTGAACAATAAAACAATTCTTTTTTTTTTCTCTTTTTTGAGACAGAGTCTTTCTCTGTTGCCCAGGCTGGAGTGCAGTGGTGCGATCTCAGCTCACTGCAACCTCTGCCTCCTGAGTTCAAGCGATTCTCATGCCTCAGCCTCCTGAGTAGCTGGGATTACAGGGGTGCACCACCACGCCCGGCTAATTTTTGTATTCTTAGTAGAGATGGGGTTTCACCATGTTGGCCAGGCTGGTCTCAAACTCCCGACCTCATGTGATCCGCCTGCCTTGGCCTCCCAAAGTGCTGGGATTACAGGTGTGAGCCACCGCACCTGGCAACAATTCTTAATATATTTAAAAGAACTAAAGTTGGGTTCTCTGATTTTTGTATAATTAAAATTATAATTCAATGCTAAAAATATATTTGGAAAATTTCCCAAATATTTGAAAATTAAATAACAGACTTCTAAATACCCCATAAGTCAAAAAAATCATAAAGGAAACTAGAAACATTTTTTAACTAAATAAAAATAAAAACATGGCATATAAAAGTTTGTGGGATGTCACTAAAGCTGTACTTACAAGAAAACTAACTTCAGATGCTTGCTAAAGGGGAAAAGGTGTAAACCAAAAGTGAGTGGAAGAAAGGAAATAGTAAAATGTGAAAATTAATGAAATATTGAAGCATTATTCACAATAGCAAAGACATGGAATCAACCTAAATGCCCATCAACTGTAGACCGGATAAGGAAAATGTGGTACACATACACCATGGAATTCTATGCAGTCGTGAAAAAGAACAAGATCATGTCCTTTGCAGGGACGTGGATGGAGCTGGAGGCCATTATCCTCAGCAAACTAATACAGGAACAGATGACCAAACACTACACGTTCTCACTTGTAAGTGGGAGTTAAATGATGAGAACACATGGACACACAGAGAGGAGCAACACACACTGGGGCGTATTAGAGGATGGAGGGTGGGAGGAGGGAGAGAGTCAGGAAAAACAACTAATGAGCACTAGGCTTAATACCTGATTGAGGAAATAGTATGTATAACAAATCTCCATGACATAAATTTACCTATGTGACAAACCTGCACTTGTACCCCTGAACTTAAAAAAAAGAAAACTAATGAAATAGAAAAAAGAGAAAAATCAATGAAATTAAAAAAAGATTTCTTTGAAAAGATTAATATTAATAAGCTTCTTGCTGGACTGATAAGGAAAAGACACAAATGACCAATATTGTGAAAGAAAGATCTTAGAGATAGTAAAAGGATAAGACATATTAAAAATACTTTATCAAAATAAATTTGATTACCTACATAAAATGGACGAATTCCTTAAAAAACACAAATTGCCAAACTGACAAAAGAAATAGAAAATCTGAACGGTCATTAACTGTTAAGTAAATTAAAACTGTAATTCAAAACTTCCCATAAAAAGCTCCAGGCCCAAATAACTTCACATATGAATTCTAACAAATGATTAAGGGGAAAATAATACAAATTTAGGACAACTTTTTCAGAAAATGGAAAAAGAGGGAACAGTTTCCGACTCACTTTATGAGACCAGAATCCCCTGACCAAAACTAGACAAAGACATTACAGGAAAATGAGAGCAATATTCCTCATGAATATAAACCCCGAAACTCTTAACACATATTACCACATGAAATCCAGAAATATATGAAAAGGATAATACTTATTAAATAATGAATATTATAATAATATTATATTATAAAAAATAGTAAATGCTTATTTGTCCTCTGGGCCTCATTTTCTTTACCTGTAAACCAAAAAGGTTGAACTAGAGCTAGGTAATTTCATTTAGGTCTTAAACTTTATGATTTGGTTAGCTTGGCTTCTGGTCCGGACTCCCCTATCTCTCTCTCTCTCTCTTTTTTTAGAACTTTTATTTTAAATTGAGGGGTACGTGTGCAGGTTCGTTACATAGGTAAAGGTGTGTCATGGGGCTTTGTTGTGCACATTATTTCATCACCCAACTATTGTGCTAGTACCCGTTAGTTATTTTTCCTGTGACCCTCTCCCTCCTCCAACCCTCCACCCTCCAATAGGCCCCAGTGTGTATTGTTCCCCTCTATGTGTCCATGCATTCTCAGTGTTCAGCTCCCACTTATAAGTGAGAACATGTGGTATCTGGTCGTCTGTTCCTGCATAGTTTGCTGAGGATAATGGCCTCCAGCTCCATATACATCCTTGCAAAGTACATGATCTTGGTTTTCTTATGGTTGCATAGTATTCCGTAGTATATATGTACCACATTTTCTTTATCCAGTCTACAGTTGATGGGGATTTAGGTTGATTCTATGTCTTTGCTATTGTGAATAGTGCTTCAGTGAACATATGTGTGCATTTGTCTTTAGGATAGAACGATTCATATTCCTTTAGGTGTATACCCAGTAATGGGATTGCTGAGTCAAGTGGTATTTCTGTCTTTAGGTCTTTGAGGAATTGCCACATTGTCTTCCACAATGTTTGAAACTAATTTACACTCCCACCAACAGTGTATAAGCCTTCCTTTTTCTCCACAACCTTGCCGGCATCTGTTATTTTTTGACTTTTAAATGGTAGCCATTCTGACTGGTGTGAGATAGTAGCTCATTGTGGCTTTGATTTGCATTTCTCTAATGATCAGTTATGTTGTGCATTTTTTTCATATGATTGTTGGCCACATGTATATCTTCTTTTGAAAATTGTCTGCTCATGTCCTTTGCCCACTTTTTAATGGGGTTGTTTTTTTCTTGTAAATTTGTTTAAGTTCCTTATAGATGCTGGATATTAGACCTTCGTCAGTTGCCTAGTTTGCAAACATTTTCTCCCATTCTGTAGGTTGTCTGTTCACTCTGTTGATAGTTTCTTTTGCTGTTCAGAAGCTGTTTAGTTTAATTAGATCCCATTTGCCAATTTTTGCTTTTGATGAAATTGCTTTTGGCATCTTCAACGTGAAATCTTTGCCCATTTCTATATCCAGAATGATATTACCTAGGTTTTCTTCCAGAGTTTTTATAGTTTTGGGTTTTACATTTAAGTCTTTAATCCATCTTGAGCTAATTTTTGTGTACAGTATAAGGAAGCATTCCAGTTTCAATCTTCTGCATATAGCTATCCAGTTATCCCAGCATCATTTATTGAGCAGAAAATTGTTTCCCCATCGCTTGTTTTTTCAGGTTTATCGAAGATCAGATAATTGTAGGTGTGAGGTCTTATTTCTGGGTTCTCTATTCTGTTCCTTTGGTCTATTTGTCTGTTTTTGTACCAGTACCGTGCTGTTTCAGTTACAGTAGTTCTGTAGTGTAGTTTGAAGTCGGGTAGGTTTGCTCTTTTTGGTTAGGATTGCCTTGGCTATTCAGGCTCTTTTCTGGCTCCATATGAATTTTAAAATAGTTTTTCTAACTCTTGAAGAATGTCAATAGTAATTAAATAGGAATAACATTGAATCTATAAATTGCTTTGGGCAGTACGGCCATTTTAATGATATTGATTCTTCCTATCTATGAGCATGGAATGTTTTTCCATTTGTTTGTGTCATTTCTGATTCCTTTGAGCAGTGTTTTATAGTTCTGCTTATAGAGATCTTTCACCTCTTTGTTTAGCTGTGTTCCTCAGTATTTTTTTTAAATTTTTTTAAGTTCTCGGGTACATGTGTAGGATGTGCAGGTTTGTTACATAGGTAAACGTGTGCCATGGTGGTTTGCAGCAGCTATCACCGCATCACCTAGATTAAGCCCAGCATGTGTTAGCTCTTTTCCCTAATGCTCTCCTTCACCGTCCTCCCCCAACAGGCCCCAGTGAGTATTGTTCTCCTCCTGTGTCCATGTATTCTTATTGTTCAGCTCCCACTTATAAGTGAGAACATGCAGTATTTGGTTTTCCGTTCCTCTGTTAGTTTGCTGAAGATAATGGCTTCCAGCTTCATCCATGTCCCTGCAAAAGACATGATCTCATTTCTTTTAATGGCTGCACAGTATTCCATGGTGTATATGTAGCACATTTTCTTTATGCATTCTATCACTGATGGGCATTTGGGTTAATTCAATGTCTATGCTATTGTGAATAGTGCTGCAGTGAACATATGCATGCATGTATCTTTATAACAGAATGATTTATATTCCTTTGGGTATATACCCAGTAATAGGATTGCTGGGTCAAATGGTATTTCTGGTTCTAAATATTTGGGGAATTGCTACACTGTCTTCCACAATGGTCGAACTATTTACATTCCCACCAACAGTGTAAAAGCATCCCTATTTCTCTGCAACCTCACCAGTATCTGTTGTTTCTTGACTTTTTAATAATTACCATTCTGACTGGCGTGAGAGGGTATCTCATTGTGGTTTTGATTTGCATTTCTCTAATGATCAGGGATGTTGAGCTTTTTTCCATATGTTTGTGGGCCACATTATGTCTTTTTTTGAGAAGTGTGTGTTCATATCCTTTGCCCACTTTTTAAGGGATTGTTTGTTTTTTTCTTGTAAATTTGCTTAAGTTCCTTGTAGATTCTGGATATTAGACCTTTGGGTAGATTGCAAAAATTTTCTCCCATTCTGTAGGTTGTCTGTTCACTCTGTTGATAATTTCTTTTGCTGTGCAAAAGCTCTTCAGTTTAACTAGATCCCATTTGTCAACTTTTGCTTTTGTTGAAATTGCTTTTGATGTTTTCGACATGAAATTTTTGCCTGTGCCTATGTCCTGAATGGTATTGCCTAGATTTTCTTCTAGGATTTTCATAGTTTTGGCTTTACATTTAAGTCTTTAATCCATCTTGAGTTAATTTTGGTATAAGGTGTAAGGAAGGGATCCAGTTTCAATTTTCCGCAACATGGCTAGCCAGTTCTCCCAGCACCACTTATTGAATAGGGAATCCTTTCTTCATTGCTTGTTTTTGTCAAGTTTGTCAAAGATCAGATAATTGTAGTTGTGTGGCCTTATTTCTGGGTTCTCTATTCTGTCCCATTGGCCTACGTGTCTTTTTTTGTACCAGTACCATGCTGTTTTGGTTACCATAGCCTTGTAGTATAGTTTGAAGTTGGGTAGCATGATGCCTCTAGCTTTGCTCTTTTTGCCTGGGATTGTCCAGGCTAAATGAATTCTTTTTTGGTTCCATATGTATTTTAAAATAGTTTTTTTTTTCTAATTCTGTGAGGAATGCCAATGGTATGGTAATGGCAATAGCATTGAATCTATAAATTGCTTTGGGCAATGTGGCCATTTTCATGATATTGATTCTTCCTGTCCATGAGCATGGAATGTTTTTCCGTTTGTGTCCTCTCTTATTTCCTTGAGCAGTGGTTTGTAATTCTCCTTGAGGAGGTCCTTTGTGTCCCTTGTTAGCTGTATTCCTGGGTATTTTATTCTCTGTGTGGCAGTTGTGAATGGGAGTTCATTCATGATTTGGCTCTTTGCTTGTCTGTTGTTGGTGTATAGGAATGCTTGTGATTTCTGCACATTGATTTTGTATCCTGAGACTTTGCTGAAGTTGCTTATCAGCTTAAGAAGCTTTTGGGCTGAGTCGATGGGTTTTCTAGATACAGGATCATGTCATCTGCAAACAGGGATAGTTTGACTTCCTCTCTTTTTATTTGAATACACTTTATTTCTTTCTCTTGCCTGATTGCCCTGGCCAGAACTTCCAACACTATGTTGAATAAAAGTGGTGAGAGAGGGCAACCTTGTCTTGTGCCAGTTTCCAAGGGGAATGCTTCTAGCTTTTTCTCATTCAGTATGATATTGGCTGTGGGTTTGTCATAGATGGCTCTTATGATTTTGAGATGGGTTCCTTCAATACCTAGTGTATTAAGAGTTTTTAACATGAAGGGGTGTTGAATTTTACTGAAAGCCTTAATTTTTTGCATCCATTGAGATAATCATGTAGTTTTTGTCTTTAGTTCTGTTTATGTGATGAATCACATTTATTGATTTGTGTATGTTAAACCAATCTTGCATCTCAGTGATAAAGCTTACTTGATTGTGGCGGATAAATCTTTTTTTTTTTTTTTTTTTTTTTTGAGAAGGAGTCTCGTTCTGTCGCCCAGGCGGGAGTGCTGTGGCGCGATCTCCGCTCACTGCAAGCTCCGCCTTCCGGGTTCACGCCATTCTCCTGCCTCAGCCTCCCCAGTAGCTGGGACTACAGGCGCCCGCCACTGCGCCCGGCTAATTTTTTGTATTTTTAGTAGAGACGGGGTTTCACCGTGGTCTCGATCTCCTGACCTCGTGATCCGCCCGCCTCGGCCTCTCAAAGTGCTGGGATTACAGGCGTGAGCCACCGCGCCCGGCCGGCGGATAAATCTTTTGTTGTGCTATTGGATGTGGGTTGCCAATATTTTGTTGAGAATTTTTGCATCGATGTTCATCAGGGATATTGTCCTGAAGTTTTCTTTTCTTGTAGTATCTATGCCAGGTTTTGGTATCAGGATGATGATGGCCCCATAGCATGAGTTAGGGAGAAGTTCCTCCTTTTCAGTTGTTTGAAATAGTTTCGGAATAAATGCAACCAGCTTCTCTTTGTACCTCTGGTAAAATTCAGCTGTAAATCCATCTGGACTTGGACTTTTTTTGATTGGTAGGATATTTATTACTGCTTCAATTTTAGAACTTGTTATTGCTCTATTCAGGGATTCAACTTCTTCCTGATTCAGTCTTGGAAGTGTGTATTTATCTAGGAATTTATCCATTCCTTCTAGATTTTCCAGTTTATTTGCATAGAGGTGTTTATAGTATTCTCTAATGGTTGTTTGTATTTGTGTGGGATCAGTGATGGTATCCCCCTTATCATTTCTTATTGTGTTTATTTGAATCTTCTTTTTTCTTCTTTGTTAGTCTTGCTGGTGGTCTATCTATTTTGTTGATTTTTTTCAAAAAACCAGCTCCTGGATTCATTGATTTTTTTTGAAGGGCTCTTTGTGTCTCTGTCTCCTTTAGTTCTGCTCTGAGCTTGTTTTTGTCTTGTCTTCTATTAGCTCTGGGGTTTGTTTGCTCTTGGCTCTCTAGTTCTTCTAGTTGTGGTGTTAGGGTGTTGATTTGAGATCTTTCTAGCTTTTTGACGTGGGCATTTAGTGCTGTAATTTCTCTGTTAACACCGCTTTAGCTGCATCCCAGAGATTTCTCATTGGTTTTAAAGGCCTTCTTGATTTCTGTCCATCACGTCATTTATGTTCCTCTCTAAACTGGTTATTCTAGTTAATAGCTCCTGTAATCTTTTATCATGGTTCTTACCATCTTTACATTGGGTTAGAACATGCTCCCTTAGCTCAGCAAAATTAGTTATTACCCACTTTCTGAAGCCTACTTCTGAAGTACTTCTTGTCAGTTCATCCATCTCAGCTTCAGCCCCATTCTGTGCCCTTGCTGGAGAAGTGTTGCAGTCATTTGGAGGAGAAGACACATTCTGGCTTTTGATATTTTCAGTGTTTTTGCGTTGGTTTTTCCTAAACTTCATGAAATTTATCTACCTTTAATATATGAGGCTGTCAACCTTTGGATGAGGTTTTTGTGGGGTCTTTTTTGTTGACGTTGTTGTTGTTGTTGCTTTCTGTTTGTATTTCTTCTAACAGGCCCGTCTTTTCAGATCTGCTGCAGTTTGCTGGAGGTCCACTCCAGACCCTGTTTGCCTGAGTATCACCAGTGGAGGCTGCAGAACAGCAAAGATTGCTGCATGCTCCTTCCTCCGGAAGCTTCGTCCCAGAGGGGCACCAACCTGATGCCAGCCAGAAATCTCCTGTATGAGGTGTCTGGCGACCCCTGTTGGGAAGTCTCACCTAGTTAGGAGACATGGGATCAGGGAACCACTTAAGGAAGCAGTCTGACTCTCCCTTAGTGGAGCTGGTGTTTTGTGCGGGGGAGGGGATCCCCCTCGTCTGGATCAGTGGGTCTCTTCAGAGCCAGCAAGCCGGAAAGATTAAGTCTGCTGAACCTGAGACTGCTGCCGCTCCTCCCCCAGGTGCTCTGTCCCAGGGACATGAGAGTTCTGTCTGTAAGCCCCTGATCGGAGCTGCTGAAATTGCTGCAGGGAGGCCCTGTCCAGTGAGGAGGGATGGATCCGGCTCCCACCTAAGGAAGCAATCTGGCCACGATCTGCCACAGCTGCTTTGCTGCACTGTGGGGAATACTGCTCAGTTCAAACCTCCCAGTATCCTTAACACTGGGAGGGGAAAACCGCCAACTAGAGCCAAAATAATGGTCGTCACTCCTCCCCCCAGGAACTTGGTTGTCGTAGGCAGACTCCAGATGGCTGTGCTGGCAGTGGGGATTTCAAGCCAGTGGGTCTTCGCTTGTGGGGTTCTGTAGGAGTGGGACCCAATGAGCAAGACCATTTGGCTCCTTGTCTTCAGCTCCCTTTCCATAGGATGGACAGTTCTCCAGCTTCATTGGAGTTCCAGGCACCACTGAAGTATGTAAAAAATTCCTGCAGCTCAGTGCCTGCCTGAACAGCCACTGACGGGAGCAGCTGTCATTTGTCTGTCTAGTTTTGTGTTTGAGACCTAAGGCCCTGATGTTGCAGGCTCATGAAGGAATCCCCGGATCCATGGATTGCAAAAATCTGTAGGAAAAGCTTGGTACTCCTGGTGGGTAGCACAACCCCTCAGCAGTTCTCTTGGCTGTGGGAAGGAAATCCCTTTGCCCTGCACAGCTCCTGGGTGATGCAACGCCTCATCCTGCTTTTCCTTGCTCTCTGTGGGTTGTGCCAATCACCTAGTCAGTCCAAATGAGATGAACTTGGTACCTCAATTGGAAATGCAGAATTCACTTGCCTTTTGCATTCATCTTTCTGGGAGCTGCAGACCTGAGCTGTTTCTATTTGGCCGTCTTGGCTGTATTTTATTCGTTTTGTGGCAATTATGAATGTGACTGTGTTCCTGATTTGGCTCTTGGCTTCACTGCTGTTGGTGTATAGGAATGCTAGTGATTTTTGTAAATTGATTTTGTATCCTGAGACTTTGCTGAAGTTGTTTATCAGCTTAAAGAGCTTTTGAGCTGAGACTATGGGATTTTCTAGATACAGGTCATGCCATCTGCAAATAGGTATAGTTTGACTTCCTCTCTTTCTATTTGGATGCCTTTATTTTTTTCTCTTGCCTGACCGTTCTGGCCAGGACTTCCAATAATATGTTGAATAGGAGTGGTGAGAGAGGGCATCTTTGTCTTATTCTGATTTTCAAGGGGAATGCTTCCAGCTTTTGCCCATTCAGTATGATGTTGGCTGTGGGTTTGTTATAAATGGCTCTTATGATTTTGAGGTGTGTTCCTTCAATACTTGGTTTATTGAGAGTTTTTAACATGAAGGGTGTTGAATTTTACCAAAAGCCTTTTTTGCATCCATTGAGATAATCATACAGTTTTTGTCTTTAGTTCCGCTTATGTGATAAATCATGTTCATTGATTTGTGTATTTTAAACCAACTTTGCATCCCAGGGATAAGGCCTAGTTGATTGTGGTGAATAAGTTTTTTGATGTGCTATTGGATTTGGATTGCCAGTATTTTGTTGAGGATTTTTGCATTGATGTTCATCAGGGATATTGGTCAGAAGTTTTTTGTTGTTTCTATTGTGTCTCCTCCAGGTTATGGTATCAGGATGATGGCCTCATAGAATGAGTTAGAGAGGAGTCCTTCTTCCTCACTTTTTGGGAATAGTTTCAGCAGGAATGGTGCCAGTTATTCTTTGTACATCTGGCAGAATTCTGCTGTTACTGCTGTGACTTTGTCTGTTTCTGGGCTTTTTTTTTTATTGGTAGGCTTTTTATTACTGATTCAATTTCAAAGCTCATTATTGGTCTGTTCAGGGATTCAATTTCTTCCTGGATCAGTCTTGGGATAATGTATATGTCCAGGAATTTATCCATTTCTTCTAGATTTCTAGTTTGTGTGCATAGAGAGGTTAATAGTATTCTCTGATGGTTATTTGTATTTCTGTGAGGTCAGTGGTAATATCCTCTTTGTCATTCATAATTGTGTTTATTTGTGTCTTCTCTCTTTTCTCCTTTATTCGTCTAGCTAAAAGTCTATTGTATTATTTTTTTCCAAAAACCAGTTCCTGGATTTGTTGATATTTTCAATGGTTTTTCATGTCTCAAGCTCCTTCAGTACAGCTCTGATTTCAGTTATTTGTTGTCCTCTGCTTTGGGGTTGGTTTTCTCTCGGTTCTTTAGTTCTTTTAATTGTGACGTTAGGTTGTTAACTTGGGCTCTTTCTAGCTTTTCGATGTGAGCATTTAGTGCTATAGTTTCCCTCTTAACATTGCCTTAGCTGTGTCCCAGAGGTTCTGGTATATTATATCTTTGTTCTCATTAGTTTCAAAGAAATTCTTGATTTCTGCCCTAATTTCATGGTTTACTCAAAAGTCATTCAGGAGCAGGTTATTCAATTTCCATGTAATTGTATGGTTTTGAGTGATTTTCTTAGTCTTGATTTCTAATTTGATTGTGCTGTGGTCTGAGACATTGGTTGTTATTACTTCAGTCTTTTTTGCATTTGCTGAGGAGTGTTTTATGTGTGATCACATGATGGATTTTAGAGTGTGTGCCATGTAGTGATGAGAAGAACATATATTCTGTTGTTTTGGGGTGAAGAGTTCTGTAGATGTCTATCAGGTTCATTTGATCCAGTGCTGAGTTTAGGTCCTGAATATCTTTGTTAATTTTCTGCCTTGATGATCTGTGTAATACTGTCAGTGGTGTGTTAAAGTCTTATTGTGTCTAAAGTCTAAAGTTAAAGTATTATTGTGTGGAGGTCTAAGTCTCTTCAAAGGTCTCTAAGAACTTGCTTTATGAATCTGTGTGAGACTGTTGGGTGCATATATAATTTGGATAGTTAGCTCTTTTTGAATTGAACCCTTTACCATTATGTAATGCCCTTCTTTGTCTTTTTTTTTTATTTTTGTTGGTTTAAAGTATGTTTTTCTGAAATTAGGATTGCAACTTTTGCTTTTTTCTGTTTTCCATTTGCTTGGTAGATTCTCCTCCATCTCTTTATTTTGAACCTATGGGTGTCACTGCATGTGAGATGGGTCTCTTGAAGACAGCATACCATTGGGTCTTTGTTCTTTATCCGGCTTGCCACTCTGTACCTGTTAATTGGGTCACTTAGCCCATTTACATTCAGAGTTGGTATTGATATGTGTAGATTTGATCATCTCATCATGATGTTAGCTGGTTATTATATTGGCTTGTTTCTGTGGTTGCTTTATAGTGTCACTGTTCTGTGTAAAGTGTGTTTTTCTAGTGGCTGGTAATGGTTTTTCCTTTCCATATTTAGTGCTTTCTTCAGAAGGTATTGTAAGGCAGGTCTAGTCATAATAAATTCCTTTAGCATTTCCTTGTCTGAAAAGGATTTCTTCTTCACTTATGAAGCCTAGTTTGGCTGGATACAAAATTCTGGGTTCAAATTTTTTTTTCTTTAAGAATGTTGAATATTGGCTCCTAATTTCTTCTGGCTTGTAGACTTTCTGCTGGGAAGTCTTCTGGGGGACTCTGATGTTGTCTGTTTGTGGAGTCACACTGGTAGTGGTGTTGGGGGCACTGGCAGGTACAGGTCTTTGTGCATTATATGTGCCTCACATGCAGAGGTGGTCACTCAGGGCAAGGGAGGGTCTGCTGTTCTCCATGCCTACTTTATTTCCCTTGGCAGTGTTGGCCCAAGGATAGTGCACTGGTGGCAGCAGGATTGGCTGGCTCTGTGCCTTTCAAAGCTCCCAGACTGCAATGGTGGTTGGCAGGGTTGGGGGAAGACTGTACTCCTGTAGCAGCAGTGGCAGGGCAGGATGCGTGCACACATGAGTGCTGGTAGGGAAAGGAAAGCAAAACTTGCCCATGCACACACATGCCTGCAAAGCAATGTGAGGGGTTGCAGTGAGCCAGGGGGAAGCTGCAGTGTGGAGAGGGAGCAGGTGGGCTGGTGTATGGCCATGGGGGCCACCCTACTGGAGCTCTTCACTAGTCAGGCATGGTCCGCCAGCACAGAAACTATGATGAAGCCCCCCGGGAACCCAAGGCTGACCTACAAGCAGGTACTGCCAGGCTGGGGCCCTGGGCCAGCAGACCAAGGGGTGATCAGGTTGGACTGGCCCCATCTGATGGGCAAGACTGCCCTGCAGAGTTCAGGTTCAACAGTTTCCCTAGGGCTAAAGTCTCCTATGGGAGCCAGTTGAGCCTAAGGGGATGGCCATCCCTGGCCATGCTCCACTACAGATGCTCCTGCACCAAACCCTCTGGGCTGCCCCTGCCACTTCTCTAAGCAGCTCTCCCTGCCAACTCAAGTGTTTGTGGTGATTGAGGGGTCTCCCCCTGTCAGGATTTCAGAGGCCCGTGGTGAGAGTGGGTTGCTCCTTGTCAGTTCAACTCACTTGTTCCCCTGAAGTTGTGGGGGCTAGGAATGAGTCCTGGTGCATGGTAGCCCCATGCAGAGTTCCCAGCTTCTTCCTCCTTCAGCTCAGCTTCTGTGTCTTCCCTCTGTCCACTCTCAGTGCCTTTCTTCTGAAAATCTGCTGGGAGTGTGCCAATCATCTCAGCCCCTTGGTGGCAGGTGTGTTCCACCTGGCTGCATCTCATTGGTCATCTTGCCTGATCCTTATTTCTATTCTTATAGTCTTTTTTCATAAATCAATTCTTTCTTCAATTCTTAAAAATTCTCAGCCATAGTCTCCTCAATTATTTCTTTCTCTGTGTTTTATGTTCTGGTATGCCTCTCCAGAATGTTAGGTAGGCCCTAGTCCAATGTTGCTCCTGTTCATTCTATTCTCCATATATCAGCTGCTTTTTTGTATTCCCATCCTTTTATTTCTCTCTTTATCTCTATTTAATCTCTTTATCTCTGTATGTGAAATTTCAAATTCAATTATCCTGTAGTTCACTGGTAGCATCTTTAGCTATGTCTGATCGACTACAGATATTTTAAAATCTCAGGTATGCAGAATTAGACTGAAGTTAAATCTTTGGTTCATTATATACTTTTGCCATTTGTTCATGCATGACCCTCTTTTATGTGTTCATGTATGTATCTATTTACTAATAGCATAGAAAAATTAGGGACTAGAGGGCTCACAATAATGTATATCTACCCATGTGCTTCCTCCCCACCTTGTTCAAATACTTCCTCTCATCCAAGGTAACCACTCCGTGAACCTTGTGCTTATTATTCCTTAACTGCAAAAAAACCCTTTATCTCATATTTTAAGAATATATGTATTACAAAAAAGCACATTTTATAGTTCTCATATTTTAAGAATATATGTATTACGAAAAAGCACATTTTATAGTTAAAAAAAGTTAAAAAATTTGTAACCTTTTAAAAGTGGTGAAAATCGTCTTTTTTTTTAATTCACAATAATGTTATCAAGGTTCATCCCAATTGCTACATGTAGCTGTAATTCATTTGTTTTGACTGTATTAGAATGTTTCATTTTGCAATTGCATGACTGTATCACAGTTTATTTATCCACTCTTCTGTCAATGAGCATTTGAGTGGTTTCCAGGTTTTTGCTATTGTGAACAGCACTACTACAAACATTATTATTCATGTTTCTTGGGTTTATCTTGGTTATGTTCCAAGAAATGGAATTGCTGAGACATAGAATATGTGAATGCTCAACTTTTCAAAATAGTAATGCATTCTTTTTCTAGGTGGTTGGATCTGCTATTTAACCTGTTAGTTGAGGTTTAAATTTTCAATGACAATGCTTTTCACTTGTAAAAGCATTATGTAGTTGTTGTTGTTTTTTTTAGATGGAGCCTTGCTCTGTCACCTAGGCTGGAGTGTAGTGGTATGATCTAGGCTCACTGCAACCTCTGCCTCCCGGGTTCAAGCAATTCTCCTGCCTCAGCCTCCCAAGTAGCTGGGACTACAGGTGCCCACCACCACGCCCAGCTAATTTTTTTTTTTTTTTGTATTTTTAGTAGAGATGGGGTTTTGCCACATTGGCCAGGCTGGCCTTGAACTCCTGACCTCAGACAGTCTGCCCTTCTCGGCTTCCCAAAGTGCTGGGATTACAGGCATGAGCCACCATGCCCGACCTATGTAGTTTTTAAAATCAAATTTGCTTTTTACTTTTCCAAACTTTCTTCTATTGATATTGTGGCTTCTATTCTTCCATTTGTCTGTTTAATCAGCTTACGTGTCCATATAAGTCTTCTCAAATTGTGTAATTATCTTCAGTGCTTGAGGTGCCAAGTCTGTTTGTTGTATCTTCTTAACACTCATATATACTCCCTCACTCCATGGTTGTTTGTTTCTTTATGTGGTTTATAATTTTGGTTGTGAGCTTGTTTTAAGCCTGACTTTTTTTCCTCTGAGGGAATTCTGTGTTTTCTGACTTAAGTGCCTCTACAAAGTAACTTTTCAGTTGCTTTTATTGGAGCACAGAATTTCAGTGGTTTTAGGATGTATGTTTATGCAGCTGCCTTGATTTGGGATTCCTGTATCTTCGTGCAGCGTTCTTCTAGACTCTACACCTTTACATGGTACAGGCCTGGAGTTTTAACTTCTCATAAATTACTTTTTTGGGTTTGTTTTGTTTTAACTCCATCAGCTTCCTTGCTACTTCCACAGGTTGTCGCCCAGGCTAGAGTGCAGTGGCGTGATCTCGGCTCACTGCAAGCTCCGCCTCCTGGGTTCACGCCATTCTCCTGCCTCAGCCTCCCGAGTAGCTGGGACTACAGGTGCCCACCACTATGCCCAGCTATTTTTTTGTATTTTTAGTAAAGACAGGGTTTCACCATGTTAGCCAGTATGGTCTCAATCTCCTGACCTCATGATCCACCCGCCTTGGCCTCCCAAAGTGCCAGTGGGATTACAGGTGTGAACCACTGTGCCCAGCCTGATGGATGGAGTTTTCAAAGTTCCCTTTCCAGGAACTGGGAAGAAGCACATTGATTGTGTCTCTGAGATTTATAAAGAGGATTCAATTAGTTTTCAAACTTATGCATGTCCAAGACCAGTTATCCTATGCCAGTGTAAACATAAAAAACAGTCCACAGTCCCTGGGGCTTATTTGCCAGCTGAAAAAACTCTTGGGCCAATGTATTACCTCCCATTTTCCACCATCTCTCAATTTGAGTTTTTTTCTTTGTTCTTTTGTTTAGTTAGGATTTCTGTGTGTAGATGAAATAAGAGGAAAGCCCAAGTCAGCATAGGCAGCTGTGTTGCTAGAAATTCTCTCCATATTTTTAGGCATCACGTACCGGACTTCAAACTATACTACAAGGCTACAGTAACCAAAACAGCATGGTACTGATACCAAAACAGAGATATAGACCAATGGAACAGAACAGAGCCCTCAGAAATAATACCACACATCTAAAACCATTTGATCTTTGACAAACCTGACAAAAACAAGAAATGAGGAAAGGATTCTCTATTTAATAAATGGTGCTGGGAAAACTGGCTAGCCATATGTAGAAAGCTGAAACTGGATCCCTTCCTTACACCTTACACAAAAATTAATTCAAGATGGATTAAAGACTTAAATGTAAGACCTAAAACCATAAAAACCCTAGAAGAAAACCTAGGCAATACCATTCAGAACATAGGCATGGGCAAAGACTTCGTGACTAAAGCAATGGCAACAAAAGCCAAAATTGACAAATGGGATCTCATTAAACTAAAGAGCTTCTGCACAGCAAAAGAAACTACCACCAGAGTGAACAGACAACCTACAGAATGGGAGAAAATTTTTACAATCTACCCATCTGACAAAGGGCTAATATCCAGAATCTACAATGAACTTAAACAAATTTACAAGAAAAAAATCAAACAACCCCATCAAAAAGCGGGCTAAGGATATGAACAGACACTTCTCAAAAGAAGACATTTATCAGCCAACAGACACATGAAAAAATGCTCATCATCACTGGCCATCAGAGAAATGCAAATCAAAACCACAGTGAGATACCATCTCACACCAGTTAGAAGGGCAATCATTAAAAAGTCAGGAAACAACAGGTGCTAGAGAGGATGTGGAGAAATATGAACACTTTTACACTGTTGGTGGGACTGTAAATTAGTTCAACCATTGTGGAAGACAGTGTGGCAATTCCTCAAGGATCTAGAACTAGAAATACCATTTGACCCAGCCATCCCATTACTGGGTATATACCCAAAGGATTTTAAATCATGCTGCTATAAAGACACATGCACACGTATGTTCGTTGTGGCACTATTCACAATAGCAAAGACTTGGAACCAATGCAACTGTCCATCAATGGACTGGATTAAGAAAATGTGGCACATATACACCATGGAATACTATGCAGCCATAAAAAAGGATGAGTTCATGTCCTGTGTAGGGACATGGATGAAGCTGTAAAACCATCATTCTGAGCAAACTATCGCAAGGATAGAAAACCAAACACCGCATGTTCTCACTCATAGGTGGGAATTGAACAGTGAGAACACTTGGACACAGGAAGGGAACATTATACACTGGGGCCTGTCATGGGGTGGGGGTAGGGGGGAGGGATAGCATTAGGAGATATACCTAATATAAATGTTGAGTTAATGAGTGCAGCACACCAACATGGCACATGTATACATATGTAACAAACCTGCACGTTGTGCACATGTACCCTAGAACTTAAAGTATAATAAAAAAAAATAAATTCTCTGCATATTTTCAAATGTCTTTATTTTGGTTTTTTAAAAAGTAGTTTTAGATTAACAGTGAAATTGAGAGGAAGTCCCAGAGATGTCCTATATACCCACTGTCCCCACACATACACAGCCTCCTCTGTTACTAACATCCCCTACCAAAGTGGCACATTTGTTTTGATGAACGTACACTGACACATCATTATCACCCAAAGTCCATGGTTTACGTTAGGGTTCACTCTTGATGTAGCACATTCTGAATTTGGACCATTGTATTATGCCATACATCCACTATTATAATATCATACAGAATATTTTCTCTTCCCTAAAAATTCTCTGTGCTCCACCCACTTGTCACTCCCTCCCACCCTAACCCTTGGCAACCACTGATCTTTTTACTGTCTCTGTAGTTTTGCCTTTTCCAGAATGTCATACTTGGAATCATACATTATGTAGGCTTTCTAGGCTGGCTTCTTTCACTTCGTAGCATACATTATGTTTCCTTCACATCTTTTCATGGCTTGATAGCTCACTTCTTTTTAGTGCTGAATAACATTCATTGTTGTGTGTACCACAGTTTATCTATTTACCTACTGAAGGACATCTTGGTTGCTTCGAAGTTTTGAGAACTGGGAATAAAACTACTATGACATATTTTCAAGTCCTTTGGGTAAATAACCAAGGAGTGTGACTGCTGAGTTGTACAGTAAGAGTATGTTTAGTTTTGTAAGAAACCTCCAAACTGTCTTCCAAAGCGTCTGTACCATTTTATATTCTCACCAGCAATGAATGAGAGTTCTTTTTGTTCCGTGTCCACACCAGCATTTGGTGTTGTCAGTGTTCTGGATTTTGGCCATTCTGATGGGTGTGTAGTAGTATCTCGTTGTTTTAATTTGCATTTCCCTGATAACATGTGGAGCATCTTTTCATATGCTTATTTGCCATCTGTATATTTTATTTTATGAGGTATCTGCTGAGGTCTCTAGCCCATTTTAAAATTGGATTGCTTGTTTTTTTATTGTTGAGTTTTAAGAGGTCTTTGTAAATTTTGGATAAAAGTCTTTTTATCAGATGTGTCTTTTGTAAATATTTTTTCCCAGTCTACAGCTTGCTTTTCATTCTCTTGACAGAGTCTCAAGTTTCTCACCAGTATGTACATTAGCAACAGGTATTTTGTGGATATTCTTTGTTAAATTAAGAGATTCCTCTCTATTTCTGGTTGATTGAGAGTTTTTTAAAATCATGAATTGGCATTAAATTTTGTCAAATATTTTTTCTGTGTCTATTGTTATGATCTTCTGATTTTTTTTCTGCAGTGAATTGCTTTGATGAATTACATAAATAGATTTTTAAATGTTAAGCCAGCCTTGCATACCTGGGATAAATCTCATTTTGTCATGGTGTGTACTTTTTATACATCTTGAATTCAGTTTGCTAATATTTTTTGAGGAATTTTGCATCTATATTCATGTTCCTGGCCTGTAGTTTTCTTTTCTTATAATGTCTTTGTCTGGTTTTGTATTAGTGTGATGCTGGCCTCATAAAATAAGTCATAAATAAGTCTGCTTCTGTCCTCTGAAAGAGATTGTGGAAAATTGGGATAATTTCTTAAATGTTTGGTAGAATTGACAGGTTAACCCATCTGGCCTTGTGCTTTCCTTTTTGAAAGGTTATTAATTATTGATTCAATTTTTTAAATAGAGAAGACCTATTTAGATTGTCTATTTCTTCTCATGTTTGTTTTGGCTAATGGTGCCTTTCAAGGAATCAGTCTGTTTTACCTAGGTTATTTAGTCCGTGGGCATAGTTATTTGTAATATTCCTGTATTCTACTCTCTTTCATTTCTACTATTAGTAATTTATGTCCTCTTTTTCCTGAGTTACCTTGGTTAAGGGCTTATCAATTTTATGATCTTTGAAAAAACATAAACTTTTGGTTTCATTGATTTTCTCTATTGGTTTCCTGTTTTCAGTTTCATTGATTTCTGCTCTAATTTATTATGTCTTGTCTTCTGCTTACTTTGGATTTAATTTGCTCTTATTTTTCTAATTTATGAAGATAGATGCTTAGATTTTAGATTTTTATGCTTTTCTAATATATGCATTTAGTATTATAAATTTCTCACTAAGAATTGCTTTCACTGAATCTCATGAATTGTGATAAGCTGTGTTTTCATTTTCATTGAAACACAAATTGAAAATGTATTTAACTTTCTCACAATATTTCTTCTTTGATCTATGTGTTATTTAGAAGTGTGTTATTTAATCCTTATGTATTTGGAGATTTTCCAAGTATCTGTTATCGATTTCTTATTTAATTCCACTGTGATCTGAGAGCACATAGTTGATGATTTCTATGGTTTTAAATTTGTTAAGGTCTGTTTTATGGCCCAGAAGGTGATCTATCTTGATGAACATTCCATGTAAGCTTCAGAAAAATTTGTCTTCTGCTGTTGTTCAATGAAGCAGTCTACAGATTTCCATTGTATCCAGCTGATGGATGGTGTCACTGAATTCAACTCTGTCCTTACTGATTTCATGCCTACATGATCTGTCCATTTCTAATAGAGGGGTGTTGAAGTCTTCAACTATAATAGTGGATTGATCTATTTCTTCTTGTAGTTCTATCAATTTTTGCCTCACATATTTTGATGCTCTCTTGTTTTGGTGCTCTACAAGTTAAGGATTGTAATGTCTTCTTGCAGAATTATCCCCTTTGTAATTGTGTAATGCCCCTCTTATCTCTGATAATTTTGCTTGCTTTGAAGTCTGTCCTGTCTGAAATTAACATAGCTACTCCTACTTCCTTTTGATTAGGATTAGCATGGTACATCTGTTGGCATCCATTTACTTTTAATCTATATGTGTCTTTTATTTAAAGTGGGTTTCTTATAGACAACATATAGTTGGGTCTTGTTTCTACTCTAACAATCTGTTTTTTAATGGATAATGTACCTTATAATAAGAAAATCATAATTCTAATTTCTCTCCCCTGTTCCTTGCATCATTGCTGTCACTCATTTCACTTATATATAAGTGTACATAAGCACACGTGCACATGTGCACACACACACAAGCATGCATAGTCAAATACTTTGTGGCTATTGTGATTTTGAACAAACTTATTTGTTTAATCAATTGAGGAAGAAAAATAAAAGGGTTTATTTTACCTTCATTTATTCCTTCTTTCATGCTTTGCCTTTCTTTATGTAGATCTGAATTTCTGATCTACATAATTTTCTTTCTCTCTGAAGAACTTTTTAACGTTTCTTGTAAGGCAGGTCTACTGGCAACAAATTCTCTCAAATTTGTCTGAGAAAGTCTTTATTTCTCCTTCACAGAATTCTAGGTTGGTGGGGTTTCTCTCTCTCCCTCTCTCTCCACTTTAAATAACTTTCACTCCACTCTCTTCCTACTTGAATTATTTCTGAGGAGAAGTCAAATATAATTCTTACCTCTGTTACTCCATAGATAAGTTGTTTTTTTCCTCTGGCTTCTTTCAGGAATTTTCTCTTTTCTTTGATTTTTTTTTTTTTTTTTTGTAGTTTGAATATGGTATGCTTAGGTATAGTTTTTTTTTTTTTTTTGCATTTATTCTGTTTGGTGTTTCATGAGCTTCATGGATCTGTGGTTTGGTATCTGATATCAATTTTGGGAAAATTATCAGTAACTATTGCTCAAATATTTATCTTGTTCCTTTTCTCCTTTCTTCTTTCCTTCCTTCCTTCCTTCCTTCCTTCCTTCCTTCCTTCCTTCCTTCCTTCCTCCTCCTCCTCTCCTCCTCCTTCTTCTTTTCTTCTTCTTCCTCCTCCACCTCCTCTTTCTCCTCCTCTTCTTCTTCTTCCTCTTGGTCTTCTTCCTCTTCTTCTTTCTCTTCTGTCTTCTCTCTTCTTTTCTTTCTTCTCTCTTCTTCTTTCTTCTTCCTCATCTTCTTTCTTTTCTTCTTTTTGATACAAGGCCTCACTCTGTCGTCCAGGCTGGAGTGCAGTGGTGTCAGAACATGGCTGACTGCAGCCTCAACCTCCTGGGCTCAAGCAGTCCTCCTGCCTCAGCTGGGCATGGTGATACTTGCCTGTAGTCCCAGCTACTCAGGAAGCTGAGGCAGGAGCTCTGTTTCTTCAAACCATGTCTTTTGCCTTGTAATTTTTTCTTGATAGCTGGACGTGATATACTGGGTTAAAGAAATTGCTGTAAATAATTCTTTAGTAATGTTATGGTAAGGTACGTGGGTAGAGGAAGCATTCTATAGTCTATGATTAGGTCTTAGTCTTTTAGGGAACCTACGCCTTTGGACTGTGAACTTCACAAATATTTCTCAGTCTCCTCTGGACTCCCCTTAGGTGGGAAGGAATGACTAGGGTGTGCTTGAGTTGGGTATTTTCCTTCTCCCACGGGGAAGGCTAGGGCTAGCTGTAGTTGGGTGTTTTCCTTCCCCTAGGTCAGTAAGACTCTGATAAAACCCCTGCAGTTTAGGTGCTAGTTAAATAGTTTCTCCTGAGGGCATATCTTGTTAAAAAGAACAGAGTGCTCTGGCATATTTCAAAATGATTCCTCTCTTTCCTTCTGCCAGGAGCACAAGGAGATTTTCCCCCCAGTATTCACCATGAGAAACTGGTCAAGCTCTTGGAGGTAAAACTCACAAAAGTGTGCCCCCAACCTCGACCCCTGTTACTGGGTTTCTCTGGTGTTTTTAACTCCTAAACTTATCCATACTCAGCCTCCAGCAATTCATGGTTTCCTCTCCAGGTGCTGGATCTCACAGAGGTTTGCTCATGGGTTTCTGCTCCGGTTAGTTGTGACTCTCTGTATCTGCCTGTCTAGCTCTCCAATTTTGAGAGCAGCAGTTTGCCCTGTGACCTCATTTCTCTTACAGATCTAAGAAGAGTTGTTGGTTTTTTAGTTTGTTCAAATTTGTACTTGTTGCTGCAGAATGACAACTTTTAAGCTTCTTAGGTACAGAACCAAAGCTGGAACCCTGATACATTTCTATTAGAGCACTTGTGTCATTCCTCTTTGAATTTTTGTTAATTGATGAACTCAAGTTTCTCACACTGAGGGTAACTTTTTGAGGTCAGGCACATTTTATTCATCTTTACCTCCTACACATACGTGACTTTTGCACCAACGTATTAACACACAACAGACATCCAAATATAATTGTGAAGAACAGACATAATGAATGCATAAATTAGTGAATAAATGACACTTTTCATCATCATTTTAATACTCTCCAACTTCACTTTCCGATAAAACCTCATTTCTATTCAAACATCTTATTCTATTCAAAGGATTCCCAGTATAGAAAAGCATAGCCTTGTTCAGAGTTACAGAAGGTCAGCCAAGGTCAGATCTGTGGATAGCTGACAACCACATCTTCTCTGTTCTCCAGAGAGTGTGAGACACAGGACGCCTCCCATAAGGAGGCAGTGTGTTATGTATTTTACAGGCTTTTTGTATACTCACTCTTTTTGTTTCAGACGGAGTGAGCTAGTGCTTGTGAAATGTTGAGAGTGGGAGCACCTTCAAGACAGTGGTAGAACACAGGAGGCCCTTGTGCAGACTTTCAATTCTCAGTGCTGGTAGAGCTTCTCTTGCTCCACCTGAAATATTCCTGCGACTCCAATCATGAGTGGAGACATATAACAATACTGAGCTTATGTTCTAGAGTGTGTGTGTGTGTGTGTGTGTGTGTGTGTGTGTGTGTGTTACCACCTGTGTCCTTGGGAAAAGCAAAATAGCACTCTATGCATAAGTCTGCCTTAATACCTACCGATTATATGGAAACTGTTTGCGTGTCTGCCTTCCCTTCTAAATTGTGGATTGCTTGAAGGTTGGTGTTCTGTCTTCATCATTTGCACTCTAAGAGCCAACAGAGTTAATGTCTGCTGAATCAGATGATGAAAGATGAAGCATGGAACACGATGCCCACAAACAGTCCAACTGCTTTTCGGGGCCAGGATCTGTGTCTGTCGTTAGCTCAAGTCTCTAAAGATGCAGCGGCCCCTTGCTCCTCTTCCCGACAGGAAAGGCAGATATCAAACCTACTGCCTATCTCTTTGCTTGGCTTAATTCTCTATTCTTTGTTCATAGAACTTAAGTAGGTCTATTCCCACCTCTGAGAGCTAGAACCAGTTTGGGGTTTCTTCATGAAGTGTGTGGCAATGGTGTCCCTAAATAGCTTTGGGTGATGAAAGAAATTGGCTTGGGAGAGACGCCTCCCTGTTTGTCTTCTCAGTCTTGGGAGTGGGCCCCAGTAGGGCTTTGCCCCAACCCTGGCCTCTCTCTGCTCGGGGCTATGAGGTGCTCAGCATGGTGCATTCTGAGTGTGTGAAAAGAGGAAAGGGAATATGAGTCAGAGAAATAATTCCTAGGGCCAACCTCACCCTAGAATTGTTTCATCAAAATGGAGAGGTTGAACACTGGGGAACAAGCCCTTTGCCAAAGTCTCCACACTGTTCCGACTTGCCTTTGACTTGAGGACTCAGCAAACATTGACAGAGGGCTGACGAACCAAGAAGGGCTTGATTTACAGAGCACTCCTCTGTCCCAGGAAGAAACCAAACACTGTAGATCACTAGGAGATGACCGAGGTTCTAAAGTGCCTATAAACAATATGAGCTGGCCTTACTCCTCACACTGCCTGGAGTCAGTTTCCAATGGGCAGCGTGCCCTCCTAAGAGGCAGGACAGAGAGAAACAGCTTCTGTACACCATGAGATGACTCAGATGAAGAGTCACATCAGTCACTGTCTTCTTCCAGGAAGAAGTCTTGATATCACTGGGGGGAGTTTCATAATAGCTTCTGCTGTCTGTCACCCAGCTTTAGGGGGTTTCTGTCAGTACTAGGCATTGTGATGTTTAATGGTATGAAGGAGGAGAGTCTAATTTTTACAGCCTAGCCCCAACAGCACAAGCACCTCGGTTACTACAATATTTTCTCAGACAGTCCGCCCCGTGAATGTAACCATAGCCCACTTCCCTAGGATATTGGAGTGCCACATGTATTCTTTTTTTTTTGAGACGGAGTCTTGCTCTGTTGCCCAGGCTGGAGGGCAGTGGCGCGATCTCGGCTCACTGCAAGCTCCGCCTCCTGGGTTCAAGCCATTCTCCTGCCTCAGCCTCCCGAGTAGCTGGGACTACAGGCACCCGCCACCACACCTGGCTAATTTTTTGTATTTTTAATAGAGACGGGGTTTCACCGTGTTAGCCAGGATGGTCTCGATCTCCTGACCTTGTGATCCTCCTGCGTCGGCCTCCCAAAGTGGCCACATGTATTCTTTCTAGTGGTGACTCAAAACACCTATAGAAGAGGATCTATCTATCTACACACACACACACACACACACACACACACACACACACACACACACATACTTTGTTTACATCAATGAGATACTCATCTGGGTTTTATGGATATGAAATCTGGGATTCTTTTATCTTTCTTAGTCAGTTATTCCAGTTGTATTTTATAGTATTTGTTTTGGCTTAGTTTCTTCCTTCTAGATTATTTAACGACCTCATCAGCCTGGGAATTTAAAAGATATACCTTGTGATTATCTGTTTAGCTGAAATGTACTTGTGTGTTTATTTGCTTACTTAATTTCTTGGGACTTTGGAGGTGGGACTGGTACTAGTGGCTCTGGGGTTAGTAACAGTGGTCCTACAGTTCCTTGGCTCTCTAGGATTCTGGAAGGAAAGTTGTTTAAGAATTAACCTAACTGTATTTCTAGCAGAAGCACAAAAGATCACATGGAATTCAAACAGTGAGACTCTCAGTAGCATAAGAGAGCATGTCACTACTTGTCTCTGGATTCCAGTTTCCTATAAAATGAAGGGGTTGGCCTAAATGACAGAGGTCTCCTGCTAGCTCCATCTATCTACCCACTCATCCATCCCCAGCAGGTTAGTACATCCCTCAGCTTCTCAGACAGGAGAGGTGATTGGGTTCATCCCTTTCTGAAGAATCTCCAAAGCACAGCCAAAGCTGGGAAGGAAGACCCATATGAATACAGGCGGATGCCCTATTTCTTCTGAGGAAAACCATGAAGAACAGCTCCAACAGAGGAGCCTGGACTACAACCCTGGGCAGGCAGCTCCACCCACCCGTCCACAGGTGACCTTGGTCCTCCTTACATTTACAGAGTATGACAGCAGGAACGTCTGTGGTGATCATCTGTCAACTGTAATTTTGGAACATGATATGAGCTGGGATCAACTTTTATTAAGCCCGAGGCCATCTTTTCTCTTGAGAGTTAATCCAAAGATTACCTGCTAAATGCAGAAATTCAGCGCCAAATCAGACGAAATACACAAATGTGGTCCCTTCCCTCTAAGAGCCTATAATCTAAATTAAACAGCATACATTGATAATGGGAAATTGTGGGCAGCTTTCAAGAGAATTGAATCAAATATTGAGATTACATCTTGGCCTCAGGTTAATGGCTTTTAGTGTACTTGGGGGGGGTCAAGGGTTATGGGTTTAGAACCTGACCAGTGCTCTCAGCAGGAAAAGTCACAATGTGTAGCCAGTCGGTTAGGAAAGGTTCCACGCTGGAGAGAATCCCAGGAGGTCAACAGGGAGTAGCAGGGCATTTGGGAGGAGGCAGGTGGTGCAGGGGGAAGTCAAAGGCATATGGGAAGAGCTCACATAACGAGGACCAGCATTTTCCAGAACCGTACAGTACTTGGCCACTTGAATTAAGGCACTGCCAAGTTCACTCTCTTTCTCTCATTATTCAGATGTCTCTGGAAATTCCACTTCCTAGGATGCATCTGATTACACCCAGTCTCTTCACCTTTGCATATGGTATTAGAATTTAAACGAACATGTTAAATTTGCTCTATCTAAATTTGCACCGGCCACTGGCAACTATTTCCATTTTAGTGGTTTAGTAAGTTATATCTACTGTATTCTTTCAGCAGGCAAACAATACACACCATACAGCCAGACAATGTTAGAGAAGGAAGAAAGGTTAACTCCTCCCACTCACTCATTTCACAGATGGGAACACGGATGTTCCCAGAGACTTGGTAAAACTTGCCTGGTCCATGACTTTGGGAATACAGACATCCTCTGAGTGCGATGCTTTGTATACGTGGCCTGGAGTTTGCTTCCTGATGATGTGCTCCTTCCTGCCCAGGTAGCCTCGGTTGGGCTCCACTATCCCTGCTCCAGTACCCACTCCCAGCACTTAAGAATGTCTCCTGTCTGGCTCCAGCATGAAGGTAACAGAGAAGGAAGATCTGGATTTCCGGCAGATTAAGTGGAGGAGAGAAGAGAGGGACCGAGGAAGAAAAAAAAGGCCGTGGACAAATGAAAACTGTCTTGTGAACATAAAGTGATTGACATAGATCACATCACCTGGATTATGATGATTTAAAAGGCAGTTCACACACAGAAATCCCAGAAAGGTTTAGAGCAAAATAATGACTTTCAGAGAAGACTGTGAATTTGGATCTCTACATTCCAGTACACTTATGGGGGAAAAGAAAGTGCTTTTAACTTACAAGTATTCTGAATAGTCACTCTTTCGGAGTCTTTTTTTTTTTAATTGGAAAGTAACATTTTTCCATTAGAGGATTCAATTCTACTACTGCTGCAAAAGAATTATTTCTGGAGTCAGAATCAAATCAACCTTTATAATCAGTCTAATGAGTCAGACCCACTGATATATATTAGTGGACCTGGCTTCTGTTCTAGGTCAGGAACTGAGAGCTCCTGACACTTTGTAATAGTGTAATAGGGGATAAAATGTCAGAAATTTCAGTGAAAATGGAGGTTAAGTTGTGCATTTTAAAAGCAATTTTTAGGTATAAGGTAGTAAGTAGCTAGTACTTATGTGCCAGCAGTTCAGAAAGCAAAACCCAATGGCCAATTATTCTTTGCTTTGTACATTTGGGGACTATAAGCAGACGGACACTAAGGAGCACACATCCCTGGATTTATTTCTCAAAACATATCGCACATTCCTAATTTTCCTCACAGATCTTTTTAAAGATTACTCTCAGAATGTGCCCAAAGAGTCCCTGAACAAATGCTATTCATTTTGGTAAATATAACAAAAATCATTAGAAGATATCAGCATTTTAAATAGCGATTATAATCCGGTGGTTGACTTCTGTATTGCCCTGTTCGGTATCTATATGTTTTGTAAAGGCTTACATTGACTTGTTTACAGATATACCATTTGCATTTAGCTAATTGTGACGTCTGTGGTCATTTTCTATAAAGAGGTTGGTCTTTAAGCTGTTGGTAATGAATGTGGCTTAGTTTCTACTGGAAAATCTGATTCAGCTTACATCATTTTGACTTATAGCACCTTTGCCAGGAATGAAATCTAAGAGTGCAAGACTGCCTTGTTTTTCCCCAGGTCTGCAGAGGCCTGTTGCTTTTAATGGGTTGTGTGTAGGACACAAGGATGTGACTCATCTATCCACTTAAGAGTCATAAAACAGTAATGCAGACAGCTCAGCGTCAGTCATAACGTTCATTGTATGCACCATACTGAATGGGCATTACCATTTAGTTTTTGTTATTTTACAGGAAAGTGGGCATTGGTACCCAGTGGACAAACAAAATATTTATTAAGCTTATTGTCATCAATGTCATTAATATAACTGTTTTCAGTGAGCGTAGAACAAGTGTGTGGAGCTATTTGTTGTCAACTGAACATCCCTGCCACCCCTTCTAATGTCTCCCTGCTCCATGGAAGAGAAATCAGGACTGTAGTTGTAATTTGCAGAATTCTCTTCTCTGTGAGGTTCAGGAGAGACCATCCAGGAAGACGCACTTGTATGAGGAAGGAGGAAGGCAAGGCCAGTATTCTCCAGTGGCAGTTGTAGGCACACGCATGGAGAGATGTAAGGTTCAAAGCAGCTTTCAGATGAACTTTTGGAGAATTGCCTTTTGTGCTACGAGAGGGGATAGATGTCTAGAGCATCTCTCGACTCACAAGTTTTGCAGTTTTCCAGGTGAGCTCCTGGGAATCGTGTGCTTCAGTGCTCCAAGCAGAGTGTTAACAATGGCCTCCTTGACCTTTGCTTCCCTAACAGTTGCAGAAGCTTCACTTTCTTGTCTAAAACTATTAATATTTGGAAGACACAGAGTGGCTTCTATTTTCCTGATAAAAACGTGGCTGATATAAGAAGTAATTATTTAAAAATTAATAAAAAATTAGAAAAGGTAGAATGCATAAATCATAGATTAAAATAAACTGCCAGTGGGCTATGGTTACTATAAAAATAAGATGGTCAAAGGCTGATCAAATGGAAGAATGAATAAATAAAAGTCATTCAAATAATCAATCAATTATAGAACAATCAATTAAATATATTAAATATTAAGTTTATGTAATTATAATTTATCTATTATGTACATATTATATTTAATCTGTAAATATATATGATATATATATAACAACTAGGAATCTAGATTCGGTATCACACGATTAGTACCAAGCATGAAGTGAGCACAGCAAGCAGGAAGTAAGGCCAGGATGAAAGAACACATCCCAGCTAGAAACAGGAAATTAGAAGTTTGATTCACTTATTTATTCATGCAACAAATATTTTTGAGCACTTTCTACCCCAAGTACTGTGCTAAATGGTGGAGGATGCAACAAGAACAAGATAAACGGGTAACTGCTCTTGAGGTGCTTATGCTCTACTTGGGAATATGGACAAGTGAATAGCCAACTGTCATTGAGTGTGATGCGTGTCATGATGAGAGAAGTACATCGTGTTGTAGGAACACCTAGAGGCAGGAAGTAGGGTGTGGGGTGGGGAGGAAAAAAGACTTCCTGAGAAAGTGGCTTCTAAGCTGAGACTTGAAGGATGAAAGGAGGTTAATGGTCAAGGTGCATGGGGTAGAGGAGATGGAGGTTGAAGAGGGAGCTCAGAGACTGTTCTGGTAGGCACCCCATTGTCAGGTGGTAGTGGTGGTAAACTCCACAGGCAATGGGGAGATATCGCAGGGTTTTAAGTAGCAGAATGATATGATCAGGTTTATGATTTCAAATGATGCCTCTGGCTGTAGGTTCAAGAATGGATTTCAGTGAGCAACGTGGATGTGGGGAGAACAACTAGAGAGTGTTGTAACAGTCCACATACGAGATGTCCATAACTTGGACATGGCAGTGGGGATGGAGAGAAGTTAGCAGATACAAGAAATGTTTAGTCGATGACTGACAGAGAGGTTAGAGAATGGGAGAAGTCAAGGATGACTCATTTCACATATACAGAAACTGAAGCTTAGAGGGATTGCATAGCTCACCTAAGGTCACATAGCCCGGAACAGTGAAGTTGGGATTCAAACCTCAATTCGGTCAACTCTAGAGCCTTCAACTTTACCTCTAAGCTCTGTAGTGTATGGACCAGAACAGGCCACGAAGCCTCAAGTTTTAAAAAATCATTAGGATGAGGTCCTTGTGTCACACAAGTTGACTGTTTTGTATTAATGTGACAGAGTGGTTCTGCTGGGCTCTCTTCATCTCTTGTCATATCTGTACTGTATTTTTTCTACTTGATTTAACTTATTTTCATAATTTTTCCCTGTGTGTGTGTGTAAATGTTGTTGTAACTAAAGGAAAATGGAGTGGGGAAAGAAGAAGATTTCTCCTTCTCACTAAAATTTTGGTTTCAAGCTAAAGTAAAAACAGAAGGCATTTCTCCTTTACTTTTTACAGTATGTATATCTGTAGCTGTGGAAGTTCTAGAGGGTAAAAGCCACAACCAGCTGTCACGTTTTGTTTGCCAAAATGACTAAGATAATGGGTAAGGCTGAGAAAGCTGTAAAATAATTATCCCATATTGCTCCTAAACACCCACCTTTTCTGTTACACTTGAGATCTGTTAAACAAGTCTGAAATAGTTGGAAACAAATACTGACATGTCCGTGATTGTAACTCCCGTCTATTTGTGGATGAATGTCAAGCCTCCCACTCCTGAACAAACCCCTGCGCTGAGCTCCAAACACCCGAGGACATCCCCGGCCAAGTAACCCGGGCTCCTTAAACTTTATGTGCTGTGACAATCTCAGCTGAGCTAAGGCCCCTCGCTACCATCCCTCTGGCTGTAGGATCAAGAATGGATTTCAAAAGAGCAACATTACCACTACTACTACTATTGCTACCACCCCCAGCCTTTTTTCCTGAAACCTGTACCAACCAAGTCAACAAAACCAGATGCTTAGGAGCTAGTCTAGATTCCTCTTTCTCTCCTATTCCTCACATCTCGTCAGCCAGTAAATCCTGGCGATCCTATCTCTTAAATACCTCTTTAGTTTTTTCTTCCCTCTTCATTTCCACTGTGGTTGTCTTAGTACTGGCCACTGCTTCCAAATTCCTGACGGATATTAATTTTTGTGATGCAGAAACAAGAAAATGGAATGCCCAGTAATTTGCAAACTCATAAATTATTCTATATTTAGTGTGACTTATTACTTACGTGTTTTTAAAATAATAAAAATTGGTCATAATCATAAATAATGAAGAGTTTTTCTGTAACAGGGTTATACTAAAAATTTGAGAGGCTTTCTGTAAAGAAAGAAAAAGAGATAATAATAAATGCTTTGCTACTATTGCTATGAACCGAAACACTATGACACAATTATATATTTCAATAATATGCAAAAATGGCCTCTACCTAATATACACATTTGATAATAGAAAACATTAGAAGAGAAAATAAACACAAAATCAATGCCAAGTAAAGATTATTAGTACATTGAGTGATAATACAACAAATATTAAATATTTTTAAAATTATCCTTAATAAAATTGTAAGACACATAGGCATGAATTTCACTGTCAAATAGTTTTGGACAATATTAGGACAAATATTGCAAATGTAGAAAAATATCTTTCATCTTGTGTTACATTAATTGAATTGATTGATTAAAGATGTGTTCAAAAGCATCTTCAAATTGGGAGTCAGGGAACATGTTGCTTCAAATAAGTTCATTTCCTTTTTTAGCAATGAAAATATTTTATCTGCTTATTCTGGTTTTCATTTGTCCATTGAAAAATATACTATTTTTGTTAATTCAGATTTTAGGTCAGTTTCGGGTGGCTTACTAGAACATTATATAACAACATTAATTTATTCTCTTCGTAGTTTTGTTGGGCGGTCAACATACTTGGAAAGAACTTCAGTGAATAGCAGATATTTAAACACTAGAAAATGCCAACAATTCGGGCAATACTCAAATAACATGACATTCATATCTTCTAACAAGGTTACCATCACCCCTGTGGATTTGCATGACAAAATTGTCCATTTAGGGATTTATTTTGCTTCCGAAACTTGTATTTCTTGACACACTGCTTATAGGACTTATATAACAGTTACTGAATGTATAATCTTATTAATATTTATTTTATTTGCAAGAGTAACTGATTACCAGCAGACAGGGCTACCAACACACACTGACTCCATGGCCACAGCCCTAAGAAAGACTGATTAGGCTGTGGCTGCTTCTGTCTTACATGCCTCTGCCCCGTTTCCAGATATGTCAACCTTAATACTTGTCTCTGTGGCTCAGGGTTCCTGTTCTTACTTTTGGCTTGATGTCATTGGGTTCCTTTGAGCCAGTAATGTTTCTTTGTTAATTGTTAAGCTCTAATTCTCACAGGAGAATTATAATACTTTCATGTTTCTGATTTCTTGACTGATTTTTCTAAAATTTGGAACTTAGAAAAACATATAAATTTCTTGAGAAATGTCAGGAAAGAAGTCCCGCATGGAAACAGTATTACAGACCCTGTAATGTCTTAGTCAAATAATCACTATATAATACTGGTCTCTGGCCTCTTGCCATGTCTCCTTTCAGTCTAACCCTCCCACTGCTTATTCTGTAAAATGGACGTGAACTTAACAAATTGTGTTATAATTTTAAAATATGCTTGCCTTTTCCACGAGACTGCACATTTCTTAAAAGCAGGAACTGAGTCTTAGCTCTTGATCTCCAATGTCTAGCAATGAATTGACGCATTTTAGGTTCTCAATATATGCATGATAAATTGAGATGAATTAAATTGAATTTATTTGAAATAGAAAGATAGTGAGGACTTCTGGTTTTGGAAACCTGGTAGATTGAGACAATACATCTCTTCCATGACAATTGCCTGGGAATTCTAGATAACATACAGTAAAAACTTTAAAAACAGAGTTGAATTCAGAAGAAAACAACAAAGAAGGCTTTAGGTAGCACAGATAAGCAAAGACCCTGACAGCTAGAGCCATAAGCACTGAAGTTGAAGTGCAGCTTGTGGGCCAGGGCAGGGCTTGTGGGGAGGGAGTCTGCAGGGATGATGCAGTTTCAGATCAGGAATTAAGCTGAGGTTTCTATAACCATCTAGGAAAATGTGTCATTGTGCTCTTCAGCTCAGTATTAAGAAATGCTAATGGAGGAACAGATATTTCATGCACAAAGAGAGCCCCCCTTCTCACTCTTCCCGTAGGTCTTTTGAACCTGTTCTCCCCCCAGTGATGCTGTGTTGAGGGCAGAGGTGCGCTCAACATTGAATGAGACCACATTCAGGCTGCAGTGATTGTGCCCTAAAGAGTTCAAGACATGATTGGAGGAAGCCCTGTTCTATGTTTTTGCTATTAAATTCTGAATGGTAAGCTTAACATGACCAGAAAACAAGTTATCATTCACATCTTGCATACACTGGATGAGCTTGCATTTTTGGTCATCACAAATGATACACAATTGCAACTTTTTTTTTTTTTTTTTTTTTTGAGACAGTCTTTCTCTGTCGCCCAGGCTGGAGTGCAGTGGCGCGATCTCGGCTCACTGCAAGCTCCGCCTCCCGGGTTCACGCCATTCTCCTGCCTCAGCCTCCCGTGTAGCTGGGACTACAGGCGCCCGCTACCATGCCCAGCTAATTTTTTTTTTTTAAGTAGAGATGGGATTTCACTGTGTTAGCCAGGATGGTCTTTGGTCTTGATCTCCTGACCTCGTGATCTGCCCATCCTGGCCTCCCAAAGTGCTGGGATTACAGGTGTGAGCCGCTGTGCCCAGCCCACAGTTGCAACTTTGAGAGTCATTGGAAGCCAATATTCATGGGCAGTATGATAAATGATGCAATGCCATGAGTAATGATGCAACCTGTGTTAACTGATAAATGGTTTTAGGGAACTGCAGAGGCAGGGAAATCTATGTTGTTTCAATGGAAACAGGTTCCAAGGAGTTATGCATATATTAGAAATTATTTCAACTCACATGTGCCCATGAATTTCACAATATATTTTTAAACAGAATTGTTTATGTAGACAAAATATGTTTGCCCAGTACCTTGCAAACCCTATGGGTGACTCTGCCCCTAGCTTTCTCCCAGCCAGGTCATATTTTAATGTGTTTGTTTCCCTTTAGGAAGAATGTATGTGAGTAGATTCTGAAGGAGTGGGACCCGGGAAGATGGAATAAAAGATTAGATCAGGCAGAATTAATTAATATTGGAGCAGTCACCTGGGATTCTAGATTTAATATATTGACTCAGACGACTATGAAGTGATACTTAACTGAAGCCTGGATTCAACAATGACCTACAACAGGGTTTCTCAAAATTTAACATGCAGAAGAATCACTTGATGATCTTGTTGAAATGCAGATTCTGATTCTCGAGGACTACGGTGAGCCTGGGGTTGTGTGTTTCAAACAAGGTCTAATTCATGGATCATACTCAAGTAGCAAAACCCTAAAATCAATAATGTAGAGAAAGGAGTCTAAAGGCTCCGGAGACGGGACTGTTGGAATGGACTTAACATGAGCAGCTTGCTCAGCCACTACTTAACCATCTCCCCAGGAAGTCCTAGAGGACATCCCCTTCATTAAGATATAAAACTGCATTGCTCAAGAGAGCATCAGAATTACTGAAAGTGTTGTGGCTATCTGCCATAGGTCAGAGATCATGGTGGGCAGATGTTGCAATGAAGTTGAGTTCCCTGATTTCAGTGGAAATAATGGGTGATGGTATGGTAGAGCCCTGGTGGTGATGCTTAGCCATCAAAAACATGTTTATACAAAATTATCATTATATGCTGCTGGAATAAAGGCTGCCATGGTCTGAATGTTTGTGTCTCCTCAAAATTTAAATGTTAAAACCCTAGCCCCCAAGGTAATGGTACTAGGAGTAGGGCCTTTGGAAGGTGAGTAGGTCATGAGGGAGGAGTCCTCATGAATGGGATTGTGCCCTTATAAAACAGGCCTGAGAGAGGACCTCTGGCTTCTTCTGCCATGTGAGGACACAGAAAGAAGGAGCTGTTTATGAAGCCTGGCCCTCACCAGACACTGAATCTCCTGGCACCTTGACCTTGGACTTCCCAGCCCCTAAAACTATGAAAAATAAATATCTGTTTTTTATAAGACACCAAGTCTGTATAATTTTGTTACAGCAGCTTAAATGGACTAAGATGGGGTGATCTATATTTTTACTCACATGGATCTAAATGATGGCAAATAGATCAAGGACGCAAAGGAATAGAATGGCTAGGCAGTCTGCCAAAGTGCTAATTGAAATGTAAAAGTGGAAGTATTCTAAGTCTAGTAGACAAAAATAGAAATCAAGACATTGTAATAGGGTTTCATAGTCTCTTACCCAATTATCAGACGTAAGTCTGTTCAAAAAGACTTGGAGTCTCCCGATTGAGGAGAAAGTTGAGCCCCTTTGGGAAAGGGTGCTTGAGTGTTATCACATGTATATATTGTAAATATTTCTTCATGTCTTTCCCCAAGAAACCAGCATCCATTTACCAGAGTGACTGCACTGATGACAGAGAAATAAGCAGAACATTTGGGTATTCTTGGACAGTGACTTTGAGCTGATTCTAATCTCTAGAGTTCCATAAATGCCTCGGAGTTCATTGGCAAGAGTGAAGACTTATGAATGTTAGGTGATAGATGGACTCCTGACTCAAACTCATCTCAATAAATTAAGGAACCTAACCTACTGTCATTCCTACGCCAGACTGTATAGTGTAACTTAGAAATGCGTAGTAACCAGCAGAATCTCCATATTGGTTCTCTGATCTGTGGAGTGAGAGCTGTTAGGTTAAGAAGCACCAAAAAGGGGTCCTTGAAACTGACTTTCTATAGGGGAATTTCAGATATATTTCCTCCACTAAGAACTTTTAAAAGGCAGGAGGTAGTGATTCCTATGGCATCACCCTTTAATGAACATGTTTTGCTGGTGAAAGAGCTATGTGGGTCTTTGAGGATGACTGTGGATTATTTCAGACTTAATCATGTGGTAACTCCAATTCAAGCTGCTGTTCTTAATGTGGAATATTTACTGGTGAAAGTCAACAGAACTTCTGGCACCTGGTATACAGCTATTGACCTAGCAGATATTTTCTATTCTTTTTTTTTAAACATGAAATTTACCATTTTAATGATTTTAAAATGCACAATTTACATTCACATTGTTGTTTTAGAGTTTTTTTAATTTTTTGTATATACATCAATAAAGATAATCAGAAACAAATCAGAAGGTTTGCTTTCAGTTGGAAGGGTCAGCAGTGCACTTTCACGGTCTTTCCTCAGAGTCATGTCAATCTCCTGCTCTCTGTCATAATATAATATTGCGGGATCTTGAGCATCTTGATATTCTACAGAACATTATTCTGGTTATTATGCTAATTAGATCTGGTGGACAGGAAGTATCACATACCTTAAATGTCTTAATAAGACATATGCATGCCAGAAGATGAGAGATAAGCCCCATAAAACTTCAGAAGACAGAAAAATCAGTAAAAAAGGCCCTGGGCCTAGATTACGTCAGGATATCCTCCTATAAGTGAGAGACAAGACTCTGTATGTTGAACTGCCCGCCATGAAGAAAGAAGCATAGTACTTGATGTATTGCTTTAGATACTGCAGGCAAATATCTACCACATTAATATATTTACCAGGTAATTTATAAAGCTGTCAGTTTTGAATAAGTCCTGGAGCAAGAAACTATAAAACAGACCCAGACCACTGTGTAAGCTACCCTGACACATGTGCCTTATGACCTATCAGTTCCAATGGCAACTAAAATGTTTCTGACAGACAGGGATGCTTTATAGAAACTCTACTAGGACCCAATGAGAGAATTACAGCACAGACCCCTAGGGATTTGGAGTAAGCCTGTCCATCTTTGCTAATAACTATGAAAATCAGTTCTTGGATTGCTAACATGCTCTGCAGAAACGGAATGCCTGACCAAAAGATACCGTAACTGTGATCTGAAACACCCATCATGAACTGGATATTCTCTGATCCTCTAAATAATAAAATTGGACATGGGCAGTATGTTAAATGGATATGGCAGATCCAGAATGCACAGATAAATTCCATGAGCAGGTGGCTTAGACTCCCATGGTATCAGTTACTACTCCTTTGCCACCACACCCTCAACCCATATCTACAACCTTACCCAACTTTTTTTTTTTTTTTTTGAGATGTAGTCCCACTCTGTCGCCCAGGCTGGAGTGCAGCAGTGCGATTTCAGCTCACTGCAACCTCTGTCTCCCAGGGTCAAGTGATTCTGCTGCCTCAGCCTCCCGAGTAGCTGGGACTACAGGAGCATACCACCATGCCTGGCTAATTTTTTGTATTTTTAGTAGAGATGGGGATTTCGCCATGTTGGCCAGGCTGGTCTCGAACTCCTGACCTCAGGTGATCTGCCTGTCTTGGCCTCCCAAAGTGCTGGGATTACATGTGTCAGCCACCATGCCTGGCCCCTTATGGAACATTTTTAATGACCAATTAATAGAGAAGGAATAATCACAGGCCCAGTGGTAAAATGGATGTGCATAGTATGTTGGTGCTGGCTGGCTGGAAGTGGATAACACCTGCGTGGCAATGCAATTCTACCCAGGAATGCCCTTAAGAACTGTGATAAAGGGAAGTCACCCCAGTGGGCAGAACATCTGGAATATATCTGGTTTCCCCTTTGTATGGAAGGAAAGATGGCTTGAGGTACGAATCTATACAGGCCTACCTTGTGCTATTGTGCTTCACTTAACTGTGCTTCACAGTTAAGTTAAGGTATTCTGTTTTTAACAGATTGAAGTCTATTGGCACCATTTTTCCAACAGCATTTTCTCACTTTATATTTCCATGTCATATTTTGATAATTCTTGCAATATTTCAAACTTTTTCATTATTATTATTCTGTAATGATGATCAGTGATCTTTGATGTTACCATTGTAATTGTTTTTGGGAGGCACAAACTACACCATGTAAGAACTTAATCAATAAATGTGTGTGTTCTGACTGCCCCACTGACCAGCCATTCCCCCATCTCTCTTCCTCTGCTCAGGTCTCTCTACTCCCTGAGACACAGCAATATTGAAATTAGACTAGTTAATAACCCTGCAATGGTTTCTAAATGTTCAAGTGAAAGGAAGAGTCACATTCTCTTTAAAGCAAAAGCTAGAAATGATTAGGCTTAGTGAGGAAGGCATGTTGAAAGCTAAGACAGGCCAAAAGCTAGGTATCTTGAACCAGTTAGCTAAGTTGTGAATGCAAAGGAAAAGTTCTTGAAGGAAATTAAACATGTTACTCTTGTGAACACATGAATGATAATAAAGTGAAACAGCCTTATTGCTGATGTGCAGAAAGTTTGAGTGGTCTGGATAGAAGATCAAGCTGATCACAGCGTTCCCTTAAGGCAAAGCCTAATCCAGAGCGAGGTTGTAACTCTCTTCAATTCTATGAAAACAGAGAAGTGAGGAAGCTTAGAAGAAAAGTGGGAAGCTATCAGAGGTTGGTTCATGAGGTTTAAAGAAAGAAGCCATCTCCACAATATAAAAGTGCAAAGTGAAGCAGCAAGTGCTGATGTAGAAGCGTCAGCAAATTATCCAGAAGATCTAGCTAAGATAATTGATGAAGGTGGCTACACTAAACAACAGATCTTCAATGCAGATGAAGCAACCTGCTAGTGGAAGAAGGTGCCATTTAGGACTTTCATAGAAACAGAGGATAAGTCAATGTCTGGCTTCAAAGCTTCAAAGCATAGACTGACTCTTTAGTTAGGGTCAAATGCAGCTGGTATCTTGAAGTTGAAGACAATGCTCATTGACCATTCTGAAGATCCTAGGGCCCTTAAGAATTATGCTAAATCAATTCTGTCTGTGCTATATACATGGAAAAACAAAGCCTGGATGACAGTGCATCTGTTTACAGCATGGCTTGATGAATATTTTAAGCCCACTGTTGAGACCTGCTTCTCAGAAAAAAGATCCCTTTCAAAGTATTACTGCTCATTGAAAATGCACCTGGACATCCAAGAGCTCTGATGGAGATGTACAAGGAGATTAATGTTTTCATGCCTGCTAACATAACATTGATTTTGCACCCCATGAATAAAGGAGTAATTTTGAATTTTAAATATTATTATTTAAGAAATACATTTTGTAAGGCTATAGCTGCCATAAATAGTGATTCCTCTGATGGATCTGAGAAAAGTAAAGTGAAAACTTTCTGGACAGAATTCACCATTCTAGATGCCATTAAGAACATGTGTGATTCATGAGAGAAGGCAAAAATATCCACATTCACAGGAATTTGGAAGAAGTTGATTCCAAGCCTCCTCGATGACTTTGAGGGCTTCAGGAGTTCAGTGGAGGAAATAACTGCAGATGTGGTGGAAATAGTAAGAACTAGGATTGGAAGTGGAGGCTGAAGATGTGGCTGAATTGCTGCAATCTCATGATAAAACTAACAGATGAGCAGTTGCTTCTTATGGATGAGCAAAGAAAGTGGTTTCTTGAGATGGAATCTACTCCTGGTGAAGATGCTGTGAATATTGTTGAAATGACAACAAGGGATTCAGAATATCCCATGAACTTAGTTGATAAAGCAGTGGCAGGATTTGAGAGGATTCACTCCAGTTTTGAAAGAAGTTCTGTTGTGGGTAAAATGCTATCAAACAGCACTGCATGCTACGGAGAAATCTTTCATGTAAGGAAGAATCAATCAATGTGGCAAACCTCATTGCCTTATTTTAAGAAATTGCCGCAGCCACCCCAACCTTCAGCAACCACCACTCTGATCAGTCATCCACTGTCAACACTGAGACAAGACCCTCCACCAGCAATAAGGTTGTGACTCTCTGAAAGCTCAGATGATGATTAGCATTCTTTTAGCAATACATTATTTTAAAATTAAACTGTGTACATTATTTTTTAGACCTAATGCTGTTGCACACTTAATAAACTACAGTATCATGTAAACATAATTTTACGTGTACTGGGAAACCAAAAAATTCAAGTGACTCACTTTATTGTGATATTCATTTGATTGTGGTGGTCTGGAACTAAACCTGCAATAATTCTGGGGTATGCTTGTGTTGACCTAAGGACAGTTACTTATAGGGTGAACACCAGAGAGCATTCACTGTGGAGGAGGTTTTCAACAATCAAGTTAAAAGTAAAGGTGATATTTTAAGCTGTATCTTTACTTTTTGTTTTATTTCTCAATTTGTTCAGACCCAGGCAGGAAAGAGGGTGTTATCTGTGGGAGACCTCCTCAGAAAGCCCAGTAGTATGCAATCACCTAGCCTTAAATATGCATATGGAGAGACCAAAAATGTACAGCACTATGAGGAGAAATCCATAATCCTATGGGAAAAGATAGAATAGTATAGGTAATAAGTTTGGTCTAAGTGAAAGAATTCATAACTTGGCTTCCAACTATTAGAGAACATACATTCTTTCAAGCATTCTGGCATATTTATAAAATTTTACCATGTACTAACCACAAAGCAAGTTTCAAAAAATACCAAAAAAATCCCAGTTCATATAATTAGACAAGATTGTTCAAGCACAATACACAATTTCATAGGTATGAATTAACAATAAAAAATAGACAAACCATTCTACCCTCTTACATTTGGACAATATAAGCACACTTCTAGAAAATCCCTAGTTCAAAAAAGAAATCATAATGGGTGTTAGAAAGTATTTATAATAGTAACAGTGAAAACAGTAGCAATCAAACCTGTGACACATAGGCACGATGAGAGCTAAAGGATTTGAGCCAAATCCACAAAGTGAATATTTATACAATTTGATTATAATGTGGGAAAATATAAAAGTAGATTTCTTCTTTACACCTTACCAAAAAATAAATTCAGGAATAAAGACCTGAATGTAAAAAGTAAAACTCTCAATGTTTTACACAAAAATATATGCAATAGCTTATGAACTTGGGATGGGGAAGAATCCATTAGACAATACACAAAAAGTTTAAGCTATAAAGGAAAAGACTGCTAAATTTGGTTGTATTAAATTGTAAAACTCCTATACAATAGAAAACTCCATAGGCCACGTTAAAAGACCAGCCACACACAGAGAGGAGAAATTTGAGGTGCAGAGGGCAGGGAAAAGATTAATATCCAGAATACATAAAGAATTACAAGTCAGTAAGAAAAGGACAACCCAAAAGAAAAACAAACAGGATATTTCTGAACAATTCACAGAACAGGAAACCCAAGTGGATTATAGAATGATTTTCTCTGTGTTAGTAGTTACCTAAAAGATCATTGAAATTTTATAGCTGTCAGTTTAGAAAAAAAAAATAGTCTGATTACATTAAGTGTCGGCAAGAACATAGAGAATTCAGGTTTGACTTCTTGCTGATGGTAGTATATACCAGTATAATCAATTTGGAGACAGCTTAGCAATGCTTGGTAAAGGTGAAGCTGCACAAACCTTCTGACCCAGTAATTCCCCCTCCAGGGATCTCCTTCAGAACCTCTTGCACAAGTGCCCAGAAAGACATGTACGAGCATGTCTAAGGTGGCTTTGTTAGTAACAGTAAAACATGAGAAACAACCCTCACCTGTCTTAGGGAAATGTCCACAATTTTACCCATGGCAAGCCTGGAGGTCAAACAGGAGAACCAGCACTGACGTGCTGCAGGTGCTTGAAGAGAACTGTCGAGGGCACACAAGGAGGGAGTGTGTTTGAAGAATGAATGGGCGTCTGAATGACGGTAAAAAAGACTAGACAAAACAAATATGGAAATGTCAGCCTAGCAGAGGGTGAGCAAAGGTGTAAAGCCTGGAGCCAGCTTGGCACCTGGGGAGGCTGGCAGTACTGCTGAGGCAGAAGCAGGAGGGGTCGTGACGCTATAGGGGTGACGGGGTATGATGGAGGACTGGGGCGGGAAAGGTGCAGAGGCCAAAGAATGAATGTTGTGTAGTGAAGTTGAGACCTCAATCCTGCAGGCCAGTAATTTCCTAACTTTTGGGCTTTATGATGCCTTTATACTTTTAAAAATTATTGGAGACCCAAAGGATTTTGTGTTCATGTGTGTTATATAGATATTTATTATATTCAAAATTAAAACCAGGGATATTAAGTATTTTGTTACTTATTTAAAAGTAATAGTAATAAGGCCATGACATGTTAATATAGATAACATATTTGTATTGTCCACGATAAAAAAAATGTAAGAGATGTCTGGTTTGCTAGAAGATAGCTGGATTTCAATTTTTTACAATATGTTGTTTTGTTTGAAGTGTATGAAGAAAAGCTTGCCTCATATAGAAAGCTGGAAAAGGGAGAAGACTTTTTAGATCATTATGGATATTCTTTGATACCATACTAAAACTGGATAACTGGTAGTTTCTCAAAAGTTAGTTGCAATGTGGAATCTGAAGCCGTATTAACAAGTGTTTCAAAATCTGTTACATTAAAATCCATTGGTCCATCGTGTACCTGAATAGACTTTTTTTTAAATGTGTGCATGATTTTGTAATATCCACTATTAGTTATTTGGAAAATATTGGCTGAGTTATGTAAGTCTTCCAAATGTTAATGCATCTCATTTTACAAGACCCAAAACAAACTCCACATGTTTCTTAATATCACCACCAATCTCATCAGAAAAGTCATTAAGTGTTGGGAAGCTGTCATGCTTATGGTGACAGATGCATGTTTTCCAAAATTCTCATTTTTGCTTGAAAGATCACATTTTATCATTGGCAACAAACACTGCTAGTTGTTTTCCTTGAAGTGACAAGCTCACTTTATTAATTTTTGAGATTATAACTGCCAAATACCCAAGTCTGAATAACCACAGTCTGTCAGTCAGTCATGCTTTCAAGTAAAAATGATGTTAGGTAGAAGAAAAGAAAGGTAGTTTAGCTTGCAACTCAAATGATCACACAAATGCTTTTCCGAGACAACCACTGTACTTTGGTATGTAGCAGAATCGTTTATGAGTACTTTGCATTTTGACACGCAGAATATTTAAAAGGTACTCATTGAAGGGCTGAGATTTTAAGAAGTTAATATTTTTACTGCTTCATAGTGGCATTTTTAAGTGAAACTAGCTTTTTTTCTTCTGCAAATGCATGAGGTAAAGATACAAACACTAGGTTATAGTATAGTTTTGTTCTATGCCTTAAATTGTGCTGAGGCATCTACTGATTTGCCCACTATTGCTTTTCCACCATCATGGAAATATCAACACAGTGAAAAGGCTAAATAATCTCTTATTATTATTATGAAAATAGTTTTGACCTCAGGTACCCTCTGAAAGTGTCTTGGGGTTCCACATTATACTTTGAGAACTGTTGTTAGATAAGATGGAGACTATCAGGAAAGGACATGGCCAAATTTGCAATTTAGGAAGAGCATTCTGCCAACAGAGTGGCTGATGAGTTGAATGGGATCAATCTGTGGGCAGGAGACTATGGCAATGTTCCAGGAGAGGTGATGAGGGCCCTAAACTAGGACCGAGGCTGTGGGCATAGGGAGCATGGGGATAGGAAAAACGACGAGTCCAAGATGTCTCCCAGCTTCCCTGGATGCACAGAGTATTCACAGTGATGGGAAACTCAGGAGAAGAAGCAGATGGGGGCTCAGCTTTGGTTTGGTTGACATTGAGGTGCTGTTCATGGAGTATACATCCACAGGCAGCTGTTTATATGGATCCTGAGATACATGTTTGAGAACTAAAATCAAGGAAAAGTCAAGGAAAGATAAAATCTTGGAGGGTTAGTCTTGAGCCTACAACCTACTTACTACCAAGCTTTAATGAATAGGTAGAGGAAGAGGAATCTGCAAAGGAGACTGAGAAGGAACAATAAGAAAGACAGAAGGACAACCACAGGACATTTTGTCATGGGATATGAGAGTGTTTCCAGAAGGTGAAGCCCAGTCATGGCAAATGCTATAGATACCTAAGAACTAAAAGGAGTTCCTGAAAACATAAGCACCAAGAAGCCTTTACACCAGTACATCCCCATGCCTGGAACACTGCCTGCTTCACAGTAGTTACATGTAATTCTTGTTGAATGAACAAATGAGCCCATTGGAACTTGCCATGGAGGGCACTGGTGACTGTTGTCATAGTGGCTTTGTGGAGTGTAGACACAAGCCTGGCACTGTCTATGAAAAAAAATACAGGAAAGGAGAGGTGAGTGTACATTTTTTTTTTTTTTAGGAACTTTGTTATCAAAGGAAGGGAAGAGATAAAGAGAGATCTTGCAAGCATAACGAGGTGAAGGATGGCTTATATTTAGTTAGGCTGATTTTTTTTTTAAGAATGAGAGACTTTTAAGTATGTTTTATAAGCACTGGGGAAGGAACAAGTAGAAAGAGAAAGGTTGACAATTAATGGTAAATTATAATCCTATTATTCACAGCGCCCTGCCTCCCCAACCTCCTTAGTCCCCAAAGCCACAGATGGCTTCAAGAGACATTCTCCTTGACACAAAGTGCACTTTGGGCAAACTTTTGCCTGTGCTGGTCATCCACAAGGACAGCACTACTGAGAAATTATGCCCCTCCTGTCCCCTTCTGTCCTAGCACCAGACTGTCATTTATCTCAGCCTTTCATGACCTGGCATTTTAAAGTGAAACCAGCATTATCTTCTTCGGGTAAATGCATGAGGACTTCAAGGCATCACACCCCAGATGTAGCTCCAGAAGCTCCAGAGTCTGCCGTGCTAAGCCCAGCCATGTGCACGACTTTGAGTTCTTCAGAAGCACCACCTCTCTCTCACCTCCCAGCTTCCCTGCCCAGAGCAGTCTCCCTCCGCATGTCTAGCTGGCTAACTGCTCCTCACCCTTGAGCTCCCTGCCCTGAGCTTCCTCTGTCATTGCACACAGCCCACTAGACTGCAAATTCGTCTTCTCAACCTTTCTTCCCTTCCCCCACCAGTCTAGAAGCTCTGTGAAGGGAGGTACCAACTCTTGCTCTCTGTGTGGCCCCAGTGCCCAGCACATAGTAAGGCTCGCTAAATGTATGTATTCCAAATCTCCTTTCGTCCTAACTCTCTTCATGGACAATGACCTGGGCAGGGCAACAGGCTCAGAAATGGAATCCAAAGCATCGCTTTAGGTTACATCGTTTCTCTGTAGAGTCTAATTTTCTCTGGCTGCTGACTGAGGCTGCACACAGCCTGCAGACTTGGAGGCAGTGAAGACTACATCATAATAACCGTCTATTAAACTTCAAAGGAAAAAAATTAAAAACATGAATGGAACTAATTGCTGGATGCTACAAATTGGTTTCTGGGCATTATAAATGGTTTAATAGTTGGTCTAGATACCACTGCGATAGGTCGCTGCCATTTACAACTACAAACACAGAGAGATGCGAAGATAACCAATACAGGCTGTGGCCTCAACAGTCACAGCTCCACAGCTGCAAGGGAAGAACTGTACCTGTTTTGAGCATTTGATATATTTATCTGTCACAAAGTAGCCAAAAATGACTCCTGTCTAACAGTTACATAACCTAAAGACATGGCGCCCAGGTGAAACAAACAAAACTTCACAGACTACCCTGGCTAGGAGTCAGGATGCCTGGAGGTCAGATCAGGCTCTGAAGTAACCAGCCATGTGCTCACAGGCCAGTTGCCTATTTTGAGTACTCAATGAGGCCTGATAGAATACAGCTCTCCGTGGGGTCCACATCCATGAATTCAACCCACCTCAGATGGAAAATGTTGAAAAAGTTGCATCTGTACCGAACATGTACAGACTCTTTTTTCTTGCCATTTTTCCCTCAACAATAAGGTATAATGATTCATATAGCATTACACTGTATTGGGTATTATAAGTAACCTAGAGATGATGTAAAGTATATGGAGGAAGTGCATAGGTTATATGCAAATACTGTGCCATTTTATATCAGGGACTTGGGCATCTGTGGATTTTGGTATCCTGGGAAGGTGCTAAGATGAATCCTCTAGGGACACCAAAGAATGACTGTACTTGAGCTCATGCATTCACTTATTCATTTAATCAGTCTGGATTTATTAAATATCTACTACATTCCTGGCACAACACTACGTACGGGGGCTACCTTGAGATTCCAGTCCACCATGAGTCTCATGCCAAAGAACGCGATGTGGTGATGCTATTGAGGTATGCACGGGTGCCATCAGGGGAGGTACGGAAGGAGTAACTAAAACTCAGCAGAGAGAAAACACGTGAAGTCTCGAGAGGGAGAGATCTTTGAATTGGGCTTTAAATGATAAATACAAGTTTGTCAGGCAGGGAAGAAGGAAATGCCATTCAAAATGACAGGAACAGGGCATCAAAGATACATGAAAAAGAAATGTTCAGAGAACAGTGAGTGTTAGGTGAGTGTGGTTAGAGGAGAGGAACCTGTTAGGTTCAGTTAGGGAGGTCTGGGAGGTGTCTGGGCACTCTCTTGTAGGCAATAGTCAGTGGTACTCACACTTTAGTGTGTACCAGCATTACCAGGAAGGCTTGTTAAAACACAGATCGCTGGGCCCCTCTCCCATAGTTTCTGATTTAGCAGCACTGGGGCAGGGCCTGAGGATTGGCATCTCTATTAAGCTCCCAGGTGATGCTGCTTCTGCCAGTCCTGGGACCACACTCAGGGAGCCACTGCGCTAGGGAGTCCTCCCTTCTGATGCTCGTATGTCTGGGTCTGTTGAGGCAAGTAGTCCGCACCGCATAGAGCAGATTGGAAGGGGAGAGGCTGAAGGCAGAGTGGCATCCAGGAGGCTTGTAGAGGCTCCTAGAAACAAAACTCCTGCCAACTTTCGCAACTCAAGAGTCCCTGACTCATCTTAAACCCTAATGTTTGTTTATTTAGCCTGTTACTGGTACCTGAAATTTTTACTAACAGCTTTTCTCATTTGGATAATGAATTGCAAATACTTCTGGAAGGGGACGCAGATGAAACTGCAATCAGGGCTTTACTATAGAGTGGTAATTTAACTATGGGAGTCTTTTCATGCAGAGCTGCATGAGATGATGGTCATTTCTAATGTGCTGGGAGGGCAGATTCACTCCTGGCTGTACCGTACCCTGACGGCACACTGTTACCCAAGTCACTTCACCTCCCCGAGTCTCAGTCTCAGTCTACTCTTTGGTAAAATTGTGGATAATAACACCTGCCACAGTGAGAAAATGTGTGTAAGAGCTTTTGGAGTATACCAAGTGCTAAACAGAAATGCTAACATATATGCGCATACACACATATATTCTTACGGTACATCTTTTAGCATATTGAAAACTTCAGAAGACTCTTAATGAATCTAAGGTTTGTCAAGCCTGTTGGGTTGTTGCTTTGTGTGTGTATGAGAGAGACACACAGAGAGACACAGAGAGACAGAGTAAGACAGAGAGCAGGAGAGGTAAGAAAGGAGTGAGACAGAATATGTCAGAGTGAAAGGCGGAGGTTGATGTTAATTCCAATTTTAGCATTGGCCTTTTGGTCTATATTTACAATAACTTTTCACAAGATTCCTAAGTTAAAACAGGTCAGGATTTGGAAACTGTACAGTAGGGATTTCTCCTTGTTATCAAATAGAAAAAAAAAATCCTTCCTTGGGTCTTTAGGGACTTCCTAGGCTCTCTCTGGATATTTGCACTGTTTTCCACAAACCCCAAAACAGGCAGTATTGATCAGGCCCAGACTGAATGCACCTAATCCCTTTAAACAAATACATGTCTAGCCAGTTCTGGGAAACCTTTTCTTAACCTTGGTGTAATTCTCCACCTCCAGGATATTGACAGGCCAGGTTTAAAGGGCTCCTTTAACTAAATGTGATTGAAGTTTTCCTTTCATCGGGAAGGGGTGCACAGAGGATGTAACATGTTATTCTGGAGTACCTTGGCAGGCGCACCCTGGAACAGCAGGCTATCAGCTTACCCACAAGTGAACCATTCCCCAGGTGGCATGGTTAATCGCAGCAGCTTCACCATGGTAAAAGACAAACAATGTCCTTTCTGTCTTGTCCCAAGGAAAAAAAGACGACATCTACCAATTTGTAAGAGGATAATTTCCTAATTACCCCATGAAGTTTGTTTTTTTCTGGTGGGTCCTTAAATCAGGCTGAAAAGAGTGAAATCGGATCCTTCCTTTCGAGATGAAAAGCGTTATTGACAGCATTAGGTTTTCGCAGTGTCTCCCTCTACAACTGAAGGAAGAATCTGCTCATCTCCATCGCAGTAGTCTTGGAGGCAGCTGCAGCATGTGCAGGAGAAGGTCCCGAATGGAAAGGCTGGGGCTGGTGGACTTCAGCTTGATCACGACATCGTTGTTTAATTACTTGGAAAAGCTCCCTCCGGAGTGAGTGGAGGCCCCGACGGAATACATGACTCACAACATATTGACTCCTGAATGTTTTAGAAATGAAGCTTGCCTTAATTTTCGACAGCCATTAAATTCTCCTCAAGGCATTTTGTGAAAAAAGGAGGGGTGTTCTGGTGGTGGTTATCAAACCATAACCACCCTCAGCCACACCTGGGGCACTCCCAGACTGTTGGATGCTAGTCAGGAGACGAAACGAACGTTTCTGTAGCACCTATCATGTGCTCCAGAACTTTTCAGCCTCCTGCCTGACTTCTTGCAACAATCCTGCGAGGCAGGTGGAATAGCTGCTATTTCAAAGTGAGGAAACTGAAGCTCAAAGTCCCAATTCCCAAAGGGAGGAGCTGAAGAAGAGCGCCAGTCTCACCCCATCTTTCCGTGTCCTTCCAGAAGGAAGAGGCCACCCTGGTAGCTCTCTATTTCCAGAATTCTGCTTCTTTCGTCTTCCTCTCACTCTGACTGCTGGGGTGCTTACACACAGGGGCCAGCAGGAAACAGAGACAAAGGGGAGAAGGTGTAAACACGAGCAGGGAGGAAAACTTGGCACAAGCTGGATGTGAGAAGGATTGGCGTTGCCGGGGACGCCAGGGCTGGTACCAAGAACAGAGGAGACGGTGAAATGTGGCCTTGTCCTTTCTCCAGTTCCAGAAGGGCCGGTCTGCCTCCATTCCTAGAGTCCGTTGATTAACTCAACAGCTGTTTATTAAGCATCTAATGTGTCCCCAGTACTTCAATGGGCACTGGGAATACAGCAGCCATCAAACAAAGCTCCCTCCCCCCCGGAGCTTACATTCTAGGGGAGTTTCTATCTAGCGGCTTCAGGCAGTCCTCTGGAGGCTTAGAATGAGGGTGCTCCCTGTGGTTCCCCTGGACACGCACAAGCGCAGACACACATGCGCTCACATAAGTGTGCACTCACATGCACTTGCCCGCGCGCGCACACGCACTGCCCCGTCTTGCCGCCCTTTCTCTAGCCAAGCACCTGAAGCAGAGGCGCAGCGCGGATGACCCTGAACATGTGCGCGAGGAGCAGGCCAACCCCGAGGCAGCCACCAGCGTCTCAAGGCCCGCGCAGTCGGCGGGGCGCGGGGCGCAGCTGGGCGGTGTCCCTGGGAGGGAAGGAGGCTGCGCGGAGCCCCCGGAGCCCCAGCCCCGGGTAGTTACACCTGCCCGCGCTCGCTCTCGGGCACAGCGGGGCTCTTCCTCCAGGGGCTTGCGGTGGAGCAGGCGGTGTCAACCCCTCCAGGCTCCCGCTGGCCCACATCCGCCACCCGCCTTTGCCTCTTAGCCCCACAGACCCACACGGGCCTCTCCTCCCAGGCATGGCCACGCTGACTGATTCCTCCCTCCTCTACTGATTTCTGGGGCCCAGCCTGGAGGGAGAAAAGTGGGAAGGTGTCCACCTGCGCCAGCCTTGGTGTTTGGGTGAGACACAGGTGGAAAACAATTACAGGGCTCTTTGGAAACAGCCTCGGCCCTGGAACTGTGGCAGAAACTTGGACTCGGTGGCCTGAAACCAGGCTGAGGAGCACAGTCAGGCAGTGCGGACCTGTCCCTCGGGGCTGATTAATTAGACACTCCTTCCTTCCGAAGCCTTTTGGTTGGCTGTTTGTTTGTTTCCAAGGCTAGCAACCGCCTACCACCACTTCTCACACATGCTTTCCCTAAGGCGAGGCTGCGCGCAGGATGGCGTGCACTTTCCTCCTCCCTCTCAACTTCTCCCATGCTCTCTCAATCTCTGGTAGACAACTCCCTACCAGGCCACCTTTCTTTCTCTGGGCCAGTTAGCACCTTCGAGAAGTTCTCCTGTGGCCATGCCCACCTGCCTGTCCTCTCCAGGAGAAAGAGAGAGTGGCAGGGCAGGAGGAGGGTCCCCACCTCCATAGGACAGCTGGCTTAGCTCTGCAGAGCCCCTGTGGCTGGGAGGGTGTGTGTTAGGGCCCCATGGGGTCAGGGTACAGGCAGGCTTTCCAGGCAGGTGGGCCTGCCTCAGTCCCATCCTGCACCCCCTGTGGATCAACGTCAACAGCAAGAGACTCACACAGGGTCTGCTTCTCTCTCCTTGTCAGGTACAAGAGAACTCTGCATTTGTCTTCTGCCCACAACTTCGTTGAAGAAGTGGAGAGGCCAAGCAACTCCAAGGCTGTTTGGAAGGAGAGCTGGGCTCTGCCTCCTGGGAGAGTTGGAGGACATTTCTTCTCTGTGGAGTGTGAAGGGAGGACTGCCCTATTCCTTGTCTGCTAGTGCTTGCCCCTGGGAGCCAGTGCATCTTATCCCTTTTAATTCTCGCTGGCTCCCAGGGGCACGTATTACCATCCCATTTTACGGGTGAGGAGACTGAGTTTCAGAGAGTTGTTCCTGTATAGCTGTAAATATGGGAGGCCGAATAGGATGGGTTACATCACCTGCAACTAGTTTTATGGCCAACAGGAATTCATTTTCCTGGTTCTTGCAAAGCGGTGGATAAGGCTGGGAATTAGGATGCCCTCCTTCTACTCTAGTCATGCCAGTTTGGCCTCTGCTCTATAAACAGCCCTTGTTCTTTTCTGTCTCCTAGATTCTCTCACATAGCTTCCCCAACTTGGAATGCCACTCTCCCTCCCACCAGTTCAACTCCTGCATACCTGAAAGGCCCAGCTAACCTCTTCCCACAGGAACCTTCCCTGCCCACTCTAGCTCTTGGCCATCTCTCCCTACTCTAACTCTAACAATTGCATTCTGTGCCATAAAATCAAACTCTTCATGACAGTACTGCCTTTTATGATTTGCTCATTGTTTCCATTTCATTCGTCTCATTCCATCAGCCAGACTGATCCGTGTAAGGGCAGGGACCGAGCACGGACACTTCCCCTAGATGCCCCACTGTTTCCAGCTGAGTGCTGCCATAAAGTTGCACTCGGTGACTCCTATTTGGCTAACATTCTAAACATGAGCCAAGGGTCTTTGCTACAAGACAGTGAGGGGTGGTACTATTGGGCTTTCAACCATTAATGAGCTAGCAGCAACTTCCCCTCACTTGGTGGCCAGCCTGCCTGGTTCCTCCAGACTGTCAAGAAGGATTGCACCTGAGTTAGCTGAGAAAGAGAGACAGAGCTTAATTGTATGCTCCGTTCACACTAAGGCACCCAAGGACTACTTAGACCAGAAGCGTGGGCAGGTGTAACCACGTGGGGCTGGGGCTCCGGGGGCTCTGTGCAGCCTCCTTCCCTCCCAGGTATGTGACGATTGAGGATAAGTAAGTGAAATGCAAACAGTTATATACATAACAAACAATCTGGTCTAAAGTTGAAAACCACAAGGTGAATTATTGGAGTATTTCTTTCTGGGGCCCAGCCTGGAAGGAGAAGAGACGGAAGGTGTCCACCTGCGCCAGCCGTGGTGTTTGGGTGAGGCACAGGTTGAAAGCAATTACAGGGCTCTTGGGAAACAGCCTCGGCCCTGGAACTGTGGCAAGAACTTGGACTCGGTGGCCTGGTTTCAAATTATTGGAGTACTCTTTTTGGAATATTTCTGTGCTTTCTGTTGAAAGTTTGAGGCTGTTCAATGACATTATCTAAGGCCAAGCCCTTTTTCCTGTTACCTTCTCAGCATACATGAGTGGTCATTTCTTACCTCTATAGCTTATAATGTGTTTTCACATCTGTCATCCCATTTACTTCTTGCAAGACTTTGGAAGGGAATAACAGTAACAATAACAATGTTAATAAAAATGTTGATATTTATTAAATACTTACATGTTCTAGGCATCAAGGGCACTAAGGGCTTTATGTGTATTAATTGGTTTGTTCCTCACCGTTTCACAGATGCAGAAACTGAGGCACTGAGAAGAATGATTTCAGACCATACAGTCTTCCAAGTGGCAAAGCCTGGGCTTGAACCAGGTCTCCTGACCTACAACTTGGCAGAGAGAGGGACAACCACCATGTCCCCTTGTCCGTGGCTGCATCCAGTGCCGATTTAACTCAGCACTTCCGGGAAGCCCCTTTCTCACCCTGGCCCCAGGCTCGTTCCTGGGGAAGATTCAGTGATTGGGTTGGTATCCTGAACTCAAGGGAGGGAGACAGGAGAACTGGGCTTAGCTTGGTCATTCCCTTAACCTCTCCAAGCCAAAATTTTGTTATCTGCAAATTAGGAATGATGGTTCTAAAATATCTGATAGGCCTGTTGGAAGCATCTCATGAGACAGCGTAAATATAAAGCACTTGTAATCAAATTCCCCTCCTCTTCCCTTTCCCTGCTGTTCCAGGGAGCGTTGCATGTATAGACACAGGGTTTATTGTTGAATTGACATATTTATTTGCTGGGCCACATTACTGAATATAATAAGGCAAGACCCACTGAAAGGAACTCTGACTTCTGGTATCCCCTGGGAAGGAGGCCTGTCTTCAGTATGGAAGTAAGATCTCAGAAAGTAGGTCGTGGGTGAGAGAGAGACATCTGGCTCCTTGGCCTCTTTCTCTCCAGCCTGGACCTTGTGGACTCTAGACAGGCTGGAGGATATCCTTTGCAGACAAGTGGGGCTGGGCAGAGAGCCTCTCTGTGTGGGCCACAGGGTGCGGCAGTCACCTTAAGGGTTACTTGCATGTTATTCCCCACTTGAGTTACATCTTGTTGAAAAGCTCCAGCCTGGTCTCAGCCGCGCCACTGAGGACAACAGGGTATTCAAGTCTGGGCTTTTGGGGTAAGTAAGAACAGCAGTGCATGCTGGTCAGCAGGGTGCGCTGCCAGTGGCGTGTGTTGGTGGGAATGTCCCCAAGGCAAAGGGGGACCAAGAGCAGAGGTAGGAGATACGGCCACCCAAGTGGAGATCCTCCCTGCCAGCACTCCTTTGGTCAACAAACTGCATTCCAGGTCTTACTGAAGGGGCTCTTGAGTGCTGAGAGCTCCACGAGAGGAAGAAGATGCCTGGGTGCTGAGTAAGGAAACTGACATGGAACACCTGCCTTCCACCAGGCAGGGCTGCTGGGAACACCGTGGGCATTTTCTCACTTCATTTTCACAATGACCCTACGAGGTAGGTGCTGTGACTTTCTCCCGTGTTTGGGGAAACTTGGCCTTGGAGAGGTTAGCTGGTGCACCCCAGGGGCCAGGCCGTGGGTGACCAGGCTGGGATCCAAAGCCAGGTCTGTGGGACTCACCTGCTGGTGCCATCTCCACACACCCTGCAGTGTGCCTGGGGTGGCTTGGCCTGCTGTGGCCCTTTGTTTCTCTTTGAGAGAAGGGAGGGAATGTTTATTTCACTAACTGGGATGGTGAGATCATTATCACCCTCAAAAAGCATGTATTAAATCCCTAATAGTTCATGGCACTGAGCACAGGACTGAATTATTTTGTACACAAAAATAATTAACAGAAGGACACAGATAGGGTCTCTGCCTTCTGGGAACACAGGATCCCCAGCACGTGAAGGTGAACTCAAGTGCCATGCCTGTAAAGCCGAGGCCGTGGTGCCATTCTCAGGAAGCCTGATGACCTGTGTGACTTTGGGCAGTTCCTCACTCTCTGCAAGCTTTCTCCAGGCTTGCCACATGGTGAGATAATATACGGAAAGCACTTAGCAAGTGCTCAACATATACTGTACATTCTCAATCATCAATAACTATTATTACAGCCATTGGGTAGATGGCTTGTACCCAAAATGGATTTAGGGATGAGGGAAAGGTTTATGGTTAAACACTTTTTTAGGGGGTGGGGGGGTAGAGTCTCATTCTGTTGCCCAGGCTGGAATACAGTGGAGAGAACATGGTTCACCTGCAGCCTCTACCTCCTGGGCTCAAGCAATCCTCCCACCTCAGCCTCCTGAGTAGCTGGGACCACAGGTGCATGCTACCATCCCTGAGTAATTTTTTAATTTTTCTGTAGAGTCAGGGCCTCACCATGTTGCCCAGGCTGGTCTCGAACTCCTGGGTTCAAGTGATCCTCCTGCTTTGGCTTCCCAAAGTGTTGGGATTACAGGTGTGAGAGACCGTGCCTGGCCAGAAAGAAGACCCTTGATTGCACAGTGGAGGCGCCCTTTCCCTACTCCACTGCTCTGTGGCTGTGGAAAGGCTACAGGGCTCTTGTTTTCCTTACAAGAAAATGTTCTCATTCTTCTGAGATAAGGAGGGCTCAGCCTTTATGGAGCAATCCTTCAAGTGTCTGTCTCTTAGTCACTGGTCTTTAGTTCTTTATTCTGGAGAGATGTGTGGCTTTCCTGAGGCAAAAGAGGTGAAGGAACTGTGCAGGCTAGAGCTATTAGTGACCTGCATACAGTAACATTGTGCACATGTACCCTAGAACTTAAAATATAATAAAAATAAAAAATAAAAAAAAGAACTCAATAAGTGCTGACTGACCGGCATACCAGGGTGGGGGGTGCCCAGTTTCCCCAGACCTACAAAGGAGCCTGCTGTCCTTTCAGTATTTGCCTGAGGGACAAAATGACAGAGCCGCGAACCCATCAGGTAAGACATCTGGGGCTGCCAGGGCTGCAGATGCAGACGGAGGGCTCCCAGAGGAGCTTTCACCCTGTGAGGTCCTGCAGTGTGCACCCTTTGCCGTGCACAGCTGGACAGGGATTGACTGAGGAGCCCCAGTGACACAAGGGCACATCCTTTGGAAAATCTCTTTTGTTTCTTCCTGGCAGAGGCCGGGTAAGACACAAGCTTCATGCTTAATGGCCTGTCAGGGGGGAAACAAATCCACAGCAGTAGAGAGAAAAAGATTAAACTAATAATAAAACCAAACCCAAACATCACCGCCCTCCCACCCCTCCGCCCCAGCCCACACCTGACACTGTGAGCTGTCTTCCAGCCAGTTCCCCTCCCAGGCAAATAATATTTATTCCATGAGGCCCTGACACACCGGTCCCCAATAAGACAATGCTTCATTGTTTCTTCTTTCCCCCCTGCAGCAAACCATGGGTGCAGCAGAAGACATGAAAAGGGAAAGGAGCGAGGTTGCTGCTCTTCTCGTGGGACCAGCTCCCGGTGCTGTCAAAACAAGCCTGAGATAAGGGCGGGCAAGGGGTGGCAGGCTCAGAGATTAGCGCTGCTACTGCCCAACCTGCTCAGAAAGTTTCATTCTTTTAGCAAAGTTCCTGGCAGCTGTGACCACTTAAACGGCTTTTGCTTCCATTAAACAGGAGACTCATTAAGTCACGGAGCTTAAAACAGCTCTAAAGGGCCCAGTAGTCATTCCTCAGTGAAAAGTGCCAATTCATTGCTTGGTAGATTAAAAAAAAACCTGGAGGTTCGCAGTCAGAGGTGAGTTTCTGTAGCATTGGGGTTGACGGTTGACCTCGAGGTGACCTTGTGCTAAAAAAACGGTCTTGTGTGAGTCAAAGAGGCCTGCACTGGTGGTGCAGTGAGAAGAGGGAAGGTTCAGACACAGAGAGGAATCGGATTGTCAGTTTCCCCAGGTTCTCAGCAGCTGCCCTGTCTGTTCAGACCTGAAAGGTCCAGACAGATGTCTTATCGATGTTAGGGTTTATCAATACATTTATCAATGGGATGTATGTTGCAGGCCGAGACAGTTTGTGTTTTCCCAGTCCAAGTTTACTTCCTCGTGGATCAGCCACAGCCATCAGGGGCAGGACAAGTCGCGCCTTGAAACTAGGGATGGTGTCCCTTTCTTCTTTGAGCAGTGCCTGTAGACAATTTACAGAAAGGAGGGGAACAAATGATAACCCCAGGGGCTGACCTACATTGCCCTCTTTCATAGGGGAGCCCACCCCTCACTCAGCAATGGTCCAAGGTGGCTAAACCAGCCAGTAGGCGGGAACATCGTGACTGCTCACGAGGGCAAAGTGGGCCAGGTGCGGTGGCTCACACCTGTAAGTCTAGCACTTTGGGAGGCTGAGGTGGGCAGATTGCCTGAGCTAAGGGAGTTTAAGACCAGCCAGCCTGGGCACATGGTGAAACCCCGTCTCTACTAAAATACAAAAAATTAGCTGGGCATGGTGGTGCGTGCTTGTAGTCCCAGCTACTCGGGAGGCTGAGGCATGAGAATTACTTGAACCTGGAAGCGGAGGTTGCAGTCAGCCTGGGTGACAGAGCGAGATTCTGTCTCCAAAACAAACAACAACAGCAAAAAACAAAAACCAAAACCAAGGAACAAGGGCAAAGTGAAAACCTGTTTCTGGGGAGTACTCACTGGCTTTCCAAAAGCTTTCATTTATTCTAACTCATAATTAGGTGGAGTGAGCAGGGAAGGTATTACTATCCCCATTTTACGGCTGAAGAAACTGAGGTTCAAGAAAGTTAAGCGACACCTAAGCAAGCATCTCAAACCCCGGGACTTTTGGTTCCTAGCCTGGTGCTCTTACTACGTTAACACTGTGAGCTTTATCCTAGGTGGCTGTGGAACTCCAGGACTCAACTTCCAGCCTGCTCTCTGTCCACCTTGCCAGCATCCCCTTTTCACTTGTCAGGACCCAGCCAGACTACCTGCTTCACTGGAGGCCTGGCATTGGAAGCCAATCAGCAGAAAGATGAAAAGAGTTTTTCTCCCTGCCCGTTTCACTGAGGTCAGAAAGCAGCTAGGAGAAGAATGAAAAAGTTTGGGGTGGATGTCTTTCCCTGCAAGAGAGAGTGCCCCTTCCTTAAGTTGTCTCATCAGCAGTTTCACTCTTTCCTGGGGCTGACTGGGAGGAACTGATTGCATCTGCACAGAACCATGAACATAGATTGTGGGAACTGAGGTAGGACATTTGCCAAAGGGAACTCCAGGAATACTTGGCTCCCTGCAACTCCAGTGTGAGGGACATGCAGCCTCACGGCTACCCGGTGGATAACGAGCGGTCTGGAAATACCACTCCGTAAGAATTCTGATGGGCTCTGGGATCCAGGACTAAAGAGGCTTGATCCTGGCTGGAAAACCTGGGGTAACTGGCAGTCTGGTTTATCCCATGTGGGATTACTCAGCCTGTAAAAGTTCTATTTATTTGTTAAGGGAGGGCAGATCCATATCCCATCTGTTGACACCTGGACGGCAGAGGGGCAAGCACTGCACCGCCTTGCCCATCAGCACCCTGGCGGTGGCACTCCCTGCCAAGCTGCTGTGGTGGCTGGGAAGAACACCTGGTGGGTGAGTGAGTGATGGGAGAGCCTCCCACTGGCAGCTGCCGACCTGCCGAGAGCCATGATCGTCACTTAGTGGAATGGAAGGCCCAGGCAAGTAGGCTGAGAGCACGGCTCCAAACATGTTTCCCTCACACACATGCCCCAGAGTGGGCCTGACCTTGTCAGTGAAACCAGGCTCACCAGCTCCCAGAAGCTGCCTCTCCAAGAGTGTCTCGGAGGTTTCCCAGCATTTCTTTTCAGGCTGTGTTAGTTTTGGCTCCAAGACCAAATAAGCAGAAGATTCGAGAGGTTTTAAATCTTCAATTCCAATGCCGATCAGGGCCCACCCACACTTTAACTGTGATGTCTTTCTGTGGTTTCAGTTCAGAGGTCAGAAGAGCAGAGAGGAGGAGCTACCTAAAGTTTTAGAGGGGGAGATTCACCTGGTTTCAAGGCGATGTCAAAAAACAGAATTAGTGTGAGAACGACTGGCATTTGCAAAGAGCACAGGATCTGTGCTGAAGATACAAGCCTTCCAAAGCTGGCACCAGCATAAATCAACTGTGCAACCTTGAGCAACTGAAACAGACCTTCTGGATCTCCATTTCCTCACCAAGAAACAAAAGAAGTTGGATCGATGCTCTCCCAGGGCCCCTTCCAGTTCAACCTTTTATGGTTATACAACTACTCTCAGCACGATGTCCTTTATTTATCAAGAAAATAGCATTGGCACACCTCAGGTAGGACATGTGCTTGAGTTGTTCTTTCTGCTGTGCTGAGAGGTTCTCAGTGCTCCACCCCTACACCTGCCCATCCCTTTTGCCCACCAGTTTCCATGCAAGAAGGCTTGCCCCGTGGCCTCTGCTGTCCTCTAGAGTCCCTCAGAGGATGCCATCCAATGGCCACAACAGGGCTGGCAGGTCTAGGTCTCAATTCTGACCCCAGGAGCTGACTTGGGTGGTTGCAGGCAGAACTTAGCTTCTCTGGGCCTCATCTACCGAATGGGATAAATCGTCCGTCCTGGGAAAACACTCTGAGATGCTTTGGTGAGAAAAGCAAGAGGCGCGTGAAGCGGCCCTGTTGTGGAGGCTGAGGATCTCAATCCCAGAGTCTTTGAGAACTAGTGGCCCTTTACTAATGGGCTGCACACCCAACAGAATGTTGTTGATTCCCAGTTTACGTGGAACTAAACCCTGCTGGCAGATGCTGGGTGACTTATTCACATGCATTGTGAACTTGGATCAAGACTCCTTCTTTTTGGATTAGTTCTGAGCCTGGTTTTAAAGCATCTTGCTGGAACAGTGAGTGGTTCTGCAAGGCATTTCAGCGAGCCCTTTACAAGCTCACTCATCAGGCCTTGGGGAACGAGGCTTACTTCAACCAGCTCAGCTTGGATGCCATGCTGGAGGCTGCTGAGTCACACAGGCAGAGCCCGTTACCTGCCAAACGTGGCTTTTCTGGATCCACCTTTCCGGTGTGATGAACTCACAGGATTAATCTGAGAGCTTGTCCCTTCTCTTCTCTCTTCCCTCTCTCCTTTCCCGTTGCCCTCACCTGCAGCTGTTGCCCCTCAGGTGAGAGCACCTGAGCTGGAAAAGTGGGGGCAATGAGTCTCAGGCTCCAAGAGCTTCTCTCTGAAACAAGCCAGGAAATGGCCTAATCGCCCTAGGGATGAAGGGGCCCCACTTTGCAAGAGATCCCTGAATGGAGATGGGAATTAATGGAGAGCATCCTTCAGAACCATTCAGAACTACTTGGATGTTACTGAATCTGCCAAGTCCTCTCAGGCCTCTGTAGCTTTGAACTTCTATTTCTTCTGGCCAGAATTCTCTTCCGTCCTCACCTGCCTGGTTAGTTCTTACCTATTCTTTATGTTCACCTCCTCCAGGAAGTGAACAATTTATTCAATAAGTATTTATGAAGCACCTATATGCACTAGGCACTGTTCCAGAAGTTGGGATACAATAGTGAACAAAATAGCCCCAAACTCCAGCCTTCCATCCAAGGACAGTGTGATTGACTGTCAAATGTGGCTGAAAGGTCAAGGATTGGAGAACCAACCACAGAATCTGGCAGCACAGAGGTCACTGGTGGCCTTGTCAAGGGCAGTTTGAAAGGTTCTAGACAGAACTGGAGAAGAGAAATGAGAGATAGTCCATATCAACAACTCTTTTGAGGAATTTTGTTAGAAAGGTGATCAGAGAGATAGAGGAAAATGTGCAAGTCAGTTGTTTAAAAATTGACTTGACTTGTTAATTGGTTACTTAAGAAACTATGGAGGCCATTGCCACATATTTTGGGAGCTTAGTCCAAGGCCAGGAGAGGAGATTGAGAAAAGGTGGTTTTCATTTTCTTTCCATTAGCCCTTGTCCGTGAGCCCCCATCCCAGTTCTGCCTTCTGTCCTTTACTTAATGGTGACAGATGTGGTCATTTTTACTTCAATATCTTCTGCAGACTTTAGCAGACCAAGGAGACTCCTAACCATATCATACTAGATGCCTGTCTACAGTGCCACATCAGCTCTTTTCTAGAAGTCTGGCATTTGGCTACATAAATCATTGAGAATGTCTGATTTGTGTGTAATAATGTAATCTTGTGATTTTTATGGTGAAGTGACATCACTTCTATGGTAGGCACAATACGATTCACAATTGTTTATAATACTTAACCAGTAAGAATGTTGCATCAAGGAACTATTTAAATGGTGTTTAAGTGTCTGGAGATTAGTGCCAGGTTCTTGGTCTTTCTATGAATATTCAAATGATGGCTAATGTTTTTCCAAGTATAATAGAGCCTGCATCTCTTAAAAGACATGGCTTTCATTCTTGTGGAAGATGGGGTATCTATGCCTCGCACTATATATAAATCAGTGAGAACCCATCCAAATGTATTACAAACTTTAGTTGAATTCCGATAGGACACAATAGTAACCAATAACATCAATCCTCTAAATAATAACATTAAGATGGAAATGGTTGACTTGTGTTGGAGTTGACTGGGGATGGCTTTTCCTCATAGGAGGCACATGGTGTCCTTTTAGAACCTCTGCATTATAACACACAAGTAGATATCACCCATCCCTTCACATCCTGATAATCTACAGTGAGCTTTGAGGTCAGTCAGGTCTATATTAAAATTCCTACTTGGCTGTTTCACTGAGATGAGGAGCGAGTTACTTAACCTCTGTGAACTTCAGTTTCCTTATCTATAAAATGAGAATGCTGACACCTACCTCACCGTGTTATTGTGAAGTTTAGCTTTAATATGAGTGTCAATCACCTGGCATAGAATAATTAGTATTATTAGCAATACTGCCAGGGAATGAAGGGGCTTGGTGCTGGTGTGATGGGCATAGCAACATCCCTAGGGGTAGGGTGAGAGGGGCTGACCTCTCCGCTCTTCCCTTTGCTAGAAATTCTATCCGCAGATGGAGACAGGCTTGTCAGTGACCCACATCATCCATCCACTTTGGCTTTCACACATTCATTTAATAATTTGTTGAAAGCCTTGGCAGTTGCAAGCAACAGAAACCCCTGATCTGACAGAGCTTATGTTCTAGTGAGTTTCGGGAAGAATCTGGGTCATCCTAGATTTAACATAGCTCTTTCATGTCCCTCATCTTTATGACTTTAAGTTACCATCCAATCACCAGCCCATCCTGTGCTGGGTAAGAATAAACTGAGGCAACTTAGGCCTTCTACAGACATAGGTACATACCAGCCACTAGTGATTTTCTCTTATTGTCAGGGACTAGCCAACTTAGAAAGAGTTTTCTCCCCTACTAAGGTGATTTCATTTTTTCTGAGTGGAAGCAATATTTCCCTGATTAAGTAAGAATTCAGGCCCCTCTTCCCTGTAATTGGCTTTTGGGGCAGACTGAGAATCACTGTACCACTTTGGGATGAAGCTGGCACAAAACTCTATGCTTTATTTTGCCTTTTTGCATTGGAGGGATGGGGGCAGGGAGGGGAGGAAGGAATCCTAGGTGCTCAGAAAAGAGGGAAAACCTGGAACCCTGCTGTTAGATGGTGGGAAGGAGGCCAGGAGACGAGGGCAGAGAGGTACGCCCTTACAGCCTGGGCTCCACTGGAAGTTCCTGCTCCCCTGGAAATAGATCATGCAGCTATTTAATAAAAAAAGAAACTATATAGTTGCAGGTAGTCATAGCCAGGTGTTTCTCTTTTGGGTCTCAAGCATGAATACTTGTGTCCTGGCTGTCAGTGTGAGTGTAGTGCAAACAGCAGTCTTGTCAAGTGTAGACAGTGATGAGATGGGGCAAACTGGTTTAACACCATTGTGAACCCTTCACCTAAAACTCAACTCAACCCCAGGGATTTCTGAGCTGTCCAAGAAAGTTTGATGACTTTCCTTGCTTAATCAGGTCATGTTAAGCTCCCTTGAGGCTAAATAGGGAAGAAGGGGCCATGAATTTTATGTCTTTCTGTGGGAATGTATATGTTCCAAAAGCAACAACCCTTTTTCCAGATAAATGTATAATCAACAAAACAGAGTTCTCTGCTTTGTAAAACTAGCACAAAATTACCCTCCTGAGTGCCCTCTTCCAAGAAAAACACTGAGCCCTCCTTTATAGAAATTCTGAAATTTCCATGTGTTAAACTAAATCAGATTAGGTTTAACTGTTTCCCCAACCTCATGTCTTTTTCATCTGTCATTTATTTCCCATATGCAGTGACCACTGCTAGACACTCAGAGAAAGTCTGTCCCAATGCCCATAAAATAACAGCTCCTGTTACTCTGACCTTATACCCACAGGAACCTCAGAACAGGCAGGTGCATCCTTAACTGAACACCAATAATTAAGGACTTAGGGAGCTCTTTATGTTTTACTAACCCTTAAGTCAACAATGTGCTACTCATTCATTGGCACATTTCTCTTGAGTGATAATTGCTACTCTTCCCACAGGTAAGTTTTTCTAGGAAAAAAAAAAGATTAAATATTGGATAACTTTAGCCGGGCAAAGAATAACTCAAGCCATTAACCCTACTTGATTGCAATGAAAACTGCAAATTAACTTTGACAGAAACAACAATAAAAAGCATATACAAATTTAGCTAATTAGCACCCCCCTCCACAAAAAAAAAAAAAAATGGGAATAGCTTTTCATCGTATGTAGAGACATTATCAGGTAGTGATTAAGATCCTTGATTCTCAATCCAGACATACCTGGGTATAAACCCCTGTTTTGAAGTACCCATGTGACCTTGACCAAGTTGTCTGGCTTCTCTATGCCTGCTTGATAGTGCGTCGTTAGACTTGTGTAAAAAAACTAAGACAGTGTACTGCAGTGTCTAGATAATAGACAGTGCTTAATCATTTACAAAATGATTTTGATGGTTACAACTACAGCTAACATTTATATGGGCAGCTAAGCTGCAGATATTTGTAGGCCAGTAGAGGTTCACATCACCATACTCTAGTAACTTCTGCCCTAGGAAAAGATAATAAAAATATTAGCTCCCATCACAAAAGACCACATATTCTATGATTCCATTTCTATGAAGTGTGCAGAGTAGGCAAATCTATAAAGACATAGATTGGTGGTTGGGGGTTGGGGAGTATAGGAAATGACTCCTGATGGGTACAGGGTTTCTTTGTGGAGTGATGAAAGTGTTCTAAAATTGATGGCGGTAATGGTTGCACAACTCCATATGAAAACCACTGAATTATATACACTGTAAATGGGTGAATTGTATGGGATGTGAATTATATCCCAATAAAGCTGATACAAAACAGCTCCCATTTCTCTTTCAGTTAATCCTCATAATAGTCTATGGTTTTTATTTCCCCATAGTCAAGAAAATTTCATAAAATTAGCATGTGAGGGATCCGGGATTTCTTATTTATTGACTGACTGGCTCTTTGGTTCACAGAATTAGATTAATCAAAATGAACTATTCAGGGCACATTATCGCCCGTTTACACCCATTCATGGCACATTATCTCCACTGATCCATTGAAAGCCATCTTTTCTTTTACTTTATGTATATACACTAAATAACATAATAAACACTTAGAACCCACTGTCCAAACCAAGAACAGAATATTCAATAACTTATAGCTCCCTGTGTGTTTTCTACTTTCCATCTTCTCCCTAGAGATAAATATTTCTTGAATATTATGCTTAGCATTTCCTTGCCTCTTTTAAAAGGTTTTTTTTTTTTAACAGGAATGTGTGTTCCTAAGTTGTATATTTTTCAGTTTTGCTTAGTTTTGTTTTAATTTTGCTTAGTTTTCAAATTTTTTAAAAAGTGTATCATGTTGTATATGCAGTCTTCTGTGATTTGCTTCTTTTCATTCAACATGATGCTGCTTTGATTCACCCAAGTGAAAGAGTCCAGCTGTATCTCTTTTGTCTTTATGCTGTGGAATATTCCATTTTATGACTACACTATTATTTATTTATGCATTCTCCTTTCAAAAGGTAGTTAGGTTGGTTTTAGCTTTTTGCTATTTTGGCAAGTTCAACTATGATTATTCTTTGTATATGTGTCTCCTGGCATACATGTACTAAATTTTCTCTTGGGTGTATACCTAGAGAAATAGGGAATACATCAAATAGATTTCGTGTGTATGCCAGCGTTCAGCTTTAATAGATAATGCCAAATTGTTTTCCAGTTTCCCCCCAGCAATATGTTTGAGACCCTGTTGATTTCCAACATTTGGTTTTGTCAAACCTCTTGGATTTGTTAAATGGGTGTAAACTTGCATTTCATGGTGATGAAATGCCTCTTCATGATTATTGGTGAGGTGAGCATCTAATTATAGATTTATTAGTTGTATGTGTTTCTTGTTCTATGAAATGCTTCTTTGTGGCTTTTGCCTATTTTTTCTATTGAGTTTTTTCTTATTTTAGAAGTGCTTTATATATTTTTAAAACTAATCTTTTGTTAGCTATATGTGTTTCAAATATTTTCTCCAAGTTTGTAGCTTGTAGTTTTACTTTTGTGCAGAAATTCTTAGTTTTTTTTTTTTTTTATTTTACTTTAAGTTCCAGGATACATGTGCAGAATGTGCAGGTTTGTTACATAGGTATAGGTGTGCCATGGTGGTTTGCTATCAACCCATCATCTAGGTTTTAAGCCCCGCATACATTAGCTATGTGTCCTGATGCTCTCCTTCCCCTCGCCCCCCACCCCCTGACAGGCCCTGGTGTGTTTTGTTCCCCTCCCTGTGTCCATGTGTTCTCATTGCTCACCTCCCACTTATGAGTGAGAACATGCGGTGTTTGGTTTTCTGTTCCTGTGTTAGTTTGCTGAGGATGATGGCTTAGAGCTTTATCCATGTCCCTGCAAAGGACATGATCTCATTCCGTTTAATGGCTGCATAGTATTCCATGGTGTATATGTGCCAAATATTCTTTATCCAGTCTGTCATTGATGGGCATTTGGGTTGGTTCCATGTCTTTGCTATTGTAAATAGTGTTGCAATAAACATACATGTGCATGTGTCTGTATAGTAGAATGATTTATATTCCTTTGGGTATATACTCAGTAATGGGATGGCTGGGTCAAATGGCATTTCTGGTCCTAGATCCTTGAGGGATTGCCACACTGTCCTCCACAGTGGTTGAACTAATTTACATTCCCACCAACAGCGTAAAACCATTCCTATTTCTCCACAGCCTCGCCAGCATCTATTGTTTCTTCACGTGTTAATAATTGCCATTCTGACTGGCATGAGATGGTATCTCATTGTGGTTTTGATTTGTGATCAGTGACGTTGAGCTTTTTTTCATATGTTTGTTGGTCACATAAATGTCTTCTTTGAGAAGTGTCTGTTCATATCCTTTGCCCACTTTTTGATGGGGTTGTTATTTTCTTGTAAATTTGTTTAAGTTTCTTAGAGATGTTGGATATTAGACCTTTGTTGGATGCCTGGTTCGCAAAAATTTTCTCCCATTCTGTAGGTTGTCTGTTCACTCTGATGATAGTTTCTTTTGTTGTGCAGAAGCTCTTTAGCTTAATTAGATCCCATTTGTCAATCTTAGCTTTTGTTGCAATTGCTTTTGGTGTTTTCATCATGAAATTTTTGCCTATGTCTATGTCCTGAATGGTATTACCTAGGTTTTCTTCTAGGGTTTTTACAGTTTTGGGTTTTACATTTAGGTCTTTAATCCATCTTGAGTTAATTTTTGTATAAGGTGTAAATAAGGGGCCCAGTTTCAGTTTTCTGCATATGGCTAGCCAGTTTTCCCAGCACCATTTATGAAATAGTGAATCCTTTCCCTATTGCTTGTTTTTGTTAGGTTTGTCAAAGTTCGGATGGCTGTAGATGTGTCGCATTATTTCTGAGGTGTCTGTTCTGTTCCGTTGGTCTATATGTCTGTTTTGGTACCAGTACTGTGCTGTTTTGATTACTGTAGCCTTGTAGTATAGTTTGAAGTCAGGTAGCGTGATGCCTCTAGCTATGTTCAGTATGATATTGGCTGAGGGTTTGTCATAAATAACTCTTATTATTTTGAAATATATTTCATCAATATCTAGTTTATTGAGAGTTTTTGGCCTATTCAGGGGTCCAACTTCTTCCTCGTTTAATCTTGGGAGGGTGTATGTGTCCAAGAATTTATCCATTTCTTCTAGATTTTCTAGTTTATTTGCATAGAGGTGTTTATAGTATTCTCTGATAGTAGTTTCTATTTCTGTGGGGTCAGTGGTGATATCCCCTTTATCATTTTTTATTGTGTCTATTTGATTCCTCTCTCTTCTTTATTAGTCTGGCTAGCAATCTATCTACTTTGTTAATTTTTTTCAAAAAAACAGCTCCTGGATTCATTGATTTTTTTAAGAGTTTTTCTTGTGTGTATCTCCTTCAGGTCTGCTCTGATCTTAGTTATTTCTTGACCTCTGCTAGCTTTTGGATTTGTTTGCTCTTGCTTCTCTAGTTCTTTTAGTTATGCTGTCAATTTGAGATCTTCATAGCTTTCTGATGTGGGCATTCAGTGCTATAAATTTCCCTCTTAACACTTCTTTAGTTGTGTCCTAGAGATTCTGGTATGTTGTCTCTTTATCCTCATTGGTTTGAAAGAACTTTTTGGTTTCTGCTTTAATTTCATCATTTACCCAGGAATCATACAGAAGAAGGTTGTTCAATTTTCATGTAGTTGTGTGGTTTTCAGTGAGTTTCTTAATCCTGAGTTCTAATTTGATTGCAGTGTGGTCTGAGAGACTGTTCATTATGATTTGAGTTCTTTTGCATTTGCTGAGGAGTGTTTCACTTCCAATAACATGGTCAATTTTAGAATAAGTGCCATGTGGAACTGAGAAGAATGTATATTCTGTTGATTTGGGGTGGAGATTTCTGTAGATATCTGTTGGGTCCACTTGATCCAGAGCTGAGTTCAAGTCCTGAATATCTTTGTAATGTTCTGTCTCGTTGATCTGTCTAATATTGATAGTGGGGTGTTAAAATGTGTTAGTCTAAGCCTCTTTGTAGGTCTCTAAAAACTTGTTTTATGAATCTGGGTTCTCCTGTATTGGGTGCATATATATTTAGGATAGTTAGCACTTCTTGTTGAATTGATCCCTTTACCATTATGTAATGCCCTTGTTTATCTTTTTTGATCTTTGTTGATATAAAACCTGTTTTGTCAGAGACTAGGATTGCAACCCCTGTTTTTTTTTTTTCTTTCCCTTTGCTTGGTAAATTTTCCTCCATTCCTTTGTTTTGAGCCTATGTGTGTCTTTACATGTGTGATGGGTCTCCTGAATACAGCACACTGATGGGTCTTGACTCTTTATCCAATTTGCCAGTCTGTATCTTTTAATTGGGGCATTTAGTTCATTTACATTTAAGGTTAATATTGTTATGTGTGAATTTGATCCTGTCATCATGATGCTAGCTCATTATTTTGCACACTAGTTGATGCAGTTTTTTTTATAGTATCTTTGGTCTTTATATTTTGGTGTGTTTTTGCAGTAGCTGGTACTGATTTTTCCTTTCCATATTTTGTGCTTCCTTTAGGAGCTCTTGCAAGGCAGGCCTGGTGGTGACGAAATCCCTCAGCATTTGCTTGTCTGAGAAGGATTTTATTTCTCATTCACTTATAAAGCTTAGTTTGGCTAGATATGAAATTGTGGGTTGAAAATTCTTTTCTTTAAGAATGTCAAATATTGGTCCCCACTCTCTTCTGGCTTATAGGGTTTCTGCTGAGAGATCTGCTGTTAGTCTGATAGGCTTCCTTTTGTAGGTGACCTGGCCTTTGTCTCTGGTTGCCCTTAACATTTTTTCCTTCATTTTGACCTTGGAGAATTTGATGATTATGTGTCTCGGGGTTGATCTTCTCGTGGAGTATCTTAATGGTGTTCTCTGTATTTCCTGAATTTGAATGTTGGCCTGTCGTCTTAGATTGGGGAAGTTCTCCTGGATAATATCCTGAAATATGTTTTCCAAGTTGGTTCCATTCTCCCCATCTCTTTCAGGTACTCCAATCAATCATAGGTTCAGTCTTTTTATATAGTCCCATATTTCTCTGAGGTTTTGTTTGTTCTTTTTCATTCTTTTTTCTCTAATCTTGTTGTCCCGCCTTATTTCAGCAAGATGGTCTTCAAACTCTGATATTCTTTCTTCTGCTTGATTGATTCAGCTACTGATACTTGTATATGCTTCAGAAAGTTCTCATGCTGGGTTTTTCAGCTACACCAGGTCATTTATGTTCCTCTCTAAACTGGTTATTCTAGTTAGCAGCTCCTCTAACCTTTTATGAAGGTTCTTAGCTTCTTTGCATTGGGTTAGAACATGCTCCTTTAGCTCAGCAGAGTTTGTTATTACCCACCTTCTGAAGCCTTCTCCTGTCAGTTTGTCCATTTTATCCTCCATCCAGTTTTGTGCTCTTGCTGGAGAGCTGTTGTGATCATTTGGAGAAGAGGCACTCTGACCTTTTGGGAATTCAGTGTTTTTTTGTTGATTCTTTCTCATCTTCATGAGTTTGTCTAGTTTCAGTCTTTGAGGCTGCTGACCCTTGGATGAGGTTTTTGTGGGACTTTTTTTGTTGATGATGTTGTTGTTCCTTTCTGTTTGTTTTTTTGTTTTTCTTTCAATGGTCAGGTCCCTCTTCTGTAGGGTTGCTGTGGGTTTACTTTCGGGCCCTATTCATCTGATTGCTCCCATGCCTGAGATGTCACTCAAGGAGGCTGGAGAACAGCAAAGATGGGTGCCTGCTCCTTCCTCTGGGATCTCTGACCTCAAGGGGCACCAACCTGATGCCAGTAGGAACACTCCTGTATAGGGTGTTGACACTCCTGTTGGGGGGTCTCACCCAGTTGGGTGGCATGGGGAGCAGGACCCATTTAATGAAGCACTTTGACTGTGCCTTGGTGGAGGGGGGGTGTCCCACACTGGGGGAAAACCCACTCATCTGGGTTGCCTATATTCATCAGAACTAACAGGAAGGATCACTAAGTTGGCTGGTCTGTGGAGACTATGGCCACCCTATCCCCTAGGGGCTCAGGCCCAGGGAGATCAGAGTTTTGTCCCTGAGTCCCTGGCTGGAGTTGGAGTTCCTGCAGGGAGGCCCTGCCCAGTGAGGAGGGCTGGGTCAGGGTCAGGCCTGAAGACACACTCTGGCCTCAGTCTGCCACAGCTGGTGTGTTGGGCTGTGGGGAATACCTCTTGGGACCAAGCCATCCAGTCTCCCTGGCTCCAGCAGGGAAAAGCCCGGCTGGGAGCTGTAGAGATGGCTGCCACCCTTTCTCCCGCCCTGGGAGCTTAGTGTATTAGGCAGCTAGCGGTCCCAGTGTTGGCTGCTGCCCCTCCCCAAGGAGCTCAGATGGCTTAGACAGCAGGCAGCTGCCCCTCCCCACTGGGGAACTCAGCAGGCTTAAGCAGATTCTAGCTGAGTGGATGTTGAGAATCTGTGTGGCTCCATGGTTAGGACCCTAGGCCCCAGAGGTGTGGACTGACGAGTGAGATCTTCCGATTTGTGGGTTGCACAGTTCCATTGGAAAAGCACAGTTTCCCAGGCTGCGTAGCACACTGACTCAAGGGCTCCCCAGCCCCATGTGCTTCTTAGGTGGCCCGCTGTACCACACCGCTCTTCCTTCCTCTCTGTGGGTCACACCAGCTGCCTAGTCAGTCGTGATGAGAGAACCCGGATGCCTTGGTTACCAGTGCTGGATGCATATGCTGCTTTGGTTCTTCTTGATGGCAGCCTTCAGTCACGGCTGCTTCTAGTTGGCCATCTTGGCCCCACTCCAAAAATCCGTTCAATTCTTAGTTTTATTACAATCAAATTTATATATCTTTTATTTTGTAACTAGTAACTTTTGTGTCTCGATGAAGAATTTGGTCCCTTTCCCAGGTCATAAAGATATTTGCTTATATGTATATCTTCTGAACGTTTTAAATTTTGCTGTGGCATTTGGATTCTTAATCCATTTGGAATTGATTTTTGACAGTATGAGATAGGGATCCATTTTCAGTTATTTCCATGTATAATAAAAAACCACCTTTTCCAGTGAAGGCAGGATTTAAATCTGGATCTGTCCAACTTGAAAGCCCGTGCTCTTAATCACTATGCTATTCCAGGGAAACAATGGCATGGACTGTTCAATAAACAAGTGCAAGGCACCTGGGAGCACAGAAGAATAAGGCACGGCTGCTACCTCCACTGTTGCTCCTTAGCAGAAACCAAGGGCTATGTTGGAGCTCTCTTCAGAGACTTCTTTTCCTTCTAAGGTTTTTTTGTTTTTTTTAAATTGAGATGGAGTCTCACTCTGTCTCCTGGGCTGGAGTGCAGCAGCGTGATCTCAGCTCACTGTAACCTCCACCTCCTGGGTTCAAGTGATTCTCGTGCCTCAGCCTCCCGAGTAGCTGGGATTACAGGTGTGCACCACCACACTCAGCTAATCTTTTGTATATTTTGTAGAGATGAGGTTTCACCGTGTTGGCCAGGCTGGTCCCGAACTCCTGAGCTCAAGTGATCCGCCTGCCTTGGCCTCCCAAAGTGCTGGAATTATAGGTGTGAGCCACTGTGCCCAGCCCGCTGGAATTATAGGTGTGAGCCACTGTGCCCAGCCCCCTTCTAAGTTTTATGATAACATATTTCAGCTCATCTTTTGGCATCAGCAGATCCACTGAGGGGTTCCTATGGTAAACTCTGGGCCTCACTACTTTATTTCTTGAAGGTTAATGTGACGGTGTGAAAAAGAACATAGAGCCAGACAGAGCTGGTCCTAAGGCTCAGTTCTTTCACATAGCAGCCTTGGGGAATTAAACATTTTCTGAACCTCAGTTTCTTCATCGATAAGATGGGAATAATAAAGCTTATCTCACAGGGTAGTTGAGAGGATTACATAAAAGGTGACACAGAGGAGGTAGTCAACAAATGTGTTACCCTTTTTTCTGTCCTAACACTGCTCCTCACCTGCAAGTTAACAAATGACACCATTTCTTCCATTGTCTCCCATTGATTTATGCCTACCCTTCCATTTTTTGTCTCCAGCTAGCTTAGGCTTCCTTACCACAACCCCTTTCTTGGTCTTCTGGACTCTAGTAGCAGAATCTAGAATGGTTGGCAGTGTCAAATCAATGCATTGCAACAGTAACATACCCTCGAGCCTCACTTACGGGTTGTCTCAAGCCTATGGCTGAAGAATAGGGATCAGAATGTGCATGTACCTCACATTTCTGTAAGTTGATCTTGCTTCTTAAGCTTTCCTCTCTCCTTTCTACCCAGAAGATCGCCAACAGGGCCACTGTGCTCAGCACGTTCTTCCTGTGTGCAAGGCCTCCACTGTGAGCCCTGGAATCCTGCCATGCCCTGTACAGCTGCAGCACTTCAAACTCATTTTTGCTCCTCCCTGCCTTACTGACTCTTCTCTCATCAGTTTGGTTCCCTGAAGATCACTCTACCCACTCTCCATTGGCACCTGTCTTACAAACATTCATTGCTAATAACAATGATAACATGTCATACTTACATGAGGCACTTTGATATCTATCATCTTGAAGAGGAAGACACTTGGCTATTATTGTCCCCATCTCATGGATTAGCCTCAAAGAGTGACTTGTCCAAGGTGGGCATTACACCATAGGCAAGTGGCAGAGCTGATATTGTAACCCAGAACCAGGGCTTCTGGTGTCAAGGTCATAGCTCTTTGCATTCTTTGTTTTCAACCATAAACGTAGACCTTGACTAATTGAAGCAAAAGAGAATATATTGGAAGGGGACTGGATACTGAGTAGCTCATGGAATTGAAGAGAGACAACTGAAAAAACAAGCCTTGGGAAGCTGAAGGACCAAGATGGCCCCAAACGTCTAAGTAACAAGAGGTCACAGACCTTACCATTGGACACCGTCATTGTCCCTCTGCAACCTTACTGCGAATGAGAATCCTCAGTAGCAAAAGGGCTTAATTCACTCATTCACACTTCTCATGGGGGTTTCAGCCCACTAGGACTTCTGCCTTGTGGAACGGTGGCTCACCTACAGAGCTGACAAAACTGGCAGATGTCGATAACACAGCCTCCTAGGACATTATCTCTTCTTGTCATCTCCCCTCTGTGAGGTTTGAGAATCTTGTCACTTCAGCTGGCCTGGGAGCTCCTACCCCAGTTTCTTCCAGGAATTCCATACACAGCGCTGGTACACAGCCAAGACTTCATAAATGATCTTGGAAGGCTGAGTTAGGGAAAGAGTTCCTGTTCTCAGGGTCTTAGACTTAAGACAAGCCTTTTGGCTTTGTTTGAATTTGCTTTCTTAGTAAAAACAAAAAGAAAAACAAAAGGCCAGACATCAAAACAGAAGAGAAAGGCCTTTCCCCACATGCATTCCCAGGTGCCCAGAGCTGGCTTTGAGAAGCTTGAGTGAGACAGGCACACTCCCACTCAGTCCCTAATTAATTGATCACCTCCATCTGGTCAAAATGTTTACTGCTTCTGCCTACTCCTCAGCAGGGAGGAGTCCCTGGTTCAGCAAAGCAGCAAGTGTGAAAGGGGAAAACAACAGCCCCCATACAGCACATGCAGCACCACGTCTAACCCACACTATAGATGTGGCTCTATCTATAGCCTTGTCATCAATCAGCAGGTGATGAGGTGTGGGAGCCGCGCTGGGTCCCGTCACTGCCTGGGGCACTTTGCAATGTCACTGCGTGCATTCTTCATCCAAGCTAAATAGAGTGCTGGGTGGGGTGCTCTTTCTTGCACTATTTACAAGCCCCTGGGATTTTTCCTTATCCCAAAGGACTGTGAAGGGAACATGTGGACCTCAGCAATTTCTGTGGTGAAGTCATAGGGTGCTAGGAGGGCCACCTGAGCCTGGGAGATTAAACCCAAGGCTACTGAGCTTTAAAGATAGGGATGGGGTTAAGGCAGAAAAGAGGCAGGAAGAGGAAATTTGATTCTTCTAAATCTTACCTCATTTAAACATTTGTGTGGGAAAATTCCAATTATGCTTCTTGACAGAGCAGATTTTTACAATGTTCCAAATGTAAAAGTTGGAAAGAGGCTACAAATGAAAACAAGTCGGTAATACCTAAAGCCAAAAATAAGCCAGAATTAATCAGAATTACCTAACTATCTCAGGCTAAGTGGAGTTCAAATGATCTGTAATCTAGAATCTAGATCAACCTTCCTCTCACTCCCACAGAAAACTCTAGAATGTGACATTGGGAAAATGCTCTGTCATTTCAGAGGCACCACCTCCTGATTCTGTGGTCCTGGCATGTCAGCACCTGACTGTGGTGATCTGAGAAATGGGGATAGTAAGGCCTGCCCTGGCTCCCCAGATGGCTTCTCTAGAGATGCAAGACACATTGATGTGAAGCAGAGCTCTTCAGAAGTGGGGCAATGCTGGAAGCGGACGTTGTGGGGTGTTTGGTGGCTTCTCAGAACTCATTGGCCATGTCCAACCCCCTTCTCTTCATGCCCTATTTTTACTCCTCTTTCAAATGTCCTGCTCTTCACTTCTCACCACATACTTCTTCTTCGAGATTCCTTTTCCCCGGTTCTAGGTCTTGGTTAAGATTTCCCAAAGGTATTTTCATGGATCCCTAGTCCCCAAAATGGCCCACAACTAAAGGAGGTTCTAAGAACAAATTGGTTTGAGAAACAACAAGCACCATGACCGCCTTTCAGAAAGTACAGCTCTCATTAGGCTCTGAGAAGTCTTGCAGGAAGGAAGCTTGTCTACCTGTGCTCTTTAGTTAGTACTTTCATAATTAATTTGACCACAGAAGCCATTGTTCAAATATCGCCTATTAATACCTCCCCCAAAATACAGCTTGGGAAATGTCCTAGATAATGATGATGATGATGATATGATGATGATGATGAGGCCCATTGATCAAACACTTACTACATCAGAAATAAACACTTAATAACATTTAACTCTCAGGCAACCCAGTGAGATGGGTGGCATTACCCATACCTAGAAAGTGAGACTGATTGACACCCAGGTCTGGCTATTTCTGTTTTACAAATAAGGAAAATGAGATGCAAGGAAGGTAAGTATTTTGCCCAGTCTTATAGCTAGTGAGTAGTGGAGTTGGGCCATGAACCCAAGTCTTGTACCCAGGTCTGTCTAACTTTAAAGGTCCCACTCCTGATCACCGCACACATGAGCCTGTGGCTCGTAGGCTGAGTTCACACATGGCTTCACACTGGAGGGGCTGCTCAGGCATGGCCACCCCTCAGGAGTTTATATGATGGAGGGTGGAATTGGATCCATAGGCAGCCAACCTAGTGTATGGCCCTCAGCAACCCATAAAATGGGACAGTCACACCCTCTGGAATCCATTGCAATGGGACAGTCACACCCTGTTGCTGGAAAAAACAGGAAACCCAGATTCAAGAGCTGGAGTGGTTTTGACCAGTGTGGTTTAACCAGGCAGCAGCCATGAAGCCTGAAGTGCTCCAGAATCTGTCCTTTCAACAAATCTACCCCACCCTCCCAGGACCAGAGCTTTGCTCCTGCATCCACAGTGCTCAAAGCTGCTTAGGTTGCCTGGCTGCTTTTCGCTAATTGAAACCTGTTGTGGTGCCTGTTGCTATAAACACTTGGCCAATTTGCATAAGTATGTGACATTATAAAAGTTCCTGAAAGATCTTATCCACATGGCTGGCACAGGGCCCAAATGAAAAGCCAGGTAGACAATGTGTGTGTTATTAAAAGAAATAATAATCTTGTTTATGTTCCTTGTGCAGGTGAACAGGGCAAGAAATGGAAAGCGTATCCAATCCAGAGGCAGTGAGTATAGCCTGCTTTGTTTTGTTTTGAAATTATTTGAGTTATTTTTCTTGTACCTCCCAAGCTGCCTGTCACATGTGAAAAGCCGGATTGAGGCTGTTAAGGTTATACAAATGGGTTTGTGTTTTGCAGCGGAAGGTTCTGAGTGCTGGAGACTCACAGAGCAGGAGGAAGTTTGGAGATCACCACGTCCAGTGGTATCATTTTACAGATGTGGGAAACTGAGGGCCTGAAACTTGCATGAGACTCCTGACTTCTATGCTGGGGCTCGCTCACACTTTCCAAAAACACTCCAGAATCAACCAATACACTCACCCTCATTTTCAACAGAGTAAAATGCATTTAGATGTAACAAGACAAAATCAAAGCCTTCCCAAGCTTTGGGGTTTGGTGAGCCCACGGCCTCCTGAAGCCCTCTAACCTCCCCAGCTCTCAGTGATAGTCAACTGTTTAGGACCACCAGCCCGAGCCAGGAGCTGGCGTGTTCTTTCACATACAATTTCTTTCAACCTTCTGAGCTCCTCTAGGAGGTGAGTCCTTTTCAGCTGTGGAAATCAGGGCTGAGAGAAGTTAAATAATGCTCCTCAGTTACACAACTAGAAAGCAGGGCTGTGAATGAAACGCAGAACTGGCTAACTGCAAGCACTGGTTTCATCACTTCGTAGGGTTGTTGGAACGATTGAGCAGGACGGCACCCGTGAAGCACTGGTATGGTGCCTTGCACACACTGGGTACTTTAAAAGTGTCAGATTCCACCCCGATGTCTGTCCCGAGTCATCCATCACCTGCATTAACTCCAATAGAAATCATCTACAATACGCAGCCTTATTAACTCATGGTTCACCTAAAATGACCTTTTCTCCAGAGTGCCTTGAAAACCCAGTTAATTCAGTTCAGTAGCCCCCAAACACTAATTTCACAGATTTGCTCAAGCTTGCTAACACTTGAGGGGTTGGCTGGTGGTTTGCAACCAAGCAGACCCCCATTCAAGAGGCCAAGAAGCTGTTATATTTTCTAAACACTTAAAATTGACAAGGAGGATGTTCATCTTGTCCCACCTCTTAGCCAGGCATGAAAATTCTGCATCTCTCTCCATTGCGGACAACCAAGTTTGAGCAATGTTCTTGTTATTGTTGTTGGGTCCCTACCAACTGTCTCTCTATGCATGTTTTTGGAGGCCTCGAATTGAACAGTTAAGCAGCAGACAACTCACTGTGTTGGAGAGTTTTAGTAAAGAGGGTGGAAAGGGAACAAGGAACTCAAGAAACCAGGGAGCCAGAGGTCATTCTATGACAACGGTCCACTTGTGTCTTTCCACTGGTTCACTGTGGGGCTTTGCACACCTCACTCCAAGTAGGGCAGCAGATCTGTTCTCCCTCCCATGCCAGTAACATCATTAGGGCCAAATGAGCTATGAGAAAAACCAGATTCTTCCTCCTCCCTTCCTCTCCCCTCCACCATGCAGTTACCTCCAAGGCAGGACACCTCAGCCTGAAGTCCAGTGTCCAGGGACAGAGGAGGCCTGCATCTGTGGGACAGGGGTGGGGAGTTGCAGCTGCAGGACCGTAGAGGTAGCGTCAAGGCTAATGGAAGGAAGGGGATGGTGGGAAGGGGAGGGGATGGGCGTAACGTTTACTGAGCTCATACTACGGGCCAAGAACTTGACACTTCTAAGCTTTCTTAATCCCCACAGAAATCCTGTGGGGTAGGAATTATTATCTCCTTTGTACCAATGAGGAAACAGAGGGTCAGTAGGGTTAGGTAACTCACCCGAGGTCATATGACTCTGGAGGTGGAGCCGGCATTTGAATGCATGTCTTTTGATTTCAAGTCCTACCTTCTTTCCAGGAGCACAGGCACCCTGTGAGAGCAATTCCAAAGTGCTGACTCTGTTGCTTGGCCACGTTACCTTGTGACCCTGAGCCAGCTGCTTGCCTTCTTAGCTTTCTTACCTGCAAAATGGGGTTATATCTAGTGCCTAGTTCCTAGGGTTGTTGTAGTAATTAGATGAGATATGCACATAAAGTGCTTAGCGCAATGCCCAACGTGTTGGAAGAGTCCTGCAGATGTCTGCCATTGCTTTTATGTTTGCTGCTGCTGCTCCTACTTTCCTGGGAAGTCACTCTCCCTGTGCCTCAGTTTTCTCAGCTGTAAAATGGGTGGATTGGACTGGAGATGCCTAATCTTTCCAGCGATAAAATTATATTACTCTGCTTGGCATTCAGTTCAAGTCTATCTTTCCAACCTGCCTCCCCTCAGGGCTCCCCTGCTGAGTTCCTTAGTTCTTACAGCATGGTTCTAACCCTGGTGCCCTGCTTGTTTTTGCCACTGTGTAATTCTTTCAAGCCTTCACTCCCACTCCTTACCTTCCTTGACTTATCTTTGCTTTCTTCTGCCAATTTGAATTCTATACTTCTTTCAAGGCCTAGATGAAAACTCAACTCTTCCATGAAACCACCTCTGGCCAACCCCGCCCTGAGATGATTTCCCTTCCATTTAAATTCCCTGGGCTATTATGCCCGCGGTTGACTCACACTGCTTCCAAATGGTTTGTATTGTCTCACTGACTTCTGGTTGATTTAAACAAATTCCCTAAAAGTAAACTCCCCAAGGGCAAGGACCTCGTTGTCTACTTTGGTGTTGCCTCAGTGATGGCCAGCACAGTCCTGGGCATATTCTTGGTGAATTGAGGGGACGCTGCGTGGGTCACCCCCTCCTCCCTGGGTGGCTGAGCACCTCTGGGGAGGGGGTTTTCTTCTGGTTGCCTAGGTCTATAAGGGTGAGTAAGATATCACCTCTGCCCTCACGGAGTTTGCGGAGGGAAAGAAGGAGACTTGTAAATGTAACCAATTGCAGAGTAATATGATGAATACTATTCCCATGGCATGGGGGAGGGTGGTCCCCTTTGTGGAGAGGAGGTGAAGGCTTCTGCCAGCTCAAGGAGGAGCAAGCGTTCCCAGGTAGATGCAGGAGTGGGCTCTGTGCAGTGTGCACAGGGTGAGAAGATGCAGTACATCCTGGTGTATCGAGGTGGGCTAAAGGGTGTCTTTTAGGGGAGGGAAGCAGATCAGGGACAATGGTAGGAAATGGAGTCAGAAACATAGTTTCTCCTTATCCAATAGCAGTAGGTCCTTATCCCCTGGGACCACAGCTAAAGACCATGCCAAAATCAGAAAAGGAAGAGCTGTGTAAAGAGCTTCATTTATTTATTTGGCATGAAAATGCCCCCTTAAAAAAATCATGGTGATAATAGCAGTTGCTTGATGTTTATTTGTTTTCTCATTTCATTTTGTTTTCTTTTAACATCATTACTTGACAAAATACAGATTTGGCAATTCTATGTCAGAGGAAATATTCCAGGTCCATATTCTTGGAACTACTCCTCTGGGAGCTATTGAAATACATGGAAATAACAAGCAAGTGCAACGTTGATTTAACTCAGGGGGACAGGTGAGGAGCTTCTAAATAATTTCTGCTTTCTGCTGATGAGGATAGCAGATGTGGCCAATGATTGCAACGGGTGCTTTTAAAATGCAAAGCAGAGAGGAAGTCTGATGGATTTCGGTGGCTTTAATCCCTGTCCTCTCTTGTGAGAGGCTCACTCTGTGGCTCCTTCTCTGTGCTCCTCTCCTCTCCTAGCTATTTCCATCCGCTGCTCCTCCCTCCCTGGGAGGGAATGGAATGTGTCCTTATTCCTGCAGAGCCTCTTGGGGGCAACTCTGACTTTATCACCAATCTTCCTGTCTTTCAAAGCAAGGGCTGACAACTGCGATTTCTCATCTCCAGGTGTGAAGGAAATTGCCCCTTGTAAGTGTCTGCTCATCTCAGGCCCTAGCCCCCCCAGGGTGGCTCAGTGCCTGTCAGCTGAATTTGCACTAATGAGATTAAAGTCAGTGTGTTGGAACTTTCCAACATTTTTGCCCAGATCCGTCCAAAATTCCTACAGTAAGAACTTGCCTGAATCAATATAGTAGTGATTTCAAATCTTAAACTGTCCCTTTCAGGGCATTTCAATCATTTTACGGAAATAAGAGAACAGTTGAGGGGGCCCCTGGAAACAAAAGTGTATAAAGAGAGGTGCAGGGTGGGGGCCGAGGCTGGCTTCTCAGGTGGCAAAGGTATTTCAAGCCCTATATGGTAAGGTTCACTTTGCTTAATCCTTTCTCATTTTAGCTGGGGTTCCACTCCACAGAGTCTTGTCCAAGGCCTCATGGCAGTTTTGCTGAAAAAGTAAACAATCAGAACGAAATGCAGGGGTGTCCTGAAGGGCGAGGGAGGAGGCACGCCCTGGACCTTCGTGGAGAGAGTGAGACTCCTAGAGGGTGATGACTCAGGGGACATCAGGGGATGATTTTGAAATGGGTTCTCTAACCATCAGCCCCTGGAGAAGTGGGTATTGAAGGCCTGGAGAGTGGGAAGATGGGGAGGAGAATTCACAGTTGTTGAAGTCATCATGGACTTAGAGTCTTGGAGAAACAGCAGATACCTGAATTCTTGTCTTAGCTCCATTGTGTGACTTTGGGCTAGTTATAGCATCCTTCTGGGGCTCAGTTTCCTTAGATCAAAATGAGGGCACAGCACCACCGAGGTTCTTTCCATTCTCTTCTGAGACGCTAAGTGAAAGAGTCATGCTCCCTGCTTTTGCTCCCTCCTGAGATGTGAACTCCCTGAAGTCTGAGGCTGTAGCTGTGTCCTGAGCTGTGCTTTGGTTTGCTGGGGTCAGCGACGACCCTGCTGCAGACACATTGACAACAGCCCGTGGGAAGGCCAAGAACAGTCTGTGGTGCTGGAGCACATTCTGTAAGCCAGGGCTCTAGAGCAAATGGGGCTACCAGAGGCAGCCCTATGGGCTCAACTACAATGGTGAAATTTAGAAAGCTAAGCTTGCTTCAGGAGGCTGACACACACAGACACACACACACGCGCACACACACACACACACACACACACACACAGAGTCCTCAGCCTCCTGTCCATCTCTAGGTCTTCGGTCCCACCCTCTACTTACGGACTCCACTCCTTCTCAACCTTTTCCAATTCCATCCATAGCCAAAGACCATCCTCCATGATGATTCTTTTTCTTGTGTTGATTGCTGTTGTTGATGAGGCAGAGACAATTTGCATGCCTCCCTATGTCCGCTCCTCACAATGTAAGATGCCCTTGACTACAAAAATGACTTCATTGTCTGCCAGAGTGGCAAGATGTTGGGTAGAAATCAGAAAGAAATTCTGGCACATGCTTCAACATGGAGGAACCTTGAGGACCTTATGCTAATTGAAATAAGCTAGACAAAAAAGGACAACTATCATATGATTCCACTTACAGGAGGTACCTAGAGTAGTCCAATTCATAAAGAAAGTAGAATAATGGTTTCTACTTTCATTGAATGAGGCCAGGAGAGAGGGGGCTGGGGAAGTCATCTTTTATTGGCTACAGTTTCCCTTTGGGAAGATAAAGAGGTTTTGGAGATGGTGGTGGTGATGATTGTACAACAACGTGAATGTACTTAATGCCACAGAACTAATACATTTTTAAATAGTTAAAATGATAAGTTTTATGTTATATTTAAATATTGAAATTTATATTTCACCATAAAAACTATGGAGGACTAAATCCCTGTACAAAAGAAACTGGTTTCGTCTTCTGGGCTTCTTCAACCAGGTTGTTTAAGTTCTGGAAGCCGGCTAATCCTTTGTTTATTGTACTTTTTCATCAGGTCTGGTGACTTCCCATTTGCACAGTTAATAGGTAGAGTCCAGGGATATTGACACTGGGCTTGGTTTTGAATTTTCAATACTTTTTTATACAGTAGTTATCCGTGGTTCTTGACATCCATTGCCACACAGAAAAGTGCCTTGCTGAACAGCACAAGAAGGAGGCAGTGATTCGGTGATATAGGACTCGGGTGAAGAGGAGGTGAATTTGGAGGGTGAAGAAGAGGACGGAAATCATGGGGGTTGGTAGGAGTGTGAAGCCATGCTCTAGTGGCTCAAAGGGAAAGAGGTCAGCGGGCAGAGAGACAGTAAGCGGGAACTAAGGTTCCTATGTAAGTGGGGGGTGCACCCTCTTGGAGGCTGCCAGTTCCAAATGTGAATGACTCATAAGAGCCATCCACAGCACTGTAATTCCATCAATATCTAGGTTCATTGATATCTCAGGAAAATAACATTATCTTATCTCCCTACTCTCCGTCTCTCTGGTTCCTATCAATCTGTGTCACTTCCCATCACTGCTTTCCATTTGCGCCAAGGCTTGAGTGCCAGGGGCACCCTGCTAAATAATTGCCTTGACCTGTGAGCACAGGTGTGTTCTTGTCAAGATTTCCATGCCTGGGGAAACATCAGCCTTTGGCTCCAACAGTATCTCTGTGGGTCCAGGTTCTGAAAGCCTCTCTGCCTGAGACTCTTCTGGGACATTGGCTGTCCTCATTATCTCAATTAGCATTGCTTTTACACCTACTTTAGAGCAAGAAGTGACCTTGGAAATCATCTAACTCAGTGCTTCTCAAACATCCGTGTGCATATGGGTCCCTGGGGGAATCTTTCTGGAGTGCAGATTCTGATTCAGCAAGTCTTGGGCAGGTAAGGAGGGACCTGAGATTCCGTAGATCCAACATATTCCCAGGTAGTGTCCATGCTGCTGATCCCTGAACCACACTTTAAGCAGCAAGAATCTAGTCTTGTGATTCTCAGCACTGACCACATGGTTCAATCACCTGGGGAGCTTTAGCAAAATACAGGGGCCTGAGCTTTACTGCTGAGATATTATTTAGTTGGTCTAGGTACAGCTAGTCTTTATTTGTTTAAACAGCTCATCATGTGATTCTAGTGAGCACTGTGTTGAAAGCTGGAGCTCTGATCAAATAGCTCGATTTTCCATCTTTCTCATTGAAATTGCCAAAAAAATCCACCGTCACCATCCCACTTTGCCTCTCCTTGGCCTGGGATTTGATTTTCTGTTGTGAGAAAATTACCTGTTATGAAGGCTGTAACCATAAGAAATAACATTTATTGAGCATTTGCTATATGATAGGCATCATTCCAAATGCTTTACAATCTCACAATACCCATGAGTTAGATACTACTATTATCATGCTCATCTTTTTTTATAGATGTGACAACTTAGCCACGGAGAAGTAAAGTAACTGGCCGGGCGCGGTGGCTCACGCCCGTAATCCCAGCACTTTGGGAGGCCGAGGCAGGCGAATCCTGAGGTCAGGAGTTCGAGACCAGCCTGGCCAACATGGTGAAACCCTGTCTCTACTAAAAAAAAAAAACACAAAAAATAGCTGGGCATAGTGGCAGGTGCCTGTAATCCCAGTTACTCGGGAGGCTGAGGCAGGAGAATCGCTTGAACCTGGGAGGCAGAGGTTGCAGTGAGCCAAGATCGTGCCACTACCTGTAATCCCAGCACTTTGGGAGGCTGAGGTGGGTGAATCATGAGGTCAGGAGTTCGAGACCAGCCTGGCCAACATGGTGAAACCCTGTCTCTACTTAAAAAAAAAAAACAAAAAATAGCTGGGCTTAGTGGCAGGTGCCTGTAATCCCAGCTACTCGGGAGGCTGAGGCAGGAGAATTGCTTGAACCTGGGAGGCAGAGGTTGCAGTGAGCCAAGATCGTGCCACTGCCTGTAATCCCAGCACTTTGGGAGGCCGAGGCGGGCGAATCATGAGGTCAGGAGTTCGAGACCAGCCTGGCCAACATGGTGAAACCCTGTCTCTACTAAAAAAAAACCCAAAAAATAGCTGGGCATAGTGGCAGGTGCCTGTAATCCCAGTTACTCGGGAGGCTGAGGCAGGAGAATCGCTTGATCCTGGGACACAGAGGTTGCAGTGAGCCAAGATCATGCCAGTGCACTCCAGCCTGGGCAACAGAGTGAGACTCCATTTCAAAAAAAAAAAAAAAAGAGGTAAAGTAACTTGCCATAGGTCACACTGCTCGTAAGTGACAGGGCCATGATTGTGCTCAGGAAGTCTGACCCCAGAGCCAACTCTCTTAACTATTGCATGATTCAGCCTCCCTGTGCCATGCCAAAGATGCAGCAGTGCTGGTTAATGAGGGAGGAAATGTATCTTTTTCAGTCAAAACTTGCTTTTTATGTTGATGTGCTATTTTTTTAGTCTGAATTTTTTTTTGTTATTTTTATGCATCAAGTTTATTTCTATTTCAAAAATCACCAGTGATGCAAAGTTGTGTGTGTACATTGCTTTTCTATTTTCTATTCTACCCTTCCATGCAGCAGGCCTTTGCATTGGAAGGCTGTGCAACTGGGATACTACCATTCACTAAGGGACCCTGACCCAAGTCCAGGATAACATCTGGGAAAGAGATGCTTGTGGGCCTTGGATTTCAAGCTCCACCTTCCCCTCCTATAGGGTTTGAAGAATTTCACAGGTTCCAATCTGGCAAGACGTATTTCTAGGGTGGCCTTTCGCGTAATCTGCCTCATCTTTTTCAGAGGTCCCTTGGCATATATCCTTCCCTAACAGAGACATTCCCTTTAGCTCATATTTCAGCCCCCTACAGATCCGTCTCCAATTCTAAGCCACGTGGTTTAGTTGCCAGAAACACCAGAGGGTCTTGCCAATAGCGAGTTGTCTGTCTCTTGTAATACAGTACACAGCACAGATCCAACAGTGTAAGAAACATATCTAAACCATCAGTCTAAATAAAGCATCATGAAATGCTCCCAAACCAAACATACTATAAGATCAGTGTGTTTGGCAAATTGCTATTACAGTAGTTTGGATTTTATGCATTTTATGACCCTCCTTTAGTGCAGATGATTAAGAATTGACTGGAGTATTCTCATATTAAAAAGACGTAACTGGCCAGAGAAGAATTTCATATGGCGCAATCTGAAAGAGAATTTCAAAGTTGGAGGTTTTTTGAGAATGCATCAGGCCCTCCTCCAAACATCTGAATGCCTTTTATATCATCCCCTATAAACAGTTATCCACACTCTGCATGAATACCTCTAGTGTCAGGGAACTCATCACCTTACAAAGCAGTCAGTTCTGTTTTCTGATTATTCCTACCTTTAAAGTTCTAAGTCAATGAAACTTCTATGAATCAACCCTAGTTCTAACGTCACATACACCCAAAATCTGGTTCCTCTTCCATTTAACAGCTTGCTTTAAGCAATTTCCAACAGTTCTTATAGCTTCCTGTGTCTCCTTTTCTCCAAATGAGGTATGATTTTGAAGATCTCTATGGCATAACAAGTCTACTCCCCTGGTCTCTCCCCACATAGCTGCGCTCCGTTTAGAAGCCAGTCCCCCTCCAGTGTGGAGTCAGGTGAGGCTGCTCCCTCTCCTTGCACACCCACTTTCTGTCACCAATATGTGCCCAAGAGGATATAAATCAAGAGCACTGAGCTTCTGATCAACCCTGGCAACTCAAGCCAACAGCTTCCCTATGGGCTCATGACATCCTCACACAGAGAAAGCAGCAGCTAGACCTTCATTCCATACCTCCTCTCACAACTGATTTTGGTCGGGATGCAGCACTGCCAGATGATACCCAGGCGGTTTCATGATGGACACTTTCTCTGTGTAGCCACAGTGTGAGGCTCTGAGAGGACAGCTGGGTCTCTCAATGAGCAGAGACCCCCAGAAGCCCCAGCAAACACCCAGGCTCCTGGACGCCCCTTGCTGGTGTTTCCTCGACACTTGGGAGGCAGCATCAGTTCCGGGAAACTTCCCTCTCCTTTTTCAAAGTGCAGATCAGATAGGCTGACTGCTCCTGCCGGGATCTCCCAGGATGCTACCCTTTCTGTCACTTGATTGCCTTTATCAAGGTTTCAAGGATCCAGAATGAGGGGTCTGTGTATTACCCGTCTTAGACTAAAAGAAATAGGTAGATTCCTTTGGAATCGGCTGAGCAAACAGCTAGGCTCAGAATGAACCATTTCCTATTTCAAAACCCTTGTACCTGCCTTGTACACTGCTTGCTGCCCTGTGGGTGCAGGGAGCTTCTCTGGGCAGCAAGAGAGGTGGGGGCATTGCTCACCATGCCCATGCCTCAGGCCAGGGGTGGCCAGCCAGCCCAGATTGTCCACAGTGCTTCCTTACTGAAAGCCTGTGAAGTAAGTGAAGGCGACAGCCAATAAGCACATCAAGAGATGCTCAACATCATTAGCCACCAGGAAAATGCAAATCAAGACCACCACGAGATACCTAGGATGGCGAAAATAAAAAAGACAGATGATAACACATGTTGGTGAGGATATAGAGAAGTTGGAACGCATAGACATTGCTGGTGGGAATGTAAAGGGGTGCAGCTGCTTTGGAAACAGCTTGATTCTTCAAACAGTTTCTCAGAATGTTCAATATACAGTTACCACACAGCCCTGCAATTCCACCCCCAGATATATACCCAAGATAAATGAAAACTTCTGTTCACATAAAAACTTGTACATGAATATGGCCAGGTGCGGTGGCTCATGCCTGTAATCCCACCACTTTGAGAGGCTGAGGGGGGTGGATCACCTGAGGTCTGGAGTTCGAGACCAGCCTGGCCAACATGGTGAAAGCCTATCTCTACTAAAAATATAAAAATTAGCTGGGCATGGTGGCACACACCTATAATCCCAGCTACTCGGGAGGCTGAGGCAGGAGAATCACTTGAACCTGGGAGGCAGAGGTTGCAGTGAACCGAGATTGTGCCATTGTACTCTGGCCTGGGTGACAAGTGAGACTTTGTCTCAAAAACAAACAAAAAACTTGTACATGAATATTTATAGCAGCATTATTGGTAAGAGCCAAAAGGTGATGAATGGATCAACAAGAGGTATTTAGTATAATTGTACAGTGGAATATTATTCAGCCATTAAAGGGAATGAAGCACCGATCCATGCTCCAATATGGATAAACGTTGAGAACATCACGCTAAGTGAAAGAAGCCAGTCACAAAAGACAAGAGGTGGCAGGATCCCATTAGTAGAAGACATTCAGATTAGGGAGATCTGTAGAGAGGGAAGGCAGATTTGTGGTTGTTTAGGGCTGGGGCATATGGGGGATAGGAAAGTGACAGCTGAAGGATGCAGGGCCTCTTGTTGAGGTGATTCTTGCACATATCTGTGAATATACTAAAAGCCACTGAATCGTAACTTTAAATGGGTGAATTGTATGTATGTGACTTATTTATCAAAGAAATTGTTAAAAATAAAAAGTAGCAAATTATCATAAGAACTTAAAATCAGTATATTGTCATTAATGTAACAATTGTAGGCCCTCCTAAGGTGGGCGATGTCACATGGGCTGGGTGCCTCCTGCTCTCCACCTCAGTCTCCTCACCTCTGCAGTGGGGATGTCCTCACCTCTGCAATGGGAGGTGCCTATCTAATGCGCAGTGCCCTTTTTGCCTCTGCCCTGCATTTCGGCCCCCATGCCACCCCCGTAGGGCTGTATCATCTTCCTATTTCCTCAGGACTTTACACAGAGGTCAAGCCAGGCTATTCACCTTTCTCCAAACCGGAGGGCTGCTTCCCTGCCTCCATGCGCTTATTCACACAGGCCCCCGTGGCTGTCCAGACCTGCATGTCCTTCGCAGCACTGCCCAGTCTGTGGGGCGGAAAGAGCCATGTGCCAGCCCAGGTCTGACTCCTGTCTCTCTCAGATCTCAGACCCTTTCTGGCCTTGCTCTTCTGTCCTGGTAAAATGACGGGATTGGACTATCAGCCTATTCCGAGGGAGATTTCCTTGACATCACCGCAGGGGTTTTCAAAAGAGCATAGCATGGTTAAATACATGTTGGAATCACTAGATTAAACAGGCTTACCTGTCACAGGACTTCTTTTCCTTTCTTTCTTTCTTTTTTTTTCTTTTTTTAAGATGGAGTCTTGCTTTGTTGCCAGGCTGGAGTGCAGTGGTTCAATCTCAGCTCACTGCAAGCTCTGCCTCCCGGGTTCAAGCGATTCCCCTGCCTCAGCCTCCTGAGTAGCTGGGACTACAGGCACGTGCCACCATGCCCAGCTAATTTTTGTATTTTTAGTAGAGACGGGGTTTCACCATATTGGCCAGAATGGTCTCGATCTCTTGACCTCGTGATCTGCCCGCCTCGGCCTCCCAAAGTGCTGGGATTACACGTGTGAATCACAGGACTTCTCAGAGCCTTCAGTATGGCAACTGTGAGCCACCAAGAGGGTGAAATGATTTGCAACCTTTCCTAGCTTTTAAAACCATGCACATACACACACACACACACACACACACACACACACACCACACATGCACACACACACATACACACACACATACCCATTTTAACAGAATATCTTGTACCACAGAATAACACCTAGGAAATGCTGGACTAGTTGATCTTTAAGGATCATTCTGAATCCAAAAAACAAAACCAAAACAGATGCATTTTCACTTGCGTGCAGCATGAGTTAACGAAAAGAAAATACAAACACAGGCCTCAGAACTAAACAAAGCAGCAGGGCTGGTACCCTGGCCCCTAACTGGCCTCCTACCCTGGCCCCGAACTAACCTCCTATCCCAGCCCACACTGGCCTCATAACCTGGCCCCCCACTAGCTTCCTATCCTGGACCTTCACTGGCCTCCTACCCCAGCCCCTCACTGGCCTCCTATCCCGGCCCCTCACTGGCCTCCTTCCCCGGCCCCTCACTGGCCTCCTATCCCGGCCCGGAACTAGCCTGTTGTGCTACTCTGCACAGGGTGCGGTAACAGAACACCATAGACTGGGTGCACCAGAAACAACAGAAACATATTTCTCACAGTTCTGGAGGCTGGGGAGAGCCCGCCTCCTGGTTCATAGAGGGCGTCTTCTCACGCCTCACGTGGTGGGTGGAAGGGGTGAGGGGTCTCTCTCAGGCTTCTTTTATAAAGGGGCTAATCTCATTCTTGAGGACTTTGCCCTCAGGACCTAATCACCTCCCACCTCCTGGTACCTTTGCCTTGGGGGCTGGGCTTCAACATATAAATTTTACAGAGATACTCGGATCATCGCACCTGCTGCAACCTTGGACAAGTGAAAATCTGAGTTTCAATCTCCTCGTCCTAAAATCAGGAATCCTAATGCCTTACCTGGAGGGCTGTGGTAGAACGAAGCCAAGGGACACGAGCCCCCAGCACCTGGCACCTGGAGGACAACCACTCACCAGGAACTGCCATCTGCATGATTTTTTTCTGAATAGATCAGTTTTCTGACTTCCCTGTAAGCCCCTTGAGGGGCTCACCACATCTCAGGCACCTGTGTGCCTCCCTGGTGACTGTACACTTCCTAGCACACGGTATGATTTTCATAAATGTTGATGGAAATTTATTTTATGAAAGTGAATTAATCATGGAATTCCTCAGGAAGAAAGGTTGCATTTCTGCCTCCCACCTTGGCTGGTGGATTTAGGGTCCTGGCCCTTTTCTCTTGGGTGACCTTCACTCAGGCCCATGTAGACTCCATACCCACTTTTTATTTGGAGTTAGGATCACTACCAGACCTATCCCAGGGCAGCTCAAAGAGAGAATACTGAGTTAGGAAGCAGGGCAGAAAAACTGGGGACACAAAATTTAAAGAAACATGTATTTTCTCTCCTAAATTTTCCTTTTGGTGCATTCCACAAGAAGGATGTGGGGATGAATGTGTTAGTCAAGGAAGAGGGTGGCAGATCCCTTGCAGACACTGCTCACACTGGTGTTGTTCAATGTAGCCAGGGTTTTCTAATGATTTCTCATGGACTCACACTTAGGAAGAACATTAGGGCTAAATGAGGTGTGGTTCTTGGACTCAAAGTAAATGCAGTTTGTAGAGAAGACAAGATTTACATTCACAAAATGACTGAAGAGTAAGAAAAATTGTAATCTGGCAGGCTTTCCTTGATCTCTTGATTTAGAAGTTCCTTTGTTCTCTGCATCCAAAGAATCTTTTTTTTTTTTTTTTTTTTTTGAGATGGAGTCTTACTTTGTCGCCCAGGCTGGAGTGCAGTGGCGCCATCTCGGCTCACTGCAAGCTCCGCCTCCTGGGTTCACACCATTCTCCTGCCTCAGCCTCCCGAGTAGCTGGGACTACGGGCGCCCACCACCACACCCGGCTAATTTTTTGTATTTTTTTTTAGTAGAGATGGGGTTTCACCATGTTAGCCACCGCGCCCGGCAATACCCAAGGAATCTTTACTTTCCCTGTCTTAACACTCATCTATCATACTTCCAGTTCTGTGTTTAATCTGTCTTCCCTGCTAGATCACAAACTTCAGGAGGCAGGGACTGAGTTTTACGTCCCGCCCTATCATCAACACCTAGCATAACACTGACTGGGCACTTACTAATACGGTATAAATTGAAGAGTTGAATGGAATCTAGATTGTGAAGTTCGACCTTTGTTGGACTTTGTGCCAGAGGTCAATTGCTAGAGAATTCAGAGAAGGGAGAGCTTCACCCAGGGGATAAGACTTGAGAGGGACCTGCACAATTCGGGATAGAGTAGAGGAAGGGAGAAGGCATTCCTGGAGAGCGCAGCAAGGGCAAATGCAGAGGCCAGACCGAGTGCCACCCGTGCTGAGAAGAGTGACTGCCTAGCACAGGGCCGTGGGCTCAGTGCACTCTTGCTGAGTTCAGTTCCAGGAGGCATTTCCACTGCTGGCATTGGGAGGAGGAGAAAAGGGAGGAGTGGAGAAATGCAAGGAGGGGAGGTCGCTTCATTCAATCTCCTCTCTATGTCACACTCCACTCACCCACCCCAAGGCCAGGCTGAGGTCCCACACTGGGCCCCAGTGCTGGGGGGCCAGCTCCGTGTGTGGCTCTTGCTAATGGGACTTCAACCTGTGAATGGTCTGGAGCATCCAGGAATGCACAGTAGACCAGCTGGCAGGCTTGGCAGGTTCATCATGCTGGCAAATGGAGGGTTGAGACAGTAATTAGTCTCAACACAGGGAACCCCATGGCAAGAAAATGAGAAAGGCCATCAGCTTTGCCAGTGGAGAAATTATGCCCCGCAGAGAAAGCTCTCCCTTCTGCAGTCTTCCTCCATCTGTGACTCAGCACCCCTGCCTACAACTAAACCTGTTCACCTGTGCTTTGTCCAAAACAGCCATTGCTACGTTACTCCATGGTGGAGCAGCCGGCCAAACGCAGCCACCCTGGGCAAAGGCACCTACTCTCAGCTCCACCTCTGGCCAGCTGTGCAATCTTGGAGAAATTACAGTTTTTAGTCCTGGGCCTGGAGCAGAGTAGGCACTCAACAGATGCGGCTATTAACAATAATAATATTATTATACTCATTGGTGCACACAACTTGTAAGACAGACAGTAGTGGTTTAGGGCAGATAAATTGTTTAGGTGTTTATATCTGTGTTTATTTGTCTATCCTGACACAAGATCTCTGGCCAGAGAAGAGAAGTTTTACTTATGCACAGTGCGTGTTAGTAATGCCTGTTCCCTGTACCCCAATTCCTCATGAGACAATGACTGAGGGCCAGATGTTTACCTACCCGTGCAGTGAAGTTTACACCATAAGAGAGGATTCCCAACATTAGGAGACTTAGAGCTTATATGAGGCAGCTGCCATGGAGTTGAAGAGGGAGAGATCTTTTCTCAGGAATATAAACAAATTCTTTTTGTGTGTGTGACGGAGTTTCGCTCTTGTTGCCCAGGCTGGACTGCAATGGCATGATCTCGACTCACTCTAACCTCTGCCTCCCAGGTTCAAGCAATTCTCCTGCCTCAGCCTCTTGAGTAGCTGGGATTACAGGCATGTGCCATCAAACCTGGCTAATTTTGTATTTTTAGTAGAGATGGGGTTTCGCCATGTTGGTCAGGCTGGTCTCGAACTTCTGACCTCAGGTGATCCGCTCGCCTCGGCCTCCCAAAGTGCTGGGATTACAGGTGTGAACCACTGCACCCAGCCAGAAATATAAACAAATTCTTTCTGAAGAATTCTCTCTGGGCCAGGTCTCTAGGTCTGTTATCAGTAGAATGTAAGCAAATGGCTTCAGGGGGAAAAAGCCCTTAAATTTCCCCAGAGCAATTCATTACCTCTAACTTGCAAGCCATGTTTAACCATTCAATCATCCTTTAACTCAGGTTACCAGCACTCTGTTCAGAAAGCCTGGAACATACATACAAACATGTGAAAATGTTGATGGGGCGTTGTCTCTCACTTTCTCTGAACAACTGGCAGCTTAAGATGAGTTTTGAATGCTCACCCCTCAACACCCATATGTGTGTGAGTGTGTGCAGATATTTGTGCACGTGTGTGTATGTTTGTGTGCAAATAGTGCTGACCTTTGCATATGTGGGTGTGTACATTTTGTGGGAACTCATGTATGTGCAGTGCCTGGAAATGGATCAAGGTTTCTATGTAGAAGAGAGGCTGTGTGGGGCATATGAAGTGCAGGCTGTGAACCCACCAAGAGCACAGGGTAGGAGGAAGGTGTGCTGGAGCAGAACCCCAGGTTCCTGCCTTCAACACAACTAGTCACACGACTCTGCACAGCCCTTTATTTGTGTATCAGTCCTGTTCCCTCCTAAATGTGGATGATTTGTATCTGTCATGCCTGCCTCACATAGACTCATGAAACTCAAGTAAGATAATAGATGTGAAAGCACTTTGAACAGTATAAAAACCAAGCAAATCAAATGCAAGCTACTATTAATGGTGCTTTGCCACAAAATTCTGGTTATAACATGCATAAAGTGCACAGCGTAGTATCTGGCACATAGTAGGTACTCTATAGATGCCAGTTCTCCTTCTGCCCCCCTCTGCACATAGAGGATACTAATTATGTTGGATGCATGGAGGGGAGAGATGGGTAGAGGGATGGAGGCCTTTGTTAGTGCTCCTCCCTCTAAGTTGCACACAAGTAGCTTTGCACAGAGCATGTGCCTTCCTTGGACCTTGGCTTCCATAACTGTAGGATGGGGACAAAATTCTCCCAATATCCCCAGTTCAGTTTCCTGACCTGGTGCAGAATCTATCATCTCAGACAGGGAACAGGAGTACCGAGAGACAAAATGATGGGGCAGTTAGAGTGACTTTCCTTCCAGAATAAAAACAGTAGTAAGAATGGAATAGAAGACTAGAACCTGTTGTTTGAGTTGAAGGCATCCAGGGGTGTTTTCCTTGAGTGTCTGCTCTGTGCTAGGACTCAGGTAGCACGTCACTCCCTGACGTCCGGAGGTTGAGTCCAATGAGGAAGACAGACATGAAATGAGTGCCCTAGCGAAGGCCGATGAGTCTGGCGGGAGGACTCAATGCATCTTTATTTCAGCTTGGTTCCTCCTCACTCTGGGGCAAGCTCCTGTTGCTGAGTGAACCACAGCATGCTTTCCCTGTCTATTGTTTTCCAAAGGCCAGAGGAACTTCTTGGATGACTCAACTGGGGAGGATGGGAGAGAGGCAAAAGCTGTGAGATGGGGTGGGGGTACCCCCAGGATGGGAAGCTGGTGGAGCTCTGTGAGAACTGCAAGTGGAGGTGAGCCGGGAGGCAGGAGCACCTTAGCAACCAATGGCTTTGGGGTGCTTGGGGAGGATGGGGATCCCAGCCTCCATGGAGATTCTCAGGTCCAGTCATGGTGTGGAAGCTGCAGGACCACCTGACTCCAAGGGACCATGGGGACTTACATGATGGAGATGCCAGGGGTTACAGTGTTGGGTAGGCAGAACAACACTCCCCTATTCCTCAAAGATACTCACGTCCTAATCCCTGGAATCTGTGAATATGCTACCTTCCATGGCAAAAGGAGACTTTGCAGATGCAGTTCAGTTAAGGACGTGGAGATGGGGAGATATTCCTGGATTATCGAGGTAGGGCCAAGATCATCACAGGGTCTTTATAAGTGAGAGTCTGAGGCAGGGGAATCACAGTCACAAAGAGAGTTAAAGATGCTCAGCTGCTGGCTGGGTGCGGTGGCTCACGCCTATAATTCCAGCACTTTGGGAGGCCGAGGCAGGCGGATCATGAGGTCAAGAGACCAAGACCATCCTGGCCAACATGGTGAAACCGTGTCTCTACTAAAAATACAAAAATTAGCTGGGCGTGGTGGCGCTTGCCTGTAATCCCAGCTACTCAGGAGGCTGAGGCAGGAGAATCACTTGAACCCGGGAGGCGGAGGTTGCATTGAGCTGAGATCACGCCACTGCACTCCAGCCTGGCGACAGAGTGAGACTCTGTCTCAAAAAAAAAAAAAAACAAAACAAAAAAAACAAAAAAAACTCAGCTGCTGTATTTGAAGCTGGAGGAAGGACCATGGGCAGGGAATGGAGGAGCTGGAAAAGAGAAGAAACGTCCTGGAGAGCCTCCGGAAAGGATGCGGCTCTGCGGACACCTTGATTTTAGACCAGCGAGACCCATGTTAGACTTCTGACCTCCAGAACCGGAGGATGATTATATGTGCTGTTGTACATCACTACATTGTGCTAATTTGTTACGGCAGCCACAGGAAACTCATACATTGGTGGAACAGGAAACAGGCTCTTCCTTTCTCTGGCATCACGTGAGTCCTCATGATTTCCGTGCACTGCAGGGCGAGTGCCAGAACTTTCCTGCCGACCGCTGACTCTGAATCGTATCGCCTATGAGTCGACATTATTAAGAGCTTTCTGGTGCCAGGTGTAATATGATGTTTAACATGCTCTTCTGACCTGGTGTTGAGGCCCTGGCTGGAGGCTGGTCAGCTCCCCTCCCACACCTCAACACTTCCCTTATTGGGCTCTCACAGCCCTGGCCATTATGTGCCCGCCTTAACTGCCCCAGAGCCAGGCCCTTGACAACCAGGGACAGCCCAATCCTACACCCGCCTGCCCCGCCCACCTCACCTTAACCATTCCCTCCTGTGGCCACAGTTGAGGTGCTTGATTGCCCCGATCCTCGTGACTGACCCCATGCTTCCCCGAGTGGCCCTACATGGTGTCCTCTGTTTGCCCCCAGGGACCCGTGAGTATAAAAAAACTGTAAAACTCATTCCAGTTTCTCTCTTGATCTGCATCTGGCCTCACCCTACCTCACCCAAGATAATGCGGCTAAAACCCCAGGCCATGCTCTAAGCCCTTGCGTCTCCTCGTGGGATCCTTAGCACAGCCCAAGGAGAGACCTTATTATTATCCCCAGTCACTGTGAGGAAGCCGAAGTAAGGGGAGGTGAAATGACTTGCCCAGAGCCACACAGCTGCCATGGGGTAGAGCTGGAGCCCAAAATCAAGTGGCCAGGCAAGAGCGCGAACCCCTCACTACACACCCTGCTGCCCACAGTGACGGGGACGGCACCGCCACCAACCTAACAGGATGGACCCTCCAAATCGGGTTTGACTTAAGGAAATAAGGTAATAGGACATTCTTAGCACACGCACTTCTGAATTAAATTTCCACCCTCCACAAGCATCATCAGGTGGAGGCTAGGATGAGCTGCAGCTGGGGAGGCTCACCAAGCCCAGGTGTCCCCAAGAGAGTAAGGCAGTTCAAAACATCTTATCTACATTTAATTAAATTAGACATTCCTGGTGCAGCTTCATGCCCCCGCACAGCTGGTTTAAAATAACCTAAGATTGGCTTCCTTTGACTGTTCTAGCCAAAATGCTCGGGGGTCGGGGCTGAAGGTGCCAGTTTGCCCAGAGGTCCGTCCTGAGACAGATGGATTCATCAACAGTGCTTGGCTTTGAGAGAAGGGCACTGGAGAAGACTCCGAGGACACCCCTGTTCCCTCAGTGTTGCAGTGAGGTGAGTGTAGCTCCGCCACCGAGCGAGAGCCAGCCTACCGGCCCCTCCCAGGCTGCAGCCGTGATCTCTGGGTGACCAGAGCTCATCCCATCTTAGCCTGGGCACCTCCAAAACACAGCCTGAAACCAAAGCTTGCATGCAAGTTGTTAGGAATGAGATTTCAGCGAGCAAGAGAGACAGATGGGGAGTAAAACGGGAGAAGCGAACCCTGATGGAAGAGTGTCTTAGGGGTTGGCGGCTGCTCAAGGTAACTGGAGTGCATTCCTCTGTGGCCTTCAGAGGAGCCTCATGAAATGTCTAAAAAGAGTCCGCCGAGTCTAAAAAGAAAAAAAAAAAAGGGTCCACCAGGGGGCAAAATGCAAAGCGTTTCTCCATTGGCTCCTGTCTCCCATTGGTCAAGGCTTTGACCGATGAGCTTGAATGCCCCGTGCTCCGGGTTGCCCACGTGTGAGTGCAGGGTAGGTAGTGTAAGTTCCAGGTGCAGGCCTAAGGCGAGGCCCTATCAGATTGGACCGGGGCAAAACTCATCCAAGTCTGTCTGGAACTATTGCCACGGCCATGACTGGTTAAGATGTGGAGGCAAACATACACACCATGGAATACTATGCAGCCATAAAAAAGGATGAGTTCATGTCCTTTGCAGGGACATGGATGAAGCTGGAAACCATCATTCTCAGCAAACTATCATAAGGACAGAAAACCAAACACCACATGTTCTCACTCATAGGTGGGAATTGAACAATGAGAACACTTGGACGCAGGGTGGGGAACATCACACCCTGGGGCTTGTTGAGGGGTGGAGGGAGGGGGGAGGGATAGCATTAGGAGAAATACCTAATGTAAATGATGAGTTAATGGGTGCAGCAAACCAACATGGCACATGTATACATATGTATCAAATCTGCACATTGTGCACATGTTCCCTAGAACTTAAAGTATACTAACAAAAGAAAAGTCTCTGGAAGCATACATAAGAAAATATAATACTGGTTAACTCCTGGGAGGAGAGATGGGTGACTATGGAAGATATACCTTTCATTGAATAATATGAATCATATTAATATATTATTCAAATATTGATATTAAAACTGAACAAATATATTTAAGACATAAAGTAGTTTTTGTGAATCTTAAAAAAAAAAAAAAAGACGTGGAGCCAAAATTATTTCTGAAGTTGTGCCCAAGAGGAATCCAGGGCCTGTGTGGACTGTGAAAACCTCAGAGACTAAAGGGCATTGCAGCCCCTGCATGTCCAGCAGGGGTAGGGGGCTGTTACCAGAAGCACAGGCCAATTCACCCTGACCCCAGCCCAGTGCTGACTAGCAAACTGGGTATCCAGGATGTGTAGGGGCAGGACACTTCCACTCCTTCCCTCTCCCCACACACCTGGAGTTCCTGGCCCCAAAATACCCTGGCTGGGGAAGCATTGGTGGTTCCTGCACGTGCTCTGCCTATTGTTGAAAGAGGGTGCACTGAGATTCTTCCCAGCTAGACCCCAAAGTTTACATAACTCAGAACAGAAGGCCACCGCCAAAAAGCATTTACATGTTGTTGTATGAAGTATCTTTACATCTTTTTTCCATCTTCACACCAAATCCCATGAAGAAGGAATTACAGACTTTATCTCATAGACAAGCTGACTGGGCCTTGGGGCAGTTCACTGATCTCTTCAAGACCCCAGAGCCATTGAGTATAGTAATGCTGGAAAAGCAATTTGGTTCATCTGGTTTCAAGTCTGGATCCTTCTAGAGCATATATCGAGTCTAACCCAACAAATATTTTAACCTACTGGTAGACTATAAGCTCCTTGAGAGCAGGGATGTTTATTTGGCTCACAGAGCAGGTATTCAACCAGTACTAGTTGAATGCATGTTGAAAATGAGTTTCTGCTCAGACCATGAGCTCTTTAAACCAGGAATGTGTCCTTGCATCCCTGGTACCCAGCATATAGCAGGTGTTCCACACTGCACTGAATACATGTAGAGATAAATTAAGCACCCCGGTGATGCTCTCTCTTTTGAAACAATTTCCCAAACTTATGGAAAGTTTCACGTACAATACAAAGAGCTTCTCCCCTGAACCATCTGAGGCCCATCACCCCAAGTTCTTCAGTGTTTCCCACAGGCAAGGATATTCCCCCACACAGCCATAACACAATCAACACCAGGACATTAGCATTGCTGCATTACAACAGATGTTGTCTACTCCTTATACACCAATTGAGTTTCAATCATTGTTCCAATAATGTCCTTTCTTTAAGAAAGAATCCAGTCTAGGATCCCACCTTGCATTTAGTTGTCATTATCTCTTTCCTCTTCTTCACTCTGAAACAATTCCTTAGTTTTTTTCTTGACTTCCATTATCTAACACTTTTGAAGATTACAAGCCAATTTTTCTGTTGAATGCACTTCAGTTTGGGTTTGCCTGATGGATCCTCTCGCTGGGGTTCATGTTATGCATCTTTGACAGGAATGTGAAGGTAGGATGCTGGGTCCTTCCTATTAAACCCTGTCAGAGTGACAAAAATGTAAATATGTCTCATTTCTGATGATGTTTCTTTTGATTATTTGATTAAGGTGGTATCTGCCAGCCTTCTCCGTGTGAAGTAATTCTTTTCCCTATTGTAGGTAATAATGGGGAGAAGGGATTTGAGACTATCAGTATCCCATTCCTCATCAAACTTTACATTTATTCCTTTATCTATTTATATCCATTTGGATACAAGGTTTCCTACTTTTTCCCCCCAGGTTAAAATGATTACTATTGTAGGGGTCGAAAGGGCAAGATCCCTTTCCTCCCCATTATAAGGATCACTGCTGACACCCCTATAACAGATTAACAAAAGAAAAGCATAACAAATGTATTTGGCCATAGTTTTATGTGACAAAGGACACAAGAATGAAGATGCAAAGGTACAAGGGAAGCTGTGTGATTTTATGCTTAGGTTCGATGAAGCAAGGACAGCTGTGTAGAAATGTGAGGTATGAGCTGATTGTCACAGACAGTGGGGGAACCCAGCAGGGCCTGTCTGGATTCTTGTTGGCCTCTTTGTTGTAGCATTTCTTCCTCCTAGATATGGGGTAGGACTTTTCTGGAATGAGGCTTTTACTTTCTTCATGGACAGCTGTTACATAGAAAGGTAGGAAAGGTTAGAGTAATATTTTCAGGCTTTATGGCTGGCTTTAGGGGAAAGGGGTTCTGGCTTCTATAACCCGCCTTGAGGAAGACGAATTCTGATTTCCATGGCTTGCTTCATGGGAGGATGAGGGGTGAGAGACAGATGGGCAGGAGAAGGTCAAAGAGAAACTTTCCTTCTGAGGCTGAATCTGAGGCCTTCACTTTGGGGTATTGTTTTCTGGGCCCAACCACTATTACTATTTATTTTATGCACAAATTGTCCCAGATTTGGCTAGCGGGAACCTTTTCAATATGGTTCCTGTGTCCTTTAGACGAATCCTCATTCTTCACTGGGTACCTCCTGACTTTCTGACACAAGACGCTCCAGGTTCTTCTTGTACTTTCCTGGCCCCAGGAATCATGCATTTCTCCAGTAAGCCCTGGTTTCTTTTACTGATGTGTGGTATTTAGTCACCAAGATCTGGGTGCTAAGTGTGCTCATTGCCTTTGAGTGTCACTGCCCTCAGGCCTTCTCAGCAGACAGAGGAGAGGACGTGCATACATGTGCATGTGCAGACACACACACACACACACACACACACTTATATCTGTATTTCTACATCTGTCTATGTATCGGTGACCATGAATTCACTCCAATACCACTATCTTCAGTCCAACACCATAGAGTTCATTCTCATTTTCTCCTTTCCATATTCATAGCTGCCTTCTCCAACAGTGAAAACACTGTCTCCCACTATCTTTAATGTACTGTTTTATTTGGTCAGTCCCTCTGTATGCAACCAGTCTCCAATTGTGGCCCCTTCTCCTCTCCCATGCAAATGCCCTTCCGCCCCACTGAGACTCTGCCGTCCTGTGCTAGGTCACCTCTCGTTACGTGGGCACCCTCCTTACCCTGCTCAGGCTCCGACTCTGCTCTGAGCCACTGCAGCTCACTACTTCCTGTCCCTACCCCCACCATTGCACGGATACCTACCTCCCAAACCCTCCTAATGCTGTTAGTATTAAACTGTTCAGGAAAGGAAAAAGACAAGGAAGAGCCCTGCAGGTGCCTTATGAGTGAGAGAGTGGACTGCTTCCACACACTCCACTCCAGGTTTTACAAGGACCCCGGACAGAAAGCAGGCTGATTGGAAGAGTAAAGACAGATACCTGCCAACAAGCAAAGCTGATTGAGGGTGGTAGACATCAGGATACCTTTGGAGGGGGAGGAAGAAAAAAGGATACAACATGGGATTCTAGGGTGTTAATAATTTCCTAGAATGTAAATGCCATTGGCAAGTGAGGTTACAAATAATGACACATGATGTATGGGCATGGATTATGGCAGGAGAGACCAAAGCTTTCCTACTTATCACACACAAGTTTGTGATAAAATCATGTTTCAAATCTGGAACCTGCACAGCCATTTTACAGATAAGGAAACTGAGGCCGGAGAGAGTTGATGATGGTTCAACACTACACAGATGAGAGCTCAGGTTTCCTGACTCTTAACAGGACTCTTTCCACTACAGTTTCAAAACTAATACATTTTTCACATAAATTTTTCTTAAATTTTCTCCCATGAAACTCTTGTCTCAAGCCTTCTTCCTCCAGTCCATCCAGCCTTGTTGTAAGAGAACTTTTTGTGTATGCATTACATAGGTAGAGAAAAGTACACAAATCCCAATTGTTCAGCTCAATGCATTTTCACACACATCCATGTAACCACCACCCAGGTCAAAGAACAGAACAGTACTAGAACCCAGAAGCCCCCTACGCCCAACTCCCAGTCATTACCCACCTCTTCCCCAAACATAATACTGTCTTTTATCATCATTATTTGGTTTTACCTGTGTTTGGAATTTGTATAAATTAAATAATGGTATATGTATTTTTGCACGTGTGTTTGGTTTCTTGCACTCAACATCATATGTAAGATTCACATTGTGCAAATAGCAATAGTTCACTCATTTTCATTGTTGTGGAGTTTTCCATGGTATGATTATGCAACAATTTATTTGTCGACTCAATTTCTGATAGATCTTTGGAGTGTTTCTAGTTTTGGCTGATTACAAATAGCGCTGCTGTGAACATTCTTCTCCATGTTTTTTTTTTTTTTTTCCTGTATCCAGCAACCTGGCTAAACTACACAAGAATTTCAACATATGTAGCATTTCTTTTGGGTATAAAAAGTTAGGAGTGGAATTGCTGGGTTATATGGTATGATCATGGTCAGTTTTAGTAAATACTGCCAGTTCTCCAAAGTTATTGCCTCAATTAGACCAGCAGTGTGTGAGTTCCTCTTTCTCCATATCTCTGCCAGGGCTTGATATTTTCAGTCTTAAATTTTAGCCACTCTGGTGGGTATGTGGTAGGACTCCATGGTGATTTTAATTTGTATTTTCCTGGTGACTAACGGGATTGTGCCTCTTTCTATATTTTAATGGCAATTGATAAATCCTTTTTTTGTGAATTTCTTGTTCAATTATTTTGCCCATTTAGGGGTTGGGGTGGGTATTGTCTATCTTTTAATTATTGTTTCTAGGATTTCTTTATATATTCTTTATAACTATCTTATGTATTGTCAATATCTTCTTCTCCTCTATCACTTGTTCAATGGTGTCTTCTAATAAATCAGCATTCTTAACATTAATGTAGTCCACAGATTCTTAACGGGGCTATATTTTCCTCATGGGGTATAAATTGGTCTTGGGGGGCATAACAAAGTCTTAGTTGTTGGAATTGGTTTGTGACCCTTCAAAGGAATACAATACGTAAACAGATACACAGTATATCTATGGTATTAAAATTTTATGAGGCAGGGGGTATGGAGATTAGGAGAAAAAAATTTAAAAGGCTTCTTAGGGGCTATAATTTTAAGAGGTTGGAAAACACTGACATAGTCCCATGTATCTATATTTGCCTTTTTGAGTCCTGATAGTCTTTGCACACACCAAAGTCTTGAAGATAAAATGGCCAATTTTTTTTTCCTTTGGTGACAGGGTCTGTCTCTGCCAGAGGGCAGTGGCACGATCAGTATTCACTGCACCCTCGACCCTCTGGGCTTAAGCGATCCTCCCACCTCAGCCTCCTGAGTAGCTGGGACTACAAGTGCGAGCAGCCATGCCTGGCTAATTTTTTGTAGAGACAGGGTTTCCCTATGTTGCCCAGGCTGATCTTGAACTCCTGGGTTCAAGTGATCCTCCCAACACTTTGGGAGGCCAAGGTGGGATTACAGGCGTGAAGCACTGTGGCTGGCCTTTAGTATCATTTAAACAATTTTTTAAAGTGTTGTAGCATCAATAAATAGTAATATGTCTCCTTTTCATTGTTCATGTAGATCATTTGTGGATTTGTTCTCCATCAGTCTTATCAATTGTATTCATCTTAACAAAGAAATAATTTTTGGTTTTGTTGATTTTTCTCAATTGTACATTTATTTCTGTTACACTGATTTCTGTTCTTAATTTTATTGTTTCCTGTCTGATTTCTTTGGGTTTTGTTCATTTTTACTTCTTCAGATGGTTGATTTTCAGCTTTTTCCCCTTCCCACTATTTGTTCTTACAGCCAAAATTCTTCTGTAAGCATTACTAGCTTCATGCTGTAAGTTTTGATATGTTCTATTTTTGCCATTCATTGAAAAATATTTTCTAATTTCCATTGTAATTTCTCCCTTGAGCTATAAATTATTTACAAATGCTTTGCTTAGTTTCTAAACATTTTCAGATTTTCCAATTATCTTTCTGTTGTAGCTTTTTAACTCAATTCTACTGTGGTCAGAGGATATTCACTGAATGATTTCAATCCTTTTAAATTCATTGACATCTCTTTATGGCCCAGCTTATGATCTGTTTGGTAAATGTTCCCTGTGCCCTTAAAAAATGCATATCCTGAGATTATTGGGTATAGAGTTTTATATATATCAATTAGGTCAAGTTTATTAATCATGTAGTTTAAATCTCTATTCTTACTGATTTTTTTGTCTGCTTGTTGTATCAATTACTGATAGAAGTATGTTAGTCTCCCACTTTAAACTCTGTGTCCTTATATTTAAGACGTGTCTCTTGTAAAGAGAATATAATTGCTTTTTGTTTTTCTAGTTCAGCCTCGAAATCTTTACCTTCTATTTCAGTATGTAGATCATTACATTTAATATAATTATCATTTCAATTTACCATCTTACTACTTATTTCCTATGTGCCCCACCTATACTCTATTCATTTTTCTCTGTTCATGCCTCATTTACATTATTCAGTTCTTGTTTTCCTATTCTAACCCTCTAATATCTTGTTACTATTTATTCTTTAGTGATTACCCTTGAGATTATAACATGCATCTGGGACATATTAGAACTTAAAATAAATTAGGATTTTCACTTCTTCCCAGATGATGTTAGGATCTTAGAATACTTTAACTCCACTTACCCTCCTTTTACTTTTTCTGTTATTAATTATGATTACAGACTTTTACATTTTTTAAAATTGATGATATTATTCTTATTGCTTTAAAGTTGATATTAATTTGAATTTACTCACATATTTGCTATTTACATTGTTCTTCATTTCTCTTTTTCCATCTGGCATCATTTTCCTTTAATTTCTTTCAGTGAAGGCTTTCTGGGAACAACTTCTCTCCCTTTTTGTTTGCTTGTAAGTGTCTTTATTTTGATGTAGAAGCTGTATCTTTCTATGTTATGAAAGACATGGAAGAATTCACGTTTGAAGACTATTTTTAACTGTGAAAAAATTCCCGGTTGACAGGTTTTTTTTCTTTTGGCACTTTAAAGAAGACTTCTAGATTTTTTTTTCTCTTTCAGTGCTTTATAGGTGTCTGCAGTACTTGCATTCTGGGGGGGACCGTTACTGTGTGGATTGAGAAGTCAGCCATCAGTCTGTGTAGCTCTTTTGAAGGGAACTTGTCTTTTTTCTGCTAGATGCTTTTGTTTTTCTCGTCATTGTTGCTTTTCAGTGATTTTACTTTGATGTGTAAGTGTGTTTTTCTTCGTGTATATCTTTTTCCTTCAACTTTTATTTTAGACTCAAGGGGTACATGTGCAGATTTGTGACAAGGGTAGATCGCATGATGCTGAGGTTTGGGTGTGATTGAACCCATCACGCTGATAGTGAGCATGCTACCCAATAGGGAATTTTTAACCCCTGCCCCCTCCTCCTGGGAGGAGTCCCTGGTGTCTATTGTTTCCATCTTTATGTTTATGTGTGTCCAGTGTTTAGCTCCCACTTGTGAGAACATGCTATATTTGGTTTCCTGTTTCTGCCGTAGTTCTTTTAGGATAATGGCCTCCAGCTGCATTTATGTTGCTACAGAGGACATGATCTCATTTTTTTATGGCTGTGTAGTATTCTATGGTGTATGTGTACCATATTTCTTTATCCAAGCCACTGCTGATGAGTACCTAGGTTGATTCCATGTCTTTGCCGTTGTGAACAATGATGCAATGAACACACAGTTGCCTATGTCTTTTTGGCAGAATGATTTATTTTCCTTTGGGTATTGTGATGGTTAATACTGAGTCTCAACTTGATCGCATTGAAGCATACAAAGTATTGATCCTGGATGTGTCTGTGAGGATGTTGCCAAAGGGGATTAATAATTGAGTCAGTGGGCTGGGAAAGACAGACCCACCCTTAATCTGGGTGGGCACCATCTAATCAGCTGCCAGTGGGGCTAGAATATAAGCAGGCAGAAGAATGGAAAAGAGAGACTGGCCTAGCCTCCCAGCCTACATCTTTCTCCCATGCTGAATGCTTCCTGCCCTTGAACATCTGACTCTAAGTTCTTCAGTTTTGGAACTGGGACTGGCTCTCCTTTCTCCTCAGCCTGCAGATGGCCTATTGTGGGGCCTTGTGATTGTGAGAGTTAATACTTAATAAACTCAAATATATATATTTGAATATATATAGAATATATATAGAATAGAATATATATAGAATAGAATATATATAGAATAGAATATATATATTCTATAGAATATATATAGAATAGAATATATTCTATAGAATATATATAGAATAGAATATATTCTATAGAATATATATAGAATAGAATATATTCTATAGAATATATATAGAATAGAATATATTCTATAGAATATATATAGAATAGAATATATTCTATAGAATATATGTAGAATAGAATATATTCTATAGAATATATGTAGAATAGAATATATTCTATAGAATATATGTAGAATAGAATATATTCTATAGAATATATGTAGAATAGAATATATTCTATAGAATATATGTAGAATAGAATATACGTATTCTGTAGAATATATGTAGAATAGAATATACGTATTCTGTAGAATATATGTAGAATAGAATATACGTATTCTGTAGAATATATGTAGAATAGAATATACGTATTCTGTAGAATATATGTAGAATAGAATATACGTATTCTGTAGAATATATGTAGAATAGAATATACGTATTCTGTAGAATATATGTAGAATAGAATATACGTATTCTGTAGAATATATGTAGAATAGAATATACGTATTCTGTAGAATATATGTAGAATAGAATATACGTATTCTGTAGAATATATGTAGAATAGAATATACGTATTCTGTAGAATATATGTAGAATAGAATATACGTATTCTGTAGAATATATGTAGAATAGAATATACGTATTCTGTAGAATATATGTAGAATAGAATATACGTATTCTGTAGAATATATGTAGAATAGAATATACGTATTCTGTAGAATATATGTAGAATAGAATATACGTATTCTGTAGAATATATGTAGAATAGAATATACGTATTCTGTAGAATATATGTAGAATAGAATATATGTATTCTGTACAATATATGTAGAATAGAATATATGTATTCTGTAGAATATATGTAGAATAGAATATATATATTCTGTAGAATATATATTCTATTAGTTCTGTCCCTCTAGAGAACCCTGACTAATATAGGTTTATACCAAGTAATGGGATTGCTGGGTCAAATGGTAATTCTACTTTTATTAATAGTTCTTTGAGAAATCTCCAAATTGCTTTCCACAGTGGCTGAACTAATTTACATTCCCACTAACAATGTATAAGCATTCCCTTTTCTTCACAGCCCCACCAGCATGTCTTATATTTTTACTTTTTAATAATAGCCATTCTGACTGGCATGAGATGGTATCTCACTGTGGTTTTGATTTGTGTTTCTCTGATGATTAGCGATAATGAGCATTTTTCCATATATTTGTTGGATGTTGGTATGACTTCTTTTGAGAAGTGTCTGTTAATGTCCTTTGCCCACTTTTAAATGTTTTTCTTTTTTTTGTTCATTGATTTGTTCAAGTTCCTTATAGAGTCTGGATATTAGACCTTTCTTGGATTCATAATTTGCAAAAATTTTCTCCTATTCTGTAGGTTGTCCATTTACTCTTCTGACATTTTCTTTTGCTGTGCAGAAACTCTTTAGTTTAATTAGGTGCCACTTGTCAATATTTGTTTTTTGTTGCAACTGCTTTTGAGAACTTAGCCATAAATTCTTTGCCAACACTGATGTCGAGAAGAATATTACCTAGGTTTTCTTCTAAGATTTTATAATTTGGGGTATTGAGCATTTAATATATTTTGAGTTAATTTTTGCATATGATGAGAGCTAAGGGTCCAATGTCATTCTTCTGCATATGGCTAGTCAGTTACCCAGCACCATTTATTGAATAGGGAGTCCTTTCGACATTGTTTATTTTTGTCAGCTTTGTCAAAGATCAGGTGAGTGTAGGTGTGTGGCTTTATTTCTGGTTCTCTACTATGTTCCATTCGTCTATGTATCTGTTTTTGTATCAGTACCTTGCTGTTTTGGTTACTGTATCCTTACAGCTTGAAGTCCAGTAGTGTGATGCCTCCAACTTTGTCCTTTTTGCTTAGGGCTGCTTTGGCTATTTGGGCTCATTTTTGGTTCCATATGAATTTTAGAATAGTTTCTTCTAATTCTGTGAAAAATGACATTGGTAATTTGAGAAGAATGGTATTGAATATGTAGATTGCTACAGGCAGTATGGCCATTTAAATGATGTTGGTTCTTCCAATCCATAAGCATGGAATGTTTTTCCGTTTGTGTCATCTCTGATACCTTTGAGCAGTGTTCTTTAGTTTTCCTTACAGAGGTCTTTCATCTCCTTCGTTAGAGGTACTCCTGGGTATTTTGTTTCTTTGTGTGGCTAAATGGGATTGTAATAGGATTATATTCTTGATTTGGCTCTCAGCTTGAATGTTATTGGTGTATAGAAATACTACTGATTTTTGTACAATTGATTTTTGTATGCTGAAACTTTACTGACGTTGCTTATCAGTTCCAGGAGCTTGTTAGCAGAATCTTTAGGATTTTCTAGGTATACAGTCGTATAGTCAGTGAAATAAGATAGTTTGACTTCTCTTTTTCCTATTTGAATGCTTTTTATTTCTTTCTCTTGCCTGATTGCTCTGGCTAGGGCTTCCAGTACTGTGTTGACTAGGAGTGGTGAGAGTGGGTATACTTGTCTTCTTCCAGTTCTCAAGGATAATGCTTCCAGCTTTCGCCCATTCAGCATGGTGTTGGCTGTGGGTTTGTCATACATGGCTCTTACTATTTGAGATGTTCCTTTGATGCCTAGTTTGTAGAGAGTCTTTATCATGAAGGGATGTTGGATTTTTTGAAAGCTTTTTCTGTATCTATTGAGATCATATCATATGTAAATTCTATTTATATGGAGAATCACATTTAAAGATTTGTGTATGTTGAACCAACCCTGCATCCCAGGAATAATCCCTACTTGACCATGGTGAATTAATTTTTTTATGTGCTGCTGGATTTGGTTTGCTAGTATTTTATTGAGGATTTTTACATTTATGTTCATCAGGGATATTGGCCTGTAGTTTTCTTTTTTCATTATGTCTTTGCCAGATTTTGATATCAGGATGATGCTGCCTTTGTAGAATGAGTTAGATAGGAGTTCGTCCTTGATTGTTTTGAATAGTTTCAGTAGGATTGGTACCAGCTCTTCTTTGTACAACTGATAGAATTTGGCTGTGATTCTATCTGGTCCAGGGCTTTTTTGGTTGGTAGTTTTTATTACTAATTCACTTTTGGAACTCATTATTGGTCTGTTCAGTATTTCAGTTTCTTCCCTGGTCAATCTTGAGAGTTGTGTGTTTCCAGCAGTTTATCCATTTCCTCTAGATTTTCTAGTTTGTGTGCAAAGTGGTATTCATAATAGTCTCTGAGGGTCTTTTATATTTCTGTGGCATTGGTTGCAGTGTCACCTTTGTCATTTTTTAATGTGCTTATTTGGATCTTTTCTTTTTTTCTTTGTTATTCTAGCCAGCACTCTATCAATCTTGTTAATCATTTCAAAGAACCAAGCTTTGGTCATTTGTATGAATATTTGGGTCTCAATTTTATTCACTTCTGCTCTGATTTTGGTTATTTATTTTCTTTTGCTAGCTTTAGGGGTTCTTATTTTTCTAGTTCTTCTCAGTACAATTTTTAGGCATTTAGTGCTATACACTTGCTTCTTAATACTGCTTTGCTGTATCCCAGAGATGTTGGTATGTTTTGTCTCTGTTTCCATTAATTTCAAAGTAATTTTTAATTTCTGCCTTAATTTCATTGTTTACCCAAAAGTCATTGAGGAGCATGTTGTTTAACTTCCGTGTAATTTTGTGGTTTTGAGAGATCTTCTTGCTATTAATTTTTATTCCACTGTGATCTGAGAGTATACTTGGTATGATTTTGTTTTTTCTAACATATTGAGACTTGCATTATGGCCAAACATGTGATCAGTCTTGGAGCATGTTCCATGTGCAGATGAGAAAGACATATATTCTGTTGTTGTTGTGTGAAGTGTCTATTAGGTCTAACTGGTTGAGTGTTGAATTTAAGTCCAGAATGTCTTTGTTACTTTTCTGCCTCAATGATCTAATGCTGCCAGTGGGGTGTTGAAGTCTCCAATTATTCTTATGTAGCTAAGTCTTTTTGTGGGTCAGGAAGTACTTGTTTTATGAATCTGAGTGCACCAATGTTAGGTGCATACATACTTGGGAGAGTTAAGTCTTCTTGTTGAATTGAACATTTTATCATTGTGTAATGCTCTTGTTTGTCCCTTTTTAAAGTTGTTGGTTTAACATTTCTCTGATACAAAAATAGTGACCCAGGGGTAACTATTTTTTTGCTTTCTGTTTGTGTGATAGATCTTTCTCCATCTTTTTACTGTGAGCCTATGAATGTCATTACATGTGAGATGGGTCTTTTAAAGACAGGAGGCAGTTGGGTCTTAGTCTTTAATCCAACTTATCATTCTGTGCCTTTTAAGTGGGGTGTTTAGGCCACTTATATTTCCAGATTCACATTGCTAGTGTGCGATTGTCATACTGTTGTGATGCAGTCACCTGATTGCTTTGTAGTCTCAATTGTGTAGTTCCTTTATAGGCTCTGTGGGCTGTGTACTTAAGTGTGTTTTTGTGGGAGCAGGTATTCTTTCATTTCCGTGTTTAGAGTTCACTTAAGGATATACTGTAAGGCTGGTCTAGTGGTAATGAATTCCCTTAAAATTTGCTTATCTCAAAAAAATATATTTCTGCTTCACTTATGAAACTTAGTTTGGTGGGATATGAAATTCTTGGTTGGAATTTTGTTTCTTTAAGGATGCTAAAAATAGGCCCCCAGTCTCTTCTGGCTTGTAAGGTTTCTGTTGAGAACTCTGTCTAATGGGGTTCTCTTTGTAAGTGATCTAACCCTTTTCTCTAGCTACCTTTAAGAGTTTTTCTTTCATGTTGATGTTGGAAAGTCGGATTGCTATGGGCCTCAGGGATGGTCATCTTGCATAGTATCTTGCAGGGGTTCTCTGAATTTCTTGAATTTGCATGTTGACCTCTGTAGCAAGATTGCAATTTTTTCATGGACTGTATCCTCACATATGTTTCCCTAGTTGTTTACTCTCTCTCCTCCTCTTTGAGGAATGCCAGTGAGTTGTAGGTTTGGTCTATTTACATAATCCCATATATTTCAGAGATTTTGTTCATTTGTTAAAAATTCTTTTTTTCTTTTTTTTCTGCCAGGGTTGATTTGAAAGACTGGGCTTCAAGCTCTGAATTTTTTTCCTTAGCTTGGCCTTGTCTATTGTCAAGGCTTTCAATTGTATTTTGAAATTCCTGCAGTAAATTTTTCAATTCCAATAGTTCAGTTGGGTTCCTTTTTAAAATGTCTATGTTGTCTTTCAGCTCTTGGATAATTTGCCAGGCTTCCTTGGATTGGCTTTCAATGTTCTCTTAAATATCATTGAGCTTCCTTGAGATTATGACTTCTGTATCTGCCATTTCAGCCATTTCAGTCTAGTTAGGATCCATTGCTGTGGAGCTGGCACAAACGTTTGGAGATAAGGAAACACTCGGAGTTTTTGAATTGTCAGAATTCTTGAACTGATTCCTTCTCATCTGAGAGGACTGGTGTTTCTTTATCTTTTTGAAGTTGCTGTTGTTTAGATGGGGCTTTTTGTTTTTACATTCTTTATTTCCCTTGAGGGTTTAACTGTGGTGTATGTTGTGTGTAGTCATTTGGCCTTGTATTTGGGTGCTTTCAGAGGGCCAAGGCTCTATACTGGTTCCTTATTTGTGGCTAGTTTCCTGTACTGGGTTTCACAGGTAATGTGTGAATTTATTTATTTGTTTATTTATTTATTTATTTTTGGTGGTATAATTCAGGCTGCAATCCAATAGATGATGCCTTTTAAGAGTAGGGGCCTGCAGATAGACTCTTACTCAACCACATGCCTCTTTCCTATTTCAGTGCATTTGCAGCAGAGCTCTGGGGAGAGGGAGACTCAGGGAGTGAGATGACCACCTCACCAAGTCTGTTCTCAGGCCTTGGGTGAGTCCTCTCCAATCACTAGCACCATGCAGATGCTTCCTTAGCCATGAGCGGGGCCCTGGTGGGCTGCACTTCCCCCTCCCTTAGGGGCAGTCCTAGCTGAAGGTTAGGTCACGAGGGCACCCACAATTCCCCAGGGAGCCGCTGGTCCTCTGAGCTTGGCAGAGTCAGAGCTGGTCATGGTCTATGAGCAGTCTGGTGATGCAGTGGGTCAAGAGCGGGGGATCCCTGGGTGGGGGAGTGGTGTCGGGAGTATTCAGCTGGTATAATGCCTGCAGCCTGGGGTGTTTTGCCCAGTAGATGGCTTTGGGGTCCACCCGGCTCACGCTTTCCCAACCAGGTCTCTCTTCAGTATCTGCCATGGGAGCAGGCTAGTTTTGTCCCAAGCCTTCTGCATCCAGATCACTGAACTGTTACAGGTGTTCTGGGCCATGGGGTCCCCTCTGATAGAAGCTGTGGCTGGCCAACAGGCCACACCCTTCCTGGACTGCTCTTATAGAGGGAGGGGCACCCAGCTCCAATGCCAGTACACGAACCTGCACCTCACTTCTCAGCATTCTGAGGTTGGGGGCTCCTCCCCTGCTCAAGCTCAGGCCACAGGTCTCAGCTCAATGTGTGCTCAAACTGTAGGGAGTGGGAACTTGGCCTGTGACTTTGTCCTCTGGCCCCTACTCGCTGTGCCAAGGGTACCAACCTGCTCTCAGGCCACTGTCTGAACACTCAGGCGGGGTAGTGGAGGCTGTGCCTTGTGCACTCTCCTTTGGGAACAGCCAGCCACGGTCCCTGGGAGGGGCCAGTGGACAAGGGACCTGCAGGTCAGGTGCACCCTGGTCCTCTGGGAAAGGCAGCCCTGGTTTCCCCCAGCCTGGCAGTCGGCAGCAGCTAGAGTTGCTCAGGGCAAGATGGAGGACTGTGGGGCATGGGTGCCTACTGTTGTGTTTCCCTGCAGCTGCCCCACACAAAAAACATTTTGTAATCTGTGTAGATTCCAGCTCTGTCTCTGCCGGCTCTCTTGGAATTTCCTCCTGCCAATTCAAATGTCTATAGGGGTTGTGAGGTCTCTTAAAGCTAGAATCCCAGAGGCCCATTGTGGGAGTGTGGTGCCTGGGAGTTTCTTCACTCGCTGCTTCCTTAGGCCCATTCAGGACCAACAGCTGATCCCTGCACTCAGTGACTCCACGCAGGCATCCCAGCTTTTGTGTCTGCATTGCCTCTATCTACTTTCAGTGTTTTCACTCAAAAGGTGTATTCAAAGTGCAATGGTTTCCTTGATATTTTCGTTTCTGTCAGTGGGAAAGGTGTTTTCTGGCTGCGTCTAGTTGGCCATCTTGTCCCTAATCTCATTTTTCCTCTTTATCATCTATATTTTAATGTTTTTAGACAGTTTTAAAAAATTATTCTTGGCCATTTTCTCTTAAAGTATTGTTTCTTCCCATTCTGTCTTCCTTCTTCCTTATAAAATCCAATTATGTATATATAGAACTTTCATCATCTTTTGTATGTCAACTGTGCTCTTTTCTGTATTTTCCCATTCTTTTTAGTATCTGTACTTTAGTCTATTGTCTATCTCTAGCTAGATTTATTTCCAGCTCACTAATCTTCTCTTCAGTGGTGTCCAATCTGCTCTTTGAACCTACTGATTTCATAATTTCAATTATTACATTTTTCAGTCCTATAATTCTATTTAACCTTTTAAAGATTCTGTTTCTACCATGAAATTTTTGGTCTTATCTGTTTTCTTGAATATAATCATAGTTGTTTTATGGTCTGTGTCAGATAATTCTTGTCTGTGTCACCTATGCATATATATTCATTAGTTGTTTTTTTCTTAGTTCTGTTTCTTCGTATGTCTTGTAGTTATTTATTGGTGCTGAATATTGTGTCTATAATATTGTAGAAGCTCTGAATGAAGCTTTCTCACTCTAGAGAAGATTCACTTTTTCCTCTGGCAAGTAAAGAGGATTTGATCACCTCAATCCAACGTGAAATAAGTTGAAGCAAGTTTGCAGTCTTTGCAAGGCTCTACTTATTGCTGGTTTGCTCTCACTCCTAGTATGTGGATCTTCAAAGGTCCTGAGATCCTGAGGTATTTTCTAGAAACTCTCTGCCCCCATCCTTGAAGGGGTACTTAATTCCAATTTTTGTCCCATACTGAGACACTCGTGAAAGCTTTGCTCTTCTTTTCAGCCTCTTTCTGTTTAGCTTGTTAGTCTCTTGCTTTGCACAGCTTGATTAATAAAAGCCTGTGTTACTTTGTTCTGCCATAATAGAATACCTGAGACTGAATAATTTGTAGTGAACAGAAATTTATTGTCTCACAATTCTGAAAGCTGGGAAGTCTAAGATTGAGAGGCCGGCATCTGGTGAGGGCCTTCTTGTCACATCCTCCCATGGCAGAAGGTGAAAGGTCAAGAGAGCGAGAGGGGGCCAAACTCACCCTTTTATAATGGCATCAATACCACCCATGAGGGTAGAGCTTTCATGGCCCAGTCACCTCTTAATACTGTTACAATGGTAATAAAATGTCAATGTAAGTTTAGAGGGGACAGGCACTCAAACCACAGCATTCTGCTCCTGGACCCTCAAAACCATGTCCTTCTTACATATGAAATACATTTTTTCCATCCCAATTGCCTCAAAAGTTTTAATTTTGATACAGTACCAACTTAAAAGTCGAAAGTCCAGAATCTCATCTAAACCAGATTTGGGGGAAACTAAAGGCACATTTCATCCTGAGGTACATTCCCCTCCAGCTGTGAGCCTATGAAATCAAACATATTATCTATTTCCAAAATATAAAGGTGGGACCGACATAGGATAGACTTTCCTATTCCAAAAGGGAGAAATAGGCAAGAAAAAGGGGATAATTATTCTCAAGTAACTCCAAAACCCAATAAGATGAACAACATTAACCTTAAGTCTCCCGAATAATCTTCCTTGAACCAGTGCCCCCACTTCTGAACATACTGGTGTGGGGGTTGGGCTTCCAAGGCCCAGGGGAGCTCCACCCTGCCACCCTGATAGCTTTGCTGGTTGCAGCCTACATGGCTGCTCTCATGGGTTGCAGTTAATGTCTGTGGCTCTCCCAGGCTGGCATTGCATGCATTGCATGCTGGTAGCTCTACTGTTCTGCGGGCTCAGAGGTGACTGTACTCCCAAGGCTCTACTAGGCCTACTGAGGACTCTCTGCAGCAGCTCCAACCCCACAGTTGTACAGGGCATTGCCCAAGTGAGGGCTCTTTGCAGTAGCTCTGTCCCTGTGACAGGTCTCTGCTTGAGACCCTAGGCTGTTCACAACATCTTTTGAAATCTAGGTGGAGGAAGCTGTGCCCCCAAAGCTCTGGCATTCTGTGTGCCTGAAGACTTAACACCCCATGGATTCTGCCAAGATGATGTTGCCAACCTTTGCTATTTGTACCTTCCAAAGCTGCCACACCTTGGCTCCCTTGAGTCACGTCTGGGGTGACCAAGGAGCACTAATGGGGGAATGTGGGGAGCAAGACCCCAAGATACCTTGGGGACCCTAAGCCTCTCTTTTGCCGTAGTTTCTTACCCCAGGCCTTGGTGTTCTGGGCCTGTGATGAGAGGTAATCTCTGAAGTGCCCTTCAGGGACATGCTCCCATCATCCTGATAAATAGCCTCTGGCTTCATTATACCCAAACTAATCTTATCAAACAGATGCTTGGCCATACCTTTTATTTCTTTCCTGAAAATCATCGCTCATTCTTTACCACATGGTCAGGCTAAGAATCCCTAACTTCTGTTTCCCTTTTAATTATAAATTTTATCTTTAAATCATTTACTTCTTGTATTTTTCTGTATGTAATTAAAAGAAGTCACACAGCACACTTAAGCTTTGCTGTTTAGACATTTCTTCTGCCAGATACGTTAGTTCATTGCTCTTAAAATTCTGCCTTTCGCAAAGGCCTTGGATATGGACTCAATTCAGATAAGTTGTTCATTACTTTATAACAAGGACCATCTTCCCTCCAGTTTCCAATAATGTTTTCCTCAATTTCCTTCTGAAATTGAGGCCATCAGAATGGCCTTAATCATCTATATTTCTACGAGCATTCTGATCGTGACTGCTTAAGGAATCTCTAAGATGATTCAGACTTTCCCTACAGCTTTCCTCCTCTTATAAGCCTTCACCAGAATCACCCTTATCACCACTTTCATGGCAATTGAGATCTTTTCTAGCCTGCTCCTCCAAATTCTTGCAGCCTCTACCCATTACTCAGTTTGAATGCCACTTTCACATTTTTAGGTATTTGCTATAAGAACAGCCGCACTTCTGTGGTACCAATTTTCTGTGTTAATCTGTTTCGTGCTGCTATCATAGAATATCTGAGACTGGGTAATTTATAACAAACAGAAATTTTTTTCCATTATGGGGGGCTGGGAAGTATAAGATTGAGGGGCCAGCATCTGGTGAGGACCTTGCTATGTTATCCCATGGCAGGAGGCAGAAGGGCAAGAGAGGGTGAGAGGGGGCCAAACTCACTCTTTTACAGTGGCACCAATCCCTCCTGTGAGGGTGGAGCCGTCATGGCCTAATTACCTCTTAAAAGTCCGAAACCATCCTCACAGGGTTAACAAGAATTACATGCTAGGTTCTGGGCAAAAATATAGTTATAATCAAGCATAACTCAGGCTGCAGTTTGGCCAATTTCCTTGTAACCCAAAGTCACATGGCAATAGAACCTGTGACTTTGGCCCTGGGGGTTTGCACCCCCATTGTTCCTATAGGTAAGACCACTCATGTTAGAATCATAAGACTTTTTGTTTAAGAATTGCTTAAGATGTTCTTCATATCCTGAATTCCAGTGGAAAGGCTGATACCAACCAGGTTAAAGACCCCTGCCCTCCCCACAGTGGAACCAAATGAGTGTAAGAATGTAGTTTATTCATTTCCCCATTCCATGACTTCACTCTGCACTCTGATCAATCAATGATCCCCACACTTCAGCCTACTCTAACCCCTTTAAAATCCCTAGACCCAAATTCCTTGGGAGGGTGGGTTAGATATACCCCCATCTCCTTATTTGGCTGCCCTACAATTATTAAACCCTTTCTCTGCCACGATCTCCAATGTCTCTTTATATTGAATGGTTGTGCATTGGGAAAATGACCTATTACAGTTCCATCTCTTAATACGGTTACAATGGCAATTAAATTTCAACATGAGTTTTAGAGGGGACAAATATTCAAACCATAGCTGGTCTCAAATATCAGTGCTGACTATTAGGCTCATTTCTCTTTGGGATTTTAGCCTTCAAACCTTGGCTGCCTTGGAAATACTTCCATTTGTATCTTTCTGCCTCATGAAGTTCTTCTGATTCTTAGCAGCTTCGTCTGCCCAACTTCTTGGCCTCCTGCCACATACTGATAAGCAACAAATGCCAATAGGTAAAAGCAGTGTATGGAGAGTTGGGTTCACTTCAATAAATGTTCTCTCTCTACAGGATCTGGTCCTTCAAATCCTAGTTGTTTTACAGATCTCTAGTGCTTTCACGCAGAAATTTGTTCTGTCTGGCTTTTCTGCTTGTTCTCAGCAGGTGTGTTGGCCTACTACAACACACCTATTCCGTCATGGCTGGAAATGAAAGTATCCTCACAACCTGCTGGCTCTTGAAGTTCCTGAAACATTACTTTACTGAGTTGGTCTGCTGCTTTGTGACTGTCAGTGTCTTTCTATTTCTCAACATGCTGAGTTTAAACACACTATTCTCCCATTCCAGGCCCTTCCTCCCCTGGAACCATTCTAATGACTCAAACTCGTTTTCCACAAATATCCAATATGAGTCTTTCGTACCTCTTGATGTGTTAGCCTGTTCTCACATTTCTGTAAAGAAATATCTGAGACTGGGTGGTTTATTTCAAAAATATTTTTAATTGGCTCATAGTTCTCCAGGCTGTACAGGAAGCATATTGCTGGCATCTGCTTCTGGTGAGGGCCTCAGGAAGATTCCAGTCATGGCAGAAGGCAAAGGGAGAGCTGATGCATCCCATGGTGAGAACAGGAAAAAGAACAAGAGAGGGGAAGTTCCAGACTCTTTTAAACAACCAGATCTCACACGAAATAACTGAGCAAAAACTCACTCATTATCAAGGATATGGTACTAAGCCATTTATGAAAGATCTGCCCCCATAATCTAATACCTCCCACTAGGCCCCATCTCCAACACTGAGGATCACATTTCAACATGAGATTTGGAGGGCACAAACGTCCAAACTATATCATTTCACTCGTGGCTCCCCAGATCTCATGTCTTTCTCACATTGGAAAATAGAATCATCCCTTTCCAATAGTCCCCAACATCTTAACTCATCAAAGTCCGAAGTCTCATCTGAGACTCAAGGCACATTGCTTCTACCTATGAACCTGTAAAATCAAAACAAGTTGTTTACACCCAAGAGATAATGGTGGTGCATGCATTGAGTAGACATTTCCATTCCCAAAGTGAGAAATTGGCTAAAAGGAAGGGATAACAGGCTCCACAGAAGTCTGAAACACAACAGGGCAGACATTCCATCTTAAAGCTCCAAAATAATCTCCTTTGGCTCCATGTCCCACATCCAGGGCACACTGGTGTTTTGGGCCAAACTTGCTTTTTTCAATGGCACCAATACCAAGGCTTTGGGAAGCTCTGCGCCTGTGGCTTTTCCATGCTGAGGTTGCAGACTACTAGTGGCTCTACCATTCTTGTGTCTGGAGGGCAACAGCCCCCTTCCTACAGCTCCACTAGGCAGTGCTCTGGTGGGGACTGTGTTGGGGGGATCAAATCCCACATTTTCCCTTTGTACTGCCCTAGTAGGTGCTCTCAGTGAGGGCTCCACTCCTGTTGCAGGCTTCTTCCTGGGCATTCAGGCTTTCTGATACATCTCTGAAATCTAAGGGGAAGCTGACAAGTCTCCCTCACTTTTGCACTCTGCATACCTGCAGACTTAACACTGAATGGAAGCTGCCAAGGTTTATGGCTTGTGCCCTCCAGAGTGGTGGCCTAAGCTGTACCTTATCCCTTTTGAGCCAAGGCTGGAGCCAGAATAGCCAGGATATGGGGAGCAGTGTCTTGAGTCTGGGCAGGGCAGTAGGGCCCTGGGCCCGGCCTCTGAATCCATTCTTTCCTCCTAGTGATGCAGGATTTTGCTCTGTAGCTTAGCTAGGTCTGAGTTCTTGTCTCATGACCAGGAAGAATTATGCACATAGACACTGGAAGAGTGAGTCAGGTGGGAAGTTTTATTGAGTGATGAAACAGCCTTTAATGGGAAAGGGATGCAAGGGTGGTCCTCCTACACAAAGGCAGGAGAGTTCCCAATGTGGCTGAGCCCAGGGCTTTTTATGGGCTCAGAATAGGGAGTGCATGATGATTGGTTTGTGAGTATGCAAGAAAGGTTAAAGTGAAGACAATACACAAAGGTGGGCACAATAGTGTAGAAAACAAATTAGGAAAGGGTAGGTAATCATAAAATAGGGGAAGGATGGGCATCAATCAGAGGAAAGTGCACCAAATGGGAAGGTGGGTTTTCAATCTGGTCCTGGGATTTACCAGGGACAGTTTCTGACTTGAAGGTGGGATTTGGCCAGGCACCTGTCCCTATCTACCTAGACATTTGTCTGCCTCCTGCCTCTATCATTGCCTGCTCCGAAGAGGTACATCTTACTGCCATTAGAATAGGGATGAAGACCAATTTTAACTGCTTCCTCCTGACAGGGGGCACTATGTTGGGAAGACGGCAGTCAGAGCTCCCTCAGAGACCTATCTAAGGGTCTGTGGTAAAAGGGAGCCATTGTCTGAGGCTCTGGTTGCATGACCGTTTGGCGTTTGATGGCCTGAAGGCAAGAAGAGACAAACTGGGTTATTAGAAGATACATATCAAAACAAAACAAGGTTAGTGAGGACAGCTAAAAAATCCTAAGGTTGCCAGCACACCCAGATAACTGGTGGCTATAGCTATGCCTGCTAAGATTTGGGTGCATGGGGCTTGGCTTTGGTTAGCTCCATTGGTCTTATTTTTCCAAACAAAGAAACTCCTGGGTTATGGGGACCCTATTTACTCCTATCACCTGGCAGGATTTGCAGGATAATTACCCAGAACTAGAATATTGATCTAGATTTTTTATATTAACCCTCCCTTTTGTCTCTTCTGAGCTGCAGCTGGAGGTCACTGATTGGTTCAGAGGGATAAGCAGGCTTAGTTGAAAATGTAGGCAAAAACTTAAGAACAACTAATGAAATTAGAATTTAATGACAAATGTATGATAAGTTTTGAAACATAACTTTTCTCTTCTCCAGTCCTCATTTTTGTCAAAAGCAAATCATGATAAGACTGAGTTGTTTGCAAAATAGACTTTAGTCTTATACTTGGCCTGATTATTTGCATAAAGTGCAGCAAGAATAATTATTTTTCACATAGGCTTTTAAATTGGTTTTGGTGGAACTCTGTTCCACAAGAAATCTCAGATAAGGCCTTTTAAAGCTGAGCCCAGCCATGGGTTTGTATTATCAAATACCTATGAATTGGTTAAATTACTCTCTTCTTGAGGTCCCAAGAACATGGGGCTCCTGGGCCTGTTAGAAAGTGACATTCTTTACTCACCACAGGTTAAGAACCCTGTACAGTGACTGTATAGATGAGATATGAGGCCAGTTTTCCCAAGGAGCTCTTATTGGCTCTGCAAGTCAATCTAGATTCCTTAAAGGGAAGCACATCCTTCCAGTCAAAGCTTTGGTAAAACAATCAGTTTCTCCAATTGTGTCCTGTTGCAAAAGAAAATGGATTCCTACTGCACTGAGGCTAATAACTATATTGCCATAGGTTAAGAATACTCACAGATAGTTTCCAAATTCTGGAGAAGCCAGGCAGAGAGAAACAAATATGCTCCAAATTTTGTTCACAGGAGTATACCTTACTCAATTATTAAAGACTGTAAATAGCTCAAAATAGAAGTTTCCTTGATTCTGAAAAACAAAACAAGAATCAGCAATGTTTTAAGCAAAAGGTTGAAAAGATTACTTCAGTTTTCTATTAGTTCAGTCCATTCTGTTAACTCTTGTTCTGCTTGATATTCATGGACATTTCAGCTCTTCATGAGTCCTGTACATTTTTCCTTTATTCCAGTGTCACAATGTCCAAAGTTATCAGAAACCTGCATTTGAGAGCACTTGCCAAAGTCCTATAGCTGATTATAAACCATCTTTTGAAAAGGATCAAAGCAAGACAACAACCGTCTGTGAATGACAAAATATCCAGGGTAGTTACAGTCAAACATGATTGACAAATAAATGTGGTGATTTCTATGGTTTATAATAACTTAACATAATAATCTTAATTATGATTGATAGCATATACTCAGACATTAGATTTTAGAAATCCCATACAATTTTGGAACACATATTATTATTATTCACTAAAATATAACCTAAAGAAGATTAAACATCACTTTGGCAATCTCATGTACCTAAACATGTCAAATAATCCTATTTACCTCTCTTTTGGATGCTCCAGGGGTCCTGCATAGCATCCAAAAGCTAGGGGTCAGAAAAAACAATTTTTGAAGCTGAAGTTCAATTTTGGAAAGCCTCTTAAATATGTTAGATGTTCAAAGCATTTGATATATGAAATAAAATTCCGGGTTACCACAAGTCATTTAGCCAAAATGATGACTCAAGAATTTTTTTTTAAAGGCAAAAAACTTTCATTGTCCTTTACTATTACATGAAAATCTTGTTCAAGGGAGAGAAAGGCAAACTTTACCCTTGTATTAGTCAACTATTAATGTCAACCCCAATTTTTAAATGAAACCTTATAGATAATTTGTCTGATCTTAACCAGTTTGACCATGAGGTGAGATTCTTATAAACCTTTTATAACCCTTTATAAATTTTTGTTAAAGATCAGACTAGTGCCTTAAAACCTTGTTGTGCTTGTATTTCAATCCAGTCTGAGGATTTACCTGGGACAGTTTCCAGCTTGAAGGTGGGGTTTCACCAGGGATCTGCCCCTATCTGCCTAGGCATTTGTCTGCCTCCTGCCTCTATCACTAAGCCTCTGGGCCTCTGTTGGAAGGGGCTGAACAAAAGACTTTTAAAATGCATTTGAGGCCTTCTTCCCCTTGGCTTGAATATTAGCACTTGGTTCTCTTTCAGTCATGCTAGTCTCTTTGGCAAGTACTCCACAGCCTTCTTGAATTCCTCCCCTCAAAATGCTGCTGCTTTTTCTAGCACATGACCATCCTGCAAATTTATCAAACTTTTGTGCTCTGCTTTTCTTTTAAATATAAGTATCAACTTTTATTTGCTTCTACATCTGATCATAGGTTGTTAAAAACAGCCATGCCACCTCTTGAATGCTTTACTGCTTATTAATTTCTTTTTCCAAATGCGGTAAGTCATCACTTTTAAGTTCAACCTTCCACAGATCCCTAGGACTTTGACACAATGCAGCAAAGCTTTTTTCTAGTGTGAAATATGAGTGACCCTTACTCCTGTTTCCTATAACTTCCTCATTTCCATCTGAGACCTTGTCGGTCTGGACTTCACTGTCCATATCTCTATTAGCATTTTGGTCACAACCGTTTAGCCATTCTGTAAGAAATTCCAAACTTTGCCTTGTCTTCATATTTTCTGAGTCCTCCAAACCCTTCCAACTTCTGCCCATTACCCAGTTCCAAGGCTGCTTCCACATTTTCAGGTATTTTTATAGCAATGCACCGCTCCTCAGTACCAATTTTCTGTGTTAGTTCGTTCTTGTATTGATATAAAGAGATGTCTGAGACTGGGTAATTTATAAAGAAAAGAGATTTAATTAGCTCACAGTTCTACAGGCTGTACAGGCAGCATGATACAAGCATCTGCTTCTGGTGAGAGCTTCAGGAAGCTTCCAATCATGGCAGAAGGTGAAGGGAAAGCCAGTGTATCACATGGTGAGAATGAGAACAAGAACAAGAGCAAGGAGGTTCCAGATTCTTTTTTTTTTTTTTTTTTTTTTTTTGAGATGGAGTCTCACTCTGTTGCCAGGCTGGAGTGCAGTGGCACAATCTTGGCTAACTGCAACCTCTGCCTCCTGGATTCAAGCAATTCTCCTGCCTCAGCCTCTCAAGTAGCTGGGACTACAGGTGCATGTCACCATGCCCAGCTAATTTTTGTATTTTTAGTAGAGACGGGGTTTTACCATGTTGGCCAGGATGGTCTCGATCTCTTGACCTCATGATCTGCCTGCCTCAGCCTCCCAGAGTGCTGGGATTACAGGCGTGAGCCACTGTGCCCGGCCGGTTCCAGATTCTTTTAAACAACTAGATCTTCTGTGAGCTGAGTGAGAATCTACTAATTATCAAGGGGTTTGTCCTAAACCATTCATGAGGCATCTGCCCCCATAATCCAATACCTCCCACTAGGCCCCACCTCCGACATTGGGGATCATATCAACATGAGATTTGGAGGGAACAAACATCCAAACTACATCAGTTGGGTGAGATCCTTCACTCATTCTTTAAACTATGATTTTCTCTTGGTGGTTGTGTGATTTTTGGCAAATTACCTAACTCCCTGTACCTCAGTTTTCTTATTTATAAAATGGAGATATTAGTATTAGTATAAAATGGGGATATTTTAGGGATACTATGCAGATTAAACAAGTTCATACAGGCAAAGTATTTTGAAAGCACCCAGGATTGAATGTGTTCACCCTTGTTTCAGCCTATATCTTCTTACCTTCTGCCCTTTCTCTAATGAAAATGTTCACCCCTTTTTCCACTAATCCATTCAAAGTAGTGGAAAGTTGAATTTCTCATTCTTCAAGGCTCGGTTTAATTACTATCCTATTTATGTAGACAAAAACTCTCCATCTCTAAATTCCTATAATACTTACAAGTCAGAACCACTCCCCTTGATTCCTTAAGTAAGAGCTGTAGTCACTAACAGCTGTGGTCATTATAATTTATGACTCTTCTCTTTAGGTTTCTTGTCACGCTGATTACATTAATTGAAAATAGCATCATGTTTCTCATAGCAGGTCTGATGAAGGATCTCATTTAAAATGTTAAGCAGTTTAAACTCTACACCATGGTTTCTCAATGTCTGCTGCACATTTGAATTCCAGGGTTTTAGAAAAAAATCCCAGCCAGGCGCGGTGGTTCACTCCTATAATCCTAGCACTTTGGGAGGCTGAGGCGGGTGGATCACCTGAGGTAAGGAGTTTGAGACCAGCCTGGCCAACATGGTGAAACCCTATTTCTACTAAAAAATACAAAAATTAGCTGGGCGTGGTGGCATGTGCATGTAGTCCCAGCTACTCAGGAGGCTGAGGCGGGAGAATCGTTTGAATCTGGGAGGCGGGGGTTACGGTGAGCCGAGATTGTGCCACTGCACTCCAGCCTGGGCAACAGAGTGAGACTCCATCTCTAAAATAAAATAAAATAAAATCCCAATGCCCAGGCCAATCCCATATCCTGGACCAGTTAAAACAGAAATTCTGGGGTGGGATTCATGTATGAGTATATTTTAAGTTCCCCAGATTCACACTTAGATTCTGAGAACCACTGCTCTCTTTTGAAAGTAAGAGGGATAATTTAAATGGAAGGCTTTAAGCATCATCCTGAAGGTGTTTGCCAGGTACAAACCTGGCGGTGAAGGATGGAGATTGCAGAATTCTAGAGAGAGGAAGAAGCAGCTGCAGAACATGGCACTGTGAAAGACTGCATCCTGTTGATAGAATAGTGTTAAGTTCAAAGCAGCTCTGGTATGGGGAATGGTGAGGAGAGGTAGGAGATGAGTAGCTTGGGTCAGCGCACAAGAGTTTTTAATCTTTGAGCGTTTAAGGTTGGGTAGTGATCAAATCTGACTTGTGACCTGCAAAGGTCCATTTTGGAAAAAATAAGAGGGTTGTTTGGAGGAGGGGACTAGACTGGAAGAGGCAAGAGACGAGTTAACAAATTCTTCCAAGGTCGCCATGCAAGATGACCAGGGCCTGGACCAAAGCAATGAGACATGGAAGTGACATCGCTAAGCCAAAGTCCCTTGAGTTCACTTTAATGAGAGCAGAGCAGAGCTGCTCTTGGCCACTTGGGATTCTTCTCCCAGGTGCAGCTTTCTTGTTGACCTGAGCAGCATGTCCACTGAAGTGCTTCTCAAGGAGGGAGCTTCTCAGTCATCACTCAGAACTCCATGCAGCCCCTTGCTCTGTCCATCCCAACTGTTCCCACCCCTTCATTAATTCATCTTCCATATCTCTCTATTTCTCACCATGTCCAGAGTCATGCCCTTCATGCATCTGGGTGGTAGTTACCTCCTGCAGGGATAATGATGGCCCTTCTACCTGCCCAGGGTTCCACCTTTAACACAAACCCATGACTCAAACTCCAGATGTAGACACTCCTGCCATCTCCCCCTTGTTCTTAGGCATTTGGAGATGAGAACTGTTTCACTGTCCTCTTCTACCACTCTGAGCTTTATGGTCTTCTTCTGGGGATTCTGGGCTACTCAAACCCCCCTCCTGTTTTCCTTGGCAGTGTTCCCCAGTTAACCTGCCCATCACCATCCCTTCATTCCACTTCCTACTTTCATTCCACCCTTCTCCCTTATAACATGCTCTCCTGGATAAAGTACTGTCTTTGGAGTGAGACAGACCAGGGTTTGAATCCTAACTCCACCGTTTACCTGGACAACTCACCCAGCATTTCTTATTTCACTATCCTAGATAATAAAATGAAGACAGCACATTTTGTTTCACAGAGTCGTTGCAGGGAATAATTAATACAATCTGTCTAAAGTATCTAGTCAGAGGCTGATTATCTCCTTCCCCCTACAGAGACTGAGACCTTATTCATTTTGCCACTTCTGTCTCACTTCCCCCTTCTCTCCTTTTATTCTTCCCTTCCTAGTACCCTGGTAAGATTTATAGAAAAGAACTCTGAGGCTCCAGCCTCATCTTTGCTACTAGCCTGGTAGTAAGACCTTCAGCAAATCACTTCTTTCTCTGAGCCTCAGTTTCTTCATCTATAAAAGAAGGCACTGCAGTAGGTCACCTCTAAGGTCCTGTGCCCCTGAAACATGCTGTGAGGTAAAGCCAGTGTGAAATCCCATCTCCTTCATGGGGTCTTTCCCACTGTTAAAAATAGTGGCGACTTCTTCTCCTTCATGCACAATCCACCGCCTTGTTGCAGCATGTTCCTTCTGTTGTATTTTTGCTCCTCACATTAAAAATGTTTATCCTTAGGATTTATGTGAGAAGGGCTGGGGGCAGGGTGGTAGAATTATTTCTGCATGTTGATAGGAAGAGTCTTAGCTCTGCAAGGGCAAAAATGTTGCCCTCAAGGGGAAGAGCTGTCCTTTCTAGAGACTGTATCCTCTCCAGCCCTACCCTTATAGGAGGCTGATGACAGAGCTTAGACGAGTTTAAGACACAGCCTGAAACAATCTCCCTCCCTCCCTGCCTCCCTCCCTCCCTCCCTCCCTTCCTTCCTTCCTTCCTTCCTTCCTTCCTTCCTTCCTTCCTTCCTTCCTTCCTCCCTCTCTCCCTCCCTCCCTCTCTCCCTCCTTCCCTCCCTCCCTCAGTGTAGGCTCACAAGAGATATATGAAAACATTTAACTAAAATACATTTCAATCTATAGATTCAACATAATCCACTTATATGTTCATGCATTCTTTCCTTCATTTAACAAATTGTTGTTGGACATCTATTATGTGTGAAGTACTGTGCTAAGCTCTAAGGTTGTAAACATGAATAAGACATGGATTTTGCTTTCCAGGAATTTACTGTCTACTTTATTTATTTAACAAAAATCTTATTATGGTGTGCCACACTGGGCTCACTAGAAGCAGTCAGTATGGAGTGCGAGATGTTTATTGGGGGTCAAAGCCTGTGAAAGGAAGAAGGAAGAAAGCAGAAATGGGCAGCAGAAGTTGAACCCTGATGCAGGCCTGATGGAATCCCAGGAACCCAGCAGTGAGCTCTGGAGCCAGAACTGCTCATCAGAGTCATCCCCCGTGGCCCAAATATGAGGTCTTTATGCCCCTGTGTGTTCGTTTCCTAGGGCAGCTATAACAAGCTATCACAGACTACGTGGCTCAAAACAACAGAACTTTGTGTTTCCACAGTTCTAGGGGCCAGAGTCTGGAATCAAGGTGTTGGCAGGGCTGTGCTCCCTCCAAGGCTCTGGGGAGAACCGTTCCTTTCCTCTTCCAGCTCTGGGTGGCTCCTGGCATTTTTTGGCTTGTGGCCACATCACTACAGTCTCTGCCTCTGTCTTCACCTGGCCTTCTCTGTGGGCTGTCTCAAATCTCCCTTTGCCTTTTACATATTTGTTTTATTTAGTTTGTGTCTAGAAGACTTTGTTTTTTTAGAGCAATTTTAGGCTCACAGAAAAATTGAGAGAAACATATTGAGACTTCCCATGTACCTCTGCCCCCACACAGGCACGGCCTCCCCATTATCAACACCCCCACCAGAGTGGGCACTTGTACAATTGATAAAGCTGCATTGACACATCGTCATCACAAAAGCTCATCGTTTACATTAGGGTTTACTTTTGGGTGTTGTACATTCTTAGGTTTAGACAAATATATAATAACGTGTATTTGACATCCCTGTGCCTTTTTCCTGTAAGGGCATCTGTCACTGGACTTAAGGTTCATCCTGAATCCAAAATGATCATATCTCAAGATTATTAGCTTGGTGGATTGGATAAAGAAAATGCAGTACATATATGCCATGGAATACTACACAGCCATACAAAATAATGAAATTATGTCCTTTGCAGCAACATGGATGGAACTGGAGGGTATTTGAATTTACACAGGAACAGAAAACCAAATACTGCATGTTCTCACTTATAAGCAGGAGCTAAACAATGAGTACACGTGGACACAAAGAAGGGAACAATGGACACTGGGGCCTACTTGTGGGTGGAGGGTGGGAGGAGGGTGAGGATTGAAAAAACTACCGATTGGGTATGATGCTGATTACCTGGGTGACAAAATTATCTGTACACTAAATCCCTGTGACATGCGATTTACTCATGTAACAAGCCTGCAGAGGTACCCCCTGAACCTAAATTAAAAGTTGGAAAAAAAGAAAATTCTTAATTACATTTCCAGAAACGCTTTTTCTAAAAAAGGTCACGTTCACAGGTTTTAGGGTTGGGACATGGATCTGTCTTTCTGGGGCCACCATTAAACCCACTGAACTCTGCTTTACTGTACCAAATGTGGACTGCCTCAAGAAGGGTTACCTTCAGAGATACTGCTCTATGCAACTGAGGCTGCTGCTAAAGTTGCTGACAGCTGAAGACTGTCTGATGACCATGTTCCCTGCAGACAGGAAACAATTGTTTCCTTGAAAGAGTATCTGGATGCTATGTCTTCTTAACTACAACATATGGCCCATATTTCCATGCTAGAAATAAAAAACAAAGTGGTTACTAAAGTCAAACAGAGTCCCTGTCCTCACCACCCTTGCAGTCTAGCAGGGGGAGATAATTAACCCCACAGCTACAGATAAATTCACTTCAGTGATAAGTGCTACCAAGAAGAGGTACATGTGACCGTAAGAATATGTAAAGGGGAGACCTGCTGGAGCTTTCTCTGAGAGCAGAGAACAGTATTTAGGATAGAGGGGATAGTATGTGCAAAGGGTGAATCATCATGCATTCAGGAAAGTGAAAGGAAGCCAGTGAGGCTAGAGTTAGAGAGCAAAGAGCGGCAAGATGTGGCATGAGACTGGGGAAGGTGGGGACCATTCCAAGAGGGGCTTTGGGGCATGTAGAGGTTTGACCTTTATCCTTAGAACAACAGATTTTTTTTTCTTTTTAAGATAGAGTCTCACTCTATCACCCAGGCTGGAGTGCAGTGGCACAAGATTTCAGCTCATTGCAACCTCTACCTCTTGGATTCGAGCGATTCTCCCACCTCAGCCTCCCAAGTAGCTGAGATTACAGGTGAGTGTCACCACACCCAGATAATTTTTGTAGTTTTAGTAGAGATGGGGTTTCACCGTGTTGGCCAGGCTGGTCTCAAACTCCTGGCCTCAAGTGATCTGCCCACCTCAGCCTCCCAAAGTGCTGGGATTACAGGCGTGAGCCACCATGCCCATCCAGAACAACAGAATTTGATTGAAGAGTTTCAAGAAAGGAAATATGGTAAGTCAAGGGTTGAGAGCGACCAAACTAAAAATTGCATTTGAAGGAGAGATGCATATTGCCATGTGATATGGTTTGGCTGTGTCCCCACCCAAATCTCAACTTGAATTGTATCTCTCAGAATTCCCATGTGTTGTGGGAGGGATCCAGAGGTAGGTAATTGAATCACTGGGGCTGGTCTTTTCCATGCTATTCTAGTGATAGTGAATAAATCTCATGAGATCTGATGGGTTTTTCAGGGGTTTCCACTTCTGCTTCTTCCTCATTTTCTCTTGCCACTGCCATGTAAGAAGTGCCTTTTGCCTCCTGCCATGGATTGTGAGGCCTTCCTAGCCACGTGGAATTGTAAGTCCAATTAACATGTGAAAGCAGCGTGAAAACAAACTAATACAGTAAATTGGTACCAGTAGAGTGGGGTATTGCTGAAAAGATACCTGAAAATGTGGATGCAACTTTGGAACTGGGTAACAGGTAGAGGTTGGAACAGTTTGGAGGGCTGAGAAGAAGACACGAAAATATGGGAAAGTTTGGAACTTCCTAGAGACTTGTTGAATGGCTTTGACAAAAATGCTGATAGTGATATGAACAATAAGGTCCAGGCTGAGGTGGTCTCAGATGGAGATGAGGAACTTGTTGGGAATGGGAGCAAAGGTGACTCTTGTTATGTTTTAGCAAAGAGACTGGCAGCATTTTGCCCCTGTCCTAGAGATTTGTGGAGCTTTGAACTTGAGAGAGATGATTTAGAGTATCTGGTGGAAGAAATTTCTAAGCAGCAAGGCATTCAAAAGGTGACTTGGGTGCTGTTAAAAACATTCCAATTTAAAATGGAAATGGAGCATAGGAGTTCAGAAAATTTGCAGCCTGACAATGCAGTAGAAAAGAAAAACCCATTTTTTGAGAAGAAATTCAAGCTGGCTGCAGAAATTTGCATAAGTTAGCAAGGAGCCTAATGTTAATCCCCAAGACCACAGGCAAATGTCTCCAGGCCATGTCAGAGACCTTCAAAGCAGCCCCTCCCATCACAGGCCCAGAGGCCCAGGAGGAAAAAGTGGTTTTGTAGGTCAGGCCCAGGGTCCGCATGCTGTGTGCAGTGTAGGGACTTGGTACCCTGTGTCCCAGCCACTCCAGCCATGGCTAAAAGGGGCCAACGTAGAGCTCGGGCTGTGGCTTCAGAGAGAGTGGAAGTCTCAAGCCTTGCCAGCTTCCACATGGTGTTGAGCCTACAGGTGCACAGAAGTCAAGAATTGAGGTTTGGGAACTTCCACCTAGTTTTCAGAAGATGTCTGGAAATGCCTGGGTGCCCAGGCAAAAGTTTTGCTGCAGGGGTGGGGCCCTCATAGAGAACCTCTGCTAGAGCAGTGTGGAAGGGAAATGTGGAGTCAAAGTCTCCGCACGGAGTCCCTACTGGGGCACTGCCTAGTCAAACTGTGAGAAGAGCGCCACCATTCTGCAGACCCCAGAATGATAGATCCCCTGGCAGCCTGCACCATGTGCCTGGAAAAGCCACAGACACTCAAAGTCAGCCCATGAAAGCAGCCAGGAGGGAGGCTCCACCCTGCAAAGCCACAGGAGTGGAGCTGCCCAAGACCATGGGAACCCACCTCTTGCATCAGCATGACCTGGAAGTGAGATCTGGATTCAAAGGAGGTCATTTTGGAGATTTAAAATTTCACTGCCCTGCTGGATTTCAGACTTGCATGGGCTCTGTAACCCCTTTGTGTTGGCCATTTTCTCCCATTTGGAATGGCTGTATTTACTCAATACCTATACCCCCATTGTATCTAGGAAGTAGCTAGCTTGCTTTTGATTTTACAGGCTCATAGGCAGAAGGGACTTGCCTTGTTTCAGATGAGACTTTGGACCGGGTACTTTTGGGTTAATGCTGAAATGAGTTAAGACTTTGGGGGACTGCTGGGAAGGCATGATTGGTTTTGAAATGTGAGGACTTGAGATTTGGAGGGGTCAGGGGTAGAATGATATGGTTTGGCTGTGTCCCCACCCAAATCTCAACTTGGATTGTATCTCCCAGAATTCCCACATGTTGTGGGAGGGATCCAAGGGGGAGGTAATTGAATCATGGGGGCTGGTCTTTCCAGTGCTATTCTCGTGATAGTGAATATGCCTCACAAGATCTGATGGGTTTATCAGGGGTTTCTGCTTTTGCTTCTTCATCATTTTCTGTTACCACCACCATGTAAGAAGTGCCTTTCACCTCCTGCCATGGTTCTGAGGCCTCACCAGCCATGTGGAACTGTAAGTCCAATTAAACCTCTTTTTCTTCCCAGTCTTGGGTAAGTCTTTATCAGCTACGTGAAAACACTAAAACACCATGGTAGCTGAGTGGAGACCTGATTTGAGGGAGAGAAGAGAAGCAGCAGAGAGGCCAGGCAGAGGCTATCATTGCAGCAGTCCAGCCAAGAGCTGATGGGACCTGGGCTGGTATTGAGATAGTGGAGATGGAGAAAAATCAATGGATTCCAGAGACACGTAACAGATTTTGAGCTGATGGATCAGATGGGGAAGCAAGCGAAAGTGTCCAGGATGACTCCTTGGTTTCTGCCTTGTGAAAGTGGATAAGGAATGGTGATCCTTACAGAGATGGGGAGTGCTAGAAAATACCAGGGATAAACAAGCATGGAATGTTCAAGAAGCTGGAAGGAGTTCCCTGTGTGGACTAAGAGGAGACCCCAGAGTTCAGAGGGAGGTTCAGCATTCTTCTGCCTCCCTCCCCATTCCTGAATGCAAACCAGTATTTCTTCATCTTTGTGTACAGCTTGTGCCTCTGAAGTTTACTCTTCTGTCTGTGCCATAGTACTATCCTGCCTTATCACTCACCGCAGCTGAGCTGACTCACCTCTTGATCCCTCCCTATATTTGTTGAGGATTTTTCCTTGTGGCCCAGTCTTTCTCTCTCCTTCAGGTCACACTGTCACCCTATGTGGATCACTGATCTCCGTAACTCCACTTCAGCTCAGCTACTCGCCCCCATGGATCCACTTTGTCCTTGTGAGCCCCATGTCAGATCTCAAACATCATACTCCCCTCTCTGAATACAATCTTCTATCCTTCTCACTTGCTCATAATCTTGTCCTTTTTTCAAAAATAAATTAAAAATATGTTTATTGGGATGATTTCCCACTCATCTTGATTCAGGGTGCTTTTAGCACTACTTCCTCCTAAAGGGACATCCTTCTGTAGGCCTTGCTTTTCCTCCTGTAGGTGGGCAGAGGACAGTGGAGCAGCCAACATGTGAAACTACTGTTCGTGCGTAGGAAAAGGCCATTGTGACTGTAGAGCATCCTGGACATCTCACATCCATGAAGCAGGAACCAGGGATCTGCCCCAAGCACTTCTTCGTGTGTTTCCTCTTGTTGTCTTCTGGAGAGGGATGAAGGAGATCCTTTGTGAGAGGCATGTTCTTGTGATGAGGGCATCACTGCCAGAAAGGCTCTTTGTGAACCCTTCATTTTCTCCCAATCAACCATTACTAGCCTCCCTTCCTTCACTTCCAGCTTACTGAGAATGGCGTATCTCCACATTGCACCACTTTCTTTGATCATGACCTTGTATTCTGGGTTTTCTTCCCCATACTCCTCAACACTCTCAATTCCCCTCCAGCTTTGTCCTTCCTTATGTTAATCAAAGCCCAAAGTGATATTAGTTCTAGCCATACCTTCTTCTCCACCTCTCCTCAGCTGTTGCACACTGCTGGAGAAAGTCATCAGGTCATTTAGACTTGTGTCACCACAAGTTCATGGTCCCCAGCCTCAGCCCAGCCCCCTGATCCCTGGACTATTCTTTGCAGAAGTCTGGGTGTGGGTCACCAGCAAAGATGTAGTTGTAATACGCACATAAAAGAGATTGCCTAAGGAGAGTGGACAAGAGGATGGAAGAAACCAAATTGAAGTAGATTGAGGTAGAAATGAGAAGTGATTAAGTAGAGTCTCTAAGCCAAGAATATTTATTTAGAAAACTTGACAGAAATGGGAAGGAAGGAGATAGAATAGTAGGTAGATTGGATGAAGTGTTTGGATATAATTGTACTACAAAAGAGAAGAGAGTGTGTTTATATGCCAAGATGAAAGGGCTAACAAATAGGGAGAAGTTGAAGTTATTAAAAAAAAAAGGGGGAATGATTGAAATTGAATGTCCAATAAGACAGAAATAAGGCAAGTAATGTGCTTCACCTCAATGGAATATTTTGCATGCACAGAAAGTAGAAACACAGAATTGTTATACTATATGGTTATAGCTACACAATGTGTACATATGCTTAAAGTTTAGGAAGGAATAGAGGAAAGTAAAAACTCCTATGTCAGTGGGGTAGGTGAAAGCTGAGTATTTTCTTTTAAAATTCACATCATTATTATTGTAAAAATATTTAGTTCTAAGAAATGCCTTCTGGAAAAGATGAACAGATCCTTTCTAAATTTGGGGGAAGGGCCAGAAATTCCAGCCATATTATATGGAGGTTAAAAAAGCAGATGAATCTGGGTTCGCATCTGGCTTTGCCACGTGCCTAGTCATTTAACCATCTAAGCCTCAGTCTTCTCAAATATGTAAAATGGGGATAATAATAATGATTCTTTCATAATTGTGAGGATTAATTGACATAAAGCATGTACTGTGGTCTGTGGCAGCTAGTAAGTGCTTAGCAAACGTTGCTGATTTTTATTGTTTTTGTTAGTTCTGTCAATGAGCTGAGCCAGATGTTCTGGTTTTGGAGTGTCTTCATAGCAATTACAGCTAGGCACAGTGGAATGAGGAAGGACATACCATGCAGCTCTGTCTCTGATGAAGTTGTATAAACTAAAATACATTAGTAACTTTTCTGAGACTCCATGTCTACATTTTTTTTTTTCTAAAGAAAAGAGCACCTACATTTTAGAGTCACAGTTTTAAAATCTGCTTTACAAGATCTGGACCATCCTGTCTCTTCACCCTCATCTCATCTCTCTTTCGTGTGTTCTCAAACCCCAAGCTGACTCTTCCTATCCATTCTTTAGATTTGTTTCCTCATTTTCTGCCATCTGTTGAATTGATGCAGTTTTCTTTATTCCCTTCCTATAACTCTACTGATTTATAAATTATATACTCTAATGATATCAATGTTTGATATGAATATAATACTTTAGCTGCCATCAGCACCTTCTCATAGTATATAAGTCACTGTTGCCCAATACTTCAGTTTCACTGTTTTTATATCCTGCACAACTAACCATTAAATATTTCTTGTTTTATGTAATCAGTGTAAAACATATTTACCTACAGTGTAGACTGACTTACAACATATACCATTGGCAAGGAAATTCCATCTTCAAAGTGACAAGGAAAATCATCACAAACCTAGAATCCTACATGCCATTCCCTTGAAGGTATCCTATCTTTCTCTCTGGTTGTTTAAAAAATATTTTTAATCTTTTGTGTTCTATAATTTTAGTATACTCTGTCTGGGTGTGCATTTTAAGTTTTTTAAAAATCAGGCTAAGTGCTCATTGTGCTTCTTGTATCTGAGATTTCGTGTCTTTATTCATTCTAGAAAATCATCTTTGAACATCGCTTCTTCCCCATTTTCTCCATTCTTTCATTCTAAAACCCAAAGCAGATATAACTTGGCATTCTTAATCTAGTCTCCAGATCTATTAGCCTCACTTTCCAATTTTCCATTTTTTTAATCTTTCTGAACCTCATTCCCTTCAATTTACTTGGCTCTGTCTTCCAGTTTATTAATTCTGTCTTCAGCAACCTCTAATCTACTTAGTTCAGTTTATTCTCAGTGACTGTATTTTTTTACTTCTAAACATTCTACTTACCTCTTTTTTAGGAAAGCATCTTTTTTGTCTCATGTTTTTCGGTCCTCACTTTGTGTCTTCAATCATTTAAAATATATTTATCTTATAGGCTTTTTCAGCACATACTGAAGTTTTTAAGGGTCCAATTATGTTGCTGGTTAGGTGTAATTTTCTTTTTTTTTTTCTGTTTTTTGGGGTTGTGTGTGTATGTGTGTGTGTTGCCTCTGATAACTTGCTTCTTTGTTTTTCAATTTTGGATTGTAAACTCATCTTTGGTAGTGATTTTATTGTGGCTTTATTTGTGGAAATTTGTGGAAGACAGGATTAGGTCTATATTTATGCAAATGTCAAAGGAAGATCCTGTGATATTTATGCTTTTGTTTTTGCCAAGGATATCAGCCTGGGGCCACTTTTTTGCTAATTTTCCCCAAGGAAGAAGATTATGAGTATTTACTTAAACCCTGAATTCTCATAAGATCTATAGTTATGAATTTTCAGGGGGACTTACTACCCTCCACCAGAACCCCGCCTAATGCAAATAAGTGTTCCCAGAACTCATGCTAAGATAAATAAATGCCCTCATCATTTCCCTTTACCTGCCAGCAGATATTTTAAAGTTGACTCTTTCACTGATAATGTAGCCCTATGAGAGTCCCGGGTTATATGAAGGTCTCAGTTCTGATTCCTTACCCTTGAAAAAATGTCTACAATTCTGTTTCCTGACCAGCATGGGCATTTCAGTCTAAGCTATGGTCACCAACATGGCAACCTATGTTCTTTCAACTTCTGTACCCTACTCCCACCTCATGCCCCAGGCAGTGGGTTTATACTTTACAATCTTGTTTTTCACTTTCTTCCTTGCCACAAGAGCCTGAAGATTTCTCTACTTCTTTTAAGCAAGCTCAGCTATGCATTTAAAAGAATGTTCACTATATTTTAAGTATTTCTCCTTAATAGCCTCTTACTGCAATTAGTTAATTCATTCCATAATTTTTATTTGGTGTTTACGTTACCTGCTGGTGAGAAGCTCTGTAAGAGCAAGGATCATGTCTATTTTGCTTAGCAGTAAAACCCCAGGGCCCAGCGTAGTACTTGATACATTGTAGGTCACAAATAAATGTTTGTGGAATGAGTGGAGTTGTGAGATTTCAATTAGAAATTGTGTGAAATTAGTATATTGTACGTATACAACTACTAGAAGGCATTTGTTCATAGTGTCTTTTACTTTTTTTTATTTATGTGGATTCTCACTTCTGGAAAAATTAAAAACTCAAATGGTAATACCTCATTATCTTATAATGAGCCAACATAATGTGGACTACTATCTCTCCACCATTCCCACAAGCCAGTTGGATTTACATCAGCTCCAGACGTGGAGGTTAAAAGCTATTCCTCACACTTGGGTCCTCTTATGTTTTTTCCAGTGCATTAGGTGAGGAGATGTGGATGGAGAGTAGAGAGTGGCATTTGGTCCTGCTGGGCTGGCTCCTTTGATCTAGATCCCCATATCTTTCCTTTGGTCTTTTTCCTTTCTCCCAATTTGCTGCTTTCTCCAACACTCATGTGGGTTGTTATTTGACCAGCACAGAACTAAGAGTAAAAAGACCCATGTTCTAGTCCAAGTTCTGCCTGGAACAAACTGTGTGATCTCAAGTAGTTCACTTAACATTTCTTGTCTTTAGTTTCTAATAAGAAAAATTAGAAATGTGGGCTCTACTGTGTTTTAAAATATTCCCTAATACAAATAGTGTCTGACTTACTCAAATTGTTTGTCCTGGCAGATTATCTCCACCCTTCCATCACTAGCAAAACAGCATGTTTTTTTCTCCAGTATAATTTTCTTCCTTCTGCCCCTCCCTGTACCAGTTACCTCTCTCCTTCCCAACCCCACCTTCACCTCTGGCTTATTTCCTATCATAACAGGTAAGCTACTTGAGGGTGGAGTAATATCTGCATCAGATTAGTAAATGATTATCATTATTATAAAAGTAATTACACCTTTATTTTCACCCTAATCCCTTTAGCTCAAATTAATCCTGCCCTACCCTCCTAAATTGACAAGTAAATAATTGCTTGGATTTCCCTAATAGAAGGATTTGTATTTTCTGACTGCATCACACTCCCTGTGACACCTTGTCAATATTCTCCTGAATTTACCAAGGAGTTGACAGGGGCACAGGTAAGAGAGGAGACTCTTCCAGAGCCTTACAGAGATTCAGTGATTTCCCTCTTTTTTTCTGATTATGGTAGGAAGAAACCAGTGTCCTGGATGGAATATTTGACTGGGTTTTGGTGATTCTAGAATTGATTTTACTGGAAGTATCTTGATGTCCTTGGGCAAGTCACTTTATCTCTCAAAGCTTCATTGTCCTCATCTGTTATAAGAAGGGATTAAACCAAGCATAGACTTTAGAATAACATAGATCTCAATTCAAATCTGGGCTCTGCTACATTTGCAGCTGCTTTGCTGAGGGGTCATTAGCTACTCTGAGGCTCAATTTCCTCCTTTTCCTACTTTCCAGCTGAGGCCAGCTCTTAGGCTAAATATTTCAATCTTCACTCACTCTCCTATTCTAGCTACCTCAATTCTCTCCCATCCTCACTCACTCTTACTTCTCTCTGCCTTCCTCTCCCTCCCAAGGCAGCTCTCATTCTTGACATTTACTTAGCCCCATCTACCTGCACACTCCTTTGAATCACACAAACTCAGGGTTGGACAGGCTTAAAGCTCATCAGTGCAGCCATCTCTCTTCACATGCCTGAGGTCAGTGCCACAGAAGCCTACATCCAGCTAGTGGCTCCCCTGGTCCTCTCCACCCAGCCCTTTCTTACGGACCCTAGTGGCCAGAAGCACACACCTGTTGATCAGCTTTTCCCATTCAGGTCCCCTCTTGTCTATTCCTTTCAGCAGATTGGGTCTTGCCATGTCCTGGAAGATATGACCCTTTAGTTTTGCCGCTTACAGCTTCCACCCACAAGAGTGGAAATGGCTTCAATCACCTGGATATCAGATTTAATAATCTTAGAGAATAAGATATTTGTTGGCCCATTTGGGTCAGGTGAGAACATGACAGCTCTTGTAATAGCCATGCAGTTGGGCTGAGGATGCTGTCACCAGGAGAAAGAGGGAAAACTTGGCTGATAAAGTAGAGTTGTATTTTACAGGGCTACTTATTCTAAAGTCATAGAAAAAAATAAATATAGCATGTATTACCTTTAACAATCCCCTAAAGGATGCACTAAATTGAAGAATAAAACCCAGTGTGTCAACAAGTCTGAAGCTGCTCATGTCTCCTCCAGTGTTGAAACATATTGTCGCTTCCTAATCTACTGCTTCCACAGCAGGTGATGCCCATGGATCTGTCTAGTGGCCATATGATACAAACCAAAACAAAGGCAAACAAACAAAACCATAAAGCACAGACTCAAGTTCATCTCACCAGAATACCATGTAGGGTCACATGTGGACTAATGGATGACAAGTAGAATGTTACACAATATTGCTTGTATCACAGAGATTGTAATTTCTCTCTCTCCCTCTCTAATTCTCTCTCTTTTTAATATGTTCATACAATTAAATTTATGCAAATTAAAAACAGGAAGATGGTCTTTCCACTCTACTGCCACAAGCCCCTTCAAAGAGCTTACAGCCTCATCCAGAAGACAGATTGCTAATGGGCAGTGGGGATGGTTTTCATAATCCAGGCAAGAACAAAAGTCATAGGAGCCCATTGAAGAGGTACCTGACCGAATGTAGGCGGGCTCTTCATCTGTTAGAACAAGAGGCAAACTACCTGGGACCTGAAGAATGGACAAAAGTTGTCCAGAGTGGGAAAAGAATGATCCAGGAAGAATGTACCATGTCCAGGAGGCAAGTTAGAACATTTCCTACCAGTGCAGTATAGGCTTTGAGAGCTGGGACAGAGGCAGGGGCCTGCCGATGGAGAGCTGTGAATGCTGTACTTAGGAGTTTGGAATTTATTCTGAAAGCAATAATAAGCCAGTGAAGCAGGGGAGAAACATAATTAGGTTGTGCATTAGAAAGGAAATTCTAGTTGTGATTTGGATCGAAGAGCAATAATATATTACAGCAGGAGATCAGTTAAGAACATTCCAATATCCTAGAAAGAGATCATGATGGCCTAGATCACGGGCTGTAAACATAGATGAGTTGAGGGAGAGAGATTGGTGATGTCCTCCCAAGTGCCTGGCTTGAGCAACTGCTGGTAGTGCTGTAACTTGGGTAGAGAATAAAGAATAACTTCTAATAACTCCCCAATTTCTAATTGGTCTCAAATTGCTCTTATATTCTTTTCCTGTCATCCCATTTCTTCTCCCTTCCCCCAACTTCCAGAGGATGGAGACCAGGACAGCAAAGCCTTTCCTGTCTTTATTGTGCAAGAGTATAGACAAAAAGACTTCAAAAAGGATCTTCTAGTTTCAAGGCTCTTGATTTCTCTGTTCCTAAAATAGTGACTAGATGGAGGTAGAGAGAAGGGTGGGGGGTGATGGATTGTGTTAGAGAAAAATCAACTGATGGAATAGGAAGTTATTTGGACAGCCGTTGGGAAACAATTGTGGCCCCAGCCTCCTTTCCCCTTGGTAGCTCAAACCCTGACCTGCAGCGTCCTTGCAGTTCCCAGTCTCTCCACGTCAAAACCCTCCTGGTGATGGCTGACCTTGGCCATGGTTGCCGCAGCTTGGTTGGAAGGCCTATCTCACTTCACAGGAGATTGCCACACAAAGAACCATTGAGAAGAGGAAATCTAAAGGTAAGGCCGTGAACCTGGATTCTTCCTGATCGTTTCCTTTGTGGTTATAGACCAAAGGGCACACATGAATCCCAGTGCTTAGGATTAAGAGATTACCTTTTTAAAAAGAAAGAAAAATAGTGTTAATTAATTTTTATCTGAGGCCTCCACCCTTGTCCTGCTCTCTATTCCTCTTTTGTCTAGTCCCTGGGAAAATCTGTGGGAGGGGCCCAGCCCATCATCAGAGCTGGCTCCTCCGCAGCTAGGGAGGGATGGTGGCCACTGCAAGCCACCCTGCCCTGCCTCTCCTCTCCCCCCTCCAGCTCTTGCACAACAGCCAAGCAGGCAGATCAAGCGTTCAGCCTGTGCTTTTCCTTCTGAGCTCCTGGGCTTCTCAAAGGATCCTTTTGTTAGTGAATGTCAACCTCTCTCCAAAGCCCTGCAGTGGGAGCCAAGGAGGCTGAGTCCAGATGGGATGGTGGCCTCTGTGAGGGGTGCCAGATGGATGGGGACTTGCTGGTGGCCTCCAGGGTAACCCTGGCCTCTGTGTGTTTCCCAGGGGAGAGTGGGCTAGCACTTTCAGTCATTTATAAGACTACACCATACAGGAAGCTTTCCTGATTATTTCCACTCCTGCTCAGATTGTATCTTCACTGGGCATTCTCTAGAGCTGACATGCATGTGATTCTTGTCTTCCTGGGGCATTTCATAGATCGTTGACTACACAAAAGAAGGTGCATGCTTGGGTGAGAGACAAATTCAAAGCCAGGACTCATTCAAACTCCTGTCCTCTTTCTACTACATCAAGCTCTCTGTGGTCCACACAGTACTCTAGAATCACTTACTTTAGTTTCAAGTCCCCAGTGGAGAGTTCGAGTTCATTCTCAGGCCTTGTACTGCTTCCTCGCAATGCTCAGTGTTCATGCATGGCCTGAGTGCCAGTGCTCAAGCCCAGTGGACTCTGTCTTTTTGAAAGCCTGGGGTATTTTAGAACATTTAAACAGAGGCTCTCACTGTCCAGGTCACATCACTCCCCTTTTCCAGGCAGGCATGGTTGAGAACTTCTGACATGGTGACATTCAGGCTAGTGTACGGATAGAACCAGCTGCGAGAAAGGCTCTGGACAGGGAGCTTACCCAGCTTGTATTATATTCTCCATCACGTGTGAGTTCTCACTGTCAGGTGGAACAGAAAGAGGCAGCCAGTGTATGAAAGGCAGCATAGAGGAGCGTTTCAGAGCATGAACTTTAAAAGATGGTTTAAGTGGGTTCAAATCTGGGTACTGTCATTTATTCATTGGTTGGTGCTATGATCTCAATGTTTGTGTCCTCCTAAAATTTCTGTGTTGGAATCCTAACTCCCAATGCAATGGTATTAGGAGCCTTTGGGAGGTGATTAGGTCATGAGGGTAGGGGCTTCATGAATGGTATTAGTGCCCTTACAAAAGGGGCCCAAGAGAGGCCCCTGGCCCCTTCCACCAAGGGAGCACTCTAGAAACCAGAAAGCAGGTCCTCTTCAGACTCTGAACCTGCTGGACCCTTGACCTTGGACTCCCCAGCCTTCAGAACTGTGAGAAATAAATGGTTGTTGTTTATAAGCCACCAGTCTATGGTATTCTCTTATAACAGCCCAAATGGACTAAGACAGAAGGTTTTTGGGAAGTTCAATTACCTCTCTCTAAACTGTATTTCCCCATCTATAAAATAGGATTTGTAATAATGACTTAAAGGGATTGTTGTGAGGATTAAATGAAGTAATACAGTTATAAAGTATTTAGCAGTTGGTATTTCTTCTTCAGTAAGTGGTAGCTGGTATAATTAAAGAGTTCTGTACTGTCCAGGCCCAGGTCAAGTCTGAACTCTGCCTCTTATTGGCTCTATGGCCTCTGGCAAGTTGCTCCTCTTTGGGACTCGGATTCCTCATCTTCAGTGAGGGAGTTGGACCGATGACCTCCAAATTGCCTCTGACTATAATATTCTTTAAGTCTGTGTCAACCTGTCATATCTCCATAACCGACTCCCAACTCATTGGTAAGCGTCTTCAGGGTAGAAACCATTGCTCTTATAACTCTAGAGCCAAGGACAAAACCAAGGCTTGGTGTATGTTTGGGTTAGTAGGAGAAATCCTAGTGGTAGGAGCTAAGATTGTTGTTTTTGGTGTCCTAGGTACCTGCAGTGTAAGCTTGTATCAGCTGAGGGAGCTTTGCCAACTGCTCTGACCTTAGACAGCACAGAGACATCCAAGTGAGGTCAGACCATGAACATGCCGAAAAAAGGCTGGTGAGGGCTGGTGACTTGCTGCTGGGTACATGCAATCTCATGTAACTGAGCTTGAGTCCGACCAGAACAAAAGAACATGAATGCATGCCATGCCAGGCATGAAGCTCTGATCCCTCCTTCCCTTACACTCCAGATAGGGCTAAGCATGACAGGTGTTTGAGCCAGCTTACTTTACCATCTGGGTGGCATGAAATAGCCAAATGCTCATCCTGTGCCCTCTCCTCGTTCTTTTTTTTTTTTTTTAAATAAACAAATAGAAAAGCAGGGGACTACTATAGTTTCTGTTATCTATGGTTTTGCTTTCAGTGGTTTCAGTTACCTGTGGTCACCTGTAGTCAGCAAATATTGAAAGGAAAATTCCATAAATAAACAATTCGTAAGTTTTAAATTGCATGCTGTTCTGACTAGCATGATGAAATCTCATGCCATCACACTCCATCCCACCCGGGATGTGAATCTTCCCTTTGTCCAGTGTCTCCCGCTGTAGATGCTGCCTGCTCACCAGGCACTTAGTAGCCATCTTCGTGATCAGATCAACTGCCATGGGATCTCAGTGTTTGTGTTTGAGTAACTCTTATTTGATTTCATAATGGCCTCAAAGCACAAGAGTAGTGATGCTGGCAATTTGGATCCATCAAAGAGAAACTGTAAAGTGCCTCCTTTAAGTGAAAAGGTAAACATTCTCATCCTAATAAGGAAAGGAAAAAAAAAATACACTGAGGTTGCTGATATTTGTGGTAAGGGTGAATCTTCAATCTGTGAAATTGTAGAGAAGGGAAAAGCAATTCAGGCTAGTTTTGCTGTCACACCTCAAACTGTAAAACTTACAGCCACAGTTTTTGACAAGTGCCTAGTTAAGATGGAAAAGCAGTTAAATTTGTGGAAGACATGAACAGAAACGTATTGTGATAGCAATTGAGCTCAGTACTATCTGCAGTTTCAGTTGTCCACTGGGGGTCTTGGATCCCATTCCCTTAGGATAAGGAGGGAGTACTGTATTTCTTTTTTCTTTCTTTTTGAGACGGAGTCTCGCTCTGTCACCCAGGCTGGAGTGCAGTGGTGCGATCTCGGCTCACTGCAAGCTCCGCCTCCCGGGTTCACGCCATTCTCCCGCCTCAGCCTCCTGAGTAGCTGGGACTACAGGCGCCCGCCACTATGCCTGGCTAATTTTTTGTATTTTTAGTAGAGACGGGGTTTCACCGTGTTAGCCAGGATGGTCTCAATCTCCTGACGTCGTGATCCGCCCGCCTCGGCCTCCCAAAGTGCTGGGATTACAGGCGTGAGCCACCACACCGGGTGGGAGTACTGTATTTCATGTTAACATCTGTTGGGTTTATAATTCTTCCTTTCTTTTACAGACCTTGGTCTTTTTGTTATCTTGTTGTCTAGAGCAGAAAAGATTTACTTCAGTTTGATGGTCCTTTGGGAAGATGGGTTTTGGGGATGTGTATCCAATAAATTATAGCAAGAGCCAGCGGGAGGCTTGGGTCTGGAAATGAGGCCAGTCCAAGATCCAAAAGAGGTAACAGGCAACAATTTAGGCAGCCTAAAAGACCAAGGCGTGGACATCCATGGCCACTGTCCATGGGCCGTACTTCGTGTACTGTGCACCATATGGAAAGCTTTGAAACCTTTGGCCAAATCTGGATAATAGGAGCATCCAGTTGGTCGCTAAGCCGTGGAAGTATTTCATTATTCCATTCCCAACTTTTCATCCCTTACTGGCCCCACCTCAGTGGATGGTCCTGAGGCGTTACAAGTCTGTAAATACAAATGAAGGGACACCTTACTCTTTCCAGGTCTGAATGCTCACCTGACACAAGGAAACCCAGCCCTTCCCAAAGTCGCCCCAGGTGTCTAGGATTCTTCAGGTCTGTCCCGTGAACTGGTAACAAATGCAGTCTCCTCATCAAGACACGCTTCTCCCCACCAGCTCTGTTGCTCATGCTTTCCATAAGGGCATGAGCCGAGAGGGTTTGCCCTGAGGGTGCTGAGTCCTATGCAGAACTGGGGAGAATGTCCCTCTGCTCACTGTGCCGTACTCAGCCACCGCTTGTGCGTGGAGTTTAACATAGGTCCTCATGGAAATGCCTCCTTTACCTTTTACCTCTGCTACTTTCTCCACAGAGCCTCCAAACTAGTCCACAGACAGCTGTCAGGCCATTCAACCATTCTCAATGTTCTCTCTTCTTTCCCCAAACCTCTTGCTGCTTTTCCTAGAGGATTTTTCTGTAAAGGGAGATTCCTATGCATATTGGCACACACAGTTAAGAACTCTCAAGATGGGTGGGTAAGCCCAAACTTCATTTCTCAGAAGCATCCACATCCACTCTGGCCGTGTAAAAACATCCTGTCAGAGTAATGTAAACCAGCATTGTCTTCTGCATACATTCTTCATTACAGTAATCCCCTGGCTTTCTCCCCGGTATCACTCCCCTTTGCTTCCGATACACTCTCCACACAGCTTCCACACTGGTCTGCTTGAAATCCACCAATGGCTACTCATTGTCTCTGGGATAAAGACTGTGCTTTCCAAGGACCTGCCCAATCCAATCCCAACAGGTGCTACTGGCCGTATCTGCCAACACCACCTTCTTCGCATCCTAGAATCCAGCCACTGGGTCCCTGTTTCCAATTCCCTAAACACACTGTGTTGTGTCTCAATCTTTTGCTGACCCTGTTTTTTTTTTTTTTTCTTGGAATGCCTCCCAAGCTGACTCCTACTTACTCTCAAATAGACTAAACCTTACTGAAATATCAAAGGCCAGCTTACAGAGCATTTGTGTGTGAAGGACCCCCAGCCTCCTCTTTCCCCTCCTGCTGTAACAATTCATGGAAAGGGTTGGGGATTAGCATAAGAGAATCCTGTGTTCAAATCTCACTTCTTCCAGCTACCAGCTATGTGAAATATTTAGCAAGTTACTTAACCTCCATAAGCTTTCTTTCTAATCTTCAAAATGAGCAGAGTAATTCTTTTCTTACAGGATTATAAGAATTAAATGTAATAATGTATGTGAAGTGCCTGACACGCATTCTTATGACTATTATTTAGTTATTTATCTGCTCTGAGCTTCAATCTTTAGTTGCACCTCATCTATAAAAGTGCAACTAAAATACCTAATATGAGCATATTTTTAAAAGTTATTTATTATAAAGTACTAACTGTATATTCTCCACTTTCAGTATTTCTGCCATATGTAACATAGGGGAAGGACCAGGTATGGAATGGCACTCATTAATTGTTAGTTCCTCCCATCCGCCCACTTTTCTTTTCTCCTCAGGGTTCCCCAAGCATTCTCCATGTACATTTCTATTATAAAATATATTTAACTGCATTAAAAAGTAATTTACTTATACTTTTATCTCCCCATGTAGAATATAAACTCTGAAGAAAATTATATTCCTTTTTCATCTTCTTACTACAGGACAGTTCAAACATATGCACAAGCAGATCGTATAATAAACTCCCATGCCTTCATCATTGGCCTTCAACAATGATCAACCTGTGAGCAATCTTGCTTCATCTGTTACACACGCACTACCTTTCCAGTGGATTATTTTGGAGAAAACCCAAATTATCACAACATTTCATCTGGCTTTCTGGTGTGACAAAACATCCCAGGCTCATCGTGTATATATAATGCTGCAGACTTGGACAAGCCATTTTTTCAATGATCCCTGGTTCCTTTTAGTTGGAAATAGTATTTAGAAATTACAACCTGGACACTAGGGTGCCCATTAATACTGAGTTGGTCATCGTTTCCAGGTCGTTTTGGTGAAGAGTGCTAGGAAATAACTTAAGATAAAATATTTCATCTACATTATCACACCAAAAAGTTCAAAATAATTCCTCAATTATCATCAAATGTTCTATCAGTGTCCACATTATAATTTGTTGTTGTTTTTTGTTTATTGGTTGGTTTGCTTTTTTAGTTGGTTTGCTTGAATCAAGACCTAAATATGGTTTATATGCTCTTTAAGTCTCTCTTAACTCCTTTCTTTTTTATCTTGCAATTTGTTGTTGTTGTATGAAAGAATGAAGTCATATGGTATTATTTACCATGTTTCTCTTTCCCCTGAAATTCTTGTAAATTGCTAGTTATATCTTAGAGGCTTGATCAAATTTAGGTTTGATTTTTTTGTCAGACTGTTTTGTAGAAAATGTAATCTTCCTTCATGAGATACGTAATGTCGGTATTTTTTGTGATGTTTTGTGATTACTGTGTAGGTACACTACTTCTATAAGAGTTCCATTCTAATTCTGTTTTCTCTCCTCATTTATTAGTCCTCATAATTCTACAAAGAGAATTTTCCTCTAGTTGACTCTTTTTGAGGCACAATTCTGAAAGAAAGGCAAGATAAATGTTTAATGCTTTACCTTTATTTACCGGTTTTTCAAATAATTGTTTGAAAATAAAAGTTGTTTGTTTCATTATGAACTCATGGATTGAAACATATGTGATATGTTTCAATCCATTACAGTCAGATTGTATCACTTGTGATTAGTGGGAGCTCCACGGTGGCTCTAGAGTCCTTTTGACACAATTAGTATTTGTCAGCGTTCTGGCTTTCTGGTGTGACAAAACATCCCAGGCTCATCTTGTATATATAATGCTGCAGGCTTGGACAAGCCATTTTTTCTATGATCCCTGGTTCCTTTTAGTTGGAAATAGTATTTAGAAATTACAACCTGGACACTAGGGTGCCCATTAATACGGAGTTGGTCATTGTTTCCAGGTCGTTTTGGTGAGGAGTGCTAGGAAATAATTTTTAAGACAAAATATATCACAATTCAAATTCATACTTCTAATCCAAATTCAGACTACACTTCTTTGTTCAGCTATGATGAAGTATCTTATATCAGAGCAACTATTTCATGAAAACCAGCTGTGAAAGTTAAATTTGAAATGAAGAAAACCGCTTTATGGCATTGGAGAAAAGCAAAGTCAAACATGATTCAAGGGGCCAACATTTCTGAGAGAAGGCAATACATTAGTGTGAATCAGACTTTCTCCAACAATTTTTTTCCTTGAGACACTTGCTGGGAAGAAAACAGAAACCTGAAGCTTTGTTTTTCTCACAGAGCACTAGCCTTGTGTCAATGTTCCTCCAGTTACTTGGTTGTCTAAAGCTCATTCTCTAGTAAATTCCTCAGGAGGGTCACATAGGAATAATATTTTCCTGAGTTCTTACATATTCATAAAAGTTTGTAGCCCTTATATTTGAAAGTCTTTTTGGCTGGATATAAAATCTTTGGCTCACATTTTCTTTCCTTAAGTATGTTAAATATGTTACTCCATTTTTTTCTTGCATAAAGTGCTGCTTTCAAAAAGTCTAATGACAATCTGTTCCTCTTACTCTTGTAAATAAGTTACCTAGTTGTTCAAAACTTTTTTTAAAATTTGAAGTCCAATAGCCTCAATGGTGACTGTTCTGGGTCAGTTTTCATAAGTACATAATGTGCTCTTCCAGTATGTAGTTTCAAATATTTTAATTTCAGGAAAGCTTTCGCAAATTATGATCTTATTATTTGCTCTGTTTCATTGTTTTGGTTTTCTTTTTCAGAGACTTCTATTATCTGTATGTTGGCTCTTCTTTGCTTGTCTTCTATATTTGTCATTTCCTCTTAAAACCTTTTAATCTCATTTATGAATTGTTGTTGAGTTTATTTGCTCTTGTTCCTTGTAGTTTAGCCTGTATTTTTGAAATGATTTTATGTTATCAAATTCTTCTTTTTCAATGTCTTTTTTATCTCCCTTTCTCCAATAATTTCACTTCTAACATTTTCTAATTAGGTTTAAATTGATGATTTTGATATATTTAAACTATGGGGCCACCACTGCCACCTTCCCCAAATCCTCTGCCTTTCTTGAATTTATGTCTTTTTGTATGTATTTGTAACCTCAATGCCTGGCACATAACAAGTGCTCAATAGATGCTTGCTAAATCATATTCACCATCACTGACATGATCTTTACCAATGCAAGGCAAAGTGATCTCTTTTATCAAATGAATATATATTGAACATAGGGTGTATGAGAAATCTTTGTAAACCTAAGTTATTAAGGGATTAGACAAAAGAACATACAGTAATCAAGTTATTAGAATACATAAATAAATTTACAACTTGATTGTGTGAATTTCTGCTAAAGATAAACCAAAGCAAATGTTTCCATTTATTGTTGATGTTGCCTTTGAAATATACAGAACTACCTGGCTCAAGAAGAAGACTCAGGTTGAGATTGGGACGTATTGGGGAAGAGATATGGAAAGAGCTCAGGGTGTCAGAGAAGGCAGAAGGGCAGAAACACATTGTTTCTGCTTATGAAAATAGTGATTTATGTTCTAAAAACAATTAAACACATATCTGGTTGTCTTGGAAGGAAGGGAGGGGGTTAAATTAAAGGGAGGAAAAATCAGTAAAGCACAAGACAAATAACTTGAGACTGAAAGTTATATTGTTAAAGCTTTTGCCTTCTTCAACTGTTATATCTATGTGAATCAGGCTTTTCCTTACACCATACGACAAAAACAAAGTACAGAAATAAGTGCATGGACTACTACTCAGCCTATAAAAAAGAAGAAAACCCTGTTATTTGTGAGAATGTGGATGAAACTGGAGGACATTATGCTAAGTGAAATAACTCCAGCACAAAAAAAACCCACAAAATACTACATGATTTCACTTGTATGTGGAATCTAAAAAAGTCAAACTTAAAGAAGCAGAAAGTAGAATGGTGGTTACCAGAGGCTGAGGGTGGGGTGGGGTAAGAGCATGAGGGGACATTGACCAAAGGGTATAAAGTTCTCATTAGGCAGAAGGAATAAATTTGTAAGTTATTGCACAGCAAGGTGAACACAGTCAATAATAACATATGATTCAAAATTGCTAAGAGAATAGATTTTAAATGTTCTCACCATAAAAATATAAGTATGTGAGATGATGGATATAGTAATTAGCTTTATTTAATTATTCTACAGTGTATACATATACCAAAGCATCACATTGTACCCCATAAATATATACAATTATTGTTTGTCATATCAAAAATAAAAATTTTAAAAAGCAAATGGAGATTTATACTCCTGGCAGCATGGAGTAGATATAATTTTCCTATTCCTTCTGCCAAGTACCAATAAAATCCCCAAGCATTACATATAAACAAAATCAGAAGAAAACTCTAAAAGTTGGAAAGAAGACAAACCCGTGGGATTTGGGGGCCAGAGGAATTAGTTCCTTGTTTTATTTTGCCTGATGTATCCCAGAGATGGAGCTGAGACAGCCAGCAACCTGGAAATGCCAATGGGTACAGACCAAAAGAAGCCCCAACAAAAGTCTGATCTTTCTGGCCAAAGGACCAGGAAAGGGGAAGCCTATAAGAAGAAACTTTTAGACAATAACTGCTACACTCTAACCAAACCAAAACACAGACACACACACACACACACACACACACACAACCAACCAAAGAAACAAACAAACAAAAAAACAGGCACCATCCTGCATCCACACCAGCAAAGGGAGATTGGGGATTCTAGATGTCTACCTTTGCAACTCTGTCATGAAGTGTCCCCAAACCCCTGCCAGGGTGATATCAGGGAAGGCCAAGTAGATAACTGAGACTTTCACCCTCATCAGCTGAAAAGAAGTCATGGAGACCAGGAGACCATGTGGGGAGTCAGACTTCCATTGCTAGCTGGCAGTAGTGAGGCATCTCCTCCCTCTCTTGACTGAGATGTAGTCGAGATGTAGGAGGGCCTAATAAAGAGTCAGGACTTTTACCACCACTAGTGGTAATGAGGCAACCCCCACCATGGTGTCAGTGAAAACCACATTGGAAACTGGAACTCCCATTCACATCAAGAGGTTCAAAGAGGTATCCCTACCCTCAAGTGTCAATGGAGACCAAGTAGGAAACCTGGATTTCTGTCTCTACCTGGTGACAAAATGGCAGCACCCCTCCAAAGTGATGTCATAAAAATCTAGCTAAAATGGAAGGTTGAAACGAGAGCCAGAGTCACAGAATATAATGCAAAAAAGTCTAGATTTCAACTGAAAATTTTTTGTCATGCTCAAAACCAAAAATATCTCAAACTGATTGTAAAGCAGGATAATAGACGATTGAGAAAATAGACATATTAGAATTATCTGACAAAGTTTATAAGGCAGCCATGATAAAAATGTTTCAGCTATTGATTATCAACAAGGAATAGTGAGTCATTGTTAATTATTTCTTCAGAAGCAATTACCTGACTCAAAAGTGTTTTGAATTTGTAATTGATATATAATTATTATTATTAAAATACAAATTTCACATTTAAACCAAATCTATCCTATTTAATAGCCAAGAAACTAAATAATTCTGCAGGTTATAATGAGAAATATTAGCTTTTATGCTGTATAAAAATAGATATATTTAAAGTCTACATCATTTGTAAACTAATATATATTAGAATGGAATACTACTGTTAAATTTTTTTGTAACATTAAAAGCCAGTGTGCAAAAGTACTATCAGTGTTTGTGAAGAAAATAAATATGTCAATGTACCCTAAAACTTAAAGCATAATAAAAAAGAAAATAATTAAGTCAAAAGATTTTAAAATTCTTCAAGAAATTACAAATATGCTTAAAACAAATTTAAAAATATGAAGCCTCTACAAAGAAATAGTCTCAGCAAAGAAATAGAAGATATAAAGAAGAACCAAATGGAAATTTTAGAGTTGAAAAATAAAGTAATCGAAATGCATAGTGGAATGCTCTTCCTCAACAGCAGAATAGCAGGGGCAAAGAAGAGAACCAGTGAATTGGAAGATACAACAGTAGAAATTAACCAATCTGAGCAACACGGATTCTAACAGAGAAAATAGCCTAGGGGGAGAAAAAGAACAGAGCTTCAGGGACCTGTGGGATAATAGCCAAAGATCTAACAACCTTCCTATTACCTGAGTTTTGGAAGGAGAGGAGAAAGAGAGTGAGGCTGAAAAAGTACTCAAGGAAATAATGATGTAAAAATTTCCCAAATTTTTAGAAATATAAACCTGCAGATTCAGCAAAGAAGCAAAGCAAAGCCCAAAACAAGACAAACCCAAATAAATAAATTCCAAGATACATCATAATTACTTCTGAGAACTAAAGAAAAAGAAAATGTCTTGAATTCAATAGGAAATAAAATATATATTACCTATACAGGGAAAACGATTCTATTAATAATTATAGCAAATTTCTCATCAGAAACTATGGAGGCTATAAGGAAGTAGCATGACATCTTTCAAGTGCTGAAGAGAAAAAGCTGGCAACTGAGAATCCTATACCCAATGAAAATATCTTTCAGAAATAAGGAGGAAATCAAGACGTTCTCAGATGATGGAAAATTAAGATCATTTGTTGCCAGCAGACATACCCTAGAAGAATGACTGAAGGAAGCTTTCTAAAATAAAAAGAAAGAATTTTAAAAAGTGATCCTAGAACATCAGGAAAGAAAAAACATGGTAAGCAAAAGTATGAGTAAATACAGTAGGTTTTCTTTTCCTCGTTAGTTTTCTAAATCATGCTTGACAGTTTGTACAAAATCATAATGCTATCTGAGGTGGTTCTAAATGTATGTAGAGGAAATGTTCAAAATAACTATATTATAAATGGGGGGAGGACAAAGGGACATAAAGAGAAGCAAAGTTTCTATGCTTCACTCAAACTCATGAAATGAAAACACCAGTAGAATGTGTTACATTTTGTGTATGTAATGTAATACTTAGAGCAGCCACTAAGAAAGCTGTAAAAAGAGATCAACTAAAAACAATGTGCATAAATCAAAATGAAATATAAAAATGTTCAAGTAACATAGAGCAATACAAAAAGAAAACAAATGTAAAAGAACAAATAGAATATGAAAAATAAAGGGGAATCTGGTAAGATGGCTGAACAGGAGCAGCTCCGGTCTGCAGCTCTCAGCAAGACCAACACAGGAGGTGGATGATTTCTGCATTTCCAACTGAGGTACCCAGTTAATCTCACTGGGACTAGTTAGGCCGTGGGTCCAACACATGGAGGGCAAGCAGAAGCAAGGTGGAGCATCACCTCACCTGGGAAGTGCAAAGGGCAGGGACATCCCTCCCCCAGCCAAGGGAAGCCATGAGGGACTGTGCTATCTGGCCCAGATACTATGCTTTTCTCACAGTTTTTGCAGTCCACAAACCAGAGGATTCCCTCATGTGCCTACACCACCAGGGTCCTGGATTTCAAGCCCAAAACTGGTCGGCTGTTTGGGCAGACACTGAGCTAGCTGCAGGAGTTTTTTTTTTTTTTTTTTTTTTTTACCACAGTGGTGTGTAGAACTCCAGCAAGACAGAACCATTCACTCCCCTGGAAAAGGGGCTAAAGCTAGGGAGCCAAGTGGTCTTGCTCAGTCGGTCCCACTCCCATGGAGCCCAGCAAGCTAAGAATCACTGGCTTGAAATTCTCACTGCCAGCACAGCAGTCTGAAGTCGACCTGGAATGATCAAGCTTGGTCAGGGGAGGGGCGTCTGCTATTACTGAGGCTTGAGTAGGCGGTTTTCCCCTCACAGTGCTATGGAGTCCTGAAGTTCGGACTTGGTGGAATCCAACACAGCATGGCAAAGCAGCTGTGGCCAGACTGCCTTTCTAAATTCCTCTTCACTGGGCAGGGCATCTCTGAAAGAAAGGCAGCAGCCCTAGTCAGGGGCTTATAGATAAAACTCCCATCTCCCTGGGACAGAACACCTGGAGGGAGGGGTGGCTGTGGGTGCAGCTTCAGCAGACTTAAAACATTCCTGCCTGCCAGCTCTGAAGAGAGCAGTGGATCCTGACAAGGAGGGTTCTCCCAGCAGAGCGCTTGAGCTCTGCTAAGGGACAGACTGCCTCCTCAAGTGGGTCCCTCACCCCCGTGCCTCCTGACTGAGAGAAACCTCCCAACAGGGGTTGACAGACAGCTCATACAGGAGAGCTCCAGCTGGCATCAGACCAGTGCCCCTCTGGTATGAAGCCTCCAGAGGAGGAGCAGGCAGCAATCTTTGCTGTTCTGCTGCCTCTACTGGTGATACCCAGGCAAATAGGTTCTGGAGTGAGCCTCCAGCAAACTGCATCAGACCTGCAGAAGAGAGGCCTGACTGTTAGGAGAAAAACTAACAAACAGAAAGCAATAATATCAACATCAACAAAAAGGACCTCCACATAGAAACCCCATCCAAAGGTCATCGACCTCAAAGATGAAAGGTAGATAAATCCATGAAGATGAGGAAAAACCAGCACAAAAATACTGAAAATTCCAAAAACCTCTTCTCTTCCAAATTATTGGAACAACTCTCCAGCAAGAGCACAAAACTGGAGGACAGAGAATGAGTTTGACAAATTGACAGAAGTAGGCTTTGGAAGGTGGGTAATAACAAACTCCTGCGAGCTAAAGGAGCATGTTCTAACCCAATGCAAGGAAGCTAAGAACCTTGACAAAAGGTTACAGGAATTGCTAACTAGAATACCCAGTTTAGACAAGAACATAAATGACCTGATGGAGCTGAAAAACACAGCACAAGAACATCATGAAGCATACACAAGTATCAATAGCCGAATCCACCAGGTGGAAGAAAGGGTATCAGAGATTGAAGATCAACTTACCGAAATAAGGCATGAAGACAAGATTAAAGAAAAAAGACTGTAAAGGAACAAACAAAGCCTTCAAGAAATATGGGACTATGTGAAAAGACCAAGCCTACGATTGGCTGGGGTCCCTGAAAGTGAAGGGGAGAATGGAACCAAGCTGGAAAACACACTTCAGGATATTATCCAGGAGAACTTCCCCCAACCTAGCAAGACAAGCCAGTATTTGAATTAGGAAATACAGAGAACACCACTGATATGGTCCTCGAGAAGAGCAACCCCAAGACACATAATCATTAGATTCTCCGAGGTTGAAACAAAGGAAAAAATGTTAAGGGCAACGAAAGACAATGGTCAGGTTACCTACAAATGGAAGCCCATCAGACTAACAGTGGATCTCTCTGCAGAAACCCTACAAGCCAGAAGAGAGTGAGGGCCAATATTCAACATTTTTAAAGAAAAGAATTTTAAACCCAGAATTTCATATCCAGCCAAACTAAGCTTCATAAGTGAAGGAGAAATAAAATCCTTTACAGAGCAAATGCTGAGGGATTTTGTCACCACCAGTCCTGCTTTATAAGAGCTCCTGAAGGAAGCACTAAATAAGGAAAGGAAAACCTGGTACCAGCCACTGCAAAAATACACCAAAATATAAAGACCAATGACATAATGAAGAAACTGCATCAACTAATGTGCAAAATAACCAGCTAGCATCATAATGACGGAATCAAATTCACACATAACAATATTAACCTTAAATGTAAATGGGCCAAATACTCCAGTTAAATAGGAAGAGGGGAAGTCAAATTGTCTGTTTGCAGATGACATTATTGTATATTTAGAAAACCCCATCATTTTACCCCAAAAAATCCTTAAGCTGATAAACAACTTCAGCAAAGCCTCAGGATACAAAATCAGTGTGCAAAAATCACGAGCATTTCTATACACCAATAATAGACAAGCAGACAGCCAAATCATGAATGAATTCCCACTCACAATTGCTACAAAGAAAATAAAATACATAGGAATACAACTTACATACAATGGACGTGAAGGATCTCTTCAAGGAGAACTACAAACCACTGCTCAAGGAAATAAGGGAGGACACAAACAAATGGAAAAATATTCCCTGCTCATGGATAGGAAGAATCTATAATGTGAAAATGGCCATACTGCCCAAAGTAATTTATAGATTCAGTGCTATTCCCATCAAGCTACCACTTGACTTGCTTCACAGAATTAGAAAAAACTACTTTAAATTTCCTATGGAACCAGAAAAGAGCCTGTATAGCCAAGACAATCCTAAGCAAAAAGAACAAAGCTGGAGGCATCATACTACCTGACTTCAAACTATACTACAAGGCTACAGTAACCAAAATACCATGGTACTGATATCAAAACAGGTATATAGACCAATGGAACAGAACAGAGGCCTCAGAAATAACACCACACATCTACAACCATCAGATCTTCGATAAACCTGACAAAGACAAGCAATAGGGAAGGGATTCCCTATTTAATAAATGGTGCTGGGAAAACTGGCTAGCCGTATGCAGAAAACAGAAACTGGACCCCTACCTTACACCTTATACAAAAATTAATTCAAGATGGATTAAAGACTTAAATGTAAAACCTAAAACCATAAAAACCCTAGAAGAAAACCTAGGCAATACCATTCAGGACATAGGCATGGGTGAAGATTTCATGACTAAAACACCAAAAGCAATTGCAGCAAAAGCCAAAATTGGCAAATGGGATCTAATTAAACTAAAGAGCTCCTCCTCAGCAGAAGAAACTATCATCAGCGTGAACAGCAACCTATAGAATGGGAGAAAATCTTTGCAATCTATCCATCTGACAAAGGTCTAATATCCAGAATCTACAAGAACCTACATTTACAAGAAAAAACCAACACCTCCATCAAAAAGTGGACCAAGGATACGAACAGACACTTCTCAAAAGAAGACATTTATGCGGCCAATAAACACATGAAAAAGAGCTCATCATCACTGGTCATCAGAGAAATGCAAATCAAAACCACAATGAGATACCATCTCATGCCAGTTAGAATGGCAATCATTAAAAAGTCTGGAAACAACAGATGCTGGCAAGGATGTGGAGAAATAGGAACACTTTTACACTGTTGGTGGGAGTGTAAATTAGTTCAACCATTGTGGAAGACAGTGTGGCGATTCCTCAAGGATCTAGAACCAGAAATATCACTTGACCCAGTAATATCCCATTACTGGGTGTATACCCAAAGGATTATAAATCATTCTACTATAAAGATACATGTGTATGTTTATTGCAGCACTATTTACAATAGCAAAGACTTGGAACCAACAAAATGCCCATCAATGATAGACTGGATAAAGAAAACTTGGCACATATACACCATGGAATACTATGCAGCCATAAAAAAGAATGAGGTCATGTCCTTTGCAAGGACATGGATGAAGCTGAAAACCATCATCCTCAGCAAACTAACACAGGAACAGAAAACCAAACACCACATGTTCTTACTCATAAGTGGGAGCTGAACTGTGAGAATACATGGACACAGGGAAGGGAACATCACACGCTGGGGCCTGTCAGGGGATGGTGGGAAAGCAGAAGGGAGAGCATTAGGACAAATACCTAATGCACGCAGGGCTTAAAACCTAGATGGTTTGATAGGTGCAGCAAACCACCATGGAACACGTATACGTACATAACAAACCTGCACATTCAGTACATGTATCCCAGAACTTAAAGTAAAAAAAAAGAATAAGATCTCTATGCAAAAAAAGAAAAAGAAAAAGAAAATGCAAAGTTATACCCCAGCATATCAATAAATACATTAAATGTAAAATTTTTAAATACACCAATTTAAAGACAAAGACTGGCAGACTGGATTAAAACTATGATCCAATTATATACTGTCTACAAGAAACTCACTTCAAATATAATGATACAGGCAAGTTGAAAGAAAAAGGATGGAAGAAGATATATCAGGCAAACATTAACTGCAGGTAGGCAGGAGTGACTATATTAATATCAGATAAAGTAGATTTCAGGGCCAAAATAATTACCAGACAGAGAGGGAAATTATATAATGACAAAAAAGGTCAATCCAGGGAGACATAGCAATTCTAGCACCAAACTACAGAGCTGCAAAATATGTGAAAGAAGTGATAGAACTGAAAGTAGAAATGGACACACCCACAATTTCAGGTGGAGATATTGACATCCATCTTTCAACTACTGGTAGAACAACTAGACAGAAAATCCACAAGGATGTTGAAGAATTCAAGATCACCATCAATCGACAGAATCTAATCAACAATTGTACAACATTCCACCAAACTACAGCAGAATACCTGCCAAAATAGACCATATCCTGAGCCATAAGACAAACATCAAAAAAGTAAAAGAAAATCCTACAAAGTGTATTCTCTGACTACATTGAAATCAAAGTGGAAGTCAATAATAGAAAGATAACAGAAAAGTCTCCAAATACTTGGAAACTAAACAACCCATTTTGAAATAATCCACAGGTCAAAAAGAAAGTTTCAAGGGAAATAAAAAACATATGTAATAAAGTGCATGAAAATGAAAATATAACGTATCAGAATTCATGGGACATAGCTAAAGCAGTACTGAGAGGAAATTTTATAGCACTAAATACATACATGAGAAAAGAGGAAACCTCTCAAATTAACATTGTAAGATCTCACCTTAAGGACCTGGAAGATGAAGAGCAAAATAAATTCAGAACAGGAAGAAGGAAGGAAATAATAAATAACAGAAATTAATGAAATTGAAAACAGGAAAACAACAGAGATAAATAAAACAAATAAGATTCTTGTAAAAGATTAAGAAAATTGACAAACCACCAGTAAGACTAACAAAAATAAAGGAAGAAAAGACCATGTTATTGTAGTTTTAATTTTGGTGTCCATTTTTAGTGTCATCACTAGTACATAGAAATACAACTGATTTGTCAGGCCGGGTGTGGTGACTCATGCCTGTAATCCCAATGACCAATGTCAAGAATGCTATCCAACCCTGCAGATATCAAAAAGGGAATAAAGGAATACTACAAATAACTCTATACACATAAATTTTACAACTTAGATGAAATGGACCAATTCCATATGAAACATAAACTACCAAAATTCACCCAACATGGAAAAGACCATTTGAATATCACTATAAATAATAAGGATACTGAATTTTTAATTAAAATACTCCCTCCAATAAAAAGTCTTCAGGCCCAAATGGTTTCACTGGAGAAGTATACCACATGTTCAAAGAAGAAGTAATACTAATTCTACCACTTTTTTCAAGAAACTTGAAGAAGAGGGAACACTTTCCAAGTTGATGAAGCTAGTATTACCTGGATACAGAAACCAGACAAAACTGCTCAAAAGAAGAAAACCAAAGACTAATTCCTTATGAACATAGACACAAAAAATCCTTAATAAGATATTAGCAGGCTGGGCATGGTGGCTCATGCCTGTAATCCAAGCACTTTGTGAGGCCAAGGCAGGAGGATCTCTTGAGCTCAGGAGTTCAAGACCAGCCTCGGCAACATAGCAGGATCCTATCTCTAGAAAAAATATAAATTAATTGGCTCTGGTGGTGTACATCTGTAGTCCCAGCTGCTTGGGAGGCTGAGGCAGGAGGATCACTTGGGCCCAGGAAGTTGAGGCTACAGTGAGCCATGATTATCCCACTATACACGAGCCTGGGTGACAGAGTGAGACACTCTCATAAATAAATAAAGAAAATATTAGCATATAGAACTCAACAATACATTACAGAATTATACATCATAATGCAGGAAAGATCTAAAATTGACACCCTAACATCACAATTAAAAGAACTAGAGAAGCAAGAGCAAACACATTCAAAAGCTAGCAGAAAGCAAGAAATAGCTAAGATCAGAGCAGAACTGAAGGAAATAGAGACACAAAAAACCCTTCAAAAAGTCAATGAATCCAGGAGCTGGTTTTTTGAAAAGATTAACAAAATTGATAGACTGCTAGCAAGACTAATAAAGAATAAAAGAGAGAAGAATCAAATGGATGCAATAAACAATGATAAAGGGGATATCACCACCGATCCCACAGAAAGAGAAACTACCATCAGAGAATACTATAAACACCTCTATGCGAATAAACTAGAAAATCTAGAAGAAATGGATAAATTCCTCGACACATACACCCTCCCAAGACTAAACGAGGAAGAAGTTGAATCTCTGAATAGACCAATAACAGGCTCTGAAATTGAGGCAATAATTAATAGCTTACCAACCAAAAAAAGTCCAGGAGCAGACGGATTCACAGCCGATTCTACCAGAGGTACAAGGAGGAGCTGGTACCATTCCTTCTGAAACTATTCCAATCAATAAGAAAAAAGGGAATCCTCCCCAACTCATTTTATGAGGCCAGCATCATCCTGATACCAAAGTCTGGTAGGGACACAACAAAAAAAGAGAATTTTAGACTAATATCCCTGATGAACATCATTGTGAAAATCCTCAATAAAATACTGGCAAACTGAATCCAGCAGCACATCAAAAAGCTTATCCACCATGATCAAGTGGGCTTCATCCCTGGGATGCAAGGCTGGTTCAACATATGCAAATCAATAAATGTAATCCAGCATATAAACAGAACCAATGACAAAAACCACATGATTATCTCAATAGATGCAGAAAAGGCCTTTGACAAAATTCAACAGCCCTTCATGCTAAAAACTCTCAATAAATTAGGTATTGATGGGACGTATCTCAAAATAATAAGAGCTATTTATGACAGACCCACAGCCAATATCATACTGAATGGGCAAAAACTGGAAGCATTCCCTTTGAAAACGGGCACAAGACAGGGATGCCCTCTCTCACCACTCCTATTCAACATAGTGTTGGAAGTTCTGGCCAGGGCAATCGGGCAGGAGAAAGAAATAAAGGGTATTCAATTAGGAAAAGAGGAAGTCAAATTGTCCCTGTTTGCAGATGACATGATTGTATATCTAGAAAACCCCATAGTCTCAGCCCAAAATCTCCTTAAGCTGATAAACAACTTCAGCAAAGTCTCAGGATACAAAATCAATGTGCAAAAATCACAAGCATTCTTATACACCAATAACAGACAAACAGAGAGCCAAATCATGAGTGAACTCACATTCACAATTGCTTCAAAGAGAATGAAATACCTAGGAATCCAACTTACAAGGGATGTGAAGGACCTCTTCAAGGAGAACTACAAACCACCGCTCAATGAAATGAAAGAGGACACAAACAAATAGCAAAACATTCCATGCTCATGGATAGGAAGAATCAATATCGTGAAAATGGCCATACTGCCCAAGGTAATTTATAGATTCAATACCATCTCCATCAAGCTACCAATGACTTTCTTCACAGAATTGGAAAAAACTACTTTAAAGTTCATATGGAACCAAAAAAGAGCCCGCGTCGCCAAGTTAATCCTAAGCCAAAAGAACAAAGCTGGAGGCATCGTGCTACCTGACTTCAAACTATACTACAAGCCTACAGTAACCAAAACAGCATGGTACTGGTACCAAAACAGAGATATAGACCAATGGAACAGAACAGAACCCTCAGAAATAATACCACACATCTACAACTATCTGATCTTTGACAAACCTGACAAAAACAAGAAATGGGGAAAGGATTCTCTATTTAATAAATGGTGCTGGGAAAACTGGCTAGCCATATGTAGAAAGCTGAAACTGGATCCCTTCCTTACACCTTATACAAAAATTAATTCAGGATGGATTAAAGACTTAAATGTAAGACCTAAAACCATAAAAACCCTAGAAGAAAACCTAGGCAATACCATTCAGGACATAGGCATGGGCAAGGACTTCATGTCTAAACCACCAAAAGCAATGGCAACCAAAGCCAAAATTGACAAATGGGATCTAATTAAACTAAAGAGCTTCTGCACAGCAAAAGAAACTACCGTCAGAGTGAACAGGCAACCTACAGAATGGGAGAAAATTTTTGCAATCTACTCATCTGACAAAGGGCTAATATCCAGAATCTACAAAGAACTCAAATTTACAAGAAACAAATAACCCCATCAGAAAGTGGGTGAAGGATATGAACAGACACTTCTCAAAAGAAGACATTTATGCAGCCAACAGACATGCTCATCATGAAGAAATGCTCATCATCACTGGCCATCAGAGAAATGCAAATCAAAACCACAATGAGATATCATCTCACACTAGTTAGAATGGCAATCATTAAAAAGTCAGGAAACAACAGGTGCTGGAGAGGATTTGGAGAAATAGGAACACTTTTACACTGTTGGTGGGACTGTAAACTAGTTCAACCATTGTGGAAGATGGTGTGGTGATTCCTCAGGGATCTAGAACTAGAAATACCATTTGACCCAGCCATCCCATTATGGGGTATATACCCAAAGGACTATAAATCATGCTGCTATAAAGACACATGCACATGTATATTTATTGCGGCACTACTCACAATAGCAAAGACTTGGAACCAAGCCAAATGTCCAACAATGATAGACTGGATTAAGAAAATGTGCACATACACACGATGGAATACTACACAGCCATAAAAAAGGATGAGTTCATGTCCTTTGTAGGGACATGGATGAAGCTGGAAACCATCATTGTCAGCAAACTATCGCAAGGACAAAAAAACCAAACACCACATGTTCTCACACATAGGTGGGAATTGAACAATGAGAACACTTGGACACAGGAAGGGGAACATCACACACTGGGGCCTGTTGTGGCGTGGGGGTGGCGGGGAGGGATAGCATTAGGAGATATACCTAATGTAAATGACGAGTTAATGGGTGCAGCACACCAACATGGCACATGTATACATATGTAACAAACCTGCACATTGTGCACATGTACCCTAGAACTTAAAGTATAATAATAAAAAATATATATATATAAAATTATACGTCATAACTAAGTGGGATTTACCCCAGGGGTGCAAGGCTAGTTCAATATTAGAAAATTAATCAATATTATCTACCATTTTAATAAAGAAGAAAAAACACATGATTATATGCAGAAAAGTATTTGACCATTTGTGACAAAACATCTCAGAAAAACACAAATAGGAACTTCCTCAACCCGATAAAGAGCATCTACAAAAACCCTACAACTAACATTTTACTTAGTGATAAAAAACTAAATACTTTCTAAGATTGAAAACAAGGCAAGGATATTTGCCCTTATCACTGCTATTCAACATAGTGCTGGATATTCTAGCCAGGCAATAAGGCAAGAAAAAAAAACAGGAATAAATATCAGAAAGGAAGAAATAAAACTGTCCCTTTTTGCAGATTACACAATTTTCTACATAGACAATCACAAAGCATCCAAAAAAACATTCCTATGTTCAGTAAGGCCAGAGAATACAAGATAAGCATATAAAAATCAATTGCATTTCTTTCTTTTTCTTTTTCTTTTTATTATTTATTTATTTATTTATTTATTTATTTATTTTTTTGAGACAGGGCAGGCTAGAGTGCAGTAGTGAGATCTCGGCTCACTGCAGCCTTTACCTCCTGGCTCAAGCAATCCTTCTGCCTCTGCCCTCTGAGTAGCTGAGCCTACAGGCCCATGCCACCGTGCCCGGCGAATTTTATTGTATTTTTAGTAGAGATGGGGTTCTGCTGTGCTGCCCAGGCTGGTCTAGAACTCTTGGATTCAAGCGATCTACCCACCTCGGCCTCCCAAAGTGCTGGGATTACAGGCATGAGTCACCACACTTGGCCCGACAAATCAGTTGTATTTCTATATACTAGTGATGACACTAAAAATGGACACCAAATTTAAAACTACAGTAACATTTTAATCACCCCAAGAAATGAAATATTTAGATGTCAGTCTAATAAAACATATGTTAAACATTAAACACTGATGAATGAAATAAAAGAAAATCTAAAAAAATGGAGAGACATTTCATGTTCATGTATTGGAGGATTCAACGTAGTAAAGATGTAAATTCTTCCTAAACTGATATACAGGTTTAACACAATTCCTATCAAAATCCCAGCAAGCTTTTGGTTTTCTTGGTAGATACTTATTAATACAAGATTATCCAAAATTTCTATGGAAAGGAAAGGAAGTAGGATAACTAAAACAACTTGGAAAAAGAACGAAGTGGAAGGAACCAGCCTACAGATGGACCCCAGCTTACAATGGTTCATGATTTTTCAACTTTACAATGTCGTTTTCAGCTGTGTATGTTAATGGTGAGTACCCATACACCATTCTGTTTTTCACTTTCAGTATGATATTCAATAAATTATGTGAGTTATTATTATAAAATAGGCTTTATAAAATTGGCTTTATGTTAGATGATTTTGTTATAAAATAGGCTTTATTATTATAATAAATAATTTTCTATTATAAAATAGGCCTTATTATTATTTGTTATTATAAAATAGGCTTTATGTTAGATGATTTTGCCCAACTTCAGGCTAGTGTAAGCATCCTGAGCACATTTAAAGTAGGCTACATTAAGTGATGTTTCATTATTATTATTATTATTATAAAATTACATTATTATATTATTATTATAAAAACACATTGAGCACATTTAATGTACTTATGTACATTAAATACATCAGTACATTAAATGTGCTCAATGTGCTTTTGGCTTACAGTATTTTCTACTTATGATGGGTCTGTTGTGATACAGTCCCATCATAAGTTGAGGAGCATCTGTACTCAATTTTAAGACTTACTATATAGCTACACAACTCAAGACTGTGGTACTAGCAGAAGGAAAGGCACTTAGATCAATGGGAAAGAATAGAGAACCCAGAAATAAGCCCATACAAATATGCTCAGCTAATTTTTGCAAAAGCAATTCAAAACAAGCAACAAATGGTTCTGAGCAATTGGAAATCCATAGGCCAAAATATGAACCTCGACCTAGGTCTTACACCTTATCCAAATTTAAATGTAAAACATAAAGTATAAAACCTTTAGAAAAAAATATAAGAAAAAATCTTGGGATAAAGAACTAGGCAAAGAGTTTGACTTGAGACCAAAAGCATGTTCCATAAAAGGAATAAAATAGATTGGGCTTCATCAAATTTAAAAACTTTTTCTCTACAAAAGATCATGTTAAAAATATGGAAAAGCATAATGTGAAAAAATATTGCAAACCACATATCTGACAAAGGACTAGTATCTAGATACTCGATAGTAAAAAAGCTAACAAGCCAATTAGAACGTAGCTAAGAGATAATTCACTTAAGAAGTTATGTAGATGACAAACAAGCACATGAAAGGATGTTTAACATAATTAACCTTAGGGAAATAAAATTACAGTGTGATATTACCACATACCTACCAGGACTGCTAAAATAAAAAATAATGACAACACCAAATACTAGCAAGAATGTGGAGAAACTGGATCATTCATACATTACTACTGAGAATGTAAAATGGAATAGTCACTCTGAAAAACAGTTTGCCAGTTTCTTAAAAGACTAAACATGCACCGACCGCATGACCCAGTAATTGCACTCCTGGGCATTTATTCCAAATAAATGTTTACTTATATTTACACAAAAACCACAAACAAATGTTTATAGCAGCTTTATTTGTAATAACCCCAAATTATAAAATCTATATGTCCTTCAACAGGTAAATGGATAAGCAAACTGTAGCACACTCATATCATGTAATAATCATGCAATAAAAAAGAACAAATTATTGATCCATGCAACATGCTGGACGAATCTCCGGAGAAATATGCTGAAAGAAAACACCAATTGCAAAAGTTTATATACTGTATGATTCCATTTATACAGCATCCTTAAAATGGCAAAATCATAGAAATGAAAAGAACAAATAAGTGATTGCCAGGGGTTAAGGATGGTGGTGGTGGCTGAAAGGAAGTGGGTGGGACTGTAAAAGAAGAATACTTGAAGGATATATGAAGGATACTTGTGATGGAAATTTTTTTGTATCCTGACTATCAGTGTCAATATCCTGGTTGTGATATTGTGATTTTGCAAAATGTTACCATTAGGGAAAACTGGGTAAAGACTACACAGAATTTCTTTGTATTATTTCTTACAACTGCATGTAAATCTACAACTCTCTCAAAATTAAAAATGTTTATTTATTAGAAAGGTTTTTTTTAATAAGTGCATGTCAAATATTAAGGGGCAGGCAAAAGGAACTTAACCTGTGCTTAGACAACAAGGAACTATGAAATAGCTTCTGTAATGATAGCACCTCTTTATTGAACACTTACTCTATGCCTGGCATTGTTCAAGTTCTTTGTATGCACTCTCTAATTTAATCCTTAAGCAATTTAGAGAGCTTATGTAACCTTGTACAAGTTCACTCAGCAAGTGGAAGAACCAGTAATTTGACCTTGGATCTATTTGATGAGAAAGCATGTGTTCTTAACCACTGTACTATGTAGCCTCCCTATTGCTGAAGCAACGGAATCTGCTGAAAAGTTATGGGTTCAGTAGTATAACCTATTGATCCTAAAAGAAGCCACATGTCCTTTCTGCATTTGCAGCTTCAGAAATACGCCTGTAAAGTTAAATCATCATTTGTTCATTCAGTCTTTCAATTCAGTGCCAGGTATTGTGTAAGGTTCTAGGCATCCAAAGATGCAGAAAAATGTATCACCTGCCTGCTTGTGTGAGGAGCTTGGACACTCCAGGGGGTGACGGACAGTGATTCCTACCTATGTGCCCATTCCTGTGGCCACACGAAGAGAGCTAAATCCAATGTCAGGGTCAAGAGAGCTCTCTGAAAGTCATTTTGTCTCCTGGTCTCAGGTCCCCCCGACAAACTTTGCAAGAGGTCCTTCTTGGAGGTGGAGGTTGTTGGGGAGGTGTGGCACCTCTGAACTTTTTCTTTCAACACTTCACACAAAAATATATACTAGTCAAGCTAAAAAACAAAAACAGAAAATTTAACTCAGGTTTACATTTAGTTCCAGGCTTGAAGTGTTCTTTAGAAATTTTCCTGACTCCAGAAACTTTTTGCATCTCTTTGTCTTCATCTTGATGGGGAAAGGGAAGAGAGAAAATGTAATATAGCGGAAAAACCATAGACTTTTTGGCTAGCCATATCTGAATTCAAATCTTGACTGCCCAATATCGCTAATGTGGTGGATAGTGGTGGATTGCTGATCTTAGCAAGCTATTTAACTTAACCGAGAATGCTTCCTCATCTGTAAAATGGGAATATTAATATTCCTCCTAGCGTTGCTGTAGCCATTCAGTATCATGTAGATAAAACATCTGGCATATGATTGGTGCTTACTAAATGGTACCTATTATTATTTTCTTCCAACATGAAATTTCTTTAAGAGAAAACAGAAAGAATATCTTTGTAACCAAAAGGTGGTAGGTAAAGGTTTCATCAACAAGACTCAGAAAGCAATAACTGTAAAAGAAATATTTGATAAATTAGACTTCATCAAAATTAAAACTACTACCCAATAAAGATACTATTTGGAAAATCTACAAACTAGATTTGCTAGACTGTAGCAAACTACAGATGAGAAGAAAATGTTTCCAGGATGCATACATCTGACAAAAGAATTATACCCCATATCTCTCTGATGGTAGAGGATCTTACAGAGTTTCAGTGGCATTACACTGAATGATTTCACTGTAAGCCCAATTTATGTAGATGGCCTGAAAATTTACATTAAGTATCTACTGAATCCAAAACGTAATCCGAAAACTCCTTATTACCTAACTCCTACTGTACATTTGTTTTCTGAGGATCTTTCTCTTCTTTTGTTTTTTCTTTTTATTGTGAAAGAAACTAGAGTTCCACTAAGGAACCTGCTTAAAATGCATACCCGAGGATTTGTTGTATCAGTTAGGGTTTGTGTTTGCAAACAGGATCCACCGTGACTAGTTTATTTAAAAAAGGAATGTTAGGAATTTGTTAAAGTATGGTAGATAGTACACAGCATTTCCAGAAAAGCCAGAGAGACATATTCTGAAGCTGAGTAGCAACCACACTCAAGAGCTTCTCCACCAAAAATATCTCTACAAATGCTGTTTGGCACCTGTAATGCCTGGAGCCAGATGCCAGAGATACTACCAGTGCCACCTCTGCTGAAACATCCACCTTCCACTAAAATGCCTACCAGTTACTTGTTCCCCCATATCTGGCCACCTCCTCACATAGCTCACTTCTTCATTCAAGTCCTAACAGCAAGGATCTGATTGATAGAACCTAGATCACATGACTGCAAAGTTAGTTGACTTCTACCTTAGAAGAGTAGTCTTAAAATATAGGAGATCTGAAAAAATACAGGAAGGATATTTTAAAATGCTGGCTGCCACGATAAGAAAGGGCTATCCATTTTACCCTTCTTGTACAACAGAGTCTAGAAAACTAAAAACATGTCTCAGATACCTTTGCAGTTATGACTCAGGATGTAATTTAGGATTCACCAATCCCATGCTCCTACGTAAGATTTGGAAGGCAGAATTGAGGTGGAGGCCATGCTTTTGTTAGTTATCTCTGTTGATTCTCCTAGCTAGTCTTGGTTGTGTTGAAGTTTGGGGTGTGTATGTGTGTAAGTGCTTTGTTTTTCTTGTTTTGGTTTTGGTTTTGATTTTTTGTTCTTTGGTTAGAGTTGGCAGGATTCCTACTATCCAATCCTTAGCTTTATTGTTGTTAAAAGGCAGAATTAGGGGAGCATATATGTTTTGCTGTTTGGATTTAGGAAGCATCATTTGATTATGGAATTTGCTATTGCATAATGGTGGCTTTCTGTGGTGTGGATGGTGGATAAAATGGTGTATTTCTAGAGTCATCATTTATAGTGGTGGATTCTTGATTCCCAATTTTCCTGCTTCTTGAAAAGGTAAGGTAAGCAGGAAGCTCCCTTCTCTGACTGGCAAGTTTAGTAGTGTCGTCCTAAAATTCATTTCTTCAGCCCTTCCAAAGATTTTCATAAGCACTAACTCCCGGTATTTAATCTCTTTCTGCTGAAAATAGATGATTTCTGTTATTTATCATTTAATCTTTTCTAACATAGGTATTAGTTCTATAAATTTCCCTTTATCTACTACTTTAGCTGCATCTCACAAAATTTGGTATGTTGAATTTTCATTTAGTTTAAAATAATTTTCTAGTTTCCTCTGTCGTCTCTTTTTTTACTCATGAGTTATTTACTTGTATGTTATTTAGTTTGCAAATATTTAGAAATTATCCTAGTGTCTTTTTGCTATTGATATCTAATTTAATTCTATTGTGGAAAGACAACATACTTGGATTTGAATTAAATGTATTGTGACTTGTTTTATGGCCTAGAATATACCTTATCTTGGTAAATGTTCTGTACATCCTTAAAAATAATGTGTAATGTGCTGCGGGCTCTATAAATGCCAATATGTCAGGATGCTAGTGTTGTTAAAGTTTTCTGTATTCTCATTGATTTTCTGTCTATATGCTCTATCAGTTATTGAAATAGGCATGTTAAAATCACTAACTATAATTGTGTATTTGTCTATTTTTCTATCAGTTTTTGTTTCCTATATGTCAATGCTATGTTATATTAAATGCATGAACATTGGGGATTGTCATGTCCTCTAATGAATGGCCTGTTTTATCATTATGAGCAAACCCTCTTTATCCCTGGTAATATTCTTTATTCTGAAATCTACTTAGTCTGTTAATAATATATTACTTTGGTTTTCCTTTAACTAGTGTTAGCATGGTATGTCTTTTTCTATTCTTTTTACTTTGAACTTAGGTGTGTCTTTGAATTTGAAGTGGGTTTCCTGTAGGCAGCATATAGTTGGATCTTGCTATTTTTTTCAATCCAATCTTAAAATCTCTGCCTTTTAATTGGGGTGGTGGAGACCATTTACATTTAATTGTTAGGCTCGAATATTTCATCCTGCTATTTGTTTTCAATTTGTTCCACTTGTGTTTATTTTTTCCTCCTGTGATGCTCTAGATTATTTTTATAGTTCCATATGAAGTTCATCTCATAATGATAAAATGGCCAGTTCAACAGAGGATATAAAAATTCTACATGTTCATGAGCCTAATAAAATAGCTGATAAACACCTACACATATATTACATTTAACTATGTATAAATACAATTTTTATATATACAGATTAAGTATTCCTAATTTAAAAATCCAAAATCCAAAATGCTCCAAAATCTACTTTTTAAGTGTCAACATGACACTCAAAAAAATGCTTATGGGAGAATTTTAGACTTCAGATTTTTGGATTATGGATGTTCAACCTGTATCATGTATATGATATGTTAATATATGTATTATTAACTATTTTAGAGATTACTTTAAGGTTTATAGTATATATCTGTAACTTATCACAGTTTATCTTCAAATAATATTATAGTACTTCACATAAAACTTACTACATAAGCCTTACTACAATATACTTCCATTTCTCTCCTCTTAGCCTTTGAGTTATTATTGTCATATGTTTTTCCTCTACACATGTTGGAAATTCTACAATGTGTTGTTATTATTATTTTTGCTTAAATAATTACTTTTTAAAAGGTTTGTAAAATGAGAAAAAATCTTTTATATTTATCCACATAGTTACCATTTCCAGTCTCCTTAATCGTTTGTGTAGATTCAAACTTTTATCTGGTATCTATACCTTTTATATACACATGCTATAAAAACCCCTATTATTATTATTGTTGTTGTTGTTGTTTTGGAGATGGGGTTTCACTCTGTTACCCAGGCTGGAGTGCAACAGTAATCATAGGTCACTGCAGCCTTGAACTCCTGAGCTCAAGCAGTCCTCTCACCTCAACAATCTGAGTAGCTGAGACTACAAGCATGCACCACGTCCAGGTAATTTTTTTATTTTTTGTAGAGATGAGGTCTCATCATGTTGCCTAGGCTGGTCTTGAACTCCTGGGCTCAAGTGATCCTCCTGCCTTAGCCTCCCAAAATGCTGGGATTACAGGTGTAAGCCACGGTGTCTGGTCTTGAATTTCTTTTGTTACCAATGCAATTCTTAATGCTTTGGTGAAGAGTGGCTTACAGGCATGATATTATTTTTATATGCATTATCAATTATCTTTTAAAGATACACAAATAAAAATTATTTTGTATTGATCCATGTAGTTACCATTTCCAGTGCTTTTCATTCCCTTGTGTAGAACCTGATTTCTGTCATTTTTCTCATTTTTCTTCTGCCTGAAGAATAAATAGGTCTGCTGGTGATAAATTCTTTCTGCTTTTGAATGTCTGAAAAAAGTCAATTTCACCTTCATTTTCGAAAGTTTTAAGGGGTGTAAAATTCTAAGTTGAAAGGGTTTTCTTTTCCTTTTGGTATTTCAAACATATTGCTCCACTGTCTTCTGGCTTACAATGTTTCCAAGAAGAAATTGGCAGTAATTATCTTTGTTCTTCTGTACAGTAATGTATCTTTTTTCCTGGCTGCTTTTCAGATTTTCTCCTTATCATGTGTTTTAATTAATTTCACAATGATGTGACTTGTGCTGTAGTGTAGTGTTCTTCATGTTTCTTAGGTTTGGGATTTGCTGAACTTGTTGGATCTGTAGACTTAACATTTTCATTAAATTTAGAACATTTTCAGCCATTATTTTTCCTTTTTTTTTTTTTTGAGACAAAGTCTTACTCTGTCACACAGGCTGGAGTGCAGTGGCCCAATCTAGGCTAACTGCAACCTGAAACCTCCGCCTCCATGGTTCAAGCAATTCTCGTGCCTCAGCCTCCCAAGTAGCTGGGACTACAGGTGTGGGTCACCACACCCAGCTATTTTTTGTATTTTTAGCAGAGATGGGGTTTCATCATGTTGGTCGGGCTGGTCTTGAAATCCTGACCTCAAGTGATCTGCCCACCTTGGCCTCCCAAAGTGCTGGGATTACAGGCATGAGCCACCACACCTGGCCATTATTTCTTAAATATTTTTTTTTCTGTTACCCACCCACTCCTTCCTTCCTTCAGGAGCTCTGATTACATATATATTGTACTGTTTAAAGTTTTTCCACAGCTCCCTGATGCTCTGTTTTTGTTTTTCAGCCTTCTCTTATGTTTCTTCTTGGATAGTTTCTATTGCCATGTCTAAATCTTTTCTTCCGCAATGTTTACTTTGCTGTTAATCTGATTTAGTGAATTTCTCATCTCAGACATTATGACTGTTATAATAATTGTTTTAACAACCTTGTCTGCTAATTTCATCATTTGTGTCATTTCTGAGTTTATTTCATTTAATTGATTTTTTATTATACTTTAAGTTCTAGGGTACATGTACACAACATGCAGGTTTGTTACATAGGTATACATGTGCCATGTTGGTTTGCTATCCCTCCCCCATCCCCCTACCCCATGACAGGCCCGGGTGTGTGATGTTCCCTGCCCTGTGTCCCTGTGTTCTTGTTGTTCAGTTCCCACCTATGAGTGAGAACATGTGGTGTTTGATTTTCTGTCCTTGTGATAGTTTGCTCAGAATGATGGTTTCCAGCTTCATCCATGTCACTACAAAGGACATGAACTCATCCTTTTTTATGGCTGCATAGTATTCTATGGTGTATATGTGCCACATTTTCTTAATCCAGTCTATCACTGATGAACATTTGGGTTGGTTCCAAATCTTTGCTATTGTGAATAGTGCCACAATAAACATACATGTGCATGTGTCTTTACAGTAGAATGATTTATAATCCTTTGGGTATATACCCAGTAATGGGGTCACTGGGTCAAATGGTATTTCTAGTTCTAGATTCTTGAGGAATTGCCACACTGTCTTCCACAGTGGTTGAACTAATTTACACTCCCACCAACAGTGTAAAAGTGTTCCTATTTCTTCACATCCTCTCCACCGTCTGTTGTTTCCTGACTTTTTAATGATCACCATTCTAACAGGTGTGAGATGGTATCTCATTGTGGTTTTGACTTGCATTTCTCTGATGACCAGTGATGATGAGCATTTTTTCATATGCCTATTGGCTGCATAAATGTCTTCTTTTGAGAAGTGTCTGTTCATATCCTTCACCCACTTTTTGATGGGGCTGTTTGTTTTTTTCTTGTAAATATGTTTAAGTTCCTTGTAGATTCTGGATATTAGCCCTTTGTCAGATGGGTAGATTGCAAAGATTTTCTCCCATTCTGTAGGTTGCCTGTTCACTCTGATGGTAGTTTCTTTCTCTGTGCAGAAGCTCTTTAGTTTAATTAGATCCCATTTGTCAATTTTGGTTTTTGTTGGAATTGCTTTTTGTGTTTTAGTCATGAAGTCTTTGCCCATGCCTATGTCCTGAATGGTATTGCCTAGGTTTTCTTCTAGGGTTTTTATGGTTTTAGGTCTTACATTTAAGTCTTTAATCCATCTTGAGTAAATTTTTGTATAAGGTGTAAGGAAGGGATCCAGTTTCAGCTTTCTACATATGGCTAGCCAGTTTTCCCAGCACCATTTATTAAATAGGGAATACTTTCCCCATTTCTTGTTTTTGTCAGGTTTGTCAAAGATCAGATGGTTGTAGATGTGTGGTGATACTTCTGAGGGCTCTATTCTGTTCCATTGGTCTATATATCAATTTTGGTACCGGTACCATGGTATTTTGGTTACTTTAGCCTCGTAGTATAGTTTAAAGTCAGGTAGCATGATGCCTCCAGCTTTGTTTTTTCGCTTAGGATTGTCTTGGCTATGTGGGCTCTTTTTTGATTCCATATGAACTATAAAGTACTTTTTTCCAATTCTGTGAAGAAAGTCAGTGGTAGCTTGATGGGGATAGCACTGAATCTATAAATTACCTTGGGCAGTATGGCCATTTTCACGATATTTATTCTTCCTATCCATGAGCGTGGAATGTTCTTCGATTTGTTCATGTCCTTTTTTATTTCATTGAGCAGTGGTTTGTAGTTCTCCTTGAAGAGGTCCTTCACATCCCTTGTAAGTTAAATTCCTAGGTATTTTATTCTCTTTGTAGTAATTGTGAATGGGGGTTCGCTCATGATTTGGCTTTCTGTTTGTCTATTATTGGTGTATAGGAATGCTTGTGATTTTTACACATTGATTTTGTGTCCTGAGACTTTGCTGAAATTGCTTATCAGCTTAAGGAGATTTTGGGCTGAGACAATGGGGTTTTCTAGATATACAATCATGTCATCTGCAAACATAGACAACTTGACTTCCTCTTTTGCTAATCGAATACCCCTTATTTCTTTCTCTTACGTGATCGCCCTAGCCAGAACTTCCAACACTATGTTGAATAGGAGTGGTGAGAGAGGGCATCCTTGTCTTGTGCCAGTTTTCAAAGGGAATGCTTCCAGTTTTTGCCCATTCAGTATAATATTGGCTGTGGGTTTGTCATAAATAGCTCTTATTATTTTGAGATACATCCAATCAATACCTAGTTTATCAAGAGTTTTTAGCATGAAGGGCCATTGAATTTTGTTGAAGGCCTTTTCTGCATCTATTGTGATAAGCATGTGGTTTCTGTTGTTGGTTCTGTTTATGTGATGGATTACATTTATTGATTTGCGTATGATGAACCAGACTTGCATCCCAGGGATGAACCCAACTTGATCATGGTGGATAAGCTTTTTCATGTGCTGCTGGATTCAGTTTGCCAGTATTTTATTGAGGACTTTTGCACTGATGTTCATCAAGGATATTGGCCTAAAATTCTCTTTTTTTGTGTATCTCTGCCAGGCTTTGGTATCAGGATGGTGCTGCCTCATAAAATGGGTTAGGGAGGATTCCCTCTTTTTCTATTGATTGAAATGGTTTCAGAAGAAATGGTACCAGGTCCTTCTCGTACCTCTAGTAGAATTCGGCTGTGAATCCGTCTGGCCCTGGACTTTTTTTAGTTGGTAGGCTAATAATTATTGCCTCAATTTTAGAACCTGTTATTGGTCTATTCAGAGATTCAACTTCTTCCTGGTTTAGTCTTGTGAGGGTGTATGTGTCCAGGAATTTATCCATTTCTTCTAGATTTTGTAGTGTATTTGCATAGAGGTGTTTATAGTATTCTCTGATGGTAGTTTGTCTTTCTGTGGGATCGGTGGTGATATTCCCTTTATCATTTTTTATTGCGTCTATTTGATTCTTCTCTCTTTTTATCTTTATTAGTCTTGCTAGCGGTCTATCCATTTTTTTGATCTTTTCAAAAAACCAGCTCCTGGATTCATTGATTTTTTGAAGGTTTTCTTTTGTGTCTCTATCTCCTTCAGTTCTGCTCTGATCTTAATTATTTCTTGTATTCAGCTAGCTTTTGAATGTGTTTGCTCTTGCTTCTCTAGTTATTTTAATTGTGATGTTAGGGTGTCGATTTTAGGTGTTTCCTGCTTTCTCTTGTGGGCATTTAGTGCTATAAATTTCCCTCTACACACTGCTTTAAATGTGTCCCATAGATTCTGGTATGTTGTGTCTTTCTTCTCATTGGTTTCAAAGAACACCTTTATTTCTGCCTTCATTTCGTGATTTACCCAGTAGTCATTCAGGAGCAGGTTGTTCAGTTGCCATGTAGTTGTGTGGTTTTGAGGGAGTTTCTTAATCCTGAGTTCTAATTTGATTGCACCGTGGTCTGAGAGACAGTTTGTTGTGATTTCTGTTCTTTTACATGTGCTGAGGACTGCTTTACTTCCAACTATGTGGTCAATTTTGGAATAAGTGCGGTGTGGTGCTGAGAAGAATGTATATTCTGTTGATTTGGGGTGGAGAGTTCTGTAGATGTCTATTTGGTCCACTTGGTGCAGAGCTGAGTTCAAGTCCTGGATATCCTTGTTAACCTTCTGTCTCGTTGATCTGTCTAATATTGACAGTGGGGTGTTAAAGTCTCCCATTATTGTTGTGTGGGAGTCTAAGTCTCTTAGTAGGCCTCTAAGGACTTGCTTTATGAATCTGGGTGCTCCTGTATTTGGTGCATGTATATTTAGGATAATTATCTCTTCTTGTTGAATTGATCCCTTTACCATTATGCAGTGGCCTTCTTTGTCTCTTTTCATCTTTGTTGGCTTAAACTACGTTTTATCAGAAACTAGGATTGCAGTCCCTACTTTTTTTTGCTTTCCATTTGCTTGGTAGATCTTCCTCCATCTCTTTATTTTGAGCCTATGTGCATCTTTACACGTGAGATGGGTCTCCTGAATACAACACACCAATGGCTCTTGACTCTTTATCCAATTTGCCAGTCTGCATCTTTTAATTGGGGCATTTAGCCCATTTACATTTAAGGTTAATATTGTTATGTTTGAATTTGATTCTGTCATTATGATGTTAGCTGGTTATTTTGCCCGTTAATTGATGCAGTTTATTCCTAGCCTCAATGGTCTTTACAATTTGGCATGTTTTTGCTGTGGCTGGTACCAGTTGTTCCTTTCCGTGTTTAATGCTTCCTTCATGAGCTCTTTTAGGGCAGGCCTGGTGGTGACAAAATCTCTCAGCATTTGCTTGTCTGTAGAGGATTTTATGTCTCCTTCACTTGTGAAGCTTAGTTTGGCTGGATATGAGATTCTGGGTTGAAAATTCTTTTCCTTAAGAATGTTGAATGTTGGCCCCCACTCTCTTCTGGCTTGTAGGGTTTCTGCTGAGAGAGCCACTGTTAGTCTGATGGGCTTCCCTTTGTGGGTAACCTGACCTTTCTCTCTGGGTGCCCTTAACATTTTTTCCTTCACTTCAACCTTGGTGTATCTGATGATTTTATGTCTTGAGGTTGCTCTTACCGAGGAGTATTTTTGTGGCGTTCTCTGTATTTCCTGAATTTGAATGTTGGCCTGCCTTGCTAGGTTAGAGAAGTTCTCCTGGATAATATCCTGAAGAGTGTTTTCTAACTTGGTTCCATTCTCCCTGTCACTTTCCGGTACACCAATCAAATGTAGATTTGGTCTTTTCACATAGTCCCATATTTCTTGGAGGCTTTAACAGTTTTTTTTTTCCACTCTTCTTTCTCTAATCTTGTCTTCTTGCTTTATTTCATTAATTTGATCTTCAGTCACTGATATCCTTTCTTCCACTTGATCAAATCAACTATTGAAGCTTGTGCATGTGTCACAAAGCTCTCATGCTGTGGTTTTCAGTTCCATCAGGTCATTTAAGGTCTTCTCTGCACTGTTTATTCTAGTTAGCCATTCATCTAACCTTTTTTTCAAGGACTTTAGCTTCCTTGCGATGGGTTAGAACATGCTCCTTTAGCTCAGAGAAGTTCGTTATTACTGACCTTCTGAAGCCTACTTCTGTCAGCTCATCAAACTCATTCTCCGTCCAGTTTTGTTCCCTTGCTGGCAAGGAGCTGCGAGCCTTTGGCGAAGAGGTGCTCTGTTTTTTGAAGTTTTCCACTTTCCTGCTCTGGTTTCTCCCCATCTTTGTGGTTTTATCTACCTTTGGTCTTTGATGTTGGTGACCTACAGATGGGGTTTTGGTGTGGATGATCTTTTTGTTGATGTTGATGCTATTTGTTTCTGTTAGTTAGTTTTCCTTCTAACAGTCAGGTCCCTCAGCTGCAGGTCTGTTGGAGTTTGCTGGAGGTCTACTTCAGACCCTGTTTGCCTGGGTATCACCAGTGGAGGCTACAGAACAGCAAATACTGCTGCCTGATCCTTCTTCCAGAAGTTTCGTCCCAGAGGGGCACTCACCTGTTTGCAGTGTCTTTCAGCCCCTGCTGGGAGGTATTTCCCCGTCAGGCTACACGGGGGTCAGGACCCTCTTGAGGAGGCAGTCTGTCTGTTCTCGGAGCTCGAACACCATGCTGAGAGAACCACTGCTCTCTTCAGCGCTCTCAGACAGGGACGTTTAAGTCTGCAGAAGCTGTCTGCTGCCTTTTGTTCTGCTATACCCTGCCCCGAGAGGAGGAATCTATAGAGGCAGTAGGCCTTGCTGAGTTGTGGTGGGCTCCACCTAGTTCTTGCTTCCTGGCCCCTTTGTCTACACTGTGAGCTACTCAAGCCTGAGCTATTCAAGCCTCAGCAATGGCAGACGCCCCTCTCCCCTGCCGGGCTGCAGCCTCACAGGTCGATCTCAGACTGCTGCAGTAGCAGTGAGCAAGGCTCTGTGGGCATGGGACCCACCAAGCTAGGCACGGAAGGGTATCTCCTGGTCTGCCCATTGCTAAGACTGTGGGAAAAGTGCAGTATTTGGTCAGGAGTGTATTCCAGGAACAGTCTGTCATGGCTTCCTGTGGCTGGAAAGGGAAATACCCTGACCCCTTGTGCTTCCCAGGTGAGGTGATGCCCCTCCCTGCTTCAGCTTGCCCTCTATGGGCTGCACCCACTGTCCAGCCAGTCCCAATGAGATGAACCAGGTACCTCAGTTGGAAATGCAGAAATCACCTGTCTTCTGCATCGATCTTGCTGGGAGCTGCAGACCAGAGCTGTTCCTATTCGGCCATCTTGGAAGCCCTCCCATTGAACTGATTTTTTTTTCATATCACAAGTCATATTTTACTGCTCATGTGTATGTTGGGTAAGTTTTGACTGTATGTTAGTTGTTGTATATTTTACTTTATTTGGTGCTGAACATTTTTATAGACCAATAAATATTCTGGGCTTTGTTCTGGAATTCAGTTAAATTGCTTGTAAACATTCTTATTCTTTCAAGTCTTGCTTTTACATTTAGTTTGATGACATCAGAGCAGCATTTAATCTAGGACTAAATTTTCTCCACTGTTGAATCAAAGCCCTTCTGAATATTCTGTCCGATGTTTCATGAATGATGAAATTTTACACTCTGGAAGATGAGAATAGCAGCTATTGTCAGCATGGTGTGAGCTCCAAACATTGTTCACTCTAATCCTTTAATGTGATTCTTTCCCTCTCCTTGGGTAGCTTCCTCACATGCATTTACTAATCTTTTCTCTGGTGAGGACTCAAGAGGGATCCTTTGTAGATATGCAGAGGTCTTTCAGTCCATGCAGCTCTTTCTTCTTGGTCCTTTGCTCTACAAACTTGAATTTTCGTGTTCTCCCTACATCTCTATCTTTGTCTCCTCAACTTAGGGATGTCACCAAACACTGCTTGGGTTCCCCCTCCCTGAACCAAGTGAGAGTTCCCCAGAAACTCTCTCTAGACTGGAAGTTGGTACAATCATAGGGGCCCCTCATTTGTTTCTCATCTCTTGGGGAATACGTCTCTTTATTACCAGATTTTCATTTTTAAAACCATTGTTTCTTATATTCTGTTTTGTTTTTTCGATATTTTAGGTGAGAGGGTAAATTTAGTCCCTGCTATTCCATCCTGACCAGACATTAATGTCCTCATTATCTGCCATTGATCCTTGACTGATACTTATGTCAACCTTGCTTCTGTTGGATACATTCTGCTTGACCTCTGCTACCATAATACCTTTGTCATCCTTATTCAGTCAGAGAGATAATTTCAATGGTAACATCTTCCACATGCATCCCCAGTCTACAGAAAATAGCTGCTACAATACAACACCAATCCATTGGTGCTCCCTTCACTAATGTTATATCTTAGGGCTTTGGAAAATGGAGTATATTTTGGGCTGTCTCAAGGACATATTTATTGGTTGTGTGAATGGACCACATATTAAATTCACTCCAACATTCTTTTTCCTTCTAAAGTCTTGGAATTTCTTCATCTCTACATTTTCTCTAACACCGTCTAGCATCTCAACTTCCGTTTGGTATAGATCTCTGCTGAGACTAAGTTTTAGCCAACCAAACAAGAAATTATTAGAATTACCCCCAACTGTTTGAGCTAGCACACTAGTGGAGATCCAAAATCTTCACTAAGTGAACACATAATAATGAATTTGACCCAATCTAAAATTGTTTAGATCCACTCTCATGTAGCCTATCATTTATTAAAATGCATATTTCCAAGTTTTTGACTATATAAATTAGCAAAATCTTGTTATTTTGCTTCACTTTGCCAGAATGACATTGTAATTGCCTCTTTGGTCATATCTTGCAGTCTGACTTTATTACAGATATGAGGCAATGAGAAGTGGGTAACCGTACATGAGGAAAATATTAATTTCTACTACTAAGATAACGTCCTTTAGCGAGGTAATTTCAGATATAAATCAGGGCAGGAAAAGCCTTAATAAAGAAGGAAGGAAGGGTTTCTCCTGCTGAGACTTTGGAAATTGACATGCTCTTAAATGTCCCCATACTGGCCAGGCGTCAGTGGCTCATGCCTGTAATCCCAGCTCTTTGGGAGGCTGAGGTGGGTGGATCACGAGGTCAAGAGATCGAGACCATCCTGGCCAACATTGTGAAACCTCGTCTCTACTAAAAATACAAAAATTAGCCAGGCGTGGTGGCGCGCATCTGTAATCCCAGCTACTCGGTAGGCTGAGGCAGGAGAATCGCTTGAACTCTTGAGGCAGAGGTTGCAGTGAGCCTAGATTGCACCACTGCACTCCAGCCTGGATGACAGTGTAAGACTCTGTCTCAAAAAAAAAAAAAAAAAAAAAAAAGGCCCATACTGATTCTCCATGTTTCAGTCTTTCTCAGTCAGTACCCTAACTTCCATATAAGAATCCTCTTAAGGCTGTGAATTCAACCTATTTTATAATTCAGCATCTCACTGTGAGTTTGATTTTTCAGCTACATCAGCCCTATGGCTGCAAAAGATAGCATAGAAACTATCTGTTTGTAGGACAGTCTAATAAACTTAAAATTTTAACTTCTGATTTATCATCTTCTTTCTTTAAAGCCCCCAACTGAGTTAGAAGCAGCAAGTTCAGTCCATACTACTTGCATTCCTCAGCCCCTCCCGTGTCATGGAGGCCCCCAAAGCCTTAAGTAGGTAGATCAGGGATAATGTAAGTAATTATTTCATCACTCTGTGTCATGGGCTGCCGGAATCCCATCCTTCAGTACTAACTAACTAAACATGACCTTGCCTTCAAACTCAACCATGTCGGATAACCAACCACCAAGTCCCCATTTTATTGGGGATCTGTTGCTAGTAACCATTCTAAGTACCAATCAGTACATCTGTCAGGTCTTTAGATGAAATCAGTAGAATCTATTCTGACAATTTAAGCAAAAAAAAAAATGATTTTAGAATATTAAGTAACTCCTAGAATCTCCTGGAGGCCAGAAGAGCCAAACCCTGAAGGTAAACAGCCAGAAACAGTGTCCAACTATGTGGTCTCATAACAGTTTACTGGATATGAGAAACTCCACCTCTGCCACTCCCAAAGATCCAGAGACCTCTGCCACCACACGTGCTTGAAGACTTGAGATCATTCACATGAAGCTGTTTCATCATATTGCTTGTTTCCAAATCCAGGTCTCATGAAGGTGTGTTTGATTGCCAGAATTTGGATCATTTGACTGTACCTAGCTCCACAAGGTCTGCAATTGTGCATCTTCTGGCTTCTACATTGGGAAGACAGATTTCACAATATGGGAGATTACCAAAATGTAAGAAGTTTAAAGTTGTGGAATTTTTAGCCACAGTTACCCATAGTGCACATTTATAATTTAGTACACTTGTATGTATACACAGAGATGCACAATTTTAGTTGCCCCAAATCTCTGAACTTTGAAGATCAGTAAAAGCCTCCATTTGGGTTTACTTTTCTCTGCTTAAGTGGAAATGCGAGGGATATGAAAAGAAGCCAAAGTAGCCCTCAAAGCAGTCTTGCCTGAGACAGGAAGACTAGATGTGGTGCCAGGAGCGCCCCACCCTCCTGGAAATTCCTTCACTCCGTCACCATACAATATACCTGAGTGACCCTTGCTACAATATTGCACACTCGTTCCTCTATTTATAAAGCAGAATTTCTGGGTAGGAGAGCCCTGGCGAATGTCAGGCTGCCTCTGTGCCAAGATAGGATTAGGGTTCTCTGCATCTTGGTTACATCAATTGCTCCCAGAAAAGACAGAGGCTGGCCGTGGCTAAAATTACAGTAACCAGCCCCACCTGACCCCCCAGTAGCCAGCCCATCATGCCCACTTTTGGAATAGCTAATGTTCTGTCCTGCTTCTGGGGATCGGGTGGCTGAAGACTGCAGCCAGGGCTCATCTATGTGGTGATGTGGACTCCAGGGTTTGCAGCGGAAGCAATATCACCTGGGATTAAAGGATTGCTGCCTCTTTAAATCTGATCTCTCTCAGAGTTATTAGTAGGCTGTTCTTTGCCAATTTTTCTGCCATCATTCATTCAGGACTATAATTTTGTCCAGAGAAAAAGATCTCCGGATTCAGAAGTCTTTTCAAGCCAGTAAGGGTATGTGGAAAGATCATTATTAGCAAGACACATCCATCAAATCCCTTCTTACCACTTGCTCCACCAGGACTCTGGGAAAAAGCAGCAGGAGGCACAGCCTCTGCATCTGGGGCATATAACTCAACCCAGACATGGGGTCTTGGACAGGTCTTTAAAGGGCAGACATGTGACAAAGGAGAGCAGGGAGCAACTGACTCATAGGCAGACCACAAAATATGATGCTGACACCAAACCCATTGCTGTTCACCTCCACCCAGGTCCTCATTACCTCATTCTGGAGCTATTTGAACAGCCTCATCTCTTGTGTCTCCACCTTCCACAGCGCCCTTCCTCAGTCCACCCCAAGGACCCATTATTCTCCTGCTCAGGGACTCCCTCTGCTTCCAAGAGTGTTTCTCAACCTTTTGGTTAAAAACATTCAGAGCCTCCCACATAATAGAAATTGTGCTTTTATAATCATGATAGAAATTGTACTTTTGGTTATGAAAATAACAAAAAGCTACTTATAACTCAGGAAATCTTTTATATTAAGTCGTATCTTATTAATCCAAGCAGCATCTACATCATTCTAAATAATACATATTTGAGTGGGACATTATTTGTTCTGCCCAAAGACAGTGATTGTTGCATATTAGGATTTCAGTAATTCTCTTTCTTTTGTCCCATCTTCTGCTGGAGGGTCTACTATTCTCAGCACAAGGTTGAAATTTGTCACAATTTAGCCACCATCTATCTTCTTGACTAGAACCCCTTTGACTCCCTTTTATGAGTTGTTTATCCCATTAGGTTCACTCAGCATTCCTAGAGCTTGTTTCTCCACTTTGCTCACAATGTTCATGCTCACAGAGCCTCTTTTTGCCACTACCTCCCCACAATTGTTATCTACCCCAAATGCTCCTGATTGTTTGAGGCATAATTTAAATTCAGTCCACCATCAGAATAATCAGCAGGTGTTTGTTGAAAACAGATTCCCTGGGTTCTTGGGATCTCCCACTTCCTTAGTTCTGGGATAAGGCCCATGAATCTGTATTTTGATTGCCCCAAATTGTTCTTATGTCCTGCAGACTTAGGAACCACTTTCTAGACTTTTGTATTTCACAATCAATAAGATTTACATGTGCATGTGCACACACATACACACACACACACACGATTGAGGAGCTCACTGTAGGCTGCCACTTTATTTTTTTGTTCAGTAAGGATACTATAAAGCATCAGAGGAAAAGGAAATTGCTCTTTATGTCTCCTGGATAAAGCTGTCACCCCTTAAGTATTACTTTGAGTCTTGTGTATGGACTCAGCCCTGGACCTGGCACTGGAGAGTAGGGAACCCAATAAGGTAGTCCCTCCCTGAGGGTCCAATGGCCTGGGAGGGGTGGGGGAACAGGGTAACAGTTTTCCAGTGAAGAACAATTCAAAGTGATTTCAAGATGTGCTAAGAAGGTGGGAGCAAGAGTTGGCTCTTAGGAACAGGGGTCTGGGGGAGAACTTCACCAGGAAGGTGGAACCCCAACTGAGTCCTTGGAATGAAAACACCCAAGAAGGGGAGGAGAAGGAGCCAATTGTGAATGTAGGGGGTGGCCTAGATGAGTATTACCAGCCAAAAAACAGTCTGTCTTCTCAAAAGAGAACTTAATTTGCTTTGTCCTGAGAAAGAACTTAACCCGATGATGAGGGGAACTAAAAGCAGAGATCAGCTTTATCAACTAAACTCTAAAATTGGGTTCTGTAACTCTGCTGTGTACCTATAATTGAGCAACCTGTGTAAGGTTTATGGTATAAGTGTAGTAGAGCAGAAAGACACAGAGGTAGGGTCTAGGGGGTTGGGGGAAGTTCCATGTCTAACTCTGCAAGGATGAGTCACTTGGCTTCACTGAGCCTCAGTTTCTTCATGTGAATGGTTGGAATAGCATCTGCCTCTCAGCGATATTGTTGTAATTAGACAAGTGACTCTGCTCAACCACTACCCTTTCTATAAATCTGTTCTGACCCCAACCTTGGGATCCCCTAGTTAGACATCAGCACTTTGCCCTTCATTCCCTATTCTACTGTGTAGTGATATCTAACACATTTTTTTACATACTTCTATCCTTTTACCAGACCGAGAGCTCCTTGAGAAAAGAACTATGTCTTACTCATGTTAAGCTGTAGTGTCTAATGTACTGTATGGCTGGCACAAGTAGAAGTTTAATAAATATCTGCTGGATGACTGAAAGAATTACTGTTCTTCATAATTTAGATGTATTAGATATAATATAGATATGTGTTATGTATTATAATTATATATATTTATAATTATATAAAAATATATTTGTATATTAATTACATATACATATTATATAAATAATACTTTATATTTTTAAATATACATACTATATAAATTATGTAACATAATATACAAATGATATATAATTTATATAAAATATATAGTGTAAAACGCTATACAAATTGTAATAACTGTTTCCACTTCATTCTGCAGAATTTTCTTGCACTCTTTATGGCTGACTGAGTCTTTAATAACCAACTTTTTCCATGCAAAAGGAAGTTTACTAATGAGAAGTAAGAGTGAAGACTGTAGTGATAAAACCTTCCCTTAAATAAGAGAAGCCCTTTGAATCTTTAGGTGGTGAAAGATGATCTTTCGATTTGTGAGAACCCTTACATTTTGTAAGTACAGGTTAATATAAAGACTGCTATATTAAGGCAGGTTCCACTCATAAAGATAGTAGTAATGTAATGGCTAAAGATTCAGCAAAGCCTGGCAGTTAGCAAATGTATTCACTGTGCTTTAGTTTATACTTTCATTCCCAGAGGCAATTAGTCACTTAAGTAAATATTTTGGCCTAATTATAGATAATAATAAACAAAAATGTACTCACATTTTCTTGAGTTTGTCTGCATTCAAAAAGCTCACCAAACATTTGTTATTGTCTCTAATCACAGTGAGAGCCTAACTTAGGTAACTAATTGACCTTATGAATAGAAGATCTTAAGAATAAAACAAACAAATTTAATAAAGTTGCAGGGTACAAAATTAATGCAAAAAAGCCAGTAGAGTTTCCATATACTAACAATAAACTATCTAAAAAAGAAATCAAGAAAATAATTCCATTTATAATAGCATCCAAAAAAAAAACCCCAAAATACTTGGGAATAAGTTTATGGATGTGAAAGATCTGTACACTGAAAATATAAAACATTAATCTAAAAAAATGGAAGAAGACAAAAATACATGGAAAGATATCCCATGTTCATGGATTAGAAAAATATTGTAAAAATATCCATACTATCCAAAGCTATCTACATATTCATGTAATCCCTATCAAAATTCCCATGACATTTTATATAAAAATTTTAAAATCCTAAAATTCATATGGAATGACAAAATACTGCAAATAGCAAAAATAATCTTGAGCAAAAAGAACAAAGCTGGAAGCATCACATATGTGATTTCACAATATACTACAGAAATACAATAATCAAAACAGTATGGTACTGACATAAAAAGAGGCATGTACACCAATGGAATAGATCAGAGAGCCTATAAATAAATCCACACGTTTATGGTCAGTTGATCTTTGACAAAGGCACCAAGAACACACAACGGGAAAAAGACAATTTCCTCAATAAGTTGTATAGGAAAACTGCATATCCACATGCAGAAATATGATATTGAACCCTTTCTCACAGCACATAAAAAATAAGATGGATTAAAGCCTTAAATATAAGACCTGAAACACAAAACTACTGGAAGAAAAAATAGGGGAAAAGCTTCTTGACATTGGTTTGGGCTATGATTTTTTGGATATGACCCCAAAAGCACAGACAACAAAAGCAAAAATAGATAAATGGGATTGTATGAAACTTAAAACTTGTACACAGCAAAGGAAACAACAGAGTGAGCAGACAACTTATAGAATGGTAAAAAAAAATTGGCAAACCATACATCTGATAAGAGGTTAATACCCAAAATATTGTCAGCGATCTGAGGGGGAGGGAGGTGGGGTGGAGTGACGGGGGGGCACTCCTGCCCTGAAGCCCCTGGAACAGGATCTGGGATGAGAACTCCCCCTAACTTTCTCTCCTTCTCTGCAGAACGGGCTTGTCCTAAATCACACAGGGCTGGGAGAGGGCCATCTAAATTATGAAGAACAGTAATTCTTTCAGTCATCCAGCAGATATTTATTAAACTTCTAGTTGTGCCAGCCTTAGAGTACATTAGACACTACAGCTTAACATGAGTAAGACATAGTTCTTTTCTCAAGGAGCTCTCAGTCTGGTAAAAGGATAGAAGTATGTAAAAAAATGTGTTAGAAAGCGTTCAATATCAACAAAACAAATACTACAATTAAATAATGGGCAAAGGAATTGAAAAGACATTTTTCTAAGGAAGACATACAAATGGCCAACAGGCATATGAAAAAATCACTAATCATCAGGGAAAGGCAAATTAAACCACAATAAGAAACCTGTTAAAATGTCTATTATCAAGGCCGGGTGTGGTGGCTCACGCCTGTAATCCCAGCACTTTGGGAGGCCGAGGCAGGCGGATCACGAGGTCAGGAGATCGAGACCATCCTGGCTAACACGGTGAAACCCCGTCTCTACTAAAAATACAAAAAATTAGCCGGGCGCGGTAGGGGGCGACTGTGGTCCCAGTTACTCGGGAGGCTGAGGCAGGAGAATGGCGTGAACCCGGGAGGCAGAGCTTGCAGTGAGCCAAGATCGCGCCACTGCACTCCAGCCTGGGCGACAGAGCGAGACTATCTCAAAAAAAAAAAAAAAAAAAAAGTCTATTATCAAAAAGATGAAAGATGAGTATTGGTGAGGATGGGGAAAAAAGGGAACGCTTACACACTGTTGGTGGGAATGCAAATTAATACAGCAATTGTGGAAAATAGCATGGAGGTTCCTCAAAAACTTAAAAATAGAATTATCATATGACCCAGTAATCCCACTTTTGGGTATAGATATCCAAAGGAAATGCAATCAGTATGTCAAAGAGATATCTGAACTCCCATGTTCATTGCAGCATTGTTCATAATAGCCAAGATATGGAATCAACCTAAGTGTCTACTGAAGGATAAATAGCTAAACAAAATATGGTATATATGCATACAATGGAATACAATTCAGCTTTTGAAAAGAAAGAAATTCTGTAATTTACAACATGAATGAACTTGGAGGCTATTTTTGCTACATGAAATAAGCCAGGCACAGAGACACATGTAATGCATTTTCTCATTTATATGTGGAATCTAAAAAGTTGAACACATAGAAGCAGAGGGCAGAATGGTGGTTGCTAAGGGCTAGGAGGTGGGAGCAGGGAGATGAAGAGATGTTAGTCAAAGGTACAAAGTGTCAGTTAGACAGGATGAGTAAGTTCTGGAGATCTATTGTACAATATGCTGACTATGATTAATAATAATTGAAATACTTGAAAATTGCTAACAGAGTAGATATGAAATGTTCTCACCACAAAAAATGCTACAGTATGTGAGGTATGTGAGGTGATGGATATGTTAATTAGCTTGATTTAATTATTTCACGATATATGTATTAATATATATATCTTAAAACATCAAGTTGTACACCCTAAATAAATACAATTTTTACTTATCAATTATACCTTAATAAAGCTGAGGGAAAATAAAGTAAAACCATAGTGCAGTAAAAGCTCCATTAAAAAAAGAATATGCTAGGTACAGTGGCTCATGCCTGTAATCTAAACACTCTGAGAGGCTGAGGTGGGAGGGTTGCTTGAGCCCAGGGATTCAACATGGCGAGACCCTGAGCAACATGGTAAGACCCTGGTTTCTACAAAACATAAACAAAATTAGTCAGGCATGGAGGTGTACTCCTATAGTCCCAGCTACTCAGGAGGCTGAGGTGGGAAGATTGCTTGAGCCAAGGAGGTCAAGGCTGCAGTGAGCCATTTCATGCCACTGCACTCTGGCCTGGGCAGCAGACCAACACCCTGTATTTAAAAAAAAAAAAAAGAAAAAAAAAAGGTAAACAGGATCAGTATCTATGAACATGTTAATTATCTTTTCTCCATGTGGCTATTAGTTGACTTTTAGTCTTCTCTGATAATGAAGCTGGAAGGGACCTCAAAGATAATTTAATCTAACTTCCTACCCAATACAGGATGGATACCAAATGGACAGTTGTTGGGCCCTGAGAAGTTTCAGTGACAGCATGCTCTCATTTTCAGATAGCTATAGTTGTTAAGAAAGCATCCTTAATTTGGCAGAGACTGGCTAACTGCTCAGCAAACCTATTTCCGCTTCCTGCGAACACAGCTAGATGACATTTCCCACGTTTCCATCAAGTAGATGTGGCATGTGAGTAAGTTCTAGAATGTATCCCACTTGTAGGCATGGACATTAAGCTCCCCTCACCGTGTCCTCCACTGCATCCTCTGCCCTCACCTGCCAGCTGTATGCAGAGCATTCAGAGAGGATTGGGATGGCAGAGCTTGGAAGAAAACCACATAGAAGAACTGCCTGACTAGGAATATACAGAATGGACTATTGCAGGAGCAAGATATAGATTTCACTGTGTTAAGGGACAGCAATTTGAAGGTTGTCTCTTGGAGCAGTTAGTATGCTTTGACGTGCACAAAACTTGGCGCCTTGAAATAGAGTACCACCATCTCAAAAAAAAAAGGACTAAAATATGTGACATTGGCTTAGCAGTAAGAGGATGGGCAGCAAAACTACTGCTGGGAAAGGTATTTGCAATGGCAAAGTATTTGGTAAAAATATTGCCTACAATAATGTGGAAGGAGGCCCCATGCACACTGAGTGTGTAACTTTAGGGCAAGTGTTGGAAATAATTCTAGTGTCAGTGTGTATTGGCTACTATTGGCTGCAATGGGTACATATTACAAGAAGGACATGACCTCAGGAAAAAAAAAAAAAGGTCTTCCAGTAAAGATGAGATGAGGAGTGTGGCCTTCCCACCCAAACCTATTAGCTTGGCTAGCTTCAAAGGAACAATAAGCTTGGTGAGGAAGCAAAGAAACATATCAAGTTTGAGAATTATGCTTGGGAAAGAAATTAAAGAAATTAAGGTATAGTTACTTGTACATGGAACCAACTGGAAGCAAACAGATCAGAATCCCAGTAAAATTTTAAGACTATTGTATTACCAAAAAAGCCCCCACAACCCCATACTAAAACAATTTTATTTATTTATTTATTTATTTATTTATTTATTTATTTATTTATTTATTTAGAGACGGAGTCTTGCTCTGTGGCCCAGGCTGGAGTGCAGTGCCGTGATCTCGGCTCACTGCAAGTTCTGCTTCCCGGGTTCACGCCATTCTCCTGCCTCAGCCTCCCAAGTAGCTGAGACTACAGGTGCCTGCCACCACACCTGGCTAATTTTTTTGTATTTTTAGTAGAGGCGGGTTTTCACCGTGTTAGCCAGGATGGTCTCGATCTCCTGACCTCATGATCCACCTGCCTCGGCCTCCCAAAGTGCTGGGATTACAGGCGTGAGCCACCGTGCCTGGACCTAAAACATTTTTAACTGTTCAAGCATCAAAATAATCCTTGGGCCCCAAAACTTACATAAGCATGGATTAGCTACTAAGGTTGTTTGGCCCCCAAAGAGGCATACTCCAAAATACTCACTTCAATATAGTGAAATAAAGATGGAAGAACCTTACAGTGAGTGGATTCAAGGACTATAGAGAATAATGGACAAGAGTGTCTCTCCCTTAGTAGAATCAAGGTCTAATCAAAAAGCTTTTCTCTCACCCTCTTCCCCGCCTTAATAGGGGGATTTTGTAATGCCTGCCCAATATGCTTTTACAAATACTATAGACCAAAGATTGCTATGTGTCCCCTGTTCTTCTCTTTGTAAATAGGATGACCTACTGAGGTTATCCAGCCACTGCTCCATCACAGTCTGTTAGGTGTGTGTGTGAATGTTGGGGTATTGCAAGTGGGCAGACAACTTGTCTTTTTAATTCATAGGTTTTCACACCCCAAGAAGCATCAATTGAATCTGAGAGAGAGGTCTATGCAATACTCAGAAACACTGGATTTGAGCTAGACACGATCTAGTAAGTCTGGGCCAGACTTGTGGCTATTTTCCTTGAAAAGCAGGAAGTATATTCTATGTGTGGGAAGAAGAATAAAACAGTATTTGGTGTCTGTAAGGGCAGTTCATGGCAGAGATTGGGTAGAAACAGAATGAATAGATTTCCTCTCATTCCTTGGCACACAACTAAATTACATTTTGCAATCTCCCTTGCAACTGGGGGTTGGCCTCACAATTGTGTTCTATCCCATAGAATGTGGTGAGAACTGACACATATCCCTTCCAAGCCTGGCCCATTAAACCTGTTATCCTCCACAGCTGCATTTCTTCCTAGAGGACTCTGGAGCCCTTGGGGATACAGCCTACTAAAGGGAAGGAGCCTGGGTCACTGCAACTCCACGGGAGGAGAGGTGCAGTAGCAGCCTAGCCAGGAATAGCCCACTGAACTATTGCCATAACAAGAAATAAAACATATATTTATCATCAGGATACTGAAATTAAAAGGTTTATTTTGCAAGTTGACCTTCCCTGACTAATTCACTTCTTCACAATAAATTCACTAATTCGTGAGCATCCATTTCCCTTCCACATATCAAGCCTAGATTTGCTCTCTAGAAATACACAGAAAATGTTCAGATTTTTTTTTTAACCTGACAGCTGTTCAGACATTGGAAGACAACTGTCATGCTCCCACCCACTGTCTTTCCTTTTTCAAGCTAAATATCCTAAATTTCCTCATCATATTTTTCATTCCTCATATTTTAAAACTGCCATCTTTCTATGAATATGGATGGGGAGGGGACAGGTTCCTTGGTACTGGCTAGAATTTTTCAAAATGGAAATTGTGGTTAGGTAAAATGTCTTGACAGATCATTTTCTAATTTGATGTCCTCCATTTCCATTTGGAAAAATCCCCATGGGCTGATTGACACCCTCACAGCAAAATCAAAGCAAAAATGGATTCGCTGGGCAAAACAGTATACAAGCTTTGGACAAATAGAGTTATGCTAATTCTCTAAGATGTTCTGCAGAAGCTTGAGTCAATTCGTTGGCAACCATGTCAGGTCAACCAACCAACCAATACATATAGCTCCTAGGTTATTCAATGCTCTGTATAGTCAAGAAGCTGTAGTATGTAAATGTGAAGAGCAAAGTCTTTGGTGTCAGGAAGATGAGAGTGGTAGTTTTCTTTCAAAATTCCTTCTACACTTCTTTCACATTAATAGAGTTTTTGGGTGTGTAGCCTCGCAATGACCACCCTTCCCAGCCTCTTCTGCAGCTAGTTATGGCAATATGACTTAAGTTTTGCATCAGTCAAATGTAAGTGGAAGTAATGTGCACAACTTCTTTGACACTTGGACAGAAGAAATTTGCCTTCCATTGACTTTCTTTCCTTTCCCTGGTCTCAGGCCCTCATTAAATTTGAGTACTGTATTTCTGCATTGTGATGGTCCAGAGCAGAGGCCCTAGGGATGAGAGGCAGAACAGACAAGATTGAAAACAGCCCAGATATCCACTAGCGAGAGAATGGATAGAAGATAATGGTAATTCCCATGTAGTAGTGAAAATAACTGAATTACAGTTAAGCACTACAAAATGTTCACATCTTAGAAAAAATATGTTGAATGAAAAGGCAAGTCCCTTTTCATTTGGCCTATAGAGAGTATGATATAATTTTAATAAAGCTCAAATAAAGCAAAATTTAATTATATGCTTAGGCATACATATTTATGCATTTTTTGAAGAAAAGGAATGATAAACATAAGACTCAGGATAGTAATCTCTGGAAGAGGGTAGGGAGGAGGAAGAGAAATTGGAATAGGGGAGGAACACACAGTGGACGCAATCTACTTAGGCTAGGTGGTGAATTCATGGGTGTTTATTATATTTTATAGTTTACATGTTACATTTTATATTATTTTATGCACATAGCTTGGTTAATAATAATACTTGGTTAAGAACACACTATCATCATTGGTCCACACAATTCACTATTTAAAAAAGAAAAGGAGGTCTTGTGTCAAGGTACACATTGCAGCGAAACAGAGACTCTAGGGGCCAGACGCAGATAAAATTAGATCAATTTAATAGAGCTCAGAGAAAGGGAAGAGGGAAAGAAGCAAATGCTTAGAAAATATGACAAAAATGTGAGAAATACCTTGAAATATATTTGTAATCACAATAAATGTAAAACGATTAAATTTGTATTAATGGACAAATTTCCTATTTGTAATAGGCATAATAGGCATATATGCTTATTATGCCTGTATATATATTCTTTTTAACAAACCTACCTGAACCGTAAGGCCAGAGGAAGACTAAATTTAAAGTTGGCTGAAAAATATATGCTCATTTAAATGTAGATTTCTGTCAGTTTGGATTTTTACAATTATGCGTATGAATATATAAGAATATATAATTTCAACAATCCAAATATATATTTTTATATACTTATATATTATATGTATTTATATTCTTGTATATATTATATATATATGAGCACATCAGAATCATAAAGATACAAACATTAAAATTAACATTTGGCTGAAAAATATTAGGTAAATACTAAAATAAGCTTGTATAGATATGTCACTATATATAGTATATATTTACAAATTGTACTGCAAAAAATGAACTTTCTGTAAAAAAAAATAAGGGATGAAAGAGGTAAGGGCTTAAGAATGAAAAAGCAACTGTTCTGAAATAAAGTCTAACAATTCTGAGCTTCTATGAGTCTAACAACATGTGTATATTAGTTTTCTAGGGCTTCCATAACAAAGTGTTACAGACTGGGAGGCTTAAACAACAGGCACTTATTTTCTCACAGTTCTTGAAGTTAGAAGTCTGAGATGAAGGTATCAGCAGGTTTGGTTTCCTTTGAGACCTCTCTCCTTGGCTTGTAGATGACTCTTTTCCCTGTGTATTCACGTGGTCTTCCCTCTATGTGTGTGTCTGCATCCCAATTTCCTCTTCTTATGAAAACAACAGTCATATTAAGGCTCACCCTAATGATCTTATTTTATTTGCCTGGTATCTGTTTTTCAGCCAAATGTAATTAACCTTATTTTAAGTTAATTACCTCTTTAAAGACCCTATTTCCAATACAGTCACATTCTGAGGTACTGGGGATTAGGATTTCAACTTATGAATTTGGGGAGAACACAATTTGGCTCATCACAGTGTGTTTCAAATGCATTTTTAAAAATGACAGAATTACAAGAATAGAGATATTCCCAGACATAGTGGGAGATTTTAACATAGCTGTACTGAGATCAAGTAGAAAAAAAAAATTTACAATTTGAGAAGTTTAGGATAACACAATTAACAAGTTAGACATGTAAGAAATAGCACCTAACAATTAGACAAATACCTTCTTATTAATTACACACAAAATCTTTCTAAAAATTGACCACCCTTATACTATAGAGCAAATATCAACAAGTATCCAAAGAATTGATGTTATGAAAATCTTACCTGATCAGTATTTCTTTGAAATTGATAACATAACTAGAAGTATTTGTTTAATATTTAAAACGTACTTCTGAATAATTCATGTCAAAGGTGAATAAAGATTGAAATTATAAAATATTTAAAACTAAATAATAAAAACTAGCATATTTTAAAACTTATAGGGTGCTGATAAAGCAGCACTTAGAAGGAAATTCATAGCCTAACATGTATATATTTAAGTGAAAGATATTCTAGACACTAAAAAGCTAAATAGACAAAAAGTTAGAAATGGTACAAAGGATGCTGCATACACATAGGCATATACAGGAGAGAAAAAAAGAAATTATAGTAAAGGTCAGAGCAGAAATTGATGCTATAAAAAATTTAAATACATAAGCAATATCAGGATTTAAATGTAAAAAAACTACAAATAAACATTTAAAAAATTTTAGGAATATGTTGTGGAAACTTTAAACCAACAAATTAAAAAAAATCTTAGCCAAATTGGAAAATTCCCCAGGGAAATAGGATGATAAAAACTATCTCAAGAAGAGACAGAGAATATGAATCAACCTATAGTTGTCAAAATTGATTCAGTGATTAGAATTTATGCACAAAAGTTTTCCAAATATTCTAGAAATAATCTCTATCTTACATAAAAATTTCTGGAGAGGAGAAAAAGTGGGAAGGTGATATAACTGTTTTTGAGGCTAATATAACCTCGATTCCAAAAATTAGCAATAATTCAAAAAGATACGTAAGCTCGGCTGGGTGCTGTGGCTCATGCCTGAAATCCCAACACTTTGGGAGCCTGAGGCAGGGGGACCACTTGAGGCCAGGAGTTAGAGACCAGCGTGGCCAACATGATAAAACCCCGTCTCTACTAAAAACAAAATATTAGCTGGGTGTGGCGGTGCACACCTGTAATCCCAGCTACTCGGGAAGCTGAGGCAGGGGAATCACTTGAACCAGGTCAGGCAGAGGTTGCAGTGAGCCGAGATTGCGCCATTGCACTCTAACCTGGGTGACAGAGCGAGACTCTGTCTCAGAAAAAAAAAAAAGATATGTAAGCTCATGTTACTCATACATGTCACTCATGAATACAAAATTCCAAATAAGATGTTATCAAATCCAATCTCTCAATGTATGTGGAAATAAATCATATCGAGTAGGTTAATTTCTGGAATGCAAGAATGGTTTAATATTAGAAAATCTTAACAGATGAAAGGGGAAAAGTCATAAAGTCATATGATCACACTCAGAAGTATTTGATAAAATACAGCATCCATGCATGGTTACAAAAACTATAAATTCTAAGCAAATAAGAATAGAACACAACCTTTCAATCTGCTAAAGCACATATGCCAAAAACCTACAAACACCAGCATACTTAATGCTAAAAAGGTAGAAATATTCTCTTTAAAGTCAGGAATAAAGCAAGAATTCCTGATATCATGACTTTAATACCACATTCCACTGTGATCTTATCCTTTCCACTAATACAAAAGAAGGAGGGAAAGGAGGGAGGGAGAAAATTGGAAAGCATAAAAGAAAATTGTCATTGTTCACAGAGGATATAATTGTTCACCCAAACTGCCTGAGAGTATCCGTAATTCTGATAAGACAACTTAACAAAGTTGTATATAAAATCAATACACAAAACTCATCAGTGTTCTAATAGGCCAACAATTTTAAAATAGAAAATGTAATTTTAAAAAGAAGTTTTTAAAAACAATATCAACAATATAAGGTACTTAGGAATAATTCTAACAGTGATACACAAGGCATTTGGAGAGAAAATATTTTTAAATTATTAAAAGGAACTTAAAGAATTTAAAGAATTTTAAAAGAACCCTATATTCCCCCAAATTAATGTACAAATTTAATGTAATTTCAGTCAAATTACCAACAGGGTTTTTTTCCCCATATAACTTGTTCAGCTAATCTAAATTTCATATTTAAAAATATCCAAAACAATTATGTAGATGAAGAGGCATGAAGAAGAATTAATCTCACCAGACAGACTCACTAGAAAAGCAGATAATAAAATAAGCATGGTGTTTATTCACCAGAATAGACAAAAGACAAATGAAGTGAACAGAGAGCCCACCCACAGCCCTAAATATATATAGAAGCTTGGTATGTGACAGAGGTGTCATTCCAAATCTATGAAAAATGGATTGGGTATTTAACGAATGGTATCTATCCATATGGCAGAGAAAATGTATCCCTACCTCATACCATACAAAAAAAGTAGAATTCAGAGATATTAATTTTTTCAAAGGAAACATTTAAAATTTATAGAAGAAGATACAGAGAACTTTTAAAACACAAAGTGAAAAAGAAATGCCACACACTGGAAAAAAGATTTTTGCAACATATTGTAACTAAAACAAAATGTTCATTCAACATTTCCAGGCCCCAAGACAGGCTCTTGGAAAACAAAGATGAATGTTAAAAATCACTCCTACTCGTTCGAGACCAGCCTGGCCAGCATGATGAAACCCCATCTGTACTAAAAATACAAAAAAAATTAGCCGGGCTTGGTGACGTGCACTTGTAGTCCCAGCTACTAGGGAGGCTGAGGCAGGAGAACGATGAATAAATAAATGGGACATTCATTCTAAGTCCAGTCATGGTAGGGAAGAAAGAAGCCTGGGGCAGAGTGACAGTCAAGACATACACCAGAATGTCGGTCTTGCTTTCACCAATCACATGCCTAGAATTGTGCCTGATATGTTATGAACTATTTTGGGGCCTCAGATTCCTCGTTTGTAAACTAAGGGGGTTGGGCCTGCTAATCTCTTTGCTCCCTTCCAGCTCTAACAGTTTGTTTTTCTGTAACTAGGAATCAGAATGACATGGATGGAATAAATGAGGCTCAGATATGAACCTTCTAGAAAGGTGAAGAAATTAGAAGTGGGAGGAAGAAGAGGCATAACATGTATATATATTGATCAATGGTTGATTCAGTTCCTACAGAAAGTGAGGGAATGCTGAGGCAAGAGAAAGACATGGTATGAGCCAAGGGGAGATGGCTTTCAAAGTAGACCTATACAGGAATTTGAGATTTTGTGAAAAGGAGGTGATAGCAGTCATGTAGAAGATGGAGAAAGGGTTAAATGAGGAGACTGTATGGAAGAAAAGCCAGTTGTTTTTGGAAGGCTACTTGGTGAGAGAGAGTGAGTGAGGTAGCAGCAAAGACAGAATTCCCTGATGTTGTTTGTTTGTTATGGAAACAGCAAAGCTTGAAAAGAGGAACAAAAAGGTTCCTCCCTTCACTCCCCGACTGACTGTGTATGTACCATAAGTGAATAGCAAGCAGCAAACATAGTGTGTCCTGCACCTGCACTGGCTGCCCTCCTTGAGGTTGTCCTTTCCAACTAATGGCCAGAAGAGCACTACAGGTGTTATGGAGGTAACCAGGTACAGCCAGGCTCCCATGACCCTTGGGCCACCATAAGTGTCGTTACTGCTTAGGGGTTGTACACTAATATAAAAGAATAAGATAACCCTAACACTCTAAAGTCAAGAGAATAATAATACTTAACTGAGAAGGAGTTGATTGCACACAGGTCTTGAGGAAACATATTCAGTAAAGTAAGGTCACTCTTTATCTTTCTGGCCTCACTGTCCACATCTGTCAAAATGAAGAAGTCAAATGAAATGATCTTCCGCAGTTTCTTTCTGTCCTAATGTTGGGTGAGAACTAGAGGTCACTATAGCTAATATACACATTAAAAAGGGGCAGTCGGTCACTTTCAAAGTTGGCCTCTAGAGACCCAAGCCTCAGGGTAGACTGGGTACAGCAAGGACTTCAGAAACTTAACCAGGTACTGTCATCGGCTTACAGACCACCTTCATGAGGCCCTCATAAAGTTTCGTGGTGTGTCTTTTTACCTGGTTTGTTCAGAACTGAAAGAAAAGGGATAAGATTATAAGGACTATCAAAGAGCCATAGAAGTGAACACAGTTGCAGGAGGAGAAATGAGGCCTTTTCAATTTTGAATTTTATATTTCTTAGGAATTTACTGAGAGCCATTTCACTATTTCCTTCCTCCCACCCCCCTGTGGAATTCTTTTCAAATTATACCATGATACTCGCAGGCTTAAGGCAGATTTGAAATGGAGATCAAATGAAACAGCAAAGCAGAAAGAAAAAATCAGAGCCCTATGTATTAAAAGGATAGATTCAAATCACAACCCCAAACCAACGGGAGACTAGTAGAGAGCTGGAAGGGTTCGCGTGTAGAGAACTGGAAAATGGAGATTCCATTGGCCTGGAAAGGATCCTTACACCTTAGGATTGCAACTGGCTTGGACTAAGCCTCCCTCTCCCTGATTATTCTGAAGGGATTTTCTGAAACTCCAAGTTGAGGAGGCTTTTCAGTTTTCTATGAACTTAAAGCACTGGTTAGTCTGTCTCCCTGACCAGGGTGAAAGCTCTGCAGGGCAGGGATCATGTCTGCCTCACTCACTCTTGTGTGCTCTAAACAGAAGCTCAATAATATATGTCGAGTGATTGAAGGCAGGAAGGAATGACTGTCTTCAACTTTAGACAGGCTCCGAAATCACTGAGGAACATGGTAAAAGCAGGTGTAACAGCCAGTTATCCCCACTGTCCAGATTAAAATTGTTGGAGGAGGAGGCTTAGATGTCTGTATTTTGTTTTTGTTTTTGTTTTTTATTATACTTTAAGTTCTGGGATACATGTGCAGAACGTGCAGGTTTGTTACATAGGTACACACATGCCATGGTGGTTTGCTGCACCCATCGGCCTGTCATCTACATTAGGTATTTGTCCTAATGCTATCCCTCCCCTAGCCCCCCACCCCCCAACAGGCCCCAGTGTGTGATGTTCCCCACCCTGTGTCCATGTGTTCTCATTGTTCAGCTCCCACTTATGAGTGAGAACATGCGGTGTTTGGTTTTCTGTTCCTGTGCTAGTTTGCTGCGAATGGTGGTTTCCAGCTTCATCCTTGTCCGTGCAAAGGACATGAACTCATTATTTTTTATGGCTGCATAATATTCCGTGGTGTATATATGCCACATTTTCTTTATCCAGTCTAACATTGATGGGCATTTGGGTTGGTAACAAGTCTTTGCTATTGTGAATAGTGCTGCAATAAACATACGTGTGCATGTGTCTTTATAGTAGAATGATTTATAATCCGTTGGGTATATACCCAGTAATGGGATGGCTGCGTCAAATGGTAGTTCTGGTTCTAGATGATGGAGGAATTGCCACGCTGTCTTCCACAATGGTTGAACTAATTTACACTCCCACCAACAGTGTAAAAGTGTTCCTATTTCTCCACATCCTCACCAGCATCTGTTGTTTCCAGACTTTTTAATGATCGCCATTCTAACTGGCATGAGATGGTATCTCATTGTGGTTTTCATTTGCATTTCTCTAATGACCAGTGATGATGAGCTTTTTTTCATGTTTGTGGGCTGCCTAAATGTCTTCTTTTGAAAAGTGTCTGTTCATATCCTTCACCCACTTTTTTTTTTTTTTAAATGGAGTCTCGCACTGCCAGCTGGGCTGGTGTGCGGTGGCACCATCTCAGCTCACTGCAACCTCCTCCTCCAAGGTTCAAGCAATTCTCCTGCCTCAGCCTCCCAAGTAGCTAGGATTACAGGCACCTGCCACCACGCCCAGCTATTTTTTTTGTATTTTTAGTAGAGACAGGGTTTCACTATATTGGCCAGGCTGGTGTCAAACTCCTGACCTAGTGATCCGCCCATCTCAGCCTCCCAAAGTGCTGGGATTACAGGCATGAGCCACCATGCCCAGCCTCCTTCACCCACTTTTTGATGGGGTTGTTTTTTTCTTGTAAATTTGTTTAAGTTCCTTGTAGATTGTGGATATTAGCTCTTTGCTAGATGGATAGATTGCAAAAATTTTCTCCCATTATGTAGGTTGCTTCTTCACTTTGATGATAATTTATTTTGCTGTGCAGAAGCTCTTTAGTTTAGTTAGATCCCATTTGCCAATTTTGGCATTTGTTGCCATTGCTTTTGGTGTTTTAGTCATGAAGTCTTTGCCCATGCCTATGTCCTGAATGGTATTGCCTAGGTATTCTTCTAGGCTTTTTATGGTTTTAGGTCTTACTTTTAAATCTTTAATCCATCTTGAGTTAATTTTTGTATAAGGTGGAAGGAAGGGGTCCAGTTTCAGTTTTCTACATATGGCTAGCCAATTTTCCCAGCACCATTTATTAAATAGGGAAACGTTTCCCCATTGCTTCTTTTTGTCAGGTTTGTCAGAGATCAGATGGTTGTGGATGTATGGTGTTACTTCTGAGGGCTCTGTTCTGTTCCATTGGTCTATATATCTGTTTTGGTACCGGTACCATGCTATTTTGGTTACTGTAGCCTTGTAGTATAGTTTGAAGTCATGTAGTGTGATGCCTCCAGCTTTGTTCTTTTTGCTTAGGATTGTCTTGGCTATCTGGGCTCTTTTTTGGTTTCATATGAAATTTAGAGTAGTATTTTCTAATTCTGTGAGGAAAGTCAATGGTAGCTTGATGGGAATAGCATTGAATGTATAAATTACTTTGGGCAGTTTGGCCATTTTCATGATATTGATTCTTCCTATCCATTAGCATGAAATTTTTTTCCATTTGTTTGTGTCCTCTCTTATTTCCTTGAATAGTGGTTTGTAGTTCTCCTTGAAGAGGTCCTTCACATCCCTTGTAAGTTGTATTCCTAGGTATTTTATTCTCTTTGTAGCAATTGTGAATGTGAGTTCACTCATGATTTGGCTCTCTGTCTGTTATTGGTGTATAGGAATGCTTGTGATTTTTGCACATCGAATTTGTATCCTGAGACTTTGCTGAAGCTGCTTATCAGCTTAAGGAGTTTTGGGGCTAAGACGATAGGGTTTTCTAAATATACAATCATGTCATCTGCAAACAGACAATTTGACTTCCTCTCTTCCTATTTGAATATCCTTTATTTCTTTCTCTTGCCTGATTGCCCTGGCCAGAACTTCCAATACCATGTTGAATAGTAGTGGTGAGAGAGGGCATCCATGCCTTGTGCTGGTTTTCAAAGGGAATACTTCCAGCTTTTGCCCATTCAATATGATATCGGCTATGGGTTTGTCATGAATAGCTGTTATTATTTTGAGATACATTCCATCAATACCTAATTAATTGAGTGTTCTTAGCATGAAGGGGTGTTGAATTTTATTGAAGGCCTTTTCTGCATCTATTGAGATAATCATGTGTTTTTTGTCATTGGTTCTGTTTATGTGATGGATTATGTTTATTGATTTGTCTATGTTGAACCAGCCTTGCATCCCAGGGATGAAGCCGACTTGATCATGGTGGATAAGCTTTTTAATGTGCTGCTGGATTTGGTTTGCCAGTAGTTTATTGAGGGTTTTTGCATCGATGTTCATCAGGGATATTGGCCTGAAATATTCTTTTTTTGTCGTGTCTCTGCCAGGTTTTTGTATCAGGATGATGCTGGCCTCATAAAATGAGTTGGGGAGGAGTCCCTCTTTTTCTATTGTTTGGAATGATTTCAGAAGGAATGGTAGCAGCTCCTCTTTGTACCTCTGGTAGAATTTGGCCATGAATCCACCTGGTCCTGTGCTTTTTTTGGTTGGTAGGCTATTAATTACTGCCTCAATTTCAGAACTTGTTATTAGTCTATTCAGGGATTCAACTTCTTCCTGGTTTAGTCTTGGGAAGGTGTATGTGTCCAGGAATTTATCCATTTCTTCTAGATTTCCAGTTTATTTGTGTAGAGATGTTTATAGTATTCTCTGATGGTAGTTTGTATTTCTGTGGAATCAGTGGTGATTGCCCCTTCATCATTTTTTATTGTGTCTATTTGATTCTTCTCTCTTTTCTTCTTTATTAGTCTGGCTAATGGTCTATCCATTTTATTAATCTTTTCAAAAAACCAACTCCTGGATTCATTGATTTTTTGAAGGGTTTTTCGTGTCTCTGTCTCCTTCAGTTCTGCTCTGATCTTAGTTATTTCTTGTCTTCTGCTAGCTTTTGAATTTGTTTGCTCTTGCTTCTCTAATTCTTTTAATTGTATGTTAGAGTGTTGATTTTAGATCTCTCCTGCTTTCTTCTGTGGGCATTTAGTGCTATAAATTTCCCTCTACACGCTGCTTTAGCTGTGTCCCAGAGATTCTGGTACGTTGTGTCTTTGTTCTCATTGGTTTCAAAGAACTTATTTATTTTTGCCTTAATTTCGGTATTTACCCAGTAGTCATTCAGGAGCAGGTTGTTCAGTTACCATGTAGTTGTGCTATTTTGAGTAAGTTTTTTAATCCTGAGTTATAATGTGATTACACTATGGTCTGAGAGACTGTTTGTTATGATTTCCATTCTTTTGCATTTGCTGAGAAGTGTTTTCCTTCCAATTATGTGGGCAATTATGGGATAAGTGCTATGTGGTGCTGAGAAGAATGTATATTCTGTTGATTTGGGGTGGAGAGTTCTGTAGTTGTCTATTAGGTCTGCTTGGTCCAGACCTGAGTTCAAGTTCTGAATATCCTTGTTAATTTTCTGTCTCGTTGATCTGTCTAATATTGACAATGGGGTGTTAAAGTCTCTCACTGTTATTGTGTGGGAGTCTAAGTCTCTTTGTATGTCTGTAAGAACTTGCTTTATGAATCTGGGTGCTCCTGTATTTGGTGCATATATATTTAGGATAGTTAGCTTTTCTTTTTGCATTGATCCCTTTACTATTATGTAATGCCCTTGTTTGTCTTTTTTGATCTTTGTTGGCTTAAAGTCTGTTTAATCAGAGACTAGGATTGCAACCCCTGCTTTTTTTTGCTTTCCATTTGCTTGGTAAATCTTCCTTCATCCCTTCTTTTTAAGCCTATGTGAGTCTTTGCACATGAGATGGGTCTCCTGAATACAGCACACCGATGGGTCTTGACTCTTTATCCAATTTGTAAGTCTTTGCCTTTTAATTGGGGCATTTAGCCCATTTACATTTAAGGTTAATATTGTTATGTGTGAAATTGATCCTATCATTATGATGCTAACTGGTTATTTTGCCCATTAGTTGACGCAGTTTCTTCATAGTGTCAATGGCCTTTACCTTTTGGTTTGTTTTTGCAGTGGCTGGTACCAGTTTTTCCTCTCCATATGTAGTGCTTCCTTCAGGAGCTCTTGTAAGGCAGGCCTGTTGGTGACAAAATCCCTCAGCATTTGCTTATCTGTAAAGGATTTTATGTCTCCTTCACTTATAAAGCTTAGTTTGGCTAGATACGAAATTGTGGGTTGAAAATTCTTTTCTTTAAGAATGTCGAATGTTGGCCCCCACTCTCTTCTGGCTTATAGGGTTTCTGCTGAGAAATCCGCTTCCTGATGGCCTTCCCTTTGTGGGTAACCCGACCTTTCTCTCTGGCTGTCCTTAACATTTTTTTCTTCATTTCAACCTTTGTGTATCTGATGATTTTGTGACTTGGGGTTGCTCTTTTCAAGGAGTATCTTTGTAGTGTCCTCTGTATTTCTTAAATTTGAATGTTGGCCTTTCTTGTTAGGTTGGGGAAGTTCTCCCGGATAAGATTCTGAAGTGTGTTTTCCCACTTGGTTCCATTCTCCCTGTCACTTTCAGGTACAACAATCAAACGTAGGTTTGGTCTTTTCACATAGTCCCATATTTCTCGGAGGCTTTGTTTGTTCCTTTTTATTCTTTTTTCTCTAATCTTGTCTTCATGCTTTATTTCATTAAGTTGATCTTCAATCTCTGATATTTTTTCTTCTGCTTGATCCATCCGGCTATTGATACTTGTGTATGCTTCATGAAGTTCTTGTGGTGTGTTATTCATCTCCATCAGTCATTTATGTTCTTCTCTAAAATTGTTATTCTAGTTAGCAATTCCTCTAACCTTTTATTAAGGTTCTTATTTTCCTTGCATCAGGTTACAACATGCTCCTTTAGCTTGAAGGAGTTTGTTATTACCCACCTTTTGAAGCCACTTCTGTCAGTTCGTCAAACTTATTCTCCGTCCAGTTTTGTTCTTTTGCTGGCAAGGAGTTGTGATCCTTTGGATGAGAAGAGGCATTCCGGTTTTTGGAATTTTCAGCCTTTTTGCGCTCCTTTTTCTCATGTTCATGGATTTATCTACCTTTGGTCTTTGCTATTGGTGACCTTCTGATGGAGTTTTTGCGTGGTCATCCTTTTTGTTGATGTTGATGCTATTGCTTTCTGTTTGTTAGTTTTCCTTCTGACTGTCAGGCCTCTCTTCTGCAGGTCTGCTGGAGTTTGCTGGGGGTCCACTCCAGACCCTGTTTGCATAGGTATCACCAGCAGAGGCTGCAGAACAGCAAAGATTGCTGTCTACTCCTTCCTCTGGAAGCTTCTTCCCAGAGGGGTACCTGCCAGATGCCAGCCAGAGCTCTCCTGTATAAGGTGTCTGTTGACCCCTGTTGGGAGATCAGGAGGCACGGGGGTCAGGGACCCACTTGAGGAGGCAGTCTGTCCCTTAGCAGAGCTCTAGCACTGTCCTGGGAGATCCGCTGCTCTCTTCAGAGCTGGCAGGCAGGAACGTTTAAGTCTGTTGAAGCTGCGCCCACAGCCGCCCCTTCCCCCAGGTGCTCGGTCTCAGGAAGATGGAAGTTTTATCTATAAGCCCATGACTGGGGCTGCTGTCTTTCTTTCAGAGATGTCCTGCCCAGAGAGAAGGAATCTAGAGAGGCAGTCTGGCTACAGTGGCTTTACCACACTGTGGTGGGTTCCACTCAGTCCGAACTTCCTGGTGGGGCTTTGTTTACACTGTGAGGGGAAAACTGCCTGCTCACGCCTCAGTAATGGCAGACGCCCCTTCCCCCACCAAGCTCAAGCATTCCAGGTCGACTTCAGACTGCTGTGCTGGCAACAAGAATTTCAAGCCAGTGGGTCTTAGCTTGCTGGGCTCCATGGAGGTGGGTTCCACTGAGCAAGACCACTTGGCTCCCTGGCTTCAGCCCCCTTTCCAGGGGAGTGAATGGTTCTGTCTCACTGGTGTTCCAGGCACCACTGGGGTACAACAAAATCCTGCTGCAGCTAGCTCAGTGTCTGCCCAAATGGCCACCCAGTTTTGTGCTTGAAACCCAGGGCCCTTGAGGTATAGGCATCCAAGGGAATCTCCTAGTTTGTGGGTTGTGAAGACCATGGGAAAAGCATAGTATCTGGGCCAGATAGCACCGTCCCTCACTGCGGGGTCCCTCATGGGTTCTCTTGGTTAGAGGAAGGAGTTCCCTGACCCCTTGCACTTCTCAGGTGAAACAACACCCCACCCTGCTTCTGCCCGCCCTCTGTGGGCTGCACCCACTGTCTAACCAGTCCCAGTGAGATGAACCAGGTACCTCTGTTGGAAATGTGGAAATCACCCGCCTTCTCCATTGGTCTCGCTGTGAGCTGCAGACCAGAGCTGTTCCTATTAGGCCATCTTGCCCTGGAAACCCCCAGGTTTGATTTTTTTTTTTTTTTTGCAAGATTCCTTTGTGGTTAGTGGTGTGTACTTTTATTGGGATGTACATAATAACTGACATCACCTAGACTCATTAATTCAATAAGTTTCCTAAAGGTAGCATTCTAAATCAGTAATTTCTTGTTCACTTATTGTCTTCTATAAAGAGAAACTTCCCCTCATCAATTATTTAGTTACCTGCAGGCACAGGTTATATAGAGTATATGCTTGATGCTTTCCCTTTGTCAACCTAAATTAATGACAGAGAGAGAGGCTCTCCAAAAACATACAAGTTTATTTGGGAGTGATGAGGATGACAGTTTGGATACACAAGCCATAATGGATCACAGGCATATCTGGAGAGGCTGGGTAGGGCAGACTTTTAAAGGCAAAGTGAGGAGGGTTACATACATTGTTTTGAAACAATTATCCTTGGCTACAATTAATAACAAGGGTGGCATCTGTCCAAGCTTGAACAGGCAGTTGCTGGGCTGGTATCTTTTTCTAAGTGGCCTTCAGCAAAAAGATTGCAGTTCAGCAAAGTCTCCTGGGATAGTTTCTATTATCAGGCAATTGTGTGTGAGCCCTCTGCCTTCTTCATGGCCTCTTGGCTTCATTGTGTTATGGTTTGATGTAAGTGACTCTGTTTTGCTTCTGACAAGTTTCCCACCTTTATTTACTAGTTTTCAAAATCATGAGTTGGTTTCCTAGCTTCTCTCTGAAGATAAGGATTTTGTTTTATTTTTAAAATTCTGAACGCATGGATTTTTACATATTTGATGTGCTATAATCCATTACAATTAGTATTCTTACTGATACTTGCATTGTTCCACTTTAAGTTGACAGAAGCCTCTTCAAGTTAGTTCCTCTGTCCTCTACATCCTTTTGACATGACCTAGTAGTGTTTGATAGCTTCACTGCTTTCTGGCATGATAAGATATTCCAAGCAAAACTTACACAAGGCCTGCCCCAGATCTGGATGATCCATTCCTGTAAGAAGTCTTGGTTCTTTTTAGTGGGAAGTAGAATTTGGAGACTATCATCTAGGTGCTAGGAGTTTTCATTGCCACTGAGTGAACCATGCTAGAAAACACTTTTTAAAAATATAAGATACATCATGGGTTCATTCTGATATCAATGACTTTAAATTTGATGGGAACAATATATTCAATTTCCAAAAAAAATTACAAGATGGGGGAAAGACATGGAAGAGAAACCTGTGGATGAAAAGAGACTTAAGGGAAATAGCAGCTCATAAGCTCAGGCTAAGTCCTTGGCCCCAGCCAAAAGCCATCATGCTTCACTAACCCATTTTCCAAAATTGGGAAGGCTACTTCTCGAAGTCCAGAATGGCAATAAAAGAAATCAAGAACTACAAAATGTTCTTACCAAATCTATTAAATTTTCTCCTTAATTTTTTAAAATTTTACCTTTTTACAATTTTTTAAAAATTATTACATAGCATTTGTATAAATTTCTGGAGTACATGATGTGTAATGATCAAGTTAGGGTATTTAGGATACGTATCACCTCATGTATTTATCATTTCTATGTGTTGAAAACACTTTAAGTCCTCTCTTCTAGCTATTTTGAAATAGAAAATACATTCGTGTTAACTATAGTCATCCTACTTTGCTACTAAGCATTAGAAATTATTCCTTCTAAGTATATGTTAGTTCTGATTACCCAACCTCTCTTACCCATCCTGCCCACACACACTTATCCCCACCCTGGTAACAATCATTCTACTTTCTACATTTATGAGACCAATTCTTTTAGTTCCCACATATGAGTGAGAACATGCAATGTGTGTCCTTTTGTTCCTGGTTTATTTCACTTAACATAAAGACCTCCAGTTCCATCCATGTTCCTGCAAATGACAGGATTTTATTCCTTTTTATAGCCAAATAGTATTCCATTGCGTATATGTACCACATTTTCTTTATCTATTCATCCATCTATGGGCACTTAGGTTGATTCCACATCTTTGCTATTGTGTATACTGCTGCAATAAACACAGGAGTGCAGGTTCACTTTGATATACTGATTTCTTTTCTTTCTGATAGATACGTGGTAGTGGAATTGCTGGATCATATGGTAGTTCTACTTTTTTGTTTTTTGAGAAATCTCTGTACTATTTTCCATAAGAGCTATACTCATTTTCATCCCCATCAATAGTGTAAAAGAGTTCCCTTTTCTCAGCATCTTTGTCAACATCTGTTAGTTTTTGTCTTTTTGATAATAATTATTCTAACTGGATTAAAATGATATCTTATTGTGGTTTTGATTTGCATTTCCCTAATGATTAGTGATGTTGAGGATTTTTTCATATACCTATTAGCCATTTGTTTCTTTTGAGAAATATCTATTTAGCTACTCTGCCCACTTTTAAATGGGATTATTTGGTTTTGGCTCTTGAGTTGCTTGAGTTCCTTGTATATTCTGGATATTAGTCCCTTGTTGGATGAATAGTTTGCAAATATTTTCTCCCATTCAATAGGTTGCCTCTTCAATCTGTTGATTGTTTCCTTTGCTGTGTAGAAGATTTTAGTTTAATATAGTCAAATTTGTCTATTTTTATTTTTGTTGCCTGTGCTTTTAGATCTTAGTCATAAAATCTTTGCCTAGACCAATGTCCTGGAGTGTTTCCCCTGTGCTTTCTTCTAGTAGTATTATAGTTTCAGATCTTTAAGTCTTTAATCCATTTTGAATTGCTTTTTGTATATAATGAGAGATAGGAGTCTAGTTTCATTCTTCTGTGTATGGATATCTAGTTTTCCCAGCACCATCTATTTATTGAAAAGGATGTCCTTTCCCCAGTACATGTTCTTGGTGCCCTTGTAAAAAATCAGTTGGCTGTAAATGTGTGGATTTATTTCTGAGTTCCTTATTCTGTTCCATTGGTTTATGTGTCTGTTATTGTACCAGTACCATGCTGTGTGGTTGCGATAGTCTGGTAACATATTTTGAAGTTAGGTAGTGTGATGTGTTCAGCTTTATTCTTTTTGCTCAGGATTGCTTTTTGAAAAGATAAACAAAATCAACAAACCGCTAGGTAGGCTAACCAAGAGAGAAGACCCAAATAAACAAAATTAGAAATGAAAAAGGAGACATTACAACTGATACTACAGAAATATAATGGATCATCAGAGACTATTATGAACAACTACAAACTAACAAACTGGAAAACCTAGAGGAAATAAATAAATTCCTGGACATATACAACCTACCAAGATTGAATCAGAATGAAATAGAAAACCTGAACAAATGAGTAATGATCGAATCAGTAATAAAAAAGCCTCCCTCTAAAGAAAAGCCCAGGACCAGATGAATTTAATGCCAAATTACCAAACATATAAAGAACACCAATTCTCTTCAAACTATTCCAAAAAATTAAAGAGCAGGAAATTCTACCCAATTCATGCTACAAAGTCAGTATTACCCTGATACCAAAATCAGATAAGACACAAGAAAAAAAACAAAACAAAAACTACAGGCCAGTATCCCTGTTGAAAACAGATTACAAAAATTCTCGGCCGGGCGCGGTGGCTCACGCCTGTAATCCCAGCACTTTGGGAGGCCGAGGTGGGCGGATCACGAGGTCAGGAGATCGAGACCATCCCGGCTAAAACGGTGAAACCCCGTCTCTACTAAAAATACAAAAAATTAGCCGGGCGTAGTGGCGGGCGCCTGTAGTCCCAGCTACTTGGGAGGCTGAGGCAGGAGAATGGCGTGAACCCGGGAGGCGGAGCTTGCAGTGAGCCGAGATCCCGCCACTGCACTCCAGCCTGGGCGACAGAGCGAGACTCTGTCTCAAAAAAAAAAAAAAAAAAAAAAAAATTCTCAACAAAGTGCTAGCAAACCAAATCCAACAGCACATCAAAAGATAATACACCATGATGAAGTGTGATTTATACCAGGAATGCATGGATGGTTCAACATATGTAAATAAATAAATGTTATACATCACCAATAGGATGAAGGACAAAAACTCTATGATCACCTCAATATATGCAGAAAAACACTGGATAAAATTAAACATCCCTTTATGAGAAAAACTCAATGAACTAGGCATAGAAGGAATATACCTTAACATAATAAAGGCCATATATGACAAACCCATAGCACACAACATACTGAATGGGAAAAGCTGAAAGCCTTTCCTCTCAGAACTGGTACAAGACAGGGATGCCTACTTTCACCACTACTATTTAACAAAGTACTTGAAATCTTAGCCAGAGCAATCAGATGAGAGAAAGAAATAAAAGGCAACTGTCCGTCTTTGCAGATGACATGACCTTACATTTAGAAAACCCTGAAGACTTCACCAAAAACCTCTTATAACTGATAAACAGATTCAGTAAAGTTGCAGGATATAAAATTCACTTATAAAAATCTGTAGTATTTCTATACACCAATAATGAACTAGCTGAAAAAGAAATTAGGAAGACAATCCCACTTACAATACTTATAATAGCTATCAAAAAATAAAATAAAATACCTTGGAATAAATTTAACTAAGGAGGCAAAAAAAAAAAAAAAAAAAAAAAAAACCTCTGTAAGGAAAACTACAAGACATTGATGAAAGAAATTGAAGAGGACACAAACAAATGGAAAGACATCCCATGCTCATGGATCAGAAGAATTAATGTCATTAAAATGACCACAGTACCCAAAGCAATCTATAGATTCTCCCTCAAAATACCAATGAAATTTTTCACAGAAATGGAAAAAACAATCCTAATAGTCGTTTGCTACTGAAAAAGAGCCTGGGTAGCCAAAGGAATCCTGAGCAAAAAGAACAAAGATGGAGGCGTCACACACTTTAATTTTATTGACATAAATATGATTAGGAAAATATTGAGAATCCCAAATGTGATTGGAGAGGGATTTAATTGGATGGTGGATGCCTATGACAAATCAGGCAAATGGAATTTTTCATTCAAGACTGAAAGGAGATGTAAATTTATTAAATATGGCTCAGGAAATTTGGACATCTAAATGCTCTGTCTTGGGAATAAAAATCAGAAGACTTCCTCTGATCTAGAGTAAAAGAATAGGATGTGGAATGGAGATTCAGTTTTCACTTTGGCTTATGAAATCTATAAGGCTTTATAAAAGTCTTAGATAATATGAAAAGTTTCCATGTTTCATATTGTTTCAGCAATGCTAATTTAGTGCTCATGTGCTCTAAAGTTTTCCATTGCTAAGCCTTTACTGTTCTCTTGGGAACTAAATTGTCTTTTCTAGGGTTTTGCATTTAACTTGCTGTAAGTAATTGACATGTGCCAGGGCAATGATGGACTGGAAGCTACTCAAAGTCTAAGGCTAGTTATTAAATCTGGTTTATGTGTTAAAAAGGTCAAAAGTTAGATATTTCCTTTCACACATCCCCATTCACCAAAAGAGGGCTGGATTCTTTTAGCTACAGGAATATGACCCCAAATAACTTTAAATTAGAGCTTTTTATTTCAACATATGTAAAATATATGTAAAATTGTAAAAGATTTATTTAATTTTCAAAATGTCAAAAATAAAGTAAATTGAACATTGGAAACTCACCTCCCAAAAATTCTGGTATGCTATGTCTATAAATACTTTTTTTCACCTTTATGAATAAAGTTAGCTGTCTTTGGAGCACTCTATATCAGCTGATGCTTTAAATAGTCAGATCCTGCCACTAAGTCTAGAATTGGCTCAATTCTGGAAAGTTTTTTACAGCTGCCTCCGAGGGCAAAAGCCTTTAGAAATATGCACCCATTGAAGTCTCTGATTCCCATGACCACGCACTGGTGTTCCAGGGCCCAGCAAGCATAGTACCTTTGATAACAAAAGCAAATATTTGCCATCCTTAGAAAGCAATACAAAACAACCAGCTCCAACACATCCCAAGCTTCTGTATGGGTGAATGAACACTCCTTCTTGGTTCATATTTGCTTGTGGAACATCTGTTTTGACTGTTCATTGTATGTGTGTAATTATGCTCTGTTCATAGTAACTTTTTCATATTATGGACTTTATTTGCATTGAAAACACACTGCAAATAAAAAGAAATGCCAAAAGAGAAACCAGAGAAGAAAAAGAGATGGGGGAGCAGCGAAAGGAAGAGTAGCTCCGGGCCTTTAAGGAGCAGAAGCCAAGTGATCCTGGGGCCAGAGCCAGGGCCCCAAGGCTACTGAGACCTCAGCGGTCACTGCGACAATGGCTGAGAAGGGGCAGCATCCTCATCTGCAGCTTGGACAGAGGACTTGGCATTCCAGGAGCATCTACTGAGGTTCAAACTTCCACTTGTGCCCCTCCTGCTCTGATGTGGGAAGCCATGTACCCTAGCGAGGCTTGCTGCACCACAGTGAGGACGCTGTCCTGTTACTGTGCTTCAGATGGGGGCTCACCCTCCAAGTTCCTCCAGAGGCTGGCACCCCTCCCAAGGTCAGTGCACGTGCCAACACACTCCAATGCCCTCAAATGTTCCTGACCCCCTGATACACAACCAAAGAGGTGGCGGGGAACCCAGACTTGTTGCTAGTACAGGTGAGTGGATGGAGGGCTTGATCATTCACACTCGAGGGGAGGACTGCACCCTAAACAGTGAGAGTAGGCTGTGAGAGATGGCCCCATTACAGCAGTGTAGGGGCAGGGGCACCCACCCATGCTGGGGGGTGCAGGGTCAGCCTGCCTCGGCACTCTGCTCTGAGATCAGGCTTGGCCAACTCAGACTCCTTGGAGGTAAGCACAGGCCCAATATAAGGATAAAAAACCTCCCAGCTGTGTTGATAACTCTGCAAGTTACCTAGCCACATTAAGTCTCAGTCTCCCCACCTCTGAAATGGAGACAGTAATAGGACCTACTGCATAGGGCTGCTGAGGTGATGAAACGTGATGATATAAAGAACTTCCTTGTTCTGGTGCCTGATATATAGTCTACATGCATTAAAATGACACTGGACCAGGCTCTAGCTACCTTTTGTGTGTGTGTGGCAAGGTTGCACTGTTGCCCAGGCTGGGGTGCAGTGACATGATCACAGCACACTGCAGCCTCAGCCTCCTGGGCTCAAGCAGTCCTCCCACCTCAGCCTCCCAAAGTGTTTGGCATTACAGGCGTGAGCCACCACACTTAGGACTCTTGCTACTTTCAGCTGAGCAATTTGTGTGTTTAAGGAGCCAGGTGCTTGGGAAGAGATGCCACCAGAAGGAGGGAAGCCCTGGGAAAACCAAGAGAGTTTGGATTGAGGAAATTGACTGAGGATCCCAAAGGGGCACAGATTTGGCCTGACATGCCCAGAGGTTCTTGGGAACCATTTCGAGCAGGTGCACAGCAGCCACTGAACCCGCCCCACACCGTCTGCTCTCTGGCAGCCCAGACAAAGAAGAACTCTAGACCTCAGAATCCTGCAGGAGCGATGATACATGTCTTGACAAACAGGGTAAATTCAGGGCAACTGTGAGGGCCCTTGTTACATTCTTGAGCTACAGGAGAGGCCGCTGCTTGGGTTTCGGTTGTTCTTGGCCTCCTCACTAACCTGGGGCACTATTTCCTCCTCCTCTCCTGTCCCCCATGCCTCCCCCACCCTCTTTAAAAAAAATGTTTAAAGGCTTTTGTGAGTGAATGATCTTAATCATGAAGCAGGCATGATGACAGTTTGCAGAGCTAAATGGGCACTTAACTGTGTGTCTAATAAATCCGCAACAAAAATAAACAGAAAGGAAGAGGGTTTGGGAAAGAAAGGAGGCCAGGCCGGCAGGCATGAAAGGAGCCTGTCATGGTGATTTACACAGCACCCCTCGGCAGGCGGTTTCCGCCCCGGCCCCTCCTGGCCGTGGCTGACCTGCAGATGCCAGAGGCTGACAGCACAGAGCAGCAGGTGGAGGCCAGTGCCAGAGCACACCTGGATGGAGTGCAAGCAGAGTGGAAAAGGAGGCAGGAAGGCTGCCCCATCCACTGTCCATGGGTAAGGCAAAGGCAAAGTGCAAGGCAGGGAAACCAGGCTGGTGGCAGCCACTTTCCTCAGGATCGGTGCCCAGATTACAGACAGTATTATCTGGATCTGCCTGCTTGTCCCAAACCATTCTCCACCCAGGATTTGGTTAACAACCTGGGATTAGAGGCATACTCAGGTGAATTTAGCAAACACCTCTTATTCCAGTGTTAATCACCCTTCCAGGGGCACAAGAGGCCTACCTAAGGCATGAACCCTCTCTTAGTGTCTTAGCCTGGTGAGGATGTGCTTAGGAATGCATCTTCCATGAATCACCTTTCTTGCCCAGAAAGAACGCCATCGTGCAGCGTAAGGGGAGGTGTAAATATTATAAAACCTTGGCTGGAATCCCTGGCCCCACCCCCAAATTCACTAGATTATAAGTTTCTCCAACAAGATTTTAGTGTATTTGAGGGAAGGAACAGGTTACTTTGCCCCCTTCTCCCCCTCCCACCCACCTTCCTCCCATAGTATTAGCACAGGGCTAGGCACAAAATAAATGTTGAAGAAATACTTGTTGGCATGGATGGTGGCTGACGAGCTTCTGGTGGTAGGAGGTCCCAGGCACTGCTTTCTAAGGGCAGGGCTGCACCGGCTCTGGTCCTGGTTGGCCTTGAGGCCCTCTCTCAAGTCGTTGCCATCTCTTCCAGTTTACCCCTCTGCAAAATGGAAAGGATGTCTCTGGCTGCTGCTTATTCTGAGATTTTGGCTCCAATCCTGAAAGCTGAGTTCCTGGAGAAGCCTCCAAGACAGAAGTCAGCTGGAGACCACGAGAATCCAGATCCTCTAAGTCCTGTCTTTGGGCTTTGGAGACTTCAGCACAGCAAAAGGAACTCAGAACATATAAACTGAAAAAAACGCCTCGAGGAATTTACACTCTAGTCGGGGAAAAAAACTAATCCATGTCCCCTGGAAATATGTCAGGACCGCAATGATAATTACAAATGGGGCATTAAGAGGAAGAGATGAGGCAGGAGTTAACAGAATAGACTGGAGAAAAGGTGAGGTTAATTAAGAACACTTGCAGGGAATGGTGACTTCAAACCATTATGCTGAGAAGCCTAAGAAAGAGGCAAGCCAGGTGGCCAGAAGAAAGGACCCTTGGCCACAGGGCACTCTAGGGCAGAGTCAAAAGAGGAGGAGAGATACTGCTGTGCCTGGAAGGGACACAGCACTAACAAGGGCTACCACGTGGAGAGTAGGAGGGGACTGGAAGAGGAGATATTTACACAAAGAGCAACAGAGACACTCAGGGCTGTAGGCAAACACAGGCAATTAAATGCGTAGAAATCCTGAGAAACAAGTTTTTGTGCAAAGCATGTTTTAGCTCTTTAACCCCAACACTACCTGCCCCTCAAAGGTTCCTTTCAAATACAATGCGGGGGAAGATTTAGGTAGCACCTATGGAAAACTGCCAGACGATCCGACTACCAGCTAGCGTTGATCCGGGTGGGAGAGAGAGTGGGGGGAAGCCCTTGGGATGGTCTTTAATGCAGACTGTCAGCCAGGTGACTGCTAAGTCCCTGCTCACTTTCTGCTGAGCGGACACTAGGCCAGGCTAACAAAACAGTATTTCTAAGGAGGACAGAGCTTCATAGCCTCCAGTCCAGTTCTAAGCCAGACCCAGCCCAGGGTCGTGGGGCAAGGCTGAGGTGGAATAAAGTTCAAGGGTCATGAGAAGGGTGGCTGAACTCTAAGCACTCTGTGGATGGGAGAAAAGGCTCACAGTGCCCTCATACCCCCTCTTCAAGACAGTTCTAGAACTGGCCAGACTCGGAGAAACCTTAAGCCAGCCTCAGAAAGGCTGGTTTTGGACAGATCTGTTCAGACGAGTTTGAGGGCTCATGGCTCATAGCATGAGACCTATGTGGTAACTGGCTGTCAAGGTGGGGCTGCTGGGGTCGGGCGCGGTGGCTCACGCCTGTAATCTCAGCACTTTGGGAGGCTGAGGCGGGCAGATCACTTGAGGTCATGAGTTCGAGACCAGCCTGGCCAACATGGTGAAACCCCGTCTCTACTAAAAATATAAAAATTAGCCGGGTGTGGTGGCGCACACCTGTAAGCCCAGCTACTCAGGAGGCAGAGGCAGGAGAATCGCTTGAACCCAGGAGGCAGAGGTTGCAGTGAGCCAAGATCATGCCATTGCATTCCAGCCTGGGCAACAGTGAGACTCCGTCTCAAAAAAAAAAAACAGGGCTGCTGTTGTGTCTTCGCAAAACTTTGCAGAACCTGTGTAAGCAAACCGAGGGCACAGTGATCCAGAACAGGAACTCAGACGCGCAGACTTGGAGTCTGGGACCTGCTCCAGGAATTCTTCGCTTTTTAGCAGTTAAGATGCACACCGCGGAGGCAGAGGCAGGAATCCCCCACCTCCAAATCCCTGCACTGGGAAGAAAACTGGGTGCAGGGAGCTTTTCCACTGCAGCGTTTCCAGGAGGAGGGAAGGCGTGCTAATGGCAAAGACTCACTGCAGGGAGTCTGGCCTGGGACCTTAGTTCCCAGCAAGGCCCCTGAGTAACCATAGGACCCCAGGAAAGACATTAAGCTCTCTGTGATTAATGAGTTTGTATAAAACTGGAGGTAACAGCCCATTTCAAAGCCCAAGGGGGCTGCAGAAGGGCAATGTGCTTGTGTAAGTGCAATCCAAGCCTCCTAGAGGAGAGACACTTCTAGAGGAGAGAGCTGAAGTCCCTAAGAGGTCAGCTTCTCCACGTCAGATTCCTGAGAACTTGTCATGGCTCTCTCCTTTTTCTGGAAAACTTCAAAACAGCAGCAGGGTGTTGCGTAACACCCTGAACTTGCAGGGGCCACTATCCTGGATGCCGGAAAAGGGAGAGGATGCTTTTGTTTGTCAAGGCCTGGAAAGGTAAATGGCCGTGGGAAAGCAAAAATTGAGACACCCAGAGAAAGAAGCTGAGAGAGGAAAGTGCGCTCCATGCTGGAGATCGCTGCGTAGCCCTGCTCCAGACCCACACAGGACTGCCTCCAACTCAACATGCTTCAGAGCAAAGCTGTGAAGCTGGTTTCTGGTTGCCAGTCACAAGCCTTGGGAACCGGGGGAAAAAAGGGAAGGATGAAGTTGGAGGAGCAGGGCTTGGCTCTTAAGCAGGGCTCAGACAGCAGGGTCCCTATTCACATTCAAAAGGCCAGCCCTTTCCTCAAAAAATTAAAAGTGGAACTACCATATGACCCAGCAATCTCACTCCTGGGTGTACACCAAAGGAAATTAAATCAGCGTGTTAGAGATACTTGCACCCCCATGTTTGCTGCAGCCGCAGTCACAATAGCCAAGCTATGGAAACAACCTAAGTGTCCATCACCAGAAGAATGGAGAGAAAAAATGTGGTCTATATACACAATGGAATGCTACTCAGCCTTTAAAGAGAAGGGAATCCTGTCATTTGTGGTGACATGATGGCCTGGAGGACATTATGTTAAGGGAAATAAGCCAGACACAGGAAGATAAATATCTCATATTGTCACTTTCTTTATTTTTAACTTTTAAGCTCCGGGCATAAGCGTGGGTTTGTTACAGAGGTAAACTTACGTCATGGGGGTTTGTTATACAGATTATTTCATCACCCAGGTATTATGCCTAGTGCCCATTAGTTGTTTTTCCTGATCTTCTCCCTCCTCCCACCCTCCACCCTCTGAAAGCCTCCAGTGTGTGGTGTTCTCCGCCATATGTCCATGTGTTCTCATCATTCAGCTCCCACTTATAAGTGAGAACATGTGGTAATTGGTTTTCTGTTCCTGCGTTAGTTTGCTGAGGATAATGGCCTCCATCCAGCTCCATCCATGTCCCTGCAAAGGACATGATCTTGTTCTTTTTTATGGCTGCATAGTATTCTATGGTGTATATGTAACACATTTTCTTCATCCAGTCTATCATTGATGGGCGTTTAGGTTACTTTCATGTGGAATCTAAAAAAGCTGAACTTACAGAAGCAAAGAGTAAAATGGTGATTGCCAGCGGTAGCGGGTAGAGGGAGGTTGGAGAGATGTTGGTCAAAGGGTACAAAATTTCAGTTAGGAGAAATAAGTTCAAGAGGTGTATTGTACAACATGGTGACTATTGTGAATTATGTATACATGAAAATTGCTGAGAGAGTAGATTTTAAGTGCTTTCACCATAGATAAATATGTGAGGTCATGCATATGTTAATTAGCTTGATTTAGCCATTCCACAATGCATACATGTTTCAAAACATCATGTTATACCCCATAAATATACACAATTTTTATTTGTCAATTAAAAAAATAACATTTTAAAAGGCCCAGCCTGGCCTCTCTGGGTCACCAGGCAAAGCTACGCATAACTGAGGCTGGAAGACAAGTCTTGGGCTTGGACCCTCCAAAACACAAGGAAAGATCATCAGAGGTCTTACCTTCACCAATGAATTCAACCCCTACAGGCAAGACACAAAAGCACAGGTCACATGCCAAGGAGTGAGAGTCGGAGGTCCGAAATAGCTCCCAGAACCCAGCGCTCAGGAATACCACTGTGTATGGACACGTATATTGTGCGGTGACAGTCACTGTCAGGCACCTCAGAAGAGGACATCATGAAAACACATGGACACATAGAGGGGGAAAAAAAATACACTGGCGCCTACCAGAGGGAGGACGGTGGGAGGAGGGAGAGCATCAGGAAAAATAACTAATGGGTACTAGGCTGAAATACCTGGGCAATGAAATCATCTGTACAACGAACCCCCATGACACAAACTTACCGATGTAACAAACCTGCAGATGTACCCCTGAACTTAAAAAAAAAGAAAAGGACATCATGGGAGCCCAGGGCAAGAGATGGAACACCATCCTGGGAAGCCAGCATCCAGACAGGAGGCCTCTCTGGGGTGGCGCGAATGGGACAGAACACTTCCTTAGGATTGACACAGAACTAACACTGACCCACCGGCTTACTTTGGCCATTGTGCACATTCTTTGGCTCATTGTGACACCACCTGGTAGGCAGATCATAAAACTGTACCATGGGGTGGGCTACAGGTGGAGGAGACAGCGTTCTGCCTGCTTGGTGCAAGCAACCTCGCACAGGCAGCTAGGTGTGGTCTGCTCAAACTGGTTCTCAGAAGCCAAATCCTCCCCTCCTTTGTCTATTCACAAGAGTTAAGAAAAAGACTGCTTTCTCTGTTGATCTCAATAACAAAGGGGATGAGGCACTGCCTTGGCAAAGTCAAAATTGCAGTCACTTTCTGATTGTTAATGGAGAAAAGCAGGCGGCCTGCCAGGTGATGGAAAACACGCGGATCTTTCCTGTTTAACTTTGAAATGAATTATGTGATTGTTTTACAGAAGTAGTAACAGATTTGGCTTCCTTGTTGAGGCCACTGTTGAAAGTTGGTATTCTCCAAGCCTGCAACTGGGCAGAGTTTGTGTGTAATTAATAACTGAGAGTCCACTAAATGGGCACTCGGCCCTGTAAGCCATCACAGGTGAGCACGCTGGGGCAGTGATCATAAAGGTGACCCCTCTGAGATCAGGCTCTGGGCCAGAATGCATGAGAATCAGACAAAAAAAAAACAGAGGCAGAGTCCTCCTGCTAGGAAATCTAGAGCCTCCTTCTTTTTGGTCTTAAATTAACGTGGAACACAATTTTTAAATTTAAAATCACCCAGCACATCTAGTCAAGTAGTTCTCAGGTCTTCTTTTGTTAAAAGTTGCAGAGCCCATCATCCAAATGAATACTTAGTCAAGAAACCCTGGAAAGATGAACAAGAAACCAATAAAAATAATTACCTACCGGGGATTCAGGGGAGGAGAGGGCAGGGTGGAAGCAAGTTTTTTTTTGTTTTTTGTTTGTTTGTTTGTTTGTTTGTTTTGAGACAGAGTTCCGCTCTTATTGCCCAGGCTGGAGTGCGATGGCATGATCTTGGCTCACTGCAACCTCCGCCTCCCAGGTTCAAGCGATTCTCCTGCCTCAGCCTCCCAAGTAGCTGGGATTACAGGCATGTACCACCACACCCAGCTAATTTTGTATTTTTAGTAGAGACAGGGTTTCTCCATGTTGGTCAGGCTGGTCTCGAACTCCCAACCTCAGGTGATCCGCCTGCCTGGGCCTCCCAAAGTGCTGGGATTACAGGCGTGAGCCACTGCTCCCAGCCCAAGACTTCTTTTTTTATAGTTTTGACTTTTGAAGCATATACATTTCTTACCTCTTTAAAAAAGTAAGACCATTGGACGCCCCAAATGTGAAGCGGCTGAGAAGGGAGCTGCTCTGGCAGAAGGCGGTGGGAGAGGTGGAAGGGAGAGCCTAGCTACTCTGCCCTGTCCTCATCCCGGAGGCTCGGTTCCACTCCCACAGCTCTCAGCACTTGGACACCAATGGCCTGGCCCAATCCTTTGTTTTATAGATGGGGAAAAGGTGGCCCCCCTAGTTTGGTTCACTCTCTGGATCTCTCTTCCCATAGGACACATTCAGGAAGGGTTAGATACACTCCTCAGAAGACACAAAACACTCAATCCTTTTGAAAGATTTATTTTTAATTAAAAAATAAAAGTTATCTGAACATATCTGCATTGCAGTTTCAGGGATGGCACCTTAACCCATTTATGCCGAAGGTCACAAATGTTTTTTATGAAAAATCAGATCTTGGTGATGACCTTGAGCAGTAGGATAGAAATAACTCCCACAAGCTTAGGGTTCCAATAATGGAACCCTAGGCATGAATGGGTAAATGAAGCAAAAAACAAAACAAAACAAAAAAAAAACCAAAGCTTATCAGTTCTTGGGTCTTATGACCATCTTATAATGGGTACAAAGGCACACGTGTCTTCAAACAAACTTGATTCAGAAACATTTCTAACAACTCAGAACTACCCCCATGTTTTTGCCCACCCTCACCCCCCCAAAAAAATACAACCAAAAACATTAAATTCTTTTTTAAAACTACAGAAATAAGTGCTGAGTCAGCAAGGAACCTGGGCATGCTGCCCACATGCCGCCACGTCTCTCTGCTTTGATGACTGGCTGCCCAGAGGTCAGGAGGGAGAGAGCTAAGCACTTTCCACTGCATGCTAGGATATAGGGCTTGCAACATAGACCCAGCCCTACAGCCGTCACCCCAGCTGGGGCAGGCAGCTCCTAGGCGCTCTCTCCCTTAATCAAGGGCATCCACAGCTAAAGCAGCCTTTCAGGAGGTGACAGGCCCAAGACAAGCAAGTCTTTGTCAAATGCTTGCGATGACAAGGCCAATGGTAACTGTGGGAGGGAGGGAGACGGGTAGATCTCTTCGCCCGCAGTTTACTGGGCTGCTGGAAGGTTTTCTCTCCCTACTCTCCCTGCCTTCTCTCTTTTCCCTTCTCCCCAGTCTCCCTCTTCCCTCAAAAGGGTTTTACTTTAGCTTAATGGTGGGGGTTCCGAAGAGGGTATTGGCAACTCCTGGGGCGGGTCTGGTGGCTCTGCCATCTCTAAGGGGACATCACGTGCTTTCGGTTCCTGTGCTTCACAGAGCTCCTCCTGCCCCTGAGAGGGCTCCAGCTGCTCCTGACCCTGGGCCTGGCTGTTCATCTTCTCTTCAGCTTCAATCTCTTCTGATGTGGGGATGGAGTTCTTCTTGGGGCGACCTTTGGGTTTTGTGGGTGCTTCCTGTCCACCTTTAAGAACCTACGTGAGTAAAAAATTGTTATTGAATCTAAGAAATAATTCCTTCCCTCCACCTTTCCACTCCCAGTATAACCTCACGTTGCATCTAAACCATCTGTTCCAGCAGTGAAATTGCAGGATTTGGCAAAATATATTCTCAACCCATCACCTCTGGTCTACAAAGACACCTCCATTTTTTAAATGCTCAACGCATTTTTGGTCAACATTATATATTTTGGCATTTAATACAACAATCATAGGCAGCTTCAGAATTCAACTTCAACAATAAGGAAAGAAATGAAAATTAAAATGTTAATGCAATAACTATCAAGTTGACAAGCTAAAAAGACAACAATAATATTTGTAGCAAGCAGGAAAAAAAACACACTGTATGAAAGTGTGATTGTTACACACTTTTCAAGACAACCTGAGAGTTCAAGTCAAAAGCCTTAAAATGTGCATGGCTTTTTGACACAGAAAGTCCTTAGGCTAAATTCTAAAAAATTATCTAAGACTGAGACAAAGATTGATCTGCAAAAATATTCATCACAATATTGGTTATAACAGCAAAAGTTGGAGGGGGGTGATATCCTAAAAGTTTAGCCATGTAATTGGGTAGAATTATAGTAAATCCCAAAGACAGAATACTTGACAACCATTACAATTACTATATAGGAGAATGTTTAATAACACAGAAAATATTATTCATATAGTTTTGTAAAAAACAGATTCTTAGCATAATCCAGTTTGGAGGCTAGACAACCTATACACCACCTTGTCTGCAGTGATCTGTACACCACCTTGTTTGCAGGATCATGAATCATTTTTAATCTTTGTTTTTTCTATATTTTCTAAACTTTCAACAATGATCAAACATAAGTATTTCTGTAATCAGAAAAAATATGTTATAAAACATGTAGTCTTGTAGCGTTCGAAGAAGTAGTACAGCAGAGTTTAAAAAGCATTTTGGCTTTGATAGTAGAAAAACTGGGTTAAATTCCAACTCTGCCACTTATCATCTTTGTCTTTGGGAAGTCCTTTAAAGGCCCTGAGTGTCCGTTTTCTAATCTGTAAAATGGGAATAATAATACCTTGTATTACAGGGTGACAGTGAGGGTGACCAACAGATAATGTGTATGAAAGGACCAGAACGGCACCTGAATGGTAGGTTTCCTTTGCCCAGAATATATATACCATCCGCCCTCCTTCTCCTGGCTAACTTCTCCTGGAAGCCTTCCTCATCCCCCAGGTCTAGGTTAAATGCCCTCTGCCGTGTGCCCTAGGAGCAGCCTCTACTGTTCTGGCCAGAGCACTTTTCAGAAACTATGGTCACTGCATGTTTACCTGCTGCCCCTCTCACTCAGCCCCTGCACATAGCAGGTGTTTGACAACTGTTACCAAATGAACTAGGCTTTCTCAACAAACCTTTCCCTAGAGTCGAGAAAAGATATAAAGCAAGCCAAATAACTGGACCCTAAATGGCCTTGGCTGACTTCAAAGGCCTGGCACCCTTATTATCCCAATTTGTGACCCACACAAGAGTCCCAGGAGGCAGACAGGGATAATTTTAAAAATATTTATATTTTGCTTTGGAATGTAGTAGACACTCCTTCCTCCACTGGCTTGGCATAGTTCTTGATTTTCTGGGCAGTTAGTGAGAAGGGCTTCCAGAGGACCTGGATTAGCACAGATGATTAGGGGTGGGAGATATTTTCGCTATTTATAAACCTAGCCTAATCTTCTTGTCTTCTATATTTGTATATAAGCTCCTTGAAGACAAACCCTGCTTCTCTCCATTACTCCATGCTCCAAGAATCAAACTTCCAGCTAACTTCTATGCAGTCCCTAAATATTTACTGACTGTTCCTCTTTCCTTCAAGAGCAGCAGAGGACCTCCAGGTGCTGAATTTTAAGGATAAAACCATAACTTACTTTGTATACAGCTCTGAGATATAATTCACATGCCAAATCCATTTAAAGTGCACTATTCAGTGATTTTTAGGATAGTCACAGAATTGTACAACTATCACCACAATGCAATTTTCCAACACTTCTATCACCCCAAAAAGAAACCCCATAGCATTAGCGGTCAGTCCCTATTTTCCCCCAGCCCCTACCCGATCTGCCCACAGCCCTGGGCAACCACTAGTCTGCTTTCTGTCTCTACAGATGTGCTTATTTTTGGACATTTTATATAAACAGAATCATATAATATGTGCACTTTTGTGACTGGCTTCTTTCACTTAGCATAATGTTCTCAATGTCTATCCATGCCGTAGCATTTATCAGTAAATAATATTCCATTTTATGGATATACTATGTTTTGTTCGTTCACTCATCAGTTGATGGACACGTGGGTTGCTTACTACTGTGAATGAAGCGGCTGTGAACATGGGAAAGAAGTGAAATTGAATTGCTGGATCATTTGGCAACTCTATGTTTCACATTTTGAGGACTGTTTTCCAAAGCACTATTTTACGTTCCAGCCAGCTGCATATGAGGGTTCCAATTCTCCACATCCTCACCAACACTTGTTGATGGCTGTTTGACCACAGCCATCCTAGAGGGTGGGAAGTGGTATCTCATTGTGGTTCTGCTTTGCATTTATTTCCCTGATGACTAATGAAGTTTAGCATCTTTTCATAGTGCTTATTGGCTAGCTGTATATCTTCATTGGAGAAATTGTCTATTCAAATCTTTTGCCCATTTCTAAATTTGGTTGTCTTTTTATTATTGAGTTGTAAGTGTTCTTTAAATATTCTGGATACATGTCCCTTATCAGATGTAAGCTTCTCTGATTCTGTGGGCTGTCTTCTCATTTTTCTAATGATGTCCTTCACAGCACAAAATTTTTAAATTTTGAGGAAGCCCAATTTATGTTTTCTTCTGTTGCTTGTGCTTTTGCTGTCATATCTAAGAAGGTTTTGTCTAATCCGAGGTCATGGATACTTACTCATATTCTAAGTTTTATAGTTTTCACTCTCACCATTTAGATGATGATTCATTTTGAGTTAATTTTTGAGTATGAAGTAAGAAAACCAAGAAGTTCTCAGTAAACACCTCCTTTTAGCTAAAACTCTGCTCAACCACTGTCCTTTCCGCATCAACAGCTAACACACAGATATTAAGGGGACCTTTAACGAGGTAGAGATGCTGACAGAAACCAACCCTGGGGAGAAGACGTTCCCTGTATTTCTTTTCACGTAAGTCATTATCTGATTTTGATTTCAGTCTGAGTGCAGGCTTTTGAAAGCACCCAATTGTGCCAAGATGGAATTTACATGTTGAAAGCAGATCCACTCAGTATGAAAGAGGTTATACAAAAGTAAGTTGCCCCATGTAGTAATCAAACTAGAAAAGGGCAGGTCTATGGAAGCCACCTAATTGGCAAAAGAAAGTCCAGCCCAGCAATTAGAGAACACCACCCACACGGTTTGGACGGACCCCACCTGGCTGTTTTCCTACTGCATGAAAAAAAAATCCCCAAAACAATTAGACCATTTTCTAAATGGAATAAAACATTCCAGCACAAGCAATAATTAGGAGATAACTACCCTCTTGGCTGCTTTCTGCACTCAACCTCTGGCCCCTTGCCTTCCAGCACACCTGAGACATGCAATTATCTCAGAACCACTCTCCATCAGGAGCTGCCCATTCACATGCACCCTGTGGCCTTCCTCCTAGGAGCCCTCTCCCCATTTATTCTTAGAGCCAGTTTAGTCCCGTTGGTCCAGAGAAGCCAGAGAGCTCCTTGTCTAAGAGGTCACATGCCTCCTTCTGCCTCTCGGAAGAACACCTAGGACACCATCCACTTTTATTAGCCGTGCCTGGTGACAGCCCTCCTCCAAACTCTGCAACGAGGTATTCAGATGTTCTGTTGCTGAGGGTGTTAAGACCGGATCTTTTGCTTCCCTCCAAGCAGCCTGGGTAGGGGGCAGGGAATGTCAGTGCAGGAAGGAACTCTCTCCTTCCCTCTACTTTTCAGATAGGAAACTGAGCTGACAGAGTTTGTCAGTATCAAAGAGCAAGCCAAGGGCAGAGCTGGGATTTGAACACAAACCTCCTGACCATTTGAGTCTAACAGTCTTAGCAGTATTGCATTCAGCATAATGCGCGAGGGATATGTAAAATGGGCCACTGTTCTACGTCTGGTTATTTATTTGCAATTACCCAACCTCCCAGCAGACTCCAGGCAGTAGACTTATTAGTGGGGGTGATCTTTGTTCCTTTTTCTCTGTCTCTCTCTGCAGCTTTATAGGGCAGCGAGGGCCACATAACTGATGACTGTTTCCATGAAGCTGAGAAACAAGTTTGGATTCCCCAGCATGAATCTCCTCCCAGACACTGCTGCTCCCATTAGCTGACTTTCTCAGCCTGAAGATGTGATGTTCCACTGGACCTCAGGCAAGGCCCCAAATGCCAAGGCGCTGACTTGGAGATGACTGGGGAGCAGGGACTGAGAAAGGACAAATGCTCAGGGCTGTGCGGAGTCCCTGAAACTCATAGAATTCACTTTTGGCTTATGTATCCTGGCCTCCAAATATTTGGATTCTCTGAAGACATGGATTTTGTGGCTAGGTAATAAAAATACTAATAATGATAATAATAACGGCAATAACATCTCTTGGCTGTATCCTATATGGCAGGTCCTATTTACGTGTTTTACAGAGATTAGCTCAGTTAATAACACAACCCTACAAGGTACGTGTTAGGCCTTTTACTGGAGAGGAAACAGGCACACAGAGGTTAAGTAACCTGCCCAAGATTACACAGAGAGCTACTGGTAACAATTCATGGAGTTGTTAACTATTTGGGGACTTTTCATGAGAAAGATAATGACCATGAATAGTGTGGGGCCCACGCAATTCTGTCACTAGGAGAGAAAGGAGGTATCTGTTTGGATCCTCTCATGGAAGAGAATTGCATTTTAGAGCTCAAAGAGACCACCAAATAATGAGGCTCTTTCAGCCTGTTGCAAAACACTGTGGGTCCTGCGGGAACTAAAGCCAACAGACATGGAATAGAGGGTGCGCATCCCATCTTAAATATGCAAGATTAAATTTACCCAACCCGCTATAGGTTACCAATGCTGACGGGTCAGAATTCGTCAGAGATGCTATCTCGGTTCTGGCAAAGTTACCCTTGGCAGCCATGTGAATAAGTCTGAGAATCAACTGCTAATCTTTTTCCAGTTCCAATTAGGTTACTAGCCTTGAGACATCTTTATTACTCAATTATCTTTTTCTTTTCCTCCCTGGTACCTAAACAGATAGCCTTGAAAAGAGTTTTACTGGGAAACTAGATGAAGCAATCAGGATCACAACACAGCCTTGCTATTCCACTCTCTGCGCTGATCCTATAAATTTCCCTGCTGCTGCCCTGACCGCTCCGTGAAATAATAATACCAGTTTGCAGATGTGTCTTCTGCACTTGACTGAGTACCTTTTTATAATTTTATTTTCTGGTGGACAGGCTCATGTCTTATCTTTGCATCTCCATGGCCTGATGAATGTTAAATGCTCAATGAATTATCTCAAAAGTGAACTGACAGCTTGGGCCTCTTGGCTCCTAAAGGGACCTGAAGGTGACTGGCTTGCAGAATGTTCTGAGGTTAGATCTGCTAAGTTACTCTTCCATTTTGGTTTACATGGCATTGATACCCATCAATAACTGGCCCACAACCATGCCAGCAACGCTGTTGCTGGTGAAAAACAAGTGACGTCAGAGACGAAGGCACACGCATTGGCCCACGGGCACTGGGCGGTGCTGGCAGAGGAGGCTGCCTGTCGATTCCTTAATCATCTGACTCACGAAAAGATTGCTGATAACCAATTTAAACAATGCCTCTGCTACTTAGGAGGCATTGATTTCAATGCTGATGACTGACGAGGAAGAAGGTGGGTGGTGGATCTTGCACAGAAAGCAGTGAAGGGACTTGCCCAAAATCAGCCAGGGAAGGGCAAGCATGGGAACACGGCCGGGTGCTTCTCACTCTCAAGTCTAGTTCTTTAGAGACCAATCCCCCAAAAGGTGTCCATGTGTGCTTGGCACTGTAGAGTTTTTGGAAGACTATTTAACCGAATCCATTCTTCCTTCAATTTCTTGGTTTTTTATTTTATTTTTATTATTTATTTATTTATTTTATTTTTATTTTTTGAGACGGAGTCTTGCTCCGTGGCCCAGACTGGAGAGCAATGGTGTGATCTTGGCTCACTGCAACCTCTGCCTCCTGGATTCAAGTGATTCTCTGGCCTCAGCCTCCCAAGTCGCTGGGATTACAGGCAACCAACACCACACCCAGCTAATTTTGTATTTTTAGTAGAGGCGGGACTTCACCATGTTTGCCAGGCTGGTTTCAAACTCCTGACCTCATGTGATCCACCCACCTCGGCCTCCCAAACTGATGGGATTACAGGCGTGAGCCACCGTGCCGGGCCACTTCCTTCAATTTCAACTTCTCCCGGCCACCTTCTCCATTACCTCTCTTCTGAACTCCGATGGGCTTATAAATCCGTAACAACCAGCACTTAATTATAACATGCTCGGCAGCTACCTCCTGGGCCTTGTTTCTCTGACTACATCATAAATTCCATGAAGGCAAGGGTGATATTTTATTTAATTACTTCTTATAGTGCCTAGGACAAGGAATGGCTCACAAGAGACACAAAATATATATTTGCTGACTCATGCAATATCCATATGTTTGAACACATAACTGGCATCTCTGTCTTAATTCGTGGGCACTTCATGAGCCAAGTCGCCTCCATTTTGAAAACCCTTTCATTTCAGGGTCAGGTCCCCCCAGAGGAAATTACAAGATTTGCCCAGGAATTTCTTTTTTGGGAATATAATAATTGCTGCTTGTTGACTTTTTTCCTAATTTTTCCCATTGATGTTCATCTGCAATTTACTTATTTTGTTTTTTTTTTTCTCCTCATTGTTAGCAGAAAATAGCAAGGAATAGCAAGAACTAAAAGCTTAAGAAAAAACAATATTGGACAAAACCACAACATTGAGAAAACATCTATCCACTGACTTTTTTTTTTTCCTGAAAACTGGGGTTGGCAGAACCCCGTAGTTATTTGATTATTGTGAAAAACATCATATTTTAGCCCTGAAACACCAAGACATAGGGCCTGTGACCAGACAGGTTAGCAAATTAGAATGTCATCATGAAGGCATGGCATGGACGAGAGGAGAAAGAGCCACTAACGTTTGGTGAGGGGGTAAGAAGCCTATGGCAGGTGGCATGGTGGCACCTGGGCTCCAGAGAACAGCAGGGCTTCTTCCCTTATCGCCACCCCTCCTCGTTTTCTTTTGCTCTGGGCTTTGACCTTGTCTCAGTGGTTTACAAAGCTGAGAAAGGAAACACTCAACTACTTTGGAAAATTTTGATTTAATAGTGCCCTTTTTAGTGAAAAGAATAAATGATAATGAAATTGAGTTCCTCACAACGTAGGGATGTATCTATTCTAATACTTAAAAATCAAAGATGGAAATATTCATTAGCTAGGCACTAGAGCAGGATGATGGAAACTGTGGTCATCATACCAGGCACTTCAGAATAACCAGGGCTCTTGTTAACACGCACATTCCCAGCCTTGGCCCAGACCTCTGGGACCAGAATCCTGGGAGGGGGCCTAGAGTTCTGCATTTAACCTGCTACCCAGGGGACGCTAATGCCCACCAAAGTTTGAGGATCACTGCGTTAGAGGACGCACAGCCAAAAGAACAGATGCATCCTCTACGTCATTATAAACAAAGAGTACTGACTTCTATTTTTAGCTCTTGGTGGGAGGAAGAAGGAAGTTGTTTGAAAAGGCTAGCAGGTAGGGTTAAAACTAGCAAGTTAGGAGAAATACCTAATGTAGATGACGGGTTGATGGGTGCAGCAAACCACCATGGCAAATGTATACCTAAGTAACAAAACTGCATGTTCTGCACATGTACCCTAGAACTTAAGTATAATAATAAAACTAGCAAGTTAAAAGCCTGTAAGCTTTTTTTCCTTTGATTTCTAAGGAAACAGAAAAAGAATATCCCTCTGTTTAGGAACTCCAGGTCAAGAGGAATAGCTCAACCTACAGATCCAACAGCTTCCCCGCAAGCCAGCAGCATAGAAGGCCTTCCAATCTCTGCAGCCCAAACTGCCAAATGGTCCGGCCTCCCTCCCAACAGCCCTGGAGTAAAAGTCCTTCCCATCAGGAAGGGATCATGGTTAGTCACTCCTTTCTTACCATTTTCTTCCATTTCATCCTGCGATTCTGATACCAGGTCTTCACCTGCAGCTGAGTGAGTCCCAGAGACTGAGCCAAGTCCAACCTAGAAGGCACAAGATACAAAGGAAAGGTGAGCAGAATGGGAGGCAGCAGGAGAGATGGGATCCTGCTGGCAGGCTCCAGACAGGCTCCAGCACTGGCTACCAAGGCTCGGACCTCCCCCATTAAACGAGGTCTTCCCCAAAGCGCTTTTCTTTCCTTCCAAGAATCCAACAGAGGAAACTCTGGGAAGCTGAGAAACAGATGCCCATGCCTGAGGACACCTGGGCCAGTCCCCATCCTGAAACATTCACGGTCTGCAAGGGACCTGAGAAGGATGCCTGGGGCTTCTCATCACACAGTCCTTTTCCTGGCTTGACAAGAGCATTCACTCTGACCCTCTGGCCCATCGTCCAGACTGGAAACAAAAGGCAAAGCCAGATGTTGCTGATGGGAATCCACTCATCATTCCAGACCCAGCCCCGGTCCCACCTCCGGCAGGTGATTCTCCTGGCTCCCACAGCTCGTCTCCTCTGCACCCTCCCACAGGCCAGCAGTCACCCAGATGGTCCCACGTTTCCTGCTGTTCTCTGATCACTCCAACTGTGTTATTTCTGCCTCCCTAACTCAGTAGCCAGGGCAGCGTATACCTTCCACTTCTTTTCTACCCATGAAAGTGCCCATCACACTGCTAAATCCAGAACCGGTGCTCAAAAAATACTTCTTAATGGATTGATTCAATCGCTGTAGCTGTCCTAAATTGTTATAACAATTAAAATGTTATAAATAAATAAATATTATAAAGATTCCAAAAGAAACATTAAATCCACAGCCCTTCCTGTTTTCCATTCTACTGCTAATCATGGTGCTGTACTTCTCTGTAGTCTTCTGAAAAGTCCTAAAAGTCAAAGCCATTTCTGGGGCTAAATCTAACACACCCACCATTTCCTGAGCACCACGGCATCCCAGGGTACATGCTAAGCCCCTGACATGCTGTCTTATCTATCCCATTCACAACGCAGTGAAGCAGTGTAATTGTTCCCATTTTACAGATAAGAGAGTTGAGGCTTGGAGAGATTAGACTCTCTCAGCAACTGTGGCCAAATCCTGTCTGCTACCTGGTTGTGTAAATAAAGTTTTATTGTAACAGGCCAGGCACAGTGGCTCATGCCTGTAATCCCAGCACTTTGGGAGGCCGAGGCGGGTGGATCACCTGAGGTCAGAAGTTGGAGACCAGCCTGGCCAACATGGTGAGACCCCCATCTCTACTAAAAATACAAAAATTAACTGGGTGTGGTGGCAGGTACCTGTAATCCCAGCTACGAAGGAGGCTGAGGCAAGAGAAGTGCTTGAACCTGGGAGGCGGAGGTTGCAGTGAGCCGAGATGGCGCCACGGCACTGCAGCCTAGGCAATGGAGTGAGACATTGTCAAAATAAATAAATAAATAAAAATAAATTACTTCTGTGCTACAATATCAGAATTGGGTAGTTGTCACAGACCATATGGCCCACAAAATGTAAAGTATTTACTGTCTGGCTCTGCCCAGAAAACCTTTACCGACCTCTGGCAGATGATCGTAGAGTTAAGAAGTGGGGCAGGATTCAAACCCACGATGTCTGACCTGTACACCAGCTCCTGCATTGGGGCTCACACCCACTCACAATATATCTGCACAAGTTGAACCTGTCAAAGGGGATCGCAGGGATGCTTCATCCCAGGAAGCAGCAAACAACCGGGTGGGACAAGTAGAATGAGAAAGGGAAGTCTGCAGTCAGACTTCCAACATCAGTCCTTGAGACAACAACCATTGACCTAATAGGATAAGAACCCCAGGTCTACCTCAGCACCAACTGGAGAGCCACCTCCTTAAGCCAACATAAGCTGCCTCACTGCCACGCCAGCCCTGCTCAGCAAAGCAGTGTGGACTTCGAATGCAGCAGCTTGGGACAATCACCCCTGACAGAGCTTGGGCAGCAACCCCCACTTTTTGAAAGGCCCTAGGTTTCTGAGGATTGCCGTCTGTGAATCTCGGGCCCACAGTCAGTCTCACTTGCCTGCTCCATGGGGAGTCTCAGGTGTGGGTTTTCAGCTGCAGCTCTCCACCTGGGGAGATCTAACTATCAGGGAGGCCCACAGGGACCGGCCCTGATGATCTCAGGTGCAGCTGCCCAGTTGCCCTGCTCTGACCAGGCTGCATAATTTAAAGCCCCAATAATACACAGAGTCTTCCTTCAGGGGACCCTGGAAGTGGTCTTAAATCAGTACTCACATCCCTCTGGTCATCCCTGTAGAAGAGCTACTAGAAGCTGGCAGTTTTATTGAAAGTGATTAACAGGCTAAAGCCAATAAATTCCCAGTGCCAACAGCACTTGGCTCTTCCCACAAATGAAGCACTGCTTCCCAAGCAGTCGCTCATTGAGAACCAAGAACCCAGGGGGCCACCCCACAGACTTCTGGTCTCCCAGGCCTCCCTGGAGACGGGTCCTCCATGGTTCTGGCTGGCGGTGCCTTCCCGAGCCCAGTTCACCTGAGGCCATCAGGTGCATTAGTCAATGGAAGGCTCAGTTCACAGCTCTGCAACTGCATTAGCAAACAGTGTTAGCTCACTTGGGAAAAATGCAGCCCTGACTCACTCTGGCTACAGAAACATGCTTCACTGTCATCAGCTTTCTCTCATTACCTGCCACCGTTACAAATTCTCACTTCCCTGCATATTCGCTTAAATGGGGTCACCTAGGAAACTGGAGAAACAAACACAGAGGAGGAGGGTGAGAGCTGTGGGAGGAGGGAGTGCTCATGGCCCTGGTCACGTAGGGAGGCGAGGAACATCTGAGAGGGCAGGTGAAGATGGCAGCTTCCATGCCAGCCAATGGTGTCCTCCCAGATAAGTGAATCAATCCTGTGTAGGTGACCTGAGAGATGCCTGGGCAGGTATCAGGGAGCCCCAGGAGGTTTAAGAAGAACTAATATTTCTGAAAAAAAAAATTCTCTGACTTCTGAAAAATCAGCCTAATATGTTAGTCATGCACGCTGAAGCCCGTCTGACATACCACCGTGCTACCATAGACAAAGGTGCCCACTCCACTGGGTGCACAAGTTCATGAGGCTCTCAATTATATGCTAGGGAAGTGGAAACAGCCATGTCATACCTGGAGAGCCCATCTACTAACCTCCGGTTCACAGACCTGTCTCCATCATCTGCCCAAAGACACTCCAAATGCACAGGTCTAGAACAGAACTCAACCTTTCCCCACCTAAGTCTACTCTGTCCTCTGTCTTCCTACTTCAGTTCATGGCGTCCCTATCCACCTGCTGGCCCAGTCCAGAAACCACAGAATTCTCAACTCCCTTCTTGCTTCCTTCCGCAATGTTGATTCTGCCAATTCTCTCTTCAAGATTGTCCTCTTCTCACACATGGACACAGGGAGGGGAACCTCACACACCAGGGCCTGTTTGGGGGTGGGGAGGATAGGGGAGGGATGGCATTAGGAGAAATACCTAATGTAGATGATGGGTTGATGGGTGCAGTAAACCACCATGGCACGTGTATACCTATGTAACAAACCTGCACGTTCTGCACATGTATCCCAGAACTTGAAGTATAATAATAAAAAAAAAATTGTCCTCCTCTCTATTCCTGCCTCTCTGTTCCCACTGCCACCCTTTAATTCAAGTCTTCGTGATGATCACTGGATTCTCTCCTAACTGGTCCCTGCTCCGTCTCTGGCCTCTCTCATCCATCATTTATGGTGCCACCAGAGAGACAGTTCTAAAATGTAAGTCTGATCATGTCACCTCCAGCTCATAAAGGCAGTGCCAACTGCTTAAACAACCAAGTTCACATTTCAGCCAGGCATACGAGGTCCACCATTTGCCTGTTCACACCTTAAGCTGGAGATGTCCTGGCTACTTGCAGTTTCCTCCACATACCCGGCGAGACACGCTTCTTTGCCTTGTGTGTGCCAACCCCTCAGTGCGGGACTTCCTGTCCCTCCTGGAATCAAAGCTCTTCTTAAATGTTACCTCCTCTGAGAAGCCTCCCCTAACCCCATCTCCCACGCTCAGCAATATCCTGTGTTCCTACTGCACTCAGCAATGCACAGGCACCAGCGCCTGGCTTGCTGCGTCTTTGTTCCTGTAGTCGTTCCTTCCCCATGATCCCTTTCTGTCACAACAGGACTCTCTCGACTGCTTTCTGGACCCGTAATCCCTGCCACAGTGCCCCAGTGGCACCCAGAAGGCCCTTACCAAACAGCTGACGGTGCCTCATTAACAGAATCAGAAGCTAAATTCCCTTTTAGTCGGTGATATGCAGACTCCTCTGTCACTTAAATTTGTATCAAAGAGCTACTACACAGCTTAAGAGATTCATTTGAGGTTCCTTCCTTTACTTTTTGATAGGACTGGTGTCCAACCTGGTATGTCCAAGGCAGCAGGCAAAAGAAGAGGAAGAAGGACCTGAGAAATCTCCCCAATAAATAGGATCACACATTATTAGCTCAGCCATCTCCAGAGTCAGTCTGAAAGAACAAGATGAGACACTGAGATACACACTTTTTTTTTTTTTTTTTTTTTTGAGACTGAGTCTCGCTCTGTTGCCCAGGCTGGAGTGTAGTGGCATGATTTTGGCTCACTGCAACCTCCACCTCCTGGGTTCAAGCAATTCTCTGTCTCAGCCTCCCAAGTAGCTGGGATTACAAGTACCTGCCACTACACCCAGCTAATTTTTGTATTTTTAGTAGAGACGCGGTTTCACCATCTTGGCCAGGCTGGTCCTGAACTCCTGACCTCGTGATCCACCTGCCTCGGCCTCCCAAAGTGCTGGGATTACAGGCGTGAGCCAACACACCCGGCTATTTTTTTTTTTTTTTTAAGGAGACAGGGTCTCGCCTAGAGTGCAGCGATGCAATCTGATGCAATCATACCTCACTGCAGTCTCAAAGTCCTGGGTTCAAGTGATCCTCCCATCTTAGCCTCTTGAGTGGCTGGGACTACAGGTGCATGCCATCACACCTGGCTCATATTTTAATTTTTGTAGAGACGGGGTCTCACAACGTTGCCCAGGCTGCTCTCAAACTCCTAGCCTCAAACGATCCTACTGCCTCAGTCTCCCAAACTGCTGAGATTACAGGTGTGGGCCACAATACCCGGCCCAGACACACACTCTGGCATATGTTTCAGTTAAAATAGTAAATTAAAGAAAAGGAGGTGAGGCATTGAGGCCTCCAAGAAAGCAAGGGTCACAGCCTCCCCAACATGGATCTCAGAGGGGTTCAAAGAAGGGGCTCTCAGCCAGGTCCTCCTGGGTCTCAGTCAAATGGTTCTGACTTGACATCCAGCAAATTCACTAACATGTCTGACCTCCTCAACTGGATCCCTCCAGTCCTTCCCAAGCAATAGCCAGGCCAGCAAACTGAGTCAGTGGGGAATCAGCTGGAGGCTGTGGAGAAGATTGAGAAGATCATGAATCCCAATTCCAAATCTAGTCCTGCTGCCTCCAATCCTAAGAGTGAGTGGCTTAAAAACCAAGCCTGTTTCCCAGCTGACCGCCTGAGCAACCATTTGCTAAACTGGACCTTGTTTATGATACTGAAATAGTTAAGTTCAAATATGGAGATAAAGTGGTGAGTTAAGTTTAGCCGCAGGCAGGCTCCAGGGACCGTGTGGTGGATTCATGTGGGCTGGGTTCTGTTAACCAAGGTTGAGATGATTTGAGCCAAGGAGTGGACTCCGCCATAGTGTCCTGCCTCACTGTACCAGTGCTGTGGCTCCACGGCCCACAATGGGAGCAAGTCTCCCGTTCCCAGGGGCCTTCACTGCGGAGAGTCCCTTCCCTGCGTCCTCACCTGTCTGGGGTTGACAAATACTTCTGCTTCTGGAATTTCTTCTCCAGGCCCATGAGCTGCAGCTCGGTGAAGATGGTGCGACTCCGGCGGGGCTTCTTCTGTCGGGGCGTGGGCTGTTCCGTCTCTGACTCGCTGCTGGCTAGGGCCTCGCCCCCTGGGGCCTCAGCAGAGACCGCCTCGGTGACCTGGTGGCAGGACAGTGCCTGGGCGATTCCCGGGGTGGCAGGGACCAGGTGGGAGATGACAGTGGGCTGGCGGGTGATCACCGAGAGGAGCGGATATGCCCGCAGGGAAGGGGAGCCTGGAAAACAAGCAGGGAGGCAGGTCACCACAGGGAACGGTGTGGGGAAGCAGGCCAGGACCTGCGGAGGGCCGCTGGCTGAGGTCTGTCTGACAGGGAGGGCCCTGCTCTTAAGGAGGTACAGATGGAGGAAGGGGAAGGAGAGGTAACTCAAGACCTACAGCTGCAGGGCAGGCACAGAGGTCTGCTCTGCTCTGTGTGGGAAGATGAAGCCCACGGCCCAGAAGAGGTTCCTGCAAGTCCTCTGGTTTTAAGCAGATCTTTCCCCTCTCTCCCTTCGGAATCCCTAAATTCTTGGTCCATGGGACCAGGCAGATGAAAAGAAGTAGTCAGGAAAAGCTAGAGACACATATTTCAGAAACCCGAAATAGATTTGTAATATGCAAACTTCCTGAGAACCACCTGTGGTCTTTATAAAAAGACATGCTTGTAGCTATGAATTCTTCCTGAGAAGTCTGTGTACCTTGAAGCATAGCATTTTTCAGAGCTTGACAGGATGCTTTCGGATTATTTAATTCAACTTTCTCATCTCAGAGGGAGTAAATTGCCCCAGGAAGGTTAAGTGAGTTGCCTAAGATAACGTAACTAGGAAGCAGCAGATGGAGGAGTCAAACCAAGTTCTTCTGACTTGAAGTCCCATGCTATCAGCACATCATGAATCACATGGATACATCATTCAGAAGAGGGAGGCAAACAGATTTTAAATCACATGAAAGCTCAGATCGGTATGACTGGCGCCTCCAGCACTATGTTAAGGAGGATTCTCAGGCTGGCCAGAGCTTGGCTGAGGAAAAGGTGCTGGGTCGATTAACAATGTCTGCTATGGGCATGTGGCCGGGGCAGGGTATGGTGGCATACATACCAGTTATATGCCACTCCTGCGTTAGGAATTTCAAGGCAAGAGTTCTTTTCTGTCCAACAATCTGTTAAATCTGTAAAGTTCAAGTAAAGAGCTTTTCCCTTTGATTATTCAACACAGAGCTTAAAATGTCTGGATCATTACCTATGTGAATCATTTTATCTCTCAGTTTCATCATCTATAAGGTGAGTAAGAAAACTAGCTGATTCTAAAGAATCCTTCAAACTCTAATATACTGATGCCACGAAAGGACCTCTCATCCTCCCCATTTGATATCTGATGAAAATGGAGAAGACCCAGGGACTGCCCTTTGGGACTCAGTCCAGCCCTGAAAAGTGACTTCAAGGCCACAGCCAGCATCTGAGCCAACCAACATTCACACTAGCTCTGAGTTGAAACCGACTAACATCACAGAAGCATCCAGGTACTACCTGTGCTCCAGCTCTCTTCTCTGGGTTGGCATTTCTCTTCTTATTCCTTCCCATGCCTTTGTTTGGCCCCCAGTCACAGTTGATAAAACAAATAGCTTCTCTTATTCTTTGAGTACACTTCTAGCTAGGCCCAGCAGAAACCACAAAGTGGTTAAATAACAATAAATCACCACTTGCTACAACTTCCATTAACTCTCCAGCCAACTCCAACACTTGATGTTTTGTGCTGTGGATTCTTTTTAAGAAAAAAAAATCACCTGGGAGTGATATTTTAGAGCAAGAAAATGAGGATATGTGGGCTTGTGGTTTGGATCTCACAGCACACATCCTGAAATGATACTTCTTGGAAAAGAAGTTGGAAGCTTCTTAAAAAGGCATAAGATGTTTCTCATCTTAAATCACCTTACTCCTTTAAGTCTGTCACTTCTTTCAAAAGAGACTATCTTTCTTTAGCAGGCTAATGTGTAATCTAGAAACTAAGAAGCTTATCATTATAGGAAATGACTAACAATCCACCTGTAAGGAAGGCTTTGTATCACCTTTCTCTTTTGTAAGAGAGTTAAATATTTTTTTACCCAACATTGAATAATATTTTGAAAGTGTGGTAATATCTAGCATTGGCAAGCATACGGGGAAATAGGCATTCATATATTGTTGGTGGGAGTATAAAACAGTATAATCCTTGAGGACAAATTAAGCAGTATCTACCAAGTCACTGACAGGGAATTTCGTAATTTGAGGTCTATGCGTACAAAGATTTATATACAAGCATATTCACTGCAGCCTTGCTTATAATCATGAGCAGGGGAAATAACCTATATATTAATATCTCTCAACAGGAAAATAATTAAATAAATTGTGGTACATCCATAGTATGAACTACAATGTAACCATTAAAAAGTACTATCTAGTTCAGGTGTGGTGGCTCAGCACTTTGGCAGGCTGAGGCTGGAGGACTGCTTGAAGCCAGCAGTTCAAGACCAGCCTGGGCAACAGAGTGAGACCGTGTCTCTGTTTTTTTTTTTTTTTTTTTTTTTTTACTTACTTTTTTTTTTTTTTTAAAGTAGAGACAGGGTCTCTGTTGCCCAGGCTGGTTTTGAACTCTTGGCCTCAAGCAATCCTCCAATTTCAGCCTCCCAAAATGTTAGGATTATAGGTGTGAGCCATCGTGCCCAGTCAGAGATTCTGTCTCTTAAAAAAAAACATATAAACTGATGAGAAAGAGAGATGAATAGATGGATAAACTATATATAAACTAATACGAGAAAATACCTAATATATTATTGAGAAAAATATGATGTAAAATCATTTGTATTATTCTTTAAAACTATGATTTTTTTTTTGTCTGCCTTTATAAATGCATTTTTAAAAGTCTAGAAGGCTAGTTATCAAACTGTTAACAGTGATAACCTCTGGGCTTGGAATAAAACAGGGTGAAAAGGAATCTACACATTTGCATCTAATCCTGCATTCAATCCAGCCATGAATATTTACTGAGCATCTACTATGGGCTACACTCCGCTCTGGAAGCTGGGGAGATAGCAACGAATACTATAAAGTCCTACCTTCATGGAGCTTACATCCATTTGGGGAGGCAGACAGCAAACAAATAAACAAGTAAATATGTAAATAGTGCCAGGTAGTGATAAACTATGATGAAAAATACAGCAAAGTGTGAAGATGGGGCAGGTGGGGCAGAGGGCAGTATTGGGGATGAGGAGTCAGGGAAGGCCATGGTGGGAAGATGACCCTTCTGCAGGTAAGCACCCCCACGCAGAGGAGAGCCTGGAGAAGGTACGGGACAAGCACCCCAGCCCCAGAACCAGCACAGGCAAAGCCCTAAAGGCCGAATGAGCATGGGTTGAAAGACCAGCAGAAAGGCAGAGTAGGCAAGGGCAGAAGTCACAGGAGAGAAAACTGGGAAGAGATCTGTTGGAGCCCGATTACGCAGGGCCCTGTAGGTCAGGGCAAATCACTTGGATTTTATTCAAAATGTGATTTTTAAAAAAGCCATTGGCAAGATGTGAGCTGAGGGAGGACATGATCTGACTGATGTCTTAAATGATCCCTAAGGAGGTTGGACTGCAGGGGCCAGGGTGGGAGCAGAGAAACCAGTGAGGAGGCCAGTAGACCAGAGGCAGCAGCTACAGCAGTGAGAGGGGGTGCATTTTATAGTTAAGGTTGAGAGGACTTGTTGAAGGACTGAATGTCAGGTATGAGAGAGAGAGTTGCCAGGAGAGGCCTGACGTTTTGGTCTTAGCAACTGGAGGAAGGATGGTGCCCTTTACCAAGATGGGAAAGACTGGGCAAAAAGCAGGATTAAGTGAGAAAACCATGATTTCTGTGTTAGGTAAGTTGCTATTAGACATCTTGCACATGTTGAGGAGTCAGTCAGATAGAGGTTGGGTTAGAGACACAATTCCTGGGAGTCTATGTGGCATATTGGACCATGGGATTGCATGAGATCACCAAGGGAGTGGGTGGAATAAAAAAATGAAGAAATACAAGGGCTGAACTCTGGGGCACGCCAACATCTCAGGTCACAGAGAGGAAGACGAGCCGGCCAAAGACACTGAGGAGGGGACAGAGAAGCAGTAGGAAAGCCCATGTCCCTTGGCATCCCCAAATCTAGATGATACTTCTGCATTGTTCACATTTTGCACAGGTGCGTATCTTTTTTTTAAAATTTTTTAAAAAGGAAAGTTACATTAAATGAGTTATAAGTTTCATTCCCATTCTAAAGTTTAATTTTATGTTCAGTTTGTCAAAAAGAATAATCTTTCATTGACCCTTGATCCCAAGGAGTGGTTAAAACTTCTTCTAAAAGCTAGGCAAAGAAAATCAGTCTAGAAATCCCAGAAATTGAGTATAAAATGTGTTTAGTTTTATGACACTTCTAGTAAAACAAACATTGTGGGTGTTCTCCTGGGAAAGGGGGGCTCTTTAGCCCATTCAGAATCCAAAGGTCTAGAGAATTTTCTCGCTTTATGTCAATTTTCTCCCTTTATGTCAAAAGATGTTTGGGTTCTTGAATCACATTCATTCTTTTAAAAGAAACATCATTTAATGTGGAGAAATAGTAGTCTTTTCAACAAATGAGGCTGGGTGTGGTGGCTCACACCTGTAATCCTAGCACTTTGGGAGGCCGAGGTGGGCAGATTACTTGAGGTCAGGAGTTCGAGACAAGCCTGGCCAATATGACGAAAGCCCGTCTTTACTAGAAATACAAAAATTAGCTGGTGTGGTGGCACGCACCTGTAATCCCAGCTACTTGTGAGGCTGAGTCATAAGAATCCCTTGAACCCGGGAGGCGGAGGTTGCAGTGAGCTGAGATCATGCCACTGCACTCATAACACTCCATTTCAAAAAATAAATAATAAGTAAAATAAAAATTTTTAAAAATAATTGCTTAAAAAAATGGTGCTGGAGCAATTGGACATCCAGATGCAAAAAATAAAAATAAAAATAAAAATAAATAAAATAATAAGAGCCTTGACCTCATAAATTATTTTAAAAATTCACTCAAAATGGATCATAGACCTTCAGTAGAAACACAAACCTATAAAATTTTTAGAAAGAAACATTAGAGAAAAATCTCTGTGACACTGGGTTAGGTAGAGAATTCTTAGCCATGACACCAAAAGCATGATGCATAAAATAAAAAGGCAAAAAACTGGTCTTCATCAAAATTAACAATTTTTGCTCTGTAAAAGATACTGTTAAGAAAATGAAAAAAGCTGCAGACTGTGAGACCTGACAAATCTCACACCTGACAAATGATTTTTACCCGGAATATATAAAGAACTCTCAAAGTTTGACAATTAAAAAATAACCCTATAACAACGTGCCAAAGTTTTGAAAAGACACTTTACCAAAGAGGTTCTACATATGGCAAATTAGCACATGAAAAGATTCTAATGAAGGAAATGCAAATTAAAAACCACAGAGAGGTACTGTTACACAGCTGCTAGAACAGTTGACGTTTTTAATGAACTGACAATATCAAGTGCTGGTGAGGATGTGGAGCAACTGGAACTCTCCTTCATTGCTGGCGAGAATGCAAACTGGTACGGCCTCTTTGGAAAGAGAATTAGTAGTTTCTTATAAAGTTAAACAAACGCTTACCATTTGACCTAGCAAAACCCCCCAGATATTAACCCAAGTGAAAAGAGAACACAAAACCCTGTATACAGATGTTTATAGCAGAATTATTAGTAATTATCAAAAACTAGAAACAATCCAAATGTCCCTCATTTGGGGATGGATAAACAAAAACTGGTACAGACACACAACGAAATACTACTCAGAAATATAAAGCAATAAAACGATTGATGCACACTGGGAGGCCGAGGTGGTAGATCTCTTGAGGCCAGGACTTTGAGACCAGCCTGGCCAACATGGCGAAACCCTGTCTCTACTAAAAATACAAAAGTTAGTCGGGCGTGGTGGTGCGTGCTTATAATACGAGCTACTTAGGAGGCTGTGGCATGAGAATTGCTGGAACCCGGGAAGTGAAGGTTGCAGAGAGCAGAGATCATGCCACTGCACTCCAGCCTGGGCGACAGAGCAAGACTCTGTTTCAAAAAAATAAAACAAAACAAAAAACTTGATGAATAGTGGATGAATCTCAAATGACTATGCTTAAGTGAAAGAGGCCAGACTCAAAAGGCTATATGATTCTATTATAGGACATTACAGGAAAGGCATAACTAGGAATAGAGAATAGACTGCCAGAGGTTAAGGGTCGGGGAAGAGCTTAACCACAAAGGGGAAGCACAGGAGAACTGGCTGGGACTGGAGGAGATGCCAGGGGAGGTGCTAAGATTGTTTTGTATCTTAACCACGGTGGTGGTTATATAATTTTTTGCATTTGTCAAAACTTGCTCTTCTACCAAAATAGTGAATTTTTACTAAATATAAATTAAAAGGAAATTTCAAAAAAAATTAAAATGTTACACACATTTGCTACAAAATAAATTTAAAACAATTCAAAACTACATAAAGTAGAAGACTCCCCTCACTGCTTTCAACCCCAAATCTTAGAGATAAACTTACAGAATTGTTCCTATGTACATATATATATATGACCTAAATCCAGTAATATGTATATTAATCTATTGAAACATATAGTTACAAAATGGTTATTTTACAAAATATAAGTATGTCACATTTTTTCTGAATGGATAGCCAAAAACCCTAACACCATATATTGACTAGTTCAGTGACTTAAAATGGCAGGGTTAAGATACAGTAAATTCCCAAAGAAATGAAGTTGGGAATTTTTGCTCATCAGAATTCTGGGAGTCTCCTGGGGAATTTCCATCAGCAGAATTCCGGGAATATCCCGCTCTCCAGAAAAGCAGCCAACTGGGGAAAAAAACTACCCTTCCCAAGGGCTGCCCTCTGTGGAGGTGGTCACAAATTGGGAACACAATGTATGGGGGGCAGGGAATGGTGGGGGAAGAGAAAGTTAGAAAACCACGAAGACCAGAGAGATGGGGACACATTTTTAGAGGCTGCCGTGAGTTTGCACCTTGCAGGAGAGTGAAGGCTATTTAGACAAGATTTCTGGAAAATATTTTAGGGAGTATACTTTGTGAAATCCATGAATATACTCCTTTAGGAACAAGTAAAATAAAGATCTTCATATTCAAGGCTTCCACAGTCAGATTTCTGATTTACATCCACTAGGCCATATGGGGCCCTAGAAATAGTTGGGTTATATTATGTATACATGGGTCTATTCCCAGATTTTGTCCTGTTCTACTGAACTAATATATGATCCTATTATAGGATCACTCCACTTTAATGATTGTGGGGTTTTAGGGAGTTTTCTTATCTGGTAGAACGAGTCCCCCCTTTATTTTGCTTACAGAATTTTCTTGGCTATTGACATTAATTTATTTTTCCAGTTGAACTTCCGTTTTTTTTCCTTAGAGACAGGGTCTCCCTCTGCCACCCAGGCTGGAGTACAGTGGTGCAATCATAGGTCACTGTAACCTTGAACTCCTAGGTTCAAACAATCCTCCTGTCTCAGCCTCCCAAGTAGCTGGGACTACAGGCACATGCTACCACACTCTGCTAATTTTTTTTTAGAGGCAGGGTCTCCCTGTGTTGCCCAGGCTGGTCTCAAACACTTGACCTCAAGTGATCCTTCCACCTCAGCCTCCCAAAGTGCTGGGATTACAAGTGTGAGCCACCATGCCCGGCCTCCAGTTGAACTTTAGAAATCAACTTGTTAGACTCTAAAGAAAGCAAGTCCCATTAAAAACTTGATTAGAGTTACACTAACCTTATAGATTAATTTATAGAAATGATTCTACTGATGATCCTATCCTTTAGTAGGCTGAAAAGCAATTGCTGGTTATTTAAAAATGACTTCCAGAGATTTGGGCAATTTGGTTCCATAAAGCTTAAACCTAATGAAAAATCTTCATGAAAAAAAAAAAAAAACACAACTTCTAATAAATAATAGTGACTTAAAGCAACATCCTAATCACCAAAGTCCATTGTTTCAGCAATCTTGACCCAACGTTCTGATGCAAATTCCGCTCTAAGAGTGTACTCTTCCCCACTGGCTGAGAGCGCCCCCGTGAAGTTGGAGGCGCACACACAAAGCTGCCGTGATGCTGAGAAACATTTCAGGATCTTAAAAGGATCACCATTGTCAACAAATAGAATCGCAATGAGGCACTGTCTTGAGCTCTTGGTATTTGATATGTGTCTCTAAAGTTCAGAAGAACAGGCACGGCTGGAATGGGAGTTGGTGGGTAATGTGTGTGCTACAAACCACTGGATCTCTCCGAAAAGCAAGCCCATGGGGAGCAGAAAAGTGAGACAAAATATACTTGAGCCAGCTGCTTGCTGTCTTTTCTAATTTTAATATATGACTTGATTTCCAACAAAGTAGCATTGACCCAGAGCTTTAATTTCACAAAGCGCTTGCATTCCAACATTTCCTACTCTTGCAAAAAAGTACTGTGAAATAAATCCCACCATAAATCTGTATTTTGACTAAAAATCAAACCCAGGTTTTAAAAACAGTGCCAAATTATAAATTAATGCATACATTAGGAGACACTTTGGTTACTGAGAAGACAGATAACGTACAACTCTTAAGTATGTCTTTCTCTTTCCTGAGAATTATCACAATGTGAAAACGTTGACTGGGGACAGCTGCCCTGCTACCCTAGATCATTTACATACACTTGTGAAATTCAAGCACATTATCTGCTACTGACAGTGTGATGACTGTAATAAACCAAAGACATTGTTTAAACACACAGTTTTAGTTGACAGAAGGAGCATAAACATGACCCCATTGAACACATTTTCTAATAGTTGTTTTTCTTCAACCAATCCTCTTAGCCAATGTTTCCCTCTGGGATGGAGATCACATAACTGTGCATATCATTTACCTAGAAATACTTCCCTGCCAAATGTTCGGCCTTTTTGAGAATCTGTTTTTGGATTCTGGAAAACCTGAGTACATGAGTGGTTGGTGGGTGCCGGAGACATCCTGGGAGCTTGGGGAGATGTGGAACATTTGGTAGGCTAAACAGAGTATTTTCAGTCATGCTGGTTCTGAAAGCTGTCAGTGAACTCGTGCATGTGAACATGCTTGGGCCAGGCATGTACCCACTCCAGGGTTGCTGGTTCTTGGCACAGCTCCTCCATCTAAGTCCTCCTTCATGGCAGAAGCCAGGTCCCCGCAGCTACAGCCATACTTGAACCTCAGGGCAAAATCCCCCAAGTACAGTTTCTGCCCTCACACACCTCCTGTGGGCTTCTCTTCTATTCTTCCAACATTCTAGTCCCCACATTGACTCTCCACACCCACATTTCCAGTTTACACAAGCAAAGGCCAAAGGTCTGAATGGATAAGAATTTCTAAGCTGCCTGCTTGACTGATTTACATTGCAGGAATGTGTGACCTATATATACACAGAAAGCTTCAGAGGGACATAAACAACGCACACACAAAGACACTGGTCCAGAAGTATGCAGATAACCTGGAAGATGTACGCCATGGATAACTGGGCAGCTATAGCTGAGTTTCCTAGAAAAAAAACATAAAATCACCCACACCGAAGTATTCCCCTAAGCTCCCGTTCCTACCAACTGGCTGGTAGTTTGAGGTAGTGGAAAAAATAAGGCCTCTATTCCTGACTCACACAGTGAGCAGGTTACCAAGTCTTTCTTGATTTCAATGTCCTATAAAGTTAGGCCAATAACAGTTCTCCCTCCTGGATTATCGTGAGGATTAACGGCATTAATGTATGTGAAGTGCCCAGGGGGCACTTGGTTCCCTTTCTTTCTCTCCCTTCACTTAGTTTCATAATGCTCAGTGATTGAGCCAAATTAAAGTAGATTAATTTTCTTATCAAGAAAGCACACCTACTTGTGAAGCATGCATACGTATCTTCTTATCATCTGTGCATTCACATGCAAAGCAAGATTCAGCAGTAGCAGAGTCGGCCAGTTTCTCTTTGCTCAATGGAAGTCTTCCAATGCCCTTGCAGCCATATACCGAGACTGACAGCAACCAGGGAGCTCAGAGAAGTCAGAGGAAGGGCTCACCTGGCTGGACATCTTCCTAAAACTACCAACACTCCCCAAATAGTTACTTGGGTTTAGTAGATCTGTTAAAAAAAAAAAAATCCACAGAAAAGTTTGAGGGTCCCAAGGCACAGCCCTTCTCAAGGTTAGTAACAGGCAAGGAAGGATGGAGTTGGGGGTCACAAGACAGAACCAAAGCCAATTTCTAAAAACTGCAGGCAGCGGGGCCAGGTGTGGTGGCTCACGCCTATAATCCCAGCACTTTGGGAGGCTGAGGTGGGAGGATCACCTGAGGTCAGGAGTTCAAGACCAGCCTGGCCAACCAACATGGTGAAACCCCATCTCTACTAGAAATACAAAAATTAGCCAGGCGTGGTGGTGCACACCTGTAATCCCAGCTACTTGTGAGGCTGAGGCAGATGAATTGCTTTAACTCGATAGATGGAGGTTGCAGTGAGCCGAGATTGTGCCACTCCACTCCAGCCTGGGCAACAGAGTGAGACTCTGTCTCAAAAAAAAAACAAAAAAAAACCAGCATGGAAAACAGATACAGGGTGGTTAAAGTAAGTTACTTTGCCCTGTCTTATGCTGAGAGCGAGCTGAGTGTTGGTGGTCACCAGATGTGAAAGTTCCATGACCGTGTCCCCATACGCATAATCTGTAAGCCTAGGAGAGAGGAGGACAGAGGGAGGGAGGAAATACAAAGAGATTCTGAGTAGCCTTTTAACTGTGATTCACCAAGTTTCTAGTCCAGCAAGAGTGAATGAAACAGATGCACTCTCTACAGATTCCAGTTTTGTGTGACTGAAGAAAACAGAAAATGTTTTAAGAGGCCAACTCAAAGGCTGACAAAATGTCTTAGCAACATTAACTACCTCATTAAAAAAAAAAAAAAAAGGAGGAAGGGCATTTTGTGAGTTAAATGTAAATGAATTAGAAACACGGAATAAATTTATTCTAAAATCCATATTAGACTACCATGATAGAGACTCTGGAATAACCCTCCAGTTAAATAAAAACTTAAGAAGTTTACAAAGGTTTAAAAATAAAGGGCAGAGAGGTGGAGTGGGGAGAAAAGATTGGGGAGATTTAGAAAAATGAAGAAAGTTTGGAAAATAAGCAAAGGACATCAGAGAGACCTTGGAAGCCTGATTGCTTCACACCTTCTTTTCATATTCTTCACTTTGCAGAGACAAGCCAAGTCTTATCACCTTATCCCTGCAATATCACTAGAAATGTAGACACCCACAAAACCACTCAGCAATGCTGGAGCTAAGTGAGATCGATTAAGCTAGCCCAACAGGTAGGTTTCTAGACTTTCTCATGCTGCCTAAAATGTCACATCACCTAATTCAGTCATCATCCAGCCCGCAGCCTCCACCACCCTTCACCTCCATTGGCCAGTTAGCACATGGACATGGTGTGGTCTTTCTCCTCCCGGCCATGCTGTTTTCCATATACACCCACACCTGCTTTCATCCATGCTTCACAAGCACTCCCTGACGGAAAGCTGCCAGGAACAGCTGCTGTTTAGTACAAAGACAGAATCACTCACTCCTACCTTCATGCACCCACACATTCTGTTTGTGTCCTGATTCACTCTTACTTAATTCAAACCTTGAATTAGGAGTTATGTTGTTTACCCATCTGTTTCTCACGAGATTGAAAACTTCTTTAGGAAAAAAATTTGAAACTCCATCTTCCTGGTGCTTAACTCCATGCTTTGTTGAATTGATTTTACCTGGAATCAGGATTTCAGGGCTAGAGATGTGGTTCTGACACCTTTGAGCTCTATGACCTTGGTCATATTTCGAAGCTTCTGTTTTCTCTTCTATAAAAAGGCAATAGTAATACTTCTCTACAAGCTTGTTGGGGGATAACATTGCAAATGAGTATGAAAGACAATGAAGAACTATTCCAAAAAAGGCACTGATTTTTTTCAATCACCCAACTTAGCAGATCCAGTGAATGTTCCATATTGTAAAGATGTCTCTATTCACTAAGAAGTCACAACACTGCTTTGTTGTGCTAACCTCATCCATCCCTCTGCCTCATAGCTTGTGCTCAATCATTTCTAGCTGACATCCTGGCATTCACAGAGGCAAAGTCCACACACAAAATTTCCTGGGAGGAATCCTCTGGTTCACTGTCATCATCATTAGGGAACTCTGTTGAACAGCTACTCAGCTCTGTGCTGACTGGTAGAGACAAGAAGAGAAGCAATTCCTGATCTCTGCCCTCAAAAAAACTAATTATTTAAAGGTAAAGAGGGAAATGAAGAAACATGTGGCAAAGGCTGAGTGGTGTAGGAAGTGTAGGAATTCTAGAGAGTACAGTGCCTGGTGACAGGGTGAGCTGTGAAAAGAGCAGGAACTGAGTTCCAAGAGGGGAAGGAAGGGATGGATTCCAGAGGCATTGTCGAGGAAAATCCAGTAGTATCTGGAAACAACCTGCAGGGTGGGGAGAAGACAGGCAGACACACAGGAAGGGGAAGACTCAAGACGCTCGAGGTGACTGCTGGATTTAGGGCCATTGAGAGAAATCTGATGTCTGCAACGTGGGAATGTTTTGGGAGAAAACATGAGGCTTACAGTTTGAAGTGACAATCACACATCCAAGTGTCAGAGACAGTCACAAGCTGATGCTCCCCAGAAGGGCTCTGAGATGAATGCATAAATTCACTCAAAACCAAAGTTGAAGGGTTGAAAGCAGAATTCATCTCCCAAGAAGAAAGATTTAAGAAACAAGAGGATGGACTGGGCGCAGTGGCTCATGCCTGTAATCCCAACACTTTGGGAGGCCAAGGTGGGAGGATCACAAGGTCAAGAGTTCGAGGCCAGCCTCACCAATATAGTGAAACCCTGTCTCTATTAAAAATACAAACATTAGCCAGGCATGGTGGCAGGCACCTGTAGTCCCAGTTACTCGGGAGGCTGAGGCAGGAGAATCGCTTGAACCTAGGAGGTGGAGGTTACAGTGAGCCAACTGCACTCCAGCCTGGGCAATAGAGTGAGACTCCATCTCAACAAAAAAAAAAAAAAGGAGAGAGAGAGAAAGAAACAGAGGATGAAGGACTGGACCTTGGAGTACATCTTCATCAACAGGGCTGGAAGAGGAAATCATCAATAGAAGAGACAGGCATTATATAGCATAAGAGGCAGCAGCACAAGCCAGAGAGTACAGGACTAGTAAAATGGCCAAAGAGAATTTCAAGAATGATAAACATTCAATGAGGTTACTCATTAGCCTTTTCACATAAGTTTTGAAACTTTCTCCCCTTCTCTGACTATGGCCCTGGAAGTGGACTATAGCCCTGGTTTAGGAATCTCCACCAGGCATGCTGGGGAGATGTGCACAATGTCAGGGCACTGGACCCAGTTACTAGAAAAAGCCACTGGAGATTACCTTTCTGCATGTGGCCCCCTGGGTCCACAGGCAAGTTCCTGATTACATGCAAAAAAATATGTAATTTTAAAAATCCAATCTGGGCCGGGTGCAGTGGCTCAAGCCCGTAATCCCAGCACTTTGGGAGGCCAAGGTGGGTGGATCAAGGGGTCAGGAGTTCGAGACCAGCTTGGCCAACATGGTGAAACCCTGTCTCTACTAATTATACAAAAATTAGCCGGGCGTGGTGGCAGGTGCCTGTAATCCCAGCTACTCGGGAGCCTGAGGCAGGAGAACTGCTTGAATCTGGGAGGCGGAGGTTGCAGTGAGCTGAGATCACGCCATTACACTCCAGCCTGGGTGACAGAGCAAGACTCCGTCTTGGGAAAAAAAAAAAAAATCCAATCTGATTTCATTCTTCTCCCTACACATTCTAATCCTGACTTAAATCTCTCTATGGCTTGACTTAGTTGCAAAGAATTAAAAACAAAGGGAGATAAAAGAGAATAAAATCTGGCTGGGCAGGGTGGCTCATGCCTGTAATCCCAGCACTTTGGGAGGCCAAGGCATGTGGATCATCTGAGGTCGGGAGTCTGAGACCAGCCTGGCCAACATGGTGAAACCCCATCTCTATTAAAAATACAAAATTAGCTAGGTGTGGTGATGGGCACCTGTAATGCCTATGACTTGGGAGGCTGAGGCAGGAGAATCACTTGAACCTGGGAGGTAGAGGTTTCCGTGAGCCGAGATGGTGCCATTGCACTCCAGTCCGGGCGAAAAGAGTGAAACTCCATCTCAAAAAAAAAAAAAAAGAGAATAAAATCCAATTCAACTAAATAAATTGTGGAATCCCTACTGTACACACAAGAGATCTACACACTAACTGGGGATAAAACAATACACGAGAAGACCATGTCCTGGCTGGACACGATGGCTCACGCCTGTAATCCCAGCACTTTGGGAGGCTGAGGCAGGAGGATCGTTTGAAGCCAGAAATTCGAGATCAACCTAGGCGACATAGTGAGACCCCATCTCAATGGAAATTTTAAAAATTAGCCAGGTGTGGTGGTGTGTGCCTGTAGTCCTAGCTACTTGGGGGGCTGAGGCAGGAGGATCACTTGAACCGAGGAGTTGGAGGAGGCAGTGAGCTACGATTGCACCATTGCACTGCAGCCTGGGTGTCAAGAGTGAGACTCTATCTCTAAAAAAAGGAAAAGGAAGAAAATTTAATTAAATAAATGCATAAAAGACAGACCAGGTCCTTGTCCAGCGTAGGGTCTAGCCAGGATGGCAGATGATTTAAAAAGCAGTAGTTCAGGTGCTATAAAGAGTGTTGAGGGGCTGGGCACAGTGGCTCATGTCTGTAAAGCTAGCACTTGGGAAAGATGAGGCAGGAGATCATTTGAAGCCAGGCAATCGAGGCCAGCCTGGACAACAGAGCAAGACCCCATCTCTAAGGGGAGGAAAAAGAGTATTCAGGAAGATCTAACCAAGTATAGGCCATCAGGATTCTCATGAAAGAGTGGCATTTAACTGACATTCTAAGAATGAGGTTAGCTGAGATTCCAATGTGATCCAAACTGAATGATATAAAGCAACAGGTAAAAGTTTAAGATATGCCAGTATAAAAGTATACAAATTTGCCAAATTATAACTGTCCAAAAAAAAAAGTAAAACCAAAAACCTGAGGAGTAGAGAAAATAGAGGAAAAGGCATTTGTGCCTCATTTCAACTTCTGATGTTGGAATTGGTTCCACAGAGTAAGGACAAGCAGGAAGAGCTCGTTGCTGGAACATGAAGGCAAGTCATTAAACCGGAGCACCTGCAAACAAACCAGTGTCTGGCAAGGCCCCCAAAATATAGTCAGTGATCGGAAGATTTCCCATTACTGTGATGACTGGCATCATACAGGCATTTCCATCAGGATGTTTCCATCTCACGCAGTCAGTTATATGACTTCTATGGAATCCCATTGATTTTCTCTTTTTGGTATTCTATTCATTTCTAATAGATGTGTATCCTTAGTGATTATGCATCCAATGCACACAGGGGTCATCAAACTATGTTACAAAAAGGATTCCAACTTTGAAGGAATCTACCTGTTGAAGTAAGGAGGAAAGGGAAGCTCTGTGTTTGATGGAAGGATTTTGTTGGATAGAATGAGAGTTCCTCTCCCTTTCTCTTTTATTTAAGCTGTTAAGAATAAATGGCAGCCAGTGCATCCCCAAACAGTTGAGGGAAAATTTTTACATGAGACATCAATATTTACTCATGTTTGAGTCTTCCTCTTGAAGACACTACTATAATAAGGGGTAACCACAGGAATAACAGCAATAAGATTTTGCAACACAATGCACATCGGTTCGCAAACCACGGTATCCAACTGGCTACCAGGACCAAAGACAGTTGCTCCCTACAGCAAGAAGGCCTTTCTCTTCCCTTGCACGGAGCCAAATCCTGTCTATGAAGGTTGAACTCTGGCCTTGACAACCCCGTTAAACTTGCTCAGCCTCTGGGCCACAGTGAGGTCTTTCTTGCTCTGAATATTCCTCATCCGTAAATGAGGGAATGAGATGATTTTGAAGGTCCCTTTTTGGTACCAAGGTACAATGATTTTATGACTAATATTACACTAGGAAACAATATGTCTCTCTAATATTTCTCAACCACATTTAAAGTTTTTGCCTTTTACTTCTATCTCCCACAGTGTTCTTCCTGTACTTTGCACAGGGTATCAACTGAACAAATATTAGTTGAATACGTGTGCAAAGAACAAAATATTAATGCATGCATATCAACTTCTCCAGCTCTGCTCAATCATCTCAGTTCACAAGGAGGTGAAGTAATAAACTATAAACTATTTACTTACCTGATATTCCCATGGGTGATCCAGACTGTAACTACGAAAGGCAAAAGACTATATTTGCACCATGCACAATTAAGACTTTGAGATTAGGTGATTTATAGCTAATAACACACTAAATAACAGAAGAGAGATTATTTTTTCTAATCCAGTCTTTGATGGATGAGGCAGAGGGCATTAAACAAAGTCACACAGAAGAAAGCTGAGGTCCGAACTAGAAACAGAGCTCAGGCCTCCAGAGGAGAGAAAACGAGTGTTCTGTTCACATCACTGTATTGCCTTTCTGGGCAAGAGCCACCAAATACTGAGTGCTTGCATGGCCTCGGGTTCTTATTTTCCTCCTTCATGTGGTCTATTTTTGGGAGAGCTTGAGTGTATCCAAGATTCACAGCTAATGATGTGATGTATTAACAGCCAATCCAAAAAGCTTCTGCTTGGAAAATTTCCCCAAATTTGGCTAATACATGTTTAGGAGGAGGGGGGAAAGGAACAGTAGACCTTGGATTGCGTTACAACCCAAAGGCCCACAACACTGACACTGATTTGTTCACTAAAAAATAATATTGATAGGCCGGGTGCAGTGGCTCATGCCTTTGTGCTCATCCCAGCACTTTGGGAGGCCGATGCAGGCGGATCACCTGAGGTCAGAAGTTAGAGAACAACCTGGCCAACATGGTGAGACCTCATTTCTACTAAAAATGCAAAAATTAGCCAGACGTGGTGGCTAATGCATGTAATCTCAGCTACTTGGGAGGCCGAGGCATGAGAATCGCTTGAACCCGGGAGGCGGAGGCTGCAGTGAGCCGAGATTGTGCCACTGCACTCCAGCCTGGACGACAGAGTGAGACTCCATCTCAAAAACAAGAATAATAATAATAATATTGCCAGTAATGCTGCACCTGTGGTGAGGGCCTCAGGAAGAGTCAACCGCCCACAAGCAGAGAGGCTCCACAAGACCTAAATCAGCCTGGTGTCTTTTAGATTCCCCCACAAGTCTCAAGGCCAAGGACAGAGGGACAAAAGGAAGGAACACTCACTGGGCACCACTAGGGGCTGGACTTTGCACATACATCCTTCACTCCACACAGAAACTATCCCATGATGAGGTCACATGTCTGAGATTTGAGCAGAAGTCTGTTGGATTCATGGCCATCCTCCTTTAAGTATATATCACGCTACCTCCCACAATTCTAAAATAAAGTCCTCACTTAATATTATAGAAAGGTTCTTGGAAACTTCGGCTTTAAGTGAAACCAATATAAGAAACCAATTTTCCCACAGGCCAATTGATATAAACAAGAGTGAAGTTCCTACAGCACGTTTCTAGCGACAAAAACATCAAACTTCCAAACAAAGGCCAAGAGATTTCTAATATGAAACACTGAAATAAATATGAACTACATAAACATTGAAGAATGATTAATAAAATGAAGTAGGGTAAGTATTTACCCAGTTTTTCCAGTTCAGGGGTGCAGGTGGCCAGAAGCTTCTCAGCAGCTCAGGGTGCCAGGCGGGGGCCGGCCCTGGACAGGACACCCCCCAACACAGGGCGCACTCACATGTACACCCACACTCACTCACACAGGGACCATGTAGGCACGCCTGTTCACCTCATGTGCGCAGCTTTGGGACATGGGAGGAAACTGAAGGACCCAGAGAAAACCCACGCAGACATGGAGAGAACGTGCAAACTCCACACGGACAGTGGCCAGGCCAAGATTAATGTTTTTCATCAACGTTATAATGAAACAACATTGAATGAAACGATGTTGTTTGAGGACTTTCTGTACAACTTACCAGAGACTTTCCTTTCTGACATTCTGTCTTCCAGGCAGTTGATGTGCATTCCAACATAGTTAAAACCTTGTAGGGTGTGTTAATAATGAGCTATGCCAGGCGTTCGTTATACTACTTGAGAATAGGCCCCCGTAATTCTCATGACAGGGTACCCAATTCCCAAAAGAAAAAGGCAGTATAAAGGATATGTTTTCATTCGTGATAGAGATCACATCAACTTCTTCCCAATAGGAAACAATATGTTTCAATGTAGAAAATTTCAAACTGTAGAAATGTATACACTAAAAAAAGCTATGTATGTTCCCACATACAGAAAAGCTAAGCAACTTCTACAAGATAAAGGAAGCCCTATTTGGAGAGGTTTCTCCCTGACTGGGAGAAAGAAGGCACTCTAGTTTCAGTGCTGGGAAGAAGAGGGCAAATAGTTGTGTTTCCTGGGGAACCGCTTGGGCTGAAATAACATGACATTCTGAAATCCATCGAATACAGAAATAATGACCCCATTACCAAGTCCAAAGAACTGAGCCAAGCCACACCCGTGGGCAGAGAACTCAGATTTACAGCCAGCTGTTCAGGTATTTTCTCATTTTCCATGAGCCATTTCCTTATTGACCACATGAGAAGCAGAGAGGCCTTTTTATAGAATTTGCAACCATTACGCCTAGAGATAGATATCAATAGTGCTTTGGGTTTCCCCTGATTAGTCAATTTACTTCCTCAGCTGGTAACAACCTACCAAATGTGGTACAAAACAAAGTGCAAAAACAAATAAATGCTTCCTCTTCTCCCTAGGTTCTAAGCTCAGGATTACAGGGTCAAAAATCATCATTCTCTCTACAGAAAGAAAAATAAGGTCAATAAGCTGCAGTGTCGAATTTTACCAAGATTATTTCAAAGCACAGAATTTTAAAGTATCTATTTTTAAACTGCAGGATCTCTTCTGCCTACTTAATAAGATGGGTACCAGAACAAGGTTTTGAAACTGCATCAGAAAATAGAAACTTACGAAAATGACAATGTAATATTTGACATATTTTATTGTATAGGCACTATTATAAACTGCAAAGGCCATACAAATGGAGGCTACTGTTATGATCTGACAGAGGAACTCTGGACTAGCACAATCCTTCGCCAAACATCTCCTCTCTTGCAGTCAGCATCGGAGAACCCAGTTCCCACACCAAGTGTAACAACCAACACAGACTCTGATTCTGCAGCAGACCTACACCCCTCCAACAGCTGTAGCGTGCTTTCATCTCTGCTATTCAGGTTTGGCACAGAAAAGAGGATTTTTGACAAAAGCAACTTTTAGGCCCTGAAAGAGAAGAGTTTAAAATGCAGTTTGCCCTGCAGGCACGCGTTCCTTTCGTTGGGCCCCAGCTCTCTTCTAGTGACCCAAGCCCACCACTCTCCATCCAGCTGCCACCTGATCCTTTCAGGAAAGATCTGCCTTCCCTCTTCACCGCACAGCTGAGAGCAGGAGATAAGAAATATTCCTGGGACGTGGCCTCCCTGTCCTGGGGAATGGAGCTGAGTCAGGGCAGAGCAGTGACCCTTCCCATCTAGCTGTGTCCATTTTATTATCCCACAACTTAGCAAAGCACTGGCAGAAGACAGGAGTGCTGTAATATCTTTTAAAATAAAAATAAAGACACTGGGCCAGGCACGGTGGCTCACACCTGTAGTCCCAGCACTTTGGGAGGCCAAGGTGGGTGGATCACGAGGTCAGGAGTTCGAGACCATCCTGGCTAACACAGTGAAACCCCATCTCTACTAAAAATATAAAAAATTAGCCGGGCGTGGTGGCGGGAGCCTGCAGTCCCAGCTACTGGGGAGGCTGAGGCAGGAGAATGGCGTGAACCCGGGAGGCGGAGCTTGCAGTGAGCTGAGATTGCGCCACTGTACTCCAGCCTGGGTGACACAGCGAGGCTCTGTCTCAAAAATAAATAAATAAATAAATAAAAATTAAAAAAAAAAAAAAACAAAGACACTGGATAGATGTACTCCTACGATACTCCAAAAGCCTCCAAAAATAGCCTCAAGCAGCAGCCGAATTACACCAGGCCAAAATCTCAGTGGAAACCATCCATCCAGTCGGTTACATTTGTGGGTCCATAATGAAGCTATGAGAGTCAGGTTCAAGTTTTCACATCTCTAAGGTAGTATTTAAATATAAACTAAAGGTGACAACTCATTAGCCCATTCATGACTCATTAGAGCTTCTAGCAGGTCAGAGTTCAAGGAGGAAATGACCAGCCCCCAACATATCAACAAACTCCAAGCATTTTTAATGGACTCTACTATTTCTTAATATTCAGAACTAGTAAAAGCTATAAATCCTTAGTGTCAAGATTCTTTGGGCATCATAGCCAAAGATAATCCATTGGAAACCCTGAGCCAACTCCTTCCTCCTGAGAAATTTCTGGGAAAGTTTCTGTAGGAAGAGGCTGTCATGCCAAACTTTTCCATGCCCAAGCACTGTTCCTGTTACTTCTCAACACACTAACATTTTGGTAGTCTTTCTCAACCAACATTCCCACCTCCGCCCCCTAGCCACACCCTCCTCACTCCTCAACAACCACTGAGTGTCAAGGCTAGGTCAACAATCTACGACACGATTCCCAAACACTGCAAGGTGAAATGGCAAAACTCAAGTCACAGTGCTAAGATTTAAAAAGCACATCCAGACTTCCTCTGTGTACAAGTCCCTGGCCCTGAACACACCCGAAGGCCAAGTTCGAAGGCCTTACCTTTCAAGTGCCCACACAGAGAACAGCCAGCCCATCCAATCCAACCTTTCCTATAAAAGTCAAAGATGAAACAGGGGTCTTCAAAAGGAATCCATATCTCTGAAATTGGCTGAGTCATTCTCAGCATGGACTCTGAGGAGCCTAAGAAGGGGGCTAAAAGCCCCAGTCACGTTGGATCCAATCGGAAGCCTCAGGAAAAAGTGTCATTTGGAAGACAGAGGAAAACTGGTGGGACTTGAGTCACTAATTTACTTCTAAAACACTTAGGATCATCTATGATTTCAGCTTAGACTTAAAGTGGAATGTTGGCACCTTTTCTTCAGGAGGAGGGTTACAAAGTAAAGTTGGAGCAAGGGAGGAAAAGTTCATTAAATTAAGTCTTGATAAATATCTAAATGTATTTTGTGCAACACAGGATACATTCATTCCTTGGCCTACAACTCTTTGAGCAATCTAGTCTTAAGAAGGGGCCCAAGAAAGATTCCAGGGCCCGGTGCTCTGTGATATGGAAAATGGTTTGCAAGCATCTGATGTTTCCTGGGGAGAAGGGAGACATATCAAAAGTAATGGGACATGCATTAATTAGACAAGTTATGACCAGTGGGCCCAGCAGAACCATTCTTATTGCTTATCCAAAATCTCTGAACCACTGTATGAAGAAAACTTGCTGCCTAGAATAGTCCTGTAAGAGTATCCCCCCATGGCATCCTGCAGGCTTTGCTGAAAAAATAAGGTGAAAGGCTTTTCCCGATGGCTTCTGGGGCTTAAAGGGAGAAAGGGCCATGAGGAGAACTGGCCAGGCTGACCCCATACAATGAAGTCATAGAGAACACCAGAGAATCTGTATTATTAGGCAACAAAAACGCACCTGAAACTCATCATGATCATCAATAACACCATCAAAACATGTAGTAAGAGCCTGATTACAGGACCTATCATAGGGAGTGAACTGAGAAAGTTCCAAAGCACCAAAACCACTCTTGCTTGTAAAGTTTATAATGGGGGGAAAGGAGAGGATCATTCCAATTTTTATATTAAAATAAAAGATTTAAGATTAAATAAAAAGTGAAATAAATTAACAGTACTAAATAAAAATATAAATGAGCAATATTGCACTACTTACCACAACTTTTAAAATGAGATGCTTAATGCCTAGAGCCAAAAAGAACAATGAGGCCATTCGTCCATTAATTACTATCTCATTATTGAGGAGTTTTATTGACAGCACTATTGTTCTCTTTAATTATTTTTGGCCTAAACTCTTTAGCCCTTATGAAAATCATTAGTAATAATGTATTTGGGCTTCTCACACCTAGCTTAGGTAGTATCTTCACATACCTTTGATGCCAGTCACAATGAAGGCACAATATCTTTCTTAAGCAAACCCATGGCTGTAATCAAAACAGAGCCATCAACAGGCTCTGATTCACTCCCTGCTTCTCCCCAGTGCTGTCATTTGCATGTAATGCTAATATGGGATTTGAGGACATGGGTTAGGTGTAACCATAGGGTTATGGAAGCCTAGGGAAAGGATTTATGGAAGTTTCTCATCTGAGACTTGGAGAGAATCTCATCCAGTAGAGAACGGCCTTGAGATCTGCACCCAACCTAGTGGCTATCATTAATACTAAAGAAAAGAAGGCAGGGGAACGGGAAATAAGGTTTATTGGCATACTGAGAAGTATTACCAGAGTCCAACATTAGAATGAAAGACTATACTTATGTAAATCCTTTATCTCGGTAGCTCTTAGATAAGCCATATAAAACAGCTTAGTCACAGGGCCTAAACTAAATTATATCCAGAACTGAATTGAGTCAAAGGTCATACAATACTTACAAGCCTAGAACTAATGTAGACAGAACTTAAACCGTGTCAGAAAAAAATCACAATTTGCCTTTTCCTTAAAAGTCTCTGAAGAATGTATTAATACATTCTGAACTCCAAAACCTCCCTTCCTCACGGTAATGTAAGGAAGTTCAAACTGATATCAAACCTAAATAATCCCCGAGCTATTACTGTCCGCTCTCTCTTTTTTTTTTTTGAGATGGAGTCTCCGTCTGCCTCCCAGGCTGGAGTGCAGTGGCGCGATCTCGGCTCACTGCAAGCTCTGCCTCCCAGGTTCATGCCATTCTCCTGCCTCAGCCTCCCCAGTAGCTGGGAATACAGGCGCCCGCCACCACGCCCGGCTAATTTTTGTTTTTGTATTTAGTAGAGACGGGTTTTCACCGTGTTAGCCAGGATTGTCTCGATCTCCTGACCTCGTGATCCGCCTGCCTCGGCCTCCCAAAGTGCTGGGATTACAGGCGTGAGCCACTGCGCCCGGCCTACTGTCCATTCTCACATCCCTGCTGTCTCTAGAAATAAAGAAGATTCTTCTCCAAGGTGCCGATGACACCTTTCCCCACCATTTTCCGTTCCACCCGCCTCTCTCAGGCCCCTAAGCTTCATGCCTTGACCACTGAGATATCTTTTTACCTGGTTCCCCTATCTCCGGCCTTTACGGTTTCCTAGAAAATGCTTTCCAACATTGTATCCCCTGCCTCAAAAACCTTCTGGACTCTCCAGCGTCCAGAAAATAAAGTTAAATTCCATGAAATGGTAGTCAAGACCCCTGACAAATTGAACTGGGCCCCAATTCACCTTTCCAACCAAATATCTACTCAGCATAACCTGCCACTTACTCAGTATTCAAGAAATACATTTGCCACGCTCTGGCCTCTCTCTGCTGCCGACTCTGGTCCTACAGATAGTGGTTACAAGCCCAGCTCAAGAGCCATACAGCTCTGCTTTTGAGTTTGGCTTCACCACTTAGTAACTTGCGTGGCTTTTGACAAATTCCTTTAAGTTTGATAAGCCTTGGTTTTTCTACCTGTTGAAAAGAGATAATAATAATGCATAGCTCAAAAATATATTACGAGAATAAGATAATTCATGTAAATGCTTAGCACGGTGCCTGGGAAGTAGCATGTACCCATTATTCACTTTTTAAATTACTAAATTAAATGAATTATTTGCAGTTCTTTAAGGCAAAACTCAAATTCTACCTACAGCTAGAAACTTTTTCCAAACATACCTAAGAATTCCTCTTCAAACTCCCACTGCACGTAAGTTTCCAAACATAATTTAGCATCAAATAGCTCTCCGGTTCTTTTTAAGCTTTATATTTTGGTTTTCCTCTACCTAAAATAGAAGTTTCTTGAGAACATATACTGTGTATTATTCTCTGAACCTCTTCAGAACTTATTTTAGGGCCAGACACATCATTGGCACTCAATTAATAGTCCCTAACTGAGGTAAGAGGTGGGACCTGGATACAGGACCAAAGTGAGGACTAGCTGCAACAGGGCCGAGACAGAAGCAGCTTTCCATAAGACACACCCACCAGTGTGTGCCACGTGTTTTCCATTGCCATGGCAACAGCTAGACGTTACCACCCCTTTCCACAGCAATGACCAGATGACCCAGAAGTTACCGCCCTCTTCCTAGAAATTTCTGCATAAATTGCCCCTTAATTTGCATATAATTAAAAGTGGGTATCAATGTGAGTGCAGACTGCCTTTGAGCTGCTGCTCTGGGCACACTGCCTGCTCTGCAAGGAGCAGGACCTCTGTTGCTGCTGTACACTGCTGTTTCAATAATCGTTGCTGTTTAATACCACTGCCTTGCCCTTGAATTCTTTCCTAGGCAAAGCCGAGAACCCTCCCAGGCTTAGTCCCAATTTGGGGTCTTGCCTGTCCTGAATCATAAACATTCCAAGTACCAAAGTAACTCCCTATTCAAAATCATCTACCTATATTTTATAAACTACTTCTTTTTTTGTTTGTTTTTTTTTTTTGAGATGGATTCTCGCCCTGTAGCCCAGGCTGGAGTGCAGTGACGCGATCTCGGTTCACTGCAAGCTCCGCCTCCCAGGTTCACGCCGTTCTCCTGCCTCAGCCTCCCGAGTAGCTGGGACTACAGGCGCCCGCCACCATGCCCGGCTAACTTTTTGTGTTTTTAGTAGAGACGGGGTTTCACCATGTTAGCCAGGATGGTGTCAATCTCCTGACCTTGTGATCTGCCTGCCTCGGCCTCCCAAAGTGCTGGGATTACAGGTGTGAGCCACCGTGCCCGGCCATAAACTACTTCTTTGGCACTTATAAACACTTTATATGTTGCTTAAATTTTGCATGTTAAATTTCAAGCTCCAACCGAGTTCCTCGAAAGGACAGGAGTCCTATTTTCTATCTGATGCTCTTCCAGAGAGGCGCCATTCCTATGAGTCTCGATCCCAGCTGCAATTCAAAAGACCTTGTGAGCCTTTAAAAAATATTAATGCTGAGGCCCCACCCGCAGAGATTCTAATTTAATTGGCCTGTGGCCGGGCCTGGTGATTCTGCCGTGTGGCCAGAGCTGAGAAGTAGCTCAGCTCCCAGCACACATCAAAAGTCAACAAATTCTTCTTGACTTGCTAATTGGCAAGTTGCAGACTATAATGAAGTCTCTCAGTGCTTCTGTCTTTGGGTATGTAAACCCTTTTTCTCTAACTTTCCTTTACATGGGCTTCATCCCGATTCTTACTATTTTCTTCCTGATATCATCCAGCCCATGAGCCCGCAATTCACTTACAGAATTGCCATGTAAGCAAAGCTCCCCTGAAAGTGCTATTTGCTGAGCATAACTTCTTCATGTCCGTATTATTTTCAGTAATATCCACTCTGCTAGTCTTTTAATTCTTTTTTTTTTTTTTTTTTTTGGAGATGGAGTCTCACTCTGTCACCCAGGCTGGAGTGCAGTGGCACGATCTCAGCTCACTGCAAGCTCTGCTTCCCGGATTCACGCCATTCTCCTGCCTCAGCCTCCCGAGTAGCTGGGACTACAGGCATCTGCCACCACGCCCGGCTAATTTTTTGTATTTTTAGTAGAGACGGGGTTTCACCATATTAGCCAGGATGGTCTCGAACTCTTGACCTCGTGATCCACCCGCCTCGGCCTCCCAAAGTGCTGGGATTACAGGCGTGAGCCACTGGGCCCGGCCCACTCTGCTATTCTTTAAACACTCTGCTCCACATAGAGTGTCACCATAGCACCAACAGAGAGACTGGGACATCTGTGTATTACAGACCTATTTCAAGCCTGTCTAAGAATGTACTTGGAAACAATCTTGTTATAATTTGGGCTTGGCTATACTGTGGCTGCACCGTGTATACTGTGAGGAGAACATGATCTCAATAGTTCAGGATCTGAAGAGGGTCTGGACCAGGCAGAGTCAGGCACAGCAGAGGGCAGAGAGTTTAATGGATGGCTGTGTGCAGAACTGTGGGGTGAACCCTGCTGTGACTCAACCCTCTCAATCCCAGAAGCAGACATGTATCTTCACCCCACCTGCTGGCAGAAAACTGGGGGATTCTTCTCCAGTGAAACCAAATGGCCACCGTAAATGACCTACTGGCTCTGGTGTTTATAGGCTCCCAACTAACAGCTTGCTCCCTGCCTGGACCCTATAGGGAGGCCTGCTGGCCCACAGGGTGTGCACATATTCATTCATGTACACACAGCCCCACACACCCCTCCCATTCAGTGTCTCAGAGCTTCATTCCTGCAGATAAAGAGACGGCCCAAGTCACTAAACATCTGAGGAAAGCCTCAAACATGAAAGACAGAAATCAAACAAACAGGTGGAAAAAAGGAAACTGGCATAATCAGAGGGAATTCAGGGGGTAGAAGAAAAACTTATAAAGAAAGCTGTCATTAACATCCTCAGAGAGATGAGAAAAAATACTGTATCCAGGAAATAGTATGTGATTTCAAAAAGGAAACAATTCGAGAACAAGAAATAACTTTTGGAAAATAAAAATATGATAGCTGAATTTTCAAAGTAGAAGACAGCTGGAAGATCAAATTGAGGAAAAAATAAAAAATAGATTAAAACGCAAGGATATAGAATATAATATTAACAATAGTAGAGCAAAGACAAATCTGTAGAAAGTAATATTAACAACACTAGGTACTGTTCCATAAACATTTTCTATTCATTTGTAAATGTACATTGACATTTGATCTTTGTAAAAAGGTACCATCAATAATTCCATTTTATAGATGAGGCTATTAAGGCCCATATAAGTTAAGTCAAGGTTCTAAGATAGGACACAGAGTCAGAATACAAAGTAGAGAAATGGGAAGAGAAAGATAAGAAAATTAGTGGATCAACCTAGGACTTGTAATATCCAATTGGTAGAAATTCCAAGAAAAAATAATGGAGGAAATTATAAATAAAAGACTATAACAGAATATTTCTTAACTGCAGGTGAATAAGATGAATTGGCCATCTTAACAATGAATGAAAAAAGACTCACCAAAATGCAGATCATTTTAAAGTTTCAGGAAACAGGATGGAAATCAAGTCCTAAAAGTTTGCAAAGAGGGGAAAAAATCAAACCAGGCCACGTGCACTTTTGATATCACAATAAAAGCACAATAAAAGAACAGCTACTGGTAAAAGTTTCTCTAAGGCAGAACTTAACCTTTACCAGCTCTTCCAAAGTTATCAATCCTAAAAATGGTGAATGGACAGCAATTATCCCATCAAATATATTCACTTTTCACCACGTCATCTAAAAGATGTTCCTGTTTCATAAAAGAGAAACAAGCCTATGGTTTAGTCAGCTTGGTTACCAAGCCCCTGGAGGGTGGGGGGAATGTGTATGTGGTGGGGGATGATAGAGATCCTAGAACAGACCGTTTAAAAATTGTGCTTGAGCCCTTAAAAAAAACACACTGAAGAATTCACTAAAAGCAAGTATTTGGTTGCTTTACTTTTCAGTAGCATCCTAGACTAGTAGATAGACTATCACTCACATCCTTAAACACAAGGCAGAGAACGGTGGGTGGGATGGAAAACATGAATCGCTCGCCTGAGAGAACATGAAATTTCAGAGCATGCTGACATTTGAGAGGTGGGGAAGTTATTCCATTATACTTCAGTTTTGAAAAGTAAATTAGCAAAGGGAGAGAGAGATTGCTCAAAACTTCCATGATTTCTCTGAGAGCTCTTGTATTATCATATGGGTAGCTAGCTCCTGGCCCACAAGGTCTAAGTTATTCTAGATTCTGGATGGTGAATATCACTCCCCTTTGATTAGTTTGAGGGCAACAAAGGTCACAGCCCATCTCTTAGGGTTCAAGTTCAATCGTATTCAATGGGTGTTTGCATGGAAACCTTCTCATGTAATAAATAGTCAAAAATATTTATTGAGCACCTGTGGTAGACAAAATAAACATGGTCTGCTCAAGGAGCTTGCAGTCTAGAGAGAGAAAAATAAACAAATAATCCAATAAAGAAATATATAAACAGATATTTAATCATGACTTGGGGTAAATACTGTACCATGAAAGGAATAAACAGGCTTCAGTGATGGAGCATGTATGGGGGAGGCTGAGGGTGGGGAGGCCGAGATAGTCTCCAAAGAGGAGACATTTCAGAAGAAATCGAAAGGCTGAAAAGCACCAGCCAGAGAGTGTTCCAGAGAGTGGAACAACATAGGTTAAGAGCCAGAAACACGGAAAAGCTTATGTTCTAGGAACAGCAAAGAGGATGTGGATGAAGCACAGTGAAGAGACAGGCAGGGCCAGGTCATGCAGGAACAAAACCGACGCACTGTGAGCTAAGCATCCCTGTGCGGGTTGATTAATGGCTATCTTCTAGGGCCTGTGAGGGGCTGTGGTCCTTGTTTTATTATTCCTTTTTCAATATTTTTACTAAATTTTTACTAAAATGTGTCTAGAAACAAAAAAGGTATTCTATCAAATCTCATGTCACAAAAAAAGTAATGTATTGCATGACATCATCGGGATTTTTAAAGCTTAAAATGGACTAACATCAACAGAACCGAATATATCTTCCAGTGGCTTTCAGGAATCCAATCTCTTTAGCTTCTTCTCTAATCACCAAATGTATTGTTCTAGTCCTTCTGTCAGTCCCCCAAATGCCCCAGGCCTTTCCATGCCATACTCCTGCAGAGGTTGTTCTGTTTGCCCGCTTCTCCTTCTTCACTTGGTTAGCTTTCATCTGTGCTCCAACTTTTTTTTTTTTTTTTTTTTTTTTTTTGAGACGGAGTCTGGCTCTGTCTCAATCTCCTTACCTCATGATCGGCCCGCCTTGGCCTCCCAAAGTGCTGGGATTACAGGTGTGAGCCACCGCGCCCAGCCTGTGCTCCAACCTTTAACAGAGGCGCCAAATCCTCCAGGGTGCTTCTCTGACCCCATCCACACCCTCCTCCACTGCAAGTGAGGGGTAAGAGCCTTTCCTCCGTGTTTGATGAGCATCTTGCATGCATTTTTATCACACCCCTACCACACTGTATGGATAATTTCTGTTTATGCATGTCTTTCCTACTGGACTGAACTTGAATCCAAAAACTGCATCTTAGTCCAGAATCATATTTTCGAGACAACATTTAGTAGAGTGCTGCATATTTAGTAGGTACTCAAAGTTTACTGAACTGTATTATCCACTAATAAGTATAATATGAAAAACATCTGATTTCACAGCTGTCTGTGAAGTGGGGATGAGTAAAACATGGGATTTGGGCTGATCCTAGCGCAAGTCTCAACAGAAGTGCAAAGCATAGACTGTGCATAAAGTGTTATGTCCAATTTTGAAGTCAGGTTTTAAATGACCTGTAACTCTGCAAAAGAGGGTATTGAGAGCAGGGATGGGTTTGGAAACAACGTCATCTAAGGAATTGCTAATAGAACTAAATGAGCCCCTAATGAGGGAAAGCTGTGTCTTCTTCAACTTGTATCACTAGTAAATAGCATCATACGCAAAACAGGTGCTCAACTGAGGTTTCTCAAATGTGTTACATGAAGATGTAGGAGTTTGGTCTGATGTGACTGAGTAGGGTTATAGGAAGCTGTCCTCTCCACCAGCCGTATTCAAGCAGAGACTGAGACCACCATGGAGGCTCTGAGGCTCTGTGGGTGAAGGCTCTACAGCATGCAGGAGGTTAAACAAGTGACTTCTGAGGTCCCATTCGCAAGCTGTAGGACTTAGAGTCTATACTGGAATATACGCAAGAGCAGAGGTGTGTGCCCAACATATCCTAGAATATCCTTCCCGTAGTAGGATATAAAGTAGACCACTGTCAGCTTTATTAATTAGCTGCCCACTAAGTGCTTCCAACTCCATGGGTTGGATACTTGAAAACAGAAGAAAGTCACAGTTGCATTTTTTTAACCTGATTTTTAAAATATTCCTATAAAACCAGTTCTTTAATTACTCCAGTGGTCCCTTTGCTCCCATTCTGTCATCATCAACATCATCATCATCAATTATTTCATGTGAATCCAAAAACTGAGGGTCGATGTCCTAGTTTGCCATGACATGCAGGCTCAACTGAACTAAAGAGGCAGTTATGAACTCAATCACCGTTGAGGCTGGTTAGCCCAGGACTGGGGGGTCCACCTCCTTCAGGGTCCCTTCTCAGAGAGCAGAGCCTTGGGAGGTGCCTGCAGTGTCCTCCCTCCTCCACCTCCCCAAGCACTGTCACAGCAGCCACCTCTCCTACACTAGCTATGTTACTGCAATACAACTGTTGCTTGCACATCTGTCTCCCCACTAGCTGGAGGCTCCTTAGAAGCTGGAACTGTGCCTTATTCACCTTGTATCTCTACATAGGTCACCCAAGGAACAATACAGCCCGGGAATATGAGTGTGCACTCTGGTGTCGGGTAGACCTGAATTTGTGTTTAGACTCTGCTACTACCAAGTTGGGTAGCCCTGAAGGAATTAATCTCTTTGAGCCATTTTTCTAAACTGTGAAAATGAAGACAAAAGTAATAAAGACAAAAGAAACTTGCTGTAGGATTACTGTAAGAATTAAATGAGATTTGTGTGACTTTTATGAATGAAGAGCTCCTTAAATGTTTGTTTAAAACAATGGGCACAAGGAATTTCAGATGAATGTGTGTTTATCATGATTTAGTACCATCCATTTATTATTTTTTAAATATTGATTTAGAGTTACCATAGGCGAGGCACTGTGCTATGCTCAGTAGGTAACAAATATGTTTAAGAAAAAAACCTCTTTGTCCAGGAATTCATAATCTAGTAATGAGATAGATAAGTAACATACATAGGTACCTATAAAGCAAGACAATCACTTAAATGTGGACTAAAGAATATAAGCATTCTAGAAATCAGCAGCAAGAGCAAATACTTCTGCCTGGAGTGGTCAGGGAAGGAGATGGTACATGATCTGGACTCTGAGTAACAGAGATAACTCTGATTGGTAGAAGAAAGAATTGCAAGCATTCTAGGCAGAGGGGACATCGCAACAGAGGCACAAATACAAAACCATGCATGACGTGGAGACTAGGGTCAGAATGCAAAATAGAATTTCTAAACTTTAAACCATTTTTGCCTATTGAAAGTCATCATTTCTTCTATGTTCTCCCGAGAGCCTAAAGGATATGTCAGTACTCTCTGTTCTGTCATCTGTATTCCCCAAACAATCACATTTTATCTATCATCTTAAAGTGTAAAGTTATATTGTCAGTTATGGAACTGCCACAATACTAGTGCTGGTAATAATGGCCTGAACTAAAAGTATCAATGAAGAAATAAACAAAAAAGAACTATAGTTTATAAAGACTAATCAGAGGTAAGGAGTGAAGGAGATAAATAAAGGGTACTTGGAGCCCCATGCCTATGTGAGGGGACAAATGGGGATCCCATTAAATAAATAGGGATGGATGTCAAAAGAAAGGGTTCCCTAGGAGGCAGCGGTAGCAGAAAGGTGATGAGTTTGGTTTCAGACTTGCAAACTCTATCATCACCCCTTCTAGAAAATTAACCCAAGTCAACTACCCTCAAGAGTGTGAGTAGCCTACTCTTGGCACATTAAGGAGAGTTATTTTATTGTGCTGTAGTCGGGATATCCCAGAATTGAGCCACATCCAGAGGAAAGAAATGCTTCTGTCCAAATGCTCTGAGGCCTTAAATCCCTTGGAGCATTAAAAGGGACTGGATATCATTGCATCAGATGGAAATGTCTCTCAGATCAAGCGGTGGTCACAAGGATGCAAAAGTCAGATCAAGAGGCTATACGTATGGATGTATATATAACCCACATATTTTTGCATACTTCCAAATTGCATTGTTTATGCAGCTGTTCACAAACTCAGCATCTATGTTTATTTTTGTCCTCAGAGGAAAAAGAGAGGAGAGTTCTGCCTATTAGGCACAGCAAGATCAAAGAGCCCCCTAAACAGGCTGAGAGAGTGCTCCATTCAAGTCTTCCATCTGAGAAAAGATCAAAACAAGACTGATGCCCTCGGAATGGCTCCTCCACCAGGAAGCTTGCAAGGGCACCTGTCGGAATCCTCCATTCACTGCTCACACCAAATGGACAGGCTTTGTGTCTTCCTGGGAATGAAACATGAAATAACAGCAAGGCCCTCAGAAGAGAAAAGAATTTCCCACCAGGCTTATTAGCCAACATTACTCTCGCAGAACAGGTAACATCACTGTTGTTTTATCAACCAAGTGGGAGGCAGGGAAAAGCCCGGAAAGGTCAACTGACAAACTAAAGGTTATCCAGCAATTTGAAAGTGGACTTAGGAAGTGGGCAGATGGCAGACACTTGCTTTCTCTCTTGGGCAAAAGGGGAAAAACTGATGCCCTTGTGTTTTCTTTCTCCATCTCTGCTATGTGTCACCCTCTTAATTGGTTCTAATCACCCAAAGCAAGGTGATAAGTGTCACATGGAGTGATACTGAGTCCCACCATCATTTTGGTTGGCGCATGAGACAGGCATGCCCTTGTAATCTGTGGATGGTGCACTGTTCACCCCGTCAGCCTGCAGCCTCCCTCGCTGCCCTCTCCAAGCTGACTGGGGTTTTCTTCAGGACGTGGCAACGTCATTCAGAACCGTGACCAAAATGGCTGTGTAGCAATGTGTGTAGGTATGGGTGTAGCAATGAGTGCAGCAATGTGTGTAGGTATGGGTCTCCACAGTGGTCCTTGTTGAAAATTTCAGGACAACATAGATACTGGATTATTTTTCATGAAATCTTTGATAGAATCATTCATTAGAGTGGATTTCCAGTGCAGGACTCCAAACCCTTGTTCTGGTGGTGTCCTTATACCTGCTGACCTTTCTGTGCCTTTCAGAAAAGTACTAGTTAGCCTGGGCAACATAGCAAGACCCTGTCTCTGAGATAAATCTTAAAAATTAGCTGGGCATGGCAGCACACATCTGTAGTCCCATCTATCTACTCAGGAGGCTAAGGCAGGAGGGTCACTTGAGCCCAGGAGTTCAAGACTGCAGTAAGCTATGATCACACCACTGTACTCCAGCCTGGGCAACAGAATGAGATCCTGTCTCTAAAAAATATTTAAAAAATACAATTTGCCATGTGATCCAAACTCCAATTGTAATGAAAGCAACCAAAGACTATTTCAGCAAGAAGCAGGATGAGGGCTAAGTTACTGTTTTCCCATCCAGGCACTGGAAATTCCACATAAAATCTATAGTAGGAAATGCCAGCCAGTTGTATGGCAAACGTAAAATGGACAGTCATAAGGGGAAGCGGGGCACCACCACCTCTAGCTGGGGAAACACTCCCAGAGTGCCGAGTGGGGACTGTGGCCTACGGTATGTTGGAAAATGGTGGTGCAAGAGTAAAGGCTGCCTCTCCTGAAGGCTGAGAAACCAGTAGCAGCCTCCTGGAGGAACTAGGAATAACATGCAGAGACATCTAGATTTCACACAAGCCTTTAAATATGAGCCAGTGCAAGGCCATCTCATCCCCATGATAAAAATTAAGTTTGCAACACTGCCCTAATATATCCACTTCAATTTCTTCCACCACCTATTTTATAAGCAATTAGGAGTGCAGTAGAAGAAACAATTTCAAAGTAAATGACTGACAGTGGCCACCTGACTGGGGAACCCAAAGGGGCTGGAAAAACCCACTTGAGCTGGGAGCTCTGTAAAGCAGCAGAGCCGCAGGTGAGGCCATTGCAACACGAGGACAGCTGAGCCTTCTTTCAAGGACACCATTAGTATTCCACCTGGTCTTACTACATGCCTACTTCTCCAAATATGCATTTGCATATAGAGTTGATTTGCAAATACCATTCTCCTCATCTGAATACCTTCTTCACTGTGTGCTGTTTGGCTCCTCACTTGGCCTGAATCACTTCCTTCCTGGAATGTCTTATGTTATGATAGACTTTAAGCTCCTTGAGGACAAGGACTCCCAGGGTTTTTGTTGTTGTTTGGTTTGGATCTCCCTCTGTGTCTACAATGGCATCTTCCATAGCTTAGGCATTCAAGTAGCAGTTGTTGACTGAGTGATTAATTCACTGATTTCTCCTTTAGAGGATCTGCTGGGAACCTGAGACAAAGAGAGTTAACCAACCAGTTAATCCTCTGACCACTGAAGTCTCCCCAGTATTTACAAAATAGTGGATTGATTGCTTTAATTTCTGAAACATTAAATTTCATTAACAGCATTTTCATGAATAGCTCATTTTTCTCTGTATAAAATACTATAAATGAAAGGGCACCATTATTAGCCCTTTTTTTTACAGATGGGGAAACAGTGACATTTGAATATTAAACGGCCTGCCTAGTCATGCACTGATTTTTACATTCACTCACTCATTTATGCATTCAAACAGCTGTTGGATGCTTATCAGGCCTATAATAGTATGATATCCCTGACAGTTTACATGCACACTTTGTCTTTTAGTCATCATAACAATCCTGTGTAGTGAGTATGCCTTTTTTTTTTGGAATGGGGAAACAAATGCTCAGTGTGTCTAAGCAATGTGCCCAAGCTAACATGCTAAGAAGTAAGGGACTGAGAATTCAAGCCAGGTCTGTGCCCCCAAAGCTGCAGGCTTCTGCTGGTATACAGCGATGCCTCTTAAGGAAACCCTGAGACACATAGTTGGATGGAAAGCCAAGCTTCACACCTCTAAAATGGCAGTCATTTCACCTCATCCCATACACTACGATGATTTATATTTGTTCATACACTTCTATGTAAGGATATTTATGTCTTTTGCATATTTATTTTATCTGAAAAAAAAAAAAACCACTGTCAACCACATGTTCTGGAAGTTGGCCTTCATTTCTTTGAATGCTTTTTTTTTTTTTTGAGACAGAGTCTTGCTCTGTTGCCCAGGCCGTAGTGCAATGGTGCAATCTTGGCTCACTACAACCTCTGCCTTCTGGGTTCAAGCGATTCTCTCACCTCAGCCTCTGAAGTAGCTGGAATTATAGGTGTCTGCCACCACACCTGGCTAATTTTTGTATTTTTCGCAGAGACGGGGTTTCACCATGTTGGCCAGGCTGGTCTCCAACTCCTGACCTCAAGTGATCTGCCCGCCTCAGCCTCCCAAAGTGCTGGAATTACAGGTGTGAGCCACCGTGCCCGGCTTCTTTGAATGCTTGATCCACTTATCACAAGTCTCTACCTACAAGGTGCTATGGACAACTTTGGCCAAATGGATCAACCTTGCAGAAGCCACTGTGTGTAAACTGCAGGCTGGAGTTAGTTGCTCTTTCTGATCTTGTGTCTACATATCCTATGTCAATTTATAGTCACTACAACCTCTTTCTAACCACAAAATTGCATGATTAAATTATTGAAGTCTAAAATTTTTAAAAAATAATTTAAAGAAATAAAGCCACTTTACCTATTTTCCAACCCCTCTGGTTTCCTCCAGGACTCACTATCACCCATTATCCAACTTCCTCATAAACCTCAAACTGTCTATACTTTGCTTTAAGCTAAAAAACAGGTGGTCAAGTCTCTGCCATACTAAAACTATGTCTTAACTTATATCCATCTCTAACAATTTCTCTCTTTCCTACCTTAGCCAAGTTTCTTGCAAGACTATATTATTTCCACCGTCTCATTTCCCATTAACTCCTAAATTTACTGCAATGTTGATTCTATCTCAACCATGCCAATGAAGATGATAATGTCAGGGTCATCAACAACCATTTTTATATCCAGAATATGTTTCTTAGTGAAGAGCAGGATCTTGCACTCCTAACAAGTTCCCAGATATCACTGGTACTGCTGGCCCATGAATCACATTTTAAGGAGCACGGCTCTGACCACTTTTCAGTCTTTATCTCATTGGATCCTTCAGCTGCCTTTAACACAGCTGATCACTTGTTCCTCTGGAAATTCTCTTCTTGACTCTCTTTTCTAATCTTTCTTTATCTCTCTGGGTAGGCTTTTGCTTAGACACCTAATTTTCTCCTGCCCATTATATGCTGGGAGTCCCTCTGCTCCATCCTTGACCCACGCCTGCCACCGCCCTGGGTCATCTCTTGCCTGGATGATGGCAGAAGCCTCCCAACAGGCTCTCCTGCCTTCAATCTTATCCCTGTCAACGTCATCCTCCACAATGATTCTCCCCAAACCCAAATCCAATTATGTTATTCTCTTGCTTAAACCCATTCAGTGATTCCCCAGAGCCTACAGAATAAAATCTCCACGGCACAAGCCTTCTTGAGTATAGAATGTATACTTTACATTCTATTAATATTGGCCTACCCTTAGTTCCCAGACACATACTATCTGTTTCCAGCCACTTTATCTTTGGTCACATTTTCCCCTCTTCTCAGAATGTCCAAAGCCTCACTCCAGAAGTCTCGTTCTCCTGGTTAACTCTCATTTATCCTTTAAGATTCAGCTTAGGTTTTCTCATCCAGAAGATCTTCCCCAGCCTCCCCTACAGACTGGGCTAAGTCCCACTTCCTTCATGGTCCCATGGTGCCGCCATGCTTATTACCTTTTTCACAGCACCGCCCAGGGTATTTAAATTGACTTCTAATATGTTTGTACCCCTTTACTACTCAGGAACTCTTTGAGAGGATAATGCATCATTATAGCTGCTCCCTCAACCTCTCAACCTGGCAAAAAGTAAGCACTCAACGAATGTTTTCAGAGCTGAGTTAAACTTCTACTTCTCCTCTCCCAAATGAAGGTGCTCACTAGATAAGCAGTCATAAGTACCCTTTGGCTCTAAAGGTCTACGGTTCTAATCAACGACCAAGTCTCAGCTGGGCATGGTGATGCACACCTGGAATCCTGAGGTAGGAGGTTGGACTCGAGGCCAGAGGCAGGGCTCAGACACCACAGGTGGAAGTTGGACATCAGACCAAGTTGAGGACTAGCTAAAACAGGTCTGGGGTGGGAGGCAGCTTCCCATAAGACATGACCACTAGTGTGCCAGGTCAGTTTACCATTGCCAGGCAGCACCCAGAAGGTACCACCCCTTTCCATGGCAATGACCCAATGACTTGTAAGTTACTACCCTTTTCCTAGAAATGTCTGCATAAATCACCCTTAATTTACATATAATTAAAAGGGGGTATAAGTGACTGTAGAACTGCCCCTGAGCTGCTATTCTGGGCACACTGCTTATGGGGTAGCCTTGCTCTGCAGGGAGCCGTCCCTCTGCTGCTGCTGTACACTGCCACTTCAATAAAAGCTGCTATCTAACACCACCAGCTCACCCTTGAATTCTTTTCTGGGCAAAGCCAAGAACCTGCCCAGACTAAGCCCCAATTCTGGGGCTCACCTGTCCTGTGTCAATCCTAGCTGCTGGAGAGGCTGAGACAGGAGGATTGCTTGGGCCACAGAGTTCAAGACCAGCCCGGATAACATACTGAGACCTCATCTTGTTTAAAAAGAGAGAGAGAGAGACAGAGAGGTAGAGAGAGAGAGAAGGTCTCTAGATTCAAGAGAAGCAGAAAGCAGCAGCCAACCTAAAGTCAAACTTGCTCTGTTGACATTCCAGACGACTTGTCATCCCACTTTGCCTCTCTGGTCAATATGAAGGTCTTCCCATAAGAACAGCAATCCAATTAAGAAGCTGCCTAATTAACTGCACTCCCAGAGAGCCTACAATACTGAAGTTCTAAATATTATGAATTCAATATTCCACTGACAGGCTAATCCATTGGGCCAATCTGAGCTGACCCAGGGGACCATCATATAGGTAGTCTGTCATGATGTTCCTTGAACATTGAGAAAAGTGTTTATGCTTTTTCCCTTGCTGAAAATATCCCTACGTTGAACTGCAATTCCAGAATGGTGCTCATGGAGGTAAAGAGTACAGCATGACTTTCTCTGAGCAACTGTATTATAAAGGAACAAAACACAGTTATCCCCAGGCTTTTGAGGTCAAGCAAACACAGCCACGTAGATCCCTTCTCTCACTGCCCTGCTTAGCTAGTTGGTTCTCCTAAGGTTCTATTAAGCCAACTACTGGAACTAAATCAAACTTAGCTTTTACTAACAATGCTGAACTGTGTTCTACACAAAGTGAGCTAACACATTTCCTGACCTCCCATGCAGAATTTTGATAAACCTAGCTAACCAAATGATGGATGAACCAGAATCGAAAATACTCAAACACAGGGTTCTAAATTTCCAATGGGAACAGCAACAAGATTTATTTTTTAGTTCACCTGTTGCAACTATTCCAATGCTTTGCCATGAACTGTGAATGTTTAAACTCTCAATTAGAATTACTTCAGCAAATATTTATTGAGCATGTGCTTGGAATAGGCAAATTTTACACATAATCATATCTGGTGTTTTCCTAAGTGTCTTATTTGATATTTAAGAATCTTCAGGCACTTCAGCAATTAGCATGATATCTCTGTCCAAAAAGAGAAACAGAGTTCAAAAGAAGTGAAACAACTCATCCATGCTACTCCAGGGGCGCATTACAAAACTAGAAGTAAACCCAGCCTAATCGAGTGAGCCTCTTTTCCTGGTAAAACACAAAGCCCTACCTAATTTCATCAAGACACATGGATCATACTCTGACCCTCCAAGGCAGCAATGATGAAGAGAAGAAAACAAAACAGCTATAAACGTATGGAGCAACAGTAAGTCCAAAACCACGTAACTACAGAAACACCCAAGTCACCATCACAGTCTGCATCATGCTTCCATTATACAAGTATTAGGTTGAGTTTACACAGGTTCATTTTAAAAATGCAACTTCTAAAGATGCAGTTGAGATCGTGTTATCAGTAATAGCCTACTACATCTTATACAGTGACATCCACAGCACTAGATAGCTAAAGATTGGTGATAAAAACAATTACCCTGAAGGTCATGAGATCCTCAACCATCAGAAAATGTTCAGCTGTATTCAACATAGTGTTCAGAAAAAGAACTCATTTCAGAAATGTTCTGCCTCTGCTAGATCATTCCTCTCGGCCTTCCTTTTCATCTTGTAGGTCTCAACTTAGAGGCTGCCCTCCCTGGGCCCTCACCAACTGCTCGGCCAAGTCTCAGTCTCAGTTAGGTGTCCCTCAGCACACCCACCTTCCCCCATCATGGAATTGGTCGTATGATTCTGGTAACTGCGTATTTACTCATCTGTGCCTCCCACAAGAACGAGGGCAGGGGCTCTGACGCTCACATCACCATCATCTGTGCAGTCTTCACATAGCGCCTGGTGCGTAAATGGTCCACAATATTTTTTTAACGAACTCTAGTTGAAACGATAAGTGTTGTTAGCTTTCCTTTGTTTTAATCAGAAAGTTCAGTGCGGATCACTGCATCATTTAAGGGTTAAATTTAATTCGTGAAAGCTTTTAAGGTGGATACTAAGTATTTGATAAACTTGTTTAGAATCCAATTTTTTATAAAAATAATCATAGCCACCTATACAATCTCCTGTGCACAAAAAGAGGCAAGTGAGCTCATGAATAATTTTATTTCAAATGGGTCAGCACTGTTAATTACTTCAGTTTCTTAGCACTTTTCATCTCTGAATTTTTTTTTTTTTTTTGGAGACAGGGTCTCTGTCCACCCAAGCTGAGTGCAATGGCATGACCACAGCTCACTGCAGTCTGGAACTTCCAGGTTCAAGAGATCCTCCCCATTTAGCCTCCCAAGGAGCTGGGACTACAGGCACATACCACCACGCCCGGCTAACTTTTGATTTTTTGTAGAGATGATGTCTCACTATGTTGCCCAGGGTGGTCTTGAATTCCCAGGCTCAAGCAATCCTCCTGCTTCAGCCTCCCAAAGTGTTGGGATTACAGATGTGAGCCACCGTGCCCAGCCTTGTAAGTTTTTAAAGGTTTTCTAGTTATTCTTATCATCAGCTTTATGGGACACTAAGGTGACAAGAACTACTCAGCCTCTACTTTATGGGAGTTCATTTGTGTGTGAGAATAGATAGGATGTAAAATCCATGAGCTGGTAACTCCACCAGTCTTTCTTCTGGGGCATCTTGGGGCAAAAGAGTTCAGGGGTTCTAGGAGACACAGTCATTGTCTACAGCTGCAAGTTCAAATCCCACGTCCTGTAGCTCTCAGTGTCCTCATCAAATTCCAGCATATTCTATTACTCCAATTCCTTTTTCATGTTTAAACTGTTGTGAAGAGTTGCTATGCACTGTTGAACAGCTGCCACCTCACCCCGTCCCCCCACCCACCACATGGGTTACACTTGAGTCGTGTAGATTAACTTGAAATGAACCATTATCCCTCATGATGAAGTACAGACAATATGAACTTAGAGAGTTTTCTTAAAAAGTAGACTGTTTACTACCTACAAATAAATCCTTTAATTTAAGAATTCCCAAGCTGGAAGAGATCACTGCAGAAAATATAGTCTACTAGCTAGGTGTGACAAACTGCATATTATAAATACTTAGACAAAAAAAAAAAAAGGTGAGTGGGGAGGAGTGGCAATATCAGAAAGCCACAGGTGTGGGGCCAAGGCGATCCCTAAATCCCAGGGCAGGGAGACGTCAAGTAAGAGAAAACATATTACCTACATCAAGTAAGAGAAGAAAAGTGCTGTAAAGAAACACGAGCAGTTTAGTAAGGTTCAAAACCATACTATTTTGACCATCTACTAAGTGCAAAAATGTATGCTGGTGTGAGGGGCCCCAAGATGAAGGAACAGTCTTTGCTGGAAGGAAGCTCAGAGCCCCATGGGAGAGACAGTCGATGTCATGCATTAAATAAGCCGGTGCTACCGGAGCACACAGAGAGAGGGCAGCTGACGGATGGATCTGGTGGTTATTATTACACCCCTAGCTTCTTGCAGATTGTGTTTCCTGGCTTTCTGCTGTAGAAACAGACAGAAACATCTAAGATTCTATATTTTTCAGAGGTGAAATCTTTTGTCCACACGAGATTCAGGAGACTGCGCTCAATCTCTATAGCAAACCCTGAGCACGGGTGTCGCTATACCCATTTCACCATGAGCAGCCTGCCCAGGTCACCCAGTGAGCGGCAGAACTGGAAGCTGAATCCACACCATCAGGCTCCAAGTCCTGCTGCCTTCCTATTACTTTCCTGAAACAGATTTTACACGTGCAGAGATTCTCTTTAAGGAGAAGACAGTCAAAACCCACCCCCAGGCAAATGCAGAGCTGACCAGCACTGAGAGATGAGAGGAGTGGATTTCTTCCATGCTGAACCATGGCTATTTCAGGATGGGTGCAGAGAGAGAGGGCTGAACGTGGCACTGGAGGGGTGTGACCGGGAGGGCCGGAGGAGATTTCAAGAACACGAAAAGCCTCACACACAACCCTAAATGCACGGAACTCACGGCCCACTAACTCAATCTAATCCAAACGACCTCACTAAAATCACTCTTGCAAAGCTGCTGCTTCCTTCAGACAGAAACCCTCAGGAGAGTTTGTGGACAAGCTGTCAGAGAGGCCTGTGCCATTATTTGTTGACACAACAGCAGGATCCTTCAAGGGTAGTGCTGGTCCTCGAACATCACTGGCGACAGCAGAGTTGTATGACAATGGAAATATTGTCAATCCCAGAAACCAGCCTACGGGAACTAAATAGACTCTCTAGGCTCGGCACAGTCAACAGGGTAGAGAAAAGCATTTTAAAAATCAAATCCCAAACTGTCATTATGGATTTGATTAGTGACTTTGTTTTTTAAATTATATAAAATAAATTAAGATGCACAGAAGCAACAAAATATATATTATTATAAAAAGCAACTTGTGGCTTCTAATTTAGAAATGGTAGTACAGATTCATATAGCTAGTTTAGAGTCATTGTATTTCAAAGGCATTGCAAGCCTCCGAGTGATCTTGGTTGAGCAATTTAATTACTCTGGGCTTTGGTTTTCTTTCCAGTCAAAAAAAAAAAAAAATGCTGAGTGGACTATAGCTTCCTGCCTGTCCTAAACCTCGGTGCCTTTGCACAGCTCTGCAGATTATTTCAAAAGGTTTCTAAAGTCTTTTGAAGCTAAAAATATGTTAGAAATAAACATTACTTTTCCAGTCCGCAAATAAATGTGAGTAGGGCAGAGGCCATTTTACCTATATAATGCAATTCTTTTGTTGCTCTGGATGAAAAAGCTTTATTAATGTTTAATTTAGAGAAGTACTTCACATTCTAACTAAAATTATTTAATATTTTAAAATTCATTTTATTAAAATATTTATAAAACATATGCTGTTAAATTGGGAAGACTTATTTTCTAGTGGTTTTACAATAAATGCCTTGATTTGGTTTAGAAATTAAAATAAATCATTGTTCAACTCTGGGGAAAAAAATTTAACCAAAAAAAAGCCACTAAAAATAAACCCACTTCATAGGTAGTTAGCATGCGTCCTAAAATAAAAACTACATCTGTTTGTTCAAGGCGCAGATATTACAATTTTCATTAAACTGTAGAACTATTTTTCTCATAGAAAAACTATTTCACTTAAGTGAGTCCTCCTGATCATTAGTTTTCTAAAAAGGAATTTAACAAGCATGTTCAAAGCAGCAAAAACAACCGCAAAGCCCATCAACAAAACAGATAAACAGTATGGTTTATGTACACACTGGACACTCTATCAATGAAAATGAGTGAACCGTAGGTACACACAACAGCAGAGAGGAATCTGGGAAATGCAATGCTATGAGAAAAAAGCAAGTCACAAAAAGTATAGTGTGATTCCATCTATATAAAGTTCAAAAATGACCAAAGCTCAACAACATATGATTTAGGGATAACACATGGCAAAACTACAGAGAAAAGCTGAGAACTGAAATACTGGTGACCTCTAATGGGGGAGAGACGCAGACAGCATCAGGGAGGGGAACCCAGGCAACCCAGAAGAAATGTTCTTTTTCTTTTGTTTAAATTTATTTCTTAAATGTTTTATAGGGATGAGGTCTCACTATGTTGCCCAGGCTGGTCTCAATCCTGGCCGCAAGCAATCCTCCTGCCTCAGCCTCCCAAAGTGTTGAAATTATAGGCATGAGCCACCCTGTCTAGCTGAAATATTTTTCTTAAACTGGGTGGTGGGTAGACACAAGTGTTCATTGTATTACTATTCTTTTTATCATACATATATTTTATAAACATTTTCCTTACTCAATATTTAATTTTTAAAAATATTAACAGTAAGATAAAATTCATTTAAATCATAGCCATTCTGGAATAGTTCCTAAGGTTGTGGATAAAATATTGAACTGTGTCCCTGTCATTAACTCACTTTGCAAATTTGGACACTAATACATTCCCTAGAACTTCAGCTATGTAAGAACTTTACTGCTCCAGGAAAAAAAAAAAAAGGATATCCTAATCATTCTAGGGATAGTTTTATATGGCCTACAAAGAAAGAACTAGATGAGGAAAATCAAATCAGTAATAATAGAAAATCAGAAAATATTTAAATATTTAATATTTAATATTTTTAGAAAGCATTACTGAGGATCTATCTACTCTGTACCCAGCACCATACTTTTCAAAATAAGAAATTCTTGAGTCTAAGCCACATTAGACAATAGAGTTCCCAAAGGGTGATCAGGACCGGATTTGTCTTCTGTTCCTCCACTCTTTTTGTTGCTGTTGTTTTTAGATATAGGATTTTCCTCTGTTGCCTAGGCTGGAATGCAGTGATGCAATCATAGCTCACTGCAGCCTTGAACTCCTGGGCTCAAGCAATCCTCTGGTCTCAGCTAATTTTTTTTAATTTTTATTTTCAGTAGAGACAAGATCTCTCCATGTTGCCCAGGCTGGTCTCAAATTCCTGGGCTCAAATGATCCTCCTGTCTTGGCCTCTCACAGTCCTAGGATTACAGGCATGAACAACCATTTCTGGCCTTCTATCTGTCTCTTTACCTGTCAAATGAGAATAATAATAGTATCTCCTCATATGACTGTGGTATAATTAAACAAGTTAGCCGGGCGCAGTGGCTCACACCTCTAATCTCAGCACTTTGGGAGGCTGAGGCAAGTGGATCGCTTGAGGCCAAGAGTTCAAGACCAGCCTGGGCAACATGACAAGACCCCGTCTCTACTAAAATACAAAAAATTAGCTGGGCACGGTGGCACGCATCTGTATCCCAGCTACTCAGGAGGCTGAGGCCCAAGAATTGCTTGCACCCAGGAAAGAGAGGCTGCAGTGGGCCGAGATCATACCACTGCCCTCCAGACTGGGCAACAGAGCGAGACTCTGTCTCAAAAAACAAGAATCAAACAAAAAAAAAGTTAATTCATATAAGAGCATTCAGAGCAGTTCCTGGCACATAGTATTATACCAGTGTTTCCTGTTATGTGTGTGTATTGTTATTATTATTGTTTTTTCAACATCATCTGTGATTTGGAGTAAGAAAATCAGGTGTCACCTGTACCACACATACTTTTCTTGGAAGTGGAATTTTACCTACCAACATCAGTCATCTCCTCTGACATTAATCGACCTTGCACTTGTGCACACTCCTCTCCATTTTATGGTAAGGGCCAGATCTCAAGGGTTCTTCAGCCTACTGGCTGGTAAGCCCGACAGTGCACAGGAAGTTGCAGCAAATCAGGTTAATTTCGCATCTCTCACCCCACAGTGGGTTTCATTAGCTCAAAGGCTACCTTGGAGACGCAAAGCCTCACCCTGACCCAAGGGCCTCAATGTAAATAAGAGAGCAACTAGAGAGAGTCGTGCTTCATCCTTCCTGAGAGGTCTGGCAGTTCCTGACCCTGAAGAGTTGAAAATTCCAAAGGCACATAGTCTCCTGCACTTCCCCAGCAGAGTGGACCATCCCAATTAAGTGTTCCATCCAGCTATGCAAGCCCTTCAGGACAGAGCTGTGGCGATGTGATTGTGTAACTTTTATTACCATTACTATTACTTCTAGGGATGGGCAGCAGGTTAAAGTCAATTAAGAAGCATATAAACTGTCATCCAAATCTCAAACTGAAAAATGCCAGTGATGCTGACACGCCCAGCCTCTCCTCAGGGGCCATCCTCAGATTCCCCCTGGGAAAACCGGTCGGGGCTGCAGCAGCAAAGAGAAAGTCCCAAAAATACTTTGTTGAATTCTACCACTTTACTATAAATATTTTTGACCCCCCTCTCCGTGCAGAAAATCCTGTGTTACTTCTAGAAAGGTCTGGAAATTTATCCTTAAAGCCCAGAGCCTGATCTCACTTTAAGAGAGTCCTTGCAAAATTCCCCACTAAACTCCCACTGTCGGGTCTTTCTCGTGTCACAGGATGACAACAGAACCCTGGATCAAAGGAGGTATTTTTGTGCCCTGGAATGACATCATAGTTTATGGATCAGTAAAAACCTTATTTCGTAACTGAGGAGCTCTGCTTCCAACAGTCTAGTGGAAGGGTTGGCGAACCTTCCTTGTAAAGGGCCAGCAAGTCAATATTTTAGGCTTTATGGGCCATGCTGTGTCTGTCACAACCTCTCCCTCCACTGTGACAGCATGAAAGCTGCCACAGACAACACGCAGACTGGTGCATGTGCTGTGTTCCAATAACATTTTTATGTACGGACACTGATGTCTGAATTTCACATAATTTTCACAGGTCACGAAATGTTCCGCTTTTGATTTCTTTTCCTCGGTTTACGAATGTGAAAACCATCCTTAGCTTGTGGTAGTAGAACAATTCGTAGTGGGCCAGATTTAGCCAATCCCTGGTCTAGCTTTCTGTGGAAACACCATAATACATGTAATCCCCTGGAGACTGCAAGGAGTCCCTCCCGAAAAGCAGCAAATTAATCCTCCTTCATCAATCACTGCTCCCCAACATACTGGGGAGGTAAGATGTGTTTTACCAACAGCAGAAACTGACGTATTGAAACATCACAGAATGAGGCAGTGGAGGCTCTGGAGGAAAGGTTTTTGACAGGAGTTCTACTTTAAATCCTGCTTCCACACCGCCTGTGCGTCAAGTACACACAATTTTCTGTGCGCCACTGCATGAATACCATTATTGTATTATAATACAGTCGTCATGATCTTTTGTGACCCAGGATGATGAAATTTTTGAATGCACCATTAATACATATGATGATTGGGCTACCTGTGTGGCTGGCCAGGCCATTGCCCAATCAGAAGTCATTGACTGCTGTCAGTTATGGGGAACGCCTCTGAAAATAAGCACGTACTCACAGGGCCATTTCCAAATGAAATCTTCCATTCTCATTTTTCAATTTGTTTTTCTCTTGGAGACAACAAATGCTGAGTAAGCATTTGGATCCCTGTTTCAGTGGACTAACTTGTTTCCTTACCCCTCACTCTCCCTTCCCCATTGGCCAACATTCCTTTTCCACTCCCACCCCATTCCTGCCTACTCCCCTCCTACTGGAACACAAACATATGCATTTTGTTTTTCTGAATCCACAGGCTGAATAGAATATTCTCAACAAGATGCCAACGATCCATGTCTCTGACTGAGTCCTATTTTCAACAATTCAGAAAACTCAGACTCTATGGTTCTGAGGACCCTAGGGGACAAAGTCAGCCTTCTCACTCTTCATAAATACATGCCACTCCGTCTCAGTGGTGATGACACATCCACCTGTCTTATCCCACTTGGCCCCCACCCACCACAGAACCTGGATGAGGCCACTAGAGATTGCCTGTCGGAATCATCATTATAAATGGCTGGACAGAGGCATCACCCTGTTCACTGGCGATGCCTTTGCACCATAGAAGGTGAGAACTCCTCATCAAGAGAATTCTTCTCACACCGTGGAGGGGATTCATCAATTAAAGTATTTCACCAGCAGATACTAAACTTCATAAGACACTAGTGACCAGCTGAGAAACACAATCCCAAAAAAATCCACATGGAACTCTTCCTCAGGCAGTTCCTCCACGTGACAGCCATCCATCATTACCACTTAGAATACATTCAGAAGCTAGCCCCACCAGTAATTTAAAAGCTGTCACAAAGGCACTTCATTTGGAACTCACTCTGAATCACAGACCCAATAATATACTAGGAAAGTGATTAGTTGTCATACTGCTACCATTTTCCATGCTACCTAATTGGAAAAGAACATCTCAGTGGAGTTATTTTCCTCTCTCAGTGCTCGAAAATAAGAAAAAAAGAATAGTTTCATTTTTTTTCAAAAAAAAAAAAGACTATCCCTAACTCTACTCTTGAAAGAAGAAAAGAAATCAAACGTGTTGAGAAATTCTGCCACTTTTCTAGGACAGTTCTTGAGACTCTTACAGCTGTGTGATGAAACATTTCCTAGGGGCAATGAATCCTAGGAAACTCTTGTTAAAAAAAAAAATAAAGTAACAAAGCACATCTTGTGATGTTGTAGCGCTGACCTGTTTGTGCCACTCATTTATGAATTTATAAAATTCTGAATTCATATTACAAAACAGAAAAGTGGGAGGAATGAAACATACCTAATTCATGAAGACTTGAACTCAAACAATTCACAGACCACCCAGGTTGCAAGGGGTCTTAAAAGCAGCTAGTGTCGCTGTAACCCAGAAAAATGCCCTGGAGTAAAGTGGGGTTTTTCAAGATTTAAATTTTTCTTAAGTTTAATTCACCAATAATGGTAATCTTTCCCTAAAGGGTTGTACTTCAGTGATGAGGTTACTATTGTAAGATAATTATTTTTAATAGAAGCTATCAAATACTAAGCACTTTGTTACCACAAACTATACTAGGAGTTTTATATACATTATCTCATTTAACCTCCACAACTAACCCTATCATGTGATTATTATTATCTTCATTTTACAGATGAGGAAATTACGTGTCATAGAAGTTAAGTTTACCTAAGGTCACACAGCCAATAAAATACTGAGAGCTTTATATACATTATCTCATTTAACCTCCACAACTAACCCTATTATGTGATTATTATTATCTTCATTTCACAGATGAGGAAACTGAGTGTCATAGAAGTTAAGTAATTTACCTAAGGTCACACAGGCAATAAAATACAATAAAACCCAGGACCGTCTGACTCAAAACCCCAACAGTAGGATTACTCCACTAAATGGTTTCATACATTTGAGTCGTGGGGTGCAAATTACATCAATCTCATATTTAAGCTGTTATCTACATTATTGTGGTTCCCAGAGTTGACTTTTCATTGCAATCATACAGAAAGGTTTTTAAAAATAGAGATTCCCAGAATCCACTCCAGCTCAGCCAGATATAATGTGAAAAAATAATCTCGTTCTTTTAAGTGATGCCAATCAACGACCAGACATTTTTTCTCACTGAACCTAATGAGTATTCCATGAAAAATATCCGAAGTGTTAACTCTCAAGGCATTTGGTTGGCTTTAGTTGTTCAGCACTTTCTCTCTAGTTGATAATGAATGAATGAGTAGGAATTCCACCCTTGATTCCCCTAGGAAAGCTTTATTCAAAGAATGACAGCTGATGGAAGCACCGTGACCCAGAGATTGGTAGCGAATGCTACACAGACACGGACACAGACCCCAGGGCAGTGAGGAGTGGAGAGTCACACAGCCAGATGGTAACAGGTCTGCAATCTCCCAATCACCTCCCTTCCCCGCAAAACCCCACCGCCTCTTGGAATCCCTCTGGAATCATTCAGAAACCCCAATCACCACAGGAAATGAAAGACGAACTGGCACACATTAAATTAGTATAAATATGTGTAAAAGAGTTGGCAGGTTCAAAATAAGTTCCAACAGAGCTGATGCATTAATTGGACCTTACCATATATATTTTTTATATCTACACACACACACACACACACACACAGTATGTTGCCTATATGTAATGAGACAGACATGTTCTAATTTACACATTTTCATATAATCATATCCAGTACTGGAGTCTATATTGAAAGAGACAGATGCAAGTTCCAATCTCAACCCTGCCACTTATTCGTGTGACCCCGTTCCCATTTCTTAACCTCCTTGAGATTCACTTTCCCTGCCTGAAAAGCAGTGGTAATAGTAACTATTTCACTAGAACACATTTATGTATACAAGCACCTAGCACAGTGCCGGGCACGTGGTTGCCATTTATTATTGTTGTTACTCCTATTTAGCACCTCCCTAAGAAATGAAATATGCTGTTTAGCCCCTGATTGTTCTAACCAGCAAAGGCCCAATCTCCCAGTAGAAAAAAAAGCAAGCACTCCAATAGGATGTTCCTTCATGCCTTGCTCTGAACTGATGATTGAAAACATGCTTCCAATAGCCACAGCTGTCTAATGTGCTGAGGTTCATTAATGAGTTACCATGATATCCAGGGATAACAATATTAACAACACCTTTCCGAAATATCTCCTCTGGGGTAACTTACCAATTATTTCAGTAAAATGTTTAGTCATGGAAAAGAAAGGTCTTAGATTGGAACCATATTAAAACACCTTCCTCTCTCTCTCTTTCAGTGAAACACATTTAAAATTTACCCTAAATATCCTAAATCCTTGCTTGTCTTTTCCTAAGTAGTTCCAGACAGAGGATTCAAAAGTGGATCTGTCAGATTTGTTGCAAGTGAACAGACTCCCCTGGGTTGCAGGAGGAAGTCCTCCGCATTTTTTCTGACTTATGTAGTCCCACGGCAGCTCTTTGGAATATCTTCCTTGATAATGTTTCCTATATTGACAGCCCCAAGCCTGGCTAGTTCATTTTACGAGGAATAAGGTTTCACTGGAGAGTTCCAGGAGGTCGAAAGAGTAAGGCACAAGCAAAAGTGTCAGTCTGTTTAACTGATCCCAGCCAGAGTGTGCGACTATCTGCGTATAATAAAATGCAGAAGGACTTTGTCCCGTAACCCGCGAAAGTCTGAACCCTGGTAATGAAACTGATAGAGCCACCATCCTTTCCATCACGTCCAGTTTGGGCACAGTCCTCGTGCTTAGCACCAAAGAAAATCTGGCCACCCTGGCCACAGATCCTGTGGGTGGGGTGAGGCCCCCCTCCAGAGCTTTAATTTGTTTATTTGTCTATGTATTTGTTTAGGCAGACAGGAGTGGTGGCAGGAAGGGAAATGCTTTGGCAAACTCTTGATTGTACAAACTGTTTCCTCCACACTAATACTTTCCCTTTGGAAGGACACAGAAAGATAGAGCTCCCAAAAGGCCACGTTTTTGCCAAAATGTCTAATAGCAACATTTCTAAATTGGGACTACTTTGCTGAGAAAAGAAAAACGTCTTTGGTGTTGGGCTGAATAAAGTTTCTGCCACTATGGTTGTCATTAGGGAGTAAAATGTGGTCCAGGTTTACTCCTCCAAACAATAGGATGCCCACTGATTGCTGGTAACAGACATCTCTGTGAGATCACCATGGTAACATTCATCCCTTCTAACAGTCCCCAATACCATATATTGAACAAACTTTTAAAATCAGATCATGATTATGGACTATAAAGAGAACTTGGACAGATAATAACATGCCAATATCAACATTATTCTTTCCTGCTAAGAAGCTACACGTTAACATTTTTAGATTATTTGGTTCAATCACAGCTGTCCTTAGATAATTTCTGTAAATGAAACTGTCAATAGCAAAGGACCACTGGTGAAATGCTAAGGGTAGTATATTGTCATATCAACAAATACTCATAAAAGCAAGGTGCAATCAGAGGCAGTTTATAATGATTTTAAACATCAGTAAGAAGAAGCAGAAAAACCCTGACAACTCTCTCTTGCACGACTGGGGGACCAAATACTTCACTAGTCATCCTTCAAGAGCATGTACCCAACTCAGAGACTATTTATTCTATGCCAAAGCATTACTGGAGAAACAGCAGTTATCTTGGTGATAAATAATACCCTCAATCAGCCAGGCAAGGTTAGTAAGATCCAAAAGCCACTTTCAGAAGCCACAGTGGTTGTTTCAGTGTGAGTTGTACATATGTTTAGTTATAAAGTGTTCTCAGTTTCCCACTGTGAGACTATGTACAACAAGCTCTGTATTTAAATGCTACTGTTTCAGGATAGAAAAGCTATTAAGAAAAAGATCAAAAGTTCCACAAGATTAAGAGTTCTGTGGACATGTGCGGTCTCTTGTGCTATCACTTTTCAATCTTCATGTTATGAAAAATTTCAGATATATGGAAAAGTACAAAGAATAATGTCATTAACTTCTATGTAGCCATGACCCAAGTTTCTTCACATCGTAATACTTAGCCATATTTACATTAGGCCTTTTTGTCTTAATAAATAAATAAATTACATAGGAAAATAAAAACCTGTGGTTAGCACTCCCCACTCCCATGCCCCTGCCTCTCTAAACAATATGTAGTATTAGTTTGTGCCTTTTCAACCATTTAAATAAATGGTATCAGACAGTAAGTATCAATCTACAACTTTTTTTCTCAACATTGTATTCCTAAAATGTATCCATATTAATACAAGTGTATCTGGTTCATTTATTTTAATTGCTGCATAGAATTTCATTGCATGGATATAGCATATATTATTTTAACCTTTTTCCTTCTGAAAGGACAGCTAAATTGTTTTTTATTTTTTACTAACATAACACACAGGTGAACATTTTTACAGGTATCCTTTTACACTCATACACTGGTTTCTCCAGGCACATACCCAGGAGTGGAACTGCTGAGCCCTAGGGTATGTGCGTCTGCAGCTTTGCCATTTGTTGCCAAATTGCTCTCCAAAATAATCGTACCATACAGCACTCCCGCCGGAGTGTGGAGAATGCCTGTTGCTCCATCTCCTTGTCATCAACCGATTTTGTCCTTTCATTTTGGGCTACCCAGTGAGTGTGAAATGGTATCTCATATTAATTCGGGTGTTCCCACTTATCAGCGAGGTTGAGCATCCTTTCATGTTTACTGGCCATTGAGATCTTCCTTTCTATGAATTGCCTGATTGTAGCCTTTGCCCATTTTTCTTATTGCTTCATAAGAGCTCTCTTTATATCTTGTGACTTTAGGAAAGTCATTTAGCTTCTAGGATTCCACCATTACCAAAGGAGATGATAAACCTATTTCATAGGGATATTTTGAAGCTGATCAAAAAGCACTGAGTCTAGTGCCTATTACATGTTAGGTAATTTCTAAACAGTCGCTATTACTATTATTGCCCTGTCTATGAATATGGTTTAGGGTATAAAGTATTTCTAGCATTTCTCTCAAGTTTGTGGCTCCCCTTGGATAAGTACTGTAAGACTCAGAAAAAGGAGTCTCAGCAACTCTTCTTGCCCATGATATTTCCTCAAGATAAGAAGATGCAATATCAGCATTCCATTGTCTATAAGTTACCATTAGGAAATGTGCAAAGTCAGCTCCCTTAGATATTGCTTAAACTAAGCATGGAAGTTACACTTCCTTCAATCCACACGAGACTGTGACCTCTTTTGGGAAAAGCCCATCATCCTGAGTCTCAGTGATGGTTAATTCACCGAGTGAAAAGGACTCTGGGAAAGAAAGGTGGGCAGTGGAGGTTGGCAGGTTATCAATATCAGGGACTTGCCAGTACCAGGTACTTCCCAGGACAGAAATATAGCCACTATTTCATGAAATTTCATCAGGCCCAAGACCACTCCATTTCTCCACATGGTAAGTAATCCTTGAATAAGAAAAACCAAAGGATAAGCATCATATCACTTACCAAATGCATATGTTGGTTTTTTAAAAAAAAAAAAAGATCAGAAATGATCTGACATCACCTAGGCAGCAGCCAATCCTATTCTATGCACATTGTGAAAATACTCATCTGGCCGGGTGCGGTGGCTTCCAGCACTTTGGGAGGCCGAGGCAGGTGGATCACAAGGTTGGGAATTTGAGACCAGCCTGGCCAACATGGTGAAACTCCATCTCTACTAAAAATACAAAAATTAGCCGGGCATGGTGGCAGACGCCTGTAATCCCAGCTACTTGGTAGGGTGCGGCAGGAGAATCACTTGAACCCAGGAGGCAGAGCCTGCAGTGAGCCGAGATTGCACCATTACACTCCAGCCTCAGTGACAGAGCGAGACTCTGTCTCAAAAACAAACAAACAAAAAAACAAAAAACAGAAAATACTCATCTTTCCTCAATACCCAGAAGAATATGTTCCTAAGGACATGTTGGTAAGCTGGAAAGACGCGGTAAAAAGGAATCCTGCAAGCGTGTCTGCTTGTACATGGAACGTAGTTAGTTTGGTGCTGAGATCCTCCCAGCTTGGCTTCTCTTCAGTCGTCTTTTGACCTGTGCATGGAGGAAGGCTGTGTCATCTGTGTGCACTCTGCCAGGAGGAAGCTTACAGAGCTGCCCTCCAGACTTCTCAACTAGCCCTGAAATCAACTTCAACTGGTGACTGGCAGGGGCCCTTTTCAGATGTACTTGAACATCACCTAATCTTCAGAATTCTCTCCCTCTGTATTCAATTTCAACTGGCACTCAAGAAACCAGAGTCTCTCCTTAGTGACTACGGACAGAGGCCCTCTCTTCTCTCTTCTTCAGAGCAATCATATGTAGGATTCAACTCGAGCCCAAATATAATTATACCGCCTTCTGATATCTATCTAGGTGCATGGCTTTCCTCCTTAAACGTGTGCCAAGTTTCCACTTTCAAGAAGTTAAATTGCCATATAAAAATGCCCTGGTGATGATGAGTAATTAGACATGGTAATGGAAAATTAACTGTGTTTTTATTTAGAGCATTTATTTTAACAAGACTTTCCTTCTTCTAACTGTTACTAAGCTGTAATAAAAATAAATTAAATCCTGAGGGTTTGCAAAGGTTTTCTGGTTAAAAAACAAACAAACAAAACACCTCTCTTCCTGGAGAGTATTTGTGAATGCCACCAAGTTTGTACAAAGTCCTGGTCTGACTCCCGTTACTAATAAATCCTAACGTGAATTCTGATTTTGCCATCTGTGCTGTGGAAAGAAACTACCGTTCCATCCTCTCAGGCAGCTAAAATGGAGGCAGGCACCGACAGGCAGGCCCAAGGTGCTTCTCCACGCTTGCAGTCTTTGCACGAATGCCCTCAATGCTTCTCTTCTTCTCGTCGTCATGCTGCTTCCAAGAGAGGGTGCCACCTGCAGCACAGTGGTCTTTTGCCCATCCTTTGAGCACCTGTGGGCTTTAGCAAGTTCTCGGGGAAAAGGTGGTTAATCCAGCTGTGAGTGCGTCCCTAGAGCCACACTAGAAACACCCATTCCACAAGACTGGAGTGTAAAACAGAACTGCATCCCCAACAGAAGATGCAAAATGAGGTGTTAATTTATGCATCCCACCTGAGTCCTTGCAGCCCTCTAACCATATTCCAGCTGAGAGCTTGTCAATGGGCTTAGCCATAGACCCACCAACTCTAGTCTGCTAACTACAGTCGTGGGCAGGACGTGTGGCAAGGAAGACCCTCAGGCTCCATAGCATGCACGTTCACGAGCTCAGTACAAATTAAGAGGCCTCGGCTGGGTGCAGTGGCTCACGCCTGTAATCCCAGCACTTCAGGAGGCCAAAGCGGGCAGATCACCTGAGGTCAGAAGTTCGAGACCAGCCTGTCCAACATGGTGAAACCCCGTCTCTACTAAAAATACAAAAATTAGCCAGGCATGGTGGCACATGTCTGTAGTCCCAGCTACTAGGGAGGCTGAGGTGGGAGGATCGCTTGAACCCGGGAAGCAGAGGTTGCAGTGAGCCAAGATCGCCCCACTGCACTCCAGCCTGGGCAACAGACCAAGATCCTGTTTCAAAAAAATAAAACAAAAACAAAAACAAATGAAGAGGCCTCAGCCCATGTGACGTACCTACCTTTGCATCTCTGCTGCTCCTCCTACCTGACCTCAAAACAAAGTGCAAATAACACCTAAAATTGCTTCTGGTTTAACATTTACTCAGTCTTCCAGAGCGAAGGCTAAATGCTGTGCAGAGCTTAAGCTCTGGATCTCAACCTTGAAGAGGCCCCAGCACGCGTCTAAGTAGAATCAACTTTAGCCATTTAGTACCCATGGAGCGACAGAATTTCACAAGCCAGCTTTGTTTTGCCTGTACAGCCCTTCGGAGGAATGCTGTGCTATGAGGCTGAATCTGTGCAGCCTCAAGAATTTCAAAGAAACCCACTCTTACTTTCCTTCTTCCCTTCTTTTTTTTCCTTTCAATCTCTCTTTATAAATAAAATAATCCTTTGCAATCCTAACTCCTTTTCATATAGATTTTTGGGATATGTTACATTTAATCTTTCCACTCTGATTTCTAGGATATGCTAAAACTAACAACTTTATACTATCCATGTTTCTATCACAAATTCAGTCTTGGATCCAGAAATACAACCAGCAAAAAACAAACATATCTGTAGGAAATCAGCCTCATAATAGAGTTTCATTTGAGTTGTATGTAGCAAAGTTGATTTGACAGTTTTGCTGGTGATAACACCCTGTAGGTAGAGTTCAAAGAGAAAATTCCACATAGTAAGCAAAAGTATTAGATGTTCCCCTATCCCAATTCCGAGCTGCCTCTCACATACACTAGGAAAAAACAACAACAAACAAACAAACAAAACAAAACAAAACAAACAAAGAAGGGCTTAGCAATGGTTCTACAAGTAGTTGAGAGGGATTTTTTAAACACCCTAACTGCTAGTCAACAGTTAGATTAAGTTTCAAAATAATAGACTCAATGACAATGCCATCACCAAGCAAATATAAATATTTGTTGCATGAAATTACTGAATTAAATGATAGTGAACAGTGGACATTTGGAGGGGCATTTCAACCCGTGAACGAAATTTCTAATCGTTTTTTCATTTGCTTTGAGAAAAATCAGAGCCAGAGAAGACACCGCTAATGAACTATTCATGAGTTAAAACCGACTTCACAGCGGGCGCGATGGCTCATGCCTATAATCCCAGCACTTTGGGAGGCCGAGGCGGGTGGATCACGAGATTAGGAGTTCGAGACCAGCCTGGCCAACATGGTGAAACCCTGTCTCTACTAAAAATACAAAAATTAGCTGGGTGTGGTCATGGGCGCCTGTAATCCCAGCTACTCAGGAGGCTGAGGCAGGAGAATCATTTGAACCCAGAAGGTGGAGGTTGCAGTGAGCCAAGATCCCGCTATTGGAAGAAAAAAAAAAAAAACTGACTCCTAAGGAATCCCTTGGTATCTCTAGCAAAAGAGTAGTGAGATAACAGTTAAGGATCCCAAAAGAGCTCAGTTCCAAATATATACTGACCCTGGATGAGTCCCAGATCCCGTGCATCCCTCTATTTATTTACCCTTACAATGGGAACAGGAGAAGCAGTTATGAGTAATTGCTACTAAAAGCCTATGTGCCTCTGGCAGAAATACAAATGCTTGTTGATAACGATCATTTTTCCCAGACCTTGGTTTATGTTTCTCCATTAACATTCCAGTATCCAACTCTCAGGTTCCTAAGATCCTATGAGTTTGGGTCTCTGACTGAAAAAGACCAAGCTGAGATTTGGAGAGTCACCAGAGCTAACTCCATGAAGCACTAGCCAGCTCCCTAACTCCCAAACGAGACACTATACATACCTGCACCGCATTTAATTTTTTGCTGGGATGACACCCAATGTTTGTGATAAAAACGCACCCAAGGACACTACCCCAAAGGACTTGCTTCTCTTGGATCCACCACAGGATAAAATGTTCTTGATGCCACCTCCTAAAAGATAAACACCCTTCCCCAAATGTCCCTTCTAACTGGCTGGTTGACTGTCCCCTGGGTGTGACTGCACGGGTTAGTCCCGGGTGTGTAACCAAGTTGGAAAAGTCTTCCTGATTTCTGAGTACTATGACAAGGAGGAGAGTGGCATACAGTGGACTGAAACTATAACGAAGCACTGACGTGACCCTGGCACTTTGCAAAAAATACCTTCTGCTTGAGGATATTGATCTATGATTTTATGAGCCTCTCCAGCTCTGTAGGTCTAACCACCAAAGATCAGACAGGTAAGAGATTCAACAGACCCATTCTGCCAGAGAAGGGGAAAAGAATTAGATTATAGGTTAGTGGAATAATTAAAAGTCTCATCCTATTCGCAGGCTGTAAAATGTCCAAGTATCTACACTCACCTCCCCACAAATGTGCATGTGTAAATGTAAGGTAATTCTAGGTTCTAAGTAGAAAAAATTGTAATAAAAGTAATTAGTACCATAGGTTCATTTATCAGTATCTTCATGTGAAAACCCTTAGGGTAATTGTAACAATCCTTATTTTTGTGAAGCAAGTTATCCATTTTTTCTCAACACGCCTCAAATTTAGAAACTGCCTGATTCTAAAGATCAGACAGAAAGGCAGAGGCTTCAAAAATGACCACGCCGATGCTTCCACAAACTATTCTACCCCAAGAAACCAGCTTTCTTCAAGTGGGCTTTTCCACCAAGAAACATTAATCACAACCGGAAAAAGAAAATAAAGCATCCTAAATGAAGTGTATTTATGATATCCTAAAATGCACCTCTCTTTTGGCCTTTGTAATGACGGTCAATGCTCTGAAGTTGGAGAGCTCATCGCTGATTTCTAAATGGCATTACACTGCCTTCTGAGTAGGGATTACTGTTTACAGATTTAAGAATAAAACCAACTTTTTATATACTAACTTAATTCTAAGCATATTCCACCCCTCACCAATGGCCTGAATGACACAACTCTTTTCAAATGGAGGCATTCTTTTGGGCTTAGCTGTTTAAATTTTAGTTTAAATGTGATGATAAACCGTTCTGTGGTGAGGCTTACAGGGAAAGGATTCCCTTTTGCAGTGTCTATTAGGATGATTTACGAGACGTACTAGGAAACCGAGAGAAATTTAGAGACATCTTTCCAAGACTAAAATTATTGTGTTTATAATAAGAAAGCGTCTGTTAAACAACAATTTTTGGAAGGTGAGGATTCCATCAAGGCTAGAATGTCGAACAATAAATTCCTGTCAGGTGATTATCTGCCTGAGATGAAAACTATTCCCATTTCTCAGTTTGCTTGAATACATGCTATTCTGCCTGATATTTGGTACCATAAATTGACCTTTAGGTTACTAAATCCACAGAGCATGAACTGTTTCATTATGCAGTGTTTTTTTTTTTTTTAATGCTGTAGTTTTCTTTCCATCCCAATTTTATGCACTTATTGTACATGCTGGTAACTTTTTAATTTTGAGGCCTTTTTTTTCTCTTAGTTTTCATTATTTTACCTGACACAGTTCACTTCTGTTACACGTCTTTAAATCTTAAATCAGCAAATGAAAGGCTGAGAAAGTTCAGTAACTTTAATTCCAATGTATGCCTTTCACTTGAACTTTTTATGCATTGCTTCCACCACCAGTGCTCAACATTTAGTTCCATCTAGCAAAAAAAAAAAAAAAAAAAAGAAAAAGAAAAGAAAAGAAGAAAATTACAGTGTCCTTTGGGATGCCAGCAACTTATTGTTGTTGTTTTTAATTAATAAGAAAAAAGATTACATTCATCTAATCAAAGATTTTTGTCCTGACCTTAACTGTTAAAAACAAAAATGCTTTGAAAGTATGGTATTTGCAAAACCCCTGAGAAGACACTAATGGGATTCCCATGATCTAATACATGTAAGGCTTTAACTGTAACTGTAAACCCACTGAAGGCTTATGATCTGAAAGTATGAACTATTGTAGCCAGTTTTTATGGGTTTAATTCCACCAGCAAATCCCAGTTTCTATATTTTAATTCTCAACTAGAGCAAAATAACGACACATTTTCAACTAACAATCCGAAAGAAGAAAGTACTGGAATAACGGAGCCAGAAAACCATTGCCAACAGCCACCCTCTACCACGAACCATCAGTGAACTTCGAAAAGCACAAGACTGAGCAACACTTAAGTCTGTGAAATACGTGCATTTCACTTATAACACTCACAAAACTACATATGAATCATTTTTTTTTCCTCTGATTTATTTCCCACACAAGGTTCAATAAAACACGACACTTACTCAGCCACCTCTGACTGAATGACTATTCTCTGCAGCTATTTATTACTCCTCTTCTGCCACGTTTTCTTCTATGATCCAATTCTGTGACTCCTATAAGCCAGGAAAAGCTGCCTTCAAGTCAACACAGCACAAAGTCACTGAAAATTCTGCCGGCACTAGGCTCTACCTAGGTGCTTAGAAGTTGTTCTGTTTTGTCCTGGGAATGTCCCATACGCAATGTTAATGACTGAAACAGATCCTCTCTTTTTCCTCGAAGGGAATTGAGTTATTATAACAAAGGATGATTTGTGCTCAAAACAATATTCAACTTATCACCCCTATTCAGTATGTATGTGTCCAAGGGTCCACAACCACCTATACACAAATGTAAAAATATCAGTTCTCAGGAGATCTATCTTGTTTCTAAAATTTCTTATTTGTTCCTTGTTTCATATATTTCTTGGTTTTAAAAATTCAGTATTACAAGGCTTGTTATGGGACATCAGGCCTAATTCTACCTTACAGACAAATTAACTTTAAAAAGGCATAACTGAATACAGTATACATTTTACAACCAAATACATGTAGGAACAATTTGGTTTTAAAAGAACTTCACTGTATGTATTTATCATATGTTTACTGATTGTCATATAGGGACTATCAATGGAACCAAGAGAAAATACAGGATTCCACGCATTGAGCATTAACAACTCAAATGTTCCAAAAAATATCTTCCAAAACTGTTGGCCCTTCATTTTTTCATTTTAAGTGTAATTTAATTTATCTCATGCCTCTCATGCAACTAACAATCTCAAAGGTTCTTTTGGTTTGGAAATACTTTATGCTTACCTTTAATGGAAAGCACACTCAATAACTTTTTTCTGATAAAAAGTGCTCCTACTTCTTTTTCGTTTTATTATACCCATGTTCCATAACCTAAATCCTAACAATGCCGAGATACTTTGAAACTTGGATCTTCTCTTAATGCATTCAAAATTTTAAAAGTACCTTGGATTTATTTTCGATAGAAACTCTACTACGTTTTCAATATATGTATTAAGTTCTCTTTATCTTTACTATTGCTCTTACCTCCCGTGAAGAGAGAAAACCAGGTGTGAGTAATGTTTTCATTGTTACCATTGCTGGTTTTGGTCACTTAAGACAAACGAGGGTGACCTTTTCGGCTTGACTTAAGACAAACGAGGGTGACCTTTTCGGCTTGTGCCACAAAGACAATGTACTTCAGAACTACTTTCTCAGAGGGCGATCATTGTAAGCAAAGCTCAGTGAATTCGAGATTTTGTTGAGAACCTCAGGATACTGATTTACTTGCAAAATTCACAGTGGAGACAGTAGGAGGCTGGACAAGTTAACTCAAGGTGAGATGCAAGGCCGCCAAGCTCAAGTTTGAAATTCACACACACCACCACTTCCTGAAACAACGATTTAGACGCTGAACCTGCTCAAGTGTTTGAACTTTCAGCAGGAAACGAGGAAGCGTTCTCCTCCGAGCAGGACAATCAGGCGTTGCGCGAGCAGCCCACTCCTAAGGCCCTGCCGCCTTTATTTCCACTCGTGCCATCCACACCTTGCGTGGTCCTTCCCGGCCACGTCGCAGATGCCTTTGCAATGCCCACCGCTTGCTGAGGCGCAGGAAAAGAATCCCTTAACTTAACCCTTCCTCTCGCCCTCGGATCGCAAAGCACAGGCCACCTACACGGACGTGAAAGCTACCGAACCCCACTTATCCCCTAGCGGAGCGTCTTACCCGTACAGGAATGCAGGGGCTTGGGTCGCACGACCAGCGACGGGCACACGGAGTAGAGGGAAAGTTTCTCAAAGTAATCGCAGGTCTCCTTGGAGAGGATCTCGTCGATCATGAAAGTCTTGTAGCGCCGCCTGGCTGCTTTGAGCTGGCCGGGCGAGCTCAGCCTCAGCTCGGCGTGGCAGTGCATGGTGAGCCGGCGCGAGCGTCCGCCGGCCCGAGCGCGGCTGCGAGTGCCCGGCCCGCTGGGGCCGCGGGGCTGGCGCGACGGCGGGGCCTGGGCCCCGCTCCCGGCAGCTGGGGAGGCGGCGGGGCTCGGGTGGCGCGCGGAGGAGAGCGGGTAGCGGGCGCGCCTGCCGCGCGTCTAGACCCACCCGCAGATCAGCATCTTCGCTGAGCCTTTTTGGGACAACGCAGCTGTCAATCAGCGCGAGCTTCCTGCAGGGCCGGGTGCGGAGTGTGTGCTGAGGGGCGTCCGCGCCCACCCCGCCCCCGCCCGCCCGTGCCACTCCGGCGCCGACCTGCGCGCCTAGTGCCCGGCGGCTCTCAGTCGCTGCCTCCCGCTCTGGTGTCTCGCGCTCCTCTGCCTGGCTCTCTATTTTAAGACGCTCGTTTTGGCTCTCCTCCCCCTCCCCCCCGGGACGCGCTCCAGGTGTGTGTGCAGGAGTGTGCGCGCGGTGCGGGGAGCGCGCACCGCCCCAGCCCGCGGCCAAGGCCCAGGCCGGTAGCTCCCCGGGGCAGTGTTCCCCATGAGCACCTTACTGCCTGTCCTGCCACCCGCCGGCCCGGCTCCCAGTGTCCGCAGCCCAGCGGGAGGGCACGTTCAGGTCTCTTACTAGAAAGAAGTCTAGTCCTCACTAGGCTCCCGGGACTTCGGGCCACAGAGCCAGTGCCCCCGAGGACCCACCGTGCCTTTCTCCTTCCCCGCGTGGACGGTTTCCCGAAGACCGCGGCTTCCCAAGCCCTCCACTCGCAGTCTCGCAGCCCGCGCTGAGCCTGCGCGCTCCGAGCGTAAGACTTTTGAGCTGAAGTTGCAAACTTGACTGCCCCAAGATCCCAAATCATAAATGACCCTGGCCCCGTCCGTTACCCTCATAAAAAACTGAGAAAAAAAAAAAGATAAGAAAAGAAAAACTAATAAAAGTGTGAGTTATCGCCGGGCGCGGTGGCTCAAGCCTGTAATCCCAACATTTGGGAGGCCGACGTGAGACGATAGCTTGAGGTCAGAGGTTCGAGACCAGCCTGGTCAATATAGGGAGACCCTGTCTTTACAAAAGAAAAATTAAAAACAGGCATGGTGGTGCACGCCTGTAGTCCCAGCTACTGGAGAGGTTGAGGCAAGAGGAAACCTGTAGTCCCAGCTATTGGAGAGGTTTAGGCAGGAGGAAATCTTGAGCCCAGGAGTTCGCGGCTGCAGTGAGCCGGGATCTCGTCACTGCACTCCAGCCTGGGCGACAAGAGCGAGATTCTGACTTTTTAAAAAAGTGTGCGGTTTTTTTTAAAACATTGTTTATAAAAACATTTTTTCCTCGTTGGAAAGGGTCAGAGCTGCACGATTCTAGGGAGCCGGCGGGCACTGGGGCAGCCTGTCCCATGCGGGCTTCTCCCAGCGCCCGAGTCTTCCGGCAAAGGGGCTTTCAATATCCGGATCCCTCGCGATACGACCGGGTTAGAGAGTCGCGAAGACAGGCGTTTATTGGGTGATTTGCCTTTTTCTTTCCAGGCTCTTAGTCTTAGGGTCTGTTCCAATCAAAATCTGTACGGACTTTAGTTGTTCATTGGAATTGCTGCGTAAAGGGGACCCCGCCGAGCCTCCGCGCCCGGGAAGCCTCCGGCAGCCTGAGTCGCGCCCGGTGTTCGGCGGGAACAGCCCAGTGCACGCCCGTTTCCACGACTTTATGTTGGAATGAGTGTGCATGGGGTTGGAAGGAAAACGCACGACAGGGACACTGAGAAGTATAGACGCGGATGGCCTTCCCTAGGGCCGAGTTTGGGGCCGGTGACATTTCCTCCCCGCTCCCAGCCTAGAAGCGTCCGCGAGTGCCGGCGGGCTCTCTGCGGAGCTGCTTGCCCAGGGGGCCCTGGTGGCCGCGGAAGCAAGTAAATGAGGGCGCCTGGGCCGGTGATTAAACTAGGAGGGAGGGACACGCCCAGAGGACTAATCATTAGGCTGTTAGAGAAAATAGATTTTTTCTTTTTTTTTTGAGACCGAGCCTCACTCTGTCGCCCAGGCTGGAGTGCAGTGGCGTGATCTCGCCTCATTGCAACCTCTGCCCCCCAGGTTCAAGCGATTCTCCTGCCTCAGTCTCCCGAGAAGCTGGGATTACAGGCGCCTGTCACCGCGCCCGGCTAACTTTTGTATTTTTTAGTAGAGACCAGGTTTCACCATCTTGGCCAGGCTGGTCTTGAACTCCTGACCTCGTGATTCACCCGCTTCGCCTCCCAAAGTGCTGGGATTACAGGCGTGAGAAAATAGATGTTAAGAGGCCAAGTCACAGCCTAGCATTAGACAAGGCCCGCAACGCGTCTTTGAGGAACTTCATTCCCGAAGTATTTGCAAACTGGCCTCCCCTCCCCTCCTCTCCATCTAGAATTGTTTTCTTTCATTCTCTTTCTCCATGCAGAGGCGGCTGCAGGGCAGGCGAGAACTGCTGCCAGGTGTCCGGGTGGCGCCGGGGGTCCTGCCGCCGGACTCTGGGGTCTACAGGCTGGCCCCAGGCGCGCCCCCTGCTTCCGCGGCGGGACCCTGAGGCTGGTCCGCGGTCAAAGCGCGGGACCCGGGACAGCTCACCGCTCAGCCCTGGCATCGCCGTCCGACGCCACGACGGAGGGGGTTCTCCCGGGCGCAAGCCGAGAGGGAAACCGCTGCGCCGAGTCGGGGCTGGGTCCCAGGGGCTCAGCGTTCGCTCCCGGGGCAATGCCGGGCGGGGAGCTTTAGGCGCCCCGAGGAAAGTGAGCCGCTGGTAGGCAGCCGCCAGTAAACTGAGTGCTTGCGGGCGATCTCACCCGCAGCGCCGACTACGAGGCGGGCTTGGAGCTGGGGACCAGCACCTGAGCGACAGCACCAGGACCCGACGCCCGACGAGGGGCCGAGCGCGTCGCGTCTATACTTTCTATCTGCCCGGCGTGTGCCCACAGAATGCGGCACTATTCGGGGCCCCGACTTTGCATTGCTCTTCTTTTCCTTAACCTCTTTTCTTCTCTCTGGTTCTTCCCCTTCCTTCCACCGCCACTGACTCCTCTCCTCTTCTTCCCTCCCACTTCTCCCTTCCCCGCATTGCTCCCCGCCCTTTGGGCCTCTCCTCCTCTGTCGAATTTCCCGCTTCTGTTTTCTCTCTTCTGCCCTCCCTTCTCCCCATCGTTCATCCTTGTTTTCTCTCTCTCTTTTTAACTTCCCTTCTCCTCCTCTCCTTCTTCCCTTTTTCCAAACCCGGGTCTGGACTCGCGTTCGCGTGTTCCTGGTCGCGGTGCTGCCCCTCGGAAGGCTGCAGGCGGCTCACGCGCAGGGACAGAGCCCAAGCCCGGGAGGGACCGGCCTCGCCTTGGCTGGCCGCGTCGCCCAGCGCTCTCACTCCTCTCCGCTTCCACTCGGCCACAGGCACAAAACTCACAAAATCCAGACACTCCCGCAGACGAGTTCTTTGATTTGAAATCTGCAGTGTTTTAATAGGTGAAGAAGTAAAAATTCCAATTCACCTCCTTGGATTTTCCATCTTTTCTATTTCGCGCTACAGAGGCAAGAAATCTCAGAAGGGGTCTGCGGGCACAAGTCCCCTGTGCAGTGGAGAGGGAGAGATGCCCGATCTTGGAGTCTAGAGCCTTGCGCTCTCTTTTGCTCCCTAAGCTGAGCCTCAGTTTTTTCATTTGTAAATGGTGACCACAAAACCTACTTCACAAGGATGGGCTTTCATAATCCATGCCTTTATACAAGTTTGTTCCCTTTCACTGGAATGCCCTTTACATCCTATCCCCTCCTTCTCTGCCCCAAAACCTAGAGACTTATCTCAAATGTCACCTCCTTTGTGAAGTGTCTCCCCACTCCCCAAGGCTGCCGATTCCTACTTCTGTGGTGGCATATCCTATACTGTATTGTCTTTTGCATGTTTATTTCACTCACTGGACAATGACCAGGTGGGCCTACGCCCTATGTTATATTATTCATTTGTATCACCAATACCCATAAAGCACACAGTGGGTTCTCAGTAAATGAGTCATGAATAAATGAATGAATGGGAAAATAATATGTTAGATGGGACATCAAATCTTAATTAGTTGTACTCAGTTTGTCTTTCTCTTTAAATGAGCCTCTCTCATTTCGGGTGTTTAGCAATGGCATCTAGCCCAATTCCCTTTTTGCCCCCCATCTCCCTTTTCTTTTTCCCACTCACTCTTTCCTGCTTTCAGACTGTAAAGGGCTTCTGTGGGAGGAAGCACACCCCAGCTGTCAATCATGAAGTGGGGCTTTGGTCAGAATAGTGAGGGGTTTTGTTTCCAACATTAATGAAGTGGCTGGAACAGCAAACATCTGCCAACAGGACTCAAACCTTTTCCAGCTGCTGGAGACCTACAGACACTTCCCAGCCTCCTGTGACTGTACCCAGGCAGCGTCTGCTCCTGCACCCTGGGGTGGAGGAGTGGGGACACACCACACACGGAGGAACAGGCGGGTATGCCCTGAGCCACACATAGGCAGACATGGAAAGGATAAAAATTCACACCCTCCATGGAGCTTCAGGGGAAGCTCCAAACCCCCAGCCCCTCACACTCACACCCCCATTCTAGCACCTGATTCCTAGGGACACAGCCCAACCAGAGAGAAGGGGACAGGGACATCTTTGCCAAGTTAGGACTGGAAACTCTAGATTTGGTTGCTTTGCTTTCTGTCAACTGGAAACCAAAGAATTTCCTCTTTAACATTTCAACTCACACAAGGCATCTCCACTTGGTTAGAACTCACGAAGTTTAATAAAACAAAATGGTTTTTAAAAATCCTAGGGTGACACTTAAGTTGCTTCTAGGATCTAAGTGTAGATGATCTTGGCTTGACTTTTAATTTAACTCTCCTTGTGTAATTTTGGGCTATGTGTCGATAGATATAGATATTCAGAAGCAGCCAGGACATGTCTTATAAGTACACTAATTCACTCCCCAACCATCTTTTCTCCAAAGAGTAGAGAGGAGGTAAAATACTTCTTAAAGTCTAGTAAAGTGTACTTAACAACTTGTATTTCAGTCGCTACGTTTTGAAATAGTTTCAGACAAGTAAAAGCAAAATAGGGAAAGCCTTGTAAGTTAATATTCCCCTGGGCCCCAGGGCCATGCCAAAACTGCTGTTGTGGAGCTCAGCACAGCAGCCTCAAATAACAACTTAAAGGAGGTATACATGGAGGCCAGCTTGTTTTTAATGATGATATTAATTTACAAAAACTGCTCTCATACACTATAAACCATCTTTTTAAGAGAAAGCACAAATGCGATTCACTTGACAAATGGGCTTGGAAAGGACTGAATAGATCTTTCTTTCTTTTTTTTTTAGACCCAGTCTCACTCTGTTGCCCAGGCTGGAGTGCAGTGGCACAATCTCGGCTCACTGCAACCTCCGTCTCCTGGGTTCAAGCGATTCTCCTCCCTCAGCCTCCTGAGTAGCTGGGATTACAGGTGTGCACCACCGTGCCTGGCTAATTTTTGTATTTTTAGTAGAGATGGGGTTTCACCATGTTGGACAGGCTGGTCTCAAACTCCTGACCTAGTGATCGGCCCACCTCGGCCTCCGAAAGTGCTGGGATTACAGGCGTGAGCCCCTGCGCCCGGCGAAGAAAGGAATGAATAGATCTTTCTATCCTTTCTCAAAACATCTTTCTGGAGAAAAAGTCTAAATTGAGAGAAAAAAAAAAGGCAATGGCTGTTTCTACAGAGCACCAAACATCTGCACAAAGAACAAAAATGCAATAAATCATTCAGATGTTTCCAAATTATTAGAAGCTTGGTATACAGATTAAAATTTGCTGAGTATCTCCCTTTTAAATTTGTGCTATCCTGACATCAAACAGCCATATTTCTGCTAATACTCCATGTCTTTATACTATTCCAACAGTTATGGCCAGGAAAATAAAAGTTAATCTCTCCTAAGTTTCTCATGATATTGTGAAAATAAATATGAATGTTTGGGGCATCATTGGTTTTGACTTTTTTTTTCCACCTGATATCCTTTCACTAATGAGAAAGCTGCCACAAGAGAGAAACAGCACTTTTATAAAAACACAACCGAACAGCGTCCTGGCTGCCTGGGGTAACAGGAAAGAACTTTTGAGTCAGGCAAACCTGGGTTCTATTCCTAGCACATTCCCTTGGTAACTTCCCTGACCTCTAGTCCTCAACCATGTCATGTGGATAATGACAGCCAACTCAGGGTTTGCTGGAGGATTTCACGGGAGATTGTGTACAGGACACTAACTTATGAAATGCCAGTCTCCTCACCACCTTTACTTTTTCAATAAAATAAGCAATTTGCTATCAGAAACCATGACAAAATAAAACTGCATTTTAAAAAGTACCAAAACCAGCTTCTGCTGATACTTAAGTGTGTGAGGCTGGGTTTGGTTCCATGTTCAAAATGCAGGATCAACCAAGAAATAGTGAGAGGGTCAGGAGTAGGAGGGTAGGACTATGGTTAACTGAAGGAAATGGCCCTGGCCGTGAGAGTCCCTAAGTGCTATTTAACATCTGGCCCCACAGCCACAGACTCAGCACATTTGCAGGTGTCGATTAGTCTAACCAGCACTTCACAGGGGACTGGGTCATTTGTAGTGCTGATGTTTTCTGTCTGCCAAAAAATGCCATGATCCTGCACCCACTGGGTGACAGCACATTAAATCATCTCATAAAGCATTTTCATTCTGTCCTTGGCCTCAAGCAGTCCTTGGTTAGGTTTTGTTTCTCTGTAGCCTTCCCTCACCCGGCAAGACAGGATTTCAAAGTGAACAAGCGGTCAGTCAGTCATTAGCATTGACTGTTATCAAGGACAAGAAGGCTCCCATGTCAGGCAGCACAGGGAAAGACTTGCAGAGCCAGTCTGCCTTCTGAACACATGAAGGAAAAACAACACTCAAAGAGAGCTTTGGATGATTAATGAAATCTGCTGGCATAATTGTTACTATGCTGATACAAAACAATATTTACAAAGAACACTGGGTGCAATATGCCAATCAGAGAACATAATGGTCTCTGCACTCCAAGCCCTTAAGAAGGAGGAAGTTTGTACAAACTCCTGGACACAGGTGCTAATCATCTACTTAGGTCAAAGTGTAGACACATGTGTGTATATGAGTGTGTGTGTCTCTCTCTGTATGCCTGCACATATACGCCCTGTGCATACTTCATAACTTTTCTTTCTTCTTCTTCTTTTAAAAAAAAAAAAAAAGAATGAAGAGAGGGCAAAAGGAAGTGATAAAAAGGGAAAAGAAAGACACTTGAAAATCGTGTTTATTAAACAAATTCAAGAGGAATCCTCAGTCTCATAGGGGGAAAAAAAGAAAAGAGAGCTGAGGGAGCCGTCCAGCCTGAGGTTTCACATTTGTAGTATCTTTCTGTCTTGTGCTCAGCCATGGTTAGCAGGCTTTCATGTGTGCAAAGAAAAGTAGACTGTTTCCCTTTCTAAGAAATATTCCACAACTTGAAATATTTCTTACAATTGTAGGCTTTTAAGAGAAAATTGATCTCTGTGAGCTATTTATAAAGAATGTTTTTATATCAGCAGAAATTATAATAACACAGCAAATATGCTAGAAGCAAAATAGAGAAACAAAAAATGATATGGAAAATTCTGGTATTGAATATTCTTAGGCAAAACACTCAAAAACTTAAGAAAATGCAAAATGTCATCAAGAAAATGATAATCTGAGTCAAGTGAATATTTGCTCAAGTTTTTCCATTTGGGGATTTTTACGTAGATAAATATTTTACCTCACTTTGAGCAGACAGCCACGAGGACAGTTTTTATAGATCTCTAATGCTGTGGCATTTCCTTCATTACTTTCCGAAGTTGCTAGGATGCTTGGATCTAAAGAGGCTATAAATTACTAAAGTAAATGAATGATATGGTGCCAATTTCTCTGCGTTTCAATTACACAAGCAGCCTGCCTTTTAAAATTGAATTTGAAGTCATCACAGAAGAGAATCCCCAATTCTATTGCCAGTCCACATCCTGATACGTTTACTTAAGTCAATTATCGAGTTGCTTAGATTATGTCTACAGAAGCTGCCAAAACATCTGGTCATTTCAATCAGTTCAATAAAAGATTCTGCCAAGTCAGGGGGGAAAATTAGTCAAATTACTCATTTGTATAGGCAGAGCAATGGGTTGTTTTCTCTGGGTAGACTGTACATGGATATAACTCAAAAGGTTTTGGTTTTCTCTTCTGAAACCAGAATACAGTTTATAGTTCCTGAAGGAGGTTGTGATATTTATCAGTGTTTGGGAGGTGCTCTGACAGATCTATAGTCCAAAATGTAATGGATATGAAAAGGACTTAATCACGTCTCTGAGACAATTCTGTACTCATTTGAATCCTATGTTCTCAAGGTTGGGACCAAGTCAGAATTAAGCCAGTGGGTTTTTGCTAAATTTTGAAAAATAAAAGTACTAGTACTAGAAATCACAGAATAGTGCCTTTTCGCCTAAAACCCACCGGCATTCCTGTGGATGTATGTCCTCACTTTAACAAAATCTGACACATGATTTGAATTACCAAATACATATAAATATACGGTGTTTCACGGGAACCTCCGCTGCATAAAATGCTGCTCTATAAAATCAAATTAATGCGGTCCTATTATTTCTTCAGTCTCTTCTATGGCGTCTTCGATGGATATTTGAAATTTCAAATGATTATCTTTACTGACCACATAGTGACAGCCCCAAAGAGAAATAAATGCTCAGAGACGGGGAGGAAGAGATTTAGGAGCCCGGCAAGGCTCCTGTTCCTATTACCCTGTTTTTCCTGTCGCATTTACATACTCACTCAATGTTTCAGATCAGAGGATTTTTAATGAAACATTCTAAATAATGATTTAGTTCAGAAGTCTGTATTAGAATACGAGCTCTCACTTGACTAAACATATTGGAAGAAGAAAACAGTTTCATTATTCATTTGGAGCAACATTAAGTACAAATAACCTACCCATGTCTAATTTTATGCGACTTTGTTCTCTGTACATAGATTTGAAGTTTTTTGAAACCTGAGATAATTAGGAACAATTATTGTCATAACTGAATAATATAAACTTTGTATTATGTCTGAGGTGACTCACCCTCCTACTAAATATTCCAGAGTACATGATCTGTTAGGCTGAGGTCTGTGTGTAACTTGTTAAATGTCTATAGCTTAATTGTTAAGAGTTGCTTGTTAATGAATTAGCAACAAAGTCTTTCTGTTTCCTTTAAGAGAGAAAATAGCTCTTTGTTTCAAGAACAAAGAAATTTTAAAAACTCAGTTTTCTAGGTAGGAGGAAGGTAATTTTTCTAAAAGAGAAAAAGGTTTATTTAGAATCTCAGTAGGAGTAGACTCTTGCTTTATGAAGAAAAAAAAAAAAAAAAAAGCCAGAAATTTTACTATAGCTCAACTGAACTGAAGAGTAAGATCTGGGGTCCAGTAAAGAATAATATTCAAGTAGCCAAAAGAGGATTTTAGTTTTGACACAGACAGATTAGAAGTCGGTAGGATCAAGACTTTTTGGAGAATGAGCAGAAGGACCCTGCACTAAGAATGGGATAAAACCAAGGTGGTCAAATGGGGGTTCACAGGGGTAGATCTTCGTTAACTTCTTGTGGACAGAAATAGAATTTGTTTTTCCTTTGTAAGAACTAATGATGCAGAGTTTATGCTTTTATTTATGCAGTATAATTTTGGAAAAGTAAGTTTGACTTCCATGAATATGATGGCTTGGAGAACAGAAATGGAGCAGGGCATGAAGAGAGGAGAGGGTATGACATTGCAGAAAATATGCAGATTCTGGGGTTCCAAAGAACCTCAAAATTATTAACACAAATGAAAAAAAGTGCCCAGTCTTGAATTCAGCTTTGGAATATACACACCCCACATACTTGTAGGTTAACAAGTAGTTTACTGTCCTGATGACAAACTAAGAAGTCATTTACAAGGTAATATTTTGGAGTGCAAAGACCCACATAAAAGAGACTGAATTAGTCACAAGCTGTTTGTGGGAATGTAAATTGGTATGATATTTCTGGAGGGCAGTTTGGCATTATATCTCAAACACAAAATCGATCCAGCAGTCCCAACCTAGGAATTGAAACCAAAGCTGTGGTTCTCAAATATGATTGTACACATAATTTCCTAGGAGTGCTTGTTTAAAAACTGCCCATTCCTAGATTTCCTCCCTCCAGAAATGTGTAGGTGTGACAGTTGACATTTTAAAACCAGCAGTCCTATTGATTTAGCTGCTGTTTAACAAACAGGTTGCCAAAGAGATAAAAATGATAAAAGTGGGACAGGCTGTAAGAAGAAAAAAATGTTAGTTGTAAGAATTCTTAAAATTTAAGGAAATTAGGAAATCTGTCATTTTACCTCTCTGAGCCTCAGTTTCCTTGTCTTTGAGATAAAAGTACATACCCAATAGTGTTATTGTAACACTAAAGATATATATAAATGGTTTAGACAATGACTGACACGTAAAGATCAATATATGTTAACTATTATTACTGCAATGCTGAGTGAAAAAGTCATTGATATAATAGAATGTGCAATACAATTCCAGCTTCAAAACATTGTTTATATACACATGTATATAGGTGCATATAGAGATGTCTAAAAGCATGTTCAAATACTAACAGTGATAATTTATTTTTAAAATGTATTATTATTATTAGAGATAGGTGTCTTGCTATGTTGACCAGGCTGGTCTTGAACTCCTGGCCTCAAGCAATTCTCCTGTCTTGGCCTCTCAAAATGCTGGAATTACAGGTGTGAGCCACTGCACTCAGCCCAGTGATAATTTATTCTATGTAGTTTTGAATATTGTTTACATAGTTTTACAATTGACATTTATCTTTTTTCCTACAAATTATATTTAAGTTCAAAAATATTATAATATTTTACATTCAAAAATAAAAAGCGAACTTCAATATCTTACATTTGCATAACATTTCCCATTTACAGAAAATTTTCAAATGCAGTACTTCATGTGAACTTTATACAGCCCTATATATGAAAAAAGACAAGTCTTACTATCCCTATTTTACGAAAGAGGAAACTGAGGAAAAGTGGTTTACTTGAGGTTACCCCACACAGCCACATCTACACTTGCAGAGCCAAGTCTCAAACCCGAGTTTTTTGAGTCCAAGTTTCCCATACCCTCTATGGGACAATGTTTTTTCACTGATCTCAGTTATATTTTTCAAAAGAAATGAAATTCCAGTTTTATGAGTTTCTATTTTTCGCTCATCCACCCCCTCATAAAAAATGCTAAGCATTTGATAAAACCGAGGTAAACTGAATATTAAGAGGGCTGACATAAAAACATATTAAAGTCAGGAAATATCACAGTTAGGTCTGGTAGGAAAACTTAACCATCTCATGTGTCATGAGCTTTGGTTACTAGGTAATCCTCTAAATATAGACAGTCCCAATCACTTGTTAAAAATTAACAGCAATTTCACGAGCAGGGAAAGTGAGTTGATAATTATGTGGAACATGGACTGTCCATTGGATTGCTCTGAGTTCTCGAAAGTTTTTCACCTCCTAGCAATCAAGCCCCGGCGTCTCACGGAGCCTTCCCAGCCAAGCCGCTTTGGCTCTGGACCACGTCTGCAATCAGAAAGGATCCTAAGGTACCCGCCACTTCTCAGGGTTGCAGCGTGGCCGCTACTGCCCTCTACCGGACAGCAGGGACGCATGGCGTGTGTGCTGTGGAATCCGGTCTCCCTCTATCGGCACGAAGCAGGTACATTATCAAAGACAGGCTCTCCAGAGGTGCTGCGTCGGCGCTAGTGACTGTCCCAGAACATTGTCTTGGGAAGGCCACCTGGGGGGCTCCTTGACCTCAGCACTGTCAGAAGTGTCACCTGTTGCTATTCTTCCCTAAAACAGATCAAGGGACTCTCTAGACTGGACAGGGAAGCCTCTTTGCCCGTCCTACACTCTAGGGTTAGTTCTGATCATTCTCACCATCAAGGACTTGAATTCTCCACCGAAAATCGTTGTACATGACTTAGCTCTACTTCTGATTAATAAGGGTATTGAACAAGGAGGATTTGAAAGCAGCACATAATACCGGTAGCAACTCTGTAGCATACAACTCTAAGATCTAGGACTGTGCCCTGATGTCACCATTTAAGAGCAAAGTCAGCTCCAGTATAAACAAGCTTTGTGGACCTCAACCGTGAGTAAAAGCTCCGCTTCTCTGAGTTGGTCTCAGGGATCTAATTAGTTTATGGTGGTAGATCTTGAATATGATCAACACTATGTTCATATATTGCATTTACATTAACTCCAGTATACATTTGCCTGCTCTAGATCATGCTTAAATATTTCTGGCTTTTATGGATTAGGTGCACTTACAGTTCCCTGAATTTATAGATGACACCTGGTCTCTTTTAACTTAGGATGTAAACCTTCTTGAGTAAAGGGAGTGGAGGGTCTGGCTGAAAAAGGAAAATGTAAAAGGTAAAATCTTAATAAGAGGATGAATATAAAAGAAGAGAAATAGAAATAATTCAATTTTTCCTGCCATTGATTTTTCTGTCCTGACTCTATGAATTACAAATACAAAGTCATTTGTAGTGACTTTGCTATTTTCCTATAAAAATATATTTCCTTATTTCCCCCCTGCCTGCAATAGAACACACAGAGCCAGTCAGTCTTGCCAGGTATGGAAAACAAGTTTATACATAACTAGAAACCTTTCTTCCCCCTAAAAAATCAAAACAAAACTCCACTTCATGGGACAGGCTGAAACTACCACAAAACTATGGGGAATGATTAAGAAGTTGGCTGAGGTGCTTTCTAATGACTGTTTAGTCAATCAGATAGCTGAGTTTGGGAACAGGATGTTGTTATATTTCTGGATATTTAAATACCACCTTCTTGAATGGCAACATTTTGTTCTTTGTATTACATTGCATTGTTTTCCTTGTAGCAACGTGTTGTAAATCTGTAGTGGAGATAAGTGTATAGAAATTGAATATAGAGATAATTCATCTAGCATATATTTATTGAGCATCTACTTTGTCCCAGGAACTGTGTTGGTCCAAGAAATGTGGTGGTGAACAGCACACACTCCCTTTCCTCACAGTAACAGACCTGTAGTGGAGATAGATGAGTCAACAGGTGCCTACACCCATAGTTAGGAACTGGGAGATTTAAGAGCACGAAGGAGGGGCACTTAGCCCAGTCCGAAAAGAAATAAGGGAAGGATTTCAGAAAGAATTGTTATATAAGGTGAGATCTGAAGGAAGAATATGAGTTAGGAAGGGGTAGAGAAATTCGAGGCAGACAAGAAAAACATCCAAAGCATAGAGGCAAGTGAAAGTGTCTCATGAAGCACCTGCAGTACTTGAGTGTGGCTGAAGTGCAGGTTTGAAGAGGAAAGTGTCCTGAGAAAATGAGAAAGAAGGGCCAGATCATAAAGCATCTTTTATGCTATGTTACTGATTTATATTTTATTCTGAAAACAATAAGAAGTGCTAAATGATTTATGGTAGGAAGGTGACATAATCAGATGTGCTTCTGAAAGTCCGGGCCATAATGTTATAGAGTGTGGATTCAAGGAGAGCAAAATAGAGAGGAGGGAAACCGGTTAAGAAGTTACTGTAGGCCGGGCATGATGGCTCACACCTGTAATCCCAGCACTTTGGGAGGCCAAGGTGGGTGGATCACCTGAGGTCAGGAGTTCGTGACCAGACTGGCCAACATGGTGAAACCCTGTCTTTACTAAAAATACAAAAATTAGCTGTGCGTGGTGGCAGGTGCCTGTAATCCCAGCTATTTGGGAGGCTGAGGCAGGAGAATCGCTTGAACCCGGGAGGCAGAGGTTGCAGTGAGCTGAGAGCATGCTGTTGCACTCCAGCCTGGGCAACAAGAGCGAAACTCCATCTCAAAAAAAAAAAAAAAAGTTACTGTATTTCTATGTTAATCCAAGGGAGAGGTAATTGACTTCTGAAGCCATAGGATGAAGAAAAAGGAGAGACCGAAATGATTTCAAGGAACTAGAATCCATGAAACCCAATAATTATTTTGAGGTAAGAAAATAAAGAAGTCTAAGTCAAGAATGACCCTATTTAATACCCAGAACATAAAAGCTCCTACAACTTAATAAAAAAAATGACTCAATTAAAAAACTGGGCAAATGACTTGAATAGAAATTTCTCCAAAGAATATATATATAAATGGCCATAAGCACATGAAGAGATGCTTAACATCATTGGTCATTAGGGGAATGCAAATCAAAGCCACGATGAGACATCACTTCACCCCTACTAGGATAGCTATAATTAAAGGAGACAGAAAATAGCAAGTGTTGGCATGGATGTGGAGAAATTGGAACCCTTGTACATTGCTAGCAGAAAAGTAAAATGGTACAGATGCTGTGGGAAACAGCTTGGCACCTCCTTAATAAGCATAGACTTAGCATATTACCCAGCAATTCGACTCCTAGGTATATGCCCCAAATAATTCAAAAACAGAAACAAACATATTTTCAGGCAAATGCTTATTGCAGCATTACTTACAATAGCTAAAAGTAGAAACAATCCAAGTGTTTACCAACAGAAAATTAGATAAATAAGAGGTAGTATATACATACAATGGAATAATATTTAGCCATAAAAGCAATAAAGTTCTGATACATGCTACAACATTAATGAATCTGGTAAACACTATGCTAAGTGAAATAAGACAGACACAGAAGGACAAGTGTTATATGATTAAACTTATACATAATGCCTGGAATAGGTAAATTCATAGACACAGAAAATAGAATTGTGCTTACCAGGAGCCAGAGAGAGGGAAAAGTGGCAAGTTATTGTTTAATGGTTATAGAATTTTTGTTTAAGGTGATCAAAAGTTTTGGAAGTAGATAGTAGTGATGGTTGTACAACATTGTGAATGTAGTTAATAGCATTAAATTATACCCTTTTAAAACTGCATAAATGGCACATTTTATACTGCATATATTTTACCACAATTTTAAGAATCAGTAACATAATAGACCAGAAAAATCTCACATTGAATTTGTACACCTTCAATGGGTGAATAATGGCATTGTATGTAAATTATCAATAAAGTCATTAAATTATCAATGATTAACAAAGTCATTAGAAAACAAACAAATAGCAACAACAAAAAGGAATAGAGCTCACATTTCTGACTTGGCAAATAAGTCGATGGGGCTACTATTCACTAATATAAGGTGAGAAAATAAGCAGTTTGAGGAGGAAGTAGTAAGGTCATTTTGGGTGTGTTAAATTTGAGATGTCCATCAGACATACAAATGGAGATGCACAGTGTACAGCTGAGTATGTGTGTCTGAAATTTGGAAGAGAAATCTAAATTAGAGGTACAATTCAGAGGCCATCAGTATGTATATAGTAATCAAAGCCCTGAGAGTAAATGGAATTATTTGGGGAGTATGAAAATCAGAAGATACAAGAACCAAGGAGAGAATCTCAAGCTTTATTAATATTTAAGGGGTGGGCAAGCAGAGACATCCACAAAGAAGTCTGAGGGGTAATATAGGAAGCAAAGCAATTTAAAGAAAAAAACACGTTGTGGGGAAAAGGGGCATTTTTTCCATATCTTTTACCACTGTAAATAATAATTTCCTTTATATTTAATGAAAGAAAACTAACTGCAGAAAAGGCTTAAATAAGAAGAAAAATCTTTCTTACCTCTTTTTGTCCTCATACCTAAAGTCCAAGTTGTTTCAAATTAGAAAGCTTGGATTATAAACCTTCAGAAAAACTTTGCAATGTGTACCAAACAAACCTAATCAGTTTGCTTATTCAGAGAGAGACAGACTGAGAATCAGTGGGAGAAAAAAGCAGGCATGTCACTACTGGTTGCAATGTAAAGAAAAAGAAGAAAAAAATGTCCTTTAATCTAAAAATCTTTTCCTTTTCTGCTCCTTGATGCTTGAAACTCCTAGAACAGAGAGTAAAGTATTTTAAAGTTAGAAATAAGGTCTTACAACCAAATACTCAAATCAGGAGACATATGACATGAAGAAATGCTGACCAAGAATGGATGAAAGACATGACACCACAGATTCGAGAAGTTCAGTGAACTCAAAGGAAGATAAATACAAAGAACCACAACTAAGCATGTCGTTGTAACATCCTAAATACTAAAGATAAAGAGAAATGTTTAAAAACAGTCAAATAAAAAAAGACACATTACTTTCAAAGGAACCATTATAAAAGAGAAGGCTAAAACTTGCAAATAATAAGAGACAAGCCTAACTTTTCAATAGAAACCATGAAAGGCAAAAGACAATGGAATGACAACTTTAAAATGCTGGGAGAAGATAAATATCAACCTAAGATCTAGCCTACAAAAATATTCTTGAGACTTTTCAGTATCTGCTTTGGGCCATTTCCAGCAATATGGATGACCCTGGAGGACATTATGCTAAGAGAAATAAGCCAGGCACAGAAAGACAAATCATCTCACTTACATGTGGAATTGAAAAAAAGTTGAACTCGTAAAAGTAGAAAGTAGAATGATGGTTACCTGGAGTTGGGGGGGTGGTGGGGAGTGGGTGGTAGAGATGTTGGTTAAAGGGTAAAAATTTTCATTAGACAGGAGGAATAAATTTTTTAGACCTATTGCACACCATGGTGACTATAATAATGTAACGTATACTTCTAAATTGCTAAGAGAGTAGATCTTGAAAGTTTGTGCCACACACAAAAAATATGTGAGGTGGTGGATATGTGAATTAGTTGGTTTAGTCATTCCATAATGTACACATACATCAAAATGTCACATTTTACCCCCATAAATACACACAATTATTATTGTCAATTAAAAATAAATAAAAACTTAAAAATTAATTTTGGGCCAGGCACAGTGGCTCATGCCTGTAATCTCAGCACTTTGGGAGGCTGAGGCAGGTGGATCACGAGGTCAGGAGATCGAGACCATCCTGGCCAACATGGTGAAACCCCGTCTCTACTAAAAAATACAAAAAATTAGCCGGGAGTGGTGATGCGCACCTGTAGTCCCAGCTACTCTGGAGGCCGAGGCAGGAGACTCACTTGAACCCAGGAGGTGGAGGTTGCAGTGAGCCGAGATTGTGCCACTGCACTCCAGCCTGGGTGACAGAGTGAGACTCCATCTCAAAAAATAATAATAATAATTTAAAAATGTTCTTTTAAGGAACATAAGGAAGAAAGGGGAAAATGGAATTAAAAATCATAAGATTCTAGTATTGATTGGGAAAAATATGTGACAGAAACTATCTGTGCCCTGTCAAGCACAAAATAATTACTCTGTGGTCTTTTAGAGAAAAATGTAGTCAATCCCTATTCTGTATAATAAATTTGGTCAAGATACTTAGATTTTAGTTGTGTTTTTCAAATCTTCTATATCATTACCACTTTTTCTGTCTTCTTATTCTGCCACTAAGAGAAGTCAATCAAAATATTTCAATCTAATTGTAAAACTCAACAATAGAAAGATGAATAACCCTACTTTCTAAATGGACAGATTTGAGTAAAACTTTTTTCCAAGAGAATATGCAAATGGCTAATAATCACATAGAAACACGTTCAACATTGTTAGTCATTAAGGAAATGTAAGCTGAAACAGCAATGAGGTTACCACTTCATACCCACTATCATGGCTATAATATTAAAAGAAAAAAAAGCACAGAAAATAGCAAGTGTCAGAGAGGATGTGAAGAAATTGGAACTCCATACATTGCTACTGGGAATGTAACATGGCATAGCCACTGTGGAGAACAGCCTAGTAATTCCTCAAAAAGTTAAACCTAAGAGTTACCAGAGTTACCATATGATCCAGAAATTCCACTGTTATGTATATACCCGCCCCCCAAAATTAAAAATCCATGGGGATACAAGTCTTATTTATAGCAGCATCATTCTATTTTTTTTTTTTTTGAGATGGAGTCTCACTCTGTTGCCCATGCTGGAGTGCAGTGGCACGATCTCAGCTCACTACAACCTCCACCTCCTGGGTTCACGCCATTCTCCTGCCTCAGCCTCCCGAGTAGCTAGGCACGCGCCACCGCATCCAGCTAATTTTTGTATTTTTAGTAGAGACAGGGTTTCACCATGTTGGTCAGGATGGTCTCAATCTCTTGACCTCGTGATCCTCCTGCCTTGGCCTCCCAAAGTGCTGAGATTACAGGCATGAGCCACCGGGCCTGGCCAGCATCATTCTTAATAGGAAAAAATTTGAAATACCCCAAATGTTTGACAACCAAAGAATGGATATGTAAACGGCATTACGTTCATACAATGGAGCACTACACAACAAGGATAAATAATTAACAACGGTTGGGTAAAACAACATGTATGAATTCCACAGATAAAGTTCTGAGTGATAGAAGCTGAACACAATTGATTGACAAAGTATAATTCCATTTCTATTATTTTTAAGAAGAGGTGGCCGGGTGCAGTGGCTCATGCCTGTAATCCCAGCATTTTGGGAGGCCGAGGCAGGTGGATTACCTAAGGTCAGGAGTTCAAGACCAGCCTGGCCAACATGGTGAAACCCCATCTCTACTAAAATTACAAAAAGTTAGCTGGGCATGGTGGTGGACGCCTGTAATCCCAGCTACTCAGGAGACTGAGGTAGGAGAATCTCTTAAACCTGGGAGGCAGAAGTTGCTGTGAGCCAAGATCGCGCCATTGCATTCCAGCCTGGGTAACAAGAGTGAAACTCTGTCTCAAAAAAAAAAAAGAAAGAAAGAAAGAAAAGAAAAGAAAAAGAAAGAAGAGGCTAAACCAATCTATAGTGAAATAAGGTAAAGAGTGTTTATCTTTGGCAGATGGTATTGCCCAGGCAGTGGATAAAGCAGCCTTCTGAGATGCTGGAAATGTTTAATACCCTAACTTGGATGGAAATTAAATGAATTTATACTTTTATAAAAATTCAAGGAGCTATATGCCTGAGATTTGTGCACTTTGTGTGTCTTATAATTTAGTTTTTCTAAAAAAAAAGTTTTTAAATGTCCTTACAAGTTAATGATTGGCTTTTTAAAACAAATTACAGAATGAGCAAAATATCCTAAAAAGGAGAGCCAACTTCAATTTTGTCTGCTTCTGACTTTGCTGATGATCTCTGTGTTAGGTTCTCAATTTAGAGAAGTCTAAAAACAGCATGGGGAAAAATAAAAGAACCAAATGACTCATATTATATAAATTCAAGAATACTTACTAGATGACACAAAAAAGTAAAATATTCCTTGGCAGGTGTGGTAGACAGACTTCTCAGATGTCCCCAAGGTTCCTGCACCCTGGTATACACACTCTGTAGTATACCTGGCACTGCACTTATGATGGGCTATTACTCCTGTGATTATATGGCAAATATGATTTTGCAGGTATAATTAAATTCCCAATCAGATGACCTTAAAATAAGGAGATAACCTGGGTAGTCCTGGCCAAATCACATGAGACTTTAAATTGGGGCCTGGGGTCAGAGACAGAGATTTGAAACATGAGAAAAATTTAATGCATTTTGCTGGCTTCAAGATAGAGAGGGCCATGTGGCAAGAAATGCAGGCAGCCTCTATAGGCTGAGAGAAGTCCCTGTCTGACAATCAGCAAGCAAACTGAGACCTCAGTCCTACAACTGCAAGGAACTGAGTTCTGGCAACAAGAATTGAGCTTGCAAGCAAATTCTTCACTAGAGCCTCCAGACAATAACTTAGTTGCCACCTTGACTGCAGCTCTGTGATACCTACAAAATGCATTTTGTAGAAACATTGTTACATTGTTGTCTAGTATCTGCCCATTTACTTGGGGGGAGGGGGGTAATAGCTACCACCTGTTGAGCACCTTTATTGTACTTGGTGTTTTACGTATATAATCTTTAAACCTATGACCATCTTGCCGCTTTAGCTTTCTTTTGATGTGTAGAAAATTGATACAAACTTAACTGCCTAAAACAGCATCCACATATTAGCTTATAGTTCCATAGGAGTACCGACTTCTGACCTACAGAACTGTAAACTAATACACGGATGCTTTTTGGGGCAGTTTAGTTTGTGGCAATTTGCTACACATCAAAACAAAATGAATACGGCAAGATGGTCATAGGTTTGGAGATTATATAGGTAAAACACCAAGTACAATCAAGGTGCTCAAAGAGTGGTAGCTATTCCCACCACGTAAACTGACAGTTACAAGACAATGAGATAACAACATTTCTACAAAATGCATTAAGTGAAGGGAATCCTATGTCCTTCTGGGGAATTCATGAAAAGTTCCCCTGAGAAAGTAGAGTTGGTGTTGAGATGGATGAACAAGTGAAGGTTTGTCAGTTACCTCAGCCTGCTTTGGCACTAAGGCTCAGAGAAGGAGAAGTTCCATATGCATAGAGCATCGAATGAAAAGTGTTGCTAAGGAACAGAAAGTAGGAGATAAATATAGTCAGGTTTTCAGGGTCCAGATAGTCCCTGCTTCAATCCTTCCTGTAGAATAATATCAAGACTCCTTAGGCACTACATGATGTGGTTTGTGCTTTCATCTCCCACCTCACATTCTTCCACTGTATTTTTCAGGTACTATTGTAGGTTGCATTATTAGCTGCCGTTATTCACCACTCCTCGTATTCATGCCACATTTGTCATGTAATTTTTCAGTACTGTTCCACTCAGCAATGTAATTTGGCCAATAAAATGAAGCAGAAGTCATGCCGTGACTATTCTATGTCTGTCTGGACTCAAGAGACCTGTCCCATTTCTACTTGTGCCTTTCACCTCTGATATCGCCGTGAGAAAAATATGGCTAAGCCACTGTTCCCAGAAGGAGAAGAAGGGGCACGCAGAGAAGAACCAAGTCACTCCACCAAGTTCAGCCAAAATTGGTCAACCCTCAGCCAACCAGCCAGCCTCTATGCATAAATGATTCTTGTTTTAAGCTACTAAGTTTTGAGAAGCTAAGTGTGGAAATAGCTGATGCTAAAAGAATTGTGGAAATCCAAGCCACCTGCTCATATAATTTATTTGTGGTGGCCACAAATTCTTTGCTGTTTCTCCTATCAAGAAGTGGAATTTATTTCCTTTTTCCCACGAGTCTGTGTTGGCCTCTTAACTCACTTTGACCAGTAGAATGCTGCAGAAATGACGCTGTCACAGCTCTAGGCCAAGCACTTAAGATAACTGGCAGGTCCACTTTTTCTCTCTTGGAAGCCAGCCACCATGTAGAAGTCCAGCTGCCTTCAGAGACCACTATGTTGGGAGGAGACCCAGACCAGCGATGTGGCGAGAGAGGGGCCATGTGGTAGAGCACCAGGCATGTGAATGGAACCCTTCTGGACTACCCAGCCTAACCAAGGTAGTAACCTCGCGACATAGAGGCACAACAAGGAGCAGATGAACCTCCCGGCCGAGCCTGCCTGAATTCCAGACCCACAGAATCTTGAGGAAAAAGAAGTCATTACTATTTTAAACTACTAATTTCTGGGACAGTTTGTCACACAGCAATAGAAAATGAAAACACTTGTGCCTTCTGGACCTGTTCAGGTTTGGCCTCATATGATACTATTTCCCTCCTACAGTGGCATGCTATTCTGCAGGTCCAGTGTTATAACTTAGTCAAGCAGTTAAGAATTAGTTCAAGGTGGGTCGTTCAGGTTGTATAATCACTTCATGTCTCATAGTCAGACATTCAGTCTCTGCCAGGGCCCAGTAGCAAGTCAAGTGCTGGTTTCAAATGGAGGAAATATTGCCCAAAGGAGAGGGCATGGTCTTTTCCTGTGGACTCCTATTAGAACTCACTGGATGATGCTTAACATAATTTTAGGTCTGCTGGATTTTACAATGAAATTGGTGGGGCAGTTTGAAACAGTGCCTGGACCTCCACCAAGACATTTCTTGTGCTGGGTCCCATTCAAGATTGGCAACTGTATGGATAACCCAGGGCTCCGGTCAGAGCAGCATAGCCCAGTGTCATATGCGACACTCCAGAATCCAAAGAGGCCCACAGACTGTGTGCCTTTTTCTTGTGGTGAGTAGTGCAAGGTGCAGCAACTTATGTCTCACCTAAAAAGATATCCCAAAAAGCCCCAGACCATTAGACTCCTAGTACTTTCACTGAGGCAGTGAGGACTTTTGAGCTCTCACTCTCTGACATGCATGTGTCTTACTAAGGCACTCAGCATGCTGGCTAATTCCTTTTTCCAGATGCAACTTTAAAAATGTCATCAATGTCAAGGGCCAGCATGATGTTCTGTGGGAGAATAAGATGATCAAGTTTTTCCAGATTATTTTATGCCACAGAGCAGAAGACTTGACATGGCTCTAAGACGGTCAAAGTAATGCTGTTATTCCCACAATGAGAAGGCAAATTGCTTCTAATTATCTTTTTTGGAAAGAGAGGAAAGGGGAAATGTGTACAGTCAGTAGTTGCCTGCCAGGAGCCAAAGATTATGTTGATTTGCTCCGGCAAAGATGCCAGATCCAGAAACACAGCCGTGATTGACATCACTACCTGATTAAGTTTGCCCTAACCTGTAATCATTCTCAACTACTCCTCTGACTCTTGCATGAACTAAACAGGAAAGCTTGAAATGGATATGGAAATCTGGAAAATATTACATGTAGTGACAGCATTGTTTTTTATTCTTTCTAAGTCTCTACATAAAAACAGAAAGAGGCCAGGCATGGTGGCTCACGTCTGTAATCCAAGCACTTAGGGAGGCTGAGGTGGGCAGATCATGAGGTCAAGAGATTGAGACCATCCTGATTAACATGGTGAAACCCTGTCTCTACTAAAAATACAAAAATTAGCCAGGCGTGGTGGCTAATGCCTGTAATCCCAGCTACTCAGGAGGCTGAGGCAGGAGAATCTCTTGAACACGGGAGGCAAAGGTTGCAGTGAGCCGCAATTGTGCCTCTGCACTCCAGCCTGGGCAACAGAGCGAGACTCTGTCTTAAAAAACAAAAATAAAAACAAACAAACAAAAAAACACTAAAAGAGAACTAATAGAAAAGCCAAAAACCCATAGGCAGCATATGCAGGGAAACTAAGTGACAAGGTATCCCCATGAACTACAAAATGCAATTGACGAGGGCAACCCAACAGCACAAGGGTGCATGGTATGGGCACATGTGTGACAGAATGCAGATGGAAGCAATATGGTATTTGACAAGTCGAGAACAGGTGAACTCCAAAATAGCAACTGGTATTCCCCAGAAAGCGTGGTGAGCTAACTTGAGCACAGCAGCTGAAACTGAGCAGTTCTTCCTAACCCAGTGGTAGGTGAGCAAGAAGCCCAAGGTAAAAGCCAAAAGGTCTGCAGCAACCTAGCATCTGTCACTCTCAAAACTGGCTCTCCAAGACCCCCTCCCAGAACTGGGCCCACACTGAGGAGAAAGTCCTAAGAGTAAAATCCACATTCCACAGGACAGGGATAATACAGACAAAGGGAGAAAAGTCCCAGATAAAGTGGAGGGAAAGAAAGAGAGAAAGAAAATTTTCAAAAGCAAGCCACCATATATTTGAACACTACTGTGAAGTTAGAACAGGCACTCTGAACTATGCCTCCTTCCAAAATTTCAGGAAAACTAATTTCACATAAAAATTAGCAACAGAGAAAGTATCAAGTTCAAATCCTTGGAAATTCTGACGAAGAAAAAAAGAATAAGGAGCAGAAGAAAACCTCCCACAGACAATAAAACATGCTACATCTTATCCACAAAAGAGGTCAAAACTTGCAAACTTCTATTTCAGAAGACGTTAAAAGACATTTTTAAGACAATACAAACTTCCCTCCTTCTTAAATAATTGAGTCTGAGAACCATTCATCAGGCCCAAGCAAAGGAGATTGAGCAGAGAGGTTATTTGGCAGGAACTGGGAACAGAGTGAGGAAGGTGGTCAAGTCACACCAGTGAGGTCCAAAGATTGGTAACAGAGGGCAATTGAGCAAATAACCTCAGTGAGAACCAGGCTTCTGATTATCAGAGAAAGAAGTTATAAACGTGTAATGAGGGAAAGCTAGAAGGAATACTCTGTTGTTGAACTGGAATTGGAGGTATTGGTGTGAACTTCTGGTTTTCCATATATAGAGAATAGGCAAACACAGGTGTGTGTGTGTGTGTGTATCGATATAATTCCTATCTCTGTCCACTAGGACTGCGTGAGAGCAGCAACACCCAAATTTGCAATGAGCGCACATAGCACACCCAGACATTGGGTTCCAAATGCCATTCTCCACTAAAAGGAGAAGGGGCTAAGTCTAGGACGGTGGCAGAAAAAGTACAGGATGAGCCTGGAACATCCTATTGTGATCAAAAGTAACAGAATTAAAAGAATAATGGGACACATCAAAAGGGCACAGAAACCAGCACAAAGGGGCTTCCACTGGACAAATTTGAGGCAAATTGAGAATCAAAATAAATAACGATAGTAACAAATAATACATCCCATTGCATAATACAGAAATAACTGAGCCAACACAATACATTATAATGTATATAAATATACACATTAATAAATAAATAAGGAGAAGAGAAAGCCCTTCTTGTGGTAAATGCTAAGTAGTAAATGTAGAAGGAATGACGGAATAAGAAAATCACTATTTGGGAATCATCATGGTAATAATTAATTCAGATAAGAAGCACCAATACATCCTAAACTGATGGATTAACATTGAACGAGGAAAGGGACATTTACATAGGTTCAAAATATCTCATCACAAAATAATTATTAAGTACAGAGGGGAAAAGTATAACTTTGCAGTGGAGAAACTTGGTAGATATCACTTCAATCAAGGGGTCAAAGTAACACCACCAGAGGTGCAGCAAGTCAATACCAAGTGCTACCTGATGGAATGCAGAGAGAAGAGTGCAGCATCACTATTGTGATGTTCCTAACACTTCCAAGAACACACGGAGGATCACTCTCATGAGCCCTGCTTGAAGACCCTGCAAGAAAACCAATTTCAGGCAACGGTGATGACTAGAGACATTGATAGAAGCACTGGTGGTCGACATTAAACATATGCTTACTTGCAGAGTGAAGGCTAAATGAAGATTGAATGGAAGAGGATAGTATGTAATGGTTATGTGCTATATTAGTCAGAATTTTCCAGAGAAACAGAACCCGTAAGATATATACAGAGAGATAAATAGATCTAAATCTACATCTAGATCTAGATAAGAGGGGTTTTAATTGTGAGAGTTGACCCACTTGATTATGGAAGGTGAAAACTCCCATGATATATTTTCCACAAGCTAGAGAACCAGGAAAGCCAGTGGTGTAATTTAAACTAAGTTTGAAGATGGGAGAACCAGAGTAGCCAGTGGTCTGACTCTCAGTCCGAGGCCAAAGGCCTGAGAATCTGGGGCTGTAATGTCCAAGGGCAGAGGAAGATAGATGGTGAATGGCCCGGCTCCAGAAAAGACAGCAAATGTGTCCTTCCTCTGCCTTTTGTTCCATCCCAGACCTCAAGCGGATTGGATGATGGTCACCCACATTGTTGAGGGCAGAGCTTCTCACTCTGCGCTAATTCAAATGAGAATCTCTTCCAGAGCATCCTCACAGACACACCCAGAAATGGTGTTTTACCAGCTATCTGGGTATTCCATAATCTGGTCAAGTTGGCACCTAACACTAACCATCACATATGGGTGAAAATATAGTACAGCTATATGAGGACATTTTCAACTCGTTTTCAGTAATTAAATATGTGGTGATCATTTTAGTGTTGTTATTCCATGACTGTAAAGTATATAATGTGGACTAAAGCTTACTTAGCCCTATTAGAGAAGTCTAGAAACAGTCACCTAACCTGTAGCAATGAGCATTAGACTTCAATTTAAAACATCATGTCCCACTAAGAGAAACTAGGGCTTCTTGGAGAAATCGCTGAATTTCAGATCTAGGGAAGGAAATGTACAAGAGGAGCCTAAAACATCTTGTCTTTCTACATAGCAAGGAAGCTATCAAGTACTGCTAGGATCCTGCAAGGAAAGAATCAGGAATCAAACTGAAGAAGCTTTTATCGGCAAAAGAAGGTACATTCAGAGCTTCAAAAAGGAAAATACATAATTGCAAGTGTCTGGAATTCCTCAACTATGTTCAAACCTATAAGTTCAAAGTGATATTTTAGAAAACTAAAGCATGTCAAAGAACAAATTCATTATACTGAAAACTGGTAAATAAAAGAAAAGAATCAAAAATTTGCTCTGCCTTTCATATATCAACTGTGTCACTGGGTAACAGATAGTAGACGAGGGGAACTGTCTCCTTATAAAAGGAGTCTAATAAGTAAAAAAAAAAAAAAAAAAACGATAGAATATCACCATTGGGTGGGCACAGTGCCTCACACCTGTAATCCCAGCACTTTGGGAGGCCGAGGTGGGAGGATTGCTTGAGCTCAGGCGTTCAATACCAGCCTGGGCAACATGGTGAAACCCCATCTCTACAAAAAATACAAAAATTAGCCAGGCATGGTGGTGTGCATCTGTAGTCCCAGCTACTGGGGAGGCTAAGGCAGGAGGAGCGCTTGATCCCACGAGGCTGGAAGCTGCAGTGAGCCGAGATCCCACCACTTCACTCTGGCCTGGGCAATAGAGCGAGACCCCATCTCAAAAAATAAGATAGAACTTAAAAAAAGAATATCATCATTTAGCCACACCCAGTGAATTAATAGATCTGATCTTTGAGCATCAACAACTGCTAACATTATAAAACGGGATACTACCAGACCCTATGGTCTTCATCATGAAGACCACAACACTTCCTGTACCCTTGCTGAAGGGATCAAACCTGAAGGAGATCAAGCTCTGTATCCAGCTGTAAATGTTTAGGAAAACAGAGGAATATTTTGAACTGTGCCTGAGTATTCAGCCAACAAAATCTAGATTGAGAGAAACTCTACAGGAATCTATGGGTCAGGAAACCCATGTGAGGACTCTGCCACTTACTAAGTATGTCTGCTCCCTATGCTATACATACAGTCATGCATGGCTTAACTATGGGGACATGTTCTGAGAAATGTGTCATCACATAATTTCACTGTTGTGGGATCATCATTGTGTGTACTTACACCAGCTGGATGAAGTAGCCTACTACACATCTGTGCTATGTGGTAGAGCCATACAGGATACAAATCTATACTGCATGTTACTGTACTGAACACTGTAAGAAATTGTAACACAATGGTAAGTATTTGCATATCTAAACTTACCTAAACATAGAAAAGGTATGGTTAAAAAAAAGGGTATAAAATATTTTAATGGTACATCTGTATAGGGCAGCTTCACTATAATCTTATTGGACTATAGTCATATATATGGTCTGCTGTTGATCAGCATCGTTATGCAGAAATGACTGCACTTGGACTGGGAAAATAACCACAGAACGGGACTGCAATCCCAATGGACTCACAGTGAGACAGACTAGGGCAAGACACCATCATTTATCTGTCTGGAATAAGTTCCCCTTCAGACCAGTGGACCATAGCAGCATTTCAAATCTCAGTATTAGCATCAGTTCAGAGACAATATCTAACAGCCCCTGGATCTTCCTTCCCCTAATTCACAGTTGCCCTGGCAAATGGCTGACGATCCTACTGGAAAACACTTAAGATTCATAGTACACAACTGTGGAAGGTTACATAGTGCTTTCTCAAAAATACCTGGCCAAATTCCCAGTCAAAGGGTTCCGGTGGTTGGGAAGTGGTTTAGGCCTGGAAACCAAGAAAGAAGCAATGAATGCCCACTACAGCAACTCAAGTTAGATTTATGCCCAACAGACCCAGGGTTTTTTCATTTATGCTTGCAGTACCTTAGTGGGCTGTCCATCTATTTCATTTTACATGTCTCATGATTAGTTAGCTATCACTATACATCTTTTTGAGACAAGATGCTCTGATTACTATTCTGATTGTGTAGCTTTTGGGGTAAAGTTGTCCACGTAGTCTGATGTTTAAGCATTTCCACTGGCCTCTCCCACTTTGAGACCCTCATTGTTCACACTGAGATCAAGAAATCTAATTACATTGCAGCATCTCCCCACATCATCTACAGTCTACAGAGGACAACTGGTCATTAAAGAGATTCTCAAGGATGGCAGTAACCCACACCATTGTATTTCTTTTTTAACAGCCTTATTGAGGTATAGTTCACATACCATACAATGCACCCAATAAAGTGTAAATTAAATGTTTTTGAACATATTAGAGTTGTGCAACCATCATCCCAATGAATTTTAGAACATTTTCCTCATCACCGCAACCAACCCCTAAAAAACCCATAGCCATTAGCAATCACTCCCTGTTTCCCACTAACCTCAGACAGAGGCAACCATTAATATACTTTCTGTTTCTATAGATTTGCCTGTTCTGGACATTGCATGTAAATGAAATCACCTGATAAGATTTCATAATATGATTCAAAAGATCACAGTATGATCTTTTGTGACTGGTTTCTTTTACTTTGCATAATGTTTTCTAGATTCATCCATGTTATAGAATGTATCAGCACTTCATTCCTTTTTTATGGCCAAATAATATTCCATTATGGATATACCTACCACATTTTGTTAATCCATTCATTACTTGATGGACATTAAGCTCTCTTCACTTGTTTGCAATTATTAATAATGCTTCTATGAGCATTAGTATACAAGTTTTGGTGTCGACCAAATATATGTGGACATATATTTTCATTTCTCTTGGGCATATAGGAGTGCTGAGTAATATGGTACCTCTATGTTTAACATTTTGATGATCTGCCAAACTATTTTACAGAGAAGTTGCACCATTTTACATACCATAAGCAACATATGAGGGTTCCAATTTTTCCACTGTCTTACCAATACTTGCTATTATCTGTCTTTTTTTTTTTTTATGATAGTCATCCTAGTGAGTATGAAGTGGTATCTCATTGTGGTTTCACTTTGTATTTCCCTGATGACTAATGAAGTTGGGCATCTTCTCATATGCATATTGGCCAGTTGTATATCTTTGGAGATGTGTCTATTCAAATCCTTTGCTCATTTTAAAATTTTGTTCTTTTTTCATTATTGAATTATAAGAGGTTTTTTTGTTGTTTGTTTGTTTGTTTTGAGACGGAGTTTCGCTCTGTCACCCAAGCTGGAGTGCAGTGGCATGATCTAGGCTCACTGCAACCTCCACCTCCCCAGTTCAAGCGATTATTCTGCCTCAGCCTCCCAAGTAGCTGGGACTACAGGTGCGTGCCACCATGCCCGGCTAATTTTTGTATTTTTAGTAAAGACGAGGTTTCACCATTTTGGTCAGGCTGGCCTGGTCTTGAACTCCTGACCTCATGATCTGCCTGTCTCAGCCTCCCAAACTGTCAGGATTACAGGCGTGAGCCACCACGCCCAGCCGAGTTTCAAATATATATTCTGGATACAAGTTTCTTATCAGATACATGTTTTGCAAATATTTTCTCCCATTCTTTGATTTGTCTTTTCACTTTATTGAGTGTCCTTTGAAGTACAAAAAAGTTTTAATTTTTATGAAGTCCTAGTTTATCCACTTCTTTCTTTTGCTACATGTGCCTTTGGCGTTGCAGCTAAGAAGGCATTGCCTAACCCAAGTTCACAAAGATTTAGTTATGAGTTTTATAGCTTCAGTTCTTGCATTTTGTATATCGTGTAAGGAAGGAGTCTAATTTCATTTTTTTTTTTTTTACCAGTTATCTACATCCCGTTGCTCTAGTATCATTTGTTGAAGACTATTTTTTTTTTTCTTTGAGACAGGGTTTGCTCTATCACCCAGGCTGGAGTGCCATGGCGCAATTATGGCTCACTGCAGCCATGACCTCCTGGGTCCAAGTGATCCTTCTTCCTCAGCCTCCAATGTAGCTGGGACCACAGGTGTGCACCACCACACCCAGCTGATTTTTTATTTTTTATTTTTATTTTTGTAGAAACAGGATCTCACTGTGTTGCCCAGGCTAGTCTCAGAGTCCTGGGCTCAAGCAATCATTTTACCTCAACCTCGTAAAGTGCTGGGATTACAGGTATGAGCCACTGTGCCTGGCTTGAAGACTATTCTTTCCACATTGTATTGTCTTGCTGCCCTTTTAAATAGTCAGTTGGCCATAAATGTGAGGGTTGTTTTCAAGACTTTCAATTCTATTCCATTGACCTATATGTCTACCCTTATGAATATCCCACTGTTTTGATTTCTGTAGCTTTGTAGTAAGTTTTGAAATTAGGAAGTGTAAATTCTTCAACTTTGTTCTTATTTTTTCTGTATTTTTGGGGTGGGGGGGCTGTTTTGGTTCCTTTGCATTTTCGTATAAATTTTAAGATAGGCTTGTCAATTGCTGCCAAGATACCAGCTGGGATTTTGATAAGGATTGCACTGAACCTGTAAATCAATTTCAGGAATGTTGCCATTTTAACATTAGGACTTCCAATTTATGAACATGCAATGCCTTTCCATTAATTTAAATTTTCTTTATTTTTCTTTTCTTTCTTTCTTTTTTTTTTTTTTTGAGACAGATTCTGACTTCATCGCCCAGACTGGAGTGCAGTGGCGTAATCTCGGCTCACTGCAGCCTCTGCCTCCTGGGTTGAAGCAATTCTAATGCATCAGCCTCCTGAGTAGTTGGAATTATAGGTGCACACCACCATACCTGGCTAATAACATTTTCTTTCCTGTATTTCAGCAATGTTTTACAGCCTTCAGAGTACATGTCTTGTATTTCTTTTACTTTTTTTTTTTTTTTTTGAGACAGAGTATCACTCTGTCACCCAAGCTGGAGTGCAGTGACACAGTTGGGGCTTACTGCAGCCTCCACCTCCCAAGCTCAAGGGATCCTCCTGCCTCGGCCTTCTGAGTAGGAGTCCCCATGCCTGGGACTACAGGCATGCATCACCATGCCCAGCTAATTTTTAAAATTTTTTTTGTAGAAATGGGATCTCGCCATGTTACCCATCTGGTCTCAAACTCCTGAACTCAAGTGATCCTCCTGCCTCAGCCTCCCGAAGTGCTTACAGGCATGAACCACCACACCTAGTGTTGCAGAATTTTGCTCCTTAGTTCAGCTAAAACCGGGTTTTTGTCACACGACCAGGAAAGATTAGGAATGCAGACACATTGGAGGGAGGAGCCAAGATGGCCGAATAGGAACAGCTCAGGTCTACAGTTCCCAGCGTGAGCGACGCAGAAGATTTCTGCATTTCCATCTGAGGTACTGGGTTCATCTCACTAGGGAGTGCCAGACAGTGGGCGCAGGTCAGTGGGTGCATGCACTGTGCGTGAGCCGAAGCAGGGAGAAGCATTGCCTCACTCCGGAAGCGCAAGGGGTCAGGGAGTTCCCTTTCCTAGTCAAAGAAAAGGGTGACAGAGGGCACCTGGAAAATCGGGTTGCTCCCACCCAAATACTGCGCTTTTCCTACGGGCTTAAAAAACGGCACACCAGGAGATTATATCCGGCACCTGGCTCGGAGGGTCCTACACCCACGGAGTCTCGCTGATTGCTAGCACAGCAGTCTGAGATCAAACTACAAGGCGGCAGCGAGGCTGGGGGAGGGGCGCCCCCCATTGCCCAGGCGTGCTTAGGTAAACAAAGCAGCCTCCGGAAGCTCGAACTGGGTGGAGCCCACCACAGCTCAAGGAGGCCTGCCTGCCTCTGTAGGCTCCACCTCTGGGGGCAGGGCACAGACAAACAAAAAGACAGCAGTAACCTCTGCAGACTTAAATGTCCCTGTCTGACAGCTTTGAAGAGAGCAGTGGTTCTCCCAGCACGCAGCTGGAGATCTGAGAACAGGCAGACTGCCTCCTCAAGTGGGTCCCTGACCCCTGACCCCCGAGCAGCCTAACTGGGAGGCACCCCCAGCAGGGGCACACTGACACCTCACACAGCAGGGTAATCCAACAGACCTGCAGCTGAGGGTCCTGTCTGTTAGAAGGAAAACTAACAAACAGAAAGGACATCCACACCAAAAACCCATCTGTACATCACCATCATCAAAGACCAAAAGTAGATAAAACCACAAAGATGGGGAAAAAACAGAACAGAAAAACTGGAAACTCTAAAAAGCAGAGTGCCTCTCCTCCTCCAAAGGAATGCAGTTCCTCACCAGCAACGGAACAAAGCTGGACAGAGAATGACTTTGATGAGTTGAGAGAAGAAGGCTTCAGAAAATCAAATTACTCTGAGCTATGGGAGGACATTCAAACCAAAGGCAAAGAAGTTGAAAACTTTGAAAAAAATTTAGAAGAATGTATAACTAGAATAACCAATACAGAGAAGTGCTTAAAGGAGCTGATGGAGCTGAAAACCAAGGCTCGAGAACTACATGAAGAATGCAGAAGCCTCAGGAGCTGATGCGATCAACTGGAAGAAAGTGTATCAGCAATGGAAGATGAAATGAATGAAATGAAGCAAGAAGGGAAGTTTAGAGAAAAAAGAATAAAAAGAAATGAGCAAAGCCTCCAAGAAATATGGGACTATGTGAAAAGACCAAATCTATGTCTGATTGGTGTACCTGAAAGTGATGGGGAGAATGGAACCAAGTTGGAAAACACTCTGCAGGATATTATCCAGGAGAACTTCCCCAATCTAGCAAGGCAGGCCAACGTTCAGATTCAGGAAATACAGAGAACGCCACAAAGATACTCCTCGAGAAGAGCAACTCCAAGACACATAATTGTCAGATTCACCAAAGTTGAAATGAAGGAAAAGATGTTAAGGGCAGCCAGAGAGAAAGGTCGGGTTACCCTCAAAGGGAAGCCCATCAGACTAACAGCAGATCTCTCGGCAGAAACCCTACAAGCCGGAAGACAGTGGGGGCCAATATTCAACATTCTTAAAGAAAAGAATTTTCAACCCAGAATTTCATATCCAGCCAAACTAAGCTTCATAAGTGAAGGACAAATAAAATACTTTACAGACAAGCAAATGCTGAGAGATTTTGTCACCACCAGGCCTGCCTTACAAGAGCTCCTGAAGGAAGCGCTAACATGGAAAGGAACAATCGGTACCAGCCGCTGCAAAATCATGCCAAAGTGTAAAGACCATTGAGACTAGGAAGTAACTGCATCAACTAACGAGCAAAATAACCAGCTAATATCATAATGACAGGATCAAATTCACACATAACAATATTAACTTTAAATGTAAATGGACTAAATGCTCCAATTAAAAGACACAGACTGGCAAATTGGATAAAGAGTCAAGACCCATCAGTGTGCTGTATTCAGGAAACCCATCTCACGTGCAGAGACACACATCAAAATAAAAGGATGGAGGAAGATCTACCAAGCAAATGGAAAACAAAAAAAGGCAGGAGTTGCAATCCTAGTCTCTGATAAAACAGACTTTAAACGAACAAAGATCAAAAGAGACAAAGAAGGCCAATACATAATGGTAAAGGGATCAATTCAACAAGAAGAGCTAACTATCCTACATATATATGCACCCAATACAGGAGCACCCAGATTCATAAAGCAAGTCCTGAGTGACCTACAAAGAGACTTAGACTCCCACACATTAATAATGGGAGACTTTAACACCCCACTGTCAACATTAGACAGATCAACGAGACAGAAAGTCAACAAGGATACCCAGGAATTGAACTCAGCTCTGCACCAAGCGGACCTAATAGACATCTACAGAACTCTCCACCCCAAATCAACAGAATATACATTTTTTTCAGCACCACACCACACCTATTCCAAAATTGACCACATACTTGGAAGTAAAGCTCTCCTCAGCAAATGTAAAAGAACACAAATTATAACAAACTATCTCTCAGACCACAGTGCAATCAAACTAGAACTCAGGATTAAGAATCTCACTCAAACCACTCAACTACATGGAAACTGAACAACCTGCTCCTGAATGACTACTGGATACATAACGAAATGAAGGCAGAAATAAAGATGTTCTTTGAAACCAACGAGAACAAAGACACAACATACCAGAATCTCTGGGACGCATTCAAAGCAGTATGTAGAGGGAAATGTATAGCACTAAATGCCCACAAGAGAAAGCAGGAAAGATCCAAAATTGACACCCTAACATCACAATTAAAAGAACTAGAAAAGCAAGAGCAAACACATTCAAAAGCTAGCAGAAGGCAAGAAATAACTAAAATCAGAGCAGAACTGAAGGAAATAGAGACACAAAAAACCCTTCAAAAAATTAATGAATCCAGGAGCTGGTTTTTTGAAAGGATCAACAAAATGGATAGACCGCTAGCAAGACTAATAAAGAAAAAAAGAGAGAAGAATCAAATAGACGCAGTAAAAAATGATAAAGGGGATATCACCACCAATCCCACAGAAATACAAACTACCATCAGAGAATACTACAAACACCTCTATGCAAATAAACTAGAAAATCTAGAAGAAATGGATAAATTCCTCGACACATACACTCTCCCAAGACTAAACCAGGAAGGAGTTGAATCTCTGAATAGACCAATAAAAGGAGCTGAAATTGTGGCAATAATCAACAGCTTACCAACCAAAAAGAGTCCAGGAGCAGATGGATTCACAGCCGAATTCTACCAGAGGAACAAGGAGGAACTGGTACCATTCCTTCTGAAACTATTCCAATCAATAGAAAAAGAGGGAATCCTCCCTAACTCATTTGATGAGGCCAGCATCATTCTAATACCAAAGCCGGGCAGAGACACAACCAAAAAAGAGAATTTTAGACCAATATCCTTGATGAACATTGATGCAAAAATCCTTAATAAAATACTGGCAAAACAAATCCAGCAGCACATCAAAAAGCTTATCCACCATGATCAAGTGGGCTTCATCCCTGGGATGCAAGGCTGGTTCAATATACGCAAATCAATAAATGTAATCCAGCATATAAACAGAGCCAAAGACAAAAACCACATGATTATCTCAATAGATGCAGAAAAGGCCTTCGACAAAATTCAACAACCCTTCATGCTAAAAACTCTCAATAAATTAGGTATTGATGGGACGTATTTCAAAATAATAAGAGCTATCTATGACAAACCCACAGCCAATATCATACTGAATGGGCAAAAACTGGAAGCATTCCCTTCGAAAACTGGCACAAGACAGGGATGCCCTCTCTCACCACTCCTATTCAACATAGTGTTGGAAGTTCTGGCCAGGGCAATTAGGCAGGAGAAGGAAATAAAGGGTATTCAATTAGGAAAAGAGGAAGTCAAATTGTCCCTGTTTGCAGATGACATGATTGTATATCTAGAAAACCCCATTGTCTCAGCCCAAAATCTCCTTAATCTTATAAGCAACTTCAGCAAAGTCTCAGGATACAAAATCAATGTACAAAAATCACAAGCATTCTTATACACCAACAACAGACAAACAGAGAGCCAAATCATGAGTGAACTCACATTCACAATTGCTTCAAAGAAAATAAAATACCCAGGAATCCAACTTACAAGGGATGTGAAGGACCTCTTCAAGGAGAACTACAAACCACTGCTCAAGGAAATAAAAGAGGATACAAACAAATGGAAGAACATTCCATGCTCATGGGTAGGAAGAATCAATATCGTGAAAATGGCCATACTGCCCAAGGTAATTTATAGATTCAATGCCATCCCCATCAAGCTACCAATGACTTTATTCACAGAATTGGAAAAAACTACTTTAAAGTTCATATGGAACCAAAAAAGAGCCCACAACGCCAAGTCAATCCTAAGCCAAAAGAACAAAGCTGGAGGCATCATGCTACCTGACTTCAAACTATACTACAAGGCTACAGTAACCAAAACAGCATGGTACTGGTACCAAAACAGAGATACAGATCAATGGAACAGAACAGAGCCCTCAGAAATAACGCCACATATCTACAACTATCTGATCTTTGACAAACCTGAGAAAAACAAGCAATGGGGAAAGGATTCCCTATTTAATAAATGGTGCTGGGAAAACTGGCTAGCCATATCTAGAAAGCTGAAACTGGATCCCTTCCTTACACCTTATACAAAAGTCAATTCAAGATGGATTAAAGACTTAAACGTTTGACCTAAAACCATAAAAACCCTAGAAGAAAACCTAGGCATTACCATTCAGGACATAGGCATGGGCAAGGACTTCATGTCTAAACCACCAAAAGCAATGGCAACCAAAGCCAAAATTGACAAATGGGATCTAATTAAACTAAAGAGCTTCTGCACAGCAAAAGAAACTACCATCAGAGTGAACAGGCAACCTACAAAATGGGAGAAAATTTTCACAACCTACTCATCTGACAAAGGGCTAATATCCAGAATCTACAATGAACTCAAACAAATTTACAAGAAAAAAACAAACAACCCCATCAAAAAGTGGGCAAACGAAATGAACAGACACTTCTCAAAAGAAGACATTTATGCAGCCAAAAAACACATGAAAAAATGTTCATCATCACTGGCCATCAGAGAAATGCAAATCAAAACCACAATGAGATACCATCTCACACCAGTTAGAATGGCAGTCATTAAAAAGTCAGGAAACAACAGGTGCTGGAGAGGATGTGGACAAATAGGAACACTTTTACACTGTTGGTGGGACTGTCAACTAGTTCAACCATTGTGGAAGTCAGTGTGGCGATTCCTCAGGGATCTAGAACTAGAAATACCATTTGACCCAGCCATCCCATTACTGGGTATATACCCAAACGACTATAAATCATGCTGCTATAAAGACACATGCACACGTATGTTTATTGAGGCACTATTCACAATAGCAAAGACTTGGAACCAACCCAAATGTCCAACAATGATAGATTGGATTAAGAAAATGTGGCACATATACACCATGGAATACTATGCAGCCATAAAAAATGATGAGTTCATGTCATTTGTAGGGACATGGATGAAACTGGAAATCATCATTCTCAGTAAACTATCTCAAGAACAAAAAACCAAACACCGCATATTCTCACTCATAGGTGGGAATTGAACAATGAGATCACATGGACACAGGAAGGGGACTATCACACTCTGGGGACTGTTGTGGGGTGGGGGGAGGGCGGAGGGATAGCATTGGGAGATATACCTAATGCTAGATGACGAGTTAGTGGGTGCAGCGCACCAGCATGGCACATGTATACATATGTAACTAACCTGCACATTGTGCACATGTACCCTAAAACTTAAAGTATAATAATAAAAAAAGAAACATTAAAAAAATAAAATTAAATTAAATTAAAAAAAAAAAGGAATGCAGACACATTGAAGAGTGAGGGGAGTGGAATTTATTGGGCAAAAAGGAAAAAAGGGAAAAAAACCTCTCAGCAGAGTGAAAGGAGATCCTGCCAGCGGGCTCCCATCTCACAGATTGAATACCAGGCCGCCACGTAGGAACTGAAGAGGCCAGGCTCCTCCCCTCTGCGAATTTCCCACGGCTCCTCCCTGTTCTCCCAGTACACAGGCCGGTTAGAGATTCTCCAGGGATGCCCCCCTTTATCTTCCTACTACAACTATCACTAGCCTTGTATTTCTTTTGTTACCAGTGCAATTCTTAATGCTTTAGTGAAGACAGTGGCCTTTTGGATTTCCAAGGACACGCGATTAGTGCATGGACAGGCAGGTTGTGCAAACATTCTATCTAAGCTTTCATATGCTTTCCTTTACAACACTCTTAGTAAAGAGTGGTTTTATCAAAATCACAACAATGGACTCCTATAGGAATTGTTGGAAATACATATCTCAGGTACTGCTCAGATCTACTGAATCAAAAACCCCAGCTCACTCGTGCATAATTAGCAGTTGAGGTACATTTCTATGCAGTAACCTAGGGAAGCTACAGCATTTGAACCTCATTGACCATGGGCTGCCTCTGCTTCAGTTAGCCAGACTAGCAAACTGCCAATGCCTCTTTCAAGTGCCTAAAACAACATCTTAAATATCAAATATTGAGCAAATAAATGCATATTAACAATTTTGCCTGTTCAAACTTTATGTTTCATAATCCTTAGTTTTCTTCTCTTAGTATCCACTCCTGTGCCTGCTCCCCAGATTCATGACAATGTCAAGAGCCAAGATCGCGCCATTGCACTCCAACCTGGGCAACAAGAGCAAAACTCCGTCTCAAAACAAAACGAATCCCTGAATGATAGTATTCAGAGACCTTCTGGATTAGTGAATGCATCCATGTGCTGCCAGGAGGGTGGCGCACTCCAACTCCATGGGGACAGGAGCCCCTATGCTCAGGACCCTTCTGGATCTTGCTCTATGTACCTCTTTATCTGGCTGTTCATTTGTATCCTCTAAAATATCCTTTATAATAAGCCAGTTATAGTAAGTAAATGTTTTCTTGAGTTCTATGAGCCATTCTAGCAAATTATCATACCTGAGGAGGGGATTGTGGGAACTCCTGATTTATAGCCAGTTGATCAGAAATACAGTCAGGCCTTTGTATCCTCTGGTTTTGCATTCCTGGAAACAATCAACCAAAGTTTAAGAAATCAGTCTTACCCCTTAACTTTGCAACAAGAAAAAAAAAAGAAAAAAGAAAAGAAAACAGAAACAACAATAAAAATAACAATACAACAATTTTAAAAACACAAATAAAAATACAGTATAACAGCTATTTATACAGCATTTCATTGTATCAGGTATTTTAAGTAATTTATTTATTTATTTATTTATTTGGGATAGTCTCGCTCTGTCACCCAGGCTGGAGTGCAGTGGCATGTTCTTGGCTCACTGCAACCTCTGCCTCCCAGCTTCAAGCGATTCTCCTGACTCAGCCTCCTGAGTAGCTGGAACTACAGGCATGCACTACCACGCCTGGCTAATTTTTGTATTTTTGTGGGAACGGGGTTTCCCCATATTGGCCAGGCTGGTCTCGAACTCCTGACCTCAAGTGATCCATCTGCCTCAGCCTCCCAAAGTGCTGAGATTACAGGCATGAGCCACCGCACCCGGCCGGTATTACAAGTAATTTAAAGATGACTTAATGTATGTGGGAGGATGTGCTAGGTTATTTGCAAATACTACATCATTTCATATAAGAGACAAACGTCCAGTGGATTTGGGTATCCATAGGAGGTCCTGGAACCAATCCCCTGTGGAGAATGATTATACAGAAGGCCCAGGCTTTGATTGGTATCTGAAATAGTATCTATAAGTATTCAGTCTTGTAGACCTGAGTACTTAACCTGTGGAGTCTGTACCAATTCCAGGAAGTTGGCTTCAGGATTGAATTGTAAGTTACCTAGTTGGTGTCGATAGAGAACTGGAGAATCTCTTGGTGTGGAAAATCCACAGAACTGATGTCAGAAATGTTGTGCGAGAGTTGAGTGGAAACAGTTTTTCCTTTTAGTAATTATGGGTTTATAAGAGAGTTTAAGTGCATAGTTTTTTCTACTTTCTTCTATTAACTGATTTAAAAATTAATTGGATAAAATTATATATATATATATAATGTATTGTTGGGCCTACAACATATAAAATCTATTGGTTGGTGCAAAAGTAATTGTGGTTTTTGCCATTGCCTTTAATAGCAAAAACCATAATTACTTCTGCACCAACCTAACCTGTGTAATATATCTGTCAACTACAGCACAAAGGTGATGGAGGAAGCAAAACTGTATGAGACTAAGAAAATGACCACAGATGGTAAAGTAATAATTATAACAATGTATTGCTACATTTATAACATTAATAGATAGAATAAGCATATCAATAATAACACAAAAAAAGAGGGAATGGACAGATATATAGCAGTCACATTTCTATATATCACTGGAATTGTATATATCACTGCATAAGTTAAGATGTACATGCTAAACCCTAGAGCAACCACTAAAAAATAGAGTAGTTCCCCCTTATCCACAGGGCATATGTTTTTTGTTTTTTGTTTGTTTGTTTTGTTTTTTGAGACTAGCTCTGTTGCCCAGGCTGGAGTGCAGTGGTGTGATCTCGGCTCACTGCAACCTCTGCCTCCCAGGTTCAAGCAATTCTCCTTCCTCAGCCTCCCAAGTAGCTGGGACTACAGGCGCCCACCACCATGCCCAGCTAATTTTTGTATTTTTAGTAGAGATGGGGTTTCACCATATTGGCCAGGCTGGTCTCGATCTCCTGACCTGTGATCTGCCCGCCTTGGCCTCCCAAAGTGCTGGGATTACAGGCGTGAGCCACCACGCCCAGCCACAGGGCATATGTTCCAAGACCCCCAGTGAATACTTGACACTACAATACTACTGAACCCTATATACACTAAGTTTTTTCCTATACACTAATGGGCTGATAGCATATACGATGTGGATACACTGGAAAAAGGGATGATTCACATTCCAGGCAGGACGGAGCAGGATGGTATGAGTTTTCACCATGCTACTCAGAACCACACACAATTTAAAACTTATGAATTGTTTATTTCTAGAATTTTCCATTTAATATTTTCAGACCATTGTTGACTGCAGGTAACTGAAACCATGGAAAGTGAAATTGCAGATAAAGGAGAACTACTATATCCTAAAATGAAGTGAAAAAATTACTAAATAAATCATTAGGGAATACATTAGAAAATATTCACTTAATGTAAAAAGAGAAAGAACAAAGTAAGTAAGAATAAAGGGGAAAGAAGGCATGACATATATAGAAAACAAAAGTAAATGGCAAATATAAATCCAACTATATTAATCATAACATTAAGTATCAATAGATTAAGTAATCCAATCAAAAGATAGAGATTTTCACCAACAAACATATGAAAAGAAGCTCATCATCATAGGTCATTAGAGAAATGCAAACCAAAACCAAAATGAGATACCATATCACGCCAGTTAGAATGGTGATCATTAAAATGCCAGGAAATAACAGATGCTGGAGAGGATGTGGAGAAATAGGAATGCTTTTACACTGTTGGTGGGAGTGTAAATTAGTTCAACCATTGTGGAAGACAGTGTGGTGATTCCTCAAGGATCTAGAACCAGAAATACCATTTGATCCAGCAATCCCATTATACACCATGGAATACTATGCAGCCATAAAAAAGGATGAGTTCATGTCCTTTGCAGGCACATGGATGAAGCTGGAAACCATCATCCTCAGCAAACTAACACAGGAACAGAGAACCAAACACTGCATGTTCTCACTCATAAATAGGAGCTGAACAATGAGAACACATGGACACAGGGAATGGAACATCACACACCAGGGCCTGTCCAGGGGTGGGGTCAGGGGAGGGAGAGCATTAGGACAATACCTAATGCATGCAGGGCTTAAAACCTAGATGACAGGTTGATAGGTGCAGCAAACCACTGTGGCATATGTATACCTATGTAAAAACCTGCATGTTCTGCACATGTATCCCAGAACGTAAAGTAAAATTAAAATAAATAAATAAATACAAATCAATAAAAAGATAGAGATTTTCAGACTGGATAGATGAATATGATTCAACTATATGCTGTCTACAGGAGCCATGCCTTAATTCCAAAGAGATGAAGAGATTAAAAGTAAAAGAATAGAAAAGAGATATATCATGCAAACAACAACCATAAGAAAGCTGAAATGCCTATACTAGGCCCCATCTCAAAAAAAAAAAAAAAGCCCACCTCTCAACTGTGGCATTGGGGATTAAGTTTCCACACATGAACTTTGGGGGACACATTCAAACCATAATACCTTGGCTTTGGCAAAAGATTCTTAGCTATGAGACTATGAGCATGGGCAATAAAAGAAAAAAAAATAAAATGAACTTCATCAAAATTAAAAGCTTTTACCGAAAGACTGAAAGAAAATATTTGCAAATAATGTAAAGAACTTGTATCCAGAATATATAAAGAACTCTTACCACTCAATAATAAAAAGATAATTAGATTAAAAAGTAGGCAAAGATTCTAAATAGACATTTCTTCAAAGAAGTTACAGAAATGAGAGGTAGCCACATGAAAAGATGCTCAACATCATTAGTCATTTGGGAATTAAAACCACAGTGAGATGCCACTTTGCACCACTAGGATGACAGCCCTGCTGACAAGGTCCCCACTGTGGGAAGTGCCTCTGAGAGTTCAAAGAGGGTCTCATAAGTACTCACAAATAAGTCCACTTTAACTGGGTACTTTAAGGCTCTTCATAGAACTAGGCAGGCAATAAATTCAAGTGACAGGCATCCTGTACATTACTTGTCCCATTAGGAGGGTGAGTAGGGCTTTCTTATAGGGTGAAGCCTGTGGCTGTTTTCTTTTCTTTTCTTGCCTTTTTTTTTTTTTTTTTTTTTTTTTGAGATGGGATCTCACTCCGTCACCCAGGCTGGAGTGCAGGGGCACAATCTCGGCTCACTGCAACCTCCCCCTCCTGGGTTCAAGTGATTCTGGTGCCTCAGCCTCCCGAGTAGCTGGGACTACATGAGTGTACCACCACTCCTGGCTAATTTTTGTATTTTTAGTATAGATGGTATTTCACAGTATTGGTCAGGCTGGTCTCAAACTCCTGGCCTCAAGTGATCCACCCACCTTGGCCTCCCAAAATGCTGGGATTACAGGTGTGAGACACTACACCTGGCCTGTTTTCTTCTTCCTTAGGATAATTTCTCTTCCAGGAAACTCCTTCTAACTCCCTTCATACTATCCCTGGAGGAATGAATCTCTGACAGGCTTTACAACCATTTACCAGATATTCCCAGCACCTCTGAACCCCAGGACTGGCCATAGCTCCTGTTCCCTTCCAGCAGTTTCCTAAGCTCCAACACAATTACTTTCTGTCTTTCCTGATGTGTTCAATCAAACATATTTCAACTCTACTTAGAGACAAACTAAAACTCCTCCCACTCCATGGTCCCACATTACTGTTTGTTGTTTGTTTGTTTGTTTGTTTGTTTGTTGATATGGAGTCTTGCTCTGTTGTCCAGGCTGGAGTTCAGTGGCAGGATCGTGGCTCTCTGCAGCCTTGACCTCCTGGGCGCAAGAGATCCTCCCACCTCAACCTCCCAAGTAGCTGGGATGACAGGCCCATGCCACCATACCTGGCTAAATATATATATATATATTTATATATATCTCTACAAATATAGATGGGGTTTTTGCCAAATTGCCCACGCTGGCCTTGAACTTCTGGACTCAAGCGATCTGCCTGCCTCAGCCTCCCAAGTAGCTGGGACTACAGGCCCACACCACCACACCTAGCTAAATATTCAGACATATATATATAACATATATATTTATATTTATATATAAAATTATATATATATGGAGAGAGAGACAGGGTTTCACTAAGTTGCCCAGGCTGGTCTTGAGCTCCTGAACCCAAGCAATCTGCCTGCCTCAGCCTCCCAAAGTGCTCGGATTACAGGCATGAGCCACCATGCCTGGCCAGCAGCAGCTTTTATATGCATGATTATCTAATTTTATTCCTGCCTTTCCCAAGACGGCGTTACAATTTTTGTGGGTCCTGGAGAATTTTGCCTTCATGGACTTCTTCCTCCATAAAAATATTAAATGTTATAATTTAAAAATACTAAAATTGTGTTAAAAATTTGCATTGGCATAAAGATACTCATTTTTCTTGCACCTAAAATTTCATGTTTTCTTATATTTTAAAAGAAATTAAAACATCTTCATGGGATTCTAAAAATATTGTGGGCTTCGGGTACTGGGCCTTCTGTAACCATGAATTAAGTTGGCCCTGGTCTTTCTGTCTTTGTAACCGTAGTTCCCAGTCTGAGTACAATCAATATTCAATAAATTTTTGTTGAAGGAGGTTAATATTCTAGTCCAGCACACTCGAAAAGTTGTTTGACTATCAAATGGGAGAGGAGTTTCAGAAGCAATGTATAAACTGTGAGGTCTATGCAAATAAAATAAATTTGGGGCAGGGAAAGAGGTGTTAATTTGTGGAACAGAATTCAAGATTTCATCCAGAAGAGGAAGCACACCAGGCTGTGAGTATCGCTGATAGGGAAAGCAGCAGAACACCGAAGCAAATGTTTGCCTCCTTCAGTATTCTGCCAAGGCCTGGGCCTGCATGGTGCTCGCCCCTGGATTTGGACAGCTGTCAGGAAAATCAGCAGGAACCGGGAACAAACATATGTCGAGACACAGGCAACATCAGACTGTGAAAGCTGATCCGCCCGCCCAGCTCCACCAGATGGCAGTATGTCAACGGGGAGTCTGACGGAGCGTCTCCAATGGGCACCAATTAGATGACCTTGTGCTCATGCCAGAGCCGGGGAGCTGCTTGTTAAGATAATTGCTGATAATTTTTCTTCTCATTATCGAATGAGGATTTTTTTTTAATTAACAGCAAAGGATGCAAAATTGAGTATGTTATTGTACTCCTTGTCCACAATGAGGCTACAACCAAGATAGAGAGTTCAGACATGCAAAAAAAAAAAAACAAAACAAAACAAGAAAACCCAAAAAAACAAATAAACAAACAAAAAAGTAATGGATATTGATAATAGGTATTGATAGTCATTGTACACAAATTAATTCATCATCATCATCATCAATTACAAAATGCTACTGACGTTGAGTTTTCATTCAGCCGACCTTGGTGCATTTCTTCAAGTCTTGTAAATAGAAGTTAATTCATTGGTGGATGTAAATTGTGCAGACATGGTCTGTGATAATACTCACTCCAAGAGTCACCCAGGGCTGGAAAAGTGCTTCCGTGTCAGAGGCCACACCCTGCAGCCAAGCACAAGGTCCAGCCTTCCCTCAGCAGCTGAGGACTTGCAGACAATGCGTGCTTGCGTTCCAGCCACATCTTACTCACCCTGGAGGCTGCCAAGCAGCTATGAGAGCATGGGCCTTTCCATTAGGACACCTGTATTAGTTTCCTCAGGCTGCCATAACAACCTACCACAGATGGGGTGACAAACAACAGAACTTTATTTTCTCACAATTCTGGAGGCTGGAAGCCTGAGATCAAGGTGCCAGCAAGATTGGTTTCTTCTGAGACTTCTCTGTGTAGCATAGAGAGAGCCTCCATTCTGTGTCTTCGTGTGGTCTTCCTTCTGTGCTTGTCTGTAACCAATCTCCTCTTCCTATAATGACATCAGTCAGGTAAGATTGGGGTCCACCGTAATGACCTTATTTTAACTTAATTATTTTTATAAAACCCTATTTCCAAATAGAGTCACATTCTGAGATACTGGGGCTCGGGAGTTCAACACTAAATTTCGGAGGGACATAACTCAGTCCATAGGAGCACCCAAATTCTTGTCTTGGTTCCCCCACTTACTAGGTGGGTGAAATACTAACGTTAGGCAAGTCATTCACTGGGCCTCAGGCTTATTGGCTATAAAAACAAGGCTGTTGGATTATGTCATCTCTGTGGTCTAAAAATCTGTGATCACTACAATCAATACAAGGCTGAATTTTGCAAGACCAAGAGCAGGATGATTTCCAAGCCAGCCACAAAGGACAATTGTCTCCTTGCATGGATGTCAGCATGTATATGCACATACATGTTTCTATACACTCTTTAATCTGTAAAAACAGCTTTCATCGACTTACGAAGACCACCTTCCACACATGCCCATGCACTTAGTGCTTAAGGATAGTATCAGAACAAAGCATCATAAAAATGTATTTTCTCCAAGCAAGTTGGTCATTTTTCTTTTATTCCATCTTTGAAAGAAAACTGCAAGCAGAGAGTCTACTCCATTCTCTCTTTTGAGTCCTTGTCTATGTGGCTATTCTCTGCATGGATTTTCCACTTCTGCACTCACCCCTGCCCTATTTCCGCAGGACAAGCTGCTATACCAAGGCTCAACTCAAATGTCACCACCTCCATAAAACCTTCCCAACATTCCAGAAAGAGCTGTCTGCTCTTTTCACTACCTCCATAGCATATGGTATACTTTTCTATGATGATAAATAGAGCCAGACGGCAATGCTACCCAACCAGGCCTATGCAATTATTCTTCCTAAGTCTAATTTATTCACTTAGCAGGACTCCAGCAGCCACCATACTAAGCTTCACTGTTTAGGCTGACACAGTGTAACCAACCCAGACCTGGCCTCAGTAAGGAAGAGCCTTCAGTGATCACTCAGGGCTGCATGCTTTCTTGTCAGAGGCTAGCAGCGTATTATTTCTGAACATGCCAAGGAGATTAAAGGTAGGACAATATTCCCAAAGGCCCCTTCTGCCGAGAACACCGATGAGTAATGGGACCAGTACTACATTCGCTACCAGTCATCCAAGGAACAAAATGAAAAACACAGGGGTCTTATTCTACCCTCTTCCTGCTCTCTCCTCTCCCGCTGTGTACAGCAGATAGAGGTACCAAGAGAATAGCCAGAGACATAAAGCACACCCAGATACAAACCAGGCTACTCAATACACTCATCTTGGCTTTTTCTCTTGAGAGTCCTCCTCACCAGTCCTCCCCTCCAGTTGGAAATAGGCCCTACCAGTGGCTCACACCTGTAATCCCAGCACTTTGGGAGGCCAAGGTGAGTGGATGACTTGAGGTCAGGAGTTCAAGACCAGCCTGGCCGATATGGTGAAACCCCATCTCTACGAAAAATACAAAAATTAGCTGGGCATGGTGGCTCACCCCTGTAGTCCCAGCTACTTGAAGGGCTGAGGCAGGAGAACCTGGGAGGTGGAGGTTGCAATGAGCCGAGATCGCACCACTGTACTCTAGCCTGGACTACAGAGTGAGACTCTGTCTCAAAAAAAAGGAAAAGAAAAAGAAATAGGCCCTACCTCTGGGCTCCTTGTGGCCTTCACATTTCTCACAGAAGAGGCAGAGCCATGATTCAGCCAAGGTGTGTACATCTGTGAAAATTAGAGAAGGCCACACTGGAGCTCTGGAGGAGAGATGGAGGACTGTCTTCTAGCGTGGAAGACAAATTACCTGAACTTAAACACCGGAAGTCCAAGAACTAGGAGTAGAACATTCTCTAAGGGATTAACACTTGGCTAGCAACTAACTGTGTGACTGCAAGCAAAGCAAATCAGCAGCTTCTCTGGCTCTTTCATCTGCATAAAATAAGGGTTGAACTCCATGATCTGCAAGATATCTCCTCCAGCCATGGCAGCCTGATTCTACTAATCCATCCCAGGCAGGTTTTGCTGAAGAGAAATTTTCAAGAGAAAGGAGAGGGAAAGAGTGTTAGGGAATTACAGCCCAACAGCTTTCTCTTGATGAAAAGGGACCATTTAAATTCACAGCAAATTTTCCTACCAGCTGACTTGGAAAAGAAACATAGATGTGAAAACACATATTTATTTATATTTCAGCTTTTTGCTAGTGAAAATTCTTGTCTGTTTCAATTAAATTGAAAACTGAATTTGCTTAACTAGTGAATTTGCTTAATAGGCTGACCTGAGAGAATAAAAGATTAACAGATATCTCTAGATATATCACTTTTATTCTGAATTTAATCATACATTTTGCATAAGTGCAAATGTAAAACATTTTGAGATGAAATTCATAGAACAGAAGCATATTAAAATAAAATTAAAATGGAATCATTTTTCTTTGACAGCTAAATTCAGAAACTTGAGTCTTAGATTTAGTTCAGAAGCTGCCATTTCAAATAATTTTTAAGCATTGGACTATGGAAAGTCGAGGTAAAATTGTGAGTTAGAAAGGTTAACCTCCCACCCTTCACCTTTCCTGGCACCCATGCCATTTCTCTCAGCAACCTCCCTCTAAACCCCCCTCCAAGCATCCACGCCTCATTTTGCCCTTCATCTATGAGGGTTCCGCTCTTTTTTCCCATCTGTTCACCTATTGTCATTCCCAACCTAGCTTTGCTTTCCTCAAAACATCCAGTACCCAGCGATTTCTTCATCTACTTTCATCAAAAGTAGGCTGCCCTGTCCTCCATTTCTGGATGGCTACGTTCCTGAGAATCGGTGGTCAGCTGTGGTGGCCTCCTGGGAACCTAAGTGACCTTACAGGACACCAGGAGAGGCAGAAAGCACACAGCAAAGAGGGGATATGTCCTGGGCAGGCCATCCTGAAGCATGCAGGGCAACTCCTGGAGCTCACCTTAAAAGGCTTACGCTATGGTATGGCTCTGTGTCCCCACCCAAATCTCATCTCAAATTGTAATCCCCACATGTGGAGGAAGGGGCCTGTAATCCCCAGGTGTTGAGGGAGGGAGGTGATTGGATCATGGAGGCTGTTTCCCCCATGCTGTTCTCATGACAGTGAGTTCTCACGAGAGCTGATGGTTTTATAGGTGTCTGGCATTTCCCCTGCTTGCACTTCTCCCTCCTGCCACCATATGAAGAAGGTCCTTGCTTCCCCTTTGCCTTCCGCCACGGTTGTAAGTTTCCTGAGGCTTCCCCAGAATGCGGAACTATGAGCCAATTAAGCCTCTTTCCTTTATAAATTATCCAGTCTCAGGCAGTTCTTTATAGCAGTGTGAAAATGGACTAATACAGCTTAGTAATAATAGGAGTCATTTCAGGACAGTGCTCTGACATGGGCTCATTAGCACGAAGAAATGTTTAAAGAGAGCCATCAAGAAAATTTTGGGGTGGGATTGGGGAATGGGCAATGGGAAGAAGGTGACCAAAGTCTATCAGCTTCCAGTTGGATAGGAGGAATAGGTTTTCCAGATCTATTGCACAGCAAAATGGCCAAAGTTAATAATAAATGTATTGTATTTTTCAAAATTACTAAAATAATATATTTAAAATGTTCTCACTACAGAAAAATGAGAAGTATGTGAGGTGATGGCCATGTTAATTAGCTTGATACAAACTTTCCATAATGTACACAATATCAAACTATCACATTTTGCCCCAAAATACATAACATGATCATTTGTCAAGTACAATTTAAATTTAAATTAGAAATTATCAACTACGAGAAAAGTCAAGGAATTAGAAATGTTTAACATGGAAAATAAGAGACTTAGGAAAACAAGTATCACATGGGAAGACATAGCTGATTTTGTTGTTTTGACCCTAGAGGGTAAAGTAGGGAGAATGTTTAAAAGTTACAGAAAGGCAGATTTCAACTCTCCATAACAGGGGTCACCAACCCCTGGGTCAGACTGGTGCTGGTCTGTGGCCTGTTAGGACCTGGGCCACATAGCAGGAGGTGAGTGGTGAGCAAGCAAAGCTTCATCTGTATTTACAGCCACTCTCCATTGCTTGTGTTATCTCCTGAGTTCCACCTCCTGTCAGATCAGCGGTGGCATTAGATTCTCATAGGACAGCAAATCCTATCATGAACTGCACATGTAAAGGATCTAGGTTGCATGTTCCTTATGAGAATCTAACGCCTGATGATCTGTCATTGTCTCCCATCATCCCCAGATGGGACCATCTAGTTGCTGGAAAACAAGTTCAGGGCTCCCACTGATTCTACACTATGGTGGGTATGTAATAGTATGTAGTAGTAGAAATAAAGTGCACAATAAATGTAATGGGCTTGAATCCTCCTGAAACCATCCCCCACCACCCCCTGGTCTGTGGAAAAATTGTCTTCCATGAAACTGGTCCCTGGTGCCAAAAAGGTTAGAACCACTGCTCTATAAGAAAAGTCTCCCAAAATGTTAAAAGTGTCTATTAATGGAATCGGCTAGTCAATGGAATGGGTGGATCAAAAGCCTGCCCTTGGCCGGACACGGTGGCTCACGCCTGTAATCTCAGCACTTTGGGAGGCTGAGGCAGGCGGATCACGAGGTCAAGAGATCGAGACCATCCTGGCTAACACGGTGAAACCCCGTCTCTACTAAAAATACAAAAAATTAGCCATGCGTGGTGGCAGGTGCCTGTAGTCCCAGCTACTCATGAGGCTGAGGCAGGAGAATGGTGTGAACCTGGGAGGCGGAGCTTGCAGTGAGCCGAGATCGTGCCCCTGCAATCCAGCCTGGGAGACAGAGCGAGACTCTGTCTCAAAAAACAAAAAACAAAAAAACAAAAACAAACCAAAAAAAAAAAAACCCTGCCCTTTGCTGAAGATGATCAAGTAAAGGCTAACTAGTTACCTGGAGGAATTATTTTTGAAGAGGAAAATAATCCAATCATTATTGAACACTTTCTGTGGTCAAACAGGGGACTAGGCCCTGGAGACATAAAGCTAAACAGGTTGCAGTCTTAGACAGGAAAAAGATATCAACAGTTTACAAGAGTATGAATAACTTATATATCACTGGCCTCACCAGCCTATAACAACAAAATAAAACTAAACTTACTTTTTATATACTAAAATTATTTTAGCACAAACTCCTACCCGCTCTGCCCCCTCAACCCCCACCTAAATTCTAGAAATTAGCCTCCTATAAAGGATCTGCAATTATTTATCTGTCTCCTGGGGTAAAGCCTTCTTATCTGACCAACAGGGGAAAGAAGGAGCATAAGGACAGAAGGCAATGACAATCATGACAGAGCAAGCTGTAGAATTATAATCACGGCTGGGGGTAAGCCTGTTTTGGAATTTGGCGCAGGGTTGGAGGGAGGCTACTTCATGGGTGAGGTCGATCAGGAGAATTTGAGGGTGGCAAAACACGTTCAGAATTTAGGGGCTGAATGCATCGTTTTAACCTGGAACTGGGCATGGTACCTGAATATGAACCCTAAAGGACTTGATTTCCCCTAGAGAAGCGGGCCAAGAATGTTGGCATCGTGCGGGAGAAGCGTGGAAGTGAGAAAGGCACCTGTGCCTGTTAAGCTATGTATTAGACTGTTTTCAAGTCAAGAAGAGTGATTGATCTCTCTCCATAACCCCAAGTCCCTCCCTCTTTTTTTTTTTTTTTTTTTTTTTTGAGACAAAGTCTCGCTCTGTTGCCCAGGCTAGAATGCAGTGGCATGATCTTGGCTCACTGCAACCTCTGCCTCCCAGGTTCAAGTGAGTCTCCTGCCTCAGCCTCCTGAGTAGCTGGGATTACAGGCGCCTGCCACCACGCCCAGCTAATTTTGTATTTTTAGTAGAGATGGGGTTTCACCACGTTAGCCAGGCTGGTCTTGAACTCCCAGCCTCAGGTGATCTGCCCACCTCAGCCTCCCAAAGTGCTAGGATTACAGGCGTGAGCCACTGCACCCGGCCCCTGCCTCTTTTGTCTATTTGTTAGCAGCTAAACGAGCAGAAATGCACTAATGACTCCATTCTGCTAAGGAAGGTTATGGGAGGAGATGAAGAGAACAGGCCTCATTGGAAGGTACAAGACTAGTGAGGGCCAAACGCTGACAGCAGAAGAACTGGCCAGAGACCTCATCTGAAAGGCTGCTGCCATTTGAGGTTGCTTGGGCTCAGTTACTGGGGCAAGAGAACTGATTTTCAGAGGAAGCCTCTGGAGGCTTTTCTTTATGCATGAGCCCCAGAGCGTGGGTCCAGCCTGTGCTATCCATTCCAAGTTCATGACACTCCCTGGTGAACGGCATGTCATTACCTCTGGCCCTGTCTGCAACGTTCTTGCTGGTGTTTACTCACAGTCACTACTCAAACATGATCCTAAAAGGTCAGCGTTGACAGTGCGAGTGAATTTCCCTGCCAGTCCCAGCCCTGTCCCCAGGGCCAGGATCTGATCCAGGACAGATGGGATTCCTTCAGCAGAAGTGTCCCCGAGGTTCAGCTAGTGATCCTGAGGGGGATTTTATTTTACTGTTTGCAGCACAAACAGGATGCCACATACTTCAAGCACAACCGAATAACAAACCTCACGGAAATGCCAAGAAGTCCTTGCGGGGGGAAAACAGCCTTGATTCTGGAGAAAAGGAAAAATTGTAATAATGTTATTAGCCCAAAGAAACCGCTTAGAGACGTCAGATGATTTTCTAACCCAGAGAGATGAAAGTAAAACACCATGAACTAGACTGAATGCCAGAAGGAGGTCCCTTGCAATAGTCAATATTGCAACACGACTCTCCAGATGGCTCTCTCTGGGGCAAGCGGACTCTGTCGGAGAAGGAAGTGGGTAGGAGGGAGAGGGAGAGAGGCCACATTCACACCAGGCAAGGAAAGGGAAATGAGCATTTAATTTTAAACTATCCTCATGGGCTCCCCACTGCTCGAGCCCACCAGAGAACAGAGAGAAGGAAAATAGTCGCATTGTGCACTGTGTATGTGTGTGTTCTTCTCTCTCCAGCTCTGTTTATACAGTTCACACATGTTACTTCAGGGCAGTGTATTCCAGAGGGGGTCCTACCGATCGCTGCTTCTTCGAGATGTTAAACTGTGTTATCAACAGTGGAGGGGGGCAGAGATGTCCTGTGATCAAACTAGTTCCGAAACACTGCATTTATCAAATATTGACATGTTTTTCTACTCTAGCGCTTCCAGGCTCTTTTAGCCTTCTCCTGTACAGTGTGACTTTCCAAAAAGGGAAATATGTGGTATTTCCCAAATTTATTGGTTTTATTATTATTATTTTTTTAATAGAGATGAGATCTCACTATGTTGTCCAGGCTGGCCTGGAACTCCTGGGCTCAAGCAATCCTCCTGCATAGGCTGGGACCACAGGCCCTCACAACCACAACTGGCTTAGACGTTTCCCAAATTTAGGTAAAAGGATACTTCTCTCATGAACTGTTTTCTGGACTTAGTGTTCCAGCAAATCTACCTTTTATGGAACCTGTCATTCGGCCTTAAGATCATTCTCATATTTGTCTTTTCCTTCTAATGTCGCCCTCGCTACCCTAGTCCCAGCAGCTGCCTCCTGCCTGGCTGGCCAGCTCAGGATCTTCAACCTGAATTCTATTCTGTATGCTACTGACATATTACCCAGTCGCTCTCCTCTCTCTGCCTTTGAGATACCACAAAATCTGCACTCATATACCTCTGCTCTTGTCCCAAAATAAGAATGACCACTTCTTGAGTACTAGCTATTTTAAGCACTTTACTTGTATTACCTCGTTCAGTGTTTTCCACAACCTCATGCAGTAAGTGCATTCCTTTAAAATTATACAAATAAGAAAACAGAGATATAGAGATAGATGTTCAGTAACTTGCCCAAGGTTACATGGCTAATCAGCGGCACAGCCATGGTATGCACCTGGGCGTTCTGGCTGGAGAACTAAGACTCACTTGTAGCTCCCACCTGCGTGCCTCTGCAGATCAGCCCCTGCAATCCACCTGCCTCATCTCTACTTTCCAGGCCTTGCTGACGAAGCGTCCCCAGCCTGGAACGCCATCTCTCTGGTGCCTCATTTACTGCAAATGCAGGGTTAGCCCGGGCAAGGCTGGAAGGCTTAGCAAGTCCTGTTGAGGAGTTTGGACTCTGTCCTGAGGACAACTGGGAGCCTTTAGCAGATTTAGGAAGATGTGTGACAGGATTAGATTAGAAAGAGTGCAGAATAGATTGGTTTAAATTTGACAAAATCAGAGAAGGGTAAAGGATAATAATGAAGGCTAACACAAATAGACCTAAATGAATAAGTTTAATTCTCACAAAAACCTATCAGAGGCCAGGCATTGTGCTCATGCCTGTAATCCCAGTGCTTTGGGAGGCCCAGGTGGGAGGATTACTTGAGGTCAGGGGTTTGAGTTTGAGACCAGCCTGGGCAACATGGTGAGACCCCTTCTCTACAAAAAAAAAAAAAAAAAAAAAAAGCTCTATAAGGTTTATACACTGCTCTTGTCATCCCCATTTTCCAAATGAGGAAACTAAGCAGCAGAGAGGTTAAGAGCTCATCCAAAGTTAACCTGTCTAGAAAGCAATCTGAGCTGAAGCCATTTGCTTCTAAGGTGATCCTCTCTTAATATTTCTAAAGTGAGCATTACTGCTTCTCCTGAGTGTTTTTTCACTATTCTCTAAACTTTCATCTGTGCTCGGAATATTCCAAAATTGTTTTAAAATGGTCTGGGAGGGGACAGATTAGATGCAGCGAAGGTGTGAGGCGGCTGTTGCAGGGGAGCCCTCATGGTGTCCTGAATGTGGGCAGAGGCCGGGAGGACACAGACAAGTGGACAGATTTGAGAAGGGTCCAGAAGGAGACCCCGCAGGGACTGGTGCTGAATAAGGTGTGAGGAGTAAGGAAGAAAGACAACCCCAAAACCAGTCCAGTGTTCAGTTTGGAAAACTGGGTGCTACTCCAGGTTTCCATTGCTTTATGTGGGATTAGCACAGCAGCCTTCTGGATGGGCCACCTGGCTCCCAGTACTTCAACCTAAACTCCATTCTGCAGACTACTAATAGCCTTCTCTTTACCAGAAGGGCAGAAACTGTCATGGGAGCTGTTTAAGGAGAAATTACTTGCTTAAAGCAAATGAAAAGTCAACTAGGAATATTTACAAAACATCTCATTTTTTTTTTTTTTAAACAGAAACCTAATTACCAGGAGGCATATGTTATATGTCAGGCACAGAGCTAGGAATCAGACATAATACATAAAGTACATCAAAATATATTGATCAAAAAAATCTGTTCCACTGATAGCCTGGAAGATCAGTGAGAGACAATGTTGCCTACCTATGATTAGAAAGGGAAAGGAGTCCTCTCTGCCCCAAAATATCCCCCTGTGGATATTTGCAATCCATCATTAGAGATTCCATAGAACCTCCAAATAAGAGATCTTGGAACTGACATATTCAAACATTCTAGTATTTCTTTCGAGAAAACTGGACTGTGAGAGGTTAAGTGATTTGTCCAGCATTACCCAGGTTGCGGCTGGTCCCCGGTCTAGGGTCCCCGAATTCCCCCTGATATTCTTTCGAATCTTCTTTGATAATTGAAATATGGGAGGGAAGGCGAGGCAATACTTTGGCATCCCTAAGGCCTTGGAGTGACAGTCCTACGACCTCCTAAGAGGCTTTCCTCTGTTACCAAAAAGAATTGCACAGGAAGCTTTGCTGAAGAGGCCACTGACATTTTACTGTAAGAATTTCTTTCTTCACTGCAGGCAGCTAGGATAGTGCTTCCTGGTTTCTCTCCAGGTTGCAAAGAGACATTGTCCTCAGGGACACTTTTGGTGCCTCTCCTCACCCATTTAAACATCCGGGGGCCAGCTACTGCCTTTGCCCAGAGCAGATGGGCCCCAAGTTACTGAATCACAAAACTTTAGCCAGAGCAATCTCTATCTAGTCCAGCTCCCTGCCTTGAGATCAGATTTTATTATCCCAAATTTTGCACATAAGGGCCTGAATCCCAGAGAGTTTAACCAACTTGCCCAAGGTCATAGAGCTAGTAATTAGAACAGTCACTTAAGGCTATTACCTACTTAGAATCCTAGTGGCTGAAAGTGATCTGAGAAATACAGTGACCATATTTTCAGAACCCAAAACTAGGACATTTAGCCTGACAAACCCAAGTACATTTACAGGGACAGTGAACAGATTATGTGAATTGGTCCTCTCCCAGAAAAGGGGATTTATGGCTGTGAATGTTAGAGATCATACAGTCCAATCCCCTCATTTCATAGTTGAGGCAACTGAAGCCCAAGGAGCCTGAGTGACTTGCTGGAGGTCGTAGGCAGAAATGTTTTCTGTTTTCCCAACTCTGAAGGTTGAGTCAACAGGGCGTGGGTGGGAGAGGACAAAAAGGGGCCATTGATCCAGGGCGCCTTCCCTCACACGGACTGACCTAACCCCACAGTGCCTGCTTTAATCCCGTATGGGTGCGGCTGTCCCCTAAACACCAGAGAAATAACATATGAAACCAGATAAAGCTCAGGGTCTTCAGCTCTTGCAGGCCTGGGCAGCTAAGGAAAAGGAATTTGGAGACCTAAAGTACTTTTTCTTCAGAAGCATAGCACTCTGTGGTAAGTAGCTGTAGTTTTCTAAGGTTTTCTTTTTTCCCCCAGAAATAGGATGCTAAAATGACAAGATATAAGCTAATTACCCTCCTGGCATTCTAAATTCTAGTGTAAATCAAGGCAAAATGTCAAACAGGCAGGTATTTTAAAAGGATCTGCATAAGCCCTGTAATGAGCTCGGCACCATAAATGTTTATTATTAAGCCTTCAATTTGCTTCTGACCCCTACTTCATGCACCGTTTGACCTCATTTTATATTTAGTAAGAGGAAAGAAGGCAGCATAAAGAATCAGCTCCAGGGCTCAGGGCAAGTCCATTTCCAGCCAGTGCCTTTGGCCTTGAAGCCCCCAATCTCTACATCAATACTCCTTCCCAATATTAAAAAGTGCTCTTCATGGTGTCCTTTTAACACTGCGGCTATCCAAATTAGGACTCGAAGGAGCAGGTGGAATCCTTCCAACTGCCAGCCTAACCTCTCCTCTATGCCAATGCAGAACTACTCTGCTGATAGAGAAATTGCTTCCCGGAAAACCAATTTCCTCCTTATTGTCCTGCAGGCTGCTGTGAGACACCCTGTTGGGTGGGGTGGGCTCCTGGCCTGTTTATTCCACCAAGAGAGTGAAATTGCAAAGAACATGTTGCTGGGGCCGAGATTTAGAAGACATGTTTGAATGGGAGTTGTGTTCCTGAGCTCCCAGTTTAGACATTTTTTTCCTGATGCATATTTTCCATTGATCTAATTGCTTTGCATCCGCCGAGGGATGAGAGCTAGCGTTCTCAAAGCCTCGCTGCCCACGATACACCCACTATTATTAAGGTCCAACAATTATTTCATTCATTGCTTCGTTCATTCATTTCCTCTAAATTTGTTTCTAAAGAACTGTAACCTGCCATTCAAGCTCACTATTCCACTGGCAAAGAGTCCAGATAGGCAGTGAATGGCCAGCCTCTACAAAGTGCTCCCAACATGCTGTCCAAATTGGAGCACTTTTCTATGCCCCGCTCCACCCAACCTTCAATCCTGCCTTGGAGGAGAGCAAGTGACAGTGAACTTGAGAAGAGCTAATAAAAACCTGATCTCCCTGATAGCATCTTCTTTAATTATTTAAAGAAAGGGACAGCCTGTTTAAAAACACTTCCTGTTCCAGTTCTTTTGTTAAAACTCTCTTAGAGTCAGTGACAGGTTTTAGAGCTGAGAGTAGGAAGGGCTGGCATTGTTGAGAGAGTATGCAGAAAAGATGCTTTTAGATAGAAAAAGAAGGACGATGCAAAACACCCTTTGATTGAAGAAAGTTATGCACACATTTTCTTTTCCAACCAAAAATATCAGAAAAGACAGCTTACATATTAAAGAGTCGATTTCAGAAGGCCAAGAGAAGGGTCAAGTTTAACTTGCTCTTACCTGTGAATACAGCAGAATGAGTGCAGGATTTCAAGTCAGATCTGAGAACTGCGTCTATCACTCAGTAGTTGTGTGACCTAGGACAAGCTATTTAACTGGCCTAGCCTTCAGTTTCCTCATCTGTAAGACAGACATAATCACAGCTACCCTATCAAGGTAATTCGAGGATGAAATAGGGGTTGCGGGGAGGCATGCAAGAGCTTAGCAAAGACCTAGTACTTAGTGAATACACAACACCTGTGATCTTAAAACAACTAGGGCACTGAATGAATTGAGACGAAAGAAAGGCAATAGGAGTAACTACCCGGACTGCTCCAACATGGTTTCTGGTGGATTTATTTCCCTGCTGGACTTTATTCCCTGGAATATACATTTCAATTCCTCACACACATTTAATGAATAGGTACTTAATTAGGATTAGACACTGCACTCATTGGAACCACTGGGTCTTTTTGTTTTGTTTGCTCGTTTGTTTTTTGAGACAGGGTCTCACTCTGCTGCCTAGGCTGGAGCACAGTGGCTAATCGCAGGTGTGATCATGGCGCACTGGGCTCAAGGGATCCTGCTGCCTCAGCCTCCTGAGTAGCTGGGATTACAGGTGTGTACCACCATGCCCAGCTCTCTGGGTCTTTCAATCAGAGATCACAAAAGAAAGTTTAGATGGAAGCTGGACACTAGGAGAGAGACACAAAAGGTGTAGGTAGAGCTATGGTGTCTGCTCGGACTCTTTCTTAGTAAATGTGGGGCCTTTGGGAATCAGTTTCTGTTCCTTTTTTGGAAGAGGAATTATGGAGCAGAGAGAATACAGAGCCAATAGAAATGGATCTGTCTTAGTTCATTTATGCTACTATAACAAAATACCTGAGACTGGGTAGTTTACAAACAACAGAAACTTATTTCTCACAGTATGGAAGGCTGGGTGGTGAAAGATCAAGGTGCCAGCAGGCCCAGTGTCTTGGTCTCTGCTGGTCCTCATACGGTGGGAAGGCAGAAGGGCAAAAAGGGCTAGTTCCCTCCAGCCCTTTAATAAGGAATGAATCCAGTCCATGAGGTCAGAGCTGCCATGGCCTAATCACCTCCTCAAGGCCCCACCTCTCAATACTGTTGCATTAGGGATTGAGTTTTCACGTGAATTTTGGAGGGAACACAAACTTTCAAACCACAGCAGGGTCCGAAATGAGAAATCGGTAATAGGAAAATAAACAAGGAGAAGGGAGAAACAGAAGTATGCTACTCAGCCTAACCACCAGCTTCCTCTTGTGAGTATCCACCCTTGTCTGTTTCCTGGCTCTAGCATATGCATTGGACTAATCTCAGCAATATTTACAAAGCACTTACCTGGGCAAGGCAACGTCTAGGTATTGTGGAAAAGAACAGGATGATTCATTTTCTTTAGTAACACTTGCACAGAGCTCACTGTGTGCTAGGCACCTTTCTAAGGACCTTATAAATATTAACTAGGTTAATATTCAAAACAACTCAGTGAGATGGGTATTTTATTACCCCTAATTTACCAACGAGGAAACTGAAGTATGATCATAATAGCTACTTTTTAGTAAGTATCTAAAATGTGGGCAGGGCTTCAGTGGTTTTTTTTTTTTTTTTTTGAGACAGGGTCTCGCTCTGTCACCCAGGCTGGAGTGCAGTGGCGTGATCTCGGCTCACTGCAAGCTCCACCTCCCGGGTTCACGCCCTTCTCCTGCTTCAGCCTCCCGAGTAGCTGGGACTACAGGTGCCTGTCACCCACCTGGCTAATTTTTTTTGTATTTTTAGTAGAGACGGGGTTTCGCCGTGTTAGCCAGGATGGTCTCGATCTCCTGACCTCATGATCTGCCCGCCTCAGCCTCCCAAAGTGCTGGGATTACAGGCGTGAGCCACTGTGCCCAGCCTCAATGTTTCTTCAATGTAGTCCTCAGAGCCCTATAAAATAAGGTTAGTATTGCTTGTATTTTACAGAGGAAGAAACTGAAGCTCGTTAAGCTTAGGTGACTTGTTAACAGCCATGCAGACACTAAGCAGTGGAACTCCACTGCATCACACCAACTCCTGGATCTCCAAGTCACAGTCACTATCTTCAGGAAGCTGAGATGAGACATGGGATAACCACGCCTTATAGACAGATGCAAATGCCCAGCAAGAAGTTCCTAAGTCCTATCCTTCCTCCCCACTCCCATCGCCACAAGCGTCTGGGATTGAAGCTCCCCGTCTTGCTGTGGGTGGAACAGAATAATCAGACTTTCAGAAAAACTTACAGAAAAACTGAAGTGAGACCCCCACCCTCCAAACGTGGCCTCAGGCCTGGAGGTTTAAAGACAGACTCAGGTTTTATTCTGTTACTGCCACCTTCTTAACCCCTGCCCTCAGCTGCTCATGCCCCAGCCTTTCTCTGCCCTTACTCTTCCTTTATCTCCAAGTCTACGTGATTGAAAAATAATCATCCCTGGAAAGGAAAGAAAGGGGTCTCAATGAGACAAGAGAGGGAGGAGGTGAAGGGTGGCTGAGTAAGTGGGGAGGTGGAGGCCCCAGGGGGGAGCTCAGAGGCCTCATTCCCCCGGAAGCCCACCCTAGGCAGAGGGGCCATGGCTCAGGCTGTGCAGGGCAAACAGCAGCATGGCTTCCAGAACCTGTGCTGGGGATTTGCACTGGCAGGTGCCTTCTCCAGGGTCAGGAAATTCTGCAGCTCCAGGGCAAAGGGGATGGAAGCTGGGAAGAGCCTGTGAGTTGAATGCTGGTCCGACCTCTCCCCACTCTCTTCCCCTCAACACAGGAGCCAGAAGCCCAGTGTTGTGGCCCAAATTGCTTTGAAGTCCTGCCCTTTGTCCTCTTCTTCCTGAACAGATCCGTCTTCCTGGGGCAGGACATGCATTCCTCACACCATCCTTTTTGAAGGGGGTGAGGTAAACCTGGCCGAGCCGGTTAGTGCTGGGGTGGAGCCCAGCGACGGCCCTGATCCGGAGCCTCTGTTACCTGGGGCAGCAGAAGCGAATGAGAGGACAGCTGTAAATCATGTCTGGCCTGCTGATGACATTCTCCTCTCTCAGCTAAAGGACTGAGGATGGTCCAGCCCCTTGAGTGACTCTGGGCAGGGCTGCGAGAGGGAGCCCCCTAGCCAGTGCTTGGGGAGGAGGAATTCAGATCCTGGGAAAAACAGCAAGCAGCAGCAGGTGTGGAGTAAGCTGGGAGTGACCCATCTGGGACAACTGCCTAGAATAAACACTATTGTCTGCCACAGGCTTTTCTCTGCCAGCCTGGGCCTGCTGAGCTGACCGTGTTTGAAGGGCCAGTCGTGGGCTAAGCTAGGCAAGCTGAGATCAGTCCTGCAGGAACCTGAGGTCATCACAGGATGTGAAGACAGAGGGCAGGAGCTTGTGGGACCAGGAATGAGCGAGGAGATGGAAAGGAAGTCTCAAGGGAGTGAAGACCCAGGAGGAAGGCTGGAACAAGGCTGGGCAACATTCGTTCTTACCAAAGGCTAACTTCCTGGTGTCATCTTGGATGGTCCAGTTTAAAAGAACAAGACCTGACCAGATACTGCAGAGCCTCTCTCCAGACATCGGGGCTGGCTTCAGTCACACCCACTCTCTTCCACTGTCTTAGCCCCTGGGATGCACACGTTCATGCAGCCACCCCTGCTCCATCTGTCCCTGTGACCCTCTGATTTTCACCCACCTCCTGGTGCTATTCTTCTCTATCACAGGAAACTTGCATCCTTCTATTATTATCTTCACTGTTCAGAAACCCAACAAAATTTTAACCACATGAAAATCCACATTATACCCTCATTCTACCCAAAGTGATGTAATTCACCTTGTCCTTCGGAGATGGGGGGAGACTTACAACCTCATTCTCTCGTCTACCTTTAGACACTGAGCTTTAGGAAACTGTTACCTGGAGGAAAGGCCCATTGTGGAGGGTACCGTGGTGACCCAAAAACAGCCCTGGAGGAAACATGCCATCCAGAGCAGGCTAGGACCCACTGATGGGTGTCCTGGGAAAATGGCCCCACTCCACTCCCCACCCTGGGACCTCTGTGAGGTATTTTAATTCAGGAATGATTAGCACAGATCTCTAGCAAAGCTCTTTCTTGACCACAGCCAGAGTTAGGTAAGAATGCAGCCACAGGGAAGAAGGGAGCAGCAGGCAGAGTCTCTGGCAGCCACCAAATTGAAGCTCTTACTTCTTCTCCTCCAATCGTCTCTCGTGGAACCTAGGCCATCTATTTTCATTTGGGAACAAAGAAAGCAAAAGAAAGGAGGGGGAGGGAGAGGGGAAGGGGGAAGGGGAAGGGAAACGAAGGGGAGGGGGTGGGGGAGGGGGAAGGGGAAGGGGAAGAGGAAGGGGAAAGAGAGGGGGAGGGGAAGGAAAGGAAGGCAGGGAGGGGAGGGGAAGGGGAGGGAAAGGACCGGAAGGAAATTGGGGAAGAATAAAAAGGTGCAAGACAGTGGTCATGGAGCGCCCCCTAACTATAACGTGTCCACATTTTCTCAAGTTGCTGCTTTCATCTGAGAGTTAGACAGTTATAGATGAATGAGGAACAGGGACTAAATACAGCCAAGAAAAAGGAAGTGGAAGGGAGAATCATGGCTGAAGCAGTGGGGGTACATTTCCTTTTACTTATTTCCCAGGCAAAGGCCAATTGGTACAAGTCTCCATGATTGCCTTTTGTTCATGTATTAGGAAATGTGTATTACTTGCTCTGCTGTCCTAGTGTTTCAGGTTTTTATTTGTATTTCTTCACATAATGTGAATAACACATAGGCCAAGAGAGCCTGAATGCATGTTTGTGACTTCCTGGAAGGCAAGGGCCCACCTGCCCAGCCTAATACATTGCACACAAGCAATTAATAAACATTTCCAACTTGAAGACTTTTCATTGCTCCCTGAGCTCCTGTAATTTGGTTCCACAGTAGCCTCTGTTATGACATTCCTTGGCTGCTGCTCAAAATCACCATTGCTGTGTGTAATTGGAAGGCCAGTGACAGAAGGAGTAATAGTTTCCTCATTAAGCCTTGTGGTGTCTCCTCACCTACCGAGGCAGGGTACTTCCAGCACAGGGGTGGCTCCTCTGTTGTTCAGGAACAAGCAACCTCAGAGTTGTTGACAGAAGTTCCAACAGCAGCAGCCTCCTAAAGGCCCCGCGTGCTCATTATTGTACTAAAGTATTGCACTAAAAGGGGAAAACTAAATATGGTGTCTGGTGCCCAAAAAGGCTCTTGGAAAAGTTTTTGCTGCCAGAAATGGGTCTTTCCTTGAGGATAGACTCAGCCAATCAGAGTTTTTTCTGATGATGTAATGCTTTGCAAACAAATTGTATTGGTGGGAAAGCTCTTAGTTAATTGTGAGGTGTAGAGTTTCCACTGTAGCTCAGGAAAAATTGTCTGTGGCTTCATTTAAGTTTCGACTGAATTCCATTGTGCTTCTATTTCCAACCAAGCTGAACTTGTGTCTGACACTTGTTAAAAAATTGGGAATCAAGAAACTTTCTTTTCCTCTGATGTCGAAAGCTGCTGATTCCTTGTCTAAGATGTGTCCGTTTAAAAAACAAAAAACCAAAGCTAGCTGCTGATTAATCAATGTCTGCTATGTGCCGTTGTCATCATCTCACAGCTGTACTTATCGTCAGCAGAGGCCCTAGGAAGCTGACCAGCAGAGCATCAGTACGCAACAGCGGGTAGGAAATGATGCCCCGACAGGTTAGGCTGTAGAAAAAAAGAATCTTTGGGGTGGAAAAGAAGTTAGAGCGCAGGCTACACATGCCTGTGTTTCCATCTGATGAATTCGCATGCACGCGCTTGCCATAAGTCCGCTACGCACAGCCATGCAGCACTAAATATAGCTCAGAGCTTATTTCCCTCCTTCAGAATGTGTCGTCCCCAGCTCTAGAGCTTTTCCTCCCCCAGACAGAGCCCCTGCTGTCTGCCAGTCTGGGCTGGAATTAGCACACCGCCGCTGCGTAACTGGGTGTCTCTGCTGCTGGAGGCTGATTCGGGTGCAGGCGGCTATACCTGCAGTTGTGTTCCTTGGTTACCTGCGTCCAGGAGCCTAGGCCACCCACCCTTCACCACATATGCAAAGGATGTCATCGCCTGATTCACTGTCTCTGTTATTTCAGACAGCAGGCTGTTCCTGTCCCCACCACCCCTCCGCCACACCACAGCCTTTCTCTCTGGATCATCCGCCACACCCTCTCCTCATCCCGGAAACCTCAGGCCGGCTCCACCTTGCTTCAAATCCTCCCGTCTCTGCAGTCGATTCCTTTTTCTCAGCTTTTATCTTTGCCACTCTTCCCAAATATGGGACACTTAAGTATGGCTGACTCAAACTGTGTCAGTGACTCACAAATATGTTTCTGTATTTCATTCTATGTACCACCTATGTTTCTTCCCTCCGCTCCCCACCGCAGCCTAGAAGAAAGAGCGCTGGGCTTGAATCCAAATGCAATGTCCTGGGAATCAAAATTGGGATAGTAAAACTTCTACTGCAGGGATTTTGTAAGATAAAATAAGATAATATATACCTGGCACATAGTAGGAGCTTCATAAAGATTGGTTGAATCTGCCCTGGCATATAAACTCTTTAGACATTCTCCTTCCCTTATGTACAATGTACATACTTTTCCATTTCCCCAGCACCCAGTCCCTCTGAGAATAGGGACATGTATCAGTGCCAATTGACATACCTTAATTTTTAGTGCACCTTTTTGGATCAGGAATCCTTAGCAAATGGGTAATTTTAGGCATCAACAAATTACAATGACAATGAAATAACCTCATAGGTTGGGAGGGGAAGTGGGAGCTACTTTCAGTGAGATATTCAAGGCCGACACAGGCAAAACTGCACGGGGCACACTGCGATGCCATTACTTGTCACTATAAAGAAACTTTCTTCACCTATTTCCTCTTACTCCTCTGGTCTGTTCTTACTTTCAGCTGACATTCAGCTAATTAATTCCTACAGGGGTGTTAACGGATAAGGCAGTTCTGATAGGGTGTCAGCCGATAATGGCCCTAAGGGCCCAGCCTGACTTGTTTTGCCAGGCCTCCTATCACATCTGAAAAGCAGCCTCCAAAAGATGGAAACCCTTTGCAGGCCCACAGGAAATGTTTTCCTTGGGATCAGAAAGGATCAGAAAGGAATGGGAGTCAGGCAGTGCTGTTCACCGCTAAGGCCAGTGATGATGTGGCTTGAAGGCAGAGAGGGGTTTCTTGGGCTGGAAAGGTAGGCAAGACCTCGGCTCCTAACCACCCCACCTTTCCCATCCTCACCTCACTAGCATCTTTTTTTTTTTTTGAGACAGAGTTTCGCTCTTGTTGCCCAGGCTGGAGTGCAACGGCGGGATATCGGCTCACTGCAACCTCCACATCCTGGGTTCAAGTGATTCTCCTGTCTCAGCCTCCTGAGTAGCTGGGATTACAGGCGCCCGCCACTATGCCTGGCTACTTTTTGGTATTTTTTAGTAGAGACAGGGTTTCACCATGCTGGCCAGGCTGGTCTCAAACTCCTGACCCCAGGTGATCTGCCTGCCATGGCCTCCCAAAGTGCTGGTGTGTCCAGAATTTATTCATTCCAGTGGGTTCTTGGTCTCGCTGACTTCAAGAATGAAGCTGCGGACACTCACGGTGAGTGTTACAGTTCTTAAAGATGGCGTGTCCAGAGTTTGTTCCTTCTGATGTTCAGATGTGTCTGGAGTTTCTTCCTTCTAGTGGGTTCATGGTCTCGCTGAATTCAGGAGTGAAGCCACAGACTTTTGCAGTGAGTGTTACAGCTCTTAAAGGTGGCACGTCCGGAGTTGTTTGCTCCTCCTGGTGGGTTCCTGGTCTCGCTGACTTAAGGAGTGAAGCTACAGACCTTCGCAGTGCGTGTTACAGCTCATAAAGGTAGTGCGGAGGAAAGAGTGAGCAGCAGCAAGATTTATTCTGAAGAGCAAAAGAACAAAGTTTCCACAGGCTTGAAGGGGACCCCAGCACATTGCCGCTGCTGGCTCGCTTATTTGGCCCCACCCACATCTTGCTGATCGGTCCATTTTACAGAGTGCTAATTGGTCCATTTTACAGAGTGCTGATTAGTCCATTTTACAGAGTGCTGATTGGTGCATTTACAATCCTTTAGCTAGACACAGAGCGCTGATTGGTGCATTTTTACAGTGCTGATTGGTGCATTTACTATCCTTTAGCCAGACACAGAGCACTGATTGGTGCGTTTTTACAGAGTGCTGATTGGTGCATTTACAATCCTGTAGCTAGACACAGAGCGCTGATTGGTACGTTTTTACAGAGTGCTGATTGGTGCATTTACAATCCTTTAGCTAGACAGAAAAGTTCTCCAAGTCCCCACCTGACCCAGAAGTCCAGCTGGCTTCACCTCTCACTGGGATTACAGGCGTGAGCCACCGCACCTGGCCGGCATATCTTAATCTGCTGCCAGGGGGCCAAACGACAGGGACACAGGTGATGGGCTATTCACAGCATCCCAACGACCTCAGTTCTCAGCAGCTTCTGGAAGGGAAACTTTTCAAACTCTGACCCTTCCAGACAACCCCCATCTTCCACCTTCCTCCTTGAGTATCAGACAAGGGCAGCTTTTGTGAAAGACACACTGGTCTTGCTGTGCACAGCTCTCATTTTGCTGGCTGGGTACTTTGCATAATCCTGAGAGTGAGCAACCCCTAAAGCTTACACCCTAGACACCTCGTTTGTCTCACCCCAATCCCAGCTCTGCAAAGTTGCTAGATGGGGAGATATATACATGCAATCTCATTTTTCATTGCTTCGGGATATTTAAGGCACATTCCTAATCACTTTATTTGAGCTGCAGTGAAGCCATATTAGAATTTGGAATCTTTGACTCCTATTCTAGAGTTTTCCCTCCATACTAATGCTCCCAGAGGCACTGAAACCCAGCATCCATACACAAACGATGCATTTAGCTACAACGGTAAAAAGTTCACACTTTTTTCTAAAAGTTCTCTGTGTTTTGAAACACATTTCAAGGAGGCAAAACATGGGGTTTTGAGTTTTCACCCAAGGGGCCCAATACCTTGGTGATATAGTTTGGATGTTTGTTCTCTCCAATATCATGTTGAAATGTGATCCCCACTGTTCGAGGCGGGGCCTGGTGGGAGGTGTTTGGATCATGGAGGCAGATCCTCATGAATGGCTTGGGGACATCCTCCTGGTAATGAGTTACTTCTTGCTCTATGAGTACACGTGAGATCTGGTTGTTTAAAAGAGCCTGGAAGGCCGAGGTGGGCAGATCACAAGGTCAGGAGATTGAGACCATGGTGAAACCTCTACTAAAAATACAAAAAATTAGCCGGGCGTGGTAGCGGATACCTGTAGTCCCAGCTACTTGGGAGGCTGAGGCAGGAGAATGGTGTGAACCCAGGAGGCAGAGCTTGCAGTGAGCCAAGATCGCACCACTGCACTCCAGCCTGGGCAACAGAGCGAGACTCCGTCTCAAAAAAAAAAAAAAAAAAGAGCCTGGAACTTCCTCCCTCTCTCTCTTGCTCTCCCTTTTGCCATGTGACACACAGGCTCCCCTTCACCTTCCAACATAATTGGAAGCTTCCTGAGGCCTCACCAGAAGCAGATGGTGACATGATGCTTTGTGTACAGCCTGCAGAACCATGAGCCAAATAAGTCTCTTTTCTTTATAAATTACTCTCTCTCAGGTATTCAGTGGAATAGCTGATATTTATAGCAATGGAAACCGACTAACACACTTGGCTAATCTAGGTGTTTCCCCCATCCTATTTCTCTGCGTCACTAACTAACGTTACCTGTGCACCTGAACACTGCTTTTCCCAGTAGAAAAGGGCAGGTGGGCGAGCCGTGTACCTGTTTATGAGGCTGTCTTAGGAAAGCCTTTCTCAAATGATGTGCAAGTTCTGTTAGCAGTTCCGCATCCAGCCTCACCAAACCTGCTTTGCTTCAGGCACTGATGCCTTCAATCCATAGGCTCAACACTACATTCTCAAGCTAGTGCAGACCAAGTTAGGCAAGAGAAAAATTGTAGGTCTTTCTGTCCTAGTCTTGGCGTTCACTTTCTCAGAGGTGAGGCCCCAGGCAACCACATATCCCCAAGGCTACAGTCTCCTTCCCTTCTTCCTACGTGCTTAAAATGACTATTTTCCTCGTTTTCATACCAGTTCTACTTCTGGAGCGCCACCTGTTGTGAAGCCCTGTCCTTTAGTGGGGCCCCAATCACAGTATCTCTTGCTAGATCCTTCTTTCGAGGGGCTGGACTTTGCTCTCGCCACCCCCAGCCCCCTTGCTGAGATCCTGATTCATCCATTCCTATCATCTGGAATACCTGCTGCCTCCCTGATGTCAACCATCTTCAGCATGTCTCCACTGCCTGTCCCCAGTTTATGTCTGGATTTATGCCCAGTTCAGCCGGGGATTTTCCATGCAGCGCTGCTCCCTAGTTTAGACTGTGGGCTCTTTCTGTGGGCCATGGTACTGCTGGGGTGCTTTCTGTTGGCTGTCTTACCCCATGATCATTTAAATCAAACTGACTACACATCACAGCCTGCTGTTTCTTGAGAAAAAAATTGCTCGAATCCCACTTCCATCCACACCCTACATTCTTGGCTATCTATTCTGACTGTAATTCCTGCCTTTGGCACTGCCCAAATCTGGCAGTCTTCCTTTCTCCGTCCTCTTTGGACCTTGGCTCTCCTCCCCACTTTCTGGCTGGTTCACCGTTCTTCCTGGTATTCTCACTGTCTCAGGGGAGAGGTCTGTATCATGCTTCCTGGCCCCTCAGAAATCCTCATTTCTTCTTCTGGTCAGCCCTTGTCATGTCTCAGTCCTCGGTCTTCCATCTTCTAACTCCCACTATGGTTTGAAACCTACTTTTGTGCATTAACAGGAGCATGATGCATGGGTAGGTTGCTTAACTTAAAGAGTCAGGAGGGAGAAGAGGGCAACTTTTAGTTTTGGCCTCATCTCAGCCCAATTTCCTCCTCCTTCCTCATGGACAAGTCCATTTTTGACTATTTAAAAACCTGTAGCGGCCAGGATCAGTGGCTCATGCCTGTAATTGCAGCACTTTGGGAGACCGAGGCAGGTGGATCACCTGTGGTTAGGAGTTCAAGACCAGCCTGGCCAACATGGTGAAACCCCGTCTCTACTAAAAATACAAAATTAGCCTTGCATGGTGGTGCACACCTGTAATCCCAGCTACTTGGGAGGCTGAGACAGGAGAATCACTTGAACCCGGGAGGCCAAGGTTGCAGTGAGCCGAGATCGCGCCATTGCACTCCAGCCTGGGCAAAAAGAGTGAAACGCCATCTTAGAATAAATAAATAAAAACCTGTAGCAAATATGCAACCATATATTCAGTTATATGCATATTTAAAAAAATGAACCCTAAACCCAACTATTTGCTTATCCTCCCATAAATTTAATTTTTGGTTGAGAAAACATAATCACTGAAGGTGTATGTGGCAGAGACTGTGCAATCGAATCCTGTACACGTCCTCCAATGTCCCAGCAGCCTCCCTTGCAGTTAGGTGATGTAAACTATGGCTGTAAGTATCTTCTTCATCCCTCTCTCCCGCTGCAGTGACCTTGATAGCTACAAGTGGAGATGGATCTTTGAGCTATCAGATGGAAGGCTGTCTCTGCAGACCCACACTGGATTCTACATAAATAAGAAGTATAAGTGTAACTTCGTTGTGCTAAGTCACTGAGCTTTTCGGATTTGTTTGTTATTGCAGCATAGCTTAACATTGCTCTGACTAATGCCATATACAAACCTTAAACATGTGCAAGGGTTTATTTCTTCATCTGCCCACACCCAAGAATTGCTTTCCTAAAAACTTAAAATGTATATAAATTATATGTGTTTATTATGGAAAATTATGAAATACAAATAAACAGAAAAGAAGAAAGTAAAAATCATCTATAATCCTCTTGGTCAGAGTTATCTACTGTTAACATTTTCATGTCTACACATCATGTTTTTTCTATGTATATAGAAATATAAATTTATGTATATATGCACATAAACTTATATGTGTGTTTACATATTATTGTAGAACCTACTTTTTTTTGAGAGAGGAAGAGAGCGTCTCTCTCTGTCACCCAGGCTGGAGTGTAATAGAGTGAGCACAGCTCACTGCAGCTTCGACTGTCTGGTCTCAAGCAATCTTCCCGCCTCAGCCTCTTGAGTAGCTGAGATAGCTGAGACTACAGGCATGCACCACCATACCCGGCTAATTTTTGTATTTTTTGTAGAGATGGGGTCTTGCCATGTTGCCAAGGCAACTTCTGGGCTCAAGCTGTCCGCCCGCCTCGGCCTCCCAGAGTGCTGGGATTACAGGCGTGAGCCACTGCGCCTGGCCACAACCTACTTTTTTATTTGACAAAATATTCTGTTAATTTTCTCAAAGCAATAAATACTATTCTAGAACTCAATTTTTTTAATTTTTTTTTCTGAGACAGAGTCTTGCTCTGTCGGCCAGGCTAGAGTGCAGTGGTGCGATTTCACTGTAACCTCCCCCTCCCGGGTTCAAGCAATTCTCCTGCCTCAGCCTCCTGAGTAGGTAGGATTACAGGCTTATGCCACACATGCCAGGCTAATTTTTGTATTTTTAGTAGAGACAGGGTTTCACCATGTTGGCCGGGCTGGTCTAGAACTCCTGACCTCATGATCCACCCGCCTCAGCCTCCCAACATGCTGGGATTACAGGTGTGAGCCACCGCGCCCAGCCTAGAACACAATTGTTAATCATTGCATAGCACTGCATTATGACAGCACCATGATTTATATACTGTTAGACAGTCTACTATTTTCTTCTACTGAAATTGCTGCAGTAACATTTCTACTTCTTTTCTACATATTTTATCACTTACTTCCTCTCCTACTCACAGACCAACTCTTAATCATCGACATTCATAGAATGCAAATGAGGTAATCCAAAAATAATAAAAATGTTCATGAAATTCACAGTGTGATCATTTGGATGGGGAAGGAAGAGGCAAAGTTTTTGCAGTGCATTCATCCTCATAATCGTAATGACGATTATCAAATTTTGGGTTTCATTCTGTGTAGTAATAACTGACTTGGCGGTTGCAAAGGAGATGGTACAGTAGGTAACAATAGGAAGCTGCTTTAATTAGCATTCCATGAGGCTGCAAGAAACAAAAACAACAATGAACTCAAACTTATAGTAGCTTAAACAAAGACAGAAGCTTATTTCACTCTCAGATAAAAGTCTGGAGATAGACATCCCCATATCGCACTCCCTGGGGTATCAGAGACTCAAGCTTCTCCTACTTATTCCCTGTGGATTTTTTCCATTCCCAAGGTCACTGAGCAAGATCTGAAATGATTGCTCTAACTTAAACCATCACATCTATATTCCACCCAGAGTAGAGGATGTAAAGAAAGACGAAGAGAATGTCTCTTCTAAAACGCATTTTTTTGGAGGTTGAACATACCAAGTCTAGTTAGACACTTGGCCATATGTGGGTCCAAGGGAGGCTGGGAAATGTTGTCTTTATTCTGAGTGTCCCTGTGCCCAGATAAAAATTGGGGATGCTGGGCCGGGCGTGGTGGCTCACGCCTGTGATGCCAGAACTTTGGGAGACCGAGGCAGGTGGATCACTTGAGATCAGGAGTTTGAGACCAGCCTGACCAAGATGGTGAAAGCCCTTCTCTACTAAAAATACAAAATGAGCTGGGCATGGTGGTACACGCTTGTAATCCCAGCTACTCGGGAGGCTGAAGCAGGAGAATTGCTTGAACCCAGGAGGTGGAGGTTGCAGTGAGCCAAGATGGCATTATTGCACTCCAGCCTGGGTGACAGAGTAAGACTCCATCTCAAAAAAAAAAAAAAAAAAAAAAAAAATTGGGGATGCTCTTGCAATAGGAGAAGGGAAGAACGGATATTGGGTGACAACCACATATCGCTGACATAAGAACCACCAGGTGACTTATAATGCCCACAGGTAAATAATTCAATCCAGCTTCTGATGGAGGAGGATCCAACAAAAGGAAAATATCTATTACATCAACAATAAAATGTAATCAAATTTTCACAATGAACAGATGGACTAAAAAAAAATACACATTCGGTACTTTAATTCCTGCTGGATTTCTGAAATCAGCCAGCTCCTTCTGAATGAACATGTGCTAAAGAGAAGGGCAGCTGATAACCTCTTGAGCATCTTAATTAGCACTGGATTTCATCAGAATGGTGCTGTGTAATACATCAGAAGCTGAGCACAGCAGATTCCAGAACACCTAGGTCTAACTGCCAAGTCCCTCAAATAAAGCAAGTGAGAAGAGCAGGCCATATACGTAGGGGGAGAAAGCTAGTCACCTTCACGCTTCCAAGCTTTTGCTCTCGTGGCTTCAGCTCCCTAGAATCCGTTGTCTCTTCTCTATGTGAAGAAGTGCTGCTCTGCCTTCTCATTATTTATTTATTTATTTTTTTTTTTGAGATGGAGTCTCGCTCTGTCGCACAGGCTGGAGTGCAGTGGTACCGTCTCGGCTCACTGCAACCTCCGCCTCCCGAGTTCATGCCATTCTCCTGCCTCAGCCTCCCAAGTAGCTGGGACTACAGGCGCCCGCCACCACACCTGGCTAATTTTTTGTATTTTTAGTGGAGACGGGGTTTTACTGTGTTAGCCAGGATGGTCTTGATCTCCTGACCTCATGATCGGCCCGCCTCAGCCTCCCAAAGTGCTGGGATTACAGGTGTGAGCCACTGTGCCCGGCCTCTTCCTTCTCATTCTTGAAGAAACTAGTCAAATATTTCTTGGGATGCCTGTTCTTTGACCCTTTAGTTTTGTGTGTCATTCATTCATTCATTCATTCATCAAATACTGATAGAATCTACCATGTACCAGGCAATGTACTAGGCATTGTGGGGTGGAGTGGGGAGACTCAAGGACAAACTAGTTAAGACTGTGGCCTCAGGCTGCATATAACACTAATTCAATTAGATTTGTTTAGTCAGACAGCCCAGCACACTGGGGCAAGGGCTAGTAGCCCCGATATGCTGTGCTCTCTGACTAAACAAAGAATAGATAGCTCCAAGAGGGCAGAAACCTGGTATTTTAATTAGCACATATTTACAGAGCTCTCACTATGTGCCAAGCACCTTTCTGCTCTATGTGCTTAGAGTATATTACTCTTCTAAATCTTACGACAATCCGTGAGTGTGTACCCATCCTCACCCTATTTTGCAGATGGTGAAACTGAAGCATACACAGGTTAAGTAATTTGCCTAAGGACATGTGGCTAGGAAGCAGTGAATGTAAAACTGAATACAAGGAGACTGGCCCTAGCGTGCATGCCTAACTCATATTCTTCACTTCTTTACTATTCACACTTTTCTGCATTTCCAGTATTGAATAGGATGCCTGGGATCTCGTGGTTATTCAGTAAACGTATGTTGAATGGAAGTGAGCTGGCTGCTCAACACTGGCCAAGTTATCCTCTCTGAGCCATAATTCCTACAAAGATAAAAAGAAGTTAGACTGGAAGACCTCTACGATCCCTTGAAATTCTCAACTATGGAATTGTAATTTTTTTCCTTATTCATAGCCTAAATAATCTTTTAGCTGAGGCCGGGAAGAGATCTTGTGGGATCATATGTGGAATTCTGGATTTTAGCCAGACTTCCTCCATAGTAACTAGGTGAGAATTCTTTTAGTTTATCAAATCCTTTAAGATGTCCCACCTTTTTGAAGCTAAGTAGTAGGTGATTCACAGATTTTATGAATAATGATGATAGACAAGATATCCAAAAAGTTTCTTCATAAGGTGGAAAGGTAAACTGCTTTCCTCCTGCATATACACCAGTTTGGTAGCAAAGAGTATTTTGGTAACACCTTATTTCAATTTTAGTAAGATTGTGTCCTTAGCCACAAAGAGGTATCTAAGAGTGGACACTGTAATATTTCTCAGGCCAGTATTCTTTGTAAATATGGCTACTAACAATGCATCACCTCCAATAAACTGCTCTAAATTACTCTTTCAGGTTATGCTATTGCATGACATTGTTTCCAAAAGACCTAAGCGTGCAGTGCCAGGCGTTTGAGCAAAGGGCCAGAAAATCCCCATGATCTGACCAAATGCCAGTTTAGGTCATTATACTTTGGCCAGTTCTCTCCTCCCTACGGTGTCAGTTGGCTACTTTAGCCTTCACCACCCAGCGCATGCTGCTTGGTAATCACTGAGTTGGCTGGACTGTCTTCTCTGGTGAGTACTGTTCAGAAAGGGGCATTGAGTTGGGCTAACACTGACTGTAGGGAATAATATTGCTGGTAATAAGCTTCTCTAAGCTGAAATCAACAGAGGTATTATTTTCTCCGTAGGGCTGAAGTCAACAGGGAGCAGGACTGTATACTCTTGCATTTGAGGATTTAACCTACTGCGTATGTTTTTGACTATTTGCTTGACTTTGAAAGTCCCTGATGTAATGATTTATCATTTTGCTGAGGCAGGGATTGAACACAAACACTGTGAGAGTGGCAGAAAGTTCACAGTGAGTCACCTCACCAGCTAGGGAGCCTAGTCAACCACCTTGCATCTGGGTATGTCTCCACTTGGGTATCTAATATATGATTTCTTTTAATTTTCTTGACAGCCTTGTAAGACTCTTATTATTATCCCCATTTTATGCATGAGAGAATTACATGTTCTAGTGCTGCTCACACATTTAAAAATATTTGGAGATCTAAGAATGTTTTTCCCTTAAAGGTTTATTTTGTGGGAGGAGGGCTGGAGGCAAACTTAGGTAGAGAGATGTGAATTCATAGCACACGCATCATAATCAATGTATGGGGGGTTCCTCTCTTGACTGACAGATTGATTTCTTCCTTCATCCCCAATCTCTGCTCTCATTCTCTTCCCTTATGAATTCTTGCAAATGATCCATATAAATACAGAATTCAATATGTATGTGTTTTTAATTTACATAAATGACATTGTGTTTACATCTCATTCTCTTTCTTGCTTCTGAAACTCAAAACTATGATGTTAATGCCCATCCAGGTCACTAAATGTGTATCTAGTTCAATGCTTTGAATTGCAGAGTATTATTCCATAGTATGCATGCCTGATATTTTATTTAAATGTTTCCCTTGCTGTGGACACCAGGATAATTTCATATACATATATATGATTATTACTCTATGTAATATATGTTGTATATCTCCTATCTATATATGTGGGATTGATGTCATAGCACATATGTACATTCACTTCATTAAGTACTGCCAGATGGCTTTCCAAGTGGTTGTACCTGTTTACACTCCCACCAACAATCCATGTCACATTCTTGATATTATTCACCAAAGTTTTATTTGAGCTGATTTACTGATTTTCTTAAGTCTTTGTATAGTGGAGCAATTAACTGGAAATCTTAACAAAAGAAAGGTAGGAAGGAGTTAGGTGAGCTGTGACTTTCCTGGCCCCCTCCTCAATAATTTCCCTCTCCCATTCTCCTCTCCTGTCCTGTGTTCCTTATTCCTTTCAAATTGTTCCAGAACCTGCTACAGGAAATTACTCTGAACTTTCTCCCTGAACCACTTCCTTCCTTTTCAACAGCGTTCTTTTTTCCTTCCCTCCCTCCCTCCTTCCTTCCTTCCTTCCTTCCTTTTCTTTTTTTTTTTTTAACAGAGCCTTGCTCTGTCACCCAGGTTGGAGTGCAGTGGCACTATCTCAGCTCACTGCGACCTCCACCTCCTGGGTTCAAGCAATTCTCCTGCCTCAACCTCCCGAGTAGCTGGGACTACAGGCATGCACCGCCATGCCCAGCTAATTTTTTTATTTTTAGTAGAGATGGGGGTTTCGCCCTGTTGGCCAGGTGGGTCTCAAACCCCTGACCTCAAGTGATCTGCCTCCCAAAGTTCTGGGGTTAGAGTCATAAGCCAATGCACCTGGCCTCATCAGAGTTTTCTACGCACCTCAATAGAATTTTCTCCAACTCCTTTCTAAGTATCCAAATTCCTCCTATTTTGTGAGGTACAACTTAAGAACCAGTTCCTCCATGAATCCCTCTCTAATTACTCCAGCCTACACTTGTCTCTCCTAATTTTGACTACATATATCACATTTGGGGGTTTTATTTTTATTCAGTTTAACTCTATTATATTCCATGTTGTTTCCAAAAAAGAGAAATTGGGCAAATAAGATGTATAGTGTTTGGTTAGCCTCATTCTTCCAGGAGGTCACTAGTTTTGGACCACAGCCTACATCTGACTTACACTCCCCAAGTTCTTGTGGGAAAATCAGATACATGCACCAGGTAGTCTTACCTACCACCTTGAGTCAATCTTCTATAGGATTATAAGAAAGATTTCACCAATAGTAGAAATACATAACAAGCATTACATCTGCAAAATACATAACCAGGCAGTCTTACAAACTCTCTCTCTCACTGGTTATATATATCTTTATTGACTTCGAGTTTGTGGAGGTAAAAATATGAGGTGGATCCCAGGAGCATCTGTGGCACTCTCTGCAGAGCTGTAGCCTGTTCCCAGAAGGTGCTGTCCTCATTGACCTTTCAACAACCACCTGCTCATTACCTGAACAACAAGGTTCCTAGAAGACACTGATCTTCTTTTTTCGTCTCTTTCCCATAATTGAGCCACCAAAATTAAATGAATTCAGGGAAATACTCTTACCCACCACTGTTACACTATACTATTTTGCATTCTCTGTTTTCCACATAAAAACCCTACATTGCAAAGGAAATGACTAATTGCTTTACCAAAATTTACTTTCTTCTTTCTTACAGTCAGAACTTTGACGTTATCCAGGATGGCATGGGTCTAGCCATAAAACCACCTTTCCCAGTCTGTTTGGCAGATGGAAGTCTATGTGACAGTTGTTGCCATTAAAATAAAAGCCACAGATATGGTGTAAGACTTTCTAGAATGCTATTTTTCTTTTGCTTTTTCTTTTTGAGACAGGGTCTCACTCTGTCACCCAGGCTGGAGTGCACGATCATGGCTCACTGTAGCCTGGAATTCCTGGCCTCAAACGATCCTCCCACTCAGCCTCCCAAGTAGCTGGAATACAGGCATGTACACCATGCCTGGCTAATTTTTTTTGTTTGTTTTTTAGTAAAGATGAAGTCTCACTATGTTGTCCAGCCTGGTCAAGAATGTTCTCTAAAGTGAAACAACTCAGTTGGCACCCACCGATGCCCTTATCCTTCCTTTTTCTTTCTGCTTAGAATGTGGTCATGATGGCTGAGGATAGAGGTGGAACAGGTGCCATGCTGCTATCACAAGACGGAGACCACATACTCTAAGAATGCTGAACAGAAAAATAAAAGGAGTCTGAGTCCCTGATGACATAATAGAGCTACCATAACCACCATGGATATTGTCTAGGTGCTTTGTAATATAAAAAGAGTAAACCCTCTAATTGGTTCAACCACTGTGTTTGCATGTTATTTACTGCATGCAGTCAAACTCAAATCCCGATTGTTATTTGTTTGCTTTTGACAAACCTGTACTCCCAAAGAATCTTGCAGTGGTTCAAAGGCAGCCTGATAGGGAAACCATCTGTTCATCCTTAAGGAGAGCCCAGTAGTTCTGCAGGTCAGACCTGTGGTGCTCATTTATCAAGCTTGTGAGCTCTGCTTCTCTTCCATCTTACCAACTTTCTATGGCTGATATGGGATATCACCCCTGGTTAGAGGTTTGTAACAGACTTTCTTTCTTACTAGTGGAGACTTCCTTTAATGAGAAAGACATTAAGTGCCACATGCTTACTTTCCTAGTTTCCTTTATGGTGAGGGTATAGACATGTGACTTAATCTGGTCCAAAGAGACCATAACGGAAGGCAACTGGGATACGTGGAAACAAATGTCCTTTCTTCTTCACTGGAAATGATGCCTAGAAATGCTGAGTCATCTGTGGTCAGTGGCATGGACAGGATGGCAAGACATCAATGGGAAGCACTTGGATGCCTGGCAGACCTCCCTGTCACATCCCCAGCCCCAGATGCCAACTGCCTTTGAACATCTGCCTATTGTTTACACCACTTCTAAGGATATTCTGTTCTTGGCACTTAAAAGAACTCCAATGATACAGGGGTGTCAGAACAGGGCTGGTCACCTGCTTCAGCATTTTTTTTTTTTGAGATGGAGTTCCACTCTTGTTGACCAGGATGGAGTGCAGTGGGGAGTGCAGTGGCGCGGTCTTGGCTCACTGCAACCTCCACCTCCCGGGTTCAAGCAATTCTCCTGCCTCAGCATCCCGAGTAGCTGAGATTACAGGCATGAGCCACCACACTGGGCTAATTTTTTTGTATTTTTATTAGAGACAGGGTTTCACCATGTTGGCCAGGCTGGTCTTGAACTCCTGCCCTCAGGTGATCCACCCTCCTCAGCCTCCCAAAGTGCTGGGATTACAGGTGTGAGCCACCGCACCTGGCCCCGCTTCAGCATTTCTAGGTCTCTTTATTTAAAGTAAGCTTCTCAATGCCTTAGCCAGCTAGACCTCTGGGTACCTGCTTGGCTGGTCATTCAAACATACCCAGACAGGTCTGAATCTGCAAGAAGTATAGGGTAGACGTCATGCTAGGACTCCTCCTTTGCATACTTAATGTAACCCCCATTTAGTATTGCCCATTTTCATACAATGACCACTATGTGGTATGCTGTTATTTTTTAAAATAGTAAAACAATTTTTATGCTTGATGAAAAATATTTATAAGGAAAACTAATTGTTAAAAGAAACCAATAGTTTATTTTAAAAATCCACAAACATGAATTAAAATATGTGGAGTCAAACATAGCCCTAAACTTTTATCACCTAAAATATTTGAAAATACTTTTGGGGTTTTTTAGGAACAATCCATAGCACTCAAAGAGGATACCAGAGGATACATATTTTAGTTGCTACAAATAAGTATTGTATTACCATGGCCACACTATAATATTTCTTCAGATGAGATATTTACTCCTAGTCAATCTGGTGGTATTAATTTGCTTTCTAAATCAGGTAGGGACTGCAGGACAGATAGGCTGAATATTTAATATTTCTGTTCAAAACTTCAAGATACATGTACCTTTCAAGTTGCTCTTCAGCCTCTTTCCTGCCACAGCAGGAGTGCTGCTTAGATGGTCAATTCTAAATGGAAGAACTCCAGCCCTCTCTAACTCACACAAAACACTTGGTTGAAAAGAGAACCTGGCCGGGCATAGTGGCTCATGCCTGTAATCCCAGCTACTCAGGAGGCTGAGGCGCAAGAATCACTTGAAACCAGGAGGCGGAGGTTGCAGTGAACCGAGATCGCGCCACTGCACTCCAGCCTGGGCGGAAGAGCAAGACTGTCTCACAAAAAAAAAAAAAAAAAAAAAAAAAAGTGAAAATTTCAGCCAGTCATCTGAATGGTGTCAGCCTCATAGCAAAACATTGGAATGATTATTTTCTTTTACTTCTCACAGAGATTTGGGCAAGGTAGAGATACAGTTTTTGTTTTTGTTTTTTTACCTGAAGAAGATACAAAATGACCAAGAGGAAATCTCTGATTTGAAATTGCTAGAGAAAATTAGCCAATACCTTTGTGTATTATAACTACACATTGTTATCAAGAATGTTAAGACTTCTGAATGATGAAGTGGTATACCACGAAGAAAGACTGCTAAATAGCAATGTGAGGATTCTCTTTTAGAAGAGACTAATTTGGTAAGGAAATAGTTAGACTTGGATTCTGGGTCAATCAGAAACCAACCCTGGTCCAAATAAGAATGAGGTAAATTCTTTGTGTAGCTATCACTAGAGAGCTTTGACCCCCATTCAGACTGCATTTTGATTTTTATTCTATTTGCAAGAACCCTGGGGAGGGGAGAGTCACTGGCATCCCTAACGTAGCTCCCAACAGGGACACTGCCCATATTAAACAAGTGCAGGAGGGCTGGGAGGAAAAAGAGCTTTTGAGAACATCATGTGCCTTCCTTAGCGGTGCTCAGGGCATCGGTGGACATGTGACTGGAGAACAGTACTCACAGAACCAGGGCAGAAAGGAATCTGAAAAGGCAAATCATCCTAATTTGCACAAATGAGATCAGGGTTTTCTCATTATTGGCAGATTCTGGGTGAAATCTCAGATCTCCTGATTCTTTCAGTTCAGTTTTCTTCCAGGATATCATTTGGTCAAAAGCTATTGAGAAAGTGAAGAGGAAAAAAAAAAAGATGTTGCAACTTTGTGTATGAATGATGGGTATGAGTTTGCTCCTAGAAGCAAGGGAAAATAGGTATTTGCTACGGGTCTCTAAATTGAAGAAAAGACTTCACCAAAAATGCCAAAATAATCCTCAAAATAGCAGTCTAATTTGGATGAGAAGGACTGCTACAAACATGATGACTGTAAGAAATGTCCCTCACTCCTCCCCACCTCCAGCGCTCTGGCCAATGATAAAGACAAAGAACTGGGTTAAACGGGAGCCAAAGCATAAGCATTATTAGGGCCTCAGTGGGCTTTCCTTGTGTCTGTGCCGCATGGGGTCAGTGGATGCCATGAAATGGACTCAGGGTCCGGTCTTACTTCTCCCAACTCCAAAGGAGAGTGTGAGGTGGGGATGCCAGCCATACTCTAGACCACTCTGCCTAGGAGCCAGTGACCTTTGAGGAAGCACTTGCATACCTCACCAGATTGAAAGGGCCAGCCAGGACCCTGTGCAGAGGGCCCTATACAGAGAGGTGATGCTGGAGCGTTATGCAGGGGTGGCTTCCCTGACTTTTTCATTCAGCTATCCTGTTCTGGTCTCCTAGCTAGAGAAAGGGGAACTCCCATGGAACCCCTATCTCTGAGAATCTCAGAGTGAAACCATAAATGAGAAGGAAGGACTAATTCCAAAGGAGCATAGGTCCAAAGAAACAGAATCCCTCCGACTGACACTGGGAGGGCTGCCAGAGAATACTCCCCAGCACCTAGATTTTGGGAGCAGCCTAGAGCAGCCCCAAGGTCACTGGATGGTCAAGATAAAGTCAAAGAGGGGAGATTTCACAGATGGGTCCACCAGGCATCAGGAGGCCTGTGCTGATGAGAGAGGGGAAAGTGTGAGAAATTAGGAAAAAATGTTAGCGTCAGCACACAACTCTACGAATCAGACAACTCCTACCGGTCAGATAGCTTATGAATGTGGAAAATGTGACAGGTATTTCAGTCAAATGGCAGACTTCCACTGACATCAGAGAGGTCACGGTGATGAAAAGTTTTGAATGCAAAGAATGTGGATGACTTCAGATGCAGCACATTACTTGTTTGGCATCAGATAATGCACACTAGAAATAAACCATTTAAATGGAAAGAATGCGGGAAAGGTTTAAATTCAGATGCAGCCTTGATTCAGCATCAGAGAATCCACGCTGGAGAATCGCCCTCTGAACGTAAGGAGGGTGGCAAGGCCTTTGGCAATAGCTCAGTCTTCCTTTAGCACCAGAGGTTCCACACTGGGGAGAAACTCTGTGAGTGTAACAAACATTGGAAAACTTCTAGTTGTAGCTCAAGCTTCATTGTCCATCAGCAATGCACACTTGGAAGAAACCCTATGAATGTAAAGAGTGTGGGAATCTATTAAGCACGGCCTTGACTCAGCATCACTGAATTCACACTGGAGAGAAGCCCTTTGCATGTAAGGGTTGCAAGAAGGCATTCGATCAGAAAATAACCCTGATTCAGCACGAGGGAGTTCACACTGGTGAGAAACCTTATGAGTGTAGAAGGTGTGGGAGCCCCTCAGCTGGTGTGGAAACTTCGTTATGCATCAGAAGCCACACACTCAAAAGGCACCCATTTAAGCATAGGGCTAGCCACTATCAGGCTCACTACACCCCTCTTTGTTTCTCCCTGTTGCATGATTTTTAAGTGTCCCCACTGTCTCTCCTGGACTGTGTTGATTCTTAACCATATGCCTCTGTCCCCACAGCTCTGCATATCTGGAATGCCCACTTCTCCACCTGTCCAGTCATATATTTAATTCAGACTCTTGGCTTCCATCATGAAACGTTCCTCAAATTCTCTGAGCCCTTGCCTCCCCAACATGAACTCTCTTCACAGTTAGAAAAGAAATAAAAAACAAACTCCAGAACTTTCAAACATAAGAGGAATGTAAGTTTCCAGATTCAAGAATACACCGAATGCCCAGCAAGATGGATTGGGGGAAACCTACATTAAAGAACAACACCGTGATTTATGAAAACACCAAGCTTAAAGAAGAAATCCTAAAAAGTTTCTAGAGAAAGGAAACAAAAGATCAGAAATGAGCATGGCTTTAGATTTCTCAACAGCAACCTTGAGAATTAGGTGACAATGGTGTATGCCTTCAAAGTTCTAAGGAAAATGATTTCCACCCAGAATTCTATGCCTTCAAGGGTAAGTATAGAATAAAGGCATTTCAGACGCATTAGTTAGGCTCATGCATCCTTTCTCAGAGAGCAACACTAAGTAAGGGATAAACCGGGAAATAAAAAGACAGATATGTGGACACCCTATTTCAGTCTGTATATCAGAAGTCTCCTAAGTGCAAAAACAGAGGGGTTCTGTCCATGTGGAGCTGTATGCATCTTGCAGGACACCCTTAATAGGGTGAAACTTTCAGAGATCTACCCGGGGCACGGTGTCCACCCACCCTTCTTACTCTGTGCTACTCAATCGCAGTCTGTGCCTTTGTAAAATTCAGGGTGTACATATCCTTTGAATTAGATGCAAGGCCCTATTTGTCTTAATTTTTTTTTTTTTTTTTTTTTTGAGACACGGTGTCACTCTGTTGCCCAGGCTGGAGTGCAGTGGTGCAATCATAGCTCACTGCAGCCTCCATCTCCCAGGCTCAAGAGATCCTCTCACCTCAGCCTCTCGAGCAGCTGGGACCACAGGCACATGCCACCATGCCCCGCTAATTTTTGTATTTCTTTGTGGAGATGGGGTTTCACCATGTTGCCAAGGCTGGTCTCAAACTCCTGGATTCAAGCGACCCACCCGCTTCAGTCCCCCAAAGTGCTGCTGGGATTACAGGCATGAGCCACCAGGCCCAGCCTGTCTTAAATTTATCTCACCGCTCTTCCAAGTGACCTCAAGGCAGGAAACATTTTCTTGCAACTTCATCTAGTTATTTTTTATGAACAGGGAAGAACCTGCCATTATTTTCTGTTACCTGCGGAAATGAGGGAAGATGTGAATGTACTCTTTTGCCCATCTGCCACTTTTGCAGGCAGCCTGATTTTGCCCATTGCAGGAAGCAGAGGGTAGTGGTTAGTATAATAATAATAATAATACACAGCAAGGATGACTTTGGTTTGAACCCAGGTGCGTGACCTTGCTTAAGTTATAGCAACTCTGTGTTCTAATTTCCTTATCTGTAAAGTGGGGATGACAATTAATCTACCTCATAGGTTTGTGTTGAGTATTTAATGTATTGATGCACGTAGAAGTGCTTTGAACAGAGGCTATATGTAATAAACCAAAGTGTTACCTATTAGGGCTTTAGTGATAGCTAGATTGGAAATGGTGGGACTGGGTGTAGAGGAAGGGGTAGAGAGGAGAGCCAGCTTTCTTGATGGCAGCAGTTCTAAGTAACAGAGAGAGAGAGAGAGAGAGAGGGAGAGAATGAGAGCGTGCTATGCACGGGCAAATATCCATTGCCCAAGTTTCAAAGCAGGGATGGCTGCTGAAAACGGATGCCAGACTTTCAATAATTTCGAGAAGGTAAGACTGTCATCCTCCTCCTTTTATTACCAGCCTTGTTTTAATAAGTAAAGCAAATTGTTCTTCCTTTGTGTTTGCTGTTGTTTTTCAAAAATTACCTAGTGACTCTCAAGTTGATTTTTTTCAATGAAATTTAGAATTTTTAGAAAAATTCAAATTCTAGAAATAAGTTGAGCGCAAGCAGCACATCCTTTTAATGTCATATGGGAACAAAGGCCACCTTAGGATTGTAGGGAAATGTACTTAGTTCATTGTTTACTATTGATTAAAGGTCCCAGACTAATTACCTGCTAAGTGAAGTGCTTGCTAAATTGTACGGAAGTTACCTGCTAAGTTGCAGATTTCTGTCCGGTAGAGATGCAGATAATTTCTGTCATTTGAAACAGATCACCTCAAAGAGTTATGGTCTATTGGGCAATAACCAGTTTGTTTGTTTTTTTAAATCAAATTTGGCAATCTTATCCTAACATTTCTTTGTTAGATTGCTTATAAGAAATGAATTGTTCAAACACTCTCAGAATCAGTCTTAATACCTTACTGGTTTCCTCATTAACTAATGAGTTGAATAAAAGTTTTGACATGAGCTTAATATTTGCTGGGTAGTCAGGATGTTACCTTTCTGAAAATTATCTGTTAATAGATTATGTTTTTCCTAAAAATATCTTACTGGGATTTTGATTGGAATTCATTCCATTTATAGCTTCACTGGGGAGAACTGACATCTTTACAATACTGACATTAACTATTCAGCACCTTGTCTGTTTTTCCCTCTCCTCAGAGTTCTATAGTTTCCTTCATTTAAATAATACACATTCTTGGGTAACTTACCTTTTGGTTGTTGTTAATAGGAGTTGTTTCAGTTTTTATTTTCCAACTGGTTATTTTTTGGAATATAAGAAAGTTTTTTGGTGTGTATAACCTAACTTCTTACTGTATTGTTAGGTTATTTTTAATAGATTTATTAAAGCATTTCCATATTTGATTATAATAATGTTATAATCAAATAATGATAATTTTGCTGCTCCTTCACCAATATTTGTAGCTCCTTTATCTTCTCATGAAGCACCTTCAGAACGGTGTTGAGTAATGGAATGGTGGGCGCTGTTGCTTAACATTATCAGGCTTATTGTGAGGTAAAATGTTTAAAAGGCACTGGAGGAAAAGCATATTTTTAGCAACTTAGACACAAGAGAAAGGTATCTTTACTAGCTCCATCTCTATTTTCACCTAGTTCCTTTCTCCTGCCAATATCTCCAGCCTTGAGTCCCCTATGTATTGGAGACAGGAAGGAAGTTTCATTAGTTATTATTGTATTAACCATCTCCATATGTAGCAACCGTAATGTGCTCTGAATTTACCCGGCATCTCAAAAAAAAAAAAAATGCTGCTTTGATTGAGAGATAAAAGGAGGTGATTTTTAATGTTGGAAGTGAACTTAGAGGAAGTGAGTTGGAATAGGATATACAATTCCTGCAGGACAGGGCACCCTGTCCAGGTGAAGAGAAGGGGCCAAACAGCATTCCTGTTCCTGCCAAATGGCCCTGGTCATTGCTTTGGCCTTGCCAAGGGCAGGGCCCCCACTACAGACTATGTGGAGCTGCGAGCTGAATACAGAGCACTCTTCTGTGCCTCTCGCCTGTGGAGCAGGCTTGTCTGTCCCAGATCACACTTGAATAGATGAAAAGAATCCGTTTTTCCCTTGGCCCGAGGCCTGCAGTGGAGGCCACAAAGGCGCTTACAGACAAACTGGAGTGGAAGTGCAGCAAAGAAAGGCTAGAGAAGACTTAGGAAAGTTTAAGAAGACATCAACAAGAACATGTCTAGCTAATGTAGATAATGAGTTATTCAAATGGCCCCTTTGCTCTCATTTGGAGAAATGAACGTTGCAAAGAAACTAATTACGGCCAGCTCCTGTAGTTTTACTGGAATCCTATCTCTCAACATCTTTAAGAAAATCTAGGTAGAAAGAAAGTTATTGGCCCTAAAGGTGGGACCCTGGGAGATGGGAAAACACATCTTGAGCAAGACCGATTTCTCTCCCTCAAGCTTGATACAGGAATTCAAGAGTTTAACCAAAGGAAGAGAAATGCCGGGTTAATGCATGATAATGACACCCAGTTGGGAAACCTAGTAGTGATTTTTATCAAAGCACTTTGTTTGGTGGGTAATTGTGAGAACGGGTCCCTTTGTTTAAAAGTCGTTTTGGGGAATAGCTGGAAAGACAAGTCCTTCCTCTCGTTCTACTCTGGTTAGAGCCAGTGAAATGGGACTGTCACATCTGAGAAATGATCTCTCCTCATGTTCCTGTCCTGAGTGCTTTTTAAAGTACAGTCCTAAGATGTTTCGGAGACATCTGTCTGTAGTCCTAACCCAGCGTTCAACAAGGAGTAGGATCCACAGGACCTAAGCTGCCAAGGAAGCCTGATTTTTCTAGGTACCAAATGAGTTAACTTTTGGAAACACGTATTTTGAGAAAAAAAATAAGTAGACTATCAGGACTACCATAGGGTATCAGGTCTACGATTTTAAGGGTGAAAGTTCTTCTACACTTTTTCCTACAATTTTATTTCTGCCCTTGTTTCCTAGCTGGCTGTTTCTGGCCTTTGGTGGAGGATGGTGTTTTGGAATGTCTGGCTTAGGGCACCTATGTCGACACCACTAGGGATGCGTGTTAAAGTGCAGACCCCCGGGCTCCACACTGGAACTACTAAATCAGAATATCTGAGAAAGAGGAGCAACGTGTGTGCCTAATTCTCTCAAGTTTGAGGAGAACTGGGGTTCTGAAGGCACAAAGACCTGAGTTTAAAACACAGTGTTACTGGTTACTGTATAATGTTAGGCAAATTATTTAGCCCTTGTCTTCAGTTCTCTGGGCTGCAAAGCAGGGATGATTCTATCTACTTGAAATTGTTCCAAATACTGTCATATTTATAATTAACATGAACCTTTAGAAGGAGCAGAAAATGTTTGATACACGTTATTGATTATGTTTGCTATCTTACATCAAATATTTACTCTGCTTCATCCCTAGCTGTTAACATTGATGCTATTCTCCCAGCCTAGCTGCCAGAGACTCCCGAGTGGCTGCAAATCAGCGTGGTTTATTTACATCTTACCCGTCCTTCCTTAGCGCTAGGTAATGAGTCTTCCTATACACCCTGCCTTATAAGCAAAGAAGAGCCAGTCGATGTGTCCCAGGGTTACCCAGGACCCACAATAGGGACAGGCTTCCCTATTGCTCTTGACCCCACAGTTTCCTGCCTTGGTTTTCTTGTCTCTGCCCACTGGCTCTGTTTCTATCCGCAGCTATGCTCAACTTTTCGGTCCCTTCAGGCTCCTTTTGCTGGCCCTTGCTGCTCTTTGAAGTGCAGGCTGTAGTTATTTTCTTCTTACTCCCAATTCTCCCATCCAAGTACTAACCAGGACCGACCCTGCTAGCGAGATCAGATGAGATCGGGTGCGTTCAGGGTGGTATGGCTGTAGACATATTCACAATTCTCTATTAAAGACTCTCCCTTGTTCATTCCCTTTCCTGTGGAACTCCCAGTGGTGCAACAAGGTCCTGCATGTCAGAGGAAGGGGATCCAGATAACCCACACTCAAATTCCCGATGAACACATTCAGAATGGCAGACATATTCAGAACGGCAGAAACATTCAGAATGGCAGGAAACAACTGGACTATTTGCTTAGAAATACTGGTCTTCTGGAGTTAGAGACTTTCGTCCTTACTCCATTTTATGAAAGTCTTCGTGTTTGCTCAAGTCTACTCTTTTGTCTTTCAAGGCTGAAAAGTGCGTCTGCGACAGCCTTTTCTGGAAGGAAGGTGTGTTCAGTGGGTTGTGTGGGAACAGTTCAAACAGCATTGTGAGCATGACAGCTTCCAAGTCAAGGAGTTGGTTATTAATTGCTCAAAGCTTGAAATGCCAAATATATGTGAGTGGGAGGTTATGATTTCTCATTCTCTGTCTCTCTCTTGCTCTCGTTTTTCATACGTAAGTTTCAGCAGTTGGACACTCTCCCCAAGAGAGCAGCGTAGAAAAGAAACATCCGTGGCACAGTTGTCCCTCCTTAATGGTTGAGTGCACAAAAGTTACATATAAAAAAGGTAGCATGAAGTAATAATGCTCCCACAGACTCTCAAAACACCAACTGTAAGCTACTTCATTCTTATGCCATTGTAAGGGAAGGAGTTGGGCAATATTATCATCCCCGGTATTCAGGTGTGAGATTGGAGGAATGGAAGCATTCAATCATTTCCCCAAGGTCGCTCTGTGAGTCTCTGGTGGAAACTGAACTTCAGTAACAGCGCAATTAGCACTTCATAAGCACCTGGTAGACCTTGACACTGCTGATCCTGGGTCCCTGGAGATGTACAGCTATTCTCCAGATAAATACTCTCTCTCTCTCTCTCTGTCCCTCTCTCTCTCTGTGTGTGTGTGTCTCTCTCTCGCTGTCTCTCTCTTCTTCTCTTTGTCACACACACACACACACACACACACACACACACACGTACATACCTATGGTTGCATAGAAACAGGAACCTTCACTCTTCCTGGGCTCTGCTTTTCACAGGGTAACCAGGTATGTTATACTGTGATAACACACCTCACAGACATGTGTGTTGGGTTAAAGAAAATCCTGGATTTGTAGATAAAAAGAACTATACCATCTCTGTGGGGATTACAGTACCAGTCCTGAATTCTGGGATATGACTGATCACAGTTATATTGCTTAGAAGTGAAATGAAAAATTGAGGTCTGAATAAGTTTAATTCAATGAACATGCAGTAATAAAGATAGGCTACAAGGTAAATAGATTTATATTTACAGAAAACCATACAAATATAAAGTATTTGGGAGTAAAAATTAATGAATATGTGGACCAGGTCCTGAGGGAATATGCTAAGAACTGAACCTATTTCCTATAATAAACTGAATTTAGGCAATAATTAGTACCAGCCAGCATTAATTGTGTTCCCAACTGCTCAAGGAGTTTAGTCAATTATAAAATTGTAACGGTTCTACCAGAACATGCGTGAACTTGGGGACTTTTCTGGTTTCATCAGCCAAGGCCCAGGGCCAAGACCTCAGCATAAAACCAGTCTTTGCGACTCTCCTCGGGACTTCCCAAGGAAAAATGGGAAATCAGTGTCAGATAGTGTTTTAAGAAACAGCTCTCCTGGGACTCACTTTTTAACTAAACAAAATCCTTAAGGCAAAGGACTGAGGCACTAGGCATGGAATTCTAAGTATCAGCCGGTGGGTGTGGGAAGAATTCTGACTCTCAGAAGTCTGTGTTGTGCACACACCTTTAGTGATAAGATTGCTCCACCAGCCATTACAAGTTAGAGAAAAAAAAAAAAAAATCATGACACTAGAAATGTCCAACAACAGGGGACTAAAAAAATATGGCATAGACATATGATTATATACAAATAATGTAGAAATATTTATTGGCAAGAAAAGTTTAAAAAGCATTAAGGGGAAAAAAGCAGATTGCATGCATTATTTTCAGTATGATCTTGTTTCTGTTAAAATTTTTTATATATATCCATGTACATGAAGACATGTAGAAGATATGTACCAAAATATTAATAATGATTACCTCTGAATTGTAGTTATGAATTTTTCCATTTTACTGCCATTTCTAATTTTTTTAAACCAGGGGCTTGTGTTGTTTTCTCTCTTTTTAAATCTTTTTGTTTTCCTCAAATATAGAACACTATACAGGCTACTCTGAATAAAAATGGTATTTTAATTTAACATAAACACAAAAGGCTATCCTCCCTTTTATCTCCTAAAGTAAGGAGAGATTCATGAGCTGCTTAGTAGTTCATCAATCATTCATGTGTCCTATGTTCCAGGTGTAGAGTATGGGAATCTAGGCTAAACAAAGCTGCGCTGCATCCTGTGTTCCTCCATAGAGAAGACTGAGGAAATTTCCACAGCAGCAGGATACCAGGCAGAGTTTCCAATGGCAGTGGGCTACTGCCATTCATTTTATTTCTCCCACCCTGGACACATGTAGAATATCAAGGTAGTCTTTGAGGTAGGACAGTTCTTGTGATCTCTTAGGTCATCTCATTGGGTTCCTGCTGTTGCTGGCCATGGGGCCATCCCTGACACTTTAAAATTAGTTACTGACACAGATTCCTAAAAGCATAGTCTGAGATATAAAAGTTATTTCTGAGAAACAAAGTTGCTTCATTCTGAAGACTACGTTTAGAGGTTGTGCACCAGCAGACAAGAGTTTATGTAACAGTTTGTCTTTGTTCCTCGAGCCATGTGTGACCTTTCTGCTCCTTCCTGCTGACACCATCCCCGACCGAAAAAGACAATCTGCTCAGCTTAATGTCCCTCCTTCCCTCTGGAGCCTTCGTGGAGTGTAGTAACAGCAGCTGCATGACTTGTACATAATGTAAATACTTTATTTACTTTTGTATTTAATTTATGCATCTGTCCAATGTTTGCACAGCTGTTTGATGTCTGTATACTCGGAGATTAGCTTTTGTGGGTTTTGTCGATCTTAAACCCAAAGCATAGAGAAATGGAAGGGTCTCATTATTTGCTTTTCTTTGCCCAGCCTCCAGCATGGTACCATACAGATGAGAACTTAATGAAGAAGGATGCTTCTGAGTAAGATTTAGTCATCTCCTTGAAGATACTTTTCTCCTTTGGAAAAGGAAGAATCAAACTTTCCTGAACTTCTCAGGGAGAACATGGTGGTTGACTTTGTTTCTTCTGTCAAAGGACATCATTATAGTACCAAGGTGACATCGAGGAGGTTTTAACTCTCCCAAAAAGTTGCACCAGAGGATTTGGGGAGGTGTAGGATGTGACAGCCAGCCCAGAAGCAGGGCTAGTAATTATAAAATGGGTGACGATGGAAAAATTGCTCTCTTCTTCGGGGTTACTTGCCCATCAAAGAACAGCAAGGACTGGGCATGTGAAATGCCAATGGTTTGGCTAATCAACACGCCACAGCTTAGCTGGAGTCACTGTACTTGAATGTGGTTTTGTTTTTAATGCTGTGTTCTTGTGGGCATGGAAAGAGTTACAGCCAACTGCCCCAGGTATGGTAACTAGAGGCGGTGGTGGAAATGTAAATGTAAGGACCCTTTGTCTTCTCCCCTCCAGTAGTAAAGGGGACGAAAGAGAGTGGAGAAGGATTGCACTCTTCTGGTGGACTTTCTCCTGTGATGCACAGAAATGCACGGATAACGTTAAAAATATTTTAAATTGTATTTATTTATATATTTTAGAGATGGGGTCTTGCTATGTTGCCCAGGCTGGTCTCAAACTCCTGACCTCAAGTGATCCTCTTGCCTTGGCTTCCGTGGTACCTACCTGTAATCCAAGCTATGATCGCTTGAACCCAGGCATTTGAGATGAGACTGGGCAACACAGTGAGACCCCCATCTCTAAAAAAGTATCGTCTTGTTTTGTGTGACCTGGCCATCAACACATATTTACAAAAAAGAGATATCTCTCTTTTATTATCATAAAGCATAGACTGAATTTTAGATAGGTTTTGAATCTCTCTGTGCCTGAATTTCTCTCAAAATTAATAGTGCCTCATATTTGATAAAGCACTAAGTTTTCTTTTGAAAGGTGCACAGAAAACTCTGCATTGCCTAAATTATAATTTTCTCAACTATTTGACCCAACCTATCACTGTTGTAGTATTCTTTAACAGAGCATTCTGTTACCATGAGTAAGGGAGTTGCTGCTTTTTTTTTTTTTTAAATCAATCAAGAACTACAGATAAGTACTTTTAAAATCAGACCATGACTGGGGAAAGCAGGAGTCAACGAGTCAGTTTGAGTCTGTTATCAGCTCTGCCTGAGACTGGCCTTTTATATCACTCTGAGGAGTAATGCTGTTTGTTTTCAGCATGAAATACATAAGAGAAAAAATTAAGTAGGGAACAGGAGAATAATATTTGGATAGGGTAGTTTTATTATTTTGTCTGACACATTATGTCCCCTAGCCCTCAGTATATCCAGGGATCATCTATGCTTAAAGTTAAATACAAGATAACTTCCCAAGCCAAGTACAAGTGATTTTAAAAAATAATAAAATGCCTTATAGGATTACCTACTACAGTTCTTAAGTTGCCCAGGAAACATCACATCACTGCATGCAGTGTCAGAGACATCGGTAAATCCTCCGCCAACAAGTATTTTGAATATAGCAGAAAAACACAGATGTTTTAGACCTTCTGAGATGCATTAAGTTCTGGAAACTGGAAGCCATAAAAGACAAAATCGTGGGAGGGGAATTGCTGGGAGCACCCTGGGAAAGCAGCCACCCTGGAGTTGAGTGACCTCTCTTTGATCTCTAGCTTTCCCAAGTCACTTTCCCATGCATTTCCTCAACACTGGTTTCAGTTCTTTAGATCTAATAAAAGCCTTTGGGGTTGGGAGCATCACTGAGTAGAGTGCTGATTCAGGCCAAGCTTGGAGGGAGGAGTGGAGCATTCAATGTGTTTACAGTAAAGTGTGTGTGTGTGTGTGTGTGTGTGTGTGTGTGTGCGCGCTTATGAGTAATAGCAACTTCTCACCACTGTCACAGCCACCAATGGGAGATTTAGCTTCCTCCAAGTCACCTCAATTAAACATACGCTCTAAATAAAGCAGCATGCTTGCTGGAGACAGAGCTTCAAAAAGTCCCCTAGATCTCTTTCTCCTTCCAAACATTTTGCTGCCCTGAAGCATGTCATATATAGAAATGTTATAGTTGCCTCTTTGTTCATTCATTCTTTCAAGGATCTCCACATTATATTGTTTGATAAGAAGTGGAATTAATACTTTACACAAATGCTTGCATTTCCGTGCTATTCCTTTCACTTCCTGATCATAGTGCACTCTGACTATAAAATGGATTACGTGTTGTTCCTCCTAATGCTTCAGTATATAGAGCCTCCCATGGTAGGTGATATACTTGGGTGACTCTACAGGTTGCTTCGCGACTTCCAAAAGTTTTTTCTGATAATTTTGGAAGTGCTGCATGATTTAGAAATGCTGATTCACTTCAGTCTTTAGACACATTGAAAAAATATATTATTTCTTCCTCATTTTCAAAATATTACACAAAGAAGTTTGGAAAGTAATAATAATCACTGTTCACTTGCAAAATTCCTTTCTTCTAAAACATTTTTATAATAATTAAGTCATTCTATCTTTATGATACCCAACTAAAGAGGACAGCGGGCAAGCCCATTTTACAGATGGGAAAACAGATGTTAATTGCCTTGTCCAAGACTACATAGTGAGATAAGATAAAAAATGAAAGGGAAACTTGTCCTCCTAAAATTTATGTTCTTTCTCACCATGGTGATTATTTCAGTTTGGATTGAGAAGCCAATTCATATAATTTGGCTTTTTCTGTGCCTTTAATTTCTACATATTAAAACCTAATTGCAAGGTTAGACTGTGATTTTGTCCTACGGGCACTAAATTCCTCATGTAATATGTACCTTTCTCTGCTGAATCTTGATATTTTCTTAGATTTTCAGTATAGTTTGTCTTGATTTGACTTGCAGTGCACTGCAAATGATATAATTTTATTGTGGAATATATGAGGCTGGAGGGCTGGGGAGAGGTCAGAGCTGAAAGTACAGGAAATTTAAATTACATAATGTTACACTTTGCAATTGTTTCCACTTGTACTAAGTATAAAGATAGATCCATGGCAATACACAACAGCAGGTAAGAAGTGTGTATAAAGACTTTGCACCCTGATAGTACCATTTATGTATTCATTTGGCATAAACATACCCATTTGTGAATAAACAAAGTCCAGGCCCTCATGGTGCTTACATTTTAGGAACAGAGTCCAATAATAAATATTGATTACACAACATAATCATGTAGTGATAAGTGCTATGAGAAAAAAAAGAAGCAGAGTAAGGGGACAGAGAAGGCAGAACTATTTTATATAGTAGTAGGAAGGTTAATTTAAAAGCCAGGAAGGTGGAGTCTTCCTGGCAGGTCTGAGAAACCTCAGGAGGGAGGTGGGTGTGGCTGAGGCAGAGTGAATGGCAAAAGGTAAAAAACTGAACTGGTGAGTCAGGGCTGAAAGGACTTGAAAGGCTGGGAAAGGACTTTGGATTTTATTGCAGTGTGATTAGAAGCACAGGGCCCTGGAGTGTTTTGGGCAAGAACAAGGACATTATCTTACCAATGCTTTACAATAAATTCTCTGGTGGCTGTGTAGAGGCTAGACCGTGGAGGGGAAAAAGTGGAAGCAGGGTGATGGTTCGTCTGTCCCAGTCACCCAGGAGAAAGATCACGGGGAGGGCAGACATGGGTGTTCGTGGTTAAGAGAGAAGGATGCGATTGGCTTCCGTACCATTTGAAGGTAGGCTAAAATGAACGTGGTGATTGAAAGGAAGAGATATTTTTTGTCCTGTGATGAGGCAGACTTGGAGGAATCAGTTTTGGGTTTTGTTTACAATATGGAAATCAAAAGTTCTGTTTGAGACACATTAAGTGGGAGATATTCAAATGGAGATGCCTGGAGGCAGCAGGATATAAGAGGGTGGAGTGCTGGGGAGGGGCCAGGGTTAAAAGTAGAGGCTACTTAAAGCCTTGCTGGAGGATGCTGCCTAGGGTGGCAGTGTAGAAAGAGAACAGGAGGGGCCCACGGTCAGAGCCCTGGGGCAGGCAGCAGATAGAATCACAGAGGAGGCCAAGGACCCCATTCAAAAGTGGACATGTCAATAGGTGGAGTTGGTGTTAAGGTTTAAAGACTGAAAAAAAAAATTTCATAGGAGAATAACACAAAGTTCTGAATTACTATGATAGAGGTTCATGATGAAAATGTGATAGGGAAAGGAGAGAAGATGGAAAGTTTATCATTTCAATGAATGCATCAGGGATTAATAACATCTCAGTGAACAGCAGTACTGGTGTTCCTTAAAATGTTGCCCATGGTAGTGGGCATGGATTCCATGTTTACAGGGGCTGTTTCACGAGCGTCAATATTAGCAAGGAGTATGCTACAGACAGACAACACATCTTTTTTTGACATCTCTTTTTAATAGGGACACAATATGCAGCTGGCGCTTTGGCCAGGAAAGAATAAATAAGCAAGACAATGTCAATTGTCGCTTTGGGAAAATTCTGTGTTAAAATTCTCTATGAAACCTGGCCTACTTTCAGCAACTTTTCTCAATACAGCTGTTGAGCATTCTCAATTTGGGGATGCAAATAAGCTTCTTCTCTCTCCCTTGCTCAATTCCCAGGCCATCTTTCAAACTCAAGGTTAGGTACGTATTGCAGTCCTCTGTGTGGCTGCCCTCGTCACTGGCCCTACTTGTCTGCACCGTGACGCTGCTTCAGCGTCTAGAGGGGACTGCAATGCAACAGATCTGAGATGCCAGGAGTGAACCCAGATGCTACCTCCTGGCAGACAGCAGTGCCAAGACTGAGAAAGGAGGCCAGCCTGAGGTCTCCAATAGCTTCGGCAAGAGGGGGAATTTGTTTTTTCCCCTCCCCTCCTACCCCTCACCTTGTACATATTGAATCAAACCATACATAAGCTACACATTCAGTTATTTAACATTGGACAGACTTTTTCTTGTATAAGGAATGTTGCAATTTTTTGTGATTTATGTATTTAATCATTAAGGGTGTTATTAGGACAGAGGTAATTGATTACAAACATCTGAAACGCCAAGGGCAGATGGCTGCAGAGTTACCCAGCAATCACAACTTCCAGTTCATATGCAGGTTTGGCAATAATAACTAGGACACAGGACATTTGGACAGTGTGGCCCAAGGAGAGGGAGTGCTGGCTCAGAATGAGGTTAAGGAGCATCACCAGCACCCTTGAACTTGCTCAAACACCTCTAATCTTTGGAAAACACACATGGCATCCCTTTGTTCTCTTCTATAAACTAGATATACTACATATAAGGAGAGAAAGTTACCAAAATGTTTAGAGGCTCTAAAGTAAAATATCTGTGTCATCCAATGTATGCATAATCCTAGCTCTTTTATATATTATGTACCTCCACCACTTAACCATAAACCATTTAACATCCATTCAGCTGCTGTGGCTGACTTTCAGGGTGCGGTGGTGAAACTGTGGGATGTGAAGGATTTCTGAAAAGAATGCATATTGTCATCGAGTAGCCAAGAGACTGGGGCCTTGGGCAAAACTTGCTTCTCATAGTGACTTGGTTTTCTGTCCCACACGACTTCCTCTTGCTATCACAGGATGTTTGTGTTTAATGCTCAACAAACCCCTAGAACAACAAAAGCTACCTAATCCATACCTGTCCCTCTCTGGCAGAGATGGCTCTCTGTGGCCCAAAGATGAACCCCAGGGAATTGCTGCAGTTTGGTGAAAGAAGAGTTTTAAACTATGGCCTTATTATGCTGAAGTCGAAGGTCTCTAGTTTTTGTTCTTTACCTTGCTGTTTCTGTAGCACTTAGGAGGTATCCATGAAGACCCTTATGAATCTCAGGTGCACCTGACTATTTCCAGCAGAGGGCTGCCATGCATTTATTTCAAGTTGGCTTCTTTCAAATTTTCCCATCCTAGTTTGTGCTTCTAGGCAAATCTTCTCATTCCATCCCTTCCCTAGTACTTGTTCTTTAAAGCAACTTTGATTACACTGAAGCTGGAAGAGTGGGATTATTGTGCATGTTCACTCTCTAATTTCTCTCCAGGATGTGGTGAAATCCTGCTTCACGTATGCCCTTGACATTCTGCTAATCGCGGTCAAGGCCACGTTTTATATTCAGTGACTCCCACTGAAATGACTAAATGCTGAGTGGACCCAAATTACTGCAGTGACATTAGATGATGCAGTATTTGGCATCGGTAGACTTGAGAATAAGAGTGAATTCTGTAGGTTAATCACCCCCAACATTTATTTAGATACCAAACTGAGTCAGAAGTGAAAGGTACACGCTTGAAAGAAAAAAATGAAAATAGAACGCGGTAGAATGTCAAGATATCTTTCCTGTATTCTGTGACACAGATGGTCGTTGCAGGTGGAAGTGCTGCACCGCCTTTGGGGGCTGAACAAAAGGAACAGGGGAAGCACCAAGGGCAGTGCCATCCACAGGCAGGGGGTTCCCAGGGAGCTCCTTCCCTTGTCTCCAAAACCTCTTTTCAGTCTAGCCACGCACCTTCAGTTTGGCCACTCTTTCACCCTTTCTTGTCCTTTCTCTCCCCTGCCATGCCACTTTCAATTTTCTGGTCCATAACTCTGAATGAAGAAGCCAACTGAAGGAACTTTTAGGCCCCCGGATTCCAAATAATAACCGGGGCGCGTCCATTCTAGACCCAAATGTGCAAGGGATGGAGAGGCGAGGATCTTCCTGACTTGAGGCAAAGCCCCCTCTCCTCCGCGGCGCGGTGACAGTGTTCTGGGGGTCAGCTGGGAGTAGAGAGGAGCCACTGCCGTAGTCTCGGAGGATGCCTCTTCCCGGTGCTACTGCTGCTGCTGCGGCGGCGGCCGGTTTTTTATTTTTGCACCGCAGCACAATGCCGGGGCCGAGGCAACAGCCTACGTCGGGACCTCTCAGGCAGCGTCTCTACCCACTTCGCGTTCCCTGTCCCCCAGTCCCCTAGGGGCACCCGCCGAACGCCCCTCGGCGCCCCACCGCAGCGCACGTGCGCTCCCGGGACAACAGCAGGCGAGGCTTCGGCGCGCCCCCGCCCCCTCGGCCGCGCGCGCGCTCCGCCCGCCGCCCGCCCTCCTCGCGCGTGCTCGTGCCCGCGGCCGCGGCGGCGCGCCTCTTCTCCCCGCTGCGGGCGTCGCGGGTGCAGGAGGAGGCGGAGCGGAGGAGGCGGAGGCTGGGCGGGCGGCGGGCTCCGGCGGGGGCACGCGCCGGCCAGCTGGGCGGGGGCGCTGCGGGGGCGGCCCGAAGGCGTCAGGGTGAGAGGCTCTGGAGCCCGAGGACCCGCGTCCCCGGGGGCCGACTCCGCCGCGGGAGGGCGAGCGCGGTGCGTGCCGGAGGTGGGGACTTGGAGGCCGCGGCCCGGCGCCCCCGCCCCCGAGCCTGACGGGGCGCGAGGCGGGATGAGGCGCTGGCGCGGGGGACGCCCGGCCGAGCCCCCGCGGCTGCCCTCGGCGGCCAGGCGCTAGGCTCGGCGGCGCGGGCGGCGCTCGGCGGCGGCGGCGGCGGGCGGAGGGCGTCGGGCCCGGCCCGCGGAGGGCAGACACGGAGCGGCCAGCGGGGCGCAGGGACGCCGCGGCGGCGCGGCGGGGCCGCGGGGCTCGGTAAGGCGGGCGCGCGGGAGGGCCGGGGGCGCCGGTGACGTGGGCAGGCCCCGCGGGGAAGGCTGCGGGGGGCCTCTCTTTCCTTCTTAAAATATTCTTTTTAGAGTGAGGGTTCCGGATCGCATGCTCCCGGAGGAGCCTCTCGGTTGTCCCCCCGCCCCCGGCCCCATCTCCCCGGCCTCCCGGGGCGGACGGCGCTGCGGGCCCACCGCCTCCCGCGCCCGCGCCCCGCGCTCCCCGCGGCCTCCGCGAGCCGGGCGTTCGGACGGCGTTCTGGCCTGCCGCAGCGCTCTCCGCCCCGGGCCCAAGGCGGGCGGCAGCCGCGACTCCTGGGAGCGGCCGAGTGGGGGCTCCAGGGACACCGGCGCTCCCGGAGGAGCCGCGGGAGCGTTTCCCTCCGCTGCCCGCGGGCGACATCGCGGGTCCCGCCCCCAGGTGTGCGTGGGCCCCGCGGGGCCAGAGGTCTCTGCTCCCTTAGGCTCCCGTGGAGTTCCCCCCTCGTCTTTCCGATTGACTGAAGTTGCCGCTGCATGTTGGACGACGGTGGTGCATTAGTGCCTTTTTTCCCCCTCGCTTCCTCGCCACCCCTGTACCTTGGTTTCCCGTTTTTTGACTTTATCAAATATTTATGTTAAAGATTTTCTTAAGCAGTACACAAGAAACGGTAGGGAGAGAAAATCAGACTTGGTTTCTTAGCTTTAGTCTACCTTGGACCTTTTGTAGCTTCACCTTCTGTTTGTGAAACTTGAAGATGGAAGGAAGGAGGAGACCCAAGCAGAATGCTTGGGATGCAGTTTAATAGTCATCTTTTAGGAAATAGAATTTGGATAATTATAATTTTGATCTGAATGCAGAGTTACAATCTGTCTTTAAAATGCTTGGGGCACTGCGTGATGCTACATGGCTAGCTGGCAGCTGGGCCATAGCATTGTTGTCAGCATCTCTTTTATTTTCTATTCTTTCAGAGTTTTATTTGGCACAGATTTAGACCTTTTAAGTCAGTCTGAATGGGGATAACTTTTCTGATACATTGGTTGCTTTTGTAAACATTGTCTATGTTTGTATTTCTATTGGAAGAAGAAAAAGCAAATGGTGCTGGAGTGCGGTGGCTCTTAAGAGTCTCCACAGTTTGCTAGTTTGAATCAGTGACTGGATTTGTTGTAATATTTTTGAGTATTTATGGTTGTGACTCAATATATCCTTCCTTATTGGATACATTGAAGTCTAACTGAGAATCGATATTTGTTCCTTGGACTTGAGTGTGAAGGAAAGAGAAGCTTTAATTACTACTACAACATGACCTCAAAGTTTTTCAAGTACTCAATGTTGTGTTTTCTTTTTAATGGGGCTGTTTGTGAAGATGAGGCATTAGGATGTTGTGATTTCCATTTTCAGGAATGTCTGGAGTCTGAGTCATTCTTGGAATTGGATATATGGTGATGCTTCATAGAGCAGGTGTCTCTATGGAAATGTCAGGTTGGAATTGTGTTTAAGCCAGTTATCTTCGTACCGTGGTCCCTATAGCAGTCCGTGTATAAAGCAGCACTTTGGACAGAGACTTGTCTGGACACAGCTAAGGTGGAAGCCCAGTTTACTGTATGATCGTTCACATTGAGGTGGGTGACAGGGTGAAGTAGTGGGGGAGAAAAACATAAGTGGGACAGAGAGGAAATGTTAGTTGGAAGAACCTTCTCCAGTTATGTAACTGTTTTGTTTTCTAGGGAGAGACTAAGAACCAGCAAGACAGGCTCAACTGTCTTCTTTAGAGCCTTTGATGTTGGTTTGAATTCCAGTAGTTATGTTCCTTCTGTGTTCATTTCCTAACCTCCGTATCATTTTCCAGTCACCAAAAGCTTTTCTGAAGTTGGCCTGCGACACTAATGGCAATACATTCATCTCTACTTTCTCTCTCTCTCGGTGCTATATAAACGATGTTTTTATTGTTGCTTGTTCTCTCTTGACTTATTCAAGTGTTTTCCTTCCCAAGCTGACCTGAGTATATTATCTGCACACTGTATGTTGATCGTAGACGCATGTAATAAATGTTAAGGACTAGGCATCTGTTTTCTTCATAAGGCTGTGGTAGCAGAAGAATGAAACAAAAAGGAACTTAACATAGTTGAACTTTTAAAGAGTAAGACTAATATTCTTGAGAATTTTTCGGATTTAACCCATGATTGTGAAGTCCAATGTCCATGGAAGTAGTCAGGAGGCAGCAAGGACTTGAAGTTAGGTTGTGGTTGCAGTTCTGCCCCATAGTAGCTGTGTGACAGCGTACCTTCCTTGGACAAGTTATTTACATTTCTGAGCTTGTTTGCATTTTATAAAATAGGGATCAGAAGGCTTGCATTGTTTTTCTTACAGAGCTGTGAAGGATCAGATGATAGAAAGGATATGAAAATGCTCTGCAGAACTGTTTTTAAATATGTAAAGTATTGTCATTACGTATAAACTTAGTTACTAACCTATGTTACCTGGTAAATTGGCCTAGCAAACTCTTTTAAATGTTGTAACAGAAATTTAAAAAACATGCATATAAAGGCTGGGCAGGGTGGCTTACACCTCTAATCAAATGCTTTGGCAGGCAGAGGTGGGAGGATCCCTTGAGGCCAGGAGTTTGAGACCAGTCTGGGCAGCATAGAGAGGCCCAGTCTTTACAGAAAATCAAATAAAAACCATTAGCTGAGTGTAGTGGCACACACCTGTAGTCCTGGCTACTCGGGAGGTTGAGATGGAAGGATCACTTGAGCCCAGGAATTAGGGGTTACAGTGAGCTATCATTGTGCCACTGCCCTTGAGCCTGGTCAACAGAGTGAGATCCTGTCTCAAAACAACAACAACAACAACAAAAACAGATAAGGAATGAGAACGTGTTAGATTTCTTCTAGTTCCAAAATTCTGTGCTCTGTCTTATTTAGAAAATCCACCGGTAGTACTTGCAATTTTGAACTCTCTGGAATTTTCAATTACTTGGAGACAGATCAAATTTATTGAGACTGTGAGCTACTGCTGCTGCTGCTTTTTAAAATTTAATAGAGTCAGGGTCATGCTATGTTGCACAGGCTGGCCTCCAAATTCTGGGCTGAAGCGATCTTCCTGCGTTGCCCTCCTGAGCAGCTGGGACTACTGGCCTGTGCCAAGGCTGGACAAGACTTTGAACTTCTTTAAAGTATCAGTTCACAATACCAAAGGAGGTTACAAGTTAATGATTTGTAAGAACTGTTTAGTAAAAAATATTTTAAATTTGTCTGCATTATTTAGGGAAGGGATGGGCAAACTGTAGCCTGCAGGCCATATCTGGCCCATGGCTAAGAATGATTTTTATATTTTTAAATGGTTGAAAACAATCCAAAGAAGGATAAAATTTCATGTCATGAGAATGATATAAAACGCAAATGTCAGTGTCCTTCAGTAAAGTTTTGTAGGAACACAGTCGTTCATTCTTGGGTCTGTGGCTACTTTGGCAGTGCAGCAGCAGAGTGGAGTACTTTCATAGCTCGGCCTGCAGAGCCTCAAGTATTTATTATCTGGTTCTTTAAAAGAAAAGTTTTCCAACCCCCGATTTAGGACTTAACTTTTTTTTTTACTTTAATTAGCATATGTGCTATTTCCTATCATAGCCATTATAAGGTTAAGAATCCTGGAAAGGTACTAATTTTTGTTTTGGAGCCAGATAGACTTGAGTTCACATACCAGCTATGATATTTATAAACATTGATCCTGGACAAACTAATTAATGTCGTGGGACCTCAGAGATTTCCTTTGTGACCAGGGAATATCAGTAGTATCTACCTTGGAAGGTTGTAGTGAGGATTAAATGAAATGGTACATATTAAGGCTTAACACAATCTCTGACATACAGTAAGCACTCAGTAAGTGATAGATGATGATGATTAGAAACTCTAACCTGAAAGTATGCCTAAAATATTTTATATTACCATCACCTCCAGATTATAGAGTTATTTTCCTGAGTGTTATGCTGTTTGCTATAGAATTTTCTCCTTTGCTGAAACTTAGTTAACAGCTGATAAGCGGAATAACTTGAGAAATTTCCTGTATGCTGTAGTGTATTTTTATTAATCACTTGCTGACTTCAGATCATTAAGAATGGGTGGAAAGATACTTCTGTTTTTTATAGATCCTGATTCTTGATAATTTCCCGATAATGTTCTTAAGTTTATAAATTGGATTTAAATACCACTTCTATTTTGGTACTGGTACTGGCTTTTTTTTTTTTTTAGAAAGATGAATGAGAAAAGTCGGTTTTGATTAGGCCAGGGTTGGATAATTTTCCCCATATGTATATGTACTCTAAAGTCTTCCTTATGATTTGCATTAACATCTTTATGGCATGCTTCTCAGAGTTGAAATAATAAAAGCTAATTTTTTTTTTCTAAATAGATCTAGTTTACTATCCAGAGACTTTTATATTACACTGCTTTTTGAAGTATTTGATTTAAATTATCTTACAGTTGAGAAATTTGGTGTGCCTCTCAACTTCAAATGCTGGTTTATTAACATTAATCTCAAACTAAGAGTGAGCAAATAAAAAAGGCCATTGTTCTGAGTTAAACAAAATAGAATTGGGGTCATTGTGGCTCTTGCAGTTCTACAAACTGTACAGTTTCTTGGCCTTAGCTGATGCTTCAGTGAAGTGAGATGATCCAGAGGAGACAGGGGAGGGCACTGATGTTCCCACGCTGTCCTCGGTGGAACAGTGAGATGGAGGCAGAAGGGCTCTTCCACAAAACCAGGGAACAGCACCTGGAAAGGTGTTCTGATTATAGCACCTCAAAAAAAGTAGACCTAAAGAAGATGAGATGCGACAGAGTTTTCTCTTGAGGTTAAAAAACAAACCAAACCAGACGTTTCCTATCTGGAGAGATGAAGCTTGAGCAGGAATATTCCCCAAGGTAGTAAAGTGTAAGGATTTTATAAAGTAGATATTTTCAGTTTTACTGGACAAGGGAGGGCTAGTCTTGTATTTAAAGGAGATTGTTGTAGGACAAGTAAGAGGAAGTGAGAAATGGGTGTTTGGTTTAATTTCTCATGAGAAAAACATGAATCTGAATGTTCAGAATAGAAGTAAAATTCTGGCTTTCAAAACACAGTTGTTTTTTTTTTTTTGCTTCCGGCTATGTATCTATTTACTATTTTATTTTATATCCTGGATTATAATATACATAATATTGGAGGCTGTGGAGATGGAAAGCATTGAGAGGAAAAGCATGTGTGAACCATTCATTATGGAAATGTTATGTCCAATTTGTCTCTGTTTGAAAAGATAAGCATCATACTCTAGGAGAGAATCTTCTAGAAAATTCTATCAGTTTGCCCTAAAAATAGTAAAATCCTTATTTGGATTTCAGCCTTGTGATGTGAAGCAAGCCATTTGACTCCACTGCTTTTATTCCCTGTGTGTAGCATGGAAACAGTAATTCCTGTTCCTCCTTTCATTGGAGAAATATAGGTGGTTGAAGGACTCTTAAGATGAGTAGCATCTTCAGTAGCTGTGCAGAATATATCATGTGAAGTTCAGTAATTACCCAGGATATCAAACACAGACCAAAAAAGTGAAGCAACTTTTAACAGGAAAATGAGTTTTGAACCTGGAGTCAAGAGGACCTGGATGTTTGTCTTGGCTCTGTTGTAAACAGCTTGTGACTTTGGACAAGTAATTTCTGTCTCCAAAGGTCCAGTTTCCATTGACCTACCTAAGGAGAATCTGACAGACCTTCCTTCTTGTTTTATATTCAGTGGCCCTCCAGATTAAGTAGGAATAGCAATCCTGACACAGTAGGATAAGGGAAACCACATCTCTTTGTATCTGTGAACTGACAAGTATCCACTGAGTACATCTGTGTGTCTCCTGCCATGCTTCAAGCAGTGGAAGATAGATAGGTAAGAAGGTGTCATTGAGTCTTTGCCCTCAGGAGGTGTTCATTTCATGGGGAGACAAACTATTTTATGAAAAGGAATATTATAAGTAAGCAAGGAGATAGTGGAATGATCTGGCAGTTTGAGGACTTGTGATGTACTATTGGAGAGGATACTTTGTAGCCTTGTGACCTTGAACATGTAAAATGGGCTTTGTAGACTCCCTCCAACTCTGAAATTTGGTCATTCTGTCTTTGATGGAGAAGCAGCAGCTCTGAATCAACCTGTTGGTAGACAACCCAAGTAAGAACTGCTCAATTAAAGCCAGATTTTTACACACATTCTGCGTAATTGATTTAGTAGATGGAAGGAAAGGTTTACTTTAATTTACTAGAAATGCAATCAACGGATAACCCTTCTGAAAAATAAAGCGTGCGAGAAGTGACAAGAGACCAAAGTGAGCTTGTTCCTGAGGCAGTACATTTGTGCCTGGATCTCATTTCTTCTTGCCTACAGGTCTTCTATTCTAGCAGTTTTCTTTCCTAAGATATCATTCTCTCTTTACTGAATCCTCTTTCAGTTAGCATCCATGCCTTTTGTTACTTGCAGCAGTGATAGCTAGTTGTCTACCCAATGCCATTCTCTGTGGCTTCCTTTTAGTATATAGGATCCTCAGGGTTTATCTGGGCACATGTTGGCCCAGCTAGAAACTGCATTTCCTAGCTTCTCTTTTATAGTTGGATGTGGACTAAATTCTGGCTAAATGGATGTGGACATAAGTGGTATGTGTGATTTCTGGGTTGTAGCCTTAGAAAGGAAGCTAATCGTTTTCTATTTTCTCTTTATCCCCTTTTGCAGATGAGAGTGTAGGATGTTAATGCACTGATGGGGCATATTATTCAACCTGCAAAGGTGAGGGCAATACCTTAGCGGGGGATGGATGAATAAGATGGATTTTTAGATGATCTTGTGGAGCAGAACTGCCTCCTAGCCTTGTACTTCTCATTTATCTTTGGGTGGTTAGGTGAGAGAGGAATAAAGTTTTATCTCTTGAGCTACTGATGCCTTAAATGAATAAATCACACCTTTTAAACCACCTTTACCTTGGGATCCCCTTCATTTACATTTATTGTCCTTTTTTTGTTTCCTTTTGCAGCAGAAATTTCAAGAGTTGTTTATATTTGCTGTACCTTCTTCTTCACCAGTGATTCTTTAGCCTGATCATTTGAGCTCATCATATGAATTACTCTTCCTGCCAGTGACTTCTTCCTCTCTCTCCCCCAAGTCTTTACCATTTCAGTAAGTGGCATCATCAGCCACCACTTGTGCAGGCCAGAACCCCTGGAGTCATCCTTATCCTTGATTTCTTTTTTTAATTGCACTCCAATGAAATTGTTTTTAATCAAGACTGCAGTGACCTGGATCTTGCCAAAGCTAGTGGTCAGTTCAATGTTTGTATCTTATTTGACCTCTCTCACCAGCATTTCACAGTGGCCAACTTTACTAGTTTTGACCTCTTAGTTGTTCATTCTCATTTTCTATATGCTTTTGCCAGTTTATCTCTACTTTCCCACTCCTTGAAAATTTGGAATGTCCCTCAGGTGATTTCATCCAATTTTTGGTTTCAAATACCATTTATATGCCGATGAGGCTCAAATTCTTATTTCTAGTACTGACTTTTTTCCCCCTTGCGCTCTAGACTCTTGTAACTCCATGCCTCTCCTTGGATGTCTAATGGATACCTCAAAGGCAGCATGAACAAAGGAGGGCTATGAATTACTCTTCCTGTTGGTGACTTCTTCCTCTACCTCCCCCAAGTCTTTACCATCTCAGTAAGTGGCATCATCATCCACCACTTGCGCAGGCCAGAACCCCGGATTCTTCCTCCTCCTTGATTTCTTTTTTTCCTCCTCATCTCATGTTAAGTCTGGTCACCTCCACCTTTATAATATAAACCGAACCTGACTACATCTCACTTTTTTCACTGGCAAAAACCTAGGCTAGGCTAGGCTAGTAGGCTTTGTCGTCTGGCAAACTGCCAGCAGACTTCCCTGCTTCTACTCCTGTCCTTGTCCTTCCCCTCATTCTTACCATACACGGGAGCCAAAATAATGTTAAACGTTAATCAGATCGTATCATTCTGCTTACTGGCTTTCCAATATACTTAATGCTAAAACAAAAACTTAACATTTTACCGTGGAAATAAACCCTTCATTTTGGTCGCTTATGAGGCTCCATATCAGTGGTTCTTAACCAGGGAAGATTTTCCCCTCAGGTGATGTCTGGAGACATTCTTGGTTGTCACAAATTGGGGTAGGTTGCCACTGGCATCTAGTGGGTAGAGGCCAAAGTGGCTGCTAAACATCCAACATCCAGTAATGCACAGGACAACTCCCAGCAGCAAAAAATTATGTGGTCCAAAATGTTTGTAATGTGTGATATGGCTCCTGGCTGCTTCTCTGCTCTCATCTTCTGCTCTCTCTTCTTTTCTTCTTTGTTCACTGAGCCACAGTCTCAGTGATGTTCCTTTTTTTTTTTAAGTAGACTATTTTTACGTTCACAGCAAAACCGAGCTAAAGGTGCAGAAGTTTCCTGTATACCCCTTGTCTTTACACATATGCAGCTTCCCCCATTATCAGCATCCCACATCAGAGTCGCATATTTGTTACAGTTGATGAGCCTACATTGAAACATCATTATCACCCGAAGTCCATAGGTTACATTAGGATTCACTCATTTTTCCCACTTGTTCTGAGAGGAGAAAAAAAAAAAAGACTGACTCTTGGTGTTGTACCTTCTATGGATTTGGACAAATTAATAATGACATGTATCCACATCATAGTATCTTATAGAGTAGTTTGACTCTGCTGAAAATCATCTGTGATTTGGCTATTCATCCCTCCCTCTCCCCAGCCCCTGTCAACCACCAGCCTTTTTACTGTTTCCATACTTTTGCCTTTTCCAGAATGTCATATAGTTAGAATCATAGAGTATGTAGCCTCTTCAGACTAGCTTCTTTCACTTAGGATAAACATTTAAGTTTCTTCCCTGTCTTTTCGTGGCTTGATTGTTCATTTCTTTTTTATTGCTGAGTAATATTCCATTGTCTGGATATACTACAGTTTATTTATTCATTCACCTGCTGAAGGACATCCTAGTTGCTCCTAAGTTTTGGCAGCTCTGGATAAAGTTGCTACAAGCATCTGGGTGTGGTTTTTTTTTTTTAATAAGTAAGTTTTCATCTTGTGTAAATACCTAAGCATGCGATTGCGGGATCATATGTTAAGAATAAGTTTAGTTTTGCAAGAAACTGCAACACTGTCTTCCCAAGTGGCTGTGCCATTTTACAACCTCACCAATAGTGAATGAGAGTTCCTGTTGTCCCACATCCTTGTCCACATTTGGTGTTGTCAGTGTTTTAAATTTTGGCCATACTTATGGGTGTGTGGTATATGACATTGTTTCTTCCCTTTGAATAAAAGCACGTTCTGTCTTAGGGATTTGTGTTTGCTGTTCCTTTTACTTAAAATGACTTATTTTTAATTTTTTTTAGAGACAGGGTTTTACTCTGTCACCCAGGATGGAGTGATCATAGCTCGTTGTAACCTCGAACTCCTGGGCTCAGGTGATCCTCCTACGTCAGCCTTCCAAGGAGCTAAGACTATAGGTGCGTGCCACTGTGCCGGGCTAATTTTTGTAATTTTTGTAGAGACGAAGTCTCTCTATGTTGTCCAGGCTGGTGTCAAACTCTTGGGTTCAAAGGATCCACCTGCCTCAGCCTCTCAAAGTGTTGGGATTATAGGCGTGAGTTATGGCGCCTGGCCATGTACTTCTTTTAAGTCTCGTCATGGCTGCCTTCGTCCTCTCCCAGAGAGACCATCATGATTACCTGTATATGTAGCACCCCCACCTCTTTCTTTTATATCATCCCATTTTGTCTTCTTCATATTCATTTATTATTTGCTTATTTGTTTAATTAATTAATTAATTTATTTTTCGAGAGAGGGCCTCATTTTGTCACCCAGGCTGGAGTGCAGTGGTGCGATCTCAGCTCACTGAAGCCTCGACTTACTGGGCTCAAGCAGTCCTCCCACCTTAGCCCCCAAGTAGCTGGAATTACAGGTGTGCACCACCACGTCTGGCTAATTTTTGTATTTTTAAATAGAGATGGGGTTTCACCGTGTTGCCCAGGCTGGTCTCGAACTCCTGGACTCAAGTGATTCAACTGCATTGGCCTTCCAAAGCTCTGGGATTATAGGCATGAGCCACTGTGCCCGGCCATGTGTTTAATTTATAACCCCCCTCTCTCTGAGCTACTCAAGGGGTGAGGGCTTTGTCTAGGCTCCTGCTGTATCTCTAGCATTCCTACTTAATAAACATTTGTTGATGATAGAGAGGTGCTAGAGTCACTTTTAGAAATGGAGCAGGGTTTTCAGCAATAATGAGAAGTCACAGGATCCAGCTGGTAGCAGTAGAGAAAGTTGTGATTTGCTGGAGGGTGAAAAATCCATTGAGACAAGGCTGCTTTGGTCTTCTATTTAGTAACTAATTTTGAAGAATGGAGGAATTCACCTTTTTTTTTTTTTTTTTTTTTTTTTTTTTTTGGTGAGGAGGCAAATAACGAAAGAGCAAGATGACAGGAACTTTTAAAGAAAGAAAGGTTACTTCAGGGTGTAACTTTGGTTTTGCCTGTGTCTCATACCACTAGTCTCTGCATATAGAGCTATATCTTCATATTGCCGCTATATAGGCCCCCAGGGAATATGCCATCTGCCTTTCTCTAATATCAGAATTCCTTCTACATTATCCTTGGGAGGTACTTACCCTCTGCTTCTTTATTTTTACTGTCTGAAAACTCAGTTATTCACATGACCGATTAACTTTTTAAAAAGAGTTCTTATTGTTAGGAAATGTATCTCATTCTATGAAATTGGAACACTACTCCATGCATTTCTGACTCCACACAGATCTGCTTTATTTTTCACATGATAGCTCTTTAGCTGTCTGTGAAAAATGGCTAGTTCTTTTATCTTCCCACCAGTCTTTTCTCTTTCTAGGCTCAATGGATTCATTTTCTTCAACTATTCCTCATAGGACAAGGTTTTTAGATTATTTTTCAGGCCCATCCCTAACATTTTTGGGACTCGGGGTAGGGATACAAATTGCAGATCTGCTATGGTTTGGATATTTGACCCCTCCAAACCTAATGTTGAAATTTGATCCTCAGCATTGAAGTTGGGGCCTAATAGGAGGTTTTTGGGTCATGAGAGTGGAGCCTTCCTGTCTACATTAATGCCTTCCGTGGGTGGGGGGTGAGTGAGCGAGCTGTCCCTCCGTTAGTTCCCCACAGAGAGCTGGTTGTGGAAAAGAGCCTGGTACCTCCCTCCACTTGCTTCCTCTCTCACCATGTGATCTCTGCACATGCTGGCTCCCCTTTGCCTTCTGCCATGAGTAGAAGCAGCCTGAAGCTTTCACCAGATGCCTAACCTTCCAGCTGGCAGAATTGTGCACCAAATAAACCTTCTTTATAAATTACCCAATTTCAGGTGTTCCTTTATGGCAGTACTAAACGGACTAAGACGAGGTTCATATGTCTATGCAAGTTATGAATCAAGTTAACTGATAAATAGAAAATGTTCCATTGCTGATTTTATCAAATAAAACTCCATAGTAACCTAGATCAGAGTCAAACAGAGAATTCAGATTCCTCTGAGTTTGTTTTTTTTGTTTTGTTTTTGAGACGGGGTCTCGAAACATATGTCTATACAAATTATCAGTCAAGTTAACTGATAAATAGAAAATGTTCCATTTGCTGACTTTATCAAATAAAACTTCATAATAACCTAGATCAGAGTCAGAGAATTCAGATTCCTCTGAGTTTGTTTTTTTGTTTTGTTTTTGAGACAGAGTCTTGCTTTGTTGCCCAGGCTGGAGCGGAGTGCAGTGGCATGATCTTGGCTTACTGAAACCTCCGCCTCCCAGGTTCAAGTGATTTTCCTGCCTCAACCTCCTGAGTAGCTGAGGGACCACAGGTATGTGCCATCATGCCCCGTTAATTTTTACATTTTTGTTAGAGAGACGGGGTTTCACCATGTTGGCCAGGTTGGTCTCGAACTCCTGATCTCAAGTCATCTACCCTCCTTGGCCTCCCAACTCTGAGTTTGTTTTTAGAACAAGCTGAGGTGCAGAGAGTCAGCCTCTGACCTGAGGTCTTCTTCTCTTCCCCAGGCTCCTTGAACTATGAAGTTTGCATGTGCGTGTCTGTGGAACTCCAGCCTGTACACCCTCCAAACAGCAGCTCTTTGGCCATTCTTTGGCCTAGGGTTGTAAATACTGTTGGTTGGGTCATCTGTCCTTAGGAGAACTGACTCAGGGGAGAGGCCTGAGCAGACCCTGGAAGAGGTGGGAGATTTTGGGGTCCCGGTCAAGATGAGGGCTGGGGCACGTAGGCTGCAGATGGGCACATCCTTTAGGCCCTTAGCATAGCTGGCCCCATGGTCAGGGGTATGGTTAGAGGAAGGCCAGTGCAAGGCCCTCTAAAGCTTGAGGCCCAGGATGGGTGCCATTGTTTAGGTCTAAGCAGTACTGTTCTATGCAAGTAAAACTCTGGTTTTGGTCCTATTGCTAGAGTTGGTTATTGTGGAAAATGGTACAATCTCTCTTATGGTGCCTCAAATTAGATGTGATGTTTTAGTTAGAGCTTCCTAACCAGTGTGCCAGCAGTTCTCTGAATGTGTTACAGATGGGCCAGAAATACTGATTCCCTTAGTTCCCAGGATTGTCAGGGGTAGAGTGGCAAGAGCTTCTAGGCTGATCACTTTTCCAGCAGGATGACCTATTTACCCCAGGGTGCCTGTACCAGTGCTACTATGCTACCAGTATCAGGTGCTTTATGGGCAGGTTTAGGAGCATATATATATATATTTTAATGAACATTATCACTTGGTCCACCTGAAAGAGTAAGAGGTGTCACAGTAGGTTTTGTGCCCTTCTTATTAGTAGGGAAATAGATCCAGGTTAAGTCACTTATCTAGTGACATTTTCTTACTCAAGTAGGCCAGTTGAAACTAGAACTCCGTTTTTATGACTTATTTTGGTATTTCTCTCTACTAACCCAAATTGTGTTCCGTGTACCTTTTTTTGGGATAACTTGTCACTCTTATTCATCTAGGGCTTGTAGGAAATTACATTTTTTAGAGCTTTTCTCTCCCAAATTTTGTTACATTGTTTTCCTTTTATTGTTATTTTTTAATCTAAATATTCAGTTTTATGTTTAATCCCTACTAAACAGAATTATTTTTATGAGATTCAACCAATTGATGGAGCATCTTGAAACTGGATTTTATGTGTTACTCATTTTTTATAGCTCTCTTCTTTAGATTAGTATTATATTTAGTTACTACAGTAATGTTTGTGTGAAATGTGTGAAATGGTCACCTCAAACTCATTTATATAAGGTTAGATTACATAAGACAGGAAAGTGTGCAGTACATTTTAGAAATATTCCTGTTGTAAAACAGTTAAAGTTCTGGTGCTTACATGTAAATTCACTTGTTTTTTTATCTAATGCCTACTTTGTACTGATCTTAAGGAGTGTTATTTTATTGAAACCTCCCAGTAACTCTAGTAGTAGTACTATCATAGAAGGGAACTGGGCCTCAGAAATTGTGGTCACTTGATCAGGTTTACTCAACTATGTGGGGGATTGATTCATACTTTAAATCCAGGTCTTTTTGCCCTTCAAGTGCCTGTGTTTTCCTCAGTACTACTTTGTAAATAATGTGAAGTGATTTCTGAACACTTAACTCGGGTTGAGAAGGGGATGTTTTCCACATTTATATTCTTAACATTTAGAGTAACAGATTCTTTGCTATTACTCCTGCACAGGACAACCTCTCTCTCTTCTCTCCCAACAGAGAATTACCATCTGGTCAAGAATGTCAGTAGCGCCAAGGTTGAGAAACCCTGCTGTAAGAGTTCTGAGTAGTCAAGGTTTTACTTTGAGTGCGTTTGTGTTTGCAGTTTTAGCTCTTTACCGTGATGATAGGTACTAGAATGCACGAGAGACATGAACTACTTGTGCCTCCATAGTTTATATTCTTAATTTGTCCACTTCCCTCCCAGTTTGGAAACAGGTTGACAGTGAGTGTAGAGCAAGATGTTTATCCATTTGTATTCTGTGTTGTTTCTAGAGAATCAGGGATTTTATGTTAGAGACTTTCTGAATGGTGAAGGTTAGGCTTTTTAGGTTTTCATGCTGATTTTTATGATAACTTTCAATAGGAAAAGGTTGTGAGACATGGGCAGTTAAGCTGGCTTTCATGTACTGGCTTGCTAACCCACCTACTCTTATGAAGAGTTGTGTTGATTGATTAGAGCACAGATTTGAAGGAATGGTTGCTCAGTATTCTCATACAGGTTCTTTGTGTTTTCACCTGTTTTTGAGTTCCAAGGCATGATCAGAACCTCATTATAGCAGTTTTCCCAATTTCTTTTCAGTACCTTCCCAGACCTGATTTTATGTCCCTTTGATCTAGATTACCGTGCCCACCTCCTTAAACTTGTTTCAGTGTGTCATTCTAAACTATCAAGAACCATCAAAAGTTCTCTGTCTCCTATGGTTCTATTCAACTCTCTTGCTTGAGCTTCAAGGAGAGCCTTTTTAGAATCCTTCTTAACTCAGGATTCTGTTTCACCAAATGATAAACATCTGTCCTATTAATATTACCAACAGCTACTGTTATTGCTAACTGTTTAATTGTTATGGACATGCTACGAACTCTTCTAAGCCCCTTACATGTATTATCTGATTTAATCATCACAAGTGCCCCCATGAGGTAGTTACTTATAGTGATATTTTTATTGCAGTAAAATATACATAAAATAAAATTCGCTATCTTAGCCATTTTTTAGGTGTGCAGTTTAGTAGTGTGAATATATTCACATTATTGTGCAATAGATCTCCAGAATGTTTTCATCTTGCAAAACTAAAACTCTATGACTGTGAAACAACTTGCCATTTTCCCCTTCTCCCAGGCCCAGTAACCACATTCTACTTTCTGTTTCCATGATTTTGGCTACTTTAGATACCCCATATACATGGGATTATACTGTACAATATTTGTCTTTATGTGACTGGCTTATTTCACTTAGCATAATGTCCTCAAGGTTCATCTATGTTGTAGCATGCGGAAGGATTTCCTTCTTTTTTAAGGGTGAATACTATTCCATTGTGTGTCCATACCACATATTGCTTATCCATTAATTGTCAGTGGATGCTTGAGTTGCTTCCACCTCTTGACTATTTTGAATAGTGCTGCTATGAACATGAGTATGCAAATACCTCTTTGAGTTCCTGTTTTCAGTTTTTTGGAGTATACATCCAGAAGTGGAATTGCTGGATCACATGGTAATTATATTTTTACACTTTCTGAGAAACAGCCATACCCTTTTTCCATTGCAGCTGTACCATTTTATATTCTCATCAAGAGTGCTCAAAGGTTCCAGTTTCTTCACATCCTTGGCCACGCTTGTTTTCTTTCTCCTTTCCTTTCCTTTCCTCTTTCCTCTTTCTTTTTCTCTTTCTTTTCTTCCTCCTCCTCCTTCCTTCTTCCTTCTTTCTCCTCCCCCTCCCTCTCCCCTCCCCCTCTCCCCGCTCCCCATTTTCCTCCTCCTTCTCCTCCTCTTCCTCCTTCTCCTCCTCCTCCTTTTTTTTGCCAGTAGCCATTTTAATGGGTAAGGTGATATCTTATCATGGTTTGGTTTGCCTTTCCCTAATGATAGTGATGGTGAGCATTTTTTCATATGCTTGTTGGCCACTTGTATGTCATCATTGAAGAAATGTGTGTTCAAGGCCTTTGCTCATTTTAAAATAGTTTTTTTTGTTGTTGAGTTGTAGGAGTTCTTTACATATTTTAGATATCAGTCCTTTTAACAGGTATAAAATTTCAAATACTTTCTCCCATTCTGTGGATTGCCTTTTCATTCTGTTGATAGTGTCCTTTGATATACAAACATTTTAATATTAATGTTGTCTAGTTTATTTTTCCTATTGCCTGTGCTTTTGGTGTCATGTCCAAAAAATTATTGCCAAATCCAGTGTTATGACATTTCCCTCCTATGTTTTCTTCTAAGACTTCCATAGCTCTTATGTTTAGATCGTTGATCCACTTTGAGTTAATTTTTGTATATGGTATAAGGTAAGACTCTAATTTCATTTTTTGTGTGTGAATATCCAGGTTTCTCAGAACCGTTTGTTGAAGACTGTCCTTTCCCAGTTAAATGGTCTTCACACTCCTGTAGAAAATCATTTGACTATATATACTAGTACTCATACTAATTTTATAGAGGAGGTGATTGACATTGAGGTGTGACTGATAGACAATATTAACATATTTTTAAAAAGAATTCGTTAACCTTGAAGTAATTTATATTTGGTACAGTAAAATAAAGTGAAGGTTTTTAGGGTTGTGAGGTTTTTTTTTTGGTGTGTTGCAGTCTTCTCCCAGGATTTTTGTAGTTCTGCCAGGCCTTATAAAACGACTTTGAAATGGTTTTAAAATAGTAGTTTTGGGCTGGGCCTGGTGGCCCGTGTCTGTAATCCCAGCACTTTGGGAGGCCAAGGCAGGCAGATCACTGGAGGTCAGGAGTTTGAGACCAGCTTGGCCGACATGTGAAACCCCCTGGTGAAACCCTGTCTACTAAAAAAAATACAAAAATTAGCCAGGTATGGTGGCATATGCCTGTAATCCCAGCTACTAGGGAGGCTGAGACATAAGAATCGCTTGAACCCAGAAGGTGGAGGCTGCGGTGAGCCAAGATTGCGCCACTGCACTATAGTCTGAGCGACAGACAAGGGCTCCATCTCAAAAAAAAAAAAAAGTAGCTTTTGCTATATTTAAAGCTGTTTATTTGTAAGGTGGGTTAAATGAATATATCAACATTAATTCAGTAGATATTTACTACCTATTAGAAGTGGTTTTGTGGGGAATAAAAATTAGGGGCTTCCTTTATGCCATTTATATTGTTAGGAATTAAAAAAACATGAGAGACAGAATGATTTGAAGATAATACAGACTTTTTTTTTGGCGCATGAGGAAAAATTAAAAGTTTGCAAGATCTATTTTAATTCTATTTTATTAGTCTGGCATGCCAGGTTTATTCTTTCATAAGTAAATATTGTTCGTGAACATTTTGTCAGGTTTCCGTATTTTCTCTTAATTTGTGTGTTTTAAAAGGCAGACATTATTTCCCTGTGTATATAAAACTCCACCTTCATGTGTCATTTGGTGTTATGGTAATCGCTAAACATAAACATCTCTAAGTTTAGCTGTAAAAATCATCAGAACTTGAAGATTTTTTTCTTGTTACAGCAACAAAGGGATTTCTATATACTATTGCATTTTATTGCCAAATAAGATTCTAATATGTTTTGGTTTCCTTTTTTAACAGTTGCACCATTAATATAGGGATCATTTACTGAGATGTTTAAGTCAAAATTACCTTTGATTAACAGAACAAATTGCCTTTTCAGCTGTTTGCTCCCAATAAGAAGCAGTTTTCATCCATTTATTTACTTAAGAGTATTTCCTGAAAACTCTGGTGAATTCCTCAGCACCAAGTTGTTTAACACAGAAGAGAGGTGGAAACAAAAAATGCTTGGTTTTTACTGGCTTTCTTTTAGCATTTCTGTCTAGTCGAAATGGGGGCCAGGCTTGCACACATAGACAACTGAATTAATGTAACCGGACCTATTCCATCTAGGCTGACCTCTTGAAAGATAGGAGGGGAAGTCTAAAACAGGAGAAAAGTTTTAGAAATCCTTTGGATTAGGCTTACCCAGATTAGTGGTATGTAAAATATTATGATATTCTTAGTGTTTCAGGATTATGGATTTTAGTAAAAGCAGAAAAAAATAAATTCTTGTTTAACTGAATCTATAATGGCACCAGTGGTTTGGAAACATTTCTGAGTTACTTGATTTTATGTGAAAAAATCTGGAATAACTTTTCCTTTTTTCCTTTAGACCATTTTTCTTTTATTTAACCTAATCCGAGCCACTTTATACCAATTTCAACAATATTTCTGAATTCCTGTGATCTTTTATTTCCTTTTTGCTGCTTTCAGCTGTGTTTCTCTCCACTCTAAGCTCATTAAAGTTAAAAAAAAAATAGGAGATTGGACCCATTTTTTTTTCTGAGGAGTGTGGCGTTTAGCACCCTGTGGTGGCTCAGGATATTTTAAGTAGTATTTTCAGCTTTCTAGAAGTGTTTGCCTTATTTAGAAATAGTTATGGAAAGTTTTCTGTTTGGAGGAAACTGTTTCTTATCTTTGTTCTGGCAAAGTTGTTTGATCCTTTCAGCATCATGATTCAGTTGGTTTGTGTTCATGTAGGAGTTTGCAGCCTAGCTGCTAAAAAAGTTATTTCAGAGATGCTTATGTAACCCTTTTTAGATTAATTATTGGCTAATATTTTTGGGAGTAATTATTTTTTGATTGCTCAGCTGTAACATATTTTATTGTGCTAAGATTTTGGAGGTTGCCTTTAGCGCAAGAAAGTAGTAGGAATTTATTTTTAAAACGGATGCTTTAAGGTAGACAGCTTAAACAGTTAAATGTTTGATTTTTATGTTTAAAGAGTTATTAAAGTATATAGATAAAGACAATATTATATTTTACATGATCATACTAAGGTGTTTCGCAGTTACAGAATGAGGAGCTTATTTTTTAAGACTTTTTTCTATTTGAAAATAAATGTCACAACTGAGATTTCTTATTTAAATATATTTATTATCACATTTTAAGAAAGAAGTTTTAGTTTATAACTCTGTATGAAAGCCCGTAATAAATTTATTCACTTTTTATCTTTCATGATTTAAGATAGAGACAGGGTGAGAAAAACCCTGAAGAACAGTCAACAAAAGCTTTCAAAACAATGTTATCAGAGGTATGATAATTATGATAAGAAATCATAAGACCATTGCCGCCAGTGATGTTATTTGTGTTTGACTAGAATTATCAGTTTTTTATGCCCACGTAAACAAATTGTTTTATTTCACAAAGGAGGTTTAATAATTTATGGTTGAAGTGTAAATGAAATACTATGGCTCTTCAGTTGTGTAATGCTCATGCCGGTCTCAGATGTAAAAGTTCAATCAGTGAGTTGTTGCAGCCCATTTCATTGAAGGAATGGAGACAAAAGTTTGTTTGTAACTACCATGGAACTGAGCACAAAGATGCCAGTGACCTTTGAACTTCTGTGGCTGTGCATCTGAACAAGGGATTGTTTGAGAATGGGAAAAGCTGCCAGTAGACTTGGGATATGCTTTCTCCTTGTTTTCTACAGAATTGTTGAATGACCCTACTCCAGAAAAACAAAAAAACAAAAAACAAAACAAACAAAAAGCTTAATTGGAAGAAATTCTTACTGGTCTCAGAAGAATCTCATGTCTGCATAGCAAAATCTAATTAGATATTCATATCCCAAAGTGATAGTCATTAAAAATACTGTCTCCACTTACAAAAATGGCAACGTTAATTACTGCCATTTTATGCATTGACAAGGCTGGTAGGTGCTTGTGGTTTCTTCCTCTGCAGTTCTTATTATGTTCTTATTAAAAGCTATCTTCCAGTTCTATGGTTGGAAAATGCTTCTATATCTGGGTCACACTAATTCCTTAGCTTATTTTTTTTTTTTTTTACATTGCTTAAATGTTGGGCATTATTCTGAGAGTGAAACCTGTATTTGTCAAATGAATGAGTGAAGTAATAAATGTACAGGAAAAGTATTTTTTTGTGTGTGTGTGAGAGAGGAATAATGGCATTTGCAGTACTCTTTTTTTTCTTCCAAAGTGCTTAACAAAAAACTAGTAACATCTCTCAGTATGAAAATATCATAAATAACAGTATCTCTTTTGCAGCCATTGTATATAGTTCTCTTATTTGCCCTAGCCAGTGTTCAAACTGGGCCCAAACACGACTTTATTTCAGTTTTGTTGTCTTTAGAAAGAGCTGAGTATTCAATACTAATCTTTCCATTTTGGAGAAAAAGCTGGTTCTAGTTTATATTGTTGCATATCCTGTCTTACACATGATTAATAAATTATGAAGATGTTTATATTTGAAGTTAATGTACCAATTTGCCATTACATAGTGCATGTGTTTTGAAGTGGTTCCTTTTTCCCATCAGTAATGCATTTGTGCGTATTATTTCATATACTTTTAGGTAGTTCTCTTTATGACTAGTGGCTAGCACCATAATTTAGCTCATAGGTTATGATAGAGTGCAGAAATCTGTCATCATATTGCTTAACTGGAGTCACTGGGATTGAGTTTATGATTTCATTAGCTGTATTGTCTTGGTACCTGATAGGGGTAAGATGGGAAAAATTAGTACAGTAGTTATAATAAGAAAAGTGGTTGACTATTAACTTTCCAGTATGTGTTAAAATACTGATTTATCAAAAATTTAAAATAAAATCTTAACTGGTTGATAGTTGGAGAATTTGTTCATCATAGTCCTGTGAAAAATTATTTAGGAAGTTTAGCTTTGAGTCTCGATTTATCAGCTACTCTTAAGAAATACAATAATTTACTGGCAGAAGTTCTTTAAGCTCTTTTTGTGCATCTGTCTTAAATGCCTAAGACAACTAGGGCCTCCAGGAGTGGGTTATCTGGGAGGCTAGTTCCTTAGTGGAGGCAGAGATTTGGGGTGAAGGGGACTGTGACTGTGAAGGAGAAAGTTTGGCTGTAGGGAAAATGGTGGATAGAGTGGGAGCTCGGAGCTGGAAGAAGTTAAAAAGAGGGACGTGGCAGGCACATACTGCTGCAGATAGCAGGCTGCCTTTCAGATCCCAGTCTAAAGGAAACGAGAAGGAATCAGAACACCGGGGTCTGCAGCCATCAGATCGCCTTACCTGATGGAGGAGACAATCTTTAAATGGCTCACAGATTCAGAAAGTTAAACTCAACCACCTGGGGTTGATCAATGTATCTTTTACTCAGTTTTAGTTTTGGTTTATTTTGATTAAATTCTCTCCTCTGATGGTTGAATTTGGTTTAGATTTTAATATGATAGTTGTTTAATAGAGAAAAAACAAACCATAGCACAGCATAGAACATATATTTGACAAAGTGCTATAAAATTGCCATATAACATTAGTGAATTGAATATTCCCTTTAAAGAAATCTTAACATGAAATGTATTACATTGCTATTTTAGACAAAAATAAGACTTTTTTGAACTGTTCATTTTATTGACATGTTTTATGAAGGGAAAAGATAAAGAAGACTGAAGAATATGGAAAATATTAGGTAAATAATAGCATTTTTCACACCTATTCTAAGAGTAAAAGTTTACATTCTGATGACTATATATCATCAGATAAATGCCACATTACTTGATTTTATGAAATGGCCAGTGTTAAGTTAATTTGGATGAATAGCAAATAATGCTTTGGGTCAGAAGGGGTAGACTGAGATTTCATTGTTCATTCTGAAAAAAATTTGTCAGGAAGTAAGTACTCTGTTTAGGATTTAAGAAGTTCTGTTTTTTTTTTTTTTTTGGTTAATTATTAACTTACTGCTTCTAAGAACTGAGTATTTAGAAAACTTATTCAATGTTTTCTGTAATTTTAAAAATTAATGAATTATTTATTTTTAAGCAACAAAGTTTTGTTATGTTGCCCAGTCTGGACTTGAACTCCTGAGCTCAAGTGATCCTTCTGCTTTAGCCTTTTGAGTAGCTGGGGTTATAGGCATGCATCATCATGCCTGGCTGTAGTTGTTTTTTTAAATACTAAAATTGAGATCTGAAATGAAAACAGTCTTGACATTGCTCTATAGCTACTAACTGAAGAAATGGTGACTGTGCCCTGCCTTTTATAGTACCTGAACTTTTCTACATTTTCCTCCTGTGGTAAATAATATGAAAGATGCTTTAGAAAAATAGTTCCCAGACTTGTACCACAGAGAATTGCTTCTAGTGCCATAAGTCACAAACTTGTAAGTTGCTAGACTTAAAAAATATTTCAATATTGGTAAACATTATCAAGTGCACACCATGGTATAGCAGATTTTTCCTACTTGTCTGAGGTTCATTTCTTCCCTTTTCCTTTCTAATAGAATTTAAATTTTGTTAGAAGCAAAACACAAAGCTTTTTGTGCCTAGCTTAAAAACTATCAATGTCTTAGCTTCCCTTCCTACTGAGGTAGCCATGTGATCTAGTCCTGGTCAGTGAGATGTATGCAGAAATTTCTAGACGAAGCTTTTGGGAAAGCCCTTTTAGCCATTTCTCTTTCCTCCTGCCTAGAAATTAGACATGATGACAAGCTGTAGCAGTATTCTAGAGACTTTTAGGGAAAGGCTAAGAGATTCGCGGAAGTCTTAGCCCTTATGTTCTTGAACTGCCAAACCAATGTCAGCAAGCGCTTCTCTCTGAACTTACATTTCGTGAGGAAAATAAAGCCCTATCTTAAGCCACTATAGTTTGGACTTCTTTTTACATGCATCTAAACATTATCCCTAACTGATATGATAATTTACATGCCCGTTATGATATTCTTTCAGGAGATTTGGATTCTTCTTACAGTTTAACAAGGGATGTTATCCGACTTCAAATCCAGAAGTCTCTGAGATTTTTGGAATTATTTCCTTTAGACTTGATTGGACCAGCTGGATATCCAATTGGATGGATGTTGGTTACTTCTGGAGGGTTTCTTGCCTTTCAAAAATAGCCTGTAGCATTTCTCACTGTCATTTCATCCTCTCTCAGTTTAAGTCCCCGGCTTCATCTTGCTACATAATCTATATTGAAACCATAGAGCTCCCTCTGATTGGAGAGAATGTCCATGTAGTTATAGCACAATTAGGGTCATTTGGATTGGTCAAGGACAGGAATTTGACTGCTGACCTTATCTCCCTCCATACCAGAATTAATTGCGGTCTTTTTTTTCCTTTTTAAAAATTTTAAACTTTTTCATGTATCATACACATGTTGAGTACGTGCATAGAACATACATATTCAACTCTATGACTTCTCACAGCCTGAACATATATGTGACTAGCATCTGATCAAGAAGTGAAGCTTGATTGTCCTTGTGGGTTGTCAGCATGCAGGCTTCTAACAGCATGGATTTGTTTTTGCCTGTCTTATTTTATATGCTGGAATTGCGCAGAACATATTCTTTTGTCTCTGGTGTCTTTTGCTCAGCATTGTCTATAAAATTTATCCATATTATTATATGTAATTATATACATTCTCATTGCTGTATAGCATTCCATTATGTGACTGCATCTCAACTTATCTACTGTTGGTGGGCATTTGGATTGTTTTCAGTTTTGACTTACGAATATTACTCCTGAGAACATCCTACAACATATCTTTTGGTAAACATACGTAAGCATTCTGTTGAATGTATACTTTGGAGTAGAATCCCTGGATCATAGGGTATCAGTAACAAATGAGAGTTTAAGCTCCTCTGCATTCTCATCAGCACTTGATGTCATTGTTTTTAACGTAGTCCTTCTGGTGGGTGTATCTTTTGTGAAGTGCCTGTTTATGCCTTTTGCCCATTTTTCTGTTGGGTCATTTGTCTTGTTTGTGAGAGTCTTTTTTATATTCTGACTACTAGTTTTTTGTCAGATACTTGTATTGTGAGTATCTTTTCCTGCTGTCTGGGTTACATCTTTGTTTCTTTAAGTGTCTTTTGAGGCCTAGGTCTTAATATAGTCCAGTGTATCATGTTTTTCTTTATGGTTAGTGCTTTTTGGATACAGTTAAAAAAGATTTTTGCCTACTCTAATGTCTGAGAGATGATCTGTTTTATTTTCTTCTGTAAAAGCTTTATGGTTTTATCTTTTGTGTTTAGATCTGCATTTTTTCTGTAATGCTTTTTGTGTAGGATGTGAGTTGGGGGTCACAGTACCTTATTTTCACATGAGATTTAGTAGAGTCAGCACCATTTATTAAAAAGATGATCCTTTTCAATTGCATTGCAGTGTCAGCTTTGTTGTAAATCAGGTAAACCACATACGTGTGGGTCGTTACTCGACTTTGTTTATTCTCTTCTGTTATTTTTCCTACCCTTCAGCAAATACTGTGCTGTTCCAATTATTATAACTTTATGACACGTTTGGTTACCTGTTAGTTTTAATGTATCCAGCTTTATTCTTCCTTAAGATGGCCTTAGCTAACACTGAGGATTGTCAACTGGTTAGGTGGAGTTAATATTTATTTTGTATGTCTTCTAACTTTGACCATACAGCATCCCTCAACCAGCTGACTGAAATACTGGCATTAATCCAGTTAGCCATCAAGAGAACCTAGCTAGACTTCTAGCCTCTTAATGGATTTTCAGATTTATTGAGTGAACAGAAAATAATTTATTGGTGTACACACAATACATCACATTTAAAATCATTGCTCATTTTTAGCATAAATCACTGCAGTGTTCAGTAGTAAAATATCTAGTTCAAATGTGTGCATTTCAGTGTGCTGATACTTAATTTTCTCATTTGTAAGTAACCAGTTGTTTCCTTTATCATTATGACCAGCTCCGTAGATGCCATGTTTGGAAATTAGTTTGCTTAAAAAGGTGAAACAGGAATAGTGAAATAAAAATAAGACTGAATCTATTTGGAAGAATTAATTATCTGTGTGTGACATTTAAAGGCAATGATCTTTGTTAGTACCAACTTGATATTGACAGTTTAAAGAAGTTTGTTCTCAGTGCCCTGCCTTCTTTCCCCTTCCATTTCACATTGCTTCTGTTGGAGGAAATGCTAAGGTTTTTATGTAAAATAGTTACTATTTATCTTCAAAAGTGACCATTTTAAAATCATGTTTACTTATTTTCTTTGTGGGGTGGAGAATGGGAAGGAGGAAGGGAAGCAGTGAGCCTTTGGGATGCAGTGACTGTATTCCAGATTCCCATATGACATGTCATCAAATATGATACATTCTTTAAAATTGGGACTATCTTAGGAAATTGAAAATATATGATCCCTATACTAACTTTGGGGAACCTTTTTTCTACTTTTAAAAATAGGTTACTAATGATCACAGATCTATGTGCACATGGGCTGTATAAATATTTCCCCCCCTTTCAATTAATAAATGGTGAGTTACAAGGGCGTAGGGGTCATGCTTGTCAAATATTTGAACTGAATGTGAGTTAGGCATCTAAAGCTATGATCACACTTATTTACTTCTAATTACAAATAAAGATGCACCATTTCATTTATAATGTAATTTTAATGGAATTAAACTTGAACAGTTAACACCACATAATTATATCCTATTTCAGTTAGAATAACTAACCAACCCGACTTTTCTATGATATCGGTCACAGTGTATTTATATAACTGTATTATGGGCAGAAATTTTCCTCTGTTAGTGGATCAGGTACATATGGTGACCCAGTGATCTCAGTGACAGCATTTGTTGAACAGACCTTTATGGAGTGCATATTAATTTTCAAACACTTTGTAAGCACTAGAATATAAAGATAATTAAAATAGATATGATTCCTGTTACCACAGAACTTTCCAACCAGAGTTGGATACCTCAGGTTTATAAACATATTGTACTTGTACTACTTGAATTTGCATACTAATAATAATAAGTAATTTTTGATTGCCCTATGAGGATTCAGGCTTTCTATTCCAATTAAGTATAAGGTTCTTAGTACAATGTGTTAGTATCAGATTTTCACATATTGTGGGCTACTTTTCCTCAACATGTAATTTAGTTAATAGTGTATAAACTAGTTAGATTTAGACTTTTGCACTCCATGCAAAGCGTATTCTTTCTGAAAATATTGTGGCTCTGTTTATGAGTGCTTGTGGAAACAAGAGCATCTAAAATAAACATGTGCTACATGTTCTTTATGTATTATGTTTCCTATCTATCACTCTTTTTGCTAGGATTGAAAAATAGTGAGAGTGTGTACCTACCTAGCCATACATTATGACCATATTTGGTAACACAAAATATGTCCTTATTCACAGACATAATTTGTCTACTTAAATATCACTAAGTGCCTGTTTAAGAAGCAAAGCAAGATAGTGAATAGAGTAGGGAAGAGACTCTTAATGGATCTTTATCTGGCAGTTCCTTCCCCCAAAACATATCTCAGCTTATTTGATCTGTAGAGTTATACTTTTATACCTTTTAAACCACTCAAATTTGTCTGCCTCTCTCCATCTCCAGTGCTGCTACCCTAGTTGTGAAAGATATTCTCTCTCCAGTTGTTGCTGCAGCCTCCTTATTGTTCTGTTTGGCCAAAACCTAACTGATTCCAGTTCATTCTTCCTCTATTTTCAAGCCAGAATAACTACTAAGATGCATATGCAAGATTCAGGGAGCTTCTCTAGGTGGGGATTCCCTAGTGAGTTTAATGTTTAGTCCAGAAAGGAGCTAGCCCATGCTGAGTAGAGGGATTAGCGTTTACAAAGGCTTTCATGTTGTGAACCACAGCAGCAAGCTCCATTGGAACAAGGAGGTAGCCTCCCCGAGACTGTGGTTCTTTTACGGTTAATAGTCATTTACCTCTTTGCATGCTGGCATCAGTCGTAGTACTTTATGGCAGTATATTCTTGCTTTAATGCAAATTCACGTAGCAAAATTGTATGCAAATCCAGATACACTTGAACCTTGCCCCTCCTACTCAGATGAATTTGGAAGACCTCTTCTGCTGCCCTTTATATCTAATCGCTTGCTTCTATTGATGCTTTACTGGACTGTTTTACTCTTTTGTGTGTGTTTAGTTAAGAAGAAGAGCTAATTCTTAATGGTGATCAATATTTTGCCCAGTTCAGTAAATATCTTTAATGAGTTGGAATCCGCTCTCAAGGACCGAAGTTGCCAGATAAACTGTTAAGTGAAAACAGTGTATTATTAGCATACCCATTGTCCTGAAAACAGTACAGTTAGCACAAGTACCATCTATTAATTAGCTAACCGTTCTTGCCTCTTACCCAGTTTTCGAGAGTAGGAGTTTGTTGTGTTCTTCTATTGCTAATCAAAATTAGACACGACTACAGTTGAGAGTAAAGCTGTAAAATTGGAAATAAACCAATTAGTGTAAGTGATGGTAAAGGTGTTAAAGACGATACAAGTATACTGTAGATGTAAAGTTAAAGTTAATTTAGAATTGGTCTAAAACTATAAATTGATATTACTACTTTTAATAATTGATATTTAAATTATATTTGAATTATTGTAATTATAATAGTTGATATTATTATTTACTTTTTCTGTAGTGGTGACAATACAAGGCTGAAGCACATAATCATACTGGCTTATTTGTGGTAATGGTACTTTTTTTTTTTTTTTGAGATGAAGTCTAGCTCTGTCACTAGGCTGGAGTGCAGTGGCACAATCTCAGCTCACTGCAACCTCCGCCTCCTGGGTTCAAACAGTTCTCCTGCATCAGCCTCCCCGAGTAGCTGGGATTACAGGCACACCTCGCCACACCCAGCTGATTTTTTTTTTTTTTTGTATTTTTAATAGAGTCGGGGTTTCACCGTGTTGGCCTGGATGGTCTCAATCTCCTGATCTGGTGATCCCCCCACCTCGGCCTCCCAAGCTGGGATTATAGGTGTGAGCCACCGCGCTGGGCTGGTACTTTGTTGTTTTTAACCTTCAGTATTTTCTGCTTTATTTCTTTGATAAATGTGGTTATAAATATATGTAATTCATATATTGTTGATGTGTTTCAGTATGATCATTAGACAGATTTCTGTCAAATATGTCATGTTAAAATTTAGTTGCACTTAAACATTGAGCTTAAGCAACTTAGATGTCATTTTCTGTTTTCCTAAATACATTTTCATATATTTATATAGACTGCTTATTTTTAGAAGTTTACTGTTTTCTACCATATGTTTTTTATAGTCAGAGGCACAATTTCTACTTAGGCTGTTCTAAGGTTCTGTGATGTAGGGTGATGGAAATGACTCATTTAGTTAGAATCGTATTTCATAGCCTAGGTTTTTGGAGCACATCGTATTTCATTGAAAGAGAGAAGAGATGCTTGAGAAAAAGGAGAGTCTGTAAACTAGATAAAAGTAATGGCATTTTTGCCAACTTCATTACCTCATCATCAGCACCTTTGGAGTTACTTAGTGGTGCCTCATCAAGATAGGATCCGTTTACTTTCTTGTCTATTGTTTTAGAATTCTCTTAACCAGTATCTGAGAAATTGCAACTTGCTGATTTAAATTCTTAGATATTTTCTTGATTTAAGCCAAATTTGAGGTTGGATTTTAGCATGCAGTGTAACTTTTTAGTATTTGTTACTTGGATAAATAACTATTTAAAAGGCAAAAATAGTAGAATTCATACACTGCTTATGGGTGTGCTGAATGGTGTGATTTCTACGAAGATTAAGTGTGAGGTATGACATATGTAAGCTAGTTAATTTTCTTCCTTCTTGCTTTTCTTTTTAATGTCATAATAGTTAAAACTCTTTCAATTGAATGAAAAATACCATGGAGCTATTAACAGAAATACAAATGTGTTAAAAAATGAGACTGTTGAAAAGCTTATGATAGTTTCAGAAATAATTCTGCTACAGGATAGAAAGTGAGAATTTTCATTAGAGCCAAACAAAGAGGTATAAGGTTTCACTTTGGATGGTAGGAGGAGGCTGGAATGAAGCCTCAGTGTTCTGTAGGAACCAGTTGTTAGTCAGCAATAGCATGGTTTTCAAAGTATGGTTTATTAAAAATTTCCCACAAATTCAACCTGATTAATTTTTTAAAAGTTGTGTTGTAGATAAATTGCTGTCCTTATTCATCATGGCTATCAATATTAAGAAATAATAGTATTCAGGGTTCCAGGATAATAAGTTTTGCGGTAGTAATTCAATATGTAAAATGAGTTATCATTTCACAGGTTATAGTTCAGTGGCATAAGATAATTAGGGAAAATAGACACCAACAAAATCTTCACAGCAGTTAGTGATTACATTCCTCTTAACACATGTTTATCAGAAGTATAACAGAAAATACAGAAATTTGTGTTTTCCCTGTTTTTCAGGGGGGTATCACTGACAGAGGCTTGCTCTGTTGCCCAGGCTGGAGTGCAGTGGTGTGATCATAGCTCATTGCAGCCTCAACCTCTTGTGCTCAAGCAGTCCTCCCACTTCACCCTCCTGAGCAGCTGGGACCACAGGCATGTACTACCACACCCAGCTAATTAATTTTTTTTTTTTTGTAGAAATGAGATCTCCCTATGTTGCCCAGGTTGGTCCTAGAACTCCTGGGCTCAAGTGGTCCTCCCGCATCAGCCTCCTAAAGTGCTGAGATTACAGGTGTGAGCCACCACGCCCTGCCTCACAGTCTTAAAGGGGAACATTAATTGACATCAAACAACCAGTTAAGTGGCAAAGTTGGAGTCTAATTCTGGATTTACTGGATTTCAGAGTACCAGCATTGCTGTTTCTAGTATTGCTGCCTCTAGATGTTTTCATTAAAAAAACCCAAAACTTTTTTAAAGGACTAAATTAAGGTGTGGTGGATATCAAATGTTTCTGTTATTCCATTTGTTTCCTTATTTAGTCATTTCTTGAGTGAATAAACTTGATCTAGTTTATGGCTTTCTTCTTCTTATAGTCTCACTCTTGAATTGCAGCCCTTCAAGAATTCCACATATTGGAAAACAGTTCGGGATAGATTTTCATGTGGTAGAAAATGAGTCTACTTTGGGAAACCGCTTTAATTGTGTAACAGTGAGTCAGCAGCAGTGTCTTAGATTGTAGTCTGCAGTTGAGACCTGGCATTAGCATCTGTCTTTATAAGTATCTACTGGTAATAAAAAAATCTCAGTATTAATACCAGTGCAGAGTACTTTTTATAGATATGCGAAATCCTTTCGAATTGATACTTCTGAGTTGATTTGCACTCTGGTGTATGTATATATGTATGTGTGTGTGTATATATATATATGTATGAGTATTACTTTTTTTAATACATACTGTATGTATATAAAGAGTATTACTGTTTTTTTAGTGAAACCCAATCCTCTTCACCTTATAGACTGCAAAGTTTTTTTTTGGTGTGTCTCAGTAGTGTCTTTATATTTTTAACTTGCCATGTAGTTGCTTTACTCATTGGTTATCTAGGATATTTTGTGCTGTTCTTAATGAATTCTAGAAAGATTCTCTTTTAAATGTATCCTCTGTCTTATGGAAACCTGTTAATCTTTTTATCTAATTCATTACCATTTGCACCATTTGTTGTAAGAGCTAATTCGTGTGGCATTGTGTTATCTTTTTCTTTTGGTTTGCTAAGTGACCACGTTTAGAGGAAATGGACTCCAAGCTCCATGAGGACAGAGACCATGCCTGCTTTATTCACTATATACTATGTTTTGCACAGTACCTGGGACACAATAGGCACACAGTAAAGCTGAGTACACAAGGTTATGGCTAAATGCAAATACAGCAGAAAAAAACACATGGTCATAGTTAACTCTAGCTTGAGTCATCAGCAGTACTGATGGGGAAGCACGTGTACAGGAAAAGGAGGAGAGGAGGATTCAGTCAGGTTTTTGGAAGTATATGAGAAACTAATAATAGTGATAACATTTTTAAAGACTTATATTCCAGGCACTGTGTTATGACGTTTATATGTATTATTTATCTGTAGACAGCACAGAAAACAATACCACAACAAAAGAATAATCAAAAGGTTGGAAAATGTCCTAGTTAGCTTAAGTAAAAGGAGGCTGGGGTGATTTAGGCACAGAGCACTACTTATAAAGATGTTTTGTTCAGGAGTTGTTGAGGTGTTGGTGAAGCATAGAATGATTTTCACTTAGATTTTGATTAAGAGTAAATTTTTAAAATTTTAAATCGAAATAACGGGAGCCAAGACATAAATAAAAACACTGCATCGCATCGCAAGGAAGTCATTCTTGATGTAGAATGCTTTGAGTTGGATATTAGGGAATGTTAAGCTTATAGAACTTCTAGAAGGAAACAAATCTTTCCTAGATGGTCAGATAGGCTGGATCAGATAAGCTTTCACTTTCCTTTTTTTTTTTTTTTTTTGAGACAGCCAAGTAGCTGGGACTACAGGTGCCTGCCACCACGCCTTGCTAATTTTTGTATTTTTAGTAGAGATGGGGTTTCACCGTGTTAGCCAGGATGGTCTCGATCTCCTGACCTCGTGATCTGCCCGCCTCGGCCTCCCAAAGTGCTGGGATTACAGGTGTGAGCCACCACGCCCGGCCCTCACTTTCCTTTTAATCAGATGCTATGATTTGGTCAGATTGTATATAAATAATTCAGGGGGAAGATGTTTGGGTTTTTTAATTTTCTTTTTGTTGCATAAATTTAGAGTTTATTTAATTTGAAGGTAGAATAAATGAGTAAAAGAAAAATTTCCATTGACTGAATTTCATTTTATGACCCATAGAGGGATCAGCCCATTGCATGCCTCTCCCTGTAATACTTGGAGAATTCTAAGTTATTTGTAGTTAATGCTTTGAAAACATATATTTTATTCCTGTTTTGCTATTACAAGAGTTTTTTTTATCCTGAAAACATTTCTACTAGAATGCAAAGGTTGTGCTTATAAATTCTGCAGTGTTTTAATGTTTTAAAAATGTGCTTCAAAAGATGGATGGAAAATTGCTGTATCATACCTTTCATATGATGTAAAAGAAAGTCTTTTTTTCCTTTAATATAAACTGGAAGATGAAATAAACATATTTTTAAGATAAATTTCTTTGAAGGCAGATTAATATAATTTGGTACATTTTTATTTTGGAGGAAGTATTGTCAGAATAGTTGTATATTTCTCCTCCTTTGATGTATGTTGTTTGTGAGGTGTCTTTAAAATCCTTAAAAAAGTAGTTACTGGTTACTTTGAAGTCATGAAACAGGAAGTATGAATACATGAGAAGACAGACATAGGAATGAACTTAATCAGTTTAAGATCTTATCACTGCTGGCAACTTGCCTCATATCCAGCTTTGAATGATGAACAAAACTGGGTCTGCACATCATTTATACTTTTAGCATGTAAACAGACTTGATCTTTAACCAAGAGTTGTTTATATGGGGGCGTAATAATTTTCTACTCCTGAGAATTGTGGAATAAGCATTTTATTGTTTTTAATCATTTAATATACATTATTAACAATTTACTAGATGCAAAGGATGGCTGGGCCTGTGGCCAGATGATGAATGAGACTTGCTACTATGTCAGTGTATTTACTATAGAGCGTGGAAGGTAGACCTAGTGAGGAAAAAAGAGGTACTCTGTGGGAAATGCTGCCTTTAAGCTGAAATGAATGTGAAGGTGAAATCAGCTACCATCAGGTTCCAAACTGAAACACTGATATTATGATACACATCTTCTCTTAAAAGACCTATTTTAACAGCATGGTTCATGGTAGAGACACGTTTGAGAGGAGGAAAACAGGCAGAGGATAGGCCCTTTTAAAATCCCACCCCAATGTTATAATTGATCACCCTGCAAAATTAGTTTGAAATGCCTACAGAGATAGAAGGTCGAATAGAAATTGCTAAAATGGATCAAACCAAAGATTTAATCTCAGCATTCAATTGCCACTAGTGACCTATAGTCAAAAATAGTCTACTGCTATGGGAGAGCATGATTTTCATCTCTGATTGTCGCGTAAAGGTTAAGTATTGCCCTGGTTCTTTGACTAGTGATTTATAGCTTTGTGTCAATTTTTTCCAGAACCTTTTTGGTTCATTTTATTGGATTTCGAGGTATTGGCTTTCATAATTTTATTTCATGCTTTGGGAAGTAAAATTTATCTTTTTCTTACTTATCTTATTCATTATCAAAACATTTTACTAATTTATATTTTTGAATTTGATGACCCAAAGTCTATGGACTATTCATGCTTTTATAGATTGTGTTATCCCAGCTATTACTTTTTCTAACTGAGTCCCTTATTTGATGATACTTTGGTTGAAATTTTTGACCTTTCGTTAGTTCTGCCACATTTGGGTACGTTTCTCTGTATGAAATAGAATACTTTTTCTTGGAATCTGTGTTACAACTGACATGAGGGGGACCCCTCTTTAAATGAGTTTCTGATCTTTGAACCAATTTCCCCAAGCTCAAGATGACTCTGATGCTTAAAAAATTCTCATTCCCCTTGAAGGCAGGGATTGTATTTTATTGATTTATTCCCAGGGACTAGTATAGTTTTCTGATTCCAATGAGCTATAAATAAATGTTTAATGAATAGCTAATCTATTGAATAATATCCATTGAATAAATGAATGAATCAAATATTATCAAAGGTTTAGTGAATATCTTTGTAGGTTAAGTGATTTCCTTTTATCTGAGAAAATACTGTGAAATAACTTCCAATAAATTATTTAGGCATAGTAGCTCTTAAGATATTGTTTATAACACTAGCAACAACCACCCCTAAACACTGGTCGTAACCTTAAAGGCACTATTATTTAACACAATGAATTATGCATGTCATTCTTTGGCTACTTGAACCAGGAGAATGGGAAAATAATGGTGATATACTAAGCTGATAGGAGGCAATAAAATTGTTACCTTCATACATTATTATTATTATTATTATTATTATTATTATTATTATTATTATTTTAATCTGTTGATAATTCTGTTGTGATCTTTATTTATTTATTTATTTATTTATTTTTATTATACTTTAAGTTTTAGGGTACATGTGCACATTGTGCAGGTTAGTTACATATGTATACATGTGCCATGCTGGTGCGCTGCACCCACTAACTCGTCATCTAGCATTAGGTATATCTCCCAATGCTATCCCTCCCCCGTCCCCCCACCCCACAACAGTCCCCAGAGTGTGATAGTCCCCTTCCTGTGTCCATGTGATCTCATTGTTCAATTCCCACCTATGAGTGAGAATATGCGGTGTTTGGTTTTTTGTTCTTGAGATAGTTTACTGAGAATGATGATTTCCAATTTCATCCATGTCCCTACAAAGGACATGAACTCATCATTTTTTATGGCTGCATAGTATTCCATGGTGTATATGTGCCACATTTTCTTAATCCAGTCTATCATTGTTGGACATTTGGGTTGGTTCCAAGTCTTTGCTATTGTGAATAATGCCACAATAAACATACGTGTGCATGTGTCTTTATAGCAGCATGATTTATAATCCTTTGGGTATATACCCAGTAATGGGATGGCTGGGTCAAATGGTATTTCCAGTTCTAGATCCCTGAGGAATCGCCACACTGACTTCCACAATGGTTGAACTAGTTTACAGTCCCAGCAACAGTGTAAAAGTGTTCCTATTTGTCCACATCCTCTCCAGCACCTGTTGTTTCCTGACTTTTTAATGATTGCCATTCTAACTGGTGTGAGATGGTATCTCACTGTGGTTTTGATTTGCATTTCTCTGATGGCCAGTGATGGTGAGCATTTTTTCATGTGTTTTTTGGCTGCATAAATGTCTTCTTTTGAGAAGTGTCTGTTTATGTCCTTTGCCCACTTTTTGATGGGGTTGTTTGTTTTTTTTCTTGTAAATTTGTTTGAGTTCATTGTAGATTCTGGATATTAGCCCTTTGTCAGATGAGTAGGTTGCGAAAATTTTCTCCCATTTTGTAGGTTGCCTGTTCACTCTGATGGTAGTTTCTTTTGCTGTGCAGAAGCTCTTTAGTTTAATTAGATCCCATTTGTCAATTTTGTCTTTTGTTGCCATTGCTTTTGGTGTTTTAGACATGAAGTTCTTGCCCATGCCTATGTCCTGAATGGTAATGCCTAGGTTTTCTTCTACCTTCGTACATTATTGATAGCTTTATAAAATGGTTAATCCTTTTAGAAAACGTTTAAAAAATAAATGTGAAAGACCATTACAACATCCATACTATTTGACTGAATGTTATAATTTTTAGAGTCTAAAGAAATAGTGCAAAATATGGAACTAACCATATATGCAGATACATTATTTGCAGAATTATTTATACAATTGAGGAATAGTGTTAAATGTTGACAAAGTTAATTATCTCTCTGACTCAGTTTTCTTTCTTTTTTTCTGAGACAGGGTTCTCACTCTGACTCAGTTTTCTTATCTGCAAAATGGAAATAATAGTACCATCCTCATGGAGTTGTTATGAAGAATAAATGAAATAATGTTATAGTGCTTTGAATAGTATCTGGTATTTATAAAGAACTCAAATTTGCCACTGCAACTGCTGTTGTATTTTATTATTGATGCACAGGTCTCTTATTTTCTGTTGTGCCAGGCATTATATTAGGTATAATAGGAGATAAATAAGTAAAAATTCTGTACTTGTTCACAAGGAACTTAAAATACATTTGGTAGTAAATGCAACATATTGAGAAATAATTTTAATTCCAGATCACAATATGGTGACACAAGAAAGTGTCACAGTGCTACGAGAGCTCTAATACAGGAAAGTGCGGGTTACTTTGGGCTTGTGGGGGTGGAGAAGATGACATTTTCGCTGGGCTTTGAATGGTAGAATTCTGAGAGGTAAAATTCTGATAATGGCATTTTATGGGGCACATGAACAAAGACAGAGATGGGAAAACAAAGCAGGTATCTAGTGGATTAGAATTGGGATGTAACTTGGAGGAGAGACAAAGAGTCCTCATATTGGAATGGTTGAATGCCAAGCTGAGGAATTTTTATTTTATTCATGTGACATTGGTAAATGAAGGTTCTTGTGACTTGATGAGAACTATGTTTTAGGAAGATGGAATATCTGCAGAATGGTTTGGTGGAGGTAGGAGAGATAGGAGCTGGGAAGACTATTTTTTTCCACTTATTATTCAGAAACATTTGTTGCTTACCTGTTCTTTGCCATGTTTTATGCTTTGTATTGAGGATAGTACTGTATCATATTTACTTATTTATGATTGTTAGTAATATTTCAGGACATAGATTATGAAAAGGAAACTAATGTGTTTCTGGGAATGAGAGGTAGACTAGATGTCAAATTACAGAAGTTGGATGACAGATTTCTAAACCTTATATATGGAGTAAGGGAGAGGTGGAAGTTAAAACTAGCTCTTGGGTTTTAAACCTGAGGGACTTGGGGATTTATTGCATTAGTCTTAATGCACATTGGAAAATAATGAGGATGAGCTAGTATATGTGGACAGATGATGGTTTATTTTTGACTGACTTTGAATTGCCAGTGAAACATTCATTTGGTGCTATGTAGGGGGTAATTGGCAATGTGGAAGTGAAAGTTGAGGGAGTTGGGTGGCTAGAGAGTTGAAGAATATGGATTTGTACTTAAGTTGCATGCGTAGAGGTGGTAGATGAAGCCATTGAAGTGGATGAAGTTGTCATGGGAAAATGTGCAGGTAGGTGTGTGTGTGCAGTTAGTAGAGGTGGTTTGGGAGCTGAACGTTGTTTATTTTAAAAGAACCACTTTATTACAATTTCATATGCTCATTATTTAAAAAATCTTTTGGTACAGAGGTGTGTCCAAAAAAAAAATCTTACTACCTAGAAAAAACTGTCATTAATAACCAGAAAGATCATTCTAGATTTCTTTTTTCTTTATCTTTTTTTTTTTTTGAGGTGGAGTCTCGCTCTGTCACCCAGGCTGGAGTGCAGTGGTGTGATCTCGGCTCACTGCAAGCTCCACCTCCCGGGTTCATGCCATTCTCCTGCCTCAGCCTCCCAAGTAGCTGGGACTACAGGCGCCCGCCACCACGCCCGGCTAATTTTTTGTATTTTTAGTAGAGACAGGGTTTCACTGTGTTAGCCAGGATGGTCTCGATCTCCTGACCTTGTGATCTGCCTGCCTTGGCCTCCCAAAGTGCTGGGATTACAGGAGTGAGCCACTGCACCTGGCCTAGGTTTCTTTTTATGTATATTTGTAGGTAGTAATTTTAGAAATGTGTTATGTATTGAACAGTATATTTTATTGCATACCATAAGTGAGTGTAACAGCTCAAATCCCTCAGTTGTTTGAGGTTATGACATTTGTGTTGAGTTCCTAAAACACTAGCCCTCTGAACAGGGCTAGGAGGAGGTATCACTTGCGGGGTTGAGTAAGTATGTTCAAGTACTTGGCCTTGAGAGTGGTGACTCCTAAAATTTTGCACCATAGGTGGTTTGCTTGTCTCACCCTAACCAAGGTCCTGCCTGTAAAACAATTATAATAATAAACATTCCTTTAGAATAAGTTTGTATTATCATCAACTAAGTTGCAAACATAATTTTAAAAAGCAATACTCCCATGAGACTTTCAAAGAAAAGCAACAGTCTCCTGACCCTATCCCAGCTTGCCTCCCATTTCTACTCTATAGAAACAATGTTTTTCAGCTCTTTCAGCTTCCTCCCTACCAGGATTTACCACCCTATTTGTAAATACTATGTTTTTATTGGTCATTCTTGCTTTATTATATTTACACAGTCTAAATTTATTTGAACATTACTGAATACTTTTTAAAATTTTTGTCTTTTTCTGGAGAGGCAGCATCTTGGATTTAGTATGTCATTGGGATTTTTATTACTGAATGATCCAGTCAAAATTATTGTTTTGTGACTTCGAAGGGCTTCTGTGTGAGAACTTGTTACATAGACTTTGTTTTTACTAAATCCAGTAGAGTATCTACTTACCTGTTTTTGGTTTCTTGTTTTTCTGCATGGGGTCTTGCCCTGTTGCCCAGGCTGGAGTGCAGTGGTGTCATCACGTCTCACTGCAGCCTTGACCTTCTGGGCTCAAGTGACTCTCCCACCTCAATCTCTGAGTAGCTGAGACTACAGATGTGCGCCAACACACCCGGCTAATTTTTACAAAATTATTTGTAGAGATGTGGGCTTGCTCTGTTGCCCAGGCTGGTCTTGACTTCTTGGGCTCGAGTGATTCTCCCACCTCGGCCTCCCAAAGCACTGGATTATAGGCATGAGCTCTTGCACCTGGACTACTTGTCTGTTTTTATAGTATCAAAATTGGCTATTATAACACTTGATGCAAATTTTATTTTTTCTTACCTTTCCAAATAAAAGGAAATTTAATGAAGTTTTAATGAAGTGTAAGTTACCATGTATCTATGTCCTTTAATTAAAATATTTTTTGTTTTAAAATTTTAACTTCATTTATTGAATGTAAGCTGTGTATCAGGTACTGACATATACATTTTGTACATGTGAGCTCATTTATTCCTTACATCTCATAGGTACCAAGATCCCCATTTTATGAGTGAAAAAATGAAGTGTTAAGGAAATTAAATAACTTGCTCAAAGCTGCAGTGATGGTAAATAGTGGAGCAAGAATTCAAATTCAGGAATGTCTCATTCCTAAGTCCATATTCTTAACCACGGAGTTAAACTGTACATTGTCCTCTCTTTTGGATTCCCAGATTTCTCCAGGAACCTTTCTTTCTATTTCCTCTGTTGAAATGTTACTTTTAAACTTAGTCTTTAAAATTTACATAAAATTAGCTTTTGCAGACTCAAAATTTTTTTCAAACCATATTAAAGATAGAAAAGCTTTATGCAGTGGTTTCTTATGATATAATGACAAAAAATATAAAAGAAAATATTAATCTCACTCTCAAGCATTTAGGGCTTGTGAGAAGGAAGAGGAAAAACTGATATCATCAGATTACTTACTTTTTGCTTAGTTCACAAATACTTAATACTTGTTTAAGGTCTTGTGTTGTGTATCTAAAGGAATTCAGAGACAAGACAGCTTTGGCCCGCAAGAGTAATTCAACTAAAAGTAAGTATACCACAAGGCAATATAAATATCCTGTGAGAAGGGTAAACTAGGTACTGTGTGAATTTATTGAAGACCTAGGGAAAGCTTGTAGAAAAGGAAATTACTTGAGATGGGCCTACTGAAGGCTGGGTAGCACAATTAGGGAAGGGTCATTCCAGTAAGAATTTACAGAGGCAGAAAACTACTGGGAGTGTGTTTGTGGAACAGCAAGTAGTTCAGTTTGACCAGATTTTTTTTTTTCCCCAAGGTCATATAGCTAGTAAGTGCTAGAAATGGAATTGGAATCCGAGGCAGTCTGACTCCAAAGTCTGCAGTAATAGCTATCTTGCTAAACTGCTATAACTTTACCAAGAAATTTATATGTCTAGTCACCCTTGGCTGTGGGGGTATATTGTATGATGAGGTTGGCAGGAGAATCACTTGAACCCAGGAGGCGGAGGTTGCAGTGAGCCGAGATCACGCCACTGCACTCTAGCCTGGGCAGCAGAGTGAGACTCCGTCTCAGAAAAAAAAAATGAAAAAGTATAGGGGAAATTATTTAATTTGTCACTGCGCATAGTAACTGTGCAGTTGCTGTGTAGGAAATGAAGATTACAAACAACAGTTCCTGCCTTAGAATTTGTAGTCTGAGAGATAGGAGAAGAAATTTGGGATCTGCTGGTGCAAAAAGTCTGTTTTTTAAGTAATTGTGTGTGTGTATGTGTTGTAAGTTTTGGGAAAAAATTTAACTGAGAGTGGCATTTGAGTTGGATTTTAGAGAGTTGGCTGTTTGCACAGATTGAGGATGGAGGGGGAAGGCTTTGGATTAGCGTGAGAGTAGACACAGGTGGAATAGTATAGAGCATATTTGGAAAATGGCCAGTAATCTATATTAGCAGCAATGTGGGAAGTGAGGGGGTCCATTAGAGATGATGCTAACCCTAATGTGCTAAGGAATTCGGACGCTCTTTTATGGGTGTCGAAAGTGCTTCTAGGTATTGTATTTTAGCAGAATTGGTATCATCCAATTTCTATTTTAGGAGGGTTATTCTAGGTGAACTAACTAAAAGGTGGTTAGTGTAATGCTAGTTTGGAAAATGAGCTTCTAGAGGCCTCACTTCTGGGACAGCTCCTGGCTCTGTCATTCTGGGTAATTTTGGTCATCTGACCAATCCTAAAATTACTCATCTGCAAAATGTGGGTAATGCTAGTACCCTCCTTACAGCGCTGCTGTGATGCATAAATGAGATTATGCTGCAGAATGCTTACTGCATGTTCTAACAGAGTAAGTGCTCACACAAAAAAAGTTAGGTATAAAATAATGTTCTGGAAAAGGGCAAAGACTAGAAGTAGAAAGACTATATAGGAAATAGGAAAGTCTGTACTATTTAATAAGCTGTACAATATGCGAGGGCTTAGAAAAATTATTATCGTGGCCTGGCATAGTGGTTCACACTTGTAATCCCAGCACTTTGGTAGGTTGAGGTGGGAGGATTGCTTGAGCCCAGGGGTTTGAGACCAGTCTGGGCAACATAGTGAAACGTCGTCTGTATAAATAATACTCTATAAATAATAAACAAAATTAGACGGGCATGGTGGTATGTGCCTGTAGTCCCAGCTATTGGGGAGGCTGAGGTGGGAGGATCACTTGAGCCTGGGAGGTCGAGGCTGCAGTGAACCGAGATTACACCACTGCACCCCAGCCTGGGCAACAGAGTGAGACCCTGTTTCAAAAAAAATTATTATTGTGAAAATAACACTTTATTGCATCATCAGAAGTCTTAATTATGTTTGGTTAGAGGTGTGTGTGTGTGTGTGTGTGTGTGTTTAAAATAAGTTCTATGATTATGCAATTGGTTGGTTTATTTTTTTGAGACTGGGTCTTAGCATCTTAACCAGGCTGCCCTGGAACTCCTGGGATCAAGCAGTCCTCCCACCTGAGCCTTGTAAGTAGCTGGGACTACAGGTGCGTGCCACCACACCCAATTTGCAGTTGATTATTTTAAATCCCATCAGTGTATGTATTACTCATGCATGTAAGAATAATCTTAAGTGTATAAGAGCACCTGTTACTGACATTTATAGATGTGTGGTGGTAGTGGAGGCTGAAATGACTAGTAAATCCAGTAGTGCATGAAATCCCTGATTGTAAATGGCCATTGGTAGATTTTTCACTTACATGTCCTCACTGTGCAACATTTTTCTCTGACTGGGTCATGAGAAGTGTGAAGAGAGGGGAGAAGAAAGGGCACAGAAAGGCATAAGCACCATTTATGTGGGTTAATGGTTAGGAATTATTCCTGGGAGGGTATAAGAGTTAGAAGGAAAAATCTTTTAATATGAAGGTGCTCTGTATCCTCAAAGTTTGCAAGGACTATAAATAAATTCCATGATATTTGGTCTCTAGGATGGCAGATTCAGGATTAATTAATTTCACTCAAGCTTAGAAGAGAAATTAGGGTTAGTCAGAACTATAATTGAGAAGATTGAATTTTTCCTTGAGTCATCAAAAACCGCTGGCACTGTGGTGACTTGACTTTTTCTCTGCCCCATACCTACTACCTCACCAAACTCCCTTGTCCCTACCATCAAAATGCGTCTTCAGTTGGGCCACTTCTCACTACTTCTATTGCTACCACCCTAGTCTAAATCACTCTCACTTCTTTGGATCAATGCAGTAGCCTTAAACTGGTCTCTTGGTGTGATTTTTGCCCTACTTGGTCTAGTCTTTATAGAGCAGCCAGATTATCCTTCTCAGTGTAAGGAGAGTCATGTTCCTCTTTTGCAAAAAGGCTCTCAGTAGCTCCTCATTTCAGGGGTTCTTTGCATAGCTTGGAAAGCCCTGCCTGGTTTGGCCCTATTTCTGGAGCCTTTTCTCCTATCACTTTGTTGCCCTCACCGTACTGTTGCACCACACTGGACACAAGTGTGCTCTTACCCCGAGGCCTTTGCAGCTGTGCACCCATCTGCCTAGATCCACGTAATGCACTCAGTTCATTTAGGCCTCTGTTCATGTCCCCACCTCACAGAGGAAGGAGTTCTCTGAAAGCCTTATCTAAAGCAGCAGTCCTGAGCATTCTTCATTCCTTTAACACGCTAAAGCACTTATCACTACCCAATAAATAATCCTTTAAAAACATTTGTAATCCCCACTAGAATGTAAAGTCCCTGGGAGCAAAGATTTTGTTTTCTGAAGTTTTCTCATCAGCTAGGATGTAACAAATGACCAGTAAATATTTGTTTAACTGATGAATGAGTTATAAACAAAGGGAAATTTGTATTTCTTTAAATGTGAGATTTACTATTCACATCAACATTTATTTTGATCTGTGTAGGCAAAATGAAAATAAGAAAATATTAAGAACAAAAAAAGAAGACTACAGACCAGTACCCCCGATGAACATTGATGCCAAAATCCTCAACAAAATACTAGTGAACTGAGTCCAACAGCATATCAAAAAGATAATCTACCATGATCAAGTGGGTTTCATACCAGGGAATGCAGGGATGGTTTAACATACTTAAGCCAATAATTGTGGTACACCACATAAGCAGAATGAAAAATGGAAATCACATGATCATCTCAATAGATGCAAGAAAAGGATTTGACAAAATCCAGCATCCCTTTATGATGAAAACCCTCAGCAAAATTGGCATAGAAGGGACATACCTTAAGGTAATAAAAGCTATCTACCACAAATCCACAGCCAACATTATACTGAATGGGGAAATGTTGAAAGCATTCCCTCTGAGAACTGGAACAAGACAGGGATGCCTACTTTCACCACTTCTATTCAGTATAGTACTGGAAGTCCTAGCCAGAGCAATCAGAGAAAGAAAGAAAGCGCATCCAAATCGGTAAAGAGGAAGTCAAACTGTCCCTGTTAGCTGATGATATGTGATTGTATACCTAGAAAACCCTAAAGACGTATCCAAAAAGCTCTTAAAATTGGTAAATGAATTCAGCAGAGTTTCAGGATGCAAAGACATCATGACTGAGAACCCAAAAGTGAATGCAACAAAAAAGGTTTTGCACAGCAAAAGAAATAATCAGCAAACAGACAACCTACAGAATGGGAGACTGTCTTCACAATCTGTACATCAGACAAAGGACTAATATTCAGAATCTACAAAGAAGCCAAACAAATCAGCAAGAACAAACCAAACAATCCCACAAAAAAGTGGGCTAAGGACATGGATAGACAGTTCTCAAAAGAAGGTATACAAATGTCTAACAAGCCTATGGAAAAATGCTCAACATCACTGATTATCAGAGAAATGCAAATCAAAACCACTGTGCAATACTACCTCACTCCTGCAAGAATGGCCATAATCAAAAATAAAAAAATAATAGATGTTGACGTGGATGCAGTGAAAAGGGAACAGTTTTACACTGTTATTGGGAATGGAAACTAGCGCAACCACTATGGAAAACAGTGTGGAGATTCCTTAAAGAACTCAAAGTAGATCTACTGTTTGATCCAGCAATCCCACTACTAGGTATCTACCCGGAGGAAAAGAAGTCATTATTCGAAAAAGATACTTGCACATGCATGTTTATAGCAGCACAATTCGCATTGCAAAAATATGGAACTGGCCCAAATGCCCATCAGCCAATGAGTGGATAAAGAAAATGTGTGTGAGTGTGTGTGTGTGTGTGTGTGTGTGTGTGTGTGTGTGTGTTTATGAATGACATAATGGCATTTGCAGCAACCTGGATGGAATTGGAGACTATTATTCTCTGTGGAGTAACTCAGGAATGGAAAACTAAATAGCCTATATTCTCACTTATGAGTGGGAACTAAGCTATGAGGATGTAAAGGCATAAGAATGATATAATGGACTTTGAGGGACTTTCAGGACTCGGGGAGTAGTGGGGAAGGGGGAGAGATAAAAGTCTACACATTGGGTACAGTGCACATTGCTTGGGTGGTGGGTGTACCAGAGTCTCAGAAATCACCACTGAAGAATTTATTCATGTAACCAAGCGCCACCTGTTTTCTCTTATATGAAGACCAAGCTCAGTAATGCTGTGTTTTTATGGACCTATAATTGTGTCCATGCTGCCCTGTCATTTTACCAGTTCTTGTATTTGAGCAGATAATACCAAAAATGGTGCAAACTTACTTTTGCTACAGATGATGACAATTTTAGACTAGGTTACACATATTTATACATATAGTACCTAAGGGTAGGAGCTCAGGCAAGAGTGTAGGGAGGAGCCCAGTAAATGTGAGATGAAATTCTAGAGCAGGTAAAGTCAACGTGGGGTGAAATTCTAGACCAGGTAGAGCTCGTGGCAGGTGCTGTGTTAGGTAGCTAGTTGAATTGGTAGGGAAATGTTTCAGAAGGTAAGATAACAGGTGACCACAAACTTGGTAGCTTACAGAAGTTTATTTAAGTTCCGAAGGGCTAAAGTCCGAAATCAAGATGTCAGCAGGGCCACACTCCCTTCACGTGGCCTTCTCTTTTGTATTTGTGCCTCTTCTGTCTCTTATAAGGATAATTATTGTTGGATTTAGAGCCCACCTGAAATGCAAGATGAGTTCATCTCAAGATCCTTAACTTAAATTTGTAAAGTTGTTTTCTAAATAGTGCAGTCTTTACAGGGTCCAGGTATTAGGATGTGGATATATATTTTTTGGGGGCCACTGGTCAAAACCAGTGAAGTCCTACTTAAAAGCCTGGTAAACTAAGGGAATGGTGAAATAGGGATTGAAATAGAAGAACAACTACCTGTGTTTTTTTGTTTGTTTGTTTTTTCTGTTGCTAGGTTTTTGTTGCTAAAAACCTAGTTGTCCTGACAGAGACGCCCCTTTAAATAAATAGTTCCTGTGCTGAGTATCCCCACCCTACTCTGGAGGGGTGGTTTTGTTTCTCTAAAAATTGCCAGATTCATTCAGGTGGCAGATTAAAAATAAGTAAATGATTTTCTTTTTGAGTAAGTAGTAGGGAGATCTTTGGGAAAAATAACCTAGAAAACAGTATATGTATTTTTGCCATTCTTCTTGCAGATATATAGATTATATTGATATATTTTAACTTTGTCAGTGTTTTCAACATACACAGAAAAGTACAAGATAATAGGTCTTAGCACTCATGTGCTCGTCACCTAAACTTAATAAAATTTTACATTTTTCATATTTCCTTAGGATATATATTTTAAGGAAAAATATATAGTAGACTATTTTACATATATATTTTTATAGTTTCAAAATATTTGGCACAATGCTTAGACTACATTTTTGAGAGTTAGTCATTTTTTATAGTATATACATTATTGGTGTTGTCAGGAGGACTTCTTTCAGATCAATATTTAACTGTGGGTATTTTGAAATGTAATAGTTTACAGTTCTGAAATAGCATGAAGTTCTTAAAAGGAAATCTTATTTAAAAACTTTAATGTTAGATAGTTTGTCAGTAATCTCTTCTTTGAATTATTGCAATAGCCTTTGTTTTTTTGTTTTAAAAAAATTTTGAGATATTTAAAAACAAACAGGAAAGTACGGCAAGGAACATGAACCAACATACTTGCTCCATTAATTCCTTTTGCTTTACCATCTTGCTTCAGGTTTTTTTAAAATGAAATATTATACAATTGAACCCCTGATATTATTTTCCTTTCTTTTTACCTAGAAGTAACAGTTATCCTGAATTTGTTGAGACCTCTATTATGTCTATCCGTAAAAAATATATAGCATTATATGATAAATATTAAAACTGTATATTGCATAGTATTAGACTGTATATTGTATATTATCATGTAATATTAAAACTTTAGTATATTAAAACCTTATATAAAAAGTATATCACTCTGCAGGCTTTTTTTCTCATTTATTCCGTGTAATACATGGATACAGTTCATTTTAACTATTACATATATTTTCATTGTATGAATATACTGCAGTTACTTTTTCCATTATCCCCAAAACATTTAGATTGTTGCAGGTTTTTTTTTTTTTAATATTATAGACCATGCCACATTGATCAGTCTTGTACACGTTCAGTTGTGCATGTGTGCATGACTTCTCTAAGGCATCCGAAAAGTGAGTTGCTGGGTTGAAAGGTGTGTGCCATTTCAGCATTGGTAGAGTTAGACAGAGCCCTTTCTTAAAGAGGTTTTATTATTTTGTATTCACACCAATTGTGTATTAGAATTTTTGTCATTTTGTATCGCCTGCTGTGAGTTGGTTAGGTCAAAAATCTTTTTATTATGGAAATTCTCAAACATATACAAAAGTAAATGTAGAATATAATAAACTCCTATGTACCCCCCACTTAGTTTCAGAAGTCTTTAATATGTGACCAATTTTGTTTTATCCAAAGCCACTCCTACCACCCATGATTATTTCAAAGCCAATCCCTGACATCATATCATCTGTTGCTATTTCAGTGCACATCTCTAAAAGATCAGGATTCTTTTTTTAAAGTAATGGTTACATTTTTTTTAGCATTACTTGTTTTCATTGGAGTATAATATTATACTCCAATAAAAATAGCATTATACTCCAGTAAAAATAAATACTTTATTGGAATATGATGAAATTCATGTCTTAAGTGTACAGTGTGAAAAGTTTTGACAAATATATATGTTTAAGTAATCCATACCCCAATCAAGTTAGAGAACAATTCCATCTGCAACTGGAAGAGATCTATGCAGGCCTGACCCTTGTGGAAGAGAGAGGGAAGTAAAAGAGAAGTTTTCTCAGGCTGGTAGCGGAAAGAGAAGTCAGAGAGATTGGAGGCATGAGAAGGACTGGTCATGCATTGCTGTCTCCAAGATAGGAAGGGGACATGTGATGCCAGTGTCTAAGCAGAGAGTGGCCCTGGTCTGACAGCCAGCAAGGGACCTTCATCCTACAACTGCAAGGAAGTGAATTTAGCCAACAACCCGCATGAACTTGGAAGGAAATTTTTCCCCCCAGCCTTCAGATGAGAGTCAATCTTGGCTGACACCTTTTTTTTTATGGCCTTGTAAGATCACTAGTTAATATCATTAACATCATTACTGATCTCATCAAGCTATCAAGTTCCTAGTATCAAATACAAATTCTCCAGAATCTGACTTTTACTTGAAAGTTCAAATTTTATCATTTTCAACAATAACGCCAGTTGTTTTCCTTGAAATGACTGGCTCACTTCATTTTTTAAGGAAATATCATCATTTGAGTAACCCTAATTTGTCTACCATTCTTTCAAATAGAAATAATATGCCATGAAAAGTGGGGCTAGATGAACTCATCTTCTAGTTCAGTCACTCAGGTGCTTTTCTTGGAGACAGCCCTCTGTTGTATAAAGTGTAAAGTGCTTTATGCCTGTTTCCTAGTTCATCACCCAGAATATCTGTCTAACTGATACGTAGATAATCTGTAGCTACACTAATGTCACCCGTGAGTGTGGTTCTCAAACTCTATGGGACCAAGATTAATACAAAGGATGTTTATTAGGATAATACTGGTATCAACACCTGTGGGAAGGAAGAAATGGGAACAGAGAAGTGAGTAGAGGGAGAAGTTGAGTGTGATGCAGTCTCTTTTTTTTTTTTTTTTTTTTTTTTTTTGAGTCCGTCTCACTTTGTCACCTAGGCTGGAATGCAGTGGTGCAATCATGACTTCACTGCAGCCTTAACCTCCTGGGCTCAGGTGATCCTCCCACCTCAGCCTCCTTAGAAGTTGGGACTACAGGTGTGTACCATCAGGCCTGGCTAATTTTTGTATTTTTTATGGAGATGGGGCTTCTCAATGTTGCCCAGGCTGGTCTTGAACTCCTGGGCTCAAGTGATTCGCCTGCTTCTGCCTCCCAAAGTGCTAGGATTACCGGCATGAGAGGCAGTCTTAAGAAAGGCCTTAGCTGACTCTAGGGAATTCTGAATTGGGATGGCCCTTCAAAGTTGTCTTCAGTTGGGATGACTGACAAACCTTTATACAGTATCCCATTAGGTGTACTACTTTTATAGTTGGCCTCTGATTTTCTTAAGTGGTTGTGTAATGTTTTGTCCACAGTTGACAGTTTTTGTAAGATGTCGGAGAGCTAGAATCCATTGAAGAACTAGAATTTGTTGGAGAAATACAAGCTACTCCACTGTTACTGGAACCAGGACTTCCCTAGGTTTTTTAAAAATTTAAAGTTGTATATAATTTGTTTGCCGGTCACACATCATACTTACATTTGAGAATGTTGAAGATATTCCAAGCATTTTGCATTTTCTTTGGAAATACACTAACTTCCTTGTTAGTGTATTTAACAAAAAAGTGCGTCTGTACTGAGATTTCATCTGTAATCAGAAAACAAAATTATTAGCCACATGTTTAATAGCTGTCAAAAATAGGGCAGGATGTCTCAATAGAAAACCGTAACAATAACAAACAGTAAATATTTGCACAAGAAACACAAAGTATGTGCTATGTAAAAATGAAAAATTACTTTTTAAATTTAAATTTTCTACTTTTTGAGATGGCGTCTTACTCTGTTGCCCAGGCTGGAGTGCACTGGTGTGGTCTGGGCTCACAGCAGCCTCTGCTATCCAGGTTCAAGCGATTCTCCTGCTCAGCCTCCCGAGTAGCTGGGATTACAGGCACCCACCACCATGGCCGGCTAATTTTTGTATTTTTAGTAGAGATGGGGTTTCACCATGTTGGCCAGGCTGGTCTCGAACTCCTGACCTCAAGTGATCCGCCCACCTTGGCCTCCCAAAGTGATGAGATGACAGGTGTGAGCCACCGTGCCTGGCCAAAATGATTACTTTATGGTATTGGATAATATATTAAATTTTGGGCTCTTTTTTATGGATTTTTATATTTTACAAGTTAACCAGTTATTGATTTGATGTATGATGTTTGATATGGTTCCTGTTGAAATAATTTAGCTCAAAGATATTTTAAAAAGTTTTACTCTCAGGCACATACTTATTGTGAAATATTATACATGAGAAATAATATTTTAAAAATATATTCTAGTTTAATTTGATGTCACTAATATAGCTTGGAGAAGACACAATGCCTATACTAAACTTGTTTGCTTTTTCCATATTTAACAAAATATTGTGAGATATTTTATAACCAAATTTTAAAAAAGTAAGTAGAATAAAACAGTAAATATGTTATGGAATATAATTGCATCATTGTATGTTTCTGCTTGTATTCTCACTGTAAACTCAAATGAGAGAGATTAGGGAGAGGAAAGACAAATGCTTCCTGACTTTTATCCACGTCCAAAAACAACTACTTTTTTCAATAACATCTGAAACATTTCCTCAAAGACATGGATGGTGGATTTGGGAAACAAGTAATTTCTTTTAAAGTAGATTTTATTAAATAATTTGGATTGGCCAAGCAGTATAATGTTAAACTTTAGGTTTTTCTCAACCTGTATGTTACAGTAATTATTTCTTTTACAAGAGTGCCACCCAATGTCCCAATTCTTCAGTAGCATATAACTTCGTTTTTCATTTAGCAGCTTAAAAATATATTAAGGCTGCGCACAATGGTTCGTGCTTGTAATCAGCACTTTGGGAGGCCGAGACAGGCAGATCGCTTGTGCCCAGGAGTTTGAGACCAGCCTGGGCAACATGGCAAAACCTTGTCTCTATAAAAATTACAAAAATTAGCCAGGTGTGGTGGCATGCCTGTGGTCCCAGCTACTAGGGAGACTGAGGTGGGCAGATCACTTGAGTCGGAGAAGGTTGAGGCTGCAGTGAGGGGATCGCGCCACTCTACTGCAGCTTGGGTGAGTGAGACCCTGCCTCCCACCCCCAAAAAAATTGTTGCTTGGAATTGGGCCATATTAATGTTATGCATATATATATCTTAATATTCAGACTGTTCTACCAAAAGTGATGCAAGTGAAAATCCTTAAGTAATTGGATTTTTAAAAACATTGATTCATTTTAAGGGATTCAGATATATCGTGGTTTTCCTGTGGCCCCTAGCCTAGTCGATAGCCTCTCCACTACGCTACCTTTTGTGTTCTTAGAGCTCTATAGACTTTTCAGCCTTAAATTTGCAGTTAAGGCAGCATTGGGATTGCACAGTAGTGGTGATAGTGGTGGTATAGACTTAACATAGTGTAAAAACGATATGAATTAGCTCTTTGATAATTGGTAGCATTTGATAATTGAGCGAGTAGTAAAAAGTTTAATTAGGGGAAAAAGTTTTTTCAAAGGTTCACTAATTAATATAAACATAACTTCCAGAAAATTATTTAAATAATATAATTTGTATATATTTTTTCAAATATTTCAAATATTTACATGTGACCTCTGCCTTAATTATAAATAAATTGCATCTGTTTATACAAATTCCCTTTGGTTTTCTGTCAGTACACACTTTATAAGTATGTGAGGTTAGTAAGTTAATGAAGACTAATGTTTTGCAATAATGCCCAAGTTAAGCCAAAAGAATAGTATAATTAAAAGCCTATATTTGACAAAAGCAAGTTCAGTTAAGATAATTGTATTCTTTAAAATACAGAGTTTAGATTTTTGTAAATCCAGAAACTTGTCCAGGTGGTACAGCATTCTGTAAAAAACATAAGGCTTAAATTTTAACTTTTTTCCCCTTGTTCTGCGTCCTAGGGTAAGTGATGTAATAACTCACAACCTTATGTGAATTGGGCATAGCCAAATGTACCTTCATAGGTGGTTGTGACTATTTAATAAAATTACGTGTATTATTTAATGGAGTTTATTGCCAATTTTGTTATCTTTTTTTACATTTAATTTTACTTTTAAGTTCTGGGATACATGTGCAGGACATGCAGGTTTGTTATGTAGGTAAACGTATGCCATGGTGGTATCCTGCACCTGTCAACCCATCACCTAGGTATTAAGCCTGCATGCATTAGCTACTTATCTTGATGCTCTCCCTTCCCCCACTTCCCCAACAAGCCCCAGTGTGTGATGTTTCTCTCCCTGTGTCCATGTGTTGTCATCATTCAGCTCCCACTTAATAGTGAGAACATGTGGTATTTGATTTTCTGTTTCTGTGTTGGTTTGCTGAGGATAATGGCCTCCAGCTCCATCTATGTCCCTGCAAAGGACATGATCTCTTTCCTTTTTATGGCTACATGGTATTCCAATTTTGTTATCTTTTAAATGGGTTAAAAATAGTTAATTTTGTTGTCTTTTAAAAGGAAGAATCAATTTTGTTACCTTTTAAAAGGACTAACTTTTGGTTTTGTTGATTTTACTCTTATTTTTTTCTGTTCTCCATTTCTTTCTGCTCTGATACCTTTACTATTTTTATCTGCTTGCTTTGAATTTAGTTTGTTCTTTTACCAGTTTTTAAATTTTAGGTTATTGATGTGAAATCTTTCTACTTTTTAAAATACAGGCATTTACAGCTATACATTTCCTCTAAGTGTGGCTTTCATTACATCTCATTAGTTTTGGTGATTGTGTTTTTGTTTTCATTTGTCTCAAAGTATTTTCCTATTTCCCATCTGAATTCTTTTTTGACCTATTATTTAGGAGTGAGTTTAATTTCCACTTACTTGTATATCTCTCAGATCTCCTTGTTATTAATCTCTAATTTTGTTCCATTGTTTTTAGAGAGCGTAGTTTGTGTGATTTCAGTCCTTTTAAATGTATCAAGATTGGTTTTATGACCTACCACATGTTCTATCCTAAAATGTTCCATGTGCACTTGAGAAGAATGTATATATTATTGTTGTTGGGTAAAATACCCTGTAGGTGTCTGTTAGGTCAGGTTGATTTACAGTGCTGTTCAGGTCTCTATTCCTTGTTGACCATTTAATTATTTTATCCAATACTGAAAGTGGGATACATGTCTCTATTATTGTTGCATTGTCTATTTGTCCTCTGAAATCTGTCAGTTTTGTTTCATGTATTTTGGGTGTCTGTTGTTGGATGTCTGCTACAAATTTACCTCTATCATTCTAAAGTATCCCTTGTCTCTAGTAACAGTTTTTTTCTTAAAGTCTTATTTTGTTAGATGTTAGTGTAGCCATTTTCATCTCTCCTTTTGGTATTGTTTTCATGAAATAGCTTTTCCATCCTTTCACTTTCAACCTATTCATGTCTTTATATTTAAAGTGTGTTTCTTGTAGAAAGCATATATTTGGATCATGTTTAGTTCAGTTTTTTTTTTTTTAAACTGTCAATGTAATGTTTAATTGGAATATTTAGTCTTTGTACATTTAATGTGGTTACTGATAAGATAGGATTTATTTCTGCCATTTTGCCATTTGTTTTCTATGTCTTACGTAATTTTTTCCCATTTTTCCTCCGTTATGGCATTCTTTTTTGTTAGATATTTTCCAGTGCATAATTTTAATTTCCTTATCTTGTATTTTAGTATATTTTTTGAGTTATTTTGTTAGTGGTTGCCCTGGGGATTATAATTAACAATTGAAAATTTAATTTATAACACTCTAGTTTGAATTAATACTCACTTAATTTCAATAGTATATAAAAACTTTGTTCCCATATAGTGCCTTCCCTTCCCCTTCCTTTGTACTGTTATTTCATACAAATTATTCTTTATACATCATGTACCCGTTAACCAAATTTATGATTTGCTCTGTGCAACAGTCTTTTAAATTAGGTAGAAGAAGAAAAGAAAAATAAAATATAAGCAAAAATACATTTATACTGTCATTCATACTTACCTATGTAGTTAGCTTTACCTGTGCTTTTTATTTCTTCATCTGCATTTGAGTTAATCTAGTGTTCTTTTATTTCAGTCTGAAGGACTCCCTTTATTATTTCTTGTGGGGCAGATTTTCTAACTACAAATTCTCTTAGTCTCTGTTTATCTGAGAATGTCTTAATTTCATCATATTTGGTGGATATAGTGTGTTGTGTGTCTCTTGTAGAAACATATACTTGGATCATGTTTTTTTCTTTTTTAACCATTCTGTCAATGGAATGTTTAATTGGAATATTTATCCATGTACATTTAACGTAATGACTGATAAGATAGGATTTACTTCTTCCATTTTGCTGTTAGTTTTTTATGTGTCTTGTTAACAATTTCTTTTTTCCCTTTTTTGTACTGGAAAATATTTAACAGAAAAGAATGCCATAATGGAGGGAAGAAAGGGGGAAAATGACATTGTTTCACAAGTCTTGATTGACAGTCATTTTTCTTTCAGCACTTTGAATACGTAATTCTACTGCCTTCTGGCCTCCATGATTTCTGATCAGAAACCAGCTGTTAATCTTATGGAGGATCCCTTGTATGTGATGTGTCACTTTTTTCTTGCTGCTTTGTCTTTGGATAGTTTGATTATGGTATGTAGGTGTGGATCTTTTTGAGTTTATCCTACTTGGAGTTTGTTTTGGATATACAGATTTTAATGCTTTTCATCAAAGTTGTAAAGGTTTTGGCCATGATTTCTTTAAATAGTCCTTCTGTTCCTTTCTCTCCTCCCCTCTCACTGTATGTATGCAAGTGTGCTTGATGGTGTCCTACAGTTCTCTAGGCATTGGTCCTTTATCTTCATTTTGTTTTCTTTCTGTTTTTGGATTAGATAATCTCAATTGACCTATCTTCATATTTGAAGAATTAGATAATCTCAATTGACCTATCTTCATATTTGAAGAATTTTTCTTCCATTTTCTCAGATTTGCTGTTGAGCCCTTCTAGTGAATTTTTCATTTCAGTAATTGTACTTTTCAATCCTGAATTTCCGTTTGGTTCTTATAGCTTTTTAAAAATATTCTCTATTTGGTGAAGCATCATTCTCATACTTTCTTTGCACAGTTTCCTTTAGTTCTTTGAACGTATTTAAGATAATTGATTTAAAATATTTGTCTAATACAGCCAACATCTGGGTTTCCTTAAGGTCAGTTTCTATTGATTGTTTTTCCCTCTATGTATAGGCCATACTATTTTATTTCTTGGCGTGTCTTGTAATTTTGTTGTTGTTGTTGAAGACTGGACATTTTATATAATATAGTGGGGTGGCAACTTTGAAAATCATATTTGGCTCCAGGATCCTTATTGTTGCTGTTTGTTGTTTTTTATTTGTTAGGTGACTTTTCTGTAATCTGTAAAGTTTGTATTCTCTGTGCATGGCCACAGAAGTCTGTTCAAATGGCTTTGTGGTCAGCTAGTGATTGTACAGATTTCCTTAAACTCCTGGGACCAGTCATTTTCCCAGTTTTTGCTGAGAGGCTCTTTGTGTGTGTTGGTACACTCCTTTAACAGTCATCCAGACATTTGATAACTTTGCTTAGCCATCACTTCCTTCTTGCACAGAGCCTCTGAGTCAGTCTTGTCCGGACTTCTTTGAGCATGTACACAGTTCTGAGCATACACACAGCCCTGTACATGTGAATAGACTTTGAGATTTTCAGGAATATGTCTAAACTTTTCAAAGTCTCCATGGGCATCTTACTTCTCAGTTTTTTCTTTTAAGCTTTTTCATTAGTGTATTTATCTTTGTCCTACTGCTTTCTACCATTTCAGGCAGCCACAACATTAAATAATTGCCTCAAAATACTTTTTTTCTTTGCAAAACAGGCTCTCACCCTTCACTCAGGTTGGAGTGCAGTGGCATGATCATAGCTCACTGCAGCCTTAAACTCTTTGAAGGTATCCTCCTGTGTCAGCCTCTCAAGTAGCTGGGACTACACGTATGCACCATCATACCTGGCTAATATTTAATTTTTTATAGAGATAGAGTCTTGCTATGTTGTCCAGGCTGGTCTCAAACCCCTGACCTTAAATGATTCTCCTGGTTCAGCCTCCTAGAGTGTTGGGATAACAGGCATGAGCCACCCCACCTGGCCCTCTAAATATTTTAGGCAAATGCTTGTGGGGAAGAGATTTTTTTTTTTTTTTTTTTTTTTTGCTCTAGCCAAGCTGTGAGTCAGGTCAAATAAAGACAGTCCAAGTAGCGTGTTTGAGGATGTCACCGGATAGGTTGATATAATGACAGTTCTCTGGGAATGAGGCTTTGAAGGCACTTAAAATCCGTTGGTGGCTGCCAGGCTCCTGGCTTTCAGTGGTATTATGTGTTGCTGGTTTTCATGGTGACTGTGGAGCTGCAGATCAGAGGGAAGGAATAGGGTAAGTTGAAATACCATTAAATTTGCTGTTCTTACGGAGATTCAGCTGTTTTTCTTGAAAAAATGTTCCATGGATTGCTGCAAGCTTTTAGTTAATTTCCAGAATTTTGAAAAAGTTAAGGAGAGAATTTTCAGAGGTACTCACTCTACTGTTTTCACTGATGTAATTCTTATGGCTGTTACTTAAACCTCAATAAATGTAGGTTCCTTTCCTTCACTGTCATTGGTTTGAACTACCAAGATTTTAATACATGACCATTCTGTTTTAGATATTTTACAATCTGGATTTAGATCCTACAAGCCTTCTGAAATTTGAATCTCTTGCCATATATTCCAGCCCAATTCTGAGAATTCTGCAACCATGACAGAATGTGGATGGTGTAGTGCATAGGACATTGGTGCTGACATCTGTTGTCTTTACTGCTTTCCTGTCTGAATGCAAAACCTCAGTTAATGGACAACAGTGCACTTAGATCAGCTGTTTCTTGGTTTTTATTTCATTATTTCGTCATCACCATGGAGCCTATCAGCTCTTCACTTGTACTCAAGAAGAAAGCCAACAAGTGAATTGAGTTGGTATCTTTTTATTTCCACCCTGACGTTTCTGGTACTGCTTCTTCATATTTACTTCAAGTAGTCCCAAAATGTGATTTAAGTATCTTATCTGGGCAGATGTCTAGTGGATTCTTTCTTTGGCTGAAACTTTGTTTCTGGTGAGTATCATAGACATTATTCATCTTAATTGCTTAATGTTCTTTGGGAAATCCTGGCATGTAGAAATCTCTTTGGCTCTCTCTGACAGGAGTATTGAATTTACTTTTTGTTTTGCTGTGGATCAGCTGTCTTTTACTTCTTTAGCTGTTTTTTAAAAATGAATATTTGGTATTTAAATTGGTATCTAAACCAGATCTTTATTTTAGATTTTTAAAAGGTTAGTGAAAACATCTGTATTCATAAAAGTAAGCAAACATCTTTTCCACATTTTTCTCCTAAACTATGCCAAGATTATATCTTGAAAATACACTAACTTTCTGTTTTCCCACTACCATTCCTGCCATCACCCAGCCTTCTGCCACCCCTCCCTAGAGTCTATTTCACTGCCTATTATATCCGTCCTGTGCTGCAGCACTCAGTCATGAATTGTCAGGACAAAAGGAAAATGTAAGAAACAAATAAAAGCACTCTTCAATTCCACTGGTACCACAGCTAAGCTTTATGTAGTTGGCTAATGATAAATTTTGAACTGTTTAAACATTCCAAGCAAGCTAGAGGTACAGAGTAGCTAAAATTCAGTCTACTTATATTTGTTCAGTAAGGAAGCCACTAGCCATATGTGGTTATTGAGCCCTTGGGATGTTGCTATTCTGAATTAAAATGTGTACTGTAAGTGGAAAATTCAAGCTGTGTTCAAAGACTTAGTATGAAGAAAGAATGTAAAATCTCATTAATTTTAGAATATTGATTACACATTGAACTGATAATGATTTGGATGTATTGAGTTAGACAAAATATATTACAACAATTAAGTTTACCTTTTAAAAAAGTTTTATTAAAGTAGCTACTAAGAAATTTAAAACAATATATACCACTTGCATTATTTCTATAGTATGACACAGCACTGCACTAGATCCTTGCTAGTCAAGGGGATACTGCAATATCCTTTTTCTACCCCCAGAATACAGCATCTCCCGACTCCAGCCATACTCAGTCAGAATCTGCATTTTAGTAAGATCCCCATGTGATATCTTTTTACATTAAAAGTTTGCAAACAAGAAGTATTGCACTATTAGATTGCTGCAGGATGAACAGATTTACAGGAAAAATTTTGCATAAAATCAGTTACCAGAGAGGTTGCACTTAAAGAGTACTAAAAAGTAGGTTGTGAATGAGAACAGTGACAACAGGTTTTCCCAGGTGTATTTCTGTTTAAACTCTTGGAAACGAGGGTAACTATCTTTCTCTTCTCCCTTTTGCTATATCAGTTTATTCCCTGGATATAACCTTTCTGGACCATGCAGAAATTTATTTCCTGTGAATTATTTTTACACTTAATTAGGGTGTAATTCTACTTAAAATTTGAGAAAACTTCCTGTGTCTTGTAGTGTAGCAGGGCATAGCTTTTGGCAATTAAAACATCAAGGTTGAAGTTCTCCGGCTTTTTTACTTAGTAGCGTTGTGTCCTTGGGAAAGTTGCTTAACCTGTCTGAACCTATTGCTTAACCTGTCTGAACTTGGACACTGAAGAAAAAACACTAAGATACCAGCTTTCATATACTTGCTGGTAAAACTGGACCAAGTTAATTATCACTTGGTCTCTTTGAGGGTTCTGTAACTCTTAGGTTCACTTGTCACGTTTCTTCTTGATGAGGGAATATGCTTTAGAGTAGCAAAAGAGACCAGTACTGCTTAAAATATTTGATCAATGCTGAAGGTAAATGAATGCTTCAGATGCTGCTGTTTCTTCATCCTGTTGCTCAGTAAACTCCAATAGTAGCTATAGTTGTCAATATTTCAGAAGTAATTGGTCCCACAGTGCCTATCTGCAGGATTCTTTGGGTCCTGCATATTCACAATGTCCCTGAGTAAAGAGGGCCAGTGACTCAGTGAGGTCTTGGAAGGAAAGAGAAGATTCGAGTGTCCACAAGTAACATACTGTGGGTACGTCCAGGAGGAGCAGAAAGAAAGAAGAGGGTTGGAGCATAGGGTCCCATTGCCTACTATTTAAAAAAATTTTTTTTAGAGGCAAGATCTTCTTCTGTCATCCAGACTAGGGTGCAGGGGTGTGATCATAGCCCACAGCAGCCTGGACCTCCTGCCCTTGCCCACTATTGGCCTCAGCTTTAGGTTGAGGCTCTCCTCCGGAAAGCCTGTTTGTCCTCTACTGCTTGTACTCTTCCTCATTTCTTCAGTATTCACCATTGCAGGATGGGTGCAGAGAGCCCTGGAGTTTCTGGGGCGCAGCTCAGGACTGGGATTGGTTCCACTCATCTCTGCTGCCTATGAATTTTTACCATAAACACACACACACACACACACACACACACACACACACACACACACACACACACACAGTAATGACAATTACAAAGCTTGTTTCGATTGTAATGGGGTTTTAGGAGGGAGCAAAATTAAAATGCATATTTCAGCCCACCCCTTCCTTTAGAAGTCTAGTTCATTGTCTGATTTCTTTTAAATTTGTTCTTATTCATTAATAAATAGAAGTTTGTGATGTTTAATTGACATTAAAAGTTCTATTCAATTAAAATGGATATGGTGGTTATCTTATTATTGTCTTTGCTAGAAACTTTGCCTCCTTAAAATAAGACTTCATGGCTTCGCATAGATTTTATTTTTGCGGGCAGTATCATTTTCCAGTTTTCTTTATATCATACTGGGAAAATTATGTGTCTGAAAATATCGGTGTCCTCAGCTTCCAGACATTATTTCTTTCATTTTTTTCTGTAGACTTTTTTTTTTCCTAGTTAGAATATATAGCATCTTCTGAGCTGTATTTGAAACATCGCTTCACATTAGAATCACCAAGGGAGCTTTTAATAAATAATGATACCCTCTCTTTATCCCTAGAGAATCTGGTGTAGTTGGTGAGATTCAGGTTTTGGTATGTTTTAAAGGCTCCTTAGGGAATTGTAATGTGTAGTTAGACTTCAGAACTGTTGTGCCATTGAATTGAGTTTAACCTGTAAAATAGTTGTAAAAATGAATAAAATATAACTTGGAGCAAATATGTTACCATTACAGAGTCTACACAAAAACAGTTACTAGGCTTTAATGTAAGAGAATCACCTACAAGTTCTTAAACAGTGCGGCTTTCTGAGTCTTAACTAGTTTACTAGTTCTAGAGTGGAGCCTAGAAACCTGCATTTTTAATTGCTTTGCAGGTCATTGTGATGCAGATGGTTCACAATCCACTGCATCAAACCAAACTGGATTCTAATCAGAGGGTATGTGTTTATTGAGGAATCTGTATCTTCTCATGTTGAGAAAACTTGACCATGGCAAGTAAAAATTTATGTATTCTCCTGTACTTGGGGAATATGTACTCTACTTAGGTTTTGGACAGTTTTTGAGTGACCTTTTGTTTTCTGTTGTACTGATGCATTAAAGCTAAAATATATGTATTTTTCCATTCCCCCTTGCTTCCAAAGTTTATTCACGGATTTTCATTGTTAGTATCAGTCACACTTAGAAAAATTCTTAGTTCTGTGCCGTATACAGACCCTTCCTTTTGCCTTAAAATTTAACTGTGTTGATTTATCTTTTTTTCCTCCCACATTCTCTGTGCTCCTGGACACTCCAAATGGTGAATAAACATACTGAAGGGATTTAAGCTACATTATCTCAGTTAATGATATTCTGGTTTAAAAAAAGTTGATCCATTCTGGAGAATGTTTCAGATATAGGGAAAACATATTCATTGTTAAGTGATCTGGTCTGTCTGATCTAGTTTTCTAAAGTAATTTATGCAAGTGCTATAGTTTCAGGAACCTCATTTGCCCAAAGTAGAATTTCTTCTCACTTTTTGTCCTTGAGCTTTAGGGTAGAGAAATGTGTTTGAAAACTGTATGGCCAGGTTTTATTTTTTCATGTCAAGATGGTTATGGATTATTCTGCTTGAAGCCTGGCAGACTAATTATGTGGGATTGAGAATGAACATTGTGTGTGTGTGTGTGTATGTGTGTAGTTAATGTGAATATTAATAACCTCCAGATGTTATTTTTGTTTGTAAGTAGGAGCATGTCTCTACTTTTTTCACTCTGGGAGACAATTGTGTGGCAGAAAAAGTGCTCTTGTGAAAGCGTCAGGCAAGAAGTCTTAAGTGCTTATCTTTATGCATAGTATGCTAATGTTACTGAAATTATAAAAAATGAGAAAAGTTTGAAAAATTACTGTAGAAATATTTCTGGGCCAGAAAAATAGAGACTATGACCAGCTAGTCTGAGAGATTGCCAGACAGTGTGATTTTTGCTGGTTTGCAAGACTTTAGTTCTCTACTCTTGTGTGCTGCTTATGTGAAGCATAAATTGCATGACAGATCTCAGAAACAGCCAAAACATTAGTTTAAATTTTCTCGTTTATCATTTGTGAGGATAGGAATACTAGAAAAGTTACCAAAAAGGTGTCTCAGCTTGAACTCAGTAAAACAGAATGGAAGGAAAAGATATGCTTTGTAAATTCATAACCATTTTTATCATTGATAATTACAACTATCTCAATAGCATGGATAAAGAATGAGAGAATGATTTTTGTATATATAGTCCTAGGTACTTGCAACTGAAATTTGTATTTATTTCCTGATAGGAAAAAAGCACACCTTTCAAAATAAAGGTATTTCTATTTGAAATAATGCCCCAAATGGGAGAAGAATTCTAAAAAGTCAGCGATCAGGTTCTCAAGATCATAATCTGAGGTTGAAATCTAATTGAATGCAGCACCTCATCCCAATGTGGCCCAATGGCTGGTTGATGTAGGGTGGCTGTCTCTCTTGCCCTTTCTCAATTCTGAAGGGCCATGCTGACTTTAGTGCTCCCTGAAGGGTTGGCCGTGGCTCTCATTGGGTCTGCAGTGAAGTTCATCTGTTCAACTTCTTTCTTTGCTCAATTCCTGTTTCTTCTCCTCCTTACAACAGATGTTCTTCTCACCCGCACTCCCTCATTAACATTCTACTTGACAAATGTGTCAGAGTCTGCTTCCTGGAGAATCTAACCTGCAGTATCCACCTTGTGTTACTATAAGGTTTTACTTTTTCATTGGCTAGGCATTGTCATCCTGAATAGTTTTGTTGTTGTTGTTGTTTTTTACATTCAGCACTGGGTGGAAGTTCTCCAGTGCGTCAGACGCTTTCATTTGGAAAATATTTTACTCAGGCTCCTTTCCCCCGTTCTGTCTTCCTTTGGTATGTATTCTGTCCCTTTTCTGTCTCATCTCTCCTGCCTCCTTTTATAGTTCTGACATTGCCATTTATATTAATATCAATTTATATCTGAGGAGATCAGGGAAGGGTTCTTAAAGGAGATGACACTTGAGCTAATTTAGGACAAGTAGGATTTTGTGTAGGGGGCTTTGTGTGTGTGTGTGTGTGAGATTAGCTGCAGTGGGAGATGGAATGCATTGAAGGTGTAGGGAACCATCTCTCTAAAGAACTTGAAACAGCTTGATAAACGTGGAGAGTTATAAACAGTTCCTATGACTGACAGAAGAAACAATGTTAAGTATAGAAGGACCAGGGCATGTTTATCATTTGAGGAAGTTTGCACTTCATTAGCAGTGGGCTACTATCGATAAGTTTGTCTTATGTTCTCAGGATCAGCTTTATAATAAACAGATATTATTTAACGTATTTAATATTTCACAGTATATTTAAAGTCATGAAATGATATTTAAAAGGTTTTGAATTTGCATAAAGCTAATGACTTAAGTGTCAACAGATTTTAAAAGTAGATATCACAGTTGGTTTTGATGTTTTACCTGAGTCTGCACAGTGACAAGAGCAACTTACAAGCACTGTGTAGTTGGTACTGTGTTAAGTCCATTGTGTACATTGTCACGCTTAATTCTCCCAGTGTCCTTCTCAGTTTGTTCCTATTAGTCCAATTTTGCAGGTAAGAAAATTGAGGCCTATGTTAAGTAGCCTGCCCAGGGTCCCACAGTAATCACCACGTTTGGGATTTGAACTTAGGTTTAAACTCACTACCAAGCTAGTGCTTTTAACTATTTTGCAAAGCTGACTTCAGTGACGTGTATATGTCTATTTCTTTGACTGGTGTATTTATTTCAAAAATTAGAATAATCCTTGAGGAGTATTTCAAAACTTGTTTTCTTAGTCATTTCTTAAATAAAAATCTTCAGAAATCAGAAATGGAGAATAGACAGTACTGAGCTTTTTACTTTGAGTATATTTTTCTAGAGGAGGTATAAAGACATCTCAGGCAGTTCTGTGATTCATGATATATAAATTACAGAGTATATATATACATGGTTATAAAAGTTAGCTCTAGAAAATGCTCATAGAAGAGAGATATCTTTTATACTGAACTTTTAAAAAATAAATACTGCCTGGGATTTAACATCTTCCTACCACTTAGGCAGTGTTAGATTTTGGCAAGGCATACCCCTTGGCATGACATGGCCCCAGGGTGACCTATCTTGCACTACTGTTGTGTATCAGTTTCTTCATTAACCTTATATATGGTTTGTGTTACTGTGGTGGCAGCTTAGTTTTCAGAGCATAGACCACAGGTTTCTGGATTACTTATAACAATAGCTAACAAGAAAGGGGGACATACAGGTTTTGATATCAGACAGGGTGAATTTAGAGCAGAAAAGATTTAAAGAGGCAAAGAAGGAGGTTTACAGTAATAAAGAGTGCACACTGATTATTCATGCTCCAAATAACATAGCATTAACAAACATAAAGTCAAAACTATAAAAAATAAGGAAAAATAAATTATTGGACAAAGCAGTAGCCAAAAATTAAGTAAAGATTTAGAACAACCTGATTAATGTGAGGTATATTTAGTTAAAATATATTTAACTTTATGCTCAATAAACAGAGCACACCTTATTTTCAAGTTCTCTTGGAACATTACAAAAACTGATTATATATTGGGCCATTTAGAAAAAAAAACTTCAGTAAATTTCCCAAAATAGAAATAGTTGAGGTGGAATAAAAGTAGAAATTAATAATTTTAGAAAAAAACTTATAAAAACAAATCACTATCACTGGGCAATTAAGAATCTTTAAATAAATTTTTGAGTTGAAGAATTTAAAAATTGTAGAAAATGATGATAAAATGTATTAGAACCTATGGGGACTCAGCTAAAATCTGAAAGATTGTCTTTTTTTTTTTTTTTTTTTTTTTTAAAGACAGTCTCACTCTGTCGCCCAGGCTGGAGTGCAGTGGCGCAATCTTGGCTCACTGCAGCCTCTGCCTCCTGGGTTCAAGCGATTTTCCTGCCTTACTCCCAAGTAGCTGGGATTACAGGCACCAGCCACCATGCTGGGCTAATTTTTGTATTTTTAGGAAGGTCAGGATTTCACCAGGCTGATCTCGAACTCCTAACCTCAAGTAATACACCTGCCTGGGCCTCCCAAAGTGCTGGGATTACAGGAGTGAGCCACTGCCACCGGCCTTAAATATACATATTAATAAAGAATTAGAATAAATGAATTACCCATGTAACTCAAGGAGAGAGAAAAAGAATATCAAAATATATTTTTCAAAGAGAACAGAGGAGGATTTGAATAAAGACTGGTAGTCTGAATAGTGGCCTGTCAAATATGTCCGCATCCGAATCCCTGGAACCTGTATGTTACTCTGCATGGTGTGTTTGTTGCTGCTGCAACAAATTACCACAGACTTGGCGGCTATAAGAGTAGAAACTTACTCTTCTGGTTTTGGAGACCAGAAGTCTGAAATAAGGTGTGGGCAGGGTTGTGCTCGCTCCAGAGGCTCTAGGTGAGAATTCTTTCCTTGCCTTTTCTTGTTTCTGGTAGCTGCTGACATTCCTGTCGTTCCAATTTCTGCCTCTGTTTTCACATCGCTCTTTTCTCCTCTGTGTCCAGACCCCCTCTGCCTCTCTCTAACGAGCATTTAGAGACTGCCTGCATAATCCAGGATTATCTTCTCATCTCAAAATTCTTCATTTATTCAAGTCTGCAAAGACTCTTTTTTCAAATAAGGTAGCATTTATAACTTATAGGGATTAGGACATGGAGGTATTTTTGGGAGCCATATCGGTTTGCCACACATGGCAAAAGGGACTTTGCAGATGTGATTAAGCTAATGATTTTGAGATAGGGAGATTATCCTGGATTATCTGGGTGAGCCCAAGGTAATCACACGGATTCTCAGAGAGACAGGAGAGTCAGGCTGAGTAGTAGATGTAATAACAGAAGCAAGAAGTTGGAGTGATGTGAGGGAGGGGTCATGAGCCAAGGAATGTAAATGGCCTTTAGAAACTGAAAAAGGCAAGGAAATAGATTCTCCCCTCTCCAGAAGGAACCAGCCCTGCTGAAACCTTGATGTTAGCCCACTGAGACTGATTTTGGACTTCTGACCTTCAGAATTGTAAGAGAATACATTTCTGTTGTTTTAAGTCATTGAATTTGGAGTGACTTGTTACAACAGCAATTGGAAACTAATACCATGATCAAAGCAGAAATTAATACATATAGAATGCCCTGAGTGCTAGGATGTGTTCTAGCACATACATGAACTCATTTAGTTCTGACAATTACCTTATGAGGAAAGGAACTGTTATTGCTAAACTGAGGCACCAAAACCCTAATCCTAACCAAATCATAAGGAAACCTTAACCCTAGGTTTAAGAAAGGGTAAAATTAAAGAGAGATGAGGGCTGGGGGTTGTGGTCACCCTGTGGTTGTAAGAATAGCAGCACGTGAGTTACTGTGAAGTGATGGAAGGAGGCTGCTCAGAAAGAGGAGAGAAAGTTGTTAACACCTGAGTAGAGGATGTGGCTCATTGTCTTGTGAGGTATATCCATTTTGAGTGTTCCTAAGCGGCTGGGGTCAGCTGCATGCAGTTTTCTTAATTCACTTGGTTTAGTGATGGACAAACTGTCCTGCTTGTTTTGGTCAATAAAGTTTTATTGAAAAACAGCCATGCCCATGCATTTGCTATTGTCTGTGGCTGCTGTCCTTCTACGAAGATGGAGTTGAGCAGCTGTGATAGAGACCATGTGGTCCACAAAGCCTAAACTATTTATTATCTGGCCCTTTACAGAAAAAGTTTGCTGACCGTACCTAGTGCTCTTGTCAGATGAAGTCACGCGTAAGCAAATGCTGAATTCATGCTGTGTTCACATTGTTCCCTCATGTATCAATTTGAAACAAATTTGCATCTTCAAAGCAAATGTTGTGGCAATATTGTCTCTACATGGAACTTAAGACTGTAGTCCACCTCTGGAGAGCAGAGTGAAGGCAACAAAGGAGAGACACCTTCCTGGAAGCCCTTTGAATCCCCTCAATCTCTCTGTGCTGAAAGTGAGACCACCCCTTAGATAGTTTCCATTATATGAATCAATAAATTTATTTTCATTCAAGCCAGTTCTAGTTATGTTTTCTGTCACTTAAAATAGCAATTAAAAAACATTTTTATTTTAGAATAATTTTAGATTTATGGAAAAGTTGCAGATATAGAACAGAGACTTCTCGTTGACCTCATATCCAATTTCCCCTACTGTTAACATCTTACATTAGTGTGGTACGTTCATCTTACGTAAAGAACCAATATGGATATATTATTGTTAACTGAAGTCTATACTTCATTTGAATTTCTTTAGTTTCTTCATACTTTTTTCTTCTATTCCAGGATTTCATCTGGGATGCCATTACCTTGAATCATCATTTCTCCATAGGCTTCTTTTTGTTGTGACAGTTTCTCAGACTTTCCTTGATTTTGATGAACTTTACGATTTTGACTAGTACTGGTCAGTTATTGTGTAGAATGTCCCCCAGTCTTGGTTTGTCTGATTTTTTTTTTCTCATGGTTAGACTGGAGTTACGGGTTTTCCGGAGGGGTCTGCAATTCTCTTTTAAAAATTACTACTTGAGGTATAAGAAAACAAAACAAACATTCTTACCTGCAGGATTTTTTATAATTTTTATTAAAAATTATTTAAAACACTGACTTTTCGCCCTACAAAACTATTTATTCTCCTTTCCTGTCTCTTCCTGACCTCATTTAATGCCTCAATTTATTATCCCTGTAGTGTCTTCGTATGATTTGTCATTTTGGCTGTCACAGAGCACTGTGTCTATTTGAAGTGTTTTAAAATGGCTTATGTAGCATTATGAAAATGTTGCACTATTAAAAATGTTATCTACATCAAAATTCAAGATAAGGGAAGCTGACATTTTCAGTTTTGTCTATTTATATTACATTAAATGTTACTAACATCATTTAATATTATCATATAATATTAATAAGATAGCATTCATTTACTGTAATTGAGATTGGCCACACTATTTTTAACATGTCCTGCAGTACCTTATAAGGGTACTGTGATGACATCTTGGACTCATGTATCAGTGACTTTTCTCCATTACTGTTACGCACCTGCTGCCAGTTGCAGGGAATCTCATATTATTACCGGCTGTCAGTTGCCTTTGGCAAGTAGTTCTGACAAATGGAAGATTAAAATGTAACTACTATAGGTGGCAAGCTATGTTCCTTGTGTCAGTTAAAATACCTCCTGAGTATTTTTCTGGTTTAACTCAGGAAGCAGTGATTTTGTCCATTTTCGGTGAAAGGTGAGTTTCATTGAACATTGCAGCCTGTTAGTGACTTGGGGACATCTCTTGATTACGCTGTATCTTAGTTTATATCATTTAAATTTCAGATAGCGGAACTACGAAGTGAATACAAAAGTATGAGGCTAGACAAATGGAAATGCATATGTCTTATACTATATTTTATTTGAAATATAATATTATGAAAGATAAGTTTTTGTGGTTTGGAGAATAATAAAGTATATATATTCTTGGGACAACAAGGCAAAGGCCAGATACACATATAATTTGAGACTCAAATTAATCATGTTTGGTAGCCCAAATAAGGTTTGTTTATTTATATGAAAATTGAGCTTTTTTTTTTTTGCACCTACATTAAAATTTTGTTGTCTTGTAAGAATTCTGGATCACAATTTAAAAAAAAACTTATTTTGGATACATAATAGTTGTACATGTTTATGGGGTACATGTGATATTTTGATACATGCATACAATGTTTAATGATCAAATTGGATCACAAATATTTAAGTACACAACAAGTTATGCTATGAAGTTTTGCAGACCATTTCATTTATGTAGTGTAACTTGCTCTAATTGCCATCTAAAACATTACAATTGTACTAGACTATGTACTATTGGAGCAATAACATTCTGCCAACTGTGGTAGATTCATATAAGTATTTAGGAAATATTACTGGGAAAAACATAAATTATGTTGAGGTAAATTAAGCAGTATAGTTAGTATAGTGATATTGGTACGGCTTAAATAAGAATAATTTGCTCCAGCAGACTGAAGAATTCCAGAATAAAAAAGTCAAAAGATGATTGTGACTTGCCATCTTTCAGATTGACAGAGCTGAAATAAAACTTTCTGTATGTGCATATATCACAAACACCAATATTTTTGCTTGTTTCCCACAGTGAGAGCCTTATTTTCATATTAGGCAACTAGTTGGAAAATACAGTTGATAGTTACATTTTTATTTCCACTCATTCAAGCCTCTTATTAATCATATATGGCTAATGAACAGACCTTCCATATTTGAATTGATCATTCTGAGATACATGATTAAAAATGGGCATTTATACGATTTCAGTACTTTTATTTTCTTTTTTCATATTTTGAGACAGGGTCTTGCTCTGTCACCCAGGCTGGAGTGCAGTGGTGTGATCATAGCTCACTTCAGCTTTGACCTTCCAGGCACAAGCAATCCTTCCACCTCAGTCCCCCAAGTAGCTGGGACTGCAGGCATGCACCAGGCATGCCTGCCTAATTTTATATTTTTTGTGGAGACCAAGTCTCACTATGTTGCCTAGGCTGGTCTTAAACTCCTGGACTCAAGTGATCTTCCCACCTCATCCTCCCAAAGTGCTGGGATTACAGGTGTGAGCCACCACACCTGGCCAATTTTAGTACTTTACATTTAGGAATGATATTTCTTTCACTTGAATTATTTGTCATTGCAGAAAGTAAAAGCATATTTTTGGGGCTTAATTTTTATGCATTTTTCTTTCTTATGTAAATGCCTGATCATTAAACACAATCAACTGTGGAAGTTTTCAAATGTAGATTCTGGAATCAGTCTCTGGAAATCCAGGAGGTCTGTGTGAGGGCAGGGGAACCTGTATTTTCTTTAAGTTACACAAGTGGGTGGGTGATGCCTGGTCAAGTTTAGGAGCCAGTCATAGCATGTTTATGCATTTCTCTTCTAACCTTCTGAGGAACTCCTGACTTTCGGCTTGCATAGAAGGCACTGAAAAGAGTAGGGAATGAATAACTGTTCTATTGTGTTAGATGCCCAGCGTTTTTGATGGAAGCAATTTTATTCTGCAGAAAAACTTGAAAGATCTGACTGGCTCTAAAGGAATATATAGTAAATATTGATATTGGTTCAAAAACATTTTTATACAATTGTTTTTGCTATAATTGTGATACATTTCTGAGAAATCTTGTGGTTGTAACCATCATATACTAGAAATTAAAGGTCTGGGAAAAATGGAGTTGCACAAATCACTCAAAATCTATACAGCATTATATCCAGATCACTAATAAAAGCAATAGCAGTCTAGTAAAACAGTTAGTTAAAAACAGTTAGTTAAAAAACATGTCAGAGTCCTAATAAGTAAAGAAATATTACAGTAAATATAGGATTTTATCTTTAAAGGTGGTGGTTGCTGATGGAAAGGGATGCATTGAAGGTTTGAGGCTGATAGACTGCCGAAGATTAGGACAAAGTACACAAAAAATGAGGAAGTGCTATGCAAAAAGCCCTACCAGGACATAGTAAGTGACCAAATTGAAGTAGCAACAGAGTGGCATGAATGAGCGCCATGAACAGTGCAGCAGTCCCGTGCAGTTCACTGCATTGGCTTGTGTCAGTGAACTTCGTGTTAAGCTGGACATACACGGCCAAAAAGTGTGGGAAAAATAGTTATATATAATCTGAGTTATATTAACATCATACCCCATTTACTAAGCTTATATGAACTAATTCACTTTATGCAAAGGAGTTATAGCAGAAAAGATCATACTTGGTTAGTGATCATTTCGGGAAATAGTTGAGTGGTTAATTGCATAATCTCTGAAGTCAGACTCAAAGCTCCACCAGTACGTCCTTGTGCAGATCGCTTAATGTCTCATTGTCTGTTTTGTGTTTTTGGAAGTATTTGAGAGTGGTATTTTTGCAAGTATTGTGGGAAAGCAGAAAGGAGAATGCTTTGGACTGGGTAATAATTTGAAAATTTCTCAGAGGAGGAGACATTTAAAATGTTTGTTCAAAGATAAACTAAAAGGCAACTACCACTTGTAAATTGTGTGACCTTGGGCATGCTTCAGTTTTCTCAGCTGTAATACAGGGACAGTGTTGTTTATTTTATCACATCACTAGGTTCTTCTGGTTATCAGAATTAAAGTGAAATACAGTGTGAAAATTTCCCATACAGTTGTAAGGTAGAAGAAACAAATATGAATTTCTAGAGTTTAGTTTCCTAGCTGACTTCAGAATAGACTGTTTTCAAGGTTTCTTCTCCCTTTGGAAATAGTCAAATGTATGAAATCCCGGTAAATGCTAATAGTAGTTTAAAGTGTTTGTCTTCTGACATGAATGCTTCTCTGGCTTCTCATTCTTTTCAGCAGTCGTAGCCATTGACTTAATTCTTCTTTATTGTCATAGACATCTGCATCAGCTGTTAGGCAAATGTTCCTAATTTCAGAGATGGTAGCCTCACAAAATTGTGAATAACAGCATAAGAATTACCCCCACATTGATTCACAACCAGAGTTCGTGCACTTGAGCATTCTGTCACCTTGGTGTTATTTCAAGAATATTTTGAGGAAGCATATTGGTACCCTTACTGATATCCCCCGACATTCTGGTTATGATTTATGTCGATTTCATCTGTGAAGTTTTAGAGTTACATACAAAACTTTTCAGCTTTTAAGTGGTATCCTTCGTGTTCTAAGTTTATTATATTTGATAAAACATTCATACACTGAATTGATTTTATGATCTTCAGTTTTGTGCTTTTAAGAGTTAGAGAAGAAAAATCTTTACTTTCTTTGCCATCATGTATTACATTTTTCAGAACTTTTTACAATTTTTTTTTTTTTGCAAAATTTGTAAACCAGGAATAGAACCAGTGTTTCAGTTTTGAGAAAAATGATGGCTTTGCCTAGTGGGTGTTTTCCGTTTGCAGTCTTCCAAGCCATTTCTGACATAAGAATTCAGCTCCTGTCAAGGCATGTGCAGTAAAGGTACCCTTCCAGGTGCCTAGACAAATCCTTAGTGCTGTCTATTTGTATTTAGAATCCTACTTTTTTTTATATTTACTTTTTTTTATATATCTTACTTTTTTTTTGTATTTAGAATCCTACTTTTTTTCTTCTTTGTCCGTCTTCTTGTTATTGCCCTTAGCTGACCAGAGACTCCGTGCCATCCAGCCCCTTTCCTCTCTTGCCTCTCTCTAACTTCTTTTGTGCTGCAGATTTCAACTAAATTAAGTTCTAATTAAAATAATTTTCACCTTAAGGTTTGAATGCTCAACCAGCTTGACACTTTCAAAGATAATTTGCTTTTAAAATTGTTTATCAAAATAAATCTCTAAATAGGTTATGAGTCATTGTTATTAATGAGATTGTGTGTATCCTCGAACTGTTTTGGGGCAGAGAAAAAATGTTGAGAATCTCTCTTCTAAAGCCATGCTTTTGAAGAAACAGTCTTAAGAGTTTTTCCTTGGAAAACAATGCTGTTTAAATTACCATTCTTTCTTGTGGCATACTCATATCTTGGAATGTGTTACAACTGTTTTTGTTATTAAGCTCTTGAATGTTAGACTATATAGTTATTGAAGGATTATAGTGAATTCAATTCTGAATACTTTCTGTTCTTTGGAAAGTTTAGAACTCTAAAGTTTCTATTTTAGATGGAAAATTTCCACTCTTTTTTGTCACTTGTTTTCTTTGCAGTATGTCAAATTGCTTTGAAAATAGTAAACTGCGATATTAGTTTAAGGTGGTATTTTTATTATGCTGGTATGTATTTTGTAATTTATGTTCCACTGCATTCCAGCCTGGGCAACAAGAGCAAGACTCTGTCTCAAAAAAAAAAAAAAGAAAAGAAAATGACAGAATGGATGGTCATCCACTGTCCGGTTGTTTGAAGGTGGCCAAACAAGCAATGCATGATTAATTGTCTTTTCCATTTGTTTACTTAAGAACTCCTCCTTAATTTGTGGATATATTTGATCCTTTCAGAATCTCTTATTGTCTTAACTGTTGTTTGATCTGAAGGTTCTGGTACACTGGCCAAATAGTATGTTTTCTTGTTGGGTAGTCGGTGGGAGGAGATCTAGTTCTCCTTGACAAAACTACATTACTTGGAACTAACATGCTGGACGCCCAGGCTCAGCAAGGTTTATTAATGTCTGTTTCTCTGCATTAATATCATCTCATGAATCTGTGTTTTCTGAGGTGTGCAGCCTGTTACAGTTAAATCTTTTCTTGATCTCTAGAGTTGGAGAATGAAGTTTAATAGACTAGAATGGGATGTTCCTGCATTTTATGAAACTGATGAATTCATTCTAAGATAAGTTGTTTCCTCTTTCCTGACCAAATAGGAGTGCTTGTAATGTTTCTGTCCTCTACTTTAAGGATATTTCGAAGTTCACATAGCTTTTATATTATTCTTTTAAAACGGTAGGAATGAATCAGAGTGGCAAACATACTAGGTGGAATCTTAGTAATAGTCATAGATTGTTCAGTTGTGTGCAGGTAATGCCCTTCTTCTTAGTGGATTGTGTGGGAGGACGTAGAAATGTTGTAGATGGTGGGAGAGGACAAAAGAGCCCATTTTGGTTACAAGAGAAACATTCAAAACCTCTAAATGTGCCATGCCTTGGATAGCTGCCCCATGTATACATTCTTAATATGTTGCAAGAACAGATTATTTCTGGCCCATTGGTTGTTTTTTTCTTTGTACTTTCTATTATTTTATCATTTTTGTTATTCTTTTGATTAATATTTATTTTAGAAGGCTTGTAGAAATGGCAGAAAACATCAGGGTAAGCCATTCAGTAAAGCTAGAGTGAAGAGGCAACCTACAGAATGGGAGAAAATTTTTTGCAACCTATCCATCTGACAAAGGGCTACTAACATCCAGAATCTACAAAGAAATTAAACAAATTTATATAAAAAAAAACCCATAAAAAAGTGGCCAAAGGATATGAACAGACACTTTTCAAAAGAAGACATTTATGCAGCCAACAAACATATGAAAAAAAGCTTATCATCACTGTTCATTAGAGAAATGCAAATCAAAACCACAGTGAGATACCATCTCATGCTAGTTAGAATGGCGATCATTAAAAAGTCAGGAAACAACAGATGCTGGAGAGGATGTGGAGAAATAGGAACGTTTTTACACTGTTGGTGGGAGTATAATTTAGTTCAACCATTGTGGAAGACAGTGTGACGATTCCTCAAGGATCTAGAACCAGAAATGCCATTTGACTCAACGATCCCATTATTGGGTATATACCCAAAGGATTATAAATCACACGCACACGTATGTTTATTGCAACACTGTTCACAATAGCAAAGACTTGGAACCATCCCAAATGCCCATCAATGATAGACTGGATAAAGAAAATGTGGCACATATACACCATGGAATACTATGCAGCCATAAAAAAGAATGAGTTCATGTCCTTTGCAGGGACATGGATGATGCTGGAAACCATCATTCTCAGCAAACTAGCACAGGAACAGAAAACCAAACACTACATGTTCTCACTCATAAGTGGGAGTTGTGCGGTGAGAACACATGGACACAGAGAGGGGAACATCACACACCGGGGCCTGTTGGGGGGTGAGGGGCTATGGGAGGGATAGCATTAGGAGATATACCTAATGTAGATGATGGGTTGGTGGGTGCAGCAAACCACCATGGCACATGTATACCTATGTAACAAACCTACACGTTCTGCACATGTACCCCAGAACTTAAAGTATATTCATAAAAAAAAAAAAGAATGGCTTACAGGAAATATAAGAGCTAGAGGAACCCATAGAACAACACTACTGAGACATAATCAGCAAGATAAAGACTGTCAGAGAATATACCGAACCTGTTTTCTTCAACCATATATGATAATAAAAAATGGAGGAAGGGGAAACTTTAAAGAGACTTAAGAGACTTATTTACCAAAATATCATGTGTGGACTTTCTGATTCAAATGAATGAGCTATTTAAAAAAAGAAAAAATCAATGGCTGGGTGTGGCAGCCCTCGTCTGTAATCCTAGCAGATTAGGAGACCCAGGCAAGGAGGATCCCTTGAGACCAGGAGTTTGAGACCAGCCGGGACAACATAGCAAGACTTTATGTCTACAAAATATTTAAAAACTAGCCAGGCATGGTGGCACATTCCTGTAGTCCTAGCTACTTGGTAGGCTGAGGCAGAAGGATCCCTTAAGCCCACGAGGTTGATGCTGCAGTGAGTTATGACCGTGTTGCTGCACTCCAGCCTGGGTGACAGAGTGAGACCATGTTTCAGTAAATAAATTAATTAAAAAGAAGGTTCAAGGCAGTTGGAAAAGTTTACCTTGAGTGGATATTTGTGGTAATTGAGTGATTAGTGGATTCCTAAGGTAAGATAATATTTTTATTTAAAAATACTATATTTTAGAGATACATGCTGAATTATTTACGAATGAAATGATATGATATCTAGGATTTGCTTACATATAATCCAGTCAGATGGGGGTGGGGAGTAGAGATGAGATTTGCCCTTGTTAATTGTTAAAGCTGAGTAATAGATACCTATTGGTTCATTATTCTATTATATATACTTTTGTATATGGTTGAAATTTCCCATAATAAAAAAGTTAAAATATTTAAATTAAATGATATTTGAGTACATACTAAGTGTTTAGGAGTGTGGTAATTGCTTTGAAGGATAGCATCATAGTATCTAGCATATATATTGAAAAACTAAAGTAGTAAGTTAAATAAATGAGAATTTTGTTTCCTTTTCCAGAAGAGTTAAACATTTTAGTAGATCCAAACCTAGATTCACCAAGTACTTTTCTTTTATTGTTATATTATACCTTCCATTTTTTGAACATCTATATAGGACTTTATCCTGTTTCATGTAATTACTTCAACAATATGACTGGGTATGATTATTCTGTTCAGAAGAGGAAATTGATCTTCAGAGATTTTTGGTGACTTGTGCAAGTTCACATAGGTAATAAGTGGCACAGAAGGAATTTGAATTGTCTGAGCCCAAATTTCTTAAATTTAAAAATCCAGCATTATTTCTAAATGGAAACCATGGATACTCAAGGATAATACTGTTGTTTCCAATTGCTGTGTATCTTGTAACTTGAATAGTACCTGTAATAGTGAAAAAGTAACTTAATGAATTGTATATCAGTAAGCAAAGTCAGAACAGTGATGTAACTTGAAAATTCTCAGTTGACACTTAAAAACAGCCTTATTATTTTTCAAGTAATGTTTGAGGCATCAGAAAATGTACTTTGTATTCATTGTTCATTTTGAAAATATAACATAAAAAGCCCCAGAGATGATAATATTGATATCTGGTTCTAGCAAAATCAGAAGAAGTAGACAGATATTAAATTCCTAATTTATGCATCATTCAAATTTAAACATAAATCTGTGTATCTTTTAAAGAGCTGCATATATTAAACTTCTTTTTACTTCCCTGTTATATTTTATTCTTCAAATGATTAACTTTATTTTTGCAGTGGATAAAACTTAGCAGAACAAATTTCAATAAGAAAGGATAATGGGAAAAATGCTTCTCTGTTTCCAGAAATAAATGAGCAGGCAGGAACTTAAATTCTCCTTCCTAGGAAAATAAAATTGAAGAATTACTGATACCAGAATAGTAGTACACTTACTTTAAATCAAAATAAGATACCCCAAATTAAAGTTTAAAAGTACAGCATTTAGCTTCTGTTACTTGAGGATAAGATGTTTGTGATTTGAGAAAAATGCCTGTAATTTTGTAAGTAGTTGAATGGTCTCTAGTACTTTAAGTAAACTAGTCATTGTTGATTCTCATTTTTACTCTTACAACCCTCTCTGAGAAATAGCAGAGGAGCAGTCAGAATAAGATAAGTAGCAAGTTGCTAAAATTACTTCAGTCTCAAACCAACTTCAAAGCAGAGTGAACTATACAGGTAAGGATACCAGTAAGTAAACGGCAGATTGAAAACATTGGATTTATTTCTATTTCTTCAACTAGTTTCGTGGGAGAAACTCTACTGAATGTGTGCAATACCTTGAGCTTTTCAAGCATGAAAACTTAGTACAACTTTTTTTTCTTTTCTTTTTGCATAGCCTTACCCCTATTGATTTCATCCTAGTCTCTTCCTGACCTCTCCCCAGACTTGTCACTGAGGGCGAGTCTACTTAGACCATTTGCTTTCTCCCCTGATTATGCATTCAATTTATATTTAGAGTTTTTATTTGCAGTATCATTAACATTAGGAGGAAGTCCAGTTACAGCGGTGAGCAGGAATATGGTTATATATGTATAGTTTTTATATGTATACAATTTATATGTATGATAAGACCACAATTTTCTAAGGTCCTAAAATGTGTAATATAGCTGATGCCTTCTGTATCTCATGGACTATAGCATATTCAATCAAATTTTTAACTCAGGAAATATTACTTCCTTTAATTCAATCTTATATATATTTTATTTTTATAAATTATGTAATTATATATTTTATATAGTATAAATATATATTATACATACATATGTATATATGTACTTTTATATGTATAATTTATATATGTATAAAATTATATATAATTATGTATGCAATTATATATATATGCAATTTTTTTAGATGGGGGTCTCACTCTGTCGACTGGGCTGGTGTGTAGTGGCACAATCACAGCTCACCACAGCCTAGAACTCCTGGGCTCAAGCCTCTCACCTCAGCCTCCCGAGTAGCTGAGATTACAGGCGTGCACCACCATGCCCAGCTAATTTTTCTTTTTTCTTTCTTTTTTTTTTTTTTTTTGTAGAGACAAGACTTTGTTCAACCTGGTCTTAAACTCCTGGCCTTAAGGGATCCTCCTGCCTCAGCCTCTCAAAGTGCTGGGATTGCAGGGTAAACCACCACACCTGGCTCAACATTATGTTTAAGAATTCTCAACCTTCATTATTTTTACAAGATCTTTTACTAAATCAGTCCCTAATTTTCAACACTATACTTTTACCTTAATTAACTGTAGCCTGTTTTCTTCTTTCAGTCCTATAGATTCCTTTTCAGATAGAGATACTTTTTTAATATCCAGTGTTCATTTAAAAAGATGACTGATTCTGATATGTTTTATTCATGTGTTACTTTACTGGTGTTTTTTGTTATTGTTTACTACTTGCACATGTTGAATAAGTTGCTAGAAAAATTATCACTTGCCTCAGATTTTATTTAGCCAATATATGTAATAGTTTTGATTTACTTTATCTGTAGATTGAAGGCAAAAACGGGTCGTCACTTAGACTGATAAGATGGTTGCTTAGCCAGTGAGAGGGATTTCCTAAGATCACTAGATTCGAATGTATCTGATAAAGCAAGTGTTTTTGTTATTTGTTGAGTCTGCCAGTGGAATTCTGAAGTTGATACAACTTGCTTGTTCCGTGTGCCCATAGCTAGGTAGGTGTATGAATTGTTCTCTCTAGCCTCTGACTACTTGAATTTCATCCTTGCGCAGGGGCGGTGCTAATCTCTGTATTGTTCCAATTTTAGTATATGTACTGCTGAAGCAAGCACTGCTTTGATTTCATTCAGTAGAATCTGCTACGCTGGTAGCGTGTTTTTCTTTTCTTTTCTTTTTTTTATTTTCCCCCCCTTGCACAAGAGCACTTTGAGCTCTTTAGTGTTAGAACAAAGTATTTCTGAGTTGGCTTTTGTGACCTTTTTGAGAAAGGAAGCAATGAGACAAAGTGATGTGGCGTGTGAATTCAACAGTAAATATTGGGTTGGTGCAATCCTTGTACTTGTAGATATTGTGGTTATTGTATCTTTTTATTAATGTGGTTTAAATACCATTGATTTTGGTTCTTCATAGGTTAGGATGGGAAACATTTAGAAGGGAAATTGACTTAATTCCTGATATATAAATTTATTTCATGATTCTGAGATCTTGATATGAAAAGAATCTGTTTAAGTTTTCTTATTTATATCGCATACATGATTTTACTTCTTGTCTTTGCTTTTTTTCATATTCTATTTTTGATTTATCTTGGTCAGTATAAGAATATTGCCTTCTTTATGCACATTGCCTTCATTTATTTTTGAACTTATATTTCCTATTCCTGGGACCTAGATTTTTCAGTCGTTCAATCCTATGTATTTATTCAGTAAACATTTTCATTGACTTCTGTGGTATACAGGGTAGAAAAACAGCATCCACCTACTCAAGAGAAGAAACTGTAGAGTGGATCTTTTAACTCATGCTGTTAACTTCTTTAAAACTAAAAAGTTAAACAGTGAATACATCTTTATGTTAGAAAGTTAAAAATATGTAAATAAGTTTAAGGAAGTAAAAATCATCTGCATTATCTTTGTTATTTAGTTTTCCAAACTTTCTTCTTTGCATGTGTGTATTAAAAATACTATTTTTATTACCAGTATATATATGTGTGTATATGTATATGTATATGTACTTGTATATATATATGTATATGTGTGTATATATACACACACATATATATATAAATAAATAGAGACACAGACAGACAGACAGACAGACAGAGACAGGCTCTTGCTCTGTTGCCCAGGCTGGAGTGCAGTGGCATGATTGTAGCTCACTGTAGCCTCGAACTCCTGTGCTCAAGCGATCCTCCCACTTCAGCTTCCTGAGTAGCTGGGTCTACAGATGTGCATCACAATGCTTGGCTAATTTTTAAAGTTTTTTTATAGAGATGGAGTCTTGCTCTGTTGCTCTGGTTGGTTTTCAACTCCTGGCCTCAAGGGATCTTCCTGCCTTGGCCTCCCAAAGTACTGGAATTACAGGTGTGAGCCACTGCACCTGGCTGTGTTTTTGTTTTTTTTGTTTTCATGTAACCACTACATGTAAATGTTGTATTTTAGTGGCTGTTTACTTTTACTAGAAAAATCATCACTGGCCTCAGATTTTATTTAACAATTATATACAGTAGTTTTGATTTATCCGTAGATATAAATAGTAGAATCACACTCTGTAGGGTTTTCTGATTATTTTTTTGGTTACTGATATCAGGCTCTAGAACAGTGGTTAAAAATTGTCTGGAGGGGATCTAGTTAGGTATACCGTTATAGTATTTTTCTACAATATTTACATGAGATGATGATTATAGAATGTATAATAATGAAAAGTTAGTGATCCAGTGAAACCATAGGCTGAGATTATGTATTTGTTGAAAGCAGTTTTCTACATCGATAAACATTACATACTTTTCAAACTTGAATACCAGAAAGTATACTTATAATCTTTGCTTATTACAGTGAAAGATACAGGACTCAAAAACAGAAGACCATGTCAGTTGAATTTTGAGAGTTCTTATTCATACGGTTATGAAATTTCCACTTAATATCCCTTATTAACACTGGAAATGACATGTTGAATTGTCTTATGATCTGATTTTATATGTTCTTTGTAATCCTTGTATTAATGTGATGAAGGAAGAATATGGGTTTCTGTTGTAGTTGTTAATTTTCCATACTTCACATTCATGGAAATAATTCAGATAATTAGAAAATAACTTACTGGCTTAATAGGGACTTTTTTCTTATTTTTTAGATTAGCACTCTCTTTTAAATAATAATAAAAATTACAGAGTGATTATATTTTTTAAAAGCCAGAGATTTACAGATTAAGATTTTTTTTCAATTTTTCTATAATCACAGTAATGAAAACATTTTATGGTTCAGGGATGATAATGATGACAATGGCTATAATTTATTGAGGACTTTGTACTGTATACTACTATAGTTTCATTATATGCATTGTTTCTATTTTATACATTAACATCATAAAGGTATTATTTTTTCTATTTTAGAGATTACGAAACTGAGACTCAATTTAAGTTGCTTGTTGTATTAGTCCATTTTCATGCTGCTGATAAAGACATACCCGAGACTGGGTAATTTATAAAGAAAAAGAGGTTTAATGGACTCACAGTTCTATGTGGCTCGGGAGGCCTCACAATCTTGGTGGAAGATGAAAGGCATGTCTTATGTGGGAGCAGACAAGAGAAAGAATGAGAACCAAGTGAAAGTGGTTTCCCCTTGTAAAACCATCAGATCTTTTGAGACTTACTTACTACCATGAGAAAAGTATGGGGGAACCACCCCCATGATTCAGTTATCACCCACTGGGTCCCTCCCACAACGTGTGGGAACTATGGGAGTTACAATACAAGATGAGATTTGGGTGGGGACACAGCCAAACCATATCATTCTGTCCCTGGCCCCTCCCACATCTTGTATCCTTACATTTCAAACCAGTCATGTCCCCCAATGTCTTAACTCATTTCATCATTAACTCAAAAGTCCACAGTCCAGAGTCTCATTTGAGATGAGGCAAGTCCCTTCTGCCTATGAACCTGTAAAATCAAAAGAAGGTTAGTTACCTCCTAGATACAATGGGGGGTACAGGCATTGGGTAAATACAGCTGTTCCAAATGGGAAAAATTGGCCAAACCAAAGGGGCTACAGGGCCCATGTAAGTCCAAAATCCAGTGGGGCAGTCAAATCTTAAAGCTCCAAAATGATCTCCTTTGACACCATGTCTCACACCCAGGTCACACTGATGCAAGAGGTCGGTTCCCATGGTCTTGGGCAGCTCTGCCCCTTTAGCTTTGCAGGGTACAACCTCCCTCCTGGCTGCTTTCACAGGCTGGCATTGAGTGTCTGCAGCTTTTCCAGGCTCACAGTGCAAGCAGTTGGTGGATCTGCCATTCTGGGGTCTGGAGGACGGTGGTCCTCTTCTCACAGCTCCACTAGGCAGTGCCCAGTGGGGGCTCTGTGTGGGGGCTTCAACCCCACATTTTCCTTCTGCACTGCCCTGGCAGAGGTTTTCAGGAGGGCCCCGCCCCTGCAGCAGATTTCTGCCTGGACATCTAGGTGTTTTCATACATCCTCTGAAATCTAGGTAGAGGTTCCCAAACCTCAGTTCTTAACTTTTGTGCACCTGCAGGCTCAACACCTTGTGGAAGCTGGCAAGGATTGGGGCTTGCACCCTCTGAAGCCATGGCCCAAACTGTATCTTGGCCCCTTTTAGCCATAGCTGGAGCAGCTGGGGCACAGGGCACCAAGTCCCTAGGCTGCACACAGCAGGGGGCCCTGGGCCTGGCCCATGAAACCATTTTTCTTCCTAGGCCTCTGGGCCTGTGATGGGAAGGACTGCCACAAAGATCTCTGACATGACCTGGAGACATTTTCCCCATTGTCTTGGTGATTAACATTAGGCTCCTTGTTACTTTACAAATTTCTGCAGCTGATTTGACTTTCTCCTTGGAAAATGGGTTTTTCTTTTCTGTTGCATGGTCAGGCTGCAAATTTTCTGAACTTTTATTCTCTGTTTCCCTTATAAAACTGAATGCTTTTTAACAGCAACCCAGTCACATCTTGAATGCTTTGCTACTTAGAAATTTCTTCTGCCAGATACCCTAAATCATCTCCCTCAAGTTCAAAGTTCCACAAATCTCTAGGGCAGGGGCAAAATGCCACCAGTCTCTTTGCTAAAACATAGCAAGGGTCACCTTTACTCTGGTTCCCAACAAGTTCCTCATCTCCATCTGAGACCACTTCAGCCTGGATTTCATTGTCCATGTCATTATCAGCATTTTGGTCAAAGCCATTCAACAAGTCTCTAGGAAGTTCCAAACTTTCCCACATTTTTCTTTCTTCTTCTGAGTCCTCCAAACTGTTTCAGCCTCTGCTTGTTAACCAGTTCCAAAGTTGCTTCCACATTTTCGGGTATCTTTGCAGCAGTGCCCCACACTACTGGTACCAGTTTACTGTATTAGTCTGTTTTCACACTGCTGATAAAGACATACATGAAACTGGGTAATCTATAAAGGAAAGAGGTTTAATTGACTCACAGTTCCACATGCATGGGGAGGCCTCAAAATCACGGCAGAAGATGAAGGAAGACCAAAGGGACATCTTACATGGCAGCCAGCAAAGAGAGAATAAGAGCCAAGCGACAGGGGTGCCCCTTATAAAACCATCAGATCTCGTGAGACTTATTCACTAGCATGAGAACAGTTTAAGAGAAACCACCCCCATGATTCAGTTGTCTCCTACCAGGTCCTTCCCACCACACATGGGAATTATGGGAGCTACAATTCAAGATGAAATTTGGGTGGGGACACAGCCAAACCTTATCACTTGTCTAAGACCACACTATTTGTAAATGACATAGTTGATATTTGAGTCTGAGCTTGTTTGACTTCAAAATACAGTACCTCCATTTCTATTTTTTCTGGTTTTATAAGAACAGCTTTTTGAAAGTGATTTTTATTCATATATCCTTGCAATGGTGATGATGTATTTTAAGATAGCCATTTTAACTTTTTTATAGAAATATCATTTAGCTTCTATGAACAGTTGAAAGTTAGATCTCCCTTTGAATACATGTGTTTAGTGAAGCAAAATCTGCTCTAACATGAAATTGTCAGTTTTCTATTCAAGTAGACCTTTTCTGTTATGTTTAAAGTTACCTGTAGAGAATCATATTAAATTAACTGGATTCTTTATTTTTGATATTTTCATGAAATAAAGTTGCCATAGTATGCATAAGAATTGTTTCCTCTTTAGATACCATTGTGAATTAAACCAAATGTCAATGTATATATAATGATCCAGAATACATCAGTGTTCCATAATAAAGAAGGAAAGAGTTGTTTTTTCAAAGTTAATTATTTCAGTGGAGGAAACGCCTACAAAAATGATTGTTATAAAAAAATCTAAATTTTGAATGAATGTATAGATAGTATAAAAATGAATAATGATGAATGACATTTTTACATTATATATATTGTGCTCCATACATTTGGAGGAAAATCTTCAGTCATTGGAAATATTTTAGAAGGATTCTTGCTTAATTTTTCTTTCTGATACAATTATATGATACATACATATATATTACACAGAGCACACATTATTCACATTTAGAATACAAAATTTTCTGAGAAATTTTATATTTATATTTATATTCATATTCATGAAGCAGTCTGTGGACAAAGCTTGGTGCCCAATTAAGGAGACATTTATTGACCCCTTGGCTATGTGCCATGCACTGTATTGAACAGTTTTGAAAAAAACAATTATTATGATGGGAGAACAGGAACAACGATGTCAGAGCATCAAGATCTTGGTTCTACTGCTTTGCTATTGTTTTGCTGTGTGATATCCTGTCCATACCCCTCCCCTGATAGTGAACCCAAATGTATACTGCATTCAGCCATGTAGATAACGGGTATTGGATATAGAATTAGATGTAGGTCAGCATTTCAGCAGTATCATGGCCCATCCCCCAAAAAGGAGAAAATAAAAAACTGTGAGATCAGAGACGTCTAGGCTAATAAGTGGAATGTGGACCAAAATGCAAACCATATAGTCTTCCCACAGAAGTAACATTTCATATGGTGTGGTTAGGTTTGGATTTTTGAAAAGTATTTTTATTTTTTTTTGAGATGGAGTCTTGCTCTGTCACCCAGGCTGAAGTGCAGTGGCGCGCTCTTGGCTCATTGCAACCTCTCCCTCCCAGGCTGAAGCTATTCTCCTGCCTCAGCCTACCAAGTAGCTGGGATTACATGCATGCATCACCAAGCCAGGTTAATTTTTATATTTTTAGTAGAGACGGGTTTTCACCGTGTTGGACAGGCTGGTCTCGAACTCCAGACCTCAGGTGATCTCCCTGCCTTGGCCTCTCAAGTGCTAGGATTACAGGCATCAGCTACTGATCCTGGCCTGAAAAGTATTTTTAATGCAAGTTTATGAACTGGATAATCCTGGAGAAATTATGATGCTAAGTCTCAGTTTCTTCACCTGTAATATGATGGCTCCTGCCTCATGAGGTGGTTGGGAGAATTATATAATTCGTTATGTTTGGGCCTTAATCCAATGCTTGGCATATAGAGTCAGTGCTCAGCATATGCAGTCATCAGTTGGTATCCATGGGGAAATCGTTTCCAGGACACCCTGTGGATACCAACATCTGTAGATACTCAAGTCACTTATATAAAATGTTGTAGTATTTACGTATTACCTATGCACATCTTCTCATACTTTAAATCATCTCTAGATCACTTATAATAACTATCAATGTAAATGTTATGTAAATAGTTGGCATACAGTATTGTTTAGGGAATAATGACAAGAAGAAGCCTGTACATGTTCAATACAGATAGGACCATCCCTCTTTTTTCCCTGAGTATTTTTGATTCAACCAAGAGGTTGAATTCATGGATGCAGAACCCATGCATACGGAACCTGTGGGCCAACTCTGTTGCTGTGATTATTACTACTTACCACTGCTACTAGGAAAGTCAGCACTTTTAACAATGTTTCTCTTCGAAAAAATTCATTCTGACTTGCAGTGTTTAAATTGTTGCTGTAAGAATGCTTCTCTCTTTGCTGCTGTGGGATTAGCTATTTCCCTTCCCCTCAGGTTCCCTACCTCTTGGAGGTAGAAGATGAGAACCAGCTAGTTCGAAATTACTGCTGGTGACTCCTGTGGTTTCAGTCAAAGACTTCAGCTCCATAAAAGCTTGTTGGGAAAGTGAAGGCTGATCAGGGTTTAAACAAATCAGGAAGAAAAGGAGTTAAAACCACCTTGTGGTCTTCAGCAGTATCTAGTCTCTCTCACACACTGGTAGCCAGAGTGATGGACTCGGCTGTGTTCCATCCCTGCCCCCGCTGTTAACCATCACCTGTTGATTCCGCTGGATTTTCATTTACTACTGGAGAAGGGAACAGAAAACAGAAACACATGTAGGTTTTGAATTTAAAAACTTTTTTTCCTTTTTTTTTGAGACGGAGGTTCGCTCTTGTCTTCCAGGCTGGAGCGCAATGGCGTGATCTCGGCTCACAGCAACCTCCAGCCGAGGCGGGTGGATCACTTGAGGTCAGGAGTTTGTGACCACCCTGGCCAACATGGTGAAACCTCTTCTCTACTAAAAATAAAAAATTAGGCGGGTGTGGTGGCGGGTGCCTGTAATCCCAGCTACTCGGGAAGCTGAGGCAGGAAAAACATTTTTAAAAAACTTGTGATGGCAGAGTCAAAACAGAACAAGCCTCGGAAGATGTGCACATTTAACTGTCCTTCAGTATTCTGTGTAAAAATACCACTCACAGTTCACGTTTTCACTTTTGAAAGGCTCGAAGTGAGGGAAATCAACCATCATAATGAAAGAACAAAAGAATGATTAAAAGAAAAGGTGAATAGGATTCATGAAAACGCTTTGAGGCCGGGCACAGTAGCTCATACCTGTAATCCCAGCACTTTGGGAGGCAGAGGCAGGCAGATCACTTGAGATCAGGAGTTCGAGACCAGCCTGGCCAACATGGTGAAACCCCATCTCTACTAAAAATACAACAACAACAACAAAAATTAGCAGGTGTCGTGGCACACACTTATAATCCCAGCTGCTTGGGAGGCTGAGGCAGGAGGATTGCCTGAACTGGGAGGTGGAGGTTGCAGTGAGTCGAGATCGTGCCACTGCACTCCAGCCTAGGTGACAGAACAAGACCCTGTTTCAACAAACAAACAAAACAAAACAAAACAACCCCCCCCCCCACAAAAAAACAACACTTTGAAGGAGTTAGAGTTGTTTAGAAAAAAAAGAACTAGATTCTTAATGAAATAATATTTAAAAATCCAATTCTTTACTGAAGGTCATGAAAGATTCTATTTAAAATTAGTTAATATTTTGGTAAGGATTATATGTGCATGACATAGTGAAAAACTATCTTTCTTTCTTCTTTTTTTTTTGAGACGGAGTTTCACTCTTGTTGCCCAGGCTGGAGTGCAATGGCGTGATCTCGGCTCACTGCAACAATCTCCACCTCCCGGGTTCAAGCGTGTCTTTCTTTTATTCCTCTTCTCCAGCTGTCTGTTTTCCTCCGTGGAGACAACTACTGGTACTAGTACTGATCCTCTTCTTCCATAGATAGTCTGCATTTGTTTCTCCTAACTCCTCATTGAAAACACAGATGGCAGCATAGCATACTGCACATACTGCCCTATACTTTTACCCCTTTCTTCTTTGCCTTAACAGTATTCCTTAGGCTTTGTTCCGTATTGTGACCTGTAGGGCTGCCTTGTTTTCTCATATACTCACTGTGTAGCATTCCATTCTATGGGTATTCTGTAATTTGCCTAGTTTTCTATTCCTCAGGAAGTTAGGTTGTTTTTGCTATCCTATTTTGCTACTATAATGTCTACCAGAATGAATGTTCCTGTTTGCCTCTTACTTCTACTTGTGAAAGTGAGATAATTTCCTAAAAGAGAAATTGCTGGGCCAAAAAGATGTGCATTTTGAATTTTGGTAGATTTTGCTAAATTGCCCTGAACACAGGTTGTACCAGTTTAAACTCCCACTGACAGGCATGTTTCTTTTCCCATGTCCTCTTTCAGTTTGTTAAAACCTTTTAAAAGCTTTGCCTATGTGATAGATTTTTTAAAAGTCATCTTATTATGTATTGTTTTACATTTCTGTTATCAGTGAAGTTACTTTTAACATCTTTTAAGTTTCTTTTATGTTTATCTCTGAGTATTATATTTTTGCTCTTTGCCTATTTATCTTTTGAGCTCTTGGGTCTTAGAAGTTTTTAAGAACTTTTTATATATTAAATAAATTAACCCTTTGTGATATGTTTCAAATATTTTTTTCTCAACTTGTTTGCATTTTGACTTTGCTTATAATGTTGTTCTGTTGTTTTTGGTTTAAAAAATTTTTTTTGAAAAGTTTTTAAAATTTATATATGTATTATATGTATTATATAATATATATTATATATAATATATAATATATAATATATATTATATATTATATAATATATATTATATATTATATATAATATATATTGTATATGTATTATATAACATATATTATATATATTATATAACATATATTATATATTATATATAACATATATTATATAATATATATATATTATATATAATATATATATATTATATATAATATATATATTATATGCTCTAGGGACCTGCATATATATATATTTTTTTTTTTTTTTTTTTGAGACAGGGTCTTGCTGTGTTGCCCAGGCTGGAGTGCAGTGGCGTGATTATGGCTCACAACAGCCTTGAACTCCCAGGCTCAGGCGATCCTCCCACCTCAGCCTGTTGAGTAGCTGGGACTACAGGGTGCACCACCACACTTGGCTGTTTCCCGCCCCCCCCCCCCCCCCCCCATAAAGATGAGGTCTCGCTAAGTTGCCCAGGTTGGTCTTGAACTCTTGAGCTCAAGTGATGCATCCACCTCAGCCTCTCAAAGTGTTGGGATTACAGGCGTGAGCCACTGTGCTTGGCTCTTTATTTTTCAAATATGAAAATTCAAGAAGACTTCAGTAGATGTCTTCTTAATTTTTGATTAAATCAGATACAGTGGAAAGTCAGGGCTTTGCAGTTTGTTGCTGCTTGGTAAAAGACAAATAGCCATGAATATCCAGCAGGTCAGTAGTTTCTGTCAACATGGCTCTTTTCTAAGTAACAGTTGTGTTGTTGACAGTCATAGATGCTATACCTTTCACTCATTTCCCAGCAAGTCATTTTATTGCCACCATGACTGTTTGCAGTTTAAATGTGTAAAACTTTGCATGCTTTTATTTGATGTGATTGTCAGCATCTTTGAACTTGGGACACTTAAACTTTTTTCTTTCAAGGACTGTGGACAAGCCCAGCTTTTATGTCTCACTCTGGATACTTGAGCAGAGATGCATATGGCAGTCCTTACTGAGAGGAAGGAAAGATGGGTGTAATATTGGAAGGCATGAACCTAGGCAGGTCCCTAGAGCATACTTATCTTCTCTACTTATTGTGAGCCTCCTTAACTGTGAGATCTATAACTGTGCTTCTCATGTGCTTGGCCAGTGGATGGTGTTATTCTTTCTAGTTTTCTATTTACCTTTCTGGAGTCCGAGATCAAAAAAGGATACAAATAAAGCCTGCATTTTGAAAATACCTATTTTTAACTTATTAAGTGGAAACTTTGAGAAGAGTCATTATTACAGAATAATTAGTAAAAAATCACCTTCATTTAGATTCTGCTTTTGGTTATGTAGGTCACGCAGCCTAAGGCAGTGGGAGGGTCTAGGTGTCACCAGTATGGCAGTCAGACGCAGTGACTGTGCTGCCTGTGATTTCCTGTCTGTACCCTGACTGTAATTAAACCAGCACCAGTACCTGTCACTAGGGCACCAGACACACATCTGAGTATACATGAGTAGAGCTGAACAACCTGAATGTTGGTGCTTTTTATTCCATGCCTGGAGGTTTAGTTTTTTTTGTTTTTTAAGTACAAGATGGAGACTGAAAGTGAGAGTAGCACTTTAGGGGATGACAGTGTCTTCTGGTTGGAGTCTGAAGTTATAATCCAGGTGACTGACTGTGAAGAGGAAGAAAGGGAAGAGAAGTTCAGGTGATTATGGAATTCACAGTTCCTTTGTCCTGTCCACTCCCTACCCCCACCCGCACCCCTTTTTCTTCTCTGCATTTCGGTCTTTTTTCCAATAAGACTTTCTGTTTTCTGGGGGAAGGTTTGGAGCTCAAGGGAGCAGGTTTTGAGTTGTATATAGCACTCCTCATTCCACAACTTGCCCTGAACTTGTAAAATGCATTTTAAAGGACTTGTTAGAACGCCAGGAGGAGAAGGTGTTAGACAGGTTTTGTAGTAGCCTTTCAGGAATTTCAAGTAGACACTCATAATGAACTACTACCCCTTCCTGTATCTGATTTGTATCAAATAGATTTGATCTGAATTTGTATCTAATAGATTTTTCTTCCTCTTTTTCTTGGAATGTGGTGTGTGTGTGTGTGTGTGTGTGTGTGTGCGTGCCTGCCTGCCTGCCTGCTTTGTTTGCCTTATGCATGGGTATGAAAAATTCCGATTAAGTACAGATTGGTTATTTTGTGGCTTTGATCTTTACCCTTGTCTCTGATCTTGTATCTCATGCCCCCTTTCCCCCAAATCTCTCTTGGTTTTTGAATCTCTGGTAGTATTAGTAACTTCATAATTGAAGTTTTTAGAGGATGCCTCCTGATGAAGCAGCTCTCAGTTTAGTGTCTGTGGTGAAGAAAGATGTCTTAACCAGTTTGTGAAAACAGAACCAATGTTTCATTCATTCTGTTGTACTGTTGCAAATTTTAGGGGGCTTTATTCTGGCTTTTCTTTTTCTTTCAGAGTTAGCGATGTAATACCTTTGAGTATCACAAAAATCTCTTGATGAAGTTTGAAGTTTGTTGCTGCATATTATCACTGCCACTCACATGTGCAATTAAACATCTTTTATAAGTTTACCTATGAGAACTTGGATAGGTGAATATACTGTTTTCATCAGATACTGTCTTTGTGTTTAATGCTGAAAAAGAGTTTCTCCTTTTCTCGAGTCAAAGGATTTCTTTATCCACAAATTTTATTTTTTAAAGTCTAGGTTAAATGATGGAAGGGATTGAATATTGGGAACTCTTGATAACCCTCACTAAATTTTTTACTCTGGGGTTCAAATAAATGAGAAGTATATTTAAAATTTTAAAAGAATAATTTTCAGAGTATAAAAATGAATTATTAGCATATGATTATTTTTTGTCTGAACTTTTGTCTCATTTTCCCATAATTTTATCTAGCCTTTCAAATTTGAGTAAGTCCCTTCCCTTCCAAGGTATGCTAATTGTTAGTCACATGTTCTGCTTTTTAATATGGTTTGTGTCTTGCTAACAATGAGTAGGACTGAAGTATTTGTTTTGCTTGTAATAAAACTTTTTGACCTGGTATTCAAATTATGGAAGTTATTTGGGTATTTGTCAAAGGAAGAAACAACTTGGAACTTATTTCATTGTTGTTTTTATAACAGATTTGGTACTGTAATCCTAGATTTACTTGTAAGGCAGTGGGCGTCTCTCTGGGATTTTCTTTTGACAGTTAAAAGCAAATTTGTGTAAGGATGAGCTCTTCTTTTCCTTGGGAGTATGTGACAGCATTTTCACTCTGAGAAACTGAGCTAGTGATGTGTTGTTTAAGGAAACTATGATACCATAGGGCATTTCTCTTCTGTTTATATTTCCTATCTGAATAGCACCATGGCTCTCCTAAATCAATTATATCTTTGTGATTTGATCTGATTTTATTTACAAATGTAACAAAGAGGTCTGGGCAAGGCCCAATTTCATGTAGTGTCTCTCACGCATTCAGCAGTGAGGCATGAGGAAATGTGGCAGCAGAGTGGTTTCACAACCTCGTGGTGGTGTTCCTGCCGAGATGCCCTACAGGAAAATGGAGGCATGGGTGTGGAAGGGGAAGGGTCGGATAGGAGTTGCAGCTGTAACCTTGGGAGGACCAAATAGTAGACTCAGTGTGGTATGACAGTTGTTTTTGTAAAATCAATGTAATAATTTTAAAAATGTCTTACTGTGTTTTTATAAAAATCTCTGCAAATACATGTGACATCAAGCTGTCGTATTGGTTACATTTCCATTCACATACACACACATAGCTGAGATGAGGGCAAAAGATTGTGCACTTTTCTTTTTCCCTGAATAGCTTGTAAACTACATTTTAAATGCACTCTTAAAAGCCTGCTCTTGTGTAACTTAAGGCACCATGGCTAAGAGAGTAAAGTCATACCACACCTAGAATGTAGGCTTCTGGTGCTTCCAGGTGCCATCTGCTTTAGGAGGAAGTAGTCTCAGAGACAAGTTAATGTTTGTCCAGTAGCTTTTGAAATAGCATTTATTTTTGGACTCAGTTGGAGGAAAGGATCCTTTTTATTAACACTCTTTCACTATGGGAAGTTGCCGGTCTCCTTCATGGTGGTAGTTTAAATTTGTCTGCCATTGACTCACAGATCTTTCATTTTCTGATTTCTTATTTGTAGTCGGTATTATTACCTACCTTGTCACTGTGGTAAAATAGTTATTAGACTAGAATATTTAGTCCTTAGAATAAAATAGTTCCTAGAGATGATTAGAAAAATCCATCCCTGGATAAGAAGGAGGAATATAAGGCAGAAAAGGAAAAACATAAATGTTTTAATTCTATCAAGAAAGAAAAACTTTACTTAGAAATTGTTATATGTAATGTACTAGGCCATATATATGCTTTATACAGTGTATCAGTTAACTGCTTATCACTCCTATAAAGCAGGTATCATTTTTCCTATTTCCTCGGTGAGGAATTTATGGCTCAGAGAGTCACACAGCCCACATTTGTCATGGTGGAGCAAAATTTTGCAAGTGGTAGCACAAAAATTTGAACCCAGATGTAACTGACTTTGAAAGTGAAGACTTTAATGAAAGATTTTTGGGGCTATCTTCTGCTAAATGCTATTTTCTGCTAAGTGATAACTTATAAGAGGCTACAGCTGATATCTCAAGTTTTGAAATTCCTTTTTTTTGAGGAGGTTATGAGCATCAATGACATATAGATTATGTGACCATCATAAAAATGAAGTAATGAACACAATAATGTGACTTTTAAAAAATGTGACCTCTAGGACACCTAGGAATCATGAAAGGTTCTAGTTCTTTGGCATTTGAAGGTAGAAATGTTTATCATATGATTTTGTTTAGACTTCCCTAATACCACGTTATGGGCTGATAGACAGCCTGGCAAATATGACATATAATTTGAAGCAGCTACAGAGATGATATAGTGCTTAATTGAACCATATTTTTGATCACGATCTGTAGATGCCCAGATCGCTGATCTTCACGTATATCTCCATTATTAAGGCAATTCATTTTAAGTGACGAGAAAGTTCTGACTTTAGTTAAACTGGATGATTTGGTGAACATATTTTAATTGGGGGGGACAATGCCTTTATTGATTTATAGCATTATAGAACTAATGATACTTCATGCACTTGACTCGTTGGTTGGTTGCATTATTCATCCTCTACCTCAGGGGTTCCCAACCCCTGGACCGTGGACCAGTTATCTTATTTGGAAGGATGCCACAAGTTAGAAGCTATTGTGGCAGTCTAAGTAGGTAGTAAGGGTCTTGACTGTGGTATTGTACATCTTCTAGGCTCAAAACAGCTTTGAACTCCCAGGCCCAGGCGATCAGATCAGATCTAGATGATTTCTTTTAATGGCTCATTTCCCCTGGAAGCCCATAAAACAATTTCAAGATTTTCTGTTTTTATTACTCTGCCTGTTCTTTTATCTTCTGCAGAAATTCTTGATTTCAGGCTTCCCAGCCAGTTTTAATGATCCTGGAAGTACAGAGAGGTAGTATTAACAATTAACTGAGGCTGGGCATGGTGGCTCACACCTGTAATCCCAGCACTTTGGGAGGCTGAGGCAGGCAGATCACCTGAGGTCAGGAGTTTGAGATCAGCCTGGCCAACATGGTGAAACCCTGTCTCTACTAAAAATACAAAAATTAGCTGGGTGTGGTGGCGGGTTCCTGTAATCCCAGCTATTTGGGAGGCTGAGGCAGGAGAATTGCTTGAACCTGGGAGGTAGAGATTGCAGTGAGCTGAGATTACGGCACTGCATTCCAGCCTGGGTGACAAAATGAGACTCCATCTCAAAAACAAACAAACCTCAACAAACAAAAAAACCACACAAAAAAACCAAAACAAAAAAACCCAATTAACTGTATGTCCATAAATACCATATCACACCCAGGCCCATTTTATACTGTGTGGCTTTTCAAAGGCACCACATCTTTAATAACCTATTACTTATGATGTCAAAAAAGATGTATATTTTGCCCAAAAAGCTACAACTTATATTGTTTTGTAACCTTGAAGAAACATCTGGGATTTAGTTTAGCCCCTAAAATATTATTTTAAAAAATTATTTTTAATTTTAGGGGGTTCATAGTGGGTATATATTTTTATGGGGTACATGAGATGTTTTGATATAGGCACACAATGTGTAATAATCATATCATGGAAGATGGGGTAACCATCCCCTCATGATGGGATATCCATCCCCTCAAGCATTTACCCTTTGTTTTATAAACAATCCAATTATACTCTTTTAATTATTTTTCAGTGTACAATTAAATTATTATTGACTATAGTCACCCTATTGTGCTATCAAATACTAGGCCTTATTCATTTATTCTAACTACTTTTTGGACCCATTAACTATCCCCACCAGCCTCCCACTATGCCCCCACCACCCTTCCCAGCCTCTGGTAACCATCCTTCTACTCTCTGTGTCCATGAGTTTAATTGTTTTGATTTTTAGATCACACAAATAAGTGAGAACATGTGATGTTTGTCTTTCCGTGCCTGGCTTATTTCACTTAACATAATGACCTCTAGCTCCAACCATGTTGTTGCAAATGACTAAATCTCATTATTTTTTATGACTGAATAGTATTCCATTGGGTATAAGTACCACATTTTCTTTATCCATTCATCCATTGATGGACACTTAGGTTGCTTTCAGATCTTGGCTATTGTGAACAGTGCTGCAACAAATATGGGAGTGCAGATACCTCTTCAGTAGACTGATTTCCTTTCATTTGGGTATATGTCCAACAGTGGGATGGCTAGATCATATGGTAGCTCTATTTTTAGTTTTTTTGAGGAACTTCCAAACTTTTCTTCATAGTAGTTGCCTAATTTACATTCCTGCCAACAATGTGTGAGGGTTCCCATTTCTCCACATTGTTGCCGGCATTTGTTATTGCCTTTCTTTTGGATATAAGCCATTTTAACTGGGGTGAGATGATCTCTCACTGTAGTTTTGATTTGCATTTCTCTGATGATCAGTGATGTTGAGCACTTTTTCCTACGCTTGTTTGCCATTTGTTGCCGTCTTTTGAGAAATGCCTGTTCAAATCTTTTGCCCATTTTTAAATCGGATTATTACATTTTTTCCTATAGAGTTGTTTGGGCTCCTTATATATTCTGGTAATTAATCCCTTTTTGCAAATATTTTCTCCCTTGCTGTGGGTTGTCTCTTCACTTTGTTGATTGTTTTCTTTGCTGTGTAGAAGCTTCTAAAATATTCTTTTAACAGTAAGTATAACATTCACCCAACATACTCTCATCAGTGAATTTAATAGTAATCAGCAAAGTCTGATATGAACATCCCTTAATCTCAGAACATTTTAGGCAGTAATGGAGTCTAGCCATTAGGCTGTCTTCATAATCTGTGAAATGAATCTGTCTTAACCGTGAGGCATGCCAGTACAAGACTTTCTTGGTATTTTAGTAATTAAGCCCTTTGGGATGGAGTCCAAGGTGGGCCTTTCTTGTATCTATCTGTATGAGTATTTTGATGTTCAAGAAAGGCCCTAGAGTACACAAACGATATAGACCTGTATAAAAGTTCCTGGTTATTAGGTTGTTTAATTGAAGTTAAAAAGTTTAAACCCAAACCTAATTTTTCTAACTCTTGCATTTCACTTTGGCACTGAACTCTCTTAAATAGTCAATAGGACTTTCAAAAATAAATTGAAATCCCTGAAACATTTAAAGCTCTATTTATAAATTAGTTAATTTTCTTTTTTTTTAAATTAAATATGTCAAGTGACTAGCTTAGCAAGATGATATTCAGAGCAGGCAAAACCTTCCCAGATACTTAATTTTGGAAGTTGCGCTATACTTTTCTTTACATTAATGATTAGTTTCCATTTCCATGTTCTCATAATCATACATGTATTTTCTCTATTTGAAAATAAAATGATTTCTTTCACCCAGGTTTTCTCTCTCTCTTTCTGTGTATGTATGTTTGTGTTTTAAATCATGGTTCTCTCTTCTCCTCTACTTCTCTTCCTTATAAAATAAGATCTTTAGGAAACTTTAACTTCCTCCTTCTCTCAGTCTCATACTTCTAGATGAGACTTTTGAAACTCTTTTATTCACCCATTCTGCCTCCGTCAGTTTAATGTTTTTTGCTTTTCATTCAGATTTAATTATTTGTGTCATTTTTTTATTATTATTATACTTTAAGTTTTAGGGTACATGTGCACAACGTGCAGGTTTGTTACATATGTATACATGTGCCATGTTGGTGTGCTACACCCAGTAACTCGTCATTTACATTAGGTATATCTCCTAATGCTATCCCTCTCCTCTCCCCTCACCCCACAACAGTCCCTGGTGTGTGATGTTCCCCTTCCTGTGTCCAAGTGTTCTCATTGTTCAATTCCCACCTATGAGTAAGAACATGTGGTGTTTGGTTTTTTGTCCTTGTGATAGTTTGCTGAGAATGATAGTTTCCAGCTTCATCCATGTCCCTACAAAGGACATGACCTCATCATTTTTTATGGCTGCATAGTATTCCGTGGTGTATATGTGCCACATTTTCTTAATCCAGTATATCATTGTTGGACATTTGGGTTGGTTCCAAGTCTTTGCTATTGTGAATAATGCCACAATAAACATACGTGTGCATGTGTCTTTATAGCAGCATGATTTATAATCCTTTGGGTATCTACCCAGTAATGGGATGGCTGGGTCAAATGGTATTTCTAGTTCTAGATCCCTGAGGAATTGCCACACCTACTTCCACAGTGGTTGAACTAGTTTACAGTCCCACCAACAGTGTGTCATTGTTTAGTGTTTATGTTGCTTCTTCTCTGTATCACATTCTATCTTAATGTATCAGTTTTGGATCATTTGTATTTGCCTGATACGTTCTTAAGTATTTTTGTTCAGTTAAGTTCTCTGGGTGATATTCTCTGATTTCTTGTATAAGCTCAAATGCCAATCTGTTTTTTTCTTTTCCTTTGTAGGTAACATGTTCTTTTTGCCAGACTACTTGTTAAGAGTTTCTTTTTTATTGTTATGTATATTTTGTTACCCGTTCTTTAGTTTGGAGCTTAGTGAGTTCTTTATTTTGGAACTTAGTGACTTTCAGTCTACAGAGTCAAACCTTTGTGTTAGGGAAGAAATTTTTTTGTTTCCTATTATTGCCTTTGCCTCTATTAAGTCCCCTTAATCTTTTATTTTATGATATATTTCTTTTTACATTTTACTTTGTGAATTGAAGTTTTTTTGTACTTGTTCTCTTAGCTAATTTCATCTTCTTTTTTAATTGTTCAAATTCAATTTGAGTAGATAAATTATTTTTAAGGGTTCTTCACGTATAGATACATACACACAAGGTATTTTTATAATAAATTTAGGTTATTTTCTTTCTTTTTGAGCTTTGGAGCTTTATTCATTCAGTGTACATGTTCTGTTTTATTCTGACTGTTCAGAACCTATCTTTTAGCTGCTAAGCAAAGTATCTGCGCTTCTTTGCCCTTTCCCCTGCTGTGTTTTCTTCAGTAGCCCCCATGATGCATATGGCTCTGCCTTGCTTGTCTTAGGTGCACACACCCACATTAGGAGCCCTAGTCCTTCTGGTCAGTTGTTAAATTACTTTACAGGGTAATTTTCCAGTTTTTGTTAGTACCCTGGGGGCAAGCATCTCTCTTGTTGTGGAAAGGGGTGGGGTATAGCCTTTGAACTTCTGTTTTTCTCTTTAGGTCAGTATGATACCACTTGCTTTTAAGTTTTTCAGTCTTTTAGTCTTTCAGAAGTGTATCAAAGTCTGATCTCTGGCCTTCTGGTGCCATTCATACCATTCTGTTAAGGATTTATTTTTTCCTATTTAACTTAATGATTTTTGAGACACTTGGAGAAGGAGAGATTTGCTTCCTCACATATATGCAGTCTAGGATTGGAAGTCCACTGGGAAGTTTTTTTCATAGGTTTTGAGAGGAAACTTTTCTGCAGGGAACATTCACTGAGGCAGAATCGTGGTGCCTTTCATGCAATTTGGTGGGTCTTAGGAGTGTGAATGGCTGCTTCAGTGTCTTCTTCAGCTGGCAGGTGGGGTCTTCCAGAAAAAAATAGTTTACCACATCAGGAATGATGAAGATATGGTCAAGCATTCCACTTTTCCTATCTGCAAAACAGGGCTTAAAATAGTATATCAAACAATAACTAGTTAGAAGATACAATGGAAGAAAAAGTGCCACTTTCAGGAGCAACAAAGATGAGATACCAGAAATAAACTTAACAACAAACTCTAAAACCTACATGATAAAAATGTAAAACATCATTGAAGAACATAAAAGAAGTTTGGAACAATTGAAGAATATGTCTTCTTCATAACTGGAAATACACAGCACCATAAAGATGTTAGTTTAAGGTAATTTATAAATTTAATGTGATGATAAGAATCCTTTTTAAAAAACTAAATAAATTGATCTTGGCTAAATAATTTAACCAAGAAACTTTGTAGGAAAAAGAAAAAGAACAAGGGTAGTGGATATAGAGGACTTTTGCAACTAGATGTTGTATTGTGAAGTCTTAGTCTCAGTAATTAAAACCCATTGGTTGTGGGACATGAAGAGAAGTATTATGGGGTAGAATGGAAATCCTAGAAAATATACCCACGTTCATAGGAATATTTAGGTATGGTAAAGATGGCTTCTCAAAAGCTAATGGAGATGATATGTACTATTCAGTAAATAGTTTTGGAGAAACTGAATATTCACCTGTGGAAGTAAAGAAAATAGGAATCCTACCTCATACCAAGGATGAATTACAAATGATCAAAGATTTAAATGTACTAAATGAAAACATAAAAAATTTTTTAAGGCCGGGTGCAGTGACTCATGTCTGTAATCCCAGCATTTTGGGAGGCTAAAGTGGCAGGATCCCTTGAGGCCAGGAGTTTGAAACCAGCCTAGTCAACATAGCAAGACCCCGTCACTACAAAAGAAAAATAAAAAACTTAGCCTGGCATGGTGGTACCTGCCTGTAGTCCCAGGTACTCAGGAGACTGAAGTGGGAGGATCTCTTGAGCCCAGGAGTTTGAGGCTATAGTAAGCTACGATTACACCACCGCCCTCCAGCCCTGGAAATAGAGCGAGACCCTGTCTCCAGAAAAAAAAAAAAGGTAATAGAAAACATAGAGAATTAACACAATTTTTTTTTATAATAGGAAGGCATTTTGAACTATGATTTAAAGCAGTAAAAGAAAAAGCCATGAAGGAAAGGGTTGAGAAATGAGGCTACATAAAACAAAAAACATCTACATTACATAAAATATCTACATTACAATATATAAAACATCTGCATTACAAAAAACAAAGTAAGCAAGGACATATGACGACCTGGGAAAAATACCTGAAACTCATATTACAGATGAAGGATTAATCTCCTTGATATACAAAGAACTAAAAATGGTTAAGAAAAAGTCCAACAACCCAATAGAAAAATGGGCTAATATATAAAAATATTTTTTTTACTGTAGAAAATTTGTTTTTCAGATATATTTGTACATATATAGAATGACATATAAATGCACAAACTTATTGTAGCATTGTTTGTAATAGCAGTAGATTGGAAAGAATTTATTCAAGTACTCATCAGTAGGGGATTAGTTAAATAAATTAAGGAATAGCTACACAGGGGAACATTATATAGTTGTAAAAACAGCAAAGAAGTTCTATGTATTGATATGGAAAGTCTCCAGGAAAAGTTAGAGGAAAACAAGGTATACAACAATGTGTAAACCTACTAAGAAGCAGCATATTTACACATTGCTTTTATACTCTGTGTGGCTGTATTTTTTCATACATATGAATAATTTATGTGTGAATATATGCAGCTATAGTAATAAAGTTTAGAAGACTCTATTGGAAATTGATTACCTTGGCAGGTAGAGAATTTAATGGGTTGGAATTGGGCAGATTGGAGACAGGGATGGGAATAATTTTTCTTTATATGCCTTTTTGATTTGTGTATGGTTCAATTGTAATACATATGAAGAATTATAGTATATAAGACATTTTGAGTGGGAAGTGACCAAAACTGAATTCCAACTGGCTTCAGCAAACCTCTGTTCCATAGTCACCACCAATGTAACTGTCCTCATCGGTGTTAGAGGGTTAGTTTCTTTATTTTTTAGGAATTCTGGGAATATTAGATTTATGTAAGTGATTATTAGTCCACATAGGCTAACCAGAACAGAGTTCCTGTATTTTAAGAGGCTTTACAATTTAATTTATTAATATCCTTTGAAAAGTAGGAAAATTTATTGCACCCTATGATAAGCAGATAATGACTTTTATCAGTTCCAGGCACACAGAACGCTGGTAGTCTCAGATTTATATCATCAGCCGTGGGTAAAATGAATAGAGAACACCAAACTGAGCACTTCGGACATATCTCAAAGAGCTGTTCTCTCCAGTGGAATTGAGGCATATTTGTACACAGACAGACAAAAATTGACTAACAAACCAAATTCTCTGTTGCTAATAGAGAGTAGATATCAAATGGTCTGACCATAAAATGGACTTCCAGCCATTGTTGCCACCAGTGGATAGTAACTGGCGACAACTGTTGCAGAGCCAGAACCAAATTTGGCGAAGAATAAGAAATAAACAAAAACCGATCGGAAGAATAGAAAGAGAAAGATATCCTGCTTGGAATTTATTCCAGGGATGAAGAAAAGATATTCCTGGGAGTGAACAGTCCCTGAGGTGCAGTTCCTGGGTAATATGCTATATTTGTCTTGAGAAGGAAATCCGCTTGGACTTCTCTGTGGAACTTCAACATTGTCAAGTGTAATTTTTCATAAGTTATGAGCAAGAATCTCATACAAATAAAGTGAATATGTGACAGATATTTACATAATTTCTTAGTGAGGGAAACAGCAAGATGATAAGGCTGGTTCCCATAATCTTTCAATTTGGGGGAAGTAGTTTTCTCTCCTATTTTTCATTTTCATTGAATGCATTCAGGTTTAAGTCTGAAGATGTTTTACAGAAAACTCTGGTAAAAAATACAGCAGTAGGTTACTTAGGTATTATGGTTGGCAGCCCTTAACTACAGCTTTTTTGTTAGATATGAAACTACAATCAAACACTTTAAGCATAAAATTTGTCCATAATTTTAAAAGCATAGAACAAGAGAGTCAAATAAATGGATACTAAATTTCTTATTGAGTTGGTTCATCATTGCATGGCCCATAATGTATATATAAATATAATTTTTATACCTCTTAAACTGTGTAACATTTACCAATAAACTTTTACACTTTGAGGTATAACACATATAATAAAGTCTACAAATCATAAATGTACAGCTTGATAAATTTATACAAAATATATACCCAGATAATCACAACCCAATCAAGGTATAGATTATTTCTAGCACACACAAAACCTTTGTCCCTTCTAGTCAGTACTTCTCCCAAAGGTAACTTATTCTGACTTTGTCACAATAGATTAATTTAGCCTGTTCTTGAACTTAATGCCAATAGAATTATATAGCATGTACTCTAATGTCTGACTTCTGTTGCACAACATTTATGAGATTCATCTACTTTTTGCAAATTCCTTTTTATTTATGAGTAGTAGTCTATTGTATGAAAAATATTAAAACTAGTATTGTTGATTTATTTTTTCTCTTAATAAATAATTGTATATAGTGGTATATGTAAATACACGATTTTTTTAATATATTGACCATGTAAACCAGTGATCTTGCTAATGTATTAATTCTAAATTGCTTATAGAGTCTTTTAGATTGTTTATTTACATGTTATGTCTTCAAATAAAGAAAAATGTTTTCTTTTCCAATTTTTTTTTATTATTATACTTTAAGTTTTAGGGTACATGTGCACAATGTGCAGGTTAGTTACATACGTATACACGTGCCATGCTGGTGCACTGCACCCACTAACTCGTCATCTAGCATTAGGTATATCTCCCAATGCTATCCCTCCCCCGTCCCCCCACCCCACAACAGTCCCCAGAGTGTGATGTTCCCCTTCCTATGTCCATGTGTTCTCATTGTTCAGTTCCCACCTATGAGTGAGAATGTGCGGTGTTTGGTTTTTTGTTCTTGAGATAGTTTACTGAGAATGATGATTTCCAATTTCATCCATGTCCCTACAAAGGACATGAACTCATCATTTTTTATGGCTGCATAGTATTCCATGGTGTATATGTGCCACATTTTCTTAATCCAGTCTATCATTGTTGGACATTTGGGTTGGTTCCAAGTCTTTGCTATCATGAATAATGCCGCAATAAACATACGTGTGCATGTGTCTTTATAGCAGCATGATTTATAATCCTTTGGGTATATACCCATTAATGGGATGGCTGGGTCAAATGGTATTTCTAGTTCTAGATCCCTGAGGAATGGCCACACTGACTTCCACAATGGTTGAACTAGTTTACAGTCCCAGCAACAGTGTAAAAGTTTTCCTATTTGTCCACATCCTCTCCAGCACCTGTTGTTTCCTGACTTTTTAATGATTGCCATTCTAACTGGTGTGAGATGGTATCTCACTGTGGTTTTGATTTGTATTTCTCTGATGGCCAGTGATGATGAGCATTTTTTCATATGTTTTTTGGCTGCATAAATGTCTTCTTTTGAGAAGTGTCTGTTCATGTCCTTCGCCCACTTTTTGATGGGGTTGTTTGTTTTTTTCTTGTAAATTTGTTTGAGTTCATTGTAGATTCTGGATATTAGCCCTTTGTCAGATGAGTAGGTTGCAAAAATTTTCTCCCATTTTGTAGGTTGCCTGTTCACTCTGATGGTAGTTTCTTTTGCTGTGCAGAAGCTCTTTAGTTTAATTAGATCCCATTTGTCAATTTTGGCTCTTGTTGGCATTGCTTTTGGTGTTTTAGACATGAAGTTCTTGCCCATGCCTATGTCCTGAATGGTAATGCCTAGGTTTTCTTCTAGGGTTTTTATGGTTTTAGGTCTAATATTTAAGTCTTTAATCCATCTTGAATTGATTTTTGTATCAGGTGTAAGGAAGGGATCCAGTTTCAGCTTTCTACATATGGCTAGCCAGTTTTCCCAGCACCATTTACTAAATAGGGAATCCTTTCCCCATTGCTTGTTCTTCTCAGGTTTGTCAAAGATCAGATAGTTGTAGATATGCGGCATTATTTCTGAGGGCTCTGTTCTGTTCCATTGATCTATATCTCTGTTTTGGTACCAGTACCATGCTGTTTTGGTTACTGTAGCCTTGTAGTATAGTTTGAAGTCAGGTAGTGTGATGTCTCCGGCTTTGTTCTTTTGGCTTAGGATTGACTTGGCGTTGTGGGCTCTTTTTTGGTTCCATATGAACTTTAAAGTAGTTTTTTCCAATTCTGTGAAGAAAGTCATTGGTAGCTTGATGGGGATGGCATTGAATCTATAAATTACCTTGGGCAGTATGGCCATTTTCACGATATTGATTCTTCCTACCCATGAGCATGGAATGTTCTTCCATTTGTTTGTATCCTCTTTTATTTCCTTGAGCAATGGATTGTAGTTCTCCTTGAAGAGGTCCTTCACATCCCTTGTAAGTTGGATTCCTAGGTATTTTATTCTCTTTGAAGCAATTGTGAATGTGAGTTCACTCATGATTTGGCTCTCTGTTTGTCTGTTGTTGGTGTATAAGAATGCTTGTGATTTTTGTACATTGATTTTGTATCCTGAGACTTTGCTGAAGTTGCTTATCAGCTTAAGGAGATTTTGGGCTGAGACAATGGGGTTTTCTAGATATACAATCATGTCATCTGCAAACAGGGACAATTTGACTTCCTCTTTTCCTAATTGAATACCCTTTATTTCCTTCTCCTGCCTAATTGCCCTGGCCAGAACTTCCAACACTATGTTGAATAGGAGTGAGTGGTGAGAGAGGGCATCCCTGTCTTGTGCCAGTTTTCGAAGGGAATGCTTCCAGTTTTTGCCCATTCAGTATGATATTGGCTGTGGGTTTGTCATAGATAGCTCTTATTATTTTGAGATATGTCCCATCAATACCTAATTTGTTGAGAGTTTTTAGCATGAAGGGCTGTTGAATTTTGTCAAAGGCCTTTTCTGCATCTATTGAGATAATCATGTGGTTTTTGTCTTTGGTTCTGTTTATATGCTGGATTACATTTATTGATTTGCTTATATTGAACCAGCCTTGCATCCCAGGGATGAAGCCCACTTGATCATGGTGGATAAGCTTTTTGATGTGCTGCTGGATTCAGTTTGCCAGTATTTTATTAAGGGTTTTTGCATCAATGTTCATCAAGGATATTGGTCTAAAATTCTCTTTTTTGGTTGTGTCTCTGCCCGGCTTTGGTATCAGGATGATGCTGGCCTCGTAAAATGAGTTAGGGAGGATTCCCTCTTTTTTTATTGACTGGAATAGTTTCAGAAGGAATGGTACCAGTTTCTCCTTGTACCTCTGGTAGAATTCGGCTGTGAATCCATCTGGTCCTGGACTCTTTTTGGTTGGTAAGCTATTGATTATTGCCACAATTTCAGCTCCTGTTATTGGTCTATTCAGAGATTCAACTTCTTCCTGGTTTAGTCTTGGTAGAGTGTATGTGTCAAGGAATTTATCCATTTCTTCTATATTTTCTAGTTTATTTGCGTAGAGGTGTTTGTAGTATTCTCTGATGGTAGTTTGTATTTCTGTGGGATCGGTGGTGATATCCCCTTTATCATTTTTTATTGCGTCTATTTGATTCTTCTCTCTTTTTTTCTTTATTAGTCTTGCTAGCGGTCTATCCATTTTGTTGATCCTTTCAAAAAACCAGCTCCTGGATTCATTAATTTTTTGAAGGGTTTTTTGTGTCTCTATTTCCTTCAGTTCTGCTCTGATTTTAGTTATTTCTTGCCTTCTGCCAGCTTTTGAATGTGTTTGCTCTTGCTTTTCCAGTTCTTTTAATTGTGATGTTAGGGTGTCGATGTTGGATCTTTCCTGCTTTCTCTTGTGGGCATTTAGTGCTATAAATTTCCCTCTACACACTGCTTTGAATGCGTCCCAGAGATTCTGGTATGTTGTGTCTTTGTTCTCGTTGGTTTCAAAGAACATCTTTATTTCTGCCTTCATTTCGTTATGTACCCAGTAGTCATTCCGGAGCAGGTTGTTCAGTTTCCATGTAGTTGAGCGGTTTTGAGTGAGATTCTTAATCCTGAGTTCTAGTTTGATTGCACTGTGGTCTGAGAGATAGTTTGTTATAATTTGTGTTCTTTTACATTTGCTGAGGAGAGCTTTACTTCCAAGTATGTGGTCAGTTTTGGAATGGGTGTGGTGTGGTGCTGAAAAAATGTATATTCTGTTGATTTGGGGTGGAGAGTTCTGTAGATGTCTATTAGGTCCGCTTGGTGCAGAGCTGAGTTCAATTCCTGGGTATCCTTGTTGACTTTCTGTCTCGTTGATCTGTCTAATGTTGACAGTGGGGTGTTAAAGTCTCCCATTATTAATGTGTGGGAGTCTAAGTCTCTTTGTAGGTCACTCAGGACTTGCTTTATGAATCTGGGTGCTCCTGTATTGGGTGCATATATATTTAGGATAGTTAGCTCTTCTTGTTGAATTGATCCCTTTACCATTATGTAATGGCCTTCTTTGTCTCTTTTGATCTTTGTTGGTTTAAAGTCTGTTTTATCAGAGACTAGGATTGCAACTCCTGCCTTTTTTTGTTTTCCATTTGCTTGGTAGATCTTCCTCCATCCTTTTATTTTGATGTGTGTCTCTGCACGTGAGATGGGTTTCCTGAATACAGCACACTGATGGGTCTTGACTCTTTATCCAATTTGCCAGTCTGTGTCTTTTAATTGGAGCATTTAGTCCATTTACATTTAAAGTTAATATTGTTATGTGTGAATTTGATCCTGTCATTATGATATTAGCTGGTTATTTTGCTCGTTAGTTGATGCAGTTACTTCCTAGTCTCAATGGTCTTTACACTTTGGCATGATTTTGCAGCGGCTGGTACCGATTGTTCCTTTCCATGTTAGCGCTTCCTTCAGGAGCTCTTGTAAGGCAGGCCTGGTGGTGACAAAATCTCTCAGCATTTGCTTGTCTGTAAAGTATTTTATTTGTCCTTCACTTATGAAGCTTAGTTTGGCTGGATATGAAATTCTGGGTTGAAAATTCTTTTCTTTAAGAATGTTGAATATTGGCCCCCACTGTCTTCCAGCTTGTAGGGTTTCTGCCGAGAGATCTGCTGTTAGTCTGATGGGCTTCCCTTTGAGGGTAACCCGACCTTTCTCTCTGGCTGCCCTTAACATCTTTTCCTTCATTTCAACTTTGGTGAATCTGACAATTATGTGTCTTGGAGTTGCTCTTCTCGAGGAGTATCTTTGTGGCGTTCTCTGTATTTCCTGAATCTGAACGTTGGCCTGCCTTGCTAGATTGGGGAAGTTCTCCTGGATAATATCCTGCAGAGTGTTTTCCAACTTGGTTCCATTCTCCCCATCACTTTCAGGTACACCAATCAGACATAGATTTGGTCTTTTCACATAGTCCCATATTTCTTGGAGGCTTTGCTCATTTCTTTTTATTCTTTTTTCTCTAAACTTCCCTTCTTGCTTCATTTCATTCATTTCATCTTCCATTGCTGATACCCTTTCTTCCAGTTGATCGCATCAGCTCCTGAGGCTTCTGCATTCTTCATGTAGTTCTCGAGCCTTGGTTTTCAGCTCCATCAGCTCCTTTAAGCACTTCTCTGTATTGGTTATTCTAGTTATACATTCTTCTAAATTTTTTTCAAAGTTTTCAACTTCTTTGCCTTTGGTTTGAATGTCCTCCCATAGCTCAGAGTAATTTGATCGTCTGAAGCCTTCTTCTCTGAGCTCGTCAAAGTCATTCTCCATCCAGCTTTGTTCCGTTGCTGGTGAGGAACTGCGTTCCTTTGGAGGAGGAGAGGCGCTCTGCTTTTTAGAGTTTCCAGTTTTTCTGTTCTGTTTTTTCCCCATCTTTGTGGTTTTATCTACTTTTGGTCTTTGATGATGGTGATGTACAGATGGGTTTTTGGTGTGGATGTGCTTTCTGTTTGTTAGTTTTCCTTCTAACAGACAGGATCCTCAGCTGCAGGTCTGTGGGAGTACCCGGCCATGTGAGGTGTCAGACTGCCCCTGCTTGGGGGTGCCTCCCAGTTAGGCTGCTCGGGGGTCAGGGGTCAGGGACCCACTTGAGGAGGCAGTCTGCCTGTTCTCAGATCTCCAGCTGCGTGCTGGGAGAAGCATTGCTCTCTTCAAAGCTGTCAGACAGGGACATTTAAGTCTGCAGAGGTTACTGCTGTCTTTTTATTTGTCTGTGCCCTGCCCCCAGAGGTGGAGCCTACAGAGGCAGGCAGGCCTCCTTGAGCTGTGGTGGGCTCTACCCAGTTCGAGCTTTCTGGCTGCTTTGTTTACCTAAGCAAGCCTGGGCAATGGTGGGCGCCCCTCCCCGAGCCTTGCTGCCGCCTAGCAGTTTGATCTCAGACTGCTGTGCTAGCAATCAGCGAGACTCCGTGGGCGTAGGACCCTCCGAGCCATGTGCGGGATATAATGTCCTGGTGCGCCATTTTTTAGGCCCGTCGGAAAAGCGCAGTATTTGGGTGGGAGTGAACCGATTTTCCAGGTGCCGTCTGTCACCCCTTTCTTTGACTAGGAAAGGGAACTCCCTGACCCTCTGCGCTTCCCGAGTGAGGCAATGCCTCGCCCTGCTTTGGCTTGTGCACGGTGCGCGCACCCACTGTCCTGTGCCCACTGTCTGGCACTCCCTAGTGAGATGAACCTGGTACCTCAGATGGAAATGCAGAAATCACCCGTCTTCTGCGTCGCTCACGCTGGGAGCTGTGGACCGGAGCTGTTCCTATTTGGCCATCTTGGCTCCTCTTTCTTTTCCAATTTTTACATTTTTTCTTGCTTTTTTTCCCCAAGTGAATAAGACCTCAAGTACAGTGTTGAATAGAAGACAACATTCTTGATTTGTTCATGATCTCAGTGGGAAATCATTTAGTATTTCAATGTTAAGTGTGATGCTTAGCTGTATTTGTGTTTTTCAATAATTTTCATTAAAATATTTTAAAGAATTTATGAATAGGTATTAAATTTCACCTATTGAAATCATATGTGATGGATTACATTTATTGATTTGCATATGTTGAACCAGACTTGCATCCCAGGAATGAAGCCGACTTGATCGTGGTGGATAAGCTCTTTGATGTGCTGCTGGATTCAATTTTCCAGTATTTTATTGAGGATTTTTGCATCGATGTTCATCAGAGGTATTGGCCTGAAGTTTTCTTTTTTGGTTGTGTTTCTTTCTGGTTTTGGTATCAGGATGATGCTGGCTTCATAAAATGAGTTAGGGAGGAGTCCCTCCTTTTTAATTGTTTGGAGTGGTTTCAGAAGGAATGGTACCAGCTCCTCTTTGTACCTCTGGTAAAATTTGGCTGTGAATCCGTCTGGTCCTGGGCTTTTCTTTTTTTTTTTTTTGGTTGGTCTATTAATTACTGCCTCAATTTCAGAACTTGTTATTGGTCTATTCAGGGATTCAGCTTCTTCCTAATTTAGTCTTGGTAGGGTGTATGCATCCAGGAATTTATCCATTTCTTCTAGATTTTCTAGTTTATTTGTGTAGAGATGTTTATAGTATTCTCTGATGGTAGTTTGTATTTCTGTGGGGTCAGTGGTGTCCCTAAACATTTTTTATTGTGTCTGTTTGATTCTTCTCTCTCTTCTTTGTTAGTCTAGCTAGTGGTTTTTTGTTTGTTTGTTTGTTTGTTTGTTTTTTCAAAAAAACAGCCCCTGGATTTGTTGATTTTTTTTTTTTTCTTTTTGGAGGGTTTTTCATGTCTCTATCTCCTTCATTTCTTCTCTGATCTTAGTTATTTCTTGTGCTTTGCTAGCTTTTGGATTAGTTTGCTCTTGCCTTTAGCTCTTTTAATTGTGATGTTCGGGTGTCCATTTGAGATCTTTCTTGCTTTCTGATGTGGGCATTTAGTGCTATACATTTCCCTCTTAACACTGCTTTAGCTGTGTCCCAGAGATTCTAGTATGTTGTCTCTATTTGTTCTCATTTGTTTCAAAGAACTTCCTGATTTCTGCCTTAATTTCTTTATTTCCCCAGGAGTCATTCAGGAGCAGGTTGTTCAATTTCCATGAAATTGTGTGCTTTTGAGTGAGTTTCTTAATCTTGAGTTCTAATGTGATTGCACTGTGGTCTGAGAGATTGTTTGTTGTGAAGTTAGTTCTTTTGCATTTGTTGAGGAGTGTTTTACTTCCAATTATGTGTTCGTTTTTAGAATAAGTGCCATGTGGCACTGAGAAGAATGTATATTCTGTTGATTTGGGGTAGAGAGTTCTGTAGACTTCAGAACCAAAGACAAAACCACATGATTATCTCAACAGATGCAGAAAAGGCCTTTGATAAAATTCAACATCCCTTCACGTTAAAAACTCTCAATAAGCTAGATATTGATGGAACATATTTCAAAACAATAAGAGCTATTTATAACAAACCCACAGCCAATATCATATTGAATGGAGAAAAGATGGAAACATTCACTTTGAAAACCAGTACAAGACAAGGGTGCCCTCTCTCACCACTCCTATTCAACATAGTATTGGAAGTTCTGGCCAGGGAAGTCAGGCAAGAGAAAGAAATAAAGGTTATTCAGGTAGGAAGAGAGGAAGTCAAGTTGTCTCTGTTTGCAGATGACATGATTTTATATTTAGAAAACCCAGTCATCTCAGCCCAAAAACTCCTTGAACTGATAAGCAGCTTCAGCAGTCTCAGGATACAAAATCAATGTGTAAAAATCCCAAGCATTCCTTTTTGTCAACAATAGGCAAGCAGAGAGCCAAATCATGAATGAACTCACATTCATAATTGCTACAAAGAGAATAAAATACCTAGGAATACTGTTAACAGGGGATGTGAAGGGCCTCTTCAAGGAGAACTACAAACCACTGCTCAAGGAAATAAGAGATGACACAAACAAATAGAAAAACATTCCTTCTTCATGGTTGGGAAGAATCAGTATTGTGAAAATGGCCATACTGCCTGAAGTAATTTATAGATTCAGTGCTATTCCCATCAAGCTACCATTGACATTCTTACAGAATTAGAAAAAACTATTTTGAATTTCATATGAAATCAAAGAAGACCCCATATAGCCAAGACAATCCTAAGCAAAAAGAACAAAGCTGGAGGCATCACGCTACCTGACTTCAAACTATACTACAACGCTACCGTAACCAAAACAGCAGGGTACTGGTACCAAAACAGACATATAGACCAATGGAGCAGAACAGAGACCTCGGAAATAACACCACACATCTACAACCCTCTGATCTTTGACAAACCTGACAAAAACAAACAATGGGAAAGAGATCTCCTATTCAGTAAATGGTGCTGGGAAAACTGGCTAGCCATATACAGAAAACTGAACCTGGACCCCTTCCTTTCACCTTATACAAAAATTAACTCAGGATGGATTAAAGACTTAAATGTAAAACCCCAAACCATAAAAACCCTAGAAGAAAACCTAGGCATTACCATTCAGGACATAGGCATGGGCAAAGTCTTCATAACAAAAATGCCAAAAGCAATTGCAATAAGAGCCAAAATTGACAAATGGGATCTAATTAAACAAAATACCATCTCCACAGCCAAAGAAACTTATCATCAGAGTGAACAGGCAACCTGTAGAATGGGAGAAAATTTTTGCAATCTACCCTTCTGACAAAGGTCTAATATCCAGCATTTACAAGGAACTTCGAACATATTTACAAGATAAAGATAAATAACCCCATCAAAAAGTTGGCAAAGGATATGAACAGACACCTCTCAAAGGAAGACATTTCTGTGGCCAACAAACATGAAAAGAAGCTCAACATAACTGATCATCAGAGAAATGCAAATCAAAACCACAGTGAGACACCATCTCACGCCAGTCAGGATGGCGATTATTAAAAAGTCAGGAAACAATAGATGCTGGCGAGGCTGTGGAGAAATACAAACACTTTTACACTGTTGGTGGGAATGTAAATTAGTTCAACCCTTGTGGAAGACACTATGGCAATTCCTCAACGATCTGGAACCAGAAATACCATTTGACCTAGCAATTCCATTACCCAAAGGAATATAAATCATTCTACTATAAAGGCACTTGCACACATATGTTTATTGCAGCACTGTTTACAACAGCAGAGACATGGAACCAACCCAAATGGCCATCAGTGACAGACTGGATAAAGAAAATGTGGTACATATGCACCATGGAATACTATGAAGCCATAAAAAGGAATGAGATCATGTCCTTTTCAGGGACATGGACAGAGCTGGAAGCCATCATCCTCAGCAAGCTAACACAGGAACAGAAAACCAAACACTGCATGTTGTCATCCATAATTGGGAGTTGAACACTGAGAACAGGTGGACACAGAGAGGGGAACAACACAGATCGGGGCCAGTTGTGGGGTGGAGGGTGAGGGGAGGGGACGGAAAGTAGAGGACGAGTCAATAGATGCCACAAACCACCATGGCACATGTATACCTATGTAACAAACCTGCGCATTCTGCATATGTATCCCGTTTTTTTTTTTTTTTGAAGAAATTAAAAAGAAAGAAATTATATATATATATTTCCCTTTAATAGTGTAGTGTGATCAATTATAGGGCTTGATTTTAGAACGTTTAATCAATTTGCATTTTGAACTAAAACTCATTCGGTCACTATCCTTTTTGTATATTACTGGGTTTTTGTATATTACTGGGTTTGATTTTATATTTTGTTTAGGAGTTTTATAACTGTGTTCATTATATCAACCTATAATTTTCTCTTCTAGTAATGTCTAGCTTTTGCTCTAAACTCTGGCTTGGCCTTATTGGATGGATTGGGAAGTGTTCCTTTTATTTTTATACTTTGGAAGAATGTTTATACAATTTTTATTATCTTTGGCTTGTATGTTTAAAAGAGTTCAATGGATTCATTTGGGCTTGGAGTTTCCTTACAGATTAATTTTGTTTAATAGCTGTAGGACTGTACAAATCTTTTTGTTTATTGTTTCAGGTTTGGTGAATTGGGTTCCTCAGAGGATTTGTTCATTTCAACTAAATTCTCAACTGCATTGCAGTGAAAATGTTCATAATGGCCTCACAATCTTTTTTTTTTTTTTTTTTTTTTTTGAGACAGAGTCTCACTCTGTGGCCCAGGCTGGAGTGCAGTGGTGCGATCTCAGCTCACTGCAAAGCTTCACCTCCCGGGTTCACGCCATTCTCCTGCCTCAGCCTCCTGAGTAGCTGGGACTATAGGCGCCCGCCACCACGCCCAGCTAATTTTTTGTAGTTTTAGTAGAGACGGGGTTTCACCGTATTAGGCAGGATGGTCTTGATCTCCTGACCTCGTGATCCACCCGCCTCAGCCTCCCAAAGTGCTGGGATTACAGCCTTGAGCCACCATGCCCAGCCCAGCCTTAGAATCTTTTTAATGTTCACAGGCTTTCTGTTTATGGCTCCCTTTTTATTATCTATATTGTAGATTCTCCATTTTTTTATTGGTCAGACTTATTCTAGGGATTGTTCATTTTATTAATCTTTTAAAGAATCAACCTTTGGCTTTGTTTTCTTTTTTATGCATTTACTTTCTATTTTATTGATTTGTTATTTAAACATTTTTAAATACTTTCCTTGAATTAATTTACTATTCTTTTTCTAGCTTCTTGTGATAGAAGCTTAGAAGTAGTAATTTTTCAACTTGTCTAATTTCCAGTAACATGCATTTAGAGCTATGAATTTTGCTAAATACCTCTTTAGTTGTATCCCACACATTTTCATCTATTGTATTTTCATTATCATTCACATAAAAAGACTTTCTAATTTCCATTGTGATTTTTATGTTTGATTTATGAGTTATTGAGTATTGTGTTTCTTTATTTCCAAACATTTAGAGGAATTTCTAGTTATCTTTCAGTCATTGCTTTTTAGTGCAGTTCTGCGGTGGTTATAAAACGTGATTCATGATTTAAATTTTTTTAATTTGTTGAGACTTTGTCTTCTAGCATTTAGTCTATTTGTAAATGTTTCATATATGCTTGAAAAGAATGTGAAAGAAAAAATGAGTTTTGTAGTTGTTGGGTTTAGTGTTCTGTGTTAGTTCACATTGGAAAATTGAATTGTTCAAGTCATATACTTACAGTTTTGTCTGCTTATTCTATCAGCCATTGAGAGGGATTTGCTAAAATCTACAACGGTGATAGTGGATTTATCTGTTTTTTAGTTCTTTCAACTTTATGTATTTTGAAGCTGTTATTTTTTGCATACAAATTTTGTTTACAACTTATTGCATATAAATTGTGTTAACCTGTTAATTTGATGCTTTTATGAAACGTCTCCCTTTATTTCTAGTAATACCTTGTGCTTAAGGTCTACTTTGCCTGATGTAATATAGCTACGCTAGCCTTCTTTGGCTAGTGTTTACATGGTATCAGTTTTTGTAATCCTTCCATTTTCTACCTTTTGGTGTTGTTATATTTAAAGTATGTCTCTTAGGATATAGTTATTGCTTTTTATTTTGAGACAAGTTGCTTTTCTGTCACCCAGGCTGGAGTACAGTGGTGTGAACATGGCTCACTGCAGCCTCGACATCCTGGGCTCAGGTGATCTTCTCACCTCAGCCTGTGGAGAAGCTGGGACCACAGGTGTATACCATTTCACCTGGCTAATTTTTGTATTTTTTTTTACAGATGGGGTCCAACTGTCTTGCCCAGTCTGGTCTTGAACTTCTGGGCACAAGTAATATGCCCACCTTGGCCTCTTGAAGTGCTAGGATTATAGGTGTGAGCCACTGCACCCAGCAGTTGTTGGTTTTTAAATCCCTGCTTATAGTCTTTGTATTTTAATAGGGATCTTTAAGTCCATTTACTTTTTTTAACTAAAAGAATTCACATGCCATGTGATTCACTTTTAAAGTGTACAATTCAGTGGTTTTTAATATATTCATGAAGTTATACGAAAACCACTGTTATCTAATTCTAGAACATTTGAGAAAGAAATCCCTCACCTGAAATCCCTCACCTATTAGTAGAACTCTCCATGTTTCCATCTCCTTAGCCTCTGGAAACAACTAATATAATTTTTGTCTCTATGGGCTTGACTATTCTGAAAATTTCATATATAGAGAATTATATGATTTGTGGTCTTTTGCCTCTGACTTATTTTATTTAGCATAATGTTTTCAATGTTTATCCCTGTGGTAGCATGAATCAGCACTTCATTCTTTTTTAATGACTGAATAATATTTTATTATGTGTACCTAGTGCATTTTGCTTATTTATCCTTCAGTTGCTGGGCATTTTGATTGTCCCTACTTTTTGGCTATTATGAATAATATTGCTATGAATATTCATGTACAAGTTCTTGGTAGACGTGTTTTTATTTCTCTTGATTAAATACCAGGAGTAGAATTGCTTGGTCATTTGGTAATTCTCTGTTTTAACATTTTGAGAAACTGCCAGTCTTTTCCACAGTGGCTGTGCCATTTTACATTCCTTCTAATAATGAATGAGGGGTGTGATTTCTCCGTATCTTTCCCAGCTAGTCTGTTTGCTTTCCAAATTATTAATGTGCTTGAATTTAAGTTTACCATTTTAATATTTGTTTTTATTTGCCTTGTTTTATTATTTCTTCTCTTATTCTTTATTTCCTGCCTTCTCTTAGATTAATATGTATGTTTTATTTTTCAAAAATCTTTTCCTCTATCAGCTTTTTAGTTATACATTTATTTCTCGTTCTTCTAGTGTTCACTATAGAGACTGCAACATATATTTGACTTACATACAGTATTCCATAAAATAGAGCTTTTCTCACTTCTCAACCAATAGAGAAATCCTAAACTGTTTGACTGAATGTACATTTCTTATCCTTTGTGTTTTTAATGTGTATATATTGTTAACTTCATAAGACGTTATTTTTATGTTTATACAGTATTTACTTATATTTCCCCACTTTTGTGCTTTATTCTTTTCATGTGTTTTTGTAGTTTTGGAATCAGTTTTCTTCAATTAGGAATTCTCTTTACTATTTCTTTTATTGCAGTCTCTTGGTGGTAGTTTTTTTCAGCTTTCATTTGTAAATAATTTGTTTTACCTGCTTTCAAAATGGTTACTTTGGTGAGGCAGAAGATTCTAGGTTGGAAATATTTTTTCCTTTTAGCACACTGAAGGTTAATTTCATTATTTTCTCTTTTCCATTGAAATGTCTTCTCCCATTGTAATTATTGCTTATTGGAAGTCAACTTTAAAAAATTCTCTGGCTGCTTTTAAGGATTTCTCTTTGTGTTTGGTTTTTAGCAGTTTGACTGTAATTTACCTATGGTTTTAATTTTTAAAAATTCTGCTTGAGGTTTATAGAATTTCTTTGAATCTTTAGTTTGATGATTTCATCAGTTTTGAAAACTTTTAGCATTTGTTTTCAAATATTGCTTTTGTCACATTCTCTTGTTTTAAAAAATTATCTCCCTTATCTCTGTCATCAATTTAGACATATTTGAGATCTTTTTTTTTAAACCAAGTCTCTCATCCTTTATACTATTTTGTGTATTTTCTGTTCCTTTTTTTCTCTGTGTTCTTCAATGTGGATATTTTCTACTAAACTATCTTCTAGTTCACTAACCCTCTCTTTAGCTATGTTTATTGTTCTACTAAATGTATCTGGTTAGTTCTTAATTTCAGATACTGTATTTTTCAGTTTTAAAATGAACATTTGATTTTATGGCTTCCAATTCTCTGTTGAAATTCATCATTTCTCTCTTATTTTTTACTTTCATTCAATTGAACATATAAATCATAAATGTTTTTAGCAATTTGATAAAAATTTAACTAAATTCTTCTTATGTATTCCTCTTCTCCCCATACTGTGTTCAGAAAAGTAACTGCTTGTCATCCATCTAATCTCAGAGAGGCTTGTGTTTCCATAGTGTTTAAACTAGTTGGTTGCCCTGAGACCTCAGTTTTCTGTTGTGTCCTAGAAAAGTTAAGATTTTCAGATTATCTATTTTTTTTTTTATTATTACTAGGCTAGGGGTGATGCTCTTTACAGCTTTCTGCATCATAGGCAGAAAATCACAAATGCCATTTTAAAGTCTCTTTCTGATAATGCTAAGATCTGAATGAAATGTGAGTCTTTCTGGTTTGACTATTTTTTTTCTCAATTTTCACTAGTTCTTGTTTTTTTAAGCATGCCTCATAATATTTACTGGATACTAGATAATGTGAACGAAAGATTTGCAGAGAGTCTGGAGAATGTTTTTTCCTCCAAAGACAGTTAATTTTTCTTCTCGTACTTCTGATTCTGTCAAGGCTTGGTTTGGGGCTTTGTTAGAATTTTTCTATTGCTATTTTGTCCATACTCTTAAGGCATGGCTTTTTTAGAGTCACACATAAGAGCTCAGGGGTTTTTCAGTGCTCCTCCATCTTGGCAGTGCTTGCTTGCCAGCCCATCTCCTCACCATTGATGGGCTGCCAAAATGTCTACTTGCCTCTTTACTTGGTTTGTTTTGGGTTTCTTGGCATCCTGTCCTACATATTTGTAAGCTTAGGACTCAGTTAATAATTTGAGGTGAATTTTGCTGTAGATTTCTGGGCTCTTTCTCTTTAGGTCTTTTTTGGGGGCATTTTGCATCCTGAATTCCTCCCTACTTTGGTAATCCCAGCCTCCAACCTCTGCCTTCTCATCCCACTAAGATTACAGTTATTATCTTGGGCTCTATTTCCCATGATTGATTTGAAAAGTTATCTTATACAGAAAGAAGGATTAAATGTGGAAATTGCTTGATTGGGCTTTCCTTATCTCAAAGCTTGTAGCCCTGGATGTCCCATCTGTATTGGTTGCTTTCTGTTGCCTTCAGACAAGCTGTTTTATATGTTTTGCCCAACATTCATAGTTGTTCTCATTGAAAATGCTTATTTGCTGCACTCTGCTCCATTGATTGGAACCAGAAATACCATATCTTTTCTTTATTCTGAAATGATACTAATGCTTAGCACAGTTCTGTAAATATTGATTCAGAGTAACTAATTGCTGTTGCAAATCTTTTCAAGGTTCAAATTGTGTTGAACTGATAAAAATCAGTTTTTATATAATAACCATGGACCATAAAGGTTAACTAGCTGTAAACCTTATTTTATCTTCTGGAATAAAAGCAGGTGTTTGGTACATTAGGAGAGACCTCTGAAAGCCAGAGTAGAAATAAAGGATCACTGCTATTCAGTTAAGCTCTTTTAGCTAAACTTCAAATCTGACATGTAGTTTTTCTGCTCTTTCAATTGTGATCATTGGAAGGCTTTCATAGAATTGGAAATTCTTATCAGAATCTTTCGTGTTTTGATCTCTAGGAAGATGAAGTCCTCAGTACATTCTGAAGAAGATGATTTTGTTCCAGAGCTACATAGAAATGTACACCCTCGAGAGCGGCCTGATTGGGAAGAAACTCTTAGCGCAATGGTAAATCAGTTTTATACAATTGTTCATATATACATATATATGTATATATAGCACTTATATAAGGAAAAGGAACTGAGGACACATTACACAAAAAATTTTGTTGCTTTGTTCATTTATTCAGGAAATATTTATTGAGTGAATACTGTATACTTGGCACTGTCGTAGAGTCTGTGGGCAGAGTAATAGGGTTACAGAGTGGTAAAAATACAGTGTGAAAGGATAGGTGCTAATTATATAGGGTAGTCACAGATGGCCTCTGTGGGAAGATGAGGTTTGATCAAAGACCTGAAGGAGGTGAGGGAGTGAGTAGTGTGTTTATCTGGAAACACATCATTTTAGGCAATGGAAGAACAAGTTACAGGCTGTGGCATAGGATTAGAGAACAAGTCGGAAGAAACACAAATAGGATAGTGTGGCTGAAACTGGATGAGAAAGAAATGAGGTCAGAGAAGTGGTTTGGGTGGGTGGAAAGCAGATCGTGCAGTTTCTTGTACTTTATTGATGAAGACTTTTGCTTTTTATGCTTAGTGAGATGGGAAACCATTGGAGGATTTTTGGCTGAGCAGTGACACAATCTGACTTAAAATGTTAAAGAAGTCTCAGGTTACTGTGAGTAGGAGGAGGCAAAAGAAGTAAAGAGAATCTGTGTGTTATAATTAGTAGGTAAATAGTGATGGTAGCTTGAACCAGGATGATAGCACATATGGTGAGAATTGGTTAGATGCTATAGTTTTACTGATAAAGACAGCTGTTGTCAATGAATGGGTAATAAGAGTATGAGATGAAGATATATTAAGAATGGCTTCAAGTTTTTTGGCTTCGTCAACCTGAAGAATGGAATTTATAGTACTGAGATGCTGGAAAAGCAGTTTTTGTTGGGGGATAGGTGGAAAAATCAGCAGTGTAGTTTTTCACGTAATACATTTGAGATACTCATTTAGTTTATTAAAACTTTTTGTAACAGATCTATTAATAAGAATGAAGAAATTCTTCTTTTGTGGGAGAGGACATTTTACTTAACTGTGGTTAAGAGTCAGTGTTCTCTGTCAAAATAAAATGGAAACATTCATCTATCAGTGCTGATCTGTAATGATATTTTACTTACTTCATTTTTGAAAATGTCTTTCACTCAGGCACAGCAAATACTGACATAAATTCACAAACATTTTAATTGAACATATTTGTCACTAGGAAGGCATTTATAGAATTCTGTTAGATTCTCTTCTTGATATTTGCCTTTTAGCATGTTATTGTCAGTTAATCAATTCCAATTAAAGATTAGGTGGAAGTTCTCAGTTGCACAGTTAAATGGAATTTGCAGTATGGAAATTTACTTTGCATTTTCATGTGATCTGAAAAACCCTACTGGACCTGTAGTTTGAGCTCAGAAAAAAATATTCACTACACATTTGTATGGGAATGGAAATCTCCCTTCTTGTTTTAATATTTGATAATTTGGGATGCATGGACAGTAGCTTGTGATTACTTGTGATTCTCAGAATACTAGTTGTCATTAAGATGACTTTATCGTCAGTGTTTCTTATATATAAGCTATGTTTTCTCTTGTAATTGTACATTAAGTTCACCAAGAAATATCATCAAGTCTGCAGTAAAAACTGATTAGCAAAGTCATTTAGTGTTCCGTAATAAATGTCAAAAATATGTATATCTAAAGCCTTTTTGTATTCCACACATATTTTTACCAAAATTGGTTATAATGTATCTTAGTAGATTCCACTTCAGGTTTTACTGAATTAATGTTTGCTCAAGTTATGTGAGAATATTCTTGCCTGTAGTTGTCCCATGCTGACTGTTCATAGGAGCTAATTCTTCAGTCATTTCACACTCAACATTGACTCCTCAACAACAATAGCAATATTGGTTCCATTTTTTGACTTACCAAGAGTCAAGGAAAACCACTGAAATCATTTGCCTTGTTTTTTAAGTGACTATTGATTTGCTTCCAATGTCCTCAACATTTTAAAAATATTATTATGTGTAATTTATTTTAGATTTTTTTATTATTATACTTTTAAGTTCCGGAGTACATGTGCAGAACATGCAGGTTTATTACATAGGTATACATGTGCCATGGTGGTTTGCTGCACCCATCCACCTGTCACCTTCATTAGGTATTTCTCCTAATGCTATCCTTCCCCTAGCCCCCACCCCCTGACAGGCCCCGGTGTGTGATGTTCCACTCACTGTGTCCATGTGTTCTCATTGTTCAACTCACACTTGTGAGTGAGAACATGCAGTGTTTGGTTTTCTGTTCCTGTGTTAGTTTGCTGAGAATGATGGTTTCTAGCATCATCCATGTCCCTGCAAAGGACAAGAACTCATCTTTTTTTATGGCTGCATAGTATTCCATGGTGTATATGTGCCACATTTTCTTTATCCAGTCTATCATTGATGGGCATTTGGGTTGGTTCCAAGTCTTTGCTGTTGTGAACAGTGTTGAAGTAAGCATACGTGTGCATTTGTCTTTATAGTAGAATGATTTATAATACTTTGGGTATATACCTAGTAATGGGATTGCTGGGTCAAATGGTATTTCTGGTTCTAGATCCTTGAGGAATCGCCGCACTGTCTTCCACAATGGCTGAACTAATTTACACTCCCACCAACAGTGTAAAAGTGTTCCTGTTTCTCCACATCCTCTCCAGCATCTGTTGTTTCCTGACTTTAATGATCACCATTCTAACTAGTGTGAGGTGGTATCTCATTGTGGTTTTGATTTGCATGTCTCTGATGACTAGTATTGATGAGCTTTTTTCATGTTTGTTGGCCACATAAATGTCTTCTTTTGAGAAGTGTCTGTTCATATACTTTGCTAACTTTTTGATGGTTTTTTTTTTCTTGTAAATTTGTTTAAGTTCCTTGTAGATTCTGGATATTAGCCCTTTGTCAGATGGATAGATTGCAAAAATTTTCTCCCATTCTGTAGGTTGCCTGTTCACTCTGATGATAGTTTCTTTTGCTGTGGAGAAGGTCTTTAGTTTAATTAGATTCCATTTGTCAATTTTGGCTTTTTTTTTGCTATTGCTTTTGGTGTTTTAGTCATGAAGTCTTTGCCCATGCCTATGTCCTGAATGGTATTGCCTAGGTTTTCTTCTAGGGTTTTTATGGTTTTAGGTCTTATGTTTAAGTCTTTAATTCATTTTGAGTTAATATTTGTATAAGGTGTAAGAAGGGGTCCAGTTTCAATTTTCTGCATATGGGTATCCAGTTTTCGTAACACTATTTATTAAATAAGGAATCCTTTCCCCATAGCTTGTTTTTGTCAGGTTTGTCAAAGATCAGAGGGTCGTAGATGTGTGGCGTTATTTCTAAGGCTTCTGTTCTGTACCATTGGTCTATATATCTGTTTTGGCACCAGTACCATGCTGTTTTGGTTACTGTAGCCTTGTGTAGTTTGAAGTCAGGTAGCGTGATGCCTCCAGCTTTGTTCTTTTTGCTTAGGATTATCTTGGCTATGCAGGCTCTTTTTTGGTTCCATATGAAATTTAAAGTAGTTTTTTCTAATTCTGTGAAGAAAGTCAATGGTGGCTTGATGAGGATAGCATTGAATCTATAAATTACCTTGGGCAGTATGGCCATTTTCACAATATTGATTCTTCCTATCCATGAGCATGGAATATCTTTCTATTTGTTTGTGTCCTCTCTTATTTCATTGAGCAGTGGTTTGTAGTTCTCCTTGAAGAGGTCCTTCATATCCCTTGTAAGTATTTTATTCTCATTGTAGGTATTTTATTCTCATAGGTATCATCATCCTAGGTATTTTATCATCCTAGGTATTTTATTCTCTTTTAGCCATTGTGAGTGGGAGTTCACTCATGATTTGGCTCTCTGTTTGTCTATTATTGGTGTATAGGAATGCTTGTGATTTTTGCACATTAATTTTGTATCCTGAGACTTTGCTGAAGTTGCTGATCAGCTTAAGGAGATTTTGGGTTGAGACGATGGGGTTTTTTAAATATACAATCACGTCATCTGCAAACAGAGACAATTTGACTTCCTCTCTTCCTATTTGAATACCCTTTATTTCTTTCCCTTGCCTGATTTCCCTGGCCAGAACATCTAGTACTATGTTGAATAGGAGTGGTGAGAGAGGGCATCCTTGTCTTGTGCTGATTTTCAATGGGAATGCTTCCAGCTTTTGCCCTTTCAGTATGATATTGGCTGTGGGTTTGTCATAAATAGCTCTTATTATTTTGAGATACATTCCATGAATACCTAGTTTATTGAGAGTTTTTAGCATGAAGCAGTGTTGAATTTTATCAAAGGGATTTTCTGCATCTATTGAGATAATTGTGGTTTTTGTCATTAGTTCTGTTTATGTCATTGGTTCTGTTTTGTTATTGGTTCTGTTATGATGGATTATGCTTATTGATTTTCATATGTTGAACCAGCCTTGTATCCCAGGGTTGAAGCTGACTTGATTGTGGTGGATAAGCTTTTTAATGTGCTCCTGGATTTGGTGTGCCAGTATTTTATTGAGGATTTTCACATTGATGTTCATCAGGGATATTGGCCTGAAATTTAGTTTTTTTGTTGTGTCTCTGCCAGGTTTTGGTATCAGGATGATGTTGGCCTCATGAAATGAGTTAGGGACGAGTCCCTCTTTTTCAGGTGTTTGGAGTAGTTTCAGAAGGAATGGTACCAGCTTCTCTTTGTACCTCTAGTAGAATTTGGCTGTGAATCCGTCTGATCCTGGGCTTTTTTTTTTGGTAGGTAGGCTATTAATTACTGCCTCAATTTCAGAACTTGTTATTGGTCTGTTCAGGGATTCGACTTCTTCCTAGTTTAGGAAGGTGTCTTCCTAGTTTGGGAAGGTGTATGTGTCCAGGAATTTATCCATTTCTTCTAGATTTTCTAGTTTATTTGTGTAGAGGTGTTTACAGTATTCTCTGATTGTAGTTTGTATTTCTGTGGGATCAGTGCTAATATCCCCTTCATCATTTTTTATTGTGTCTATTTTATTCTTCTCTCTTTTCTTCTTCATTAATCTGGCTAGCAGTCTATCCATTTTGCTAATCTTTTCAAGAAACTAGCTCCTGGATTCACTGATTTTTTTTAAGGGTTTTTCATGTCTCTGTCTCCTTCAGTTCTGCTCCTTAGTTATTTCTTGTCTTCTGTTAGCTCTTGAATTTGTTTGCTCTTGCTTCTCTAGTTCTTTTAACTGTGATGATAGGGTACCAATTTTAGATCTTTCCCACTTTCTCCTGTGGTCATTAATGCAATAAATTTCCCTCTAAACACTGCTTTCACTTGTCCCAGAAATTCTGGTATGTTGTGTCTTTGTTCTCATTGATTTCAAAGAACTTATTTATTTCTGCCTTAATTGCATTATTTACCCAGTAGTCATTCAGGTGCAGATTGTTCAGTTTCCATGTAGTTGTGCGGTTTTGAGTGAGTTTCTTAATCCTGAATTTTATTTTGATTGCCTATTGTTTGGGAGACTGTTATGATTTCCATTCTTTTGCATTTGCTGAGGAGTGTTTTACTTCCAATTATGTGGTCAGTTTTAGAATACATGCGATATGGTGCTGAGAAGAATGTATAGTCTGTTGATTTGGGAGTGGAGAGTTCTGTAAATGTCTATTAGGTCTGTTTCATCCAGAGCTGGGTTCAAGTCCTGAATATCCTTGTTAATTTTCTGTCTTGTTGATCTGTCTAATATTGACAGTGGAGTGTTAAAGTCTCCCACTGTTATTGTGTGGGAGTCTAAGTCTCTTTGTAGGTCTCTAAAAACTTGCTCTATGCATCTGAGTGCTCCTGTATTGGGTGCATGTATATTTAGGATAGTTAGCTTCTTCTTGTTACATTGATCCCTTTAGCTCTTGTCTTTTTTGATCTCTGTGGTTTACAGTCTGTTTTATCAGAGACTAGGATTGCATTCTCTGCTTTTTTTTTTTTTTTGCCTTCCATTTGCTTGGTAAATCTTCCTCCTTCCCTTTATTTTGAGCCTATGTGCGCATGTGAGATGAATCTCCTGAATTCAGCACCCCGATGAGTCTTGACTCTTTATCCAGTTTGCCAGTCTGTGTCTTTTAATTGGGGCATTTAGCCCATTTACATTTAAGGTTAATATTGTTATGTGCGAAATTGATCCTGTCATTATGATGCTAGCTGGTTATTTTGCCCGTTAGTTGATGCAGTTTATTCATAGTGTTGATGGTCTTTACAATTTGGTATGTTTTTGTAGTGGCTGCTACCGGTTTTTCCTTTCCATATGTAGTGCTTCCTTAAGGAGTTCTTGTAAGACAGGCCTGGTGGTGACAAAATTTCTCAGCATTTGCTTGTCTGTAAAGGATTTTATTTCTCCTTTGCTTATGAAGCTTAGTTTGGCTGGATATGAAATTCTGGGTTGAAAATTCTTTTTAGAATGTTGAATATTGGCCCCCTACTCTCTTCTGGCTTGTACGGTTTCTGCAGAGCTCTGCTGTCAGTCTGATGGGCTTCCCTTTGTGGGTAACCTGATCTTTCTCTCTGGCTGCCCTTAACATTTTTTCCTTTATTTCAACCTTGGTGTATCTGACAATTATGTGTCTTGGGGTTGTTTTTCTCGAGGAGTATCTTTGTGGTGTTCTCTGTATTTCCTGAATCTGAATGTTGGCCTGTTTTGCTAGGTTGGGGAAGTTCTCCTGGATAATATCTTGAAGAGTGTTTTTCAGCTTGATTCCATTCTCCTCGTCACTTTCAGGTACACCAGCCAAAGATAGATTTGGTCTTTTCACATAGTCCCATATTTCTTGGAGGCTTTGTTTGTTCCTTTTCATTCTTTTTTCTCTAATCTTGTCTTCACGCTTTATTTCATTATGTTGATCTTCAATCTCTGGTATCTTTTCTTCTGCTTGATCAATTTGGCTATTGATACTTGAGTAAGCTTCACGATGTTCTTGTGCTGTGTTTCTCGGCTCCATCAAGTAATTTATGTTATCCTCTAAACTGGTTATTCTAGTTAGCAATTCCTTTAAGCTTTTTTCAAAGTTCTTAGCTTCCTTGCATTGGGTTACAACATGCTCCTTTAGCCTGGAGGAGTTTGTTATTACCCACCTTCTGAAGCCTGCTTCTGTCAATTCGTCAGACTCATTCTCTGTCTGGTTTTCTTCCCTTGCTGGCAAGGAGTTGTGATCCCTTGGAGGAGAAGAGGTGTTCTGGTTTTGGAATTTTCAGCCTTTTTGCTCTGGTTTTTCCTCATCTTCATGGATTTATCTACCTTTGGTGTTTGATGTTGGTAACTTTGGATGGGGTTTATGTGTGTACGTCCTTTTTGTTAATGTTGATGCTATTCCTTTCTGTTTGTTAGTTTTCCTTCTAATAGTGAGGCCCCTCTGCTGCAGGTTTGCTGGAGTTTTCTGTATGTCCACTCCAGACCCTGTTTGCCTGGGTATCACCAGCAGAGACTGCAGAACAGCAAAGTTTGCTGTGTGTTCCTTTCTCTGGAAGCTTCGTCCCAGAGGGGCACCCGCCAGATGCCAGCTGGAGCTCTCTTGCATGAGGTGTCTGTTGACTACTGCTGGGAGATGTTTCCCAGTCAGGAGGCATGGGGTTCAGGGACCCACTTGAGGGGGCAGTCTGTCCCTTAGCAGAGCTCCAGCGCTGTGCTGGGAGATCCATTGCTCTCTTCAGAGTTGGCAGGCAGGAACGTTTAGGTCTGATGAAGCTGCACCCACAGCCCCACCTTCTCACAGGTACTCTGTCCCAGGGAGATGGGAGTTTCATCTACAAGCCCCTGACTGGGGCTGCTGCCTTTCTTACAGACATGTCCTGCCTAGAGAGGCAGTCTGGCTACAGTGGCTTTGTGGCTCTGTGGTTGGCTCTGCACTGTCCCAACTTCCCAGGGGCTTTGTTTACATTGTGAGGGGAAAATTGCCTGTTCAAGCCTCGGTAATGGTGGACGACTCTCCCCCTACCAAGCTCGAGCATCCCAGGTCGACTTCAGACTGCTGTGCTGGCAGCAAGAATTTCAAGGCAGTGGATCTTAGCTTGCTGGGCTCCTTGGGGGTGGGATTGGCTGAGCTAGACCACTTGGCTGCCTGGCTTTAGCCCCCTTTCCAGGGGAGTAAATGGTTCTGTCTTGTTGGCATTCCAGGCGCCACTGGGGTATGAAAAAAATACTCCTGCAGCTAGCTCGGTGTCTGCCCAAATGGCTGCCCAATTTTGTGCTTGAAACCAGGGTCCTGGTGGTGTAATCACCTGAGGGAATCTCCTGGTCTGCAGGTTGTGAAGACCATGTGAAAAGCGTAGTATTTGGATCAGAATGCACCGTTTCTCACGGCACAGTCTTCTCACGGCACAGTCCCTCACATCTTCCCTTGGCTAGGAGAGGGAGTTCCCTGACCCCTTGCCCTTCCCAGGTGAGGCAACGCCCCACTCTGCTTTGGCTCGCCTTCCATGGGCTGCACTCACTGTCTAATCAGTCCCAATGAGATGGGTCGAGTCCTGCAGTTGTAAATGCAGAGATCACCCGCCTTCTGCATTGATCTCGCTGGGAGCTGCAAACTGGAGCTGTTCCTATTTGGCCATCTTGCCAGCCACCTCCCAGTGTCCTCAATCAACTCTTTAAGCAACTATTCTCACCAGTAGATTTAAACCAATTTGTTTTTTTTTTTGACACATTTCTTTTACTGCTGCAATCAAATGTGATTTGATAAACTCACCATTGGTAAATGACTTTCCTTGCTTGCTGATAAATGAACTACTAGGAAATGTACTTAGGTTGCAATCTTGTTATTTTTTATGAAGAAATTCTGTGTGGTGATGTACTCAGTTTTAGAATTTTCTAATTTTTCAGAGTGTTACTTTCCTGTGAGTTGAGAATATTGTAATGAGTGCATAGTTTGGTAGTGTCAATGTATATTCCATTATTTTAGCACAGCTGTGGTGTCATTGTATGATAAACACAATGTTTTGTGATCTAATTTGATAACAAAATAATAGATATTCACCTGTGCCTTAAAAGTATGACACTCAAAGTCCACCTCTTTCTTCTTTTCTTATTTTTATTCCTATGTATATGTATTGGTAATTTTAAAAAATGTGGTATGATAATACACGTGGAAATTGAAATGCTGTTCAGTTGTAATTTGATACTGTATAGTGTGCCACGTAGCAGTGGGGATTGATGGGAGAGCCACATGTGGTCTTTTTGCAGCTATTCACCTCTGCCATTCTATTGTGAAAACAGCTGGAAATAATACATAACAAATGAGTGTGACAGTGTTCCAATAAAACTTTATTTATGTATACCAATGTTTGAATTCCATTTAGTTTTCAAATGTCAGTAGTCATTGTTTTTTGACTTTTCTCCCCAAACATTTATAAATGTAAAAACTACTTTTAGCTCAAGGGCTATACAAAATAGGTGATGGACTGGATTGACTCTTGATTTTCAACTCCTTCTTTATCATACAATTTTTTTTTAAATGTTATTTCAGTAGTTTTTGGGGAACAGGTGGCTTTTAATTACATGGGTAAGTTCTTTAGTGGTTGTTTTCTGAGATTTTGGTGCACCTGTCACCCTAGCAGTGTACATTGTACCCGATGTATAGTCTTTTGTTCCTCACTCACCTCCCACCCTTCCCCTCGAGTGCCAAAGTCCATTATATCAGTCTTATGCCTTTGTGTCCTCATAGCTTAGCTCCCACTTATAAGTAAGAACATAACGGTATTTGGTTTTCCATTCCTGAGTTACTTCACTTAAAATAATGGTCTCCAAACCCATCCAGGTTGCTACGGATGCCATTATTTCATTCCTTTTTGTGGCTGAGTAGTATTCTGTAGTGTATATATACCACATTTTCTTTATCCACTTGTTGGTCAAGGGCCAGTTAGGCTGTTTCCATATTTTTGCTGTTGCAAATTGTGCTGCAATAAACATGTGCATGCAAGTGTCTTTTTCATATAATGACTTCTTTTCTTCTGGGTAGAGATCCAGAGGTGGAATTGCTGGATCATATGGTAGTTCTGCCTTCAGTTCTTTAGGGAATCTCCATACCATTTTCCATAGCGGTTGTACTAGTTTACATTCCCATCAGCAATGTAAACGTGTTCCCTTTTCACCACATCCATGCCAACATCTATTATTTTTTGATTTTTAAATTATGGCTATTGCTGCAGAAGTAAGAAGTTATCTCATTGTAATTTTAATTTGTATTTCCCTGATAATTAGTAATGTGGAGCATTTTTTCATGTGTTTGTTGGCCATTTGTCTATCTTCTTTTGAGAACTGCCTATTTATGTTCTTTGCCTACTTTGTGATGGGATTTTTTTTTTCTTGCTGATTTGTTGGAGTTCTTTGTGAATTCTGGGTATTAGCTCTTTGTCAGATGCATAATTTGTGAATATTTTCACCCATTCTGTTAGTTGTCTATTTTCTCTGGTGATTATTTCTCTTGCTGTAGGGAAGCTTTTTAGTTTAATTAGGTCCTGCCTATTAATTTTTGTTTTTGTTGCATTTGCTTTTGGGTTCTTGGTCTTGAACTCTTTGCCTAAGCCAATGTCTAGAAGAGTTTTTCTGATATTATCTTCTAAATTTTTATGGTTTTAGGTCTTAGATTTAAGTCTGATCCATCTTGACTTGATGTTTGTATATGGTGAGAGATGAGGATCCAGTTTCATTCTTCTACATTTGGCTTGCCAATTATCCCAGCACCATTTGTTGAATAGGTATCCCTTACCCAATTTATGTTTTTGTTTGCTTTATCCAAGATCAGTTGGCCATAAGTATTTGGCTTTATTTCTGGGTTCTTTATTCTGTTCCATTGGTCTACATGCCTTTTTTTAAATACCAGTACCATACTGTTTCTGTAACTATAACCTTGTAGTATAGTTTGAAGTTGAGTAATGTGATGCCTCCATGTTTGTTCTTTTTGCTTAGTCTTTCTTTGTCTATGTGGGCTCTTTTTTGGTTCCATATAAATTTTAGAATTGTTTTTTGTAGTTTTGTGAAGAATGATGCTGGTATTTTGATGGGAATTGCATTGAATCTGTAGACTGCTTTTGGCCGTATGGTCATTTTCACAATATTGATTCTACCCATCCACGAACATGGGATGTGTTTCCATTTGTTTGTGTCATCAGTGATTTTTTTCAGCAGTGTTTTGCAGTTTTCCTTGTAGAGATAGTTCATCTCCTTGGTTAGGTATATTCCTAATTTTTTTTTTTTGGCAGCTGTTGTAAAAGGGATTGAGTTCTTGATTTGATTCTCAGCTTCGTTGCTGTTGTTGTACAGCAGTGCTACAGATTTATGTATATTAATTTTGTTTTCTGAAACTTTACTGAATCTATTTATCAGATCTGGGAGCTTTTTTAGATGAGTCATTAGGGTTTTCTAGGTATATGATCATATCATCAGCAAACAGCGACAGTTTGACTTCCTCTTTACTGATTTGGACACCTTTATTTCATTATCTTGTCTGATTGTTCCGGCCAGGACTTGTAGCACTATGTTAAATAGAAGTGGTGAAAGTGGGCATCCTTGTCTTGTGCCAGTTCTCAGGGGCAATGCTTTCAGCTTGTCCCTATTCAGTATAATGTTGGTTGTGGATTTATCATAGTTGGCTTTTATTACCTTGAGGTATGCCCCTTTTATTCCAGTTTTGCTGAGGGTTTTAATCATAAAGGGATACTGGATTTTGTCAAATGCTAGTTCTGTGTCTGTTGAGATGATCATATGATTTTTTCTTATAAATTTTGTGTATGTGGTGTATCACATTTATTGATTTAGATGTGTTCAACCATCTGTGCATTCCTGCTGTGAAACCCACTTGGTCATGCTGTATCATATTTTTGATATTCTTTTGGATTTGGTTAGCTAGTATTTTGTTGAGGATTTTTGTATCTGTGTTCCTCAGGGATACTGGTCTGTAGTTTTCTTTTTTTGTTATGTCCTTTCCTGGTTTTGGTATTTGGGTGATGTTGGCTTCATAGAATGACTTAGGAAGGATTTCCTCTTTCTCTGTCTTTTGGAATAGTTTCACTAAGATTGGTACCAATTCTTCTTTCAGTGTCTTATAGAATTCAGCTGTGAAAACATCTGGTCCTGTACTTCTTTTGTTGGCATTTTAAAAATTACTGTTTGAATCTCACTACTTGTTGAACTCTGAACAGACTACTTGGTGTGTACAGAGTTTCTGATTCTTCCTGGTTTAATCTAGGAGGGTTGTATATTTCCAGGAAGTTATCCATCTCCTCTAGGTTTTCTAGTTTGTGCACATAAAGGTGTTAATAGTAGCCTTGGATAATCTTTAGTATTTCTGTGTTATCAGTTGTATTATCTCCTGTTTCTAATAGACCTTATTTGGATCTTGCCTCCTCTTTTCTCGGTTAATCTTGCTAATGGTCTATCAATTTTGTTTGTTCTTTCAAAGAACCAGCTTTTGGCTTCATTTATCTTTTGTGTGGTTTTGTTGTTGTTGTTTCCACTTCATTTAGTTCAGCTCTGATATGGGTTATTTCTTTTCTTCTGCTGAGTTTGGGTTTGGTTTGTTCGTGTTTCTCTGTTTCCTTGAGGTGTGACCTTAGATAGTCTGTTTTCACTCTTAGCCTTTTTGATATGGGCATTTAATGCTATGAACTTTTCTCTTTGCACCGTTTTTGCTGTATACCAGAGTCTTTGACAAGTTATGTCAGTATTATCATTCAGCTCAAAGAATTTTTAAATTTCCATGTTGATTTCATTGTTGTCTCAAAGATCATTGAAGAGCAGATTATTTAATTTTCGTGTGTTTTTACAGTTTTGGGTGTTCCTTTTCGAGTTAATTTCCAGCTTTGTTTTACTGTGGTCTGAGAGGATACTTGATATAATTTAGATTTTTCTTAAATTTATAGAGACATGTGACCTATCATTGGTCTATCTTGGAGAATGTTCCATGTACTGATGAAAAGAATATATATTCTGCAGTTGTTGGGTAGACTGTCCAGTAAATATCTGTTAAATCCATTTGTTCTAGGGTTTAGTTTTAAGTCTATTGTTTCTTTGTTGACTTTCTGTACTTTGTAGTACTGTCAGTGGAATATTGAATTTCCCCACTATTATTGTGTTGCCATCTATCTCATTTCTTAGGTCTAGTAGTAATTGTTTTATAAATTTGGGAGACCTCGTGTTAAGTGCGTATATATTTAGGATTGTGATATTTTCTTGTTAGATTGATCCTTTTATCATTATATAATGTCCCTCTTTGTCTTTTTTCTACTGTTTTTGCTTTAAAGTCTGTTTTTTTCTGGTATAAAAATTGCTACTCCTCCTTGCATTTGGTTTCCATCTGTGTGGAATATCTTTTCCCACCCCTTTACCTTAAGTTTTGTTGAGTTGTCACCTTAGGGGAGTCTCTTGAAGACAGCAAATAATCGGTTGGTGGAATTTTTTTTTTTTTTTTAATTCATTCTGCCATTCTCTGTCTTTTAAGTGAGCATTTAGGCCATTTACATTCACTGTTAGTATTGAGATGTGAGGTATTGTTCTATTCATCATGCTAATTGTTGCCTTAATATGTTGTTTTTCATTATGTTATTGTCTTATGGGCCCTGTGAAATTTATGCTTTAAGGAGGTTCTATTTTGGTGTCTTTCAGTGTTTTGTTTCAAGATCTAGAACTCTGTTTAGCATTTCTTGTAGTGCTGGCTTAGTAGTGGCAAATTGCTTCAGGATTTTTTTGTCTGAAAAAGACTTTATCTCTCCTTCTTTTATGAGGCTTAGTTTTGCTGGAGATAAAATTCATGGCTGACAAATATTTTGTTTAAGGGGGCTAAAGATGGGAACCCAGTCTCTTCTGATTTACAGGGTTTCTTCTGACAAATCTGCTGGTAATCTGATAGGTTTTCTTTTGTAGCTTATTTGATGCTTTTATCTCACAGCTCTTAAGATTCTTTCTTTCGTCTTAAGTTCTGAGTGGGGCACTGCAGGAGCCAGGCCAGCCTCACCAACTATGAGGGATTTAGATAACCTGATGACTGTGTGTGCAGGTGATTTTTTTGCGGTGAATATTTCAGGTGTTCTTTGAGCTTTTTGTATTTAGATGTCTAGATCTCTAGGAAGGCCAAGGAAGTTTTCCTCAATTAACCCTACAAATAAGTTTTCTAAACTTTAGATTTCTTTTCTTCCTCAGGAACACCTATTTTTCTTAGGTTTGGCCATTTAACATAATCCCTAATTTCTTGGAGGCTCTGTTCATTTTTTTATTCTTTTTTTTTTTTTTTGTCTTTGTCAGATTGGGTTAATTTGAAAGCCAAAAGTTAATTTGGGTTAATTTTCTTCAAGCTCTGAACTTCTTTCTTCTCCTTGTTCTCATATATTGTTGAAACTTCTCAGGGTGTTTTGTATTTCTGTAAGTGTGTCTTTCATTTCCAGAATTTGTGATTGTTTTTTCTTTATGATACCTATTTCTCTGGAGAATTTCCTATCTATATCCTGTATTTTCTAAAAAAATTTCTTTACATTGGTTTTCACATTTTTCTGGTGTCTTCTTGATTAGCTTTACAATCAACCTTCTGATATTTTTTTTTTCTTCTGGCAAATCAGAGAGTTCTTCTAGGTACAGATCCATTGTTAGGGAGCTGGTGTGATCTTTTGGTGGTAGTGTAGAATCCTGTTGTGTCATATTCCCAGAATTACTTTTCTGGTTCCTTCTCATTTTGGTAGTCTGTTTAAGTGGAAAGGTGTGGAACTCAAGTCTTAATGTTCAGATTTCCTTGTCCCATGGGGTGATCCCTTGATGTGGTGCTCTCCCCCTTTTCTTGAGGATGGGGCTTCCTAAGAGCTGGACTGCAGTGAATCTTATTTCTCTTCTGGGTCTAGCCACCCAGCAGGACTACCAGGCTCTGCGCTGGTGCTAGGGAATGTCTGCAAAGAGTCCTGTGATGTGATCTGTCTTCAGGTCTCCCAGGCATGGATGCCAGCACTTGCTTGGATGGAGGTGGCAGGGGAGTGAGGTAGACCCAGTCCTTGGTTGTAGATACGTTTAGTGTGCTGGCTTTCTCGAATGCTGGTTATGCTAGCAGTAAAGTTGTCAAATGGAGAGACTAAGGACCATTGGTTAGCCAGGATGTTGTGGGCAGTGGAATTAGCTATTGTCTTCTTCTTCCTGGCAGCAAGATTATTCTGTCATAAGTTGCTGTTATGGCCCAAGTAGATTGGCCTCCAGCCTGTGGGTGGCATTTTCAAAAGAGCATCAGCTATAGTAGTAGTAGGGGGATCTGTGCTTGCCCTGCATTGGCCAGGATAAGGATTTTAGTTTGTCAGGTGATGGATGGGGCCATAAAGCCCCCAAGAGTTTCTATCTTTTGTGTTTGGCAACCATGGAAAATAGAGAAATACCATCAGGTTGGGGCTGGTTTAGGTGGGTCCAAGCTTAGACTTTCCTTGGGTGAGGCTTGCTGTGGCCACTGTAGGGGATTGAGGGGGTGGTTCTCAGGCCAATGGGGTTATGTTCCAGAGGGGCTTTTGGTTGCCTCTGTTGTTCTATATAGTTTCTCAGGGAAATGGGTGATAGCTGTAGCAAGAGGCCTTACCCAACTCCCTCATAGTTGGTGAGGCTGGCCTGGCTCCTGCAGTGCCCCACTCAGAACTTGCCCCAGGCTGTGAGCTTTCCTGCTGAGAAAGCAAGCATGGCTTTCCCACCTTGCCCCTCCCTGTCTGTCACCAGTGGCTCCTACGTTTGTATCTGAAGCAATTCCTGTTTGCCTCCCAGATTCTGCTCAAGGAAATTCACGCCCAGTCAGAATTACTACTTATTTCAGTAGGAAGCTTTCTCTGTCCTGTGATCCCTCCCTAATTCTGCTGCCTGCCTTCCCTGAAGGCCCCTGTGAGGTATAGTTGGGGATGGCTTCCCTGGGCTTGAGCTGGAGACTGGGAGTACATGCAAGTCACTTCCTCTCACTGCTGTTTCCACTTTTATGTTTTTCATGAGTCCTTAAATTTGTTTAAGCTCTAGGTAAGTTTAAATCATTTTCCTGTAATCTGGATTTATGGATTCTCCAGTGGGGTTGTGTGTTCAGAGGCAGGTTTTCTCCCTCTCATACTTTGGGAACTCAGTTTTTTGCCTGTCCTGTGCAATTTGCAGTGGCATGCTGCTTCATTCAAAGATCTTTGAATTCTTTTGATTTTCCTGATACATTTCTTTGGTGGTTCTTGGAGCAAAAGATCATGGTAAAGATCATGGTGTTCTCCACACACTGTTCTGTCTGTCCAAGTGGGAGCTACACGTTAGCATTGTCTGCTATCCACCATCTATCTTGTCCCTAAGTCTATTCATGTAAGTAACTTAAGATGTAAGGCTTTCCTAAAAGTTTCAGATGGGAAATAGTTTTATTTCACTTCTTATAGTATGCTGTTCCTATCTGTATCATGATGCTTTCCTTATTGTATTAATCTAGTTGAATAGTAATGTCTTTGTCTCCCTACTAGGTTGTGAGCTCTTTGAGGAAGGGTAGGGGTCATCTTGTTTTCATTTTATTGAAGGATAAAGTTTAAAAGAGGATATAATCATGACTCTCATAGAAATATAGAATGAGCACAAGCCAAAGATATTTAACTCATTATTAATGAAAGAACAAGTCAGTTGTTAAAAGTGGTTCAAAGGAGAATTCAAAAATTACCATACTCTTATAGAGCAACCATTCTAAAATGCATGCATATGGATGTAAATCTGGCAAAACTGTTCTGTTTCACTGGGTACAGTTTGCATTTCTGTGGATAGGAATGATCTGTATTACTCTCATTTTTCTATAAGGCAAGTTCCATCTCTGCAGAGTTGTAAAATAGCTGAATCAAAAGACAAACAAAATCCCATACGCCTATGGAATCAGGCAATCCTCAGAGGTGCCAGCATTCCAGGGAAAGAACATTCAGTAACTTTTTTTGCCTCTTTTTCAATCCCCTACTTTTCCTACAATTTTTAAATCTTCAGTAAATCTGTATTGAATTTACTGAATGGAACAAAGGTGACATTAGTATTTCATGTGATGGTCTGTTTACTCTGTATTAAAATGTCATATGCTGTATACATATGAAATTACTGATTTCACTTCTGGAATCCACAGTGAATTGTCTAAGCACTTATGGAAAATACTATTTATATAATACATTTTAACATCTCATTATATTCTTATTTTATACTCTTATTAATTTCTTTATGTGTAAGCTCCTTGAGGGCAGGTGCCATAATCTTTCTTCTATTTAAAAAAATAAAGCATCACTCTGAATAAATAAGTGCAATGCTAGGTTGCAAAAGTGTGTAGTGAATGATGAAAACAGTATAAATGAGATTAGAGCCACAATTTTACTACCATTTCTCTCAAAAATCATACTGATTTTAAGCAATAAGTAAGTTAGGGACCCTTTTTTCTCAATAATAATCTAAGTGAAATATAACTTTGAGAGTGAAATTTTTTATTTAGGGAGCCCTTTATGGAGTATTTACACTCAATTCCATTTGGTTAATTTTTTAAATTACTTCAGAGATAAAAGGGCTTAAGTATTACATTTTTATTGATTTGTGTTATGACATCAGAATATTAGTTTTTTAATAAACATATCTAAAAAGGAGCTGGAAATTTTGGAACTTAAAAATTTAAGGAGTTTTATATTTATTATAGTCATTTAAAAATCAAAACAATGGTAAAAACCTAAAATGGGGCTCTATCCTTTTGTAATTTATGGTTATGTACTCTTCATAAATCTGTAACTAGATTCAGTATTTCAAGAAATCTAATAAAATGCTATAGTTTTTCTGAATTACTAAAAGTAAAATATTTACAGTTTACAGTGAGATTGTTTATCAATTAAATATTAGGCTCTTTCAGAAAATAAGATATTAAAATTATGAAGAGAAAGAAACCACGGAGAGTACTGAACCCTGTATATACTAATGTATGTGTAGCATATACAATGTGGATATGCTGGTGATGATTCATGTCCTGGCCAAGACAGAGCATAATACTGCAAGATTTCATTGCACTATTCGAAATGGCACACAGTTTAAAGCTTATGAATTATTTCTGGAATTTTTCATTTTACATTTTTGGACTGCAGTTGACTGTGGATAACTGAAATCATAGATAAGGTGAAATTTAGACTGGTTCTTTTTAACCCATCAACTTGTAAAAACATTTTCAATTTGAATAAAAGAAAAAGTATTTGCAAATGTTTTTTAAATCAGTATCCTTAGCTCTTTTATTCCTGTGTGATGTTTAACTGTTTATTTTGATTTATGAGTGAATTTTAATTCAGAGGACCTAGTGATGTTTATCATCTCAGTCTTTAAAAGCGGAATGTTTTATGTTATGTTGCTTTGTGAACCATCACAAATGTAACCATTGATTAATATGCAAAGCCCAGGTTTTGAATTTTTGCCAGTTTGTTTGGAGCTCTTCAGTAAACAACTGTTAAGTCTGTCTCTATCCTATCCTCTCCCGTGGTACGTCTTCTCTGGCTAAAGATTCTATGACTTCTCTGGCTAAAGATTCTGTGACTTCTCTGGCATGAATCAAGTGGTATTAATTATTGAAGTTATTTAATACGTTACTGAGAACTCTGATAGTTGGAGTCTATGAAATTGATAATTTTATAGGTCAAAATTTTAACAATTGGCAGTTTCATAACGTAAGGCCTATAACCGTTTGAATTGTTGAACCAATGCTTAAGCATGTGACTATTGTTAATCATTAAACTGAAAACTATATTTCAAGCATGCTCTTTAAGTTGTTAGGTGATCTGGATGTTGCTTTTACTGATATGATTTGTTGTATAGCCTTTCAAAAAATTTTTAAAACTTACAAGATATTCAAGGAAAAAACTACATGAAACATGCAGGTGGAGGGACAATGGTTCTTCTAGGTCTTACTTGGAGTGTCATGGTGGTCTAGGATCTTGCTATTTCTTCCTTTATTAGAAATTTTTCAAAATAAACATCTAGTTTGTGGTCTTTCTTTTCTTCTACCCTTCTTCTATTCATACTCTTTTCCCAGAATTTATATCATTTATATTTATAATATATCTTTAAATATTGCATGCACATTTTTACTAGTAAATCTAATGTACACAGAATTCAAGTGTAGAAAGAGATCAGTATCATTTTCTAGCAGCGCTGAAGACTGACAATAACTTACCATAATAAAGTACCTGTAAAGGTAAAGTTCTTAGAGTTTCATAGGAACCTTTGTATAAAATGTCTGGTAAAATTATATACATTGTTGGAACCCTGTATTTTTAGCGAGCCTTCTGAATTTAGGAGTATCTTTAATGATAAGGGACTGAGATGAAGGAAAGGATGAATCTCAGTTATAGAAAAGTATAACATTTAAAAGCTTTGCTAATATGTAAATGTGTTAATTTTAGGTTGATTAACCAGCTGTTGCCTAGCAGAGGAGTTGTGATTATTATGCTAATGGTGCTTTCTAATAGTTTTTTCCAAATTATTTTAAATATCGCCTCCGAATAATTTTTCCCTGTGGTTAATTGGCTCTCTGAGGAGATATTTTCTAGAAGTGAAGTTTAAGGCAACACCCTTGCTGCAGAAGAGCTAGTTTTATAATCACTTTCAGAAATCATGTTTTTTCCTTCAGTCTTCTCATCCTGTTGTTCCCACTCAAAATAGAGAATTGAATAAGAATAGTGATACAATTTACCCTTGGGGCTTATTTGATGGCTATTTCTGTGTTTGTGAATTACCAGCTACTGAAATTTACCTGTCACCTTCTTTGATTCCTGTTTCTGGTTTTTGGCACTTCCACATTGGTGGTGCTAGATAACACATGGGAGGATGTGTTCCTGAGCCTGGTCTGTGGTGCCCAGATATTAAGACATTAGGAAATATTCCCCATTTAGCACTATTTTTAGTTCAGAGCTCTTGAGTTTTCTTATATGTGAAGTGTTTTTTTAGTAAAATTGCTAGGCTGTTATCAAGTCTGATGGAGGTGCATAACGCTGAAAAGAATTTTGAGAGAAACCACTAAACAGCATTCACAGATTCGATTTAGAAAGTGTCTGTGTATTTTAAATAATTATTGCCATATTCTGTGGAGACTCATACCTGAACTCACAATATATAAACATGTAAAAGCCTAATTATTTTTTTCCTTAGTACTGTACAGTGATGATTTTTCTAAGGACCTGCAACAATTTTGAATAAGTAAAGAAAATTGTAGTTTGTTTTTAGCATTAAGTCTATTTTGTTATATCAAAATTCTTTTGCGGATATTCACACATGTAACTCAGTTATTTGAATTCCTTGTGACATACTTATTTTTTAAGAATCACTTTAGTAACATTGTTGTTCAAAATAATATAACACAGTTTTAATAAATCTATCTTTCTGATGGTACAATAGTTTCCTTCCATCCAAGGGGAATATGTTCCAAGACCCCCAGTGGATGCCTGAAACTGCAGATAGTAATGAACACTATATATACTGTGGTTTTTCTAGTACATATGTACTTGATAAACTTTAATTTATAAATTAGGCACAGTAAGAGATTTACAATAACTAATATAAAACAGAACAGTTATAATGATATACTGTTCACAGTTTCATGGATAGAAGGTTCATTCTTCCTGTAGATCTCAGCAGCCTCAGTGTATGATTTCTTTTCTTTCCTTATTAAGTTGAGAACTTCACCTTTTCACTTACAGAAGCACTTTCCAGCTCCTCTTTGTCATATCCATGTTGGCAGCATCACTCCTCTTGTGCTTTGGGGCTATTATTAAGTCAAAGAAGCGTGAGTTGAATACAAGCACTGCAATACCATGAGAGTTGGTCTGGTCACTGAGATGACTCCCAAGTGAGTCACCGGCGGGTAGTCCACAGTGTAGATGCACTGGACAAAGGAATGATTCATGTTCCAGGCGGGACGGAGTGGGGCGGTGCGGGACTGTGTGAGATTTCATCACATTACTCAGAACTGCATGCAGTTTAAAACTTATACATTGTTTTTTTCAGGAATTTTCCATTTAGTATTTTTTGACCGAGGTTGACCATGGGTAACTGAAACTGTGAAAAGTGAAATAACAGATAAAGGAGGACTACTTATTGGATTTCCCCTACATTGTCTCTGTTCTTTTTAAGAAAGGGGACAATACTTAGACCAATGGTAAAATCTTCTAAAACATGTCATTTCAGAAATTCATTATGTGTGTTTCTTATGGTTAAACTGCAGGAAACTGGCAGTCCTGTTTGCCTTTCTTGACAGCACAAATTTTGTATCAAAATCTCGTTTATTCAGTTGATTATATATATATATATATGCAGTTTTACCAGCATATAGACAGCTGCTATTTTTTTTTCTATTTAAGAGGCCAAATTTTTTTCCCCTTCATCACTATATTTTAAGCAGAAATGATATTTTTGTCACCATTTCAAGAAATATTTATAACATTAATCTAAAGCTTCTGTGACCTCTGTCAAATTCTGACTACAAATGATAAAGATAATACAATAAATAAAATTTGAATCTGTTAAAAAAAGTGAAAAGTGGCAAAAAGTCACTTTTTCCTCAGAATTATTTTCAGATGCTTTTTGTTAGCCTTATACAGAAAGAACACTTTGATCAAGTCTTATTATACTTTCCCCATGCATATTTTAGTGGTTTTTTTTTTTCCTTTAAGAAAAAGAGCAATCCTGGTCCACTTTGATAGCAGCATATACTTAACACTGATTGCATTTTGATGTCCTTTATGAATGTGTATTGGGTGATATTATTTCTGATTTTCCATGGCAATTTCAGATGTTTTATTGTTCTTAATTATTAACTACTCATTTTGATTAGTAGTTTGCCTTTCATGACAGTACAAATTTAGTATTGAAACCTTGTTTATTCAGTTGATCTCATGTATATAAATATACATATGTATGTTATTTGACTACGGTGCCTTGTCAAAGTATGAGAGCGTTTTATGTAAATGAACCTGTACTGTATATGTAATTATGTCTGTACTGTTCAGTAATTAATGTCATAGATCTGGAGTTGGGACATCCTACCTTCTGTCTGCTCTGTTCTCTACTGTAGGAGGCCGATCCTGGCAAATAACATTTCTCAGGCTCCTTTGCCAGCAGGCTTTTGGCTCGGTTTGGCAAATGGGAAGCACACGTGGAAGACAGGAGGGCGGAAAGAGGGGAAGAGCCGGGGTATTTCTTCCTCTCTTTTTCTGCCTTGAGAGGGGTCTCCACTACTGTTCAGATAGCTTATATCAGATAACTCATAATTTGGTTCAGTGATTAACAAAAAAATCTTTTTTACTACTATAACATGGGCAAATTTCTTCATAGAAGCATTTTTATTCTTGTTCTTTCCTGACCATAAATATGAATGCCTAGCTTTGCACATTGTAGTTATATAGATTATCTAATCTCATTGATTTATGACAGGTTGTTTTACATTTGCAAATGGTTGCTGTAAGTAATACGCAGAGGAGGAAGAAGCTAGCTTGTGACTTTCTCTTTCTCTCTTTCCTTTTTCTTTCCCTTTATCTCTTTTGCCCTTTCCCTTGTAAAAATAAAACATACAGAAAAGTGAAAAGAAAAAAAAAAGAGGCTTTCCCATAATCCTATTTCCCATGGTGGTGAGATTATTTTGGTATAGGCTTTTTACAATGCAGAGAGTTTTTTTTTTTGATTTTATATATTTTATTTTTAATTGTAATAAAATACACATAGTATTTACCATCTTAACCATTTTTTCTTTCTTTTTTTTTTTTTAATTATACTTTAAGTTCTAGGGTACATGTGCACAACGTGCAGGTTTGTTACATAGGTATACATGTGCTGTGTTGGTTTGCTGGACCCATTAACTCGTCATTTACATTAGGTATTTCTCCTAATGCTGTCCCTTCCCCATCCCCCTACCCCATGACAGGCCCCGGTGTCTGATGTTCCCTGCCTTGTGTCTATGTGTTCTCATTGTTCAATTCCCACCTATAAGTGAGAACATGCAGTGTTTGGTTTTCTGTCCCTTGCAATAGTTTGCTCAGAATCATGGTTTCCAGCTTCATCCATGTCGCTACAAAGGACATGAACTCATCCTTTTTTATGGCAATGCTGAGAGTTTTTTAACAGAACATCCGTATAAGCACATTTTTCCTTATACAAATGTCTTCAAATGGTTAGTTTCAAAGAATATTGCTTTGGGATATATTCTCCTTTCCCATCATGTCTGGGAATATGATTTTTAAAATAATTATGGACAATATACAATTTTATATTTCCTTGCTTTTCCATTTAAACATAAGCATTCTACCTGATTATTAAGGTGCTGTGCAGTGCAGGTGAAACTTCATATTCCCTATTGTATATTATGGGAGTTGCCATAGGTAAAGGAATTGGCAGTTTCACTGGAAGGAAAATATCTCTGAAAAAGACTGGCTAGTGGACACAGTGGTAGACACCTTGGAAGGGGGAATTAAAAAACGTTGCCATGGAAAGGGAAAGGAATTAAATTTTCCTCCCTTTAGGGGGAAAGAGTGTTGTCTTGAGAACTGCAGAATGGGATGTGGAACAGATTGTAGACTTCACACTTAAAATGCAAGATTGCCAGGGAGATAGGAGAGCTGGTTATTGAACTGTGTCAGATCTGTGTACCTCCCTCCAGTTACCTATCTCACCTGCAGAATTTGCTCCTTCCTCTAGGATTTGCCTTCAAGTGCATAGCTTACTCCTTTGAGGAAGCCTTAAGAAGGTGGTTTGGGATGGTACTGAAGTCATTGCATTCAATGGGGTCCTGGGAGTGCTGGGAGGCAAAAGCTTCTGAGGCTTTACATCCCAAGTCCTGGGAAAGAGTTTTACTTCCATGAGAGATAAAGGAGCATATAAAATCTGAGAGCACTCAGAAATTCCTAAGGTCTTAGATGTTGTTAGTATTTGTTTTTTGTTGAATATGTATAAGAAATTATCACAAGCTTAAGGGCTTAAAAGAATACCCATTTATTATCTCACAGTTCTGCATGTTAGAAGTCTGGGCAGGCTTAACTGGGTTCTCTGCTCAGGGTCTCCTAAAGCGGAAATCAAAGTATTGGCTGGGCTGGGTTCTCATCTGCAGATTCTGTTGGCAGAATCCAGTTCCTTATGGTTGTAGATCTGAGGTCCCTGTTTCCTTGCTGGCTGTCATTGTGGGAGGTGTGGTGGCATAACTTTTAGGGGCTGCATGAATTCCCTCTCATGTGACCCCCTCAGGCTTCAAAGCCAGGGGTGGTACTTGGTGCTTCAAATCTTTGACTTTCCCTTCTGCTACCAGCTGGAGAAAACTCTACTTTTGAAGTGCTCATGTGATTAGATTAGGCCTATCCAGATAATTTTTATATTTTAAGATCGACTGACCTGGGATTTTAATTACATTTGCACCCTCTATTCTCAGCAGTACCTAGATTGATTGAACAACCATGGGGTGGGAATCTTGGGGGGCAAGGGAGACCCTCTTTAGAATTTTGCCTACCACAGTCTTACATGTTTTCTCTGGTATTTATACTTCATAATATATTTAACGTGATAACATTGATATATTAGTTTGTTTTCATGCTGCTGATAAAGACATATTCGAGACTGGGAAGAAAAAGAGGTTTAATGGACTTACAGTTCCACATGGCTGGGGAGGCCTCACAATCATGGCGGAAGGCAAGGAGGAGCAAGTCATGTCTTAACATGGATGGCGGCAGGCAAAGAGAGAGAGCTTGTGCGGGAGAACTCTTTATAAAACTGTCAGATCTCGTGAGACTTACTCATTATAACGAGAACAGCACAAGAAAGACCCGCCCCCTATGATTCAATTAATTACCTCCCACTGGGTCCCTCCCATGACATGTGGGAATTGTGGGAGTTACAATTCAAGATCAGATTTGGGTGGGGACACAGTCAAACGATATCAATTGACATTTGTCAATGGAAATTACAGATATTTTAGAAATTTTAATTTCACTAATATACCATAAAATCGATTGGGCAGGGGAAGCATATATATAATCTGTTGTTGTTGATGTTAAATGAAAATGTTGATAAACATATTTAATGACTATACAGTAATAGGACATATTATTGCTGTTTAATTAATAAGACTGAGTTTTGTTATATATTTTTCATTTAGATTAATACCTTTATGATGAGTTTTGCTTTTTCTTTTTACTATTATTTTATAGGGAATTACTTAACTAATTAATATGGAGATTCCCAAATTACTTGCCAAAAGGGTTTTATTAATTCATATTCTAATAAGTAATGTTTAGCGACTTTTGTGCCATTGTTTTCAGTCTTAGAAAGTTTTAAAATATAAAATTTTGATAAGAGGAAAGCTATTTCTCATTGTTCTAATTTTTTATTTTTAAAACTTCATTGTTTCTGAACTTTTTATATGCCTGTTTTAGACATGGTAGGTTTTGTGATAAAAATCCAGTTCAAATTCTGTGATTAACACACTATGCAAATCTCTTCTTTCTTGGTCTCAGTTTCCTCTTTACAGTGGAATGTCTAAATGAGTTATCTTTCAACTCTGTGATTATGTTGAACATCTCTCAATACGCTATTTTGTTTTCTTAGTTAAAAATTGGTAATACTCATTGGTGTTCTGTTAATACCTGTCAGTATGGAGTTTATAGTGTTTTGAAAGGGTTAGACACATAAATAATATGGAGAGGATGGGCTTGTGGTGGGGCTGAATGTAGAAGTAGCCAGCTTTGTGGTTCTGTATCAGAACACAGTGTGTTAAACTACTTTTAAGTCAGTTTACAGTTACCCAGTCAATATTAGCACTTTGAATATGGGACCAAGATAACAAGCTATTTGAAAGATTCTTTAAAGGGTCTGTACAGTGGAGGAATGGTAGAATATTTTTTTGGATTAGGAAACAGTGAAGTAGACAGAATAAAACATTGCTAATTCCTAGTTTTGCAAGTTTTCCATATCAAATTGTATTTTCCTGAAATGGATGAACTGTTCTCTATGTGGTTTAACTGGTTCAGATTATAGGGATACAAATATTTCCCTTGTTAGAGATGCTCTACTTTTTAAGACGGCATTGTTCTTTTTTTTTTTTTTTTTTTACCAGTAAGGGTATACTTGTGGCTTATATTAAGCTTGTGGTAAACTATAGATCTCAGATCTTGTTACATGAATTCTTGTCAAACAGTTTGCTCCCCATCCCCATACTTATATAATTGAATTTTGAATTTAAATTCAGGGCTTCAGTTTTTATTATTGATAAACTTCACATTCATTTGGTTTGTCTTGGCAGCTTTTAAAAATCTCTTTGAATTCTGTCACTCAGTTTGTGAATGTCCATTTCAGTTTTCTTTTATCTATAAATTTGATAAATGTATGTCATATATTTTAATGTGCTTTTATTAAAATGTTAAGAAAAGAATAAAAAAGCCCTGTGATATTCTACCTCCTTCCTGCTGCATGTTAATGTACAGTAATTGACACTGAACATTCTTTAGTATTTAATCAGCTTCAAATTTAACTGTATTAGTATTGAATTCTCATTTTATAATCTTACACACGTGTATCATAAAACACTATATGCTGTGCCATAATCAAGATTTAATACATCATCTGCATGTGACTGTCCACTGTCAGTCTAGCTGCCTTATTTAAACACACAGACACACACCCTCAAAAAAGAAATGAATATGGGTTTCTCCTTAATTTCTTCGATTTTATATTTGTATCTCTTATGATTAAAACCTTAGTTTTTAGTGACATTAACAACTATTTGTTTGCTTTAATCGTCTTCTTTTAATAGTTTCAGAACGATAATGTCACTATTCCCAAACAGTTTGTTTCCTTTCATCTCTAGGACATATCCCACTAGGAATATATTATTAGTACTTTTCTTCACTGTCATTTGAGGTAATTGTTCTCTGTGTGCTTAAGGTACCAACTTATAATTAAGTTCATTTGTTTTATTTGTTTTTTGATCTTAGGGATTGCCCTTTCATCCCATTTTAATTTAATTTAATTTAATTTTACAAATACTTATAACACTTACATGACCCCAAAATCTGAACTACAAAACTGAGACATTCAGAAAAATCTTCCATCCCTATCTCTTTGTTCCCTCCTAGGTAAGCATCTAAATTAGTTTTTAGTTTATCTTCCCATTTTTTTTAAGTGTAAGAAAACACATATATATATTTTTATATTTACAGTCTTTTAGTTAGAAGGTAACCTGTTTTTGTACCATGCTTTTTTTTTTCAGTTCATATATACTGAAGACTACTTCATAGCAATAAATTGAAGTATTCCTCATTCCTTTTATAGCTAAGACTATTCCATTGTGTGGATGCAATATAGTGTATTAAACTGTTTTCTTATTGATAGACATCTAGGTTGTTCTCACCCTTTAGTTACTAGAAACAGTCCTGCAGAGAATAACCTTATACTTATGGATGCATATGGCATTTTGTACTTTTGTCAGTATAAGAAGAAAATGGTTTAAAAAAATCAGTGTTAGTTTGGTAAGATACAAGAAAGAGCAGAGGTAAATATGTTTTCAATCTACTACTCTGCACCAGAAGTCTTGCTAGGTAGTTCTTATCATGAATGGGTGTTGAGTTTTATCAGACAATTTTTCTGTTATCTATTGCAATAATCTAATGCTTTTTCCTCATTTTAATTTTAATTAAAGACTTAATAGATGTTCTATTAAGCCATCTTTGCATTCTTGAAACAAATTTAATTCACTTATGATGTATGTTTTTAACACAATGATAGATTTGATTTATTATTCTATTTAGCTTATGTTTTTTGCATTTGTGTTTAATGAGATTAGCCTATAATTTTCCACTTCCTTGCTATTGTCTGTTTTTCCCATTTAATTTTATTTACTTTGTTATTTAGGTATATCTTACATACAGAGAAGTCACAAACCTTATCTTACAGCTTTATGACTTTTTGCTTATGTTTTCTTCTTATGTGATCACCACCCAGATTTAAACATAGAACTTTTCCTGAAATTCAGAAATCTCTCTTGAGTACCTCTCAGTCATTATCTTTCCCACCAAAGGTAATCGTTGTTTTTATACATGAAATCCTGCAATATGTAGTTTTTGTGCCAGGGTTCTGTGTGTAATAGAATCTTACGTGGGCCTTATTTCTATGATGATTATTTATGTTTGGCACCATTTCATATTCTTATTGACCCTTGAGATATCCTCTTTTGTAATGTGCTCATTCAAGTTTTGCCTTTTTTTTCTGTTAGGTTGTCTTTTTTTAGGTTAATGTTTAGAAGTTCTTTATCTATTATGGGCACTAGTCATTTATCTGAGACATATCTTCCAATTTCTTCTTTTAGACTCTGACTTATCTTTTTGAATGCTTAATTTTATCATTTGGTAATCAGAAATGCTTAGATTTAGTGAAGTCCACTTTATTAAATTCGGTAGGGTGTCGGAATAATTGTTTTTTCCGTGTGTGTCCTTTTAAGAAATCTTCGCCTATCCCAATGTCATGAAGGTACTTTATAGAAGAACATGTTAACCTTTTATGTTTGGGTCTGTGAACTATTTAAAATTGATTTTTGTGCATGATGTGAGGTTTGGGTCAACATTCTTTTTTTGTTTGTTTTTTTTTGAGATGGAGTCTCGCTCTGTTGCCCAGGCTGGAGTGCAGTGGCGCGATCTCAGCTCATTGCAAGCTCCGCCTCCTGGGTTCACACCATTCTCCTGCCTCAGCCTCCTGAGTAGCTGGGACTACAGGCACCTGCCACCACGCCTGGCTAATTTTTTGTATTTTTAGTAGAGACAGGGTTTCACTGTGTTAGACAGGATGGTCTCGATCTCCTGACCTTCTGATCCGCCAGCCTTGGCCTCCCAAAGTGCTGGGATTACAGGCGTGAGCCACCACGCCCGGCCAGCGTTCATTTTTATTCATATAGAAATCAGATTGACTTAGTACAGTTATTGAAATGGCCATCTTTTTTCTGACTTAATTGCGGTGGTGCCTTTGTCATGAGTCAGATAACCATATTGTTGGCTGCTGTCTGAATTCTCTATTGTGATCTTTTGGTCCATTTTTCTAGACTTAGACCAGATACCACACTGTCTTAGTTATTATACTTTTACAGTAAAACTTGATATCTGATAAGTAGTGTCTTCCAGCTTTGCCCTTCTTATCTTGGTACTTCTGTGTCTTTTGCATTTCTATATACATTTTTAGAATTAGTTTCCCAATTTCTGCAGATAAGTCTACAGATAATATTGGGGAAGAATTGATGCCTTGACATTATTGTATCTTCTAATCTATGCAAATGAGGCACATGTGCATGTATAATATATCTATTTAGATTGTCTTTAATTTTTGAACAATGTTTGTAGTTTTTAGTGTAGAGTTCTGTCTCAATGTGTTCTGGCTGCTATAACAGAATACCTTAGACTTGGTAATTTATAAACAATAGAAATTTATTGCTCATAGTTTTGGAGGCTGGGAAGTCTAAGATCAATCCAGCAGATTCAGTGTCTGGTGAGGGTTTCTTTCTTAGATGTGGCACCTTTTATGTGTTCTCACATGGTGGAAGACAAAACAGGCTCCCACAGCTCATGCCTCTTTTATAAGGGCACTAATTCCATTCATGAGGGCAGAGCCATCATGATGTAATCACTTCCCAAAGGCCTGACCTCTTACTACCCTCACCTTGGGCGTTAGGTTTTAATATACACATTTTGATGGAACACAGATGTTCAGAACATAGCAAGGTCTTTCACATTTTTTATTAGAAATGTTCCTAGGTATTTGATGTTTTCTTCAATGCTATTATAGTTGGAATTTTAAAATTGGTTTTAAAATTTTATATTCTGCATGTTTATTGCTAATATGTTTCAAATCTAGTTAATTTTTGTGTATTTACTTTATGCCTAGAGACCTTGATACATTCTTTGATTAATTCTGAGTTTGTGAATTCTTCAAATTTCACATGTGCACAGTCTTTTATTTCTTTTACTTTCCTGATTACGCTGGTGAGGCACTCCAGAATAATGATGAATAGATGTGGTACATACATCCTTCTCTTGTTCTTGGTACCAAATTTGAAACTTTAAATATTTCATCATTAAGTACTATAGACCTTTAGTTTCTTTCTGGATACTTTTTCAAAAATCACATTAAGGATGTTCTCGCTCTCTTTTTTTTTAATGAACAGGGTTTGGAATTTTTTCAGATGTTTTTACTGCCTCAGAGATGACTATATGATTATTTTCTCCCCTACAGTCTTGGGATGATCTGTTTGATCGTAGTGTTTTTATCTTTTTTACATACTCTTGGTTCCAATTTACTAAACTTTTCATATTATACTTAAAATTATTATTTTATACTTCAAGTAGAATGTAGAAATCCTACCACCATCGAGGTTCCCTTATCTACCATCGTTATGTTAAAGTTTTTATATAGATCACATAAACTTTCATCAGACAGTTTTATAATTTGTGCTTTCAACTGGCACATATATTTTAAAGCATGTAAGTGGAGATTAATAATCTGTTATATTTGCCTAATTATTCACCATTTCTGTTGTTCTCTCTTCATGCCGGAAGGGCCAAATTTCAGTTAACCTGAGTTATTTTCCTTCTCCCTGAAGAGCTTCTTTTAGCATTTCTTTTAGAGCCTATCTACTGGTGACAAATTCTCTTAGTTTTCTCTTATCTTAGTATGTTCTTATTTTTACATCATTTCTGAAGGATATTGTCACTTGATGCAGATTTCTGGGTTGAGAGTTCTTTCCGAATTGTATAGACGTTGCTCCACTGTCTTCTGGTTTCTGATGAGAAATCCACAGTCATTTAAATCCTTATTACTCCATACCAATACATAATGTATCTTTTTTGTTTCTGGATGCTCTCAGAATACTTCCTTTATATTTGGTTTTCAACAGCTTGATTATGATGTTTTGGTTTGTAGTTTTCTTTGATGTTACTTGTTTTGTTTTCTGTGATCTTGAATCTGTAAATATATATCTTTCAATAAATTTGTATTGTTTTCAGAAATTTCACTTTTTTCCTGTATTATTGTGTTTTTTCTCATCTTCAGAGACTTCGAAGACATGAGTGTTAGAGCTTTTGATATTGTCCGTTAGCTATCTATAGGTCTGTTCATATTTTGTCAGTCTTTTAAAAAAATTAACTATCTTTTCTTCAGATTGCATGATTTTTTGTCTGTTATCAGGTTCACTGACTCTTTTCTCTGTCACTCTTCCTCCTGCTCACTCTTCCCCCTGCTTACTCTTCCACCGGCTCTAAACATGTAAGACGTGCCTCCTTCCTCTTTGCCTTCCGCTGTGATTGTAAGTTTCCTGAGGCCTCGCCAGTCATGCTTCCTACACAGCCTGTGGAATCGTGAACCAACTAAACCCCTTTTCTTTGTAAATTACCCAGTCTCAGGGTATTTTATTAAGCTAAGCCAGTATTTTTTATTTGGGATGCTACATTTCTCTGTTCTAAAATTTATATTTGGGTTTTTTATAGTTTTTATTTTCTTTTTGTAAGAGAATTTCAGTCTTTCCATTGGTTCCAATATCTAATGCAGTGTGTTTATAATACCTGTTTTAAAGTCTTTGTCTGATTAGTCCAATCTGTTTCATTTCAGATTTGACATTTCTAGGTTGTATTTTCCTATGGAAATAGCTCATATTTGTCTGGTTTTTGATATAGCTAGTAATTTTTAATTATGTCATGGACATTCTGAATATTATGCTGTGAGACTCTGACTCCTTATTGAAATCCTCTGGAGAGTGTTGATTTGTGCTTTATTAGACAGCAGCCTGGCTGGGTTCAGATTGAAGTTTCATCTAGATTTTTATAGGTGGTGTTTTCAACATCAGTTCAGTTTCATGGGGATCACTGTGGTCTTATCCTGCTTTTTTTTTTTTTTCTCCCCCTGATCTTGCTCTGTTGCTCAGGCTGGAGTGCAGTGGCATAATCATGGCTTTCTGCAGCCTTAACCTTAGGCTCAAGCAATTCTCCCACCTCAGCCCACTGAGTAGCTGCAACTACAGGCACATGCCACCATGCCTGGCTAACATTTAAATATTTCTGTAGAGATGGGGTCTCCCTCTGTTGCCCAGGCTGGCCTCAAACTGCTGGATTCAAGCGATCTTCTTGCCTTGGCCTCCCAAAGTCTTGGGATTACAGGCATGAGCTACTGCGCCCAGCCTGCCGTTTTTTATTGGGGACTTTGCCCACATTCTCTGGCTCTCCAAGACTGCTTTTCTTGTTTTCTTTCGTGAGAAAGATGAAATTCTTTAAGAGTTTTAAAACTCTTGCACTGAGCATTAGGAAAAATAGCTCATGCATGCTAGGCTTAACACCTAGGTGATGGGTTGACAGGTGCAGCAAACCACCATGGCAGATGTTTACCTCTAACAAACCTGCACATCCTGCACATGTACCCCAGAACTTAAAAATAAAAATTAAAAACAAAAAAGTCTTGTCTTGCACTATTTTTCCTGATTTGGGCTGCTGTCAGGTCTAAGTAATGCAAGAAGAGAGAGAAAATAATACCAAGGGTTATCCCCACAGACTTTATACAGTAGGGTCTTCCTTTATTGTTTCTCTACTCAAAAATGGGTTTTCACTCAGGCTCTTAAGTACCCATACCACCACTCACCTGGTGATGTGGTTTGGATTTGTGGGCCCATCCAAATCTCATGTCAAATTATAATTCCCAAAGTTGGAGGAGGGGCCTGGTGGGAGGTGATGGGATCATGGGGAAGGATTTCCCCCTTGCCGTTTTCGTCATAGTGAGCGAGTTCTTACGAGATCTGGTTGCTTAAAAGTGGTTTTGGGTGGTTTTTTATTGGAGACTTTGCCCACATTCTCTGGCTCTCCAAGGCTGCTTGTCCTGTTTTCTTTGGGTGGTTTTGATATCTGTGGTTAACTGGTATTATAAAATGAGTGTGAAAGACATCATTCTTTTTCAGTTCTATGGAATATTATTATTCTCTCATTTCTCATTGTTTCCGTAGTTATCATAACTATTCCAGACGAATGTAGAACCAGCTAAAGTTCTATAAAAATTCCTCTTGACCTTTTTACTGTTAATTTTTAATTGAAGTTTAACACACACACACATAAGTGAGTAAAATGCACTAATGTTTGTCCATTTGATGTCTTGTATACTTCTGTGAAACCACCACCCACACCGAGATATAAAACAGTTCTTGGTAAGGTTTTTTCGTATTTCTCACCAGCCAGTTGTAACACTTATTTCTATGAATAATTTTACCTATTCTTGAACTTCATATAAATGTAATAAGACAGCAAGATTTTTTTCTTCTGTCTTCTTTCATGTACTATAACAACTGTTAGATTTATTCATGTTGTTTAATATATTAATAATTATTTTTCGATCACAGAATTCCATTGCATATATATGTATGCCATAATTTATTCACTGATTCTGCTCTTTGTGTATTTGTAATGTTTCTATTTTTAGTGGTTATGAATAAGCTTCTGTTAATATTTATGTACAAGTTTTTGTTGTACATGTGAAATAATTTAGGGGGATACATATTTGGGAGTGTAGTCATAGGATCATGGAGTATGCTTAGTAGGAATTACCAATTAATTATCATACAATTTCCCAAATGGCTATGCTGTTGTATACTCTAACCACCAATGCATCTTTGCCAACACTGGTACCCTATTCTACTTTATTTTTAATTTGGGCTTTTTGGCAGGTGTGCACTGTTACTTCATTGTGATTTTATTTTGCTTTTTCTTGATGAATAATGACACTGAGTAGCTTGATTATTGGCTATTAGTATTCTGTTCTGTGAAATAACTGTTGAGGTTTTTTTTTTGCAAGTTTAAAAATTGGATTATTAGTTATTTTGTTACAAGGATTTCTTTATATATGTTGAGTATAACTTCCTTGTTTGTAATTTTGATGTCGTTGAATGTATTAATTTTTTTTGCTTATGAGTTTTTTTTGCTTCTTGCTACTTACCTCAGATTTATTATTGTGTTTATTTTTAGAATATTTATTTTTCATAATGAATGAATTTCCATCCTGAATTAATTTTTGTATATTATTTAAGAGAAGATTGAAGTTTTATTCTTAATTTTTGCATACTTTTAAAAACTGTACTGTTCTGATTGATTGACAATGCTGTTCTTTTGAATTGCATTGGCTCCTGTGTCATAAATAAACTTTTATCGTATACGTGTGGGCCTTTTTTGGATTGCATTATATTTCATTCATTTGTTTATCCTTAACTCCAGTGGCACTTTGTCTTACTTAGTATTGCTTTATAATAAGTCTTGAAATTAGAAGGTCTAAGTAAGGCCTCCAATTTCGAGGTTTATAATTTTAATGGAAAGCTATTAACTATGTTGGCATATTATGTCATACAAATATGACTAGCTTTAACTTAATTTTTAAAAAATCTTGAAGATAGAGAATATAAGTTGAAAACAGTATTACACATACCAATAACTACATACCAACCAAAATGTGAAGTTATGTTCAACTCTTTTGTTAATTATAAAAGAAAGGTGAAGAAGTAACTATCAGAATGAAAAAAGTAAAGATTGAATAATATTTAATGTTTGTGAGGTTGTCAGAAAATAGGCACTCTTGTGCATACTTGGTAGCAGTGTGAATTAGATCAGGCCCTCTGGAAGATCATTTAGCAGTGTGCTTCAAACAGTAAGGGTAAAATATATATATATATTTTTGGAGTCTCCCATGTCTACTTCTTTCTACACAGACACAGTAACAATCTGATCTCTCTTTCTTTTCCCCATATTTCCCCCTTTTCTATTTGACAAAACCGCCGTCGTCATCATGGCCCGTTCTCAATGAGCTGTTGGGTACACCTCCCAGACAGGTGGCGGCCGGGCAGAGGGGCTCCTCACTTCCCAGACGGGGCGGCCGGGCAGAGGCGCCCCCCACCTCCCAGACGGGGCAGTGGCTGGGCGGGGGCTGCCCCCTACCTCCCTCCCGGACTGGGCGGCTGCCGGGCGGAGGGGCTCCTCACTTCCCAGACGGGGCGGCTGCCGGGCGGAGGGGCTCCTCACTTCCCAGACGGGGCAGCTGCCGGGCGGAGGGGGTCCTCACTTCCCAGACGGGGCAGCTGCCGGGTGGAGGGGCTCCTCACTTCCCAGACGGGGCAGCTGCCGGGTGGAGGGGCTCCTCACTTCCCAGACGGTGCGGCTGCCGGGCGGAGGGGCTCCTCACTTCTCAGACGGGGCGGCCGGGCAGAGACACTCCTCAGTTCCCAGACGGGGTCGCGGCCGGGCAGAGGCGCCCTTCACATCCCAGACGGGGCGGCGGGGCAGAGGCGCTCCCCACATCCCAGACGATGGGCGGCCAGGCAGAGACGCTCTTCACTTCCCAGACGGGGTGGCGGCCAGGCAGAGGCTGCAGTCTTGGCACTTTGGGAGGCCAAGGCAGGCAGCTGGGAGGTGGAGGTTGTAGCGAGCCGAGATCACGCCACTGCACTCCAGCCTGGGCAACATTGAGCACTGAGTGAGCGAGACTCCGTCTGCAATCCCGGCACCTCGGGAGGCCGAGGCAGGCAGATCACTTGCGGTCAGGAGCTGGAGACCAGCCCGGCCAACACGGCGAAACCCCGTCTCCACCAAAAAATGCAAAAACCAGTCAGGTGTGGCGGTGCGGGCCTGCAATCCCAGGCACTCTGCAGGCTGAGGCAGGAGAATCAGGCAGGGAGGTTGCAGTGAGCCGAGATGGCGGCAGTACAGTCCAGCCTCGGCTTTCACAACTTTGGTGGCATCAGAGGGAGACCGGGGAGAGGGAGGGGGAGGGGGAGGGGAGGGAAATATTTTTAATCATAAAATTAGAGCTATTAAAATGACTTTGTTAACTGTAGACTTTCATAGATAATAATGTCATCTAGGGGAATTAAAAATCAGAGATAAAATCTTTATGTGCTTTTCTAGGGTAGTTAACAATACTCAGTTTCTTTGTTTTCCTTGAAGGCTGCTAAATTTTAGTGTTTTAATGGGGATTGTGGATGTCAAATACTAGTAAAATATGTACACATGTTATTCCATTGGCTTCATGCTCAAGGAATTTATCCTCTTGATGAATGGAAAAGTCTTTTATTAGAGAACACTACATGGCAATTTGCATTAAAAGATGAATAAAAATATAATGAAATGCCCCAATATACTGTATACAGGATAAATCCTTTGAAAGATTAATGAAGGAAAGTATCAGCATTTGGCAAAATTATCGGTATAGGATTAAACAGACTAGGTGGATTTGAATTGGATTTTGGGGACAGGGTTGTATAGGCAGGGATAATGAACATGTTGAATTATATAGTGTAAACAAGTAGGGAAGAGTGAGGAAATAAAAATTGTTATTGAATCCATTAATTTCCTTAATGTTTTTGTCTAATTTTCCAGGAAGCCAGTTAATTGCTAGAGATAGACACATAGAGAGTTTAAATGTAAATGGTGCGTGCTTTTATGAACATATGTTCAGTTGCCTTTTGAGGTCTTTTGAATGTTCTGTTGATGAATGATGCTGTTACTGTGTTGATGATATTATAAACTCTTATTTTAGAAGCATAATTAAGTGATAATTATAACATGAAAATAGGAAAACTTGTTATTTTTATGAATAAATATCAGTTAATGAACTATTTTCTAAAAAAGAACTTTCTTAATCTTTGGTTTGGAGCAACAGAATAAGTAACTCAAGCTATGTGCTCTCAATAGAAATTTAAGATAATTTGTTTTATTTTTAAAATATGTAGGTGAAAATATTAGTTCATCAGGTGATTGAATAATAGTACAGTATTTTCCTTTCAGTTCTACTGGCTTCATCTTGAAAGAGTAAATGACAAAACCTTGTTATGTTAAAGTGTATTGTATTTGTTCATTCACAAAAATATACTGAGAGGCTAGGATATTCCTGGAACTTTTCTGTGCTCTAGGAAAATATTGCTGGACAGAACATACATGGGCACAGACTAGTTGAACTATTGGTTCAAACATATTTTCTTGAATCCTCTGAAGCTTTTTGGACCGTTGTTTGGTTCACTGGCCTAATTATTATCATTTTGTCTTTTTAGGCAGAGGTTTTCCCGTCAGGCCCTTTTGCATAGCCTGTGGATTTACCTTTGGGTCATGTTTCCATCTACAGTCCAGTCAGTTGTGGTTGCAGAGGTGTGTGGTACATGATGTTCCTCCCTCATTCGGATTATAGGCTGGGCAGGTTTTCTCGTTTTCTCTTGAGATGTATTTAGGAACAGTGGCCTCCCCAGCTAGCACAAAGAGCTTGTTTTCAAAAGAAAGCTAACGTTTCAATTTCCAGTCTACCAAATAAAGTCATCACCATTTATTAACTCAGTCTAGTGGATTCTTTTTTATTCTTTTATATTTTTAAGTCAATTTATGAACAATACAGAGTAGTGAAAAGCCACTTTATTAGAAATTTTAGTAAGAATCTAAGCTTGGCGAACCTGTTAAGTAAATTTTGGTGCACAAACATCATAAAAGATGAAAGAGTATTGTCACACTTTCACTTTTTTTTAATGGCAAAACCAGGTGATCCAGGTTGTCGCAGAATATTGCATGAAAAAGTACTTTCAGTTGAATGACCAACTGGAGAATACTGTATTTCCTTTTTTGTCCTTAGAAATATATTGTTCACTCAATTCTTAATACTCAATACTATATTCATCTAGGATATTATAATTAGTCTGATATATCATGTACGTGGTTGTTTTGCCGTCTTTATTAGAGTCTAGAGTGCTGTTGTCTCTTTGTACCCACCTTTTCATGTATCTGTTCATTATAAGGTATCTTTCTTTGTCAGTGTTTTTCTCTTTTCTATAAGTGAAAGAAAATGAAAACTATTGAATTAGTGAATATATTAAATGAAAGTGAAATGCAGACTAGAAAGATGGTGTCTCCAAGCTTTTTAAATACCTTCTTGAAGATGAGGCAGTTTAGGCAACACAGTATAAAAACTGAATGATAACTTATTTCACTGTGGCATCAACTTTGTAGGACAGGGGTTTGCGAACTTTACCTTGTTGGATGCCTGTTTTTGCATATCAAGTTTTATTGGAACATGGCTGTGTTTGGTCATTTATAAGTAGCTACTTTTACACTGCAATAGCAGAATTGAATAGTGGCAAAGATAATGTGGCCCACAAACCTAAAATATTTACCGCCTGGCTCTTTAAGAAGTTTGTCAACGCTTTTTCTAGGATATTATCTCATTTTCCCTTTTTAAAAATATACTTTTTATTTTAGTCTTAAAATTTTTTTCTAGTATGATAGGGTATAATTGAATGATGATGAGTACTGATGAAATAATACCTAGGATTATGAAGTAACTTTGTTTCAAGATAGAGGAAAAATAAGACAAGATGTTACCTCATATTTATAAAAAGTTTCATTGAATCCGTGTGGTAGCCGCAAGATGGAATGAGTTCTGTTTCATTACTAAAGAATCTAGTAATACTCTGTTTTCTTTGGGAGACCTCTAAGAAGGAGTAAAAATATATCTAAGAAGTCTTGATCATGAAATACCAACCCTTATAAATAGTTAAATTTGCTAAGAAAAAAAAAACCCTCAAAAAGGAAAATTGAACCCAGCACACTGTGATGATGTAACAAGGTTTAATTCTCATAAGTTCATGCATTGTTACCTCATATCTTTGAAAAGTCCTATTTAAAAAAAAAAGTATGTAAACTGTCTGGCTTTTTTGTTTTCTCACAAGAAAACATTGCAAAAGTTAAGGTTGTGATTCTCCTCCCAACTTACTTTAACTGCTTATCTCACATTATTCGCCCCTATTGAATCATGTGGCATGGGCTATCATAATTCAACTTAAGTTTTTTTAAAATTATAAGTCATAGGTATTATAGCACAAATTTATTTTTAAAATAGATATTTGGACTTGACTTTTATTTTGTCCAGAGTGTTAAGAACTTTTTGATTTTTCATTTTGTTTTTTAAAAAATGATATACTTGATTGTATCACTGAAGTTAAGAATTCACCACTATGAAAACTGTGACAGACTAAGGAGTAATTTGGAAGTATTATATACATGTCATGTTCAGATTTTGGTGTGAGAAATACATGTTTTAATCTCCTAATTTCTTTTTTTATATTAGCATTTTAATGTTTATTAATTATTTTAACAAAGGTTATTTTATTCCAACAACTTCCAGGGGAAATTTTAATTCGTATTGAGGTATATAATAGCTGGTTTTGAAATTTGATTACAAAAGCATGAAAATTCTTATTCTCACAGAAAAATTTCCCTTATACAGTAAAGCTGAATATTTAAATCAGGTGAATAATTTATATTCTTAATAATTAAAACTCAGTAATTTTAAGATTATTAAACCAAGATATATTTTGTAGGTAAAAAGTCAGCAGAACTATTAACATAAATTATAACCTGCTTTTTAAAAAAGTGTAATACTAAAGTAATAGCCATAAATATTTTGTCTTTATTTTTTAAGGCAAGAGGCGCAGATGTTCCAGAGATTCCTGGAGATCTTACTCTTAAGACGTGTGGCAGTACAGCCAGTATGAAGGTTAAGCATGTGAAAAAGTGAGTATAACTTTACAGTGGATTCTAAATGAATTCCTACGAATGGAAATCAGTTCTTCAATTCTCTTAAAACTTTTATTTAGACTTTTTACAAAAATATGCTGTTACTGTGCAACTGCTAATCCTTAAATTATGACTCAGCAGTCAGTGGAATAGGCCTATAGATTATCCACTCCTCTAAAATATACTTTATTTTTGTTCTTGAAGCAACTTATGTCATTTTCTGTTATTTTACAGTTGTTTGATAGGAACAGTCTAACCATGTCATTCTTGGTACCCTTAGTGCATGCTCTCATTCATTCAGAAATATCAGCTTTATTGTTTGAGTTATGAGATTATTAGATTTCAGGTTTGCCTTTGAGGAGCATGAAGTAGATGCCAAGAGTTGACTGTTAAGTGAAATACAGGTTGAGCATCTCTAATCTGAAGCTATGAAATCCAAAGTGCTCCAAAATGTGAAACTTTTTGAGTGCCAACATGGCAGCACAAATGGGAAATTTCACACCTGACCTTACGTGAGTGTTCACAGTTAAAATTTTGTTTCATGCACAAAATTATTTAAAATGTTGTATAACATTACCTTCAGGCTCTGTATAAAATGTATTTGAAATATAAATGAATTTTGTGTTTAGACTTGGGTCCCAGCCCCAAGATATCCCATAGATATATGCAAATATTCCAAAATCTGAAAAAATCTGAAATCCAAAACTCTTCTGGTCTCTGTGCCATTTTGAACAAGGACTATTCATCGTGTACCTGAAAGTAATCAGTTTTAAAGAGGAAAACCATCTTTTCACTTAGTAGAGTTAGATAGTTATGCTTCATGTGTAAGTAGAGGAAAGACAAGGATAAAAATGTTCATTCTGCGTTCAGGTCCACCACTCCAGGACTGATGGGCTGTGACAACATTCACAGGTAAAATCTGGTTTTCTACTTTGTGTTGGGAATGCTTCTGGTTAGAAGCTGGCTGTCCACAGTTTCCATAACATTTGCCGAAAATAGCAGTTTTTCTATGGACATTGATTCGGGTCAAAATTAGGAGATAACGGTGATGCTTTTTTTATTTTGGGTTTTGATCTGTACACTAAATGTAATACTCATCTGACTCAGTGTATTTTTAAGAGGATTTGTGCGGATATGTGTGGCTCATGCGCATGTGCTTACGAAATATTTTTGCTTGCATGAGCTCTTAAATCCACTGTATTTTTCCCTTAAACTTAGTAATTTTTACTGTTTCACTATCTCGTTTCTTATTTATTTCATGTGTTTCAGGTTACCCTTCACTAAAGGTCACTTTCCGAAGATGGCTGAATGTGCGCATTTCCATTATGAGAATGTTGAGTTCGGCAGCATACAGGTATACTGAAATATTTCTTACATCTTGAATTAAGATTTACACATTTACCTTTATATCTAGATGCTTATCTATATATCTGTATCTAATAGATGACACTTTGAAGTAGTTTTTTTTTTAATTGATGTCTTATTGGTTGAGGTAAAATCTTTCTTCTCTTCTATTGACAAATACTTGATGTCACGTTGACATATGAAAGTAACCATCACACTAACATGTATCAGTTAAGGAAAATCAGTCCTGTCCCCCTCCGTTTTCCTGTATCATGTCCATATGTCCATGGCTTTGTGTAGTGACTTTCTATTCTGAAATTATGTAAACTTGTCTTAATTAATTGTTGTGAGCTTTGATACTTGGTAGATTAAAGTGTTCTCACTTTATTCTTCTTTTTCAGAAATGTTTTTACTGTTACTGCCTTTTCATTCACATACAAATTATTGAATCTAACTTGACATCAACCTACATACTTTGCTCTTATATCATTGGCAGCTTAATGTCCTTTGTACATTATATATATATTAATGTGAAAAAACTATTAAAAACCTAAAAAATAGCTAGATTGTGGTTATTTAAAAAATTATATTTCCCCAGGGGAACAAAAGCCACCCTTTACATTGTCTTTCAAATTAGGCTAATAGAAAAAAAAGTCTTGATTTCTACACACAACATGTAGAGGTAGTCCACTTCCTGTCCTTGCCCTAACCACTGTCTCTCCAGAAGAAAACTCCTGAGACATGACTGATTTGTGTCACAGTGTGCTACTTTTTGTAATTTTATTTCATAAACAAGTGAGATGAATTTGATCTATAGGATTTATGAAAGTGAAGGACATTTCTATTTCAAATAAATTGACAGTTTAAAATAGCACTAGAGATTTATAATGCTGTGACATCAAACAAAGGATATTTTGTTCCATTAGTGTGTATATCCTTGAGATTGCAGTTAACATGATAAATTTCTTAGGTCAGGAAGAACTGATTAAGAAAACAGTAATGAGTACATTTTTCATTTTGTGACTGTTAAGCATTTGATATATCTGTTTGAGTGATTTAGTTTACTCAGCTTGCAATTTAGGTAAATTATTTTCTACTTAATTTATTTTGCTTTTTTTTTTAATCTTTACAAGGTTGAATGAACTCTTTTGGGGGCAGTAAACATTGTGAGGAGTTTTAGCAAATTGAAAAGAAATAGGAGGCTAGAGATCTAAAAACAGTCCAAAGAATATTTAAATGTTAACATTATATGAAAGGTTAGGAAATCTCTAAAGCATCTGATTTAAAATAAAAACAAAACTGTTAATGGTAAACATTGTATAATGAAATAGAAAAAGCACTGGCCTTAGTTCACAAACATAGATTCTAATTTTCTTTTTGCTTCTTAGGAAATTTATGACCTTGGGCAAGTAGCTTAGCCTCTTTGGTTTTATTTCCTTTATGAGGTGAATGAGGTTGTGCTAAATAGTATCATAGTTCTAAACTTTTATTATTTTATATTTAAAGAGTTTATAATGGCTGCATTGAAGATGTGGGTAGGGAATAGACAGTTGTTATTCAGCTGCGTTTGGCTCTCCTGAGATTTTGTTAAATGCTGGTTATTAGAGTCCAGTCCTCTTAATTGGAGGACTGTGTCTAATTTTTATGGGAGAACACATTTGGTAGACTTTTACCAATGAACAGACCTGTAATCTTCATTTTAGATTACACACCATGTTTCACTTTCCCCATTGCACTTACTTCAACCCTGTAGAATTCCATTACTCAGGCAGAAGAAGGAAAAAAAGATGTGATACTAACTCAGTTTGTGACCCTGCTTGTATGAGGTGTATGAGTGAGATGTTTCAGGATTGTATTGATTGACCAGGAGGCCTGGAGTATGGAAGATAGGGGTGGTTCAAAGGAAACCAGCCCAGCTGCACCTTGCCAGTCCACACCAGAATCTTCTTTCTGTGTTTATGGTCCTCTACTTGGCACAGCTCTCCTGCCCAGTTTTGTCCTGCCTCTGTTCTGTGTCTTTGGAGACTGGCCTCTACATATCACATCTACCAGTTTTGCTTGCCTTCTGCTTCTGGTTGAATTCAACCCATGTTAGATACCATCAGGAGGAAAACATTAGTTTCCATTAACTAAGTTGTGTAGCAAAAGAACTATAATAGCATCCTGGCTTGACTTACATGCTTATGTTTTTTATCTTGGGTTGCTGTTCTCTCTTTGGCTAGTATAAGGTTTTACATTTTGATGGACTGATTGAATGCCATTTAAAGAAAAAAAAAACAATCATATTAACCTCTAAACAATCCTATGTTCTATCTGCTACAGGCAGTTAAAATAAAGTTCCTATGTCTCAGTTCTTATTCTTTATCATTTTATAAACATCTTGCTTTTTACATAGGTAAAAATTAGCACATTTGATTCTAAACGTGTTTATGGGAAATGAATCCTTTATTTTCAATATAAGGTTGGAATATGTTCTGAAGAGAAAACAAGTAAGAAAACTTAGTAAAATGTGTCAATAATAGATCATCAGTTGTATGCTGGGCAGCTCTAGTATAAATCAGTAGGTTATTCATACTGTCAATTGGCCAACTTGGTTGTTGCTTTTTAATATGTACCAATTCTGGGACATTCTGCAGTGACATACCTTCTCTTTTTCACTCTGATCTTAGAAATTTCTCTTAGATTTACAGATTCATTGTCTTTATGTTTATAGCTCTTTCTTCTCTTCAGATCTTGAAAGTTTATAATTGCAGTTGGCCATCATATCCTAGTATGACAGAGATGTTAACGTCTTCTACATTTTAAAAATCCAGACAAAATAATCTTTAACTTTCTGGCTTTTAGTTCTGGAATGAAATAGTTATTTTTAATCCTATATGTTAGAAATTCCAATGATCAATTTTATTTAGTCTGAAAGACACAGTTGCTTAAAAAACAATTTAGACATGTCAGTACTTTTACTGGGTCAGTACTATCATTACCATATAATGATATGTAATGTACAAAGGACAATTTTATGATCTCTTCTTTGAATTCCAGCCTTGTATATCCAACTGACTTCCCTGCATCTTCACTTGGATGCCTAATAACACCTCAATCATTGCAGCGTGCCAAGAACAGTCTTTCAGACCTGCTCTTTCTGCTGACTTCCCATCTTGGTAAATAGCAACTCTATCCTTTCAGTTCCCGAGGCCAGCCAAGAACCGTGGAGCATCTTGGGCATCTTTCTTTCTGTCAGTCCTCACATCCAGTCCATCAGCAGATTTTTTGGCTCCATCTTTAAAATAAATCCAGGATCTAACCATGCCCACCTGCTTCTCTGCTATCACCTTACACTAAAGCATTGTCTTTTGGGGAGGATTATTTCAATAGCCTTCTATATTTGGCACAGCAGCAAGAATGATTCTTTTCAAATGTAAGTCCAATCATGTCACTTTTTAAAAACTCTCCAGTTAGTTTTCATCTTATTCAGAGTAAAAGCCAGATTTCTGAAACTTCTCTACAAGGATTTACAGAGTGTACCCTTACCTTTCCGACCTCATCTTTCTTCTCTTCCCCTCAGACAGGGTGATCCAGCCACAGTAGCCTCTTTGTTTTCTGCCAGTATGCTCACCCCCTTCTCAGGGCCTTGGTACTTTTTGTTTCCTTTACTTAAAATGCTCCTCTAGGACAGCCACACACCTTGCTACCTCCTCTTTTAAAAGTACTGGCTCCAGTGCTATCTTCCCAGACTGCACCTTCCTTACATAAGATTGCAACTATAGTCACCAGCATTCCTCATCTCCCTCTCTTTGTTTTATTTCCCTCCATACCACTTAACACCATTCGGCATGCTAAATATTTTATTATTTATTTTCTTCCCCTCAACATCTAGAACAGTGATTGACACATAAAAACTACTCAATAAATATTTGTTTAATGAATAATAGATGAATGAGATGAATGGATGAATGAGTTTATATTTGAAGAAGAGATACAATTGGTTTTTAAAATGCTGTTTTACTATTTTGTTTTTATTAATCATTTTAAATTTGTTCTTATATGATAAGAATATATATTCCTTATGAGTATTTATTATAAAACAAATTATGTAACCATCCTGTTTAAGTCTCAATTTGGTACATTCAGTTGTAATGTGTAGTATAGGAGAGATAATATGCTGAGGAGAAAGGTGCTGGTGTGGTGTAGAATGGGTATGACCAGCTGGTGCAGTTAGCCTTGGTCTTGCTTTCCTTATCTTCACACTGAAAAGGAAGTACGGTTCCTAGATACCCTAGAATACTAGGTGACAGCTAATGTTCCTTCAAGCTAAGAAATTGTAGATGAACTATGAGTTCTGATTGAGGTTGTGATAAGGTGGAGAGGAACAGAGATATAACAGCACGGGGGAGGATAGGTTGTACCATGCCATATTCTTATTTTAGTCTACTTCCATGGAGCTTGAATAAGCTATTAATATCTGTAAAAATTAGTACAGATAATTGCTCATGTAATAGAAGTAGCTTGTTGAAACATCTTTATATTCCTGAGACACATTATGCTGAGTTATATATATATTTAAAAACAAATTCCTTTTTTACACTCTACTAAGATTTTATAATTTCTGCATCTGTGTTTGTTGGTGAAGTTAACCTGTGTGCTATACTTGTCCCACTAGCCTAAGTCTGGGGAATTTCTGCTCCCCTATCCCATTCTCCACCCCTTTTAAATAAATGCACTGGAATAGTTTGTGTAAATGGGAATTACCTGTTCTTTGAAGGGTTAGTAGAATTTTCCTGTTAAAACCTTTTGAAACTGGTTCCCAACTGGGGACTTAATCTTTGCCATCTTTACTTACCATTTCAACTTATGATTTGATTATTGCTCATTAGGTTCTTTTGTATCTCCTTAGATCAATTTTTATCATTTATATTTTCTTAAAAATTGTTCATTTAATTTAGCTTTTTAAATTCATGGGTTATAAGTTGTACACAAGATATTATTAAATCTTGGTCTTATCAAGGAACCAGCTTATGGTTTTACTGATCAACCAAATTTTTTTTTCTGTATTTTTCATACCATTAATTTCTAAGCATAAACTTTCCTTTTGTTTCTTGAATTGAAAGTTTAGTTTTTCTTATATTTTTTTTTCCAGAAAAGAGTTGAGAATAATGCGTATTGCCTACTAGGATTTGCCTCTCAAAAACTAGCTTCGTCATAAACCAACTTTGTCAAATATTAATATTACACAACATATACTACTTAATCTCTGCTTTAGAGAAATAGAATGCAACAGGTATTGTTAATGATTCATTTGTTTTTAGGTATTACTTTTTAGTAAGTGCATTTAAGTTTGGATATTTTCCTGTGAATAGTAGTTTGGCCAAATTCTACAGGTTTTGATTCATAAATGTCTTATGTTTAGTTTAGAGAAATTTAAATTTCACAAAAAAATAATTACTAGAAGGGGCTTTTTGTTTTAAGTAAAGCCACATGTAGTTTAAAATTCTGCAAATTTATTGTTACTGCACTTATTTTCCCTGTTGTATTATTCTGCAGTCCAAAAACAAAGGTTAATTCACATTTCACAAAATATTTTTCAGTAAGAAGCGGGGGGAATCTCTTGTAACACGCAAAGAAATGATGAGTTTGAGGCAGCGCTGTTCCTGCTGTGCTTTGTGTTGTACCGCCATCTAGTGTGTAGGGGGGGAAAAGGATATGTTTGATTTGTATTTTCTTTATCATCTGGTTATCTGAAGTTATCACTTGATGTGTTTCTTTTTATCCAATTTCATACAAAACATTAAGTTAAATTAACCTGAATGGTAGAGTTCAGGTTTTTGTATAAATAAGGAATAGGAAAAGTATGAATTTAATATCTGTGTCTCGAGCTTTCTATATGCAAGCTGCCTGCAAGGGACTTGAAAATGCTGTCATGGCTTTCTATCATTACATGCATTTCTGCCTTGATGCTGGGAAGGCGGAAAGAAGTAGTAAAGTTTGACCTGAGTGTAGGAATATTGAGGGGTAATAATGCAAACAATTTTAAAAGCCTGAAGTTTCATTTAAAAAGTAGTAATCAGAATTACAATAAAAATACAAGCCAATATTTATTGAATGTTTTGTCTGAGCCAGGCATTATATCAAATACTGTTTCCACATTGTCTCAATTACGCTCCACAACAATTTCAGGTACAGAAATTTAGGTAAAAAGAGTTTAAGAACTTACTCAAGTTCTTAAACCGTTTTGTGGACTGTATTTGAATCAAGGCGGCCTGACACTAGAGCCATTCTGCATGTTCTTTTGTATTGCTAGAAAAGAATAGACTGACTCAACTAATACTTTAACAAAAAGGAGTAAATGATGGTTCTAGAGTATCTCGCATCTTTAATGTAGTTGAAGGTTAAAAAGTATGATACATAATACTGCAGTGTAACCTTAAGTAATTTCCATTGTGATCTTAAGTAAATTCTTAATGTCTCTGGTCGTCAGTTTCCTCATTTGTAAAATAGAAACAAATATATCTATTCTAACTATATCATAAAGTATTATGGGAATTAAATGACATAATAATTGTGCAGTACATTTTAAAGGGCTTTAGAGAAAGGCAGAAGTTCTAGGGAAGCACTTAGGTAAAGTCAAATAATCATCTTTAAAATGTGGGAAGTCATACTTGTCCTGATGACCCAAGGACAGTGTTGTCAGGATTGAGGCAGTGGATACTGACTTCACCTGAGTACTTCCTATCAGTTAAGCCTTCATCATTAATAAAAATAAATTAATGAAAAGGTTATCTCTCCCCATTTTGTTAAGACACTTGCAGTTTGAAAAATTAACTTGTACATATTTTCAGTTTAAAAAAATCTTATACAGAAGTACTGTTACTACATGTGTAATCATTTGAAATAAAACCCATGCTAATTTTATTCTCACCCTGGCCACAAAGTTTAGTTTTCCTCAAAAGAAATAAAAATCTTAGCCTTACTTTTCTGCATGTTCTGCAGTATACTCCCTCTTATACAAGGAAATCATTGTCCTTTCAGGAGAGAATTTGAAATGAAATGTTCAGATAGTGAGTCATCAGTTCCACTGTCATCTAAGTACTGGATTTTCACTGTATCTCGTTTGAGATTATTCAGTCCAAGAATTAGATGTGTAAAAGTGGTTGGACTGTGAAAAAATATATCTATAGTGGAGTCAGCCATAATTTACAGGCAGTTTACTTATAGTATTGTTGAGTCTGAAACTGTGAAGAGTCTGAGATGTTTTCCTACTAGTAAGCTAACAAGTTGGCTTCCCACAACTACAGACACACTACACACATTCTCACTCTCTCTTTCTCTGTCTCTCTGTAGCCTCCCTTTCCCCCAGCAGAAACATCAAGTCTCTGGACCAGAAATTAAGCCCTTGTTTACTTGAAAAGTAACTTATGTTGGTTCCCTAGGCCCTGGTTCTCCATAAAGTGATATGGTGACAACCAGAGATATCCTGTGTTTACAAGTGGGATTTGGTACCACAAGAGAACTCTGCACTTATGAAACTTGAAGCTTATACAGGATAGCTGGCATTCCTGCCCATTCTCCTTTCTCGAGATGGAGAGAGAGAGAGACCTTTGCTCTGAAATGTAAACAAAATCTCTGGGAAAAAGAAGCAAGGATCTGTATTTCACAAACACTCTGGAATGTAAACATGGCTTGGGGGAGAGAGAAAACTTTTATCTCTAGAGGGCTCCATCTTTAGGGTTACTGGGTTAAGTTCAGTCCCTTAGCCCAGGTGCCAGTGCTCTTTGCTTAGAAAGCCCTGACCATGCTGAAATGTGAAAATATGTATGAAGCAGTTTCCTGACAAGTATATGTTCTTGAGTGAGCATCAGTAAGATGAGGGCTGTGATTCTGCTGTCGTGTTATTTGGTCTCATTTTCCATGTATTCTTCATATGATGGGCATCACAGTGAACTGATGGTGATTCTAGTGTTTAAAGATGAGCACATCGGTTACTTTATCAGATACTCAGCTGAGAAAACAGTGCTCTATTCCCATTCTGGGAAGAAAAACTCTTAGGTCTGTTAAGATGCTTGTAGGTCTCTAGCTTTTTCCTGGTAAATCTGAAGGGTAATTTTGCCTTTTATTGATTTTCGCCTTATGTGCTGGAATTAGAACTTATTTCACTTATTAACCATGTAAGATGTAATTCTGCTGTAGAATTATTCTTCCTCTTGGCGTCCTGAACTCAGTAGTTTTAAAGTAGTATTTTCAGTGTCAAATATTAGGAGGTTGAAGGTAGGGTGGGTGGACCACATAATATTATACAACAGAAATCATTTTTTTGTGTCTCCACGTCTGCTACACAGGCTGTGAGGTGAAAGAAAACTTGTTTACAAACCCCATAGGTATGACACATGAAATTGCAGCCATTATAGAACTACAAAAGATGAATAAAAGAAAAGAACTCTTTCCGTGTTCCATTTGCAATCCGTTGATTAGGCTTTGGTGAATGGTTTCTTCTGTGGGTGGGTGGTATATTTTTACCCTGCTCTATGCTACTGATTTCCATTCTCCATATGGAGAAAGAACTTTTCTGAACATTTGAAGACTTGCTGAATAGAGTTGTATTTTTAAAGATCCTAACAACACTAATTGTAATTGGTTTCCATGGTGATAGAAAAGTGAACTCAATACAGGAAAAATAACTCCAAAGATAGATTTGGAAGAAATTTAGAAATGTGGGATTTGGAAATCCTGTTTGCCATTTCTAATAGATGAAGGACTGAAATATTATTAAATTGAGAAGTGAAAATTATTTAAATCACTGAGTTGCTGTCATAAATTTCTACAGGCAAATATAGTTCAGTCCTTCATAGTGTATAGTCTTTGTACATGTAGTTCAGGTACTGCATAAAATACATTAATATTCAGACATGTATAGGGTGTATTAAAACCCACAGTTCTCTTAGGATAGTTTTATTGAATATCTTGTATGTGCTAGCCACCTATGTGAGTACCACTGATGAAGCAGATAATCTTTCCTCAGAGAAAACAAGTAATATACCAATAAGTTTAAGAGAAAAACAATGTTATAAATGTTATAAAAGTGCTTGTAGGTATTCAGTGGTGAGAGAGATTATGTCCTGTGGCATTCAAAAGTCTTCATCTTTATTGAAGATTGAATAGAATTTGGATATGCAGAGATAGAAGTGAAGAACCCTCAGCCAAGGAAAAATAGTACAGACAAAGGTGCTTGTGTTTTCATTGTTCAGCTCCCTCTTATAAGTGAGACCATCAATTGCTTTCTTAGTAAGAACTGAGAAAGTATTGCAGGATTTTGAGAAGGGAGTACCATGATCAATGTGTGATGGAGATGGAGAGAGACCATTTGAAATACTGTTGTAATTATCCAGATGTAAGGGGGCCTAGAACCAGGGAATTAGCAGTGGGGAGTAGGAAAAAAGGGGATGACTGTAAGAGATAAGTGTTAGCAGACATGAGAGACTAAAGAATCAAAGGTGAAAAATGAGACCTTGAGCCTGGAAATGTAAAAAGAGAGCATGTGTGGAAAGGAGGAGAAGTAGCAGAATCTAGGGCGATTAGGTTGGTCAGCTGGGTGAATAGTAGTACAGTTTGTTTTGTGAATTCAGGAGGAGGAGGAGAATATGTGAGGAAAGATGACGAATTCAGTTTTGAAACTAAGCACCATATTTCAGGGAGAAGACAATGTTTGTTTATTCATTAAATACATAGCGATCCCTACTTAAATCTCAGGTACAGCTGACCCTTGAACAACATGGGTTTGAACTGTATGGGTCCACTCATATGTGAATTTTAAAAAATAAATATATTGGAAATTTTTTTAGAGTTTTGCAGCAATTTGAAAAAACTTGCAGATGAACCATGCAGCCTAGAAATCTGGAAAAAAACTAAGAAAAAGGTATGTCATGAATGCAAAATATATATATAAATACTAGTCTATTTTATAGCTTACTACCATAAAATACACAAATATATTATAAAAAGTTAAAATTTATCAAGACTTACATAAACACAGACTGAACATGGTGCGATTCCTAATCAAGAGGAATGTAAACAAACATAAAGGTGCAGTATTAAATTATAACTGCATACAGTTTAATGTAGTACATACTGTACTACTGTAATAATTTTGTAGCCACCTCCTGTTGCTATTGTGAATTCAAGTGTTACAAGGATCCACTTAAAACACTGTGTGATACTTAATCATCTCTGTATGTGCATTGTGTATTGCAGTAAAAAGTGATCTCTTATGGTTCTTCCATACTTTTCATTGTATTTGGTGCAATACCATAAACCTTGAATAACACCACGAGACTCATACAAAATGCTACTAGTGATGCTGGAAATGCTCCCAAGAAGCAGAGAAAAGTCATGACATTGTAATAAGAGGTAAATTGCTTGATATGAACTATAAATGAGGTCTACAGCCACATTTGTCTGCCATTTCAATCTGTTGTAAGGACTATTATTTTTTAAAAAAGAAAATTAATGAAGCTGTTATTGCAGCTATAGCAGTAGGTGTGAACATCTTGCACTTTTTGTGAAATACCTTTTTATCTCATATTGAAAATGCAGCTTTTATGTCGGTGCAGGATTGCTATAAGAAGGGCATACTTATAGACTATAATATGATTTGAGAAAAGCAGTCATTTGCTTTTGATTGGTATTTTGATTTATATTTTGACAATGTAAAGTAAAAGGAAGGTGAAGAGTCTAAAGCTGGAGAATTTAATGCCAGCAAAGGATGGTTTGGTAATTTTAGAAAGAGGTTGGCTTTAAAAATGTCAGGGTAACAGGAGAACCTGCTTCTGTCACCCAAGAGGCAGCAGATGAGTTCCCAGATAACTTTAAGAAAATCACTGAGAAGAAAGGATATCTGCATGGAAAGTTTTTAATGTACCATGAAGCAGCCAAATATTTGAATTTTTGGTGTCCCAGAAAGTGAAGAGAAAGTGAAAGGGATAGAAAACTAATTTAAAAAAAAAACAAACTAACTAAAACTTTCTAGTTTTAGCAGGAGATTTAGATATGCAGATACAGGAAGCTCAGAAATTCCCAAATAGATACAATTCAAAAAGGCCAAGGCACATCATAGTAAAACTGACAAAAGTGAAAGACAAGAATTCTGAAAACAGGCAGAGAAAAGCATCTAGTCACTTATAAAGGAACCTCCATCAGTTCCTCAGACTAATGGTGAAATTTTTTTTTTTTTTGAGTCTTGCTCTGTCACTCAGGCTGGAGTACAGTGGTGCAATCTTGGCTCACTGCAACCTCTGCCTCCTGGGTTCAAACAATTCTCCTGTCTCAGCCTCCCGAGTAGCTGGGACTACAGGTGCAAGCCACCATGTCTGGCTAAATTTTGTATTTTTAGTAGAGACGGGGTTTCACCTTATTGATCAGGCTGGTCTCGAACTCCTGACCTCAGGTGGGAGGCCGAGGCAGGCAGATCACTTCAGGCCAGGAGTTTTGAGACCAGTCTAGCCAACCTGGTGAAACCCCATCTCTACTAAAAATACAAACATTAGCCAGGCATAACGGTATGTGCCATAGTCCCTGCTACTTGGGAGGCTGAGATAGGAGAATCGCTTGAACCCAGGAAGTGGAAGTTGGTGGTGAGCTGAGATCACATGCTGCTGCACTCCAGCATGGGCTACAGAGTGAGACTCTGTCTCAAAAAAAGAAAGGGGGAAAAAATAAAAGAAAAATAGACATTACAATGGATGCTACGGAAATACAAAAGGTCATGAGACTGTCATGAACAACTATACAGTAAGAAGTTGGAAGACCAAGAAGAAACGGATAAATTTCTGGGCACGTGCAGCCTACTAAAATTGAATCAGGAAGACTTAGAAAACCGGAACATACCAATAAGGAGTAATGAGATTGAATTAGTAACAAAAAGTCTTCTAACAATGAAAATCTCAGGAATGGATGGCTTCACTGCTGATTTCTACCAAGCTTACAAAGAACTAACATCACTCTCCTCAAACTATTTCAAAGAATTGAAGAGGAGAGAATTCTCCCTAACTCATTCTATGAGGCCAGCATTAGCATAACACCAAAATCCGAAAACTACAGATCAATATCCCTGATAAACATAGATGCAAAAATACTTAACAAAGTACTTGCAAACTGAATCCAACAGCACATCAAAAAATAAGACACCATGATCATGTGGAATTTATTCCAGGGATGCAAAGATGTTTTGACATACACAAATCAATAAACATGATACATCACATCAGCCGACTGAAAGACAAAAACCATCGTTTCCTCTCAAAGACACAGAAAAAAATTGAGAGATTCAACAATCCTTCATGATAAAAATTCTCAACAAACCAGACACAGAAGGAACATACTTCAACATAATAAAGGTCATATATGACAGACCAACACCTAACATCATACTGGATGGGGAAAAGATGAAAGCCTTTCCTCTAAGAACTGAAACAAGACAAGGATGCCAACTTTTCCACTCCTGTTCAACGTAGTATTGGAATTCATAGCCAGAGCCATCAGGCAAGAGAAAAATAAAAAAGCATCTAAATTGGAAAAGAGGAAGTTAAATTGTGCCTCTTTGCAAATATGATCTTACATTAAGGAAAACCTTAAAGACTTCACAGAAAACTTTTTGATCTGATAAATAAATTCAGTGAATTTGCAGATACAAAATTAACATACAAAAATCAGTAATATTTCTATATAGCAGTAATGAAATAGCTGAAAATGAAAAGAAGAAGGCAATCGTATTTACAATAACTAAACAAAAAACCTAGGAATAAATTTAACCAAGAAGGTGAAAGATTTCTATGAGTAAAATTGTGTAACACTGATGAATGAAATTGAAGAGGACACAAACAAATGGAGACCTCCCATGCTCATGGATTAGAAGAATTAATGTTGTTAAAATGACCATACTGTACAAAGCAATTTGTAGATTCAATACAATGTCTATGAAAATACCAATGCCATTTTTCACATAAATAGAAAAAACAATCCTAACATTTATATGGAACCAAAACAGAACCTGAATAGCCAATGAAATCCTTAGCAAAAAGAACAATGCTGGAGACATCACACTACCTGTCTTCAAAATATGACAAGGGCATTGTAACCTGAACAGAATGGTATTGGTATAGAAACAAACATGTAGAGTAATGGAACAGAATACAAAACCCAGAAAGAAATCCATGTGTTTACAGCCAAATTTTTTTTATAAAGTTGCCAAAAATATACATTGATAAAGGACACACCCTCTTCAATAAATGTTGCTGGGAAAAGTGGATGTCCACATGTAGAAGAATGAAACTAAACCCCTATCTCTCATCATATAAAACAATCAACCCAAGATGGATTCAGGACTTAAATGTAAGACCTGAATCTATAAAACTACTAGAAGAAAACAGGGGAAACACTTCTGGATATTGGTCTTGGCAAAGATTTTATGGCTGAGAACTAAGCACAGGCAACAGAAACAAAAATAGACAAATGATACTCTATTAAACTAAGAACCTTTTGCACAGCTAGGAAACAATCGACAGAGTCTCTGAAGAGACAGCTGGTGGAGTGGGAGGAAATATTTGTAAATGATATCCCACAAGGGAGTTATACAAGGAATTCAAACAAATCAACAGCAAAAACAAAAACAAAACAAACAAAAACCAAAAAATAAAAAAACACAAATCTCATTAAAAAGTGAGCAAAGGATAAGAATAGAGTTCTCAAAGAAGATATACAAATGGCCAACAGATACATGAAAAATACTCAACATCACTAATCATCAGGGAAATACAAATCAAAACCCACAATGAGTTATATTATCTTACTCCTGTTAGAATGGCTATATTTTAATACAAAAAATAATAGATGCCAGTGAGTATGCAGAGAAAAGGGACCTCTTAAACACTGTTGTCAGGAATATAAATGAGTACAAGCACTATTTAAAACAGTATGGAGATTTCTCAAAAAACTAAAAAAGGAACTACCATATGATCCAACAATTACACTACTGCATATGTATCTAAAGGAAAGTAAATCAGTGTATCGGATTGATACCCACACTCCCATGTTTATTGCAGCACTATTTACAATAACAAAGATATGGAATCCAATAACAAAGATATGGAATCAACCCACATGTCTCTCCACAGACGAATGGTTAAAGTATGGTATATATATATATATGCAATCGAATACTATTTGGCCACAAAAGAATGAAATTTCTGTCATTTGCAGCAACATGGATGGAACTGAAGGTCATCATGTGAAGTGAAATAATCTAGCCACAGAAAGACAAATATTGCATATTCTCACTTACATGTGGGATCTAAAAAACTTGATCTAATGGAGGTAGAGAGTAGAATAACAGTCTGAGAAGGGGCAACATGATGAAGAAGTTTGATTAATGGGAAGAAACATGCAGTTAGATAGAAGGTGTAAGTTACAATGTTCAATACCAGAGTAGGATGACTATAGTTAACAACCATGTATGTGTATTTCAAAGTAGCCGAAAGAGAGATCTTGAAATGTTTCCAGTACATAAAAATGGTAAATACTTAACGTGATGGAAACCCCAAATACCCTGATTTGGTAATGACGCTTTCTGTGCTTGTAACAAAATATCACATGTAACTCACAAATATGTAAAATATTATGTATCAATTTAAAAATTGTGCATTCAAAGACACTATCAAGACAGTGAAAAGAACCCACTGAATGGGAATAATGCAAGTCATATATCTGAAGCAAATTAAATGTAGAACTATTACAACTCAACAACAAAATATCAACAACCCACTTCACAAATCAGCAAAGGGCTCGAGCAGATATTTTTCCAAAGAAGATAGAGAGGTGATCAACAAACATATGAAAATATTCTAGCCTATACATTATCGAAAGGTCATATTGAACTCAACTAGTGCTTTTGTAGAACTGCCTATTTCTCCCTTCACTTCTGTCATGTTTGCTTTATATATTTTGGTGCTCTTTTGCTTGGGGCCTCCATGTTTATAATTGTTATATGTTCTTGATGAATTTTCTCATTTCATCAATATATAATGTTCATTTTTGTCCTAATGTCTATTTTGTCTGATACTAGTATAGCTACCCAGGTCTTTTTGGTTGTCATCTACACGGAATATAGTTTTTCATCTTTTCATTTTCAACATATTTGTATCTTTGGCTCTAAAGTGAGTCTCTTGTAGAAAGCAAGTGGTTGGATTGTGTCTATTTTTAATCTGTTCTCCATCTCTGCCTTATGATTGTAGAGTTTACTCTGTTTACATTTGTAGTAATTACTCTTAAGGAAGGACTTATGCCATTTTGCTGTTTGTTTTCGATATGTCTTATATTTTTTGCCCCCATTTTTGCTGTTACTGCCTTCTTTCTTATTTAATTGAATTAGTGACATTTTGATTCTCTTCTCATTTTTTCCTCTGTATATTTTATATGGCTGTTCTCTTTATGGTTACCACAGTGATTACATAGAACATCTTAAAACTATAACAGTTTATTTTGAATTTATGCCAACTTAACTTCAATTCTATACAAAAGCTCTACTTTTTTTTTTTTTTTTTTTTTTTGAAACATAGTTTTGCCCTTGTTGCCCAGGCTGGAGTGCAATGTCATGATCTTGGTTCACTGCAACCTCCGCCTCCTGGGTTCAAGCAGTTCTCCTGCCTCAGCCTCCCAAGTAGCTGGGATTACAGGCATGTGCCACCAAATCTGGCTAATTTTGTATTTTTAGTAGAGACGGGGTTTCTCCATGTTGGTCAGGCTGGTCTCGAACTCCTGACCTCAGGCGATCCGCCTGCTGTGGCCTCCCAAAGTGCTGGGATTACAGGCGTGAGCCACCACGTCCGGCCCAAAATCTGTACTTTTATACAGCTCAATCGCCATCATTAAGTCATTGATGTCACAGATTACATCTTTATATATCATGTGCCCAATAACATACATTTATGAATGTGTCTTTTAAATAACATAGAAAGCAAAAAGTGGGGTTCTAAACCAGAGTTTCGGTATTACTGGTGTGTGTTTGCCCATGTATTAACCTTAACTGGAGATCTTTTTATTTTCATATGGCTACAAGTTACTGTCTAGTGTCCTTTTATATCAATGTTAAGAACTTTGTTTAGCCTTTCTTGTGGGGTAGGTCTAGTGTTGGTCAACTCTTTCAGTTCTATTTTTTGGGGGAAATCTGTGAATGTCTTAATTTCTCCTTTATTTTTGAAGGATAGTTTTGCTGGATATAGGATTGCTAGTTGACTAGGTTTTTCTTTCAGTATTTTAAATGTATCATCCCTCCACCTTTTGGCCTCAACATTTCAGCTGAGAAAATAGCTTATAATGTTTTTGAGGATCACTTATATGTGACCAGTTGCTTCTTTTTTGCTGCCTTCAAGAGCTTCTCTTTGACCTTGTCTTTTGAAAAATCTGATTATAGTGTGTCTTGGTGTGGAACTCTTTGGATTTTGGATGTGCACATTTATGTCTTTCATCAAATTTGGAATGATTTCAGCCATTATTTTAAAAAATAATATTTGCCCCATTCTCTTTTTCATTCTTAGATTTCCATAATGCGAGAGTTGGTCCACTTGATGGGTCTCATAGGTTTTTTAAAGCACTGATTAATTTTTAAAATTATTTCTTCTTTCTGTTCATTACATTTTATCTACTTGTCTTATCTTTAAGGTGACTGATTCTTTCTTCTTCTTGATCAAATCTGTTGTTGAGCTATCTAGTGAATATTTATTTTCTTTTTCAACTTTTATATTAGATTCAGGGAGTACATGTACAAGTGTATTTATTACCTGGGTATATTGTGTGATGTTGAGGTTTAGGGTACAAGTAATCCCATCACCCACGTACTGAGAATAACACCCAAAAGTTAGTTTTTAAATCTTTTCCTCACTGCCACCCTCCCCTATCTAGTAGTCCCCAGTGTCTATTGTTACCATCTTTATTTCCGTAAGTACCTGATGTTCAGCTCCGACTTATGAGTGAGAACGTCTGGTATTTAGTTTTCTGCTCCTGTGTTAATTTGCTTAGGCTAATAACCACTGTCTGCATTTATATTGCTGCAAAGGACGTGGTTTTTTCTTTTTTATAGCTGTGTAGTATTCCATGGTATGTGTGTACCATATTTTCTTTATCTAGCTCACTTTTGATGGGCACCTAGGTTGATTCCATGTCTTTGCTATTGTGAATAGTGCTGTGATGAACAAGTGAGTGCATGCGTCTTTTTGGTAGAACAATTTGTTTTCTTTTGTATATATATCCAGTAATGGGATCGCTGGGTCAAATGGTAGTTCTGTTTTTAAAGTTCTTTTGAGATATCTCCAAACTGCTTTCGACAATGGCTGAAGTAATTTACATTCCCAACAACAGTATATAAGCAATTCCTTTTCTCTGCAGCCTCACCAACATCTGTTGTCTTTTGTCTAGTCAGATTTTAACTTTAGTTATTGTACCTTTTGGCCCCAGACTTTGTTTTTTTAATACTTTATAACTTCTTGCTAATATTCTCATATGTTCATACATCAGTTTCTTGATTTCCCTTATTTCTTTGTCCATGGTTTCTTTGAACTTTTTGAATGTGTTGAATACAGTTTATTTAGTGTCTAGTTAAGTCCCATATATAGACTTCTCAGGTACAGTTTTTGTTTTTTCCTCTGATGAATGTGTGCTTTCCTGTTTCTTTGTATAACTTGTGGCTTGTGTGGCATACTGTACATTTGAATATTATAGTGTAGTAACTCTGGAAACTGGGTTTTCGTCTATCCTTAAGAGTTTGATTTTTTTCATTGTTCATGGCTGCGGTTTGTTTGGTGATTTTTTTTTCCAAACTGTTTTAGTGAAGACTGTATTCCTTGTCATATGTATTTAGTAAAGTCTTTCTTCTTTTAGCTTGTGTTTAGGTAGTGTTTTGTCAGGGATTTTTTTGAATGCCAGGAGTGAAAAATAAAAATCAATGAAAAAGCCACTTTCTCCGGTCTTTACGTGTTGCTTCTGTACTGGAATACTCATTCAACACCTAGCGAAGCTGTTTACAGGTCTGCCTTCGTCTTCCCTTCATGTTACACTTATCCTAGAGGTCAGCTGGAGGTGAAAACCTAGGGACTTCTTAGCTTTTTGTGAGTATGTGTCCTACCCTGTGCGTGTGCATGGCTTTCAAAATACTTCCATATACCCAGGCACTTTTGAATGCTGTCATTTCCCAGAGACCTCTCTACTCAGCTTTCCCTCTTAGATTTTAGGTTGTTTACTTTATGTCTCAAATATAATTTTTTTGCTCCAGATAGTTGTAGAGTTTTTGTTTGCCTTACTGTATTTTTAAGCAATATTTAATGGTTTTCCTCCTTGAATGAGTTCCATATTAGGTGAAATGTAGGTAAGCACCTTGCATCAGTTCTTCAGGTAGCCTCTAGACAGGTTAGAAGAGACAAACAATAGTTTGTGAATAGGGTCTGTCTATTCCTTTCAGGCCCGGTGAGGGTTGGCATCATTAAGACTACTGCTGAGCCAGAGAGGTTTGGGGCAAGCACAAGTAAAAATGCCACAAAGCTTTCCTATTTTGAAGTGGCTTTTTCCTTGATTCAGTGATCTCTTGGTTATTCTAAACCCTTTACTGTTTTCTGGAGTACTGAGAAAGTTGACTCTGAGAGATTGTGCTTGTTTTTTGTGATTTTTGGAGGGATTGAAGCTTGTAGCCACCTACTTTACCATTTTATTGACACCATTTGGCCATCTTCTTTCTCTTTTAGTTTTTTCTTTTCTTCTTATCTCCTTGCTTTTTTTTTTCTGAAATGTTCTCTCTCCTTATGCCTTCCTCCCCATTTCTTCCTAGAGAGATTAATTTTATTTCTAGTCTTAATTTCTTTTAAGGTTATTGACATTTAAAAATTTTATCCTCTTCCTTTTGGTTTGGAAACCAGAAAATAGAAAATATGTATCATTTTTCTATTCTTTTTATGGCTGCAATTAAAATCATAACTCAAAAACCTAATTTAAAGGCTAAATTTTTTGGTATCTCTGATTCTGTCATAAAGTATCAGCATTTAGAATATTTTAACTGTGATCACTCTTTCCTCCATGTTAGTGTTGTTCAGGATGATAATTCTAACTTTTCATCTTTCATAATTAAATACTATTCTTATATAGCTAAATTTGTTTCGATTTATAAACTTATTTCCTGAATTTCTTGTTCAATATTTCTACCTTACTTCTCAGTTTATTCTTTTAGAATCCCTTTTCTTCTGAGGTACATATTTTAGAAATTTTTTTTGGTGAGGTTTTGTTGGTGGGAACTCTTCAGTTTTTGTTCATCAGAAAATGCTTTTTTTGGCTCTTATTTTTACATGATAGTTTAGGTATGAATAACATCTTGGTAAATCTCTTTTCTCAGAACTTAAAAGATATTCTTAAACCGTTCCATCTGTTACTGTTGAGATGTTAGGTGTTTTATAGTTACTTAGATATTTCCTATTTCTGGAACTGTTTATTCCTTCCTGCAGTTCTGGGTTTTTGTCTAGTACCATTTCTCTTTAGCCTGAAGAACTTGTTTTAGTTTTTTGGTTGGACTAGTCTACTGGAGACAGATTCTTTCAGATTATTTTTATTTGTGAATATTTTTATGTTGCTTAATTTCTGATGGTTATTGGCATGAATTATATTAATAGTATTGACAACATTTCTTTCAGCACTTAAAAGATGTTTTCTTTTTGTCTTCTCCCCTCTCTTGTTTCTGATGAGAAGTCAGCTGTTATTTATACTTTTCCACCATGAGTCATGTATGTTTTTTTCTTTATAGATTGAAAGTTTTTTCTTTATCTTTCCTTTTCAAAATTATAATTATGATATGTTTAGTACTGATTTATTCATTTAGTTTGGGGTGCACTGAGTTTCTTGATTTTGAAGCTGATGTTTTCACATATTTTGGAAAGTTCTCATCTGGTATCTCCTGAGATATTCTGCTTCATTCTCTCTTATCTCCTTCTGGTACTCCAATTATATCTATGGTTATATGTGTTTGACATTCTCTTAGGGAGCTGAACTGTATTGTTATTTTTGTTTATTCTTTTTTTCTCTTAGTGATTCAGTGTGGATACTTTTCATTGACCTGTTTTCAAGTTCACTGCTCCTTTCATTTACTGTTGCCAGTTTGCTCTTAAAATCTGATACAAAAAATCATTTTTCGCATTTTCTATGGAACTTTTTTTCATAGTTTTAATCTCTGCTGGATTTCCCATATTTTCTTTTGACTGCTGTAAGTACCACACATATGTAGAATCAAGTATCTGTCTTTTTGTGTTTGGTATATTTAACATGAGCACAGTGTTCATCCCTGTTGTAGCATATGTCAGAATTTTTTCTTTTTAAAGGCTGAGGCTGAATAATATTTCATTTTGCCTGTTTGTATACATGTGTAAATGTGTGCACCACATTTTGTTTATCCAGTCATCTGTTGATGGGCATTGGGTTACTTCTGCTTTTTAGTTATGATGAATAATGCTTCTGTGAACATGGGTTTACAAATGTCTCTTTGAGACTCTGTTTTGTCTTTGGGGGGTGTATACCCAGAAGTGGAATTGCTAGGTCATATAGTAATTCTTCTAGGTCATATAATAATTCTCCTTTTAAGCTTTTTGAGGACCACCATTCTCTTTTCCACAGTGGCAGTACGAATACCACCAACAATGTACAAGGGTTTTAGTCACTCTAATTTGAAACCAGCACTTGATGTTTTCTGTTTTTGGATAATAGGTGTCCTTATGTATGTGAAGTGGTATCTCATTGTAGTTTAGATTTGCATTTGCTAATGATTAGTGATTTTGAACATCTTTTTGTGTGCTTACTGGTCATTTGTATATCTTCTTAGGAGAAATGTCTATTCTCTAGTACTTTGCCCATTTTTAAATTGTTTTTGTTTTTGTTGTTGTTAGGTGATAGAAGTTCCCTCATTTTGAACCTGTGGTTCTCACTGCATGTGACATAGGTGTCTTGAAGACAGCATACCAATGGGTCTTGGTTCTTTATCCAGTTTGCCACTGTGTGTCTTTTAATTGGGGTATTTAGCCCATTTACATTCAAGGTTAGTAGTGATATGTGTGGATTTGATCCTGTCATCATGATGTTAGCTGGTTATTTTGCAGACTTGTTTATGTGGTTGCTTTATAGTATCATTGGTCTGCTTATTTCAGTGTGTTTCTGTAGCAGCTGGTAACAGTTTTTCTTTTCCATATTTAGTGCTTCCTTCAGGAGCTCTTGTAAGGCAGGTCTGGTGGTAACTAATTCCCTCAGCATTTGTTTGTCTGAAAAGGATCTTATTTCTCCTTTGCTTATGAAGCTTAGTTTCACCAGATATGAAATTCTGTCTTGGAATTTTTTTAAGAGTGTTGAATATTGACTCTCAATATCTTCTGGTTTGTAGGGTTTCTGCTGAGAGGTCTGTGGTTAGTCTGATGGGCTTCCCTTTGTTGGTGACCTGACCTTTCTTTCTAGCTGCCTTTCACATTTTTTCTTTCATTTCGACCTTGGAGAATCTGACAATTATGTGTCTTGTGGATGATCTTCTTGTGAAGTATCTTACTTGAATTCTCTACATTTCCTGAATTTGAATGTTGGCTTCTCTAGTTAGGTTGGGGAAGTTCTCATGGATGATATCCTGAAATACGTTTTCCAATTTGGTTCCATTCTCTCCACCTCTTTAAGGGCCACCAGGGGGTTGTAGATTTGGTCTCTTTACACAATCCCATATTTCTTGGAGGTTTTATTTGTTCATTTTCATTCTTTTTTCTCTATTCTTGTCTGTCTGTCTTATTTCAGAATGCCTGTCTTCAAGCTTTGAGATTCTTTCCTATGCTTGGTCTGTTCTGCTGTTAATACTTGTGATTGCATTATAAACTTCTTGTAGTGTGTTTTTCAGCTCTATCAGGTTGGTTACATTATTTTCTATACTGGCTATTTTGTCTGTCAGCTCCTGTATTGTTTTATCATGCTTTTTAGCTTCCTTGGATTGGGTTTTAGTGTACTCCTGTAGCCCAGTGATCTTCATTCCTATGCATATTCTGAATTCTATTTCCATTTCAGGCCAGTTCAGGACCCTTACTGAAGAGAGGATACATTTGTTTGGAGAATAGAAGGCACTCTGGCTTTTTGAGTTTTCAGGGTTCTTGTGCTGATTCTTTCTCATGTTTGTGGGCTTATGTACAGTCTTTTAGGTTGCTGGCCTTTGGATGTTTTTTTTCCCCCTTTTATCCTATTTGATGACCTTTAGGGTTTGATTGTGTTATGAAGGGGATTCAGCTGATTGGCTTCATTTCTGGAAATTTTTGGGGGGACCAGCGCTCTGCTCCCAACTGTATTACATCCAGACTTTGTTCTCTGTCTCCTTGAGGTTAGGAATCCACTGTGTTGGTGGGGACCAAAGTGCTCCTGGACTGCTGGTCACTACACTCCAATGGGTGGTGACAGTCAAAGCATTTCATAGTGTGGTGATAGCAGGGTCCATCCTTGTAACAGCAGCTGCAGCAGAGTGCTAGTGGGTGCCAGGGTGCTTGGCTCCCTATGGGCATTCACCACAGTGGCAGGGGCAATGCAGCTGGGTGGTGGGTGGAGGCCCTCTGTTGGTTACTGTGCACACAGTTGTGCTGGAGGTGGTGTTGGCTTGGGAGCTGGTGGGCGCAGGTCTAGGTGCCTTCTCTGTGCCACATAAGCAGAAGTGGTCACTCAGGGTGGGAGAGGATTCGCTGTTCTCTGTGCAGTGTTAGTATAAGGGCAGGGTGCAGGCAGGGTTGGGGTTGGCTGGCTCTGCCCACCAAGGCTCCGTCTACAGTGGTGGTCGGCAGGTGGAGGTAGGGTGGATTGCACTCTTGTTCACTGGTGGAGAAAGGAAAGCGAAACCTGCCCATACTGACATGTGCCAGCAAAGTGATGTGTGGAGTTGCCATGGCCTCAGGGGAAGCTGACATATGGGGAGGGAGTCTGGGCTGATGCATGGTCATAGATGCCACCCCTCTGCAGCTCTCCACAGGTCAGGCATGGTCCACCATTGCAGAAGCTGTGATATAGCTCCCAGGACATGTGAGGCTGCCCTGCAAGCATGTGTGGCCAGGCTGGGTCCTTGGGAGAGGCCAGCACACCAAGGGATGGTCAGATTGAACTGGCCCCATCTGATGGGCAAGACCATCTTGCAGAGATCAGGTCTAGCAGTTCCCCTTGAAGTAAAGCCACCTATGGTTGCAAGTTGAGCTTATGGGCATGACCACTCCTAAATGTGCTCTGCTATGGATGCTCCTGCATCAAACCTTCTGGGCTCCACATCAACTGGATTGCTGCCCCTACCACTTCTCTAAGAAGCTCTCCCTGCCAATTCAAGTGTCCATGGTGGTCAAAGGGGGGTCTCTGCCTGCCAGGGTTTCAGAGGCCTGTAGCGAGTGCAGGTTGCTCCTTGCCAGTTCAATTCACCTCTTCCCCGGGAGCTGTTGGGATCCAGGAACGAGTCCTGGTGCAGTGCACAGTAGCCCCATGCAGGGTTCCCAGCTTTCTCCCCCTTCAGCCTAGCTTCTGTGTCTTCCTTGTGTACACTCTGGGTGCCTTCCCTCTGAAGATCTGTTAGAAGCACGCCAGTCATCTTGGTCTCTCAGTGGGAGCTGTTTCACCTGGCTGCATCTAGTCAGCCACCTTGTTCTCCCCCACTGCTTATAATTGTATCTTCTTTGTGTATTGAACCTTCTATTATCATATACTATTCTTTTTTGTTTCTAAACTTTTTGGTTTAGTGTCTGTTTTATTTATTTTTAGTATAGTCACCTCCACTCTCTTTTGGTTTCAATTTGCATGGAATATCTTTTTCCATCCTTCCACTTTCAATCTATTTGTGTATTTGGGTCTAAAGTGTATCTCCTGTAACCACCATATATAGTAATGCATCACTTAACAGGGTTATTTTCAGAGGGATATATTATTAGGTGATTTTGTAGTTGTGAATATCTCTAAAACATACTTAGAATAGGTATAGCCTACCATACACCCAAGCTATCTGGTGTAGCCTATTGCTTCTAGGCTACAAACTGGTTCAGAATGTTAATCTGCTGAATACTATAGGCAGTTGTAACACAATGGTAAGCATTTGTGTCTCTAAACATGGAAGAGGTACAGTAAGAATGTGGTTTTATAATCTTATGGGCCCACTGTGATATATGCAGTTTGTCATTGACCAAAATGTTGTTATGGTGGCACATCACTGTAATTGAATTATGTTACTTTGTTATTCTGCCAATCCCTGTCTTTGATTGTACTGTTTATTTCATTCACATTAAAAGTAATTACTGATAAGGAGGGACTTCTCTCATTTTTCTATATGTTTTCTTTATATCTTATAGCTTTTTTCCCTATATTCCTGCATTAATGCTTTTTAAATGTGTTTAGTTGATTTTTTATTGTGAAATGTTTAAATTTCTTTCTTATTTTCTTTTGTTCACATTCTATAGCTATCTTTTTGTGGTTGCCATGAGGATTACATTTAACATTCTAAAGTTATAACATTCAAATTTGAATTTATGCCAGTTTAAATTTATTAACATAGAAAAACTCTGCTCCTGTAATAGCTCCATGGTCTCCTCTTTTGGTTGTTGATTATCACAAAATTACATCTTTATACATTTTTCTGCTCTGAAACATAAATAATTTTTAAAATATATTAGCCTTTGAAATGATGTAGGAAAGAATGTGGAATTAAAACCAAAGTTAAAATAATGCTAGCCACACTTTGGGAGGCCGAGGCGGGTGGATCACGGGGTCAGGAGATCAAGACCATCCTGGCTAACACAGTGAAACCCCGTCTCTACTAAAAATACAAAAAATTAGCTGGGCATGGTGGCAGGCACCTGTAGTCCCAGCTATTCAGGAGGTTGAGGCAGGAGAATTGGTGTGAACCCGGGAGGCAGAGCTTGTAGTGAGCCGAGATCGCGCCACTGCACTCCAGCCTGGGAGATGGAGCAAGACTCCGTCTCAAAAAAAAAAAGAAAAAAGAAAAAGAAAAATAAATAATGCTAGCCTTTAGACTAATAATTTTCTTTTAAGTATTAGTCTCTTAAATCATTTAGATAACAAAAAGTGGAGTTACATATCATTGTACAGTAATACAGGCTTTTATAATTGCCCATATATTTACCTTTATTGAGTTCTTACTTCTTCATTAGGGTTTGAGTTAGTAGTGTTTGTGTGTATGTGTTTTAATTTATTTTACCCTGCAGGTATCCCTTGAGAATTTCTGTTTGGCAGGTCTAGTGGTAACTGACTCCCTCAGCTTTTCTTTATCTGGGAACATCTGAAGTTGGGATTTTTAAAATCTAGGAACATCTCCCTTACTTTTTAAGGACAGTTTTGCTGGTTATAGAATTAGTGGTTGACAGTTCTTTTAGCACTTTGAATATATTTACCTGCTGTTTTTTGACCTTTAAAGTTTCTAATGAGAAATCTCCCAGTCTTACTGATGATCCCTTGCAGGTGTTGAGTCACTCCTATCTTGATTCTTTCAAGATTGCCTCCTTGTCTTTGTATTTTGAACATTTGATTATCGGGTGTCTTAGTGTGGGTCTCTCTGAGTTTATCTTACTTAGAGTTCATTGAGCTTCTTGGATGTTGATATTCATGTCTTTTATCAAATTTGGGAAGTTTGGGGCCATTATCTTTTCAAATAATCTCTTTGTCCCTTCTCTCTCTTTTTTTATTCTGGTACTCCTACATGTGTATGTTGGTTTGCTTGAGGGTGTCCCATGGGTCCCTTAGGCTCTTGTTACTTATCTTCAATTATTTTTTCTTCCTATTACTCAATCATCTCTTTTGTCTTATCTTTAAGTTAACTAATTGTTTCTTCTGCCTGCTCAAATCTGCCTTTGAATCCCTCTAGTGAATTTTTCATTTCAGTTGTTATACTTCTCAGCTACAAAATTTGATTTTGGTTTCTAGGCTTTTTATCTCTTTATTGATATTTCTATTTTGTTTATATAATGTTTCCTTGACTTTTTCCACAACTTCCTTTAGGTCTTCGAACATCTTTAAGATAGTTGTTTGTCTAGTAAACCTACTATCAGATCTTTTTCAGAAACAGTTTTTTATTTCTATTTTTATTAAAAAAATTTGTAGATTTGTAGAGATGGTGTTCTATGTTGCTCAAGCTGGACTTGAACTCCTGGCCTCAAGCTATCCTCCTGTCTCAGCCTCCCAAAGCACTGGATTACAGGTGTGAGCCACCATGATTCATTTTGATTCATTTTTTCCTTTGAAAGGTTCATACTTTCTGTTTCTTTATATGCCTTGTGATTTTTTTTTTTTTGAAAAATGGACATTTGAATCTAATGATGTGGTAACTCTGAAAACCAGATTCTCCTTCTTCCCCAGGGACTGCTGTTTTTATTGTTTTTGTTTGTTTTTTATTGTTCTTGTCCGTCTCTGTGCCAAAGATCAGCCTGAGTTGGAACTTAATGTCTTCTTTTGTCTTTCCTAAGTCTGTACCTTTCTCTGAGAGTGTGCAGTCACTTTCTAATTTTCTCTGTAAGTCTTTTGAATAGGTCAGTTGCTTTTGAATGCCCTAGTCTATTATATTTTCCCAAAGGAGGAAAAAGAGAAAAATCAAGGGGGACAGGGAAGGAAAAGGGCGTTGGCCCTTTATGTCTGCTGCCAGTCACTTTAGCCAGAGGAGCATGGGCCTGCAAACAGTGGAGCTAGGTGTAATGGACACATAGCTATTTGTCTGCACCTCTGCAATCCAAAGCAGTGATCCGCAGCCACAGCATAGATCTCTGAAATTTGGAGGCAGTGTTCTTTTTGTCTGTCTTGACTCTTGTAAGGTATGTTTATGCTGCTCCAGGAGTATGTGCACAGCTGCCTGCTATAGGGGTGGCAGGGGCGGGGCGGGGCCGGGGGGGTATAGGGAGCTGTTACTTTCTTAAGTGCTGATGTTGACCAAAATGAACTACAGTTTCCCATCCAAGCCTTCCCTTGGAAGTAGCAGGCCTTCAGTAGATACCAGAGTTGTCAAAATAGTTATCCACCGGACAGATTCTGCCAGTGCAGTTATTGTCTAGGTGGAAAGATCGATTCCTGGTGAGTCTGCCGTTTTTCCAGAATCTTCTCTTTCTCGTGTGCTTTTGCGTGTTGTTTGCCTGTTGAACTGTATTTTAGAATCTCAATTATATTTAATTTACATTCTCTTTCTTATTATTTTTATATCTGGCCCAATTCTGTGTCTGCTTTATTTTACCCTTGCCTCTCATGACCATGTGTCACATTTGCTTGCTTATCTGTGTGTTTTGTAATTCTTTAATGTGAAATATATAAGAAACAGCTGAGACTAAAGTCAGTAAACTTACCTCCAGGAAAGGGCTTATCTCTTCTTCTTTCAGTCTGTTGAAATGAGGTGCTGCATCAGGCTGATCTGTATTTGATAAGATCTGGTCTTTTATGACAGCTTTACTTTGATTGAGTTTATCACTACTTTAAATATTTTGAAGTTAAGGTTCTGAGATTTCTTTCACAAGGAAAACTGAAGAGTGGTGAGATGCTGAAGGTATCTTTGTGCTTTGCTATGAAGCCCAGATCTTCTGAACTGAGGGAGAACATGTTCTCTTTCTCTGCTTTGCAGCCTGGATGCTTATTCTCTTGTCTGTCCAGTTCTTTCCCCCAGTATTTTGTGCCTCTGGAGAGCACTCTTCCCCTTGCCCTATGCAAGAGCTTTGAGGGTAGCTGTGAAGGCCTGCAGTTTCTCCCAGCTTTTCTGTGCCACCTCCATCCTTCAGTTGTTGAGTGTCCTGAGTGCCTTCAGAGGGGTATCTTCCAGTTCTCCTTTCCTCTGTTTCACTGCCCTGCTCCCAGTCAAGGGAGGTTAGCTGCCTTGTCCTTGGGGAGGCTTCCCATACTTCACAGGTTCATTCTCTCAGTTCTCTTCCTCTCCTGCAGCCTTGGTTTACTCACCCGATATCCCTGGTGAGTACCTGTGGGAATCAGTTGATGGGTGAGTGTCAACTCTCTGCTACAGAGAGTTGTAATTTTAGTTTATCACTTTAGTGATTACACTACAGTGTAATTTTAGTTTATCACTTTAGTTTATATGCAGTTACTCAAGGTTTGGCTGGCTTCTCCTTACCCTGTCTAACATAGATTCTTTTTTCTCTTGTATCTCTGCCAGGCGTCCAAGCACATCTTTGAGTCACTTCTGTCTCATGAAAGTGTTGTCACTTTCTGAAAACTAGTTCATGTAGGTTTCTTTTCACCCTTAATTATTTTATTTCTTTTTTAAACTATGCTTTTATCATTAACCTGGCTTTTTTGGGCTAATGGGAAAATGATTGTTATCTTGTGAACAACTTGTACTTAATATCTGAAGTTTAAAAAAATACTTTGTGATACCACTTTCCTCAATAGAGAATATATCTTCATCAACCTTGTACTTCATATAGTATGAATTATAATGGTACATTACATTTATTAAGTATTAGTTACCTGGGTGGACACTGTCCATGCATCATCTCATTTAATACCCACAAACTTGAGAATACATAATATTATATCATCCTCATTTTCCAGTTGAGAGCCTAAGCAGGTAGGTCAATATTACATTGCAAATTATAAACACATTTGAACTCAGGGTTGTCCATCTCTGGGACCGCGTTTGCAAATTGACGTCCAAAGATGGGGCAGGTGTGTAACATAAGTGAGTAAAGCAAGTGGGGTATAAGAAAAATAACAAAGCAAGTAGCATGATGAATGACAATTAATACTCAGCCTAGATACTGGCAAAAAAACTACAGGGTAGTCAGTTCTGTGACAAACTTTCTTGGGGAATATACACCTCATTTAAAGGTGATGGTCATTTCTCAGCTGTAGCTAGTTGTTGCCCGTGTGAGAATGTAGGTCCAATCTTCCCAATTTTCTGATTTTTCAGTAGAAGCCAGAAATCTGTATTTTTCACATGAAACCTCTTAGCTTCTACATGTCGGTAGCTGGTTTAAATAAAACTAAAATCCAGTATGCAGACCTACATGGTGAATTTTTTTTTGAAATTTTAAATTTCAAATCTTTGTGGATACAGAGTAGGTTTATATATTTATAAGGTATATGAGATGTTTTCATACAGGCATGCAATGTGTAATAATAGCATCATGGAAAATGGGGTATCCATCCTTCAAGCATTTATCCTTTGTGTTACAGACAATCTAGTTATACTATTTTAGTCATTTTAAACTGTACAATTATTATTAACTATAGTCACCTTGTTGTGCTATCAAATACTAGGTCTTTTTCATTCTTTCTGTTTATTTTGTACCCATTAACCATCCCCACCTCCTCCCCACCCCACTACATGGTGATTTTGAAATTAAACACGTCCATAGGCCCAACCTGTTATCTGCAGCCAGTTTTTAATCTATGTAATAAGGTCTGAACTCTTTTAAACTGTTATGTCATACTATCTCTCAGTGCTTAGTTTCATGTATGTACTAAATAGATTAAGGAAGTGAAGACCCTTATACGTAAGCTACACAGATACAGATATATATTTTATCTGAAACACCAAGTCCTTCATTCATCTGCCTTAAGCAATGAAGTTCTCATATAAGATATGTCTCACATTAAGCTGATGCTCACCCGGAGATGATGCTCCAGGTATTATGAATGCTTAGTTTATTCTCGTTTACTAATCATGACTTTCTTTCCCCCTCTTCTTTTTTTTCTGTGATGTAGCTTTCACTTTCAGAAGAACAGAATGAAGTAATGAAAAATGGCTGTGAATCTAAAGAGCTGGTCTACCTCGTGCAGATTGCTTGTCAGGTGATTTTGTGAATGTATTCTCCATTTCATATGAAGTTAAGAATTAGGTTGAGTGATGATTAAATTTATTTCTATAACGTGATTTGCCTAAAGGATATAATCCACAGAAAAATACTTATATAATACTGAAATGAGATTGTGCAATAATGACTATTGTAAGAAAATAAATGGTATTATTTTAAAACAGAAATAAGTGTATTCATACAATACTACATGGAATGTAGAGTTGAGCATTGCAACTTGCATGTCTCCTCTTTGCACTTTTAGAAAGTTCCTAAGGCTTTTGACACTTATGAGTAAATAACAATGACTGTGGTAATCAAGATTTTTTGTTTCATTCTTTAATCTATACCCTTAAGTGAAAATACTTTTATTAAGACTAAAGGAAAGATATTTATTGATCACTACATTAAATGATTCAGCTATTGATCACATATTATGGCAAAAGAGTAGATTATGTTATCTCTGCTTCAGATGCACACTTTTTCTAACTGAGACATTAAGTTTCTCTTCGGTGTAACAATAGGATATGTGCATGTTTTTGTAGCTTGTTATTTCTTGACTTTTAATATTGGAACTGTTTTGAAGGTAATGACCATGACTTGTTCTTAATGAGACTTAAAATATGTCATTTGTAGCATTGATTATTTCCCCCATCATGTAAGCACTTAGTATAGTTCTTTTATTCACTTATTCTACATTCTTTGAGCTTTTTGCCTACTGGTGAATTAGTCATTGTAAAGAAAGCATTTAGGAGGAAAGCTTTCTTCTATACAAAGTTTTCAGCTATCTTTGGGAGAGAGTAAGATATGGGCATTTATATTTTTTCTCAAAAAGTATTAATCATGTACCTGAAGCTAAATGATCCAAAAAAGTCCAATGCTTTCATCGTGTGTGATATACTGAAGTTTTTAGTTGTGGTCACCTTAAGGAAAACTTACCAGAATTAAGTGCGTTTCTTTTTAGGTGTCAGAGTATAGGATTGGAAATCAAATTTTAGCTTGTATATAAATAAGTAAGATGGCCAAATTCACGTATTGTTTATATATGTTTTATTGCATGTCACCTTGGCTTCTTTGAGAATGTAGGGAAGCTCTTAATTACTAAGTTTCATGTCATATTTCATAAAATGCTTCCATTTGGTGAGTTAATTTTTAAGTGAAAATATTGAGTGCATTTATGATAAGTGATTACTAATAGATGGATGAAAATCATATCTTTTTTATCTAGAGTACATCGTTGGTATGTCAGGAATGAATTTCTTAATCCCTCTACAACCTAAGACATTTTAGCATCTCTTTTTTCTCACTGTTAATTTCCATATGCTTCGAGAATGCAAATGTTCTTTTTCTTATGAACAAAGCATAACATGAAAAAAATAAAAAAAAATCTGTGCTGTTTTTTAAAATGACCTTCAGAAGGCAAGCATGGTATTTTGGTACCAAATATTATAACGTATAATTGTTACTTGATTTTTATATTCATGTACAGTATTAGTGACCTAGATAGATAGTTCGTTTCCTGGTATAAGTATCTTGTCAAGCTTCTTAAAAAATTTCATACTACTTGGTATACCATTTGTTATATCAAAGTAGTAATTTAGTGCATTGTAATAATGCATTTGCACCTGTTCTTTGCCTCATTGTATGTAATCATTGATATATTCCCATGGCTTACTCCTGTATTCTTGACATATTGTGTTAGCCATAACCCATATTAGCCTAGAATCATACTTTTTTATAACTAAGAGAGAAAAAGACATACAATTAGACCCTCTAATTTTGCAAGTGAGGAAACTGAGGTCCAAATTACTGAAGTTGGTGTCCTAAGCTATACAGAGTGTTAGCAGTGGGGACTACAAGGATTTCAGTTTCTTGACTGCCACCTTTTTCTGTGTCTATTTCACTCTATAACAAATTTGAGAAACTGCTTAATCTTCAGATAAGACCACCATTATACACTGATGTAATCTGTTTCAGAGTCTACTTATTTACAAATTTTATATCTCTGTCAGTTTCTACTTTTTAATAATATCACTTGATGTTCTTTTTATTTAACCAAAATTCTTGGTCCTTCATCTTAACCCTTTCTTCTCTTATTCTGTTAGCTTATAAAAGTGACAGATTGATTGGCTGTGATCTTTTTTCTTTCTGTAAGTTAAGTGATACTGATTTCTTTCAGTCTTATCTTGGAAACTTTGAAATGTGTCTGTGCCTGCCCTTAAAAGTTTTTATTTCTTTCTAAATTGTGAGCCCAGAATTGTAAACTGTCTTCCAGTTTACATTTGGAACCTTCAAATCTAGAGCCCCTAAGGGAGCACCCAGGCCAACTGGGGACTGTAATCTTAGTGATAGTAAAAATATTTAAACAGCTGATACAGCATGGACCCAAAGCAATAGAACAGATACTAGTTATACCGATCTCATTTACCCATATTGGTGTGTCTTAGCTGAATACTAGCCATGGATAAAATGCTTTTTAAGATGTCTTGAATAATAGGTCTGTGATGCTGTGGTGAGCCCACAACTCCCTCCCTTTCATAGTAATTAATTAGAATTACATGTCGTGCTGCAGATATCCCCTCCCTTATCTTTTTATTCTGTTCTCTGAGTAAACGAACAAAGGTGTCTGTTGAGAGAACAAACAGATCAGCTACTGTGGATGAGGAACCTTCTCAAGAAAGTTAATGTATTTAGTTTGAAATTAATGGAAATTAATAAAAATTCTAGTAATCTCAGGAATATGTCACAGTAGATATAAAATTTAATAATTTTAAAAGGCCAAAATTAGATAAACCCTGACACTAATTATATTGAGCCCCACTACACAGAATAAAACGTTTTGTGAGTTTAACATCAGTGTTACCAGGTCCTAAAAGTATTCTGTCTTTTAGTGCTTTATTCTTTAGCAAATAAGCATCAGCTTTTAAATGTTCATTTTAAAATGGCAAATTTAAGCCCATCTGTGGTGGGCGTTTTTTTCTACCTGTGCTGTAATAAAAGTCTTGTTTTGATCTTTTCCTTCTGTAAATCTAGTTTTGTTGGTATAAGAATAATTGTTGCTTAGTAAAATACTTAGGATTTTAATGTTTCACTGTCAGCTTTATAGTAGTTGATATTAATGGTTCCTATTCAAGTTAAGAGTGTATTAACTACCTTTGTATTTTAAGCAGAATTCATCAATATTTAATAGTTTGATTTTTCTGAAGATCAAGTATTTTATAAATATATACAGTAATCTGAATGCTCTTGTGTCATGGTAGGTGGGTTAATCACTTGGTTTCAGGGGAATGCTTCCTTGCCTCAGAATATCTCCTGTGCTCTAATGTTCTCATGCTTGAAATTCCATCATCAAAAATGCATTCCTTGATATTAAGTAACTCCTTTTCCATTCAGGGCATTAGAAAATGCTGTTAACTACAGGAGTGGGAGTAAATATTAACATTTATAGAACATATGTGCATGAACAAAATATATAGGCAGATTGCCAGGATTTTTATTTAACCTCATAATGCTTCTGTGAAAGGTAGGTGTCATTTATTCCCATTTCATAGATGAGTAACGTGCTGTTCATTGATGTTGAGTAACTTGCATACATTTCTGTATTTAGGATAGGGCCAGGCTGAGATTTAAGTCTCTCCCTCTCTCTCTCTTTTCATTGAACTTCATCCATTTAAAAAGATAATTGATAGCATCCATTGTTTTTCAGATAATCCCATGACAAAGGGACTTCCAAGGACATAAGCAAAGACTGTTCTTAGAATGACAGTTATTTCTAAAATTTGTCCATTTCTTTCCATTTTTATTGTTACCAAGCTAGCTCAAGCATGATCTCTTGTTTGGGCTGATGTTTGCATCCTATAATCTATTATAACCTTATAAACTGCCAGAATGGTATAAAATGTAAATCAAATATTGTTAGTATCGTGGTTGAAACTCTTGGATAGATTCCCACTGCATGTGGAGCTAAACCCAAACTGCTTACCGAGGTCTACGAGGGTCCTACACAATCTGGGTATCCCTGCCTCTTCTACATCATGTCAGGACCATCCCTCCTCACTCGCATGCTGTGGTCACACCAGCTTTCGGGCAGTTTGTAAAAGGGCCTGAGTTCTTTCCTGTACTTTGATCATCCCATGACTCCGTTCACACTGTGCTCTTGCTACATCTGGTAGCTTCCCAGTCTTTAGGACTTGATTTAGATAACACCTCCTTAGAAAGGCTGTTTCTGACCCTATGTGAAGTAGATCCCTCCTTATTTCTTCAGAGTATGAAACTATCATTTTATTTATGTGTTTGTTTACTTTAAAAAGTATTTGTTTTCCTCACTAGAAACAAATTCTAAGAAGTCAAAGGTTTATTGTTTATCATTTCTGTATCGCATCTCTAGTGCTTACTACAGTGCTTAGCACCATGTGAGTGGTCAGTAAATAGCTAGTGAATAAATGAGTGAAAGAAGAACAAATTCTTATCATAGAAATCTGATCCTACATATGTTGGGATATTTTTTTCTCATTCTGCATCCTCAGCCTTATCAAGAATTGTTGATTTTTGTCATGCTTGGATAGTAGTAGTTGGTAGTAATTGGTAGTAATGCTTGCTCTTTTTTTTTTTTTTTTTTTTTTTGACAAGGTCTCTCTCTGTCACCCAGGCTGGAGTACAGTGGCATGATCACAGTTCACTACAGCCTCGACCTCCCAGGCTCAAGTGATCCTCCTGCCTCACCTGGCTAATTTCGTACTTTTTGTAGAGACAAGGTTTTGCTGTGTTGCCCAGGCTGGCCATGAACCAGCTCAAGTGATCCACTTACCTCTGCCTCCCAGAGTGCTGGGATTATAGGCATGAGCCATTGTGCCCAGCTGGTAGCAATAATTACTAAGATGAAAAATTAGCAAATTAAAATTTTGGCAGGAGTATATAAGGAAGAGATTTTGATTTATTCCTTTACAAAGTCATTGAACTTTAAAAATACTCTGATTGTTTATTCAGTCTGTTTGGAAATTGGTTGATCAAGGCTCTATTTTATTGATTGATTGATTGATTGAGAAGGAGTCTCGCTCTGTCACCAGTCTGGAGTGCAGTGGTGTGATCTCGGCTCACTGCAACCTCCAACTCACAGGTTCAAGTGATTCTCCTGCCTCAGCCTCCCGAGTATCTGAGATTACAGACACATGCCACAGTGCCCAGCTAATTTTTGTATTTTTAGTAGAGACGGGGTTTCACCATGTTGGCCAAGATGGTCTTGAACTCCTGACCTCGTGATCCACCCACCTTGGCCTCCCAAAGTGCTGGGATTACAGGTGTAAGCCACCGTGCCCAGCCAATCAAGGCTATGTTTTTACATATGAAAGTACTTTACATTTAAAGTTCTTGTTTTATATCTGCTGAAAATACAAAGTATTTACTAGTTTTATAATTTTACTCAGTGAATTTAACGTAGTTTTAGATGATTTGCAAATTATGTGTTAGAGTTTTAATTTTATAAATGGAGATGTATATAAAAGATTAGACTTTTTGCTGGCCTAAAAATATTTTTAAGAAGTTGAAAGAAATCACTTCATGAATATATGAGGAACTACATTTTGAAATCTAATTCCCTGCCTTAACTTTTTGAAGCTCCCGAAGGCATTTGTGTGGTTGGCAGTTGACACTTATTTTTTTGAGTAACACTACTTAGATGGAAGATGATTATTTTTCAAAAAATTAATAACTTTTTATTTTTCAGACAAGTTTTACATTCACAGCAAAATTGAACAGGAAATATAGAGTTCCCATAAGCTCCATGTTTTGACACACATGCAACATCCCCCACTATTGACATCCCACACCACAGTGGTACATTTGTTATCATTGATGAACTTACATTGTTACATCATTATCGCCCAACTTTATAGTTTACATTAGGGTTTACTCTTGGAGGTGTATATTCTATAGGTTTAGAAAAATGTGTAATGACATGTATCACCAGTATAGTATCATACAGAATAGTATTATAAAAATCCTCCGTGTCCCTCTGATTCATCTTTCCCTTTTCTCTAACCCCTGACAACCACTGATCTTTTTACTGTCTCCCTAGTTTTTGCCTTTTCTAAGATACCACATAGTTGGATTCATACAGTATATAGCCATTTGGATTGGCTTCTTTCACTTAGTAATATGCATTTGAATTTCCTACATGTCTTTTTATGGCTTGAGAGTTCATTTCACTTTAGCACTGAAAAATATTCGTTGTCTGGTTATACCACATTTTATGTATTCATTCATCTACTGAAAGACATCTCAGTTGCTTCTAGGTTTTGGCAATTATGAATAAAGTTGCTATAAACATTTGCACGCAGGTTTCTGTGTGGACATAAGTTTTCAGTTCATTTGGGTAAACACCAAGGAGCATGATTACAGGATTGCATGGTAAAAGTGTTTTTAGTTTTATAAGAAACTGCCAAACTGCCTTTGAAAGTGACTGTGCCATTTTGCATTCCCAGCAGCAATGAATGACAGTTCCTGTTGCTCTACATCCTTGCCAGCATTTGTTGTCAGTGTTTTTGGATTTTGGCCATTCTAATATGTTATGTAGTAGCATTTCATTGTTTTAATTTGGAATTCCCTAATGACATATGATGTTGAGCATTTTTATATGCTATTAACCATCTGTATATCTGTCTTCTTTGGTGAGATGTCTGTTCAAATCTTTTGCCTGTTTTTTAATTAGGTTGTTCATTTTCTTACTGTTGAGTTTTATGAATACTTTGTGTATTTTGGTTTACAGTGCTTTATCAGTGTGTCTTTTTTTTTTTTTTTTTTGAGATGGAGTCTCACTCTGTCGCCCAGGCTGGAGTGCAGTGGCGCAATCTCGGCTCACTGCAAGCTCTGCCTCCCGGGTTCACGCCATTCTCCTGCCTCAGCCTTCTGAGTAGCTGGGACTACAGGCGCCCACCACCACGCCCGGCTAATTTTTTGTATTTTTAGTAGAGACAGGGTTTCACCGTGCTAGCCGGGATGGTCTCGATCTCCTGACCTTGTGATCCGCCCGCCTTGGCCTCCCAAAGTGCTGGGATTACAGGCGTGAGCCACCATGCCCGGCCATCAGTGTGTCTTTTGCAAATATTTTCTGTCGATTTATGGCTTATGTTCTCATTCTCTTGACATTGTCTTTTGCAGAGCAGAAGTTTTAAATTTTAATGAAGTCCAGATTATTATTTATCTTTTTCATGGATCATGCCTTTTGTGTTTTTTAAAAATATCATCGCTGTAACTAAGGTCATCTAGATTTTCTCCTTTATTATCTTCTAGGAGTTTTATAGTTCTGTATTTTACATTCATTCAGTCTGTGATCCATTTTGAGTTAATTCTTGTAAAAGGTGTAAGGTCTGTGTCTAGAATCGTTTTCTTGTTGCATGTGGATGTCCAGTTGTTCCAACACCCTTTAACAAGTCTGTATCATGTGTCCATTGTATTGCCTTTGTTCCCTAGTCAAATGTCAGTTGACTTTTATATGGGTCTGTTTCTGGGCTCTCTATTCTGCTCCATTGATCAATTTGTCTGTTCTTTTGGCAACACCATGCTGTCTTGATTAGTATGGCTTCTTTTTTTTGTTTTTTTTTTTTGTTTGTTTGTTTGTTTGTTTTTTTGAGATGGAGTCTTGCTCTGTTGCCCAGGCTGGAGTGCAGTGTCATGATCTCAGCTCACTGCAAGCTCTGCCTCCCGGGTTCACGCCTTTCTGCTGCCTCAGCCTCCCGAGTAGCTGGGACTACAGGCGCCCGCCACCACGCCTGGCTAATTTTTTTGTATTTTTAGTAGCGACAGGGTTTCACCATGTTAGCCAGGATGGTGTCAAGCTCCTGCTGCCCGTCTCAGCCTCCCAAAGTGCTGGGATTACAGGTATGAGCCACCGCACCCAGCCTAGTATGGTTTTATTATAAGTCTTGAGGTCTGGTAGTGTCAGCCTTCCAACTTTGTTTTTCTTTTCTTTCAGTGTTGTCTTGGTTTTTCTGGGTCTTTTGCTTCTCCATAATACTTTAGAATCAGTATCAACAAAATAACTTGCTGGGATTTTGACTGGAATTGTATTGAATCTGTAAATCAGGTTTGGAAGAACTGGCATCTTGACAATATTGCCTTCTTATTCATGAACATGCAACATTTCTCCATTTATTTAGGTCTTTGACATCTTTCACCAGAGTTTTGTAGTTTTCCTTATATAGCTGTTAGGTGTATTTTGTTAGATATATAGCTGTCTGTGTAGTTTGTTTTTTGGGTGCTACTATAAACATTAATATATTTTTAATTTCAAATTCCCCTTGTTGTGTGCTGGCTCATGCCTGTAATCCCAGCACTTTGGAAGGATTAGTAGGAGGAATGCTTGGCGACTGAGGCTAGGAGATTGAGATCAGGGCAACATAGTGAGATCTCATCTCTATAAAAAAATTAAAAATTAGCCATGTGTGGTGGTGTGTGCCTGTGGTCTCAGCTACTTAGGAGGCTGAGGCAAGAGGATCGCTTAAGCCTAGTACATTGAGGCTGTAATGAGGCATGATTGTACCACTGCACTCCAGCCTGGATGACAGAGTGAGACTTTGTCTCTAAAAAAAAAAAATAATAAAACCAAACAAAATTTCTCTTGCTCATTGCTGGTATGTAGGAAACTGATTAGGTTTTGTATATTAACCTTATATTCTGCAGCCTTGCTATAAATCATTTATTAGTGCCAGGAGTTTTTTGTCAGTTCTTTTGATTTTCTGTATAGATAATCCTGTCTTCTGCAAACAAAGTTTTATTCCTTTCCAATCTGTATACCTTGGGTTTCCTTTTCTTATTGTATTAGCTAGGAATTCTGATACTATCTTGAAAAGAATTGATTACAGAACATCATTGCTTTGTTTTTGATCCAAGCGGGAGAGTTTCAAGTTTGTCACCATTAAGTATGATGTTAGCTGTACGTTTTTTGTAGATGCTCTTTCTCAAGTTATGGAAGTTCCCTTTATTTCTGGTTTGCTGAGAGTTTTTTATGAATGGGTGATGGATTTTCTTAAATGCTTTTTCTGTGTTTATTGGTGAAATCATGTGATTTTTATTCTTCTTTAGCCTGTTTATGTGATGGATTACATTAGTTGATTTTCAAATGTTGAACCAGCCTTGCATTCCTGGGATAAATCTCACTTGGTAGTGGCATGTAATTGTTTTTATATATTGTTGGATTATAGTTGCTAGTACTTCATTGATGATTTTTGCATGTATGTTCATGAGAGATATTTGTCTGTAGTTTTTTTTTTTTTTTCTTTTTTCTTAGAATGTCTTTGTCTGGTTTTGGTCTTAGGAAAATGTTGGCCTCCCAGAAGAAGTTAGACACTTCTCTCTGCATCTGTCTTCTGGAAGAGATATAGAGACTTGCTATAATTTCTTTCTTAAATGTTTGGTAAAATTTACCAGTGAATACATCTGGGCTTACTGGTTTCTGTTTTGCAAAGCTATTAACTGTTAATTAGATTTCTTTAAGGCCTATATCTTTTTCTTCTTGTGTGAGTTTTGGTGGATGTATCTTTTTAAAAATTGGCCAGTTTCATCTGTGTTACAAATTCACAGGCATAGAGTTGTTCCTAATATTTTTTATTGTCCTTTTAATGTCCATGTGATCTGTAGTGACGGTCCTTATTCATATGTAATGTTAGTAATTTGTGTATTTCTCTCTGTCTTTTTAAGTTAGTTTGGCTAGAAGCTTCTCAATTTTATTGACATTTTCAAGCAATTCACTTTTGGTTTTGGTAATTTCTGTTTTCAGTTTTGTTGATTTCTGCTCTAATTTTTAGTATTTATTTTCTTTTCTTTACTTTGGATTTAATTTGCTCTTCTTTTTCTAGTTACCTAAGGTAAAACTTAGATTATTGTTATTAGATGTTTCTTCTTTTCTATTTCAATAGCTTTTTGGGGAAGCGGTGGTGTTTGATTATATGGATAAGTTCTTTAGTGGTGATTTCTGAAATTTTGGTGTACCCATCACCTGAGCAGTGTACACTGTGCACAATGTGTTGTCTTTTATCCCTTCTTCCCATCATCCCCCTGCCAAGTCCCCAAAGTCCATTGTATCATTCTTATGCCTTTGTGTCCTCATAGCTTAGCTCCCACATTGTACGAACATACAATGTTGGGTTTTCCATTCCTGAGTTATTTCACTTAGAATAATGGTCTTCAACTCCATCCAGGTTGCTGTGAATGCCATTATTTTGTTCCATTTTATGGCTGAGTAGTATTGCATGGTATACCACATTTTCTTTATCTACTCATTGATAAATGGGCATTTGGGCTGCTTCCATTTTTTGCAGTTGCAAATTGTGCTGCTATAAACATGTGTGGGCAAGTGTCCTATAATGACTTACTTTCTTCTGAGTAGATACCCAGTAGTGGGATTGTTGGATCAAAAGGTAGATCTACTTTTAATTCTTCAAGGAATGTCCACACTGTTTTCCATAGTGGTTGTACTAGTTTACATTCTCACCAGTTTTCCCTTTTTACCACATCAATGCCAACATGTTATTTTTTTATTTTTAAATTATGGCCATTCTTGCAGAAGTAAGGAGGTATCACACTGTGGTTTTGATGTGCATTTCCCTGATAATTAGTGATGTTGAGCATTTTTTCATATGTTTGTTGGCCATTTGTATATCTTCTTTTGATAACTGTTTATACCCCTAGCACACTTTGTGGTGGAATTATTTGTTGTTGTTGTTGTTGTTGTTGTTGTTGTTTTGTCTTGCTGATTTATTTGGGTTCCTTGTAGATTCTGGATATCAGTCCTTTGTCTGATGCATAGTTTGTGGAGATTTTGTCTCACTCTGTGGGTTGTTTGTATACTCTGCAGAAGATTTTTAGTTTAAGTCTCATCTGTTTATCTTTGTTTTTGTTTCATTTGCTTTTGGCTTCTCGGTTATGAAGTCTTTGCCTAAGCCAGTGTCTGGAAGAATTTTTCCAATGTTATCATCCATAATTTTTGTGGTGTCAGGTCTTAGATTTCAGTCTTTGATTCATCTTGAGTTGATGTTTGTATAAGGTGAGAGATGAGGATCCAGTTTCATTCTTCTACATGTGACTTGCCAATTATCCCACCACCATTTGTTGAATAGGGTGTCCTTTCCCCACTGTATGTTTTTATTTGCTTTGTCAAAGATCAGTTAGCTGTATTTGGCTTTATTTCTGGGTTCTCTGTTGTTCCGTTGGTCTGTGTGCCTATTTTTATACCAGTACCATGATGTTTTGGTGACTGTGGCCTTATAGTGTAGTTTGAATTTGGGTAATGTGGTACCTCCAGATTTGTTCTTTTTGCTTAGTCTTGCTTTGGTTATGTGGGCTCTTTTTTGGTTCCATATGAATTTTAGGATTGTTTTTTCTAGTTCTGTGAGAAATGATCATGGTATTTTGATGGGAATTGCATTGAATCTCTAGATTGCTTTTGGCAGTATGGTCATTTTCACCATATTGATTCTACCCATGAGCATGGGATGTGTTTCCATTAGTTTATGTCATCAATGATTTCTTTCGGCAGTGTTTTATAGTTTTTCTTGTAGAGATTTTTCACCTCCTTGGTTAGGTATATTCCTTAGTATTTTATTTATTTATTTATTTGCAACTATTGTAAAAGGGATTAAATTCTTGATTGTATTCTCAGCTTGGTTGCTGTTGGTGTATAGCAGTGCTGTTGATTTGTGTACATTGACTTTGTATCCTGAAACTTTACTAAATTCACTTATCACATCTAAGAGCTTTCTGGATGAGTCTTTAGGGTTTTCTAGGTATACAATCATATCATTGGTGAACAGCGACAGTTTGACTTCCTCTTTACCAGTCTGAATGCCCTTTATTTCACTCTCTTGTCTGATAGTTCTAGCTAGGACTTCCAGTACTATGTTGAATAGAAATGGTGAAAGGAGGCATCCTTGTCTTGTTCCAGTTCTCGGGGGAATACTTTCAACTTTTACCTGTTCAGTATAATGTTTGCTGCGGGTTTGTCATAGATGAGTTTTATAAGGTATGTCCCTTCCATACTGATTTTGCTGAGGGTTTTAATCATAAAGCAATGCTGGATTTTGTCAAATGTTTTTGCTGTGTCTATTGAGATGATTGTGTGACTTTTGTTTTTATGTTTATGTTGTGTATTACATTTATTGACTTGGTTATGTTAAACCACCCCTGCATTCCTGGTATGAAACCCACTTGATCATGGTGTAATATCTTTTTGATATTCTCTTGGATTCAGTTAGCTAGTATTTTGTTGAGGATTTTTACATCTGTTCTTCAGGGATATTGGTCTGTAGTTTTCTTTTTTTTGTTATATCTTTTCTTAGTTTTGGTATTAGAGTGATACTGGCCTCATAGAATGATTTAGGGAAGATTCCCTCTTTCTCTATCTTTTGGAATAGTGTGAATTAGGATTGGTACCAGTTCTTCTTTGAATGTCTAATAGAATTCAGCTGTGAATCCATCTGGTCCTGGACTTTTTTTTGTTGGCAGTTTTTAAAATTACCATTTGAGTATTGCTGCTTGTTATTGGTATGTTCAGAGTTTCTATTTATTCCTGGTTTACTCTAGGAGGGTTGTATAATATATTTCCAGGAATGTATCCATCTCCTCTAGGTTTTCTAGTTTATGCACATTTAAAGTAGTTCATAATATCTTTGAATGATCTTTTTATTTATGTGGTTTTAGTTGTAATAGCTCCCATTTATTTCTAATTCAGCTTAGTTGGATCTTCTCGTTTCTTTTCTTGGTTGATATTGCCAATGGTCTAGTGATTTTATTTATCTTTTCAAAGAACCAGCTTTTTCTTTTATTTTTCTTTTGTATTTTTTTTTCTTGTTTCAATTTCATTTAGTTCTGCTCTGATCTTGGTTATTTCTTTTCTTCTGCTGGGTTTGGGTTTGGTTTGTTCTCGTTTCTGTAGTTCCTTGAAGTGTGACCTTAGTTATCTATTTGTGCTCTTTCAGACTTTTTTGATGTAGGCATTTAATGCCATGAGCTTTCCTCTTAGCACCACTAGTGCTGTATCCAAAAGGTTTTGATAGGTTGTGTCTCTGTTATCGTTCAGTTCAAAGAATTTTTAAATTTCCATCTTAATTTCATTGTTGACCCAACAATCATTCAGGAACAGATTATTTAATTTCCATGTATTTGCATAGTTTTGAGGGCTCCTTTTGGAGTTGATTTCCAATTTTATTCCACTGTGGTCTGAGAGAGTACATGTTATAATTTCGATTTTCTTTAATTTGTTGAGATTTGTTTTGTGGCCTATCATATGGTCTGTCTTGGAGAATGATCCATATACTGATGAAAAGAATGTATATTCTGCAGTTGTTGGGTAGAATGTTCTGTAAATATCTGTTAAGTCCATTTGTTCTAGGGTATAGTTTAAGTCCATTATAGCTTTGTTGACTTTCTGTCTTGATGACCTATTTAGTGCTGTCAGGAGAGTATTGAAGTCCCCCACTATTACTGTGTTGCCATCTGTCATTTTTTAGGTCTAGTAGTTATTATTTTACAAATTTGAGAGCTCCAGTGTTAGGTGCATATATATTTAGGATTGTGATATTTTCCTGTTGGATTAGTCCTTTTATCATTATATAATGTCGCTCTTTGTCTTTTTAAACTGTTCTTACATTAAAGTTTGTTTTGTCTCATGTAAGAATAGCTACTCCTGCTCACTTTTGGTGTCCCTTTGCATGGAATATCTTTTTCTACCCCTTTACCTTAAGTTTATGTGAGTCCTTGTACTTAGGTGAGTCTCTTGAAGACAGCAGATACTTGGTTGGTGAATTCTTACCCATTCTGGTGTTCTGTATCTTTTAGGTGGAGCATTTAGGCCATTTACAGTCAACATTAGTATTGAGATGTGATGTACTATTCTATTCTTCATGCTAGTTGTTGCCAGAATACCTTATTTGTTAGTTTTTCATTGTTACTGTTTTATAGGCCCTGTGAGATTTATGCTTTAAGGAGGTTCTATTTTGGTGTATTTTGAAGTTTTGTTTCAAGATTTAGAACTCCTTTAAGCATTTCTTGTAGTGCTAGCTTGGTAGTGGTGAATTCTCTCAACATTTGTTTGTCTGAAAAAAACTTTTTTTTCTTTCATTTACGAAGCTTAGTTTTTCTGGATGCAAAATTCTTGGCTGATAATTGTTTTGTTTCAGGAGGCTAAAGAGAGGCTTCCAGTCCCTTCTAGTTTGTAAGGTTTCTGCTGAGAAATCTGCTGTTAATCTCATAGATTTTCCTTTATAGGTTACCTGATGCTTTTGCCTCACAGCTCTTATGGTTCTTTTCTTTAGAAACCCTGATGACTATGGGCCTAGGTGATGATCATTTTGCGATGAATTTCCTGGTTGTTCTTTGAGCTTATGTTTGGATGTCTGGCTCTCAAGCAAGGCCAGGGAAGTTTTCCTTGACTGTTCCCTCAAATATGTTTTCCAAACCTTTAGATTTCTCTCATTTCTTGGGAATACTAATTATTGTTACGTTTAGTCATCTAACATTATCCCAAACTTCTTGAAGGCTTTGTTCATTTTTTAATTTTTTTTCCTTTGTCTTTGTTGGATTGGGTTAATTGAAAGCCTTGTCTTTGGGTTCTGAAGTTCCTTCTTTTACTTGTTTGAATCTATTGTTGAAAATTTCCAGTCTATTTTGCATTTCTCTAAGTGTGTCTTTCACTTCCAGGAGTTGTGATTTTTTTTTTTATTTATGTTATTTCTCTGGAGATTTTTTTGTCCATATCTTATATTATTTCTAAAATTTCTTTAAGTTGGTTTCACCTTTCTCTGGTGCCTCCTTAAGAAGCTTAGTAATCAACCTTCTGGCCGGGTACGGTGGCTCACGCCTTTAAACCCAGCAGTTTGGGAGGCTGAGGTGGGCAGATCACCTGAGGTTAGGAGTTTGAGACCAGCCTGGCCAACATGGTGAAACCCTGTCTCTACTAAAAATACAAAAGTTAGCCACGCGTGGTGGTGTATGCCTGTAATCCCAGCTACTCGGGAGGCTGAGGTGAGAGAATCACTTGGACCCAGGAGGCGGAGGTTGCAGTGAGCTGAGAACGTGCCACTGCACTACAACCTGGGTGACAGAGTGAGACTCTGTCTCAAAAAAATTAATAAATAATTAGCCTTCTGAATTATTTTTCTTGCAATTCAAAGAGTTCGTTTTTGTTCGGATCCATTGCTGGTGAGCTGACGTGATCTTTTGGGGGTGTTAACCTTGTTTCGTCATCTTACCAGAGTTGTTTTTTCTGGTTCCTTCTCATTTGGGTGGACTATGTCAGAGGAAAGATCTTGGCTTCAAGGTCTGCTGTTCAGATTCTTTTGTCCCACAGAGTGCTCTCTTGATGTGGTGCTCACCCCCTTCCCCTAGGGATGGGGCTTCCTGAGAGCTGGACTGCAGTGATTGTTATTGCTCTCCTGGATCTAGCCACCCAGTGGAGTTACCAGGCTCCGGGCTGGTGCTGGGGAGTGTCTGATGTGATCCATCTTCAGGTCTCTCAGCCATGGATGCCAGCACCTGCCCCAGTGGAGGTAGCAGAGGAATGAAGTGGGCTCTGTGAGGGTCCTTGGTTGTTCTGTTTAGCATACTGGGTTTTTTGAATGCTTGTTATGCTAGCAGTGAAGTTGTCAGGTGGACAGACTCAGGTCCTGTGGTTAGCCAGGATGTTACAGGTTGTGGAATTAGCTGTCATTTTCTCCTTTCTTAGAGCAGTTTTTTAATGAGTTGCTGTAATGGCGTGAGTTGGTTTGCTTCCAGCCAGGCGGTGGCGCTTTGAAGAGCATCAGCTGTGGTAGTATAGAGGGGATACAAGCTTGGCTAAGGTCTCCTGGATAAGTAGTTTGGTTTCTCAGGTGAAGGGTGAGGCCATGGAGTTCCCAAGGGATTATGTCTTTTGTCTTCAGCTACCAGGGCAGGTAGAGAAAGACCATCAGGTGGGGGTAGCGTTAGGCGGATCTGAGCTTGGGTGAGGGTTGCTGCAGGTGCTGTGGGGGATGGGGTGTGATTCTCAGGCCATTGGAGTTATGATCTAAGGGGGATTATGACTGCTTCTGCTGCATCATACAGGTCGCTAGGGAAGTTGGGGAAAGTTGGCAGTGACGGGTTTCATCCAGCTCCCATGCAGCCAGGAAGGCCAGTCTCATTCCCACTGTCCCCCATCAACAGCACCAAGTTTATATCCTGTCAGCTGGTGAGCAGGACTGAAATCTTGCCCCAGGCTACAAGCCTCCCTGCTGAGAAAACACGCAGGGCTTTCAGGCTTCACCCCTCCCCATCTACCTTGTCTTCTGTACTCCTATCTGTGCTTCCTGTTTACCTCCCAACCCAACCTGGATTCTGCGTAGGAAAATTTGCGCTTCATCAAAGTTATTACAGAATTGAGCTGGAACTTTCCTTTTTCCTGTGGTCTATCCCCAGTTCCACTGGCATCCCTCCCAAAGAACCCCTGTGAGATAAAGTCAGAAATGGCTTCCCTGGGCCTCTCTAGGGACCAGGAAGTGCCCAGGAAAGTGTCTACAGGGCTCTTCCAGCTGCTGCTTCTACTTTTATATTTCACTCAGCTCTCTAAATTCATTTCTGCTCTAGGTAAGGTTAAATCTTTCTTCCATGATCTGGATTTTCGGGTTCCCCAGTGAGGATGAGTGTTCAGAGGCAGACTTTCCCCCTTTCACACTTGGGGCACTCACAGTTTTTCAGCTGTCTCATGGAGTTTGCAGCAGCCAACTGCTTTTTTCCAACGGTTTGTGACTTCTTTTGGTTTTCCTGGTATGTTCCTGGGATGGTTTTGGGAGGAAGAGTTCATGATGTGAGCCTCCACATGCTGTTCTGTCTGTCCGAGTGGGATCTGCAAGTTAGTCTTGCCTCCTAGCCACCATTTTTCTCCTCTCTTCTTTTCTGATGCATGCGTTCAATGCTATGGATTTTTCTCTAAGCACTGCTTTCACTGCCTCCCACAAATTTGGGTAAGTTGTATTTTTGTTTTTATTTGGTTCAAAATATTTAGTAATTTCTCTTGAGATTTCTTCTTTTACCCATGTTTTATTTAGAAGTGTGTCATTTAATCTCCAAATTTTTTGGTATTTTTCAACTATTTTTTCTATTATTGACTAATAGTTTAATTCCTTGTGGAAATTTTTTCTATTATTGACTAATAGTTTAATTCCTTGTGGTCTCATTACTGAAAAGAGGTCCTGATCCAGACCCCAAGAGAGGGTTCTTGGATATTGCACAAGAAAGAATTTGGGGAGAGCCCATAACGTGAAAGCAAGTTTATTAGAAAAATAAAGGAATAAAGAATGGCTACTCCATAGGCAGAGCAACAGCATGGGCCGCTCGTTGGCTATTTTTATGTTATTTCTTGATTGTATGCTAAGTAAGGGTTGGATTATTCATGGGTTTTCTAGGGAAAAAGGGTGGGTAGTTCCCAGAACTGAGGGTTTGTCTCATTGTTAGATCATATAGGGTAACTTCTTGACGTTGTTATCTCATTTGTAAACTGTTGTGGTGCTGGTGGGAGTGTCTTTTAGCGTGCTAGTACATTATAATTAGTGTATAATGAGCAGTGAGGATGACTAAAGGTCACTTTCATCACCATCTTGGTTTTGGCGGGTTTTGGCCGGCTTCTTTACCGCCTGCTATTTTATCAGCAAGGTCTTTGTGATCTGTATTTTGTACCGACCTGTCTCATCCTGTGACTTAGAATGCCTAACCTCCTCGGAATGCAGCCCAGTAGGTCTCAGCCTCATTTCACTCAGCACCTCTTCAAGATGGAGTCCTTCTGGTTCAAACACCTCTGACACTCTGTGAGCAGACATATTATGAATTCTGTTTTTTAAAAACTTGTTATGGTATGTTTTATGCCCCAGAATGTGGTCCCCAAGATACAGTGACTGTTCCATATGAGCCTCAGAAGCATGTGTAATCCGTTGTTGTTAAGGTATTCTATCAATATCAATTATATCCAGTTGATTGATGGTACTGTTAAGTCAACTATTTTCTTATTGATTTTCTGCCTACTGGATCTATTCATTTCTAATAGGGGGGTGTTAAATAATTTCTTATAGAGGGTGTTAAATAATTACAACTGTAATTATTTCTCCTTGTAATTTAATCAGTATTTGCCTCACAGTACTTTCATAGTCTGTTTTTAAGCACATAAATATTAAAGATTGTTTTATGTCTTCTTGGAGTATTGATCCATTTGACATTACTGAGTGCCCCATTTATCCCTCATAACTTTCTTTGCTCTGAAGTCTGCTCTGACTGAAGTAAATATAGCTATTTTTGCTTTTTTAATTAAAAAATTAGTATGGCATCTCTTTATCATTTTATTTTAATCTATCTTATATTTAAAGTTGATTTCTTTTAGACAGTTGGGTCCTGTATTTGATCCACTCTGACAGTTTGTCTTTTAATTGGTATGTTAGACCACTGATGTTTAAAGTGATTATTGATGTAGTTGGATTAATATCTGCCTGTCATTGTTGCTGTTTATTGCCCTTGTTCTTCGTTCCTATTTTTGTTTTCCATACTTTGTCTCCTTTTTGTGTGTTTTTTTCCAACTTTATTGTGATATATATAATTGTCAAATAAAAATTACATATATTTAAGGTGTAGAATGTGATATTTTGATATGTGTATGCGTTGTGCGATGATGACTGCAGCTGAGTTACATATCCATCACCTCACAGTTACCTTTTTTTGCATGTGTGGTGAGAACACTTATGATCAATTCTCTTTTTTTGTTTTTAATTGAGCATTTTATATGTTTCCATTTTGTCTCCTTTCTTAGAATATCAATTACATTAAAAAAAATTTTTTTAGGCCGGGTGTGGTGGCTCATGCCTGTAATCCCAGCACTTTGGGAGGCCAAGGCGAGCGGATCATGTGGTCAGGAGATCGAGACCATCCTGGCTAACATGGTGAAACCTGTCTCTACTAAAAATACAAAAAATTAGCCAGGCATGGTGGCAGGTGCTTGTAGTCCCAGCTACTAGGGAAGCTGAGGCAGGAGAATCGCTTGAACCTGGGAGGCGGAGGTTGCAGTGAGCCGAGATCAGACCACTGCACGCCAGCCTGGGTAACAGAGCGAGACTCCATCTCAAAAAAAGAAGAAAAATTTTTTTTTTTAGTGGTTGCACTACAGGTTGTGATATACATTACAACTAATCCTAGTTCACTTTCAAATAATTATACTGCGTCATGGATTGTGCAGGTGCCTTGTAATAAAAATTATTTGTAATTCCTCTCTATCCTTTGTATTATTACTATCATTCATTTTACATATAGAAATCATACATAAGTATATACATATACACATACCTCCATACACATATATATGTAAAACACACATAGTCAAGTACATTGTTGTTGCTATTATTTGAACAAACTGTTATCTGTTGTATCAATTAAGAATAAGGAACCAAAGTTGTATTTTACATTCACTTATTCTTCTCCATTACTTTTCCATTCTTTATGTAGCTACAGGTTTCTGATCTGTGTCATTTTCTTTTTCTTTAAAGAACTTCTTTTACATTTCTTACAGAGCAGGTCTGCTGGCCACAAATTTTCTCAATTTTTGTTTGACAAGCTTTATTTCTCTTTCATTTTTGAGGGATAATTTTGCAGAGTATGGAATTCTAGGTTGCTGGGTAGGGGTTATTTTGTTAATACTTAAAACATTTACTCTACTCTCTTCTTGCTTCTGTGGTTTCTGAGAATATGTTATATAATTCCGATTTTGACCCTCTATAGGTAAGGTGTTTCCCCCGCAAACTCCCAGCTTCTTTCAAGATATTTTCTTTATCTTGGATTTGCTGAAGGTTTTTTTTTGTTGTTGTTGTTTTTTGTTTGTTTTTTTTTTGAGGAGGGTGATGCAATTTATCCTGCTTTATGTTCTCTGAGCTTCCAGGACTGGTGATTTGGTGTCTCGGTCATTATTGCTAGAAATATTGGTTTTGCTCCTTTCTCCATTTCTTCTCCTTCTGGTATTTTCAGTATGTATGTATCATACCTTTTATAGTTTTCCCACAATTTCTAGATGTTCTGTTCCTTTTCTTTAGTCTTTTCTCTCTTTGCATTTCAGTTTTGGTTGTTTCTATTGTGATACCCTCAAGCTCCAATTCTTTCCTCAGCTGTGTCCAGTCAACTAATGAATCCATCAAAGACATTCATCATTTCTGCTTTTGATCTCTAGCATTTTTTTATTCTTTGTTATAATTTCCAATTCTCTGCTTACATCTGTTCTTGCATATTGTCTACTTTTTCCTTAAAGCTTTTAGCAGATTAATCATGTTCTTTTAAATTATTGGTCTGATAATTCCAACATTCCTGCCATCTTTGACTCTTTTTCTGATGTGTCTTCAGTCTTTTTAAACGGTGTTTTTTTCCTTTTAGTTCACGTTGTGATTTTTTGTTGAAGGTGGACATAAGGTGGGTCAAAGAAGTATGTTAAATAGCCCGTTAGTAATGTGATGGTAAGGTGTGTGTGTAGGGGGAAGCATTCCATAATCCTGTGATTAGGTCTCAGTCTTTTTGTGAGCCTGTGCCTCTGAACTGTGAACTTCACACGTGAATCTCAGTTCACAGCCCTCCATCCTGCACCTTTAGGTAGGACACGATGACTGGAGTGGGCTGGAGTTTGGTATTCCTCTTCTCCCCAGTGGAAAGCTTGAAGAAGCTGGAGCTGTATTTTCTTCTTACTCCAGAAAATGAGGCTGTGGTAAGAGTTTTTCCTGAGGGCAGACTTTGTTGAAAACATAGTGTTTGGGTGTGTTTCAGAAGTTTATTTTCTCCTGTCCCTCTTAAGAGCACAAGGAGATTTTTTTCAGATATTTACTGTGAGGACCTAGTAGAGCTCACAAAAGTGTGTGGCTCCCGTGACGGGGTTCTCTGGGAGTTTTTATTGCTCAGACTTGTCATCCCTGAGCCTCTAGCAATTTATCAATTATAGATTAAGTTTTCCTACCCTAGCACTGGTTCCCACAGAGGTTTCTGCGTGTGGATTTCTGCTGTGGGTAAGTGCAATTCTCTGTATTTACCTGTCTGCCTCTAATTTGGGAGGGGGATAGTGATTTGTTCCGTGACCCCACTTCTGTAACAGATCTAAGAAAGATCTGTTGATTTTCACTTTGTTCAGCTTTTTACTTGTTAACCAGTGACTTCTGAGCTCCTTACATAGCAGACCAGTAACCAGAAGTCCAGTGATTACTTTGTAACTAGACGGACATTGATCACTTCTGAAATGGAACTGTATCATGAATGTATTTTTGTATGGCCTGTCATTTCCATGTGGTACTTGGTAACACAAAACCAAATGAACTAGAAGTTGAGCTGGCAGAACAAATAAAAAGCGTATAACAAAAAATATTTTAATACCTCTTTTAAAAATATATTTTAAATACCTCTGTGGGAAGAATGCCTGAAGCAAATGAGACCAACACATTTCTTTTTTTAGTGATTCATATTCTGAAGTTATTTATTTTTTCTACCTTAACTACTTATTACTTATTCCTCCTAACTACAACTTTGTACCCATTGACCAACATCTCTTCACTTTCCCTATCCTCAGCTCATGTTAATCACCATTCAACTCTGCTTCTATGAATTCAGTTGATTCAGATTCTACATGTGAGACCATGTGATGTTTGTCTTTTTTTGCCAGGCTTATTTTATTGCGCATAATGTCCTCCAGATTTATCAGTGTTGTTGCAAATGACAGGATTTCCTTTAAGGCTGAATAGTATTCCATTGTGTACGTATACCACATTTGTTTTTATCTACTGATCCAGTGATGGACACTTAAGTTGATTCCATAACTTGGCTATTGTAAATAAGGCTATAGTGAACCAAGGAGAGCAGATATCTTCTTGATATACTGATTTCAAGTTCTTAGGATATATATCTAGATGTGGGATTATTGAGTCATATGGTAATTCTATTTTTAGTTTTTTGAGGAACCTCCATATAGTTTTCCAAAATGGCTGTACCAATTTATATTTCCAATAAAAGTGTATGGGGAGTCCCTTGTTTCCTTTTCTCTACAGCTTTGCCGACACCATCTTTTGCCTTTTTGATAATAGCCATTTTGACGGATGCAAGATGATATCTCATTGTGGTATTAATTTGCACTTGCCTAATGACTAGTGATATTGAGCATTTTTTCATAATATCTGTTGACCATTTGTATGTTATCTTTTGAGAAATGTCTGTTCAGTGCTTTTGCCCATTGGTTAATTGGGTTATTTTTTTTTTCTGTAGAGTTCTTTGAATTTTTAAAATATATTTCAGATATTAACCCCTTATAAGATGTATTTTTTCCCAATCTGTGGAGGTTTTCTTTGCCCTGATAATCATTTTCTTTGCTGTGCAGAAGCTTTTTAGTTTGATATAATCCCATTCAAGACTAACTAATTTCTCTTTGAGATCTTTTAAGCAGAAAGTTCAATATTGTGTAATAAACCATTTAATAAATAACATCAGTATACATTCAAGGAATTTTCTTGATTGTAACTCACTGAGTGTTACAGCTCTCAAAGGCCTAAGTAGGTTACAGCTCTCAAAAGGCTAATAGTTCCATCAAATAATTTGATTAAACATACAATTATACTGTAGTTTGATGATATGTTATAGTAATATACAATATACTCAGTAGAAAGGTTGGCAAAAATATGAATTTTTTATAAAAGAAGAAATAAAAGTGACTGAGAAATATGAAATTGTGTTTAGCTTCATTAAGTCAATAAAAGGCAAATGAAAGAAGATACAGTTTTTCACCTACTGGAAAATTTTTAAGTCATTATTTTTAGTATTTGTGAGGATGCATTTGAAATAGACCCAAGCAGTAAAAATTGGTACAACGTGTCAATTTTTAGGAATTTTGTATGTATTTATTTTAACTTTTCATTTCACAACGATTTTAGACTCACAGAAAAGCTATAAAAATAGAACAGAAATATCCTATTTACCCTTAACCCAGTTTCTGCTAATGTCACATTTTTAGGAATTAATGCTAAGAAAGTATAAGACATTGCAACATAAACTTAAATACAAATGTGTTATTTATAATCTTGTTATCAATTATTGTACTGTCATCTTAGAACTCCCAAATCTGTCAGTTTGGAAGTTTAAACACCTTTTTCAAAATCAGTCTTTATTAGTGGAGGCATTGTTCTAGTGTCTGGCTGGGCATGTTAACAATTTAACCAAACTAATATTTGCCTGCTATACTCCATGCATGATAGATGCATGAGCAATATAGCATGCAAAAGTTATTTTTATTCCAGACAGCTTTAACAGTGAGAAAAATACCAATAGTGATAGCTAATATTTAATGAATGGTTTCCAGGGAGTCTGTTAAGCACCTTACGTGGATTATTTCACTTACTCTTCTGACAACCCCAGTTACTATTAGCCTCCCCATTTTACAGATGAGGAAACTGTGGAATAGTTATATATGGTCAAGTGATTAGCACATAGCCTAGGGTAGTATAAATTCAGATCTTGCATTCTCAATTACTGGCTGCTGTTCTCATTCTTTCTCTTTTTCTTCTTTCTTCCCTCTGTTTCACACTTATGTAGCTCTAGAAATCTATTATGTAAGACAAGGGAAAATGATATTCCAACTAGCAAAGATTACCTTATAATACACCAGAACACTCTCTATTTCCTAAAGAGTGTTGGCTGAAAAAGGATTAGAAGCAAAGCCAATTTCTCTTCTACAAGCACCAGGCACCAAAAAATGCAGGACTACATTTCAGTGATCTTGACCACTTCTTCCAAAGGAGTAATAAATGTGAGCCTACCAAATTGCAGATCATTTCTCTCCTCACCTTTAATACCATGGAATAATTGTACACATGTTTGGAGTTGAAGCCTAATACATCTTCTCGTGAAAAGGAGCAGAAAAACAAAACATAAGTGAATGATCACCAGGGCATGCTGAATTATTCCAAAACAATAATGTTGAATTTGAGATTTTATTCTCCAAAGCTGAAGCTGATGATTCAGCCAATATGGAAAGCAACCTTTGATCTCTAAAGATATATTAACTTTTAGCTGACTGAAACCCTGATGCACTAAAAAGTAATTGTTAAGAATGTTCTTTTGTCTTTTGAGTTGTTGAACATTGGTGACTGGTTGCTTGTTCTGCTAAATATCCTGAGAATTTGTTTGGAAACCTTGTTTTCTACTTTTGGTAGGTTCAGCCCAGAGTAAGTTCTCCAAATTAATAGAGAGTAATAGCTAGCATGTATTGAGCAATTTCTATCTGCCTACTACTAAGCACTTTACATTGATTTATTTGATTTAATTCTTAAATAACCAGGATTCACAATTGGGACATTGTGGTCCTAGAGCCAAGCTATTAGCTGTGTATTTATTTCAGGAGTTGGTAAATCTAAATATATTCAGCATCTGTATAGGTAATGTTAGTTAAGGAAAATGGCTGGGTGTGGTAATGACATTGGCAAACTTGTGCTTGCTGTGCTGTACCTAAATGTTTTCAAATGCAGTTTCTAAAAACACTGTAGGCCACACCCAAATCAGAAGATATAATGGATAAATTTGAAATACTATGGGTGATGGCTGTAAGGCCTTCTCTTTCAGATGAAAATTTAAATTATTTTATTGGATACTTATTTTCATACTTGTTCTTTCACATACCTGTGTGAAAATTTCAGCAAACTACCTAATCTGTGATTATATTCATAAAGAAGGAAATAAAGTTTTATGTTCCTTCTTTTTGATGAGATACTGCAAATTGAGGGGACAGTCTCAGACTTGGATAAAGTGTTTTACAATACATGTCAATTATGAAGATTATTTTTCCAATATATTAGTAAACAAATCTTCTAGAAGTCAATACATAAAAGTCATTGTAATAGAGAAAATGAACAGGATTTTGGTAGTAATAGGCAATTCATACAAAAAGAAATCTTAATAACAAATGAAAAGATGCTAAGCTTCACTCATAATCAAGGGAATGTAAATTAAAAGAAGATACCATTTCAACTCTATCTGGTTAGCAGTGCTGTAAATTCTGATGATGCCAAGAATTGCAAGGATTTGGGGGCAGTGGGAACTCATATGCTACTGTTGGGTGAATAAATTGGTGTTACCACTTTGGCAAATTTGAAATAAAATGATGCTTGTACATCATAACTTGGCAGTTCCCAGGAATGCTTTGGGTAGAAGGTAGTGATAGAACTGAGAAAATAAAGGAGTTTGCTTGAGCAAAGCATCAAAGAAAGAGCTAACATGACAGGAAGAACAAACAGCACTTACAGAATCATGAAGGCAAGGAAAGGAACATTCAGCTCATGAATCGAATACATGCAAATCATTCAATATAACTGGAAGCCAAGAAAGGGCATGGAGTAATAGCCAGTAAGATCAGTCTGGAAATTTAGACAGGGCCCAGATGATAAAAGCTGTGAAATGTGGGGATAGTTTGGGTTTAATCCTGTAGACCAGTGGCCCTCAATTCAGGCTGATCGTCAGAACTAACTGGATCCCTTTCCAGACTTAGTGAATTAGCATCTCTTAGAATAGGGACCAGGACACTGTTCTTCAAAAGTCTCAGTCACATTGCTTCTCTGCCTTTCAGCCAAGGTCAAGTGTAGAAGTCTTGACCACATCTATTATTTCATTCTTAGAACCCTCTGAAAGAGGGAGCTGGTAATGACTTTTTGTCTATGTCGTGGAGGATTACAGTCCAAAGTGGGATTATGCAAGTTTATCATGTTAATTTTTGAGACACTAGTGATTAGAAATCAGCACCCTCTCATGAGGTGATACCCTCTGTTTCTGCTCCAGTTGTCTGGGGCAGATGGAGGAACTGGTGTCTCTGAAGGCTTTTTCTTTCAGACCCTCCAGATTTTTATGAGCCAAAAGGCTCTACATAAAAATTAAATTACATTGCAAAACTATATGCTATACAGTCGGGATTTGCTCATCATTACTCACCACAGGAGCTTTTGAAGGACTTGTTGTTGTTGCGGTGTGAGCTGATAAACTCTGTATTTTGTAGTTGGGGGTGCAGGGGAGGAGTTCAAAGGCAAGGCACATTAGCAATATTTCAGGTAAGAAATGATGATGGTTCTTACTGAAGCTTGGGCTATAGGACTGAACAAGAAGTGATAGATTCAAGAGAAGATTAGAAGATAGTATCTAATAAATATCCTTTATGAGTGTAATTTTAAAAAATGAGCTTGTGAGATTGGGCAAAGAAAGGAAGGCCTGAGAGGCAGGGAGAGCTGAGGTTTCTAGATGCTGTATGAATATCAAATATTTATAGAGGAAGACTTCAGTAGTTTTGGTTTTTTAGTATATTTCCGATCTCAGTCACAGAAAATGTTGGTAGTAACAAATCAAAACCTGATTTTATTTTTCTTTAATTTCAGTTAATATTCTCCTACCTATGGTTTTTTTCTTTTTGGTAGATTTAAAATCACATGTTATTTTAACCATTTAGCAGTTATTGTTCTGAAAGTGAGGCAGTGGATTTTGACCAGCAGTAGGAAGAGGGATGGTGGAGAGTTCTATCTTATTTTCAATTATTGGCCTTTTAATGTAATATAACTTATTAGAGTGTTTCACAGTTTTAGCTATTAACTATCAAGTTAATAGAAACTTCTCATTAGAAAATATAAAATCTCATGAATAAAATCACATTATAGAATATGGCCTGATTCATAAGTATTTCCCAATAGAGGTGAATTATATGAGTTTCTTTTTTCTACCAATAGGGAAAAAGTTGGATTGTTAAAAGAAGTTATGAAGATTTTCGGGTACTTGATAAACATCTTCATCTGTGTATTTATGACCGAAGATTTTCCCAGCTCTCAGAACTTCCCCGTTCTGACACCCTGAAGGACAGTCCAGAGGTAAGCATTTAGTACATTTAGTACAGAGGTAATCACTATATATGAGTTTGCAGAAGTTTTTGTCTGTATACTAAACAAAAGCTTATACTGAACACGCAGGGTGATTCCTGGGACTACTTGCCTGTTTCATAACTGAAAAGTTAGTAATGTTAAATATAATGTTTAGAATGAAAGTAGGTTCAGTGTGTAATTTTATAAGGGAAAACAACTCATAACAATATATCAACAAGCAATATATATGAGCAAAACATTCTCCAGAGAGCACATAAAAGTGGAAGCAAAAATATGGAAAAACATTGCCTTTCATGATCAAAGGGATCCATATTAACAGTGTTGAGTAGTTTATGACAGCATGCTGTGTGTATGCACCTACCTTCACCCCTACAAAAAAATAAATAGTAAAAACGTAAAAGATTTCTAAACAGAGATTCTTTATAGCATCATTAAACCAAAAGTACCATTGGGAATCAAAAATTGTAAGGAATCTTAAAAAGTAGATGGGATAAGGTTTATGGGGAAAAGTAAATATAGCCTAAACATGTAAGTGCAACAAGACCGCAAAACACAAGGAAACTAGAAAGTTTACACATAGAAACTGAATAAATAAAATAACTGAGAGGTACAAACAAGGCTTTTCGAAGGATGATTACTATCCTCTGAGAGAAAGTGAAGCTGTCACATTCATGAAATGGATTTAAATAAACTAAAATCAGAGATGTTGTAAACGAATATAGGATCATTTAAATTAATTTAGTAAGAGCAAACCTGAGTAACTGGACTCCATACAGAATGTACCCAGCTGAAGAGAAAGTCAGGGAGTTGAATGATCAAGCCAAGTCATTTATAAGAATACAACCCCTGGAAGGGACGGAAAGTTAAAAAGTTGTGAGAGAACAGTTGGGAGTCATGGAGAATAGGTCCAGAGAGGTTTCTACTGATGGGAGTTACAGGAGGAGAGAGTGGATGCAAGGAAATAATTAAAAATTGGTGTAAGCCACTCCCCCTACCAGATCTAAATAAAGTGATGTTCTGAGATTCAGTGGGTTCATTAAGTGCTAAAATATAACGGACACTGCAGCAGGGTCTCAGGAGTGTCTTAAAACACGGATCTCTTTGTACCATAGAAAACCTGAAAGTCCCTTTATCTGCATTTCCCATTTCTGCTTCATTTCATTTTTTTTCTGTTTCATTTTTTTCTCTCAGATTATCCTAAAACATGGCCACTACCAAGAGGTCCCAGGTTTTTATCCCCTTTTAAGAGAGCAGCCAGACTGAGCTAGAATCTGTGTCACAATTCCTAATTCCTGGGTTAGCTCTTGATTGGTCCAACTAATACTGGGGCATATTCCTGGACCAATCGGCTGAACCATGGTATAGGATCACGTATGAACATGGCTGCTCCTGCCACAGGCCATGTGCATGGAAGATTACAGTGGGTCTTGGGGAAAAGGGTTTCTGAGTAGTAGGGGGAAATTTAGGCAGAAAAGCCAAATATGTATCTGCTATAGTTATCTTTTTGCATATTCAGTACAAAAATAGAAAGTGTCAAAATTAGAAACCATGGAATAGTATGATCGCTGATGATAAGGGGCTAGAAATTGAAGCTCTGCATGAGACAGGGGCTGACTTGCTATGTAAGTGCCCATAGTGCTACTGGTAAGTTTCTGTGAAGAGTCCTCTGTAACTATTAAAATGCCTAAAGATCTATAGATTTTTTTCTTCCAGAAACCATCCAGTTTTCCCTGCCAGAGAGCATAGTATCTTTACTCAGAGTTACACTGATCTTTTTCTTTTCAGTCGGTCACTCAGATGCTTATGGCTTACCTGTCACGCCTTTCAGCTATCGCTGGCAACAAGATCAACTGTGGGCCCGCCCTTACCTGGATGGAGGTATTTCCTAATTCACTTTTCATGAAAAATGTATATTTAAATTATCTACTTAAGAAATTTGATATTAACATAATTTTGATGTCTATTGAGCTTCAGGAATCAAAGAAATGAAGTATATTCTCAGCATCTGGGAGGATAGATACGTGATACACGAAATATTTTTTCATCTCAAATCTTTCTTTGATAATCTTGGAAACTAATCTTAATATATTTTATGAATCTCGATGATACCTGTTATTTTGGTGTTTAGTATACTAATGTATATATTCAGCAAGGTGTACATTTTTTTAGTTGACTTAGTAATTGAAAATATTTTTCAGTTATTAGCAAGGGACAACTTTTTAAAGGGTCCTTTTTAAGAGTAAGTATTGAGTGAAACATTATTCAGTAAATAGATTACATATTTATTCTTAATGTGCATATGTAGAGTTATATTGTTTTCTCCTCCCACTGGAAATTGGGAATGCAAGATGGAAAGTGGAAAGAATATAGAACTATGGGCCAACCTGCGTTGAGATCTTGGAAAAAGTATTGAATCTCTTGTAAATTACATAGCCTCTTTCATCTTTAGCATCTCACCTTTAAATGATGATAAGTATTTTTTTTTGGAGTTATGAGGATTAAATTAAACTGTATATGTTATAGGCACAGCACAATGACTAGCATATTTTTACTACCCAGTAAATGGTAGTTTTTTTTTTTAAGACTCTTTGGGTTATTGTATCTCTAAATTAAAATGAATTTCTTTTATAGATAGTCAAAGAAGCATTTGCAAGTCCAGTGTCTTTATCTCATAGTACATTTTCTTTGTGATAGATTGATAATAAGGGAAATCACCTTTTGGTTCATGAGGAGTCATCCATCAACACTCCTGCTGTCGGTGCTGCCCATGTTATCAAGAGGTACACTGCTCGGGCCCCTGACGAACTGACCTTAGAGGTAAATAGTTAAAGTGGTTGTTTGTTATTTGGTTCTTGCTAACTTTCTGGCCTCATCTTTGACTGTTCTTAACCATTTCCTTAATTTTTAAAAAAATGAAAAGCACCAGGTTTTTCCATAGTCTTTTATATTTCAGCCTGTAATATCTTCTATTTTTGTTTAAGTGACAGTACTCATCCTTGAAAACTGAGGTTAAGTGTCTCCTGTTTTGTCTGGGAAGTCATTCTTGATCTCCCTCCCCTCACTCCATGCAAATACATACCCCCCAAAACCTGAATTGAATGTCATTCTGAACTGTGCTCATGGCTTATTGCTGATATATCACTTATTATATTTAATCATGATTGTTCTCCTCTTTGTCTCATTGAGCTTCTGGAAAGCAAGGTCTGTCTTTTTGTGTTTTTGTACCTAAAAACAATACCCAATGATACATTTTTTTTCACATATTGTTGAAAGATTGAGTTAAAGAACAGATAAAAGGTGAAATGAACACATCTTGCTACCACATATAAAAGGAGGGGAATTAAATTTTTTCCTCTAAAGATATATATTGGCTAATGAGAGAAAAAAAATGCTGACAGTTACTAAATTTAAGAAATAACAGTATAACTTTTTACTGCATAGAATCTGAACTGTTTTCAAACTTTTAGGTTCTGTACAGAAAGAAATGTAGGTCTTGGAATGATGATGTTAGCATATATGGCTTTACAAAATGGCTTATACATGATATGTAAGATCAGTTGTGAATATACAAAAGAAAAATTCCTAAAGCTCTATAGTATATGTTAGTAACATTGCTCTGAAGTTCTTAACTATGTTTTATCATAGATATCAGCATTTCTTTTGATTGAAGAATATAACTTCCATTGAATATATTATTAAAAACTATTGTAATTTTTATATTTATGATTTTATATGAGTTTAAACTCAGTAGTTTTTCTTTTACAGTGAAGAAAGTTAGCTCTTTAGTGGATATAATTATATTTTACTATCTATTGAAAGAAGTGTAGTTGTCATCAAATTTTATACTTACTAAGAATAACCCATCCTAGGCCCTTTTCTGTATGATTAAATAAGATATGTCAAGAGCTCAGTACAGTGCCTGGCACATGGTAAGCACTCACTAAATGTAATATTAAGGGAATCTGTTACTGTTTCTAAACATGAATATTTAAAATTATCTTTTATAAGTGAATCTGATCACTCTCAGTGACAGCAGTAACAGTATTTTAACAGAAGTGATGATAATGGTGTGATGCCTAGCATTAAAAATCTTATGCTATGAATCTGGCTTTCTGAAGTTACTGCACCTGTGTTAGTTGAATCACAGTCTTTGTGCTGCTTAACTTTTTGTAGACCTCTCTTTAACAAATCATAAGATAATTAAATGATTTTTAAAAAGAAATGGTACTTTTTTTGGAAATTACTGGCCAGAGCATGAATAGTACTTTACCTTTTCATACAGTTCGGATTTAAATTCTAGGTATAACAATTGGTTTAAAATTTAACTAAAACCATTTTGCTTAAAATTTTGATTCTCCTAGGTGGGAGACATTGTTTCTGTTATTGACATGCCCCCGAAAGTGTTAAGCACATGGTGGAGAGGCAAGCACGGATTCCAGGTAGGCAGCAGCAAATTAGGTGTGGGAAAATTCAAAGGAAAGTTTTTTTATGATTCAGTAATACTTTTGTTTACATGTGCTGGTAATGGACTTTGTCATCAGAAATTTTGTCTGCAACGATAGAAAATGCAGATAGTAATGATAATAGATTTAGATTTCCTTTTCTAATTACTATTTTGGTTGTTTCTTATCTCCTTTTTCATCTTTAAATGGTGGTGAAGCCAAAATGTGAATAGCATCTCAGACCTCATGGCCACTTTTAGGTTACAAGGCCTGTGGAGTGACCTTGCTTTTAATACAGGTTGTTAATCGGGATTCACATATATTTCCTCTCTGGAATTAAGTCAGTTTGATTAATATTTCTCTATAAAAAGGCATTGTAACTGTTATGTAAACTTACTTTTAATTACAGAACAACAGAATCTAAAGCAATCTCATTTCTTTTTCTATATTCAGTAGTCCCTTATCTACGGTTTCCCTTTCCATGGTTTCAGTTACCTGAGGTTAACCAAGGTTCGAAAACATTAAATGGATAATTCCAAAAATAAATAATTCATAAATTTTAAACTGCATGCTGTTCTGAGTAGTGTGATAAAATCTCTCTCTGTCCCACCCCGGACGTGAATCATCCCTTTGTCCAGCATATCCACACTGTAGATGCTGCCTGCCCCATTAGTCATTCAGTAGCCCTCTCAGTTATCAGGTTGACTGTTGAGGTATTAAGGTGCTGTGTTCAAGTAATCCTTATTTGACTTAATTGTTTTAGTCGATTATTAGTTATTGTAATGAATCTCTTACTGTGCCTAATTGATAAATTAAACTTTATCATACGTATGCATGTATAGGAAAAAGTATCCTAGGGTTTGGTACTATCTGTGATTTCAGGCATTCCCTGAGTGGTCTTGGAACATATTTCTTGCAGATAAGGAGGGACTACTTTATGGCTAAACAGTTTTGAGACCTGATAATAACATCTATTAGACTGACTTAGCAACTACTTTTTATGAGGAGTCTCTGAAAATGCCTTAAAGTTGTATCCTTAACATATAGCCTGTGGTTTTTTGTGGTCTACTTATACAAGTGTTACTAAATACTACATAAATAAAATGCTCCTGCTATATTGTTAGAAATTTGATAAGCATTGTATAAATACTTTGAGTTCTAACTACATATTAAATAAAAATGAATTATTAGCTTTTTATAAAATATATTTTTTATTAAAACATAATAATACAATTTAAAACATTATAAGATGGTGGATAAGAGTGGGCTCTGGCTCCAGATTGTCTGGGTTTTAATCCTGTGTTGTCTCGGGCAAATTGTTTAATTCTCTGTGTCTCAGTTTCCTCATTTGTAAAATGGGGATTATGGGACTATTGTTTACCTCACATGATTATCTTGAAGATTAAATATGTGAGAATAAAAATAGAACATGCTTATTAGACCAGGTCTGATGTATAATTTTTTTTTAATCAATAAGTGTTGATTTTTAAATTTAAAGAATTCTGGTTTTTATTTTACAAGTTTAATTTTATCTATCCCTTTCCCTATTATGAAAGCATCTATAGTAATTTAATTTGGTTGTTAAGACCAGAAAAACCCTATCACATTACCCCAGAACTCTTCTTGTTTGTGCTATTGGGATCCCCCTCCATCTGTGCTCTGATTTCTTACCAGCTATGAATAAGTGCTTTTGATTAAATATAAAACTAAATAGAAGACTACAGTTATCTTTTTCCTATTAAGGAGTCAGTTCTTCATGTTAGTGGAAATGAACAATAGACTTAAGGGTCTCAAAGATGATCAAAAGATTAATTTGGCTTTAAAATAATAGTTATGTTGTGGTCTTGATGTTACTACTAACTTTCTTCTGTCTGTCTGTCTGTCTGTCTATCTTATCTATCTATCTATCTATCTATCTATCTATCTATCTATCTATCTATGTGTAACACCTTAGGGAAGTCATTTGCTTTTTTTGGATTTGAGTTTCTTCTTAAAATCAGAGGGTTTCACTTAAAATCTCTCTATTCCTTCTCAACATTTAAATTCTATGATTGTCTTCCCTTTGTTTATGTAACAGATATTTATTCAGTACTGATTGTGTGCTAAGTGTATAGCTTTATACCCCAAAGTTTTGTTGAGACGCACACAATTAGTTCATTGCCTAAACAAACTAATTCTTTTCAAAGTGAGTATAAATTAACTAGTCTAAAACTAGTTAAACATCAGTTTATTGCCAAAACAAATTATTGAAAACAAAAACGAAATTTCTAACTTCAAAGATTGATTTGTAACCGATAATGAAAAATCTTTCCTATAGGAATGCTATTTTTCATCTTGATTGGTCTTAGAAAGGCAATCGTATCTCCATGGATCATGTTGGAGTGTGCCTGTGAGAAGAGGTATTGATGTGGGGGGTGCCCGTGTAACCAGGAACAAGTCTTTAAATGTTACTGTCAAACTTTTTTTAAAAAGAAATTCAGGCTAGGGGCAGTGGCTTACACCTGTAATCCCAGCACTTTGGGAGGCCGAGGTGGGTGGATCATGAGGTCAGGAGTTCAAGACAAGCCTGGCCAACATGATGAAACCCCATCTCTACTAAAAATACAAAAATTAGCTGGGCTTGGTGGCGCATGTTTGTAATCCCAGCTGCTTGGGAGGCTGAGGCAGGAGAATCTCTTGAACCCGGGAGGTAGAGGTTACAGTGAGCTGAGATCATGCCACTGCACTCCAGCTTGGGTGACAGAGCAAGACTCCACCTCAAAAAAAAAAAAAAAAAAAAATTGCAAATCAGTATTTTAAGGCAGGAATCCACAGTTCAGCATTCCTTGCTGTTTCTACACATTAGTCCATTTCTAAGAGCACTCATGGTTAATTGCAGGGAAAGGTGTGAAAGAGGAGACATGTTGAGCATCTGTTACCTGCAAAGTATAGCTCAGTACTTTACATGCAGTGTTTTCTTTAATTTCACAAAGCTTCTAGGTAGTTACTGTCCTCCATTTTTATGGAGAGAAAACAGTTTTTGAGAGGTTTAATAAGTAGTCAGGATGCTAAGTCAGTTAAGTGAAGGGAGTAGGGACTGAGATCTAAGTCTGCTCCATCTCATTGCCTGAAGAGCACTAAGCATGATTTTTACATTCACTCTCAGATTATTAACGTTCTTCATGTCAGTTTTCTACCATATGGAAAGGAACATCTTTCCTGCTCAACCAGCAAGAAATATAGTGTAAAGATTAGCCAACTGTGGACTGCAAAGCATACATGTTTACTGGTGGGAACATTGCTGTTACTGCGTGTTATGTTTTTGTGTGATGATTAATCAATTGTATGCTGGAGAAAAACTCTTCAGACTGTTCATGATGTCCCCTACCTTTGTTAGGTATTTTTAAATTGTAAGCGTGTGCTCCTCCTGGGAGACACTCTGTTGAGAGAGGAAGACAATCATGGTAACTGTACATCAGACATCTTTCCACATCCTGATTTTCAAGTTTAACTGAAATAATAGCTTAGTTCGGTGGTTTTTATACTTTTTCTTTTAATCCAGTGGAATTACTAATCAAACAGAATCATGCGCAGAACCTCAGTGCAAGAAAAAGTAACCATGGAGCTGCCCTGATTGGTTTAAGTGGGAAACGCTGGGCCTTATCCCCATGCAGCCCACCTGGCTGGCCTCCTTCAGGCCTTCTGCAGCAGCCCTGAGGGGCCTCAGTAGGGGTGAAAACCATGAGTTTAGCTTACTAGTGGACCTCACTTTGTGTAGTAGATACATCAAAAGCTATTTTAAAATTTTAATTTTGAAAAGCCAGCCAACAGTCTAAAGTTAATAGGGAAACATGTTCTTTATAAGAAGATTTTTCATGACTCCTGTTAGAAGGATAATATCTAGAGTTATAAAATTTCTCTAATGTAAATTATGTCTGAATTCCTGGTACTTCATATATTCTGATATGGATGGGGGATATCATATATTCATATATTCTGATATGGATGGGGGCAAATAATCACATATATATGATTGTATATGAGATATATATATATATAGAGAGAGAGAGAGAGAGTGTGTGTGTGTGTGTGTGTGTGTGTGTGTGTGTATATTTTTTTTTCTGTTATTGGGCATAACAGATGACCCACTGATACTTCTGCCAGTGGGAGCTGTTTCTAGGATTTATTCATCCCTTAATTGGTCTGTTAGGTACTGTGTTCATTTGCTAGGGCTACTGTAGTAAAATACCACAAACTGGGTGGCTTAAAAATTAATAGCAAATATATTTTCCTACAGTTCTGGAAGCTAGAAGTTAAGGTACCAGAAGGTTTAGTTTTTTTCAAAAGGCTTCTCTCCTTGGCTCACAGATGGTCACTTTCTTGCGTGTCCTTACATGGCCTTTCCTCTCTGTGTTTGTCTGTGTCCTAATCCCTTCTTCTTGTAAGGACATCAGTCAGATTAGGTTAGGGGCCACCTCATTTAACCTAATTACCTCTTTAAAAGTTCCCATCTCTAAATACGCAGTTAATCCATGAACAACGTGTGTTTGACCTTTGCGAGTCCACTAATACACAGATTTTTTTTTTTTTTTTTTTATCAAACGCTATTGAAAATACAGTATTTGTGGGATGTGAAACCCTCATATATGGAGGGCAGGCTTTTGGAATATGACGTGGGATTTGAGTATGTGTGGATTTGGCTATATGAGGGGGTTCTGGAACCAATCCCCCAGCTATGTTGAGAAATGACTGTAGTCGCATCCTGAGTTTCTGGGGGTTAGGAATTCAACATTATGAATTTTGGGGGAGAGGGGCACAATTTTTAGCCCATAATAGATGTCAACCAGTCCTGAATGGAGAAGCTGGTTGAGCCACCTTTAGGGCTGGCCTGAAGGCACCTGAGGGACTCTCTTACATAGACTTGGTGGGGAACAGGTCCCTACCTGAGCCAGGCTGGTTTCAGGCTCAAGGCAGGCAGGACATGGAGGACTAGCAGACCTCAGTACTCTCCTTGGGGTCTCTCTGATGAGTAGGGAGTAGGGCTCACCAGGATTCCCTGGAAGGTGCAGGAGGGCTTCCTAGAGGAGGTTACACTGGAGCACAGTGTTGCATATGTCTTCTGCCGAGAGGATGTCCGATGACCCACTGATGCTTCTGTCAGCAGGTGCACAGGCCAGGCGGGGAACAGCATGCACCTCGGTCAGCCAGCTCGCCTGGCTCTGGTTACATGTGAACCCTGTCAACTGGGCTCCGGCTGCAGAACACGGAGGAGGCTGTGCGTCACAGAGGTGGCAGTGTCTTCCCTAGCAGTGTAAAGGAAACGAGGGCCTCGTCTTGGTGTTGGCTGTCACCGGTGGTTTTCCTAGGGATTGAGATGACTTAGTGCAGGCCTCTCTCAGGAGAGAAGGGAAGAGGAGCAAGGATGTGGGCTACTGCTTCCCATGATGGAGGCTGAGTGAGCTGAGGTGTCACCCTCTTGAGCGCTGCTGCAACACTTTCTGAAGCTCGTTGTTGACACCCAGGCCCGATATGTCTGCATTTGCAGCTCTGCTCAGCTCGATGTGTTCATGGCATGTGATCTGGACTCCAGTTTTCTTTTGTCAAGGTCACACTATGTGTGTGTGATCTCCTTTCTGGCCAGCTGTCAGGGCATGAGAAGGCACAAGTCTCTGTGCAGTGGTCCTTCCTTAATATTGCTGTGAACTCATGCTATATAGTGGTGGTATTGTGATTTTAATATTTTAAAAATAGAGCTGGATGTGGTTCCTCATACCTGTAATCCTAGCACTTTGGGAGGCCAAAGTGGGAAGATTGCTTGGACCCCGGAATTTGAGACCAGCCTGGCCAACATGGTGAAACCTCATCTCTACTAAAATTATAAAACTGACCCAGGCGAAGTGGTACATGTCTATAGTCTAAGCTGCTTGGGAGGCTGAGGCAGGAGGACCACGTGAGCCTGGCAGGTGGAGGTTGCAGTGAGCCAAGAGCCAGACCTTGTCAAAAATAAAAATAATAATCAATAGACTTGATTTTTGTATAGTTACAGATTTACAGAATAATTGAGCAGATAGTTCAGAGTTTCATGTAATACCCCTGCCCACTCCCCTCACCTATACCTTCCCGTCATTCACATTTGCTTTACAGTACATTGAATAGAATCAGCAAAATGCTGATCTTTACCAACCATCAGCTGATTAGCTGAGTTTACCTACAGCACTGACTGAGCACTGTTTCTAGAAGAGTGGTCTAAGGAGCACCAGGGCCAGAATCACACAGAAAAAAATACAGTCTCAAATCATACCTTGCAACTGTTGAAACAATTTTGGGGCTTACTTTTTGTTATAATTAATGAATCAATATTGATATACTATTATTAACTAAAGTCCATTGTTTATGTTAGAGTTCCCTCTTGGTGTGCATTCTCTGGGTTTTGACAAATGTGTAATAGCATGTATCCACCATTATAGTTTTCATACTGAATAGTTTTATTGCCCTAAAAATCTCCTGTGCTTCTCCTATTTTTCCTTTCCTGCTGAACCCTTCACAACCTGTGATCTTTCACTGTCATGTCTTTTCCAAAATATCCGTATTGTTGGAATCGTATAGTATGTGGCCTTTTCAGACTGGCTTCTTTTACTTAGTAATATGCATTTAAGGTTCCTCTGTGTCTTTCTCTGGCTTGATAGCTTCTTTTTGAATCACTATCTAATATTCAGTGTCATGGATATGCCACAGTTTATATATTCAAGTATTGAAGGACCTTGTGGTTGCTTTCATGTTTTTAGCAATTATGAATGAAACTGCTATAAACATCTATGTGCAGGTTATTGTGTGGACATAAGTTTTCAAGTCTTTTGAGTAAATACCAAGGAATATCATTGCTGGATCATATGGTAAGAGTATGTTGAATTTGGTGAGAAGCCACAACACTGTCTGCCAAAGTGCCTGTATCATTTTGCATTGTTACTAGCAGTGAATGAGAGTTTCTGCTGTTCCACATCCTCACCAACATTTGATAATTGCCAGTTTAAAAAAAATAGCCATTCTAATAGGTCCAACACATAAAGTTAGTTTGAGGAATAGTGTTTACCAAATGTATTGAAGGGTGCTGTTCTGCTCTCTTCATTTTGTTACCAGTAATTCTTTTTATTCTCCCTTTGCCACTGACTCTTAAACTTGAATGTTTAAAGGAGGCTATGTTTAAATATCAAATCCCAGGGCCTAAGCCCTACAGTTCGTTTCAGTCGTTGTGGGGTAGGATCTAAGACTATTTTGGTCCATGTGTGCTGCAGGTCAATTCTGCTACTCACCTGCATTTTGCCAAGTTCTATTCTAAGTATTGCACTAGCCCAGACCATAATTTAGCCGTGGGAACAGAAGGATAAGTTCATCCATGTGTTTAAATTATACTGTGACTCTCTTTCTTTTCTTAAACTTCTGGGAGTAGGAAGTGTGAAATTATATTAACTACAGTAATTTGAAATTTTGAAATCTGTGTTTTTTATTTGTCACCTAAGGAGTATATTGAATCTCTCATCTTTGTTGTCTGAGGTATTTCATCATATAATATACTTCAGAAAGTAAAAGTAAAAACTCTTCCCTTTTTTTTATTTTTAAACTAACTGGCATTATTAATAGATTTGTGTTCTTGTCTGTAAATGATTGTTAGAAATATGAGGTGATACCTCAGAAAACCCTTTTTTCTAGGTAAAGGCATTACACAAATACAACATGTTAATATATTTTAGGATTGTTTGTTATGTGCAGTGTCTCTCAGAGTTTTAGCTAGGAGCCATTGGTATCTGAATGAGAGAAACGTGATAAAAATGGGTATTGATCATCAGAATCTCAGGGGATGGGGTCAGGAGTCTGAATTTTAACAGGTTTTTCAGATGATTATTATGCACAGAACATGAGAACTGCTGATGTAGGCTCGCACTGTTTATCTTGTGTGCAGGTAAAGGGAGCAATCAGACACAGTTTAGAAATTGTGTTTTGTTTCTCCCTCCCCTCAGAAAATCTTCCGTAAAGCACATCTGGGACACAGTTAATCTAATGGCTAGAATCTCACTTAGAGAGTGACAGAATTTTATATACCCCATGTTCTCTTGGTTTTCCATGAGATGATCAAGGATCACCTATTTCGTTTTTCATAGTTATCCCCAAATATTGTGAGTTTTCGTGCACAAGTATCAGAGAAGCGATTCTTGGACAGCACAGTTTTTTTTTTTTACCTCAAGAGTATAATGTGGCTCCAGGTAACTTAGTTTTAGAGAAATCATCTTTATTTCAAGGGGCAGATATTCAGAAACCTTATCTTGTATAGTAGCTTAATGGATTTGCTTATTTCTCTGCTTATTTATGTAAAAACTATCATATTCATGTAATATCCTAGAATCCAAAGCTGCATCTTTTCATTATTCAAAATCAAATAGAGCAAAATGTTTACTCTCCAGTTAAGTAATGGGAAATCATATTATACTGTGAGTTTTCATCTGTGACATAATTTCAAGAGAAGGGGAATTATGTGATAATGCAAATGAAATAAATTGCTAACATTTCTTGAGTACTTAGGTGTGCTTTTCGAAGTGCTTACCACTAACCTTTTAATTCCACAACTCCATGAAGGTACTATAATGATCTCATTTTAGATGAAGAAACTAAAGCATAAAGGGTTAAACAACTAGCCCTTTGTCATTACACTGTATATTGCAGAGTTTCTGTTGAAGCCTATGCATTTTAGGCATATAACAGAGCATGGTAATAATTTAATGAATAATAGTGGCTCTGCTTGTTTACTTGTGTGAATCATAGATTTTTCTATAGTGGATGATGATAGTGGACCATCTGGTTCTAAACTATCATTTTAAAATGGTAGAAATCTGGAGACAAATTTAGATAAATTTTTCTGTTTCACAAAGACAGTAAGTACGTGGTATAGCCAGGACCAGAATACAAGCGTGATGACTTTTAATTTTGTATTTCTTTTCCTTTTGGGACATAGAAATAAATACATTTTCTTAATTTATGTTTTATTTGTTGCTACTTTTTCTTATTAGTGCCATTAGATATATTGATGTTGGAGATAAATTTCCTACTTGATAGCTTTTTGTTAATTTATAACATCAGAATATGTCTTACCAACCGAGGCTTAAACACTCAATTTTTTAAATCAGCATTAAAGAACACTTTATTTGTTTTTAGTTTTTTTCTTTTTTTTATTATACTTTAAGTTCTAGGGTACATGTGCACAATGTGCAGGTTTGTTACATATGTATACATGTAAAAACTCAATTTTATAGAAATTATTGACAAAATGGCTGTGGCAGTAGTTCTTAATCTTATTAAACCCTAATACCCCCTCTTTATGACAAGTATTTTCTAAAATCCTTTTTTGTCATTCTAAAATGGAATTTACAAATTATTTAACTACTTCCATTAATATACACTTTCAAAAAAGTCAGCATAAATTTTCAGATATAAAGGAGAAATAAAAGGAAAGTAATTTATGTATTTAAAATACACAGTATGTTTTTAAATATAAATACTTGGGACAACTATGTGAAGACCTTGTTATCCTAAATGTAGTCCACAGACTTGCAGCATTCACTTCAGTCAGAAAATGTATAAAACCCATGTATAATAGTACTAAAAATAGGAAATACTTAGGACTGTATCTGAAAAAAAAAAAGATGTGAAAGAGCTATATACTGAAAACTACAGAACATTGCTAAGAGACATTAAAGAAGATCCAAATAAATGGAGAGATATACTGTTTTTATGGGTTGGAAGACTGTATATTTTTTAAGATGACGTTTCTTCCCATATTGATCTAAGTCAAAATCCCAGGCAGGCTCTTGTGTAGAAATATACAAGCAAGTTAAACAATTCAAATGGAAATGCAAAGGACCTGGAATATAATAGCCAAAACAAATTTGAAAAAGAACAAAGTTGGAGAACTAACACTAACTGAAGATTTACTACAAAGCTACAGTTTTCAAGAGAGTGTGGTATTGGTGGAAAGATAGATAAGTAGATCAGTGGGAAAGAATAGACAGTCCTGAAATACATACATACAGTTGTACACATGGACAACTGATTTTCAGCAAAGTTCAAAAGTCAGTTCAGTGAAGAGATGTAATGGCAGTGGAACACTTGGATATCCAGACGTCTCCAAAGTAAACTTTATTTATTTTACCATCTACAAAAATTAAAATAGATAATATACCTAAATGTTTATAAAGTATAAACTATAAAACTTCAAGAAGAAAACTTAGGAGAAAACTTTTGTGGCTTTGGATTAGGTGAAGATGTCTCTTTTTTTTTTTTTTTTTTTTTTTTTTTGAGACAGAATCTTGCTGTGTCACCAGGCTGGAGTGCAGTGGCCCAATCTCGGCTCACTGCAACCTCCGCCTCCTGGGTTCAAGCGATTCTCCCACTTCAGCTTCCCGAGTAGTTGGGACTACAGGCGCAGGCCACCACGCCCAGCTAATTTTTGTATTTTTAGTAGAGACAGGGTTTCACCATGTTGGCCAGGATGGTCTCGATCTCCTGACCTTGTGATCTGCCTGCCTCAGCCTCCCAAAGTGCTGGGATTACAGGCGTGAGCCACCACGCCCAGCCAATATACCTAAATGTTTATAAAGTATAAACTGTAAAACTTCAAGAAGAAAACATAGGAGAAAACTTTTGTGGCTTTGGATTAGGCAAAGATTTCTTTAATGTGACGTCAGAAGAACAATTCATAAAAATAATTTAATTTCATCAAAATTTAAAACTTCTGCTCTTAAACAAATTTACAAGAAAACAAACCCATCAAAAAGTGGGCAAAGGATATAAACAGACACTTCTCAAAAGAAGACATTTATGTGACCAACAAACATAAGAGAAAAAGCTCATCATCACTGGTCATTAGAGAAATGCAAATCAAAACCACAGTGAGATACCATCCCACACCAGTTAGAATGGCGATTATTAAAAAGTCAGGAAACAACAGATGCTGGAGAGGATGTGGAGAAATAGGAACGCTTTTACACTGTTGGCGGGAGTGTAAATTAGTTCAACCATTATGGAAGACAGTGTGGCAGTTCCTCAAGGATCTAGAACCAGAAATACCATTTGACTCAGCAATCTCATTACTGGATATATACCCAAAGGATTATAAATTATTCTACTATAAAGACACATGCACATGTATGTTTATTGCAGCATTGTTCACAATAGCAAAGACTTGGAACCAACCCAAATGCCCATCAATGATAGACTGAATAAAGAAAATGTGGCACATATATACCATGGAATACTATGCAGCCATAAAAAAAGGATGGGTTCATGTCCTTTGCAGGGACATGGATGACGCTGGAAACCATCATTCTCAGCAAACTAACACAGGAACAGAAAACCAAACACCACGTGTTCTCACTCATAAGCAGGAGTTGAACAGTGAGAACACATGGACACAGGGATGGGAGCATCACACATGGGCCTGTTGTGGGGTGGGGGACTAGGGAACGGATAGCATTAGGAGAAATACCTAATGTAGATGACAAGTTGATGGGTGCAGCAGACCACCATGGCACATGTATACCTATGTAACAAACCTGCCTGTTCTGCACATGTATCCCAGAACTTAAAGTATAATAAAGAAATAATTAATTTTTTTAAAAAAACTTTCGGCTCTTTGGAAGTCATATTTACTAGTACAGAAAGACAAACCACAGACTGGGAGAAAATATTTGCAGTGATTATATCTGATAAAGGATTTGTATCAGAACATACAAAGAACTCTCACTGGGCAAGCTCAGTAGCATGTGCCTGTAGTCCCGGCTACTTGGGAGGCTGAGGCAGGAGGATTGCTTGAGCCCATGAATTTGAGGCCAGCCTGGGCAACATACTGAGATGCTATTTTTTAAAAAACAAAAACTCTCAAAATTAAAGAAGAAAGCAATTCAATTTAAAAAATAGGCAAAGATTGGAAGAGATATCATCAAAAGGATATGTGAATGGCAAATTAATACATAGATATCCAACATCAATAGTCATTCGAGAAATGTAGGTTAAAACAACAATGAGGTATTGATTCATACTTATTAAAATTGCAAGGATGTGGAAGAATTGGAATTCTCATACAGTGCTGGTGGGAATTTAAGATGTCACAACTCATTTGAAAACAGTTTAGCAGTTTCTCAAGTTAAACACTCAGTAAGTCATCACTTAATGTTGTTGGTTGGTTCTTGGAAACTGCAACTTTAAGCAAAATGACATACTGTCTAATGAAACCAATTTTATCATTGGCTAGTTGATATAAATAAGAATTAAGTTCCCACAGCACAGAGTAAGTCAGTTCACAGTTTCCAATGTGAACATCAATGACGTTAAGGGAGGAATTACTGTACACTTACCACACGATCTAACTGTTTACAGAAAAAGCATGTGTCCATATAGAAACTCATACATGAATGTTCATAGCATCTTTATATGTAATAGTTTAAAACTGGAAACGACCCTAATATCTGTCAACAGCAGATTAATAGACAAATGGTGGTGTCCATACAATAGAATATTACTTAGCAATGAAAGGAATACACAGTTGATAAATACAGCAACATGAGTGATCCTCAAAGATATGCTGCATGAAAGAAGGCAGACAAAAAAGAGTATATTACATAAGACTTCATTTATGTAAAATTATAGAAAATGGAAAGTAATATATCGTGATAAAAAGTAGATGAGTAATTGCCCGAGGAGCAGTGATGGGAGGATAGGGGGAAGGAAGGATTACAAAGAGATATAAGGAAACTTTTGGGGTTGATGGATATATTATAATCTTGATTGTGGTAATAGTTTCATGGGTGTTTTATCAAAATGTACATTTTAAATATGTGCAGTTTACTTTGGGTTAACTATACCTCAGTTAAGGTGGAAGCAAAAACTGCAGGAGCATTCTTGACTTCATGTTGTTCATGCATCCAATCCAGTTGATCATATCTGTCTCTTCTACCTCTGTGTCGTTTACATTCATATACTGTCCTTCCTTTTTCATGCTGTTGTCATACACTGTAGGTTTTATTCTCTTTCCTAGCCTATTTTGCAAATTCCTGAAGTGGTGTACTGCTTCTTATCTTCCTCCCTTCCTTCCAGCTTGAAAGGTATACAGGCGAATGCTTTTCCTTTTAGAACATGCCTGTTCCTGTGCTGCTTCTGCTCAGAATGTGTCACTTTTATTTCCTACAGAAGGAACTTAAAACTCCTTGTGACGGTATACAAGATCATCCAGGATCTCCGACTTTATTCTCACTTACCAGTCTTACTTTGCACTGCTCTGTTTTAGAAACTGGATGTTCTGCCAGATGTAACTATTATTTCCCCTCTTAGTACACAAGTTGCTTTTTTCTACTCTTGTGTCTTTTTTTTCTATGTGTCTTTCCACTTACAATGCCTACTCTATCCTTTTCTTACTCCTTCCAAGGCTGAAAGGTATTACAAATTAATTAAAACTTTAAAGCAACCGTAATCTAGTTTGTCTTATTTGATATTGTATTATGGCAACTGGGAAAAGAAATTTAATCCCCTCAGCTACTTGCTGTACAATAAACAATTATGTTCAATATTCAGTATTATGCTTAGTATTATCATTCCACTGTTCCTCCCAGTTTTTGCCCATCAATTACTTCTTGCCTTTACTATCCTTCTTTTCCAGTGTAGATTCTAGAGCCTTGATTACATTCACCTGTCACAAATATATTCTTAAACCCTTCACCCTTTGGTTCTTCTCTTTTATCACTAGTGGTCTCTGTTTGGCTTAATGAAAAAAAAAAATAGATACTTTACTACTCCTTACTTAAACTATCATTAGTATCTGATTTTCTTTTTCCAGAGACTTTTTTCTCTTAACTGACTTGACACAGTCTCCTTTGCCAGGACACCCTCCTCTACTAGACCTCTGACGTTTGGTGTTGGACTGCCTTCTTATTCTACACTCTTTGTCCCTTGCTATCTTACTCACTTTCTCAACTTTAAAAACCATATTTATGCCCAACTCTCAGATTTATGTCCTGATCTTTAGCTTTGTTTTTGACTCTCAAACCTGCATATCCGGCTGCAAGAGTAATTTTTTATTTAAATGGAAATTAGGGAGTTGACATTCAAGGGGACAGTATAAATAAGGCAAAGAAACCAGAAGCAATGTTGTGCTTTTGGGGGACATACAAGGAGAGTGGGGGGTGGGGGAATTGGTAGGAATATCTCAAAGAGCCCAATACAAGAATTACTAGGCTATAAGTAAATGGAACCAGAGCTAAAAAGTAAGGACCTGAGGAACTTATTTCTGGTTTTTGCTTCCTTTGGTGTGTAGCAACTGTTGTTTCTTTGTCTCTTCTCTTCTTTGTTTGGAAAAATATTTCCTAATTCTAACAATTCAATGGAGATCATTGAAGATTTGGAACTAGTTCCAAAATCATAGCAGACAAACTAATTGACTCATTGACTTACCGTCTATTTGATCAACTGTGCTGGGATGGTGTTGGCAGGCCATGGTAGTCAGACTGGGCAGAGACTCTAAAGAAGATTAGGTTCTTTAAGCATGTTTCGGGAGTGGGGAGAAAATAATTGGCATTTCTGGACAATAGCCTGTGAATTTGTATTGGTTCAAATCTCCTTAGTGATGTGATTTTTTTTTTTCTCCAGCAGTACACAGACATGCAAGTATGGTAGTGAATTGATTTAGTTGTGGTGGTTTGCTGGATTGGTTTGGCAGGAAGTTAATATTGCAAGGAAATTAAAGGGTACTGATTTAAAACAAATGCTCAATCACAGGGTCCATATTGGGTAGCAAACAAAACAAAAAAAACCTGGAATTGTGGGGATAAGTACCTTGGGGGGAAATGTGAAGGGGATGGGATGTCTCTGTTTGTACTTTTGTTGTTATAGAATATCAACACTAGAGACCTGAGAGGATAGGAAGTTGTAGTCAGAAAATGAAAAACTGGAGTTTTAACACTCTGAGGCCAAATAATTCCAATTGAAAAATCTGTGATATATTTTGAGGAGTGAGCAGTGCTTCTACTAAGTTTAATTTGAAAAATGTTTGGCTACGCCAACAGTGCTAAAGATTCGCTAGCCATAAATTAAATAAATAAACCAATAGAAGAGAATTTTTTTTTTTTTTTTGAGACGGAGTCTTTCACTCTGTCACCCAGGCTGGAGTGCAGTGGCTCGATATCTGCTCACTGCAAGCTCTGTCTCCTGGGTTCACACCATTCTCCTGCCTCAGCCTCCCAAGTAGCTGGGACTACAGGCACCTGCCACCATGCCCGGCTAATTTTTTGTATTTTTTTTTAGTAGAGACGGGGTTTCACCATTTTAGCCAGGATGGTCTTGATCTCCTGACCTCATGATCCGCCCGCCTCGGCCTCCCAAAGTGCTGGGATTACAGGCGTGAGCCACCGCGCCCGGCCAAGAATTTTTTTTTTTAAGTCAGCGATAAGCACATGATCGTTATGCTGAATTCCTTTTTAGGTTTTTGTTGATTGCCTCAAAGAGACTATAGTTAGGATTAGGTTCTGTTGTTAACTCTACTGTTTCCAAAGCTCCAGGCTTATTTTATTGCAGTAGTTTCTTCTCTAATATTCCTTTTAAGTTACACCAAAGTATTTTTCAGCACATACACTCACTTTAGAAGCCAAACCGGGTTTTCTTTTTAGTCTGAGTATTCCCCAAGGTAGAAGAAGATCAGAAGAACCAGATTACAGTCTGTTCCCTTTACATCTCTCCTGGTTCTCCTAGAGTCAGAGGGTGAGCCATATGCTTGCTAAGCTACTAGAAACTGATTATCAGAAGCTGTTAGAGGTGGATAGGCGCAGGACGAAGTGTATGAATATACATCAGTGGTCAGCTGGAGCCAACTGTGAAATTTTGTAGGACAGTTGTTAAAAACAGCCATTATTAAAAATTAAGGTATATATATTTACAATGAAATGAATTGTATTAAAAACAAAGGTAATAATCAAATATATTTTGTAATTATTTTACCACATTTTACCATTTATGCTCTTGAAGTTATTTCCAGCTACTCTATCTGTATGCTTTCAATACTGTATAACTGAGTGCCCTTCTGCTTCTCTTTCCAATTTTGTGTTCAGTTGTATCAAGTTGGTAGCTTGAAACCAGCCATGATGGGAGTGTGTATACGGTGGGCGCTGGAAAACACTGGAAATGAAGGCCTTTCCCCCGTGGAGAGCTAGTTGTTAAACATTTACCAGCACACCATGGTATAGATTAGCATGTCTGGTGGCTTTTTGCTTTATTTCAAAGACTTGAGTGAAAACAGTCAACAGGGAGGTCTCCTCTTTTCAAGACCATTCCTAACCTGTTCCAGCCCTGTCTCTACATTGTTCTTTTCCTTCTATTACTGTGTTTTTATTACCTACTTCTTTACCGTCATGGGCCCTAGATGCTGGCTTTTTCTCCATCTTCCATTCTCTTCCTGGAGTTGAATCTCATTTTGACCCCTGCCAATATACCCAATTCTGCTCTCCCTTTCCAGCCATGTAAATTGAAGCTTTAGAAATTGCCACAGCTGCAGAAAGAATAAGATACAGAACAAGATGACATAGCTAATAGATCATATTTTCAGAGTTCCAGTCACTTTTTACCATTTGACATTTTATCAAAATTGTTACTATTTGGTGAAATCTTAGGTGAAGTATTCATTAGAAAAGTATAAGTGTTCATTAACTGTACTTTTAAAGTTAGTTCCATTCTCGTGTGTAATATTTTCAAGAGAACACAATTTTTTATCATGAAAATTTTGTGATGGTAAAATGGAATCTGTTTGCCTTTCACAAATTCATAGAACTGACTCTTTTAAAAGACTCCTTGATGTTTAGGAGTGATTTTGGCTTCAAGAAACAAAAAACTGAGCGGAAAAGATGATGGATTTCTAGTGCTGAGTCAGCAGCTTAATGATGCCAGGCAGGAGTCTCTAAGGTTCTCTCAGCTTTTCACTTATGGTCAAGTGATGACCACGACAGATCTAGTCATGACACCTGTGCTCACGGCACAGAGGAGGAGACAGGATAGTAGCAGAGCTGTGTTTACATGTGTTGCGGCTTTGCCTGAATATAGGGAGTCTGGGAAACTGTCTAGTTTAGCTAGTAGTTAGTGATATTACACTTATGATAAAGTAAAACAAGAGGGCAGGGATTGGAGTTAGGTATTAGGTGAGCCTACTGTAGATCTACCTCTGTATAGTATGCAGTGGCATTTCCCCATATACCTAAACCTAATTCATTGTGATGAATTTAAAAGGTGAAAATGTAACTAATGTATGTGATATAGTTCCCTGAGAAGTGCATTAAGCTCTCTTTGTTCAGTCTTTGTGGGAAGTGATGGAAAACTTTTTTTTTTTTTTGCCAAAAGATACTCGAACTTAGAAACTAGGCAGTTACTTTCACATAAACTCTTTGAGGTATAGGTAGTGTTATCCCTAACGTTACAAATTAGGAAACTAAGACAGAGATGTTAAGCAGTTTGCCATAGATCACAGAACCTAGTAAATGGGTGAGCCAAGTTTAGAATCTGGACTTTTCTCTCAGGCAGTTGCAGATTTTATATATTGAAATGAATTAGAATGTTTTAGAAAGAATGATATTTGAGAGTCAGGAAACTTCAGCAGATATATCCAAAAGGTGGCATTTTGTGTAATATCCATTTGATGGAGGAGCTAGAGCCCTCTAGCAGTTCTGGTAGCCAAATACTGGGATAATAATAGCATTTACTTATGCATTAACCCATTTATGCTTAGTGTTCCATTATTGGAACGCTAAGCTTGTGGGAGTTATTTATATCTTACTGCTCAAGGTCATCGCCAAGTTCTGATTTTTCACAAAAAAATTTTGCAACCTCTGCCATAAATGGGTTAAAGCTTTAGAAATTGCCACGGCTGCAGAAAGAATAATGTACGAAACAGGCTGCCGTAGTTAATAGATCATGTTGTTACTAGACCATTTAGTTAACAAATCAATGCATTTTACTCTATGCATTTTATTTATACTAGCCCATTTAATTCTCATAACATCCCTTATGAGATAGGCATTATTATTACCATGTTTAGACGAAGAAACTAAAACACAAAGAGGCTAAGTTACAAACCTAATCTAGTGAGTGGCAGACTTAAGATTGAACCCAGATACTTCTTTTTTGTAGCCATGTGTTAGCTTTATATATAAAACATGATGAAAACTTGTTTAATATAAAACACTTTAATATAAAACATGATGAAAACTCAATTACAAGAGTTCGAAAGGGCAAGAAAAACCAATGAGTTTCCACTTTATTGCAAGTTTTAAAATCTGAGACTAGTTAAAAAAACTGATATGTTAATTTCAGATGAGGGTTAATTTTTTTCACCAACTAAAAATTACTATATGGGAAGATCAGTGCAACAAACAGTACAGTTTGCAAACCCAAGCCACAAACTTATTGTTAATAATCATGGTAAGAAACAGCCAAAGAGCAACTGATGCCTCAGTTAAGTTTGAAAGAAACTCTGCCTTCTGTGAAGGCAGAGAAGAAATATGCAAGCAATTCTCCTTCAAGAAATTTGCATAGAGTCAGGATGTGGTGACTCACGCCTGTAATCCCAGCACTTTGGGAGGCCAAGGTGAGTAGATCACCTGAGGTTGGGAGTTCACGACCAGCCTGACCAACATGGAGAAAACCCATCTCTACTAAAAATGCAAAAAATTAGCCGGGCATGGTGGCGCACGCGTATAATCCCAGTTACTTGGGAGGCTGAGGCAGGAGAATCGTTTGAACCTGGGAGGCGGAGGTTACAGTGAGCCGAGGTCGCGTCGTTGCACTTCAGACTGGGCAACAAGAACGAACCTCCGTTGCGCAAAAAAAAAAAAAAAAAAAAGAAAAAAAGAAATTTGCATAGAAAGAGAAAATGTTAGAGCCTTTACCACAAGTGAAATTGCAAAGCTTGAACATAATTCAACTCAATCCAGAGAGCACCAAACATCAAATTGGGGCCAAGGTAGAACTTGAACATTTAATTTCCAGCTATGTGACTTGGAGAGCACTATAATTTCAGATGTGGAAACCAGCTGCAGGTAGGCTCTTTTAGAAACATGAATTGTATACTCCATAAATTCTGAAACAAGGCAGATATTTGTACATTGTTACTTGAATTTCAGAAGGGTACCTCAAGGCATCAGGATCTTTTTCAGAGTCACTCTTGAAATAGTTGTATCTTCCCAGCCTTGGTAACCACCTTTTTACAGTTCTCTAGCCTTTGCATTGAAACACACCACTTTGTGGAATGACTTTTAACATTCTATCCGTCATGGCTTAAGATCCTGAAGCAGCTATTTCCAGGGCACCTCCCATCTCCTCGGCATGAGCAGTTTCCCAGTCACTTCTTCATCCCCCCAAGTCCTCTTCATGAGAGTCTCCAGAGCTCATAGCATCAAGGTCTCCATTGCTGGGACTCACACCGGAGACTACATCTGGAAGCTCCACTCCTCCAGCTCTCTCTGCTGGAGACCAAACTGACAGTTTATTGCAAAGACTTGTAAAAACAAAGATTATTTACAAATGCATTTTTGTATACATTTGTTTAATTTACGACCTGAGACTTTTATAATCGCTTTCCAAACCCTTTTATGGAGGGTGGAACACTTACTTGAGGCTACGCTGTTAACCATGTCCCATATCCCCTCTCATAACTGACTTGTGTAAGAAAAAAAAATGAAGATTTTTTTAAGTTGACTCTTACCTGGTTCTAATCAGTCTTGGAAGCATTTCTACTTGTTCCGTAAAATAGGAAGTTGAGTAGAATATATTAAAGAATTTCACCAGTAAAACAAATACCTAAAGCATCATTTTGGAAGGCAGTGCATAGGAATCCCAAATTCACATCTTGTGAACAAAACTGATAGTCTGATAATGATACCTCATCTCTACACAAAATAAACAAAATTAGCCAGGTGAGGTGGTGCATGCCCAGAGTCGCAGCTACTCAGGAGGCTGAGGTGCGAGAATTGTTTGAGCCTGGGGGATCGAGGCTGCAGTGAGCCTAGATTGTGCCACTGCACTCCAGCCTGGGTGACAGAATGAGACCCTGTCTCAAAAACAAAAAACAAAAAAACTGATAATCTGTTAATACCCCTTTTCAGCTCATGATAACTGGTTTATATCTTCACAATTTTAACAACTACCATAGAATATGGATCTAGAAATTGAAATAAGAATGTAGCAAATGAGTATGTGAAAATAATTTCACACAGATGGAAATTATACAGCTCAGAACTTGGTGATGAATCATACCCTTGGAAAACTATTCCATTCTTCCCCAGAGTCTGTCAACAGAGGGATACACAAAGTGATGGAGCTTTCATATTTCAGCTTTAACATCTGCTGCATGGCAGCCCATTTATATTTTTATCTAAGGAAACATCTATAAATATTGATAAAGATTTCCTCTTTGCTTTTGTTTCCAGGCTGTTTATCTCGGTATTTATCCTTTTGGCTATACAGTATCTCTGGATGATCTGGAACTCAGCATTTTCCTAATACGGCTTGTTACAATGCCAAAAGCAATGCCTGCGGTTCTGCTACTAGGTCACTGTGGTGTGTTCCTCAAAGCCAGAGTCTGTTGACACTGCTGAGATTGGCTGTTTTCTTCTCTCTTACTTTCCCTCTTTTCCATGCGCTACTAGTTTTTAAAAGCAGTGAATACCAGGATTTTAAATGAGAGATTATTTTACACATTTATTTTAGTCATGTCTTTTTTTTTTTTTTTTTATGAAACCTGGGAGAGAGTGAAGAGAAAATTCACAAAAAGTTTGAGTTGTGGCTTAGTGTTGATTTAAAAAACCCATAGAGAAGTCAATAAACATAAGTTGGCAACAGAGGTATCAACATAACTGGATTGAGATTTCAGTAAAGCGCATTATTAAATTATAAAATTTTACCTACTTGCATGCATAGCTCATTGTCAGACTAAATATTTTAATTCATGTAAAAAAAGATTGGGAAATTAAAAACTAAAAGGAAAAAAGCAGACTTAGATATTTGGACAAATAAAACAGATAACTTTATGTACTCATAGCAACAGATTGTTTTATTATTTGTTTGTGTAATTGGCATCATCTGTTATTTAGAGTCTTGGAATAATAGAATCATTTGGGAGGGACTGTAGAATACATTACTGGAATTCAGTTGGCAGTGTTCACATAATTGGTCTGTTTGCTGGTTTAGAATCCTTTCTTTGTTGCTTTTCATCAGGTGGGACTCTTCCCTGGACACTGTGTTGAGTTAATTAACCAAAAAGTTCCCCAGTCAGTGACCAACTCAGTGCCAAAACCAGGTGAGTACACTTTTTTCACTAGTGTAGTTATTTTATCAACTGCTTGAAGACACAGATTTTCTGTCAGTCAAGTATTTAGCTTGTTTTGCTAGTTTTGCATTTATAGGCATAATAATTAACATTCTTAATTTTATATGGTTTTGATTTTTAAATGTATTCTTATATCTCTGTTGATCATTTTGAAAAGGTTTACATGCACTCAAATTTTTAGGCAATTGCTCCATTAAGCTTTGTCATTATTTACTTTTATAGTTGCATAATAGCATTGTAACTTAATGAATAAAATGATTTAAAAAATAGGTTTAAAGAACTAACATAGAAATTGTAGGATTAACTGAAAATTAATAAATGAAAAGTAAGTATATTTTAACAGGGCATATGAACATCAAAACTATTTTAAACAGCATTTCTTATTACTTATACAGTATACTTACAGTGCTGCATAAATATCTAGAATATATTACAAATAAAGCATTGTTGAAGGGGATAAAAATCAAGAAAATGTGAATTTCGGTGTTTATTGAGGTGATTTAGTTTTGGGAAGATTCAACAGAATGCCTCATCTGAAACTTTTTGATGATGTCGATTAAAAAAAAATTCAAACAAAGTCTAAAAAGCTTTGGAGAGAAGAGGGAGTCATCCAACTTATTTTTCCTAGCTATATTACATTTCTTCTGTCCTTTCCCACCTCCCAATAAAAGGAGAAGAAAAAATTTCTGGGCCTCAGAATTAATTTGAACTGTTTACCTTATGATAGTATTTTCTAGTTTTAGGACCTGTATGTAAGAGTTAAGAAAAAAAAAACAGTTATTCTTTACTCTTTTGGTATTTTCCCACTTCTGCTCCCAAAGCTTACATCCAACAATCTTTGCTAATAGTATTTAAGTAAAGGTTAATAATACCTTTCAAAGCTTATTTCTTCACAGGAGACTAGGGAATCATTGTTCCCATTTCTCTCATTGGAATTTGTTTATTTTAGACTAACTTTATTGTTCAGTAGAGAAAATGCTTCAAAACAGTGTTTTCTGCAGTTCTACTTGAGTCAGGATTCTCAGTTCTTTTTGAAGCAATTTTATCCTTCTTGGGTAAACTTTTTTAAAAAGCTCCTAAGTGGGTACTTGTTTGGTAAATCTTCATTCGTAACTGTAGATTTCATTCTTTTTAAAAATACGGCGTTATTTTAAACTTAACTTTTTGAAAACTCAGCTTTATTAAGATAAAATTCGCATATCGTGCAATTTACCCTTTAAATTGTGTAACAGGGTTGTGCAGCCATCACCACAGTTAATTTTAGAACACCTTCATCACTTCATGAAGAAATCCCATATCCATTAGCGGACACTGCTCCCCTCATACTGCTCCCAGCCCTAAACAACCACTTGTCTACTTTCTGTCTTTATTGATTTCCCTATTCTGGACATTTTGTATAAATGGAATCATATAATGTGTGGTCTTTTGTGATGGGCTTCTTTTACTTAGCATAGTGTTTTCAAGATTCACCTGTGCAGTAGCATGTATCAGTACTTCTGTTTTAATTCCTTCTTTTTAAATAGCTGGATAACATTTCATTGTATGCATATGCCACATTTTATTTGTTTATTCATTTGGAGTTGTTTCCATTTTTGGCTTCTCTGAATATTCATGTACAATATTACATGTGGATATGTTTTAATTTCCCTTGGGTATATGTCCAGGTGTGGGATTGCTGGGTCATATGGTAACTATATTTAATCTTTGAAGAACTGCCAGCTGCACCATTGGTGTAACTGTACCATTTTGCAGTTCCACCAGCAGTGTATGAGACTTCCAGTTGCTCCATATCCTTGTCAACACTTGTTTTTATTTGGATTTTTTTGATTATTGCCTTCTTAATTGTGAAGTAGTATCTCACTGTGGATTTGACTTGCATTTTGTTTTTGGCTAATCATGTTTAGTCATTTTATATGTGCTTATTGGTTATGTGTTCATCTTCTTTGGAGGGTATCTATTCATATCCTTTGCTTATTCTTTTTTCTTTTTCTTTTTTTTTTTTTTTTTTTCGAGACAGGGTCTTTCTTTGTCACCACAGGCTGCAGTGCAGTGTTGTGATCATAGCTCACTGCAGCCCTCAACTCCAGGCCTCAAATGATCCTTCTGACTCAGCCTGCTGAATGACTGACATTACACGTGCATGCCGCTGTGCCCAGCTAATTTTTAAATTTTTTGTAGAGATGAGGTCTTGCTTTGTTGCCCAGATTGGTCTCAAACTCCTGGTTTCAAGTGATCCTTCCACCTCAACCTCCCACTTTTGCCCAGTTTTTAATTGGGTTATTTGTGTTTTTTTTAGTGAGTTGTAAATGTTGCTCATATATTCTAGATACAAATTCTTTACCAGATAATAATGATTTACAAATATTTTCACCTGTTTTGTGGTTTGTCTTTGACTTTCTTTGGTAGTATCCATTGATGCATACAAGTTTTTACTTTTGATGTTTCTTTAGTCATTTATGCTTTTGATTCCTTATTTAAGAAGGCTTTGGCTAACCCACAGTCATGATTTACTCCTGTGTTTTCTTCTGAGAGGTTTACAGTTTTAGATGTTACATATTAGTCTATGACCCATTTTTTAAAGTTAATTTGTGTGTATGGTGATGAGGCAGGGGTCCAACTTCATGAGGTTATCCAATTGTTCTAGCACTGTTTGTTGAAAAGATTATTTCTTTCCTGTTGAATTACCTTGATACCCTTGGAAAAATCAATTGACCCTAGACACAGTTGACCCTAGATTTATTCCTGAATTTCCAGTTTTCTTCCATTGATTTATATGTCTTTTTTTGTTCGTTTTTTTGAGGCAGAGTCTTGCTCTGTCACCCAGGTTGGAGTGCAGTGGTGCGATCTCGGCTCACTGCAACCTCCGCCTCCTGAGTTCAAGCAATTCTCTTGCCTCAGCCTCCGGAGTAGCTGGGATTACAGGTGTGTGCCACCACACCTGGCTGATTTTTATATTTTTGATAGAGATGGGGTTTCATCATGTTGGCCAGGCTGGTCTTAAACTCCTGACATCGTGATCCGCCCACCTCGGCCTCCCAAAGTGCTGGGATTACAGGCATGAGCCACCGTGCCCAGTCTCTATATGTGTTTTCTTATGCCAATAGTACCCTGTTTTCATTACTGTTGTTTTGTAGTAAGTTTTGCAGTGGGGAAGTGTAAGTCATCCTACTTTTTTCTTCTTTTTAAGGGTTGATTTGGCTTTTCTGGGCCCCTTGTAATTCCTTATGGCTTTAGAATCAGCTTGTCAGTTTCTACAGAGTAGGATGGGATTCTGATAGAGAGTATATTGAACCTGTAGATCAACTCGGGAAATATTATTAACAGTATTAAGTCTTCTAATCCCTGAACAAGGGATGTTTTTCATTTATTTAGATATTCTTTTGTATTTTTAATTTTTTTTCTTTGGAGACAGTGTCTTGCTTTGTTGCCCAGGCTGGAGTGCGATGGTGTGATCATAGTTCACAAGTCCTCAAACTCCTGGGCTCAAGGCATCTTTCCACCTCAGCCTCCTGAGTAGCTAGTACTACAGGCATGTGCCACTGTGCCAGGATAATTTGTTAGTTTTTTGTAGCAATGTCTCACTGTGTTGCATAGGCTGGTCCTGAACTCCTGGCCTTAAGTGATCCTCCCGCATGAGCCTCCAAAAGTGCTGGGATTATAGGCATGAGCCACTAGGCCCAGTCAGTCTAGACATTCTTTAATTTATTTCAATATTTTGTAGTTTTCAGAGTATAAGTTTTATATATCTTTTGTTGAATTTCTTTATAAATATATTCAATTCTTTTTAATGCTATTGTACCGGGAATTTTAACATTTCATTTTCTTATTGTTCATGGCAAGTCCATAGGAATATAATTTTTGTATGTTGATGTTATATCTTGAAGCCTTGCTGAACTGTTTATTAGTTCTAATAGTTTCATAGTGGATTCCTTGGGATTTTCTATATACAAGATTATGGTATCTACAGTAGCCACTTTTTACTTCTTCCCTTCCAATCTGGATGTCTTTTTATTGTTCTTGCCCAGTGGTCCTTGTGAGAACCTCTAATACAATATTGAATATAAATCTCAAGTACAAGCATCCGTGTCTTGTTCCTGATTTTAGGGGAAATCATCTAGTCTTTTACCATTAAGTAGCTGTGGGGGTTTCATAGATGTCCTTTATCAGGGTTGAGAAAGTTCCCTTCTGTTTCTTGTGTGTCAAGTGTTTAAAAGAGTGCAGGAATTTTTCCAAAGGCTTTTATTCATCTGTTGAGATTATAATGGGTTTTTATGGTCATTATTTTGAAGTTACTAAAATTCAACATCAAACATTTAATTTCCTGCACATATTTTTATCCATCTTTCTGTGGTGTAAGCTTAACTTATATTAGTTATTATGTCTCATCTTTGATAGTATTGACTCAGATGTACTATAAATTGGGTTTTTAAAACTTAGCCTAATATTGGCATTAAAATAAACTGTGTTAGTATCAATCAAGTGCTTTCTCTCTTTTTTTTTTTTTTTTTTTTTTTTTTGAGACGGAGTTTCGCTCTTGTTGCCCAGGCTGGAGTGCAATGGCGCGATCTCAGCTCACTGCAACCTCCGCCTCCTAGGTTCAAGCGATTCTCCTGCCTTAGCCTCCCGAGTAGCTGGGATTACAGGCATATGCCACCATGCCCGGCTAACTTTTTGTATTTTTCATAGAAACGGGTTTTCTCCATGTTGGTCAGGCTGGTCTCAAACTCCTGACCTCAGGTGATCCGCCCACCTCAGCCTCCCAAAGTGCTGGGATTACAGGTGTGAGCCACCGTGCCTGGCCCATTCTCATGTTTTGAATGGAGAAATGACACTTCAAGTAGGGATAACCTCCAGAACCATTTAGCATTGGGAAAGTTAATCAGTTATTGATAGTTCTGGAAAACAGGTTTGTATTTGTAGACCTGCATAGCATTGTTATTTCTAAATTAAGAATGACCAAGAAAAACCTAGCGTACCTTCAAAAGCTAGTATTTTGTCTTCTGTGAGCAGCATTGCAGAGTTGGCATAAGGAAATGTGCTTTTTTTTTCTTTTTTTGATGGAGTCTTGCTCTGTCACCCAGGCTGGAGTGCGGTGGCGTGATCTCGGCTCACTGCAACCTCCGCCTTCCAGGTTCAAGCAATTCTCCTGCCTCTGCCTCCTGAGTAGCTGGGATTACAGACACATGCCGCCACGACCTGCTAATTTTTATATTTTTAGTAGAGGTGAGGTTTCATGTTGACCACCTGGTCTCGAACTCCTGACCTCAAGTGATCCGCCTGCCTTGGCTTCCCAAAGTGCTGGGATTACAGGCATGAGCCACTGTACCCAGCCAAAATGTACATTCTTAATACATTTTGAAAAGGATGATGTGAATTCTGTCAGCCTTGGGCTTGTTTCACACTTTAAAACTGTCTTTGCCTACGGTATAAACAACTTGAATGTTCTATTTATTTTTAACATTGCCATCTGTCACTGTTAGATGCCAAATCTGAAAGATACAGCTATAGTTTGAGACTGAAAATTTCAAGTTCCTATACTATTACACAACAAGGGTAACATAGGAAAAATATTCTCTTTGAATCTGTTCTTAAATGTTATTAATATGTTCAATTATTTGTGTGTACAGAAAATTAATCACCATATCCTGACCAAGATAGAAAGTACCCATGGTACCTTAGGAAAAAGAAGGTAAGAGTTTGATAGAGAGAGAGAGAGAGAGAGAGGAGAGGAAACAAAAGAGGGGGAAGCTTGTCTATAAGAAATTGTCATTTTATTCAGTCACCCTAGGGCATGATATAGTGGAAGATGAGGTCTAGGTGGGGAAAGGTGGAAGGGGAAGCACATGTTTTTCTTTGTGTTTGTTTTGCTTGCAAGTCACTGAGGAGCTATTTACTGACACTTTTCTTGAAGGCTTTATGTTCATAGCTATTCTCTTTTCAGATATTTCTTTTTCCGAATTCTCTTTCTCCTCTCCTTTACATATCAGTTACATTATTTGATATTGTCTCACAGATCTCAGACTCTGTTTTTTCTTTTTTTTTTTTTACTCTGTTTTCTTTTTCTTCTTTTTCTTTTTTTTGAGACAGTTTCGCTCTGTCTCCCAGGCCAGAGTGCAGTGGCACGATCTCCTGTTTTCTTTTTTTCTCTCTCTCTTTTTTTTTTTTTTTTGTTTTCAGTTTGGATACTTTCTGTTGTCCTATCATCAAGTTCAGTGATTCCTCACTCTGCTATGTGTGGTCAGTCTTCTCTTAAGGCCACCTAACACATTCTTCAATTCTCGTATTTTTCTTTTCTCGCATAAAGCTAAATGGTCTTTTTACAATAATTGCTATGCTGGAATTCCCCATCTTTTTGCATCATCCACCTTTTCCACCAGAAAGAAAGAAAGAGGAGGGGTGGGGGATAGAAGAGAGAAGAGGGAAAGAGTGGGAGAAATGGAGAACAGAGAAGAAAAGCAAGCAGAGCTTATTTTGAGGCATTAACTTCTGGAAATAAAAGACTAGTGATTTAGGCAACCTTCCCTCTGAGGACAGTTAAAAAATTTTGACAGAAGTATAAAAACATATCTTTGAAGCATTAGAGAGTTAATAAAACTGTAAGCAATTATTGTGATAAGGTGATGAAACAGAAGGAAATCTGAAGAGTGACCCCTGCATATGGAGACATTATTCCCCTAGGATATCTGCTGATGGAGTAGAGGAGGTCATCATAGTGCTAGGGGAACAAAAATTGGAGGTCAGAACCCATCAAGACAGAGTTGCTGAAAAATGCCCCAAGCTTTGAGTTGGAATCTATGTAGAAATTGATGACTGATTCTAAAATGTATATGGAAATACAGAGCCAAGAATACCAAAGACGATTTAGAAGAACAAAAAAGTGGGAAACTTACTGTAATAGATGTCAAGATATATTGTGAAAGCTTCACTAATTACGACGTTGGTATAGATGTGTACAGATAGACCAATAGATCAATGGAACAGAATAGAGTCCAGAAACAAACCTGTGTCTATATAGATACTTGATTTATGACAAAGGTGGCATTGGAGGGCAGTTTCAAAAGAACAGTCATTTCAATAAAGAGTACTGAGTCAGCTGGACATCTGAATATAAAAAAAGAGAAGCCTGATCCTTATTTAACCCCATACACAAAAATCCATTCCAGGAGAATTACAAATCTGTATGTGAAAGACGAAACAATAAAACTTTTAGAAGATAATACTATAGAATATCTTTATGACCTTGGCTTTAGACATAGTATTAATTATAACTGAAAAGCTTAATAATTAAACAATTAAAAGGAAGAACTTTATCATAATATGCCCTTAAGACAGTGAAAGGGCAGATTACAGTGTGGGAAGATATTTGCAGAATGCGTATCTGACAAAGGAGTTGTAAAGAGTCTTTAGGAAAATGCAGATCGAAGCCTTATTGACTCTTTAGTACATACTTAACCAGAATAATTAAAATTTAAGGATAATGATATCTAAGGTTGGCAAGAATATACATTAATAGGAATTCTCATATGCTGATGATGGGAGTATTAATTTGGGACAATCATTGGCATTATCTATTGAAGTTGATACACAACTGTAACCCAGCAGTTCCACTTTTAGATGTATATAGAGATTCATGTACACAGACTAAGACACATGCATAGAAATGTTGATAACAGCTTTATTTCCATTTGTTAAAAACTGGCAAAACTTATGGGTGTATACATGGTGGAATGAATAAATGAAGATATATACAGTAAATTCCCCTACACCAGTAAAAATGAATGAGTTAAAACTGTTTGCAACAACATGATTGAATCTCACAAAAAATAGTATTGAATGTCCTGATATACACACTTACACTGTAAAGTTTCATGTATACATGTAGAGAGTTCAAAATCCTAAGAGTTCAAGACTGCTCTGTGGTATTAGAACTTAGGATAGCAGTTACCTTTGGAGAGGAAAGAGAAGGTCAGTGATTGGGATGGGCAGGAGAGAGGATTCTGGAGTACTGGTAATGTTCTGTTGATCCAGGTGGGAATTATACGGAAATGTCATGATATTGAGCATCTTTTTGTGTGCTTATTGCCCATTGTATATTTTCTTTGGATTAATGCCTATTTAAGTCTCTTTCTATTTTTGAATTGGTCACTTTGCATTTTTAAAAAATATTTTTTCCATCCAGATGAATATTCTTTGCAGTATTGCTTTAATACACAAATGTTGGAAATCATATTTTCAAAAAATACTTTTGGTACTTTTATACTGTAAATTACTTTGCATCCACCACAAAGTAAGTAGAAGCCTATGTACTAAACCAGAGAACTTTTTCTCTGATATATTGTTAAATGAAAAGGCAAATCACAGAACAGTAAAATCCCATTATAAATTCATAGAAAGAGGATCTAGAAGGCTATGTACGTAACTGCAAAGGGGAATGGGATTATGGAGACAGTAAGAAACATTTCATTTTTTCTCCATTTGGTTGTGTATTATTTAATTTTTTTATAATTGAAATGGAATAGTTCCCTTGGCCCCTTTGCAGGATTCAAAGCTCAGGGGCAGCACGCAGGTGAGTGGGTGCAGAGGCAAGGATGAGCACCTCTGGGCAACTGGTAGGAGCAGAACTCTGTGCAGGCCCATGGCAGCATCTAGAAGTTACCCACGACCCTTGGCGCCCCAGAGGGCATGTGTTACAGTGTGCTCTTTTACCGTTGCCATCCATGGGTGGCTCAAATGTTAACTCAGTGGAGGGTCAGTGTGACAGCCTCTTGCACTTGTATCCAAGTCCTTGTCTGGGGTCCAGGAAGAATCAGGATGCGCAAATGAATTGAAGGGTGGTGAATGTGGAGGATTTTATTGAGCGGTAGAAGTGGCTCTCAGAGGGATGGGGAGCTGGAAAGGGGATGGAGTGGAAAGGTGGTCCTCCCCTGGAGTTTGACCATGCCCAGCTGAACTCTCCTCTGAAGTCCTGCCGTCGAGCCCTCCCTCTGAAGTCAGTCTGCTTCTCTCAAACGTCCGGCTGCTTCTCTTATTCTCTGCTGCTCTACGGCTCTACTGCTCTGCTGGCAGGGCCTGGGGTTTTTATGGGCACAGGATAAGGAGCGGGTCAGGCCAAGGTGGTTTTGGAAAAGGCAACAATTGTAGGGGTGGGAAACAGGAATGCATGTTCTCACTTTGGGTCATAGGTCCAGGCTTGAGAGTGTGGCCCTTGCCAGGGACCACCCTCTTCTACCCAGTGTTTCCCTTTCTCCTGTCCGTATCACAATGAGCATGTATTATTTTGCAGAATATGAAGAAATAGATTGTAATCTCCTGTTAACTCTACCCTGCCCAAACAGGTAATTTCTAAGATCCTTCTTAATGCATCTACCCCATAAAATGGACACTAGTGACACTAGATTTAATGCAGGTGTTAAATTTATATACCTGTGTGAAAAGCAGCAGGGTTAAAGGGACAAAAGCTCAGGCAACCTTGGGTTCAATCCCTATGCCACATTTTATTGTCTGGGTATACACATTTGGCCTCTCTGATTTTCAATTTCCATAACTGAAAAGTGAGGCAAGATTATTATTTCAAAGATTATGGATAAGGTACTTAAGACCCCTGGATACTTAGTGAATGTCAACTGTTATTTATTGATTTGTGTTTATTTACTATGTTATTTAAATTCATGAGTATCAGAAACTATATTTAATTTATATAGATACTTATTTAAGATACTATTTATTGATATAAATCTACATGCCAAGATATCACAGTTGTGTTAGTCTATTCTAGCGTTGCTGTAAAGAAATACCTGAGATTGGGTAATTTATAAAGAAAAGAGGTTTAATTGGCTCACAGTTCTGCAGGCTGTCCAGGAAGCATGGCACTGGCATCTGCTCGGCTTCTAGAAAGGCCTCAGGGAGCATTTACTTATGGTTGAAAGCGAAGTGGGAGCAGGCACCTCATGTGGCAGGAGTAGGAGCAAGAGAGAGTGGCAGAGAGTACCACATACTTATACAACCAGATCTCACGAGTATTCACTATGCAAGTACAGCTCCAAGCCATGAGGGATCTGCCCCTGTGACCAAAACACCTCCTGCTAGGCCCCACCTCCAGCACTGGGGATTACAATTGAACATGAGATTTGAGTGGGGACAAATATCTAAACTATATCACAGTACATGAAGGAAACATTCATTACAGTAGTTTTCACAGAACCATGGTGGGGGAAGGAGCTTCTTTGAATGGTCTAAGAATTTGCATCACAAATTTCTGTTTTATTTGAAGATAACTTTTTTTTTGTTAACAGATATACATTAAAGCTGAGACCTTTTTTTTTTCTTTAAGACTAGTTAAGTGCATGTGTGAGAAGACAGAAAAGAGTAGAACAGGGAAATAGATCTGTAACTGACATGGGTACAATCTATTGAGATAACTCAGTAACTTTGGACCAGCCGGGCTTTTATTTGTAGTGTTGTTTCAGGAAACCAGTCCTCTAGTATCTTGCTTTTTATGTTATTTTACATTCAGTATTACCTAATTCCAGTTGTTTTGTTCTAAATTTTCACTTGCTTGCTCCTGGATTGTTTCTATTTTCTTTCTTTTTTCAGTTTCCAACACTTTTTGCTCTTTTGTAGCCATGTTTCTTTGCATGTCACTTTAGTAAGAAGTGACCACACATTTATATGTCAACTAAAAGAGGTCCAGGTTTTTACTTACTCTATTTGGAGTGTTGCACCGAATATGAATATGCTTCCCATTGAACAAATGCTTAAGTGTGTTAAGAATCAGATTGTTAAAATCCCTACCTTCAGAGGCACTGATGAAAGAGTCAAAGGAGTACTAAAATGCTAAAGTGCCTTGGGAAGCTTTCTCCCCAAATACATTGCAAAGGATAGATCAAGATAATATTTTCTCACTCTGTATCAGGGGAAAACAGAAAATTTATAATACCATGTATTTATAAAGTGCTTTAGGGTTTATGAATACTTACATTTCCATTGTTTAAACTGGACATGAATCTGGTCACAACCCTGTGAGCTTGCTAGGGATAGGGAATGTATTTCCATCCCCTCCCCTTCCTACCCGTTTTTTTTTTTTTTTTTTTTTTTTTGAGACGGAGTCTCCCTCTGTCCCCCAGGCTGCAGTGCAGTGGTGCGATCTCGGCTCACTGCAAGCTCCGCCTCCCGGGTTCACGCCATTCTCCTGCCTCAGCCTCCCGAGTAGCTGGGACTACAGGCGCCTGCACCACGCCCGGCTAATTTTTTGTATTTTTAGTAGAGACGGGGTTTCACCGTGTTAGCCAGGATGGTCTCGATCTCCTGACCTCATGATCCACACGTCTCGGCCTCCCAAAGTGCTGGGATTACAGGCGTGAGCCACCGTGCCCGGCCCCTACCCTTTTTTAACAAATGGAGCAACTGGAAGCTTAAGACACCTGCCTGAGGCTTCACAAGTAGGATTTGCTGAAATCTCCTGACACCTGATGGTAATCACAGCCAGCGCTTACATATCCCTGACTGCGCACCAAGCCCTGTGCCATGCACCTGACATGGGTTAACTAGCTTGTGTGCAGGTAGTTAATGCAAAACCCAGAATTCTGCCCACTATAGAACCTTGAATAGACATAAAGATTTTTGTTCTCTCTGTCAAAACAAAAATTTAATTCCTTTTGCTTTTACTACAATAGGAGTAAATAAAATGTGTTTACATTTTTATAAGGCCTATATAAACAGAACAGAAATTAGGGCAAAAGATGGGCTGAATTGAGGTTAAAGAGAATTGCTTATAGGAACCTACTTAATTTGCTAATTTTGTTTTCAGTCATCGTCCCTTCCTAATGCCACTTTAATTTAAAAAAATCTTTTAATTTTTCTTCACTATGCATAAAAAATATCCCCAAACTCTCTTACATTGTAGCATTTCCAGTCATTCTTTTCCATTTTCTTAGTATAGTATTTCTCCCTGTGTACTTGACTGGAATCTCCTTGTGTTTTCTGAACATGGCATGTGGCTTCATAGCTTTCACTTTGCTCCTGCTGTTCCTACACCCTGAAATGCCTTCCCCATTTTGGCCAGTTGAAATCCTGCTTATATTTCAAGACTCAGGCCAGAATCCACTTCTTCCATGAAAGCTTCCCTGACCCACCTCTCCCTAATCCCATCTCCTCTCCACCACTAGTCCACTAGTGCAAATTTAATAGCAGTTATTTCACATATTCACTAAATTGTACTTTCTTCATAAGTGACAAACATGTCATTCATCTTCATCTCCTCCCCAGGCTGTGTGTGTAGTGGTTACACAACGAATGCCTGTTGAATTAATCCATCCTAGTATTTACTATCAAATTAAAATTTTGGAGTACAGCTTTCATCATGTAACTCTTATCTTCAGAATATTTGGGTGAATCCTCCCTCTATGCCAGAATTAGATACAAAATTTTCAGTGTAGAATTGAAGGTGTTTCACAAATAGTGGAACTAACTTATCTTTGCAGCCATTTTTTCCCCCCATTTCTTACCTATATTCAGCTTCACTAACGTGTTTCCTTACTCTCTTCCCAAGGTACTCTGGGCTTCCCCCTTCCCTCGCTTGTGACTGACTTACCATTTTTTTGTGTGAAGGTTCCCTAGGCCACTCTTTGACAAACTTGAATTTGCATTCAGCCCACCTGAGTTCACATTCATTTCTCTCAAAAAAATTTTGAGTTTGATACTTCACTTTCTATATGTCTTTTTTCCCCACCTGCGTGGTTTTGTTTGTTGGCAGATGTTGTATTTTATAGTAATTTGCGTCTTTTATATGGATGCTCCAAAACAGTTCTTGATTGGTAATTATAAGCATGAACAGTTTTCATTATAGTTACCAAAAATGTTTCCTAAACCCATATGCCCTTTAGTCAGTGCTGGGAGTAGCCCCCTAATCAGTCTTTTTCTTGCCCTGAGTAAAGAGGCTTTTCCGCTTTTGGCCATTTCCGATATTCATTCATTAATTGATCAAGAATTTATCGAGTGCATACTAAGTGCTATGGCTAAAACAGTGAACACACCAGACAGAAATTCCACCATTTTGGTGTTTGTATTCACGTGTGACTAGAAGGAGAGCAGTAAATAAATAAATAAACAATATAGTATGATAGATAAGGGCAATGAAGAGAAATAAACCTGAGAGACGGATGCCAAGACTAGGAAATGCTGAGAAGTGGCTTATGTGGGGTTATAATTTTCAAGGGAGGGTAGGGTGGTCCGGGAATGGCTCATTAGAAACCTACTTTTGAACAAAGACCTGAAGGAGATGAGGAGGGGAGATCTGCATGTAATCTGGAGGAAGAGCTTTCCAAAGACGGAACAGCAGGTGTAATGATACCGAGTTGAATGTGTGTCAGACTTGGTAAAGGGTCAGGAGGAAGGCCAGGTTGGCTAGAGCAGTGGGTGAAGACATAAGATGAGGTCAAGAGGGGAGAGGGATCAGATCTTCTCTGGGGCCTGGGTGTCACCATAGGGGTTTTGGCTTTTATTCAGAATTAGTTGGGTAGGCAGTGGAAGACTTTGAGCAGTTTTTGTTTGGTTCTTGTTAAGAGGATCACTTTGCTTGCTGTGTTAAGAGGAAAGGCAGAGATAGGTAGAAGAAGAGGGGCTGGCAGTGGCTGTTGAAATGAGCCAGGTGAGAGATGATGGTGACTTAGACCAGTATGGTAGCTGTGTAAGTGATGAGAAGTGATCTGCTTCTGGATATATTTTGGCCATGGAGCTGGCAGAATTTGCAGACATGCTGTGAAGGGATTGAATCATCCAGGTAATTTTTTTTTTTTTTTTTTGAGACAGAGTCTTGCGCTGTTGCCCAGGCTGGAGTGCAGTGGCGTGATCTCGGCTCACTGCAAGCTCCGCCTCCCGGGTTCAAGAGATTCTCCTGCCTCAGCCTCCCGAGTAGCTGGGACTACAGGCACCCGCCACTATGCCCAGCTAATTTTTTGTATTTTTAGTAGAGATGGGGTTTCACTGTGTTAGCCAGGATGGTCTCGATCTCCTGACTTTGTGATCTGCCCTCCTCAGCCTCCCAAAGTGCTGGTGTTACAGGTGTGAGCCACTGCACCTGGCCTTTTTTTTTTTTTTTTCCAAGATGGAGTCTCACTCTGTTGCCCAGGCTGGAGTGCAATGGCGCTACTTGGCTCACTGCAACCTCTGCCTCCCGGGTTCAAGCAATTCTCCTGCTCTCCTGCCTCAGCCTCCTGAGTAGCTGAGATTACAGGCATGCGCCACCATGCCCGGCTAATTTTTTATTTTTAGTAGAGACAGGGTTTCACCATATTGGCCAGGCTGGTCTCAAACTCCTGACCTTGTGATCCTCCTGCCTCGGCCTCCCAAAGTGCTGGGATTACAAATGTGAGCCACTGTGCCCAGCCCCACTCAAGTAGTTTTTATGATAGAATGATTAGAATAAAGCCATTCCTTTTCCAGTGAATTCTCCTTTTGCCTCTCCCACCCATGCAAAGATACATCCTAGTCCAAAATAGGGGGATAGTCACCAAACATTTTGTTAAATATGAGAGAAAAACAAGTGACCTCTCCTACACAGTCACTAGATGGCACAGCATCTTTTCAGTCAATTATATTTTTTGACTTTTTATTTTGAAATAATTGATCTCAGAGGAAGTTGCAAAAATAGTACAGAGAGATCCCCTGGATTCATCACTCAATTTCTCCTAGTTGGAACATAACTATATAGTAGTACATTATCAAAACCAGGAAACAACATGGTCACAATACAGTTAACTAGATGCAGACCTTACTCCAAATTCACCAGCTTTGGCAGCACTCTTTTTCTTACCATGTATTTTTATATGGCATTAGGGTACAGCTTTTTGGGTTTCAGATGAGAATTATCATCATTAATCTCCCACACACAGGCCAATGATTGTGGAATACAGTTATTCCTATCAATGTTTATATGTTAAGTAATATATAACATATATTACTTAAATATATATGTCAAGTAATAACATGTATTACTTAAATATATATGTCAAGTAATATAACATATATTACTTAAATAATATGTTATATATAATATGATAAAATAATATATATTAACATATATATTACATAACATAAACATGGATGTTTATAAGTTAAGTAATATATGGGGCTTACAGATTGTTCTAAGTATTCCCAAATGGCTTTTCTACAGTAAAAATATGTACTTTCTTTTTTCTCACTCTCTTCCCTCATCCCTCCTTCTCTTCTTTCTCTTTTTTCTTCCTCTCTCTCTTTTGTTTTTCCCTTGCCCTCCCTTGCTGTCTTTAGTACTAAGGAAGAGGTTGGGAGGGAGAGATGTTATTCATTTAAAATTAAAGAAAAGAAGAGTGGCTTTGCCTTCTCCAATAGGAGTAAATTTTAAGAGCCTTGTTTCCTATTCAGCTAAATTCAATAATCTGCAGATGTCCCATTGGTAAAGATCAAAATGTTTTGTTCCTGCCACATACTGGAATTCTCTATGATCTTTCTTATTTTAAAATCACATAAATTTATTGTTTTTTATTGTGGACTACCATTTATCAACAATTCTATGTTCAGAGCTATGTTCAAAGAGGAAGGAAAGAATAAATTCAATCAACAGCAGAAGATTTTGGAATGGTGCATGATGAATCCTCCCTGGATATCTCATCTCTTGCCAGTTACTGTTATGGGACCTTGGCAAATTGCTTCATCTCTCTGCCTTAGTCTCCTCATCTATAAGATGAGATAATAATAGAACTGCCTTCATTAGATTAGGATAAATAATGTTTTTAAATACCTAGAATTGTGTCTGGCACATAGTAAGTGCTATAACATTATTTTGTAAATTAAAAAATACCTGAGGGTAGAATTTACATTAATATTAGTAAAAAGTCATTGGAATGGAAAATATGTAAATATTTTCCAATTCATTTGTTTCTTCAATAAATACATAATTGGGTTAACACAGTTCAGTATTATTATTTAGTAGAAGTATTGAATCTCAGTATTTATATTGTATTTATGCAAATAACTAATAAGAATCTTTAAAGCTTTAAAAAGTCACGAATTGAGATTGATTGTCAGTTTGATAATAGTTGCCAAAGATTTTCACTTTTGCTAATGAATGTCTCTGGTAGAGGAAAAGAAGTACCTTGGGACTCCATGGGTGAAGGAGAGTTACATATTTAACATCTGTGTAGTGTATGAAGGAGAAGGTTGTACTTGGGAAAACTTGTTTAATTCTGGATTTCCCATTCTGAAGAAACCTTTTTTATTTTTTTCCCTAATAATTGCATAAGAGATTGTCTTAGAATTTTTCACACAGAGACTGTGTAAGTTGATACTTAAAAAAATGTGTTAGTAGAATAACAATCTTAGCTCAGTATCAGCAAAGATATTAAAAGATTTGTTTTCTCAGCCTATCCTGTTGTTTTAGTGATTCAGCCTTTTACTGGCAGTACTTCCTACTTGATCAATTACTTTTCTTATTTTAAAGGAGCCTAAAGTGCTATCATTTTTATTGGATACACTGTCTCCCACCTACTTAGCAAACAACTGAAAAGCAATTAACTTTTAAAAAGAGAAAAGACATAATTTAATATCAATTTCATACTGGTGTTTTCTGAGCAGGAAGTGCTCACCTGTGTGGGGTTGATGGGTGGAGCTCTTCTGGTGAAGCCTGTTCTGCAAGTGTGAGTTTAGGCTGGGGCGTTTCTGTGGTGTTGCAAAGCAGTATGTGCTGAGAGAGGAGGATTAAGCTCCTGGAGGCAGAGCTCTCCCACACACTTGCTGGCTTGCTGGGCTCCACTGACTGGACTGAAAACAGGGCCAAGAAAACTGCTGCTGCAGGGGGTCCTGAAAACAGCTGGAACCCGGCAGTGATGTGGGACCTAACTTGAAGTTAACCTGTGGTGGTGAGGTTGGAACCAGTTGGATTATGATTTATTTTCTACACTCTTGTACGGAATGCAGAGCTGTTGTATCCTGATGAATCTACTGCTAAATATAGTCATTTGGAATAATTTTAAGTATTGATCTTAAAACTTGTACCACAACAAGAGGTAAGGAGATCTCAATCAGTCATTTAAATATTTGACTCAAGCAACATTCAGAATTTTTCACTGAAACTATGTTTAGATTATATTTGGGCACATGTTACCTTGGTTGCTCTCTTAGGTAAATGGTTAATTATTTAATTATCTAGAAATTCAGCACTTGAACATTAGTATTTGTCATGTTTGTCAAAAAGTTTATACTTTTTGAAGTAGGCTTTGCTGATTGTACAACACAGATGTTCCCAGTCGGTTTCAAGAAATATCTTTTTTTCTCCTATTTCCAATCAGCTTATTTCTTGTTTTCTATACATTAGTTTAATATAATAAAAGTTTTTATGATTAAAAGAACCTGCCTTTATTTCTTAAGCAGCCAGCTTATATCATCTTTTTAATTTTTTTCCTGGTGGGTTAATAATATTTCAATTATTGATTAATGGAAATGGGCAGTGCTAATGCACTTAAAATAATTTGGTAGACTGTGTAAAGAGGCTCCTCAAGTTTGCACGAAGAAGTAACCTTTCTGGCCTTTTCCCTTCAAGTATGGTTCTTCCCCGCCTCTTTGGTATTGGCATTGGTAAGGATAACCATCTCCATCCATAAAATATTTTGTATTAAATCTCAGAGATTTTACCACTAAGGTGGTGTTCCGTATGTATATGGTGTTTCTTTAGACCTCGGTAATAAATGCCTTTCATTAAAATAACATGGAGACCAGAATTTTCTCTGAATCACAAATCAGCCCTTAATAGGGCTGATTAGTATGTTCAACTTCTTAACAGAGGTTGAACATTTTTCTTTCCAGGATTGTTGCACTAGTGCTTAAATGACAGCAATATTTTAATTTTTAAAACCATAAATGGGGGAATTTCAGAATTTAGAGCTCATTTTCATAGTCAGCTTTTTAAAAAAGCATCTACTGCTCATATAATAATGGTTTGAACTATGATTTCTTTTTTTAAAAAAGAATGCTATATGGCATTTAGTGGAAGATAGAAATCTAAAATGTCTTAGGTTAAGTTTATATTTAAGAAAATTAGAGCAGGAAGGACTAGAAAGTGATGCCATGTTCTCAGTGCTGATTCCAGGATAGATAGCCAGATTCCAGGTTCTGGAAAGCTGAGTCAGTTTTCTGGTTAGCCCTGTACCTCAGGGATTCTCAAAGTTTTCAGATGAAATGTAACAAGAAATTGTAGTAGTAATAATAGCTCCTATTGATTGACACAGAATTTAATGTTTGGCACATACACTTCATGTAAGCATCATAGTAACCTTAGTGAGAGCTGTTGTTAGGGTCATTTCCATTGTGAGTGAAAGAATTGAGACTTAAATAGGTAATTTGCTCAAGATCTTGCAACTGGAAAGTGATTAGGGACTGAATTATAACCCTTTGGTCTGATTCCAAAGCCTATTTCTTTAACAAGAACTCATTGTCAGTTCCATACTCACCAAATATAGAAACTTTCCCCTCTACTTCCTGCAAAACAAAACAAAACCCACAAAATCAAAAACCACCTCTGATAGTATCAAAGTTCCACACCAAACTTCATAGCTTAATAAAGTGCAGAGGACTGTGACATTAAAGTACATGTGATTACAATTTAATCTGACAAAAATTTATCTCAAAAGAGAGTTTTTACACCATTAAAATTAAGGTTCTAAGTTTTCCAATTTCTAGAACTAATGTATATTTTGGTAGTCCTGTTACCTTTGATGTACCTGAATTCCTAAGAATTTGTGTGTGTTATATTTAATTTTTGTAAGAATACACAAGCATGTCTTCCTGAGATAGTACTAGCTTTTAAGCTTCTTATCAAGTAGTACTAGTTCATCCTGGAAAAATAAGAGCCCAGACAATTTAAAATTTCTTAGCAGGTTTTAAAATCTATATTCTGTATATAATATCCCATTCCAATTTTAAAATACTTTAAGTGTCAGGAATTTATATCTACTTCATGTTTTTTCCTCCTGCTTCTGGTAAAATGCAAATCTTCCTTTTCTGTTTTTAGAAATGAAATTAGTCATAGTCTCTTATATAATAACCGAGGTGGTAAAGTCAGCAAGTTAAAAATACTTCTTACTTTGATTTTGTACCAAGTCGAGAAACAGAACCAATCGTATTTATTATTTTAAATTTGTAATTTAAATTTCGAAATAAAAATTAGTATCACTTTTAGCAGGAAAAAGGTGTAACTTATTTATATCAACCTAAAATAACATAATCTAAATTTGAACCTTCTTTGATATTTATAACTGAAATCTGTAGCTTCTAGAAAAGTAAGTGTGTAATGTAGATAATAATAGTCTTATCTTAACCGTATGACCATTTTCCCAAGGGAACTATGATTTTTAAAGGTCTAGCATGAGCAGGTTCTGTGTTGTAACAGTTTGTGTACTCCTCTAGGAAGGGCAGCAGCATAGTGATGTTGCTTTGGTTTCATCTTTAACCCTGGAGAAGAGATACAGTTTTATTCAAATATCCCAATATTTTAGTTAACCATTGGTATGCCATTCAACATGAGTTGTGCTGGATATTCTGAAGAAGCAGTTTGTGGCCCATTTTCTGCTCTCTTTCTCTCAGTGAATTGTTGTTACCTCTTCTGTGTCTAAAAGATTCTTTTCTAAAATCTACTACAGATTTATTTTCTAGATCCCTTAATGTTATTCATTTGCATTCCAGTCAGTAATGCCTTTTGAAATGTCTACTCTTCTCTCATAATTAGATAGAACCCTGTTTGAATTATATAACTGTTAGTAGCTTTCCCATTTTTCAGTCAAGAGCCATTACTAGTGGTGCTATTTTAAATGTGGCCTTGCATGTATATGAATTTCTGAGATACTTGGTTTTATTCCTTTGAGGTTGGAATAGCAAACTGTTTCATTTAATTCCTGATCCGGTCCCAGATAGCTTTTCTGAGACAGCCCTTGCAGCTGTTATATACATCAGTTAAAGAACTGTGTTTTTTTCCTCTTACTTCCAAAGTTGTTTGTGATATATTGATCAAAAGTGATTCTGTACTTTCCTACTCTACAATAGCTTTGTAGTACATTAAAATTCAAGACTCAATTTATCTAAAAAAAATTTTTGACATATACTTGGGATAGGAGTGGGGAATGAAGCCCAAGGCTGAAAAACTGTTATATTCCTGATTTTAAAAAGTGGTTCCTAGAGAGACACTGAGAATTTTGCTTTGTGAGCGTCAACCTGATAGATTATAAGTTTTCAGAAGTTCAGAACATACAGATGATATTTACCTTATTTTTCTTTTACTGCAGTAAACTCTTGAAACCTATGTCAAAAAATAATTTTTATAAAGTATGTGGCATTTTCTAATACAAAGAATATTATAAGTGACCATTGTACTGTTGACCAAGGACTTGCAAGCAAATAAAGAAGTAAACAACAGTATACCATATGGCATGACCAGCAACTGTGAATGTCCTTAGCAATTAAAGGTAGTACAAGCATCAAGTCCAAGAAACAGTTATAAGCATGTTATGTAAATTAGTTATGTAAGGACTCCTTATTACTACTAAGCATTCATGGAACTAAATAATTAAAATTAATTTAAAAAGTGTTAAACCTAATATGCTTAATAACCTTTAACAGTGATTTTTTTATCTTAAATTTTTATACCAGCCTTTTTCCAAGATGATTTAGAGAACCTAATTTTTTTTGACAAAGTTCTCCAATGACGTTTTAAATGATGTCTTTTTTTCTCCTGATAAATTTCCCTAAACTAAAGGTATGTTTCTTAGATTTTAGAGCTTTGTATGCTATTGACACTTCATACATTCTCAGAGTACTTTATGATTTCTCAGGTATTTTCATTAAAATCTAGAATCGTATTGTCTGGTTAAACTTCTCATTTTTCATATTACTAATCTGAGGTCTAAACTGCTTAATTTCCTTTTCTAAAATCTTATAGTGAGTTATTGGCAGAATCGGGATTAAAACTGTCTCTCCACATTCTTGGTCTGGTACTTTTTCACTAGCACATACCTTAGCCAATGATGTCATGATTGGATGGATGACCTTAATTAGACTATATGTCTTATTATTGGAAAACAATAAAAGCTTTCAATGACTAGGTCATTGGTTCAAGGATGTATTTTTAAATCTTCAAATAGGATTGCTAACATTTTATGCTTACTACATGTTTTTACCACACACACAACTGTGTATTTAGATATTATAGGATATTACCGAATAAACTAAAGAAAATGAATTGAAATATGAATAATAAATTATCTTGATAATTAGAAATAGATATATAGAAGAGAGGAAAGGAATAAAGTTTTGTAATTCTGATAACTTATTACATTTAAGTTATTACACAGAATGTGATGGGAGATAATTAGAATTTATTTAACATACCTGTTCTTTTGATATCAACTTTTAAGGAGGTAATTCGGATGATTAGAGACTTGTTTATATTTTGAATGTGAATTATTTTGAATGTGATGTTAATACAAACAGATTAAATTAGTTAATACATGTAAAGCCCTGGCACACAGTAAAATAGTAAGCACTCAATAATCATTATGTATACAATAATTATCGTTATGGTATTACTGTAGCATCTAGATTTTCCTTCAATTTTTGTTGACTATCTGGGTTAGGATTTACCTTTTCCTTCATACTGCCTTTGTAGGACTGGGAGCAGGTCAGTGGGTGGTGCCAGAGAGAGGGCAGAGCTATCACAAAACAGACCAGAAGATTCACAGAGATAGGAATAGTCAGTGACAGAATTTCTTCAGCATGTCCTTATTCCATCAAACAAAACTTGGCTGGGTTTACTTTGCAAGAAACCCCTTTACTCTGATTTGAATGATATTTTTTGTAAAACTGGAAAAACACATCGCCAGAGTTATTCATGTGTATTTTTAGTCATTGGCTTAAAGAACTTTTATATCATTAGTCATAATGATATGAAAGCCTTATTTATGTTAAAGTCTTTTTGTGTTATAAAAAGGAAAAGTTTCAAAAGGGTATATTTTTCTATAGAATACTTGTAATATTTCTGTATTATTGGAAAAAGTATTTGTTCAGTTCCTTTAATATTTACATTGCATATTGAAATCTTGCCCAACTACCTACAAATTTTTATTTAAAAGATTTGTAGAGTTATTACTCTAGTGAATCACAGATTAATTTGAGTCCAGTTATTTGTAAATAAAAGCTTTGTTGGTTAAGCTTACACTAATTTAACTGATATAATCAAGGCTATAGACTGAGTAAGATTCATATCACATATTTCCCAAGATGAATGCGAACTAAAGTTTTTCAGAAACTTTCTCAGTTGCCTAAAGATCCTTTTGGGTCATATAACAATGCTTGCTAAAGATAAGTTTAGTTTTACAACTCTTGGCAATATTCCTTTTAATAAATTTGAAAATACTAAGTACACAGTTCACTTCAACTACTTACTTAAGACTCTAACTGTAAATCGATGTCATTTTTCTTTGCTGCTATTTAAGGTATTTGCTGATGCCTATTGTTGTTTTTCCATTCTTTCTTGGTGCTTTCACCCAATACAGTTCTTCTGTGTTTGTCTTCCTTTACTAGAAGTTCACATCTAATATGTTTACAGTATTCTTACATTTATTACAGTTGCTAAGACGGAACTTTGCCCTGGCTTAAGGCTGTTATTTTTTTAAATTGCCACTTGCCTTTTCAAGTCTATTGCACTCATTTATGTCACTGCAAAGGATACAAGGAAAGTAGGAGTATAAAAGTATTTAAAAATATAAAAGCATAAAAGCAAGCCTTCTGCACGTTCTGCACTTGTATCCCAGAACTTCAAGTATAGTAATAAATAAATAAATAAAAATAATAATAAAAAACAAAGTCAGAAGCAAGAAAAGAAAGTAGTTACAAATTTAGTGTACCTCATTCAAAACTTAAACAAGACAAACTAAAATATCAGCTTAATAGATGGAGAGAAATCATTTGATAAAGGTCAACACTTGTTCCTTTTATATATCTTAGCAATTGGGGATAGGTAATTTCTGTATATTTAAGGTTTCTACCCAACAAACCCAAGTGAATTTTATTCTTAATGGTGAAACATAAGAAATAATCTATTTAAAGTCAGGAACAAGAGAGGCATTTATTGGAGGTCCAGTGAAGTTAGACAAAAAGAATTAAAAGGATTGGAAGGGAAGAATCAAATGTGTATTATTTGCAGATTTATAAATCCAGATGATTCTACAGTCAAATTTTAAGAAATAATAACAGAGTTCAGCAAGGTTGCTGAATAAAAGATAAATAATACAAAAATAACAATAGCACATTTATTAAGTTTTTCTGTCTAGCACTAAGTGCTTTATAATTTTAACTCATTTAATTCTCACAATAATGCTGTTCAGTAGTTATTATTTTAAACTTTTTTTTTCTTTTTCTTTTTTTTTTTTTTTGAGACCGGGTCTTGCTCTTGTCACCTAGGCTGGAATGCAATGGCACGATCTCAGCTCACTGCAGCCTCCGCCTCCAGGTTCAAATGATTCTCCTGCCTGCTGAGTAGCTGCGATTACAGGTGCCCGCCACCACACCCGGCTAATTTTTGTATTTTTAGTAGAGACAGGTTTTCGCCATGTTGGCCAGGCTGGTCTCGAACTCCTGACCTTGTGATCTGCCCGCCTTGGCCTCCCAAAGTGCTGGGATTACAGGCATGAGCCACCATGCCTGGCCTAAACTTTTTCATAGATGAGGAAAATGAAATACTGAGAATTTAAATATTTCTCCATAATCATACCGTTAGGAGCTGCAGAGGCAAGATTGGAACCCCAGAGGTCTGACTCCTGAGTCTACCCTTTGCAACCATGCTAATTGCATTTCTGTACACCAATAATAAATGATTAGAAAATGTAATTTAGAAAACACCATTTTATAACATCAAGAAAGTCATAAAGTTCCTAAGACTATCTACAACAAAAGTTCGTAAGACTTTTATGAAAGGAAATTTGAACAATTTATTGAAGGACATAAGCAAATTGTAAATAAGTGGAGAGATCTATTATGTTCATGGAAAAGAAAGCTCAGTATCATAAAGAAGTCTGTCCTCCAAAATAATCTATAATTCAGTGCAGCTTCAATGAGATTCCAAAAAGTTTTTTTTCTCCTTCTAATTTGACAAGCTGATTCTAAAATTTATGTGAAATGGGAAATGGCTAAAAATAAGGCAGTTTTAGAAAATAATAGTGAATGAAGGGACTCATCTTTCCAGTTAAGACTTACAAATTAAGAAAGTGAGGTATTGATAGAGAGAAATGAGACAACTCAGAAACAGACGTCTTACATGCTATATGCATTTTTCACGTAAGATAGAATCAGTCTTACAATTCAGTGATAAAAAGGTTATTCGATTAAAGATGGCAGAATAGTTGATTATACATATGGAAAAAAGTATATATCTCTCCCTAAAAAACATGAAAAAGCAAAAGTTTTTAGAAGAAATAGGGCAATATGTTTATGACTTATAAGGAAAATCTCTTGAAGTACAGAATGATTTCTGTACCTAAAGACATTTAAAAATTTGTGCAATAAAAGATAAACCATAGACTTGGAGTCAGTCTTTATAATACGTAAAGGATTCATTTCTGTATTATGTGAAGAATTCTTATTCATCAGTAAGAAAAAGACAACAAAATAGAAAAATGGGCAAGGATATGATCAGTTATTTCACTGAAGAAGAAAACTGAATGGCCATATGAAACATATGAAAACAATGCCTATTCTGATTAGCAGTCACAGAAATGCGTATTAAAGTGAAATATAATTTCAGAAATTTGACAGAGCTAAGTAGAACAAAGATTTGAAGAATGAGGACTGAAAAATACATCTAATTAGAGTGTATATTGATAAATCATTTTAGATAATATTTTAGCAAAGTTGAAATATGGTTGAAAAGTAGCATATTCTATAACCCAACAATTTTCCTCCTAAACGTGAGTGCCAGAGAAGTCCTGTCACTTGTGCCCAGGGAGACACTTACCAGATTATACAGTGTAGTCAGGATTGTAAGAACAAACACTTGTAAACTCTGACAGCAGGAGAATGGAAATATAAGTTGTGGTATATACTTAAAAGAGAATATTGTAATGTAGTTTAAGTGATATACTGAACCACAAGTGCCGTGGATAAATCTCAGAATACACAGTTTTGCAGAAAGTTTGATATCAGATGATTCCATTTCTGAATTTGAAAAACATGCAAAATGTTAGTATTGTTTATGGCTACATACACATGTCGTTACAGTATGTCGTTACATGGATGGAAATGATAAATGCTAAATTCAGGATACAGGTTCTCTCTGTAGGAGAATAGGATTGCGGAAACAGTGGCTTCAGCTCTATCTTTTATACTTAAGGGAAAATAATCTGAGGAAATAATGTGGCACAATGTTAAGATTTGAAAAACCTGCATGATGAGGACATGGATATTTATCATATTATTCTCTTAAATATTTCTGTATAATCAAAGTATTGAGCAATTTTTAAAAATAAGTACATTGACATTGGGCTCTAATACTTTCTATCAGTACGTTAGCTCCTGATTTTCCAGGGCAGTCATACCCCAGGCCTGTGTCTTCTGGTCGTGTTTTCCAGTTAGTGTATCCTAAAACTGGTCTCTAGAGACTTATGTGAATACAAAGCTGATTAAGCATTAAGCCAGTAGGCTTTTAAATAGTAGTCAGGTTAAAACTAGGTATAATACAATAGGAGTTTTGTTTCAGCACTTTTTTCCAATTCTTAACATTTGTTATATTTTCTTTTGAAGAGCAGAATTTTCAGAACATTTTTAGTTCATTAAATGGATTTGATAGTTGTCTAGAGAAAAATTCTTTCTTCATATTCATTAGCGTGAATAGATATATTGTCGTGCTTTAAATAAAAGCAATTTATGGAATTTTAAATTAAAATTCAAATCTTTTAATATCTGTTTAACATAAAGTACTTTAAGGTATGCAACAGAGACTGAGAATGATAGAATTTGTGAGATTATAAGAGAACCTTAAACATTATGTAATCCAGTTGCCTGTATTTGTATTCTCCTCACTTAAATTTCTACCCAGTGGTTATCTAATCTGTTTGGGAACTTTGAATAAAAGACAGGATATTATATACAATCTGTAAAAATCCACTGGACATGTTAAACATTACAGTCATACCTTATTATACCTTTGGTTTAATCAGAACAATCTGCACAGGTATTAATATATTCCCACTACTACATTCTAATTTTGTCTCCTTGACGTTGTGAATTTTTTACCTTTCCTAAAATTTGATGTATATAATCAAATAAACTTACTGCTGAGGCCATTATCTTGGGACAGACCATTTTCCTATACACCCTCAGAAATTAATCCAAGCCCAGATTTATCTTAAGTCAGTCTAGAACATTTCTGGGAACCAATTCCTAGAACTTTAGAGAAAGTATTATGAGCAAGCAAGAATTCGTTGGGATTGCTGGGGAAGTATTACGCTGGTGTAATTAAACAGCACTGCCCTGCCTCTCCATGCCAAGGTTCACTATGGCTTAACGAACTGCATGTTTTTTAGTATCTCTCTATAAACTGGTTATTGGTATCATAAAGATTTACCTTGGAGATACTAGGTCGTGTGTCATACTGCAAAGGCTTTTAACTACTGGAAAGACTGGCCTGGTAGGGTTTGTCTTTGGTTTAAAAAAAGATTGCAAATATAAAGTGTGTCATGTCTAAATAACATTGTGGCACATGTTGTATTTTAGCTCTGAAGTAGGAAATTTGAATACAAAGTAGTATGGTTTGCTTTTGTCTAAGTATTGTTTGCATTTTATTTTTTATATATTTTATCTGTGGAAATACCATTGGTATCATTTTAGTGTCTCTAATCCAGGATGTTTGGTGGACCTTAATCCTCACAGCCTTGCTTGCCAGTGTTCTGTAGAAATGGGTTTGTAAGCACTTAATCATCTAACCCCACATCCTGCCTTCGTCAGTAGAAATCTTCTGATAGAATTAACAGTATTAGATACTTTCCTCCTCAAAAGGTAGTAACTAGTAATATTGAACAGGAAAGCAACAGGTGGGGATCAGTGCTTGTGTCCCAAATAAGCTCTTTTTGGTTACTTTAATGTCTAAGAAATGGGAAGAAAGTTTAAAATGAAGAAAACTAATTTAAGAGATTTATATTTGGAAGTGTTACTAGATCCTCAAATTTGAGTATAATTAAATTGAATAGTTTTATTTAAATCTCCAAGGCAGGGAAATTAATCTATCTTGATAAATAATTGATTATTTAATTATGTATGCCAGAACTTCTTACTGTCTACCACAATGAAGAGGAGTCCAATTAAAATAACATCACCAGCAGCGCTGAAACTATGCAGAACATAGTTTAATCTTCCTTTGAAGGCTTTTGGAATCACGTAAGACTTTATGACTAGTCACCATTATGAATATCCATTATTTCAGTGTCTCAGATTGGGATGTAGATGGGCAAGAAGAGACCATATCCACCCCTCCCACTCACACACCCAGTTTAGATGTGAAGTTCTAATCTACGTAGCAATGTTTTGTGGAAAGGTGACAATGCAAAGTGGCCATTCAGAGTAGAAGCCAGAGCTGCACGTATGTCAGCACAGTTTCCCAGAGCCCTGGAGTGCCAAATGGGGGCACAGAGTTGCCAGTGACACCCTCCATTATCTTAATTTTATGCTCTGTTGCAACTCTTACTTAATTGCGCCTTGTGTCACTATTTAGGAAAAATAAACATGAATACTCTTTACCCTAACAGGAAAAGATAGCCACGTTTCCTTGTTCCTGATCTAAACTTGCCAAACCAAGAAGCAGAGTCAGTTACCTAATGTCCTGGGAAGTCCAGTTGTGCACAGACTGCTTTTGACTAGTGAGGTGTTATTGTGTAGTAGAGTTTGTTTGGAGGATCATAACTATAAATATGTTTCCGTTGACTTACCACTGAATTGTGAAGATGTATGTTTATTGGTCAGTATATAATTCCAGTTATAAAATTGCTAATCGATGTGAAGGAAATGAATGTGTTCTTTTCTCTACTGTTGAGAAGCCTAGTTCAATATGGCAGACTACTGCTGCAGTTTAAAAAATGTTCTCCCTTCATTTGTGTTGAAAATGGTCACTTTTTCCCTTTCTTTCTTTTGGATACTATTACTACTGACTCAGGATTTTTATTTATTTGATCTTTTATGATCAGTTATAACCATTCTTTATGATGTGTGGATCGTCCCAGATGTGTCCACAAGAGTCTGACTCAGGGATCCCTCAGCTGTGGGCATCCCCTTGCTTTCTGTGACAAGCTTTCCATTCTCATCTTCTGCTTTGCCTGCTTCTGACTTGCATTCTGGGTTTGTTTTGATAAGGAATTTTATTTAGCACCCAAGATCTGAGACCAGAGGTCTTCATTGCAACCAATATATCATTATTTCTAAGCCTTTTAAAGTGGATAGAGCTTCAGGAAAGTGTGTGAGTGTTTTAATCATGAGTTCATGTTGATGTTTCCAAGTCAAAGTTGACATTACAGGTTTTTCTTCTTAACCTTTTAGATCTTATAATTGTATCTCATTTTCTCTCACATGGAAAATCTTTGTTTTGTCCCACAATATGTATAAAGTTGTTACCAATATTATTACCAATAGTAAAGGAGTTGGATGAAGTTAAATATTACTTTGCAGGAGTTTTTTGGTCCTTAGAATATATCCCACTAAGCACGTGGTCCTTTTTTAAATATTTTAAATTTAGTTTTGAACATGTAGAAAGAACATTAACATGATTCAGAAGTCAAGCTATATAAAAAAGATACACTCAGGGAAGTTTCACATCCTATTCTTACCCTTTACCCTTTCCCCACCTGTTGTTTTTAACCCATTTTTATTAGCTTCTAGTTTATCCTTCTAGTATTTCTTTTTGCAAAAATAAGCTCACATGTACATGCATATTTGTGTGGGTGAATTTGTGTGTGATGTGTGTATTCCTCATCCTTTCTTATGCTAAATATGCTGTTCTCTGCTTTGCTTTTTTGACTTAATGTATCCTGAAGATTACTCCCTATCAGTAGGTAGAGATCCTCCTTAAAAATAAAAAAAAAGCCAACCAATAATCCTCTGTGCAGATGTACCATAATTTATTCAACCAATTCCCTATTAATGCTCTTTTGGGTTTCTGATAAACATATTTGGTTATTTTTAAAGGAACCCAGTGTTTTAAAATGTTTTGAAATGTTTAAAATTGTTTATTTGTAAACTCTCTATTCTGGCCTATGCTCCCAGCCTTTACATACCCCTTGAGCCTCATTTCATACCACTGTCCCGTGGCTCCCTACCCCTCTCATGGCTTCCAGCTCAGATATGACTTCCTCAGAGAAACTGTTCCTTAACTCTCTGTTTAATGCAGTTTCTTTCAAGTCACTAATACGTCACCCTGTTTATTTTTTTATTAGCCACTATAAATAATCTGATATTACTTTGTTGCCTTCATTTAGGCAGTATCATTTAGTGGATAAGAGTTTGGACTCTGTGCTAAATGCCCTGATTCGGAATCCTGGTTATGTGACAGTGGGCACATTAACTTAGCATTCTCTGCCTCAGTTTATTCCTCTAAAAATGGGTATAAATATTTTCCTAATAGTGGGCTGTGAGAAATGAATGATTAATAAATATAAACACTTAGGTAGTTACTTGCACATACTAAGTGTAAAGTAAATGCTGGCTATATCCGTATTACTATTTAATCATTCATTGTCTGCCATCAGTAAGCTCTGTGACAGCAAGGACCTTGTCTCTCCTGTTCCCCATCGTAATCTCATGACTTAGAGCAGTTCCTAGGTTATGGCAGACACTTACTCATTTGTTGCTAAATGATTAATAGTTAATATTCACTTTCCATTCCTTTGAAACATTCTTAGAAATATGTTACTTAAAGAATGCTTTCTTATATACATCATATGCAGTTACCAAATTTGACAATTATTTTCATCAGATTCAGCATCAAAATATAAATGCCTACTGTTAACATGTATTTTGGAAGTTTTGGACAAAATCTGAAACAGAAATCAGAAGCTTTTACTATCAGACAAAAGCTAGAATGGCCATATTTACTTTGACACAGTTACATATCCATGAAATTCAAAAGAATCAACTAATATCCTTCTAAAATTATTGAGAGTTTAGTAAATGATCAGATGTGAGCTATGCATTAAGAAATTGTTTTCCCAGAATAGAGAACTCAGAAATAAGATTGCACACCTACAACCATCTGATCTTCAACAAACCTGACAAAAACAAGCAACAGGGAAGGTATTCCGTATTTAATAAATGGATTGGGAGAACTGGCTAGCCATACGCAGAAAATTGAAACTAGACCCCTTCCTTACACCTTATACAAAAATCAATTCAAGATGGATTAAAAACTTAAATGTAAAACCCGAAACTATATAAACCCTAGAAGAAAACCTGGGCAATACCATTCAGGACATAGGTATGGGCAAAGATTTCATGACGAAAACACCAAAAACAATTGCAACAAAAGCAAAAATTGACCAATGGGATCTAATTAAACTAAAGAGATTCAGCACAGCAAAAGAAACTATCATCACACTGAAGAGACAGCCTACATAATGGAAGAAAATGTTTGCAGTCTATCCATATGACAAAGGTCTAATATCCAGAGTCTACAGGGAACTTAAGTTTACAAGAAAAAAACAACCCCATTAAAAAGTGGGCAAAGGATATGAACAGACACTTCTCAAAAGAAGACACTCATCCTGCCAACAAACAACACTGGTCGTTAGAGAAATAGAAATCAAAACCACAATGAGATACCATCTCACGCCAGTCAGAATGGCGATTATTAAAAAGTCAAGAAACAACAGATGCTGACAAGGTTGCAGAGAAAAAGGAGCACTTTTACAATGTTGGTGGGAATGTAAATTAGTTCAACCATTGCAGAAGACAGTGTGGCAGTTCCTCAAAGATCTGGAAGCAGAAATACTATTTGACCCAGCAATCCCAAACAAATGTAAATCATTCTGTTTTAAAGATACACGCACCCGTACGTTCACTGCAGCACTGTTCACAACAGCAAAGACACAGAATCAACCCAAATGCTCATCAGTGATAGACTAGATTAAAAAAAAGGGATACATATACATCATGGAATACTATGCAGCCATAAAAGGAACAAGATTATGTCCTTTGCAGGGACATGTTTGGGGCTAGAAGCCATTATCCTCAGCAAACAAAGGCAGGAACAGAAAACTAAACACTGCATGTTCTCACTTATAAGTGGGAGCTGAACAATGAGAACACATGGATGCATGGGGGGAACAACACACAGTGGAGCTTGTCGAGATAGTTACGGGGAGGGAGAGCATCAGGAAGAATAGTTAATGGATACTGGGCTTAATACCTAGGTGATTGGATGATCTGTGCAGCAAACCATCATGGCACATGTTTATATAATAGACTTGCACATCCTGCACATATACTCCAGAACATAAAATAAAAGTTGAAGAAAAAAAATTGTTTTCCAGCATACTAGTAATTACCAGTTAAGGGCATAATTGAAGCAAGGTGTTATTCTACTAAAGCAGAAAAAAAAATTAAGTTACCTAGCAATATTCCTAATAAGAAATATGTGGAATGTGTCCTTTATGAGGAAAATTAGAAAAATCTTTTGAGAGATAATAACAGATTTAGAAAAATTATGACATACTCTTTCCATGTAGAAATATTGAATATTATAGAAATTAAAATTCTTCCAAATTATTGTATAATGTTAAATTGTTGCAAACCAAACTTATTAGTTTTCTGCGGATCTTGTCAAAATTATTTTAAAGTTCATATGGAAGATGTCTAAAAATGAACATAAATGGTTTGATGGCCACTCTATAACAAAGATTCATAATACACAATCTGCTAGCAACTAGAGGAGAATAATTACACCAGCCTGTAACTTTTAATATAGTGATATTATATGTGACAAACTTCTGAAGTTAACCAACTATACTATAAATGTCTCATTAGTAGAAAAGTGAGCATGTAATTTAATTTTACTGTGAGGAATCTCAGATACAACAGAGGTTGTAATTTACCCAGAGTTTCAGAGCATACATGTCAGAGATAGCATCAACATTATATTGAGATTGCAAGTAAGTTTTAACAGGTGGTATAGAAAATAATAATTTTTTTTCATTTAATCTGTGTTACGGTCTAGAATAACTGCTTTGTTTTACTTTGTCCAAGACTTTTACTGGTTTTAGCCTGGAAAGTTCCATGTCTCAGGAAACTTGTCAGTCATGGACTAACCAGGATGGTTGGTCACCTTGTGTAGTCTATAAAAAAGACACTAATGTCTGTAAATAATGTTTTCCATAAAATGAAAAGAAATGGATGGCAGATGTCTAATCTTGTGTAGAATAGCCCATCTAGTGTTCTATCTAGGCCATAAGTTACTCTAGGCACACAAGGTTCCCTCAGGAGTCTTCATCTGTTCAGGAATGTTAAGGTTTGGATTCACTCACTACTGTATAATAGGGGAGGGGCAAAGGAAGATGGCCAAATAAAAGGCTCCACTGATTGTTTCCCCTTGAGGAGCACCAAATTTCACAACTATACGCATAAAAAAATACCCTCAAAGAAACCAAAAATCAGGTGAGCACTCATAGTACCTGATTTTACCTTCCTATTGCTGAAAGAAGCACTAGAGAGGGTAAGAAAAACAGTCTTAAATCACCTTTGCCACCCCCTCCCCCATCCCCTGGTAGTGGCCCTGTGGCACAGAGAGAGAATCTGTGCTCTCTCTTGAGGGAGAACTTAGGAATTTTGGGACTTTGCCTTGAATCCAGTGCTGCCCTGTCACAGTGGAAAGCAAAACCAGCTTGAACTTAGGTGATGCCTACCCATGGAGGGGCCATTTAGACAGCCCTAGACAGAGGGGAAATCTGTCCCAGCCGTCAGAACTTAGCTGCAACAAGCCTCACCACTGCAAGCTAAAGTGCTCTGGGGCCTTGAATAAATTTGAAAAGCAGTCTAGGCCGCAAGGACTGCAACTCCTAGGCAAGTCTTAATGCTGAACTGGGCCCAGAGCCAATGGACTTGAGGGGCACATGACCTACTGAGACACCAGCCAGGGTGGCTAAGGGAGTGCTTGTGCCACCTCTCCCCTTACCCTAGGCAGGACGGTTTGTGACTCCAAAACAGATCCCTTCTTTCTGCTTGGGAAGAGAAGAAGGAAAATTAAAGAGGACTTTGTCTTGCATCTTGGATACCAGCTCAGCCATGGTAGGAAAGGGCACTGGTGAGAGTTGTGAGGCCCCCATTCTAGCCTAGCTCCTGGACCACATTTCTAGATACACCTGGGGCCAGAAGGGAACCCACTGCCTTCAAGGGAAGGACTCAGTCTTAGCAGGCCTCATCACCTGCAGACTAACAAGCCCTCGGACCCTGAATAACCAGCAGTGATACCTGGGTAGTATGCCATGGGCCATGGGTGAGACTCTGAGATATGCTGGCTTCAAGTGAAAGCCAGCTTATTCCTAGCTGTGGTGGCTATGGTGAAAGACTCCTTCTGCTTGGGAAAAGTAAAGGGGACTTTGTCTTGCACCTTAGGTACCAGCTTGGCCACAGTGGGATAGGGCACCATGCAGACTCTTGGGGACTCTGATTCTAGGCCTTGGCTCTTGGTCAGCATTTCTAGACCCGCCCTGGGCCAGAGGGGAGCCCACTGCCGTGAAGGATAAGTTCCAGGCCTGGCAGCATTCGCCACAAGCTGACAAGAGCCTTTGGGCCTTAAGTGAACATCAATGGTAACCTGGCAGTACTCCCTGTGGCCCTGTGGTGGTGGTGGCCATGGGATGGGGCTCCTCTGCCTATGGAAAGGGGAGAGAAGAGTAGGAAAGACTGTGTCTCATGGTTTGAGTGCCAGCTCAGCTGCAATATAGTAGAACAACAGGTAGATTTCTGAAGCTTTTGACTGCAGTCCCTGGCTCCTGGACAACATCTCTGGACCCACCTAGGGCCTGGGGGAACTCACTGCCTTGAAAGGAACAACACAGCTTGGCTGGCTTTACCACCTGCTGATTATACAGTCCTAGGTCCTTGAACAAACACAGGCAGTAGCCAGGTAGCAGTTACAGTGGGCTTTGGGCAAGACCCAGTGCTGTGCTGGCTTTGGGTTTGACCCAGTGCCGTCCCAGTGGTGGTGGCCACAGGGGTGCTTGTTTCACCCCAGCTCCAGGTAGCTTATCACAGAGACAGAGAGAGACTTTGTTTATTTGGGAGAAAGTAAGAGAAGAAAACAAAAGTCTCTGACCGGTAATCCAGAGAATGCTTCTGGATCTTATCGAAGACCACCAAGGCAGTACCTCTACAAATCTGCAGGAACTACAGCATTATTGAATTGGGGTGTCCACTAATGCAGATACAGCTTGCATTGTGATGCAGATCACAACACCCAACTTCTTTTGAATACCTGGAAAACTTTCCTAAGAAGGACAGGTACAAACAAGCCCAGACTGAAGACTACAATAAATACCTGACTCTTCAATGCTCAGACACTGACAAACATCCACAAGCATCAAGACCATCCAGGAAAACGTGACCCCACCAAATGAAGTAAATAAGGCACCAGGGACCAACCCTAGAGGTGTGTGACCTTTCAGACAGAGACTTCGAAATAGCCATTTTGAGGAAACTCAAAGAAATTCAAGGTAACACAGAAAAGGAAGTCAGAATTCTATCAGATATGTTTAAGAGATTGAAATAATTAAGAAGACTCTAGCAAAAGTTCTGGAGTTCAGAAATGCAATCGAAATACTGAAGAATATATCAGAATATATTAATAGCAGAATTGATCAAGCAGAAGAAAGATTAGTAAGCTTGAAGACAGGCTGAAAATACACAAAGGAGACAAAAGGAAAACGAATTAAGCATGCCTATAAGATCTAGAAAATAGTCTCAATTGGGCATATCTAAGTTACTGGCCTTAAAGAGGAGACAGAGAAAGAGATAGGGGTAGAAAGTTTATTCAAAGAGATAGTAACAGAGAATTCCCAAAATGAAAGATATCGCTATCCAAACACAAGAAGTTTACAAAACACTAAACAGATTTAACCCAGAAAAGACTACCTCAAGACATTTTAATAATAATACTGCCAAAGGTCAAGGATAAAGAAAGGATACTAATAGCAGCAAGAAAAAAGAACATACAATGGAGCTCCAGTATATCTGGCAGCAGACTTTTCAGTGGAAACCTTACAGATTGAGAGAGAATGAGTGGCATGACATATTTAAAGTGCTAAAGGAAAAAAACTTTGCCCTAGAGTAGTATATCTGGTGAAAATATCCTTCAAACATGAAGAAGTAGTAAAGACTTTCCCAGACAAATGAAAGCTGAGGAATTTCAGCTTGTAGACCTGTCCTATAAGAAATGCTAAAGGGAATACTTCAGTCAGAAAGAAAACGACATTAATGAACAATAAGAAATTATATGAAGATACAAAACTCACTGGTAATAGTAAGTACACAGACATGGAATATTATAACACTAACTGTGGTGTGTAAACTGCTCTTAAGTAGAAGACTAAATGATAAACCAATAAAAAATAATAACTAGAACTTTTCAAGATGTAGACAGTATAAGATATAAATAGAAACAACAAAAAGTTAAAAACAGAGGATGAAGTTAAAGCATACAGTCTGTTAGTTTTCTTTTTGCTTGTTTATCTATGCAAACAGTGTTGTTACCAGCTTAAAAATGAGTATAAGGTAGTATTTGCAAGCCTCATGATAAACTCAAATCCAAAAATATACAATGCATACACAAAAAGTAGAAAGTAAGAAATTGTATCATACCACCAGAGAAAATCACCTTTACTAAAAGGAAGACAGGAAGGAAGGAAAGAAGGAAAAGAAGACCACAAAACTACCAGTAAACAGATAACAAAATGGTTGGAGGAAGTCTGAACTTACCGATAATAACATCAAATGTAAATGGACTAAACTCTTCAATAAAAGACATAGAGTGGCTGAATGGATGAAAAAACAAGACCCAGTGGCCTGTCGCCTATAGGAAACACACTTCATCTATAAAGATACACAGAGACTGAAAAGAAAGGGATGGAAAAAGATATTCCATGTCAATGGAAACCAAAAAAGAGCAGGAGTAGCTATACTTACATAAGACAAAATAGATTTCAAGACAAAAACTATAAGAAGAGACAAAGAATGTCACTATATGGTAATAAAGGGGTCAATTTAGCCAAAAGATATAACAACTGTAAATATATATGCACCCAACACTAGAGCACCCAGAAATATCAAGCAAATATTGTTAGAGCTAAAGAGAGAGATAGATCCCAATACAATAATAGCTGGAGACTTCAGCATCCCACTTTCAGCATTGTACAGATCTTCCAGACAGAAAATCAACATAGGACCTAATCTGCACTATAGACTAAATAGACCTAATAAATATTTACAGGACACTTCATCCAACAGCTGCAGAATACATATTCTTCTCCTCAGCATGTGGATTATTCTCAAGGATAGACCACATGTTAGGTCACACAAATCTGAAAGTATTCAAAAAAAAAAAAAAAAAAAAGGAAAGCATTGAAGTGATATCAGGCATCTCTGGCCACAACAGACTAAAATTAGAAATCAGTAACAAGGAATTTTGGAAACTATACAAACACATGGAAATTAAATAATATACTCCTGAAAGACGGTGAGTCAATGAAGAGATTAAGAAGGAAATTGAAAAAATTTCTGGAAACAAATGATTACAGAAACAACATACCAAAACCTATGGGATACAATAAAAGCTGTACTAAGAGGGAAATTTATAGCTATAAGTACCTACATGAGAAACAAGAAAAACACCCTAGCAATGTATTTTAAAGAATTAGAAAAGCAAGAATAAACCAAACCCAAATTAGTAGAAGAAAAAGCAATAATGAAAGATCAGGGCAGATACAAGTTAAACTGAAAATAAAACAACAAAGATCAACAAAAGAAAAAGTTGATTTTTTGAAAAGTTAAACAAAATTGACAAACCTTTAGCCAGACTAAGGAAAAAAAAAGAAGACCCAAATAAAGAAAATCAGATATGAAAAAGGAGACATTGCAACTGACACTGCAGAAATTCAAGGGATCATTAGTGGCTATTATGAGCAACTATATGCCAGTAAATTGGAAAATCTAGAATAAGTGGATAAACTCCTAGACATGTTCAGCCTACCAAGATCAAACCATGAAGAAATCCAAAACCTGAACAGACCAATAACAAATAATGAGATCAAAATTATAATAAAAAGTCTCCCAGCAAAGAAAAGCCCAGGACTCAATGGCTTAACTGCTGAATTTTACCAAACATTTAATCAAAGAAGAACAAGTACCAATTGTACTCTAACTATTCAGAAAATAGAGGAGAGAGTACTTCCAAACGAATTCTACAAAGCCAATATTACACTGATACCAAAACAAATGACACATCAAAAAAAGAAAACTACAGGCCAATATCACTGATGAATATTGATGCAAAAAATTCTCAAAATACTAGCAAACTGAATTCAATAACACATTAACAAGGTCATTCATCATGGCCAAGTGGGATTTATCCCAGGGATGCAAGGATAGTTCAACATACATAAATCAATACATGCGATACATCATATCAACAGAATGAAGGACAATACCATATGAACATTTCAATTAATGCTGAAAAAGCATTTAATAAAAATTCAACATCCCTTGGCCGGGCACGGTGGCTCACGCCTGTAATCCCAGCACTTTGGGAGGCCGAGGCGGGCAGATCACGAGGTCAGGAGATCGAGACCAAGGTGAAACCCCGTCTCTACTAAAAATACAAAAAGTTAGCCGGGCGTAGTGGCGGGTGCCTGTAGTCCCAGCTACTCGGGAGGCTGAGGCAGGAGAATGGCGTGAACCCGGGAGGCGGAGCTTGCAGTGAGCCGAGATCGCGCCACTGCACTCCAGCCTGGGTGACAGAGCGAGACTCCGTCTCAAAAAAAAAAAAAAAAAAAAATCAACATCCCTTCATGATAAAACCCCTCAAAAAATATATATAGAAGGAACATGTGTCAGCATAATAAAAGCCATATACTACAGACCCATAGCTAGCATCTTACTGAATGGAGAAAATTTGGAAGTCTTTTAACATCAGGAACATGACAAGGATGCCCACTTTTACCACTCTTCTTTAACATAGTATTGGAAGTTCTGGCTAGAGCAATCAGAAAAGAGAAAGAAATAAAGGGCACTCAAATTGAAGAAGCAGCAGCCAAATTATCCTTGTTTGCAGATAATATGATCTTATATTTGGAGATCCTAAATACTCCACCAAAAAACTATTTGAACTGATAAAACAAATTCAGTAAAGTGGCAAATACAAAATTAACATGAAAAAATCAGTAGCATTTCTGTATCCCAACAGTGAACAATCTGAAAAAGAAATCAAGAAAGCAATCCCATTTATAGTAGCTACAAATAAAATAAAATACCTAGGAATTAACCAAAGAAATGCAAGATCTTTATGATGAAAACTATAAAACACTGATGCAAGAAATGGAAGAGAACACAAATAAATGGAAAGGTATTCCACGTTCATGGATTCGGAGAGTCCATATTGTTAAAAATGTCCATATTACCCAGACCAAACTACAGATTTAGTGCAATTCCTATCAAAATACCAATGACATACTTCACAGGAATAGAAAAAAATATACTAAAATTTATATGGAACTAAATAATAGCCATAGCAATCCTAAGCTAAAAGAACAAAACTGGAGGAATCACATTACCTGACTTCAGATTATATTACAGAGTTACAATAACCAAAACAGCATGACATAAAAACAGACACATGGACCAACGGAACAGAATAGAGAACCCAGAAACAAATCCACACACCTACAGTGAACTCATTTTTATCAAAGGTGCCAAGAGCATACATTGGGGAAATAACAGTCTCTTCAATAAATAGTGCTGGGAAAACTGGATATCCATGTGCAGAAGAATGAAACTAGACCCCTCTTTCTCACCTTATATAAAAATTAAGTCCAAATGGATTGAAGACTTAAATCTAAGACCTCAAACTATAAAACTACTAAAAAAAAATGGGAAAAATCTCCAGGACAATTAGAGGGGGCAAAGATTTGTTGAGTAACACCAGACGAGCATGGGCAACCAAGGCAAAAATGGACAGTGGGATCACATCAAGTTTAAAAGCTTCTGCACAGCAAAAGAAACAATCAGTAAAGTGAAAAGACAACCCACAGAATGGGAGAAAATATTTGCAAACTACCCATCTGACAAAGGATGAATAACTGGAATATATAAGTAGCTCATACAACTCAAAGGAAAATAATAATTTGATTAACAAATGGGCAAAAGATCCAAATAGCCATTTCTTAAAAGAAGGCATACAAATGGCAAGTAGGTGTATAAAAGATACTGAACATCATTGATCATCAGAGAAATGCAAATTAAAACTACAATGAGATGTTACCTCACTCTAGTTAAAATGGCTTTTATCCAAAAGACAGGCAGTAACAAATGTGGAGAAAAGGGAACCCTTTTACACTGTTGGTGGGAATGTAAATTAGTACAGCCACTATAGAGAATAGTTTGAGGGTCCTCAAAAAACTAAAAATAGAACTACTATACAATACAGCAGTCCTACTGCTGGGTATATACCCAAAAGAAAGGAAATTCGTATATAGAAGAGATATCTGCACTCCCATGTTTGTTGTATCCCTGCTCACAATAGCCAAGATTTGTAAGCAGCCTAAGTGTTCATCAGCAGATGAATGGATAAAGAAAATGTGGTACATATACACAATGGGGTAGTATTCAGCCATAAAAAAATAATGAGATTCAGTCATTTGCAACAACATGGATGGAACTGGACACCATTATATTAAGTGAAATAAGCCAAGCACAGAAAGATAAACTTTGTACATTCTCACTTATTTGTGGGATCTGAAAATCCAAACAGTTGAAATCATGGAGACAGAGAGTAGAAGGATGGTTACCAGAGGCCAGAAAGGGTAATAAGCCAATGGTGGGGGGGTGGGGAATAGGGATGGTTAATGGGTACAAAAAATAGAAAGAATGAGTAAGACCTAGCATTTGATAGCACAACAGGCTGACTACAGTCAAAAATAATTTAAACGTACATTAAAAAATAACTAAAATACTATAATTGGACTTTTTGCAACACAAAGGATAAATGCTTGATGGGATGGATACCCCATTTACCCTGGTGTGATTATTACACATTGCATGCTTGTATCAAAATACGTACCCATAAATATATATACCTACTGTGTACCCATGAAAATTTTTTTAAATGTATAGTAGGCTTCAGTAAGACTCTCAGTAATCATCTGCAAACTTAGTAGGGGGATTTAGGCCATCTGGCTTAGTCTTCTATCTAACAGCTAATCTTTGAGCTCATGATATTGTTGTATGTTGACTTTTAGCATAATTATCCCTATAAGCTGCACTTCTCAGCAAAAGTCATTTTTAAGGGATTTACTTTCAGTTTTTTTAGTTGTCTTTCTAATGTATCAGTCGGTGGAATTATTTTTTCAAATATTAATTTACTCACCTTTTTCCTTGATCTATAAAGGATTTAAGATGATGTACTTAGTATATTATAGACGAATGTTAATGGACTATCTGATGCTTGTGTGGGTGTGTGTTTTGTATTTATATAGCCATTAGGTTGACAAGTGTGTTCTGTGTCATTATGGGATTGTCCTCTTTGCAAAATGAGAAAGAGTTTTCTTTTTTCAGTTATATTCAACAGATTACAAGTGCTACGAAAATTTCTAACCATCAAGTAAAATAATTTAAAAATTGACAAGAAATGCAAACCGCTTTTACACCATTTTAAGTCTTACTTATTATAAAGATCTCCAAAGTAATATATTACAGTAAAACTCAGGTTCCTCTTATAATCCTGTAACATCCTTAAGTATGCATTGGGAAGATGACTGGTTTACCAAGCTTGATTCAAACGTCATGGGTTACAACATTTAAATTTGCTGACAGTCTCATAAGGTAAGGTGGTGAGAAGATATCGGGGGAACCAGCCCCCAGTATTTTAATGTAGGTTCTTTTCTATTTTCCCAAAGTGTCGGCTGGTCTAAGAAATAAAGGTAAAGAGTACAAAAGAGACAAATTTTAAAGCTGGGTGTCTGGGGGAGACATCACATGTCGGCAGGTTCCGTGATGCTCCCTGAGCTGCAAAACCAGCAAGTTTTTATTAGCAATTTTCAAAGGGGAGGGTGTTTACGAATAGGGTGTGGGTCACAGAGATCACATGCTTCACAAGGCAATAAAACATCACAAGGCAAATGGGGGCAGAGCGAGATCACAGGACCAGGGCGAAATTAGAATTGCTGATAAAATTTCATGTCCCGCTGTGCATGCATTGTCATTGATAAACATTTTAACAGGAAACAGGGTTCAAGAGCAGGGAACCGGTCTGACTAAAATTTACTAGGCAGGAATTTCCTAATCCTAGTAAGCCTGGGGGCACCGCAGGAGACCAGGGCGTATTTCATCCCTTATCTACAACTGCATAAGACAGACACTCCCAGAGCGGCCATGTTAGAGACCTCCCCCTGGGAATGCATTCTCTTTCCCAGGGCTGTTCCTTGCTGAGAAAAAGAATTCAGCGATATTTCTCCTATTCGCTTTTGCAAGAAGAGAAATATGACTCTGTTCTGCCCGGCCCCACAGGCAGTCAGGCCTTATGGTTATCTCCCTTGTTCCCTGAAAATTGCAGTTATCCTGTTCTTTTTGGATGCCCAGATTTCATATTGTTCATACACACATGTTTTACAAACAATTTGTGCAGTTAACACAATCATCACAGGGTCCTGAGGTGACATACATCCTCAGTTTACAAAGATGATGGGATTAAGAGATTAAAGACAGGCATAGGAAACCACAAGAGTATTGATTGGGGAAGTGATAAATGTCCACGAAATCTTCACAATTTACGTTCAGAGATTGCAGTAAAGACAGGCATAAGAAATTATAAAAGTATTAATTTGGGGAACTAATAAATGCCCATGAAATCTTCACAATTTATGTTCTTCTGCCATGGCTTCAGCCAGTCCCTCCATTCAAGGTCCCTGACTTCCTGCAACAAAAAGAAAGTACAAAATTATGATGTTATTTATAACACAACTCTTAGCTTAAACTTGTACTGACATTTTCCTAAAGATTATAAAGTATATTCATAATAGATTATTTTGCTGTCAGCCTCTTGAGATATGTTTGTTTTTATGCTAAGTAAAATGTAACCTCTTGCCACAACTAAGATCTTTTCTCTTTATTGATTTTTAGTGTCTAAAAAGCACGGCAAGCTCATTACGTTCTTACGAACATTCATGAAGTCTCGTCCAACAAAACAGAAGCTGAAGCAGCGGGGAATCTTGAAAGAGAGGGTGTTTGGTTGTGACCTGGGGGAACACCTTCTAAATTCTGGTTTTGAAGGTAAAAATAAAATGTGCAAGCTTATACTCTGAGTTTCTGACCTCTCCATATTGGTTTGCTATAACCAATTATGGAGTAGATTTAGTCAAATGATACCTGTTTCATTTCAGTTCAATGCATGTACTAAGCTTTCTCAGGTACTCAGTTCTGGATGGAGCTGAGAATGAAAAGTCTAAGAATGCACTTTGGCATTAGAGATGTTCGTGTTCTATTCGGGAAGAGTAGGACATTCACACAAAATATATTACAACCACCCTGTTATTTTGCCTGAGTTTCTATTTCTCCCTAGATAGCTTCTTCAGCCAGTTTTGCCACCCACATTTTATCCTAAAATATTTATCTAATTCTTCTTATGGAAAAAAAACTGTCAGAGTTTTGAGACATAAAATGCCAAAATCAATCTTCCAATTTTTTTTGTTTTTAAAGAGACAGGGCCTTGATTTGTTGCCCACGCTGGAGTGCAGTGGCGTGATCATAGCCGACTGCAGCCTTGAATTCCTGGGCTCAGGCAGTCCTCCCAGAGTACTGGGACTACAGGCATGTGCCACCACACCTGGCTAATTTTTATTTTTCATTTTACTTTTGTAGAGAATCTGTATTTTATTTTTTATAGGAATCTATATTCCTTTCTTTATAAATTAAATTATGAATCAAGAATTTAGTTGTTGGATGGGGGGATGGATAGGAGGGAAAGAAAAAAAGGAGTTTTCCTTTTATATTTAAAAATAGCACTTTCCTCTAGCATCTCTTTCAGAAATGCCAGAAGATGAAGGCAGGATCTACCTGTGATGTTGCTAAGTACCAGAAATAGGTGATTATGAAATTCCAAATTAGTATGGGAAATACCCATTGTGCCTTTTGAGAAGACCATTAGTGAAAAACAATGGTAAAGTAATAATAATAATACTGAGTTGATAGTATCAAGTTCAAATTAAGGTCTTGCTCATTGTTTAAAGAATATCAGTGGACTTAGGAATTTAATGCAAACTGTACCATGTTTCTTGAGAGAGTAGACAAAATGTTATTTCAAACAGATGTTATTCCCAAATTAATACCAACTTAATGCAGATCCCTAAAAAAACAAAAACAAAAAAAACCCCTGAGGATTACTTTTGCAACTAAATGCACATGGAAAACTCAACCAGTGAGAATGTCAAAGAAAAAAATCAGTAATAGGATGGGAGACATCTAGTTTTACTATATATTAAAACAATATTCAAAACTAGAAAAGCAGAGTTTTCACTGGGTGCAGTAGCTCACGTCTGCAATCCCAGCACTTTGGGAGTCTGAGGCAGGCAGATAGCTTGCGCCTAGGAGTTCGAGATCAGCCTACACAACATGGCAAGACCTGGTCTCTACGAAAAATACAGAAATTAGCCAGCATAGTAGTACGCACCTGTAATCCCAGTTACTTGAGAGGCCAAGGTGGGAGAATCATCTGAGCTTGGGAGGTGGGGGTCGGTAAGCTGATTTCACGCCACTGCACTCCAGCCTGGGCGACGGAGCAAGACCTTGTCTCCAAAAAAAAAAAATTTTCTTTTTAAAGGCAGAGTTTTGTGCTGAGAATGAAATGTGAGTGAAACAGCTTACAGTGTTCAGAAATAGTTCTTACTGTACATAAGAATCCATTGTGAGAAAAAAGTATGGTTTTAGAACCATGTCACATGGAAGAGCTATTTATAATACATACTGAGATAATTAAATAGCAGTTTTGAAAAAAATTCACACTTCATCATACTGAATATAAACTTCAAATGTATAAGTTAACCATTTTAAACTTACAAAATTGCCAATGTGAATTGATTTTGTTTTGAGATAAAATAAATAATAGCTTTCTCAGATTTAAACAAAAAACATGAAGAGATGACTTAAATATATATATACTTTTCATATAATGAAAAATAACAGTGTAGAGGGAGAGGTACCATAGACAAGGAAATATAATCATTTTTTGGATATGATGAAATGCTGCTATTACAGTGTATGAGAATATCATTTCAGACTTTTTAGAAAATTAAAGTAATTTTAATTACTGAGTAAAAGAATGGAGAATAGATACAAACATTAAACTGTCACAGGGCTATAAATAATAAACAAAATACAGAAAAATGTTTATCCTTATTTGTAATCATGGAAATGTATCTTTAGGCGATTTTGAAATACCATTTTACTTTGGTAAATATTAAAATAACAAAGCTATTTTTCTAAATTATGATATCCAGTGCCATAAATATAGTAGTGATTTTTACCAATAGGTTCAGAATCGTTGGTTTCAGAAGGTTCTGAGTTAGCACTACCTTTTTGGAAAACATTTGACATTTCATAGCAAGACACTTTATAGTGTTCCTTTCATCTAATGAATCCATCCTTAGGGACTTATCTTAATGTTATAATTAAATAGAAATAAAAGTGTTCATCATAGCATAATGTATGAGAACAAAGAAAACGAAATACCCAACTTTGGGAGAATGTTCTTTTTTGAGATGGGGTTTCACTCTGTCATCCAGGCTGGAGTGCAGTGGCCCAATCGCAGCTCACTGCAACCTCTGCCTCCTGGGCTCAAGCTGTCCTCCTGCCTCAGCTTCCTGAATAGCTGGGACTATAGGCATGCACCACCACACCCAGCTAATTTTTGTATTTTTTGTAGAGGTGGGATTTTGCCATGTTGGCCAGGCTGATCTCGAACTCCTGGACTCAAGCAATCCACCCACCTTGGCCTCCCAAAGTGCTGGGATTACAGGCGTGAGCCACCACACCCATACAGGGGAATGTTCTATAAATGTTGAAGCTGTTAAAAATTTTAAGTTTGAGCTGTGTGAGATGGCTTATGCTTGTAATCCTAGTATTTTGGGAGGCCAAGGTAGGAGGATCGCTGGAGGCCAGGAGTTTACACCAGCCTGGGCAGCATATAGCAAAACCCCATTTATACAGAAAAAAATACAAAACGAGCTGGGCATGGTGGCACACACCCATACTTCTAGCTAGTTTGGAGGCTGAGGTCGGGGGATTGCTGGACCCCAGGAGTTGGAGACTACAGTAAGCTATCATCTTGCCACTGCATTCCAGCCTGGGCAACAAGGCAAAACCCTGTCTCTAAATAAATAAATAAAATAAGTTTGAATACAGTGTAGGAACCTGAAAAATATTATCTATAAATGGTAGATACAACTTTTGAAAGTCTGGATACTTAGGTGATATGAGAAATGAATATAATTAAAGTATTAGAGAATATTGTTGAGATTTTTTTTTCTTAGTTGTCTTGCTTTTTCAATTAAAAAAATTAGAGGAATATTAGAAATGAATTTAATAATCCTGGAAGATTAATCCCTCTTTGCCAAGTTAAACTCAAATGACTAGAAAAAAAATTAACTTGTGACCTTAAAGTGTAATTGAAATTCAGTAAACTTTAGGAGCTAGAAACCTCAAAGACCAAGGCCAGATATATTATACTTGGCATATTAAAATAATTTCCTGTTTCATCAGGGTTGGTAAGAAATGAATAAATATTCATAAGAAGGATATTCATTTGAACATTCAAATGAAGCCTAAATTAGCAGGAGAAGGGAAACCTTTGAAGTTTATTAACTAAAAATTAGGAAATAAAATGGTTTTTTAATAGCTGAGTGATTTAGTAGTTTGTCTTTGATTTAATGAATATGTGAGGAATTTCAGTTTTTTCAGATTTTAAGACTTCATAGGGGGCTGGGTGTGGTGGCTCATGCCTGTAATCTTAGCTCTTTGGGAAGCCTAGAAGGGAAGAGCACCTGAGCCTAGGGGTTTGAGACCAGCCTGGGCAACATGGCACGTTTAACACCATGTAACATGTTAAACCTTGCTTAGATGTGATCATTAATATGAAAGAGAGGCCCAGCAGGGTGGCTCATGCCTGTAATCCCAGCACTTTGGGAGGCCGAGACAGGTGGATCACCTGAGGTCAGGAGTTCAAGACCAGCCTGCCCAATATGGTGAAACCCTGTCTCTACTAAAAATACAAAAAGTGGCCGGGTGTGGTGGTGCATGCCTGTAATCCTAGCTACTCAGGAGGCTGAGGCAGGAGAATTGCTTGAACCTGGGAGCTGGAGGTTGCAGTGAGCCAAGATCATGCTATTGCACTCCAGTCTGGGCAACAAGAGCGAGACTCCATCTCAAAAAAAAAAGAAAAAAAAATGAAAGAGAGTTTTCCAATTTGTCCTGCCATGCTCATTAGCTTTCAAATATCAATTCAATTTTAGTTGTACTTAGAAGTTTCAGTTATGTTTCCATTCTTCATAAGGATGATAGGGGAGGACAGAGGCTATTATATCACTTCTTTCTGAAAAATAGCAGGTTAAACTACAGTGTTCATCTGTTCCCTAATTATGATAAAATCTATTTGAGTGGAACAGAGTTTTTTGGTATCATTGATTTTTTGTCATTGATTTTTTTGTAGGGACAGTGTCTCTACAAAAAATTTTAAAAAATTAGCTGGGCATGGTGGCACGTGCATGTGGTTCCAGCTCCTTGAGAGGTTGAGGTGGGAGGATCTCATGAGCCCAGGAGGTCCAGGATACAGTGAGCCATGATCACACCATAGCACTCCAGCCTAGGCAACAGAATGAGACCCTATCTCCAAAAAAAAAAAAGACTTCATATGTATTGTCCATGACCTATAACCACAGTTATATCATATGTGTGTATATATTTACACATACAAATATATATAGAGACTATTTTAAAGTCTAAATTAAAACAATGAGAATTGATTATATATTTTAAACTCTAAAATAATTAGAATAAAATGAAGAAAAAATGATTATATATTATATACATAATTGTGAGGAGAGATGAGACACATACAGTATATATAATATTGATATATATCATATATAATTGTTCTTTCTCAAAGTTTAGACTTTAATATAGTGTCTTTACCCTAAATAAAATTAACCTTGCACTAGATTTTTCTGAGAAGGAAGCTCGTATCAAAATTACGTTTTATGTGCTTGCTTCGACAGCACATATACTAAAATTTGAACAATACAGAGATAAGTGTGACCCCTGCACAAAAATGACACACAAATTCGTGAAGCATTCCATATAAAATAAAAATTTTTTTTAAATTTTGTTTTGCTAAATGGTTAATTCTCTGAATATTTCCTAGTGAAAAATCAGCTTTATAGGGAGATTATCTTATTATACTTTCTAAACTTCTGAGTACCTCTCTGTTGGAGCAAGTGACAAACTTGACCTGTGTCTTCTGTACAAAGTGTTGTAAGAAATCACATAGGAGCCTGACAAGGCAGTTGTCTTTTTATTCTTTTATGTGTGGTCCCTGCTGTTCAATCAGGATTATCATAGAGTTTTAGCTATCACAAACCGGTGTTTATAATTGAGTGTATTAAACATTATATCACAGTTATTTGTAGAACTGATTGTTTAAAAATCTGCCCACAAAAGAAGTAAATAAAAATCTGCCCACATAGTACTTTTTTTGAGCATAGATTATACTGATTTGTCATTTACTTTGGCATCCTTTTGTTTTGTTTTGTTTTGATACGGAGTTTTGCTCTTGTTGCCCAGGCTGGAGTGTAATGGCACAATCTCGGCTCACTGCAACCTCCACCTCCCAGGTTCAAGCAATTCTCCTGCCTCAGCCTCCTGAGTAGCTGGGATTACAGGCGCCCACCACCATGCCTGGCTAATTTTTTTTTTTCCTGTATTTTTTGGTAGAGACAGGGTTTCACCATATTGGCCAGGCTGGTCTTGAACTCCTGACCTCAGGTGATCTACCTGTCTCAGCCTCCCAAAGTGCTGGGATTGCAGGCATGAGCCACTGCCCGCAGCCTACTTTGGCATCCTTATCTATAGCTTTAAAATGTTGTGTTGTTGTTGGTGGTGGTGGTGGTGGTGGTGATGTGACGTTAATTTCTTTTTCTGGTATCATTGATTTTTTTCATAAGAGTTAGTATTTTTTTTTGGTGTACATATTTAAAACTGAATTTCATTAAAAGTTTGAATTGAGATCACTAAAACAAAATAGTGAGAGTTTTATAGAAAACTAGGTAAAATTATGTTTGGTACAAAATATTACAAATATTTTGAAACCCTCGGAGAGGACTCTCTGTTGCCTGAACATATTTCTGTGTTGTATGATATGCACAAAACTTTAAATGAGAGCACAGTAGGAAAAAGCAAGGCCCAGATAACACCAGAAATTAATCCTTTTGGTAGTCATATTAGGTAGAATCATGATGCACATTCTAATAAGTCACACTGTACTCATGTCCCTTTAGCCTGGAAACCATCTCCCTGAAACTGGAACTCAGCTTTTTCGTCTGTATCTGTAATGCTTTCATGATGCCTGGAAAATAGAAGAGACTTAATAAATACATGATTGATGAGTGAGTGAGCGAGTGAATGAATGAAGAGAAAAGAGCAGAAACGAAACCAAAACTGTCAAGAAAAAAAAATCAAAGATCAATTCTTGTCATACTTACTTCCTACTTCTTTTAGCCATATTCTAATCTAAAGGATCATCGATTTTAATTTAAATATGTACTTCTTATTCTGTTGTCGTATGATGATATTTTAAAAACTAAGAATGTAAAATCAAAGTAAATCAGAAGTGTATTATGTGGAGAATGTGGGAATGATTCTGAAAGTCATACCGTCTTTTGGAGGAAGCATTTTGGAGGTTTCTAATGTTATATTTTGACTGGGTCATTATTCGCTGTGCATTTGGCTGGTTTGTTAGATGGTTTGGGGGTAGCTAGTAAATAGCCTTTTTTTAAAACTAGGATTTTTTTTACAAAATATATTGGATTTCTTATATTGCTTTCCTACTCTTTCGTGAAAAAATAAAACAGATCTTTTCTTCTTTTTTCTTCTGACATTGTTTTTCAGTTTTTGCTCCTTTTCTTCAAGATTCAAGTTTATGCTTTTCTTTCATTTTGCCACCTATTTGTATTAAATGACTCATTTGTTTCCCTTAAACTTATAAGTAATAGTTATGTAATTTTATTTATTAAGCTCATTATGTGATTTTTGTGTAGACATTCAGTCCTTCTACTCAGGGAACACAAAATATAAGAAAACGATTCAGATGCTTGCCATGAAGTATTACGTGTGTAGAGACTTGGACATATTATCAGGAAAAGACCTCTAATTCTCCATATTTTCAATGTTTTCCTACTTATTTGGAAGAATAAACAGATATGAATCTAATAACACACAGATATACACATCCAATGAAAATTACCGATACTTTTTTTTATAAATGGTAGCTTATTTTTATGAAAAATTTATGTGTGCTCGGAGAGCCTGATAATATGGAAATAAAATACTGTGCTCTGAAGGGTTTTTCTTGAAGACAAACCTTTTGTGTACCTGGGTGAATCAGCATGCTCATTTGGAGCATATATAATGAGAAGCATCTTCTCAGTGCTTTACAGGAAAGAATTTTAACTATTTTCCTAAGTAATGATGTTAATTATCCCAGTAATCTCTAAATACATTCCCTTTGAAGCAGAAGACTGAAATTTTGTAGCCCCAAATTTTATTATTCCACTTCCAGTTTTTAGAATTGAAACCTAAGACACCAAGTTTATCATTGGTGGGACAATGTGAGAAATAGAACCCAAGCTTTTATAAAGATGCTATGTATTTTGCATATCATTTCGACACAGAGGTTGCTTCTAATATCAATTAAATCCACAAGAAGTACCCAGCAATTCTACCTGCCCTTCATCTTTACTACATAACCATAACCTTTTCTTGTTACTGAAAGTCTTGAATATTTTTAGAGGTAGAAAGCATGTAGTTGAAAATGTATTCATATGAAAACTAAGGTTCCTTCCCTGCTAACTTGACCAGATAATGACCATTTCAGGCTCTCAGGGCACTGGTAAATTAATTCACTTGCTAATTTTATACATTGTGTCAGGACGGTGTTCCTGAGTTTTAAATATACAAAGATGGACGATGCATGGTTTTGCTCTTGAAGAGCCCACAGTCAGAAAAGGGTAATAGTTGTATGAACAAATAAATGATAATTTTGAAATATTTTTCTATGAGCACATAGAACACAGTGCTCAGCCACCTCTACTTGTGGGTATTCAATGAAGGCTCGCTAAAGAGTGATAGTTTACCTGGATTTTGAACAATAGCCAAGAATTTTTTCTATACGAAGAGCGTTATGGGAGAGAGTCCAGCTAGAGGAAATTGTTTTGTGAAGAAGTCATAGCATGGTTGGTTTGTATGGCAAAAGGTAACACTTCACTTGGCCTAGGGTTGTGGAATATGGAAATACAATAATAATTAAATGTAAATTATGAAAGGCCTTCTCTGCCAGGCAGTATATTGCAGTAGTCAAAAGCATTGGCTCTGACTGGATAAAGAAAAATGTGGCACATATATACCATGGAATACTATGCAGCCATAAAAAAGGATGAGTTCATGTCCTTTGCAGGGACATGGATGAAGTTGGAAGCCATCATTCTCAGCAAACTATCACAAGAACAGAAAACCAAACACCACATGTTCTCACTCATAAGTGGGAGTTGAACAATGAGAACACATGGAATAGGGAGGGGAACATCACACACCAGGGCCTCTCGGGGGGTTGGGGGGCTAGGGGAGGGATAACATTAGGAGAAATACTCAATGTAGATGATGGGTTGATGGGTGCAGCAAACCACCATGGCATGTGTATACTTACGTAACAAAACTGCACATTCTGCACATGTACCCCAGAACTTAAAGTATAATAAAAAAAGATATATGTATGTGTGTGTGTGTGTGTGTGTGTGTGTGTGTGTGTGTGTGAAATAAAAAACAAAACAAAAGCATTGGCTCTGTACTTGGACTGCCTGAGTTGGAATCTCTCACTTCTGCCAGTGTTTCCTGCCTGCCCTTGGGTAAAACTTACTCTCTCTAAGATACAATTTCTTCTCTGTAAAAATTGGGAATATATAGTACTTTCCTTGTAGGATATCTCTGAAAATCAGAGAGTATGCATTGTAAAGTACTTAGCCTGGCATATATTTAGTACTTAATACTATCAGCTGCTGGTTTTTGTTTTTTGATTTTTTTAATCAAAGATGAGGTTAAGTTTTAAATGTTGTTATAGGATCTGACAGAATTTAAAGATGGATTGCATGAAGGACAATAAAAGTCAGGAAAACCAAGGAAAAGTTGGTTATAATAATAAAGGAATGACAATATACTGTTAATGAAATACATTCACTAAAATTATCTTATTAAAATGCCTTATTTGTTTCATTTGCCACTCTGAATGTTTCATCTCTAGTATAGTAGCTCTTTGCAGACCAAATTTTCCAAGCATTTCTTTTCAAGGATTTTAATTAACCCTATCAAATGATCATACTAAAGTCTGTAAACTCATCAATCTGCATTGCAAAACAACTATTGTTAAATTCTCAGCTGCTGTAAATGTTTGAATGGTTATAAAATGCTTTATCATATATTTTGAAAATTCTGTTTTATACTGCATGCCCCAGCATAGCTGTCCAGTGTATATTCATAGAGCTAACCAGAGAGAGTGCCCTGTATTACAAGCTGATAATATAAAGTCAAAATGTCAATAAAGTTAATGTAAATATGGCCAGGAAATTACAAGATTCCATCTGTTTGAAATTGCCTTGGGCTTTGCATTATATTGGTGTTTTGTTGATTGAATAAAGTCAGAATTTGCATTAACTATGAAAATATAGAAGATCCTTTTCTAGAAGCAAAACTTTGTAGCACTTACAAGTAATTATGTTGTTGGGACAAGCATTTAACTTTATATATTCATTTGCTATATATGAAAGTCAGCTGAACAGCTGTATTTCTTAAAAATCTGGCATGGTGTTAGGACTAAACAGTTCACTTTGCTGTAATGTGTAACTGTAACATGATCTAAATGAGTCTACTGCAGAAGAAAGACTGTCCTAATAATGTATGAACTCTCTTACTCACTTAAATATCATGACATAGAACCAGTCTTGATTATTCAGGAATTAGTTATCTAATTTAGGTGGGCAATTAAATAAATATACCCTCATCATTTTTTGTAGTGGATTAATTTTTGCTCCTTTTAACTTTAATTTACAAATTTTATTTTACTTTTGTAAACTAAGACAATCTTATTTTTTGGCAACTTTGGTTCCAGTGAATACTACAATTTCATCTGTTTCTTTACAAATTCTCTTTAGTGCCGCAGGTTCTTCAAAGCTGCACAGCATTCATTGAGAGATATGGCATCGTGGATGGAATCTATCGCCTTTCTGGTGTTGCCTCCAATATCCAGAGACTACGGTAAAATCTTATATGGCACTTTTTCACTCCTTCTTAACTAATTAAAATGCAAATATTTTAAAACAGATTCACTTACTTTGATAACCTATTTTCATTAAAGATAATTTAGATAAAATAGGAAATAATATACATGTTATTGTCTCTGTATACTTTTCTAAATGGCATTTTTTTCATCTGTAGTATCAGAGAACCATGCACCTTAATCTCTTCAGTACTTGTATTTTGCCTCTTTATAGTGTTTGAAGATTTTAACAAATTGAGTTTGAACCGATGACAGCCATGAGAGAGGAAATTTGCATTATAATAAAATTATTCTTTAGGTGTTAATTAAAATGGATGGGAATGGAACATTTTCTAATCTCCTTTGACCCTGATTCTGTGTTTATGTTCAAGTATGCATCTCTACATATTTCACATCCTCCCCAAATCTTCTCTGAGACAAAAACAGTGACAAACTCTGTGCCTGCAATATTTTATTTTTGCTTAATCTCTTGGATTCTAGACTATTCTTGACATGCCATTACCCTTTCTTTTTTACTGTAGTACATGATAACTGCCATTATTCTGTAGAGATTTTAATACTTTAACAGATCATAGAGCCCATCTCAGTTTTGGGAAATACATGCTTGAAAAATACATAAATTAGTCCTTGTACTAAAGACAGTTTCAGTCTTCAGTTTAAGACAAAGTAAATCTCATATTGTACACACACATTAATCCTCTAGGTAGATGATAAGTGGTCTCATGCCCGTGGATGAATATTAATTAACCTCCTGGAGAGTGAGCTTACTCTGCCTTACTATTCTGCGTACAACTTTTATTTTACTCATTCTAATGATACAGATTTTCCTGCCTATTAAAATTTGTTGTTAGCTAGGAATTGCTTTATGTTGTTTCTGACTTTTTTATCCTGCTTCGGGAAAGCATTTCTGTGTTGTACAATCTGTATCTGAGGAATTTCTGCTCATAATTGTTCATAGATCAATTGCCATTCAACACTAGTCTCTGGAATTGCCAAAATATTGGATATTCAAGTCATTAGCAATTAGGAGTCCTGTTTTCAGACTGTTGTACTATAAGAGCTGTTCATTCATATGTATCTCAGAGGCTATTGTCCATTTTAATATTAAAGCTGTGCCCTTAATTTCCACATAGAAAGACATCTATCTTGTACTAAGACATCCAGTTGTTGCTGAAGTCCAAACACAACTTAAATGAAATATAATTAATGGAAGATAATAGCAACTCACTGAGATAGAGCTGAACACTTTTGGAGCTTATGCTTTCTGTTTTTAAGACACATATTTGCTCTCCTCAATCAAATGATTTGCTTGTCCTCTTCTGTCTACGTCAGCCATGAATTTGACTCTGAGCACGTCCCCGACCTGACGAAAGAACCGTATGTTCAGGACATCCATTCTGTGGGTTCCCTATGTAAGCTGTACTTCCGGGAACTCCCAAACCCTCTGCTTACCTACCAGCTGTATGAGAAATTTTCTGTGAGTACAGGCTACTTTTGAATCTAATTCTTTGTGGAACTTTGCTGTGCTTTTGTTCAAAACACATGAACTTTGGTTTGGTCACATGTAAGAAATAGTTCTGTGACTGAAATGACTCCTTAAAAAAACAAATATTGCCAGCTAGTCGGTGGTCTTTGCTGTTTTCACATTGTCATTCTTGTGCTTTCTGACTTTGAGCTGCTAGTCTTGTCACACTTAATACTGATGACCATCAAGCCTTTTTAAAATTAGTTTCGTAGATCTCAGTGTTCACACTGTGTGGAAACAGTTTACTTCCTGAATACAATGTTGTGTTTCCTCGCCATTTCACATCCAAGAGCAAAGCAAGTTGATCTCAGAGTGAAAACTGAATTGTAAGTGAACTTTCATTTTTACTAACAGAGCTCACTAGTTTATTTTGTACTGTGACTCTTCTAGGATGCAGTTTCAGCAGCAACAGATGAAGAAAGGCTGATAAAAATCCACGATGTCATCCAGCAGCTCCCCCCACCACACTACAGGTCAGCCACAGTGGGTAAATACCAGGCAGAGGTAGAAGTCGGTTGACCTGTAAACGTTTTTTTTTCCTTTGGATTTCTATTTAAACTTCCTTGGAGTTCTAATTAAACTTCCATTTCATATATATATATATATATATATATATACACACACACACACACACACACACACACGCACACACACACACACTATATGTATGTGTACCTATATGTATATGTATATGTTTATGTATAGATATTCATTTGTCCTTAGATCCCCAGGGCCTGGCACACTGTTTAGCATTCCATAGGTACTTAAAGGTTGAATGAATGAATGGATGGACAAAGGGATGGCTGACTAAACTTGGGGGTTTTTTGTTTGTTTGTTTTAGTTTCTTCTTTGGTTTTATTGTTGTTGCTACATTTTAAAACCTAATTTGATTTGTGTGTTAGTTTGGAGTGTTGGAAATATTTATGGTTATGTCTGAGAAAGCCAGAATAAAATTGAAAGTTACTTTGCCAGTTAGAAAAAGACAACAGTAGAAACTAGATTCCAGTATGCAAAGAAACAAAAGATACATTTTAAAATTCCAATTACTGACAAGAAATTAAACTCAGCGGATGTTCTAGTAATATGCAAATTAAGTAATTTAATTTTTTTTTTCAAAATGACATTGCTTATGTATATATTTCAAAAATCAGCACTATAGGCCAGGCGCCATGGCTTACACCTGTAATCCCAGCACTTTGGGAGGCCGAGGTGGGTGGATCACCTGAGGTGAGGAGTTTGAGACCAGCCTGGCCAACATGGCAAAACCCCGTCTCTACTAAAACTACAAAATTAGCCGGGCATGGTAGCACGCGCCTATAATCCCAGCTACTCGGGGGCTGAGGCAGGAGAATCACTTGAACTTGGGAGGTGGAGGTTGCAGTGAGCCGAGATCATGCCACTGCACCCCAGCTGGACAACAAAGCGAGACTCCATTTAAAAAAAAATTCTAATTGTGGTTTCTGTTTAATGTTTATCACCTTTGCACCATCATAAACGTCAAAAAATCATAAATTGAACCATTGTAAGTTGGAGACTATCTGTATACAATCTTTCTAAAACATAAGGTACTTGAGGTCATGAATTCTGTCTTGTTTATCACTGTATTTCCAGAATAGAGTCTTGCAGATAGATGTTCAATAATATACACTGCATATATGTTTTATATCTTCTGCACACTATTTTATAGCTTGACTATAGATACTTATATGTATATATATCCTAATATTATCCACTTTGCCTGTCTTCTAATATATATTATATTACTTACCATGTATGCCCTACCTGGATTTCATACCTTGCCTGCTATTAATATGTACATGTATATCTCCTGCTTTATAATGTATACAATATCTTGTGTAACTCTTTTCTTCACTATAACTTATATGTGTGTGTATCTCCTACTTTGTATATCTTTTGATATAGACTTTTTATCCAAAATTTTAACATTAACATTTCTGAATTCCTTAGATGTTCTTGAAAAGCGTAATTTTCCATCATGTTCTCTCATTTGGATATGCCATGTTATTTAACCTTTCATAATTTGCATATTTAATCTACATATATGGTGGTATGGGGTGTTTTCTATTTCCTTTTTTTTTTTGAGGCAGGGTCTCACTCTGTTACCCAGGCTGGAGTGCAGTGGCACAATCTTGGCTCCCTGCAGCCTCTGCCTCCCAGGCTCAAGTGATTCTCCCACCTCAGCCCCCCAAGTAGCTGAGACCACTGGCACACACCACCATGCCCAGCTAATTTTTTGTATTTTTGGTAGAGTTGGGGTTTTGCCATGTTGCCTAGGCTGGTCTCAAACTCCTGAGCTCAGGTGATCCACCCACCTCAGCATCCCAAAGTGCTGGGATTACAGGTGTGAGCCACTGTGCCCGGCCTTCCTTTTCCAATTTTGAATATTACTATGAGGGCCATCCTTTTACATGGTATCTAGATTATGTTTTTTATTACAGGATAATGACCTGGCAGTGAAATTCTGGAAATCTAAATTATTATTCTCAATATTAGACAATAATATCCAAATTACGTTCCAGGTTGCGAAGTTTTATACAATTCACACTCTCATCTGCTGAATATAAAAGTGCTCATTTTGTGGAATCCTGACTAAAATTCTACATTAACTTTTAAAGACATCCTTATAATCAGATAGGCAAACCAAATAGATGTCTTTGGTTTTTTAAATTTGCAATTCTCATAAAATACATTCCTGAAGTCCTTTAATCATTCCCTTCATTCACCTTCCTCAAGTAATAAAATTTTACATGGTTTTCTTTTTTTTTTGGCTGAGGAGCCTGGCTTTATTCTATTTTATTTATTTATTTTTTTATTATACTTTAAGTTTTAGGGTACATGTGCACAATATGCAGGTTTGTTACATATGTATACATGTGCCATGTTGGTGTGCTGCACCCATTAACTCGTCATTTACATTAGGTATATCTCCTAATGCTATCCCTCCCCCTTCCCCCCACCCCACAACAGGCCCCGGTGTGTGATGTTCCCCTTCTTGTGTCCATGTGATCTCATTGTTCAATTCCCACCTATGAGTGAGAACATGCGGTGTTTGGTTTTTTGTCCTTGCGATCTAAATACGTTTCTCAAGCTTCTCACCTCTATGTCATACCCAGGCCAGCCTCACTTCGGTTTGTCTTCTCTTAATTATATACAGCAGAGACAGAGAATTACCATTTTAACTGTAAAGCAACTACAATGCCCTTGAACGCGCAGGCACTTTGGAGCCACTCTGACCTTGATTTGAAATGCAGCACTGCCACTGCTAGTCTGTGGAACCCCAGCAACCTTGACTTTGTCCTCGGTACAAGGGGAATGGTAATTCTGTGCTTGTTAGAGCTATTATGAGAATTAAATGAGACTGCTGGTAAAAGCCTCTTGAACAATGCCTAATGCCGAGTCTAACTATGATATTCCTTTTCCTCTCAAATTCATGTTAGGCCCATCTGAATCTTTGTGGCTCGGATGTAGACCACATTTTATCTTTCATTACTGTTTCATATAATACAGCCTTATATTTCTGTCTCCCATTCATTGTCCTTTTTTTTTTTTTTTTTTTTTTTTTTAAAGACAAGGTCTCACTCTGTCACCCAGGCTGGAGTGCAGTGGCATGATCACAGCTCACTGCAGCCTCAACCTTCCTGGGCTGAAGCAATCCTCCTGCCTCAGCCTCCCGAGTAGCTGGCACTACAGGCATGCACCACCACACCCAGCTAATTGTTTTTACACTTTTTGTAGAGATGGGGTTTCACTGTGTTGCCCAGGCTGGTCTTGAACTCTCGAGTTCAAGTGATCTGCCTGCCTCAGCCTCCCAGACTGCTGAGATTACAGGCAATAGCCATCACACCCAGCCCGTTGTCTTTAGTAGTTTTACTCTGGGCACTATTAGGTAGGACGCTTTGAGACATGCTAGGTGATAGATAATACCTCTGTGTGTGCATGCGCACAGACACACACACACACACACACACACACACACACACGGCACTTACCTGGTTTAACTTACATTTAAGGTGATCATGTCTTGTTTTCAAAAGTACTCTTCCCTATTGTTTAATCACAATATATGTGGAATTGTTTAAGTAAAGCAAATTTTAAGTAGTCAAGATAAACCAGAATATGAGGATTTGAATTAGGCTCTTTATTTCAAAAGCATATCCTTTGCTCAAATATTCTCCCCTTGATGCCTATTGGAATTTTTCTTGTAACTGTTTTAAGGCTTTTGAGACATTACTGTTTTCTTTCATAGAAGTGTTGAAATCCTTTCCTGTTAGTATGTCTGCTGCAAGTAGAATGGCATAACTTCAAAATATTATTTGTTCCAGAAACTAGCTTTGGTGGAAGATTCACTTCTAATAGTAATATTTCAACCTGTTAAGCAGGAAAAAAAAGTTCTCTTGGGTTTGTATGGTCCCTTTCTTCATTTTGCTATTGCAAACTTAGGAATTAATTAGCAGGCTTTTATGTTCTATACTGCTGCATCATGTTTCTTTCTGTTAATATGTTGTATTTTATTTCCAGAACACTGGAGTTCCTGATGAGACACTTGTCTCTTCTAGCTGACTATTGTTCCATCACAAATATGCATGCAAAAAATCTAGCAATTGTTTGGGCTCCAAACCTGTTAAGGTAATTTGCATTTCACTTATTAATTTTAGTAGAACTAATCCTAAATAAAAGGCTGATTCATCAGTGTTCTTTAAGGAAACTTTTAAAAGATTAAACAAATCTGTTCTTTTTATTTGCATCTCCCTAAAACAGGCAACTGGGCCTTAGCTAAGGGACAGTAAAAGTATGATTTCTTCCTCTGTTTGTCTGAGATTTACACGTTTAAAAAAAGAGGCCCTTGACGACTGCTATCTTTACAACTCTGTGATGAAAATGTTTACCTCACAGATCAAAACAGATAGAATCTGCCTGCTTCAGTGGAACAGCAGCTTTCATGGAAGTGAGGATTCAGTCTGTGGTTGTTGAGTTCATCCTGAATCACGTTGATGTGCTGTTCAGCGGCAGAATCAGCATGGCCATGCAAGAGGGGGCAGGTACGGCTCCGATGGCCCTTCCTACCAGGAGGGTGTGTCTCAGCTTCCAGAGGAGTAGCAAACCATGCATTTCTTATTGCAACAACAAAAACGTGTCACTGGTATAAGGCAGCTAATAATGTATGGCTGCTTACCAAAATGCACAATTTGACAGTTATTTTGTGTGTATATAGTGAATACTACATATGAGACCTATTGTGATCTAAGTTCATGACACATTAAAAAACTTGTCGTTCATTATTGATGTGTATTAAAGTATAAAGTGGAACAGAAGAAGAAAAATTGCTTCCAAAACTAAAAATATCTGAGTGATTGATCACCTTTCCTCATATCTTTTAAGAAAGGAAAACAGTTATTAAAGAGTTTTATATGTGTGTATGTGTGCCACTGGTGTATCCCCTTCAGTTTTTTATTTAATATAAAGCTTTTCTCATATCTTTTAAGAAAGGAAAACAGTTATTAAAGGGTTTTATATGTATGTATGTGTGCCACTGGTATGTCCCCTTCAGTTTTTCATTTAATATAAAGCACTATGGTTTTTGCTATTTAACATACTTGAAGAAAATTTGAAACAACAGATAGGTAGATAGATGGAGAGATAGATACTAACAAATTGAATACACTCACGTAGTTGACTCTCTTCATCAGCTTCCTTTTCTTTTTGAAGCTTCTCTATCAAGGCCCAAGTCCCTCCTGGTATCCTCTCCATCCACCAAACTGCTGACATTGGAAGAGGCCCAGGCACGAACACAAGCTCAGGTCAATTCTCCAATTGTGACGGAAAATAAATATATCGAAGTAGGAGAAGGACCTGCTGCACTTCAGGGGAAATTTCATACCATAATTGAGTTCCCACTTGAAAGGTAAAATTTGTTAAATCCTATTTTGGGATATGATTTTCATAGCTATGTCCTATTATTTTCTTTTAGTTTGCTTTTAATTTTGTATTTTAGTATTACTCTATTGAATTCTAGGCTAGTCCCAGAGAAACCTGTTTATTCGAATATGGATGATACTTACCGCTTCATGGGGAATGATGCAAATGATTCTTGCTTTACAATGTCATGTAATTTTATAAAAGAAGAACATCAGTGGTATAGGGAAAATTGTTTGGAAAAATAAGGATATACTGTCACTATATGGGTTGATTTTGCTCTCTGAACTATGTTGTTTATAAAGTTGTTTAGAAATAAGCTGTGTTGGAAGAGTTTGTTCAGAAAGTCAGGAATGGACAGTGACTTGTTTGACATTGGTTTCACATTAAGGTTAGAAGAGATTAATAGTGTGGTCTCCCAGCCAACAGCATCAGCATCACCTGGTGATAATTGCTAGAAGTGCACATTGTGCAGTCGTCCAGTCACACCCCAGACCCGCTGAATCAGAAACCCTGGGCGTGGGACCCAGCAACTGGTCATTCATCTAACTTTCCAGGTGATTCTGATGTCTGCTAGGACTTGAGAACCACTGCAGCAGTTCACTCTTTCAATGTCCCTTCCAGCTCTGAAATTCTATTACTCTAAAGAAATGATAATAACATGGTTTCTGTATCTTCTTTACTAGGTTATAGTAGGAAGACTAATGTATGTAAAAGTTATTTTTGATGTCTCTGCTACTCCTTTGGCTATTACACATGAATGTAAGGATTTTGATTCTCTGGATTGGGTAGTACTAATATAACTTTAGAATTTGTTCTTCCCGTATTTTAGTATACTCCTCTAACTTCCTTTCACTTCCTGTGACTAAAAACATTCTATCAGCAAAAAGTTGGAACATACTCTTACTTTGTCATCCTGAGTTTGTCTTTAGCATCTTGATTTTATATTCTAGTTCCATAATTTACTCAAAGATTTATTTATGGAGTAGTAGTTAAGAGAGTAGATACTGGGATGTAGATTGGCCTGGGTTCCAATTCTGACTCCATCATTTAATAGTTTTATAATGTTAAAGAAGTTATTTGAACTTCTTAGTGTCATAATTTCCTTGGCTGCAAAATGAGAATAATAGTACTTACCTCATGTGGTTGTATCTGATTTAAAGGAGATATTACATATAAGGCAGGTAGCACAGTGCCTGGCATTCAGTATATGTTTGTTATTATTCTTAATCCTTGTCTTCTTTGTTTGCCTTTATTCTCTACTCACACCTAAAATCATTTTCTTTAACTCTGTGTTATTTTTGGACACTTAATATTTCCTATTCCCAGATACGTCTTATTTTCACTTATTTTTCAGTTTGTGAGGTTGGATCCAAATATGAAGATATATATAAAAATGATCTTTGTGAAAATATTTACTAGTACTAAAATCTGCATGTTTACTATCCATTTTCTGCTTTGGCTGCACTGTGTAGAGTGTGCTGTCTGGAAGGTGGATGTTTGCTTACTGTTTCACTTATGCTTCTCCAGCCTGTTTGGTTCTTTCTGTCATGTGTTCATTTCTTTTCTGTAAGAAAAGACAGACCCATGGCTATCTTAATGTTGATTATTTTTTCTCTTTCATAGAAAGAGGCCTCAAAATAAGATGAAAAAGTCTCCTGTGGGTAGCTGGCGTTCCTTTTTCAACTTGGGGAAATCATCATCTGTTTCTAAACGAAAGCTGCAGCGGAATGAGAGTGAGCCTTCAGAGATGAAAGCCATGGCTCTGAAAGGTGAGTGCCTGGGAGATTCTCACTTCTGCTGCTGTCATGATGGTCTTCGGTTGTTCTGGGCACGTTCTTCACATATTGTTATGATCTGCTTCCATAACGTGTTCACAGTTGTGTCACACATACAGAGTGTCTTCTCTCACCGATTCTTTATTCCTAAATTGAAGAGTAACATAAATTATATATAAATATGTAGAAGTATGCAATTTCTTTTCTTAAGGAAACTATATAGATTATATATAGTGTAAATGTGATTAAATTCACATATACCTTGTATATTGTTGTAAATAAATACTGCTATGGTATCTAAATTTATTGATCTGTATTTTTACAGATCTAAAAAATTTCAAAACTGTTTCAACATAACTTTCAAGTTTATAACTCTTTTAACTAAAGAAGGTATTTTTTATTAGATGTCTCATTAATAGAGTATCTTATTAGATCAAATAAATCTATTACTGTCGAAAAAGTACTCTTTTAAAAATAGTTTAAAAGCCATATTCTATTGATATTAACAACTTCTGAATCTAGGAAGGATAGTAGTACTTCTTAGATAATGTTAGAAGTATAATGTTCAATTCATTTAATTCGTCATTCAGTTTGCAATCATGTAGAGCATGTGCTAGCTATTTTGATAGCAGGCTCTGCAGATAGAAAATTAGGGTAGTACCTCTGCCTTCCAAGTCAAATTGGGAAGTCATACGTGTGAGAAAGTAAATTTTAGTGCAGAATCATAGTTATTGAAATAGTGGTTTAGGCTAGGTACAGTGGCTTACACCTGTAATCCCAACACTTTGGGAGGCCAAGTCAGGAAGATCGCTTGAAGCCAGGAGTTCAAGACCAGCCTGGGCAACAAAGTGAGGCCCTGCATCTACAAAATAATAATAATAATAATAATAATAATAATAATAATAATAATAAATTGCAAATAAGCGAGGCTTGGTGGCACATACCTCTAGGCTTAGCTACTCCGGAGGCTGAAGCAGGAGGATTACTTGAGCCCAGGAGGTTGAGGCTGCAGTGAGCTATGGTTGTGCCACTGCACTCCAGCCTGGATGACAAAGCAAGACATAGTCTCTTAAAAAATAAAAGAAATAGTTACATGAGACAGTTGTGGTAGGAATTGTCAACTCTTGTAGAGGAGGGACTAGTGGTTAGGAAATAACAACCTTTGATATGGGTTTTCAAGGAGAAGTAGGGATTCACCTAACTGACAGGAGACTAAGAATGGTATTTCAGGAGATGGGAGCAGAGTGAAAAGAAGCCAGCTGAGGGCTGAATGCTGGAGAGAAGCAATGTTTAAAGGTGGGAAAGGAAGAATTGTCATGAGAGGAGAGTAAGAAGAAATGATTACAAAGGTAGGCAGAGAAAAAAAGAGATGCATGCTATCCTCAGCAGGGGAGGAGGGGGTTAAAAAGAAAGTGTTCGTAGTGCTGCCAAGGGGTTAAAGAGGATGAAGATATTTAGCGAATAAGATTCACATATGTACGTAAAGTTACCTGTGTTAGTATCCCAGAGTTCCCATAACAAATTACCACAAGTCAAGTGGTAAAAAACAACAGAATTTTTTTCCCTCATGGTTCTAGAAGCTCAAAGTCTGAAGTCAAGGTACCAGCAGGGCTGTGCTTGCTCCAGAGGCTCCAGGGAAAAATCCTTCCTTGCCTTTCCAAGCTCCTGGTGGCTGCTGGCATTCCTTGATGTGTGGCAGCATCCCTCCAATCTTTGCCTCCATCTCCACATGGCCATCTCTGTGTTTTCTTACGAGGACACCAGTCATTGGGTGTAGGGCCCACTCTAAATCCAGTATGATGTCATTCAAGATATCATATTGGTCTTTAGGAAATGTAAAAGAAAGAAGCATCTTAGTTAATCTCTCTGCTCAAATTCATAATCCTTTAGAAAAGAGATTTTTCACACGGGAAACCATTTGAGAACAGTATAACACATTATATAATAGAGTACTAAATTGCTGTCAAAATGTGCAGTATAACACATTATGTAATAGAGTACTAAATTGCTGTCAAAATGTACAGCTAATCACTCTCAAAAGTTTAAATGTATCAAGAAAAACACCGATCCCATTAACCACATATGTAACAAATAAGAAATCTTCACACTATGTGTTTTTTATTCTTCAGGTGGCAGGGCAGAAGGAACCCTCCGTTCAGCTAAAAGTGAGGAGTCTCTTACATCTCTCCATGCAGTTGATGGTAAGACTAAAAGCATCAGTCATTTTATTCTATAATATATTGCATAAAGGAATACTGCAATTGAGTATATTTTTATATATCTGTGCTTAATAAATAGGCTATTAACTCATTTCCTAGGAATACTAGTGTCTATTTAGTATTATTCAGATTAAAATTCATTGATGCTTTCACATGGAAGCAGTCTTTAATCTTTTCATTTTTGGCATGACTGCTATTCAGTTTACATAAAAGTAGCCAAAATATTTCAAGTTAACTATTTATATTTATTAATATCTAGTGAAAACTTGTGTTATTACTGTTTCCTTTAGATTTTACAATGGGAGCATAAGAGTTTTCCAAGATTTTCAATTAAACTAGTCAAGATAACCTACAAAACAATGCAGCAAGCTAGGTGGATACTAGTGTTAAGCAGAAGATATTTGTAAGGAATTAATTTTATGGGTGATCAATACATTTGTGAATATATATATATATATATATATATGTTAGACAGAGTCTCGCTTTGTTGCCCAGTTTGGAGTACAGTGGCGCAATCTTGGATCACTGCAACCTCTAACTCCCGGTTTAAGTGATTATCTTGCCTCAGCCTCCCAAATAGCTGGGACTACAGGCATGCGCCACCATGCCCGGGAGCATAATTTTATAAAGTGTATAATTAAGCAGTTTTTATATTTTTAGTAGATACGGGGTTTTGCCACTTAGGCCAGGCTAGTCTCGAACTCCTGACCTCAGGTGATCTGCCCACCTCAGCTTCCCAAAGTGCTGGGATCACAGGCATGAACCGCTGTGACCGGCCAATATATTTATATTTATTAAGATAGTTTCTGCCTCTTTAAATTACTTTTTAACTATGGCAATTAAAATAATCCTAATAGAATAGAGAGTTTCTTTTTTACCAGTTGGATATTTAGCAACATCGTAAAATTATGTAATACTCTCTGCCACTCTTGAAGACTGCTTGGGAAACTTAAAACCTATTCTTAAAGAAAAAAATGAAGTTCTTGTTTAGTATCTGAAAGGAATTTTTTACTAAATATATGTAAATACTTTATGGGATTATGAAGATTTTTTAATTGAGAAGTTCAATTTATTTAGAAATTTGAATATTGTAAGGATGTTTCCCCACAAAAAAAACATCCATTTTGCTATTATAGATTCAAAATGCCACTCAAAGTGATTAATTCCACCTCATAAGTCATATGAGGCCAGTGATAAAATAAGACACAAAGAAATGAAAAACTTGCCCAAAGTCACACCAAGAATCAGTGTTGGATTAGTAATAGAATCCAAGCATTCTGAGTTCTTTTCCTCTCCAGACCATGAAATACTGCATTCGCCCTCTGATTCTATCACATGTTTGCTATTTAGCATTTGGTTTTGGAGTTCTGTTATCTCAAGTGTAAATGATCTGTGTGCACTGAAAGAATTTTCAGAAAGAAAATGAGAAGTAACACTTCCTTCACCTAGATAGTAAGTTACTGCTGTGCTGAGTAGGTGACTTACCACAGCATTCTGTATCTACGATGTTCTTACTTTGACACTGTTATTCATTTTTTCCAGGTGATTCTAAGCTCTTCCGACCCAGAAGACCCAGATCTTCCAGTGATGCACTGTCTGCCTCTTTTAATGGAGAAATGCTGGGGAACCGCTGTAACTCCTATGATAATCTGCCTCATGACAATGAGAGTGAGGAGGAAGGAGGGCTGCTTCATATCCCAGCCCTTATGTCTCCTCATTCAGCTGAGGATGTTGACTTGAGCCCACCAGACATTGGAGTAGCCAGCCTGGATTTTGATCCAATGTCATTTCAATGTAGTCCTCCTAAGGCCGAATCAGAATGTCTGGAGAGTGGTGCTTCCTTTTTAGATTCACCAGGATACTCCAAGGATAAACCAAGTGCCAATAAAAAGGATGCAGAAACAGGTAGTAGCCAATGTCAGACTCCAGGAAGCACAGCAAGCTCTGAACCTGTCTCTCCTCTTCAGGAGAAACTGAGTCCATTCTTTACCCTGGACTTGAGCCCAACTGAAGATAAATCATCTAAGCCATCCTCCTTTACTGAAAAGGTCGTCTATGCTTTCTCTCCGAAGATAGGACGGAAATTAAGCAAATCACCTTCTATGAGCATATCTGAGCCAATTTCAGTGACCCTACCACCACGGGTGTCAGAAGTCATTGGTACAGTCTCAAATACCACAGCTCAGAATGCATCATCTTCAACCTGGGACAAATGCGTTGAAGAAAGGGATGCCACAAATAGATCCCCCACCCAGATAGTAAAGATGAAAACAAATGAGACAGTTGCCCAAGAAGCATATGAATCTGAAGTCCAGCCCCTGGACCAGGTGGCTGCTGAAGAAGTAGAATTGCCAGGGAAAGAGGATCAGTCTGTCTCAAGCAGTCAGAGTAAGGCTGTAGCTTCTGGACAGACTCAGACAGGTACCGTTTGTTTTCCTCCATTCTTTCTTTAAGTTAAGAGGGATCTTCAATCCTGTGTGCCATCTGTGCCTTTTAAGAGAGAAATTTGTCCACAGCTAGCCTTTAATCAAAGAGAATGCTTTTCTGGGTGGTGCTGATGGCTCAGAGCCCTAAATTAAAAGCAGTCCAACAAAACTCCCCAAAAGGGCCAATGGTCCTGCTTCAAATCTTCACAAAAGTCCCCTTATCTCTTTGGACGGTGAGAATTCGTGGATAATTTTTGCACAACTGCGTAGCTCTTGATTCTGTTTTTCTCTTCTAATAAAATATCTTTATTGTAGCCTTCCAAGTTAACAAGCCAGCTACACCATCAAATGTAAAAACTGTTCATAATAACAGTCTACAAGCACTTGAAGCTTGTTTTCTAAGCAATCTTTTCTGAGCCAGGTGAGGGACATGCTTTTTTTCCCCCCCATCTCTGTAACAATTCAAGAAGAGATTGCAGTCTTTATACACTGTTTGTTTTAGTTTTCCTTCTGAACCAGATGTGTTTTCAACAGCATTTGCATGTGGGATAGAAGATCATGGATTGCCATTTTGAAATATGGAAGGCACCTATTTTTTAATGATCACATGGGGAGTGTTTGGCTTTCCATTTAGGATAACGTAAGCTACCTTTTCACTCTCATTTTTTTTCCCAATTTCCCACTAGGAGCAGTTACCCATGACCCCCCTCAGGATTCCGTTCCTGTCAGTTCAGTCTCTCTTATCCCACCACCACCGCCTCCGAAAAATGTTGCCCGAATGTTGGCGCTAGCATTAGCTGAGTCCGCACAGCAAGCCTCAACTCAGTCATTGAAGAGACCAGGGACCTCTCAGGCTGGGTATACAAATTATGGAGACATAGCGGTGGCTACAACTGAAGATAATCTGTCCAGTTCTTACTCTGCAGTTGCTCTAGATAAGGCCTATTTCCAAACCGATCGACCAGCAGAGCAGTTCCACCTCCAGAATAATGCACCAGGAAACTGTGACCATCCTCTACCAGAGACAACAGCTACTGGGGATCCTACCCATTCCAACACAACTGAATCTGGGGAGCAACATCACCAAGTAGACTTAACAGGGAATCAGCCACATCAAGCATATTTATCTGGGGACCCAGAAAAGGCCAGAATTACTTCAGTTCCCTTAGACTCAGAGAAGTCTGATGATCATGTAAGTTTCCCTGAAGACCAGTCTGGGAAGAACAGTATGCCAACTGTCTCCTTCTTGGATCAGGACCAGTCTCCACCCCGTTTCTACAGTGGAGATCAGCCTCCTTCTTATCTTGGTGCAAGTGTGGATAAACTCCATCACCCTTTAGAATTTGCAGACAAATCTCCCACACCTCCTAATTTACCTAGCGATAAAATCTACCCTCCTTCTGGGTCCCCCGAAGAGAATACCAGCACAGCCACCATGACTTACATGACAACTACTCCAGCAACAGCCCAAATGAGCACCAAGGAAGCCAGCTGGGATGTGGCTGAACAACCCACCACTGCTGATTTTGCTGCTGCCACACTTCAGCGCACGCACAGAACTAATCGTCCCCTTCCCCCTCCGCCTTCCCAGAGATCTGCAGAGCAGCCACCAGTTGTGGGGCAGGTACAAGCAGCAACCAATATAGGATTAAATAATTCCCACAAGGTAAGAAGGGGAAGATATCAGTGAGATGAAATATACTATTACCAAAGGTATGTCACTTTTCAGCAGGGTGTGTTGTTATCTTTGAGTCAGACACAACAATTACTTTTAAGCCCTGTGGCTGGTTTCCATGAGATAGTTCCCATTTGAGGTTGGAGTCTGCCATTACCTTGATGCTGGCTTTTCCCCAGGAAAGGAGTAGCTCCTAGATGACTATAGCTTAACTGTACCTGCTCCCTTTTCTTCCTAAAGTGTCTCGGTAGTTTATTCCAGTAACACAAAGAGATCAGGATCAAATGAGACAAAGTGGGCTTTACGGTTGTGGGTTGCTTTTTCTTATTTTTTTCCAACTCCATCACTGACTCATTGTGACTTTGGGCAAGTCATTTACCTACCCTCTGCCAATTATTCACAGTTACACAATGAAAATACTTCATTCTCAAAACATTCGTAAGACTGTCTGCCTTGCAGACTTTTTGGAAGTATAAGAGATTATAGTGCCTTGGGATTTTTTGTTACTTTCCTAGCATTCACCAGCAGTTTGTCCCATAGTCAGGTGCCTGTTTCAATGAGAGAATGTAGTATGCAGAATGCTAAGGTTTCTTCCTGAATTTCCTCATATTTTAAGAAAGTGCCACAGGTTGTTTTTCTTCTATATGGTCACCTTGAACTATTAATAGGACTTAAGATTTTAGACCTTAGTGGAGGATGCTGTGTTTACTGCTTCTCAAGGATAGCATGTTTTCAGTATGAGGATTATCTTTGGCCAGACTAAGGTGGAATCAAAGGTAGGAGAGAGGCAGTAGCTTCTGATTTGAATATTGCCTTTCCCTATGTTTGAAGCCCTAAAACTGCTAACTGTGTACAACTGTGAATTTCAAAAGTCTCCCCAGATGATAGAATTAACTCTTAATTTAACAAGATGTCCTTTGTGTTGAGACTGAGCTAGACTAATAGACCGGGTATGTATTTTTAAGCTCTACAGCATTACTTGACTAAACCTCTCTTTTGGTTTGTATATTAAAATTATGCCATAGGCAACCTCATCTCGCATTTAAAACCTCTCATAAATTAGAAAACTTTGAATGGTTCTCCAAAGATAATACTGGGTGTTGTACAAAATAGCAGCACAAGCCTTCTTTTCCTAGAAATGGGTACAGATTCATTGCAACCACATGGCTTGGGAAAGTTCAAGCTGCTACCCAACCAGCCTTAATTTGTGAGTTACAAATTTAATAGTACTTGATTCATAGAGGGAACAAAAAATAGACCCATAGTATTATCATCTTTCAATAGGTTCAAGGAGTAGTTCCAGTTCCAGAGAGGCCACCTGAACCTCGAGCCATGGATGACCCTGCGTCTGCCTTCATCAGTGACAGTGGTGCTGCTGCTGCTCAGTGTCCCATGGCTACAGCTGTCCAGCCAGGCCTGCCTGAGAAAGTGCGGGACGGTGCCCGGGTCCCGCTGCTGCACCTGCGCGCCGAGTCTGTCCCTGCGCATCCCTGTGGCTTTCCTGCACCACTGCCCCCCACCAGGATGATGGAGAGTAAGATGATTGCTGCCATACACTCCAGCAGTGCAGATGCCACCAGCAGTTCAAATTATCATTCCTTTGTCACTGCTTCATCCACCTCTGTGGACGATGCATTGCCTTTACCACTTCCTGTCCCACAACCTAAGCATGCTTCTCAGAAAACAGTTTACTCCTCCTTTGCTAGGCCCGATGTCACCACTGAACCCTTTGGTCCAGATAACTGTTTGCATTTCAATATGACTCCAAACTGCCAGTACCGTCCCCAGAGTGTACCTCCCCATCACAATAAATTGGAGCAGCACCAAGTGTATGGTGCCAGGTCAGAGCCACCAGCCTCCATGGGTCTTCGTTATAACACATATGTGGCCCCAGGAAGAAACGCATCTGGACACCACTCCAAGCCATGCAGCCGGGTCGAGTATGTGTCTTCTTTGAGCTCCTCTGTCAGGAATACCTGTTACCCCGAAGACATTCCACCGTACCCTACCATCCGGAGAGTGCAGTCTCTCCATGCTCCGCCGTCTTCCATGATTCGCTCTGTTCCCATTTCACGGACAGAAGTTCCCCCAGATGATGAGCCAGCCTACTGCCCAAGACCTCTGTACCAATATAAGCCATATCAGTCCTCCCAGGCCCGCTCAGATTATCATGTCACTCAGCTTCAGCCTTACTTTGAGAATGGCCGGGTCCACTACAGGTATAGCCCATATTCCAGTTCTTCTAGTTCCTATTACAGTCCAGATGGGGCCCTGTGTGATGTGGATGCCTATGGCACAGTCCAGTTGAGACCCCTTCACCGCCTTCCCAATCGAGACTTTGCTTTCTACAATCCTAGGCTGCAAGGAAAGAGCTTGTACAGTTATGCTGGTTTGGCTCCACGTCCCCGGGCCAACGTGACTGGCTATTTCTCTCCCAACGACCATAATGTAGTCAGCATGCCTCCGGCTGCTGATGTGAAGCACACCTACACCTCATGGGATCTTGAGGACATGGAAAAATACCGCATGCAGTCCATCCGGAGAGAGAGCCGTGCTCGGCAGAAGGTGAAAGGGCCTGTCATGTCCCAATATGATAACATGACCCCGGCGGTGCAGGACGACTTGGGTGGGATCTATGTCATCCATCTGCGTAGTAAATCAGATCCTGGGAAAACTGGACTTCTCTCAGTGGCAGAAGGAAAGGAGAGCCGCCATGCAGCCAAGGCCATCAGTCCCGAGGGAGAGGACCGCTTCTATAGGAGGCATCCCGAGGCAGAGATGGACAGAGCCCACCATCACGGAGGCCATGGTAGCACGCAGCCGGAGAAGCCATCCCTGCCTCAGAAGCAGAGCAGCCTGAGGAGCAGGAAGCTTCCTGACATGGGCTGCAGTCTTCCTGAGCACAGGGCACACCAAGAAGCAAGCCATAGGCAGTTCTGTGAGTCAAAGAATGGGCCCCCTTATCCCCAGGGAGCTGGCCAGTTAGATTATGGGTCCAAAGGGATTCCAGACACTTCTGAGCCAGTCAGCTACCACAACTCTGGAGTAAAATATGCTGCATCCGGGCAAGAATCTTTAAGACTGAACCACAAAGAGGTAAGGCTCTCCAAAGAGATGGAGCGACCCTGGGTTAGGCAGCCTTCTGCCCCAGAGAAACACTCCAGAGACTGCTACAAGGAGGAAGAACACCTCACTCAGTCAATCGTCCCACCCCCTAAACCAGAGAGGAGTCATAGCCTCAAACTCCATCATACCCAGAACGTGGAGAGGGACCCCAGTGTGCTGTACCAGTACCAACCACACGGCAAGCGCCAGAGCAGTGTGACTGTTGTGTCCCAGTATGATAACCTGGAAGATTACCACTCCCTGCCTCAGCACCAGCGAGGAGTCTTTGGAGGGGGCGGCATGGGGACGTATGTGCCCCCTGGCTTTCCCCATCCACAGAGCAGGACCTATGCTACAGCGTTGGGTCAAGGGGCCTTCCTGCCCGCAGAGTTGTCCTTGCAGCATCCTGAAACACAGATCCATGCAGAATGAGCCCTGCGAGCAATAGAGTTGAAGCAGCCTCTGCTGGACAGTGGACTGTTCTATTTTTTTCAATAACCAAAAAGATTAAACAAAAAATACTATAAAACCCCTGACCACATTTAAAAAATGATAATAAAAGTAAACAAATCAGCATCTTTTTCCCCTTCCCTGCTTCATTACCCCCTCTTCCATCTATAGACTTTGTCATTTTTGTCTTTAGAAAAGATCTGAAGGATGGTAAAGCCCCGTGCTGAAACCCAGTAGAGAAACCTGTCTCAGGACACACTTGCCATCTAGGGCTAGCTTGAAAGAGCCTGAGGACTGCCTTTAACTGAATTTGAATTCAGCATTGTCCTTTCTTCTTAGTATTTGCTGCATAATTGAGAGCAGTTCACATCGATTTCCTGGTAGGCGTCTGCATTCCCTGTTGTGTTCCTGCTTCTCCTTCAGTAGCTGCACAACTTGCGCAGATCGACACACTGTTGTCACTTCATTCTCCCCGTCTGAGAAGGATCTTGTGTTCAGTTAGAGTCGTGGAAAAATCCCTGATCCTTCAAGGTCAGTCAGACAGTTGGCAACATTATAATTAAAAATAAGAAATTAAGACTTTAAATTAAACATTTGGTAGAGTCATCATAAAACACCAGACCACTTAGACTCAGGCTGAACCATACTCTTTCTATTCTTATTTTTCATCCTTGTTCCTCACGGTTCAGTGAACAGGCTCATATCATGACAGAATGGACTTTTAAAAGTTAGTACTTAAGGAAACTTCTTTAGGTGGAAGAAAGTAAAGTTCTTATTGTCAGTGAACTTTATTAGCACCAGAAATCTCTATTGATGCTTTTAATGCATTGCCTGCCTTCAGGTTTTCTTCTTACCCCACCCCTCAATAAGATTTGGTGAATTGTAATTCTAGTAAAACATGTCATACCATTGGTTTTCCTAAATTATCAACTTTCTTTCATTAAAAAAAAAAAAAAAAAAAAAAGCCCAGCATGGTTTGACTGGATAGACACGCATAATTTATTATGAATATAAATTTCCATGTTTGTTTCTGTTCCTAAACCAGAGTACGAGGTCCCTGGGAATTTAAGTAGCTACGCATTATCTATTATTAGACTGCAAGTTCCTGCAATAACTGCTTAGTTCACAGCCCCGTTTCACCAGTGGAGTTCTGGGCAGTTATTGCTGTCCTAAGGCATTACTGTCGTTTGCTTACTCTATACTTGTGTGGTCACAGTCTTCTTGTAATTACCATCTACACCAGCATTTCAGGTATAGCTCTTTATAACTCTGGAGACATGTAAAACATGTTTAACACCCACGAGTTTTGAAAGTTGCATTCCTTATTAGAGTAGGAACTCTCTAGCCCAACTCCATTCTATGTTCTCAGCTCCCTCCACCCCCCAAAATACATCAGACTAGCAAGGCAGTCCTATGTTTACAAAACGAGTTTAGATTGTCATTTCATTCCATAACTCTTAATAATACTCAAGTTTTATACATTCACGTATTTTAAATGCTCGGTCTGTAGAAGACACTAGGAGAATTGCATTCCAATTACTGGATGGTTGCTGCTCTGGCTTTTTAGAACTTGAAATTAATTTTTATTTAGAGCAAAGGAGGAAATCTTTTAAGAGGCTAAAATCATGCTGCTATTATTGCTGTGAAATTGTATAAAGATTAGGATTCATGCCAGTTTTTATTTTAAAAAATAATGTGCATTTTAAGGGTTTATATTTAGAAAAAAATAAAATGTTTCAAGAACAACACATTGATATGTGGAAATATTCTATAAGGTTTTCTTTTGTTCCCTTAGAATTCATTGGAGGGATGCAGTAAAAACTGTAGTAGAAACCTTGAAACACCCATATGTGAAAAGGTCTGTGGAAATTGAGGCCTCTACATTAAAAGTGCAGAACCAACTGTTTTACAGTCAAAGTGCTAGGAAACCTGATAGGATACTTCCCTTTGGCACAAAAACACCCTGGGTGCTACATACAGGAGTATGACCTTTGGTGAATATGTGGCACTAATTTTTTTTACCTTAATCATATTCTTGTCAAGTAGGCAACCCATTGCCCCTTGGAGACCACACCAGCCCTGTAAGTTCTCACCAGCAGCATGGAGATTAGGAAGAGGGGCTGCTGTGACCAGGAGATACACACGGCTTTAAGTAACTGAGAGCCTAAAGAAAGTAACCCAGGGAGTCCGGTCCAGTTTTAATATTTGTGGATTTGTTGTCACACACATTGTTTAGTCCTGAAACTAAAACCTATTTTATAAATAGTAGGGTTAATTCCTCGAAACAATTTCTTTATTAATAAATGTCCTGTGGGTTTAGAAATATCAGGTAAATATTTGAATACAGAATGATGATTGCAATTACTGTTACAAGCGTGAAACACAAACTTCAGATCAAATCTAGAGTTGCTTCATTTAATGCATGCTAGCAACAGCCTTAACTTTGGATTCAGTTATTTGAAACACTTTTCCGGCATCTTTCCCTTTCTAATGTTGTGGGGTGGAAACCGGATGGCAAATCACTGTGAGCCGGATACCTCAGCACAGTCCACCTTGTGTGTGACTTCACAAATGGGGGACTTCACAAATGGGGTAACTGAATGTTATTACTTTCAAATTTTGACATGGAGCATTATGATCAAGGAAATGGAGCTGCCTTATACATTAAACCCGTGATTTAATCCTATTGACATTTTCATAGCCATGCCTCCAGATTTTATCTTTTTGGCAAAATTCTGATTCCACAGTTTGGTCTGATTGAAATAAATATTCCCTGGACGTCTGGCTAAAAATTTTGCTAACAATCCCAGAGGTGCCATTTTCTTATTAATAAATTTCATTGGAGCCTTATTTCTTACTATATTCAATTTCGTTTCAAACCTGCAAGTCCCTGGGATGGTCCCACGACTAGGGCCTGCACATTTCTTACAATGGCAAAGCATTTTTTAAAATTTAGGGTCAGGTTGAAAAATTCTAGGACTAATTCTGTAGAGAGGAGGGACTGTTAACTAACGTGAGTGGGGACGGAGGAGTAGGTTACCACATTTGGAGCAGTAATAGATGCAAACGATGTAAATTTGAAATTTGCCCCTTTAGTTAAAGAAGGAGCCTGCAAAGTCCATTTCTCTGTTTTCAGCCCTGTCAGTCACCCATTTAGGATGTTGGCAAAGTACTGCTTGAGCAGAATGTGTAAGAAAGTAATAATGAAAGCAAAAGTATGTCAGACAGTTACTTCTTCCACATGGTTAGAGGCATGTGATTTTCAGCACTGTGTGTTACAGAAATGTCAGGAATGGTGTATTATAACGTGTGCAAGATAATGTCAGTGTGCACAGAGGGTCTTTTTTCCTTATCTGATTAGTACTGTTAATGTTCAAAGAATAAAAATGGTTTTACAGTTTAGATTCTGAGATAGCAAAACCTGATTTTTCAACCATGACCTGCATGAGAGAAGCATCCTAGGAAGTCTTAGATCATACTTTTGAGTTTTTAATTTTAATTTATATAGTGTTTTTTTATGTCTTAATATTTTTGTGAACTGGTGTAAATTGTTAATGCATATAAGCTTGTGTATTTTTGTAAATAGTTTTGTGATTTATTTCTTGCCCCATATGTAAATATTTAGAGTCTCATTTCTTGCAAACTTATTTGAAGCTGAGTTGTGGGTTTGGGTTTTGTTTGTTTCTTTGGTTGCAGGGTGGGGTGGGGGGTGGCAGGGGAGGGAGGAAGGGATTTTTGTACCTGGAGATGGAGATATCTTGTGGTTTAAAGCAAATGTCCCACTGAAAGTGATTCAAATATCAACAGAATTATTTCAGGTTAAAACAGACTGCTTTGTGTATGTGTTTCCTTTTTGACCTAATATGAATTATAATGAGATAGTGGGGGTGATTGATTTGGGGAATTAGGACCAAAGGACACATGTTTTCATGACACATCCTGTTATGCCCAGGGGTACGCTATTTGAGGAAAGGGGTTAAGTGTCTCCTGTCGTTATCTATTTACCACCTTTTGCTGCCTGGCCAAATTTCCCCCAAGTCAAACACTGTTCCCTGTAGAGCGGTGGAGACCTCTTGATCCATCCTGGAGAGTCTGGGCTGACTTGCTGCTTCCTGCTCCTGAAGGAGTCCACACTCCGCTCTTGGAGCCTGGTTCCCGAGTGTGCACTTCTCAGGAAACTGAATCAGCTTATCTCAGGATCCTTCAAAGGGGATTCTGAATAAAACCATATCTTTACAGATTCCCAGGAAACATCTTGGACATCCTGTTTTCTCTCTCTTAAGGGTGAAATGACCATAAAAGAATCATGCCGCAGATGAGGCCACCTGTGGTGAGCTGGCTCGCAGCAAGCCCAGATCAAGTGTTAGTGAGACGGTGACTCTAGGTGTGAAGCAAGTACTGCAAGTGGCCCAGCTGCCCAGCAGGGCTCCAGAGTTTCTTCTGCTGCCACAGTTCTCAAAATAAATACTTCAGTATCAACCAGGACTTAAAGGTGAGGCGGGGAGGACCCTCAATATTCAGCTGTTGAATATTGGTTTTCCTATTGAGAGTCAAGTTGCAAATCATTCTTCATTTTGAGGTGTTAGGGCCCTATTTTTTTTTCTTGCCAGCAATAGGAAAAGTTGCCTGTTTATTCCAGATGGCCCTAGTAAGCCAACCGTCTTTTCTGTGCCTGCATACCACACTCCAGACCTCAGCAAAGATACAGCATCTGCTTTGGTAAGCGTCCTCAGACCTGAATAAGTGTTCCCATGGAAACTGCTCAGATGGGATGAAAGAAAAGATACAGCCGCAGCTCCACTGGGTCTTCTCAGTTTTCAGGACTCTGCTTTCCATGCCAACTATTTCATCACCAAACTTATGTTATACTGACAAAAATATGGTACCTACCTCTTAAAATGTGTATCACTGAGGAATCAGTAACACATACATTCTTGGTGGTTGAGATTTTAGTCATTTGTGGTTGTACAGGAAGAGGCACATTTTAAAGTAACACTGACTCCCCATCCAGTAAAACCTTGGGCATCTGGAAACACCAGAAATAAGACATTTTAGTTGGTCATGTTTTTCATACAGTTGACAGTGTACCTCTGAAAAAGTATAAGGTGTAATTTTATTTTAGACCCTTGAATCAAAATACTTCCAGAATGTATTTCCAACCACAAATTTTGTGGCCAGTGTAGTTTCATCACTTGTATCAATAGATTACTGCACCATGCATAACTTAGGGATATCCTCGGGGGCACACTGAGATAAAAGATCTGCGTTTATACCAAGTGGTTTAACACCAGTTCTTTTTATATTTTTATACCCCTTTTTTTCAGTTTCGTATGTCTTTGCTGCTGTCACTTTGTGTTACTGTCTAAGAACTACCTATAAACCCTCCTCTTCCTTTTTCTCTTTGTAATTCTAATCTGGGGAGCAAAAGTAGTTCTGAACTGGAGTCCTGAAAGGTTATCCTGAATCGTGTGGACTTTGTATTGTCTATTTTTTGTTACTCTGAGGCTCTTGTTTTCTCCTAGCAAAGGGCTTGGATAGCTGAGTCTCAGGAAGGAGATGTTAGTGTATAAGATGCTCAGAAGGGAGAATGAAACCAAAGCTGTAAGACTTCACCCTTCATTTGACAGTCTGTGAGAAAGCGATGTGATTAGACGCAGTGGCATTTCTCCTGTTAATAACTGCAGAGTGTTTCTCCCCATAGGAGAATGCTAGGCTAGAAGACAGTTTGAGCATCCACAATTAAGAAACCAGAATATCATGTAGACAGCTTCAGCTGTCACTGAGTCATTTGCAATTCGTGTTCTTAATTCTCTAAAAAATTTTTGAAAAGCATCCTAGATTTCTCAGCCACTAGTTATGTTTTAAACTCGGCAAGTATTTCTCAAACTTCAGAATCCATTTAGAACACCTGGAGAGCTAAGCTAGTTAAGATTCTTGAGCAACCACCAGATGGTCTGATCCAGTGCGACTGGGATTGGACTTAGAATCTAGTTTTGGTGTCCACTCCATGTAATCCTGGTGCAGATGGCTGAGAAATACAGATCTAGGCAGCACATTTAATATGCTTGCAGAGGGAGCCGTCTCTTGTTCATTGAAGTTACCACCTTTTCCCATTCACACTTTGGTTCCCCTTCACTTCGGTGATAGGGTAACAGAAATGTATCCTTAATTTCTCTCTCCCCTTGGTATAAATATTAAGCCCCAGACTCAATAACAATGGCATGCAAAAATTAGAGCTAATTGAACTGAACAAACTATAGAAAATGCAGCATTCTTTAAAAAGGAGATAAAATACTGCTGGCTGAATACTCTAATGCCTCCTATTATATGCTTATATAATATTAAGACGACCTGAGACATTTGGTCTTGTTAGGGAAGTGTAGCTAATTCACATTTGCTTTTTGACAGCTAACTTTTTCAAATACTGCACTCTGGCTGGGTGTGATGGCTCATGCCTGTAATCCCAGCACTTTGGGAGGCCAAGGTGGGCGGATCACCTGAGGTCAGGAGTTCGAGACCACCCTGGCCAACATGGTGAAACCCTGTCTCTGCTAAAAATACAAAAACTAGCTGGGTGTGGTGGCACACCTGTACTCCCAGCTACTTGGGAGGCTGAGGCAGGAGAGTTGCTTGAACCCGGGAGGCAGAGGCTGCAGTGAGCTGAGTTCATGCCACTGCACTTCAGCCTGGGCAACAGAGGGAAACTGTCTCAAAAACAACAACAACAAACAAAAAAATCAAATACTGCACTCATGGAAAACAAATAGCTAGGACCAAGTGATGTTCCTTCTTTTCTCATCAAAACTTTTACAAGAACTATCGTCACATAATTAACTTAAGTTTTTTCATATTTTATCAATTCTGGGCAATGGTATAGCAATGTTTTTAACAGCAGTAACAAACTATGCTTACTATAGTGCCAGTTGTTGTGAGCCTTTTGTGTCTGTTAACTCATTTATTTCTCATAACCCATCAGTTTGTAGATGAAACCAAGGCTCAACCAAAGGTTCAACGCTCTGCCCAGTGGCATACAGTGAGTAATCCATGTGGAGCTGAAAGTCAAACCTGCACACACTGACTCAAAGCAGACTTGAGAGTTGGCTGGTTGAATCTGGACTGCTACTAACTCTAAAACCTCTACTGACCCACTAAACCCTCTAAAATTATTTCTAAAACTCTGATGAAGCCATGACTTCCTGATCTCTAAAGTGGGAATAATAGTACCTATGAAGGGTTGCCGTGAGGATTCAATTAGATAGTAGGTGTTTGTACAGGGCTCAGCAGGAGAGCAAGTGCCAAATAAAAGTTACCCAGAACTTTTACTTGGAAATAGCACAAGACCATGCAGCAATAGAAGGGAAGAGGGCTATATTGTGCTTGTATCATTAAGTATTTAACCACTTTCTATTGTATCATTAAGAATTTATTAAGGGTCAACCCTTCTGAAAAAATAACCGGAAAGTTCTCCCATGGTTGGATCTCGCAGGAAGAGAGCCCTGGCAGTTAAAATGGGACTTCACAGGGAATCCTATAGCGTGACGTAGTAGTGGAGAAGGTCCTTGCTTACCATGAAGTCCGAATAACAACCAAAAAGTCTTGTGTAATTATTCAGTGGAAACCATTATCCAGATAGCACCTATTATGACGACTGAACTGTGTCTACATTTCAGAACAATGTCTAGTGCTAGGTTATCTATTGCATCTGTCAACTTTCCAGTTCAGGGAAGTGGTCCAGGAACCTCTGTGAGCTTCACCTTCTCTTCTAGTGGATGGTGCCTTCTGCAGGTATCGCTTTCCTGTATTGCCCTAGTTACTCACAGGCTCATTCAATACACGAGATGGCAGGAGTAGAAGCAACATGGTGAATTTCTGCAAAAGAAGTAATGAGGGAAAGCAGGCCTGGTATTCTACAAAACAGTTGCTAAAGAGAGGGATTTGACTGGCTCTCCATTTCTGGATAGTAAAACTTGGTAAATAATGAAGTTTTGTTTTGTTTTTTTGAGACAAAGTCTTGCTCTGTCACCCAGCGTGGAGTGCAGTGGCACTATCTTGTCTCATTGCAACCTCTGCCTTCCAGGTTCAAGTGATTCTCCTGCCTCAGCATCCTAAGTAGCTGGGACTACAGATGTGCACCACCACACCCGGCTAACGTCTGTATTTTTAGTAGAGATGGGGTTTTGCCATGTTGGCCAGGCTGTTCTTGAACTCCTGACTTCAAGTGATCTGCCTGCCTCGGCCTCCCAAAGTGCTGGAATTACAGGTATGAGCCACTGGCTCTGGCCTCATTATTCTTAAACACATATATATTTTCCTGGTTCAAGATCAGTTAAAGCAAAATGCATTTCCAGAGAAAAGAGCATAGTAATTGCACTGATAGTAGCTAATATCATTAAAAATTTATTGATCAATTATCATGTACCAGGCTATCCTAAGTATTTTGCATATGTTAATATTAACTCATTCTTCCTAACAATTACGTGAGGTAACATTTTTTCTTTTATTGCCACTTTACAGGTAAATCAAAGCCTAGAAAGTTTTAAGTAATGTGCCTGAGTTTATATCTCTGAGGTTAAGTGGGGTGCAGGCCCAAGCTCTGTGACCCCAGAGCCTGCAGTTCTTACCACTGTTAGACTGTATGCCCACTGTGTATCCTCAAAGATCATGAATCCCTAACGTAGTTGTGCCTGCGAGGCTAGGGCACTGTGTTGTTGTTGATTTGCAGGGAACACAACTCCTCACATTAGTCAGGTTAGGCTAGGGTTATGCTGTAGTAACACAACCAAAATCTCAATGCCTTAGACATGAAAAGAGGTGTTTTTCCTGCTCAAGGCAAGCCTGCTGCAGGTCCAGGCAACTGTCCTGGGTAACAGTCCTCTGAGCAGCCATTGGCATCCCTTACCCCCATCACCTAAGACTGAACTCCTAGGATGGTGAGGCAAGGGAGGAGAACACTGGAGGAGCTTGCAGGGATAGTTAAAATGTGGTCCAGAAGTCACACATGTCGTTCCTGCTCACAACTCATCAGATAGAATGAGTCTGAAGGCCATGCCAGTACAAGCAAGGTGCGAGTTAAAGGCAGTAGACCCCCTGTCTGGAAGGAGAGCAGAGCTGGGAGCAGTGCACAGCATGGACATCTACCTCCCACTCCACTCTCGACTCAGGTTCTCCCATGACATCTGTCACTGACAAGGGCAGCAGCATGCGGAAGAAGAGTGCTCTAGCTTCCTGAAGCAGAGAGCGACAATTATAGCCCCCAAGACAAGCTCAAGGACTGGCAGTTTATAGGGCAAAAGAAATTGAGGGGCAGCATAGGTTGCCAGATGAGGTGTCACTCTTGAGACCTCATAATGGTAGCAGAAGGTTGGTCCTGCATCCACAAGCTTCTAACCATATATTGGAGAAGAAGAAGCTTCTGGAAATAAAGAGAGGGTGTGTCTTGTTCCAGCTGCAGAGATATGGAAGATATGCAAAGGGGCGGGGGGCTCCATGAATGCTGCTGGAAGTCAAGTACAGCCACCCTCCCTCTGCCTTGTACTGCCGCCTCATCAGCCTCCTTGTCCTCCCGTAAACATGCCAAGTCCACTTCCACCTCAGCCTTCGTGCTGACTGACACTCCTCCCCCTGGGGTGCATAGGCCCCAGGTATCTATGTGGTTCGCTCCCGCACTTCAAGTCTTTGCTCAAACACCACCCCCTTAGAGAAGACTTTCCTTGACCATCCTATCTCATGTAGCATGTCACTACTCTTACCCCATTACTTGCTTTATGTTATTTATTTTTTATCTATAGTTTCTCTGGAATGTGAACTCCAAGAGGACAAGAGCTTTGTCTTGCTCATTTAAATCCTAGTGCCTGAAATAACACTATAGCATAATATGTGCACCAACCTTTCCTGAAGGAGTGAGCTGATGGGTCCCTAGTATCCATGTGCAGGTGTGACTTTCAGCTCCACATGGATTACTCACTGTGTGCCACTGGGCAGAGCGTTTAACCTTTGTATGCCTTGGTTTCATCTACAAACTGATGGGTCGTGAGAAATAAATGAGTTAACAGATGCAAAAACTCACAACAACTGGCACTATAGTAAGCATAGTTCATTACTGCTGTTAAAAACATTGCTATACCGTTGCCCAGAATAAGACACGAAAAAACTTAAGCTATTTATATGATAGTTCTTGTAAAAGGCAGGGGCTGGGAACCCCTTTGTACTGGGTGTTGAAATATAACAGGACATCTTACTTCAGTAGCAAGGATGAATCCCATCATTTGTTTGGTTTACTTTCATATGTTACAAGCACCGGGACTACTGGTGTTGGTTGCTGGTCACAGAAGCAAAGACAAGTAGGCTTACATGATCTAAAATTCAACTGCCAGATGACTAAACACTGGTAGAAGTAGTCATAAAAGGAGAGCAGTTTTGAGCAGTGCTTGGAAAGTAGGGAAGGGGGTTACTTGCAGGAGAGGAAGGGTGATGTTCTAGGTGTCTGGGAAAGACTTTCTTCCCGTACTCACATCTACCCTACAAAGCATCTTAGGGTGTGGAACTGAGAAGGTGTAATGGGAACTCTCTTCCAGGCCGTAGCAACTTCGGAAGAGAAGGAACAATGAAGGTTTGGATCGTTTTCAACAAGCATGTAGAATCTATGTACTAAGAGATAGTAAAATCTAGGAAAACTTGAGTTCCTGAATGATCTGCTTCTCTAAGTTACGTGAGTTTTAGAGAAGACAACAGTGATGTTACCTACACCCTATAAAGTTACTGGACTCCCAATACCCCATATGCCCTTGAATCCCAGGAGCCACAATAACCCTCTGAAAGGAGTGGCCATGACGGAATTTCACAGTTGCCTGGTCCTGCAATAGAGACGCCCCCCTTCCTGGGTGTTCCTCTCGGTACCACTTTGCAAGTATTTTACTTTGATTATGGTGGGAGATGGTTCTGTTCCTGCCAGTGTTTTGTAATTATTAGGTTCCTAAAGGCTATACTGGCTCTCTTATTTTTACGACCCTTCTCCTAAAAAGCTAAAACATGCAGGAGTAGCTTCCTTGAGGCTAGGAAAAAGTATCCAACATTGGACTCAAAAAATACTTTGCTACACTAATCACAGATGTAGGTTCCAGAACAATGTCCTCTCCCACTCTTGGGTCATCTCCTTGGCTTTCTGGTATGATTGCCTCTTGCAACGAGTGGCACCTTTGGTTCCCCACCTTAGAGAATGTGACTGACTGCTAGTCCAAAGCCATCCATATTGTCCAGTGAGGCACCTGACGAGCTCCTTTGGCACCTCTCGAGCTCCTCAGCAGCACATGCAGCTAACCTATAACTCATGTGGCAGTGAAAGAGAGGAGGCTTGGGAGGGAAAGGAAAAGCATGAGAGCCAGCCCAAGTATATGCAGGGCTCACAGAAGAAAAGGACTTAGGCTTGTTCTGATGGACCTTAAGCGGTGGAAGCGATCAGAGATGGGTGACCATCAAGCAAAGGTGGTGTTGGGGGATGGAGACACGGAATGGGTAATTGGAGCAAACCTGGAAGTCCCTCCCAACCCTGAGGTTGTGTGATGTTTGTGGAGCCGTAAGGAGATGTCCTGTGCCGCCTGGAGGGGAGCTGCCTGCCCAGCTGCCCAGTGCACGCAACTCCTCCCCTCTGGGGCACCGTTCTCCCCTCTCGCTCCTCTTGGCACCTGCCCCTCCGAAGACTTCCGGGAGCCTTAAATTAAATCCAAATGGTTCAGTTTGGCCTGTGAGATCTGCCTCTCTGATTTCATCTCCTCTTCCAGGTTCCTGTGCAAGCTGTGCCCTCTGCCTTGAGTGCTTTTCCTAGCCAGGCAAGGCTGCTCCTCCTCCCTGTCTTGCGTCAGAGGCCTGCCTTGATGACCCAGTTTGGTGTAGTCACTTGATCACATCACCCTCTTCATTTTCCAAACAGAACTTCTCATTCAGAAGTATTTTTACTTATTGGTTTATCTATTAATTGTCTCTATCCCTTCGCTAGCTCATAAGCTCCATGAGAGCTTGACACATGGCATGCACTCACCTATGTTTGCTTATTAAATACATACACACATACATAAAGCTAAGAAAGGAAGGGGTTGCTGGAAACAGTCACTTTAACAAACTTTATTATTTTGCCTAAACTCAGCCTTTGGAAAGGAAAGGAATGTCCTTTGTAACCACAAGGAGTCCCTTCATGTGTGGAGACTCAACATGCCTACTGCATAGAAATTGGTATTTTTAAGAAGCCACCAGATGGTGCTAGTGACACGCTTTTTACTCACCAGTGTTCCTGTTGATTGGAAAGATTCACTGAGCTTCCTGGTAAGATAGATATGGGATGGAATAGGTGACTCGGTGTGATTCTTCCTCATCTCTTGATCCCACTTTTACAAAGGTAGTTTTAAGGGCAGTGACCAGGCAGCAAATGCTGGACGCTGATCAGGATAGCTGATACGCTGCTTTTTTTTTTTTTTTTTTTTTTTTTTTTTTTTTGGAAGTTGCCCTGAAAAAAAGAAGGGTAAGATGAACAGGTTGGATAAAAATCAGAAGAACTCAAGCGGTGGTTTGCTTTCATTATGGGAGTCCATGATTTCTAAGGATGATTTCATGCTTTTAAATTCTCAAGTGTTGTTTATTGCCATTTTTAGAAAATGGTAGGAAGCATCTAGACCCTGGCTTTTTAGTTTCAGATGCTAAGTCCAGGCAGGGCTTCAGAGCCCCAGCAGAGTTTCCAAACCTGGAGGCTTCCGCGTCCCACACAGAGCTTTTCAAAAATACAGACTCCCAGGCTTGCGCCACCAAACCGTCGTCTCTTCGTGGGCCCTGGAACCTGTATTGCCAACAGAATTTCCCAGGTGATTCCATTTCATCTGCACATTAGGAGCCACTGTTCCTGGGGAAGATTGATCCCTCCAGTCTCCCTTCTAGGACCTGCCACTTCTGCTCACTGGTTCTGGGCTTGAACGTGGCCCCAGTCAGAATCATCCAAGTTTCACTTCATGGAACTTCAGTGTTAATGGGAATCTCTCCAACCCCACCCCTCCCCGAGAAGGTGGCATGATCTCATAGGTTTACAAAATAAGGGATTAAACTGGTTTGCTTTGAACTGCATCATTTCTTAGATATCCACACGACACCATAGTACTTTCTCAGAGGAAGTATACAGCAGGGATCCCATAGTACTTTCTCAGAGGAAGTATACAGCAGGGATCAAGGAACACTTTATTCACAGAGCAACTCTTCAGAACAATTTCAGGGGGCAGGCACAGTGGCTCACACCTATAATCCCCACACATTGAGAGGCCGAGGTGGGTGGATCACCTGAGGTCTGGAGTTCGAGACCAGCCTGACCAACATGGGAAACCCTGTCTCTACTAAAAATATAAAAATTAGCCATGCATGATGGAGGGTGCCTGTAATCCCAGCTACTCAGGAGGCAGAGGCAGGAGAATTGCTTGAACCTGGGAGGAGGAGGTTGCAGTGAGCCAAGATAGTGCCATTGCACTCCAGCCTGTGTGACAAGAGCGAAACTCCATCTAAAAAACAAAACAAACAAAAAACAAAACATTTCAGGATACATCATTTAGTTAAAAATAACCTGGACTAAGTGTCAGAAATTTTTGGTTTTAGTCATAGCTTCTTTATTAAGAACTATGTGACTCTTCTATTTATACCTGCTGGATTCCACATGGAATTGAGGAAGCTGACCATGTGACCTTGGTAAGTTACTTCTTTTCAAAGCCTCTACCGCTCTATCTGTAAAATGGGGATAGAAACTGTGTCATGACTCCCACAGGGCTGTTGAGGGACGCATCAAGTAACCTACGAGAAAATGCTCTGAGAAGAGTGAAATACCGCACAGTGGAAGGTAAGGCCATGGCCAGTGGGATGTGAGAATTAGTCCAAAGTGCCATAGAATTGAAGATTTTCACACCATCACAGCTGCCATCTGTAGCACAGCTTTTCTGTAATGAAAATAATGCAAGTAATTAGTTTTAAAAGTCAAATCGAATCACAAGGCTTATGATAAAACAGCAGTTCCCATTTCTCACTTTCTATTGCTCAGAGACAAACTTTTCAAACTCTTTTGGATGTTTCTTCTGGTATTTACCACCCTATGTCTAGACAATATGCTAGTTCTAGATTTTTCCGTGTTAGACGATCTGTACCGACTTCCTAATAAGGAGGAAGAGGATAACACTCTTCACTAATGCAGGCCACTGCCCTCCGCAGCCCGCCAACACACACAGGCTTCCCCATCCCCATTTTCCTATGCTAGTTAGTCCAGAACCCTTTAATCAATAGTATTTGTTGTGTGCCAGTTCCTCCATCCTCAGCCTCTGCTGTGGAAGTGTACATTTCCGCCCAATATCGGGGATCTGTTTCTTCGTGTTCTTTTTCTTAGAGGCAGGTAAGAGAGCTCTCTCCTGGAGTGCTTGCTGATGCTTCACCCTCCTGCCAAATCTAGAGTAGCTCTTCTCTGGGCCTGAGTCACAGCTGGTATAACTGTGGGGTTCCCTTTTCCTCTCTGGAGAGGAATCCCTGGTTTCCTGGATCCCATTTTCCTCTGTCTTATGCCATTCTCTCTTTATAGTGGGAAAAGGTGCAAGGGAAGTAATTTTTGTAACCTTTCATGTCTGAACATACCTTTTTACCCCGCTGGTCTTATATTCTTTGATGGTTTGGCTTAATACAGAATCCTAGTCTGAAAATCATTTTCCCGCATAATTTTGATGATACTCCTTTTTGTCTTCTGCAGCAAATCTAGCTGTGGAGAAGTCTGATGCCATTCTGTTTCTTGATCCTCACATGTGAACTATTTTCCCTTTGGAAACTCTTAAATCTCTTTTTTCCTGGTGTTTCTGTGTTTTAATGATGATGTTTCTTTGCGTGGGTCTTTTTGCACTAATAGTGCTGGGCAGTGGCCCCTTCAATCGGTCTCCAGTTTGGGGATTTACAGAATTCTTTCCTTGGTATTTTCTTCTCAGCCTTCTGAACATCAGCTTAATTGGATGCTGGAACCTCGTGGGCCACTGAACCTATATTGATCCTCAATTTCTCTTATCCTTTCTTTCCTTTTGTCCATGTCTGACATTTTGTTTTACTTTCTGGGATATTTACTCATTTATGAAACAACCCTGATGTGGAATTTGTTTACATCTTCTATATTTTTAATTTCCAAGAATTCGTTCTTGATCTTGGGATGCTCTTTTCTATATTCTTGTTTTGTTTGATGGATCCAGGCAGCACCTTCCTCTCTGAGATATGAGAGGGAATTATTACTATTATTTTGTACCCTGCATTTTTTCCCCTTAATTTCCTTTGCATCTGTTTTTGTTCCTCTTCCGTATGTCAGAAACTTTCCTCATGTCTGACAATCAGTGGCTACCAATTCAAATTTGAATTATATGCCCATGTGCATGCACACGCGCACACACACACACGCACACACATGCACACACATGCACACGCATGCACACACGCACATGCACACACATACACTCGCACCCACGCATGCACCACACACGCACATGCATGCACAGATGCACACGTACACCTGCACGCGCACCCACACACACTGTCGCACCCATGCATGCACCACACACGCACATGCATGCACAGATGCACACACACCTCACACACAAGCACGCACACATGCTCATGCACACACAAGCACACACACACACGCACACACACACACAGCTGACTGGAAGGTGTGTTGAGCAGGCAAGCCTGGTTAGCTAGTGAAGCGCCGTGGTAGGGAGAATAATGGCCCCCAAAGATGTCTATGTTCTAATGCTCAGAACCTATGAATAGGTTATGTGGCAGAGAGAGGAATCAAGGCTGCAAATCAGTTCATTTTAAAATAGGAAGATTATTCATGGGCCCAATGTAATCACAAGGGTTCCTAAAAGTGGAAGAGGGAGGCAGAAAAAGACAGAGAAGGAGATGTGAACTGGGATCCAGGTCAAAGTGTTGAAGGACTCCACTTGCTGTTGCTGGCTTTGAAGATGTGGAAAGACTGCCATGAGCCCAGGAATGTGGGCTGCCTCTAGAAAGTGGGAAAGGCAAGAAAATAAATTCTCCCCTAGACAGTACAGAAAGGAACACAGCCAGCAGACAACCTGATTTTAGCCCAGTGAGACTCATGTTATACTTACGAAGTTTAGAATCGCAAAACAATAAACATGTGTTTTTAAAACCACTAGGTTTGTTACAGCAGCTATGAAAAACTAATACATTTGCAGGTTAGGGACCCACAAGTATTACAGCTAAGGAGGGAGGGAGGGTCAAAGCAGCCAGGAAAAGGTGCTTGAGACCTCAGCTAGGGAGAAGAGCAAGAACTCCCTGGACTTCAGCAGATTTCATGGCTAGGTCCACCGTGTCTGCTGTGTCTGTCTGCAGAGTTCCACTGCCTTCTCAACAGCCCAAAGGGCATTCCCTTGGAGAAGAATTTGGGGGTTCAGATTCTAATCCTGAACGTACTTCTTTCTCCAGTAATTTTTTCAGGGTTTACCTCAGGCCTCAGGCTCTGCAGAAAAATAACAAGAAACCTTTAGAATCCACATGCATTCTGTCTCTTGGTCTGTTTCTATGAGTTTGGGTGGAGATTGATCCACCTGATTGAGGCCTCAGCAGAACATCATCCGATTTCCCTGTGCTTCTTAAGGGTTTGGATTAGGGAACAGAGTTTGCCGGCTTTTTCATCTTGAATCACTTATGGGTGGATATAAATGACTATATGTATTTCTAACATTTTGTCTTTTTAAAATTAATTTTTAAATTAAAAAACCAAATAACTAGAAGCAATTTGCATAGTTGTTAAACTATAAAGCATAAGTAACTGAATACTACGAAGTTATGACTCAATTTAAAACAAGCACATTAGCTAAAACAATTGAAGTTCTTTGTGTGTTTTTCCAACAGCTCATCTTTCTAACCCCTCCCACAACCCAGTATTTATCCTTTTTTTTCCAGTTTCACTCTTTTTTATAAAAACTTTTGTATTGTAGAATATAATATGTTGAGAAAGTGCCAAGTAAGGCTTATTCCAAAGTGAGTACGCATGTGGCCATCATCCAGATCAACAGAAACATTCTCGCACCCAGAAAACCCTTTGCATTGCCCTTTCCATTTCCTTCGCTAATTTAATTTAACATACTCTCTTCTGTATTTTACATTGTTTTATCTTTCCATGTTTTCTTCTGGGTATTTTTCATCAGTCTATAAGTTCAGTGAGTTGCCTGTTACTCATTTTTTCAGTGCTTGTCTTGTCTCTTAATTTCAAGGAGTGCTTTGCCTAAGAATATGTAAGGAAAGATAGGCATCTTTTGTTCATTTCATGTGTTGTGTAAGTATCTTCTCCCAGTCTGTGGCTGATCTTTTCACTCTCTTAGTGATGTCTTTCAAGGAATAAAGTCTTAACTTTAAAATATTTAGATTTATCCAATTTTTCCTTTATAGCTGGTCTATCTTTGAACTTCCACTTCGGATCATTTCCTTCTGCATGGATAACATCTTTTAGAATGTCCTTTAGTATGGGTCTGCTATTAATGAATTCTTTTAGTTTCTGTTTATTTGAAAATGTTTCTATTTTATTTTTATTTTATTTTATTTTATTTTATTTCTTGGAGACAGGGTCTCACTCTGTGGCCCAGGCTGGAGTGCAGTGGCACAATCTCGGCTCACTGCAACTTCCTCCACCTGGGTTCAAGCGATTCTCCTGCCTCAACCTAGCTAGTACTACAGATGTGCACCACCATGTCCGGCCAACCTTTGTATGTTTAGTAGAGATGGGGTTTCACCATGTTGGTGAGGCTGGTCTTGAATTCCTGACCTCAGGTGATCTGCCTCCCTCGGCTTCCCAAAGTGCTGGGATTACAGGTGCGAACCACTGTGCCTGGCCAAAAGTGTTTCTATTTTGAATTCATTCTTGAAGGTCATTTTCATCAGGTACAGGCTGGCTCTTATTTTCTTTCTATTGTCTTCTAACTTCTGTTGTTTCTGTTGAGAAGTCAGATTTAAGTCTAATTGTTACTCTTTGGAAGGTAATTGTTTTTTGTTTGTTTTTTTACTCCCTCAAGCTGCATTTAAGATTTTCTCTTTGTCTCTGTTTTTTGTTATTTAGCATTTTTACTATAATGTGTATAGATATGGAGGTGATACATATATGTATGAATTTAAATATATATATATTTTAAATGTTTTTGGCTTAGAGTTGTAGAACTTCTTAAATACGTGGCTTAATATTTTTCAGCATTTTTGTAAAGTTCTCAGCCATTCTCTTTAGATTTTGTCTCTGCTTCATTTTCATTCTCCTTTCCTGGAATTCCAAGTATAGGTATGTTGGATTCTCTTACTATATCCTCTCTATCTCTTACTCTTGTTAAAAGGAAGAACTTTTGATATATTTCACAGAGTTTAACTGAGCAAAGAATGATTTGCTTAGTTGTGAATTGGGCAGCCCTCAGAACGTGAGGAGGTTCAGGGAGCTCACTCTGCAATGTCAGCAGGGAATCTTTATAGACAGAAAATCCCAAGTGAGTTACAGTAACAGTTTGATTGCTGATGGCTTGGCACTTGCTTTATTTGAACGCGGCCTGATCACTTGGCTGCCTGTGACTGGCTGAAGGTTGGCTGCTGTTATTGGCTGACACCCAGCTGTTTGTTATGAAATACTCCTAAGTTAGTTGCAAGTTTGTTTACATACTAAGTTAGGTTGCAATTTTTTTATGTAGGGACTTAAGAAAGGAGTCAGCCTCAGCCCAAATTTAATTTAATTTAACATTCTGTCTCCTGTATTTTGTCTCTCCATGCTTCATTCTGGGTGTTTTTCATCACTCTATAAGTTCTATAACTATTTTTAGATTTATTGATTTATTGATTCATTTTAGACGGAGTCTTGCTTTGTTGCCAGGCGGGAGTGCAATGGCACAATCTCTGCTCACTGTAACCTCCGCCTCCTGGGTTCAAGCGATTCTCCTGCCTCAGCCTCCTGAGTAGCTGGGCGTGTGCCACCACGCCCAGCTAACTTTTGTATCTTTAGTAGAGACGGGGTTTCACCGTGTTGGCCAGGATGGTCTCGATCTCTTGACCTCGTGATCCACCCACCTCAGCTTCCCAAAGTGCTGGGATTACAGGCGTGAGCCACTGCACCCGGCCACATCCATTGAGTTTTAAAAGTATAATCAGTTTTTCAGTTCTGAAATATTCTTTTTTTACATATATAGTTCCAGTTCTCTGCCAAAATTCTCAATACTGTCTTTTGTCATCTTAAACATGTATACGTGGATGTTTATTTTTATTTTTGTTTTTTTGAGACAGAGTTTTGTTCTTGTTGCCCACACTGGAGTGCAATGGCATGGTCTCGGCTCTCTGTAACCTCTGCCTCTCAGGTTCAAGCGATTCTCCTGTCTCAGCTTCCCGAGTAGCTGGGATTACAGGTGCCTGCCACCACGGCCAGCTACTTTTTTTGCATTTTTAGTAGAGATGGGGTTTCTCCATGTTGGCCAGGCTGGTCTGGAACTCCTGAACTCAGATGATCCGCCTGCCTTGGCCTCCCAAAGTGCTGAGATTACAGGCGTGAGCCACCGCACCCAGCCACATAGATGTTTTAAAGTCCATGTCCAATAGCTCCTATTTTTTGAGTCCTTGTAAGCCTGTTTGTATTGCCTGTTTTCTCTTAGCTCATTTCCTTTTCTTATTGTGTGCCTGTTATTCCTCATTGTGTGCTGAACATTATTTTTGAAACATTGTTTATTAAAGCAATTTGAGGGCTAGGGTAATATCACCTTCCTCCAGAGAGGATTTCAGCTTGCTTCTGCCATGCATCTCAGGATGCATAACACTGGGAGTTACGCATAGGATGACTCCAAGCTATCCTTGGAAATACCCTCTTCCAATTTCAGAGGTACAGGATAACTCTTGGAGTTACCCTCCTCCAATTTCAGAGATTGAGATAGCTTAAGGCTGAACTGCAGTTGCCTTGAAAGGAGTCTTCTTCTGTTCAGTTTGCTCCTAGGGTGCAGCTTTTCCATGATCTCAACCCAAAAGGAAGAGGGTTCATCAGGCCACCAGCCACACACAGGCTCACCCTACACCAGGGGCCTCTGCACTCCAAGGCAGGTGCACTCAGCCCCGCAGGCAACCACCCGCCTTTCATCCAGCTCCTCTAGAATCCACACAGGCCTCGGGTGGAAAAGTGGTCCTGGCTGCTGGCTCTTCTCCCTGGGCCTCTGGTCTCACTCCTAGATCTTTCCCTACTAATTCATCATTATCTTGTTACCACACTAATGAGCTAATAATGCCTTCAAGAGCAATTTTTAGAAGACCTTATCTACCTCTTTAATTTCTTCTCAGATGGAAGGTTGTTCTAAATTGCTGAATTCTGCACGATCAGGAGCAGAAGTTCTCTTGGGACTTTCAGCAAAAGGGCTCTGACCACTAGCATTTATTCTTTAACACTTAATACCAGGTCGTTGTCCAGGAGGCAGGCGTTGCAGCTGAGAATACCCTTGATGGGGGTGGGGGTATTCAGTGTGCTGCGAAGAGATTCTGAAGAAACTTTGGGTCATGGTCAAACTTCAGTTACAGCCCTTTGGTTCAGAGATCGGCTCAGGAAAAAAAACTTGTTGTTTTCTTTATACATTTTTAAAAGGCTCTTAATACTATGGATTCTATAGGGTTCTTTCAACTGGAATTGTGTCTATGTGGATACATTTCTCTTCAAGTTATAAAAATGTAGTTAAATATCTTCTAAAAGAGAAATAAATGCCCCAAAACATATTTTAGATTTAGATTTCCCAACTTGGAAAATAGCTAAAAATATTTTTGTGAACTGAAAGCTGCTCTCCTGAGCTCCCCTGCATAACGTGACTCAGCCATGAAAATGCATCACTGGGCTTTCTCTGGCTTTCTGTGCCAGGGCTCCAAATATTGGGAGTGTGCACTTCTTAACCTCAGAGAATGTATAATCTAGCTAAAAGCAGACACGTGAAACCATCTAAGGTGATAAATATGCATAAGATGGTGTAGTGAAATGTACATATTTTATAGCATCCAAGTCTTCTAATAGCAAGAAAGAACACTTATGAATTATTCTGCTTCACTGATTGCTTATTTATCATAAATGCTACAGTCAGTGCATTATTGGAGTTGTTGACTACCTTTGGCTTCCTCTGAGAAATTTTAATGTACATGTACAATCCAAAGAGTTGTATTTATTAATAACCACTAGGACCTATAAATGTGGTATAAAATAACAGGCAAGAGAGTAGGCCCAGGAGCCAGACTGGCTGGGTGTGAATCCAGGGCTGGCTACTTACTAGTGTGGTGAGCTTGGTTAAGTCATTTGACCTCACTAGCCCTCTGTTTGCTGTTCTGTAAAGTAAGGATAAAAACACCTATCCCGTGACATGTTTTGCAGAACAGCTGGGTTCGTGTACATTATGCATTGAGAATAAGGTCTGGCACATGGCGGAGCACTCCATATAAATTCTTATTCTTCTTAGGCAGGCATCCCCAACCCCTGGGCCACAGACCGGTATGGGTCTGTGGGCTGTTAGGAACTGGGCTGCAGGAAGTGAGTGGTGGGTGAGCCAGTGAAGCTTCATCTGTATTTACAGCCACTCCCCGTCGCTCACCTTACTGCCTGAGCACCACCTCCTGTCAGATCAGGGGCGGCATTCGATTCTCATAAGAGCGCGCATGAATTCTATCGTGAACTCCACATGCGAGGGATCTAGGCTGCATGCTTTTTATGAGAATCTAATGCCTGATGATCTGTCACTGTCTCCCATCACCCCCAGATGGAACTGTCTAGTTGCAGAAAAACAAGCTCAGGGCTCCCACTGATTCTACATTAGTGAGTTGTGTAATTATTTCATGATATATTAGAATGTAACAATAATAGAAATAAAGTACACAATAAATGTAATGCACTTGAGTCATCCTGAAACCATCCCCCTCCTCAGTCCATGGAAAAATTGTCTTCCATGAAACCGGTCCCTGCTGCCAAAAAGGTTGAGGACCGCTGTTCTTAAGGTGCAATTATGGTTAAACATTTACCAGGGGGAATTGAAGCATAAACAGAAGTATACTTTGTGAATTATTACCAACAACATCCACATAAAGTGGGAAAGAGGAAAATCCATTTTATTCCCAGCCAAGAGACATTTAAAGCACATACCCTCCCTGCCCCTACTCAAATGGGAGGTGTAGAAAGCACCCTCCTCTTTGTCCTTCCAGAATATCTTTTTGATGTGTCTTATACTCACATCTGAAAAGGTCAGCTGGTGACATTTCTTTCTGGAGGCAATTTTACTGAAAGCATTTTCACTTTCTCAGTGTGCAGGGACTGGAGGCTCAATGAAGAGGATACAGCTATGTCCACATCATGTCAACTCTCACTGATTGTAGAGCTGTTCTCCCACCCAACTCAGTCCTCTCTCCCTCTACCCCTAACAGGAACATTTAACTCTGGTTATTGACTACATCTCATTGTGATTACTGAGCAAATTTATTAAATAGCCTGGGATAATACTTTTTTTTTAGATGGATTATTGCTCTGTCGCCCAGGCTGGAGTGCAGTGGTACAATCTCGGCTCACTGCAACCTTCACCTCCTGGGTTCAAGTGATTCTCCGGACTCAGCCTTCTGAGTAACTGGGAATAAAGGTGTGCACCACCATGCCTGGCTATTTTTTTTTTTGTATTTTTAGTAGACACACAGTTTCGCCAGGTTGGCCAGGCTGATCTTGAACTCCTGACCTCAAGTGATCCACCTACCTTGGCCTCCCAAAGTGCTGGGATTACAGGTGTGAGCCACCGTGCCCGGCCCTGGGACAATACTTGAATGGGGCTCCAGGGACTGATTACTATCCATCAAAACATTCTGTCCTATTGAAATATAAATTTATCTGAAGCAGACACATGAAAACATGCTTTCCCATATAAGCCCCCATGCACTGGGCAACTTCCCTTCTGCCTAGCCCTTTAATGTTGGTGTTCTTGAAGCTTTGGCCTCAGTGCCTTTTCTTTGCTCTCACATTCTTCCTGAGAAATTGCATCTACTTTAAAGATTTCCTTTCCCACCTATTTGGATCTTTTGCTTGGAACTTTCTCCTAAGCTCCAGGTCCATGGATCCTACTTCCTGCTGGACTGCTCCCATCTGGAGATCCCACAGGCCCCTCAACTCAGCCCCTGTTTCTGAATCCCCTAATTATCCTCTATTTACTTGGTCACTCAAGCCAGAGACTTGCCCTGGCCTCCTTGTCTCGCTGTACCCCGCCTGATGATTGAGCTCAGCTCATCAAGGTCTGTCACCTGCAGCACTACAGCAATCGCTTGTCTGGCCTCCAGTTTTTAAAATCCGTCCCACAAAACATGACCAAAGTGGCCAATCTGATGACACCATCCCTTGGCTTAGATTCTTCAGTTAACATCCTGATCAGTGACGTAGGCACAAGAATCTCCTAGAATGGAAGTTCCTGGGCCCCACCCACAAAGATTCTGATCCAGCAGACCCGGAATGCGGTTCAAGAACCAACACATTTAACACTCAGACTGCTCTGGGGCAGGTGGGCTGTGGGCATGTTCTAAGACGCACAGCACTGCAGGATGTTCCAGCGCCTCGATGTGGCCCGGACACTCACCGTCTTCTGGCATGCAAACACCTCTCTAACCTCATCCATGTCTAACCCCTTCATGTCCTAAAGTCCAGCAGGCAGGGTCAAGGACTAGGGTGACATTAGGCCAGGCCTGGGAATGCCTGGATCTTGGCCTGCTGTTCACTCATTGTTGCTTTGAGGGTCTAATTGGAGGAGCTCTGTCCCCAAGCTCTAATAGGCAAAAGTAAGAAAAGTAACCCATTGTTAGTAGCTCAGACTAAGCCCAATACCCTTGAATTCATGGTTCTCTTATAAAAACTGAAATGCTGAATATGGCTTAGCAGAGGATAATTGGCAGGAAGCAAGACTTTCCCGCTGTGTCAAGAGATGGGAATAGGCCAAGTCTACAAAGCTGACCTGAATCCATTTGTCCAATTGGTGAGCCTGTCTGGCCTATCCCCAGGGGCCAGACCCTGCCCTCGCCCCAAGCAGTAGATGCAAGAGCAGAGAAGGATGGTCAAGTCTATCTAAGGAGACAGGCTGTATAGAAGTGTTCTGATTGCATGGGAGCAAATTTTAAGAGAAGTACCATGCATGGATAACAATGTTCAAGCCACAGTAACCGCACACTGGTAAACTGTGGTTAAACTTGGTGCAAAAGTAATTGTGGTTTTTGTCATTATTTTCAAATGGGTCTTAAAAAGGAGTGTTGGGGGCCAGGTGCGGTAGCTCATGCCTGTAATCCCAGCTCTTTGGGATGCTGAGGTGGGCAGATCACTTGAGGTCAGGAGTTCGAGACCAGCCTGGCCAACATGGTAAAACCCCATCTCTACTAAAAAATACAAAAGTTAGCTGGGTGTAGTGGTGGGTGCCTATAATCCCAGCTACTCCGGAGGCTGAGGCAGGAGAATTGTTTGAACCCAGGAGGTGGAGGTTGCAGTGTGCTGGAGGTTGCGGTGTGCTGAGATGGCACCACTGCACTCCAGCCGGGGTGACAGAGTGAGACTCTGTCTCAAAAAAAAAAAAAAAAAAAAGATTGCTAGGGGAAGGCTGGAAGCCCAGGGAGGAAGCAGGTGTTCCCTGCCCAGCAGTGATTGCTCCCTGGTTGCTGGAGGAACGATGGAATCAGAGTCACCCGAGGACCAAAGCTCCACACCTCTTGCTATCCCAGACTCTCTGGAACACCAGGAAGAAAACATATTTGGACAAAAATTATTCTTTGCAACATTAGAACTTTTGATTCTGGAATGAGACAAGGAAATATGTATGTATCTCAGAGAGACAATGAATTTTTAAAAGGAAATTGGGACCGTTTCTCAGGGTGAGATGTCTTATCCGGTTAACTGCGAGCCCCCAGGGATTTCTACTCAGAGTGTTCATCACATCAGGTTTCCATTCTCTACAATAAAAACATGGCTAGGGAGAAATTACCCAGCACTGGCAAGAAAGAGCTCCAAAATAGAAGCAGCTTTTGAGGAATTTGGAGGGATAAAACGGAATAGTATGTCTGAAAGTTGGCAACATGTAAAAAGGCTAAAAATGACAATTCTGCCTGTGATACTATGTCTAGTGTGCAACGCTTCATTCAAAAGGCAGGCACGTCTCCCCTCCAGGCGGGAGTGGGAATCTCAGTGGGGAACCGGGAACTGCGTTTGAGCTGATGCAGACTCAGGGTCAACTCGACAAGGGAGCCCGGCACCCAGACACAGCGGCGTTCACCTCACCTTGCACCGTCTTTGTCGGTCTTACAGGCATCAGCTTTCCCAGCCTCATTTGAGCCGGGATCTGAGTTGCATTTCTTTCTGGGTCAGGCCTTGCCATTAGGGAGAGATGAAGTCAACTGATGAGCGTGCCAGCCTTGAGGAAGGACAGAGTGCGGGAAGCAGAGTGTGGGAAGTTGGAAAAAATAATCTGCAAGGTAAACACCTTCAAGTCAATTTCAAGAGGCTGGCTAGAAACCGCCAGGACTTCAGGGGGCCCTGTCTCGCGGGTCTCCCTGCGCCCTCAGCACTTTGGCTTGGTATAAGGCCACCTTGTCCCTGAAGAGAGGCCTATTTTAAGCTGAGCAAGAAAAGGTGAGAAAGACTAAAATCAGCTTTGTGCAGAGACGCCAATTTCTGCTGCACACATGGAAACGATGTGCACATACAGCGAGCTGGCCCAGCTCCCGGCCACGTGGCTCACACTGTCCGTGCTCACCCACCCGTTGCCTTCACCCCCAGCAGCACTGGTTGTGAAAAGGGTAACTGCCTGAGCCACCCCACCACTGCGGGCCTGCCAAGGACAGGCAGGAACTCAGCCATGCCCCGCAAGGAGCCCAGGGGCATCTCCAGGGACGGCTCCCCAGCCTATGGGCTCGCTCCCTGAGAGGCCGTGCTCGGGCTCGCCTGCTCAGCTCACTCCGAAAGCCTCTGCTCAGACCTGCACCCAGTCACAGCAGCACAGATGTGCAGGAGGAGACCATTTCCACGGACCCTCCGACTCCTAGGAGGCAGGTGAGGAGAGGGGGAGGGAGGGGACCAGCGCTGGTGCTTCAGGTATGCTCTGGCCACTGCGATTCACTCTGCTTTGTGCTTGGGGTTTCACACGCATCTCGGCGACTGTGTGCGGAAAGTACAGTCGTGACCATGCGCAGGTGAGGCCTGGAGGAGGTCAGCTAAACTGCTCTCTCTCAATGGTTCTGAACCCTGAGAGTACATCAGAGTCACCTGGAGGACTTACGAAAACACACACTGCAGAATTTCTGACTTGGTCGATGCAGGTTGGGGCCAAAAATGTGTATCTCTAACAGGTTCCTGGGCGATGCTGACGCCGATGCTGTGCGTCCTGAGCCACACTTGGGGAGCTACTGCGCAAGCTCGCACAGCTAGCCGACCGCTGAGCTGGGGCTCAGACCTGGGTCAGTCCTGGTCCACAGGCCAGCCCCTTTCTCACGTCCCCTGGTGAACGGCGGCATGGTGGCCTCATGGACACTGAGCAGGGCCCCTAGGGAAGCCTGTATGGAGGCCACTTCACTTTGAATGGATCTGGGATAGAGGAAGGACGCGAGCTGTGGGAGCCTGGGTCCTGGGCACAGCGGGCATGTCATGGCAGGGTTCACCAGCCTCCTTTCAGCAGTTCCCTAGTTCTGCCCCAGCTACCTGTGGTTGGTGGTGGGAGGTTTATTTGTTAGTTCCTTCAGCAGTGACTCACCACACTTACTGAGAGCTTACCGTGTGCCAGGACTGCCACAGGTATGGGGATGCAGAGTGTCCACAGCCCCCCAGAAGATTGATGATAGCACCCTCCATGTAGGAAGGGCTGTGACTGCAGACAGGGCATGGGGCGGGGCACCTGTGTTTGCCACAACCTCTAGAGGGTCCCTTCATATTCACGTCTGTGCGTGGGGCCCTCCTCCACCCAGATCTGCTTCCGCAGCACAGCCACACAAGTCTACAGCTGGTGACTGTGGCTGGCAAGCAGGGGAAGGTGGGTGGGGGCGGCAGCCGTGGGCTTTCCACTGGGTCCCAGCAGACCAAGTCCTGGTACAAGGAAGCACGGGCTGGCACTGGCAAACCCTCCTCAGGGAGCAGCAGGCCAGGAACCTGGGCTGGGACTAATTATTGCTGAAGAGAGAACAGGGCCAAGTGTCCCTCATGTCCCCCCAGCAGCCGGGGCAAGCAGAGAAAGAAATGTCGGAACCGGGGAGAGGCCCCTGCCTCTGCACAGGGCTAAACATCATGCCAGCTGGCAAGGGAGAAATGGGTACAGGGCCCAGGGGCATTATCACAGAAGAAGGCAATGAAAGGTGCGTTGGGGGCTGAGGCAACCCATTATAACTGCACACATCACACACCAGGGATCCACTAATTTAGACTACAATGTGAATGGTCTTTTGAAACTGAGATGTGTGGGGGCCCAGAGGGAGGGATCCACCCAGCTGGGAGGAGGTTAGGGAGGTCTTCCTTAAAATACTTCCTGTTCCGTCTCAGAGAACCCATGGACACTGGCCAGGGGAGGGAGAGGAAACACGTCGCAGGTGGAGAGAATCGCTTGTGTGAGGGCACAGAGCGGGGCAAGAAGACAGTGGTGGGCTTTCCCCAGGAGCTGTTCGGCAGAGGGAAAGTGGATGCTGAGCTCTTCCTCTTCCCTGGAGCAAGTCCCATTTCCTCAGAGAACACGGCCCCCTTGGGCCAAAAGGACATGAAGAAGCTCTTGCTAATGCCAGCCTGGCTCTCCTCATCCCGCCCCCTGCACCCCTGCCCTTCTGGCTGCCCTCCCTTCTCCTAGCTCTGTCCCCTCTCACTTCAGGAGTCTCAAGTCCTTCAGACTACTCCAAAGTCGGGGGATCTCTGGATGGGTAGGAGGTGATCTCACCGCCTCCTCTCTTGCCCGGGCTTGTCGAGATGAACTTCCTGATGCTGGCGGCGCTGAAGCTGACACTAGCGGGGGCACCTCCCTGACATGAACGCCCCTCGAGACTGGGCCAGTGCTCCTGATGCCTGGGCACCTGCGGAAAGGCACCCAGCGTGGCCGCCGTGGCATGCCTTGAGTGTGTGGGTGGGGACTGTTGCAAACTGACATTCCAGCTGTCCCAGTCCATTTTGTGCTGCTCTCACACAACCCCGGAGAGTGGGCGATTCACAAAGGACAGAAATGTATCTTCCCACAGCTCTGGAGCCAGGTGCCAGCAGGTTCTGTGCCTGGTGATGGCTCCAGTCTCTGCTTTCATGATGGTGCCTTGCTGCTGCGTCCTCCAGAAGGGACAAAGGCTGCCGTCCTCACATGGCTGAAGGTGGAAGGGCAACGAGTGAATGTACTCCCTCCACACAGCACCTACATCAGGACACCTGATTCCATTCATGGCCTAATCCCCTCTTAAGGCCCCACCTCTTAATGCTAGCACATTGGCAACACCTGGATTTTGCGGGGGAAACACGTTCAAACCATAACACCATCTAAGGCTGCTTCTGCCTGAGACAAGTGTGCTCATGTCTGCCTCAGAGACGGGGCCAAAAGCAGCTTGCTCTGCCCTGCCCTGGAAGCAGGACAGAGGATAGCTGTCATCTCTCCCTTCCAATGCCAGCTCATTGTCTCAAACAAAACTTGGCCCCTTGTGCCCTCTAAGGAGTGGGTTCCTGTGCAGGGGCTCCAAGGTTCTTTGTGATAATAGACCAGGGAGGGCAAGTTGGTTCCCTCTCATGCTTGGCATCCAGGTGTTTGAGGGTAGCTGCCCAGGGCCCTGTGTTGAGGGCACTATGGTCAGAGCTGGAGCAAGGGGGGGCTGGGTGCATGATGAGTTTGCATGGCAGCTGGAAGTGTCCCCTCTGAGTGGCTCCCTGGATATCCCGGGACCACTGGCCGTGTGCAACCTGAGTCCCGGCATGAACTCCGCTGGGACCCTCCTTCGTGTTAACGCTTCACTTTTCAAACAGGAAATAGAAGGAAAACAAAGCTGCTTTCTAACAAACACTTTGATTTTAAAGCCAGAGTATGAGTCAGAAACATCATCCATTGCAGCCAGCTTTACATGGGAATAGCCCAGTTCTTCAAAAGAAGCAGCTGTCATTTCATGGCACCGAGGCATCGTGTTTCCAGAAGAGCCACAGTCCCTCTTGCATTAAGATGGGTTGTGACGGACCTCTTAGAGAATCCGACAGTTTCGGGTTGGAAAGGGGATCCCTTTTGTTCTGTCTGGACAGTAAGGCAGTGCATCATCTACAGGTGCATCCGCTGCATGGCTGCTGGCTTGTGGCCTGACAAAATGCCCAGCATTGAACCAGATGCATAGGTGTGAACTCTGGAGAATCCTGTTTTCAGTGGCTGGAAGACGGAGGTGTAGGCACCAGCTCAAACTCTTCACCTCACGCCTTCTATCCTGCAGACCCCAGCAGGCCACATGGTGACCTTCTATGTCCATCTGGGACAGCAGTCAGCTGCCCCTGCCTCTGCGGGGAGTGAGCAATGGGCCGCAGGATCACTTGTCCTGGGCAGCTCTTCTGGGGGTGGCTTTGCATTGCTGCTGGGATTTGGGAGTCCAGGGCCTGTGGTCTCCTGGGGGCTGCGTGCAGAGTGTCTTCCCCAGAACCAGATGGGGAAGGGAGCCGCAGGGAAAGAACGTGACCTTTGGGCTCAATCCTGGTATTGAAGCCGTGTTCGTTCTTTTACATTTTCGTAACGTGCAGCATTGGGTAAATGCCTTCTGAGTTTGGTTAGTGCTTGTTAAATTGGGCGAGAACTTCATAAGGTTGCAGGAAGTATTCCGAGAAATGGTACACGCACAGTACTTAGCGTGGTCACCGCACATGGCCAGCATGTACCAAACTGGTCCGAATTGACTAGAATGGGGAGGGTGGGAAGCGACAATCTCTACGTTCTCTTTAACCTGAGGTGTCTGATGCTACTTGCTGGGCTTCTGGCCTGTGATGAGTGCTCCCACTCCCTGCTGCCCTGAGACCTGTGTGGCTTTCAGGGTATTCTTTTTTCTCAGTGCCTTTGTGTGGAGAGCCGCTGTCTCCCTCCATTCTGTGGGTGATGCAGGTGGCGCTGCTGTGAGCTGCCCCTGGAGGTCATGGATAGGCTGTCAAGGACGGGGCCTGCCATTCCAGAGCTCCCGCCGCCCTGGGGAAGCGATGTGGGCAGTAGCTCAGAATGCAGCTTCTCCCTAGACCCTGGGCCACCGGGGACTTGCGAGAGAAAGAACAGGGACGGGGAAGACTGGATGGTCCTGAAAGCTGAGAGGGGCCACAGAAGCCCAGATGACACAGGACTATGGGAGACAAGTGAGGGCACCAGCTTCCCTGGGTTGAGGGACCGTGATACCCAGGAGGGCAGAGAGGGAGACAGGGCCCGGCTGGCAACCTCTGAGCAGGTGAGTGGGAGAGAGAGCAGGACAGAGAAGGCAGCTCTGTGTTCTGCTCTGATCCGTCTGACTCCACACGGATGTGGAGTTCTCTGAGACTCCTTTCCCTGAATCTGAGAGCTTACTAACAGAAGGCCGGGCCTCTGAGATAGAGATCAGGCATGTAATGAATGAATGTGAATCATGAATACAGCTGGAGCACCCCTCATCAGGGTAGCCCACACCTTACAACCGTGGACACAGAGGCCTTGTTGCTTCCCCGAAAGTCTAGTTAATGCCTAGTTAATATCTAATTAATGACCAGTTAACGACAACGCTCCTAACTCCATCATCCCACCCCCTTTCCCCAAATTCAGCACAAATGGCTTCAGTTTGAGTTTCCCAAAGCATCTCCTCAGGTGTGTGGTTACAGCCCAGCCCTAGGGTCTCTGGGTGCATCGGCTTCCCCCTCCCAGATCCAAGTACAACTGAAACCCTAACAGTAGAAATCATCATTGCTGGCCCAGCGCTGCCACCACTGCTTCTGTTCATAGCCTGTTTTGTTTGTTTTTAGTCCCTTAGGGACTGGCCCTAACAACAAATGAGGAGAAGCCAAGTTCTCTGCTTTCTGCAGACAGGGCCTCCCCTGGATGGGATCTTCCTCTGAGGCGAGCTTCAGATCTGCTCAAGCTTCCTGCAGTGGGGCCAGGAGGCAGGGCCTGGGCAGGGGAGACCAGAACCTCTCGGTGATGCCTCCGAATGGCAGGGCTCAGACACACACACCTGGCTGGGTAAGTCCCTGCAGTGAAAACCGAGACGGTCTTTTGCCTGCCACAGCCCCGGGCAGACTCTGCTCTCACCGTGGTGCCGACATCCCAAGTTTTCAGACTCACCAGGACCCAGTGACAGCATCTGGGTCCTCAGAGCTGCATGCGGACTGTCCCCAGTTCAGAGCATTGGACAGAGCTGGGAACTGACAGCCCTGATCAATAGTCCCAAGAGGAAGGCCAGCCCTCCTCCTCCTCGGAATCCTGGGTTTCTAGGAGGCAGAAAGGTTTTCTGAGAAACAAGGCTTTTGGAAGGAAGGTGGTGCCTGGCTGCATCCAGAAAGTGAGAGCTAAATGGAGAGGCTGAACAAAGGACGCATGTGGAGCGCATGGGGAGGGAAGGCTGGGGTGCAGGGCTCCGGGCCTGCTCTTCTGCGTCCACCCCGGATCCTGCTTTTGTCCAGATGGGCCTCGGAGCACCAGTCACTTACTCCAAGAAGTCGTTTCCTGTGGCCAATAATGAAGATGACGCACTCGGAAGCTTGTGGGCTCTGAGGAGGGGGTAAGGATGCAGGGGCCATGCATTCATCCCAGCACAGGCAGCGCATGGCTCCGGAAGCAGACACAGGCCAGGCCTGGGCCAGGAGTCTGCCAGGAGCCAGGAGCGCCTACACCTCCCTGGAGGCCCACACTTCTCTCCCCAGAAGCTCACACGCAGCGTCTGAGGTGCAGGGCCCAGGTGTGCTGGGGTGACAAAGCCCCGAGCTGTGGTGATGGGAGGGAGGAAGCGCCGGTTTATGTCTGTTCTTTGGGCTGATTTGCTGTCTCTGTCTTTGTCTCTAATGTCCTTTGCACCACTGACCTTGAGGAGCCTTTTGTTCCTCCTGTCCCAGTTTGGTTTCCATGGGAACCTGAGTGGCAGCGTCATCACTTTGCTGAGGTGAAATGCCCCTGGATGCCATGAATACCTAGGGGAAAACCTGCCAGAGAAGAATAAACCATCCAAGAGACGGCGCTGCAGGGCCTCACAGTCTGCTTCCATTTCCTCTCAGGTTTCAGATCCCTTAGTTTTGGGTGCCCAAGTTCACGGAGGGTGCCGGGGAATAGAAGCTCTGTCAGTCTCGTCTGGATCTTGGTCCTCAGCAACTGTCTGGATCCTGACAGGTGTGTGATAATTACTTAGTGAATTCATGGGTGTGGGCCGTGATAGAATTAAGTGATTTGATGTCCTCTCGATAAATCCAGGTAACGACATAGGGTTTTTTGAGTTTGACCCTCTCCTGAAATTTGCCATCTGACAAAATGACATCATGGCAGAGTTGTAAACTGCTGTGGATGTATTTTATTTAATTTCTCAAATTAAAATAAAAGGTAACGGTACACTTAAGAGTGGTCACTACAGCCAAGCTAATTGACACCCACTGAACTTTCTGGAATGGGCCATAGGATGCTGGACAATAGGACAGATTTGGAATGAGCAGTCTTCCATTCCAACTTTAGTTTCTGCAAAGCTGTTGAGAGCATGGAGCCAGGCTGCGGGGTCTGGGTTCAAATCCTGACTCTACCACTTAGGAGCTGTGTGTACATGGGCAGGACAACTGGCCTGCCTGAGTCTCAGTGTAGGTGTCTGTAAAATGGAATGATAATAGCTTCCATCTCACAGATTCACTGTGTGGGTAAAATGATAGATATGAAATGCTAAGAACAGCACCTGTACGTAGTATGTCCTACATATCTTACTGTTATCATTAGCATATTTTGTTTATTCCAAGATACATTTTTGTTGGCCCATTTGATATCTATGAAATCTAAAGATTTTTTTTCCTGTCTTGGGAGATAGAATAATGATGTGCCTTACAATGGATTGTGTTTTAGATTCACTGAAATTCATTATTGTTGTTTTTATCCCTGGTCTGTAACATGATATTTGGTAAATAACAAGGACTCCATACGTTTTGCAAAGAGTAAATTCTCTCCCTCCCTACTGAGGCCTTGGTCTAGGTCTCTCCAGGCCTTTCCTTCCTGGAGCCACAGTGCTTAGAGACAGGCCACTGGGGTCAGCATTTGAGCTCAGCTATGATCAGAAAAAAGCACCGTTGAGGTTGCAGTGAGCCGAGATCACGCCACTGCACTCCAGCCTGGGCGACAGAGAGAGACTCCATCTCAAAACAAAAACAAACAAACAAACAGAAAGCACCGTCGAGAAATGGCTCCAGCGCTGACTAGCGGCCACCTCATTTCCCCCCTTGACCACTGGGCCAGTTGGGTGGCTAGGTTGCCTCATTTTGCATCCTTCTGTATCCCCAAATCTGAAATAAAAGCTGGAAAAAAATTCTTGTGAAGTTTGCATTCCAATCTATAATATCCACTTGCTAAAAACTAAAAACGATGCATCTCCACAAAACTCTGCAAGGAAAAGTATGCTCCAAGCGTTGTCTCACAGCTATGGCACGCCCGAGGGCACTCCCAGTATGCACTTCCAAGGACGGTTTGAGAAGTGCGGGTTTGATCATCTATAGCAGATGCTGCTGATGCCAACCAGCAAGCCCCGGGCCCCCGCTGGGTGTCCCCCAGCTGCAGTGGACAGTCATTCCTGCTGACACGTTCCTACCACAAGCCCCGGCATTGATAGCTTGGTTTTGTTTTGTGTTTTTCAGTGCAGTAAGAGCTTGCCTGGCCTGTGTGCAGAGCTGCCTCATCCTGAAATTCTGGGAGTTGAAAGCCCCAGGGCAACCCTTAACCAATGGGGGAAAAGCATTGGTGTGTAAATCCCCCAGCTTCCCTGGGTGGGCTGCAGCTGAGCCATAGTCTACATGACACTTCCGAGGATCCCCAGTGGGCATGACCTCAATCGCCCACATTGGATGCCACAACCTGCACTGGCTTTTCTCCCTTCCCTGTGGGTCTCTCTCTGCACTTCCTCCCTTGTGCATTCTAGGTTCACCTTCCAAATAAATGATGTGCACTCAGGGCCTTGTCTCAGTCTCTGACCTCGGGGAAACCTAAACTAAGAAAGTCGATACCAGAAGCAGCCCTGCGGAGTAGCCCCTAAAATGAAATTCTGAGCTGGGATCGCTTGCTGGACACCCTTTGGCTGGTGGTGTGCAGGGTGGTGAGATCTTACTAAGCCTGTGGTGGCTTGAGATGAGGTCCAGGTATAAAAGGACACACTGGCTCATGCAGCAGCCCTGGCAACAAAAAGGCATGGAGGCAGCGGGGATGGTCATGGCCGTGAAGTGGGCTGGTTTGGCTCATTGCAGTAGGAACCCCATGGAGACAGAAAGATGGGCTTAAGCCCACAACTATCAACTCAGGGCTCGCTTTGAGGCCACAGGTCTCCATAGCAGTATTTAAAATGACTCTCATCTGCTACTGACAGAGGACAGGCTGTACTGAAAATGAGGTCTGGAGTTGATCACATGTGTAGTGGAGCTACCAGACGCTGAATGCAGAGCCCCAGCTAACTCCCCACGCTAACAGCAGGGCCCTCATAGGGGAGGATGGGGCCCTGAGATGGGATGATTCATCAGCTGGGTCCTCAGGAAGAATATGCCAAGATGTCGTTAGACGTGCCAGAGATTTACAGGGGTAATGCCTGTGAACAAAATGGGGAACTAAGCAGAAGTAGGCAGAGGGAGCCTCAGGTCACGATGCAGGTCTGACACCTACGAAAGGAGAGGGAGGAGGAAGGAGGGTCAGGCAGGAAGATCCTCAGACTGCAGGCTGCTCAGAAAACTTTTGGTGAGTGGCACAGGGGCTCCAGCCCAAGACTGCCCGTAGAGGAGCCCACCATGGCAGTCATCATCAGCTGGGCTCTGCCTGGGAAGCACATGGCCTTGATGTGCAGGCCCCTGTCACTGGAGGCTGTCAGCTCATTGCATTCCTTGGGGCTGGGTCTGTCATGAAGGGAGACCATTATCTGTATTTTGCAAAGGAGGTTAAGTAAAGGACATGAGGTCACTGAGCAAGCTGTAGATCCAAGGCTTGCTTCTGGGTTAGCCGGCTCCAAGACACATGTGCTGAATCTCTGACCCTTGTGGCTTTGGAGAGTGAGCCGGCAGTGGGCAAGACCAGGCTCTTGATAACAGTAGAAGTTAAAGTGCACTTGGAGTCTTGGCTGCAGGTGGGACAGTGCCAAAACCTGGAGATGCCAGCTTGACTCCAGATGGCAGTGAGAAGTGCAGGACACATCTGCAAGGGCAGCCTGAGGCCATCTGTGTAGGGGGGACATTGCAGAGCTCTGTGAGCTCAGACTGGTCTCCCTCAATTCCCTCTGCTCACATCAGTATCCATGATCATTTCCAAGAATCCAGGCCCCCAGTGCGGCTGCAGCCCACACCCCACCTCCCTACCGCAAAGATGGCTCCCTACCCAGGGCCAGGCTACCGTGTTGTGCCTACCTGTCTGTTTGGGGACAGACCTGAGTTTTCACTTCTGCAGCTGCATTCTGTGCAGATGCTGGTTGGGCTGCCCCGTCCATGGGGTAGGGCAGGGACCCCACCACCCAGGTCCACAGATGGTGACAGGTGAGTGAACAAGGAAATCGGAGGGACCTGAGGAAGCTCCGAGCATGGGTGGCCTCACGACAATTCCTGACAACCTTTCACTAGGGTTAGGTTGCACTTTCACCCTGGGGGCCTGTTTTAAAAATGAAGCAGCCCCTATGGACCCACACACATGCACACCCTGCAGAGGAGGATAAACGCAAGACCAGGGTATCCCAAACTGTCCTTTTCAGATCATCAACATCTAAATGGCAGAGGATGCACTTTTTTTTTTTTTTTTGAGATGGAGCCTGGCTCTGTCACCCAGGCTGCAGTGCAATGGTGCCATCTCAGTTCACTGCAACCTCCGCCTCCTGGGTTCAAGCCATTCTCCTGCCTCAGCCTCCCGAGTAGCTGGGACTACAGGCATGCACCACCACACCCAGCTAATTTTTGTACTTTTTTAGTAGAGACGATGTTTCACCATGTGGGCCAGGCTGTTCTCAAACTCCAAAGTGCTGGGATTACAGGTGTGAGCCACCATGCCCGGTCAGGATGCATGTTTAAATGCAGACTCCGGGGCCCACATCAGACATACTGGATCTTCACGTCTGCACCCAGCGTTCTCTAGGTCACACTCACACTTTCCAAACTCTGACAACAGCTCCACAAGGAGGCTCCGGATGTCAGCAGTGAAGGGTGTTAAGGGGTCATCTGGTTAAATGCCTGCATTGCAGGGGTGAGGAAACCGAGTGTGAGATAGACAGTCAGCCCTCTGGGCTCAGGCTCTGTGACTGCTGCTCTGCCTCACAAGCGAGAACCTTTTGAGTTAACACTCTAATATGCTGATCAATTTATCATATCATTTCCCCCTCGTAGGGACAGCCTAAGGGCATAAACTGTCAAACTGCTCCCTCCTAGTGATCAGATGGGCTAAAGTGGGCATAGGTCCCAGATTCAGCAAATAAAGATACAGTACACCTAATTCAATTGAATTTCAAGTAACCAACAGAAAACTTTTCAGTATAAGTAGGTCCCCGGAACTGCATGGGACACACTTATGTTCTAACATTAGTCATTGATCAGCTGAAATTTCAATGGAGCTGGGAAGCCTGTATTTTTATTTGTTAAATCTGGCAACTCTACTCCCAGGAGTTAGCACCCCTATTAAGGCAATGAAATGGATGCAGTGTGGTGGCCTCTACTGAGATGTGGTTATGCACAGGGGATCTTCTGTGGATACTGCAGGGGTAGGAGGAGGAGCAGCTGTCAACCCCGCAGGCTATATATAACTCGACAGGTGGAGACACGGAGGAAGATCATGTGTGTCTGGAGAACACAGGGATTGGCCATAAGCCCCCAGGAATGCTCTACTGCCTGTCCTTGGAAGTTGCCTTAGTCAGCTTGGGCTGTATCATAGAACACCATAGATGGAGTGGCTTCAACAATAAACAGTTATTTCTCGCAGCTCTGGAGGCTGAGAAGTCCATGATGAAGGTGCCAGCAGATCTGATATCTCGTGAAGTTTCACGTCCTGGTTTGCAGAAGCCCACCGTCTCCTTGTATCCTCACATGAAGCAAAGAGAGAAGAGTCTTGTCTCCTCTTGGTTCTTTTTTTTTTTTGAGACAGAGTCTCACTCTGTCACCCAGACTGGGGTGCCAGGACCTCCCAGACCCAAGCGATTCTCCTGCCTCAGCCTCCTGAATTGCTGGGACTACAGGTGTGTGCCAGCACACCAGACTAATTTTTGTATTTTTTGTAGAGATGGGGTCTTGCTATGTTGCCCAGGCTGGCCTTGAACCTCTGAGCTCCAGTATATGCCCACCTCAGCCTCCCAAAGTGCTGGGATGACAGGCATGAGCCACCATGACCCGCCTCTTCCTCTTTCCACTAAGGCACTAATGCCACTCCCAGGGCCCCAACCTCCTGACCTCATCTAAGACTAATCCCTTCCCAAAGGCCCCACCTCCAAATCCCATCACATTGGGGTTAGGGTTTCAACGTGGGAATTTGGGGTTGGGGGACACAAACATTCAGTCCAGAGCAAAGGCAAAAACCGATGTCCAACACATACATAGAGGTTGAGGGAGGGGAGAGAAAATCCACTCCATATGACAGGGAGAGTGGAACAGGAAGGAAACAGGCAGAGATGAGAACGCCTGGCTGGGATGGGGAGTAGGGAGTGCCAGGTTTACAACCCCTGCCCTCCTGAACCCTTGCCCTCCCTAATCCCTGCCTCCATAATCCCTGCCTCCATAATCCCTGCCTCCCTAACCCCGGCCTCCCTAACCCCGGCCTCCCTAACCCCGGCCTCCCTAACCCCAGCCTCCCTAACCCCCTGGCCTCCCTAACCCCGGCCTCCCTAACCCCGGCCTCCCTAACCCCGGCCTCCCTAACCCCAGCCTCCCTAACCCCGGCCTCCCTAACCCCGGCCTCCCTAACCCTGGCCTCCCTAACCCCGGCCTCCCTAACCCCGGCCTCCCTAACCCCGGCCTCCTTAACCCCTGGCCTCCCTAACCCCAGCCTCCCTACCCTGGCCTCCCTAACCCCGGCCTCCCTAACCCCAGCCTCCCTAACCCCGGCCTCCCTAACCCTAGGCCTCCCTAACCCCGGCCTCCCTAACCCTAGGCCTCCCTAACCCCTGGCCTCCCTGACCCTTGGTCTCCCTAACCCCCAGCCTCCCTACCCCGGCCTCCCTAACCCTAGGCCTCCCTAACCCCCGGCCTCCTTCTCAGTGGCAGTTTTCTCCTTGTACCTCCAGGGAGGGTGGGGAGAAGAAGGGATGGGAGCGGGGAGCGGGGGAGGGAATTATCTAGACAGCCAATTCCAAATTTGACCTCCAAATGCACTCTCTAGTTCCTCGCTCTCCTCAGGAAGTGCTTCAGGTGCCAGGGCAGCTGGCCCCCCGAGAGTCTGCTCAGCTCTCAGGACAGATGCCCGGCTGCTCGCAGGCTGCAGCGCCCTGGGGGCTGAGGTCATTGTTTTGCTGTATGACCTGACAAATGATTTCTCTGGGGGCGCTTCTGCTCTAGAAGAATGTGCTATAGCCTTCCACCGTGACTAATTCCACGTCTCCCTCAGATCTGAAGTGTATTCATCACTGCAAAGCAGCCGTCTGCTTCATGAGCAGTGGCTCCACTGGGTGCCCGTGCAAGTAGGCAGAGAATCCCATTTCTAAAGGTTCTGATGGGTTCCTCCCCCATGTGAACGCGGGATCCCTCCCCCACCAACAAACCTCACAAGCCAAGGGGGCAGGGGGAGCTTGCTTTTCTAGAAAGGGCGCTCATCTGATCTCTCATGTACAGGGTCAGAGGGGAGCTGAGCCTTGTTAGCCAGGATGGGCCCTTGGCCCAGCATCCTGCGTGGAGCATGTGGGCTGCATGGTTGGCTCTGACTTGGGTGCCTACCAGAAGCCCCTGAGCCAGGACCTGGTGTGGTGGTGCTGGGCACAGGGCGGCCAGGTGCTTAGTACGTGCTCAGCAAATCAATGCAGGATCAGGCTGGGTGAGTTGTAAAGGAGGAGGAGGGAGTGTCCTGGGAGAGTGTGGGGGAGGGGGGGGCTCCCCTCGGGGGAAAGTCCCTCTCAGAGCAGCACTAACAAGAGCACAGCTGAGTGGTGCTGGAGAAGATGCCTGGCCAGCTTGGCCCAACAGGTTCTTGGAAAGCCAAGGATGATGGGGAAAACACCGGGACAGTGACACAAAGGAGGACAAGAGTGGAAGAGCTGTGGCCTCTCTCCACACATGGCCCCGATTTAAAGGGGGAGAGGTGGTAATGTTTACAGGGATGCCACTTTGAGTAAAGCCGAGCCCAAGAGATCTTATTTAATTCTGTAATAGTCCACGAGGTAGTTACCACTGTGCTGCAGACAAAGAGACTCAGAGGCTGAATCTGGGTCTGTCGGATTGAAAAGGCTTTTTTGGCAGGGCACAGTGGCTCACGCCTGTAATCCCAGCACTTTGGGAGGCTGAGGCAGGGGGATCAGTTGAGGTCAGGAGCTCGAGAGACCAGCCTGGTCAACATGGTGAAACCCTATATCTACTAAAAATACAAAAATTAGCTGGGTGTGGTGGCGCATGCCTGTAATCCCAGCTACTCGGGAGGCTGAGGCAGGAGAATCGCTTGAAACCTGGGAGTCGGAGGTTGCAGTGAGCTGAGATCTCACCACTGCACTCCAGCCTGGGTGACAGAGTGAGACTCTGTCTCAAAAAAAAAAAAAAAAAAAAAAAAAAAGGCTTTTTTTCTTCCAAGATAACATGGACACTTGAAGTGCAGCTGAAAATGCTTGCAGCTCTCCATCTGGGTGGTGTTTGAAGAAGATGGCAATATGCTTATGCAAGGGTAGAATATTAATATAATGTGTAGGTTTTCCATGTATTACTCTAATTGTAAACTAGTGAATAAGGCAGAGGTGATTGTAGTCCACTGGAAGGTCAGTAAGAAAGAAGTGAGCTATATAATTAGGAATGTATTGCTATGAATCTTGGAGGGGGTGTGTCTTGGTGTGCATGTTGTAGATGTATGAGTGAAAATGTCACAGTCTGCCGGACATGTCTGTGAAACCTGGCTGAAGGGTTTTGCTAAAGAAACTGAAAGCTTTCTTGAGAAAGGCAGGGTAAGGAGGGAGGGGCACCCGGAAGTGATGGGCACTGACTCCTCAGATGCACAGACCGTCCTGTAGCAAATAAGACGAAATGGAACCACATGGGACATGCCACTGAAACTACAGCCAAAGCTGCTTATGAATTATCTTCCAGAATCGGCTATCCTAGGCAGAGGCAAACACAAATTAAGGGCTATGGGGTGCATTGGGTGACAGTGATGTAGGAATGTAGGAATCAAAGTTTATATTAACTACGAAGTTCTTCCCCCACAGCTGGCGTCTGAGATATTCCCCCCTGAGATCTCATATTGCAAAAGGAGCCAGTTGTTTCCTTCCACACACCTTTCTGCCCACCAGCTATTTCATTGATTCAACTGTCTTTTCTCCAGTTGATGGGAAAATGCAAATCTGTAAGGAGAATATGGAAATTCACTCTTTTAAGCCAGCTACCTGTCAGACATCACAATAGAAACCAACGCAGTGACAGGAAGTTTAAAGGAATGCTTCAAAAATGAAAATAAGGCATTTAAATGGACAGTGGAAATCAAGGGAAATTGCAAAGCTACAACATGAAAAGAGCTAATTAAGAGGAAGTCAGAGCAGCCCAGATCCTGTGATGAGCAAGCCAGCAGACAACATGGCCGCACTCAGAGGGGAGGAAAGCGGGGTCAGTGAAGCCCAGGGCTGCAGGAGAGGTCCTTTGGCCGTCCTCGGCGATGGTGGGTCTGCGGGGAGCAGATGGGTTGCGGTGGGGATGGTGAGGGCTGCTCTGCTCAGGAGGTGCATAAACCAGCGCAGCCTCGGGCTTGGCCCTGGCATGTTCCCCACTGATGACCCTTCCGTGGGATCCTTGCTCAGCATCCCCCAGAATCACAGGGACCATGGAAGCAGCAGTTGTGCTGGTTTCTGGGAGGGTCTTGCCTGTTAACACCTGGAGAGTGCTTGAAGGCCGGGGCTATGGGGATTTGAGAGTTTAAAATCAATAATTCGCAGAATGATCGGATCAAGGCAGAGGGGAGTGTGAGGGAGGAACCCGGGCCTCTGGCTTGCAGAAGCAAATGGACAGAACATTTGAATGGACAGAGGCATCCTCCTTTCCAGCCTCTGTCCATTCAGTGAGTGAGCCCTTGAAGCGTCAGTCCCAGCCTTCCTCTCTGTCCATGCTCTGCTTCCTTCGAGGACAGTCTTAGCTAGGAACTCAGCTTCAGGTCCCACTTACAGCCTGATGACTCCCAAACTTAGGACTTTCACCGTTCTGTCTTCAGAGGTCTAGGTATATGCAAATGCTGGCTTTTGAGGGTCCTCAGATGCAAACGTGCAAATGCAGGGGCTTGGCTCAAAGCCAAACTCACGCAATTCTCCTTCCAACTCCTTTAAATTAGATTCTACTCCAGTGCAGCTGGGCTCAGGGATTGTGCAGCCTCCGTCCATTTGCTTCTGCAAGCCAGAGGCCCGGGCTCCTCCCGAACGCTCCCCTTTGCCTCCATCCGATCGTTCTGCGAATTATTGCCCTTAAACTGTCAAATCCATCTACATATCTGTAGCTCCACTGCCTCCTCAGTCCAAGTGGCCATCACTTCTCACCCAGCTGGCCCCCGCATGCCTTCTCTTGCCCCTTTGGAGCCACTGTCCCGCATGGCCAGTTGGCAAGTGCAGTCCCCTGCTGGTCTCTGGCAGGAATGTGGCTAAGAGGGCGCAGGGGGCCAGCAGGGTGGGGCAGAGGACACAGAAGCGGGATGGCAGGTGCCTCTCAGGTCCGCAGGGGTTTCTCTCAGGTTCACAGGGGCCTCTCTCAGGTTGGAGGATGAAGGGCAGCGATTCCTTTTCATTTCTGTTTCTTTTTTTAAAACTTGGAGCATGAAAGACATCTTGGGAACTGTGTTCACTGTAACCTAAGAAAGAGGGATGCCTGTGCTGTAGCCTGGAGGAGCCCAGTGGAAACCCTCAGGAGATCCAGAATAGCTCTCCGCAGACAGACCTCTGCGCACAGAGGCGGCGAGGAAGGCCCCCGGCAGGGTGCTGGGCACGGCTGGTTCCCGAGATTCAGGGGAAGTCTCCTACAGAGCGCGCTCTGCAAGCCCTAGCTGCGGAGAGGATGAAGGTTTTGCCTGGAATTGGCACTGTCTTTTGATGGCAGATTTTAAACGTGTAAATCATAAATGCTGACCTGATGGCAAATCATTGCTTTTGTTGACAACACCTGCATGTTTAGTCTCTTCTTTCACTATTTTTTTTTTTAATGAATGTGTCCATGTGTTTTTACCCAGTTCTTGCCTCTTGTCCAAGAACCTGGTTCTTGGTTCTTGTCCAACAATGTGGACATTTGTCTTTATAAAATAGAATGATGTTTCTAAACAAACAAAAATTATTCTATGCAATGAATCAGAGCAATCAGCGCAGAACCCTCCTTCCAGCTCGGCTGCAGGCTCCCAAAGGGCAGGGACTGAGTCAGCTTTGTTTCCCCAGGTCCTGGTGGGGTGCTTGGGACACAGAAGGGGCTTGGCAAATGTTTGCTGAGTGTACATCTAGCCTAAAAAGATGGCCTGGAAAGGCGTCTAGGAACACCCTCATTGTACATGAAAAGAATCAGCTCCCAAATCCCTCCACCCTGAAAGGGTTTTGTCTGTTTGCCGGTTTTTGTTTTTTTAAAGGAACAATCTGATTTCTTTTCTTTCTTTCTTTTTTTTTTTTTTTTTTGAGATGGAGTCTTGTTCTGTCATCCAGGAGTGCAGTGGCGCGATCTCAGCTCACTGCAACCTCCGCCTTCCACGTTCAAGTGATTCCCCTGCCTCAGCCTTCCGAGTAGCTGGGACTACAGGCGTGTGCCACCATGCCTGGCTAATTTTTTGTATTTTAGTAGAGACGGGGTTTCACCATGTTGGTCAGGATGGTCTCGATCTCCTGACCTCATGATCTGCCTGCCTTGGCCTCCCAAAGTGCTGGGATGACATGCATGAGACACTGCACCCGGCCACAATCTGATTTTCATACACGGAGGAAGATGGTTAACATGGCTGGGAAATGGGGCATTATGCATAGAAGGTAGGAGGGCTGCAGGCAGAGGCCAGGGCCCAGGGAGTCCAGGATTGGAGCTGGGAAGAGGATCATGAAAGGGAGAGGGTGGGAGGCAGAGGGGGAGCTGGATTTCACTGGGCGCCACATAAAGCAATCCCAGTTTTCCAGATGTACAAATGTCAGATGCATGAGCAGTGCTTTGCAAAATGCAATTTCCCTTTCAAGATGAACACTTTAAGGGCCTTGAAAAGAGACTGGTTTTCTCTTTCAGATGCTGCCTATTGAAATGGATGTGGAAGCAGCTCTCAAGGTCAGGGCTGTGAGCTGGAAGCCTTCTCCACGTTGGTAAGGAGTCTGCATGCCGCCTGGCACCCCACGTAGGCGGGTGGCTGAGCTCATTCCCCAGGTGCAGGCAGGCGAGAAATGGAGCAAGTGATATTGGCCATGGACCCTGACCCTGGGAAGGGTCCTCGAACAGTCTGACCAGCTTCTGACACAGAGGGCATGTGCAATAATACTTAGGAGGGATTTGTCCAGGATGGCTCAGAAATACTCCTGGGTTTACAACTTGGAAATATTTATGAAAAGAACTTAGATTGACCTGTGGCTTTTAGACCTTAAAGGACAGGGTTGAGGACAGCCAGATAGAGCTGTCAGACCGTGCCCCAATGTGGCTGATGACCCGTGACCTACAGGAGAAAGGACGGGTCACACCATCTCAGGTTGGACTCACAGCGGGTCGCCCCGGATAAGCCCCCTGGTGTGCTTTCCCCTGAACTTGGCATGAGATCTGAATTCAGCCCTAGCTCCCAGCCAGGCGTGGGCTGACTCCCTGCTCCCCCTCCCCAAGGCTGCTGCTTCCCTGGGCTTTTTTCAGTTCTTTGGATACAGCTGCGCCTTCCACCCCAGGACCTTCACACACGGCTGATCCCCCAGAGCCCTTGCCGGAGGAGCTCATTCCTGCTCCTGTTTCAAGTCCAGCTTCCAGGCCCCCTACAGCCTCAGTCCCTGTGGCCTCCCCAGGGGCAGCCCTGCTGTTCCTGACCTCAGCCCCCTGTTAGTTTCCCTCATAGCCCTTATTGCGAACTGTAATTCTTTGATTTGTGTATTTTTTCTGTCTGTGTCTCTCCCCGTCCCCACCAGACAGAAAATTTCATGAGGGCAAGAGATCATATTGTCTCTGCTATGGTCTAAATATTTATGTCCCCTTAAAATTCCTTTGTTGAAACCTAACCCCTTAGGTAACGACATTAGGAGGCGGGGCCTTTGGGCAGTGATGAGGTCGTGGGAAGAGGATCCTCGTGATGGATGAGTGCCCTTATGGAAGAGGCTTCAGGGAGCCTGTTGGCCCCTTCCGCCAAGTGAGGACACATGTAAGGCACCATCTGTGAGGAACAGGCCCTCACCAGACACCCAATCTGCTGGCGGCCTGATCTTGATCTTGGACTTCCCAGCCTTCAGAACTGTGAGCAGGAAGTCTCTGTTCTTTATAAATTACCCACTCTAAGGTATTTTTGTAATGCAGCCCCAGTGGACTAAGACAGTCTTATCACTGCTGAGTGTGCAGTGCCTCTTCCTGCTCTGGGCACATAGTAGGTGCTCATTAAATGTTTGCTGAATAATGGATGTGTGGGAAAATTGAAGTAATGAAAAGTCAGAGACCCTTTGGACGTTGTGTGGAGTTGGCTCTGTGTCTTCTGAGATGTCATTTTAATCCTTTATCACAGTGAGATGGTTGTTGGAATGCCCTGCAAAGCTCCACCGATTCCAAAGGGAATGATCAGGATGATCAGCTCCTGGACTAATGTCCAGGTACTGCTGCTGCTGTGGGGTTCTGGGAGACCTAAACAGGAGCAGCTTCCCTGCAAGATTTTATCTAATATTTGAAGACAGGGTGTGTCCATGGGGTGCTTCATCTGAAGAGGAGGAGTGTGAAGCCTCTCCCAGTGCACTTACTGAATGGGAAAGACACCAGGAGATTAAACAGCCACATTCTCATCCATCAGGGCACAGTCTGGGTTCAGTAAATGCTTTTCCCCCTTTCTTAGCTGTTTCCATGAACCAGAACCAGCGGGCTCTCCTCTGTAAGGAGAGAGAAGGTGGGTGCATTCCTGAGTGGTCACGCCTTCCCACTTCCCCAGGTAACTACATGGTGAGGCAAAGAAACAGTTACTCCCTGGACGCTTCAGATCACACAGGGCTGGTTGCAGTCTCTTCCATGAGCATGTTTATCTAACAGGTGATTTGGGGGCTGGGCGTGGTGGCTCACGCCTGTAATCCTAGCACTTTGGGAGGCCAAGGTGGGTGGATCACCTGAGGTCAGGAGCTCAAGACCAGCCTGGCCAACATGAGGAAACCCTACCTCTACTAAAAATACAAAAAATTAGCTGGGCATGGTGGCGGGCACCTATAATCCCAGCTACTCGGGAGGCTGAGGCAGGAGAATCGCTTGAACTTAGGAGGCAGGGGTTGCAGTGAGCCAAGATTGTGCCATTGCACTCCAGCCTGGGCAACAGAGCAAGACTCTGTCTCAAAAAAAATAAATAAATAAATAAAAGAGGTGATTTGGAATGTGGCATCCAGTGGGTGCACACACACGAGTCCTCAGTCAACCTACACGTCACCTCGTCCTCGCTCACTGCTGCAGCCTCACCCAGCACAGCCGAGGATCTCTCCACTTACACTTTTGCTTACTTGGTAGAAAAATGAAGCTCAAAGTATATGTTAATGTGCCCAATTCTCAGTAATTTCTCCTCTGGGATGTAGGATTTTTGCCTCCACCAAGTGAGCCAAGGTTATTTGAATAACAACTTCTGAGTCAACATAAATACTCACTTAGAGAAAAAGTCAGCAATGTTTCTGTTTTCAAAACTCCTTCCTAGACATTTATTTACCATAAGAAAGTCAGCACGCTTTATTGCTGGGATCTAACAAGGCCTAAGGAGACATCTGCTCTGCATGCGTTGGCGTTGGTCTTCTTCTGACTGGAACCGGCAGAGCGCATCTTCTGGGCCTGGGTGGGTTTTCTCTTCATTTTTTCTTTGTTTTCTTTTTTTTTGAGACGGAGTCTCGCTCTGTCATCCAGTCTGGAGTGCAGTGACGTGATCTCGGCTCACTGCAAGCTCCGCCTCCTGGGTTCATGCCATTCTCCTGCCTCAGCCTCCTGAGTAGCTGGGACTACAGGCGCCCGCCACCACGCCCCGCTGATTTTTTTTGTATTTTTAGTAGCAGCGGGGTTTCACCGTGTTAGCCAGGATGGTCTCGATCTCCTGACCTTGTGATCCGCCCACCTCGGCCTCCCAAAATGCTGGGATTACGGGCATGAGCCACCGTGCCCGGCCGGCCCTGAGTGGGTTTTCTAAGGGTAACATTCAGATTGTTGCTTTTATTAGATTATATGTCTAGTTCTCCTTCCTCAAATTGCAATCCGAGCTTGACTGACAAATGTGCAAATTCACAGATTCATCGTTTCTCCTGACCTCATGTCTCCATTCTGACACTGAGCAGTAATTGTAGTGCAATCCCCAGGCAAGGGCCATCCCCAGAGCTCCTGGCCTTTGCATGGGTCTTTCCCACCCTGAAGGCAATTCACCCTCAGAGTCATCAGGTAGTTTTGCTCATGGCTGAATTTGAGGCTCAGCACGTGCTTTTGGCCCAAGTCCCACGCACAGATTTGCTGATGCCTGGTTACTGTGGGTGGGCCATGGGGCCAGATGTGGGAAATGCCCCCACACACATCAGAGCTGTTCTGCCTTTCCCAACTGGAAATACTGCTTCTCATTTTGAATCAGAGCCCTGGTGAGCCACTTTATCCTTTCAGTATGGTGTACCTGAGGGATTTTCAGTAAATATTGGCTCTTCGATATTGCCATTGGGTGACCAGAGCAGAAGAGAATCCAATCTTACATCCTCTACTGCTAAGGACATTTTCAACAGAAACTTTGGGACTTCTCTCGAAAGATCCTGAGATCCTTTGCCAACATTAGATATCACAGACTCCTCTGCCCCTTTCCCACTGTTAAGCAAGAACGATCCTTTTGCAAATGTATGCCCTGGCAGCAGAATGCTAGTCCAAGGGCCCCCTGAAGTAGATATTTTTAAAGTTACTCATTACATAGGTAATGTGGGTTCTGAATATTTGACATTAAAGAATGTACAGAAGTTATTTGGGGGTGGCATGAATGACTTAGTGTGAGAACCCATGCTGCCCATAGCTTCCGCAACTGCCGCCTGCTCTGCCTGCCAACACCTGGTTGCAGCTGCCCCTATCCGGCTCTCTCCTCCCCACCTTTGCCCATTCTCCCACCTCGAAACCAGTCTAGATGTTGATACTACATTTTTAGGCTAACAAAACCAAGAAGGACAAGGTTTCTACAACTGGCAATGAGTTTAAACGGGCAACTAGTGGCCGTCCATTTAAAATGAGAAAGAGCTCTGCAAGTTAAAGTCCATTTTATTGTGTGAATTTTTAGCAGTGCAGTGCAGTGGTGTTCTTTTGCATACGAAGATTGATGAATCCTACACAGGGAGAAAAAGATTTGACAGCAGTTTAAGGAGACGTTGTTAGCAAAAACCAAGGCGAGCCGAGTAAGTGGCTTCTCCCCGAAAGCAATTCTTCCCTGTCTAATCTCTTTTTGCAGCTCATTAGTTCTCTGGGAATCAGAAAAAGGTTGTTTCCCAATTATCCCGCCACAGGGGCACATCATGGATGGAAGCCGGGGCTCCGTGGCACAGCATGTGAATCGGCGCGACCCCATCCCAAGAGCCAGGGCTCTCCTTATCTCTGTTGCCTGGGCCCAGCGTGGTGCCGTGGATGTGAGAGTTTAGGCAGGACCACGGCCCCGGCTGTTTGTTTGGGAGGCACTTGGCACCAAGGCCATGCCTCTTATTACTACCCGTGGCCTTGAGCAAGCTCATGAACCTCTCTCAGCCTCAACTGTCACGTTGGTAAGAGCTTCTCGGCAGTGTTTTGAGAATCAAGTGCCTGACCCACGGCAGGCACCTAACACATGCTCCATGGCGCATGGGCAGAGGTGTGTTCAGGGCACAGTCTTAAAAATGACAACGGGCAACTTTTGGTTTTTGGCAACTTCAGTACAAGCAATTTAAGTTTCTCTGGGGCTCACCTCACATGAGGCACAGGATTGATGGGGGCTGGAAGCAAGCCGTGAGATAAGGGGTGTGAAAAAGCGCCCCACTGTTACAGATCACGAGCAGGGACAGTGCTCCCCAGATGGCAGGGGCTCCTCTTCTCCAGCAAGGTAACTGCTCAAGCCAGGACCTCAACCTCAAAGCAGCAGCAGGAGGCGATGGGCAGTGGGTTCTCTGACTACACAGGAGGCCGGTGGGAGGGGAGTCTGAAGGGGAGAGTCAAAGGCAATGCCCATTCTGCCCTGGCCTGGGGACAGGATCCTTCAGGCAGTGGTGACATCTGTCAGGCGTCAGATTGGTGGAGCAAGGAAAATGAGTGGGAACGAGTTCTATTCTGAGTTCCTGGAGGCTTCTCCCTACAGGGGACATTCTCAGAGAGCTTAAATTAAGGCAAGAAACCAGCTCTCCAAACTTTCAGGGTCCGAAAGTGAAATATCACTTTGGGATTTTGGAGATACTCAAGACTGTGGGAATGACCAGCGCATGACCCCATCTTAAACCACGGCTCAGCTCTCTGGGGTCCATCAGATGTGATGGCATGGGCTCAGAGCCATCACAGAACCAAGGGCAGTGGCCTCTGAGTGGTTTGTATGCAGGAGCAGTGTTTTGAAAATGGCTGGGCGTGGTGGCTCATGCCTGTAATCCCAGCTACTCAGGAGGCTGAAGCATGAGAATCGCTTGAACCTGGGAGGTGGCAGAGGTTGCAGTGAGCTGAGGTTGTACCACTGCACTCCAGCCTGGGCGACAGAGCGAGACCCTGTCTCTACATAAATAAATTAATTAAATGTTTTGAAAGTGACCCCTTGAAACTCTGTCCATCATCAGACTCTGCATTTAGTAAGTCCATGTTTATTCAAGAACTTCTAGAAAATGAAGAACTTTTCAAACTTTCATTGCATCAGTTGGTCACCAGGAAGGGGATTTCCTCAGGATGTGAAGGGGGAGTCTTCTTGCTTTTAAACTGGCATGATAGAAGGCAGAGGAGGCACACTGGGGCGGTGTTGCACTAATCCCAGCATGCCCGGGCTCGGGCCAGGCAGGGAGCTTTGGCAGAGGACCCTCTGCACGCTTCCTCTCCTCTAGCCAGAGCTTCTAGACTTGGCTGAGAGATGTGACCTGGTCCTGGCTCACGGAGGGCCCTGGTGGAGTGAGAGAACTGGAGAGTGGCTCCCTTGGTCAGGTGGGGGATGTTTCAGAGTCATAAATGAAGGCAGGTGTGGGGAGGAGCCAGGCCGCTGTCCAGGTGCAAGGCCAGCTTTGCCTTCGCCTTCCCTCCCTCGCTTAGTTGACCCCCATGAGCTCTAACCTGGGGGCACTGACGGTCCTAAGACAGGCTTAGATCTGGCAAGGGGGTGTGGAATGGTTTTGCTGTTAGTAACCCTGGGGTCCAGGGAGTCCCAGGCGAGTGCTGGCCTCAGCCGGAGGGCTCCAGCTGTAGCTCTGCTGAAAGGCATCCAGCCTTAGTGATGGGCTGCCTTTCTGAGACTCCTGGGGGCATGCAGCTCCCCTGCTGGGGCACTGTCTGCTTCTGCTTTCCCTGAGCCGGGTGCCAGCCCATTCCCCATTCCCTCCAAGGCTTGGGACCACAACTGCACACCCTGCCACTGGTGGGAAGACCCTGCCCACCTCTCAAGATCCAGCCCAGGAGCAAAGCTTATGGAGCCCCTCCCTGGGAGTGGGGAGCCCACAGAGGCAGTTCCCGTCCCAGGCTGCCCCACCCCTCTTCCTTTCAGCCCCAGGCCTAGAAAACACTTCTGAGATGAACCGGGCCTAAGCTCTGAAGCCTTCCCTTTGCTCTGCCTCAACTTCCTACCTCTCTGTGGCTCTGCTCCTCTCCCAGGAAGAAGCGCCATATCCAGGGCAGGAAAAGGCTTCCATTCTCAAAGGCCAGTTGAGAGCTGTGAATACTGTGGGTGAGGCCTCCATAATTCTGTGGCCTGGGAACATTGGCACTCTATCTCCATGTCAGGCCAGCTAACCCGAAGCCCGTGTGTGTCAACACACATTTCGGGACCTGACAATCTGCCCCCCTCCACCCTTGCTCTTGGGCCTCCAGATCAGAAAAGCCCTGGAAGTTGCTGATTTTCAGGCTCTTCTCTACTCTTTTTTTCTTAACACTCACCCTGCCCCCGAATTCTCCTGCTGACCCCGCTTGCCCTCTTGTTTCCAGCCTGGGAGGGGCAGCCATTCCCTTTGCCTTCCCCAGGCAATCTCCCTGCCCTCCCTGCCCAGCCCTCCCGGTTGTAACTCTGCCTGTGGAGGGAGGCCCAGGGGCTTTTCAGCAGTGGGCTGGGAGCTTGGCTCAGGCTGAACTTGATGGTGAAGGTGCTGAGCCCTGAGGTCAGAGTGTCTTGGCCACAACTGGGGCAGATGCTGATGTTTTTTTTTTTTTTGAGATGGAGTCTCGCTCTGTCGCCCAGGCTGGAGTGCAGTGGCATGATCTTGGCTCACTGCAACCTCCACCTCCCAGGTTCATGCCATTCTTCTGCCTCAGCTTCCCGAGTAGCTGGGACTACAGGCACCTGCCACCATGCCTGGCTAATTTTTTGTATTTTCAGTAGAGACGGGGTTTCACCGTGTTAGCCAGGATGGTCTCGATCTCCTGACCTCATGATCCACCCGCCTCGGCCTCCCAAAATGCTGGGATCACAGGCGTGAGCCATCTTGCCTGGCCCAGATGCTGATTTTTAAATGCTCCTGGCTCTCCTTTCTCTTTGCCCCATTCCTGTTTCAGGGCCAACTGGCTCATCATGTCCCCTGACACTCAACTTTCTCCCCAGGTCACACCGCAGGCTGGCTGAGATTGTGAAAAAAACAAAACAAAACAAAACAAAACAAAACAAAACAAAACAAAACACAAAAACTACTGTGATGATTAGAAGCACTCTGAGATTCTTGGGCCAAAAAGCACTCGAAAAGCCCCAGCTGCTGGGGTTCCCCCTTGGTGGGAGGTGCAGGGCACAGTGTGATTGGGAGTAGGCCAGGAAGCTGCTGATGCCACTATGCATGTGCTCAGAGGGGCTGTCTAGTCCCAGGCCACCTTCTAAGAGTCACTCTAATGAGACCGATTCTCCAATAGGCTACACTGGACACACAGAACACAGCAGAGGAAAAACACACACATTTGGCAGATAACAGCAGAGAACACCAAGGGCTGTACGCTCTGTACCTCTCAGTAATGGGTCGTTGGTATCTGATTTAAAAGGAATTGCCTATGTGATATGGATGGATCTTAACTCATGAGGGCTCTGTGAGCTCATCCCAGACTAGAGGTTTGAGCTCTCATCAGGTAAGTCTCCTCTCTGAGTCCACAGCAAGCCTCAGGGTGGAAGGAATGAGGGACAAGGTGATGGTTCTCTCTAGGTGTCAGCCCCTGGAGGGGTCTGTGAGACCCAAAAAAGGAAGTGACCCAGGGCATGGAGAGAACAGATGCCATCCGGTAACATTCACCATGGGGAAACTCATCCTGGCCTGGCCCTTAGCCAGCACCTACAAGAGGCAGCACTGCCATGGGGGGCCCAGGCAGGATGCCACTGGCTCAGGGAGGCCCTGTGCTGGGAGCTGTGAGGGCTGGGTTTATGGTTCCTCCCCACAGCCTTGATGGCTCCTGAGCCCCCAAACAGCACACTCAACTATTCCCCTCCCCTGCTCCCAGGCTCTGCAGTGTCTGTGTTCACTGAAGCCAGTGACAGGAGGTCTTAGGGAGGCTGCACCCCTCACACCGAGCCCCTGGCCTCCCTGGACCCACCCAGCCCCTTGGGCTCATCTTCTTCATTCTGCTCAGCCTCTGCATCCAGCCCTGCCTCAGCACAGCCCCCCAGCAGTGGGGGGCTGGGGAGGTACTGGAGGAGCCGGCCTTCCCTCTTCATTTCTGCCAGCTCCTTGGCACAGCAGCTGGGTGTGTTGGTCTCATAGGTATCATGGAAGGTGTTGTAGTCCACCTCATAGAAGCCCTTTTCCAAGGTGAGGACTGGTGTGAATCGGTGGCCCCAGAGCACCTCTGTATCCATGTAGGAGCTCCGGGCTTGGCAGGTCATGCCTGGGGAAACGGAAGTTACATGCATTATGATGCAATCATCCATCCATCTATCCATCCATTCATCCATTCATCCATCAATCCATCCATCCATCCATCTATCCATCCATCCATCCATCCAGTCATCTGTTCATCCATCCATCCATCCATCCATCCATCCATCCATCTAATCATCTATCCATCCAACCATCCATCCATCCATCCATCCATCCAACCATCCATCCATCCAGATATGGAAAAAAAGGCAGGAAAGGGCAAAGATATATCCATCCATCCATCCATCCATCCATCCATCCATCCATCCATCCAATTATCTATCCATCCAGATATGGAAAAAAAGGCAGGAAAGGGCAAAGATATAGCCATCCATCCATCCATCCATTCATCCATCCATCCAATCATCCATCCATCCATCCATCCATCCAATCATCCATCCATCCATCCATCCAATCATTCATCATCTATCTATCCACCCAATTATTTATTCATCTATCCTTCCAATTATCTATCCATCTATCCTATCACCCATCCATCCATCCATCCACTCATCTACCTAATCGTCCACCCATCCAGTCATCCATCCATCCATCCATCCATCCATCCATCCATCCATCCATCCAATTATCCATACATTCATGCATTCCTTCAACCATCCAATCACTCATCAAGCATTTCATGAACATCTACTTTGTGCTAAGCATAGTGGAAATGTAAAGCTGAATAAGACACAGTCCTTGCCCTGGAGGAGTTCAAGGCGTAGTGGTGGCAGAAAATTAGAAATCGACATGCAAGATTCTGAAAGTCATTTCCTAGAGATTGGAGTGAATAGATGTTGGAATAGTTGAAGGTAGGGACTCCGTTCCTGAAAACAGCATTCAGGTCTAGAAGATTAAGATGGGAAAAAAGGCAGGAAAGGGCAAAGATAAATTCAGCATGAATGAACACGGAGAATCTGACAGGCATTTGGAACATATGGGGATTGTTTTGGGCGGACACATACGGAGAGAGGGCTCCACACTCACATACACACACACATACACACAGGAAGAGGAGCAGACGCACACACAGAGCTTGGCTTCTTGATTTGAGGCTGCTCCAATGCCTCGTTTCCCTGTCTACTCAGCCCGTGCCATGCCTATGCTATTTTTAGGTGTTGCTTTCTCTCCAGAGAGGAGGGCAGCTTTGTTTATGGATGAGGAGGCCTCTGTGCTTAGGGTCACAGGAAAGCAGCTTTCTGATATTTAATCTTCTGGCCAAGGAAGGCATTAACTGTGTTGGTTGGGTGCTGAAGGCAACCGTCTCCAGCTCCCACTTTGGGCTTTCTCTGGGAGGGGCTCATACAAAGCAGACCCAGGTCCAAGGCTGCTTCTCAGCCCCAGCGCACCCACACAGGTGCGCCCACAGCCTGCTCTCTGCTCTCAGTGATGCCTGCCTGGGCCGGGCCTCTCCCTTCAGTCGTTACCCTTGTTGTCCCCACAGCCTTGGCAGAGAGGCCCAAACCGGGCCCTGAGCAGCCTAGACCATGCCAGACGTCTGCAGCCTCCCAGGGCCTTGGGAAAGGTATGGGCAGGACCTTTCCCCTTTGGGATCCTCCTGCTCCTCATGGGGTGTGGCAGCGGCTGCCCTGTAGCTAGAGATCCTGGTGTGTCCCTGTCATTGCTCAATACGTTTGGAAAGGATTCCCCAGGTGTCAGGTATAGTGATCAGCACAGCTCCTTTTCATCTTGAATCCTCCCAACAGCCCTAAGAGATTGATTTTCCTCACTTTGCTGACAAGGTAAGCAGCTTGCTCAAACCCGCTCAGGCAGGATACGGCAGAGTTGTGCTACTCAAGCTGAGGCATGGATTCCCAGCCCACACCTGGCTGCATGTGCTTGACAACCAAACCACCCACATCCAGGACAGATGTGGGCCAGGGTCTCCTGCCCTATCTCCCTGGATCTCCCCTACAGTTTGTGGGACAGAGCAAGCATAGCCCGGGTTGTGGGAGGGGAAGGAGGCCAAACCGTGAGGACAAGTGAATGGCGGGCCCCTGACTTTGAGGGAGGTGTGGTTGGGGGTGCAGCGGGGCAGCGGGGCAGATAGCACTGGCTCCCTCCACTACGAGCCTGTGGGCGCTCTCCCTGCTGCATGGCTGGGGAGTGAGGATGGCCTTGGAGAGTGGTCAGGTGTGCTATGATTTGACCCCATGTCTCTCACCCAATCCCTTTTTTGTGGCTTCAGAGTGGAGTTCTTCCCCTGAAATGCAGCCTGTGTCCTGATTCTGACCCTGGAGGCAAGGGCAGGGTGACCTGCAAGCCCCTAGCTCTGTGGGGGAAACCTTCCTGAGTCCTGACTGTCCTCGGCCCCGGGGCTGCCCACCTGCCACCATATGCTGCCTGCCAGACTCCAGCCCCCAGCAGATGGCCGAGCAGCCACCTCTGGCACCAGTCCCTGGAGCTTGTCATTGCCCTCTCCTGGTTCCACCAACTTCAAAATGGGAAGGCTTGTGCAGTCTGGGTCTGAGTCCCCTGCCCGGCAGCCAGCTTCCTGGGGGCTGGAATGTGTGCTTGGCCATCTTCCTGACAGGCCGCTAGTATTTTAGTGGGGCAGAGTGGTGAGAGAAGCTCCAGATTTGTAAGTGGAAGAGCTGAATATGAACACTCACTGTCTACATAATGCTTTTTAGGTTCAGCCTCGACATCTGTAAAATGAGACTGAAGCCAGCCCTACACTGTCATTTGCAAGAATTGGAAAAATAGACATGCATCATTCTGAGCGTGACTGAGTTTCTAGAACCCATCCTTAGGGCCTGACCAGCTGCTCATTGTACCTGGTTGAAAAAAAAAAGAGAGAGAGAGAGAAAGGAAGGCACGAGGAAGAAATGAAATATGCAGGATGTGGGGTTTTGCTGCGAGTGGGGTGGGGACTAGGGTCCTCTGCCAGAGTTCAGGCGGTCCCAGGCCTTGGACTCCCTGGAGCCACCTCACAGAGGTCTGCCATGGCTGAGTGGCTGAGGAACTGGGGGGTCCTTGGCTACCAGCTGCTGGTGAGTCAGTAGCTGAGCAGGGAGGTGCCATGCTGGCCACACAAAGGGCATTTTCTTGGGCATACATGGATGTTGATGCCTCAGCATGGATGCACTGTTTTTTTGTGAGAAAGGAGCCTCACCTGCCCTGCGTTCACTAAACCAACCTTCTGCAAGAATGCTGAGGGCTGGCTGCCCCAGAGGGAGCCCAGCCACAAAAGCCCTTCCCCTGCAGCAAAGGTCTCTCCAAGTAAGGGGTTGGTGAGAACCTTTTGAGTTTAGGAAATTCTGCATCCCCTCCTCTCCCAGTGATGAGACTCAGTGGGTAAGGACAGCGAGAAGTCCACTGTAAAGAAACCAGTTCGCTTTTGTTTCGCCCTGTGATTACCAGAGCTATCTGACCAGGGAGCTCTTCTGGGTAGAACACTTGTTCCAAGAAGGGGCAGTTTGTCCTGTTGGAAACAAGTGCTGGCTCTGGGGTCCCTGGTCTCAATTTCCATCCTAGCTCTATCATTCGAAAGTGCTTGCTCTTGGGCAAATAATTTAGCCTGTCTGTGTCCCTGTGTCTTTATCTGTACCTTAATAAAAACTATCTTGGCTGGGCACTGTGGCTCACGCGTGTAATCCCAGCACTTTGGGAGGCCGAGGCAGGTGGATCACAAGGTCAGGAGTTCGACACCAACCTGGCCGACATGGTGAAACCCTGTCTCTACTAAAAATACAAAAATTAGCCAGGCGCAGTGGCGGGCACCTGTAATCCCAGCTACTCCAGAGGCTGGGGCAGGAGAATCGCTTGAATCCGGGAGGTGGAGGTTGCAGTGAGCCGAGATCGGGCCACTGCACTCTAGCCTGGGTGACAGAGCAAGACCCTGCCTCAAAAATAAACAAATAAACAAAACAACAACAACAATAACCCACTATATCTCATAGGGCGTGGGAGGACATTTGGCCAGATGATAGATGTTTATTGTTTAGGACAGTGCCTGAAAGTTGGGAAGTTCCTGTCAGTGTTAGCTATTGCTATTACTCAATCTTGAGTACCAGTACCCCTCAAACCACAATTTAGGGATTGAATGTGTTGCCTGCGCCACCCCAGGACTCTCAGGCACAGACCTGCATCTTCTGGAGTCACAGTTGCCTAAGTCTGAAGTGTAGGTAGGGCCACCTGTGGCTGAGGAGGACAAAGCGCCTTACCTGTGGCTTCCACCATCCCTTCTAGAATGACCACAACTTCAAACTCTTCCTGATGCAGCTGAGCCTGAGACATCTCCCAGAAAGGGCTCTTCTGGTTGATCTCATGGGAGATGATCAGAGGAGACACAAGGAAGAGGCGGTCGTCGCCCGTGTCAAAGCCCACGTTGATGTCTGTCTGGTTCAGGGGGATGAACTCCCCCTCTTTGGTCTGCCGGGACTTGATGAGCTTGGCCCGGATGGAGGCCTCCACGATGTGGGAGTTGCGGAGGTCGCCCACCCGGAACATGAGGCACAGCTTCTCGTCCCGCATGGAGATGACTGCGTTGTTGGAAAACATGAGGGTCTCCGCTCTCTTCTTGGGCTGGCTGATCTTGACAAACATGCACCCCACCATGAAGGCATTGACGATGGAGCCCAGGATGGCCTGGACCAAGAGGAGTATAATCCCCTCTGGACACTTCTCTGTGATGACTCGGAAGCCATACCCAATGGTTGTTTCGGTCTCAATGGAGAACAGGAAAGCGGACACGAAGCCACTGAGGTTTTCAACACAAGGAATCCACTCTTGGTCGCCAACATGGTCCAGGTCACCCCGGATATAAGCAATGAGCCACCAAATGAAGCCGAAGAACAGCCAGGTGACAGTGTAAACCATGGTGAAGACGAGCAAGTTGAAGCGCCACTTGAGGTCCACCAGGGTGGTGAAGAGGTCACTCAGGTACCGGTAGGTCTCCTGGACGTTGCCGTGGTGCACGTTGCACTTGCCACTCTTCTCCATGTAGCGCTGGCGTGGCTTCTTGCCCTCGGCCAGCAGGCGCGTACGGTCTGTGGCAATGGGGACATAATCGCGGGCCTGTTTTGGAATCTTCTTGGGGTCCCAGGGAGTGACTCCAATCTCCATGTCCTGGTTCATGGCATTCCTAGAATCGCCAGCCATAGCTGGGATGCTTTGAGTTAAAAAGACACCATCAGTGAAGTGGGCTGTTCTGATTCACTAGAACACAAGATGGAAGGCCACCCCCACCCCGGGGCTCTCCCAGGCTTCTCTTCTGTTATCCAGGGGTCAGGGCGTGAAATCCTCAAGGGCAGGGGCCTCACTCTCTTATAGGGTTCTTTTGTATCCCTGGTGCCTAGTACAGAGTCTAGCACAAAATAGATGCTTGCTAGCTGTTTGTTGAATGAATAAATGAACAATATCTAGGTGCAAACTACACATTAAGTGTTGAAAGGGTTTGAGAAACCTGGGAGCAATTTAAAAAGAATAATCACAATAGTTTATTAAATACCTACTGTGTCCCACGCATTACATGTGGATTGTGGCTTCTTATCGCCACAGCAATTCACTGGCATTAGATATTGGAATCCCCACTATATAAATACTATATTGTTTGCTTATGAATCAGGCTTAATTCAAACAGTCTCTCTCCCACCATCAGAATGTAAGCTCCACAGGGGCATAAGTTTGTGTTCATTTTGTTCTCTGGTATTCCAAGCACTTAGAACACAGCCCGGCACATGGATGTATTCAAAAAGTACTTACTGAGTAATTGGATGGATAAATAAAAAAACAGGCTTCCAAAGAGGTTAAGTGACACCCAGGCCACCAAATATCAGGCAGAGCTGATTTTTGGATTCCTGCTCATCTGGCCCAAGCCTGTGCTGTTTCTTTCATTCCTTGCTGTCTCTATTTATCTTGAGGTCTTTTAGCAGCAGACAGAAAGGAAAAGGCAGCATGTATCTGATTTGTCAATTGGTCACCCCTACCGTCTGAGTGTGAAGTCTGCAGCCATCTGAGTGCTTATTAAAATGACAAATTGCTGTGTAGGCCCGCCATTAGAAAATTTGATTCCCTGTCCTCTAAGAAATGGAACTGGACAGGATGTTAATGGCCCCAAAGCTCTTCAAAGGGCGTAATGTGTTTGTGGGGGTGCCTACCACACTTCCAAGAGATACCCACACACCTGCAATACAGGTGTCTGATAGTCCCCTCAAAACCCATTTAACGAGCTTTAAGACTCTCATTCAGTTGGGAAAGACCTCTTTAATTAACAATAACAGACAACATTTCTGAGCACTCAGAAGCCAGGAACTGCACTAGGAAATTTTTATCCATTGGCTGATTTAATCCTCACAACATGGTTAGATAAATACCATTATTATCCCCCCATTTTTCAGAAGAGAAGAATGAAGCTCACTTAGCATGTGACCAAGTGAGGTTTTGGGTCTAGGTTTATCTGGCTGCAGCCCAAAGGCTGACCCACAGCACTCACCACACAACGGCCAGCAGACACTGATGCTCCGGGGCTCATGCTAAGGCTGATGACCTGCTCCCTTCAGAAAGTTCTATGAGCTTCTGGCCCTGGGAAACATCACCTTAGGGATACTATCTTTCAACCCTTCTTCCTCTTTATAAGTAAGTCTTCCTTGAATTCGCAGTTACCCTCCCTCCCGGGTATAGGGTCCCCCAGGAACCCCCACTTACTTATCTGTCCTGATCGAGAAACACAGAATGCCTAGACTGCTCTGTCACTTGGCCAGCTGCATGTCTTTTCCTGCAGGCCTGAGCCCTGGAAACATTCCCTGGCACTGAAACCCTGTTTAGGTTGTTACCTGAAATACTGAAAGATTAAACATGTTGCTAAACATGTAGGAATTAGCCCAACCTTGGGCCAAATAACTCCATAACCCAGAGCCCTTGCCGCAGACATACTTAAGCGGAGCACCTCTTTTCTTGCTGTCTGTCATGAGGACCAGTGCAGCGCTCTACATGTAAGTTCCCCTAATAAGTGCTTTGGAACTTGGTGATTTCTTCTTTGGAATCTCAACTGACCCCATTTGGGGATGGTTTGGGCAGTCCCTTGCAGGAATTCCCCTGCCACCATTCTGAGGGTGACTCCAGCTGCAGGTTCCACCAGGCAGAACACCGGGAAGCTGTGTCCCCAGTAGAACAACCTGGAAAAAGGCCTGTCAACCACTGAGCTGACTGCCTAATGGCAAACCAAGGTAGATCCCAGCTGTCCTGGGGAGTCAGATGACCCTGGCAGGCCTTTTCCTGTGCTGCCTGGGTGATTATAGCAATTTCAAGATAACCTTTAAAACATCATATCAAAAGGTCATCTGAAGGGCTTTGTCCCAGATGTCCATTGGCCATTTCCCATTCTGCATAGGGCCACCTGCTTCCTGCTCCTTCATGTGGCAGTTAACAAGGATAAATGAGACAAGGAGGAAAATGCTTGGGGCTATCTTTGCAGAATCCCAAGCAGGAATTTGCTCTGCCTTAAGTGGGAGACTTCATCCTGAAAACTCAATCACAGATGCTCAGAGATGATGGAAAATGCTGCTGTCCCGAGGCCCCGTGTATTCTGGACACCCCAGCTGTTGGAACCAAGATAGGCTTCCAATGGGGGTGCCGCTGCGGACTCCCTGAGCCACTGAGGTTGGGCAGGGCAGGCACAGTGCCACAAGAATGAGTCATTGGCCGGGGCACATGGGAGCTCACATCCTCCTGTACTCAGCTCTTTGGGGAAACAGCTTGCTGCTGATTTTCTGCACTGTTTCCTTCTTTATTTTTAAACATACTTGCATACATTCTTGTAGGCGAAGGCTTTGTGCCGTACTAGAAACGGGAAAATGTTTTCTAGGAGACTTCAGCCCAGATAGGAAAACTTTTTGCGTCTGGCAGATAGGAAAGGGTGGTTTACTTTTGATTTGATATTGGGACGCATTCCTGTGCGCTGGAATCATCCGCAGAAGTCATCCCTTGCTCAACCCAGGGTAACATCTGGATTCTGACTCAGTGTCCAACAAACCAGCTTTGTGGTCCAAATACAAACAAACTTAACTTTCTTTGCCTCAGTTTACTCTGCTATAAATCCCAGATAATATCCTCTGCTCCTCCAGCCCTGGGAGCCAATTGTAGGGATTCATGGAAAGAATACATGATACAAACATAAGTATAAATAAAATAAACATACGTATTCATAATCTCTCCTCAAATTGAAATTTAATGCAATATCCCATTAACCCCATTTTAAAGATGAAGAAAGAGAGGTAGAGATTATCTAAGACAAATAGCTAAAGGCCCAGTGGGCAATTTGCAGGGCAAGCATTGAGCTGACCAGCATGCAGCCTCTACTGTTTAGATTTCTTTTAAGGGTAAGTAAAATCCCCATCCTTGAAACCCTGGCTTCCAGTGTTGTGTGCCTATCAAGTCAAAAGGATTTTCAGGGACAATGGAGATGAAATTCTTTAATCAGGTTTTCGAGATCCGTTCTATTAATTATGCACTCATTAAGCACACATTAATTGAGGAACTACTATAGCCAAACCCCTGTGCTAGGAGCTGGACATAAAGCAGTGAAGAAGATAAACGCAGAGCCAGCCCTCCCATAGTTGATATTCTAGCATTTCCTCTTTGAAGCTAGGGTTTTTGCAGAACTGTCTGTAGAGGACAGACAGGGAGGAATGCTGTGGCTGGCCTAGGTAAGCTGAGCATCCTAGCTACTCTCTGCAGGACGCAGGGAAAGGCACTGACTTGAGCAAATCCTATTAAGCCTCATCAAGCCTGATACTTCTCTTCTTCCATCCTCTCCTGTGTCTGTGAATGGGAAGCTGTGTTGAGACATGATGAAAGCTTTTGGAAAAGACAGAGCTTCAAGTCCAGCAAAGTGGTTTAATCCCTTTGATAGGAAAACACAAGTGGAGAAAGACTCAAAAGAGGCAAAATCAAAGGAAGTTGTATTTCAGATGATGCGTTAGTGAATGTGACATCCATTTAGATGGACCTCTGAATGAAGAATGTCAAACATCACGCACCCACAGGGAGGAAAACTTGGTGTCATGGCGTGGTCTAGAATGTCAGGAGTCAGGGCCCTAACAACTTGGTAAGAGCCTTGCTTGGGGGTCAGCAGGGCTTCCTGGAGAGACCACTGGCTTGGGAGTCTTTTCACAGACTCAGTCTCCCTATCTGTGATCACAAGCATCTTTATCAATTTCCTACTTTCTAAGATATGCTGGATCAAAATGTACCACTCTCTGAGCTTTGAAACACGGGATGAAGTTGGAGGAAGAGGAATGGAGGAGGGCGTGCTTATGTCTCATATGGAGATATTTGTATACTCTTCTGTGGGAATATATATGACTGTACTCATAGGAAAATGCTCCAAACTGGTTGGTGAACAGGCTGCCCCAGTCCCCTCAAGGCCCTTTAGGGTTAGCAGGAAGCATTCGAGGTGTTACACTTGAATGTAACACCAGAATACATGCTGGGGACAGAGAAGGCACTTGTAAGTAGGCAGAATTCCAACACACCCTCGTGATTCCTGCCCCCTGGTATACACCCCCTGAGGAACCCCAGGAAATCCTCACTCCCATGACTGGGGCATGTCATATGGCAGAGCTGAACTGAAGAAAGAAAGTTCATCTGGGGTGAGCTTGACCCAATCACAAGCCCTTTGAAGGGATTGGGCTTTTCCCGAAGTAAGAGATTCAAATTATTAGAGGAATTAGACAGAGGGGGCTTCTCCTTTGCTGGTTTTAAAGATGGAGGGGGCCACACGGCAAGGAATGTGGGTGACCTCTGGGAGCTGAGAGCAGCCCCCAGATGATAGCCAGCAAAAAAGTGAGGACCTCAGTCCTACAACCACAAAGACCTGAATTCTGCCAGAACCACAGGAGCTTGAAGGGGGCCCTGAGTTCCACATGAGAATGCTGGCCTCGCTGACACCCTGGTTTTGGCCTTGTGGGAACAGAGCAGAGGACACAGTCGCATCAAGCCTGGACTTCTGACCTACAGAACTGTGAGCTGATAAGTGGGTGCTGTTTCCAGCCACTATGTCTGTGGTCATCTGTTATGGCAGAAATAGAAAATCCAGTACAGAAAGGGAAGTCGGATCATAAACAGTTAGGAAGGCTGACTCTGGCATCAGATGACCTAGGTTCCTATTTTGCCTGGAGCTGAGGCACATTTGGAAAAGTTACTTCTCTAAGCTTCCGTTGCTTTATTTGCAAAATGGGGATAACAGTACTCACCAAAAAGAGCTGCTGCGAAGATGAAATGAAAGGTGTGTGTACAGTGCCTGGTTTACAGGAGCCCTCCTGAGAGGTAGCTCTTAGGATTTTCCACCAGGGGGCAGGGCTGGGAAAGGGGCTGGAGGGGTGGGGGTGAGGGGCAGGAGTGCTTCAAACGCCTTGAGGATAAGGAAGGAGAATCAGCAAGTCCCGAGTTCCTACGGTGTGTCAGCATCGTGCTCCCACTCCCGGGAGAGAGGCATTATCTTCAGTTTACAAAAGGGGAAAACAGGTGAGAGTTTAAAAACCTCGCCCGGAATCGCACGGCTAGTGCTGCAGGCTCCCCGGATTCCGCAGCAGCTGCTCTAGATGAGGGCATGCCTAGAGGCTCTGCTCCGCTGCAGCGTCTACGAGACCGGGAACCCGTGCCCCTTTCCTCCCCCCGCCCCGCCCCCCCAGAAGCCACGCCTGAGGAATTTTCTAAGACCTTTCCCTTTCGTCCCTCCCACGCCTAAGGTCCAGGTCCCAGGGCTTTCCCTTGCACCTTCATCCCTGGCCCTGCAGAGGCCTGCTTCTCGCTTCCGGGGTCGCCAGAGCGCCCCTCCCGCCACCCCGCCATCTCTTGGCCGGATCGTGCGAGAGAAGGGGAGGAGGTTGGGACGGGGGAGGGTGGCTGCGACAGGGGAGGGGAGCCTGGGAGAGGTGGGGAGGGAGGCTGGGACGGGGGAGCCCCAGCGCGGCAGGAACCGGGAGCCCTGAGCGCCACAACGTCTAGCGTGGCCTCGGAGGGTGACACAGGGGAGACCCCTCACCCCGCAGGGGACGAAGCCCCCAGTGCGGCTGGATAAGGCGGTGCTCGACGCCTGGGTGTGGCCCCCTGGCCAGCTGCAGCTCTGCGGCTGCGGAGGAGGCGGGGCTGGGGGATGCGGGGTGGGAGGGTGAGAGCCAGGAGGGGCCTGCGGAGGGGAGACAGAGGCCCTGTCCCCAGGGAACGGGCGTGGGGAGGCCGTTGGCAGTGCCGGGGACTCCCCGCCAGCGGGTCTCTCTTCCTGGAGGAAGGGCGGGCCAGCGGCCCCAGCCACCCAGAGACTGTGCCCAAGCCACACCGGTGGACAGGATCCTCCCAGGGGCCAGTCCTGGTTTCCCAGCTTTTCACAATTACCAACCTTAAAACAAAACAAAATTATCCTCTAGTGTACTCGGAGGTTTAATGGCACAGAGCCCGGTGGTAATAAATCTTTAAAAACCCGTCAGGTATTTCATTTAAAAACCGCACCATTTTGCAGCTATTTGTTCTATCAACTTAGGTCTGTGTCTATTTTTGAATTTCTGAACGTTTTACGGGTTTGCTTTTTGAGCCTGTTTGTTTCATAGCACATGATGGAGTAGGTGTGAAATCCCAGTGGAAGCTGACACAGGGCTTCACTCACTCAGTCAATTAGTCAGCGAACCCCCACTCAACACCCACTGGGTGTTTGAATTATGTTGAGCTCTGGGGATAGAAGGAGGTCGACTCACACTTCACTGGCATTCGTTCCTGTGCTTTCCCTTCCTGGGGATCTGGCTAAAATGCGGGTTCTGATTCTGTAGGTCTGGGGTTTCCAGAGTCCGCGGTTTTGCTAAGAAGCCGCAGTGATGTTGACGCGGCTGGTCCTCAGTGCACACCTGAGTAGCACGACCTCTCCGCCCTGGACGCACGCTGCCATCAGCTGGGAGCTGGACAACGTGCTGATGCCTAGTCCCAGAATCTGGCCCCAGGTGACTCCAACAGGTAATGAGATTGACGACCCTTGATGCGTTCTCTGTCCGCAAGGAGTTCCTGGTCTGGTGGGGAGTACACAGGCAAAAAAAATCAGTGCAGTAGAGAGTGAGAGAGAGGCCAGGGTGCAGTCCTGAATTTGGCTTGTCTGGGGTGGGCGAGGAAGAGTCAGGAAGGCCCTGGTGAGGAAGGCGTCCAGTGAGCAGGGTGAGGTGGCAGAGCCTTGTGGGCCTGAGAACAGGGGAGCAAACAGTAATAATAGCTCCAGCATGGAATCCCTGTTCTGTGCCATCTTTGTGCTGAGTGTTTTTCATGCATTGTATCATTTAATCCTGAAACAGATCTATTAAGTCCGTTTTAGTCGCCTCATTTTACAGGTCACAAAAGCAGAGTGATGTGGTAGCTTGCTTCAGGCCACACAGTTACTAAGCAGCGGGCTAGGTTTTGTCTGATTCCAAAGGCTCTAAGTGCAGCCACCGCTGCCTGGGAGGTTGGTTCCTCCTGAGCCCTCTGGGTGTGATGGGGTTGTTCTGAGTCCCGGGGGGAGCACCAGGGAAGGAACTCATGATTTCCTGCCATGTGGTCCGCTGTGCACAAGCTGCCCGGCAGCTCGGGTCACTTCCCGCCAGCCAGGGCTGTGTTCTCCCTCTCCCTCCTGCTCCCCTCCAGCATGCTCCCTACTCATCTAACAGCTGCTCCTCGGTGTTTCTAAGCACAATACTTGCCCCCAGAGGTCCCTGATTGCTCCCAGGAAATAAGATGTCCATGCATCCCAGGTAACACCTGTCATTCTGGCATCATCACCAAGAGTGCCCCGTCACTCTCTGAAGGTCTGCTTGGACAACGGCCCCCGCAGTAGAAACAAGACCACTAACTAGCAGCCACTGATTTCATTCTTAACACCCCTTCACTGGATTCTCCTTCATCTAAGGCAGGTCTGCCTCTGTCAGGAGTGAGGGTAACACCTCCTCACTCTGGAATTTCTCAGCTGGGCAGGATGTGCATGCCATAGTAACCAGAACCTGTGAGTCTGTGCTGAGCTCTGCCGTCTACACCCACGGCTGTGGCTGTGTGAGGTGAGTGCAGCTGCCGGATCGCGTTCTTCCAACACAGACACACTCTACATCCTTCTTGGTCACGTGCAATTAGTAGGCTTTCTCCTATTTTTATTTAAATGGGATGTCTTAGAGCTTCATTTTCATATTTTGATGTAGAGAAACATTTAAAATGTTGCATTCTCTTTATTTTAGGAAAAGCACATATACAAACCCATGATAAATGCAACCAAAACTTGCCCTGGGTTTGGGGGACATGGTAGGGGGTGGTGGGGACTGTGGTGAGCTGTACACACACGCAGTTCTAAAGCGGCAGCTGCTACTCGGCTCTAGTTCATTATTGCCTTGCCATGCCGTGGAGCCAGTACTGCAAGATCCTCCCTTTGCTTTTTCCAGAAAAGCCAGAAATTAAACTTTTGAAGATGAAATTTTTTTTCCATGTTGACCACTAATTCAACAATTTTTGAAAAAGTGAGCAAGCCATAGAGAATCTATGTGTGAGTCAGATTCAGTCTGTCAGCTGCCGGTTCGTATTTCTGGGCTAGGGAGTCGGAGAGAGGCCTTTTCTGCCCATGGACATGTTGGGCTGCGTTGTGAGTTAGGCTGAGAGTGCTGTTAAGAGTTGTGGTAGTGCCACTGAATTCCTCTCACAGCCTCCCTGTTTGCACCAACAGGTCTGCCACAAACATTACCTGTCAGTCCTCAGGACAACAAAGGCAGGCGGCCCGGCAGGAAGAGGAGAACTCAATCTGCAAGGCCCATGATAGTAGAGAGGGCCGCCTGGGCTACCCCCTCAGTGCCCATCAGCCTGGTTCCGGTGGTCCTAACTAGCCCTGTCTCCTTGCCAATAGCCCTGTGCTCCCCAGCCCCCTCCCCCATGCAGACGGCTGCTATGACATCCCTGTTCCTTAAAGTGCGGGGTTCCTCGCTGCCTTCTCCTCCCTAACTGGCACCCTGTGCAAACCTGCTGCAGAGAACAGTGTCTTGGGCAGTGCGATAGTCCTCCAGTTCACCAACAGTAAAAATGGTCTCAATGGGGAGAGATGTCTGACTGCAAGCGCTGAGTCCTTCCAGAGGAGGGCTGGAGGGACAGGAGGGCGGATCAGGTGGCCTCCTGAGCTGGTTCCTGGCGCCGATGTAATGGATGCTGATTACCAGCGGTGAGGGCATCGTGGAAGGGACTGCAGAGGTGTGCGAGATGAGTGGAATGAGGCCCCAGGTGCTGATTTTTATGCCCAGGATGCTCCTGGCTGTCATGGGCTCCCAGGGGCTCCAGGCATGCACAGCTCTTCCGCCTCTTCTCGAAGCAGAATGCCCCAGAAAGGGCACCTTTACTATCCAGGGTGGCTAGAGTCGCCGGTGGCTGTGCGTGGGGGCTGAGGGCTAGAATCAGGGCAAGGGGCTTTCAGTGAAACGCAGAGCCAGGCAGGGACAGCGCGGATCTCAGAACAGTCTTTGTCAGATGGGACACTTCATCCCCGCGGAGCTGTCCGTGCACACAGCGTTCTCTGATTGCCAAGCTGTTAAGCACTCTGCGGAAGGGAGCTGCTGGGAAGGCGGACGAGGCATCTCAGGTGGGTGAGGGGCTCCGCTGCATCAGCGTTGCTCAGACCCACCATCCCTGGGGAGCTGTCACTGACGCCCAGGTTTCCCCTTCTCAGTACATCCTGTGCCTCCTTTCTGGGCTGCCTCAGTCCCTCAAAGGGGAGCTCCCCACATGGGTGGGATTATTGTTGAGAACAGTCAGGGTGTTGACGAGGATGCAGGACTGAGGTTGCTCCCAGAGTCACTCAGTGTCCCTCGTTTTGCTCGGAGACATCCTGACCTGGGCAAGCTCTTTAGGGAGCATCTTTCCTGTCTGTGCCGCATTCTCCATGGCCTTTGCACTCTTTTTGCTTTTGTTTTAAACACGTCATCAATTCATTGCCTGCAGCAGCTTGTACTGCCTTTTGGTTTTTCTTTGCAGAACAGCTCTGGAAGTGAAGTGTGTGTGTGTGTGTTTGCGTGCACTACTCTGGACTGGGTGCCTTACACGTGTTAACACACTTGATCAGCTCAGCAACACTGTGGAATAAGTGTAATGTGTCCATTATTCAGATCAGGAGACTGAGATTCAGAGCAGGGAGGGAACTTGCCAGAGACCACATGGCTTGCAAGCAGCAGAACCTGGGTTTGAACTGACAGCGGCCTGACTTCAGAACCCACGCTTTCCCACCCTCCTACTTCACACCCATTTGAGTCCAGCCATCTTGGTTCTGAATCATAACCCTGACTCTCCTGGCCACATCCTATGCTCCACATTACATGTTACTCTACAGGTTACCACCCTGGGTCTCTTTCCTATATAAGAAATAGAAATATTTGTGGAAATCCTAATGTTCATGACATCTCTGCCATTTTATCAGGAAAAATTCTATCCTACCAAATACTGGTATAATGTACTTGGCCCCCCTGGATTGGATTGGTATAGGTTAAGAGCAGATATAAGGTCTGAAATAATCCCGGTATTCCTAGTATGTGGAATTATTATCATGGAATCATAATGGCAGTTTGCACCTCTGTTGGGCTCTTTCAACTCCTGTGTTGGCTCAGGAGAATCCTATCACATTAGTCCCCTTTTGTAGTTGGATAGTTGGGCTTGCCAGAAGGCACACAAATTTGGGTTAACTCATTTCCAGGATTCTGGCATTGTAGACACAGAAACACCGACTGTGAAGTTTTATGTAATACAAACACTGGGAGATTTAGCAATAGGCCTGCCAGGCGGCCCTGGCTTCTGGCTGCACAACAAAGGGGGGTGGCTGGTGCTGAATGGGGCAACAGAAGGTGAGTTTGGGGCCTGCAGAGCCTCGGGTAGCCCAGAGGAGCGAGAGAGTATTGGCTGTTCATTTTAACTCCATCCTTGGAGGATTCCCCACCACAAGCCTAAGGAAGTAATAAAACCTCATGCATTATTTTTTGATATCTGGAGAGAAACACGTACCCTAGAAATGCTGTGGACTAATTCCATGGTTACTTTGTCATTAAAGAAACCAAAATACTGAGAGGTCACCATAAACACAAAAAGGCAGAGAGAGAAGGATTAAATGGTGTTTCATGTAAGGATCTTTAAAGGGAGACAGAATTCTAGTCTGAAAGGAGCGCAGGCAGATCTGGCATTTTGCTTGGGGAGTTCAATTCTTTGGAGAAAATACAGAGACAAAAAGACCATTTTGATGGTATTTAAAATATCCCTCTGCCCAGTGTATCTAAGTGAGTCTAAATATATTCAGCAATTTTTTAAAGGGCAGATATTAGGCCCGATTCAAGGTATGGAATATAGATTCGAAAGGGTTAGTGATAGGTGAGTGCCTTTCAGGTAGCTTTGCATCACAGACCAAGCCCATTATTGAGGACTGTACGTATGGAGCAGGCCCGTGAGCTTGTGACTGAGTTTCCCAACCTGCCAGGCTCCCATTTGCTTAGGATGAATATTTTTCTGCCCTCCCTGGTGAGCCACTGTGGGCCACTCGCCACTCCTTACACCCCTTCCCTTTAATACCTCGCTTGGCTTACTTGCAAAATCCACATGCATCCTCCTGGATCTCACAGAAGATGTATGAAAAGTCATGGCCATGAAAAGGGCACGGAAATCAAATTAATTAATTTTGCTTTTTCCCCACGTTTGTTTCTGTCTGTCTGGTACTTTTCCTTTTTAAGCCTGCCATCTCTTTGAAAGTGAGCCGCACAGTGATAATCCATTTTCTTCATTGTAACCCCACAGTGTATGTATTCCACATTAAATAATAAAAGGGATTAATAATTAAATCAAAATGAAAAACCACTTGTTTCCTGTCTATAACCCAAGGGACAGATTTCCTGGGCTGGTGCCAATTTATCAGTGATGATTAGGGAAGATGAGGTAGAAGTGCACAGAGACAACAGCCTGAAAGCAAGATAATGTGAGTTTGAATATATTCATATACAAGTGAAAAGGATGAGATGGTGAGGGATGGTAAATGTGAGAAAGAGCCACAGAAACTGGACATAACAGGTAAAATCCCAGTAATTATCGTCACCTACTGGGGCTGTACCATATACCCAATTTTATTCCAAATGCTTTACATGTATAAACTCATTTAATCATTTCAGAAAAGGTACCAGGTAGATACTGTTCTCCCCATTTTATAGATGAGAAAACTGAGGTGCAGGAGGGTGAGTCAACTGCCCCAAATCTAGTAAGTGGTTGATCTGGAGTTGAACCCAGGCTGAGTGGCCCTTGACTCACACTCAGTGTCTGAGCAACTCCACAAAAATGGAATGCTTAAATGATTCAAGAAAGAGGAGATAGACAAATATCATGGGGTAAGAAATGAAACAGAAAAATCCATTGAGAATAAGAGAAAAACAAAGTGAAAGAAATAGGAAAGGCCAGGCACGGCGGCTCACGCCTGTAATCCCAGAACTGTGGGAGGCCAAGGCAGGCGGATTACCTGGGGTCAGGAGTTCGAGAACAGCGTAGCGAACATGGTGAAACTCCATCTCTACTAAAAATACAAAAAAAATGAGCTGGGCGTGGTGGTGAGTTCCTGTAGTCCCAGCTATTCGGGAGGCTAAGGTATGAGAATCGCAGACAGCAGAGGTTGGCAGTGAGCCGAGATTGCGCCACTGAACTCCAGCCTGGGTGACAGAGTGAGACTCTGTCTAAAAAAAAGAAAGAAAGAAAGAAATAGAAAAATCAGAGTAAGGAGTTGAGAATGAAAGAAGGATTTAAAAAAGCAAAGGACAAAAAGGAAAGACAAAGTGAAGTGTAAGTGGATGTGGGCATTAGAACGAAAGCTGAGGAGGAGGAAACAAAGAACAGATGAGAGACCCAGCTGAAGGGAACTGCATCTTGGCGCTTGCCATGGGGCACTGCTCATGCGCTAACTTATTTGACTTTCCCATGGCATTTCAAGGTAGGTGTTATTAGACACATTTTACAGAAAGAGAACTGAAGGTCTGAAAGACTAATGTCCAAGGCGACACAATTAGTTCATGGCAGAGCAAAAAGAACTGCTGACAATTACAAAATGCCAAAGAAAGAAACTGAAGAATAGCAAATAAATGGAGAAACATACTGTATTCATGGATTGGAAGACTCAATATAGTAAAAACGTTGATTCTCTCTGAATTCATATACAGATTCAATGCAATTTCTATCAAAATCTCACAAGATTTTTTATAGATATAGATAAAATTATTCTAAAACTTATGTGAAAAGGGAAAGCAACTAGAATAGATAAAACAATTTTGGAAAAGAATAAAGTGGAAGGAATCAGTCTACACAAGTTCAAGACTCATTACATAACTGCAGTTATGAGGAAACTCCAGACTATGTGGTATTGGCAGAAGGATAGACACATAGATTGATGGAACAGAACAGAGAACCCAAAAATAGACCTTTGCAAATATGCCCAACTTATTTTTGACAAAAGTGCAAAAGGAATTCAGTGGAGGAAAGACAGCCTTTACAACAAATGGTGCCGGAGCAATTGCACATTTTTAGGCAAAAAAAAGAACCTTGACCTAAGTCTCAGACTTTATACCAAAGTTAATTCAAAATGGATCATGAACTTAAATATAAAACAATAAAACTTTCTAGAGAAAAACATGGGAGACACTCTTCAAGATCTAGGGCAGGCAAAGAGTTCTTAGACTTGACAAGAAAAGCACAATCCATAAGAAGACAAACTGATCAATTAAACTTCCATCAAATTAAAAACACTTGCTCTGAAAAAGACTCTGTTAAGATGAAAAGGCAAAATTACAAAGTAGGAGAAAATATTTGTAAATTACATATCTGACTGACAAAGGACTGGTATCTAAAATATATACTTAAAAATTCTCAAAACTCAACAGAAACAACAACAAAAGCCAATCAAATTAGAAAATGGGCAAAAGACATGAGAAGACATTTTGCTAAGGAGGATATATGGGGGGCAAATAAGCATATAAAAAGATGGTCAACAGGCCAGGCGTGGTGGCTCATGCTTGTAATCCCAGCATTTTGGGAGGCCGAGGTGGGCAGATCACCTGAAGTCAGGAGTTCGAGACCAGCCTGGCAAACATGGTGAAACCTTGTCTCTACTAAAAATACAAAAATTAGCCAGGCATGGTGGCACGCACCTGTAGTCCCAGTTACTTGGGAGGCTGAGGCCGGAGAATCACTTGAACTCAGGAGGCGGAGGTTGCAGTGAGCCGAGATTGCACCACTGCACTCCAGCCTAAGTGACAGAGTAAGACTCTGTCTCAAAAAAAAAAAAAAAAAAAAAAGTGGTAAACGGTATTAGTAATCAGGGAAATGCAAAATGAAACCCAATAAGATAGCACTAGAATGGCTAAAATAAGAAATAGTGACAATAACAAATGTTGGCAAAGATGCAGAGAAACTGGATCACTGATACAGTGTTGGTGGGAGTGTAAAGTGGCATAGTCACAATGGAAAACAGCTGGACAGTTCTTCGAAAAAAAATAAAAAAAACTAAACATACAACTACCAGATGACCCATCAATTACACTTCTGGGCATTTATCCCAGAGACATGAAAACCTGTATACCTATGTTCACACAAGAACCAGTACACAAATGCTTATAGCAACTTTATTCATAATAGTCCCAAAGTGAAAACATCCCAGATGTCATTCAGTAAGTGAATGGTTAAACAAGCAATGGTACCTTCCCACTATGGACGATTCCCACTGTGGTACATTCCCGCTACTCAGCAATAAAAAAACCACACACACACACACACACACACACCCCCAACAAGCACACATGCACACTCCTAAATGAATCCCCAGAGAATTTTGTTGAGTGAAAAAAGCCAATCCCAAAAGATTACATACTGTATAATTCTACTTACATAACATTCTTGAGATGACAAACACAGACCAGTGGTTGCCAGAGGTTAAGGAGAGGGTGGGGTGGGATGGAAGTGGGTGTGGCTATAATAGGGCCACATAAGAGGTCCTCCTGGTGATGGAAATGTTGTTTTCTTATTGGCTATGTATTCGTTTTGATAGTGTACTACAGTTTTGCAAAATATTACCGCTGAGAGAAACTGGATGAAGGGAATGGCAGATCTCTGTTCATTATTTCTGAAACTGCATGTGAATCTATAATGATCTCAAAATCAAAGCATTTAGTGGAAAAATAAAGAATGACTGCAGCAGACAAAGAGATTGAGTTAAAGAAGCATAAATACACTAAACGGCATTTATGATCAAGAGAATGAGTGAAAAAAGACAAAAATGGAGGGGAAAAAAAGAACCAAACTGAGAAAGAGAGAGAGGGAGAGGAAGAGAAAGGAAATAAAATGTGACCAAGCGTGAGTGTCTAGGAGGAGTCAGGGGAGATTGAAAGAGATGCAGGAGAGGTGGTTGGGGCTGGGGGCAGGTGCCCTGGGACAGCCGCAGGCCCAGGCCTCCCTCCTACTGCCCTGTGTCTGGCCTTGGCTCCCTCCTTTCCAAACCCCTCCCTGGGCTCCTTCTACCCCTTCACCAGCAAACCTGTTTCTCAAGCCCCCTTAGAAGCCTTCCCTGCTCCATAAGAGCAGCCTGCCTTCGCCCCGGCGATGCCTGTGCCTCTCCCTAAGGGCGCGCAGCACGGATGCTGGAGTCTCTCCAGCAGCTCTGCCCGCCCCCAGGCAGTGGTCTGAGAGCTCAGAGGGCAGGCAGGCCCGGTGTGGAAGATCCCCCTGTCTAGCTCAGGTGCCTACACAAGGTCTGGCCTGTGTTAGGAGCTCCCTACTCATTTTTGAGGGAGTTCTTCTGGAGAAGGACACTTCACAAAGCAACCTGACTTGGCCGGGGAAGCCTTCATACTGTGATGTCCAGTGGGCTGGTTCCTGGGGCCTGACACCCATGGCTTCTGCTGGCACTGCTGGACAGCCCCCTTGCTGAAGCAGAAGCAGCACCTCCCACTGCCCAGGGTTCCAGGCACCAAGTGCTCAGCAGTGCAGTCATCCCTGGGGTTGGGGGGGGGGTGGGGGCACACTCTAAGGGGAAGACACAGGTTTGGTCCCAGGAGGCATCTGAGGTCCTCTTGGTTCTTGCACTGCACCCCACTCCCATTTTCCTTTCTGAGCAGCAGGAAATAATGTAGGATGATGGCATTGGACCTCCCTGACTGTAAAGTCGGGTGCCTGAAATCTGGGAGAAGGTGTAGGGTGAGCAGTACACCCAGCCCCGGACCGCCAAGTCACAGGGGATGAGAATGAGACTCCAAGTTTGCTCTCTCCTTCCCTCCCCAACCCCTCCATTTCTCCCCCACCCTCACCCTTTCCTGTCCCCCATACTATCTGGCCACCCTATTGATTGATCCCTGGTGACCAGGAAGTGCCGTTGCCACCTGCCAACTGTTCAGATGATCCATGACCTTTGCCCTCAGCTTGCTCTGGCCTGGAACGATAATGGAAGTTAACATTTTAAGCACTAGCCAGGATCTCCAGGGTCACATATTAAAGCTTTGGCTCTACCATTTAACTTAGCACGGCTCTTGGCAAGGGTTCCCGCCATCCTGGGCCCTGTTGACTAGAATAGCTCCCTTATCAGAATGTCAAGGTAGGAGGAACTAGATAAGCTGCTGCTGCACAGGCAGGGCCTTCAGAGGCAGCCGCTCACGCCAGCCCTGGCTGGCAGAATGTCAGAAGTGGAAGCTGTCCACTCTGTTTTAAAACAATTCCAGGGAAAGCCACTTCACAAGTCTTTTTGAGAAATACACTCAGGTATTCTTACTCAAATACCTCACTACAATCTTTTGAACTGGAACTCCCATTCTTCTTGTTTTTTTCTTTAGAAAATAAAAACAAAACACAGAAAGATTCCTTCGTGGCTGACGACTATCTTAACAGTTATCTGATGACAGATCCGCACTTGGAAACACTGCCAGCCCTCAATGACCTGTCTATAGCTCATACACAGTGAACATTTTCATCCAAAAATGGCCCCTTTGAACTACCTATGGATTCCCTGACCCCTGCCTTCTCTCCACCATCCTTCCACCTCCAGCCTAAATAGTCAATCAGTATTGGCTCAGAAAATGTGAGTGTTTGCTAACATTCTCCTAAACAAAAAGCATAACGCTGCCCCAACGATCACATTCCAAGGTTTTCAAAAATTAATGATTGCTGGCACATGATAGGTGACCAAATGAATGGTTGTTGAACAAGAAAAAAAAAAAAAACAATGCAGAAGTGGATGCAGTTTTCAAGTACATGAAAGCACAGGACACCTGTTTGTGGCTTCGCCCACCGCAGGCAGGAAGAATCAGGTCATTTGAAGGGGAAATGGAAACCAGAGAATGGGCATTCTAGTCGTTTCTTCCCTCCTTGGGGGTTTACTTCATCACGGATGACTAGAGCAGCCTTCAGAGTCTCCCAAATTCCTGGACAAGAAACCCAGTCAGGTGCTTGCAGAAAGCCCCAAAGGGATTTTGCTTGGCACCAGGGACAGCGAGGCTGAGTACTGCTGTGACAGGGCCACACACGTGTCTCTGCTGGACCCACAGACAAAGAGCTCTGCACTGCTCAGGACTTGCCAGCAGACTCCAGGGAAGCCATGGTGGGGAACCCCACTAAGATCTGACTTCATCCCAGAGAAGACAGCTAAGCTTTGGGGACAGCCCTGGGCAGAGTGAATGTGGCCCAGGTTCGCTTTGACCCCCCCCCTCACCCTTGGCTCCTCCTTTAGCTGAACTGCTCACTGGATAGAGCACAGGCAGGCTACTTAAAAAATGCTGCCTGTGAGTAATGCCGGCAGTTTATAGCAGCTTTTGGAGAGGCCAGAAAACAGCCATGCCTGAGTGGCTGGTTCCCTTTCTGTTGGAGAGCTAGGTAGTAGGTCTAGAACGTTGTTCTGGGGACAATCCTTGTGCTTTGTGGAATGTATAGGCAAATTTTCTATCCTTTCTTTTTCTTTTTTATTTCTTTTTTTTTTGAGATGGGGTCTTGCTATGTTGCCCCAGTTGGTCTTGAACTCCTGGGCTCAAGTAATCCCCTTACCTCAGCCTCCTGAGCCAGCAATTTCTCTATGTGTTGTTTCCTGTCTTTCAATGGTGGCCCTGCTGCTGCTCTTCCAAGAAGCACATACGCTGTGCCCCAGGCCTCCCACTGAAGGCCTTATGCCTCTAGGCAGAATGGTGCCATCTCAGGTGGGGTCCATAGATAGTTTAAAATACCAGCCAAGCTGACCAAACTCTTTATGCCAGAGTCCAACCATGGGCCTCTAACTCCCACATCATTTGCTCTGCCCTGTTCGTTCCTCAGATTCCAGGAAGCCTGAGCGCCTCATTCAGCCAGATGATGCAATTTACACCTGGCTTTGAGGAAAAGCAGGGATGTGGAAAGACAAGAGCAGCTTTCAGAATTAGCTTTTGTTAGTGGAAAGACCCTGGATTTAAAGCCAGAGGACAAGAGTTTTGGAGATAGCAGTGCTGCTGCCACTTAGTGCCTGGAATTCTGTTACCCTTACTCTCATCTATAAAACAGAAGAAATAAGCTCTGCCCCACAGGACTGGTGTCAAGATGAACTCATGTAAACGTATATAGCTCGGCACCTTGGTTTCATAAATATTAGCCTTTTCCTCACATGGAAAAGTGCTTTGAGAACCAGAAAGCCCGATAAACCATATGGCTTTTGATGAAAACGAGGCACATTTTGGAGTCAGATATAGGAGAGAATCTCCCTTTATGAGCTGTGCACCTGAGGCAAATTGCACAGCCTCTCTGGGCTTCAATTTTTCACCTGTAGAATGAGGATGATAATCTCAGCTTATTAAAAGGATTGAAACAGAGTAAAATACTTGGCGTGTTCCTGTTGATCTTCTTCTGGTGTTTGAAAAGGCTCCTGGAACAGGTTTTGGGCTGGTGTTGCTCACCCTGATGTTCAGGGTAGGCCCTAGAACTTTGGGGGCCGGACCTGAGGCCCTCCACAGCCCCTGGGGTTGGAGAGCCCTGTTTGAGGGAAGGCACAGATAAAACCAGGGGGCCAACAGCTCTGCAGGGAGAAGCACTGACTTGAAGAGAAGGGGAGCAATGACAAGGCCGGCCTTCTCTGTTCCCTATCCTCTGTCCTCACAGGCTTGACCCCTGGCCTTTCTGAACCATTTGAAAGCTCTTTAAAAGGAGATAGGGAGGTACGCAGGAAGTGACTTGGGCAGCGAGGGGGGCAGAAATCACAAGGCCGTGTTTCCAGTTTGGCCACACTTAAAAGAGAAAGCAAGATTAGGCTGGGGATCTAAGGCTGAGGGGGGCACCGCCCCCCATCCTGGCCCTCCCTGCTCCCATTTGAAGGAAGAGTCCTACCAGGTGAAAAATGTCCTCCACACCCCACCCACTCCTGGCCACTGTTGCCTCTCAAACCACTGCTGGGAGATCTGGGGCACCCCCAGGTAGCCCTGGTCTAGTGCCAGAAGTGAAGGTGTTTATGGCTGGGCTCCCAACGCACAGGGCAGCCTGCAGCCACGGAGATCTCCAATTTCCTAAACTTGGACCTGCCCTAAGCTTTTCCTTATCCCCCCTGGCTCCCAGTCTAGCAGGTTCCCTGTGAAAGCCTGCTGCCCAGGTGATGGACACCTGAGGGTGTCATCCTGCCCTCCAGAACCCGCGAGCTGGGGGAGAAATGGAGGAGGAAAAGAAGACAACTTACTTGTTGAGATCGGAGCTTCCGAGTCCCACTGATGCTAACTTCTGGGGTGTCCCTTAGCGGCGGTGCAGGGGGGCTCAGGGCTTTTGAGGGGACTCCCCAGCCCCTGCCATGACCCCACGGAGGAGCTGTAGCTGGAACCTCTCCCTGTTGTGGGGTCCTGTGGGCAGAGGTACCTAAGCCATCCTGTCCCTTCACTCGCGGCCCCTTGGGTCACTCCCTTTCTCTAGCGAGAGCAGCTGGAACAATCTCTCTCTCTCTCTCTCTCTCTCTCTCTCTCTCTGTGTGTGTGTGTGTGTGTGTGTGTGTGTGTGTGTGTGTGTGTGTCCCCTCCTCCCTCTCCTCTCTCCCTCCGTCCCTGGTACAAATGAATCTCTGGGTAGTAACGCGACTGGAAGGGCCACCGGCGTTGGCGGCGGGGGGCGGGCTGGGGTGGGGCGGGGGCTCCATGTGATCCGGGACGCCGTCAGCTCGGCAGGACTGGGAGGGAAGAGGAAGGCGGAGAGAGAGCCCGGCAGGCATCCAGCCCTCCGCTCGCGTCCCCGCGGCCCCCTGCGCCCTCCCCCGGCTCCCCCTGCCCCCGGCTGCACCCCTGCTGCGGGGTGCCAGGGACGGAGACCCGCGCGCGCGCGTGTGAGCGTCCCATGCCTGTGTGTGAGCGCCGCGTGTCACGCGTGTCCGTGTGTGAGCGCCGCGTATTTAGTGGGTGCGGTGGAGCAGACAGAAAGAAGGGAGAAACTATTAGGGCAGAAATCTTGGCTCGGAGCCTCGGCGGGGCTGCTCAGTCGCTCCGCGGTGCGCTAAGCGGACGGTTGGCAGCATTTCGCCGTTTCCCGAGAGGGATGGAGCAGATGGGGGGATTCCTTTGGGAAGGCGGGGGAGCCACAGTCTGGGCGCTGCATCCCCCGCCCGACGGCTCTGATTCCCGCCGTGGAGTGAGGGTCCGGGGGCCTGATCCGCCAGCTGCAGGGGGAGTAGGTCCAGGGACAGGACCCAGGCTAGCTGTCCCCGGGCTCGCTGCTCACCCCGGACGATCTCTCCCCGGCGTGCGGCGGCGGCTGGGCGGCGATGGCTGGAAACGCGCCCTGCACGGACAGGAGGCGGGAGCAGCCCGGAGGGAACGGAGCTCAACCTTGCCCAGGCGTGGGCAGAGCCGGCGTCCTCCGCGCCACCTCCCGGCTCTCCCTTTTGGATTCCTACCTGCCTTGAGGACAGATGATGACCAGAGTGTGTTCTTTAATTCGTGGAAGCCGTAGGAAAGGCAGCTGCCAGGGCAGGCTGAAAGGGAGGGCTGCTGTCTGGGGAGGGCCGGCAGGTGCCTCTGAGGACCGGTCTGTTCGGGGTGGCCCTTCTCACCCGGTGGTGTTCCTTCTGGCCCCTCTCCGTTACCCAGCCTTTTGGGGTCAACACCCCCCCTGCCAGCCCCCTCTCTCAGGGCAGACACAGCTGGTCAAACGTGGGGTGCCCTAGCACCTAGCACAAGTGCTAGGTGAATGATGTCTACGACCAGAAAACTGGTTTATTACGTTGCAATGAGAAAAATGCTTGTCACTAATACTGGAGGGCACCAAGTCCATCCTCTCCTGTAAGGACAGTGACAGGGAAACTTAGTCTCTAACAGTGGCCTGGGGGTCCTCTTGCCTCGGAGACCAGCGTACACACAGCCCGTTGCCCAGGCACCCTCCCCTGGGACAGAGCACAGAGCGGTCCGGCCAGAGTGGGCCTCCTGATTGCCCCTCTTCTCTCTGTAGAGGGGGTGATTGTTAAATGTGGCTGCAACAGGCCCTAACAGGAAAGCTCTGTGTCCCCTTAGGGGACTCAGCTTGCCTAGGTGCTCACGCACTGCACCATATGTTGTTTGACCTCAGGGCTTAACACTATTGTGGAGAAAGTTCTTAATTCCCTAATTGCCTAGTTCTTGGGAGAGGCTTTGGCTGTGCAGTTCTCAGGTCCAGATAACACACACTATAATCATCTGCTGAGCCCTGAGGAGGGGCTCTGTCCTGGGGCAGCAGTTGCTTTTGGATTAGGTATAAAGACCATGATATTCCTTTTGCCATTACGGGGTGGGGGTCAGGGGACCTGGACTGACTTTAAAGCAAAATATAGGGTGCTCTGGGAAATACTGTTTTGCAAAGATTTTCTCAGTGATGGGACCTTGGATCGGGAGACAGAAAAATTTGTGTCCAGGTCTCACCTGAGAACTGAAAAACGCGAAATTTGGGGATTCTAGTCCTGAGCAATTGTTGCAACTTGGAGGAGCTTTGAGAGGCCCAAGCCTCTCAAAGAGCACAGACAACATCTGAGGATAGCAATGCAATAAAAGAACTACTCAGGGAGCGGTACAAGGTGCTAAGTATGTCTTTCATTGTCTGAAAATTGCTGAGGCGGTGCTTGAAAGCAACAGAAAATGTGTATGTATTATCACTGTTAATTAGAGTACAGCCTCACTTCTTCTGTTCTCTTTATCTGCTTCTCTTACCTTCTTTCATCGAGCGGGAGATGGGTTCACAATTAAAGATGTTCTCTTTAGAATATAAGACTTGCAGAAAATTATTTTTTTCTCCTATTTATAGAAGTTATATTTGCATTAGGAGCCTGGTAATGTCTCATAAATATTTCCTTTTAGATAAAATATTAATTAAAGGAGTTTGTTGAGTTATACTCTGAAATCCTAACTAAATAGCTTCTAAAACAAATATTTTAAGCATTTTTTCTCATGTCAGGAGAATTCTTCATACGTCCATAAACAGCAGATATCTATCGAGTAAGGACATATTATTTTGCAATATTTAACATAATACTGTAGCTGCTACCCAGTTTAAAAAAACAAAACCAGGCATTGCCAACACTGCCAAATCCATGTGAGATTACCTCCTCTTCCCTCAGGAGAGAACCAGCCACCTGAGTTTGGTGTTTCTCTTTCCCATGGCTTTTAAAATGCTAAACAGACACACACACAAACACACACACACACCCCTACACCTACACCTACTCAGTTAGCGAATGTTGACTGTATGTATTTTTATGTCCACACACTCTCTTGGTTGATAAAGGCCTACTATGTTTGAGACACTTTGATAGGTGCTATGAGAGAGACCAAAAGGTATAATGGTGGGCTTTGATCTCAAATGTCTCACATCTAACAGGGAAGGTGGCATGTCTGCGGGTGGGGGGAAGTCAGCAGACAAATTAACAGCATAGGATTTTAATTCCTAGGTGTTAATTGGGAGCTGGTGTGGAATTGACAGGAATGCTAACACAGCTCGGAGAAGAGGAGCTGGGACTGACTTCTGACGGCAAGGCTACGCAGAGAAGGAAGGTCTGAAGGACTTAGGGAAGGAAGACTAAGGTTTGAATGTGATGAGAGGGAGAGGAGTCAAGGAGCCGGGCTGGAAATCAAGGCTTGGGCAGGCAAGGCTCAGGGTGCTCAGGGACCACAAGAAAGGGAAGGGTTGCTGCTGGGGGATCTGGGCGGTAAAGTGGTGATGCCAGTGGCTGTAATTAACGCAGTGCCTACTATGTGCTGAGCTCTGCTCGATGCTTCACGTAAGTAATTGCTTGTAATTTTCTCGACAGCCTCGGGAGGGAGGTAGCTTTAGCACCTTTCTCCGGAGAGAAAACAGGCTCAGACAAGTCAAGTCCCCTCACACTGGCAGGAATTTCAGACCTGCTAGCAGAACCCAGTTTTGTTAGTTTCCAAGATCATATTTCTAATTGTTATGAGATGAACGGTGTCTCTCCCAAATTCAGATGTTGAAGCCCTGATTCCCAGTGCTTCCGAATGTGACTGTATTTGGACATGGGGCCTTTAAAGGGGTGATTAAATTAAACTAAGGGGCCGGGTGTGGTGGCTCATGCCCATAATCTCATACTTTGGGAGGCCGAGGTGGGTGGATCACCTGAGGTCAGGAGTTTCAGATCAGACTGGCCAACGTGGGGAAACTCTGTCTCTACTAAAAATACAAAATTAGCTGGGCATGTCTGTAGACCCAGCTACTCGGGAGTCTGAGGAAGGAGAATCCCTTGAACCTGGGAGGCGGAGGTTGCAGTGAGCCAAGATCGTGCCACTGCACTCCAGCCTGTGCAACAGAGTGAGTCCATCTCAAAAAAAAAAAAAAAAGAATTAATTAAACTAAGACCATTAGGGTGAGTCCTAATCCAATCTGACTGGTATCCTCATAAGAAGAGGAACTACTTTGAGGACACTAGGAGAAGGCAGCTGTCTCCCAGCCGAGCAGAGGCCTCAGGAGAAACCAACTTTGTTGACAACCTTGATCTTGGACTCCTAACTTCCAGGGCTGTGGGAAATCAATTTCTACTTGAGCCACCCCGTCAGTGATGTTTTGTTATGGCAGCCCTAACAAACGAAGACATTAACCACGCATCTCTGCCTCTCAGAAGAGCCTCATATCCCAGGCTGTGGCATCTGGATTTTCTTCTGCAGATTGAAAGCAAGTATTAAGAATTTCTGAGTTGGGGAGAATTATGAAAATCATTGTGAAGATTTCCCTGGGGGTTGTCTGTGTATGATTCATTCATTTATTCATTTCAGTGAAGACTTATGGAGCACGTGCTTTGTGACCTCTGCAATGACAGGGACCCTGTTTGTCTTGTTCACCTCTGGGTGCCCCTTAGCAGTGCTAAGCACAGCATCTGCTACATAGGAGATGATCAATAAATATTTGTCAAATGAAAGAAAGGATATGGGGTAGGTTCTGCACTTAGAGAAAAATGACAAGACAAATACAGAACTTGCCTTCAAGGAGCTGAGAGTGTGGTGAGGCTGGTAGTCAGTTTGTGGTTAGTTTAGGTGGAGCTGAGATTATTGTGCAGTGCCACCCAACAGAACTTTTGCAATGAAGAAAATGCCTGATATCTTGTCTGTATAATGTGGCATTGTGGCTACTGCCTAGGTGTAATGTGGCTACTGTGAATAGGAAAGGGAATTTTAAATTTTAATTAATTTGCATTTAAGTAGGCACTATGGCTGGCAGCTACTGTATTGCACAGTCTAGGATTGGAGGCAGGGAGAGCGTTCGTGGGCTGGGCCCTAGTGCTGGCCTGAGGTGATAAGGCTGCAACAAGGCAAAGGAAGAAAGAGCCTTGGGACGGGTAGTGGGTTGCACAGTCTGGCGGCAACAGTGCCACCCCCTGGGATCATGTATGAAATGCGGAATCTCAGGCTCCACCCTCCACCTGCTCAAAGAGAATTTGCCTTTTAACAAGCTCTCCAGGTGACTATGCACACTGGGGCTTGGAAGAGCATGATGTAGAAGATGTGGCTGAGAAAGGGTCAACAGGAGCCCAAAGGAGAAGAGGAATGAAACTGGATGGCTTGGAGCTGAGCTGGGCTAAGCTCCCCTGAATCTCCAGAGGCACTGAGATCCCCTCCTCTGTGGACACCTTGACCCCTCCGCTTCCCTCTGATAGAGCGCCGATCACATGTGTTGGGGGTTCTGTGACCTGTCTCTCTCCTCTACCTGCAATCTACAAGTTCCTTAAGGGTGTAAACCTTGTTTTTTAAAACCCAAGTAAATGTTTATTGAATGCGTGCATGCCTGATGTCAGGAATGAGAAAATTAGCAGGAGTAGGTGACTGGGACGGGAGAGCTGCTGAGTTTGATTCTAGACATGCTGCATGCATGTCTAACTGAAGGTTGGTGAGAACTCCACTAATTGCAACTCCACTAATTGCAACTCCACAAAAAGTGGCAACTCCACTAATTGCCTAAGTGGAGTTGTCTGAGAAGAGGCAGGAATGGATGTCTGGTGATGACGGGGGAGTTGAGGATGGGGTGGAGATTTTGGAATGTCATCCGCAGAGAGGAGAAGACTGAAACTCTGAGAAATAATTTAGGTATCTGGAGGAGGGTGGAGAGAGAAGGAGAAGAGGCAAGAGCTGGGAACTATGCTCAGATCTGGGACAGAGGGAGAAGGATACAGAACAGGAGATAGAGGAGTGATCAGGATGGCTGGAGGTCAGCAAGGCTGGGGTGGCAGAATGACCTGGAAAGGAAGAGTGGCAAGAAAATTGAGTGGCCAGTGTGCCGGCGTCCCTCGTTAATAGAATATTTCTTTCATAGTATTTATCCCATGAAACCTGTGTGCAACACAGCAGAGGTCCAAAGTAGGTAAGTACAGATCCAGAAAAGTCATGGAAAATAGGGCCAATGGGAAAAAAAACCCCTAATCATTGACCAGGCCATCAAGCTGTCATTAGTGACTTTGCAGGATGTGTTAAAGAGGCCTCCTATTCATCTCACAACTCAAAACAGACATGCTCTCTGGGAAAGTGGCCTGATATTCATGTTGATGCCTTGACTTCTCCCAGTGCATAAGCTTCCCACTTGTCATTGGATGATCCCAAATTCACTGTTCCTTTAATGCCATTGAATTCTGACCATAGGGAGCACCAATGGTAGCTTCAGCTTCCCTGAAACAAGCTTCCCGTTCCTGAATTTCCTCTCACTCTTGAGTCCAGGCCCAGGTGCCTGAGAGAGGCATTTGCCACAGCTGGCCATACAGTTGACTTTATCGAGTCAACATCTGTTTCTAGAGGGCACAGCACTTAGCCCCAGGACTCAGCTTGGTGCCCAGCGCTGAGCTTCCAGTTATTGCACCGCTAGGGGCAAATGATGTTTTTCTTCCTATCCAGTGAAGTGGGCTCCTATTTGGCAAGGAAAGAAAATGAACAACTTTAATTCCTTCCTAACTTTTTTCATAACAACTCTCTTAATTCTGTTTTGTGGAAAACTCCATAGACATGCTGACCAGCAAGCACCTGCCCTGCCCCGGTGTGGTTTCCACAAGGGGGGCAACAGCACCATCTAGTGTTTGAAAGAGATTTCACACTAGGTAGAACACATGTATTTACTTACCTTGATCTTTAGTTTTTGTTTTATTAAGGTAATATATTGGCCGGGCACGGTGGCTCACTCCTGTAATCCCAGCACTTTGGGAGGTCGAGGCGGGCGGATCACGAGGTCAAGAGATCGAGACCATCCTGGCCAACCAACCCCGTCTCTACTAAAAATACACAAAATAGCTGGGCGTAGTGGCACATGCCTGTAGTCCCAGCTACTCGGGAGGCTGAGGCAGGAGAATCGCTTGAACCCGGGAGGTGGAGGTTGCAGTGAGCCGAGATCGTGCCACTGCACTCCAGCCTGGGTGACAGAGCGAGACTCCGTGTCAAAAAAAAAAAAGTGATATATGAAAGTAATATATTTGAAGCATCACATTTTTCTAAATAATTTGAAACAAAAGCAGTTGGGTTTCCTCTTTGACCATCTTCCAATCTGCAGAGGTCATCACTTTCATTTCTTTTGGCTATTTTTTCCCTTTGGTTTTTGTCTGTAAATGACACCCTTCTAGTAATACTTATAGATGCTTCCATCTTCAGAGACGACCTATGAACTTTCTACCACTGAAGATGGAAACGTGGCTCCCTTTCCTCCCCTGAACCCACCACGTGCTCACATACTTCCCATTTCTCGTCCAGCAAGGGAGCTGTGTCACAATTTTGGTTGGATGAATACTCAGTTTTAATATTTTTATGTCTATAAAGTTCTGTTTGTATGTAGCTGATCCATGCAGCAAACCAGATTGCTTTGTCTTTCCTGCACAACTCTTTTTCTTCTCTGGAGGGACTAATTAATTGTCTTGGTTTGGTTTGTGTAGTTGTGTTTGCTCTCATCGCCAATTTCTTTTTTCTTTTTTGGGGGGATGGAGTCTCGCTCTGTCACCCAGGCTGGAGTGCGATGGTGCGATCTTGGCTCACTGCAACCTCTGCCTCTTGGATTCAAGCAATTCTCCTGTCTCAGCTTCCTGAATAGCTGAGATTACAGGTGTGCGTTACGCGCCACCATGCCTGGTTAATTTTTGTATTTTGGATAGAGACAGGGTTTCCTCATGTTGGCCAGGCTGGTCTCAAACTCCTGACCTCAAGTGATTTGCCTTCTTCAGCTTCCCAAAGTGCTGAGATTACAGGCATGAGCCACCATGCCTGGCCTCATCACCAATTTCAATGCAAAAATTTCCACCTACCATTTCAATCTCCTCTCAAGATGTCCAGATGCACCAGAAGTCCTACTGATTCCATCTGGAGAAATCTCCCTGGTGCCTTCTGCTCCCTTTGGTCTGGCCTGGTTGCCCTCTCTGCCTAGCGCACAGCTGGCTTCCTGGCATCTCTGTTTGCTTTGCCTCACTCCCATATTGCATCCCCTGTTTCCTGAATCCCATGCGTGTTTCTTTCTTGGTTCACTCTCTTACTTTTTAGGAAGAACACGTCCTACCATTGCTTCCTAGGAAAGAGAGTGGGCAAGGTACAATTTTGAGATTCTGCATATCTGAGAATATCTCTATTCTATTCAATTGACAACTTGGGCAGGTGTAGAATTCTAAATGGGAAATTATTTTTCTTCGGTATGTTAGAGGGATTTCTTCTTCTTCCACATTTCAATTATATTGTTAGAAGCCCGAAGCAAGTTTCATTCCTGATCCTTTTGCGGGTCCTCTTTTTCCTTTCTGGAAACTAGCCAGATCTTCTCTTAGTGAGTAGTGGTGTGAAATTTCACAACGATGTGCCTTGGTGTGGGACTGTTTTCATCCACTGTACGGAACACTGGGTAGCCCTTTTAATCATCGCCTTTCCTTCTGGGTGAGTTTCTTGCGATGCCTCTTTGAGGATTTCCTCCTTCCTATTTTCTCTGTTTTCTCCTGGAATTCCTCTCACTTAGGTGTCAGATCTCAGAAGCCTCTCATTTCCTCATCTTTTTTCTCTACTTTCGTCTCTTTGTATTTTTGCAGTATGTTCTAGTAGATCTCCTCAACTTTTTTCTTTCAACCCTTCCATTGAGATTTTTATTTTTCTATCATATTTTAATTTCCGAGGGCTCCCCTTTTTTCTATTCCCTGAAGGATTTTTGGAGCATCCTCTTTATTTGAAGCGTTCTTCTCCCTGTACAGACCCTGTTTCCTCCAAGATGCCTTTTCATGCTTGTGTTTTTGCTCTGTCTTTCCTCAGATGCCTGGTAACCGGGCAAGAGGAGGCTCTGGGCCTGTGAACTTGACATCTGTCGGGTTCCCTGTAGGGTGTTCTGGCAGGCCATTTTGTTACAGGAACACTTGGTATCAGATTTTGCTTGCGGGAAAGTCAGATTCCTCAGGAAGAGCTCTTTCAATCTCCTGCTTGGAGGACTGAGTCCTGACCACCAGCCTTCTGAAACCAAGTTGAAGGAGAGAGCTGGGAGTCTTGACATCTAGTATGGATATGTTTACTTAGTCATCCTTTGAGGGGGTCTGATAAGCCCATCCTTAATGGTTCTGTGTGTTTTTCAGTCAAGAGACCCTTTGTTTTCCACTTTTGAGAGAACAAATCTCCAGGCTTCTGCCAGGAAGGGCTGGGAGAAGTCTCTTTTTTGGGCAGAGTCCGGGAGGGGAACAGGAGGTCTAACTAGGGTGCTTCCTGAATGGACTCTCAACCCATCTCCCCCTTCTTTTGGCTGCTTCCTTCACCCCCCACTTCCAGGGGTAGATAGGGTCATAGACATCTAAACCTTTTGGGAGTCTGAAGTGTCAATTGCACTGGTTCTTGGTTTGTTTTTTTTCTTGCACAAGTGTAGAATGCATCTGCTTTCTGGGTTTCAAGAAAGTTGCTATTGTTTCCTCTCCAGTTCTTGTCACCCTTCAGGGTTTATGCTTTTTTAAAAAAGCTGTTGTTTTATTGGGATTTTGGATGGGAGCAAAAGTAGAAGCATTTCTTTAACTTGCCATCTTTATGCTGAAGTCATTCATTCATTTTTAATCACCCATTCTGTAAACATTCTTGACCTTCTCCTATGCAGTAAGCTCTCCGGTAGATTCTGATGTGCACTGATGAAAAAGGCTGTGTTTACTGCCCCCATAGGCATATGTATTTTATGTGGTATCAGATAAATAAATAGCTATACAAGCTTAAATCTCAAGGGGACACTGCTAATGGTGATGGTTGGGTGTCTCCATGAGGGTCATCTGTCTTCCAAGAGACCCCGGAAGGTGATGTAGCTTAGACCATTTGCCGAGGTGCTCTTACAAGTTTAGACACCTAATTTCAAGCACAGCCATCTCCCGAGAACGCCCATCTCCACCGACTGAAGTTCAGCCTCCTGATATCTAGATGAAAATGTGAATTCGTTAATTAGCTGTGTGACTGTGCTGGGAGCCAAAATACACAAGATGGCACGATCAGCACATCTCTCCCTACAGGGGGGCTGGACAGGAAGCCAAATCTTGATTGAAGCATGGCTGGGTGAGTCTGGAATCCAACAAGGGCGTGAATTGTAGATGCCTTATGGCCATTTTTCGTGGCTCCTGAACAAGAAGTAAGGGCATGTTCACTGGACTGGACTGTGGGAGCCTGCTGAATGAGGCTTACCCTTCCTGGAAAGTGCCTGATTCATAGCCCTGCTGAGGCCTTTTTTTCCTTCGGGTACATCAGGTCACATTGGGGGAAGACACAAAGGAATTGGACTTTTTCTAGATGGGGTCAGACTCCCCCACCTGCCTCCAGCTGATCAAGCTGTCCCCCTGACACTCTGGCAAAGACAGATCTTACTGGGTCAGGGGACACTGTCCCTCACTAGATGCAGGCTCCAAGTGGGTCACCCCACATCTGTCTGTTGGTGGACACACCTGCTGGGGGAATTGAAGAATTGCATGAGGGGCCTGAGGAGCTCTAGAGGGTCACAGAAAAAGACCACCCTGCCTCACTTCACAGTAGCATCAGGGAACATGTATTGGACAGTTGTTCCCAGAGAATCCCTTTCCCCAGAGAACCTGGCAGTCCTTAGCCCCTGTGCCCTTTTGAAAAAAAGAAGCCAAGCCCCAGAGCTGTGGGGGTGGGGAGTAGCCAGGATGGGATCTTCCTCCTCTGTTAGGATTTGCAGGGCATGGCTTCTGCTTACTGAGCCAGGAAGGACAAGGCAGGACTGGGGTGTGGGTGGCACAGGTGGGCATGGGGAATAGGAATTGGGCATGAAAGTGCCCCATGTCACTTCTGCTCCAAGGCACCAGGGCAGGCCAAGAGCTTGGGCACTGGACTTGCCCGCTGCGTCCAGGGAAGAGGCAGCCTGGCCAGAGGTGGGCCACTCTGGGGGCCAGGGTACATGACCACCCAATTGAGCAGAGGCTTTGGTCGGGGAGCTGCTGTCCCCAGTCCCCCTACCTGCCCCCACCCTCCCACTCCATACCACCCTCCCCTTTCTGGTGTCCCCAGGCCCCTGACCCCGCCTGATCCTCGTGGCTGGTGGACATCACCAGAAGGGCCTCAGCTCTTTTATCCAGCAGCTCCACCTCCCGCAGGCTGGAGCCCTTCCCTGTGTGAGACTGTAGTTCCGAGGAGGCTGCAGTCCCCCCATGAAAGCCAGGGAGAGCAGCACAACAAACACTTAGGTTTTTTTGTAGGATTAAACATAGTTTTGTATTTTTTTAAAGGGGTTTACAGGAGAAGATTATTAACCTGACCAAGAGCCAGGAGGCCAGGGCCAGTCTCCGCCCTCCTCTTCAGCTGCCTTCTCATGCTAACGTGATCTCATAAGATACCGTCCACCAGAGCGCTGTGGGAAGGGCCACACAATGAAGGTCGCTATGGTGACTGTCCCCTAAGCAAGACCAACAGCACTTTACAGAGCAGAGTCCCTGTTGGGATTCTCTTGCCTGCGGGCAGGTACAGCCCTGCATCCTAGTACCAAGCCTAGGCCAGGCCTTCTGTGCTGTCTGATCTCCAAAGAGCATCCCAGCCACCCAGCCCCTCTATTTCCACAGCCCCTGCGGCCCTCAGGGTCCCTGGAGACAGCTGTCTCTACCCGCAGGTTACAGCCGGGGAAGGCTCGGCGTGGCCTCCGCTGTGCATTGGTAGAGGACTCAGAACTGACACTGGAACTTCCTCGTTCCTGGCTATATTTGACTTTAGTATTACACATAATAATAATAGCAAGCAATGATATTTTATATAGTATTTAGAAGCTGCAGGGCACATTCACACAACGTTGTATATGGCAAATAGAATTTGTCCCTTTTTCCAATGAGAAAGCGAATACGCAGAGAGATTATATAACCATTCAAGGTCAGGCTGCTGTGACATAGCAAAGGCGGACCTCAAGCCCAGATTTGCCGATCCAAGTTCAGTGTTTTTCCTACTACCCAAGCTCCCTGAGGCTGTCACCCTGAAGTGTGGGGCCCTTATTCTAAAGCACGTTTCCTTCCCCTGAATGGAATCTTCATGACATAGCCCCCAAGGCACCGCAGGCTCAGAAAGAGTGCAGGGACCCTGGCCAAAAGGCCAGTGAGACCCGCTCTTTGGAAGTTCTAGGACATTCTGGAGAGGCCTGGGGTTTGCAGTTGGTCCCGTAGGCCCTGGGCATGCAAAAAAGACTGTCCCACGGCATCAGCTGTGGGTGGATCTTTGAGCAGCATGGTAGGGAGTGGGGCAGATCACATCATCTAATGTGGCTGAAGGGCGTTGACTTCAAGGTCTCTGCACTGCTTTGTCTTTGCAGAAGCTGACGACTTCCAGAGCCTGGGCGAAGGTGCATGCCGAGTGTCTATCTGTGCAAGGGGAATTTGCTACCTACCCACCCCTGCCCACTTCCCCCCAGCATTCAGTGAGCACAGGGGCTGACCAGCTGGGAATGTGTGAACCTGCTTGTTTTGACTTCAGATGTTACAGGGACATGTGTGAGGCAACTGGGGATCTGGAACAAAGTGAGATGCTGAAGTATGGAACCGTAGAAAGACACAGGCCAGTGTGGACCACAATGTAAAGCTTGGGATCTCCCTTGAGCCCCTGGCTTTAGCTTGCCAAAGGGCCCCGGCATGGTTCTCTGGCCTCACTCCCTGCCAACTCCCCAGCCCAGATTTCCTTTCTCCACAGAGGAATGTGAGAAGCAGGGCCATCACCATCTGTTGCTTCTCTTGTCAGAGGTTCCAGCTTGAACTGCCTGCTCTGTGGGAATCTGACAGGTCTGGGCATGACTGAGGGGGTGGTGGGTGGTCCTCCCAGGGTCTACTGGCTGCCAGAGGAATTGTAGCCTCCAGTGAAGATCATCAGCCAGACCATCATAACCTGGTAACACCGTGGGTCTTCAGAGAGGAGGCGGAGAGGGTGGGTTATACACACAGTATAGGGGCCACTCAGCTTTGTCCTCAGCCCAACCCCCTGCAGATGTGGGTCTTGGTGTCTCTCCAGAAACAGAATGAAAGGTACCTCCCCTGCTCACTCTGCCAGAGATGGCACAGTACAGGCCTCCTGTGTGTTCTGGCAGCCCTGTGGAAGGCGCAGTGGGCTCTGTGGATCTGACACCTTGAGCACCTCATGCCTTGATCTTGAGTACGTGTGAGACCCCAGAGGGCACCTCTTGGAAAAGACTTTCTTGGGTCAGGGTGGTGACACTTTGCAGGGGAACAGGCATCCTGGACTAGCAGGTTGGGTGAGGCAAAGAAAAGGGAAGACACAATTTTAGTCATCCTTCATTCATTCTTTGGACAGGCATCACTCTTGGGAGCTCTGGAGTGTGAGGATCTTTGGGAGATACAATGTTGACTCGGAGGAGGTCCCTACTCTCCTCCTAGGACTTCAAGCCAGTAAAGGAGAAAGCCATGATCACAGATAAAAGCAACCTGAGAAGTAGCAACAAAGTCCTGCAAGAGTGCGAGAGTTAGGGGAGGAGGGCGTGACCGCTGACTTGGGGGTTGGAAGCCTTCATGGAGAAGGCTTTGGGAGGCTGCTGTCTCCCCTCTGCTTGCTGGGGACAGAGGTCAGGAAAGCAGTGAGGCCACATCTTCAGAATGAAAAGTAGAATTTCTGTGGTGAAGCCACCGTGGGGCTCTTGGCCTGTCTTCCTGCCCTATTTGTATTCATCAATCCAGCCTACCAGACAGCCATCTCTGCCACAGTGCTCAGACGACCTATATACACACCAGCCTTTCCCAGAGATTTATTTTTATATATTTACTCTTTAAGCTTCTAGTAAGTTGCCCACATTTTTTTTGGTAGACCTTATCAGGTTTTTTTTTTTTCCAAATGTGTCAAAAAGGAGAGAAATGTAAAAGGAAAAAAAAAAAGAGGAGGCACTCTCCAACCTGCCCTTGTGATTTCACCACCAAGCCCAGGCACTGGGGTGGAGACATTTTAGGTCTTCCCTGAGGTTTGCCAAGTTCCTCACCCCAATTCTTGAATGTTCGAAGACTGAGAGAGAGTATTTTGTCTTTATGATCTGCTTAGTATTTATGCTTCCATTGCACAGTGGAGGTGGAGTCTGGGATCTGAGCCCTGGTTCTCTATCTATCATCCGTGTTCTCTTGTGCAAGTTAACTGCCAACAAGCCATGAAGGTGCAGGCTGGGAGACACATGGGTTCTTTTTTTTTTTTTAGATGGAGTTTCACTTTTGTTGCCTTGTTGCCCAAGCTGGAGGGCAATGGCACCATCTCGGTCACTGCAACCTCCGCCTCCCGGTTCAAATGATTCTCCTGCCTCAGCCTCCTGATGTACGGGTTCTTTAGCACTTGTAAATGAAACAAGTCACTTCTAGCTCAATACAAATCACCCTATGAATTCTAAGGGGCATTAATAGGAGCATGATGTCTAGAATGAAGGAGGTGATGGTCCTATTTCACTGGAGCAGGTGGGAGCGCACCTCCAGAGGGCTGGGCCCCGAGGGCTAGGTGTGAAGAAGGTTCTTGCAGGCTGGAGTGTTTGGGCGGATGTTGTTGAGGCAGAAAGCACAGGAAATATGGGCAGGCCAGAGGTGACTTCTAAATTCCCTTCCAATGCAGGGAGTTTGTGAATCTATGAACCTTTCTTTTTCATTCCAGGAAGCAGCTGCTTGGGGAGTGGAGGTCCAAGGCTTTTCAGATTGCTGGTGTGGTACCTAGCTATGGAAACTACTGAGCAGTCAGGTTCACAGAGTTAGTGCTTGAGTGCAGCCTTGACCCCTGGTCTCACCACCGACAACACCAGGACCCCTTTAGGATGGGTGTTCAAGGCCCTCCAGGAGCACCTCTTGCTAAACCTCTGCTGCCTCATGCCTAAATACCTCTCTGCCTCCCTCACAGGCAAAAGAGATCCAGACGATAGAGTAACATCAAAGGTTCTGTGAACTGCAGGTGAACAGACGATCATCTTCACCTACGGGGCTCATCGCCGTTTCATTCCTGTGCTTCTCGGGAGGAAAGTTACCGCGGAGCAGCCCCTCAGCAGAGGAATCCGTGGTGGAAACCCAAGCGTCCTGGCTGCAGTCTCCTGGGAACTGGAGTGTGAATGCTTTCCTTCTGACGGCAGACAGCTGAGAACCTGCAGGGTTAAAAGTGCACAGTCCGGGAAGGTTCTGTTCCCAGGACAGCGCTATCGAGTCCACTGGGCGCTCCACGCGGTCTACCTAAAGGGAACAGCCTGCGGCGTCGGCACCCTATTCATCTCTAAGGGTGGGGAGATGGAAAAATACCGTGCTGCTTAGCATTGATGAAGCGCTTGCTTCAGGGAAACTGACTAGAATCTATTTAGTCTCCAGAGCATTTCTGAGAGGCAAGCAGGCCTCAGGGCACTGCAGAGGGACCACATCTTTTTCTAGAAAGCCTGGGAGAGAGCAGAATGAGGCCAAGCCTGAGGGCTTCTGGCTCCTTCTCTTCCTTGTGTAATGCCCTTTCTGACTGGTGTGAGTGTCAGGGCTCCGTGAATAACCTACTATGTGTCTCTGGGTGTGAAGTTTGGGCTATGGGATGTGTCTGCACAATATCCTAGAGAAGGAAACATTTTGTATCTGTCAAAAACCTACTAGGGATGTCAAAATATGAAACAATATTTGTAAATATGAAATTCTGGGGAAAACGTGGCAAAACTCCTCAAGATTGACAATAAGAAACAAAGAGAAGTGGTGAGCTTCCTCCTACAGAAAGGCCCCTGGCTCCTGCATTCCAAGAGCTGGTCCCTGCCCCAGAAGGAGGCCACAGGGCCTGTGTGGAGGGGTCTCCACAGTTAGGGAAGGATGAAAGGTCACCCTCCCCAGCACAGCAGATCCTGCCACCTTGTTCCCACCTGCCCTTCTGCCTTGTCTGCCAGCACATCTTCTTTTAAGCCCGGCTTTCTCCCCTTTACTCTCTGGCCTCCATGCTGCTTCTCCTTCCTCTACTCCCCACCTTCCATGACCACCTGCTGTAATTTTAATCTTTCTATAGTGTCCAGTCCAACAGCACCTTCTCTGTGAAGCTTCTCCAATTTTCCCAGCTGGACAGAACTTCTGTATATTCATAACCCTTCCTATGCATTTGTGCCTTATTATGTTTGTGACTGTCTTCTCTTCTATAAGAGATTCAACTCTTAAAGGGCAAGAGCCATGTTTTGTTTATCGTTGCAACTCCTAAAGTGCCTAGCATGCTGCCTTTTATTTAGTAAGGCCCTCAAAAAGCTTTGGATGAATTAAATGGAATCATCCAAATTTTCCCTGCATTCAATTCGATTTCTTTTTCAAAAAAAGGTCTTCAACCTGGAATTTCTCACTGAGTGAGATGCTTTCATCTGCAGTGGCAGGCAAGGTTTCAGAGGGAAAGCATTTTTATCTCTTGCATGTGGCTTTCTCAAAACCTTTCCCTTGTGAGAATATATAGCAATGTTCTTTCCTTCTTGTCATCTCAGTGGATTATCCAGTTCTCCTCTGTCACAAACACATTTGGATTTTACCATCACTCTTTCACCAGACAGGAGCTTTCAAGAAAATGAGGCCTCAAAGGTAGAAGAGCCTCTTCCAGCAGAGTCCCTCTGTCCTGTTCCATTTAGGAGCTGGAGGGCCTGTTAGGTGATGTGCCTTGCTACCAGTGGTGTCATCTGCATGGCTGCCCTTCCTCAATCAAAGAAGGGCATTCACAGGTCAGAATCTGTAGAGAGCAGTGGCCTGGGATGCCTTATGTATGGATGGGAAACAGCTTGTAGATTTGTGGCTGCATGAAGCAAAGATGCAACTCAGTCTCATTGTGTTTGAATACATGTCAGTGAGCTAGTTTTGCAAAACCCATGAGGCTGTGGTGATGAAGTCATGTATCAATGAGACTCGCCAGTGGACACTGCTTGGCTCTTCCTGTCTGACTCTTGCAGCTGCCAAGCATGTTTTCCACATCACTAAACAAGACCACCCCTCCCTTGGAGCTGGAGTCAAGGAGAGGAAATACTATCCACCAGAAAAAAATCACAACCACACCGTCCAACTATGAGCATTAGTCTTGGAGCTGCATTTCTGAAAAAAGTTCTCTGCCCTCAGCGAAATTTTTAGAGGGGCTTGTGGGAGAAAATAGGGGGAGATGCCAAAATGCAGATGATGGTGACAGTTGTACGCAGAGGATTCATCCCTTTCCCCCTACCCAAAAGTGGATGCTGGGAGAAGATACCCCCGAGTCACTCAGTGCTAGTTACTGTGCCATTCTTACTTGGGGTGTGTTGGGGTGTGGGGGGATGGCTACCACTCCCAGGGCTCCAGGAGCTGTGGTTCAGGTGAGCAACTGTGGTTCAGGGCAAATCAGATGCTCCTTCTGAATGGCATGGAGACCCATGGTCAGGGCAAGGCATAGAGATCCACCATCAGGGCGTTTGCTTCGTCTTGCCCCATTTCATTGTAAATTATTCAAAGATAAAAGGGACTGTGCCTTTAAAATTTATTTTTGTTAAAGTAATCTACATATAATGTTTAAAAAGGCTCTTGTTCACATTATCCCCTCTATATTCCTCTCCACACTCCCATGTAGCTAGATCAGAAATTTTATTAGATCAATACTCAATGTTGCATTCTGATAACTCTAATATTGTTCACAGCTCAACCAAGTTAGGGTATTATAAGTACATTTTCTCTCCTTTATAGTTGCTTGCATTTAGTGGAGTTAACAATGTTCTCCTTTTCTTATTTACATAGTTCTCTATATGTCTATCACTGATTCATCCTGAAAATCCCCTTCAGAACCATAAACACCCTCTTAACACATGTGGGCAACTCAGTCTGTCCCATTTTCCTGAGAGGTGGCCACCCCTCGGTGCTGGCTATTCTCAGGGCCAGCTGGGCAGATGTCCTGCAGGGTGGTCCTTCACCATCACCCAGGCAAGACTCTTTGCTTCTTGCCCGTGCAGGAGCCCCTGTGTCTGGGATTTCCTGTGTCCCATTATCTGGGATTCTTCCCTTTCTTTGGTGGCTGCATCTTCTAGTCATGTCCTAGGAAATGGTGTGGAAGAGGTAATTTGAACCTTGTGTATCTGAAATGGTCTTTATTCCACCTGCACATTTAATTGAGGGTTAGGCTAGGTATAGAATTATTTTCCCTCAACATTTCAATTTGAAAATACTCCACTGTTTTTCGTAGCATCCTGTGTGGCTTTGGGGATTCAAGTGCCCTTTTGGTGAACAATTGTTCATAATCATTGATGTGCAGTATATTTCTCTTGCTTTATCTCCAATGTTTTGAAGTTTCATGAGATTGCCTTGATGTGGTTTACATTTTTTGTTTGGGGTTCTTAGTGGGCTCTTTGAATTTGGAATCTTGTGGCCTTTCATTCTGAGAAACTAAAAAATGTATATATATCATTCTTCCATAATTTATCCCCTCTATTTTTTCAGTTCTTTCTTTCTGGAACTTGTAGTATTAGTCTGGGTCCTCCAGGAAGGAGATGCCAGGACAGGATGAAACATGAGAGGATTTTGTTAAGGGAGATGGTGGTGAGAGAGTGTGGGGAGGAATCTAAGGGAGGCTGGGGGCTGGGGCAGCAAGTCTGACCCCTGCGAAAGAGAGAGGGAGGGAGGGTTGGAGGGTGCACCTCGTAGGGGACAGCTGTCACGGAGCTGAAGCCCCATCAGAGAGCCTACCTCTTCCAAGAACTGGCCTGCCTTGGTGCTCTGCCTCACTCAGTGACTAGGAGCAGCCCACAGACTGTGTGCTTGGAGCAGAGGCTGTGGAGGGCCTCAGCAGCTGCAGCTGCAAGTTGGCCAGGTACATTCTCATGGCTGCCACCTCCTATCATCCTGTGATTGCTGACTCTCCTGCATGGATTCTATCCTTTCCTTATCTTTTCTCTCCTATTATTGTTCCTTAACAAAAACTATTGGGAGATTTTCTTAGCTTTGTTTTCAGATCATTTTATCTGCTCTAATATTTAAATTTCCAAGTGCTCTTTCTTGTTCTTGGAGTCTTTTTTTCTAGCGTCTTGTTTGACATCTATAATATCGTCTTTTCTCTCTGAAGGTAGGTAAGGGTTTTAGACATTTATTTTGCCCCCTGCTAGGCCTCTACTTACTCCAGGTTTCCTTTCTCTGTTTGCCTTGACCTTTCTTTTTCATGTTAAAGCCTTTCCTCAAATGTCTGATTACCCTTGGCTGCCCGTCATTTAAGAAAGCGCCACTAGTCAGCTCATCGGAAGCTGTGAGGGAGAGGGCTGCATTTGGTCCTGCCAGGTGGAGGAACACTCAGGCATCAGTACTAGGAGGTCTTTCCTCTCAGCCCATTGGATTTCCCTAGAGTCCTACACGGCTGGGATGAGGCACCTGGGTGCTGAGTAGAGGAAGGGAGTCATGGGTCAGTCACCCTGTATGCAGATTTTCACACAACCCCCTCTCTCCAGGACACGCCTCGCCCCCCACCCTAAGTAATGCAGAACCCAAATCCACACCCTTCCTGGGTTTCTCCAGAGTCAACCTCAAACCCTAGGCTGGGGAGTCTGTTTCCTATAGGCACTTTCAACCAGTGATCCTGTTTTCAGCCCCACACATCAGCTCTTCTTTCAGAGGCACCTGGCCCCTCTGTTGTGTGAATGGGAATGTGCTGCCTTCCTCTAAATCAGACAAGCACCTGGAAAGGCTTTTTGTTTATCTGAATGACTCCTGTTGGAATATTAGTCATGAATAGGATAATATGTTTCAAATGTTCCAAACTTCTTTAAGAGAAAGAGAAAACCGTCTGTTGACTCTGGTCTTCACTCAGGTCCAGCGGCGGGATGCTCCAGGTCCAGTCTGAGGAGTAAATGCTGGGCGTGTAACCTCATCAGTGTTGGGAACCTGGTGAGGCTACACAGCACAGAGGGGCCGGACTGCATCAGGGAAAGAGGAGTTGGGCTGTCTTCTCATTGTCACACACAATCCCACCATGGAGGACTCAGGCTGTCTCATGGCTACAGAGGTAGTGAAGCAGTTGCCAGGCGCCACAGCAGGAACGGAATTTCTCCGTGAAGACAGTGGTAAGGCGGAAGGACTGAGAGTGCATCCCGCTGGGGTACTGGAAGGTGTAGGATTCCATCAGGGCAAACGCTATCATTTGTGCTTTAAGACTAGGATTTGTGGAACAGGGAGAATGCATCCCCTGCCCTCCCTGTTGCTTAGCAACAGTCCTCTTTCTCATTCCCAGCAGGTCCAAAAGGGCCCAGTTTTGAAGATTGGGGGCAAGGAGTGGGGGATGAAGGTAAGATAACTCCCTGGTCTGCATAATAATGAGACATTCTGGCTCCATTGTGCAAAAGGTACCTGCCTTGCAAATGAATGAAGTAGTTAAAAAACACTTCTCCCTGTTTGGGGTTTATTCTGTGAGGATGAATGCTTACCTGGGGGAGACACATGTTTCTCTGTATGTGTTTGTATTTCCACAGCTGTCTGCTGGATCACAAGAGTCAAAGACACGCCTTCAGCCCACACAGGTGGGGAGGCTCAGAATGCCTGCCCCCTAGGGCCTCCACGCTGGACATTGGGTCAGGGAAGCCCCCTTTCCTGAGTTGTTCTGTGGGACTCCAAAGGGCCTCCTGCCAAGCTCTCTGACAGTTCACATCCCATCTGAAGAGCCTCATGCACCAGTCCAGGGCCTCTGAGAAGCAGATGCCAAGAGGGGATTAAAAATGCCAAGATTTTGTTGGAGGAGATGCCCAGGTGAGGAAAGTCAGAGGGAGGCTGTCTGAGGAGTTTTCAGACCAGGACTCAGGGCAGACCCTGAGGGGAGGAGGGAGAGCAGGTTGGGAGGATGCATCCTAGACTGCCATGGAGTCTAAGGAAGATTCCACGGCCGTGCAAGAGTGCTCCAGCCAAAGGCACCCTTGGAGGAGCCCACCTCTCCCGGGGACTGCCTCCCTTCATGTCCTCCTGTGCTCAGTCCCTTCAGAGTGCAGCCCCTTTGGCCTTGGACACTTCCTCTCCCTGCGTTTCGTTGGGCTGCAGGGCGTGTTCTCCTGGCCTCCACACCCAGGCCTGCTCAGGGGTAGGGTTGGGTGAACCTGAGGCTTGGGAATATCCCACTGGGGGGATTGGGAGGCCTGCAAAGGTAGGTAGAGGGCCACGCAGTGAGGGGTGCAGAAGGGAGGGCCTGTGGACAGAGGGGGTGAACCCAAGGACGGCAAGCAGCAGCAGGGACAGGCGTGACCACAGGAGGCCACCTGTGAAGGGAGAAGGCCAGATTTAGCAGGAGCGTGGACTCCCCGCCTGTTGCTCTTTCCCCCACCATGTTGTAGCTCCTTAGTGTGGGTCTCCTCCCACCTCACTTCGCATGGGAACCCTTCTGCAAGTGGCTTCACTTACACCTGTGTCTTGTTCTGTCTGGGCTGCTGTAACAAAATATCTGAGGCTGGGTAATTTATAAACCACAGAGAGTTATGGAGGCTGGAAGTCCAAGACCAAGGCACAGGCAGGTTTGATGTCTGCTGAGGCCTTGACCACTGCATCACATGGTGGAAGGCAGACGGGCAGAAAGAGGACAAACACTGTGTCCTCACAGCAGAAGAGAATGAACCTCCTCCCTCGAGCCCTTTGATAAGGGCCCTAACCCCATCTGGAAGGGCTCTACCTGATGACTTAATCACCTCCTAAAGGCCCTGCCTCTTAAAACTATCTCATGGGGATTATGTTTCAATATATAAATTTTGTGAGACACATTCAGACCATAGCAACCTACTATGTTCTTTTTCCTTATCTGTAATGACTGGTTATGCTTATAAATGTTTGAAAGCAAAAGTGCCTTTTCCGTGAAATTTTGCATCTGTTTCCATTTTATCCCTTCTCTGAGCATCATGGAGACTCAGCTGTCCTGCCCCGGGGACTGGTGTCAGGAACCTGGTGTATGGTCTCCAAGCTACGCTGCTGCTCTGATGCTTCTCATCTCTTTGACTCTTGAGCTGAGGTTGATCCCTCCTACAATCTTGTGTGGTGTTGAGTGGAGGAGGGGACAGGCAGTGAAGGGGCATGTGGCCAGCCCACAGTCACCCACTCTTGCTTCTTGCGAACCCAATCAATGCTTCAAGTGATTACCAGCTGTGAAGTGTGAGGAACAGTGGGAAGAGAGCAACTCAGGAGGGGTGTGGGGTAAGGACTCCTCTCCCTCAGTCTCCTAGTGGGAGATGGCCCTAGGGGGTGGGCTGAGGAGGAAGACAGAAGGCTGACACTCGGAGTAGGTTGGATTTCAACCCTGTTCATTCAATGACAAGTGTATTACATATGCTATCTCTTGAGCTTCCCACTGTAGACTTCTGAGGTGAGAAGCTAGGTAACTTGCAGTTGGTAGAGCAGGGTCTCAACCCCACCACTGAAGTGCAAAGTCTGTGATGTAAAGTTCTGCATTGCCCCGGGACCAGGGTGGCTGGTGAATGGCCAAGAGAAAGTCAGGTCAGCCTGACCTTCTAGGGCAGGAGTCCCCACACCTGGTCTGTGGCCTGCTAGGAACCAGGCTGCACAGAAGGAGGTGAGTGGTAGGTGAGCAAAGCTTCATTTGTATTTTGACCACTCCCTATGGCTCACATTACTGCCTGAGCTCCGCTTCCTGTCAGATCAGCAGCGGCATTACATTCTCACAGGATCCTGAACCCTTTTGTGAACTGCGCATTCGAGGGATCTAGGCTGTGCGCTCCTTATGAGAATCTAACGCCTGATGATCTGTCACTGTCTCCCATCACCCCCAGATGGGACTGTCTAGTTGCAAGAAAACAAGCTCAGGGCTCCCACTGATTCGACATTATGGTGGTGTTGTATAATTATTTCATTATATATTAGAATATAATACATAATATATATTATATGATATATTAGAATATAATACGTAATATATGTTATATAATATTTAGAATATAATATGTAATATATGTTATATAATATTTAGAATATAATACGTAATATATGTTATATAATATATTAGAATATAATACGTAATATATGTTATATAATATATTAGAATATAATACGTAATATATGTTATATAATATATTAGAATATAATACGTAATATATGTTATATAATATATTAGAATATAATACGTAATATATATTATATAACATATTAGAATATAATACGTAATATATGTTATATAATATATTAGAATATAATACATAATATATATTATATTATATATTAGAATATAATACAGAATATATATTATATATTAGAATATAATACATAATATATATTATATATTAGAATATAATACAGAATATATATTATATATTAGAATATAATACAGAATATATGTTATATAATATATTAGAATATAATACAGAATATATGTTATATAATATATTAGAATATAATACAGAATATATGTTATAGAGTATATTAGAATATAATACATAATATATGTTATATAATATATTAGAATATAATACATAATATATATTATATTATATATTAGAATATAATACATAATGAAATAAGGAATATAATAGAATATTATTTCATAGAATAGAATAGAATATTATTTCCTTCTATAATAGAATAGAATATTTCATTATTTCATCCCATATTCATTATTTCATTCTATAATATTATAGAATAGAATAGAATATTATATAATGTAATAGAATATTATTTCATTATATATTAGAATATAATATATAATGAAATAAGGAATATAATAGAATATAATAGAAGTAAAGTAATTATTATAAGTAAACACAGTAGAAACAAAGTTCACAATAAATGTCATGTGTTTGAATCATCTCGAAACCATCCTCCCCCACCACCTCCCTGGTCCATGGAAAAAATGTCTCCCATGAAACTGGTCCCTGGTGCCAAAAAGGTTGGGGACTGCTGTTCTAGGGCCACTGAGTGATTCACAGGACAGGAGACATTTGTGAGGGGCTCCTTGGGGACCCCTACTTCCCTGCCCTGTAACATCCAGCCTCATGTGCGCACGTGTTCAACTTCATGCCTTTGACTTAGACACATCGACATGAGCATACCGGCCTTCTGGTTCCAAGCCAGGGTTCCATAAACAAATCCTTCTTAGTTAGCCTTGGTAGCTCAACACCTTTGGTATCTCACTCACTTAACTGCCACGCCTACTCTTGTTGGATCCGGTTATAAAGTAAACTATGTTCTTTGAGAACTGTTGCATACAGATGAGTTGGCAGCCGGTCTGAGCTGGCCCACAGACTCATAAAATCAACAGGGCCTCGGGTACCCTCACCTAGCATATCCAAACTCTTGCATCAAAGGTGCAGGGACTTGCTCACATCGAGAATCTGGTTGCTTTCTTGGAGACCAAGAAAATGAGTTTTTGTTTCTACATTTACTCCAGCAATCCATGAGGTAAGAGGAGAAACACCTCATTGTCTCTTTGTAGGAAAAAGAAGTTAATTCTTGTGAAAATTTAGACCTCTTTTCCCCGCCTCAAATCTAGGCAGACTTGTCTGTCCACTCCTGGGGGATAGATAGAAGCATGGTTTTAACTCACTCACTGGATGCTTTTGGTGTGCTGGTTACATGTGGATTATTAGCTGTGTGCTGCATCTTGCCTTCCCTGGGTCACTCCGCAGCCCTGGGGCTGGAGGGCAGTAAGAATCTTTGGTTGCATCATGCCTGATTCCAAAGTCTTCTTTTGGTGGCAGAGATGTATGTAGGGTTTTCATCTCTGGTGGCATCCTTTCAATTGTAGCAAGACCTTGCCTAGTAACACAACCTCTGCCAAGCCGTTTCCATCTTTAAGGTAGAGGATCAAGGTGCTAGTGGGGTCTATTATGGAAAACATATATCAGGAAAAGGCAAGAGTTAGCCAGACATTTTGATTACCTTCACCCAAATGTCTTTCTTTCATTTTCTGATGTAGGACTTTATAGGAATTTTGCACCATTCTGAATGGATACATTTGGATTTCTCAACATTTGTTCAGCTTCCTAATGACTGTTGTGACAATTGCTCTATACCAGTGAATGCCAACTGTTTATCTCTGCTCTGAACAGGTATGGAGCCCCTTCTCCCAATATCTGTATCTTACAGATTTGGTGCATAGACGCTTAAAAGGAGTTGGTCTTTCGCAACCAGCAATCTTTAGGAAAAATGATTGAATTTTTCTCCTTTTAGCTGGGCTTACAAAATGGAGCAAAACATAGTGATTGTGCTATGGACCTTTTATGGACAGGGACTTGGCAGAGCCACTCACTGGATGCTTTTGATCTGCTGGTTGTACCTGGATTATTAGTTGCGAGCTGCACGCTGCCTTCCCTGGGCCATTCCGTAGCCCTGGGGCTGGAGGGCAGTTAGAATCTTTGGTTGAATCTTCGGTTACATTGGAGGAGCTGCCCAGTCTTTGTGGGCTCCCTTCAGTCATGGGCTTGGCTTGTGTTGTCTTACTCTACACTGTTTAGTGTAAATGGATTCTCACTAAGTCAGCTTCAGCTTTTAAGAGCATGATGGGGTGGAGATATCTGGGAACGTATGGGCCATCAGAAAAGCATTTTTTTATACTCAAGTCATGAAGGTGGATTTCTTCTGTGTAAGGAGGTGCACCAAGTCAGTGTAGGTGCAAGACTGCCCTTGTAAAGAAGCAGAGTATGTGAATTCCTTGTGAGTGGGTCTTAATCTTTAATGCTTTAATGACTTTTGGTTTGCCTGATTTTTTTTAATATAAGAAGTTTGTAATTGCCAAGCATGCTTTTCTGTGAAGAGCTAAGTCTCAAAATTCCCCATTCACGTTCTTTTCCTTTCCTCAGTAATGTGTTTTTCTGTGCTAGGTTATGAGTCTACCCTGCACCTTGTCACAGCTCAGTGATTGTCCAGGGATTCAGCTGTGACTCACATGCTTTGCCTTTTACTTGCTCCAGGGTTTCCATGCATTGAAGGCTTCCTGGTGCCCTCTCAGTGGAATTGCTTCTGGCCTGGCAGTTTGATCCTGAGGGTGACCCAAATGTTTCTCCCCTTGGCTCCATAATTTAAGATGCCAGTGATGACTATTGTCTTTCTTCTCTTCATTCTTGTCTTTCTCATGACTATTATTATTATACATACAGGTTTTTTTCTTCATTTGCCTTTCAACAAGCTTGTAATTAGAACTCATTGTGTTTTGGATGCTAGGTCCTGGGAAACCACTGAATGGCTTGGGAAATGCTTTGCTCTAGAGGGCAGGTACTTGGGCTAGGGGCTATGTGCATGGAAACAGGCTCTCACACGCTAATGGGAGAGATACCTGATGAGTGGGGACTGTGACACAGAAATGTAGCTCATAGTATCATCGCTGCCTGCACAGAAAAGTACATCATACTTTTCCTACAGAGGACCTCATGGAAGCATGATCCTAAATGCGCTGGGTGGGCAGGAAGGGGCCTACTGGAGGCAGGGGGAAGAACATTCTAGAACAAGGAAATGGCATTTACAAAAATATGCAAGAATGAGAGAGAGCATGACTTACACAGGGAATACCAGGCTGGTGTGGCTGAGGGTGGGTGGCCAGGGGAGGGGTGAGGGAAGCTGCAGGGTGCCACGATGAAGGACCTAGTATGTGATGCTGAGGAACTTGGGCAGTGTCCGGAAGGTGGTGAGAACCGGGGTAAGATCTTATTTACATTGTGGAAGAGTTGCTCTGCCTGCACAGTGCAAGGTGGACTAGAGTAGGGTAAGACCACGGCCGGGTAATCAGGGAGGAGATTACCAAGAGGGAGAAGACACAAAGTCTGGTGGCCAATCAGCTGCAGAGAGTGATGGGGACAGGCGAGGATGAAGTGGAGCTCTGAAACAGGAGCCAGAGACTCCCAAAGTCCGCAAAAAGAGCACACTTTGAATGGCACAGACCCTTTTCCTTCCACTCACCCTCCCACATTCAAGACTGTGATGACCTAGGCTCAAGCCAAAAGTATACAGAAAAGGGCCTAGGCTTTCCCAATCTGCTCTTTCTCCTGAAATATATATGGTTCAGGAATAGTATTAGTACTGCTGTGAAATAGCAAAAAGTGGTTGGCTCGATTATGTGGTTCAGAAATCATCATGAACAAGCAGGGTGTGCAGAAATTGGAAAAAGAAAACAACAAAAACAAACATCTTCAAAAAATGCTGAAGAAAAAAATTAGTGTAGAGACATATAAAAGATAGACCCCTAGAAAAGTCAACAATAGGCCTGGTGCAGTGGCTTACACCTGTAATCCCAGCACTTTTGGTGGCTGAGGCTCATCTGAGGTCAAGATTTCAAGACCAGCCTGGCCAACATGGAAAAACCTCATCTGTCTAAAAATTTGAAAATTAGCCAGGCATGGTGGCACACACCTGTAGTCCCAGCTTCTCAGGGGGCTGAGGCATGAGAATTGCTTGAACCCGGGAGGCGGAGGTTGCAGTGAGCTGAGATCGTGCCACTGCACTCCTCAAGCCTGGGTGATAGGGTGAGACTTTGTCTCAAAAAAAAAAAAAAAAAAAAAAAAAAAGAGAGAAAAAGAAAAAAGAAAAAGAAAAGTCAGTAATAAACCTTAAGGTCAAACCTTAAGTTACCTTAAGGTCAAAGGTTGTTCCTTCCTCCACGCAGGACGATTCTAAGCCATCCTTGCAGAAGATTGTGAAGGATGTGCAAAGTGTCAGCCTTTCTTGCCATTGCCTCGTCAGAATCTGTGAGCAAACGGAAAAAAGAACGATGCTCTTACACATGAAACTCCTGGATTCTTTTTAGAAAAATAGCAGAAAGAAACCAAAAATAGTGCAGAGAACAGGTCGCTTCAAAACTATTGAGGATCCAAAGATGTTCTGCCCTAAGGAGTTGCTTCTCAAAAACTGTTATTAAGGTCCTTAGCTGTCAAATATAAAACCCAACCCAAAAGCATTCCATTTAAAACCAGAGCATTGAAACACTAATTTTGAACAATCATTGTAAAGCCTCATCAAATCCAGCTCACTCATTGCAGAAATATGCAACTCAAAGGCCCTAGGAAAAATGTAAATCTGAATTTTCCCAGCACTGTTTTGGATGAATAATTTCCTCTCTCAGAAGAAGCCTGTTGTTACTTTTCAAAATTGGTTCCCCAGTATGCAACAGAGTCCATCTCTGCATGTGTGTATCTGCCCTGTGCTGTGTTCTGCCATTACCATGCTTTGTAAACTTTGCATTCTGGTTAGATGCGTGTGACTCACTGATGCTTCTAAGGGAAGATTCTTTTTGAATAATCCTTGAAATACAAGCCAGATTTTTCCATTTATTTAGAATTTCCCAATGTCCCTGCCCCTCCCTCTGCTCCAGTTGCACACACACCAGTGTTTCTTGGCTGGGATTCAGGAATTGTATTTATTGGGGTCTATCAGTGTGTCACCATATCCCCAGGGAACAGATTTAAATATGCAACCCAACACAATTGAAAGCAACAGGTTAATACTGTCTTTGCAGAGTTAAAACAGCCCAAGTTCTCTCAGGTGACTACCCGTAGGGGAAGTCTCATGGTTCGTTGCCCTTGATTAAATTCTCAGGAGCTTTCTGGCTTTATCCAGATCTACCATTTGTCCTTGAAGAGCTCAGCAGAACTCAGCAACTGTGAATAACTGTTGTGGGTCTTTTCACAGGAGAAGACTCTGTGAAGTGTGTGGCCCCTTGGAGTCCGAGTCCAGTGATGAGATATTCAGAGAGATAAGGGTAATCCCGGTCTCATGCTGGAAAGTGCATGTGACCATTTTGGGGATCAGGGTATTTGGATGCTGTTAAGGGAAGTGTTGGACTGCTGATGAATTATGCACAGAGTATGGGGAGCTTGAATCGGGTTCAGAGATAAGCCACAGGCATGGGCTAAGGTCACCTTAGACCTCTGGGAAGCCCCCGCTGTGCTGGCCTTAGTGAAGTGTGATGACACAGTCCCTATGCTGCAGAAGCTCTGGTCCCCGTGAGGGGATGAGTAGGGATGGCAGGTACAAGAGTGGCTGCATGACACATCAGCGAACTGGCAGAGCATGAGCACGTTCTAACCTACCAACCAGGCTCCCCGACCCAGTCTGCTTCTAGGGCAGCCCCGGGGGGGATGGAGGGGGCGGTAGGACACAGGGCTGTTTCCTCTCCCAATACTCCATCCCCTCAGAGGGAGTGGAGAAGGGGAGTCAGGAGACCCCCAGAGCGCTCCCCAGGACCAGGTCTGAGAGTCCTTTCCAACATGGGTCTCCTCACTCCTAGTCCTGCTTGAATCCATTGTGCATAAGAATTCACACCCAGCCTGGGCAATGCTCACCACTGAAGAGACAGGATGAGGTCTGCTGGGGACGGAGGCTGCCAGAGAGTGGAGAAAACCCCGTGCCGCACTCGGATTTTCTTCCCCTTATTACTGATACACCTGCTCCTTTGGCTGGGTGTTTCCCAGCCTGTGGAGTTTACAGATTTGGATTTCTACAAAGTTGCCCCTTAAGTATCTTGTGGCAGTGGGGAAAGGGGTGGAGAGACTGGGAGGATGGCACTGCAGCAAGATGAGCGGTGCGACCCAGGCACCCAGCGCACAGCAGGCAAATCCCTTCCCACGCGGATGACCACGGCCACTGGGACCTGAAGCTGGGAATAGGCAGCCACCGGAGAAGCGCGGCCGAGAGCTGGGGGCTGAAACTGCTTTCTCATCTATGAAGGGGCTGGTTTTCTCATCCTCACTGAAGGCCAGAGGAAATTAGACTTCAACCTCACCCGTTAGGATGTGGGTTGGAGATCAGGAAGAAGCTTGGGTTTTAGGGGTGTGGAGAGGCAGGAGTCCATTTCAGCGGGAAATGGACACAAACTTCTACAGACACGGAGCCTGCATCTATCTTTCTGGGAGGGGTTCCGGTGGCCGCTTACCGACAGGCAGGGCACGGGGCTGGTGTTTTTGGAAATCTTATCACAAGGCCCTCACTCCTGGGCTTGCACCAGGGAGGCGAGCCCCAGTTATCCCGCTCTGCAGTGGCTCCCAGGAGCAGGGGTATGTTTCTGACGACAGTCACCTCTGGCTATTGCTCTGATTCTGCCTTTCTTCAGGTTGCCTGGGTCTATCCCATAAATGAGCCTGTGATCACTGGGTACAAGCTCCCTTGCAGCTTCCTTTCTGTCTGAGGTCCCAGGGATACCCGCTAGCCCTGCTGCTCACATCTTGCCTCCTCACTCGGCATGTTTCTCTTTCTGTTCTAAATGTCCCAGCTCATGCCCCTCCATGGTACCATCCCCATTGACCCCAGCCCCACTAGGGCCCCCAATCCTGGGTCTCAGCTGCCAGTGAATGCTGCAGCCCTGCTTCAGTTGCTCAGTCAGCACCCCACGCAGAAAAGCGCCTCGGGCGGAAGCTGGCGGCACCAGAGTTTCTGTCTTTGCCTGCGTAGCCATGTGGGTTAGGGAGCCCCAGGGACGCCAACAGCCAGACCACAGGCGGGCTAATTTCCAAATGCTGACACAGTGAATGCCACCCATATTTCACCAGTGACTGGAGAGCAGATGCTGGGCATTCGTGGGCCCTGCTTGTGCCTGGGGATGGAGAGAAGGCAGGACACTTGAGGCAGATGCCAGTGCTGCCTCTGAGCTGTTGATGCTCCCTGCCCTGGAGTTCACAAAAATAATCCTCTACATGGTGCATAGAGTGTTTTTGTGTTTTTTGAAGTATTACAGGCAGGCCCCGGCGACATGATCTTCGTCTCCCAGATAGGGAAATTCTGAAAATCAGGAAAGGGGCTGGGCGTGCCCCTGTCACATAGCTGGTAATTGGAGCTGGGTCTCTGGCCTTCAGGGCACTTTCCTCTGTGGTCACACCTGGGTTTCAGAGCCACCTGGCCTCCACTTTTCTGAGCAGCTTCCTTCAGCATTTTCTTGTTTCCTCTGTGCTTGCATCCCGCCTGCCCCTTGGGGTCACCCTGTTTCCAGGCTATTGCGTCTCCAGGCCCCTTGGTCCAGCTGATGTGGGTTACAAGGCCCACCCGTGAGGTGGCAGTGGGCTAATTTTCAATAATCCAGTTGGTGACTGTTCTTCAGAGAGAATCTTCTGGAATCTCTGACTTAGTGACGGCACAGAGACTTCCTGAGTTCCTTAAGTCACGTCTTCCTTCCCTTAAGTCACTTCTTAAAAAAATCAATTCATTTCTACAAGAACTCATGTATGCATTTCACACAGTGAAACCTGTGCAGTGTCACGCACTTATATCAGACGGTCATTGCCTCTCTTTTACATTGTCAGTATGGAATTCTTCACGGGAAACCTGCCACAGTGTCCTGCCGGCCTGTCTAGTCAACAGTTCTTCATGTCTCACTGAAGTCCCTCTTGCCATAAATCCAAGTCATGTTTCTATAGTGTCGCTCATCCATCCGGATTCTCCCAAGCACTGCATCATTTAATCTGAACGATGGCCCTGGGAAGTAGATAGCATCATTGTCATCTGACAGATGAGAAATCCGAGGCCTGGCTCCTGCCCGGTCTGGGGCCAGACAGGTGTCCTTCCGGGCGCCCTTCTGAAATCAATGCCGACCTCTCTTGCGCAGTGCCCTCGGCAGGCGCCAGGGGGCGCTGCTGCTGCTGGTAAGCGGGAGGCCCGGCGGAGGCGAGTGTGGGCCTTGCCGCGCCTCCTCTCCCGCCTGCGCTTTGCTGCCCGCCGTCTGCAGCACCAGTGCCTACTTACGGGTACTTTTCAAGGTCACTTCTAGTTACTGTTTCTTTCTAAGTCCTTATCACAATCTATAATTACTCTGTTTATTTGGCTCCTTTTAATTTCCTGCCCAGCTCCCCCACTTCCCTGGGTCTTGAGAAGGCCGTACCCCAGTGCCCAGCACAGGCGGCTCCCACTACAGATGCCCTGAGAGACGCAGACGGGAGGGCTAGCCAGGAGAGGGCACGCAGGGAAGGGAGGTGAGGAGGGAGGGCCAGCCTTTCCCCCAGACCTTCCTTCCTTTTCCCTCCTGCCTTAGACATAGGAATTCACTCATCTTCTGGGCCAGATCTTTAGGGAACTTGGCGTGGAGACATCAGGTTAAGATCTGGGTTCTGTCCGGGAGCGGTGGCTCGGGGCTGTAATCCCAGCACTTTGGGAGGCTGAGGCAGGAGAATTGCTGGAGGCCAGGAGTTCAAGGCCAGCCTGGGTAACCTAGTGAGACCTCATCTCTACAATCAATACACTAGCCCGGAGTGGGGCACTTGCCTGTGGTCCCAGCTACTTGGGAGGCTGAGGCGGGAGGATCCCATGAGATGGGAGGTAGAGGCTGCAGTGAGCTATGATTGTGCCACTGCACTCCAGCCTGGGCAACAGAGCAAGACCCTGTCTCAAAAAGAGCTGCGTTCCTACCCCAGTTCTGCCTCATATGAGTTTTTAAAATTCTCTAAACCTCAGTTCCCTTCCTTGTCAAACAGAGAAAATTAGACCTACTTCATGGGGTCGCTGTGAGATTGAATGAAATAATTTCTGCCAAGCCCCTACCACAGTTGCTGGTATGTGACAGAGATTCAACAAGTGTCTGTTCCTTTTCCCCTGTGGGAATTCCATGCCTAGAAGGGACTAACCATTTAACCCCAATCCTGTAGAGTGAAATCAACCCCTTATGTGCCTTCAATCACATAAGAGGGGTGACCTGCCTGGTGGCATGGGGGTCTGGTAGCAAATACACTACCACCTTTCAGGTCTGTGCCAAAGTCACATGGGAAAGGATGAGTTTTAATGAGTTTCTTCCAATAATTAAACCCAAGGTAGACATATAGCTACCAACTGAGTCCTATAGTAGACTAAATTCTAACCTTCTAGCTCTGTGAACTTGGATCAATCACTTAGCCTCTCTGGTGTTTGATCTCCTCCTTTAGACACTGGGAATAGTAATGCTGTCTATGTCACAGAGTGACATAGACGCTCCGTAAACTACTGAGTTTACCCCTGGAGACCGCCTGGAACACAGTGAGATCTGTTAATGTCAGTGATTTCTGGTCCATGGATGAGAAGGAAAATTACCCCAACTGAACTAGTTTCAAGAAAACTTTATGGAACATTTATTATTGGCCAGTCTCTTTTATACATCTTGTCTTCCCTCACCTTCAAATAACTCTGAAAAGTATGTGCCCTTCCCATTTTTCATTCATTCCTCCATTCACTCCTTCAACAAACCCTAGCTGTTGCCACGGAGACACGTGCCATTTGAACAGTTGTTAATCGTCAATCAAATATGGTGGTGCAGAGTTGACATTTAACTGTTCTTGCCTGTTTTTCATGGTAGGGCTCACTGCTGTGTTGCGAACCTCCTTAAGGAGTGGATGTTTTTCTCTGGGCACTTCTGCTTGGTCTGTAGCATGCATTTCCTTGTCTCTTCATTCTTAGCTGCTCTTACTTGCCAGTGTTCTTTGCCTCCGCATCCCTTCTCATCCCTCCCCATCCCTCGCCATCCCTCGCCATCCCTCCCCAACCCTCGCCTTCCCTCACCATCCCTCCCCATCCTGCCCCATCCCTCCCCATCTCTCGCCATCGTGGAGCTTCTCGCATTCCCTTTGCCCACTCTATTTTATCTACATTTTCTTCAGTTTCTCCAAGCTCTTGCACAGGGTTTAGCTGCTCTTGCACTTTTTAAAACTTTTAAACCCTTTATTAAGCCAATAAATGCTAAAATTAGGTAGTTTTTAAAAATGTAAATAAATACCCAGAAACACATTTTTATGTATGTTTTCAGGCACAATATTGAGTTCAAAATACATGAGATCTATGTGCTATTACTCACTGTAGAAAATCTAAGCTTAACTTAAAAAGACAAGATGGGGACAATGCTCCCAGGTGCATCCTGAGCCATTGCACAGGCACTCGTCCTTGCCACCTGTCAGCATTGGCACTTATGAATCCACCATGTGCAGTGTCCACACCATCCCTGGATGTTTGCTTGGTCATTAGTTCAGTGAGCAAGTGAAAAACTAGCTCAGCTACAACTTAGAGAAAAAAATAGCTTCTCTCTCCCCTGGCCTTCTCTATTTGGAGAGAGCCCTGAGGCCCAGTGAGCAGTGTTGGGTATAACATAGGGATGCAGCTGACAGGTCCCTGCACTTGTGGCACTCCCAGCCCAGGGGAGGGCACTGACCTTGGTCAAGAAAGATTTTTAGAGTCTCTACTGTGGGTCCACATGCTGGGTATTCAGAGGAAGGCAAGACGGGCTGCTGTCCTGGAGGGTGTGTTCTGTAGAGGGGAGATCGACAATAAGTGAATGCATCACCAGCAGGGAAATAAACAACCAACCTGACAGCCACTCTTGATAAGAGATGGAAAGAAGCCAAGACAGGATGGAGTTCCCACTGGAGCAGTGGGTGCTACCTTAGATTGGATGCTAAAAGGCTCTCGAAGAAGGTGGTGATGGAGCTAGGTCCCTAGCGACATGGAGCAGCCAGACATGGGAAGGCCTAGAGCGGAGCAGCCCTGAAGGAGGAAGCAGCAGGTGCCGAAGCCCAGGGCAGGAGCTGCGCCGCACATTGCAGAGCAGAGGGGGTGGGAACATAGTGAGCTAGGTGACAGAGGGGATGACTTTGGGCTGTGGAGTGTGGCAGAGTCCTGGCTATATGGGGCCTTGAGGTCATCAGAACAGGGGGAAGCTGAGAAAGGTCTCAGCAAGGCAGCAGCATGATCCGATTTTCAGGACTCCTTCCTCACTCTGACGGTGTGGACTCTATTATGAGGAGAAAGAGGCGGTGGACAGATCAAGGAGCAGGCGAGTTTTGTAGCCCAACCAAGGAATTATGGTGGCCTGGCAAGCAGAGGAGATGAAGAGAAGAGGACAGACAGGTCCTGACTATATTGTGTAGAAAGAGCAGACAAGATTTGCTGATGGATTGCGTGTGAGGTGAGAGGAAGAAAAGAATTAAGGGTGAATCAAGGTTTTGCTTGACTCGGGGGTGGGTGTGCCATTGACAGGGCTGAGGATGATCTGAATTGAACAAAACCAACATGAAATCAGTTGTATTCAGTGCTAAGAAGGAAAAGAAGATGGTGCTAGGACATTTTTTTAGAGTAGGAATTTCAGTCCAAGATGCCTATGCCCAGATGTGCTGTCCCAGCGTACATCACATGTGGAGCTGCCCCTCCCCTGCTCCCTCTTCTGCGGTCCTCTCTCTGCCCTGCACTCTGAGGGTGCACATGCACCTCTCACCCCAGCCTGGTGGCCATGGTACCTGCAACCCTGGCCAAGAGCTTCCAGAGAAAGGATCACGCCAGGCATCCATCACCAAGCCCTGTGCCCTGGTTGCCTCCGGGTCTGGAAGGCTGGTCGTGCTAACCTCAGAGGAAATTCAGTTGGTCTGGCACAATTGCATCCTTCTCGTCTAACCTAATCTCATCATTCCATGGGCAATCTTTTTCTCTCTGATCCACAGCCTTTCACCACTTCATTAATTTGTCCCTAGCAGCCGGATAAACAGTCTTCTCCCTCTGGGCCTCATGTACACAAAGATGCTTCTGACAGGCCCCTTGAAAGCAGCTCAGAGCCTGCTGTCTTTTCCCGCCCGGAAGTTCTGGTGGGAGAACCTTCTTTAAGAGGCTCCAGGAGGGGATGAGGGGAGGGAGAAAGAAGACTTCCCAAGACCTGGCAAGAGCCCCGAGCAGGACTATGCATCCTTCCTGCATTTCCTCTGCAGCTCACACAGGCACAGTGGTACCGTCCTTGGGTCTGGCAGGTGAGAGCTGCCTGCCCAAATCCAGACCTGGGAGTTAAAACTGATTTCCCCAAGTGCCAACTCAGCCTTTGGCTGTCCCAGTCCTGATCTCTTCATCAGAGCCCCTCAGCCCTGCTAAACAAGGAAGGAGCCTGGCATTTATTGTGGCTTTCCCCATACCAGATCCTCTACTGGGCCTTCCCACACTTAATCCTATCTCAGCATTGGGAAACAGATTTCCTTATTTCCATGTTCATGGAGGAGAACGTTCAGGTTTAGAGAAGCCAAATAACTCACTCTGATAACAAGTGGAAGAGGTGACGTTTAAGCCCAGCTCTACACCGCCTTATAGCCTATCCCCTCACTATTTTCAAGGCACCTGTGGAGCCCCATCTTTGCTTTGCCAACCTCATTTGCTGCCTCTTTGCAATAATGTCTTCAATCTTAATGCTGATCACAGCTTGGACCTCACACCCTCTGGGTGCCAGGGAGCCAGCATTTTGGTTAGTACTAAGCCCAGTTGTCAATCTCATCACAATTCCTAGAGGGCTTCCTTCTATCCTCTTTTCTCCATCTGCTCCAGTGAAGCTCAGGGGACCTTGGCAAGGTGGGAAAGGTCAGGACTCAAATGATGTTGGGGAAAAAGAATAAACCCATCACTGAAAATGGGTACAATTATTGGAAATGTGGGAGGGTAAGAAAAGTGAATCAGGAAGACAGTATGTCCAAAACAACAAAAAAGAAAAGAAAAGGAAAGAAAAACCGTAAACAGCTCACAATGAGCTCCAGGGTTTTTACTGCTCCTTACGTTTCTTAGCAACTATTTTTTGTTTGTTTTCCAGGCTTAATCGATTACATTGAGAAATTAGCTCTGTAAAATCCCCAGGTGAGCTGCTGGGTCATGCACCAGTAAGCTGCAGAGCTGGAATTCAAGCCTGACTCCAGATACGTGTTTCAAGGCCAGAGACTCAGTGGGGAGCCTGCACGTGCGCTCCAGCTAGACCACCTTGTTTCTTTTCATAGGAGTTAGTACTCATAGCACACCAGGGGCTTCAGTTTCTTTCCCCAAACCCATCGTGCATCTATGATACTTAAGAAGATCTAGGTTTGGCCCTGCAGGTGTGTCATCAAACAGATCATTACGATTTGTGCTAATCCAGATTAGGATGTTGAGAGGTGGTGGTTGGGGACATTCTTTGTAGCTCTTGATAGTGGCCCTTATTCAGGAAGTACGCAAGGAACATCCAGCCCTGCCTTTGAGAAAGGGCCCAGCCTCTGGACATGCACAGTGGGAGGTTTCTGTCATTCTCCCGTGAGTCCTTGAATGTAGACTCAACACAACTCTGTGCCCTGTTGTCACCCAAGAAAGCAGCAAGGTCCCCATCCCAGTCACGTTCCATCCCTCTCTCTCCTTGGTGTATGTGGTGTGGGGTGGGGAGCAGAGGTAAGTAGTGGCACGGGGGAAATGTGGGGCAAGGCGGGGTTTTGAATGGGCCCGTGGGCCTCTGGCTTGTCTGCGAGGTCATGCTGAGTCTCTGGAGGGGCTGGCTCAAATGGGAATTGGAACATCCGCGCTGCTGACTCCAGGAATACAACAAGGGCTATGGGCAAGGAATAAAATGCTCAAAAACATTCAAACAAAAGATGTGCTGAAAGAAGGAGAAAGAGGGAGAAAAGAAACCGAGCTCCCAGGAGAGCCGAGAGAAGGAGCTCTTGCTTGGCTGGTGCAGTAGGAGGGACCCTGTGAGTTTCCTCCCATCCCACAGACCTGCCCTCTGGCACTGGGAGGTGTGAGGGACTTCACCCTGGAGCTGCCAACCCAGGATCGTAACCAAACACCGTTCTCAGACCTGCAGAGCCCAGGTGCAGGTGGATGGGTGGGTGGGTGGGTATGAGGGCCCACGGGCCAGCCTGGACTGCTTCACCCAAACACACCTGGGCAGCAGCAGGGAAGAGCTTCTCCTGCAGACCCTGGGAGAAGAGACATCTCCCACACTAGCAGAGGTTCTGTTTAGCAGTGAGGGTGAGCAGAATAATACTTTCCGTACTCCAAGCTCTTGTGGCAGAGAAAATCATTCTGATGGTGGTGCCTTCAGGAGCACAGTAACCACTTGCTAGAGAAGGCAGGTGCTGAGTTCAGCCGAGGTTCCAACAAGGGCCCAAAGGCATGGGGAAGTGGGTTGAGAGTTGAGGGGAAGTCGGTCGCGACTGTACTGTGTGACAGGCACTTTACATGTGTGTTTTTTCTATCCCAGCTTTATTGCAATATAATTCTCATAAAATAAAACCCACTAATTTGAAGTGTGTAAGAGGTGGTTTTCAGTGTATTCACAGAGTTGCACAGCCATCATTACAATCAATACCGGAACATTTTCATCACCCCCAAAAGAACCTGGTGCCCATTAGCAGTCACTCCCCATCCGCCTCTTCCCCAGCCCCTGGCAGCCACCAGTCTAACTCTCTTTCTCTGTAGATTTGCCTATTCTAACATCTCATCTACATGGAATCATACAATCTCTGGCCTCTTTCACTGGCCAAATGTTTTCCAGGTCCATCCATGTTGTAGTATCTACCAGTACTTTATTCCTTTTTAGAGCTGAATAATATTCCACTGTATGGATATGTCACATTTTATTTATTGATTCATCAGCTGATGGACATCAACTGTTTCAAAAGCTTCCACTCTTTGGCTATTATGAATAATCCTGCTATTCACATACTCATTTTACGTGGATATGTGTATTTCTCACTGAATCCTCATAACAACAAAGGCACTAGAATCATCAATATAGTATGGAAAAGTGCAGCTCAGAGAGGTTAAGGAACGTCTTTGAGACTGAAACGCTTCTTTTGATTTGGCTTGATTTTGATAGAATGGCAAATAAGTGGAAATAAAGTGGAATTTAATTTTACCTTTTCCAGGTCATTATACACACCACTGAGTGAAAAGAAACAAGGAAAGGAATGAGAGAAAGTGCGTCAGCAGGCCTTTTGTAGGTACCACCGGCCTCTCCTGAGAGGTCGGTCTCAGTGAGGGCCCTGAGCTTGCCTGCCTTGGCATGGCTCTAAGGTCTAGGGGGATGCCCCCCTTCCTGCTTGTCTTCCTTGTTTCAGAGGCAGACACGAGGATTGGTCAAGAGCAGTTCAAGACATTTGCTGGAGGACGCAGCTGGGAAGTCTCCCGGGCAGTGTCCTGTTCTGAGAGGGCTCCTGGGTGGGCTGTGCCCGGTAATGAGGATGGGGGCATGCTAAATGCCAGCAAGAAGAGCCCCAGTGAGAAGACTCCAGCATTTGCTGAAGGGCAGCTCTATGGCATGGAACAAAGGGTCACCGAAGCTGCTGGCTCTGCTCCCTCTGGCTCCAGGGCTTTCCCAGAAAGCACTTGAACATGGGAGGGTGGGTGATATGACGTGCCGCTCCATTAATGTAACTCTGATGGCTTGGCAGAACCCAAGCCGAAACTGGTAATCATTGACCCTTTGAGGGTCAATGATACCCGTGGGCATAGCAACGGAGTCAACAGAAATGCTGGCTCTTCCACTAATCCCCTAGAGCCTGGCTCTTCTCACCTCCTTTCTGAGAAGCAGGATGCTATTGCAGCCTGCACAGTAGCAAGAGCAGCCCAGGATTAAAGGCCTCACAGATAGGGACAAGATTGCCTCCTTTCATTCAATGCATGGCAGGAGCTTGAAGGAGAAACTGGAGTTGCACGTAGTATGACTCAAGGTATTAACAGCTTGATCACGTTCTATGTCCAAGTGTGGTCTAAGCTCTTTCCATCCATCTGTAAGATAGATATAAAAGCCCCCATTTTTCAGATGAGGAAATTGACACACTGAATACCCAATGTTAGAGCTAGTAAGTGACTGATTTCAGATTCAAACACTGGAAACCCACTTCTTAAATCTTACCCCATAGGCCACTTGTTGGGACTGGGACAGAGAAACTTCAAACACGCTAAGGTGTGGGCCTAGAAGGCATCCAAATCCCTCTCCAAACCCAAGCACGTGGTGCTCTGTGCCTTAGATCTTGTGTGTCTGTGGAAGCTGGGCTACACCAGCCTTCTTTGCCTCATGCAACATAATGAATACTAGTCTCCGAGTGTCCATACTGAAGACATTAGTTGAATTTTTTCCATTTTATAAATTGTCAAGGTTGGGCATCCTATATGTTTTCTTTAAAACAAAGTGTACATTCTTGTTGCAGACGCTCGGTAAAGCATGTTCAGGCCTCCCGTCCACATGGAATCCATTCCTTTCTGGTCTGGAAAGACTGAGTTGATTTAATACCAACCCAAACCACACAGAACTAGAAGGGTCAGACTAATAACAGATCTCTGCACACATAATAGCTACAACTTTTTAATAAACACTGGAATTCCTTCATTAAACTCCAGTGCCATTTGAGGTGGGTGGCTGAATATGAGACTTAAGAACAGTTTCATTACAGATTTATCCGGTTTTTAGAACAACCATCTCCTCCTCAACACACACACAGGATAAACAAGTGGAAGAATGATTATTTGATTTGCAAAAATTATTCTTCACTTTATAAAATAATCCACTATAGGATTCCTATAAATATCTAATATCCTAATGCATATGTAATATGATTCACCATACACAATTTCTGTCTACATACATCTTTTGAGAGTATACAGTGATTTCAATATGGAATTATATATCTAGATGTGTACAATGATATTTTCAAGGCAGTGGTGTTCTTTTTAATAGTAATAAGAATAAACAGACCATGAGAACAGGAAAGACTGTGGATCATTGTGTTAATTTACTTTTCAATCCTAAATTCACTAGAAACTAGAATGGGCTAGTTAGGGAGATGTGGCCTCAGTGTGTGGTAGAGGTTTGAGAACTTGGGTTAAAGTTGAGTCCACTGGAGCCCAAGCTGACCTTTCTACCTTTGCTGATGTGGAGGGTCCTGTGTGTTCCTGGTCCAAACTAACTGAAGTTTCACCCTGGCTTCTGTGTGGGCCTGTCCTCTGTCTCCAGACAGTAGCCATATGTGTTGTATTTTACCAGGTTTCTTCTCTACTGTGCCTTCATCCCCATCCTGGGCCCTGACAAAGACAGTGTGACAAGTTCTGAGCCCCACAGGTGGAATCCCAAACCAAGCAGCTCTTGCTGGTCACCCCAAGATCTACTTATACATGAAGTTTTGAAAATCATCTCCTGAACCTCTTCTGACAGAGGTGAGTGGCTTGATTTTCAATAAGCAACTATTGGACACCCCAGGCTACAAGAAAGCTAGGTAAGCATTTGGTTATGCAGAGCCTCTTAAGCAAAGGCTGTGGGACCTAGTCATTTGCCCTTGCAGGTTCTGCAAGTACTGAGTCCCACCACCAGCATCAGAGAGTGGTGTTAGGCTGGCATTGCTCTCTCCACAGCCCCTTTCAAAAATCAAGCACTTTGAGTCATTTACACCTTCCTATATCTGTTTATTTCCTTGACAGATACCTGTTGAGCCTCTGTTCTCTGCCTGGTGCTGGGGTAGGCAGGGACTGGGGACATGGCAGTGGAGGAGACAGCACAAAAGTAAATGTATCAGTTAAAATTACTGTTCATACCACAAATGAAAGGAAAGCATACAGTCAAATTTTGCAAGGAGAGGAAACTTGATTTAAATGGGGAGGGGGATCTTCTTCCTTCTTTGAGAAACTGACATTTAAATGTCTTTCTGAGAAATGACATTTAACTTGAGGTCAAGAAGTTGGCAAGGGGGTGGGTGTGGCGTGGGGGAGAGTAGAGCTCCAAGGGTTTCCAGCCGAGGAAATAGCAGGTGATGTAGGCCCAGAGAGGTTAAACGACCTGCTCCAGCCTCTATGGTTGGAGGCGGGGGGGCCCTCCGATGTGTCCTTTTTTGCCTTTGTATTCCCAGTCTGCTTCCTGGACATGACCTCAGTACTGACTCCAAGGTCAAGAGCTTTGCCCTCTGCTAGAGCAGTGAGTGTATGGGGCTGGCTCATCGTCACTGGCAGGTTTGCCTTATCCACCAGGTGGTGGGTTGGCGGGCGGGCAGGAGGGGTTGGAGGTGTTGCCTCCTCTTCCCACAGGAGCCATTGTCATCACACCAAACTTCTGCCTATAGAAGAAGTAACAACACCCTGTAGAGGCCTACAGATGTCCCTAAGTGTAAAATGTCACTCCCACAACCTCAGGCCGTTTGCTTATGCCAGGACAATCCACAGAAGCTTCCAAAAAAAAGTATGATGCTGGACAGTGTATCTTCAGCTGCTCTCATGGCTGCTTCTTAATTCTGTTGATATCATAACCATTTCTAAACTCTGCCTGGCTCTGCCAGGCCCCTCTCATGACATCAGGGCCTATGGTCTTCTCCTCCAACACACACCCTCAGATCCAACCCAGGGTACCTGCTGCCCTCTCCATCGAGCTCTCTCCTTCCTCCTCTTGTAGTGCTTTTGTAGATGCTGCAAAACCCCAGAAAACTGTCCCCTCCTGATCCTTTTATGCTCACTATCTAAAAAGGTTTGGACCCTTGCTAGCTCTCACCCTCTCATGTGATCACTCACACAAAGCAAGGAAATGTATAGAAAACCATTCCTGGCGCAGAGTAAGTTGATGCTGAATAAATATTTACTTTCCCTCTACATTGTTTACCAACTGTGTTACATATGCTTTAGGGCTTAAAAGCAAAGACTTGTCAGTTGGGAAGATCTAGATTCTTCTAATCTTTGCTCTTTGGGCTTTCTGCTTTGTGACCTTGGATAAGTTGCTTAACTTCTCTGAGCCTCAGTTCCCAGCCTCCTAGAGTTACCATGAGTTTAAATCCAACAACACCTTTAAGAGATTTTGTATCCGTGCCTCGGATGACACTACAGGCCTTTGGGGGCCCAGAATGCCACTACTCCAGAGGGGCACCGCTGGCATCGTGCTCCAGGGGGCGCTGTTCACTGAGACTGCCGCAGCGTGTGTCTCCAGCAACGGGCAGCAGACTACAGAAGCCCATTCTGGCCGCCTTAATGGCCATTCCACACTCTCTGGAGACTGTTATCAGCCCCAGCCTTTTTCTTCATTCATCTGTGCCTTGCACTTCCATTTTTACCTTGGTTTACCTTCTCAACCCTGGCTCAATCCACTTATATCCAATAAAGCAACACTTTCCCTTAAAGTGCAGTACTCTGAATTTTAGAAGAGAAAAATTCTTAGAAAATCTCTAGTATAGCCAAGTAGCTCCCATTGTGTGGCAGTGAGTTTCTCCTGTCCCCTAGGGTGCTCCAGCTCCTTGTCACTGTTCCTCACAGCCCCTGAGGATGTGCTGCTCTCTCTTTAAAACTCTGAACAGGGCAGGGATCAAGTGCTTCTTTTGGTCTTTCTTCATACAGCTGAGACATGCTAGCATTTCTGAAATATCTTAAGAAACTATTATGAAGAACAACAGGAAACAATATTGGAAATACAGAGGCCAGGCATGGTGGCTCACACCCGTAATCTCAGCACTTTGGGAGGCTGAGGGAGGAGGATTGCTTGAGGCCAGGAGTTCAAGACCAGCCTGGGAAACATAGTAAGACTCCATCTCTGCAAAAACAATAATAACAACAAAATCAGCTGGGCATGGTGGTGCACACCCGTGGTCTCAGGTACTTTTTTTTTTTTTTTTTTTTTTTGAGACGGAGTCTTGCTCTGTCACCCAGGCTGGAGTGCAGTGGTGCGATCTTGGCTCACTGCAAGCTCCGCCTCCCGGGTTCACACCATTCTCCTGCCTCAGCCTCCTGAGTAGCTGGAACTACAGGCGCCCGCCACCACGCCCGGCTAATTTTTTGTATTTTTAGTAGAGACGGAGTTTCACCATGTTAGCCAGGATGGTCTCGATCTCCTGACCTCGTGATCCACCCACCTCGGCCTCCCAAAGTGCTGGGATTACAGGCGTGAGCCACTGGGCCCAGCTGGTCTCAGGTACTTTGAGGCTGAGGCAGGAGGATCTCTTGAGCCCAGGAGGTCGAGGATGCAGTGAGCCGTGATTGCACCACTGCACTCCAATCTGGATGACAGAGTGAGACCCTGTCTCAAAAATAAATAAACAAATAAGAAACAAAAGAAAAGAAATGAAAAAGAAAATACATACAGGATAAGCATTCACCTTCCAAAGCATTGATTTCTGACTACAGCAAATGTGGGCTGCCACCAAAGACTGGTAAGACCTCACAAACACCCTGCCCGGGTTCAGGCTTCACTAGCTCCCAGTGGTGGGGACATCACAGCTTCCAGCGCTTCCCACTGGGACCCAATCAAGGTGCCAAGAAGAGGTATAGGTTTTTGTGGTCAGAGTATAGTTATCTTAGGATAACCAATGGCTTTGGGAAACAAGTTAGCTAGATAGAATTCAAAAGCCGAACTTGAAATTTTTAACTCATTTTAATGGCTTTTTCTATTTAACTTGGCTATATCCTTGATTCTTCACTTCTTCATACAGAAACAAACATATGTACCAATTGCACATAGGCATGTAAGACTTGTGGAAGCCACGGAATGGAATTGGTTCTCACCAGTGGGCTTGTAAAGTGGTTTTGTTGTGTTATAGTTACACTTATTTCCTGTGCTCTTAGGGTCTTCAGTGGTCAGTGCCCTCCAGTCAGAAAGCACCAGTAGTACCCTGTATTTGAGCAAGTTGGACTTTTTGCAGCTATGGAGAACTGCACCATAAACAATCATGGGGCGTCTCACTGAGAGGGTTTTGGAAAGGACTTGCATAGGATCTGGGCATGTTTCAGGTGATGCGGCGGGGGAGGCTTAAGGAAGCAATGCTTTGCTCTGGATTAGGGGCTGTTAGGGAGTAGTGATGATTCTATGATCAAATATGTTGATAATTCTTATTATCTAGGTGAGAAGACTGACATGAGACTAAAGCTGTTCTGGGGAAAGAAACAGCAGACACTCATCAGGATGGGGGGATATTCGGCCATTTTGTGGCTTGGACAATGTTTGTGTTTTGTTGGTGTTCAGACATGATTACAGAGTGGCCTTGTTTTATCCCAATCCATCATGATCTGAGTGGCCTGGTCTGAGGCTGATGATTTGTGAGATTGCTTGTGTTTAACAGGAGCAAGACCCAGCCTCATGTGCCAGGAGAACCAAGACCTCGCCGGTAGTACGAGGTCACCTTCCAGTGGCCTGCTTTTCCACAGATCCAATCCTAGTTAATCCTAATCCTAGGGTGAGAGAAGAACAGCATCAAGCCTCGGTACCGTCGCTCTGTTCAGCCTTGCCAAGGATAATTCTCTCCCTCTATCCTGTTCCCACCTCTCCAAGACAAGTCTTTTGCCCTGATTATAGAGAAAACCTTTATAAAACATGTTTGTATTTTCCAGATCTTCTGTTGCGCACTGGGAGGATGGGCTCTGAAGCTAGCATAGTTGATAGACCAGATATGTTGTCAGAACCTTCATCACTCTCACGGAAGCCTTTTCCTCCATTGGCTGTAGTCTCCAATATGGCCCATTTCGCTCCAGGAGGTAGACCCCGATTGGCCTGGACCAGTGACCCCTGATTAAACTGCCATGCTAGTTTGAAATTTGGGAACCAGTTATAATAATTGTAGCTATTTATTGCATAATTACTATTTTCTAGGAACTTTACCTATGCTATTGCATTTAAATCATACAACAATGTTTGAGAGTATATTATAGCCATTTCACAGGTGAGGAAACTCACCTGTATCAGCAAAGGTCAGTGGTTTGCTTAGCTCACCTGACTCTTGGGTGGCAGAGATAGGGTTCAAATCAATGTCTGTGCTAACCCGAGCTAGAAGCCCGTCGACTCTGCCATGCTGCCCCTAGCTGTTACCTCTTCTGGGAACATTACTGGCCAGGATCTCCTATCTTCTCCTGATCCCCTGTGCACAAAAGGACAAGTTATTCAGAAAGTGATACTCTGGATGGCTGGCCCAGAGACGCCTACAGAACACAGTGTGCCTCCTGAGAGTACCAACACCATCAGACCTTGTGATGCTTCAGCCCTTTTTCCCCAAGCTCTCTTCTCTGGAAGGAGGGAGGCACCTAGGAAGGCCCTTGCTGTACACACACCCTGGATACAGACACACTCTGGTTCATAGCAGTGGGGACCCAGGAGTATGCTCACCCTACAAAAAAGTAGGGTATTCCTGAAGTGCATTCCCAAGTCTAGCCTGGAAGAGTCCTGAAGCTCAGATGCCCTCTTCTATGCCCATGAGGCCAGGAAAGATGGTTTCTACCAGCCTTGCCAAGTTCTATCTAAAAAGAGCCCATGCTGTTCCCATGTGAGCTGCCTGATAGTGGTAAAGACATCAGAGATAACTTCTCTGGCATTACCGAACAGAAGGGAAATGCCACTCTCTGTCTACTACAGGTTCTGGATGTGATAAGTGTAGTCTGTGGAGCTAGATGGTTTACTGCTTCTCGGGGCTCTGAACCTTTGCAGATCCAGCAGGGTGGTGATCCTCCAATAGCTTGAGATGATTTTCATAGAAAACAGGAAGTCCTCCACAGCAGCAGTTAGATGCACTTGTTTTCCTTCCTTAGCAAAGCTGAGTAAGAATACAAGCCCAACACCCACCCAACCTTCTGGGTCTCCTCTTTGGGACTGCCTTAACATCGTGTCCTCAATCATTTCAAGGCAGCAAACCTGCCACATTACAATTCTTGAATTACTTATTCGTGAACAACTTGAGAGCAGGGACTGTTACCTTGCATTGTTTCCTAGCATAGCACCTGGTATATAGTAGATGCTCAATAAATAATGTGTTTGTTTAATTATATTGATTAAGAAGGAAGGGGCTCTGCCCCATAATCCCATTCAATCATTGCAATGGAAAATCCTCAAGAAATGTTTCCAGATTCAATCGACTGTTGACAAAGCAGTAATTTTTTCATAGAAACGAATTTCTTCTCCATCACGGTTAGAAAGGGACTAGAGAAAATCATCTGACTTCTCCTCTCAGGCCACATAGCTCATATTTCCTACCTCTAATCTGAAATCCTGACTCTCAGAAATGTCCTAAAGTTACCTAAGGATGTGCATGAGCTATGAGAGGTTTGGCTGAAAGGCAGACTGCAATAAGTGTTTTTTTTTTTTCCATTTCTATAGAGGAACAATAGACTTTTAATTCTAAATCAGAAGCGGTAACAGCCATGCCTATTTTCCCTTTCCCCTCTTTGACATAGTGGCTGTTTGACTGCTGAGCAGGCTGGGGTGGTAAGTGCTGTAAGAAATCCCAAATTCTGAATGAATTGTTCTCAAGTGGATGTCTGTGGAAGAAGAGCTTCTGCACCTGGGTTCATCAGATTCAGTAAGGACCACAAACTGTTGGTCCCTCCCTTAAAATGAGCACATGCTGATTAAAGTAGATGTTGCATAAAAATGAAGCACATATTTTTATGGAGAAAAGGAAATTCAGGAAGAAAATATGTTTGCTTTCAAGAATTTGAAGGGCTGTTAAATGGAGGAGACTTCAGACTTATTTAGAATTTTAATGAGATTTCTCTGAAGCACAACTAGAACAATGTTCTTTATAACAGTTTCTCCTTTCGTTCTATGAAAAAAACCTGTCAAATGGTACACCAAGTGCAGAGTCCGTTGGCCCTAGCTTGCCTTTGCAGCCCAGTGTCTCACTGAGGCTTTCTATGCTCCATTATTTGCTTACTTGGAACTTCTTTCAGCTCCCCCATGTTTTCTTTCCTTGGTTGCCCCTGCCTGGGTCACACAGAAGACTACCCTGTAGTGTGGTTAGTAGTGCACACACAAGACATCTCCATTAGAGTGGGAGCCACCAGATACTATGTGATATAAGTGACAGTAAGCTCATTGATTTTATATTCTCATTGATTAATGTATTTATCATCATTCAGCAAATATTTATAGAGTTTCTACTATATGTGACTCTAACTCATCTTCAGGGCTTGGCCTCAGGGTTACAGTTCTGCTCATCAAAATAGGTGCTCCCCAGAGTGCTCCCACTGTTTCATATCCTGGCATTCATCACTGGTCATTTCATAGATTATTGACACATTTGCACCACCCTCTCTGCTGAAATGGGAGTTGCATGATAACAAGGACTGAGTCCATTACTTCTCTGATGTCTAGCACAATGGTCAGCACACACAGTCAACATTGGGTATCAACATATCATCATTGAATAGTGATTGATAAATAAATTAATGTATACATAAATGCAATGAGTTTTCTGCCAGTTGAAGTATGTTTGCAAAGAAAGGGTGGATCCCCAGCTGATGGGGATCTTTTTAAAAAGTTATTCTTTTTGGCATTATACCAACCATGCTCGGTTGTGGTTGATTTCCTTAGTTCACTTCCCCATTAGACTATGAACTCCTTGAGAACAGGAAGAGTTCTATTTGTCTTTGAAATCCTACAGAACAAGCATACAATCAGTGTTTGGGAAGTGCACAAAATGTCTATTTTCTGAGAATGGATTGTTTATAGAACAAGAATGCTGAGGCACTAAAGAAAAAGTGGCAGTAATGTAATCCGCTTGTTTTGCCAAGCCACTAAAAATACCTTGGTAAATATTAGCTAATGTGCAGCCCTTTGCTTGCTATTAAGATTTACTGATTTCAATAGAAAGGAACCTAAAAACTGAGCATATTATATAACCCAGACACCAGGGACAATCTCTAATCACCTAAGAGTTCATAAAATACATATTGGCTCTGTCTGTGGTTAGATTAAATGCCATTATCTAAAAAAAGTAGGATCTGTGCAATAATAGGTCTGCCATGTGAATGACAGTTTTGGTTAGTGGATGAATTTATCCTGTATCATTGCATTCTCTAAGAATAATCCCTCTCACTCTGAACAAATAAATCAATAGCATTGGCTAACCCAGTGCATGTAAAAAACACCTTCAGTAAATGCCAGGTTTTCCCGAATAATAAAGACTTCCAACAATAAAGACTTCTTTTAAGTCTGTTTCTTACATAACTGTTGTATGGAGAGATTAACATGGTATCTTGTTTCTTCCTGGTGTGATCTTACTTTTGTCTTGTAAATATGTACTTATGTCTGTATGTTCACCTGCATCTTTGTGAACCCTTGGAAAACTCAGTATTTCAGTGGGTTTCAGAGAATAGGCCGGGAGATTGATGATAAGTAAGTGTTTCCGGCCAGTTGTTATTAGGCACAACTTTTAGGAGAAACAAGTGAGCGATAGAGCGTGGCCAAGGAGAGGAAGGCAATGCTGGAACCCAATCCATGCCTGCTGCCCAGAGACCTTAGCTGATGGCTTGTCATGTCTTAGCATGTTGGTATTCAAGCCATGTGATGTTGGAAAGAAAAAATACCTATTCAGCTTGGGGCTTGGTCTGAGAACAACCAATTGCCTTGGTTTAAATCACACGACTCCACTATCAAATTAAGTGTTTCCAAGTTTACACAAATTAGCGTCAGTCCACTGACTGTCGCCTACAATAAATTAGGCTGAGTCTAAAAGAAATCAGTCTGCATAGAAAGACCAACAACCAGCACCACTTCCTTGCTTTTTCCAGCCATGAATGCTTCCAGTCGGAATGTGTTTGACACGTTGGTAAGTGGAGGCTGGGGAAATCACCTCTCTGGAAAGCCAGGCAGATAATGTTTCATCATTAATGCAGTCATGGAAACTCAACGTTATTCAAGTGATCAATCAGGGGGTACTTCTTCACTCTACAGAAATCTTCTTTACCTTTAAAAGTAAAATGAAATTAAGGGAGGCTAGAGGAGCAGGGTGCTGGGAAAAAAACTCAGAAGTTGGTGTGTTAGGAGCCATCTCTGGAATTATAATGTATGACAAAGAGAATGTGGATTCAATTGATAAATGTTGGTTTTAGAATTTACTATTTGAGCTGAGAGTCACTCTCTGGAGAGCTGGGTAAACAGTGTGACCCTGAATGCACCTGGGAGAGAGGTCAGTCCACATGGGTGTAGACCAGGGTAAAGGATGTGTGTACAAGGAAAGGAGAAGACCATTTCCTTCTCTGTACCTCACATGCACCATCCCCTAATCCTCACTGGGGACTTGAGGTCAGTGAGGGCAGTGTGGGATGAGAGGAGGGCCCTCTTGACTATGTGCATTGCTGTTTATTCTCTTGGCAGCATTTTCTTTTTTTATGTCTTTAGAACCTGCCCTCAACATTTCAAATCACCACAGCTGTGGTTTTCTCATCACCGCTTCGACTTGGCGTTGGCTTCTTGTGTTTTCAGCTGGGTTAAGGCCTTGAACAAGACACTGTGGGATATCACTATTATTTAAAATGTATCACTCAGTTGGTTTCGCTTCCTAGTTCTTACGAATAAACACATTTTTCAAGGGGGATTTTGAAATCTATTTTAAAAACATATTTGCATTTAATGAAAAATACCCTGAAGACATTGCGGACCAGGGTGGGCACACCTTGATATTCTTGGGCATGGGGGAGGAGGTAATCTAGCGTTTATGACTTTGGGTTTCACCACTGTCAGGTGTTTATGGGACAGGCCCTTCACCATTTTGCTGTACAATGGAAGTCACAGTAATGTCATCTATAAAAAATCAATTGAGCAAATAGGATTTTGAAAAATGTAATTCATTCACTGAATTATTTCATTTACGTTTACTGAATAAACAGTAGGCACTCATCAACTGTGCTAGCAATTGTGATATAGGAATGAATAAAGTATGGTCTGTCTTTATGGAGTATTACTTAAATCAGTGCTCCCCAGTCCTCCAGCTTTGGAGTAGGGAAGGAAGTGTTAGATGTGTTGATGGTGGCTCTCATACTATTCCTTTTGGGAATCTTGGGAAACCGTGGGGAGAGAGTAGGAACAGGCTTGTAGATTTATGGAGAAGCCCTATGAGACCATCTGGTTGGATCTGAGCTCTGTTCTAAATAGTGTTCAGCATTTAACAAAAAGAAATATGACCAATACTTGTCTGAAAATATTTTAGGGAAGTGTGACTTTAGAATATAACATTTGATAACTGAGACACGGAGTGGTAGAAGCTCCCCTAGACTAGAGGCAGGGAGCCCTATATTCTAGTTGTCATCCTGCCACTGGCTAGGTACATGCATTTGGACAAGTTATTTAAATTTTCTAAATCTCAGTTTTCTCATTTGATAAATGAGAGAACAGAATTGAATTAGGATTTTTCTTGATATATGAGTATCAATAGAAGTACATAGATGATTTAGGTAGTATATTGATGAGTGTTTTATTGGTCAGTTATTCATTTTTCTATATCTCAAAAACATACATAATGCTTCAAGTTTGTGATTTCTCAGAAATTATTGCTTAACATAAGGCTAAACTTATGAGAAGGTGATTTAAGTAATATTCAATAAATAAAAATACAGGTCATAATTGGTTATTACAAACATATTTAAGGTTGTGTGAGACTAATTGAGGTCAGGAAACACTTGAATATATAATCACTTAGTTTGTCTTCATTTCTAGCTCTCTGTAATTATTTTGCCTCTTTATGTTTGAGTAACATGGTCTTCCAGTGGAAAGTTTCTATCAGAAATAGCATTGTGGTATCCAGAATAAACTTGTCAGCTTGCCAAATGATTAGTAACCCAGATAATTTTGAATGATCTTTTCGTAGTTAGGTCTTTCATGTGGGTCACCTAGTTCACTATTGCTATAAACATAATCCTTTTTTGTTTTTCTTTGATGTGTTTTCAGATCAGGGTGTTGACAGAAAGTATGTTCAAACATCTTCGGAAATGGGTCGTCACTCGCTTTTTTGGGCATTCTCGGCAAAGAGCAAGGCTAGTCTCCAAAGATGGAAGGTGCAACATAGAATTTGGCAATGTGGAGGCACAGTCAAGGTTTATATTCTTTGTGGACATCTGGACAACGGTACTTGACCTCAAGTGGAGATACAAAATGACCATTTTCATCACAGCCTTCTTGGGGAGTTGGTTTTTCTTTGGTCTCCTGTGGTATGCAGTAGCGTACATTCACAAAGACCTCCCGGAATTCCATCCTTCTGCCAATCACACTCCCTGTGTGGAGAATATTAATGGCTTGACCTCAGCTTTTCTGTTTTCTCTGGAGACTCAAGTGACCATTGGATATGGATTCAGGTGTGTGACAGAACAGTGTGCCACTGCCATTTTTCTGCTTATCTTTCAGTCTATACTTGGAGTTATAATCAATTCTTTCATGTGTGGGGCCATCTTAGCCAAGATCTCCAGGCCCAAAAAACGTGCCAAGACCATTACGTTCAGCAAGAACGCAGTGATCAGCAAACGGGGAGGGAAGCTTTGCCTCCTAATCCGAGTGGCTAATCTCAGGAAGAGCCTTCTTATTGGCAGTCACATTTATGGAAAGCTTCTGAAGACCACAGTCACTCCTGAAGGAGAGACCATTATTTTGGACCAGATCAATATCAACTTTGTAGTTGACGCTGGGAATGAAAATTTATTCTTCATCTCCCCATTGACAATTTACCATGTCATTGATCACAACAGCCCTTTCTTCCACATGGCAGCGGAGACCCTTCTCCAGCAGGACTTTGAATTAGTGGTGTTTTTAGATGGCACAGTGGAGTCCACCAGTGCTACCTGCCAAGTCCGGACATCCTATGTCCCAGAGGAGGTGCTTTGGGGCTACCGTTTTGCTCCCATAGTATCCAAGACAAAGGAAGGGAAATACCGAGTGGATTTCCATAACTTTAGCAAGACAGTGGAAGTGGAGACCCCTCACTGTGCCATGTGCCTTTATAATGAGAAAGATGTTAGAGCCAGGATGAAGAGAGGCTATGACAACCCCAACTTCATCTTGTCAGAAGTCAATGAAACAGATGACACCAAAATGTAACAGTGGCTTTTCAACGGGAGTAAAGCAAAGTCTCTAAAGCTCCTAGTACCTAGAAGCATTATGAAGCAGTCAACAATTTAGGGGTACGAAAGTAGGATGAGAGCCTTCAAAGTCTACCAGCACAAAGACCCCTGAGCCCCGCAATTGTGATCCCACAAGACATGCATCTCCACAAGGCTACTGTATTAGAACGTGCAATGCATTTATATGAAACTGGTGTATGGAAGACATAGGTGCTCTCTTGAAATCTTAAATATGATTATTTGAGCTCATATAAGGTGGATTGGAGCAGATAAAATTATCAAAAGTTTCATGAACAGGCCAAACAAAATATTTTTTAAAGTTTCCTTAAAGAAGTTATGAACTTTAGAAAGGATCAGGGGACAATAATAATCTCATTTTGATTCTACTGATAAGAATGACTCCACTTTTAATGTGGACTTTTACTCATGGAAAAATTGTCTCCTAATTTGGGGAGATGAACCAACCAATCAATGACAAGAAAACGCTTACACAAAGAACAATTTGAGGCTCTAAGCTTCTCATGTGGTACGTTTAGACAGAGGCTAAATCTGCACACTAGAATCTTGATGATACCTTCCTGCAAGACAGAATGCTTTAGTTAAAAGTGGTGATGATATTTCTTTCAATCTGTATTGGATGGCTTAAAGGGCTATAAATCTGTTTATAAAGAGCATTTCCTGCTCTTCGAAGACAGCAATGAGGAGTTGGAAGGTGCAAAGTCAGTAGAGAAGGGAATGTATCATTAATGCACCTGAGAAGAAACAGTTTCATGTGTTCCTCCACCTAGAGTTTGTACTGGAATGCTATTTCTAAAGAAGAAGTGGGAAAGAGAGAGGAATGGGATGGAGCCCCACAGTCAGAATGTTACTATGTCTTTCTTTCCCTGACAGCCCATCTTCCTAAAAGGGACCAGCTTATGGAAGGCTCGACCTTGAGGGGAAAGTTTTACTGTGAAAGTCTTCTTCAGATCCCCACCTGCATCATTCCGAATGTGTCCTGGAAAAAAACTGGTACTCAAAGCTGCTTAGGAATCAAAATGTTTTCAGTGTGTTGATTAATATAGTAAATTTCTGAAACTGTGCATGCACTTTGATTATTATTATTACTATGCATTAACTGAGTCAGGTTCCAGGTGAAAATCCTCTTGCAGAGAGGACCCTCTCCTGGAAGGGGCGGGAGGAGTGGAGAGGAAGCAGATAGGACACATTTGTTGTCTGGAGTCCTCAGGAGGAAATGACCCTGGCCACAGACACACCCCTTCCGGTACAGCTCCATCACGCCTCTCCAGTGTGAGTCTTGGCACATAAAACGGCAGCTGCCCACAGTTGTTGGGAGGGATGGCTTATGTTTTTCCATGCCTGGGCTGTATTTGTACAGATCCATGCACCACTCTGGTCCTTCTGACTAAGAACAGTGGGAAGTCTGATGGTTTTAGGGTTGCACACCTTGTCAGTGGCCATAACAGTGGCCATAGCTGGCCCATGTGGAACTCTCACTCTGTACCTGTGAGTGCTTTGGCACCACAATTTAATGTGCTGACAGGAAAAAGAAATCAGGTATCACAAGCTTGAGGGAGCTGGAATTCTCTGCTGGCCCACTGTCATGATGTAGCCCCTTCATAAACTGGAGGGAAACTGTGTTGACACTTGTTCCCATCAGCATGCACTCTTCCTGGTGTATTCTCCTGCTGGCTGGCAGCATGCATGTAGATGGCTGGAAGTGAGATGGTCATAAGCAATCCATTCCCTTTGATTGTTTAGGGAGGTGAACAACATACATCTTTCTGATTGGTATTTACTTCTGGGTTATTTGGTGGAGGCCCATCTGCTTCTAAATATCCCTTTGCTAGGATCAAGACACTCTGCACCTGGAGTCTCTTTTTTAATGGAAATTCCCATTGACCCTCTAGCAACCATTAACACAGGTACATCCAATTAAGCCCCTAGGAAAAGAGGCCTGGAACAGGTAACTTTTGATAGGTCTAAGGAGTGGCTGGAACCCCAAAGCGCATAACACTCCTGTGCATTTTAAGAAAGGGGGTAACAAGGGAATGGGTGCTCAAGTAGTAAAGAGAAATGAAAAATAGCCTGAGAAGGCCAAACTGCTTGTAGGTTAACACCACTGCTAAAGGCAGCCTTTTTATTACAATGCAGTGACATTTTTCCCGGTGGAATCTGACTACATCAGTACTGCTATTTGCTACAGATGCTGGGTTATTCTATTTGCTGATTTCAAAAGCATGTCAACTGTTCTAATTTCCTTCGTGAAAAACTGCATCCCATGATGCATTATTATATTCAAAATTTTCCTTGAGACTGATTCTCTTTGAATTGCCCAGTTCATCTCTGTTGCTATGGGGATTTTGACTAAGAGCGTTTGATCCTGGTTGAATCTTCCTGGACTTAGGTTGGCTCAAGCTCCAATATTTAAGAGTTAAGATTTGGGAGGTTGTCTTTAATGGAAAGCACTAAATGTTTAAAAATTATTTATTCCTTAAGAGAGAAAAGGTAGAAGGGAAAGATCCTTTTGTGTTGCCATGCCTTTTTAAGACATGGGCTGATAGGTGACTGTCCTTCTCTATCCATCACTAAGGGGATGTGCAACTGGACCTTCCAGAAGAACTCCCTGGGCGGATTGCAGAGACGGTTGAGGAAGTGTCTTCCTTGGGGATTTTTCATGAAACAGAATATGGGTCCTCAACAGGATGCTTCTGTGAATAGCACGGGGATCTTTCCCTGTCTAGAACAAACGTTAGGACAGCTTCTGATGGAAAGAATGCAAATGAACCCGGCCCCGCCCCTGGGCCGTTGTTGCCTGCCATTACAGGAAGTGTGTGTCAATCAAAGCTTGACAGGGGAGATAGAGCATTTTATTTTGGAAGCCAGAAGTTTGAGAACAATGACTGGAATTTCCTCTTTCTGTCCGGCAAGGGCTGTTTGTCATTGGGGAGATAAAAGTCCAGGGGCAGGGAATAAAGGTTATCGGGAACTGCGCAAGGCAGAGCCGTGGGGGGTGGGAGGAGGGGTTATGGAGGAAATCTATTTCAATGCCTGTCATTAAGTTTCCATTAAAAGAACATTCAGTTAGGAATTCAAAAATAATTTAATCTCCCCAGCCAGATGCACCCAGCTGGACTCCTTGGAGCTGAGCCCCTTGGAGAGGGAGATTTGCACCACCGGTTGCAGGGGCCAGGAGCTGGGGTGCGTCTCTACCCAGCGCACTCTCGACTGCTTGGGTGTTCTGGAAGACATCGGTATCCTTCAGACAAGTGGGAAACCCCAAGGCTTGTGCAGTGGCAGAAGAAAGTTATTTACTAGGAGTTATTTACTACGTTGTTACCATGTCCGAGGTTCTGTTTACAGCATTTTATATGCAGTCCCTCATGTAATTTTCCCAACAATCCTATGAGGTCAAGACTATGATTATACCTTTATTCCACTTGAGGCAGCTAAGGTAAGGAAGGTGTCCAGAGACATTACCTGGAAAATGGCAGGGCTGGCATGCAAACCCCGGGCAGTCCGCTTTGAAAGCCCATGAGTTTAAAATCCCTCGTCGACATCCTAGGAGGGACCATCCTCTGAGCAGATTCCCCAGGGCCATCGCACACTTCCCTGAAACCCACGGATGACTGGCGCATGCTCTTGGGATGCGTCTTATACTTTGGGAGAAACCACTCATTGCTCAGCACAAGACAGAGCCCTGGCGAGTGCTGAACGAACATCTCTGGAATTGCAGGTTCTAGGAAAAGGCAGTCTTTTCCCATGAGCTCTAGGTCATCCACCAGGTCAGTATACGGAAGTATCATGGGTGTCCTGAAGATTTGATTAGCCCATTGGTGCAAAGTATCTTCCTAATACTAATACACATACTTCTCTCTCTAAATATACACAAACACTAAATATATATACTAATTATATATATATAATTAAAAACTATGTGTGTGCATATGTATGTATACACATACACACACACATATTTATATTTCAGTCTTTGATGTAGAGGCAGATATTATTTCCATTTTGACATGGGAAGTGGAGCCTCCATTCTCCCTGGAGAACAGCCCCTGTGTTCTCTACTCACCTCTGTATTCCTAGCACCAGCAGAGTTCCTCACACAATCCATACATGGTTATAATGAATAAAATAAACCAATGAATGATTTGCTCAAGGTCTACATGGCTAGTAGTGGATTCAAACCCACATCTGTCCAATGAGCTTTTGACTGACCTATGTCATTGACCAGTCATTAGTCAAGGGGCCTGGAAAAATGACTTAACTTCATTAAGCCCCAGTTTCTTTATTTGTAGAATGGAGTTTTGTAATAGAGTTAAGGAGGGGATTCAATGAAATAATGGATGTGAAAAATCCATCTGTTGAAAGTAAATGGCTGTGCATATGGCAACATGAGGTGGGAGCAATGGGTTTGAAGGTGAGGAATGAAGGGGAGGACACTGGTCCCAGAGCAAACCCTGCGCCTGGTGCTTCAAGGGCAAAGAAAGCAGAGCCCAGGGCAGGGCCTGATGGAGACCAGTGGAGGCCTGGGGGACAAGAACAGTGCCTGCAGGGGTCTGTCCCAGCTGGGATAGGCTATGAGTTGGGGGGATTTGAGTAGAATCCTGGTGCTTTGGGTTTGTCTTCAATTCAAGAGATGCTTATTTTGGGTTTACTGTGAGCCAGGCACTGGGGAGGCAAAAAAGAGGAAGCAAGGGTCCTGCCTACTGCAGAAAAGATCCCAGAGCTCCAGCCAGTTCAGAGGACGAGAGTTAAACTGGAAAACTGCTGATGTCGGGGAGAATCTTTTTATTGTCTTATGCCATGTGCTTATAATAGTTTCAGCAAAAACAATATTGACTCCACTGCTAACAATAAGACTATTGATTACAGTCTTAAAAGTATTTGGGATTAAACATTTTTAAATCATCCATCCTATAGATATTCTTTATATAACAATGTACAATCAACACAGTGATAAAGTCACTTGAAGTAGTTCTTTTCTCCGTGTGATTAGGTACCAACTGGACATAGGTTCATTTGTTTCCATTTATTTGCAATCGTTAAAGTCTGTTTATTGTTTTCCTTTTTTGATTTCGCCATTTCTTTTATGAATTATGCAAGGAATTTATATAATTTCAAAACCACAGAACAGGGTTTAGAAAACATGCTTCCATTCCTGTGCCCTCCACTCTATTTCTTCCCGTTCTATAAAGGGTAAGCATCTTTATTATGTTGTATCCTGTGGCGGTTTCTTTGTGAAAGATGTAAGCAATGCATATGTGACATGTTAGTATTTACATGCTGCTCCATTCTTACACAAAAGGTAACACTCTAGAAACACCATTCTGCAGGGTTTTCTTCACCTAATAGAATGTTCTGCAGATCACTGTGTAGGGATAAGTGCTGATAATACCAACATCTATGCGACACCCTCCCTCACCTTCGTGGGTGCTCTTGCAGTAGTTGCTGGGATCTTGCTCCAGAGGCCCCTGCTGTGCAGTTTTGAGCCTGAGAGATGGTGGCCTTTTCTGTTTTGCCTTCCTGAAAGCTTCCCTCTCTTTGCAGGGTGACTCTAGGGCTGATTCTGCCTACCCTGCTGGGGAATAAGCTGGGCTCTCAACCGGGCTCCCAGTGGGAGAGAGTCTGCCCAGGACCAACAGCTCTTTGAGGATCAAACCTCCCTGGAATTTTGGCTGGGTAGAAAATCAGAAGTATCCTCAAGAGAGACATCCCACTCCAGTACATGGGGTGGGGGCTTGGCTGGAGAGGGGGGATTCAATTCCCAGAGCATTCTGGATAACCCCTTTTTGATTAGAATCCTCTGACCCTTTGGGGTTAGGGTCATGGAGCTCACCATTGTGTGGAAAATTTTGTGCGCAAGTATATTAAAATGGAAATGAAGTTAATTAATGAAATGAATAAAGGCTACAAACTAAGTATGAAAAAAGTGCTTGAAGGAGGCAGGGGAAGGCTTCTAGGAGGAGAAGGCAGTTGATCTAGGTTCGAAGTGTGGTTACGACTTGACAGAGGGAAAGGCGAAGGGTAGAGAGGTGTGACCAGGTGGGCACATGTTCCAGACGGACGGAGCCACAGGAGCGTGAATGTGTCTGGGGGCTCTGGGAAGTGCCGTGCAGTTTTACATGGCCACAGCATGGCCACGTGGAAGGAATGGTCCAAAGAGGCAGAAGTTTGGTGCCAAGCCGACTTGAGTTTGAGTCCTGGCTTGATCAGTCAAACCACCAGAGTCTTTGAGGGGGCATGGGATGATTAAACAAGTATTTTGGGACTATATCTCTTGTGTTGGCATGAGGGACAGATTAGAGAATTAGAGGCAGAAACTAACTTTTGAGGGAGGCAGAGAAAGTGTCGTCATTTCCATTTTTCAGGATGGGAAACTGAGTCTCAGAGACCCTATGACTTGCCCAGGTCATGTAGCTGTGAAGTGGGGAAGCAGGGGTCAGAAGCCAGGGTGCCTGCCTGCTAGTTAGCCCAGCGTTCTTTCCTGTGCCTCTCCCCTTTCCTGGAGCCACCCACAAACTTTGTGCCTGGCAGTCACTGTTCCTGAAGGAAAATGCACCTGGAAGGTGGTAGCCAGGATCAGAAAGGCAGGTGAGTCTGGGAATGGATAAAGCCCTGCACCCTTGCACTGCTTCTTTTGGGAACACAGAGGCCACGTGTATCTACAGTTGCACTTAGCATCTGAGGAAGCTGGGAAGCCCTCACTGGAAGGGAAGACACGGAGGCACCTTCATCTACACCAACAAAGTGAAAGTAAGCAATCACTAATGAGTGGGCTGTTGAGGCCACCAGCAAAGTTGTTTTTAGTTGAACTAAAAATGGCAAGTAGAGACCACAATTATCCCTATGGTTATCTCAGTTCCCCACATCAATGGCCAGATGCAACCTGAACCTGTGATAGCCTCGGAAAAACACAGCCTGATGAAGCATAAAAGAAAAAAGTAGGCAAGGAAGGAGGAGGGATGAAGGCAAGAAATAAGGTGCAAGGTTCAGGGGCTTTGAAGACAGACAGATTTGGGTCAAATCCCAGATTTCCCACTTATTGGCTGTGTTTAGCTTGAACAAATTCTTAGCCTTTCTGAGTCTTTTTTCCAGTTGTGAACAACAATAATACCTACCTTAAAGGGATAGTGTACAGATATAGTATGAAATAATATTTAACAAAACACTATGTAAAGAACCTAGCACTGTGTCTGATATAGGCTCCCAATAAGCGGTAGTTTGAGTGATGATGATTATTCTGCCGATGATGGGCAAGGCCAAGGCAGGGTGGGTCTGGCTGATGAGCGGGGGTCCCATGCTGTGCCCTCGTTTCCTCTGTCCTGGGCCTCATCGTTTCCCAGCCTACATTCCTGGCCTTGCTTTCCATTTCCAGGCTTGATTTTAACCTGAGACACAGTAGCTCACCTTCCTCCCTGTGCCTGCCTCCGAGGTGAACTCACAGAATCCTAGAAGCTTAGCGGTGAGAGGGACCTAGGCAAAGCCTGACCCTACCCTGTTATTTCATAAGTGGAGAAACTTAGGGTCCCTAAGTTTCTGCAGGGGGGCCTGTTCAAGAGGAATAATGTGTCTTACCCAGCTTCAGAAAGAGTCGATTGCTGACCCATCCTGTGCTTCAGATTTCCCCCTGGGTGGAAGTGAAGACAGGGGAGGGTAGGGGTCGAGGGGGGATCCTACTAGAATGGGCAATCCTGAACTAACCTGCACTTTGTTGGCGAGGTGTGCTTTGGCCAGCAGGTGGCGCCATATACTTCCAGATCGCAAAAGTGAAACTGACCTGGTTGAAAAGTAGTCTGCCTCTGACGGTTAAGAGGGCTTGGCTATACCCAGAAAGCTCTTAATAATGCTTAGAATATTTAACAGAGATATATAAAATATTGGGCCTTCTAGTCATTGCTGGGGTGATAAAATGACCGTGAAAGACATAAAAAAATTTAAATTGTGATTTAAATATAGAAGTTTATCATTCTAGAGAGATTAGACTGGCTCGAAGAGGAAGTTGTTACCATGTGTTAGAGTCTATGAGATTCCATGTGCTTTACATTTTCCTGACAATAAAGCTGACATAATACCATGACTCCCATTTTACAGATGAGAAGTCTGAGGCCCAGAGAGGTTAAGATGCATGCTCATGGTCCATACACGGCTAGTCAGGGCAGAGCTGCTATGTATCTATATATTCAACATTTATACAGGGTTTATTATGAGCAGACATTATTTTAAGTGCTTTATAAGTATCTACTCATTTAATCCCAGTAACAACTGTAGATAGCAGAACAGGCACTTTTGAAAGCACAGGTTAGTCTGGGTCAAAATTCATGGGCTTTCCCAGGAACAGGCCAGCTCCTGTCTCCCGGAGGCCTGAGTCCAAATTCTTTTTCAGTTGCTTTCATATGAATTTGGTAACTCGCTTACCCTCTCTGAGTTGTGGGTTTCTCATTCGTAAGCTGATGATAATGAAACCAACCCCATGTGGCTGTTGAGAAGATCAATTAGTAGAACACATGACACAGAATTAACCACAAAGTCATATTCCTTGTTAAGGGATTATTTTTACCACAGACACCTAATAGATGAATTCACATAAACGCATGTTTGTTGCAGGATTATGTGTAGGGGTGAAAAGCCTAAGTGTACTATGACAGGGAAATCAGTTAATGCAGTGTGAAATGCTACGCTATTTTTTTTTTTTTTGAGATGGAATCTCCCTCCTGTCGCCCAGGCTGGAGAGCAGTGACGCGATCTCAGCTCACTGCAACCTCCACCTCCCGGGTTCAAGTGATTCTCCTGCCTCAGCCTCCTGAGTAGCTGGGATTACAGGCATGCGCCAACACTCTTGGCTAATTTTTTGCATTTTTAGTAGAGATGGTGTTTCACCATGTTGGTCAGGCTGGTCTCAAACTCCTGACCTCGTGATCCATCCGCCTCGGTCTCCCAAAGTGCTGGGATTACAGGCGTGAGCCACCGCGCCCAGCCTGCTATTTTAAACAAATATTTGGGCACTGAACAATGTCCTACAGACACATTTAGAAAATAAAATACACTAGGAGCTCCATGGAGCTCATATTCTTGGGGCAGCTGACAGGGCACACCAATGTCAGAGGGGAGAATTGGCACAAGGCATCCTTACCTAGTGTGAGGCACCGAGGAGAGAGAGCTTCTCTGAGAAAAAGACATGGAAGTGAAATGTGAAGCAAAAGGAAGAGTTAGTCAAATGATGGGTGGAGGGGAGTCCAGGAAGAGGAAATGTGTCCAAGGTTCAGGATGTGAGAGCACAACACTCCATACACCACATCTTAAAAATAAGGAATGATTTTAGACAATGTCCTCAAAACATCAAATGAAAGAAGTGTGTACCAGAAATTATAAACATTTTTTTAGCTAAAAAAGGTTTTAAGTGTGAAATGTTTTTTAAAATGTAGAATTTTGTTGCATATATATGTGCATATACGTGTACCCAAAAAGACTCAGAAGTAAACATAAATGCATTCTTTCACTTATTCACTCACTCTATCATTCACTCATCAAATGTGTTTTGAGAGCCTGTGGCACTGGGGCCTGCTGAGGCCCCTGGGATAGAACAACAAAGACAGTCCAGGGCCCACCTTCATGGACTGACTTCCTAGAGGAGGGAGACAGAAAATAAGCAATGCATGCATACATTTAAAATAATTTCAAACAGGCTGGGCGCGCTGGCTCATGCCTATAATCCAAGCACTTTGGGAGGCCCAGGTAGGAGGATCACTTGAGCCCAGGAGTTTGAGACCAGCCTGGCAACATAGCGAGACTCCATCTCTACAAAAAAAAAAAAATGGAAAAAATAGTCTGGCATGGTAGCACACACCTGTAGTCCTACCTTGAGAGACTGAGGTGGGCGGATCATTTGGACCCCAAAAGTTTGAGACCAGCCTGGGCAACATGGTGAAACCCCGTCTCTACAAAGAGTACAAAAATTAGCCAGGCATGGTGGTGCACACTTGCAGTACCAGCTACTCAAGAGGCTGGGGTGGGAGAATCACCTGAGTCTAGGAGGTGGAAGCTGCAGTGAGCTGTGATCACACCACTGCACTCCAGCCTGGGTGACAGAGCCAGACTCTATGTCAAAAAAAAAAAAGATAAAATAAAATTCAAATAGCGATACAAGAAAATACACAAGGGTGATGACGTGGAGAACAACTCACAGGGAGGGTGTTTCCTCAGACCAAGTGGTGAGGGGAGGCCTCCCTGAGGAGGAGCCACCGAGGGCCAAGCCATAGGAAGAAGGACCTAGTCATGCAGACTTGGGTGGAGAATATTCTAGGCCAGTGGCCTTCAATCTCGGACACACATTGGCATCATCCGAGAGCCTCAGAAACTACTGCTGCTTGCCATTCCTCAACCTTTGAGTCTGCCTTATTGGCTGTAGGGGGACAATCTGGGCATTGGGATTGTCACAGGAATTTTCCTAAGCTCTCCTGGTGACTCTGAGAATGCTGACCCCTGAGAACCCCGGGTCTAGTGGAAGTGACTCACAGCATGATCTGATCAGCTTTGGGTGGGAGCATACTAGTCATCAAATAACAGAGACTGATGTCCAGGTCTTTGAAAACCCCCAGGGCACCAGAAAATCCTGACTCCAGAGGTCGGCAGAGGGGCCCGGGGATTCTGTTTTCATAACACGTGCTCTCAGGTGACTGTATCCACTGCTAGGCCCAACAGATATCCTCTGCTAGGACAAATGAGAAACCCACAACTCAGATGACCAGTATGACCACTATGCTCCCACCCGAAGCTGACCGGATCATGCTGTGAATCACTTCCACTAGACCCGGGGTTTCTAATACTTCTAATATTTCTAATATTCTGAATTTTACAGATTTTCTATCATGACAATACATTTCTTTTATCATAATTTTTGACAAAAGGTAATTGTGAGGACATTGTAGTGGAGCTAGATGGAATTCTGGGCCTGGATTAGATCTGGTAAATTTGAATTCCAGTAAATAGCAGTGCAATCTGGGAAGAAGATGTTACCTTTCTGGGTCTCTGGTTCTCTCATCTCTAAAATGAATCCTATCATCCTACAACTCCACGAACTGGAGCTGCAGGTGAGGAAGAACAGACGGCAGCCTGAACAATGAGCCACCTGACTCCATGCAAGGGGAGTTTCCAAATAGCAGCCACCTCCGAACCTCCAAGCTCCGCAGGATCTTAGCTTTTGTTTTTTAACTAGTTTTCATGTGAACTCAATTTCTGGGGTTTTCTTATGGTAGGCTCTGAATGAAACACAAAAAAGTAAAGCACAGTCTTCTCTTTGCCCCATTTCTCTCAAGTTGACCCTGCTTTCCACACCCATTTCTCCACGCCCATTACAGCACTGCCACCGCACCTCCAAGGCCCTGGGTGGAATCGGCTCAGGCCAGCTGGCAAGAATGCTGTCTCTGTGGCCTCTGAGTTTTGCCAATACTCTATGTCCACTTCCCAGAATCATTCTCTTGCCTTTTCCACTTTCCCCTCGGAGAACACAAGCGTGGGCAGTAAGGCTCTCTCCTTCTACCTGGTCACCCACACTCTTGAGGCCTCTGTTGCAAAGTGAAGAGGAAGGAAAGACCGACTGTGCTTTTGTTTCTTGTTCAGCTTCCTGATTTCATTCTGGCCCTGCCTTTGACCAGGGCCATCCCTGAGCTACTTGGTCATGATTTCTGCTAAGCAAGAGGGCAGTGACTAACTAGGAAGCAGTGCAGTGTGGTGGGGAAGGCCCCTGGATCCAGAATCCTCTCCTGGCTCTGTCCCCAAGGAGCTGTCACTTCAGTTTTGTGGCCCCTAGGGGGTGGGACCATTCCTGTAAAGAGCTGATGGGTGCATCTTTTCCTAGCTCTGGATTCAGTGTCATGCTGGCACCCTGACACCAGTGGTGGCGGAAAGCTTATGTCTTGGGAATCGGCAAATGTGATCACTCAGGGCCTACTGTATTAGTCTGTTCTCATGATGCTAATAAAGACATACCCAAGACGGAGTAATTTATAAAGGAAAGAGGTTTAGTTGACTCACAGTTCAGCATGGCTGGGGAGGCCTCAGGAAACTTACAATCATGGCAGAAGGGGAAGCAAACATATTCTTCTTCACAGGGTGGCACAAGGAGAACTGCCAAGCCAAGGGGGAAAAGCTCCTTGTAAAACCATCAGATCTCGTGAGAACTCACTCACTATCATAGAACAGCATGAGGGTAACCGTCCCCATGATTCAATTACCTCCTACCAGGTCCCTCCCACGATATGTGGGGATTACGGGAACTACAATTCAAGATGAGATTTGGGTGGGGACACAGCCAAACTGTATCACCCATGTTTGCCCCCCCTCAGGGGCCAGCTGCTAACATTTACCAGCTCACCACTGAGGGTATCTTTCGGGCCTAGCAGGGGATATCCGTTGGGCCCAGCAGTGGATACAATCCCTGGGCCCCTCTGCTGACCCCTGGAGTCAGGATTTTCTGGTGCCCTGGGGGTTTCCAAAGACCTGGACATCGGTCTCTGTTATTTTGTTTTGTTTTCTGGTTTTTTGGTGCTTCTTTGAGTGGGCCTCTTGCTCCATAGCCCAGGCTGACATGCAATGTGGCATGATCATAATTCATTGCAGCCTTGAACACCTGCCACAAGTGATCCTCCTGCCTCAGCCTCTCAAAGCATTGGGATTCCAGGTGTAAGCCAGCACATCTAGCTGGACTCTGGTTTTACAATAAGTGGTGGAACCGGTGGATTACATGCCCCTAAAGGTCACTTTTAGCTCTAAAATTATCTGCTTTTGGTTGCCACCCAATGTGTTCATAGGTTGGTGCAGGGACTGCCAGAACCTAGCTGCAAAGAGCAATCGTCTTCTGCAGAGCCATCTCTTCCTCACAACCCTAGGCCCTGCTCTGCCTGCTGAGGCTGCTGACAAGTTTCCACCTTTACAGGACACTTTCCACTTCCCACGCTTAGGCGGACCTCATGCTGGGATGGGAGGTCAGTAACTATTCCGCATTAGCTGTGGCTTGGAGGAAACAGGGGTAAGGGAGCCAGGTTTTCCTACCGGAAGTGACTTCCCAGGGGGAAGTTGAAGCCTCCACGGAGAGGAGTCCTTCCTCCTCCTTCCATGCCAGGGTCCTTCCATGCCCTGGGGTCCCTTCTCATTGGAAAGTCATCCTGGCTCTAAGGGGCTGGCCTGGGGCAGGCTGCCCATGCACACTGGGCTGATGGTAGATCTTGCCAGGATTTGGGGAGGAGGGAAATAGTTGCCAAACAGAGACAGAGGCAGAGAGAGAAATAATAAAACGGAGGGAAAAGAAATAAATAATAAGAGGGAAAAGAAATAAATAATAAGGAACGCGCCAGAAAGCCAAAAACACCAGGAATGCCTTCTTCAGCCATGTAAGAGGAAGCTGGGGTTAGGAAGGAGTTTGTGATTTGTAGCCCAGCGGGGGAAGCCGGGTCCTGTGTATGACACAAGGTCCTGGTAGCTGTAGTTCTTTGTCCATCCCTCTCCCACTCCATCAGCCCAGCTGCTCAGCTCTCCGGTGATCCGCACTTGGCAGGAACGGTTTACTCCACATTCTTTGTTTCCCCCTCTCCCTTCTTTCTGACCCCAGCTTTTCCTGTCTGCCTTCTAGAGCCACCGGAATTAGGCCTTCCTGCTCCCTCCTTCTCAGCCTCTAGCCCTCCACACCGGGCCCTGGACAATCCACTCTGGCTGGGGGCGGGGGCACGGTGGCTCCCCAAAGCCTCTAGTCTCCACACTAACAGAGAAGGGGATCCCACTCTCTCCATAGATCCCCCACCCCGCCACTCCGCCATCCACCAGTGGCTCCAGAGAGGTGAGGGTGGGATCTCCAGGGGCAGGAGGAGACCTCTCAGAGGCTCCGGCTCCCGCGGGATGCCGCCCACGAGCACCCTCGAGGGGAAGGTCTGTGCTCCCCCTGGGCACAAAGCAGGGAGAAAAGAATGGAAGAAGGGGACTCCAGTGGGGGTCCAAGTTTCAGCTGCCTCCTACCCCCAGGTCTTACACCGAATTACCATCATCTTTTCAGGAAAACCAAATTGTTACTGCCGGGTCACGAGATCCCTGGACCGCGGAGGCACCCACTGCCAAGATGGATTCCTGTCGCCCCAGCCAGGCAGGCACACAGCCTGGCGTCCTCCCTCCAACCCCGCGGTGCCCCTGTTCTCCCCAGCCCTCGGCCCCCTGTGGCTCCCAGCACCCTCGGCCACCCCCACCCGAGCTGCCCCCTGCGTCCCCCAACATTCCCTCGCCCAAGGCTGCCCCCAACCCCCAAGCTGCTCCCCGCGCCCTCGGCCACCCCCACCCGGCTGCTCCCGAGCTGTCCCCTGTATCCCCCGGCCCCCAACGCCCTCGGCCACCCCCCACCCGGAGCTGCCCCCTGAGTTCCCCCCACCTCCCTGTGCCCAAGGCTGCCCCCCACCCGGAGCTGCTCCCGGAGTACCCCGCCCCGCGCGCTCTCGGCTGCCCCTCACCCTTGAGCTGCTACCCGCGTACCCCGCCCCCCGCGCCCTCGGCTGCCCCCCACCCCCAGGGCTGAGCCCGAGCCGGCTCCGGCTGTCTGCGCGCAGCGCTCCAAGGCAGCGGGGTGAATGGACGGCATCCAGCCTGGCCGGCAGCTTGAAAATAAAAATAAAACAGAGGGAAAAGAAATAAATAATAAGGAGCGCGCCAGAAAGCCAAAGAAAATACAATCCCAAGCTCCGAGCAGGCTTCAAGCCTGCAGCCGGCCCTGGGCCGCAAGCCTCCGGCGTCGGAGCCACCGGGCCCCTGCTCCCCGCCCGCGCGCGTCCCTGTCCTCGCCGGGGAAACACAATCCGAGCTCGCGTAGCTCCTGGGCCGAGGGGGCCAGAGAGGGCCGAGGACGCCCCCGCCCGCAACAGGGACCGGCTTGTTCTTTGTAATGGCAAATATTTATTTTGGTTCAAGTGGAACCCTTTCCACAAAGACCACTTGGTTGTAATCAATAACACCTATTTTCAGATAATCTGCCCTCTCTGGGCAGAGCCCACGGAACTCACCCAAACAGAGATCTTTTCAAAGGGAATTTTAAATGGGCTGGATTCACAGACGGCTGGAGGAGGGGCCTGGCGGGGGGTGGGAGGCGGCGGGCAGGGGGAGATGAACCTGGGTGGTCAGGCCGGAGCTGGGCCGAGGCGCTGCCAGGTGGACGTCTCCACCCTGGGTGGGGTGGGGGGGTCTTCCAGGAACCTTTCTCAAAATAAAACAAATCGAAAACCTTTCTTTGGTTGGCCAAATGTTGCTGCAGAGGTAGACTTCTAGAAACTCCCAAACCGCTTCCCTTTTCCTCCCAGAGAGCTTCTACGTTGTCATAGGCGGACTCCATTGCAGGATGAGGCATCCCAGACTGCCCTAGCCCTCCAGTCCCGGAGTTGCTGAGAGGCCGTGTCCCTTACTTGTAAAGTGGGGACCGAACGTGTCCTTGTCACAGGAGAGCTGTTCATTTGAGAATGTATCTGAGCACAGGCAGCGGGCGGGCGTCCTTCTAGGTGCTGGGATCACCAGGGAAGAAAACCAGAGCGGTGCCCTCGTGGAGCCTCCTTCCAGTGGAGAGAGACAGACATTAAGCCAGTGGGTACGATGGGCAGTGACGAATGTTACAGGAAAGAAAGGCCTTGGAAACTGTGAAGGGCTTTGTGCTTCAGCTCTGTGGTGGAGGCAGCTCTCTGCCGGGGTCGTCTGTCTCCCGTGGAGCAGGCAGAAAAGGCCAAGAGTCAGAAGGTGCTGCTAGTGCCAAACATCTCAGGGGTGGAGCCGGCAGGCCAGGTTCCAAGTCCACCTGCTAGTGTCCTTTCAGAACCTCGGAATCCTCAACTATGAACTGGGATGGGCAATACCCACCTCATTGGGCTGTTACGAGGGTTAAATGAAAATCGATAGTACTTGGTGTTAGTTCCTAAAGGCCGCCTTTCAGCCTAGGCCCAGTGGCGATGTAGCATCCTTCTCTAAGATGACATTGGCTGACTTTCCATAACATAAGATTTCTGGGTGAAGCATGGATACCTGTAAGTCCTGGACAGTGGGGCCACTCTGGGGAGATGCTGTCCTAGGTGGCCTCTCACTCGGTGCTGTCCTGATTTTGGCCATAGGGGTGGCCTAGGCTGGCCCATTAGGGTACCTCACTGGCAGTAACTCTCTAGGCAAACCAGATCTTCCCGCTCAAACATTTTAACTGGGAAATACGGAGAGATTGAGGCAAGATGATAGTGAGATGAACCACCAGTGGCAAGCTGTGAGAAGGGACCTTAGTCATGGGAACCCAGGAACACCTGCCACTTTGGACACTGGTAACTTTTTTGTTCCAGCGCCAGGAGGCTGTCCCTCCAAGAGTTCCTGTTCTCCTGAGGTTCCTGTCTCCCTCATTGCCATGGCTGTTTGACAGTAAATTCCCAGTATTCCAGGAAGCCTGCATGAATGCCTATCAACTCAAAGGAGCCATCTTCTATGAAGCCACTCTAAATAATGAAGGGATGTTCTCTGACCATATGTGGCCAGGTTGAGAGCGGGGAGACCAATGATAGGTATGTGGTATGCATTATGGTGATTAAAACCTCAGCAGATAAAACTGTTTCAAAAGTTTCCCTTCATTAACAGTAAGGGCCTCCATGCTGTTAGAAAAATTACTTTGTGTATCCTAATGCTGTTTTCTTTGTCCTTGGAGATGGCTAGAAAAAAGGGGACAGGACTGATTTACTAACTCTTTGTACTGGTTAGGCCAGGCTGGGTCTGAAATTATGTCACTGCTCTCCATGAAGAATGTGGCTTTCTTCCTCGATGAGAAGTCTTCAGCATCGATTCTTAGTTCAGAGCTTGCAGAGAAATTAAACTTGGGCTCAGCCAACCCAGTGGGGGTTGATGGCCCAGAAAAGATTATGATAAGAAAGGGGTGAGGGGCAGGAAGAGGGGAGGTGTGTTGGAATTTGGGATAATTGAATTTGCTGTGCAGCCAGCAGTTATGGCTCGGGTCATCTGCTGAAGCTTCAGTTATAAATCCACCAAGACCAGGAAATTCCATGGTTAGGCCAATCTTTCCGTTTTCTCAGAGATCAGAATGGTTCAGGGTTTAGTGAGAGACGGTTTTCACCTAGATTTGCTATGTCTCTTGCTAAACTATATTTTTCCATTAATATCATTAAGCTGATTTCCTGGAAACCCAGCATCAGCCCCCCGACTTTCTGTCATATTCTCGCCCAGGAAAACCAGCAGGCCCTCATGCATAAAGGATACTTGTCCATCTGTATCCATTCTGATTAGCCAGAATGCTGGCAGTAGAATAGGCTCCCTCCAGGGACCAACTGCAGTTGTCTTAACTCCAATTTCCTCTCCGTTGCCTTTTGGCCAGTTGACTGAGCAAAGCTAAGGGACCATTTGTAATTAGCTCCCAGCAAGCTGAATAGCTGATCTCTTGAGAATTAGACACTTCTTGCAAAGAAATTTAACCTAGATGAATGTTGTATGTAAATACGATTTTTATGGCTCTTTTGAGTTTTCTGGAAACTCCACAAATGCCCATAATATCCCTCCCGGAATTAAACAAACTTCCCCAGAGGTAATGGGCTTTGATCTTCTAGGAATATGGGTTTCCTAAATGAGCAGGACGTCATAGGGGGTGCCTGTGTCTTTGGTGACATAGCTCTTTGTGGGGATGGAAACACCTTTATTTTTTATTTTATTTTATTTTTTTTTGAGACCAAGTCCACTCTGTCGCCCAGGCTGGCATACAATGGTGCCATCTCGGCTCACTGCAACCTCCACCTCCCGGATTCAAGCGATCCTCCTGCCTTTGCCTCCTGAATCTCCTGAATAGCTGGGATTACAGGCATGCACCACCACGCTTAGCTAATTTTTGTATTTTTAGTAGAGACAGGGTTTCACCATGTTGGCCAGGCTGGTCTTGAACTCCTGACCTTAGGTGATCCACCCGCCTCAGCCTACCAAAGTGCTGCAATTCCAGGCATGAGCCACCGCCCCCGGCAGGAAATGGCTTCTTTTCTCGCCTTCTCCCTCTTCATTCTCATCTACACAAAACCTTGGAGTGTTGGCTTTGAGCACAAATGGCAGCCCTATGATTTGGTTGCTGGGTTGAAGCCACTTGAAAAATTGGATTCATTTGAGTTTTGTGTCTTGGATTCTGATCAGGTGATCACTGAAGTTTGTAAATATTCAGTATAAAAGGAACAGGCTGAGAAGCATCAGAAATATCCTTATGAAGGCAGATCTAGCTATAACTGAATTAATTTTGCTTTTCAGAAATTAGTGGCAAGTTCATATTTCTTCCCTACAGACTAAGTCCCTATGGGTAGAGTTTGCATTCCCCACATTTTAAACTTCTCAAATGGATGTCTGATGCAAATTGATTTCCTAATGGTTATCTGTTCTGTTATGATTTTTTTTCTAAATGACAAAACTTTGAGTTATGCAGAAAATCACTGGATGATTTGATGTTCCTAAAAGAGACAAAGAAAGAGCGAAGGAAGGTAACGCTGTCAAGAAAAGCTGAGGTGTCTGGAAAGTATTGCTTGAATATATGCAATGCTTGATTAAACATTTCTGAAAGCCAGCGGCTCTGGGCAATATAATCATCAGTGGGGAAAGAGATATTGCATCTTCTGGGGAAACCAATTAACACCAAAGATTGGATTGGTAAAAATTGCTGGCAAGTTTTAACAGTGGTCTAGCTCCATACTTTAACTGCATCTTCCGTGATTTTTATTTTCTCTGTGTATTTCCGGAATTAACAGTAACTGAGCAGAACGGACAGCTCATGCTTCCCTCAGAATTTCTGGGCAGCTGTATTGGGTTTGGACACGTTTTGTCCAGTAGGTGTAGTTTGACAAATAGACATGTTCTGGATCTTTCTAGAAGCCAGGCACTGGCTTATAAAGAAAGAGTTAGACAAAGTTTCTGCCCTTCATTCCCTTATTGTCTAATGGAGGACACAGACTTCAGATACAAATAGATCCTGGGGTCTTGTATTACTCTCTCTTGACAGAACACAACAACCAAAAATAATTAAAAAGCCATGCATTCTTCACCCCAGCCTCTATCAAAAACATTAACGTTATAACCCAGAACATTGCTTTTTCATCCTTACCAGCCACACTTCCAATTTCTCCCCTGCACACCTAAAACAAGATTTTAACATTTCATTTTCTCCACTTGTCTGTGCCTCGTTCCTTATTATTATCTTGTTAGCCTCTCTGGTTAACTACTCCTTCATCTCTTTCTCTCCTTTCTCTAACTGCTTGCCAGATTCTGCATCTCAAAAGGCACAAGGGTGTGTGCGTGTGTGTGTGTGTGTGTGTGTGTGTGTGTGTGTGTGAGAGAGAGAATATGGAAGCAGGCAAAACTACAGTTTAATGGATCTTGTGGTCCCTTTTTGCCATGCATGGGCAACACATACACACACCCAATGAGATATGTGCTGTTGTAAATGTGTAAGCACGCATCTTCCCTTCTTCCTTCCCCTTCCTTCCCTCTTCCTCCCCCTCCCACTGAAGTCTTGACTGCAGGAGCCATGGGTGCAGCACAGCAAGGCAGGTGTCAGGGGGTAGTGATATCAGAGCCTGAACGGGGTGAGAAGGGCTTCCGTGTGGCGCGTCCTGATGGGAAGTGTTAGTGCCCAAGTGGAGTAAAGAGAGCATGGGACGCAGGGCGTGCAGCCTGTCCTGGCTGTCAGGGCTACAGCTGGTTGAGGAGGGTTTGCCTGTGGAGGCGTTGCCTGGGTTGGGGCATCAGAGCTTGAACAGGGTGAGAACAACATCCACACAGAGGCACTGCCTGGGGTGGGGTGAGGAGGGTGCCCATGCAGTGGGGTGGCCTGGATGGGAGTTTAGGGCCAATGCAGGGAGATGAACACGTTGCATGGAGGTGAGGGGTGCAGCAGAGATGGAAGACCGGGTGCATGCAGAAGGATTGACAAGGAAGGGCTTATAGGATGTCTAATGGAAACCATTCTTTTCACTGTCAAATAAAGGAATTACAGACACAAAAGGGGAATCAACATCCAGTGTTGGATTAGAAATGAATGCTTCTGAGTGAACTCAGGGTTTCAATATAGATAGGTAGTAGAAATAAATACAGAAATAGATGTATATGCATAGTCATATAGATAGCAGAAATAAATATAGATATAAATGTATAAGCATATACAGTCATGCACTGCATAAAGATGTTTAGGTCCGTGAAAGACCCCATATGCAATGGTGGTGCCACAAGGCTATAAAGGAGGTGAAGAATTCCCATCACCCAGTGACATCGGTGCTCATGCCCTGTGGAAGTGCAATGCAATCTTCATGTCTGTGGTGACGCTGATGTGAACAAACCTACTTCCCTGACGGTCTATGAAAGTCTAGCAGGTGTAGAGTACGTAATTCTTGATAATGATAGTAAACAACTATGTTACTGTTTATGTATCATTACTTTAAAATGATAGATTTTTATCATTATTTTAGAATGATAGATTTTAGATATACGTAGATAATGCCTACTTACATGTTTAGAAAGTTAACTGTAAAACAGCCTCAGGCAGGATATAGGCTAAATATGAATTCATGTCTTCATTTCTAACAAAAATTTCAAGGAGTAAAACGAAATATTTTTTTAAATAAAAACAGTGTATAGAATAAGGATATGAAGATATTTTTATACTGTACAATGTGTTTGTGTTTTAAGTTAAATGTTATTACCAAAGAGTAAAAGAGTTAAAAAATTTAGAACTTTATAAAGAATTACGGTAAGCTAAGGTTAATTTATTATTGAAGAAAGGAAAAGGTTTTGTAGATTTAGCGTAGCCTGAGTGTACAATGTTGACAGAGTCTGCAGTGGTGTGCAGTTATGTCCTAGGCCTTCACATTCACTCACCACTCACTCACTGACTCACCTAGATTAATTTGCAGTCCTGCAAGCTCCATTCATGGTAAGTGCCCTATACAGGTGTACCATTTTTTAACTTTTATCCTCATATTTTTACTGTACCTTTTCCATGTTTAGATACACAAATACTTCCCATTGTATTACAGTCACCTACAGTATTCAGTAGAGTAACATGCCGTGCATGTTTGTAGCCTCGGAGCAATAGGCTGTACCATGTAGCCTAGGTGTGTCATAGGCTGTTCTATCTAGGTGTGTGAAGTACACTCTATGATATTCACAACTGTAAAATCACCTAAGGACACATTTTCCAGAATGTATCCCCGTTATTAAGGAAGGCATGACTGTATATGTATGTATGTACGTGAGTGCATATAGTCACATACATACATACATAATATATGTGTATGTATGTATCTACGTCTATTGCCTGGCTCTGTACACTGAGGGAGCCTGGGAGCAGGGACACCCCATTAGCAATTGGCACATCTATCCCCCAGGTATTGGGTTCTAAATAGCATTTTCCACTAAAAAGAACTAGGAATCCATGAGGAGATGACTAATTCCAGGGCTAGGGCAGAAACTCCAAAATAAGTTGTTGTGCGAGAAAGTAAGGAAGCACTTAAAGACTGATGGGAACATGTCAAAGGAGACAGAAGCCAGCGTGAATATCCTTCCATTGGGACAATGTAATCATTAAAGAACAGATCATATCCACTCAATAAAATAGAGAGCCATGAGTCTTAGAGATATAAATAAATGAATGAATACTTTGCAATTTGATGTTGAATGGGATATTTACATATTTTGAAAGTAAACCTCCGCAAAATACTTATTAATTACAAAGGGTAAAGGAATAACTTTTCAAAGGAGAAGGCTGGGAGGCACCACCTTAAACAAAGAGTGAACTTCATCAATAACGGGATACGTTGAAATGATGTACCATGCAATGGAATACAGGAGAGGAAGGCAGCATGACTTCTGCGATGGTCCTCTCAGAAAAGCCTTGGCTCAATCCAATCGCGAAGAGATACCAGCAATCCCAAATTGGGGAACATTCTACAGAATACCTGACCTGTCATATTCAAAATTGTCACAGACCTGAAAGACCGAGGGAGACTAATGGTAGATGACAGCTATACACAATCAGTGTTTTAGAATGGGAACCTTTTGCTCCAAAAGACTGCAGTGGTGACAATCAGCCAACAGTGCATGGTGCCTCGGGATTACATAGGAGTAATCCGCTTGCATTAGTTATTCGATTCTCTTGATTATACTGGACTATGTAGGAAAAGGTTGTTGTTTAAATGAAATATACCCTTAAGCATTTGGGGTTGATGAAGCATGGTTGGCAAATTTCTCTTAAATGATTCACTAAAAATTGTTCGTCGTACTGTTCTAACTTTTCTGGAAGTTTGTGACTATTTCAAGATTTTACAGTTTTTTAAAAAATCACAATGTATATTCACAATACAGAATAGAATAGAATAGAATAGTGTGGCTTCACTCTATCTTAGATCAGAGAGGAACAGAGACCTGTACAGAGTTTTGAAGGTAAAGAGGAGTTGCCTCTCGATGAAGACAGTAAGACCTTGGCAATAATACCTAGGAAATCTTGCAGTTTCCTAGTTCTTTTCAACATACAGAGCATTTTTATGTACACTATCTTACTTAACTCCAGTGATACTCTTGTACAGTTATTAAATCATCCTCATTTTATAGATGGAAAAATCAAGCTCCGAGCTTGCCGGGCATAAAATCCCAGCTCCCAACCTCTATTTCTTAGCCGATTGAAAAATCCCATCCAACATTGCTGTGAAAGCACATTTTTAGCATTCCTTTATAAAATCTCATTTTATTTGCAACATCCTGCAGCTTGGCCACACGCTCCCCTGGCTTTAGGTGCACACATAGAGCCAAGGAAGGGCAAAAGCCCAAGTGGGGCACTGGGAGGGCCGTGGATGGGGAAAATGCAAAGACTCTCTGGAAAACCCAACTTATTTCTACTTTGCACCCATTTGGAAAATGTCTTTCTGACCACAAAACAAAAATGACCCTGCACTGAACTCCCCAAACAGGGTGCCCACCAGCTACCAAGGACTTAATGAATGTTCTTGAAAAATACTAGCCAATACTAGCAGACAACGATGATTATCCATAAACCTCCTGTACAGCAGTCTACAATGGGTTTTCCACACTGTCGTCCGATGCCTCACAGAAACTCATGCAGGAGGTATAACTCAGGTCCTAGTTAATCGATGAAGACAAGTTACCCAGTAGGTGGAAGGGCCAGCATTTGAACCCAGGGTTTCTGGCATTGTATTCATTTTCATTTGTCTACTCAAATTGCCTCTTTCCTCCCACTAAGAAAACATATGAGTTAACTCAGTTAAAATGCAGAAGGTTAATCTAGCAGTTGTAGGTGAGTGAGTGGTCTCACTGGAAATTTTTCCTGTCTCCCTCTAGAGCTTTTAAGCTGAGTGTAAATTGACTATGTGCTTAGGGATTTACCAGCTCGGACAGACTGAAACAATTAGACAGGAGGCCGCATCAGACTGAGAGAGAGAGACAGATCCCAGGCTTGTGGGCCCACATTCCTTTTAAAACTTCCCTCCCTATCCTTTCTCAACTGGCTGAAACCCTGGAGGTTTGACTGGCTAACCCACTTCCTCTCACAAGTGTCCATCCCCCGGGGGAGCCTGGGATTTGTAGTTTTGGTATCAGCCTGCCTTTCATAATCCCTTAGCGGGACTCCCTGGCTGAGGGCGTGTAGTGTCAGTTTCAGTAGCTTTCTACGTGATGAAATGCCCAATGTGCTTTCTGCAAAACCTGCATTCCTTCCTGAATAACAGCAAAGCTTCTGTATGCTCACCAGAACCCAGTCACTCCCCTGGCCCCCATCCCGGCTCTTATTACCTCTCCCATCCCTGCCCCCACTGATACAAAGCATCCTCTTACCTCGACCCCCTGAGGGCCTTCTGGACACAAGCTCAGTGGTGCTGTTGATGGTGGAGGAACTTCTGAGCAAGGTGTGGGAGTGGGGCTGGGCAGCAGACAGCCATGCTTAAGGGTTGCTTCCCCCAAGCACATTCCCCCAAAGGACACCTTTTCAAGAGTTTTTAAGGCAACAGGTTTACATGATGCTTGTAATGAACAGATATTAGAGGAAATACGGTAAGAATCCAAGTCCACAGAAACCACCTCTCACATGAAGTACTGCATTTTGTTCAGGTTTTTATTTATCCACTAAGCATTGCCTTGGGTTGGCAGTAACTTGGCTTGGGGTGGACAGATGCTGCTTTCCTCCCTTGTGTTCTAGAACCTCCTGATCTCATTTGGTCTAAACTAGCAAACCTTATCTGAGAACCTCTTAATCCATTTCCCTTTGTGTATGTTCATCGCTCACTTGCATGCAGATGTTATTGGTTAAGTAAAATAACAATCTTTTTAAGTGTCATTACATTTTCTAGTGGCTGTTGACTATTAAAAATGTTTTAAAATAACAGATATTGAAAATAGGCCCAGTGTGGTGGCTCACGCCAGTAATCCCAACACTTTGGGAGGTTGAGGTGGAAGGATTGCTTGAAGCCAGGAGTTTGAGACCTGCCTGGGCAACATAGAGATACCCTATCTCCAGAAATAAAATAAAATAAAATAAAATAAAATAAAATAAAATAAAATAAAATAAAATAGAACTTCCTTTGTGTGGGACTCAACAACATTTTTCGACACTGAAAAAAGATGACCTCTGCTATAGACTGACTGTGTCTGTCCCTTCTCCCAAATTCATATGCTGAAACCTAATCCCCAATGTGAAGGTATTTGGAGGTGATTAGGGCATGAGGGTGGAGCACTCAAGAGTGGGATTAATTCCCTTATGAAAGAGACCCCAGAGCATTCCCTTGCTCCTTACACCATATCAGCACACAGTGAGAAGGTTCCCTCTATAAACCAAGGCAAGGGCCCTCACCAGACACTGAATCTGCTGGCACCTTGATCTTGGACTTCCCAGCCTCCAGAACTGTGAGAAATAAAGTCCTGTTTTTATGAGCCACCCAGTCTATGGTAGTTTGTTATAGCAGACCAAATGGACTAAGACGACCTCCTGCTAAAGGACTGTTGGTCAGTGTCCCAAACTGTGGGGAGGAACAGCTTCCATGAGAACCACTTGCAGGCCTGCATGCCCGCTTTGCTTGGCTGGCACTGTTTGTTAGATGGCAGAAACCTCATGGCACAGGCACAGAATGATCCAGCAGGGAAAAGACTGGACTAGCAGACAGGAGGGCAAAGATTCTGTTTGTCCTCTGGGACTAGTCCGCTGCATGCCCTGGAGCCAGCTAGCAAACGTTCAATCTGGGCATTGCAGGGGAATAAATGCCAGTGCCCCCTCTGTACAAATGCTTATGAGGAGAAAATGGTGCCCCAGTCCTGTCAGCCAGTGGGCCAGCTTCTGAGGCATAGGACAAATCACTGTGGAACATATTCAGGGGGCGAGATTTGGCTAAAGCTCTATGACTGTGTAGAGAAGATGAGCCTGAGCCAGTGTTTGAGTAGGACACATAAAGAAAACCTTTAAAAGAATGAACTAATGGGCTGAGCATCTTCTTACAGCACTCAGAAATATATGCCTCCATTTTCCCTAATGAATACTTTGCAGATTTCAAAATTGATGGGGAAATTGCGTGGCTAAGATGGAGATCTGCCAAAGAATTCAGCTAGTTTGTTCTTAAACATACCTGGCCTTCATCATTCCTCTTTCTATGCTTGGGCCACTAATACCAAGTTTTAATTTTCTCCTTTCTTGGAAGTCACTAGAAATCCAGTACATGCATACACTTTTTTCACTAAAGACCAACATCTTTGTTTTGAGAGTTAATAGCAGAGGATATTCAATATAGAGAAAATAGGAGGAAAAGAGTAGAATTTCAGTTTCAATTTATTTTTATATCACCATTTAAAATGTTCTATTTTGTATTTGTTTTCTAATATGAAGAATAATGTAACAGTTTGTATATATGATTTATAAATCAATGTGCATATGTTGAGAATATGTGCTTTACACATCTTTTTAAATGGCAGGGTGCAAGATTAAAAAAAAACTGGAGACAAATGTTCCGAAACACATCCCATTTCATTTAGGTAGACATGTTGTCTAGAAGGTACTTAGTGTTACCCTAAGAAGGTTCTAGGGTTACCAATGCTGTGAGTCTAATTCCTTGCAAATCAAGGACTTCCCAGGTCTCACTCTTTTCATTGTAAAATAGAGAAAATGAAAATAAGCTACCTAACAGTGAAGGAACTGGAGGCAAGTTTCTTCCTTGGGAAGAAAAATGACCTTAAAAATCTGCATGAGCCATAAAGTCCTGGTCTGAGACCTGAAGGAAGCAGGGCGCTTATTCTTTGCTGGAGTGGCAGAAGGTGGCCGTCTGGGTCTGAAGTGCCCAGGGGAGGCTGCAGAGTTAAATCTCACAGACCAGTCTGGATAGACCAGCTCGCTTTGCTCCAGTCCTTACATACAGGTTTATCCATGGCCTTAGCTGCTGTTTTATAAAACCCTTTTAGGCTGGAGGAAGATTTAAATAACACACACAAAAACACTACAAACATCATCAACAACAATGAAAAACCACACTGATTTTTTACCTTCTGCTGTACTGCAGTAGGTACATTCGAAAAATTCTTGATAGTGCAAGAAGTAAATAGGAAAGTTCCCCAGGGAAAACCCTTTGACCTAACGGGGGCGGTAAATAAGAAAACTGTCCTCAGCACTGAGAGAAGGAACCATTTATTTAGTCAAATTATTTTACAACATGGTCTTCTTTGACAGTTGTCAGCTTAACACTTAATATAGTTAAAAAAGTCAACAATTACCTGCAAAATTATATATATTTTAATGTCTAAAAATATGTTGCTTATATAGAGCAGGAAAATCCCTCCTCTCCACAAGGGAAAGTTTCGTTGTTTTTCCCAGAGCTGTGATTATTGCAGTACTGTTACACGCATTTCCAAAGCATTAAAGATCTAAATGGATTATCTTTTCCCTGCTTGTGTATGCCTGTTAAATAACTGTACCAGTGCTTTGCTTTCTCATAAGTCAGTGACTTAAACAGCCCTGTTTCCTTTTCAGCTATAGGCATATTATGCTTTTTAAAAACCAGCTATAAAAACATACAGACAGCCCAAATGTACAGATTGAAAAAAGATGTACAAATTACATTAAAAAAAATAACAGCGATTGATTCGATAGTAAAACTGCTTTTGTGACCGAGGTCAACTCGTTTATTTATTCTTAATTTTTAATTATTTATTTTTAATACTGTGAGATATAGGAAAATAACTCTGCATAATTTATACAGTAAGTTGCCTTCTGATTGGTTGGCCCTGGTCTGATGGTCTGACAAGCGCACAGCACTTGCGAATCTGCTTGAGTTTAGAAATCCCTACAACTTTTCCAAGTTCTGGGACCACTGTCATCATTTAAAAAAAAAAAAAAATTAGTAATTTAATTCCCCGTCTTTCAGGAATGTATGTATTTGCATTAAAATTTCTTAGTTCATATCTTGACTATTTCTAGAGAGAGTGGTCAGCTGAGTGCATACTGTCCACTGAGAGGGATTCTGCAATGCCCTTGGCGTCTTAAACACACAAACCTTCTTTCCATCAAATTCCAGTTGGGTGAAAACTTCACTGGCCTTACAATCAATGTTCCAGTTGCCATCCACTGAATTTGGTCCTCCTAAAATTAGATTATAAGCTTCCCACCTCTATTTGTCACTAAATCTCAAACCAGAACATGACGGGTTAAGTCCATGATTCTGTGTCATACTGAACCCCGTGTATTGACAAGAAACTGCTTTGGTCATAAAAACATAAAGAAAACGTACAGCTTCTTTCTCAGAACCATGACTTAACCATTCCAGTAATCTTAATATGCAACTCACAAGATGCTAGGAGACTGAGAATTCAAACTGGCATACTGGCCCATGGAATTATTCATCTCTTTGTTCAGGTAGAGGAAGCAAAAGTTACCAACATTAAAAAAAATGTTTTTAAAGAACAAATACAAAGGTTCTATCCAACAAGAAAGAACATCCAGTTTTGTCTTCCCTTCAAGGCCACATATGTCCTGTTGAGTCCAAAGCATCCAGTAAGTGTGCAGGATGGGCTTCAGCTAGAAGGCCACTGATGAGTAAGCTTCTAGTAGTAGCTGCCTAAGTGTGAAGGCACGTGGGTGTTAGGATGGCGGGGGACGTTGGGGTTGGGGTAGATTCCCCCCGTGGGGGAGGTCCAGTATTGTGATGCGGCTCCAAAGAAGCTGGAGGAAGTGACAGGCATGGAGGATGGATGGGGAGGGACAAAGTTCACCTTCTGCTGGTGGGCATGGTAGGAAGGCATGTAGGAGATGTCAGAAGGGTACTTGTACATGGACGACTCGGTCGGATGTGGCTGCAGAGCCTGGGCAATGCCGTGGAAGTCAAATTTGTAAGCATATCTTTTGCCGTGCACTTTGGTCATAATGTTTTTATCATAGTAATAACGGAGGGCCCGGCTCAGCTTGTCGTAATTCATGTTGGGCTTGCTTTTCCGCTCGCCCCAGCGCCTGGCCACCTCATCGGGGTCCGTCATTTTGAACTCCCCGTTGGTCCCCTCCCAGGTGATACAGCTGGCGTTGGCGCTGTCGGAGAGCAGCTCCAGGAGGAATTGCCACAGCTGGATCTGCCCGCTTCCTGCACGCCGTGAGGCAAACGGGAGAGAACAGAACACCTCAGCCCAGAGAAGGCAGAACCCAGTTCCCTAAATGCAGGGAGCTTCTCATCCTTTTAAAGAAACCTTTTGTTTCCTTCGACATTGGGATCGACTTGACAAGCCCTTCTTATGTCATTGTTGATTTGCCTTTCTGCTTGCCTTGGAGATGGGTATAATAAGCGAGGTTAGATCCTAAGATGCTTTGCCCCAAGGCCTGGTAAATGGAATGTGGGAAGTGAGGTGCAAACTCTGCCCAGAACTAGCTGTGTGATCTTGGGTGAGCCATATCCCCCCTCAATCCCTTTGGCAAGGCTTTTGAATCTCTTCATCTAGAAAGGCCTGAATCACTGACTGATCTCTAATTAGTGGTCATGTCCCCCAGGGAATTCCCTGTCAGCAATAAAAAGTCAGGGGCAAGGCATGACTGTGGGAGTCATTGGGAGAAGCTGCGCCATGAGCTTTAGCTTTTGGATGGACAGGACCTGGATTGGCCCTTGGCAGGCCCAGAGCTTGGCTTGCAGCTCTAAGTTCTACAGAGAACTTGTGCAGAGAGAAAAATACCCAGAATATGCTGGGTGGCTGCTTTCTCCTCTGGCAGTAATGACCAGGCACTAAGGAATGGGTAGGCAGAGTCCCTGGGATGGGAAGGTGAGTGGGCCACACTGCGACAAGGGCCTGCTAGCTCCCAATCTCGATGGACTTGGTTTAGAAGGACCCTCTTGAGAGTTATTTTTGATACTAAATCTTTAAAGTACAAGGTCAAATTGACTATATCTGCAACTTTTCCAGGACACATCTCTTTTATAAGGCCAGATAACTTGGCAACACTTTCTAAAATCACAAATAAAACCCTTTGGAATATTTATGAACTTGTGCCTGGCATGCGGGAGACAACTGAGAGCTGAGTGGAGTTGTCTTCTTTTCTTTCTTGCCCATTTTCTCTGATTGAAACGCCTACCTACCTGTGCCACTTATTACTCATCTACACCTAAGTGCACATGTGCAGTGCTGATGTGTTTATTCCTAGAAGTATCCTCAGCTAACCAACCTTGACACCTCATAACAAGCCCTGACCTGTTGTTCACATGCTCCAGAAACAGACATTGAACATTTCAAGGAAAGACGTGCATGTTACTCCCCACTCAGGTGTCTGGACTTAGGACAGAAGTCTCTGTGATTTCACAAAGCTACGAAACATTCTGGCAAAAAAGGCTTGCAGGCCAAGGTAAACTCACCAGGGTTGGCTAGGCGACTGCTGGTCGGGCCCAGGATCTGATACGGATCTAAGGAAATAAAAAAGGAAATTTGCTTCAGTGTTTTTAAAAAATATGACAACCGTACCAACCATAAGAAAACCATAAGGGTTTATACTTTTATTTCAAGATCACAGGAAAGACTGATTTCAGAAAACTTTACTGCTTTTATTTGCAGATCTCAAAGATCTTGATGACATTTGTGGTCTTCATCTCAATAATTACAGAAAGAACAAAGAATAGGAACAGGATTACTTTTTCTTATTTTGGCATCTAAAATGTGCAGATTATGTTGTCATTACCCAAAGCAAAACAAAGAAAACATTTGGAAAGGAACTGGATAATATTCAATGATACAACGGACAGCTGACTCCATGGGCTTAAAGCAGGTCTCATGGTTACTGGTCTTTAATAACTCTACCTAATACTAACAACATTATTAATCTGTTTTTTTTTTTAAATGTAGCATGAAAAACACATGCCTAGAAACCAAGCAGCCTGGGTTTTAGCAGCAGCTATGTGATAAACAAATAACTTGTTGGACAATTTCTGGGAATCAGTTTTCTCATCTGACAAATGAGTGGGTTGGGCTACTGGATTCCTCAGTTTTCTTCTAGTATAACACTCTGTGATTTGAAATGTCACACAAGCCAGAAATGTCAGCACAAACCAGAGTGTACATTTTAGCTATAAAATGACTATTCTTAAAATCTCACTTTCCTCAAAACGTATGTGTTTATTTAGCCATGAAAAAGTCTTTGCAATACTGGTTTAGGTGAGAGGTTTATCTCCTTTTTTGTTAGTTGAGGAAATCATGGTAGAGAGCTGGGTCTCGACTTGGCAAAATTGTCATGTATTTTGTAAAATTTTGCTATTTTTCAACTATAATTGCAGTTTTAAAAATATCACTATGATTTTTGGGTTTCTACTTAGAACCATAAATTACCTTCAAAAGTCCTTAAGCCCATTGAGACCATCTTTTCTCATCCACATCATTAATATGATAATTATTTTTGGCAGGTGATGACTAATGCATAATTTTGTTGTTATTGGACAGTCTTTAAAACTCTCTACATCTGACTTATGATCCACAGTCAGCAAATTTTTTCTTAACCTTCCAGGTGAAATGTCAGTTGATTTTCTCTTGCTCTGCCTTCTGTGGAGATGGGGAACAATGTTTGCCTACCCCAAAGCAAATGACTTGTTCAGAACTTCATCTCAGCTGCATCACATAAGAAGATAGAGAGAGGAGCTGGGGCTTGGGCACAGCAGCTGTCTTCAGATATGCAAAGGATTTCGGAGGAAGCAGGAGGAAGGCTTCTCCAGAAGGAAAAGCTTGAGTGGAAATTCCAGGAGGCAGACTTTGGGTCAGATAGTGGAACTGAGCCCAGCTAGAAAGTCAACGCCCTGTTTTACTACAAGCACAAGTAAGGTAGAGGTGAGGGTAGGATAGACCCAGAAATCTCCAAGTTCCTCTCCAATACGGAGTCTCCAGGTCCATGGCTTTCAAAGTTCCTCTGCCTTAATTGTTAAGCCAACTCATCACAGGATGGGGATATTTCTGAAAGTAAGGTTTGGTGAAGCATAAAAGGCTTGGACAGGAATTTGGGGGATCTGGGATTGTAGCCCTATTTCTTTCATTAACCAGCTGTATGGTTTTTAGCAAGTCACTTCACCTCCCCGGGCCTCAGTTTCTTTATTGAACAAAATAAAGCATTGGAATAGTTCATCTTCAAGTTCTTTCACCTTTGATATTTAACAAGTCTCTACTTGATGTCAGTACCTGTTACTTCATTCACAGGACTATTAGGGTCAAAGATAGACCCTCTTTGAGAGAAATAAGAGAAAACATATGTGGTATATTGTTTAAACCCTCCATCAGTTGACCATGTGAAATCAACAACTGTGCAGGAAGCAAAGGAGAGATTACATATCCTGGGCAGGTACCTGGCTGGGGCCGTTGCTCTGTATTCTTACTGATCGTTTGTGCCCCTCCAAGGGGAGGACCTGTGGCAAGAGGGAAAGAAATGCAGTGAGTAGGACCCAGCTCCCCGAGGGGAGCAAGACGTCTTGACAGATGTGCTTTCTCACTCATTCCTTCGCCCACTCTCCACTGACTCATTTATTCATCTTATTTTAGAAACATTTACCTAGAATCTACTATGTGCTGGCCCTGTTCTCCAGGCTGGAGATTCAGGAATGAACAAGCAGTTCCTGGTAGAACTCGCATTCCAATGGGAGAGACAATAATAAACACATTTTTAAATTCTTAAAATTTTGTCTTTGCTTAAATGTCACCTTTTCATTTTCAAATTTTTAAAAAGTAAACTAACAGTATAGCATCACTGATGGTACTGAGGCTGTGGATTTCATTTTCAAATCGGAAAGTTAGAGAAGTCCTTACTGAGAAAGTGACATCTGAGCAAAGATCAGCTGCTTCCTGGTGTCCCTGTCTTGTGAGTTTCCTCCTTGGTATCTCTCACACACCCCTTCCATTCCCATGATCACTTCTGCATCACAGATCTGTATTGCTTCTTGCATGGTTTCTGGCTTAGTCTGACTGGTGTCCTCATTACTCTTCTGTCTCCCCACAACCCACCATACACGCCAGTGTTCAAAACCTTAGTGACTCTTCATTGCCTAAAGAACTAAGGCATATCTTCATAGCATCATTTACAATTCTGTTTCTTACCTTTCCAGACTTCTTCTGCATCACACATCCTAAGCTCCAGGAACCTGAGGTCCTCACTGACTGTCAGACATGCCAAGCTCATGTCTTCCCCAGCCCATATCGCCACAGGTCCAAATCCTGCCTCTCCTTCCAGAGCTAACTCAAGTGCTACCAGGTCCACAAAGCCTTCCTTGATACCAACCAGAAGAAAGGAGTTCTGTGTGTGCTTGATTTCTCTCTCCCGCTTATGGGACCAGTGCATGTCTGATTCATCTTTGTGAATCTTATATTGCCAAATGTCATGTGCAGAGTAAGTAAATAATTAATACACATAATTGGAAGGGGTCTTGGTTATTGTTTGGGCATTAATTTGTAACCCCAACCTCTTTCTTGAAAGAATTCCCTTTACCACCTGTTCATGTGCTTCATATTTTGCTTCCTAGGCATGGCAAGTTTGATTTCTGGTACAGGAGTTCATGAGTCATTCTTGCCCCTTATTCTCTTACTGGGGGATATTGGGTAGACTTCGACATGTCATCATCTCACCACTTGGTGGAGAACCTGATGTCCCAGACCCCCCGGCATCTCCTCATCAGGGACAGAAGATAACCTGTTGAGGAGATGGCAGGGTTCTGAGACATCAATTTCTCCACCAAGTGGTGAGATGATGATATGAGGAAATCTACCCAGTATCAAGGGGAATGGGGAAATTGGTACGACTTAGCCTCAACAGTTACGGGAGCAAAATTATAGAGAGTCATTATCTTGATTTAAATAACAAAAGCAAAACCCAGTGACAGTGACCATTCATTGGTACAGAACCTTGTCTCAAGAAAACCTTCAAATTTCCCATGTTCTAAAACCGAGCGCAATAAAACAAAACTCAAAAATCTAAACGAAAATCCCATATCATCTTTCAAGGACTGGTATCATGGAAAGGCCCTAAATTGGCAAATAATTTTGATGTCTACTCAAAAAGCAGGGAAACAAATGCTTGCTGCTCTCCTGTGTCTCATGATCCTGTTCTCCAATCCTGTCCTCAGAAACATGCTTTCCTCCAAAGAACTATAAAACATTTACTTACTTTTGTTGAGGCCAGAATTCATGTTATTGCCCCAAGCTCCTCTTCTGACTGAGTCATAAGAAGGGTCTAATGAACAATAACAAATAGGGGTACATTAGCATCGCCTGCTTCTCAGAAAAGTTGCATGAGCATTATCTGTAGTGATCAGGAGAAATAAAATTCAATTCAGCAATGGCTTTTAAAGCATCCCTAAATTCTGGAAGTGTACTCACCCCCTGGGGTTGGAATATTAACACTCTGACTTTCAGAAGATTGTAGTCTTATCTGGGAGCCAAAGTAATGGGAAGAACCCTGAATGTGAAGTCAGAGGATTGGTTCAAGTTCTCTTCCTGACACTCTTTGTTGTGAAACCTGGGATGAATCAAAAGTCTCCTCTGGGCTTCAATTTTAATACGGAAATAAAAATTTATGTTTTATCTACCTTATGGGGTTGTGGAAATGATCAGATGAGATAACATATGGAAAAGCACCTTATGAAGCGTTCTACAAATATAAACTGACACAAGGTTAGACATTTCTTAAATGTCCATAGTTCTGTAGCAAAATCCTTCAAGCAGCTCTGAAGAGCAGGCAAGGTCTGGATTGGGTGAAAGGCCCATAAGAAGAGTGTCTCAAAGCCCATGGCCATGACATTCCTGGGGGCCGACTCCAGTCCCTGATTTCAGCACATGGATGATGTGGGATGACATCACAGCGGTGGGAGCACATTCCAGGCTCTCTGAGGGCTCTCGGGCTTTTCTATTGATAGTGGAGAGGGCTGGGCTGATGACCACAGAGAAAGGGAAGAGGCCAGAAATGTGGCTGGGAAAGGGGCTGGATCAGGAAATGAGAGGTTGGAGACCTGCTCCCCACCTGGGCATGACTAAGGGCTTGCTTCTCAGTTGTCTTGGAGAATACTCCTCAAATCGAACTTTTGTGATCGTAACCCCTTTCTTGAAAGATTCCACATGCTTCCATAAATGTGTTGAGAAATTGCTTAACTAACTAGCTGGAAACTTCTTCCTTCCCTTTCTCTTGGTATGAGTCCCATTGAGACATTGAGCAGGAATAGCAGAGGAGCTTGAGGATACAGAATTATGACCTTCAAAGTTATTCCATGAACAACAAAGAAACCATAAAAACCATCCGAACAAATGGAGCACAAACCTCATCAAACAACAGAGTCTGACGGGGTGAAACACAACCATGCCCTTCAGCCCCTTCTGAGCCTCTCAAACAAATTAGAATAAGAGTTGGGAAGACGGATGGACTCTGATTGCCTGGCCTCATTGTTTCTGGCTAAGAAGATCCAAAAGACAGGGACACTTTTTTTGTGGAAAAATCCACGTGCAGATGCACATTCCTCAAGGCTCTGGAAAAGCCCGTTCAGTTTTAAAATTACAGTCTTTAGCAACTGGCATGAAAAGCAACACAGAAAGTGAGGGGGATGGGATAGGGAGGAAGGGCAAGGCAGGGGACAAAAGAGAGAGACAAACCTCCACTCCTTCTGTTTCTGTTTGACTTTTTTTTCTTTCCTAATTCCTCCTCTAAAGGGATTCTTCTTGCTTAAAAACAAACAAGACAAATGAAAGACCAGCTTGCTTGCAAGCTTGGAATGAGGTGGAAGGCTCTGATGGGCATTTTCTGAGATGTCTTGCAGAGGAAGTGCAATGTTGGCAGCGGCAGAACATTTTTCTTTGAGCAGGAGGAGGCTGCTGCTTAGGCCTCTGGTAATAGATTTGGGACCAACTTCTGCACTGTATTGTGTGCATGGCCAGGGAGTGGGTGTGAAGTAATAGGAAACAAGTTCCTCGTCCTTGCATGTGAGTATGAGAGGGTAACTGTGATTGTGAGGAAACACGGGTCATGTGCCTAAGGCATGGAGGACACATAAAGGGTTCCTGGAGGTTGACAGAGAGGTGAGTGGAACTAGGGCCAGGTGACTCTTTGGAGAGGGGAGAGTGCATCAGGTAGGAACAAGGCAGAGGTGGGTGGTGAGATGTCAAGGTGAGGTCTAGAGACAGCCATGGGAGGAGCTGTACCACTGAAGTAGAGCAATGTGGAGGGAGAGGAGAGAGGGCCGAGGCATGTTCAAGGTCTTGCTGATGGTAGCTCAGCAAACTCTGGGACCTTGGCGTTGCAGGTGGGAACTAAGGGAGGTTTTGCGCTTGCAGCCATGCTAGAAAACAGGGTGTGGTGAAGAATGAGCTTGTGGTATGTGGGGTGGATCTGAGGGCCTGGGGGAAGGAGATAATTCTAGTGGGAGCAGAACAGAAAGTAGAAGAGAAGTAACACATTCAAACAAAAAATCACTAAATTCCAGGGAATCGTACATGTCATCTGAACTTCTGACTTGACTTCTGACTTACTGCATGGATAAAATCTGTCTCAAGTTTTCTAAACATTTTTTTCTGCTCAATCATTAGTCTACTGAAGGCTTCAACCCTCTCTGAAAGCTATCTGGTAACCACTCAGAATTATTTCTTTTGGAGCCCAAATTATGGCCATGGCTATAGTTATCGTTGACTTCTTATCGGCTTTTCTCCCTATTCTCTTATTCTAGTTCCAGGGACAGAGCAGGCATGCAAAAATCTGAATGCATGATGGAATTCCCTGTCACCAACAGAGGGCGGATGACCATGGGATTTTCCTGTAGCTCTGAGTGATGGAGCCTGGTTAAAGGCATGCCTTATCAGAGCAGTGGCTTGGCAGGCCCATCTTTCTGTGGTGCCCCAGGGCCTTAGGAAGGAGGCAGAGTTTTATGGGTCAATGTGCCCACAGGCCCATCTGATGGCAGAAGCTTGGCTAACAGGACTTTGGAAGTCCCAATCAATGCTACAGTCCTCACATAGGTGAAAAAGGAAGTGACAGAAACACAGAGGCCACCCAGCAGTCAGCCTGAACTGTGCTCTCACTGTGAAGTAATAGAGTCATAAATAGCAACAGGCCATGCCCTAAGCTGGTGTCTTCATCCAACGTCCATCCCAGCAGCCTGTGGAGTCAGAGTAGCAAAGACCACAGGCCTCCCTCTCATTTCTTTTTTATTCCCAAGTATTTGCATGGAAAATCTTCCCACTGGTACCTGGCTGCACAAAGGACAGCCTGAGCACATTGGCTCTGGGGTTTAACAAAAGCACTCCGTAGGCTCTGGGGCTCGAGGAGACGTCTGGTCAATGTAAGATTTAAGTTAAACCCAGCATTTTCAGAGCAATTTCTGCTCCAAAGAAAAAGCATGAAGATGCAGAAGGCCAAGAACTAAAGTCTTGCATTCTGCCCTAGGGGTATGAAGAACCAGGCCAGCCTTGCAGAGTAAATGAGATACCCAAGTAAACACCCAGCATAGTGCCCAGCACAGAGGTGGCCTCAGTGGATGTTAGCAATCAAGAATACGATTTGTGTCACAGACCAAAAATATTCAGACCCAGAAACATGTTGGGCAGCCTTCCAAATCCACATTAATTCCCTCCTCCCCGCAACTCCCTCATCCTCCTTCCTCTGCTCTTCCATTTTCACTTATCACATAATTTAATCAGTAATTAATTTGTATTTGTCGTTTATGGTTCATATCCCCCTCCCTCCTGAACATCAGGTCCATAAGAGTAGGGATCTCTGTTGTGTTCTCTGATACATCCAAGCACTTAGAACAGGGCCCCACACAGAGTTAGTAGACTCTAAGTATTTGTTGAATGAATAAACTTGGCCAATATTTTCTCCTACTTGCTACATACACACAATTCTTCTTATTGTTCATGATATCACTAGCTGAAGAGAACCCAGTGCTCCTACCCTGACTTCTTCACGAAATTAAGCCTCCAGGCAAAAGATTTCCATCTGGGGTGTTGAGGGGTACAGACTACATCACTCCTGTGTCCCCTCTGAGTGGACCACAATCCACCTATTTATGTATGAGGCATAGGCTAAAAGCTTGTTCCCACAGGGAAGTCAAGGCCTGAATGCTGCTCGGTGAAGTGGTGTGCATTTTATGTGTTTTTAACAATGTCATTGTTGAAGTGAGGGTTCATATTTTTTTCCTACTAAAAGTCACTCAAGAAGAATTTAGCAGTGTGGTCATCTCTAGTCCCCAACATACACACAGAGATATGTCTATAACCTGAATGCAGAAGCCTGAACCAGGGAGCTGACCCAGTGGCTCACATCCCCACACAAACCCCCTTGCAGAGCCCAACACCTGGCTGCATGAGAGCTCCTGCCCCGACTCTCCGTCAGCGCATGGAGTGGGGCTCAGGCAGGGTGTGCCTGCTATGAGAAGAAGCCTGAGCGTGCATGGAGGCCCTCTCGAATGTGGTGCCTGGAGTCTGCCTCCTGAGAACTGACAAACTTGAGGTGGCAGCCAAAGGCCCAGTGTGTAAAAATGTGGCCGTCGGCACCAGTGTACCAGTTGATGATCTTGGTCTGTTTCTGTGGTGGCAGATGGCTTAATCAGCAGACAATCACACCCTGGTTCTGACAAACTAACTTTTCACTGTCGTGAAGGCTGACACCTTGGCTTTACAGAGTACCAAGATAACAGATCTTATTATTGTGATTCCTTTTCAGAAGAGTGACCCAAAGAGCTTTGCCTGGAGTTTCTGGTTTCAGGCAGTCCTGAGATCAACTCTTGCCAAAGCAAAGAGGCCGGAGCCTCAGTCTGGAGAATGAAGACATTGCCAGCCATTGTGGATAATTCAGCCTCACATATATGATGTCCTTAACAGTATCACCATTATGTGATGCTTAGTGGGGCTGAATTTGACACTAAATGGCCTCTTAGATTCCAGGAGAGCCTCCTGAGGTAGAGAAATATGAGCATGGAGATTTTTTTCCGCAAAGTCTCTGTTGGAAGGCGAAAGCTGTTTCTGGACATGACCCTCTCATAGACATACCAATGTTAACTTAGCTTCTGTGTGAAGCTTTTAACCTGGTCCTAGAAATATGGCCAAACATCTTTGGGAAGATATTTGCTTCTGCTCTGATGCCTCTGCTGTCTGAAAGCCCAAACGTCCCTGCCGGCATGCAGCGCTCCACCTTGTGACCTGACCAGAGGCCAGCAACACAGCGACATCAGCCCACAAAAGCCTCTCTCTTCATCCTCTGTGTCATAAAACCTTGCTCTCAATGACTGGGTGGAAAAAGATGAATTTTCCCTGAAACTTCTCATTGAATTTCTGGTTGCTGCTAAGAAGGCTGGCAGCACCTAACCCTGTTTATCCTTGGAAAGCCTGGCTTCTGAATGCAGACCTTTCAGCCGAGCAATGGGCAAGGCTGCTCATGCTCCCAGCAGAGCAGGGGGATTTGGTAGCCAGATCCAGACCTCCTTTCTTGAAAGAGTGAGGATGCACAGGAGAAATGCTCAAATCAATGGCAGACCTGAGACCCAAAGCCCTCAACTTCCCAAGAGAGCCAAGCCCACGAGGAGGAAGATTCACTCCCAGACTCCGACAGGGAAGAAACTGCAGGTGAGCGGCGGTCTTTGTTGTTGGGCTGTCCGACAGGTTATGACGTGTACTGGTAGAGGGCTGGACTAGGAGATCCTCTAAAACCCCATCTCCATCAGAGGTCCTGTGCTTCTAATAGGTCCAGTCTTTGGGGAGGAGCAGCCTCTCCCAGCCACCAACCTGCAGAAGCTGCTCTCCTCTAAGCGTTCCTTCATCCTGCTCTCCACCTGTGAGAACTGCTGCACTGCCCGAACCTTCCCAACCCACAGCTCAGGACCAGCTTCTCATCTGCTGCAGTCTTTGCTCGAGTCCGCGCCCTCAGCCCCACCCTGAGGCAAAGTAGATGCAGGGCTTAGGATGTCATCACGAAGGTATCCTTTCTCTCTGGTGGGCCTGGGGATTATTTTGGCAGTTAGGAGATAGGACTTCGAATCAGTTAACCCGGGATTCAAATCCCAGCTCCGCCATTGGCCTTGTGGAGTGACCTTGGTCATGTTGCTCAGCTGCTTTGAACCTCCAGTTCTGCTTCTCTGAAAAGCATTAATAACAGGTGCTTTCTACGGTTGCTATGAGGATTAAATAAGCATGTGATAAATGGTGATTTTAAAAATACACACCATATACATGGAGTCTATTCCATCCTGCTTGCCCCTCTACCATGCTTATCTTGGTGAGATGAGATTACCAAGCCCATTGAGGAAGGCCTTGAAAAGGAAGAGAAGCCTGAGGGCTATAAAGGATGAAGGACAGTTTTATTCCTGTGCTCCTGGAACAGTGATTCCCAAATTTAAATAAAGCTTGGCTCTCAGGCTGGGTGTGGTGGCTCAGGGCTGTAATCCCAGCACTTTGGGAGGCCAAGGTGGGAGGAACACTTGAGGCCAGGAGTTTAAGGCTGCAGTGAGCTATGATTACACTATTGTACTCCAGCCTGGGTGACAAAGTGAGATCCTGTCTCCAAAGCAAAATAATAATAATAATAATAATAATAATAATAATATAATAAAATAAATCGTGGCTTTCTTTTAAAAGAAGAGGTGGATTATTATCCTGGACCCTGGTTTGAGAAACCCCACCCCAGAAGACAGAGAGGGCTGATGGCTACAGGTGGTCTGCCTGGCTGTTAGGCCCAGGCATTACCCAGCATCCTCCTTCCTCCCCCACTGTCAGGTGCCAGAGTCACTGGCCACCTGGCCTTGAAGCTCAGGACCAAGTCCTCACTACATCCCACCATTCTAGAGGGGCTATTAAACCTTCACTTCAGCGGCGTCTTACATCCCAAAGAGCAACAGAGGAGCTTGGCATCCACTGAGACCTTGGAAGGAGGAAAATATCCAGGGAACGCTTTCCCCAAACTTGGAACTCACAGGGAAAAAACATCCTGGATCAGGTTTCCTTTGCTCAAGGATCTTGTCCTGGAATCCAACAGCCCCTCTGCCTCGGAGCTGACCCTGCTGTGTGGAGCATAATGGAGGTACTGTTGAAGATATTAGATGGGCAAAGGGAAAAAAAGACCTACGAGGAAAAGGCTTGGAAGAAATAGCTGACTTTTAAATATGAAAAGCGTGGAGAGTGAAGTGGCACATTCTCTGGGCACAGCCTTGCCATGGCCACGTGAGGCTCCCTGCTGAACCTGGGACCTTCTTCTATTTCATTTCTCCCACAGGCTCTGTGTCTAAGTGACACAGATGTCTAAATGACCTATTTATTTTGATAAGGCCTCAAAGTGGGATTTTTGAGCCAGCCTCATGTGGAATAGCAATTCATACTGACTAGATTAACTGGGTGTTTGCCAAAACTTCCTTCCATATTGGGTCATGTAGACGCAACTAAATTGCATACTTCTTAGGTCAAATCTGCCTCTGGTTTAAGAGGATTCCAGGTAGAAAGAAGAAAACATAACAGTTCACTTAGGTAATCAGGCTTGAGGATAAATGAGAGGCAGTTTATACGCAACGCCCTCTGCCCTGCTCCGACCCTCATAGGTTGCAATGTTCACAGCGAGGTTGCCCTTCTTCTCCTTGGCCATAGGGGATACACTCTTGGGTCTGCGTAACATTCAGCTTCTGTGTCCTTTGCTTTCAAAGTTCTGCAGGTCAAGGCTCACTGGTGAGTTGTCTTGTGTCTACTGCCCGTGTCCTGCTTAGCCTTTGAGTGTAATTCTTTGTACGCTTGTGTCCCTCGCTAGGTGATCATCTTTAGGAAGAGGGGTTGTATCTTAAGCACCTTTGTTTCTCTCAAAAATTCATTCTTGCCCCTCGCCATCACCAACTTATTGGATTTAATTGATGCCTTATGTCCCACCACACATTTATTCATTCAACAATGTTTTACTGAATGTCTACTACCTTGCCAGACACTTTACATGCTGAGAACACAACAATCGCTAGACAAACGTCCTTCCTCTGTGGAGCTGACATTCAAGACAAGTAGTAAATTACATTGTATATTAGAAGGCGATGAATGCTATGAAGAAGAGAAAACCAGAGGAGGGAAGTAGGCAGTGCAGGGATGGGAGGTCTTCTCTGAAAATATAGAATTTGAGCAAAGACTTGATCTAACATTATGAAAATAGAGCTCTACATAGTTCCATAATTTTATTTTGAAAAGTGACAGATTGGCTGACATTGGTCTCAAAGTCCCTCTGGAAAGCCAATTCCTTTTAATTAGTTTTTTATGCATGAGAGTTGCTTTATGTTGTAGGATAGCAAAGTTAGCTAAGAAACTTGACAGCATCTCTTTGATGTTTGGGAGAGGAATAGTAAAAGGTGAGATGAACCCCATATTTTAAAGACTCAAGTACTTTTCACATATTTTGAATCAGGTGATTGTCAAGTCTGTGGTCTTGGATTCACGTTGAATTAGAACGGCCATTCAAATCAAGAAACGTAAAATCCCAACAATTCCCATGATTTGCCTTTTGACCTATGTCTGAAATGCTTTGCAGGAAAGGACAAGTCTCTGGGTTCAGTGTAGCAGAAGTGGACAGGTGAGTTCATGCTGAAGGAGCACTACTTCTTTTTGTTTGTTTGTTTGTTTTGTTTTGAGACGAAGTCTTGCTCTTGTCCCCCAGGCTGGAGTGCAATGGCGCAATCTCGGCTCACTGCAACTTCCGTCTCCCGGATTCAAGCAATTCTTCTGCCTCAGCCTCCTGAGTAGCTGGTATTATAGGCGCCTGCCACCATGCCTGGCTGATTTTTATATTTTTAGTAGAGACGGGGTTTCACCATGTTGGCCAGGCTTGTCTTGAACTCCTGACCTCAGGTGATCCACTCACCTCAGCCTCCCAAAGTGCTGGGATTACAGGCGTGAGCCACCACGCCCGGCCAAGAGCACTCCTTCTTTTGTGGCCTGGCAGGTGAGCAGGAAACACTTCCGTCCCTGAGCTGTGCATCCACACATCAGACAGAGCACAGTAGTTAAAAGAAAAAGAACCATCAAGTCTTGGTAGGTGGAATGTGATCTCACTTATTATATCACAGCATCAGAGGCTCCTTTTTAGACTGGAAGGACCTCAGACATTATCTAAACCAGACATGCAAATTAGCACAGGCCCAGAGGCCCAAAGCCTGAGAGGTAGCATATGTGGCCATGTAAGAATTTTAATAGAAATTGAAATTATGACTCATAGCAAAAAACTGCCTCTCTCTAACCTCCTCTAGTGTATTGGGCAGGGCTGATAATTATTTTGCAGACAGGCCCAAAAGGCCGAAGACTTCTTAAGCTCAAAGATTTTTCAAAATGATACCAAGAATGATTTTCATCTCTTTGGAAGAGTGATACCTAAAATTTATCAAGCATAGGACTGTTGGTGGTGTTACTAAGGGCTCTTAAAGATCTTCATGGGAAGAAATTCCATAATTTCTCGTGAATCCATTCCAAACAGGGAAATGGCTCATTGCAAAGGAAAGAACTCTGGGCTGGGGGGTCAGAACTCCTTGCTTTGCCTCTCATCTCTGTCAGTTATGAGCTGTGTGGTCTGAGGCAAATGACTTAACCTCTCTGAACCTCTTATTGAACCTCTCTGTAAAAGGTAGATACTTGGCAGGGGCGGGAGAGAGTGGTGTGATTATTCCTAAATTTAAGAGTTTGGAAAAGCAAATAGCACACTGGATCCTCACAGGGATCTTTTGAGAATAAATGACACCATGCATATGAAAATGCTTTCTAGGGCTGGGCGCAGTGGCTCACGCCTGTAATCCCAGCACTTTGGGAGGCAGAGGCAGGCAGATCACGAGGTGAGGAGATCAAGACCATCCTGACTAACATGGTGAAACCATGTCTCTACTAAAAATACAAAAAATTAGTTGGGCGTGGTGGTGGGTGCCTGTAGTCCCAGCTACTCGGGAGGCTGAGGCAGGAGAATGGTGTGAACCCGGGAGGCGGAGCTTGCAGTGAGCGTCACTGAACTCCAGCCTGGGCGAGAGGGCAAGACTCTGTCTCAAAAAAAAAAAAAAAAAATTGCTTTCTATATTCTAACGCATCCTACAGAACTCTAGCTGATACTCTTTTTCAGAGTTTAGTTCATGGGACATAAGAAGTTAATTTTTCTTGTGTCAACCAAAGCTAATTTCTTCTGGTTCTTCCTTTATTGGAGCAGGATTGAGTAAATATTCAATGGTATTTACTGAATATATACAGGGCTGGAAGAAAAGAGCCAGGAGAAAACTCACAATTAAAGACCACAAGGTAATCTGTAATTAGGTCCATAAATAGCCTGTGAATGAGGTGAGGCTCCGAGAGGAGACTATAGTCTTAAGGAGGAAGAAAAACATATCTTGAGGCAGATAGGACTTGAATCGGGTTTTGAAGAGTGTGTTGGATTTTGACAGATAAAGTAATTGTCCCACTTAATTTTACCATCTTTTCTTTAGAATATGCCAAATACAAGAATTTAAACTTTATCAAAGAGGCATGTTAAGCCTCTGTTTAATATTTTTATTTTGAAACAGGGCCTCACTCTGTCGCTCAGGCTGGAGTGAAGTGGCGCAATGTTGGCTCACTGCAGCTTTGACCTCCCAGGCTCAAGCAATTCTTGTGCCTAAGCCTCCCAAATAGTTGGGACCACAGGCCCGTGCCACCATGCCTGGCTAATTTTTTTATTTGATGTAGAGATTGACTCTCCCCATGTTGCCTAGGCTGATCTTGAACTCCTGAGTTTAAGTGATCTTTCCACCTCGACCTCCCAAAATGTTGAGATTACAGGCGTGAGCCACCACACCTGACCCATGTTAAACTTCTCGATCTTACAGATCCCTGAGACAAGAAAGAAAAAGCCCACTCACAACCTGGGTAGTGTTTCTAGCCTCCATATTTCCTCCTCAAGGACTTTCTTTTCTCCAACAAGGATATTTCATGAGAAATATGCTCTTTATTATCTTAGATAAGGGCTTCTGAAGAGAGAGAGTTATTCAATCTATAAAAAGGGATTAGAAAGGTTTTTATATTAAAATAACAAATGATGTTTCCTATACATTGGCCTTTCACTAGAAGATGCCCTAAGCTCATAGATCTCTGTCTGGCACAAAAGAAGCTTCTCCGTCTCTCTCTCTCTCCAGATAGATGAAAGAAAGAATTTGGTTGATGAGAATTTGGTGAAACAAGTTTCTTTTAAATACCTTCCAGCTACCAATCGCCTCAAATAACCTCCATGTGGTGGAATTTCTAAATCAGTATACTAGGCAGAACCAACACATTTGGAACACTCTGTGCTGAGGTGGCCCCTGGCAGAGCATTATAGGCCTGTCCTTTTTTTTCCCAAAGTATTTTGGGACCCTTCTCCTCTAAATGGCCAACGGGGATCACTTTTAACTTCTATTGTGAACCAAGCAATAGCAATGAAGCTGCATCAAGCAAGGCCAACTGCATCTGCAGTCCTCGCTCTGTCGTCTGGAGTGGGATGAGCGTGTAGTGTCAAGGGGAAACTTGGTAGAGATGGCAGGCCTAAAATAGTAACATCCCAGAGTCTGCAGATAAATTAGAAGACATGCAAAACCCAAACGGCCCACCCAGTGGATGTGAACTGCCACTGAGAACTGTAGTGGAGCTCTACCCTGCCAAGCACTCAGGGTCATGAAAGCCCCTCCTTGGCAGTGCGGGAGGAGTCATTGTTGGGCTGAGTCCAATGGGAACGAATGGGGAGGGTGCTCTGGAGACCCCCAGCAACAGTCCCACAGCCTGGCACCAGTTCCCTGCCCCACTTGGAGGTTTACCTAATGTCACCGTCCTTTACTAAAATGTAGCAGGGCTCATGCATTCATTGTCACCATCATTAATGTAGCAGAGCACATGGGCACCTATGAGGGTCTTGATTTATTCAGGGTGCATTTAAGGGCAGCTCTGATAAGCAGAAAGACCAAAGACAGCCCAGGGAAGGCAGAAAGGGCAAAGTGGGAACTTCTGAGTGGTCAGGAGCAGTGCCTGGCCTGGAGCCTTCTGGCACAGGGGTGAGAAGAGGCGAACTCTGTAGTGGCAGGAAGGTGCCTTTCTTCTCCAGTTAAGCATTGGGATGAAGCCCTGGCTCTCAATACTGGGGCAGGGCAGGGGTGGGGCATTCCAGAGCAATGGAAGGAGATTATTCTAAGAACACAAGTGTTCATCTCCAACCTTCTCCTCATTCCTTCATCTACCAAGGGCACAGGTGAATTTATGGAGGGACACGGGGCAGGGTGGGGCAGCTGGAGCATCCTGGACGTGTCTTTAAGATGCTTTAAGTTGATTTTGACATCTCTTCCTTCTTCTCCTTGGGAACCATGGGTTTATGAAGCTTACAGAGGCAGAGGATTACCCATGAAACTGATAGACCCATGAAATTATTTGAGGGAAACTTTATTTCCCTCAAATAATAAATTTATTAAATTTATTGAATTTATCCACCCCCACTCTTATTTTGCTTTGTTTTTGAGAACAAGGTCTTGTTCTGTTGCCCAGGCTGGAGTGCAGTGGTGCAATCCCGGCTCATGGCAGCCTCGATCTCCCGGGCTCGAGCAATACTCCCACCTGAGCCTCTGGAGTAGCTGGGACTATAGGAACACACCACTACACCTGGCTACTTTTGTTTATTTTTTGTACATATGGGGTCTAGTTGTGTTGCCAGGGCTGATCTTGAACTCCTGGGCTCAAGTGATCCTCTCACCTTGGGTTTCCAAAGTGCTGGGATTACAGGTGTGAGCCACTGTGCCTGGATGGTTTCTTAAATTCAGTTTATTGAAATTCTCATCAATAGAGTGTTACTCAATATAATACTTTGTTTTCTAAATCTCTTGTTTTCCTTTATCCTCTTAAATGTAGTATTAAACACAAAAGGATATGTGTATAATTATATAAATTATAAAGCATAACAATGAAAAAAAATCTGTGAAACCACCACAAATGATGCTTCCTATACGTTGGTCTTTCACTAGAAGATGTCTGAAGCCCGTTTGTCTCCATGTGGCATGGAAGAAGCTTCCTCTCCCTCTCTCTCTCCAGGGATGGATAGAAAGAAAGAATTTGACTGATAAGCGTGGACAAAGCATGTTTCTTTTATATACTTTGCAGCTCCATTACCACCGCCCCATCCCACCCGGCAAACAACCTCTTTATAGTGGAATTTCTAAAATTCTAAATTGCTAGATTGCTTCTTGAAATGCAAATAAGATTGATTGCACTGGGTCAGGCTCCTGATTTTTTAGATGGTAGCAGGAGTCAATAGATGAATATATCTTAGCAACTAGACAACATCAGCTACTTGGGGGAAATGCATGATGGGGGTGGTAGATGAAGTAGGAAAGGGTCATTTTGGAGCCCTTGCCATTGCCTAGGTGGGGAGGGGACTACAGGAACAGGCTCTCTTCTGTTTCTGTTTCATACTAGCTTTGTGATTCAGGCTTAACATCATACCTGTGATTCAGGTAAAATGGGAATAATCATAGTGCCAACTTAACAAGGTTTTATGAAGGATAAATGTGAAATGAATAGGAAATTTCTTGGCACATAGTAGGTGCTTAACAAATGTTAGCTCTTATTGTGGCTGTCTGGGGCATAAGTGAAGAAAGGAAGGTGGAATTGAGCAGAAGGTACACTCTCCCTGCAGCGTCACCTTTCCTCGGCTTGGCGTGTCCTCAGCCTCCTCCTGATGGGCAGAGACCTGAAGGGCCTGTGGAGTCCAGTTGGCAGCAGGATCCTGCGGTGGTTGGGCCAAGAAGGGGCTCTGGTGCCATCATCTTGTGATTGAAATCTGCTCTTTATCAGTTTTGCTTCCTTGTTCAGGGATGGGACTGATCACAGCTTCCAAGGAACCACCCTGGGGTCCCATGCAATGGAAATTTAGGGCAGGGTAGGGAGGAAAGGCAATGCCACACCAGCAGCTGCAGTGGATAGAGCCAAAACATCCACCTTGTAGAAACATCTCAAAGGGTTAGTTCTACACCAGACTGCTGGGGAACAGTTTAAGGTACTTTGCCTATTATTTTCATCCATCCATCCAATAGTCCCTACCTTCAAGACGCTTCCCGTCTCACAAGACAGAAGACTGCTGGGCTAGAATCTATTGAATGCTGTATTGGTAAAACAGTGGGTATAAGCAAAGCATCCTGGGGAAGGGTGCACAAGACCGTAATGAGGTGATGCTGTCTGATCTGACCACGGCCCTAAAGGGTGAGTGTGGTTTCCTAGAATATGGACTGGGGGTGGGGACTGAGACGGATGAAAGGTATACCCGGCAAAGGAAGAATGGGGAAACATTATTCCAAAGTGTGGTTGAAGATAGAGTAGACAGGAACCAAGTCATGTTTGAAGGACAGGTCTTTGGGTCAGAACCTAAATGGGCAAAGCTGTATTACTGAGCAAAACTATCACACCTCTACGCTCCAGGGGGATCCAGACAGTTCTGGAACTTGTCTCTAGCGGTCCCACAGAGCTGAATCGGGATGGTCTTCCAATAGGAACACATTGAAGGGCAGGTGATCACCTCACAGTCCCTCAGGTTATGGTGGTGACTCAACTGGGTCTGAGTAATTAAAAGAAACCCCAGGATGGCCCTGTTCCCAGGCAGAAGACAGGCTCCTTTGAACTCTAGGTGGTCACCCCTAGTTGTGCCCGTGGCCTGCACAACCTCTGGTAGCTTTGAGGACATCTGAGTTCCCTCCACAGTGGGATGTATGGTGATGCGTTTCATTAAATTAATCCATCAATTAACACAGAAACTGGGGAGAATGATCATTGGGAGATATTGTTGTTTGTGTCTATTTCAAAAGAATCCTCAAAGAAGTAAAACCTACATACACAAAATTCCTCCTCTAATGGAATAGGCCCACCTCTAATAAGGCAGTGGACTGATACTCAGTCTTTTGCCTTATTATCCTGGAACAAATTTACACTTGTCTTAGGAAACGGGCTGTTTCCAATAATTTGAGGAAAGTGTGTCCTAGTCACTGTGTGAGCCACACGTGTGCAATAGCAGTTCGCACAGCACACCCACGAAAAGAAATAACAGTCCTTTTACTTAGAGAAAGGAAGGATAATGGTTACTTAGAAAGTGTCCCAGACAAGCTGTCAAATTGAATTCAGAGAGCTGGAGTCTGACTCCAGGACAGGGCGGGCTGGCTAAGTTCCCGAGGGATTGGGGTTTCCTGCCTGCTCCAGCTTAGAGACAACGAGTCTTTGTTTCCAGTTCTCTCGCTCTCCCTCCTCCCCCGATCTCTGTTTCTCTCTGTCACCCTCGTTCTTTCTCTCTCTCTCTCTGTCTCTCTCTCTCTTAATCTCTCTCTCGTGGAAAAAAAAAAAAATGCAACTCTCCGAAGAGGGTCAGATAGAAAGCAGACAGAACATTAACTCAGGAATTTCAAAGGAAAACAGTTTTTAAAAAATAAAATAGAGAGAGCAAGCTACTGTCTATCCCATAATCATAAATCTTGCCTTTGGACCACAGAAACAGCACGCGTGCACACACACACACACACACACACACACGCATGCATGCACACACACACACACATCCAGCAATCATCCCTGCTTTTGCTAAGAATGGCTTAGGCACATTTCATCATAAAGGAAGAACATATAATGACAATGTTCTTCACAGGCTCTCCTGTGAGGCCGCGATACCCTCCAATTTGAAGTGTGTGTGAGCTGACGTAGATGGGGCCTGTGGGGCCACACAACCTGCTGCATGAGAGATGTTATTTACTCCCTAAAAATAACAGGAGATTACCTCACAGTATTACAGGCCTTTTCCTTTGGGTACACATGTTCCAGACCTAGCCCCCATACGCTGCACTCTACAAGGCAACACACACAGCCCACCTCCACACTGAGCACCAGCTCACGCCCTCCTGCACAGACACACACACAAGGCTGCCAAATGCCCGCCTTCCCAAGTACTGCACCCGGGAGCGCATCAGCCTGACACAGGCAGTGCATATCGCGAGGGACAAAGATGCCCTCCTCGGGAAACTCTTCGCCCGGAGAAATAAGGCAAAGATATCTTGAGGCATTTTTTGAGTTACGGAGAATTTCTAAGATATATACAAGTAGAGAGGAAAGTCTAATGAACCCTGAGGCCCCATCACCCTGCTTTAACAATCATGAATTCATGGTCAGTCTTATTTCAGCTCCATGCCCACCTACTCCGCCCTCCCCGGCCAAATGATTTTGACACAAGTCCCTGGCTCTCCGCTCCTTCGCTGAGCTTCCTGTCTCACAATGAAACATCCAACTGCACCCGGTTTTCCAGGTACCAGGAAGCCATGGTGCACAGGTTCTACCCCAGGGTGTCTTCCTGAAACCCACATCAAACACCCAGGCCTCAGTTATTCCTGCAAGGGCTCACCTGGGCTCCTGTCTCCAAAACCCAACTTGAAAACTCACACACCCACCCCAACAAACACGCTGGTTTCCTTGGTGCCTTCCTCCTTCCCTTTGCTTCAACATCTATTTCCAGCCCTGCCATGCTGCAGCTTGCTAGAGGCCTCCATCTTTTACTATGACCTCTAAAATCATAAAGGACATCCACACAGGAGCTAAATGCAGGGGAAAATTGAAAGACGTGGTAATATACGTGCATTGCCCTCACTCTAAAGCACAGTAGTTCCTTACTTACTTAGCTGTCTGTCTCTCTGTTTGACTAGAACCTGCTTGAGGGTAGGTAGTGTGCTGTGTTCACCATGGTTTTAGGGCTCAGCCTGGTATTCTATGCAGAGAAGATTCTCCATAAGAAAGAAATGAATGAATGGAGGAGAGCATGAATCACAGAATTTAGGTCAATTCCTGACTAAGGTATCATGTATCTATAATATCTGCCTACATAGGAATAATTGTATATATTTGTCTTCACTCCCTGTGTGACCATGGCTGGGTCCACACCTTCTCTGGCCTCAGATCTCTCCTGTTCTATAAGGGATTTGGAGGAGATGTTCAGCTTGAGCATTAATGATTTTCCATCTCTTCATTACACTCAGAAAATATCTTGTGTGTAGCATGCATTGTTGTTTTTCGATTACATGCAGTTTTATATTTCCTTCATATTTCCTAGGTGTGTCTCCCTAAATAGTTGTTTTTTTGCTTTGTTTTTTGAGACAGAGTCTCACTCTGTCACCCAGGCTGGAGTGCAGTGGTGTGATCTTCGCTCACTGCAACCTCCGCCTCCCGGGTTCAAGCAATTCTCCTGCTTCAGCCTCCCGGGTAGCTGGGACTACAGGCACATGCCACCACACCTGACTAATTTTTTATTTTTAGTAGAGACGGGGTTTCACCATGTTGGCCAAGCTGGTCTTGAACTTCTGACCTCAGGTGGTCTGCCCACCTTGGCCTCCCAAAGTGCAGGGATTACAGGCATGAACCACCATGCCCGGCCCCCGAATAAGTTTTAAAGCAGCTTGGCTATCTATGTATAGTATCCTTCACGACCCTTGGTACGGTGTTAACATCTGGTAAACCCTCAAAAATACTGTAATTAGCGGGATACTGTAATTAGGAGGCCGAGGCGGGCAGATCATGAGGTCAGGAGGTCGAGACCATCCTGGCTAACGTGGTGAAACCCCGTCTCTACTAAAAAATACAAAAAAAAATTAGCTGGGCGTGGTGGCGGGCACCTGTAGTCCCAGCTACTCAGGAGGCTGAGGCAGGAGAATGGCGTGAACCCGGGAGGTGGAGCTTGCAGTGAGCCGAGATCACGCCACCGCACTCCAGCCTGAGCGACAGAGCGAGACTCCATCTCAAAAAAAAAAAAAAAAATTGTAATTAGCTTTCAATAATAATGTTAATTACTATTAGAATTTGTACTATAATAAATTAGAATAACAATTTACTATCCTTATTATAACTTTTATTGAGCACTTATTGGTGTGTCAGAAACTGTGCTGATTTATGAGTTTTACATTATCCCTGAAGGGGCACTACAATTATCCTCATTTATACATGAGAAAACTGAGGCAGAAAAATGTAAGCACCTTGTCCAGGTCACAGTCTGAGTCCAGAGCCCAAGTTTTTAATCAGTATGCTATAATGCTGAAATAGGAGACCAGTGCCCACCTTCGGTAAATTGAGAGTATTAAAGAATCCTTAAGATGTTGTCAGATGCTTGAATCAAGTATGCTGAGATAATGATTCCAGAAGCAGCCTAGAGGAAGGACAGAACACACCAAAGGCCCGGACTTGAGTCTTGTTCTGCTTCATGACCTGGGTGCCTTCTAAGGAACCCTGAAATCTCTCTGTGCCTTGTTTTCATTATCTATAGAAGGGGGATAATAATACTACCAGCCTTCTCATCTCATGGTGATGGCACCAGAGGGCACAAACGGGATAATGGATAGGAACGTGCTTGGCAAACCCTACCAGGCTGCCAAAATGCTGTTGTTACCATGTGCATGGCTCCTGCCACCTAGGACTCTCCTGGAGAGAAGCCAGCCTCTCGTTAACATGGGCTTCAGCACCAGCCAGGCATTTCACTCTAAGGGACACAGAAAGGTAGTTTCTCCCCTCTCTTTTCCATACTTAGCATGCAAGCCGACAGACTTTTTATCCATCAGCCAAGGCAATGGCTGGAGATGGCCATTCCGCTTGCAGTGGGGCTGTGGTTTTCAGTTTCCGTGTTCAATGGCAGTCCTGAAAGGCTCCAGGCTGGGGCTAGAAGCTCAGTGCTCCACAGGCCCTTGGCCGGTTGATGAGTTCCAGGAGTTAATAAACAAGGAACTCAATATCCTCTGTCTTTTGGAAAGTCAGAGGTATTTAAACAGATTCAGCATGAGGAACTAAGGAAATGAGGGCTTAGGCATGCAAAGAAGCTCTGAGGAAGAGATGTGCTGATTGTTGCACACTGCTGGGCCAGCTGAGTGTGCTGGGAAGGCCTCCGGCAGGGTTTGCCCAGAAAAACAAAGGGAAGCTCTGACCTGGGACCAGGGCAGACACACGCACATCTGCAGCCTGGAGGACGGGAGAGAACAAGGTGTGGAAAGTCAGTAGCCCTGGCTCCAGGACTCTTACACACTTGAAAAGGCCACTTAACTTCTGCAACCCCAGTATCCTTCCTATAAAATCACGTTACCAACACCATATCTACTTTTTAGAGGACTGAATGAGGACACGTCAGAAAGAAATTTCTGAGATGTACGAACGTACAGTTGTCTAAATCAGTAACATCATGCATCAATAAAATCAGTCATCAATGACAATGACAAAAAACTAATCAAGATCGTACAGTCTCTTCACTTACCTATACCTTTATCAATATACCAGTAGGGCCTGCTATTCCTTTTCTAGGACAATCTGGGTCCAGACAACCGCCCAGTGTGTCTCCAAGAAAATCTGGAGTAGCTCTAACATGGGCCTCATTTCTCTCTAGTTTGTCTCTGTTCTATAAAGCAGGCTTCTCTAGCTTGGCTGCAGCTTGGCTTATATGAATAACCCGGAGAGCTCTAAAACATTTCCAATGCCCAGGAGTCACCCTTGGAGGTTCTGAATTAATGCATCATTTTTTGGCACTTGGGCATCAGTATTTTTTTATTTTAATTTTTGCATTTACAAAATTTTAGTAAAATATGTAACATAAAACTTACCATTTTAACCATTTTAAGTGTACAATTTAGTGGCATTAAGTACATTCACAATGCTATGCAACGATTACCACCATCCAGCTCCAGAACCTTTTCATCTTCCCAAATTGAAACTCTTACCCATTAAACACTAACACCCTATTTCCACTCCTTGCCGCTCCTGGTAACCACCATGTACCTTCTGGCTCTACAAAGTTGACAGTTACCTCCTATGAGTGCAATCATGCAATGTTTGTCCTAGAGTCAGTATTTTGAAAGATCTCCTGGTGATTCTCTGTGCTGTCAGAACTAAGGGCTGGTGCCAAGCATAAGTTGTTTATTGGTTCATCTTTGGAAAGAGAGAAAAGTTTAGGGATGGAGATGGAGCTGACAGTGGGAAAACTGCATGGACAGAAATCAAGTAATGCAAAACATTCACATCTTTGCCCAAGTTACATTTAGGCTAGGTATTGCTTTTGCAGAATGGCAGCTGGAAGAGAAAGGCTGTATTTGTCAGAAAGTGAGGGGGTTCTAGTCTAATCCTCTAACCTGGTTTGAGTCCTTGCTCTGCCATCTAGTAGCTGTGTACCCTTCAGTGAGTCACTTAATAGTGCTGAACCCCACTTTCTTTGTCTGCAAAATAGAGATAATAATATCTACTTCAAAGACCCAGTGCTAGGCTCCAAAGCAAAGCATGTGGAGGTGTCTGATATATTCCAAAACCCTTTACAGATGACAGTTGTGGCTGCTATTGTAAATGGATAACAATAGCTTTTATCCTAGTTTATTTTTTTAAGTGCCTTAGCCTTGATAAACTAAAGGTAGAGCATAACTGCTCTAGCTGGATCCAATCCATGTCCATAGAATATTTAATTTAAAGGGGCTTAAAGATTGTTCTAAATTAATTTTTAAAATCTACTCTTACTTCCTGGGCACAAATAACCCCTAGAGATTGCAGCCATTTTCAAGAGACAAGCTGGAAGGGTGATTATACAATTTTAAAGCAAAAAGCCATTCTAATTTGATAAGTGCTTTGAAGACATTAATAGACAGCATCTCCTCAACTTCCTTGCTTTGTGCTTGATGCCAGCACCTGCCCTTTGTGGACTGCACCAGTGTGCACTCACACACAGACACACACACACACACACACAGCTCTGGTGCTCTTGATGAACTCTGGGTTTGTTTGGGGCTGTGTGTGTCTTATTCAAAGAAGATGGAGCCAAGGTTGCCTGATGTCTTCTAATAGCTAATAGATAGTGATTAGAGCAGAGCAGGAGAGCCAGTGAGAGGTGGGGAGGAGGCAGGGAGGATAGAGGGAGGGCTTGCTTAGCTTTGTCTTGCTAATGTACTTTGTTTTGTGGCTTGATGGGTCGTTCAGACAGATTCAGACCACCTCACAAGGGGAAGGCATAGAGGAGCAAGACAGCTCAAGTGGAGAGCTTTACTGGGGACAAAAGATGCACCTGCAAAGCACAGGCTTAATCGTCTCTAGAGGCCAGGCCCGATGTTGGGAGATAAATGCCGGCACCACCTGAATGAGGTCCTGGCAGCGTGTGTTTGCCTGGATACTACAGTTAATTCATTTCAGAAGAGGGGTTGCTACCCAGCAAGAGGGAGCTGCTCCTGCAATAAGCCTGAATGAGCCAGCAGTGTTACAAATGTCCTCCCTAAACACAAAAGGGCCAAGGGAAGGAAATGTGTATGGCAGGTAGAGGACACGGCTGAACAATAAGACAGCAGGAGGAGGAGGAGGAGGAGGAGGAGGAGGAGGAGGAGGAGGAGGAGGAGATGGTTAGCAACACATTTCAACTTGGCTAAACCAGTTTCTAAACTAAACCCTATATCTGAAGCCCAATATCAGAAAATATTTCATTAGCTCTGCTTCAGAGCCTCACTGGCTAATTCTGATGTTGGTAGCAGGTTGTAGCCTGAAGTGTTGGAGAAACTTACAAAAATCCGAACTCAGCAGTTCAGAGGTTAGGGTTCCTCCCATCCCTCCCTTCCTCCTTCCCTCCCTTCCTTCCTTATAGCCTTGCTTTTCTCCCTCCCTATCTTCCTTCCCTTCCCTTCCTTCCCTCTCTCTCTCTCCCTCTAGTCATTTTTCCCCTTCTTTTTTCCTTCCTTCCAAAAAGTGGATCCCTATCCACAAATGAAATAAAACTCAGTATGTAGAACATATCAAAGGACAGTGGCTCTTGAGCCCTCGCAATGTGAGTGCTCCTGTCATCTCCTTAGAGGCCAAGATCTCCAGAGTCAGGGCTGGCCTCTTGCTGACAGAGTTCTTCTCTTTCGTTCTGCAGGAAACTGAGGTTCAGGGCCTGAAGTGGTTTTCTCACAGGAAGCCAAAGGTGCCCTGACCTTCAATCTAATGCGTTTGCCACTAAAATGTATTTTCTCTCTTACAGACATTTGCAACAGCATATTAAAATAGGTCAAAAAGTGAAATCTGACTCACAATGTAGAATGAATCCATAGAAATTCAGCGTTCATGACAAAACTCAAGAAATCTGATTTGGAAAGGAAAAACAGTGGCAGAAACAGGACTGGCTCAGGGTGGGATAGGAGAGAAGGAAACAAATGAAAAACACAAATGTTTAAAAGCGGATTCATTATGTTGTATAATTCTTCCACTAAATGTTCTGGTCATTATTAAATTATAAATTGTTAACAGGAAACACAAAGTGCTGTGTGATCAAAGTTGTAACCTTGGGCAAGACAGCCAGCTAGTGCCTTTGGCTCTCTGTTTCCTTCACACCCCATGCGGATTTTAAGCCAAATGGTCCTTCCCTTAGAAGAGCCTTTGTTTCTCTGAAAGGTTTTGCAGTGCTGTGCTATATGTAACTGATCCTGAGAACTTCTGCCTTTCTTATATATTTTGGGGAGGGTGAGTTAAAGAAAAACTGGGGACAGACAGCGAGCCAAGGAGGACAGAGTGCCTGCCACACTCTTATTATTCTTCAAGCTCCTATTCAAAAGTCCCCTCCTCTGTGGAATTTTTGCTATGCCGCGCAAATATTTTTTCCAGTCTCTCTCTGGTTCCTAATAATTATTTGTTCACATCTTTTCCTCCTTTAAACCAGGTACTATGAATTATTCACTTGTTTCAATGCCTGAAATCTAACAGTATCTGAACCACTCCTCACGATGTTTCATAAAGACGCTGAGGAATTCTATTGTGACGTGTACTAAAATCTTCACTGGCAAAAATCATTTGCCGAGGAAGTTTTCTTTCTCAGCAAAACCAAACCAAACCAGACCAAACCCTTAAGCCACCACTTTAAAAATGAATTGACATCGCTAAAATTTTTTTTGAGACAGAGTCTTGCTCTGTCGCCCAGGCTGGAGTGCAGTGGCGCGAACTCGGCTCATTGCAGCCTCTGCCTCCTGGGTCCAAGCGATTCTCATGTCTCAGCCTCCTGAGTAGCTGGAATTACAGGTACCTGCCACCACACCTGGCTAATTTTTGTATTTTTTAGCTGAGATGGTGGTTTTGCCATGCTGGCCAGGCTGGGCTTCGAACTCCTGACCCCAAGTGATCCACCCACTTCGGCCCCCCAAAGCGCTGGGATTACAGGTGTGAGCCAGCATGACCGGCTGCTAAAATTTCTTAGGAAAAAAACCTTTAAAGGTAGACATGCTGGAATCCTTGAACTCTTCATTTCATTATTTTCATCAGAGAAAACTCCCAACTTTCAACTTTGAAAGTAAGCAGCATTCATTTTTTTCTAAAAGTAACATGTTTTCCTGCATGGAGTGACAACTTCAAGTTGTATCTTTGTGATATTATTACAAGATACTGTAAAACTTTCTTTACTGTATTTTTGCAACTGGTAGCACAAGTGGCGAAAATTTTGGCTTGTCTTTGTATGCTAGGAAAAGTTGAGTGGAACACGCAAGCTGGTTTTCTGCAACAACCTTAACAGCATGGGCCTGTGTCATGTCTGGTACAGAAGAAAATTTTAAGTGCACAAAAGAACAAACTTACCTTCTTTGACACTCAATCGTGAGGATTGGTCGGTGTGGGAGGTTGTATTATAGGCCAGCAGTGAACCTGAGAGGCAAAACATAAACAGGTTATAACCAAAATGTTCTTCTGAGATCAAGAGTAGGAGATGACATGAGGAGGGAGTAGAAAGGGAAAGAGATGGGGAGAGGGGAAGAGGGACAGAGGACTCCTAGGAAGAAAGGAAAAGCGAATGGAATCCATTTGGTTGGAGACAATCATACAGGCCTGTAATAGCTTTATGGAGTGAAGAGACAGAATACTTTGGAATGAAATGCTCTCTGGGGAAACAAACACCACGCCCCCTAAGCTGCCATATTCATAGTTCTGAAGCGCTGTGGTCTGTGCCATAATCATGATAGGAACACAGCATTGAGAATCAGTAAACCCGGGTCTATTCCAGTTGTTATTAACTCACCATGTGACAGTTGGTGAGTGACTTGACATGTCTAGATTTTGATTTTTTTTCTTGAACTAGAGCAGAGGTTGGCAGATTTCTTCTATCAAAAGGAGATAGTAAATATTTTGGCTTCATAGGCTAACTACAATCTCTGTTGCACAGTCTTCTTAGTTTTTGTTTTGCTTTGTCCATGGGCCACTTTTGGCCAGATTTGGCCTGCAGCTTGTACTTTGCCATGGCCTGGAGGAGAAGCCAGTATCACTCCTTCCTGCTGTGGTATCTTCTGGGTTTATGTACATATGGGTCCTTTCACAGGTGAGGGTAAGGTACACAGGTATGTTACTGGTGGAGGGGGCAATGGGAGTTGGGAAGGAGGTGAGTGGTAGTATTCCAATAGGAACTTTTGCTTCCCTTCACCTATGTCTAAGAGCACGCACTGAACCTGAGGAGTCACGCGTTGAATTTTCTGTAATCTCAGAATGCTGATATCCAATCTTTTCAAATTAAACTTCAATTCATACCTCTTCTGTACCCAGCACTTTGAAAAAGCAATTTGTTGTTACATGTAAAACACATTCTCCCTTCTTTCCTAAAACTAGACTTTTTCCTTTGTTTAAAGTGAATTCAAGGTTGTATTTTGTGAAACTTAGGCATTTTTGCCATTCTCTTTGAGATTCTCCTAAGGAAATCTTAAAGAGCCCTTGAAACGAGGGCTGGGATCTGCTTTTATAAAACATACCATAAGCTCAACACATGTATTCGAGGCTAAGAAAATTCTTCTAAACAACCCTTTTCCCCGCTCCCTGTGGCCGAGTGGACTGGCTTGGGTGCCAGGGGTGGGAATGGGCTGTCAGACACACCCCTATTTTTAGTCTCCAGTCATGGAAGGGATGCCGAAATGGAGTTGCCGCCTCACCCAGCTGTGGGCGTTTGGTTGTGTGCCTCAGAGAAAATGTGTGCACTATCCAAGCCAGACGATGAGGAAGAGAATTTATTTATTTATTTTTTTTGAAACGGAGTTTCGCTCTTGTTGCCCAGGCTGGAGTGCAATGGCGCGATCTCAGTTCACTGCAACCTCCGCCTCGCAGATTCAAGTGATTCTCCTGCCTCAGCTTCCCCAGTAGCTGGGATTACAGGCATGTGCCACCATGCTCGGCTAATTTTGTATTTTTAGTAGAGACGGGGTTTCTCCATGTTGGTCAGGCTGGTCTCAGGTGATCTGCCTGCCTCGGCCTCCCAAAGTGCTGGGATTACCACCGCACCCGGCAGAGGAAGAGAATTTTATAAGAATTGTCCAATTGCCTAGAATATGACTGTTAGTTCTAGCTCTGCAGCAGCTCCAGATGAAAACAAGGAGGGGGATGACGGGGGTGGTATTGAGCCCGCTGTATGCCAAAGTGTGGCTATGTGGATGCCATTTTAGAAATGAGACAGTCACATGAATATAACATCCAAGAGCCAGCTACATTTGGTTATTCCATGTTCAAGAATACCAATGACAAAGTAAGGCTGGGACAAGTTCCTGTTAATAGTCACACACCAAAAAATGATGTTTTGGGCAAAGATGGACCACATATACGACAACGGTAATAGTGTATTTTTACTGTATCTTTTAAAAGTTAGATGCACAAATACTTGCCATTGTGCTACGGTTGTCTACTATATTCAGTACAATAACATGCTATACAGCTTAGTAAGCTAGGAGCCACAGGCTGTAGCATACAGCCTCAGTGTGTAGTAGGCTATGCTATGTGGGTTTGTGTAAGTACATTTTGTGGTATTCACATGAAGATGAACTATCCCCATCATGAAGCAAAGCACGACTGTATGTTTATTAAGCAAAGGAGACTTTAAAATTAGACCTGCCTCTTATCACTGACTAGCTTTGTGCCCTCCACTGATTTCCCTCATCTCTTTGAGCCAGCAGTTTCTCATCTGTAAAATGGGCTAACACCACTCAATGGCATTATGAAGATTAAATCAAATAATGCATGCAATGTGCTCAGAATGGACCTTGGCTCATAAGTGTTCCATAAATGCTAGCTATGATCGTTACTATTTTTACATCCTTTCTCCCACAGATGTCACAATTACATACAATAGTTCTCTTTATACATGCGTTTACTGAACATTCGTCCTGTCCTCTGATTAAAGTTATGAATGGGTTCTGCTGCAATAAGAAATAATCCGGCACGACTGGAAGGAAGTGAAGAAATGGAACCAAATGTTCGGAGGGAATACAAAAAAATCCCAGAAGTAGGACCAAGAATGCTTGCCTCTCCGTCCCTGACGTTCTCTCCCTCAGGCTGAAACCTCACTGCTGGAGCAAATAAAGAAAAATGATGGTCTCCGAGGAGCAAACTGCCTGAGTCATTAGTGCAGATGTAGCCGAAAGCACGAACCTTAGATAAACCACATTTATTAAATTTCCCCATTGGTGAAAGTTCTTCTTTGGGCACACATGAATTCCACAGGAAACTCCCAGAAAGCTGAGAGAAAGGGTCATTTGACCTCTCCAAAGCTTGCATGAAATGTATATTTCATGGCAACCTAGGAAAAGGATTTTGCCCTAAAGACTGTTCTTGGTTCAAGTTTCACTCCTAGAAGGAGAGGCTGCCTTCCCCAAGGAGGGGCTGGTTGGGGGCATCTGGCCTCTCTCCCAAGGGACCTAGATTCCCTCCTCTTCTCCGATTTCTACTTCATTAGTTCCCCAGGCTCTGTTTTCTTAAGGAACTTGTTCTGATGCAGGCAGGTCCTCCTGGAGTCTGGCCTCCCTCTCTGTGGCTTTGGACTGCTTTCTCCTGCCTTGAGGCTCTTTCTGGCCTGACCCTGCCACAGGCCTGTGCTGCTGAGCTCCCCCACCTTCCCGATGCCAGCACATCAGGGTAAACAGGCCATGATGAAGGTGGTGGTGGGGACGCAGTGCTCCCTGAACATGCACGGTGTGCCAGACGCTTTCCATCTATTTTCTCACTTAATCCTTGCATAAGCCATACAGAGCCAGCATTCCCTTATTCCTTTTTACAGATGAAAGGAGCAACACTCAGCGAAGTCATATCATTTTCCCAGGATCACACAGCCAGAGAGTGCAGAAGGCAGGAGCCCCATCGTGGTCTATTCACAAAACCTGTCCTCAATCTGGCAGATCCCACTGCCTCCAGGCTAAATCGTAGAAATAGGCAAAACTCACCTATGGGGCTGGGAAGCAGGGTGGTGGTTAGTTTTGTGGAGGAAGCGGTTGTGGGGTGGAGAGAGGGTACAGGGGGCTGAAATTCTACTCCTTGGCCCGGGAGGTGCTTATGGGAGTGGGTGGATTCACGTCACGATAATGTCTCACGTAGCGCACTTCATGATTTTTGCACTTCTCTCTGTGTTGTACTTCAGTTCAAACTGAAGTATAAGATTTGCCTACTTGGTTATTTGTAAGTTTCTGTATATGTGTTTGTATGTATATATTTGTATATGGGTGTGTATGCATATACATATATCTATTTATTGAGGGCATTTTTGCTCTAAAAAGCATAAAGTAGCTCCTGCTGAGAATAGAATGGCCTTCCCAAAGTGCAAGCATGGGGAAAAGATCATTTTCCATTCCATGTTTGAATCCATGTGCTGCTAGAGACAGTACCTGGATCTGAAAGGAGAGGGGAGTGAGCAGTGTGAGGCTTTGCAGGTGTGGGGTAGAACCCCAACAATCACGGTTTCTGCTGCTTCACATTCCCTCAACCTAACCTGCTTTTCATCGGGGACACCTGGGCCAGGGGGCGCAAGCGTCCCAGTGCCAAAGCCTTTGTCTCCTGCCTCGCTGTGACCATAGAATTCACCAGTGCCCCCTCACAGCCAGCCTATTGAATCCAGGTCTCTCTTTTCTCTGGGCTGCACTGCTATATCAACAGCTCTGGCTGAGTGTGCAGGAGCGGGAGGGTGCAAGGCTCTGGGATCTTTAAACAACAATCCTGGCTGACTACTGGGTCCAGGGAAACCTGGCCTTTTGTTCAGCTGGCATTCTGTTCTCCTTCACCAGTCAAACCCAGGCCTGGAAGTGATAAGATTGCACCAGCTTAATTGCCCAGACTCAAAACCTCTGCCCGACCATCTGAGGCTGCAGGTGGAAAGACCAGAAAATGCAAAATGTGTTTTCCATTAAAGTTTAAATTAAAAATGGGAATGAAGATAGACACCCTTTCCGTGGTCTCCCGGTCGCGCAGTTTCATTCTTTTGAGCAGCCACTGTTTGAAGACGCAGTTTCTTAGTGTTTTTTTTTCCAGGTCAGACCCAGATTGACATACAAAACGAACTTGTTTGTAAAACTTAAAAAAGGCTCTTTTTCTTTCTGCCTCCCCACCTCCCCCGGGGCCTCGGGGCTCCCAGCCTTGCGCAAACTCCCCCCAGCGGCCCTGAGCCTGAACTGCCAGCCCGGCGCCCTCCGTTTCTTCGAGGTCCTTCCCCGCCTTGGCCTGAGAAGGGACAAATCTCGTTCCCGCAGCAGCTGCTGCGAAGGCTCCTCTGCCACACGGGGTGTGTCCGGGAGAGATACTGGTGGGGCCGACAGTCAGGCCCAGAGAAGGACAAAGTTAGCGTGGTGATAGGTTTGGCTTAATCGGCCTCCTTCCAGGAGGCCACAGGAAAGTTTTTGGAAAGCATTTATCTCTTGGTACAAATGACAACAGAAAATGCTGTGGGGGAAGTGGCCGGGCTGCCCACGTGGAAGGCCGGGAGTGAGGCTGCCTTGCCTGTGTGGCGCAGGCTGGCTTGCTGTCTCCAGGGCCGGGGGAACGTCGGCAACGCGAGGCCAGGGACTGGGACTCCAGAGGCCCTAGTCTGAGATGCCAGGTGCTCTCAATCGGCTGGATGCCTTTGAACCAATTTCTGAAGCTGTCTGGGCCTCAGTGGGTTCAGCTTCAAAATGGGTACTGTAGATAGTTGTCCACAAGGGGGCAACCTTTTTTCCTCTGAAGACAGAGCCTCGGTCTATCGCCCAGGCCAGAGTGCGGTGGTGCGATCTCAGCTCACTGCAGCCTCCCCCTCCCGCATTCAAGCGACTCTCCTGCCTCAGCCTCCCAAGTAGCTAGGATTACAGGCGCCCACCACCACACCTGGCTCATTTTTGTATGTTTAGTAGAGACGGGGTTTCACCACGTTGGCCAGGCTGGTCTCCAACTTCTGGCCTCAGGTGATCCACCCGCCTTGGCCTCCCAAAGTGCTGGGATTGACAGGTGTAAACCCTGGAGTTTCCCAGGACTCATGGGAATTACCCCCAAGAACCGTGGCCACCCCAGCCATCACAGTCCTCCTTGCATTTCCTGTGGTGGTGGGGGGGAGGGGTGGGCGCCTGTGTGGCGTGTGACACAGCTCCTCTGGCACAGCTGACACGCCCAGGTGTGAAGAACAAGCACCTCCCTAGCATGCCTGGCCATCAGACAGGGTCTGTAGGGGCACAGGGAACTGCTATTTCTTCTCTACCCTGGAAAATACATTTGCATTTAAAATGTAAAAGTCTAGCTCCCCTCCCAAACCACCAGAATAAATAGTCAAGCACCTTTTGTGAAATGTAAATTTGATGCCAAAGCTTCTTATCCTATGAAGTTTTCCTTTTTCTAGACTTTCTATAAAGCCCAGAAAGATTAGATCAGAGAAGTGCCACCAACTTGGACTCTACTGACTTCCAACCAGCCACAGTCTCAGGTCCCCGATTCTGCTCTATCAACTTTCCTTCACCCTGCAGTACTTCCTCCACCGGAGTGAAGGATCTCAGCTATTTTCCATCCATCTCTTGCTAAAGTGGAAATATCTGAGCCCCACCTTCCTCTCCAATGAAAGGACAAGATGATAAAGCACAAAGAATCAGCACCCTCTCCCCTTGCCTTGACTCATCGCCTCAAACTCTCCACAAGCACTGGCCTTCCTCCTAAGCACAGAACATCCACTGGAAGTCAGTCTGGAAAAACAATAAAGTGTTTGAAGGCTTTAAAAGCGTTTAAAGTGCTGGTTGTCACGGGGGAGTTCCCAGCAATCCAGAGCAGAAACAGAGCAGACACGATCGCCAGCCCATGGCCTCCTGCAGGCGCTTAGCAGCCAGCCACCACCTCACACTAGAGGGTCCCCAAGGCTGGAACCCCAAGGTAGACACCAATTAAAAAGCAGCATGAATCTAAAAGCCTTTTGCCTGACAGTGGATCATTTTAAGTCTAGGTTCCTCAAAAGGATATTTCAATACCATGTTGGGGCAAGTTTTTTTTTTTTTTAATTTAACACGATTATTTTAATTTTTTGCTTTCGCAGGCAGACATGGTTTTTCTATCAGTGCACAGACCACTTTATAATGAGCTTTTCCACCCAACATTGTATCCTAAGCACTTCTCATGGTGTTTCCCAATAATCATTTCAATGGCAGAACAACTACTTCCCATCTTGTGGATGTACTACTGTTCGCCACCATCCTCCACTCTGGATATCTGCCCTGCATTTTCAAATGTCTTCAGTATACAAGCTGGATTCCACCTCCTCTCCACTCTGGAAATATGCTCCACTAATAAGTCCCTTTTGGGAAACCTAATATTTTTATTGATTTGGGGGCACTTTCTGTCTATAAATATTCTTAAAAAGAAAGAAGCAATTTGCTTTTTCTTGCCATGCTATACCCCCCAAAATGCCATCCTCTGCACCTCCACTTCAACCTTGTTATCTGCTCTTCTCCAATAGAAGGTCTCTCTACTGGCGACCAGTGACCACCTTCTCAGGCATTTGTCTCACTTCAGCATCTGTGTTCCCATTGTTCGGTGGCAGGAAGTACTAGGGGACCTTGGGCTGTTTATGGACTGGTTAGGGCCCCGGGGTCATATGGCATGAATGGGCTTTCCCCACATGGAGAGAATGCCTTGAACATTCTCCCAACAAGGGCATCCGCCGAAGAGTCTCGAAGCACTGGGCCCTTTAACTAACAGTTCAGAGCATGCTGTCTATGCTACTGTTGTCCTCTCTACTCCTGGCAAATGAAGGAAAGGGCTTAGGGTTCCTGCAAACTCCTGCTGGAATCAGGTTGCTTTGCTGGTCTCTCCTTCTCATGCTAACCTCCACACACCCACCCTGGCCTGCCTAGATCACTGCAGGACTCTGTTCAAAGATCCTTATTTTTTAAAATTCCACAAACAGTTAAAAGCTGAAAATATGAATTAGAAAGTGCTAATTATCCAAAGCTCTGAAAAACTGGGTGGAAAATTGTCCCCTTTTTTGAAATTGTTTCTTGGGCTGACCTCATGTTGCAGCAAGACTCAGACATGAGGTAATTGCTCCGGAGCTAACAAATACTGCATCATCTACTTTCTCGCACTAGTTACCAGACGCCTCGGAAAGGTGACCAGAGAGCACAGAGGCACCAGTGGAAACTGCCAAAGCCAGTTTTTTGATTTTTCATTTCTCCAGCCAGCACGTGTTGCCCCTGCCCCATGAGGAACACTGTCGCTGAAGGGACAGTGGATTCCAAAGATGGGGAGTTAAAGGTCCACAGAACGATGGCGAGCAAACAGAGCTCACCAACCCAGAGCCAGCCAGTCCAGGAAAAGCAGGTCCCAGAGTTGCTGTCTAAGGATCTGAACTTGCGAAGGGGGCTTAAAATCATCAAGCCCCTGCCCAAAGCTAAACTCCTGCAAGACTCGCAGCTGCCTTGGCCATTCACAACAAATAGCATCTCAAGGCTGCCCTGTCTTTGCACAGGGCTGCTAGAATGCTCTTACGTAGTGTGAGCCCAAACCTGTGTTCCTGTGATCCTAGCACCATCTTTTCAGGCCCCAGGACAATCCTTCCATACTTAGGGGTAGCACTGATATTGATATACCACCTGGCCTGGATTCCCAGCAGGGCACTCAGGCTGAGGTTACCAGCAGGACTAAAATAATTCCATTCTTCTGCTCTGTGTATATTTCATATCAAATGAAATTCATATCAGACTGATGGGCGCTTGGTGCTAGAGTACCTCATACTAGATAAATCTCTTGGACAACTGCCTGCTTTCTTTCTTAAGCTCGCCCTTTCCAAAGCTCTTTTCCTTTTCTTGGCTGTACCAGAAGAAAGCCTCCAATGGATCCTAACACACCTGCACCTTTGGCTGCTCTTCCTTATCAAGGAAGTGTGCAGATAGCAGCCCTGTCAAATGGGGTTAGGGTGTGCCAGAGTATCCCAAGATTAAGAGGAAGCTAATATGTAAATTATTTTCAACACCTTAAATCCAAAAGCCTTGAATCTAGAGTTTCCTGGAGGAATTTTAAATAATCACTTAGGAAAACACCAGCCAGGGCACCACCCATCTCTATCTATTTTCAAATTGGAATAGTTTCTGGAAAGGCGGTCTCATGGGAAGAGTGTAACCAGCCTCTGCCAGACCCCTCCAGGTCACAGCTCTCTACTTTTCTCCATTTCTCGTCTTACTTCCTTTGACACTTCAGGATTGGGTCTGCCCCTCACAGGGTCTGTAGGAGCCCACGTGACCTTGGCAACACTACAGGCCCCACGATGCTGCTCCGGCGGCATCTGCCCAACACGAACGGGCAGCACTGACTTCCTCTCCCTGGGTTGGCTCCATGCCAAGCTTCCTCCCAGCCCTGGGTACTTGGGCGGCACTTACTTTCCCTGAGGTAACTGAGGTGTGACAACAGCACTTCCGTGTTGTAGAGGGTGGTGGCGCGGAGGAAGTCCTCCTTGTTCATTTTACACAGTTCCTTGCCATCCATGTTCTGGAAAAAGGATGTGTCGATCTCCATCAAGCTGTACTCCTTTATGGCCCACTCCAGCCATTGCCTCACATGCTCCTGTGTCCACAGTGTGGGGTCTGCAGAGGAGAAGACGTTGTTAGCAAGGACTGCAGGAAGGTAGAGGCTCCCTGAGAGCCTAGGCAGCCTCCCTCACCCCTTGTCCCTCTTTCTTTCCCTTCTCTTTCTCTCTGGGAGAGCTCCCTTCCACATGGTTCCCCTAGAACACTCATCAGGCTCCATGGCATCTGGCGCTGCCTGAACCACTTAGCACTCCAGGGAGGTGCTTAGCTGCCTCACTACGTATCCTGACAGAGCACTCTTTAAAGTTTTGGAGAGCAGTTGGAACCTTTGCCTGAGAAATGGTGGCATCAAAATGAAAATAAACACAATTTCACAGACCCCGGGACCAATGTCTCTGGAAACGGGAACCATCTGTATTTTAAGAATATTAATGATTTCATGAAAGAACACGGATCCCTCAGATGGCTGTAGAAAAGAAACAGAGAGACTTTTACTGCAATTCCATCTGTGCAGTTGAAAAACCCAGCGGTGTTAGTCTTGAACAGAAACCCAAACTAGATTTTTCTCCTTTTGAGCACAGCTGTGTAGAAATTTCTACCAGGGCATCCCCAAAACATATTTTAGATATTTAAATACCCAAAGATGAGAGATGACGTTGGGGAGAACATTTTAGCTCTTGAGTGAACACAGGTAAGGTAACCACTGAGGCCATCTCTATGGTAGGACACTCATACCTCCTCCTCCTTCTCAGTGTGTGTATGTGTGTGTGTGTGTGTGTGTGTGTGTGTGTGTGTGTGTGTGTGTGTGTGGTGGGGATGTTGCACTTTCAGCACAAGTGATGAGTTCCAGCAGGTTCCACAGTAGGCAGAACTCTTTTATCACTCATCACAGTCTGAAGCCCATCTCTTCACTTGGCAACCAATGGTTAGTGGGTCCAATAAACACCTTAAATATCCTTATCATAGAAGAAAATTACATGACGCTTGCCTTCAAGAAATACTCATTCCCATGAAACAGGTAGGCAAGCACACCACTACTAAGCAATGGACTGTGTGGCGGTGGTTCGAGGACTCATAAGTGGAAGGGAATAGTGAAAATTTGGAGAGTCAAGGAAGACTTCCTGGGGGAGGAGAGACTCGGCATTTTATTGTAAGTCGGCCATTAGCCTCCGGCTTCTAATGAGCCTGTTTGATTTAACATATTTATTAGGCAGGAATATCTGTGCTACCCCTCAAGCAACTCACCCTCTCATTCTACAGCGTCTGTGAAGGCTCCTGGCAAAGCAGGGAACCAGGATTGAATGACTAGGAGTGGATGTGGGGCAAGAAGCAAGGCTCACGCTTCACAGCTGGGCAGCCAGAGGCAAGTTTCCCAGCACTTTTACACAAGCATCCACCAACTGTCCTTGGACTCTCCATTCCACCTTGGTTTTTATGTGTGAGAATCTGGGTGGCAGGGCCCGAGTAGTCTGCTTTGTAAAGTGCCCAGGCCCTGCCCATGCACGAGAGTGGCTGCTGTGTTGTGCTGAAGGTGGAGGAGCTGGCAAAGGGGAGGAGTTAGGAGAGTTTGGGTTCACAGGTCACAGCCTGCTGCTGAATGTCATTCCAACAACCTAATGCCCTGTGAGCAGTGACGGCTCAGATGGTGGGTGCTATGTGCCACCTGCTCCGCGAGCCCTATTTTTACTTACCAAGGAAATCTTTTAATATCCCCATTTTACAGATGCAAAATGGAGTCTTAAAAGGTTAAGTCCTTTGCCCAAAGCCCCATCGCTGGTAAGTATCTGGGCTGGGGTTCCAATAGAAACCATTATAGGACTTCACTAAGCTGAAGAGGTGGGTTCCCCCAAAGCCCCTTTCCTCTTCTCACCATCCTGCTTTACCTCACCTGTGAGTTACACTGCTCTGAAGCCAGAAAGCGGAGCTCCTCTAAAGTGTCATTGTACAAGTATGTCTTCCTCTCTCTCTCTCAGATACATTTCTTGCTCTTTTACTCTCCAGAAGCAATTAGGCATGGATCATTGGCAAATGGAAATAATTTTGCACCTTTTCAGAATTCTAGAGAAACATATCCTCGGGAGAGTTGGATTATGTAGCATATTATTTCATTCTTCACTTCTCCCAGTTCCTCACTTTTAGTATCCAAGGCCTCAAATTCAATTTTACACCATATATTTTATTTATTTTATTATTTCCTCCCTTGCTTTGGGCTCTGCAACAATATTATTACTCTCCCTCTACAGCACAATGAATTATAAATCTTCAACTCTGGATCATGCTAAACTCTTCCAAATGCATTTCCTGGATGATTTAGTCCTAGTTTCTTCCCATCTGAACATGGAGCTAGTGATTAACTAGGGCCCACATTTATACTTGTCTTTAAATCCCATCATAAATTCAATCGGTTATTCCACTAATATTTTATTGCCTTGATTTGTGGACTTGCCCAAATGAGACTTCCCCTCATATCCACAGCCTGGCCTGGAGGAAGCCAAAATGTGTGAGGACCTAAAAGATCTAGCCGGAGCTAAAATAATGAAGTAAATCCATAGCCTGAAAGTGCTTTGAAAATCATTTGACATGAATTTGTTTTATTTTCACCACCAGCGCTATAGGTAACTTGGCTCAGCCAAGCCTGATGTTTTGCTATTCCTTTTGAAAGCATTTCAACACTGATCAAAGAAAGTTTGGAGGGTCGACATAGCAGTCTGGCCACTTCTGCCCATTTCCAAGATTCCTTCCCCAAAATGACGACCAAAATGAGATGGTGCCAAAGGTTGGTTCAAAGACAATCTCAGATCCCCAAACCCTTCAGTCCAGCAAGCTTTCCCTCCCAGGCTGGGAGCTGTTTGACTGAAGCAGGGGAGTTTGAAACCATTTGAGTGAAGACCCAGTGAGGCTCAGCTTTGCTTTGGGCTGTACAAAGAGATTCCCACCTGTCAGTTCTAATACAGTTTCATTGTCTGCTTTCAGTGAGGAGGGAGACGATACACCTGGGCTAAACATTACTAGCTGGTCTCCTGTGACAGGTGTTTTAAGTAATGCCATGGAGATAAAGCAATTTACGTGGTGCCTGGCACCTAGAAAGCACTCAATAAATGGAAGTGATTCTTCCTCTTCCTTTGTTAGGTCAGATGCTTGTGGAAGAGCAAACTTAGAATTGCTTTAGGAGTCATTTCTAAGTCCTAAAGGGTACAGAGAAATTTCTACAAGCCCCACCCGTCTGCTGCCTCACTCTTGCTCACACCTTCTTGAATTTGGCCCAGAGCACAGGGAGGCAGCTGTAATCCAGGGATATGGTGAGATGCAGCTTCCCAGGGAAAACAAACACCACGGGCCAAGGCAGGAGGCAGCCCTTAACATTTCTGCCTTTAGACCTACAAGCAGATGCCTTCGGACTACCTCAAAGAGATGTCTAACCTTTTGACTTCAGAGGCAACTACATTTATGCTTTTACAAATGGAAGGAGTTTTGCCTCTCTGGTAAAGTTATTTTGGTAAGATCAGGTTTAATCCCTGCCCTGTAATCACTTTGCTTAAGATTTGGACATCCTTGCCCCTTCTACCTGGCACCAGTTCTACACGTGGCAGTTTGTAAACACCCTTCTTGTGCAGGCAGCTGAGCTTGCTGGTGCTAGCTGGGGTGGAGTGTCCAGCCAATGGACTGAAGGACTGAACGATGATTTTATTTTCTGGGACCAACAGCACCAACACCTAGGAAAAAGAGGCTATTTTTACCTAATGACATAACTTGTGGCACACATGTTAAGGCACTCCATTAGTTAAATATAGTTCTTTCTATTTTAAAACTGAAAGAGCTGGCTGTAATTTTGGAAAGGTGGAACCTGGTAGATGCCGGGAAGTACGAGCCTGGAGGGAAGGACTGGCCTCTGCAGCTGACCTCCTCCTCACAGGCAGGGATGCCCACATCCAGAGCTCACGGGATTCCTTTTGGGTGGAGGCGGCCTTGCCTCTGCTCTCTGAGCAGCCCGTCCTTGAGGACCAGGCCATTGATGTAGAGTCTGTGATGTGGTCTGTTTAAGGGTGGGGCTTCTAGCACCCACACATCAGGTGACATCTGGGATACTGCCTTAAAGGGCAGCTAGGAAGTCAGGTAAAATGTGCAGCTTTTTTTTTTTTTTTTTTTTTTTGAGACAGAGTCTCATTCCATCACCCAGGCTGGAGTGCAGTGGTGTGATCTTGGCTCCCTGCAACCTCCGCCTTCCCGGTTAAAGCGAGTCTCCTGCTTCAGCCCCCTGAGTAGCTGGGAATATAAGCGTCCACTACCACACCTGGCTAATTTTTGTATTTTTTTTTTTTTTTAGTAGAGATGAGGTTTCACCACGTTGGCTAGGCTGGTCTTGAACTCCTGACAAGTGATTCACCCGTCTTGGCCTCTCAAAGTGCTGGGATTACAGGCGCGAGCCACCACTCCCGGCTGGCGTGCAGCTTTCTCCATTTTGCAATTCCACAGGGAATAGAGTATCAGATAAAGGTTTAGATGCTCCCTGCCCCCCCAGAGAGTGGGGAAGTGAATGGCGCCCAGGCAGCCTGGTTCTCGAATTACCTGCGGGGACGATGACTCTCCTCTCGTTGGTGGTCATGTTGGGAGGAGGGGGGCCATTCTTCTCGTCCATATAGCTGTTGTAGTTCATGGGGTTGGACTCGCCTCCGCCCACCAGCTTGCTGCATTTGCTAACGCTGCAGTCCACCGGAGACTCCCTAAAGTGAGAAGAGACAAAGCCCAGAGGCGGTCAGCACTGACAGGGCAGCTTGCCTCAGCCTCTGAATCATGAGCCCAGGGCTCCGATGATGAGCATGGAGCCATTGCCCGGCCACACTTGGTGTCATGATGATGATGATGCCCTCTTTCTATCCTCCATGCTGCCACCAGAGTTTTCTTCAAATCCCAGCCCAATCCTATAATTACAGTACGTAAAAACTGCTGGCAGCGCCTCAGTGCCCTCAGACCAAGGTCTGAGCTTCTTTGTGTGGCATCGCAGCCCTCCCTGTCTGACTGCAGCTTACATTTTTAGCCTCACTGCCAGGCAACCTAGTCCATGCTCCCAGACACGCCTTCCCCACAGTCCCCCAGCACTTGGTGCCCGCCTTGGTTATAAGGACTTGTCACACTGTCTGATTCTCAGCTTGGCCTGCGCCCCCTGACTGCTGAGTTCTTGAGAGGATAGTCATCACTTTCTTTGTTTAACCCTAGTATTCTTACAGGAGGTGAGCAGCAAATGCTTTCTCAGTGAGTTATTTCTATTGCACATATATAAGTTTAATGCATTTCTTATGCACTGTTGTATTCGAATTTCCCAATAAGCCCCCAGGATAGGCACAGCAAGGGTTACTATCTCCTTTTCATGGTTAATGAAATCGAGACAGGGGCTGCCTGGCTCAGTCACACAGCTAGTCAAGGTGGAAACAGGACTCAGGTCTTCTGTGTTAAGCTTCACTATCAAGCACACATGCAAAAGAGCTGGTTGCTACTTGGAGAAGGAATGGAGTCCAGGAACTTCCACCTGATGGAGAGGTGGTGGCCCTGTGGCATTTTGCATCCCTGGCCCCAAGCTCACTGTGGAAGCAGTATGGACATTCACAAGAGAGAAAGCAGATCATCCAACTTAGCCTAGAACTACAGAACTTGATCAGCACCTGGTATTTTGCAGCACTGGTGATGGGCAGCTGTCTGGAGGGGTGAAGTCCCACCCATGGCCACCTGGCGCCCTGAAGCTGGCTGGCAAACACACTCTGCATGCCCTCCAGCCCAGCATCACGCACCTCCAGCATACTTGGGGGAGGTGCCACCCTGTCACACCCAGTGCCCGCTGCTCAGCCACTCCAGCAGCAGCAGGACCAAAGGAGACGATGGGAAGGCCAAGGAGAAGCTGTAGCCGCCATTATACTGAGCAGGAAGCATCGGTTCTGGCAGCCTGGGAGACAGCCAGTTCTCTCAAGAGCTCCAAACCAGGCCTTCAGACCAAGGAGTTCAGATAAGGTTCAGATTACAGCCTTCCAACTCTAGGCCGCATAACCTCTCCGGACGTTCCAAAGGCCTGGCCACTGTCCTCCATCCCCTGCCAGGCGCAGGAACGGACCACAGCGAGGCCTTGAGGAGCAGGGCCGTACCAGATAGGGACCCACCCATCCCACAAGCAGGGACGGCAGTCACTAACCCAGGAGAAGGGAGATCAGCCCAGGGCTTCCTGAGACCCAGGCAGGGCGGGGAGGCCTGAGCACATTCAATAAAGAAAATTAAATGAATTTGTTTCTTAATCTGAAAGGAAAAAAATATTGAAGATCACTTATCATAGCTGGGAGATAAATGCTCCACTGAGATATTAGAAGTCAGACGGTAATTTTTTCCTGATGTCTTACAGAGGGAAACATGGGCTGAAAATGAAAATAAGATGTATAACTCACACATGTTAGAATTTAAGGTTTTACTATTCGCCTACTGTTTTTCCAGGCAGAGAACCAAAAACCAGCCGTCAGAGTCCCAGATTGCTGAAGGTTTAACGTCCCCATGGCAGGGGAGGGGAGGGGAGGCAGTAGCACATCAGGACTTTTCACCAGCGTTTGGCCCTTTGGCTTCTGCTGCGGAAGGACCTGGCCTGAGATGAAGCAGTCCCAGTCAGACCCTGGTGCCTGCATCTGAGCTGAGCTCTGGCCCGAGTGCACTGGGTCCCCTCACCCGCCCTGGGGCTAACTGCAGGCACACACTCACACACATGCATGCACATGTGCACACACACTCCAACACAGAACACATGTGCACAATACTTTACCCACATGCATGCACATACTTCAACAGAGAACACGTGCACACATATGCTTACTCCCATGCATGGACACACTTCAACACACATGCACAGACATGCACTGTACACATTCCAACATGGAACACACATACTTCACCCACATGGAAGCACACATTTCAACACAGAGAACATGCACACACATGCACGTACACTTCATCTGCACACACATTCAACACATGCACACACATGCAAACACAGTGCACACACACGCATACACATTACACACACGCGTGCATACACACACACTCACGCACATGGTCTGGCAGCCTTTCCCTGCATCCTTGTCAGTTGTGAAACAGTCCAAGTGCTGCAGAAGTTTGAAGGATTAAGTTGGCCTGCAACCAAGTGAGCAAGGTTTTCATTGGCAGGCGGCCTCTGTGGGAGAGGTGGGCTCCACACTGCACGCTCTTCCCTTGGAGGACCCCCAGAGCAAGAGGGCATAGGGTATGGGCAGGGGTCTCTCGGAAAGGAGAACTACAGCAGGGGGCAGGATGGTGGGACAGGAGGGCACACTCCCCGGGCTCCTCCCGTTTGTGGACGGTGGGGATACGATATTTGGAAAAATTCTTTTCCACATCAGCCGGGCCCCTGGGGATTTCTGAGTTAAAAACTGACCTCTTGCTGTGCAGAGAAGTCAGCACCTCAGGACTCACTGAAATGGAGTGAGCCTTTATGGTTATGGCCATGTACGGTAGGCACAGGTGGCAGGGCTGGTCCCAGGTGCCAGGGTTGGAGGAAAATAAATGTGAAAAGCTGAAAGAAACATTTCCCCAAACCTGCCTAACACGTGACCTTGTAAGGAGAGGAGCCATGGGCACCTAGACGAAGGGAAAGTGGACGCAGAGGAGGAGGGGGCTCTCTTGCTGGGGTGGCCGCTGCCACTCATTCCCTGAGCAGAACCTCCTCATTCACTGACCCATAGAAGTTCTCCCAGTTCCGCTTCCCTCCTCCTCTCTCCCTCCCCCGGCCCTGTGCACACACCTGCTCTCCAGCTGGACAGGTGATCGGTTTGGCCGCTCGCCCGCCAGGGTGTTTCTCCTCTGGAAAATGGCCCTGTCCTCGGTCCCAGGCTTCTGCACTAGGACCTGCAGGCGGGTGTCCTTAGGGAGAAGGGCTGGCACCATCCTGGTTCCCCACACTTGCCCAGCTGGCCCTCCTCCCACTGCTCAGGGAGAGAAAGAAGGAAAGCCATACCTCGCCCGCTCGCCTGCCAGTCCTCCCTCCATTCTTGCAGCTCCCAAGCACCGTGCCTCCTCCAGCCAGCGCAAGCCCTGCGTGCGGCCATGGGGCTCCACGGCTGCCGCTCAGGGTGGGTACAGGTGAAGCCCAGCATAAAAGGCTGCTCTTTAATGAGGCAGCTGGCGCCTGTGAAGAAGGCTTGATGAAAACAAGAGGGAGGGGGAGTGCGGGACGAGGTTTTGCCATTCAGCTTGCCTGCACTGCTGCTAATTTGTATTAAGACCTGCACTTACAGCTAGCATGGGGCTGGGGCCCACTGGCAGCTGATAGCACTGGGACAGGTGACAAGAGAGCCTGGGGCTGCCACAATAGAGCAGGGAGGTGGCGGTGGCCCCAAGGGTGTAATAACTCAGCACATCTCCATCTCAGGGCGACAGAGGCCACAGCAGAGCTGCCGAGGGTAGGGTAGCCCTTGTCCTTCATTTCCACCACTGGACATAGCTCTTGACTCCTCGAGTTCTGTTTGTGTGTGTTCTGTGAACATTGCTACTGGTTTCCAAAAAAAGCTTTGCAATGTGTTAGGCCATTTAAAACAAGGTGTAAGATCTTGGGTGTTTGGATGAAGGGAGATTTCAAAGACTTCTCCTGAAGATTACCTCTTTAGGCTGTACAAAGATCTTCTCTACCTTCCTAGTCAACTCAGAGCAACTGAACTTGGGTATATCATCAGACCCGCACATCTGAGCCCAGGCTCACTGTCAAAGGATACCTGATGTTCACGTGGCCAAAGTGAGGCCTCGCGGGCTGCCTAAGTCACATGGCTGCATTAGGACCCGCGGCGTGTAACTCCTGCGTAGTATGCACCCTGTGCAAAAATTAAACAATCTGTATTGCCTTTAGGAAGTCTGTAGGACATAGATGTGACTTTTTTGTTTTTGAAAAGGAGATGCAATAACTTAAAAGCAAATTCCAAGAAAAGAAAAAGCATCACTTATGATAAAGCCACCGCCCTAATCCACTAGCTGTTTTCATCCCCATACACAGTAGATGCTGCTAACTTTTCCAGGATCCTGTGTATCCTCCCCACCCAGGTTATGTGTGACATGTCTCATACTGCAAGGTTGAGAACACAAGAGTTTAGAAAGGGGCCTCGCAGCCAGAGAGGCACAAGTTCCAGGGAACAGGAGCTGATCCTTCTCTGTGTGGAATGTGAGTCCCTAGGTGTCCAGGGCATCCAGACCCTGGGGGCCAGGCCAGGGAATTTCAAGGAAGGTTAGCTCTGAACTCTGGTCCTGAATACCAGGCTCACAAGGCAAGTCTTGCATTTCCCTCTATAACCTGATATTCTTTTCTTCATGGGATGTTTTCCCCTATCCCTGTGGTTGAGACAGGATGCAGCTGAGAGTTATTTGCAGACCACAGTTTGGATCAAGTTGCTGAAGTCTACATGCGACACAGAACCTATGGGCCATGCTGTTTCAAGGCAACCCAGCCTAACAGAGTCAACCACAACAGGAAGATATGAAGAAAGAGAGCACAAAACTCCCTCAACATGGGCAAGCCACTCTGTCTCTGAGATCCTCAGACCTCAGTCTCTGCACTTGACCCTTTGCTCCTGGGCCAGAGGGTTTGCTACTGGGGTGAAAAGCAAGTGGGCATGGTAGCTTCAGGTGCACCGCACACCTCCTTCCCACCAGAGACACAAATGCCAATGGGTCTCCAGTGAGCATGAAGACATAACTCAGAAGCCCATGCTGTCAAGGAATGCAGAAAAAATGCACTGTGAATCACAGAACAGTCCAGACCACCATGGCCCAGCACTGTCCAATAGAAGTAGAATGGGAACCACATGTGCGAACTACATAATTTTTTTTTTTTTTGAGATGGTGTTTCACTTTTGTTGCCCAGACCGGAGTCCAGTGGCATGATCTCGGCTCACAGCAACCTCCGTCTCCCAGATTCAAGCAATTCTCCTGCCTCAGCCTCCTGAGTAGGTGGGATTACAGGCATGCGCCACCATGCCAGGCTAATTTTGTATTTTCAGCAGAGACAGGGTTTCACCATGTTGGCCAGGCTGGTCTCGAACTCCCGACCTCAGGTGATCCGCCGCCTTGGCCTCCCAAAGTGCTGGGATTACAGGCATGAGCCACCACACCTGGCCGAGCTACATAATTTTAAATTTACTAGTAGCCAGATTTTTAAAAGAAAACAAAACGATGAAATGAATTTTAATAATATATTAAAGTATATTAATATGTTAACTCAATATAGCCAAAAGAAGATCATTTCAGCATAATAAATAATCAATGAGATATTTTACACTTTTTCCATAGTAAGTCTTCTAAATCCAGTATGTGGTTTATATTTAGAGCACATTTCAATTTTCAACTAACCGTATTTCAAGTGCTCAGTAGCAACCTGTGGCTAGTGGCTGCTGCATTGAACAGCACAGGTCTAGCCCATGAGCCAAGCAATCTCAAATTTTATACCCTGCCTTGGTTTTCTCATCTGAAGTTCAGAATCATTATAACATCCTCTCCTATCTTTTTGTGTTATGGCGAATTAGACCACTGCAAACAATCAAATCATGTGCAAGTAACGAACTGTCATTATCAATAATACTCAGAGGATAGGAGAAGCACAGTGTTCAGGATGAGAGATTTAAAGAGCCTGGCATTTATTTCATTCTGTCATTGCTTTTGGCATAATTAAATGATAGGGTCTGACATGGTTCCACTGTAAGCAATGACATTTTTCTAAAACTCCTTGCTTCCTGCTAGCCACTAGTCCAGCTTACATGTGAGCCCTTAGGGAATATTTGTGGGGTGCTGGCGATAGCTGTGCCTAAGCTGCTTGGCTCTGAGAGTCCACAGGATTGTCTCTGCTTGCCCAGGGTGGGTGAGAAGATATCAGTCTTTCTGAACCTACTTTGTTACCCGCTGATGGTATGGGTCAAGACAAGCAACTCAAAAGCAGAGGTTGCTGCTCTGTGTAGCCAAAGCCAGGTAAATATCCTGTCTGTTCACTGGAATATTCACACAGGCCCTCTCCAGCTGGCTTTTGGTGTGACTGGAGCCAGGTATGAGCTGGCAAGTGGGTTCTGAAAAATCAATTTCCTTGGGGGACCCTCTTTGCACAGGATCAGTATCCTGAAGTGCTTGAGGATTCTCTGAGAGCAGGGGAGGGAGTGGTGAGCAGCATACTTCCTTCCCACCAGAGACACAAATACCCATGGGTCTCCATTGAGCATGAAGATGGAACTCAGAAGCCCATGCATCAACTCAGGCTCAGCATTGAAGGGGCTGAGTCAGCAGACCTGGATCTGCGTCCTAACTTTAAACAAGCACCTTCTCTTTTGAGTCTGCTCAGCCATGTGTTCTCAGTTATTTATTTGACGACAATTTATTGAGCACCTACCGTTTCAGGCCCTGCCCACGTGTCAGTGAGGGAGGTGATAAGAACTAGGACAGACACTCTAAGCAGGGTAAAGAGTGAGGAGGCGCTGGTTTCGATCAGGTGGCCAGGGGAGGCCTCTGAAAAGGTGAGGTTCAGGTAGAGAAACCCAAAACTCGTGAGGGAGAGAGTCATATGACTAGATGGAGTAGGAATGTTCCAGAATGAAGGAGCTCAGGGGAAGAGATTCTGAGGCACGAGGGTGCCTGGGGGTCTAGGAGCAGCAGCTAGAGTCTTATGAGGCTGGCGCGGAGGGAAGAAGTGGGAGGGAGGGGGCAGTAGAGAGGATGTCAGAGGGATGGTGGGGCCACACTAAGGGCTTTGCATTTTGTCATAAGCCATTGAAGAGTTTTGAGCAAGAGGATTACAAACGAGGAAAGCATGGCTCTGGCTGCTTGCTGTCCGGAGAATAGACTTCAGGAAGGCAGGAGGAAGTGGGGAGAGCAGGATGCCCCCGCAGAAGCCTAGGAGAGGTGCTGCTGGCTTGCACCAGGCAGGGGCAGTGGAGGTAAGGAGTAGGCAGATTCAGGTTACAACAGGCCAGAGAATCTCCAACAAAGCTGGGTGCGGTGGCTCACGCCTGTAATCCCAGCACTTTGGGAGGCCGAGGCAGGCGGATCATGAGGTCAGGAGTTGAAGACCAGCCGGGCCAACATAGTAAAACCCCGTCTCTACTAAAAATACAAAAACTTGCCAGGTGTGGTGCCATGTGCTTGTAATCCCAGATACTCAGGAGGCTGAGGCAAGAGAATTGCTTGAACCTGGGAGGCAGAGGTTGTAGTGAGCCAAGACTGTACCACTGCACTCCAGCCTGGGCAACAGAGTGAGACTCCATCTCAAAAAAAAAAAAAAAAAAAAAAAAAGGAATCTCCACCAGTGGGATCTGGATCTTCAACAAGCATTGGGAGCTCCTTGGAGAAGGGCCCCATTTAGGAGGCATCGTAGAATAGGCCTCCTCACCAGGTGGGCGTTGGCAGGAATGAGGTGGTGGTGCAAAAGCATGACACACAAGCAGAGGGAGCAGAAAGGTGCCTAACAGATGGCACGTGGGGCTGGAACCAAACGCCTGGGTTCGGGCTCCAACTTTGCCTCCTTTAAATCCTTAGACAAAGCACTGTCCCCTGAAAGCCCTGCTTGCCTTCCTGTGTAACAGTGAAGTTACAGTAACTACTTCTTAGTATAGTGGTGAGGAACAAGTGGTAAGATAATATGGGAAAACGTTCAACACACCATGTCCTTCGACTGTTAGGAGCTCCGGCACCATCAGAATTACATCTGGAGAGAGATTCATCTGAGGGGCTGCAGGCTCAGAACCTCTGAGCCTTCCTGAAATCCTGGGATCTGGAAAGGTGGCTGAGATCCCAGTCACTGGTTTTGGTTAGTAGGGTTGAAATGTGGTAGGCCTGGCAGTTCCCACAGGCAGGTCTGAGGCCATGAGCTGCTCTGGAGGAGTTCTCCCTCCCAACCATGCTCATTCCCTTCTCTCTCTTCAATCTAGACTAGTTTCCTCGGTGACCTCATCCACTTTCACAGTTCAGACTCCTTAGAGATGATGCCCAAACGTAAATTCCAGGCCTGAAAGATTATCTGAGCTTCAGTTCCCAAAGCCTAGTAGACGTTTTTATCTGGATGTTCTACCCATTGCTCACAAGGAATCTCAAAGAGAACACTGACATCCCATCCTAAAGCATTTCCTGTGCCACCTTTCTGCGGCTGCTCACAGCACCAGCCTTTAAAATGTGCAGGCTTTAGTCGCCTTTGATTCTTTCCTGTCATGCACCCCCTTCATTCACACTTTACTCACCTAAGCCCTGTTAATCATCTCTTTGCTATCGCCCTTATGTATCTGTCCTTTTCACTTTCCAAAATCACTATCATCACTTAGTTCCGAACTTCATTATTTCCTATCTGGGATATTTTACTAACTTCTTCACTTGTCTTTCTGACTCTCCCATCCTACCGTCTGTGCGCAAGGACTGTCAGCTCGCTAGTCTTAAGTCACTGCTCTGATGAGGTTAAATGTCACGTCTGTGCTCAAAGTCAGCCTCTGGGTTAAATGTCACATCGGTGCTCAAAGTCAGCCTCTGGCTGTGGAATAAATGGCACATGTTTTCAGCCTGCCATTCAGGGCCCTCTGTTGCTTTTTATTTTCATCTCTTTGTGCCTTTGGCCCAGTAGATTATCTGATATTTTGTGAATAAGACTGATGTTCTCTGTCTTTCAAGTCTTTGCTCATAACAATCACTGTCACTATAGAGCACTTTCCTAACGCGTCTCAGGCACCATCCCAGGTCCTTTCCCTGAGGCATCAGAGTAACGCTAGAGTAAGGACCATAAGGAAGTGAATATCCCAGTCCTGTTTGAGAAGGGAGAAAGCTGGTGCTCTGAGGGGTTTCGATGACTTGCCCAAGGGGCAGAGGCAGGACGCAAAACTGAGGCCGCCTGTCCACTGTCCTCTTCCATGACCCTGTGATTTTCTCTCCCTGGACCCTCCTGTCTCCATTTCTACAAGCAAAGCCCGAACTGACCCAGTATTGTACCCACTTCATGCACGCCTTCCAGGTGCCTGCCCCCTCCCAGACACAGTGAGCCCCCACAGGAAGGTAGACACCTTCCTCATCCCTTCTCCACTCTTACTAAAGAATGGTTTGGTCACCTTTGCTCTGCTGAGACCTGCCCAGAGGGGTTAAGTATCTTCAACAGGACAGGGAAGAGTAGCTTATTGCTAAGCTGTCCCCAACAGGACTGGACCTGGGCCTGGGATTAACAAGAAATAAGTGTTCCACGAGTGTCTGCATAGGCGCTTGGGGCCTGACTCCTACCTGGCCTCTGAGGGCTTCGTGGGCCCCAGAGAGGCAGGGGGGCTTCCTAGCCCTACTCCACCCCATCATCAGTCTGTGGCCCTCTCTGCCTTAGCTCTCTAGGGACTGACACAGGCTTCCTGGCCCAGCTCTAGAGCCCCATCTGCTGCAAAAACCTTAAGTGCCAGAAGCCACTTGCTGCAGATCTGGCGACTTTGTGCCTTCCCCCAATCCTGCACAGGCCTGGTGAGCTTACCTGGATCCATTCATGTGGTCATACTCCCGCTTGACGTTGACCCTCACTGGCTGATTGATCCACTCCTGCTGTGGTGGGAGGGGGTTGATCTTGTGGGGCTGCCCGTAGTCAGGACTCCCCGAGGCAGTCATGTCGGCCTTGGGGAGATGGGCTGCCGCTCCGTACGCTGAGTCAAAGAGGGACTGGTCGTCGCTCACCACCGACAGAGCCTCCTGCAGGGCCAGAGAAGAGACAGAAAGCCCAGTGTCACTCTTCACCCAAGCAAGTGACACTCTTGCTTTGAGCTGGCAAGGTGGCCCAGGGCTGCCCCAGGACAGCTTGTCTGGAAGTTCCTGTTTGACTCACACTCCAGGGGGCAGGTTTGCCCTTATGCAAACCAGATGGGTGTTTGCAGGTTACCTGGGTGAGGAGGGACTTTGGGCAGTGGAGTGGGGATGGAGGAATCATGAAAGTGGGTTTGTTTATTGGTTCTGTAGTCTGGGACCCCCAAAAAGGAGGGTGGGGATAGGGAGGCCAAGAATAGTGGTGACTTGGCATGGAATATAGTATTGTGGTGGTGTGTGAATGCTAGATTTTTCCAGGCATAAGCAGAAATGCCTCTTACGAGCTGAGTGGAGTCATCAGCAATGAAGGGGAGATGAGATCCAGCATTTATTTTCCAGGCAAGGCCAGTGAGATCCACCCAGAGAGGCTAGGTGTGCTGCTCAAGGTCACACAAGGGAAGGGTGGTGCCCATGGCTGTGGCCAGGCCAATTTCAGTTTCCTTATTTGTAACAGGGATAAAAATAGTTTTAGCACAGAGTCGATAGGTGGATTAAATGAGAAGATCTGGTGTGGGGGTGTAGCTTGTAAGAAATGCTCAGTGGTTTGCTGAGGGCCCTCTAGGAGGTGCTGGTGCATCCTGTAGATCTCAATGTTGATGACTCAGCCAGCCAAAGGACGAAAGAGGAACCTCAGACACGTGAAGTGCCAGTCAGGGCAAGACCCTCCAAAAGAGGTTGTTGGGTCCTCCCACTCATATTATCCCATCACTGACTTGGGTGTGACTTTGGGAGATCATGGATTAAGAAAAGAAGCCTTGGCCAGGCATGGTGGCTCATGCCTGTAATCCCAGCATTTTGGGAGCCTGAGGTGGGAGAATCTATTGAGTCCAGGAGTTCTAAACTAGCCTGGGCAATGTGGCAAAACTGTGTTTCTACAAAAACAGAAAGAGAGAAAGAAAGAAAGAAAGAAAGAAAGAAAGAAAGAAAGAAAGAAAGAAAGAAAGAAAGAAAGAAAGAAAAAATTAGCTAGATATGGTGGCATGTGCCCAGCTACTTGGGAGGCTGAGGTGGGAGGATCACTTGAGCCCCGGAAGTAGAGGCTGCAGTGAGCCGTGATCGTGCCATTGCATTCAGCCTGGGCGACAGTCTCGAAACAACAACAACAACGACAACTAAAAAACTTTGCACATTCCGGAGATCTGCTACCAATCAAAACATGAGGGTAAGAGTCTCCCATTATTCCATGTCTCATCGAATCACAGGCATCCAAGGTCAGGGACCAGGGCATAGTGTTCACTACAGTCACATAATTACACCAAAGTAAGTCTTCAGAGAAGATGGTAGTCATCTATAATTGATCTATAATCTATATAATCAATAATTATATAATCTATAATTGTGATAATAGTTGTGATAATACATGCAAAGTACTTAGAAGTCTCTGGCACATAGTGAGTCACACTCAGAACATGTTAGGTATCATGATTATTAGCATTCAAACAAAGATTCTCTTAGGCCACCTGTTAGGGGCTGCCTTGTGTCCTCACAAAATTCATATGCTGAAGCCCTTACCCGCAGTACTCAGAATGTGATTGTATTTGGAGATAGGACCTTTAAGGAGGTAAGGTGAAATGAGGCTGATAGGGTGGGTTCTAATCCAATATGACTGGTGTTCTTATAAGAAGAGGGAATTTGGACACACAGAGAGCCCCCAGGGGAGTGTGTGCACAGAGGGGCTGCCATGTGAGGACACAGCAGTCATTGGCAAGCCAAGGAGAGAGGCCTCTGAGGAAAACCAACCCTGCTGGCACCCTGATCTTGGACTTCCAGTCTCCAGAACTCTGAGCAAATAAATTTCTTTTGCTTAAGCCACTCAGCCCTGGTATGTTGTTATGGAAACCCTAGCAAATGGATACACCACCTTTACTTGAAAATGTAGTGATAGGTGAACAGCACTTGTTAAAGCTGGGATTTGTCTACCTTCCTTGTGTAATTCACATTCCTGAATTGAATGTCTTCTTCAGAATGAATGCTCTTCATATGCCTGTAGAATTACAACCTGCTCCATGGGCTGTCTCTTGTCTCCCAGGGCCATTCTCCACCCCAGCGGACAGACAGCCATAATTCAAAAAGGGAGGCTCTTCTATGGCTGTTTTCAGCTGGGATCAGGGAAAAAATACTGGAATATACTCTAGGAGTCCTGCTTTTGCACCAGAAGGCTTTGGATGGTGTAGGTGCCTCCAGACATACATTCAAAGCAGAGTTGCCCACACAATATTAAAACACTTACATCCCCCAACCGAGGGGATCTCCCTAGCCCTAACATCTGCTGGGATCCTTCTTCATTTTCTACCAGATGCCCTTGAGTCATGCTCAGAGTAAAGCTGTGCTTGTCAGAACCATTTGTTTCTTGGTTATTATATCCACTCTTGATTTCAGCTAGAGTTCAGCTTTGGCTTCATATCCTAAATTTTGAACTGTTATCTGGGCTCAAGGAATTATGGTTCTGAGCTGAAAAGGGTGACATTGCAACCTTTCAGACAGCTGTCCCTGACTCCATGAAATTCCTTGAGCTCCGCACTGGAAGCAGAGGACACATTACCACCTATGACCCCTAAGTGTCTTTTGGTGATAAGAGTGAAGAACATGTACCACAGTCCTGCTACAAAAACAGATGACATTTCAGGAATCAGGTAGCATCTTCTGCTGTAGAGAATGGCTTACGTTCTTAGTTTATCATTCATGAACCTTGGAGTTTCCAGTAAAATAATTTCTTTCCCTTCCCTCTTCTAGGTTGGGGGAGAAGATGACAGAATATCAGAGGCAAAGAAGCCCGGGAGGCAGGGCTGGGCACAGTGATGCTCCATAGATGGGCAAAAAGTTCCTCCCATCATTATCCTAAGGAGGGTGGACCAGGCAACAGGGAACACAGGATTGTCCTGGCCAAGGGGACATGCAGACGGCAAAATCAAGACTCACAGCAAAGAGAATACACAGAGAACACAAAGCCAGCGGTTCTGGAGGCAGACCCAGGAGAGACTTCTTAAGGAAGTGAGTGGTACACAGCTAGAAAAAAACAAGTGATGAGATAGAGTGTAGGTGTAGAAAGGGCACAAAACCAGTTTGAACTCATTTTGGAATAGAAGTTTCCTTAAGAATGTAGTTCACAATCAAGGAAACTCCAATCAAGTGGCAACATTGTAGGAGGAGAGCGTCCCGGTTCACCGGGAATGCCTCACACTTCTGTCCAGTCTGGGCATTTCTCTCTGAGACTCTTCCCTCCCTGACGACCCACTGACATGCTCTTCCCTCATTCAGTACACCTTGTGCGCTCCCTGGCTGGATCCAGCTCCCTTGCAAGTTGTGAATACTGCTGTCATCCTGCCACAATCTGCTCAAAAACCTCAGAGAGCTCCCTAGAGATGGACCACAGCAAATCTCTTCTCAGCCACTTGTCTTCCAAAGGTCATCTTTGTCCCACCTGCCACACTTACATTGCACAACTTCCTCTTGCTGCAACTTGTGTCCAATTCTAACTATTCTCACTGCTCCACTAGACAAGCCCTACTCAGGTATGCTTCTGTGCCTTAATTTTGTGGTTCCTTTTGCTGCAAGTAACCTTTCTTTACTCTTTCACCCTGATGCACAATTATCTTTGCCATTGTGTAAGGTAAGTGAGATCTTCCTGAGAGCTTCCTGTTTCCATGAAACCTTTCTGATGATGACCTATGACTCCTTTGAGCTGTTAACAGCTCGTGAGAATACTGCTTTGGGTATGCATATGTGCACACACACACACACACACACACACACACACACACACACACATCCCCCTTCTATTTGCAATCATGGCTAGACAAAAAGCTTTTTTTCCATTACAATGTAGAGAAAAGAAGAGATAGATCATGGGGGCTGTGAAGAGAGAGAAGATGAAGGAGAAGAGTTCCCTGTCTGGCTCACTGGGCTGAATTTGAAAAGCCAATATGGGCAAGGGAAGGGAGGTGAGGGCCCCTAAGTGGAATAAAAGATTTGGGGAGATAAGGCCCCAGACAAGCTGATTTGAGACCCAAGTGAAAGAGCAGAGTTGGGGAGGAGAGCATTCTTGTGGCTTCTGCAAATAAACGGCACCCCTTTTTGCAGTTCAACAGCTTTAGGAGCACCCCAAGACCATGCCCTTGGCAAGTACACTGTCATTTTTATGATGCCACTGGTAGTAGGGAGCCCTCTCCAAATTGCTCTGGGAAGACCAGAGTAGGGACGGAGGAGGCAAACAAGAGGAATGAGTCTGGGCAACTTGATGTGGCTGCTGCTGTCTGCAGGCGAGGAGCTGCTGAGCTGGCAGAAATTTCACTTATTTGCAGCTTGTTACACATGAGGAGCTGTTGCTACTTCATGTGTGTCTTATAAAGCTCTTTACTTAAACTCTTAAAACTTTTTAAAGTTTAAACTTAAAACTCTTCCTTGTACTTCAAGCTCTTTACAGAAATGAGCATGTTGCTAGCGTTCAAGAACTTTCCACGGATAAATCATCAATAAGTACTTAACTGAGGTGATAGGCTGGGTGTAGGAAGAACACCAGCATGCAAATTCACCAGCCATCCTCAGAGGGACTACATTCCTTCCGTTTCTCATGACTTTGCTTCTCCTATTGTTGCTGATTATTTTATTCAAGGGAAGAGAAGTTAGTTATTATTTAAAAGACTTGTGGGGTCCATGAGGCTTTAGACCATGCTATGTAAAATTGACTTCCAAGTGAGAAAGACAGGAGGCGTGGGCTCCTAGCCCTATGTGGGGCTCAGCTCTGGGGTTCCTTCTTGACCCAACAATTGTCTCTGTAAAAGGAACCCCTGGGCTGGCTTAGTCATTGGCTTCTGAGAAGCACTTTCCTTTGCAGAATGCTGGAAAGGCTGGGTCTGTGGGTCCAGAGCCACTGAGTCCTAGATCCAGAGGGTGGCATAGGGTCCCTTGTTCCAGGCAGGGAAGTGCCCCAGCACATTTGTACCCAATGATGCCCCTTTACCAGAGACCTCTGGCAAGGCAAGCTGCTTGGGGTGGCATCTGAGCTACAGCAGATCACTCACATTTGCCGATAGAAATGCTTGCTTTCCACGACCCCCTCCTGGTCCTGGATCCAGCTGGGGCCTGCTACCAGTAATGCACTTGAACCGGTGGGATACTTTTTCTCCTCCAGTTTGGGCAAGGTGCCTTTAGTACATGATATAATACACCCTCTGTCGTCGTTACAGAAAACAGATAAAAGTGGTAATAATCACAGCACTTATTAAATACAAAACACTGTTTACATGAGTAACCTAATTTAATCCTCCTGGCAATTCTATGAGGGATGTATTCTATTTTTTCAGATGAGAAAATGGAAATTCAGAAAAGTGAAATAACTTGCTCAGGCACACAGAAAGTTAGTGTGATGTGGGATCCAAATTCAGGTCTACAGCCTAAGCACATAACCACTACTCTTCACAGGTTCTTTCTTGTGAATTTTCTGTCCTCTCAATTAGACCATAAGCTCTTTAAGTGTAACTCCGGTGTTTATTGTAACTTAGAGCATAAATCTTGAGTCAGAGAGATTTGAGTTTCTATCCAAGCTTCATCTGCTGCTCATTACGCATCTAGTACAATTTCCAAGAACTTCATTTCCTCATCTGTAGGTTGGGGATAATATCAGTACCTGATCTGGTAATTCTGGATAAAGATAAAATGAGATAATATGAGTAAAGTACCTAAATCAAGCACCTGAAGTTCTTGGGACAAAGTAAATACTTAAAAATGTGGCCAGGCATGGTGGCTCATGCCTGTAATCCCAGCATTTTGGAAGGCTGAGGCGGGAAGATCATCTGAGGCCAGGAGGTTGAGAACAGCCTGGCCAACATAATGAAACCCTGTTTCTACTAAAAATACAAAACTCAGCCAGGTGTGGTGGTGGGTGCCTATAATCCCAGCTACTCAGGAGGCTGAGGCAGGAGAATCGATTGAACCCAGGAGGCGGAGCTTGCTGTGAGCCGATGTAGCGGCACAGCACTCTGGCTTGGGCAATAGAGTGAGCCTCTGTCTCCAAAGAAAAAAAAGAAAAAAATTGTTTAAAAAGCTGGGCACAATGGCTCATGCCCATAATCCCAGCACTTTTGGAGGCTGAACCGGGTGGAATGCTTGAGCCCAGGCATTCAAGACCAGCCTAGGTAACGTGGCATAACTCTTTCTCTACAAAAAAAAAAAAACAAACCCAAAAAAAAAAACCCACGCCTGTAATCCCAGCACTTTGGGAGGCTGAGGTGGGTGGATCACGAGGTCAAGAGATCAAGACCATCCTGGCTAACATGGTGAAACCCTGTCTCTACTAAAAAAATACAAAAAATTAACCAGGCGTGGTGGCGGGTGCCTGTAGTCCCAGCTACTTGGGAGGCTGAGGTGGGAGAATGGCGTGAACCCGGGAGGCAGAGCTTGCAGTGAGCCGAGATCACACCACTGCACTTCAGCCTGGGCGACAGAGCGAGACTCCGTCTCAAAAAAATAAATAAATAAAAATAAAAAATAAAAAAAAGGTGTGGTGGTGTGTCTGTGGTCCTAGCTACTTGGAAAACTGAGGTGAGAGGATCACCTGAGCCCAGGAGGTGGAGGCTGCAGTGAGCCATGATCATACCATCCATCCTGGGCAACAGAGTAAGACAGTGTCTCAAAAAAAAAAAAAAAGTTAAAAAAAATTTTAATGAAGGCCAATGCTGAGAAATGGCGTGAGAACCATTGGGTTGGAGATGGGTCAAGAGGGAGTTCAGATAAAGCCAGAGCGATACCTACTTCTCCGAATGTTGATTGTTTAAAAGATTAGTTGCCTAAACTACTAATAAGTAGATTTGGTGATGATAGAGCCTGAAATGCAAATCCCATGGGCTCCTAGAGTACAGAGCCGATTTCACTAATCTGCGTGTCCACTCTTCCTTTAAAACCATGGGTGTCATTCCATTGCAGGCTCAGTCCTCTGCCTGTCTCTGGTTTCTGAGTCCAGGCCTCTAGGTGCCATAGATAAGGCTCTGTTACATAGCCTGAATAGCCCTGTGAATGAGGAGAGGAGGCATCTGTTGTGAGATAATGAAAATGGTAGGTGGCTAGCACCTATTTATACTGTTGTTCGTACACCACATACTCAGTGAATATCAGAAGAATGGCGTGGGTACATCTGTGCATTCACGAATTTAAAAATTTCACTTATTTTGGAATTTGTCACATATGTGTGCCTATATGCATCTTTTCTTGTTATACTTACAAATGTGTCTTCCAACATTTGTTTTCCTTAGATTAAGTCAAATGTTACTTTTCATGTGCACATGAGTTGAGTGATGGGATGTGATCAGAGCATGGCCGCACAGTGGCCTGGCCGATATGAACGATGAGCAAACCATTGCATCTTCAAACAGTCTAGCTAAGGCCGAGATGGAAAAGCCTCCAGAGGGGCAAGGAAAGAAGAAGAGGGTGGTTTGAGTATCTCCCCATTTCACTCGGGAAGACATAACAGAAATTTCTGCCATTATCCTGTGTGTGGGAAGGAACAAATATTTCACAGTTATGAGTCCAGTGGAGTTAGAGGAGGAAAAATGCCAGAAGTGGACATGAGTGGGAGACCCTTTCCCTCTGTTCTTCCTTATACGTAGGCTGAGCTTTATTTCTAACACAGAATGACCCAAGACATGGGGCCTGAGAAGCACCAATGTCCCATTGTGTCCTTCCCATTCCTTTCCCTCTGTTCTGCCCTGAATCTCCTAAGGACAGTTGTCTGGGGCTGACCAGCTTGGCTGGAGGTGTCTGGTGAAAGGAATGTCAAAAGCAACCAGACCAAGTTCCCTGTGGCTGCCCTGCTCAGTGGGCCCACTCCGCCGCTCCCAGTGCAGGGCTCTGGAAGGCTAATCTCTGGCATATCCATTACCCAGGGTCACCACAGGGAGCACGCTAGTTTTGGCTTTTTATTACATTATTTGCATAATGACACGAAGTCCCTTCTCTTGCCAGTCGGAGAGAATATGAAATGCGAACAAGATACTTAGGTGCAAAGCCCTCTGTGTTCTCTGCTTTGGGAAACCAGCAGGCTCTGCAGCAGTGGGGGTGATCAGCCTGGGTTGGGGTCACTCCAAGTCTCATCTGAAGTGCCAAGAGCAGGTGGCCGCTGTTAGCAAGGCCAAGCCTTTTGCTTCTCTCTCCTCTCTACATGTGCGCATTTCTTGCTCCTCATTTCCACTGCGTAAAGGGCAGGGAGGGAAAAGGGAAGAGGAGGTAAATTTTATGGAAAGTTGGATAAGGAAGAAGGTGGGAAACATTAGTCAGTCATCAAGCATTAACTGAAAACTCCTTTGCATGAGGCACAGTCGCATTTTCTCAAAATGACCATCAGAATATTTCTTATCTTTGCCTCTCTCTTCCCATCAAAAGGCAGAGCTTATTTTCTTCCCCCTTGAACTCAGATGGAACTTTATGATTGCCTCAAGAAATGGCCTTGCGTGACTTCCGGGACAAGGTGATAAAGGTATTATGACTTCCACCTGCTTCTTGTTCTCTCTTGGGCCTCTAGTCCGTGGAAATCGCCACCATGCTGTGAGGAAGCTCAGATTAGCCCAAGCTGAGCAACCGTATGGAGAGGCCCGCAGGAGAGGAACCGAGGCCACAGCCAACCACAGCGTCAACCTCCAGACTTGAGAGTGAACGAGCCTTCAGTGAAGGATAACAAAACTCATGAGCCTAATAATTGGTTTATGCCACTAGGTTTCGGGGTAATTTCTTATGTAGCCATAGTAACCGGAACGTCTCCGAGCATTTTACTCAGCAACCGAAAACCCATATTCAAAGGCTGTAGAGGTGACTGTCTGAGTATCCTTTCACTGTGGTTATTGACACTGGCTGGCAGGAATCAGCACCATGACTGTCCAGGTGGGGAAACTGAGGCACAAAGCATAACCCTTCTAGGTTCACACAGTGAGGGGGGAATCGATCTCAGAATTAAAGTCTAAGTCCTCTGATAGACACATAGTGGAATTATCTCCAAACGACAAAAACAAAATAAACAACAGACAAAAACCAAACAAGGACCACATTTTTAAATGAGAACGATCAAATAGAACATGTATTATTTGATGACTTGAAGTTTCCAAGGAACTTTTACTATCATCACCTCATTTAACCTTTTAAAATATGAGTTAGGATCCTCATATTATTGAAAAGAAAATTGAGGCTTAAAGAGGTTTGCTACTTGCCTCTGGCCCCTCACCTCATGAGTCTCCATGCTGCTGGCCTGACTGCAAAGCTTCTACTCCTCCCCTAAACCGTTTCCACTTTGCCGTCTCCAATTTTAGGCCGTAGCACACAGCCAAATCTGCCACAGAGCTTCAGAGTGTCCGGCTGACTTTTCTTTTCTTTCTTTCTTTTTTTTTTTGAGACAGAGTTTCACTCTTGTCGCCCAGGCTGGAGTGCAGAGGCGCGATCTCAGCTTACCGCAACCTCTGCCTCCCAGGGTCAAGTAATTCTCCTGCCTCAGCCTCCTGAGTAGCTGGGATTACAGGCGCCCACCACCACGCCCATCTAATTAGTAGAGACAGGGTTTCACCATGTTGGTCAGGCTGGTCTCAAACTCCTGACCTCAGGTGACCCACCTGCCTCGGCCTCCCAAAGTGCTGGGATTACAGGTGTGAGCCACCGTGCCTGGACCCCGGCTGACTTTTCAAGGAGTCTTGTTGAACATCATTCCCCCTCCCAAGTGCCTTTCCCCTTTCACTTACAATTCCACTTCCTGGGGAGGGGGCTCAGCAGTGGATGACCCAGAGAAAGAATTCCTAGAAGATGCAATTGCAATTATTTGCAGACGAAAGTACTTTATTTAATGGTGTTTTACAAATGAAGGGTATAGCCTAAGTGAGCACAGAGAAGAGGATCTCTGCATCCTCCCAGGACTGTACCCTGTAACAGAATCCAGAGCCATGGCCTTCTGTGCCTCACGGGCCTCCCGTTCAGTGCTGCTCCAGGTCTCCCGTGGTATTTACCTTTGCCTGTTGACTTTGAGTGTTCACAGTCACTTTTTTGACCATAACCACATTTAAAGGGCATCTCTAAAGATCAAAGTTAAATTCTCCTCCCACAGAGAATGCTTTTACTGCTGAAAAGCAAAAAGTGCTGAATATGGAAACTCACAGGATGGGAGATAGAACATTCATCTGAACCCCACGAAGAGAACATTTTACAGTGTGTTTTACTTTCTGTTTCTTTACACTGGGTCTGTCCACTGTCCAGTGGCTTTTTCTAGATGGCAGTGGGAACCACAAAAGGGTCGGCAATGCTCTACTGGGTGTAATTCTTCACACTTGACCGTCCGGGACGAAGCTCCTCTCAGAGAATAAAGTAGGGGGTGGCCTGACCATTAAAGTAGGTCCCACAGTATCAAAGGGACAGCGCAAAGCAAAGCCAGACTGAGATGTTGAGACTTACTACCATTAAGCAGCTTAGATGTTCTCTTCTGTAAGACGGAGCCAGTATTCTCCCACCTAGCCGGATGGGTAGGAAGTATTAAATACAGGCCTCACTGGAGCAAAGGTGGGATGATAAAAATGGAAGCAGCAACCACCACGACAAAACCCACATGGCATGGGAGAACCTGCAGGGAGGGCTGCTTCTGGGAAGGCCACCTGGATGCACCAGCACAAGTGCTGTCCCACATACTTTTCCCTGGGACTCTATTCCGCCAGATGTCACTGGAGTGGCTGTACCCGTCATGAAAAATACTGCAGCACAGCCACACAGGTGGATAAAGTGCTGCTGCGCTGAGATTCGTCATTTCCCTCCTCTGCTCTGGGACAAAGAAAGGGCAGGTGATGGGCACCGTGTCTCCTCCAGAACCCTGCTTCAAGACAATGGGCTGCTGTCTTGCAGCCCGCGCCTTACAGATTGTCATGATGTGAATGTTGTCCCTGACCTGGGGAATGGTTTCCTGATCCCAGTGATGGTGCCGCCTGAGGATGGGTGAAGATCTGGACCACACTGGGAGCAGCCTCTTCCTGCAGAGGAGCCCTGGCCATCCTGGCTGCAGATGGGGTCAAAAGGCAGCCAATCACCACACTGCTTGCTTCCCTTCATGGACAGCTGCTTTAAATCTGTTCTAACAAAAGGCACTGGCCACCAGCTGGGTCAATGTGGAGCTTTATTGGCTGTGCAACTTTGGGCAAGTTACTTAATCTCCCAGCTCCTGGACATTTTTAACCATCCTTTACTGAAAGTTTCATGCTTTCCGATGATGATAAATGGTCAGACTTCCCTGACCACCAAGAGCTGAAAGTTTGGAAGAAAAGCTTCCGTGGGGAGTGACTGCAGTGCTTCCTCGTGGAGTGAATTTCACCCACTGCAGGGTTGAAATAGTAGCCTGGGAGCCAGGATGGAGTTCCGGAGCTTTCCTATTGCTTGAGAAAGAGGCTTCTAAGAATGTCCCTTGAGGCCTGGTCTTTATGGGTCTGACCTGGCAGCTAGACCAAGAGGATCTCAATCTGGGTCTGCAGGGACAAGAGAGGACTCTGCGTGACAAAGGGAAGGTGGGAGTCAGAACATTCAGATCCTAAAGGATGGGCTCCCACAGGGGAAGCAGAGGCTTGTCCACCAGGGGTGGAGGCGGCAGGTTCTGCAGTTTTTCTAAGCCTTGAGGAGAGGAAAGAGTGTGGATGGCATGTGCCCTTGGTTGTCTCTTCGATTCCTGGGGTCATGGGAACTTTCCTATTCTTTTTCTCGAGGACAAATTCTAGTTAGGCACCCTGAAGAGAAGAACCTCATCAGTCTGATTCCTGGTTTTCATCCCCAGTTGTTGGCACACTTCCTGGCACCTAAGAAGTGTGCAATGAATTAAGTTAAATAAAAACCTCAGCGCCCGATGGGAAATGCAAACCCTCCCTGCCTGCCCACACCTCCACACCAGCCAGACTACCCCTTCTATCTTTGCGCTTTGAGTAATTTTGATGAAGCCTTCCCCCAAGGCTTGCCTAATTTTCTTTTAAAGCAGCCACACCCAGTGACTGTTTCTTGTTCAAATTTAAACATGAAGCCACTGACCACTTTCCCCAAACAACCACTTGAGGTCCTATTCCTAGAAGCTATGATCTTATCCGACAATTTCCTCACGTGGCAGTTGCCATGGTAACCGGGGCCCTTACAATCACAGGGAGCCCACGAGGAAACATGCATATGGGGGGGCTTCACTCCCTTCCAGCAACACCCAGAGAGCAGCCTGGCAGGGGGACGAAGGCAAAATCAGCCTTGCGAAGCAAGGACGTCCTGCCTCACGCACACAAGCCGGGACGCTTTGTGTGACTGGCAGCAGCCAGAAAAGAATGCCGCTTCAACTCGACGCACAGATGAGGCGTGCATCCATTTTATTTCGTTTCCTCTCAGGGCATGGGGACAGGGGAGACCCTGAATCCGTTTTCCAGCTCTTAATGGCCGCTTCTTTTCCGTGATTCACGGCTGAGCCATGCTTGGTGACCTCAGGCCCATCAAGTCAGGAAGCAGGTCCTGAGGGTGCAGTATTTCCAACTAGCACATCTGGGTGAACTGCTCTGTCCAAGGTGTTTAGTTCTTTTGTGGCTCGGGGCATATGGTTACCATATTGTTGCTGTGACATGTGGCAGAAACCTTGTGGATGGGAGTGATGGAGGGAGGTGGGGCCTGGGGAGGTCCATTTTCTGGGAGAGCTCGGCAGCCAGGGCCGTCTCTGCGCAGTTCCTGTGCTCTATTTCATTCTGCTCCTCCTTTCCTTTTGTGTTCTCTGTTCATTTTCCCTCTGTCACCTTCAATTGTTCTGCCCTGTGCTCCCATGCCTTCTCTTTCTTGCTCAACCTCCTGCATTTTAAGGTCCTATTTCAAATAGTTTTTCTTCTTGTTATGTAAGACTCCCCCACCTCTTTCTCGCCTGCACTCTTAACCTTTGGAGGCATATTTAATGTACATTTAATATACATATGCAGCTTCACCTGCATAGAATTGCCTCCCTGTCTTCTCTGCCTAATCATATCTCATTCATTCACCAAACTGTTGAACACCTCACATTCTGCCTCCTCCAGGAAGTCTCCCTGCTCACTCCAGCCCAGCATAAGAACCTCCATTCTGCTGAAGTCTGTTGGCACCAATTTGGCACTTTATCTTAGACTGCCTTGTCATGTTGCTTTTATATTTATTTAACCATTGCCTTCCATTGTTGTTTTTCATAGTTTATGTTCTATCTCTCCTACTAGATTGAGAATTCCCCACGATAATTTTCTTTGTGCTTTTCTGTAGACATGATTGCCACTTACTAGCTGAGTGAATTGGTTCTCCCCTTATCCATAAAATGGGCACAATGACAGCACCCACAGGGTTTTGATGTGAGGGTTGAGGGGGCTCTCCATTCTGCTGGTTTGTGAGAGGTACAGTCTGTCATCTTTGACATGTTACCCGCAGAGCCAGACTGTCAGGATCTGAATTCTACATCTACCACTTGCCAGTCTTGTGACCTTGGACAAGTTCTTTAATCTCTCCATGCCTCAGTTTCCTTTTTGGAAAACTAGCGATAATAATAGTGTTCTAACTCATGCCTATCACATAGTAAGCCCTCCCTAAATGTAATCATCTTATTATAATTCACAAATTATAGTACAGAAAAGGCACTTTATCTCTCTGGGCTTATTTCTTTACCTACTACATAAAAGGACTGAGCTACATGATCCGTAAGATCCCTTCCAGGTCTTCAACCCTAAAATCTATTAGTGGAGTGATTCTACAGCCCCTTTACCTGGAACAGTTCCGCTTTATGCTGTTGTTCCAGGAAATGCTTATCCCGCTCAAAATTATCCCACTTTTGTTGATGCATTATATGGCCACTCTGTCTACGAGTAAGCTCAGATAACTCAGTGTTCATGAGCTTCATGGCCCCATTGATTGTCATCTTTGCTCTCCCTTCTAAAGGGAATCAGGGGAACTGAGGACAGCCTGGTCTCTACACGAGGAGCCAAGCATCCTCTCATCACAGAGCTCAGACTCCCTCTCTGGTGCACAGCTGGTCCCTCCATTGGCAGCTACCCTGGAGACAGTCACTGACAGGGCTGGCCTACATCCTGCTTGACTGGAGTGCTAAGCCTGGACAGTCCAGCACAGGGGTCTCCTGTCTCCCGGCATCCATCTACAGGAAAAGTAGATATTTTGTGAACAAGTCCTGCTGTGGTCCTCCAAAGAAAACATTTCATTGGGTTTACCTGGAGATGTTTTCTTTGTCAAGCTCAGTAAAGCTAGCTGAGCAGAAAACCCAGCTAAAACCCACGGACAGTTCCTGGGGGCTTGGGACTGGTTTAGTTACTCCATAAGGGACAGTTAGTGTTCTATTCTTGGAAGCTTCTGGAGGTGCCAACCTTGCCCAACAGAGCCATGCCTGTCTGTCTGTCTCAAGGACATGTGTCTTCAGGGCAGGGAGGCTCAATCTCCACATTATAAAAACTTGTGGGAAATGGATAATTAACCTACCAGGTGGACATGCCCTGAGATGTCCCAAACCGCCTCAAAAATTTCTGAGCTCCTTTGTCCCGTTCAGTTCCATTTTCCTCAGGATCCATTGTCAAAGCCTGCCAAGTGGTCAAGTTCTTTTTTTTTTTTTTTTTTTTTAGAGACATGGTCTTGCCATGTTGCCCAGGCTGAAGTGCAGTGGCATGATCACGGCTCACTGCAGCCTCAAACTTTTGGGCCCAAGGAATCCTCCTACCTCAGCCTCCTAAGTACCAAGTAGCTGAGACTACAGGCACACACCACCATGCCAGCTAATTTATTTTTTTATTCTTTATTTTTTGTAGAGACAGGGTCTTACTATGTTGCCTAGGCTGGTCTTGAACTCCTTGCTTCAGGTGGTCCTCTTGCCTTGGCCTCCCAAAGTGATAGGATTACGGGCATGAGCCACCATGTCCAGATGGCTCCCAGTTCTCGCACTGCTACTTCCACCTGGTTTTCTGTGTGATTGAGATCTCCCATGTTCATTATAGGTTGGTGATGTTCATGAGAAACCCAAAGTCAATGAAGCCAGTGAAGCCAACCTTCTCAAACCTTTCTCTCTTGGGAAACTGTGAGAGCAAAATGTCCATGGGGAACCTTGTGGTCCTCTTGCTTCTTTTAATCATGAACCAGAAATGCTCTCAGGTATAACATCAGCCTGAATGGCCTGTAAAATGTGCTGACGATTCCACGTAAAACCAACAAATGCATACTCGTCAGCATCAATCTTAAAATAAAATCAGGATCAAGAAACAAAAACCTTTACCTAAACTTCTTATTCATTTCCATAGAAAGAAGTTGAATTCTCTGATTTGGTCCAGGGGAGATGACTGTGACGCTGGCACTGTTCTAAAATCTGCACCATGCAATGCAGAAGCAACTCGCCTTGTGAGGCTATTGAGGACTTGAAATGTGTCTGGTGTGACTGAGGAACTGAATTTTTAATTTTAGTCAACTTTAGTTCATTTGAATTTAAAAAGCCACATGTTATGAGTGGTTACCATCTTGGAGAGCACAGGCTGTGGACACTTGTGTTTGGTGACCAGACTATGTGCTCCTCGAAACATGCAAAGGTCACTCTGGATATTTCTTTAACATGTCTTGTCTCACAATGGGGCCATAAAACAGATTTGTCACACAAAAGAACACTCATTCACTGATGCATTCATTAATTTAGCAAATATTTATTGGATATCTTCTATGTGCTGGGCACTGTTGATAAAAGCCAGGAATATGTCTATGGAAAAATGATGCCATCATTTTAATGGCGTTGTTGATGACTATGAGATTAGGAGAATTGTGGGACTTTTCCTCCATGGAACTGGCTAAGTTTCTACAGTGAGCTAAATGGGTGAAACGCAGATTATTATGGGAATATGCATGGTAACCCTGGACAAGTGAGTAGCTGCGGCAAACCTGCTGTGTAAACACAGGCTGTGCACACAGATGGGGAAGTGACGACAGGAAAGGAGAAAAGAGTCTGAATTAAATATGGTAGGAACGATGCTATGTTTGAAGCTTAGATGAAATAACAATAAGGTCCTCAAAAGCATTCTGGAAAGCACATGGCATTTACAAATGGAAGCAGTGCATTGTCACCGTCACTGGGAGCTCCCGAGACAGTCCAGGCACAAGCTTCCCCAGCCTCCCCCACTCAGCATCCCAGAAACCAACCAAGCAAGGGAGCCATTGCCTCAGGAGAAGGTGGCAGAACTTGAAGTAAAGAGGTGGTGCAACTGGCTACCAAGGAAGGGATTTCAGAGGACAGGAAAGCCGTGAACTGAGCAGGAATCGGGGGGAGGGGCAAAGGCATTAACACTTCATTGGCTCAGGGACTTTCTGGTCACAGAGAGCCAGCCAGGACCTCAGATGAGCCTTTTATCCCCTCCTCTGCAGATCACACAGCAAGAAGGAGAAGGGGACACAAAGGCTTGACTGTGGCACTTTCTCCATTGTTGTGGCTCTCACTGCAGGGTCCTGAAACACCCATTAGATCTGGAGTCCTCTGGAAAGGCGGGAGAGAGAGTCCACAGTAAGTTGCCCCTGCATCCGGACTGGCTGGGGGCTCTGGCCTGAAGAGTCACCGTAGGCAGAATGACTGTGTCTTATTTTATTTATTTATTTATTACTTTTGAGACGGAGTCTCACTCTGCTGCCCAGGCTGGAGTGCACTGGCACGATCTCAGCTCAATGGAACCTCTGCCTCCCGGGTTCAAGCGATTCTCCTGCCTCAGCCTCCCGAGTAGATGGGATTACAGGCGCCCATGACCACACCTGGCTAATTTTTGTATTTTAGTAGAGACAGGGTTTCGTTATGTTTGCCAGCCTGGTCTCCAACTCCTGACCTCAAGTGATCCGCCCGCCTCAGCCTCCCAAAGTGCTGGGATTATAAGCATGAGCCACCATGCCTGGCTGAGTGACTGTATTTTAAACCAGAGCTTGCAGACTGTGGGCCTTTAGCCCCTTAACTCATTGCTGGTGCTCCTTAAATGTCAAACCCAGCCTGGGGATGCTGGCGTGCCAACGTGCCTGGGAGCTCTTCCCTTTTTCCCTCTGGGTTAACAACAACGTTGGCATGAGAACGGGATCTCTGTGGCTGCACCTTCTCTCCTTCCTCATCTCTCCACCAGCCTTCCTTTCTGTTCACCTAGTCCCCATCCCCATTAGCACCAGGCTGAGGCCCAAACATCATCTAAGCAACCACCTACCACCCCAACTCTAAGAAGTGGCCTCTGAGCTGTAGGGGTGTACCCCTCTGAAGGGAGGACCCTATAATACTAATCTACTCCTGGTCTGACTGCCAACATTGTCTGATCTAAGTGAGGAAGAGCTGATCTAAAACATTGCTGTCATAACCCAAAGGGATTACTGAACTGTAGTTTGGGCGGGGCTTCTCCCTCCCTCCCAGCAGACTAACCCTCCTACTTATTTTTAATTTAAGCTAATGTGAAAATATTTGCATTCTCTGAGCATGCAGAAAATGAACCAGGGCAAGTGGGGGAAAAAGTGGGGAGCTAAAAGTATGTTGGAACCATGATTAGGCCAGCCTAGGAGAAACAAGGTTGACCATATTTATGGGGTCTCGTTCTTTGGCGAGCCAACAGTGTTTAAGGATTTCTCTGACTTAATTACAGGACTCTCATGGGTCATGACTTCTGTAACCAAATGTTACTTTGAAAGGGAAGAAGTGAATAGATAGAAAAGGTTTTGTCTTTAGACACCATAATTTGTCGTGACAACATTTCCTCTTTCAGGCCCGTGTGGGTCCCTGGAGAGCCTTATGGAGTGCACCTTTCAGGTTGGAGATGGTCTGATCTCTCTCTGTCCATGTACTTGTGCGTATACATTCCCAAATATTTATTTCACTAGGTAGCTTCTCTTCCAACTCCCGCTACAGGCCTTAGGGTTTCTTGGGAGATTGCTTTCTGCGCTTATGGGGCAGAGATGTGGGGTGGAAGTTGGTGACAAGGAGACATCTATTCCCTACCAATATTAGGGCACGTGAACCAAGGCCCATGTGTCCCTCACACGTGGGGATGAGAGACCTTGCCAGTGGCTCTGGCCAGGCCTGATGCGGCTCAGACGTGGCCCTTTGCTCCCACAGCTAGAGGAAAATCCTGTCAAAATGCCTTAACGATCTTCTAATATTTCCATGCAATTAAGGCCACATCTGTCTCCCAGGCCCCCACACTCCTTTGCTGGTGCACAGACATGAACCAAACAGTCTGTCTTGTCGATCTGGAAGGTAACAAAGAGCTCCATTCATAACTGTAGGCACTTTCACCATTTTTTTTTCGAAGTAAAATAGAGTTTTCACTTTGAGAATAACCTGTGTGGCAAGCAAGCGAAGGATTTTTCCCCCCTAATAAATCAAATTCAACAGCCTAATAAAATGCTGGCTCCCCCTGCCCACACCACTGCCTCCCTCCCTCCCACTGTCCCACTCTCAGCCAACAATCCTTGGGAATGGAGAGTAGTGGGCAGACCCAAAGGAGGTAGGGAAGGTGAGCTGGGAGCAGATGAAGTGAATTAAAATGCCTTTTGAAGGCTCACGGGCTTGTTTGGCAGATTAAAGACTGAGATGGGTGGGGCAGGGGGGTTGAGGGGTGGGGGCAGCAGGAGCGTAAGGAGTGTGCCTTTCCCTTTCCCTCTCTACCTACTTTCTCAGCCTTTCCGGGCTTGTTTTAAAATACTTGTTTTCTTCTCCTGCTCCCTCTACCCCACAGCTCATCCCCATACCTTCAGTAAACCTGCTGCTTCCTTTTTTTGCATGGGGAAGAGCAAGAGAACCACGTTCCTAAGAATGGAGCAAGTGCTATTGGGCCACACCTGCAGCTGAAGCCCCGGGGAGGAGTGCCTGCCTGTCTCCTCAGAGCAAGGCTAAGAGATCTCCCTCAGCCTTTGAAGCCTCCAGAGAGTGAGTTTGCAGGAGATAAGTGCTGATAAACATCGAGTTTGGTGCTTATCCGCAGCAAACATGATCTTTTGAGGTTCTCTCTGCACTCATAAGCCATAGAGACTCTAATCAGAAAACAGAAGGGAAAATGCAAAACCAAGCAGTATTTGCTGCTGATTTTTCTTCTTTTTTGTTTTGTTTTGTTTCGGTTTACACACTGAAAAGCCCAACATAGATACTGTCATACAAGAGACTCCAGAGCAGAAATGTAGCCCTGGGTCTTTGCTTTGCTTGGGTTTTTTGGTTCTGACATCAAGGGAAGATGTCTTCACAGAGCTGCACATAAAAAGGATGGGCTGGACACTAATAACGACGACACCTGCATCCAGCATTCTCCTTTCCAAAGCGCTCTTAGTCATTGCATTGTCTGGCCCTCATGGCAACTCTTTAAGGTAGGTGGGACAGACGGTTCACAGGTAAAGAAACTGCGCCTGAGCTAGGATATGTGATTTGTCCAATGTCACACAGCTTGAAGTGGGGTGCCAGGAGTAAAAGCCAGATCTTTCTGGCTGCAAAGCTGGGCTCTGTTCACGCTATACAATGCAGAGGCTCAGCAGCTAGAAGATAACCAGGAATCAAAGGGGCCTTGAACTTGGGTGTCCCACCTGGAAGCATTTGGAGAGCTCAGGCGGTAGTGGATGAAGTCAGGTGGAGAGGGCTTCGGGCTTTGCATCATTTGAGTAATGAGAGAAAGGTGAGGCCTTGGTTGTCTTGTATTTCAAGGCATTGTTTATATCTTATTTCTTAGCTATGGGATATTAGCAAAAAGCAGATGTGGAAGATGGAGTGTAGAGTAGAAACAGCATGGAGCCAGAGGTCCAGGGTTCTGGTCTCTGCTCCTCCCCTGCCCAGGTAGCGGGTCTTGAGTTTCAGTATTTTCTTCTATAAAATAAGGCGGATGGCACTTAAGTCAGGAGAGCAGGGTGACGTTAAGGGGAGCATGGAGAATGTTTGCTCCCCTATAAACTCATTCTTCTAAAATTATACTGTAATAATGACAATATTAAGGTAAAACCTTGCCATGACTTGTTAAGGCTCAAACAATGGTAGAACCTCGTCTTGTTGATCCCTTCCAGCTTCAGAACTCAATGGTATTGTCATGGGAGTCTTGAATTTGGGGAACTGCTGATGACCATTTAAGTCCATAGAGATAACAGGCTATTTCCACACAGGTTTTGATTAAGCAATCCTACTTCTGACAGCCAAGCAAGCCCTTGATGTTATATATCATAAGCTCCGAGCATTTGTCTGCAGGTAGATAGAAAGTGAACCTTCCACAAGAACCTCACAACAAAAGTAACTGGAACTGAGCCCAAAAGAACATTTCCTAAGGCTAAAAGTGACATCATTCACATAAGCTATCTTAGGTACCTCAATAAGCCCTGGATGGCCATTTCTAGGATGGGAAGTGAGATTATGGGGTACCCTGAGGCAAGAGGGCTTTTCCTCGATCTCTATTTAAATTTTCTACAGAATACATTCATGCATCATTTATTTCATTTAAAATAAATTTTTAAAGATAAAGGAAAATAGAAATGTCTTGTTCACAGATGAGTTCATGGTTTGGAGACAGAGCTGGACTACATTCTTGACAAAGATTTGTTCAAGTTCTAGAACTCATAGACATTAGAGAGGAGGACCATGTTGAACAGAGCTCGTGTTCCGGTGTGGTGGGGGCTGTGATGGGAGACGCATGCCCCATATGTGTCTATCATTCAAGCCTTGTTTGTAAAAACCCTCCTTTCTGCTTCAGCGTTTGTCTTTTTCAGCTCCCAGTGAAGGAGGCCTGACAATAGTGTGGTGAGGTGGTCAGGGAACTAACCCATTTTACAGATGAGGGAGTGGATGAGCTTGCACCCTGGCCTCCCCTACTGTGTCCTGCTCCCACTGAGCCCTGCCATCCCTTCCATGTAGCTAGCTGGATTCAACAAACTCAGTTTGAAAAAGGGCTTTCCGAAGTCCCTATCCACTTGAGTTAGATCTACTGCAGAATACTGCCTCTTGAGCACTGAAAGATATCCATATTCTTTCACAGAAATATATACATCTTTTTGAAAATGTTTGGTTGGGTTTGTGGTCGGAGGCTTGGCATGGTTGTTTGTTTGTTAGAATGTGCCTCCTTTGGGAAGAATGCAAACCAGGGGCTGTATTGGGATGCTGAGTCAGGCTCTGCCCTCAGTGACAAGGGGTCTTTGTCTTGTTCATGGTTCTCCCCACACACCTGCATACACACAGATACCCACAAAAGTGCATTTTGAAAACTAATAAAAATTGCACTGAAAATATTTAACTTATGCAAATACTACTATAGCAGAAAGTACACACATATACAAAACAGCAGCTATCTTTTCTAGAATCTGAACAAAATTTTCTGTTGATTATATATACAGAATTTGCTGAACATTTGCCTTGGGAAACCAATAAACAATGCAGTTATTGGTCCACTGTCAGCTTAGGCTTCTGTTTTGAGATGTTTTACCTATAGTGGAAATTGTCATCTGTACCTGGCATGTTTCTGGGTGTGTCTAAAATGAGCATGTCTCAAGAAATCTTTCCAGGTTCCTACATTCTCAACCAAAGTTGCTCAAGTGAGAAAGCAACTCAGGATATCAAGCTACCAGTTAGAATTTCAAGTATGACAAGCCTGCTACAAGAGTGTATCTTATCTGTGGCCTCTAGGGTTTCAGAAGCCAGAGGGCTCATGCTACCGCCAAAAGCTGTGGCTTACCAACTCGTATCACCCCTTTCATTGGAAGTTTCTTAAGATTCCAAAATGTGAGAATTATTATCAGGTGTTCTTTGTCTAATGATGTCTGATTGCTCTGCATATATGAATGAATGCCTACAGCTCTTCGGAAAGGAAAGCAAAGAATAATGTTCTTATGCTGGGCGGGGGTGGAGGGTGGGGACTTAGGGGGTGGTTGAATGTTCAGCTCTAGTAGCTTGCATTTCCTGTTTAGTGGGTGTGAGGGGTTTACACAAGAAAGTCTCAGTGTTACGCTAGATGGATAGCCTCATCGATCATGTCTAAGGAATCTCTGCCTAAAGATGATCAATTTGGCCTCTGCATACCACAAGGAGGTTTCAGTATTTAAGAACTTCGGGATCAACCATGTCCTAATTCTAGATACGTGTTTCGATTGTCTTGTCCTATTTGTTCAAAATTCCCTTCAAAGTTAAACAATTTATCAGGCCAGCTCATAGGACCCTTGAAGGAAAATTTGAAAAACATCTTATTATTCTAAATACTATTTTCTGTTTGCAGGAATGATATGAATTTGCAAAGAGACTTGGCATCTAAAGGTGGGGGGAGGCTCAGGAAGCCCTAGGAAGTTCATAAGAACTTTACAACTTAGTTTCCAAGTTCAGACTTCTGGTTCACTCAGCTACCTAGGCCATCATGGGTCACACAGCTGTGATAAAGTTACCTTTCCTATCTTATCTAGACATCTGATAATGTGGATAATGTGAGGATTATTTCTCCATCATCAAATTGATCTCTAAAGGAATTATACCAAACATACAGTCACAAAGTTCTCCCAAATTGGTGATCAGCTCTCTGAAAATTAAAATCAAATGGTATCTTAGGAAGTATGCTATTTTCTTAGATGTATCCAAACCTTAGAAATAAAAAGCCCACCTTAAATCCATCAATACAAATAAGCGATAACCATGATTACTTCTATGTTATTATACAGGACTTTAAATATACACTGAGGTGCCAGAACAAAGTCCTAGGCTGGTTGAATTCTTGTGTCCAGCTCCATCTCTGCCTCTGTCTCTTTTTAATGGAACAGGCAGATGATGCATTTTCTAGACTTATTTCCCCTCATTTTGTTGTTATCAGTAATAATAATGACAAGGAAAATTGTAGATTATTTTATAGTTTAAGACATTGATCTTAATAGGAGCCTTCCCACATCTATAATCTTATTTAATTACTCTAATAAACTGGAGAAGAAGGCAGGATTATTCCCCTCCCCCACTTTGCTGATGAAGAAACAAAGGTTCTGAAGGACTACGTTCGTGGTCATAAAGCGGGAAGGGGAAGAGTGTGAGGCCAACCCTCTGGACTCCCTTCCGTGGGGCCCTTTCCACGAGGCTGCACTTTCTCAGCTGCATTCTTTGCCCACAAACACTACAGCAATTAGTACATTTATTTTTCCATATTGATACTATTTTTCTTTCCCTTTTGATCTTGCCCCTTTGGTTAGATGGTAGGCGATTTTAGGGCAAGATCTTTATCTGTTCGTTATTTACCGTTTGAACTTTCAGTGGGCTCATTAGGGGTCCAGGGACATTTGCTGATTGATGGCATGCACTGGACATGAGCCTGCTGGCTTTGACATTTTAAAACTGCACACTTCCCTCAGTGACAGTATGCCCAAGCAACAGGCCTCCCTGACATTTTCTCAAAACCAGGAAATGAAACTGGCCACCAAGAGCAAGTGACCGCCAGCCAGGGCATTGGTGCAAACCAAGCAAAACACACCACAGTGCAGGCAGCGCGGGTCACAAGGATGAAGGCATTCGATCTGCAGTTATCTTTGAAGAAATGTAACATGTTCCTTCCTCCCACCGTGGTTTCAGCCACAATCATCCTCCTGTTTTAAACAGGTTGAATTATGTTCCTATACAATATTTGTACACAAAACCCAACCTTAGACATGCTTTTCCCTATGATCTTGGTCTCTGCACACGCACGAGAATAGCCTTCTTCCATCTGAGTACTCAGCTCGATCCTGCTTAGCTTCCAAGATCAGATGAGGCACGTTCAGAGCACTGTGGACGTGGACAGCGCAGCCTCCTCCAAACGTTTTGGCTGAATTGGAGGACAAAGCAGGGCTGTTTAATATGCAAAACATCTTTTTCTCGCATTTTCCTTTCTATAGCTTCCCCTGTTTAACCACCCCTCTCCACCTCGCTTTTAACCAAGTCAAATCTTTGGCAAATGGTTTTGGGGATATTTTTCAGCACGTGGTAGCAAAGATATTTTCTGTCTGTGGCCTCGGAGCCCCTGGGCGCTCTGGGGAAGCTGCCATTGCACAGGTAGCAGTACTCTGAACCCCTGCAGCTCAGCAGCAAGCCCCGGTCATAATCATGTGCTCTGTCGCTCCTCTCCTCACTGTGCTGATTGCAGCCCAGATAGGAGGAGCATGTGGGAGCTGACTCCTCACTGAACAATGACTTGAGAGAGAGAAAGACAAGAACTTCTTTGCATATGAATGCATCAACATGTGCCTCTCTGGGTACCTTTGCTCCATGTGAAAGGAAGGGAGGCAGCCAAAGTGACCCTTGGCTAATTAGACAAAGGCAGATGGGCACAACAGAGAAAACTTCTGCTGGATCCAGTATTTGCACAGCTTCAGGGACTTTCAGCGCACAGCATCTTATATCACACATGCATAACATTCCTGCCAACTGAGTCCAAATGGCGAATGTGATCTTTGTAGCTTGACCTGTGACACCCAACAAATTCTAGGCAATGGTTGGATTTGCTGTCTGTGACTCACTTTGCATGTTTCCATTATTTTTATCTACTCTGGCCCACTAACTTGACCGTGTTCACTCAGCATCAGCCAGGTTCTAAAGAGTGAGGGGAAGCTGAGAAAGCTTGAATGGCGGAGTGTGTAGAGCTACTGAGATGCTTCCGGGACACCAGCAGGACACTAATCCTACTAGTTTTTCTCCTAGTGTGGATCCTGGACTTGCTGCCTCAAAATCACTTGAAGTGTTGTTAAAAATGAAGATTCCCGGGACCATTCCAGATCCAGTGAATTAGAATCTCTGGAGCTGGAGCCGAGGAATCAGCATTCTTTACACTCCCCAAGGGAATTTTGTGCAGATGTAAGTTTCAGAGCCACTGAGTTAGGTACTCAGTGAAAAAAAAAAACCTCTTGCAATCAAATTTGATTGGAAAACGCTGCAGACTGCATTGTGCGGCCCTTTCCCTTGGAGCTTCAGGATCTCCATTAGTATATTCAAGGCTCTGATAAGTCCTGATGCAAAGAGACTTGTTTAAGTTCCTTTGAATTTCCCACACTCAGTTGAACACAGAATCCTGTTTTGAGAAAGCAGCTTTGAGCATCCCTTGGACACATTTGAGAAGCAATGAGATGCTTTAGTAAGAGCCACTATTGCAAGTCGCTGAAGGACTCTACTTCTCTAGATCTGATTTTTCCTCTCTTTCTCTGCCACAAACCTCCCAAACAATTGTAAAAGGAAGTGTGCTTCTCTGGGCAAAACAAGGGCATGTCAAGCCCAAGAGATCATTTACTTTTTTCTTTCTTTTTTGGTAACTAGTTGGTTTTTTAGAATCATAACTTGCTTTGGTTATGTGTTGGAAGCAACGAAGCATATTCCTCTCATCTTAATCATTTTTGTGTAAATGTCATGTAAAAAAGTGGGGCTTTCCTTGACTTCTCCAATCCCAGGCTTGTATCTATCCGGCCTTAACGTCTTTCTCAGAGCACTCTAGTTTTTCTTCATAATACCTACCACATGTATAATTAGATATTCACCTATGCAAAAGTGTGATTTGTGTCGCTCTCCCATTGGACTACACTCAATGGAGGCAGGGTCTTCCTCTGTTTTGTTCACCTGTGTCCCCAAGGACTTAGCACAATGCCTGGCAGAGTATGCACTCCAAAACTATTTGTCACATGAAAGACTTTCAAAGTTTTTATTTAGCAGCCCATATAGAACATGAGAGTCAAAATGACATAGACTCACGTTGGTTCTGTCTGCCCATCAGAATTTCCTGAAAAGCTTTTTTAAGATGCACGGTTCTACCTTAGATGTCCTAGATGAGAAGGGGGGAAGATAGCTGGAGAATAATCTGGTACTGATTGGCTGAATGGATGGAGAAAGAAGGGAACCAGTGAATTTTTTTCTGGCCTCTTCTGCTATAGGATTTTAGACAAGGCTCAGCATGCTTTGGTGCCTTAATTTATTTCACTGTTTAGTAAAGCTGGAGTCACATTTACCACTCATCTCTTCTCCAAAATTGCATGACATGTCTAGTTAAGCAATTTTTGTTTCTTTTCTTTTCTTTTCTTTTTTTTTTTGAGATGGAGTCTCGCTCTGTCCACCAGCCTGGAGCACAGTGGCACGATCTCGGCTCACTGCAACCTCCGCCTCCCGGTTCGAAGTGATTCTCCTGCCTCAGCCTCCGAAGTGGCTGGAATTACAGGCGTGTGCCACCACACTAAGCTAATTTTTGTATTTTTATTAGAGACAAGGTTTTGCCATGTTGGCCAGGCTGATCTCGAACTCCTGACCTCAAGTGATTTGCCCGCCTCCGCCTCCCAAAGTGCTGGATTACAGGCCTGAGCCGCTGCGCCCCATCTACTTAAGCATTTTGAAATCTTAAAATAGGAGACGGTTCTGAGGTCAAATCACGATGACCGTTTCTAGCATGATGGCTTTTCAGCACATGGCTATGAACTTTGGGTTTTGCCAAATGATTTTTCATGCAAGTTCACTCAGGAAGGGTTTTTTTGTTTGTTTTTTGTTTTATTTTTGTTTTTTGTTTTGTTTTTGTTTTTTGTTTGTTTTTTCTGACACGGCCCCTTTAACAGAAAAAAAAAAGGGCTGCTCAATTTGTTAACCACCCTTTCATACTTGACCTCTTGTTTTGTGGTGCAAAAGTTACACGAGCAGACCGTTAGACAAGCACACTGGCTCGCTGGTGTGTTTTGCACCATCTATCTGCAGCCAGGCAACCTGTGCTCAGAGAAGATGAGAGCAAACTCACCAACCCCCCCACATTTAGGTCCTAAGGGCTCCCTGCCCCTGAGCAGTGCTGGGGTTAGTCCAGCCCAGGTCATAAGCAGCACAGGAAGCAGAGGGCATGGCTAATGTACATGTCACCGTGTGGCTTATGGTCACAGCCTCACCCTACCTTCAAACCTGTGCAAGCTGCAAGAGCAACAGGAAACGGCCAAGCGTCTATATATAGCCACATTGAACTTATCCAAAGGTGCTGTTTTGCACAGATTATTATGAACTTCTTTCACGGGGAGAGGACATGATGGCATGTGCCTTTTCCTCAGGACCTCTCGAAGCACTTGTAAAATTAACTACTCCACCTGAGAAGGAAGAAGGATGTTACACCTTTTGGTTTCTTCATTTTCAAGGCAAACAGACTGGTGCCTTTTCTTTTGCAAAAGATTTCCGGACACATTCAGCAAAGGCTAAGAAAGGATGGGAAACGGCAATGGAAGCATGCAGGATTTCTGTGAGCCTCTAAATACAGCCCATTGGGAAAACCATTCATTCCATAGATTGAGTTTCCCTTGAAAATCATTAATTAGTCTTTGCTTCTCCCTAATACATTTCCCTGGCAAATAAATAAATACACCCCTTCGTGGTGTATCCATCACGCAGCCCTTGGTGTAGCTCTCCCAAGATCCCAAGAGGCAGAGACAAAAGGAGTGGGTGTCAGGGCTTGAAGGGCCCAGCACCACAGACCACCTTTGTTCTCAAAGGGAAGCCTTCAAAAAGAAATGAAAACATGTGTCTGTTCCAGAGCCCTTCTTTACTGCTTTGGAAGTGACTTTCTGGGACTGCCAGTGTATTTATCAGCATTCTAGAATAGAATGCATGTTCTTGATACTGAGCCTGACTTTAGTAGCACCGATTTGCTCCTTACCCAGCTCTTCTCCCTATTGAGTAAGCACAGAAATGAATAGGATGAGCAGCGCAGCTACTGAGAGGCTGACCCACAAAGGTGAGCGTAAACGTGTGGCCTACACCCGCAGTCTGGGTGACCTCAGCCAATTAGGAAACCTCTTTGAGATTCCAGTTTTCATCTGTAAAATAGGGTTGTGAGGATGGAATGAGAGGATATAAGTAAAGTTTTTAACACAGTACACACTTAACAAATGCACAATACAAGGTAGGCATAGTCAAGGTGGTGATAATATACAAATCAGAGTGGGACTTGAGAACAGAAAGAATCCAGATTTCAAGATTTTCGACTTTTCTGTTTCCTGAAACTTCCCTTGCTAACTCAGTTGGCTAGCTCTGGCAACATGAATGAACTTTGTGTTCTGATATTAGAAATGTTTCAAGGTCAAATGCCAGATCAACATAGTTTCCTCAGAGCACTCCCTAACACAGGGCCACTTAATCAACATGGTGCCTAAAAGGTGCAGTTCTTCTGTTCTGAAAAGGCATTAAAGTTATAGAATTGCATTTTGAAAAAATAAGCATCTCTTTAGCAAAAATCATTCTGGAGAACAAGGTCAAAATGCTTCCCATCTCCACAGTCCCACCAGCCAGTACCTGGGACATGCTCTTCCAGCCTGGTTCTCAAGAACCGGGCTCTTGGAATGGGGAAGGAGAGGTGAATGATCTGGTTGCCATCCTTTTAAAAAGGGGTGACAGGTATGTGCATTGATTTAGTGTACATGACGACTGGTAAAAGGACACCAAAGGGAGCAAAAGGGGACCTCAGTTGTCCTGAGTCCTGAGTTCATTCTGGAGCCTGCTTGGTGCACTCGTGTTTCCCCCGGGCAGTGCCATATGCCTCACATACCTCCACTCTGATCCTTTTCTTTTCCCACCTCTTTAAATGCAAAGCATCGCCAACCATTGTTCAGTCTCATCACTGAAAGCTGAACACACAGTGGCAGAGGCCAAAGCCTGTGGCTGTGTGTGCCTGAGATTAAGACTTTTATCTGATCTTTGACAACTTGCAGAGGAAATCCTGTTCCAAAACTCACAGCCCTGAGAGAAGGGTTGCCAGCAGTTCTTCCCTCCCACCTGTGAGATAAATCAGGGCACTTGAAATGCGAACATGGTTGATAAATATAATAAGCTTGCCTCCTCTCGCTCCATTAATCTCTCCCCCTACCTTTTTTCTTTGAACCATGGAGCACAACAAAGTCTCTTGGCAGAGCCGGGCTGGGAGTCCTTTGTGTTGCCCTCGTACACATCCGATTACAAAGCAGAGGTGCCTAGCAGAAGAATCCCTGCAGCTGAAACTCAAATGACCGTCCTGTCTTTAGGATTCACGCAGGAGCTCAGCCAGCTCTTTCTAAACCGAGGCAGACACGGGTAGCTGTGTCATATCTGTGTAGACCCAAAGTGGTTCTCAACTCCTTGAGTCAAAGAACATCAGGCAGAAGGGTGTGTCTCTGGCGGTTGGAGTAGAGGTTGCAAAAAGTTGTAGGTTCCTCTCATTTCCTTCACCCCACCCTTGGCTAGGGGACTAATTGAATGTGGTTAGTTCTAGATGGTTCATCATATCCCTGGACTTGATGTAGCCAAGGCAGGTTTACCTGATACTCAGGTACAGCTGGGATGCCCACCAGGGCAAATGGGGAGTGCAAATGAGAATTTCTGTGCCTGAAGGGAAGAATCCCAATACAGAACGCACTGGAACGTTTGCCTTGACTCTGCTCCTTGTTTGGCTTCCCTTACTGCAAAACAGGAGTGGCTCTGGTCACAAGGACACTCAGGGCATACTGGGTGCCCAAGGGGAATGGACAAGAGAAGGCATAGAACCTGCCTCAGGGAGATTTTACTCACAGGGGCCACTGCAGTTATGGAAGAAATGTTGTTCAAAAAGTGTCCAAGCGTCAACACGCAGGAGCACCACCAGCAGCAGGCCAGAGAGGGCGGTCCAGCTCCAGAGGTGACACAGCTAAGAGGTGCGGCCTCTGCCGCAGCACCCTCATTGCGCAGCAAAGGGACACACAGGTGATTACTAAGCTCTTTTTGGCTCTGGCGTCCCATGGTTCTGTGACAGCCTCTGCCAGATAGTTCATTAAGGATGAGGCCAGACCCTCCCTGCTGCCTCCCAAAGGGAATCCGGAAGTGCACTGCCTAGGCCAAGGCATGCCCATGTCCTGGCCGCTCCACCTGCGTGGTGAGCTGGGTGGAGACAGCGTTAGCCCCCGGCCTGCTGCACTATCAGACTCCATGGCATTTGGGGCTGCACCCTGTGATTCCTCTTAAAGCGGAGCTACTCTGCTGAAGGCCCAAGGGAGAGGGCCACGTTTTGTGTTTTGTTTTGTTTCAGCTTGTGAGGAAAATGAACTTGCTAGTCAGTATGGAACTGGCCTGAGGGGAAGTGGGTCAGGGAGGGAAGCTTTACTTCTGGCCGGTGTGGGACAGAGAAGAGAGCAGGAATGCCTGCTCTTCTCCCCGCTTTAACTCCTTACCTCTCCACTTAGACAAAGCTAGGTCAGACATAGAGGACAGGTGCCTCTTTTGCTCTGAGATGGGCTGTGGTTGTGGGACAGGGTGGCTGGATGCAGTGGTGTGCTGGAACTGGCTCATGAGGTTCCTGAGAGCCAGTTGCACGCATCTCTTCTCAACTGCATGCCCAGTGGGAGCTTGAAGCTGGGCATCATGAAATAAGTGCAAATTACACAAACCTGGAGAGCCAGTTGTTAAGTGTTTATGAACACATGTGGCTGAATGCACCTCCTTCTCAATCAGATGGGACTTAAATCTATGTACCAAGGTCTTGGGCTGCAGCAAGTCAGCCTTTGAAGCTGATACATCAGCCCTTTCCGCAACCACTACTCTAGACCTGGCCCTTGGGCTCTGTCCAGGTCCTGGCTGCCTGCATCTCACGGAAAGGTTGAAACAGGGCCTGACTTGCTGAGATCAGCATCTAGACCACCCAACTCCTTACACTCTTCCTCTTGAGGACTTAAAGTGGCTTGCTATCGCTGGTTTTCTAATCCATAAGCTATAAAGTATATACATAATACTAGCCATTATTGATTTAGGAGCTACTGTTTGCCAGGTATGGAACTAAGGACTTTGCGTAAGTTATCTCGTTTCATTCTCACCATAGCCTTATGAAATAATTTCCTCATTTTATAGTTCAGGAAGGTGAGGCTTGGGAGGTTACCCAGCTTATAAGTGGCAGAGCTAAGATCTCAACTCAGATCTGATTCTGAAGTGTGCTCCTTCCAAAATCTACATTCTTTCAACTACGGACATGCCTATTACTAATACAGAAGAGGATTCTCCCTCTTTGAAAATATATCCAAATATTAACGCCAGGCAGGACCTTCAAGAGTGGCACAGCTCCCAGGGCCACCATGCAATCAGTATTGCCCTTCCCAAAGACACAGCACCCTCCCCTGCAGAACACACTTCCTCTTCCCCCCTCTGCCCCAGCCGTTGTCCCTCCCCTCCTTCAGAACTTAACTTCCTCCTTGAAGCGTTCTGTCATTAACCCCATTCCGTTTTGATCACTTCACTAACTTTGCTTCTCCTCAAATACTTATAATATTCACATAGATTTCTGCTGCCCTGTTTTTACAACCGTGTCCTCTGGCTGTCCTTCATTAAGCTGCACCTATGGGCAAAGCACCCCAAGACACTTGTTCCACTGTGGTCTCTGGGGCTTGGCCTCCTCTGTCTCTGTCTGTGGGCCTATGGATGGCCTGCCTTTCCTATACAAAAGAGGGCACCGCCCAACTATCTAGCCAAGTGACTCAAGTATCCACTTTGTTCTGGCCAGAGGCCATTGGTATGGAGCTTAGGCGGGGGTGGGGGTAGGGGGGTGGGAGGGTGGCAGGAGAAATAGCCAGGCTGGTTAGTGTCCCTCCAGGAACTCTCCTTCTCCAGTCTTCATCTTTGATGACACCTGAGGATTTCCTCTGTCCAGCCTTGGGGCCAGGCAGGACCCTCATTCTCTCCAAGTGGATCTTCCCTTGGGCTTCCCGGTTGCACCCCCAGCCCCCTGCACCCCTGGATTGAGTTGTAGGTTGAAACTAGCCATAGAGTAGGAGTCTGGGGCTGGGTTGGGGCAGCGTCTTAATGTGTAATCGGGAGTGTTCTGAAAGGTGAGCCTACACAGGGGAGCATGGGTGGGTGTCAGCTTCAGGGGAGGGCAGGGGGGCTGAGCCAGCGGTTGGGGGAGATTTATGTCTGCCAGTCATGCTTCAGAAGCTTCTGAGTGGATGGAGAGGGGAGACCGGACCTCGGGGGTTCTGGAAGAAGACTCAGTAATGTGATAGTAGCAGCTGGTCTGATTTGCATCTGGGAAGCTGAATTTTTCAGAGGGCTCAGCTGAAGCACGGAGCCATTCCAGAGAGGCCTCCCCTGGCCAGCCAGGATCTGGACTCCTCAGTCCCCTCCGGCTTCTCTTCTGCCTTGTCCTTGTCCCCTACTGTCCCCATGCCCAGGACACATTTGAATTCCTCCTCACTGTCAAGAGCCAGCTGTGATCTCACACTGCCTGCTTCTGCCCTGAACGTTGACAGGCTTTTTCTCCTGCACGGACTGCCACTTTTAGACTGGCACACAGTTTTCACAAGACGGGGTTTTGTGGTTTGGGTTTTTTTTTCCCTTCATAAGTTTGCAGCTGCTAGTTTTGAAACCACCAGCCCTGAGGCAACTCAGACACACACACACACACACAAACACACACACACAGAGAGAGAGAGAGAGGGAGAGAGAATGAAAGAAAGGATGATGAGATGTCTTTTTAGAAATCATTTATTACATTCCAAAGGTCCTTCCTTCATCTTGCAGTCAGGCTTCAGTTGGTGAAAGGTTCCTAGACACATTTAAGGGTTTGTGGGCATTTGCGGGCACTTGAGCATTGGGGTAGTTCTCATGAGGTGTGCCTCCCATGCTGGGTCCCTGGCTGCCTGAGGCTGACAGGTGAGTGGTGAGGGGCCAAGACTTTTGGTTATGATCTGAAGTGGACCGGCCGGCCGCCTTATGTCCTGCTTGAATGTGTGTGCATGTGGATGCACTGACATGTGCAGGTTGGAGGCAGGAGAAAGGGGAGGAAGCGGGAGATACAGGAAGACCTTGATTGAGTTTCTGAGAATTATGCAAGAATCACCTTCAGGCTCACCTAACAGGTCCCTTTGCCTATGCAGCCATATATCTTTAGCTGAACACAGACTTGAGGCTAGAAGAGCCCAAAATAAACTGAAATCAGAACAAACTACTCATCTTCAGCTCTCCCCTCACCCTCACACATCCACTGGTACTTGTGGTGGTCAATTATAGTTTTTATCGAAACTACGAGAACACCTAGAGTCTCAGCCTAGCATCCTCCCCCTGGACAGAGCATGGGGGACTATCAAGAGGCCACGCTGTCAGCCCCATTCTGGGTGGCTTTTATGCCGTCTCTTTGCTGGCATTCTTACTGAACCCCATCATTCTCTGCAGGCTTAATCAAACACTTTGGCCAGTGGGAGGAGAGAGAATCGTAGTGATATTACCAAGGAAGGGAAATGAGGAATGACTGGGCCTCCTAAATAAGGCCTGCTTTGACCTGAGAGTGAAGAAACAAATCTGGGACACTGGGAATCTCTACCTCCATAAACCCTTGTGCCTCTCCTAGAACCATGCACCCATTTAGATCCCGTATCAAGACGATGTGTGCTCTTGTTTCTCCTCACCCTTTCTCACCACTCATTCCTTACCAAACTTATTTAGGGTCCCATGAGGCTCAGGCAGTGTAGGCAGGAGGGCTTGGGATAGATTTTTCTTTGTATCATCCATACTCGATTCAGTGAGTGTTCTGCATGTGGTAGACACTCTATAAGTGCTTATTTAACTCAATTGAACAAAATGTGAGTTGTCACATCCTCTTCTGGAAACCTGCACTGATTTTCCCATCATTGACAACAGAAAACCCAAATTCCCTATAGCCTGGCACAATAGGCTTTCTGGGGTCAGGCCTCACCTGTGTCCTGCCTCCTCACCTGCTGCCCCATATCCGTGGCACTCTCACTGGCCTGGCACCATCCCATGTTCACACCCTTTCCGTGCTGGTCCCTCTCCCTGGAATACCCTGTCTGGTAAATTCTGAGTCATGTTCAAAATCAACTCCAGGCCAGGCACGGTGGCTCATGCCTGTAATCCCAGCACTTTGGGAGGCCAAGGCGGGTGGATCACCTGAGGTAAAGAGTTCGAGACCAGCCTGCCCAACATGGTGAAACCCCATCTCTACTAAAAATACAAACAACTTAGCCTGGAGTGGTGGTGGGCACCTGTAATCCCAGCTACTCAGGAGGCTGAGGCAGGAGAATTGCTTGAACCTGGGAGGCAGAGGTTACAGTGAGCCCAGATGGCGCCACTATACTCCAGCCTGAGCGACAAGAGTGAAACTCCGTCTCAAAAAAAAAAAAAAAAAAAAAAAAAATCAACTCCATTGTTCCTCCTCCTCTATAAATCTGTTCCTGACTCTGTTGGGTCTTTCCAGTAGAGCTGGTTGCTCCTGTGGTTGGGTTTTTGTGATGTTTTGCACCTAGCACCATGAAAGCACTTGTTTTTAGTGTGAGTGTTCATTTACACCTCTTTCCTTCAGAGGATCTTAAATTCATCAAAGACAGGGACCATGTCTTATGCATAATTGCATTCTCAATTTGGCACACTGCCCAGGATAGTAGGTATTCAATAAAGGATGATTACATTAATGAAAGAACAAATGGGTTGCATTGATCTACTTTTGGAATCTCAAGCAGGGTTTTTCTATACCTATCCTCCTTCTTCCCCTTTCTTTCCCATATGTCACTGCTTCATGGGGCTCAGCACATATATGGCAGCAGGAATGCACCTCTTTTATTTCTTTTTCTGGAATGTCTCCATCCTTGTGCACAAATTTCCTAAGATTACCCATAGTGTTCCTGCTCACCATGCTTCTTGGGTTTCTGATGTTTGCAAAGACATTGACTCATCACCTGGAGACGTAGACACCCATGGAGATGGGCCTTCCTGCACCACAATGTACCTCCTCCATGAAGCCCTCCTACATGAGTCCAAGCCCACAGGGAGCTTCCATCCCGCCTACACTGCCTGAGCCCCCACTTGCTCCTCTCTTCTCTTTAATTGTGCCATGGTGCCAGCTGTCATGTTGTTATGGAGTGAGTGTTTGTGTCCCTCCCCAGACTCATACATTAAATCCTAACGGACAATGTGATGGTATAGGAGGTGGGATCTTCAGGGGGTGATTTGATCGTGGAGGTGGAGCCTTCAGAGCGGGATTAGTACCCTAATAAAGAGGACCCAAGAGAGCTAGCTTGCCCTCTTTCTACCACGCAGATACACAGTGAGGAAGACAGCCCTCACTAGAACCCGATCATGCTGGCACTCTGATCTCAGACTCCTGGCCTCCAGAACTGTGAGAGATAAGCATTCACTGTTGATGAGCCACCCAGTTATGGGACTCCATTACAGCAGCCTGAACAGCTAGAACAGGGATATTTTTCCTCCCGATTGTTTGGATTCTCCCCCACCCCGCGGTTCCCAGAGCTCGATAGGAGAATGACTGCACGAGGTGTTTCCGCACGGCTTTTCTGCACACTGGCCTCCATCCCTCATTCCCCAGGCTCTGTGCTTTCCCAAAGGGACTTTACCTCATCTGAGTAGCTCCTGATCTAGCAATATTAATCCACCACATCTCAAGGACTGTCATTTTTGTTATAGAATACATCTTTGATAATTTATACATTTTTGGAAGATAGTTGCACTTTCCTGTGGAGGTCACGCAAATCTCTTGGTTCAAATACAGGTTAAAAATGGTAAGATTCTCCCCAGCAGACAAAGCTGCATTGCCTGAAGTCTGAGCAAGCAAATCCTGCAGTGTTTGCTGGCACTCTGGGCAGTGGGCACAGCAGGAATGGCATTGTGAGGGCCACCTCTGGCTAAGCAGCCAAGGTGTCCATAATCACCAAACTGGCATCTCCAGGCTGCTCTGCTCCTTGCCTGAACATCCTCCTCCTGCCCTTCTCCCTTCTCCGAGAAGCATCCCTTGACCTTGTCAGCTTTTCCTCTGCTTTCTCCCCTTCCTCTCCTCCATACCCTGTCAAAATGTTTCAGGTTTTCCATATTCCCAGGACCTTGCTAGGCTCAGCCATATAGTAAATGTCATATAGTCGTGTGTCAAATGTCATATGGTTAAGTCACGTCAGGGGGTAACTTTTACATTTTTACATGAACCTCCTGGACGTTCAAAGGAGTGAACCCATGGCAAGGATTTCAGGCAGACAGAAACGTGATGGAGGTTTCTGCGGGGTGGGTCTTTTGGAGCATCCTACCATACTACCTGGGCTGCCTCCCTCTAAGACCAGCTGCAGACAGACAGGAGAAGCATTCCCACTACTCAAGATGACCAGGGAGCCTCTGACTCTAGCCACTTAGTGGGGCCTTCTTAGGCAGGAAGAGGAGGGAAGCAGATCCCTCAAATTAATACCTGGCCTGAGTCACTGGGCTTGGGATTCAGAGTTTGGAAAGTCACCCAAATGCCTTCATTCCCAAACCTGACCTTCTAGAGAGCCTGGAGCGGGCAAGCTTCAGATTCATTTGTGTCAACATGTTGTTTGGTTAATGTAGCTGAGCATCTAGGCCCATTTTCTTAGAAACAGGAAATCCCAGAGTGCCAAGAGTAAACATCCCAGCCCCCAAAGGTTTGGGTTCATGTAGGAACTCCCTGACCACAAGGGTCTGTGGGTCTGTGTGCTTGAGCCAGGCATGCTCTTGCACCCATAATTGATCTTGTATAAAGAGATGGTCTCTCTACAGCTCAGCAGCTGGACTGTGAGACTGAACCATGCTTGAGGCTGGTTGGGAATAGGCTAAGGACAGGGTCACAATTTCAAACATAAAGCAAAAATGTATTAGGGCCTTTTATAACTTGACAGGCATCTCCCCTGCAATCCCCACCACAGACTCTTCAATTCTAGTTTCTTCTCTTTTTATTCTTTGTTTCTTCTGTGACAGCAGGGACCTCGTCTGTCTTCGCCTCCATTCTTCCATCCCTATATTCTACACCGTGCTGAGAATAGGAGGTGCCAAGTACAGGCTGGCGGAATGAATGAATGATTGAGTGGATGGCACCATGTGAATCAAGGCAGCAGAAGAAGGCATCCCTGAAGGGCTTGACCATTCCAGCTGTCTGTGGTGCATCCTACAGGGGTGAGCTCCACATAGTTACTAGTCTTAAGGGGCTCACAGAGAATTAATTCTCTCTCACGAACTTGCCAGCCCCTAGTTGGCAAGGACAGATTCTCCAGAAGCTTCTCTGGATTAGTTGAGAGAGCTCAGGTTAGCTGGGGCTGGAGGAGAAAACACTGGCTGTGCAGAACTTGACTGGGTGGAGGGGGAAGGGCCGGGGGTGGCCAGAGGCGGCTTCTGTTGCACAGAGGTCCGGCTTGCTCGCCAGACAAAGAGCCCTCAGAAAGCACCTTCCCCACCTCCGCCACACACAGAGAAGGCGCAGAGGGCCTGGCCTCTTTCTTACAAGGAGCCCGGCTGACCCTGTTGCTGTGAGGGGCAGAAAGAGAGGCAGGCAGCTGCTTGGAGACGCGGGAGTCACTGAGCAGGGCCCGCGGAGTCTGACAACGGAAGAAAAGAGGCAACCCTTCTATTATTAGTGGCTGCTTTCCACGTATGTGTAAATCAGACAGCCTATGCAAAAAGAGGCCTCCTGGTAGCAGGAAATTCAGAGTTGTGGGTGTCTTTGTGCTATCAGATCGGGCCCTGGGCTTGCCTGCAATCCGGTCTTGGACGGGCTTCCATCTGGGCTGCATTAAGAGGCACAAGGAGGTGAGCGAAGGCCCGGCTTGGCCTCCCCACCCCCCAGTGTTTCTGGTTTTATGACTCTAGGGGGACTTTGTGACTTTTTAAACATCGTCTTTTCAGCATTTCACGTGGGCTCCTTTTTAGAGCCTATACTGAAGATTTTATGAAAATACAAAAGAGATAAGGCTGCGTCTGTTACAAAATGCCATCCCAGGTCCAGAAGCTGGGCATAACTAAAATAATATATACTATTCCAGAGCCCAGGACTTGACTTCCGTGTTTAGTGGTTTGCTGTACTTCCATCAGAAGTAGTGATATAGTGTAATATTTAATGATACAGGAACATGGCCGTAATTTAATATAAAGAGAATAAAAGGAGGTTACAAAGCAATATGATTCTGGCTAGATAAAATAATACATATATGTCTATATATTTGCATTATAAAGACCGGAAGGAAGGGCACCAAAATATGAATCGGCTGCTTTCTGTATTGTGAGACTATGCGTGCTTTTACATTCTTATTTTGAAATTTTCTATACGTTTTAAATTTTATACAAGGATGAAGTGACACTTCTGCAATCATTATTTTAAAGAACTTAAACGATGCACGTAATGAGTTTTAAAAAAAAGTAAGCCAAGAAACAGAGAAGAAGTAGTAGCACCTGCAGGATGGGCTTACTAACTTAGTCCTGTTTCTCAGCAGCCTTGGGTGGGTTTTCCATGTCCCTTGTCTCCCATGGCCCTGACTCCCTCTCCTCCCTTTTTCCTTGCCCTGCATAGCTCTTGTCCATTTCAGCCGGTGACTCCATGCTGCTGGAGCACCTTGCTTTCTCACAGCACTGACCTGCCCAGCGCCTTGCCCTTGCTTGTCCCAGGAAAGCAAATGAGGCCCCAGAAACATGAGTAGACGGGATGAATGTAATTCAGCTCCCAAAATTTGCAGTAAGTCTCCGTTGCCCTTCAAGTCCACCAGAGATCGTGCCAGTCCTTAGAGCTTAGACTGAATGCAGAGCCCTCGCTGTCTTTGTATAATGCACTCTTTGACAGCTAATTAGGTGGATTTCAGCAACTTCACAATGTCACATCTATCAGAGGCAGGCAGCCTGAGACTCCCAGGGGAACTTATTCAAGCTATAAGTAAATAAATATTACAGATTTTACACACACACACACACACACACACACACACACACACACACGGGAAAAGGGGAGAAAGAGTACACACACACGCAGACCATTTTGTCCTCACAACATTACGAACTGTTTTTTTTTTTTTTAATCTAACTGATGAGGAAACTGAGACTCTGACAGGTCCAGTCACATGGCCGGAAATGGCAGAGCTAGAATTTGAACAGGGTCCTGCCTGTCTCCAAAGCCTGGACTCTCCACCAAAATGCCTTCCCCTCTCCCATACTGCAATCCAGGCAGGCCACTGTGGGTGTAGTGAGTCCCAAAGCTCCGTAATTACAGGGTTCAACTCTGCCTCCAGAATAACCATGACAAAATTTGTGGAAATGTTCACAACAGCTCTTTACTTCCAGGTTCTGAGATCAGAAACGGAAGTTTCAAAATACCGAAAGTTCGTTTATGTTGAACATAGTGCTTAGGCTAAAAGCAGGAAGTCCAAGAAAGCCTGATCTCATGAGATTTTTTCAGCCCAATTTGGATCCACATCTGCACTTCTGGATTTTCCACTGAGTCTAACCTCAGCTGCTCTGCTGGTCTCACCGAGTCTGCACCTCCAGCATGGGGCACAGATAAATAACACAGTCGACTGCTATTCACTAAGATTTACCCAGGGATTGGCCTCTTGAAAAGTAGTGAGCTTGGACAGGCAGTAGAAAGGAACAATTGAAATTTGAAAAATAGGCATTTCTTTTCATAAAGCTAAAAAAACCCAAACCAAAACAAACAAAACTCTAAACAATAACTCATCCAAATAATGGTCTTGCTGTTGTCTCCAGGTGCAGGAAACAAGTGAAAAAGAATCTTACCACCTACTCCTTCCCGCCCCAGTCCTGGTTTCTCCATTGGTCAGTATCCGGCCAGCAGAGGGGAGGAGAAGGCAGTGGCACTTAGTGGTGTGCCTTGGGCTGCCAGCTCTGGGGGAGCCTCTGAATGTTGGGGAGACTCATTCCCGTATCCCCACTCCCATAGCTTGAGGCACTTTGGAAAGCAAGTTTCTCATGTTGCAGATGAGGAAACTAAGGTTAGGAGAAGTGGAAGGATTTGCTCAGACCACACACATCTAGTGACGGCAGGAGCTGGGATTAGAACCCAAATCCACAAAGATGTGGCCTCTTTTTTGAATCATAATAGCTGCCCTGCCTACCTCTCAGCATTTGAATGGATTAACGGACATGATAGGGTTTGCAAATGACAAACATAAAGTAAGTGTTAGTTGCTGTATCTTGACATATTCCAGGTAGTGGCTCAGTTAGTCTTGCTGGTGCTGTATTTAATTTGGGTCCCATTCCAAGTGTAGAGTTTTCTGGGGATGCCATTATCTATGAGGCTTCTCTGCCAGGAGGGCTCAGAGGCCCCCAAGGGAACACTCCCTATACACACAACATCCCCAGCAACACCTTAGAGATCCTTTTGGGAACATCTGGAGGACTTCTGGATCACAAAGATCTACAGTGCACTGTGGTGTGAGCTCCTCTATTCAGGGACTAGAACTCATTCTTTTGAAGCACAATTTCAAATCAGCCACACCCAACTGCAACAGTCCAGGAGAGGTAGTAGACCACATCTTAGAGCCACCCCTTTTCAACTTCAGGCACCCAGGCATGCAGGGGTTACTGACTTGCTTTGTAAACCTGTTCAAACTAGGTGCAAAGTGGATGTAGCATGACACATTTAGCAGATGTATGGCCTGGAGTGAATGATTTAACTTCTCTGAGCCTCAGTTTCCTCATCAGAATGTGGTAATTGCAATATATACTCCTGGGTTGGCAAGGGAAGTAAAGGGGATGTTTATAAACCGCCTGGCATGCACACAAACAAAGGCACTTCCTGCCTGCCCTGCAGTCCCAAACTGCCCTTTGGGGTAGACCCTCAGCACCTACATGCCTTAGAAACAGCATCCCTGGGCTCCAGAAGGACCTCCAGAATCTGGAAGAGCAAGTCCTTAAATCTTGCCATATACTATTTCGTTTTCAAGGAATTTCTTACAGGTAGCAAGTATGAAATAAATGTCACACGATAGCAAAACCATCATGCGTGTGCTTTTCTATTAGTGAGGTCCTCCTGGGAATCTCCTCTCTCCTTACACAGGTCCAGTGAGGCCTCCTTAGCCCCATCACAGGTGTGCATTCTTGGCTGGGTGCTCTGGGTTGTGATGCACTTGGAGCAGGGGTGAGGAGGGTAATCTCCCCATCGCTTGAAGCTGAAGTGGGAGGAAGCAAGGCCTTTCATGTGGCAGGGTCAGGCATTCTCCCCAGAGCAGCGTGTGCCCCGGAAGCCAAGCCGGTAGGACCAAGCAGAAGCCGCCACTGCTTCCTCCCTACCTTGGAAAATTACACAGCATGCCACTTTGCCTGCTGGCTGCCAGGCAGATGCCCTGCTGCTTTCTGAAGCTGTCCTACCTCCTTAGGATGAAAACAGCAATGTGCCCATGCCCACAGTGACGAGCATGCCCTGCCTTCTTCCTCCTCCCTGCACTGGAAAAAGTACAGGGTCTGTAAACAAGTCATTAGATTCAAGATCCTGCCCAATTTAGACTCTTTGTCTCAGTTTTCTCCAGAGTAAACTGGCGGTCACACCCACTCAAACCAAGCAAAGCCCAGAAGGAATGCAGAGCCCTGTGGCCAGGCTCACCGCAGCTGACCCTGAGATGCCCAGAGCTCCAGCCCTCCTGGACTGGGAGAGGAGAGTGGGAAGCCCAGAGCACTCCATTCCATCAGGAGCAGAGCAGCGGCTCTGATGGGCACACGGCTAAGATCCCAGTGTCTAGGTTCAAGTCCCCAAAGCAGCTTTTACTTTTGGAACTAGCTCTCCAAACTATCAAAAATCAAAAATCCACCTCCTTTGAAGTCTGGCAAGAAAACCCCCACGATCAGCTTCTCTTTATTCCTGTACTTCCCGTACAGGCAGGCTTCTAGAAAACAGAGGTTGGAGAAAATGAAAGTCAATGCCAAATACTAACCAGACAGAAGAATAACTGCTTTTCCCCACAGCACCCCCACCCCCAGCTCTGGCATTATGGGCTGGGGAACTGGGCCCCTCTCCTGCTGCTGAGGATCTGTTTATTTTGCACTCCATAAAGGGAAACCAGGCCCTTTTCTGACATTTTGGCTTGGAGGGGGTGGGGAGAGAAGGAGGTCCAGAATTTAAACTCAAAACCAGATCAACTTCTCTAAATCTCCTGGTGCTTTTGCTATGATTCCTAAATGGGCTGCATTGTATGAATCAGGCTTTTTACTCCCCCAGCCAATGTGCCTCCATTTCTAACAGTCTGGCTCCTAACCCTACCAATGCCATAAACTGCCATGACCCCTTATTGACTTCTAACCATGCAAATGCTTCCCCAGATGAAATTAAGGACAGGCATACTCACAGGCAGCTTGGCAGCTCTCCCTGCCTCTCCTGCAGGGAAATCTGTGCCTACATCACAAACCTTGCTCTCCTTAGTGGATGGTGGCTTCCTTTAAACAATACAACAGGGAATTTCCTTTGTCCTGGAAATGTTCCACTTGTCATTAATGTTATCCTTATCAGCAGACCACAATGCAACCAGGAGAGGCCCCAGCATGCTCAGGACTCGTGGGGTATCATTGCAAAATGTTTTCTTCATTTTTTTTCCTCTGCCTTGAATTCAAAGCATGACCTTTACGGGTGGAATTCAATCAGGTCATCTCTCAGATTCCCCAGTGGGAAAATAAAAGTGGCACAAGCAAAGCCTATTGTTTCCATTGCAAGAAGGTAGAAATGCTGTTTTCTCTCTAGATCATCCAACTAAATGAGGTGGGATGGGGGATACGGAGATAATAAAATGACCCTTACAAATTGAGATCTTATTAATAAAATATAGCCTCGGTCCTGGTAGTCCCATGGAAGTTGCACAGCAGGGGCTCTGCAAATGTCATTGACTCCTCAACTTTTTCAGTCCTTCACCATGGCTTTCACTATTTTTAATGCAATTCATTTCTATTTGGACAAGTTTGAGAATAAATTTTTGTTTTCTTTAAACAACAGGCAAGCAATACGTTAGGAAAAGGGGTGGAGGCATGTGGGAACACCAGAAGGCCAGAGGAATTGCAAAAATAAACTTCTGCTAATGGTAACACTCTTGTCTTCCAGGGCAGGAATAATTAATTGTATATGTTTAATCACTTAGCAACCCTGAGCTCTTATTCTGAAAATCTCAAAATATTTCACATATGCAGTGAGTAAAGTCTTTGGTATCAGACAGAACCTGCTAGCTGCACAACTTTTGGCAAGTCACTTGAGTTTCGTATGTCTTGGTTCTTCTCACTGGGTGCGTGCGAGTCATGATAGATGGATTCCTTGGGGCTGTGGTGGAAGTCAAGTGCTAAAATGCCTTCAAGGGCCGGGTGCGGTAGCTCACCCCTGTCATCCCAGCACTTTGGGAGGCTGAGGCTGGCGGATGACGAGGTCAAGAGATTGAGACCATTCCGGCCAACATGGTGAAACCCCGTCTCTACTAAAAATACAAAAATTAGCTGGGCGTGGTGGTGCGTGCCTGTAGTCCAAGCTACACGGAAGGCTGAGGCAGGAGAATTGCTTGAACCTGGGAGGCGGAGGTTGCTGTGAGCTGAGATTACACCACTGCACTCCAGCCTGGTGACAGAGCAAGACTCTGTCAAAAAAAAAAAAAAAAAAAGGTCCTTCAAGTGTTTAGCACAGTGCTGGGCTCATCAGTAACTACTCAGTAACCATCATCATCATCATCATTATTGTTATTGGCATTACTGATATCTCCTGCCAAAGTTGTTTAAAGTAATAATGAGGTAAAGGGAACAGCCATTCCAGAAAAGATCTTAAAAGCCAATCCCAGTTATCAACCTCTGTAGACTCTCTAGAATCTTAGACCAGAGGGTTTCCTCAGAAATTCTAACAAACACCAGATATAGACAGCATGCCTGTTTAGTAGGTGTTTCTTTTTTTGGTCTTGCAAAATGCTTTTACCACCATCTTTATTACAACATCACTTCGAGGTAAAATTATCATTGGAAGAATCTCCCTGTTCTGCAGTTGAGGAAACTGCAGCATGAGAAGGCCCACATCTTTGATGGAGATCAGGATAGCAGTTTATGTCGGCGCCAGCCAGCGCATCTTCCAGAGCTCTATTTGCCAAAGAGTTGCCGTTTTTTTTTTTTTTTTTTTTTCTGGCCAGTGAAGAGTTATATCAAGTTGAAACCCAGAGCTTTCATAGCTGAGATTTCTAAAGGTGGAATTCAGCCTCCTAGAATCTTCTTGACTTTGAAATTTCTGGATGCATTGCATAGTAAAGGCATATTAACCTATAGATATGTACTCTATGCACTCAGTAAAACATTAGTCTGATAATGCCTTCTAAGGTAATTGTCCTCTCACAGTATTCTTCATTACACTCTACTTGCCTTTACTGAAGAAGAGAGTGGCTAAGAAAATGGCTTATGGCCACACAGATAATGCCTGGGGGGACTATGGTTAGGATGACTAAGCTCAAGGTACTTAATTTAGCAATGCCCCGGGTGGCCATTTCATTCATTCACTCATCCAGTAAAGACTTATTGGAAGGCCTGTTCTCTTTCATACTGACTCCGAGGCTTATCTTTCAGGGTTCGGCCTAAATGTCACTTCCTTAAGGAAGCCTTTGACCTCTGAGACTAGGTTAGGTCCCCACGTTGTGCCCTCCCGAGGCACCCCATACTTCCCCTTTCATAGAACCCTTTGCACTTATAACAACAAGCTCAATAACTGTTTTTTTTTTTTGCCTTGACTATTACCTCTGTCCAAGGAGGAACTATACCTGTCTGCTTTACTGCTGTACTCCAGCACCTGGCACATAGAAGCAGCTCAATTAATACATGGATATGTGTCAGGCACTGAGGACTTGAGGACAAATGGCCAGAGTTTCTGCCCTCAAGGAGCAAGTAACTCACTCACTTTGTTCACAGAATTGTATTCTATACATACTCCTTACCTTCTTCCCAATGCAATTTGAAAAAACAACAACAAAAAACAATGGTGGAATGTTTTAAACTGAAGAAGGATTTTTCTGAAAATGCATGAGCTGCAGAACTGTCAAACTATTGATAAATTCTACATAGGAAGAGACTAATAAAGACTCTAATTGGACATTTATAATTTTATCCTTTCTGGAGGGCAGGTATGAGTGAGAAGCAGGACTACAGTGCTTCATCACCCCTAAGACCATTACATAGAGTTGGACCTCTAGGAACATGGCCTCATTTTCTGAGAGGAGTCTGCCCATCTTTGTTTTAAACAGTTCACCTCACAAATTTATGCCATTCAGTGATGGACACAGGATTGACCTTCGCAATGATGTGTACCTGAAGACTTCCAAAGAAAAAGCTGCTATAGGTCTGCTCATTAGCGAGACCTCAGTAATGAAGTCAGATCTCCCCATGAGAAAGCCTGGGGTATTTATTCCTCACAGTGATTCTAAAACCACAGGAGGTGTAGCAGGCAATATATTTCTATTATCCATGGGTGAGAAGTATGAAGGGTAGAGAGAAATTGCTTCATGTCTCAGGATATCAAGGATATAGATCTTTGGAAAGTGTATGATATGTTTTGGCTCTGTGTCCCCACCCAAAGCTCCCATAACTCCCACATGTTGCGGGAGGGACCTGGTGGGAGATGATTGAATTCTGGGGGTGGGTCTTTCCTGTGCTGTTCTCATGATAGTGAATGGGTTTCATGACATCTGATGGTTTTTAAACAAGCTCTCTTTTTGCCTGCTGCCATCCGTGTAAGGTGTGACTTTCTCCTCCTTGCCTTCCGCCATGATTGTGAAGCCTCCCTAGCCATGTGGAACTGTAAGTCCAATAAACCTCTTTCTTTCTTTTATAAATTGCCCCATCTCGGGTATATCTTTACCAGCAATGTGAAAACAGACTAATACAGTGTACCATAGAACAGCACTAGCTTAATCCATTTTCTGTAGCTATAACGGAATATCTGAGGCTAGGTAATTTATAAAGAAAAGAGGTTTATTTGGCTCATGGTGCTCATGGTTCTGCAGGCTGTACAGAAAGCATGGTGCCAGCATCTGCTTCTGATGAGGCCTCAGAAAGCATACAATTGTGGTGGAAAGTGAATGGGGAGCCAGCGTGTCACATAGCAAGAGCAGGAGCAAGAGAGAGAAGGAGGAGGTCCCAGACTCTTTTAACAACCAGATCTCAGGCGAGCTAACTGAGCCAGAACTCACTTCTCGCCCAGAGATGACACTAATTCCTTCACCAGGGATCTGCCCCCCATGATCTAATCACCTCCCACCAGGCCCCACCTCCAACACTGCGAATCATACTTCAACATGAGATTTGGAGAGGACAAACGACCAAACTGTGTTGAATACAAACCTAGGGAATACTCATTGGAGAGAAATTGGCTTTCAAGGACTACCAGTCTAACTAGTAAGTTTTAAAATAAAATTTTTTTAAAAAAAGACAAAGACTACCACTTTAGCTGGTTATTTGCTAAATTAAAGTGCTTTGTTCACATTTATACTTAAGAAGAAATATTACAAACGGTTATAGGGATCTGGGAACTAGAAAAGCAAACCATCTGTTAATAGTATGGAGCTCTACCTAATAGGAAATCATATTTTCATGGTGGCATAAAGCATTAGAGCTAAAAATGACCTTAAAAATAAGCAAGTACAATGCCAGTATTTTGCAAATGGAGAAACTGAAATCGCCATTATGTATAATAGGGATTCCTTTTGGCCAAGATTATTTTTCAATGAAAAGGTATAGGGCAAAGCCCATACCTTTCTTTGATAAGCCCAATAAACATTCGATCATGATTCGTGACTATCCTTTTGATAAATTCCAAATGCCCTCATTTGATAAAAGGGAAATAAAGTATTACATTCTTAAAGGTCAGCAGAGAATTGATGATGAAGCCAGGAGACGGGATAGAAAACTTAGCTCCAGCCCCAGGCCAACATGATAATGCTGAACATTCACTTTTCATTTTGCTTTGCTTTAATGTTAGTCATAAGAATAAATGGAAGTGTTAGTCTCCATGTGGACAACACATTGCTGACTCAGATCAAAATAATCCGTGTAAATATGCCCCTCTGACTGAATTCAGATTTCAAGATGATGTTTTTAACTTGAATGATGCAGTCTTGTACTGCCCACTATGGTAGCTTCTAACCATATTTAATTAATTAGATTAATCAACTAATTAAACTTAATTGACTTAATGAAAAAAGAACACAATTTTACATTTCCTTTCTCTAGCCATATTTCAAATACTCAATAGCCACTCAAATAGAGAGTACAGTGGCTACCATAGTGAACAGTGCAGAACAGGACATTTCCATGTTTGTAGAAAGTTCTGTTGGACAGCCCTGATAAGGAAAGTTTTCTTAATCTTTCACTTTCCTTGGACTTTAAGATAGAGTTAAAAAGGTTGAGAAAAACTGATAAAGTTTCCCAAATCTCTTCTCCTAAAAATTGTGCAAGAGCTATATCTGTTACAGAGTTTCCTACACATGAATATCTTCAAAAGAGAGATTTTGGAACCTTGTGTAGCCCAATAAAATACTATTGCTCCCATATCAAATGCAAAATCAGAAACTTAGTAGCTGAAGAGATTATATTTTTTTATGTAGTTAAGGTGGTAGGACAATGAGTATGTCCAAACCCTTTATACAATCCAACATCACAAAGATAGACAAATAAATTTTCTGCAAGGCTGCATTTGCTTTCATTGTGTCAGATGTTCTTCATAATTTGAAATATAAATTTGAGATGCTCTCTAATCTCTTTACCTTCACTCTGTGGTGTTAGTGTGGAAAAACACAGCATGCTCTTTCAATACAGCATCTCGGTCTTGGTGGTGATTTGTTGTCATGGAGAAAAAGCAGTAGGGCTGATCTTAGCTAGATTGTGGTCCCTAGGAACTACAGACTAGTGTTTGAGCAGTTCAATGTTCGGCCTCATGAACTTTGAAATCCCAATTCTGTTGGCCAAGGATAACACCCTAATACCTAGTTCAATGCGTTCAATAAAAAGATTGCAAAAGAAGTTCATCATTTTAATACTAAATGTCTGAATGAGCACTTAAATGGAAATGGTCAACTCCATTTTCCTTTCTTCATCTCTTCATTTTTGAGCTACTTCAGTGTGGGTAGAATATGGGCAAATGTTCTCCTTCCCTTCACTTCTGGTCACATAATCATACTTGGTTGTGCAGTGTACCGTGAAAGACAGCAATATGACCTTTCCTAAAATATTGATGATGCATGATGAGAATAAAGACCAACCCAGCTTTCCTGGCCTCGTTAAGTGAAAGAAGGGCCTCCATCACTTGTGACTTCAACACTAAAAGAGGATCATCTTCAAGGCAAATTACTTCTTTTGTTCTGTTGTCCCTTCACTCACACCAAAGTCAGTTAAACCTATTAGTAGCATTTACACTTAATACAGACTGTCACAACCCAATTAAATTCACATCCCTTAATCAGGGAGCTCAGTTCTACTGGTATCTCCCTCTGAATTAACCTACTTCTAGCCTGGTTCTGTACTGTATTACCACAAGGACATGGGGAAGATAATAGAAGAGGTGGCGTAGATGTATGGGTGGAGGCAGCCATAGGTATTTGGTCAGCCAGACGGATGTTTTAAAACTATTCACAAGGGAGTGCTGTAGCATAGGTTGGACAAGAGAATTTGTTTCTCTGGTGTTTTCTGTTTGACACAACTCTCTTTATCAGCAGCACAAGCCTGGAATTCCTGAAGCCACACTCATATCCTGCCATCGGTTTTTACGTAAACCCCCCATTGATTGGGATGGGAGTTTCACAAGTAGAACAATGGCCGGATACGTGGGAGGGAAAGGAGGAATATGGGATGTTTGATCTGTACTTGTGCATTTGTAGGGGATGGTGTCTACATGGGCAAAGAGATATGAATAAGTCACTAACTGGTGAATTTAACCACATGCAAGCAAGTCTTTGAAATCACTAAGGCCAGAAAAAAGCAACCCAACAGATTTAAGTTACATTTATTATCTGTTATATTCATGCATCGACTTGAATGAGAATAATAACTAAGATAATAACAACTAGCAGTTGCACAGCACTTTACAATTACAAAGTGCTTTTACTTCCATACTACTTTTGATTCTTATTATTAGTAAGGTTGGTAGAAAAATTAACGTTATGCATTATTACTACCAGTACTACTATTATTTTACAGGTAGGAAAGGAGATTGGAGAAGTTATTATCTGACCGAAGACCACACAATTAATAAGTGGGTCTGAACCTAGATTTCCAAACTTCAGACTGCATGTGGCTTTCACAAAATCATTCTGCCACTGTCACAGTAATCTGGCAAAATACTCCAGAGGTTTACTGCCAGCCTTCCTAAGGTTTTGTCTCACCTTTTTTAGGCAAGAAGCACCTTACAGCACACAGCATTGACACATTATATTTACATTGTGTGGGCATGAAGTCACATTTGGTAACTTTGGCTAACTGAATATTGGCTGACTGAACTTTGCCTGACAAATAAAAAGACGGGGCGGGTGCTCTTTCTTTAGTAAAAAGTCCAAATAAGGCTCGGAATCTGAAATGCCGCATGATTTACAGCAATCTTGTTACATTGGCAACAAGAAAGCCATCCAATGAGCCACCCAGTAGTTAGTCAAAGTGTAGTAATTAATTCACGCTTTTCTTGAAGAAACTCAAAGCAACTCACTACTCCAGTTTTTTACCAAATCCATGGAAGAAGAGGATCATCAAGAAGCCTTAATCCTTTTGGGTAAATGGACCCACTGAGAAGGGGAGAGTAACTTGTCCAATGTCACGAAGCCAGCCTAAGGCAAAACCAGGTACAGAACTCAGACTACCCAAGCCGGTGCCCACATTAGCACTTTAGAGGGACCGATATATAAAACTCTCTCAGGGGAGCTAGGCACAGGTGCACCTAGACAGCTTCACCAGCAAAGTTTTTAAAGGAGGTGGAGAACGAGGCTTGCTCTAATAGCAGACAACCAACTCCTTCCAATCAGAAGGGAGTTAAAAGTAGTGTTAGCATATGGAAAATGCCAATCCACCTGTTCCATCTTGGATGAGACTGACCACTCAACTGACTGCTTGTCGATGGTAACTGACCACAGTAAGAAGGATTCTTGTGTCTCATGTAACGCTCCTCTCCCTTTTTGGTAGCTCTGAGCTGAAAGCTTCCTCCCCCATGCACGGCAATGGGGAAACCAAGGCACCCACCTTCAGGGATACCCCTGTTTTCCCAGGAGTTTCCCTTCACTGAGGCTGTGTCTCTCCTTCCCTTGTAAGTGTGCTTGTACTGTGCACACTAACAAAACATTCTTTCCTGTTTCCAATTATTTTCAACAGTTAAGCATGCAAATGTCTGAACAACATTTATTAAGCTTCTATGGACATTTAGGAGAGAAAAAAAGATGAACCAACAAGAATCTGAATCATCAAAGAGCTCTTACAAAACCAGTGTTTTGAGCCTTTAATTGGAAGTGAATCAGAAACAGGCATGTGAAATTTCCCATGAAATACACACAGGGTTTTAAATTTTTTAAAAGGGTGCTCTGGGCAGAGAAGAGTCTGGGTCATACCCTGTCCAAACTGATAGGAAGAAATAAATAATTCTGATGAGCTCTAAACCCAGTCCTACTGCCCTGTCATGGCTTGTCTACAAAACTCAGGGGGCAAACTCCAAGAAGGCAGGGAGGGGGAGCCATGGTAATTCCTTTACCACACTTCAGACTCAGTATGTTTATAGAGACCCACAGTCTCCAAAAGGAATGGCTTAGAAGCCCAGAGCAGCACAGCCACAGGGCTGGATGCCTTCCCCAAGGCACCCTGGGAAGTCTCCACATGCTGGTTTCCTGAAATGACGTTTCTAGAAAAGTCACCTGCTCTTTCTCCCTCTCCTTTCTAGAAAAGTGCAAAAAGTACAGGTGCCCTTCAAGTCCCTCACCTCTAGGGAAGTCCTATGTTGCACCAAAGACCGTATTTGAGAAAGAGGACTTGTGCCCTTCGACCAATGTGTTCTTATTATGGAGAAGTCGAAGGGCAGGTTAGCATGGTTCTCTACAGGCAGTGTTATCAGGGCGGGGGAAGTTGCTTAAGATAATGTATGAATCTTTTCTTCAGGATTCCTGACTGTTCATGAACTTGGGTACAGGGCTATTGACAGAGTATCGTGCTGGGAAAAGAAAGATCCTAAGCTCATAGTGTGGGGCAGTCATTTTAACCCCTTGCCTTTGCTATCGCCCAAGCAGGTTATACAAAGCAGAGCACACCAACCGTGCCCATAACCCCCTCACAGTCTCCTCATGCCACATAGTTTCTGAGTTATTTTCTTCTTTGTGAATATTCTTTAAATCCATTTTCAACTAGACATGATAACAATGAGAACTGGGTTAGGAAAAATCATTATGAATTAACCATGTTGAATTAGCCCTAAGAAATGCCTCTTGCCAGAAGAGCTACATTTGTTTTGTTGTTTACCCTCTTCCAAATCAGCAATCCTTTTAAAGAGAAAAATCTACTTTAGTAAAATTTGGGTGGCTACATGATTACTCACTTACCCATGTGGTTCCTATGGAAAGTGCCCTCTTCAATCACCCAGAAATATTATGACAATGGTCAGAAAATAGGACCAATGAACAAAGAAGCAGGAGTCCCTGTGGGTTAAATGAGCCTTGATATCTTTGCTCCAGAAAACACCCTCATTGTAGAGCGTGGTGTTTGGGGGCATGAATACTTGAGTTCTGCTTCCAGGGGCTCTTGCCTGGTTCCCATCTTTTGACACACTACATCTTGAAGCCTCAGTTGTCTCTCCGTCAATGGCCTCTTTCTTTTTGAGACTACTGGGGAGGGGGCTATCCTAAGTTGGCAATGTGTGATAGGTACTTTGGGAGATATGACAGAGAAACAAGCAACTTTCTTAACAGTGCTCCCTTGTTACCCTGGGTCATGCCTAAAGGTCTTTCAGTAGTAATGTGTAGAGTGAATAGTGAGGCCACGTTGTATGGAGTGATGTGGGAGACACTCCAGGCAAAAGAGAAAAGCAGCGATCTCAACTCAATTTCTGGAATTTCTTCTTCAACTGACTTTGATGATCCTTTGGATACACCTTGAAGCTTCTTCTCCTATACGCATGTTTCTAGAGTCAGAACTGCAAAAACAGATAGGTTGAAATCTCTAGACAAGAGGGTTTCCTTGCACACCTGTTGTGTTGAGCTCAGGTAACAAAAGGTTAAACCCTATGTAGAGAGGTGTTCCACGTCCCTCTTGAAGGTGTATGCGTGTATGAGGTGGGGGTGCTTGTGCACTGAAAATGGCTTAATTTTCCTACTTTGAATAAAATCAAACTACAACTAGGATGAATTCAAGTAGCTCATCGACCCCTGGTAATTGCACATAGGGTTCATCGGGACATTACACAGAATGCTGTGGGGAAAAAAAAAGCAAAGGCAGGCGCTTGGCCCTACGCATTGAGAATGAAAAATTTAAAATAATAGGTTCTTCAGGGCTAAATTGTGTTTGCTCCCAAGGATCCTTGGAGCTATGGTTTTCTTTGTTCTGCCAAAGGAAAAAGGAAATATATCAGGAAGCTGGGCCAGTCCACAGGAAGTCTCACTTGGTCTGATAAAAGGAACTGGTGTGAGGCAGCTTTGGATGCAGTTATAAGTCAATCAGCCTTGAAATAACAAGAAAGGCTATTCAAGAGAAACTGGAGCCTGAAGTCAGCCCTACTCAATGATTTCCTTTTAACCTCGCAAAACATTCCCTTCTTTGTGTTTTATATAACCTCCTGAATCTGTTATGTTTTTTAAAAAAAATTGTGTATAGTTTTGTGTGTATATGAGTGGAATAGAATGAAGAAGAGAGCAAGATTTCGAGGAGGAAAGGAAGAAAGAACGAAGGTACAAGGGTAGAGGAGGAAGCCTTGGCAGGTCAAAGAATATGCCGTTCTCTATTGAGCTATAAAACATTTAAAAATCAACTCATTGGATCATTATGTAAAAAGAGAACCTGTCAGTTTCACACCAGTGCACCTGCTAACAAAGCCAGGCAGGCTTTCTTACCTGGGAAATAGGCCTTCTTGAATAAAGAGTTGTGAAGAATTGAGCAGTTTCATGAATCTGACCGGTGCAGACTGTGGATAGTGGTCACTTAGACAAAGAGATAAAACAAATAGTAACAAAACCTACATGGTCCCCATAGATGGGCTCGTAGCCTAAACTATATGGAGATGTATGTATCAATCTGGTGATGTATCACAGTGGCTAAGCTTTATGGAATTTGGAAGTAAGCAGGATTAGGTTCCAATAATTGCTTTTCTATTTTCTACCTGTATGACCATGAGTAACTTACCCAATCTCTTCAAAATGGAAATATTACATACATCACAGGGTTGTTACAGGGATCAAGTGCATGTCTTAAAGGTTTGAATAGATATTGTCACCTTGAGCTGGATAGATAACTTATTCTCTTTATAACTATGATTGTTCTTCCTCATTTTTATTCCCCCTCTGATGAAAGATGAGCATCTCTTTCTCTTAGGTGAGTACTAGGGAAAGAAAGGCCTTAGCTTGGGGTCATGAGGACCCATGCAAAATGGTGGGTGATACAGTTTCAAACTGAATTGGGGCCTTCTGGGGTTGACTGTGTTTGCCCATAGAACACCACTTCCTGTTTTAACAAGAAGAAACAAAGCCTTCCAGAAAACCCATTAAGAGACTCAAAATTCTCCTTGGACATCAAATTATTGTTTTTAGAAGAGTTAAGTGTAAATGAATCAAAACCAGACAAATTCAATTTCCTTTCAATTAAACAGGATTTTTTTAAAGGCCACGGGAAAGACGCTTGGAGCCAAAGAGTGTTTTGGGTTTTAAATGAGACCAAATTTCGGAAAAGAATCTAAGACCCCAGAGTGGCGTCAGGCCCTATTCTTAGTTTGCATTAACGGAAAGGGATTAGCACAGTTCTAGTGTCACTTGGCAATAAAAACAACCAGCTCGGAGAAACTCACCAAGCACCTGCTGAGAGCCCCTGCCTTCACCTGGCCTTGAGGGTCACTCCACAGTACAAAATGTAGCCCTGAGATTATGGGAGAAGAGCCACACAGGATCAGATAGAACATCTACGTGAGGTTCTATCATCCACACCCCCAAATAAGAAATGTTTTAAAGCCTGTCTAGGATCAGAGTCAAATGAACATGAGAGCTGAAAGCAAATTTTGAAATCATACCTTCATTTTATATATGAGAAGACCTTTAACATGAATGATGAGGAAGTGAAGTGACTTGCCTAACATCCCATAGCTAGTTTGGGATAGAGCTGGGGCTGGAACTCAGGTCTCCGGATCCTAGGCCAGCCAATTTCTCCCTGCATTTACCTCAATTTCGAATCTTAAAGTCACCGGGACCAGCACATTCAGGATAAAATCTTGGTGCCCATTCACCTTTTTACAAGTCTGTTTCTGTGTCTCTCTTAACGTTTGTTTTTTTTTTTTTTTTTTTTTGAGACGGAGTCTCGCTCTGTCACCCAGGCTGGAGTGTAGTGTTGCAACCTCGGCTCACCACAACTTCTGCCTCCTGGGTTCAAGCGATTCTCCTGCCTCAGCCTCCCCAGTAGCTGGGACTACAGGCATGCACCACCACACCCAGCTAATTTTTGTATTTTTAGTAGAGGTAGAGTTTCACCATGTTGGCCAGGATGGTCTCAATCTCTTGACCTCATTATCTGCTAGCCTCGGCCTCCCAAAGTGCTAGGATTACAGGAGTGAGCCACCGTGCCCGGCCCAATATTTTGGAACTTTTTGCTTTTTTCCATGTAATAATATACATTGGAGAATTTTCTAAATCAGTGTATACGACAATTGATTTTATCCCATTTTGTAGTTGCATGGCATTTTCTTACATGAATCTTTCCTCCTTTGTTTATCTAGTCCCCTACTGGTGGACATTTAGATTATTTCCAACTTTTGCTGTAACAAACAATGCTACAATAAACACATTGTACATATATCTGAGTGAACATAGCTGTAGAATTGGCATTATCAAATTTGTGTAAATAGTTAACTTCTCAAATAGATGTTGCTCTGTGGAAAGATTATACCAAGTCATACTCCTACCAAGAGGATAAGACAGTGACATTTCCTTTACTCTTTCCAACATGAGACATTAAGCTGTTTTAGTCTCTGCTGTCCTCCTAGGTCATAAACATTGGAATTTTATTATTTTTATTTGAATGTCTTTATGCATGTGCTTGAAATTCTTTTCATTTATTTATTGCCCATTTGTATTTTCTTTCTAGTGTTGTCTATTCATAGCATTTTTGCCTATTTTCTGTTAAGTGGTGTGTCTTTTCTTATTGATTTGTAAGTAGTCTTTGTATGATAGGACATTTATGCTTTATGTATGATAAATATTCTTTCTCCGTTTCTCATTTAGTTTTCACCTTACCTATGGTATTTTTCTCCATGTTTTTTTTTTTTTTCTTTGAGACAGAATCTCGCCCTGTTGCCCAGGCTGGAGTGCAGAGGCACGATCTTGGCTCACTGCAACCTCCACCTCCTATGTTCAAGCAATTCTTCTGCCTCAGCCTCCCAAGTAGCTGGGACTACAAGCATGCGCCAGCATGACCAGCTAATTTTTGTACTTTTAGTAAAGACAGGGTTTCACCATATTGGCCAGGCTGGTCTTGAACTCCTGACCTCAGGTGATCCACCCGCCTTGGCCTCCCAAAATGCTGGGATTACAGGTGTGAGCCACCGTGCCTGGCCCCATGTTAATATATAAATAGAGGAACTAAAGCTGAGAAAGGGAGAATCAGAAGAAGAAATATCCTTGGCTGAAGACCTAGCCTTCCAAAAATATCCTTACAGTAAATTATATCACCAAGGGTGAAGGGGCAATGGAGAATATAAACTGGTTGTTACCTTTAAGAAAATGTGTCTAACCATCCTTATGATTATAAGCCACAAATAAAGATTTCTCCAATGAGTATTGCTTCTTTTGGAATTTCCAATACTCAGAGCTAAAAATCAGAAAGAAGAGAAATGTCTACTCTCTCAAAGCCTGGAAGAAATAGCATAGAAACCTTATTCTTGTTCATTTACATGAATGCTCTATTGAGATTGGTGCCTGGTAATATTATTCAACATTTGGGTGAATGAATACATGAATGAGTATTGAATACATGAATGAGTATGAATTCAGTCATAAATGTCTAAAGACAAAATGACTCTGTAGACATGAGAATTTCAATTGAAACATACGCTTTTCCATAGACTGTAACAGCAGTAACTTAAAACAACTCATGAGCAGAGTAATTTTCTAATATTAACCTGTTTGTTTTCACACTTTTGCTACATGAATGGTACTGCAGAATTGCTCACTCTCCGATTCCTTTCCCATAACATCAATGAATACCCATATATTCAGACCTAACAATTCTGCTACTGGAGTGTTAGATTCCAGTAGACATGTGAAACCCACACAATGTCTAGAAATTCGAGGTTAAAGCTCCCATGGCACCTGTAATTCCAGCCTCTTGCATGTGTGCACTGAGATGTGACATAAGATCTTTCATTGCCTTGGACACATAGCACTGGCTGGGTAAATGGGGCTTGCTCTTGGGAAAGCATTTCAGTGTTCAAGTCTGCCTTCCCTTTGAGGTGATTTGAAAAATTCTCATACTCTGAGATTTTGATCTTAAACTAAATGGCAGACACATTGTTTCCCAAAGATGGCAAATCTCTTAAATACATTAGTGTTTGCTTCATTTTTGTAGGGATGAGCAATTTTGAAGGTACTGTAAAGTTGATCTGAATTATCTGAAAATGCGTCTGAACACTCCATCTCTGATCCTACTTGGAATGACGGTGATGAGTCTCTGCGTTTTTGGTTTGCTGGGGTGAAGTGTCAGTATTCCTAACTGAGACCAGCGGCCCAGCCAACTCATGGAAGAATGTCAGACTTGTCTGAAGGCCCACAGAAATTTGATTTGAGTTTTAGAGAGACTTTTTTTTTTCTTTTTTCTCCTCTCAAGCACTATCTGCTGACTCATTCTCAAAAGGAACTAAAATTGTAGCCCAGGATAGAAGGCCCAATTGAAAAGATTGCTCATGGTGAAATCCCCTGGGAAGGAAGGGATGAGAAGGATAATCACAGTTTTATGTCATCTGGTGAAATAGAGTTTCTCCTCCCTCCCCTAATGCCATATTTAATCAACAGGTGTCTTTGAAGACAGAAGACAGCACTGCTGGTTGCCTGAATCTATCTCTGGTTGTCTAATCCTGACTGCTGCTCATTTCTTGTGTGGCCTCTGATAAGTGATGGAGCCACTTCCATCTTCATTTCCTAAGGAGAAGAGAGTACGAAGGATTTGTTTCTAAGAGACTTGTACAGCTATGTAGATCATCCCTCTAGTCACAAGTTTTCATTCCTCCTTTCTATACATGTTACAAGACCCAAGTTATTATTATTTTGAGGCAGGTATTCACTTTGTCATCTAGGGTGGAATACAGTGGCGCTCATGGCTGATTGTAGCCTTGACCTCCCTTGGCTCAGGTGATCCTCCCACCTCAGCTCCCTGAGCAGCTGGGACTACAGGTGAGTGCCACCATGCCCGGCTAATTTTTGTAGTTTTTGTAGAGACTAGGTTTCTCCATGTTGCCCAGTCTGGTCTTGAATTCCTGGGCTCAAGTGATCCACCCATTTCCGTCTCCCAAAGAACTGGGATTACAGGCATGAGCCACCATACTCACCCCCAAATTCTTTGTTATAGTATGTAAGGTCCTCTGTAGTCTAGTTCAATTCAGTCTTTCCACTCCCATCCTCTCCATCACCTGTACACTTTCCTCCCCAAAGTACCCTCCACTCTCCTAGAAAGCCCTTTACCATAGTTTCCTATGCAAGACCTACCTATCTTTCAAGGCCAGGCTTAGATCCACCTGTGCCAAGAGGCAGTGTGGCCAGTGTGTGTAGTAAAAGCAGGAATCAGGAATGAGAAACACTGGGCTTGAAACCCAGATCTGTCCCCTGTTAGTTATACTCTTGGGCAAGTTACCTCACTCCTCTGAACTTTAACTTCTTCCATATGAAGTAGAGACATCATGGTATTATCTCCCATAGGGCTACTGTGAGAATGGGATGCAAGAGTGTGTGGGCCAGTGATCTGTGGAGGGACTGTATGATCTGTGAAGAGATTTATGAAAGGGACTACATAAACAACTATTATCATGAGGTCTTTGTCTGTCTCTCCAGTTCAAATCATCCTTTCTTTTCTCAGGGCTATGGTAACACTTGCTGTGCTCTGCAGGGCACACATATGTGGCTTATCTTCTCGCTAGATCTCCTGGCAGAGCCCTTTTGCCATTGGGGTTCTATCTTCACAGAACATAGTTTAGTCCCTGCCTAACAGACATGCAATCACCTTCATATGGTTGGTCAGTTTATGATGCCCCTGAGACTGAGGTACCACCAATTCCCATAAGGCCAGCTAGCTTTGCACAGGAAAGGTTTATTCCATAGATTACCTAAATTTTGTCAGATTTGCACTATATTGGCCCTGCAGATAGTGTGGGGACATATAACCCTATCCATAGCCTCTGGGGAAACATCTCAGTGCACAGGCAACTGATGGTGGGTCTATCAGGTCAGTGGCAGAACTGTAATACACAAAGAGTGACATCACTTAATGATATCATCCCATGGATCAATTAATACATAATGGGAAGAACGCTATAGATATGAAATCATTAAAGCAACAGAAATTGAAACAGGGTGTAGTCTTCTGCAGAGGAAAAGACACCTGTATAACTCTGAGATTACGAAAAAAGCTATTGTGGCTGGTTGAAGGTTTTATGAGATTGTGTGTGTAGGTGTGTGTTTGTGTGTACGTAACAGACAATGTCCCTTAGCCTACTTAATTCGTTACAAAACAACAAGCAAAATATAGACTTAAAAGGAATGTTTTAAGTACAGAACAAAAAAACTATCAATATAAAAATTTTCCCAACTCTTTTCTTTCTTTCTATTTTTTTGGCTGGGGGTAACTTAGTACTGGCATTAGACTAATGCTATATACCTAGAAAGAGGCTTGGTTTAAATCAACTGTTTTTTAAACAAATGCCAAGTTAACTGTTTAACCCCAAACAGAAAGAGACATGAAAATCCCAAATCTTTTTTAATGCAATTGTTATTCAAGACCTACTTATGACACAGTCTGATGGATCCATAAGATGCCTTCTAATAGATTTTATTTAAATAGTCCAATATTCCATTATTAAAGGAGCTGAAATAAGAATTCCGTCTGTCTACCTGCCCATGATCTGTAGAAGGGCCTGGGTATTTCAGTAAACTACTATATTTTTGGTTGTCTCCTTGTAATGGAGACTGTTTACTTTGTCTGCTGGAAAAGAAGGACTTATTTTGGAAAACAGTTGTATAAAAATTCTATCCAAAAATTTGGAATTTCTTCTTTTCTTTAAGGATAAAAATAATTCAAGATGGTAGTGATACAATTTTATTTATTTTTCATTAAATACCAGAGGTGTCTTTAGTGTAAAGTGCCAAATTCTTTATGATTTTTCTTTTAAAGACTTCTCTCTCTCTCTCTCTCTCTCACACACACACACACACACACACGCAAACACATACACACACTGCCTCCACGATTCTATAATTCATAAAAATGTAACAAAAGCAAATGATATTTTCATGGTATAGTGGAAAGAACACTGGCCTAAGGGTGCAGAGCCCTGAACTTTCACTATGACTCTGTTGGTAGTTAGCTGTATGATCTTGGACAATTCATTTAACAACCTAGACCTCAGTTTCCCCACCCATAAAGTGAGAAATTCAAGCTAAACACTCTCTAAAGCTTTAAAGTTGCCAACCTATAAACTTAAATTTGGATGGCAGTGGAACTGGAAGGAAGCCTTTTGGTGGAAATTATTCACACACAAAACAGGATTCCACTTGGTAACCACCTGAGGGGAGCAATTCTGTGTGGTCACGGGGACAGATCAATAGACAGAGGCCATCTTGTCTGGAGTTCTTGTGAATCCAGGTGACATGGAGATTACAAGGTGTGTGTGGTAGAGGGAGGCAGCAACACCTTCTTGAGGACAGAAGTCAAGCCTCTGTTCCCAAGTATTCCTCACTCTGCTGCTTCTTCCAAACCTTGTCCAGATGTTTCCCTGCCCTGCCAGTGACAACCTGCCCTCCAGAGCCTTGCAGAGCCAGCCATAACCCTGGCCCTTCTTTCGGGCTGTGCTTGTCCATTGTTGACTGGCTGTGTGGTTGGTGCTGTACTCTTCTGGAGTTAATGACGAGAGAGTGCCTCTGCCCGACTGTGACTTTGTTAGACACGCTTCTCCTCACCATCCTGGCTATATAGCGTCATTACTTTCCATTCCCTAACCTGCGTTATTGTTCTTCAGAAGATATATCACCACTCAACTGAGATTGTTCTCTGTATGTGTCAGCTCCCTCCACTAGCGTCTACATTCCTGGAGGGTTTTGACCCCTGTTTTATCCTCAATACACAGTGCAGAGCCTTGCAACATAATAGATGCATCATAAACATTTGTTGAATTAATGAAATATGCATGATGGTAAATTTGGACCTGTGTTCTAATTTTCTGACCAATCTGTCCTGGTATGCCCATTCCCAAAAGCAAAGTTCAATTAATGTGTATCCAGCTAAGGTGGCAGGCTTTAAAACATTATTCCTGTGACTTGTGGCAAGGAGGTGCTTTGGCCCCATTTTCTAGATAAGGAAACAGATTCAAGAGGTGCCTTGCTATAAGGCACATGAAGTTAATTTAATGTGTATCCAGCTAAGGTAGCAGACTTTAAAAATTCTTCCTATGGCTTGTGGCAAGGAGGTGCTTTGGCCCCATTTTCTAGATAAGGAAACAGATACAAGAAGTGCCTTGCTATAAGGCACACAGCTACTAGGTAGCAGAGCTGAGAATGAACCCGGGCTTTCTGACTCCAAATCCACTGTTCATTCTCTATTTCCCACCTTCATTCACCATGTCTGTCTTCTCTGTCTCCCCATCTGTAATGACACCACGTGCACTGAGTCAGGCATTCATAGATAAAATTAACTGGATTCAACTGAAGCCAGCCTAAAATTAAGATGCAGTTTTTGAAACCAGGTCATTTCTTAAAGCAGCAAACAGTATCATGTGCTTTTTAACACTGATAATATCAGTGTGGGAAGCAGGGGCGTGGGTCGGGTGTTGTTTAATACTGCAAGTTAACCTGTCTGTGACAAAAGAGTAGCGTGGCTCCAGCAAATATTGCTTCTCCCAATGTGACGGTCAGAGCCTTTCCAGGAGCCGTTCTTGGAAAAGAGAAGAGAATATAATATGGAGGGACTTATAAGGAGGGCAACAAGATTGGGATTTTGTAATCACATAGAGTTGTGCAAATTATGCACAAAATAAAGGGCTTCTGTGAAGAAATCCAGACTTCCCTGGCTTCCTGCACCAAATACCACCTAAGTGCCAAGACCCACAGGTATTTTGAAATATAGACATGACTTATATTTGAGGAAGAACTATGCAGGTGCATAAAATCACATCCTAGAATCACTCAAACCTGATTTTTCCAGGCAGTTCAAACTGGAAATGGACACCCTGGATTTGTGTACACAAATTAGATTCTCTCTAGAGTGTCGTCAACCTCGATCAGTGTAGGGCTGGATTTAGTGCACATACAGGCAAGTGTTCTTGTAAACACATATGAGCACATTTTAGGCACTGAGAAGATTGGTTAGATACTACTGTAGAGGTAACCTAGTTCCACTGTTTCATTTTTGTGATGACTATGAATCTCAAACAGGCTTAATGGACGGTTCATTCTCACCAAGAGAGCAGAAGAATGCTGGCCTCTCTCCTGGTCCACTGTCCTCTCCAAGCACAGTATTTGAACTATTGTGGGAACAGGATCTGGAAACCCCAAGATCCAGAGGTCACATGCGAACAGAAAACTGTGGCTTTCACACAACTTAAACACCAACACACACACTAAAGGCTCAATCTTGCAGAATGCTTGGAGACTGAAGGTAGCTCTGTGGGGACTCAGCCTAGCCAGGTAACTTAGGTGAATGACAGGTTGCTCACAGGGAGGGTTTGGAGGAGCTCATGGCTCCTACCACCCACAAAAAAAGGAAGGACTTTCACTCCCATCCTTGGCCTGAAGTGTCAGGTTCCTGCTCTAAGCCTGTTCTCGAGGCCTGCCATGCCAATCCCTGTGTGTATCTAAAGAGGTTAGCACATCCTGGGTACACAGACCACAGCTTCCTCCTTTTGCTCAGGGCCTGTGCGTAGAGTTTAAGCAGTGTGGAGATATTTCTTCACTTTTCCTTAGGGTGTCCACATCAAGACCCTGAGGCCATCTTACCACCCTTCTGGATCAGAAGAGGCCTTCAGAGTAAGTGGTAACTGTCCTGATTGGGGCGAGGGAGTTTTCTAGAGGGGAGCATCTCATTACTAAACCCAGAAATACAGAGACACTTGCATGAACACATCAACAGGAAGCAGAGAAACAGGCATAAAATGGCCCAATGACCCCCACTCTCGGGTCTTTGCAGGAATCCCCTCTCACCTACTTCTCACCTACTCACTTTGGGTTTGAGGAACCCAGGCTCTTATAGGCTCTTATAGCTCCCTTTAACCCATCACAGTCAGTTATCTCATCTCCAGATTTGCAAGTTCCTTCGGTTGGTGTCTTTTACCTAAGTCAGCATATTTCAAACTTTCATAAAAAAAACTTAGAAAATAAAAACCACGACCCCACCCAGAAGATAAAAATCTCTTGAATTCTCTGAGCCCAACATCTTAGCCTTCTCTTGCTGAGCCCTGAGCAGGGAGTCGATTCTTTCGGGTTCTGGGGAATGGCGGGCTCTGCCAGTCCCCACCTCGCCAGCCTAATAGTTTTTCCAGACAGACTCCCGCTTGGTGTTGCGCGGCAGCCTCGAAGCTAACCCCTGGTCCCATTCATTCCCCTAGGTCCTCTAAGGCCCGTCACGTTAGGGGGTGTCCCTCCTCTCTGCTCCTGGCCCTACTTGGCGAACCCTTTCAGAGACAGCAGTCAACTTTTCTGAAGTGAGACGCGAACCCAAACCCTCACCTTTCCGCCTGGGTTGCACTTTGCAACCTAGACCCAGGCTTGGCGGCGGCGGCTGGGGTGGGAATGGCCGGGCGGGCGCGGGGCGCGGGCTCACAGCCGGCCCCTGCAACGGAGGCGGCTCCGAAGGACGCAGGACCCTTTCGGAGGCGACAGCTCCAGGAGCCCTGGTCCTGGAGCCGGCGCACGCCTAGGCGCGAAGGGCGGGGGCTCGGGGCGCTAGGGATCTGTGCGGACGGGGGCTGGGGAAGGTTCCCCGCCGGAGAGGCGGCGAGGCCGGCCCAGGAGTCCCGCGGAGCCGGCGGCTCTCCAGCGCCTAGAGCCGGGCGACTGAGTGCCGAGAGGAAGGGAAAGCGCTGACATGTAAACAGGGGCTTCCATCTGGAGGAGCCCGCTCAGATAGATCCCCCGACACACTCACTTGCACCCCTACCCTCGTGCAACGAGGCCACTTACCCACCCCAGGGCCCACCAGGCAGGGACCCGAGCCCGGGCGACTGCAGCCCCCGCCCCCGCCGTGTTCCGCCTCTGCGGAGAGGAAGCCCAGTGCCTAGCGCTGGGGCCACGGGAGCCCCGGGTGTCGGTGGGAGTGGTGGACCCCGAGGTCTCTCGCCCTTGACTCCGTTCCGTACCCTGGGGTCCCCCGGTTTCCCGCCGTCCCCTCCTGCAGCCCCGGCGGGCAGCGAGGTGGGAGGGGGGCCGGGGCTCCACTTTGGGGGCTGGGATTTCGGGGGAGGGTCGCCCTCAATGCGGGCGCCTGGCCGGCTGGCCCGCGAGTAGGACTCGCCACCCGAGCGCCGGAGGAGCCGGCGCGAAGCCGGGGCGCGGAGGGAAGGGAGAGAGGCCACGTCTTCCGGGACGCGGGCCCCGCACCTACCCGCCCGCCGCTTCGCCTCCCCGGCCGGTCCCCGCCGCCCGCGTCCGTTGCCCCGCCGCTTACCTTAATAGTCCCGTCCATTTGGCCAAGTCTGCAGCCGAGCCCCCCAATATTCCACACATTGACCCGGTTACAGCCTGACCTCGCAGCCCCTTCGGATTAGCCCGGCGCGGCCTCCCTGGCGCCCTGGGCCCTCCCTGCGTGCCCCCTGCGAGCGCCCTGCCCTCACTCCCCTGTGCACGTTTGTTGTTGTAGCGGAGCGAAAGAGACAGTTAACCGGATGAAACTTTTTTTTCAGCTAATTTTGGGAAGTGACTTCACTTTGCGAATCGGGGAGGAAGTCCTATCTCTCTCTCTCTCTCTCTCTCTCTCTCTCTCTCTCTCTCTCTCTCTCTCTCGCCTCGAGCTCTCCTCTCTCTTCTCTCCCCTCTGCTCTCCCTCGTCTTCCCTCCCCCCCCACACCCCCTCTTCCTCCCCTGCTGGTCCTGCTTTTCGCATCACACACTATATAAATATACGCGGAGATGCCCAGACACATTCATGCGCTGCGCACACAGGATACTTGCTCCTGGGAGATAAGAGCTAGCCGGGAACAATGACGGGGTCCACGCCCAGCGTCCGCGCCCTGATTCCCGAAGTCTGAACCTCCCCCCATCACCTTCCCCCAAAATCCAAAGCCAAAGACCTTTGGCTTCTTTGCTTTTCCTGAGGCGGTTGGCCGAAGGTGGCCCTCCTGACTCATTCACTTTCCGTTTCTTCCCACAGATACGTTCATTAATGCTTTTTCCAGCCGGAGACAAACTTTTTGGGGGTGGGGTAGGGGGGGTATGGAGGGAGAGTTGGCTAGGGCTGCGGGTAACCCAGCGCCTACTGCCGGGGAAGACTCGGACGAAAACCGAGGCAAACCAACCATTAAAAAGTGCATCCAATAAGAATTTTTCCACTCAGGCCCTCCGCTGCCGAGACGCGGCAGACTCCCAGAGCGGCTCACCCACTCATCGAAGCGGATTCTGGGCGGTTTCGGGCTGACCCGCGCTGTCAGGGCGCGGACTCCATTCCGGGCGCATTGTTAGGAGAAGGGGCCCCTCGGGGCGGCGCGCCTCGACCCTGGGCTCCCGGTGCCCGCAGAGGGCGGAGATCCGCGGCGCCCTAGGCCACCTATCCGCATCTTCTCGAGCCAAACCCCCAGCGCTTACCCGGACCCGACGGCCCAAGCACTGACTCCCAGGCAAGAGTCGCCCTTCCTGGTCCCCAGGGAACTGACACTACCGCGGGACGTTCCCTCTAGGACAGTCAGCAGGTCCCAGGAGCGCAGCACGCAACAGCGCAGAGCAGACCCAGACTTTTCCCGGGGTGAGACCCGGAGGCCCGCGCTCTGGACCGTCCTCCCTACCCAGCCTGGAGGCCGGCGTTCCCCGGCCCAACCCGGAGACCTCCCCGCCTCCCTCCTGGGCCGCCGCGCGCCCCAGTTGGAGCAGCCTCGAGGGGCTGGGCCCTTTCGGCCGGACTCCCTTCTCCCGGACATCCAAAACAGGTTACCTTGTCCACGCTCTCCGGACCACGCTTTGGACTTGCTCACTTTTATTTAAGAGTCCGACGGGGGAAAGAGGGAAAAAAAATCCAGAGGAGATCCAAGTCAATTGGAAGAAAAAATTTCAAAAGGGTGTCCACAGAGGCGAAAAAAGGTGACTTATTAATTCTTTATTTCTTCAGGAGCAATTGAGCCCGAGAGCTCACTCGTCTCCCTCCCTCCCCCTCCCTCTCTAGAAATTAGTCTCATCAATTCGGCTCCAATTTTGGGTTCGAATACAGACACGGGTCTGAACGTGACCAGACCTGGAGTGGCGGGTGCAGCCTGCCAGCAATTGAGACTTGGTGTGCGTGTTGGGGGTGGGGGTGGGGTGGATGGTGGGATGGGGGCCGGGCTGACTCCCCCCGCTCCTGTCTGCTTCTCAATCCAGGGGTCTGCTCCGGGGCTCCCCTGGGACCGCCACATCTGGTTACCGCTAGCGGGGTCAGTCCCCCCCTTTGCCTGGGGCCACCAGTTCTGGAGTTCAATTAAAAGAAATCAGGCTTAACCCTTTCCTCCCCGCGGCAGGCTGCCTGCCCTCTCACTCCTCCCTTCAGCGTTTCCACGTGCTTTCCAGAGAGGAAAGAGGTTAACGGGAAAGGAAGAATGAATTACATCCTTTCAAACCCCAAATTGTTTCCTTTTCAGCCCAGGCTCTACCGACCTTCAAACTACAACAGAGCTTTCAGGAGAATGCGGAGAGACGGCTTCCCACCCGGACCTCACCAGAAACCCGCACACCCCAGCCACATTGCTCCTCATTCAGCCAGAAAGGACTCCAACTCCACCACCAGGAGGCCCCCCTTCCTGGTGCTGGCCAGTTGCAGAGGCTGTTCATGGCATCCCACAGGTGGCGACTGCCCCCCACCCTCCTCCTAGCACTTTAGAGGGTCCCTCTGTGGCAGACACCATGGCTAGGTTTCTCTTTCCAACTCCTGTTGGTCTGGCAAGTGACAGATCATCTTCACTACATTAATCAGTAGTCACCCGAACATTCCTATACTGTCCCCCAATTCCTTTCAGCACCAGCTGCCTCCCCCACTGGAATTATTCAATATGGAACTAGATTAAATTGAAGACTTGCCCTTTAGTTTTTAACTGTGGAACTCCATCGCACTTTCTGTTTCTCCAAAGCTACGGCAATTTCATGGTTTTGGAGATGGGCGGGGGGTAGTGGAGAGCCTGGCACAGGCACCACTAGATGCATAGACACAGGCACCCCGGCCCTTTGGGACTCACAGACTGGCACTGGTGCCACTGTTGTTGGCGATTTTCAGCCCCCTGGGAGAAGCTCCTGTCCATTCACAGAGGTCTCCACCCAGAAAGAAGACCCCACCTAACTCTGACTAGATGCCTGCGGGAATCTCGGATTTCCTCCATCCAGTGTTGGCATGCCCGTAGGTCAGTTTGCCCCACTTTTATGTAACTCAGGGTTTGATGGTCAACTCCACTGCTACTGCTGCTTTTTTAAATCCTGAAAGGGGATGGGGGAAGCGCCCTAACCAAGCACAATAGTAAACAAGTCTACCCTGTTTAATGTGGTTACCACCAGACATCTGGAAAGATGGTTTGATCCTGGCAGCTCACATTGTTTTCACGAGCAGCCAAAGGGGATATTTTGAATGTTTGCATTGAGACAAATTGATAGAGAGCCTGCGGTGAGGGCCTACAAATGAAAACTGTCTTGTGTTAGTGGGGCAGACCTCCCCTTCCCTCTCCTCTCCCTCCTCTCTTCTCTCCTTCCTCTTTCCTTAGTCTCTGGGCCCAGCTTGGGGAAGGCTGCCCCTGCCCACACACTTGTGCACACCCTCTTTCCTGGCTTACCATGGCTCCAATGGCCTCGCCCTTTCCCAGACTGGGCAGAGCTGCTGAACAGGAGCTGGTATGAGTGCCATCGGCGACAGCTCACTTTCCAGCAGCTCGGGGCTGGTTTTCAAGTCAGAGGCAGCTCACAGCCAAGGAAGCTCTTCCCAGTATTTAAAACAAAAGCTACCAACTGGAGAAAAAAATGTCCCAACAACAAAACAGCCCACCACATGTTTCCAAGTCTGGGGTCACTTACAGAAACCGTGCACATGGGCGTGAATACTCAGGAAATATTTGGATTTGGAGCATTTTCATTTGGAACGCTGGTGAGACGACTTGCCTCGCACCATTCGCACTTGACAGTATTTTCAAAGATGCGGAAGTCCTGCTTCCCCCGGGAGGGGAGCGGCGGGTCGAAACGTGTCTTGGCTCGCTCAATGTCAGCCCTTTTGACCCGGTCAAGACTTTCCAGACACGGGCTTCCCGGGCTTCTTCGGCCCCAGACTGGGTTTGGGGTGGGCGGACCTGACGATCTGAGCCTGGTCCCTGGGGTAACAGACCCAGGGGTGGCTCCGTCACTTGAAACTCCGCAGGATGCCAGGCCTGGCAGAATGTCTCGGGCCGCTCCTCTCCCTCCGTCCTTCGTCCTCCCCTCCCATGCCCCTCTGGTCCAGCGAGGCCGCAGCGGGTATCCGAGCTGGCAAAGGGGGAGGAGGAGAGGGCGGGAGAAAACCGGAGGGGTGGGCGGGCAAGCGCCAAAACTCCAGACTGCACAAATGCAGCTTCAAGTGTCTGGCCTCTCGCTCGAGGCCATAATTAATTTGAGATTTATTTTTATTGGAGAACTCGAGTCTCGTCTGACCTTAGCCAAACAAGGCAGCTCAAGCCGCCCCTGGATGCGCTTGAATGCCGGGGAATATTTCTGCAGGAAGGCTCTGCAGGCGCGCCTGCTTTGAATTTGTTTCTCAGACTTCATCTACTCACAGAGTGAAGGAAGATTTAGAGCCTCTGCTCGCCTGGCCCGCTCCCCACGCTGGTTCTTGCCTTAGCGCTGAGCGGGTTCAGAACGCTACGTGGGAGGCCGCGGCGGCGGGAGGGCCGGGGGCGGGCGGGTTGGGGAGGAGGAGGGTCTCCGAGCCCCCAGACCACGCGGCGTCGCTGAGGAAACCCCGAGGGAGTCCAATCCTGACCAGAGAGAGCAGGCTGACAAGAGGTGGAGACCAGCCAGGTGTCCAGACCCTCGCCCAGTGGCGGATCCAAGATGGGGCCGTTGGGATGGGGCCAAGGTGGGTTCAGCTTCTCCAATCTCCATCACACCCCCTCCTCCCAGCCGCCCCAAACAGCATTCATTCTAAGAACAGATCCGTGGTCTTGAAACTCAGCTTCGAGACCCGCCGGCAAGACCACCTTAGGGGTGGGTCACTGTGAACATTCTGGGGCTAGCAACCTCCTTTCGTCCGGGGGACAGGCGGAAGACGGCATCTCCCTCAGAATGCAGCCTGGGCCCAATCCTCAGGCTGATAAGTGAAGGAGTTAGAGCAAGGAACCTGGGGGGTACACAAGGAGAAAAAAAGGAGGACCCTGCCAGTCCTGCGGGGGTGTTGGGCGGAGGACGGGCGAGAAGCTTTCAGATATATGCTCTGCGCGCTAGGAGAAAGTGCTTTGCACTCCGCGGGCATCGTGCAGGTGCGGGTCAGGGTTACTCCACTGGGTCTCCTGGTCCCTCCACGCCTCCATCCTTAAACAAAATATCAGGAGCGGAAGTTCCAGTTTGAGGACTAGCGCACCTAGGTTTGAATTCTAGCTCTACACTTACTAGCTCTGAGGGCTTGAACAAGTTACTTAACCTCCCTGTGCCTCACTGTCCTCATCTGTACAATGGGGTTATAATAGGACTTATCTCAAAGGGCTGTTGTAAAGACGAAATAAGCCTTTAGAACTTGCCTGGCAGCCAGCACAACTTTGTCATTACTCTATGTATCTTGGCTCTGCCCCTCACATCACATTAACCTCACAATGCCTCAGTTTCTCGCCTGCAGAATGGACTACCTCCTAAGATTGTTGTTAATATTAAATGAGCTAATACAGACACAACGCTTAGAGCAGCGGCTGGCGAAGGTAAGATCTGAGAGGTAGCTATGAATGTCGTTGCGGTTATCCATCAACTACTGCATGTCAGTGTCTCCAAGTGTCACCCTCTTCCCTCTCTCCCTTTCCCTTGTTCTTCCCTGCCCCTTTCCTACCTAAAGCGCTCTTATGTGGGCAATTACCTCCTTTACCTCTCTGTGGGACCCCTCAGAGCCCAGACCACTGTTCAGATCGTGACCCCGGTGGAGCCGGCACCCTTGGCCCCTAGGGGCCAGGCTGGGCTCCTCCCTCATGGGGCCTGGGCGCCTGGGCCTGCGGTGTTTGTCAACAACTCCTGAGCCGGGTGCCTGCCGGACAACGGCAGGGGCTTGGCAGCCTGCAACTGTTTGTGCCCCTCTGGCAAATGTTCGATGGAGGGAGCCGGTGGAACAGACTCAAGATTGTCCCTGCCACGCAGACCTTTCGCCGCCATCAATGCACCCCTTTGTGCAACAATACAAACTTTGTGGCTGCTGAAAAATCCATTTTTCCACCTTGAAAAGAGCTCCTGCAGCGAGCAGCTTCTCTGGCGGCCCACAGCTCCCAGACTGCCGTCTCCTCGCCTCCGCTTTGTCCCTGACCCGTGGCCTGAGTCGGGTTCCGGGGCTCCCACGTGCCCCTCTAGGGCTCCTCATCCCTGAGGTCCTGGGTCCCGGGGTGTGTATGGACTCGAGGGTTCCTATGAGTGGGAGAGAGACTGCAGCTCCCCTCCCCGGGGCCATTTACAATCCTCAGTGCAGAGCTAGAAGTGAGAGCTCCTCTTGCCGGGCTCGGGTACTCCGAGTGGTGGGAGTACCCGAGTACTCTTCCTAAACTTCTCAGGAAAACTGGGGACAGCGAATCCGTGCGCGCCTTAGTCTAACCTTAAAGTATGCTCTGTAACCTCCTGGGAGTCATTTTGCTATCCATCCATTCACTGGTTATTGCTACATGAATTACACTGTATTTCATTCATTCATTCACTCACTCAGGCATTGTCAATGAAACACCCCTTTTTGGGCCAAGCCTCTAGGATTAGGCCTTCCCTTCCTGAAATGACGAGTGACTGCTTCACACGGGAAGATGCGTCCGTGTGACAAGTTTTCCTTTAGAGAGATCTGAGGAGGGTTGGACGCATAATTGGCAATCCTTGGACAGGACCCGAGAGTCTGCATCCCATCACACAGGGCCAGGGACTGCCCTGGCATTTGCCCGACACTCGAGGGAGCTCAGCTGGGCCTCACTGACCGGTCTGGGGAGCACTTGGAGGCGGGGCTTCAGGATGGGGAGGGCGGGGCAGAGATCTGGGAAAAGTATGCGGGTGTTTGCAGCACTGCGGAGAGTCCTTCCTCCTCCGCTCTCGGACTGACTCAGATGGTCCTAAGCTTTGGGTCCCTACTCGGAGGGCGTCAGGTCGCGGCTGCATGGCGTGAGGGGACCCAGTCACCGCCCCTCCCATGAGCAGGGCCTCCTGGTGCGCACTCCCCGCCCCACCCAGCCAGCGGATTTTCATTTAACTTGTAACCCAGGTGTCCCAGCTTCAGTTTGTTTACATTCTTGGAAACTGTTGTGGAAAAGAAAAAAAAAAACCAAAACCCTTCGATGTGCTGTCAAATATAGCAATCTGCGCTTCCGAAGGGCGGGCGGGGCCAAAGAAGGTGGGCTCGAGGACTGAGCGCGTGTCTCACCTGTAGGAGAAGCGCGTGGCGCCCGCATACCCGCACACAACCCCACATACACACGCCCACATGCAAACAGGCGCACGCATGCACACATGCACAGACGCGCTCACACACAAGCGCGCGCACGCGCTTAATGCAGGGAACACGCTGTGCGCCAGCCGCTCAGAGCACCCCACCCGTTGGGACCTGACGCGGCGAGCTGCTCGGTCTTCCTGCACAGGCTTCGCCAGGCTCTCCTGCTCCAAGTTTCCCAAACACTAGCCGCCAGGAGCGTTGCTTCTCAACCTAGGATTCCCGAGGGTCTGTGCCACTCTCATCTGGCCAGGAGCGCCCTAGCTTGAGATCCACGAGCCGAGAGTAGGGCCCACTTCCACCCCTACCCCTTTTTCCCGGGGAAAGGGAAAAGGGACCATAGGCCCGGGTGGGGTAGAAGCTGGGGGTCATCACCTGTTTAAAGACGCTGCCATGTCTTACCTTGATGTAAGACGACGTGTCGGGGACTGTCTGAAACATCGTGGGTAGCTAAGGGTCGGGAACGCCCAAGAACCAGCCTGGGAGGGAGAAGCCTCGGTTACCCGCGAGTGGAGCGAGGGAGAGACGGTGGGATGGTGATGAAGTGGGGATGCAGATGGAGAGACTGTAGGGGTTTGGGAAGCTCAGATCCGCCTAGTCCGGCGAGGGAGGGTCCGAGTGGTTGGGTGTTGAGCACTCTCCCTACGCCTCAGTCCCGTCCCCGGGCTTCAGGCCAGGGGACGGTGAGAACTGAGAGCCACCTCACACCATTGGGTCTCCTCCCTACAGTCCTTTTACTCTCCCCTGCCCGAAATCAGACTGCCGCCTCCCCCAGGGCCTGGGCAGTTTCGAACTGGGGATGCCCGCAGCTTGTTCTGGAAACCAGGATGTTCTAGTTCTTGGTGCGTGTTGAGGAGAGAACGCGACCAGGACAGAGGTAGGACTCCCCTTTCTTGCAGGCTGAGGAGCAGAAGCTTACAGAGCTGCCAACACTCGCCCCTCAGTGCACAGACCTGCTTGACTTCCTCACCACCCTTTCTCTGCCAGCATCCAGCTGCGCTGCTCTTCCCTGCTGGTGGCCCGGGGACGGAGGAAGACTAACGCAAGGTTAGGGAGGTCTGTGGAGGCCCCTTAGAAAATAGGTTTTTGGGAAGAGACTGCTACAATGACTGTCAGGTCCTCATTTTTAGTGGCAGGAGAGTCTTACTTAGGTCTGATAATTTGGGCTGGAAGGCGCAAAAGCCACCCTAGGTTGCCAGGTGCCTCTGCGTGAGTGGGTCTCTCCCTGACTTAGCCCAGTCTGGCGGCCGTATCTCTCCTCTTCCTTTCCTTCCTTCTCTTAACCATCTTTAACGTGGCGGCTCACAGCTTCTCTGGCAGCCAATGTGTTTCTGATAAAGCACTTTTCTCCCCACTAACAAATTCCAGCTTTTTTTTTTTTTTTTTTTTTTTTTTGGCTCCTCAAGCCACAAGAGAACACACACTAGTGCAGGGACAAGGTATATTCCTCGGGCCCAGAGATTCCCTTCGCCGCCTCCGCCCAGGCGCACTTTCTTCAGTCTCTCCCCCAACCCCAGCGACCCCACCGGTCCCCTACATTTTTTTTTTTGAAAGTCGAAGTGTAATTTACAAGAAAACAGAGAGGAAAGAAGGAGAAAAAAGAAAGCCGGAGAAAGGAGAAGACCCCAAAGTCCCACATTTCCCGACTGCAACCAGAACAAGCAGCGAGACACACTGAGGCGCCCCGACCCTGCATCGCCCCCAGAGGATCGGACGCAAGTGGGCACTCACCTTAGGCACCCTTTCCTGCTAAGCCCGCAGGAGCGGAACTCCGGGCAGCTCCAGGATGTGTTAGTTCTTGGTGCCTATCCTGTGTGCCCAGAGCTCCCAGAACCCAGCCAGTGAGGAGTTAAACCTGCTGCGTGCCTGGAGTCAAAGTTTGCCTCTCTCTAGGGCCTGCCCACAAGCAGCCTCAGCTCAGGCGCATCCTGGGGGGCTGCAGGAGCCGCTGTGCAGGAGCTATGCGTGCACTGAAGCTTTCCCCTTCGCTGCCTCCCGCCAGCTCTCTGGGTCCCACTCCCTCTTCCTTTCTCTTTCCCTTTCTTGTAATTTGATTTCCGCTTTCTTATCAATATTCCAACTGCTGTCTGATGAATTATTCTTACAGGACAGCCACCAGTTTGCCCCCAGCTGCTTTTCTAGAAACCACTCGGTGTTACTAGGAAACTTTAAAGAACGCTAGAAATCATGAACGCATATCATAAATAAAGACATACAACTAAGCGAAGCCAAAAGAAGACATGCAGACCCAGGCTTCTTTGAGCTGATTATTTATTCTTTGAAAGTTCCAAATTATCGATATGCAAGTAATCATTCCTCAAACTTGATATCGGTGAAGTTATCTTTTACTTTTTGAGCCCTTATGTTTTTCTTTCGTAAGGGTTACTCCTTCCCCTTATTGAGTCCTATTGCGCCCGCCCTCCCAACCACCACCGAGAATACACCTCTTCTTGATCCACTTTTTCTAGGCAGTATCTATAAGAGCAAAGTGGATTGCAAATGCCATAGAAATAGCCATATTATGAGGTTTTAATTTAAAAAACCTCAAACATTTAAAAGCATTCTTGTTAAGGAGTTGTTTCTGGGTTGTCAAATTTGTGTTTTCTTAAAATTTGGAACGTTGCTCATTCTTTCACTCGAATGGGGCTCAGATTTCTGAGTCAATGCTCATATGGGCCCTTTCCACTGCCCAATCCCAGGGCCATTACCCACAAAATAGAATCTGCATTGCTGAGTTGGTTGTGCTTTGGGGTGGGCGGCACCCCACCCCTCACTCTCCTCTGTGGATCTCTGGCAACAGGGAGTTGTTCACAGTTGTTTCTAACCTGGGTGTGGGGGGGGGGGCAGGGTGGCAGGGGAGAGGTGACAGGTAAGGATGGAGATGGGAGTATGTCAGTTAGCAAAAGCAAACCCCACAGCTTCCTGCACCACTCTGAGTTGGCTTCTGTTTCTCAAGCGTTCTCTTCCTTCCTTCTTGGGTACCCAGATCCCTGACTGCTTTGCTCTGGAACCTTCGAGAAAATTTATTTAGTACCTGCTCCCCCTACCCCCTTCCCCAATTGGCTCTGGACATTTCTGACCAAAAGGCAATTAGTAGGATTCCATTTCAGGAGAAAACACACCTATCATCCAGATCTCCCCACGTGGGGGGTATGAGGGCTGGCGGCAGGGTTATTCGTTATTTCCTTCTCAACAATATCCCGATTTTTCTCTCCCATCCCTCCCCCAGAGTTCCACATATTGAAACATTTTGCTGCTTAATAAGAGCAGCCGGGAGAGCAATGAGGTGAAAGGCCAGCCTGGGACTGTGACTGGGGCTGCCTGGGCTGGGCACAGAGGGCTGGGCTGCCCCCCGCCCCACATTCCTGACCATTGCTTAGGAAAACAAGACAGGGGGCCTGGGGAGGGGGGGGGCCTGAAGGACTAGAGCCACTGCCCCAGATTTTTGTTCTTGGGATTCTTGGGGAGATCATCTTCCCTCCCAAAGGAACAAGCATGCTATTCCAAACAACTGCAAATAAAACAGTAGATGCTCCTATATCAGATAATGCATCCTACCCTGATGTCATGCATTTTGAAGATAGATTATCTTTAGGAAACCTGGAGACTTGAAAATGAAGGCTTCAGCTGTATTAGAGAAAGTGAGGACTAAACAAATTGTCGAATATCTCACCATCCTCAGTTTTTCCCCTTCTTCCCTCCCTCCCTCCCTCCCTCCTTTTCTTCTTCCCTCCTTCCCTCCTTCCCTCCTTCTTTCCTTCCTTCCTTCCTTCTTTTCCTGAGAGAGATTTCTAAGAGATCACTTGGGTACATCCTTCTAGATTTGAAGCTCTTCCTTCTTCACATTTTCACAGTTGTTATTGCATCCTTATTTGTAGATGTATCTGTTTAATGTTTGTCTCCTTCCAATACCTTGTAAGCTCCCTGAAAGCAAAAGTTGAGCTTGTTTTGTTCACAGCTAGACACCCAACGTTCACACTGATATCCTTAGGCAGAGAAGTGGAACAACTATTAAGCTACCTCCCTTCTGTCTAACCAATAACTCATAACAGAAATATAAAACAAACAAAACAAAAGTGTCACATTGTTATTAAGGAAAAACTGACAGGAAAGTTTTACCTGAGTGATACTGATTCATTTTCTGCTTTGCAGGGAGGGTTACATAAAATCAGTGCTCATGGGTCTGCTTCATTTGTGCATAAATGGTTTAACTAGAGAGATCATGCCCCTTCCAAGCACCCTGGGAGATGGTCACAGATGGAGAGGCCAGTGTCCTAGGCTTTGTACGAAACTCATGTGTGTGTGTGTGTGTGTGTATGTGTGTGTGTGTGTCCTATTTCCCATTCTTCCTGTGATTTTAGAAGCCAGAATGGGTGCTCATTCCAAGGGTTAGGCAAATGATCAAAATCTTGGTGGTCTTAGGAAAACAGATGAGCTGAGAATGAACTGAGGAAGAATCTGAAGTTCCTTTCAAACAGGGTTTAAGAAATGGACATACACCTGGAAGCCTGCTGTGTGTGTGTATGTGGTGGGGGGTGGTGATGGGAAGGGTTGTGACATGCTCACTGGGAAAGTGAGCCCTAGCCACCCAGTCCAGGGTCAGGGGTGGGGTGAGAGTGGAACCCAGGCTATCTTATTTTCCAGGAGGATATGGCCAACTCCCTTTGTCACCTGGAGCCTTCAATTCACCGGAAGAAAATTGCTGAAATTGGCAACAGCTGCCATGAAACAGGAGCAAGAGAGAGGCAGCTGGGGGCAGGGAGGACTCATTAAAGCCAACTTACCCCTCAAAAGGGAGAATGGGGTGGGGAGGGGGTTCTTGCCCCACAGTTATGCTCCCTCGCCAGCCTATACCAAGCTGCTTCCCTGGGCCATAGATTTGCAATGCAGAGCCTGGGTAGAAAGAGACTCTCGTGTGGAGGTTACAGCAGCAAGAGATTGGAATCCAAGAAGGGCACTCCAGTAGGAGAGCAGGAGAAGATATCTGGGCAGTGCCCCTCTGAATCATCCATGCACTCCATCATTCTGAGCAAGACAATTAGGACTTAGCTTCCTTCTTTGGCAAATGAGAGGGCTACATTATATCATCATGAAATACTTTCAAATTTGAACATGCTATACTTCTGTAAGATTATTTAGCCCGGGGAAAGGATATGAACATAAGGCAAATTAATGTTCTAGGATTAGGAACTTTGGGTTCCAGTCTTGGTTGTGCTCCTGATGACGGGCACTATGGGCTGAATTTTATCACTTCCAAATTCACAAGTTGAAGCCCTAAGCTCCAATACTTCAGAATGTGACGCTGATGGGATACAGGGCCTTAGAAAGGGTGAACAAGGTAAAATGAGATCATAGGGTGGGCCATTATCCACTATGACTGGTGTCCTTATAAGAAGAGGAGATTAGGTCACAGACATGTGCGATTACAGAGGAAAGCCCGTGTGAGCACACAGTGCAAAAGCAGCCACCGACTAGCCAAGAAGGGAGACCTCAGAAGACATCAACTTGCTGATAACTTGATCATGGACTTTCAGCCTCCAGAACTTCGAGGAAATCAATTTCTGATGCTCCAGCCACGAAATCTATGGTACTCTGTATGGCAGCTCTAGTAAACCAATACAACTGTGGAATAATATTTTGCCATGATTTGGTTTCTCCAAGTAAGTAAAAGGGAATAAACAATGGTGACTCGTTTCACTCAACCCTTCTAGAACCTACTCTGATGATCAGTATCTATTATGAACCCACAATGTGTTTTGTTTTGTTTGTTTTGCTTTGCCATGTGTGGCTTTGTGTATAAAGCAAAGCAGTGCTCCTGTCTTTATGGTTCTTTTCACTCCACATAAAATCCAAAACCACCCTGAGTTTCTGCCTCCTTTGTGGATTTTCTATTCTTTTTGCTTTTAATGATGGTGAAGGAAGAAAGCCACTTCCTGTGCTTCAAACAAGCAATTTCAGATTTTAAAGGGTAGCCAACAGGGAGTCACCCTCCTTATCTCTCATTATCTGCATCCTCTTGTAGCCCTTGACAGGCTGCAAACCTAGATTGAGCTCCCGGGCATTTCAGGGAGAGAGAAGGGGTGGGAAATCTAGTGAGCGAGATAAGTTCAGGAAATAGAGGCAGTAACTAGAGCAAGGACCATGGAAAGAATGATCAGACAGGGGTCGCTTTGGATTCCAGGATGTGTGTGACCTTCGATTCCCATCATGTACCAACACACACACACACACAGGCAGAGAGAGAGAGAGAGAGAGAGAGAAAGAGGCACACTCATACATATCCCAGGTGTAGAAGAAAATCCTTGGATGGGTAGCAGGAGGGGCAAAAGAGGGGCTGCTGGGGCGAGGGATCTGCCATTCATACCGGTATAGCAGAAAAGTTCTCCCACAAGCAAACAGATTTACCCTCCTCCCATTCATAAATCAAGCATATGTAATGTGCCCTAGGATTGAGGATGCAGAGGTCAGGTTATTGGAGGACAAATAAGATTATGCATTAAAGCAAAGAGGAGTTCTAAGACCAAAGTTTTATGTACTGTATTTTCATCCCTCCAACTCCCTTAGCAAATTTTTCTTCTCAAGTTTGTCTCTTCATAAACATCAATTAATTTATTATATTTTATTACATAATCTCTGAGGCCTATTCTAGCTTAAAATTACATAATTCTAAGGAGCACATTGCTAGTTTCATCTATGGTTATATATTTTTTCAGGTTATTGGGAAATATTCTCCATTGCTGCTCCTGTTTAAAAACTATGGAATTAATCCTTTGCAATAATTTCAGTATGATTCTTAAGAGTGGAATGCTTTTTCTGATGGAATCAGTCATTCATTCGTGTGTCCTGGGGAGAAAGGAGTGAAAAGGACCTGAGTAATATCACTTTGCTATTGATGAGAAGGCAAAGATTTGCAAAGATTGCTATCTTTTCTTTATCAATCTGGCCTTACTCAACCCTGAAAAGGAGGAAAGAGAACAGAATTAAAAGAAAGCATAAAGTTTGGGACTCCTTGTAGAAAAAGCATGACATTACAGTTTGATGGGAAATGAATCAGCCACTTTAAAGGATCCAAAACATAATTGCATAAGTGGGACAACTGGTCCACCCATTGAGACTTTGAGGTGGAAGATGATTGTGTTAGTTGGAAAAAACCCCAAATCCTTTGGGACACCTTTGAGAAAAGTGCCACAGAAATACAAAACATACTGTAGCCACTGAGGTTAATAGAGAACAACGTTAACCAGAGCATAGATGCCATTATCTTTTTCCTCTTCCTTTCTTTCTGACCTTAATTTAAAAAAAAGAGAGAGAGAGAAAGAAGAAAGAAAGAAAGAAGAAAGAAGGAAAGAAAGAAAGAAAGAAAGAAAGAAAGAAAGAAAGAAAGAAAGCTTGCTAGAAGTCAAGCTGCACCAATGCCAATTACATTTGACATAAAGGTTTTAGGTATATTTCTTAATGGGGCTGGTAGGAGTGGGGTGAAGCATGAGGAGATAGTTGAATGAGAAGGTATACATGATATCCCTAATGCTAGTGCACTAGTGCTTAAGGACAGTCTTTGGAGAACTGAGATATGTTTGGTCAAGTGCTTCTAACTTCTAGAGAGAAAAGATGCTGCATAAATACTTGTCTGATTAAATATTGGTCTGATGTCTGATGTTTGATTATTATTATTACCCTCAACTTTGACAGACAGGGGACAGTGGGGTCCCAGAGAGACAGCATGACCACTCAGTAGTACTTCAATGCATTTCACAGCTGAACACGAAACAATGTGGCCCACTAAACACAATAAACACTGGGGACTCACAGCCTTGAGAGTCCCTCTGAGGGAACCTGGCTTCCCTAGATAAGAGATCAAATGTAAAGGACATGTTTTTATTTTCTTAGTGTGTTTTAAAATCAGATTTTGTGAGCTGAAGTTTCTCCTAGATTTTTGTTGGAGGGAAAGAGGGGCATAGATGTTTATCCAAATCCTATTTTCTCTTTTTAAAAGATTAGACACACAGACGAGCTGAGTATTTGACTCTGAAATTTTCATTGCTTCAAAGTGATTGGTAATGTGGAGACAGAAAGAGTAGGAAATTATAGTTCCCTGTCTATATACATCCTGAAGCTGCTTCTTTAGGTGATAATTATCAGGGGTTCTACTTTACAGAAATTGACTAGAAGAGGAGGCGTAGAGTGAAGTGGACCCTGAAGAAATAGTCTTCTCCTTCACCAACCCTTACCACTCCCCTCCCCAAGCTCTGACCAGAGAGTGAGTTGGCCTGGGTAGCTCCTAGAGCGTGCTTGATTAAAAATTGAGCTAATTCAACATGTCCTTTATTCTCTCAGCTTGCCACTCGCTTGACTGTCTTGTTCTTTTGAGGTCTCTATCCTTTTCATTCCACTAAATGTTTTACTTAAGTGTCATCAGTAGTAAAACATCAGAGCCAAGAAGAGTGTTCCTACTGAAAATGTCACAGGTCAACAGAGGCAACAGTCGAGTAGGTATCATGACTTCAGCTATTAGCTTAGAGAACCAGACACCGCAATCTTTTTTACAACCCCAGCATCAGGTAAGCCCGATGTGCAGTCAAGGCAAAGAGTGAAGTTCTCTTAATTTGCTAAAGAAAGGATATCACTCAGGGTGAATAGCCAGCAAGTTGTTTGGAATGGTTGTCGTCTGATGACTGGCATATTTCAGTTGCACAGTTCTTTCCACTTGGAACCAAACTGAATTTTGGCCTGCATCCCTACAAGAGAAACTGGCCATGACTGTGGGGCCCAGAACCCCATGAGATGATAAGCACTCACAACCTTGAGCACTTATCTCCTCCTGTATCTGGCTTTCTTGCATTTATATAGTAAATCGGGAAATCTCACCACAACAGGCTTTCCTGTGAGGAGGCTGGCATTTCCTGCCTGCCCCAGTGGGGACAGAAATGAAGGGAACACATTGCTGGTGTTTAGGCCCTCTCACTTCAGCTCCCTTGCAACTGCTGGGTAGGACAGTGGCACCCACCAAGATCAACAATGATGTGAGTCAGAGCTAAGGAGTGGGTTATTTTCCAGGCACATTTTTAATATGATATTCTAACATATAAAATAACCTCCATCCCACAGTTACTTGTTTGAATATACACACACAGATGCAGATATACAGATTTACCATATGTGTGTTCCATGGGTACACAGCTGACATTAGTGATGCAGCTGATATCAAGTATATCAGTGGCATCAATTAATAATTGGTTATATCACAATTAAGTTACATTTTTTGCCTTTGGAAAACAGTTATACAAATATCATGGTTCAGCATTTTAAAAACTTTATAAATCAAAAATGCTTTTGTAAAGGGAATTGTCCCCTTCCACCTCTCATATTTATCTTTAGAGTAAATTTTACTTAAGTTTTAATACATGTGCTATTGAAAAGCCACCCATGGACATAAAAAAGCTCACATTTTACTTTCGTCAAAGAAAGATATGAGTGAATATAGAAAATCTGATCTTGTTCTTCTATTACAACATTTATTTATTTATTATTTTACTTTAAGTTCTGGGATACGTGTGCAGAACACACAGGTTTGTTACCTAGGTGTACATGTGCTGTGGTGGTTTGCTGCACCTATCAACCCATCATCTAGGTTTACAACATTTATATAATATATTTTATGGAGCACTTAGAGGTACATGTAACTAGACAGGACCTGAGAGAAACCTGTGCTCAATTTTCCAGATGAAGAAACAGAATCGCAAACAGAAATTACCTCTTTTTCCATGGCACAGCTTAAATATGTTGTTTCCCTAAGGGATATCATTAGTGTTATCACCATCTTTAATGTGGTGAAAACTGAGCCTCATGTGAAAAAGCTGAGTCCCAGCAACATTAAGTAATTGATCAGACTTTGCAGGGAGAGCCACAGGGCCGGGCTAGAGCTCACTTGCATTGTTTAACTTCTAATCTCATGTTTGCTGGTTGAGTTTCTATCAACATGTCCTATGAAATAGATCGATTTTCCATTCACTTTAGGTGGTAGTGAAGGTTGTTCACTAATAATACCAATTAACTGATTTCCATAACTCTCTTCCTTCTTTCCAAGTTTAAAAGATTCAGTTTTGCCTGTTATTTCTCTTCCTTTCATCTCAGGAGGAAGAGTTGCAAAGACGGGACAGATAGTTCAGGCATACACTTCACCCAGCTTCCCCTAATGTTACCATATTTTATAACCATGGTGCCATGATCAAAATTTAGTATTCATACAATGCATTTAACTGGATAGTACTCAGATTTCATTAGTTTTTCTACATTGGTTTTCATTCTGGTCCAAGGTCCAATCCCTGCATTTAATTGTCAGGTGTCCTTAGTCTCCTTAGTCTATGCTAGTTCCTCAGTCGTTTCTTCTCTTTCAAGACCTTGATATTTTTGAAACGCATCGGCCAGATAATACCTTATAGGGTATTTGGGTTTGTTTGGTGTTTTCTCATGATTAAAGTTACATATTTTGCAGAACAGCACAGAGGTGATGTGCAGCACTCATGCTGGGGGGTATGTATTAGCCCATTTTCATGTTGCTGATAAAGGCATACCCAAGACTGGGGAATTTATAAAGAAAAAGAGGTTTAATGGCTTCACAGTTCCACATGGCTGGGGAGGCCTCACAACCATGGTGGAAGGCAAAAGACACATCCTACATGGTGGCAGATCAGAGAATTTGTGCAAGGAAATCCCTTTATAAAGCCATCACTTCTTATGAGACTTATTCAGTACCATGAGAACAGCATAGGAAAGACCTGCCCCCAAAATTCAATTATCTCCCACCAGGTCTCTCTCATGACACGCGGGAATTGTGGGAGCTACAATTCAAGATGAGATTTGGGTGGGGACACAGCCAAACCATATCAGGGTACATGACATTGATCTTAGTATTATGATGTTAACCTTGATCACTTCATCAAACTGCTTTTGGCCAGAGGCCACTGTAAAGTTGCTATTTTTTCTTTTGCAGTTAATAAGAAGTTGGGAGAAGATATTTTGCAATTAAAAAGCATTTTGAGGGGAGATACTTGGAAGCTACACAAATATCCTCTTTCTTCTTACTCTTTTGCTCATTGGTTTTAACATTCAGTGGTGGATTTTACCTTAAGCAATAATTACTGTGGTGGTCTAGGAGTGCTTGCACTAATTCCTTTTACATTCAGTAATGGAATTCCTTTCTAAGGAAGAGTTGTTCCTTCTCTCTATTTATTTATTTATTTAATAATCTATCAACATCAGTATGGACTCACTCATGGATATTTGTTTTATTTTCTGGATTGAAATCCATTCCTCTCATAATATATTTTGTTGCTCATATGTTCTGACTTTGCTCTTTGAGAGCTCTTCCAGGTTGACTTCTTCTTCCATTTGATGTGTCCTATCTTTTTCAATTTTTTTCTTTAGCACTTCCTTACTTTCTGGTGCCTTAAGATACTCTAGGATCCTCTTGTATTTTCCCTGCCCCAGCCCTGGAATCAATTGCTTTCCCCAAAATCTCTGGTTTCTTTCATTGGAGAATGGTACTTAGGAACCAAGACTTGGGAGTTAGGTGTGCTCATTGCTGAATTGGTGCCACTGCTTCTAAGGTCCCTCAGCAGACCCACAAGGAAATGTATGTGTGTATACTAACCTAAATATATACATAGATTTTTCTATATCTTTGTGTTTGTTTGTATCTTGGTTGGCTATGATTGCCATAACAAAATGCCAGATTGGGCATCTTAAACAAGAGAAATTTATTTCTCACAGTTCTGGAGGCCCGATGTCCAAGATCAAGGCATCGGTTGGTTTGGTTTCTCTTCAAGCCTTCTGCTTGGCTTTCAAAAGGCTGCCTTCCCCTTGGGTCCTCACTTGGCCTTTGTTCTGTGCACTTGCCTTCTTGATTACTTCCTCTCCTTATAAGGAGACCAGTCATACTGGATTAAGGTCCACCCTGAAGATCTCATTTAACTTGAATTACCTCCTTATAGGCCCTAACTCCAAATACACAGTCACACGGGGGATTAGGCTTTCAACCTATAAATTTTGGGAGGACACAATTGAGAACATACCAATTTGTATATATGTTAAAAATGGATTAATGCTGATGCCTCCAAAGCCAACCCAATAACACAGTGTTCATTCTAGAATTTCCTCTTTGATTATTTGTAATCTATTTCCCCAAGAGTGAGAAATCTGGCACTTCCTATCAACAATATATTTACTTATTTGTTCAACCATTTCATACCTGTAGTTTCAAAATTGCTAATTTATACTCCTGGGAGAAAGAAATGCAAATGTTTTTGCATAGCTCTTTTTGTTTTCAGCCTTACAGCATCTGATCAAAACACCTGTTTTCCAAAGTTATTTAGATCATCTCTTTTCTTTATCAACCCTTCAAAGTGTTTGCTATCTACAATACAGTTAGATTCAGTTGCTGTAGTCTTTATTTCATCTTGTATTCTCTTGAAATTGAGGTTATGTTTAATATTTACAAATATTTACATATATTTAATATTTACATACATTTAATATTTATATATCATAAAATTTACTTTTTGTGGTGTACAGTTCTACAGGTTTTGAAAAATGTGTAGCGTCACCATCTTGTACAACAGCTCCATCATCCCCCAGATTCTTTTGTGCTGCCTCTTTCTCCACCCACAACCCCTGGTAACTACTGTTTTGTTTTCCTTCCCTGTAGTTTTATCTATTTCATAAAGTCATGTAAATGGAATCACACAATACGTAGCCTTTGGGATCTGGATTTGCTCTTTCACTTAGAAAAATGCATTTATTATTCATTAGTGTTGTGTGAATGAATTAATAACTTGTTCCTTTTCATTGCTGAGTAGTATTCCACTGCATAGATGTATCATATTTTGTTTATCCAAATTTTGTTTGTTCAATTTCTCACCAAATCGGTGAACATGAACAAAGCTATTGGAGGTACAGGTTTTTGATAATATGTAAGTTTTCAATTTGTTTAGGTAAATACCTAGGAGTAGAATTTTTGAGTTTTATGGCAAGTGAATGTTTAACTTTACAAAAAAATGCCATATTGTTTTCTGAAGTGGCTGTACTGTTTGGCATTCCCACCTGCAGATTTCAGAGTTGCTCTTAATCTTAATATTTACCAACCCTTGGTGTTAATTAGAATTTCCTTAAATGATTAATGATGCTGAACATCTTTTAATAGGTATACTTGTCATTCATGTATCCCCTCTTGTTTAGATCTTTTGTCCAGTATTTTATTTTTCATATTGTTGAGTTTTGAGGGTTCTATAAAAATATATGCTCTGAAAACAAATACTTTATCAGATTTATGTTTGCTAACATTTTCATCATTTATGGCTTGTCTTCTGCTTTTCTTAACAGTGTCTTTCTCAGAACAAAGGTTTTAAATTTTGATAAAGTACAATTTTTATTTCTTTATTTTATGAATCTTGCTTTTGCTCTCATATCTAAAAATGCCTTGCCACACTCAAGGCCATGCAGATATACTCTTATGTTTTCTTCTAGAAGTTTGATAGTTTTAATTTTTTTTTCTAAGAGAAAGTGTTTCACCCTGATACCCAGGCTGGTCTTAAACTCCTGGGCTCAAGAAATCCTCCTGCCTCAGTTTTGGGACTACAGGTGTGAGCCACTGCACCCAGCCTAGTTTTAAGTTTTATATTTAAGCCTTTGATTTGTTTTAAATTAAATTTTGTATAAGGTATGAGGCATATGTAGTGGTTTATTAGTTAACTACTTAGCTTATTTTGCATACAGACATCTAAGTGTTCTAGTATGATTTGCTAAAAAGCCTACTTTTTTCCATTGAGTGGCATTTTGTACTTTGTCAAAAATCAGTTGACCACGTTTGTGTGGGTCCGCTTATAGATTGTCTACTCTATTCCATTGATCTATATGCTTATCCTTTTTCAAAGAGCAACACAGTGCTTGATTATGGTAACTTCATAGTATGCCTCAAAGCCATAGTGTGAATGGATAGCGTGAGCTCTCTGATTTTGTTCTTTTGCAAAATTGTTTGATACTCTAGTACTTTTGCCTTTCCATATAAATTTTAGAATTGCCTTTTCAATATCTCAAAAAACCTACTGGACTTGTGATTGGGATTGTGTTGAATCTGTAGACAAAACTGAGAAAAGTTGACACCTCAGTAATATTTAAAAATGTTAACGTTTGAGTGCATCTTTTAAGGAAGTTATATGCACAACATTGCTGTTTATTAATGCATCATGTCATGATATTTTGCTTAATTTTGTTACAAATGGCTAAGATGGGCTGCGAATATCAATATCTAATGTCACATAAATGGTTCAGTATTGAGGTACAAAGTAACATAAATTTCCTCTGGATTATTAAGAAATTAAGGGTACTATGTCTCCAAAGTGAGATGTGAAAAATCATGTAATGCTGTACATACAGAGACTTATTTGTGCCCATATTTCGATTACATTTGCAATTAAAAAGTTAGTCATTCCTTTTTTCTCACTAGAAGACTCCCTGAAAAAGATCTATAGGAAGTTGAACATATATTAAGGAGTCAAAAACTTGATTGGCTAATAGTGCTGTAAAGAATGATTCAGTAATTAGCATTGAACTAACATTACTAACTGTTTTGTGAGGCAATATGGTGTGGTGGTGAAGATTCCAGCTTTGGGCCAAACAGACCTAGGCTTCTGTAAGGGTTCTGCTCCTTATGAGCTCTGTGACCCTGGACAGTTACTTAACATTTGCAAGCTGTATTTTTCTCACTATTGAAATAAGAATAGGTAATAGCAACCATCTTGAAGGTTTCTAATAAAGGTTAAATTATGTTCTGTATTAAAGCACTTAGCACGTATCTGGAAATTAATCCTTAATATTAGCTCTATTAATAAGTATATTTTTGCCTTAAATGTCCTCTTTTACTTAATTGATGAAATATGATTATACTAAATTCTACAGCTTTTAGTAGCTATAGTTGCCAAAGTCTACTTATTCTGAAAAGTAGTAACATCACCAGGAAAATGTCTAATAAAAAAATTGCTAAACTATTTGCATTGAAATCAGTCTCCATATAGGGAAGTATTCATAAATTACCATTTATCAGAAAAACAGAAAGTATAAGTGACTGATTGCTGACTCACTTTTAAACCAAGCTAGGCTACATGGTAACCCAATAGTATTCTTGAACTATTTATTAATGTAAGAAATCTTTCAGCTTACAGGTATGCATGCACACACACATTGTGGCATGTTGAAAAGTGAATTGTGTTTGGCCTTAGGAGTTAATCTAGTCCAGTTTATAAACAATCCTCTTTAGCTACTTAAAAAAGTCTCCGACTCCCTCCTTACTCCTGTATTAGTGTAGGAAAAGTTGCCTCTCTTGAGCCCCCAATATTCACCATGTAGGTATTAGTGTTAGTGTCATCTCTACAGCTTCCATACACATGTTCTATTTGATCAAAGGCAGCACTAGCCACAGAAAATAACTCTTGAATATTAGGTGCTGGCAAAAGGCATCTCTTACTGGGTCCATAGGACTCTGTCCTTCTACTTTCAGATCCATCATATGTCAGAGTTGGTGAAAACTGAGAACCAAAGTGAAGCAATTTGTCTTCTGAGTTTTTCATGTGGTCAGGAGAAAGGCTGGGACCACATGGCCTGACTCTCAGGCCAGAATTTTGTGCACAACTTGATCCTATGGTGTCACTTCTGCATGCAGGAAGCTCAGGACAGCTCCTTGGAAAAATCTAAGCAGCTCCAGCTAGTGGGGATCCAGACACAGGCTCAAAGGAGTTCAGGAAAAGCAACAGGCCATCTGAGCCCTAGAGGATTTGTTCAGGTGCAAATCTGGCCAGGGGCTTTGGGACCTGGAAGAGCTGGAGGCACACTGGGTTCTCCATGGTGGGTAAGTTTGAGTCTCTCTTCTCTGATTCCATTTCCTGCCTCTAACTGCCACAGCTTGATTGTTGGGACTTAGCCACCCGTGACTGTTGGGGGAAATAGAGGGAAGAATGAGCTGCTGCACTCATCTCCTCTCCTGGCACAAGGGCCAGGGCTGGAGACAAGTGAGCCGCACCAGAGCCCATCAATCATGGTCACCCTCTATCTTAAAGCCATTCTGCTGGGATCCAAGGACACAGTTTCTGAGAACCTTGCAGGAGGACTCTTTCTGCACTTAATTTCTTTTTTTCTTTAAGCGTAGAGATAAGGAACTCAGGCTGTGATGAGAAAGACAAAAGAAATGCACAATAAAGGGATGATGGTTAAGTTCTAGGAAGAAAGCCAATGAATGAATATTGAGAGATGAAATCAGGAATGATGATAAAGACTTTGCCCTAAGACGTGTGGTTATCAGGGAGTTGTTGCATCTAGATATTCACCTCTGCCTTCCAATTACTAAGAGCTTATGTACATCATTCTCCCTCATCTTGGCCTCTATTTTCCTAGTCTTTTTTATTTATAATTTTTTTTAAGTGAATGGGTCTTGCTATGTTGCCCAGGCTGGTCTCGAACTCTTGGGCTCAAGCAATCCTCCCTCCTCAGCCTCTCGAATTGCTGGGATTACAGGAGTGGGCCACCACACTAGGTCCTAGTCTTTTAAATGGGGATCTGATGCACTGCTGAAAATGAGGTCAGATAGCTAAGGGTAGCAAAGATCCTAAAAAGCACATCCCAGCCCCATGTGCAGAGGACATTTTTAAATGTCTTAAAACTTCATTTAAAAAATTCACTGATGGCTAAAAATATCCTGTTGACACAGGCCTGTCTGCACTCTCTGATTTTTCATTTTACGTGGAAAAATTTATGTTTTTCCATTTTTGTTGGCTGAGGTTCTGTTATTTGAAGGTAAGGTGTGGGAAGTCCTTCAGAGGTTCAATGGGAGACAGGGAATCGGATATAGTTTTTTTATCTGGAAGCAACTTTCATCGAGATTAAAAAAAATGTTTAGGCTCCACTTGCTACTGTAACCTCTAGTCTTCTGCCAAATGGCAACACAACAAAGACAGCCTCCTTTTCAAGTTTCTGGTTAATAAAACAACACAACTCCAGACAAATAAACAGAAACAGAAAGCTGGGGCTCACTTTAACAGTGAGCACATGTGTTGACAGGGGAGGAACCTCTGCTCGGACTGTCCAACAACATCTCCTGTTGGCCAACCTACCTAAGGCCTCTCACTAGGCGAAGACCCCAGACCCCCAGCACAGGTCCTCACATGCATGAAATAGTGAGCCTGGGAAAAATCTCACAAACAAGTGGCCTCTTCTTTTTGTTTGGTTTGTTTTTTGCCCCATTTCCCAACTTTGGAATTTGTTCATGGGGATTTGAATCAGTGCCCAAGTTTCTAGGGGCTGTGGCTACAGACAAGCTGGTTGAACTGTTCTGCACTCAGTGATGGAAACAGAGGGTGTGTCCAAGGGGGTAGTGGCAGTGAGTCATCTGGGAGACTTTGGGTAGAACTTCATGGAGCTGACACATTTGAACTACGTGGTCGGCTTCTCAGGCTTCTGTCCCTTCCTGTTGGTGATAATCTTTTTTAGCACTGACCTACCAGTGGGGTGAGAACCTGGGACCTTATGCTGGAATGCAGGGAGGATGGATGGAGCCCAGAAGCTGGGTGCACGCAAGACTGCAGTCCTGGTGTCCCACGGGGACCTGGAAGGTGCACACGGCTCTTGCAGCTGTCCCCTCCTGCCTTTTGGTGTTGGGTCTGGGCAGGCAGTTGTGTGCACTCAGGAAATAGTGTAGTAGCAAAATCCCATTCATTCATTCCATGCCTTTCTCTCCTTCTCTTTTGTTCTTTGACCTGTAAGGATGTTATTTCCCCTCTGGATTCCACTGGATTTCCCCTCTCCACCTTCTGCAAGGACTTGCAGAGAAGTGGCTTTCAGGATTGAACCCAGGAGGAAAGCATTTCCTTGTAGTCACTTTTCCTAGGCATGTAAGGAAAGGTTTTCTCAGCTCTTCACCTCTGTTCTCAGGGGATGTCTTTAGGCCATTACAAGGTAGTATCTGTGGATGAGCTGCTGCTAAACCTTGGAAACAAAAAGTAAATCTAACACTTAAAGACCTCCTACAGATATATGATGTTTCAGAGAAGAAACCGTTCATAAAAAGCTGAAGAGCTAAGTTCCCTGCAATGTGTTAAATAACAGAGGGTGCAGGGCTGCTTTTTGTTACTTGGAGCAAATTAAATGACAGGAAAGACCATGAAGCAGTTGGTGGGATGGTCAAGACTTTGGAATTCATCTATGAGGAATTTTCATCTTTCTGAGGATTTTGTGCATTCAGCTTCTCTTCATTCAGACCTGTGACTTCTCCTGTTTTTGATCTAGTTCTCCAGGATCTCTTCTGGGGTATATAATTCCCTCAATTCTCTTGGACCTCCTTTACCTTCAAATCTCACTTCTTTATTGAGGGCTTTATCAGATTCATCTCAAACTCCCGTTTTTGGATGATCGCCCCAAAGAATGTAGAAGCTAGACAATGTCCCCGATAAGAAGACATTTAGTTTTGAACACCTAAAGGGTTTGGAGGCCTACCTGGCTTCCAGTCCCTCTTCTTCTCTTCCTGAGGGAACCCTACCATGGTGCACATCTTTCCCCAATACTGCCTGAGTTTCTCAGGCAGGGAGGAGCCATCCTCAGCTCCAGCATGTAAGGTTTGGCTAAATAAACCAGAACACATTTGTCCTTGAAAACATTTGGTTCAGGAGTGGTCATTTGCCCTCATTCTATTTGAGGTAAAGATTGCAGAGGCTTCTGCAAATGTTCTTTCTCACTTTTACGAGGAACCGTAAGTAGCCATTTTCTCCCTCTCTGCCTCAGTTTCTACCTGTGGCTGCCTTATGACCATGGGGGAAGCTACTCTGAGAACAAAGCTGATGCCCAGAGAAAAGCAGATGGAGAAAATCTCAGCAAAATGTAGGGAGAGTCCTGATTTCATGGTATTAGAATCTGCCCAGTCTCTGGATGCTCAGTTATATGAGAAAATACAACTTTTTGTTTAAGCCATCTGAGTCAGCTTGAATCATCCCAACTGATTTAGGGTTTTAGACCCAGCATGGTGTAAAGTGACCTAGTGAAAGAGAACTCCAGTAGGAATCAGAGGACCTGGCCTAGAGTTATAGGTACTAAGTATGTGTCTGGAGCAAGCCTGGTCCACCTTTGGCAGTTGATCCCTCAGTTAAAGGGGTGTACTGATCACTGTGTTATGTCACAAGGCTGAGTGAAGATGGAATATGTCAAAGCTTCAAAACATGCTGTGCAAAATATTATGATTACCATCGTATCTCGCTTCAATCCATGAATCCATCATAATGAAAATAGCAATAGTGGCTAACTTTATCAAGGGATTATGATTTGTTAGACCCTGAGCTAAGTGCTTGAATGGCTTAGCTCACTTCACCTGCATTGCAATCCTGTAAAGTAGGTTATTACGTCCCCATTTTGCAGATAAAGAAAAAGCATTAGAAAAATTAAACTTTTTCAATGTAATACAGCTGGTAAGGGGTAGAGCTTACTAATAAATATTTAATAAATATTTGACGATGATGATATTAGTTTGGTGCAAAAGCAATTGCGGTTTTTTTTCATTCAAAGTAAAGTAATGGCAGAAACTGCAATTACTTTTGCACCAACCTAATACTTGCCTAAGCATATGCTCAAGAAATTGTCAATTCCACAAAAATTGCCGCCAGTCTCTAATTCTGTTTTAGGCTTTCTCCCATTTTTAGGTTTTTACTACTCATTTCTTCATTATCTAGCTTCCTCTTATGGCTCCTTAACTCCTTAAGCTAATACAAATTTCCCCTTTAAAATTAACTACTATATTTATTACCGTACTAGGAAAAGAAATACCTTGTGCTGCTGTTGGTTTACACACAACTCTAAATGTGTGTGTGTGTGTGTGTGACATAGCATTGAAGAAAGTAGTGAGTGTTTCAGATATTTTGAAACTGTTAAAACAGAGGCACTTACTGAGATAACGTCTGAAACAGTGTCTTGCTGGTCATAAAGGCAGCTGCCAAGGGATCAAACAACTTGCCCTGGGGTACTGAAGGTAGGTACAGATTCAGTGTAATATGGGAAGGTCTCCTAACTGTCTAGATAATTGTTCTCAACTGGGACAGTTGTGCCCCTCCACGTTTTGATGGTCACAACTAGGAGGTGGTGGCATGCTGTTGGCATCCAGTGGGTGAAGACCAGGGATGCTACTAAACATCCCCCTATGCTCAGGACAAGAATTACCCAGCCCCAAGTGTCAATAGTGCTGAGGTTGAGAAACCCTGGTCTAGACACATCCAAGGACCAGCACTGAGCTTTTCTTTCTAAGTCATCTCTGCTTGGTTAAGAGTAAGGCAACACTTCCTGATCTATCGGTCAGATGCGTGTCCTGGGATGTTCACGAATTGGTGTCCATGCTGGGGCTCAGCAAAGCCTTGGAGCCCAGCAAGGCATGCTTCTATTGCAGGAGACAGAGGCCTCTTCCAGGAAGCTGTTGATAGAAGGCTCTTATCTGATAGAGCTGAGGTCAGCTGATCTGCATCTCTTGAATAGAATGCCATGGTCTTCTGCATTCTGTTTCTACCAAGGTCCCTAGTGCAGTGGCTGCTGATGGGGCTTGACTATTTCTACGAGGGCTCCCCCATCTCGTCCCATTCCCCAAGGTTTAATTCTATTATGTTGGGCACTGACACATTCCAAGGTCCTGGCCTCAGCTTTTTTGTTCCTCTAACCAACCCAGGTTGCCATCATCACGTCTCTTTAGGATAAGAGGTATGACCACTTTCCTGTCTTGTAATTCTCTCTCCCTCTGTGTTCTGGCACACATTTTATGCCATTGTACACTTTGGACCTTTCTGATTCCCAGGTGCTCAGATGAATGGAATATTAAATATTAAAAATAATGGAATGTTAAAATATATGTTATTTTTATCCTCTTATTATGGAAATCGAAATTCTCCTTATGGCCATGTGAATGCCTCTGAATGTTGAGGAAAGAATCAGGTCATAAAACAAAGAAAGAAGAAAGAAAAAAGATGGATATGTCAAGATCTTATTTCACGACATCAGAGATTTCATAAGTTTCCTCCCCCCATATACTTTGGAGTTAGAAAGGAGGTGGTGGTGATAGAGGATAGTTTTATGTGTTTAGCCAGATGTTAGGGACATCTGGTGACTAGATGTTTGTTTTTTAACCATGCCTGACTGTTATGCTGATAAGATGGGAACTGGGAGTTGAAAGGTGGTTGTTCTGGCCGGCCACTCTAAGAGACAGCATTGGTTCTGAGAATAAGAATTAGGGGTAGGAGTATGGAGAGGTGGTTTTGCCCTGGCAGGAGGCACTCTTTCCTTTCTGTGCCTCCATTTCTTTATTTGAAGATGAGACTCCACTTATTCCTGATGTAATAATCTTAATGATTTTGCTGTAAGTTATAAAGTGCTTATTAGATAACAGGCACTGCAGGCTCTGGGCACGTGTTTCCTTATTTACATTCAGCCATCGAGTGCGAGAATCTGTGATGCTCTGAAGAGATATCCCCTAACTCTTCTAAAATGAATGCCATTGTTTTTTTTTAAATTATCACTGTGAGTGTCATGCTTTAGACTTAAACATTCTGTTCTCACATTCAGGAGTTTTACTGTTACCAGCCCCAGGGTTATATATTTTTGATTGCTTGTTTTAGGCATGGTATTGATCAATTGTCTTAAGTCATCCACATCCATTAGTCCATTTTTCTCAGAGAAGTTGCTAGGCTAATGGTATTACTTGTGACTGTGAAAGCCTCCATGTAAAATGAACTTTCCCACCCCAGTGCCATATCTTGGGACCTTTGTTTCATAAGCTCCAACTAGGTGAGACAATTGATGTTTTTGAAAAAAAAGTGTTAGGTTTTCTGGAGAAAATAGCTCTTGAACTTGAGTCTTTGTTTCATCAAAGGCAGCTGGATGAAATAGAGGGTTGCATTTGGTACTGACAATTCATATTTCAGAAAATAAAATGCTGCTGTGAGAAGATACTGCAGGAGTGGATTTGAAAGCTGATGGAAGAAGATTGTAAACAGAATTCTACCTCTTCGCCAACACTGTGACCAGCACCCCAGGATCCACTTATTGGGAACAGGTTCCTGGTATGTTTGCCTGTTCTCCCAATGAATCACAGGTGGCCCCAATGGAGTTCCATAGAGGTTGTCAGTGGCAGTCAGGAAAAGACTCTGAAGTAAATAGAGAAGAAGCAAAGACGGAAGACATATATTGTGGGGGAAAAAAGTGAGAGTCTTTCAAAGAAAAGAATGGTAGGTAAACATGAGTGGAAGGAAAAAGTAATCAAAGATTCAGGAGATGGGGCAAGACCTTGACTTGAGAGCCAGAGACTAGCAGCCTAGTGAGGGTCTAGAAGAATGTGAGAGCCGCAGATCCAGAATAAAACCTGTCAGTCGTTAGAGTGTGCTGGCCTTCCCCATTGCCTCCCCCACTTCAAGCACTGCAGCGGTGCAGCCCTGGAATCATTGAGTGCAGAATCTGATATGGCCGGTGGTAAGAGCTGGGGACTTGGCCACGCAGATGAGCAAGCCAGCTCCCTGGAGGGCTGTCCTGCCCTATCTGCCCCAAGAGGATCTGACCTATTATGTGAACACTAGAGACTTATCACAGCTTAGAGGATTTACAAGGGATTTGATTGCTGCTTTGGAGTGGGCAGGCTCGCTGTGCTCAGATGGGCCCCTGCAGGTTGTGGCATCTTGTTTTCTCAAACTGGGAGAGGGGGATTTGATTTGTCAGGAGGGCCCTCAGCTTCAGAGAGTGAGGAGGGGTAGAGAATGTGTGTGCATGTGTTGCGTAGGGTGCGGGAGAGTCGGGGCCGAGGAGCAGGGCAAAGGAATAAGACACAAAGTGGAAGAAAGAATCTATTTTGGAAATTTCTCTGCACAATAACATACGCACACCTCTTCGGCTTGTAGGAAAGAAAGCTAATTTTTTTTTCCCCCTCTAACATGGGTAGTTTTGAATAAGCTTATAAAGCAACTCCGAAAACTAAAGAGAACCCTAATAATTCACATCTTACTTCTGTTTTCTGTGGCCCTTGTGTTCAGTGTTGAGCAACCAGAAACGCCAAGACTTGGCTGTAAATCAGGACCCAACCCCTTTTGTCACATCCTATGAAGGGGAAACCTTTTTAAAAATGTGGAAATCTCAAAAACAAAAATAATATTTTGTGAATGGATCCTTACAATAAACAAAGAAAACAGAATGATTACCTTAGGATATCAACTTTCACCTACAGTTTAAATATTACTACCACTTGGGTTCAACCGAATACTTTCAACTCTATAAAGTTTCCATTATTTCATTTAGCCAGAGAAATATGCCAGCTAATATTTTATTAAGTCTGAGAATACTTTAACCAGCCGTTTCTATATCTATCAAGTTCAAAGAGATGATATAGTTCATGTATTAAGACTCCATAAAGTTTAGTCCTAAAAATGTGGATTATATTTCCAATACTTATTAAATATTTTTGTCTATTGGCTGATTTATTTTAGGCCCATGGGTACATGTTTTTATTGCATGGTGGGGTTAATTCATATGCTCCTTCTAGATGGCTCTAGCATCTTTCTGTTCACGAAGGTCACTTAAGATGAAAGGCATTAAAATAAAGTAGATTTTAGGTATCTAGGCATGTGTTTAATACACCAGCCCTTCTTTATAATACTTATTTCTGGTCCTGGGCATCAAAGAAAAAAAAATGAAAAGTCGGCACTGTTCTCTTAAAAATACATCAAGGCCCCCAACTCTTTAACAACACAGGAAATGTCAAATATTATATGGATATAAATAACTCAGTAAAACAGGGTTACAAGAACATCTGGCTTTGCACAGTTCCACGCACTCGGCTGGCGCAAAGATATTTCAGTAATACTATCCAGTCATCGGGTTGTGTGAGACTGTGGGGCACAGAAGGGAATTTGAGTGTCGGATGAAAAATGTGCTTGTAAAAAGGTCTGGGTTGTTATCTGTCTAATCCGTCCTAATCTGTTCAGTCATTTGCTCTGGGGGCTCTTAAGAGAGGAATACTGACCCCCCCCTCTGGAAACAAGTCTCTTAGACAGATACCCCTCAGGGCCCCAGGGTTAGGGAGGGAGGGCAGAAGGTTAACGACCCTCCCCTCAAGGAGCAAGCTGCCCCAATGATAACTGGAGAGATCATTTTTAAAAGGGACATCTCAATTTTCAGGAGGACTTGCAGCTTTATTTCAGGCCTAACACTATGGAGGTGATCTAAAGGGAACATGGTAATACACATCTTTGTTCTTGTTCATCTTGTCGCTTGCCTGATTGGTTCCATTCCTTGATGCCCTTCCTCTCTTCCCTGCCTCACATTCTTCACTGTAGGCTTCCCTTTTATTTTTAAGAATTCCTTGGGCTCTGGGCAAGCCACCATTTGTGGAAGGCAGTTTGTGCAGTTAGACTATTTGGTGTTCATTTCACTTGTACAAGCTTAAAAAAGAAAGCAAAACTCCAAAACAAATATACACAAAAAACCCACACAAGGCATTTAAGGTTTATGGTTTTCCTCTATGTTTAAATTACCATGTTCATCATTAAAAATAATAAAAAGCAACATCATCCATGTCAAAAGAAGACAAAGTGAAATATAAGTGATAGGTATATCTTAGACCCTTAAATGATTCTCACTTATTTATTCTGCAAATATTGAGTAACTACTATGTGCCAAGCACTGTGGTAGGTAAAAACTCAAGGCCCCTCCTTGCCTTTAAGGAACTCACAGTTTACTGGAGGAGGCAACACATGGAAATAAAGTTACCATATGATACAATGCAATACAGTGCAATGCAATGCAATACAGTGTTTCTAAAATGAAGTGAACCAATGAAAGAAAGTAAATACCAGATAAAAATAACTTGCTTAAATATCTTTTACCATCCATTGGAATATCTAGTTACACTTGCATCTTTCTACATCTTCAGGAGTATTTCTGGAAGTCATTTGATCCTTAGATAAAACCAAGTCTAGCTGGAGAAACACAGGTAGCTCAGTAGCTGAATGGGAAGCACAGGTAGCTCAGTGCTAGAGCGGGAAGTGGAGGTGAAGCTGATTTCTTTCTGAAGCAGCTGGGAAAAACTGCATTGAGCTGAAAGAAATCCTTTGATTTGGAGTGTGGTTCATAGGCATGCATGATAATCTGGTTCTTGCAGGGGTTCTTGGGAACCCCAAAGTGCTACCCTTAACACATACAGTTTTGTGGGGGTTTTTTTTCTCTAATTACCTTATTTTATTCATTAACTAACTGGTTAATTCAACTACTATGTATCTAAAGAGCTCCTTCTATGTGTCAAGGTCTGTGATAGATGACAGTCCTTGTTTTCAAGGAGCTTAGTCAGGTGGAGAAAGCCATGTAAACAAACAATTAAAACACAGTGTGATAAGCGTTAGAGATCCTTGCTCAAGATCAGAGGAAGATAAAGAAAGCTCTGGACACTAAACTCTGGGAGGTGGGTGGATTGGCATCTGATGGATCAGAGTAATTCTCACATTGAATATTTAAAAGACAAATGGCACTTTTCATCCAAAATCATCCTGATTGGCTACATACCTTGTATACATTAATCAGATTATTTCCCAATTCCCTCTCACTGTGTGCTCTGTAGACTTCACTTAAAAGGCATGGCCACTCGTCAGCCTGAACTGAGGACTCTGCCATACCCTGTGATTAGCTCCCCAGAACCTTGAGGGTTCATCGGGTTAATGTGTTGGTGGGATCCCAGCCCCCACAGGTCCAGCCCATCCCCAGACAAATACCCTGTTGAGTATCACCGCCAACCTGCTCTTCTACTGCTTTCTTGCAGTCTTGCCTTTCTTTTCCTATTCTATTCCAGGGATTGGAGAGAACAAACTGCCGCCAGACAGCATTGAGATTGTGACACAGCCCAGTACACTCCAGGAAATTCAAACTGACAGAAACTCCTGCCTTCTGCTATTGCAAAAGTGGCTTGGTGTAGCAAGATGCCAGTTTAGGACTATGGGCTGCCATTAAAGGTTCCTGACTCTCTCTGCAGAGATGGGAATGCCTGGGGGTGGAGTGGCGGGGGGCGCTGAACGCTTTGGCAGGGTTGAGATAAACACTCAGGTTGAGGCATTTTTCATCTGTTTAACCAGATCTCATTATATTGTCAAACAAGACTGGGACTCACAAGAAACAGCTATGCTATTCTTGTTGAGAGCTGGGACAAGAGATAAGAATTTATTTTTTCCACGGAGGTAAATTTCCTCAAGGCTGGGATGCCAGGCAAAGTTTTCACTGAAACAGAAAGGGTGGGGGCAGGGAGGTAAGCTCTTAGATACTTTGAAGAAAAGTCCAAGGGTACTTCCTATAACCCCACCTTGCCTGAGATGGGGAAAAAAGAAGACTTCAGTAATATCGTCTCCACGTCCTCTGCAGAGAACTCCCTTCTGTAGGCCACCTGTTGAACGTTATCCCTAATCCTGCACTCCCAAGCTATATCACTCGCTCCTCCTGCTGACTCCGGAAAAAGGCTACTCTGTTGTTGCTGTTGTTGTTTTGAAGTTCTCTTGTCTTTTCCAGGCTGAGTTGAATTTAACATGAATGGCTTAGTCTTGATGACACTCAAAAGTTAGGTAAATGTTTACGCCACCCAGCCGTTAGTTGGAATTCTGTAGGAATACTTGTGACTCATGTGAAAATCCTTGTGGATAGTTTTATAAAGTTGTCTTACTGAAAGAGAGTATCTGCATTTTAGAAAATCCAAAGCAAATGTCTGCTCAGTGAATCCTTTTTTAACCACTGGCTTCTCTCATGGCTTCTCTCTATTTCACATTTGTAGAGTGTATTTCCCACCCATAGCTGTTTTTGTTCTAAATCATAAGACTCTGTGGTGTAGCTTCGATTTTTTTCAAATATTCTCTTACTTGTTTGCATTTTCAACCTTCTCTACTCCCTGTAAGCCTCTCACATCCCTACTTCACCTCCTGCCCAAAGGAGGACCTTGCGTCCTACTGCACTGAGAAAAGAGAAGTGCTCAGGAGGCAACTTCTTTACCTTCCTGCAACCAAATCTGCAAATTCCTATCGGCCTCCATATTACCCTGCTCCTTTCCTATGACAGTGGAGAAAGTGCTCCTTTCCTGTGACAGTCTCTTGGGTCACCATTTCACAGACTAGGAAACATGCAGAGTGATAAAGAACTGTCCACGATCTTGTATCTAGTCAAAGTCAGTGGCAGATGACTTTGAACTCAAGCCTCCCAATGGCCCCAATGCTGTTCTCACTGCATCATAGTGCCTTTTAATTTTTAAAATTAGGTAAGCAGTATTTTATTTCAAAATGTTTGCAGTGGACATGTCTGTCAAGCTTCCATGCTCCCTGCAGGTATTTGCAAGAGAACGGGATCTCTGCATGGTGATACATGTGGCTCTGGGGAGGTTGACTGTACCCTCAGCTCTAGCTGTGGAGAAATCACCTAGCAGCATCTCCCAACCACAGTGATTGGTTCAGAAGTGGGCCCATGTCCTAAGCTGGTCCAATCAGAGTGGCACGTAGATGGCTCCTCTCCTTCTGTATGGTATGGTGTGAGGATGGGAAGCCTGGAACCATTGTAGCTATTTTACCAGTATGAGGTAAGTCAACCTGGAGATAAAGCTAATCACAGAAATGGACTGAAAACAAGAGATTTGCAGGAAATTAAAGCAGGTTAAATCATAACCCAACCTCCTCAGTTATGTTAGTCATACATTCCTATTATTATTTAATTCACTTTGAATTCAGTTTTCTGTAACCTATAACAGAAAACACAACTGACAGATATAACTTTTTTCTGATTAAAAGATTGATTTTTTATACATGACATAGATAATTCTGAAAAATATAAAGAAGAGATGAAAATAATCTATAATTTTACTACCCAGAATAACTGCTGTTAACACTTTAAAGGTTCCTTTCCAGTGTTTCTTGGAGAAGAGATAGAAATTAAGCTTTGTTTGTACAATTTTTTTTAACTATTATATTACATGAAAATTTACATGTCCTTGTGTGATCATTGAATATGGCAACATGTTTAAACCATTTATATTTATTTTCAAAATAGCTATGGTTGAACTTAACATTATTTAGTTTTACATTTTGTGTATTTGTCATTTCTTACAATTTCATTTTTAAAATCACTTGTGTTATATAAAACAATTTTTAGATTTAGTTTGTTAAAAGAAAAACGTCAGCTGAATTACATTTAAAGGAGTTTACTTAAGCAAGGAACGATTCGCTAATCAGGCAGCCCCCAGAATCACAACAGATTCAAAGAGACTACATACAGTGCAGCGACGTGGTGGAAGATTTATAGACCAAAAAAAAAAAAAAAATGGGAAATGACATACAGAAATCGGAAGTGAGGTACAGAGCAGCTGGATTGGTTGCAGCTTGTCCTTTGCCTTATTTGAACACTCAGCAGTGTATGGTTGAAGTAGGGCTGCTGGGATTGGCCAAGACTCAGCTATTGTTACAGGCACATACTCCTAAGTTAGGTTTTCAATCTTGTCTACCTATGAAGTTAAGTTGCAGTTCATCCACAAGGACTCAAATACAGAGGTGCAGGGTCCTCAGGCCATATTTAGTTTGCTTTAAGAAGTTGTCCTTAAACATTTACTGAGCACTTGCCCCTTGAAAGTTTCTGGGAACAATGAGTTCCTGTCTTTGTGGAGCATACTGGCTGGTGGAGAAGGCAGACGTTTAGTCAGAAATACACAAAGATGAGCGTATTATTATAAATATGGTGATTATTTTAAAGGAAATGACATGTGTACGAGTTTAGGTGGTGTAGTCACTCATTTAGACCTGTGGGTAAACAGGAGGGTGGGCTGTGAAGTCAGGGAAGTGTTCCATGCAGAAATGATGCTTGAGTGGATTAGGCAAAAATGGAAAGAAGTTAGCTGGAGTGAGGGAGGGTGTGTGGGGTCGGGGAGACCCTTTTCTGCAGAGGGAGAAGAATGGGCAAAGGCCACGTCAGGAGGCAGCTCGGCACATCTGAGGATCTGCAAGGTGGCTGTTGGAATGCATAGTGAGGGGAGATGGTGGGGTGCGGCTAGAGAGAAGGCAGAACTAGACCATGAAAGCCTTTAGGGGCCATGCTAAGGACTTTGTACTTTCTCTTGAGAAAACTGGGATGGCATCAGAGAGTTTTAATCTAGAGGAGGCTGATAGCATAGACCCGTGACTCTCAACACCTACTTGAGGCAAGGATGGGCTGGAGGCTGGAGAGACTGTAGCAGTGGGGCTTGGGTTGGTGGCAGTGCATGGAGGTGCAGAGGTGCCTGAAAAAGGAGATGCTGAGGAGGGGCTATGGGTAGGAGTTAGTGACGGGTTGGATGTGGAGCGTGAAAATGAGGGAGAGCTCTAAGAGACATCTTGGCTGCTAGCTTTGGGTGGCTGGATGGACAGTGGTGTATTGAGGGAGAGGGTCGTGAGTGCAGAGAGGTGCAGGAGAGCCTGAGGTGGCAAGGGACGTCACGTGCATGTGGGATGTGTGGCCTGGAGCTTGCAGGACATTTCCAGGCTGGAGAAACACACTTGGAAATAATCAGAGACGAGATGGAAGTTGTGGTCATGGCTTGCCGGAGATTGTCTTTCATGAAGGAGATTAAGAGTGAGATTCCCGGCCGGGCACGGTGGCTAATGCCTGTAATCCCAGCACTTTGGTAGGCCGAGGCAGGCGGATCATGAGGTCAGGAGATCGAGACCATCCTTGCTAACATGGTGAAACCGTGTCTCTACTAAAAATATAGAAAATTAGCTGGGCGTGGTGGCGGGCACCTGTAGTCCCAGCTACTTGGGAGGCTGAGGCAGGACAATGGCGTGAACCCGGGAGGCAGAGCTTGCAGTGAGCCGAGATCGTGCCACTGCACTCCAGCCTGGGCGACAGAGCGAGACTCCGTCTCAAAAAAAAAAAAAATAAAAAATAAAAAAAGAGTGAGATTCCCTCTTACAAGAGGGTCTGCAACCCAGACTTCAGGAGCATCAACTTGTACTGACTGGGTAGGGAGGGTGACCCTCCTAAGGACACTGCGAAATAAGAGAAAAAGCTAAATGTGCAGCCACAGCACCCAAAGGAAGAGAGTGCGTCAGGAAAAGGAGGGTCAGAACACGCGCCTACAGCCACTGAGAGCTCAGTTCAGATGAGGACAGGGAAATTCTGTTAGAGTTGCTGGGCCTTCGGTGTAGCAAGAACTAGTTCAGAGATGTGATGGGGCAGAAACCTGGTGGTTGTGGTTTGAGGGCAGGTTAGGAGAAAAGGGAATGGAGACGGGTTTTATGAAAACCTAGGAATTTTGCTGAGAAAGGGCTAACCATGGTTCTCAACTTTTTATAATAGAATTACGTGAAGTGCTTTGAAAAAATTCCGCCTGTAATCCTAGCACTTTGGGAGGCCGAGGCGGGCAGATTGCCTGAGCTCAGGAGTTAGAGACCAGCCTGGGCAACATGATGAAACCTCGTCTGTACTAAAATGCAAATAAATAAATAAATAAATAAATAAATAAAAAATAAAAAATAAATTAGCCAGGCCTGGCAGAGTGTGCCTATAGTCCCAGCTACTCAGGAGGCTGAGGCAGGAGAATTGCTTGAACCTGGGAGGCGGGGGTTGCAGTGAGCCGAGATCGCACCACTGTACTCCAGCCTGGTGACAGAGCAAGAATCCATCTAAGAAAAAAAAAAAAAATCCCAATGCTGAGGCCTCTCTCCAGACAAATTAAATCTGAATCTCTGGGAGTTGGACCCAAGCACTGAGATATTTTAGAAAGCTCTCATGTGATTCTGACATGCACCCAAGACTGGCAATCACCAAGTTAGCAGGAGATGTGGGGTTGAAAATATACACAAACCGCAGGACGTGGTGGCTCACATCTGTAATTCCAGCACTTTGGGAGGCCAAGGCAGGTGGATCATTCAAGGTCAGGAGTTCGAGACCAGCCTGGCCAACCTGGTGAAACTCCATCTCTATTAAAAATACAAAAAAAGAAAGAAAGAAAGAAAGAAGGAAGGAAGGAAGGAAAGAAAGAAAGAAAGAAAGAAAGAAAGAAAGAAAGAAAGAAAGAAAGGAAGAAAGAAAGAGAAAAATTAGCCAGGCGGTAGTGGCGCATGCCTGTAATCCCAGCTACTGGGAAGGCTGAGACAGGATAATCACTTGAGCCTGGGAGGCGGAAGTTGCTGTGAGCCGAGATCATGCCACTGCACTTGAGTCTGGGCCACAGAGTGAGACATGGTCTGAAAAAAAAAATAAAAGAAAGAAAAAAAAAGAAAATTTACGAAAACACGTTTTAAGGATTGTAGAGATCTGAACATGCTTAATTGTTAACAGGAGAAATCTAGATGTGATAGTTGGTTTTTTAAAAAATTATTTTAATCTACATTTCGTTAATTATCCAAAGTGAAGAAAGTTGCTTTTTAAAGCATTTCCGACAGATGATATACATTTACACCATTTTTACTTTGCCACACACCCTTTTCCTTTTCCTTAGTTTTCAGTCTAGATAATGGTTCCAATATATTCATTTTTTACGCTCGGTATTTACTCTCTTAAAATCACTTCTGACATTTGCACTTAATTTTGTAACCATGGTTTAAAACAATTACTTAGGTTTAACGTTACATGGAATTTGTTTAAATGCTGCCTGCCAGGATGATGACACCTTGACACTCTCATATCTGGTTCTGAAACTCCTCACTCATTTGCTGTGTGTGTGCCAAAGGGGTACACAGCATTCTATTCTGAAGTCTTGCATAGTTGAGAATGTTTTCTTACTGTCTTCACAAGTGGAAGACAACATTGGTGAGCATATTATTTCCCTCTTATTTTCTGTTGCACTATAAGTAACGTGGTTTTCCTACCTGCATACTTCCAAGGTATTTTTCCTGTTATCCACATGCTTACAATAGAGTTCTGGAATGTGGCTACTTGTTGCTGATTTTGCCTAGGATATGGTGATGACTTTTGGTCTCAAAAACATTGCTTTCCCCTCAAAAGCGTGCAGCTGTGACTACAGTCATTGCTCTGGTTTCCATCGTTTTGGTTTATTTCTCTGGACGCCATCATGCTCACACTAGACCTTTATTCTTTGCCTTCTGTGTCTAGCATCTTTCCTCTGTTTGTTTTCACTTTGGCCCTTTCCTTTGCTTTCTAGAAGAACTTTTCAAGTCTATTTTCCAATTGCTGATTGTTTTTTCTGCAATTTCAATTCTACTTTTTCCTTCCAACATCTTAATTCTGCTATTATATTTTTTATTTGCTTGTTATCTTCCATTATCTTGCTCATATCTTTTCATCTTTTCTTTTTCTTTCTTTTCCTTTTTTTTTTTTTTTTTTTTGAGATGGAGTCTTACTCTGTCTCCCAGGCTGGAGTGCAGTGGCACGATCTCAGCTCACTGCAACCTCCACCTCATGGGTTCAAGTGATTCTCCGACCTCAGCCTCCCAAGTAGCTGGAGATACAGGTGCCTGCCGCTAAGCCCAGCTAATTTTTGTATTTTTAGTGGAGATGGCGTTTCACCATAATGGCCAGGCTGGTCTCAAACTCCTGACTTCAGGTGATCCGCCTGCCTCGGCCTCCCAAAGTGCTGGGATTACTGGCGTGAGGAGCCACCACGCCTTCTCTCTCTCTCTCTCTCTCTCTCTCTCTGTCTGTCTTTCTTTCTACCTCATATTCTGTTTTCTGCTTAGGTGTCCTATTACTATTTCAAAGATGCCATATCTCCTGACATCCTATTGAAATTACCTCTTTAGAGGTCTGATATTTCCAAGAGTCTTTAAGATGATGTGCCCTTTCTTTTTCCCTTTCTCTCTCTCTCTTGTTTTTTTATTGCATTTTTCCCCGTAAGACTCATTGCTAACCAAACACAATGGTTGCTAATATACACAGCATGTGGATTCCTGTGTGTCCTCTGGGTCCTGGAGCCTACGTTGAATCCTCTTTTCGTGTTAACAGGCACATGTCAGGTACACTCAGGGCTGAGTTAACTTCCCAGCGTCTGGCGGCTCTTCCTCCAGCTTAGTCTCCTGGCATGACAGGGCATTTTCATGCTGAAGTCTGGTGCCTACACCTCCCAGGAGGCAGTGCGCTGCTTCCGCCCGACTGTATTCCTGGCTTTTCAGGTTCTCATTAGTTGTGGAAGCAAGTCCTGATGAGGGTGTGAGGGACGGCTGGGGCACGGGCACCCTCTGGATTGAAGTGCCTGCACTGCAGAGGGAGAGCAGACTGGCATGGGAAGGTGACCAGCAGATTTGCTTCATCCCCCACGCTCTTGGCTGCTTTCGTCAGTCAAGTTCCATCAGACTCATGTTTGTGGGGAGTCTTCTCAGATTCTGTCAATATGCTTCATTTTTGGTGTTGGGAATTTTTGTCTTTTTCTGTCTTCAGAAGAATGTTAATGGAAGGGAGGCAGGGTCTTAAGTGGAGGGCTTAAACAGAGGCCGGATGCCATTTCTTGCCTTTATTTTAAGGTTTGAGTGGTGGTACCAGAGAAATAAATCTTAATCAATTAAGATAAAAGCATAAAGCTTTTGGCAAAGATGAGGAAATGGCAAGAGCCAGCCTTATGACAGGCAGCAGGTGGTTTGTGGGTGTGTAACCCTCCGGGTGGAATGAGCATTTCTTTTTGCTGCAGTCAGAAAGACTCTTACAATTCCAGACCCCTTCCACCCCCAGCTGCATAGATCTCTCCTTCCTTTGGGGATTCTGGGATTTCCTATGTCTCTTAAAAACTGTTCCTTATTTTCTATTAATACCAGGGTGTTTAAAATGTGCTTAAAAATTAGTGCTGCAGAGTCTATGGGATATTGCATCATAATAAGAAATATAGCCTGTAATCCCAGCACTTTGGGAGGCCGAGGCAGGAGGATTACTTAAGGCCAGAGAGTTTGCGACCAGACTGGGCCAAAAATGAAATGACAAATAATGATAATATTAAAAATTATATATATATATATATGTGTGTGTGTGTGTGTGTATATATATATATATATATATATTTGAGCTTTGTCGCTAGTTCCTGGCACAGAACTCCTAAAACCCTTGGACTCTCCTGAGTGGTGGGTATGAGCAGAGCCTCTTTTGTTATTTATAATAAAGCTTTCTCAGCCATATCAGATTTTATGCTAAGGAGGTGACTCTTGGAGGGTGGGAGCTGGTTCTCAGAGGAACCAACCATGTGATTAGAAGGTTGAAACTTTCAGCCCCATCCTCTGACATCTAGGGAAGGAAGAGAGACTGGAGACTGAGTTCAATCACCAATGGCCAATGCTTTAATCAATCGTGCCTAAGTAATGAAGCCTGCATGAACACACTGAACACCAGGGTCTGGAGAGCTTCCAGGTTGGTGAACAAGAACACATCCATGTTCCAGAAGAGTGGTGCACCTTAACTCCTCAAGGACAGAAGCTCCTGGGCTCAGGACCCTCTGTGGCCTCACTCAACGTATCTCTTAGTCTGGCCATTATTCATTTGTATCCTTTAAAATCTCCTTTGTAATAAATTGATAATAATAGGTAATGATAAACTTTTACTGAGTTCTTTAAGCCATTCTAGCACATTACTGAACTCAAGGAGAGGCTGTTGGGAAGCCCTGATTTATAGCTAGTCTGTCAGAAGTGCAGGAGGCCTGGACCCGTGATTGGCATCTAAAGTGGGGGCAGCCGTGTAGGACTGAGTCTGTAACTTGCAGGATCTGACATTAACTAACTCCAGGTAGGTAACGTGAAAATGGAATTGAATTATAGGAAACCTAGTGGGTATTTGGAGAACTGGGAAATAATTTGGGGTGGAATAGACCCACAATTTGGTGTCAGAAGTGTCGTGAGTATAGAAAAACAGTACTGTGCTTTTAGTCTGATTGTCTGGGAAAAAGAGTGTGCTGGCCGATTGTGACCCTGTAAAGATAGGGTGTTGATATGGTTTGTCTGTGTCCCCACCCAAAATATCATCTTGAATTATAATCCCCATAATCCCCACATGTCAAAGGAGAGACCAGGTGGAGGTAATTGAATCAGGAGGGCAGTTTCTCCTATGCTGTTCTCATGATAGTGAGTAAGTTCTCAGGAGATCCGATGGCTTTATAAGTGTTTGATAGTTCCTCCTTCGTTCATTCTCCATCCTGTAGGGTGAAGAAGGTGCCTTGCTTCCCCTTCACCTTCCACCATGATTGTAAGTTTCCTGAGGCCTCCCTAGCCATGCTGAACTGTGAGTCAATTAAACTTCTTTCCTTTATAAATCACTCAGTCTTGGGCAGTTCTTTTTAGCAGTGTGAGAAGGGACTAATACAGGTGTAAACCAGACATTGCATAGACTTAGCTGGCTCCGTGAGATAAATACCCATGGGTTGATAGAAGGAAAGAGTTTGGAGGACTTGCTACAGTATTAGTCAACATTGCATAGTACATCTGGGAGTGAGGTTATTCCATTTATTTAATAATAGCCAAGATTTATTGAGCACCTACCATATGTCAAGCATTAAAATAGATAAGGGGGATACATCAGTGAATATGACAAATTACCTGCCCTTGAGCAACTGATAGTTTATTAGTGGAGATATATAAGTAACCAGAATATTACATGTGCTCAGTAGACATGAAACTGGGGTACCTCCATGGTACTATGAAAGAGTGAAAGAGGGGGACTGATATGGCTTTGATGTGTCCCTACCCAAATCTCATCTTGAATTGTAGCTCCCCTAATTTCCTCGTGTTGTGGGAGGGACCCAGTGGGAGATAATTGAGTCATAAGGTGGTTTCTCTCATACTGTTCTCATGGTAGTGAATAAATCTCACCAGATCTGATGGTTTTATAAGGGGAAACCCCTTTCATCTGGCTCTCATTCTCTTCTCTTGTCTGCCACCATATGAGACACGCCTTTTGTCTTCCCCCATGATTGTGAGGCTTCCCCAGCCACGTGGAACTGTAAGTCCGTTAAACCTCTTTCTTTTGTAAATTGCCCAGTCTCAGGTATGTCTTTATCAGCAGCATGAAAATGGACTAATATAGGGACAATTAAACCAATTGCAGTAGATACAAAAGAACCCACAAACGGAAGTCAATTTAAAAAAAAATCTCAAGTATAGAAGGATATATTCCTCAGCTGAAAAAAAGCCTAAGTCTACAAAATCAAAGAGGGCATGAAGATCCAGTCAAGTTCAATTTTTAAAAAAGTACTTGTGGTAAGTGGTCAACAGCAGATTTTCTGGAGACAAATCATTTGGACTTGAAGCCTCCAATGCTTTACTACTTATGAGCTGTTTGAACTTGGGCCATGCACCTAATCTCTGAGCTTAGTTTCCTCATCTGTCAAATGGATCTAATAACAGTATTTGTCTCGTTATGTTTTCTTGTAAGGATTCAATGAATTGATACATGAAAATTGTTTAGTTTCCAGCATATAATAAATATTGGATGCTAGTAGGCACATTCTTGTAAAATTACCAAGTTTCAAAATTAGAGTGAAAAATCCTTAAATTTTCCAGACAGAAAGAACAAATTATAGATAAATAAGAAGCAATCAGACTGGCATCTGACCTCTTGTCTGTAACAGGGAAAATTATGAAATGGTCAAATAATGTAACAACCAGTGAATCCAAACTAAAATCTAATGGATTAACGGTAGGCTGTTCTGGAAATGCACTGTGGGTGCTAGATGACAATTCTTAAAATAAAGGTATAGACCATACAGACTATAAGGGAGATCCTAATACTGTTCCGGAATTAAACAATCATAATAAAATGAGCTGGTGGAGTGGAAAAGGAACAATTTTGTGAAGATTACTTTTTGGGCAAACAGGATTAGGAAGAGGTAATGTTTTAAATATCTCTTTGTATTAGAATATAGAGAGATGGGGAAAAAACCTCTTGGAGGGAGAAATAGTTGATATTTTGTTTTCAAGCAATAGTACAGAATTACATGCTGGATTAAGGGCACTTGGAGAAAAATGTTAGCCCTCAAGGGAGAAGAAATTCCAGAAGAACTCTAACAAAGAGGGAAACTGCAATGAATAGCCACTTAATCAAATAAGAAAAAATAGGGACAAAGGAAGAAGAAACAAGCAAAGTAAAATTAATAGCAAACATAAACTGAGCAGCCATACGGTATTGTGATTAATAGCCTTAGTGGGCTTGAGACTTGAGCAGTTCACTCACATAAAGTACTTAGAACATGGCAACATTAGATGAGTGAGCCTCCTCTGCTCCCTTCTCCTCCTCCTCTCCCTTCTCCTCCTCTTTCTCATTCTTATTATTGCAATATATATGAATGAACTGAATTGTGTTATTAAAAACAGAGATATCAGACTGGAATTTAAGGAACATAATTCAGTTATATACTGTCTCTTAGAAAAACACTTAAAGTGAAAATGACTAGTTTAAAATCAAGAAATGAATAAGCATTACACCCAATAAATGCTAATAAAAAGAAAGAAGGGGTAAAATTAATCTTATAAAAGTTTACATTTAGAGATACTAAAAAGAAGAAAAGAAGCCTAGTTATGAAAAGCTGAAAAAGCATAATTTATGAAGATATATACGATATAAATGTTTGCATTAAGCCATACATAAAAAGTAATAAAAAGAAAAAACTTGATAAAAATAACATTACAGGAGAAAACTGCAATGTATGTTTCTCAGAACTTGCAATATCACATAGACAAAAACAAGTAGGGTTATTGGTAAATTGAATTATATAATCAATAAATGCAATTTAATTACATATACATATATGCATATATTATGCATATATACACATTTGATATTCAATTATGTGTACATACTTTCATATTTTAACTTAAAAATACATACTTTTTCATATGTTCAAGGAACAGTTACAAAAATACATCACGTACTTGAAAACCTTGACAAACTAAGAAGATAATTTGTTTGGAAGATTAGATCATAATCTACCATAATTAAAAACAAATAATAAAATATATCCAGAAAACTTACCTCCTGGGAAATTAATGCTCTGAGATTAACCCTTAATTAAAAGAGAAAATCAAAAGTAAGGTTGCAAGTCCTCTGGAAAGAAAAGAAAAGGCACATATTTCTGCCCCCACACCTATGTGCTTCTGCTAGTGTGACTAGTGCCGGGCAGGTCCCAGGGAAGCCGTTCTCCGCCCTGAGTCCACCAACTGTACAGGCATGGGGTCAGGGCTGCTGCCAACACTGGGGAGGGCCGGGCAGATGCGCACGGAGGAAGTATTAACCTTAGGTAAGAGAAAAGACAAACTTAGCATGTTTCAAGTCTTTTGTCTCCAATGGCATGAATGCAAGGGAGACGTGCCTCAAGAAGTATAAATCCATTTTCTTGCCTGTCTTGGCTTTGTGAGGTGTGGTTTTGGAGGGACTCACACATTTTCACGGTGTTTGCAATAGTTGCGCACGGTGCCTCAGGAACATTTTGCAATACTGAACAATTCATATTACGCTTGCATTTGTGCACGTGGAGGCCTAGGCAGCAAGAATCAAGTGTGATAATGATTCTTTATACTTGCAGTCAAAAAGACAGTAAATGTTAGAATTCCAAAGAGCTTCCTTTTTATAAAAGTATTTAACAATCTTAAATGTTCAAAAATTATTTTAAGATGTCGGCCTTTATTAATATAATCAGTTTTTATTTAAAATTTGATATCTATTATCCATAATTTGTACTTGACCTTTTAATTTTAATACATAATTTACACATAAAAGAATTATTTATTTATTTATTTATTTATTTTATTACACTTTAAGTGCTAGGGCACATGTGCACAACGTGCAGGTTTGTTACATATGTATACATGTGCCATGTTGGTGTGCTGCACCCATTAACTTGTCATTTACATTAGGTATATCTCCTAATGCTATCCCTCCCCCCTCTCCCAATTTAAAGAATTTTCAAGGAGAAAAACTTCTGAAAACATATGAACAATAATTTTAATTTCCCCCCCTTAATATTCACTTTAATTTAGGTTTTTGGTGACATGTATTCAAAATGTTTACATTTTGAGTAAAATTACATTTTACCTTTAAGTTAGTACTTTTGATAGAATCTAAATTATGTGAAAATCCTGATTATAACTATATAATTAATAATTTGGCCAAAATGTAAGTGTGAGAAATAAAGTTTTTGGGATAAATATATTACAATTTATTCTTTATGTTTGTCTTTATTTTATTCTCAGTCAAACATTGTTCGTCCATTAAGAGAACAAACAAGCCTTCAAGATAAATTAATATTCTATTAGTCTTTGATATTTTGCTCATTTTTAACACTATTAAACATGCTTTATATGATATTGTCATTGCAAAAGCTTCTTTATCAAGGAGGACAGAACATATTTATGTACCAGTTTGCTAGCTTGATTTATTTAAACTTCTAAATATTTAGACATATGCTGTGCTGGCCTCCACTGAGGCTCTGGAACTGGATGCTGCGAATGTGAAGGGCAGGTCTGTCACTCCGAGCTGCGCTATCACGGTGCTATTGGTGTAGTGCCTGAAGGAGACTGTCTCAGGGCCATTTTATAGACTGAACATCTATTAGAAATTTCCATATCAGATGGTTATAATATACCCCTGCATTCCTGAAGTGGTAGAACCATTTTGTTCCTGTAACATGGGGATTATATTTATACTATTCTTTTTTTTTTCATGTATGACAATAAAGGGGATTTCAGCACAATGTTAGAAAGAGAAGAACTTTTTAAATAGTGGGAGAATTTTGAATGAAAGAGGGGTCTCTGTAGCACTTAAGATCCACAGAGCCTTTTTTGCTAGTGCATTGCAAAGCATGCTCTTTACATCATTTGAGGAGATTGGTAGCGTATAACTTGGTGTATGAATGCTTCGAGTAACCCTGACCCAGGTTAATACAAGATGTCCCTGGATATTTTTAAAAGGAGTCATGGCTTGCTTAGCCTTCTCTGTCTCCAGATCTGGAATAGCTGGAGTAATTGTTTGTTAATTGGAAGTTTCTCAAAGTTTAAGAGAGACAATGTTGTGTAGTGGTTGAGAACACAGGCTCTGCAGCCAGACTGTCTGGGTCCACAGTCTGTGTGTGCCACTTATTTCCTGGGTGTTCTTGGGCAAGACCTCCATTTCTTTGTGTCTTAGTTCTCTTATCTGTAAAATGCTAGTATAGACCTCAGAGGGTCATTGTGAAGATTAAATGAGATCAGCGCCTGGCACACAGCAAGCACTATATACGTATTTACTCTTGTTATTAAGTGGGGCCAATATTTTATTCAATTCAACAAATATTAATTGAATATCTGCCTTATGCCTGGTTGATAGACGGCAAGACAATGTCTATCATGTGTCATGCATTGTACTTAGCTACGGATATCAGAGTAAAGAGGGCCTAGTCTCTGCTCTAACTGAGTATATAGAGTATGGGATTTCAGACAAGTAATCAGGTGATTATGGGGCAGTTTATTTTGTAACATCATCCTGGGAGCTGTGGGAGCAGATAGGAGGGCTCCCTGCCCCAGTATTGGGTAGTCAGAGATTATTTCGTAGCAGAGTGGAGTGAAAACTGTGATAGAGACTCTACGCTTATAGAGGGAAGTGAGGAGTTGAGATTCATTTAGGTTATAATGACATGAGCTATTGTCTGCCTGAAATGTGAGGTATTTAAAGAAATAGCAGTCAGGGTGGGGTGGGGGACTTATTCATCTAGACAATTGTCTCGGTGTTCCTCTTTGTGGCAGCAGGAGCAACCACAGCCTCCAGAGTGCCCATTCCTGTTGGTCCGCCATGCTCTATGTTCTGAGAATCCTTTAGTGTTCCTTTTGTCTTAGCTCATGCCCAACCAAGGACCATCTCTGGGCTTACAGAGTGTTAATTTATCTTCTGAAACATATCTTCCTCTTTAGAGACTTCCTTGCAAGTTTCCTGTTTCCATGAGCACTGACAGATCCTGTAAAGACTTTCGGCTCATGGATTAAGCATGTGCGAGAGAGGAGACAAATTGCACTGAACACTCCCAAAGGATTTCTTTTCCCCCCTTTCTTTTCTTGCTTCCTTCCTTCTTTTTCCTTATCTCTCTGCTCCATTCCCCACTTGCCCCATATCCCCAGACTTCCTCTGTAGATTCCAAATAAAGATTTCGGAGACTTTAAGGGCCTGTATTAGGCAGCGACCCTCATGGGTCTACTTTAGCTTTGGATAAAGCAGTTATTTGGTGTGATTATACAAACAGTATAAAATCCATGGGTAATTAAAGAGGTCCAGAATCTCCCTTTCGCCCTGCAAAATATATCCCCTGGCAGAGGAATCCACATCTTATAACTCTCACTCATTAGGGTTAAGGCAATAAAAACTTTGCTGAAATTTCAAATGTTAAATGAGAGGGGATAAGTAATACTCAGCAGTACTACAGTGTGAATTAGCTTCTCTGCCATCCCCCTCACACCCTCTCCCTTCAAGAGTCATGAAGGCATGAGACCTAGGACCTGTAATTTTTATAGGATCTAAGGGATTTGAAGAAAAGAGGAATATTATCTGAGGGATGGAGGCGGATGGAGTACTGACAGTGGAGGTTTTCTTTTGACGTGAGCTTTGAACATCTGGAAATGGAACAAAAGACATCAGCAAAGAGGTGGTAGGTACAGAAAGGTGACCTTTATAATCTTATATAAAGAAAGTTGTGCATCAGAACTCCAGTTCTCTCCCTTCCTTTCCCTCCCTCCTTCCTTTTTTCTCTTTCTCTCTCTCCTCTCTCTCTCTCTCTCCATCCATTCGTCTATTTATTTAACAAGAAGGAGTGTGAGTGCCTATCACAGCCAAGCAATGCTATTTCTACATTCTGAGCATTCGCAGATGAACTTGTATGAATCTTGCCCAGAAAGAGCTCCATGCAGTGGGAAGGACTGAACAAACAGAATCACAATGTACAGTAAAAAGCGTCATGAGAGTTAGAGACACATCAAACCCTTCCTGGTGACAGTTTCACAGGACATTTGGGCAGAGTTTAAAGGGCGAATCAAGATTTTTCAGGTGAACATGGTGGGCCAGGTATTCCAGCCAAAGCTGGATGACAGCATGGTATAGGCCAGGAAGGGAAAGTAGCTCGCCTGCGTGTGCTAGAGAAATGGCATAAGGCCTCTGTGTGCAGCGCTTAGGGGTCCAGCCACTGCTCTAGGGCAGGGAGCCATTGAAGGGGTTAAAGCAGAAAGCCCAGGATGAAACTCAGAAAACATCTCCATTGTGTGGAAATCAGATCAAAAGTACTCATAGTTTTCTCCTAAATGCATGTCATAAAATTGAAGGATGAAGAAATGAAAAGGAGGATGTGAAAGCCAAGAGTACTGAGGAGGTAAGCAAGTCCTAAGGGAGTTCTGGACTTCCTTTTAAGTGGGCATTTTGAGAGAATGGGAAGCTTGTTGAGAATCCCCTCATTCCAGACTGTGACTGTGTCAACACAGAGATCAAACAAAGTGAAAATATGACAAATAGAAGAGACATATTCACCACAGTAATTAAAACCAAAATCCAGTAATTCAGGTTTTATTTCCTTGGTTTTTCCTGCTAGGCTTTTGACAATAATTAAATTAAGTGCGATCTGCAGAAGCCTCCCTTCTGCATGGACTGCTGGGACCCATCTTTGCCTCCTTGGGATTCATCCTTTGTAAGACAATGGGAAGAAAAGGAGGCTTACAGAATCTCCCTGTCCAGTGGTCAGTGCTAGGGGCCAAGAAGGGAACATGGGAGGGGGTGCAGGGACTAATCTGTGTCTCTTTTTATCACTTCCCTTAAAAAAATCAGACTTCTTACAAGAGAACCCCGGCTGGCCTTTCTTAAGCCCACATGAAGCATGTGGAAAATGGCCCACATGTGCCATTTTCCTGAGTTAGCAAGCTGGCCTGGCTTCTCTTGGGTCCTCCAGAGCAGCCCTGGCAAGGAGGGAATGGAAAAATCATCCAGAGAGAAGAGGAGGGGAAAAAGCAAACGGAATTCTGGTCAGTGGCTCCTGTTGCTTTTGGCGCCCCAGGAGTGAGATTCCCTGGCTGCCTGCGGCCTCTCAGATGGGCAGGAAGGCGGAGTGCTGGGACATTCAGTGGCCCTCTCAGCTTCTTAGTCCCTGCTAAGCTTTGTTATTTATTTGCTTTTACATTTCAGTGGCTTCTAATTCATGGAAACAGGTGGGGAGAGAGGGAAAGGAAAGCGCAGCAGCTTAGATGTGGCCTAGAGGACTCTGAGAATGACACACTTTCCCCTGTGGTTGAGTGGTGGAGGGATTGGACATTGCAGTCAGAGTGCCTGGCCACTGGGCGGTGCCTCCTGGTGTGGTCGGAGGTAAGCAGTCGCTTTTCTGTAGTCTAGGCCTATAGAGGAGGGCCAGTAGGCTGCCCCAGGGCCGATTTGCTAAACAGAAAACCCAGAAACGATGGACCCAAGATGTATTACGATGTTTGGCACATGGTAGGCAGTCAATAAATGCTTGAGTTTGGTGACAGTGTAGATTCTAGAGCCCAAGCTGATGGGAGTTCAGGCTCTCACAATGCAGATCATTTTTGGACAGTGAAAACTGAGCAGGAATGTACTGGATTCTGAACTCGGCTCCTGGCACAAGCAGAATATGTTTGTATGATGCTAATTCTATTTGTTGTTTTAAAATTTGTACAACGGTCTTTTTTTCAACTTTTATTTTTAGATTCGGGGGGTACACGTGCAGGTTTGTTGCCTGGACATATTGGGTGATGCTGAGGTTGGAGTACAAATGATTCTGTCACCCAGGTAGTAAGCATGTTACCCAACAGTGAGTTTTTCAACCCTTGACCTCTCCCTCCTTCCCTTCTCTGGCAGCCCCCAGTGTCTATTGTTGCCATCTTTATGTCCATAAGTACCCAAAGTTTAGCTCCCACTTGTAAGTGAAAACATGTGGTATTTGATTTTCTGTTCCTGTGATAATTTGCTTAGGATAATGGCCTTCAGCTGGATCCCCATTGCTGCAAAGGACATGATTTTATTCTTTTTCATGGGTATGTAGTATTCCATGGTGTATATATACATTTTCTTTGTCCAATCTACTGTTGATGGGCACCTAGGTTGATTCCATGACTTTGCTATTGTGAATAGCGCTGTAATGAACATATGAGTGCATGTGTCTTTCTGGTAGAATAATTTGTTGTTTTTTTTGGTGGGGGTATATACCCAATAATGGGATTGCTGGGTCAAATAGTAGTTCTGTTTTAAGTTCTTTGAGAAATATCTAAACTGCTTTGCAAAGTGGCTGAAGTAACTTACATTCCCACCAGCAGTGTATGAGTGTTCCTTTTCTCCACAGCCCCACCAACATCTGTTGCTTTTGACTTTTTAATAGTCATTGTGACTGGTGTGAGATGGTATCTCATTGTAGTTTTAATTTGCATTTCTCTGATGATTCGTGATGAGTATTTTTTTGTATATTTGCTGTCCTCTTGCATATCTTCTTTTGAGAAGTGTCTGTTCATGTCTTTTGGCCATTTTTTAATGGGGTTATTTGGTGTTTGCTTGTTCGATTGTTAAAAAGTTCCTTCTAGATTCTGGATATTAGACCTTTATTGGATGCATAGTTTGCAAGATTTTCTGCTGATCTGTAGGTTGTCTGTAGTTTCTTTTGTTGTGCAGAAGTTGATAGTTTCTTTTGTTGTGCAGAAGATCTTTAGTTTATTTAGGTACCACTTGTCAATTTTTGTTTTTGTTGCAATTGCTTTTGAGGACAGGCATAAATTATTTCCCAAGGCTCATGTCCAGAATGATGTTTCCTAGGTTTTCTTCTAGGATTCTTATAGTTTGACATCTTACATTTAAATCTTTAATCTATCTTGAGTTAATTTTGGTATATGGTGAAAAGTAGGGGTACAGTTTCATTCCTTTGTATATGACTAGCCAGCTATCCTGGCACCATTTATTGAATTGGGCATCCTTTCCCCATTGCTTATTTTTGTCAACTTTGTCCAAGATTAGATGGCTGTAGGTGTGTGACTTTATTTCTAGGTTCTTTACTCTGTTCCATTGATCTACATGTCTATGTTTGTACCAGTACCAGGCTGTTTTGGTTACTGTAGCCTTATAATATAGTTTGAAGTTGGGTAATGTGATGCCTCCAACTTTGTTCTTTTTGCTTAGGATTGCTTTGGCCACTCAGGCTCTTTTTTGTTTCCATATGAATTTTAGAATAGTTATTTCCAATACTGTAAAGAATGACATTGGTGGTGGGCAGTATGATGATATTCATGATATTGATTCTTCCAGTGAATGAACATAAAATATTTTTCAATTTGTTTGTGTTATCTGTGATTTCTTTTAGCAGTGTTTTGTGTTTCTCCTTGTAGAGATCTTTTACTTCCTTGGTTAGATATAATCTTAGGTACTTTTTTGTGGCTATTGTAAATGGGGTTGTATTCTAGATTTGGCTCCTAGATTGAATGTTTTTGGTGTATAGAAATGCTACCGATTTTTATGAATTGACTTTGTATCCTGAAACTTTGCTGAAGCCATTTATGAGATCCAGGACCCTTTAAGTGGAGTTTTTAGGTTTTTCAAGGTATAGAATCAGATTATTCATGAAAAGAGAGAGTTTGACTTCTTCTTTTCCTATGTGGATGCTTTTTATTTCTTCCTCTTTTCTGATTGCTCTGGCTAGCACTTCCAGTACTTTATTGAATAGAAGTGGTGAGAGTGGGCAACCTTGTCTTATTCCAGTTCTCAAGGGGAATGCTTCCAGATTTTGCCCATTCAGTATAATGTTGGGTATGGGTTTGTCATAGATGGCTCTTATTATTTTGAGCTATGTTCCTTCAATGCCTAATTTCTTGATGGTTTTTATCATGAAGAAGTGTTTAATTTCATTGAAAGCTTTTTCTTTGTCTATTGAGATGACCATATGTTTTTTGTTTTTAATTCTATTTATGTTGTGGATCACATTTATTGATTTGCATATGTTGAACCAACCTTGCATCTGCAAATGAAGCCTACTTGGTCATGGTGAATTAACTTTTTGATGTGCTGTTGAATTTGGTTCACCAGTATTTTGTTGAGGATACTTGCCTGTACGGTCATGAGGGATATTGGCCTATAGTTCTCTTTTCACATTCTGTCTTTGCCAGGTTTTTGTCTCAGGGGGTTATGAGATTCATAAAATGAGTTACGGAGGAGTCTCTCTTTCTTGATTTTTTGAAATAGTTTCAGTAGAATTGATAACAGCTCTTCTTTGTATGTCTGGTAGAATTTGGCTGTGAATCCATCTGATCTGGGGCACTTTTTTTGGTTGGTAAGTTTTTAAAATTATTGATTTAATTTTGGAATTCAATATTAGTCTGTTCAGTGCTTCAATTTGTTCCTGATCAATCATGGGAGATTGTGTGCTCCCAGAAATGTATCATTTTCCTCTGGATTTTCTAGTTTGTGTGCATAGAGGCATTCATAATAGTTTCTGAGGATCTTTTGTATGTCTGTGGGATTGGTTTAATGTCACTTTTGTCATATCTGATTGTTCTTATTTGGATCTTCTCTCTCTTTTTCCTTATTATTCTAGCCACCATTCTAGTGATTTTGTTTATCCTTTCAAAAAACCAACTTTGGGTTTTGTTGATTCTTTGTACGGATTTTTCGGTCTCAATTTCATTCAGTTCTACTTGGATTTATTTATTTTCTTCTCCTTTGCTAGCTTTGAGATTAGTCTTTCTTGTTCTTCTAGTTCCTCTAGGTGTTATGTTAGATCATTAATTTGAGAACTTTTTGACTTTTTGAAGTAGGCATTTAGCACTATAAACTTTCCTTTCAACACTATTTTTGCTGTATCTCAGAGATTTTAATATGTTGTGTCTCCGTTTTCATTTATTTCAAAGATTTTTTTGATTTCTGCCTTGATTTCATAGTTTACCCAAAAGTCATTCAGGCACAATTTGTTTAATTTCCATGTAATTATATGGTTTTGAGAGATCTTCTTGGTATTGATTTCTATTTTCATTCCACTGTGGTATGAGAGCATGGTTGGTATTATTTCAGTGGTGGTCAATCTTAGTTCTGTGGTTGATAGCTGGAGTATTCTATAGATGTCTATTAGGTCCAACTGGTCAAGTGTCGAGTTTAAGTCCAGAATTTGTTTGTGAGTTTTTTGCCTCAATGATCTGTCTGATACTGTCAGTAGGGGTCTCGCAGTCCCCCACTGTTATTGCATGGCTAAGTCTTTTTGTAGGTCTAGAAGTATTTGTTTTATGGACTAGAGGTGCCAATGTTGGCTGTATATATATTTGGAATAGTTAAGTCTTCTGGTTGAATTTTATTTGACATAACAGTGATGACTTCTGCTTTTTTTTTTTTCCATTTGCATAGTAGATCTTTCTCCAGCCCTTTACTTTGAGCCTATGGGTGTCATTATGTATAAGATTGGTCTCTTGAAGACATCTGTGGCTTTTAAGTGGGGAGTTTAGACCATTTACATTCATGGTTAATATTGATATTTGCTGTTTTGATCCTATTGTGAAGTTGTCAGCTGTTTGCTTTGTAGTTTCTATTGTGTTTTGCTTTATAGGGTCTGCAGGCTATGTACTTAATTGTGTTTTGTGGTAGCAGGTATCATTCTTTTGTTTCTGTGTTTAGAACTCCCTTAAGGATCTCTTGTAACGCTGATCTAGTGGTATCAAATTCCCTCAGCATTTGCTTTTCTGGAAAAGATTTTATTTCTCCTTCACTTATGAAGCTTAGTTTGGTGGGATATGAATTCTTGGTTGGAATTTCTTTTCTTTAAGAATGCTGAAAATAGGCCCTCAATCTCTCCTGGTTTGTAAAATTTCTGCTGAGAAGTCCACTGTTAGCCTGATGGGGTTCCCTTTGTACATGATCTGCTCTTTTTCTCTACTGTCTTTAAGATTTTTTCTTTAGTATTGATCTTGGACAGTCTGGTGACTGTTCTTGGTGATGTTCTGTTCTACATGCCTTGGTGATGTTCATTTTATATAGTATCTTACAGGTACCTAGGGTTCTTATATCTGGATGTGTACCTCTCTAGCAAGATTAGGGAAATTTTTTGAATTTTTCCCTCAAATATATTTTTCAGGTCGTTTGCTTTTTCTCCTTCTCTCTCAGAAATGCCAATAATTTGTATATTTGGTTGCTTTACATAATCCCATACTTCTCAAAGGCTTTACTCACCTTCTAAAAATATTTTTTCTTTATTTTTGTCAGATTCAGTTAGTTCAAAAGACCAGTCTTCAAGCTCTGAAATTTTCTTCTGCTTGGTCCAGCCTATTGATAAAGCTTTCAGTTGTATTTTGAAATCCAAGTGTTTTTAGTTTTAGAAGCTCTGATTGATTTCTTTTTAAGATTTTATCTCTTATTTCCTGAATTGTTTTAGAAATTTCTTTGTGTTGATTTACAACCTTGTCTTGGATATCAATGAGCTTCCTGCAATCTATGCTTTGAATTCTTTATCTGGTATTTCTGAGTTTCCATTTTGGTTAGGGACCATTGCTGGAGAGGTAGTGCAATCCTTTGATGTGGTCACTACATTCAGATTTTTCATGGGGCCAGAATTCTTGCACTGGTTTTCTCTCATTTGGAGATGCTGGCACTTCTAATTTTTGTAATTATTTTCGTGCAGGTAGGATTTTTCTTTTTCTTTCTCACCCTATACTGATACAATTTTTCTTTTTTTTTCTTTCCCTTTCTCTTTCCCTCAATTCCTAGGAGGCATGACTGTAGAGAATTCTGGGTAGAGTCTTTTGACTTTGTTTCTATAGTCATATGCACTCCTTCCAGCAGGTTTTATATTGGGCTGTGCAGCTCATCCTACAAGCCTATAGATGGCATTTATAGGTATGAACCACCTGCGGGCAATGTGGTTGGGTATATATTGATCCTTGTTTACTGGGAGAAGCTCTCTGTTGCCTCAGGCAATGGGCTGATTTGTGGAATGTCCAGTGGTCTGAGCTCCCTGCTCAGCCTTGAAGGGGCGGGAGCCACAAAGTGTAGGGCTGGACCAGGCAGGTCCTCCTGCAGTTCCCCTAATGGCAGGCATAAGCACCAGTGCCAAGGGATAATCCAGTGGGTAGCCACCAGGCACCCAGAGGTGTGTCTAGTCATGGAGCTGGAAAACCTCCTTGGCTCCAAGTTCTCTGCTTAGGGATGGGGGTGTGTGGTAGCCTAAGCTCCTAATCCAGGAGAGTGAGAGCTCCAGATGCCTGGAGATCTGCCTGGACACGAAGCAAAGAGGGCCTCCTTGCACCAGGATCTCTGCACAGGAAGGATAGGACTAGTTAGGGTGTTGATCCAGGTGAGCACTACTCCAAATGCCTGAAACTGCCTGGGTCTGAAGCAGAGAGAGTACCCCTGAAACAAAATCTCTGAACAGGAGAGGTGGGGCATCTCAGGCTGCTGGACCAAGCAAGCAGGTGCTCTGAATGCCTGGAGATTTTCCTGGGCATATAGCAGAGAGGGTTCCCTTGCACCTGGATCTCTGCATAGGAAGGGTAGGGCAGCTCAGACTGCTGAACCAGGAGAAAAGTTGCTCTGAATGCCTGGAGGTCTGCCTGGGCATGGAGCAGAGTCTTACTTTACCACAATCTATGTCTAGTAAGGGCGGGGCAACTTAGGCTGCCGAATCAAGCTAGCAGGTACTCTGAAAATCTGGAGACCTGCCTGGGCAAGGAGCAAAGAGCCCCATAGCACTAAGATCTTATGTCCAGGAATGGTGGAGCAGCTCAGGCTGCTGAACCAAGAGAATGAGTGCTCCTAATGCCTGGAGATCTGTCTGGGCATGGAGTAGAAAGGGCCCGACTGCACTATGATCTCAGGAGAGCAGGGTAGGGGACCCAGCAATGGCACACACAGATCAGTTTCAGGTCTCCAAGCTGGCTGTGACTACAAGTCTCACCATCCAGGAGAAACTGCAGCTGTAGCTCTCCTCCCACCCCAGGCTTGTGAAGAGGGAGAGCACAATTCCAGCACCTACTGCTGAGGTGCCTTCCACAGTTCTGGCTGTGGAGGCTCCTACTCTGCTCCAGAGCAGGTGCTCCAGTCTCTGGCCTGAGACTACAATGCCTGCACAGCCAGACTGCTGGGTTGCCAAGAAATGGCTGACTTAGTATGCACCCAGATTAAAAATGGTGTCCTGCTCTCAGTCCCAGGTCTAAGAAAATGTCTACAGCTTTTCTTGGTGTCTTTACCTCGCTGGACCTCCATGTATCTCCCCAAATTAGCTCCAGGGCTTAGGAGAAGCAAAGTGCAATCCCTTGGCCTGGGTTGTTCAGATCCCCAGGGGAAAGATGAGCCACAGACGAAGGCTTTCTGCCTCTCACTTATGGGGCTTCACTCACTTTTATCAGCCGGATGCCGTCACAGGGGCTGTTTGCTGTCATTCTCCTCTTTGAGATCTGGGGTGTCCATGATTCTGGTAGATTCTCATTTTCCTTTTTGAATTGAAGCTCACAGAGTTAATCTTTATGTTCTATTTTTCTGTTTCCAAGTGGCTGAGGTATGCTAAAAGCCTCTAATCTGCCATCTTGGATAAAAACAAACAAACCAACCTATAACTGTTCAGTTGTCTTTTATGCCTGTTACTAAAATATTGTCAGCATTAGCCTGTGAGTTCCAAGATTGGGTGGCATGTTTGTTTTCTTCTCTGTGCAGCAGGGAGCCCTGACACACCTAGCATGGCCATTTTTCAGGGCAGCAGGTAGTGTGACCTGACCTTGCACAGCACTGAGAGTGAGTTTTTCCTGTATTTCATGCCCTCAGCACCTAACTTGCTGAGCTCCAGCCTAGCCTCTCACCACTGCTCCCAACAGGGAGATGGAGCATCTGGAATAGACTCCAGGAGACAGAGGATGTGGAGAAGGCGGGGAATCACAGGGGGAGCCATGGCAGCCCTTTTGTTTCCTAAAGGCCAGTCCAAATTCTGTCTTAAATCCTGGCTCAGGTTGGGCACCAAAATACCTTGTACCAAAGGTCAGTTATTTGCAGTTGGCTATATTCAGCCATACTGCTTATGCCACCAACATGTGGTCACTGCACACAGGGAACCCCTTCTCCCCACCCACCTCCGATTTCCCTTTCTCTATTGTCCTCTTAACCTCTTGCTTCTCCCTGCTTCACCTGTGGCTCCGCTCCCTCTTTTTGCTCTTCCCCAACTGTTGCCATTGCAGTTTTAGGAATCTACGGTCAAGCTTTTCGTCATCCTCCACCATTACGAAGACCACTTGTGATGGTGAATTTTGTTTGTTAACTCAGTCAGGCCGTAACGCATGGGTGTTGGTCAAACTGTAGTCCAGATGTTGCTGTGAAGGAATTTTTTAGATGTGATTGACATTTAAATCAGTAGAGTTTGAGTAAAGCAGATAACCCTTCATGATGTGTTTGGGGAGGCCTTGTGCAACCAGCAGAAAGCCTGGCCTCAAGAAAAAAGACTGCAGTCCCGGAGTAAGAAGAACTGCTGTCTCCATACTGCCTTCAGACTCAAATTGCAACAACTCTATATCTCTCTTAGGTCTCCAGCCGGCAGGCCAGCCCCCACAATCACAGGATACAATTTCTTAAAATTAATCTCCCTCTGTGATGTAGTTTGGCTGTGTCCCCATCCAAATCTCATCTTGAATTGTAGTTCCCATAATCCCCACGTGTCATGGGAGGGACCAAGCAGAGACAATTGAATAATGGGGGCAGGCTTTTCCCGTGCTGTTCTCGTGATAGTGAATTAGTATCATGAGATCTGATGGTTTTACAAAAGGCAGTTTCCCCGTACACATCCTCTTGCCTGCCACCATGGAAGATATGCCTTTGTTCCTCCTTCGCCTTCCACCATGATTTTGAGGCCCCCAACAGCCATGCGGATCTGTGAGTCCATTAAACCTCTTTTTCTTTATAAATTACCCAGTCTCGGATATGTCTTTATTAGCAGTGTGAGGCTAGAGTAATGCTCTCTCTCTCTCTGTCTCTCTGTCCTATTGGTCTGTTTCTCTGGAAAGCCCTGTGTAATATACCACTCTCTCCACTCAAATGTTTTAATGGAAATGCACTTTCTCGCTGGAGGCTACTCATTTTCTGATCTACATACACTGGATCCTGGAGTGGAATATTTTCTCAGTACCCAGAACTCCCACCAGATGTTCTACCTTTTTTTTTTTTTTTTTAATAAAAGTTCATCTTCCATTGTGGCCCATATTCCCCAGTGAACCAAATTTCAGGTTGTGTTTCCTCATTAGTTGAGAGTTTGGACCTGTCTTAAAACTTCTTCTCTACCTTAACTCCTGTTTTAGATCGCAGCACATGGCCTGTCCTACCAGCCTGGCTTCCCAGTCTTGACCTCCCGCTCCAATGATCTGCATCTCCGCTCCTCTCCTTTCCAGCCCCAGAGTCCTGACCTAGATCTTGGCATCACTGCTTTCCATAGCAAAGTTGATGTTCTAGTCTTAGACTGGTCTCTTACTCTGTTAGTTTTCTTATGAGTAAGACTGATCTTTGATCTCACAGGTACCTCTGATCCCCTGGTCTCCCCACTTCCTTCTTTTCCCCCCTATGGCTGATCATCTGGACCACACTCCATCAACATTACCCTTGGCTGTCTTGGGTCATGACCATTCTTCACTAGATTCTATGGATTATAAGGGCAGAGTTTGTATTGCTTTTTTCCACCCTTCATATTCAGAGTAGTGCATTGCAAAAACAATAAATATTTGTCAACTGAATAAATTTCACACACATCCAATGAATTCCCAAGCCTGGCTCAATGCTACAAGTCATTGCTTTTGATCTTACACCTTGAGAAGCAGAATAGGGATAAAACAAATCACACAACCATGCTGACTTAAAAAAAAAAAACTGTAGTTTTTTAAAAACTACAACTTTACAACTAAAATTCATCGTCTTTTAACTCAGCTAGAATTCAGAGCTTCTCACCAACTCTTTCACTTGTTCTAGGTCAGCTTTTTCTTCCATGACCCTTACTACCTAGTTCACACCTCTACCCCCTCACTTCAAGCTTTCTTTTACTATTTCAGTCCCCGTTCTAACAATCTTTTAATTCCCATTTCATGAAAAAAAGTGAGACTATCAGGAATTGTGTTTTCCATGTGTCTACTTGGCTCCTGACACACTTTTAAAAACACTGTTCTGCACCTATACTGACCTCTTAACTCCTAATAAGTGGCCACTCTATCTGTTCCCAGCCTGGCAAGAAGCTTTGAGGCTAAACCCCTTCAGGACATCAGGGAGCCCCATTTTCTGCTCCTTCCCAGAAAGAGAGCTGTCACTGGGCAGCCAGGATTATGACGAAGCCAGGGATGGGGACCCGGGGAGGCGGCCTGTGACCTGACTTGGAGCACCTGCATGGTAACAGGAGCTTTTGAGGCCATCTACTTTCCTTCACTGAGCTTGTGGGAGAAGACAGGGTGTTCACGAGGCTGACATCAGTGATGTTCCAGGCTTCAGGTTATCCCCGGGGATCTGGAGGTAGAGGTTTTCAGGACAATGGTGCTGCTTTCTCGACAAGCAGAGCAACCCTCTGTTTGGTTCTTTTTGCCAAATAGACTTTCACTCCTCTCCCGTGGACCCAGGCTGCCCAGAGCATAGGAGGCAAGGCCCAGAGCCCGGGGAAGCCCCCAGGGCTTATTGCAGGGCCAGAGACTTGCCAGAGCCTGCTGTGGCCAGGCCCCACTTGAGCTGGGACTTGGGCTTCTGATTCCATTGGGTCTCATACAGACCTTTGTTTTATGGATATTTAAAAATCACAGAAATGCTAAAGGTCAGGCCTGGGACCCTTGTGACTTCTTTACTGGCCCAGTGGTCACCTCTTCCATCACAAAGGTCACTGAGTGTGGCTGGGCTGATGTGATTTACCTACCTTAAAAACCTTATGTACTATGAAGGAGAATTTAGTAATGCCTTTTTTCCTAACCTTCTTGTTTTTTTGATTTTTTTTAATCTTCTCCACCCCTGTTTTGTTACAAAACACCTCTGAGTCGGATTCTAGTCTCCCCGGAAGTCCTGGGTGGTAGAGGCTTTTCTTTGTGGTGATTATGGGCTCTCAATTAGAAATTAAGAGAGGCCTCCATAGCCAGCCCCTTTGGTCATAAAGCCATCATCTTGTCCTCTGGAAAGAGGTGATAAATGACACTCAAACAGAAGACTAGCTCTGCGGGAGACCCCGGCCCTGTGACTCTTTCTGTGTCATCTCAACCTCAGGCCAGGTGTGCACATCCCGCAGGAGCTCCAGTCACCCTTGTGAATGATCCTCATTCTCTGAAAACCAAAGAGCCTGCACATGGCTAATAGGACAAGCTGCAACTCCCCCAGAGGACTCACAAGGCCCTTTCTAGCCTGGCTCCCCACTTCCCACCTCATGCCTCTCCTGGTCCCTGGGAGTCCCCACCCCAGGCCTCTGTGCTCTGTACCCTCTTGTCTGCATTGCTCCAGAGCAGCTCAAATAACTCCCCTCTGGGAGAGTCCTCGGTGTGACCCTCTGCCCCACATTATAGGCATGTGCTCTCGGCGCTGTTCTGCAGCTGGCTCTGGGTAGCTGATGGAAAAGGGTCACCACCTGCTCATCCGTGTGCCCAGCAGCTCCCAGCACCATGCCTGATGCCAGATGGGAGCCTGGGAAGAGCTTGCTGAATAATGAAGGGGCCCTAGGTGTGCATGTGAAGGTCTGAGCAGTGCCTGGACTTGTCAGAGGCTAGAGGGGTCTGCCCAGGCCCAGGGTGGGTTTGGGTGTCTGCCTCTTTCCCGGCATCTTTTGGGAGATGCAGCGGTTGGCTGCATTGCACCACCAGTATTTGGGCAGAAGGGGTCTCTGTAGGTGCAGAACACAAGTTCTCAAGGCTGCTACAGTTGAAGGAAGCTACTTTGTAGTTGAATAGATTCAGACTTCTTGAAAACCCAGCTCATGCTCATTAACTGCTATCCTGGGAGGCACTCAGGACCTTTAGTTTCTTGAAAGCAATGCCCCCCTGCATTTGGCCTCCCATTGGAAGATATGTTTCAAGATCCCTCTCCACACAGAAGACAGTTTCTTGCCCCTCTCCTCGCATCCCAAAACTCACCTGTCCTTTTCTTTAAAATATTGTATGCAAAGGAGTTTCTCCTTGTATTTGTTTCTCCTTGCATTTGTAACAGATGTAATTGGGAAGTGATTCCTGAACTAACTTTTTCTCCTATTGTTACAGGTTAATGTCAACAATCAGAATACTAATATAGTAAGAGTTAATTAATTTTTTGGATTCATACATAATTTTTAAGTAATATGCCAACTGTCCAAATACTATGTACTGGTTTTCTTGCCTATTAATTTGATGCTTCCTTTTCATATAATTTTTCCCCATAATGAGATATCACCTTACAATAGTGAGGATGGCTGTTATCAAAAGAACAAAAGATAAAAAGTGTTGGTGAGGATGTGGAGAAATTCGAACTCTGGCGCAGATGGTGGGAATGTAAAATGGTATAGCCGCTATGGAAAACAGTAGGGAGGTTCCTCAAAAAGAGGAAAACAGAACTAATATAGGATCCAGCCATTCCACTTTTAGGTATTTATCCAAAAGAATTGAAATCATGATCTTGGAGAAATATTAACATGCTCATGTTCATTGTAGCACTGTCAAGATGAGCTAAGATGTGGAAACAACCTAAATGTTCATCAATGGGCGAATAAAGAAAATGGGTAGATACAGACAGTGGAATATTACTCGGCCTTAAAAAAAAATGAAAATCGTGCCATATGTGACAACATGGATGGACCTGAAGGACAGTATGCAAAGGGAAATAAGCCAGTCACACGAGCATTAACTGATTTTCCTACATGCAGTAAGCATCCTCTTAGTCATCTCTTCTTACTGATTCCCTGCCTCTATGGTAGCTTTTATTAAGGTGGTCGACCAAGAATGGGAATAATTATGGCTATTATTTGTTGGGCATTTATTCTGTGCCAGTCCAGGGCTATGTGGTTGACATTTCTCTTTCTAGTCCTCACGGTGGTCCCACCTGGTAAGTATGGGCATCAGTGTGACATGTGGCGGTGAGTCCAGGCTCCGGACTGCACCACATGCGTTCAGCCCTGTTTTTTTCAGTTAGCAGCTGTGAAGGCTTCTGACTCACTCCAGGCCCTAGTTTTCTTATTTGTACAAAGTGGGTACTAATAGCACACAAACTAGAGGGTTTTAGCAAGAACTAAATGAGCTAACACATGCTAAACACTTAGGACAAAGCCTGCACATAGTAAGCAATTAAAAAAATCACTTTGTATTCTACATTATACAGAAAGAGAAAGTGAGTTAGAGAGATTAAGTAACTTGTCTGTGCTGGAATTCAATCCAAGGCCTTTGACCTGTTTTATGCCAAAGCTCAATCTCTTCTCAACTATGTGGGAACATGCAGAAATAGCTTGTTGTTGTCAGAACTGGGTTTTGAATGCAGCTATTGGGTTTTGCCACACGCTAACCTGCCTTTGGGCCTAGATGGTGGTTTGTCTTGGCTGGTCGGATACGGAGGGCTGGAGGTTCCTCATTTTATCCTCTTTTACTGTACCCCTCTACGTTGGCCTTCAGGGGGCGCCATTGAGCTGTATTCGCTAGGTTCCAGGAGGAAGGACCTCAGTACAATTTGAAATTACACATGATGAAAAGAAAAACTCAAAGGCCGAAATCCAAACTGCTAAGACTTTTGTCTTTATGAAAAAACAGTTCCTGAAAAACAAAATTCCTCCCCTGGAAGAATGAGAGGACTTTTCAGAAGTCAAGGTTATTGCAATGTTTTTTTTTTTTTTTTTTTCTGTGCTCAACATATCTGTACTTAAAAAAAAAAAACAACAAACAAAAACTATAAAGTTACTTCAAAATAGAACAAAACAAAAAAGCACCAAAGACACTGAAATACAAAAACTTTGGAGACCGGAGATAATTTTCAGAACCTGCAACCTTAACCTTGTCAGGGAAGGTGTTCTAAAACCTGTCTCTCCATCCACAGAATAAAACAAATGTTTAACTCTGGTTAATGCTAACAAGGATCTAACACATCAGAGAGCATGGAAGCCCTGGAAAATAATTGCGACCAATTTTCCTTTGCTGATTTGCCAAATCTGAGGTTCCAGACGGCATGACTTCCCTGGAAGCATTCAACAGGAAAGCCCACCTGTCTCCATGGCCAGCCTTAGCCCACCTGGGGCCTTGCCACACCTACTATCTGACCTCTGGCCTAATCCCAATGCCAGCCTGTGAAGCCAGCTTCTATGTGGAACCAGTGCTCTTGGAGAATTGTCAAAGCCCTATGATGACCCTTTGTCCACAAATGGTGTACAGTCTGATCATTCTTTGTCTCTCTCTCTCCTCTCAGGCATACATTAAGTGTGGGAGAGAGCTATCCTGCTCAAAAGAGAGTGCTCCCCATTCTGACACATCTGGAAATCATCTGGCAAATGTCTTCTGACCGTCTCTGAGTGAAAAAGCCTTCGAGTGCATCAGCCCATTTCAGCTCCACAACTTTCTCTTGTGATCATCCCTGTTTTACAGGATATGGAGGGGTAAGGTGACTTCAGTGTCACCTAGCTCCTGGAGTCGCTATGTCGAGGTTCTGGCTCTTTTGATTTAAGTCCAGGAGTCTATAAATGACCAGATCTTCCACTTTTGCTGAGCAGAACCTGAGGCTGAAGCTAAAATTCACACAGCTTCATCCTTCATTGGCTGTCTCTCCTCACCTTTGCAGGGCTTCCTGGGGCTGTCCTGATAAGAGAACCTTTGCTATGATCCCCTCAAATCCCTCCCTTTGGCAAAATGATTAGGGCCTATCTGATGGAATGTGAGGTACACTCAGAAGTCCCCTCCAATCTCCCGCAGGGTCCCCGATTTTGATCTTAGCCTTCCTGGCTTCATGCTCACCACTACCTGCTGCAGCCCTGGCCAGAATCCTTCCATTCTGTAGAATGCAAACACCTTCAGAAGGGGATGGCTACTTTCATCCCTAAGGTCTTACTGTGATCTGGTTTAGAACTCTTTTCTTTGCGGAAGGGGGAAAACTAGGAGTAGGAAGCAAAAGGAGAAGGGTCAGGAAGTGCTAAGGGGAAGGGATGGGGTGCTGCCTTTCCATGTGGCTGACGGCCGAACTTGGTTCTGGGTGCATGGGTTCTGAAAGCACCCTCGATGACACAAAGTGTGTTTAAATACAGGGTGTCCTGATGTGGGATGCAAAACAACACCCACCCTCTCCCCCGGCCTACCCTCATAAGCCGAATATTAATTTTACACTCCACAAACACTTTGATGGCATCAATGCGGTATAACAGTACATTCTGTTTTCTGCCATGCAGTGTGGGTGATCACTCAGTGCTCTTCGGTAGTGATGAAAGAATCAGACTCCACTGCAGAAAACACCTCATTCTATTCTCAGAAGGTCAGTCATGAGAAATGGAGCTTTCTTTAAAACAGGCTTACAGAAAACAAAAACACGAACTTTTTAGCTTATTAACGAAAAAGCTCTCCATCTGCTTTTTTTTTTGTTGTTGTTAATAAACAGATATAGTTAATAGTTTACGGATTTTAGCTGTGGTTTTTCCTTTTTCGTTTGTTTGTGAAATGTTTTTGCTTTTCAGTTTTAAGAAGAAATTTCACACCTCCCTCTGAATTTCTCATGACTTTGACTGCTGAGCTAAACTTGCCATTCTTGTACCCCGTGCTGTGCTGATAAGAGAATCTTTGCTCTGTAACCCTCAAACACAAATATCTCCCAAATGTGGAGACATTTCAGGATCTCTCCACAAATACAATCTTTAAGACTTACACTTTGGCAAATCTTCAAGCCCCAAACACCTTGCCACTCCATCAGTGGCCCTAATTCAGAGTGTATACCTCTCTGAAGGCCACCGGGGTGTGATCACGTGGGAGACATCTGAGCAATCTCCAGGGTCACTGGGCAACCCCAGACACACACAACCTGCCCAGAGGGGCCTGGTGTATTTCTTTCTCAGGCGGCAGCTGGATTCTAACTTACTGCAAACAGGTCACATTCAGTGACTTGACGCACAGATGGGACATGGCAATGTCAAGCAGCACTCTTTCTTCATCGCTGTCCCTATTTCTTCCCTCAGTGTTTCAGCCAGGGTGGTCCTGATAAGAACTCTGTGGGCAACCAAGTTCAGCTCCTGAGCTCATTTAGGGTAGATGTGGAAGGAGCTAGGTGAGGAAGGAGGAGAGCAGGCTCTGGAAGGGCGTGGCAGCCTCCCTGTCATTCTTTCTCTCTCCTCCCCTTTTCCTCCCTACTGTCCTTACATGAACGGTTTTCCTGGGTTTATCCTCTTCTCCTATAGGTGATAAAATCTCCCCCACCTCTCACAACACCTCCAATAAGGACAAAGGAGGGCTGGCATGCTCCTTCTGGTGGTCATTTGTTGCAGGACACCAGTATAGACTGTCACCCAAGTAGCAAGAAGAGAGGGGTCTCTTTTGATTTCTGGGGCGAGCCTGGCACTGATCTGGCTGGCTTACATGACTCAGCCAGGCTCAAGCTCCCCCGTGTCCCATGGCGGGAGGGTGTTTGCAGCTGTGAGTAGGTCCAGTCACAGTGACCCCAGCAGCGCCAGGTCAGGGTGGGCGGTGGGGCAGCGGGCGGGGGCGGGGGGCCTGGCAAGCCCCAGTTTCTGCTGTTGCATCTGCTGGATTCAAGCCTTGGCAACCAACTCCACCCGCTTAACAACAATTCATGGCATCTCATTACTCTTTCCTTTTCACTTTAGTTAGTAACTGGGTTCAGCCCAGGAAACTCTGGCTTCCAATCCTTGAGTGTTTTGACTTGGGGACCGTAAACTGTCTGATTTCTTGGACAAACATAATCTTGAGGAACTTTTCTCTTTACACAATGGCTAGGCTCTGTGAATGTCATGGCTCCCCATTCAGGCCTTGGTAGATTTTTTTCCCCCTTCCTACAGACGTCAAACTACTTAAAATAAATATTCCCTTTGGTTTTCGGGGCTCTTTCCTTTGGATTACTCACCTTTATCTTGGATTGGACGGCAGCTGGAAGGCAGAGATAGGGTTCATGGTGACTCTTGCACAGAGGCGGAGGAATCGCCTAGGCCAGGGAACCCAACCTAGGATTTAGTTTTTAGTGATTCTGGGGCTCACCTTTGACGTTGAAGATTTCACTGTTTTTGCCATATGGTGCCATTTATCCATGTGTGACTTTCCTATTTGGAGTGACTGCTAATCGTCTCCTTGCTCCAACTTCCCCTCCTCTGTGTCCCCTACCCAGCCACCATAGTTCTTTCCAAAGCAAATATGGTCATGTCTCCCCACCTCCTGCTACTGGGAACCTCTGAGGCCTCAGAGATAAAGTCTCATTTCTCAGTCAGGCAAACCGAGCCCTTCATGGTATGGCCCCTCTTACCTTCCCAGTCTCTTTCCCGCACACTTCCCTAGGCGGCCCCTGCTTCAGCCCCCCTCCAAACGCAGGGTGTTGGCTTATGATGTGTGAGTCCTTCTGCCTAACATTTCTCTTCCTTCCTTGTCAGAGTCCAACTTATCCATAAAGACCCATTTCAGATGGTACTGTGTGAGGCCTTCCTATACAGAAAGCGTCCCTCCATCCTTCCTCTGTGTAATATATATATTAGCAATCACTGCATTATGTTGTGGTTAACAACTTTCCAGCCATCCAAATAGCAGCTAGCTTACTTACTGTTACAATTATTATTTTAGTGCAAATAGACTAATTACCTTAATTCTTTTTCTTCTCCTTTTTTGTCCTCCCTTTTCTCATTCGTTTTGGTGGCTAGTATTATTTTTGCAAGCTTTGCTGAACCTGGTATTGTGCCTGGCATTCTAGAAAAAAAAAAACAGTTTTACATGCTGACTTTTGCCCTATCAAATATCTGCAATGCCTAGATGCAGACCAGGCATTTTGTGTCTGCTGCTATCTCATTTAAATAACACACACACTCTGTGAGCTAGATGTTTCGTTTTTTTAATTTTCACATGAGAAAAACCAAGGCTTAGCGAGTTTAAATACATTTTTCAAGGTTAGCAGTGGCATAATTTAGACTCAGGTCTCTCTGATCCCAGATCCTGTGCTGGGTTGGACTACCCCACAGAACTGCACAGGGAGTCTGTGTGTGGGAGCCGGGCCAGAAGGACTGTGCCCCAGCAGCATACTGTGAGGGTTGACCTTTCTGTGCCTTCATGCTCTGTTTGTGGGATGGAAATGGAAACCTTAACTTACAGTCCTTGGGATGGTTGCTAAGGGCAACAGGTTTGTATGAAAGCACCTGCAATTGTTAGACAGAACAAAAAAGTAAGATGACTGGGTCTTTTCCACCCTTCTCCAGTCTTATTCCTATCCCACCCTCAAATTTATAGTGCTTTCCTAGTCAGAGAGATTCACCCCTGGAGAAAGTCAGCTGCAGTTAGATTGATTGCTAGGTAAAAACCAAGGGTTTCATATCTCTAAATGGGGTGCAAGAGCAAGTGGGTCTGGTGGACTTAGGTGTGGGAATGTCAGAAACCGCGTGGAGACCAGGTCACACTGAGTGTAGGTTGGGGAAAGCTTGTAAACAGAGCGTCCGAGGAAAAGAGAAGTTGGTGGGGGAGGAACGTGACTGCCAGGCAGCATTCTCTGGGCTGAGGCAAGCCAAGGTCCAGGCACAGGGGTGTTGAGTGAGCACCCTAAGTGTCGGGATCCTGGTGACAGGCGCATTCTCTGTAACACCCAGCATCACCGAGTGTGGGCCCTCCTGCCCTCTGGGATCCTGTCCTTTATTCCTTTCTTTTCATCCAGACCTAGGATCCACTGGAATTGATCTGTCAGTGCGTGTTTATTAAAGCATCTACTGGGTACAGGACACCGAGAAGATACAGAATTGTAAAACTCTGATCGTGGGCCTTATTCATAAGAAGCTTGGCTGGAAAAACGTAGATAATAGATTCCTACATTGACTCACTCTTTTAGCCATTATTTATTGGATGCTTTCTTGTGTTTCAAGGTAAAATGGAGGAACACCAGTGAACAAACAACACGCTGGGGTGTGGTAGTTGTTGCTATTCAGAAAAAGAACACCTGCGGGGGGGAAAAGGGTGAGTGGAGGAGGGGATCTGTGAGCTGTTTGATGTAGAGTGGTTGCCGAGCCGGGGGCACCCCTGATGCAAAGTCAGAGCCAAGCTCACAACTTTATTGCTGCCCATGGTGGTGGCAACCTCACTCTCGTTATTGAAACAGGACACGTGGTCTAATTGCTGGCTTTTATTGACTGAGGTATTTGAAACTTGGTCTTACTTAAAAAATTCAGTGTGGGTTGTTGCCCTACTGAGCTGATTGTGCACCTTAGTTCTATGGTCCCTGCAATGAGCTGCTGCCCTCTGTGAGTTCCCTTCTGGTGATTAAATGGGGGGAGTAAGTGCAAGAAGGCCGGCAACAGGCAGTAGCAGCTAGTATGTCTTCCTGATTCTCAGTCACCTTCTTTTAGCACTGTTTTTTGGTTTCCTGCTGAAAAAAGACAACTGAAGCCAGTCACCCTGCAAGTTCACCGGTGCCTGTCACCTCTCTCTCAGGCCCGGGAGCCCCGCCCCTGCATTGGCATCCCCCCACCCCACCCCCCAACCCCGCTGCCCGCTCTCCTAGGCACGCGGCCTGCCTGGTTGTGAAACTTCTTGTTTGGGGAGTAATCCTATCTCGCCCTATCTGCCCCAGTTATGCTGAAGTCAAGCGAGGACTGTTTTGTCAAAGCCGACCGGTGCCCAGAACCCATCTCTGAGTTGCTACCCACCTCTTCTCTTCAAAAACAGGAAGTCACCTCAGGCCAGAGTAAATCAGTCCTAATACCCTGGGGTGTGCATTTTGTTAGAGCTCAGAAGGTTGGTTTAAAACTTGGCAAGTTAGATCCCTGGATGGCCTGGGCATGTTCTTTTTGTTTTCTCCCAAGCTTCTTGATTTCTCCTTCGCCCTGACCTTTACTCTTTGATTCAGAGTCAAGCTTCTTGGGTAGACCTTCAAGAAAGGTCAATGGTGGGTTTAGAGCCCCTCCCAGGGATTTGAGGAGCCCATACTGCAGGTAGACAGTTGACTTTGGGGGTTGGAATAAAGGATAAGGCCCCAGATTCTGGACTCCTTTTTTTTTAAATCTTATTTGGTTTTTATGTTAGTTTTATGTTAGCTGACACTACTGCCTCACAACTAAAGTGATACATTTATTTATTTTATTTATTAATTATTATATAATGTAGAACAGTCTAGTTTTATTGCTTTTAAGTGATAAAGAGCCTGTCTTTGCTCCCCCCCAACCTTTTTTTCTTTTCTTTTTTTGGGACATACATTAAGTTGTGAATCAGATGTTAAGCGATGTGGAGACGGAAGGAAAATTGATGACTTCATAATATTTTTACAACTTTACAACGAATATAAATCTGAGTCTGTTGCATGTACCAGGGTCTAACAAGGGCAGAAAACAAAGGCAAACTCAGGTTTATGAACGCTACCCCTACACACAGAGGTGCTGGGGGACGGGGGATAAATCCTTAAATGCAGAAGACCAGCTCAATACATGTGGGCATTTTAGGGTTAACACTGCAGGTAATAGGTTGTGGAAAGCAGGAATGTGGGATGTAAGTTTTGACACAGGTCTCCTTAGCACAGCTGGGGCAATGATGGCCACAAACACAAGAAAAGACAGCGGCTTAAGTCAATGGTGGGCGTGGTACCCTCCGAACTCTCAGGAGTCAATCACAAGGGGCAGGGTGACATCCACCCATCACTTTCCTAATTCCTAAATTCTGCACTTCTAAAGACAATTCAAGGAAGCAAACAATATCTTGGTTTCTAGAAAAGATGTCTGGGTTCTAGGGGACAGAGTTCATAGAATGTGAACATTGATGCCACTACAAAAACAAGTTTAAAAAAAAAAAAGTAAAAACAACCACCTAACCTAAGCAACAGCAAAACTGCAAGGAGCTTTTGGAACAAACGGCTGTGCCCTCAGCCTCAAACTACATACTCAGGCCTCAAGGTGACCTCTCTGATTACGGAGGCATCACCTTTTCACTACAAAGTGACACATTTATGTATTTCATCATCAAGAAGGAAAATACCAGTTTTGCTTTTTAGGAGGCATGCTTTTAGCTTTATCCTAAGCTGCTATTATCATTTGGGGATAGATCAAGACACAGACACAAGAACTCAAGTGGCTGGTGATCAGGGCCACCCGAAGGGAGTGTGTCCAGGGAGTCACCTCTACAGCATCGCTGACTGTGTTCACGTCCACACAAGAACATTCTTCATAAGACCCCAGCTGGACCTGTGCTCACCTGTGGGTCGGGCGATGCCGCCCAGCACAGATATCTGATGCCTGGAGCTCTTCCCCTCCTGGTCTGGTGTCTTGGCTGCATTGCCTCCCTCTTCCTCTCTTCTTCTAATCGTCATCCATTCTGATCTCTCCCTCTTTTAAATCTGAATTCCTTCCTGTTTGGAAATAAGAAACCTTTAGGGCTGATAGACTTAGTGAATAATGAATAAGTGTGTTTCCTTACTCCATCATTGATGAGATATCCCTACCACCCTGCCCTGCCATGTGATTGTCAGCTGCTGAAGAATGTTAAAACCTAGAAAGGAATCCAAGGGTGAAATCAGTTGCTGGGGAGGGGAAGGTGGAGTTTCAGCTAAGACCCAAGGCTTGCAAGACAGGAGTGTTGTGGGAGGGACTCGTGCTGAGTGACCTCTGAATCTGGCCACCTACGAGTCCACGCTTCTCCCTCCTCAGCTTCCTCTCGGAAGTGCCTTGGGGACCGAACTTCCTGCTCCAAGCTCTTTGCTGTCCGTTCATCTGCCCCAAGAACATCCCTGGAACTCCCAGCGTGTGGCTTCTTGGAAACACACGTGTGGCATTTCCTCAAGGCAAAAGCTCTGTATTTCCCCAGGCTCCGACACGTGTCATGGCCAGAAGGAGGGATGCTGGGTTGGGTCCTGGAGCTCCCTCTGCGAGAGAAGTTAAGAAAGTTTACAGCTTTGTCTTGAGACATTTGCTGAAGTCATGTTTCAAGAGGCAAATCACATCTGCTGCAACATGAACCGACCACCAGGCAGTAAGATGCACAGGTTCTCAGGCTCTGAGACCCTATGGGAAATTGCCTATAGGGCCCCACAGCCTGGGAAACTGGCCTAGAGGTTTTATGAAGTGACTAATATCCTACAGGGAACAGCCGGGTCCCAGGACTTGCATCATGGTCAGCAGACCGGCCCCTCTCTGAGCAACACCCTTGGGATTATTCACGTCCATCTGGAAGAAACTAGTCTCTGAGTTTGATTCAGGACTTCTTTCTCTTTCCCACCTCTTACCCCAGCCATGTAATTTGCACATCGTTTTATATTTTCTATTGGGAAATCACAAAGCATCTAAAAGGCAAGCAGTGGTTCTCAAGCTGCAGCCAAAGGTATGTGTGTGGGGCCAGGGGAGGGGGAAGCGCATTGCTGTTGAGAAAAGGGAGGGAGGGAGAGAGATTGACAGAGAGAGAGAGGACATGGGAGAAGGGGCCAGGAAGCTGGGTCTTTCCGGTTTGACACTGTAATCTTACACTTGATGATCCTGTCGCATTGGATACTACATGACAAAATTCAAATGAATTTACTTTTAAAAATTTGGATGATAGAATTGGGTGAAATCTTGCCACAGACACAAAATGTTTTTTTCTCCATTTGGGAGCATTGGCTGGCAGAGATGTTTTATGTCTAGATATTTCACAGGCTTAGCCAAGCATGGGGTCCTGCTTGGTGACTGTTTTCCGTAGCGTGAAGGATCTCCAAATCCCTCATCATTCTGAGCTCCCCAAACACTGAATTTTACCCTGCCAGCCGGGGCACCTGGCAAGTGGGTAATTGTCTAAGATTTGGTTATTCTTTCTTCTGCAATGGGGGCAGGTAACGATTGGGGCTAGAAGAGGCCCAGGAAGAAAGAGAGAGTTGGAGTGGATATACCTGGGATTTGATGACACCAAAATGATTTTAAATCCGGATTTCTTGGCCATACCACTTCATTAACAATTTGAGATCCAGTTTCTTCCTGTGAAAAATGTCAGTGTTTCTGAGTGTCTAGTATGTTGCATTGCATGTGGTAATTGTTCAATAAATACAGCCATTATTATGATTTACTAGGATCAGCTTGTTTTACTCAAGTGAAACCAGAACCCAGGCTGGAGCCTCGCAGAGAGGAGGGATTTGGAAAATACTCCTTGAGTGGAATTCAGTGATTTGTTTAAGGTGACAAGCCTAGAACCCAAGTCTCTGGCCCCCAATACAGGACTCTTTAGAAACAGTTTCACCTTGCTCATTCTCTGAACTGGTTTGCTCTCTGTTTTCAATAACAGAAACACCAGAGGCTTTCGCACAATCCCTTTTTCCTGAAGCCAACTCTGCTGAGGATGTGATGTGGATACGGGTAAGTTAGCTCAAGTTGCTGCCCCAGAACAGCTGGCTTCTCTGACTGAAGCCCGCTGGGTTGGAGCAGCTGGAGGCTGAGCTGGAGGTGGAGGAGAAGAAGGAAAAACGTCCATCCAGAAGAGGAACTGTCAGATAAAGCTCTCTCCCCTGTAGGCCTGGCGAGAGGTTGATAAGCCATCTTCAGAGATGTGCAGGGAGTGTCTGCCTCTGTTTCCGTGCAAAATCATGACTCAGGAATATTGTTCACATCCTCAGGATAGCACAGGGGCTAAAAATAAATCAGAAATGCCACCCAAAAAGACCTGATGAGGGGGCAGTGGCGGTGGGAAGCTTCAGAGAGTCTAAAGCAAGGAGCCCAGATGGACGGGTGCCTGTGCAGGTGGGAGAAGGAAGAGAGAAAGAAGCAAAGAAGACAAGGAGGCTGGCTGTGTGCTGGACCAGGGGCACATAGAAAGGGAGGGAGAGATGGAGTCAGACAGAATCTGATACAGGAGAGGCAGTGCAGGAAGGACAGTCCTGAGCAGGAGATGGTGTCTGTGGCACCGTGGAGCTGGCATTTGAAATGGCAAAACAGGGTGGGTGCTTAGCGGGAGCCTCCCCACCGCTCAGCCCTGCACCGCCTCTGTCCTTCTGGGTGATGCCATATGTGTCTTTAGTTATCAGCTCCATGCTGGTGACCCCAGATCTTCATCTCTGACCCTGATCTCTGCCCCAGGGTTGGTCCATGATCTTCAGCTGCTCTAACAGGGACTTTCCAGCCTTGTTCTGGGAAGTCCTCGAGATCTGAGTGTGAGGGTGGGGGGCTGAGGGCTAGGGCTCATAGTGCCTCTACTTTCAAACCAGGGCAGCTCCCTTTAATTTATTTTGTATATTGGGTTTCCTCAAAAGTGACCCCTTCCCCATCTGTTTTCCTGGCCTCCCCCAGCCCTGCCTGCCCTTCTGCAGAGACTGCCCCTGCCTTCACCCAGTCACTCAGACCCAGGAGCCAGCTTTCCACCGACACTCCCAGTCCATGCTACTGCTCAGAAATGCTCGGACTTGGCATTTTCTCCCCTGCCTGCGGTGCACCCCTCAGTCCCATCCTGCCCAGCCTAGGCTGCTGCGGCCCCTGACTTGCCTCCCTCCCCTCTTTCCCTTCCGGGCTGTCCACCACTGTTGGATTAATCTCTCCCCCACCTACACTGTTTTGCCGCTCACCTTTCAAAATCCTCCACTGGTGCTCTTTGGCCTCTCATGGACGTCCCCTGACAAGAACTCAAAGGCCCTCCTTGCCCGGTGCCCTGCATGTCCGACCCATCTCCCTGACCAGCTGCCCCCTATACAATCCGGGTGCACCCTCCCTCAGGTTTGCTTTTCTTTCCCCACCCAGGAATACCCTCCACCTCATTTACCCATCCTTTGGTCGTCTTCAACTCCAGCCTTTTCTACTTCCTTCTCCAAGACTCCCCTACTTATTTGAGCTCATTCCTTTTCCTGAACACTTGCCATCTTTGCAGTCTGGGATGCAGAGCTAAAATTGGCTGTACGCAGCCTAACTCAATGGTGAGTGCAGAGCCTGGACTTGCTCTCTGCATCCCCTGATGCTACAAATGCTGCTCCCAGCACCCAGCTGGGTCCTCCGGCTCTGTTTCCATGGTGCCCACCTTCCTTCACTCCCCACCTTTCCTAAGGCACAGTGGGCCTCCTCTGCCCGACTCATTTTGTTCCTGAGTCACTGCACGTCTTAGGTGGTTTCACGTACGCAGGCCTCAACTTTACATGTATGCAGGCCTATTGCTTTCGGTCACTCTCAGCTTCCAGGGCGGTCTTTGTGTCCCCAGCCTTTCTGTTTTTTCATTGGCAGTGGAGCTGCCTAGGCCCATTCTTATCTTTACACTTTAGCCATAGCAGCCTCTTTGTGGTTGAGGCAGGCCAGGCTTCCTCCAACCAGGGCTGCCTACCAGGTCCGTGCCATCCCTTTCCATCGTCTCTGGGCTCCTCCTCCTTGCTCCTCAGCCTCTTCCTGAAAGTCACTTCATAGGAGATGCTTTCCCTGACCTCCCAGGTGGAGCCAGGTGGCCTGTTCTGTGCTCTCAGAGCCTCCTGTGCTTTTCTGCCACAGAGCTTTTCGCAAGCTCAATCCCCCATCTCCCTGCAGGCCATATGCACCACTGGGACGGGGGCCTAGGGGGTCTATGTTGCTCTCTGCCCTGATCCTAGCACTGAGTACTATCTAGTATAGCTCAGGTCAGAATATAAATTTGTTGAAAAACTACAGTAGAAGTGCCTTGGATTCGGGAGTGCAGGGCCAGTTGGTACTGGACCCAGGGATCCTGCCTTTCAAACACACTACTGGTATCCTGACATCACTTTCCACTGCTGCCTTTTTTTTTTTCATGTTGAGCCAAGGGTCAGCTTGGAAAAGACATTGCTGTCCCACTACCTTCTCTCCCATTCCTTGCAATAAAAAAGAAATCTCTGGCTAAAATTCTCTACTCCTCCAGTATTCATAGAGCCCCTTCTCCACCTCCTACCTCCCATCCCTCTCCCCGCCTCCCCCAGCCGGGGCACAGATTGGAGGCAGCAGACAAACGCAAAGACCACACCTCTGCCGACCTTGTGCTTCTCATCTCTAAGACAGATCTGGAGGCAAAGCTGGAAATCAGGAGGGAAGAGAAGCAGCCCCCCACACACAGCACAGAGCCTGGCGGGGAGTAGGGTTGGGACCCCTGAAAGAGACCTGTGGAGGATCAGTCACGTTGGATGAAAGAGCCCCCTGCATTCATTTGTCCATCCACCCAACCAGTGACCCCTGAGTGCCAACCTGGGGCGTGAGACAAACCTACTTTCTCATAGAGCTCGGGCTAGTGGGGAACTCAGGCACTACAGAGGCCCACAAACCACAGCTTGCAAAGAGATTTTGCGGCTATGAAAGGGGCAGCTGGGGTCCCAGGCTGGAGAATCGTGTGCCCCTGCCTTGGCCCAGGAGGTGGAGGACAGGAATAAGGTGAGTTATAGATGCATCTCACTGCCTACCTCCATTCCGCTCACTATTCCATCTTTGGTGACTTTGGTGACTTTTCTCTTTTAGTCATCTCAGAGCCTCTCTCATGTATTCACATCCCCATTTTCTGCTTTCCACATTCTCTCAGCTGCTCCTTGTCTATCCTAACCCTAGAGACCTAGAGGCTTCCTTTTCTTTCATGCTTGGCTTTTCCCAGTGAAAGCCCTGGAGTCCCTAATCTCCCTTTCTCCCCTAATCATCACCCTTTCTCCCCTAATCACCCTTTCTCCCATAATCACCAGACCTCATAGACTTGGGGGCTAGAAGAAAACTTCAAAGTAAACATGCCTGGTCTCCTGGCCTTCTGGACCTACCCCTTCTTCCCCAATTCTCTCCCTCATTCACCATCACTCCATTCTTTCCTCTCCTCCCTCTGCCTCTCTCCACCTCCTGGTGCTGCTATCCCATCTGCCGGGCAGGATGATGAGTGGTCTCAAGTCAGGAAGGAGAGCCCCTCCCCTGGGCAGCTCCTCTTCCCAGGCACACGGAAAGACCTTGCTTTGGTCATTGCCTTTCTGATATGGGGCAAGTTGATTAGCCATAGTTCTGTGGTTGTCACTTCATCCTTCCCTGCTTTTGTCCTGTGCTTCTTTGTTCTGTCAAACTCACAGGAGAAGGAAGTAGGCAATTTACTGTTTTTCTGGAGAAAGGAGAATGCAGGGAAGTGAGGACCCAGAGATGTTTGGGCTGTGCTTTTTGATACATGGTCTGCGGCTTTGTTAGATCCCCCTCCCTTTCTTTCTTGATGCAAAATGCTTTAGAAGGAGGAAAATTGCATTTAATGTTTGAGTATTCTCTTTCTCCACAGATGTCCGGGAAGCTGGTGTCGGTGGCGGGCTGTGTTCTCAGGCCCAGGGACGCTGTGGCAGGGACTGGATGGGAATGCAGCAGGGCCGTGTATTAGCTGTGCAGCCTTGGGAAAAGTACTTCATTGTTCTGAGCCTCATTTTCTTATTTGTCTGTTCTGATTGCCTTTCAGTGACACCATAGAGATTATTTTTCAGCTTGCTCCTCTGTGAGGATCAAATCTATTGAAGTATCTAAAGTACCTGGCACAGGGTCCTGCACATACACCTCATTTAAATGATCAAGTACATACTAAGCAGCTCATGTTCAATTCTGAAAACTGTCCTGGGCCTGGGCCATGTGTTCGGAGTGTGGAGAAGAGGGAGCCAGTATTCCCCTCCCCTGGTCAGGGGGCCTGGGTCTGCGCCAGAGAACAGAAGGGCCGGCAGCCAGGCCTCTGTCCCCAAGAGCTGGGGCGCACATTAAAGCCTGTCATGGCTCAGGAACTGGGCCCGCTGCGCTGGGCATCTGGATGTTCTTAGATCTCTGTCTGGATTCCTTCTGCTTGTCTTGTGGAATTACTTATCAGCAGCAGGCAGACCAGACCCTGGGCTTTCCTCCCCACATGGCCCAGCCCCAGGCCTTCCTATCCGTAAACACTAGTGCAGGGGATGGGGGAGTTGCTTCAGGACCTGTGGATGAGGCTTCCCTGTGTGCTCCTCGGCCCCCTACGGCAGCTGCTGCTGTCTCTGTACAAAAGCAGGACCTCCAGCCTGTGCCCAGCTGCCCTCAGCAACCTGCATCTTCAGATGAGAGATGTGTAGGAATCAGAAGGGAATTTCAAAATTATTTGAAAAGTGTGACTGTTGAGGGCTGTCACTTGTATCTACTCCCTGGACCATTTTTCCCCCACAATACTCCTGTTATCACCCCCTTCCCTCCAGGGTTGATTCCACTTTTCTTTGGTTAGACCCATGGTGACATCCCTTTGCGCTTGTGAATCCGAGGGTGGAGGCGGGTTGGTGTTGGAAACCATGCCCGGCCTTTGCAGTTCTGTCCAATCAGCAATTCTAGGCAGGAATTTCAGGGATGCAGGGAGGGAATTACCCCTGAATAGGAAACTTCTGGAGATAGAGGCCTTTGGGCAACCCTCGGATCCCTCTGAAATTAGCATGTTGATGCTTGGTCCTCGTCTTGTTTTGCTATTCTTGGTGGCAGGTGATGCCATCAGTCTCGCTCTCTTGCTGTGCTTCCTCAGTGGGCCTTTGGACTGCCACTCTCCCTGGCTCTCCCTCCTGCTTCTCTGGTCCCTACTCAGCCCCTTCTGCTGGTTCTCGGTCTTCTCCTCAATCTCTTAGCTTTGGGGTGTGCTTGGTTCTCTGTCCTTTATTCTCTTCTCCTCCAGTCTGTGGGCTTCAGAAGGCATCTATGTGCCAGTAACTCCACATTGTAACTCCAGCCCCTGTAACTCCACTCCCTCTGACTCCACACACAGGGAACTCACAGGACAGTCATCTCGGAATTCACACGGCCACAGCTGAACGCCTGGTCTCCGCCACACAGCGGCTCATTACAGTCCTCTCCTGCTCTGCAATTTCCCTTCCAGGCTCCCAGTTTCTGAGGCCAACGCCCCTGCGGTGGTGCTCCACACCTCTCTGTTTCTCACAACTCACATTCGTCAGCGAAGCCTGTTGGATCTGCTTACAACTCTCTGGGGCAGCCAGCGGCTTCTGGCTCCTCATGGCCCCCCTGCCAGGATGAGCCCCGGCTCTGCCTCCCTGGGAGTTCTGCAGTGGCTCTGTCGCCCTTCTCAATACCTTCTTGATGCTATTCCTGCTTTCCTGTCAGCTGCGTGTCCTCCAAAGAAGCCAGAGCAGAGAGACCATGATTCTCTTCTTTCCTCCCCGTCTTCAAATCTTTTCTCAAATACCAGCTCTTCAATATGCCTGCCTTGACCACTCTGTGAGGTGGCAGCATGCTCCTCCGCCCCTCCCAACTCCCATCTGCCCAACTCCAGGACCCTACTCAATGCCCATTGCAGTTTCTTTTGCTCATGGTTTGTCGTCTGTCTTCCCTCACCAGGTCGCAAGCTCTACTTTGAGTCTCAAGAGCCTTGTGACACATGGCAGGTGCTCTGGAGTGGACACAGCACTGCCACTTTTGACAGCTGTCCCCTTTGTCACCCTCAGGTTGTGACCCAAATGTCCCTTCCTCAAGGACGGTCCTGGGCAGAGCCGGCCCCCCCTCTGCCACCCTACTGCTCTGTCCCAGCACCATCTTTCAGAGGTCGTCATCAGCACTTGTGAATGCACATTTGCCTCATGCTCACGTGTTTATTGTCCGTCTCCTACACCCGCACCCCCAGTCACAGTGTTTACTTCATTCTCTAGGGTCTTCCTAGTGCTTGGCATAGACCTGCACGGAATAGACATGAATTAAGTAAATATTTGTTCACTAACTGGGAAGCACTTTATATATACTCTTGTATTTGATGATCACAGCCATCCTGTAAAATGAGTATTATTTAAATGCCTATTTTTGTAGCTATTGTTGTTGTTGAAAGAATCTGAGGCTCAGAGAGGCTGAGCAATTTCCCCTTAGACACAAAGCGAGGTGGAGGAGCCAGCCTGGAGGCTGGGGCTGTCTGACTGGGGGGTGTGAGTGAGGAAGCGAGTGTGTGTGCACGCACGCATGAGGCTCTGTGCTCTTGCTCCAGCACTGCACTGTGCAGAAGGCTGCCTCCCCTCTATGGAGTGCTGTCCGTGGCTGCCTTCTCTCCTTATCCCTAGATTTAAGCCCAGACAGAAGCCTGCTCTGGAGGGCCCGATGCCCATTACTGTGAGGTCTCAGGCTGCCTGCTGCCCTCTCAGCCCTACAAGCTCCATTGCTTCCAAGAGAATGAGGGGTCCAAAGTCCTGCCCCTTTGCACACACAGCATGAGGGCTTGGGTGAATTTTAATATTGCATGGCACCCACAGCCACCTGAGCCCCCTCTGAATCTAGAACCCATCCCTATCCAGGACTCACAGCTGCCGTGGTCTCACTCAGTCACGCAAGCCCACCATGGGCACAGCTGAGACGGCCCAACCGTCCTCCCCTTTCCTTCCTACCCACAGCAGGTGTCTTGGTCATGTCTGCCTCCCCCAAGGAATGGACTGGTCTTTTCTACAGGAAGGGAAGGGTGAAGCAGAAGCAAAAAGAGGGCTCCCTAAAAGCAGTTGGGGAGGACCCAGCGGGCTGCACTCCCAGGCCAAATGCAAAGTGCCCTGAACCTGCCGATGAAGGACAGGTGAAGATGAACACCATGCCCAGAGCCCACTGCCAGACCCAGCTGTGCCTGCTGTTCCAGCTGCCTAGCCACAGCACGGCAAGAGCAGCAGCAGGCCCTTGCCAGGGAAGCTTGGTCTGCTTCCTGGGGTTCAGGGACCACTCCACGTGTGTCTTGTGCACATCACAGCCACAGCTATGCTTGCTGGAGCACAGCAGCATAGAGAGGCTGGGCAGGAGGGCTGGCTGGGACAGGAGCCTGGGACCAGAAGTTGGGCAAACCCAGAGTCTTACTCAACTTTGTTGTTATTGCATGGTCCAATATAATATTTGAAAACTGGGGGCTGATCTTTCATCTCCCTGGATAGGCAGGATGAGAACCAAATGGCAAACTGACTGAATTCATTTTAAAATGGTCATCTGTGAAACTTTCCCCCCAGTTACAATATTGGATGCAAGCATTTTGGCCCACCTGATGCCCCATTCCTTTCCTCTTCCTGGCTGAGCTTTTGCTTATACTAGTAGCTGACATGCTGTGCTCATCTGAGGCACTATGCAGGTCCAAGCTCTGGTCTGGGAGTCTGTGCGTGGCTGCCAGGAAAGAGTGAGGGGTAGGTTTTGAATGGGGTGGGAACGCAGGAGCTATGAGCACAGCCCAAGCTATTCATTACTGCATCCCAAGTTCACACACACGCACACACACACACACACACACACACACACACACACACGGAGTTAATTTGCAACAGGCAATCCCTAAAGCAGCCCATTCAATGCTATTCTATCAAATAAATATAGATCTATAAATAGACCTCACATTTTGCTTCAAAAAGTGACAAGTGTGCAGAAATAATTTCACAAACAAGCTAAAATGTTGGCAGGCTTTGCATCCTTTGCTCAGATGTTGCGTGCATCTCCTAGATGATGCCTTTTTGAGCAAATTTGCACCATGTCTTCTGGTAGCAGTAGCGTTAAGTGAAGGTTTTTTTCACTGTTAGTATATTTTTCTTTACCTTAACAGTTTTTTGGCTTTGCTGTTTTGGGTAAAATATTAATCTTTTTTTCTTTAAATTAAACTCTTCTCAGAGTGCTACTAATACAAACTGGCATGAGATAGAGAAAGGAAGGAAGGAAGGAAGAAGGGAAGGGAGGGGGGGGACGGAGGGATGAAAGGAAAAGACAGAGGGAGAGAAGGAGGTAGGAAAGAAAAAGAGAAAATGAGTGAACATCTCTCTTGTCATGATCATTACTTGGCTATGTTCAGAGAAAATCCACAACGAGAAGGACATGTTCACTCCCACTCCTCATTTTGCTCTTGCAATTATAGACCTGGTATCCACCTAACTGTATCCACAGATTACAGGGACCATCCTCCATTGTTTTATGAGTCTATCACAGATTATGACGGACATGGAACATGGAAACCAGTTTCTACCAAAGCCTGTGAGGACCATTCTGTACAAATTGGGAGAGAGTGCACAGAAGCCTGGAGAGCTGACCGGGGAGGAGGGCCACAGTGCATTGCGTCCAGCCCTCTTCCACCCTTGCACTCTTAGCTGCTCTCATCCCCGTCTGCTCACACCTTGCTTACAGGTGGGTTCATCTCCATTCTGAGCCAGCTCTGACAACGGCATTGAATGTTTGATGACTTTGTCCCCGTCACCCATTTTAAGACAGTATGAAGTCCTGGGACCCAAAGCATGTGCCATGTGAGACCTATAGATATGCACCACAGATACACTCCCTGTGCTCTGGAATCTCTCAGTCGTGTGTCCCTTCACCTGTCGTGCTGGCCTCTTACTCCTTGGCATCAAGAGGTTGCCTTGGTGTTTTTGACCTAATCCTCAAGTTCACTGTACAGACTGAAGTCTTATCCTAGAGAAAGCAGGCATTCTAAAGCCTCTTTTCTTCCAGGGGCTGGATCCAGTTTCATGTGTCTTCAGCCCCTGACTGGGTCTTGTACACACGGACAGAGGTCTCAGTTCCAGCACTGTCATTGACTTGCGTGCCCCTCGGCCGACCTCCAGCACTGAGCTGCTCTTAGTGCCTGACTGCCTGGCCCTGAGCAGTTCCTCTGTCTGCATCATACCAAGCCCTGGCTTCCTCCTGCGGTATACAAGGCCCAGCAGTTTTTGCACTGATGCCTGCAGCCCAGACAGGGTCAGAGAGATAAAACGTCTTGCCAAAGACACTCAGCTAGTGGGAAGCACAGTCTGGACAGAACCTACTAGATCTTTCGACCTTGTGTCTGTGAGTTTTCCCCTGGACTTGCACAGGTTGCTGCAAACCCCCATGTTCTGTGCCACCTGAGCAAATAGGAGCCCAGTGAACAGCATAGACACAACATAGAGAAGGCGCAACCATACAGCCAGATGCCAGCCCACCCCCACGCCCACTCCACATGTGTGGCTGCCCCTGCCAACGTAGGACGAGACTTCTACCGGTCTCTGCTCTCTGCCAGCCCTGAGCTGCACAAACCACACCGCCCCACCACTGCAGGTGGTAATTTGCATGGGGGAGCAGAGCGTCTCCCAGGAGGCTAGGCCTATCTAAGTTTCTCTTCTGTACTTGGGAGACGAACAGCCACTTTAAAAGAGAGAAAAACAAGACACTAGTAACTCTGTGCTTGGACCCGGGCCTTTAGGTGTTTCAAAGCCTCCCGTGGCTATTTCTGGCCCCATTGTCGTCTGGGTCTGAGAGGAAGGCCTGATGGCGATTCTGTGCTTTAAAGGCAGAAACAGAACATTGTTTTTGCCAGCTTTGATTTAATGGCCAAAAACAGTTATAGGAAACTGTTCAGCAGATGTTTTATGAAACTCAGAAAAGATTGGGTCTTTTAGAAGGGCTATTTTTAGACAAATGCTTCCTACCATTGGGGGGATGGTGCTCACAAAAGGGACAGAAAATGGGAGAGAGACTTGGAGGGAGCTTTGAACATTTTGACGATCACATTTTATTTTTCCTTGCATTTTCAGCATGAATTAAACATACCTGGGAATCTTTGGAGGATCAGATAGTTGCAGAGGTAGTTCTGGGAGGAGGGGTTGACTTTAGAGTTCTCTTTCTAAAATGAGGGTTTCTTGGGTGCCAGGAAAATCTATGTTTTTCATCATTTTCCACCTTCTGATGTTCTAGCAGCACAGAAATGCTGTTTTTTCTTACTCTACTTTCTTGCCTCTCTTTGCCTGAATTAACTTTTTTCCTCTCAGCTCATCCTGACCTTCATTATTTATTTATTTATTTAATTTTTTTTTTTTTTTTTTTTTTTTTTTTTTGAGACAGAGCCTCACTCTGTCACCTGGCTGGAGTGCAGTGGCGCAATCTTGGCTCACTGCAACCTCCGACTCCCGGGTTCAAGCGATTCTCCTGCCTCAGCCTCCTGAGTAGCTGGTATTACAGGCACATGCCACCACGCCCAGCTAATTTTTGTATTTTTAGTAGAGACAGGGTTTCACCACCTTGGCCAAGCTGGTCTCTAACTCTTGACCTCAGTCATCCGCCTGCCTCAGCCTCCCAACCTGCTGGGATTACAAGCATGAGCCACCGCTCCCGGCCTCATCCTTGCCTTCTTTTCCCTCTGCCTTTTTTTTACCTATTACACTCTAAGCCGTCACTTCACACTAAGGGTAGGCATTTCCTCACTCAGGATGCTCTTCCTGAGCTCTCTAGGGTGCACTATGCTTCCCTTCCTTATCTGCTGGGCTGCTTTAAACACCGCAGCCACTCTCCTGCTTTACCATCTGTTTCTCTGTCAGCCTCATTCCCAAGGTCTGAATTCTCTTTCAGCTCTCGTCAATTAGTGCTACTTAACACAATAGTAGGCTCAGAATACATGTTTATTGAGTGAATGGATGGTTGGAGGAATTAATGGAGTGAGCAAGTTAGGGAATTTTACCTGGTTGAAAAATTTCGCTTCATCTACAAGAGCAGAAATTAATTCTTCTTATCTCTGCTGTTCAAATCAAACCCAAATCTGTTAAAGTACTATAATATAATAAAATAATTACCTACTGTGGGGTGGTTACTGCTATTTCCAGGAAACTGAGGCTCAGGGGCAATCAGATAAGAACTGGCATGTGAAAGCATCCAGATTTGGGTATGTGTCTTTTAATTCCAAGTCTCTTGTTTTCTCCACTCCACTGGAGGGAATAATTGTCTCTGGGGCAGAACTTCAAGAAACATGGGGTGCCTGGGCACAGGAAAAATCCCCTGGTAAGGGAGAGGGCACAGAAAAGGGAGATGGGGAAACTCAAATCACATGTTTTTCCTTTACTGCTATTTCTGGGGCTACATCCAGCTGGAACAAAAGGACATTGAGGCAGTCCCAGGTGGAGGCAATAGACGACTTCCAGCTTCTCCCTGCTTGTCCCGAGCCCTTTGGCCAATGCTTCAAAGTCAGCTGAGCAGACCGAAGACCAATCACTTCTAACTCTCTGGAAAGTGCCGGAAATTAGCTTAGACAGAACAAGGCTCTCACGTTATTTGACATCTCCTCCATCAGGGTCTCCTTGGTTTCTCAAGCCCTTGTTGAATACTTTCCAGAGAGCATTTTTAAGTGGCTGAAGGTTAGGTAAGTTCTGATATCTGGTAAAAGGATCATCATCGCCTGCGTGAGGTTCCAATGGCTACATCACGATGCTCTGGGCAAGAGTTTGAGAGTTTCCTGGAAGCTGAGCCCAGGCAGAGCCCTCTTTCATGTTCCATGGCCCTTCAGTGAGTGTTTCCACATCCTTTGCTTTCTTAAGCTGTCATTTTTTTTAACGCTTTCTATGTTGTCGTTACTATGCTAAGTGCACTGGAAAATGATCTCACTTCTCTTTATTTAAGGCTCCTTTTAAAAGCACATAATATAAAAATGTGTCCTTATTATTAAGGAAAATTACTTTCCTATGTGGTCAATGGCCCTAAGAGCTGAGCTCAATCCTTACTCTTGTTTGACAGATGAGGAAACTGAATTGGTTAGAAAGGTTCAGTAAATTGCTCAGTCACTCAGTAGGTGAGTGAATAGCTGGGATTCAAGGTCGGGTTTGCCTGATGCCAGAGGCCAAGCTCCTAAAGGCATCACCATCTATCTCAATTTCCTAGTGGTTTTTGACTGCAATCCCTGGGAAGCTCTGTCTCGGTGGAACTTTTCCTTTCCAATCTTCGCACACTTTTTCAGACAATCTCTCATTTAACTCTTCCCTAAATTGTCTACCATTCTCTATCTAGGACTACTTATTGCATTGCCTATTCTGACTACAAAAGTCTTGAGGCAAAGATAGAGGCATTCACTGCTAAGGTTCACAGCAAACTTAAATCTGAGTTTGAGCAGCCACAAAGCAGCCTCAAAGTGGAAGAAATGCTGAAAGAGATGGAATGTCAATGGCCTCTTGTGGTGCTTTGCTAGAAATATGAACAACGGCATATTAGAAAGAGCTGGGAAAGTATTTTTCCAGTGGAGGTAGACTTTCCTAGGGCTGCTACCAACTTACTTTATTTACTTCCTTACCTATCTGCTATAATCGAGGCATCAGTACAGAGATCAGCAAATATTTGTGGAACACTTCTGTACCAGGCAGACTGGACTAGGTTACACTGTGGTAACAAGAGCCAAACCTCAGTGGCTTGAAGCAACACATCTTACTCATGCTGCATGAACACTGGGCTGGCAGGGGGTTTTGTTCCATGGTATCAGAGTTACTCCGGGCCCTAGCTGATAAGCAGCTGTCACCTGACACGTGCCAGAGAGACAAACAGAAAGGCCGAAACTCTTCAGTGGTCCTCTAATTTTCTGCCAAGTGACCCTGTTCGAATTTCATCAGTGAAAGCACATCCTAGGACCACTCCCAATTTCAACAGGGCAGGGAGTGGGATTCTACCACATGTCCAGATAGGGGAAGAACTTGTCCAGATTAGTGAACAACTTTTGATGTGCTTAATGCTGGGTGAGGTATCGTTGAACAAATAAACATGAGTCTTGATCCTGCCCTCAAGGAGCTCCTTATGGACTTGGGGAACTAGGATTTAACACACATCAAATGGGTAAGGAACGTCATGAGTTGGTATAAAATAATGTACCCTGCCAATCCATATAGAACACACATATCGTGTTTTTCTCGTCTGATGTTTTACAAGCTTCTGCTAAAAATTCACACCATTTCTTGTTACTTACTCCTCTGATAAGCTCTTTAAGAACAGAATCTTGCTTTATCATTTATTTTCAGTTCTTATCAAATATCTGGAACACAGAAGAGCTTATTACATGTTGTGTGGATGGATTAAGCTTGCTAAGCTATTTGGAAACAGGAAGAAAAAGCATGCCCAGAATTTGGAGACCACCCATGGAAAGGCATGACCTCCACTGGGTGTTCAGGACTTGAGGTGGTCAGTATTTCTGCTCCTTCCCAGCAGACCAACTTGCTCCCACTCAGCCCCATGGCTTGCCTTCTCTTCCTTGGAAATCTTCTTACATGCCTCTTGTTGCCTGGCCATCCCAGGAAGGAAGCACCCATGTCTTCTACACTCCCAGTTGCTTAAAACAAATATGCTTCCCCTGCTCAGATAACCATTGGCAGGGCTAAGGATCCTAAAAACCATGGGTTTTTAATACCGGGAAAGTGCTACTCTGTAGGGATCCTCTAGCCCACCATTGTTTCCTTTATGGAAACTGAGGCTTGGAGAATGCAAGTGGCTCTCTCAAAGCTTCATAAAATTCACTGGGAGGTCTGGGCTGGAGTCCAGGTGTTTTGATTCATTTGTCATTGCTCTTTATAGTCTGGATTTATAGATGCATATTTCTATGTAGACTTGTTGATAAACTTTACATTGACACCTAAGACATTATATTTCCTTTTCTATCAAGACAATGTTTAAAGCAAGACAAACAACTAAAGAAAACCAAAATAATGTGGTTTACATGCTAGGAGAAGAACAGTCTTGTAGCCAACATAAATGAGCTCTCATGGAAACCTCTGCCCGCCAAGAACACTTAACCTCCACGAATGACATCTGTGCCACAAGGGTGGAGCTCGAAGTCCCAGGTAAAGCAAACCATCTCTTTAGGGTGGCATGAATGGGGCAGATTCTCATTCTCAGAAGAGGCTGCCATTATTTTATAGAAAACAGATAGGATTTGAAACCGGATCTGGCTCAACTCTCAACTGCACCTGCTTTCTGAGCTTCAGTTGTATTATCTGTAAAGTAGTATTATCTGACTGGCCTAATTCATATAGTTGTCCCACACATCAAATATGACAATGAGAGTGAAGATGCTGGATGAATCATACCCAAATATTTGTTGGTGCTAGACCCTGATTCATGGAAGGTAGCATCCCAGAGATTATTTTCTTCCTTAATCCCTGTTTGAGGCAGGGGCTGTAAGAAAGTGGAGTTATCCAAGGTCATTGGTCATGATGCTTCTTAGTTCAACCATCAGTTAATGTTCTGATGGGAAAGAGGCTAAAGAGATCAAGTGGGAGAGGGGAGCCATGGAGGACAAGGTGTGGGTCGGTTGAGGACCAAGGAGGGTGGAAAAGGAAAACAACTATCTCTCACAAATAAAGGCAGAGTTAAAATTACCTGGTGAATAACAGCAATATTCTCACTATTCTTCTCTGACAGCACTGGTTCTCCAAAAATAAACCAAGAGCAGAAAGGCAGTATGGCATGTGGTCAAGAATACAGGCTCAAGAGTCAGATTAATTCCAATTTGAATTGAGGTTGCCCTTTACTTGTATCCGTACCTGTGTGTCACCTTGGGCAAATTGTTTAACTGCTTGTACAGTCATTTTTTTCTTTCAACAAAATAGAAATAATAACACCACTTCCCTTAGTGTTGTTAAATGATATGATGCCTGTTGAATATTTAGCTCAGTGCCTGACAAGCAGTAAGCGTCTAATAAGTGTTAGCTCTTAGTATTATTAACAATGCAGCTATTAGCAGGGAAATACTTCTTGAATTTGAGGTGAGACATTATTCAACTTTGCTTTCTCCATGCAAATGAGCCCAGGAATCCTTTGCACATTCTCTTTCCCTCCCTTCCTGATCAACTGGCTCTTTTTCAATCTGTCTTTTTTATTTGTTTTTGCTTTTTATTGCTATGTAATTGTTCAGATATTGGGGTACATGTGATAATTTGATACATGTATACAATGTGCAATGATCAAATCAGGGTAATCGAGATATCCAGCACCTCAAGCATTTATCTTTTCTTTGTGTTGGGAACATTATAATTCTTCTCTTCTAGGCGTTTTGAACTATACAACAAATTATCGTTAGATATAATTTCCTTACAAAAATGCATTTAGAAAGAATGAGTTCTAGTATTCCATCAGTCTTAATTAAACATTTTATTGAGTGTATCTTAGAGCTGATCCCAGTGAAAGGCAAATGGGACAGTTAATTTGCCCATAAGGAGATTTGTAAATTAGGACCAATCTAAGAAAGTCACAAGCTGATATAATTGTTTTTATTTCTGATGGCCCTAAGGAACATGAGAGCAGGAGTAGCCAGTACTCCTAAGGTTCTATTAGGGTTGTCACAGCGACACACTTCGGCTCCCTAACAATAGATGAGATTCCAAGGTAGCCTTGTATGGAAATGCAAGCTCCACTTCCACAACGCCTCCACCTCATTGCTATAACTGGTATCATAATCAACAAGATGAGACTCTCTTTCCTGTTTTTTGAAGTAATGTTTGCTGTAACCTAGGATAAATAAACCCCGACTCAGTCCTTACACCAGGAAGCACTTTTAAGGCCTATATCCTGTCCTGGCAGGGAGATGGGATCAAATGAGAGAATGGGTCTTTCCATGGCTAACTGCTGTGACAGCTGCCGTGTTAAGAATGGCAGGAGCCTCTAAACAGCAAGCTGTCCAGTGAAAGGAGGTGGGAAGGTCCACTAGGCTATGTGGAATTTTCATTTCTGGCAGCACTGGAAAATGAGATCTCAAGGCAGCCATGTTTATTCTGATCATGTGGAAATTAAAATTAGAATAGGGGAAATTTGAACCCACCTGGTCTAGGGTATGCAGCGACTCATGACCAGAGGAGATAAGTAACAAAAAACAAAAGACAAACCATAATAATAATATAAAAATAAAGCTATTGGAATAATATTTTAGTCTGGAGGAAACATGTAGCCCCCCAACCTGAGGCAAAGCCTCAGTGGGATTGAGGATCTGGGGGCCCTGAGGGGTCACAGAGTCTCTGTAAAAGAGAAAGTAGGCACCGTGTGGGGAGGGCACATGAGGTCCAGGCCCTCAGCTCTGGGTGGGGCAGAGGCGAAGGAGCTGGGCACACTGGTCTCGAGTCCCTCCCTCTCTTGAAGATACTCCCTGAACCTGAACTTTCAGCCAAGTGGCTAGAATTTCTACTCTCTGGCATTTGTCTGCTGGTCAAAGAATGACATCTACTGGTAATGTGGTCTAGGAAAAAGTCCCTGAAGTGAGAAGGCCAAGGAATAGAATCTGGTGCTATCTATGCAAACTGGCTATGATCCAAATCAAATCTGAGCCTCAATTTCATCGTCTATTAAGTGGAGAAAATACAGCTTGTCCCACAAATTTACTTGGAGGAGAGATGATTTAAAAGCATAAATGCTTTGAACTTAGGAAGGAGTCAACACACATCTAAGAGGATTCATCTCCCTCCCTTTCAACCCCACAGTCTTGTCTCCAGTTAAGCTCTTGTGCTTGCCTTGACTATGGGGTTCTCTGGCTGCTTTCTCCAGCTATATTTTGGCAGCAGGGTGCCTGGGAAGCACAAGTTTGGCATTCAGAGAGTGTATCTAGCCCATTGCTGTGGGTGGCATAGAACAGAGCCAGGAGAATTATTTCTTTTTCGGCTCCCTTTCTCTGTTCCCAGGTCTCTCCATGGGACCATTTCCCCAGCTCCTTTCCCATATTTTGATGGAGTGTATAGGCACTGCACAGAGTTTGCCCCTTTCATAAGAACTGACCACAGGGTGTCCAGCTGTGTGGTCACCTTTCTTTTTCTTTCTGGCCTGGCAGGAGGAGAATGGACCTTGGGCAGATTTTAAAGCCATTTCGGTAAAACTGATGCTGCAAGTCAATGAGAAGCCTGCACTCAGCTTTCCAGGCAGGGTTTGCCAAAGAACAAAGATCCGATTCATACTAACTCATTGACTGCCTTATTTGTAATTTCCTCCCCCACCCCCTTAATATTATAAATGCAGGCAACCAGGAATGCAGGCTTCCCAGATGAGGATTTGCACAAATCAGTTTTGTTTTGCATTTTCTGTATATTTCCTATCCACCCACTTCCCCAACCCAATATAACCCATGGAAACAACATCACTGCAAGGGTAGAGGAACCGGGGTGGCCCTTGTCTAGAAGAAAGGAGAGCCATGTGTATGGAGGATGAGGCTGGCTCTTTAGGCCTCTGCAAAGAAGGCTCCCCATCCTCCACCCTGCCACCTTGGTGTTTTCAAGGTGTGCTGTGAGTTGTGTGGGTGTCTGGCTACAGAGTGTTCAGTAAGTCAGCAGTTTCCTCAGAAGATCTTCATGCAGAAATTTGATTCTACCATAGGGAGCATTGAAGCTGCTGACTTAGAAATCATACAGAGTAATTTAAACATTTGGCACATTTATTTGCATGCCAGAAATGTGTAAAAACTGCCCGGCTCTTGTCCGTAACTCCTGGCTTATCGACAGAAAACGACCACTGGCAGGGTTTCCTATAGCTCAGGATTTGAACACCTCATCTCCTTGGGACTCAAAGGAGCAAAATTATGGGCAAGAAGCCCATTGAAGTGTAGGAAAATTGAGGCATAAAAATTTATTAAAAGATTTTTATGCAATTATCCTGTTTCTTTTGATTCCAAATTCTATAATATTTCCAAAGGTCTTCATAGCCTCTTTGTAAACCATCTCAGAAAAAGAAAGCCAGATTTTCATGAAAAAAATTTTGTGGTCTGATTTGTCTCATCCCAACATAGCAAGTGTCATAGGAGAAGTGGCTATGGGCCAGCAGTTTCCAATACAAATAATCTCTTCTTTTAAAAAGCAGATTAAAAAATATATAAAATTTATTTAATTAAAAAAAGAACAGAATATTATGAAAATGTGGAAGTTAACATTCCCATACTACAGTTGGTCAAAAGGTAACCACTTAAACCATTTAAACCACTCTCAAAAGGTAACCACTTAAACCTTTTCTGTTTTTATTATTTAGTAGTTAATTCCATATTTTATGTATTTCCACCTCTTGAAATATATACTTATATATACTTTTTGATATAATTACTTTAAACCATATCAATGAACCATCAGTACAAGACATAAAATGTAGCTCAATTACTCTACACCCACCCCCATCAATTTCCAAATCTTTAAGTTATTTTTAAAAATTTTAGTTTTCATTTAGCTATTGTTATAACTTTAAATAATATACTTTAATTTTTATTTCTTGATCCATCATCTTTAGATAATATATCTGATTTCATGTCATGTAAAATGTAGAAATTAGCACCCCCATATTTCTTTCTACTTTTTTACATACATCTCCAGTTACTAATATCATCAACATTAGATTTACATTTCATTTTGTAACCTAAGTTAAGCCATTCATACTTTGACTTTAAGTTGATTCTAAAGATTAAAATCTCATTTAAGATAATTATGTATTCATATTAAGATAATTCACCACAGAACCAACTTGTATAACTAGACTTTACAGAATAAGGTATAAATATGTGTCACTAAACTTGTGTACTGATAAAAAATACTCCAAGTTTTAAGGTCAAGTGGACTCTCTTTCTTATACATTATGAATTGGTTAAAATCAGACCACATTCTAGTTTTTTTCATATCATTTTCTTTCATAGCTTTTTGTTTTCCCTGGTGTTTCTAATAGCTTTTCTTCTTCCTGTTAGTTGAAGCAGTTTATGACCTCACCTTTCATCTAACGTTTTAATAATTATTTGCTATGGGATAATCTACCTTCTTTCAAAGATAATAGACAATTTGCTATTCTAATTTGGATGACTTCTTTTAATGCCTCTTGTATATCTGTCTCCTGGATAAGGTTCATTGTTATCTGGATTTCATTTTCTTTTCTTTCTTTGTTTCTATTTTCATTTTGTTAAATAACATCATCTTATTTCTTTAGAAAGACTTTATGGAAGGTAAACTTTCATATTCATTGTGGGTCTTAAAATGTTTGCATTTTATTATACTAGATTGATGGTTTAAGTACAGAATTTTAGGTTCAAAATGATTTTTCTTAAAAAATTTAAAGATATAACTGTCTTACCCTTTAGTGTCCAGTGCTGCTAATGTAAAGGCTAATGCCAATCTAATTATTCTCATTCTTTTGTAGGTGACTTTCTAACTTTTCTCTAAAAGCTTTTTGTATTTTCTCTTATCCTTGGCTGAAACTTCAGTTTTTTTTTTTGTTTGTTTTTGTTTTTTTTTTTTTTTGAGACGGAGTCTCGCTCTGTCGCCCAGGCTGGAGTGCAGTGGCGGGATCTCGGCTCACTGCAAGCTCTGCCTCCCGGGTTCACGCCATTCTCCTGCCTCAGCCTCCCAAGTAGCTGGGACTACAGGCGCCCGCCACTACGCCCGGCTAATTTTTTGTATTTTTAGTAGAGACGGGGTTTCACCGTTTTTTAGCCGGGATGGTCTCGATCTCCTGACCTCGTGATCCGCCCGCCTCGGCCTCCCAAAGTGCTGGGATTACAGGCGTGAGCCACCGCGCCCGGCCTGAAACTTCAGTTTTAAGATTGGTGACTTTCTTCAGCTCTCATAAATTTTCTTCTAATATTTTTCCCTTTTATTTTCTCTCTTTTTTGGAAACTTCATGAAGTAAATGTTGGCTATCCTGGATTAATCTTCTATGTCTCAGCTTACATTATTTCACATTTTGTATTGCAAACTTTTGTTCTTTGTTCCAAGAGACTTCTTTGACATATTTTTCAGTCGTGTTATTGAATTTTTATTGGGCAATTTTATGTTTTTTAGTTTCAATAATTCTCTTATTCATCATTCAATTGTTTAGTAAATGTTTGTTGAGCTCTTCCTTGCTTCTTGGTATGTGCCAGGCACTCTTCTAGACCTGGGGAAAAAGCAATGAGTGAACCCACAAAGTCTCTTTCTGCCCAATGAGGGGGAAGACACACAGTGAACAAATAAGTGAGCAGACACATGGTATGTCAAATGGCGATAAGTCCTATGGAGAAAAATAAAGCAGAGTAAGGTGGGTAGGGAGTGCTATGGATGGGGATGGAGGCTTTATTTTATATAAGATAGTTAGGCAAGACCTCATTGACAAGTTAACATTTTCATGTGACCTTCATGAAGTGAGGGAGAGAACTATGTGGAACTGCAGCTGGAAGAAGAAGTATAAAGACCTTGAGATAAGAGCTTCCTTACGCTGTGCTCCTTTTCCATAGTATCCCAAAATGGCATCTTGGGAGATTCTTAACGATATCTACAGTTTTAAAGATACTCACGTTTTGTTGCATTTGAGGATGTCATAGAATCCATCTGTAACTAACCTCAGCTCTAAAATAAAGCAAAACATATCCATATTTTCAACCAAATAAACCTATACTGAGAAGTTCCTAAGAACTTAGTTACCAAGCAAAATGCTAAGAATATGAAGATGAGTAAAACATAGTCATCACTCTGAATGTAAACAATTAAGTAATGTGCACGGCAGCAATTGCTCATTGGATTTATCTATAGGGTCATCAAGAATGTGACTATCTGATCCCACAGTGGAGCTGCTGGTGGTTCTCAGAAGGGTGAAGTTAGGCAGAAAAATTTCTAAGTGCAGAAGAGACAGAGGCTGAAAAAAGATTTTGCTATAGGATCAAGTTGGAGAGGGCTTCCTAGATGGTAGTAGACATGTAAAACCCCCATGACAAGAAAAAATTCCTCATTAAGAGTTTTTATTCCATTCAATCTAGTTTCTGGAGGCCTGAGATGAGCTCAGGCATATAACTTAGTGTTCCCCCTGAGAGAGAGTCTGAGAAAGGAAGCAGTTATAAGGGAGTAGGATCGGATAAGGACTGTCAGCAAATGGTCACTAACGTATGGCTTTCCTCTAATTTTTAAAAGACTATTTGCCAAGTATGTGTGGCCTTAGATTGGAAGGGGTATGTGAGACATGGAACTCAGAACTGGATGCAGAATCTAAAGTTTGAGGTCTAACACTGGTGGATTAGCTTTGGTCAGATTATTCTCACATCTACCCGACTTTGAAAAAATTAATTATATGGCATTTCTAAATGCCATGAATATTGTGAATATTGTTGCATTGGCTGCATTGTGCCAAAGTTCGTCTTCTTATACTTTCCATCAACTGGGCTTAGTCTGATAATCTGAAAGAAAACACTTCCTCTTCTACATTACAGCCCTTCACCTATTTAAAAGCAGCATTAAAAATCATTGTAGTGAATTCCCAGATTCTTACTGGGATAGAATGTTAGCTGTTGTCTGGTCCAGTGCAAGAAACTTTTCTACAGCATCTCTGCTAGCTGGTCTTATAGCTCTGTTTCAACTTATTCAGTGCTTTCCAGGCACTCATTTTGTTTTTGAATGGCTCCAAATATTCAAAAGCTCTCTAAATGTTCAAAAGCACTTCACCATTTTGATCTGAAATAGGCTTCCCTGTAGTGTTTATCTACTGATCCAAGTCCTATGACACTTGTCTATTATGAGGCAATTTCAGTTCCAACAATGAAATATTATAACAGGCTGTTGCAATGAGACAAGGCAGGATTCATCTGAGCTATCATAAACAAAATCTCCAATTTCTTTCATATGCAAAGTGTTCTTCTTTCAAAGCATTTTCTCTCTCTATTTTCTCATTTTATTTTTCACCATCTCAATGAGAAGAGATCTTATGCTAAGAGCACAGGCCAACAGTAGGGAGTGGTGCCTAGTTCAATGAGTGTCATTGCTGTGTTTGGTAACAGTGACAAGGAGGGGAGAGAAGTAATGAAGAACAAAATGTCTCAGAAGACACTCAGTGATCTGATGTCATCGTTCTTTGGAATACTTCTTGCTGATATGTGGGAATATCAGCACCTACTGAGATAATTAAATAGCCAGGACTATTCCCACTCCCCTCCTATTTTACACCAGAATCACAGGTTTCTGGGGCCAATGGAATTCATGATAAAATAAAACATCAGAAGCTTCTTGTATCTTCCCTGTGGATGTGCTTCAGAAGACTCCGGTGAGAGATGTTGAGTCTTTCTGAGACACCCAAATTGACAGACTCCAGAGATATGCAGAGATAAAATTCAAACGTGTACTTAATCTCCCGGCCTTTGTTAGTTTCAAACCAGTTGCATTAGTAGCTTAGTTAGCCTGGGGGCAGGGAAGAATCCTTTCTTTCAAGCAACTGGCTTGAAAATTTTCTCAAGAATCCAGTTGTTGCCAGGTGGGGTGGCTCACACCTGTAATCCCAGCACTTTGGGAAGCTGAGGCGGGCTGATCACCTGAGGTCAGGAGTTCAAGACCAGCCTGACCAACATGGAGAAACCCTGTCTTTACTAAAATACAAAATTAGCCAGGCCTGGTGGCGCATGCCCGTAATCCCAGCTACTCAGGAGGCTGAGGCAGGAGAATTGCTTCAACCCGGGAGGCGGAGGTTGTGATGAGCCGAGATAGCACCATTGCACTCTAGCGTGGGCAACAAGAGCAAAACTCCATCTCAAAAATAATAAAAATAAAAATAAAAATAATCCAGTTGTGCAGGATTGCATATGGAAGTTTTAGAAAACCCCATAAATGTTTTTATGAACTACTGTATCAGACCTAAGGAATTTCTTTATATTCCAAATTGTGAGCAAATTGAGTCTTCTATCCATTTTTAGAGACTACAGTGGAAAAACCTTGTCTCTTTGATGTAGAACACAAAATCCTACTGCTCTTTTTAAAAGAGGAAAAATCAACATTTCTGTTTGAGTGTGCCTTTTATATTTCCTCCTAGTCTGCCTCTGGCTGGAGCCCTCAAGAAGGTAGAGACCTGCTTAAACCTCCAAAAGTCAATTTTCTACACCAGCAGCATACAGGTCAGATGAGTCTGGTGCAGGAGCACATGTAAAAGTACCTGCTTATCCCTGGGGCTCAAAACAGGCTCCTCGCTTTCAGTAGGAGATGGGGGCGGAGTTTGCAGAAGCAGTAGAAGAAGAAGCCAATCACCCATCTTCTGATGAAAGATAAAAGGCATCACATTTCATTGTTTCAGGGGAAAGAAAGTAGAACAAATTAAAGAGAAAACAAATCAAAGGATGAAGGGGAAGAGGAAATCCCTCTCATATGGAGCAGACATGGAGGCAAAGTTGAGCAGGTAGGCAACTGTGCATTATATGATTTATGTGTCAGATACTCCTCCTGGACATTCAAGAAATTAACCATGCAATCCTTTACTTCTCAGATGAGGAAACCTTGTCCCCAAACACACAACTAGTTAGTAAAACTAGAAATTAAATCTGGGGCTGATGATTCTTCTCGTTACTAGAAAAGTTAATATGAAATGAAGCCTCCGTCCTGTGCTAAATTTCTGAATTGTAGGAATACATGTGAGAATACCAGGCAGCTATATAAAAATACACTGCAGAAGACCCATTTAATGGCCTTATAAGAAAAAAATAGGTTAAAATATCATGTATGATATAACCTATTTTATTTTGTATAATGTAAAAAATACCTATCTGCACAGAAAAGACTGCAAAGAAACTATCCATTAAAATGTTATCATTGGCTACCTCTGGGCGGGGAATTATGGGTGAATTTAATCTTCTTGTTTTGACTTTTTCATATTTCCCAAATCTTAAACAATTGAAGTGTATTAGTTTTAAGTTAAAGAAGAATAATGACTATTTGGATAAAGAGATAGAAGGCAGAGTTGCTTTTGGATTCAAGATTGAAGTCCTTAAATTTCAGTCTTGGAAAGTGATTTTAAAGGAAGTGTGTAATTTCAATATAAATTATTCATCCTACGCTTCTTTGAATTTTGATCACCTTTAGGGCTGACTTTCTTCACAATCTAGACAAATATCAGCCTTCTGAACCTCTTACACATTGGAAGATTTAGCTCTACTCTAAGCAAGGAGCAACAATACCTTTTTCACTTTTATTCTTTCTGTTTCTGTTCCTTTGGCTCTCTTTCTCTCTCTCTCTCTCTCTCTGTTTTAGACAGGGTCTCACTCCATTGCCCTGGTGCCATCACAGCTCACTGAAGCCTCAACCTCCTGGACTCAAGGGATCCTCCCACCTCAGCCTTCTGAGTAGCTGGAACTACAGTTGAGAGGCACCGTGCCTGGGTAATTTTTGCATTTTTTGTAGACAGAGTCTCACCATGTTGCCCAGGCTGGTCTCAAATTCCTGGGCTCAAGCAATCCCCCTGCCTCGGCCTCCCAAAGTGCTGGGATTACAGGCGTGAACCACAGCCCCCAGTGGCCCTCTTTAAAAGTATATATTATCCAAACACCCAGAATTTCTAAAAACTATTTTTTGAAATGTCACCAAATATGATTAGAAGTACTGGACTGTATCATGTTGTGCTTTGGCCAGGGATGAGCTGTGATGCAAGTTGCAAAAAACAGTCTTAATTGGCAGTTTAATTCCATTAGATAATGAGCCAGATTCTCTCCAGGCACAAGCTGCTCCTTGGGAACAAGGTCAGCATCTCTGGCTATTCCGGATGCTTTCTGGTTGGTGCAAAGGTTGAGTTCAAGTTTATGTGATTTTCTCAGCTGGTTTAAAAAAAATGTGCGCATTTTTTTTTTGACATTTCCAGTTAAAAATACTGGAAACCAAAGTGTTTCTTGCCATACTCTACGCTTGTTCCAAATCAGGACTGGCATCCCATCTCTACATACCTGTACAATGTGAAAAGTTTCCCATAACCGACAGCCACTTATAAGAATGAGTAACATATTTCAGGTGTTTTTCAGGCTTGAAACTCTTGGAAAATAAACTAGGTGGGAAATAAAACCCTGAAGTCTAGGTTCAGTCCAGAAATCACAAGTTAATTTTTTTCTATTTTATTCCTCCTCGAGGAAAAATAAAATGAGGGATGTATTGAGACAACTACTCAAATAGTCAAGGAAAAAGACACCAGATGTAGACTGAATTACCCAGATAACAGACAAAAAGAAATCTGGTGTGAAGTAGTGACTCATTCTGTCTGTTTATGCAGCCTGAATTTTCTGGTTAATTGTCAGCTCTTCACTTCACTTTGTGCTACGTAAAAGATAAATTATTCCCCTGACAGATTTATTTTTGTATTGACTGGAAAAAAGTTCACGCTAAAATAGTTGTGTGATGTGTACTAAAGAGACAGAGTTAGGTGCCAGCATTTTGGTATTATGTTGTGGAACACCAGCAGGAACAATGGGGAAAGGATGAGTGCTTGAAGAACCAAAAGTTAAGAAATTGTTAGATTAATTAGATCACATATATCCAACATTCAAATATCTATTTTCCATCTCTCCATCCATCCATCCATCCATCCATCCATCCATCTCTTCATCCATCCATTTTTACCCATTCACTCATCATTCCATCTATTTATCCATTCATCTATTCATCCACTCATCCATCCATCCATCATTCTAGTCATATATCTATCCATCAAATATTTATTTAGCCTTTACTTTATGTTTCATGCACTGTGGTAAGTGTTGCAGGAACAATGGCAAACAAAGCTGATCCATTCCTTACCCCCATGGTTTTACAATAAATAAAGAGAAAGGACAATGCACAAATAATTACAATGTAATTCTTGCTACAAAAGGGACAGTAGTACACTACTGAAACATATGGTAGAAAGACAGAATCTAGTGAGAAGAGGGAGATAGGGATAGTCAGTGAAAACCTCCTTGTAGAGGTAGAATACAGGTCAAAACCAGATGTATGATTGATACATCTGGATCTTCTTAGTTTGTCTCCCTGAGCCTCTGAGTACACAGATAGTCTTGGCTATGTTGAGGGAGTAAGGGAAGTATCCAGGATAAAGATGTCAGCAGCAAACCTGGCATTTGGTTGAAGTGGTGTCCTAAAAAGGCTCAAAAACACACCATTCTATTTCCAGTCATTCATCAGCATCAGGCCAATATAATGAGTACATTAACAACTGATGAATGTGGCTTTCTATAAATCCCTCACCACATTCATGGATGCAGCTGACTGTAGTTACTGGACTTCTGGCCCTAGGCATGTTTTGAAACAGCAAAATCCATGAGGATTTTTTGTGGTACATTGTATTGTTCTTTCCTCTTCCTGGTCTACCGGGGACTGAGCTATCCCCTGGAGCCTCAGACATTTAGTGTGAAAATGGGAGGATTATTCCTTTGACAGGTCAATTAATCTGAATGTTGCTTCTTTAGTATGGTTACCCTGGTCCCAAACATAGACCAATAGACTCACGGAAGGTGCTCAATATGCAGTCCCACCAACAGGCTAACCACTTAGTGTTGATGACATTTGGCAAATTGATTTATCCACTTTCCCTTCAGGGAAAAGAGATTAATCTCCCTGATTCTCTTTGCTTATCTGAAAGGTGATGATGTTGCAGAATCCCTAACGATTATTCCCAGCTCACAAACTATGGCTTCTAGAATTCTTGGTCATGATGTTCTGCCCTGGAAAACGTATCTTATCTGAGCAGAAGCTACTGAGTTAGTTAGTCCAGGTGCAGGGCAAGCATGGAAAAGTCCAAGGCACAGATACTGTGAAACTGGAACTAGGGTGGTGGCTTCCTGTGCACCTTGGAGAAAGCGGAGCCCAGACACCTCCCAGAAGCCCTTCTAGCCTTCCACACATGTAGGAGGGGAAGTTTAAGACCAGTTTATCTGGTATAGGTCAGGAAATATAGTAATGGTTTTAGCGTCCCTCCAATGAAAGTGGGCCGCCTTCTAAAATTAGGACTAGAAAACATGCTTGGGGAAACTCAAAAGGTTGGCTCTATTGCAGTTGTGCTGGGGAGGAGGGCTTGACTCGAAGACTGGGTTCCATCTGTAATCAGTGGACTGCTGCATAAGGAAAAATTAATGCAGTCGGCATGACTTGGTGTGAGTCACTGAGACATAGCTGCAGTGGTCTGTCCTTCCACAGACTCAGCAGGACACCCTTCTCCAGCAAGTGTGTGCTAATTACATTACTGGGGACTGCAGCAGTCTTTTCTCTCCGGATTAGCAAACCAGCATTCCAAGTAGAAGGGACAATCAGCCCCTGGGGTTTTCTCCTGTGAAGATTTATGGATTGTGGTGAGAATGACTCTGAATTGGGAAATGGGAGCCTTGGGTCCACCCCGGCCATGCCATTGATAATAGCAGTCAATAGTTATTGAGTATAAAGTCTGTTCTAATCACTAAATTAAATACTTAGGTCTCACTACCTCTTTAATCCTCACAGTAATCCCTGAGGTGTACAGTGCCATTATCTTCATTTTATATATGAGGAAACCAAAAATCGGAAATCTTAAAATGTCCATGGTAACTGAGAAAGAACAAAGGCTGGGATTTAAATTGGGAAGTTTGATCTCAGAGGCTGTGCTATCACACTATGATAGCCTGTCGTCTTCATTGGACCGATAAAGTCATGTACTTAACTGTAAAATTTGGTTTTTTATTCTTGTTACAGGTGCAATACAACATTGTATAAAAATCAGAAAACACAAACATAACAAAAATACAACAAAAAATCTTCCATACCACCAGAAATAACCTCTCAATACTTAGTCGATTTATGGTTTTAGATTGTAAAAATGGCATTATGCTGTACACAATGTATTTTGAGCTGTCAAGCTCTAACTTTTTATATTTATCCAGTCCATAGTATGTTCAAGGGAGTGTGCTGGGGAGGCAGTTTATATGACTACTGGTGATAAGGAAATGTCAAGGGCACAGACCCTGCACCCCCAGAATCACATTCTAGTGGGGAAGATAAGGCAGGAAAGACGTGGACAGGAGATACGGGAACTTAAATAGCTCATTGTGACAACGCAGGAGCAAGACAATAGCTGCGTGGAAAAGCACAGGGAGAGAAAGAAAGGACTGGAGCTGGAGCTTAAGGGATGTCACAGGGGATTACGGGGGCTGGCTGAGATGATTGAGGCAGCTCCGAAGGGGCCAATCTGGAAAGACATAGCTGCTGAACATACTGCCGGATGCATGGTAGAAGGTCCCAGAACAATACATCGAACACAATCCCATTAAAAAGGCCCAGTATGGGTATAAGAATAGAGGAAAGACTGGAGGGCTGGATATCAAACCCTAAATAGTAGTTAGCTTTTTGGTGTGAGACTGGGTGGAAGGGGACCCGAAGTGGTGATTCTCATTTTTGAATTCATACCCTTCTGTATGACTTGAATATGCTACAACCGCATATTCATCCTGTAATTAAATTGAGATTGAAAAATAACTTTGTAGGAGTTAGACTGACAGAGAGAAAAAGTGAGAAGTATTTTGAGGGAGAAGGGACCAGGGAGACAGAGTGACAAAAAGTACATAGAAAGGAATGGGGGTGGAAGGAGGGGGTGGCAAGATATGGGGTTTTCAGTGGGCTATCATACATCCCAGAAGGGTCCGTTCTGCTGAAACTCTCTGAGTTTGTGGAGTCCACAGGATGTTTAGCAGGCCCAGTGGAACCAGGATGGAGAAGAATTTTTGACCGACATTAGCTAAGCTACTTTGCAGGGAGTCTACCTGGGGGCCTGTGCCCAGCTCATTCTACATTCTAGAGAGGAAGAAAAAACCAGAAAGTTGGTGCAAGGACTAATGGAGCAGCACATCAGGGGTTGTGGGAAGACTACGCCAAGAAATCCGGGTCTCCATAGGCTCTCTGGCACACACAGAAGGATGAGCACCTGTGTGCCAGATGTGTGCACACGTATGTGTGCCATTGCAGTCTCAGCTGTGGCTCAAGACAAAGGCTTTGCTTTTGATCATGGGAAGGAGAGAGAGTCATTGCAAAGTACAGGCTAAGAAGTTCCAGAGCTGGAGTGGCAATGCACAATGGTTCTCTGCTCTTTGCTTTATTTTCAGCATATTTTCTTTTTCTTTTCAATATTTGGTGATAACCACGCTTGTAATAGTATCTGGGTTTCACTCTACTTGGTTTTGGTAGTTTGTTTAGATACTGGTTCTCTGCACATATGAAGTCTTCTGAATTATCACGAGGCTTTTTTCTGAGATGGAAGGAAAGTTAATATGGAAAATGCAATACGTGTGTAATGTTTTGCTTTGCTTTTCCTTAAATTTAATGCCATTTTTAATTTCAAACTTCACACTTTTCCTGCAGCGGGTGGTTTTACAGAATCATTATAAGTTGCTTTGAAGGGGACTTCTGCACTTTAGGGAGTTGGGGTGGCAGTGAGGGAAGGTTGCTGGTGGGAGCGTTGAAGACCTTTGCAGAGCTAAGATTCTGGGAATTTACTTCCATTTTTCCTCTTAAGACATACTAACTTACAAGGTAACTTGTTATACTGAGAAAAGGAAAAAGGTTTCCTTACAGTAAGAAAAGCTATTCTAGAAATTCCTTCATGCTCTGTCTCACTTGTATCCAAACTATATTGAGACTACGATTGTTTAGGTGAGGCTACAGAGATACTCCTTCAAAGAAGCAAACAACTCATTTTGCATATCCCTTTTACATGGGATCAAAAGGTACCCATGTCCCTGGATCACTGAGTTTTAATTTTTTCCTTGAGAATCATAATGGTCATATTGCCCTATCAATTGAGGTCTTTCCTCATAGAGCTATCTATGGACATGGGAAAGAAAAGCATTGCTTCTACTGTTTACACAGTCATCTAATCGCATGGTGATTTCAGCAACCCTGTGAAGTTGGGCTGGTATTACTACACCCTCTTCAAGAGCCGGCATAAGGGAGGGGCTGGGGAGCCACCACCGTGCAGTGGAGGGATCCTCCAGGGATTTCATACCTTCTTCTTCTAGAGCATCATTTTCTTTTGTCCTATATTATCCATGTGGATCAGAAAGCATTCCTTCTGCGGAAGCCTACTGACTTCTAATGCTATATATATATTTTTTTTTTCCCTCGGGACAACATATTCTTTTATTGTGGTAGAATACATGTAACGTAAAATTTACCATCTGAACAATTTTTAAGTGTACAATTCAGGGGCATTAAGTACAGTCACATGTTGTGCAACCATCACCCACATCCATCTCCATTCCTTTTTTATCATCCCCAACCGAAGCTCTGTCCCCATTAAACACGAATTCCCCATTCTCCTTTCTCCAACCTGTGTTAACTTCTATCCCTTTTTCTGTCTCTATAAATTTTACTATTCTAGGTACTTCATACAGGTAGAATTACACAATATTTGTCTTTTCTGTATTTGGTTTATTTCATTTAGCATAATGTCCTCAAGGTTCATCATACTGTAGCATGTATTGGAATTTCATTCTTTTTCAAGGCTGAATAATGTTCCATTTTCTGTACATACCACATTTTGCTTATCCATTTATCTGTGGATAAATAGTTGGGGTGTTTCTACCTTTTGGCTATTGTGAATAACGCTGTTATGAACAATATTGTGCAGACATCTTTTTGAGTTCTTCTTTCAATGCTTGTGGCTATATATGTAGAGGTTGAATTGCTAGATCAAATGGTAATTTTATATTTAATTGTTTTGAGGAACTACCACACTGTTTTCTACAGTGGCTGCACCATTTGACATTCTCAGCAGCAACACACCCTTATTCCTATTTCTCCTTATTCTTGCCATTATTTTCTGTTTCTTTGATAATAGGAACCCCAATAGATGTGAAGAGGTACCTCACTGTGGTTCGAATGTGCATTTCTCTGATGATTAATGATGTTGCCCTTCTTTTCGTGTGTTTATTGGCCATTTCTGCATCTTTGGAGAAATGTCTACTCATGTCTTTTGTCCACTTTTAGATCAGGTTATTTGTTGTTGTTGCTGTTGAGTTGTAGGAGTTCTTTATATATTTTGAGTATTAAGTCCTTATTAGATATGTGATTTGCAATTTTTTTTCTCATTCTGTGGACTTCCCTTTCACTGTCTTAATAGTGCCCCTTGATGTACAACATTTTAAAACTTTGATAAAGTCCAACTTATCTATTTTTTCTTTTGTTGCCCAAGTTTTTTTTCCTGGGATAAGCTGTCATATCCCAGGAAATCATTGCTAAATCCAATGTCATGAAGTTTTCTTCTTTGATTTTTTCTAAGAATTTTATAATTTTCATTCTTATGTTCAGATCTTTGATAGATTTTTGTTAATTTTTGAGTATGGTGTAAGGTAGGAGTCCAATGTCATGCTCTTATATGTGGATACCCATCTAATGTTATATTTTTGAAAATACTGTTTAAAACAAAACTTACTGTTTTCCTGGGCATTCTCTAGGCAATTTATGACAGTGGTGGCTTATTTTGCACTATTAAGATTTCTAGTTTATGTTCTTCCACACCGTAAAAGGCCGTGTCAGAGGAGGGAGCTAAGGTCCTGAAGAGTTGCTTTCTATATAAACTCAGCATAGACAACTCCAGACTTCAGAACCCCTTGACAGCCACACTGTACACCCTTATAGAGCAAGAATCCAAGTCTTCTCAACTTTGTTTTTTTCAATTATCCTGCAAACATAGTGAATACAGTTGTAATTAGTTATGATTGGTATAATTGACCGTGGGCTCTTTAAATGGGGCAGTGTGCTGAAATTGACTGGGTTACAGGGGCAGGCTGAAGCTTCCCTAGCTCTCTTCATAGACTTCTTTTGTAGCATGTATTACATTTTTGGGGGGAGATCGTTGATTTATGTGTCTGTCTCCTCACTACAATGCAAACTTGCTATCTTTCTAGTGCCTAGAACAGTGCCTGGCACAGGCAATTTATTAAACTAAAGTGAACCAATAGCATTACCTCTTCCTTACTTCCAAGTTAATGTGCAAAGGCAGAAGATGAGCAGTAAAATCTTGCTTTACTTACAATGTCATCTTAACTGCATTGCCAGCTTTATACAATGAAGGCTGATGATGATATGGCTCCAAATGACAGTTATTAGATTTTCAAGGATTTTCTAAGTTTGTATCTTTATTAAAAAGAGAAAGAAGCCAACTATGACAAATCTTAACTCCCACCTCCTACTCAAAGAAGATGGAATCTTTTAGGATAAAAGTCTTAGATTAAGCAGCCAAATACTGACTTCTCAAAAAAAATTGTAATAACTCCATTCATAGAAATGAGATTATGCTGTAACATTCTTACCATAGTCCTGAATATGTGAATAAAAGATGCTGTGTATTTTCACTTAGGACAGATGTAAGATTTTCATATTGTTTACATTTTCCCTAAATGAGAAATGTATGAACACTTCTGCCCTTTTATTCCTGCACCACGGACCATGAGTCAGGGCTGCTAAAAGTATCCTTATTTTAGAGATTGCCTAAAACCAGACTTATATGAAAAGGGGATTTTTAGCTTTACTTTTCAGAAATCCCAAGTCCATATCCAGTCAGCTCTCTTCCACAAAATTATTTTCTTTTCTTTAGAAAATATCACATTTCATATCAAGTTATTAGAGAGAAACGGGAAGCCTGAGCAGGTGACTGGGTGGTGGACGTCCTGTGTTTCTAAAGCAATCCCTTTCCCTCACCTGAGACCTTGCCTAGGTTAATGGGGGCTCCATTGAGAAAGTCAAGGAACATGAAGCATGAATATTTACATATTCAGCAGAGAGTAAATGCATCAGCAAATGATGAGGTGAGATACAGTGTTATCCCACTGAACTAGTTCCCTTTTGCTCATCTCCCTCCCTGTTACTCTCCAAGGCTGAGTTATATTCAGCTGAAGCACAATTTGAAGAATACGAAATAATGTGTGATTTGGTGCCACCACTGTCAATCAACAGTGCTTTCCACCTAGACTGCTGTGCCTGTGCCAGTGGCTGCTGTCCTGGTGCCAGGGGCAAGAGGAAGACTGCCTTTTTTCCAGCTTTCCCTGGCTTGACCACACCCCCCAATTTAAGGAGGCAGCTCTATTAGAAACATTATGGTCTTTGCATCCTCTTAAGCTACGGAGCAGAGGATTCCCGCAGGTAGTTGGAAAGAGACCACAGACTTTGAGGGAAGCTCACTCAGGATCTGCTCTCCGGCAAAGTAGTAAGTGAGGTGTGTGTCAGTTTCTGCCTAAAACTTTTCAGTCCATTTTCCTTTTCCTGCTTTAAAAAAATTTCTGTGGAATTAAAGAGTAAGTCGGTAGGGAGATTCAGGATACAAGTGAGTTTTCTCTTTCTCTTTTCACGTCTTTCTATATTCCCATTTAATTGTTTAACAATTTTCAAAAATACTTCCTAACCTCGTCAGAATAGTCTGAAAGCAAGACTATGTTTTTAAAAATGTTCCCTGCTTCACAAAAGTAAAACCATGCACGTTTTAGATACCCGTAGATTACTTGTCAGAAACCCTGATTTTTTTTTTTTTTTTTTGCAAATTGGAGCACTTCCAAAGAAATAAAGCTGTAGTTAAATATATAAATTTCTTTTTATTCTCTTTCACTCCTAGTAAATCTATTGTTTTACTTTTTTCTCCTGCTAGTAGTTTAATGAATTGCTTTTAATAGAGAGGAAATTGCTACAGGTTTGAATCTTGCTAGCCAAACTAGCCTGTTTGGTGTTTTTCTCTGTCTTGGGACTGACCTGCAGTTGTCCAAAGATCTACAAGTTCCTAAGTCTGTTGTTGAGACATGGTGTGGGTGTGGGCCGCGGTTGTCTCAGAGTTAGGGAGGTATTTCTTGTCCCCACGGTAGAGCTGGACTCAGTGGCAGGAGATGTCGATGGCAATTCCTCTGCATCCGGTGATTTTATCTGGCCGTGACACTTTGTATGTGACTCCTCACCCACCGTTAAAGGTCTCTGTTACCAACTTTTAAAGTAGTATTTTCTTCAGGCAAACTTAAAAGGGTGCTGGGTCACTGAAATCAATGCATTCTATTGCAGGATTTCTTTATCACCTTTTGGGTAAGTTTTTGTTTTTAATCTCAAGTCCATTTTCCTTCTTACTTTAGACCACTGCCATGCAACTGAGAAAAAAGTATTTGTTAAACAGCAGGAAATACCAATTCTAAAATGATAACTCCATCAGCTCCATTTGATTTGTAAAATTACTGATACTATAACTCTTTCATCAGTTGTGGTTTTGGGTTTGGTGGCCTATTTTTATCCAAAGAGAAAACGCTTTTTCTTCAGGGGCCGTGGGCTGTGCACAAGGGCTGCAGGGTGGCCACTGCTGCTGTTGAGAGTCTTGCTCACCTGTTGTTCCTGAATGGAGGGAAGGGAGAGCTAATGGGTTAATGTCTGCAAAGTGCTTTGAAGATGAAAAGGTCTTTTCATGTGTTCAGTAGTGCAGTTATTAATATTAATATTTGAAGAAGCATGCTGCTTCTAATTGTAAATCAACTACTTCCATCCTTGCCAACTCAATAGTGAAATAACAAACAGTTCAGGCATCCATGCAGCCTCTTCCGTCCTGGTTCCGCTGCTGAGGATGTGGGAAGCCAAGCCGAGAGCCTAATTATGGAGGGGGCATCTTTGCCCGGCAGGCTCCTTACACGGAGGTGCTAGTTGCTGGCTGTGAAAGGATGTCCTGAGGCAGAGCCTGGGGGAAGCTGGTAGAGGGGTGGGATCCTTTGGCATCTGGCAGTCTGTGGCCAGAGCACCGACTTGGGCCAGTGGCCGGTCCCGGACGATAATGGAGTTCAAAGGCAAGTGGGGTCAGAACTTGAACCAGCGCTGGGTCGGAGAAGGGAAAGTGGCTGTGCACTTGGATTATGTCAGTGATTAGCTTTGTAACAGAGAACAGGGATTGAACGTGTCTGTGCCTTCTTCCCTTCATCTCTAAAAGGTGAGCAATCATTTGCGCCCCGCCTGGTTTACAAATATGAGAGAATAGAAGTAAACAGCATAGGGCTATGAAAAATCAGAGTGCCAGTGAGGTCAAGGACTGTCTGAAGTAATACTTCAACAAACTGGGTGTGTGGGTGCAGGTCCTCTCACCTAGGGGAGGGTGAGGCAGAAGGCAAAACACTGCAAACAAATAATCAACAGATTTCTCTCTTTGATTGCACTGGTGAATTTCTTACTGATAACTGAGGTTCTGATGTACCTTGTGATTTTAATTATTGGTGAATAGATCTGTTTTCCATAGTGACTATCATTTTCTAATTACCAGTTCAAAATTCCCAACTGTTCACATCAAACAGCAGAAGGGAATGATTACGTCCCACGAGCTGGGACCCTTCCTTCCTTCCTTGCTTCCTTCCTTCCTTGCTTCCTTCCTTCCTTCTTCCCTCCCTTCCCTCCCTTTCTATCTTTCTTTTCTTTTCCTTCTTTCTTTCCTCCCTCCCTCCTTTCTTTTTCTTTCTTTCTTTCTTTCTTTCTTTCTTTCTTTCTTTCTTTCTTTCTTTCCTTCCTTCTTTCTTTCTTTCTTTCTCTTTCTTTCTTTCTTTCTTTCTTTCTTTCTTTTCTTTCTTTCTTCTTTCTTTCCTTCCTTCCTTCCTTTCTTTCTTTCCTTTCTTTCTTTCTCTTTCTTTCTTTCTTTCTTTCTTTCTTTCTTTCTTTCTTTCTTTTCTTTCTTTCTTCTTTCTTTCCTTTCTTTCCTTCCTTCCTTCCTTTCTTTCTTTCTTTCTTTCTTTCTTTCTTTCTTTCTTTCTTTCTTTCTTTTCTCTTTTTTCTTCCTCTTTCTTTCTTTTCTCTCCCCTCCTTTCTTCTTCTTCTCTCTCTCCCTCTTCCCTCCTCCTTCCCTTTCCTCCCTTTCTTTCTTCATTATGGAAATGATAAAGTATTTAGCATTTGAGCAAAATTAATGTGGTATGCAGCAATTTAGTGGCATTTCAGGCAAATCTTTTAAGTTTCTTCAATCCTGGGAAAAATTAGATGTGAAGACATAACTTACTTTTTGCTTCCTCATCTCCTTTATCCCTGCTGTACTGAAAGTATAGCTTATTGAACTCCACCTTTTAATGTAGATGATTTTCTAGTTATCATATCCATTCTTCTTCATTTCACCTAAGGAGGAATACTCAGCCCTAACGTTTACTGAGCACTTGGTATGTTCCAACATCCTTGCTAGGTGCTTTGCAGGGACTGCTTCATTTAATCTACAATGAAGTTTTGAGGTGGGCACTCCACTCTCGTCATCCCCATTTACCAGGTGGGGACTCTGAGGCTCAGTCATATGACCGTGTTAACTCATGGTGGACCCTGATTAGAGCCAATGGAATGTGAACCCAGAGCTTGTGATTGGAACTGCATGTCATAGGAATCTAAGTAACTCTAAGACATTTACACAAATTTAGGATAGATTTTTCTGCTTAGACTGATTTGCTTATCTAGGAGAACACTGGATTAAGCCTGTTTTCTGAAGTGGTATCTGTGGATTACTTATTCATTGTTATGAAGATACTGACTTTGAAGAAAGACTACCCAGGCCTAGTTTCCTGGGTAAGTAAGTCAGTCCCTTCCCTGACAAATATCAGTTTTATTTCTACTCCATGCCCAGCCTTGTGCTGGAGACCATACCAAACACAGAAGAAACAATATGTAAACTCCATTTTTAAAATTAACACAATAATCTTTACTAGAAAAGAGGATAAAAATGAAAGACAATATAATTATTAAGTAGTGTAGTATAACCTATACATGCTTTGGGAGTTCAGGTAGAAAAAAATGGTATCTAGAGCAGTGAGGGAAGGATGTTTCTGATCTGCCTTTTTTTCAAAAGAGGATAGATTTCATATTCCAGTAATCAAGTGTTGGAGCTGCCTTCAGAACTTAGAGGGAACAGGCTGGGTAGTACTTACTAGCATGAGAGTAAGCAACAAACATTTAGTGCAAATGTCAGGAAAATATTCTCAATGGGGAGGAAAAAATATATAAATTTTCAAGAGATGTGGAAAGGTAGAAAACTCCAGAATTTTGGTCTTTTTAGAGATTTAAAAGAGATTTAGTCTTTTTAGAGACTTAAAAAAAACTTTTCACTTTGAAATAATTCCAGATGCATAAAAGTTTGCAAAACAATGTACAAAAAGTTTCCAAAACATGTGAGTCTTTTACAATTGTAAAAAAAAACATATAATGCAAATAACTCTTTTAAATTATCTCTTGGCACCTCTTGTAATCCTTAATCCAAATGACTTCTGTTGATGGGAGAAAGCACCATTGCCAGTTTCTTGATAAAAGGGACCAAATAACTAGAACCATGTCTTCTTAGGAAAAGCAAGAAGTCTTGGCAGATGTGCATCTGGCATATGGCTCCTGAGACACTGACAGGTCCTGAGCTACTCAATTCTCCCCAGCCGGGTTTGTATTGCACCTGAGGTTACCAGCATCTGCTCAGCCTTGGCACAGAAGTCTTGCCTGTTCCTCCTTGGGCTCTGCCTCCTAAACACCTACCTTGTTATAATCACTCATGAGTTCAACCAAGTTAGTCCAGCGCTGCCTTGCTACTCACAGTGAAGTCCTCTGACCTGCGGCATCAGCACCACGTGGGAGCTTGTTAGAAATGTGGAATGTCTGGCCAGACCTCAGACCTACTGCAGCAGACTGCATTGTAACAGGATCCCCGGGTGATTCATATGCACATTACAGTTTGGGAGGCACTGCTCTAAAGAAAAAGCAAAAACAAATGAAAAAGCAAAAATGAAAAAAATGAACAAACAAGAAATCTTGCACTATTTTCCGCAGTGCTTTACTACTTCCTTATATTTGTATCTAGTTGCTAAAGCGTAAGTCCACAAAAGATCGACATTATATCAAAAAGATGTTGGTTTAACTCAGGAAGCTGCAATATTTCACCATTTGTGCTATGCAATCTTTCAATGAGTTAGTTCTCCACTGTAAGAAAAATGCTTACTTCTTGGTTTTATGCATAACAATGGTACAAACAGACTACCATTAAACAGAAATTGTGGCTCTTTTCTCCTGCAAAATTCTTGACTAATGCTACTCAACCTATGATTATGAAAGGGAATCCTGTTTTCATGACTTGAATACAAGTCTTTAGAAAAAGAGATGAGAGATTTAGCTATCCATGTTCTAGCTCTAACACTTAAATAACCTCTGCCATGTTGGGCAGTAGAAAAAAGTAATTAATATAAAACAGTAGTGTTACTAATTAGTGACATTAGTAAGCATTTACTAATGCTTACTAATTGCCAGGCACTACTGATAAAATAGCAATAATAACAATTATTATTTATTGACCATTTTTACTATTTATACAGCATGCTGCTAAGTATTTGTGTTTTGTATGATCCTCCTCTATAATCCTGAAAGTGTTGATATTATTACCTGCATTTTATAGTTGAGGAAACTGATTGTGAGGTTAAGAAATTTGCTCATGGCCATACACGCAGCAAGCAGTTCTACGTTCACCCATAGTATGTAACTCCAGGGTTCTTGATCACTGCTAAACACGTAACCTCTTAGGACTCAGTTCATTGAAATAAATGAGAAGATTGATGAATTTTTTCCAACTCCAAAATTCACTGGAATTGCACAATCCCTCTTTATATAAGAATGCTAGCAAGCTGTTTAGCATTATACTGAGAAATTGGAACCTTACATTTCGGGTAATAAAACAAATGAAACTCCACCATGAAAATCACAATCAGACATAGTCCAAGAAGTTGCTTGCTGGATTTGAGAGATCTAAGGCAGCTGGTATCTTTTAGTTCAATTTTAAAGGGGCATTATTGCAACTATCCAGTCCCCTCTCATTGTTCTTGTAATATCTCTTTCTATTTATGGTGCCTCTCAGTTTTGTTGAGAATTCCTTTAGAGCCAGAGCCAAGTCTAAACTCTAGATTATGTCTGACATGCTTCACAGGCTAAGAGTCTGTAATGTAATTCTTTAAAATGCTAGTCTCTTCAGAGGTTTCATTGGCAGCATTCATTGGATTAGAGTTGACGTTTTTAATCTCGTGGCCCTTCTTTGCATTTGACTTGGAAAACAATCTCTTATTCCATGGCCTCTATTACGACCATTCTTGGAAAGCAAAGAGTACTCTACATTATTCCTCCAGCTTATTCTTTTTTTGTTTTGAGGTTCGAAGTAAAACACAATCCTTATTTATTTATTCAGTTATTTATGAGTACTTACCATGCTTCTGGCTCAGGAGTACATCCTAAGGCCAAGTGTGATCATTTGTTGAATTTCATGGTAAAATACAGGATTTGAGGCATAGCATTTGTACACAGGCTATGGCCACTTTTATGGTAAGGCAGTGTATTGAATATTACCTTTGATCTTCAGGAAGATGTTCTGACAGAAGTATGATTGACTAGAAAGTGTAGATTGTTAGTATTTCAAAGGTTTCAGAGACTAGAATTGGCATTTTCTTAGTTAGATTCCTAGACCTAAGAGTCGGCAGGTTTTAATGTATTTCCTTGATGCCTAGGAGAAGCAAGACCTTTCTGTCCATTGTTGACAATGCCATTTCAGTACTGTATGGTGAGGGATTTGTTTCCACTGAGAAGGAAATGCATAAAATAATCTATGAAGCATTCCTTATTTCTTAACTGCTATGGTATACCAGAGTAAAACATCTTCTAGTCTTTCTCTTTTTCAGGAGATAGTAGCGAGTTACTCCTCAAGGAAGGGTAAAACAATATACTCTTTAAAATTATAATGACATGAGTTCATTTTAATATTCTAAGAAGGATTCGTTGAGCTATGTCAATTCATACAGGACTTGAAAGTGTTATGCTTAATTAGGAGATGGGTTTATTTTTAGAGAAATAGGAGATGGATATGACTCATTTCCATTTAAGCAAGGGTTGGCGGAATAATTATAGTGAAGTTGTGAAGAAACAAAGACTGAGATGTTAATTGTACTGTGAGTTGCTGCTCTGTAACCTTAGTGAAAGAATAAATGCACTTAGCTTAAGACACAGAAGACAGTAGCCCATAATTTGGAACACAGCCTTCATTTGTCAGTGCTGGCTACTTAAAATAAGAAGGAATATTCACTACTACTGTAATGTTGGATTACTTAGTCAAGCAAATGAGGTTCTTGTAGATTTAGTAGTGAGACAGAAAAACCATCTTCAGTTCTTCTAATCCTTTTTCTTTTCTATGCGTTGTAACCACAAAGTTTCCATGGGGAGTAAGGAATGTTCAGCTTTCCTAGATATGATGGATCTTAAACCTGAGTTCTTAGAGAATTGGATTTGGGAGCTTTTGTTACAGTGACAGGTCAGGGAAGACATCTACTCAAATGATTTGGGAAATACACGTGGGCTACTCATGAGAATCAGAAAGAACACACTGAAGGAGTATAGATGAACTCATCAATCTGGTACATCCTATAGTTTAGAGAAAAGTGCCATCTTGCTTGTAGTTAACTCTTGAGAAGCCTAACCTCAGGGTCACACAAGGACACACTTCATCACAGGGATTTTTTTTTTTTTTTTTTTTTTTTTTAATGTCCAAACGATAACTTACTCTCTTGGATAAGCTCAGGACGCACAAGGATTGTACACACCAACTCTGTTTCAAGTACTTTAGGTACTTTCCCTCATTTAGTAAACAGACACTTGTTGCATGGCTACTATGTGTCATCTGAAAAGACACCATCCTTACTCTCAAGTTACTCATCATTCAGGAGCAGAAACAGGCATAGATACAGGAAGTGTCATGAACTTTGTTACACCGTTACAGTAAATCCCATGGAGGGGCATCAAGGAGGTCCATGCAATTGCCAAAGAGGGTAGGGGGGAGGGGAAAGCTTCCTGAAAGAGGAGATACTCTGAGTCTTCAAAAATACATTTCTATAGTATTCAGAAAAAAGAAATTAAAACTCTATACATTGTAGATTAAAGATGTTGCCTTGGTAGCCCAGGTGTTGCCTTTAGTTTGGCAAAAGTGCTGTTGTTTGGAGCAAGTTTTTTTTACATGGTTAGTTGTTTTGGACACCAAATTCTTTTTTTTTTTTTTTTTTCAATGGAGTTTTGCTCTTGTTGCCGGGTGGGAGTGTAATGGCGAGATCTCGGCTCACTGCAACCTCTGCCTCCCAGGCTCAAGCGATTCTTCTGCCTCAGCCTCCCAAGTAGCTGGGATTACAGGCATGTACCACCACACCTGGCTAATTTTGTATTTTTAGTAGAGATGGAATTTCACTATGTTTGTCAGGCTGCTCTTGAACTCCTGACCTTGGGTGGTCCGCCTGCCTCGGCCTCTCAAATTGCTGGAATTACAGGCGTGAGCCACCGAGCCCAGCCCTGGAAGCCAAATTCTTTGTCTCCTGTATTCCAAGCCAAAAGGACATGCTTTTTGTTTGAATTGATAGGAATCCTAAATTATTGACATTAGGATAAATGCTCATTGGAAATCTATTCAAATTTTGCATTGTTTTCAAAGAGGAAAGGCTGGGGTGAGGGGTGGTGGGGAGAAATCTACATTTTCTGCCACAGCTTTATTGTGCTTTTGAATTCCCCATGTGCCATCTTCATACCCAGGATATGTTTTAACCATAATTCATTGCCTATGAAGCTAACATGAAGACGAGAGGGCAAGTTGAAATTTAAAACATGATGCCTTTGTCAGTGGGAGTCTAATTTTGGCTGGTCTATTATAGAATGCAGTTAGTCAATATGTATTCAAATATGGAATGCATATTTTCTTTGTCCCCAAAATGCTCTTTTTCGGCATTTAGTGGGAATGTAAAATATTTTAGGAATTTTTATAATGACAAAGAATTGGGGACAAATTAATTATACGATAATAAGAGGCTCTTTAAAAGTATGATATATACATACAATAGAATACTTGGCAGTCATCATCTTTAGGATAGACAGCCACATTTATCAACAGAGAAAAATGTCCATAGCATTATGTTAAATGTCAGTGAACAAAGCAGGTTACAAAAGAACATGTGGAGAATAATCTCATGAAGGTAAAATTGTAATCACGTGTGTGTGTGTGACATCTATGTTCGTTTAGATAGATTAAAAAATACCCAGAAGAATATTGAACAAATTATTAGTATAATTATCTCTACATGGTGAGGTTTCAGGTGATTCTAATATCCATCTGTTACTTTTTTGTATTTTAATTTTTGCGGTAACATTGTATTAGTTTGGCAAAAACTGCTGATTTCAAAAGAATTTTGTTTTCAAAAGAAAAAAATTAAAGTGTAATTTACTTGGTATTTACCTAAAAGCGTAGTTTTTCTTTTAGGAATACATAACCCCAAATGAAAAAGGCTTAACTGATGTCAAAGTTATCTAGAAATACAGCCAAGCAGGGTCAGAGTTGATGTGAACTGGATTCAGCCTTGATTCAAGCCTGGTCTCTTTGGGATTTCTTGTTCTTCTGCTGCCTTGGCCTGAACAGTCCCTCTCCTCCCTAATTTTTCCTTTATTCTGTGTCTCTCAACCTGCCCTGCCCTGCCCTGGCAAGCTTTGGGTGAAAGGAAGTGAGAGCCTACAGGTCCTGGCCGGGTTGCCAGTTTGGGGAGGGTGGGAAGTTGGAGAAGTGGTCACTCGCTCTATGAAGAATAGAACTCTCTAGAATCAAGCAGAACCATAGTTTTAAAGTGATTTTTTGGACATGAGACACCCACATAAGCCAAAGTGTTGACTTTTTTGTCTTCTCCATCTCATGCTTGTTTCTGTCCTCGCCATCCAGGGTGATGAGGGTGCTTAGAGAAGCATCTTCTCTCTCTCTCTCTTTTTTTTTTTTTTGGCTTTTTGGCAGAAGAGAATTCCCTCCCACGTGACAACTGCTTGAACATCAGCTGCACCAATTTTTTTCTTAGCATTGCACACGTTTATTGCATAAATGCAAAGCAACTGTGGCATCTGAAGATTTACTCCCCAGCTAAGCAGCATCCATGAGACCTGTTTGGGTGCAAAAATGATTTGGACGCTGGGTAACAAAGGTCTAGAGAAGCATCTTCTCTAAGCACAGGAGGAGGCTGAAGACCAGGAGTCTGGTCTCAGCTTGGCCAATTAGCAGCATCGCCTTAGTCTTTCTCCTCATTTGTAAAAAGAGGGGTTTACACTGAAAAAGTGTGTACAAGTTTTCTAACTTACACTATTGTATTTAACAGTTATCTATGTGCCAGCTACTTTCCAATACTGGCCTAGGATCCAGGGATCTGGAGTGAATAAATGAACTAAATCTCCCCCTTGGGGAGCTTAAATTCTAACAGAGTGGACTTTGGAGAAGACAACGAACAAACACCTAGGTGTCAGAGTACGGAGAAAGGCGCTGCTATTCATATGCGGTGATGGGAAAAGCCTTCTTAGATGAGGGGGCATTAAATAGCTATGTGAATAGAAGGAAACGGTTTTCCCTTAGAAATGGATCATGAAACAAACTGATTATTTCAAGTGGTTCTTTATCTAGACCTGCAATCTATTCAGATTCTCTATTTTGAGGAACAAATATATTCACATCTGATCTACCTCTTACATTTTTAGTCTTGTGAGACCAATTCATTCATTTACTCATTCACTGATTTAAAAAAACAATGAGTTTCCATTATGCCCCATGGTCTGTCTTAAGTGCTGAAGACAAAAATGAAAAAGGCATGGTGCCTGCCTTCAAGTAGATGAGAATTTAGCTGGAGAGACAAACAGAAGCAGATGGTAATAAAACAATGTGATAAGCACCGTGATAGAAATACACTTTGGGAACATAAACAAGGAGCCGCTAACCCTGGCTGGGGTGAAGCGTGGCTCAGGAAGGATTCCAGGCTGCAATAACCTCTGAGCTGAGCCTAAAACCCTGAGGAGGCAGGGTTCACTCATCTTGAGGGTGGATGGGCATTCCTAGCAGAGGGGGTAACATGAGAAGGGCAGGGGAGTGAGACCTGGCAACGCGTGCCTAAGAAAACAACAGAGTTCCATGTTGCAGTGGAGGGTGCAGGGGTCACGGCGAGAGGGGGCTGGAGAGGTGGGAGGGAGCATGGGGGGGCACAGCAAGCCACAGTCCAGAGCAGGGCAGCCTCCTTTCTGACCCACTTATCCTGCGGCTCAGGTGGCGCAGGTCCTTTTCAAGAAAAATAAACTCAGCTCTGCAAGACCCTCTGTTACCCAGCGTCCAAATCATTTTTGCACCCAAACAGGTCTCATGGATGCTTCTTCGCTGGGGAGTAAATCTTCAGATGCCACAATTGCTTGTATTTATGCAATAAACGTGTGCAATGCTAAGAAAAAAGTTGGTGCAGCTGATGTTCAAGCAGTTGTCTTGTGGGAGGGAATTCTCTTTTGCCAAAAAGCCAAAAAAGAAAAGAAAAAACAAACGCTACTAAAAAAACTACCTAAACACTTCATTTACTTCTTCTGAGAAGGTTTACGTCTCTAGCAGCTGTTCTGTGTCACAATCTACAAGTGGAAAAAGGGCGGGTTCTTTTTTTCTTTCTCCAAAAAAATAATAAAGCAGCAATCCATTTCTGTCCAAGAGTTATTTCCTGAGACGAGAGCCCTTGAGAGCCCTGGCAACTCCCTCTTGTCAGTTTCCTCTCTGGGCAAAGGGCTTTTCCCCAAGGGAAGTGTCATTCATACAGTCATAGCTTCAAGAATACAGTCCAGCACAGAGTGCACCAGATGTTGGGCCAGAGCTTTCTTCTCTCACTCTGTCAATGAGAAGAGAAAACATATTTCCACTGACCCCTTTTCCAGGAGTGTTGCTATGAGGGGGAGTGTTGTCTGGCCAGCAGACAGAAACCCTTGGTATCTTTGAGGTGGGCTTCAGGATGTGGCTGCCAATTCCAAAAGTCCTTTCTCTTAGAAATACGTAAGTAAAATAGGCATTTGAAAGGTGAAGGTCCTTTGCCACTTGTGGGACTCTAGGGATGATTTATAGGGCCATGTGGTTACACCTTGCTCTATGCAATCTTTCACAATTTCCTATTCCCTGCACCCAGCAGAACTGACTGCTTCCTATTTCTTTTTCCATATTGTTGGCCAACTACTTATCACATTATGCTATAGTTATGTGTGAGCCTGTCGATTCCACTGCCTGAAGATAGAGATCCTGTCTTTCTCAGATTTTTCCTGAGTCTGATAGAATCTAAGGGCCGTGAGGTCAGGAATCCTTGTTTACTGGTGTGTTTCAAGTGCCCAGGACCGTGTCTGGCACATAGTGGTGCATAGTGATTATTTACCAAATGAATAAACAAGCCACTAACAAAGGACGCCTATTACATGATTGTTGGATAAATACAATCGTACTCCCTTAACTGTGGTTTTGCCTTCCGAGGTTTCAGTTACTCTCCGTCAACCAAGGTCTGAAAATAGGTGAGTACAGTACAGTAAGATATTTTGAGAGAGAGAGAGAGAGAGAAACCACATTCAATAACTTTTATCACAGTATATTGTTATAATTGTTCTAGTCATGTATTAGTTATTGTTGTTAATCTCTTACTGCGTCTAATGTATAAGTTAAACTTTATCATAGGTGTGTATGTATAGGAAAACACATAGTATGTATGGGGTTCTGTACTATCTGAGGTTTCAGGCCTCCACTGGAGGGTTTTGGAACAAATCCTATTTGGGTAAGGGGAGACTACTGTAACTGAGGTCTGTGAGGACTCAGGAGATCCTTGGGGCTTTTTTTGGAGGAAATCAGAGGGTTGAATGTTTACATGAAACAGCATTCCCACATCACTGGGGGGAATTCCAAAAAGTATTCATTTCTAGAAGGTATTAGTTGCCCTGCAGGACCCTGGAGGGATGATCAACATTTCCCTAGGGAATTTGATTGTGGTTAAGCCATTATCATATGACACAATCAATGTTGTTAACTTTTATGTCTCAACCAAAGATCTCAAAGTAGATCAAAAACTTTGAAGTGGGATATATGGTTTGATGATGATTCATCAGGACTTTAAAACTTGATTCTAAGAGTAAAAACGAGGAACACTTTGGTGGGAAAGGAGCCATGGAGCTCAGTGAGATGATCCTCACAGTGTATGGTCAGGACAGGCATATCTAAACCACGTGACATGCATCTTACTCTTATTTCATGCTCAGTGCCTGGTACAGAGTCAGACCCATCATAGGTACTCACTGTTCTTGGAAACAAACACTGAGTAGTGACCCCTGACGCAGATGTTAACAATGTCCCTGGCCTAGGGTACTTTGAGCTTTTCCTACCATTCATCTTCACCAATGAGGAGCTCTTCCTGGGGTGGTTTTGCTGTAGTGGAGATCAATTTCCTAAAAAACTAAAGGACAAAATCTTGATTAACATAGTCTAGCTATTCAGACCCTTAGTTAATTTTTTAAAACTAATGTTATTTTGACTGCATTCTACATCTGGAAGAAAAGACATAAGAAAAAGGCAAAGTTTTAGTTAAAAACACAAAGTATAGTTCTAGGATAAGTTATGACTTCAGGAGGTTTGTAGCTTACATCCCTTAACCATATGATATTAGTAGCTTTGTTGTTGTAGCCCTTAGGCAGTATAGTTTTATATTGCCAAGCCTGTTTAACTATATCATTTAAACATTTAAATACATTTCATATGAAAAAAGGGATCAAGATGGTGAACCAAACTGCAAATTGAACATAAGACATTTCTTATTACTTGATTTTTCTTGAAATGTATCAGTTGCTTTAAATGTAGAATTAAGGAAAAGGGCAGACAAATACAAACTGGAAAGCAGTGAAGTTAAAGCGTCACTTCCTAACAATAAGAATTTGGCCTCTGATTGGTATGCCTAGGAATTTAATCTTCGAGATTATTCAAGAACGACTTTTTAAATGCATAGTATTAAGTTTATGAAAGTGTGTAATGAACTTTCGAAAGTATTTAGGTCAACAGAGATGTTCGATATGTAATGATGACCAGTAGCTAACTGGAAAATCCCTTCAGCCAGAAAATTGCTCAAGCATTCTAGACACTCAGACTTCCAATGTAGAAAATAGCTCTCAACAAGTTATTTAATAGCCCTTCTCCTTTTTTCAAGATCAATAATGCTCAATCCCTTTTGCAGGGTTTCTCTCTGTTTATCTGTTTCTTGGGTTACTGGGTGACATACCTCTTCAGGAGAGCTTTTTCCATCCTTCCTTTCTCCAATCCTTTCTATGTTTATTCCTTTATCAATTAATTTACACCCCAACTGTGTATTGTATGCCTACTTATCTGCCAGGCCTGGTTGTGGGTGGGGGAGACACACAAGAACTGGTTCCTGCTCAGAAACCCTACAAAAATGTGCCTCTTGTGCACTGGTTTACTGCTTGCTGTCTGCAGTGTGTAGACATGGTCTGTTATCCATGTTACCTTGCAACCAGGGAACTGGTTCTGTCTGAGGTCTGCTCTTACCGGTGCTGGGGGTTAGTCACTGATCTTTCTGAATTTCCATTGCTTTCCCTGCCATGCAAAGAAGTGAACTGGTTGGCTCCTAAGGAGACTTTTAGTTCTAAGGTTCGTGTCTTCCTTGTGTATTCTAATCCACAAACCTGTGAGCATCCAGAGGCTCAGCCAACGCCTTCTCTCACACAGGTGCTGAGAGCAGAATGAGCTACTTTGTGGATTCTGCTGGGAGCAGCCCCGTCCCTTACTCAGCGCCTCGTCCTGCAGTGGTGGTGAGTGGTGGCCCCTTCCCTGCCCCTTTGCCCACACAATCTTCTCCCCTCCTCCTTGTGCTTCCTGTATCCTGACCCCCAGTAGACAGAGAAGCCAGGAACCTGAACTCCAAGGTTCGAATCAGCTTTGAATCTTTTGGAGGATGTCAATTGTAAGATTATCTATGATTTTATCAGCATATAAAAGAAAACCAAATACTGATGGATTTGCTGAAGAAGTTTTAGTATGTTTGAGTTTGAGAGAAATGACTCAAATATGATGAACAGTTAAAGCCAGTTGATTTTCACTGCCCAGTTCATTTGATGATTTTTTACATATTGAGGTACCTTATTCCTATACATATTATAATTGAACTTACTTTTGGCCTCAGACATAAAAAGCCAATAATGCAAGTTTTCTAATCACAGACTTTAAAAGTGAAAATGGAATATGACAATAAGTTTATGGAAAAATTTCATAAATCCTAGAATAAGAGGGGACAAAGAAACTTTAAAATAGGACTGGATGAAGTTTTTTGTCCATAGGTGAGAAGATCCTTGCCCAAGCTATATGCTGATCAATAGAAATGCTTTGACAAATTTCTCAAAAATGTATTGCGTGAGGATCTTATAATGTTGATATTGATCAGTTCCAGTATTAAAAGACACTAATATCAGCAGCTGTGTCATTAATTATTCTTTCTAAATTCTGTTACGTTTTTATTCAAAGATAGCCATCATAAATGTTGAATTTTTTTTTTCTTACAGTGAAATACGGACAGATAAGTTTATTTTATTTATTTTTTTCTTTTTCTTTTTTTTTTTTCTGTCACTCAGGCTGGAGTGCAGTGGCACAATCTTGGCTCACTCCAACCTCTATCTTCTGGGTTCAAGCAATTCTCCTGCCTTAGCCTCCCAAGTAGCTGGGATTACAGACCTGCACCACCACGCCTGGCTAATTTTTGTATTTTTAGTAGAGAAGGGGTTTCACCATGTTGGCCAGGCTGGTCTCGAACTCATGACCTCAAGTGATCTTTCTTTGAGATGGTCTCGCTCTGTTGCCCAGGCTGGAGTGCAGTGGTTTGATCTCTGCTCACTGCAACCTGTGCCTCCCGTGTTCAAGCGATTCTCCTGCCTCAGCCTCCCGAGTGGCTGGGATTACAGGTGCCCACCACCACGCCCAACTAATTTTTTGTATTTTTAGTAGAGACAGAGTTTCACCATGTTGGCCAGGCTGGTCTCAAACTCCTGACCTCGGGTGATCCATCCACCTCTGCCTCCCAAAGTGCTGGGATTACAGGCGTGAAGCACTGAGCCCAGTCGCAAATAAGTTTATTATATTATTATTATTATTAACTTTTCCCAGTACATTTATGGATCTGAATTAACACCAATAAACAAGAACGCATTTCTGACTTGTCTTTGACTGTCTTGCCAGAGATTCTGTATAGTTTTTAACACTGATTAAAGTTAAGTATGACACAGTTAACTGTGACCTCTCACTGTAATTGTATATTAAAAGACCTGAATTGTTTGAAGTTTTTTTTTTTTTTTTTTTTTTTTTTTTTTTTTTTTTTTTTTGACGGAGTCTTGCTCTGTCGCCCAGGCTGGACGGAGTCTCGCTCTGTCGCCCAGGCTGGACGGAGTCTCGCTCTGTCGCCCAGGCTGGACGGAGTCTCGCTCTGTCACCCAGGCTGGAGTGCTGTGGTGCGATCTTAGCTCCCTGCAAGCTCAGCCTCCCGGGTTCACGCCATTCTCCTGCCTCAGCCTCTCAGAGTAGCTGGGACTACAGGCGCCCGCCACCACGCCTGGCTAATTTTTTATATTTTTAGTAGAGACAGGGTTTCACCGTGGTCTCGATCTCCTGACCTCGTGATCCGCCCGCCTCGGCCTCCCAAAGTGCTGGGATTACAAGCGTGAGCCACCGCGCCCAGCCTGAAGTTCTTTTTTTAGCATTAAAAAAAACCAAAAACTCTCAGTAGCTATTCTGTTCAAGGGAAAAGACACATTTTAAGGATGATTGAGACATCTCTCTTCAGTAGCTGTTTTTACCACATTTTTCTTCTTTTTAAAATGGCTTCTGTGTTCATGTAAGCACCGTTTACTTTTACAAAAAATTAGAATCAGAAAAAGGTTTAGACGATAATATATATCAGAAATATGTTTAAACTGCCCACTCCCCAACACTCCACTACACGACAAGTCCAGGCAAGGAGTCACTCGAGTTTGCTTAGTAGCGATTGCCAAAGGACTTGCAGTTTAAGATCATATCGAGGGCTGAAGAAGTTGCCAGAAAAGGGCTCCTCCTCCTTTTCCTCACATAGAGGTCATTATTTAAAGTTAACACAAATGACATTAAAATTTCCTTAAAGACGATATTGTAGAAATTTGTTAAAATAAATAATGATATTGTGATTTCAGAGCAAAATGTGTCATTGACTTGAAAAATAAGATTTAAAAGCCAGTCCATGTTAATTCTATTTACAGGTACTATAATCAAATTAAAACAGATTAATATTTTGGCTAAGAATGAAATGCCATGGCTGGGCTCAGTGGCTCACACCTGTAATCCTGGCACTTTGGGAGGCTGAGGCGGGCGGATCAGTTGAGGTCAGGAGTTTGAGACCAGCCTGGCCAACATGATGAAACCCAGTCTCTGCTAAAAATACAAAAAAAATTAGCCAGGTGTGGTGGCACATGCCTTGTAATCCCAGCTACTCAGGAGGCTGTGGCATGAGAATCGCTTGAACCCAGGAGGTGGAGGTTGCAGTGAGCTGAAATTGTGCCATTGCACACTCCAGCCTGGGTGACAGAGCAAGACTCCATCTAAAAAAAAAAAAAAAAGGAAAAGAAAAAGAAAGAAAGAAAGAAATGTCACACAAATATGTACTTAGTTTAGACACTGAGATAAAAAGCCTATTATAAGTATAAAAGTTGCAGATATAATATAATGTCATCCTAGGCAGGGTATCTCAAAATTGTGGGAGAATAAAAAAATCCCAAACCAAATAACTCTAAGTGCATAATTTCAACTAAAGACACCTCCCTGCAATTGAACACCCTGGATATTTTAAATAAATTTTGAATGGCTTCCATTGGTTTCAAACCAAATAATCCGTTTACTCCCACCCATGACAGCCTTATCTGAAAAACATTAACATGTGAGATCCTTTTCACTAAAAAGTTCAAAGTTGCTTGGGTAAAAGCAGAAGGTTGTACAAAAGAGCTGCTGAATTATTGTTCTTGCACTTTCACTCCTAACTTCTCTCTGGGCCTCAGTTTCTCTGTCCCTGAAACGATTTAGGCAACCTTCCAGAGCAAGCAAAGAAGCCCTTTAATTTTTTCACATACTCTTTCTCTAATAAAAATTAAGAAGTAAATAACACTTATTGGTATAAACTCAAGTTTAGTAAACCAACTCAAACCATAACCTCTAACTTTAGACTGGGCTGTGATAAACAGAGAATCTGTAAATTGTCTACAAAATATAACCTTAGGACATTGGCACTAGAGACACCAGCAAACAAACCTCACATTCAGTTGCAATCTAAGATACCCTGGAGGGGTAAGCATAGCTTCATTAACTTTCCTAGATAAGAAAGTCAGAGCCCCAGGCAACCAGAGTCTTCTCGGTTCTGTTGGAGCCTCCCTGTCCAGAGCTCAACCCGTGGTGCTTAATCCAATAATCCAAGTCCTCCTACCTGGTGCCCTAGTCTCTGATTTAGTTAGTCTGACACACCAAAAAAAAAAAAAAAAAAAAAAAAGAAGAAACTCTGTCCCATGTATGGTAAATTCAGAGTGAAAAGAAAACCATGAGAGTATTGGGGTTTTCAGTAGGGGGTGCTTTTGTCCCCCAAAGGGATATTTGGCAATGCCTGGAGATGTGTCTCATTGTTAAAATTTAGGAGGTGCTCCTGGCATCAGAGTAGAAGCCAGGGATGTAACTGAACATCTTTTAGTACACCAGACAGCCTCCTATGACAAACAATTATCCATCCCCAAATTCTGATAGTGCTGACGTTGAGAAACCTGGTCTAGAGTAGCCACAGATCAAACTTGAAAGCAGAATGGGACTGTGTGTACAGACTGCTCTAAGCAGGTCTTGGTTACTAGTAAATTATTGCTTTAGAAAGGGAAATCTAACAAAAGAAAGTAAGACTGTGTTCCTGCTCCGAGGGGCTCTTACTTAGCATGCTGCATTAGTTGGCCAAGAAACAATCTCTTCGAAAATAGGATGTCAGTATTTTCTGCGCCTGAAGATAGCTAAGTCTCGGAGTCCTTGCTTGTAAATTAGAGGTCACATTAACGTTATCTGGTCATTTGCTGCGGAAGAATGCCTGGAAACCATGGGAGCCACAGTGGTTAAAATCCATGCCAGCCTCAGGTAATCATGGTTTTGCACAGAATTCACATTCTCTGCCTCAGCGTCAGTTTCTCAAAAGCAGGACTCATGGTTTCCCCATGCGTAAGGTCAGCCCTTCAGGAGGCCATAATGAATGAGGTGGTGTCACAGTGGGGAGGTGGAGAAGCAACACTTTGGGAAGTTGTCTGGTCATTGTGTGGGAGGGATGACCTTTCCAGGTACTTCTATGGGCTGTGTGTCAGGGACCCTTTCATCCATGGGGAGGAAGTGCTCCTTCCTGTTATGCTGCCTCTGCAAGCCCAAGCCCGCTGTGAGCCTGGAAGTCCCTTGCAAGCCCAGTACTTTTGTCCTCTCATGCGTCATTCTCCCCTTCACAGCACTGTGCTGGCCCAGCTGAGAGTGGCGGGAATGAGCGGGCTGGGCTGCTCTCAGTTTTGACTAAACATGGCCCAGCCTGGGATGTCTCACCGGCAAGGAGGATGTGCGGAGGAGTTCCTGGGGGACTAGTGACCCCTTTGGCCATGCGGGCTTTAGGAAACACCTTGGGCTGTACAGAGGAAAGGAACTGCCCACTCACCTCCTCCCAGAGCCACAGACTTTGGGAGATAGAACAACATGCTCGGGCAGGAGTGGCCCACTGTGCTCCACCTCAGGGAAGGCACCTATGCCCAAGAGGCTAACTACATATCCCCAAGTGCCAGAATTTCCTATGATAAGACTCTGGGCTTAAGGGACATTCCTGGTAATTTGAGGGTGAAGTAACTGTATTAAAAACTCCTCACTCTTGGCTGGCCGCGGTGGTTCACACCTGTAATCCCAGCACTTTAGGAGGCCGAGACAGGTGGATTACCTGAGGTCAGGAGTTCGAGACCAGCCTGGCCAACATGATAAAACCCCGTCTCTACTAAAAATACAAAAAATTAGCCGGGTGTGGTATTGGACGCCTGTAATTCCAGCTATGCAGGAGGCTGAGACAGGAGAATCGCTTGAACCCAGGAGGCAGAGGTTGCAGTGAGGCAAGAGCATGCCACTGCACTCCAGCCTGAGCAACAGAGTGAGACTCTGTCTCAAAACAAAAACAAAAACAAAAACAAAAACAAAAACAAAACCCAAAAAACAAAAAACTTGCCACTCTTTCACTCTCCCTAAATCAAATGTGATTCTCTTAAAACATGGTCCCTATGTTGTTTCAATGAAAACAGGGGTTCAGAAACTGTCCAACAAAAGACTGTTTTTTGACTTGTGAATTTATGCCATGAAAGCCTTCAATGTTGTATAAATTGGATCCCATTTATTAGACACTTAATTTCTTTCACTATACAGAATAAAATATTGTGAAATCAAGGGTATTGCAGACGTACGAGCACTGAATGAACAGGGCACTGGAAATAAGCCTGAGTTCATGCTGGATGTCACCTTGGGAGGGACCCCAGGGAGGCTGTCAGTCATTGCCAGCTCTGGGCATTGGCCTCCGTCCCTCCTGTGCAGTTCCAGTGGGACATGGGTACCTGGGGGGTCAGCTGAATCTCTAGTTGGTACCAGCATAGAGGGTAGTCCTGCCATGAGGCTTAGCTAAGTGCATTGCAGAAAAAGAGCTCCAAATTAACCACGGCCCTCAGAGCAGCTCCCTGTCACAAAACCTTTTGGGCAATTCCTCTTTTGTACATTTTCTTTCTTCCTTCCGTAATTGATTGATCGACTGGTTGATTGATCCACAGGACTCTATTTCCACCTTCAGGCCCTCTGGTGAGGCAGAAGCCAACGCACCTTACACTGTCTTCTTGACACCAGACATGAGATAGAGCCTTTACTCCTGGTCCAGGCAGCTGTGGAATGGGTCCCAGCCAAATTCTAGTGGAAAGCACTTGGGTTTTAGAATCAGAAAGACCTGGAGTAAATTCTGTCTGGTACTCTGGTACTCTTTTTTTTTTTTTTTTGAGACGGTGTCTTGCTCTGTCGCCCAGGCTGGAGTGCAGTGGCGCCCTCTCGGCTCACAGCAGGCTCTGCCCCCCAGATTCACGCCATTCTCCTGCCTCAGCCTCCTGAGTAGCTGGGACTACAGGCGCCCACCACCGTGCCCAGCTAATTTTTTGTATTTTTAGTAGAGACGGGGTTTCACTGTGTTAGCCAGGATGGTCTCGATCTCCTGACCTCGTGATCTGCCCACCTTAGCCTCCCAAAGTGCTGGGATTACAGGTGTGAGCCACTGCGCCCGGCCCTGTCTGGTACTCTTTAGCTATTTGATCTTGGGCAAATTACTTACCTCCTCTGAACCTCAGTGTCTTCATCTGTAAAATAGGCATGGTATAAGGTACGTGGAAGGTCACTGTGACGGTTCAGTGAGAACATGCTTGTCAAGCGCCTCCACAAAGATGACCTCCATCAATTCTCTTTTCCTTTTAGTCACTATCTCATCTCTTTCTATTCTTCACTTTTTGATTGTGTTAGGTGGATACTGGGGCTGGGAAGGGGTGAGGATTTCCGCTTGTCCATGCAAGGGTGCTACCAGAAGAAGATGGGGCTACTGGGGTGAAGATGGAGACATCCTCATTGGGAAACCTCCTTGTTTCATCACTGCCCTGCATGAGAAACAGCTCCCTTGCCACCAGATCAAAGTTCTCTTGTCACAGCCGGTGGTTTACAACCCCATTGTGTAAACAGACCTCGTTTTCTTATCTTGAGTAATTGCAGTTTAATTGGGCCTCCTTGCGATGCAGTTCCCTTCTTACCCAGGGCTCTGGTTGTTGGCACACTCACTTCCAGCCCATAGGCCTCCGGACTCCAGTCATTGGATGTGTTCACAGAAGGGTCACTCTGCTGTCCCTGCACTTCTTATGCAGTGATTGTGCTTGCTACCATGAAGCCTAGTGAAGACACCCTTTCCTTCTCTCTGGGAATCCTGGAGAGCAATGGACAAATTATTTGGTACTAGAGAAGTGGGAATCCACAAAAAGAAATTTAAAACCAAAGTGGGAATGAGACTGCTGAAACATAATGTTTAGGGAAATTATTTATGCTCATAACTCTTAGTGGTTGTCACAGAAATTGAAGGAAAGAAGAAAATAACCTATATTTTTCCAGCATCTTGGACTGTGGGGCTTCTGTAAGCTACTAGGTTCAATCATCACAAGCTAGAGAATTTCAGAGTCAGACCACAATGTAAAGACCATCTTGCAATATCAGGAAATTCAGATCCTAAGAGGTTAAATGAATTACTGGAGTTTCCTCAGGTATTTTGTTATAGCACTCCTGTCTTGGTCCATTAGTGCTGCTATAACAAAATACCTGAGACTGGGTAATTCAAAAAGAATAGAAATTTATTGCTCACCGTTCTGGATGCTGGAATGTTCAAGATCAAGGCATTGGCAGTCTCTGTGTCTGGTGAGAGTCCCGTCTCAGCTTCCAAGATGGACCCTTCCTGCTGCATTCTCTAGAGGGGATGAACGCTGTGTCCTCAGTGGCGGAAGGGAGGGAAGAGGCCAAACCCATTCCTTCAGGTCCTTTTAAAGGGTCCTAGTCCCATCCTTGAGGGCTTTGCCCTGACAACTTACTCACCTCATAATGCCTCCGCCTGTTAATATTATCACATTGGTGTTTTACATTTCAACTTCTAAATTTGGGGGAACACATCCATAACAACTCCTTACAAACACATTTATTTTATTTATTTATTTATTTATTTATTTATTTGATATTTGGTGATATGTAAGAACTTATAATGTATTTTCATTCATGTATTTGTATGCCTTGTTTATGAAAAATTAGTTTTTCCTGATTCTGGAAAAAACAAAAAAAAACAAAAAACCCAAACTCCATTGTGTAGATTGCTGAGCAAATTGAAATTACTGGATAGTCTTCTGGCCATGGCAAGTTCCACCAACCGTGTCCATAACCAGGTTTTGAGTCAGCCTCAGTCTCCATCTCCATACCACAAGATGCCTAAAGCTGTCACCCATGGTACCACTGGGCTTCTGAAGGCTTCATGCTAAGCGAGGGGCAACTTGAAACCTGCAGATCTAGAAGCTTACAAATAAAATGTCTCTCACCTAAGACCTCTCAGCAAGAGAGTGTCAACTGCAGGTCCCCAGGACTGTGGTCTCAAGTTCCACCCCCTCCCCGTCCTTCAGCCTGTTTCAGCGAGTGTTGGCTGTGAGTGGAGGCTGTCCTGGTCTCAGGCTGGTATGAGTTGTAGTGTTGGTGTTGGCTGCACTACCTCCGACTTTGTGTGCTTCCCCAGGGGGTCCCTAGGGAAGCTAAGCACAGCTTTGCATTAAGAGCATAATTAGACATCCCCTTCTCTACAACCCTCTGTGCTTCAGAATTTTTTCTGCAGAAACCTGCAGCGTGTCAGGCCTGCACTTTCACCAAGGCCCAAGCCCATTACTCTTATTGTTTTAAAAAGAATTTCCTGGCCTTGAGTCTAAAATTAAATTGCCCTTTGAGAGTTTCCTATTTTGCCTGTTCCTGCTTCTCCTGGTGGCTGCACCCCCTCACCACCCTCAGGCTTGATCAGCAAACTCCGGAGAGCTGGGGAGTGGTTCTGTTTGCCTCCTTCCCTTTTACCTCTCAAGGGAGCAGAACAAACGTGCCCTCTGAACAGATGTGCCCCAGAAACCACGCCCTTGCCCATGTCCTTCTGAGGCCAAATACCTCTGACCAAAACTGTTCCTCACCATTGCCAAACAGCCTATCCGTAGGGTGGTTGGGAGGGTACGGAGGTGCTAAAGCGTCTTCTGAGGATGAGGAAGTCCAGACTTTATCAGAAGTGCATGGAGTCGCACAAGGGCAACTACATGCAACCAGGAGGAAGGGTTTAAGCAGAGAAATGGCCTAGGTATTGCACACACTTTAATTGAGCACCTGCCAGGTGAGAGCCCCTATAACTGTTCAGTAGCAAGACTCTTACTGAGCTTCACTGTTCTCTACTGAAATGTGGGGCAGATGGTGACAAAACTGTTGGAGCAGGGCTTCGGGAGAGAATGAAGACAAACAATGTAAGACCTTTCATGCAGTTCAAGGGCACATTGTATGTCACAGACCCACATTATACCTCCGATAACTTTTGGCTCTGCAGGCTCGCCCACCGTGGTGTGGCTGTTTATCCAATGAAGGTTGTCAGTCGTAAGGTCAGGAGAAAGAATGTGGATGGATCAGCAAAAATGACACAGAGTTGGCAAGGAACTTGGAGATCATGGAGGCCGAACTCCTCAGGAAGCAAAGGTTCAGAGAGGTTAAGGAATAGCCCAGAGGTTACACAGCTCCTTAGATGTACAGCAGGACTTGAACCCAGGCTGCTTGATTTCTAGTCTTGTGTCTTTCTGCTAAAGTGCATGAGCATCTATGACATTCCTAGAAAAATAATACAAAGTTATTTCCATGGTGGCAAATCATAGTGCCCATCCACCCAGTGTTGACTCAGCCTTGCTTCTGGGTTTAAAATATTTTTAGAAAGCACTAGCATCTAGAAATATGTATAGTGTCTTACATGTTTATGACCCTGTACTAAGGCTAAACCCTAGGATTCTGAAGTCAAGCAAAGACAAGACAGATTTGCTCCTATGGAGTTTAGGCTCCAAGTAACACATACAGAAGGTGAGCAACTAGGGAGTTACTCATCGCATGTGGACATTGAAGACTGTTCTGCTAAAGACAGAAGACCGAAAGAATAGATCACCCACTCCACAGACACAGACTCCTCATGTTCATGATTTTCTGTTGTAAAAATATATTCTCCTATTCTTTTTTTTTTTTTTTCAATTTTTGGGGACTTTGGGGCATGGAGACAGGGAAAGCTATGAGCAAAAGGAATGGCTTTAAGATGTGGCTGGCTGGAGGGGACAGGTGAATAGGCAGTTCCAGGGAGATGACTGTGGGCAGTGGAGGAGGGAATGGGCTAGCAAGATCCAAGTTCCTGACTTTGAAGCACTGGGAAGTGGTGCTAGGGAAGGGTCACAAACCAATGAGTGCTTCCTTGCAGGAATGGTGGTGGTGGTCGGCCCAGGTGGTGGCTTTAGGGCTGGCTCACCTCAGAGCAGAGCAGGACCAAGGTGTGTCCATTGTCCAACTAGTTTCCAGGCTTCCGGGGCTTCATTTCATTCCCAGGATTAGATGGGTGGAGCATTCAGGCTGTGGGCTCATGTCCTCTGGTAGCCTCTTTCTAAGAGGACAGGGAGAGCCATGCTGTTTCCTCCACGGCTCACCACTGCATATGACGAGCAGAGAAGAGGTGTGTGTTTTCCTAAGATGCCCAGGGGAATCCCTTCCTCCATGGCTGCCTGGGGACCACTCTTTTATTTTCTTTTTTCTTTTTTGAGATGGAGTCTCACACTGTCACCCAGGCTGGAGTGCAATGGCACGATCTCGGCTCACTGCAACCTCTGTCTCCCGGGTTCAAATGATTCTCCTGCCTCAGCCTCCAGAGTAACTGGGATTACAGGTGCCTACCACCACGCCTGGCTAATTTTTATATTTTTAATAGAGCCGGGGTTTCAACTTGTTGGCCAGGCTGGTCTTGAACTCCTGACCTTGTGATCTGCCCGCCTTGGCCTCCCGGCCTCCCAAAGTGCTGGGATTATAGGCGTGAGCCACCGCGTCCGGCCAAGACCACCCTTTTCTTAGTGGCCTCTTGTTCACCACCCCTGGTGCTTAAAGCTCTGCTCTTGGCTTCCATGATCCTGTATACTTGCTTGTTTTTCCTCCTACGTCTTCAACCAGTACTTCTTTGTGCTTTTTCTCCCTTGTTTCTCCTCTTAACTGTCAGCAGCTTTACAGATCCACTTTCAATTCTTTCCCTTATTGTCCTGACTGCCATTTTCCTTGAGTTGTGCTCTACCTCCATCCTTTTTGCTGCTAGGTCTAGCTTGACTCTTTCCTGCCTTCTCCCATCATGCATTCACCTTAGAGACCCTCCACCAAGTTGCCCTCACTCCATCTGAACTCAACCAAAGGCAACATTGTCTTCCACTCTCCTTATTTATGTCCGTCCCGTAGATTCACCATTTTCACTGCATAAACATAAGCAATCTAAGTGGCATCTTGGATTTCCCTCTCTTCATCTCCTATGACCAATCAGTCATAAAATCATGTCGATTTTTCCTTTAAAACACATCCAATATTTCTTATTTCCTCTTCCCCTCGACACCCATGGCCCAACTCTTTCTTCAGAACTGGACTACAGTGAGGTGAGTGAGGCATCCACATGGGGTGCCCCCAAACTCAGTAATCAAGTTGAATAATATCTTAATGTAATATCTTTGAAAAATCAGAATTAATGCAAACATTATTATGAAAAAAATCAAAATTTTAAATAAAGTCAAGATCAGTATTACTGATTTTTCCCAATGTGGCTCAGCAAAGCTCTCCTCCTGACCTGTGTCAGCCTCCTCGCCTTCTTGCCCTGCCCTGTCTGTCCTACTCAGCACCATCAAATGAGTCTTTCTTGAAGGCATTGCTTCACCATGTCCCAGGCCTCTAGCATGGCCTCTAGTGGCTCTCTCCTGAGGCCAGATTCCTGCTTGGCCTGCATGGCTCTCTACACTGTGGTCTTACCCTGCCCTCCGGCTTGAAGTTTTACTACTTACCCTCCACTCCTACCATCCTCATTGCCCAAGGGCATACCTTTTCCTCCTGCTTGTCACCTCCAAACAACACCGTCTTTCTCTCTCTATAACACCTCCCTGAATCTTTCTTATTCCTCCTTACATAGCTGTATATGTTCTTTTTTACCTTTGGATGGATTATCTTCCTCTTCTTTTGCTCATGTGGCCCTTCATCAAATGTTTCAGGGCAAATCTTACTCAATCTTAACAGTTATTACCTTAGTCTGCTTCCTGCAGGAAGCCTTCCCTGCTGCTATTCCCCTCCCCCTACACATTGGTACTTAATTCTGTCCCATCCCTCACTGTAATTTCCTGTTTACTTGTCTGTACGCTCCTAAGGCCATGGTTTATTTGTTGCTTATATTACATTCTTAGCATCTAACATAATACTTGTCATAGACTAGGTGCACCAAATATATTAGTCCATGAATGCACATTGCCATAATTCATTAAGTACCTATTATGGAACAGTAACCACCATTCTTGAGCAATTTGTACTTAAGCCATGCAAGCTGCATGTTGTGCACGTAGCAGAAAAGACAATCTGAAATCAAATAGACTTGGGTTAGAATTCTGTCTCCATTGTTTTATTAGCTGCATGGCCTTGGGAAATTTACTTGACCTCTTAAAACCTGTTTGCTCTTCTGTAAAATGAAGATGAAAATACTAATCTTGCAGGATTGTTGTGAGGATTAAAAGTGACCATCTCGGCCGGGCGCGGTGGCTCACGCCTGTAATCCCAGCATTTTGGGAGGCCGAGGCAGGCTGATTACCTGAGGGCAGGAATTCGAGACCAGCCTGGCCAACAGGATAAAACCCCGACTCTACTAAAAATACAAAAATTAGCTGGGCATGGTGGCACATGCCTTTAATCCCAGGTTCTTGGGAGGCTGAGGCAGGAGAATCACTTGATGCCAGGAGGCGGAGGTTGCAGTGAGCCGAGATTGCGCCACTGCACTTCAACCTGGGCAACAAAGTGAGACTCTATCTCAAAAGAAAAAAAAAAAAAGGAGACCATCTCTGATGCAGAGTGCCAGGGGGCACTGAACAGATGTGTGATGTTTGTTAGGTCCTTTCGGCAATCACCTGTGGGATGGGTGAGTGAGAACCTGTCAGATGGTTTTCTTAAACATGTGGCAGAGATGGGGAGTGTTGCTTGCATCTTGTTGACTCATCTCCAGTTGCAGCCAAGAAAGGAAGATGCCAATGAAGAGGCCCAATAAGCAGGGACCTGTTTGGTGTGGTGATCTTTTCAAGCAATGAGGTGGGGGCTGGGCTGCCCAGATTTCTGACCTGTTAATAACCTGCTTTTTTTCTCCTCAACTGAGGCAGTTTCATAATGAATTGGAACTGGTGATGTTGTTCTCTTGAGTAAAAATATCATTTTCATACTCTATGAAATAGTTATTAAGTCAGTTCATGAAATGTCTAATAAACAGGCAGGTGTCTAGATAACAAAACCATGAAAGGCTTCTCAGGAGCATCCCCTGGTAAAGATTCTCGTGGTTAATGGTAGTTTTTGTACATTATTGCCTTCTCATTCTTAAAAATAGGATCCAGTGGCTCCACGGAGGACAGTTACAGAGGAACTATGCCTTAAAAATATACAGAGGGTTTCATTTATAAAATAAAAAACGTGTTGACCAAGAGCCCAGCTGTGGGCAGAAGAGACTCCAGGAAAAAAACCAACCACATAAAATCAAGCTGATTCTGTGCATGGTTGTTACTCAAAGCCTGTGAGTTGACCTACAATATGGCTACCCTGTTATCACCCAGGTGTGGACCCACATTATTTTGTGCCCTACCTACTTACCGATTATCTACCTTCTCTGTCCTCTGCACATTGTTCCCAGGTCACTTTTCTTCATCCCCTCTTTGCCAATGTCACCTTGCCTTCAAGTGGCTTTTCTTTAGCAGACAAAACCCAAACTTTTAAATCCGAATTCAGGTTCTTAGGTTCCCACCACCCTAGCAGGGCCTGTAACAAACTACCTGTCTACCTACTTAAAAGAACCAACTACCTACTACCACTTTACGAGGATCTTTTGTTTTTGGCAAACCATGCATGCTGTCCCAAAAGAAGACAGATGTGGGTAACTTAGAATTCTTCACAGCATTTAGAATCAAAATTTTCTCACTCAAGACCCTATTCCTACAACTCTGATACTTGACATTAAATTTTGAAAAAAGGCTCTAAAGGAATATGAAAAAGATGAGGATGATATTGAGAGCACAAGGCTTGATTTATAAGACTAGGAAGTGTGTTTTGAACTGATTCAGTTTCAAAGTTTTGTTAAAGACCTGCTTATTGTTGGGAATCCAAAAGAAGTATTTAATGTAGCTGCTTCAGGAGCATATAGCATTAAATAACATTCCAGCAAAATGGTTTGAAGCCAAAAGTAAGGAAACATTTTCTTTTCTTTTCTCTCTCTCTCTCTTTTTTTTTTTTTTTTTTTTTTTTTTTTTTTTTTTGGGATGGATATTGCTCTGTCACCCAGGCTGGAGTGCAGTGGCACGGTCTCGATCTCGGCTCACTGCAAACTCCACCTCCCAGGTTCAAGCGATTCTCCTGCCTCAGTCTCCCTAGTAGCTGGGATTACAGGCGCCCACCACCACGCCTGGCTAATTTTTGTATTTTTAGTAGAGACAGGGTTTCACCATGTTGTCCAGGCTGGTCTCGAACTCCTGACCTCAGGTGATTCACCCTCCTCGGCCTCCCGAAGTGCTGGGATGACAGGCGTGAGCCACCGCGCCCGGCCAGGAAACATTTTCTGACTGATGCTCAGTAGTGTATTCTTGCTGATGGTTCCCCTGTCTCTTGGCCCCACACACATATAGGTGGCAAATCTGCCATTGTACATTTTCACAGTGCTCATCAAGGCCCCTGGCAACAGCAGGCTAAGGATGTTAGCCTTCGATGCAACACAACTGGTGACATTTCCACTGAGTCCCACTTACATCCTCAGTACCTTTAATGCAGTTGGAAGATAAACAGCCCCAAAGTAAACTTCATCCAGCTCTAATTTGAATGATTTTATGAATATTATAGAACACCAGGTCCAATATCATGTGCATGGAACCTTCTTCTGCCTTTTGGGTTCATTGTCATTTTTCTCTGTGTCAATATATTCTCTTCTGTTATTTTTACTGATCTTAAGTGAATGGGCCATTGCAAATTGGGAAAGGGAGCAGATAGTGGGCAACTGAATCTAACATAGTAGTACTGAATTCTTGTATGCTCAGAAGAAGAGAAGACGTAAGTTCTCCAGTTGGAGAATCTTTCTGGGAGTTGCAAGCTAGTCTTCAGGGGTGAGAATACCATCTTATGAGCTACCTTTATTGAGACCTTAATGTCAATAGATTTAACCATATTAAATTCTAGCAGAGTTTGGTTTCCTTAGTTGGGGTTTTTATGAAGGTGCAGGGACCCAAGAGAGTAATAATAAAAAAGAAAAAAAGAAAGTTGAGGATGGGCCAGTGTCGATTAGAATCCTGGTCTCAGGAAATCTTCTTTCTGTGAATTTGCTACTTTTCCTTTTGTGTCTTAGTTTTTAACCTATGTGGCCATTTCCAGGAATGTTAAGGATCTCTTAAATTAAAATAATGCCTAACTTATATTGAAGACCAGGCCTCACATACTTATCACATGCATTTCATACAATATATAGTTTTATTAAATGCAATTTTATATTTTAATTTGCTTTATATACAATTTTCTCATACATTATTTCATTCAATCGTCCTACTTCATGAAGTAAGTATTATTACTTTCACTTTATTTTTAGAGGTTGGGTCTTGCTATGTTGCCCTGACTGAGCCTCAAACTCTTGGGCTCAAGTGATCCTCTTGCCTTAGCCTCCCGAGTAGCTAGAGCTATATGTACATGTTTCCAGTTTCTATTATTTTCATTTTACAATTGCATGAACTAAGGTTTGGATTAAGGAACAGGCCCAGGCTCCATGTTGGTAAGTGATAGAGCTGGGATTTGAATTATGTATACCTGGCTTCAAAGCCTAGGGTTTTAAACACAGCAAAACATGACCTTCCACACAGCACATCTGTCTTCCTTAGAGAGTACTATGTAGATTGGGATTGTATATTTTATGGAGTTCATAAAATTACTAAGAGTGTGGCACAAGTCTTCGAAAATTGGGGCAAATGGACAATTTCTGCCTAGCAACCAATGTATTTAAAGCCTATACACACTGATTAACCAAAAAATGAGGTGAATTTTATTACATAGGTCCATTTTTTTTTCCTTTGGCATGTATCATTTACTTGTTGTATGATTGTGGAGTAAGCCTTGTAAGAATATCCTTTCATGACGTTTTTACAGAGTAAGGTACCATTAAAAATAAGCCAGGAGTGTATAAATTCAAGATGGTCAGCATTCGGCCCTGCTGTTAACCATGGGTTCTTATTTGAAGGCCAGAAAAGGTAGTCCTTAAACACTTGAAGAAATGGAGGAAGATAAATTCATACATAGTCTGAGTCAGAAATTCTTCTCGTTCCCTGCGTCTTTATGTGGGGGGATAAGGGAAGAAAACAAGAGTTGGCTCTGTTCTGTCATCATCTATAGATGATTCTTACTTACATGTGATTGGATAATATGAAGTCATAGTTCTTTAGGGCTAAACAACAGAGATTTTCCTCCTAATATATTTTCTTCTATTTTTTCTTGCACAGAGGCAAGGACCTAGCAACACTTATGAAGATCCTCGAATGAACTGTGGTTTCCAGTCCAATTATCACCAGCAAAGACCTTGCTACCCCTTTTGGGATGAGATGGCAACTCAGGAAGTTCCTACTGGTCTTGAACACTGTGTCTCAGGTAGGAACATAAACAAAAGCTGGGAATGAGGATAGAGTTGAAGGACAATGGAAATGTGATGAGGGCTGCATTCTTTCAAATAACAGCTGCCATGGCTTATGCGGGTACAGATGCTATTGTTCTTGAATGGAAAGTCCCGGGCCTTCTCCATAAATTTTGGGTTACTTTATTCCCCGACAGGAAGTCTAAACTCTAGGAATGGGCCCAAGAAAGGTTGCTTTAGGTCTTCACCTTGCAAATAGTTTTGCCTATCCTGCATTTCCTGACACCCGTTTTGGCTGTTGTCAGAGAGCCTAGAAGTTTTGCAGTCACAGAGTCTGAGCTGGATAAACAGAGGTGTGTGAATTGCTCGGCCTTCTTAGAGAACATGCTTTCTTTCGATGATCATCTGTTTCCATTGTTCCTGGCCTCTCTGTCCATGCCCACCTGGATCCCAATTCTTTTTCCTCTGTCTCTCTCTCCCTTCTCTCCTTCCACTTGCTGGTGGCAGTGCTGCCCTCTGGTGAGTGGGAGTCTCCTCCAGAGAACTCTCAAATCAATGGATCTGCATTCCCAGGGACCTCAGGAATCTGAAGTCCTCATCTCCATGCTGTTTTCAGGAGACACTCTGTTTCTCACAAATTCCACTAGTTCTTGGTTTACCAGCTAGTGTTTTTTTTTTGTTTGTTTTGTTTTGTTTTTAAACAAAAACCATTAAATTTGAATTTGGGAATTTTGAAATGATCAATTCAGATATTAAGTTCACTTTCACATGAGACCATGTTATGATAACATATTTGAATACCAAATAGCTAGTCAAAATCTGTGTTTTCTCCCAGGATGAATTCTTAGCATAAAAATGTCATTACTCTTACATGTTGGGAAAATGTAATTCTGGGGAAAGACCTGGGCAGGGCATGGCAGGGGGAGTCACTAACTTGAAGGCTACTTTTTGGTTCAGTGTTATTTTACCCCACAACATTCTTTGGTCAATTACTTAAATAACAGTGGAGAAGTAAAATAAATGTTTGCTTTGTTGCCCATGCTTTATTGCTCATCAGGAATAAACAGACGCAGGGCAAGATGCTGTGGCACTCCATGGGCTGTGTGTATGGTGGGTGAGGAGGCATGGGGAGTAGCTTTCCATTTGCCTGGTTTCTCTCCAGGGCAGAATGAAATAGATTCCTGTGTCCCATGTTCCCTTGACTCAATAGCCATTGATCTTTGAGGTATTCTTTGGCACTGTCCTGGATTGTAGACATAATAATATTTATGCTGTCACTTTCTGCTTGGTATCTCAGTTCTTCTAAGCATAAATACAAATGTCTCAGCTACCTATCCATTTCACAAGGGAGCCAGGAGGATTTTGTACCTGCTCACACGTCAGACTTAAGGACTAAAAATTTGAGGACATGAGAAAAGTGATCCTTTAAAATTCTAAACAAAATAGGTTTTGTTTGTATAAGCAAAAGGTCAAAATGGCTGTATTTATATTTGTATAATTCTTGAATCCTATTAATGCCACAAGGCTTAAGTCTTATATCTCCCAATGCAACTGAGATTAAAGCTGCCTTGCTTTAACACTTGCAGCTCTCGATGGTCTCTGCTTGCTACAAGTTACATCTTATTAACATCTGAGGCCTTCTCCATTTGCTCATAGCCTGAAGATCAGAATGTCTCTTCTTCATAGCAAAGAGACATGGCCTTCCTTTTCCTTAAACTGAAGTACATAAACTCCCAAGTGGAGATGATTTTTCATGCTGCTCTTTGTCAAGTTTCTCAAAGGTAAAGATGTTTTTATTTCATGGCCTATGAGACAGTGTCTGGGAAGCATATGAAGAACAGCTTTAAAATGCAAGGACTTATAGCAGGGTAATATCATCTTCTTCTCATAGTTTATAGTTGCAAGAAGGAAGCTGGGGTCACCCCAGCTTTTGGTAGGTTGAGAAGATTGGGGCATATAATAACCATTCCTAGAATGACCTGGGTTGCCATCAACTGCAGCTCAGAGATGGTACACAGCTTCCATCGGGGTGTGGCCTCTACCAGTTGGGGGCAATCTCTTCACAAATGTGATGGTTGTAGTTCCCACTGTCCTATACTCCCTCTGATGGAAATGTTTGGCAAGAACCCTGAGCCTTTCTAGCCCCTCCTTTAACTTTTGAGCTTCCCAGACGAAGGAGTTGGAGGGATTATTTCTGGGCTGTGGTCCAGCTCTCCTCAGCGATGGGTGTTGTTTGGACGGGGATTGTGGGGTTATAGGGAAGGGAGATGAAGACATAGACCAACCAGTGATTTCTCCAGCTGTGGTACATTTCCTTGGAGATGTGTTGAATATAAAGAAAGAGAAAAAATACTCGACATTTTTTTCATCTTCTTTTATCCTATTTATAACTTCAGTTTCCTTCCCGTCCTCCGTCTCATGGCTACTGCCCACCACTGCTCCCCCTTCACGTTCATGCTCTCAGAAGGGATGAATGAACTTCTTTTCCAAGGACTACACATCTGTCAGTGCAGAGAACACTGACAGGAGGGGCCATCAAGGAATGAGCAAGCCTTTTCAGAATGTTGTTCCTATTCACGAAGGGGCAGAGGCTGAGGAGGAGGAGGAGGAGGGTGGCGGGAGTGTGGAGGGAAGGGGAAGAGAGAATCAAGCAGAGAGAAAGTATGAATGAGGGAAAGACTTATCAGGTGAGTGGGAGAGAATACTAAAGCGCCAAGGTCTGTCGGGAATCGATTGGACAAAATAGATGATAAAGCGGGTATGGTGGAAGAAAGAAGAGATGTGTGAAAATGGACAGAAAATAAAGGTGGATATTAGTAGCATGGTAGGGAATAATGGGAAAGGAAGATGAAAGATGAATGGGAAAGGGAAAAAAAGTGGGGAGCCCAGAAAAAGACAAGGCAAGAACAGGAGGGGAAGATAACATGAAAGAGAAAAATAGATGAATCTGAGGACATTAGCTATACAGCTAAAAAGGGAAGCCACATTTGCATGCAATTGCCTGTGCAGCTGTACATTTCTTCACAACAATCTTGTAGTCATCATTTTCTTTCATTTCTACCTCCTCCTACCGTCCGCCTCTTCCCCCTCCTCCCTATCAGCCTGGAGCCATTAGCGAGAGCCAATGGGGCTGAGTGCTGGTGTTCTGCATGAATGAATGGGCCCTTTCTGTCTCAGCTTCTCGTCATCCTTCTGTTAGGGAACCTTGTGAATCAATGGAGCCTCTTACACAAGACACGGCTGAAATGTCTGTTGCTGTTTATAGTCTGACTGGAGTGGAGCCACTGACCCTGCCTCCTCTCTGCTCCCTTCCTCTATTCTGTCCCTCAACCTCAGCCCTTTCTCTCCAACCACCATAACAAGAATCATTTTTACGTTTCAGTTTCTTGCTCCTGTCTCTAAGAGCTCACTGACGTTTTACCGTCATTAACTGTCATGACTGGTTCCTACCCACAGTCCTGTTGGATACACAGGGTAACGGTAGCGAGCCTCAGAGTGGTGCCTAGACCTAGCTGAAGTCAGACACTGCCTGTTTTCCAAAACCGACATCAGAGACCCAGCTGAGCACACAGGACACAAGACCTCGTCCATCCCATCAATGCCAGCGGTCCATATTTGATTTCAACTTCACCCTTATGATGCTCATGAATGGTCATAGTTCATATCAGAAAATACGATGCTTACTTAGCACTCTTCCAAAGTGTTATAGTATCAAATTATTTTTCATTTCAAGGATGGATTTGTCTGAAATCAGCCAAACTTATGGATGTGATGTTGTGAGCAAAGTACACTTTTGCAAAATACTTGCTTAGAGCTGGGAAGCAGCCTGGAGCTAGAGAACATAGGAAACACAACTTACCTTCATGAGGAGGAACCTATAGTCTTATTACCATGGTCTTTGATTGATTTGAGAAACAAGACAATACTTTTTCTTGTAGAATGCAGTTTGCTATGTCTTTGGTCACTGAACACAGTAAAACCTTCACTCAACCACATTCACAGCCTATCTGCCACTTCCCATTCTTCATGAGAAAGGACATCTATTTAGTGTAGTAGGAAAGAACCCAGACGCTGGACCCAGGTTGCTTGTGTTTGCATCAGCTCTTCCGTTATAACTGTGTGACCTTAGACAACTTAATCTTGTAACCCAGTTTCCGGATCTATACCAATGATTCTCCAAGCATGGTCCCCAGACCAGCAGCATCACTATCATCTGAGAACTTGTTAGAAATGCAAAATCTCGAGCCGTACCCCAGACTTATCGAAGCAGAAACTCCCAGGGTACATGAGAATCACTTTAGGGTTTGTTAAGACACTGGTTATGGAGTTCTACCCCCAGGGTTTCTGATTCAGTGATTCTAGGCTAAGGCTCAAAAATTTGCATTTCTAACAAGTTCTCAGGTGCTGCTGATGCTGCTGGTCTAGAGATCACACTTTGAGAACCACTAAGTTAGTATGTGTAAAGCATAAAACAGTGCCGTCACTTAGCAAGCCTGATATGAATATTTGCTATTATGACTCATTGACCCAAAGTGCATTTTGGGAGTCCAAACTGGGTTTCATTGAGTCAGAGAGTGACCCACTGATTGGTTGAACACGTTTGGTGACCAGTGCCATGCCCGGGATACTGAGAAAATACATGGAAAAGGGGAAGCCTCAGTTCTCCTTTAAAACAACTTCTATGCAAGTGTGTGTGTGGGTGTACATTTACATGCTAGAGCAAATGGTTTCCATGTGAAATATTACACTTATTTATGACATAAAGTTTGGCAGTATTAATGTGTGGCTTTGGATCTCACTAAAATCTCTAAAACAAATTTACTAACAAAATGGTGGAACTAAAGAATGTCTTTCCCAAATAAACTTTGGAAGTTCAAGTGGGAGATACGCTGAGATTCCGAGTTCATAGTCCCTCCTGGGGCTTTCTCATATGGCCTAGCGGCTGGGAGAGATCAAACCTGGGCCAGTGTTTGGAAAGGGCTATCCACAACCAGGTGGGATGTCTCAGCAGGAAGCACAGATGCCTCCAATTTGGCTTTTAAGTGTTGAGAGCGCTGAGGGAGTGCCAGAGAGACTTGTTAAATGGAGACTCACCTTGCTCTGAAATGTTTATTCTTATGGCAGGTCTGTGGTTTTACAGAATGGTGTTTCAGACTATCATCTGCTGCACCCCTCTCTTCTTTCCTCATTCAGGGTGTGCTTTTCTTTTCTAAAGGGTGTGTGTCAGGTTCTTTGTTCTTCAGAACAGAACGGTCCTGAGAGTGTGTGTGCTTTAGGGATGTTGTAACATTGGACGATTACAATATTGGACTAATGCTGTCCCTGAGAAAAGGCTGGACGGTTCTTCTTAGAGAAGACTTACAGGGAGTCCAGGCAAAGTGAATTAGAAACACAACTGGGCCACTCCAGTCTCTTTATTTTATTTTATTCTTTCAATTTTCTAGCTCAGTGAGGAACTGTCTATGCTAATGCCCAACTATTTTCTAGGACAAGACTAGGGAATTAAACTCCTGTCTTTAAATAAAGTCCAAACATTAAGGGAGATGGGGAAACATGGACCTTTTTGGATTCTGCCTGGATGGCTGTGCTGTTTGGGAGGAGCAAGCTGTAACCCTACCTGAGGTTCCAGCCTTTCACAGAAGGCCGAGGTTGGGGCCTAGCTGCCCTGACAAGCTACTCCCAGGGGAGAGTACTGAGAGAAGCCTGATGCAGGAACAGCCTTGCCATATATCCCCATCCCATCTCTGAGAGGGCCAGGGAAAGAGGAAGGAAAGCAAGGCCAGCCTAGCCCAAGCAGTCCGCTAGGGAGAGTCCACATGCCTAATATCTCCCGCACACTCGCTCTGTCAGTTTGCTCATCTGATACTGAGATTCTGCAAATGCCTGACCCTATTCTCCATAAGTGGAGGGCATGCCTCTGATCAGCTGTGGACTGAAGTTGCTCCTGCTTCCTACATGGCCTCTTTCTTTTTCCTCCCACCTCCTGCTGCCTTGGTAGCTTTTGAGCTGGTACTATTTCATATTCAGATTACAAGGTCTTTTGGTATACATTTTGAGTATAATTGAAGAGTGTTAAGTCTAAGCAGAGGGTTTGGCCTGGTGTTGTGGGAAGAGCCAGCCTATGCCTCAAGACCCCAGCAGCACATCCCGGTACAGGCCTTCGGCCTTGGCTAAGTCCACTGAGCTTCCCAACCCTCACCTTTCACAGGTGAAATACACTCTTTCCAAAGAGTTCTTGTGTCCACTGCATGAGGGTAGTATAGTTAAAAGGTCGTGGCCTATCGCAGGGGACCAATAAATAAACGCTGCTTTTCTTCTTTTTCCTTTCGCCATGGTGTGAGTGTGGATTTAGGTGAATCGAAGAAACCAGATGCCCACTCACATCTGAGTCCTGCCCACTCTTATCTTGCTCAAGGCTAATGTGCTAGCATCTGCCCACTGTGCCTCATTTCACCAGCCAAAGGAGAGGCCAGCCTGGTGAGGGCCAGAAAGAGCTGCACACCCAGGTTAGAGACCAGAGACCCCATGCTCTCAGGAGTGACCCCAACAGCCCCGAGGAAGGAGGGCTTGGAAAGGCCTTTACAAATGTAAATCACCCCTTTAGGTCCCCGGGAAGGAAGGAAACCAAGACAGACAAACCGAAGCCTCTGGGCTGGGTTCGTGGAGTGACAGTGGAAAGGCAAGCCTTCCGCCGGCCCGCCCTCGAACTCGCAGCTTCTCGAACATCCTAGGAAGTAACAGCATTGCGCTGGGACTCCCAGGGGGCTGCGGAGAGAAAAAACGTTCTCTCAACTTTTTCAAACCACAAATATTTGGTCCGAGTTGGGAAAAGGTCCCTGGGGCACCGGGTTCTTATGCGATTCAAGCAGTTTGACCCCTCTCCTGGAACTCCTCGCACGGGGGTGGGACGGTGGACGCCGCCGGCTGGCGTCAGGCCCCGCTCGGCTCCGGCCGCGGCACTGGGTGAATGGACATCTTCGGGTGGGCCGATGAGGTGGGAGCCGGAGCCCAGGAGAGGGGCGAGGGGCGAGGGGCGAGGGGCGAGGGGCGCGTGAGAGTGGAGGGTGGGGGCGGGCTGCGCCGCAGGGACAGCCTGTAGTGCTGTGTCTGGCCGCCTAGAGACACGGGCTCTCTCTCCAGATGTTCACTGTGTTTATAGCTGCCGAGGCAGGAGACCCAGCTCCCTCATTAATAAGTTGCTTTCTTGCACTGCAGCCAGGGGTCTCAGCCCGGAGCCTGCAGCTGGAGGAGGCGGCCCGCTCCCCTCCCCCAGCCTCCCGGTCCCTAACCCCACCCCGCCTTCCTCCCCTGCAATCCTCCCAAAATACACGAGCACACAAAAAGAAAAACACCAGCAGATTTTTTATTTCAGAGAGTAAACACTTGGGCCATGGGGGTCTGGAGGTTATGGGAAAAGAGGAAACCATCAGGCTAATCAGGCAGCACACACTTCCCCTGCTGAAATAAAACAGAAATCATTGCTCCGCAGGGCGGGAGGGTTAACCCCGGCGCTGCCAGCAACGCGGGCGCAGGCGAAGCCGGCCCGGAGCTGGGGCGTCCCGGGACGAGCTTTCCACTCCCAGGAGAGGAGGGAGGAGAGGACGGGCGTGGGCTGCCTCGGCCCGAACCTCGCCCTTCGGCCTGTGGCAGCGCCTGGGCCCCAAGCGGGGCTTAAGAAATAGACGGTTGGAACAGAAGAGATTCTGGGCTTAGATTTAGTTTTGCAAGAGGTTACAGGGAGTTCCAGATAGGTTGGGGACATAGAGAGATAGGTAAGAGTGTGTGTCGTTACCGTTTAACAAAGGATCAAGAGAGCTGGGTAGGGCTGTTTGGGGCACAGGTTTCAGCTCTGCCACCCACCAGCTGTGCAACCCTGGACGAATCACTGAACCCTCTGAGCCTCAGTTTCCTCATTTGTAATATAATAGTGCCCACCTCACAGAATTACTGTGAAGGAAGAAATTAAAAAAAAAAAAACGTATTGAATGTGGAAATGGCAAAGCACCAGGCATGGCGTGGAGAAGGCTCTTAACTCTGATTTCGTAGGTTACCTTTTCATACATTACTGTAATTGCCCGGGGTTCCCCTCCCTCCTTTTCTTCCTTCGTCTCTCACTCCCCCACTTCTTTTTCTCTCTCTTCTTTTTCCTTTCCTTCCCTTCCCTTCCCTTCCCTTTCCTTTCCTTTCCTTTCCTTCCCTTTCCTTTCCTTCCTCGCTCTTTCTTTTTTTCTTTCTCTCTTTTTTTCCCTATTGAATGCCTCCAGGTTCCATCTTCACTGTCTTGTTCCCTGACTGCTGTCTGAAGAGCATAAATAGCTCATGGGACAGAGGTCATCAGTCAAACATGAAATGTAGTTGCACTCTGAGAAAAATCACCTTCCCACTGAAGCATGGGGCAACCTTGGCTGTCCCCAAAGCTGCCAGTGTGAGTGGCCCCTCAGCTTTCAGTCCAGACCCTGCCCCACATCTTGATCTAGTCAGTTGGCCACACCCTCCCCATCATCCCTATTTTTTAAAAATAGGGATACGCTTCTCCCACTCCATTCCTGGACATCCTAGTTAGATTCCTCATGACCTTTGAAGAATTGTTTGCCTCTTTCAAACTTTCTTGCTATTTAAGAAAACAGGACTTTGGGATCTCTGTTAGGTGGGATTAAAAAAAAAAACCAAAAAAACAAAGCCACCAATTTTCAAAGTTGTGTCATCAGTCTTTTCCATACCTCCTGAGACTTGCTGAAGTAGTGCCTGAGAGGCAGAAATACCAGTGATTTAAGTAGCTACAGAGTTCCAGTTGCCTTTGCCATTTTTACTGGCTATCTTACATACCTCATACATTTTTAAAACATCAATCTTGACAACTTTCTGCCATGTCTTAGACCTGCTGTTTCTCATGGAGCAGGGGTTCTTGCCCAGGAGAGTTTCAGGAAAGTGTGATCCTGCTGAAATTTTGTGCAGAAATTTTTCTAAGGATCTGTAGCTTTCCTCTGATTCTCAAAGTTGTCTGAGACTCCCAAAGAGGTTAAAAACTACTGTTCCAAGGGAAAGGTACATTTGTACCTTCCTGCGGCACTTAGCACATTGTACTTCTAGAGTACGCAGTGCACATTTTGTTGAACTGGGATGAATTCTCTGGTATAAACTTCCTTCCTATAAATCCCTTCTCCCTGCTCTGGTCAGTCCCAAGGGAGTGTATTTAAATCTGGAAGTTGTTTCCATTCCATTGTCTCTGAGACAGAAGCATTGCAGCCTTGCCCAAAGTCTAGCCAGATCTCTCCTTTTTCTTTAACATATTTCTTTATTTCATGCTCCTCAGGATGATCTCTGCAAACACCCCAGGAAAACTGTGGACCTGGGACCTCCCTAAAGTGAGCTGGAGGTAGGGATGGGGAGCTTCAGTCTGTGTCAAAGCACCACAGAAAAGTCACACTATGATCTGCGTCTCATGGCCTTTCTAGTGCACAGTAGATTTTCCCCAGCATCCTTATGTCATATAGGGAAGAAAAGATGTAGAAATAGTGCCCCTAAAGGGGATAGGGGTGCAGAAATTCAGAGCTAACACCTTCCCCCCTGCAAACAATGTACACTTGGCTCTTCGTATCCATGGGTTCTGCATTCATGGATTCAACCAACTTCAGAGCAAAAAAAAAATTTTTTTTAAAGAATATTTGCATCCGTACTGAACATGTACTGACTTTTTCTTGTCATTATTCCCTAAACAATACAGTATAACAACTATTTACATATCATTCACATTGTATTAAGTATTATAAGTAAATTTGAGATGACTTAAAGTGTATGGGAGGACGTGCATAGGTTATTTGCAAATACTACACCATTTTATATCAGGGACTTGAGCGTATATGAATTTTGGTATCTTAGGCAAGGGGTTTTCCTGGAACCAATCCCTCATGGCCAAGAGACTGTATACAGGAATGACTATGGCAGAAAAACTCCTGGATGCTACAGACTCTTTCAGTGCACTGCCTCTGAACCAAGGTCATTCTTTTGGAGTCTTAGCCCTCATTTCTGATCATTAGCTTCTGTTGGAACCATTGACTGTTAACATCTACTGCTACAAACTCACTTAGACAAGAGGAGGCCATTTTCAGACTTCTCCAGTCTAGACAGATTACCCAACCCAAGTCAACTACTTTGAACTTCCCAGCAATGTCTTAGCATTTTCATCTTTGGTCAATATATCAGGTGGATATTCTTAGCTGAGCAGGGCTTAGAGCTTGCGTCCTGGTGAATGTTCACTGGTTGAATTTTGGGTTTTATAATGAAAGTGGCTAGCTCCTTGAGACAGAAATGCCTGTGGGCTGTTCCTGGAGAGTTGAATACAGATTAGAAATAACAGAAAGTTGTTGTGCTCACTTCAACCATACCTGAAATATTTGGACATCTCATCAATACTTTGGGCTTTAAAAACTCTGAATTTAAAGTTTCTGAACAATAAAACCAACCACCATGATGCCACATTTTCTTGAATTGTAATCTTTTGTTGTGTTTTTAACATGGTTTAGATCCCTCGGAACTTCCTGTTAGATATCTGTGCATATTTCTATGTTGCTTCTTAACTGATCAATTGTAAATTAAAATAGAGATGAAAAATAGTTCATAGCCCATTCTTTTCTAATTCTAGTAATCTTATTCCAGAAAGTCCAAAAGAAGGCCTGTTCTTCTAGAGCTGCTTGAGAGGTACAGTGGTTACCATTCATTAAATGCCTTCTGTATGCCGAGGATTGCACATATGTGGTCTTTTGCTTTTACAATATTCCTGTGAGGGTGATACTATTCCCATTTTACAGATGAGATAAATAAGACTCAGAGAGGTCAACTTACCTCCCCAAAGAAGCCTAACTAATTCTGGGAGGCAGGTTGGTAATTAAATGTAAATATTCCTCCAAAGTGCATGTTCTTAACCACCATACACATTTTGCCTGCCCAAACATTTGTTCACATCTTCATTGCTGTGACAATTGCCCACCTCCGGGATAAGAATCGATAAACTTTCCCAGCTTTCCCACAAAGCAGAGACCCATGAAAATTCCACAGGGATGTAAAAGGGAAAACAAGACACTGTTACCTGATTTCTTTTATATCTTCTCTGTGGTTTCTTGGAGTCCCATATTGGTCATTTAAGGGCACAAGGAAGCCTGATAATTTGCAAAGCTCCTCCAGAGAATGGTTTTTCCTTTGTTGGGCATTCAGTTAGGGTCTAGAGGGTTTGCTTACCTCTTCACCTAAGCATCATACTCCCTTTGTCCCCTTACACTGCCCCCCCCACCCCCAACCAGCCAGCTCCGTGAGCAGACAGAGTCACTGAGCAAGACTAAACCCTAAGAAGTTTCTGAAAGGTTATACCCTTGAAGCTACCCACAGTGTACACAGCACGTGCTGAAGTTTACACAGACTTCCCAGACCTCTGAATAGAGAGACTAATTGTGGGGAAGCTGCTTTTCAGCACACAGGATGGGCTGTTCCCTGTGGGTTTTACTATCAAAAGGCTTTTAAAAGTGCAGTGTAGCCATTGTTGAATATTTCACAATGAATTAAATACCATTTCTCTCCTCGCAGCTGTTCCGTGTGAGTGAGTGTAGAGTGCATTTTTTTTTTCCTTTTCCTGGCAGAAGACGTCTGCTGTATAAACCTAAGCACTGGGGTAATGAGATTATTTGTGTGCGAATTCTTTAGGAAAAGCATTTCTTTATTTTAAACTCAATGTGATGCAGAGCTGCTGCTCTGGAGACGGGGAGAGGGAGAGCCTTGGAAAAGAATGGAATTGCAATGTCTTTGAGCAGAACTGGGAGAAGGCAGGGGTGAGGGGCTCAGGGATTAGGCTTGTAGCTTCAGTACATTTATCCACATTTCCCTACATTTCCCTAGGGCTGCCTGCATCTCTCAGCCCTACTAACTGGGCTACAGAAGAGGGAAATTCCATATATATATATATATATATATATATATTAGTAAACAATTAATCACTTTTTCATCTGCCCTTTCAAAATTCCTTTCTGATCTCACAGGTTTTTAAAGCAGTTGAAGAAACAGTTTGCTCTATGCCTATTTTTATCTCAAAGAGCTTTTAATATAATTTAAATTATAAAGTATACAAGGAACTGACTTTCTTATGACATTTAGGGCAGTTTCCATAATTTGGACATACTCAGCTTTAATAGTACCATACCATTAATTGCTAGAACATGTATCCACACATCTCTTGCTTGACTTTTCCTCTTCAGAGTTTTCATTTATCTTTCATAGACATTGAGCTTCAGGTGAGCAGTGAGTTGGAATTAAGTATAAAATTAATTAAGATTAAATACAAGTGTAGACTTAACTCTTCCTAAAATGTCATCAGGGAGTCAACAGCTGTTTTTTAGATCCACTGAAGACTAAGAACACAATGAGATTAAATGGAAAAACAGGGATTTAGATTAGTGAGGGGAAAATATGACTCTGAAATCCATTATTAGAGTTTATAAATTACCTCTCCTCTCAAATATCTTTCAGGATATTTCAGAAGGAGTATGAGTAATTTTTTTATTATTATCCTTCTGGTTCGATCACGTAAGATAAAATTTTCACAACCTTTTAAGGGAACTTAAGGAACTTAAGGGAATGCTTTAGGAAATTATTGAGTGGGAAAGAGCAGGCCAGATGTGAAAGGAGAGACGTTGAGTGTGAGAGTAATCTTTTAATTCTGCTGCAGTGAGAGAGACAAAAAGGAGGCATGAGCTGGGCATGCTGATATGAAAACTCAACCAGTAGATTTTTGGGGCTAAGGAGGGAAGGTCTGAAATGTACTTCTGCACCTCCCCCATAGTTACTGGTCACTTACTTTTCTCATTTTCCAAACTTCCCAATGTCTATGTCAGAATGGGCAGGTAGAGAGTGATCATTTTTCCCTGTGTTTAACAGAAGGGAAAGTTCTGCTGCAAAGATGGGGGAGAGAATCTATGCTGTTCTGGTAGCTTTGAAATGCATAATCTTTTCGCTCTTCCTGGCTATGAACTAGTACTTTTCTATGTGCATATATATCACATTCAGTTTATTTTGAAAAATAAATTATTATAAAAAAATACCTCTTTAAATAATTTTTTTTTTTTTTTTTGAGACAGAGTTTCGCTCTTGTTGCCAGGACTGGAGTGCAATGGCACGATCTGGGCTCACTGCAACTTCCGCCTCCAGGGTTCAAGCAATTCTCCTGTCTCAGCCTCCCGAGTAGCTGGGATTACCCGAGTAGCTGGGATTACAGTCGCTTGCCACCATGCCCGGCTAATTTTTGTATTTTTTTAGTAGAGACGGGTTTTCACCATGTTAGCCAGGCTGGTCCTGAACTCCTGACCTCAGGTAATCCACCCATCTCGGCCTCCCAAAGTGCTGGGATTACAGGTGTGAGCCACCACGCTGGGCCTAAAGAAAATTTATAAATCAAAGAATAATAGGGAGGAAAGGCATTTTGGTGTCATCACTTAAGGGTTAATACATGGAGGGTGTGTTCCATGGGTATTTTTTGTGACAAGTGTTCACCTGAGTCACACACAGATACCTCAGACTTAAAACTGAGCTCACTGCTTTCTCTTGACTCTGTAACCTGTAACTCTGTAGCTAGTGGAGGGGTTGTTGCTGTCTTTATCTTCTCTCTTGTTTTGATGAAGGTCACTATCAGCTACCAATCACCAGGCTAAGGAATTGGTAGTTATTGACTCCCTCTCCCGTTTTGTTTTGTTTTTTTTTTAATACCTTAACACTTGTGTTGGTTAAGGAAGGATCTTTTTGTTTTTAAGTGGCAGAAACCTGAATCAAACTAGCTTCAGTGTAAGAAAGAAATTCCTGACTTAACAGATGGGAAGTCCAGTAGAAGAGTCAGCCTGGTGATTCCAGGGAATCCAATAATCTTCTAAAGTCTCTCTTTTACCCTCCTCTTCCTCCCTCTTCTCTTCCTGCTCTTCCTCCTCCCTCTTCCCCTTTTCCTTTTCTGTCATTCTAGCTCACATCTGCTTTGGTGGAAGAAGAGAAGTCCATAGTCATAGACCTCATCAAAGAATGCCTTGTTCATAATGGTTATATATAAAATTCCTGGTCTGTGTGCCCATCCCCAAGGCAATGAATGAAATAATGGGGCTGGGGCATTCTAATTCACCATGTGAGACATGTACCACCTCTGTGAATAGAAGGTGTAGGGGGTACTGTGATCAGCAGTTCCACCAGAACTATACTGTGTAAAAAAGAGACAGTTTCCTAAAGGAAAATGGGGGGTCCTGTACTGGAAAAAGAAGGAAAAGACTACAGATAGAAAAGCAGCAGATGGCCACTCTATTTTCATATTCAGTCACAAGTCCCATTGACTTTATCTTCCACATTGTTCTCGTGTGGAGCCCTTATTATAATCAATACCTGTGTTGAGACCCCAATTGTGTTCCCATGATACTGGTGAATACCTGTATTGTAGAGATCATTGCACCATATTGCAATCATTGTTTTGTCTTTCCTCTGAGACTATATACAGCTTGAGGTCAGGGGCTTTGTCCTTGTCATGTTTCTAGTACCTAGCAGAGTGCCTAAATTGCCACGGACACTCAGTTAAGGTCTGTGGAGAATCAAACCAGGTTATTAAATTAATCTGTCAGGATCATTGTGGGTACTACCCAAGATTATAAGGATTGGTTAAGAAGTAACAAAAATTAAAACAAAACAAAAGAAAACAACACAAACTTTGCAGTAATTTGGAATAAAACCCAAAGATCAGCTCAGAAGACTTTTTGTGTTATGGTTCCTCTCATTCTAAGGCAAAAGGACTTCACCATTTATTTCTGTATCCTCAATGCCTAGCCTAATACTTGCCACAGAGCAGAGGATTTGATAAATATTTGTATCCTGGTTGTCCAAACTTGTCCTAGCTAGTGGAGGGATGGTTGGTGTCTTGGTCCTCAGTTAGATCATGGGTAATTCCAAGTTACTGACTGGTTTAGGGTGTCAGTGACATTAGAGCATCTTTACTTTGTCCCCTATTAATCAACACATATTTATTAAGCCCTTGTTCTTCATGAGGCGTTGGGGCTATGAAGTGTGGTTCAGTCTCATCCTCAAGGAACATCACGCAACCTGGCTGCCGTGCTGAGACGGACACAGCCAAGCTGCAGAGCTGGTGAGCACCAGGGGACTGGGAATGATGAGAGGGATGGTCCTGTTGAGACTAGAATTATGGAGAGACCCTCCTGAGGCCTCCCAGTCACGTGAAACTGAGGGTGAGGGGGTTTGCCTTGAGGAGCACTCATTCATCCAAACTTAGTTGGCAGAATGAGGACAGAGCTCGATTTGGAAAGGGGTTGTTTTACTGGTGTTTGGAAGAGTGGCCACTCCGGCTCTGCTTTATGTATCCTTGAGCGTTGTTATTCTTTCTTCTCTCTCCTGTGTTGATTTTCACCTCCCTCACCCTGGTCTGGCCTCTCCGTGGCCTTCCTGCCGCTTTCAGAGATGAGCTTAGACTCCACACGGGGCTCCCAATCTGAATGAAATATCCCATTCCTGGGACCGCTGCTCCCTCACTTCATTAGTGCTCCTTGCTGTTTATAAAGCCAGGAGATAATATTTTTAAATTCCATTTGGAGTTTCCCGGGCAGCCTCTCTCTAAGCCACTTAGGAAGTTTAGAAAAGAAGGTCATGGAAATGTTAGACATTTTTCCACTGAACTTTGGTGAAGCATATGGTCTTAAGATGATGTTCATAGACCCCACTGGGCAGGCTTTCCTGGATGATAGGAAATTCTCCCTCTTTTTTTGTCTTGCCTTCACCTCCAGAAAACCAACTTTTTTTTTTAAACGGTTTATTGAGGTGAGCTTTATTGAGATATAATTCACATACTATACAATTCACCTATTTAAAGTGTACAGTTCTGTTTAGTGTATTTACAGTATTGTGCAGCTATCATTGCAATTTAATTTTAGAACATTTTTCTTCTTCTTCTTTTTTTTTTTTTTTTTTGAGATGGAATTTCTCTCTTGTTGCCCAGGCTGGAGTAGTACAATGGCACAATCTCCGCTCACTGCATCCTCCGTCCGCCTCCTGGGTTGAAGTGATTCTCCAGTCTCAGACTCCTGAGTAGCTGGGATAACAGGCGCCTGCCACCACACCTGGCTAATGTTTTGTGTTTTTAATAGAGACAAGGTTTCACCATGTTGGTCAGACTGGTCTCCAACTCCTGACCTCAGGTGATCCGCCCGCCTTGGCCTCCCAAAGTGCTGGGATTACAGGCATGATCCACTGCGCCCAGCAACATTTTTATTCTTCTTAACAGAAATCTTATATCCATTAGCAGTCGATCTTCATTCTTTCTCATTCTTCCTGTCTCCACACCTCAACAGCTACTGGTCTAATTTCTATCTTTATAAATTTGCCTATTCTGGAATTCTCATAAGTAGAGTTATATAATATGTGACCTTTGTGACTGGCCACTAAGCATAATGTTTTCAAGTTTCACCCATGTTGTAGCAGGCATCAGTATATCCTTTTATCATCAAAATAATATTCCATTATATGGCCATGGCACATTTTATTTATCCATAATTTGATGGCCATTTAGGTGCTTTTCACTTTGTGGTTATTATAAATAAGGCTGCTATTAACATTAATGTACAAGTTTTTTGTGTGAATATGTTTTCATTTCTCCAGGGGTAGAATTTCTGGGTCGTATGGTAACTCTATTTGTGGAACTGCCCAACTGTTTTTGAAAGTGGCTGCTTCATTTTACATTCCTACTAGCAATGTAAGAGGGTTCCAATTTATCCTCATGGTGAATGAGCAGTAGTATTTCATTGTCGTTTTGATTTGCATTTCTTTAATAATTAATGATATTGAGCTTTTCTCACGTGTTTACCAGTCATTCTTATACCTTCTTTGGAGAAATGTCTATTAAAATCCTTGGCCCGTTTTTAAATTGGGTTGTCTTTTTATTGTTGAGTTGTAAGAGTTCTTTACATATTCTGAATACAAGCCCTTATCGGGCATATAATTTACAAATATTTCTCCCATAAAGTGAGTTGTCTTTTTACTTTCTGGATGTTTAGAATTTGCAGCACCATAGGTTTTAGATTTGATATAGCCCAATTTATCTATTTTTTCTTTGTTTTTCTAGTGCTTTTAGCATTGTACCTAAGAAATTATTGCCCAACACAAGGTTATGAAGATTTAATCCTGTTTTTTCTTATATGAGCTTTATAGCTTTAGCTCTTACATTTATGTCTCTGATCCACTTAGAGTTAACTTTTATGCACAAAGGTCTAGTTTCTTTCTTTTTCGTATGTGTATCTGGTTCTCCCCTATTATTTGTTAAAAGAGTATTCTTTCTCCATTGTCTGTCCACTGTCGTGGATAGAGATTTTTAAATACATATGTCACCTACGAACTACCTCCTTAATCTATGGCAAAATAATTATTTGTATTAAGTGGTTCCTCAATACTGCTCACTACAGTGCATGAGTATTTTGAGGATACCTGAGTTCAAACCTGGTTTGGTGTGTGTGTGTGTGTGTGTGTGTGTGTGTGTGTGTATGTGTGTATGTGTGTGTGTGTGTGTTTTCACCTGAATAAAACTACCAGTATTCATTCTTCACTTTTAGCCAGGCACTGCCATATATTTTACATACATTACCCTGTTTAAATCTTACCAAAGATTCTGTGAATTATTAACTCCATTTTACAGACAAGTAAATTTTTCAGGCAGGGAGATTTATGTAGTTGAAATAACTTGCCAAAAGTTACACTCTTTGTGAGTGACAGACCCCAGATTTGAGCTCAGGTCAGCCTGACTCTGTAGCCTGGTATGAAACACTGTACCGGTCCTTGGGCATGTTATGTGAAATAATAGTAACCAGGAAAAGCAACATAAAGCAGCCACTATGTGCGCAATTTGTGAAGAATGCAGATCTGAAAATCTAGTTATGCTAAATGGCTATCAATTTCCTCATCTCTAAATAGGAAGGTTAACGCCCCCCCTTACCTCCTGAATTACAATCAAAGTATTTAATTTTCAAGTTACTTCTGTGTGTTTGAACTCTAAGAAGGAAAAATAAGTCAGTAGACTTTTCTAGGATAATTTCATCATACTTTTATTAATCAGTTGTTTAAATCTCATTTAATGCGAGTGTTTCTGCTTAAGACATTAATTTTTTTTTCACTTTTCTTGTATTTTCTTCGGTAAGTTTCAAAGAAAGTCACTAATAGTTGTGTGGCAAACATCCCAAATCTACTGAATTTACCATATACAAGACTTTTAAGAAAATGAATATATTCAATTTGAGGGAATAAATACTGTGAATCCAAGGAAAGTGGAAATACCTCTTATATTGAAGGTGTCAATACATATTATTCCTGAAGTCATCTTCTAAGTCCTCTTCCCCATCTCATTACTTCTTCTCCCTTCTTGTAGGTGCTTATTTGGCCTTTGGTGAAGAATTTGGGATATATAGCTTTAAAACAATGGAATATTTCCCAGAATGTATTGTTTTTGTGTTTGTAATGCTATGTCCTATTTGTCTTGAAGTCTCTATTGGAACATGTTATTACAGAATTCCAATATACACGTATAAGTGGTAAAAAAAAAGCACAATTAGAAATATATGTTCCGTGACCAGCTGCTCTTATTTAGTAGGTTTCCCAGTGTTTTCCTGCTGCAGCTGCTAGGAAGGTGTGCACCCGACTTTGAATGTTTTGGGTGCAGGAGTTTATTTCATGTCAGTTTCCCTTGCTCCTTAGTTCCCAGGGGTAGGGAGCTGAGCCCTTGCTTTCCTTTCCTTTCCCCTAATTCCCAACTGCGATTTAATTCCTCCTCCAGTTCATACTTGAACTCAGGCAGATACATCACTTGGGATCCTACTGTATCCACCTCCCAATGACAGCTTTGCTTATTCCGACTCTGAGTGGAGACAAGTAGGAATTAGTGGATTAATAGTCTCTTTATTCACCATGCCATGCTTTCCCTCCCTCTCCCCCTACACACTCTGTGTTAGTGGGAAAATAATGTCTCAGGTAAATTATGGTACATAGTGATAAAAGGTCTAATTAAAAAAACCAACAAATGACGACTAAAGACTTGGCAGGAGAAAATCACATTTTAAGGACTTTGGTAGGTGAAAGTGATTTTGGACACATGAATGATTTGAAAGAGTTGAGCTAATATGCATCTTCAGTATTTTGCACAGCTGACTTGGATCAAAGTTGTGCAAAACATTGGAGAGAGTCTCTGTACCCTGGACAGATACTGCATACAGTGAGGCTGGGATCCTTTCCCACCTCTTAGGCATTTCTCAGAGGTGCTGTGAGGTGATGTTGGAATTATTTTGTGATCTTTCATGCTAAATAAGGTAAAGCATCCCTATTGTTTTAATCAAAGGAAAGAGGTGATGTGTATTCATATTTACTTCTGAAGTTTGACACATAAAAAATTTAAAATGACCCAAACTTTATGAAGAGAGTATGAAATGAATGTCTGCTAATTGCTCTTCTATGGGATCTGATTTGCAGAATTACAAGGCCAGCTTAGCCTGAAGTCATTGCTTAAATAACCTGCTAACTGGAATGTATTGACATGAACTGTCAACACGGCTGCTCCCTTCAACCAATTCCAAGCTCTTTCTCCTCCTAATGAGAGGCTTCTTGTGTGTCTTGATTTGGCTGTTATGCCTCTTAACATTGCTCACAGTCTCAATTGGATCAGAAAACAGCTTTTTCTAGACCACAGAATGTATGCTATTCTCTGAAATCTTAAGCTCTTAAGATCTCTACAGTCTGTTTACCCAATGTATTGAATTCTTGTACCCAATATCTCATGATAATGTTCATTTATGATACATATTTCTTCTCTTCTTACTATTTGAATAAATTATATTGACTATATGCATCTTATATTTTTATTTGATTAATACTATGACATTCATTCCAAATCATTCTTCTTTTTCAACCATGTTTTCCATTTATCTTTGTTGAAACAGTTTTATTTCTGCCTTATAGTTTACTTGGTCTGTCCTTGACAAATTAACAGGTGTGATTTTCACATGCTTAATTCTCAATGGCTGCTTTGTATACATGTATACATGCCAAGCTGCATCTGGAGGAGACAAATCTATATAAAAATGAGGGTCTCTTTGTCTTTACTTATTATCCTATTTTTTATGTATTTAGAGGTCTTAGATTACTCTTCTTTAAGGAAACATCTGAGAATGGAGGCACACTGTGGTAAGGGAGAGTAATAAAGAACTTACTGCCAGCCAGAGTCTAATTTTACAGCTTTTAATCCATTATGATCATTATAAAGTGAGCATTCCACTTTAACAAGTAGGAACCTTGCCAGAACAAAGTGACTGCCAAATGAATGACAATGTTTGCTTGCTTCATCTCAGGTTGGAGGTTGCAAACTCTTACTGATACAATTACTGATTAACTACAAGATCATGGAATCTTCCTGTTGCTTTGTGTCTTAATTTCTCTTTCTATCTGGAAGGTGCCCATGAATATTAGAAAGACACAACTTTTCAAAAGTTGAGATTGTGGTGGTAAAATAGCAAGGAAAGAGCTGGCCCTAAATGTCATCATGCATAGACATGAAGGTACACAGGATTCATCAGGCAGTGAGTGATTTTTGCCATAAGACTTGATGTGTCAGGGATGAGACCCACTCATTGACTTTGGTTGTTTTTAAATGTTTGGGATTTGGCAGAGTTCAAAATCTATTTTGCCAAGTCCTTTAATTTTTCTTGTTTTCCAATAAAAACCCTAGAAGAAAATCTAGGCAATACCATTCAGGCACGGGCAAAGATTTCATGACAAAAACATCAAAAGCAATTCAACAAAAGCAGAAATTGACAAATGGAATCTAATTAAATGAAAGAGCTTCTGGACAGCAAAAGAAACTAGCATCAGAGTGAACAGACAACCTACAGAATGGGAGAAAATTTTTGCACTCTATCCATTTGACAAAGGTCTAATATCCAGAATCTACAAGGAACTTAAACGAATTTACAAGAAAAACAAAACAACCCCATTAAAAAGTGGGCAAAGAACATGAATAGACACTTCTCAAAAGAAGACATTTATGTGTCCAACAAACATATGACATAAAGCTCAACATCACTGATCATTAGATAAATGCAAATCAAAACCACAATGAGATACCATCTCATGCCAGTCAGAATGACGATTATTAAAAAGTCAAGAAACAACAGATACTGGCAAGGCTGTGGAGAAATAGGAATGCTTTCACACTACTGGTGGAAATGTGAATTTGTTCAACCATTGTGGAAGACAATGTGGCAATTCCTCAAAGATCAAGAACCAGAAATACCATTTGACCCAGCAGTCCCATTACTGGGTATATACCCAAAGAAATATAAGTCATTCTATTATAAAGATAACATGCACGCGTATGTTCATTGCAGCAATATTCACAATAGCAAAGACAGGAAATCAACTCAAATGCCCATCAATGATAGACTGGATAAAGAAAATATGGTACACACACACCATGGAATACTATGCAGCTATAAAAAAGAACAAGATCATGTCCTTTGTAGGGACATGGATGGACCTGGAAGCCATTCTCCTCAGCAAACTAACACAGGAACAGAAAACCAAACACTGTCTGTTCTTACTTATCAGTGGGAGTTGAACAATGAGAACACGTGGACACAGGGAGAGGAACAACACACACTGGGGCCTGTTGGAGGGGTACGGGGAAAGAGAAAATCAGGATAAATAGCTAATATGTGCAGGGCTTAATACCTAGGTGATGGGCTGACAGGTGCAGCAAACCACCCATGGCATATGTTTATCTGTGTAACAAACCTGCATGTCTTGCACGTGTATCTGAACCTTAAAATAAAATATTCTTAAAAAAGGAAAAAATTTTCTTGTTTTCATTGCTAATTTTGAGGTCTATGAGCATTTCATGGAAAACTTAAATTGTATATGGGATTTCTTTATAGTCTAGTCATCTACTCATCTGTATGGGACATCCAAGAAGACTGGTGAGTCTTCCTAAAAACACTTGGAAGGAAATTTTTTATGGTCTAAAGATTAAATCAGCTAGAAACCTCAAAGACTAGTTTGAAAAGTTAAGCTCTAGAACTATTAAGCAGAGTTAGAAAATAGCTGGCCTGTTCTCCCTCCATTTTTATCATTTAAAAAATTGTATTTAAAAAGTGCATGTGTAAACATGTGTGCATGTGTAGGAGATCTGACAATTTCAAACAAAGAAAACCATGTCATAAAATAATAACGCCCTTTACTATGCACAAAGACCATCTGTAGCGAAGCTGGAAGTAGGCCTGAATGTACCATCTTAGATCACATTTGGTATAAAGTGGTTATTTTATTCATTCATTTAGTCATTCTTTTACTTACTCATTTCATTTACTCAGTTACTCAGTTATCTATTCTTCCAACACTTATTAAGCATTCACTAAGTCCTTGTGTTTAAACTGGAAATTCAAATTTAAGTAGAATATGATTGCTGTTCTTGAGGGGCTCAGATTATTTTTGGTAACGTAAGCGCCCCATTGGAAACCTATATGTGCTGCTGAGAGCACAGAGTAGGAAGTGCCTGATTTTATCTAGCAAGGCCTTGGAAACCATGGGGGAGGTGATTTACTGCTGAGTCTTGACAGAGGTGCTGGGCAGGTAGAACAGGGCTTTCCAGAAGGGAAAAAAGCCTGTAAAAATGCATAAAAGAGTGAAGAACTAGAGTGTGTTCAAGGGATTGCCACAAGTCCAGGATTGTCAGAGAGCAGGGTCCCTATGTGGGGGAGAAGGTGAGGTGTGGTCAAAAGGTAAAGAGGACCAATTTTGGCCTTTTGGACTGTGCTTGGATTTTATCTGTTTGGCGGTGAGGAGTATCTAAGGGAGTTTAACCTAAAGGGTGGTCTTCTGCATCCTGTTTTTAGAAATCTGGTAGAAATGGCCACCTTGGCTGCATCTTGCCCAGGCTCTCTGACTTTCAGAAAAGTCCTTCTCTGACACTCTCCTGCAATGGCGGCGGCAGCCCTTGTGTATTGCGATGTGGGGAATGCTGGCCAAAGATTTTACACTGTGATGAAAACTTTTGCCTTTCCAAATAATTTATTTTAAAAGCAGTATGAACCTTATCCATTCCTTTAAGGTGGAGGTGACTAGCGTCTGGGCTTTGGATGGATATGGAGCGTGAACAAACTCACCAACATTGATAAGGATGGCTTTTCAAAGGCGACGGCTAATTGGCGATGGGAGCGGGGCTAAGGAGAAGTGGAACATTGGCTTGTCTATCACTAGGCTCTTTGCAGAGGTTTCTGACAGAGGAAAGCTAATCAGGAGACCTGCATGGGGAGAGAGGCGTGTTATTTAATTAGCTTTACAATGGGCTGACTTGAAGGCACGTGGTGGTTTTAATAGAGGGAGATAGATGTCCTTTTTTGCAGGGCTAATTGTTGGGAAAAAGCAGGGTCTTTGTTCAGGCCCAGCATGAGGGCTGTGATCTCTTGGAGCCTAGGGCTGCCCCTGCTAATAATTTTAGACAGAGCTATTCAAGGCTGCTCTGTAAGAGAAAAGAAGAACAAGAACAGTATTGTGTATGCAGGATCACTGCCCAAACCTCCCCAAAGTCACTGGGGAAAAAAAAAAAGGAGAGCAAGAGGACTCAGCCATGTACATTTTGGAGTATGTCCCCATCATTTATTTGCTCTGGTTGTTGGAAAGGGCAAAGTGACACTTCCATCAACTTGGAGCTGAGGTGGGGTGACTTAACTAAACACCCCCAGAAAACCAATTAAGTCTGCTTTCCCAATGATACAGCATTCATCTTGCCAAAATGGAGCGGGCAACTAGCGAGAAGACTATGACTGTTCTCTGCTGCCAGGCTTAATGGCTGGGTGCCAGGCAATGGTAGTGCCAGAATGCAGATTACATAGCTGATGTAAATGGCAAATTCTGTGTTTTTAGAGGGCAGTCCTAAGAGCACCGATGGTTTGACTGGTGGCCCAAGGGGCAATAAGAGAAACCTTTCCCTAAGGTTCTTTTGGGCAACTGGTCAGCATAGGTAGTTAACACCAGGGAGCAGAATACTTTTTCTGAATTCCAGGTGGCAAGTCCAAGCTTGCAGGGAGTGCTATCTAGGTCCAGAATTCTGTAGCTAAAATGTATGTGTATGGCACAATTAGAGATAGATAGAGGTTTAGGTTTATAGCACAAGTTAAACCGTTCATGCCACCACACTCCAGCCTGGGTGATAGAGCGAGACCCTGTCTCAAAAAACAAAATAACAAAAACAACAAGAACTGTTGGCTGGCAGGAAAAGAGACAGCCGAGGAAAATGTAAGATGCAATAACATAGAAAAAGACTTCTGTGAAGTGAGTGCAGTAAGGTGCTGCCTAATGGGTGCTAGTTTGGGAAGTACCTAGGCAGAGTGCTATGGGGGCATATTGAATAGCATGTGGGATTCTTCCCAGATTGAAAGTCAAATGCTGAGGCCAGTTGCTTAAGAAGGTCTTATTTTGTTTAGGTTGCAAAAATCATTGGCTATCAAACGTGCAATCCAGAGAGTGGAGAACCCAATACTGGAAGAAATTCAAGAGGGTACATATTCTCTTTGCTGCTAATTTGTAATGTAGCTGTGAGTATATGATTAGAACTTTCATAATTGTATCTCACATCTATATAGTGGGAATTAATCCCCTTTCATCCAAGAGGGATGGTGTCAAGGATTTGCATGATTTGCATACCTAGACCAAAACTTATCTTTGTCACTATGTCATGATTTTAACAGCGCACATGAAGATAGGACACTGTGTCCTCATTTCTTCATAAGAATACTATATACTACAGTTTGGATTAACATTCATGAAAATTTTATGCTCACTAAATCCGAAGTCACAATTCTGATTTTTAAAATCAATAATAGCAGTGAAGGGTTACTGAGTCTTCATTCTGCATCATGCACAGTGCAAAGCACTTGGCACCCATTCATCTCATCTCATCTCAGTTCAACTCTGTGAACTAGGCACTTTCCGCATCTCCATTCTGTAGATGAAGAAACTGAGGCTTTCTGAGGTCAAAGACTGACATCTGGAGAGCAGCCAAGCTAAAATTCAAACTCTCGTCTATTTACTGCCAAGCTTGTGCTCTTAACCCACTCTACTATGTTGCCTCCCTGGTTATTTTAGAGTTTAAATTTATTCTATAGTGAGGAAACCAAAGCCTGGTAGTTTCTGCTTGGCAAGAAACTGCAGGTTTTTGTATGGACTATTTGGAAACAGGAACACTTATTTGCAATAGCCTTTTTACCTCCACACCTCAGTTCAATTCAATTCAATTCAATTAGACAAATACACTCTGTAGGAGAAAGCATTAGCTCACTAAAAGTGGATGGATATGTAGATGCTGGACCTTTCCTGGATCTGGAATTTTGTTGCCAGCCATCTGGTCTCTCTCAATGCTGTGGAATCCCCTGAAAGAAAAGTTTATAATCTTCTTGATTTTTAGAAATTCTCAACAATTATTCAGAATTTTAAATTCCTGGAAAGGGTTCTCTCTTGGGAATCTGCCATGAGAGCGCTGACTGCCCTTTGTTTTTTCCTCTCACAGTCCATTGCCAGCTTCCCACCCAGCTGCACCTCCTCCCACCCCTCCTGGATGGGTCCCTTGTGGTACTTCCCACCCAAGGCCTTTTTGTGATGAAGTCTTTCAAGATGGTTTCCCAATCTGGGGAGAACACATGTTTCTGATCATTCTGATGAAACACGTTTCCATTAAGAAGCAACTTCTATATGCTTTCTGCTTTCTTCATTCTGCACGTTACCTGTCATTACCTCTCACTGCCAGCCCTGGACTCTTGAAAGTGTTTCACAGGCCTGTCTGATTAAATGGCGCCCTCTTACACGTCACACATGCCCATTTTGCTTCTCTTCTTTTCACCAACTCAACGGAAGAAAGATTTTTATTGTATGGGAGCCAATCCAGATAGATGAGATGTGAGCTGGGTCTGTTCCACCTCATGAGTCATGGGCAGGACCATCCACTACATTCTGACTCCTTCACAGGGCTGATGCAAGATGTGGAGTGAGCACAGCTGGCTGCTTGCAAATTAAAGAAGACTTCATTTCTTTTTGGTCCTTAAGAGCTGAGAATCAAATGTGAGCTGTAACGCTGGAGAAATTGACATGTCCCTTTTTGAGCTTCTTATTCAAATCTGTCAACTTTACATCATTGGCATGCTTGATGCTCAGTAAATTCTAAATATGAATAATTACACTGGACACCCTAAAGTTGTTTTAATGAATTTATGTTCCTGCATATTTATGAAACTCAGATTCTGTGCACCCTTTTCAGGAGAGTACATACCAGAAAAGAGGTTTAAAGCAGCATGGGAACTTAAAAAGTGCTATGCATTTTACTTCCTCTGTTGGTAGAGTTAGCATTGGTGAAGCTAGGATTCATATTAATTCATTATGACACTATAATGCTGCTCATTGAAGGATGCCTAAGGTAAGATAGGCATAGATTCTTGAGTAAAATGTTTGTGGATGACTGCAGTGACATACTCAAAGAATGTTATATTTACTGGCTAAGCAGGCTGTTCTTAGTGTGACACATCAATGTTTTCTTGGGGCTCTTATACGGAACTGGTTCTGGAAGAAGTGATGTAAAATAATGTGTGTTCATGATTCCCCCTCAGAACTCAGGAGAAATCATGAGCCCTCACCAAATCCAATATTTCCTTGGTTTTTAGGCTTTAAGATCAGCTGCCTTTTCTGTTCCAACATCTTGATTACCCATTAGTAGATACAAACAACAAAGTGCAGAGAGCAATACTCTACTTCGACAAAAGTGGTTAGGGCTGCTTTCTATATTTCTGTGCCACCTGCTAGATTGTAGCAGCTCCATTTGATCCTCCCTGTCCTTTTCATTCCCATCTTCACTCTCAGCCCATCCCCATGTCCCCCCATTTCTACTTCCAACCCATACCCTTCCTCAATATAGAATCACCTGTATAGCCAGAAGATATATTTCAAAATACAGTGCTTCTGGAGTCCTGACAGATTAAACTTGAGAAGGTGAAAGGGATTTGTAGTAAGCACCCTGGCTCACCATAAAGCATGTAACAGTCTATTCTTTCTCATAAAGATGGAGGAAATTGAGTTCATTTCATGTATTTCCCTTATCTTACAAATAATGTATATAGCAGTTGTACATCTTACCTTTGTGGAAGCCAGTGAAATAAAAGATTCAACTCGAAGTTCGGAAATTCCTGAAGACTGCTTCTGAGCAGCCATCTGAGAATATGAATAGCGTGATGTATAAAACGTCCAGGCTGACAATCAAACAACTGATTTACTTCGTGGTGAGCCAAATGTCATTTTTTACATGAAGTCTCAGAATAAAAAATTAGATAAAAAGTAAAATGAATATTGTGATCTTAGCAACATTCTCCTTTAAGGGGATGGGAGGAATGGGAGGAACAGAATAAAACTTTACGAAGACCTTTTTAGTTAGAAATGAGTCAGTTGGTTGGATCTTTAATCTTAAACTTTGGGCAAATTTGAGTCTCACTTCAGACCGAACTAGGCAAAACAAAACTGGTATCTGAGCTTCATTTTTCTGTAAAAATGTTACGGGGATGTTAGGAAGTTAACTGTTCATTAATTAAATAATGAACATAATTTATGGGGCTCTTACTACCTTGAGCTAAACACCATGGAGTGTAATAATGACTGAACCTCAGTTGCTGCCTTTAAAGAGTGTAGGAGACTGACACGCATATTCAAATATGTACTAGGAGTGTGCTCTTGAGCTGAGCAGAAAAGTGGCAACTTGCAGGGGTGGGGTGACAGCTTCTGTGAGGGAAATTCTTTGTGTACTGCAAATGTCCATGTGAGGAAAAGACTGAGAAACACACTCTATATTCTGCCTAGATTGTCAGCTTGACCTTCCCTTGTGTCTTCTGTGACCTCCTGAGATCCTTTCACCTCCATTCTATCCTGGATCCTTTGCATCTCTTCCAGCATGAGGACCTCCCATTGATCTGTTTTCTGTAGTTCCATGACTGTTGGCCATGCAAGACAATTAATTAAAGTATGGGATACTTTACTAGGTCTTAACTGCATTTTGAAATCTTGGGGACTGAAGTCCCAGAACGACAAGAACATAAAATCACTGTGACTCTACCTCCTCATCTCCTCCCCTTCTCTGTCCTCGACTTACACTTCCATTGTTCTCAGAGGACTTCCCTTCCACTACTTCCTCCTGTACCACCGTCCCTTTTCCTTTCAGGGCTATTTCTCCTTTTTGTGCTCCACTTATCTCTGCTTCTTGATCTCTGGGGTGGTAAATGTTAGTCTTTTGGGGCAATTGATTTGGCATTTTAAATGAAAGTAGTGGGGAGAGGGGAAAAGATTCCACAGTGAAATTGTCTTAATGTAAGATTCAAACCACAACTGCAGAGAACATCTGTTTTGAAGTTTGATGTTGTCTTTGTAACCCAAGAGAAAAGCAGAGTAAGATCAGAGGAAGGCCTTAGCCTTCCACCAGGATGAAACCACCTGCAGCCTTGGACAGTGGGTGAAATCCTGTAGCCCTGGGATGCAGAGCTTCTAGGAGACTGGCTGTCCTCTTCTCTCATATTATTAAAGGATGTTGGTTCTCTTGCCATCTGTGCTATTGCCATTATCCCTCTACCTCCTCAAGAGTCCAATTCAGGACAATTTAAATTGGAATCCCAATTACATGATCCCCAAAGGCTCACAGAGTAGCCTGCATTCTGCATTTGCAGCAATTCCAGGCAACATGCTCAGCCTGCTTCAGGGAAGCACACAACACTGAGTGTGGATGAGACCTCAGAACCCTCTAACCTTGGGCAGCTCCTTACCTCTTCCTGTCTGAGCCATGTTTGATTTGCTGCAAGAGGAATACGTGTCTAAACTGCTGGATTTTAAAATGTCGCTTGGTCTGTGGATTAGGCCAATCCACCCCACATTGTTGGGGCTGCAGATGCAGTTGAATGGTTCATAATTATAGTCTAAAGAAACTGCAGACAGCAATAGAGCCAACCCAGGCCCTTTCTCTCCTGACAGCCCATGCCAAGCTGTCTCCCACAGGGAACCATAGTGTGGTTATCCTGCAATGTATTTGCCCAAAGACAATACATCCAGTGTAGAGAAGTTGGATTTCTAGAAATTGAGTCTGCTCATCTATCTACTCCCATGTCCATTGTATCCTGTCTTGTGTCTCAAGGGTGTCTGGTACTTCTCCTGCCAAAGTGAAATGCAAAGTAAATGCAAGGAGATGCCAGGGAGAGAACTGCTATCAGGGCATCTGGTTCTAGTACTGACACTGACTTTTTTAGATTGTGTGGCCCTGGAAATAATAATTTCCTCACTCACACTCATTTTTCACCTCTGGTAAATAGGAGTGCTGGACTTGGAGAGCACTGATAAACTCCCATTGAGCTCTAACATGTGACAAATCCAAGACCTAAGGTTTTGTCTCCAAAGAGGCACTACAAATGTGATCTTCTTTCAGAATTTAAACTGTCACTTTTCTGTGACTCAAAACAAATATAAATCTAGTTCTCTTCTCCAATCAGGTAGTTCTCGAATTTCTCAAGTGAGGCTGATGCTGGGCAGGTTGCCAGTTTAAGAACTGAGGAAGGGTCTTGAAGAGATTTTTAAATGAAATGTGGTGATAGTTGTTCTATCTCTCGCTGGAGATCGTTCAGGAAAATTGAGCATCCAAGCTATTCTGCAAAGAGATGGCTGTAGACAGACATTTAATGTGATTTCCCACATATTCTACCGTATACTAGATCTTAATAACAATAATCAAATACTAATTCTCACCTAGACACTGTGCTAAATTCTTTGCATACATTATCTCATTTAATCATTCAAATAGCCTTAAAAGGTGTGTGCTGCTATTATCCCTAGTTGAAACATGGAGGAACTGAGGTTCGGGATTGTTTAAATGACTTACCTGTGGCAATTCAGCTGGCTAGTTGGTAGAGTAAGAATTTGAACCTGAGTCTTATTCCAAAGCCCACACTACTATCCTCTTTGTTTTCTTATATTGAGCTTTCCAGGGCAAACAGGCTCCCAAGTCCTCCCCTCTCCCCCAACCCCACCCCACCCTCCCTTCTTCCCTCCTGACTGCAGCTCCTCCTACCCTCATTGTTTATTGTGCCTTCTAAACAATAGCCAATGAGTCTGTGTTCCATTCTAGGGAGAGCTAGGGCTGATTTTATTCCCTGAAACAGAGATGAGGTTGTGACACAAAAAGGTTAAGTGGCTTTGGTGAGGTCACAGAGCCAGCCTGCAGTCAGCAACAGTACCATCTGAGTCCCCTGGCTTGGGTCCCTTAACTGACCCTAAGGCTTTTTGGCATCCAAGTTTAATTAAGAGAGTTATTTTAATTTTCCTTCCTATCTCTAATTTTCCATTTTATTGCTGCTTGATAATGTAGATATTGAAGTGCCAGGCATTTTTCTTCCCTAGTGTGACTTTTAATGACTAAACTTCTCACATAGAAACCACTTGCCTTAGAAGTAAGCTTTCAAAGCTTGTTTCTGTGTATGACAGAGACTGTTGCCTTTTCTCAGAGAAAAATGAGACCACAAATGCAGCTCAGACAGGTTGTTGTTAATTGAGGGCTTTTTTTTTTTTTTTTTTTTTTCTAAATCTTACATTTATACCAGTAAATCAACATCTGTGAGTCATAAACTGGTTCTGGATCAGCCGTTAGTGGTCTGAATGTTTTTGTACCTACCTTCAGTAAAGCATATTTTAGCTCAAAACTCAGAGATTCTTTGTTTTGTTGAAGTTCAAGACTCAGGAGTAGATAACATGCTAGGACACTTCTGGAGAGGGAAAGTCTGTCTTCCATGATTGTTCAACATTAAGTGTATATTTATATTTCTTTTTTATTGAAGTTGGGGTGGAGTTGAGGGAGGAGTATAAATAAAAAAGAAAGTATGCTTTTTACATACTCCATGTGCTTGAGGAATTCCTGTATGAAGGTGACTATTTTCTTAATATTATTGTCTAGCTCCACTCTTCTGTTCCCCAACTCCTGCGGACTTTTCTTGGCCCTTATTGACTTCACGTTCCTAGTGTAAGGCAATTCAGCACTTGGTAGGATATAATTAGCCGAAGTCTAAGGAATGCTTAAAAATACAATTCTGTTTTTTCCCAAATGCAGGAGGAACAGACTGCTGCAGTACAAGCACAAGCACAGAAGTATTTATTTGATTGATTTTTTTTTTTCCTGAGTGCCTTAAAAACCAGATATGGTATTGAAGTATCTTGCCCAAGTGGATGAAAGGCAACGCTTGGCTGCTGTTGTTTGGCTGGTGGGGACACTGAGGCATACATGTAACCGAGTGGACGTGAGTGCTGGGGATAGAGGTTCTGCTCTACTATGAAGGGAAAAGGGCACAGCCTCTGACACTTTTTAGTTCATCTTCACAAGCCAGAGCATATCAAACTCACTTAATCATTGAATTAGGAAGCCCATAGTGACCAAAAAGTTGATAGTTCATCATTCAACACATATTTATTGAGCTCTGTAATGTCTTAGGCACTAGGCTAGGCATCAATGTTTTAGCGTATGATAACATAGAAATATCATTTAAAGTCCATATGAACATTTAGAAAAATCTACTTGTGTCCTAAAGAGAATGAATAAAAATTTCATTTATCAACATTGATTAGATTAATGAAACATGACCCTGGCAGACCTGATCAGATTATTATATCTTAAATATGTAAAAAATATTTTAACATGACCTTATTAGTGCTCTTCATCCAAATCCAGGGTTCGATGCATAACTTCTGATGGCATAAATATTCATAATTAATATCATCTGGAGGTAACTTTCCTGGCAGCCTGTGGTGGCGCCTGGCTATCTCTCCAAACTGCTGCTTTACGCAACCCTATTCCTTGATTTGGACATTCACTCATTTTGTTTCTGTGCTTCAGGACTGGATTAGGAAACGGATGATTGACTATCTGAGTTGTCACTATGGAAGAATTAGAAAGAATAATTTTCCTCATTGCTAGAGTGGAAAGTGTTTACAGTTTAATCATGGTGGGCTTTTTTAGTATCTAATTTGGGTGGATGTTAGCAGCAGTGTTTAGGCTAGTCTGGGGAAGAAAGTTGAGGAGCAAACTGGGGAAGAGAGAAAGGAGTTGCTCTGAGGAATCTGCATTTGAAAATAGAGAAGTACTCACACTTGGATTAAAAAATGCCAACATTTTCTCAATACAACATCAACAAAACAAAATTCCCCAAAGCAACTCTAGATTTGTTCACTTCTTCTCCTGATGAATTCATAGTGAGTAAGGCAGAATTGATTCAAGAACCTTTTTTTTTTTGTGGTTCATTTGGACGTGTAAATGTACAATTCATTCATCAGCTGTTTCTCTAGGCTTTTCCCAGGACCAGAAGGGTCTGTTCTTGTCATCTGGAGGCCAGCATTGTTTTCTCATACCTTGTGGAAACACAGCTGGATTGCAACAGTCTTTGTTCTTTCAAAAATTAGGACTATCACATACAAATATTTTCCTCTGGTCACTAAGGAGGGATTTAATCTGGAGTTTAGACCAGGAGCCACAGATTTTTCTGTTCCTGGCTTCCTCCCCGATTTGCTGTGGGAAATCTGCAAATTACTAAGGCTTCAAGGGCACAAAACTGGGATTAGATGAAGGTAAGCCTGTGTGTCAAAACTTACCAGAGGCAGAGGTTACAGTTACAGTCAAATGCTGGGAGTTCAAATGTGCTTAGAAATCAGGAAACATTAAAAATAGCTTTCTCTGAGATTGCTCAGGAAGATTTATGTTTAATCTTTCTGTTAATCAAAGATGGAGCTCAGTGCCTGGTTCTAGCTATGTATTTAGATATATACATGTACTGGTTGATTTGTTAATTAGGACAAACTATCTCTATTACAACCAATGTATTAGTGGCAAACCATGAATTATTCGGGTTCATTTTGTTTTATCTCTAGTGTTGGGGGTTCCCAAATGGAACAGAAACTGTGCATTGTGATTCTGTCATGGCTGCCAATGATGTACTCCAGAAATTCAAAACCACAGAGCCTCTGCATCACTTTTTTGGTGGCGGTCGTGGGAGGGTTGTTAGTTTTATCTAAAAGAGGAGAGTCTGTGAAAGGAAAGACAAAGCTTTGGCCAATGGTGACATAATTAGAGGAACAGAATAATTAGAAATAAATCATAACTTCCCCTTCAACCCAACCACTGCTGGAGGTAAATTGGAAGCTTACGGAAGCTCATGGCTGGGTTCTAGTTTGGGGTCCCGTTCTGGACTCCCCTGCCAACGCAGGAGCATTACATGGGTGGGCTCTGAAAAACTGAAGCCTCCTTCAGAAACACACGCCCTGACTCAAGATCCGGCTGGAGTCCAATACTCCTAAAGCCCTTTGAGGACACGGGCTCACGAATCCCCTGCGCCTGCCTGCACGCTCGCCTTCATCCACATGCCTCACGTCCTGTGTGTCAGTCTTTGTGAATGAATGATGTACACGCACTTGGAAAACTATGCTGCTACTGGGAGGGGGCGAGAGCGGGTGACCAAGCCCTCAAGAATGCGTGGAGAATCAGACGGACTTTCCCGAAACGGTGGAGGCGGCCTGTGCACCCAGCCTGCACACCCGCTCCCGGCCCTTCCCGCCCCTGCCTGGGCTCCGAGGCCCGGGGCTCCACGCACTGCTCCTCCGCGGTCGCGGCCCGGCCCCGCGCTCGCCAGCCCTTCCTTTCGCTTTGGGCCGCGGGCGGAGATTGGCCGCGGTGCTCGGCCCCGCCCCCGGCTCCCCGCCCTGCCCCGACGCCCCGCCCCTCGCTCCCCCAAGCGGACATCGCCCGGCCCAGGGCGCGCGGACCCAGCGGCCGAGACGCGGCGCCGCGAGAAACGCCCTAAAGAGGAGGGGAGAGCGCGGGAGGGCGAGAGGGAGGGAGAGCGGCCGGGAGATCGAGAGCGAACGAGGCAGCCGCCGGCGGAGAGGAGGGAGCGGGCGAGGGCCGGGCAGGAGGAGCGGGCGCGGCGCGGGCGAGGCTGGGACCCGAGCGCGCTCACTTCGCCGCAAAGTGCCAACTTCCCCTGGAGTGCCGGGCGCGCACCGTCCGGGCGCGGGGGAAAGAAAGGCAGCGGGAATTTGAGATTTTTGGGAAGAAAGTCGGATTTCCCCCGTCCCCTTCCCCCTGTTACTAATCCTCATTAAAAAGAAAAACAACAGTAACTGCAAACTTGCTACCATCCCGTACGTCCCCCACTCCTGGCACCATGAAGGCGGCCGTCGATCTCAAGCCGACTCTCACCATCATCAAGACGGAAAAAGTCGATCTGGAGCTTTTCCCCTCCCCGGGTGAGTGGCGACGGCCGAGGCCCCCACCCAAGCTCTCGGCCAGAGGCCGGGGGTCCCCTGGACTTCTTCCCCCTTTCGCCGTTCCCTTCTGGGCGGTGCATTTCTTCAGGAGCGGGGGATGCTGTTGGCAGCTGGATCTGGAGGACGAGGAGGAGAAGGAGGAGGAGGAGGAGGAGGAGGACTGTTGGTGGCCCTAGACCCTTGGTTTGGGGGGTGGTATTTATTTTCACAGCTGTGTTTTTGTGAGTGGTGGGGAAAAGCTTATAGAATTTCCAGCGCCCCATTCCTGCTTTTTTTATTTTCCCAAATGAGCGAGAACCCTCTGGCCTTATTCCTTAATGTTAAGGGGAGATGGACGCTGCCTCAGAGGACATCATCGCCTGACTCCACGTCCCCCATAGAACTGAGGCTGGGTGGAGGGCCCCGGGCAGTCTAACGGGTTGGCCTTCAGGCAGATTTTCAAATAAGGTCTTGCCTCCCCAAGCGTCCCTGTCACATGCCTTGCCCCTCTTTTCTGGGTTGAGGGTAAGGAGATCGGAGGAGAATTGAAATTATCCTCTTAACTTTGAGAAACGTCCGACCCTATTCATGTAGGTTACTTACTTTACCCATGTTTCTAATCTGCCATAAATTTTTCTTCTGGTACCAAAGGTCCGTTGGAAGGAAAGCATCAAACACCCAAATGTGACTTTGTGTCTTTGGTACATGGTGTTGTCCAACTCTTTCATTTATATGCATTTGAAGAAGAGAAGGATAGGAAGTAATTTTTTTTTTTTTTGTCTTTGACACAAATATTGGTGCTAAGCAACTTAAGAGAGTCTGGCCTTACAGAATTTCTGAAACAAATGTAGTTTGAGAGGGAAAGATGCTTTCTTTTAGGATAAGGCACTGCCAGCTATCCTTAGAGATGAGTGATTTTGGAGGTGAAAGTATATAGAAAGATCTAGGGAGAAGGCAGTGCACCCTGGAAAATAATTAATTTCAAGAACAGGCTCCTCTGTTGTATCTGATTATCAATAAGTTTAGTTGCTGCCCCCTGTGGTTAACACTTCTTTGCCTCTGCCATAATTTATTGCTTACTTTAACCCTTTCTTACGCTGCTTAAACTTTCAGCACAACCATACTGATGTTTTGTCATTCTGAGGTCCTTCAGAAATATTAATAAAGACATGTAGGTCACGTCCCCTCCCTCTGGGTCCCCTGACATTCAGCTCCAGGGCTGCTGTGCACAGAAGGCTGAGATTTTGTCTCCTCGCAAGGATGATGGTGGTGGGAGCAATGCTGAGAGCGCAGCTGGAACCATGGAGACATTTAAGGCACTTAGGCCTACAATTCAGAAATGCTGTTTCTATGATGGTTGTGTTTGGGGGTTCGAGGAAGCTAGAATGAGTTCTGTTTGTCAGTTGATTGAAACCATATATAGAAGTGAAAAGATAGTTCACATCAAAGATATAAACTCAACTAATAGGTCCTTTCCTTAAGAACAGCTTGTTTATATGTGTTGTTATGGGTGTTTATGGGGGAAGAGACAGATTTGGTCATCTGGGAAATATCGTGTCGATATGTCAGTCCACATACCTACAAGGGATCTTTCATCCTGGGAATGAAAAAGAGCCCTGGCAACACATGTTTCAGATCACAGTGAACAGCTGAGGCAATTTTTTTGGTAATTTAATATTAAATATTAGAGACAATGTATATGGTGCCGTCATTTCAGTTACTGATTAAAAATAAGCTCTGGGCAAGTAACTTTCTTTAGCTTTCTATTCTGTAAAATGGGAACAATAAGGCCTAACGCTACAGTCAGCGTCCATTATAATAAGCATATTTGCAATGGCTTTCTTTTTCAAAAAAGATTTCCAAGCCATTGGTCATCTTTTGTATGTGAACTTCGATACAACAAAATTTCAACTGGCCAAAGAAATTGGGCAGTCTTCTGCCATTCATTGTAAAGAGGTTTGATTTCTAGCACCATTATTTATTATCTTGGAAAAAATAAAGACAAAAACTTGAAAAAATATATAGACTATAATCAACTTTTTTTTTTCTGGACCTTTAGTTGCTTATATGCGAACATTATGCCCATACCTCAGAGAGGAAAATAGAGTCACAGGAAAGGTAAATAATTGACATAAAAATATGTAGTGAGCCAGTGGCTGAAGTACAATCAATTCCTGTTTCTAACTTCGCAATGTATATTGCTTTGAGTAATGTTGCAAGATACCTTCCAAAAGCTCAGCAAAGAAACCTCAGCTGAGACTTAACTTGCAGGTGCAAAGCAAGGATGGGAGAAACGGTGTTTCTGGCCAGGGCTGTCTGCTTTTGTTAGTGGAAGGACAAGACATTGGCTAAGTGCGGATTTGCCTTGCCCATCAGACCATATAGGACATGTGTTTAAAGTTTAACTTCTCACAGCGTAGCTTTTTATCCACAGCTGTGACTTAAATATTTGTCAGAATGATTTCTTTGGGTTGCTTAGTTTCTTATGTGTGGAGACAGCTAGTGTGGGATCTTATCTGGCTTAAATGATTAAACCAGAATTTTCTCCCCACCCCCTCCCAAATTCATGAGTGCCAAAGAGAGGCAGTAAGAAAGTGGGGTGTCCAAACAGGAGCCGCAAGACCTGGATTATTTGTTTTCCTGGCTAGGACCTGACCAAGAACCTTTATGCACTTTTATTCTATTTTGAGACTTCACAGGAGTTTGACAGCGTTAAGTGCTAAATTAACATATACTCTGAAATAACAGTAGAATTGACTTTTCCTTGCAAGTGTAAGAGTAAGGTGGGATATGCTATTTGATTGCAACAGTGTGATTGCAAGGATCTTAAATAGCTTAAAAACAAATATAGCCATTGGGTTCACTCCTGGTTCTCTCCTGGTGGAGCCTGCTGTGAAGGGGCCAGGTGCCAAAGCCAACACATTCCCAAGCCACTTAATTTTTCCTTTCCTTCAACACTCTGCTCTACCTTCTTGGTGAGGTGAGCTTAATGTCCAGATAAGAGCAGGAGCTCTAATCCTGGATACTTGCTGTTCTATAAGAATAAAAGGATCAGCCTCTCACCCCACCCGCCCTCAGCAGAGGGTGTACATCCATCGGGAACATGCGTTATACTTAGAGATAGGAAGAAGCTTTGTCCTTGCTCAGCTTGGTCAGTCTTTGTTTCTTCATCAGTGTAGACAAGAAAGAAGGGCAGAGCTGCCCAGTCTATTAGATCACTTGCTCACTGTGCTCCCAGATCCCCGCCGACCATACTCCATTAGAGACTAAAGAGCTCTATGGTTCAGAGCAGAGACTCTGGAGCCAGCCTGTCTGGATTTGAATCTCAGCTCGGCCACTTAGCAGCTGTGTGACTTTGGACAAATGACTTAATCTCTCTGTGCTCCAGCTTCTGCATCTATAAAATGAGTACAATCATTCTACTTCATAGGATGAATATCAGGATTAAATCTATGAATATGTGCAAAATCTTAAAACAGTGCCTGATCCATAATAAATACTATTTAGCAGTTAACTACAGAGCAAGTCAACAAAAAATGATCCTGATCAGTGTAGAATTTTCAGAGGCCCTTGAATGTTTGTTAGAAGATAAGGTGGCTGTGTTATGTACCTCCTGATAATCTATTATTTTAGAGGGAAAGAAGAGTAAAGTTAAGGAGGACCTTTTCACCTGCTTAGCTGAGATCCCATGCCCGTGAAACTTCATTCTGTTCTCCAGGGAGCAAATAGTGAGAGGTAACTTTCAGAGAGTGTCTTGAAGTCCAGCTCTCACTGTTGGAGGCACAGGGAGGGGGTTGCCAGTTACTTTGGGTGATGGAGATTGTCATTGTTACCTCAGAGCAGGAAGGCTACCAAGTCTAGAGGCAAGGGGAACATTTGCAGGGTTGATGGAAAAGTCAAGTTTTCAATTATGCAGGGCTGAGAAATGCATCATGTCCAGTTATTATAAAGCATCTCCTATTTTATTTATTTATTTGGTTGGCAGAGCTTGCATTCCTGGCATTTTTGGTTGGTTTGTGTTGCTGTTTTTTTGTCTGTGTAACTTTTTTTTTCTCTTAAAGAGGCCAGACCACCCTGTAGGAGCATCGCCTCCCTCCAGGAGACAAACCAGCTCGTGGTCAACCTCCCGGAGCCCAGGTCTCTCTGGGCTCCATCAAATCTCTGCAAACTGAGAGCTGGTTAGTGTAGGTCAGGATTTTTCAGGAGAGTCTCCCTGTTTCAGAATACAGCAGATAACTCTGCAATGGTTACAGTGACAGTGTAATTACAGATGTCTCTCTGGTTTGTGTAATGAATAATCCATGGCTGTGGTGGAATTCCATGAGCTTGCATTGAAGGTGGTAGGTTCTTGTCATTCAAAAGTTGTTGGGATATTTCTGAAGCACACATCGAGCCTGCATTGTGTGCTGGGCACAGCCAGATAAAAGAGCACTTTTATGCTTCACACTTACTCTGAGGTGTGGTGGAAGTATTATTTTCTCCATTTTTCAGATGAGGAAAATGAGTTTCTGAGAGATGCATACTTGGCCTAAGGCCACACTCTAGAAATTTAGAAACTGATGAGATGTTGTAGGCATTTTATACCTAAAATTTTGAGTTATTCTCAAAAACTCTGGAAATTAGAACACAGGCAGGTGAGAAGGCAATGCTGGTCGGTGCTTTGGGGGTTCAGGAGGTACAGTGGCTCCCTGCTATCTCTGCAAGAGCCCCCTGAGCTGAATCAGGTGGCCTCATTGTTAGCTCAGTGCTTCATACGGCTTGGGGAAAGGGTCCATCCTGTGGGTTGTCCCCAGGCCTGGCAGTCCAGATGTGTTGCTTTAGAAAGATGTTTGAAAGTTCCAGCAATGCTTACCTCAGAATGAAAGGCAGAGAACCAGGATTCTTGTTTTTGCAACGTCTTCCATATGGCCTTGGCTCTCTCACAGGTAGGAAGGTGATTATGTTCACCTCCAAGGTCAGTCCTTCGCTGAGCCTCCAGATTCTGCCCATTTCTTCCCCTTCATCACTGATGTTGCTGTGCATTGAATCTCTCATAATCAGGATGATGAGACATAGCTTGGCAAACTAGTTCATTTTCTTAAGGCAGTTAAAATTTAATTATCCTGCTTGCAGAGAGGCCATAGATAGTTGAGTTGCATTTGCTGCCTATGCCTCATATAAATTTCGTTTTTTCCCCTAAAATTTAGTTTTTTTTAAAAAAGTCCATTCCATGTGTCAGGGCACATGGTCTGGAGTTGTCCTGGCACAAGACAGCCCCAGGTGTCTACCTGCAGACCTGCCAGCTGTCCCAGCCCATGGCTCACACACAGGCACACTCCCCTGCCACTTGTTTAAGGTTAAGGCATTGGTTTCTTTATTACTGCATTATGGGGAGCATTTTCCCGAAGAGTTAGTATGCTTGGGCCCACACTGTCACCGCAGAGAGGAATTTGTATATGAACAACATCATCTCCGTGTTTTTATTTAGCTGCTCCTTAATGAAAACCTTGGCTCCATTTTCCTGCTCACAAGGAACCTCTGATAGCATTTGCCTCTATGTTTGCAGTATTCTAGGTCTACCCTTCGCTCACAGCTGTTAAGCTGTTCTTAACTCAGGGTTAGGAATGTCAAGGCTATTCCCAAATCTATCATTTTTACTTGTCATGTGTCTCTAGCTACTTTCTGCTTTATTTTTTCTGTCGGGTTGATGATATCTTTTTCAAAACTTCAGTGGATGTTTTCCAAATTGCATAAACAGGCTATTTCTACTTGGCTGCTTTTCTGAAGCCTTCGCCTATCTGCACCCCCTTTTCCTTCTGATTGTATAATGTATAATCTCCATGCAGATACAGAAAGACATAGGTCTGCAGGGTGGATTGTGGTAGGTCTGGTTTCATTGGCAGAGAGCCATGCTTAACAGACACGCTCAAAATATTGCTATTCAAGCCGTAAATATTTTATTGATCACTTGGCCAACGCTGTCATATTTCCCAGGTGCTTTCCAGTGTCTACTGCTTGGGTGCAAGCCTGTCACTTGACACTTCAAATGTGGCTTATTACTGCCCCTTCCACTTTTCTCAATTGTTCTTTCTTGTAGCATTTAGTACTGTCTCTAAGAGTTGTGGAATATTGACCCAGATAGTGCTTTTAGACCCAAAGTAATATTAGAAATTTTAAGGCTGTTGGACTTCAGATCATAATGGTGTAGAGATAGAAAATCGTATAATTTACCACCCAAACTGGGATACCTTTGAGAGTGTAAAGGGGCACTATTAATAATTGCATCAGAATGACAGACATTAACTGGGGCTCTCCCCACAGATGAGGGCCACCCGAGTTAGACACTAAATTTGGTCAATCGTACTTTCTAGAATATCTTCTCTCAATTGCCAATTTCAGGGTTTAGACCATCTAAGTAAGCTAATAAGGCACGATTAAGAGTTTGAAGCCCTTTAAGTTTAGTATGGTTTTCCCCCAAACATGGATTATATTTTAAATTTGTTTCTCAGTGTCTGAGAAACCCAAATCAACCTCAGACAAGTTCACTTCAAGCATTTGAAACCTCTTGGTAGCTTTGGGTAGCTGTGATAAGCCATTTATTTTTGCTTTGCAAGGTTCTGTGGAGAAACTGTAAACTCTGCATGTAGTGTGCACGCGCGCGTGTGTGTGTGTGTGTGTGTGACAGAGAGATAAAATGAACTTTGAAGTAGAGGGACGTGTCTTCATTACACAAGTGAAGACAATTGCAATTTTTGTTTTGTTTTGTTTAAATGTTTATCGAAGATAAGAAATTTTACTTTGGGCTGAAAAGGGGCAAAAAAAATGTTGTGTTTTCTTTTTGTACCATTAAAGTGGGCAAAAACAAAAGCAAAAATAAAAAACAAGCCCTCAATTCTTTAGAAGGGGAGGAAAGGAATGGTGGATTCAATTGCAAAATTCTTTTTGAATTAAAAAAAGACAAGAATAAGAATGAGGACAGGAAGAGTAAGAAAGTATGAAAGAATGAATGAAAGGAAATTGTAAAACTAAAGATGAACGAATTTAAGTGATATTACATAGATTCTTGGAAAAGCTTTCATCTGGGCCAAGCATTACACCTGGTTAGGAATTCCAGGCTCAGGTGGCCCCATGGGCAGTTTTGGGTCTGTTGTTTCTACTCCTTGCCTGTGGTCATTTCTGAATACTTTAAATCCCTCATGGGTAGATGGGTGGTCAGGACAACTCAGATGAAGTCTTCCCTGGGTTCCAGGTGCTTCCATGGCAAAAAATGCAGGAGGACCAGTGTTTACATTTATGAAAATATGTGTGGATCAATGACTGTTGGTATTTTCTGTGTCTGTGAAGCTCTCTCTTGCAACAGTGTTAAGTTAGTTTCATAGGTCAGCTTCATGGGAAACAGGGGCACTTCTGAAGCATTTGAAGGAGGTGTAAGAACAGGGAAAGGATTATTTTCCATATAGAGAGCAGCGTGGGAAGAATGCTGCAAGTTTGGAATGAAAGAGATGCTTAGATAAACATGAAGGAAAAAAAACTTACTTGTAGAAAGGGATGAAGGAAGGAAGTAGGAGGCCAGGACCCAAAGAGCGTTTTGAACCTCAGGATGAATTTTGCCTTTGAAAGTAGGAATATTTAAGGGTAGAGCAGAGTTATTGAGTAAGCTTATGAGATAGGTAACTTTTTTTTTTTGGTTACTTTTCCTCCTACTCATACTGTTGTTAAAACCTCTGTATCAGTTTATCAGAATAAGCGTTAAACCTCAGAGAAGATGACAAAATCAATCAGGTACATATTTTCAAGGTACAAATGGAAAATAACCTCGGTCAGGCACAGGAATCTGCTAAGCCTGGTGAGTGTTTGTAGATACGGGTTTTTTGAAGTATCTAGGGTCTCCCACTATGTGCCAGGTGTTATACCTGTTCTCAATTAATTACTTTTTTTGTGTGCAATTAGAGTTGTGTGATGCGTTTAGAGTTGTGTGATGCATTAGTATCATTCATGTTCAGAATAAAAATGTGTTGTTGAGTCTGATTTTCTTTTTCTTTTTTGTAGAAATGAGGTCTCGCTATGTTGCCCAGGCTGGTCTTAAACTCTTGGCTTCAAACAATCTTTCCACCTTGGCCTCCTAAAATGTTGGGATTACGGGCATGAGCCACTGCCCCTGCCCAAGTCTGATTTTGAAATACCCTTTAAGAAATTTATCACAGGAAATTTTCAGTGAAAGAGTTTCCATGTAACCGACTTTTGTACTTCTAGTACCTACACATTTCTCCTATTTGATATCTTTTGCCAAAAATTTAAGTTAATTCCATACCTTATGCATCAGTTGTCTCACATCATTAAGACACGAAATAAATGCACAGAATGCAATGAAGAATCACAGATGATAAGGAAGACCTTACCGTATTTGTTCCTTACCAGTAGGAATAAATATTGTGTATGAAATAAACAGCATCCACTCTGTGAGGAGAATGTGGGCTGGAGAGTCGGGAGTGTTGGTCTCCAGCCACAGCTCTGCATCAGTATCTGTCTGTGTGACCTTAGGCAAGTCATTGCATTTTTATGCACCTCATTTTCTTCATCAGTCAAATAAATTCATTGGAATGACGACCTGTCAGATTTCTCCTAACAGTGACATCTTATGACTTTAGGTAACATTTAAAACAGCCAAGGCTTGGAGAGAGTGTAGACTGCCATTCAAGAGGTAGGCAACATGGGGATTTGCATCCTAATCCCCAAATTCTGTTAATAACAACTTAATCATTGAGGAATTTTGGGTGCTTTGGTAAAGGGCTACTTCCACAGAGAAACAGAGATGTTAGAAATTGTTGCCAGCCTAGCTCACCATTGGGGAAATGGAGGCATGTTGTCTTGGGTAGCACTGAACCAAGAGTCATACCTTCCTCATGGTCTTCCTTTCAGCTTCCCTTTTCCATGAGCCGTTGCTGCAGTTGCAGCGGAAGGCAGCTCCAGTGCAGGTTCTCACCTGGAGGAGGGAGATGTAAGTCAAGCATTCAGTAGGTGAAGCAGCTAGTCCAGCTGCTTCCGCAGGCCGAGTCTGTGGGCTGAGTGATGAGCTTATTTCATCCAATCTGCCTCTTCTTGATAGGCTGCTCTGGTCAGAAACAGTCCCTCCTGCCTTGAGAATGCAATCTGCTGTTAGCCACGGCAGTGCCTCTTCCTGACAGGCCCAGTAAGTCAGGGCCCTGGCCTGCTGTTTGCACAGAGGGAAAGGCCAGGCCTGCGTGCTTTGGGTGCCCACAGAATGGTGTCTAGGTGGCCACCGGCTGATCCTTCACTGGACACACGCTGCTTAGCAGAGTTGGAGCCGGACAAGAAACCACCTGCCTTGGCTTCCCCAGCCACCCCGGAAGCTACAAATGTACTGGGCTGTGGCGGCGGTGGAAGAGCGGTGCCCGCACATGGGGGTTATCTGAAGTCTCATCTGATTGATGTTATTTCTGCATTTTGAGAAAGGTCTGTCGCAGTTACCCTTCTCTTTCCAAAGCAGGGACCTAAGTTCAGCATGCCAGTTTTTGGGGGAAAAACAAGGAAAACGATCATTGATGACAGTGTAGAGTTTATCTACTGGTGCTTGTGTAAGCACTTCTCATCTCCATCCATCTTTTCTTTTTTCCTCATGTTCTGTTTATTTTCTGATAGTTATTGGGCGCAAACTTTGTGCCAGTATCCTCATTATTTCGCCCCAATAGTGAAGCATTATTATTGCCATTTCATAGATGAAGAAACTGAGATTAAACGACTTGCCCAAGGTTGCAAAGCTGCTGAGTGGAGGAGTTCAGATTCAAACCCAGCTGTAGCTAACTTGAAAATTCCATGTCTGTTGTTTTCAGAATTCTCAGAAATATTTGGGTGTTTGTGGAATTTGGGGGAAATACTAAGGTCCGTTTGTGCATATTGTTTGCTAGTTCATCTTAATACTTGGCTATATCTGGTAGCATTTTACAGTTTGCCATGTGACTTCACCACATTTGAGCTCATGGTAATCCTTAGAGTTACCAATATTTTACAAATAAGGAAAGTGCAGTGCACCGATGCCAAGTTACCCTCCCAAGGTTCCAGGGCAAATAAGCGGAGAGTTAGAACATGAAGCTCCAGTCAGTTTCTCCAAATCCCCTGACATTTGAGTTCAGCCACATGGATTTTAAACATTTCTTTGATTCGATGAGTATCTAGTACATTCACTTAAATATAATAATGATGTTATTAATAAACGTTAGCTTGAGATCAAAGTGTCAACAAGGCATTCTTTTCTCTTTTGGTGGAGGTAGATTTCACCCACATATTTTATGCATCTATAACAAGTCCCACATAGCTGGCTGATTACTGAGCTTTGAGCAGGTAGCACTGGTCACTATGCACAGATTAGTATGATTACTGAGCTTTGAGCAGCTTGAACAGATCACTATGATATAGGCTCTGGAAAGGTTGTGCAGATATGCCTGATGCCAAGGCACTGGCAAAATTGTTGGTAGGCTGGCAAGTTAGTTCCTTCTCAAGGAAAAAAAAGTGTGAATGATCCTATAGGTTACTAGACAGACATGCAGTTTCCCTTTGGAGAAGGTTGACTTTGGACTTTGAGAAATACATTTTTTTTTCTTTTAATCTAAAGAGATTTGAAAATAATAGATGTCCAATTTTTGTTTACCTATTCTGAACTATAAGGCACATTGCTTTGTTCTTCTGTGCCTCAGTTTACCCCTTTTAGTAAAGGAGGTCTATTTTAATCAGTGAGAGCTTCAGGTAGCTGGAGGAATGCTTCAGGAAACACAAAACACAATGAAAAAATTGTTGAATCTTAAGCTGCATGTTGTGGAAAAGAACTGTACCAAGGAGGCATACAGAGATTAATGTCATCTTAGATGAACAATTTTTTCACCCTGCTAGTTTCCATTTGGGACATAGGGTGTTTGCTGTGGTACCATGCATAGACACTCAGAGCTTAGCAGAGTTATGTCAGATTATCTCTCTAAAACAATGTGTTGTTCCTTACCAAAAAACGTAAGCCCCTCTGGCCGGACCTTATTTTGGTCATTATGGGAGGCAGAGCATTCCAAGGTCAAATGACGGGTTTTCCATCTGGGAAGTATTCTTTTGGTTGCTGGTGTTTCCTTGGGAGTGGATGTAAACCTTAAGTAGCCAGTAGTGACCTTGAGTACCTCTGGATTACTAGGGAAGGGGAGGTAGGGATGGGAAGTTGGGCGGTACACCTGATTATAGCAAGCATGAAGATAATAGTTTTAAGTTTGCTGTTTTGAATCTGGGCACTAACTTCAATGCTTGCCAGGAAAATCTTATCTTGTAAAGCAAATCCTAGTGAGGTCACGAAGTGTGTCTCCTCCTCCAATTGGGGTTCAGCACTATGGCTTGGTGCCCTCCATGTACCAATAGTTTTGGGTCAGGCCTAAGGGGTCCTTGGTCTTAGCTTTGCCCGGTTTGAATATTTTCTCTGCTGTTAACTGGGCAGGGTGGCATAGGTGGTCATCTTATTACCTTCTGTTGCCTGATGTGAGAATCAGGATACCCAAGTCTGGCTTTACCTTAAGCCACCAGATATGGACACATGTCTGCATTATCTTTGTATTCTTCTCCAAGAAGGATGCTCCTAGTGAGTGAGCTGCCTTTCTTTGAGAGAGAGTGGGAAAGTTAATGAGTTCACATTTAGAAAGTACTCTGGAGTCTTTGGTGATTCAAGGAGTGTTATTAAATTAGTGGGAGATATGATACGGAGTGGGGATGCTAAATACATATGAGCTCCCCAAGGGTGAGTCATGTGTATGTGTACAGGAAATGCATCCTTATTTCATATAAGATCAAGAGTTCAATCTTACACCTCCCTTGCCTCCTAATGGAAACCAAACATTCTTCAAAACTGCTGGATGCTTGCTTTTCTTTACATAACTGCAGTTCAGTTGGAGGAGTGAGAGAAGTGAAGCTAATATTTACAGAGAGTACCTACTATGTGTCAGATACTTTGCAATGTGCTTTACAGAAATACATAATCACATTCTTTAAACAACCCTTTGAGGTTGATGCCTTAATTCCCATTTTGTAGATAAGAAATTGAGTCCAGAATTAAGTTCAGATAATTTGCCCAAAGCCATAGAGTTTTCAAGTCATAAATTTGATCTTAGACCTTTCTAGTTGCCAAGGCCTTCCTACTTAGACAGAATCCATTTGGAGAGAAAACTTTCTAACATTCTTCTAAGAGGTCTTGATTCTTGGCACATTCTTCTGTGTGATGTGTTCTCTGTCAGGCTTGTCATTATAGGGGCAGGAAGAACGCACTCATTTCACTTATACATATCTACCATTGGGATGTGTTAGTAGTGGGAAAGTAAAAAAAAAAAAAAAAAAAAAAAAAATTTTCACCTGATTTCCATGGTGCATTTTCAAATCCAAAGTAGACACATGAAAGGTGGCTAGCCAAATTTACTAAACTTGTGTACAGAATTGGTGCTTTGGCCCCCACTCTCCAGATTAGACAATTGAGGAATGAAGTGAGAGCTCCACCCCAGCTTGAGAGTTCTCCAGGGAGGGGATGTTCAGAGGCACAAGCCTAGGGCTTGAAGCTACTTGATGCAAGAGGGACATTTGTAGAAAAGTAAACACACACACAGAATGAATCAGCATCTCCACGGTGGACATAATGTTAACCTCTGATTCAATTGGAGATTTTTAAAAATAAAGAATCTATTTCTGGATTTCTGAAGGTCTCTCTTGCAGGGAGCTTTGTGGCTTTTCCATGCCTTCCACCCATCCTCTTCTGTAATGGATGATCTGATGAAAGAACTTTGAAATTTCAGGCTGACTGCAAAGTCTCCAAAGGATCTGGGGTGCTGGGTGAACCGAACAGCGATTTAGTTTTTTTAATGAGATTGGGCCCTGGGTGACTTGCCGCTGGTTTCTCCTGGCTTTGATCAAAATATCTGCCTAGTGGCATGGTGCAGGCAGAGAGTGATGAGCAAAGATGATGCAAGTCTTCAGTTGCCCCCGACTGCCTTGGTTCGTAAGAAAATATTTTCAGTGTTTTTATGGGCAAACAAGTTCTAAGGAAGTAATACTTGAATTTCCAAAAGCTGGTGCAGAATACACACTAGGCTCTGCCTACACGAGCTAGTCACAAATCTCTTTACGAATCTTCTCTAAATTCCTGTTCTAGAGGAGCCTAAATGAAATTCGCCTTATTTAGTAATTGGTTCTTGGTTCTTATATTTGTCAGGTGGATTTATTTATGCCACAGGCTTTTTACCATGATCTTACGATACAGAGTTTAGATAAACCCTATTTCTCTTTGGGTACCTAAGCCCTCTAAGACAAAGGAGAGGGATTTACATTTAGGGTGCTTGATAGTAAGTAATTGAGTCCCTGAATCACACAGCGTCCCTTTCATTATGTTGGTTATAATGATATTCCTCACTGGAGGCAGCACCATGTCTTGAAAGAGCAGAGTTTTGAGGTAAGACAGCCCTGGGTTTGAATTCAGGCTTGATCTTTACTAATTTTTCCTTAGACAAATTATTTAACTTCTGTAAACCTTTCTTTTCTGATCCTTACAAAGGAGGTAATAATAAAGAGCTTTCAGGGCTGTTAGGATTAGAGATAATTCCTGTGAAAACTTTTATACTTTTTCATTGCCACAGGAGCTCAATAAACCATTATCTTGTAGGTCACTAAATTCTGTACAAAAGTTCATTGCTGCTGTCGCTGTTATTACTTCAGCGGTTGTTAAAACTGTGGTTACTATTAACCTGGTTACAGAAAATTTTCCACTTGACACCTCCATAACCAAGTGGGCCAGAGCCGTCCCTGTGGCCAGTTCAATTATTTTCAAATGCCTCTCACGCATTCTTACCGAACGTGAGTTAGGGCTTGAGTTATGATTCCAACTCTAAAGCATTATTTTTAGACATTGCCCTTGCCACTTCAACAAGGCAGTTTTTTGGAATTGATGTTATCAGGATTTAAAATTATTTTAATTGCTGAAGTACTGTCCTCTTTGCCCTGGAGTCTTTTCTTTTCTGGGAGGTGACCCAGCCATTCAAGGTTTAGGAGAAAAACTCTGTACTTGATAATACAGCCAGGCAGGATTAGAACTCCTGTTCTCCCAGGCGTCATTTCCTGAGCTAGGCTGCTGCCGGGAAGGTCCAGGTCAGTGAAGACCTGGCAGCCCCCTGAAGATAATAAGATTCAAGACAGAAAAAGCCCACCGACCTTTCCTTCTTTGCCACAGATGTCCCTCCTGTCCCCAGAAAATGGCCATCGCAGTTCTAGCAGGCTTCCCCTAAGGAAGATGTCTGCAGGAACCATGCACCTCTGGGGTTTGCTGGTTGCTGATTGCAATGGTTGATTTATAGCCAGAATCTGGCACCTAGAAAAGGGGATCCTGCGTCTTTAAACAGCTGTGCGCCACTGTGTGTAAATGTGCTTGCTAATCCAGTGACTAATTCAGTATATTATAAAGCAGCACTGAGCCGGCTGCCAAGGCAGGGCTGAATCCCAACTGGAGTGGTGTGTAAGGCTCAGAGAATTATGTCTTGAATTCTGCCACACCACCCGTCGCTGAAATCTCATCTGGTGTGTTCCCTGAACCAGCGCTGGCCTTCTGGTTCCTGTCTGCCCACTCCGCTCCCTCTCCTTCCCTCTCCCTCCCTCCGTCCCTGCCTTTATTTACTCATGGAGGGTGGAGCCCGGCTCGATCTGAGTCAGGGCCAGGGAACCAATCAGAGGTGCTCTGGGGCATTCCAGGGGCCAAAATTCATGATCCCTTTTGGAAAAGAATTTCCCAAAAAGATCCCTGGCATCACAGTGTTGTGACTGCACCTTCCTCAGTTCCTGTGCAGTGAGCCTTCACCGCCCCCACACCCCACCGCCCTATCAGCTTTTCCTCTGTCTCCCCCACCAGGGACTGGAGGGCGAAAGAGCCCTGTCTGATGGAGACTTCTTCCCCTTGAGAATCTTTTGTATGTAAGTATAAAGATGCACATATCACTTTAAAAGAGCACTCGGCAGCCTTTTCTGGGAGCATCTTTAGGGTAGGGAACTTGAGGGATTTTGTTCGTCTCCTAGAACCTGTGGCCCTTCCTCTTTAGTCCTCACATAAGTGGTCCCAGAAATTGCAGTTACCAGGTGTCTGCCTCTGGAAATGGCCCGTGCCCAGCCTCTCCCACGGTCGGTCTCCCAGTGAGCATCGCGGGGCTTCCATCTCACAAGGATTTCCAGGTGGCGGAGGTGGCTGTGGGAGATCTCATCCTCTCGTCTTCCCTTTCAGTAATGCCACCAACTGCCAGGGGCGCCATCCTGGACACCTTGCCCGCCTTCTGTCCCTCACGCCCTACACCCAGGACATCTTACGTGCACTCCTTCCTACCCCCTCCCCTAGTGCTTCTGGACCCCGCTAGTTCACTCACTCTGCATTGCAAAACCTTCCGCTTCAGCCGTGATCCCAGCACTCATCGTCTGTTGTGAGCATATAGCTATTGCTTCTGTACTTAGGCGGTGTTTGCTTCTCCCACTAGAGGGAAACTCTGCCTGAGGGATCTATCACCAAGGTATTCATTGTTGGGCTCATAGCAGTGGGCCAGTAGCTCTTTCTCTCTCTAACATTTACTTTTTTTTAAATTGAGATATAATTGATATAACATAAAATTTACCATCTTAAAGTGTACATGTCAGTGCATTCCAGTACATTCACAGAGTTGTGCCATCATCATCAACGTCTAATTCCAGAATGTTTTCATCACTCCCAAAAGAAGCCCCATGCTCATGAGCAGTCAGTAGCTCTTTCTGAAAAAAAGAATGCTGTCCAGCTGGGATGTGAGGAGAAGGGCTCGTATTCCTGATCTGGAGCTTGGAGCACACACCTGGGGGAGCGCTGCATCTCCCCAATCTCAAGGGACTTTTTCAGTCCCTCCTTCCTCACCACTCAAGCCCAGGGTTTATTCTGAGGGCTCATTGGTTAGGCTCCACTGTGTAGTGAGCTAGTGTCGTCTGGACAGAGATAATGAGCGCTTTCACCAGCTGCATGCAGACAGTTCAGTCCGGGGAGCTTGGGGCTGTGGTGGCTGCAATTTCCTAATGGCTTCCTGATGAGGCAGAGCCATTTATTAGCAGCGGATGAGGGCTGCACATCCCAGTCTCTCCCTTTCTCACCTACCCAGGCAGATGGAGAGTGGCTTAAGCTCCCTCCGCCTTTTGCATTGATCACTTTTTGTCTGCTCGCCACCCATTGGTTGGTCTCGCCCATTGATCTGGAGATTGGGTCTGCCTGGCGACTTACCACCCTCTTGGGCTTGCTACTGGGAGAGGCGTCTGAGGCTGTCTGCCCTGGGTCCGTGTGGGCGAGACTCTGGGGCAGCAGCAGGAACAATAGAATGCTGAAGATTGGGTGTTTGGGGCCATTAAAGAGAAGCCCATTGGGAAGGAGAAGAAAAAAATCTGTGGGGTCTAGAAGAGATCACAATGAGGTGGATCTTTCCTGGAACCCTTAGGTCTCTGCATTCCGACTGCATTTGCCTTCACAACTAGAGCTGCTTGTGTTACTTCAGGCCATGGCCTTTCTGGGGGTCAACAGATAGCTTCATTAATTAGATAGATCAGATTCAACTTACTGGCCAGTGCCCCTGATATTAAGTTCTGGCTTTGTCAGTGGGGTTTGTTGTATTCCCTCAACCCTATCACCATGGCTCAGTGACCCTATTTGGAATACCAGCAGGACTAGAAGGGTAGTGGTGTAAAACCTTTAAATGATATGAGGCACTCTGCCTTTCAGTGCTTTTTAGATAAAGGTTCATAGATCACTGAAGTTAACTGCAGTCTTCACTCTTTCTGGATTGACAGGAATAGCACCCTCAAATTTCAGAGCCATCAGACACCATGGTATCATGCTATCGGAGTTGACTGTTGAAAGTTGCTTAATATCCCTGGTATGCAACAAGGATCTTTGCTAGGAGGAAGCTTTTCCACCTTAGAGTCTGACCATTGGTATTCCAGACTTATAACCTGAAATAGGAGTGGATAGCATCATGAATCTGTAAAATCCCATCATATTTATTAGATCTTTGGATGGCTCATTCCTCTGTGATTCTTAATAACTTGGGGAGGAGTAGTGTTTATCCAGAATGATGAACCAGGACTTGATAGTAGTGAAGATATAGGAGAAAGCCTCTCCCTCCCAGTCCACTGTTGTAAGTAAACAGCAATGATGTAGAGGAAAAAAAAATCCTGAGAGGGAGCCAGAGTTCTAGAATTAGTAACCAGTGACTTAAGGCAAGTTGATGTCACCTTGAGCTTCATTTTACCCACCAGTAAAAGAAAAGGTTTGAACTAGATGACATCGAAAGCGTCTTCTAATTCTGTATTCCAGGAATAGTGTAAGACCCCTGACCAGTGGCAGAGCTTGGCTCCTCCTTCTCTCCACTTTTCATCCATTTTATAACTATGTCTGGTTGCAAGGAAAGAGAACATCCCTCCAAGGAGTTGTTAAAGTTTTATAGCAAATTCTGTAAATTCCTCTTTTCTGCTTTTTGGTCCTGGATAAGGCTTTATGCATCCTATAGCTATAGTGAGGGCGGGATAGAGGGACAGAGGCAGGGAAATGTGTGAACACACCAGGAGAGGACTCGGGCTGATAGTTATTGCTCCAGGCCATAAAAAAGGCCAAAGCCAAAGAGATATAGAGGCCAAAATTATAGATTAGGTAGGTCTACACAAACCTTGGAGTAGGCTCGTATGATAGGTTTAGCAGTGAGCGTAATGGTTTAGGGAGCATAAGCATGCTCCCTTCAAAGCTTATCTCTCTAGGCCCCTCCTTTTTAGTGCAGGAAACTTGAGCTGGGTCCCCACAATTATTGCCTAAATCCCCGAAGTCTCAGGATTTCTGACTCCTCATTAGGGACATATATTTAGATTTACTGCACTGTGTGGGGCCTGAATTCCATTAGATGTGCCATGTTGGGGCGGCACCATCGGTTTTTGGTGTGTTTAGCTGGCGTGCTGGTATTTTTTGGAGCCTGTGATAGGCAGAGGGACGGCCATCTCATGTGCTTACCAACATGCTCAGGGTGGGGATTTCTGCATCTTCTCTGATGTCAGCCTTGCTTTAGGGTAAGAATGTGTGTCTCTCTGCCTTCTCCTGACTCCTACCATGTGGTTCCCATGTGGCTCTTGTGAATTACACTGGGATGATTCAGCAGGGCCCTTAGAGAAGGGAATAATTAGTCTGTTGGGAGCAGGGGATAGGGGAGGAGTCAAGGAAGCAGTGTTTGAATGAAGTACCGTACCAGGTCAGGTGACCTATAGATCACTCACTTAGATCTTCACAGTTTGGTCTATTTTAGGTGGTCCAATGTTTCATCTGAATTTCAGTCTCCACCATTTGCATAGCATGAAAGATGTACTAGTATGTTTGCTTGTTATGGGCTTGTGCACATTATCTGTTGTCCTGGTAGTTCAAGTTTATGAGCGCACCCTCCAGATGGTCTGGACCCTGAGCATCTTGACACACTTATGAAGTTGATGAAGAGCATGTGGGGCTGGGGAAGGAACGTGATGCATCCCTTTTAACCATTTCTTGGCTCCTAGGGTTCGTTGGCCCTAGCAGTATCCAGCATGTGCCTGCTCTGTGCTTAAAATTTTAAGTTATAAAACATTTAACTGTTTGCTACTAGTTCCCTCCCAATGGGTTGACATTATCTGGGATGTTGTCTGTAAAATATTTTAAGCTATTTAAAGGAAAAAGAGAAAAAAAATCTTATTTAGATTTGTATATCTCCTTACATGTTGGTTTTCCAGGAACAAGGTGGGAAGTTAGTGACAGGAACTTGAGGCATGAGTGGAAATCTGAAGTTACTGCTCAGGGGATCTCTTTGTTGAGCCCTGAATTTCTTGCCTCTGGGAGATTCCAGCTTTGCACGTGGGATTCTTAAGGCTATAAGGTTGGACTGGATCCAGAGGGTGCAGTTGCTTACTGTTGGTTGCGCATTAATGCTAAGGGCTGTCGGTGGAAACTCACAATGAAGGCATGCAGGAGGAGATGCCTGCAGGGGCTCACGGCCTGTGCCTCCCTCCCTGTTCCTTCCTCCCCAGCCCAGGCTCTCCTCATGTTCAGTTTGGTGTCTGTCACAGGCTAATCTACTGGTGGCTCTTTTTAGTAAGGCTGTAGGAGGATTAAGGATACAAGTAACACAGTTTGGGAAGGATTAAAATTGAGTATCTCTCCAAAGCCATGTTAGAGCAAAAGATGAAATTCCAGAAAATAGAGATACCATCAAAAAGGGGCTGAAATAAAGGGAAGAAGAGATTGTCCCTGAGATGTAATGCATACATATCTGTGAATTTCAGCTCTTGGCCTCTTTATTTGTCTCCAAAGAAATGAGGAGGGAACTTTCCCAGGGAAAAGCTCCTTTATAGTGCTCCTAAACATGTATAATTAACAGACCTAATAAGACTGTTGTTTCAGAAACCATAGAGTTGACCTCCATCGATTGGTTATTTTTTCCTTGGCGTTCCCACCTTCCTGCAACCTCTGTACAGAGAGGCCTTAATTGCTTTGGGCTGGGCAGAGCAGCAGTTACTTTTCTCATCTCTCCCTTCTCAGCAGTGGCTGTATTTTAGCAGAAGGCAAGCAAGCTTAAGAGAACCTCTAGGCTAAGAAGCAACTATACGAAGAAAAAAGAAGCCCATTTCTAAGCAGGCAGCCTTCTTGGTGACCTCATCTTCCTCCCAACTTGGGTCCAGTTGGAGCTGTGCATACAGGGCAGACTTCCAGTTCCTCCTGTCTGGGACTAACAGTGGCAGATATAAATAGACCAAGACTTTGTCTGTAGCCATTGTTCTCTAACTGCCCATTGTTTCTAGAAGCAAAGCAATGCTGTGGCTGCAGCTCTCTTTCTCTCTCTCTCTCTCTCTCCACCCCACCCCCTTTCTCTGTCTTTCTTTATTTCACTGTACAGGGGTCTGAATTCCAGCTCAACCATTTGTACTATCAGCCACCTTTCACTTGCCAGATGCTTAGAAACTCGAGGGGAGAACTGGCTCCACAAGTGGGAGACCAACTGAATATTGTAACCTCATATTTTGATTCCAGTAATGCTTTTGTCTGAGTCTTTCCATGATATATTTGTGGTCAAGACAAAGATATGTGGATCTAATGATAGTAAAGTCAGGAGGATTTGTAACTGGTTGAGCAACTATACCCAACGGGTCTTGATTAATGTGTCAGTGTCAGAGTAATGCATGGTCTCTGATGTTATGTTATGGGGATCAGTACTTGCTGGTTGCCTTTTCAACATTTTTATTAGGGGCTTAGAATAGAGAAAGACACAGAAAGCACACTTAGTGCATTGCAGATGGTGCAAAGCTGAGAATGATGGCTAATAGGATGAGCACAGATTCAAGGTATAAAAAAGTTCTTAGAAACATGGATCGAAACAAAGTGAAGTTAATATGGATAAATGTGAAGCCCTGTTGTGAAGTTAATAAAATTCAGTCAATAGGTACAGAACTGGTTCAGTATCACTTTCTATGGAGAGGTCCTGGCAATGTCCTTTGAGTGGCTTTTGTAGTTAGGCTGTTAGATCAGTGTTGTCTTAGTCTGCACCAGTCAAAGCTTATGGAGTAAGATGATCATCTCATTGTTCCCATTTAACTTCTGAGAAGCACGATGTTCACCTATGAATGCTTGTGATGCTCTTCAGGAACATAGGCTTAGAGGAATGCTTCTAGGTGGAGCGAGGGGAGTGGCCAAAAACCATGCCAACATGAATGGTTGAAGGAACCACGGAGTTTGGAAACCTGGACGGAAGTGATGATAGGAGGAAGAAAGCAGGGGAAAAGCTGCCAGATAAGGACAAATTTGCTTTGTGCTGCTGATCTCTCAACAAGCAAAGCAAGGGCCTATTGATAGAATTCATAAGAAGGCAGATTTAAACTCGTTGTGTCTAATCATTTTTAAATAATCATTTTGGCTTATAAGTGAAATTGTGTAGCTCAAAAAGGATGGGGCAACCAAATGTCTTAAGTGAGAAGACTTCTGGGGAAGTATGGTGGTCGTTCTTCAGGTCCTGCCCTGCCCCTCATGACCACTCATCATCAAGTACTCCTCTGTGGATCTGGAAGCTGGAGCAGGGTGTGCACGCATACTGTGTTGCTTCAGTGCCTGTGGCTGCCAATATTGAGAATCCTTGTCTGATGTACTGGGAAAATGGACTTGCGTATTCTTATTTTTCATTGTGGTTTCCCTGGGTTGAAAACAGACAGTTGCACTGTGTGAATGTGTATGAGTATGCTTTTTCCTTCTCAGTCCAGATTTATTTATTAAAAGAAAAACACATCTGCATAAAAAAGCCTTAGAACGCAGGAAGAATGTCCACTTTGTTTTTCTTTCTGTAGCACCGAGACATGTGGGGTTTCAGCTTCCTCTAAGAAGTTTTTGAAGACTGGCTTTCATCTCAAACAAGACTTTTTCCCATTGGAAAAACGGTCCTTTTTTGGTTTAAAAATGTATTTATATAATGTATAAATAAATAAGAAAGTTGAGAGAGAATTTCCTTTCAAAATTGATGAAAAAATGTTGCTTTCTGAACATCATTAATTGGGAGTCGGTTGTTGCCTCTTCCCAGGCCATTGCCACTCTGCATTCTGTTTCTTTGTTCTGGTTTACAATTTTCCAATATTCCCTTTCTCTGCTTCCTGCTTTCTTCCCTCTCTCCTCCCTTCTTGGCCAGCTCTCCTCCTCTGTCTGATCCCAGCTCCAGCCTTCTCCCTTGGCGGCTACCCCCATGGCCACTGCACCACCTTCCTAGCCCCCGTTCCTCCTTCCTTTCTCTAAGCCTTTCTTCCTTCTGCCCTTCCCGGGCTAACTTTGAACAACTGAAGCCCTCACTGGAAGAGGCCTGTCTCTGTGTTTGTTTCCTGCGTGGGAGGGAGAGGCAGGCCTTGAGAAAACAGTTCAAAAGTGCAGAAAAACTTTACCTCTTCCAGCCTAAATAAACGGGCTCTACTCCATTTGTTTGCCCAGATTTTTCATTTGCCCATGGAGAAAACTCCTCATCGTACACCTTGCCCAGCCTGGCCTTCTTGGTGATTCTCAGCACCACTCTCCCGATGCCTGTTTTACCCCCCGACCAAGTGCCAAGTGGGCCCCGAGCCGAGGTTTGACCAGGCCAGTTCTGGGTAGGACGTGCAATGGAGCCTGCTGTCGGTAGAGAGTCTCGGGGATTGAGGTTCTTCCCTGCTACAGAAAGAGCTTTTTCTAGAATGAAAATGTTGGAGAAAATGAAAAAAGAAATGTTATCATGCCCCATCATTTTTGCCTCATTTGCTTTTAATTCTGTGAATAGGTGCAGGGAGAAAACACGTGGCTTGCGTGTCTGAAGATGTGGGATTGAATCCTTGTTATATCACTTTACTGGTTTGATAATCTTAGTTAAGTCACTTAAGAAACATTTGTGAGCCTCAGTTTCCTCACCTACATGATAAAGATAATAACTACAAGTGCTTGTTTTGAAAAATCATATGAGAATATTCAAGAAAATGCTTTCTAAAAGATACAGTTCTAGTCAAATAGCAGGAATGATAATTATAGGTGGGAGTTAAGTGAAATTAAAATAAATTGGTTAGCCCAATTCATCAGCATCTGCAAGATCTCAGAGGATGAGGCCTCAAAGGCTATTATGTAAACCAGAATTAGTGGAAGCTGGGATTATAGCAAGATGTAGTTGTCAGATATTCTCCATTGTCTTCCTGGATGGGGTTATCCTATGTCATGTTGGTACCAAAAGCCGTATGATCCTGTCATGAGAATTTTAGTGAAGGCAGGGCAGGAGTTTTCCTCATTCAGAAGTGTAAGATGTGGGAAGAACCAATAGGATGCAATGTGGTTCTCTGCAAAGCCATGGAGACGAAAGAGCCCAACTCATTCTTTCCTCCTGAGTAATGTAGAGACCATGGCTCTGTGTTTTTCAGATAAAGAAGTCACACTGTTCTGGGACATTTAGGAACTATAAAGTATGTCATGTGGTGGGAGTCAGGTGTAATTATCTATGCAGGAAATGCTTTGAAACATGTGAAGTACTTTGTAAATGGCTTGAAATGATCATTTAAGAAGCTTAAATGATTCTTTAATGTACCCTATGGAGGTGGTCCTTGCACACAGGAATCATAATCTCAATAGCTAAAACTTCCTTTTAAATTGCTTGAGTGTCGTTAATTTAGAGGCCCATAAATGACAATTAAAACGCAGCTTGGGTTTTGGCAGATTCCAAACACATAGAAAAGAGTTCTTAGCATAAAATTATACTTTTGCTTTGTGCCATATTGATTCTAAAGTGGAACTCTTAGGACGTTTTTGCAACCAAAAGGCATCTTAGGTGCATTGGATTCATGTAGTTCTGAAGTGTCACGGCAAACATATTTTAGATGCTTATTGCTGCAAAAAGTATTTCCCGTTAGCAGATTGGAGGATGCAGAATAGGTAAGAAATTAGTCTATTCTGTTAGAAAAAAATGCCAGTTTCAGGGGATGTCAATTTCCATTTATATCTCAGAATCTGATTTTTGCGTTTGTTTTTCTTATTTTCTCAGTCGCTTATTTGTACCTGGAGAAATTGCCAGATTCCTTCTTGATGTTTCTGTAAGCATTGGGAAATAAAATCTTTTTTTTTAAGTCTTTATATTTTATAAGATGCTTTTCAGTATAATCAAGTAGCCAATGATTTGTTGAGCACCTACTATGTCTTAAGCTTTGGCATTGTCACACATAGTCCACTTAATCCTCACAGCATGGTGGGTAGAGCATCCTAGAGAATGAAAGCGAGCTTCATCTGAGGGGCTTTGAGACCTGGTTTATGTACCTTCACTTGCCAGGCTGCTAGAGAAAAACACATATTTAAAAGCCTTTCCAGCAGGACACATTCATTCATGTATTTCCTATTTTAGGCCATTTGCCCAATGTTTAGGGTGGGAGATTTGAACTAGTCTAAGGAATGAGCGAGAAAATTTAGCTACAGGACCAAGGGGGCAGTTCTGCTTTCTGGCTGGGATCCTGGAACGGAAGAGCCTCTCTGGGTTTCCCTGAACACCTGGAATTGATTTGGGTTTTGCTCTGACTTCGAAACATTTGCTGAGGTGGAGGATGGTGGAGGAGGTAGGAAAGAAATAAATCCAGTGATTAAAAATAGCTTGTGCATGTCAGGTGCCTGAACGAATTTGGGAACATGCCTGCAATCCCTTTTGTCTGGCAGGTCTGAACTCCGGCGCTGCCGAATTACAACTGCTTTCATTTGTTTTTCCTGCTTCCCTACCATGTAATGGTCAAGGGCTCATTGGAACCATGTGTGAGCCTGGTGAGTCACCAAATCCTCAGGACTTCAGTGGTAATAATGTGTTAAAACTCCTTTTGGGGGATGGGGCAGGAGGTGGATGAAGGGAAGAGGGAGAAGTCTGAGGTCACTTCCTACAGATGTTCAGTGTGCTGAGCCCTCTCTACAGGCTTCTTTCTCAGGCCTGGCTGCAGGACCTGAAACCAGCTTCTCCATGCAATTTGGAGCTGCCTTGCAGGAGACCATCTCTTTTGTCTTAGGGCAGCTTCCCTCTGGGGAGAGGCATCTCCTCTGAGTTGGCACATTGTACCCAAAGAGCGTGCTTTCCCTAGTGACTGTGTGCATTGGCAGCAAACCGAGATACTGTAACTTGAGACTGGCTTGCATTTTTGGTCAGTCAGGTCACTGGAGGGTGAATTGGGGATTTTCTCTGCAGCTTCTTCTCCCTTCTTTGCAGTGGTTTTTACTGGCTGGTGACTTCGAAAGGGTTAGGTATTAAAAGAAGTTCAGAAACCCAGTTGTATGTTTCCTAACTCATATGAGTCTCTTCCAGGTCTCATAGTGTCCTGTTGTTTGGGACAATAATAGACGGTTTGGTTGGGATGGGTGGCCTCAGCATGGGCACTGAGTCATTTATTGCTTCACTCTTGCTGGAGCCAAGAGTCCTGCGTGTCCCCCATTGTGTTGTCACATCATTGGGTTTATGAAAATACAGCCGAGGGGCTGAGGAGGGACACTTCCCTCCCTTCTTTGCATTAACCTTAGCCAGAAGCTTTGTGGATTATAGTACCTCCCTAAGCTGGAAGTCCTGCCTGCCCGGTTTCTAGTGCCTATCACAGGAATCACTTACCACTCCCTTCTACTCTACTTCAACCCTGCCTTTATATGAATGAGAGAGGGCAATAGAGACTGTCTTTCTTTGAGATTCCTTTGCACATTCTTCTGAGATCATTAGCTTTTTTATCAGGAGAATCCTCTTGTAGACCAGTGACCACCCTCCAGGGGTCATCAACTTCAGAAGCAGAGCCGTCAGTGTGGCTGCAGCCATTTCTCTATTTGTGTTGGTCTGAAGGGGTAAAGGCACCTTATCTCCTAAACTGGGACTTGTTGTCGGCAGTTTGGCAATGATATTACCTTTCACACTGCCCTTCTGTGCTGGCCAGAACTCCGAGCCTTTTTATTTGTTTTGTACACTTTAGTTACAGTTGTAAGTTCATGAGGATGTTGACCATTAAGAGGAAATATCACTGCAGCCTTCTGCTTGTAGGAAATGGAAGTCCCTGGAACTGGCTTACCATCTTGATTTGAAATCATCTCTGTGATCCAACATTGGCACTTTCCAGATCATGACAGTGTTGCTTTGAAAGAAGTTCTGTGGTTCAAGTGGGCCAATGCATGAAATATAGACCTAGATTTAAGCATGAGAGAAAGTAACTTGAAGGCTTTTTTTCTTTTTCCTTGAGTTTATTTGCCTCTTATTGAACTTTAACTCTATGATCTCCCTTTATCTAAAAAATATCCTTGTGACAATGAAATATTTGTGGGTGAAATGACTTGTTTTCTGGGATTAGGTGTATAATTCTTCTGCGTGTGTGTATGGGTGTGCATGTGTGTGGAAGATGAAATAAAAACGGGTAGTATTGATAAATTTTGAGTAGAGTTTCTCTCTACTTTTATGTATGTTTGAAAATTGCCAAATAAAAAATGTAAAACTCTATGAGGGATATAGACACCACCTATGAACAGACCTCTTTTCAAAGTGAATTGAGTAAGTGACTTATCCAGTGTGTCTACACTAATGGCGTATGTGAAATCAGAACCTATGGATTTTGATCAACAAGTTATCAACAATGCACGCCCCTCTCTCTCTTTTTTCTTTGTCTTTAGAATCCTATCTTTCAGTTTGGAGAACTGTTCTTTTATCCTCTCCATGTGGACCAGAAGGTTTATTCTTGGTTTACTTTTACTTTAAAAAATATATTTCAGTAAGCCTTTATGTAACAAATTAAACTTCTGTTATATGCAAAGTTACCCATTAGGTTGAGTCAGGGTTGGACAGAGAAGGAAGCCAGGTTTTCACTTAACTCATTTGCTTCATATGGAAGGAAGCCTCAGTTGCCTGAGTGCCAGGAAAAGAAAAGATTATAGTTGATTCTGTAAATGGCTCTTAATTATGTTCTTACGGGGCTAGCTGTATGAAACCCTGGGTTTCTTGGAATAGTTTTAAGTTTTTAATCACTCCTAAAATCTTTCAAAATAAGAAAGGAAAAGTCCCATTTTTTTTTTCTCAGCTCTGAAAAATGTTAGTTTTCCTGGATATCTGATCCATTTCTGTTTGCAGTGGAATAGAGAGAAAGACCCTGAACTTTAAGAGTTAGAAGACTGGCTTCTAGCCCCAGCTGGTCCCTCTTGGCCTTGTGACTTTAGGTCAAGCTCTTGATCTCCCAGGGCCTTGATTTCCTCATCTGTGAAATGGGGACCTTGTGATACCTTTCCAGGCCCCTCCAGTTTTATGTTTAGAGGATATTTTGGAATAGTGTATGTGAAGAGTCTTGGCAAACTGTAAAGCATTTCTCAGGTATAAGGCATATTACTCACTCTTAGTATTTCTTTCATGCTGCTATTGAGTGTGACCATACCCAACACACATGACTGGTATCATAATCTGATGGGGTTGGGCCCAGTTCAATGGTCATGCAAAACTGGGACATGCACCTTGGATTTCTTGTCCTTGGCTGTATCCCTCATCTCCTAACCCTAGGATCCCAGACGCTCCAGTCTTCACATGATCATTGATTGAGAATAGTGAGAGCATAAACTCGTGAGGTCAGTAAGGCCAGATGTCTTGAACTTCTTGCCAAACAAAAGCCACCTAGTGTTTAGATTCTGTGTACCATTGTTGGTAAGAGCCATTCGGTTTCAAAGAACTGAAAAGAGTGGTATGAAAAGACACATGAAACACCCTGGAAGGTTCTTGGAAACTGAACAGCCCTTAACTTTGAGTTACATGTAAGTGAATGGAAACCCTTGTTTTACATTTCACTTGAAACATCTATGAGGTGGTTCAGGGTTAGGCCACAATGAAAAATGAGCAGATGTTTCCCTGCATTCAAAATGCCACTAGCTTATTCTTCTGTAGATTCAGAGAAAGCTACCTGCTCACTTCTGTCTAAATACTGTGCAATCTCCTGCAATGGTTATTTAATCACCAGCTTCTGCACAACTGTCCTTTCAGAGGTCTAGGGGAATTCCTATAAATATTAACTGAAATTTGGGGTCCCAAGGAATAATCAGTGGGCAGGAAATCTAATATAATTGCAATATATTTATGTCCTCATTTTCCAGTGCGTTGTGTTTAGAATCTCCACTGTGTTGGCGTAGTGTTTCTCCAGGCCGGATTCTCAGCATTTTGAAACAAATACGTTATTTGAATTTAAGATATTGTAATTATTAGCACAAAGGAGATTTCAGTATTTTTCCATAAAATATAATTAGTTAATGTCTATGGAGGTAGTGATTAACTTTCAGACACTGATTCTAAAATTAGAAATATTTTGTACCTAATGTAAAAATATTATAATAGGTGATGAAGTAAAGTATTTTAAGAGTAAAGCGATATCTGCTTAGGCTAAGTCATGTCAGATTTTTCACCCGTGTAATGATTTTGTCATTGTTTTTGATGAGTATATTGAACAGAACTGCTACAATCTGCAAACAACATGAAGAGAATTTTTGAATTAGTATTTTATATGGTGAGTTTATTTTCTATTTAATATACATTTTTGAGCATGATTAGTCATCACTTAAGAGCAATGCTCACACAACCGAAAAAGACAATCTTTGCCAACTGTTCACTTAGTTATAGAAGGGAGTTTGACTTTTTTTTTCTTTTTAAACTACAATTCCACACTTTATAGGATAAAGTTCTGACTTTTACATCTGAATCCTTTGGCTCCAAAGACAATGCTGTGCCTTCTCTGGAGCTGATCAAGTCCAAATGCAAGTGTCCTAAGTGGACAGGGATGGTTTCCCCCAGCTGGGATGTGAACCCTTTTTTTAAAGAGATCTAGCACTTGAGTCTCACAGCCAGAGGGGCAGAGCCAGGCACCTCTGATGGGGCCCCAACAGCACGTGGACTGGGCTTGTGGAGATGGCATTGAGGTGGAAAGGCAAAAGTAATTCTAGCTGCTTTCCTGGGAGAGAACAAGTGAGAACCCAGAAGTGCCTGCCCCCTGACAGGAAGCAGAAACCTACGTGGAGAATTGTCAGCTCAGCAGTCCTGTCCAGACCACACTGCCAGGGCTTGTGTAGTTATGGGAGGCAGACTCAAGGAACTTCTTTTTCAGGCTTTCTGCTGTCGTCCTTGGCTGTCACCTCACACTGGCATCCCACTGTCCCAGCTTTCATGTTGAGAAGATTCTGGGGGCCTCCTAGTCAGTCTCATTCTTCAGTTCCCGCTACAGCAGAACCACTGCTTGTCCATTTGGCCTGGCCTGTGTTTTCCACATGTGTTGTCCTGGCCAATTTCCGCCATCAGTAAGGTCCTTTTCATCAAGTCATAAATCTAATGGAGGGAACAAACACACACAACAAAACCCACACAGTTCAAGTTAATGAATTTGTGTTGGATGGGGGTGAAGGGAGGAAAGTTGCTTCAAATTTGGAAAAATTTAATTCACTCAACATTTGTTGATTGACTTGTGTGTTTAGCCATGTGCTGGGAGCTGGGGCTGCTACAGTTGTTTCTTCTCTCAGAAGCAATACTCTCTGGTTAACTAGAGAGCCCTTTTCTCTAAAGTAAAACTGATTTCTACTCTAAGGGAAGACATTTCTGGACCTGCCGCTTAGCTGTTCTTGGAGGTGTAGAGTGGGGATGGATGGGGAGCAGCCATGTGTTTCTTAGTGACTCATTTGATGATTACTCCATTGTTTGAAGGGCTGGATGTTATGTAATCAACATTCTATCCCCTCCCCCAATTACTTCCCCCTAACAATCTGGGATTTTCCATCATTTTGTTAACCTTCCTGGAGACATGTTGATTTTTTCCACTAGATTTTTTTGGGCATGTCCCAGGGCAACCCAAACTTACCACTCCCTGGAACTTCAGATTCCTCGTCATTGGCAAGGCCTGGAAGAGCAGCTAGGGAGCCCTTCTGTTCTTCCAGGGCACAGCCTGGACTCTAGCAGTTTCCTGACAGCATCACTAAAAGCAAACAAGAGAGAAAGTGCCACCTGTCCTTCTTTTATGCAGTGTAATCTCCACTTAGTTCGACATTCAGAGGCAATATATTTGCTCCTTTCTTCAGAGGTTTATCCTATGCTTAATTTCATTCAGCCCATAACACATTGTTTGTGTCCGGGGAATATTTTTTAACGAAGCAAAGTTTAGAAATGGCCAGTTGAAGAATTTCTGTAGTAGCCTTGCCTGGAACTTAGTCATTTTATAAGTCAGTTTCATGGGATACACTGAAGATTCAGGTTTCTAGAAATCACTTTGGTAAAGTGTATCACTGTCAAAAGGTAACAGGAAAGCTAGTAGGGATTCTCAGCTCATTTCTTTGCTTATTCACTTTTTGTGGGAAACTGTGCCTGAGGTTAATTCAGAAGATGTTTACGTTCAGCTGTATTTATGTACCAACATCGTGAACATGGTCTGCAAATACAGGAGGATCTGGATGGACATAGCAGAGATTAAGGTGCATGTGGGTGTGGCAAATGATGATACATTTGCAAATCTGCAGGCTGTAATGCCTCACTCTTCTTCACTACTGACACTAACCAAGCTTTATAGATTTTTCGTCCTGTATGCACTTCAAGTTGACTTGAAGTCATGTTCACTTATGTTATCTGCCTTGCCACTTTTGTAGTCAAAGCCACCATCCTCTCTCACCAGGACTGATGCAATAACTTTCTAAAATGTCTTGCTCATCCATTCATACTCACCCCTAAATCACTCTTTACAGAACGGATAAGGTGATCTTAAAACAAAATGATCTTTTTGTAGTTGATGCTGATGTCCCTGCTCTGAGGACTACACTTTGAGAACCACTGATCTGGAGTATTCTTTTCTTCCTAAATTCTCATGCATCCTTCACAATTCAGGTCAAACATCTCTCATCTTCTAAGGGAGGCCTTTCCTGTTTCCTTCAGACTTCCAGGAATTCCTGTTGCACATTAACGTTGCATCATGTACTTCTCCTTTGAAGCCCTTATTGACATTGCATTTGAACATTTAACTGTGTAGATAGATTTTTAGTGGCTGAATCTACTGCAAGAATCAGATAGCTAGCTCCTGTGGAGACTATTTCTGTGTTGCTCACTGTTGTTTCTTTAATTCCTTGCACAAAGCAAGTGCTAGATAATCATTTGTTGAATGAATGAATATTGTTATTTCATTTTCATAGGTAACTGAAAGTATGTAGTAACATTAATATTCTCGGTAAATGTGAAAGATAAGCAGGGACTGTGTATAAACTAGTAGAGGTGTTCAGGAAGAGTAAACATATTTGTTTGTCAGGGATGCAGGACATTTTAGACCTAGCACAATGTGGAAAGCCCCTTAAATGTTGCCTGCTCATGCTGGCACAGTGGCTCATGCCTATGATCCCAGCACTTTGGGAGGCCGAGGCAGGTGGATCACTTGAGGTCAGGAGCTCGAGACCAGCCTGGCCAACATGGTGAAACCCTGTCTCTCCTAAAAATAAAAAAAACTAGCTGGGCATGGTGGCACATGCCTATAATCCTAGCTACTCAGGAGGCTGAGGCAGGAGAATCGCTTGAACCCAGGAGGCAGAGGTTGTAGTGAGCTGAGATCACGCCACTGCACTCCAGCCTGGGTGACAGAGCAAGACTCCGTCTCAAAAAAAAAAAAAAAAAAAAAATTGCCTGCTCTGGTGCTCTGGTGAGGATGCTAGCACAGTTGTTTCTCAGCTTGCCTTCTTACAGCCCATTTGTAATGTTTTATGATTGGTTCATTACCTATGTAATTTTTGTTATTCATATGCAATTTTTTCATGCAGATATGGAATGTGCAGATGTCCCACTATTAACTCCAAGCAGCAAAGAAATGATGTCTCAAGCATTAAAAGCTACTTTCAGTGGTTTCACTAAAGAACAGCAACGACTGGGGATCCCAAAAGGTATGGTTTTGTAGTTGGAAAAAGAGTGGTTGGGGTCAGACCCTTTGGGAAGACACATTTTCTCACCTGGAGTGTGTGAGGCAGACGTTACACTAACCACATTGGAGTCAGCAGCTATGGGCCATGGCTGCCATCTGTTAGGACAATCATGACACACATACTGAGGCTGCCCCGTCTCCTGGGCTTGTTCTTGCCATCTTGGTATGAAGACAGTGGTCCTCAAACTTGCCTGCACACTAGAATCACTTCTGGATCTCTTGGAACAGCTCTGATGTTGGGCATTACACCTGCTGTCATCTGAACTTCTAAGTGTCATTGGTGGGTGTAGCCAGGTTAAACCTCAGGTCATGTATGAAGATTGCATGTTATCAATACTACAGTGCTACTCAAGCTATAGCTTATGATAAGTACAGACTTTGCAGAGTATCTGGTATAATACAGGCACCTAATAATGTTATTACCAAGTGCCATTTGAATGAATGACTACTACTAATTGCTACAATTGTTACCACTATAATTGGCTAAGATAAAAAATAATCGAGAATAATAGTCTCAAGTATATTATAGTTAAGAGCAGGGAGAGGCATGAGCAATCTCTTGTTATTATTGCTATTAAAGAAGCCATTTGTTCTGTTCAGGGCTTTAAAAAAGTCCAATGGGAATAAGGCAGTGAGAGAGGAGATTCATGGAAATCTTTGCCTGCAAGGACAGAGAATACTCATGTGGTACTTTTTGGCTGGCAGTAGTGACCTCCTAGCTGGTGAAATAGAGAAGGCGGAGATGTTGAATATGGAGGGGAGGGTTATGGAAGGCACTCAATGATGTGCAGGCTAGGCTGATGCTTCCTCATTCGATGAATAAAGATAGCATTCTCAGCTAAATTCAGCTCCTTCAGTGTCCTCTCTGAGGCTTGGATAGGAGTTAAAAGCCCGACCTGCTGGATCTTCATCTGATCTCTTTCCTCAGACCCCCGGCAGTGGACAGAAACCCATGTTCGGGACTGGGTGATGTGGGCTGTGAATGAATTCAGCCTGAAAGGTGTAGACTTCCAGAAGTTCTGTATGAATGGAGCAGCCCTCTGCGCCCTGGGTAAAGACTGCTTTCTCGAGCTGGCCCCAGACTTTGTTGGGGACATCTTATGGGAACATCTAGAGATCCTGCAGAAAGGTAAATATGTGGAAACAGAGAGAGGTGGAGGTTATGTGGGGTTGCTGTGAGAGTAGGTAGGGGGCTCACCCAATGGTGGGACGTCAATGCCTTTATCTGTGGGTGTCCTACTGTAGGACGTATGTGGGAATGTGCCTAGTACACTGCTCAGCATACAGCAGGTACTCTTAGATGAGTGTAATTTCTTTTTCTTCTACATATTGGGGGTTCAGATATTAATCTTCAGCAAGATTGTACCACTGAAGCTTCTTGGATTGCAACATTCTAATCCAGGTCCTTATCTCAAACCCATGCCCTGGTTGAACAAGCAGTGCCCACAGCCAACCCAAGAATAGTTTTTGTTTTTGTTTTTGTTTTTGTTTTCTGCAATCTTAATACACACTGCCTTGATGCATGCCCCATAATACCTCATCACATCCCGGGAAAGCTTAGCGTCTGAGACCGTATTAATAAGACAGATTTCTCTGCCCACTAACTGAATTGGAATTGCAGTAGTGCATCATACCTTTTACATCTGGAGCAGGAACTGGGGTTATATCAGGACGCTATGTTGCAACCTTATAATGACATGGCCTCCCCTAACAGCCTCTTCCAACCTTTTTGGACCAAGTGACTCATGTACCACAGTCCTGGCTGAGTATAGAAACAGCAGCAGGCGGCAAACTTGGGTGTTTTTGTGCTTATTTTTTTGAATTTTTTCTTAAAATAAATTGCAGTTACCAGCAGTCAGCAGTGCCCTTCAGCTGACTGTAAGCCTAGAAGCCCATTGCCCTCTCTAACCCAGGCCCATCCTTTCCCTGTGGTCATCAGCTCTAACCCTTGGCACAGACGCTGGGGGAGGGGAGCAAAACTCAGGATTAGCACTTTTACCCCGCATTATACCTTCCTTTGGTTAAGAATATATTCCATTCTGCAGTGCTCAAGAGAGACCCAAACTAGATTTCTCTGTGCTCAAAAATGTTATCTTTATTCCTTCTTTTCACTTTCTGTTGAAAAATAAGACATAAAGGAATACAGGAAAGAACTAGGTGAGTCTTTCTGTGGCTGCTTTTACCGAGGATGGCAGGCAGTTGCAAAGCACCGGCATGTTCTCCATGCACAGACACCCACTCATAGGTGTTGACATGAGCGACCTGTTTATAGAGGGAAACGATACGGCAGGCTCCTAACAGATCTGATTTGACTGTTGACTTCTAAACACAATAGCAGATTCAATCAGACTGTGTAACCCAGTATATTCTACTAAGAGGCTGTTTTCCTCCATTTATCAAAATGGAGCTGCTAGGTGTTTTGGGCTATCTAAGCCCATCTCTGATTGTAGTTACAATTAATATCTCTATCATGTCTCCCTGTTTCCAAAGTGCTTTCAAATACATTTTCTCTTTGGATTATCAAAATAACTGTGAGATAGTAAGGACAAGTCCTATTATTGTCCTTGTCTGTAAAATGAAGCTCAGGGTAGGCGATTTCTTCAGTATCACTCATCTCCTTTTCTTCATTTTATTTCAACTTTCAGTATATTTTTATTTTATTTTATTTTATTTATTTTTTGAGACAGAGTCTTGCTCTGTCACCCAGGCTGGAGTGCAGTCGCGCGATGTCGGCTCACTGCAACCTTCGCCTCCTAGGTTCAAGCGATTCTCCTGCCTCACCCTCCTGAGTAGCTGGGACTACAGGCGCATGCCACCATGCCTAGCTAATTTTTGTATTTTTAGTAGAGTCAGGGCTTCACCGTGTTGGCCAGGATGGTCTTGATCCCTTGACCTCGTGATCTGCCCACCTTGGCCTCCCAAAACACTGGGATTACAGGCGTGAGCCACCGCGCCTGCCCTCAATATATTTTTATTTAACTTAAAATTTAACATCCCATCCTGTGCTTTTTGTATAATAATGTGGATTCACAGGGGCCTTCTGGCCGCTAAGACTGGTTTGGCCTCACTTAGGGTAAAGGAATAATGTAAGAAAATTTAAGAGAATTAGGATATAAGTCAGTATGTTTGAGAGCAAAAGTCATATCTTCCCACCCAATATTCTGTTGAGAGAGGCAGAAAGAATTCTCCCTCTTCAGGTTCAGTTACTTGAAGAGATGAGCATGATGTTTGTGCTGAGGCTACAGCTTTTGTTCTGTAATTAAAGCAACACAGCAGCAAAAGAACATAGCTGTTTGGGGTGGGGTGGAAGGTGAAAGGTACGGGGATGTTTCAATCTGATAAACTGCTAAAGCAAAGTTTAATCATTTTATCTCAACTGGGAACTGTTTTTCTGTGCAGGCATAAACTTGTTTTCCCATCAGACTTTGCTCCTAACAAGCTATCAAATACCTGAGGAAAAACCCAAACCCATACTCTATGTCAGATTCTTATGGTGAAATATAATCAGACTACTCCATACAAGAATCGGAGCCATGGCATTTGTTCCAGGGTAATTAGAGGATCCCAGGCTTACTGCAGGGTCGTTCAGAGCTTTCTGTCCGCAGGTGCACTTCGTCTCCCTTCCTCTCCTTTTCCTAGGGGAGTTGGCATCTGGGCAGGAGCTTGACTGGGTTGCTCTTCTCTCCCTTGACACAAGCGCAGTCGCATTTCACCAAATGGAGTCACCTTACCAGTGTCCTGCTTCTTGTCTGGGCCTGAACTTGAAACCTGAGGGCAATGGGAAAAATACAAAACAAAAACCAGACATCTGTTAGAGGAAATGGAGAACGTAAAATCTATGGCCTAAAGACTGCAATATATTTTTGAGAAATTTTGAAATTGATTAGTTTGGGGGTTGGGGATTGATCCTGCTAACCTGGGATGTACTCAAGCCTTTGGCTATAGTGTGGTCGACATACACGCAGCACGAATGCATTGAGAATGAATGCTGAATGCCTTCTGAGCCCTTAGAGATTACTCATGGATTCTCTTTCCAAGATACTAAATCCCATTTTGCAGCTACTGAAATAATAACCTTAGTCATATTTTTTTGATCTCATCTTTAGACAAGGCCACAGTCAGGACAGACTCAGATACCAACCCAGTTAATGAGTATGCAGATTTCTTAGAAAAGGGGTTGAGATCATTGTGGTCTTTGCATCCAAGATCCTTTTAGGCCAAGCATGACTTGAATATTGACCTCTTTGTTCCTTCCCTATCTGTTCATTACAGAGGATGTGAAACCATATCAAGTTAATGGAGTCAACCCAGCCTATCCAGAATCCCGCTATACCTCGGATTACTTCATTAGTAAGTTCATTTCTACCCCTCTTCTCTCATGATAATAGCAAACTAGGAAAAGACCCCTATCTCAGTGAATCTCAGGCTCCTTCATGGTAATTCTATCAAAAATAATATCTTCTTAGATGTAGACTCTTCTTTGTTACTTTATTTTATTATTTTCCACAAAGCACAAAGTTTCAACCTATATATATGTTTCATTAACCTACCAAGTTCCTACACACTAGGATCCTTCTCTGATGTCTTCACCTGAAAGTCATGCAGAGAGACTGCAACTAGACCCCTAAACTTTTGTTCCTATTTGATACTGTGCACTACGATGGCCAAAAGAGGGTTGGGTTAGGGATTTGATCTTGGTCTTTGTTCTTTCCTTTTTACTAGTGGAGATAACAGCATTTCCTCCAAAATCCTTCTTTAAGAGTGTGCTATGCAGCTTCAAATTCTATTATAGGAAATACAGTCTTCTCCTTTTTCGTGTAAGATACCCAACCATACTGAAGAGATGGCCTGAGGGAAACAATGAATGTAGGCCTGTTGCACTAATGTAAGCTCTGAGATATAGGACCATCTTATCTGATGGCTGTGCTTTTACAGGGAATATGAAACAGGTTTTATTTTTTTCGTTTTATCTTTTTACGTTATTACAATTTTTATTCCAGTGACACAATGATATTAACTACTCTGTGTCAAGAGCTTATTGTGTGGGGAATGTTGGTGGGCATTTGACCTCTATCCTCATTTCATCTTCATCACAGTGCTCCGGGAAAAATCGCAATCACCCCCATTTTAGAGATGAGGATATGAAGTCAGGAAATCAATTACCTTGTCAAGGGCTAAAGCTGTTTAGTAGTGGACAAGGTTAAAAATGCAAGCTTTTCTGATTTAAAGTATTTTCCCTTATTCTCTAAGGAGCTTGTCCCACATCATAGGGCCCTGTAGATGGTGAAAACTGCTTATTTTAGGTACAAATCTCTCCTCTCTTTACTTGCAAACCCTTTGTTTCCAGGCTATGGTATTGAGCATGCCCAGTGTGTTCCACCATCGGAGTTCTCAGAGCCCAGCTTCATCACAGAGTCCTATCAGACGCTCCATCCCATCAGCTCGGAAGAGCTCCTCTCCCTCAAGTATGAGAATGACTACCCCTCGGTCATTCTCCGAGACCCTCTCCAGACAGACACCTTGCAGAATGACTACTTTGCTATCAAACAAGAAGTCGTCACCCCAGACAACATGTGCATGGGGAGGACCAGTCGTGGTAGGTCATATTTCTTCTCTAAAAGCTCTTGGGTTTACAAGAATTACCTGACTTTGTGAGTTTTTTTCAGGTTCCATTTTTTTTTTCTTATTTATTAGACCTGTAGATTCCTCAGTTTCAGCCTTCCCATCTTAGAGTGTCCAGATACTAAGAACTTTCCATCGTGGTGTTTTAGCCAAGTCCATTATTATGACAAAGGCCATGGGGTCCACAGTGAAATCAAAATCAGGCAATCTAAGAAATTAAATATCTTACTTGGGCAAAATGTTTTACTCAATAACTCTAGTTGAATTTGGTCATTTTGAAAGGTATGCTCTATTTTCCTTGAGGAGGACATAATCAAGTAAAAATGGTTCAAGTGGCCACCCTGGAAAACCCTTAAGCTTAGCATGTGTCCTGGTGCTCCTCCCAGAGGACTCCTGGGTCTGACTGTAGATCCTAGCTGGGTACCTGGAATGACCTCTGCTGGCCAGCCTGGGATCTTTAGCCTCCTGTGACTTTTTCGGTTTGGGAAGATACAAGATGGTTAACCAACGGTTTATTTGGAACCAGTCATCAGCAGTGTGGTGAAGTGTGTATTTAGCTAGAGGACCAGGGACGGAGGTGGCCAGGGGTTTCCAAAAGAAGGTAGTTTTGTTAACGTGACTATTATAATAGTGATAAAATATTCACTGTCAGGGAAGAAAGTGTTTAAAAATAGAGCTGGGTGACATAAAGCAAAAAAGGTAAAATGCACCCAATTTTTAGGAACAGGACATAAACACTCAGAGGTACAGCCTACCTAGTAAAGTGTCCAGATTGTTTTGTTTCTGAGAAAAATGCAATCTATTGTAAGAAAGGGTTTGTCTATTTAGCAAGAGCTAGATGATTTCTAAAAAGGTGAAAAACCTGACTTTTCTGGTGGGTAAATGGGAAAGAATTATAAATGGGAAGAGGAACAGGAGAAAGCTGATCAAGCGGGGCTTGGGTCAGATGTCAGGCTGGGGCTGGCCTATTAGTGATTTCTGCTCAATGACTGACCATATGCGGTGCCTATTGTGAGGCTCTTGGAGGAGAGCCCAATGGTACCTTTACTTTGAAGAATCATGGGTCATGCCCATTGTCGTCTTCTTCGAGTATTCAGACTCACACTTCCTCCTAGCAGGCCTAGGGATCACCAACAAGCCCTGCAGAGGGAAAGTCCCTGCAAAATCAGAACCCCTAATCTTCCTTCTTAAGGCCCCAGGGTGTTAGTGTTTCAGACCGAAGGGGATGGGTGGGACCAGTCGGCCTTCCCCTTTCTGGCTCTTTTTTATTTTTGGGTGCATGTCTATTTAAATACATACACACAAGTGTGTGTACATGTGTTTCTTTTTTATCAGGCGAGTCAAAGCATTAAAACGACTTTCTTCCTTGTGGGACTTTCTGTACATCTACACAGTGAGGCCAAGCCTGTGGGTTTGGGCTCAGCCATGTTGTAACTTTGGGTCGATCTCCTGTCACATTGTTTTGAAATTGCATCTGGCTTTGCATTTGTGTAATTGTCTCTTTCCCTCTCCTTTTCTTCATTCTTGGTTTTGGTCCCTACCACCCCTCCAACCCCAAACTAATGACTGTGGACCAAAAGTGACCCTTACAAGGAGACATGAGGTATTTCTTTCTGGCTCCACTCTTCTTCCCTCCCTCCAAGTTCAGGCCACAGAAACTTGAGGGGAAGACCATTTTGTGCAGGGCTGTTTTCTGCATGTTAGAAGTGCTGCAAACAGGGCCTATGCAAAGGGCCAATTGATTCTGAGATGCTGTGATTGGTCTAGACCGAAAGCATTACTGTTAGCTGATTGTTATTTATACTAACCATAGTACAGTATTCACGGGCTGCATTACAGCGTACAGAGTGCTTCTATGCCCCACTTATTTGGGCCCTAAGGACTGTCTTTGTACGAGTCTACTCAGTGGGTGGCTGGGTGCTGCCGCATCTTCTGTTTTGAGTGCTCTGAGGTCTGTTTGGTGGACTCAGATAGCTTTGGAAGGAGCTCGCCGAGGCCCTTCTCAGAAAGGCTGGCTAGTGGACAGTTTAGAGAACACAGGTTTCCCTACATGAGCGCAGCAGCATAACTGAGTATCTAATCCAGTTGGATTCTACCCATTTTTGGAGAAAATACCCGTAAATGAAGGTTCCCAGCACCAGGGTTGTGAAATCGAGCTAAAATGAAAGCTGCCTACCGCTGTAAACCACAACTCTCAACAGGGTTGCATTTGCCTCATGTTTGGGGGGTTGCCAGAGACTGGTTCTGGCTTGGTTTAGTCCCCTTGCTTAGTGGGACTCCTTGGAAACTCTACTATCTTGCTTGTGAAAATTCTGATGTCCTTTTTCTCCAAGTATAAAATTGGCTGATAGAAATGGAATCATTTCAGAGAGACTTTAGCATAAATACTATCGACTTGGTGCGGTGTTGATGAAAATATAAATTCTCCTTCTTAGGCTTTTGGTATGTTTGTCTCAAAGAGAAAATAAGTGACCATGAAGATCAGTAGCTGGTATGAACAAATACCTTTTTATGAGACGCCACAGAATTTCCTGTTCTGCTAAAACAAGGCTTTGACATTCTGGTTGTAGGCTGTTTTCTTAAATCATTTAGTGTGAATTTCTTGAAAGAAAATTAAATGATCTCTAAAAAGGTGAAAAAGATGACTTTTCTGGTGGGTAAATGGGAAAGAATTTTTAAGAATTATAAAGAAATATATATTCATTTTTAGTAAGAATGAAGAGGTGCCCTTTTGCTAGTGGACTGGGTGGGCAGGGCTGATAACTCCATGAAGCTCTTCAGTTTGCTTTCCAGAGATTACCCTCCTCTGAATGGATGAGTGGAGGAAGGAATGAGATGAAACGGATGACACCACCTTTCTGTTTAAAGCAGTTCCAGAGGGGGTCAGGATGTAGAGAAAACCCACAGCAGTGGATTTTACAAAAAGTACACACTCAACCGAATACATTTTATCCGGATCTTTAAACAATGTTGGGAGCAACATATTTTCCTATATATTTAATTTAGGTTTGGGCATCTGTTCATGTTTGATGTTTATTGTTTTAACCAATCTCCGCTGTCATGGAGGGAAAAATACACTGGAGGCACACTAATATGAAGTTGTATAAGTCAGCCTTATTCTGGGATTTGAAATTTATAGATCAACCACCCCTGAACAATTAAGAGTTGACTTACGGATATTTCTCCGTAAACATTTGTCACATCCCTTTGCCTTTTGGCCTGTGCTGAATTGAGGTGACCATCTAGTCTCCTATGATTTAACTTAGGTTACTTGAAAAGTATCTGAAAGTTGCATATAAAAACCATTCCTGCGAGCCTTTTTCGCTCTTAGATTCATTTGTTTTCCTCCAAAACTATTTTTTTTTTTTTTTTGCTAGCCTCCTTTTTAGTGGCATTTTTGCCAATGGAAATTTCTCCAGGAGCTATTGTGCAATCATAGCAGCTGTTTATAACCTGGTTTGGGAAATTAATGAACTTGCATGATCTTGTGGTCAGTTAAGAATGCCTTAAGCAACTCACACAGTAAAGGATTTCTGACACTGCTGTGGACCTTAACTCTTTAATAAACCTTTTAAATATTGCCTACACTTTTCCAATGAAGTTTAAATTTCAAGTACATAATTTTACTTGGAGAGGATAAAGAATATGGTTTTCTGTTTAGAAGAGTGATAGTGTGTGTGATTTTAAAAAATCTCTTGGGAAAAGCATCTTACACCATCTTACTCTATTTGAAAAGGCATAGGGTCAGTACATGTATTTCATATTAAAATAGTATTTGGGAAAAATGCTAAAAAATAGCACTTAGTTCCAAGGTCAAAACAGGCTAATCTGCTCTTAGTCTAATGGGATTCTTTTTTCTTATGACCAAAATGTTTTCCAAACTGGGCCTTTTGAAGTCATCTCATTGGCTTGAGCTGGAGTGGGGAATTCAGCCTGACATTGCTCTGATTTCTTCATTTATTCATTGGGCCTACGACATCAGCCAGAAATCATATCATAACATGTGTGATCCTCAGCTTCTAGATTTCTGGCTTTAGAACTCTTGAGGACCCAAACGCTACTCCGACAGATGTGAGCAACGTTTGACTCTGAATCTCTGTACTTGGAGTTCTCAAACCAGGCAGCAGAGTGGCCGTGGACCCTCGGATGGTGGCCTAGTGCAGCCCCTTTCCTCAGAGTAAACCCATGACCCCTGAAGCTTCTGTTCCCACTCGCCTCTCCCTTCTTCCGTCCTTCCTGCAGATCTGATTAGCAATCTGTCCTCCATAAGAGGGTTTTTACAGTTTTTTTTTTTTCCCACTCCCTCCTCCCCCTGTCCTCTTCCTACCTCCTCCTTTACCTCCAGGTAAACTCGGGGGCCAGGACTCTTTTGAAAGCATAGAGAGCTACGATAGTTGTGATCGCCTCACCCAGTCCTGGAGCAGCCAGTCATCTTTCAACAGCCTGCAGCGTGTTCCCTCCTATGACAGCTTCGACTCAGAGGACTATCCGGCTGCCCTGCCCAACCACAAGCCCAAGGGCACCTTCAAGGACTATGTGCGGGACCGTGCTGACCTCAATAAGGACAAGCCTGTCATTCCTGCTGCTGCCCTAGCTGGCTACACAGGTAGGCGCCCTCCCGCTGCTTAGGCCAACTCCATCTGCACGTTTCTGTGGGTGGGGTCCTGGAAGGCACTCTGCACCTCTGACCAGAGACGACGAGAGACTCCCTTTTGCAGGGCACGGGGGAGAAGTCTCTCTAAGAATTCTTTAGTCTCTCTCCAGCCACTCTGCTTGTGAATAGCCATTGATTTTTGGAAGCAAATAGTATCATTCTCTTCAAAGGGATCATTTCCAAGAATGGTAGGAAACTTACATTTTGGGTGTTTTTCCATGTCTGGGGGAAGGGAACTATAATGATCTGGTGTTCCTGGAAACTCTATCTAGTGGCCTGGCATCAGGGGATTTTTCCTGGTCTGCTCTTGGGAGGTCTTTCTAAATACAAAATCAGCAGCAGCATCTCTCAAAGGCACAACTGAATGGCCTCCGCACTGGACTCTTCTGCAGCACGGTTCTCCTTAGGCCAGCTGTTCAAATGTGGGAACAGTATCCTCAGTGGCACTACGCCCTGTCCAGATCCATCCTGGCCTATAGAGAATGCCCCTTCTCTTACTCGGCTTTATTATCAGTTTTCTTCCAGGAGCGAAAGCTATAGTTATGATAGTGATGGGTGAAGAAAGGCCATAGAGAAAGGAAGATGTAGGTTGAGAGCTTGAACTTTGATTGAGACTCTGGTAGTAGAGCAAAACAATGCTTTCTTCAAATGGGTTGTAGCATATCATGCTACTTAACCAGAAAAACATGTGGAGAGTATATCTGAGAAATAGCCAAGGAGCATTAATGTGTTAATCATCAGATCTCTCTGTAAGATTGTAGTGTTTTCTAAAAATTAGAAAGTGTGTTGTGAGTAGAGCTTATTTTAAAGTAGCTTTGATTACTCAGATGTGGTCTAGGCCTTTATTCTCTTATAATTCTCTCCACCCTGGATATGTTTTCATGTAGGGACCCTTTGTGTGGATGATGACAAACAGCAAGATCTGTGTTTCTATTGAGGTGTCTCTCTGATCCTTAGAGTATGCTGAATCCTTATTTTTGCATTCAGGGAAGCCTTAGGTCTTTTATGAAGAAAACCAGTGACCTTTGAGAACAACTCAAATGCTTGAAAACTTACTCCTCCTTCAAAGATCAGGAGTATCTCTCTTATATTGCATTCCATGTAGCTCCTAGTGCAGTTCATTGCATGAGTAGTGCTCAGGAATTATGTCTACATGTTGGAGTAGCAACAAGGTCAAGGCCAGGAATGGAACTTAAAGGTCCTTACTTTATTCTTTCTACAATACCCTGGTGGTCTTTGCTTGAACATGGCTAGCATGTAGGAACTTAGTACTTTTCAAGGGAGTCCTTTCCCATCTTTGAAAGGAGATTATTAGGAAGTATATCCATTTCCATTAAAAACGTCTGGGATGAGGAAAAGTGTATTAAGTCACTCTCAGGAAGTACAAGAGTGCCAGCTCATGCAGTTATACCTGTTAGGGGTTAAAGAACTAGACTGCAGTTGAATATAGTGATAAAGGAAGGGAGATGTGCTGCTTAATTGGGAAGAGAAAGGAAAGGCAGAGGTAGCTCTAAAATGACTTTGTGGCCTTGGGAGGTAGACATTATCTCTAATTGGCAGTGCTTGCTTCTGTTTTTGTGGTGCAGAGAAAACTATGCTCTAGGTCTGAGTTATGTTTGGATAGATTGATAGTTGCCTGCCCACCCTCTCTTCTGCCCTTCCTTCCTTCCTTCCTTCCTTCCTTCCTCCCTCCCTCTCTCCCTCCCTACCTCCTTTCCTTCTTTCCTTCCCCTCCCTCCCTTCCTCCCTCCCTCCCTTCCTCCCTCCCTCCCTTCCTTCCTCCTTCCTTCCTCCTTCCTTCCTCCTTCCTTCCTTCCTTCTTTCCTTCCCTCCTTCCCTCCCTCTCTCCCTCCCTCCTTCCTCCCTTCCTCCCTCCTTTCCTTCTTTTCTCTCTCTCTTTCTTCAGAAATGGGATAAGGGAGTAAAACATTTAGTGAGTAGAAGAGAAGGGGTGGTGATTATCTCTTAAAAGTCTCAAAGTCTGAAGTAATCATTTTAATGAAAAAACATTTTTGAAGCCTCTTACCATTTAATTCTTTCTCCTTGACAATTGCAATTTCACTTTTCATACTATCTCATGTGATGGCGAGAATAATAGTCCAGAAAACAGAAGTCCTCTGTGTTTCCTCCCAACTCTAACACACTGTGTGGTTTTAGGCAAATTTACCTTGTACCCTTTTCTACTTTTAGTGAAGTAGAAGTGTTCATTCTTATCTTGGTGGCAGGAAATCTGTGAAAGTGTAATTGAATTAAATCAACTAATTAAATAAATGAATGCTAGACATTGTGCTAGACATAGAGAAAAAAACCCTCAATTATAACAATTCAATTATTTCAGCAAATGTTTGAGCGCATATTGAGTGCAGAAAAGCGAGTATGTGGGCTCACTGTCTCCTTGGATTCAAGATATTTTAAATATCCTTAGACTTGAACTGGATTCTCCTATTGTTGTGGTCTGAATGAAAGTTGGGATTTGTTAGGTATGTGAGGAGCAGCCCACATTTTAGTATTTATTTTTTCCCTGTAATTGATACCTGGTGAACACCTCCTGCCTGTACTGCAGACTCACCCTCTGAGGGTGATCTCACACCCTCATGGTGCCCCCGCCAACCTCATTTAAGATGCGTCCTAGGGAATAGGGAAGCGGATGAAATGTGCCCATACAGCCTCACCCACCACCTGAGGCAGTCACTAGAGTGCCTATAAATGGCTGTCTAGCTTTATGCAGACATGTTAAGATGAGCTGAAATTTGCAAAAGTACTTTGGAAAGCAGAAATCATTGTATAGACTTGTTGGCAATACATTTTATTGCTTGTAAAAGTCACACTCACCTTCTCAGGTTCTGCTCAACTTTTCTGTCTGTTCCCTTAAAATTTGATTGCTCCAGAGTATGTTTGGCCACACAGTAGGGGTACACATAGCTCTATGTCACTATTACTTGGCCTGAACTAAAGGGTGCATGCTTAGATTCTCCAAGCTGGGAAGAGAATCCATCTCCCTGCCATTTCACCAGGAGTCTGGGTCTTTGTCCCTATCACGTCCAAAGGAATACATTTTACTTCTTGATAGGATGTCTTTCTTACTGCACTGTAAGTGCGGAAGCCAGTTAGAAACTGAATTTTCACATTCTCCTGCACAGTTACATTCTTCCTCCAAAGATAAGAAAATTGCATCAACCTTCACTGGGCTCCCATAGCAACTTGTTAAATGAGGTCAAGATGCGGGGGCAGATAACGTGGCTTGAAAGCCTGCCTGTTAGCTGAGTTAAGAATACATCAAATGCAATGTTGGCTTCCGCCAAAATGTACCTTCTTACCTTACTGTGAACTGTTTACGGTTATCAAACTGATACCATCAGAAAGCTCCATTTTCTTTTGTTCGAAGATACATTATGAACCCCTTCTAATTACAACACAGTCCTAGAGAAGTAGCCCAATGCTTTCTATATACATTTTATAGACCTAAGCAAAACGCTTTCCAAGTCCTTGAAAAACATAGGCATCTCTTCTTCCTCTTGCTTCTCCATTTCAGTAGGTATAGAATAATATAATGGGTTGTCACATAGTAGTCTCTCTTCCTCTCAACCCCTCTAGTCCCATTTCATAGATGATGAAACTGAGGCACAAAAAAATGACTTATTCAAGGCCATGTATGTAATTGCATTCTGCACAGAGGTAGCTTCTGAATTGAATCTTAAGCACCAAATGTCTCACCTGAATAGAAAATCTTTTCTTCATATTAGATAATGAGAGTACTCCTTGGTTATTGCAGTTGCCTGCCTAGACTGATTAGGACCTTATCTCCCTCTTGTCACTAATGAACACTATATGCATGTGGGTTAGGGGTATGTGGGAGGGAAGAGAGCTGGCCTTGGCTTCCGTCCAGAATTATTGACCTATAAATCACCTTTATTGAACTTCATTCCAGATTGTCAGACATAGCCACAGATAAGGAGTCCTATCACTTCTGCAGCTGTTGTTGAGCAGGTCTGGTGGTAATGCCCTTATCAATGTCTAGGTGTGTTCTCACTCTTTGATTTGCATTTATGAATGAAGTGATTTTCTTGTTTTCTAGGAGCCTGAAAAAGGCTAAACCCAAAGCCATTCACTAACTGTAATGAAATTATGTTTTATGGTGTTATGCAGATTTATAAGTAGGCAGTCCTTCAGTTTCCTTAAGGCTAAATTTGGGACTATCTGGAATTCAACTTCCAAATTTTTTTGTGTGTGTGAGACATCACACACACACACACACACACAAAGGTACTAGTCTTGCAGGAAAAGAAGCCCCGGGCCGGGTGCGGTGGCTCACGCCTGTAATCCCAGCACTTTGGGAGGCAGAGGCAGGCAGATCATGAGGTCAGGAGATCGAGACCATCCTGGCTAACACAGTGAAACCCCGTCTCTACTAAAAATACAAAAAACTAGCTGGGCGTGGTGGTGGGCGCCTGTAGTCCCAGCCACTTGGTAGGCTGAGGCAGGAGAATGCTGTGAACCCAGGAGGCGGAGCTTGCAGTGAGCCGAGATCGCACACTCCAGCCTGGGTGACAGAGCGAGACTCCGTCTCAAAAAAAAAAAAAAAAAAAGCCCTGTGCATTCTCCTCTAGGTCCTCTCAAGTTGATTCTGCCCTGAAATAAATCCTCTTCTTGTCATTTCATAGATGACTCTAGAGCCAGTCTAAAGTCACACAATAAGAAAGTCCCAGGGCCAAGTCCAGAACCTTAGAGTTCTGGCTCGTAGTTGAGTTTTAGGGATCAGTAACCCAAAACTACTGCTAAAACATGTTTTTGAAAATAAACAACTTTACTGCAAAAGGAAGTGCTTCAAAGCCCTTCAGTTCAGAATGAAACCTGAGATTTGGCAGCATTAGCTGAAATCACAGTTTTCTGAAGGAAGGCTCGATTGCAAAATAATCTCAATGTATTCAGGTACAAACAACAACTGAGGAAACTTTTGGTATGAGCCTAAGTTAGTGATAAGGAAAGAGTAAAAGCAGGTTACTAGTGCAGTGTGAATTTGTGCTGTGGGCATGTGATTAGGAACAGCGTAGAGCCTTTTAATTTGGGGAGATAACAGGAGCGAAGCTCTGGAATCTAAAGTCTCTCCATGTAAATGCTGTTGTGTAAGACAGTGTGAATTGGCTAAAGTCAGGCCCAGAGAAGTTAGGGCATTTCACTGAGGTCTGCAGGCCAGGCAAAGCTGGGGCTGGCTTCCAGGCTTGCTGAAGCCATCACAGTCTCAATGTAGACCATCCTTGGGCAGTACCTGATTGGATAAGAGGAAAAGAGCTTGGGAATGAGAAGGGCAGAAACAGAGTGTCTTCCCTTTCTTGCTCAGAGGCTGTTGTGATTAACTAGTTGCAGGAAGCTGGCAGCCCCCTCAGCTTAAATAGAGCCTTCCTGTCAGCCAGCAGCTGAGATGCTGGCAGGGATTCCATTCACGGTGCTGGGTTTAGCAGTGGATCCTAAAGGGGTGCCTGGCGTGGACCTGGGGATCTCAGTGGAGTAATAGACTCACATGCTGCTCAGTTATGTGATTGACGGGAAAATACTTTGGAGCACTGAGGAGGAAAATTCCCGGGAAGATTTGAACTGGTTGGGAGGCAAAGCTCTTTTCTATTGCCTGTGAGTAATTCCACTGTTTCTGCCTCCTATCTAATTAGTTTTGTATGAATTTTTCTTAATCATCTGCTACCAGTAGAAAAAGATCACATGGTAAAAAGATTCGTCCTCACTATGAACTTTTTTTTTTCTAAATGTCTTTTAAAAAACGTGGAAAGTGGTGATTGCCTATTTCTGTCATGGCTTTCAAAGACCACAACTGGCTGAAGCATCTTAGTGTCTTGATTCAGCTGCGGTAATACCTTGCAAGCAGTCTTTGGACAGAAGGGATCTATTCATACTGTACAATACATCCTGCACCCTGGTGCTGTTTACAACTCTCTGAGGTCTTGAGGGTGCCTGGATTTTGGATACCAGGAGACTCACGGGTTGACCCCTCTATTCTGGGTATAGCCCACTGCCTGTTTTAGAGGAAGAGTCTCTGAGTCTTAGATTTTTGGGGTCACTGTTTCTTTAATAAAGTCTCACTACAAATAATGGAATTGGGTGGTGACTGTTCTGGAATTCCACTCTGTCTCCAGTTTGAAGCTCCACCTTTGGAGGAAGCAAAATGTTTCCACTGAGCAGAATGCAGCCAGCGTGCTGCTGAGACATCCACACCAGTCTTTATTGCCTTTAAACAACAGGCCTCGGAAACTCCCCATCACCTCTGTTGGGAAAGGCCCTGCCAGGTGTCCCAGATGACCCTGCCTTTGCCCCCTTGGCACTTCTTTCTTTTCTCTGGACGGCCTCCCCTGCTGCAGAGAGTGAGCAGCTGCTGCTCTTTGTAGAGGCTCATTCAAGAGAAGCGCTGCCCTTCCTGTCTCCCTAAGGTGACTTGCATGTGATGCCTGCAGGTTGGAGCACTCATCAGCACCCCATCAGTCACTTGGGGATGCCTGCAGGTAGAGAAGTCCAAGTTAAACACAAGAAAGAGTGGTCATCCCATGCAGTTTTACCAAGGGCAACATTCAGGGGCCATCCCTGTAGAATTGAGAGCATGGAGTCAGGCCCTGCCAGTGAGCAGCTGTGTAACCTTTGGCAAGCTAACATCTCTGTATCTGTTTTCTCATCTGCAAATGGCAGTAATAATAGTTTCTATACCATAGGCTTGTTGTGAGAACTAATGAATTAGTTTATGGAGAGCACTTGGAGCAGTGCTGGGTATACAGGAAGCTAGGCTCTAAGTGCTAGCTGTCACCTACATTCCATAGTATTCTCCAAACCTTTTATTTTTCCAGTATAATTCTAAGTTCCTTGAGGCCAGGGAACAACGCATTTTACTTATAGAATTGCAGTAATTGCTGGCAGTGTCATGGGGCGTAGCAGGCATTTAATAATAATTAGGTCTTTTCAATTATTTAGCTCAATCCCAGATGTATTAAGTTCCTACTGTGTGCTTAGACTCCTTCATATACACTGACTTTTTAAATCCTTCACCAAATATCACATGAGGAAGTTTCTGTTATGCCCATTGTATAAATGAGGGAATCGAGACTTTTTTTTTTCTTTTTAGAGGAGGAGGTCTAGCCCAATGTTACACAGCAAACAACAAATAAGATGACTTTCAGGGTTTTCACATGTCAGAAAATATTCAAAATACTGTGTTAGTTTGAGTGTGCCGGAAAGCAGGTGCCAAGACATGATTAGATGTGCAAGATGTTTACGGAAGGAGCATCTATGAAGGAAAAAAAGGCAGCGAAGAGAAGGCAGCGGAACCTTCAGACCATGCTGCAGGTCTGGAAGGAGGAGATTTGGGTAGAAAGAGCCCTCAACTGCAGCTCCATTCTAAGAAAACTTTGGCTGGGCCCAGGGGATCTTTGGGTCAAGGTCGTCTGCTGGAGGAGCTCTGTGTCTCACAGGGGTGGACCTGCATGCCCTCACTGTGCTCAGTCCCTGGCTGGAGCAGTCCCCAGGATGAGGGGTGCTGGTGTGGACATGGTAGAGCCAGTCAATTATGTTCCCTGAAGCAGGAGAACTGAGTAGAACAGGTAGTGTGACAGCTGCAGGGACCTGAGCTGTAAACATGGCTTGTTGAGACCAGCACAGCTTTTCCATGTGGCAGGACTCAAGACCATGTGTCCCGACACTCTCAGTAGTCCGTGATGGGCTTCTGAGTTCAATGCATGTTGTTGACTGTAACTCCCCAAACTTTATTGTCTTTTGTATGACTCACCTCTCCCTGAGAGATAATGAGAGTGAAAGTTCTCCTAGAGTGATTGAATGTGAAAGTTTAAACTCTGAAACAAGGATGGGACTTGCTTTGTTGGAGATGCTCACAGGGCACAGGTCTGTGGAGGTGTTTGACATTCAGAGCTGAGGCGGTGGAGTTTCTTATGGAGGCCTCTCAAGGCTAGGTTCTCTGTTCTTTTTTTCTTTAAAGGCGTAGGTAGGACACTTTCAGCTTATCACGTTATGGTGAAACAAAAAGTACTTGTTCCGCTACCTCCATGCAGTTGTTAATATTGTGTTTTGCTATTCAACACACTCTGGCTACGTTTGAGGAGTGTTCAGAGATTATATGCTGGATAAATGCTTACAAAATTCGGTGTGCAAATGATCACTTAGGATCTAGTTCAACTACCTTCCAAGGATTCTATTATACCTAACTAGTGATTTCTCTCATTGTTGACATGCAGGGAAAACTTAACCCCTAGGATAAAATAAATTCCAGAGAGCAAGTTGAGAATCCTACTGAGAAAAGACTATAATCTTCAGACTTCTAAAGTCCTGTTTTCTAACCCTGATCAGTGAACATATCTTTCTTTCTTCTCATTACCTACACACTTAGGAAGATTTTTCTTTGTACATTTATAGTGGCTGGAAAAACCTTTTCTTTGGTTTATAACAAAATTCTTATCCCCTTCCCCCAAATCCAAACCTAACCCATCTCTGGTGACTTCTTAAAAGAACCGGTTACCTAGAAGACATCAGGAGGAAAGAGCTATAAAGAAACCCACTTCCTGACTTGAGCTTCACTGGCTCACTGTCCAAGTTTGTGTCTGAGTGTTAGCTTGAATGTGTTAGACAGAGTTACTGATGGGTTTAGAAGAAAGAGGTGGTTGCATTTGAATAGAGACTGCCCCTTTAAGAGAGGAACAGTCCCCTTTCTCCTGCTGCCGCCCCCACACATGTGTACTTGAGCACTTGCAGGTGTGCAGAGCCAGAGCAAAAACAAAGGTCTTTCCCTCATACCCTAAAAATGTGTAACTGTCTTGTTCTCAGACCCAAGTCAGACTGGCCAAATAAGCCTCACTTAACCCTGTTCCAGGTGGGAGGACTCCACTGGCCAGTTGCCAGCCACCTGGTCTTGCTGTCAAGCCTGTCTTGGGCCCTGATGGCTGGACAAGAGGTTCTGCTTGAACCCCAGTTAATGCTGGTGGGACCCGTCTCTTTGGGCCCAAACTATTGGCATTTGTGGGGAACGGTGTTGAACTTGCTCTAGGTGAGCTCTATACAATACTTAGGTGAAGAATACTTGGTGAGGGACATGAATAACTAAGGAAAAAGGTGCATCGGGAAAAGAGGATCTAAGTCCATCTGTGGCCAAGATTTCCCTAAACCATATATGCCTGTGATACTTTCACTTGCAAAGCAGTTTGCATCTGCTGTCTCTTTTGGTGCGTGTGCACTTTTAACATGGGAACAAGGATTTCAGAGTCTTCCCTAACTTAAAAAAGTCCTAAATGCTTATTCTCATTGAAAATATTAAAAATTTTTACATTCGTATACTGTAACTTTTTTTTCCTTAACCTCCAACTTTCTACTTTTTCAAAGTTGCCATACGAAGGCCAATTTAATCCTTGGAAGTCTAATTAGATTTTTTCTAGTGCTTTTACAATTTTTTTTAAATGCATCTTTTTTCTTGTTTTTTACTGAAAATTGTTTTTAAAAATATATTTTCTGTTGTTTCATTCTTCTTTGTAATTCCATTATTGTATATTCAGTTGCTCCTAAATTGTTCACCTCTTTAAGTGTCTTTCTCTCTCTCTGTCTATATATATGTATATATGCAGATTTTTGTAATAAGGACTTAATTTACATTTTTATAAACTAAAGAGAAGCAGAGATTACTATTTCCATTTTAGGAAAGGAAAAAGTAAAGCCCAGAGAGATTAAATGAGTTGCATAAGATTGCATATGGTGATTCAGGTAAGAACTGATATCAAAGCCTCGTACCCTCAACTCCCTACCCGGGGCTTTCCCACAGGCATCATATATTTTAATTTTATAGGATGCCGTCATCACTCAGTACTCCACTGCCTGACATGTAAAATGGCTTTTATTTTTAAATTTTTTGACACTCCTCCTCCTTTCGTTTTTGATCTAACATGCAAGAGACATGAACTCGGCAGTCAAAGACTGGTTTTAACTGATTTGAGAGCTGTTTTCTCACTCTTTTTCATGGTTAGATACTGGCTATCTCAGCAACAAATACAAGTTTATAAAGTTGTTGTTTGTTCATCATCGTGTTCAGCAAGTATGCTTTCCAAACACCTGTCAGAATGTTCTTTGTTGTTTGAGTTGAATTATTGGAAGTTATATTCCCAATCACTGCCCTTGAGTTATTAGCCACTGATACAGGAACACGTTTATAGAATATACTGACACAGAGTGAGTCTTTAAACCACGGCCGTATTGGCCAGTTATAGAATGTTATACATGGAGTGTGTTAGAGATGAGATAAGATTGGGTCAGGGTGGGGCAAAGAAAATATACAACTCAGAAGAAATGAGAGACATAGAACTCAGCCAAAATATCAAGCACTCCTGGCCCTTAATCTTCTTAAAATAATTTTCTCAGGGTCTTGATTGCCAGTCAGTCCAGCAATACAGTTTCTTGAGTTATTCATCCTCAGGCAACAAGACTTTGTGCAGCTTCAGGTTGAGCTTGGTCCAGAGGCCAAGAAACTGTCAGGATGTTTTCTGTTTTGTCCTTAAACTTAATGGAAATCAGGAGATTTAGGGGCCTTTGTGAATGGTGATTTAGAAGAGGGTTGACAGAAAGGGGTGATGCTTGGACTGGGGAGTCACCCACCCCACCCTCAGAGGTGCGTCCTCCTGTGGTAGCATGAAAGGCAGATTGATACACTTGTGAACAGATGGGTCATTTCTGGATTCGAATGTTCTGTTTTTGCCATCATCGTTTGGCTGTGGGTAGAGACACCTGGCTGGAAGGGAGGGGCCAGCAGGCCTGTTCCTCTGTTTTAGGGCCACCTGCCAGATGTGTGCTATCAGGGCAGAGTCAGCCCTATTGCAAGGGTGACCAACCATGAGAGTTTCATAGGTTAAAATAAATGTGGTGTCCTGCCCACACCGAGGTATTTGATTTGACTTTTAGAATAGAGCTAAAGGGATTAGCTTCTTAAAGTAGCAAATTAACTCCCAAAGGACAGGTAGTCATTTTCATTTTTGGGAACACGTTGATGAAATGCAGCCTGAGGGTCACCCATATTGTTTGGCCCCAAATATTGTTTAATAGAGAGAAGCCATTTGAGCGGACTTTCTAATCCATATGCCTTTCTTCAGAGGAGGTTTGTTTCAGTAATGTAATTTAGAAAATATTTAATGAGTACCTGCTGAAGACAAGCTATCATACCTGGCATTGAGGATATATGGCTCAGTAAGATATAGTCTGTGTTCTCAGGGAGAACATGTCAAATGACACAGTCATTCAACAGCAAAGAATTTTTTGTTTGTTGGTGTTTGTTGGTGAGGCACTGTGCTAGGCTTTGGGTTGAAGCAGTGAAAAAACAAAGTCCTTGTCCTTACAGCATATATTCTAGTGATGGGAGAAATGGACAGAGACCAAACCAATGGGGTGGTCTTGGTGTAAGCCATGTACTATGGAAATATGAGGAGACTGCCTGGGAAGGTGCCTGCCCAGCGTTGACCTCCTTCTGTTTGGAAGAAAACTCCTGTGTTCTCCTCTCAGCAGAGCACAGGTGACAAGAGTGAGAACTTGTGGTTGAAATGGAAATGAGGAAGGAGTAGAAGGAAAAAGTGAAGTTCAACCTGACCCTGTTCACTTGCTGTGAGGATGTCCTTGTCACAGGCAGGCAACTCCCAGATCTGGAAAATGAGAAGAATGATACTGACAAATCGGGAAATGGAAGGGATTTCCATCAAGAGCATGTTACTAACACCTTGTCCTAGCCCATTGCTATATATGTATTTATGCTGCTCAGTTCTCAGCCTCAGGGCAAGGGACCAGAATAGCAGGGGATTTTTAATAACCAGCTCCTCATTGAGACAGATAGTGGGCCTTGCAGCTCCCAGACAAGGAAATATGACCCAAATGAGCAGTAATTTACTTGAAGCTTTACTTTTTTTAAAAAGTGAGATTGTTGCCTTAGATTTGAGGAGCCTTGGGGGTCCCCTTAGGGGGTGAACATCCTTGGTGTGATTTGCTTTGTAGGCTTGGGAGCTCTCCAAGTTCCTACCTGGTATTTCTTCTTCAGAGCTTGTAGCACGTTCTTCAAATCAGACCTGTCAGTGTGTAGTAAGAACTGTCCTCTTCTCCAGAGGCTGAGAAGAACAAAGCAGTAGAAGGAAATTCCCCTGCAGCCGCCTGAGAGGGAGGGTGGAGAGGGAGCAGACAGCAGGGGGTGTGGAGGCTCCGTGCCATGGGAGATGGGTGTGTGGAGTGTGTGTGTGGTGCTCTCCCGCCCGCATGGCTCTGGAAAGAGACCTCCTTCTAACAGGGACCCCTCTGTTGTTGTGGCTCAGAGCTTCGACTTGAGAAGCATACTTTCCCAGTGATGCCACTGGATTCCTGATGTGTGACACTCCCGGGCAGCATCGTGAAGGGTGCTGTTGACTGCCTTGGAGATCCCAGACAGGGACACCATTATGAGTCACATTGAACATGTGAGCTCCCCTTCCCATGACTGGCGCTATTATTAGTACCGTTTTCTGCTCTAGGGGACAAAGGTCACTGAGACCACAGTCCATTTGGGTAGGTGGAAGAGGCTGGGCACAGGGATAAGGGGGAGTTGCAGGGGGAATGGAGGAAGAGGCTTTACAAGTTTAGGATATGTTGGAGCAAGGGCAAGGGATGGGGTCCTGGAGCCCTGTGGATTTGGGCAGACCTCCGCTAAGCACACAGAAACACCCTCTAGAAGAGTCGTAACTGGGAGTGCTGGACTCATTCATTGTCTGCACCAATCTTGGGTGTGAGAACTTCTGATGGGCCTGGATGTGGGTGTCGCTGGTGGATCTGTGTAGCCAGTGTGCCTTCCAACCCCAGAGCTGCCTCTAAGCTTTGGGTTTCCAAGTGGCCCTGAAGTCCCCTCCCAGACCTGAAGTGAGGGTGATGCATTGCTGTGGAGACAGGCTCCTGTATTAGACCATCCACGGGCCCAGCCAGGAACTGCGCCCACCCTGGCCCAGTGTTTCTGGCTGGAAGAACATTTCCATGTCTTTCCTAGTTCTCTTGCTCCCCACAACAAAAAGGCAGTTTAGGAGTCAGCAAAAAGGTGCTAGAGGGGACGCTTCAGCGGCCATCATGAACTCCTCTCACTTGGTACAAAAATGTGGGCTTTCTGAAGGGTGAGCCCTGTGTGCACCAGTTAGGCTGGAGTGCGCCTGTGGGGTTTCTCTACAGGAATCGGGGGAGGGAGCCAGGAACTGACATCTCTGTTATGTTGACTGTCCTATTATGAAGCCAACGGGAGAGATTTCTTCCCATTCATATTCCCATTATTTCTTTAGGTATCTGCTTTTCCTATCTATCCTCCCTCTTTCCTTGGGTGTAAACAGAAAAAAAAAAGAGTTAGAGAGCTCTGCACCTAGGACTTGGGCTTCTAGGGCCTGAATTTAATTTTTTTTTCTTTCATTCCTTTTGAACAAAGGAAAAGTCACAATGAGGACAAAAGTCCTCTGACGAGTACTCACCCTGTCCCAGACTCACCGGGTCCCGTATGCTGACATCACAGAGAAAGGGCAGGGCAGGGCATCTACAGCCTATGACTGCTTGACATTTCAGTTTGGAAAATGCACTGGTAGAAAAGGAAAACTAACCATTCCGTCAGAGGGTTCGTCCTCTGGGAGCTGGTGCAAACCACGGGAATTGAAGGTCCCTTCTCTGCATTGTGGCTGCCAAGTCCCAAGGGCAGGAGACTGCAGTGTGCTCCTGGGCCCTGTTCTCCAGCACCAGCAGATGTGCTGACAGCTCCCTGCCAAAGACTCATCCGGGGGAAGGATCTCGATCTTCCCATCCCTTTCCTCGGCTTGGTGTCATGAGACCCCGTGCCCCAAAGAGATTTTCAGATAGTGGGAGAGAGGTTCAAAGGTGAACATTGGGAAGGAGAAACAATGAAGTAATGTAACATAATGGCTACCACAAGAGGATGCTGGAAATATCTCCTGTGGAGGTGGATGCCATGGCGGGGCCTGGCACGGCCACTGGTGGTCGGATGACTGGGAGAACCACTGGCTATCCCGTGTCCTGCAACTGCTGTGAGAAGTAGGGGAGAGAGTTTTTCAAGTCAGGTCCCCTTATCCCTTGGAACATTGCACTCAGTCAGGCAGTTTAGATGCCAGGCCTTTGGCCTGGTCCTGTCCAGGGGCAACGTAGCATTGAGATGAAGAACCTGGGGATGGGCTGCATGGGTTCCAGTCCCGGCTACTCCACTGCTGATCTAAATGGCCTTGCAGTGTGTCAGTTTTCTCTGCTGTGAAGTGGTAGAAACAAATAGCACAACAGTTGCATCCACCCCACAGAATTATTGGGAGGAATGAAGGAAACGAGTGTAGAGCGTCACTCACAGTGTCTGCGGCGTAGTAGGTGCACCGTCAAGCATAGCACTCATTAGTTTTTCTCTGTCAGGGTCTAAGGCAACCCCCTCTCCTCCGAGGCTTCTTTTACATAGCTTTGGGATAGAATGGTTTTCTTCATGTCTCTCTTCAGTCTCTATAGTTATCGTGAGTTTCTCCAAGAAACCTATTCTGTGACCAGGGCTCTGGCAGCTGCATTTCTTGAGAGCGATTTGCTGTTTTACTTCTTTGTGCCTGTTAGGATGGCTTCTCAGTGGATTCCTCTGAGAATGTCACGGTTAGTTTTGTGAGCCCAGGCAGAAAACAAGTAGCTCATGACTTTAGGCAACTCCCAAGAAACCTGCAAATGTCCCTGAGTTGAATACGAAACGGTTTTTATTGAATGAAAGTAGAAACAGAGGAAGCTACGGCTTTACCAGTGCGGCCCTCTGGGCTGTTGTTCGAATGTTACTTTATTTTATAGGCATTCACTGAGCCATTTTATTGTGGAATACATGTAAGGTATTTCTTGCAAGATAGTTTTAAAGAGCTAATGGTCCATTCTCAGAAAGAGGAGGTAGAGCTATTTCATGTTTTCATATTTAGCGTGGCAAGTGCTGAGAGGAGCCTTGGAAACCACCATTAGGAAGTTGTTACTGGAGGAGGACTTCCTTTGGCTGTGGGATGATAGCTCGTGTCAGTAGCTGTTTCTTTACTTCATTGGAGGTTGCCCTGGTCCTTTGAGTCTAAAGGCCTGGGTACTAGACCCAGAACCACCATTTCGCTAACCGTGGCTCAGAGCAAAGTCACAGTACTTTGCTGAGCACTTTTTCTGCACCATTAGAAAGGAAGCCGTAAGACCACTTGTGCCTCTCCTTACAGCAGAGGGTTGGGTGTGGATTTTAGGAGCAAGCACAACGATGCATGTGAAAATGTCTTGTAGAAATATGAGATACAACAAGACATTACCCTTATGGATTATGAAGGCAATTTCTTTTTTAGATTGAGAGGGAACTTAAAGTTTGTTTCCTGTTAAATCTCAGTTTACTTTGGATCAGACAAATTTGCAACTCCGGTGAAAAATTAGAGCCTTAGTGAGCAAAGCTTTCCTGTAGGAGCTGGTGCTTCCTGGGCTGTATCCAGAGACATGGACTGGGTCTTTCCCAGTCCCGCTCTGCCCAGTTTGTTTATGTTATAAGGGGCAGTGTAACAAGAAGCATGGACTTTTGAACCCCTATTTGTCTCTCCACCGACACCTATAAATTAAGAATCACTGGTGGCATTGTCATTTCAGATGAGAAAAGTATCCTCAAAGGAAATCGGTGTGATATAAACCTTTTAGCATAGAATAAATTGACTGTCAGAGTGTTGATGGCTAAGACAGAGAAGTGTGTGTGTGTGTGTGTGTGTGTGTGTGTGTGTGTGTGTGTCTAATTTAGAATATACTGAACCTATGCAGAATTTCTGACAGTCCTCATCTGACCCCTGAGGATTTTCTGGGTGGCACGTTAATTCCTCAAATAGTAATGATGCTTTTTTTTTTTTTTCCTTTGGGTGCTTTCCTGTAAGTGGACTGGAAGGGCAGGGTGGTGGCAGTGGAGAGAAATATTATGACTGAACAGATATTTAACATCTATTTCCTTGTAAGAGGGCCGGAGGATAGTGATCCTTCTTACTCACAAATCAGGGGCCACAGGCTCCCTACTACAGAGCAGTGCTTATGAGCCATAACTTGTGTTTGGAACTGGCAAAGACATTCATTCCTTCGTTAATATGTTTCTTACTTCTGAAGGCAAAAATAATGACTTAGTTTTTGCAGGTGTAAAAGATTATGCTGCCTTAGAATATCCCAGAGGATAGGCACAGTGTTCTCTTTCTAGAATTTGTTTAGCAATAAAAATGAACCGATCCTTAAGTTAATCAAAATAAAGCACTTGACACATTTTCTTCCATGCTTTTGTTTTATAGGGAGGCCTTTGTCTTTTCTATCTGTTCGAGCTCATAACACTTCCTCCGACATGTGCACTGTCTGTTGCCTTCATTTTCTCCTGGCTGGATGGGCTGAGAGAAGAGGGATGTGGGAGTGCCGTGTGTGGGGATTAGCTGCGTAGAGTGCTGAATATCTGGTGTAATGATTCACAATGGCTTGTGTTTCTAGGCAGTGGACCAATCCAGCTATGGCAGTTTCTTCTGGAATTACTCACTGATAAATCCTGTCAGTCTTTTATCAGCTGGACAGGAGATGGCTGGGAATTCAAACTTTCTGACCCAGATGAGGTAAGGAAGGAGGGGCTTGCGAGTACTGTGTTGAGGAAGGATGAGAGAAAACTCCTGGAAGGGGTGGCGTGGGCCTGAATGACGTGTTCCAGGATTGGGATTCCCAGCTCTGCCACTTGCCACCCGGAGCAAGCTAGGTAGCCTGTCTGAGCTCCAGGTTCATTATTTGGAAAATAGAGAAAAGATCTATGTTACCCCATTTGTCTTACAGGATTAGCTGATAGAAGGCATTAACGTGCCTGGCAGTAGGTCAGTTATCACCCATAGAGCTGCCTCCTGTGACTTAGCCTCTTCCTAGCCCGGTGGCTCTGTGAGTGTGAAAGGGGCCAGACAGTTCAAGAGGCCTTGGGAGATTGGCTCATTAGTTTCTTATTTCATTACACACATGTTTATGGAGTAGTGGTTCCGTGCCATGCCCAATTCTGAGGATAAAAAACAATGAACAGGAGAGACAACATCTTTGTTCTGGCAGACATGAGAAAATATTTGTGCCCTGGTATGGAAAAAAAACACTTCCTGTTGATGAAAGGCAGGTATGATTGCAGCTCAGCTCCTCCGCTTCACACTTCCCTGTTAGATTTCATGCTTGCAAAGCAAGGAGATTTTACTAATAATATGCGGAAAGAGGAGAATGTATAGTGTGGCTTTTTGTTTGTTTTTTAAAGTCACATATTTAATCCTAGTTCAGGGTCACTGTGTTTTCATCAACTTAAAGAATCATTGTGACTCCCATCCTTGCCCAACCCATGAAAAATGGAATTCAGGAGATAGGCCCGAAAAATATTTTCTATATCTACATGAATCTCAAATCATCTTACTTGAGCATCATGGGTCACCATGAATGGGTATAGCATAGGCATAGAAACATATATATTTGGCCTGTCTTGTAGATTTTTGCCTACTCCTCCTTTATTTTTCTTTTTAAATTTCAGGTGGCCAGGAGATGGGGAAAGAGGAAAAACAAACCTAAGATGAATTATGAGAAACTGAGCCGTGGCCTACGCTACTATTACGACAAAAACATCATCCACAAGACAGCGGGGAAACGCTACGTGTACCGCTTTGTGTGTGACCTGCAGAGCCTGCTGGGGTACACCCCTGAGGAGCTGCACGCCATGCTGGACGTCAAGCCAGATGCCGACGAGTGATGGCACTGAAGGGGCTGGGGAAACCCTGCTGAGACCTTCCAAGGACAGCCGTGTTGGTTGGACTCTGAATTTTGAATTGTTATTCTATTTTTTATTTTCCAGAACTCATTTTTTACCTTCAGGGGTGGGAGCTAAGTCAGTTGCAGCTGTAATCAATTGTGCGCAGTTGGGAAAGGAAAGCCAGGACTTGTGGGGTGGGTGGGACCAGAAATTCTTGAGCAAATTTTCAGGAGAGGGAGAAGGGCCTTCTCAGAAGCTTGAAGGCTCTGGCTTAACAGAGAAAGAGACTAATGTGTCCAATCATTTTTAAAAATCATCCATGAAAAAGTGTCTTGAGTTGTGGACCCATTAGCAAGTGACATTGTCACATCAGAACTCATGAAACTGATGTAAGGCAATTAATTTGCTTCTGTTTTTAGGTCTGGGAGGGCAAAAAAGAGGTGGGTGGGATGAAACATGTTTTGGGGGGGGATGCACTGAAAATCTGAGAACTATTTACCTATCACTCTAGTTTTGAAGCAAAGATGGACTTCAGTGGGGAGGGGCCAAAACCGTTGTTGTGTTAAAATTTATTTTATTAAATTTTGTGCCAGTATTTTTTTTCTTAAAAATCGTCTTAAGCTCTAAGGTGGTCTCAGTATTGCAATATCATGTAAGTTTGTTTTTATTTGCCGGCTGAGGATTCTGTCACAATGAAAGAAAACTGTTTATATAGACCCCATTGGAAAAGCAAAACGCTCTCACTGAGATCAGGGATCCCAAATTCATGGGACTTATATAAGAAGGACAATTAATGCTGATTTGGGTACAGGGGAATTATGTGTGTGAATGTCATCTACAATTAAAAAAAATTAGCACATCCCTTTACTTACTTGTTATCAGTGGATTCTCGGGGTTTGGACTTAATGTTGAGCTAAGAAGCATTAAGTCTTTGAACTGAATGTATTTTGCATCCCTGGTTTTGGACGACAGTAAACGTAGGAGCACTGTTGAAGTCCTGGAAGGGAGATCGAAGGAGGAAGATTGACTTGGTTCTTTCTTAGTCCTATATCTGTAGCATAGATGACTTGGAATAAAAGCTGTATGCATGGGCATTACCCCTCAGGTCCTAAGAAATAAGTCCTGAATGCATGTCGTTCCAAACTAACACTCTGTAATTTTTCTTTTATGTCTTATTTTCCAAGAGTCCTCCATTTTTTGCACCCCCTCACCGCCAACTCTGTTATTCAGTAGAGAGAAGTGTACGGCTTTCTGATTGGTGAGTGAAAAAGTAACTTGAGACACGACCTAAGTTGAAGAGTTTAGACTTGCTGAGTTTTAGAAGTGATGGAAATTAAGAGAGCATTTCAATAAAATGTGACTTGGCTGTCTTTGGAAGAGAAGTGCAAGGCTTTCCTTTGAAGAATTTAAATTAGTCCGGTAGGATGTCAGGTGAGACTGTGTATGCAAAATGAATGGCACAGGTGATGCCAGGGCCTCTTGCTTGGGTCTGATGTCTTGGCACAGGGTAAGTGAAGGTTAATTCCAGAAGAGAGGAATGACTTGAAGGCAAAGGAAACTAAGGAAGGAGGTTCAGTGAGGAAAATAAGGTTGTCCATGAGATTTGAATAGATTTTTAGTTCCCCCAAGGTTTAAATACAAACATAGTCAAGCAAGGTAGTCATCTTTCTGCTGGTTGTGAGGGGGAATCTGAAAATGGAGTTTTAGAGGAAAAGTCAACATCTAACTAGTGAGGAAAAGTGCCTAATACAATTAGAATCTCCCTCACTCTATAGTTGCCCAGTTGAAAGGATAAGGAGGAGGGGTGGCTTTTATGGACTTCCATGAGAGAAGGAAAGAAATATTTCAGGTAAGCTTCTCAGGGCTGGCCCTTTTTGGGATTTGGATGAGAAATTGGAAGTACTAACTACTTTCTAGCATATCTTTAAGAAAATTGATTGTTATTTACTCCCAGATCCTCTTGCAGACCCAGAATTATCAGGAACATAGCTCTGTGATTCATGAGTGTCCCCATACTGATGAATTGGAGCATCCATATGGAAAGCAAAGGCAGAATTATCCCAGCTGTATTATTTTGATCTTTTGGATGCAGGTGCCTTAATGAAGCTCTCAAAATATTTTAGGAGCTGCTCAGGGAGTGTTGGGTGGAACTGTTTGGACTACATTGTTTTCTCTTAGATTATGTGATTTTTGTTGGGCACTGGCAAAAGGTGTGTGTGTGAATGTGTGCATGTGTGTGAATGTTGTGTGTGTGTGTGTGTGTGTGTGTGTGTGTGTGTGTGTGTGTGTTTGCAGACATGCAAAACTGCAGCTGAAATAATACCTTAGATTTCTAGGTAAGTCTTTCCACATTTCAATAATGGGTAAGAGTAGAACCAGGGCCGGGTATCAATTATTGCTTGCTGTTTGCAACCAGGCATAAAATCACTTTCTCAAATCATCCACCGTTCCTATTAAATTTATGCCGGAAACTCTCCTTCTGTGAGTATAACTCCTGCAGTTCCTATAGCAGATAAGATATAAGAAAGTGCCTCCTAGTGCTCCTCCGCCCGCTTGTTTGCTAAAATTCCCTTTCTCTCTAAGTCCACCATTTTCAAGATTTGTAGATAGTGTATTAGTTAAGACAGCTTTGTCGATCTGGCCAGATGTTTTTTCTCCTTTGTCCAAAGGCCAGAGACCATCCCAGGAAGAGTGGTGGGTGGTTTATACACTGGAAATGTTGCGTTTATGCTTTTTAAAAACACACGTTAACTTCAGAGGAAGGATGGGCAAATCTGGTCTAGCTGGGTGAAACCCTTATTTTCCCAGAGATGCCTTAACCTTTGTTGGTTTTGGCTTTAGGGTTCAGAGTCACTTTTGTTCCCTTCTCCATTCTGGAGAGGGACTTCCCCTACATAGAGCCCTGATTTTTGTGGCTGTGGGGATTGGAGGTAGCATTCAAAGATCAGATGTGCTTTTCCTCACTTTGGAGATGAACACTCTGGGTTTTACAGCATTAACCTGCCTAACCTTCATGGTGAGAAATACACCATCTCTCTTCTAGTCATGCTGTGCATGCCGCTTACTCTGTTGGGGTCTATATAAATTTGTTGAACTCTTACCTACATTCCAAAGAAGTTTCAAGGAACCATAAATATATGTATACATATACATATATAAAATATATATATTAAAATAAAATTATCAGGAATACTGCCTCAGTTATTGAACTTTTTTTTTTAAGAATACTTTTTTTTTAAGCTGAGAAGTATAGGGATGAAAAAGATGTTATATTGTGTTTGACTATTTTCCAACTTGTATTTTCATATAATTTATATTTTTTAAAAGCTGAAAATTTAGAAGCAAGATGAAAAAAAGGAAAAGCAGGTGCTTTTTAAAAATCAGAACTGAGGTAGCTTAGAGATGTAGCGATGTAAGTGTCGATGTTTTTTTAAAAAAAAATGCAAAAAAATTCTTATGGCGGAGTTTTTTGTTTGTTTATTTTAGTAGCTGATGCTGGCACATCATTTTGCTGGAGAGTTTTTTATATACTGTAGCCTGATTTCATATTGTATTTTAAACTGTGTGAAATTAAAAACAAAGAATTTCATTCATAATGCTGTGGCTTTGGCTTGATTCTTTCTTGTCTGGATCATGTATTAAAGCAGGACAAATCAACCAACCAGAGGCAAGCACAGAGGGATGCAGTTTAGTCTTTCTGATCTCACTAGCTCAGGACCATTGGAGATAAAGATTTCCTAATAAGGTGAGAAATATAACAGGAATATAGGGAAGTCATCGAACATCCCAATCTTTGAATATATTGTGTCATCCTTTGTGGAATGTCCCTGGCCTTGTCAGACCTCACTTCTTCATGTCCGAAGGACTAAGAGCCATGTGAAGGAAACGTTTAATGACTCAACAGATAAACATTTGATTTCAGCTACGTACCGTTCCTGATATGAATACAGAAAGTTGAACATCTTTAGTGGATCCTGTGGGAAATGAACAGTATTCTTGTGTCCACCACTGATACTAATTTTGCTCTATGGCAATTTGGGCCCTTCACATCCATCTCCTTGGCCCCAACTCTTTCACTGGGGCTGAAGATTGGGAATAATAATATCTGTCAGAACCCCTAGCAACACATGCCATAAATAAAATCATGTTTATAAGTGCTTTGGAGGGGAGTGCTTAGGAACACCTCATGCATGGTGCTTTTTCCTTGTTGCTGAAACTGTAGAAGGTGGATGTTTTTAATTAACACCAACATTTGCAACATGAATCCCAGCTCACAGCTGGAAAGAGAATTTTTGCTGAATTGTTCACAAAGAGAGCTCTGTTTTTGGAAAATCTGTTTCTTCAGGCCTGGAGCTTGAGGTTTGCTGAGTACATGTTAAGCACGGACTGTGTGGTCTGGTGGTCAGGGAGCAGGACTGGCCGCGAAGAAGGCTTCAGCCCCTCAATCCTGGTCAAGCCACCACCACTCACTGGGAGACTTTGGGAAAAATGGCTTCAGGTCCTTATATTTTGTTTTTAGTTTTCAGCTGCAAACCTGGGAAAAGCCACAACTCCTGAGCCAACCTGAGGCCACATTTGAACTCTTCTCCCGAATAAACAGCACACAGAGAATAGGTTTCTGCTTCAGTCAAGGATTCAACCAGAGAGCTTTTCTTCAGTGCCAAGTTGCAGTTATCCCTCCAAGTACCCGACTCAGTGCTCACCAGGGTCAAAGATACAAGACGTACTTGAATAATTCAGCTTAGGCTTACGCTTCTCCCACTAGGAGCCAGAGTTCAGATGAGGAGCCCTCAGGCAACCGGGCTTTGGTGATTCCTCTTAACAATACTGCTGAGACCACAGTTGAAGCTGCAGTGATGGGGGTCTGTAGAGGAGACAGTATCTTCAAAAGCAGTTGCAGAATTTGGGAGGATCGGGTAAGGTGAGGATAGAAGGAGACACAAGGGAAAGAGGAGGTGATGGTCACACTCTGTAGATTTGAACAGCTTTCAGAAGGTGATGGGATAAGAAAATTAACCAAGTCTACTCTGACTCGACTGCTATAACTTTGGAGCAAGCTGCAGCACCCAAGACAAAAAGAAAAGAAAAACAAATGGATCGGCAGAGGTGTATGAATGAAATGTAACTATTTAAACCTAAAAAGGAAAAGGATTGTGATTTGTGCTTTGGGTACAATGAGGCAAACAATGTGAACTAGAGGTCACACTCAGGCTGGTTCCATGCCATAGAGATGTGCACTTTTGCCTTCACAGTGTAGGAACCCCTTGCCCCACGCAACCCAAAAGAAGAATGTACCGTAGTAGGTTAATGGGATGTCTTTGGATTCTAGCATATTCCTTCATAGCAACCACCATGGGCACTGAACTGAAGCTGCCTCCTTTAGGTGCATATCAGTCCCCTATTTTAACTCTCATAGGTCAGGCCCACACATTGACATTCCTGCCTTGTCCCTGTAGAATTTAATTTTGTGACCCCTGTGTAGATATCTATCCACATTCCATGTTTACTTGGCATGAAGCTCATTTTATTCTAGAGCCTACGGTGGAAGAGAGTACAAGAGGTCATCAGGTTCATCAGAGAACCATCTGACTTCTAAGCCCTGTTCTTTCCATGATGCCGTATTGCTGGCATAGAACGCTGAAAAGTCTCTTTTGATGATGCTGGCTGATGGCTCACCAGCTCTGGGAGCCACAGGCCTGGTTACTAAGGGGTACGTTTCACACATCAAATATGGGACAAGGACAAAGTCTTCTTTCAGTACGTGAGCCTTTTCACTTCCATACTGCTGTTTGGCCTCTGCTTTTCCCCAGGGGCTGCTCTGGAAGATGGTTTGCGACTCAGTTCTAGTTGTACAAAGTCCCTTCTCTGGCTTGTATACAGGGATCCTTGACCATCCTCATGGCTGGATTAAGGACCTGGCCCTTGCATTTATGGGCATATTGGCTCGGCATGCTGCTGGCATCTCACTACTCTGTGAGATCCCTCCATGCCGTGAGAATCCTCACCTAAATAATAGAAGAGAAAAGCATTCCCCTGGCACTTTTTGCAGTGAGGCAGAGATTCAAGGAGTCTGATAAAGGCAGTTGTTGATCAATTGGTGAAAATGCCACAAGGTTTGAACTTGAGGAAAAAAAATTTGATAAGAATTTAGAACCCCAAATGAGGGGGTAAAGTGGCTCTGGCCTCTCTGTCCCTTGGTCAGTGCTATTTCCTGATTTACTCAATGTTCCAGTCCCTTTCCCTGTTTCCACTTTCCTGGCAAATGCTTCTGCCCTGGGAAAGCCAGTTGCATCAGATTGCCTGGTGTATCTCAATGTCCTGACATCCAAAGTAATGATGGCGATGATCATCTGCCCACAGCAACCTAGGGAATCAACAAAGGCCAGGCTTGTGGCAGGCTGCAAAATCCCCAAAGCCCGTTTGAGTTTACAGTCCTATCTCTAATCTCTCTGCCCTGCCACTCAGACTCTCGTGCTCTCTGGACGACAGCATTTCTACAGAGCTTTGATGTCAGGTCAGCCCTGGTCATTCCATGTGATACAATTTAGCGGCACAAGGATGTTTTCAGCAGCCTCTTGTGGGAATTAGTGAGGGTCAAGATAGAGTCACTACCTTCTCTCTCTCCACTCCACATGGTCAGCCTGAGCCACTGGCCCTGGGCAGTAACAGGCTCTTTTTAACCTTTTTATAGGCAAACCTGTAATTTAAGCTGTGACTCTCCTTGTACCTTGTCAAAGGCTGTCCCCCAAATGTACCTAGAAATAGCACATGTACAGGTATACTCAAAGAAGTGGCAACTGTCTTTGCAAACCTGAAAAGCTAATGATGAGTACTGGGTTTGGTCTGGGATTGCCTCTGTGAAACAAGGATATTCCTAACTTTAGAAGAAGAGATGGGACTGGGAGCTTCCAGATGGTTTTGGAACTGTGTTGTGTTCATCAGAAATAGTCATTGTTCTTACAGATCTCAGGGGAAGGCAAGTTCAAAACTCCAAGTGTGATTGAACTGGGGGACTCCCTCTGCCAATCTACTTCTCAGGTAGACCAACTTTGTTCCATTTGTTCTGCCTTCCATGGGAATAAGGAAGTTTGCAAATACAGTGCAGCCAGTGCACCTGTAATGTGAGAGGCTTATCCATATTTGAGGCAAGGTAAGAATGACGGTGAAAACAATGACTAGTGTGACCAGTGTTTAGGGGTAACAGATATTTCATTCAAATATCTGTTTTCTCCATGGCCACGTTTTCATCATGATAGCACAGAGCTGTGCACGAGAGCCCAAGCGGATTTATTTGCTTCACTGGCTAATCATGGAACACGGGTGGGCTGAGGTGAGTGTATGAACTCAGCAGGGTATGGATGGAAGGCGGTGCTAACTCTGGGCACAGATTTCCCATTTAGAGCAGGAAGGGACCAGGTGTGCCATGTGCATGATGGTGGCATGTGTTAGCTGCTCTAGGAACCCATGAGTGTGGCCTCTGTGAAATCTCAGATCAGAGCCCTGATCATAAATTCCAAATAGCCTTCTCTCTGCAACTACAAGTAACAGCCCCAAACCTGAAGCCCAGTCAAGAAAGACAATTAAAATAAGAGTGAGCACACATTCTGGTGTACCTGGAATAGTCTCAGAGTCCATCCCTTGTCCTGGCATAATTACTCAGAGCAGTTCCTGTTGGTCGTACGATACTTTATACAGTCTCCTCATTAAACCCAGTAATGGCCTAGAGGATGATGAGAAGAAGAGCAAATGCCAGAATTCTAAAATTCTACATTTTAGAGTCAAAAGAGACCTTAAAGATTATCTGGTGCAACCTCTTCAATTAGGCATTCATGAATTCAAGGTTTAGAGAGGCCAGAGGACTTGCCCAATGTCACCTCATTAATGACAGAACTGGTACTAGAATGCAGATCTCTCTCTTCCCAGATACCCTTAGCCCTGTCTCTAGTCCCACACTGTACTAAATTTCATCCGATTTCTAGGGAATGCATCCTGATTTAAAGCCGATTTCAGTTGATTCAGTATTGATCATGATAATCATTTCTATTAGTTCTGATGGACACAAGAATCTGCTAAATAATGGTGCTTAGGCTGGGAACAGGAGACTAAGAAAGTTGGATCACTGGGTGGTGGAAGGCCTTATCTCTCTCAGTTTTTAGAAACTGAAAATGCAGAGTCACTGACATCTCACTTTACAGAACTATAGGATGTTATATCTAGAAGGTGCCCTACATAGTGACGCCACCAAGCAAATTTATTCAGATAACAAACATCCCTTGAGCACCTGCCGTGTGGTTGGCATTGGGTTCAGTACAAGGGAAACCATAAGGAAGAAGGTAAACACACTTTTTTTTCCTTCCGTCTACTTCCAGTAAATTACAATTTATAGACAAATAAAGGGGAACACCATCCAGTGAAGTAACAATATGATTTGACACATAGGAGGAACCTAACCTGAAGGAATGTGTGGCCTGCAGGTGAGTAGCAGTTAGTTAAGTGGGGAGGGAAAGAGGTTCCAGTGGTGGGGAATGCATGTCCAGAGGCTGAGAGGTGAGAAAGTGTGTACACTGATGGAGAAACTGGAAGTAGTTTTATGGATCTAGAGCACAGAGTGCAAAAGAGTGTGGGTGTGAGGAGAGGACAGCAAGAATGTGTGGAGATGATCCAGGGCCCTGTGGGCTGTGTGAAGAGTGACGTGGAGTCCTGAGGCTCTTCCAGCAGGCTAAGTCACATGATCCGACCTGTGCTTAGGAAAATCATTCTGACTGTGGAGCAGAACATGAATCAGAGCCAGACAAGGGTGGAGGCAGGGAGACCAGTTGGAAAACTGTTTCATGCTCAGAAGAGTTGCATGCAAGAGAAGCAGCTATGGCACATCAGAGAGGTGTTGAGAACACAGAATCACTAGCCCTGGGTGTCTGGTCGGTGTGGATGGGTGGTGGGCACTGTGCTAGGATGTAGACCTTGGGTGGCATGAAAAGGCAACAATCAAAGTCCCTGTCCTTGGTCTCAGTATCATCAGAGTGTAGATTTTAGATCCAGAGAGAACCTTAGAGGTGAATTCCAGTGTCCTCATTGTATAGACATGGGGTTTCAGGTTAAGGGAGTTTCAGTGATTTCCATGAGATCACATTACTAACCGGTGACAGAGACAGAATTAGAATTTAGGTGTAGTAACTCTAAAGCCAATCCTATGCATTTAATGAGGGTTGGCAGCTTGTTCTTCCAAACACAAGAAAAAAAACAGCCCCTTCCTTTCTTCCTTCCAGCCCTTCCTCCCTCCTTCTCTCTCTCTCTCTTCATTCCTTCCTCTGTTCATTTGTTTGTTCCTTTCTTCCTTCTCCTCTTTCCTCTGGGGACAAGAGCTCTTGGCTTAGAGGAATGGACAGACCTCCCTGCATGACAGCCATAGGCCCTCTCTTCTAATCGCGATCTGTCTCTCCTAGGAGCCCTGGGCATCTGCCTCCACTGCGGCTGTAATTGGAAAGAAAGAAGGTGTTCATTTCTCTATTTCTCTGCTCCAGCTGCTGATCCTCAGTTTCCCCCTAGAGCTGTGTGAGCCCCCTTTGCCAAGTGACCTCTTCACATTACTTCTGGAATCCTGTTTTGGACAGAACAGGTGCCTGTCTGACTAGTACTGTCATACCTTCCAGCCCCAGCTCAGCATTTCTTGCCACTTCTGTACCTTGGTCTCACACTCCTTCTCCTGGGCCGATGGCCACCTGCTTTTTAAATAAATCTTTTGTATTATTCTAGTCCTTGGTGATTCTCCTGTCTCTCATTCATTCCCTTTACTCTCCATCTTGAGTTTCCTCTCTTTGTGTTGCACATCTTGTATTCCTAGAGAGGAAATCTAATAAGCTGAAGAGAAAAGGCAGTCACCTTTAAGACTGTAAAGTAGGTTTTAAATCCTACGTTTTAAATTTTAAACCAGGTGGTAAATCCTGGCCCTGCCATTGTTGAGCATTGTGAACTTGGGTTAAGTTATTTGACTTCTCTGTGCCTGGCTTTTTTCATCTGTGAAATGGGGATAAAAGTACCAACCTTGCAGGACTGACATGGTGATTGCCAATTCATCTGTGTTGGTGCTTGACATTTAGTAAGTGCTATGTAAATGGACTCTATTAGTAAATCTGAAACTGCAGTTCAAGAAAGTCTTTTTCTCCGTTTTTGAGAACTATTTTTTCACTGGACTCCTGGAACAAGAAAAAGACCTCAGCCTTCAGGGTGAGGACTCTGGAGGGCCTGTCTGAAGAGAGAGGAGTGTCTGTTCCCCGCCTTCCCAGCCCTGGACGGGCTCTGGTGCCAAGGCCTCCCTGCCTGCTGCGGCCCTGCTTGCTATTGCAGCTGCAGGTGGGCAGAGCGGCTGGCTTTGGGCGTGGAAAGGCGAAGGCCGTTCCGGCCAGCTCCAGGACTCAGCATTTTCCACTACTCCTCGCTCTGTTTGTTTTGCTCTTCGGGCTGCCCCCGCTGAGCGGGGACTTCTGAATGATGTCCAACAGCAACGCCGGGTCTGCCCGAAGTCCTCGCCCACTCTGGAGCTCCCAGCGCCTCGCGTCTCCTCCCGTTGGCAGGCGGAGGGAAGGGGGCCCGGCCGGCCCATGCAGAGAGCTCTTGCACAAAGTACCATTGTATGGGGCTGGTCTGTGGGAGACAAATGAAAGGGATTTCAAAATCAACAGCAAGTTATTTTTATCCGTGAAAAGGCTGAAATGCCTTTCTTTTCCATCTTGGAAAACAAACCTTAAGGGATCATTGTGCCGCAGAGTGTTTTCATTTACTCTGGTATTTGAGCATTTAGGAGAGAGGCTTCTGAAAGACCTGGACTCAGAAATAAAGAAATCCAGAAAACTGGGCTGCCGCCGCCGACGCACCCCTCCCCTAGGCAGGAGTCCACCGGGGATGGCCCAGAACGCCGCGCTCATGTGGCCCCATGCTTTCGTGCCTTTCTCTTGCCCTCCAGAGTGGGCACCTCCTTCCATCCACCCCACCCACCGGCTCTCCTGTTCACTGGCCCGCTTTTCTCATCCAAACTCTTAGCCTTCTGCATCTGAGTGGGGTCCAATTCAGGAATATGTGACCCCTTCCTGTAAGGCAGGAGTCTCCAAGGCGGGGACTGCCCGCTCCAGGAATTGCGCAGAATAGAACACGAGATAAGGGAAGAAACCATTAGAGCTTCTATTCATAGGTACTTTCAATCTAAAAATGGGAACTACTTTTCTATGTACTAATATTGAATGTATATATGGACCCCGGTACCCTCAGACTCCCACGAGTCATTTGCATCCGTGCGAAGCACTGTGAGGAAAGTGAAATTCTGCAAGGTGGGTGGGGGAGGTCCTACTGGTGCCCTGATTTCTCTTTTAGCATATTATGGTGTTTTATATATATATATATATATATACTTCAAGTTCTGTGATACATGTGCAGAACGTGCAGGTTTGTTACATAGGTATACAGGTGCCATGGTGGTTTGCTGCACCCATCAGCCCATCATCTACATTAGATGTTTCTCCTAATGCTAGCCCTCCCCTAGCCCACCACCCCCTGGTAGGCCCCGGTGTGTAACGTTCCCCTCCTGTGTCCATGTGTTCTCATTGTTCAACTCCCACCTATGAGTGAGAACATGTGGTGTTTGGTTTTCTGTTCTTGTGTTAGTTTGCTGAGAATGATGGTTTCCAGCTTCATCCATGTCCCTGCAAAGGACATGAACTCATCCCTTTATATGGGTGCATAGTATTCCATGGTCTTGCATAAACACAGTGAGTCGATTTACAAACCATATTATCCCATTTTAACCGAATCACTTTTAAAAAATGGAAAAGTGTCTTAAAAATTCTTCTGTAAGGAAACTGGAGATTGTTGACAGCAGGAGCAACTCATGCCCAAGAAGGTAAGAAGAATGCCATATCATTTCTTCTACTCCTGGAACAAATTATTTGCCAGCCATGTATTGAAGCTAAAACAAAAGCAATTTAATTAGATTTCACAAGATCTGGCCAAAAAGTTTTCCAAGTCATGAAGACTACATTAAACATGGATATATATTTATTGTCATTAATGATGATTAGTGCTCTGGGGTATTATATTACCAGGCAATGCTAACAGATATTAGCTAGTGCGTGGAGTTTATAAATAAATAAATATGTCTGTATTGAAGGTGGTTCTTAAAAATGTTTACTGATGGGAGTATAGGGTCAGAAAAGTTTTGAAATGACTGCTGTAAAGGAATATTTGCTGAGGGCCAGCAAGATTTCTGCTGGTGGTGGGAAAAGCCCAACATTTGCAACAGATAAAAATCAGTGTTTAAATTCTGACTCTACCACTCAAGTTTACACACTCAGTTTACTATGTGACTTTGGGAATACATGTAACTTTTCTGAGCCTCAGTTTCCTCAAAATAACAATAGTGACACTTACCCCACAGATCTATTGTGAGGATCAGTGAAATACTTTCTATTGAGGGTCCAGGGTAGAACTTGACATATAGTAAGCAATGCTCAAGAAGTGTTTGACTTCTCCACTCTCCCCTTGCTTCTGCTGGGAAGCTAGGGAAGAGCTGTGGGCTCAAGATGGAGCCCATTCTTGGCAAAAGCCTGCTGGTGGGCCCAGGGAGCTTCCCTCATGACTGAGAAGGTCAGCCTGGATTTTCTAACACATCACTAATGGCCTGTTCTTGGCTCTAAGAGGAGAGGACTGTGTGTGTATGTATTTAAAACCACTTTGGGTAGGCCTTCCTGGTGGCTTCCTAACCAGTATGAAACAAACGGTTATATGTTGGTTTCAGTCCAGTTCCCAGCAGACAATCTTTTTTCAAAAAAACGTATGTGTCAGAAGGTATCACACAACAGGGCCACAACTGGCAGGAAGTAGCCCCCCATTATGCAACTGAGCCAAAGTTCTCAGAAGTGAATGAGCCATGGAAAATTAGAACCCCCCACTGAGCCTGGAGCTTGGTCTCTGCCAGAACATTTGGACAGCCAAGCTATGCTATAAAGAAGGAAAAAAGCAATGTGTATGTATCAGAGGGATGGGGTTCAGTTCTTCTAGTTCCTTTCCCAGGCTCCCATTTTGCACACAAGGATACAAGAAGGATGCTGAAGACATCCTAGTGTGAGAGCCTCAATCTTCCTCTCTACCAACTCTGATCCATATTGCTGCTCAAACTGGGATTCATATTCTCTGGACAAAGCCACATGCAGGCTCTGAGAGAGCACTGACCAGCTTGTATATATGGAGGTCATTACGTGTCAGACTCCCCATTCTCAGCAGTGCTTCAGGCTCCAGCCTTAATCCTAGATCCACTACCCCCTTGCAGTTGGTCCTGGGAGAGATTTTTGGGAGTCAGAGACTCCATTCCAAGCTGAAAGAACTTGATCAATGAATGTTTCCTTCACAGTTGTAAACTGGGAGATGAAGGAAAACAAATGAAGCTGTTAAAGGCCAGGGCTCAGAGTACATTTTCGGAATGGAAAGAGACTATATATAAAGAAATAGCAAAGGAGGAGTGAGCTGGTCTGACTGCAGGGTCTTACCTGAACACAATTCACAGGGAAAACTGCTGTGGCCCATTGCTCCCTGAGCAACCTCATGGGTGTGCTCTCCCACAGCCCATTCCAAACAGGTGACCAACCTGTGAGTCAGGCTTGCCTGGGCTGGAGGCAGCTGATACAGGGAATTCACCATTTCCATTCCCGTAACCTGAAAGCGTTGAACTTTGGTCTCTGAGGTTTCACTCCGACAGGGGACAAAACAACCCTTGTTTTTATAACTTGCCTACAGGTTATAAGGAAGGAACACTTTTCTTCCCTCTCCCACCGGCTGCCATACTTGGTCTTAGGTTTGTTTTTTTTTTTTTTTTTTTTCCTCTGAGCCACCCACCTCTTTCCTTGTCTCAGGTCAGACTTTCTTGGGTTTCAGATTAACTGTGCTTGATTTGTGACTCTGACATTTGGATAATTCACTTTCCCATTTTAATAGTTAACTCCCAGAGTCCAATGTGCCAATTCCTATGCTCGTAGACAGTAATGTATTTCTGGGATTCTTCTATCCTACCAAGCATTCTTTACTCTCTGAATTTCAGAAATCCGTCTTGAGGGCTTAATTCTCTTAGAATCAAAATACCGACTTCAGAAGCAGGCAGACCTAAGATCAAGTTGAGGGTCCTTGGACACATAACCATAAGTCTGAATCACTGTTTTCTCTTTTGCAAATGGGATAATACCTACTTGATAGAGTTGTTATATTGTTTAAATAGAATCATGTAATAAAGTGACTTTTAAAGGACCTGATACATGGCAAATGCCCAATAAATATTTGTTTCCTCTCCTTTATCCATTCTACAAGGTAGAGAGTCCCCCTTAAATTGTTTCATTAAATATTAGTTTTATGTATTTTTAAAAGGTTATATATATTGAAAATTTAGATAACATGAAAATATTCAGAAGCCAATTAGAAAACTACCTGATATTCTTCACTATTGAAATTTTAGTATAAATCTTTTCAGCATTTAATTATGTACACATATATTTGATACCAAACATGATTTTTATAGAGGTAAAATTGATATACAGTGATATGCACAGATTTTGAGCAGTTTGATGAATTTTAATAGGTACATTTGTGTAAGCAATACCCCAGAAAATTCCAATATCCACACCCTACCGTCAATCACTATTCTGATTTCTATTGGCATAGTTTTGCCTGTTCTTGAACTTTATAATTTATGGGCATTGGGTATAGTACTGAAAGGTTTTGCCTCAATAGTAAAGCAAAATTAGCCCGAGAGTAAATGCTGTTCTGTTCCTGCCAAATAAAGCTTAAAGGCAAGACTCGAAAGGGTCAAACTATTTCCAAGTAACTTAACTCAAGAGTATTTTTAGGAATACAAAAATATCCACCCAGTCCACAATGTCTGGCATCCAATAAAGAATTACCAGGCATACTAAGAAGCAGGAAAATATGACCCATAATGAAGAAAAAAATCAGCCAGTTGAAAATTTCCAAGAAATGACACAGACGATAGAATTAGTACCCAAGGACATTAAAAGAGAGTAACAATTTCACATGTTGAAGAAGCTAGAGAAAAGACCAAACATGCCAAATGCGATACAAAAGACCTAAGTCAAAATTCTGCAGTTGAGAGCTATATAACATATGACATGAAAGATACATTGGGTGGGATTAATGGCAGATTCAACACTGTGAAGTCCCAGCATAGAAACGACCCATAATAAAGCACATATAAAATAAAGGGTGCAAAGAAAAATGAGCAGAGTGCCAGTGAGCTGTGGGACAGCTTTAAGTCTCTGAATAAACATCCAGTTGGAGTCCCCAGAGAGGCAGGGTGTGTGATAGAAAAAAAAAAAAATGGAAGCATTATTAATGGCTGAAACTATTCAGAATTTGATTGAAACTATAAACTCACTGATCTAAGAAGCCCCACAAACCCCAAGCACAAGAAACATGAAAAAAAATATGCTAAGTACATCAAGTTGCTTAAAGCCAGTGATAAAAAAGAACTCTTAAAAGAACTCTTAAATGTCTTGAAAGATAAGATATTTTACATACAGAAGATCAAAAGAAAAAATAACAGATTCCTTGTCAAAAACAATTCAAGGAGGAAAACAGTGCATAACATCTTTAAAGCAGTGAAAGTAAAAAAACAGGCAACCTAGAGTTCTATACCAAGGGAAAATAATCTTTTGAAACAAAGACTTTTTCTGACACAAAATATTAAAAGCTTTTATCACCAGCAGAAATATACAAAAAGATTATAAAAGACATCTTTTTTTTTCTTTCTTTCTTTCTTTCTTTTTTTTTTTTTTTTTTTTTGCATGGTCCCATGTTTTTTTGGAGAACCTTTTTCTTTTTTTTTTTTTTTTTTTACTTTTTTATTTGTTTTTATTTTTATTATACTTTAAGTTCTAGGGTACATGTGCACAACATGCAGGTTTCTTACATAGGTATACATGTGCCATGCTGGTTTGCTGCACCCATTAACTCGTCATTTACATTAGGTATTTCTCCTAATGCTATCCCTCCCCCTGGCCCCCACCCCATGACAGGCCCCCATGTGTGATGTTCCCTGCCCTGTGTCCAAGTGTTCTCATTGTTCAGTTCCCACCTAGGAATGAGAACATGCAGTGTTTGGTTTTCTGTCCTTGTGATAGTTTGCTGAGATTGATGGTTTCCAGCTTCATCCATGTCCCTACATAGGACATGAACTCATCCTTTTTTATGGCTGCATAGTATTCCATGGTGTGTATGTGCCACATTTTCTTAATTCAGTCTATCATTGATGGACATTTGGGTTGGATGCAAGTCTTTGCTATTGTGAACAGTGTTGCAATAAACATACGTGTGCATGTGTCTTTATAGTAGCATGATTTATGATCTTTGGGTATATACCCAGTAATGGGATCACTGGGTCAAATGGTATTTCTAGTTCTAGATCCTTGAGGAATTGCCACACTGTCTTCCACAATGGTTGAACTAGTTTAAACTCCCACCAACAGTGTAAAAGTGTTTCTATTTCTCTACATCCTCTCCAGCATCTGTTGTTTCCTGACTTTTTAATGATCACCATTCTAACTGGCGTGAGATGGTATCTCATTGTGGTTTTGATTTGCATTTCTCTGATGACCGGTGATGATGAGCATTTTTTCATGTGTCTGTTGGCTGCATAAATGTCTTCTTTTGAGAAGTGTTTGTTCATTTCCTTTGCCCACTTTTTGATGGGGTTGTTTTTTCTTGTAAATTTGTTTAAGTTCTTTGTAGATTCTGGATATTAGCCCTTTGTCAGGTGGGTAGATTGCCACATTTTCCTCCCATTCGGTAGGTTGCCTGTTCACTCTGATGGTAGTTTCTTTTGCTGTGCAGAAGTGCTTTAGTTTAATTAGATCCCATTTGTCTATTTTGGCTTTTGTTGCCATTGCTTTTGGTGTTTTAGTCATGAAGTCCTTGCCCGTGCCTATGTCCTGAATGGTATTGCCTAGGTTTTCTTCTAGGGTTTTTATGGTTTTAGGTCTAACATTTAAGCCTTTAATCCATCTTGAATTAATTTTTGTATAAGGTGTAAGGAAGGGATCCAGTTTCATCTTTCTACATATGGCTAGCCAGTTTTCCCAGAACTATTTATTAAAAAGGGAATCCTTTCCCCATTTCTTGTTTTTGTCAGGTTTGTCAAAGATCAGATGGTTGTAGATGTGTGGTGTTATACCTGAGACCTATGTTCTGTTCCATTGGTCTATATCTCTGTTTTTGTACCAGTACCATGCTGTTCTGGTTACTGTAGCCTTGTAGTATAGTTTGAAGTCAGGTAGCGTGATGCCTCCAGCTTTTTTTTTTTTTTTGCTTAGGATTGACTTGGCAATGCAGGTTTTTCTTTGTTCCATATGAAATTTAAAGTAGTTTTTTCCAATTCTGTGAAGAAAGTCATTGGTAGCTTGGTGGGGTGGCATTGAATCTATAAATTTACCTTGGGCAGTATGGCCATTTTCACGATATTGATTCTTCCTATCCATGAGCATGGATTGTTCTTCCATTTGTTTATGTCCTTTTTTATTTCGTTGCGCAGTGGTTTGTAGTTCTCCTTGAAGATGTCCTTCACATCCCTTGTAAGTTGGATTCCTAGGTATTTTAATCTCTTTGTAGCAATTGTAAATGGGAGTTCACTCATGATTTGGATCTCTGTTTTTCTGTTATTGGTGTATAGGAATGCTTGTGATTTTTGCACATTGATTTTGTATCCTGAGACTTTGCTGAAGTTACTGATTAGCTTATGGAGATTTTGGGCTGAGATGATGGGGTTTTCTAAATATACAATCATGCCATCTGCAAACAGGGCCAATCTGACTTCCTCTTTTCTTAATTGAATACCCATTATTTCTTTCTCTTGCCTGATTGCCCTGGCCAGAACTTCCAACACTATGTTGAATAGGAGTGGTAAGAGAGGGCATCCCTGATAAAAGACATCTTTCAAGCAGAAGAAAAATGATACCAGATAGAAGTCTGATATACTGGATAGAATTAAGAGCCTTGAAAAAAAATTATGTAGACAAATATATTTTCTCATTTTAAACATTTCATTGAAAACTTGGTTTTTTAAAGCAAACACAGAAACAATGTAATATAGGTCTTATTACATATGTAGAAATAAAAATAATATGTATGACGACAACAGTAGTATAAAATTCAGGAGACAGAGAATGGAAGTACATTGTTGCAAGGTTTTCTAATACGCATGTACAAAGTGGTATAATGTTACTTGAAAGATAACTGTGATAAGTTAAAGACGTAATCAATGACACTATATCAACCACTAAAATAATACAACAAAGGATATACGAAATATTTTTAAAAGTATAATTAACCCAAAAGAAAGCATAGAGGAAAAAGGGAACAAAGAATAATAGATGGAATAAACAGAAAAAACTAGCCAGCTGGTAAATTTAAAACCGATCATATACATATTCACATTAAATACAAAAAGTTTAAACACTTCAAAGTCAAGTCAGAGGTGTCATATTGGATAAAAAGAAAGACTCAACTATATGTTACCTATAAGGAATGCACTTTAAATATACAAACATATTAAAATAAAAAGATGAAAAGTTATATACAATGTTAATACTCATCAAAATAAAGCTAATGAGGCTATATTCATATTAAAAAGTAGGTTTTAAAGCAAAGATTACCAGGGATAAAGAGGGCCATTTAATAATGATAAAGTAGTCGCCTCATCAAGATGATATAACAATCCTAAATATTTACACATATAATAACTGAGCATCAAAATACATGGAGCAAAACTTAAGGAAAAACAAACATATTCACAGTTATAGTCAGAGATTTCAGTAATTGATAGAACATATAGACAGAAAGTCCATAAGTATTTAGAAGATTTGAATAACACTATTAACTAAATTGACCTAACTGACAATTACGGAACATTGCACCCAACAACAACAACCACCGAATATACTTTTTATTTAAGTATTAATGAAACATTTCCCAAGAGAGACCATATGTTGAATGAGAAAACAAATCCCAGTAAATTTAAAAGGAGTCAAGTAATAGAAAATCTGTCCTACAGTAACCACAATTGAATTAAATCAGAAATGAGTGTATCAGAAAGATATCTGGGATATCCCAAGTAGTCTCAAGATAATATTTAAAATAACTCATGGATCATTGACAAAATCAAAAGAGAAACTGGAAAGTATTTGGAACTCGATGAAAATGAAAACAAAATACAAAAAATATGTGAGATGTAGCTCAGGCAGCACTTAGGGGAACATTTATAGAACAAAAAGGTTTCATATTAAAAAAGAAAAACATCTTCAAATCAATGAACTCAGCTTCTGCCTTAAGAAACTAGAAGAATAAAAGCAAATAAAACCCAAAGAAAGGAAAAGACATGAAATGATCAGAGCCAAAATAAATGCACTGGAAAACAGAAAAACAATTGAAAAAAAATCAATGAAATCAGGAGATGGTTCCTTGCAAAACTCATAAAGATCAATAATCTTCTAGCTAGACTTATTAGCACAAAAAGAGAAAAGACAAACTACCAATATCAAAAATGAGAGAGGGGGCATATCTAGTTTCTAAAGATATTAAAATATAACAAGCCAAATAGTACAAACTGTATTATTGCAGTTATATAAAATTCTAGAAAAAAGCAAATTATTCTGTCCTGAGAGAAAACAGATCAGCAGTTGCTGAGGATGGAGGTGCAGGAATAATGGATTATAAAGGGACACAAAGAAACTTCTGGAGTTGATTAAATGTTTGTTATTTTGATTGTGGTGATGGTTTCATGAGTATATACGTATTCAAAAGCTGATCAAATTGTACATTTTATACATGTATGGTTTAATGTACTTTAATTATACCTCAATAAAGTTTCTCTGTAATGTCAGCAGTGGCTGATTAGCTCAGTTGGTTGTTGTCCAGTGTTAATGAGGCCAAGACCACAAGCTCAAGTCATTCATAGCCCAGTTAGCTTTTCTATTCCCAGTAGCAACAAAATGCACCTCTATTTTCCTAAAATTTAAGGTCATTGGGTTAGAGTGTGAATGGCTCAGGGAAACCCATAACCACTACAAGGAAAAAATAATTTCTCGGAGTAAATTGTTTACAGATGATGGATCTTACCAGATTCTTGGTTTACAATGGTGAGCACTGTTTCTTGTTTTCTCTAAAATGGTTTCTAACTAATCCCACTTAATTCTGTATTTCACTTTATCTCTTAACATTAAAGACCAAATTAATCGACACATTAAGAGTAACTATTACTTACATAAGTACATATAAATATTTTCATGTCATTTCTTGGCATCTAAATATCTGTTCTTCCTTTTCCTTCTTTTAAATAAAATTTAAATAGTTTCACTGCGGTATAATTGATACATCATAAGCTGTGCAAATTAAAACGCATAATTTGATAGGGTTTAACTTATTGTACACTGTGAAACTATTACCGCATTAACGCTAATGAACACATCACCCAAAGTTCCCTCTAGCCTTGTGTAATCCCTTCCTCCCACACAGCCCCCCATCTCCATCTCCTGTCCTCAGACAACTGATCTGAATTCTGTCACCATAGATTGGTGTATTAGTCTGTTTTTGCACTGCTATAAAGAACTACTTGAGACTGGGTAATTTATGAAGAAAAGAGGTTTAATTGATTCACAGTTCCGCAGGCTGTACAGGAAACAACCTGTACAGCAGACTGGGAGGCCTCAGGAAACTTACAATCACAATAGAAGGTGAAGTGGAAGCAAGCACCTTCTTCACGTGGTGGCAGGAGCAGAAGAGAGAGAGAGAGAGAGAGAGAGTAAGAGAGAGAGACAGCAAAGGAGGAAGTGCCACACATTTTTAAACCATCAGATCTTGTGAGAACTCACTCACTATCATGAGAAAAGCAAGGGGGAAATCCACCTTCATGATCCATGTCGTCCCACCAGGTTCCTCCCCTAACATTGGGGATTACAATTCAACATGAGACTTGAGTAGGGACACAAAATCAAACCATATCAATGAGTTTTCATTTTCTAGAATTTTGTATAAGTGAAATAATACACGATTTATTCTTTTTTGTCTGGCTTCTTTTCCTGAGCATAATAATTTAGAGATTCATTAAGTGCCTTTATAAATGATTTGTTCCTTTTTATTACCAAGAATAGATACCCCCCGCCCCTCCCAACACATTTATCTGTTGATATATATTTGAATTGTTTTCAATTTTTGGCTATGAACAATCACGTAAAAGTCTCAGCACAGACATGTGTTTGTTTCTCTTGGATAAATACTTAGTGGAATTGCTTGATGATGTGTGTTTAATTTTTCTTGTGACATTAATTTTTCATTTTAGAATAAATTTGAGTTTACAAAAAAATTGAAAGTTAGTACATATACTCCCACAGCCAGTTTTTCTTGCTGTGAAGGTATTACATGAGAATGGTACGTTTTTCACAAGTAACGAACCAATCTTGATACATTATTATTCACTGAAATCCATACGCAACTGATATCCTTAGTTTTTACTCAGTATCTTCTTTCTGTTCTAGAGTCCAATCCAGGATTCTTCATTACATGTGTCTCTAGCTCCTTTTGGCTGTGATAATTTCTCAGACTCTTCTTGTTTTTGATCCCCTTGACTATTTTGAGGGGTACTGATTAGATATTTTGTAGAATGTTTCTCAATTGAGATTTGTCTGATATTTTTCTTATGATTAAATTGTGGTTATACAGTTTTTTAGAATATACGTTCAAATTTTTAGAAACTTGTATGCCATTTTCCATGGTAGTAGTACCATGTTACATTCTCACTAGCAATGTTCAAGAGTTCCAGTTGCTCTTCATCCTGGTCAACACTTGACATGGTCAACATTTTTACATTTAGATCTTGTAATGAATATGATATCATTGTGGTTTTAAGTTGCATTTTCCTAATTACAATGATGTTTGGCACTTTTTCATATGCTGATTGGAGATTCTTATATCTTCTGTATAGTGTTCCAACCTTTTGCCATTGTCTTCTCCTTGATATATTTTTGAATATATTTTTATTTTATTTTTGTCAAATATATGTGCATAAATATGTTCTCACAGTCTGTGACTTGCCTTTTAATTTTCTTAATGGTATCTTTTGAAGAACAAATTTCTTTTCATTTTAATGAAGTTCAATTTATTAGTTTTCTCTTCTGTGGTTCAGGTTTTTGGTATTATATCTAGAAATATCTTGCTTAATGCAAATTTTTTCTACTATGTTTACTTATAAAAGTTTTACTATGTTTACTTACAAAAGAGTTAGGTTTTACATTTAGGTCTATGATTCATTTGAATTAATTTTTGTGTATGGTTGAGTACAGATCAAATTTAATTTTTTGCATGCAGATATTTAATTGGTTTACTACCATTTGTTGAAAAGATTTTATTATGTTTTTCAAAAATCAATTGAATAAATATGCATTAGTCTATTTCTGAAGCTTTTATGCTCTTCTGATCTATATGTCTATATAGTCCTCTGACTGATCTGTCTATTTTGTTCACCAATTCCAAACTATCTTGGGTAATGTCATTTTATAGTAAACTTTTGTATTCAGTAGGGTAAATCCTCCAACTTTGTGTGTATGTATTTTCTTTTGTTTTAATGAAAATTGATTTGACCCTCTGCATTTCCATACAAACTTTAGAATCCACTTGTCCATTTCTACAAAGGAGCCTGATAAAATTTTGATTGATATTACATTTAACCTATAGATCACTTTGCAAAGAATTTCAATTTTAACAACATTTGGTCTTCCTATCTATAAGTGTGGTACACCTTACTATGTATTTTAGTCTTTAATTTCTCTCAGGAACATTTTAGTCTTTTCAGTGTAGAGCTCCTGGGAATCTTTTGTTAGATTTATTATTAGACATATCTTCTGGCAACACTGTAAATGTAATTTAAAAATATATACTTTCTATTGTTTGCTGTTATTGTATAAGAATAACATTGATTTTTGTATGTTAACCCTATATCCTACAATCATGCTAAATTTATTCATTAGTTTTAAAATTCCTCCGCTTTTACTGACATAAAAAGTCATATCATCCACAAACAGGAACATGTTTGCTTCTTCCTTTTCAATTATTACATCTTCTTTTTCATTTTTTGGCCTTTATTGCAATGTCTAGGGCCATTGATAATTTTTGGATATCATTTGTATGATGAAAAATGAAGTGCACTCCCAGTGGCCTTTTGAACTCCCTTCATCCTCTGACTTTTACTCAAAATACTACCAAATAGATTAAAAGCACTGATTAAAAATTAGTCTCTTATACTTACAAATGTAAGAACACGAACAGATTTAGTGCAAAGATGGACAAATATTTTTGTTGTGCCAAGAATACAATAATGGAGTATGTAGCATGTGATATGTTAATACCTACTATTTGCATGTTATTTCATGAATTTGAAGATACTTTTGTATCTTACACATAAGTGTACATAAAATAGTAAACACAAAATTCCAGGGATGTAGCCAGTTTGATGTTTTAAAAATCCAGCTTCTGGTGGCAGTGTAGATTTTTTTCATAACAAGTCATGGGAAATAACCATTAAGTGATGATATTTGGTGAAATAAGGAAGATCCTACGGTCTAACTCAGTATAACATATTCACCCAAAACTAAAAACCTCCAGCTCTGAGTTGCAGCATTAATAAAAGAAACAAGCAATCACAGTGGGCATACTCAAGAGTTCTCAGAGAAGAGTTACCTTTCTAGAACTTGCTCATATTTCTGTAGTGGCTTATAAGAATAGAAAAATCAGTCTTCGTTTTGAGCACTTGCCAAAAAGTTTTTGCAGTTAGTACGGCCTTATTCAAAGAAATGACCATCTTGACAAGCATTAGTGATGATCATTATGAGACACAGAAGAAGCTTAGTGGCAGTGAAAAAAAAAATGGAATCAGAATTAGGATACTGAAAGTTCCCTTAGCCAACAAGCAAAACTTGGTATTAACTGCCCAACGTGTGGCTATATCTGCTGTTATTGGTAGAAAAGTGCATGTGTGTTTGCATGTCTGTTGACCGTTTGTGTATAGTTCATTCCATACCTTGAATGTAACTTGTTTGATAACTAATTCTTTTTGTTGACTTTTACACATCTTGAATTACTGTATTAGCCTCTAACACTCAATCTAAGTACAGCCATCTGATACTTGCTGTCAAGATCAATAGGTAGGAGGGGGTACCTTTTAGGTGCTCTGCCTGTCTCACTTTCCCACACATCATTACATTTTCCCACTACATTTATCTGAGCACCTTTGGAATTTCTGGCTATAAAGCTAAAAAAGTTCTAATTTTCTCATCTGTAGAAATTGGAATAATAGTAGTTAGCTATTTTGCAAGTCCTGCTATATGCAAAACAATATGCTAAACACTTTACATGTTTATCTTAAGGTAATAGTACCCATCTTCTAGGGCTGCTGTGAGGATTAAAATAGATGTATGTGAAGCACAAAATCCAACCCCTGAGACAAAATGAATATGAAGTAAGGCTTAAGCATTAATTAATGATATTAATATGTTTCTACTATTAAGATGGTTTGTTTGACAAGAGTCACATTAATATCCAAATCGATCATTTTATCAAAATTACATGCAATACTATGGTATTTATCTTTACATATGCAACTGTGTGTCTGAAACTGTTTCTTAAGGCTAAAACTCTTAGGAATGGAATTACTGTTGAGACTCATTTAGTTGCAAGTAATAGGAAGCATCTTGAGCTCTCCTTGGGAAAAAAAAAAAATTTCTAGATTCAGAGGTGAGTGATGGGCCTCTGTGATTGTCAGGAAGGCAGCTGGAACTGTGCAGGTTCCAGAGCCAGGAACTGAAAAACTGTCAGAACTTCCTCTCCATCTCTTGTTTCTCCTGTCTGTGCATCTGTGGCATTCTTCTCTCTCTTGGTAGGCAAGTTTCCACTGTTTTTCTTGTTCCACATGATAGGAAGCATGACCTTGCAGCAATTCCAGAATTTATGCATCATCGGTCCAGCTACATAACAAGAGGCCAAATCTCTCTCTTTCTCTGTTACAATTTAAAAATCCAGAGGACGGGGCTCAGTGCTTACTCCTGCCTATGTAGCTGTGGCTGTGGGGAAAGACACCCATCACTGGGGGCTTCTCTTGAGGGTGGGCAGACAGGGTCCAGAACAGAGTGCCTGGCAAGCAACTCTGTTTCCACTCTACTGGGTCAAAGTCCATGCACATAATACTTTTTTTTTCTTTTCTTTTCTTTTCTTTTTTCTTTTCTTTCTTTCTTTCTTTCTTTCTTTCTTTCTTTCTTTCTTTCTTTCTTCTTTCTTTCTCTTTCTTTCTTTCTTTCTTTCTTTCTTTCTTTCTTTCTTTCTTTCTTTCTTTCTTTCTTTCTTCTTTCTTTCTTCTTTTTTTTTTTTTTGAGACAGACTCTCCCTCTGTTGCCCAGGCTGGAGTGCAGTGGCATGATCTCGGCTCACTGCAACCTCCACCTCCTGGGTTCAAGTGATTCTCCTGCTTCAGCCTCTGGAGTAGCTGGGATTACAGGCGCCCACCACCACATCCAGTTAATTTTTTTTTTTGTATTTTTAGTAGAGACGGGGTTTCACCATCTTGGCCAAGCTGGTCTTGAACTCCTGACTTTATGATCCACTCACCTCGGCCTCCCAAAGTACTGGGATTACAGGCATGAGCCACACTTTTAATGTATATTCCCAGATTTCTCTCCAAAATGATTTATCTTTATATTTCTACTAATGGTATATGTGAGCAGCTGTTTCTAAATAAAAATAACATCTCTCCAGTCTGTTCTATAACATCTCTCCAGTCTGTTCTATAACATCTCTCCAGTCTGCTCTATTACATTCAAGTCTTTCAACTGTAATCATCAATGAAGGTAAATAATATATTAGAGAGGGAGAATCTAATGTTATGTCTTTTTCCTAAGGCAAAACATCTCTTCTACATCTTAAACTCCTGCCTAAACTCCTTTCTTAACATCTCCTTCCCTTTTGCCCCTACTTTTGGGCAGCCTCAAAGGAGCTAGGCTCATCCCTCAGCCCCAGCCACTCTCCCAAGAGGTTTACCAGCTCTCATAATTTCATTTAGCACTTTTGTAATAATGATCTTCAAAATCTAACTGCTCTTCTCTTATGTCATTAATAACACATTCTTTTAATATTTATGGTCAGAAACTGAGACATCGACTTCGACTTCTCCTTTTCCCTCCTTGGCTATATCCAATCTCTTACCAAGATTTTTTGGTCATATACATAGGTGTCTTTGTTTCTTTTTTTTTCTTTATTTTTATTTTTTTGAAATGGAGTCTTGCTCTGTCGCCCAGGCTGGAGTGCAGTGGTGCGATCTTGGCTCACTGCAAGCTCTGCCTCCCGGGTTCACAGCATTCTCCTGCCTCAGCCTCCCGAGTAGCTGGGACTACAGGTGCCCGCCACCACGCCCGGCTAAGTTTTTGTATTTTTAGTAGAGATGGGGTTTCACCGTGTTAGCCAGGATGGTCTCCATCTCCTGACCTCGTGATCTGCCCGCCTCGGTCTCCCAAAGTGCTGGGATTACAGGCGTGAGCCACCGTGCCCGGCCGGGTGTCTTTGTTTCTTTTTTGCCTGCCACCTCTCTCTGTAATTCAGTCTACAGGCAAGCAACAAATGTTAGATCCTCAGATCCCAAGTTTAGATTTTACATTTGAGTCATATTCGATAACTGACTCTTTTAGCCCCAATTCCAAATTCTCTGAGTGGGTCATGTACCTATTTCTAGATCAGTTAGGTATGGCCAAGGGTGAGGGTCACATAGCAGAAATATGAATGGCTGTTGGTCCCTATAGGTGGGATGTGTTGTTTCCAAAACAGAGGGTCTGAGAGGAAAACTCCATAGGAGGCCATTAGCTGAATCATTGAAACATCAGAGAAAGAAATTCAAATGTTATCAGTTACCAGAATTTGGGAAATATTCAGTATCTTTTTGATGAGCTTTCAGTTCAAATATAGATTTCCTGAGTAAATAAAGCTTAATTTTATGCTGGAAATTTTTATATAATTATTTGATGAAAAAATAATAAAAATGATAACAATATTTTTAAAAAATAACAAGATAATTTTTTTTGAAAGTGAAAATAATACAAATGGAAAAGGATACATCATTCTATCTTCCTGTCTTTGGTTTAGACAGAAAATCACACCACCAGCGACCAGCAGCCTTTGCAGACCCACATTTTCTTCACATGGACACGTAGCTTGTGACTCGTCTGCTGCAAAGGTTTATGGCCTTCACCTCCCTGTTGTTTCATGCTGCTGGAGGGACATTAGCACTCTGGGTGTTCCCAGTTGTGAAAGGATCTTAATATGAGTTGAATTAGGATCAGGAATGGTAAGCAGACAGGTCTAGAAGAGGCTTCCCCACAGTTTAAAATATTACTCTTACTACATTAACAACCAAAATTAAGCTCAAAGAAAACAATGAAACTCAAGGAGACAGTCACTCTTTTGACTTTTACATTTTCAGGCATCCCTATTAAGTATTCCAAGGTAAAGAAGTACATCAAGCTTTTCCTGCCTCATCTCTCATATTCTATACTTTTTTCATGCAGAATTTTTTCACCCAGGGTTTGCTGTACAATTTCATGCCTCTGGGCTTAAGCAACTATTGTTGCCTTTGTCTTTTCTGTGTAGCAAGAGTCGATTTCTTCTGTGTACTAAGGGTCATGTGGCAAGAGTCTACTGCTTCCCCAACATCTGGATCAAATACCTCTTCTTCTACGCAGGCTTTCGTCAAATCTTTCCTCCTCTTCCACTTCTACTGGTACAGCAGTTCCTTTCTATGTGAACCCATCACACTTTGACTCCTCACTCTTTAGTATTTAACAAATAGGTTGAACACGTACTTTGTGTCAAGTATAAGTAGTTGACTTGTATAGGATGAAAATATTAGATGAAAAAGCATTATTCTCGCCTACAAATAGCTTTTAGTTTCATCAAGAGACACAAAAATGAAAATACTATATAACATGTTGGCACTTTTCTTCTTTACTCCTGGTGTTTCCTTTAATGTGGAAGGAGCTCCATTAGTGTGACACTCCCAGCTTTTCTCTGCTCCTTGCTTGCTCCCCTCCCAGGAATACTATGTTTAATGGGTGGGTTTTGAAAGAAGAAATTAGTCCTGCCCGTGAGGGATTTATATTTGTTTTTGTTAGGCCATGCCATAATTCTCATACTGGTATAGGCCCCCGAGTGGGGAAAGGTGACCTGTTCATCTGAGCCTGCATTTGGGAGTGTAAGTTAGCCTAATCTGGAAATATCATTAGGAAGCTCCCTTGTCCAATTGCCCTTAGGTGTAAACTCATCGCTGTTACATCAGCTTCATCAGTAATAAGGGTCATATTTTGGTATCCTGTCTCATATGCTGTTTTTTGTTTTTATTTTTATTTCTTAATTTTTGCAGAGCTTGGGTAGAAAAGGAGAGTGCTATTAATATGTTCTGCTCCTTCCAACCCTCCCCATCATTCATGTAGACAGGTGCAGAGCACAAGGAACTTGAGAAAGGGGGACCCAAAGGAATCACAGACGTTGTCACAGACGAAGCAATGTGAAAATTCTTAGGGAAAAAGTCGGAGTGTTTGGTGGACAGGACAGAGACACTGTTCCTGTTATGGGAGACAACGTGTCCACAGCAGGAGCACAGTGGTTTCACGGAAGAATACATCCACTGGGTGGAGGCACTGAGGGTGTCCAGAGCTGGGACTGGATAGGAAAATAAGAATCGATTCACAAAGGGATCTGTCACATTAAGGAATTCCGTTACTTTTCAATAGCCAATGGGGGACCACAAAAGAATCTTAAATTGAGGAATGCTATGAGAAAATTTGGGCGTCAAAAATATGATGTGAACAGCAGTGAGAACCTGACTCAGCGGGGGTGAGAGAGAGCTGGGGGCTAGAGATGGGTTGTGCACCAGTCCATGTGGGAGCTGACAAGGGACCCGAGCAAGCAGTGACAACAGGAGAGGAGCAAAAGGAAGGGGCTCAGGAGATCTTGGAGAGGTAGAGGCTGGGATACAGTGACTAAATGTGGGAGATAGGGGAGCTGGGAAGGCCCATGCTTGCTCCTAGATTTTAGGATTGGGCATCTACAAGTGGAAAGGAGGGGGTGTCTCTAATCTTTAATCTTACCATCTAAGATGTTGCATCATAATTCATTGATAATTCAATCACACTTGGTCATGACCTCTTCAAAAAGAGTAATGATGGCTTTCAATTGAGTATCCACATGGCCTAGCATATTGCCTGATATATTGTGGGCTCAAAATACTTCTTTCATTTTTCATGTTTTCTGAAAAACACATATAGTACTTACTATGTGCCAGATACTATTCTAAGTTCTTTACAAGTATTATTTCACATGCTCTTTGTAACAATCCTATGGGATAAGCATTCATATCCTCCCTTTGCAAATTAGGAAACTGAGGCACAGAGCTGAAGTACTTTGCTTGAGGTGATACCAAAATAAGTGGCAGAGCTGGGTGTCAAGCTCATGCAGCCTAGCTTTGGGGATGTTGCTCTCAACCCTTGTGTTACACTGAATAAATATACAACTCTCTTGAAGCCTGCTAGGTTAATACCTCCAAAGTGACTTCTATCCATTTTCAATTGATTAACATCTTTACAACTCAGCTGAGCTTTCCTTTGACCCTCCAGTGCCTCCTTGAGCCAAGGCTGGGTTTGCTGCCCCTCCTGTGGGTTTTCAGGGTCCAGTCCTTGCCTCTGTCAGGGGGCAGACGCTTGCACCTGCTTATTCATTCCGGCTGGTGAGCACCCTGAGGGCAGGAGATTGTCTAACATGTGTCTATGGTCAGAGCACCTAGCATTCATTTATTTTGGCTAAAACCAGAAACAAATCACCCAACAAAGTTGATGCCCATGTGGCAGGACCAGGAAGACCCTTGAAAAGTGACACTTGAGAGAGCTGGTGGTGGGGGAAGGAGATGAATTGCAGGTATAGTGAGAAACTGCTCATTAGGGCCCGAGCCTTCTCATCTCATGAAGAAAGGGAGTAGAGGTGGAGAATTCCCTTCCAGTGAAGCCTCCAAACATCTGTTTCTCATCTTACTATCCATTTATGATTTTCTTCCTCTTCCTACCTCTGCCTCTTGGGGTTGGCTGCAGCTGGAAAGCCCATGTGGAAGTAAAATTCTCGGTAAATCACCAGGAAGCCTCCAGGGCTTTCAGGCTCATTTTTCACTGCAAACGGCCAAATCCAGCAGAGGCTGGTGAAGGTTGGTGAAGAAAGCCTGGCCTGGAGCACTTCTGAGTCTGGTTTCTGCTCTGCACAATGAGTGGAGAGTGAGGGCATGAGAGTATGTGCACAGGTGTTGGCCCCCACGCTTCCTTACTGCTCTTGGCAGGAGTCAGGGGTCCAAGCCTCTAAATGGCCAAGCCTGACAGATCTTCGAGGGATCTCCTGCTGTATTCCACTGAGGACAAGCTGTTGTGCTTCCATGATAAAGTCTCCGTAAATGCCATATCTGCCTCGGGGCTCTGCGCTTGCCACCCACAGACTTCACAGGAAAGGAAACAGGGGCTGGGAGAGGATGCCTAAATGACTTGGCTGTAGTGGGAGCTGCACCAGGCAGAGGAGGCTGTGAGATCCTAAGAACCAGGTAATAGGAAATGTCATCTACTAGACAGCTTCTGCAGCACAGATGGTAAAACTTCACTTCTGTATACCAATATTGCCTTTTAAGTTTAAGCTGCTTTCTATTTAATTAAGCTACATTCACATTTGGTTGGAGAGTCAGGTTATGGCACAAAGTTCCACAGGCAGCGAAAATTGCAATGAACCTGTTATGACAATCAAGTTCTAGGATGAGCTCCCTGATAGATGCCGCAACTCTGTGTACATCATTTAGCCTCCAAGTCTGGTTTCATCAGACTTTATAATTCAAGTGATGCTGTATTAGGATAATAGATTTTGCTTTGAGATTCTCCAGGGATGATGGTAGTAATAACTTTCTGTTATGAATGTGATCATTCTTGAGGGAGGTTTTTACTGGAACTTCAGGCATTGGTAGTTCTTTCTGGAGGTCTTGGACTCATCTGGGAGGGGCCTTTATGGTATCGTGCTGGGCTTTGGATATTATCTGTAATTTCTTCTCTTTCTTAGCCCATTAAAGTCCTCTAGTGACAGTAGAATAAATTCTCAGTCCAAGGGTCTTTCCATTAATGAATTTGCTCAATTTCATGGACTAAATTTGAGACTCACATGATATAAAAAATGATTTCCTTGCTACATCCAAGTGTGAGAAACATCCTGGAAAATATAGTTTCCAGAAAACATTGAGGGTTTATGAAAATAACAAATGAGATGATTTGAATTGAGGCTCTACTTGACAACCGAGCACTTGAGGTTCCCATATACAAGTGCCTTCCCTGTTTGTCTTTTAGAATTCCCTGGAAGAACTTCGTGCTTGCACATCTGCTCCCAAATTTCCATTTGACACTGAGTATAAGTGTTTCCACACTACTACAGTGGGGGAATGATAATATTCTGGTGGAATTCACACTAAGAGGAAAATGGCTAATATTGGAGCCTGAGGGAAGTTGGGAGCCCACTTGTGTGTCTGAACTGAACTGAATAGATAACATTGCCCCCGCTACAGACAAAGGTGGAAAGCCCATTAAAAAACACCGCATGTTCTCACTCACATGAGAATTGAACAATGAGAATGCTTGGGTACAGAGTGGGGAACATCACACACCGGGGCCTGTCGTGGGGTGTGGGGCGGGGGGAGGGATAGCATTAGGAGATATACCTAATGTAAATGATGAGTTAATGGGTGCAGCACACCAACATGGCACATGTATACATATGTAACCAACCTGCACGTTGTGCACATGTACCCTAAAACTTAAAGTACAATAATAATAATAAAAGGAGACTTGAGAATCTCCCTGCTGCTTTGTTTGATGAAAGCTTTGTTGTTGGGACAATTCACCATACCTAGCTCTAACTTTTCTTAGAACGAGTTGTGCCAGAGACACCACAGGGCTAAGAGAAATAGACATTTTTTTGATTTTGTTTTTTGTATACTTTCAACCGCGAATTTGAGAGAAATGCACAAACATGTTGAATCTGGCAGTATTATCCAGTATACCGAATAATAGTAACAACAACAACATCTAACATTTGTAGAGCCCTTGCTATGTGTCAGGCATAGTGTTGTTCACTCTGCATAAATTATATCATTTCATTGTCACAACAATGTTAAGAGCAATGTACTCTCAATATGCCTATTTTGCTTATGAGAAAACTGAGGCAAGTATGGGGAGTGATTAAACAACGTGTCCAAATTCACGTAACTAAGTGGCTGAGTTTGTTCTTAACAGGACTGGTTGGTTGACTGCAGAGTCTATAATCTGTGTTGTCTGCTGCTTCTCTGGAAACTGAGAGTTCTGCAATGTAAGGCAACTTTTAGCTCACAGCTTTCTCAGAGTATCACCTAACATATCTTTACTTCCATAACTAGCGAATAAGACTGATGTTTAGAGTTTCAAGCAAGCAGGTACCCAGGAGTTGGATGTTTAGGACTTTTCTTCTTCCATCTTCCCAGGAATAACTGCTGGCAATATATGTAGTTCTGGTACTCTTGTTAATTCCATTTCAGTGGCTGGATGTAGGTGGAAATGGGAAAGGGAACTTGGTTATTATTACTACTGAAAATGGGTAAAGGCATAGTAATACTCCTGGGAATGTCAAGATATGACTTTCTCTGAGTAAACCCAAAGGCAGAGGGAGGAGATGATAAGCGATTCCGTGGCTTTAACTTTCCCTCTCACTTAGAAATATGTGACAGAAAGAATGAGAAAACAAGGCATGACAGAAAACAGTGACAAAATGGTCCCTGCCAACCAACAGGGATGTCTTAGGATCAAACAGCTCAGCCAGAGGGGAACTGGATCCTTCATGGTACCTTGAGAGCCCAGTGGGGCCGCTCATAGTCAGCTATCCCTGTGCAGGGCCTGCCATTCTCCTTATTTGGACTGTGCTTATTAACAAATCCTGTGCTTTGGAGGAGGGATGTCCCATTCCCTCAACCCACACATGGGCTTTAGATCTGTGGTTTCCTCTCTTCCTTTGTCCCCAATGCTGTGTAAGTCCAAGTGGATGGGGAAAGCTCTGTTGACATTTTGGAGGGAGGAGAAGGAAACGAGTGGGTGAGTAGGCTCCAAAGCCTCTTTCTGCAGCTGTGACCTTTAGGCAAGCTTTTCTTTCTCAGGGCTCAGAGCTCACAGTGGGCTCTCTGGGAGCATGTCTGATTTGCATATCTTTTCCACCTCCTTAAACTGAATGAGGCCCGGGGAGGAGGAATCTTCAGAAGATGAAGCAGCTGAAGTGGAGGGAATCTGTGTCAGCCAAGATGACACCAGTCAGGAACTCAAGCTTGAAGATGACCAGGCTCTCCCACCACAGCCTGCTACGGGGCTGGAATCCCCATTTCCCATCATTCTCCAGGGGGCTCCTAAAGAGGTGGGCATATTTTTTTCCTGGTTTGAAACATGATGTGAATTGAAGGCAGAGAATATGGATGGTTCAAAGAGCTCCAGTCTGGTCTGGTCACTTGGAGGCCTGGTTTCCAGTCCAGCATACTGCCATGTCTCCCCTAGCTCCATCTACCAAGCAAAAATCATAATGCTGGCCATTTCATAGGCTAGTGTAATATCATGAATCATGATCTCACTTGATTCAAAATGTCCTGTAAATGGTAAGGAATTATTCTCATGTAAGAGGTGACTATTATTACTAAAACAAAGTTGTAAAGACTTGGAACCAACCCAAATGCCCATCAATGATAGACTGGATAAAGAAAATGTGCACATACACACTGTGGAATATTATGCAGCCATAAAAAAGAATGAGTTCATATTATTTGCAGGGACATGGATGAAGCTGGAAACCATCATCCTCAGCAAACTAACATAGGAACAGAAAACCAAACACTGCACATTATCACTCATAAGTGGGAGTTGAACGATGAGAACACATGGACACAGGGAGGGGAACATCACACACCAGGCCTGTCGGGGGGTGAGGGGAAAGGGGAGCAAGAGCATTAGGCCAAATATCTAATGCACGTGGGGCTTCAAACCTAGAGGATGGGTTAATAGGTGCAGCAAACCACCATGATACATGTATACCTGTGTAACAAACCTGCACGTACGGCACATGTATCCCAGAACTTAAAAAAAAAAAAGCAAACAAACAAAAAACCATAGTAGTATGTTTTTAAATAATAATATACGTTAATTGTTATTACTTAATAACATAAGCAGCTAATATTTACTAGATACCACATTAAATACTTTAATAAAACATATATATACATATGGTGCCTACTGTGTGCAAGACACTGTTCTAGAAACTGAAAGAAACAAGATTTTTGCTCTCCTGGGACCTACTTACTCCTGGGAGAGACAGACAAAAAAATCACAAAAATAATTAAGATAATTTTAGACATTAATGAATATTGCAGAGCAAATTGGCTGGGTTTGGTGGCTCACACCTGTAATCCCAGCACTTTGGGAGGCCCAGGCAGGTGGATCATTTGAGGTCAGGAGTTTGAGACCAGCCTGGCCAACATAGTAAAACCCTGGCTCTACTAAAAATACAAAAAATTATCTCGGTGTGATGGTGGGTGCCTGTAATCCCAGCTACTCGAGAGGCTGAGGCAGGAGAATTGCTTGAACTGGGGAAGTGGAGCTTGCAGTGAGGAAATGGAGATCGTGCCACTGCACGCCAACCTGGACAAGAGAGCGAGACTCTGTCTCAAATAATAAGCACTTATTTAATAAATGGTGCTGGGAAAACTGGCTAGCCATATGTAGAAAGATGAAACTGGATCCCTTCCTTACACCTGATACAAACATTAATTCAAGATGGATTAAAGACTTAAATGTTAGACCTAAAACCATAAAAACCCTAGAAGAAAACCTAGGCAATACCATTCAGGACATAGGCACGGGCAAGGACTTCATGACTAATACAAAAAGCAATGATGACAAAAGCCAAAATAGACAAATGGGATCTAATTAAACTAAAGCACTTCTGCACAGCAAAAGAAACTACCATCAGAGTGAACAGGCAATCTACAGAATGGGAGAAAATTTTGCAGTCTACTCATCTGACAAAGGGCTAATATCCAGAATCTACAATGAACTCAAACAAATTTACAAGAAAAAAACGAACAACCCCATCAAAAAGTGGGCGAAGGATATGAACAGATGCTTCTCAAAAGAAGACATTTATGCAGCCAACAGACACAAGAAAAAATGCTCACCATCACTGGTCATCAGAGAAATGCAAATCAAAACCACAATGAGATACCATCTCATGCCAGTTAGAATGGCGATCATTAAAAAGTCAGGAAACAACAGACGCTTGAGAGGATGTAGAGAAATAGGAACGCTTTTATGCTGTTGGTGGGAGTGTAAATTATTTCAACCATTGTGGAAGACAGTGTGGCAATTCCTCAAGGATCTAGAACTAGAAATACCATTTGACCCAGTGATCCCAAAGATCATAAATCATGCTACTATAAAGACACATGCACATGTATGTTTATTGCAGCACTGTTCACAATAGCAAAGACTTGGAACCAACCCAAATGTCCATCAATGATAGACGGAATTAAGAAAATGTGGCACATATACACCATAGAATACTATGCAGCCATAAAAAATGATGAGTTCATGTCCTTTGCAGGGACATGGATGAAGCTGGAAACCATCAATCTCAGCAAACTATCACAAGGACAGAAAACCAAACACCGCATGTTCTCACTCACAGGTAGGAACTCAACAATGAGAACGCTTGGACACAGGGTGGGGAACATCACACACTGGGGCCTGTCGTGGGGTGGTGAGCTGGGGGAGGGATAGCATTAGGAGAAATACCTAATGTAAATGACGAGTTCATGGGTGCAGCAAACCAATATGGCACATGTATACATATGTAAGAAACCTGCATGTTGTGCACATGTACCCTAGAACTTAAAGTATAATAAAAAAGAAAGAAAGGAAAAAAGAATACTACACAGAAAATGGGCTAGAGAGTCCCGGGGTGGGGAACACAGCAGCTTTAGATTCATGGTTCCCTGCTGAGGAGGTGACTTGTGCTGAGACAGAAGACTTGACAATAGGGGGTGGGGGTCTCCCTGAGAAGAGAAGAGCAGGCTGACACTCCTGCACAGAGCACACTGGAAGGCAGAGAGAGGGCCTGGCAGGGTGGGTGGTCAGAGCAGATCCACCAGTGGACCAGGGCATGAGTTGAGTTTTTGTTTTTGTTTGTTTGTTTGTTTGTTTTTGAGACGGAGTCTTGCTCTGTCGCCCAGGCTGGAGTGCAATGGCGTGATCTCAGTTCACTGCAACCTCTGCCTCCTGAGTTCAAGCGATTCTCCTGCCTCAGCCTCCTGAGTAGCTGAGACTACAGGCGTGCGCCACCACTCCTGGCTAATTTTTTGTATTTTTAGTAGAGACAGAGTTTCACCATGTTAGCTAGGATGGCCTTGATCTCCTGACCTTGTGATCTGCCCGCCCTGGCCTTTCAAAGTGCTGGGATTACAGGCATGAGCCACCCCGCCCAGCCATGAGTTGAGTTTTATGGGCCGCCAGCGGGTGTGGCTTGTGGACCATGGTTAGGATCTTATTCCTGGTGGTGGGAAACTGTTGGAGGGTTTCAATGGGGCAGCAACATGATCAGATTCATTTTTTGGCAAGAGTGAACACAGAAAGATCTGTTAGGAGGATTCCACCTACATGATCTCAATGGATGATCATAACCCTGCAAGGGCTGACGTGTCTTACATTGGGACACTGAGGCTTTAGGGATCCCGAGTGGCTTTTGTAAAGCCACACTGCTGTTGAGTCGTGGAACCCAGATTAGAACCCAGGTGGCTAGGGTTCCAGAACCTGCTTTCATAACCTTCAGCATAGCGTTTCTCCCATCAAAAGCTTGTGTAAGCCACTGCCAGCATTGCTGTTAATTGTGGCTCACCAAGGCTTGGAGAGAGCTGGATGAGAGGGGAGCAGAGTCCAGCGTGGGTGGGGCTGGACTGGCAGTGGCAGAGGAGAGGCAGCTGCTGTTCACATCAGGGTCTGGATGGCCTTGTCGCCGCAGGAGGCTGCGCTGCTCCACCCTCCCAAGCGTTTCCCAGCTCCGTCACAGGGTCTCCGTTCCCACCACAGTGTGTCCCAGCAGTTCCATTTGTATTTGTACCCAGAGAGCTCCACTGAGGCCTGTGGTCACAGAGTGACTCCCTTCCATGTTCTGCCACAGGTTGCAAGCCATAGGGTGAAGGTCACACAGTTTTGTTTGGCCATAACAGCTGCCTCCATGGCAACAGCGTGTGATATCACTGGAAAAGCCATTTGTGGGACTCCAAGCTGGAAGGAAAAGGCAGAGTTGGAGAGAGCTGTAGCGGGAGACAGAGAAAGGGCAGGGTCTCTCCGGATGCTCCAAGGTGCTGGACGCACAGGTCCCTTTCTGTAGTCCTTGTCATGTAAGATCTTTTCATTTAGGCTAAGCAAATCCAGATGTTCTTCAAATAATTCAGGCATATTTGGCCCAAGCATAAACTTGTCTTCATTTTTCATCCAATCTGACAAACGTTTGCAATCGCCTCACTCTGTGAGTTCCAGGACACCTTCGGGCTGGAAGGGGTTAATGAGAACAAGCCCTCCCTGGTGGCTTCCCTTCCCCCTGGTGCTGCCCCTCGGCCCCTCCCAGGCCAGCAGGATTTGCTGTCCAAAGGCCCTCAAAAGACATCCAAGCAGTCTTTTCTTAGAAACAGGAAACTGTCTTCGGCCAAGTACAAATGAAGTGAAGCACCCAGAAACCTGAGGACCGCTCCAAACTGAGGCCTGGAGGCAGACAGGGAGGGCCCAACTCCTGGCAGGGCCTCCAGGACTCAGGCTCTCATGAATGAGACTGAGCTCAGCTGCAGCCTCAGCCATTCTTCGTTGCACTCAACCCATTATGTAGTGACGGTAACAAATTCATTGAATGACCTTCGGCATATATATATATATGTGTGTGTGTCTATATATATATATGTATATATATGTATATATATATGTGTGTCTATATATATATAGACACACACAGTATTTACACAATATTAGTTATTTGTTACTTTTTATAACCTCATCACCATTTCATTGGACAGACACTAATCACTAGCAGGATTGGAAATGTCACTGACATGCTGCTTAGGAAGTGATTTGAATAGAGGAGAATGGAATAAAATGGAGATCGTGTTTCTTTCTAAACACAGGAGGAATAGTGATGGGGAGACACAGTACAAAGGTGGGTAATTGGTATATCTTTTGTGCTAAGCTGCTTCACAATTCTGTAAACTATCTTTTAGAGGGCTAAATAAATATCTTCCAATTTCCTTGAGGACTGGGACCACATCTGTTCACTGTGGACTCCCTAGCACCTAGCTTGGTGCCTGGAATTGGTAGCTACTCAATAAATAGGTTTTTGGATGGATAAATGAATAAACAAACAAATAAATCAATGAACTTAATTCTTGATTTCTCAAGATCATAAAAAGATAATATTGAATTGGGGAATGTTACTTGCCAGATATTCGGGAAAGGGAATAGAGGAGAGAAAGACAGTTGGTATGCTGGTGGAAAATCACTTTCTCCCACGATGTTAGGAGAAGGAATGTTAGACTTGAAAGCAGAAAAGCCTGTGTTAAATCCTGTGATTGAGTAGCTGTGTGACCTCAGACAAACTGTTCAACCTCTCTGAGCCTACATTTCTTCGTCTCTCAAGCAAGACTTTCCAATGCCTACAGACATTATCTTGGGATTAAGAGAAACCAGGATGGAAGAGAGTATGATAGAGCGTCTAGCACACAGTGCTCCTGTGCTTTTGATAAGCTGGCATTTCAGCAGGCTTGGCTCTGGGGCTCAACCTCTTAAATGCACGCTGTCATTTATTTTCCCACGGATGGAGCTCACCATCTGTTTTCCCAATCAGCCCGAGTCCTCCTCCCCTCTTAGTGTTCTTCTTATAGGCCAGGAAGTCCCTCCAGTCCCAGGTATGCTGCTTCTCGTGGGCAGGTGTCGGGTCCAGCCTTCCCTGCATGGGGGCTGTGGCTGTCAATACCATCAGCTTGAGTGAGCTTCTCATAACAGCTTGAGAATGCACCTTCCTGTGTTTGGAGCTGTGGAGCATTGACCACTGATGAGACTTTTTGTGTGCTTTTACCTAAATTTGGGCCTGGGGATAAGCATTAGTTACTGTGCTGGGCTCACCCATCTTTTATGAGCAACAATTCATGCAGAAGGGAGAGCAGACACCACTGCTGAGCCCTCCTGTGGCTCTGCGCCCTTCTCTCCCCGTCCCTGCCACCACCTACACAGGGCGCCTGGGTGACAGCTCCTCTGTGGCAGCCCCTCCCCCTCCCATGGCACTGGGCTTTCCGACAAGCCTGCCAGCTGAGGGAGTGGTTTCTGTGGTAGGGGCTGCCTCCACTCATTTTCCATTAGGGTCACCAGGCAACCACCAGACAGTGACAACGCCTGATGCAAACTCTGCTGCACCTAGCGACGAGCTCTGTATCCCATTACGAGGCCTGGGCTGGCTACAGGGCTGGCTGTGCCAAGCTGCGCGTCTTGCTTGACAGGGCGGATGGGAGACCTGAAGCCATACTGTCCTCAGGGCTTGTGTGCCTGCCAATCTGGGACCAAGGGAGTGAAGTTGTGTTGGGTGGGTCAGGTTGATGCAGCAAGGTTTAAAATCAGATGTGGATCCAAATGAGGCATTCTCCTTTGTCCCATACCACGTGGGACATTTCTCTATTAGGATATTACCCAGGAAATTAACTGCTAAGTTTCTTAAAAAAATCCAAATTCTCATTTTTACATGGTGAGTTACAGTGTTCAAAGCAGACTTATTCCCATGTTTGAGATTTATCCTCCATCTAGCTGTTTGAGGTAAGTATGGTAAGTGACATTGTCTCTTTTTTAGATATGGAAAACTGAGGCTCAAGAGCAACTGACTAGCCAATGTTATATCAGTGAGTAATTAACTGACAAAGACCAATCTTAGGCATCCTTCTATAGCAAACTGTGGTGTAATCTATCCTTCTTTCCCAAGGATCCCACTCTCCCTTGAAATACTAGTTAATTAATCCAGGTATTTACTTATTCATTAATTCCAAATGCCTACAGAGTGCCTACTGCATGCCAGCTACTATTAAAGAGGTGAATAAACCACCGTGCCCTCGTGGCACTTAAATTCTTCGGAGAGACAGACAAGTACATGTGAAACTTCAGGTGGAGATAAAGACACTGGGGAATGGTGAAGCAGGGCAGGAGGCTGGGGAGAGCCTTTGTGCATATGTGTTGGGCTGGAGGAGAGCCTCTGCTGAATACGGGGTGACTACAGCAAGGCTGTTACTAAGCTGCCATTCCATCAGAGCCTGGAAGAAGTGAGGGAGAGGGCCTCCTGCCTGCTCTTGGGCATGTGCGGTATGACATCATGGATTAGTATTCACACAATGGCTGTGTAAGGCAGGAGTCATTGCCCCAGCGCCAGATAAGAAACAGAGACAGTAGCTTTTTTGGAATCCCACAACTGTAAGCAGGGGAGAGAGGGTCCAGACCCAGGTCTTTCTTCAAAACTCTGCTTGTAACCACCACCAATTTCAGGCAGAGGTGCCTGGGGAGATAACTTGGAAAAGAGCTCTTACCAGCATCGCTCATAAAACACTTTGTATCTACCAATAGCACCTAGGTGACTTCAACAAGGGACATTCTAGCAAGGGTCTGTTTTTATTATCTGACTTCCTTTTAATTTTGTTTATGTTTCACATCAGGCAGAGGACCAGAGCTCAGGGATCTCAGTCAACATCAAGTGTGTTCTGGCGAGAAAGACTGAAATCCTGCTAATAACATTTCTTCAAATCTCTCTTTAGTCAGGAACTATGCTAAGTACTTTATATGTAGTAAGTAGCACTCTGTGTCTCATCTAAGATTCAACTCAACTTTTACATCACCAGTGAGATCTTGGCCAATTGTCCTAAGCAATAGGCAAGAGAAATTTTAAGTGGCCAGAGCTGACGTGTAGGAGATATGGGGCAAGAGCTGGGGGCGTTTTTGTGGTGGCTTGGCTGGGGTCACGTATGTGTCTAATCTCCCTAAGTGAAGTAAACTGAGATTGGCTCTACTTGAAACCTTTTTTCTCTGGAATTAAACTATAGGGTTATAAGAAGCAACTCACGGGCTAAGAATGAGGGGAACTCCCTGACATACTTAGAGTTTCATTTGTAAATTTCCACTGTTTTGATTGTTAAAATGGTATGCTTATTATCAAAAAGGCAAAAAAGAAAAAAGTAAAAGCATTTCTAATTCTACCACTCAAAGACCCTCACCACTCTGATTCATTAGTGTTCTGCCTTTGTTCTAGGCCATATTTTAAGTATGTAATTTGGTCAAAACAGTTCATTACGTATGATGGCCTTTCTTGAGAACGGAGCTCTCCCTCTGTTCCCACAAGGCTGTACGCACACATGGAAACAGCTCAGGTTCAGGCTCCGATGGCCCTCCTTGCTTCTAAGGTGTTTCACCTTTAGTCGCTGGGGAGTTTTTAGGGAAAGCCAGGCCACGACTGGGTTCTGCAGTCTCCGGAAGGATTTTAGTTGACCCCCAGTCCTGGCACAGCCCAAGGGCATCAGCCTCTGCTACTGAGCTACACATATCCCCTGACAGCAACTCCCCCTAGCCCTCCCTAGACTGCGAATTTGTGAGCAGACAGCAGGATTCATGGCTGTCTGGCTTCTCCCTGTCCTCCCCCAGATGAGTGGAAGCCAGATGTCAGAGCACCAGGCAGACCTGAGGAGGATGGATGACAAGCCGAGATGAAATGGACAGTATCTGGTCCCACCTTGGGCTTTGGCTTAATTGCAACCACATGAGCACAGTCAGAGCTACAGGGTATAGTTGGGATTAGAATAGAGATTCATTTTGGGATGAGAGCTTTTCTGCATGAGATACTGTACTGCCTCAGACATCATCCTTTTAACAACAATCACAGTAGTTAACGTTTATGGAGTGCCTATCATTTGCCTGGCATGATGATAACTGCTCTATGAGCATTAATGCATTAGTTTTTATAATGCACTGCTAAGGTAGGTATTATTGCTATCTCCGTTTTGGGAAAGAAGGCTCTGTGGCACAAAGGGATGAAAGAATGTACTGAGGTTTCCCCAGCAAGTACAGCTAGTGGGTGCTGGAGCTGTGATTTGAAACAAGGCAGTCTTCCTGTGGATCCTAAATCTCTCCCTTGGAGTTTAATTTTATTTATTCATTCATTCACTAAGTAACTACACTCATTCAAGCTACTGTCGTCTTTCACCTGGATAACAAGTAATAACAACTTCCTAAGTTGTGCCTTTCTTTTACACAGAGAGTTTCAACCTTGGTTGCACATTGGTATCACTGGAGAAAATTTAAATAACTAATCATCTCCCTCTCCTGCTTAAAACATTTCTTCAGATAAAGGATGAAAATCGCAACAAGGCCCACACTACATGGCTCTGCAACATCTGACCCTTTCCTTCTTACCAGCCTCATTTTGTACAACTCACCCCTCACTCTCAGCATGCTGCCGCTCTGGCTTTCTTAGCCTTCTGGACGACTGCATGCTATTTCTTGCCTCAGGGCCTTGACATGCTGACCACAGTTCTCTTCAGCTAACTGTTTGGTTGACTCCTATCCCTTCTTTACGCCTTAACTTGGTGCTGCTGATTACAACAATGGCCACCCCTTCCTGTGTCTACACTCTTACCCTCTTTAAAATGTGACTTTGCAGCTCCTTCCATGGCCGAGGGGTGAAGTCTCTTTTCCTACCCTGTGAATCTGGGCTGGCCTTGTGACTTGCCTTGGTCAATGAAATGCTGCAGAGTGGTGACTGTGCCAATTCTGAGTCTCAGAAGGCTTTGCAGGCCTGGGCTTACTCTCTTTGAACCCCACCATTACCCAGAAAGCCCAGGCTAGTCTGCTGGAGGATCCTGACTGAGGCTGTCCCAGACCAGCCAACTCCCAGCTGACCATAAACTCATAAGGAAGCACAGCTGAGATTAGAGCTGGGGTTGGATCAGCAGAACCTCTTAATTGATCCACAGACTTGTAAATGATAATTAAATCGTTGTTATTTTAAGCCACTTTGAGGTCTACTTACTATGAAGCAATAGATACCTGATACACTTAAATATCGCTTTCTATTTCTCTTCCAGCCTAGGCCTCATTTCTTCATTCATACCCGAAAAGGACATCTTGTACTTATTAATTGTGGCATTTAGGATAATTCTATAGAAGCTAAAAATTGGTAACTGATGCTTTTTTTCTTCCTGATTAAAGTTTAAGCTCCATAAGATTAATATCCATATCTGATTTGCTCACTGCAATATTTTTATCATCTAGCACTGTGTTTTGTACATAGTAAGTGCAAAATAAATATTTTTTATAAAATGAAAGCAAGAATGAATGAATGGATTCACTAAACACTTATAAAATACCTTCTATATATTGGGTACTGTCTAAGATTCTAAAGATATAAGAATAAATAGGGCATAGTCCTTGCTCTTAAGTTGTTCTCAGTTTAAAAGCTGAGACATGAATATATAAACAAAAATTATAAACCAAGTTGATAAGTGTAATTGAGGTTGTATTTAGTGTTTATGGAAGCAGGATAGACTAGGGTTTGAACACATCTGGAGAAAAGGTTTTTCTGGAAAATCCGTTACGGAGGAAATATTTGAGATGATAGTCCCACATCTGATGGGTGTATTGCAATGGGTATTCAAATACCAAAAGTGGTACTTCCACTGGTAACATGATTTTTCACAATGATAAATGAAGCTTGTTAAATTTCCATATGAGACAAAACGTAATCTTTCTTTGATTTACATAACAGTTGCAAAAATTCAAACTGTACAAAATCATGTATTTAAACTGTACAAAAACTAGATCCTAGGTGTTTATATGTAAATGGCATTAAGTGTTAGGCTCAGATAAGTTTAAATAGTTTTCATCCACATAAATGTATGGAGGGACATTTGAAGACCAGTTAGAATGTGGGGCAATTTTTCACTGCATGAGAATGCCTTACACGTTGCAGGACATCTAGCATCCCTAGCTATTTCACAATAAGTGACAGTGGCATCCCCTCTCGATATTGGGACAACTCAAAATTTTCTTCAAATTTCTAAAGCTCTTTTTACCAAGGTGGTGTCACATGTGCATAGAACTACTGATTTTAAAAAAGTTGCTTTGACTAATTAACATTACTGCTTTATGCAACTGCATTATTTGAAGGAACTTATGCTGTCTGCACAAATGTTCTAACGCTTACAAATTACTTTGGCATTATTGCCAAAAGATGATTCAACAGAGTTTCTTGACAGGGAAGGAAAGAATCTAAATACTCCCTTTCTATTTCTGGAAGCACGTAACCTTGAAATCTAAGCTGCTCACAAGAAGGATGTAGTTCAGAAGCTCAGCAAGCCCACATTTCCTCAGGACTGGAAACAACCAACTACAAATCTGTTTCATGGTTCTAGGCAACAGCAGCACAAAAACACATGAAACGTATTCTGAATAGAGCACATCCTCATTAACTTTTACTAATGGAGCTAGTCTGGATTAGTGAGAAGTCGTTGTTGTTATATATTTATAACATAACATAAGTAATTAAATAATTATTTAATAAATTATTTTAAAGGGTATATAACACATGAGCAAACATATGAACCCTTACATTATGTGAAATCACTGTGCTAGTTGCTTTGAGGGTATAAAGATGCCTAACAAATGTTTCTGATCCTCAAAGAACTGAACATCTCAATTTGGAGATAGGATATAATTATGCAAAATTAACAACACCAACTGCAAATGCCTAAGATACAGACAGTAAGGACTTTAGTAGTTCAAGGGCAGAGAGGGCTTTGAGAACTAGAGTGATCCAGGAAGGCTTCACAGAGGCTAGAGCTGGGCGCTGAAAGATAGATATGAATCAAGTAAAACAATTAAAGAGTGCATTCCAGGTGGAAGCAATGGCCTTGGCAAAGGCAAGGAGGCAAAATTTAAGTGTCATCTTACAGAGGTTATAAACAGACTTACCTGGCCAGAGAGGAGAGTCATACTAGGTAGTAGTAGTCTAGTGCCAGAGAGTGAAGCATGTTTAATACCAGGATAAGATATCAGAACTGATTTTTTTTTTCTTTTGAGGAAAGAGGGGTCATTTAACATTTTAATCAAGGGAGTAAAAGAGTAAGAAGTTATTTAGGTGTTGGAGGGAAACCTTTCTTTCCACCCTGTGTTTGTATTTCATTATGGATAAGTCTGTAGCAGAGAAATACTCCTGGCTTTTTAGTCTCCCAACTCAAACCTCTCCAGGGAAGAAGGAATAATATTTTCCAATTGAGAATTTGGGAGATAAACTTGGGGATGCATAATTCAGCACCTTCCTTCCTCATCTCCTGAGATATTGCTGCAGAGCGAACACATCCTTGTTGCTTTGCACTCTAGCTTTTACCGACATAGGTCCATGTGGAGAGGCCTGTGTCCAGATGTGCTTGTGATTGGGTGAGCAGGTCTGTTTAATTCAGAATAAATTACTTGCATAGTCACTAGCTGTAAACCTCAGCTGGATTCTCTGAAATGGATTTTATCTATAATAAAACTGACATTTTAATCCCTACTTGTCTAACTTAGGTGTTTCTCTCTTAATTCCAACTTGGGTAGAAGATGACTGGTGCCTGTTAGCCTCTACCACATAGAAGATAAAATATCCAATTAGACAGAGGTAAAAGAAAATGGTTTCACCAATCCAAAGGCCCATTAAAAAGTCCTCCAAAGAAAGCTTATGCTTCATATACCTTGGACTTGGAAATTAGGTTGGCCCTGAAATAATCAAGGTCCCAGGGTAGCAAATAGAAAAATTTTAGGATGCTTTAGATCACATGTTGACAAACTGTGGCCCACTGGGTCAAATCAGGCCCATCACCTGTTTTCATAAATAAAGTATTATTGAAACATAATCATGCTCATTCGTTTGCATATAATTTATGGCTACTTTAGTATTTAGATATACTCTCCAGTATGTTGAAAATTTAGATATATTCATAAGAATTGACTAGATGCAACAGAGACCATATGGCCTATGAAGCATCAAAATCATTTCTAAATTCTGAGTGGTCATTGAGAATCAGCTACCATTCACAAATGTTTAATTTTAGTTTGCAAAACCAGAGTTGGTTAAATTGAAAGTTTGAGATACATTTTAAAGGGAAAAGAAAGGTCTTTCCATATTTTTATCAGAGTATTGAATATTGAAAAGTAAATAATATGCCAAATCACCGTAACTAAATCTTCTTTATCCATTCATCCTGCCCTGTAATTAATTCTTGTGCTGCTATATATGGGGTAGCAGTCTGTGTTGATGACATCATCTGCTTTTGAACTAAAACCATTCCTGGAAATCCCCACTCGGGCCAGTGGTACAGTCTGACAATTGCCCAAGCTCTGTAAACCTGAAGTTCTGAAGCCCATGCTTAGGAATTTCTTCACCCTGAAATATCAATTATTAAAAGTACATGGCATGGTCTTCGTATGAGGCTGTAAGATTGTCCTTTGCTGAAGACAGAACAGGTAGCCAGCATCAGAGGAAAGTAGAAAATATTTGTGGGTGAGATTAAATTAACCACATGCTGTGTTGTTAATTTATTGTAGTCATCAATAATATCGAAACGGAGGAATGTAAAATTCTCTACTGGGGGGCAATACATAACTATTTCATAAGGTTTGATCAATGTTTCTCCTGAGGATAAGAAAATACCATGAAGACTGAAGACATTATAAATCTCCAGGTACTTCCAATCCATAAAGCAAACAATTTGTGAACATTTATATTAATGACATTTTACTAACATAAAATTATTCTTTGATCTAACAACTCTTCCCACATAGGTATCTGGACAGGGTACATAGGTAGTAAAGAAGACTATTTTCTACCTCTTGTTGAGAGAAAACTAAATGTACAAAGATCAATTATAATTTTAACAGAATGAAAGCCTAATTCTAGTTTTTCATTAATACAATAGTGAGCAATAAAGATGCACAAGCTCTCTTTAAAAGTTACCTTATGAATAACAAATAACAAACTTTGTCAAAAATTTAACACATTTTATTGCAGTTATTAGATGGAATTTTGCAATTATTTTAGACAAGACTCAAAACTGAATTTCTGGAAAACTTTTACAAGTTTATAAATGCATTCAATTTTTAAAAATACATTCAGGTCATCCAAGTTTTTCTTTTACTATCCTTTGTTGTATTCTGAAAACATCAGATACTTCAGTTTAGAATAAAACCACTATCATGTTTTCCTTGATAAACTAAAGTACACTTTGCAAACATAATCTTATCTTCCCACTAGTATCTCTGCTAGCATAGTATTAATCACCCATATTACTATAACTTGTAACTAAATTGGCTATCTTCAACTTTCACGGGAAAAACCTGGGAGGTAGGTGATTGATAATTGTCTGTTCATACACAAGCATTTTAGCAGACTTGCAAGGATATGACATACACAATACAATCCCCTATAGCCACACAAATCCTTTCTAAAGTGGCAAAAAAGAGCATATTCATTAACATGACTGAAAGGTGTAGCCACTCCATGACATATAAAAGTAAAAAACTATGTACATATAGTTTCTTACTCTCTCTCAATCTCTCTCTCTCTCTCTCTCTCTTTCTCTCTCTCTCTCTTTCTCTCTCTCTCTCTCTCTCTCTCTCTCTCTCTATATATATATATATATATACTATGTATATGGTGATCAATTTTGGAGTATTCTATCTTACTTGGAAATTATCTAGGCATCCAACAATTAGCCATTAATTAACTAGGTGTAATGTTAGTCCATCTTAAAATTAACTAAGGATCTTGGAAGTTATTTTTAAGCAGAAACATTATAGAATGTGTTAAAACTTTGTTAAAATTGTATTTCAATTTGGTTGAAAACATAATTTTACAATTTTCACAATCATGATTATGTAGAAGTCATATTAGCTAATTTGATCAGTAAGTCAATATAAGAAATTTAGGAAGTTCAGAATAACTAGTCACTTTATCAGGAAACACCTCAAATCTTATAAAACTAAAATATATACTTACGCTTAATACACTAATAAGATCAGGGGAACTATATATATGGCTATTTTGAAACAAAATGGCCAAACAAACCAGTTTGACCTAACAAAAATTTCACCTTGATTCAGTAAACTTGGATTTTTACATAAAAATGCTTTTGGGCTAATTATTTTTATAAAAAGGGCTTTTTATACTTTTAAAAAATACTTAAAGTATAGTCTTTAAAATATATTTAAAATATTAAAATTTTAGTTTATTTTCTAGGAAAATATTCTGAATTCTGGGAAAATAATAGATTCATTTAAGCACGTATTCTCTCTAAGCTAATTACAACATAGAACATAATTTAAAATACTTTGTGACATAATTTCTTAATACACTCCAGAGGTAGAAGAATATTTCACATTTATGTACTGAGAGGTAAAGGCTTTCTTCACTTACAGATATACAGAGAGCCCATGGCTTCAGTTCTATAACTTCAGACATGAGTCAAAGTAAACACAAAAACACACTCACCGGGCTGGATCTCAAAGATTTGTTATCCTTTTTGGAAGACATACAATATTTATTTGAGCTCATGGGTAGACAAAAAGACAAACAAAAATTAATTAACCACATTATCTACTGTTTCTCACCTTAGAGAGACTAGATTCTTGTTATCCAAGAGATCACCAAATGGACAGATGACAAAACCAGATTCTCAATCATTGTTGCCGTCTATGGGGAATACCACATCAGCCACAGATAAATCATACCCAGAGCCAAACTTGGTCAAGTAAAGAAACAAAAGTGAAAATACAAAATCAGGAGAAAAAGACCAGAAAAAGTCAAGACAGGTGAAGTTGTAGGTGCCACTTGGGAATCACTCCAGGAACCCAAAAAAGACATTTCAGGACTTTAACAATTTGTGAGATGTACTTTTAGGCAACACAGTTGAACTGGCTCTGGAAGATGAGTTCCACGGGTAGGTCAGTGGGACCTTCAAAACAGTTAAAGATTAATTTTCAGAAAGTTAAAAACAGTACTCTCATGCAAATATGGATGGACTAGTTCTCAAATATACATTCATTTGTTAATAAGGGAATCAGTAAGATGGTAAAGCTACTCAAAGGGGGAAGTTTTGAGGAACTGGACATTTTACAGGCATTTAAGTAAAATAAGTAAAATAGGTATTAAATTGGTTAATGTTCTACAGGGGAATAAAACTATAACCTTTTGGATTATCTTCTCTACTGGACTGAAATATGCAAGTTAACCTGAAACTTTACAATGTCTGCACTCTAATAAAATTATAAAAGGAATGACAAACATAAGCAAATTCCCCAGGAAAATGAAAGAATCCTTGGGTGGGCCTATTAAGCAATGCTCCAGCATGATATCGAAAGGAAACACCACCCACCCTTCTTTGATTTTTTCCCCCTATTTTTGGATAATTTTTCTTAATACTTTATTGCTCTTCTTGTTCTGTTTGTGTGAGTGAAACATGTTTGTTTCTTTGTTCTCAAACTACTCCATTCTTAGATTTCTCTGAGCAGCCTTGATTCCTAGACAGCAAGTATTTTAGGATTTAAATTTTGCCTCTGGCCTTCAGGTTAATAATAATTTCATCAATTTTTTTTCTCTGTAACATTCTAAGATAATGGTATGTTTAAAATAAGGACCCTCAGTTTTTCTTCTTCGTTTACTAAAACAATCTCCTGCTTTTCCATGGGAAAAACTGTAGCTTGGAACTCTAAAGTCCAAGGCCCTTTTCTAAACTTACGTAATTAACTAAAGCAATTTACTCTGTGGTGACTCTTGGATCTGTGGATAAACCACTTGAATTCAAAGTTATTTCTTCCCTACCTCCTCTCCAGGCTCTAAAAGAGGTTCAAAATAATATCAACAATGAACAAAATTATGGGTACTTAATCAAGGACTAACTATTCTTGGTTTAAAAGTGTAAAGCTAGCATCTCACATATAACAGTGCTCTGTAGCACAAACGCAAAGTAGCTACCTTTGAAGTTTAAAATAGAGAACTCCTTTCTTGACTGAGAAACACAGTTCAAACAGCAAACGACTCTTCTGCGGCACCCCTTCCTGGATATCCCTCGGCTCCTCCCTGTTCTGCCACAGTGCCTAAATGTGTGTAACAGGAAGACTCTTTTCCTTTGATCAGATCCTTGCCAGAAATAACATGGCTTGCACAGGTTTACTAAGCCCCTCACCCCATTTAGTTGGCATTTGCTTAGATTTCTGAATGTTACAAAAAGTTATCATTTGCAAACAAAGTTGCCGTTAACTCTAGTGACTTATAAAAGTCAAAATGCCATATGATTTACTTCTAAAGGCTAAGGCCTTTACAAGTGCACTAGTTAAAAACCAGCCACACAGATATAGGAACCAACCCCGTGACATAGGGTCAAAATCCCACAATACCTAGTTGCTAAAATCTATAGCCTCATGCCTATAATCAAGGCCCCACAGGAAGCCTTGAGGTAAAAATGCCATTTAATTTACCAAATTCCAATCCTTTTCTATTTCTAAATGTTTCCAACCATATGTTGGGCTTCACAAGGAAAATAAGTAGTATCCCATTTTTTTCCTACCTTTGTTTATAACCAGCTAAGGGATAGCCAATGGATTCCACAGGTTGAAGATTAAACAATTGCCTTTATTGCCACTGAAGCTCTTGAAAAATAAGGCTTTACAAAGGTCATGTGGGCTTTCAAGAGATTCTCTACATTGCATGAACACTTCCTCTCCTCATCACCTCCAATCAAAGTTCAGACTTTATAGGAGTTGTGCAGTGGTGGAGTTAGGGTGCATGAAGAGTTTGCCAAGCTACAGAGCCAAGGCATAAGATAAGTTACTCTTCAAGGGAGTGAGGGACTGAAAACACTGTGGGAATGCTCCCTAATAGAGATCTTTCCATAACAGAACAGCAAGTCTAGGCACTGGGAACTAGATTCACTTTTTTCAGATCAGGATCATGGAACAAAAGGCCTGATAGGGGTTGGGATCTCAGAATCTCCCATTCATTCATTCATTAAATTCAGAAATATTTTATTGATATTTCATTATGTGCTCCACATTGTACTAGAAACGAGAGAAATAGTGATATATAAGACTCATAGGATTCCAACTTCCATGGAATTTCCAATCTAGTATGAAAGAGATAGAAATTGAACAAATGCTTACCCTTGTCGTGAATGCCAAAATGTGAGAAGACTCAGGGTGCTCAAAGTGTGCAACGGAGAATTTTTCTTTTAAAAATGAGAGAAAACTCAAGTCAAGCTGCTTTAATCGAAAATAAAAACAAAGAAGAAGAAGAAGAAGAGGAATTTTATAAGTTGAAGCCTTCAGGCTTCCCTGGCAACAGTAATTCCATAGCCATTTATATCTGGTTTCTCTTTCTCCATTTCAAAGCTCTGCGTCTACTGTGTTAATGCCATTTTGAGAGGGTTCCAGCTACAGCGGCATTACAGCTCACATCCCAGCTCCAAGACAGTAGGAAAAAGTGAGATGTTGATTCCAACATCCTCAGAAAAAGTATGATTGTGTAATGAACCCATCTTCATACCAACCACCATTTGGCATAAGCCTGTGCCATGTGGAGCCTCACCAAAATGAGATGTGGTTCAAGAGCGAGGGACAGAGAGTCCCCCAGAAATGAGGGAATATGCTTATTAAGAGAAGATTGAATGGATACATGGGAACATAAGTTGCAGTTGCTCACTAGCAGCGAGTTAGTCTGGAGATGACCGAGGAGTGTCTGTGTGGAAGATACGGTGTCTCTGTAAGTGAAGGATGTGTAGGAGCTGCTTACATTTTAGAGATGGTGAAGAGAATCCCAGGCTGAAGAAACAGTGTGTGTGTGAAGATTGCTGGGGACTGTGGTAGGAAAGAACATCAGGCCACCATTATCAAAAACTGATTAAGAGAGGGAGACGGATAGAAGAGGAGATTGGAGATATAGACAGGTGCCAGGTTATATATCTGGACTTGTAGGTTCTAGTACAGCCTTTATTCTTCATTTAAATCTAGCCAAAAGGATCAAGGGATGGTAGAGAAGGGATTATGTAAAAATAAAAATTGAAGGAAGTTCACCTGGGTGACAATAATATCCACAGAAAATATTCCATTACAATCTCAAGATCTGCCCATTTAAAAAAGTGTCCTTGAATGTAGATCTCTCTACTTCTTGAAATAAAGGGCCATTTAGCTGAGCATTAGAAATTATCCTGCTCACCAGAGATATTTGAGTTAGTGGTAGTGGGAATGGGTATGACTTATGTGTGGAGAAGCAGTGTTATCATCATTCTGGTTTAACATAGCCTCACATATCCTTCATGCAACTTCTCTGTCTCCCAGTGGTTGGAAGGAGGCCAAGATTGAAGCAATAGTATTATAATATCAATGCTAAGGAAAACGGAATGAGTGTGCAATGTCTCAGCACAGATATAATTTCACAAAACATGAGGCGTGAGGGCTGAATCATAAGGTGAGTGTTTGGCTCCATTCTTCCTGGAGATCAAGATATTCCAGAAGACAGAAAAATCTGAAAGAGCAGAAGGGCAACAGAAATATCAGCTGGAAGTTCTCTTCCAATTGCTGCCACCTTCACTTCACCACTCTCTAGATTATTAAGAGATCAAAAGCTACTATGGACGTCAGGGGACAAATCAAGAATGTGTGCTACTGATGCTGCAATGAGAAAGCTAATGGCTAGCAAACGTCTTCATCCTAGCAACATTGAGATGAAATCAAAGCCTCCTTTCTAACAGAAGCAGAAGAATCCGAAAGAAGTGTTACAGAGCCAAGCTGAGAAGATATTAAATCATGGAGTGAATCCTCTTACTACAGGAGGATTAGCAAAAGTGATTTGACAATATTTTTCTAAGCTTTTCTTTTCTGGAACAATGGCAGAAAAAATTAGGAGGGGGATTGCTGAAATTGACAGAATCTGTCATCTTTCAGAAAACTAGGAAGTGACAAATTAAAAAATTGTCTTGTTTGTGCCAGATGTGTACAACTGCTGATTCAGAAATATACAAAGTCTTGGACTAAGAAAAAAAGAGGAAGAATGTATATTAATAGATAGACCTCCATCTTAGGAATAGGGAGATGTTGAATGAAGCCCCTAGCTTCCTGACAATAAAAAGTGTATAAAATATAAGTAGAAGTCTTAAGAACAAAAATGTAGCAAGGCACACTTGAGAGCTTTCTTAGTACTGATCCACACAGAAAAAAAGGTAAAGATGACCCTTGGTCCTTGGGCTTGTGTCTGCAAGGGTCTCCAGTTCAGAATATTTCTAAAAGGGAAATCTAGATGGTCAGTGGGCCAGATTTAGTGTTGTGTGCAAGGAGGGCCTTGCCTTAAAAACAGGAGTCTCTTTGCTTCTTGGGGTAACACTACCCCTCCTCCAACTTGTGAACTAAATACAGGACCTATTCTAGCATCAGGCCAGCTGTTTCAAAGTTGGTTAGTAGAAGAAAAGCTAGAAAAATATTAGGCTGGACTGAAAGGAAATCAGGCTGTGGTGTTTTTAAATTTGGGTTCAATTTCAGAGCTTTAGTATTGAACTCCTTTGGGCAATTTCTATCAGATATATCATTGCTGGACTATGCCTAGTGTCAGAAGAGATTTGTAAACATTCTGTGGGCTGAGCTGAAAAATTGCTGCAAGATTGTTTCAGTCAACCTTTCAAGGATAAATGATTTTTTTCATATTTCTTTTGGGATTCAAAATGCCATGCAAATGACCAATACTAGTCCCTTAATTGTTTGGGGTCAGATGAAATCTGGCAAGGCAGCAATGGGCTTTGGCTTTGCAAACTGATGATTGCACAACTTGAGGAATAGATAACATCTCTGCTCCTAAAGAATGGCTTTCTCAGCATATGGGAACCACAAAAGATTTGAGAAAATCTTGAAGCAAACTGGCTGGTATGAGCCAAATGCCTAGAAATAACACAATGAATCATGGAGAGCTCTCTTTGCTATAAGTAAGGGTGTATACAACAGTACCCATCAGCTAATTATAGCGTTGCTAATCTTTCTTCAACCTCTTCTCAGCCTTGCTCCAAATCTGAAACTTCTGGCCAGTTGCTGGGTCACAGAATAGTAGTTTCTCACCATTCTTTTTGTCTTTCCCTTCTAAATAGATTGAAAGAGACAGGCAGAATGAAGTCTGCAGTTAGTGTGACAGTATGAACTGCTCACATCTGTGTAAGGATATGGGGAGGACACTAGTCACTTGCTAACATGGTTGCTAAGAAATGGAATGGGGAGATGTGAATGAAAGGTTATGGGAGAAGGAAGAATGGCTGGGGTAAGACATGGTGAGAGGGGGCAAGGGCTACGGACAAGCTCAGTCTACTTTGGGGTTCTCGGTAAGGCACAAGATTACCTTTCCTGTCCTGTCCAGGTAGAGGAATTCTTCCCATGGAAATTTTTTTTCACTCTCTTTCTTCTCTCAATTCTTATTAATTATTCATAAATTTCTCAAGATCTGTTCCTTCTGATCCCTTATCTCTCTTCTTTATTTTTTCCGCCACTACCCAAGGCAAACACAAGGAGTATTTCGAGGCTGTTTAATGGACAAGGCAGTCAGAGTTGGGGTGTGGAGAGGATAAGGGACTTGGTGAGAAAATGGGGGACCCTCAGGGGCTTTCTTTTGTGGAGTGGAGGGCCCCAACTGCTCATTCTTTTCTTTTGTTTTTTTGCCCGTCTACATCAAACCTTGCTGATTATGCTCATATATTTGAGTGTCTGCTTATTGGGTAAGTGTGTTTTTTACCTTCCTTAACTTTCAAGGCACATGAACTTCTCTCTGCAGTGGAAAAAAATAATTATTCCTGTCAATTACCAGGCTGAGGTGTTCCTCAGGGCCCAGTCCATGACACATGCTTTTCCATATTAATGTATGGAAAATACTCCTGTAGATTTGAGCAGCTACCATTGCTTTCCCTAGCCCTTTGCTCAGAAGTAGGCACCAGTCCACTGGCTGTTGGGCAAAAGCCTGCTGAGAAATCCAATGCCTTGGCCAAAGATGCTTTGAAGAAATAGTAAGTGAGGCAGCTCTGACCTCTTCTTATAGAACTCCCTGATTCATAAAATCAAACAGCAAAGACTCCTAGAGACCACTGAGTCCAAGCCTCTTCATTTTATAGAAGAGAAACTGAGGTCCATAGAAGCCCATTTTTTTATAGAATGAGAAGGAAAGTGACTTGCCCAGGGCTCCTGCTTACAGTAGAGTTGGGACTGGCATTTACATCTCCTTATCCTTTACTTAGTCCTCTTCGTAATAAACAGCGAAACACTCAGGGGTCCTTCCTTCCTCTTTCCAAACCCTGGAGGAGCTGAGGGGGAGACATGGGGGCTTTACTCCTCGTGTTGTTTCAGACTCAGACTTCTCAGCTTCCACATTGAGAGACTATTTGCAATTGCTTCTCCTTGTTGCCCAAATTCCTGGCTGGCATTCCAGACTGACACCAGAGACTTCCTTCCCAGGGACATCCATCCTGGGCAGGTCAGCAGTTTGCATCTTCCCTGGGGCAGAAGTGGCAGAGTCTCAGAACTCTTGCTTCTTAAGACTCAGCTCAATCTCCACCTGACTCAGCAGAGGTTTCTGGAATCTCAGATGGGTCCTAACCAGAAGCAGCTAGGTTGCTTCTCTGTTTCTATAATGAGAAAACAAAAAAAAAAGCTGACTATGACCATTGAGAAAGAAAATGCACCCATGTAAACACAGCAATCTTTACCCTATAAATAACCCTAATTAAAATGAAAACACCCGAGTGCTCCCATCTTTTTTGATTTTTTCTTTCTGCTGGACACCATGGGAGGTCCTTGCAGCAGAGCTCTGGTGCTTGCCAACAATAACTAGGCTCTGAGAAGAAGCGTTTCTGTGCTTCTCTTGCCAGCTCAAGTCTAACTCTTTTCTGAGTCTTCCTTCTGGTTCTTCTCTTTCCCTTTCTGTCTTGTGAGGTGATTTTTAGAGCTCCCACATCTAATTCCATATTTCCTCCTGAAGTTCTAAGCATTGTCCGGTTGATTTACGAATGCAGTTCAGCAGGGCTTGATTCATCATGCAATTTGAATAGTGCTATGAGAGTCTCCCTTGGAGGGAGGAGCTGTGGCTATGTTAGTCTCATTTTCAAAATGGACCTGATAATATTAGACATAGCACAGAAGAAGTCTCTTTCTCTTATAAGCTGGTGGGAGTGGTAGAAGTGGCTCAGCTGGCTGCAAGGGCTGAGAAAAGCCCTGGGACTCAAAGCGGGGCACTGGGAGGGCTGGATCTCTGCACATGAGCGTAAGGAGGTGCTGCTGCCTCAGGCCAGCTTAAGAGTGAGCCGACTGCTTGGACAAAACCTACCGAGATCCTGCCCTGACCCTCCCTTCTGTCTGCTGAAAAAGAGGCTTGAAGTTTTTACATTTTGCCCTGCAGGCTGGGAGAATTATAGGGGTACACACCATACAGCCCTAGGGCACAGGGCGTGAAAGGCAAGAGGGAAAGGGATCTGGAACCAGGGAAATAATAAAGCCATCTGGCATAAAATTCAAGCTTTTCAAAATTTAAACTTAGACATCATTATCATGCAACTCCTAACTTTATCAACAAAAGAAACATTCTGAGAAGGATTACTTGCTCAAGTTCATGGAGCTAATCAGTGGCAGGGCCAGGGCCACTCATAAATGAAGCAATTCTTGGTGGTCTCTTTAAAACTAAACTCCACATTTGTACATCTCATGCTACCTTTAGATCTCCAAACACTCCCACACAGCGAGGCCACAACTATTTATTGAGCATAAATATTTAGTGCCCCTCTGCATTTCCAAGCATCCTATGAATAACCATCATTTTAAAAGATGACATTGAACTCATCTGTTTCTAGCTCTGCCTCTTCCACTAGTTGGGAAGCCTGGAACCATGTATGAATCATCTTTATAATGTTGGTACCTGTGCTTGCTGGATTTTACTGACTTTTTCAAACCAAACTTTATTCTAGAGGCTTAGGAAGGTATAAAAGATAAAAACATATTTCCCTTTATTTCAGCAACTTATAGCCTAAAGGGAGGTATAAAAGGGGGAAGGAAGGAAGACCTTAAAAAATTGCTACAGAAAGATCTTTACAAATCCTATATATTAAATAAAATTTCAAAAAATTAACATTATATGCCAAGTGATTCTTTCCTTGGTCTGGTCATTTTCTTACATCAACTCATTCTCTGCATGTTTTTCAACCATTTGGACAAATTGTAGGTGCTGTGAACATTCTTGCACTCCCCAACTTTACTCACTTTCTGTATAGAGTGACCCCCTCCCCCATACCCTATGTTGAAATCAAACCTATCTTTCAACATCCATTTCCAATGCTACTTCTTCCCGATCACTTTCATCAGAAGTGGCTTTGAAAGCCTTTCAGCACATGCTTTGTCCTTTCTCATGATGCTTATCACATGGCCTTTTATTTCCCCAGTATCTTTTCATCCTCATCCTGCAGGGAACTTGCATCCCATGGGTTAAGAGTCAAAAGCTGTCTACATTCAGACTGAAAAGCTACATGTGAATGGCTCAACTGAACCACTCTTCACTGCTGTCACCATTGACTGTACCTTTGTGGACCATCTTGACTCCACTGAAGCTGTCAATGCCACCCTCTCAGCTCCCCTAAGGCGGGGATGCTCTTAGATCATCTGCAGTACTGCTGGGACTAACCCATCCTTCCAGGAACTGGCAGATTTTGGAGTCTGCAGTGAATTCCCTGTGGCGTTCTTGTCCCCTGTGAGGTTCTTTCCCTTAAAATAAAATACTACTCTGGGATTAGTACTCTGAAAGGTGACTTAAAGTTGTACCTTTCTAGATATCCAGATAATTTTTTACCACCTAAATTGAAGGAATTTTCAAGTAGAAAGAAATGTTGGTTCTCACAGTGAATTTTTGTGGTTGTATTTAACCCATTTTATTATTTTTGTTGATAATTTTGACAATGGCAGATTGAGTCTGTTATTAAAAGATTAGAGCACCTTCTCTAGTGCCCTGAATAAATAAACAAAGGAAAACTGTTGAAGAAATGCGTCAGTATATGTGGTATCAACACTTTTGGGTCTAAATTTAATTTGCTCTCTTTTGTAACCTAGCTTTGTGACTCTATCAAGTTTAGCAGGCACATTCTCTGGGGATCTTTCATGAGAAAGATCCTGGAATCTCACCTTAAATTAGATGAAAAAGAGAAAAGAAGGTTAAAAAATACATCTAAACTCTCTATGTAAGTGTTTAAGAAACACCGTTGTTTATTTCCTTTTGCTACAACATAGATTGCTATATAATTATTTTGGCTATAGGGAGAGTATCTTGGTAAATCAAATAGAAAAGTTATAGCAAACTAATAGTTTCAATTGTATCCTTAGGAGTTCAGGTTGTTTCTGTTGGAGTTACACAGTGTGTACAGGAAAGCCTGATAGGAATAGAAGCAACACAGAAAATATAAGGAAAACAAATTTTCACATATAGATGAAGAAATAAAAGAATGAATTATCCATAAGCAGAGAGGAGAAAATCAAAATTCTGTACTTGGCTCAACTGTGTATTCACTGTGCAAGAATCTGAAATTTCCCTTTCTTAATCACTGGTCAGTTGGGTATTCTCACCGGTCTTTGAAAGGTCTCTCCCTGGTACATGAGCTACCTGAAGTCAGAGGACAGTGTTTAGGACTGCACTATTGCCTGGGCAGGGTAGAGTCAGATTGTGTGGCTTTGTACTGAGCAGACTAAGATATCAGGGCCCTTGAGTGTTTTGGATGGAGGGGGCCAGCCCTAACTCTAGAGCAAGTTGGATCAGTGGTCTCCAAAACATTTCCATTAGCTCACACTCGGGGGGGGGGGGGGTGCAACCTAGAGACCACTCCACAGAGTCAGATCATTAGATAAAACATAGTCATCTCCTGTTGAAAATTATGGGAAAGGAGTAGAAATAAGAAAGCGGCTATTTGTTGTCAAGCTCAGTTCCCCATTTGACTTGTGAGGTGGACATCAGAATCAGAATCAGAAGGATTTTTTATGAGAGGATCCCAGATAGCCTCCCTGCTTCTCAGAACCTGTGGGAGAAACCAACTTGATCCCTCCCAAGCTAATATGTCTGTGGAGTCATTTTTTTTTGCTTGTTTCTAAGCTTGATTATTAACATTTCTTAAAAAATTTAGAAAGAATAATGTGTTGGGGGAATGCATCTCCTTCCCTCTCAAGCAACATTGCTTGACAGGTTAGCAATGAAAATGAGAAGTCTGGTGATTAGAGTGGTTAGGTACATGGGCTTTGGAGTCCACTCATCTATATTTGAGTCCTACTTGCCCTTAAAATCTGTCTAAGTTTGGGCAAGGGATTAATCTCAATAAGCTTTCATTTTCTCATCCCAAAATCAAGGTCCTGGTAAAATTAGTACCCACCTCAAAAGGATGTTGTGAAGATTAAATTAGATAATGTATGCAGTGCTCAAAATGTATTAACTTTTATTATTGCAGATATTGGGCCAAGTTAGAGCTGCCCTTGCTCATTGTTTCTAAATAATTTAGCTGAGGTTTAGACTTGAGATTTACTAGAATCTGCAAATTCTCTCAATGGAAGACAATTCTGGCTGGCACCAGGCACACTTGTGGTCTTCAGGCTGGCTGAAAATGTCCCGTAGCTCTCTTTGAGGGAGGCTGAGCTTGTTTTTCAGGAGAATCTCATGAGCAGTGTGGTTGTTGCTGGTTGCTGTGGACCTATTTCCAATCTAAGTAAGTATCTTACATAATAACAGGGTTGAAAAAATTAGCTGAGTTTCATGTGCATCAGCAGTGATTTGTGAAATCAAAAATGGCAACTTAAACTCAGATTGTATTAATGGACATCCGAGAACTAGAACAAGGTAATGATGCCGCTGCTATATTCTGTGCTGGTCAGAACTCATCTGGAGTAGCTGATTAACTTCTGAGGATTGCACTTGAAAAGGAAGAACAACGAAGCAGAACAAGCCCAGAAATTTGGAGCCGGTGTAGTGAAGAGCCTTGAAAACATGTAACTATGGATAAATGTAGGAACTAAAAAGACAAGGCCAAACGGGGTACTACCAGTGTCTTTAAATATTTACATGGGAGAAGAACTAAGCACTTTTCCCATGCCTAATGAGAGGACCTAGAGGGTTGTAAGTAGCTCAGTGAGGAAGAAGGTTAGGTAAGATCAACTTTTAGCTTGGCTTAGTGTAAGAAAAGCAAACTTCATGAAAGTAGGGATTTTTTTGGTGGGGGCGTGCGGGGTGCTTGTTTGTTTACTTTTTTTTTCTATCATCTAAAACCAGGCTTGGGCACTTAGTTGGCATTTAATAAATATTTATTGAATAAATGAATGATGGTTTTTCAAATAGTTAGAGTTGCCTCAAAATGAGCTGGGATGGCTCAGGAAGCAATGAGTTATTTATTCCTGGACTTACCCAGGCATGATGTTTGGTGAGATGTGATAGAAAACATTCAAACGTGAAGTGGGGGCTGGGCTAGGAGAACTTCAAGGTCTATATTAACCTTTAGATAGAATTATTCTATGAATTATGGAAAGGACAAGTGTGCAAGGGAACAAACATGAAGTTTGGTGCCCTTCCAAAGCAGTTGCTCAACAATTCATGTATCCCTCAACACCCCATCCTGCCCACTCCCACTTTTGGTTATAATGAACTCATGGCTAGCCAAGGAGTTTCCTTCGTTAGCTGAATGATTGTCGTGCCCTTCCACTGATCTGGCGAGGACACAGCTTTCAGCTCTGACTTCCATCATTTCTCTTAAGTGTTCCTGAATACAGTCTGGTAGCATCAAGAACAGAGAAGGCTATACTTTGCACTCAGAATCCAGGACTAGGGAGTCACTCTTTCATGGGCCCATCACCCTGCACCCCAACAGCTTGTGAAATGCCTGCAGCTCCCTGCTTAGCTTCTTGGCCTCCTGTCCAAACCCCTCACCCCCACACTTTTTTTTTTTTTTTTTTTTAATCAGAGCCGCAACCAAATTCCCTAAGACCATAACTGGTGTATAGACTCAAGAGTATAAACACGATCCCTGGCATTCATCACGGGTAATAGAAACCAGAGATGAACTGTCACGTAGCTGGCTATCCTGTTGCTGAGTCAATGCAACCTTTTAAAAACACACTAAAAAATACACACACAGGCTGGGAACAGAGCATGAAAGAAATTCCAAGGAATAGTTTCCTTTTTTCCTTGCTTTTCTCATTTTAATTATATAGGAATTCTGTAACCAGAAAAACATAAAGAATTAAAAATAGAATCCGGACTTCTAAGGATCTGCAAATAGAGTAGTACATGGAGAAAAAGCTTCTTATTATTTATAGGCCATTCTCGTTGCAAGAGATTTAATCATTTTAATATGAAAAATATGCATGGTCCATCTGGTGGCTACCTCTTCACCTCAGTTGCTTCTCTCAGCAACCATGCCTGTTGGCATATACTGTAGTTGCACAGGGAACTAGTTTTGAAGTTAGAAGACGAGTTTTAATTTTATTTCCTTTATTACTTATGTGACTTTGAGTAAATTACTTTTTTCTTTCTAAATTTTAGGTAACTCACCTGCAAAATGAGAATCAGAATATCCATTATGCAGGAATTCAATGAAGATTCAATGACATAATCGTCTGTTCAGTCCAGACCCTGAAATATAGCAGGCCCTTGGTAAAGGTTAATTGATTCTAGATCTGTTTGGAGTTAGAAAATAGCTCAAAAGTATAGGCCTTGACACTACTCAAAAACATACTAGCTATTCTTCACCAAAACTGCTTATCCACAAATAACTATATATGTAAAATAAGAATAAATGAATACATAAATATAAATATATATATATGACATCAACATATACAAGCTTTTTTGTTATGGCATTTCACACTGACAGAATAATTTTTATAATGATATGAAACCATTTTATTTTTGGTTAGGTTAATGCCCCTTTGCTGTTAGAGCCAGCAAATGCCCAGCAAAACACGAGAAAAATTAAGCATCTAACCTCGTTGGTTCAGGATTGGTACTTTGTAAAGATAAGACACTTAGAAGATAGATACAATTAAAATAAGACAAGAAACAAGGCAGAAATTAGAGGTGACATATTCATTTGGACGGCCATCAACCACAATCTACTCAGCTGTATTCCTAATTAGTACTTAGGCATCTTAGTTTCTATCCAGCTTCTAAGCCTAATTACTTCCTCGACCATTATTTATTACCTGGTGTGGTAAGACTGATGCAATTATTCCCATTTCATAGTAAACATGAATAAACCAGAGGGAAGCTAAGTAATTTCCTGAAGGCACCCAATGTCTGTTATGGAGTTAGGGTGGAATTCAGACAGGCTTTGAGTAATTTTAAAATAAAATACCTTTAGCAGAGTGAAGCTGGGTTTGCCTAATAACCTCTATTAAGTCGTGAGCACAGGGCCATGTGTGAAAGTGGCTTACTGCATGTTGAATGTTAAGTGAGCGAGCACACTCCACATGGCTAGGGTAACTATTTTATAACTCACCATTCAAAGCGGAACACCTCTGATTGTGAAAGAGAGCACTATAATAAATATTCTGGAGCAACATGTATAAACAAGACTGTCATGGAAATTTCAAGACATATGATCACACTATCTAAAGCAGATCACTCCAGTGAGCCATCTGAGGTTCTTGGAATAGCAGAGCCACTCTCTGCAAGCAGTCTGCAATTTGACCCTGGAACTTGCAGCCCAGGCTTTCTTGAAGATTCTTGGTTTAGAATCATGGAAATGACATCATCCTGAATCAACTGATCATATCCTCTTTTGTGCCACATTCAGTGGGTACCATGTGCTAAAGAGAGAATTTCATGTAATTACAGTTGATTACATAAATGGTTCTTGTCACCTTAGTCTACATAACTGAAGTCAGAGTTTCTTGAAAGTAGCATAGAGAATCATAAAAATTATTTAGTGAATCTCTAGAATATGGTATTTCTTTCTTTGGGTAAAAATGCCTGTTTCTTTCTCTTTTAACAAGTTTTTGAAGAAACTGGTTTTAAGTTTCTGAATCAAACACAGATTTTTCTTAAACTATTTGCATCTTTAATTTCCTCTTTTAGGTCTCCTGTGAAAGCTCATTTGGTGGTTTTGTAATACTTCAGTAAATTTAGCTCCTGGTATGTGATTTAAAGAGAACTATTGAACACTGTATTGTGATATAGTGGAAACAATACAGGACTAAAAAGAATAGTGTTTTGTGTTTTGATCCAAGTTTACCATTAAGTTGCTCTTGACTTGAAATGAGTTATTCAAGCTTTCTAGGTCTCAGTATTTCTCTCTCTCTCTCTCTCTCTGTCTCTGTTTCTGTCTCCCCACCTCCACATATACAGTAGTCATGCATCACTTAAAAACAGGAATACATTTGGCTGGGCACAGTGGCTCATGTCTGTAATCCCAGCACTTTGGGAGGCCGAGGTGAGCAGATCACCTGAGGTCAGGAGTTCGAGACCAGTCTGACCAATGTGGAGAAACCCTGTCTCTACTAAAAATACAAAATTAGCTGGGGGTGGTGGCGCATGCCTGTAATTGCAGCTACTTGGGAGGCTGAGGCAGGAGAATCGCTTGAATCCGGGAGGTGGAGGTTGCAGTGAGCTGAGATCGCAACACTGCAGTCCAGCCTGGGCAACAAGAGCAAAACTCTGTCTCAAAAAAAAAAAAAAAAAAAAAAAAAAAAAAAAAAAAAAACCACCACCACCACCAACAAAAAAACAGGGATACATTCTGAAAAATGTGTCATTAGGCAATATTATAGTATGCAAACATCCTAGAGTGTACTTACACAACTCTAGGTGGTACAGCCTACTACACACCTAAACTATATGGTATAGCCTATGGCTCCTAGGGTACAGACATGTACAGCATGTGACTGTACTGAATACTGTAGGCAATTGTAACACAATGGAAAGTATTTGTGTATCTAAACAGAGAAAAGGTACAGTAAAAATACAGTATTATCATCTTATGGGAGCACTGCGGTTGGTCATTGACTGAAATGTTATGTGCAAATGATTATATATACACATAGATATATACAATACATAATAAATAGATATACAATATTATATATATATATATATATATATATATATATTTCTGTACCACACAAGCTGTGTCCATTCATCAGTTGATGAACCTTTGAGTTGTTTCCACTTTTTGGTTATTATGAACAGAGCTGCTGTCAACATTCTTTTACAAGTTTTTGTGTGGACATATGTTTTCGTTTCTTTTAGGTATCTACCTCCATGGAATTGCTGGGTCATTTGGTAACTATGTTTAAACTTCTAAGGAACTTCTAGACTTTTCAAAGCAGCTGTACCATCTTATATTCTCACTAGGATGTATCAGGGTCCTAATTTTCTCATATCCTCCCCAACACTGGTTATTGTCTATATTTTTGATTCCAGTCATCCTTGTGGGTGTTAGGTGGTATCTCGTTTCGATTTTGATTTGCATTTCCCTGATGGTTCCTGTCACTACTCATAACCATACAGTTATTTATCTTGATTAGAGTTCAGAACTATAGAATACTGCAAGTATATTGGACGCTCCTAATCCTGGGACTGAGTGAACAATCAACAATGGAAGATATGTTTAAAGTTTAGCTTTAACCTATGGAGGAAAACTTGATTTGCTGAGTCCCTGACTATGCAAGAGGCTGGTGGTCCCTGCTGAGGAAGGAGTGAGGATCAGCCCTTCCCTCTGGTCTGCAGCCTCTGCTGACAGCTGGCTGGTGTCCGTCATTGATCATCACACTAGCAGAGTGCGCCTGGTCCAACACCTCTAGACTTGTCCCAACGGTTTATTTGTCTAATGGCTCTTCACAAACAAGAGAAGGAGAATCACATCTCCCTTGAACATGCATCCATCTTTCGGTTCTCAGGATTACATTTGTTTGCTCTGACCTTGGCAGTCTGTCTCAGACAGCTTCTTTCTATATCAAATGGGTTGTGTTAAAACCTAGTTTGAGAACGAAGAGTAAGCCAGGGAAAAATGCATCATTTTGCAAAGTTCGAAACCAGGCATTTTAAAGAACTAACACATCAGTGAAGACAAATGACAGGACAATGGATTTAGAGAGCATGTGTTCCCCTAAGCCCAGTTTGTTTGAGTAGTGTGTGTGTGTGTGTGTGTGTGTGTTAGTGTGTGTGTGTGCATACTGAAATTACTTGTGAAGATTTTTTTCAAAACATGCATGCCTGGACCTCAGGGTCTGACGACCTAATTCAGGTGGAGCTTAAACAATTTTTTTTTCCCTAAATAAGTCCCATTATCCCCTGTGTTGCTGAAATTGAGTAGATCATCAAAACTAGTGAATACTTCAAAGTTGTACCTATTTAGTTTCAAAATATAGATTATTTTCTGTACAGTAGATTTGCTTTTCATGTTGTGTTGTGTTAGCACACTATTAGAATTATCTCTTGTGCATATGCTGGCGAGGGAAACGGTAAGGATTATATTCTCTATTACACGCCTATAGGATACGATGCAAATGTATTACCCCTTCCATGGTTTACTCCATGTGTATTTCTCCAACCTCATCTCTTGCTACTTTACCACTTGATAATCTATGTATTAGTCAGTGTTCTGCAGAGAAACAGAACCAAGGGGCTATATATAAATATATAAGAGGTGATTTATTAGGGCAATTGTCTCATGTGATTATGGAAGCCAGGAAGTCCCATGATATTTCATCTGCAAACTTGAGAATGAGGAAAGCCAGTGGTGTAATTTAGACTGAGTCCAAAGACCTGAGAACCCAGGGTGGCAATGAGGCTGGGGGTAGAAGTAGTGCTGGAAGGGGGGTGGGCACCAGTGTTAAGTCCTGGATTCTAAAGGCCCAGGAACCTGAAGCTCTGATATCCTAGGGTAGGAAGAGTTGGATGTCCTAGCTCTAAAAAAGAGAAAGAATTTACCCTCCCTCTGTCTCTTTGTTCTACTTGGACCTTCAGTGGATTGGATGATGCCCATTCACATTGGTGAGGGTGAACTTCTTAATCATAGCCAAATTTTAATCATCGCAATTTATACCCCAGACATGTTAAATACTTACATTTCTTTGAATGTTTGTTTTCTTTCTTTTTGGTTTTGTATGTACTGTTTGTTTTTCCTGGAAAGTTTTTTTCTGAAACTTGTCCATCTGGTGAATTTACGTTAATTCTTCAAGATTCAATTCAATAGTTTCTGTGAAGCCCTCTCTGATTCCCTACTCCAGAATTGACCTCTCCCTCCTTTATACAAAAACAGTTAATTTCTTCTTTCCACATTTCTTGAGCACTTGTACGTTGTGCATTGAGCTAGGCTCCAAAACAATTGTAACGTGACTCCATTCCCTCTTAGCCTTCTCAATATAGTAAACGAGAAAGAAAAATATCCAGATAATTACAATGTTAAGTGTGTGAAGGGTGTGTTGGGAAAATCTGAGACATTCTTTGGGAGCTGATGGGAGGGACACATAACCTATGGGGAGGAGACATCATTGTTACCTTTTGGATAAACTGACACCTGAGCTGAGCCTAGAAGGATGAGTAAGAATTAACTGGGAAGAGAGGGCAGGGTAGCACACCAGTAGTGAAAGGAGAAACAGAGGCCACATCTTGAAGGCAAAGGATGATGCCTTTGTGAGGCTTCAAGTCATCAGGTGCTTGCAGAACATAGTGTGAAACGCAGCGTGAAACTGTAGTGGGGGGCAGAGTTCATCATGGTGTTAGTAAAAGCTGGAGAGGTAGACTAAGATCCTTTCCAAAATAATTATTTGTTTATATCCTTTATCCTCTCCTCTCCTTGAGAGAAGCAGTCTTGTTTTATTCAGCTCTGTACTTCAGTGACTAGCACAGTACAAATTTATGGAGGGCATTCACACACATTGAATGAGTGAATGGGCGGATGAGTGAGATGAAGATGGGATCACAAATTAACTGTGAACAGCCCACGAGGAAGAAACATGGATCTTCACAAAGCATTTGGGTGACTTTGCTAAAGGATGTTGATTTCATTCTTTTTACCCCTCATTTCATCCATTTTATTACCATATATTTCCTAAAGAGAAGGTCTGGCCAATATCAAAACAAAGCAGACTACTCTGTTTTTAATTACCTTTTTCAAGGCCGCACTGGCAAGGCAAAGGCTGCCTGGGTCTGACTTGAGCCACAATCAGAAACATATTGTATGCTTTCCTTGTAAGCGCTGAATGGAGTGCATGAAGCTTATATTGATAAGGGTTGAATTTTAGGTTTTATCTTTTAATAGGGGTGATAAGATTCGAATGCCTCAGCCCTCTGTGCTATCTGGGTGCTGATGGTGGGAACAGTCACCAAAGTGATGTGCTGGTCAGTGGTGGGGGCCCTGGGCTAACCTCAGAAAAACACAAATATGAGTGGGTGGAGTGGTTGCTTTCCATGAGAATCTTTCTCCCTCTCTTTCACAGCCTGGCCCACACGATTGGGCCCTTTGCCAGCAAGCAAAGCAATGGATTATTTTTTCCATTGGTCAGAGGATGTTTTCTTTCTTTTTTTTTTTCTTTTTGTGAATGGAGATAAAAAACTTTCATTTTAAAGGAGAACTTTAGGAATTTCATTTTAGTAAAATGAAAGACTACCCAGATTCCCAGGAAGCATTGGAGGAAGGAGCAGAGCCTGGGGCAGCAGGGGCCCTTGGAATCATGCAGATGTGAGTGTCAACCCCGTTTCTGCTGCAGGCCAGCTGTGTTCCTCTTAGAGTCCCTCTGGCCTTTGGAGCCTCCAACCTCTTGATAATATAGGGAAATTTTTAGGTAAATAAAATGAAATAAGTGTGAATAACATATTTAGTAGACACTCAACATGTGCTATTTTCCTTCCTTTGCTCTTGAACGGAAACAAAGGATGACACTGTCTTCCCATCAGTCTTCTGTATATTTGGGGGAAAAGTCAAGAATACAAACCTAAGAATCCCAAGGGAAAGCTTTGCATATACAATGTCTTATCCTGCTGGCTGATCTCATTCACTTCAACTCACCAAATATTTATTAAGTATATGCTTGTGCTTACAATTGCTTATGATTGTGGAGTTTACAGTTGGATAAGAGATGCTAGCTGAGCTTTGTCTTCAATAAACATATCTCTTTATTTACGACAATGACAGAACTTTGTATGCCGGGCAGGTAAATAGAACAGGGCAATATGTATGCGGGTGTGCGTGCGTGTGTGTGTGTGTGTGTGTGATCATGCACATAAATAGTTTTGTGAGGTGAGAGATCAAGGGCTGGCAGAATGAAGGGACTTTTTAATTATTTAGACTGAATTGGGAAGGGCTGTACAGTGAGCAAAAATGTCATCCAGACAACTGTTTTTCCATATGGGCTATACTTTGGCCAAGGACAGAAGCCTTTGGATTTCATAAATACTTGGTGCATTTCCCTCTTCATATTTCTTGATGTGCCCAAAACATTGGTGCCTCCATGCCTCTAGGCCAGCTCTTCCTTCTGGCTGTAATTCTCTTCACCAGCTATGGAAATTGAACTCATTCTTCCAACTCCAGCTCAAAGCTCAGCTTCTCTATTAAGCCTTCTTTCCTTTTGTCTATTACCTCATGTAAACACAAGATACATATCTTAGGAGTGAATGAAATCAGTCTTATAAGTGGTTTTGAAAGTTAATTTCTCTCAAAAATTTTCCATTCATCCCCAAATTGGCCTGGGATCTTTAATAACTCCCCAGTAGTCTATCAGTTCTCGTTACCATCTTCTCCCACATCACCTCTTACCAGAGTCAGAGAACAAAAGCTTCTACAGAAACATAAAACCCACTCTGCCCTTAGCTTATTTTTTTTGAAAGTCAACTCAACAGTCAGAAGGAAAAGCAGAACTCTGTATGTTTTGCAACACACCTGCCCCTCTCAACAAATTCATCGAGACCACACAGATTAATAGTGCAAATGTTGGAGAGACGCAGAAATTAAGGAAGGATGTGAAGAACATAAAATATTAAAATAATAGTGGGACACAAGCCATTTATCTGCTTCAAGAGGGTGTGGACAAGGGAAAATTCACTCACCTCGTAGCAGTATGATACCAAACCAAGAGACTGAAAACAGAAGAAATCCAATGCAATCATTTACCCAAATCATTAATCTTGCCAATTTTCTTCTTTGACATGTGGGAATCAATTTAAAGTGCTCTGATTCCATAGATAATATGAAACTGCCATCCCACTAGGGAAAACTCTATAAATATTCCTTTAGTTACTCCTCTCTAAAGTGGGAATGGTCTCTAAGATGTGAGTAACGATCATCTAATCAGAAGGGACTCATGACCTGGCCAGGCCTTAGGACCTTGGCTGATGAGTTTCCCAAAATATCCCAAAAATACTGATTTTCAGTTGTCCCATTGGACCCAATAAAAATATTAAATTCTCAATAAAAATATTGAGTCCAATGGGACAACTGAAATTCAATAGGAAGCCCTTCAGTCTTCTGGGATTTATAGAGTGTTCAGAAGACAAATTCTGGGGAAACCCACAGAGTGTGGCTGAAATTTCAGCTTGGTTTCTGGATAAGCTGAGTTCTACTGAAGCCACACCCACCTCTGCTCTGGTCCTCCTTTCTTTACCCTGTTTATCCCTGTGGGTTGTGGATAGGGGCCTGGGCAGGATGATCTCCTAATAGAATGCGTAGCCCATCCTCAGTTCAGCATTCACTTGCTTCAAATGCTTTCTGTGGGATTTCGGTTTCTATCAGGTCTTGTTTTTAGCCTTTTATCAAAAAAAGCTCTCTTGCCCCTTATGCAATTTTTCAGGTAGTGACAACTTTTCTTAAAAAAAAAAAAATTGGAGGCAGCTCTAAACAGCTTCCAGAGCAACACACAGCTGGTTGTTACCACTTTGCTGACTGAATTCATAGCACTTTCTTTGCCTTTTGCCCCCAAAATCAAATGGAAATTCATTGGCAAGGATATAAACATAAGTTTTTTCCATCTCTTTTTTATCAGGAAAAAACACTGGAAAAACAGATTGCATGCCTGGGCTGTTGGCCCTTGAAATTCCCTGCCTCGTCAGACCTGTTATCTCAGTAACAAGAACAGTTTAGACAGTAGGAATCTAATCAGCTTTCACTTCAATTAGCCCCAGGACAAGTAGGCTGGACTCTCTCTCCTCTTCAGGGACAAGAACTGGGCATTTTAAGAGATTCAGCTCTACCACAAATGGAAGAAGAGTTTCAGCCATATTCTGTCGGTCATTTCCAAGTAAAATATATTTTCTTTTTGAAGGGGCCAGAGGCTGCACAGGGACACACATTTGGAATTCCTTGTCCAAATGGCCTCTAGCCATTTCCAGGGTATTCTCGTGCCCCTTCCTAGTGTGTGTTCTCTGGAAGGCAGGTCCTGGGCACATCTTAATCTGAAGGATTGCCAAGGCATGGCTCTTTATGGGAGTGCAGATGGAGATGAACTTCCAGGCTGGAAGACAGAGGTGATGGCGGGTGGGTGGGCCAGGTGTGAGCTGACTTCACCCTTCCATGTGCTGGCAGAGAATCCATAAGAAACTGAGAATTCTGAGTTTGGGCCAGGCCTTGTAGATGGTTATGAAGGTAAATTGACAGGTAAAAGGATAGGATTTTTTTTAAGCTGATGGTCAATTAGCTTGATGTGTCGCGTTTGAATATTTAGACTTATAGTATGTGATTCTCCATTTCTATTATTGCCCAAGGACTCCAAATGTTAAATGAGAGCCTGGAGGATGATACACTGTTTTTACTTAGGCTCCTCAATTTGAGGAACTAGGTCAGTAGGAAGAGGTTGAGTATATTTGGTGGGTGTACCTATCTCTCTACCTTCTCTTTGGAAATAGAGAGGAAGTCTACTGTTGTGGAAAGTACCTGAGATTTGGAGCAAAAGAGAATTGTATTCCATAAACATTTATTAAGCACCTATTGTATGTCAGCCACTGAGCTAGACACCAGGATAGGTAAAACACAACAAAAATTCTCAGAAAATTTATAGCAAGAAAATGGGTGTGTAAAAAAAAATGACAAGACAATGTATTAAGAGTCACTGTGAGCCGGTATACTTTAAACAAATAAGGGTGGACATCTAAAAGAGGGAGCAGCTCACTGGGGGAAAAGTCTCTGAAACCTTCACAGAAGGGATGTATTTCACCTGGGATTAGTGGATGTTTGGCAAGAGAAAGGAGGAAGGTCTTACTGGAGGGAATGAGTAGTGCAGAAGAAAGGAGGCATAACAGGGGATCTAATTTTGACTTGATAATTATCTTTGTAACTTATTTGTTCAGTGACTTTTGGATACATAACTTCTCTTAACCCCAGTTTTATCTTCTGTGTAAGTGGGATAACAATATAATGTCATGATAATTAAATGAAATGGTGAATGAGAAACACATATCTTAAATTCTGAAGCACTAATAAAATTTTAATTATTGCTGAAAGTGAGATTTCAGGCCTGGATCACTCTAAATTCCAGCTGGGGAATACTCTATTGGTTCTGGCATGAAAGCTGAGATACCTTCCTGGCGGCCCTGTTAGCATGCATCCTGAAAATAAACAGTCATATCTGGCCTTTCTTACAGAAGGAACACTGGGTTCAGAGTGGGGCAGCCTAGGAATGTTCCTGTGGGTTGGTAGAAGGAGGAAAATCAGGAATGGAAGGACTGCTGGCTCTTCACAGGCATCCCTCTTTGCTTGGAAGTAAACCAATGCTTTCCTACAGCCCAACAGTGTGGCTGAGTCTATGACCTGTGATTATGCAATATAAATTATAGGATCTTCTAGATTTGAGGTCAGGCTTCTCCAATCCCCGCTTGCAGAGGCCTCACCCCTAGGTCCAGTCTTCTGTATCATTTTCAGGTGAGAGACAGGGATTTTGAGTTCTTCTTTTGGCACTAGTATGGCTGATTAATAAATAATCTGAAGACAAAGGCTGTGTCTTTTATAATTCAGCATCCCTGGCATCCTGAACCGATAGTGAACACAGCATAGATTTGTCACATGAATAAGTTACTGGGAAGGAGGCTGCTCCTCCAGGCTCTAAAGGGGCCTATTCCTTTCCCTGATGATGTAGAAAGACAATGTGTTTTGTGTGCTCTGGCCAGTTCTCCAAGACCATGGCTGTCTAGCCCTAATTGCTGAGTGCCTGCCCCACTGAAGACACATCAACAACAGTGCATCTTACTTGGGGTCATCTCCTCCAGGGCAGATCCCCTTGGCCCCCAGGACATTGACAGCTTCTGTTTCACATCTGTTTTTACTTCTGGCCGGGCCTTCTGGGTCACTGCCTTGGCCCAGCAATCTCCCCTTTCACCTTCTTCCCACTCCAGGTCAGAACAGAGAGACCTTCTCTTCTCTTCCCATCCCCAGGGCCTCAATCTGCTCCCTGACCAGACTCTGTGGGCCTGTGTCAGCCGTCCTGTGGCTAAAGACTCCGAGACTGTCTCTGCACCACTGCACTCAGCTCTCGCCAGCCTAGCCTGCTCTCACCCCTCAGACAGTGCCTGTTTGCCACTCACATGTGCATATCTTGACCTTTGGCTGTTGGAATGTCAGCGCGCACATGTAGCGAAAGAATCCAATCTGCTAGAAGCATTAGGTCTTCAAATTGTCAGAACTCTGGGAGGCTTCTTGACATTAGCATTGTATCAGCTGTGTATTTTCCCACCTTGTCATCCTCTCCCCCTTCTACTCAATCATTTGGGTCAGAGTTGATGGGACATGCCTAGATGCAGGGCTGAATTGTTTTCAGCAAAACGGAGAGAGAATAGAGTCTTCTCCCTTCCCTTCTTTTTTTTTTCTTTTTTTTGCAGAACCTTTATTTGGCACCAATGCATCGTTTATGCCAAAGGGCTTGCATAAAAAACATGTTCACTACAGAAAAGTACTGGATGGAGGGGTAAGGGAGGCCGCTGCAGTTATATTAGTGGTTGTTAAGGAAACACATTAGGAATGAAGGTTGTGGGCTTTGATCTCAAAAAGTTTATACTCTATTTGTGAATACAGACCTCACCCATATGAAGCCATGGCAAAACATCTGAAAGAAGTGACTAAGTGCCTAGTTGTGGAGCACAGACCTTAAATGTCACCAGCAATCAGAAGTAAGAGACTGTGGAAGCTGTGAGGATCTGGGAAGGCTTTTGGAGGAGATGGAGCTTGAGCTGGTCTGCAAAGATGGAGTGTGTGTGTGTGTGTGCCCTTATTATATTCCCAGCACCCAGTGCAATGACTGACATCTCATAGATGATTGATATGCATTTTGTATAAATTAGTGAATGCACTGGAAGGAGAAAAGATGAAGAGGGAATGTGAATGTGGAGATGAATGGGGCATGTTTGTAACCCAATGGACTGGCGTGGCAGGGATAGAGGGCTGGGGCCAAGTGGCTTGCCATTAGGCTGAATAGATAGGGGAAGGGGAGAAAGCAGTAAAACCTTGCAGTTGTCCAAACCTCTATTCAGTGGGAGTTCCCGCTGTCTGATGTTGCTGGTGGTGCCTATCAGGGCAGGGCGTGCTGAGCTCGGATCACTTTTCACTTTATGAGCTGGTTTTCTCATTCCAGGGGGCTATGGGAAAATATTGCCATATCACAGAGATCAAAAACATGGTGCTGCAGATAAGGAGGGTAGGGTGACTGCAGGTAAGCAGTAAGGGTCACTGAGATAGGTCTCTATTCCACAGCAAAGCTAAACAATTCAGACTTTCACACCCACTAAATCAAACCCAAACAAGACTATAAAATGGGAGGGAGGGGCAGCTGGAAGGGAATTCTGTGCCCAATGTACACAAATACAGCTGGGCGAGAATGACTGCACAGGACACATTTGCTTTAATATTATTGCTCCTCTAGTCATTGTGCATATCTGTGGAAAATTTCGCCCTATTTGTGAGATTTAGGATGTAAGCACCAGAATATATCGGTTGCTGTGAGACCATACATGTTTTTGTTTGTTTACCCTATAGACATTTATTGAGTGTCTATTATGTGCTAGGCCTGTATACATATACATTGATCATTGTATGTGGGCTATGGACTCTGTTCTTATGAATCTTGCAGTCTACTGGAAAGAGAGAAAACAAAGAAGCAAGTTAAATAAGTAGAAAGATGGAAAAAAAGTGTCTTCTATTGAAAATATTCAGATGGGTAAAGATAAGGAACTTCAGAGCACCAAAGTATAGCATAGCTGATGTTCTCTCTAGAAAGGGGCCTTTTCTTGCATTAGAAGTAAGGTTACGATAAAAAAAAAACACATAAACAAAAACCCAGGGTATAACAAGCTGGGACCAGGGCTGGGGGCTGCTTTTAAGAAGATGATTTCTTCCACCTGAAGATGAGAATACATAGAGCAGCATAACTGTGCTTATAAAGAGAATGGTACAGGGTATTTGACAGCACATACTCTCTAGAAAACACAGCTTTACTGAGTTAATGCATCCACAGGAATAAATGAGGGGGGTTGCAGAGAAGTTGTACTGGGGAGTGGTTAGCTCTTCAGGCAAGCCTGGGTCTTTTTTGTCTCTTCGGAGTCAGAAATATTTGAGTTCCAATCAGTCTCCTGCTTTCCAGTTGTGTGAATGTGAATATGTTTAATCTCTATAAGCCTTGGCTTTGTCATCTGTAACATAAAGATATTCAACCTTTTAGGTTGTTCAGTTCCATTATTATGTAACATATCTAGCACAGCATCTGGCATAGAATATGTGTGTCACAGATTGGAACCATTTCAGCCTATATCCCTGGAGAAGCAGTGGGTGACAGGTAGGGGTGGAAGAGTTAGGCATCAGGAACAGCACAAGGGGAGCAGGAAGTAGAATGACATTTTAAAAATGAGAACTGGGGTGGGGGGGTGGGAACAAAAGACACAAAAACCTGTTTGCTGGCTGAGAAGCAAGGGTGAATCTTCCAATTGTCAGGATCCTTCTCTAAGGGACATTGCTTTATGTAGCAGTATGTTTGCTCTTCCTGAAAGTAAAGTGGATTGGCCTCTTAGGATCTCTAAGCAAATTGAGCCCCAAATGCTTGGTCCTATTTGTTAGCACAGTGGAAGGTTATGTTATTGCATAACCATGGTTGTATGTGTGTACATAAAGACACACATGTAGATCAATCCCAAATTTATGTAGTGCATTTTCATGGATCGGCAATTACTCTTCTGCGTGAGTCACTGTTCATTTAGTAGGATCTCTCCCTCTCTCTCTCTTTCTTTCTCTCTCTTTCCCTCTCTCTCTGTTTGTGTGTTTGCGTGTGTGTGTGTCTACACTTGCCAGAAAACAATGCGTTAGAATTCTGGTTTAAAGAGTTGGAATCTTTTGTTTATTTTTTATTTTTTAAATTTTTGGTAAATTCTCTTTCAGGTAAGTACCTGGTCTCCCAAGATTCCCTTTCTCTTTTGTGCTTCTCCTCCAGGTGGTGTATGGAAATGCTTATGTGACCTCATAGTGGTGGGGAAAAAAAGAGCCTCAGGTCTCCCTTTTGGCCTTGATTCTTGCTGTTCTGTTTTGTGAAGAGGCTGGTTTGCACAGGTCAGGCTTGTTGTCTACATGGACTGATGTTCACTGAGGCAAGCCTGGTTCTTTTTGTCTCCTGAGGCTTTGTTCCGGCTCCCGTTGCAAGTCTATAATGCCAGCCATCGGCTCTGGTTGTACTGTCCACTTGTTAGGGGTGAGAAGCTCATATTCTTCCACTTCCTCACCACTCTCCTCCTGGAACATGTGGTCCTCAAGATTTCTGCATTCTACACACACGTTCTGGAAAGGGCCAGAGTACTGCCTCAGAGCCCACCTTTCTAGCCACCTGCCTCCTCCAATGCTGTGCTCTGTCCCTCTCTCTCCTGTGCCACCTTGGATGTGACCTTGAGCTGACTTCTCAAAGAGCAGTGGTTCTTGACTTTGGTGCCATATTGGAATCCGCTGAGCAGTGGTTCTTGACTTTGGCGCCATATTGGAATCCACTGAGATGGCTTTTTTTCCAAATAGTGATGCCTGAATCCTGTGTCCAGACATCATGCTGTAAGTGGTCTGGGCACATAGAGACAATTCGGGGAGCCCAAAATGCCCCAGAGACTTGCAGTCTCCCACGGACTAGGGGATGGGTCATTAGCCCTTGCATTTTGGAGTCTGTGTTACCATCCAGATGTCCCCAATAGGGCCCAATCTACTGCTCAAGGTTCCGCACCCATGGCAGGGAGTGGAAATTAGGACACAGACTGCAACTTCTTGATCCCACATCTCCTGTTTCTTCTCTAAAACCAGAAAGGAAGGGATTTGTACTTTGCTTTGCTTTTCTCTCTACCAGACTTCCCTTTCATCAACACACCTTGAGTTCTTCACCCTTGGCTTTTGGTAACTTTAATATTTAAGTTGCTTGGGTACTGATGTATCAGTGGAAGCTTAAAAATTTAGAAGAAAATTTGTTTTTTCTCATAACTAAAAAATTCCATTCTGGACTTCAAAAGCTAAATCATTTTTCTTGATATTTCTGCTATAGAAATTCTAAACCTTCTTAAGAGAAATGAATGAAAATAAAAGCAGAAAGAGGAGTCAATTTTATGTGTGCATATATGTGTATATATATATACGTGTGTATTGTGATGGTGAATCCTGAGTGTCAGCTTGATTGTATTGAAGGTTACAAAGTATTGATCTTTGGTATGTGTGTGAGGGCATTGCCAAAGGAGATTAACATTTGAGTCAGTGGGCTGGGAAAGGTGGACCCACCCTTAATCTGGTTGGGCACAATCTCATCAGCTGCCAGCACATCTAGAATATAAGCAGGCAGAAAAATATAAAAACAGAGACTGGCCTAGCCTCTCAGCCTACATCTTTCTCCTGTACTGGATGCTTCCTGCCCTTGAACATTGGATTCCAAATCCTTCAGTTTTTCGGACTGGTTCTCCTTGCTCCTCAGCCTGCAGATGGCCTATTGTGGGACCTTGTGATCATGTGAGTATTTAATACATTCCTATATATATATATATATATATATATATATATATATATTCCATTAATTCTGTCCTTTAGACATATATGCCACACACAGCACATTTCTAAATAATATTTCATTGAATCCCAACAAATTTATGTAAAGTAACTTCTTTTATTTGGAGAAGAGAAAACTGAAACACAGAATCTAGGTGACTTTGTTCAAGGTCACTGATACATAAACTGGAAGAGAATTTAAAACAAATGTGTGTATGCATGGATGCATGTGTTTCAGTGTGTCTGTGTCTCCATAGTGTAGGTCAAACAATAGTAGAATAAAATCATTAAATAAAAATACCCTAGCCTATATTTTTTTTGAGGGGGGAGTAGTTGAGAAGAATGATTGATACAGTTATAGGAATTTAGTAAAGGCCCTAATACAAATGACAATCATACACCCAAGCTCAGTCTAAAATAGACATCAGAGTGGATTACAGAAGGGGTTCAGTGAATAATAAACAGCTAGGACCATGAAAATAATCCAGACTTAACAACTGCCTGAAGCTTTACATTAAAGGAAACTTTTTAGCATAAGGAGAAATATCTAAACAAGTAAGGCTAACTATTGGTTGCAGTCAAGATTCTTTCTCCAGCCTGGATAAATGAAATGGAGAACACAAAACGAATTGATATAATTTGTGTTCCACCAGCTTTTTATAGTGTTTTTGAGTGAACTATCTCATTAAATCTTCATAGCGTTCTTCTGAGAAAGTTAATATCATTATTATCTTCATTCTGTTTTTGAGAAAATTGAGGCTCATATAGCTTGAAATGCATTGCAAAAGATCAGTCAGCCAGTAAGCAGAGCTGGAACTAAAATCCAAACTTTTTTTTTTTTTTGACACTCCATGTTCTTTACAGTGCACTATAGTGCTGTGCCTTTAAAAACATTCTTTACCAAAGAGAGATTTTTCAAGCAGGCCGTATGTTTTACATATGGTTGTATGCCCTATGGCCACCACATTGCCCAGAACCTAGTACATTGTTGATGTTACATAGCTTTTGAAAAATAAATGAATTAAGGGAGGCAAGGAAAGACTTCTATTCAAAGACGAAGGCCTAACTGCATGGGTTTATCTATTTTGTTTCTTCAGAGCACATTAAACTTGTGATAAAATAGTAATAATAATAAAGAGAACAGGAGAAGGGCTATAGGGGATTTTGACAAATTTCTAGAAGATGAAAACTATAATATACTGAGGGATAAATAATGAAGTCAGGGATGGGCGCTGCAGCTTATCGCATTGATGGATGATAATGCACTAGGACACCAGGATGAAGTCGTCAGCCATTTGGATCACAGAAAGTCTCAGGTGTTGGAAGTGTGGTGGAAGAATGTGAAACAGAGGCTACAGAGAAACTAATTTGTAGTTTATATACATAACAACCTCTTTTCTTCCCAAGTAAATGCAGTCTGAAGAAACCAGATGTTTGCCTCCCTCGGAAAACAAACCAATGGTGGAGGCATTCTTTTGTAAAGAAATTTGATTTTCCTACTGCAGGGGTTCTTAGCTTTGGCATGTTTGGCATTTTGGGCTGCCAATTCTGTGCTGTTGAGGGATGTTCTGTGTACTTAGGATGTTTAGAAGCACCCTTGGCCTCATTCCCTACATGCCAGTGGTATCCCCTCTTCCTCAGATGCAATAAATAAAAATATCTCCAGATATTGCCAAATGTCCTCTGGAAGACAAAATGACCCCTGGTTGAGCCACTATCTTAGAGAAACGAGTTCCACACCCTTTCATTTAGGAGACCTCCAGTATAATGTCCAGTCTGTGCATGAGTACCTTAAGCAAAGTTCAATAGTATTGAGTATCCAATCAATTTCTAATGTCTGTATTATTAAACATGAACAAACAGAAACATTTGAGAAAATACAAGATAATACAAGAACCAGTGCGATGATAAGGGAAAATAATCGAAGAATAAAAAACGCATTACTTAGAAATATAATTTTGTGATAGCACAATCGCGTGGGTAGAGTCAATAATAACTTAACTGTACATTTAAAAATAACTAAAGGAGTGTAATAGGATTGTTTGTAACACAAAGGTTAAATGCCTGAGAGGATGGATACACTGTTCTCTATGATGTGATTGTATCACATTGCATGCCTGATTCAAACCATTTCATGTACTCCATAAATATATACACCTAATATGTACACACAAAAATTAAAGAAAATAAAAAATGTCATATTTATAAAATATATAAATACTTTTCTATAACACATTGGAAAGTAAAGTCTATGAGACCAAGAATGTTTAATTAATATGTAAAGTTATAGAAAATATGAGAACAAAATGTATAGACATAGCTGATTAATCTAGGAAGTCAAATATCTGATTAACACGTTTCCAGAAAGAGAGAAGTGCATACAAAGAATTCATTTAAAACAAGGCACAGTGGCTCATGCCTGTAATCCTAATGCTTTGAGAGGCCTAGGTGGGAGGGCTCTTGAGGTCAGGAGTTCAAGACCAACTTGGCCTACATAGTGAGATCTCATCTCTATGAAAAAATTAAGAATAATAAATAAAAATAAAAAATTAGCAGGGTGTGGTGGCACATACGTGTAGTCCTACCTACTTGGGAGGGTAAGGCAGGAGGATCTCTTGAGCCCAGGAGGTTGAGGCTGCAGTGAGCTGTGAGCACACCACTGCACTCCAGTCTGGGCAACAGAGAGAGAACCTTTCTCTAAAACAAATAAAAAACAACAACAAAACCTTATTAATTTAACTATCTAAAAGAAACAAGTAAATTATAATGATATCTGTATGTCTCACACAATGAATGAAAAAATGCCATAGTTAAACATATGGTCAATTCACAGAATACCAAGAAAAAAGAGAAGATTCTAAAAGCCCACTGAAAAAGAAAGAGACACACAGAGAGAGAGGTGGTGGTGGGGAACAGGAGAAAAGACATTGGAGCATTAGCATTATATTTTTTAGGAAAAATGAGTTTTCAACCTAGAATTCTATACCCAACTACACTATCACTAAATTGTTATGGTAAAATAAGGACTTTTTTTTTTTCCTTATAAGGACTCAGAAAATTCACTTTATACACTTATTTTAGAAAGCTTCCTGAAGAAATGCCTATGTTAGATAAAATGACTCAATGCAACAGTAGAGAGCTATAACTCAACTGGTTTACACAGAAAGACAGCGATTATCTCAAATAACAAGAAGTCTAGAATGGACAGCTATAATGTTGACTCAATTATGTTACCAACATTTTAAGTTCTTCCTGCTTTGCTTTTCTGTTGTTCTTGGTGAGTTGCATCATTCTTGAGATAGCTCTCTTTGCATTGGAGGATTACTTGTATAACCAGATATCATGTACAGATAAGAAAATGACCAGAGGAATAAAGGACATTCTCTTTTTGTGAATTTTTTAAATCAAAGACTTCACCAGAGGTTCCATGACAAAATTTCCCTTTCATTGTCTAAAATTGACAATATGTCCACTTTTCAACCCATCAGTAGGAAGGGAAACGTTGACACAATTGACTTGGTGAAGTTCAAGATCATTAACATAGGGTGGTATACCAGAATGAAAAGTAGGATATGTTAGAAAGAAAGAGGGATGTGTGTTTGCTGCAATGCTGCAACAAACCAGGGATCAAACCAACAAAGAGGATATAGGATCTAGATATGGTGGAACTGACCCAGGAAAAGAATAACAATTCCCAGGAAGATGAATGCACATGGCCTGAAGGCACAGCTGTCGATTAGAGCAGAAGGACAAAGGGGCCTAGGCAGGAGAATTGACGTAAAAAGAGAGTGGGAAGGATTTTTGATATAAAATTCTAAAGTGTGATAAAGGCAAAATTTTAAAAAACTGGCATCTAGAAATCTCAGAAAAAGGATAGAGCATTATAAGAAAGAACTGTAATCATGAAAACACTACGTTACTCTGCTTTGTGCAATACTGACACAGTCAAAATAACAGGGATAGGGTTAGTTGACTTTCAACTTCTATAATCAGCTCAGTGATGCAAGCTGGCTATGGAATAAAATGTACCTTCCCTCCTCTGTGACAATATAAAAGAAGTGCGCATGTGAGAAATTGGGAGGTAGCAGGTGGTGCGGTGGGGAGAGCTGAGAGTAGAAAGAAAAGACAGGGATGCTAAAAGATGTTGCCTTTAGTTGGTAAAACAAGAAACAAAAGTATGATAATAAGTAATTACAAAAGATTAAAGAATAAATGACATAATTTTTATTTACTACGAGATTGGGTTTAGGGTGAGTTTGTGTGAACTAAATCTTAATCTATCATAGTGGGGATTCAAAAGATAATGTATAAAATGAATAAATTAAAAGTGCAGGCAAAAACATGCATTGTCTAGAAAGATGGCACTAACTCCCAGAAAAATAGCCCAAAGAGTTAAAAGAGTTTTCTCTGGGGAGGGGAAGGGGAAGAGGGAAGGGACAGAGGCCTTTCATGTATAAGCCCTTTTTATTATTCTTTATTTCAACCATGTGCACACATATTATTTGATAATTGAAAATATATTGTAAAAAATAATTTATTTTTACTTTCTATCCTCATAATGCAAACGTATTTTATATTATTAATTTTCCACTTACAGCTTTAACAAAAACATTTTCCTTGACAGTACATGGCCTTTATGATGATTCATTTATATGATGATGTAATATTTTGTATGGTTTCTCTGGCAGTCCTGATCCATTCATATTCCTTCTCTCAGTTTTCCTGTGTCTATGAATACCTGAAAGAAGTGGTTGAAGCTTGGGGGAGCAGTCTATGGCCAAAGAAGGACATTGTTTTTCTCTTTTTTTTCTCTGAAAATAGCTAAATATTGACCTGGGCCTCATTAGCACTGTGCATTAACCAAGTTCAAAGCACCAGGCAGAGCTGTGTAGAGGTCTCGCTTACTGCAGCAGCCCCTGGGTGGTGCACACACACCCTGAGACCTACAAGGTTAGAGACAGTTGCATCCCAGCCTGGACAGCATCAACCCAAGGCTGCCCTTTGCACTGACACTGCTCCCAAGTTCATTTGAAATGGGGACTGCCAGAAAGACAAGTCTTCATTTGCAAAGCAAGAGCATGGTTTTAATTATCCTTTAGATCCATAAAAAAGCAAGGGGGGTGGGGATAGATTTATGGCTTTAAATTCTCTTCTTTGCCATTTATAAAACAGTATTTATCAGGTGTGGGGCACATGGCAGCTCTGGGGAGTGCCAGACGGGGATCAAAAGCAAAGCATAAAAACCTTCCCCTTTCAACATACCTAATCTCTTCCTTCTATCTATAAATGGCCACATTTACCTCCTGGCTCAGAAAAGTGATTCATTCTGGCACTTTGCTGTTTGAGGTATCAAGAGTGAGTAAGAGTGTGCAGGGTCTGTACTAACTGCCCTTTGATGTTTCCTTCAGAAGAACAGAAAGATGGCCAACAGCCCCTGGTGGGTGTTGGCACTGCCATTGCCTTGGAGAGTGTCCCTTTCACAGGGAGACATTTGCATCCTTCTACTAGAGCATCATATAGGAACACAGCTGGAGAAATAGTAATAAATCATTCATCTTTTCAGTGCTGTTTAGTTATCTCCTATATACCCCCGACACTGCCAGGTCATAGTAGATTCCAATGAAGTGTAAGATATGATACCTTACTTCAGAAAGCATCAATGTTTGTTGACAAGAAAATCTTGTACGTAGTAGAGTCGTAGATTATTAAAACAAGTTTTGGTGGTGTTGAGTTTTGGGAACAGATGATCATTGGTAGGGCTTCAGATTGACTTGGGTTTTCCCAGAAGGTATGATGTGGGCTAAGCTTTGAACAATGGCTTTACGGACTGAATGTTTCTGCCCCTCTCCCTGCCATTCCTATTTCTAGAGTTGAAGCCCTAACCCTAAGCATGGCTGTATTTGGAGATGGGGCCTTTAAGGAAGCAACTAAGATTAAATGAGGTCATAAAGATGGGGTCCTGATCTGATATGATTAGTGTCCTTGTAAGAAGATATACCAGAGGGAGACCTCCCTCTTCCTCTCTGCCATGTGAGGACATAGCAAGAAGGTGGCCATCTACAAGCCAGGAAAAGAGCCCTCACCAGAAACTGAATTTACCACAACTTGATTCCAGACTTCCAGCCTCCAGAACTGTGAGAAAATATTCTGTTGTTTAAGTCACCTCATCTGTGGCATTTTGTCGTGGCAGCCAGGGCTGACCAATACAGATTGGTAGGATTTCAATAGAAAGAAAAAGAGAGAGCATTCAAGATGGGTAAAATACAAACACAAGCCTGAGACCAGCATAAACATGGCATGGGTGAGGGACAAGAGGAGAGGGTACATGTTAGAATTGCGTACTGGGCCAGTGGTTTCTGGGTGTGGTATGTCCCATTCTTCTGAATTGTGGCTTGTTGACCAATAAAAACCTGTAAAGGGCAGATTTAGGAAGCATAAATACATTTGCTTCTAGAAAACAAAGCAAATTTATTTGAGTTCTTTGTAGATTCCGGATATCAGCCTTTTGTCAGATGAGTAGATTGCAAAAATTTTCTCCCATTCTGTAGGTTGCCTGTTCACTCTGATGGTAGTCTCTTTTGCTGTGCAGAAGCTCTTTAGTTTAATTAGATCCCATTTGTCAATTTTGGCTTTTGTTGCCATTGCTTTTGGTGTTTGAGACATGAAGTCCTTGCCCATGCCTATGTCCTGAATGGTATTGCCTAGATTTTCTTCTAGGGTTTTTATGGTTTTAGGTCTAACATTTAAGTCTTTAATCCATCTTGAATTAATTTTTGTATAAGGTATAAGGAAGGGATCCATCTTCAGTTTTCTACATATGGCTAGCCAGTTTTCCCAGCACCATTTATTAAATAGGGAATCCTTTCCCCATTTCTTGTTTTTGTCAGGTTTGTCAAAGATCAGATGGTTGTAGATGTGTGGTATTACTTCTGAGGGCTCTGTTCTGTTCCATTGGTCTATATCTCTGTTTTGGTGCCAGTACCATGCTGTTTTGGTTACTGTAGCCTTGTAGTATAGTTTGAAGTCAGGTAGCATGATGCCTCCAGCTTTGTTCTTTTTGCTTAGGATTGACTTGGCAATGCGGGCTCTTTTTTGGTTCCATATGAACTTTAAAGTAGCTTTTTCCAATTCTGTGAAGAAAGTCATTGGTAGCTTGATGGGGACAAACAACCCCATCAAAAAGTGGATGAAGGATATGAACAGACACTTCTCAAAAGAAGTCATTTATGCAGCCAACAGACACATAAAAAATGCTCATCATCACTGGCCATCAGAGATATGCAAATCAAAACCACAATGAGATACCATCTCACACCACTTAGAATGGCGATCATTAAAAATACAGGAAACAACAGGTGCTGGAGAGGATGTGGAGAAATAGGAACAGTTTTACACTGTTGGTGGGACTGTAAACTGGTTCAACCATTGTGGAAGACAGTGTGGTGATTCCTCAAGGATCTAGAACTAGAAATACCATTTGACCCAGCCATCCCATTACTGGGTATATACCCAAAGGATTATAAATCATGCTGCTATAAAGACACATGCACACGTATGTTTATTGCAGCACTATTCACAATGGCAAAGACTTGGAACCAATCCAAATGTCCATCAATGATAGACAGGATTAAGAAAATGTGGCACATATACACCATGGAATACTATGCAGCCATAAAAAAGGATGAGTTCATGTCCTTTGTAGGGATAGGGATGAAGCTGGAAACCATCATTCTCAGCAAACTATCAGAAGGACAAAAAAAAAAACAAACAAAAAAGCAAAGTATCCCAAGGACAAAAAGAACACCACATGTTCTCACTCATAGGTGGGAATTGAACAATGAGAACACTTGGACACAGGGTGGGGAACATCACACACTGGGGCCTGTCGTGGGGTGGGGGACAGGGGGAGGGATAGCATTAGGAGATATACCTAATGTAAATGACGAGTTAATGGGTGCAGCACACCAACATGGCACATGTATACATATGTAACAAACCTGCACGTTGTGCACATGTACCCTAGAACTTGAAGTGTAATAAAAAATAATAATAAAAATAAATAAAAAATAAAATAAAATAAACCACAAAAAAGAAAAAAAGAAAACAAAACAGTTTTCCTTAATTCTTCTTCTTCCATTTCTAGGAGATATTTTATTTTACCCCTTTATGCAATTAGAGATATACCTTCCCTGAATTAGAGTATCACATTGTAATATCTTAGAAGTGTAGAAATCCTGAGGTTATCTAAAATGCAAATTTCATTAAAGTAGGATTTTTTGTTGGTTTTATTTACTGCTGAATCCTTAAGGTCTAGCAGACTGCCTGGCGAGTAAGAGCTTACTAGACCTTAGTAAGGGCTCAGTGAGTACTTGAAGAAATAACTAAAGGAAAGCCTGGCTTCCGACACAATTAAGAAATATCTGGCTCCTGTGCTGGGACTCAGTTTTCAGTCTTGACTTTAAAGCTTATCAGTTTGGGACATATCATCACTTGTAACTCAGCTTTCCTATCTTTAAAATAGAAGATATTAAAACATAATTCACTTATCCCAAAAAATTGTAAGGATTAGTTATCCTTCAATGTATTATAATTTATTTAATTACTGTGTATTAGACTTTGAGAATATTATGTGGATTTATCCTTCAAAGAACTTAGAGTCTAATGGAGAAAGCAGAAACAAACAAACAAAAAACAATTGTAGAGCCATGTGGTAGCTGCTATGGCAGTGACATTTTTGTCCTGCTATGAATATTCTCTACACAGCAGACAGAGTAGTGAGCCTTCCAAAATCTAAATCTGATCATGTACTTCCACTGCTCAAAGTTCTCCACTGTTTCCTTTATCTTTAGAACAAAAATGCAAACTTCCTTCCTTGGCATGACATGCTCTGCCTACTCAGATTATATCTCCCACCGTGGTCTGTTATATTCATGGCTCTCAGCCATACTAGCCTGTGTTGCTTTCTGAAGATACTAAGCATTTTATTGCCTTGAGGCTTTTTTTTTTTTTTTTTTTGGCAACTGTTACCATTACCTGAAATTCTCTTCCTATGACTACCTGTGATTCTAATAAAGCAAACTTTTCCCATCTCTTCACATATCACAATATAAGCTCCTCAGTTTCAAAGACTGCTTTCTTCACTGCTTTATCCCCAGTACTCAGAATAGGCCTGGCACATGGTAGGTGTTTAATAAATATTTGTTAAGTGAGTGATTGAAACTCCAATTTAGTGGCATTTCAGATGGAAGTGTCAATTAATGCATGTAACTGGACAATAAGCATTTTTAATACAAAAATCAACTAGGTGGTGCATGGTGGCTCATGCCTGTAATCCCAGCACTTTGAAAGGCTGAGGCGATTGGATTGTTTGAGGTCAGGAGTTCGAGACTAGCCTGGCCAACATGGCTAAACCCCATCTCTACTAATAATACAAAAATTAGCCAGGTGTGGTGGCATGTGCCTGTAATCCCAGCTATCTGGGAGGCTTAGGCAGGAGAATCACTTGAACCTGGGAGGCAGAGGTTGCAGTGAGCCGAGATCACGCCACTGCATTCCAACCTGGGGGACAGAGAGAAAATCTGTCACACACACACACACACACACACACACAATCAATTAAATTAATAAAGAGCTATACTTTCAGCTTCTGTTTGAATGCCTGAAATCATAATAATTCCCTAAAAGGCAGTGAATCCCACCTTTAGGAAGAGCTAATGATTTTTAAAAACTGCCTTCAGCACACAACTCAACAGCAAAAAACCAAACAACATCAATACAAATTGGGCAAAAGACTTAAGTAGACATTTCTCCAGACAAGAGATACAAATGGCTAACAAACACATGAAAAGATACTTAACATCACTAATCATTAGATAAATCCAAAGTAAAACCACAATGAAATACCATTTCACTCTAATTAGGATAGGTACCATTTAAAAAATAAAAATAAAAAATCGATGAAATAGCAAGTGTCAGTAAGGAATGATATGGTTTGGCCATGTCCCCACCCAAATCTCATCTTGAATTCCCACATGTTGTGGGGGGGACCCAGTGGGAGGTAATTGAATCACGGGGTCAGGTCTTTCCTCTGCTGTTCTCATGATAGTGAATAAGTCTCATAAGACCTGATGATTATGTAAGGGGGAGTTTCCCTGTACAAGCTCTCTTCTCTTGTCTGCTGCCGTGTGAGACGTGCCTGTCACCTTCTACCATGACTGTGAGACCTCCCCAGCCACGTGGAACTGTGTCCAATAAGGCTTTCTTTTGTAAATTGCCCGGTCTCAGATATGTCTTCATCAGCAGTGTGAAAACGGACTAATATAGGATTTAGAGAAATTTGAACCCTTTTGCTCTGTTGATGAAAATGTAAAATGGTGTCACTATAGTGGGAAATAGTATGCTGGTTCATGAAAAAATTACCATAGGATCCAGAAATTCTATTCCTGGGTATATACTAAAAAAAAAATGGAAAACAGAAGCTCAAATAGATATTTGCACACCCATGTCGATAGCAGCATTATTCACACTAGCAAAAAGGTGTAAGCAACTCAAGTTCCCATTGAGGAATGAATGGCAAAATAAAATGCAGTAGACACATATAATGGAATATTATTCAGCCTCAAGAAGGAAAAAAATTCTGATACATGCTACAATGTGGATGAACCTTGAGGACATTATATTAAGTGAAATAAACCTGTAACAAAAAGTAAAATATTTTTGTCCAGTTTCAATTATGTGAGGTACCTGGAATAATCAAATTCATAGAAACAGAAAGTAGACTGGTAGCTTCCAGGGTTAAGGGAAGTGGGGAATGGAGAGTTATTGTTAATGGTCTCAGAGTTTCAGTTTCGGAGGATGAAAAAGTTCTGGATATGGATGGTGGTGATGGTTGCACAATGTGAATATACATAATGTGACTGAACTGTACATTTAAACGTGGCTAAGATAGGCAATTTTATGTTGTGTGTATTTTAACACAATTTAAAAAACTGTGTTCAGCTAAAATATGCCAGTCGGAAAATGTTATCTGAAGGACCTTGTTTTATTCCTCTGGTTACAGGAGGAACCTCTTAAGATATTAATTGAAACATTTGAAGGCAGTAATCAGTGATTGAATCAGGAAGTTCCAAGTCATCTATTTTCCCGACTAATCTTCCCCATTCGAGTGCCTGTCATCTTTCCTACTTGAGCTGGTTTCTTGGTTGCTGTTCTCTGTCTGTCATCCAATTCGGGAATGCCAGAGACCCAGAGCTGCTAGCAGTGTTCAATGGGCAGCAGGTAACTTTCTCAGTGTTTGTTTCATGGAAATGTTAATCAACCTTGAGACATTATGGGGTATTTTCAGAAATGATGAGTTTTGTGGTCACAATGAGCTAAACAGGTTTTTTTGTGTTATTGTTTTTGCAGGATTTTCCAGAGCATGTAATAGGCGAATGTGCATGGTCAGTTTCCAAGAGCAGGACACAGTATGAAAGCGGCTCTCAAACATTTTTGATTGCAGCCTTTTTCTCCACCTCAAGACAGTGAAACATTATTTGGGAAAATTTTCACTAGCGTATTGCTAACTGCTGCATTTGCTGAGTTCCATCAACTCATGAGTTTTTATGTGTGTACTCAGAGCACAAGAATTGTTTCTGGATCTAGGCTATGGTGCTTTTCAGTTCTTGGAAATAATTTCCCTGAAATGTCCTCTGAGAAAGTCAAGAATTTCCCTGAAATGATCTCTGAGAAAGTCAATGTGATTTCTTTTGGTATGGTACAGAATATGCTCTGTACGTATAAGAGACACTGCCACTCAAAATAGGCCCAGTGCCTAGCTGCAAGACTTAAAGTTGAGTTACATCATCTCATTTGAGTGCCACAAATCATGCATTGAATTTTTCCAAGGCTCTGAAAGCACACAACTTTCATATAATACAAGTCTACATTTGCTTATTCAAAATCCCAAATTGCCAGATGTGTCTTGTAATTTGAGATTTTCTGAATCTTAGAAATGTAATATAATGCCTCTACCACTACATTATCACCCCAGCAGGGTCTGAAGACACACCTTTTAAATAAATGCATCAATATTTGTTGAATATTCATACTTTGTAGGATAAATAAAAACTATAAATAAATATATCAGTCTATATCAGGTTTTATTTTCAAAGGAATTTCAGTGACTCATTTACTAAAAACTAACTTTGGGTTTCAGACTATTTTGAGTTTTGAAATAGAAGCTAAAACACTATAGGCACCCTAGTGAAAACCAAGCTGGGTTAATTAATGCTAACAGACTTTTGCTAACATCAGGTCTTAATATTTCTCAATGTTCTGATCTTTGGAGGAACAGTGGAAAAATTCCCAGAGAAAAAAATACTTAAAGGAAAAGAGATGGAGTAATTTCTCTTAAATCTACTTTCCCTGGCCCCTCCTGCTTGAATATCTCTAATATATTCTTACTATGAACTAACTTATTTGCTCTAAATTTCCAACTTTCAACAAGAAGGTGAAAACCTCCAACTTAATAGAAAAATTAGGCTGTAAGGATCCTAAGGCCATATAGCAAATGTGGGATGGAAGACTGACAATGAAATTTCCATGAGTGAGTATCATCTAATCTATGGGATAAGATGGGTTATGTTATGTTCTGATACATATGAGAGCCAGAGCTGGAAGGCGTGACTATGTCACTAAGCACCATGTGACCTTTGGTGAATCCCATATCCTTAATGTTTCAGTCTCCCTGTCTAAAAAATGAAAATTGGACTATCATTTTACGGTCCATGTAGGATCTGTAATTAAAACAGCTTTATTCACTACCAGGTGAATTATCGGTGTGGTAGCAAACAGCTAACGATGGCATCCTCTAGTTTCTGGAGGATATCCTTCAAGAAAAAAATGCTACCCTGAAAGACACACATGGAAATTCATTTCCTCTCTCCTTTTGGACATTTTATTCTACTCATAGCATATTGAACTATATATTAAATGTCTCCAATAAGGATTTCATTTAGATTTAATATGTCAGAATTGTAAATGTTAATGAAATGCCAAAAGAGTGATTAACAACATATGCTTTGAAGTCTCTCAAATATGTAACCCCCCAGAAATTTTATAAGAAAAATGTCCAGACATAGAACTTTACCCTGCAGTTTATTTTTTTTTTCAGAGTCAAAATATCTCTCAAATGCTCAGTTCTGAACTAACAGAAAAACAGCAGGAGGATAAAAAAAAAACAAGGCTGAATTTCAGTCACACAGATCTCAGCAAGAAGCAAAAATAAACTCTTTAAATGATGTTCCTTTTGCACGGCTCCCAGAGGCAGGTTTGGTAAGAAATAGTTTGAAAGTATACATATTCATTCCCACTTCCCCCAACCTCTACTTTGCCCTGCTCTGTCTCTGTTGATCTTGTAACTTTTTCCATGTTAATTAAAGATTCCTGGGACTTCACTCTTTTTTTCCCTTCTCTGGGAGCCACCTAAGAACACAAATATTGAAACAGTAGCAGTCAGCTAATTTTGCATTATTCTAAATTAAGGAAAATATTCTAATTTAAGGAAAACTTCTAGATCACCTAGGAGTTTAATGGTTCAAGCTCCCCCTTTATCTGTGGAATCTAGAAAAAAGCAGTGACTGTCTGTTGACACAACTAGTTTGTAACAAAGCTGTGGTGGATCATAGGTCTAAGACCAGTACAGTTGTCCCCCAATCCCCCATGCTACCCTTTCATCCCAAATTAAAATAAGACAGTTTCCCTCGTAACTCACCAGTGCAGTAAATCCCATGCTATGGCATAGAGTGAGACAGCTTCAACCATGACATGAGCGTTATGTAGTTGGGGTGGGGGGGGGTCTTACAAGTTCAGCAGCTGAGAAAAATTAAGGGGAGAATTGAAAATTGTCTCCAGCTGGGCGTTAGCATGTGCTAAACAGGGTTTTGATGTTAAAGGGTTTTAAGTGCGTGACTGGTACACCTCAGGGCAAGGCCCACTCTTCCCCGAGAATCTGTTCTTGCTTTTCTTTCTTTTCTTGTCTAATCAGTCCCATTCAGTTTTCAATTCTCTTTCTCACTTTGCAAAGTGCCAGACAAATTACTGGTATCCTCTATGAACCTCTGGTTTCTTTTTTGTTTTTGAACTCATACCCCCTTAAGAATATTTCAGGGTAAGCATTGCTCAAAACACATTTTATAAATTTTTAGGAACATAATTAAAGCAAAGACCTTTGTATAACTTTTATGACTCTTGATGTTCCACATTCTAATTCTCTTCGGGATGTGCATATTTTCTTAATGTTGTCCTCTTATTGTTTCTCCGAAACTCTTTTTACTCTTCAGTTTCAACAACATATCTTCTGAACTATAGGTTGTTTTAAATATTAGGATTATCAGTACAAACTTGGTGATACTCAACTGTTTCTGAATGACAAAGAGGGCAACTTCATTCGGTTTAACCTAATGTTTTGTAAAGCCATCTGGAATACACAAAGTCTCATCTGAGCAGAGACATTTTTTAAAGTAGAGAAACTATGTAGAAAAACCATGATCTTTACTGAACATTATAATGTAGAAATTTAAATATTTTAAGAAAATTTTTGTTTAAAATGTATTTTTGTGGTTTGCTTATGGTAGGTGATATGGTTTTTCTGTGTCCCCACCCAAACCTCATCTTGAATTGTAGCTCCCATAATTCCCATGTGTTGTGGGAGGTACCCAGTGGGAGGTAATTGAATCATGGGAGTGGTTTCCCCCATACTGTTCTTGTGGTAGTGAATAAGTCACATGAGATCCATGGTTTTTATAAGGGATTGCTTTTTTTGCGTGGTTCTCATTCTCTCTTGTCTGGTACCATGTAAGATGTGACTTTCACCTCCTGCCATGATTGTGAGGCCTCCCCAGCCACATGGAACTGTAAGTCCATTAAACTTCTTTTTCTTTATAAATTACCCAGTCTCGAGAGTGTCTTTATCAGCAATGTGAAAATGGACTAATACAGTAGGAGTGATATATGTCTCAGTTTCAACAGTCTCCAGGTTTTGCCTTTTGCTCGGCATCCTAGCTAGTTTAGCATTAGCTCTGGATTTTTTATTCTCTAACAAAGCATTAGTATTAATGGTTGCACTAAACTGATAGGACCACATTGTTGGGTTGAGTTTGGGAGACCTCCACTTTGTACCCAAGGGTTCTGCTGTGAGCTCTTCTAGTCTATATGAGACTCACACATAGTGAAAGGAGGTCTCAGCTTGACATGTAGTTAAGGCCCTCTTTCTGGATACAGCTAATTAATGCTTCCATTTCAAGGGAGGAATGCCAGATGCTCAATGATATAATAAAGCGTGTTTAGATACGAGCAGTGTGGGGTAGCTAATTCTTTCTGGCCGTGAGTGGAGCTGGGAGAAGCTCTGGAAGTTGCTGTGCTCATGGACCCTTGCTTCACTAGCCAGTTGTGACATGGCCTGAGAGACGTGTGAGGCTGTCAGGCTTCCAGTCAGCAGGATCGACCGCAAGGGTGGGAAATTCTATTAGACGGACATGATATAGAAGCCAAGCAGTCCTGTACACTCTACAGCGTATAGAGAATGGAGTGAGTCGTGTGCATGATTTTGCTATGGTATTTTTGCTACTTATTGTATGGTATAGATCTATAGCCACTATTTCATTGCTTTGTAATACTTTTTTATTTTTGCAATAAACCCTTTTGACAGAAATAAGTTAAAAAATAATCAAAATGCCTGTTTAATAACAGTTTAAGTACTAAGTTTTCATTCTCAAGAAAGTTGGTGATGACTCTGTAACTTGCACCAAGTATTTGTCCAGGGGCACCATCTACCCCGGAGGCTGTGGTGCTCTCACTGACCACATAGAAACAAGAACACACAAATCTGCTGAAGTGGCATCAGCATCTCCTAGAAAATTAGTAGTTATTTTAAGAAGATGGTACCTGAAGACAATAATTTAGTATCTGTAGTTCTAGAAGGTGCTTTTTACGTATAATGCTTGAAGCTTGACTTTTCATGTATGGTTTTAAATGGCTGTTCTTCCAATTTAATTTCTTTTTGTTTTTAATTCCAAGTTTTTCTGCAGGCATAATACAAAAACCAAAGTAATAGCAACTATTGTGTTGGCCCCATGTAGAGAATAAAATATTCACTAGCAGTTACATGTTGCCAATTTTATATTAGTATATTCTACCAAGTTTCTTATCTGAATGACAGAAGACAAAAATGTTATTTGAGAGATATTTTCTCAATTCTGCCAAGATGGTATATAAGGAATACTATTCTCATGTGCACAAGAAAAGTTTTTGATACATATAATGAATGCCTTAGAGCATTAGAGCTAATAGGTAAATTTAAATTTTTTGTTATAAATTTTAAATATAAAAAAATATAAATAAAAAGATGTCCTTTTCTACCTGCCATCAATTTTACAAATGTTTAAATTTTATATTAATTGACCTGAATGTCTTATAAAGTTATTACATGGTTTTTTATAAATAAGTTCTCTGAAATTTAATTGTGTTTTGGTCCAAGTCATTTGGGAATCTTTCTTTAATTAAAAAAATTTTTTTTTTGAGAGAGGGTCTACTTTTGTGGCCCAGGTTGGAGTGTGTTGGTTTAATCAAAGTTCACTGCAGCCTTGAACTCCTGGACTCAAGCAGTCTTCCTGACTCAGCCTCCTGAGCATCTGGGACTACAGGTATATGACACCATGCCTGGCTAAGTTTTTAAATTTTACCATAACTTTAAATGATTTGCATACAACAAAACTTTACCTTTTGAAGATTTTAGAAAACTGCAATTACTAAAAACAAAATTTGCAAGCAGAAATATCTTGAAAATAAAAAATACAGAAGAGGAACTGACTTTGAATACAAATGCAGGGGCTTACCTGGTCAAATGAGACTGAGAGCTCAAATAGAAGCTCTAATTCTGAAATTCAATGGAAATTTGAAATATACCTATTTGGGGGAAGATTTTTTAAATGGAACTTTTATTTTTAATTAGATGCACTTATATTCTCTAAAAGAATGGAATTAAGTTGAGATGACTTATAATTTTACAGCATTTACATTCTGTGAGACATTGAAAAATTATAAATAGAGATATGTTATTTGAAAGGTTTGAGCCTATAAAACATTTGTCAAATAAAGTAATTTGGGCTGGGTGCATTGGCTCCCACCTGTAGTCCCAGCACTTTGGGAGGCCGAGACAGGCTGATCGCTTGAGCTTACGAGACCAGCCTGGGTAACATGGCAAAACCCTCGTCTCTACCAAAACGAAAACGAAAGTGAGAACAAAAACAAAAACAAAAATTATCCGGGGGTGGTGGTGCGTGCCTGTCATCCTAGCTACTCGGGAAGCTGAGGCGAGAGGGTGGTTTCAGCCTGGGAGGCAGAGGTTGCATTGAGACTAGATTGCACTCCTTCACTCCAGCCTGGGTGATAGAGCCAGATCTTGTAAAAAAGTAAAATAAAATAAAATAAAATAATTTGGTTGGAATCCAAAAGCAGAAACTTTAAGAATCTTTGAGCTGAAATGCTTACATATTTCCTTGTAAAAAAATTAGAATTAAGAATATCCCCTCTTTAGCAGAATTTGTTCTTAATTCCCCTAAGCACTTACAGTGTTTTCTCAATAAAAAGTAAAATGGGCTAAAAGAAGAATTGATAATGCCAGTAATTACAAGTTGATGAAATGAAAATTCAGCTTTTAAGCAGATTGTAGAAAACTTTAAGGAAAAACTGAAAAATAACAGTACTAACTTAATAAAATATATATTCTTCAAAAAAATACTCCTGACACAGTTTTAGAGGCAGCTATGACTAATAAACTGATTAAAGTATATAAATATATGCCAAGTATATATTACTTTGCTTATGTTTTTAATATTCAGAAAATTAATATAAAGTTATCTCTATCTTTATTTTAATTAATTTATTTTTTGAGATGAGGGTCTTACTATTGCTCAGGCTGGCCTTGAACTCCTGGGCTCAAATGATTCTCCAGCCTAAGCCTCCTGAGTAGCTGGGCTCACAACATGCACCACCGCCTCCGGCTAATATAAAGAAGTTTTTTAATTTTTGCTTCAGTGCATATAAATAGATGATATTTTTGTCTTTTAGAAAGATTTTTTGGAAGTCTTTTTTAATTGAATTATGTTTACATATCTACCAATATTATACAACCAATTATTAAATCAAGGCATAACCTGTGGAACAATTTTCCTCTTCCTTTCCAATGGGCTATGTTCTCCCCTTTCTTCACTGCCATTTCCAGCTTGATCTGACCCGGAAGAATTTCTCTGAACCTTTTATCCATTATGGAGCATCCATCATCTGAATCACATACTGCCTGTAGCTTTCAGTGGTATACAACATGTTTCATAGCTTTTGTGTCCTTAAGTAAGGTTGATGCTCAAAATGTGTATTGTTGGCAATATGACCACACCATATTGAAGGAAGAAATGATAGACAGTCTAGTTCTAGATAAAGGACAGGATGGTATACAAATAAAATGTATGGCTGTGGCAAATCATGGGTTGTTAAAATCCTCTTTCTAGCAGCGGTTAAAACTTGAAATAGTTTTAGTGTTACAGATGACGTGAAAAGTTGGGTGGTGGGAGGACTTCTTTAGTTGGCCAAAAAGGATGAAAGGCAGGGCTAGGAAAAAGATATGTAAGAATATAAGAATTGAGAATAGATGTGTTCTAGAATAATCACATTGGTAAAGATGGTATTTTCGAAGCCTGTTAGGAAAAACAATGTCAAAATCAAGGACATTAACAAAAAAGAAGAAGAGCTTTATTGCAATAGGAAATTGGGGAAGAGAGGAAATGGAAATGAGTTTTGAAAAAGTATATTTATTTTGACAGCATTTCACCTTAGCAGAGCCTAAAATGTGATGCGTTAATGTTTATAAACAAAAACTGACGCAGAAGGAAAATCGGCAATACAGTGGTAATGCAGAAAGGAAAGGATGGATTGTTGTAAGTAATATTACATAACAAAGTTTTCAAAGGGGCTTCTTGGAGTACATCACTTCTAGTATCAGCTTTCAGAAGCAACAACAACAGAAGGCCCTAGTGATTTTAAAATGAAGTTATTGATAGAAATATGTGCTGGAAATCAAGGCACAATTACCGTTCAAAGATGTATTATTATGTTAAGAATACTTTGAATCAATCATATTTTTGTACATCTATGATAATGTCTTAAAGGGAATGTAAGCTCCCATTTCCTGTATGTGAGGCACGTTACTTGGAAATACTGGTTTTCTGACATCTTTATGTCCCAACTATCTACAGAAATATTAAAAAACGCAAATATATAAGTAGATAAGATAGAGTTTAAACCTCATCTAGGCATGGAAAACATGGAAAGAATGATACATGTTCCTTCTGGATCACGGTTTCTGATTACGAAGGGTGAGAGAGGAGAGAAAGTTAACTCTGGCAAATAAATATCTTGAAAGTCTGATAAGCTTCTTGGCTTCTCTTATTTTAAAAAATAATTATTAGGAGGAAGCTAGGAAACCTCGGTATGTTGTAGAAAGGACTTTCAGAATCAGACTTAGGAGACTTGAAATTTTTTTCCTGCACTAGATAGTGACCTTGAACAATGTAATACCCCTCTGGGTCCTAATTTCTTCACCTCTCAATAAAGGAGTTTGAGCCCAATGACAGTTAATACGATTTCTGACACAGGATTTTAAAACCCATGTAGCGATAATATGACGCAGTTATCCCAATGAGAAGATGCAAGTGGTAGAGCTGATGAGAGCAAAGGAACTGTCCAGGGTGCTTAGAAACATATGGGTCCATTCATGCTCTGGAGTTATGACCAGAAGCCACAATATGACTCCATCTGTTATTGATCTAGCATTTCTACTATGTTAAATACACAGTAAGTTACTTTGTCAGTATCAAGTGGATATAATTCAATAAGAGATCAATTTCCTTTTGTTTAAGGGGATAAATTACATATTTAGAGTCACCTCTGTTCTGTCTCCAATTTGTTGCTGATCTTTAGACCAGTCATTTCATTTATTCATTATTTGGAGCAGGGAATCCTGACAGTTTTCATGGCAATATTGATTTTTCAAGAGTCATACTTGATTTTTCAAGAGTCATCTTAGGAGATATGAGAATGCGCACTTCACATCCTGCCTCTTGTTTAACCTTGTTTAACATGTAGGAGGGAGAGAGACTTTGAAAAACAAGCATTTGACCATGGCTTAAAAATAAAGATAAAGGAAAGGGGAAAAGGAAGACATGTAAGGCAGATGAGGAGAGTTAATTATAATTAAGCAAGCCTCAGTGGCTGAACCAGGCTATGTTGAAAGTGGTTGGGGGTGTATGGGGAGGGGGTGGTTAAACTAGTTTGTCACAGCACGACCTTCTGCCCCAGCACTTGCTGCCACAGCTTCTTGCTCATAAGCTACCTTGCTGCAGAAATGGAGAGGAGCATGAGACTGTGATGCTGGCAAGTCGTAGTGAAATGTAAATCTACTGGGTGAAAAGAGAGGAGGTGTGAGCTCCTTGGAGCTGAGATACTTGTACCAATTCTATGTCCTGAAACTACTCTTGTGCCTGTTGCTTCTTCCCGGTTCTTCCTTCATCTCATGCCCTTCTGATCTTTTTTATTCTGTGTTCTATGCTGAATTTTAAGTCACAGTTTTCATCCCATGGGCTCTGGGGCATTGGATTGTTGTGAGAATGAGTGGCTTTTCCCCCAGTTAATCCTCTCACTGGCCCCAGGCCTGAGCTGCCTTTTCACTCTTGCATGCACAAGTGGCAGCCAGGAATTCAGTCTGGTAATTATCACAGCACCAATAGCCTCTAATTAATGCTTCTCCATTTCAGGCCTTATAGCCGACTCACCATTTTTGTAAAGCTCACATAGAGGACTCCATGGTTTGCTGGACTTGGAGGGATATCCAATGTACTAATACCACATCAAACTCAGAGTTATTCCTTCTTTTCAGTGACTGAGACTTTATTTCTTGGCCTGCCTAACTCTTTCTTCTCTTGAGAAGTGTTTTCTCCCAAGATGCTCATGAGATCCTCATGCAAATAAACTTCTGGTAGGCAAAGTTCAAATACACCAGTTACGCACCCAGATATATGTCCTGAAATACCAGCATCCCAGTAATTGTCTAGTTCAGGTTCAAGGTGTATCCCTATATGAAAGAAATATTCTCCTCCAGGACAGAGCAAAGGGCATGTTGACAGCAGACTTTCAAGTTGCTAAATTTGCCAGGATCAATATTTAAGCTAAGGGCTGTAAGCTAGGAATCTGGCTATAGGTTCAGTGTGACAGAGGATATATTTAGTCAAGTGTGATGCCCCAAATAACAGTAATGTCATTGAGGTAATGCTGTTATGGCACAGAAGATCTCACGGAAGGGTTTGGTAAAAACTAGACAGTGTCAGGACACCAGCTTCTTAGAGAAGGATTTTGGTCTCAGGAGAGGATTTAGAGAATGCACAAGGTAAGGAAGTCTAGCCACGGGGACTTAGGAAATGGAGAAAATGAATAGGAAGTAACCAGATAGACTCATAGGTACCAGGACTCTTCCCAGGTACACTGGATTCCAGGTTACAGCAGGACCAAAGAGAGGGTAGGTAAAAGATGACTTAGAAATTCTGGGAATGTATGAACAGAAGATTTATGTTTCTGTGTACTTAGCCTGGGAACAAATGTGAAGAAACATTTTGAAGAAAGATATTTAGCTCATTTCTCACCACTTTGAGCTTAAGCCTTTTATAGCGTAGTCAAAAGAGACTGTATAGTAGGTGGTCAAAAATATGGGTTTGGATTTTGCTTGAGAAAAGATGGGATTGTTTGATACCCTGCATACTATCTTTTAAAAAATTTTCCTCCTACTTTCATGTTTCTTGTTGTGTTTTTTCCCCCTTATTTAAACTACTTCTTATATAATTACTGAGTTTTCTAGGTATTTTGTAATTGGAAGGTTTTCAGATAATCAGTTTGATATGTTGTTGGAAGTGGCTTTGGCATTCATGGGCACTTAATAATAACACTATTAGGTAAGTGAATAAACCAAAGCTGAACATAAGGATTGCACATAAGGGGAAGATTCAGATGAAAGTCTCGGCAACATGGGCTGATAGAAAAGTCTAAATAAGTGGAAGGCAACCAGTGCTGGGCTGGGTGACAGAAAGTAAGGGGGGTGCTGTCACATGGTAGAAGTGGTCCCTCTGATGGGGGTCCGCAGGTGAGCAGGAAGAGGTGTGAGAGGGGAGAGGCATTTGGAAGCTCTCAGGTCACTTTTAAGTAAGCAGTTTCCATCAGTGATGGGAGCAGAACCTAGATTATGAAAGATTGGGGAATGTGTGGGAGGAGATTAGAAAATAGGAGCTGGGAACAGTAACTCATACCTGTAATCCCAGGACTTTGGGAGGCCCAGGGGAGAGGACTGCTTGAGCCCAGGAGTTTGAGATGAGCTTGGGAAACATAATGAGACCCCATCTCTACAAAAACATTTAAAAAATTAGCTAGGTAGGGTGGCACATGCTTGTAGTCCCAGATACTTAGGAGGCTGAGGAGGGAGGATTGCTTGAGCTCAGGAGGTGAGAGAGAGAGAGAGAGAGAATAAAATAGGTATGATTATCTGAAACCTTTAAAGCTTTATGCCATTTATCACCATTGCATAACTTACAGGTGATTATAATAACATAAGAGGCTGTGGTGAATGAAGCTATTAAATTAGAACAATTTTAATTTAAATGTTAAAATGCATACAACATTGAAATGCCAGTGCCCTAATGAGGCAAGAGCCCTTTAAGCAAGAGGGTTTGGAAGGTGGTTTATAGAGACATCCCTAGAATCTTTTAAGGACCATGAAATATTTATTCAAAAAGTTGTCATAACTCAATTTTTTTCGGGAATATTTAGTTCCACTTAATGAATGCATTAAGCTCAGCTGTGTTTCTCAAAGAGCCAGCTGAAGGAAGTACAGAAGTGGGAACAGAAAAACAGAAATAGAAGACGAGCAAAGGTGAGAAAGCAAATGCAGAGCAGGAGGGGTGATGGCAGCTTCACACTGCTCATAGCGTTTGTTTATTCTCGAATCCCGGGAGTAGGTGATTTATTAAATAAGGCCCTCTGCAATCACACCGCCAACCTCTCCACTAAAAATAGCAGTGGGCTGGTTTGAACTTCATGTCAACCTCATATAAACTGGCATCAGTTGTGTCTGCTGTCCTTTGACGGTGTGAGGATTGGGACTCTCTGGGGCTGTCCATCCCTGTGCGCACCTTGGTTGTGGGGCCAGTACACTCCCTTCCGCCCACTTCTCATCAGCCCAGCAGAGTCCAGTTCCTGGTGGGCTGGGGAGCAACAAACAAGGCCAGGGTGCTGAGGACTCATTAGTGACCTGCCTGGCTGCCAAGTGTGCTGAGACATCAAGCTGCTTGTGGCAGTCTGTGGTTTGCTGGGAGGAGATTAATGAGGGAATAGAATAAACACGCACATTGGTTTCTGATAAGAGGAGGGCAGACATTTCAGGACAGGCATACAGCCTGCCTCACAGTCATCACTTCCCCTGGGGCCCATGTAAACACACACACTCACATGTGCTGATGCAGACTTCTTCTCAGCCCCAAACACAGCCAGCTGATAGGGAGGAAGGCCAAGATATAGGAAACATTTCTTTCCTCAGATCTTCAAACTCAATTATACCCATCCAAGAAACGAAATAGATCTTCTTATAACATGAGCTTAAAACTTGATTAACAGTAAGTTGAATTGGCAAACACATTTCTGCTGAGGATGTTGATTGGATAAAATATTTAAATGATTTTATACATGAAAAAATAGAGTTGGAGAGTATATGACTTATTTCAAGATTATCCAACAGTAGTGCTAATGTTTCTTTGGGAGACATGGACATTTTTGTGAATCTGATGAAAGCTAGAGACAGTGTCCCCAGAAAAATGAGTGCATGCATGCGCGCACACACACACATACACACACAAACACACACAGCTAGAAAGAGATAGAGACAGAGACAGAGATAGACCTACCGATGCCATTTCAGGAGGGTTGTATTGTCTCTGAAGCTCATTTATGGACTCCAAAATGGGTTCAGAATAAAAATCCTGGCCTAGCATATCATGGAAAATCTCACGTGGGTTAGAGAAATCTGAAAATTTGGTGAGAGTGCCCTACTAAGAATTTTGCTAGGTACTTGATGGATATTATTTCTACTTTTAATAACAATTGTGCAAGGTAGGCACCATTTACCTCCCTTTTACCAATGAGAATATTGTGACTGAGAGAAGCAAACTGACTTAGGGAGACGGGGTTTCCTAGTGCTTAGGAGCCTGGGCTCTGATGTCAAATTACATGGGTTCTAATTCTGTTTTTTCCACTGATCAGTTAGAAGATTCCAGACAAGTTTCCCATCCCTTTGTGTCTCAGGTTCTTCAGCTGTCAGTGGGAATAATGATGGAACTTATTTCATAGGCTCTTATGAAGATTAAATAATATAAGACAAGCTAAGTGCTTAGAACATTGACCTGGGCACAGTGAGCATGAGATACATTTTGTTGTAATCGCTGTTTAGGTCAAGGATCATAAAGCTATAAGTGGAGGAACCAAAAATCAAACTAGGTTTTGTCTGGCTGGAGCCTGTACACTTTCCTCCACACCTCGCAGGTTTCTAAAACCTGTTTTACATTTGGCCTTTGGCAAATCATGTAATGTTTCCAAACTTGAGTTTCTGCATCCATAAGATATAGGCAATGATAATAATAATAAAACACCTTCCTACTTTTTTGGAAGGATTAAATATGACAACAATAAGTACATTTTAGTAAACTGTCAGGTACTGTGCGAATATCCAAGGTTGTTACTATCAATGATGAAAGGATAAATCTAACTCAAAGGGCTTTGTGTTTTCACTTCTACACTTATGTTCATAGAATTAAATCTGTATCATGTGCAATCACCTTCAGATCTATCTTGGATTACACAAGTCATTGGGCAGGGGGTGGTCATGGTTCTGAAACAAAAATTCTATGATCTTCGTGACTGTTAAGGAGATAAGGTAGGGTTTAACCACCCCACTGGACTTTCAATAACATTTGGCTAAGGTAGGAAGAAAAAACACACACACTAAATGATTTTATTAAAACAAGTGTTTGAGGGTCACATTTATGTTTATTCCAAAATTGAAAGAACATAGTAGTAGCCAACAAGTTCATTATGTTGGCACAGAAGCTTATACTTTTTTAAACATCAAGTTCATTGTCCTCAGCTGGAATGCATGATTTCGGTTACTTTTCAAAAGGTCAGTTTATTTCTGTGAGTAATATTTCTGCAATGCTAAGAATCAGAGGCCAAAAGGGGAAAGAGGACAGGGCCTGTGGAACAGATTATATTCCTGTCTGCGATCCCTTAGGGAAACTTAGAAACCAGAGATTAGCTGTCCTAAAGTGGAGACTTCCACTCTGGAATGGCATTACGATGTTGAAAGAGACCCATTTAATCAAATTTAGTTCTATCTTGCTCATGGAGTCTAATTCCCTTGATATCAATTCAGGTCTTCTCTCTGCCAATTCATGTCTCTCAGCTCCTTCAAAAAGTAAGTCATAGTATATCATCAATTGACCAGGCACCTACTGAATGCCTAATACTTACTAGGCAGAGGGCTTATGTATGCACTATTCTCAGACAAAAGGTATGGGTTCTGCTTTCAGGCTGTCCATCCTGATGGAGAAGAGACAGACTGCCAAAAACCAATCACAGGACCTGCAAGGTGGAGCTCAGTAAATATCTGTTGAAGGAGCGGTTCCATGTTAGTAGAAGTACAAGGTCTTATGGGAGAAAGGCTGCTCAGAAATGATCTCTTCTGGTGGTAGGTGGTGATCAGGGAATAATTTTCAAGGGAGATGCCAGATTTCGACAGAAATGCAGGAATTTTCTGGGTGGGAAGGGCATGAGAGCTGTGTGGGGAAGTCATAAAAGTACAGGTAAGCTGCAGGGTGGTCCCTCAAGCAGACCTGCTTTATTGAGGCTTCACGCGGGAGCAGGGAAGAAAAGGCAGCTGGCAAGGTGCACAGCGGGCAGACAGTCCCAGCTTTAATTTGTCTGTGCTGCTGAGAAACTCAGTCTCTTTCTTTCATTCGTCCCCTCAGCGCTTCACACTCACAGGGATGACTGACATTCTGACCACGTGGGCAGAGTCTTTGACACAGAGCCTAAGTGGTTTATGTTTGTCCTTCATTGCAATGCTGCCTTCTTCCATGGGTGGCTGAGGGCTGGGAGGTCAAGGTGGGAGGCTGGTGGTTTTACTTCAGCTGTACCTGGTGTGCATGGTCAGGAGGCAGATTAGGGGTCCTGCCAGCACTCACCTGAGTTGAAGAGGGGTGACTGCTTGAACTGCCACTCCAAAGGAGTGAATACATAAACATAATAAACAAGGAAGGGATAAAAACAGAGGCCGGAACCACAGAGCTGAGCCATGGGGACCTACAGGAGGATTGATGTAGATGCAGGGAGAGGATGGCAAGTCAGGAGGAATGTCCTGGGCTGCTCTCAGATACTTGTGATGGCTTTTAAAGAATAGTCTGTGGCTTCCTACAGGGACATGCTGAGATCAGTTAAAGGGAACATTATGAAGTGGATGATTCCACCTCCCTTATGGGCTTCCATGCGGTGACATCCTATGCATGTCTATCAAGTTTGTTATGATTTTTTCAATGCCTGTAATTCCTAATTGGATTGTAAATTCCACAATGCAGGCATTGTGGTTCCTTCTCTGATGCAGGATTGTCAGTACTTAACGTAGTAGGTGCTCAATAAATACTACTGAAAGAATCATTGCATGAGTGTACAGGTGGTTGCCCTCCCCTTTCCGGCCCTTCAGAATATATCATTCACAGTTTTGGTGAGACAAATAAGAATGAGTGAAATCTTGGTGAAAACTTGGATCCATGGGAGCCCTTTCCCTGAAAAAAAGGAGTTGATAGGCTCTTCCCTCTTGAAAGGAGCTGCCGCCTTTTGAAGCTGTGCCGGGGGAACTGAAGAGGATCTTGCCCATTCGTCTACCAAAGAACACCATCCTCCCAGAACTTCTTTTCTCACACTGGGCCAGCACTGGGTATTTAGTGAAGCAGACACTCAGGAAATGCTTGTCGAATTGACTTTTTAATGTGCCATGCGAGAAAACAAAAGGTAAGACATTTCAGATTCTTCTGAAATGAAGGAATAAATTTGCATAAAGATCATAAGAATGAAGAATAATTTTTTACAAGTATAAATTTAGATGTGGAGCTTCATGCTGACTTCATTTTCTATATGGGATCCTGAGCCCTAGTGGGTGAAATACCTTGTTTGCCTGTGGTCATGGAAAGACCCAAGGCTTGAACCCAAATCTTGGAGCCCCTCTCCCACCCAGCATTTCCCATTTTCAGGAGAGGGAAGGTAAGCACACCTGTACTATGACTGGAAAACAGAGGCTGAGGTCAGGGAAGCAGTTGAATAAAGAGCCCAGGGTGTGCACATTATGAGCCTTGATTTCCTCTTGGCTTTGAAGTTGTCTCCAAGGCTTTGAGAGTTTTCTTTTATTCATGCACACGCAGCTCCATAATTCCAGACAGCTCTCCAGCTACACACACATATCTATAATTTCCACAGCCAGCTTTGATGGATATCCATGCAGCCACATGTTCCCCCATTCATGCTTTTTCTTTCTCTTAAATATTTATAAAGGTTCACAAGCAGAAATAAAAGCCCCTCAGATTCAGAGCCAACTAAAAATAGCATTTCTGTCCCGTGCCAGGCAATCTGGCATCAATCAGGCCATCAGAAAGATGCGAGAGAGGAGAGAAGAGAAGCTGATAACCTTTTATCCAGTTTTTTGGTCATCTCCCTCTGTTATTAATAAGTTAGCAAGACTGACAGCTCGGGATGCAACCCAGATGTTTTTGGATTCCTGCTGCTGAAGATAGCTGCTTTTTTTTGGGTTCTCTGATAGCACGCGTCCATGAGGAGAGAGGGCTTTGAACTAGCTAATTGCCAGAACACTCTGGTTATTGGGCAAAGGGAAGAATGGGTGGAATCTTCAGGATGGGATGGGTGGGGGTACTTCATGAGCTCTTTAGATAACTGCCATTCTGTGAGGTGGATTTAGGCTTAGCTTTAGGCAATGTGCATGGGGCTGGCATTGGTTATTGCAAGTGATAATCTGTGCCTCTGCTTACTGTCCCCAGGAGAGGAGGCTGGGCTTGAAGTGAAGGTGAGGAGGATGCAGAGGCACACAGAACCAGTAAAGAGGACTTCTGAACAGGAGGAAGTATAACTGTGGGTTTTGGATAGGAGCTTAATATACATTTAGAGAAATAAATATAATCCAATTTTATGAGATATTTCTAGGGCTTGTTTAAGAACATATAGAAAATAAATGAGAAATTGTACCACCGATTCTCTGGGGGGATTTACCAGTGTAGAGTTATTTTAATCTGTGCATCTTCAGCCCATGCTGTGTCTCACCTACGTAAGCCCACAGCTATGACACCTGTCAGGACTTCTTCAATTTGTGGAATATCTACCCTCAGTCACATTCAAGGAAAACATCAATAAAGTAAATGGGCAATGCAATTTTAAGGCTTAGATCTGCCACTCAAATGTGTCCTTGGAGAAGTTACTTTCTTCCATGGACCTTAATATCTCTATTCTCAAAGTGAAGTGTTGCACTGGATAATAATTTTATGTTTTTCAACATGGACATTTAACATTTTTTGATTCTCCAGGCAGTGGATCTCTGGAGGCTGCCTGGAATCCATGACACTGACACTGGTCGCTCAGGCCTGCAGGGAGCCACCTATGCAGGGAATGCCAACCTGAGGCAAAACCAAAGGTGGGAGAAAGCCTTCATGCTTCCCAGCCTCTCCAATCCTGCGTAGAGCTTCTCCTCTTCCCTTCACTCAGATCTTTACACCCATAATTCTCACAGTTCTTTCACAATGATGCCGAAATTATCCAGGAAAAATTTATTTCCTAGATTTAAGTTACCTAAATTTGGAATTATCTAGAACAAACTGCAGCCTGCAGGCCAAACCCAGCTGCCTTCTTTTACAAATGCAGCCATGTGCTGCATAACATTTTTGTTAACGACAGACCACATATGTGACAGTAGTCCCATGGGATCATAAAGCCATGTTTTTACTCTATCTTTCTTATATTTAGGTATGTTTAGATGTACAAATACTTACCATTGGGATACAGTTGCCTACAGTATTCAGTACAGTCACACGCTGTATGGATTTATAGCCTAGGAGTGATAGTCTACACCATACAGCCTAGGTATGTAGTAGGCTTGTTTAAGTATACTCTGTGATGTTTGCAAATGATTATATCACCTAAGATATGTTTCTCAGAATGTATCCCCATTGTTAAGCAATACATGCCTGTAAAGATGTTTTGGAATACAGCCACACCTATTTGTCTGTGGTACTTTCTAGCTATAATGTCAGAAATGAGTAGCTGATAGAAACTGGAAGAACAACAATGTCCAAAATCTTTTCTATCTCATCTTGTACAGAAAAAAAGATTGCTGATATCTGATCTAGGATAATAGCAATTTAGGGATTACACAGGTCCTCTAGTCATTCCTTCCCTCCTCCATCCCGCATCCCCTTGAGGTGGGGGACATTTAGACCTTGGTGAATGTCTTCTAGACATGCAGCTCACAAGCCCTCAAAGTAGTTATTACTTTATGGCCTAATTCCAGTTTTAAGAATTTTTTTCTCCCTTTGGACGCATATATTTTCCTCTTCTGCTTTCCATGTGTTTGTAATTGACCTACCTCTGAAACCATTGGAAATAAGTTTGATCTTTCTTCAACATTGCGTTGCCACAGTTGCTTCAATATTTGGATTTTTCTCAATAAAACTTCATGCTTCACTGTCTGTGATGCCTAGCTTTGCTCCTGGCCTTCTTTGGCATTGGTCACTGAAGCTGACTGGGCAGCTGTGTTTCTTCCTTGAGAAAGAACTAAAGAGAACTAAAGGACCAGCTGGAGCAGACTGGGAAGGGCAGACAGAGGCCCCAGTCTGTTCCTTCCAATGACAGCCAGAAAATTGAGCCCAGGGCACTGGGGCAGTGAAGGGAGGCAGAGATCCCCACTGTGGGGATCATGAAGCTCAGGTATGAATGGAAAGGCTCTGCTGGAGAAAGACCAGGGCTTAGAAATCAGGAAAATCCGAGTTGAGACAAGAGGATATAGACCAAAAAGATGATGTGATTTCTGGAGACAGAAGGCAAAGATTGCAATGTCTCTGGTAGAAAGAACCAATGGAAGCCCAGGTGCTGCCACCACTGCAATTCAACTGAGAGGCCATCTGAGCAGAAATTGAGTCATCAGCCTCTGGAGCACTTGGTTGGGTTCCAATCCCATTTCCTACCCTGATGTAGGGCAAATTATTGAATGCCTTGACTCCCTCAGTTGTGAAAGTGAGGATAGCATTATCTATCCCTTACAGTTGTTGTGAGGATTACATGAGTTAACACATGGAAAGCACTCTGAACTATGTAAATGCTAGCCAGTATCCTTTAACGTCTTATGATGTATTAGGCACCTCTTGTCTCTTTCTGTATTTACTGGAACTCTACAAACAATTACAGAGGGCACACTTTTCAGAGACACGTGCTTAAGGGTGCAAATAAGTTTTCCTTTATTTCTGGGTAATTGAACTTAGCTTCTCAAGCTCTACTCTGCCCGATAGATCTAATCACTTCCCATGTAAATTCATCTTACTAGGATTTAAACGCACTCTCTTTAGGCTCTTTCTTCTTTTTTATTTCTTCTCTGTGAAGTAATCTCACTTTGGGGAGGGGGTAAGTTGTTTTGACCTTGAGGGTAAGTGTCTTTAAGTGTCTTTCTGTGGACATCGCAGGCTGGTTTCTATTGAGATGTGCAAATTCCATTGGTTTGTTGTCAGTTCCTGTCTCTATTGAGCCTTCCCTAAGTCCTACACTTCACTCCCCTCCTCTGATACTATATCCTTGTAGATTATGCCTCATTCATTTTGCCTCCATAATGAGACATCTCCAGGGCCACCAGTGACTGTTGAGCCACTTCCATTCCAGATGAAAATGTCTGGGTGCTCTCCTCACTCCACTGCAGTGCATTGGATTATGAAAGTCTGTTCTCTATCCCATTTGTCCAACACTCAGTGATAACTACTTTACAGCTCAGGTGCCAATAATTGGCTATTTTGGAGTCTTGCAGTTCTCCCTGGCTATAACATTGGGAAAGTAAGTAATCTTTTCTTCTGCTCCTGGATCCTCCCTCCATTGTCCCTGACAGATGGATCTAGATTTTCTCTTGGGGATTCTCCGGGCTTTTAGTTTGTCTATGGGCATTGTTGCAAAAAATTGGTGTTCTTTATGTAGACTTGCGGGTATTGAAACTCTCTTCACATTTCTATGATTTTCCTCTTCCTACTCTTGGTCACACTTTTATCTTCTTTTGAGTAGGAAAAATGTTTTTTAGATGATTTTAGTCCATTTGTGTTGTTATAAAAGAATACCTGAGGCTGGGAAATTTATAAAGAAAAGAGATTTATTTGGCTTGTGATTCTGCAGGATGTACAAGAAGGCACTGACATCTCCTTCTGGTGAGGGACTCAGGTTGCTTTTATTCATGGAGGAAGTGGAAGGAGGAGCTGGCATGTGCAGAGATCACATGGCGAGAGAGAAAGCAGGAGAGAGCAAGAGGGGAGCTACCAAGCTCTTTTTAACAACCACCAATCATGGAAACTAACAGAGTGAGAATTTATTCATTCCTCCCTGGTGCATTAATGTATTCATGAGGGATCTGCCGCCACGACACATACACCTCCCATTTAGGTCTCACATCCTACACTGGGAGTTAAATTTCAACATGAGTTTTGAAGGGGACAAACATCCTAACTATAACATTGATCATAATGCCTTCTTTTCCATTTTTTCTCCCTTTCTCTCCAAACCTTAGTTCATGTGTTTGAAAGTCTTGACTTTTAAGAATTTTACTACTGATATGGGTATAGGGACAGATTTTCAAACTCAATGCCTTCAATTTGACTGTTGGTTTTCAGCTGAATCAATTGCTCTCCACAGAGTAGAATATAATGAAAGTTATTACTACCGGTAGAATTGTAATCAAGACAATGGATTTCGAAGAAGGGTATAAGAGAGAGCTGTGGAAAACCACCCAAGTTAATAGTTCAAAGTTCTACCTGGTTATACAATTCATAGAATCTTTCTGCCGTCTATTTATTTCTTCTCCCTGGATATAGTCTTTGGGAGGAGAGGGGAGAAAAACCATCTTGAAAAACGGATTTGCAGTGACAAAAATAAGGATGCTTGAAAATGAACTAATGTCAGAACCACACAAATGACTTCATTAATAATCTATAACATCCCTACTGTGTACACTGGTTTTGCTCTTACAAAACTATTCCTTTGGCTTCAACTGAGTTGGCTTGAGGAAAGGAGAAGAGATAGCTGCATTTTTTTTCGGGATTTAATTTGTCTGAAAATTCAGAAGATAAATCCCATTCACTGCCACAAATACTTTAGGAAGGAAATATACAAGAGATTCCTAATTATGACCAATGTCTATTTTCTTTTATTTTTCTTCTTTTTTTAGGTAGAGATAACATGATTGAGTACTTATTTTAACGGTCTTTTCTATTTATTTCCCAATATTAAAACAGAACCAAACATAATGTATAAGATTGTTGTGAAACTTAAAGGAAGAAATGAATCTCAAAGTGTATCATAAGAAATATAAAACATACTAATGGAAGAAAAATATTTTTGGTATTATTGAGGGAGATGATAATGAAAAAAATATGATGTACACTAAAATATACTGGGACATCCCACTATGTTACCCACTGTTACCTAACTGACTAATTCCAGCTCACACAGCCCCTCAGAATCTTGGTATTATTTCTCAACATTAATATAAGTTGTTTTCACATCTGTGCAAATACAGGTTTCTGTTGTTTCCTCCTCACTATAGATGAGAAGAGCTGAGATGAGAAGAGCAGCTACTGTGTCTTGAAGAATGGTACAGTTTTTCTCTTTATCTCCTCCCTTCCCTTAGACTACTGGGGAATCAAATGATGTCAATTTCTTCATGCAAATCCAGGAAGCATGATCATGTTCCTTTCAAGAGCAGTTGATATTTCCTACTACTGTAGATATTCATTCAGTCAACATAGAGTTATTTAATACCTTAAAGCTGCCAGACACTATGTAGGCATCAAAGGAGATATACAGATGCATACAATGTAATTTTTGTTAAGTTTCTTTCAAATCTAATAAGGAGAAACAGATATAAAAGCAACTAAATTTGTATAATAAGTAACATAGGAAATGCTAAGTAAAGTTGCAAACAAGCTGCTGGAAAAATCTAGCTGGAAACTTTGAAACATTTTATTGAAGGGATAAGATTGGAAACGGTATCTGAGTCTAATTTTTTACAGATGAAGTTGATACCAGAGATTATCCTCACTCTAGGCCTGCGACAATGTGATATGTGAATGCTTTTGATGATACTGTGATCTAGAGACCAGGGTAGTAAACTTTTCTGGTGAACGGCTAGATACTAAATACTGTAGGCTTGTAGGCTCTGTAGTTTCTGTCTTAACTATTCAGCTCTACTGTTGTGTTGTCAACGCAGCCACAGACAGTACATTCTATGTGAAAAAACTCATTCACATAGAATGAGTGTGACCTGTCAGAACTAGTCACATGACCTTACCTGGCACAGGGGAGCTGCGGAGCACGTGGTTTAGACGTTTGGGAAGCTATAACTATCTCTGTCATATTACTTTTCAAGGACAGTAAATCCCATACCCAGCACATCTAAAGAGTGGGTATTTGGGGTTTTCCTTGCAGGGGCACTCTACCCTTTTTTACCCTTCTTTCACATTCATTCTATGTGAATGAGTTTTTTCTTAGTTCCACCTTCTCAGATTTTCCTTCCAGATATATCTAAGTTAGGATAACTGTCTCTTGAAAGATAGAGATCAGTTAGATAGCTTGATGTGACCTGGAACCAAGTTTATCAATTTTCAATTATAGACTCTCCCTGTGAACTGTGTGAAGAGCTGGAACTTTGCAGTCAGACATGCCTATGTTTGCGTTTCACTCCAGCCACTTATTAGCTATGTGACACTCATTGACACATAGAATGAATGAGTGTGACTGTGTTTCAATAAAAGTTTATTTATAAATGTACCAGATTTGGCCCACACGCTATAGTTTACTAACCTTTGGTCTGGAGAATTGAGAGCAATATACCTGGAGTGAACTGAAAATTGGCTGATTAATGGAGTGTATTGAAATCTGGGCTATTAATTTTGGATATTTTTCTATGGTAATGAGAGGTCACTAGGGGATTCTAAGAACACAAACTATCCAAAAAAATCAATCAACTTTTCTGATGATACTGAGGATGGATAGAAATGCAGAGAGAAATAGAAAGAGAACACCAATTTATGCAGTTATTATAAGTAAATTCTATTACAGGTTAATACACTTCTAACTCAAGTGGTAGAGTCCAACAGAGGCTCTTTTGAATAGTTAAAATATGTAATCCTTTTTCAGAATTCCCTTGTATCAGTCAGTATCTCAGCAGGAACCAGGAGAATTTAAATTGGGTAATCTGGAAAGAGTTTAGTAGACAGATAACTTATAAAAATGTGGGCAGAGTACAGAGAAATCACAAGAAATGGTGCAATGCCCTCAGCTCCATAAGAATAGGTTGCTGGGGTCCCTGAAGGGATGAAGGATAGGAATGGTTTCTGGAGCCCAGAAAGAGAGAGTTAAAGTGGAAAATGGTAGAGCCCTAGTCTCATTCCTTGGAGATGTCACAGGAAGAAAAAAACAATCATTATCTTGACCTTACTTTTCTCTTCCATAGGTGCTTCTTGTAGTAATACAAGAGGAAGTCAGAGGTGCAGGAAGTGAAGAGGAGGGCGTGTATTTGATGTGTCTGGTTCAGTCTCCCGGTGCACAGAGAAGGGTAAAAAAGGATAGAGGCCCCTGCAAGGAAAACCCCAAATACCCACTCTTTAGATGTGCTGGGAATGGGATTTACTGTCCTTGAAAAGTAATATGGCAGAGATAGTTATAGCTTCCCAAACGTCTAAACCACGTGCTCCGCAGCTCCCTTGTGCCAGGTAAGGTCATGTGACTAGTTCTGACAAATGGGCTACAAGTGGAATTGGCACATATTGTTTCTGGGTTGTAGCATTAAAGGGACAGCACTTGACCATGTGTCTTTTTCTTTGCTATGGGAACCTGAAGACCAGGCGTGTTGTAGAAAAATATTGGAGAAGTAGAGTGGAGCCTGATGTACCTCACAAAAGAGAGTTGTCCTGGAAAGCTACTGGACCTGCAGCAGGCTTTGCATAGTGAGAAATAAAACTTTATAGTTGTCGTTATGCCGCTGAGATTTTGAGGGTTGATTTGTTCCTGCAGCATAACCTCATTATCCTGACAAATAAAACTATGACACTTCCAGCCTCAAGCACTGAACTCTTCAAAATGTAATTGGACAGAGCTTTGTGATACATTTAAGAAATAATACTAACCACTGCTCGCTAGCTGCACAACCCCTCTCTGTAGGACTGTGGTAGAATTTTTCTCATCCTGGCATCTGTATCACCCAATTCATTTGATTATATTATTTGTAAATGTGTTTTTTCTTAGTTCCACCCTCTCAGATTTTCCTTCCAGATATATCTAAGTTAGGAACACTGTCTCTTGAAAGATAGAGATCAGTTAGATAGCTTGATGTGACCTGGAACCAAGTTTATCAATTTTCAATTATAGACTCTCCCTGTGAACTGTGTGAAGAGCTGGAACTTTGCAGTCAGACATGCCTATATTTGCGTTTTGCTCCAGCCACTTATTAGCTATGTGACCTTATACAGATTACTTAACCGAGCCTCATTAATTTTTTCCTGTTAAATGATAATTCCTTCTGAAGAGGGTTATTGTATTTATTTATTGATTGATTGATTGTGCGATGGAGTCTCACTCTTGCTACCCACGCTGGAGTGTAATGGCACGATCTTGGCTCACTGCAACTGCCGCCTCCTGGGCTTAAGCAATTCTCCTGCCTCAGCTTCCCGGGTAGCTGAAATTACAGATGCATGCCACCACGCCCGGCTAATTTTTGTATTTTTAGTAGAGATGGGGTTTCACCATGTTGACCAGGCTGGTCTCGAACTCCTGACCTCAGGTGATCCACCCACCTTGGCCTCTCAAAGTGCTGGGATTACAGGTGTGAGCCACCGTGCCCAGCCTATTGTAAGTATTTTTAAATAGACATATGTTAAGAAAATAGCATAGTACCTGCCTGATATATAGCAGAAAATGAGTGGTTTATAATCTTCCTTATATTTAGCCTATGAGAATTCAGCTAAGTAGCCGACTATATTTGAGTTAACATAGCTCAAGTCTTTATTTCGTGTCTGGTTGTGTCAGATAGGCTTGATTCTAACAACTTTGTATGAGTTTTGTAAAGATCAAATTAGGTTTTTTCCAGAGGGTATTTTATAAAGAATAATGTCCAATTAAAAGGGCAGAATATTATTTTGGTGAGAAAATTTGAAATAGTAGATGAAAGTTTAATCCAAGAGTAAAAAGATATGGTTACTGACCCCATTTCTTATCATTTTTAGACATATCATTTTTGTTGAAACATTTATTCTCACCAATTCCTTGTGTCCTCATGTTAAAGTGCAATAGACATGACAGGCTTGCCTATACTCACAGGATTATTGTGAGGCTCAAAGAGAATAAGACATATGAAAAGCCACGGGAGACCATGAGTTGGGCTTAAGGTGTTGCAGCTATTTGCATATCTAGCAATGTCTTGTGTTTGAATAAATGTTGCTGAATGAATATACTGAATGAATAAATAAAAACCAAATAAAAAGGAAGTGGAAAAGGGACTTAGATTACAGTCAGTTTCATGCGAGAAAGATTTTTAAAAGCCAACTAACTCAATCCTCTCTATCCATAAGGAAAGTGAATATAGAAGGGATAAATAGCTTATAGATAGTGGCAAACTTGGAGTTCCACCTTTGCTTTTTAAATTTAAGACAAATACTATTTCCACTATACCTACCAGTGTCTTTCTGGGCTTGATGGGGTTTCTTTCAGCCTTCAGCCCTGGGATCGTGCCGATTCTAGGGAAATATATTTAGCCCTTCTTAGCACTTATGTGAACAAGATCATATTTATGTGCTTTGCTTTGATTTACAAACTATACTTTATAATACACATTCTTCTCCCAAATAAACCCAGAGGGTATTTACAGTTGTGTTCTGAAAATTCAGTAGTGACAGGTAGGCTTTTCCAGCCTCTTGGCTCCACCTCTGTTTCCAAGGTGTCAAAGCTCCTCTTCAATTGAACAGAGGCCTTCACCTGTGGAGGCGGGCCTGCTGCATGTGGTCTAGTGTTCCAGGTAGTAGGGAGACACTTAGGCACATGGGTGATTTCACATTCTGCAACAGCTCTGTCATAAGTACGCTTTCCATACTGAACTGTTTTTACATTAAGAATCCTGAGATAGGCTGGGCGCAGTGGCTCACGCCTGTAATCCCAGCACTTTGGGAGGCCAGGGCGGCGGATCACGAGGTCAGGAGATCGAGACCATCCTGGCTAACATGGTGAAATCCCGTCTCTACTAAAAATACAAAATTTAGAAAGGCGTGGTGGCGGGCGCCTGTAGTCCCAGCTACTCGGGAGGCTGAGGCAGGAGAATGGCGTGAACCCGGGAGGCGGAGCTTGCAGTGAGCCGAGATTGTGCCACTGCACTCCAGCCTGGGCAACAGAGTGAGACTCTGTCTCAAAAAAAAAAAAAAGAATCCTGAGATAACAACATAACAACAGGGTTTGCCTCTGCCTCAGAGAAACCCTGGGCCTATAAGGCTGAAACTTCTATGCCAATGAAAGCTGCTGAATTTCTAAAAGCATCAGTTCTTCTTGGCAGGTTGGCTGCAAAGTTACGGCTCCCTGACTCACTCCTCTCAATTGACTACTTATCAGAGCACATGTGGGTGTGGACATGTGATCATTTGTACTATGACTGGAAGTAGAATATGAATCAGTCCGGTAAGGTAATGCTCTTTCATGTCATTGGCGGTTCCCTACTATAAGTTGGAAACAATCCAACACTGGATTTCAGCCTAGCTCTGGGGTACTTAACTATGGAGGAAACCTACACTATACTGTGTGTGTTTCTTACATCTTCCAGCCTGGAAGAACAATGGGAAAATTTAAGTTACTCTTTACTTTGGGTAGAATAACTGGTTGTTAGCTCAAACAAGATTCTGTGACTTGATTGTGGGGACCTTTACCCCAAATTGTGGATTGAACCTGGGTCTTGAATGCAAAGTGCATTCAAGAAAGAGTTTCTTGAGTGAAATTCACGAAAGAATTTCAAACATCTTTGTGGAAAAACAGATACAGTTTCATTTATTCATATGCATGGGTATCCTTCATGGAAACATGCCTTAAATTAAAAATACAGAAACAATGATTCTTGATCATATAATTGTAATAGCACCATAAATATATATAAAATATCCCTCTCAGGGGCAAAATTCCCCTTTGATATTACTAGTCTTGACAAGATAGATATGTATGTGTTTGTTTTTAGAGCAGACTTTAAACGTGGGAGTGTTGATTAATGAGATTGATTATATATGAGGGAAAGGGAATAGGGGCAAGATATTTCAGGCCGACTCCATGCTTCTGACTTGTGGAGTCATTTACATCTAGCAGAGAGGAGGAGGAGTGTGTTTGTAGAAGTGTGGACGCGGACATGCTGGTTAGCGTTTTACTTACTAAATGCACAGACTGGAGATGGATTACCGAAATGCTCCTTTCCCCCTCTCCATATGCATTTTACAAAAAGACGACAATACCAATTTCTACTTTAACCTTTTAATCTAGTTTTAAAAATGGTTCTTATTACTATCTCTAACCCTTTAAATCTAGTGCCTTACTGAAGCTGAGGATGATGAAGTGATGGTCTTTTGTTTCCTCATGCTCTGAGCTCCCAGGCTATGGAAGCTGTAGATTTTATGTCCCACCACAGTCCCTCCAGTGCTGGGTGATCTTAGTTAAGGCTTTGATCTTACTTTGGGTCTGAAAAATAAGACCAAAAAAATGAATCTAAGTTTGAGTGTTAGGTCCCAAGAAATAGCTAATTTCAACATTTCCCCTGACATATAAGGCTAAGGTGAGGAAATTTCATCATATACTACCTGGGGAGATGGGAAATATAAAGACGATGGCAGAAAGGGTAAAAAGATGAAATAAAATAATGAATTAAATTCTTTTTTTTAAATTTTAAAGTTTGAAAAGTTTGATTTGAGAATTAGGTGAAGGTACAAGCCAATGTCTTTGATAGGGACCAGAAAGAGATCAAAAGAACCAGTGTGTGGTAAATAACTTTTGATGAGAAGAAACAAATTCAGGTATCTGTGGTAACACTCTGTTTGTCTCCTTGTTTATCTCCTCAACCATCCTTCAATCTACACAGAACCACCAGAGAAAAACCACTGCAGAGTCATCATGTTGCCCCAAATATCTCTTAGAGGGTTGACCTGAAAATTCGAGTGGAAATTATTCTACCGCTCAGCGTGTGCTTTTGGCCACTGTTGAATATTGACCCATCTCAAGTGTACACACATCATGTCCATCATCCTTGATTTGGGGAAAGCTGGCTGGAGCCCTAACTCAGAATTCACCCTCTTCAATCTGTCAACCAGGCTGAGCAATTCTTAAAAACAACTTCTGTTTATAAGAAGTTGATAAAAGGGACTTATTTTTTTAATATTAAATGCAACATTTAATAATTACTTTGCAGTTTAGAACAGTGTCTAAAATTCTTCTGTGGAGTTTGAAAAGATGTTTCTAGGGCTGAAGGTGAAACTTCTGCCCGCATTTTGCGGATGGGATGTGGAGATGGGAAACACAAGTCCACTCTTCTGAAAGGCTTGACATTTTAGAGCTGAAAGTTACCAATGGCTTAGAGAAGAAATTTAGTTTAATTTGTCCACTACTATGATTTTCAGGGTAGAAGTTAAAGTTTCCGCAGCTGTCCAGACTAATTTTCTAGTTTATCCTGAATCTACAAGGCTTCATTTTTTCCACAAATAACTATTTATTGTAAGCCTATTGTGTAGCCTATGGCCTTGAATATAAATCAGGGATATGTGACACCTTCAGGGAACTTCCAGCCTGTATTATTTTTCATTCTATAATTTAAAAAATTCTGCAATTACTGTTTTATGTCAATTCCATCTCCATCTACCATTATAATGGCCACTATTGTGTGGATGATGCTTAAATTTCTTTCAGCACATTGGAACTCTCTCCTAAGCTATAGTCAAAGATGTTCAGTTCTCTGCTTTGTAAGTATGTACATACTTACATGGAGCTCAAAGTCAAACTCTCTGGTACTATTCACATAAACTACACCATCCTCATAATTCTTCTCTTTCTTAATAGAACAATATTCCTCCAGCCCCCTAGTTACGCACAATTCCCCTCCATGGGCTTTCATATACAGAAGGCCAACACGTCCTTTCATTGAACTTTCCCTGCGGGTTCCCCAGCAGCTCTACTCTATACCACTGCCATCTCATTCTGGTTTAACTTGCCATTATCTCTTGCCTGTTCTGTGATAGTCACCCAACTCATCCTCTGTTTCTTCTCTCCCTTCTAACTTAGTCACGATGTACACTGCAGATTAATCTTCCCAAAGCACAATTTCATTGCATCATTCTTTTGTTCAAATACCTTCATGGACTCCCCTTGGTCTACAAATAAACCTAAACTCAGTAATCTTCATTTTTTGGCCATAACCTGCCAGTCTTGTTCTTATCACTCATGGTGCTACTCATGCATATGTCATAATTACCAATCTAGAAAATTGCTGTCTATAAACATGCATTCTGCTGGGCTACGCTTGAACGTGCTTCTGTGAGCAATGCTTTCTATTTTGGTTTTATTTCCCTCAAGTTCTGGTTTTCAGTGTCAGGTTCTTCGTGAAATCCTATGATAGATCTCCTGTGACCACCAAGACTTATGTTGTGAGTATCAGCTGTCCTCATAGTATTGCTATTTGGAAATGTATCATATACGTTTAAGCTTGTAAGGACCTTGAGTTCATGTCTGAGGTTGCTTTGTATCCATTCTCATTTTTCATACAGTGTCTAGACAAGTAGCTTCCCAGAATATTTGGTGAATTAACAAATAAAAGGAAGAATGAATGAATTAATTAATGGGAGATACTAAGTGAAGTATAATAAGATAAGTGAGTCTGAAGTCAGAATTTCTGAGTTCAAACCTAGACTTTGCCTCATAGTAGCTGTGTGGCTTTAGGCATGTTGCTGAACCTTTCTGTTTCTTGTATCATCACCCATAAAATGAGGATAGTACAAGTACTTATCTCATGGGGTTGTGGTGGGTTGTAATTGTATTAATCCATGTACAGTGCCTAACAAAAAAGATGATAAAAACACGATGCTTGGCACAGAGTGGACACTCGGTAAGCATTAGTGGTCACTATTACTGTTGTTATTTCAAATATGAAAGGGGAATTCCAAACTGGAGTTACTGTAAGAATCTTCCTGAGAAGACAGGGCAGGAGCTTGGGTCATGAATGATGGAGCAGAGGTAAGGACATATTATGTACTGTTTTCTCAGATCTCCCCAGAGTCAGTCATCAAAATCATGCTGTCTGTTGCCAGCCATACAGATGGTACTTCTTTTCAATCTCTAAGTCCTTTTATTAACTAGAACAACAGCAATGTTTTAGATTCCTGTGCTACAGGGCATTTTTTTCTTCCCTGTGGCTGGCCCATGTGTTTAGGGAGGGCCGTGAAGGCTGAGTTCAGGGCTGCCTCTTGTTTCCCCCTGGCCTCCTGCTGCCAAAGTCTCTGCTCTCAGCCTTGTCAGGCTTAGCCCAGGAAACATCTGCAAGGGCACTTCACGGTGACGCATTCTCAGGATGAGACAGCCAGGCCTCAGAGCAGCCTGCTGGGCCCATCTCCTCCAGAACATGTGTGGGGAGGCTGAGGAAAGAGAACTTGGGGCTGGGCTTGTCACCTGGGGCACAGAGGGCTCAGATGACGTGATCCTATTGTCTAAAGGACAGCAGTCTGTTGTTTTTGTTCTTTTTAGTAAAATAAATAAAGCCTCCCATTTCTATGATAATGCATGAGCCACCAGAGCATGGCTTGATGGTCCCACCTGGACTCAATGCCTGGGCTGTCATGGAGGGTTATGGAGCAAGTGGGTGACTAATTATTTGCACAGCTCTGGCCTAATGAATAGCTTTGGATAGAGAACTTCCTGGAGTCAGCTGGGGAGTACTCCACCCATGCAGCTTGATTACAGAAGCTATTTTGAAGTGCATTTTTGTTACTCCCAGAGGCGAAGGCCACTTGATGGGCCAGATTGCCCTCGTAAGCCAAGCATGGCTCATTCTCATTGCACCTGAACATTCGGCACGTCCTGCACACAGGAGAGGGTGTCTGAGTGCTGCCCTCAAAGTGTGGGCTTCCTGCACCTATCCTGTCTCCGGCTTCTCTTCCAACTTTTGTTATTTCTGGGGAGAATGACTTCAGCTTGGGTTGCAGGCGAGGAAAGATTTTGAAATGTTTCTGTGTTGAGGAGTAGGTCCTCTCTCTGTCTTTACCTTCCCGTGTGCAGAAACTGCAGAGGACATGTGTTGCCCTTCCGGTGGCCTGGGAAGCTACTGGTTTTCCTTTTAGGACACGAAGGGTAGACTAAAGCTATGTTTTCTGCGATGTTTTACTTTAGTCGTGCTCATGCACTGTGCCAAAGATACTGAAGTGTACTTCCTAAAGAGGAGAAATAAAAGTGCTGGGGGCGGGGAGTTTGATGGGTTGGTCGATAGGTGATCCGTGATTGAGCATTACAAAAATGAGGCCTGAGCTGCTGGTGCTTAAAGTTATTTCTAAATGCTTGCCGAGGCGCCTAACTTCGCTTTCTTCTCAGTGCAGATCTCCTTTCACTGAGGTCCTGTGCGGGGAGCTTGTTTCTTTGATATGGAAATGTGCACATTGATTCCTGCTGGAGGACCCAGGAGCCTCTGGGACCCCGCAGCTCAGGAGGCAGTTTTGGGTTGAAAGTTGGGGAGCGGAATTCATCTGGTCTCTGTTTCCACTTCCTTCCTCCACGCTGCTGTCTGAAGTTTGTTTCTCTTCTGGCTTTCTCTTTCCTATCTCAGATTCTTTCCAGTGCTTAGGGAAATCTCTTTCCACTTTTCCGAAAGCAAAATAAATGAAGCCACGATAGAGGCTGCCCTGCTCCTCAAAATACCTATGGGGGTAAGACGTAGAAATCCTAAAGCTGAAGTGTGATTTGGGAGATGGGTACGCTATGCCCTGCCCACGAATAATTCAGAGTAATAGGTAGATTCTGCCTATTTTCTGAGTGGCTTTTAGATTCACTAAAAGGTGACATTGGATGAGGTTTCAGGCAACGGAGCCAAGACAGGAAACTCAACCAAGATGATCACCAGGGACACGCCCCTGCATTTCCTCAGAGTAAGAGAGATCATACATCTGACTTGAGGCTTTTAAGCAAGGAGACTAAAGGTTGTTTGGCACAGTACAGTATTCATTTTAAGAGACTACAGACATAATCCAACTGTGAGATTCTAATCCTTTCTACGGCTTTTCCTTGGAAACAAACTGTAGGCAAGTCGTTATAGCCATGGTGCCCCTACGGTCAGCATGTTTTTCGATGCCTTCACAAAATATGAGACTAGAAAAAAGAATGACTGGGCCCAAAATGTAAAAATAAAGCTGTAAATAAAAATTAATACATATTTAACTTATTAATAATTTTGTCAGAGACTGTAGCAATTCAACACAGATTATTTTTCCCCCTATTTTACTGAGGTATGATCGACAAATAAAATTTGAGTATATTTATCATGTACAACATGATGTTCTGATAGATGTATACATTGTGAAATGATTACCACAAACAAGTTAACTGATCCATAACCTCATAGTTATCTTTTGTGTATGTGTGCAGTGAGAATAGTTAAGATCTACTGTTTAAAAATATTTCAAGGCCAGGTGTGGTGGCTCACGCCTGTAATCCCAGCACTTTGGGAGGCCGAGGCAGGCAGATCATGAGGTCAAGAGATCAAGACCATCCTGGCCAACATGGTGAAACCCCGTCTGTACTAAAAACACAAAAATTAGTTGGGCATGGTGGCGCGTGCCTGTAGTCCCAGCCTCTTGGGAGGCTGAGGCAGGAGAATCGCTTGAACCCGGGAGGCAGAGATTGCAGTGAGCCAAGATCATGCCACTGCACTCCAGCCTGGGAGATAGCAAGACTCTGTCTCAAAAAAAAAAAAAAAAATCAATTATATCATATAGTATTGTTATAGTCACCATGCTGTACATTAAGTCTCTAGAACCTATTCTCGTAACGGAGAGTTTGTACCCTTTGACCACATCTCTCCTTTTCTCTTTCCCCCAGCCCCTGACAACCACTATTCTAATTCTACTTTCTGTTTCTATGAATATGACTTTTTTAAAGTCCACATATAAGTAAGATCATACAGTATTTGTCTTTCTCTTATCATATAGAATTTGTCTGTGTCATTACACATATTGTTCTTAGCATAATGCCCTCAAGTTTTATTCATGTAGTTGCAAATGTCAGGATTTCGTTTTTATAGCCGAATAATATTCCTTTGTATACATATGCCACAATTTGTTTATACATTCATCCACCAAAGACCACTTGGGTTGTTCCCATGTCTTGGCTATTATGAATAATCCTGCAGTAAACTTAGAAGCACAGACATCTCTTTGAGATACTGATTTTGTTTCCTTTAGATATATACCTAGAAGAGGGATTGCTGGGTCATAGCGTAGTTCTATATTTAATTTTTTGAGAAACCACCAGACTGTTTTCCACGGTGACTGTACTCATTTACATTCCCACCAACAGTGAACAAAAGTTCTCTTTTTCTCCACATCCCCACCAACACTTGTTATCTCGGGTTTTTGATAATAGTCATCCTAACAGGTATGAGATGATATCTCATTGCCGTTTTCATTTGTATTTCCCTAAAGATTAGTAAAGCTGAGTACCTGTTTATGTAGTTATCTGTTAGCCATTTCAAGAGACTATCTGTAAGCCACATCTATTCAAAATATAGGTACATTACACGTACGTCATATGTGTAATATGTCATATGTGTAATGTATTATGATGTGTAGTCTCCAAAAGTTAGAATGTTAAGCTACAAGAAGCTTTATAAAATGGTCTTGCTGCTTGTCTAACTTATAAGCCCTCATTTTAGAATCTCGTATGGCAGAGGAATAGAATGACATAATGGTTAAAAACTCAAGTCCTAGATTCAGACACAGATTTTGATTCAGAATCTTTATATGACCTGGGACAAGTTCATTACCTCTCAGATCTTTTTCTCACCAATAAAGTAGGAATAAAAATAATTATATCCATATCATAGATTTTTTTGAGAACAAAAGTCACTTGTTACAGCATCTGACCCCGAGAAAGCACTCGGTGAATTTTAGATTATAATTATTGCTCTTCTTTTTTATCAAACATTATTCATCCCACAAAATTGTTCTTAGTATTCTTCACACCTGGCTCTAACAGATTTAGACTGTCTCTATAAATCAAATTTATATTTGAAGGACTAAAAATGAAGCACTAGAAAAGATATCTGGGACAATGTGCTTCAGGCTTTGGGGGCAATTTTAAAAGATTAGGTTTAGAACTCTTTTATGTAATATGAACACAATTCAACCAAATACAGAATGGACCTCCTTAAGAGGAAAACTCTTATGTAGCTGGTTTATTCTGGCATTTCTGGTTTGGAAAACAAAACTCTGTATAAGAAATAAGCTACATTTCTGTATGCATGGAAGTGCCATTTGGAATGACAGATATTTCTAGAGTCTAAACATCTTCCTTAAGTTTCTCAGGCCTCAATGTTTTCTCACACTGTCTTACACATATCTTGGCCTTCCCACATTCTTCTTGGATTGATTGCCATTCTCTGCCTGACTCAGTAACAGGCTGGGTGCAGTGGCTTACGCTTGTAATCCCAGCACTTTGGGAGACCGAGGCAGGCGGATAACCTGAGGTCAGGAGTTTGACACCAGCCTGACCAACATGGAGCAAGCCTGTCTCTACTAAAAATACAAAATTAGCTGGGTGTGGTGGTGCATGCCTGTAATCCCATCTACTCGGGAGGCTGAGGCAGGAGAATTGCTTGAACCAGGGAGGTGGAGGTTGTGGTGAGCCAAGATCGCGCCATTACACTCCAGCCTGGGCAACAACAGCGAAACCCCGTCTCAAAAAAAAAAAAAAAAAAAAAAAAAGTAACAGTAACAAACAGAGATGTCTTTTGATATTTCCTGCCATATTTCATGTAATGCCGCATCTGGCAGGCAGCTATTCAGTACAGTATTAACTATCTTAAGGGCACCTATCCTGCTTTTCTCTATGTTTCTGTTTATTTGGTTGATTTCCCACTTTTTTATGAACAAATTAAAGGGAAAGGCTCTATATTTACCTCCATGCTTAGAGATCAAGCGCCAAGAACAGAGTAAATGTTCATTAGTGAATGAGTGAATAAATGAGTTAACGAAAATTCTAAGACTTATAGCAAATTATAAACTTACTCAGCTAGCTGACCCACAGCCAATAATAGCTGATTAAACAGCACACTGTGAAGAGTCTGCCGTTAGGATCATCCAGACTCTTATCTCCCCAGCTCCTCTGCACCTTCTTCCCACCGCATCTGAGCCCAAGTTGTTCTTCTATCCTAAAGTCCATGTGGGCTAGATCATAGACTGAGGATTCAGTTCTGGGCTCAAATCTTGGCTCTTTCTCTTACTTTCCATATAATTGTGGGCAAGTAACATAATGAGATGATCAGTTTCTAGGATTTATCCATCCTTGAAATTGTCTTATGTATTTAACTCCCCCTATTAGAGTGTAAGCTGCTCAAGGTCAGGGACTCTGTCAGGCTTATCAGCCACTGTGTCTACATTGCCCAGAACAGTGTCTGGAAACTAGCATCTGCTCATTCATACTTGTTGTCATAAAAGTGATGAGTTTAGTATCTGGTATGATCAGGCACTTTACAAATGGAAGCCCTCATCTGGACTGCTCCATAGCCTCCTGACCATCAGCCTCACCTCCCTTCAATTTGCTTTTCATTTGAGAAGCAGAGTATTTCTTCATTGCAAGCCTAATTCTGTCATTCTTTTTATGCTAGTCTTTAATGGCTCTGCAGTACCTTCAACATCAAGGCCATGCTCTTGCAAATATGGCCTTTTGTGATTTGAGCTCTACACACAGAGCCATGGTTACCTCCCGTTCCAGTTATGCTGCATGACTCTCTGAACAGCCTAAGGCTCCTGTGTCCTCTTCTCTTTGCTGTTGTCTGTCTGCTATGCCTGCTCAATTCTTAGTCTACTCCCCAGAGTGTGTCATCATTCAAAATTTGGCTCCGATAGTATCTCCTCTGCAAAGACATTCTTGATGTTCTCCTCATCCATCCCAAGCAAGCTTAATCTCTTTGTGCACATCTCTATTTTATGGATGTGTGTGTGTGTGTGTGTGTGTGTGTGTGTGTGTGTATTTTTTGATATATTCTTACATCAGGCTGTACTGTTTTTACTATATCTATTACCCCTACCAAACTGTAGGCACCAATATAACTATTGCACAGATGAATTATCCTGCTAACTATTTAGTGGCTGGCATAAAATATGAATAAGTGTAGACTGAACCTTCATATATGTCTTTGTTGATTGAATGAATGAATGAATGAATATGCTTATACATCAGAAACTGGTACCTACCTAGTTTGAGTTGGATGGTGTTTGCTTGATTACACAAGTCTGTGCACATTTATAGGCTATTTGGTGATGCTGCTGTCTTTTTTGGCATGTTTCTTTACTATTCTTAGTATTTTTCTCTGTGGCTGTATGACTTTAGCTTTACATGGAGTAGGTTAGAGTGATGGATGGAGAAGAAGCTGGTCTCTAGGGCTGGCGATTGCAGTGTACCATCTCTCCCCCTGCCTGCAAGTAAGGATATGTCTGTGGGGTGGGGAGCTCCTTCCTGGCATTTCCCTTTTTGAAGCTAATCTGAGAAATAGGGACATCCTCACCTCTGTAGCTCATACTCCCAACCTGCTCTTTTTACCCTGGGGAGGTCTCTCACAGTCATGGTGGCAAAATGTAGTGAAGGGGTCACTGAGATGGACAGGACAGTGGGGTGCAAGTTTCAGGAAGCTGCTTGAGCCCTTTAGGGCACTGTCTCCTCATTTATAAAAGGGGTTTGTCTGGCCCCTTCTAGCTCTGACATTCTAGAGTTACATGACTACGATGGTGCTGATAAGATGATCATGTAGTGGCGGGAGCTTGGGGGAGAGTCAATGGTGAGTCCAGATCCTCCAGGCAAGGCCCTGCCCCCTGTGGTATAAAGTCAGAGAGGACACATTTTGCTAATGTGCTTTATCTTGCCCATCAGCTCTGGGAACTAATTCCACTGGGTGATCACAGTTACCGGCCTCCTCATCTAAGGAGATGCAATTCCAGGAGCGGCTGCCCTCTGACCTGCTGGCTGGCCTGTGCATTACTCACCCTGTCATGGTCCTGAGACTGGCCTGCTGCCTGCTGGGAGCTTCACAGTCTGGCACAGCCGCTGGACTGGGAATGAAACAGGAAGCGTGCTGAGAGAGAGGGCAGGGGTGGAGGCTATTGGACCGGGAGGATGAGGCAGCTCAGGCCAAACACTCATCCATATTCAGCTGTGTGCCCAAGGAAGTGTGGATGATCAGGGACAGAGAGAGTGGCCAAATGAATGTATGGAGAAGAGTGTCTGGCTATTGGTACCCGGATGCTGAGAAAAGATCGTGGTTTTGCCCAACCAAACAATCCAGGGATGAAAGTAGTCTTGGAGGGTACGATGGGGGCTCCAGTCACCTTTTGCTCGTTTCCCACCCTAGGCAGAGCTCTGACTGCAATAATAAACAACATGGGGCAGCCGAAATCTCAGTTGCTGAGAGGCTGCACAGTGGGAGAGACCACGCATCACAACAGCCGGCCTGGGCTAGCGCCTGATTTGACGAGAAGCTCATCCCAGTGGATTGAGCCTTGAAAGTTCTTCTCTGACAGCTGGGAGTCTCAAGGGCTCAGCCATGAATCCTTCTAAACAGAGTTTGTGCTTTTGGTGGATGTAACCCCAGGAATCCCATCACGCTCCCAGAAGAGTACATGAATGGTGAAAGGACGGATGGGCAGATCGGGCACAGCAAAGCACCAAGGGAAGAAACAGCAAATGACCAAAGCTATAAGCCCTAGTGCTTTTAGATAGGGAAGGGGCTTTGCAACTGGCTCATGACCTTAAGTGAGTTTTTAAACTCTCTGAGTGAGCCTGTTTCTTTCATCTTGGTTTGGAAAAATGAAAGGAGCTCCTTATCAACTTAAGTCAGAAAACAAACAAAAAACAAATGTTGAAAGATTATAGTCACAGATGCACAAAGCAACTCTTCGTTCCATTTACCAATGTGTATAATGTAATGCATCATTCCACAAAAGCGGATGACGCTTCTAATGGAAAGCAAGGAAAAGGTGGAGGAAAAAAGAAAATACATTCTAGAAAATACAGAAATGCCGTATTTCTGTCTACCTTCCCTCACGTTTGCCCACAGGGCAGGACTTTTGTCTAAATGTATGATAGCCCTGGCAGTGTATACCTTCAGGCTCCAAGCTCCAGAGAACCCAAGAGGTAATGTGGAGACTGCAATTGTCAGCAATTCCATACACTGAGAAACACAGGGAAAGAGGCTGCATGTGTAACTCTCCAAGTCCGACATCTCCAGCTTGGACTCAAAACACCAGTGGTTTAATCCAGAGACAGAAACACCTTTTGAGTCCCATTCCATTACACAAGAAGCCCTTTGCTCTTTGGCTTGTTTTACTGCAGGCAAACTGCGAGGCTGAAATAGGATTTCCCTCACTGCAGCCCACATTGGGATAAGTCAGAGCCTGCGGACTCTGCTTGAGGAGTGGCCAGGGAGATGCTTGCAGAGTGCAGTAAACAGGACATGGAGGAAGTTGGGAGCTGGACTCGGGTTGTTAACAAGCCCTTCCCCGCCACCCCCACGTTGTCAGGAAATGTGGGGAGCTGAGGGCCACAGAGCACACAATGATGCAGTGGGAAGTGGCCTTTATAAATACCCAGGGGTCAGGGCCAGGCTCGGCAAACAATAGGGGAAATGATGATGGCGGCAGTGGGTGTGGGGGGTGGGGAAGGCCAGGATGAGTCCATCAGTGACAATAATGGAGCAGAAGCAGATACTGGCGCTGGCGGTCCAGGGGGGCCTGGGGGTTGTGAATCAAACTATACAAATTGCCGGTGACTCAGTAGCCACAACAGAGGGTAGCAGGGTCTGTAAACAGTCCACAGTATGTCCCATTGTTCCTTCAAGAACCTCTCCCTGGTCTCTACATGTCAAAGGTCTCTGTTTTGCTTCACTTACCGGAAGCTGGTGGAAGCTAGTTGAGTGTTCAGAGGACACCATTCCTCACCGGTGGTGACAGTGGGCTCAGGGCTGCATTTTCTGCCTTGTGTTCACCCTGGTAAGCAAATAGGCACCAAAGGAAGGGAAAGAGGATCTGCAGGGAAACAAACAATGCCCCAGAGCTGAACTTTGGTTTAGTCTCCCCAGATTCACTTGGTGTGTGGATGGGAATGGAAGATTAGTATGCCGCCCTTCACTGGCCGTGGGGAGAGATGCATTTTTGTATTCAGAATATAACCTTGCAAATGAGATCAAACATTTGAAGAGCTATGGGAAAGGCAATAAACCAAAGTGGGATTCTTCGTCACTTGTCCAGCATGAATTATTACTTGCTGGTTAAGCAGGTGAGTAAGTGGCTATTTGCAAAGCTGCCTGAAGGACCTAGATTATTATTTTGTTTTTTTTTTTGTGGGACAGTTCCTAGTTCTTTCTACGATTAGCTATGCAAAAGATAGACGACTGAAATTCTTTAGGCTTCATTTTTCCTCACCACATGGGGTTGGTCACTGAGGATCTATGAGACGCTAAACTTACAGAAACAGAAAGATTTTAGGTCAACTTATTTTTCTTTTCCATCTTTGCCCAGCACTGGAAATATATATTTTACCCTGACACACAGACTGAGTTAGAGGAGCTGGCATGTGCTCCATTTCTTCATGTTAAAGCATACCAGGTGTTTCTAAGTTACAGGGTGATTTCCATGTACAAAGATATTTGTGACATAAAATATACCTTTTGCAGAAATTATGAACTCCCCAGATTGAATGTTCCTTGTATCAATTATTATTCTGTTTTAGAGTGCTTCATCATAAACATGATTAAAAATCTAATTAGGTAATCAATTACATAACAGTCATTTCTTTCTCTAAAATGTAAGCTTTACAAAGGCAGGCCCTGAGCCTCTCCTACTGATATGGTTTCCTTGGTGCTGAGCATAGTTTCTCCCATGGAATTGGCCCTTAGTAGGTATTGAGTGAGTGAGCAGGAGAACGAATGCTCTCTAAGTGCCTCTGTTTTATATGCAGTCTCTGTAAGGAGCCAGCTGGAAGCTGGGATCTGGGGTGCATGTGTATTGCAGGGGTCTGAGCATGGTCCTCCAGGGCTGTTTAACCACGGATGCATGTTCAGGGTGCCCTCTAAGACTGTAGGGCTCACCATGCCATGGATGTCTCTGATGGGAGGCGCTGTTCCTTCTGTATCCCATGGCACATATGATAAAGTGCGGTCTCATTCGAAGTCCCATTTAGTGAAATAAAACATAGGAAACTCAAATGGAGGTTAAGCAAGCCACGTTATATTTATTTTAATATTTATTATTTAAAACATATATTTAAAAGACATAGGCTTTGACTTTCAGTGAGAAAAGATTAACCAATATGTAAATTTAGATCTTACTAAGGGCACCCTAACTCTATCTTTAACCTTGATATGCTGCTGGTGAAACTATAAACAGGCATATACTTTTTTTTTTGGTAACTTTTATTTTAGGTTTGGGGAACATGTGCAGGTTTGTTATATAGGTAAACTCATCTCACGGGGATTGGTTGTACAGACTAATTTGTTACCTAGATACTAAGCCTAGTACCCAATAGTTATTTTTCTTCTCCTCTTCCTTCTCCCACCCTCCACTCTCAAGTAGCCGCCAATGTCTGTTGTTCCCTACTTTGTATCCATTAGTTCTCATCATTTAGCTCCCACTTATAAATGGGAACACACTGTATTTGTTTATCTGTTCCTGCGTTAGCTTGCTAATGCCAATGGCCTCCAGCTCCATCCATGTCCCTCCAAAAGACATGATCTTATTCTTATGGCTGCATAGTATTCCATGGTGTATGTGCATCACCTTTTCTTTATCCAGTCTGTCACTGATGGGCATTCACATTGATTCCTTGTCTTTTCTATTGTGAATAGGGCTGCAATGGACATTCACATACATGTGTCTTTATGGTAGAATAATTTGTATTCCTCTGGGTATATACCCAGTAATGAAATTCATGCTTATACTTTCTAAGCAAGCAATTTTTTCTATTACAGTTTATCAAAAGTCTTAAAATATTTGTATTTTCAGCCCAGCAATTTTATTTTTGGAAACTTTCATAAAAATCTGGACAACAATTTATAACTAAAGAGGTTTATCATATTCCAGTTCTATAGAAATAATTTTAAAAGTAGAAAATTTTTCTAATAACAGGATATTTAATTAAAAACAAATGACAGAATATAATGATGGCACTGTTAAATTAATGGTGTCATTAAAATCACTTATATATAATTTGGATCAGTGATATTATTTGACAAAATGAAAAAATGCAGCATAAAAATTGCATATAGGCTATATTCTCAATGATAAAATACATGTAAATTTAAAAAGACTGGAAACGATTCTGTAAAACATTAGTGATGATTTTTTCAGGGTGTTGGAATGGCAGTTCTCTTCTTTTTTCTTGATACTTTCTCTAAAATTCTAATAATAAACATGTATTTTATAATCAGTTAATAAAAACTATGTAAAACTTTGGCTCAGTAAGTTTAGTTTTGAAATTCCAAATTTAGGTTACTCTATCGATTTTTGCAAGGAATGAAGACTTGGGAGTGAGTCTCTTCAAAAAGTAAAAAAAAGGGAAGAGAGAAGAAGACAAAGGTGCAGGCATGTAGAAGGAAATTTTCTTTTTGTTTTGGAAAAAATCATGGGGAGTCATAAACATAATATACAAAGACATTTTAAGTACTCATATTTTTTTTTCCCTGGCTTCTGACAAACCATTGAAGGGGGAAACTGCTGAGAGCGTTCATGCAGAATGCCTTCAGCAGATGTTAAGGGAAGGAAGTCCATGCACCAACTTCCAGTGAAGCGCTCATGGTCACAAATGCCAGGTATTGTGGGTTTTGATATCAGAATGTTTTCAGGTAAAGGTCTGTTTTCAAGAAAGGGTGAGCTAAACAAACCACAGGCAAACAGCCTGAGGATGATGGTGGTAAACTAAGAATGAGTTAAGAAATAACAGTTAACTCTACTGTGTTTTCACCAGGCACTATTCTAAGTGTTCCGTGTGTGTGTGTTAACTCTTTTAATTCTTGCAGCAAACCCATGAGTTAGATGATATTACTACCCTCATTTTATAGGTTAGGAAATGGAGGCATAGAATGTTGAGTAAGTTGCCCGAGGTTGCGGGACTAGCAGAGAAATCAGGAATCCAGGGAATCTAGTTTAGAGCCCTTACTTTTACATCACAGTCTAAGCCCTCATTGATAACAGTTCTGCAAAGTTAGAAAGTCATCACATTATACCCAGGTGTTTGCATTCCTGTAGCCACGTAAGGAGGACTTATTCAGTAGGACAAGAAATTGCAGTTTAAAAGAAAATAATATTGTAAAAGGAAATAGCTACACTTATTTAAGACCTAAAGTTCCATTCAGTGTTTGTCTATTTGATAAATGTTTGAAAAACATTTGAGGATGTCCTGGAAGTAGAGATAAAAGACTTACTCTAGAAAGACAGACATAAGTAAAAGTGAATCATATGCTGAAAGATACTGGGACCTCTGATGAACTTATGCAAGATTAATGTAATTTCACAGGTATTTGGAAATGACACTTTGACAATCTGAACAATGGTGAGGAGACTACAGGGAGAGAGGTTTGGAAGTAACACATATATCGAAGTCTGATGTATTGGCTTAAAATATAATGCCATCTTGGCTTTTCTAATTCAACAAGTAAATATGTATACATACATGTAAAATGTCATCTGAATTGAATGGTAAAATATAGAAATTGGTGACTTTAGTTTGGGTAGCATCCAGAAAGAGAGGAGACCCCACTCTAGCTGGATGTTGTAATAACTTTCATATAAGGGCTATTTACAGCATGTGTGGGTGGAGTTTAAAACATGCACCAGGGGTTGAGCGGTGCCCTGGAATTGATGCCATCAGGAGGCAGCAGCTTTTGCCACCTCCAGGCCCGATGGCCACCAGGAAAGCAGCTGTGTGGAAAAGGATGCCTGATGAGACCTGACCTTGTATCCAGGATGCAGCCAGTCCATGGCAACCCCACAGGGAGAAGAATGGGACAATACATACAGCATCATCCCTCTCCTGCCTCCTCCCATTCTCCTGCCAGTGCTCACCAAAGACCAACCCCAGGGAGTAGCCAGAGGGCAAAGAAGGAGCCTGTAAGTCAGGCTCCTTAGGCATGCATTTTGGAGGGAGGGAAAGTGCATCTGGGGGTGCACCTGGAAGATAGCTAACTCAGTAACTGTTTGCATGTGGCAGTCAGAGAGGGGATGGAATGTGCCAGGAGTCTCAGGTCTTTGGGTATGGGCCAGGGAATATCGAGGATGTGCAAAATGAGGGGGAAATGCTGTGTATGTAACAAATTCATGTACAACTTCTAGTAGGTAATTATTTTATATCAACTATGGAGAGGGTGTGAGAGATATGGAAAGTGTCTACCATCAGTTTAGATAGGTGAGAGTTTAAACCATGGTGGCAAATGAGGTCTCGAGGGAGCCTGTGTATGTGGAGCAATTAGAAGAGATGACCAAAGGCCATGGGATCTCGGATTTGTAAAGATGTAATGAAGACACCGAGAGGAGGTAACCTGGGGGGTATTTCAACCTGGCCTTTTTCTATGTGCCAGGAGTCGTGGGTTTGTATTTGCTTTTTAAGGATTCCCACAGTTCTAAGGGGGAAATGCAGAGTGAATGGAATTTTAAGCTGAGAAATTAAAGACCTGAGCCTGTCTACTGGGCCTCAGAATAGAACCTCCACCGATGACCTTTCCTCTTCAAGCCTTCCGTACCTTTCTGGGGTAAAGTTATTTGACTACATGCTGCCTCGCAGAGTGTTTTCAAGGATAAATGAGATAACGTCTGTAAAGCCCCTGGAGAGGAAGCCCCAATCTAGATAAACACACCCTCTGGTATTTTTAGCCCCAGAGTGCTGGGTGTTCAGGATATGCCATTTAGCAATTCCTGGAGCCTTGAAAAGGAAAGAGAAAGGGGCGTTGTGGGGCCAGGATCAGTGGCATACAACAAATGTTTTTCGAGAAATCCCTCCCACCCTAAGTGTAAGAATCCACGTCAAAGGAAACAAACACCATGAGTAGATAAAACAGGAAGGTGACAGGTTTGCTTGCTTGCAATCAAGACGGGGGATGCCAAAGGGCTAGTTCTGGCTGCTGGCTCACTCTGAGGGGTGGGGGTCCAATGGCTGGCTCCTCCACTGATAATGAAACGAGGGTTAAGCAACTCTCTGTCCTGCAGAGAATGGCAGGAAACATCTTCATCACCCATGACTCCTTGAGAGAGTAGTGGGGTTTGGGGAGGTTGCATTTCCTTTCAAGATTCCAGAAAGGGTGCTCACACCCCCAGGGGCATGAATGCTGGCACGCTGACCCAACACAAGCAAGGCTGCCAGATGACCATGGGGTCCGGCCCGCCCTTCTGTCCCTATCTGCTTCATAAGCACAAAGCCCTTCAGAAAGTAACAACAGGAACCTTGGAATGATAACTCACTTGGAGAAAGGTCTTACAAGAGTTCATCGAGCTGCTTCATCAATGCTCTTTTCTTCCTTTCCATTCTGTAGGGAGAATGTTTATCTCTCAGTTTCATGTTATGGGCCTAATCTCTTTATATATGGAAAGGGAATAAAGTTTGAGTATCTCCTATGCTCCAGGCTGTGAGTTAAACATTTATATGCATCATGTCATTTAAATCTACATTTAACTCTACTCTGCTATGTCTATATTCTTTCCACAACTGTCCTGTTAAACTCAGAAACCAAAACTGGCACAGAGTTAAATCAGGGTGCCTGTATCAAGCTGCTCTGTCCCAAGTATCCAAACTGATTCATAGTAAGATTAATAGGAGAATGTAATTTTATTTCACCCTTGGTCATCTTGTTTTTATTTTCTTAAAGCAGATAGAGTGTGCCCTTTGTAGACACCCACTGAGATATGTAGACTTGCCTTTTAGGTAGTGTAGGATGAGTAATTGACTGTGAAGTTCGTATCATGTTCTCCTGGGCTTCTTTTTTTGTTTGTTTTTGAGATGGAGTCTCTCTTTGCTGCCCAGGCTGGAGTGCAGTGGCACGATCTCGGCTCACTGCAACCTCCACTTCCCGGGTTCAAGCAATTCTCCTGCCTCAGCCTCCCGAGTAGCTGGGATGACAGGCATGTGCCACCACGCCCGGCTGATTACCCCAGGTCTTCTTATGTTGAGTGGTTTAGTACCAGACCAGAAATCACTTGCAAAATGAAGAATTGGGAGAGATACAATTTCCTTAGAAGATGGGAAGGTTTTAATCAAACGAAGTCGTGAAACATTAGCTTTACCAAGAATTCAGTTCTCCTCATTAAACAAATGGAGCAATTGGGAACTGGGTGAGCTCAAATTCTCACAGCCTGCTGAGGGTAGAACTCGATTTAGAGTCCAACCCTCCTCACCCACAGCCTCATCATATTCTCCTTTATGTATATCATATTCCCTATATCTCCTGTTAGCTGATCCTCCCCCTTTTCAAAATATTTTCCCCTTAAACAATGGAAAGGGTCTGTAATAGTGCCTTCCCATGGAAAGTGTGCATAAGCATCTTGAATGAACAACTACACACCTAGAGTCATTTTACTCAAATTGTCTCTCAAATCTCTGGCTAGCTCTTCCTATTAAAAAATTTGGATTTGAATCGAGTTAGTTCCGACAGTGTAGACAGTAATTCCCTTGAAGTTACACAATGAAGAACAACTACTCCTTCTACAAAATGTGCCTTTTTTTTTTCTGTCTTCTCAGGGTTGTCCCTCATTTGGGGAATATTAAATATTACAGTTGCTATCAGTGCAAGTAATCACACCCCCATTGACAAGTCTCTGGCAGTGAATGCTTCTTACCAATGGAGAATTAGACAAAGTGACAGGTTTAATTCGCAGCAGGACAAAAAGGTGTTGAAAGTGTGAAGCGATTGTGCTCTGGGAGACACATCAATTACTTCCCTGACAGCCTGAAGGCAGTGGAGAAAGGGCTTTGTCTATGCCTAGAATATTACCTCCTTTCATCGTTCATCCCAGCTTCGATGTTCTTCATGATGTGAAGGTGGAGGAAATCAAGGTGCTTTCTTCATATCTGAGTATGGAAATTCCATTTCTGTGAAGTTTGAAAATGATTGGGTAGAAGTGAACTCCTAATGTGAAAAGGAAAGAATAACCCTTGCATTAGCATGCCCTTGGTAACTTGAGTCTCTTCAGTGAACCTCACCAACGTTCATCAGGACAGAGGGAATTATCAGCCTATTGAGTGGAAAGGTTAAATGAGTTTTATCATCTTCTCAGTAAGATGACAATTCTGGTGTCAGGTTTCATTTTGGTGATGAGTATCACTGTGGGGAGGGACAGCAGCATGCCCACGGCCTCTGGGGCCGCCTGCCTGAGGGGCAGCCGGGCAGAAGGACGTTGAGAGGGAAGGTGATGAGTTGGGGAGGGAGGCAGAAGGCACATTGTGCTCTCTGCTCCAGAGGGATGGTCTCTGCTCGCATGAGAGTGTCTGTGAGTTGCGTTGAGTTTCAGAACAACCTCTGCCAAATACATTTATGTCAATACAAATTTATATCATCCAACACAACACTACCATGAGTCAAGCCAATATGGAGTTCAGAACTCTTTTGTAAAAAAAATTAAATTTGTTTTCTAATTGCTTTTGTAAGGGAAGGGATGATTAAGGCTTCATATAACCAGACTCCATAGCTGATATGCAATAAATTTATGTTGAGTGAAAGAATACTAATTGAACATAATATTGTAGAATTTGATTTCTTCCTTAAGACCTTGCTACTCCAACTGTGCTCTGTAGATCACTAGCATCCCATTATCTGCAAAATTGATACAAAAAAATGTGAAATCCCAGGGTCCACTCCAGACAGATTGAATCAGAATCTGCATTTTATTAACAACAAATTCCACAGATAATTACACATCCATTAAAGCTTCAGAAGCACTGCTGTAAAATGCAATGCCCATAGTTGGATGGTTTCCACCAGGTGAATAGTAATATCTTTCGTGTTTGTTAAGCTTAATTATATTTTTTTTAAAAAGCTCAGATCTGGATAACTGGAAGAAGTATATAGCACAAAGCCTATTCATATTTTTTCTAGAAAAAATGTAGGTTTTAGAATAATTTCGTGATAAATCTCTCATTTCTACTTTTATTTGTTGTTGTTTTTGTTTTGTTTTGTTTTTTTGAGACGGAGTTTTGCTCTTGTTGCCCAGGCTGGAGTGCAATGGCACACTCTCGGCTCACTGCAACCTCCACCTCTTTGGTTCAAGCGTTTCTCCTGCCTCAGCCTCCTGAGAGTAGCTGGGATTACAGGCATGCGCCACCACGCCTGGCTAATTTTGTATTTTTAGTAGAGACAGGGTTTCTTCATGTTGGTCAGGCTGGTCTCAAACTCCCAACCTCAGGTGATCCACCCACCTCAGCCTCCCAAAGTGCTGGCATTACAGGCATGAGCCACCGCGCCTGGCCTTATTTCTACTTTTAAATACTACTATTTATCTATCAGCGTGCCTGAGTCCCTTAAAAGGTTTTGAGCTCTTGGAAAGTAAAGATCATATATCAATAATTCCTGTATATCCCTACAATTTTACATGGAATAACTACTTTTAAAATGCGTATTGAATAGACAATCAAACTTCTAGGTAAAAACAGATATTCTGTCTCATAAACACTGAACACTCTCTTCAAAACACAAATCATAATTCATAATTATATATTTCAGTGTCTGTTTCCTTAATGTCTTCTTCTACTAGATAATAAATTATATGAGAACAAGTCAAGGTTTGTCTCATTCACTCTTGTATTGCATTTGCCAAATTGAAGAATGTGTAACGGTAAGTTCAGGTGTTTCTAATGCTTAACTTAGCCAAATCAACAGGTGCTTTCTCCTTTGAGAAAAATCTTATTTACTTTATACAAGAATAATTATAACAATTGTCAGTTTCTGCCTGCTTCACTGCTTAGCAGATTGAAAATATCTATTACCTCCAAAAGGGGCCTAATTTGGACTTCCCTTGCTCCATCTACCTTCTCCCTCAGAAGGAAATTGTTTTCAATTCTCCATAGTAGAAACTCTCAGTTTCAAGCTCCAAGAACTATCAGTTGTTTTTTTTTCTCACTCTCAGAAGTGCCTTCCTCAAAGAAAGTCATACAGTGCCCACCCATCTGCAGCAGAGCCTCAGTCCCCCAACTTTTCTGCCACCCAACAAATAAGTGTAGCGCCCATCTGTCTGCAGCAGAGCCTCAGTCCCGCAACCTTTCTACCCCAAAACAAATAATGCATCTCCCCTTTTGTTTTTTGTTGGCACACAGCACGTCCTCCTGCCCGGGGCTTTGGTTCACACTGCTCTGGTGTGTGTGCATGAGTATATGTTGCTCTGTGTTTTGTGGTGTTTCTTTAGCAGCCTCTACCATTCTGTGGGTGTTTTCTCGATCCGAAGTGGAACCACTGAGTCTATGACACCCGCTGCTGTTTGTGCAATTCTCTGCAAAAATGGCTTCAAGTGTTACCTTGCCTGCTCCACTTCGGGGCAACCACAATGATGAACAGGCACGAACTTCTTGACGCATGCACTTCACCTCCCTGACAGGGCCCGATAAGATCAAATAGCAGGGCTGCAAGTGGTCTGACAGGCTCGTTGTGCCATGTTCAGAGAGCAGAGGTGGGTGAGCTGAAGGCCCCTGCCACACTCCTGCCACGGGGGCTTGCTTGGGCTGCAGTTAGCCCCGGGAGGGGCTGACCTCAGAGGTGGGAGGCACAGTTGAGTTTCCAGAAGAGTCGATGGGTGCATTTCAGGGGTAGAAATCAGCCTAGAAAACTTTCCTTTCTAGGGCCTAGGTTTCTTCCTTTATCTTGTCACTGTGGTTGTTTATTTCCCTCCTTGGTTATTTCTTCCCCACAAATCACTATAATAAGAACAATTTCACACGGAGTGAGCATTCACATGGAGTCAGGTTCTTTGCCAAGTCCTGTACATGTTTCCTCTAAGCCACCTCTCTGCTCTGAAAACAGTTCCCTCTCTCTGCTTCTGAGCTCATGAGGGGAGTCACTCAGGTGTCAGCATCCAAACCACAGGGAGAACTCGTTGACCGACCCCACGGCCTGGTTCGGGGGGCGGTGCATGTGGTGATATCTCTGATAGGCATTTCATGTTTTCATCTTTCATGTAATAAGGATTCCTTGTGACTCAAAGGAGAAAAGAAACCCTCGACTGGGACGGATTAGCTAGTAATCGTGTTGTGAGCAGGGATTATTAGGATCTAATCTTTATTGCAAAAGTCATATTCAGTGAACTCTGAATGGCCTGATGGTTCAACACTCACTATCAGGAGCCTGAGAACACGCAGCATGAGGATCCTGTGGAAATCATTTGTATATGGGGGCTGCTATAAGATCTAGTGTTGGTCTAGTGGCAAGGAAAAGAAAACTGACTGGATCCAGGATATGCAACAAGTCAGTGGCACAACTAGCAACGAAAGAAAGGTGCCGGGGCAAGGGAATTATTTTTTCCATAACTCTATAAAAGACACCTATTCACAAGAAGACACTACTCATTTCATTTCTTTCCAGAAAGGTGCTGAAAGGCAAAAATTACCAAGGGGCAAGCCGAGAAAGCTCTAATAGAGAAATGTCATTATGCTCCAGGTTCCTTAACTTTTAATGAAATGTTGCTGGTTCTGTTTCACAGGTAGAGAATTGAAGCCTCTCAGAGGTTAAGGAGCTTGCTCAAGGTCACTCAGCAAATAAGTTGTGGAGTTGCAAGGGGAAATGCTGCCAGTTCTGACAGTCTCATCCACACTGCCTCCTCCTGTCTGAAATGCAAAACAGGCAGATGAGGCTCCAGCTCAGATTCATGAAAGCTCATAACCGGCCTTAGTGTCTCTGGCTGTCCATATTCCCAGCCTGTGAACTGAGCCCTCTTTCCTGGAGCCTGTTTGGGCTGGGAAGCTGTAGTCATTGCTTGGCCTTTCTCCTTAACCACAGATGGTTGGCCCAATATAAACTGCTTATTGTTTTTGTTTTTGTTTGCTTTCATCTCCAGAGTCAGGGAAATGAGTGCTCCTGACATTACCTTGTCAGTAACTATGAAAGCACCCTCTGCCCATCTTCAAGTTCCAAGGAAATCCGACAACCATTATAGCAGCCTTAGTGGCAGCAAGAATAAAATCAAGAGTCCACAAACCAGGCAGAAGGATCATCCAGTTCCCAAAGTCAGTCAAAGCAGCAGGAGGAATGACAAAGTTCTGGCAGGCCTGTGGGACTGCTTACAAGATTTTGATACCCCAGAGCCCAGGAAGGTGAATTTAGGGATGCTTAAGGAAGCTGCTGTGCCTAGACAACCCTGGCTCATGCGGGAAGGGCAATTCTGGCAGAAGGGAGCCCTCTCATCTCAATCTGTCTGTGTTGCCCCCTTTTTTCCCACCCTGCTTTGGGCTCTCTGTGTCAGCTCTCAGTTGACCTGCTTCCCTTCTTCTAGTCTGGCTGGAGCTGCTAACTCAGTGCTGCTCAGAGTGGCTTTGGGGCACTGGTTATCCCTGTTGGAACAACAGCTTTCAGACTTTATTAAGTACCTAAGCTTCCAACCCTGAGCAGCAAGCATACCATCTCCAAACTTCAGCATCCCGGCTTCCAAAGCTCCAAAGACTAGACCAGCCCACTCAAGGTCATGCCATCCTCCAGGGAACTGTTTGCTTGGCCAGAAATCACGAGTGAGGAGAAAAATGAGAAGAGAGCGTGGGGGCATCAGCAAGCCCCCACATTCTTGTCTTCTTCTAAACACCAAACTTGTTGCTGTCACAGTTTCCTTTTCTTCAATAAAGAATAAGACAGGAGCCACTTACATACACATCAGAAAACAGAGTCACCTCACGGTCTCTCAGAGGCCACCAGTGCCTCTCTCCTCCCAACACTCCTCTCTTTTAGAGGTGTTGGAAAAGTTGACTCAGTCATATAATCTTCTTACATTTAGAAGTTTAGTTTGAATCATCTTAGTGTTCCATCTTTATTAAGAAATGTTGAGCTGCTGGCTGGGCGCGGTGGCTCATGCCTGTAATCCCAGCACTTTGGGAAGCCAAGGCGGGTAGATCACTTGAAATAGGAGTTTGAGACCAGCCTGGCCAACATTGTGAAACCCTGTCTCTGCTAAAAATACAAAAATTAGCCGGACAAGACAGTGCACGCCTGTAGTCCCAGCTACTTGGGAGGCTGAGGCAGGAGAATGACTTGAGCCTAGGAGGCAGAGGTTGCAGTGAGCCGAGGTCATGCCACTGCACTCCAGTCTGGGTGATGAGAGTGAAACCCTGTCTCAAAGAAAAAAAGAAAAAAAAAAAAGAGATAAGAAAAGAAATGTTGAGCGTTGAGCTGCTAATTGTGCAAGTTTGCTCCTAAGGATAGTGGCCACTTCAGGTCAGGATGGTCTTATTTTTTTCAATCACACTCTTTCAAAGATGGGGAAACCCTTAGAGTCTTTCTCTTCCACCTCTCCCATTTTACAAGTGGGAAACTGAGTCACTGAGAAGTAAAGTGCTGTGGCTTTCATGGAGGAAACAGGACTCACTTCTAGCCTCCAAGTCCCCAGCCTGACATGCCCATGACCACTGTTTTTTCCTTTTTATTGAGTGTAGCATCGACACAATAAGGTTTTAAAGCTCAATGCTCTTGTCACATTTTCTTGCTTGTTGTTCTTGTATTCCATTACAAATCTGACCCTGACCCTTTTTGAAAGGGGTCATTCAAAGAGGGTGAGGAAGGAGAGGGAAATGAGCTTGGGCATGACCTAATCAACTCATGGTTACTAAGTTTCTCAGGAATGGAGCCTTTTTTCTAAGGTAGAGAAGTGGAAGTGAAAAGAAAGTGGGAGCCACAGAGAGAGGATCTGGGGAAGGGGTGGGGGCCTGACGACACCATTAGTTCTGGGGTTACATACACTCCCAGTGGTCCTCGCTGAGCCCCGAAGCCTAACCAGAGCACAGTCATGAAGCAACATCCACCTACAAAATTGGTGGCCTGGAAATTCACACACAGATTTCATTCCATTATTGATGAAAGAGGTAGGAAGAAAGAACATAATTATTAGAAATAACTTGAAGAAAAGGTGGTTCTTAAATTTTAAAACTTATTAAAAATAAAGTGCCTTGCCCACCTCCCAACTCCAGAGATTCTGATACAGTTTAGTGTGGAGGCCAGAAATATATTTTTCTTGTTGTTGTTTATGGTGAACGTCTAGTCCTCCATTAGTGGCTTAAAAAAAATCAACTATTTTGGGAAATCATTTTAGAGCTACAAAGAAAGTCACACAGACAGTATTGTGAATTTAGTATACCCTTCACCTCCATTCCATTTCCCCTAATTTTAATTTAAAAAATTGTGGTAAAATATACATAATATAACATTTACTATTTTAATTATTTTAAGTGTACAGTTCAATGGCATTAAGAATATTCATTCACATTGCTGGGCAACCATCACCATCATCCATCTTTTATCTTCCCAAATGGAAACTATGTAGCCATTGAATGATAACACTCCGTTCTGTCTTGGCAGCCATCATTCTACTTTCTGTCTCTATGGATTTGACTCTGTTAGGTACCTCATATAGATGAAATCATGCAATATTTGCCCTTTTGTATCTGGCTTGTCTCACTTAACGTAGTGTCTTCAAGGTTCATTTATATTGCAGCATGTGTCAGAATTTCATTCCTTTGTAAGTCTCAATAATATTCAATTGCATGTATATACCACGTTTTCTTTCTTCATTTGTGTGTTGATGGATATGTGTATTGTTTCTACCTATTGACTATTGTGAACAATGCAGCTATGAACCTGGGTTTGCAAATATCTGTTCAAGTCCCTGCTTTCAATTCACTTGGTTAAATACCCAAAAGCGCAACGTTAATTTCATACACAATTGTGGAACATTACTATTCACTTAATTTTCGCATACTATTCACTTACTATTTACAGACTTTATTCAGATTTCACCAATTTTTCCACTAAAATTTAATCTTAAAATAAGCACTCCAGGAGATTCTGGTTCACAGATCAATGTTTTATAAACATTATTTTTTAAATGACAGATTGTGTCCAGGAAGCAGTGCCATATGTTGGAAAGTTGACCTAGGACTGAGGTTCTGTACACTGAATCTGGAACAGGTTCGAAAGCAGCCAGTGGAGATTCACTGCCTTCCACTGGGCCTAGTTTTCTCCATCTTTCAAAGAGAATGGTTTGAGAATTATCTGGAGTCTTCTAGAGAAAAGAAGCTCTAGAATGTAAAGTTGTTCTCTAGGTAAAAGCTTTCCAGACAGCTGCTGACAAAAGAGAAACTGGCTAGCACTTCTGAACTCTCTTAATAATTATATTATTATTAATTTGCATAAAAGAAGCAAGATTTCAACTAAATGGCAATGGTTCTAGGATTCTTTCACAGTAGTGTTAATTCCTTATATAAGGAGCATGGGAGTATTTTTCTGTAAGAATCAGCCTGACAGAGCCCTATAGAACTGAGCCTCTGAAGACGTGCACTGACCAGCACAGGGAAGAAGAGTTAAAGATCTCTAAACATGTGAAACGGCATTATTAATACTGCTCCAGGCATATGGTATGTTTCAGGAACCCTTTTAAGTTAGTCTTCTCATGTGGAAGATTTGGGAGCAAATGCGAAATGAACCCATGGGAACATCTTTATGACGCTGCTTTGGATGCAGCACTGAAGTGTGCCTTTCATGGTAGAAGGATGTGAAACCATAAACGGGAGACTGAAGATACTCCAAGGAAGCATTAAAACAAGGAAGCAGGCAGGGCACGGTGGCTCACGTCTGTGATCCCAGCACTTTGGGAGGCCAAGGCAGGCGGATCACGAGGTCAGGAGTTCGAGACTAGCCTGACCAACATGGTGAAACCCCATCTCTACTAAAAATACAAAAATTAGCCAGGCATGGTGGCACACACCTGTAATCCCAGCTACTCAAGAGGCTGAGGCAGGAGAATTGCTTGAACCCGAGAGGTGGAGATTGCAGTGAGCCGAGATGACACCACTGCACTCTAGCCTGGGTGACAGAGCGAGACTCTGTCTCAATGAAAAAAAAAAAAAAAAGAAGAGAAAAAAATAAGGAAGCAACGGTAATTCAAAGAGAGGGGAGGGCCTGGGCTGAAATCTGGTTTGGATTCTATTAATCTCAGTGACTTGGGAAAAGCCCTAGAGGGCCCTTAACAAAGGGAGAGGCAGTCATGACCTCGGCACCAGCATCTTGGCATCTTTTCAGAGAGGTGTCAAATCCTGGGGACCCCCTTGTGGTAGCCCTGACTCAGAAGGAAACATACCAGCTACTATAGTACATCATCGCATACCACTTCCTGAAGGGCTTTGGGTTTTCCCTAGAAGGCTATATTGCTATGTGCAGGTCCTGCCAGGAACAAGCTTGAGCTCAATAGCTAAAGGGGGGAGCGGGGGAAGAAGCAGAGCAGAACGTACACCTTTTGTGGTGTGTTTACTACATATACATACAGACTTGCCCCCACTCACAGTTTATTATCTGTGCCTTATAATCCATATATGGAAGATAGGCATGGAAGTAGAGAAAAACAAAATGGACCTTTAGAAGGAAGAGGGAAATAAATCAGTCAACGGCCTAGGTCAGCCTTTCCCAACTTTGTGAGCTTTGAAATAGCAGATATTATGCAAAGGCAGAATTCTACAGTCGGATAAGTTTAGGAAAGATTGGATAAAACAAATTCGAACAGTATGAAGATTTCTTAAAGAACTAAAGGAAGAATTACCATTTGATCCAGCAATCCCACTGCTGGGTATCTACCCAGAAGAAAAGAAGTCATTATGTGAAAAAGACACTTGCACATTTGTGTTTATAGCAGCACAATTTGCAATTGCAAAAATATGGAACCAGCCCACCAACAAATGAGTGGATACAGAAAATGTAATACATATGTGTGTGTGTGTGTGTGTGTATACCATGGAATACTACTCAGCCATAAAAAGGAACAACATAATGGCATCCACAGCAATCTAGATGGAGTTGGAGATCATTATTCTAAGTGAAGTAATACAAGAATGAAAAAACAAACATTGTATACTCTTACTTATAAGTGGGAGCTAAGTTATGAGGACACAAAGGCATAAGAATAATATAATGGACTTTGGGGACTCAGGGAGAAGGGTGGGAAGGGGGTGAGGAATAAAAGTCTAACATTGGGTACAGTGTACACTGCTCAGGTGACAGGGGCGCCAAAATCTCAGAAATCAACAATAAAGAATCTATCCATGTAAAAACCATCTGTTCCCCAAAAGCTATTGAAATAAAAATAAACAAATACATAAATATAAACATTTATTATTAGATCTCTTAGAATTGTTAATATACTGATGGAATTGTACATTTATTTTCTCACATTTATGTCATTAAACAAATGTTTTTAAAATCATCGTGCAGTAGAACTCTGTGGAGCACCCTTTGGGAAACACTGAGCTACTTGCTTGAGCAGTACCACTTCCTGAGCTTCTTGGCAGGCAAGAAAATTAGAGAAACATGATGGGCTATTGTTTTTTAACCAGATATAAGCCTATCATTTTTTTTTAGATTCTAAGTTGTAAATAAATTTTTGGATTAGTTATGTACTGCAAAGAGTCATTGAACCACATAATGACACACAATAAACTATCTCTTTAAAAATGGTTTAATTATACATGTAGAATAATTTTGTATGTTTTTATTTTTACTGTATCAAATATTGGGTATGAGACATTTTGCATCGGGAGAAGGGGAGTAGGCCTGTTGCTTTCTGATAGTCTAGTTAGATAGAAATCACTAAATTTAGAATACCTTGAACTTCTTTTCCTTGAACGCAAATTCATTTATCTATGAATAAGCATTATGATTATGACTGCAGTTGAAATACCCTAATTTGACTTTCGAGTCTCCAGCAGGATCCATAAACTGCTTCTCAATTGAAGGAATTTCCATAAGCTTTTGATACCAGACCTGCATATTAGCCACTTTGGATATTTTGACATTTGAGAAGGCTGGTCTCTTCTTTCACCTAAACATAAGCTCTTCCATCTCTTCCAAAGACAAGTCCCAGGGCAATCCTACAGGCAGGATTGAGACTTTCTCAGGAAGCTTCCTTGGGTTTGATGGAATGCTCAGGAAGGGGCTTGAGCAAGATCGTACAGACCTGGCCAGGATAACTGAGTAGAAACGTGCCATTAGTAGCAAGGAAGAAGTTGTCTTTCCTTCTCTGATGGCAGAGCATTTCTTAGAAAGTAAAGAAATGCAGAAAATGTCATCACAGCTGTCTTATCTACTTGATCTCATTACTCCTTATTAACACAAGAAGACTCTGGACAGTTATAGTGAAAGTCCCGATAAGAAGGAAGTGGTCACTTTCAAACTAATGTAGCATATCAAGATGATGATAAACAAGAAAAGTCTAACTATTCAATAATCAATAATATTGATTCTTAATTGGAGATATAACATTTGTTCCTCCCTATCTCTTCCATCACCTCACTACATGATGCATCTGCAAACACACACACACACTAACCAGTTGGGCCTCGTTCCTTTTTTTGTTCACCTATTGCACCCAGTTTTGCTGTTTATCAGAAAATTACCACATGATGTTGAAATAAACTGCTTATGTGTCATCTTCCTCATAAAACTACAGACTCTTTGAAGATAGGTTCAACATATTATCATCTTAATATTCCACTGACCAATGTAGAAAATATTTATCAAATGTGTTGAGTATATCACCATTCACTAGTTACATGGACACTCATTTATGCTATGCTTACTGGTGAATTTGACCAGCTGTTTCCTTTTATGATTTAACACACTCATTTTAGATGAGTGGCCCATCAGAAAATAAGCTTTTTAGTACAGACTATAAAATGCAGATACCATCTCTAAAGAACCTATATTCATTTGTTTCAAGAGAAATATAACTTTGAGACATGAAAAGAATATAAACTTTAAGATAAATCTGTCAGTATCATTTGAGAATTCAGTTAAACTTGAGAAAATCAGAATAATGATTTGATACTGTTTGGATTCGTGTCCTCACCCAAATCTCATGTTGAATTGGAAGAAGTCTAGTGGAAAGCAATTGGATCATGGGGGCGAATTTCCCCCTTGTTATTTTCATAATAGTGAGTGAGTTCTCATGAGACATAATGGTTTAAAAGTGTGTGGCACTTCCCCATTTGCTCTCTCTCTTCTGACATCATGTGAAGAAGGTGCTTGATTCCCTTCAGCCTTCCACCATGATTGTAAGTTTCCTGAGGCCTCCCAGGAACTTCCTGCTTCCTGTACAGCTTGCAGAACTGTGAGTCAACTAAACCTCTTTTCTTCATAAATTACCCAGTCTCAGCTAGTTATTTATAGCAGTGTGAGAACGTACTAATACAGAAAATTGGTACTGGGAGTGGGGCACTGCTATAAAGATACCCAATAATGTGGAAGCAATTTTGGAACTGGGTAATGGGCAGAGGTTGGAACAGTTTGGAGGGCTCAGAAGAAGACAGAAAGATGTGGGAAAGTTTGGAACATCCTAGAGACTTGTTGAATGGTTTTGACCAAAATGTTGATAGTGATATGGACAATGAAGTTCAGCCTGAGGTGGTCTCAGATGGAGATGAGGAACGTATTGGGAACTGGAGTAAAGGTCACTCTTGCTATGCTTTAGCGAAGAGACTGGGGCATTTTGCCTCTGCCCTAGAGATCTGTGGAATTTTGAACTTGAGAGAGAATACTTAGGGTATCTGGTGGAAGAAATTTCTAAGCAGTAAAGCATTCAAGATGCAATCTGGCTGTTTTTAAAAGTGTATACTCATATACATGAACAAAGAGATGATCTGAAACTGGAACTTATATTAAAAAGGGAAGCAGAGCATAAAAGTTTGGAAAATTTGCAGCCTGACCATGCAGTAGAAAAGAAAAACCCATTTGCTGGGGAGAAATTCAAGCCAGCTGCAGAAATTTGTTAATAGCCAAGACAATGGGGGAAAATGTCTCCAGGACATTTCAGAGACTTTCATGGCAGCTCCTCCCATTACAGGCCTGGAGGCCTAGGAGGGAAATATGGTTTCACCTTGGGACATGGCACCTTGCATCCCAGCCACCCAAGATACAGCTCAGGCTGTGACTTCCTAGGGTGTAAGTCCCAAGCCTGGTGGCTTCCACTTGATGTTGGGCCTGCAGCTATGCAGAAGGCAAGAGTTGAGGTTTGGGAACCTCTCCCTAGATTTCAGAGGATGTATGGAAATGCCTGGATGTCCAGGCAGAAGTCTGCTGCAGGAACGGAGTCCTCATGGAGAACTTCTACTAGGGCAGTGTAGAAGGAAAAGGTGGGGTTGGAGCTCCCACACAGAGTCCTCACTGGGGCACTTCCTAGTAGAACTGTGAAAAGACAGCCACCATCTTTCAGACCTCAGAATGGTAGATCCATTGGCAGCTTGCTCCATGCACCTTGAAAAGCCACAAACACTTAATGCCAGCCAATGAAAGAAGCCACTGGGGCTGTAACCTGAAAAGTCACAGGGGTGGAGCTGCCCAAGGCCTTGGGAGTCCACCTCTTGCATCAGCATACCCTGGATATGAGACATGGGATAAAAGGAGACTATTTTGGAGCTTTAAGATTTAATGACTGCCCTACTGGGTTTTGGACTTGCATGGTGCCTGTAGCCCCTTTGTTTTGGCCAATTTCTCCTAAATGGGAGCATTTACCCAATGCCTGTACCCGCATTGTATCTTGGAAGCAATGAACTTGCTTTTTATTTTGCAGGCTCATAGGCAGAAGGGACTTAATTTGTCTCAGATGAGACTTTGGACTGTGGATTTTTGAGTGAATGTTAAAATGAGTTAAGACTGGGGAACTGTTGAGAAAGAATAATTGTATTTTGCAATGTGAGAAGGACATGAGATTTGGGAGGGGCCAGAGGCAGAATGATATGGTTTAGATTTGTGTCCCCAACCAAATCTCATGTTGAATTGGAGGAGGGGCCTAGTGGAAGGTGGTGTATCATGGGGGTGAATTTCCCGCTTGTTTCTCTCATGATAGTGAGTAAATTCTCATGAGATCTGATGGTTTAAAAGTGTGTGGCACTTCTTCCTTTGCTTTCTCTCTATCCTGCAGCCATGTGAAGAAGGTGCTGACTTCCTCTTCACCTTCTGCTATGATTATAAGTTTCCTGAGGTCTCCCAGTCATGCTTCCTGTACATCCTGAGGAACTGTGAGTCAATTAAACCTCTTTTACTCATAAATAACCCAATCTCAAGTAGTTCATTGTAGCAGTGTGGGAACAGACTAATACATGATTATATGCCAGATAACAGACAAGTAATACTTCTATTATTACTTGAGTTTAAGAGCCCTAGTTCACTCTGTGTTCTACCAAAATTCCTTTGTTTCATGTTTGAGAAAGAAACAGATTAAAACCATCATGTAGAAGGGAATTTATTTTCTAAAATCCTTATCCTTATACAGTAATTCCACCTTATCCTAAAGGGATGTGTTCCAAAGCTTCCATTGGATGTCTAAAGCTACAGATATGATTGAATTCTTTATATACTATGTTTTTTCCTATATATACATACTCATGCTAAAGTTTATAAGTTAGTACAGAAACAGATGAACAATAACTGAAAATAATATAGAACAGTTATAGCAATATACTGTAATAAAATTTATATGAATGTTGTTTCTCTCTCTCTCTCTCAAAGTATCTTATTGTACTGTACTCACTTGTTTTTTGACCTCAGTTGACCCTGAGTAACTGAAACTGCAGAATGCTCAACCTCCCCTGATGAGGTGGGACAACTGTACACAAATAATATGAATTCCTCTAAAGAGGATTAAGAGGTCAGGTTCTTTACATTTTGGTCTGCATCCTAGCATTTCCTCAAAAAAGTGTTTCAGGCATTGGAAAATTGTATTCTGGAAGAGGTGCTCTCCAATAGAAATATAATATAAGCCATGTATATAATTTTAAATTTTCTAGTAGCATCATTAAAAAAGAAACAAGAAACAGGTAAAAAGTATTTTAATAATATATTTTATTTAACCCAATATATCTAAAATACTATCATTTCAATATGCAATCAATATAAAATGATTCCTGAGATATTCTCCATCCTTTTTTTATCCAAATTCTTTGAAATCCAGTGTGTATTTCATACTCACATTTCAATTTGGACTAGTCACATTTCCATGCTCAACAGTCACATGTAGACACTGGTTAATATTGGTCTAGAAAACCCATCATATGAGAAGAAGCTATTTATTTTTCTTATGTCATGTATGATTTTGTTGAGAAGATATCAGCATCAGAGTCAATGGGTCTAGTGGTGCTAAGTTGAGCTGTAGAATTTGATAATGAATATTTATCAAGTTCTTAATGTGTTCTAAGCTTTGTTTTAGATACTGGGACTATAGTTGTAAATAAGAGTCAAAATTTACTCCCTTATGGAACTAACATTCTACTATGTGACACAGACAACAAACCAGACACATTTAATATAATCTAGGTTAAATGGTGGTAAGTGCTAAGGAAAAAATAAGGAGAGGTAAAGAGAAATAGAGAATGTTGAGACGGCAATCTAAGTTTTAGAAATAGTTGCCAGTTGCCTTCTTAATTAAAAGGTGACATTTAGTTAAAGACCCTCTGGCAATATTCCATGAAAATTATGACCTTGGATAACTTGGATTTTTAAGTAAACATTGTTGAAATGTATAGGTGAGTTTTTCTCTTAGATTTAAAGGTTTCAGGCCAGGTGTGACTCTCAGGTGAACTTGAGGAAGGACTGTCTAGAGGTCTGAGCCCTCAGAAAAGAGGCTATGTAATGACTTCATAGGACAGTAAACATAAGTGAACATGTTAATGAGACACAGATGGAACAAAATTCTCATGAAGAAAAGTTTCAAGGTGGTAACGAAATTTTGACTTAGCGTCATATTATATTGGACAATTTGGAATCCCCACTTTAACCTTATATTTTGATAAACTTGCTTTGCAGGTTTCAATTCTTCTTACCATTATAAACTTCTTACTTTTGTTTTGTTTTTGAAAGTCAGTACAGAGCCTTGGCAGTGTCATACAGAAGCTCTTGTGTTACAGGTCCCTTTACTTCTAGATTAGTGGGTTTCCCCCTTTCTCTGGTGAATACAAGATGAGTTACCCTCAATGAGGCTCATAAGCAAGTGTGTCTTTTGAACTGAAATGGTGTTCAGTGGGTGCCCTGTGCAACTGTGGCCTCAAAAATAGTTGTAGGGTGACCCTGACTTACTCCTTTCTAGGTTTCCCCTGGACTGAGCACTATGAGGAGAGAGACCTCATTGCATTCCCCACTCCTTTTCTCTCCTTGCTGAGACTTGGTCCAGAACCTCACATCCTATACAAACAGTACATGCTGAGGGCAGATGTGCTTAGAACACCTCCCTGAACTCTCTCAAACTCTCTTCAGTGCTTCACGACTAACACCTCAATAGTGAGCATTCCTCACTGAGTGCCCTCAACTCTTTTTGTTTCATCTGCTTGTTAGTTTTCATAAGTTAAATGTTTGCACTGTACTGCTGTACTATCTTTTAATGAAAATGGTTCCAGGCTATTTTATTTAAAAACATAGGCTCATAGAATGCTCATTTCAGGAAACAAAAAGGAGTAATTCTTCTGAAATTCCTGTAAGAGTATATGGGATATGGTGATAGGAAGAAACCCACTGGGTTTAGCCAACCAGGGCAATTTACTGAAAAAGAGCCTTGGGCAGAAAGAGCCCCACTGAAAGTAGCAGTACAGGAGAATGCCAAAGACCTCATTTAGCCCTTCCTCTTTCCTTCAGAAGGGTTTTAAATAAACCATTCCAAATAATTAAATTTTGATTTGAAATACTTCAAAATTATAGGAAAATTCCCATAGAGTAGGCAGGCCAAGACAGAGGCAGTTATAGCCCCTTTTAATAGGACCTTTATAAGGGAGGCTGGAGCCCAATGAGATCAAAACAAGGGAAGGTGTTCTGACCTCACCCCGTAGCATAGATTAAACTCCTAACCTCAGTCTGCCCAGGAGATGAAAATCATTGCAGCTGCTTCAAGGCCACAGCCAGTCACACATGAGAGTTGCCTCATATCCCAGGGCTCACCCTCAAATCTGCCTCCACCACCCTTGCTTGGCTAGCAGGTTGTGGATTGGAAGGAGGCCACTGGGGATGGTGCATTAGTCCATTTGCATTGCTATAAAGGAATATGTGCGGCTGGGTAATTTATAACAAAAATAAGCTTATTTGGCTCACAGTTCTGCAGGATGCACACAAAGCATCGTGCCAGCATCTGCTTCTGGTGAGGGCCTCAGGAATGTTATAGTCAAGGTGAAAAGTCTAAGGGGAGCCTGGATGTCACATGAGGGAGAGAGTGAGCAAGAGAGAGGGAGCTGGAAGTTCCAGGCTTTCTTAAACAACCAGATATTGGGTGAACTCACAGAGCAAGAATTTACTCATTACCATGAGGGGGCACCGAGTCATTCATGAGGGATCCACCTCCACGACCCCAACACCTCCCACCAGGCCCACCTCCAACATGAGGATCACATCTCAGCATGCGAATGGAGGGGATAAAATATCCGAACATATCAGATGTGGAGTGAGGCCACAGTGCTTTTCATGTTCACAACATTATCATTACTCTGCATGCCCTCTTGTCCCAGTGTTTATTTACTTTGTATTTTGTTTCTTTGCTCCTTGCTGGGGACCTGCTCTGGGAAGTCGGGGACCATTCTGGTTTCTCCTAATGAAGGAAGGTAGAGGTGAAGAAAAGGTGGAGGTGCCCAGGAGCAAACTTCCAGGAAACAGCTGAGACACAGAAAGACGCCCCTTCCAGATCCTTCACTGCCACCTTCTCCTGCATCAAGGGCCTGGCCTGATAGATGAAAAATTGTCCTGTGGAAGAATAGTGTCACATAATTCACTTTATTAACAAAAATCCATCTTCAAAGCCCCAGTTGATTGAGATGTTGGCTAAAAGAAACTCCAAGGTGTATGGGAGCACCCTGAGAAAGGCTGAGGGAAAATTTCACAGGGACTCTGCAAAGCATGAGATACTGAAAGGCCTGCTGAGGCCACATGAAGGAGACAGGAAACTGTTTCCATAAACAGCATGGCAAGTAATTGCTGTGGAACTTCATTAGACGCTGGATTTAGTCTAACGCACTTGTCTCTGTCAGTTCCCCTGTCTTCAGGTTTCTCCTCCAATAGCGACACTGTGGCTCTCAGTGCTGGGGTGGGGGACTTATGCCACATGGGGCAGTCATTGGAGCAGATCACTTGAAAGAGACAAGAGTAGGGTGTTGGAAGAACAAGGGAGTTCCTAGAAATACTCCCCAGTTCTTTTACTCATTCTTATTTTTGTAGGATTTGTAAGCCAAGCCCATGAGAACTGTTATAGGATGTATGTAATAAAAAGACCTCCCAGCTTCCACTCCTGCTCCGGTGTGCAGGGACAAGCTGTGTCTGTGACTTAAGACCCTCCATGTCTGGCCTTGATTTCTTTGGCTCTCCAGGTAGGCAAAGGAAATTGATGATAACCTGCTTTTGGGTGATTAGTATTGCATTCCAGAGAGGTAAGCTAGAGGGGTCTATTTATTACTGTCCTTGGTCCAAAGTGCAATTCTCTGCTCATTCCTCTGTCTCTGCATTTGTTCACTCACTTATCCACCAACAAATGTTTACTGACTGCCTACTCTGTGCCAGGCAGTAGTTTGAGTTCTATGGGTAGAATGGTGAATAAAGCAAAGTCCCGTCCATCAAGGAGCTTAGATTTTGTAACCACACCTGATATCTATGTAGCAACTTTCATCTAGATTTGTCAACACCCGTGCAGATGTACTTTACAGAATGATTTTGCCCTACCAACAGCGATTATTCCTTAGCGTTGAAAATGCTTTGTTGAAAGTCCAAATCTTTCTTTACTCCCACTACATGTGGCAGCCTCCAGCCTCCTTCCATGACTGTTCACAACAGTCCCTCAGGTCTGAGCTCATTGCTCCCTCACCTTGCTAGACAATTCTTCCTTCCGTACCCTTGCTCCTGCTCTTGATTTATATTTATAATTGGCTAACTTATTTTATCATTTTATGTATAATATTCTGTCTGCCCACTTACACTGAAAACTTTCTGAATGCAGGATCTAAGTCTTTTAATTTTTATCTATTATTCTTGAACAACTAGTGCAGTGCAGTTTTATTATAGACGCAGACTCCAATCTTTCCTCCTTTGCATTGTGTTAGTTTGCATTCTGCTTATTCTGCTCTTGAAGATATGCCTAGTAAATAGCCGTAATTCAGTTTCTGCTACTCTGCTTGCTTTTTTGATGCTGTCTGTTGATAACGCTTGAACATCTGTCTTATTCTCCACTGTATCCCCTACATGCAGCAGAGTACCTGGTATAATAATAGAAACTTAATACATATTTCTTGATTATCTGTTGGCTGATTGACTGGCTGGTACAGAAACAATCTGCACAATCTGTAGCATGACCAATCTTTAGGAACACTGTGCAACATACAAGAATTCCAGAGCTTTCCTGCAGATGTCTAGAAATACCCACAGATTGGCCTGAAGAAGCTGAAGTTGAAGAAAAGACGCCACCGAGCCAAAGAATGAGGCCACATGTAAAATATTTGTATGCCATATTTTGCCCTTCAGAATGATTATGTTTTGGCTGGAAGGCGTGAGACCATATGCTTTTACTGTTTGCCTTATAAAAATGAGAGACAATAAGGAAGAGAAAGAGACTTGAAATTTGAAGAAGATACACTGTGGGCATTGAAGATGAAAGAAGAAGCCACAGGTCAAGGGTTGCAAAAGAATGCACATAGGATCAAGAACCTAAAAAGGGAAGGAAAATGGGTCCTCCCCTAGAGCACTGAGAGGGAATGCAGCCATACCAACACACTGATTTTAGAAAGTCTGACTCCGAATTAGAAGATAGTAAATTTACATTGCTTTAAACACTAATTTTTGGCCATTTCTTACAGCACTGTTAGGAAAAGAATACAATGTCCAGTGCAGCCAAGAGCTCTTGGAACAACCTTAGGGTCTGGCAGTGTAATCTAAAATGTATAAATAATGATAGTCCTGAAACACCAAGGTGGAAGACCTGGATTATCTGAGAAGAAAAGGGAACCCCATAATGTGAAGCACAAACTGAGTGCTGAGTTTTCTAAATATCTACAGAAAAACATGTTCCCTTGAGGCAGAAGTACAGAGTTAAGAGCTTGTAACTCCATGCTAATTTTGACCACACAAACTTGGTCTGAGAAACCTAAAATGGAAGTTGACTTACAATTTATGGATCTGGAGGAGAATATCCGCAAGTAACTTATACGCAACGTGAGAATAAAGGAAGGTGCAGAACAGAATCTATGAACAGCTTTTTATATGATGAGATGTGATGTGTTCTCCAAGTCTCATTTCCTCCAAAAATCTTCCTTTCCCAGCTGCCACAGTGTTTGGGTTAAAGTAATGTCTCCAATCCCTGTAGTTGTCATCTACAAAGAACATCCCCACTATAAAACAGACTCAAAGTCTACAGACCTCCATTAAATAACAGAGGGTGATTTTCCTTATGAAAAACACCACATGAGGCCCGTTAATAGGTCTCCAGATAGGATTTGATTGCATGATATCCAGTACACAATCTATCCTGCAGGCCAGCTCCAACCTAAACCCAGTGGGAAGCCCCTGGCCTTCACTTAAAAGGGATGCAGAGCCAGACTCCAGAGTCAACAAGATTTGTTTAATTGACCCTTTTTCTGTGTAGCTTACATTTATGTGTTTTGTAGCTCCATCTCCTTTCTGTGCTCCCAGCCTCCGTTCAGGCAGCCCTAATGGGAACTGCCCAGGATTTCTGAACTACCTTTACTTTAGTTGGTCAGTGTCCACATGCATTCATATTGTTCACACACATCAATTATATAAAGTGTCCTTACAAGTTTACTTTTTTCTTTTTTTTTTTGAGATGGAGTCTCACTCTGTCGCCCAAGCTGGAGTGTAGTGGTTTGAACTTGGCTCACTGCAACCTCCGCCTCCTGAGTTCGAGCAATTCTCCTGCCTCAGCGTCCCAAGTAGCTAGGACTGCAGGTGCACACCACCATGCCCAGCTAATTTTTTTTGTATTTTAGTAGAAACCAGGTTTCACCGTGTTGCCCAGGCTGGTCACGAACTCCTGAGTTCAGGCAGTCCAGCCGCCTCGGCCTCCCAAAGTGCTGGGATTACAGGCATGAGCCACCGCACCCAGCCTACATGCTTACTTATATGTTTGGCCTTTGTATCGTAAGGGTTTTGATGGCAGGGACTGTATCTGGTCCTCTATCATATCCTAAGTCACAGAAATAAGATGAAATAAATCCCCAAATCTGAAATACCTGGTAATGCTAATTCCTAGTCTATGTTATTATCTACTTTATCTGTGATTCTTTTCAGATTAATGGATAAGCCACACAATCATTAGAATGTAAACATCTTGAGGGCAGGGACCATAAGATCATCTTTCCTTAAAGAAAGGTCAGTTACATCACAGGCTCTTAGACTGGGAGGGAAAACGCTGCTTTGCCAAATAGTGTGTTCCTGCTCATTGGAGGTATTTACCTCCAAAGGTAATGAAGAGGCTCTGGGTACCTGTATGGATGTTGTACAGAGTACTTATGCACAGAGGGTAGGTGTTAATACTAAGTTATTTCTAAATTCCTTACAATATTATAATTCTGTGTCCTTAGTCATTCAAGCCATACCCTCTGAGAAGGTCTATCCGACCAGGCATTTGGCTGGAAATGATACAAAAAACATGCAAAATCTGATCTAATCTTCCCTGTGCTTTTCTCTCCAGACTTTGTCTTTCAATTCTCCCTCATCTATTTGTGTCTGGTCAAGCTGGAAACTCACAGTTCCCCTCAGGTACCCTGATATCTCTTACCTTTAGGCTGGTTAATTGCCAAGAATGCAAATCCTTGGTCTTTCTTTGCAGGTTTTCCTGTTCTGTTTCTTTCAGGATTCAACACATACATCATGGCCTTCCATGAAGCTTTTCCTGACTCTGTGAGACTATACTGGATATCTCTGCCATAAGTTCCCATAGTACCCTGAGTTCAGGGCAACTGCATTTTCATTTACTGTTCATTTTTATCTGTCCAGTAGACTGTAAGTTCCTTGGGGAAAGGACCACATCTGGTCTCTCTATATCCCCAGTAATCATCATAATGCCTAGTATATAGTAGATGCTCAAAAGTGTTTGTTAATCTCATGCTTAAATAACTGAAATTTAGTTAATGAATAATAGAGTGTCAAAATGCATTAACTTAGTATTCAATTTAAGCCCAGTTGTCATAATTATATACTAGTAACATTGGAACTGTTCAAAAGATTGGGGGATGGGGGGCAGAGAAAGAGAGAGAGAGAGAGAGGGAGAGAGAGAAATGAAATTCACAGTATTTGCATGCCAAGACACTATTTTCTATTTTTGTTCATGATGGCCTGATTACCCCGCCTTTAGTTTTACCTTCCACTCCACAGGCTGGAAACTTGGGGTGAAAGTGTCAGTACAAAGGCATTGCCCCTTTTCCTGTGAGTGAACCACTCACATCAGGAAGTTGTAAAAGTGTAAAGAGTATGTCCTTCCCCCACAGCACTGAATCCATGCATAGGCCATGTGGACAGCTTTCTGTATGGCATGATTTTTCCAGAGTTTTTCAGCAAGGAATAATCTTTTTCACCAGCCTCCCATTATGTATGAAACCTCTGCAACTAAAATCACTCCTTTTCACATAAAGCTGTATCTTCAGAAATTTCCTTTTTATACACAAAGCAGATACCTGGAATGGATATCACAATTAATGTTAACAAAAATGGATGATTTGACGGGATTAGTCCCCATCACGAGAGAATTGTGCCCCAAGAAATGAACCACAGAAAGGTTCTTGATGATAAATCTGATGCCAGGAAAGATTCGGGCCTGAAATGCAGGTAGACGTGGGAGGTCCCAGTGTGAAACTCTGTTGTATGAAGTAGCTCAAAGTCTCAGGTGTCCATTTGGAAAAGAAGGGGTATAGTGGATGAGAAAGATACAGCTTTTTGGTTTTGTAATGATGTGGTTCCACTCACACCCAAAATGGGCTTTCAAGGTTAGGACATATTTTTCTTGGTATGTACAAGACATCACAAGGTATCTTGGTTTCTCTGTTTTCTTGTGAAGGTGTAACGCTCTCTTTCTTCAGGGTGTGTCTCGTTGCCACAGTTTAGAAGTGTAACATTTTGACTGCACCTTTGAAAACAGAGTGAACCTTTGTGGCTCCTTATCTTCTATGATTCTGTTTAAAGAAAACAAAACATATAGACAATGTTATGCACACAAGGCCTGAATCAAGCAACAACATACTTATTTGTAGAGATTATTAGTACAGTGTGGTCACACATTTTATTTTCCACAAGCACGTGAGAAGCTCTGCTAAGCCCATTCTGTGAAATGCTTTCTGTCTTCTGCTGGGGGAGTTTCCTTTTGCTGCCTGGTGTTCGAGGGACTCTCTATGAACATTTTCCCTCTAGAGCAAAAATAATTATGGGGTGTCAAATCCTAATCATTAATAAACACTAAGATTTAAAGCTTTGGGTTTGATAGAGAGAATCTCCTTTTCCTGTGAATTTCCAGGCTTATTACCTTAGTTGTTAGCCTTGCTTAATGAAACTCAATAGTTCCTGCTGCTTGCCTATTTGGTCATTTTATACCAACCTAGAGTTGAAAGTTTGAGAAAGACATAATTTTCCAGGTGTTCACTCATGTTCTGTTTTACTTACAAGTGCAGACCCAAAACAATGGTTCTAATCAATCATTTGTTTTTCTACAGAACCTATGGGAAGATCAAGAAATGTCACTTCTGAGAAAAAAAAAATGTCTAATGCAAGGAGTGAAGAGAGCTTTTTATATCTTACACTGACCACAACACACAGTTCAGAAAACTTAAATAACCCTAACTAAAATTTGAAAGGTGCTTCAAAGCATAGAAAGTACCTTGACATGTATTTTCTCATTGGATTCTTATAAACCTATAAAACGGTGCTTACTCCATTTCAGAAATGAGAAAATGGCGACCCAGAAAATAAAGCAGCATGCACAAGACTACATGCTACACAGGGGACTGATCTGACACCAAAACTTGACTGCAGATTGTCTGCTTTCAACTCTCACCAGCAAAACAGACAAAAGTGCTTTGGACATGCAAGTGTTTATTATGTTGCATTTTGGAACTCCAGACCTAAAACCAAACATAGACAAATATAAAACAAAACAAAAAAACACTAAAGATCAAACCCATTCTCAAACCCAAACACCCAGAAAATAAAAGGAAATTATTATTATTTTTTTCTCAGGGGAAGCAAGTGGTTGATTTCATGTGGGATTAACTCTCAACTCTGATGAACCTCATGGTCTCCTGGATCTTCCCAAACCAAGGCTCTGGGACAGCAATTAATCAGATGGAAAGTCTGGGGATTTATCTCTCCACCATCACTGCTTTCTGCTGAATGCTGACTTAAAGATGTGAATCCACTCAATTATCTCACAGTTAGGAAGAAGCGAATCTATAGTTCAACGACACAGAGATGAGAGCCCAGGACAATCCCTAAGAGTCTGACTGACAATTAATTAGATAGATAGCATCTTATACTTGGGAAAGACCTTAGAGGTCTCATCCAATCTCCCTCCTGCTATAAGAATCCTTCCCTAGCAAGCCTGACAAATCACCACCTGGTGTTGGCTCCTGAGATGGGAATTTTCATTGTCTCGAGGTACCCGTTCCACTGCTGTGAGATGTGCTCTTGTTGTTAGAATGGATTGCCTTCTTGGGATCAAATTATTTCCCCTTTTAAGCCGTCAGCCCACTTTTTTGGCCTGAAAGATTATGGTTATTTGTGCATTCACATGCTATTCTTTGAATATTTGAAGTCAGCTCTCTTGACTTCCTTAAACTATCTCTTCTCTATTCAAAATATACCCAGCTTCTCCAACTTTTTCTAAATTCATTGATTTTTAAGACTTTCTACAAATAGTTCCATTTTTGTACATTTTTTTTTTGGAGAAATGTTCATAGCTGAATAGGGTCTATTTTTCCTACTTAATCTGACCCATGTACTTTCAATACCTTTACTGGTCATTAGCTCTATACCAGTAAGGCCAAATATATGGTGGTGGGTGATAGTATCAGCTCCCTCAACTCTGCAACCCACTGGAGCTTACCAAATGAGAACTGGTTTTCTTCATGCAATTTACCTCAAAAGCCACACCATCAGCAAGAGGACCAGAACTAATTGTCAAAGTGCAAGCCACAACGAACACACAATTGTCACTTAAAACCAGTTTTTGCTTCAGTAAGCTTTTTTTTTCTATCTAGTATTTTATCTCTTAAAATAAAGAGAAAAAACAGGTAAGAAACTAGTTTACCAATAACTTTGACAAATAGCCCCTGAGGTAGAGGGAGTGACATTTGGAAAGTTGGTAAAAGCCACCAGAGTCAAAGCAACCTAAACAAAAAAAAAAAAGAAAAAAAAAAAAAAACTTGTGGCTATGCTACACTCAACCAGGCCACACCTGTTTTCAGAAACCACTGAGTGTTCTGCAGATACGCAGAGATGCCAGGTCTGACAGTCTCTAAGGCAACCAGATACCGATCATTGTCACACAGTAAGAAATAGGAAGAGACACTGGTAACAAACATTAAGCCTGGTTTTCTCATCTGCTCAACAGTGTAACGGTAGGTGGAGTCAGCTCTGCCTTGAGACTCTTCACTTGTCCAGTCTCAAACTCTAAACACCTACTGGAGTGCAGGGCATCCTGCAGCTGGATAAGTAACTGAAGATCTGAAGCCCACCTCTTAAGCGTAATCCCGCAATCGAATGTGGACTTTGAAATGGGCTTTTGAGGAGAAAAGGACAAGCTGCAGTTTCCCCCGTCTTCTAATTTCCTCATCTGCGAAATAAAACAGAGTGTTTATATGTCCAGAGAGTGGTGAGCCAGTGAACTGGGATGACACAAAGAGATAACTTATCTAATTTGGTTCCCAAACGGGTGGGTTGGATTTTAGTTAATAAGTCACCATCATAGGAAAATATAAGCAGGTCCCTGCTTTCTGAGCATTTATGTCTATTGAAGATGTACAGTATCATGCTTTCCCTTTCTGAGACATTTCCAATCTGTAATATGTCAATAAGAATAAAGCAAATGGGCATTTTGTAAGAAGTTGGCAGAGGTGCAGAATGCATTTAGGAATTGGAATGAGTGCTTGTCTACTGCTTTTCAAATCATTGCATTGGGATTACTTATGCCTGTGTTTTTCTTGCTCCCTAGACTGAGCTCCTTGACATCAGGGGCTCATTTTTGTTTATTGGTGTCGTTCCCACTCTTCCTGGTGTCATGTTTTGCACCTGTGGATAGTCAAGTAATAGTTGAATAGTTGTTCAGTTGAATCATTCTGTTGCTTTTAGGAGGTGCAGTTTGAAGACACTGCAGCTAGACTGAAATCACATAGCCCAGGAAATGGGAAAACATACCGTGAAGATGGGCTAATTAATGATTTATTGTACCTTGAAAAAATTTAAAAAAGTATAAATATTAATGAAAGTATTGGTTTTTAAAGCTTAATGATGATCAGCAGCAGAAGATAAAACTTAAATGATACAACTGGCCAGATGGCAACCATCTTTATTAAAAGGCCTGGTCAGAATAAGAATCATTACATAGAATTGAATATGGGACAGAATGTTGAGAATCAATTATAGTAGTAAATATAACCAGCTTTATAGCAACACCAAGAATTACAGTGAAGTGCAAGTACTGCGAAATAAAATTTAAAATATTGATTTTCAAGGATTTATTTTACATTTTATAGTCAAAATTTAATGCAAAACAAAAAAGAGCCTGAAAATCATACAGTCTTACAACCAAGAAAAAACTGTCTTGGTATGCTTTGTATGAATCTTTTGAGTTTGTCCTTCTCTACACGTATCACAACACATATCACACAAATATACACACATGTATTTTTGTTTTTATAAACTGGGCTAACATATTGTTGCTTTGCAAGTTGCTATTTCACTCAACAGTGCAGTATGGCCATGTTTCTATGTTATTTAACTATTCTCTATTTTTCACAGCTATATATTATTTTATTGTATTTATTTATATACATATTATGTATTAATGGACATTTAGGTTGACTCCAAGGTTTTTGTGTGCTGTTTTCTCACGTATGCTTGTTGTTAAGGCTTTTCATAATGTCTTTGGGGAAAGTTCATGGCAATTTTTTTCTGCTAGCAGTATACAGATGGGACTTTTATCTCCTTTTAATTTCAAAGGAAATGTGGCTACAGATGAAAAATGACATGACACACACCTTCCTAATAGTTTAAGAACACTTGCTCTTAAAAAAAATAAGAAAAATGTAGGGGAAGTGATCTACTCCTCAGAGCTGTCTATATTGATTAGATCTCCAAAGTTGACTAACACTACAACATTTTTTTTAAAAAACATACGATTTAGAATCAGGTTAGAATAATATTATCCTAGGATATATTTTACCTCATCAAGAGTTACATGAACTTTATCACTTAAGAGAAAGTAAGTTATCAAAAGTATGTATTTTTATTTTTTTAAAAAGAGACCACAGAAAAGCTGGGTGAAAACATCAAAATTGTGACTTCTTCTTTATAAGTGGACCCTCTAACTGGCATTTTACCTGCTGTTATCTTTCTCCAAATGCTTCCTAGAAGCATTTTGCTCAAGTTCCATACCTGGGAGGCTTCCAGCTACCATCACAAAATTGTTCTTTTCCTTCATTCCTATGAAAGCAAGAGGATGGTTCAGTGGGTACAAACACAAAATTAGTGAGGGCAAAGCTGCCTCATTTGGGTTATTTAGTTTTGAATACAAGAAAATAAAACACTTCTCCAAAGACCAAGATCATCTGTCTCTCATCCCCAACTAATCAACAGGGAAGAAAAGATGAGGCTTGGATGGTTCAAGACAACTTGTCAACACAACTAGAAAAATTACTTAGCATAGAAGCCTAACTTGCATTGGGTCAGTAGTGTCATCTTGATAGGCAAAACACAGCTGATTTCTCCACTCAACAGTTTTCCCATAGATCTTTCCACTAAAATCTTTTGAAATATGATAACCACACCATAAACTTATGGCTGGCAACCCTATTGGGACAGAAACTAAGTGCAATTCTTACTTTAAAATGTCTCCATTGGTAAAGGAAAACATTCTTGTTCTTATTCAATGAATGTTTCATTTCCTTAATTGGTGATATTAAGGTTGAAGTGAAATAACTCCAAACTCTTGTCCTTTTTTCATTCTTGGGTCCCTGAAAAGTGGTGGTGCTTATAGGTTAAGATCTGACTGTCCAGGCCTGAGTGCTGGTTCTTCTGATAACTAGCTTTGGCAAGTCTTTCACCTCTCTCTGTGCTTCAGTTTCCTCATTTGTCAAAGGTGGATAATGATGGCACTTACTACCAAAAACTGTTGTGAGGGTTAAATCGGTGAATCCATTTAAGGGGTTAGAATAGGGCCTGCCATGCACTCCCTGCACACTAAATGGTAGCTGCTATTGTCACAGTTACTCCTCATCACCGATCAGTGTTTGGACAGAGGGCCTGGTTCTGGCTTTGTGAAGAATTGTCAGGACAGATTTGGTGCTGTCTCACTACAGCACATGTGAGTGTGAGTCTAAGGAGATTTACTGAAAGCTGTAATTCTAAACCCTGAAGGGCCCTGAGGCCTTAGCAAAGACTGTGGGAAATTTGTAGAGGACACCAGAGAGTCATTGCTTTCACTTACACGATTATTGCTTCACCGGTCTTTTCCCACCCATCAGTGCAAAACAAATCCACAGCATAATAAGAAACATGCATGGAGGTTGGGTCAAGAAGGCAGAGAAGAGCAGAAATCAGCCACAGACCGGTCCTGCTGTTCAGCCTATCCTGTTAATAACCTGCGTTGCCACCCCCTCTTTCCTTCTGGGACTAAATGAGCCACAAGCATGTGAATACACAAGCACACATGATTCTCACAGCCACTTAAAGGAGTGCCTGTTTCTGACCAGGCTGAGCTGTTTCCTTGGGTCAGACAGGGTGATTTTCTTGACTGCAGGCTCTGGACTAAGCATGAGGCACACGTCTTCAGAACAGGGACTGGACCATGATGTTGCCTGGAACGTGGACACCTCCCTGCCCTTCTCTCAGTTTTCACTAGTACATTTAAGCCGGGGAATGAGGCAGAACAGTTGGTTAACCTAGTCATCTACCCACCTAGATATGTATAATTCCCTTCTCAGCCCACATGCCATGTACTACGCTAACCAGCCATTCCCCAGTGGCCATTCCAAATATATTTAAGAACATATTGTTTCTAGATTTATGGTCACTGTAGTAAATCAACTGGAAAGAATCTTATTACCTTAGAAAACACAGCTGGGAATTCACATCTCTTTCCTTAAGCATTTGTCAGGCACTGTCTCTTCTCACCTACGTCTAACTTGCACCCTGATAGTAAATGAAACAAATTAACACTCTGTTAATTTGCCAGAGTGGTCAGGGAGATGATGGGGTGCTTGCGAGAGGCCCTCACTTCCAGAAGGAAAACATGCACTAGCCCACACCCTCAAATCTAATTGAGAGTTCCCCATAGTAAGCCTGACCACCCAGGAGAGCTCCTCTTCCTGGGGCCAAATTCCAGTTTCTAATTCACAAATAAGCAGAGTCTCCTTAATCATTGCACTCAGAGAGCACAGGTCTTGGGTCTGAGCTCCAGTTCTACACCAACTAAACCCTGCACTTAGATAAATCGCCTCTTGGAGGTCATTTCAGTTTTAAATTGTGGGTGGTCATAGTACCCATCTCCTATAATGACATCATGAATGCAAATGCATATTACAGACAGGAAGTGTAAAACAAATATGAAAAGTTCTTGTTGATACTTTTCATTAGAACATATAGATGCAAAAGACTAAGGCGTAGAATGGAACACTCTTATCTATTCATAGCTAGTGCTGAAGATGATGCCAGATAATACATAAACAGGCTAGGAGCACTGGATTGCACTAAACATTGTAGTATCATCAAGTTAAAAAATGAAAGGCAAATCAGAGGAGTAACGCCTTTGTGAACAGGCAAATGTCCCTTTCCACGACACTAAAAGCTCTAACCTTCCCATTTGCCCTTTTTCAGGAGACAATCATTCTAGTTTCATGCCCTTTATCATCTTAGTTGTTCCTACTGAGTGAAAAGTCATCTGGCGAGGTTTGCAACCTAGTACATTTCCTAAGAGGCTTTGTTCATGACAAGGCTGCTTTACTAATCTCAGGAAGCTTCAAGTTTTCTCAAATTTCCAGTTGTAAGTGAAAAATGTACTGGATTGTCTCCCTTTTATATGTTAAAATAATGAGGCATTATTTCAGCACCACCCTTCCCTGTTTCTTTGTTCTAAAAATATAACTCAAGGATTCTGCCAGGTGTTAATTAATCTTCATTAGTCTCTGGAGGGCAGGCAAAGACCTAAGAATTGAGAAATTAAAGCACAAATGTTTAAACAATTAGTATAGAGACTTATCCAAGGTCACCAAATGAGTAACAGAGAAAACGCAGAATCCATGGCTTTCTGATCTTGTCCCCAAAATCCCCCAGGAGAACCATCTTGCATAAATACTTGCATGGCCAACATTTGTAAGAGCAGATGTTTTATCAAGCCAGCTGTACAGCAAGGCCCACCCTTGCCTATCTATTCCTATCTGCTTTTATTATGCTTTGGGGCTCTCGCATGATAAGACCTCCCATATGGTACTTGTATTAACATTAAATAATGGCCATTGTATTGTGTATACTATCACCATAGAAATATTTACTTAGTTGAACACAGACACCGGTCAAGCATGGTGATTAAAAACAAGCTAATCATAAAAACCATTCATGCTCACATCTATTTATAAAATCTGTTTCACTTGTGCCAGTTAAGTATAGGCTTTGTTCTAAACAAACACACGCAAACCTTCTGCACACCCAGAACCATGAAAGGCACCCCTCCTCCCTCTGCAGAAAGCCAGGCTGTGGGGAATGGCCCTATGTGAAGCATCAAGCGTGTGTCTGAGGCTCAACTAGGCTCCTCTGCAGCTGGAGCTGGGCCTGCTGTTGACTTTTACTTTCTTGCTCCTTCATCTCCTCACACTGACACCCTGCCTGGGGTCTCTCAGCCCTCTCATTCTCAAACTACGGTGAGCTCAAAGGCAGCTGGGGTTTTTGTAGTAACTGCAGATACTCCAGATCCACTCATGAGATCTTGTTTGAACTGCTCTGGATGAAATCTAAGATATGATATTCTCAGGAAACACTCAGGTGGTTCTGGTCTTGGGGTCCACATTCTCCACTTGAGAAACGGCCTCTCTAGGGGCATTTCTTGGGACCTCTTGCCTCCTGCCACTCCTTGCCCACAGCAGTCATTGTGGGGTCATCGCTGACACTGCCGAGGGCTGCCTTTAATGCCCTTAAATTTTATTTCAATGGACACCAGTGTTTGTTATAAATGTGTTCCTTAAGTCGTGTGCAGTAAAGTGCATGAGAGCCTGGGCTTTGGAGTCAGAGAATTTGAGCTTTGCTTTGCACTTTGCTGATCATGTGGCCTGGTAAAAACTGTCTAACTCTTTGAGTCCCCATTTTTTTTTTTAACATTTAAAATGGGAATGATAATAGGACTTGCCTCACTGAGGTGATGTAAGGGTGGTGACAATAATACACTTAGAGGATGCAGTGCCTGGCACACCATTTAGGCTACCAACATCACCAGTTGGGAAATAAATTGAGTTGAACTGAGTGGTCCTTTTGGATCAAGGTATTAGAAAATGCCACCTCAGGAAATGTGATGTAAAGAAAAAGACAGAGATGACCTGAATTTGATACCCAGCTCTGCTACCAGAAGGCTGAGTGGCTTTGGCCACATCCTTCTTCCCCTCTGGAAGAAGTTTATAAGATGTTATCTATGAAATTAGGGGACAGGTCCAGAGCAGTGGTTTCCAAACATTATGAACAGGGAAATCCCTTCCAAATATCAATACAGTCATAAAACATACTATAGTTTTTATACTCATGATGGCTCATTGACACTTAATAGCAAAAGGATTTTATGTATTTTGTAATTTTAAAAAATGAATTTACCTTTATTAATTCCAGTCTCATTTACATTTATTTGGGAAATAGTCCTGCTGGTTTTGTATTTTGTATAAGTGGTATTATTTCTAAGACAACAACATTAGGCGAATCGTGAAAGAACTCCACTGCCCCTGGTAGTCACAGACTTTCAGAGTGGGAGCCCCTGGTCCAGACCATTGGTTTTTTATAGATCCCTCCTGTTAACAAAGGCAGTTGTGGAAACTCAAACTCTGAAACAGACACTCTCAGAACTGTTCTGGAAATAGGAGCTGAGGGCCTAATTTAGTTGTCTTCTTTCTCTTCCCTCACTCCTCATCTTCAGCCAGGAAAGATCTGCAAGGCAGTTTTGTTAATTTCCTAGTAACTGAGCACCTCCTGTAGGCAGGCACAGTGCTAGATGCATAGGTTATGTCAGAGAACAAAGCTTCATGCCATCGGGGGCTTCTTTCTAGTGGCCGCGTGCCTCTGAGGTCACTGGCCTGACTTGTCTCCATGTTGGCTCTTACTGTCTGATGCTAGATTCCTGGGCAGACCCAGGATAAATAAGTGAAGCTTGCCTTTGGTCACTGGCTCCTCTTTTGCCTCCTTCTTTTCTGTTTTTTATTGTTTCTTTCTCCACCTAGGTCACATTTTTCCAGGACCAGGAACTGTGTTTGTGATTAGGGACAAACATCTTTCTCCTTCCAGGCTTTGGTTCCCATATTTAGGAAACAAGGGCTGATCCCTAGAGCTACAAGACCCCATCTAACTCTGTAATTGAGTCTAATTAATTCAGCAGAAATAATAGTACCTCATTTAGCCCAACTCTCTTATTCTTCCCCCAGACACTCAAATAGACACTTGGTGGTTTTAGAAACAAGCCAGGCAATGGTAATTAACTTTGAGGCTGTGTTTGACGGGCAAAGTCTAACACTACTATCTCTTTCCAAATGTGAATATTTTAGTCCCTACAACAGACACCCAGGAATATTTTATCTTTAGGCCAAGCAGAGGGGATCTATGGAGAGTGATAGCTATGAAGGCCAAGTATTGGCATCAAGAGCTTCTGAAATACATGGCTGTTAGATGCAAGACAGAAAAAAAGAAATTGCTTCTCAACCCATAGCGCCAATCAAACTGCCCTATAATTCTTTTTCTTGTCTGGTATCCATGTGCAGAACTGTGTACTCAAGAAATATTTGTTGAATGAGTGAGCAGACTCTATTTCTGTTCTTCTTCTTCTTTTTTTTCTTTTTACTTGGTTCTACCCATCATTCATCAGCTGGCTCTGCACTGGGAAGGAAAGCACACTATATTGGGCAGATTAATCTGCAACAACAACAAAAAAAATTGAGAGTGGGCTGAAGTCAACTATGTCTCCTGGCTGAGTAATGTGTGCCAGGTCATTCCCTGCCCTGCTTCCTCTTTGCTCAATGGTCTTACTTACAATCCCCAGGGCTAAACATCTGACAGATCAGCAAAGGCCTCTCTATTGCTGAGGGTCTTCTAAGGGAAAAGAGACTTCAGCAAGGGAGCAGCAAGAGAGACTTCAGAGTGATGGTTGAACCCCTAAAGCACCTTGGTCTGAAAAGCTGGGGGCTCTGGAGGAGCACAAGCCAAACCTATGCCTGACTTCCTCTTGCCAGCAGGAGCAGCATCTGGTCTACCTCCACGTGCCCTCTACCTTGACTTCCACGGGAGCCTCTCTGAAGTGATCCTGCCTAGGAGCGGAATCTGGTATACAAACCCATGGAGCCGGCTCAGTGAATGCAAAACGGTTACATTAAGGATTGGGGTTCTGTTTATTGACAGGGTCATGGCCTCTCCTGGTTATGACCCCCGAGGGACCCTGGCATGGAAACGGGATTTGTAATGTAACACTAACAATAACACACTAGAGACAGCCGTGACAGAGCCCTTCTCTCCTACATGCTGCAGCTGGCTTCCCAGGATGAAGACAGAGCAAGGGGCAGGCGGGGCAGGCACAGGAGGGAGAAAGAGACAAAGGAGTGGGATAGAGTCCATGGGACTGGAGCTTCCCGGGCCAGGAGTCCAGCCCTGGCTTCTGTGGTCCTTGCGGTGAGAGGGCTCAGCCCCTGCCTCCAGAAGCCTTCATGATGCCTGTGTTACTTCCACCTTTCTGGACAGAACTGTGGGCTCTGGAGCAGCCACTCCCTCCTGCTCACCTCCCAACAGACCCCCTCTACAGAGTCCTCCTGTCACCAAGCAAACCTGCTCTCAATCCACCACACCCTCGTCCTTTGTTTGTGAATTATTTATTTTTTCTCTCAGGGGTTGGGGAGGTAATGAGGCCGGATAAGGAGAGGAATAGAAAACTGAAGTCTCAATAACTTTCTCATGGGTTTCTCATTCCACAGGCAGCCTGGACAAAATTGGAACAGTGCATTTTCTTTGGTTTCTGCCCTTGTCTTTTGGGGGAGGTCCTGGGGGCCTGTGAAATATTTTCAACAGGGAAGAAGGGGTCCCAGAAATCACACCGCATGGTAAACCCCTTCTTGCAGCATTCCATCAGTGGCTTCTTTTCTGGTCTACCTGAAATGAGAAATCCTTGTGACCTTACAGGATCGGAAACAGGAGAATTGTCCGATGGGCAATGAATGAGGGTTTAGGAGAGAAGCTGTGGTCTCTGCCATTTTTCCCATCAGATCTGCACATCACTTCTCATCCATCCAAGGGCCCAAAAAACCAAAGAGTGGAGATTCTAGAATTGCCTGGCATCCATTCAGTGGTGATTTCCAGGGGAAGTTCTTAAGAACCTTTTTCTCCGTCTTGCACTCTGGGAGGGTCAATTTCCTTGAAGAGAGGCGTCATGAACGAGAACAGTCAGCAGTCCCTTGGTGGTCTTGAATGAGGCCCCCCCCTTCCAGAAATCCTCCAGCACCTCCATTGCTGACAGGCTTTCTTTTCTGATGCAAACATTGATCCATGCCTGGGGCCCCAGAAGTCCTCCAGGAGCCAGCTCTTCTTTTGCCGCACAGTATTGCCCTTTGAGATTGAAGTCTTGATGGAGAAGCCATCTAACTCCATGTTGTATTTGAAGGATTAAAAAATAAATCAGAACAGGTGGTCCTAAATTCGCTTAGATACATTTAGCATTATATTCACATAGGGAGGCTGTCATGGTTGCCTGACCACTTGTTATTAGTAGCTGGGCATACCCAGGCTTCACCAGCAAAATGAGGGCTCTTCATACATAATCAGTTTGCCATCACCCATTTCCTGCACTAAATTATCAGAATTCAAAATGAATAAGAATTTTCTGTGTCTTCTAGTTACTATGTGGAGACTTGAAGCACAGAATGATAGATTTTATGTCCTTGATTGGCAAAACATGCAGATGAGGAGGTGGCTGACAGCTAAATGTGATTTTTTTCATGATTTCTTCTTCAAAATACACCCCCTCTGTATTATATATAAACTCACACCCACCTTAACATTTAATTCCCACCCTGCTCATGAGAGTTCCTAGATGTGTTTCCCACCTATGTGTACTTGACCTTTATAAAATATTGCCCCGAATCATACCTTGCACTGTTCCATTTTATTGTTCATTAGTGTATGCACATGCCTTATTTTCCTTAAACAAATATGTAGCCCTCGAGGGCTGAGGCTTTAGGAATGTTCTCATCCTACACTGGCATGATTCTCAGTAGGTTCGGACATTTGTGCCTCTTTTCAGCACATGGACAAGCGCGGTGGCCCCATGTCTATGTGCTGGGAAGAGTATCATGATGACCTGGAATTCAGTGTTAGTTCAGAGCTATTATCAGGGATTTTCTGAAAGACAGCCAAAGAAAAGAGGCTGAAATTACTTGCAAGTAATTTAGATATTATTTGCCTAATTTTTGCATGAAACCTACATGACCATGGTGTCATATTTAATCATTTTCTGTTCTCTCTCTGCCTATCTCTCCTTCTCTCTTTTTTCTTTCCCCCGTCTTCCATTTTTGCAAAAGTAGAGACACAAGTTACCGGAAGACTCAATTGTCAGAGTTCAAAGTCTTTGCTAAACATTTGACATTTGACAGCGTGTCCCCCCGCCTTCCTCCGCACTCTCATCTCGCTTGCATGGGCACAAGCCTCAGAGAGATAACCATATCAGGCAGAATAAATGAAGCCTGTTTCCTTCTAAATTTGCTTCCTCCTACACAGTATGGCTATGCACTCTGAGGTTGGCATGCACTTTACCCCAGAGCTCTCTCTGTTGACTTTTAGGTGGGGTAGTAGGCTAGACATAGTTAAAGAAAAAACAAAAAACGAACAACAATAAAACCCCATGTACATTCACCAGACAGAAATCATGGACATTTTGAACCAGAAAAGCCATCACAGAAAGTCTTGTCTAACATTCTTATTTTATAGACAAAGAAACTGAGGCCTGGAGAAGTGCAATGAATTGTCTGAAATCAGAGTTTGCTGTGAATAGAGCAAGCATGAGAACTCAGAATTCTCTTAATACCAAGTTTGCTATTTTTCTCTGCCTTAACACAAAGGCTCAGAAACTACATGTTTCAGCAGTAACACTGCAATTCCAGATAGGGGACTTCTCCAATATCCAGGGAGGCTGGATCAGCAGTAACACTGCAGTTCCAGATAGGGGACTTCTCCAATATCCAGGGAGGCTGGATCAGCAGTAACACTGCAATTCCAGATAGGAGACTTCTCCAGTATCCAGGGAGGCTGGATTCTCCCACACATTTATCAGGAAACACATAAAAGCCTTATCCTCTAGCAACTTGCCTTGGGGGAGGTCTGGAAGAGCTGCTTCCGACCTGACTTGGGGTCTGAGTGAGAGGAAAGCAGCGGGGTATGGCATATTTTGCGCATCAGCTTCTCCCGTTCCCTGAGTGGCATTATCCAGGATTTGCAGGGGGCAGCCCAGCCCTTCTTCTCTTAGAAGCCCCAGCTTGCCGAGGGCCAGTCGGGACTAACTTCTTGCTCATCAGAAGGCAGCACCATGACAGAGAGGAAAGGAAGCTGGAGCTGCTGGAGGCAGGGCTGGGCTCCCGAGCAGGAAGGGCATGCAGTTCCCTGCTTCATGCAGTGTGGGGCTATCCAAAATTATTGTCTAAAATACCCTTTAGAGGAATAGAAATGCCACTGCTGACGTTCTTTACTTTAGGTCTTTAGGGGATTTTAGAATGGAATCTAAAGAAAAATGGAAATGACTCCCCCAGTGGTAATGGTCTCCATGTGATTAGAAGCATGGATAAGGATGAAACTTGGAAAGGGAAAATGATGAGAACCCCCCAAAATCTTCACCTCCTCCATCCTCTTCTTTCTGGCATGTGCTTGTGGATGGACAGACAGATAGCACCCCTCCAACCCACACAAACCTGTGGTGCTGTCTGGAAGACCAGAAGGGGTTGCCTGGGCCTCCTTCATCGGCCACCATCTGGCTTAAGCAAATCTCTCACTCGGAGCCAACACCCTGCCCCTCCCTGTGCCACTTGCGTAGGTGCCCAACAGCTTCAAGATAGGAGCCTCCTTCCTCCCCTGTTGCTCCTCACTTCTGGGGCTCAGCAAGGATGTTCATAGCTCCTAGCCGACCTTCTGCTTCTCCAGGGATGGGTGTGTCTGGCCTGCCACGGTTCCCGTGGACACCGGCAGCCCCCCTTGCAAACTCTGTTCCTGCTCTTCGAGTGCATTCTTGGCCCACACAACCAGCCTCTAAGGTGCCCCCGCTGCAGGAGAGCCTCCCATTCACTGGCTCGCCACTCCGCCTGTGTGCTTCCCAGCCGACCAGGGCGAGTTTTCAGAAAACTATTTTTAGAAAGAGTAACCTCAGAATAAACACCACTCACCAGATGCTGGTGTTTTTCTGGGGCAACCAAGCTGAGGATCATTTGTTTAAAGAGAAAGGTGAAACAGACAACGTTGCTCTTTTGGCCTGGGATGGTTTGCAGACTGCTGGGTTTTACTCCCTCTAGCGGCATGATTTTAGAAGACATGACACTGCCTTGACCCAGACTAATAACCATATTCTATAATGGCCGGGATATTTGAGATAACTCAATTTTACTTGACATTTAGGCTTCTAGTTTGATGCCAAGTAAGGACAGATTTAATCCTAAGTTTACAGGTACAAACATGTGTTAAGACTAATAGGACAAACTCTCTGCATCATTGTCTTATCCCTGCAAGGGTTGATGAATAAAATTCTATTTTGAAAAAGAGATGTTATAGTAAAACTGCTGGATATCTTTGATTATATAAAACTTATTCCCTACAGAAGACCTACATGTAATTTTGTACTATGTATCACTTTCCTAAATAAGTGGATGGGATAAGGAAGAACAAATTAGAAGAGGGACTTGTGAGTCTAATGTTGGCAAGAAAACAGAACAAAACAACATAAAGCCTTCTGATTGTAAGACTTGAGAGACCAGAAACACCTAAGAGGCATCAAAGTGTGTCTCTCTTTGAAAGTTGTAATCATATTTCTAATCATTATATTTCTTAGTGAATTTGGTACAATCACAAAATGACAACAGAACAAAATGCAATGACTTTTTGTAGACCTTCCTTCTCAATTCCAGGATTCTACAATCCAGCCCCATTTCTCTGATTGGAAGAAAACTGTAAATGAAAAGATTGTCACTGGCCTGAAGACGTTAGTCCTCTGATTAGCAGAGCTTATCAGTGTGGAAAATAGTCAATGGACAATGATCTAGTCATATCATAAATGACTGGATTTCTCCTACAACCTGGGTGTTACTGAGCTGCAGACTAAAACCAAAACGACTGTGGGTGACCAGAGGGAAAACGCTTGAAGTCATCAATCAGTTAAATCATGCTCATATCTCAGCTCATTTTGAGTCAGGCTTTGCACATGACAGAACTGCATTCATTCAACAGAAAGCATTCCATTCACAAAGAGTTCAGCTAAACCGACACTTGATTCATTATGAGTTCTTTTGCGGAAGGAGCGGTTGGTTTTCCAGAGTAACAGCCTCGTCTCTGACAGCCCTTTTCTCTGTATTCACGTTCACCATTTTTGTATGTTTCTGCCCACAGCTTATCCAACTTTCAGCAACCACTGATGGGGAGACTAGAATGCTGGTTTCCCTGTGGCACATGAGTAGTACATGATACTTTTTGTCCTCTAAAGTGGATTGTCACCAAGAACATGTCGGTGCTAATTTCCCCGAAGCATTGGTCTGTTTTCCTTTGCTGCAGTAGAAAGGAAGACCTATATACTATGTTACCCTGAGGGCAAAATTATTCCTGGTTTAAAACCACTGACTTAAGGAGAGGTACTGGGAATGAGAGAGATTTTATTCTTTCTTTTTTTCTGTTTATATTTTCAACAATTATAGCACACCTAAACTGTGGCGTAGGCCTTGGGGATCAATAGCGAACAATGATAAATTCCTATCGTCAAGTAACTTGTATTCTGGTATATGTGTACAACAGGGACGGATGGTACACAGCAACAAATACATGAGTATTCCTGATAGTGATAATGTTATGAAGACACTAACACAAGGTAGTGAGCAAGGGAGTAACTATGTCAGCATGAACAAAGTGCAGGGACCATGGAGAGCTCTCAGTGCCAGCTCTTGCATTTAGCTGAATCTCGGATCATAGCAGGCAAGAGATAGCCACTGGTGGTGGTGGCCCCGGTGCTGGTGGCAGTGGATGTTGTGAAAGACAGTAATATGACCAAAGTTATGGTTTTATAAGTTTCTTTTGATAGTGATCTGTTTGCAGGATATTGGAAAAGAGCAAAGCCATGGAAACCAAGAAATTGGTTAAGAGGTTGTGTAATTATCAAGAAAAATGGCAATAAAAGCCTGAGCTGGGTGATGGCAGTGGGAATGGAAAGAAAGGATTAATGAGAGAAACTGCGAATAGAAATTTACAGCAGAGTTCACCTGAGTTTTAGATTTAACTGATTATTTTAAAAAATAACCCTGTGTAATTTTGTCCCATGAGGACATTAAAACAAATGAACACTACCATCAATTCTGCTTTATGAAAATGAGACGGTGTTAACACATGAAAAGGCAGACAAGACATAATCTCGCTACAAAGGGCAGTCCTCTAGGTTAATAAGTTTTTAGTTTTGTGCTTAACCCACTGGACTGTCTTATTTTTGTCATTGCATTACAGACCAGTAACCATTATATACAAGTCTGATATTATTCTAAGATTGGCATTTTACAGCCTGTATGTTCCAGGCTTACCTGAAAACATGATGGATCAGGAGGCTGAAAGAAAAAAAAAAGTGATGTAAATGATGACTCCCAAGTTTTGTACTTACTTGAACAAGAATTTGAGAGAATCATTAACAATGACAAAAAAATAGGAAAAATGAGAGGTAGCTTTGAAATAAGGACTGTAAGTCTGGAGTGAAGCCTGATAAATTTAAGATATCTGAGGAACATTCCTAATAAAATAATGAAGAGTTGTAAGCATAGTATTGAGATTAAGGATGAGAGTCCGAGTGACACATATAGATTTTGGAATTGTTCTAATGAAAGTAATTGAAGCCATCAGGGTGAGCACAATATCAAGGGGAGAAAAAGGAAGGAAAGTGGACTCAAACCAGAACATTAGAGAAAATTATCAGGCAAGACTTAGCCAGAACTCCAAGGTTAGAGGAACCCAAAATAGTCAAGGGCTTTTGTAAAACAAAACAGCCAGGTGTCAATGAATGAATTGATAGTAAGACAATTGAGGCCAGAACCATAAATATCCTCTTTCTGGATAACCGTGAGAGGAAGGTCTGAAGATAGTTCATTTGTTAGTAACAAGAGCTGACAAAGCGTAACGAAGAAGGTCCTTAGATAACATGTGCTTATTATGGATCAAATCAGCACCATGCTATGAATTTCTTGAGCTACTCTTGGATGCTGGGGAGTGGGAAAAGAGAAAACAGGAGGCAGAAGCTAGCACTAGAAGTAAGAAGAACAGCCAAGCACATGAGGATTCCAGCGTTTGAAAGAGAGAAGCACTGACAAGGCCACCTCAGGACCAGAAGTGGGCAGGAAAATGGGAAATCAGGGATTCACTGAGGGACAACAGATCACAATGAAGGGTGAGAAATTGCTGTGGCCTTATTGTGATCAGAAGGCAGGAGGCCTGATATTAAGGTGAATTCCAAAAGCATGAATGCATGTGAGTTTTGCTTACCAACTCTGCGCCTCACTATTATGATCCTAATAGTCAATATGACATGCGAGCTCCTTGTCCTCATGGAGCTGTGATCTATAGCAATGGCAGGAGGCAGAAAGAAACAGACAATATGAAAAAAATAAGTAAAGAAAATATCAGGTGGTGATGATGATATAAACAGAGTGATGTGACTGAAGGTGGCTGGGGTTACCATACACTAATTGGGAAAGGAAGGTCTCAAAGAACAGCTAAGTCAACACCTGAATGACTAGATAGAGGCAACCATGTGATAAGAGATCACAAGAAATGCTCTAGCATTGGGGGATAAAAGGAAAAGAGGCATCAAGGATAACTTCTAAACTTTTGGCTCAAACAACTGCAGGTCCTGTTTACAGAGATGAGAAAGACTACAGAGGAGCAGATTTGAAGTGGGTGAGGGTGAGGATTGGCATTATAGAAAATCAGGAATTCTCTTTTGCCACATGAAGATGTCAAATGCTGGTCCTGGAAATGGTTCTAGGCACAAAGAGAGCATAGATGAAGGCCAAAGGGTTTTAAGGTCAGAGTATTAAGAGTAAAGAACCTTAGCTTGCAATATGAATCATAAATGTCATTCTTGTTCAATGTCTTGAGGTTGTTACAGATGCGGGCAGGATGCCAGTTGAGAAGAAAAATCCAAAACTAAAACAATAAACTTGAATTGAAATTGCAAGGAACAAGGGTTGAATGTCCTGATGACATCCTAAAGGCTAGTGGATAATGGATAATTGGGAAAGGGATATGGAGGTAGACTCCATATATAGTAGCAGTTGATAGAAATTAAATATATTTCCTTAACAATATTTACAATATTTGGCAATTGAGCAAAGTGCTTGTTAGCACAGGTACATACAAAAATCAAATGTAGGGAGTGAGACACCTTACAATAGGTGAAAGTATTAAATACAGTAACTATGGAGGCAGAGTATTAAGGGATTGATCCAAGATTTTACAACCTAAGAGAGTGGCAGAGAGGGACCTCAGAAGATCCAGCTTGAAGCTTGCAATTCGCACACGTTCAACCTAAGATTTCTTCTTTTTTGCACTGCTTGTGTGTGTGTGTTTGTGTGTGTGTGTTTGTGTGTGTGTTTCCAGCACAGCTTTTGGCTACTATTTCTCTAAGCAAACATGTGATTCTAATGAAATTTGCTGAATTTCAAGCAGCCACACGTGTATGAAAGCTGCCCAAGTTGGATATTTGTGGAATGCTGATTTTCCATACATATCAACATTTGGTAATTATCATCAGAACTATTCATGCAAGTTTAAAAGTGGAAATAAAATTAAGAGAGATTCAATAAGGACCTCAGATGACCTACTGGGCAACCCTCCGAGGTAATCAGTCCTTCAATGAGTGGATAACCATCCTGTCCTATGTAGTTAGGCATTCTCTTTAGTTCAGCCTCTCCTGGAAATCTTAACAGAAACATCTGCCATTTCCTCTTAAAACCCCACACATAGAGTGGGGTGGCACCTCGCTAACTGATGAGCTACAAGCAAGTTGTAATAAGTATGTTTCTAAATTGACATAAATTGGTGTTTGTATTCTTTTCTAATTTTGTAAGTTTCCCAAGGCCTGCTTCTTTCTGTTTTGTTTTGCTTTTTCTGTCTCAAAGGCTTAGCATATAGGTTTTGAATAAGAATACCACTGGCATAGTCTATTAGTTATTGATTGCTATGGGACAGATTACCCCTAATTACCTTAGCTGTTGAATGAAAACAACAAACACTTCTTCTCCGTGGGTTTCCTTGGGTCAGGAATCTGGAATTGGCTTAGCCTCATCGTTCAGACATAGGGTCTTGTCAAAAGGTTGCGACTAAAATGTTAGCCAGGGTTGCAGTCATTTCAAGGCTCAACTCAGAGAGCATCCACTTCCAAGCTCACACACGTGGCTGTTAGCAGCCCTCAACTGCATGCCAAGTGGGCAGGGTAGCTGGCTTCCCCCAAACTGAAGTGATCTAAGAGAGTTTTGAGAGAGAACCTAAGACTGAAGGCATGGTTTTCTTATAACCAAATATTGCAAGTGATTTCCTATCATTGGTACAGTAGTCTATTCATTAGAAGCAAGTCCCTAAGTCCTCCCAACACTGAAGGGAGGGGAAGTACACGGGGTATGATTATCAGAAGGTAGGGGCCATTGGGGACCGTCTCGCAGATTGACTCCCACACATGAGGAGTCATATGAGGCTCGTGTTGCAGATGGGAAACTGATACTCTGTCAGGAGTTTAATTTACCCAAATCCATGCCTCTCAGAAATGGAGCAAAAATCAATGTGTCAATGTAAGCAAAATTTGGATCAGCCTGATTCCAAAAATCTGTGTTTTTCCTAGCACATTTAGCTGCGATATAGTATTATTATGTTGATAGTCACACAAAAACTTGTACCTGAACTGTTAAAATAATTTAATATGGTTGTAAAAATGGCTTAGCAAGCTGCTTCTCCAGAACTTTATTTATCCAATTAAGATCTGCCAAAGACTTACTCTATGGCCATACACCGTATCACCACTGCCAATCAAAGGAGATTAAAAAAAAAAGTCCATGCCTTAAAGGAATTCAACATTTAATGTGGAAAACAAACTTATAAGTAGATAATAACAATATAAAATGATTAATAGAACACAGAACTATAGAATCCAGAGAAGGTGGAGAGTATCTGTTTTAAGTTGCAGAGGAATGTGACATTTGCTACAGGGAGATGGGTCTCAATAGATGAGTAAAAGACAGGGAGGACAGATTGGGGTGACTGATACTACAGAAAGAGAGAAAAATAAGCTGAAAAATATATTTTCAGGGTAGCTTAGCAGTTTAAAAGCATGGGTTGTTTTAGAACCACTCCTTATTAACTATGTAAGCTTGGGGAGGTTTTCAACCTTCTGTGCCTCAGCTTTCCCATCTGTAAAATGGAGTACAAGAGTAAAGTCCACCTCATGGTATTACTGTAAAGATAAATAAGAACATAAAATGCTTAGAATGGTGCTTAAGCCCTCAAAAGTATTAGCTATCATGACCTGAAAGGATATGAGCTTTTGGCATGGTACTTTGGAAGACATATAAGACAGATAATTGATCTCTGATTATGGAATTTTTTAAGTGCCTTACAGGACTTTTGTTACAGATTTTAGACTAACCAGATATAGAAATCTCTCTGACTCTGTTCCAAAGCTATGGCATTGCCAGATTTTTTAAAGTTTTAAATATATAATGTAACTGGCCTTATAAGCAAAAGTGGACAATTCCATGTTGAGAAGAACAAATCCATTGTGACAGTGATGGGAGGAAGCTGGTGCTACACAGCCAAGGGGAAAAGCCAGATGGACTGCATACCACTAAGGGCCAGAGTGAAAACCCCCATCCGGAAAGAAAGCTGAAGCACAGATCTCTCATGTGGCAGGAATTCTGAATCTGGCTCTCTGAATAAAACCAGGAGAAGGTAAAACATTGGCTTGTCTGTAAACTGAGATTGAAATATCTTTAAGACCTGGGCTGAAAGCTTAGCTGAGATGCAAGCCACCCATTCCAGACCACAGATGGAAATAGAACCACTCATGGGAAATCAGAATCTGTTTTCTGTATTATGAGAAGATTTAAGGCCCAAATTCACAATAATATTGAGGTGGGGAAAGTCTGAGCTGAGAAACTCACCTCAATACTGGTCTAGGTCTCTTGAAATACAAAAGACCCAGCCCAGGAAAACTGTAAAAGTGTCTCCTAAGGAATCATCACTATCTGGGACTCTACATGACTCTTACGAAAGATGGCACCAAAAGAAGATAAGCACTTAGGCAAAAACCCTTAACACATATACAGAAATCTAACACAGTTGATTCTTTTTATTCTTGCTAGTTTTTTTTTTAAAGTCTTAAATGTAGCTATTTTCTTTTTAATTTCCATAGGTTTTTGGGAAACAGGTGGTATTTGGTTACGTGAGTAAGTTCTTTAGTGATGATTTGTGAGATTTTGGTGCACTCATCACCTGAGTAGTACACACGGAACTGAATTTATAGTCTTTTATCCCTCACTCCCTTCCCATCCTGTCCCCAAAGTCCATTGTATCATTCTTATGCCTTTGCATCCTCATAGCTTAACTCCCACATATGAGTGAGAACATACGATGTTTGGTTTTCCATTCCTGAGTGACTTCACTTAGAATGATAGTCTCCAGTCTCATCCAGGTTGCTGCAAATGCCATTAATTCATTCCTTTTTAAGGCTGAGTAGTATTCCATTGTATATATATACACTACATTTTCTTTATCCACCAGTCATGCTAGTTATGTTCTATGAAGTAGCCACAATCACCACATTACTGAATACTGAATTATTGCCCCTAGGGGAAATATAGGGTTTGTTACTCTGAGCTGCTGGTCACTTTTTTTTTTTTTTTTTGGTCAACCAATCAATACATAACCTTGCTTTATGTATGTTTCTATTTAAAGACACCTTACTTAATATATGCTCTTAATTCTTTAACATTAAACACATGGCCAATAGCACTCTAACTCATGCCTGAAGGAAGTTTTTCTAACCCACATATTTCTCCATAAGGCACATCACTGCTTTCTTGAGTTAGGAACACTACACAGCACCTCAGCACAGACTAAGGGCCATTTAAAACAGAGCAATCACTAACAAGAAGTACAAAATGCAAACAGGATGGAACTAACTACTCTGTAAAAAGGACATGTGTTGGCAGTAGGCAAGCTCAAACAAGAAGGCAGAGCGTCGCCCCTTTTGTGACTTCAGCTGGGAGCAAAGATGTCAGGCGACTCCCATTTCTCACTGCGTGCCACAGGCACATGTTTATGGATCGTAGCAAAACTGCCTTTAATATTGATTGACTCTGGAGTTACAAGTAAATTTTAATGAGTTGACGAATTCACAAATATGAATACACAAATAACAGGGAATGACCGTGCCTGAAAATACTACAGTCTACTGATCCAATAAACAGAATAATTTACATTCAAAGACCTAGAGATATGTGACTTTATAATAAATCAAAAATGCTGTAAGAAATATAATTCATAAAACAAGATTATAAAATGGAATAAACAAATATAGAAAAGGACCGAAAAGATACTAAAGTTGGAAAATGTTGTCATCGAAAGTGAAAACTCGATAGATGGGCTAGAAAATGGAGACTTTTTACATATTGAAAAAGAATTAGAGCGTTAAATGATAGACATGAAGAGATCATAGAAAATGCATATCAAAAAGTTTTCCTAAATGAAACAGAAGTTAGGAAATACATAGTATAGAAAATCCAACCTTCTTTCATAGATATTCCAGAAAGAGTGCACAGGGAATAGTGAAGAAGCAATATTTGATAAGCTAATTAATGAGAATTTTTCAGATTTGAACACATGAATATTCACATTTAAAAAGTGCCCAAAGTATAGAGGCAAATTTTTAAAAGTCCACATCGTAGGCATTACAATAAAATATAAGAATATCAAAGATAAACAAAGTATTAAAAACTACAATGGAGAAAAGAAATATTACGTATAAAGGGAGAATATAAAACTTCTCCTAAAGAACTCTGAGTGATAGAAAAAAAGGAAAGGATATGTTTAATGTATTAAATAGCTTTGAAACTAAAATTATATACCTACCTAATTGAGCCTTAAAATGAGAAAAAGATAAAGAAATGTTTAGACATCTAAAAATTAATAAAGCTTCAGTTAAAGAACTATTAAAGTTATACTATGGCAAGAAGAAAGTAAATTAGGAAGAGAAAAAATGGATTGCATAGAGAAATGGTAGATAAAAATATTGGTTAAACATTAATTAATCTAAACTTGTATAGAATGTAAAAATAATGGTTTCTGCTTAAAATAAGAATTGAAAGAAAACATTAGACAGATACAGCTTAGAAGACGCAAAGAGAGGGTTTAGGGGGAATATTAATGTACTCTAAAGTCACTACTTTCTTCACAAGGAAGATAAAAAACAATTTTTTTTGTTAGAAAAAGTAGAAGATCCAGTTGTTAATTTTAAAAATGTAAACTCCAACAAAACAGAAGTAGAATGTATGTCTTTCAAGTCAGTAAAGGAATAAAAGAAAGTAAAGAAAACTCTATTGAATTTCCAGTCAAGATGTAGTGTTATTTTCAGCCCTATTACATGGTACAGTAGACTAGGAGTTAGAAGTCAGAAGACCCAGCTCTGGTCTTGGCACTGCCCATAAATAGCTGTATCTGTTTAAATGAGACACTTTCTCTTAAAAATAGTTTCTTCCTATAATAAAATATTTTTTTTTTCTGAAGAACAACAGCAAAAAGATCTAGTGTTATTTTAGGCCAGGCATGGTATCTCAATGCCTGTAATCCCACCACTTTGGGAGGTGGAGGTGGGCGGATCACCTGAGGTCAGGAGTTCGGGGCCAGCCTGGCCAACATGGTGAAACCCTGTCTCTACTAAAAATACAAAAATTAGCCAGGCGTGGTGGCAGGCACCTGTAGTCCCAGCTACTCAAGAGGCTGAGGCAAGAGAATCACTTCAACCAGAGTGGCAGGGGTTGCAATGAGCCAAGGTTGTGCCATGGCACTCCAGCCTGGGCAACAAGAGAGTGACTCTGCCTAAAACAAACAAACAAACAAAAAAACATACTGTTATTTTATAATTCAAGAAACCTTCTGTGTTGCTAACACTTAGCAGTAGCAGATAAAATTAAAATAGCTTAACAAGAAAGAGAGAAAGCAGAATAAACATGTATAAAGAGAGTTTAGAAATCAATGAGAAAATAATGAGCAGTGACCTGGCTGAAGTCTGAAGTCTGCTGTGTATGACAGCATGGGGTGGAGTGGGAACATTTCTTTGTGTTTTTAAAGCTCATTTGGGGTTCTGGGGATTGCGATTGCCCTATGCATTGTGGATGCCAGAGCATTGCTTAGGATTTAACAGCAGAGGTGGGGCAAAAAGCTCATGAAAGAAGAATGAATAAAAATAGCTCTATTTGCTGTTTATGACTTAAGCATAGGAATGGGAAGACAGTCACTGTCAGCTGCTCTCTGGCTCATGAACTAGGTTGTAAATTTCACCAGTATCACAATGGAACAGTGTGTGTGAACTGCTAATATAAACTCTGCTTCTTGAAGGGAGTCCCAGGGGTTCCATGGGCTTAAACCCCATACTGCTAGGCAACAAGGATGTGATAGGGGAAGAGAAATATGAAGCATGCTAATTTTTCTGTTATTGTCAGAGATAGACAGAGACATCAAAAAACGTGTTGTTAGGAAAAGAATGTGTATACGAGTATGTAAGTTAAAAATGTAAGGGTAAATTTTAACTTCCAGTAAAGTGGAATAATGAATGGCAAAGCAATGTTTCTAATAAATTATAACTTAAAAAGCCAGATTAAAATAAAAAAAACATTTAAAGGCAGGGAGCTGTGGATGCAACAAAGCTGTCAGAGAAGAAGGTTCTGGAGAGGAGGAATTGCAGGGAGGTGAGTTGATCATCTGCAGCTACTTTGGGAAGTAGTTTCTGATTCTGGTGCAGATAAACTTGTTGTTTACCTGAAATTCAAATTTAACTGGGTATTCTGTATTTTTTTTTTTTTTCCTAGCAACCCTGGGCTTGAGTCAGGGAAGTGACGTATGGCTGGAGACAGAGTAATTATCGAAGCTTTGGGCTACAGTGACAAGACGGAGGTGCCTAAAACACACATCTAGACTAGTCGTTGATGTGGACACTGAATTACAAAGCCGTGTGGGATGGAACACTAAAAAGCCAAGTCAGAAACCTCTAAAAAGGAGAGGATTTCACTCTGCTAATGAGAGAAGACAAATCTAACCAGAAGAGGAGACCCGGTGAACACACAAGCTCTTGGTTAAAAGCCCCGATTAACACCATAAGAAAGAGGTGAGCTAGAAATAGGCTTAGCCTTACTAAATTTAATATGAAGTCTTAAATCAGCTCAGTCTCTACTGAGCTGATCGGCACCCCTCACACTATATTTGCCTACCATTATAAAAAGGGTTAAAGTGATCCGTACGTACTCTACCTGCCTACGAGAAAAACAAACCAACAAACAAATGACAACAAAATCAAGACAAAACAATAAAGCCCTCTTTAGAGGAAGAAAACACCATCTAAAGCAATAGAAACATACCCCTAAAGATCCAGGATTGGACTTATCAGACAGGGACTATGAAATATTATGATGATTACGTTAAAAAAATGGAGGGTAAAATGGAGAATTCCAGCAAAAACTTCAATCCATGAATACAAATCAAATGTAAATTCTAGAATTGAAAGACATAATAAACAAAGTTAAGAATAGATGGCTCTGATGGAAAATTAGACACAGCAAAAACAGAAGATCTTTAAACTGGAAGACAGAATAATAGAAAGTATACAGTTTGAATGCCAGCAAGAAGACAGGGTGGCAACTGAAGTAAAGAGCATAAGAGATATGTAAGTCATGGTGGAAAGAGAAAAAAAAAGACTGACATATCTGTTCTCAGAGTCCCAGAAGGAGAGGGGGAGGAGTATGAAACAGAAGCAATATTTGAAGAAACACTGGCAGAGAATTTTCCAAACTGACTAAAGACATGAAGAAAAATATTCAAGAAACTCAGCAAGCCCTATTCATAATATTCTATGCCATGGTATTATAACTTCTGTAAAGCAAAGACCAAGAGAAAATTTCAAAAGCAGACAGATTACAAATATGTGCATTATCTTTAAGGGAACAGCCTTAAGGACAATGGTGAACATGCCAACTGAACTATAAAATCCAGATGACAATAAAATAAGACCTCTAAAGTGCTGAAAGGAAAAACAAAAACAAAACCCTTGCTATTCAGAATTCTCAACTTAGTAAAAATATACTTTAAAAATGAAGGTGAATAAAATTCTAGCAGACACACAAATTAACTAAAGAAACTCTTTCCAGATAAACATTCAGTGCCCTAAGTTGGCAGAGAGCTTACAACACACAAACCTCAAACGAATATGCATACAGGAATAATGGGAACTCAGGAATAAATCTATGGATGGATGCACAAAGAGGTCTTAATGTCACCCTGGTCTTAAATAAGACCCCAGAGCCTCAGCATAACCCAGAAGATTGAAGGAAACCCCAACAATGACTCATGCTGATTCTCCACCTCTCTGGTGGGATGGATCTTTGGAGTGAAAATAGTATTTACTAGATAAAATAGCCTTTTTGCCCTCTACAGGGTACCATTTACTGAAAAGAATTGCTGAAGTCCAGATCTCTTTTTCCTGAAACCAAGATTTTCACCATAGTGAAAGTGATTAGTAATTTGTTATATTAGTTATTCCTCCACAGACACACATCTTTTATGTTTTTTGATAAACCTAAAATTATTTTTGATTTCTGATAAACTGGTAAAATTATTAAAAAGAACAAGATTGTGGGAAGGGCTCTGCGACAAACCATTGGGCAACCATAGACATTTACTATGTGATCTAGGTTGTTACAGCAACAAAAAGCACTTGGGTACGAATCCACATAAATGTGTTTTTAACTGTTCTAGATGAACCTGGAATCAATGGAGAAATGTACCATGTTTCTGGGAATAAAGATTAAATATCTCAAATATATCAAATCCATATATTAATTTATGGATATATAGTATGATTCCAAAAACATTCAGCCTAAGGCTTTTTGTATTAAAAAATTATTTAAAAATAATTTGATGAAATAATTAAAGAAGATTTTTGAAAAAGAGGAATAACCAGAATTCACCAACTCTATCAAATATTAAGATTTATCTAAAGCAGTAATACTTAAAGTAGTATGGAATTGGTGAAAACACAAGTGTACTTACAACTTCAGGCAAGGTGGCTTAATAAGTAAATACTTTGAGATTCCCCGCTTCTGCTCCAAAATTATTGAATTAATAGATAAATCATAACAATAGAAAAATTAAAATGTTAGCTTTCTCAAAAACAAAATGAACAGACCAAAAATTTGTGTGAATGAAAGACACGCCAATGATAAAGAGAATATTTTAAAAGAAGCCAGAGAAAAAGACACATTACCTATAGGGAAAAAACCATAAGAATGACTGCGAAATTCTCATCAGAAATAATGCAAGCCAAAACATAGTGATCCACATTTTTAGTGTTGGAAGAAAAAAAAAAACTTGTCGTGTAACAATTCCATATCAATCAAAACTATCATTCAGAAACAAAGGCAAATAAAGGTGTCTTCAAACAAACAAACAAAAAATGCTGAGAAAATTAATCACCAGCAGACCTGTACTGAAAGGAATATCAAAGGAAGTTCTTCCAGCTGAAGAAGAATGATATTCATTGGAATCACAGATTTGCATGAAGGATTGAAGAGTGCCAGGGATGAAAGTTTACAGTGCAAATGTAGACATGGCTCAAATTCACAAGGGTAAATACCTTACCCAGGAAAACTCTCAGCTGTGTGCTGTTGTAATGAAAAGAGAGGACATTGAGAGAGTGACAGGGCACACTTAATCCTGTGCGATTCCAAGAAGAAAAACCAGCATGAATGCAATGTTTTTTGCCTCACATCATTGACAATGCTTAGAACACACTGGGATTCCCGACATTGTCAGATTGTATACATTTAGTCAATTTAGTGGATGTGAAATCATATGTAATTATGGTTTATTTTACAATTCTATCATTCTAGTGAAATTGGCATCCATTAAAATATTTGTTAGCTATTTATTTCTTCTTCTCAGAAGAGCTAGTTTATCTCTTTTACTCATTTTTCTATTGGTCTATCTTTTTTCTGAATGATTCATAGAAATTCTTTTGTTAGGTTGAACCATAAGAAATAGCAATATTCGATCATTTTAGATAGACAAAGGAGGCAATTTCATATGGTTCAATGTAATCTATTTTGGGAAAAAGTCTCTTTTTGGTTATATGTGTTTTAAACATTTCCAAGTTTATGGCTTATCTTTCCTCTCTACTCATGGCCTCTTTGATGAATATGTTTAAATTTTAATGTAGGCAAACATATTAATATTGTCTTATAGATTTCCAGATTATGTGTCTTAAAAATTATCTTCAACCCTGTGATAATAAGAATATTCTCCAATGTTTAAAGATTTTAAGCTCTGACTTTCAAATTTAAACTTTTAAGAAACGTGGAATCTATTTTAATGTATGGTATCAATTAGATATCCAATTTTATTTTCTCCTTTATAAAAAAGCAATTACCTTAGCCTCATTTATTGAATTATCCAAACTTTCTCACTGATCTGTAACATAATTTTAGTTATATTTAAGTGTTTATATATGTGTTCTGGAGTTCTGTTCCATTGTCTGTTCCTTGGCCAATTATCTTAATGATTTTGTTTTATACCTGGCTTTATACCTTGGTACCCAGAAGGCCAATCTTATTTCTTCTTAAGGAGTGGCTTTGTTATTCTTGACATTAGATTTTCAAAATAATTTTAAGATTACTTTTGTTTTTGGACCATAATGGCTCTGTTAATTTGGGAAAGAAGTAAATTTATAACAGTAAATCTTATTAAAAGGGCATAACAAAAACATGACATATGAATTCTCATAATTTACTTGAGACTCCTTTGAAACCCTTTTGAACTAACCATTTATTATTATGAGAATCCCTCTTCAAATCTGGTGGTGTCTTACTTTAAAGTCTACTTTTAAAGTTTTCTTTAGTGTTTGATGAAGAGTGGCAGTCATGGGGAAATGTGACAGAGGACAAAGGGTCTAATCTAATGATAATATGCTGGGAGGAACTCAGCAAAGTCTGTTTGTTCAGTTTCTTCCTTGTATCCCTGTGTCTTCAGAGATAAGGCTGTTCATTTCCTTTGGGTATAGGGAGGGTACCACTTGAAGAGGGCTTATAACCTGCTTCAGGGGAGAAGGGCAAGGGGAAGGTAAAAGCTACCCTTCTACTGTTTTCTCAGATGCCAGATTTTGGGTAGCATGTCCTGAATCCACCAGTACCTTGCCCATGGAGACTAGAGCTGGGTATGGTACTGTTACCAGAAGCTTGGTAGCTCCAAAAGGTGGGATCTTTCCACATTCAGTGTTGCAGAGCCAATACACAAAATTGAAAGTGAATGTCAGTAAGAGCAAGTTTTTTTTGATGGCCAGAGAATGGAGAAGCGGGAAGGTGGCTCACAAATCAACTTCTCGACTAGTGAAGTGTGAATAGGTTAAAATATACAGTTTCCATTGTGGAAAGCAGTGTGGCAATTCCTCAAAGAGCTAAAAACAGAGCTACCATTCAACTCAGCAATAACATTACTGAGTATATACCCAAAGGAATATAAATTGTTCTACCATAAAGACACATGAATGTTTATGTTTTTTGCAGTAGTGTTCGCAATAGTAAAAACATGGAATCAACCTAAATGCCCATCAACGGCAGATTGAATAAAGAAAATGTGGTACATATACACCATGGACTACGATGCAGCCATAGAAAACAATGAGATTATTTCCTTTATAGAAACATGAATGGAGCTGGAGGCCATTATCTGTAGCAAACTAATGCGGGAACAGAAAACCAAATACCGCATGTTCTCACTTATAAGTGGGAACTAAATGATGAGAACACACAGACACAAAGAGGGGAACAACAGGCACTGGAGCCTACTGGAGGGTAGAGGGTGGGAGGAGGGAGAGGATCAGAAAAAATAATTATTGGGTACTAGGCTTAGTACCTGGGTGATGAACTAGTCTGTATAACAAACACCTGTGACATGAGTTTATCTATGTAACAAATCTGCACATGTGCACATGTACCCCTGAACTTAAAAGTTTAAAAATAAAAACAATTAAAAAATTAAAGATATGGCTTCTTTAATGAAGGGGTTGGACATTAAAAATGAGGGGAAGAATATTCATGTATTTTCCAGGAATAGGCAGTGAACTTCTTGGAATCAATAGTGCTGCCTTCCTTTTTGTTCTTTCACAGCTTCTTCCAGTCACTGTCATGAGTGATTGTCAATTGTCATGGTGGTGGGTGGGGGAGTGTCATTTAGCATGGAAATGAGATTCTAATGAAGTCTGAGGTTTTTTGAAGTCATTGGTTAGCTATCTTGGTTCTAACCAGTCTCAACTGGTCTGAGTACAAAGGGAACGTCTCATAGCAAGCGTCCTAACTTTAAAAGATAAGCAGAGTGAGGGTGGGGTAGAAATTTTGCTATGTCACATAGGCATTCCACCAAGTAATAGACTATATGTAAGGGATTTTGTGCAACCAACACAAACCATGTGAAATCTCATGAACCAAGTTTCTCTAGAATTGTGAGGAACATATAGTATCATCTGTTCTAGTTCCACATTTTTCAAATGAAAAATTCTTAAGGCCTAGGAAAATAATGTCTAGTTCACATTCACTCACATTGGTAAGGCTAGGAGAACTTATTTCACTTGACTCTTAGTCCAAACTTTTTTCTCCAGCACCACAAAGCCTTCCTTCTCTTCAGCAGGTGCCCAGTGATATAAACTTCACTCTGAGGATCTCAAAAAAAATGTTAATTATAAAGAACAACTATAATTTTCATTTCCTCATTTGTCAAAATGCAAAGAACACCAGAGAGTTGTACAATGGTCATGGTAGTGTTTATACCTCCAGCCGATTTATGTCAGCTTAGAATTCAGAAGGGGTCCGTATATTGGAAAGTAACACTGGGAATCAATCTGCAGTGTCACTTTGCTAGATAAAGATCTTGGCTTAGCTTGAGCTGAGTTCATTTGCACAGAAATTTTTCTGCTTGAACATTGTCTAAGTCTGTTTGGGTTGCTATAACAAAAAAATGTCTTAGACTGGGTTACTTACAAACAACAGAAGTTTATTGCTCACGGTGCTGGAGGCTAGGAGGCCCAAGATCAAGGCTGTGGCAGATTTAATGTCTGGTGAGGGCCTGTTTCTAAGAGATTGCACCTTTTATGTGTCCTCACATGGTAGAAGGTATGAACAAGTCCCCTTAGACTTCTTTTATAAGGGCACTAATCTCATTCATGAGGGAGGAGCCCCCATGACCTAATCACCTCCCAAAGGCCCAATCACTTCTTATTAAGTGATCTTAACACATCTCTTTGGGGATTAGGTTTTAACATATGCATTTTGTGGAGACAAAAATATTCAGACTAGCAAACGTGATGTGTTGATTCTCTTTGGGTTTGTGGGGAAGGATACTTCTTTTGAGTGGTTGAGCAATTGATTTTCACATATTATCTAAGATGCCTAAAAATGTTATTTTATTTGAACATGAAAGGAAACAGGAGGGCATGTATAGTTTTTGAAGAGTAGGTATCTTGTTCGTCATTTCCCTTTGCCAGTACTGAAGCCAGTGTTCACTGCCATTTGAAAGTATACTCTATAACATAAGAGGTTATATTCTAAACCTTGGATTCTCATTTCCAGGGGAATCTTGCAGATGAGATATTCATGTGTCAGTGAGACTTGTTGAGAGACAAAGAATCTCCTTGAGGCTATTACTCTGTAGGATGCCAAGAATGACTTCCCATAACTTTATAGTTTGCTGTTTCTGCTGCTGTCATGACAGCTATCAAAACCCAGAAAGATAGAAAATAAGAGCCTGTCAGTGACTGTATTGGGTATTTTTTGTTTTAGTTATAAAAGCAATACAAGTTCATTATAGAGGAAAAGCACACGCGCGCGCGCACACACACACACACACACACACACACACACACACACACACTCTTAACAGGACACAGAGTATGAAATAAAAGACAGGTCTGTACAGGTCCCTTCACCACCCAACTTACATATATAAGTGAGATCATACTATACATTTTGTATTTCCACTTGCTTTTACTTCTCTACTTTTAAATATATTCTGGCCATTTTTCCATTTTAATTCATGTAGTTCTATCTCATGGTTAATAGCTTTACAATGGTTCCATAGGACATTTGTATCATGGATTCAATACACATCTTTATCTAGCCCCTATTCATGGAATCTGTTTTCTTCTAATTTTTCCCAATCATTAAACATATTTTAATGAATGCCCTTTCAGGGATCTTCACTGACTGAAGTAGGTATAGAGTAACCATAAAATTGGCAGAAAGCAGCAGTAGTCAAAAGCAATGATATTTTCAATCCCTTTCCAGTGAGAATTGAAATACAAACAAAAGTCTGAAGAACATTTGAGTGACTTGTTCTACAAACAAACTTTATGTTCAGATTTCAAAATGGGATAAACTTTGTAGATGGGAGAGAAATCAGACAGTTCTCTTCTCTACTACAAAAATAAGACAATTTCAGCTGAGAAGAAAAAAACAGAAGTAATGAATTGCTAAGCAACAGAGATCCTGTTTACATGCAAATATTGGTAGTAATAACAAAAAAAACAGGGTGCAGGAATAACACAGGAAATATGATCTGAAAGCAAAATTGCATATAATAAAATATTTGGGTCTTGTTTTGGAGTTTGGTTTTCCACAACAAGTCAACAGCTATTTATGTTGACACCATCTGAATTAACTGGCCTCAAAGCTAACCTGACATTTTGCGATCTGCCATCTGTCTAGGAAGGAAGTTTATTCTGACAAAGACAAAGACTAAAAGGTGTTTGTGCATCAGCTTATCTCTTCTAAGGACCTTAATAAGAAGGTCAACTTTGTGGTGCTTCAAACTTTTCTTACTAGCAAGATCTGAGGCATGTTGGAGCATAAATATTTCTACTAGGATATGAGCCCTTTAAACTATAGTGGTTTATTCTTTTTACTAGGATGGATTTTTAACCTTCCAGTGGAATGTATAAAGGCTAAGTCACTTTTCCTAAGCAAAGTTTTAAGATGATTTTTAGAACAGGTTTAGGTTTACAGCAAAATTGAGAGAAAGGCACAGAGATATCCCATATACTCCTGCCCCCATATACACACAGTCTCCCTACTATGCTGTAGCCATATTTACAGCAACTTTTCCGGAAATGTAGGATTAGAAGTTAGGCTTTCTGTATTTTTTCCTTTAATTTGTTTTTAGATTTTTTTAATATGTGAAGACATTGCTTTTCTTCTGTTAGATATGTTAGGTTTGTGATTATAGAATTTTTTAGACTAAAAATCAATTTCTTCAGAATTTTGAAGGCCTTGTTCTAATACCTTTTAGCTTCCAGTAACACTATTAAGAAATATAATTAAATTTTTATTTATGATTCTCACATTGTGTTTTTGTTCTTTATTTCCTCTTTCTGTAAGATGTTAGAACTTCTCTTTATCTCTGGTGTACGCAGATCTCATGATGAGGTATACATTTGTTTGGGTATTATTTTTTAAAAATTCATTTAATGAGTACTTGGTGTTCTCTTTCAATTAAGTTACAAGTGTTCTTCAATTATTTTGAAAACTTCATTAAGAAAGAAGAAAGACCTCAATAATCTAACCTTTCATATTAATACACTAAACATAGAAGAGCACACTAATCAGAATGCAAACAGAAAGAAGAAAATAATAAAGATTACAGCAGAAATTAATGAAAAAGAAAACAGGAGAACAATAGAGAAATTTAGTGGCACCAAGGAATGGTTTTTGAAAAGCTCAATAAAATTAACAAAACGTTAGCTAGATTGACCAAGAAGAGAGACAGAGAGAGAGAAGACACAAATTACTAGAACTAGCAATGAAAGGAGACAAACTACTAAGCTTAGAAACACAAAAAGAATTATGAAGAAATACTAAGAACTCTTGTACACCACATGTTAAATAAATTAGATTAGCAGTCCCTAACCTTTTTGGCATCAGGGACTGGTTTCATGGAAGACAATTTTTCCACAGATTGGGGGTGGGGTATGGTTTTGGGATGAAACTGTTCCACCTCAGACCATCAGGCATTAGTTAGATTCTCATAAGAAGCATGCAACCTAGATCCCTCCCATGCACAGTTCACATTAGGGATCCACTCCTGTGAGAATCTAATGCCACCGCTGATCTGACAGGAGAGGAGCTCAGGCAGTAATGCTCCCTTGCCCTCCACTCATCTCCTGCTGTGTGGTCCAGGGTTGGGAACCCCTGAATTAGATAAAATGGACACATTCCTTGGAAGTTATGGACCACCAAAATTGACTTGTGGAGAAATCACAATCTGAATAAACCTATAATAAGTGAAGAGATTAAAGTATTAAAAACAAAACTATCCACAACATAAAGCCCTGACCCAGATAGATTGACCATTAAATTCTACCCAAAATTTAAAAAATAGAATTCATACCAGTTCTGTTTTCAAAAATTAGCAGAGAGAACACTTCCCAACTCATTCTATTAATCAAAACCAAAGATATCACAAGAAAACTACAGAACAATGACTCATGAATATAGAGTCACACAACCTCAGCAAAATACTCACAAACTGAATCCAGTGTCATATAAAAAGAATTACACATGTGACCAAGTGGGATTTAGTCTTAACATCTGAAAATAATTAATGTGATACATATTATCAATATTTTAAAATCACATAATCATTTTAATAGACGCAAAAAAAGTTGACAAAATTCAAAACTCTTTCCTAATAAAAACAATAAATAAGAATAGAAGGACTCAATCTGATAAAGGCTATCTACGAGAAACCCACAGCTAACATCATATCTAACACTGGAAGACTGAACAATTTACCTCTAATATCAGGAACTAGACAAGGATGTTTGCTCTCAGCACTTACATTCAACATTATACTGAAGGCTCTTGCCAGGGAAATTAGGTAAATAATGAAATAAAATGCATTTAAATTTGAAAGGAGAAAGTAAAACTGTTTCAATTAACTGAATGTGTGATCCTGTGTAGAGAAAATTCTAAGGAATCTACTAAGAACTATTAAAATGAATAAATGAGTTCAACAAATGAACAGAATTACAAAGCCAATGTACAAAAAAATTGCATTGATGCATACTTGCTATGAACAGAAAATAAAATAAAAAATTTAATTCACAGTAGTATCAAAAGAATAAAATACATTAAAAATATTTAACAAAGGTAGCATAAAATTTATATTCTGAAATGTACAAAACATTACTGAAAGAGATGAAAGAAGATATAAGCCAATGAGAAAGCATACCATGTTTATAGATTGGGAGACTTAGCATTGTTAATAATACACCCCAACTGATCTACAGATTCAATACAATTTCTATCAAAATCACAGATTATTTCTTCTTAGAAATAGAAAAAGTGATTCTGAAATCTATATAGAATGCAGAAAAGCCAAAACGAGTCTGTAAAAGAAGAATAAAATAGAAGGACCCTCATTTTCTGATTTCAAGATTAAATACAATATAACAATCATCAAAACAGTATGATACTATCCCCAGGATAGACATATATGTCAATGAAATAGAATCAAAAGTTCAGAAATAAACACATACGTCCATGGTTAACTGATTTTAAACAAGAATGCCAAGACCATTCAAAGCTGAAAGAATAGTCTTTTCACAAGTGGTTCTGGGAAAATTAGATATCTACATGTGAAAGAATGAAGTTGGATCATAATTTACACCATACATAAAAATTAAATGGATCAAAGACCTAAATGTAAAAGCAGAAAACTGTAAAATGTTTACAAGAAAATATAAGGGTAAATTTTCATGACTTTGGATTTGCAAAGAATGTATAAGATGCCACCAAAAACATGAGCAACAAAATAAAAATTAGATAAATGAGACTTGATCAAAACTAAAAATTTATACTTCAAAAGACACCACCAAGAAAGTGTAAAGACAACCCACAGAATGGGAGAAGATAGTTACAAATCATATATCTGATAAGGGACTTGTATCCAGAACATATAAAAAGCTCTTACAACTCAATAATAAAAAGACAAATAACACAATTAAAAATAGGTGAAAGATCCAAATAGACATTCCTCCAAGAAAGGTATATAAATGGCTCACAAGTACATGCAAAGATGCTCAGTATCATTAGTCATCAGGGAAATGTAAATAATAACCATGGTAAATCAAGGAGTTACCACTTTACATCTCCATTAAGATGGCTAGAATAAAAATGTTAGATAACAAGTGTTGGTGAGGATATAAAAAAATCAATATCTCCGTACACTACTAATGGGAATATAATATAGTGCAGCCACTTTGGAAAACAGTCTGGCAGTTTCTCAAATGATTAAACTTACAGATACCATATACCCCAGTAATTTAACTCTTACTAATATATCCAAGAGAAATGAAAACATGTGTCCCCCACCACATAGAAACTTGTATACAAATGTTTATAGCAGCAATATTCACAATAGCTAAAAGGTGGAGATAACAGAAACATCCATCAATGGACCCATGAATAAACAAAATATGGTATATTCATATAATAAAATATGATTCAACCATTACAAGGAATGAAATACGGACAGTCCTCAACAATGATTTGACTTACAGCTTTTCAATTTTTTGACTTTAAAATAATGAAAAAATGAATGATACACAAACAGTAGAACCTGTACTTTGAATTTTGATTCTTGATCTTTTCCCAAGCTAGTGAATATGCTGTACAATATTTTCTCCCCATGCTGGGCAGCAGCAGTGAGTCAAAGCTTCTGGTCAGGTACGTGCTCATGAGAGCAAACAAATGATACCCTACAGTGTGCTGTGTTGCCGGATGATTTTGCCCAACTGGAGGCTAATTTAAGTGTTCTAAACACATTTAATGTAGGCTATGCTAAATGATGATATTTGGTGGTTAGGTATGTTAAATACATTTTGACTTCACGATATTTCCAATTTACAAGGGGATTATCAGGACATGCCTCCATTGTAACTCAAGGAGCTTATATGTACTGATATATGCCACATCATAGATGAACCTTGAATAAATTCTGCTAAGTGAAAAATGCCAGTCACAAAAGACCATGTGCTGTATGATCTCATTCTCATGAAAGCCCAGAAAGACATATAGACACAGAAGGTAGATTTGTGGTTGCTCAGGGCTGAGGCAGCTAAAGGATGACATTTAGAGGCTACGGAGTTTGTTTTTGAGATGATGAAATGTTCAAAAATGGACTGTGGTAAAGGTTGCACCTATTGGTGATTATGCTGAAAGTCTACAGAATTTTACATTTTAAATGGGTGAACATGTGATATATAAAATATATCTCAATAAAGCTGATAAGGGGAAGAATGATAGGAAATGTTGCAGGGCAAAGAGACTTGTGTTTAGGTAAGGCCTCACTGAAGAGGGGACCTTTAGGGAAAAAGATGAAGAGGAGGAGTGAGATATTTAGATATTTCTAAGAAGAGTATTCCAAGTGTAAAAATCCTGAAATATGAAGTAAAGACTGTTACAAATTATCTGTGTTTGTAAACTGACTTTAGTTTTACCTTCTGTGTCTGTGTTTAATGTGTAATATATCCAATTAACAACACTGTTTGGGTGATATTCATTCCCAGACTAGAAATGAATTGCATTGTTTTAGTTGCTAAGGAAAAAAAATAATGAACTAAATGTACATGATCTTTATCCAATAAGGAGAAAGGCACTATTTAAATGTAGTGGAAATTTGTTGCATACCTCCTTAGCAACCATTCCTTACTTTCCCATTACCAGAGCTTCCAGTCACTGTTTAGAAATCCATTTGGTTCTGGGTAATTCAACCATACCTCCAGATCCACAGACGCACCCTATGACCTGGGATAAGCCAAGCAATACAATCTATTCCCTGCACACAGAGTAGGTAACAAGGTAGAGATGTAATTTAAGTTGTTTAAAGAAAGTGAATCTCTGGATATTTGCTGGTAATGATTGGCAAAGGCTCACTTTTATGCAGAGCTGAGCAACAAAAAAATGCAGCTCCAGCACCTATTGGCAGTCATTATAAGACCTCCAGAAAAGCCAGTCTTAGGATAAAGCCAATAATGCTGAAGGCAGAAAAAAGTCAGGTCCTCATTAAGTGCTGAATCAAGCTATACTTTAAGCCAGTATTATCTTTGGAAATATACTTACATGAATAATAAATTAGTTTTGTGTATAAGCCACCGTTAGTTGGCTTTTCCAACATGTGCAACCAAAAGAAGAATAACAGTTTCAGAATTTTGTGCCAGGAGTGGGGCATTATAATTAACAGAGAAGTGTGAAATGGATCTAGTCAAAGAGGTAGGATTGAAAGCAATAGGAAACCTTGTATCCTAGTCTGGAAAGTATACAATTCTTGTTATACAGAATCAAAGCAACTAGTTAAACTGTGAACTATTGTTTCTTGGCATTTAAACTTTGCTGTCCAAGGCTGTAGTATTGGTTATTTAGTAAAAAGTAAAACTGTATTGGAGAGTGCTGGCTACATTTTGCAGAATTGTGGGCTTCTGGGATATCTGAATGCATAAAAGAAAGAAAATATGACTTTCTAAAAGAGGCTCTTTCTGCCTGTCAACTACAATATAAATTTATTAAGAGTATAGTAATTTGAAGACCTGCAGGCTAGATGAATGTAAATTCTATGCCCCAAAGGCAGAAAAATAAACCCAAGGTGGAAATAATATTGAGATTTCTGAGTCTTCAGGTCTCCCCCAAATGCCTCTTATTTGCTTTATCTCATGAGGAAGACAGTTCCACCCATGTGAAGGTAGAGCAAAGATGCATTTTGGGGGCAAGGCAAATATAGTCAGTGCCTTGGCCACTGAGGCCATTGTCGAGAGATAGAAGTATCCAGGTTTGTCTTGAAACTCAGAATGATGAATTTGGAATGTATGTGGCTTTAGCTGCTGGATTACGGATCCATACAGAAACTACTTTATTTGAAGGGAGTTGTGAGATGGCTTATCATGGAACTATATAACAGCAATAGCTAACTAATACACTTTTATTTTCATTTTTCTCATCTTCTGTTCAAAAACTTATGTTCCAAGTATGAGAAACTACAAATCTGTTCATTGACTTTCTCTTGACTGTAACTATGGAGGCTCATGGGAAGGTCCTTTTAGAGGAAACCCTATTGTTCTTTTTTCCCCACTAAAGTTATCTAAGAGAAGGAGAAGTATTATTAACGTGTAACTCTAGAAACATATTTAGAAATTCCATAAAATCACTCTTGATTATTTTATTTAAAACATGCAAGAAGTATTTTTGTTCACCCACTTGACTGTAAGCTCCTTAAAGCAAGGATGTGCTTTGCGTGTGACCTTCTTTCCACATTCCTATTCCTGTTATATCAATTTCAACACTATAAAATCAACTGCAATCTTCTCATAATAATGCTAAGTTATATAATTGAATAAACACAGCTGGACAAGTGACTGAGAATTGACGATTAGAAGGGATAAAGGAGTTAACTTCTGTTGAGCACCTGCTATGCTAGATACACAGCACATTTAAACACCAATCCTGAAAGGTATTATCTTTCTGATTTTACAGAGGAAAAAATTGAGCCTCAGAGAAATCAAGTATGTTTCATATTCAATGGCAGACTTATGTTTTTAATGCAAATTCATTCAGCTTCAATGCCAAAAAATGTGCATTTTGCTATAGGTATAAATACATTGGGGTTGGGATGATCTATGAGTCTCTGCCTTGATACTGCCTCTGAGATTAAACATCCTTATACATGTTGATGCTTCAATCGCTATTTTTTTCTGTTTTTTTTTTTTTCCAAACTTGTATAGCAATTATAACAAGAAGGCAATTACTTTTCACCCTGGGGAATAGATATTGGCACTAATCATGCAAATTAATTCTAAAGGTCAGATGAGAGTGTAAATGTGGGTCAGTACAAGCTGTAAAGCAAACATTTTGGCACTGGAAGGGGCAAATAAATTAGTGTTAGAGAATAGAGTCTAAAAAGAAATCTGAAAGTACATGAGAAATTAATATGTGATAAATATGTCTCAAAATCACTGGGAAATATATTAAATAATGTTGGAGATATTGGAAATAAACTTAGAAGAATATATCCTTAGGTTTTGATATTAAATGCTATACATAAAGGAAATTCTGGTTGGTTTATAATTTAAATTAAAAAATCTATAAACATAAAATATATACAATACATTTTTAATCTTGGATAGAAGGCAAAGGGGAAGACAATCTTCCTGCATATATGACATTCTTATATCTATTTTCCTATTATTCATCTGTCTATCCATCTATCTACCTGCCTACACATGCACACATTAGCATTTGTATGTGTGTTGCATCTATATTCATATTCAAAATTGGATTATTGGTGGCTTATTTTGTGTGTGTATTTGTACCTTTTTTAGATAAAGTTAAATCTATTCTTCATCTATTTGCTCTTAAAAATTTTATTGTTTAAAATATAATAGTTATACATATTTTGGGGGATAGATGGCATTTTGATACATGTGTAAATTGTGTGATGATCAAATCAGGGTAATTGGGAAACCCATCACACCAGACATTCATCTTTGTTGCAATATGGATAGACCTCGAGGTCATTATGTTAAGAGAAAAAAGCCAGGCACAGAAAGACACATACTGCATGTTCTCTTTCATGTGGAAGCTGACAAAAATGGATCTCATGGAGGTGCTGAGTAGAATGGCGGTTACCAGAGGCTGGGCAGGCTATGGAGAGGGCATGAAGAGAAGTTGGTTAATGGGTGCAAAAATACAGTTAGTCAGAAGCAATATGTTCTAATGCTCTATAGTACAGTAGGGAGACAATAGTTAACAATAGTTTCTTGTATATAAATTATCTATAATATAATCGTATTTGAATTGAAATATTCTCAACATAAACCTATATTTTTAAATGAACAAAAGTCATCAACAATATTCAGTCTGTGAACAGGTACCATGTCTTTATGTGCAGCTATTAAAAGTGGCCAAATACAGAGCCTCCTTTTGGACCGAAGTAATATTTTCCACAAACTGAAAAAGAACAGATGGCCCCGGCTTTCCTGCAGCAATTGAGCCCATTTCTGGATACACCAAGGGTGTTCCTCTGCCTACCTTGTTCTGTGTTCTTCATCTACCATCCCTGCAGACATAGCCAGAGTGGGATTCCCCAGGGCAGAACCTGACAATGTGCTTCTCATCAGTTAAAACTCGTGCAACGGCTTCTTTTCCGTCTCTCTCCTTCCCCATTCTCTACTCATGTTTTCTCTGACTTGGCACTTTCATGCATAAAACACTGTAATGGTAAGCTCAAGCTTAGTATACCAAATCTGTTTCTAAGAAGTGTTGAAGCTCAGTTGGGTGGGTTTATAAGCGCTTTGTGAAAATCCAAATCTTGGGGCTTAGAATGTATTCATTCTGTCTGAAGAGAGTTCATTTACCCCTTCTTCCCTTTTTCTCTGTCATTAGCCTTCCTTCCTCTAGCCCAGCCCCCCTCCCTATGTCCTGTTTCTCTTCACCACCTCTGCCCCCACTACTCTGCATACACAGAGATAGAAAAGGATGATTGTATTCACATGGCCAGCAGAGTCTGTTATTTCTACCGTGCGAAAGTCAGGAGTGAGCGATTAGAGTCCAGCAGATCAGAGGATGCACAGAGAGAAGACGGTGACGGACTCATATTTCTGGGCCATGGAAGTGGGAGATGGAGAATAAGAGGCATAGCACAGCAGATAGGAGACAGTTTTGGTTTGGATTTAGGTCAGGATTTAGGCATTTCCCACAAATGGGAAAGGGAAGACATTCTAACAAAAAGGATTCATTTAGATCAGGATGTGATCTTTTGGGTTGAGAATCAAAGGAGTCAAACTGTAGTGGCTGCCTGAAGGGATAAAGGGAGATGGAAATAAAAGCACTTTACTAATTCCTGCCACTGAAATGTGGTATTACTGTTTTTTCCCCATTGAGCTCCTGTTTATTTCCTCTCAGGTGAACCTCTTGTGCTACCTCTTATCCAATGATTGTCAGCTTCTTCAGGCTGGAAGTGTCATGTCAATCAGAAATAAATGGGGGTGGATGAAAGAAGAATTTGAAGCAGAGCTGTCTTAAGCTTTACTCACGCCGGACAATGTCCGAATCACTATGATTTTTTTTCAGAAGAGGAAATCTCAGTAATAAGTGGAAAAGGTACAGCAGTATTAAACAGGAAGGTTTCTTGTCATCTTTTCTAATGAGTTTCTTTGATCACTGGCTATGCTCTTCCCCGCTAAAACCTGCTACTCTGAAGGAACATGAGCTGTTGCATTTACCTCCTTGTTGTCCCATGGCTTCAGGGCCTGCAGTGGATGGAGCTGACTTCATTTCTTTCTTCTCAATGCTAGGGATGATTTCTATTATGTACTTCTTGTGAAGTCTTATGCCCTGATGGAGATCATGTATTTTCAGAAGTCGTCTGGGAACATAATTCCATATCCTACTGATGTTGCTGATACGAACAGAAGGCAAGGGAGATACTGGGTAGAAGAGGGCAGTTCCCCAGCAAAGCCTCAAGCCTGGAAACCTACGGCCCTAAATGGGAACAGGCATTCCTGTTTCTGCACCCAAACGTTGCCTTTTGGCCTGCCACGCCCCCCATCCTGTACCCATATAAACTCCAAACCCCAGGCTCCATGAGCAGAAGAGCAGAGGAATAGAAGAGTGGCAAGGCAAAGAAGGAGAGAAGAGAAGAAGCATCTGAATATCAAGAGGAGTTCAGCTGGGGGCAGTTGGAGAGAAGATCAGCCGCAGGCTGGCTGAACTCCAGGTGAAGATCTCATCTTCCCACTCCATTCCCTTTCATCCCGCTGAGAGCCACCTCCATCTGGCAATAAAATTCCCAGCATTTACCATCCTTCAATTTGTCTGTGTGACCTGATTTTTCCTGGATGCCAGACAAGAACCTGGCTACCAAGAGGGCACTGAGCTGGTTAACGTTTAAGCTGTCTGTGGATGTCAGAGCTAAAAGGAGCACTGCAACAAGCCCATCAAGGTTTCAGGAGTTGCAGGTACTCTCCCCAGACGCTACTGTGGGGCTGGAGCCCAAAAGTGCTCATCCCGGCTCCTGCGCCTGCCTGTCTGAATGGTCCCCCTCCTGTAAGCGGTTTGAGCATGTGGTGGCCAAACAGATAAGCCACACCCCTCTAGAACTTCCTGTGAGGGGGGTCAGGGAACTCTCCCATCTCATTGCTTCTGGTTAAGATCTTCCATATGTAATTTGAATTCTACATTTTCGGAGTAAGCTCAGATCATGTTAATTTTGCTTTTGCTCTAGAATATTTTCTGTTTCCTATTTATGTGAGGAAACATTATAGCAGAATGTCCACATTCTAGACCTAAAGTATCTCCTAGCTGGTATGCCACAGTGGCTCATTTTCAAGGAGCTGAGTTACAGATAGGAAAAATATTGCCTGACTATTACACCTTTCTCGAAAAAGCTAAGCATACCCTTCCTGGCCCTGTTTTTGTGGGAATGCAGCAGCTCATATGAATATCATTAGAAAAAGAATAAACTCTCTCTACATCCCTTTCACTCTCATGGCATTAAGCAAGATCAGGCCTTGATTATAAGGCACGTGGGCTTTTGTCCAAGGAGCAAATTAAATAAGTGACCTTTTCAAGGAAAAAGAGGAATACTGTAGTACTCAATGATATCATAGTTTCTGAGAGCAGCCTGAGATCAAAAGTAAAGGCGGATTTTGAGGAAAAAATGATGCAATGAATGTGTGAATAAAAGTAGTCAGAAATTTGATCTAAGGTTTCAGATAGTAAATCAAAATAATTTATTTGAGTCTCTACATGATCTCTCTCTCTCTCTTTCTCTTCTGTTGGAATTAGATACTTGGATTTCATTAGTTATTTTATTTTCTTGTTTACTCTGTGGCCTTTCCCTGTAGCAGGAACACTCAAGCTATTCAAAGGAGAAGAAGCCAAATAAATCAAATTCTTTAAGTCACAGCTTAGAGATACTTGCTGGTTCCTGTAGACCTTGAATCTCCAGAAAGATCTGGGATAATTTAAATGTGAGAGTAAGAGAGATTTAGAACTTTGCAACCATAAAACTTATATTTGACTGAAGATATGGGCCAGTGGATACAACTTCCTGAGGAATATAAATATGCCAAATATGCAAAAGAATATTTGATCACCCATGACTGGAGGAAAGCTACTAAGTGACTCTGCCAGGCCATACTGTTGACTTATTTGTAAAAGGAGGAGGCTGAAAATATGAAAGACACCTTTAGAAGTAAGTGAGAGCCAAGAAAATACAACAAGAGAGGAACGTATTCTCATCCACTGACTCCCATAGCACACAGACTTTGGAGTCAAAGGGTTGAGGGCTGTGTGACCTTCTCATAGTTGTTAACTGTTCTGAGCCTTCGCTAACATGATTGAGAATGAAAATCATCATAGACTGGTTTCAGTGTATTGTTGGTGCCCCAAAGCAACAGAATTCTGGGTGTACACAGGCTGCTAGATGTGCCCAAGTGTGAGCGTGCTGGAAGTTAGAAAGCTGATGAAACATTTTAATCTGAGCTTTGTGCCTTGAATGAACTCTGTGTTCCTCCTGGTAGCCTACTTTACCCTAGGAATCAAAATAGAGCTTTGAACCATTTTCTTTATAAACTGTCCTCCTAACCCCCATCCCCTGCAGTTCCCACACACACTGAGGCCAGCTTTGGCCCACTTTGCCTTTCCCAGGCTTCAGGAGCCCAAGAGACACTAAAACCTGGATTTGTTGGAGTCGTCTATCCTGCAATTTCCCCAAACACATACTGAATAAAGAACTCTAAAACTAGTTTTCATGGGCTATTTGTTCTGTCTTCCCCCAATCTCTTTATACTTAAATTATGACTGAAGTCAGCTCCAAAGTACTTAAGTGCCAGTGATTTTGCTATTCGTATGCTATGTTTCTATTGACTTTAAAACTAATCTGATCATTCAAAAAGCTGCCAAACCCAGCCCAGAGGAATAAAGAAATAAGAGGCAACCTTTAAATAGGGGAGGGTGGGCATCCATGGCTGCCGGTTAAGAGAGCACTTCCCCCAGGTGTGACTATATTAAAGCCATATTTCACTTTAATGGGGAAAGACTGGAGGGGAATTGGGAGAAGGTGACCCCTCCTGACGCATGGGATTCCATTTGGGCTAATAAAAGACCACTTAGCTATGAGGGCTCATTACAATTAAATTGTCTCTAAACAGTTGCTTGCTTGGTAAACTTCAAAAGTGGAACAGCTGGGGCATATGTAGGTTGGGGGGCTGAGGTCTGTCCCTGCCCTGGAGCCAGCAGTGGATTTCAGGGGCCCTTGTAAATCTAACTGCATAGGAGGTGCTGTTGAATGTCCTTGTAGTCTGTTTCTCTCAGCAGAGGACTCCAAGCCAAGTACCAAATCTGCCCCAAACCTAATATAAACTTTTTCCTTTCTCATGCTACCCTATTCTAGTTTGGTTTCAAGGTAATATTACCCTTGTTAAATGATTTGGGGATAGTTCCCTCCTTTTCTAGTTCCTGATACGATTTATAAAATAGAGACTGTTTATTACTGGATAGTTAAATTGAACTTGCTATAAAACCTTAACACAGTGACTTTGTTTATAGACTTTTATTTTTAATGTAAAATTGGAGAAGTTTTGATATATGTGTATACTTGTGAGGGCATGAGCATGATTAAGATAGTGAAAGCATCTGTAATCTCCCCAAATTTGCCCTCGTCCCTTTGTAATTTATCTTTCTAGCTTCTCAAATCTCTACCCTAACCTAGGCCCCAGAGGACCATTAATCTATTTTCTATCATAGTTTGCATTTCAATTATACATGCATTATAGACTTTATGTTATATTTTTATTTGTCTGTTTAAACAACCAATTATCTTTTAAAAATCTTTAAGTAAAAAATTGAATATATTTACCCACATAATTAGGATTAAATAGTATTTTATTGCTTTGGTTTATCCATATATCCATATGCTAACATTTTTCATCTGCCTTAAGGACTTTTTGTAACATTTCTTGTAGTTGAGGTCTTTTTGTGATGCATTATTTTAACTTGTAATGATACATTACATAACAATGATACAATACATTGTATCATTTTTAAGGATTTTTTTCTAGACACAACATTCTAGGTTTAGAGTGTTTTATTTCAGTACGTAAAAGGATGTTGCTATACTGTCTCTGTGCTTGCATTGTTTCAGACAATAAATCTGCTGTCAACCTTATGTTTTATGTAATGTTCCTTTTGCTTCAGGCTCCTTTTAAGATTTCTCTTTATCACTAGTATTGATCAATTGGATTATGATAAGTCTTGGAGTAGTTTTCTAAATAATCCTTGTGCTTGACATTGATTATGCTTCTTAGATTTGTGGATTTGTAGTTTTTCTCAAAATTTGAAATGTTATGACTATTATTTTTAAAATATTTTTTTCTGTCACTGGCTTTTTCAGGAATTTAAGATACATGTGCCAGCTTACTTGAAACTGTTTCAGAGCTCACCGATGCTTTTTTCACTTTTGAAATTATTATTTTTTCTTTTATGTGAATCACTTGCATATTTATAATGTCTTCTGGTTTACTTATCTTGATATTTAATCTGTGTTAATCTCATTCAGTGTATTTTTTAATTGATACATAATATTTGTACATATTTGTTGTTCCCTTTTACCTGAGTCCTCACCAGAATCTGTCATTTTTCAGTCTTTTTAATAGCCATTCTAACTGAGGTAGGGTGATATCTCCTTGTGGTTTTGATTTGCATTTCCCTGACGATTAGTGATGTTGAGCATTTTTTTCATATACCTGTTGGCCATTCGTATGTCTTCTTTTGGAAAATGTCTATTCAGGACCTTTGCCTACTGTTTAATGGGATTATTTATTTTATTTGTTTATTTATTACTGTTGACTTATTTTAGTCCCTTGTCAGATGAATAATTTGCAAATATTTTCTCCTACTCAATACATTGTCTATTCACTTGCTGATTATTTTCTTTGCTGTGCAGAAGCTTCTTAGTTTAAAATAGTCTCATCTGTCAATTTTTTTTATTACCTATGCTTTTGAGGTCTTAGCCACAAAATATTTGCTTAGATAAATGTCCTGACGTGTTTCCTCTATGTTTTCTTCTAGTTTTATAATTTCAGATCTTACATTTATCTTTAATCCACTTTGAGTCAATTGTTGTATATGGTGAGAGATAGCAGTCCAGTTTCATTCTTCTGCATATGAATATCCAATTTTCCTGGCACCATTTACTGAAGACGGTTTTTTTCCCCAATGTATGTTCTTGGTGAGTTTGTCAAAAATTAGTTGGCTGTAACAAATATGTGGATTTATTTATGGGTTCTCTGTTGTGTTCCATTGGTCTCTGTGTCTGTTTTTGTATCAGTATCATGTTGATACAAACTATGCAAAGTTACTACAGTTTTGTGATAAATTTTGAAGTCAGATAGTGTGATATCTCCAGTTTTGTTATTTTTGCTTAGGATTGCTTTGGGCATTGAAAATCTTTTTTGGTTTGATGCAAATTTTAGGATTTTTTTCTGGTTCATGAGAAATGACATTGGTATTTTGATAGGGATTACATTAAATCCATAGATTGCTTTGGTTAGTTTGGTTATTTTAACAATATTAATTCTTCTGATCCATAAGCATGGAATGTCTTTCCATTTGTGTGTGTCCTATCCATTTTTTTGAATTAGTATTTTGTAGTTTTCCTTGCAGAGATCTTTCACCCCTTTGATTAAATTTATTACTATGTTTGTTTGTTGTTTTTTGGCAGCTACTGTAAACGGCACTGCGTTCCTGGTTTCTTTCTCAGACAGTTCATTATTGGTATAAAGGAAATGCTACTGATTTTTGTATGTTGATTTTGTATCCTATAACTTTAATGAATTTGTTTATCAGGTCTAAGTGTGTTTTGGTGGAGTCTTTAGTTTTTTTCTAGATCTTCCTGAGACTTGAGATACTTGTGAACAGTTTGATCCTTTTATTTCTTGCTTTGGAGATTTGTTGGGTAGGAAAAGAACAGCATTTAGTCTAGGCCTAGTTATGTTCCACTAATGAGATAAGACTTTCTGAGACTTTTACCTAATGCCCTATAAATTACAAGGTTTTTCTCTCTGTCTTGTTGGAACAATCCAGGCAGTGTTCCCATACAGTGAGAATATGAGCTACCATTTCTTCTAATCATTTTGGATGCTCTTTCTCCTGTGTCATGTAATTTCCTCATACACATATACTGAAGAGTGCTCTGTTGAATAATCAAGGATAATTTTCTGCTTGTCTCTAGTTTTCTCTCTGTGTGGCTCCCTCCTCTCTGGTATTCTGTCCTGGGAAGTCCAGCCACACTGATAATCCCAGATTTTCAGTTCTGTCTTCTCAACTCAGGAGTTTTTCATTCTTCATCTGGATTGCCTCTTCCTGAATTAAATCCTGGACAGAGTCTCGAAAGAGTAAGATGGGAAGGTCTTAGGCCTCAGCTCATTGCTTTCCTAGATCCCTCTGACAGATCATAATCTTTTGTTGCCTGATATTCAATTGTTCCTGGTATTTTGTCTGTTTTATTTTTGTTTGTTTGCTTCAGGTGGCTAGGCAAAAATGACTTCTGTTACTTTTTCTTGGTGGAAAGTAGAATCTACATTAATTCATTTTCTCTAATGGCTAACGAGTATATTTTGTTTTGTCTGTTAAATTTTTTCTTGAGTACTTTTAAAATAATCTTTTAGTAAAAGCTTCATTACATTTAAGTTGTCAAATTTATTACACGCCAATGTTCCTTATATTGTCTTTTAATTTTTAAAAGCCTATGTCATCTGCAATTACATCAAATTTTTACTCTTAGATTAATTACTTGAAAGTTCCATTTTGCATTGACCAACCTGTCAACATTTTATGTATTTCATTTTCCTACTAATTTTTTTCTGTTGCTTTTGATGGTTTGTTTTGTTTAATGTTTCATTAATGTATTCTTTCATGTTTATTATTTTCTTCTTTCTATTTTTCTTGGAATTACTCAGATTTTCTAAATTGCAGAAGTAAAATTTTAAGAAATACTTTTTACTTCCTAAAATAGACACTTAAGACTATATGTTTCATTTTAAGAACTTTAGCACTGCTTTTATTACAATTCATTGTGGAACATGTTATCAATTCTCATATGATTTCTATACTGACCCATGAATTCCTTTAAAATATTTTAAAATAACCCAAATACAAAGAGTGAAGGTGAGAATACAGTTGTCTACCTTTATTGGGTTTGGTAGCTTTATTGTCTTATGATCTGAAAAAAATCTAAGCTTAAAGTTAAACATATTTTGTTGCATAGTTTTCTTAAATCTTATCAATTGTTTGGTTAATTTAATCTGTCAATTACCAATATAATTTTTTTCATTGTCTTCTTAACCTTCCTTGTTTCTGATGAGAAGTTAATAGTTATTTGAATCATCATTTCCTCTCTGTATGCAATGTGTTGTATTTCTCTGACTGCTTTCAAAATATTGGTTTGTAGCAATTTTTGTGTGATATGTTGAGGTATGATCATCTTCATGTTTAGCCTCTTTGGGTGGCTGAATTTCCTGATTCTTTAAATTTCTGAATTGCTTCAAATTTGTAAACTTCAGTTGTTAATTGTTTGAAAATTTTTTTTTGCCATTCTGTATCCTCATTGTCTGAGATTTCAAATAATCATATTTTAAAACATTTAATATTGTCCTACAGGTCTCCAATACTTCCGCCACTATTCTTTTTCTCTGGGTTCTTCAGATTGGATACTTTATATTGATTCATCTTGATGTTCTTATGTTATTTTCATTGCTTAGTTCAAACCACCTCATAATTTTTTAGAATTTTTGGTATTGTATTTTTTATTTTTATAAATTTAAGGGGTACAAATGTAATTTTGTTCCATAGGTTTATTGCAAAGTGATGAATTCAGAACTTTTAATGTATCTATCACCCAACTAACATACATTGTACCCATTAATTAAGTTCTCGTCATCCACCCTCCTCCAACCCCTCCAACTTTCCTAGTGTCCGTTATCTATTATTCCACATTCTGTCCGTGTGTACACATTAGTTAGCTCCCACTTATAAATGAAAACATGCAGTATTTGTCTTTCTGTTTCTAGTTGTTTTACTTAAGATAATGGCCTCTTGTCCCATCCATATTGCCACAAAAGACATAGTTTCATTCTTTTTTATGGCTAAATAGTAGTCCATTGTGTATATGTACCACATTTTCTTTACTCAATTATCCACTGATGGACACTTAGGTTGATTCCATATCTTGGCTATTGTGAATGGTGTGGTAAGAAACATGCTAGTGGTGGTATCTTTTAGATATAAGTAATTCTTTCCCTTTGGGTAGATACCCAGTAGTGGCATTGCTGGATTGAAGGGTAGTCCTATTTTTAGATGTTGGACAAATTTCCATAGTGTTTTCCATAGAGGTTGAAATAATTTACATATCCACCAATAGTGTATACATGCTCCCTTTTCTCTGCATCTTTGCCAACATCTGTTATTTTTTGTCTCTTTAATAATAATCATTCTGAGTTAGGATGATATCTCATTGTGGTTTTGATTAGCATTTTGCTGATGATTAGCAATGTTGAACATTTTTCATATACCTGTTGGACATCTATGTCTTCTTTTTAAAAATGTCTATTCATGCCCTTTGCCCACTTTTTAATAAAATTGTTTCTGGTTTTTGTTTGTTTGTTTTTGAGTTGTTTGAATTCCTTGTAAATTCTGGATATTAGTCCCCAGTCAGATGCATAGTTTACAAATATTTTATTTTGTTGTGTAGGTTGCCTATTCAGCTTGTTAATTATTACTTTTGCTATGCAGAAGCTTTCTAATTAATTAAATCCTATTTGTTTATTTTTGTTTTTGTTGCCTGTGTGTTTGAAGTCCTAGTCATGAATTCTTTGCCTAGACCAACCTTGTTCAACCTGTAGCCCATGAGCCACATGCAGCCCAGGTCGGCTTTGAATGTGACCCAACACAAATTCTTAAACTTTCTTAAAACATTATTATTTATTAGTGACTTTTATGAGCTCATCAGCTGTTGTTAGTGTTATTACATTTTACGTGTGGCCCAAGACAATTCTTCTTCTCCAGTGTGACCCAGGAAAGCCAAAAGATTGTACACCCCTGGCTTACACCAATGTCCAAAGTATTTTTTCCTAGGTTTTCTTTTAGTATTATTGTAGTTTCAGTTCTTACATTTAAGTCTTTTATCCATCTTGAGTTGATTATTGTATATAGTGAGAGATAGGGGTCCAGTTTCGTTCTTCTGTATATGGATATCCAATTTTCCAATTTTCCCAGAATTATTTATTGAGAAGGGTATCCTCTCCCTACTGTATGTTCTTGTCAACTTTGTCAAAGATCAGTTGGCTATAGAGATATGGCTTAATTTCTGGTTTCTCTGTTTGGTTTCATTGATTTATGTGTCCAATTTTACACCAGTGCCATACATCGCCCTGTATTATAATTTGAAGTCAGGTAATGTGATACCTTCAGCTTTGTTCTTTTGCTTAGGATTTCATTGGGTATTTGGGCTCTTTTTTGGTTTCATGTGAATTTTAGGATTGTTTTTTCTAATTCTGTAAAAAAATAACGTTGGTATTTTGATAAGGATTGCATTGAATCTATAGATTGCTTTGAGCAGTCTGGTCATTTGAATAATTTATGAACATGGAGTGCTTTCTATTTTTTGTGCCATGTACAATTTCTTCCATCAAAGGTCTTTCACTTCCTTAATTAAATATATTCCTAGGTATTTTATTTTATTTTGTTTTGTTTTTGTAGCTATTGTAAATGATATTGCCTCTTGATTTGCTTCTCAGCTTGATCATTTTTGGTGTGCAGAAACGCTACTGAGTTTTGTCAGTTTATTTTGTATCCTGTGAATTCAATACATTCACTTATCAAATCTAAGAGGTGTGTGTGTGTGTGTGTGTGTGTGTGTGTGTGTGTGGAGTCTTTCCAGGGAAGGGCAAGTACAAAAGCTCTGAGGTGGGAACACAGATGGAAGACCAGAGGAACAGCGAGGAGTCAAGAGCAGCTGAAGCGGATGCAAAGGGAAAAGTAGGACAGGAGGCACTGAGCAAGTTTCGGGGCCATTCCTCTGGGGAGGCAGGAAGCATGAGGGATTTGAACAGTAACAGTTTAATATATACAAATAGGGGATTAACAGGAGACTGGAGTGACAAGGGATTGACTAGTACAGGGAAAAGAGAGGCTAAAGAACACAGAAATAGTAGCTCCAGGGAGAAGCTACTGCCTATAGGACTGAGGCAGTGTACCTGTATTAGTTCATTTTCATGTTGCTGATAAAGACATACCCAAGACTGGGCAATTTACAAAAGAAAGAAGTTTAATGGACTTACAGCTCCAAGTGGCTGGGGAGGCCTCACAATCATGGCAGAAGGTGAAAGGCGCATCACACATGGCAGCAGACAAGAGAAGAGAGCTTGTATGGGCAGACTCCTCTTTAAAAAAACCATTGGATCTTGTGAAACTTATTCACTATCATGAGAACAGCATGGTAAAGACCTGCCCCCATGATTCAGTTAATTCCCGCTGGGTACCTTCCACAAGTGGGAATTATGGGAGCTATAATTCAAGATGAGATTTGGGTGGGGACACAGCCAAACAATATCAATACCCAAGGGAGGAACAAACCTGGAGAGGGGCCTTCCTCGTAGGGCTGAGAGCTAGACCTTGTGGATTTGCAGGATTTCTAGTGTTTCTAGATGCTCCTCTGTCTAATACATTTCTATGGTCAATGTAAAAATGCAGTCCTCTACAGCAGGATTTAAATAGCAGGCCCTGACCTGATTTGCCTGCATTCCAAATTGCAGATTCATAGTTTACTCCTTTCATTTCTTAAGCGTCTTGCACAAGATAGTTAAATTCTCTGTACTTCTGTTACCTTATCTATAAATAGGGATAATAATATTAAATCACACAGAATAACTGTTGTGATAATTTATAAATTAATCTCTACAAAGTACTCAGAAGGATGCCTGGTGCCTAATCAGCGTTCATTCAGTGTTACTCTTATGAACATTATTGGACAGATTTCACATAATTTCTATGCCTCACAAAAATGAACAGATTTTTATGGTCATGATGATTAATTAGTTACGATAAATCTTTTGAGAAAAAATACCCTCCCCATTATGTTTCGATGCAGGGACAAGTTCAAGTTAACGCAGAGTTGATTGAAAACAGTCACTCCCTCCTCCAACCAATTAGTGGGAGTGAGTACAAGAGAGTCTTTTAGGATACCCACATGGGAGTATTCCCCTAAATTTTTTGTGGGATGGGCTGCTGGTTTCCAATTGTACCCACTGGGTTAAAAAGAGGGGAAATGGAGTGAGATGTTATGGCTTGGTATCATTGGAGAAAAACTGGGGAATAATATCTATTTTAGAAAGAGGATGACTGCACATTCATGAACCCTGGGTGCAGCCCCTTAGAAGGAGTAAACATTGAACCCAAGTGCATTAGCCCTTCTCCATGCACTCCCAATCAGTGCTGCAAAAATAAACAGTTTATACATTCGACGTAACCCTAGAAGACCCCCCTCACCAATTATTTTATAAGTATTCCTTGGAAGATAAACACATTTCTCTAGCTTTTCTGTCCCCAGCAGGCATTTCTCTGCTATCAGCTATGGAAGTGGGATGGTAGCCCGCTTACCCCGGCACCCCAAAGCCCAGAGCTATTTTGGGAAATAGGGTATCTATATATTTACCACCCACTGGTGAAGTGTTTTATCATCTTAAATTTCCATCTCTATAAAGCTCTCCTACCTCTCCAGCTGACTGAGGTTTTCTGTCCTGGAGTATTTGAGCATGTTCGGTTGTCCATGGAGGGCACTGAGTTGGGGCCTAATGAAGCAGTGTTAGAGGTAATACTGGAACTTCTCTTCTGTTCTGTTCCATGGAAGTGATAAAATATCTACCCTCTGTTGAATACATACTATGAGCCAGAGACTGGTGTCATTTGATTTAATTCATATTACTGTCATGCCTGGTGGGTATTATTAGCCCCTCTTTAAAAAGAGGCAACTGAGTGCAAGATTACAGAGCAGGTCAACGCATGGCATGTCTCTGAAACTCCACCTACCTAATTCCAATGCCGTACTCTTTCTACTGTGACATGTTGATTTCCTATGAGGACAGGTAGCATGCATTTCATAATTCTCATGTGCTGGGAATGGTTCACAGAGATTAATGAGACCAATTGCCAATCATTGCAAGGAGCCAAACAGGTGGCATGGAACAAACAGGGAAGATAAAGTTCATTTTATTAGGCAAATGACTCGAGGTCACATAGTTAGTAAAAGACAGATATGAGGTTTGAACTCAGGTCTCTTTTCCAAAACGCACTTGTCATATTGCTGCTTTGCTCTTTGAGTCAACAATCTTTTAACCCTCTCTGATCTCATTTTCTTCAAACTTACCATGATCAATAGCAGTAGGTCTGAGCACACTACTTTTCCCCCTGTGAGCCTGCCTCATTGGGCAAATTTAATATGGTCTTGTTTCCCAGTATTTTTTCCTTTCATTATATGGGAGGGTTTTTTTTTTAACTTTGCTCCTTCTTAATTAAAAAAAAAAGATTATATGGAAGGTTTTCCTTTGAAGAACTTATTAAGCAACTACTATTTCTTCAAGGACATTTTGTCCTTTGTTATGAGATTCTTTTAAAGTATATGGAGTTTCAAAGTTCTATAGACTTTATGGTGAAGAACTAGATTTATTTTATTAAGTCTTGGGTAAATATGAGTTCTGGGAGAAGGTGCCAAACAGGTGCTAAAACAGGCCCTGGGACTGAAAAAAATATTTTGTTTTTCATCTGTACACCTTTGCACCCTTTACCCTCTGGAACATCTGCAGGTTAAAGTGAGCAGGGTCTAAGAAGGGGATTGAGATTATCAATAAGTGAAATTATATCAGAAATTATATCTGAGTTAGTTGGGAAACTGAGTGAATGAAAATAAAATGACATTTATTTATAGAAACCTGACCTATGAGCTTTTTATTTGAGAGAAAGAGGCTTTCTAGAATCCAACCCAAGTTCCAACCAAAAGCTGAATTAAGGTTGTGGAGAGTCTCCTTAATAAAATATTTAGGCTTCAAATTTAATGCCAACCTAAAATTAGATTAAAACCTTTAGAGACGACACTACATAAAATTCTTTTTGTAGCAGCTTTACATGTAGGGTTTGTTGTGGAAGCAGTAAATCTATCGGGTGATACTTTAAGTACCCAAATCCCTCTTCTCTCAAAACCTACTAACTTTGGGTGAGAATCAAGCCAATTACATCCTCAGATTGATGTAAAATCAAATAAAAAATAGAGAAAGTTGATAATAATATTGGTTCTTGATGTCAACTCAGTGGTAACTATACTTCTCAGTAAATAGGAATCCTATCTTGAACTCTCTTGTAAAAGAGTCTGGGGCTGGAAAGAAAGCTCCTCATCTCCTTCCTCTATGAGTGGCACCTACTACTTTACCACTTATTTCACCTTCTTCACCCCATTTTAGTGCTTGTCTCCCTCACTAGACCATAACTCTAGCATTGCCCAGATGGAGCACATAACTGTTAATGTTGATCAAGCTCTAACCATATGCTAGAGTTTTCTAAAGAATTTTTTCGGGGATTAACTTATTAAAATCTCTTACGACCCCTTTTGGGTAGCTAATGTCATTATATCTATTTCACACATGAGGAAATCACGACCCAGCTAGGTGAAGTAACTTGCCAAGGTCACACAATAATTAAGTGGATTTGAACAAGATTTGAACTTGAAAAACCGGGTGCCAGAGCCCAAATTCTAAACTACCAAGCTACAGTGCCTTAAATTGCTGTTGAATGAATGTCACTAGTATATATGAATCTATTATATATTGATTATTCTATACATTCTAGAATATAATTTTACATTAATTTTATATGCATCATTTCAACATGTTTGTATATATTTACATTACTCATATAATAGCTACATACTATATATAGTTAATTATACATTAGGGTTATTATTATATATTGTCTCAGTATTTGTTGAATAAATGTGTGTATATATATATATACATATATAACCTGTAAGACATATGAATGTATAATTATTCCACAAATATTTGTCAGGGTGGGATATCACATATTGTTATATATAAGGTACATAATAAATGAATGTTGCATTATTGATATGGAATATATGAATATTAAATTAACATGAATACTTCTTGAGTTAATAATTCTCTTCTCCTTGTACCTGTGACTTGGATGTTCCTCAAAGGATGCAGGGGCATGCAACATTCAGGCTGTTTTTGGAGAAGGGATGAAATAGAAGCATTATATTCTCCATTATGACAAATAAACAACCTTTGGTTCCCCATTTCCTCAAAGAACAAATTCTTTTTATTATGGTAACTTCCTATCACTAGGGCTTTTTTTTTTTATGACGACACAGCTTGTTTTTCCAGGATCTTCTGGACTCTGAAGCTTTTTAAATTAATTCTTCCCCCAACTTAGCAGTGACCTGTAAGATATAGGTAATGGCTTCCTCATTATGGTCAAATAGACTTCTCTGAAGAAGAAGAAGGATATCCTACATTATTTTTCCAATGGGAAACAAAAAAATCTACTGTTGTGATCAGACAATAAGCTGAAGCCAAAGACAGGAGTCTGAGAACATCTACTCTGTTAATTCAGATTGTGGATGGAATTCAGGCAACATTCCCACATTGGAAATTGGGCAAGAGATGACCATCGGAACTAAGAATTAAGGAATTAAGAGTCCGTAATTATATATTGCCTCATCCAGGAACCAGTGTAGACACAGAGATCATCCATGAAATAGCTCCAGCTTGCATATGGAAGGATATATATATATATGTATTTCTTTGTTGGTCCAATGAAGTTGTTTGCATTCATGCTGTTGCTTTAAGACCCTAGCCTTTAGTGAGATCCTCCATTTTCCCAGAACAGTTCAAATGAACATGGAATTGAAAACAGATGTGGGCTCCAGCATGTTATTGCACAAGGGCAAATGGGGCACAGGGAGGGAAAGGAGGGGGAGGTGGCAGGGACTGCATGAAGGGACCTTCAGCAGCCCCAGGACTCTCATCACTCGAGGGGGTCTGAACTCCGAATTCCACCAGCCTGCACTCTGAAAATGAACTCTTAACAGAAAACAGATGGGAGTGGACCTGGAGTTGGGGGAGGGGAAATGGAGGGAGGCCTGAGGAGGGGAGTGTGGTGAGGAAGGCTACAGAACAAGCAAAGTCGAGCAGTGTAGAGGGTGGGCTTGTTGACATTCTTGGTGTTAAGGACTCAAAAGTGCTCGAGGAGGTGATGCGCAATGGGGGCCACATATGCCTGGGACACCTACAGTCTCCTGCAGATAAAATGCCTGTTGTTTTCGCTCTGCTGAGAAGCATCAATGACATTCAGAAGTTCCAAGAGCAGTGAGAATCCGGCCAGATTTTTTTCTTCATTTTGCCTGGGAAACATCTCATCCAAACAGACCACTTGCTTTTGCAAATGCCAGTAGTCCTGATAAATCAAACTCACTGGAGTCAGCACAATCCTCATGTTACTTTCCATAAGGGCTCTGTCTGAGCCGAGGCATGCCAAGGTCCTCGGCAGTGGGGGAGGAGGGAGCGGGGCTGGAGCATCGTCTAGACAATAATACCTCCTAGGGCTTCCCATCCTGGGAGCAAGAACTAATTCACTTCTGTCTCTTTGGACCGGCTTATCAGAGATTTGACAGTTCCCAGACTTGAATGAACCTTTCCACTTTTTTTTTTTTAAACAGCTTGAACCCCCCTGCTCAGTAAGTGAGAAGAAAAGGCAGATTGCTATAGGACTGTGGTTAACCTAAGGAGAATGTCATTTTGGGGTCCTGCTATGTTAGAGTTTGAGAGTGCTGCTTGTGGGTGGTGGTGGTATTTGGCCCTTGATGTACTTGTTTGGCAAGACAGCTTAAATGTTCTTGGACAGATGGATACTATATAATGACAAAGCAGTGGTTCTCAATGGGAGAGTGGGATTGGAGAGGAGGATTTTGCCCCCCCAAGTTTGGCAATGTCCAAAGACATTTTTGGTTGTCACAACTGGGGAGAGAGTACTACTATCTTTTCATGGATATAGGTCAGGCTTGCTGCCAAATATTTTATAATCTACAAGATAACACCCCACAAAAATGAACTAATTATCTGGCCAGAAATGTAAATCATGCTAATGTAGAGAAACTGTACTATAACATAATTTTTAAACCTTGTGATAATTTCAGGACAAGGATGGTACAGATATATAAAATTCAAGGATTATTCTTGAATACCATTTTAAGGACATAATTTTAGATCCTACCCCACTAAAAAAAATTATGATGATGATCATACAATAACAATAATAGCTATTAATTATATTGTGCTATATGCCAGGCACTATTTCAAGCACTTTACACATTAGTAAACTTGTTTTCACAACAAATTTATAAGATAGGATAGGTAAGATCATTTTCCTAATTTACAGAAGAAGAAACTGAGATACAGAGAGGTTTAGAAATATACCTGAGCTCCCACAATTAGTAAGCACAGGGCTGACTTTATGGGTGTTTAGCCTGTCCAATCACACAGGGCCCCATTCTCAGAAGGGTTGCATGTTTGGTCTAATGCTCCGCTGTTACTGTCCTGGAAGTCATAATAATTTTATCTTTGAATTTGTGTTTTATAATTGAAGCTCAATGTGACAAGAATGTGCGTGTGAGCAGAGGAAGTATGGGCAATGTGGATGTCCGCTGTTTTTTATTGCTCCATCCACATGTAGTGTTGATGATGTTCCTTGAACACAGAACTCCAGTGGATCCCCAATGCATGAGAGTGCAGAGAGACTCAAAGCAAGCACAAAGTAAGCATGTCGTATCTATGACTAAGCATGGGCACTGCAGCCCTACGAGGTCTCGCTTTCTATTCAAACCAGAACTTGCACTGGACACAGAAGGCAGTGGCATGTCTCTAAGAGACATGAATGCCCAGGCACTTTATCACATCCCTGCTTACTCATGTTACTTCCCTGTAGTAGCCAACTACTTATGCTTGTAATGATGACATAGAAGGAAAGGGAAAGATGGGGCAAGCCATAATTCCTTTTTCTTTTCGTCCTTCCTTACTTATCAGCAAGCCAAAGATAGAGAGTGTTGGTAGAATGTGCACATATCGAGAAGTACAGTTGAGTTAGTTAAGTGCAGTTTCCACTGTTCTGGAAAGAAACAAAACACATATGAATATCTGAATTGTGGAAGACAAATTGTGTAATTTAAGTAATTCTGCACACAAGTTGAATGGTCTTAGATTTGCATTTAAACTGGTATGCACAATGTAAAGATGAATGGTAACATTTGTGCTAATAATTTACAATTTTAATTTTTTTCTCATAATGACACTTTACCCCTGATTTTTGGACAAGAGACCCTGCATTTTCATTTGGAATTGGGCCCTATAAATTATATAGCTGGATCTGAGGAAGGCAGCCATGATTAGAATTTTGGCAGTGCAGACCTAGCATCAATGTGCTTATCCACAAGAATATCCATTTCCATTCTAGGATCCAATGTGATAAAAATGAGCTAGACTTTAAGAGAAATTTCTCCATCTGTGACCAGACACCTTCCAGGGTACAACCATCACCCTTCTCTTGGAGGGGTGAGAGTGGGGTCAGTTTTCTCCCAATTGGAATTGTTGATTTTTATGTGTGATGAGTCTGCTGCAAGGATGACCTCCTGAGCAGCATGCTAAAAACTGTCGAAAGCAGCAGCTGAACTCTTATGTGCTACCCTCCAATTTGTATGTTTTAGTATCACACTTTCTATTGGTCTAGAACTCTAATTGGTCATAGTAGTACATTTAATTTATACATCCATGTGATCGATGTGCCAGGCATTTTACATATCTTATCTCAATTTAATCTTCTATACATTCTTAAAAGTTGACCTCTGAGTCAATGAAGAGCAGAGGTCTCATAGAAGGCAATTGTGCAGCCATTATTGGAACCCACATTGGAATGATTTTCATAGCTCATTTAGTCCTGACAAGCCCTGCCTCATCTCCCCTCTACTGTAAAGCTGTCCATGCTTGGCTATTTTCCATCAGGTTTTTAGTTGAACATCTTTTGCAAGTTGAAATATTATTTAGAACATTTCCTTTGATTTTAAACATACCCAGTAAAATTTGACATCTTTAGAAAGTTGAATTTTTAAAAGCCTTCTTAATTTATAGCATCTTGATTTAAAATCAAACCTTGTGAAACAACTTAAAGAGCCCATCAGTTTTACTCAGTAACGTTTGCTGAAATAAGCATAAACAAAATGTTTTCCTCTGAAGTACATGAGGGTTAAAAGTTTGTGGTAAAAGAATTCTCAAATGGAACATTGCTTGGGACCATTTTGATTGTGTTGGTGATGCTACTGGTCTTATCTTGGATGAGAGCTGGTATAAAATTGTTTAACTTTTGCTTTGAACTCTTTTAAAACTCCAAGCATAGGTTTTAAAAGAGAAATAGCTAAAGAAAGACAACTCTAAGCAAATTTGATCTTCATCCACATTTGTACACGTCAGCATTGCTAAGATGATCACATGCGTCTTCAGGAATGATGTTTACAGCCTTTGATCTAGCGTGTAAATGAAAGGGTACATTTGCACACAGCCTCCTTAGGGTCCATGATATGAATGTGTGTTTTACCTACAGACTCAGCTACTCAGAGGTCTGGTTCAGGATACTCACCTCAAAACACAAGACACTAGAGCAATGGGAGGGAGGAGAATGGTAAGGATTGGTGGCACATTATACCCTTCAAAGGATACATTTCCATCAACTCTTCAGGAAAAATACCTGGAAACATATGAGCTTTTAGTGTATGATGATTCCTTAGGTATAGGAGTCTATGTGCACATCTTGTGTGCATGGGATCTCTTTGTTTTAGTTTTGCTCCTTTTATTTGTTTATTTTTAGCCAGCTTGTGCAAATGACAATAGCAGAGAAGTTATCATAGTCTAAGGAATCATATGCAGCTGGGTTTCATTCTCAGAACCTCTACTTACTATACTTACTACCTTTTTTCTTCTTTTTTAACTTGAGTACAGTTACCTTACCTCTCCAAAACTCACTTTCATCTATAAATGTAAATAAAAATAATCTGTCTACTCCACAGGCATGTTAAAAGACTACGTGACAACAGTGTCAATTGACTGGCACATGGTAAGTGCTCAATAAATCAATTCATGGTACTTATTATACTGAGGCCTTTCCATGCTGATAACAAGAAAAATGGCATTTTCAGTTAATTTTTTCTTAAATGTAATGAACTATAATAAAATGTAACTTAATGTGCTGAAATCTGCCCAATCTCTTCTGATACCCATGCATTACAGTACTGAAACACAATTGCCAAGCTACTACAACTGTTTTTGCAACACTGTATTTTATTTTAAAATGATAAACATGCTTGGCCAGCCAAAACACATAATTGTGAGTTACTGGATTTATTTTTTCAGTGTAGGATTTCAGTTTATTGGGAAACTAGAAGTTGTCACATTAAAAGTAAATTGTACACAAACAAATATGCAGTAATATAGTTCTGTGATTTCTTTTTTTTTTTTTGTGAGAGAGGAAGAGGAGAGGGTCTTGCTCTGTTGCACGTGCTGGAGTGCAGTGGCATGTTCACGGCTTACTATAACCTCCACCTTCTGGACTCAAGCCGTCCTCCCAGCCTCCTGAGTAGCCGGGACTACAGGCGTATGCCATCACGCCTGGCTAACTTTTGTAGTTTTTTGTAGGGACGGGGGGTTTCCCCATGTTGCCCAGGCTAACTCCAGGGCTCTAGTGATCCACCTGCATTGGCCTTCCAAAGTGCTGGGATTACCGGCATGAGCCACCACACTCGGCCGGTTTGTGGTATCTTGAACTCCTGAATTAAAGATTCATGAATATAAAGGATCCCAAATCTCTGCTTAGGGATTTTTTTTTTTTTTTTTTTTTTTTTTTTTTTGAGACGGAGTCTCGCTCTGTTGCCCAGGCTGGAGTGCAGTGGCGCTGTCTCAGCTCACTGCAAGCTCCGCCTCCCGGGTTCACACCATTCTCCTGTCTCAGCCTCCCAAGTAGCTGAGACTACAGGCACCCACGACCAAGCCCGGCTAATTTTTTGTATTTTTAGTAGAGACGGGGTTTCACTGTGTTAGCCAGGATGGTCTCGATCTCCTGACCTCATGATCCACCAGCCTCGGCCTTCGAAAGTGCTGGAATTACAGGTGTGAGCCACCGCGCCCGCCCAGGGATCTTTGTAACTGACATTAAAACGTAAATACTGATGTTCACATTAAGGAGCGTTTTGGCATATCATCATTACTAATGTATATTTTGCCCTTTGATTTGAAATCAATGAGTTGGAAAAGCATTTGTGTGTCTCACAGGGTATCTATAACAGCATGGATTAACATTTTGGGGTAAAACAAGTATGGAACAGTTTTTATGAGTTCTTTTTTCCTGTTAACTAATATTCACATCAGTGAAAACTTTGAATTCTCATCAATCTGTTTAAATTTTCTTATTATAATTAAGCACAACACATTTTCCCTTTTTTTAATTGACGTATAATAATTTTACAAGGTACATAGTGATGTTTTCATACATATCATGTATAGTGATCAGATCAGGGTAATTAGCATATTTATCATCTCAAACCTTTATTATTTCTTTGTGTTGAGAACATTTTCTTACAAACAGTTTTTCATGAGTTGGGTGGTTTTCTAGGAGAGACACTGAGTTTAGGCAGACCCGAGGAAAGTGAAATGAAAAGATCAGGGGTAGTATCTCTTGATGAGGCTGAAATACAAGCATAGTGAAAATTTAAACACAAGGCATTTTATTTCTTTCGATGATATTATAAAAAGAAAATCATGACTGAGTGATTCATAAATGAATAAACATTATTTTATTCACTTTTTTTTTTCTGTACAAAGTCCTGATTCCTGATTTTCCTATGACCTTATGTTCTTCAGCAGCACTTGTTTTTACAATTAAGAGCTAATTACTATCCTGGACCCCTGGAAACTTGTGAACTTTCCAAAGGTCATTATAACTTAGTATCGGCTAAATGCAGCTCGAGAAGGCCCAAATGAAACAAAACTTAGAAACTGTGTTCTTAATCTTGTTTATCATTAATCTGGAGACAAATGGACTTTATCTAGTTTATACGAAAACTCAGGCACTGGAGTCTGTGCACACACACACGCATGCACGTTCATGGTCAAATGTTTTGCCGAATCAGCTGAATGAAATGATTCATGGGAGGCAAACTTCTCTGTCAGCTACACATCAGATAATTGATGCTATTTATAATAGAAATGAAATAGGAGGCTAAAAACTAACAAAGAAAAGAATTCCTTGGAATTGCCGTTGTTTTCTTTGGAAGAAGGGAAGGAACCAGTGACTCAGTTTGGCAATACATTGATCTCATTAGAACAATGCCAGAGCATGGAGTAAAGCTGAATATATTGCAAATAAGTGTAACATTGAGACATATTTCACAACGGACTGTTTCCTAGCAATCAGATTCAGTATAGGGAAAGGGCTGTGACAAATTCAAACAGGGGAGAAAAGAGACCAAACACAGAATGAATCTCTTCTTCTTCTTCTTTTTTTTTTTTTTCTTTTGAGACAGAGTCTTGCTCTGTCGCCCAGGCTGGAGTGCAGTGGCGTGATCTCGGCTCACTGCAAGCTCCGCCTCTCAGGTTCACGCCATTCTCCTGCCTCAGCCTCCCAAGTAGCTGGGACTACAGGCGCCCGCCACCAGGCCCGGCTAATTTTTTTGTATTTTTAGTAGAGATGGGGAGAATGAATCTCTTCTAATCCCTTTTAACCAAACCCAAGAATCATGCCAATATTAAGAAAATGACAGAATGCTTTCCAGGTTATTAGAAATGTACTGTGAAGATGACATTTTTGTATGACTATGCAATGCAGATTATACAATATTTACTACACAATGTAGCCATAAGACTAAAAGAAAAGTTAACTATGATAATAGGTTTTATACATTAAGCACCTTTTATTGTTTTAAATATCTTATGTAATCTAAGTAAATTAATCCTCACAACAGACTTGAGAGTTTGCAGTATTACTTCTTTTGCAATTGTTGTGTAGGAGGTTTGGAGATGATAAGGATAAAAGGAAAATAATGTAATCTTTAATTCACAACACACCTGAAATGCAAGGGATGTGGTATTCCTTACAAATACCCAGATGACCATAATGAAGACACATGTATCTGAAATAACTTTGGTAGAGGAAAAAGTTGTTTCTTTGTAGATGAAAAATATTTTATAGAGACTTAAATTTTCATCCTGGGTTCATTCATTTCCAAACCTGCTTTTCCATAAAGTCTGTGAAATAGGAGACGTAGGAAGCCTCACGTCTACCGTTCAGTGTGCCTTTTGACCCCTAGTTCTCAATCCAGTGCTGGATGGGTGGGGTGTTCTGAATCAGAACCACCTACAGGAGCTTTTTCAAACCACACAGTCCCCCCATTGGCAGGAGAGATTCCATGCTCTGAGAGGAAGACAGAACCAGCTGAGTTATTGTATCAAAGGGGCTTCAGAGGAATATGAGTGTGCACAGCAAGGACAGTGCTATTCACCTCTTGTTCTTCATAAATAGAAAGCCTGATAGGACAGAGTGCTGATTCACTTCTAAGTGCCCCTTCTGACATCAGAAGGTGGGCTTTGTTTGGGCCCAGGACGAGTCTCTCAACACTAAAGTATTTCCTTAGTGATCTCATCACTCAGGGCCACCAGAAGACCCCATTAGAAAAGCTGAGTGGCACATTCTCACTGAAAAAGCCACAGGGAACTGCAGGTGGGGGACTCAGAAACATTCAGGGAGAGATGACAGACAACCTGAGACTATATAGAAGGGCTAGAATTCTAATTTGATACATACATCACCTGGAATTAAGTGTCCTGTTAATAGAAGACATTTGGAAGTTTCAGAGTGAGAGAGAGAAAGAAAGAGAAAGAGAAAGAGACATAGAGCAAGCAACTGTATGTAGATGGCAATTATAATCTTGATTTCAAAGACATCTTCCTTGTTTTATGACTGTTCCTTATTCACAGCTTCCTGTTTCTGTTATGAGTGAAATATGTATACTTGAATTTTGAAGATCTCGATTTGAGTGATCTTAAATTCCTTTCCTATTCTTCAATTAACTCTTTTTTTTTCTGTGTATTGGGTATCTGCATGTGTGTATGTATATGTTTGTACAGAGATATTATTTCATTAGTCAGAAAACCTGATCTAATTAAAAAACTAAATTGCCTCTTTATAAATGCAAGGACCAGTGATGCTGATGGTGCCCCTTTCACAACTGGCTTCTAGTTTCTCACATGATCTTTGTCTCTGGTGTTAGCTGGCTATGCAAGGTCTCTTCAGCTCACTGTTTCTTGGTGGGCTCTTCTATATAATGTGCCTGGTGAAACCTCTTCTGGATGTAAATAACTAGGATGTCTCTGAAACATGTGACACTTCCCCACTATTAACAAGGTAACAGTCTGATATTAACATTTATTTCTTAGTGTTTGTGGTATTACTTTTATCCTGTCCTGTTAAATCTGGGCATCATTTATATACATTAATAGTTACTGTGGGATAGGATGACCACACAGTTCATGATCCCTTTTATCATTTACTGAGCTTACATTTCATGAAAGATATTTAAGAACACATTCTATTTAATTTAGTGATCTTTAAAGTCATATTGTGTCCGGAATTGGTGGGTTCTTGGTCTCACTGACTTCAAGAATGAAGCCGGGGACCCTCGCGGTGAGTGTTACAGCTCTTAAGGTGGCACGTCGGGAGTTTGTTCCTTCTGATGTTCGGATGTGTTTGGAATTTCTTCCTTCTGGTGGGTTCGTAGTCTCGCTGGCTCAGGAGTGAAGCTGCAGATCTTCATGGTGAGTGTTACAGCTCATAAAAGCAGGGTGGACCCAAAGAGTGAGCAGTAGCAGGATTTATTGCAAAGAGCGAAACAACAAAGCTTCCACAGTGTGGAAGGGGACCCGAGCGAGTTGCCACTGCTAGCTCGGGCAGCCTGCTTTTATTCTCTTATCTGGCCCCACCCACATCCTGCTGATTGGTAACGCCGAGTGGTCTGTTTTGACAGGGTGCTGATTGGTGCGTTTACAATCCCTGAGCTAGACATAAAGGTTCTCCACGTCCCCACTAGATTAGTTAGATACAGAGTGTCCACACAAAGATTCTCCAAGGCCCCACCAGAGCAGCTAGATACAGAGTGTCGATTGGTGCATTCACAAACCCTGAGCTAGACACAGGGTGCTGATTGGTGTGTTTACAAACCTTGAGCTAGATACAGAGTGCTGATTGGTGTATCCACAATCCCTGAGCTAGACATAAAGGTTCTCCAAGGCCCCACCAGAGTAGCTAGACACAGAGTGCCGACTGGTGCATTCACAAACCCTGAGACACAGGGTGCTGATTGGTTTGTTTACAAACCTTGAGCTAGACATAGGGTGCTGATTGGTGTATTTACAATCCCTGAGCTAGTAGACATAAAGGTTCTCCACGGCCCCACCAGACTCAGGAGCCCAGCTGTCTTCACCCAGTGGATCCCGCAATGGGCTGCAGGTGGAGCTGCCTGCCAGTCCCGCGCCATGCGCTCTCACTCTTCAGCCCTTGGGTGGTGGATGGGACTGGGCGCGTGGAGCACGGGGCGGCGCTCATTGGAGAGGCTCCGGCCGCACAGGAGCCCACGGAGTCGGGGGAGTCTCAGGCATGGTGGGCTGCAGGTCCCGAGACCTGCCCCGTGGGAAGGCAGCTAAGGCCCGGCGAGAACTTGAGCACAGCAGCTGCTGGCCCAGGTGCTAAGCCCGTCACTGCCCGGGCCCGTAGGGCCGGCCGGCTGCTCCGAGCGCGGGGTCCGCCCAGCCCACGCCCACCCGGAACTCACGCTGGCCCGCAAGCACCGCGCGCAGCCCCGGTTCCCGCCTGCGCCTCTCCCTCCACACCTCCCCGCAAGCTGAGGGAGCCGGCTCCGGCCTTTGCCAGCCCAGAAAGGGGCTCCCAGAGTGCAGCGGCGGGCTGAAGGGCTCCTCAAGTGCCGCCAAAGTGGGAGCCCAGGCAGAGGAGGCGCGGAGAGCCAGCGAGAGCTGTGAGGACTGCCAGCACGCTGTCACCTCTCAATATAAGGTAACTGTTCAAGCCCAATTTTTTAAAAAAGTGAACTAAGATTTGGATATATTGAGGAACTTTCCTAAGACAGCAGAGCTAGTAAGTGACAGAACGTTGACTCAAATTGTGATCACATGAACCAAAAAATTCATTCTGCTCAGCCTTAGAAAATGCAGGTCATGAATTTTATTATTCATCCAACAAGTATATGTGGAGCACAATGCCACGCAATAGCCATTGTTCTAGGCACTAAATTACAGCAACAAATAGGAAGAAGCAGCAATGAGGATTCTACTCCCTACCTGAATTGCCTGATCAAAACTCTCTACCACTTTGCCTCTGCTATCCCTGGGATGTTGCTAAGCAGTGTTCAGCTTCTACTCAAAATCCATTATTAAGGATAAACAGTCGTCTTTGATTTAAATTCAGTAGCTGTGATTTCCTATCAGCCCCTTCAGAGGAGGATACTATCATTCCCACAGGGTCCCTAGAATTTCCCATTTTTACATGCCATGTTATTGCAACTTTCAGTTCTGCACAACCAGAAAAGCTATGAATGGTTCATTTTCTCCATTCTTTTCACTCTTTCCACCTCTGCCTCTCAACAGGGACAGCTGTTTCCTATTACAAAACAGTCTGACAAGGTGCTGGTCTGGAGCAGAGTCTCTTTGGCAGGTAATTTTGATGAGGCCCAGAGGTAAGGGGGTGGGTGTCTCTGATGGGTTTCCGGTCCTGTTATCAGCCACGTCCAGCAACCCCAGACATGGCTGCTGTCTGTACATAGGGCTGTTTCTGGCTTGGAGCCCATGCCTGCTGAGAGCCTCAGTCATTCATCAGGGCTAATCCATTAACTTTTTCTACTTAGGCCGAGGAAGCCTGGGTATGAGGCAAACACTCAGTCCCCCTCTGGCAGAGAACTTGGTCATTGAACACTCGGTAGTAACCCTACCAGTTCTGACTGGGCACTCATACTTTGATTTTTTGGTTGTTGTTGTTCTCATTTTAGAAAAGTAAAGTAGCAATTCTAAACACTAACAAACAGACTTAGTACAGAGAGAAGGTAAATACCATGTGAGAAAATACTCCCCTCGACAGCGAGCTATCTGCAGAAGAGAGGATCCAGTGATATTTTTTGCACAGGGAAGTTTTCTCTATGGCTTCAAACCAGATTTTATATTGCCTTTGGTTTTCGGGAAAATACAGGTATCTTAGCAACAAGGCCCAGCTAAAACCTACTGAGGTTTGTAACCTGAGTCCTATTCTACTTACTGCCCTTCTAGTGGGTACTTCCAGAAACTGGCTTTCCCCTGCACTCAACTTTACTGTTTAGATGGAAAAAACACAGCTGGAAAAGACCTAGTAAGATTTGTCATTAAGAAAAAAATTGTTCTTAGCCTTAATTGGCTTTGCTAGATTAGAACGCCTTCTTTTTCTGAAGAACACCAGATGTCAGGAGACTTGGTATGTAGTCCAACTCTGTGATTAACAATAACATTAATAATAACAAAACATAACAGAAGCATTTAACATTCAGTGACATTTAACACTAACAATATCAGGCTATTACTCTGTGTTAATATGGACTAGTGTATGCATGTCACATACATTGTGTGATTTAAACTTCATCACAGCTCTGACAATGTAGGTGTTATCAGCATTGTCTCTTTTTTACAAATGAAGAAACGAAGCCTTAGAGAGGTGAAATAACTTGTTCTAGGACAATACTTATTAAAATATGAAGGTAGAATTTATACCCAGCTTTATCTGTTTCCTCATGTGGAAAGTAGGGATGGGGACAGGGATTACAGCATGTTTGTAAGTTTCCTTAAAATGCCATCATCCTCAAGGAAAGAAAATGACAGGATATTGTGTCAGGCTCTAACATATTATATGAAGCTTACATTAGTAATGGTGGTGATGATACCAAGTGGACTTACAGAGTTCTAAATAACTTATAAAACTTTCATTTTATTACTGATATGAACTGAATGTGACCCCCTCAAATTCATATGTCGAAGCCCTAATTCCCATCATGATGGTATTGGGATTGGGGGGTTAGGCCCTTCAGACATGAATTCAGTTTAGGTAAGGTCCCAAGAGAAGAGTCCCATGATGGGATTAGCACCCTTATAAGAAGAGGAAGAGACTAGAAGGAGCTCTATCTCTCTGCCATGTGAGGCTGCAGCAAGACAATGGTTGTCTGCAATCTAGGAAGAGAGCCCTCACCAGAAACCATGTCACTGGCACCTTGATTTGGACTTTCAGCCTCCAGAACTGTGAAAAATGGGTAAATGTCTTTGTTTAAGCCACCCAGTCTATGGTATTTAGTTATGGCAGTCTGGGGAGAACAATGCAATTACCCTATTTGATTGCCACAATTAATCACCTTTCTAAGATGGTTAGAGTAAGTACGACTCTTTCATTGTTACAGATGAGAAAATTGAAGCTCAGAGGTTTACTTGCTCCGGACGCATGCCTGCAAGTGTCTTCGCATGTGGCTCCTAGCCTTGATATTCTCCCATCACTGTCTGAGTTTACAGCCTGTGTGTACAATGTATTCTATACAGGAGCTATTCTAATGGGACTTTAACCACAAGTATGCACCCGGTCTCAGAACTCTCCTTATGTATGCAAATATCATGATGCCGATTTCAGATGGAGCTTACCAGGGCCCTCAATTCATAGATGGGTTGTAACAAAAAATTACACAGGACTTTGTACTTTTTTTTTTTTCTTTGCACAGGGAAGTTTTCTGTGTAATGAATAATGATATAGGGCTTTGTGCTTTTATTTTCCTTTTTTTTTTTATTTTTTGAGACACAGCCTCACTCTGTTGCGAAGGCTGGAGTGCAGTGGTGCGATCTCAGCTCACTGCAACCTCCACCTCCTGGGTTCAAGCAATTTTCCTGCCTCAGCCTCCCAAGTAGGTGGGATTACAGGTGTGCGCCACCATGCCTGGCTAATTTTTGTATTTTTAGTAGAGATGGGGTTTCACCTTGATGGCCAGGCTGGTCTCGAACTCCTGACCTTAGGTGATCCACACGCCTCAGCCTCCCAAAGTGCTGGGATTACAGGCGTAAGCCACCATGCCCAGCCTGGACTTTGTACTTATAATTCTGTAATTTTGAGAAATTTGAGTAGAATCCTTTTCCAGAATCAGAAATTTAAGCTCCTGCCAAGAACACTTTTCTCTTTCAGTCGCTCTTGCTCAGATGCATAAAATCTCCTCCGTACCCAGCCCTGATTGCTCTCCGGGCTTAGTAGAAATCCCTGCTGAAGAGCCATTTCGACTGTGAGGGCAGCAGAGTTGTCCCGGACAGAGAAGCCCAAAGGTCCAGAGTGCCCTGAACATTCTGCACAGCTACCTCTCTGGGCTCGGACCAACTGGCTTCTTTCGGTGGCTGTCTGGAGATGTGCTCCTTGGAGACCAAAACTTTGGGATCCGATACCTACCCTGATTATATTTCCATGCACATATTTGGGGGAAATTAAGTTTTCATTAGCAAAGTCATTTGAATGACCTCTGACATGCTCAGCATCCTAATCATGGTGGAGGTGAGAGAGAGAAAGGGAAGGAAGGCAAGAGAAGCAGTGCTAAGAGAGCTTCTTGCCTGCAGAGCTGGAGAGGTTGTGTTTGTTCCCATTTGTCCTCCTTCGGGCTGTCCCAGAACACTAGTGATGAGCTTTTCACTGGATGTGGTTGAGACAAAGCAGCACCCACATCACCCCTTCCCACCATTTTATCTCTTACTGCACAAAACACATTTAGTTGTGGGTTTGACCCTTGACCCCAAATTCTGAACCAGAACTCACTGAGTCCTTCAGGTTCTCTTTGAGGAATCTGCATAGCCACAAGGGTTCAATGAGAGGTACTTTTTGGTCTGGGTTTAATTTTCTTGTAATTTGTTTCCTCTACCTGGACACAATATTCTTGGGCAAGTGCCCTTCTTAACCAACATAGACACGGAGGCTAAGTGGACAAATTCCACGTCATCCCCAGAGGGTCCCCCCGCCTGGGGGAGTAAGCGAAACTTGGTGTTGCAAACACCTACACTTCTTTCACACTCTAGGTTACAATTTTGGAATATTTGACTCATCTACCTCTCTCTTATTCAGATATAGATAAAATGAATGCCAGGCAGTTAGCTGTGTGGGAAGGGTTTGGTTGAGGCTATGAGAATATAGAATATTTCACAGATTTTTCAAGTGATAAGGATTGAGCATATGACAGGAGTAGAGTAAGGGGTACATTGAAAATGTACTGTGGACTGTGTAGGGTCATGGGATCATTGAATGGTGAAACACCCACACCCACAGACACCGAATGTCTGAAGAACTGGGCTTTGTACTTATTTCTTCTTTTGTACAAATCCCTCTATCATTGTGTCAGGTTTTATTTATTTATTTATTTATTTATTTTGCAACTTCCTATTATGTTGTAGAGTCAGTAACATTCATAGCATTAAAACTAGACTTTACGAGACCAAATAGTACCCTTTGAAGTTTACTTTTAAGTGGTTTGCCTTCAGGGACTCTGAATTGGCCCAAGCATCTTCAAGACATCTAACCTTGGTGAACCTTAAATTTCACAACTAGAAATCTAGTTCTTTGATTTCATAAATCTTGACATTCTAGTGGTCGTAAGGAACTTAATGACATGTTTAGGCCTTAGAGTCAGAACAATCTAAATTCAAATCTCTACCACGCATGTGATATTCACCTTCATTTGTAAAATGAGAATAATGAAGTACTACCAACCTCTAGTGTGATTTTAAGAATTAAGTAAGGGAGTTTTTGAAATGCTCTGCAAAATGCCTTGTTATTGGAGTCAACGGTGTTATCATACTTGCCATTCTCCCCATAGCCAAACTTCAAACTATGGCAAGCATTACTCAACTCCAAAAGCTGTATTCATACCAGGTTGTACTCACACTAGATTTGACTAACTTCAGTGATAGCATCTTACTACCTCCTGAGATTGCCAAGTAATTTTTCAAAATTGTAATTGCTAGAGAATTCTTTCTTAATTTGAGGCTAATCTTCTAACGTCCATATATGGATTTTCATTAGAGACCTTGGAGCTAAAGAATGCAAGTCAGTGACAGCTGTTCTAGTATCTGAGAGAATTTGTGTTGATGGCCTCCTTTCTTCCTTCTCCTTGTTCTCTCACTTCTTCCAAATATGATGTGCTTGGGTGCCCTTACCATGGTAGCTGTTCTGCTGATAAATATGCTACTTCTTGTTTGTTGTTGTTGTTTTTTGAGACAGATTCTTGCTATTGTCGCCCAGGCCTGGAGTGCAGTGGCACGATCTCAGGTCACTGCAACCTCCGCCCCCTGGGTTTGGCCTCCCAAGTAGCTGGGATTACAGGCACCCGCCACCACACCCAGCTAATTTTTGTATTTCTAGTAGAGATGGGGTTTCACCATGTTGGCCAGGCTGGTCTCGAACTCCTGACCTCAGGTGATCCAGCTGCCTTGGCCTCCCAAATGGCTGGGATTACAAGCATGAGCCACCACACCCATCTCTATGCTATTTCTTTAAGATCCTTTTTAAATTCTCTAGGTTTGGAAACCCTGTAGCCCTCACTAAGCTCCTGAATTTAGGTATTTTCCCTTAATAAAAGAAAAAAAGTTAATAAATACTCACTTATCCATTACCAAAATGGAACAACTGTTAATATTTTTCCAGTTTTCTTTACACTTTTTTGAAGGCAAAGACGTAATAGGTAAAATTGAGACCCGTGTGATGTCCTTCCTAATTTGCATTCCCTTCCCTTCCAGAGCTAGCGATTAAGAAGTATTTGATGTGCATCCAGTTCTATATATGTACCCTTTAACTATAACATATGCACATATACAAAAATATATATAGTTTATACATATTTGCAAAGCTATATCATTCATTTGCATTATTTAAATACAGTACATGTAAAGTTTTCTAACTTGCTTTTTCATTCAATATTATATTTTCAAAGCAGATTCATGACAATACATACGTAGGTTATTCTTTTTAACCGCAGTATATTTTATTATGTGAACATATCACAATTTATCCATGTATCTAACTATGTAACTTTATTCACTACCACTTGACGTTTGCATTATCTCCCCTTTTTGCTACAACATTGTTGTATGGGACATCCTTGTATATAGTTATCTTTACTCTGTAAGAGTTCATAGATTTTCTCTAGGCCAAACACACACACAGGGAAGCACTCTCACCTTGGATGGCTGGGCTACAGAGTATAAACGTTTTGGGGTGATGCCACTGCTCTTTGTGATGATTCTATTCGCATACTCTTGCCAGTATTAAATGAGAGTTCCGATTTGCTCTCATTCTTGGCTAAACATTGATATTTTTGCCTGTCTGGTGGATTTTAAAGTGTGTCTTACTTCTTAAAAATGTTCCTGATCATTTTTATAGGTGAGCATGTTTTCACTTGCATTTAACATATGCAGTTTTCCATTTCAGTTTGTCATTTTCCATGAATGACACATGAAGATACTTTGCCCATTTTTCTATTACATTCTTTGATATTTTTGTGTTGAATATATTTATTTTCGTATTCTGAGTGTAGACTTATATGTGCTGAACATGTTTCCAGTCAGTGGCCTTTAATTTTGTTTTATATACCATTATTTATGCATAAATTTTAAGTCTAAATTGGTCGGGTTTATCAGTTTTTCTTTACGATTTTGTCTTTTTGTGTCTGCTTTGATAAATCTTTCCCTACTCTGAAATCTTAAATATGTGCACCTATATTTTCTCCTAATAGATTTAAAGATTTTTTAACATTTATATTTTATTTTATTAATAATATGAAATAAAAAATCATTTATGCATACTATATATTACATATAATATATGCAAAATACATATTATGTATAGGATAGACAGCTCTCCCAGTGCCACTTACTAAATACTTCATTCTTTTACTGTGCTAATTATATCTTCATCCATGTCCAATTTAGACTTTGTTCCCTCTATCAAGTTTTTATTTTAATGACTGTATTTTTCACTTTATGATTTGGGATTGGTTGGTTTTATCATCCAGCTGTGTTCAGTATCTACGTCTCTTGTTCCATAACACCATTTTTATTTCATGAATTTTCACCTCCAGTTTTTAAGGATCTTGAAGATTTTAATGTCAGTATTTTCAATACTGTCAGGAGTGAATTTTTGTCTGAAATGTTTTATTTTGTAGGCAATCTCTTCTGAGTCTTTTTCTTCGTGTACTTTGTAATTTCCATTTGCAAGCTCTTCTTGTGTAAGGAGATGTTTTTCCTCTGCCTGTCTGTACTTTTACTTCCCTGCTTTCCCCTGGGGCCCCTTTCCTATCCTCAGCAGGGCAGAACCATTCTTTCCATCATTGCCCATTCTGCCCTGTGACTGGGATGGCAGGAGCCAGGCCATGGGCCAGCAGACCAGCACTTGAGTGACACAGCTTTGTGTAAACTGTGGGCTCAGACTCCTCTCTTTACCACTGCGTCCTGTGCCAATGAACTTTGTTTTTGTCCTATACGGTGTGTGGGTTGTTTTGAACACCATGGTCCCTAAGAGTCAAATTTATTGCTTATGTATTTTAGTTATTTTCTGGCTGACGATGAGGTTTCTTTCATTTTGTAAAACTAGTGTGGTTTTTCTTTTCACTTGAAATATGATTTTGCAACATTACATATTCAGAGGATATGCACTGACCGGAAATTGGGTTCGGTGTGTTTTTCCCTTTTTTGACCACTGCCAAAAAACTGTCTTTCAAGAAGTAGAAACTACTCTGACTAATCCATCACAGTGAATGAAAGGATGAGTAGAGCGACAGCATCGCATTTCCAATTCTGGTACAGTGGTCTGGAACAGACCAGAGCAGTGTGTCCTCAGCTTGTTGTACAGAATGACCTAGAGATTCAGAGTTTTTTTTTTTTTTTTTTTTTTTTTTGAGACAGAGTCTCACTCTGTTGCCCAGGCTGGAGTGCAGTGGTGTGATCTCGACTCACTGTAACCTCTGCCTGCTGGGTTCAAGCGTTTCTCTTGTCTCAGCCTCCCGAGTAGCTGGGATTACAGGTGTGCACCACCACGCCTGGCTAATTTTTGTATTTTTAGTAGATATGGGGGTTTTGCCATGTTGGCCAGGCTGGTCTCGAACTCCTGACCTCAGGTGATCTGCCCACCTTGGCCTCCCAGAGTGCTGGGATTACAGGTGTGAGCCACTGTGCCGGGCTGATTCAGGTTTTTTTTAAGGGTTCCAAAGTTGATTCTTATGCTCAGGAAGGCTTGGGAAGCACAGATCTAAAGGAATGTGCTCTGGGTGAGGAAGTCAGAAAGCATGGTGTTCAGCTCTAACTCTTTTTCTTAAAATCTAAATTTTATTGAGCCAAGTCCTCTGTGGCCTCTGATTCTCTCACATGTAAAATGAAAGGGCTGTATGGTACAGTCCCTGAGAACATTTTACATTCTGAATACACTTAATTCTTATACTAGTGAAACTTTTTTTTTTTAAGTAATTTTAGCATCCACACTCTACTCTTGACTTGGGTTGAGATTGTAGTTAATTAAAACCTCAGTCAGGCCTTTTTCCATGTGTTGCTCTCAAGCCAACATCTCTCCAGTCTGCAATTAGTTTTTGCATGCAGGTAAGGACTTACTATATTTTTCTGCCTAAATTTACTTTACTATTTGTAAACATTTTTAATGCACTATAATATGCATAAAGATAAATGAGCATATTCCAGGAATATATTTGCTAATTTTTTACCAGCTACACCTGTGCATCCAGCACCCAGCTAAAAGAACAGACTATTTGCACCACCCCAGAGCCCTTCTTTGTATTCCTTTCCAGACATTACCCATCTCCCCATGAGAAACCTCTACTATGACTTCTAACACATTTGTTTTGCTCTTTTGGAATGTATATAGAATCACAAATATATACTGGCTTCCTTTGTTTAATATTATGTTTTTGACAATTATGCATCTTGGTACATAGATTTATAGATCATTAATTCTCATCATTGTGTAGTATTCCATGGTGTAAAATACACCATGCTTATCCATTCTACTGATGGTGAGCATTTTGGTAATTTCCAACTTTGGCTACTATGAATAATGCTGCTATGAAAGTTCTAGTAAATGTATTTTGGTGAACATACGTTTGCACTTCTCTTGGGTATATAACTAAAAGTGATATTACTAAGCAATAGTTCACTTACATATTTAGTTTCAGTAGATACTGCTACACTGTTTTCCAATGTGGTTGACTCAACTAAACCTCCCATGCACAGTGTATCAGTCTTCTAGTCGCTCCACCTCTTTGCCACATTTAGAATTTTTCATCGTAGTTATTGTAGCTTGTGTGTTGTGGTATCACATTGTGGTTTTAATTAGTAATTACCAATGATTAATCCAGTTGAATGATTTTTTTCACATGATTATTGGCAATCTTGATGTTATCTTTTGTGAAGTATCTACTCAAGTCTCTTGAGCATTTTTTCAATTGGGTATTTGCCTTTGTCTTATCAATTTGTTTTAGTACTTCATCTATTTTAGGTATAACTCCTTTTAAAATATATTTATTGTAAATACGTTCTCCTGCTCTATGGATTACATTTTCACTCAGTTGTGTCTTTTGAGAAACAGAATTTCTTAATTTTTCTATAGTATAATTTATGATTTTTACCTTTATGTTTGATGCCTTTGTGTCCTGTTTAAAAATGGCTATTCTGAAGTTACAAAGGTACTCTTCTAGATTGTTTATTGTTTTACTCTTAACATTTAGATCTGTAATCTGTAATACATCTGAAATTGAATATTTTGTTTGTTGGTTGCCTAGTTGGTATGATATGAGGCATGACTTCTCTCTGTATACATACTTATGTATATATATATATATATACACACACACACACACACATATATGCATATATATGTACACACACATACACATATGTACACACATACACATAGGTGTATGTACATACATACACATATACACACATATTTTTCTTTTGCCAGAATTATTTTCTTACAGTCTGGCATCCAAATTTAGCAATTACTCCCTGCCTCATGTCTCCTACAAATATAATTAGCATGCCATTAATACCAGCACAATAACTTTTTATTAAATAATTAAAATTAATTTAAAATTGAAGTAGACAAGTATTCTTAGGAGTCTTCTGTTGAAATGCAAATACATTTGGAGAAGAAGCACACTGAAATTTTGTAACACATATACACCTATTAGTGATTTATAAATCAGAAAGTCAGGCGCTTTTAGCAGCCCTATGGGAATTAGGTGAGAAATAGTTCTGAGAAACAGGATGGTGGTGAGGGTTAGCCAGCATGTGGTGCCTGGCTGGAAAGGGCCGGCCTCGGCAGGATGATGAAGCCAGGGCAATGTGCTAACTTAAGGCCAGAAGTGTCAGTGAGCTCTGAGAAGTGGGATGGAAAGGCAGAAAAGAAAAATATTTCTTGCCTTTAAATTGCGTGCAGGGCTGACTAAGAGTAACTAACTGTGATAATTTGTTTTTCCATAGAAGTACTAGCAAAGGACAATGAATGTTTCCATTACCCTCGCCCCCTCAACTTGTCATGCCAGTCCCCACGAGTCACCCAGCTTTCCCCAGTCTCAGTTTCTCCTCTTCATAGAGGGAGATGGGTGGATGGCTGTCTTGTCACTCTGTGCTGGAGCCTACTGCAGTTGTAGGGTTGCAAGACTCAAATGAGACTCCATAACCAGAAATAAATTATCTTCACTGCATCTCAGAAGACTACTTTGTTACCCGCTTCAACCTCCATACCTTTATGTGTGAGGCTGAATGCGAGAGTGTGTGTGTCAGAATTTAAGACCAATCTACCAGAATGCAAGCTTGGCATTTAAGGATATTCTCTGGAGAGAGGATCCATGATAGTGGAATCACCCCAGCAGAGGCTGAGGTGACAAACATTGAGGGGGGACATTGAAGAAGCGTCAGGGGAGGTAGTATAGAGTGTATGAAGGATGTTTCGACTCCTGGTTTTATATAAGAAGTTGGCTCTGTGCTCACTCCCCATGGGAAGTGCATCTGGCCCTTTTTGCACCTCAGTTATTAACATCTGCCTGTTCTTAGACTGAGTATATTTTAACACTCTATTTACATATACTAGTGCTGATAATTTTTTAACTGAAAAAAAATTTCTGGAGAAAATGACATTAAGGTTATTTAATTCCTTCATCAATTTGGTATCCAGAGTTAAATTGCCTCAATTTTTTTAAAAAAATTATTTTACTAAACTTGTTTTCATCTGGACAAATCCCTTTTATTGTAAATTTTATAAAAAATGTCTCCTTTGAATTTAAATCAATTTTTACCCATATGCAATTGTAAACTATCTTTTGTGGCCATAACTTCTACAAAGTCCAAATTTCATGTCTAAAAATGTTACCTAAATTTCTGAGAATATTTTGATATTTTAACAAATATTATTGTCATCAATATTTACTGTGTATAATTTTGCTTATTTTCAGTCTATCTAAAATGATTTCTATCAAATTTATTTTTTGTCTGTTTAATCATAAGGTGATTCTTTGCCCAATGTTTCACTTTCAACAATTTTACTGTGTGGAGTTTTAGCTATTGTTGATTTATTTGTGTGTTGATTGCTTCTATTATGCTTGATTTTTTTTTTTTTTTTTGAGATGGAATCTTGCTCTGTCACCCAGGCTGGAGTGCAGTGGCATGATCTTGGCTCACTGTAACCTCTGCCTCCCAGGTTCAAGCGATTCTCCTGCCTCAGCCTCCCAAGCAGCTGGGATTACAGGCATGCACCACTATGCTTGACTAATTCTGTATTTTTAGTAGAGATGGGGTTTCACCATGTTGGCCAGGCTGGTCTAGAACTCCTGACCTCAGTTGATCCACCTGCCTTGGCCTCCCAAAATGCTGGGATTACAGGTGTGAGCCACTGCACCTAGCTGCTGCTTGATTTTTTTATAATGTGTCAATTGTGTAAATGTTTACTTTACCAGCTAGTTATGATTCTTGAATTAATTTTTTATCTGTAATGGCAGGTTCAAAATGTTCACATAAGTTTCACTTTTACTTTTCTAAATCTGCATTAAAATGGCCTTGTACTTGAAAAAAGTTCTTTTTTTCTTCTTTAGAAATACATGTTCCATATTTCTCTACACAGATACAGAGGAGGGGGAAAACATATGTTCCTGTGGTAAGCAATCCCTTACACGTGGAGCCAAGGTAGAAAACAGGCAGGAATGATACGAAATCTGAAGTGAGGACTGGCTCTGAGAATAGCCATATCTAGTGGCAGCTGTGAGAGACCTATAACCAATGACAAGTGATGTCTTGGCTTGTAAAAAAAAGTCGTGACTCTTTAATAATTGCCATTCTGACTGGCATGAGATGGCATCTTACTTTGGTTTTGATTTGCATTTCTCTAATGATCAGTGATGTTGAGGTTTTTTGCATATGTTTGTTGACTGCTTAAATGTCTTCTATTGAGAAGTGTCTGTTCACATCCTTTGCCCACTTTTTAATGGTTTTTTTTCTCATAAACATGTTTAATTTCCTTGTAGATTCAGGATATTAGACCTTTGTCAGATGGATAGACTGCAAAAGTTTTCTCCCATTCTGAGATAGTTTCTTCTGCTGTGCAGAAACTCTTTAATTAGATCCCATTTGTTAATTTTTGCTTTTGTTGCAATTGCTTTTTATGTATTTGCCGTGAAATCCTTTCCTGTGCCTATTTCCAGAATAGTATTACTAGATTTTGTTCTAGGACTTTTATAGTTTTGGGTTGTAAATTTAAGACTTTAATCCATTTTAATTTAATTTTTGTAAATGGTGTAAAGAAGGGGTCCAGTTCCAATTTTCTGCACATGGCTAGCCAGTTCTCCCAGCACCATTTATTAAATAAGGAATTATTTCCCCGTTGCTTGTTTTTGTCAGGTTTGTCAAAGATTAGATGGTTGTAGATGTGCGGTCTTACTTCTGAGTTCTCTACTCTGTTCCATTGGTCTATGTGTCTGTTTTTCTATCAGTACCATGCTGTTTTGGTCACTGTAGCCTTGTAGTGTAATCTTAAGTCTATTTGTGGGAATGTAACTTAGTTTAACCATTGTGGAAGACAGTGTGGTGACTCCTGAAAGACCTTGAACCAGAAATACCATTTGACCCTGCAATTCCATTACTGGGTATATACCCCCCAAAATATAAATCATTCTATTATAAAGATACATGCACATGTATGTTATATTGCAACATTATTCACAACAGCAAAACTATGGAATCAACCCAAATGCCCATCAATGATAGACTGGATAAAGAAAATGTGGTGGCTGGGCCCGGTGGCTCACGCCTGTAATCCCAGCACTTTGGGAGGCCGAGGTGGGTGGATCACGAGGTCAGGAGATCCAGGCCAACATGGTGAAACCCGGTCTCTACTAAAAATATGAAAAATTAGCTGGGTGTGGTGGTGCGCACCTGTAATCCCAGCTGTTCTGGAGTCTGAGGCAGGAGAATCACTTGAACCCAGGAGACAGAGGTTGCAATGAGCCGAGATTGCGCCACTGCACTCCAGCCTGGCAATAGAGCGAGACTCTGTCTCTTAAAAAAAATAAAATAAAATAAGAAAAGAAAAAGAAAATGTGGTACATGGTACATATACACCAGGGAATACTATGTAGTCGTAAAAAGGAATGAGATCATGTCCTTTGCAGGACATGGATGGAGCTGGAAGCCATTATCCTCAGCAAACTAACACAGGAGCAGAAAACCAAACATCACTTCTTCTCACTTATAAGTGGGAGCTGAACAATGTGAACACATAGACACAGGAAGGGAACAACACACACTGGGGTCTGTCGGAGGGGGAAAAGCATCAGGAAATACAGCTTATGCATGCTGGGCTTAATAACTAGGTGATGGGGTGACGGGTGCAGCAAATCACCATGGCACGCATTTACCTATGTAACAAACCTGCACATCCTGCACATGCACCCAATAACTTAAAATTTAAAAAAGAGAAAGAAATCACAGCCAGTTCTCATTTGTGCTGAGGGGAATTCAGCAGGGGTAACCAAGCAGAAGCCAGGGCTCCCTGCTGAAGCCACAGTGCAGGTGTTAAATGTTTGGTGATTGCCCTAGTAATGCACTGTGTGGAGAGGCTAAAAACTGCTTTCTCCTTTGAGATCTCCTTGATGCCTTATCTTTCCAGGCTAAGTCAATCCCCCATTTCCTCCGAAATGTGTGTGATATTCTGAAGTGGAAATACTCTGAATTCCAGTTGCAGCTAAGGGCTTACTTGAGCATAGAAGAGGTTAAGTCTTCCGACTTAGGTCTCCTTTGTGGCTATTTGAAAAAATTCAGAGATGAGGATCTCCTTGGGTTCAGGAGATTGGTTTCCCAGGGGGACACCCAGAATCAGATTCCTGCACTGAGCAGACTTTGCATGGCTTCCCATGACCTGCTGCTATCTCAAGAATTTTTAAGTACTCAGAGAATGCCTTCTTGTTTATAGTGAAAAATAATTCAAGGTTTGAGGGATTTATTACTCAAGGCTGAAGGATAAACCTCTGCATTCTTCATTTCGGACCAAGGTGGCTCTCCCTAGAGGCTCTCAGCACCCTTGTTTCTTCTGGGCCGCACACTTCTTTTTTCAATAAGCTTCCGAGGCAGATAAGAAGAGGTGACCTCTGTCTCTACCCACTCTTCTGAAAGGTGGAGTCCACAGAACAAGTCTTGCATTTATATGAAATTGAAATCATTCATTGTTTAAAAGGCATTTATTGAGCATCTGCTGTGTGCAAAATATTGTTCTTTATGTTGTGAAAAATACAAAAAATAAAAACCCAAAACAGAAAACGACCAATCAGAATACATTATCTCTTTCCTCAAGGAGACAATACAGGAGAGAGGAAAAAGATGAATAATGTTACATCTCAAGCCAAAAGCCTGGACACTACCTTGTGAACTCCAAGGGAGACATTCAAGGGTGTGGAGAAAGCCCAAACATGCGAAGGCAGAATGTATACTTTATTTATCTCTGGGGTAAACAAAGACATGGAGGCAAAGATATTTTGTAGGATAGTTCAGGCTGAGTCCACAGCACACATGTTGTGGAGTGCTGGGAAATGAGATTGAAGGTGGAAATGGTAGACTGAGGCTATGCTGTGGCATGTTTTGGATACAGAATAATACTGTCCTGCCCAAAATCAGCATTCTTTGATTGCATGAAGAAAGTGGAATTTTATGATTAATCTGGTGCAGTTAGTAGGAAATCAGAAATAGGAAACTGACGCAGCATGGTCAGTGATGATAATTTTAATACACGTATTAACTGGTTAATCTTCCTAAGTCATTTATAATATATAGGGAAGACATTGTCTACACTTTACAGATGAATACATTGAAGGTCAGAGGGGTTAAATGACTTGTTAAAAGTTACACATAAGAGCCGGGTGCGGTGGCTCACGCCTGTAATCCCAGCACTTTGGGAGGCTGAGGTGGGCGGATTGCCTGAGGTCAGGAGTTCAAGGCCAGCCTGGCCAACATGGTGAAACCCCATCTCTACTAAAAATACAAAAAACAAAAAAAATTAGCCTGGTGTGGTGGCACACGCCTGTAATCCCAGTTACTCAGGAGGCTGAGGCAGGAGAATTGCTTGAGCCCGGGAGGTGGAGGTTGCAGTGAGCTGAGTTCATGCCACTGCACTCCAGCCTGGCCTACAGAGTGGGACTCTGTCTAAAAAAACAAACAAACAAACAAACAAAAACAAAAGTTACACATAAGATAAAAGGACCAGCCTTCACTTAGACCCAAGCTTCTTTACTCTCTGTGTGTCTTTGGTATTCCAAGTCCATCTTGTTCCAGAAACAACTAATCAGACCTCTTCTAAAATGTTCTGTAAAATTTAAGTTTTTGCAAACATAAGGTGGCTCTTGATCCACAGAGGTGGGAGGTGGGCATAATTATGCAAGATATCTTTGCAGAGATTTTTTAAAAGCAGAGGAAATATATGCTGACTTTCTAAATTCCACCTTTTTATTTTTTAGGCAAGGTCTAATTCTGTCGCCGAGGCTGGAGTGCAGTTATATAGCTCTCTGTAGCCTTAACCTCCTGGGCTCAAGTTATCCTCCCACCTCAGCCTCCCGAGTAGCTGGGACCATAGGCTTGCACCGCCATGCTGGCTAACGTTTGCATTTTTTGTAGAGATGGGGCCTTAGCATGTTGCCTGGGCTGATCTCTTATTCCTGGACTCAAATGATCCTCCTGCCTTGGACTCCCAAAGTGCTGGGATTACAGGTGTGAGCCACTGTTCCCAGCCTAAATTCCACTTCTTGAATAGTCCTGTCCATTTCAGTGTCTTGTGATGAAGAGATTTTATTTGAAGACTAGTGAAAATATAGCGAAATTCATTCAGTGCTGAGATACTCCCTGCTAGTGAGTAATTTATAAAGGCAAGTTATTTTTCTTAGGCGAATAGGATGTGACTGAACAATTATTATAACACTTCTGTGTTCATAGATCCAAAGCTACAGCTTTTCTTATTGCTAGAGGTGGGATGTCACATCGTTGTAACTTGGCAACGGATAAGTTTACCAAGTTCTATTCAACATAACTTTTTTTTTTCTGGCTTCATTTATGATGCAAGGGACTGTTGGGACTCCAGGAGGAAAAAGACTTTTTATCTAGAGAAAAATTTAGCTTATTTAGAGTCAGTTCTCTCTGGGGTTTTAGGAAAAACATCCAGAGTTGCCATGATTTGCCTCTTCCAATACTTCCTGGTTGTAAAACTTTCTTTTTAAATAATCTCTCCTACTCTTCCTCTTCTCACCCTACACTGTGCCCACCATTACAGATATATGGATATAAACTCAAGGCGCACATGAGCTGCTGAGACAGGGAGAGAATTCTATTCATTTGGCAGAAGTGGATTAAGGAAGAGACAGAGGCAGTCGGTTCCTACGACACTCACCAGAGGCTTGTTTTCTGGTTTTCAGTTTCCCTTTCCTTCTTGTTTTTTTCTTGGCCCTTTCACCCCCTCACCAAAATTATTTTTGTTTCACGCCATTTTGGATATTGTTCCCTCTCTGTATTCTGGTATATTCCCAGATCAAGTCAACAGCTAAGCAAATATCTTGTAAGTCATTTTCTCCTTATTGTGAATTCCAGGGACTGAAAGACCAACATGAAAAGATTCCAGACACCAGGAAGACAGTGTCTCTACTTTTAATTCATTGTTGATTAACTTGTTCATTGAAGACCTGAATTCTGACAGTAAAAAAAATTATTCTTCTCTAATAACTATTTTCAGACATGTCCTTTTGTATCTTCCTTTCCCACTTCTCATCACAGCTCAAGCATATTTCATAGATTTGTGGTCACATTCTGGGATTGCTAAATCCATTGAAACCTCATATCTCATATGCAATACTATTTATCTGCTCTATCCAAATTCAGATTTAACTCATTGTTCAGGGATCATGTGTGTGTGTGTGTGTGTGTGTGTGTGTGTGTGTGTGTGTGTGTGTGTGTAGGGAGGGAATGTTTAATTTTCCATCATTCCTTTACTTCCTCTCTCTGCTGCTTCCGACTTCCCAGGGAGAAGGAAGGGAAAGGGATGAAGGGTTGGAGACAGGTGTATAGAAGCTGTGCTGGCTACTGCTGCACTCTCTCCTTTACAATGGTAGCTACTCCAGACAGTCTCCTGCCTTAGGAATGCACCATAAAAGAAGCAGTTATTGGTTTCCATTCTAGCCTATAAACTTTAAACCCCAGTGCATGCTTGTCATACCTGGGTGAAATTCCTCAGCTCAGCAGCAGTACTGATTTAAGCATAAGTGATTCTGCAGCTCCGCTTAATTAGGCTGGTGAATAAGTTGCCAGTCTTCTTGAGGCACTTCAACTCCATCTCTGTGGAGACCCTCTTGAAAAATCCCCACAATGGGAAGGAGAGGAGAAAGGCCAGAGCGTTTCTCTCATGCTCTTCCTACTCTAACAACTCTCATTTATGAATTCCTTTTAGATTTCTGGCCTTGCTTGGTAGAAGCTGGTTGCTTCTCCAGAAGCTACCTGGCTTGAGGGGCACAGGACTAATCCTACTATTTTTTATTAAGCCCTAGAAGGTATATGTTGTAATTCCAAGATATTATCTTTAGGAGAAAGGAGCAATTATCTATTGCCCCTTAATTTGGGGCTGATAGAAAAGGAAAATTCTATTTAATATTCTGTTTAACATTCTTGTATTCTCAGACCCAATATAATGTATGGCATATAGTAGAGGTCTATTCAATATTTATTTACTGAAGGAATGAATAAATGAATGAATAAAAGAAAGATCAAATAATTAAAACTGAAGAAAAAGGAAAATCATTCTGGTTCAATGGTCCTAAAATTATATTAATGGCAATCTTATTAGTTATCTATTGTTGCCTAATAAATTTCTCCATAACATTTATTATCTTAGAATTTGTGAGAGACAGGAATTTAGGAGGAGCTTAGCTGAATGGCCTGGACCATGGTCCCTCATGAAATTGTGGGCAAGATGTTGGCCAGAGCTGCAGGCATCTGAAACCTTGACTGGACTGGAGAATCCATATCCAAGATGGTGCACTCACAGAGCTGATGTCTCCACCACATGGCTTCTCCATAGAGCTACACACAATGTGGCAGCTGGATTTCCTCAGAGCCATAGTCAGAGAGAGACAGAGACTATACCAGAAGCTGCAATGTCTTTTATAACCCAGTGTTGGAAGAGACATAATTGCCATTTCTGACATAGTCTATATTTCACACAGGCTAACTCCAGTATAATGTGCAAGGTGACTACACAAGAGTGTGAATAGCAAGAGGCAAGAATCATTGAGGCTCATCTTGGAGCTTGACTATACCACAGCAGACTATTAATATGTTTTAACCCTTTGAATGCTCATAAATTCAACAACACAGAAAAAAACAGACCAATTCCTTGAAAACCACCAGCCACCCAAACTCAGCCAAGATGAGTTTGCCAATCTGAATATTTCTATAACCATTAAGGAAATTCAATTTGTAATTAAGATGTCTGGAAGAAGAAATGTCCAGGTCCAGGTGGTTTCACTGGAGAGTGCTACCAACTTTTAAGAAGGATTGACACCAATTTTAGGTAATATTTTTCATCTCATTTTTTGAGACTAGAATTACTCTGATACCAAAAACTGAAAAGAAAATACAAATTTAAAAAAATAAAGAAAACTATAGGCAATTATTCCTCATAACAAAAATCCTCCACAAAATATTAGCAAATCAACTACAGCAATATATAAAATGAATTATATACCATGACTAAGCAGGCTTTATTCCAACTATGTGGGGCCGATCTAACATTCAAAATCGACCAGTATAATTCGCCATATCAACATGTTAAAGAAGAAAAATCACATGGTCATATAAATCAATATAGAGCAAAGCATTTGACAAAATTCAACATCCATTCATGATTGAAAAAAATAACTCAGAAAAATAGGAATAGAAGGGAACTTCTTCAACTTACTAATGAGCATCTATAATAACCCTTTATCTAACATCACACCTAAGTGTAGATGACTTTCTCACCAAATTTTCTCCCTAAGATTAGGAACAAGGCAAGGATATCTATCCACTAACCTTAATCAACATAGTACTAAAAGTTTCAGCCATTACAATAAGGCAAATGAAACAAACAAACAGGTTGGAAGTTTGTAAAGTAAGAAATAAAACTGTCCCTATTTTCAGATGACATAATTATTTACATAGAAAATTTCAAGGAATCTGCCTCCCAAAAAGTCCTCAAGTTTTCAGAATACAAGACCAACACACAAAAATTAGTCACATTTCTGTGTACTAACAACAAATACCTGAAAATCAAAATTAGACACACAATTCAAAACACAATCTTTTACAAAATAACTCCAAAGAAAATGAAATACTTAGCTATAAACTTAACAGGATATGTACAATCTCTTTATGCTGAAAATTATAAAATGCTATGATGAAACTTAAGAGCTAAATAAATGGGAATACTGTGTTTATGAATTGAAAAGACTCAAAATAATACAATTGTCAATTCTCCCCAAATTGATCTATAGGTATAATATAATTCCTATCTAAATCTCAGCAAGACATTTTGTAGACATACACAAGTGTATTTGAAAATTAGTATGAAAAGACATATAGCCTAGAAATGTGACAACAATCTTGAAAGTAAAGAATAAAGTGGGAAGAGGCACTCCACCCGATACGAAGGCTTACTAAGGCTGCAGTAATCAAGACAGTGTAGAATTGGTGGAGAGACAGACATAGATCAATAGAAAAAGAGCAGAATAGATAATGCAGGTGCAGACCTAAATATGCCCATATGATTATTTAAACTTTTTATTTTGAGATAATTATAGATTCACATGCAGCAGTAAGACATAATAGAGAAAGATCCCATGTGAACTTTACCTAGTCTTCCTCAATGGTAACATGTTGCAAAACCATTGTATAATATTACACCAGGATATTGACATTGATATGGGCAAGAGATAGAAGAGTTCTGCCATCACAAAGGTCCTGTATTGCTGTTTCGTAGCCACAGTTTCCTACCACCTCCCTCAGTCTTTAAAAATCACCAATCCATTTTCCATTTCTCTAATTATGTCACCTAAAGAATGTTGTATAAATGAAATCAAATAGTATGTAGGCCTTCAGGGCTGGCTTTTTTTTTTTTCTTTCACTCAGCCTAATTCCTTGGATACAAATTTTTGCATGTATCGGTAGTTTGGTATTTTTTTTTTTTTTAAATCACTGGGTAGTGAGTGTTTCGTGCTATGGATACAGCACAGTTGGCTGAAGCATTCATCTGTTGAAGGACATCTGGTTTGCTCTAGTACTTGGACATTATGGATAGAGCTGCTCTAAACATTCATATACAGGTTTTAACCACCATATTGATTTAGGTTGAACAAACACATCTAAGGAAATGTTTCCATTTGTGGAAATATCTTCAGTAATTATAAAATATTACTGAGATATTTAAGCAGTTACGGGGAAGGGAAGGTGTTCCAGAAGATTTTAAGCACTCTTCACTTTAATCCTTGTGAGAGGTGACAACATGCTGGCGGCCCACACTCGCTCTCAGCGCCTCCTCGGCCTGGGCATCCGCTCTGGCCACGCTTGAGGAGCCCTTCAGCCCGCCAGTGCACTGTGGGAGCCCCTCTCTGGGCTGGCCAAGGCTGGAGCCTGCTCCCTCTGCTTGCGGGGAGGTGTAGAAGGAGAGGCGTGGGCGGGAACCTGGGCTGCAGCATGGCACTCGTGGGCCAGGGCGAGTTCCAGGTGGGCGTGGGCTCGGCAGGCCCTGCTTAGAGGCAACGGCTGGCGCCGCCGGCCCTGGGCAATGAGGGGCTTAGCACCCGGGCCAGCAGCTGCAGAGGGGGTGCCGAGTCCCCCCAGCACTGCTGGCCCACCCATGTCGTGCTCAAATTCTTGCCAGGCCTCAGCTGCCTCTCCATGGGGCAGGGCTCAGGACCTGCAGCCTGCCATGCCCAAGTCCCCCCGTGGTGCGCTCCAGTGCAGCCTGAGCCTCCCTGACGGGTGCCGCCCACTCCTTCTAGGCTCCCGGTCCCATTGATCACCCAAGGGCTGAGAAGTGCAGGTGCACAACATGGGACTGGCAGGCAGCTCCACCCGTGGCCCTGGCACCGGATCCACTAGGCGAAGCCAGCTAGGTTCCTGAGTTGGGTGGGGACATGGAGAACTTTTTTGTCTAGCTGGAGGATTGTATATGCACCAATCAGCACTCTGTGTCTAGCTCCGGGTTCGTGGATGCACCAGTCAGCACTCTGTATCTAGCTAATCTGGTGGGGACTTGGAGAACTTTTATGTCTAGCTAAAGGATTGTAAATACACCAATCAGCATTCTGTGTCTAGCTCAAGGTTTGTAAACACACCAATCAGCACTCTGTGTCTAGCTCAAAGTTTGTAAACGCACCAATCAGCACCCTGTGTCTAGCTCAAGGTTTGTAAATGCACGAATCAGCACTCAGTGTCTAGCTCAAGGTTTGTAAATGCACCAATCAGCACTCTGTATCTAGCTAAAGGTTTGTAAACACACCAATCAGTGCTCTGTGTCTAGCTAATCTGGTGGGGACTTGGAGAACTTTTACGGTCTAGCTGGAGGATTGTAAATGCAGCAATCAGCACTCTGTGTCTAGCTCAGGGATTGTAAATGCACCAATCAGTTACCTGTCAGAACGGGCCAATCAGCTCTCTGTAAAATGGACCAATCAGTTCTCTGTAAAATGGGCCAATCAGCAGGATGTGGGTGGAGTCAGATAAAGGAATAAACGCAGGCTGCCCGAGCCTGCAGTGGCAACCCAGTCTTTGTTGTTTCACTCTTTCTGATAAATGTTGTGGCTGCTCACTCTTTGGGTCCCCACTGCTTTTAACGAGCTGTAACACTCACCACGAAGGTCTGCAGCTTCATTCCTGAGGCCAGTGAGACCACGAACCCACCGGGAGGAGTGAACAACTCCAGATGCCCTGTCTTAAGAGCTGTAATACCGCAAAGGTCTGCAGCTTCACTCCTGAAGCTAGCGAGACCAAGAACCCACCAGAAGGAAGAAACTCTTGAACACGTCTGAACTTCAGAAGGAACAAACTCCTGACACACCATGTTTAAGAACTGTAACACTCACGGCAGGGGTCCACGGCTTCATTCTTGAAGTCAGTGAGACCAAGAACCCACCAATCTCGGACACATTTGTGCCTCTCCACAGGCCTCTCCTTTAAACTCTTTCTTCGTTCAGATGTCCCTGACACCCCATCCTTACCCAACAGTCGTTGAGACACCTTATCTCTTTCCACCAGATCCTGAAGCCTGTGTGTTTAGTTCCCTTCTCATGTCTCTCAAATTCCGGTTAGGAAAAAGAAGGATGGATTCTGATTCTGTTTGGATTGATGAAGAAGAAAAGGAAAAGAAAATGGTTATCTTCAGAAGTTATCTGATTTCCTACTAAATTCCTAAACTCAAACATAGTTCACCAACATTGCTATTTCCTTCCAATGGTGTGTATCTAGTTTGCATAAAAACGTATTATCCATTTATTAACATGGCTTTTGCCTTTTTTGTTGTGAAGGAATAACCAAGATTTAGTTATTCTAAAAGTATGGATACCTATATCTTGGCCTTAAATTCATTTTAAGGCTTTATTACATTGACTAAAAATGCCTTTGTCTGAGTTTTTTAGATAAATGGCACAATGCCAAAACTTCATCTAGCATCTTACATATAGATTCAACTCAATAAACATCTGATGAATTAATACTCCTTTTTTTTATTTTTAGAGCATAGTGGGGATTAGGGAGATAGTGAAAGCAATTTATAGTGCCACCTGAGGCATGGTGAAGAAAGCAGGGAGCTGTTTACAAATATTTTAGAGATCATATGTGAAACTAGGATTGGATTTATAGAAATGATAGATTATCATACATGTCTTTACAGAGCAGAGAGATGGTCAGTGGCTGGAACTATCAGGTTGATAGACACAGGCCATCTCGTGAAAGATCTTTCCAATAATGAGCTATTTAGAACTGAGAATCCACTGATATTTGAAGTAGTAATCTACCCATCATCAGGAATATTCTACTAAAAATTTCAACATTAAGGAAGAAGATATTGTGGCATTGAGTGAAAAGTAGAGCGACATAATCTTGAAGGCCCATGCAGTTCTAAGATTCTACATGGTTATGCCCATTGATTTAAAAAATTCTGTAAATTTTTTAACATTCAAAAATGTGCATAAATGTAGACTTGTGAACAAGTTCCTATTAAAATATTCCTATACATAATGCCATTGGAAACAAAGTCATTTGCTCAATCACCAAGTGGTTTGGGCATCTTTAACTAAATAAACTGGAAACTAGACGCATGAAGAAAATATTGACATGGACTGGCAGAAATGTAAAATCTGTTACAAACGCTGACAAATTTCAGAGCATTAACTCTATTTTGCGGAATCCCTAATGTTTTATTGAAAAGGGAATATTCTTTAACTCAACACTATACTAGTTGTTATGGTTAGTCTTCTGGTTAACTCAGCTAAAAAGCAGGTTATTTAATCAAACGCTAGTCTGGGTGTTACTGTGAAGTTATTTTGCTGATGCAGTTGTCTTTAAGTAAAAGGTATTACCCATGATAATGTGGACGAATGTCATCCAATCAATTGAAAGCTGAACAGCACAGTAAGCTGAACCATTCGTCTGTTGAAGGACAGTCTAAGGGATACCCTGGAGGAGGAATTCTGTCTCAAGGCCCTAGCATCAAATCTGTAGCATCAAATCCTACCAGAGTTTCCACACTGTGAGCCTGACATATGGGTTTCAGACTTGACAGTCCTGACAACTGGGATGAGGCAACTACTCAATCAATCAAACAAACAAGGGTGGATTGACATATTCTCTTGGTTCTTTTTCTATGGAGGATCCTGACTGATACACTAGTTCTCTTATGTCCACTACTGAAATGCCTGCCTTAGGGAGAAGATGTTGTAATTTGATTGGTATATTCCAGAGTGTACTGAAGTCAAAATCATGATTGCATTAAAATGGTATAGCTCTCTTTACCTCCATTTATATTTCTTTTGTGCCATACCTTCATTTATGCAAGCATTTTTTGCATTAATTCATCTTTATATGAGCCAAATGATTGTAGTCATCTGTGGTGGCCTAGTTCAAGAATTTGATAAGATTGCTCACTGTTGGACATAGAAAAAATCTTAGAAATCAACCAGGCCAAACTCTCACTTAATAGACATGGAAGAAAGATAGCAAAATGATTGCTATTGCTAGTACTGGGCTGAGCAGCCATGTTTCACACACACAATTTTGTCATTCTACTCTGCCTTCCTCTTCCTCCTGCCAGTAGTCTCCTCTCTCCCCGAGAAAATGAAAACTGACTGATTTTGCTACCATACGGTAAACCAAGCTAGCGTCTGGAATGAGGACAGATGATTATGGATGGAGTATACAAAATCATGAGGAACAGAAGTTGCTACGTTCTATTCTGGATTCCTACTGTGAGCAAAGGCATTCAATTCTCCAAAATTAGGGTGAACAGCCACATCCTTTGGTTTCTGGAGCCCTCTAGGAACTCTGGCACAATCAAACTAATACATTAGACTTGAATTCACATATGGTTCAAATATGTACCTTTCTCTGTCCAAATATAAAGCATCCAAGAATGAAAAAGATCTTTTGCTTCCAACAGCAACTGGTAGAATTTGTTCCCTCTCTAAATATAGTTTCATTTTTGAAATAAAACCAAGAGATTAACAAACAGATTATGATATTTGTACAGAAAAAGTGAAATGCAGTGTCTTAGATTTGATGCTGAAGTGGGACATCGGCTTTCTTCTTGGAAGTGTGACTCTTCATTGTATATGGTTGCGAATACTCTTCCAGCTGGCATTTTATACCCTGATGTTACTCATTTTTTATTGGGGAGCAGGAATTTGGGTTATGAGGCAAATAAGTTCTTAATGCCTAGAAACAGATTGAAATACAGTGTTATAGATCTTACAACATTTTCCTACAGAGATTAAAAATATTCAGAGATTCCTGAGTTTTAGTCACATGAAATTTTGTGCTTACGCCTTTTTCTCAATTTTGCACATATAATCCAAAGAATAAATGAATGACTCTAAATTAATGTCTCTAAAAGGTTGCTAGACATAGTACCTCATTGGATCTCGATGTTAACCCTATGATGCACATTAGGCTGAAAAAACTAAAGCTACAATAGAGAGTTTTGTGATTTCCCAACATCAATTAACTAGTGATCAGCAGAGTAGGATCTTAAATCTATGTTTTTTTGTCTCTAAATGTCATGTCTTTTGATTAAGATTTTTAGCCATATAGATTATGAAAAAGAAAAGTTAAACAATGGAACCACTCTATTTCTTATTTATGATTTGATAAAGATTGGCTCTCCTGGAATTTAATTCTCAGTGTCTAAATTTAATATCAAGTTTTCTAATAAAGTTTTATTTTTATATCTGTGGAATGCATGTCTGCCATAAATGTTGAGCAATTTCCACACTGTTGTAAGTAATGAATGTGAAATTCAAGTGCTTCTGTGATTTATGCCAGGTTGTTGGCATTCAACCATGACTCACAACTCCAAGCCAGCAGTTCTAAATCTCTCCAGTCCCACCTTTCAGTTGGGGAGTTCCCAGGGTTAATGGTCTTTGGAGCCAATATGCTCCCTGAGTTAGCTTTGAAGGTGATTCATTGCTCTGGTATGAAGTTTGAGGACGAGCCAGTTTAGGTGGATTCCATTCAGCACCCAGTTCAACAGACAACACAAGACTGATTCAAACCCTGGCTCTCCCACCTAAATAAATGTTACAAAATCAACACACATTCACTTTACAATAATTTGATTTGCATTTTTAATTCAGTCACCAGTTGTCTACATTGGACAATGTGGAAAAGAAAAGTTGACTTGCTTATTACTGTCGGCTTATGCTGGCAGGAGGGTTAATCTTTGCCCAGAAAGTGTACATGTCACAGCTGAGTCAGTCTATCTGTCTAGAACACTCCTCAACACTTACGCTGTTACTTGTCTGAAGAAGTCTGTTTTTCATCCTCTGTTTTGATGAATGCCCATATTTTTACTCAAACTTGAGCCTTTTTTCAACCAGTAAAAATAAACCTTCTTGTCCTAAATAAAAAAGACCACCTCAAAAGGTGGTTCAAAAGGCATCTTGGAAATCAAGTAGCACTTACGCAGCATGATTTGCTTGTATTACTGTAAGTGACAATGACTCAAAATCATATGGATTAAATTTTCTTACAAATAAATACAGGGTCACTAATATAGAGTTTGGTTTGTATTTTGCCAATACTACAGCAACTTAATAAGGAGTCGTAGCCTTTCTTGAACCAGAAGGATCTGCTGTTCAACAGTAGAAAGTAAAATGGATCACAAATATGTAATGTTCCAATAGATATCAAGGCATTCTAAAGTCTTTTTTAAAATTAGGCTAGCTGTTGATTTTGGTTATAGTTAAAAATTTGCAAATGCTGTAATTTTTAAGTTAACATAAACAAATACTATTGTGGTTAATTAAAACATTTCTTTTTTCATTAAAAGGCATTGCCAGTAATGAAACTAGGGACAAATATTTAAGACGAAAAGGGACAAGGAGCAAGTCACTGACAAAGCAAAACAAGAATTGAAAATTTCTTCTTCCAAGCCCCTTACTCATTTTTTGCCTTCCAACTTCATCTAGTGATTAAAGATAACATAATATTAACAGTAACACATAAGATGAAAATAGTACTAAATGCAATAATGCAACCTTAACTAAATGTAAAAAAGTAACTTAATATCCATGCTTAGAAATGGATTACTTAATGATTCAATAGTTGGACTCGTCCAGCTAACATATAGGCAAAATATGGTTCTAAACTGGAGAAATTATTATCTGAAGACAATTGATAAGATCCTCCTTTTTTCAGCCATGTCACCAGTTATATGTAAATAACTATAGGGTATATTGAATAATTCAACTTCATCTGGATAATGCTGGACAAAACTCTAGAGAGGAATTGTAAAAATCAAATGTTTTTATTTTTATAATTTTGACTCAAAGCCAAGTCTTACAGGATTTTGCTTGGAATTATATTCTTTTATTTGCAAGCAAAGAGTTCCCTAGGCTTTTAGATTGGCAGAGCTAGTAAAATACTGTTCATCTGAGGCTGTTGAATCTTAGCATTCTAAAAAGTTCCAGTCTACTACTGCTGCTAAACTTAACCTCAGGTGAGCCACACCACTGAGGCATGAGGTTCACTATTCTTTCCAGTGTATGAAGTGAAAGTTCCTTCTGCCTGTGGTTTGACGAACACACTCAGACAGGATCAACCTGAGTAAGGCCAGTTCTTTAGCTTTTCATTGCTTTGCCAATTACTACTTTAGTGCTTACCAGGTATTCAGGTACAGCGTGAGGTCCAAGCAATATTTTTAGTTCCAGGGAACTCAAAGTCTGGTAGTGCAGAGAAATGTTGAAATAAATAATTATGGTCAAATATGAATCTATAATAGAAGTAGACATAGAGTGCTGTGGTCTTTCAGAATTCCGAATGACTAGTTTTTTGAGGTTGGAGTTGGGGCGAGGCTGTATCAATTGTCTAGTACGGTGTAACAAATCATTCCAAAAAAGAACCTTCAAACAAAAGGTATTGTTCATGATTTTGCTCTGGGATCTGGGCTCAGCCACACAGCTCTTCTGTTGGCATCTCTTGGGATTACTCATGGTGTTTTGGCTGCAGCCAGAGGATCCAAGAAAGTTTCCTTCACATACTTGGCAGTAACATCGAATTTGCAGCTGAGTGTCTTGGCTCTCTTCCATGTGGCTTTTCCAGCATATTGACCCAGGTTTTTAATATGGGGGCAGCAGCTTTCCAAGAGAGTGAGAACAAAAACTGCAAGGCCTCTTGAGTGAGACTGGACAGTCACACAGTGCCACCTCTACTGCATTCAACTGGTGAGAACAATTAACTGGGCCATTCCAGAATCAAGAATGGGGAAAACTGTCTCCACCTCCTAATGCGAGGAGCTGAAAGAAGTGGCCATTCTAAACCACAGGGGTTAGTTAGGGAATATGTCAAAGCAACCACTTTTGAACTGGGCCCTAAAAGATTTGTGTGTGTTTTCTGTGCTTGAATGTGTGTGTGTGTGTGTGTATGTATGTGTGTGTTGGGACAAGGGATATTCCAGGAATGGCAGAGGGAACATTCCAAACTTAGTGATTAGCAGGAACAATGGGTGGTGCAATATTTGTGAAACTGCAAGTAAATGTACGTGGATGAATATAGAATGCATCATATCCTCTGGGGTAAGGGTAACCTGAAGAAGAATGATGGTGAAAGGAGTAAGAAAAAAAATAGGTCTAGAGAGGCAGGTTGGGCAAATATTGTGAAAGAGTTTATGTGAGCGACTCAGTGATGTGGAATTTATCCTGTAGGCACTGGGCAACCAGGAATCATTTTCACAAGTTTCAGGACTTTCAGGGAAGGCACTGACTAAACGTTTGTCACATAAATACAACCAAGTTAGTGACAGAATTTGATTTGCCATCCTTGAAAAACATTGGATAAGATTAAGAAGACCTTATAATTCTCCAGCTGACCTCTGTGTCTTCTTCCATCTGGGTCCCTGAACTACCAGTAGTAGCCCTCAATCTAATGGTGGCTTCCAAAGTGTTTCAAGTAGCGATCTAACTAGGGAAGGATGAAGACTAGAAAAGATCTTGAACAGGATACTTGGCTTTACACAACTGGTGTGCTTATTTGGAGTAGGTCTGGAGGTCTGCTCAAGATTAACAGTGGGGGTGCCAAGAAACAACACGTTGGCACCAAGACTGAGGAGCCCTCTTCTCCCAAGCTGCTCACCCCTGTGGTAATGTAGGTCAACAGTTGAAAGTTAATGTTGATGTTGATTATTGAATGAAAGAAACTTTTCCTTAGCTTAAAAAAAAACTTTCAAAGTAATTATAGACTCAGAGTGTTGTGCAAAAGAGTACCTAGGAACCCCTGCACCATTCACCCAGCTTCCCCCAAGCATGACATCATATTATAATGGTAGTACAACATCAAACAAGGAAATTGACATTGGTACATTGCTGTTAACTGGACTATAGATCTTATTTAGTTTTCAGTACTTTTACATGTATTCATGCATGTGTGTATGTATGTAGTTCTATGCAATTTGTCCGATATACAGATTCATATAATCATTATCACATTCAAAATACAGAATTCTTCTATCACCACAGAATAACTCCTTCATGCTACCCCTTTATGTTTGTACCTCCTGTATTTGTTTATTTGTGTTTCTATAAAGGAATATCTCAGGCTTGTTAATTCAAAAGGAAAAGAGGTTTATTTAGCTCATAGTTCTGCAGGTTGCACAAGAAGCATGGTGCCAGCATCTGCTTCTTGTGAGGGACTCAGGCTGCTTCCACTCATGGCAGAAGGGCAAGAGGAGCTGGCATGTTCAGATTATATGGCAAGAGAAAAATCAAAAGGGGGAGAATGTGCCAGGATCTTCTTAACAACCAGCTCTTGAGCAAACTCTTTCAGGAAATAAGAGTGAGAACTCACTCATTACTGCAAGGATAGGATCAATCCATTCATGACTGATTCATCCCCAAGAACAAACACCTCCAATTAGGCCCTACCTCCAACACTGGGGATCAGATTTCAACATGAGACCTGGTGGGGCCAAGCAAACCATATCTAAACCCTAGCACCCCCATTCCTCTGAGTTTGATTTCATAAATGTGATGGTGTCAGAATGATTGTATTGGAGAAGTATGCCTTAAGACACTAGAATCTGTTTCCTGGGAGCTTTATGGATTACATATTATGAGTTACACAAAGTTTTGTTTTATTTTCAGTCCTGAGATCAGCTAGCTTAATGTGTGTGGGTGAAGAACTGGATAATTTAAATTGGTTCTAAGTGTAAAGACTTGTTTTGCTTGAATGTTATTCTGTTGCTTAATGAGAACTACCCTATAATCCTTTCTGCCCTTCCTTCTCCCCTAGTCCACCAAAAAGATCAATCTCAAAATTTACTCTATCTTCTTTTGCAGAGGTCATTACTTTAGGTGTCACCACTGTCTTCTGAAAGCCCAATTAAATACATACATGTGATATGGTTTGGATCTGTGTACCTGCCCAAATATCACATTGAATTGTAATACCCAGTGTTGGAGGTGGGGCCTGGTGGGAGGTGATTGGATCATGGGGGTGGTTTCTCATGAATAGGTTAGCACCATCTTCTTGGTGCTCCTTTCATGATAGTGAGTGCTCACAAGATCTGATTGTTTAAAGGTGTGTAGCACATCCCTCCTCCCTCTCTTGCTCCTCCCCCAGCCATGTGAGTCACCTGCTCCAGCTTTGCCTTCTGCCATGATTGTAAGTTTCTTAAGTTTCTTGAGGCCTCCCCAGAAGCAGAAGCTGCTGTGCTTCCTGTACAGCCTGAAGAAGTGTGAGCCAATTAAACCTCTTTTCCATATAAATTACCCAGTCTCAGGTATTTCTTTATAACAGTGTGAGAACAGACTAATACAAGATATATTTATACAATATGTAGTGTATTTGAGATACAATCATCATGACTTTAGAGGTTCTCATCTATTAATTAAAAACTAGTGGAAATAGAGTGATTAAGTGATTAAGGATAGGAGAGACAGTGATGACAGAGACAGTGATGGTAGTGATTAAGGATGATACAGATCAAAGTCTAGTTTAGTATCATCCAGAAACAAAATAATCCTAGATATCAAAGTTATTTGATATGGATTATGGCTATTATGGAAAATATTTGCTTGTGAATTAAAAATATAAAGGGCCTAACTTTCATTATTTTTGTCAGCATCTCTCTTGTCTCTCCATTAATCTATGGGTTTATTGACTGTTAATGGAAGAATATATCCCAAGAGGAAAATAGCACACCTTTTTTTAAAGAGTATGTTAGATAATTGAGACTTGACTATTCCTACTGTAAGATAGAATGCTATGTGAATTAGGATGCTGTAAGGGAAAGAAGAAACACTTAAATGTTCTGGTATAACATTTGTATTTCATAGTCTACAGAGATAATGTGACTGTGCTGGTTACGAATATTTTAACCAATTTTAGTATAAAATTCCTGTTTCAAAACCCTATGAATCAGTTATAGTCTGACTTATACACTCACACAAGACATACTACAACTATATTTATTTTATTTATTTCCAATCAATTCCTCAAGAAACCACCAGGAGACTTTTCATTTGAAAATGTTGAAGTTGGTATCATCTTCAGGACAGAGGTAAATGAGAAGCCTCTCATTGTAATCAGCCCTGTGCCTGGACATTTTACTGGCTGGGGAGAAGTACGGATTAAAACTCACTCACAATGCCACGGTCAGGACACAAATTCTTCCTGGTATGTAAGTAATCCTGACTTACTACCATAAAACTCTCCCTGAAATAGCTGTTTTGGCAAAAGCTTATTTAATTCAGAGATGAATAATTAAGAAGAACCAGTGCAACGTATATAAAATACCATTATAAAACAAAGAAAATATGGAGCAACTGGTGAATTTATAATGTTCAACAGAAATACGTGGCTATAGATCAAAATCATCTTCAAATATTTCTCATGAATTTTTTAAAAAAATGAATAATGAAGCAATTGAATCTATAATATAAGAATACAAAGTAATGACACAAGAGTCAGATGACTACACACTAGAAAGAAGTGAAATGTGAGTATCAAACATTTTTTTAAAATACAAACATTTAAAAAACGTAAACATCACAGAAGTTAGTGTGAAAAAACAAGGCACACAGGGGAGAAAAGTCACTTCCAATAAGGCAGAAGACAGGAATGGTAGATGTAAGTAAATACAGTAAAATGAAACTAACATAATCTTAGTATGAATGATAAATGACATCTAGAGAAGGCAGAGAAAGCAGATTCAACATACACGTAATTAGGAGTCCAAGAAAAAGTTCAAATAATTAGTTTCAGGAAAAAGTTCAAAATGAAGTCTAGCATATTTTAAAAACTAAACAAAGGTTTAAAAAGCACAATTTTTTTCAGGACTGTCAACATTGAGACAGTATCATTAAACTTGATTTGGAAGAGATTTTTTTTTTCTTTCTAGACATAGCCTCGCTCTGTCACCCAGGCTGGAGTGCAGTGGCGTGATCTTGGCTCACTGCAACCTCTGACTCTGGGGTTCAAGTGATTCTCCTGCCTCAGCCTCCCCAGTAGCTGGGATTACAGGCACCCACCACCATGCATGGCTAATTTTTGTATTTTTGGTAGAGATGTGTTTCAACATGTTGACCAGGCTGATCTCGAACTCCTGACCTCAGGTGATCTGCCCACCTCGGCCTCCCAAAGTGCTGGGATTACAGCACACCTGGCCTGGAAGAGAAATTTTTTTGTACAACTATATAAAAAGACTTGTGTATTCATATGGGAAAAATAAAGTTAGAATATTACCTCATGAATTATACCCAAAATAAATACATAACTGTATTAAATATTTAAATGTAAGATACTAAATTATTAGATGAACCATGGAAATACATTGTAATATTGTGGTTCCAAAGGCCTTTTTAGGGAATTAAAACTAAAAAGACTAATACATTTAAATACATTTTAAAAATCACTGCATGACAAAAATCACCAAAACAAATAAGTAAATAAACTTACCAATCAAGTGAAAAAATGAGAGAAACACATTTTGATCTCTGAACTGAGAGAAGAATAGCATCTCTTAATCAAGAAGCAACATAATGGGAAAATGGGAGGTAATTTAAATAGACAAGTCACAGTAGAAAAAAAAATAAATGGATATTCAACTAACCAAAAATACGAAGTGTTAGTTTGAATAAATTAAGTAAAAATTCAAACTTAGGGAATAAATTAAGTAAAAATTCAAACCTAGATTGAACTGAAATTCAATCTTTCATCTATTAGACTAGCAAAATTTAATAAGGTGTGAGGAGACAGGCAACTATGGCTTATACATTGTTGGTAAAAGTATAACTCGAAAAGTTAAAAAAAATCAAAGCTCAAAGCACAGAACAGTGTGTAGAATGCTATTTGTGTGGAAACAGAATAAGATTATATATATGTATATAATATATAGATTATATATAGAATATACATATGTGTGTGTGTAGTTATAATGCATACCATATCTTTGGAAGCACTACCAAAACTCTAATAATACAATAGTTTCTTGAGAGTGAACCTGGGTGGATTGGAGAAGGGGTAGAATTAACACCTGTTATAATATGTTCTTTTGAAATACTTTAATTTTTCTCTCTGTAAATTTATTTCTTATTAAAAATATAAAAAATATGTTGTATTTATTTAAAAAATCCCACTACTTCTCTCTTAAGCCTTCTCCTGTCTCAAGAACCCGAGAGGCTTACTCTTCCCTAAGGCTGGAGTCGGGGTTCATGCCTGCTGGGATGAGGGTAGGTACCTGCTTCTGGTGGCAGATGTAGACAGAACGGTCAAGCCAGCTCCGTCCTCACAATGCATAGTGTCTGCATTGAAGATATGGCACCTTCCCCAGGGTGCACTTACTGACTCACATATATTGCAGGGCATTCACGGGGCTCAAACTTGTGCTCAGGGTTATAGCTCTCTGTAGTTCACAGTCACCATGCTCAGCCTTTATTCTTCAAGATGGATTTATTGATGTTGAGGCAGGGACTAGAAACGTTTCCAGTATCAGCCACACACCAAAGAAACTTGAAAGCCCCCTCAAAGACATAGACATCTAGACCCAGCCTGGTACAAAGACTCAACACCCACCTTTATCGATGTAAATTTAATCCCCAAACTTCAATGTCCTGCCTGCCCCTGGGCTTTGGCCACAGCCCCTCAGGTGTGACCTGGTCTGTTGTGACAGGTCTGCCTAGACTGTAATTATGAGAAATGATACTATGCTTTCCTGTCTGGAAAACCTCAGCCTCTTTTTGCTAACTAGTTCATTTTATCCTCCAGATCTAAGCAGTGTGTATGGAGGGGCCAGGTAGTATTTTCCAACTCGTCCAAAACAAGCAAACAACAGGCAAGTAAACAAACACAAAACTCCAACAATGCCAGTTGTCAGATTATTGTTTCTCAACAGTCATCAAATCCACCTTCATTGACAGCTTGTGATGCTGGAGCTGGATCATGTCAATGTTTCTACTTTTCCACTGGAGAGTGTTGCGGGAGTGTCTGTTCTCAGCCTTCTCCATGGCCAGCCGTGTGGGGCACGTTCAAGTTGCCAGACCCAGGCCAATGATTCCCTGCCCACAAGCACCAGCCAGCTGCCAACTCAGGAGATTATTTCCTGCTTGTTGTTTTCTACCCACTACAGTTGGCCTGGCAACTGGCATCACCTCTGGTCTGGAACACCCCAGCAAACTTTCCCCCCATCCCACAGGCTTTGGCCACACCCTCAAAAACAGGCTCTGAAACCCAGCCTCGGAGATGGGATTCTCCTTCCTAGTTTGTTCCTTCCTGGGGAGGGGGTGCTCTACCTCAGCCTTAGAATATTCTTCAGAATTTTCCTTCTTCCTTTCTTAGTAGCTAATCTTCTACTACCAGTTAATACTTTGCTAAAATTCGCAGTGCAAATTGCTATATGATTTCTGTCTTCTGACTGTATCCAAGGTAATATACAAACTAACTAGGTGGGAGGCCTTTGTGCATTGTTCTTCCAGGACATTGAGCATCAATTTGCTTTACATTTGCTTAATTCAGTGGGGCCTTCAAGCTTTATTCCAGGTTGTCCTAACTATATTGTGTAAAGAATGGTGGTTAGGTACTTGCACTAAAGAAGAAACAAAGAAAAATACATTACAAGGAACTTAATTATTATATTATAGGGAATTTAACTATATTAAGTTGCTGAGATTTGGCAATATGTACATTAGCAGGAGCTTGGGGATAGGTGTGTGGTGAGTGAGGGTCAGAACTTTCCGCTGACTCTTACCAGCAGCAGCATGCTATTTTGTACACAGGGCTATCTGCTTTCCATTCATTTAATATAACTACTAGGTAAACTTTATCTCTGCAAGTTTTCATATGAATTGAATTAGGAAAGTAATGTGTCACTTTTCAAAACCTCACAATAGTGGTGACGGGTGCCTGAGACGTTTGATTCATCTTGTGAGATAAAATACAGAACTGTAGCAGTCCCTCTTGGTGCTGTTAGGAGCAAGGCGGAATGAGACCACAGATTTGAAAACAGTTGAAAAACAAGTCCTTTACCTGCTGTGTCTAGTGGTTTCTAACATATCTGGAAAAAATATAAACGCTTTCTGTTTGTTTCTTCATTGCATATTCAAGGTGGTCCCTGAATAGAGACTTTAATGAGATGTTGAAAAAGAAATGCTGAGAGAGTTTGAGAGACCAATGCTATAACGAACACTGCGGCCTTCCGTTCGTCTGTCTTCCAAACCTAACATAACGTTTTCACAAGCTTATTGAACTATCTTGCACTGGTTAGAGCCGTATTCTCACAGAAAACCTTGCCATTGATGACCTTAGTTTGGAATCTTGCCAAGACTTGACACCTATGTTTTTGCTTTTTTAGCAAGACCCTTGTCCATGGATCAACCAACCATGGGCTAGAGAGGAGGCTCTGAGACATATTGTACTTTCAGCCAGTGGATAATTGAGATCACTTGTCTATTTGTGGGGTGAACTGTGGGTTTGTTGGCCAAATATATGCCAGCCACGTGTGAAACAAGATCTCCCTGCCAAACACCAACCACAGGAGGTTGTTGTTAATAATTTCATGAGTAGACAATATGGTGAGATGAGTCCCAGCTCTGCATGCGCCGGATTTCAGGAGCAGCTCTGGACAATGGGAGATGTATTGGAAAGCCTCCCCCTGCCCATAGATGTTGTCATAAACTGTATGCAATGGATCAACAGCAGCTGTGAGGAAGATTGAGTCCCTTGTCAGCTGTTGGCAGGGAGATCTATGTCTACTTTTCAAGCCTTGTGAGCATGACATTGCCCAAAGGCTAAAAGGCAGGTTTTGATCTCACTGAATGTCCCAAGTCCTCCAGTGATTCAGGAGGTGTTGCAGAAATGAGAGTGGCTCAGGCAGGTCTCCTAGGCTTTCCTAAGCATATCGATCCATCCCAACCTTCCACTCTCATGCACTGTTGTTGCTGTGTTTGGCTGATTTCATTTTGATGGAGTCTCGGCTCACTACATGCATTCAAGTGTGCAGCAAAATGGCCTAAATTTTATCTACTTAATTTAAAAGAGAATGATATGAGAATGGGTATTGACAGTGAGAGAGCAAAAAAATCACCCTGCAAAATGTCATCATCCTCACTCCCTTCAACTCACTTTTAAGAGGCAGAGAACACAGAAGTCTTCATTGAGAAATTTCCCCAATGTCCATCATGAGTTTCTCTTCAGTGGGATCATTTGAAACTATGTGGTAGAGACCAGATTCTTGGCACAGATCAGCGTATTTCACATAGAGACCAATTCTTCACCAAATTTTGTCTTCCAGTTTCAAGCAAAATTAGTATGGTTTAGCTGAGTTTTCCTAGCAGCTTGCCTGTCTGTCTACTTCTGTTCTCTTAATGACTAAATAATAGGGCATTCCTTGTTTAAGCTTTGTCATATTATTTTCTGAACACTTATATCCATATCCTGAGCTCCTAGTTGGCACTTAGTAAATGCTCAGCAATGTCTATTGGCCTAGTGAATGTTAATATTGACACTGAGCAATGTAAGGACCTGCCATTCTGCTCTTCCAACTTTCTGATTGTTTGCAATATGTCTTGAACATATCCTAATAAAATGTAAGAAACAAAGGACTTAATACTGCAAAGTGGTTAAGAGCACAGAGGTTTCAGGATCAGGCCTGAGTGTGAATCTCTGGTACGGTCTTGACCATACAACCTCTGGTCAGTTATTTAAAATTTAACTGTCCCCAGTGTCCTTATCTGTAAAATGAGTTTAATATAACAATAGATCATAGAACTTTGTGAAAATTAGATAACATAAAGTGCCTGACATATAATAAACACTGAGTATATATGAGCTATTAGAGTTGTTAACATTTCATCACTCATCAAGTGTGGGATACCATATTCCAGTCATTTTTAGATTGATGTCATGGAAGTCTGCCGTGCCATGTCACCCATGATGCCTGGACATGAGAAAAGATGTGGTATACACTTTCCCCAACAACATTTATTTATTTATTTATTTATTTATTTATTTATTTATTTATTTCTGAGATGGAGTCTTGCTCTGTTGCCCAGGCAGGTGTGCAGTGGCACTATCTCGGCTCACTGCAACCTCCGCCTCCTGGGTTCAAGCAATTCTCCTGTCTCAGCCTCCTGAATAGCTGGGACTACAGGCACGCGCCACCATGCCCAGCTAACTTTTTTTTTTTTTTTTTTTTTGTATTTTTAGTAGAGACGGGGTTTCACCATATTGGTCAGGCTGGTCTCGAACTCCTGACCTCAGGTGATCCACTTGCCTTGGCCTCCCAGAGTGCTGAGATTACAGGCGTGAGCCACTGTGCCTGGCCCCCAATGGCTTTTATTGGTAAGGACCTTTGAACTCTTTAAGGAAAGTACATTATAAAACTGAGGCATTCCCATCATTTGTGGCACCAGCAATAGCAGCAAAAGTCAAAATAACTAACAGGGTTCCCGCCACATTTTAACAACCTTTAGAAGGCAGTATTTCTAGACAGTTGTCACGTCACCAGGTTTTTTTTTTTTGTTTTCAACAGAGTATGGTAATGTACTTAGCTGTAAGGCTCTTATTTTCAAACAATTTGCATCATATTCATCTGTGTTAGAAAAATGGAAATAAAAAAATTTGAGTCAGCTAAAACTGATTGTCTCCTTTCATTGGCTTATGGGATTCCACTCCACACAAACAACTACAATGCCAGCTGGTATTTCAGCTGGAAACATCTGCAGGACCATAAATCCTTTCTTGCATAATTTTTTTTCCTGTTAAATTAAGTCCCCCCTTTCTGTTAGTAATTTTACTCATTGAAAAAAAATGTGCTCTGGAGAGTGACAGTCATGAACATAGATGGAACAGAATATTAAATTACAGAATAAAATATTGAAATAAGACAATTATTGGATAATTAGGGCAAAAACTCAATGTATTTATAACTTTCAGGTAATCAGAGCTAAAAAAGCATAATACAATCAAATCAGTTTTTAACATATAGATAGTACCTCTTATTTTTGTTATAGTTTCCAATAAAATCTCCCAGTAGCACAAATTATTGATAGTAAAATCATTGATTAGTGACAGTAGATAAATAACTCGTAATTTTCATCTGACAGCTATTTGATACAACCATGCAGGAATATCATTTTATCATAAGAATATCAAATTATTTGACATATTAATAGTAATATAACATAGTCATATAATAATATAATAGGATTAATTTATCACAATACACTTATGTCTTATAATACATAATGCCAAATGACTTTATGGTAGTAGGGCATCCATTTCACTGATGACTCTCATCCTCCATCTAATTTATGTCTTAGAACAAAAAGAATGCTAATCATCCTTGGGTAGAGTAATTGATTAAGTACTGATTGAGTTTCACTGAAGGCTAACTTATTTTTTAAGGCCCCTAAATATGATGGTGCTATAGGGAGTGCTATTGAAGTGACTTACTGTCCAACAATCAAGAATAAGCATAATTACTGAACCCTCTCCCCCCAATAGCTTTATGATTTTGGAGAAGACAGAAGATGAAGTAGGGAAATATCTCTGGAACAGCATTTATTAAAAGTGAACTTTAGAGATCATTTGCATCTGGATTATCCGTAGGGTATCTCAGAATACCCTACGGATATCTCGCAGAATCTGAGACTGAGATGTAGACTCCATCTTTGGGCATGGCTTGGATCTGTACTTTTCACAAGCTACTTAGGAGACTCTTTGGTACATTAATATTTGAGAATTTCTGACCTAGAAAGTCATGAAATTGGGGAAAACAGGTTTATTAAGCCTGTAATTCATTAATACTGTGAAATGCTTCCTGGAACCACTAGCATTGATTAGTAAACACAAACACCATGGGGCTGCCAATATCTAACTGAAGATCTAATAGGGAAGGTAAGAATGGTACCATTTCTATTAGCACTATTACACCCTCTACCAGTCCCATTTGGTAAATGCTGTCCAGAAAACTCAAATCCTGGGGAAAGTAGGCATTATTACATTTAATCTCACTTCTTAAAATCACTGGGCAAAGTAATTTGGAATTAGTTATACTCTGGAGTGCAGATCTCTTTATTTGGTTCTTATGTTTTTGAAGTCCAATATTCAGATAGATTCCTTTTTCCACCCTCTCCCTATAAAGAATTCAAATCCTAAAGAAATGTGGAACACATTTCTTCCCAGCCTAATGAAAAACAGAATCTTTTACAAATTGTGAATCCACATGTGGGAACTCAGGAGTTTGTATACCGATGTGTGTGAATGTATGATTGTGCAAAGAATTAGACTCCGTTGCGAACACCATCTCAACAGTTCTGCTCACCAAGATCCCTAAGGCCTTACTTAACATTGCATTTTTAATTTACATTACCATTAAAACCTTTTATTGTGTTGTTTAATTCAAGAAGGTCGCTGAATCCATCAAAGTTTCTCATAGATTGACACATGCTCTGGCAATCCATGGAAGTGTCCTTCATGAAGGTTTTCATTACTTTGTGTTTCTGTTATTATCTGCAGACATCTTTCTGTAGTCTGTGATACATTAGGAGTTCAAAAAGAGAAGGTGGCTGCAAGTGTGCTTTACAGTTTGACCAGATGTGTAGCCAGTGTCATGAAATACATCCAATTATACTATAAATAGAGGGCAGAGGCTTACTATTTACCACTTGGTGATTAATAAAATGTGCAGAATGCTGAGACATATCTCACTCCCTATTACTCAATTACTATAACCACTCTTCTTCCAGAAAAAGACAAGTCTTGCAGATGTTAGAGAATGGATTTCATAATGGAAGTCTCTTTAAAATAGCCTGAAAAAAATGGAGCTTAGATTGCAAACCAGAAGAGGCTGGATTTTTCCTCTTTTTTTCCAAAAGTAATAAAACTGCAGACAATAAAGATATTCAAATAAATAAAACAAATCTCTGATTTCACTAAATATTCTCTAAAACTGAAGGTAGAAACCTACACATACATTGTGAAAAATTTGCTCTTGCAATTGGGCTACAGAATGTCCTATAAAATTTACAGCAAAAAATATATTAATCTGTAGTTGTTAAGAAAATTACCTGTCTTATGTGAAAAGTTTTCTATTTTCTTTCTCCCTGTGGTTTCAGGTTTAGACAGTAAGGACGTTTCTCTATTTGAATTTCATGTAGGCTCATATCCAGTAGAAGGTGAATCATGTCTCATATCATGTGGGAGAGCTAGTAAGTTAATTAAAGTGGTTAAGAACTTGGAGAGGGCAAGAAAAAATAATATATATATATATTTTTTATATACAATATATTTATTTTAAATATATACATATATATATATAAATGTAAATATACATATATTTATCTGATAGATACTGGAAATTAAAAATCCAGAGAAATATATGTTGCATTTTTGGGTGGCTGAATGAATGTATACACTTTGTTGATGAAGTGCTTTCCACTGTAAACTTTAAGCCAGGCACTAACCATTTGCCTGCTCCCACACTGAGACCCAGGGCAGGCACGTAAACAGAAGTACAAACTTCCCAGAACAAAATTCCTGCTGAGGATGCAGGGATTATTTATCTAAATTCAAAATAAATCCAGAGTCTATGTTTGTCTAACAGCCTGGACAGACATTCACCCATTCTCTGCTCCCTCACCACCTCAGTTTTTTTTTTTTTTTTCCTGGTAGAATTAAATATTGTCATTTTCTGAACATGATGATTGATGCTTGGGTGTTTCTTTCCTGTGGCTGGCCTTGGCTGTACCGATCTCTCACTTCCCCAGCTGTTTCCTATGTAACTGTTACATAAGATTACTCTTGCCTCTGCTCACTCCTTTACTGCGGGAACCGTTGTGGTTCAGTTGCGTCCAAATGCATTTCAGGGCAAGGCAGTATAATAGAAGCAGGAAGAGATGGCTTTTTGAATTGGTGTACAGCAAAGCCAAGTGGAAAGTAAAGAAATTACATAACAGATTTGAAATATGTTGAGCGATATTTTGGAAAATTATGAACTGGGGAAGACTTTGTGCTTATCTCTATTGAATTTCCACTACCATTGACTTCAAGTGTTGTTTAGACATCGCTGATATTTAAAGATGATATATCTGAGTGCAAAGACTACTGTGATAAATTCATTGATTTACAGCCACTTTCTGTTAGCTATTTAATTATACCTTCCCACTTCTTTTGTGTATTTCTTTATCATATAGGACATTTCTGAGCACTTGGATATAGTCACTTGCAGTTGGGGCTCTGTCTAAGATCTGACATGCTTTAAGAGTTGATGATGGATGAGGGAAAAGATGTTTGTTGAACCTTTCATATGTTTCTGGAAATAAACAACAAAACAGAACAAAATAGATGGGCAAGAAGAGAAGAGACAGAGGGAAGAAGAGGAAAAGAAGAGAAGGGAAGGGAGGAAGGAAGGAAAGAAAGGAAGGAAGAGCGGGAGGGAGGGAGGAAGAAAGGAACTGTGTCAATATACTTATGGAGAAAGTTTCCAGAAATAACCACCATATGTGGCTACATGAACCACCCCTGGGACTATTGCCATTTGGTTAAAAAATGAATATGTTACTTGAGTAAGGGACACAGTCTCAAGTTCTGATTCAATAAATTGGCATTAGGGTGAAAAATACCTATTAACTTATGTTGCTGCCTTCTCTTTAAAAACAAAACAAACAAAACATAACAAAACAAATGATCCTGTAGTATTGACCTTTGGGGCTCAGTACAACCAGATTTCAAAATATCTCAAGCTTGAAGGCTCCCACCATTTCCCTCAGAGACTATTTCATCATCCAACTGATCTAAAACATAAGGAAGTTTTTTCCAGTTATTATTCCCCAAGTTCCTTTTTTTCTAAATGTCATCCTATTATTTACACTATTTCATTGTGCTTTATTTTTATACCTTGGATTTTATAGCCACCAAGGACTGGAAGATGGCTGGTCATTTAACCCTCTTTATGCAACCTTTTGCCAAGAGAACACAAAAGAGTTATTAAGTTGTGCATTATGGAGATTTGTAAAACCTACTCATAAATCAAGAATCCTTGGGGACAGGGATATGATAAAAGGAAAATTGCCTTTTACATTTACTTTTCTTTTTTCGTTTCAAACCCTTCTACCAACTGAGGTGTCTGCCGATGTTCTGATAGATAGAAACACTAGGGTGTGAATGAAAGAGCCATAGCCTGTCAGGGCAGGAAGGAAACCTCCCTAAACACGATCTAAACCAATTCCTTCATCGCCAGGAGCTTCTCACATATTTCTGTCAAGTCATCATTCATACTTCACTAGCAAGGGATATGAATGGAGAAAGATAACTCCATAAAATAAGCAAATTACCAGATACAAAGGCACAGTTCTCATCTTCCATGCGATGGAGCCACATCCCCTGGCCTGAAAGAACAACAGCAACCACAAAACTCAGATGAGGAGTTCTAGAAATTAAATGTCAACCTCATTTAACTCTCATATCATAAAGTGGATTTATCTCCACTTCAAAATCAGAAAATAGGATTAGAGAGTTAATTAATGTGCCCATGTTCTCACAGGCTTTAACTGTTGGAGTCACAGATTGTGATTAGTAAGGAGCTCTGCGACATGTTTCACGGGATCACAACTTGAAGATTACACCTCAAGTTGCAGAACAAATGCCTAATTATCCATCAGACCAGCCACAGAGATAATTTTATTTATTTCTGTGATGAACAGCTAATTCTTACTTCAATATTTACTGAAGACCTACTTTGTGCTTGGCAATTTTTTATTACTGGAGGTACAGTTGTAAATGAGAAGATAAGCATTCTTATGGAACTCACTCTAAATAAAATGAATATATAGGATGCATAGTTTATCAGACAGTTACAAGTACTGTAGAGAAAAAATAGAGTGAGAAAGGGAGGTGAAAAAATAACTAAAGAAATAAACAAATATATTTTTATCAAGCCATTTTATGTGTGGAGGAGAAAAATAGAGCAAAGAAGAGGCCTAGGTGGGGCTGGAGTGTTGAGGGAAGCCTCCTCTCTGGAGAGAGTGTTTAGACCAAGACTTACAGAAGATAAAGAAGGAGAAGGCGAATATCTGTGGGATGAGCCTTGAAGGCTGAGGAAAAACCAAGTGCAAAGCCCCCAAGGTGGGGAATGTCCAGCCTGTCCAAGGAAACACGAGAACTTGTCCCTCTGAGCAAAGTGAACTATGGAGGCTGCAGTGGAGAGTGTATCAGAAAGGACAGCGCATATCCTACTGCTCTTTGTAGGCCCTGGTAAGAACCCTGATTTTAATTCCATGCGAGATGAAAAGGCCTTGGATAGTTTTGAGTAGAATGACATTATCTGGCTTACATTTTAAAAAGATCACTCTGGCTGCCGTTTTGAAAATGACCTGCAGGAGTTCAGGGGTCAAAGAAGGTCAATTAATATTTAATTGCTAATTATTATTTCAACAATAACAATAGACATTTATTGGATAGTTTGATATTTACTTTATACCCATTATCTCATTAATTTTCACAGTCTGAGGGGTGGCTATCATCCTTATCCCCTTTGTGTAATTTCTAGTTGAGGTTTCATGGGATTTTTGTGACAGTTGATTCAACACACATGAGAGTGTGTGTGTATGTGTGTATGTGTCATATTTGACTTGAATATATTTAGTTTTGAAATAATTTTTAATTGACATAATATGAATATATTTGAGATTTTTATGCCAATTCGTACAGTATTTGGAGATGCTTAGAAAAACAGTGATTCTCAACCCTGGGTATACATAAAAATCACTAAAGGCTTTTAAATTGTCCTGCCTTAGAGATTCTGACTTAAGGAGCTGGTGGTGGCCCAGGCATCTGTGCTTTCGAGAGCTTTTCAATATCCATTCAGAATGGAAAAACACATTTAAGCGGACCTCCAATACCTGAAAGGACAAAATATGGAATATCAAAAATATCCCCAAATATTTTGATTTTGAATTACATTATTTTCAAGAAGTAAATGTATTACTGTCAAATTTGTGGACTACCTCTCACATGTTCATCAGGTCATACTGTGTGTATTTTGCAGGTGAGCTTTCTTCTGCCTTCTTCTTTTGCCCCGATTTCTTTAACCTCTTCAAATAAAACTGTGTCTGTTCTTATAAAGTACATTATTTTTAAAGTAAATTAAAAATATAGTACCTGAACACTTGGCAGATAATTCTTAATAAATATTTACCTAACTGCATGAACTCAAATTTTTATGAAAGAATAGGAAATTAAACAATAATTCCACAAATCATCAGGTTTCTATGGAGAGATGTACAGAGATTTCAGACCTAGAAAATATGGGCACTTAAAACCAGGGGTGTAAGAGGAGGGAAGTGATGAGTATGGGAGGAGAATTTTCTCTTTTCCCACAGTCTTTCTTTCAGCCCCGGCTATTTATATAAAGATATTACAGATAGCTACTTCTTGTCAAAGCTGGGGCTCAGGCAACAGCTCAGTGAGGCTAGGGAAGGTCAAGACCATAAAGCCACAAAGAAATAGCCTTAGGGACAAGAGAACTTGTGAGTTTTGTGCAGCGGATCAGAGTCAGGACGGGAATTTCTAGAAATGGGCTAGGATTCTTCAATAAAGGCCCACTGCTGTAACAAATCATGCTAACATTTCAGAAGCTTAATGGAGCAAGATCTACTTCTCGTTCATATTTGTATACAACGTCAGTCCATAATGGTGGAGAAGTGATACTTCGTCCATTGTATCACATTTGTTGAAGTGGGGACTCAGAAGTCCCCCATCTGCTGACTCGATGGACTCCAGGGAGTTGCAGTTCTCCAGATTCTCTTCAATCTGCTAAATCATGAACAAGCAGAGAGCAGATCATGGGATTCCGGGGGCCAGGCCAGAAATTCTGATATATAAGCTTCACCCTTATTCCATTGGTCAAATCTAGGTCACGTAGTGCCACCTCATAGCAAAAGGAAGAAAATGAAAAATGGTAGAATTGTCTGCCACAGGAGTTCAGGGACATGCAACTGAATGGTAATCTTTTTAAAAAGCTATTTGAAATGTGTTATCATTTCAGAAATTTCAAACATTAATATGTCTATTTCAGGAGATCACAGATAACTGATCTTTCAACGTGACATAATCAATTATCACATTTGAACTGAGAAACAGAGTCCACATTTTTTAAACATATTGTAAAAGTATAAAGGCAAAATAAATTTACTCTGTGCTAAATTAGGCAACAGCATTGGCTGCCTGATAGGGGAGATGTGGGAGAACCAGCATCAGCTATCTGGGATGGAGTCAAGTGGAGAGTGGGGTCCAGGGCCAGGAACTGAAATGTGGGGAAAGTGGGACATAAGGGAGTCCTATTGACACCCCTCACTCTGACTTCAAGCCAAGAGGTGAGCATTGGCTCACCAAGAGCCAAGAGACTGAATCAGGAGATGGGTGTTTCACTTTGCCCAGGCTTCAATTGTTGGATGGCGTTGAGGTGAGCAAAGATTCAAGTGGGTCTTTACGGTGCCTTCACATCTTTAGGTGGCCACACTCTCCCTGCTGCTCTGTGGTCTAGATACTGGTTCTCCTGAGTGCCTGAAGCCCTCTCATCCAGGACTGGTTGTGAGCACTGCATACGCCCTTTGATGAGGGTCGGTGGTGAGAAGGAGGGGTTCCAAGGCTGTGTTCTCACCTCTTCTGTGCTAGTGAGAAAACCACAGCTCGCCTGTTCTCAGAAGCTCACATGGACAAACCCTGTACTGGAAGGGACTTTAATATGGTCATGATCCCTTAATATTGTAAGACAGAGAAAATCTTTCAGGGTGTGGTTTCCTGACATTCCCCATAACGAAGAGTCTACAAGCTGTGTGTGTGTGTGTGTGTGTGTGTGTGTGTGTGCACGCGTGCACACGCACGTGCATGCACGTGCGTGAGAGAATTGTAGGAAACAAACTTTAAACAAAAACATTTCTTGAGAAACATCTTGTGTAGACCTAAACGTGCGTTATGATCTTTTGCTCTAGGCCCCATGTAGAGCTGAAACATTGTCCTGAAACTTGACCCCCCTTGGCCTACTCCCCTCATTGAGAAGTGCCCTTTCTCCCCTCATTGAGAAGTGCCCTTTTCAAAAGGGAAGTAAAAGCTGTGAGTAGCACCTATTTTGTCAGAGAGGCACAGGATCAAGTTCTACTTTGGCCTGCATGCACACTTCATGCATACATCATAATCTGTTTCATTGATATCCCCAGCCAGTCATACAACACCTTCTGATCTCTAGGTTTGGAGCCATATAAATAAATAAGAAAATAACTTTTTTTTAAATAAAAAGATTTCTAGACTAAAAAGGTACTTACTGGTTTCTTTCTTTCTTGTCTCTTTAATTTTGTATATGTTCCAGATATTTTTCTTGTTGTTTGGAATAGAAGTTTTGGTGAATTTACTTTAACATTTTGTTATAGACTTTTGGCCTTGTGATACGAAGACAAGTTACTTCTTCTTGCCCACCAGCTAGACAATTAGCTAGTCAATCAACCAACAGATGCTTAATAAGATCCTACTATATGCAAAAGCATTCTGGTAGCTACAGTAAAGTTTAAAGCAGAGAAAAGTCAGTTCTGCCTCTATTTTATATATATCTATATAATGTGTATATATACACATATCCATATTTTATATTAACATATGAATATGTTAATATATATGCATGTTTTATATGCGTATACATGTATATGTATATTTGTATATGCACAAATATACATATACATGTATATGTATATTTATATATACATATGCATGTGTACATTGTATATATACATATACATTTGTATATATGTATTTATATGTATATATACACATATGCATACATGTATATATGTATATATGTATATGTACATATATGCATACTATATGTGTATATATACACATATGCATACTATATATGTATACATAATTACATATAAAAACATGCATAATTACATGCGTATATGTATATATAATTTTATATCACATATAATTAATAACTACTATATACGAGGCACTTTGCAGTGTCTCAATTGGAGATACATTTGTCATTTGGAAACATGGGCAGGGACAATGGAAATTGTAGAAGTCAAGCAAAGTGTCTCAGCCAAATATGTTTTCCATAATTCCTTGCAAGTCTGTTCCCAGGCCTTCGCTTTCTCTGTGTGCCAAAGTGACCCTGCTGGGAAAATGGACCATGGAGACAACTGGAATGACTTTCACAGTGGGACTCGGGTTTTACCCTTGTCCTTAATAGCATATAAAAGCCTAGGCTGAGTTCAAAGGCAGGGAACATCAATCTTCGATAACACACATTTTTTAGGGTAGTGTGAGGAGTCAGGAATGTGTGACATGATGTGCGGGGCTGGGATGTGAGGTGGCTGCTGCTGGAGACGTGCCTCACGTTACATAAGAAGCACTTGCTTTCTCCAGAGCTGGACGTTGAACCAGCCTTATGAATGCTGAATGAAGCTGCAGTCCACACTTCTGAGGGAAGGGTGAGGTTTTAGAACACTTCAGGACATCCTGGCTGGTGGAATTCAGGTATTTCTGAAAGCCTCACATCACAGAGCACAGTCAACAGGGCAGCTGAGTTTTGAAGCCAGGCATTCCAAGTTAGATTTCTTTCATCCACATTCCTAGAGACACAGCCAATTCTCCCTCTGTCGGGAAGAGCTGCCTCCTTGTCCTCTTCCTGCCATCCTGCCTGACTTGTCTCCATGCCCTTGACACCTCAGAGGTTACAGGGTTCCTTCTCTAGAATACGTGTTTGTTTGTTTTTCCCTGGCTCAAAGCTTAGGTAGAGGCCCATCCTGTGAACTCAGTGACCCGCCCCTTTACTGTGTAACAGCATTTTTACATGATCATTTTTGCTTGTCTGCCTCAGCCCCTGAATTTATTCTTTGGGTTGTGTCTCTAGTGCCTAACATGGTGCCTGGCAATAGCAGATGTGAAAAAATGCTCATTCACTCTCAGATGAATCAATGCCTGCAGTCTCCCAGAGCATCAGTCTATGCTAACATATGTGGCCTTCTGGGAGCCTTTGCCTTCAGTTCCTATGGAAACTGGGTGCTGCATTTCACTTAATGTAGAACATCTGAAAACAGGCCTTGTGGGAGGAGCCCTGGAGTGCAGGACAATGAATGGCTCATTAGTGTCAGTGAAACTTCCCTCCATGTGCAATTGCGTACACCATTAGCATCTGGTCCTGAATAAGTGGGGGACTCCAACAGATGTTCCAAAGGCTCCATGGCTAGCTTTCTCCTCATTCACAAAATTGTGTTCCCTGCTACTCCCCTATTGGCCTGTAGAACAAGAAAGTGATCTTCTGAAGAACCCTAACTCTGTGTCCCTTGAAATAAACCAGGTTCCTCTCCTCATTGCAGCTTCTGGAGGGAAAGAGACGAGAGAAAAGATGGATAAATAAGCATAAGTGACAGAGCTAGATATCTATGTTGGGCACAGAGCTGCTGCTGCTGCTGTGTGTGTGTGTGTGTGTATTTCACATTGTATTAGTTTGTTAGGACTGTTGTAGCAAAGTTCCATAAATACCTTGTGGTTTAAATACCAGGTGGCTTAAACAACAGAATTTTGGCTTCCCTGTTCTAGAGGCTGGAAGTCTGACATCAAGGTTATCAGCAGGGTTGGTTGCCGGTTCCTTCTGAGGGCTGCGAGGCAGAATCTGCTCCATACTTCTCTCCTAGCTTCATGCGTTCCTTGGCTTGTAGACAGACATCTTCTCTCTGTGTCTTCACTTAATTTTTGCTCTGTACATACCTGTCTCTGTATCTCCCAGTTGATATGGGGTCATTATAGTGAGCTGTAATCCAATATTATTGGCTCCCCTTGAAGGGACCCCATATCAACTTAATCATCTGCAAAAGCCCTATTTCAAATAAGTTCACACTCACAGATAAGGGGCTTAGGATTTCAACATCTTTTTGAGGGACACGATTTAATCCATAACACATATTAAATTATTTCAGGCCATTTTAAAATAAAAGAAAACGGGCACAGAGAAGACAACAATTTTTTTTCTTTTTTTAAATTTATTATACTTTAAGTTCTGGGATACATGTGCAGAACGTGCAGGTTTGTTACATAGGTATACATGTGCCATGGTGGTTTGCTACACCCATCAACCCATCATTTACTTTAGGTATTTCTCCTAATGCTACTCCTCCCCTTGTCCCCCAGCGCTCAACAGGACCCAGTGTGTGATGTTCCCCTCCCTGTGTCCACATGTTCTCATTCTTCAACTCCTACTTATGAGTGAGAACACGTGGTGTTTGGTTTTCTGTTTCTGTGTTAGTTTGCTGAGAATGATGGTTTCCAGCTTCATTCATGTCCCTGCAAAGGACATGAACTCATCATTTTTTATGGCTGCATAGTATTCCAAGTCTTTGCTATTGTGAATAGTGCTGCAATAAACATACGTGTACATGTGTCTTTATAGTAGAATGATTTATTATCCTTTTGGTATATACCCAGTAATGGGATTGCTGGATCAAATGATATTTCTAGTTCTAGATCCCTGAGGAATCACCACACTATCTTCCACAATGGTTGAACTAATTTACACTCCCACCAACAGTGTAAAAGCATTCCTATTTCTCTACACCCTCTCCAGCATCTGTTGTTTTCTGACTTTTCAATGATCGCCATTCTAACTGTCATGAGACGGTATCTCGTTGTGGTTTTGATTTGCATTTCTCTAATGACAAGTGATGATGAGCTTTTTTTCATATGTTTGTTGGCCACATAAATGTCTTCTTTTGAAAAGTGTCTGTTCATACCCTTCACGCACTTTTTGATGGGGTTGTTTTTTTCTTGTAAATTTGTTTAAGTTCCTTTTAGGTTCTGGATATTAGCCCTTTGTCAGGTGGATAGATTGAAAACATTTTCTCTAATTCTGTAGGTTGTCTGTTTACTCTGATGATAGTTTATTTTGCTGTGCAGAAACTCTAGGTTAATTAGATCCCATTTGTCACTTTTTGGCTGTTGTTGCAATTGCTTTTGGTGTTTTAGTCATGAAGTCTTTGCCCATGCCTATGTCCTGAATGGTATTGTCTAGGTTTTTTTCTATGGTTTTTATGGTTAATGTTACAATATTATATTGAACTGAAATTGGGTCTGCTAGATTTTGATCTCCTGACTTTTACATTATTTTATGCTATTGGGAGGAGAGAGTGAGAGGGAAGTTATGTCATAAAGAAGTTTGTCCATTCAATAAAATGGCAAAGCCTAGGCAACATCACATAAAAGTGGGAAAAGCCATCGTCTGTTAAATTGTTTCTTTTCTTACTCGTTTATTTTTACCTCATGTTTTATTTTGAACCAAGATTAACACTACTGACCCTAGTCAAAACTTTTTTCACTTATTCATCCTACAAATATTAATCGAGCATCTACCATTGGCCTAGGAGACTTCTAGGAGGTAAAAGTACTGCAGTAAGCCACACATATCCCTGCTGTCATGAAACTTGGATTCTGTTGTGTAGGGATGGTCAAGAAAAGAGATATCATTCATTTATACTTTCATTGTTGATATTTATATTTATTTCCTGATGGTAAAATATCAGGTCATGAATAAGCTAAAGCCAGATACAGGGATAGAAGGCTACTGGGAATAACATAGGCTGGTAAGGCAAGGGGTCTCTGAGAGAGTCCTGAGGAAGTGTGGATAGGAGCCTGTATTAGTCTGTTCTCATGCTGCTGATAAAGACATACCCAAGACCAGGTAATTTACAAAGGAAAGAGGTTTAATGGACTCACAGTTCCACGTGGCTGGGGAGGCTTCACAATCACGGTGGGCGGCAAAGGAGGAGAAAAGGCACATCTTACATGGCAACAGGCGAGAGAGAGAGCATGTGCAGGGAAACTCCCCTTTATAAAAACCATCAGATCTTGTGAGACTTATACCACTATCATGAGAACAGTATGGGGGAAACACCTGCTCTCATGAATCAGTTACTTTCCACTGGGTCCCTCCCATGACGTGGGAATTATGAGAGCTACAATTCGAGATCTGGGTGGGGACACAGCCAAACCATATCAGGGCCACAGGTGACCATGCAAATAACATTTCAATATGGAGCAACGAATCAGTGCAAGCCCCCAAGGCAGGAGCATGCTTGGCAGGTTTCCAGAAACAAAGCAGAATGAGCCCTGGCACCATGATTTAATTCGGTAGTAAGGGCTACTGAGAAAGAAGGACCCTATTTAGCCAAGGAGTAGACTCCGGAAAATGCAAGGCAAGTTGAATGGAAGGAGAGGAATCACACAGAGCATAGAGCAGAGGTTATGAAATAAGAGAAAATATCCATCACAATGATGACCTTCTTTGGTCATCAGAACCAGAACACTGAAGTTATCATTGCGTTTTCACTGTCCTTGATTCCATTAACTAAACTGGCCGTGAACTTTTGCCAGTTTTACTCTAAGATTTTCCTCCTATCTATCCTTTCTTTCTGGTCACCCATCCCTGCATTTATTAGTACTCTTCAGGTCATTGTTCTTTTCCCAAGTTTATCCTTCACAATCCTACTCATCTTCCATGTGTTTCCACTGCATAAATGCCACTCTCTGCCCTTAAAATATAAACTCATAGCCCTTTCCCTACAATTCTGAACTTGTTACCACTACTCAGGTCAGCACATCCAAAGGCCCAAGAGCAGAGCAAGCAATTTAGGGTAGAGGAGTATTTGAGGACACTGGGAATATATGCCCATTAGATTGTTTCTCTTACCACTCTGGGAGATGTTCTTGCCCATTCTTAGTCCCCATATGATCCCCATCTTATTCCCATTCCCCATTGTGACCATGCTTCTCTGGCCACCATTATTTGGTCCAGTAGATGGTGCTTGGTCAAATTGGGCCAAGTAATATCTTTTAGATGGACAAATTAAATTAAGCACTAGAGAGATTCTGTTGTTTTTCTAAGAGTGTGGATCTGTAATATGTACATTTGGAAGAGATCAACCCTTTGATCTGAAGAAATAGAGAGAAACAGCAACAAGAAGAGGGTGGGGGGTGTTGGGAGGGAGGAAGAGAGAGTCAGAGAGAGAATGCACACAGTTGTACAAAAAGGAGTAAAATTGAGGAATAGAAATAGACTCCTGACAACACGTAAGTCAGTAGTTTAAATTCATTCCTAAACTTTGTCTGCTTTTTACCCCTAGATCTTGTGGGATATCGTTTTCTTCAGTTGAACTTGAATGGTTTCCATTTTGTATGTCATCAAGGGTTTGATGAAGTCAATCCTTCTTTCAGTTTTGCCCCATCCTAATGTCTGCTATTGGGCATTCTTATGTGATAGTTTGGTAAGTTGGATGGTATCATTTCTATACTTGACAGTTATGTCTAAAATATACATGATTTGTTTGCTGAAGTTAAATGTGTGTTCTTAAAGTGTCTGTCATTTGCTGCACTGGAAGAAAAGAGCAAATGAAGTCTATTTTTACAGTGGGCAGTTGTGTTTTACTTTATAAAAATGAATGATCAAATTACAAAAGAATGATTTACAACTGTTATTGAGGGTGTTAGATATTTGACCAAAAAGATAAGACCTAGGCATGCTTAAAACCTTTATGTTCACTTTCAGTTGAAAAACCAATGCAATGAAAGTAAGGCACATCTGAAAAGACAGTCTGTCAATAGAAGAGTAGGATCCCATCTGTAAATATGCACACAAATTTTCCCAAATATACACACACTACATGAAGCAATATGGGGCTGAGAGATTTGGGAAGGGTCATAGAGATGAAAGGCAAGGAGCTAGCATTTATTCAGTGCATACTGGGCACCAAGCACTTAGTACATGTGTGTTTAACAAGTTATACAATTTTCTATAAAAACCCTATTACATATGTACTAATCATCCCTTTTTGCAGAGAAAGAAATTGAGACTCAGATAATTTAAACCATTTATCCAAGACCATGTGCCTATTGGAACTAGTATTAAAACACAGATAGCTCTAATTTCAGAGTCCATGACCCTTCCCTGTCACTCTTCTGCCTTCCGGTTTCAAGCTGTGTGCCCTGACCTCCTGTGGAGTAGGAGCTTACAGATCACAGTCAGTGGATTCTTAGAATTCACTGTGGTGGCACAGTTGAATCTACAGGTTTATCTCTACTTGGTCTCAACCAGATATCTTCCACCTACATATGCTTGACTCAGTGTGCTGGGCTTCTTGTGTAAGGTTTCTTCTGGAAAAAATACTTCATTGCTTTAAGAAGTTTGAAAGCCATCATCACAAGTCCAAATAGGTAGTGTTTGTCCAAGTTTAATCCCATTTTCTCCAAGTTTAATCCCATTGCATCTAGGACTTTGAAAAGAAACAGATTATGACTTTCACTTTTTTTAAAAAAAAAAGCTTAGTTTTTTAAAAACTGAAGTGTAAATAGAGAAGATTGTCTATAGTATATGCATCAGAAAACCCCTCCTGAAACAGGGAAATCAACTTGTATACAATCAGAGTGGTAAGGAGAGCAAGGAGATAATCATTACATGACAATTACCAAATAACAACTTTTAAACTATAGGTACAGTTCCTTTATGAAGTAAGTGTGCAAAACTACAATGGCTCTAGCTTCAAAACAGTCTAAGAGCATCTAAGAATAAATACTTTCTTATTTTAAAAGGCATGCATATCCCCAAATTCAGCATCAGCAAGCAAGCAAACGAGATCTGGGTTTCTGCAAGCCACATGGTACAAAGATGGTTTGGACCTGACCCACTTTCATGGTTCTGGTTTTCCCTGTGTAGCTGTTTTCATTGCATAATTGCGTTGCTGATTGAGCGTCGGTCACCTTAGGCATTGGGCTGAGAAGCCAGGGGACACTATTGCAGAGCCTGTTGCTTATGACAGGGGTTAACATTGAAGCACCACAGAATGGTATTCAGTATGGTGGAAGCAGTCTCAGGCCTCAGGCCACAAGGGTGGAAAGCAGCTGAGCTGGGGAGGTTTTGTGGTATTGATTACAGAGTAACAGGAGAGGAGGAACTAAGGCGGAATGTGCATGTTCAAGTCCTGACCACCTAACCTCTCAGATCCTCAATGTGAAATGGCATTAATAAATGAAGTTTATAATGAGGTTAATCATCAAAAAGTTGTATTTAAAAAATAGGCCGGGTATGGGGGCTCATGCCTGTAATCCCAGCATCTTGGGAGGCCAAGGCCGGCGGATTAGCTGAGGTCAGGAGTTCGAGATCAGCCTGGCCAACATGGTGAAATCCCATCCCTACTAAAAATGCAAAAATTAGCCAGGTGTGGTAGTGGGCACCTGTAATCCCAGCTACTCTGGAGGCTGAGGCAGGAGAACTACTTGAGCCTGGGAGGTGGAGGTTGCAGTGAGATGAGATCATGTCACTGTACTGTAGCCTGGCTGACAGCAAGACTCTGTCTCAAATAAAAATAATAATAAATGACATAATGCATGCTCCTGTTTCTTTCCTCCTACTATATTCTTCACATTGTACTTTTTGTTCAATGTCTGTGTTTCCCACTGGACTATAGTTCCTGGGGTCGAATATGATGTTGTTCTTGGAGGCTGCTATATAACTGACAATCAGCCCAATGCCTTGTACAGAGATGTACCTGGACATACTTCTGCTGAACGAATGAATGAATGAGTTTAACAGTATTTTGTTAAGTATACAGAATTGTTACTTGAGCTTTTGCCATTTCTTGACTGCTAACTGGTTAATTTCTTATCCAGAGAAAACCCTCCTACTCAAAAGTTGTTTACAGGGAATGACGCCCTTGAGTCACATCACAGTGATAAAATATGTACTCGGCAATCCCTCCTCACCCCCAAACTGGCCTCTTGCAATCTCCACCACATGATGATCCCGTGACGTCTAGGAAACAGCCCATTCTGTAGAGAATAAAAAGCTGTCCATCTCTCATTGTTCCTCCTTATAACCTTCCTCTCCTGCCCTGGCTCCTCACCCCCATCCTTTTCTATTTTCTACTTCCTGATCCATCTTGTCCCCAGGCCACTACTTGAAGTATGAGCAGTCTCCCTGCCTTAGGCAATTGATAGGTCCAGGGACACCGAGGTCAGAGCACAGATTGTTTTCCAAGTGTCCCTGAAGCCCCTGTATGGTGCTGGGGAGTCAAGCCCAAGGAGGCAGTTCACAGGAAATGGGACTGAATTTGCAACAAGCGGCACAAAGTGGCACCGGATATCACCAAACAACCAAAACACTCATTGTTTTCTCCCCACCCTGTGACCCAGGCCTGGGTTTATAAAGAGACAGCAGCTGCAGTCCTGGAAATCCCAGGTGAACACTCAACAGAGGGCACTGTTAGAAGGAAGCCAGGTGCTAGGCTTTGAGTGAGGGATGTTGACTGAGATTTCTGGGGTTCCATTTTTGTCTAGAATTATGTTTGCCTAAGCAATGTGCAGGCGATAACAAGATTCTTGTGGAATTTCAGCATGGGAATGGTCCAATTGTGAGTCATTTCCTCAGTTACTTAGTCAGCAACCTGGTACTTACTGAAGGTCTTCTACATGCTGGGCACCAGGCTAGGGGTGGAGACAGACAAGGGAAGATGCTCAGCACATGAGCCTTCAGGCCAAAGTGAGCTTCTGTTCTAGTTCTCATTCTGCTTCTTACTCTCCGAGCAACCTCAAGCAGCTGTATGACCTCATGGAGACAAACTGTGAATATTAAACAGAGATAATACATATGAACATCCAGGGGCTCAATGGGATAATTTATGTATGTATCGAAGTTCCTGATTTCAAGATCTTGGTTATAGTTCTCTGCTCTTAACACTACTGCATAAGAGAATGATCTGGAGAAATTTTAAAGAATGCCAATGCCTAAGTCCCACCTCCAGAGATCCTAGGAACATTGCTCTATTTATGAAGCTTCCCACATCACTTAATGTGCAGCCAGGATTGAGGACAACTGTGTGACAAGACAAAATTAACACATGGCATAATTAGAGAAAAGTTGATCACAACATGTCTGCATTCCCTTTCAAATAACATTAGTCCTGATGGCAACATTCTCATCCAAATTATCCAGATGAGCTTTGCAAATTTCCAACAAACTCGTTGACTATCCAACAATTGTATTAGAGGCTTCTTCTAAAATCCATATTTACCTTCTTTTACAACATTTCCTTTATCTTTAGTAAAACTCTGGCCTCTTTCTCTTGCCTACCCCCTCCTCTGTGGACTGTAAAAATGTGAAAGATTTATCTCCAGAAGCACATTCGAGTTCACTTATAAGTTTCTCTATAAGTTCACTTCCCATGAAAGTTAAAACAAAGACAGCAAGGAGGAGAAATAGAGAATACTAAGTACCTTTTACAGTCCCCTCTCTCCACTCTCCCTCTCTCCACCTCCCCAAAATCCAGCTCATCTGATTTCTATTATGCCCATATAAATGTCTCCTAAGCCTTGGGCATTTGGGGACATTGCCAACTCCACAGCTACTTCATGGTTTCACATTCCCCTTGCTCCTGTAACTCTGGCCCAAAGCACCAACTAAGCTCTGACCTTGACTGTTGAAGACAGCATGAGCATCAAACACTTACATGTGTGTTTTATTCAATAATACTTTTAAGCCACTGTCTTCCTCCAGCAACATGACACCTGCCAATCCAGGAAATCAAATCCCTTAAGAAAGATCAGTAAACAAATCTTCCTGGAAACCTGCATTGGAGGTGAGACAATCAAATGCAACGATGTAAGTAATTATCCAAGGCCATTGCAAGGAGAATCAGGTGCTCCTGTCTCCCACTATGCAACACAAGGCCTAGTTCTCTAGTTACAGAGCACAATGTTGCTGTAATAGCCTAATTGATTTATAATGTTTTTCTCTGTATTGCAGCATGTGTGCAATTAGTTACTGAAAAGGAAACACAGCTCAGCTCAGTTGCTGCATCTGCTGCTAGTCAGGGACATACAATTTCATGCCCTATTTTCCAGATGGCTTGATTAACATTCAGAGGAATCTAGTGGCTTGGCCAGAGCTGCAAAAGAAGCAGGGGAAGCTCAGGTATAATTGGACCTGGGAGAACCACCTCAGATAGAAAGAAAGCAAAATCTCGAAATGCAAGCCAAACCTGCAATACTGTGAGAAGGAGTAAAAGATGGGGAGTGGCTCTTTTTCCTCCATTTATTCATATATCAGTTCATTTATATAACAAATATTCAACGAGTATTTCATAAGTACCAGTTTTCTGTTAATTTCACAGTGGTAAGCCAACAAATATGTTCCATGCTTTAGGGAGTCCACAGTAAGTGGGGGAAGCACATATTAAATAGAGAGCCACACATATAAAAATGTGAGTGTGGGGCTGAGCATGGTGGCACATGCCTGTAATCCTGGCACCATAGGAGGCCGAGGCTGATGGATCACTTGAGGTTAGGAGTTCAAGACCAGCCTGGCCAATATGGTGAAATCCCAACTCTACTAAAAACACAAAAATTAAGCAGGAGTGGTGGTACATATCTGTAATCTCAGCTACTCGAGAGGCTGAGGCAGAAGAATCACTTGAACCCAGAAGGAACAGGTTGTAGTGAGCTGAGATCATGCTACTGCACTCCAGCCTGGCCAACAGAGGCAGACTCTGTCTCAAATATATATATATATATATGTATATGAGTCTGGGAGTGATATCTGTTAAGAGGAAAGTATAGTACAGGCAGAGAAGTACAGGTTTCCCTGAGGAAGAACTGTTAAATATGAGACCTGAGGAAGGGGTAGAGATGATCTCCAGAGAGGAGGAAAGGCATTTCAGAAAGAGTCCATAGCAGATTAGAGAACAGATCTTGGTGAATGTCAGTAATTTTAGAAAGGCCGGTGTATCTACAGCCTGACGAGAGGGAGGAGGTGGTATAGGGTGAGTCTGCAAATGTCAATTAAGTGCGGGGTAAATGGAGGCTTTGGGATTTCTATTAAGAATGTTGTATCTTTAAGTATGCAAGGAAGCCACTAAATTAGACATTTTAAGTAGAAGAGAAAACATGATTTAAATATTTAAACATTTGTTTTAATTGCTCCTTGGAAAACAGGGGCAAGATGGGAGTGTCATGAGTGGAAGCAAAGATAGCCTTTGGGAGCCAGGTGAGTACTGGCTGTGGCTTGGGTTTGGATGATGAAGTGGAAGCAAAGATAGCCTTTGGGAGCCAGGTGAGTACTGGCTGTGGCTTGGGTTTGGATGATGATGGTAGAAACAAAATGAAATTGATGATTTAGAGAGCTATCTAGGATGCAAAAGTCAGTAGGATTTGGTAGTAGATTGAAAGTGAAGACAGAGACGAAAATGGCAAGAAGAATGACATGTTTTCTTTCTTGAACAACAGAGTATGTGAACACATGGATCCTTCTCAGAGAGATGGAATTTAAAACAAGAGTGTGGAGTCAAATGTTTTGACAGAAAGCATAGAGTAAGAGGAAAAGGGGGCTCAAAACTGAGGCTTGAGGAATTCCAACTGAAGAGGTCAAATTGGTGGAGGACGTGATAGGGAAAAAAAACTATATTTGGAGAAATGAAAATAAACCAGGAGAATGGAAAGAACCCTATCAAATGCAATGCAGTTGTCAGGTACCATGAGAATTGAAAGATGTCTGTTGGGCTCAGGAGTGTGGAGGTCCTCATGACTACTATAGAGGAGCAGTTTGCCTGGCTGCATGGCATGTTTTGAAGTCCCAAACTCATTACCAGACTGACCCCTGAGAAGAGCTGTGGAAAGCACCAGTGTCTGAAGAGGTTTTTCTCTGTTAGTGCTGAAGGATATAATTGGATGGTTGAATGAGTGGGTGAATAGAGACTTTGCCTGCATCTCCAAACTTGTTTCTTATTTCTTAGTTGTGGCCATTTCTTTCTGGGAGAGGAAGGCATGGGGAAATGGTGAAAAGGGAATAATTGTCACACGTATCTACTAAAACAATTGACTCCACCCTCTTGTTTTAAATTCCATCTCTCTGAGAAGGATCCATGTGTTCACATACTCTGTTGCTCAAACAAGAAAACAGGTCATTCTTCTTACCATTTTCTTCTCCCTCTTCACTTTCAATCTACTATCAAATCCTCCTGACTTTTACCTCCTAGATATCTCTCTAAATTATCAATTTAGATTCCTAAATTAATCAATTCCTAAATCCTCTGGCTGGCCAGATTATAACATGGTAAGAATGAAGGAACTAAACAGATCTGGGGTTGTGAGTGGTGAGTTGTGGCCATTTCTTCCTGGGAGAGGAAGGCATGTGGAAATGGTGAAAAGGGAGCAATTGTTACATGTATCTACTAATTAAGACATCACATCGATCAGGTAACCCGTATTTATCCTCCACCTAGATCAGTCATTCCCAAGCCTGGCTGATCATCAGAATGACCTATGGAACTTTTACAAAGGACACACTTCCAAGTTACACCCCAAAACATCCTAATTCAGCAAGTGTATGCTGGATCTGGGCGTTCAAGTTCTACCTGGTCTACAGTTGAGTCTGATGATCATTCAGTCAGTGAACTGCTGCTTTAATTACTCTTGGTTTTAATTTCTACCCAAAACTCCCTGAAAATTCCAACGAAGAGCTCAGTAACCCTGTTCTTTCTTTTCCTCATTATTTTGCAAAATATAGAACACAAGGGGAACATACTTTTGATTTATTAATGATGCCAAGAAATATCAAACAGTTTATTGTTTCTATTATTAGAGGAAACCAGACCTGAAAAATAAGTGTAGCATAATCATTTACATACACAAGGCCCTTGAATGGTAAAGCTTCTCATGAATATCCTGGGATGAATGCTGGGAGGCTATTACCATCATCAATTCCATTTTTCAGATGAAGAAACCTAATTACCTCTTAAAGACCCCATCTCTTGAAACCATCACATAGGCAACACCTGAATTTTGGAGGGGACACACTGAAACCATAGCAGGGGGCAATATAAAGGAAGAGCCCAGCTTGAGAGGAGCACTTGGAAACCGTTTCTTGGGCCTTAAAGGAAATCTATCCAGGCTGGCGTTTGTTGAGTGCTGCTACTGCTGTTGTGACTGTTTATTTGTTGCTATTGTTGTTGCCTATTTTGTGCCAGTCATCCTACATATTTTACACCTCAGTGCTGAGGACAGCAAGCAGCTCCCCATGTTACCAGGTAAGCTTTCCAGATAAAACACAAGATGCCAGTTAAATTTGAACTTAAGATAAACTATGAGTAATGTTTAAGTATAAGGGTATCTCATGCAATACACAAGACATTTATATTAAAACATTACTTGTTGTTTATCTGAAATTCAAATTTAACTGGGTGCTTTGTATTTTTATTTGCTAAATCCAGCGGCTTTGTCCCTAAGACAAAGTTGGGAATTCTTAAAGAAAGAAAATCAATTTTATTTTTGGAAGCCTCCGATTCCAGCCTATTGTCTTCCTCTGTACACTTTTCCCTGTGCTTGCCACTAAGCTATGTCCAGAGTACAGCTTTAGGATCTCTGGAGCCTCTTCATCCACATAGAGCAGGACAAGTCAATAAAGAGGCAGCATTGGGGGAGCATGAACTTGACCCATTCAAAGTTAATGGTAACACCTTGGTGAGGAAAACAAATGTTAGGGAATGAAACAAAGGTACTTCCTGTAAGGACCACCATTATCACTAACTGAGGGAATTTGAGAGTGCTTCACTTCAAACGGATCTGAGGTATGGAAACCTGAGTTTATACAAATCCAGGGGTGCTTTCGTTTTACTAATTACAAAGGGATCCCTGGCCTTATAAAAAGATTTAAAAGATGTTTGGAACATAGTTTGACTTTTTCTATTCAAAAATCGTTCAATACAGCTGTTATATACAATAATGTACTCATTTATACTTTAATAAAATATAGATTTGCTGTTGTATGGGTTAGGGTCACCAGATTTAGCAAATAAAAACACAGAATGCCCAGTCACATTTGAATTGCACACAAACAACAAGTATTTTTCAGTGTGAGCATGTCCTGTGCTTATACTAAAAAATGAGTTGTTGATCTGCAATTCAAATGTATCTGTGCATCCAGTAATTTACATGGCAATGCTGTATGGATACAGTTTCATATTCCTGATTTTGAAGGCAAAGGAAGATGGAAAAAGGGTTTGGGAAAGGAATAGATAAGAATTAGGTCAGTATGTAATGCACTGAATTTTATCATAGGACCTGCTGGGCTCAGTAGATGTAGCAATTAGGTGCTTTTGACAGTGAGATTTGAAGTCTGTCTTGGAGGTTGGTAGACTTATATTACTATGAAGCCATGAGCCACTCTAGGTTTTGTGACCTAGCCACCCCCGTGACAAAACAGATATTTGCAAAAACAGCTGGGGGACACCTTCCGCACAAGGTCGGATGCACATTCCTCTTCCTGCTGAGCCTGGTCACCAGAGATCACCCCTCACAGGATTTCCATAAGAGGGCCAGGCAGTTCAGAAAGGAATCTCTTCCAAAGCGCCATCTGTTGCAATGTCAGCGGCTTCATGCATCATTCACAGGAGCTAAAACATTCAAATTAAAGTGGGCAAAAGAATTTGTGAGCCGCAGCTTCTGAATTTCCTGGATTTTTTCAATTATCTCTTTCATTTCTACATCAAGGTTTTGCCATTCTTTGAAAATGTGATCATCAGAGTTTTCAAATAACTAAAATTGCTCAAAAATGCAACGACCTGCCTCAGAAAGGAGTGAGTTTCTTGTGTTTAGGAGACTGAGTGAATATTTAGTGGGCATGTTAGGCAGCTGATACAATCTCTTTTGGTGTGTAGACTCGACGACATGATTTTTCAGGTCTTGAAAACTGTTTGGCACAGCACAGACTCTAGGATCATATATAGTTGAATTAAAATCCATGGCTTTGTCTTTTATTAATTAGTTTTGAACAAATCACTAAATTTTTCTAACCTGCTTTTTTTTTTTTGGACAGAGTCTCGCTCTGTCCCCCAGGCTAGAGTGCAGTGGCAGTGGTGCGATCTCAGCTCACTGCTACCTCTGCCTCCTGGGTTCAAGCAATTCTCCTGCCTCAGCCTCCCAAGTAGCTGGGACTATAGGTGCCCGCCACCACGCCCGGCTAACTTTTTGTATTTTTAGTAGAGACAGGGTTTTACCATGTTAGCCAGGATGGTCTCGATCTCCTGACCTCATGATCCGCCCGCCTCGGCCTCCCAAAGTGCTGGGATTACAGGTGTGAGCCACTGTGCCCGGCCTATTTCTTTATTTTTAAATTAGGGACAAACCCAATGGATTGTTAATATGCAAAGATAATACATCTTTTAAAGATTTGAAAAGATTTGTAAAGTACATGGCATCATTACAGACACAAAAACCCAGAGTGAAATAAATGTAAGTAATCATTTGGGTCCATTCAGATTCTGAGGTTATATATTTTAATGAACTTCAACCAGAAAAACCCTACTATGGTGATTTAAAGAGACCAGAAATTTGGGCTTATAGAACTTGTCTTAGCTTAATAGCATGAGATCCCATTACGTTGATGATCAAGAAGGTATCACAGGTCTCTTATTTGGTGTATTTTTTTTAGGGGTGGCTCAAGGAGAATGAACTTGGGATGTACTTGTCTCACTTTGGCCCCTGGCGCAATATGATGTACATATTCGGTGCTCAGGGAATAAGGTTTGCTGGAGAATGTGATCTCCTTTGCCATAAATGCAAGCAGGAGCTTTGATGTTTATTCCACGAAACTCCTGGCTAGAAAGAAACTCAGTCACATAGACACAATGGTGCTTTTCTTTTTTTTCTTTTTTTTTTTTTTTTTTTTTTGAGACGGAGTCTCGCTCTGTTGCCCAGGCTGGAGTGCAGTGGCGCGATCTCGGCTCACTGCAAGCTCCGCCTCCCGGGTTCACGCCATTCTCCTGCCTCAGCCTCCCGAGTAGCTGGGACTACAGGCGCCCGCTACCACGCCCGGCTAATTTTTTGTATTTTTAGTAGAGACGGGGTTTCACCGTGTTAGCCAGGATGGTCTCGATCTCCTGACCTCGTGATCCGCCCGCCTCGGCCTCCCAAAGTGCTGGGATTACAGGCGTGAGCCACCGCGCCCGGCCACAATGGGGCTTTTCTACATTTCAGTTTCTCTGCAGACCTTTTAAAATGTTGGGAGCTTAGCTGTGGTCAAAGAATGCCCACTTATATTTCCAACAGTGCTGAACAATGAGATCTCTCTTTGTAAAAGGTGCGTTCTCCAACACCCTATGTGAAATCTGCGGGACTATTTGTTTCATGTTCTCATCGGCACAGATCAATATTCCTAATTGCCTGCCAAGTCATTTTCCCAATAGTTTGCAGAAACCTTATCTTTTTTAGAAGCCATGTTGATTTTCTCCATTCTTATAAAATAATACTGCCATTCAGGTCAAAAGATCCAAATAATGAATACATTTGACGCAGAGGCTTTATAAAAATTATTTTGTTTCCTGCCCACACTGGGAATCTGTTGTCTACACATAATCAACAAGGAAGATTAGTTTATGGGAATCTTAAGTCCATCCTGAGTGCACAGAGATAAATTCTAAAAATAAAGCTAACTTCTATTTTTTTTTTTTTCCCCCTGGGGTAAGTGCTGAGCATATTTTCAGAGACTTGAGACTAAAGTGCAGCATCGGGCATTATTCTCAGTCTCACAGCGCCACCTTTTGGCCCATGTTCTCCCTTGTTTTCTGAAGGTGAAATCCAGGCAGCTGGTTCCTGGGGTGATTTTTACAATCCTACTTTCTTGGCTATGGCTTGACATAATTTCCCTGGAGAGTTCAGTCTTAGGGTATGATACTATACCTTGGATCTGCAAAGCATTAAAAGGGAGGATATTGTCAGATATATGATCTAGCCATGGACACAGGCCAGATGCATTCGTAACTGAAAGAGAAGGCCCTCTTGTCTGGTCCACTCCTAACTTGTTTGATTTTGCTGCTATCTATCAGCACCTTCCTTACTAATGCAGGATGGCTCAGTTAATTTCTTTCTTTGGTCTTCCAGTTATGCTGTTGAGAGCTTGCTCATGGCCATATATAAGAGGTGACAACAATGGCTTTTCAGAAACAATACCAAGAGAGCAATAGAAACACTTTATTTACCCACAGTGTAAAATGGGCTGCAACTAATTATTTACAGATGGGGCAAGCTTTGATAAATAGATTGACTGATTAATGATTTGGGTTATATTTCTGACATTAACTCAAACTGGACTTGGGCTTAGTTTCAAAATAAAATAAGCCTATCTAGACCAACCTGTTGGTGCGAACTTTAAAATGGCCAGAGACAATCAGATAGTGCTTTATTCCTAGGGGCTTATGGTTGGAAACCTTGAAGGAAAAATTAGCTGAATTATCTACAGTCAGGTTGAGTGCACGCCAAAGCCTTAGAATTCTAACTCTATTGTTTTGGCTGAGTTTCTACCTGCCCCTGCAGCTAGTCAATTCCATGGAAACATGACTCATACTGTTTGCCATCATGTAACAAAAATAAACAGTGGTAGTTCTCCTCTTTAGGTTTTTCAAGCACAAATTTTGGCTTGATTGAGGCTTAATCGAGGTTGACGACACTGTTAGAGCACTTCTTTCATTCTGACTTCTAAGAAGGAAATAGTGAAGAGAAGTTAGAAATAGACACTCTAATTTCTACATATATATATATATATATTTTTTTTTTTTTGAGACGGAGTCTCGCTGGGGCACCAGGTTGGAGTGCAGTGGCGCGATCTTGCCTCACTGCAAGCTCCGCCTCCTGGATTCAAGTGATTCTCCTGCCTCAGCATCCTGAGTAGCTGGGATTATAGGCACCCGCCACCACGCCCGGCTAATTTTTTGTATTTTTAGTAGAGACGGGGTTTCACCGTGTTAGCAAGGATCGTCTTGATCTCCTGACCTTGTGATCCGCCAGCCTCGGCCTCCCAAAGTGCTGGGATTATAGGTGTGAGCCACCGCGCCTGGCCCTAATCTCAATTTTTAGCTTGCATTTTAGTGGGCGCGTTAGGGAAGACATTTTGGTCAGAGCAGTCAATCTCTTCTACTTACAAAAGTCCTGTATATCCATCACCCCTCCATGCCAAATTTTATTTACTCCAAAAAGCCATTCTAATTTCTTCAACAGTGCCTTGTCCTCACTTTGAATCTCTTTAGTTCTTTTTCCTTATAAACATTTTCCTGGGCAAGAAGATGGAAATCTCCGCACCATGCCGGACTCTCCTTGCTGTTTTGCTCCTAGTAAGCTCTCAATAAGAGATTTTTAATGTAAAACTGTGCGAGTACTTAGTGGCAGAAGCACAAGCGCTCTTCCAAAACTGCAACAGCATAGCAATATGGTGCACATGTCTGTGAACATACAGCTACCACCCCATCGACAGCTTCTCTTTCTTTTGCTCAATTTCTTTTTTTTTTTTTTTTTTTTTTTTTGAGATGATGGAATCTCTCTCTGTCGCCCAGGCTGGAGTGCAGTGGCCCGATCTTGGCTTACTGCAAGCTCCGCCTCCTGGGTTCACGGCATTCTCCTGCCTCAGTCTTCCAAGTAGCTGGGACTACAGGTGCCCGCCACCACGTCCGACTAATTATTTGTATTTTTAGTAAAGACGGGGTTTCACCGTGTTAGCCAGGATGGTCTCGATCTCCTGACCTCGTGATCCGCCCGCCTCGGCCTCCCAAAGTGCTGGGATTACAGGCGTGAGTCACCATGCCCAGCCCTCAATTTCTATGCTGTAGCCAAAGCAGCTTTAAAACAAATTTGAACTTGTCACTTTCCTGCTTTCAAAGCTTCATGACTCTTTCTGGCCTCCTAGACTCCGAATTCCCTAGATGGGTCTACCAGGCTTGTACTGTCTGTCCCCAAACCCCCTCTGTAATCTCACTTTCCTCCATTCCCCCATGATTCACACTTCTGTCTACTTTGAATTTCTCTGTTGTTATCCCTTTCTGAACTACCTCTCCCTCCATTTTCTGCCTAGTAAACGTTTCTTCATTATATAAGACTCCCTATAAAAGTTCGCAAATTTCTTTAGGATTTTCCAAAGATCCAAGACAGAATAAGTTTCAACTTTCTCTGGGATTTTATATAGTTTTGCTCATTATTTTATTATAGCATCTACTGAGTCTTATATTAAAATTCTTCACCTATACTAAGTCATGTACTAGATCTAAGAGTCTTTAAGATAGGGATCTTACTGATTTGTTTTGGTCTTCAAGCTTAGTATATAATACATAATAGGACTTTCATAAGTGTGTGATGAATGAATAAATGAACAATTCTAAAGGATAATGACAATAACACTGGACTGTCATTGGTAAACTTGAGTTCTAGACCCACCTGTCACTTCCACCTTGAGGTCTCAGACAATTTAACCTTATTAGTCCCAGATTGCTAGCATGCACAATGAGTACTTCAGATTTGGTAACTGCCGAAGTCTTTTCTGTTGTCCGATCCGTGAAGTTGCGGCTCTTGAGTAAAGCTCATCAAGGCAGACTTTCTGAGAAATTCCCAATGCAACAGGTTTCAAGTAATTAACCAGGAAAGACTCTTCCAGAAGTGGTAGCTCAGCACATACTGAGAGTAAATACCATGTTAGTGATGAAGAGATTGGAATTTCTGCAAAGAATTGATTCTGATCTTGAGCCTCTTACTAGTTTGGAGAGATCAAAATATTGGACACATTGCCTATTGTTATTTACTTGAGATTAGTTAATGGAAATCAGAGAATTTAGGGGCACATAATGCTGCCACATGAATAACTGACTTGATTCTTTTATAAACCATTCAGATTGAATTCCATGAAAAGCAAATTCCTACCTACTTTTCCAAGGATTGAATCCAGAGTGTTTTCTTAGACGGTGTAACCGGGGTGCACGGGGCAGTGAGCTAAGGTGCAATCTTCCGTCTGTGTTGTGCTTTACACTTGTTCTCACTATGCTTCAGTTTAAAAGGGACCTGAAATCCAGGAAACAGAAGACTGTGGTCCCCTGAGTATCCAGCTTTCCACTCAGTATCTCTTCGTATCTAATTGGCATGCCAAAGTTTACATGGCATCAACAAAACCCTTGGTTGCCCCACATATCCAGAATTTACCTCCACAAGTATTTGCTATTTAAGTAAATGCCATCATTATCCACTCAATTTCTTAGAACAAAAATTTACAAGTCATTCTGGATTCCTTGATTTCCCTCAATTCCCATTATCCAATCATCAGTCTGCTATTCCATTTCCATTAAAATGTATTCTGAAACCAACTACTTTTTACTCTCTCTACCGCAACCACCCTTTCCCCAGATACTGTGATCTTTTAGCTAATGTTATCACCTCTGCAGTAGCTTTTCTGCCTCCACATTTGCTCCCTTACATAGGATCTGTTCTACACGCAGCAGCCAGAGAAATCATTCTAAACTACAAATCAGATCCTCCTATGCCCATTTAAAAGTCTCCAGTGGCTTCTAAGTATGTTTTGAACCTGACTCTTCCCATGGCCTGGTCATTCTAACATTATCTGGCTTTGCCAATGCACCCAATTCATCTCTCTCTCTTCCTTCTTGTTTCTCTGGTTTACTTAGTTTTATCCATGGTCTTTTGTGATGTCCCCCCATTTTTTTTTCAGAAATGTCATCTTGCTCTGTCACCCGGAACACAGTGACGTTTCTTAAAAAAAAAAAGACATCACAAAAGGATGGAGTGCAGTGCTATGGTCATAACTCACTGCATCCTCAAGCTCCTGGGCTCACACAATCCTCCTGCCTCAGCCTCTGGTGTAGCTGGGACACAGGTGCATGCTACTCACCTGTCCTGATGTCTTCAACATACCAAAGAAATTTCTCATCTCATTACATTTGTACTTATGGTTCCTTCTGTGTCAAATGCTCCTCTTACATAGCTGGCTTCTCATCATTTAGGTTTCACCTTCATGAGGCTCCTCCTCATGAAGAGCTTCTCTGATGCTCCTCCTCATGAAGAGCTGCTCTGATGCTCTCTAAAACAACTGGTCCTGTTACAGTCAATGTCTGTCAAAATCACCCCGTTTCATCTTCTTCATAACACTTATCAGTACCTTAATGATCTTATTTCTTGGTTTATATATTTATATATTGTCTGGCTCTTTCCACTATAATGCAATCTCTTTGAAGATGGAGATTCTGCCTTTCTTATCAAATGTTGTGTTCCACACTTTTAGAACATGTTTATCATGTCTCAAGTCATATAATAATATACATTACTAAATATTTGTTAATTAACTGACTAACCAAGTTTTCCTATTGTTATATATGAGCAATAAAGAAATAGAAATAAAACAGCTAATTAATGAGGGTTAGATAGTCTCCAAAACAATATAGAACTATTTGGTTTAGAAAGGAAACTTGTAATAGATGAATAGAGACTAAATGTACACAAGACCCTTTCACATTGTCTCCTTTTTCTGTTTGACAAGGCTTTATAGAGATATTTACAAGAGTGAGAACATCCTAGATAGATGGATAGATTGATAGACAGACCTAGTAATTACCTAGCAGTAGCAGCCAGTATTAATATCAGTATCAGTGTCAGTATTTACTGATCCTGCTAATATCCTAGAGTGTCAGTATCCTTTTCTGATAATCAGTATCAAATTATGGATATTAGCTATTAATAATAATTATTATCGGTATCAGTGTCAACTATCAGTATCAATAATCAGTAATTACCCAACATCAGTATCAATATCAGCCAGGGTCCCAAAAGGAAATGGACAGCACATTAAAATGAAGTAATTTGCAGACAATTTAATAAAGAGATTATTTACAAGGATACGGGGGGTGGGTGGTTAGAAACAATAGGAGGGACTCTGATGCTAGAGATAGGAGGGATGATTCTCACTGCTACGCTGGAGAGTGACGAAGTATTTACCTGACAAAACACTTACACTTCTCCAGAGAGGAGTGTAGACAGAGGGCCTCCTGACAGCAGCTGCAGCCTTCCGCAGAAGATCACACTAACCCAGTAGGACCTGCCAGAAAGGGAATTAGGGAAATAATTGTCTCAACTTCTCTCTTCCTCCACTTGCTCCGTCTCCCAGAGGCTGACTGTCCCACAAGCCGAGCTCCACCAGAAGCTTGAGGCCTCCTGATGCGGCACATCTGGATTAGCCTCCCAGAGCACACAAAGGGCGGAGCAAGTAAAGAGGGACCCTGCAGGAGTACATGGGAGACATTCATCACATCAGGGAAATGCAGATAAAAATATAAACTATGGTCGCATTCAAAGTCGACAGGCTAGGTGCCAGCAGAGCTGCAAGCTGGTATCAAAGCAGCGGCTGCTCGCCCTCCAAAAGGTTTCTACCAAGGCACAGATCCATTTTCTTCTGTTTGGCAAGGATAAGAAAGAAGATGCTTGATACTGACTCGTAAAACCAATAGGGAGGAAGAGTGCCTGAATACAGCACTTTCTTTTTCTTTTTTTTTTTTTCTGTTTTGCATTTATCTTTTTTAAGCCTAAATTGATGGCACAAATTCAGTTCATAAGAAGAGCAAGAGGAGACATGGTAGGAGTGGGCTGGTGCAGTGTCACATCCGCGTGTGTCATGGTGCACACACGCTAGGTTTGGTGGTGCTCAGAAGTCTGTGCTTTTAACAAAACTTTACATTAAAGAAATGGACATACTTTAATAACCTCCTAAAGCTAAACCTAGGAAAATAGAAGAGTCAAAGGACCTTGCAATGTTAAATTTTACTAATCTGTTGAGGTTCCAAGCATTATAACTAAGAATCCATATCCAATTGCCCATAATTTAGTACTACTCCTGCCATATCCTTGACCAGATTTTCAACACCTTTCCTTAGTAACTTTTTTAAAAGACATCATAACCACTGAGAAGGAATTGCAGATAATTTCTCTTCAGCATGATAAAAGAAAGCACCAGAAATGTCATATGTTGGTCCTTTTCTTTCTTTCTTTTTAATATTTTGCTCCCTCAAAAAACAGTTGACTTTCTGCAAGAGAAAAAAATCAAAAGTATTTAACATTTCTGTTTTATTTCCCTGAGCCTTTTCGTGGTTGTTGTTGTTCCATTTATTTGACCTAATGACATTTAGGAAAGATCTAGAATATTTTACATAACTTTTATGAATCTGGGCATGGAAGAAAAACAGTTGGGAAGAAGAACAGGCATAGACAAAATGTGTGGAGGGAAATCAGGTGAGTCTGAAGAACTAGGAAGTGGGTGATGGAACAATGCTCTCTAAGATCCGTCTCAGACTTGGAACTTGAACTAGGGATTCTCGACCGTGGAGTTGTCTATAGAGCACAAAAAAAGAGAGTTATGAAGAAAAAGGAGAAGAAAGGAGAAAGCTAGAGAAGCTACAAAGAAAAGGAGGAGGAAAGCCTAGAGTAAGAGGAGAGGAGAAAGAGGAAGAGAGGTAGAGAAGAGAGCAGAGGCAGCTGGAAGTGAAGGAAGTTGAAACCTCACAGGAAACTAGCCTGCTCAGAAGACAGAAAGGCTGTACTGATTCTATTTCTTCCCAGCATGGATAAGCCACTTGCAAACACTTTCCGGTAGTGGAATTTTGAAGTTTTCTCCCTCTTGAATATGTAAGGCCAGCAAGGGAAACTCAAATTTATTTTGACAAATGCATCATTAAAGGAAAAAAAGCATTCACAAATATTTTATATTGATATTGAACATCTGAATGATTAACATTCATGGTAGAAAAGCCTTCATTGCCCAGTCCTGAGTTATGAAATGATCAGATTAGTTATTTGCAACTTTAGACAATGTCACTCAAAGGAAAATAAATACGCAGAAAGCTATCAGCACAAATGGAAGCTAGGCCATAACAAATCAGGATGAAGGGAAGAGGGTTTTCCTTCCCTTTATTTCCTCCCTGAAATCCTTTACCCTTCTATCTACTAGTAATATGATTATTCCTAGGAACGCCACACACACGCACACACACTTCAGTATGTGCACACATACAACTGCTTCTAAAAGAGAGGAACTTTTTTTTTTTAGACAGAGTCTTGCTCTGTTGACAGGCTGGAGGGCAGTGACATGATCTCTGCTCACTGCAACCTCTGCCTCCCGGGTTCAAGCGATTCTCCTGCCTTAGCCTCCTGAGTAGCTGGGATTACAGGTGCCCGCCACCACACCCAGCTAATTTTGTGTATTTTTAGTAGAAGCAAGGTTTTGCCATGTTGCCCAGGCTGGTTTTGAACTCCCAAGCTCAGGCAGTCCGCCCACCTCAGACTCCCAAAGTGCTGGGATTACAGGCATGAGCCACCATGCCTGGCCTAAAAGAGAGGATCTTTTAAGGAGCTAGTGCAAGTACTGGATCTGTTAGTGTGTGAAGCTATTTGTCACTTTGTCCTGACTGTGTGACTGACGTGTGTGTGTGTGTGTGTGTGTGTGTGTGTATGTGTAATCTTACAACAGCAGGCTGTGTACACTTTAAGGCAACTTTGGGGTTCAAAATGAGAAGCAGACTTCTTAGTTTCTTTTGAGTACTTCCTTTTGTGAAGAGGGAGAAAGAAATACAGTATTTGTCACCCAAGTCTCAGCCTCTGACAATAGGGAATTGTTCTTTCAATCTAGTTTCAATTGTCCCAAGCAGTAGGATTTCCTTTGCTCTGTTTGGGGAGCCAGTTTAATAAATAACCCTTTCTACATGCAAGCAAGCATTTCGCTCAAGTCTAAAGTCTTTTTGTTTGTTTTATTTACTTATTCCAAATTATACTTTCAGCACTCTCTGAAGTATTATTATATCTATATGGTTATGTATGTTAACAGTCAATGAACAACCAGAGACTTTTGAATTCTAATCTGTTTTTCCCGAAGTAACACAAAGGGATTTTGAATGGTAATGAGCTTGCCTGGGTAGAGATGCAGTGCAAACATAAAGCACTGGACTCTGAGGTCATCATGCATGAAGACTACAAGCAAACGCTGACGGAATCCGCTGGAGGACCCCGTGTGGACCCCAGAAGTGAGAGCTTTGATGACACCACATGACCCTGTGTTTGCATAAATATATTCATAGATAGGGAATTCCTGACTGTGAGTAGAAATCACAATTGCTGGGGTAATGTGTATCATTATCTCTGCTTCTGCTTCCTTCTCCTTCAGATAATCATATGAACTTTCAACAGGCTGCTGCACTTCTAAAATTATTAGAGCAGGCCAGGCATGGTGGCTCACGCCTGTAATCCCAGCACTTTGGGAGGCCGAGGTGGGCGGATCACCTGAGATCAGGAGTTTGAGATCAGACTGCCCAAAATGGTGAAACCTCATCTCTACTAAAAATACAAAAATTTGCCAGACGTGGTGGCACACGCCTGTAATCCCAGCTACTTAGGAGGCTGAGGCAGGAAAATCACTTGAACCCAGGAGGTGGAGGTTGCAGTGAGCTGAGACTGTGCCACTGTACTCCAGCCTGGGTGGCAGAGTGAGACTCTATCTCAGAAAAAAAAAAAAAGAAAATTATTAGAGCTAAGGTACATTGTTAATTTTGGTATGTTTCTAATTTTAAAAATCTAACCCAGTGGCCATGCAGATACCTTTTCAGTTATCTAACTTAGTCACTTTTCAGACTAACAAATATGTAAGAGTGAAGAAAATGGGAATGTTTATACTGTTCTGGAAAGGAATTTAATAATATTTATTAAAAATTTAAAAACATGGCCTTAACCTTTGACCTCCAAATTCCTCCTATAAGAAGTTGTTGTAAAAAAGACAGTCAAGACTACACTCAAAGATTGGCATCTTTTGCAAATTTATTTATAATTAAAAGCAAATGTTGACATAGAAACCAACATAAAAGAATCAGTTAAATAAACAATGGTGCATCACTTGTTGGAATATTATGGAATCCTCAAAAAGAATTATATTTCAAAAATATTTAATAATGTAACAATACTATACAATTTTAAGTTTTGTAAAAGTAGAAATGCTTTTGGAATATAATTCTAATTTTAGAAAGTGTATGACACATTTCTATGTTAATAACAGCTGAAAGTCCAATTTTGGGCCTATACTGGTTGTCAGAAAAAAATGAACAAACTAACTTACTTACTTTTAGGCAAGCCACATGCTCCTAGGGCTCACAACAAGATTCAAACCATTTGTTTCTTTCCTATGAAGTTCATCTTTCAAATTATACTGTGTTCACTGCAGAGGGCAATGAGATTTTCCTTCACATTTGAGAATCCCTTGGTCTTTGAATCTCTTTCCTCTCTCACTGATGGTCCTGCTTCACCCTGGAGGAATATCTGGCTCATGTATTTCTGGATATTATACCTGGCTCATTTTAAAGGGGTGGCATTGCATTGCTTGTGATAGTTTTAGGTTTCATAGCCTTTTTTAAGAATAAATTATCTCCAGACAAACAAGCATTTGTTTTTTGCCAGTATTCACCACCTCTAGCTATCTTATTCAAAATCCTTTTTCATATGTGCAAGAAAAAGAGAAGAAAGAAAATGTCTACACATGCAAACACACACACACACACACATGATTGAAATAATAATACTCAAAATATTAGTAGTTATTCCTTGGCTTGAAGATTATAGGTGACTTAATTTTCATAGTTTTCTGTATTTTTCAAAAATGAACATATTTTATAAACATGAAAGGATATTTTTCTTTAAAAAGAGTCCATTTAAAAGAGAATATATCAATCTTCAAACTGCAAAATATTGATAACATTAATTCTCAGTCTGTCTTCTTATATGTAACTGCATTAGCCAAGTTATAGATTCAAAAAGACTTGGTGACTAGCAATTAATATTTTTTAAAAACTCATGAACCAAAATATCCATCCCAAAGAGAAGCTGGCTAATTAATAGAGTGTTCATAGCCTCTAAATTAGATAGGCATAAGATATTGTCTCTGATTCATTCCATTTAATATTAACAGACTATATTTAATCAAGAAATCTAGTCAGCAGAGATGTTACTTTTGACATCAAAGTAAACCTACCGGCAACAGATCAAATTCCAGCCATGTGAGGCAATTGGATTTTGGAGAGGCAGACATGTTTTTATGCTACTAGTTAATAGTGAATCTCCCTTTTGGGGGTTGTAGAAGAGCAGCTTCAGGGAGCAGCTGTCTTCTGGGACAAAACTGACAACAGCAACACCATGAAAAATCCTGGCCTTTAGTTCTTCAGGGGTGAGTTCATTGTCATTTAGATACATCAGTTAGATGGAACTCAATAGACTGCATTCAATTAATCAATTCTCTTGAGAAGATAAAGTATAAAGTAACAATCTAAGCTTTTGGTTCAGAACCTTTAAGGTGTCACTCACCATGATTGAAGCTGAGCCAGAAATGTCAGCTTTGCTAATTAAGTCTTTGCTGTTTCATCTACTTTTCAACTGACCTGGCAAATCTGAACTTCAGAAGATGATAAACTATGACCAACACTGGGAATTCATTTTCTTAAAGCAAATTCAGGAGGTGTGAATTCAACCCAGTGATGAATATGTCTTTCTCCTTCCAAAGCATCATCCATACCAAATTTTACAATTTGGCATCTGTTTTGACAACTCTAGCAAGCAATCATTTTGACAGAAGACCATCTGTGTTAAGCAGCATGCACAGCGTCTACATGAAACAGAAAGGAACAGAACAGTGCCTAGGAACAGATCACTGACTAAAATGACCCTGGAGTTTGGTATTTAGAATCTCAGGGGAAAATATATGGCAAGAGTTGGACATTTGAGGCAGATTCCTGTCTAGAATGGTTTCAAGGGCTAACACTCTCCCTTGAGGACTGAAATGATGAGAAGGAAACATTTAATAAAAAGTTACCAGTACTGGATTAAGAAATTGGCTCTAGTCCTTTCTCTTCCATTAACTACTTGTTACGTAGCTACTTGACCTCTTGGTATTCTGCTCTTTTCTGCATTAACGAGTTGTGTGTTTCCTTGCGTAAGTCCCTTAGCACATGTTTGTCTAACAGGCTTCACAATTTCTTGGAATTGTCTATCCCTCGCTTCCATGCATTTCCCAGGTTCACTCCAGACAATGAGCCTATCAGTCACATGTCTGGTAAAATTTCATTGCCTCAATTACATTCTTACCCTTGTGTTTGGAATAGAGACTAAGATATTCCAACTCAGAATAATCTATTCTCTTTGAGATATAAACTGAGATCTCTTGGCAAGAGCCATTTCTCATCACGTGTACAAGGAACTGGAGAAGACTATTCTGTGTAAAACAGAGAGTAAAGTAGATAAGCAGATAGTAAAGACAGTGGATAAAGAGAAAAACTCAGATAATTTACTTAAATTCACTTGTTCTTGAAGCCTAGCCTTACTTATCTCCCTGGGTTTTAGGAGAAATTTTAGTATCCTCATTATTCATTGCCTTTTTTTTCTTTTCTTAAGCTACTTTGTCTTTTACAGTAAAAAAAAGCTAACTAATTTAACACTTTGTAGGATTTTGTTCATGGATTTACTGCTATCTTTAATTGGATGTATCACTTAAGAATATTTGGTTCTCAACAAGGAACATTAATGATCCTAGTACAAAATCAGGATGCTGAATTATATGAGTTCTGTCATCCTATGCTGTTCTAACCTATAAGTCTATGTCTCTATTCAAGGCAGATTTTGGTTTTAGTTAAAGGGGAATACAAAGACAAGTAATAAATCATTTCTGTCCTTACAGATGAGTGGTAAGACATCTACACAAATAGCTATAAAAATCCACCAACTCTTGATGCCAACTGTAAGAGAAGCTAAAAAACAGAATGTGCCTGCTACATTCTGGCATCACTAAGTAATTCTGAGTCTTCATACTTATGTCTGATTGTAGCATCTATAATAGCAGAAATTACAAATGAAAAATACAATTGAAACAAGTGCTTCGTATTTCTATGCAGCTGGCAAAATCTGCCCCTCTTGGATCCAAAGCTGGCTTTGCAGGGAGAATTAAATATCTGATTGTTGGTAATAAGAGACCTGACTGAATTGGATCTTATGGTCCATAATAACTTAAAGACAACAGTCAAGGTAAAGACTTAAATGGGTAATAATGTGCTTAGTGACAGTTGTTGGAGCTAAGATGGCCTTTGTTTTCCAGTACAACTTCTCCACTCACTGTCTCCTCAATATGTTTTCAATCTCCCTACACTGGTATCATTGCTCATGTAGTTCCTTCCATAAGAGGTATGTCCCCTGATCCATAAATCCATAAGAATCAGCTGCAGCTTCATTTCTTTTTTTTATGGAGTTTTGCTCCTGTCACCCAGGCTGGAGTGCAGTGGCGCGATCTCGGCTCACTGCAATCTCTGCCTCCCAGGTTCAAGTGATTCTCCTGCCTCAGCCTCCTGAGTAGCTGGGATTACAGGTGCCTACCACCAGGCCTGGCTAATTTTTGTGTATTTTTAGTAGAGACAGGGTTTCACCATGTTGGCCAGGCTGGTCTTGAACTCTTGACCTCAGGTGATCCACGTGCCTCAGCCTCCCAAAGTGCTGGAATTACAGGGGTAAGCCACCGCACCCGGCTGCAGCTTCATCTCTTGAAGAAAGCTTTTGGCTACTTTGCCATGCAGTGATTTTTCCATCTTCTGAGTTAAATGTATTTTATGTTTTCTCATTTCATTTGAAAATCATGTGGTGCCTTCTTCCATCTTACGTGAGGATGATGCTAGCTACTCTAACAAATTCCAAAATTTGAGTGACTTAACCCAACAGAAACTTATTTCTTGTTCGTGACATAGTCCATTGCAGATTTCCAGCCATTAGGTGTTTTTCCTCCACGTGATGGTTCAGGAACCCAGGCTTCTTCCGTCATGCTCTCTATAAATAGTCCCAAGGCCTTGGAGTCTTCTGTATGCATCCAAAAGACCAGAGAAGCCATCCTATCTTAGCCTCAAAATGACAAACATTTTTCTCATTTTGCATTGGAACAGAACTAGTCACATGGCCTCACTTGCAAGGGTGATGGGAAATGGAGCCCCTGGCTAAAGGGCTCCTTCCAAGGGCAATCCTTAATTACGGAGGTGGAAGCTTGAATTTTGGTTGATGGTTAGCTTTGTCACACATTTTATATTCTTAATTCTCTCTCTGAAACATTTCTAATTTCAGTCCTTAAAATTCTTGATGGAGACGGAGAGCTGTTATGCAATCCGTCTTAATTATGCAATAATTTTATGCAATAATTTTAATCTCCCACAGCATATACTACTACCTTGAGCATATTTTGTTCTCATTAAGTGTCTTAATTGGTTTGTACTGAGTTAGAACAGTATACCAGAATTACTGCGATGCCAACTTCCCCCAAAGTGCCTGCATATTACTCTCTTCTCTGGTTTGTTTACTCCTAGGTAGGAATAAATAAGTGGAATGAGAGAGTTCCCTTTACAAATGTAATGTTGTACTTTACTCAGTGATACTTAGTCCACAGACATTGTGGGATAACCACAATGAACCAAACATCATGCCAAATGCTTTGGTAAAAGAAACAAAAATCTTATGGTCCCTGACCTTAAGGAGTTTGGCAAGACTGATGAGAAAAATCTGTAATGAACTTGCAGGCTGATAGACCCATATGTACAGAATGGAATGGACTTTATAATTTGAGCACAGAGGGGAGGTCTGTCTCCTTATAGTTTGATCCATTGAGATGAGCTCTACATAGAAGCCCTGAGATCATTCTTCATCCTGATAAAATCAACAGTACTACTATTAATAATAAAAAACAACCTGGTATGCACAATATGTTCTATCAAACATTCTCAAGTGTATCACATATTCTCTCATGTGTATCATGTCGTTTGCTCCCCATTACAACAATCCTTTGCAGTAGATGTTGTTTTCATTTTGGTTTGGGAAATTTAAAAAACTGAGGCTCAGGGAAAAGCGAACTTCCTAATATTATAAAATTAATAAATAGTGGCACTTGGAGTTGTCCCACTGACTGTTGCATGTTTTGTATTTATGTATCACACACTTTTTCTTCCCTTAAGCTTTTGGCGAGAAAAGTCAAAACGACAGAGCCAATGATTGAAAACATCTCTGTGCCCTCAGAGGTCTAATGAATGGGTGGGTTGGCATTTACAAAGCCACATGTACCAGTTTAGACCACTAGGGGGCCGTTATCAAATTGCTTTTTCCAGTGAGAGTGCTAACTAGTACCTCAACTATGTGATTCTCCGGAGACCCCAAAATATCAAGGATTGAGTTAGGGTCCAAAATTACCAGCTTTTCTTGAATATAGCAAGAGTTCAGATAGAGAGAGCCCTTCACTGAGAGTACAGAGTTCACAAACAGAAGCTTGGAGTCCATATTGGCTCCAGACCATCTTGCCAATAACAGAGAACTCTGTTGAAATTGAGCGCTGTTACAGCTCCACCTGCTGGAATTTTCCTAAACCAACAATTGGAATTTCCACAGAAATTTACTAAGTGTGACAATCCAAGACAGAATTTAAAATCTTAGTGTCAATCCATCTCTCTCTTCAAAAGATTTGCAGTAACACATGTGTGAAATAAGATAATGTCCCATGGAAAAAAGAATAGTCACAAAAAGTTATCTTACTTTCCATATGTGTAAGTATAGCTTTTCATGTGGTAAGAGATAACTTGACCTTAAATGTGCAATTTTAGATGAAAATATGATAAGAATAGTCTCTATTTTACTACCTAAAGCAAAAGTGGAATCAGTGATGATATAGAAATGCAATAACCTCAGAGTCCATAAAGCTGAGTATATTTATACAATACATTGATCTGCAGAGTATTTTTATCTTCATCTCTCTTCTATGGGCTCAAAATAAAGGTCAAATTTAGTCTTCAGTGAGATTTCCAGGGAGAGCTCTCCCTTAAAGATCTGCAGTCAAAACTTGCTTTCATGTTCTTTTTCCCTCCTCATTCTTTTCTTTTCCAGATCTTTTCACCCCCTTCGTTTCCACCCCTATCCTCCCATAAACCTGGGGCAAACTGTAGTCCATGAGCAGCAATACCAGCAACGACATCTTGGATTCGTTAAGAGCTTTGCAGATGAGCTCAAACTCATATTTCATCTCATTCCTGAAGTCATCAGATTCAAGCTTGTCACATTTTCTGAACACAAAGCTCCAGGCATGTTTTATTCATTATCTGTTCTCGTCTTTGAGACAAACACCTGCAACCCATTTCAGGGTCGAGAGACATTCATGAAGTTTCAACCCACCATGCTTAGGTTTTCATATTTCTACTTGGGCCAGGAATGTCAGAGTGTCATGGTTCCTACAGCCACTTAGTAGCCTCTCTAAGTCCTAGGGCCAGTTGCTCATGAAGGTGTCCTTGCTGTTGGCATTTGAGGGCAAAGTTGAAACTGACATAGGGACAATCTTTTATCAGCTTTTTACATTGTACGACTTAAGCTCTAAGCCATTTTCTTAAAATGCTTGAGGACGTTGGCATAGAACCCAAGGTAAGTAATGTTGAACTGAGTGTGCTGCCCTGGTGACTGTTACAGTGTTCTACATACACAACTTCATGCCTCATTGATAATGGGGATTAGTGATTGTAACACTGTGACTCACAAGATGAAAGCCCGAAGTCTAGTTTGGTCACTGGCTTCTAGGTAACCTTGGACAGTGGTTCTACTTCCCTGCCATGGTATATCTACTGTTGAAGAAGGATACTTGTAAACTAATCAATCATCTGCCAAAAAAAAAAAAAAACCTTTCCTTATCTAGTGCTCAAAAGAGAGCACATGGAATAGATTGTGTGTTCCCTCTAGAATTTGTAAAGTAAGAAATGAGCAAATACATTCCAAAAATACGCAATAGAATAAGTCAGTGGTAAAAGAGAAATACATCTCAGATCTTCTGATTCCTAATCCACTGACGGAGGAGAAAACACTGTTCTTGTGATGGCGTCTTCCTTGACGATAAATAATTTAACACTTTTAAAGTAATTTGAAATGTTAGAAGAAAAACAGAATTGGTTTAAAGTTTAGAGATTAAAATGAACATACACTAACAAACTGCATCTCAGCTTTCCATATATGCTTATCTTTTTGTACTCTGACAAAGCTATTAACTCACAAATTAATTAACCAACTAAACAAAGTCAATATAAAAATAAAGGGACAACGGTCCCAGAAGGTTAAAATGCAAGGTACTTGCACAGCAAAATTGCCAGCAAATACCACTCCTTTTTCTTGAATTCACAGAAAAACAAATCTGAAACTAAGTTAGAAAGCAATTGGTCAGTCAGCCAATAACCAGGATACCAGGCCTGGGACCTCCTATAGAGTCATGCCATTTCAGAAAGGGGTAGGATCTATGACAAGCAACAAACAAGAAGGAGAAGTGAGCCAGCAGACCATAAAGGGTGATTTCACTCCATCTCAGTTTATATTCTGATGATTACGTTCTGGGCAACATCAATTTCTTCCTACTCACCTGCTGGAGGAGATAAACATCATGGCCTGACACATACTCTACCTTTTCAACCATGACTAATCTAAACAGAAACATTCACAAAAGTCCAACCACTTAAGAGGTGTTTGTTGAGGGCATATATTGGGATTTAAGGGTATACAAATATGTGTGCGATATAATCTCTGTTGACTGGTAATTTACACTCCATTTGGGTCAACACCAGTTCCTGAGAACTTAAGCAGTAGTAAAGAAAGGGACCACTATGCAAAGGGGGTTATAAAGGATGTTAATGATGACAACAAAGACCACAACAGGTTGAAAATACATGGATTTAGAGGAGGGTACCTGTGGGCTACAGGGTTTGAGAAGACTCCTAAAAGCATTCTGAGTTGGGTGTTGAAGGTTAGGTAGGAGTTGGCTGGCAAGAATAAAATCCAGTTGTAGGAGTTAATAGAAAAAACTAAAATGTCAGTTGCAAGAAATGCCATGCATGGAGATGAAAAGGTAACATTTCTGGAGCCAGTGGTTCAGACATACATGCTGATGGCTAAATGTGTCTGGGGAGCCTCACTCTTAACTCGATTGGTTTGCTGGTTAGCTGCAGAAATTTGCACTTATTCCTTACTGCCTCTCTTTTATTTATTGTTCTAATCACTGGGCATAATAGGAGCCAGGTCATCGGAGGATGGTGCTGTGACAGCATAATGGGCTCTGGCTTTGAAAATAACATCTCAGTTTCTCCAAGGCCCCTTCTTTGGCAGCAGGAGACCATTAGCTTGTCATTGTCCAGCCCTATTGACATTATCTTTTAATTGCCCCCAAAGACCCATCTCCGAGGCAACATGTGTCTGAGATTTTCGGAGCATTGGAGATTTTGGACTGACATCCCAATCCATTTTATCATTTAACTTCAGAAATTCTAAGGGGAGAAAATGATTAAAGAGTTTAAAAAACTAAGAAGAACATTATGGGAAGATGTACGGAAGGCTGTATTCATGACAACAATTAAAGCCAAAGTAAAGTGGCAAGGAAAGCAAGTTATTCTGCAAGAATTCTAGGAACAGATGTGCATGTCTATATGTAAAGACAAGTACACTGTGTTAAATAGAATATTCAAGACCAAAATCAAATGTCTGAACTGAGTATTTTTGTAATTTTGTATAGGGCATAATGAGAGAAGCGGATGTTGCCAAGTCCTGAGAATATTTGCTGTGCCCCCAACTTTTCCTCGGAGACAGATATCTATGTCTGGGTGGTCTTTTCTGTGGCTCCATTGTTTCTGTCAAGTGTCTAAAGTGTTATTATGCCCAGGAAGATGGCCAGCTGCTTTCTATGTACCCTATGGACAAAATAAAGTAAATAGGCTGAAACAGTGTGATGAGTGTAGGTGAGACATGAAAAAGCAGTTTTGGACCATGCAGCATTTGAAATCTAACAGTCAAAGAAAAGGGACATTTCACTTTGTTAACAGCTGGTGCTGGTCTGGGAAGGTGTAGGTGTAGTCTGGTTGGGACCCTTCCGGGGGTGTGTGAAGGCTGCAAGAGGGAGGGGATAGAGTTTCCGGGCAGTCTAGGCAGCGGTGGGATGCGCTGTCTCTGGATTAGTGACAGAAGGAATCGATGCTGCTGTCAGGGTCTCAAGTCCAGGATGGGAGATGGAATCCCATCCCATGGAGAGGGACTCAACGTCTTTGAAGGTCCTTTCTCTCTAGCTTCAGGCTTCATCACCTTAGCGGCTGTGAGCTTCCCCTGGAAGTCATTGGAAGGAAAATGGACTTTGCATAAATATGTCTTTGTCCATGTGCAGTCTTTGGGCGCACGTCAACAAGGGCAGCAAGGCAGCCATTTTGCAATATGCCCTCCTCCTTGCCTGGCTCTGCCCATGTTTCCAGCTCACAATAATATCCTGGCTGCCGGCCCCTGATGAAAGCCTCTCCGGGCCTTTCCTGCAGCCTGCCTTCTTTCCCTGTTGCCCCTCCTCTCTTTGACATTCCAGAATCCTCTCCTTCCTGTTATTGTCCTGCTCATTTCTGATAAGATTATGTTTGTCCCTATGAAGAGGAATTTTTCTTTCCTGTACATTAATGTTTTTCAAAGACACACTAATGAAAAAGATCTCTATCCTAATGCCAGATAATTTATACTAAGTGTTGAGGGATCTGAGAGAGGAATAGGAGGCCCCAAGAGATGGGGAACCCAGATTCTCCTTTAATCACTTGTGAAACACTTGACGGCCTATCACCAACCTTCTGATTCTGATTTCCAAATGCAGTTTTGTTTTGGCTACAGAGCAAGGAATTGTATTTTACAAGCTGGAGTTCACAGTTCAGCTGCACAGAAGGAGTCAGAAGATGTGAGTTCCAGCACTAACCCTGCATTTGCATTTATTTGCTTACAGAAGGTTTGTGGGCCATATCTAGCCTCGGTGCCCTCATTGTAAAATGGGGACATTATTACCTACCTACCTTAGGGTTCTTGTGAGGGTTAGTGAAATACCATATCAACCATGCTTCATAAACTGGAAATATAAATAAAAGGTAGTTTGATCACCTAAACATATATAAATTGTGACTCAAGATGAGTTGCATGAACTCTAGGAAATAGGCCCCATAAAGAGTGTTAGAAAGTTTAGGCGCTGTCTTCATCCTCATAGTCGGCTTCCAGCCTGTTTGAGCTCTGCCAAATGGAAAATGGACCAGAGTGATCATTTTATAGATGACAAAATTGAGACCCAGAAAGGGAAAAAGAATTATTCACATTGGTATTTCCTTCTTTTCTTTTCTCTCTCTTTTCTTTCTTTCTTTCCCTTTTCTTTTTTCATTTTTCTTTTCTTTTTCTTTTACTTTATTCCTTCCCTCCTTCCTCCCTCTCTCCCTCCTTCCCTCCCCTCCCTCCTTCCCTCCTTCCTCCCTCTCTCCCTCCTTCCCTCCCCTCCCTCCTTCCCTCCTTCCTCCCTTCGTCCCTCCCTCTTTCCCTCCCTCCCTCGCTTCCTTCCTTCATTCTTTCCTTCCTTCCTTCCTTTGCTCTGTTTTTTTCTTTCCATAGGAATGTATATATTTTAGGTGAACAACATGATGTTTTGATAAACATATACAAAGCAAAATGATCTACAGCGAAGCAAATCAACATATCCATCACCTTCCATAGTTACTTTTTTGTGTAGTAAGAACACCTAAAATCTGTTCTCTGAATAAATTTTCAGTATACAATATAATATTATTAACTATAGTCTTCATGCTGTGTATTAGATCTATAGACTTAACAGCAAAACCAGCACAAGAATTCAGCCAAGATTTGAAATACCTGGGTTAGATTCTTTTCAATCAAATTTGTAGTTTCTCCTACTGGAAATGAGAGTATTGTGATTGTTTCCCCACTCTTTTTATATGTTAAGGCAGGATCTTGCTTTGTCACCCAGGCTGGAGTGCATTCTTACGATCATGGCTCAGTATAGCCTCAACTTCCCAGGCTCAAGAGCTCCTCTTGCCCCAGCCTCCCGAGTTGCCAGAATCACAGGCATGCACCACCAGGCCCAGATAATTTAATTTTTTGTAGATATGGGGTCCCACTATGTTGTCCAGGCTATTCTTGAACTCCTGGACTCAAGTGATCCTCCTGCCTCAGCCTTCCAAAGTGCTAGAATCTAAGCTGTGTTAGATCTAAACTAAATAGGTCATGGACCTACTGTGGGCTCTCTAGCATGAAAACAAAGAGGTTAGATTTAAATCTGCAGCCCTTGTATTTCATTGCCACTGCTAATCTGCCAAGCTGACTGCCTTGTGATCTATCCTCCTGTTTAGGGCTTGACAGTGCTTCTGTTGACTCTGCTTATTTATCCTTCTTTTGGCCCTGACTGAGCCATTTGACTTGCTGGTGTGCAGTTGCAGCTGGAGGGCAGTTTTCTGTGGCCCATTTGTCAGTGGTTCAGAGAATTTAACATCCCTCAGTGCAATGACAGATTTTGCCACCTCACCTGGAAATAATAGAAAACTGTTTCCACAGACCCCATAAGCACATAAGGAAAGGCCATTGAAAGCTTATGATGAAAGTGAAGGTGAATATTTGAAAGACCTAAGAATCCTCAAAAAAAAAAAAAAAAAAAGGATGTAGAGCTGTGGTTCTCAAACTTGGATGCACACTAGAATCATCTGGGGAGCTGGGGAGATAGCCCAGGCCCCAACCTAGATCAGTGGTTTGCCCACTTTAGCACTCATCTGAGGCCCTCAGACAGCTTGTTAGAACTGGCTGATAGGCTCCACCTGCAGAGTATCTGGTTCAGCAGGTCTGTGGTGAGCTCTGAGGATTTTAAAGACTAACAAGTTCCCAGGTGAGGCTGCTGATCTGGGGATTTTACTTTAATAAACACTTCCCTACACTAATTACGTCAAAATTTCTGGGTCCAAGATCCAGACATCAGCACTTTGTAAAGCTCCGTAGGTGATTCCAATGTGTAGCCAAATTTGAGAAGTGCGGAGAGAGAGCAACTCAGATACCAGAACTAGTAGCTATGACAGACCTTTCCCATTTCTAATCTTCTCAGGAGGATGCATCCTAAATGATTTGATCATTAAGTGACTAGGTATCTGCTTCTGTGGAATGTGCAATTTAACTCGAAGGACACTACAAACTCACCACCCCAAAAATATTCCTTCCTATGCTTCTTTCATCCTCTCCCCTTTCCTTGACTAGTTACCTAAGCTTCATGGGTCACCTATGCCTTAATCCCTGTGTCTTAAAGACATTGCAAAGGTCAGCCTGAGCTCCCTGATGGATGCTGGTAGGAGTGAGTTCAGAACCCAGCTGTATGTTCCCACCTCCCCTCCCTGTGCTCTAAAGACACTTCTGGATGAGAGAAGAGAATAGCAGGGTAAAATACCACCAGTCACAAGCTTGTTCTTATGGTTTTCAGTAGCCCCAATCACCCTCAGAGAACCAGAATCTCTGGTCATGGGGAAACTTTGCATTAAGCAGGGAATAAATTCTCACCCTCTGGAGTTAGTGGGATGATACGTGGTAAGATGAACTCAGTAGATGTTAACCTGATATTTAATCATGAGTTACAGCGAGTTAATATTAGTTTATCTGGTATATGACCAAGCTCATTATACACATGTTCTTATTCAATTCTCACAGCAACCTTATAAGACAGACATTAGGTTTCTATTTTCTAGAAGGGGGCACTAAGTTTCAGTGAGATGAAATAGTTAGCCAAAGGTCATAAAGCTGGGCTTCCTACTCACATCCGACCTGCTATACCATTGAGTGTTAGTGAATCCTGTTCAAAGCACAAGATAGCGGGGAATTGAGCAGGGAGCTATGGCATGGCGGGTACTGAAGCTAGAGCTATTTTTGTTAGAAAAACTGTTAACCAGGTTCAGGAAGCAAGGCCAGGAATGAAAAGGAGGGCACTGCTCAGAAGACCATGCTTCTGACTTCATACTTTGGCTTCAGGCCACCTTCCTCCACTGCAATAGTACCTGTGCAATGAAAAATCGAATACAACGAAATTTGTAAACATATTCTCACTAGCTAAAGATGTTGCTAACATGATGTAGCAGTAATGTATGTATATACACGTGGATGGGATTGTAAAATCTAGAAACATGTGCAAATGCTGGTTTGTGGCTTGTTCTTTTGAAAATTCTGTTTCTATTTCAACCTAAAAATTTTTTCATGTTGGCAAATATTTTTCTAAGGTATGATTTTTAGTGAGTGTATTTTATTATATTATATGCATGTGTTATATTTAACCAATTTCCTATTATAGGAGTTTAGTTTTTATCCATTTGTCCTTTTTATAAAACAAAGTTATGACAAAGATTATTTACACAAATATCAAATTCTACATTCGTACTTTTTATGTAAAATTCCTCTAAGTTGAATTTGTGGGTGTTATGTATGCATATTTTTAAGGTTTTTTGATACCTGTTATTAAATTGCTCTGTAGAAAGTTTGTTGTTGTTGTTAAAGCAGTTTCCCACCTGTGTTGTTAGAGGGTGCCTATTGTTGCCAACCTTGAAAACACTGGATATTCACACTTTTAAATATCAATTGTGTAGGTAAAAATGGTGCTTCATTAGAATTTTTTAAATCAGCATCACATTCTTTGAGATAATTAAAAAACAAATTTAACCACATAGGCTTTCTCTATTAGTCATAGGTTTATCAACCCCATTGTAATGACGAATCTTTGTTAAATATAATTTAGACACGGTAACCACTGAGCCACACTTTCCCTTTATGCTAACTTCTATCTTACCTCCTTGATTAACTCTGGACTTTCTGACTTAGAACTTGTAGAGTGTCTGTGTGTGTGTGTGTGTGTGTGTGTGTGTGTATGTGTGTGTGTGTCTTTGCAGCGGTGGGGTGTCACTTCCCCAAACCCTTCATGTTTTGGAATTGAAGAAAAGAATATTTTCTGCTTAGGAAAAGCAGCATTTCTGTTTGGGTCCTCATTCCTCTACAACCTCCCACCCCCTTGTTAGCCACCTAATTTGCCAATTAACCCAGGCATTCCTGATTCTGGGGGTAAAAGGCGAAACAGAGAGCCATGCAGACAATATATAATACCCCCATGAGGGCATCAGAATTTGACAGCCTTCAATAGGTTAATTTTTCAAAGTGGTAAGCTGATATTTCTGTATAAAATGCACATCTGCAGGGTAAACGGTATTAAGTGTTGGTGAATTATGGTCCCAGCCTAGGGGTCACTTGAGCCTCAGTGCTACAAGTACCTTAATGCTTTTTTGAATGAAGGCTCCACTAATTGTTTCCATATGATTCTCCCCTTGTCCCTCCTCCCAGCCTCCCTCACTGTCCCCACCCCTTCCCCACTTGCGCTTTGGCACACACAGGAATAATGAGCTATGAAATTGTACCATATTGATTGGGGACTGATCTTACAATAGAAACTGCCATTTTCCCCTGGATTTGCTTTGACTCTTGAAGTTCAGACACCTTTGGGGTCAAGTCTCAGAAGCCCTAAGCCTTCCCCCTCTGCTCCCTACTCCCTCATTCTTTTAAACCACTGGGAGCGAGCACATAGACTATGAAGAAGCAGGCAGACCATTAATTAGCTTGACTGTTATGCTGTCTGGTGGAAGGGGGATCTGAGGGCCTTTTAAAGGGTGTGTTGGCATGTTGATGGGAAGGAAGGAGGGGAGAAGAGTTACAAGCTTTCCCAAAATATGCCCCTGGAAGGATCCCCTGTGTGAGGCAAGGCAAGCCAGTCCAGAAATGAGCCTTCTGAGGTTTGTCTGCTTCCCACCCAAAGACCCAGAGTAGAACTGAGAGACAACACAGGTGGGCTTCCTGGATGGAGATTAAAGTTAGTTAAACAATATTGTCCATTTGGCTAAAAGGGGATCAGCAGGAGACCTGGCAATGGGCAAACAGAGAAAAGAAACGTGGCGTGTCTAACGTCTATTGCATGCCAGGTGCCCTCATGAGCGGTCATTAATTCTAAACCACTGACTTCCCATGGAAAGTAAGCATGAGCATGTCCACGATGAGAATAAGAGGCTCACCAAGTCAAGCGGCTTGCCTGAGATTATTACCAGATCTTGTAGATGGTGGATCTATATTCACACTCAGATCTGCCACGTTTCAAAACCTATGCTCTCCAACAGCTTAATTTAGTGGTAGATGGGGCATGCTCTGGGATCCTACAGACCTGATTGGATGCTGACTCTTCCACTCACAAGCTAAGCAACCCAGAGATGCTACCCAGTTTTTAATTTGTAAAATGGGGATATTTCTATATGCCTTATACGACTGTCATGAGAACAAGAGAACACATTTGGGCAAGGCAGGGTGGCTCACGCCTGTAATCCCAGCACTTTGGGAGGCTGAGACGGGTGGATCACTTGAGGTCAGGTTGAGACCAGCCTGGCAAACATGGGGAAACCCCACCTCTGCTAAAAATACAAAAATTAGCCTGGCGTGGTGGCTCGCGCCTATAGTCCCAACTACTTGGGAGGCTGAGGCAGGAGAATCACTTGAACCTAAGAGGCAATGAGTGGTTGCAGTGAGCTGAGATTTTGCCACTGCACTTCAGCCTGGAAAAAAAAAAAAAAAGAACCCATGTGGAACATAGCATGTAGCACTGATTGAACACTCAGAAGATGTTAGTTGTTAATAGTTGTCGTTGTTTTTACTATTATTATTTCTGTTTCCTCCTATAAACTACAAATCCCCACTGCCACAGAATCCTTGACACTCTGTTGGCCTTGAGCTTCCCCTGGTTTCTCTTCCTGCTCAGTTCAGCCTGAAGTGACTTTGCATTCTCTTGAATTCCTCTGCTGCTACCTGTTTTGTTCTCTTGGCAGTAATACAACTGCCTTCTCACTTTAACTGCATTATTGAAATGGTATTTGTACTTTATAGCTATTTAATTTCCTCTGTGTTTATGGCTTATTCTTCTCCAACTAAATTGTAGATATCCCTGCAGGGCAGGAGTCTCACATTTCCTTCAGTTTCTTGCTACAGCTGGCTTAAAGCCATGCCAGTCTGGCTGCTCAGAGTCTCAGGATTCAATCGTGTCATGTGTTAATACAGAGTACAAAATTCCATTTCAGGTAACCCTAAAAATATGATGAGATTTGCTTTTCTTCCCCACATTGCTGGTCTGATCTCTAGCCTGTACCTGGCTGGGCAGCTCGAAACCATCTGCATATCTAGGGCCTTCTGCTGTTTATGCTGATGTTTACAAGCGAGCAAGTATTTGGCAGTGAAATTGTCTTTTGAAATATGACTTAAGTAAATTAAGCAATTCAAAAATGAATCAGGCCGGACTACATTTTATTTGTTTTGAATGATGCTGCTCTGTCCCCGTGGATTGAACTTATAGCCAAATGGTTGAGATTTATTATCTTTGCACAGTGCAAATTCAAGCTGAGTATGTTTATAGTTAGAGTTTATTCAGACACATTTTGTAGAAACTCAACACAAACTAGTTTGAGAGAAAAGGATACTGGGGATGAATGAAAAACCAAAACAGTTTGCGAAGAGTGTGAAAGGTGGAAAGCAAAATAAGTAAAACGTTTCAAAAACAGAGTTTAAAAAAAGAAGAGAAAAAATATAAACCAAAACAGCTTTCAGGGATCTTAAAAACTGGAATCTGAACCATCTCCTTCGTTCTTCCTCCCTTCTCCTACCTCTTATTTTTCCCCCTCTCTCTGGGTGATAGATTTATTCTCTGTCTTTTTTCAGCTCTGGGATTATATTCTTAAAGCTCCACAAGCAAATAATAGAGAAGTTTTCTGCAGCACCTCCACTTAAGAAAACTACAAGGAAAATTCTGACAGAAGCACGAACATGCAATAGGATAACTGGCCTTATCCAGGTCCCCTGCCCACTCCTGTAGTCAGAAAGGCCAACTTTGCTGCCTAACCACAATTCAACAATCTTGAGAAGACTGAGATAAAAAGACAATTGAATATTACTGGATTTTTTGTCTCTCACTTTAACTCATTACCTATTTATTTAGTACTTGCTGAGCACTGATGAATGAATAATGAACAAGAGAGACATGCAGCTGACATTCCAGAAGGGAGGAATGGTGATTAAATAATTCTTTGTTTTTTTTTTTTTAATTTTTTTTATTATTATTACACTTTAAGTTTTAGGGTACATGTGCACAATGTGCAGGTTTGTTACATATGTGTACATGTGCCATGTTGGTGTGCTGCACCCATTAACTCGTCATTTACATTAGGTATATCTCCTAATGCTATCCCACCCCCTTCCCCTGACCCCACAACAGGCCCCGGATTGTGATGTTCCCCTTCCTGTGTCCATGTGTTCTCATTGTTCAAATCCCACCTATGAGTGAGAACATGTGGTGTTTGGTTTTTTGTCCTTGTGATAGTTTGTTGAGAATGATGGTTTCCAGTTTCATCCATGTCCCTACAAAGGACATAAACTCATCAATTTTTATGGCTGCATAGTATTCCATGGTGTATATGTGCCACATTTTCTTAATCCAGTCTATCGTTGTTGGACATTTGGGTTGGTTCCAAGTCTTTGCTATTGTGAATAGTGCCGCAATAAACATACGTGTGCATGTGTCTTTATAGCAGCATGATTTATAATCCTTTGGGTATATACCCAGTAATGGGATGGCTGGGTCAAATGGTATTTCTAGTTCTAGATCCCTGAGGAATCGCCACACTGACTTCCACAATGGTTGAACTAGTTTACAGTCCCACCAACAGTGTAAAAGTGTTCCTATTTCTCCACATCCTCTCCAGCACCTGTTGTTTCCTGACGTTTTAATGATCGCCATTCTAACTGGTGTGAGATGGTATCTCATTGTGGTTTTGATTTGCATTTCTCTGATGGCCAGTGATGATGAGCATTTTTTGATGTGTTTTTTTGGCTTCATAAATGTCTTCTTCAGAGAAGTGTCTGTTCATATCCTTTGCCCACTTTTTGATGGGGTTGTTTGTTTTTTTCTTATAAATTTGTTTGAGTTCATTGTAGATTCTGGATATTAGCCCTTTGTCAGATGAGTAGGTTGCGAAAATTTTCTCCCATTTTGTAGGTTGCTTGTTCACCCTGATGGTGGTTTCTTTTGCTGTGCAGAAGCTCTTTAGTTTAATTAGATCCCATTTGTCAATTTTGGCTTTTGTTGCCATTGCTTTTGGTGTTTTAGACATGAAGTCCTTGCCCATGCCTATGTCCTGAATGGTATTGCCTAGGTTTTCTTCTAGGGTTATTATGGTTTTAGGTCTAACATGTAAGTCTTTAATCCATCTTGAATTAATTTTTGTATAATGTGTAAGGAAGGGATCCAGTTTCAGCTTTCTACATATGGCTAGCCAGTTTTCCAAGCACCATTTATTAAACAGGGAATCCTTTCCCCATTTCTTGTTTTTCTCAGGTTTGTCAAAGATCAGATAGTTGTAGATATGTGGCATTATTTCTGAGGGCTCTGTTCTGTTCCACTGATCTATATCTCTGTTTTGGTACCAGTACCATGCTGTTTTGGTTACTGTAGCCTTGTAGTATAGTTTGAAGTCAGGTAGCGTGGTGTCTCCAGCTTTGTTCTTTTGCCTTAGGATTGCCTTGGCGATGCGGGCTCTTTTTTGGTTCCATATGAACTTTAAAGTAGTTTTTTCCAATTCTGTGAAGAAAGTCATTGGTAGCTTGATGGGGATGGCATTGAATCTATAAATTACCTTGGGCCGTATGGCCATTTTCACGATATTGATTCTTCCTACCCATGAGAATGGAATGTTCTTCCATTTGTTTGTATCCTCTTTTATTTCATTGAGCAGTGGTTTGTAGTTCTCCTTGAAGAGGTCCTTCACATCCCTTGTAAGTTGGATTCCTAGGTATTTTATTCTCTTTGAAGCAATTGTGAATGGGAGTTCACTCATGATTTGGCTGTTTGTCTGTTATTGGTGTATAAGAATGCTTGTGATTTTTGTACATTGATTTTGTATCCTGAGACTTTGCTGAAGTTGCTTATCAGCTTAAGGAGATTTTGGGCTGAGACAAGGGGGTTTTCTAGATATACAATCATGTCATCTGCAAACAGGGACAATTTGACTTCCTCTTTTCCTAATTGAATACCCTTTATTTCCTTCTCCTGCCTAATTGCCCTGGCCAGAACTTCCAACACTATGTTGAATAGGAGTGGTGAGAGAGGGCATCCCTGTCTTGTGCCAGTTTTCAAAGGGAATGCTTCCAGTTTTTGCCCATTCAGTATGATATTGGCTGTGGGTTTGTCATAGATAGCTCTTATTATTTTGAGTTACGTCCCATCAATACCTAATTTATGGAGAGTTTTTAGCATGAAGGGTTTTTGAATTTTGTCAAAGGCCTTTTCTGCATCTATTGAGATAATCACGTGGTTTTTGTCTTTGGTTCTGTTTATATGCTTGATTATATTTATTGATTTGCATATATTGAACCAGCCTTGCATCCCAGGGATGAGGCCCACTTGATCATGGTGGATAAGCTTTTTGATGTGCTGCTGGATTTGGTTTGCCAGTATTTTATGGAGGATTTTTGCATCAATGTTCATCAAGGATATTGGTCTAAAATTCTCTTTTTTGGTTGTGTCTCTGCCAGGCTTTGGTATCAGGATGATGCTGGCCTCATAAAATGAGTTAGGGAGGATTCCCTCTTTTTTTATTGATTGGAATAGTTTCAGAAGGAATGGTACCAGTTCCTCCTTGTACCTCTGGTAGAATTTGGCTGTGAATCCATCTAGTCCTGGACTCTTTTTGGTTGGTAAGCTATTGATTATTGCCACAATTTCAAAGCCTGTTATTGGTCTATTCAGAGATTTAACTTCTTCCTGGTTTAGTCTTGGGAGGGTGTATGTGTCCAGGAATTTATCCATTTCTTCTAGATTTTCTAGTTTATTTGCGTAGAGGTGTTTGTAGTATTCTCTGATGGTAGTTTGTATTTCTGTGGGATCAGTGATGATATCCCCTTTATCATTTTTTATTGTGTCTATTTGATTCTTCTCTCTTTTCTTCTTCATTAGTCTTGCTAGCGGTCTATCAATTTTGTTGATCCTTTCAAAAAACCAGCTCCTGGATTCATTAATTTTTTGAAGGGTTTTTCGTGTCTCAATTTCCTTCAGTTCTGCTCTGATTTTAGTTATTTCTTGCCTTCTGCTAGCTTTTGAATGTGTTTGCTCTTGCTTTTCTAGTTCTTTTAATTGTGATGTTAGGGTGTCAATTTTGGATCTTTCCTGCTTTCTCTTGTGGGCATTTAGTGCTATAAATTTCCCTCTACACACTGCTTTGAATGTGTCCCAGAGATTCTGGTATATTGTGTCTTTGTTCTCATTGGTTTCAAAGAACATCTTTATTTCTGCCTTCATTTCGTTATGTACCCAGTAGTCATTCAGGAGCAGGTTGTTCAGTTTCCATGTAGTTGAGCGGTTTCGAGTGAGTTTCTTAATCCTGAGTTCTGGTTTGATTGCACTGTGGTCTGAGAGACAGTTTGTTTTAATTTCTGTTCTTTTACATTTGCTGAGGAGAGCTTTACTTCCAAGTATGTGGTCAATTTTGGAATAGGTGTGGTGTGGTGCTGAAAAAATGTATATTCTGTTGATTTGGGGTGGAGAGTTCTGTAGATGTCTGTTAGGTCCACTTGGTGCAGGGCTGAGTTCAATTCCTGGGTATCCTTGTGAACTTTCTGTCTCGTTGATCTGTCTAATGTTGACAGTGGGGTGTTAAAGTTTCCCATTATTATTGCGTGGGAGTCTAAGTGTCTTTGTAGGTCACTCAGGACTTGCTTTATGAATCTGGGTGCTCCTGTATTGGTTGCATATATATTTAAGATAGTTAGCTCTTCTTGTTGAATTGATCCCTTTACCATTATGTAATGGCCTTCTTTGTCTCTTTTGATCTTTGTTGGTTTAAAGTCTGCTTTATCAGAGACTAGGATTGCAACCCCTGCCTTTTTTTGTATTCCATTTGCTTGGTAGATCTTCCTCCATCCTTTTATTTTGAGCCTGTGTGTGTCTCTGCATGTGAGATGGGTTTCCTGAATACAGCACACTGATGGGTCTTGACTCTTTATTCAATTTGCCAGTCTGTGCCTTTTAATTGGAGCATTTAGTCCATTTACATTTAACGTTAATATTGTTATGTGTGAATTTGATCCTGTCATTATGATGTTAGCTGGTTATTTTGCTCGTTAGTTGATACAGTTTCTTCCTAGCCTCGATGGTCTTTACAATTTGGCATGATTTTGCAGTGGCTGGTACTGGTTGTTCCTTTCCACGTTTAGTGCTTCCTTCAGGAGCTCTTTTAGGGCAGGCCTGGTGGTGACAAAATCTCTGAGCATTTGCTTGTCTGTAAAGTATTTTATTTCTCCTTCACTTATGAAGCTTAGTTTGGCTGGATATGAAATTCTGGGTTGAAAATTCTTTACTTTAAGAATGTTGAATATTGGCCCCCACTCTCTTCTGGCATGTAGAGTTTCTGCCGAGAGATCCGCTGTTAGTCTGATGGGCTTCCCTTTGTGGGTAACCCGACCTTTCTCTCTGGCTGCCCTTAACATTTTTTCCTTCATTTCAACTTTGGTGAATCTGACAATTATGTGTCTTGGAGTTGCTCTTCTCGAGGAGTATCTTTGTGGCATTCTCTGTATTTCCTGAACCTGAATGTTGGCCTGCCTTGCTAGATTGGGGAAGTTCTCCTGGATCATATCCTGCAGAGTGTTTTCCAACTTGGTTCCATTCTCCCTGTCACTTTCAGGTACACCAATCAGACGTAGATTTGGTCTTTTCACATAGTCCCATATTTCTTGGAGGCTTTGCTCATTTCTTTTTATTCTTTTTTCTCTAAACTTCCCTTCTCACTTCCTTTCATTCATTTCATCTTCCATCACTGATACCCTTTCTTCCAGTTGATCGCATTGGCTCCTGAGGCTTCTGCATTCTTCACGTAGTTCTCGAGCCTTGGCTTTCAGCTCCATCAGCTCCTTTATGCACTTCTCTGTATTGGTTATTCTAGTTATACATTCGTCTAAATTTTTTTCAAAGTTTTTAACTTCTTTGCCTTTGGTTTGAATTTCCTCCTGTAGCTCGGAGTAGTTTGATCGTCTGAAGCCTTCTTCTCTCAACTCATCAAAGTCACTCTCCGTCCAGCTTTGTTCCGTTGCTGGTGAGGAACTGCATTCCTTTGGAGGAGGAGAGGCGCTCTGGTTTTTAGACTTTCCAGTTTTTCTGCTCTGTTTTTTCCCCATCTTTGTGGTTTTATCTACTTTTGGTCTTTGATGATGGTGATGTACAGATGCGTTTTTGGTGTGGATGTCCTTTCTGTTTGTTAGTTTTCCTTCTAACAGACAGGACCCTCAGCTGCAGGTCTGTTGGAGTTTGCTAGAGGTCCACTCCAGACCCTGTTTGCTTGGGTATCAGCAGTGGTGGCTGCAGAACAGCGGATTTTCGTGAACCGTGAATGCTGCTGTCTGATCGTTCCTCTGGAAGTTTTGTCTCAGAGGAGTACCCGGCCGTGTGAGGTGTCAGTCTGCCCCTACTGGGTGGTGCCTCCCAGTTAGGCTGCTCGGGGGTCAGGGGTCAGGGGTCAGGGACCCACTTGAGGAGGCAGTCTGCCTGTTCTCAGATCTCCAGCTGCATGCTGGGAGAACCACTGCTCTCTTCAAAGCTGTCAGACAGGGACATTTAAGTCTGCAGAGGTTACTGCTGTCTTTCTGTTTGTCTGTGCCCTGTCCCCAGAGGTGGAGCCTACAGAGGCAGGCAGGCCTCCTTGAGCTGTGGTGGGCTCCACCCAGTTTGAGCTTCCTGGCTGCTTTGTTTACCTAAGCAAGCCTGGGCAATGTTAGGCGCCCCTCCCCCAGCCTTGCTGCCACCTTGCAGTTTGATCTCAGACTGCTGTGCTAGCAGTCAGCGAGACTCCATGGGCATAGGACCCTCCGAGCCAGGTGCAGGATATAATCTCCTGGTGCGCCATTTTTTAAGCCCATCGGAAAAGCACAGTATTAGGGTGGGAGTGACCCGATTTTCCAGGTGCCATCTGTCACCCCTTTCTTTGACTAGGAAAGGGAACTCCCTGACCCCTTGTGCTTCCCGAGTGAGGCAATGCCTTGCCCTGCTTCGGCTCGCACACGGTGCGCTGCACCCACTGTCCTGTGCCCACTGTCTGGCACTCCCTAGTGAGATGAACCCGGTACCTCAGATGGAAATGCAGAAATCACCCGTCTTCTGCATCGCTCACGCTGGGAGCTGTAGACCGGAGCTGTTCCTATTTGGCCATCTTGGCTCAGTCTATTTCTAGCTTTCCTTTTGATTATTTATTAAACTTTCCATTTTGTTTTTATATAACTCATCTGTTCTTGCCTTTTGTACACTTTTTTTAGTAAGTCCTTTAGCATATTAGCATATTATTCATAGTTATTTTAAATTTGTGGTTTTATTATTCCAAACTCTCTGCCATATCTGTATCTGGTTCTGAGACTTCCTTGATCTCTTGAGTTTTTTTTTGCCTTTCAACATGCCTTGCAATTTCTTATTGAATGCTAGACATGATTTATTAAGTAAAAGGAACTAAGGCAAATCAGCCTCTATTGTGAGATTTTATGTTTTTGTGGCTAGGAGTTAGTGTGTGCCTATTGTTTACTATAGTTGTTGGTGTCAGGGGTTAAATTTTCCTGAGGTATCCTTATTTGTTTCTTCTTTGTTGTTTTTGGGTTTCCCTAGAGACTTCTTAAATAAATTCTGAGACTTACAATTTTTTAGTTGTAATGCTTTACTATATGGATGCTGTATTGAAGTGGTGGTAGATGTTGGAGAGGTTTTCTATAGTCCTATGATTAGTTCTTTATCTTTTAGTGAGCCTGTACCCCTGGGCTGTAACCTTTACAAGTGTGTCTCAATTCCCTCTCCTCTTTCAGTGACATAGAAAGGCTAGATAGAAATGGAGTTGAGTGTTTCAAATTGCCACACATAGAAGGCTGAAACAGGCTGTTGTTAGATATTGCACTTCCCCAAGGTTAATTAGGCTCTGTAAGACCCAAAGTGGTTAGGCTCTGGTAAAATAGTTTCCTTTGAGAGTTGGCTTTTGTTAAAGAGAACATAATACTCTGGGCATATTTCAAAAATGATCGCTCTTTTCCTCCCCCTAAAGGAAGCATAAGATAATATTTCTTTGATCTTCATCCTAACAACCTGGGTAAGGCACCTGGGGGAAAAACACATGAAAATGTAGAGATTGTCTTAAGAATAACTTCCCCCACTGGATTTTTTAACTCTCAAGCTTATCTACTCTGAGCCTCCAAAAATTTACTAATTAGCATTTAAGTTCTCCCACCATGATACTGGATTCAGAGGTAGACTTCTGGGCTGCTGCTCTGGTAAGCTGTGATTATCCATATTCACTTGCCTCTCCAATTTAGAGGGTAGCAGTTTTCCCAAAACTTACCCAAAGGGGCTGTAGCCAATTTTGAGAGCTCTCTTTACTGAAGGCATGGAAATTGAAAAAATTTTAAGTTGAGACCCTAATTATTTTAGCTCCACTTTCATTAAATGAACCACTTTCAGTTTAATTAACATTCTTACAATTTGGGAACAGAAAGAGCTCTTAGGTAAAACAAAAATTTCCCTCATCTAGAATTTCGGAAAGTACATTCCATGAACAAGTAGTGCTAGAAGGTGTTTATTAGTGTTCACTGAAAATCCCAGTTCCATGGTCAAGTAACTTTAGTAATGACTGCGTTGAATAAAACCAGATGAATTTTTTTTTTTTTTTTTTTGAGACGGAGTCTCGCTCTGTCGCCCAGACTGGAGTGCAGTGGCGCGATCTCGGCTCACTGCAAGCTCCGCCTCCGGGGTTCAAGCCATTCTCCTGCCTCAGCCTCCCAAGTAGCTGGGACTACAGGCATCCACCACCACGCCCGGCTATTTTGTATTTTTAGTAGAGACGGGGTTTCACTGTGTTAGCCAGGATGGTCTCAATCTCCTGACCTTGTGATCCACCCACCTCGGCCTCCCAAAGTGCTGGGATTACAGGCGTGAGCCACCACGCCCGGCCATGAATTTCTTTACTATAGAATTTCTCCCATCATTTATGTTAATATTCAGTGCTAATCTCTGCGATAGGAAGTAGAGTGCTTTCTGTGTACCTGCTGAGGACTGTTTGTCAAATAATGACCACAAAAGGTGACCACAGAAAGAGCTAGTATTTCCAAGCATACACTTCAGTAAATTTAGCCCTATGTCTATTTGGAATGATTATTTGCTTATGTTTCTAGAGACATAGCAGAGATTTCCGACATCCTACAAATGCAATTCACAAGACATAGCTGTCGCAGAGCCACCAAGATGTCCTTGTTGGGCATGGAACAGGGCACTTCCTGGGCTCTCTGTCAGGCCTCAACTTATCAAGATAATTGTTGGGGTGAGAAAATCAGTTGAGCGACTACTGCCCTGGAGAGAGTTAGGGAAAGAAGGTGGTGAACCAAGAACAAGTCAAATAGAGCCATATAACTGAGGCCAAGTAGGCAGTGACTGAGTCAGCACTGATTTGCCCATTGCAGGGAGTACACAGGGGAAATCAGCTAATCAGAGCTTCCGGGCAACTCATTACCCTTTACAGTGGAAAGCATTTATAATGGAGGCTTCTTCCCTGACTTTAAATAAAGCGTGTCTTGGGAAAATTACTTTCTAAACTGGGCTGTAATGATCCAACTCCCTATTCAATAGATGACTGTGTCGTTTTAACTTCCACAGGTATTAGAATAGCACAATAATATTCGTGTGGGGAAGGCAAATTGTGCAGTCTATAGAGAGGTTAAATGAATGAAGTCAAAATTGTAGAAGTAATAAGGCAATGTGATTCAATAGGAAAATAACTATTATTTTATGAAAATGTATTGTCTGTAGAGATCTTCAAAGGGCTGGAAATGGTCCTGTTATTCCTATTCAGAAGAGAAACTTTAGATCAATAGTACTCTTTATGGCAAAGAAATTGGCCAGTAGAGGAAAGGGTATAGACATTAAAATAGGTTAGACTTGGGTTTTAAATTCCAATCCATTGATTGTCTTTTCCTTAGCATGGAGGCTAGGACCTGCGTCAAGTCATAAAAAGCCATAAATAGTTACAAGGCCTCAAATAACTTTCATCATGCTCTACCTTGATGCATACCTTGGTTCTTCAGCAATATGACTTGGAAACTTTGTTGTTCTCTCAAAGCCTCAATTCCTCCTCTGAAAAATTGGATTAGTCCTACTTAACTCATAGAGTTCAAAGGAGGTAAATTTTAAGTGTACATAAAGTGTCCAGCAAAATTCTCAAGCATACAATAAGTGACAAAAAAGCATTCACTGAGCGAGTTAGTGGCAGGCTAGGCACATTTTACCCTCTTTGGTAAATTACCAACCATCAATGCTGACATTTTCTTTAAAAGGCAATAAAAGGCCTCCATTATCAATCACTCATGTTCCAGGGAAAAGTTATTTAATCTGAGATGGCTGTATAACTTCAGGTAAGCTATTTAACAACTCTGTTCTTGGCCGGGTGCGGTGGTTCACGCCTGTAATCCCAGGACTTTAGGAGGCCAAGGTGGGCAGATCACGAGGTCAGGAGATTGAGACCATCCTGGCTAACACGGTGAAACCCCGTCTCTACTAAAAATACAAATATTAGCCGGGCGTGGTGGCGGGCCCCTGTAGTCCTAGCTACTCGGGAGGCTGAGGCAGGAGAATAGCGTGAACCCGGGAGGCAGAGCTTGCAGTGAGCCGAGATCGCGCCACTGCACTCCAGCCTGGGTGACAGAGCGAGACACCGTCTCAAAAAGAAAGAAAGAAACAAACAAACAAAAAAAATCTCTGTTCTTCTGTCATGTTTCTTTTGAAATAATTCCATCCCATCTTAGTACAAAATCGATTTGGAGTTAGGAGACCTGGAGAGGATACTCAGCTTCCTGAGACTTTAGGCCAAGTTCCTTAACATTTCTGAGTCTGTTTGCTTGTGCATAAAATGCCTATGATACTTGTCCAATTTATTTCATAGTTATGTAGTCAGGAGCAATTGAGATGAAGTATTTGGAAATCCTAAATTAACTTTGTAAAGCAGGCTATATCTCTAGGTTGATTTCAATGTTGTTTCTCCAGCATTGGAAGAAGAGAGTTCACAGGTCTCTACTGTTGGGGGTCCATTAGGGTGCAAAGACTTTGCTTGGGAATTAGGAGATCATGGTTTTCATTCTAACTGTATCTTCCTGTGCTATCTTAGACATTTAATTTTATCTCTTTGTTCTCCATTTAATAAAAAAATTGTTCCCCATATGACAAAAGAAATTCAGGGAGTAGAAGAAAAGAAGATTTGATCTCGACTCTCCATTCTAAAAGTCTAAGAATATTACAATCCTTCTTTTCTGTTGGCATTCTAAAAAATGGAGTCAACATTTGTAGGTCTAACTGGATTCAGTTGTTTATAGAGCGATACCTGCCAGAGGCATATAGTGTAGTTGGATAATCCTGCTGTATTTCTGTAAAATTACCTTTTTCTTTCAGAGGAAACAAAAGCACAGCTTGGTCTCTTTTTTTTGAAAGAACCTTTTGTCTCGCATTCTTGTTGGTCAGATACCAGGTGCCAAGAAGCAAGTGATCCCAAAGGAATTTCACTTTGGCACCACCGAGGACAAAGGGGTCATTTAAAAATTTCACAACCATGGACAGGCTCAGCACCTAGTTTGAAGCATGGAGCCTGATTAATTGGACTGTCATTTCCAACAATTCTGAGCTTTGGCCTTTTCATTTGCCAGAAGGAAAAAGAAAGCAACATTCCTACACTTAATTTTCACAACCTTGAGCCAACAGTATGTGACAAAATCAACCTATTTCTCAACCATGGATTTCTTCTCCCTGTGATGCTTAACCTCACTGGTTCTTTTCAGTTGTCAAATTGAGGTAACATATAAAACTGAAATGTGAATGCAAGAAACCACTCCCATCCACACACTCTCAACATAAAACACACACACTTTTTTATAGCTAGATGCACAGACACGCAAGTACATACTCACACACCACAAAGATACGTCCTTGAGAAAAAAGTTTTTTCAAGAATATGAATATTGTTTGTTACTCTCTGTGGAGTTTTTAGGGGACAGATTTTTTGCATTATGTGTTGTACTTGTCTTATTTCATAACCAACTACTAATAATGATATTATTTAAGATGGTGGTAATAACAGTTGCCATCAATCAAATGCTTATTATATTTGAGGCTTTGTGTTAAGCGCTTTAGTCATAACATTCTTCTCTGAAAGGATATTAGATCAATCTTGTTATTATTATCAGATATCATTGTTATTATGGACTTCTAGATGAAGAAACAGAAGCTTTGGAAGATTTAGTCACTTGCCCAAGGACACAGTGGGCTTCAACTGCAGCTCAAACCAAATTATTTCTGATCCAAAACCCCACACTGTAGACCTCTCTTCTCTACTCCTTTGTACGCATATGCCCAAATTTAAAATCCCAGACAACCAAAGTCTTTTTAAAGACTTTGAAGCCCTAATCGAACTGTAACTATTAAGCACCTCTGTGAGTCTTGAATAGAACCCCTTTTTAGTTATGAAGCAAGAACTAGGCAGAATTCATTTCTAGTCTCATAGCAGAGAATTAACAGTGTATTATAGGTTGAACAATATAAAATTCCTGATTCTTGACCATTTTTAACAATAGCAATGGCAATTTAATATGGATTTACATATTCCAAGCACTGTATGTTTGGCATAAACCATGATATTATTTCAAACAGGAGCCAGGCAAGAAATATAAGTATCTGAAGCATTACTTATAAGGCCATAGGGGACATCTGGATGGTGAAGAGCTGGAGAGGACAGGCTTTGTCAAAAGCCATTAATAGAAAATAAAAATAATATTAAAAACAAAAAACAGCTTACTAGCATTAAAAACAAAAACAACAACAAAAAAACCCCACCACATTGTCATTTCTAACCCCTAGTTTATAAAATAGACTCACTAGCAATTAGGAAAAAAAATAATTGAAGGCTATAGTTTTCATAAAGCTACACACAAATGTAGAATCTTCAAATGAGCCTTTCAGAAACAGTAGAATTAAAACAATTACAGAGACATGGCCACAGACCATTTATTTTAAAATATCTGGTCCTGTAACACTTTACCACAGTATGAAAAAGATTAATAATCTGAGTTTATACAACAATATTTTGGGAAAATGTAACACCACTCATAACACAGTCTCATTAGAATGGGTTCTATACAATATGACAATAAATTAAAAAAAAAATTATCGAACTCCTCTATGTGCCCAGTGCTGTGCCAGGTGTCATGAGAAATAGGAAAAAAAAAGTGCAACCCAGGCGTTCTTGTCCTTACCATGCCAACAATTTGATTTTTAACTATCCCCAAGTTTTATTTTATATTCCTAGCTGATGTTGATATCAAGGGACAAAGTCAAAATTCATTCTGGTGGGGAATTGACCGCTTCAGCCTTTTGTTAAGCTACCATTCCTTTTCTGTCAAAGGGTGTCAGCCTTTCTACGTGCAAGGGCCTGCCTGCCTAATTTGGACAGAGTGGGCCAGACTGCCCATGTCCTCCCAGCCCTTCCACTGGAAGTTGGATCCCAGCCTCACAATCATTCCTGGGAGGGGGAGGTGCAGCTCAAGCCAAATTAAGCCAGTGCTAGGAGTGACAAGTAAATGAGTGCAAAGCTGCTCCAGCTCTGTCTGCCCTTTCAGAAAGTAATCAAGTCAAATTATCTATGAGAAGAAGTGAAGTTGAGGGGGCCTGCAAATGAAAACCAGACTCAGGCAGCGGCTGACTTGAGAAAGCCCAGGAGCTCTATTAAAGACAGAGAGAGGGAGAGAGAGAGAGAGAAGAGAGAGAGACATTTTTTTCACTACCCCCAGACTGTTTACTTTTAAATATTTTGCTTTCTCCCTTGCTCATGTCTACCCCTTTGTTTATTTTTATTTGTTTCCTTTTCTGGATCTTCTAAAACTAGGCTGAGGACTCCAAGGGCAGGCAGAAGAGCCCATATCTGTGTGGGAACGGGGAAAGAATAAGGGAGCCTAGAGTGGGGCTCTGGCACAACTGTGCCTGGGTTCTGGGGTGCCTTTCCAGTGGGAATGACAGGTGGTGGTCAGAACTGGCTTGGGTCTAAATCTTCTGAGTGCAGCTTTTGGTCCAAACTGCAGGTCATTGGTGAGCCCTGTAAAATGCATTTGGATCCTTTAGGCCACTGATTCTTCTCAGGCAATTTTACTCTCGAGGGGACATGTGGCTATCTCTTGAGACATTTTTGGTTTTTGGTTGTCACATCATTAAAAAGTGAGATTTGATACTGACATCTATTGAGTAGAGACCAGGCATGCCCCTAAACATCATCCTATAATGTACAGGACAGCTTCCCATGAAATAGAATTATCTGGTTCAAAATGCCCCTAGGGCCCAGAATGAGAAACCTGCTTGAATAAGTATTAAATGACAAATGGTCTGGAAATGAAGAAATGAGGGCTGGAGCACCTCCTCCAGCTGCCCCTAATCCTAACGCCTTCAAATGAGGGCATCCCCTGTGCCCTCATTTGAAAATGGAGGCTGAAGTTGCACAAGAACTGGCCTCTCCAGTGATGATTTCTCCCCCTTGGAAATAGAGCAGTAGCTGTACAGTCACCTGGGCCCTCTCACAGGACTACACCTCCTGTTCTTCCATCTACCCCCGAGAACCATCACATTCTCTTTCCGACAGAGCCATCTCCAAGGAGCACTCGCCTTGACAAGACTACAGGCCCACATCACATCACTACTTCATCCTCCTCTTTCCAAACTTAAATGTGTGCCCAGGTGAAATCAGGAAGGGGGGGCTTTCAAGGGGAAAAGCAAGTATTTATAGTCTTTATTGGACTGTGTGGATCAAAAGGGAGAAACCCAATTACTTTGCCATAAGGCCGCGAACCACTTGGCAAATGAGTCTCTCAAGCCAAAACATTGCTAAGAGCCTGGGGATGGTCAACAGTTGTTCCTTTGGAGCAATATTGGATGAGGGAGTTGAGCAGTGGGAAGGTAGGAGGTAGCATGGTGACAGTGTCCCAGTAATGCCCTCTGGTGTCTGCGTCACTTTATCTCCTGACATTCACAGGCCCTTTCCTGGGCCCCACCTTTGAGGGGTGATCAGCCCCTCTGAAAGGTTTTCTCTGTGTTTGGCATGATTTTCAGGGTCAATTGGCTTCAGACTCTGTGTGCTCTTGCGAAGAGCTACCCACCATTTCTATTTCTAATAGAACAAATACGGTTTAGTTGGGCTAATTGTTTCTAAGCTCCAGAATGATGAATAGAGGAAACTATTTAACTCTGTCTCTCTGGAGCCCACTGAGGGTTTGTTATGATTCAGAAGTGAACTTGGGAAAATAAATGATTGTGTGAGCCCAGTTCCTAACAGATCCATGGGCATTTTTGTCAACATCAAGCAAGTTCCGTGATCAAGTGGTCACAGAGCTCTCCCTAAGAGAAGCAATGGTCAATTATCTGTACTGGATCTGGTGGCTCCGGAAAAGGGACCTCTAAGCCTCCTGTCCTCAGACTAACCTGGAAGGCACAGTGTCTTATGCCAGACTTTATCAGACAACAACAGGAGCAAGAAAACACAGCTTCAATTTATAAAAAGATAATAAAAGATAATATTTAGATACAAATTCTTATCATCTGTCTTCTGCTTTTTTCCACTTCAGTTCTCTCTGTTTCTTTCTCTCTCTCTCTGTCTCTCACTACAAAAGCCCCAGTTCAAGGGGATTTTACTTTGCTTTGGCAAAAATACCGTTTTACATTTCCAATAGGTTTAAATGCCTGTAAAGAGGCTCAGAGGGTGGCTTGATCACTGACAGCCTCAGACTAAATGATTTTTTGGACGCAGTGAATGCAACCCTATCAGAAGCATGTGGAATTTTATTTTGCTTAAAATTCACACCACTTTAAATTAAAGGAAGAAGCATTAGATCAAAGGGATGCAAAATTTTGTTCAGCCTCAAGAAACCATGGGCAAATTGTTCACCTCACTTGGTTTCAGTTTTTAAAGTACGGAGGATACACTAGATAATCTTGTATGCCCTTCGGACACTGACATTTTGTGGATTTTTGAGCCAGAATTCATCCTGCTCATATACTCTGTCAGCCTTGCTTTTCTGGTGAGAGTGGGGTTCTCAACAAGTCAGTAAGGTAGAGACCCGAGACTGGATTTGTACAACTTCCATTGGTCTTCACTCACCATAACAACAACAACAAAATGAAAACAAATAAAAGCCTCAAACACATAAGCCATCTGGAATTTTAGCTCTTATTTTGTTTTGTTTTGTTTTCCTATTTTAGTCAAGGTGGAAGGGGGCAGCTATAATGAGGTGATTCAAAAGAAGCTCTGCAAATTTCGATAGAACATCAAGAAATCACATTGTTTTTAAGAGGCTGAAGTATGCTTAGCTGAATGAAAAGCAGAAGGAGTTGGGAAATTTACACCACCTATCATCCTGCTGCCTTTTGTTCAGTTAGCCTCTGCTTGCTTGTGAGGAATGGTGGCATGAGTGATTATAAACAGATGCAAGAAGAGTAACACTGTAGTCTGAAGAGTAGGGCAGCTAATATATGAAAATACACTTTTCTAGGGCCTCTCCTTTGGCCTTAAGAGAAGATGGAGCTCCACTTTGCTATAGCCTGGTGGAGCAGTTGGCACTCTGTCCATAGGGCCTCTACTAACAAATAGTCTCAAAAGAGTAGCTAGAATAAGGGAAACATCGGTTACAACTCTGGTTGATTAGCTACAATACCAAGATTTCCTTCTTCTATGCAAGGAACATGTATTGAGTGTATATATGTGCCAAGCAGCATGCTAAATGCTGGGGATGCAACAGAGAATCCAGCATGAGTGGTCCCTGCCCTCAAGGAGCTTAAAAAGAGGGAATTAAAAAACAAACCCTCAAGGGCATAAGATGACAGCTTTGTGCTAGGTGCATGAGAGAACTGACTTATTTAATCCTGCCACCTACCTGCTGTTTTCTACAGTTGAATAAGCAGAGGGGTGAAATAATTAGCTCAGTTCCATTTAGCTTATTCATTGGCTTCATAATCCTTCAAATCCTTACTTCAAGATCCTTGCAGGTGTCATGCTCTCCCTCACAACCAAGAATTTAACTCTTTTGGGACTTAGTTTTCTCATCTCCATATTAAGAAGACTGGAGATAATTATTTATAAGGTGTCTTCCAAATACAGTATTCTGTTTCACCATGAACAAATTCTAAGGACTCTTCTTCTATATTTGAACTTCTTAAAATATTTTTCCTCTCTTGGAATCTGGCTCTTTTCTTTCCTGGTTTCCTTTTTCTTTCTTTATTTTTTTCTTTTGAGGTGGAGTCTCACTCTGTTGCCCAGGCTGGAGTGCAGTGGTGCAAGCTTGGCTCACTGCAACCTCTGCCTCCCAGGTTTAAGCGATTCTCCTGCCTTAGCCTCCAGAGTAGCTGGGATTACGGGTGTGCGACATCACAACCAACTAATTTTTGTATTTTTAGTAGAAATGGGGTTTTGTCATGTTGGCCAAGCTGGTCTCAAACTCCTGACCTCTAGTGATCCGCCCACCTTGGCCTCCCAAAGTGCTGAGATTATAGGCATCAGCCACAGTGCCCTGCCCCTTTTTATTTCTCTGAAAGGTTTTCTCCAATGTCCTGTGATAGTTCATTGTCTCTGGCCCTTTGAAATAGTGTTGTGCAAAACCTCATTATTGATCTGTTCCTGTTCTACTCCCACTGTCCTTTGGGACAATAATCAGTTTTGATATTTTGATTGCTTTGCCATATGCTGATGGCCCCAAAGATATGGGTGTAGACATCACCTTTAGCTCAGGACTGATGTTTCCAACTGCCCCCAAAAGATGCTCATGTGTTGCTGTGTTACACAAGCACCTCACTCTTTTTAAGGGATATGATGGATTGGCACTGATGGATTTGGCATTCAGCATCACTTTAACCATTTTCTCATAGGCTTTTCCGTATTTCAGAGGCTGGGGCCCATGTTTAGCATTTTCTTGTGTGTGAATCATGTTCTACTTAGAAGAACTCACACAATATTTGGGAAGTAAGAGTGAGATGGGGGCAGCGTGCTAATGTTTTGGATGTTGCTGCTGGTAGGCAATGTCGTGAAGTGGTTTTGTTTGTTCGTCTGTGTTTTTGTTTTTTTCTCTTCTTTTTTTCTCTGCAGTAGCATTACACTTAGCATCATGGGTGTTGAAAGCATGTTGGCAGTTGGTGGCATCCTGAAACTTTTATCACAGCTACAGCTGAGTGTTCTTATTTTTTTAATTAAATTATACATACAGAAAAGTGCATACATCATGCATATGCAACTTGATAAATTTCACAAACTGAGCATATGAACACATCCTGTAATGATGTCCACATCAAGAAACAGAACATGAAGAACAGTATCCCAGATGCCCCTCCCCCAGTTACTACCTCTGTCAAAGAAAGGATAGCCACTATCCTGATGTCTATGAGTCCTGCCTGCTGTAGAACTTTATAAATGAAATCATATAGTGTATTTTTTTGTTTGACTTCTCTGCACTCAACATTATATTTCTGATATTTATTTATATAGCTGTGTGTAAAGATTATAATTGCTGTCTATATCTCATTTCATAAATGCACTACAATTTATTCTAAATTTTACTGTTAATAAGTAATCGATAGTTTCTTGTTTAAAACCATTAAAAACGGTGCTGTCATGAACATGCTGGGCCATATTTTTGGTAAACAACCATAGGCATTTTTTTTGGGTGTTTACTTAGAAGTAAAATTTCTGGGTCATGAGAGTGCACATATTTAGCCTAAGTAGATACTGTCCAGGTTTCCAAAATGATTCTACCAATTACACCCCACTGGCAATGTATTTGAGTACTAGTTGTTGTATAATCTTCAACACTTGTTATTTTCCAGCATGTTCCACTATAACTATTCTGATGGCACACAGTAAAATCTCGTTGAGGTTTAAATGTCCATCTCCCTCATGACTAAGCTGAACACATTTTCATATATTTATTGGATATTTGGATACTCCCACTTAATAAATTCCTTTTCAGATTTACCTTTTTCTTACTGATTTGTAAGAGTTCTTTATATATTTTTGGTATGAGTCCTTTATTGGATAAATGTATATTATTGTACTCTGTGTTTTGCCTTTTCCATTTCATAATGGTGGATTTTGATAAACAGAAGTTTATTAATTAAAATATAATTTATCAATTTCTTTTGAATTATAGTTAGCATGTTTGTGGCCTATTTCAAAAGTCTTTACCTATCCATGATAAGGTCTTCTATGTTTTCTTTGAAAACTTTATTGTAATATTACTTATATTTAGAACTGCTATCTATCTGGATTGATATTTCAGTATAGAGTTAGGTAGGGATCAAGATATATGTTTGTTCATCTACCTGTCCAATTGACCCGTCACAATTTATTAGAAAAATTAATCTTCCCCCTATGATGAAATGTCATATTTCTGAAAAATCAGGTGTGAAATATGTGTGAGTCAGTTTCCACACTTCCTATTCTGTTCCATTAGTCTATTTGTCTATCCGTGCACTAATACTGCACTGATTTGATTCCTTCATAATAGGACTTAATATTTCTTAGTAAGTCCTCCAGCTTTATTTTTTATTATTCTTGGCCCTTTACAGTTTGAAATATTTGCAGATATCAGCTTGTCAATTTGCAGACGTACAGCCACATGCACGCACAGCTGCTTGCCTGCTTAGATTTTAATTGGGATGACATTGAATATAGTTTGTGAAGAATTGACATTTTTCCTGTATTGAGCCTTCTGATCCATGAGCATAATATAAACTGTCATTTACTTAGGACTTATTTATCTCAATAGAGTTTTGTTGTTTCCAGTGTAGATTTCCTTGCCCTTCTTTCTTTAAGTTTATTCACGAAGGTTTGATAGCTTTAGTGCTAGTATAAATGGTATCATTTCAAATTTTGTTTTTTGTTTCCAATTTATAGAAATGTTTTTTGTTTTGTTTTGATTTTGTATACAGTTTTCTTGTTAAGTGCATTTACCAATGCTAACACATCTTTTATATTCTATTTGATTGTTCTTACATATGCAATCATGCTGTCTATGAAAAATAACCTTACTTCCTGTCCAGTAATTTTGGCTTTTTCTTCTTCATTGCGTTAACTTCTGACACAGTTTTGAATAAAAGTGGTGTTAGCATAAATCTAGTCTCATTATTTTGTTTGAGAAGGAAAACTTACAATTTTTCATTATTAAATTATGAAGTTTTAAAAATTCTCAGCTTAAGACAGCCTTATGCCAAGTTTACGAAGAGTTTTTTCATTATGAATTGGTTTTAATTTTGTCAACTGATTGTGCTGAGTCTAATATATTAAGATTATAATGTGATTTTTTTTCTTTTTTTGTCAATGTGGAGAATTACATTAACTGATTTTCAAATGTTAAATTCTCTCACATTCTCAAAATAAATCTCAGTTTTTTGGACTGAATTATCCTTTTTCCTGTATTGTTAGATTTGATTTGCTAAATATTTAAAGAGTTTTTCCATCTGTGTTTAGGAGAAAACTTGGTCTATAATTTTCTATTCTTGCTATGTCCTTGTCAAGTTTTGGAATCAGGCCTTATATAAGAAATTGGGAAATGCTTATGCTTTCTACTTTCCAGTAGACTGTGTAGGATTGGAATATTTCCAATTCACCAATAAAGCTACTTATTTCTAGTTCTCCTTTGTCAGCTTTGTAAATTGTATTTTTAAAACAATTTGTTTATTTCATCCAAATTACCTAATTTATCAGTATGCAATTATTTATAAAATCCCCTAATTATTTTTTAATGTTTATAAGATCTGTAGTTCTGTCCCCTTTTCATTCCTAATGTTATAATCTGGGGACTCCATGCATATTAGTCATGTTTTCCAAATAGAATCAATAGGATATAGATACACAGACAGAGAAATGTAAGAGGGGATGCACTCTTGCGTTCATGGAGGGTAAGAACTCCTATGATAAACCTCCTTCAAGCTGGAGTCCCTGGGCTGCTGGTAGCATGGCTCAGTCCAAGTCTGAGGGCCTCAGAACCTGGGAGGTTTAGGTGTAATTCCCTGCTCAAGGCCTAAGGCCTGAGAATCTGGAAGCCTGTCAGCACAAATCCAGGAGTCCAAAGGCTGTGGAGCCTGAAGTCTTTGTCCAAGTATAGGCGAGAAAGAGTGTATCCCAGTTTTGGCAAATAGATTGACTCACCTACCTTTGTTTTCTCTGGACTCCTCACGGATTGGATGGTGCCTGCCCACATGGAGGGTGAATCTTCTTCACCTAGTTCACTCAGACTCACATGATAATCTCCTCTGGAAACACCCACAGAGACACATCCAAAAATAACACTTTATCAGGTGTTAGCTATTCCTTAATCCAGTCAAGTTGGCACTTAAAATTACCCTTCGCTCACACTTTCTTAACCCATCTTGTATAATATCAGTCCTTGGGCACAAAGTTTCTTTACTCTTGTTGTGCCTGTTAGGTTTTGTTGTCAAGATTTTGGTGGCCATATAAAATGAGTTGGGGAGTAATCACTTTTTATTACTGCAATGTCTATATGCAATGAAAATAGGATTTTAAAAAATATTTTGCAGAACTTTCTTGCAAAATTACCTCAGCATGTGATTTTTATGGTGGAAAGGTATAAAGTTACGTAAACATTTATTACTTAAATAGAAATAGGCAATTTAGATTTTTTTGTTAGTTTTATTTAGTTATATTTTCTAATTTTTTTCACATTTGTTGGCACAAGGTTTTTCATAATAATCATCTTATTATATCTTCAATGTCTATACTATTTGTAGTTATGTCTCTTTTTCATTTTAATGATGATTATTTGTAATTGTTAGTTTTGCTCAGTCTCACTGCAAATTTGGTTAAACAGTTACAGCTATTTCATACAATCAACTTTTAGATCTGCTGATCTTTATATCTGTGTATTCTATTTCATTAATTTCTGCTTTTTTCCGCATTCCTTCTCTTCGCGTCTGAACTTACCTTCTTTATCTTTACCAAGCCTATTTTGCCATGAAGATATTTACTCTGATAGCAATATAATTGCATCACCTTTATTTGATTGAAATAGGCCTACAATATTTGTGCCATACTTTTATTTTTGACTTTGGATCCTTATGTTTTTGAGGCATTTCTTATGAATATGTAGCAAGATTTTAAAAATCGAAAGTGGTAATGTTTTTTACTTGAAACATTTACTGCATTTACATTTACTACAAGTATTTATAGATTAGCATATTTATATATAACATTTGTTATGTATCCTGTATTCGTTCCACCTTTCTGTGTTTCTCTCCTCTTATTTCTTGTCCTCTTTTATTAATTAGGTACTTTTTCCTCATCATAATTTTTCCTATACTACTTTTGAAATTATGCACTTTATTATTAATGGGTACTCTGGCAATTATAACATGCAAATAGCAGTAGCCTTATCCTCACCCATAAGAACCTTTGCTTTTTTTAAATAACTTTATTGAGATATAATTCATGTATTATACAATTAGCCATTTAAAGAGCACAATTCAACGTTGTGTAGCATACTCACAGGGTTATGCAGCCATCACCACATCTAGTTATTGAAACATTTTTGCTCCCCCTAAAGGAAACCACTTACCCTTTAGCGTTTATCTATCTCCCACTCCTCAACATCCTCCCGGACCCTATGTAACCACTAACCTTCCCTCTGTTATTACAAATTTGCCTATTCCGGCCATTTCATATAAATGGAATCATACAATATGTGGTCTTTTGTGTCTGACCTCTTTTACTTAGCATGTTTTCAAGGTTCATTGATATTGTAGAATGTATCAGTACTTCATTTTAATGGCAGAATGAGAGTCTATTACATGGATATTTCACATTTTACTTATCCATTTATTGGTTAATGGACATTTGTGTTGTTCAACTCTTTGGCCATTGCAATGGTTAATACTGAGTGTCAACTTGATTGGATTGAAGGATGCAAAGTATTGTTCTGAATGTGTCTGTAGGGGTGTTGCCAAAGGAGTTTAACATTTGAGTCAGTGGACTGGGAGAGGCAGACCCACCCTCGATCTGGGTTGGCACCATCTAATCAGCTGCCAGCATGGCTAAAATAAAGCAAGCAGAAGGTGGAAAGACAGACTTGCTGTGTCTTGCAGCCTTCATCCTTCTCCCATGCTGAATGTTTCCTGCCCTCGAACATCAGACTCCAAGTCCTTCAGCTTTTGGACTCTTGGACTTACACCAGTGGTTTGCCAGGGGCTCTTGGGCCTTCTGCCACAGACTGAAGGCTGCACTGTTTGCTTCCCTGCTTTTGAGGTTTTGGGACTCGGACTGGTTTCCTTGCTCCTCAGTTGCAGATGGACTATCGTGGGACTTCACCTTGTGATCATGTGAGTCAATACTGCTTAACAAAGTCCCCTTCATATATGTATCTATCCTATTAGTTCTGTTCTTCTAGAGAATGCTTACTAATACAGCTATTGTTAATAACGTTGCTATGAACATTCATATACAAGTATTTGTGTGGACGTATGCTTTTTTTTTTTTTTTTGATATATATATGCCTAGGAGTGGAATTGCCATGGCATGTGGTAACTATATGTTCAATATTTTTAGGAAATGCTTCAAACTGTTTTCAAAAAGACTGCACCATATTACACCCCACCAGCAGCGTATAAGCATTCCAATTTCTTCAAACCCTTGTCTATAATTGTTGTTTGTTTGTTTTTTGATGATAGCCATCCTAGTGGGTACGAATGTATCTCACTGAAGTTTTGACTTGCGTTTTTTTAAATGTCTAAAGATGTTGAGAACTTTGTTATGTATTTATTGCTCACTTGTCTATCTACTTTTAAGAAATGTCTATTCAGGTACTTTCTTCATTTTAAAATTTTGTTTGTGTCTTTATTACTGAGTTGTAATTTGTAATTTGTTATATATTTTGAATAAAAGTCCTCTATTGAACACATGATTTGTATATAGTTTCTCCTAATCTGTGCTTAGAATTTTTATTCTCTTGTTGGTATCATTTGTAGCTCATAATATTATAATTTTTATATCTCACAATTTACTTATTTTTTCTTTCATCACTTGTGCTTTTGGTGTCATACATAAGAAATCACTTCCTAATCAAAGACCACAAGGATTTATTTACATTTTTTTCTAAGAGTTTTATAGCTTTAGCTGTTATGTTTAGGTCTATGCTCATTTTTGAGTTAATTTTTGTGTATGGTGTGAGATAGGGATCTAACATAATTCTTTTGTATATGGACATCCAGTTGTTCCAGCACCAGTGGTTGAAAGGCTATTTTTTCCCCTCATTGAAATGTGTCTTCATTCTTGTTTTAAAAATCAATTGACCAAAAATTCAAGGTTTATTTCTAAACTCTCATTTCCATTTCATTGATTTATCCTCATGCCAGTAGCACAGTGTCTAGATTACTGTAGCTTTGTGGTAAATTTGGAAATTAAAAAATGTGAGTCTTACAATTTTGTTTTTTTCCAAGATTATTTGGCTATTCGAGTCCCTTGCATTTTCTTATGCATTTTAGGATCATGTTGTCAATTTCTTCAAAAAACCAGCTGAGATTTAAATAGCGATTGTGTTGAACCTATAAATTAATTTGGGGAGTATTGCCATATCAATAGTGTCGAGTCTTACAATCCATGTGGTTACATTTCTTTCAACAACGTTGTATAGTATTCAGTATAAAAGTCTTGAACTTACTTTGTTAAAATTATACCTATGTATCGTATTATTTTAAAATATATAAATAATATTTTTAAATGGAATTGTTTTCTTATTATGTTCAGAATGGTCATTGTTTATAAAATACAATTTTTGATGTTTTGTAATGAACATTTTATCAGTGTTAATAGCTTTTTAGTGGATTTTTTAGGATTTTCCATATATAGGATCATGTCATCTGCAAAAAGAGCAGTTTTATTTTTTCCACTCTAGAGCACTGCCCTCCCCCTAATTTTACTGGTTATAATCTCCAGTAATATGTTTTAAAAAGTGGCTATAGTGGATATTCTTACCTTCCTCTGATCTTAGAGGAAAAGCATTCAATCTTTCCCTAAGAAACATATTTTTTGTTTTTTTGGGTTTTTTTTTGTTTTTTTTATGAATGCCTGTCATTGGGTTGAGAATATTCTCTTTTATTCCTAGTTTGTTGAGAGTTTTTTTTTTTTTCCCCAAATCAGGAAAGAGATTGTATTTTGTTAAATAATTTACTGCTCCTTTTGAAATGATCATGTGCTTATTGTACTTTCTTTTATTAACTTGGTATATTACATTAATTGATTTGTTATTATGTTAAACTAACCTTACACTAAGATAAAGCCCACTTGGTCATGGTGGATAATTCCTTTCATATGTTTCTGAATTTGGTTTGTTAGTATTTTGTTAATGATTTTTGTGTCCATAGTCATAAGATGCATTGGCCTGTAGTTTTCTTGGGACGTTTTTGTCTGGTTTTGTTATCAGAGTAATTGTGGCCTCAGAATGATTTGAGAATTGTCTCTTCCTGTTATAATATTTAGAAAAGTTTGTGAAGGATTGGTATTAATTCTTTTTCGAGTGTTTTTCAAAATTCACCATTGCGGTCATCTTGGCCTTAGCTTTTCCTTGTAAGAGGCTTTTAAATTAATAATATAATCTATTCAAATTTTCTATTTACTCTTGAGTCAGTTTCTGTAATTTATGTCTATCTAGGAATTTTTCCATAATATCTACATTTTCTAAATTATTGGCAGGTGTTTACATTATTCCCTTATAATTCTTTTAATTTTTGTAAAGTCAATAGTGATAACCCCTCTTCCACTCTTGGTCCTAGTAGGTGAAGCCTTCTCTCATTTTCTTGGTCAGTCTACCTAGCGGTCTGTAGATTTTGTTAATCTTTTCAAAGAATTAGTTTTGGTTTTGTTGATTTTTCTCTATTGTTTCTCTAGTTTCTTTTAAATTTATTAACACTGTAGCCCAAATTATTTTCTTTCTTGGGTTCACTTTGGACTTACTTGAAGTCTTCTTTTTCTAGTTTCATAAAGTGGAAGGTTGGCCTATTGACTTGATACATTTTACTTTTTAATATAGCAATTTCTTGCCATATTAGTAGTGCATTATATGCATTCCATAAGGTTTGGTATATTGTACTTTAAGACATTTTGAATTTTTTATGATTTATTCATTGGTTATAGAGAAATGCGTTGTTTCCACATACTTGTGAATATGCCAAACTTTCTCTGATATTGATTTTTAATTTTATGTTATTATGGTTAGAGAATATACTTGGTATGAGTTTAATCTTTTGGAATTTGTGGAAACTTGCTTTATGAAGTTGCCTGTGGTCTCTCCTGGAAAATGTTTCATATGTGCTTGAGAAGAATATGTACTCTGCTGATCTAGGTAGAGTGTTCTATAGATGTTTGTTAGGTCTATTTGGTTTAAAGTGCTATAGTATTATTAAAGGTTCTGTTTCTTTGCTGATTTTCTGACTAGTTGTTCTATGCATTATTGAAAGTGGAATATTGAACCTTACTTTTTACATTATGGCCCCAATAATATAATTATATACATATTTTTCTATGCAGTTTGTTTTTAAATGACTCAAGGAGAGCAACATGTCAGGAAAATGAAGAAAAAAATTCATTTATAATAGCGTCAAAAAGAATAAAATACTTAGAAATAAACTTAACCATGGCAAAAGACTTGAACACTGAAAAGTACAAAACATTGCTGAAAAATGAAAGAAGACATAAATGGAAAGACATGCTGTGTTCATAAATTAGAACACTTAAGACTATTAAGCTGCTGATACTACATAAACATAGAACAAAGTTTCATGACACTGAATTTGACAAATATTTTTTGACAATGACACTAAAAGCACTGACAACAATCGCAACAAAAATACACAAATTAGCCTTTATCAAACTTAAAAACTTTTGTGCCCAAAAGGACACTATCAATATAGAGAAAGGCAAGTCAGTGAATGAAAGAAGATATTTGCAAGTCATATATTGGATAAGGGGGCTAATATTTGAATATATAAAGAGTTCTTGCAACTTAATGACAACCTAATTTTAAAATGAGCAAAGAACTTGAATAGGACAGGCATGGTGGCTCATGCCTGTAATCCCAGCAGTTTGGGAGGCTGAGGCAGGCAGATCACTTGAGGTCAGGAGTTCTGGCCAACATGGTGAAACATCGTCTCTACTAAAAATACAAACAAAAATTAGCCCGGTGTGGTGGTGGGCACCTGTAATCCTCAGCTACTCCAGAGGCTGAGGCGGGAGGATCACTTGAACCCAGAAGCTGGAGGTTGCAGTGAGCCAAGATTATGCCACTGTACTCCAGCCTGGGTGACAGAGGGAGACTGTCTCAAAACAAAACAAAACAAACAAACAAAAAAACTTGAATAGATATTTCCCTGAACAAGATATACAAATGGCTAAAAGCACATGACAAGATACCTAATGTCACTAATCATTAGGGAAATGCAAATCAAAGCCACACTGAATTGTCATTTCAAACTCATTAGGATAGCTAGTATAAAAACAGAAAATAACAAGTATTGCTGAAGATGTGAAGAAGTTAGAACCTTGCGCGTTGCTGGAGAGAAAGTAAAATGGTACAGCTACCATGAAAGACAGTGTAACAGCTTCTCAAAGCACTAAGTATATAATTACCATATGATAAAATTGCACTCCTGGATGTATACCAAAGGAATTGAAATTAGGGATTCCAAGAGGTATTTGTACATGAATGTTTATAGCAATAGTATTCATAATCGCAAAAAGATGGAAACAAATTAATGTTCATCAGTGGATGAATCAATGAACACATTGTGGTATATACACAAAAGGGACTATTACTCATCCTAAAAAAGGAAAGTAATTACGATATTGCTACAATATAGATGAACCTTGAAGACATTATGCTAAGGGAAACAACCTAGGCACAAAAAGACAGATATTGTATGATTCTATTTACGTGACTTACCTAGAATAAACAAGTTCATAGTGAAATAAAGTAGAATAGTGGTTACCTGGGCCTGGGAAATAGGGAAATAGGGAATTAATGTTTAAAGAACACAGAAATTTAGTTTGAAATACATAAAAATTTTTGGAGATGGATAGCGGTAATGGTTGTACAACAATGTGAATGTACTTCATTTCTCTGTGCATTTAAAAATTGTTAAAATAATAAACTTTATGTTATGTGTATTTCTTCACAATTTTAAAAAGAAGTATATCATTATATTTTGTAACTGCCTACCTAATTACCTTTATTAGTATCTTTCTTAAAAATGTTCATTTGAATTATTGTCTGATTTACCTGCTTTCAGCTTGAAGAACATTCTTTTACTTTTTTTTTTCTGCAAAGTAGTAAACTCTATGAGGTTTTATAGAATGCCTTTTTATTTAACCTTCATCTTTGAAAGACACTTTGGCTGTATTTAAGATTTTGGTTGACAGATAATTGTCTTTTGTGTTTGTTTTCATTTCCAGCACTTTGAATATGTCTTCTCATTGCTTTCTTTTATTTTTAACATTCATTTTAAGTTCAGGGATACATGTGGAGGTTTGTTACAGAGGTAAACTTGTGTCGTAGGGGTTCGTTGTACAGATTATTTCATCACCCAGGTATTAAGCCTAGTACCCATTAGTTATTTTTCCTGATCGTCTCCCTCCTCCCACCCTCCACCCTCCACCCTCCAATAGGCTCCAGTGTGTGTTGCTCCCCTCTGTGTATGCATGTGTCCTCATCATTTAGCTCCCACTTATAAGTGAGAACATGCAGTATTTGGTTTTTTGTTCCTATGCTAGTTTGCTAACGATAATGGCCTCCCACTCCATCCATCTTCCTGCAAAGGACATTATCTTGTTCTTTTTTTACGGCTGCATGGTATTCCATGGTGTATATGTACCACATTTTCTTTATTCAGTCTATCATTGATGGGCGCTTAGGTTGATTCCATATTTGCTATTGTATCACTGCTTTCTGACTTCAGTTGCTTTCAATGGGAACTCAGCTGTCAATCCTATGGGAGTTTTCCTGTACGATGGGTAATTTTACCTCGATGCCTTCAATACTTTCTGATTTCATTCAACATTTTTACTATGATGTGTCTGTGTATGGATCTCTTTGCATTTATCCTGCTTGGACTTTGTATAACTTCTTGGATGTGTACGTTAATTTTTAAATCAAATTTGGGATGTTTTCAGCCATTATTTCTTCAAATATTTTCCCTAGAACTTTATTTGTCTTCATATTTTTTTCCTCTCCCTTCTTCAAATTGCATAATATTGCATTGATCTATCTTGCACTTTGCTGATTCTTCTGAGAATCTTTGTAGATTCTCCAACCTACTATTAGCCTCTCTAGTGAATTTTTCATTTTGGTTGTTATGCTTGCAATGTCACTAACTTAATTTTTAAAAAATAATTTCTATTTGATGAGATATTATTATCATACCGTCATTTTTTAAATCATGGTCCTCTTTTGTTCTTTGGACAAATTTATAATGGTTGCTTGGGCTGTTTGCCAGTTAAGTCCACCCTCTCAGCCACTTCTAAGTCATGGGTTTGGGTCAAAAAAATTTTTTTTTCCTGTGTGTGGGTAACACTTTTCTTTTTCTTGCAGGTATTATAGTATTTTTGTGGTAAACTGCCTATTTTAGATAATCTATTGTAGCAACTCTGAATACTGATTCTCCCTCTCCCTCAGGAGTGGTTGTTGTTTTGTTGTCTATTGTTTTGTGACTTGGCTGAACTAATTCTACAATGTTCATTTCCCCCAGAGTGCGCAGCCTCAGATGACCCTCCTCAGCGTTTCCTCCCTTGGCTTTATCTTTAAGCAAGGTTTTATCTTTTTGTCTAGAAGTGTCCCCTAGGATGGCATAAGCCACTTATTTATCAAAGGTTCTGCTTCAATCTCGTTAGCCAGTGAGAGCTTTATCCTACACCATTGGATATATGTGTGGCCTTGAGGCTGCTATTACAGTTCAGAGAGTTTACATTTCCTTGCTCCACATTTTCTCAGGGACTAGTTGCTTGAAGGTTTTTTCTCTGATTGCTCCTACGGGACACATTATTAAGCACGCACACGGTCTTACAGATCTCCAGGGATGAGCAGGATTTTATTTTTAAGCTTGGCTTCCTGCCAGTCAGTGTTTGGTCAGAGGTTGCGTTTAAGATCTATGTGCTAGTGACGCCTCCGCCCTATGTTGATGGGTCTGTGTGCACCTTCGGAAATGCTTTCAAATCTGCCCTGCTCTGATTACTCCCTTGTAGATGCAGCCAACAGCTTGCACTCAGCCATTAAGACCCTAGTGCTGATGGTGATTCTAGGAAGGATCTTCCTGGCTGTCTCTATTAAATTTATGGCTGCTCTACTGTTTTGCTTGTATTATGAAGCTGCCAGCCTCCTCTTAATTGGTCTCCATGAATATTTCCATGATTTGCAACAATGCACTTAGTGTGGAATTCTCCACACTCAGTTCCTAATCAAGTCTGTCCCTCTCTGCCCTGCCAAACCTCCGCCGCCCAAGCAGAACTCTTTCTCCACTATACTGGAGCTGTGGGAGGGAACTGCTTTTCTTGGAAATAAAACCCCTTTTTTGAGTGGGCGTCGGGGGTGGCTAAGAGCCTCTTTTCTTTTCAACTTTCTTCTCCTGGCATTAAGCTTTCATCCTACAAGCCAGCTGTAGGGGAAAGCAACTAGGACCTCAGTATTCTTAGCTTGAAATGCCTGAAGTAGATCTTCCACTCTAAGAGTAGGGGCTGGGTGGGGAAAAGGAGAAAAGTCCTCTCAGCCATGACTGCCTGGAACAGGGCTTCTGGAACGTATCTGGAAAATCTATATTCCCAGACTATAATCTGAGGGGAGAGGGAGTTTCTGTCTTGTTGGCATCACCTACCCAGAATAGAGTGCCCAAGTTAAAGCTTCTATAACACAAAAAAGGGTGTGAGGGGTAGGGGAGAAGGATGCAGCTCAAATACCATAGACTCTCATTATTCTAATAAATACGAAGTAGGTTTTCTTAAATAAATATTTCCCTGTTTGCTGTATGCCCTTAGACGATTTCCAGATATTTAAATAATTTTTATTTTTTATTTTTATGTATTTATTTTTTAGATGGAGTTTTGCTCCTGTTGCCCAGGCTGGAGTGCAATGGCACGATCTTAGCTCACTGCAACCTCCGCCTCCTGGGTTCAAGTGATTCTCCTGCCTCAGCCTCCCAAGTAGCTAGGATTACAGGCATGCACCACCACACCCAGCTAATTTTGTATTTTTAGTAGAGATGGGGTTTCACCATGTTGGTCAGGCCGGTCTCGAACTCCTGACCTCAGGTGATCCACCCGCCTTGGCTTCCAAAAGTGCTGGGATTACAGGTGTGAGCCACTGCACAAGGCTGATTTTTATTTTTTAAGATATTTTAGTTTTTATTTTGTAGGTGTGTATATTTCTCTGGTGTTACCTCAATTACCCATCTTTGCAGAAATCTTTCATTAAAACACACAGGCTCAAAATAAAGGGATGAAGGAATATTTACCAAGCAAATGGAAAGCAAAAAAAATGCAGGGGTTGTAATACTAGTCTCTAATAAAACAGATTTTAAATCAACAAAGATAAAAAAAAAAAGACAAAGACGGGTATTACATAATGGTAAAGGGATCAAAGCAACAAGAAGAGCTAACTATCCTAAATATATATGCACCCAATACAGAAGCACCCAGATTCATAAAGCAAGTTCTTAGAGACCTACAAAGAGACTTAGACTTCCACACAATAATAGTAGGAGACTTTAACACCAGATATATGAATGATTTTTTTTTTAAATTTCCAGTTAAATTGTTTTGCTTGGAGAGGGTCTGTAGAGCTCTTTATTCTGCCATTCCTGAAATCCTGCCCACTCCTCTTCGTTTATTTTTAGCTTTATTCATCAGTCTTGATTGATATGCTATTGTAATATATTTAAATTCCATTTTTAAAAATCCCAAAGACATATTTCTAATTGATTGTCATTATATTTATCCATGTATTTATCATTTTTTTCTTTTGCTGTGCTTTCCTTCTTATATCTCAAACTCTTCATCTGACGTACTTTACTTCTACCTGAACTGTGTCTTTTGGAATTATCTTTAGTTGTGTCTGCTGATGTGGTGACAGAGTGAGACTCCGTCTCAAAAAATAAATAAATAAATAAATAAATAAATGAGTTAAGCTGAAAATGAAGCACACTGATGAATGAAACTGAGAGAGAAAAAGAAATTATCCAAAATCCTCTAATAGTAAACAGAGAAATTGAAGTAAACAGAGAAATTGAAGTAAACAGAGTGAAAAAGACCTTGTAATTAGTCTGAGAAAGTCTAATCAAACACGAAGAATGAGAAGAATTTCATTCTTCTCCAACAAAATGGGTTGGAGACAATATGCGAAGAGCTATCAGCTGAGAATTTTCCAAAACCAATGAATGGCACAAAACAATAGTTTCAGGATGCCAAATGAGCTCAAATCAGGATAAATAGAAAGAAATACAAAACTAGAGATTTTATAGTAAAATCACAGCACTCTGAAGACAAAGAAAAACAGAAAAGTAGCCAGAGAGATAAGACAGTTGAAAATGGATTGCTCAGCAGTAACAATGAAAGCCAGAAAATGGGAATAGTATTTTCAACGTGAAAAGAGATAGTAACCACCATCCTATAATCTGGACCTAGTGAAAATATATTTCAAGAAAAATAGAGTGAATAAAATCTGAAAGTGTTTGCACAGTGGCTCACACCTGTAATCCCAGCACTTTGGGAGGCCAAGGCGGGTGGATCATCTGAGGTCAGGAGTTTGAGACCAGCCTGGCCAACATGGTGAAACCCCGTCTCTACTAAAAATACAAAAAATTAGCCAGGTGTGGTAGCGGGCGCCTGTAATCCCAGAGACTTGGGAAGCTGAGGCAGGGGAATCGCTTGAACCCAGGAGGCAGAGGTTGCAGTGAGCCGAGATCGTGCCATTGCATTCCAGCCTTGGCAACAAGAGCAAAACTCCATCTCAAAAAAAAGAAAAAAAAATTCTTTCCAAAATTTCAGTAGGTTTCTTTAACTCTTTCTCAGTCATTTATATATTTCTTCTTACCTTCATATATTATAAACCATATATTTTTATGTCTTCGAACATATTAAACATAGTCTTTGTCTCTCTCTTTCTCTCTTTCTCTTTCTCTTTTATGTGATTTCAAGATTTTCCATTTTCCATTACTGTTCTTCCAGTTATGCCTATAAGTAGATATCCCTCTTTTTAAAAATTTATTGACTATATGAATCTTACATTTTTGTATACATATTTGTAAAATTCTCAGCTGTTATCTCCTCAAATGACGACTTTCATTCTCTCTATGTCTCATTCTGGGGCATAGTTTAAATTTGCTAAACCTCTTTATTTTATCCTCTACATCTTCTTACTTCTTTCTCATTTCTATGTATTTTATTTTTCTGTATTCATTTATCTGGATCTATATTGTAGTTTACTAACTCTTTGTAACTATTACTTTTATTTAATCCTTCTATTTTTTCCTAAGTTAATATATTTGTTATATAAACATAATAAATATAAATTAATATAGATATAATTCTAATGTAAACTTAATAATTCTATTGGTTGTTTTTTTCAAATCTAAGGATTTTTTAAATTATTATACTTTAAGTTCTAGGATACATGTGCACAATGTGCAGGTTTGTTACATAGGTATACATGTGCCATGTTGGTGTGCTGCACCCATCAACTTGTCATTTACATTAGGTATTTCTCATAGTGCTATCCCTCCCCCAGCCCCCCACCTGCCGACAGGCCCTAGTGTGTGATGTTCCCCACCCTGTGTCCATGTGTTCTCATTGTTCAATTCCCACCTATGAGTGAGAACATGCGGTGTTTGGTTTTCTGTCCTTGTGATAGTTTGCTGAGAATGATGGTTTCCAGCTTTATCCATGTCCCTGCAAAGGACATGAACTCATTCTTTTTTATGGCTGCATAGTATTCCACAGTGTATATGTGCCACATTTTTTTTTTTTTTTGAGACGGAGTCTAGCTCTGTCGCCCAGCCTGGAGTGCAGTGGCATAATCTCGGCTCACTGCAAGCTCTGTCTCCCAGGTTCACGCCATTCTCCTGCCTCAGCCTCCCGAGTAGCTGGGACTACAGGCACCCGCCACCATGCCCAGCTAATTTTTTGTATTTTTTTAGTAGAGACAGGGTTTCACTGTGTTAGCCAGGATGGTCTTGATCTCCTGACCTTGTGGTCCGCCCACCTCGGCCTCCCAAAGTGCTGGGATTACAGGTGTGAGCCACTGTGCCCGGCCATGTGCCACATTTTCTTAATCCAGTCTATCACTGATGGACATTTGGGTTGGTTCCAAGTCTTTGCTATTGTGAACAGTGCCACAATAAACATACATGTGCATATGTTTTTATAGTAGAATGATTTATAATCCTTTGGGTATATACCCAGTAATGGGATTGCTGGGTCAAATGGTATTTCTAGTTCTAGATCCTTGAGGAATCGCCACACTGTCTTCCACAATGGTTGAACTAATTTACACTCCCACCAATAGTATAAAAGCATCCCCATTTCCCCACATCTTCTCCAGCATCTGTTGTTTCCTGACTTTTTAATGATCACCATTCTAACTGGCATGAGATGGTGTCTCATTGTGGTTTTGATTTGCGTTTCTCTAATGACGAGTGATGATGAGGTTTTTTTCATGTGTCTGTTGGCTGCATAAATGTCTTCTTTTGAGAAGTGTCTGTTCATATCCTTTGCCCACTTTTTGATGGGGCTGTTTTTTTCTTGTAAATGTGTTTAAGTTCTTTGTAGATTCTGGATATTAGCCCTTTGTCAGATGGGTAGATTGCAAAAATTTTCTTGCATTATGTAGGTTGCCTGTTCTCTCTGTTGGTAGTTTCTTTTGCTGTGCAGAAGCTCTTTAGTTTAATTAGATTCCATTTGTCTATTTTGGCTTTTGTTGCCATTGCTTTTGGTGTTTTAGTCGTGAAGTCTTTGCCCATGCCTATGTCCTGAATTGTATTGCCTGGGTTTTCTTCTAGGGTTCTTGTGGTTTTAGGTCTTACATTTAAGTCTTTAATCCATCTTGAATCTTGAGTTAATTTTTGTATAAGGTGTAAGGAAGGGATCCAGTTTCAGCTTTCTGCGTACTGCTAGCCAGTTTTCTCAGCACCATTTATTAAATAGGGAATCCTTTCCCCATTTCTTGTTTTTGTCAGGTTTGTCAAAGATCAGATGGTTGTAGATGTGTGGTGTTATTTGTGGGGCCTCTGTTTGGTTCCATTGGTCTATATATCTGTTTTGGTACCAGTACCATGCTATTTTGGTTACTGTAGCCTTGTAGTATAGTTTGAAGTCAGGTAGCGTGATGCCTCCAGCTTTGTTCTTTTTGCTTGGGATTGTCTTGGCAATGCAGGCTCTTTTTTGGTTCCATATGAAATTTAACATAGTGTTTTTCCAATTTTGTGAAGAAAGTCATTGGTATCTTGATGGGGATGGCATTGAATCTACAAATTACCTTGAGCAGTATGGCCTCATACTGCTCACGATATTGATTCTTCCTATCCATGAGCATGGAATGTTCTTCCATTTGTTTGTGTCCTCTTTTATTTCATTGAGCAGTGGTTTGTAGTTCTTCTTGAAAAGGTCCTTTACATCCTTTGTAAGTTGTATTACTAGGTATTTTATTCTCTTTGTAGCAATTGTGAAAGGGAGTTCACTCATGATTTGGCCCTCTGTCTATTATTAGTGTATAGCTATGGTTGTGATTCTTGCACTTTAATTTTGTATCCTGAGACTGCTGAAGTTGCTTATCAGCTTAAGGAGATTGTGGGCTGAGACGATGGGGTTTTCTAAATATACAATCATGTCATCTGCAAACAGGGATAATTTGACTTCCTCTTTTCCTAATTGAATACCCTTTATTTATTTCTCCTGTGTGATTGCCCTTGTCAGAACTTCCAACACTATGTTGAATAGGAGTGGTAAGAGAGGGCATCCTTGTCTTGTGCCGGTTTTCAGAGGGAATGCTTCCAGTTTTTGCCCATTCAGTATGATATTGGCTGTGGGTTTGTCATAAATAGCTCTCATTATTTTGAGATGTGTTCCATCAATACCTAGTTTACTGAGGGTTTTTAGCATGAAGGGCTGTTGAATTTTGTCAAAGGCCTTTTCTACATCTATTGAGATAATCATGTGGTTTTGTCATTGGTTCTATTTATGTGATGGATTACATTTATTGATTTGCATAAGTTGAACCAGACTCATATGCAAGAGATGAAGCCTACTTGATTGTGGTGGATAAGCTTTTGGATGTGCTGCTGGATTCGGTTTGCCAGTATATTATTGAGGATTTTCGCATCGATGTTCATCAGGGATATTGGCCTAAAATTCTCTTTTTTTGTTGTTGTTGTGTCTCTGCCAGGCTTTGGTATCAGGATGATGCTGGCCTCATAAAATGAGTTAGGGAAGATTCCCTCTTTTTCTATTGATTGGAATAGTTTCAGAAGGAATGGTACCAGCTCCACTTTGTACCTCTGGTAGAATTCAGCTGTGAATCTATCTGGTCCTGGACTTTTTTTGGTTGGTAGACTATTAATTATTGACTCAATTTCAGAGCCTGTTATTGGTCTATTCAGAGATTGAACTTCTTCCTGGTTTAGTCTTGGGAGGGTGTATGTGTCCAGGAATTTATCCATTTCCTCTAAGTTTTCTAGTTTATTTGTGTAGAGGTGTTTATAGTATTCTCTGATGCTAGTTTGTATTTCTGTGGGATCGGTGGTGATATCCCCTTTATCAATTTTTATTGTGTCTATTTGATTCTTCTCTCTTTTCTTTATTAGTCTTGCCAGTGGTTTATCAATTTTGTTGATCGTTTTAAAAAACCAGCTCCTGGATTCATTGATGTTTTTGAAGGGTTTTTTGTGTCTCTATCTCCTTCAGTTCTGCTCTGATCTTATTATTTCTTGCCTTCTGCCAGCTTTTGAATTTGTTTACTCTTGCTTCTCTGGTTCTTTTAATTGTGATGTTAGGGTGTTGATTTTAGATCTTTCCTGCTTTCTCTTGTAGGCATTTAGTGCTATAAATTTCCCTCTACATACTGCTTTAAATGTGTCCCAGAGATTCTTTTCTCATTGGTTTCAAAGAACATCTTTATTTCTGCCTTCATTTCGTTATGTACTCAGTAGTCATTCAGGAGGAGGTTGTTCAGTTTCCATGTAGTTGAGCGGTTTTGAGTGAGTTTCTTAATCCTGAGTTCTAATTTGATTGCACTGTGGTCTGAGGGACAGTTTGTGATTTCTGTTCTTTTACATTTGCTGAGGAGTGTTTTACTTCCAATTATGTGGTCAATTTTAGAATAAGTGCAATGTGGTGCTCAGAAGAATGTAAATTTTGTTGATTTTGGGTGGAGAGTTCTGTAGATGTCTATTAGGTCCGCTTGGTGCAGAGCTGAGTTCAAGTCCTGGATATCCTTGTTAAACTCTGTCTCGTTGATCTGTCTAATATTGACAGCGGGGTGTTAAAGTCTCCCATTATTATTGTGTGGGAGTCTAAGTCTCTTTGTAGGTCTCTAAGGACTTACTTTATGAATCTGGGTGCTCCTGTGTTGGGTGCACATATATTTAGGATAGTTAGCTCTTCATGTTGAATTGATCCCTTTACCATTATGTAATGGCCTTCTTTGTGTCTTTTGATCTTTTTGGTTTAAAGTCTGTTTTATCAAAGACTAGGATTGCAACCTTTGCGTTTTTTTTTTTTGTTTGTTTGTTTTTTTTTTTTTTTTGTTTTTTGTTTTGCTTTCCATTTGCTTGGTAGATCTTCCTCCATCCCTTCATTTTGAGCCTATATGTGTCTCTGCATGTGAGATGGGACTCCTGAATATAGCACACTGATGGGTCTTGACTCTTTATCCAATTTGCCAGTCTGTGTCTTTTAATTGGGACATTTAGCCCATTTACATTTAAGGTTAATATTGTTATGTGTGAATTTGATCCTGTCATAATGATGTTCACTGGTTATTTTGCCCATTAATTGATGCAGTTTCTTCATAGCATCGATGGTCTTTACAATTTGGCATGTTTTTGCAGTGGCTGGTACCAGTTATTCCTTTCCTTGTTTAGCGCTTCCTTCAGGAGCTCTTGTAAGGCAGGCCTGGTGGTAACAAAATCTCTCAGCATTTGCTTGTCTGTAAAGGATTTTATTTCTCCTGCAGTTATGAAGCTTAGTTTGGCTGGATATGAAATTCTGGGTTGAAAATTCTTTTCTTTAAGAACGTTGAATATTGGCCCCCAGTCTCTTCTGGCTTGTAGGGTTTCTGCCGAGAGATCCGCTGTTAGTCTGATGGGCTTCCCTTTGTGGGTAACCAGACCTTTCTCTGTGGCTGCCCTTAACATTTTTTCCTTCTTTTCAACCTTGGTGAATCTGACAATCATGTGACTTGGGGTTGCTCCTCTTGAGGAGTATCTTTGTGGTTTTCTCTGTATTTCCTGAATTTGTTGACCTGCCTTGCTAGGTTGGGGAAGTTCTCCTGGATAATATCCTGCAGAGTGTTTTCCAACTTGGTTCCATTCTCCCCGTCACTTTCAGGTTTGATTGTTTCACAATCAAACATAGATTTGGTCTTTTCACATAGTCTCATATTTCTTGAAGGCTTTGTTCATTTCTTTTACTCTTTTTTTCTCTAATCTTGTCTTCTTGCTTTATTTCATTAATTTGATTTTCAATCACTGATCTGATATCCTTTCTTCCACTTGATCAAATCAGCTATTAAAGCTTGTGCATGCGTCACGAAGTTCTCGTGCTGTGGTTTTCACCTCCATCAGGTCATTTAAGGTCTTCTTTACACTGTTTATTCTAGTTAGCCATTAGTCTAACCTTTTTTCAAGGTTTTTAGCTTCCTTGTGATGGGTTAGAACATGCTCTTTTACCTCAGAAAAGTGTGTTATTACCGACCTTCTGAAGCGTACTGTCAACTCATCATAGTCATTCTCCATCCAATTTTGTTCTGTTGCTGAGAGGAGCTGTGATCCTTTGGAGGTGAAGAGACGCTCTAGTTTTTGGAATTTTCAGCTTTTCTTCTCTGGTTTCTCCCTATCTTTGTGGTTTTACCTACCTTTGGTCTTTGATGTTGGTGACCTACAGATGAGGTTTTTGTGTGGATGTCCTTTTTGTTGATGTTGATGCTATTCCTTTCTATTTCTTAGTTTTCCTTCTAACAGGCCCCTCAGCTGCAGGTCTGTTGGAGTTTGCTGGAAGTCCACTCCAGACCCTGTTTGCCTGGGTATCACCAGCAGAGGCTGGAGAACAGCAACTATTGCAGAACAGCAAATTTTTTTTTCTAAGTTAATATATTTGTTATATAAACATAATAAATATAAATTAATACAGGTGTAATTTTAATGTAAACCTAATAATTCTATTGGTTGTTTTTGTTTTCAAATCTGATTTTTAAAATTTGATTATCATTTTATTTTGTATTGAATTTATTTAGACATTTTATACATTTTATATTCTATATCTGATAATTGAAAATCTTAAGTTCTTGAGAGTCTAACTTGACTATTTTATTTGAATTGGCTATTTTTTTTAGCCAACCATTCATGTTGTTTTGTGTCCTTGCATACATAACAATTGATGAGTAGTAGCTCAAAATTTGGCATCCTAAGAGCTCAAATTTTGAACAGTTTACTCTAGAGACAGTTATTTGCATCAAACAAGAGCTGCGGAATGCTATTTGGACTTACTTTGGTTTATATATTATTGTATGCAGAACTAATACAAAAGTATTATGACCCCATTCCCCTCTCTTAGAGAGACAAAAAGAACTACTTTTTTCCTTTGGTGTGAATATTGACGTTTACTCATAAGTCAATTTTTGACTTTGCATTTGCTTATTAGTTTCAATATTTGTTGTGGTGGTAGTGATGGTGGTGGTTGGTTGATCATTTTGTTTTGTTTTGTTACTTTTGGATATTACCGTTATAGGGTTGAGAGACCAACATTTTATTTGAAAAGTTTGTTTATGATAATTTATCTGGGTTCTAGTGTTATTTTTATAGAAAGATTCCTTTGAGTTTCTAATCTGTACAGATTAATTTAAATATCTATATTAACATACACTTTAAGATGCTCAGCTTTCACAATCTTATTTTATAACTTGATTAAATATTATTTGATAAATTTTCATTTTCTATAATTTTTATCTGTACTTCTAAACTTACCTTTGTTGAGACATAACTATTAAGTAATAAATACCATAAAACCAAATTGCATAAAACCAACAATTTCTACTCATTATAGTCCGTATAATTACCTTGTGACATACATTGGCTAAAAAGACCTATTTACATTTAGTAATGAGTAGACACTATCTATCTTATTATGCTTAAATATGTTTGTACAATATCTGTTACTAATACTTGAGCTTGAATAAGCTAATGAAAAGCAGCAGAGTCTGCTGTAATTAAAGAGTATTTTATATTCCAGTAAGGCAGGTCAGGGTCAAAATATTTTGATGTTGACTAGGTGTATTATCTTGGGCTTTAGTTATCTTTGTTTGTAAAATGGAAATAATAATGAGATTTATCTTGCATAATTCATGTCAGGATCAAATGATAGAATGCATTTAATAATGCGAAATGTCTACCAAAATACTTGACATATAGTAAGTGTTAGTTGTGTGGTTATATCTCTGATTATCAACAGTCCAGGAATGGGAAACAGTATAGGTAAGTTTTAAAGGAAATGGGGTTTGGAAAGTTAAGTCCAGAAGCCTTCAGGGAGGAGAGTCAGACCACACTGATAAGCGAGGGGCTGAGGATGTGGGTGGCACAGAAAGGGTAACTTCACCAATTCCACAATTTTTCCATGTCTAGTCTAGAAAAAAAGGAATCCCTTAAGGCCTAGAGTTCCTTGGGAAGTGTCTTCATGCAGAAACAGAACTTGGATAACCTTCTTCAAGTGTGAGGTTAAATAATATGACTGGGTTAGGTCCACATCTCAACATTACTTGGTTGATACTGCCTCATACTCATTTCTGCCACTCCAGTTTCCTGAAACATGACCCTAAGAAGGAGTCACCATAAACTCTCATTTCAAGACAGAATGGTAGGTGGCCATATATGTGAAAATATGTTTTCACAAGGGGGAAATAGCAACAAAAAGAAAACATGCAGAAAGACTCAGAACTACCTTGGAGTGTGTGAATGTGATTATGTGTGTGTGTGCTGACAAACCTTCTTCATTTGGCCAATCTTTAATCACGCTCCCGAACCTTGTTCTAGGCCCATCTGTACACTTCCTTATAAAACCCAGTTTTAGCAAAGAAAGAACTTTGCTGTGTCAGTTTAGCAAGAATCCTCTACCTTTAACATTTACCACTCTTGATACCTGATTAGCAGGGCCCTCATCCTCCCCCATCCCCCAGGTGATGTCTGATCACTCTGGCCTGCCTTCAGCAAGAATCCTGTTAGGTTGGTTTGGCCAGAATCTCCCCTACCCCTAATGTTTCCTGTTAGTATTTTTGTTATCTAATGACCCTCATCCTGTTCCTTGGCTATACATTCCCATGCCTAATCTTTCTACCCCATGGCAAAATCTCATTGCCATGGTCTCCATGCCTATGATGTTGGTCCTGAATAAAGTCTGCCTTCCTGTGCTTTAACAAGTATCATTGAAAAGCTTTAATAGTGTGTGTGTGTGAGGAAAGGAATCAGAGATGCTTCTACATATGACCAAACTACCAAGAAAGGCATGCAAATGATTATCACCATAAACCAAAGAAAATGACCGAGTTGTGTCTCAAGTCAATTTAGAGGTTTGTTTTGCCCAGGTTGAGGACATGCCTGGAGGAGAAAAACACAAATCACAGGCAGCATCTGTGATCCATGTCTTTTGAAAACAGCATTTTGAGCACTTCACTATTTAAAGGTAAAGAGTAGGCAGGAGGGGAAGGAGGGAAGGGAAAAAAAAAGGGAGTGTAGGTAGTGATAAAAGTAGTCACATTCTTGTGAGACTTTGATTAGCGCTCACTGAACCCACATTACATGTAAAAGGAGCAGGTAGAGGAACAGTCAATTATGGATTAATGCATGCTCAGTAAATCTACATTTTACATAAGATAAAGTCAACAGAGTAGAGGAATAAGTCAAATATGTATTTATCTTGGGGTGGGCAGAGGAATAATTTCTAGTCTTGTCTATATCCAGTGCCTGTGAAAATAAGCTGTTAATTTACATTGTCAGGGTGAAGGAGGAGAGATACGTATGTGTCCTTCTATCTTGTTTAGGAACAAAAGGAGAGCCAATTTTTTGTGTGAATCTGTGTCCAAGCTGAACTTTTGGCTTTGGCATAGTTAGTTTGGGGTCCTGAGATTTTATTTGCTTTCATTTCGCAAAGTCAGAATAGTGGCTATTTCTAGGGGGAAGAGAGTAGAAAGGATTAAAGGGCAGGAGAATGGAGTTATTTTAGTTGCATTATTTTTATCTTTGTTGAGTTATAAGGCTATTCACTTATAATAGTTGGTAGAACAGTGTGTAAATGTTTTAGTGACATTTCTGTACTACCTAATAATTCTCAGTTTTAGAAGTGAAAAACAGTAAATAAAATGTTACAGTTTAAAAATATGTAACAGCTGCGTTTATTTTGTAAAACTATGTTACATAGCTAGCAGTTCTTAGCTGTTCTCATTGTGATGATACTCCTTAGGATGATCTGTGAGGTTTCTGATCCCCTGTGGGTTTATCCTCGTTAACTTTTATACTTTGAGGTTGGTTCCTCCTGCTTTCAGATGCTGGCAGCAATGCCTGACTTTAACCCATCAGATTATTAAGAGGATGATATTCACAATCTTTCTTATACCCATCAACAAACCAATCAATACAAGCTAATTATTCATTAGTGTAAATACAAACACTATGTATTGATAATCAATTCTGTTGGTACTGCCTCTGTCAGCTTGCGCCAAAGTACTGCAGTGGGAAAGCTCAGTTGTGTTAAGTCTGCTTCAAAGGGAGCTTGACCTCACCAGTGAATCTAGAAATGATCTATCGTTAGAAATAGGGAGTCGCTACATTCACTAAGTACAATTTGCCTATCCCTCACACACATGAAGACTGTCCTCTCTATTCCCATTTTGCTCTAGTTTCTATCTTTGCTGTTTACTTCAAGGATCAAAGCCTACGGCTGGGATTTTGACAAAGTGCCCCTCTTATGGAGTGTTTTCTTTGCATATGGAGTGGTCTCTAACAGCTTTTTTTTTTTTTTTTTTTAGCCGTGCTTCAGGACTTGGTCCCTTCTCTCTGTCACTCTCTCCACTTATGCACAAGATACCATCCACTCTTTCCTCCCGAAAAAATTTCATCCCAAGTTAAAAGTATACTTTTTCCGTTCCCTTGGATAATTCCACCAGCACACAGGGTAATAGTTTCCATCTTAAACACAAAAAGATCCCCTCTTAATCCCTGTACAGCTTCACAACCTCTCACTTCCACCTCATTTCTCTTCCCACTTCACACCAAACAAACTTCAAATGATTTGTCCATAGTCATTGTCATCACCTTGAAATGCTTTCCCTTCCAACCCATCTGAATCAAGATTTTTTCCAACCACTGCATTGAAACCATTTTTGTCAAAGTCACGAAAGACATTCATCTCACTAAATCCAGTCAACCATTCTCTCTTCATCTTACTCAATTTTCATACAGCATTTGACATGAGACTACCCCATCCTCCAAGCACTTTCTTCATTTGACTTTAGAACAACCCACTCCCCGGTTTTTTCTCTTACCTGGTTGCTTATTTCTTCCAGTTCTTCTTTGCTGAATCCCCTTCTCTCTCTGACTTCTAAATGCTGGCATCCCCTGAGATCAGTCCTTACCCTGCTGTTCTTTAGCTACATTTTTGCTTTCACCCAGCAACCTTATTTTAAATATTAATTATCTATGTGGTGATGTCTCCCAGAAATATAGCTTTATCCCTAAACTCTTATAAATTCAAACTTGAAAATTTACTTGCCTACTTGACAGTTTTACTTGGCTGTCAAGTACATTAAACTCATGTAACAAAAACAAAACTTACAAAACTTTTATTTTTTTCTTTCTAAACTTGCTTCTTTCTCTATTGTTTCTAAATGAATAAGTATTATCATCATTCACCCAATGATTCAGGCCAAAAGCTTTCATTCTCTAAATCTAATCCTTCAGCAAGTTCTGTCAGTTCTGTCTTCAAAATGTATTCTGAATCCAGGACCTTCTCTGCACCTGCACAGCTGTATCTCTAGCCCAGCCTGCTGCAGCCTCTCACCTGGTCTCTGACCAGGCTACACCTATCTCACTCAGTCCTATCTGGTCTACCTGACACTGCTTTTGACTTCCCACAGACCCTTTTTCACACAGCAGACATAATTATCCTTTATAAATAAATATGATATCAAGTTTCCTGCATAACATTCTCCAATGACTTTTCTTTGTATCTTAAATACAAACTCCTGACTGAGGGCCTAGAAGATACTATGTGACCTGCCCCTCACCTATACGTCCAATCACTCTCTCTGTTTATTATGTTCTAGCTGTATTCGCTTGCTTGCTTCTTCTTGCGTGTCCCAAACCTATTCCCATTCCACAGCCTTTACACTTGCTGTTCCTTGCCTGGTATACTCAACCCAAATTGCCCGGTGACTAGATTCTCATCCTTCAGAATTCTCTCCAGATTCTTTCTTCCAACTTATTTAACTCTAGTTCCTCATGCTATGATTTTCTGTATTACCTTGCTTCGTACTGTAATTCATCTCTATCACCATCTGAAATTATATATAGTCAAACTATTTTTAATGGACTGTCATCTTCTTTAGAATATAAGCTTCAAGAGCATTATGCAACATGCAGAATTAAAATGATTTCTTCTCACAGGACTCCTGATAACTCTAAAGTGGTCATTTAAATCTTTAAGATGTGAGTCCCAAAGCCCTCTTGCTCTGGGGAGAACAGTTTCCTTCACCTTAGTGCTATTCAGATAGAAATTGGCCACGATATTAACCTCTGACTGTTATTTTTGAATAGCACAATGGAGTGAGATGAGCTGGGTCTAAACTCTCCCCAGGACAAATATTTTTCAACCCAATGAAAGATTTATATTTTTATTTATTTTGATGTGCAGTGAAATATCTTTCTCCCTTACCTTACTTCTTGAAAAAGAATGAAGCACTGTTGCTTTGAAAAGTTGACAGACTATTCTAATCAGTCATCCTCAGGTTTGGATTTGAAGGTAAATTGGTCAAGAGTAAAGGTCCAGAACATGTTTCCTGAAGCTACTATAAGTCAAACTCTAATCCTAACCACAGATAAATAAATGGTTTAAACCAAATAGCTCAGAGGTTAAATTGTACCCTGAAAAATATGCTTTGAGCTTCCAGGAGACTCAAAAAATATGAACCTTTTTCCAAGTTACTAAATCAAACACTTGGCCCACTGATTTTTAAAAAAGTAAAACCAGCATAAACTAAACTATATTACCCTTGTAATGGGACTGTGATAGGAAAAATTATAAGTATCTTCAAGAAAACTCTAGAACTTTAGATGCTACAGATAGTGCTGGTAAGCAAATAATACCTATTTCACAAGGCAAAAATCTTTCAAATTACATTCTATTAAAATTCATAATTTTGATTGCTCTGCTAAACTTTGCAGAGTTGGCTCTGGCTTAAATATTAAGAATTAGGAAAGGAGGTAACAGGAGAAGAAGCTAAAAGCCAAAGACATCCCGTTCTCATAATGTGTTGCTGGAAATGGCATTGCATTTAGTTTTACCTTGGGTTATATGGGGAAGTCCTTGTTATTACTGATCTCCACTTCATTTCAAATAGGGCAATTTTCAAATGGACTCTCTAAGTGTAGGTTTTCTGAAGTGATTCTTTTGTAACACTTTTATTTCTGGAGGCACTCTGCAAAACCTACAAAAAATTTTGAAAATTATTTCCTGCAAAAAATTTGAAAACAAAATCTATTTTACTTTTTTTCTTTTTGCCCTATAGCACAGATCCAACAACTAAAATACATTTCTGAAAACCAAATAATGATTAGGAAATAAGGAAAAATTGGAAGATAGGGCATATTGTCCACTATTATCCCCATACATTATCATGTTCCTGTCACGTAAGACACTTAATAATGTTTTGTTGAATAAAACATGAATACTTATACATATGCTCCCCAAGAATAAGTAACATAATTCTTAAAAAAGGCAGGGATAAGTCAGTAGTTAAGTCATTTTTACTTCCAGTTCTGTCATACATTTACATTAAAGCCTTGATCAAAGTACACATTTTTAAAACGTTAAATTACTCCTTTAGAAAACTGTATACATTCATATAATTATTAATTTAATAAATTTGTCTAGAACACCTTACATGACATATACATAGGATATAAAGATGGAACAGACCTTTCTTCCCTGAAGGAGCTCATGTCTAGAGAGAAAAAGAAAGAAAAAATCAAGTATATTGATTGACAAGAGAGTGCAATGGCGCTGGAAGAGGTCTAAAAGTACCCTAGTTGGATGTCAGAGCCATTCTGGAAAATCACAGTGGGCTTCCTAGACAAAGTGATGTCCAAGTAAAGTATGAAGGACAAATAGGCACTATCAGGCAAAGAATGTATGAGAAAGGGAAGGGTATTCCCAACAGAGAAAGGACTGAGGCATAAAAAACAGAAATGAGAGAAATTCCAGCACAGGGAAGTGAGAATAGCTCTACAGCGAATGAAATACTGGAAATAGAAAAATGGAAAGATAAAGAATAAGAAGAGAAATGGCAAACTCAAAAGCCATCAGTGCTCAGACAGAAAATTTAAAAATAGGAAGGACATGGTATAAAAAAATGGGGAGTAAAGAGAATTGTGGCAATTGGATTGCATGCCAGGCTAAAGATATTTGTGGTCAAATGATTAGACAAGATACTGGATAAATATAAACAAAGTACTCTGCAGGCTGGAGTTTAAGGTCATGGATCAGCAACATGAGATTCCATGTAGCAGAAATGCATAATGATTTGATTTTAAAAGGCTATAAGTGCCCTCCTAAATAATTTTAATTTAACTTCCAGACAATGGAAAAATACTGAAGAATTTTAAGTAGGGCAGCAACATAATATTTCCAATAAAACAAACAAAAACACACTGTAGGATATAGAGAAAATGGAAACTTGAGCACATACACCTGAAGGTCCATGTACATCATTCTCATGAAAGTAACCAAAAATATAAAAAAAGGGAAATTCTAGACTCTATTCTGAAAACTAGAAAAAGATAGCACCCTAATGCTAGGAATTTTAAAAAATTTGCTGGTAACTTATGCTATAGTGGAAGAGGTAGCCTGATCATTGGCTGTCCACTTAAGTAAGAATATTTGCCCGACATACACATGACAGATCGCATCAGTATATTAATATCAATGTTAATTCAGAGCAGCAAGAAGTGGAGCAGGGACTGGGCTAATGCTACATTTGGATCTCAAAGCCACTTCTGGAAAAGGCACAGTTTCATAGGCCAGTCCAGCCAGGTTACACACAGCAGCACTTATACCCCACTTCCCATAGATGACCATGGGAGATTAAAAAATGAGACATTTCCAAGGCTGGCTACTAACAGGCAGTCAGACCTCAACTGGCTTCAGAACACTACTGTAACTAGAAAACAGATATTTGTCATCTAATCCCATTGTCCCCACTTTAAGTCTCTATTTTTCCTGCATATCTGCCCATGACCTTTGTTCTTAAATTGTTAAGTATCATCTAAGCATGTATCATCTGAACATGACACTGCCTAATAGAGATGTTCGCCTCAATTTGAACTCTAAATCCTGTTTAAATATAGTTAATCCTTTATAAGAATTAGGAGAGAAAAAATACTATTTTGTGAAAACACAATGCAGTTAAAAAAAATGATATCTGTCTGTGAAGTCAGAACAAATATTTTCCATGAAACAGCTCTTCATTAATAGGAAAAATTTATGTTCCTACCCACTGATATGGCTAGGTTTACTTCCCCCACCCAAATCTCATCTTGAACTATAATCTGCATAATTTCCATAATCCCCAGGTGTCAAGGGAGAGACCAAGTGAAGGTAATTGAATCACAGGGGTGGTTCCCCCCATGCTGCTCTCATGATAGTGAGTTCTCATGCGATCTGGTTTAATAAGGGGCTCTTCTCCCTTCAGGAGACACTTCTCCTCCTTGCTGCCTTGTGAAAGAGGTGCCTTGCTTCCCCTTCCCTTTCCACCATGATTCTAAGTTTCCTAAGGCCTCCCCAACCATGCTGAACTGTGAGTCAATTAAACTCCTTTGGAAATCACCCAGTCTCAGGAAGTTATTTAAAATGGACTAATACAGCCATATTAAAAATGTTTTTTAATTTGTTAATTTAACTATAGTTATAAAGGAGGAAAAATCTAACATCAGGAGAGACAAAAATATATGACTTTTCTGTTAAGTAAAACTGTAATTGAGGCAATGAGTAGGAGTTTATATTTGGATTAAAATTGAATACATGATATAAGCATAATGAAAAAATTCTCACAAACCTCAGAAAAAAAGAACAAAAATAATGAGAAAATATACAATGTATATGTGCTTTTAAATATTTTACATAAAATTGGAAATTCAAAAGAGGTGAGTACAAGAGATATAGTGTATGAAATAATAAAAAGTAATTTAAAATGTTTATAATTTAAATAAAAATTTAAGTTTTCATAATGAAATAGATAACTAAAAGTCAAATTTAAAGAAATAGAAATTTGTTAGTGCATTTATGTTAATTTTTAATAGGAATAGCATCTTTTAAGAATCCAGGTAGAAAAAATATATGTTCATAAAGGTAAAAATTTCAGCTGACATCATACTTTTGGCATTTTCTTTCAGAAAATGGTGATGTAATTACACTCATAACTCTTTGGGTATAAAGACAAAACACAAAAATGCTAGGTGAATTGAATGCCCACATGTAACTGAGAACATGGAAAAAAGGAACTCTATATTCTTTTCTACTAACTCTGTTCTTTGATTCACCCTGTCAACTTGGCATATATATCTCCTTAAATCCTACTTAATCTCCAGATAAAGACAGCAACAACATCATAATTCCACACAACATGATACAACTATTGCCATACAACCAAATGTTCACTGATCCCTTCCTCCTAAAGGGAAGAAAATTTCGTTTGTAATAATTTTTATAAAGTACTCTACTCAATTCCCTTTCAAAGTAAAAATTGCTCAGAGAACTATTTCTGTTGAATAAGAGAAGAAAAAAAATAACTCAAGAATGGATAAGTTATGCTACTATAGTACTCATGGTAAAAAATGGTATAGGCAAATAATAAATAATTGTTGTTAATATGGTCACAAATGGAATTTAGGTGTCTAAAATTATTTTTGAAATAAAATTATTCCTATGAAAAAATAATAAGCAAGATGTAAAATAAGAGATTAAAGTAACTAAAATTGAAAAAGATATTCAGGAAGAATTGAATGTATACTGACTTCTTCACATAGTCAATGCAATAAAATATTTCTTTTAATATTTTACGAATTGAAAGCAATGAGAACTTTAAAAATATTTTCTAAAATCTTAAAACCAATCATTGATAGAATTCTAAAAACCAACATCCTATCTTTCAAAATATCAAAAGAATGTAGAAAGCAAAATTAATTATAAATGATCTGATATTTTTCCAAAAAAGGAAGACATAAAAGAAACATAAAATGAAAGGTACCCACAAGTTAAAAAAAAAAAGAAGTATAATTTAATTTTAAAAATTCTCAATTGAAAGGCATAGGCCCATTTGGAGTTAAAAAGGAATCTATTTGTGTGTTATTTATAACAGACGCAAAATAAATGAAAACAAAATCTAAAGCCACCCATAAAAGGAAACAAGGTAGGTAAAATTAATAGCATCCATAATGAAATAAAAGGAAAAAGTCCATATATTTCTGTGTTAGGGTTCTCCAGAGAAACATAATCAATAGATATCTCTATCTCTATCTGTATCTCTCTCTATATATATATATCTATGTATCTATGTAGAGATAGATGTATAGACTTCTCTTTCTGTATACACACACACACACACACACACACACACACGGAGAGAGAGAGACAGGAGAATATTTATTATAAGGGATTGACTCATGTCATTATGAAGGTAAGAAGCCCCATAATTTTTCCTCTGTAATCTTGAGGCCCAAGAAAGCTGGTGGTGTAATTCCATCCCAAATCCAAAGGCCTGAAAACCAGGAAGGCACTGGTATAAGCCCTGGTCTGAGTTCAAAGACCCAAGAACCATGAACATCAAAGTCCAAGGGCAGGAGAAAATGGATGTCTCAGCTCAAGCAGAGAAAGAAACTTCCCCTCTTTTGTTCTATTCAGTCCTTCTGAATATGGGTGCCCACCTGTACTGGTGAAGGCAGATGATCTTAACACAGTCTACTCATTCAAGTGCTAATCTCTTCCAGAAACACCCTCACATACGTGTCCAGAATAAAATTTTACTAGTTTTCTGGGGATCCCTTAGCTCAGTCAAGTTGGCATATAAAATTAATAATTACAGATCTACCTCTTATCAATTTGGCTTATGTATCTCCTTAAATCATACCTAATCTCCAGATAAAGATAACAATAACATCGTGATTTCACCTAACATGATACAACAATTTTCATACTACCAAATACACAGTAATGTCTTCCTCAGAAAAGGAGATGAAGTCCTTGAGTGACATTTTTCTCCTGATGTTCCATAACTTAAATACTATGAAGTAAAATGAACAATACTTAAATCCTTATACAAGAGTCAGTATAGCTTATGTTACCTGATATGGAAAATCAAAAGAGGATAAATAACAAAGATAGTGTTTAACATATGTATATACACATACATACAAGCATATTCATAACAAAATTAGGAGATAATACTCATGACAATTATAGTCCTCATTTCTGGAACTGGCCACATAGTTGTAGCTAGTATTTATAACTACCTTCTACTCCTATCCTGTACAACCCTTGCCTTCAGCAACTCCCTTAGCTGGTCCTGTTTCCTTACCTGGTAGAAGGACTCAAATCTTCATTCCTTGAAGATTCTGCCCCATGAGTTGTTCCGCCTGAACTGAGTTATTGTAGTTTTCCACTGGCCTTAATCGCAATGTGTGGGAACACTAAGGGTGTCCTAAGGGAACTTCTGTATTCCAGATGTACTCTCCCTCACCCCCATGGTGGAGCAATTTCCCTCTTGTTAGTCAGATCAATCACTGTAGCCCACACCATAACTTCCTTATTTGCCTGTTGAATCAGCAGCATGGAGAGCACAAGGTGGCTGGGTGGCAGTCTTAACTCCCAGGTCAAGGAAATTATTCTTGTGTCTCCTGGTGAAGCATTCCATCCTCTGGAACTAAGACGTCTAGGCCAGCAGAGCATAATGTCATGGAAACAGGAAGTAAACATTTTGCTTGTGAGTCACTAGGCGCAGTAGTGAATGATGCCACTCCCACTTCCATTCTTTGATTCCTGGACCCATGAATTCTGGCTACCACATAAATAGCATCATATATTTGACCCTGATTCAGACCATATACAGCCTTCTGGAGAACCATTCCTGCAAGGTATTGCCACCTAGGTGGCACTGTAACTGAGTCTTCAAAAGACAATTCCATCAATGTATCAGGCCAGAAGCTTCAGAATGGTGGAAAACATAGTAAGACCAATGATTTTCATGTTCCTGGCCCTATTGCTGCACTTCCCTTGCTGTGAAGTGAGTTCCTTCATCAAAAGCAATGTGATCTGGAAGACTATGAAAATGGACAAGCCAGTGAGTTAAGTTCACAGATGGTAGTTGTGGTGTGCAAGAAAGGCAAATCCATATTCAGAGCATCTATTCCAGGAAGGGCAAAATACTGCCCCTTTCATGACAGATGTTTTCTAAGGTAATCAATCAGCCTGCTACCAGGTGTTGGCTAATCACCCCAGGGAATGGTGTCATATTAGGAGCCAGGTGTTGGTCTCTGCCATTGGGAGATTAGACACTCAGTTTTCTACAGTCCGGTTAGCCTTGTTGAGTGGAAGTCCATGTTTCTGAGCCCATGCGTAACTTCCATCCTTGCTACCATGGCCTCTTTGTTCCTGAGCCCAGTGGGAAATGACAAAGTTGGCTGGAGAAAGAGACTGATTTGTATTCATCCACACAATGGGTCATTCCATCCACTTTAATGTTAAAATCCTTCTCTGCCAAGCTCACCCTTTGGTGAGCATTCACATGAAATACAATATATCCATTATTTTTTGCTTATTCATAGAGGTGTGCCCACATCTCTCTTCCCCAAATTTTTTGTCACCAATTTTTCCATGTGTCCTTTCTAAGTTTCTGATCATCCAGAAAAAGAAGAACACTCGCTACAGACCATGAATTGGCAGGTAATCACCTCTCTAGCCATTTCTCTTTCTAAGAAAAGTGAATCATCAGGTGGAATGGTTGAAGTTCTGTCCACTGGGAGGATTTTCATTCACCACTGTCCTTCAGGGATATCCCTGAGAGGGGCTATAGGGGTGCAGTTGTCCCTTTTTGTGTTATGCCTGCATATTTTGCAGAATCCTCTGTAAACCAGGCTGAGTCTTCTCTTCCTCTGTCAACTGCTCATAGGGAATTTTTTAATGACTTCATAGCTGCAGGCTGGCAGAGAGCAGGAAGTGTAGCAGGAGTGGGGATCATGGGCATTTGGGCCACTTCTTAATGTCACTTACCTGTGCCTTCAGGACCTGCTTAGCCCCAGTCACATCCATTTGATGGACGAGTGTTGCTATGTACTCTCAACTTTATGGCTTTGTGGGTCAGGTAGCCACCAATTCATGATGAGCAGCTCAGGACATATGATAACATGGTGGTTCATGGTCAGCCATTCAGTCTCTATAAAGGCTCAATAGCTGGCCAAGAGCTGACTCTCAGAGGGAGAGTAGTTATCTGTGAATGACAGCATAACCTTACTCCAAAATCCTCAAGTCTTGCACTATGGTTTCTTTATAGGGTCCTGCCAAAGTCTCCAAACAATATCCCTATCTGCAGTTGATACTTTGACACCATAGGATGTGCTGAATTATATAGCCCAAGTGGCAGAATAGCTCTCACAGCAGGCTGGACTTGCTGCAGGGCCTTCTCTTGTTCTGGACACCACTTAAAACTAGAAGCTCTGATTCAGTTTGGCTGTGTCCTCACCCACATCTCACCTTAAAGTGTAATAATACCCAAAGGTCAAGGGTGGGGCCAGGTGGAGATAATTGATTCATGGGGGTGGTTTCCCCTGTACTGTTCTTGTGGTAGTGAATAAGTCTCAAGACATCTGATGGTTTTATAAACGGGAGTGCCCCTGCACAAGCTCTCTTGCCTACCAACATGTAAGATGTGCCTTTGCTCCTCTTTCACCTTCCGCCATGATTGTGAGGCCTCCTGAGCCATGTGAAACTGTGAGTTCATTAAACCTTTTTTTAATAAAATTACCTCCATACTGTTCTAATTTACATTTCTACCAACAGTGTACGAGTGTTCCTCTTTCATCTCAGCTCACCAGCATTTGTTATTTTTCATCTTATTGATAAAAACCATTTTAATTTGGGTAAGAGAATATTTTATTGTGATTTTTATTTACATTTCTCTGATGATTAGTGATGTTGAGTACGTTTTCATTTACCTATCAGTCCCTTACATGTCTTCCTTTGATAAATATCTATTCAGATCTTTTGCATATTTTTCATCAGATCATTTATCATTGTTGCTGAGCTGAGTTTCTTATATATTCTGATTATTAATCTCTTATTAATTGAATAGTTTGCAAGTATTTTCTCTCATTATGTAAGTTGTCTCATCCCTTTGTTGAGTATTTTCTTTGCTGTGCAAAAGCTTTTTAGTTTGATGGGATCCCATTTGTGCCGTTTTGTTTTAGTTGCCTGAGCTTTTGGGGTCTTAATCAAGAAATCTTTGAAAGTGTCATCTACAGAATCACCTAGCTCTTTGTTTCTCATAACTGAGTGATAAAGAGTACTTACCACAAACATATTGTTTCTCTATAAATAGCTTATTCAATGGACTATTAGTCCTCCTTTTACTACTGGAAATGGAGTAATTAGCATATTTAAGTCTAATCAGATTAGAGAACAAATTCAGAGAAACCACAGAACCAACTCAGAAAACTTATCCTTAAAACTTTGTTTCTCTAGAGTCATTTTCCACAATTCATTTTGTATTAAATATTATAATATACCTTTAAGATATAGTAAAATATAGTGGTCATAAACCTATATGTTCTCAATGACGGCTAACATATATAATGACAAAATATAGATATAAAAATTGGTTAAATTATAATTGTAACAGAGCACACACATTAATTCCTTGTCACATCAGGTATGTAAAGTACTGATAGAAATGGTTTGAGATAAACTCTTAGATTTAGTCATTTGAATTATGAGATTTTTGTGTATAAGGAGGTTTATTTAATATCCTTATTTTAACTTTGTGTGGTCTACAGAGGCACTCAAAGTTCCTAGAGAAAGAACCAGAACTATGCAATTATAGTGGTAGTTTTATATTGCAACATGTTACATTAACTTTTTCTCTCAAAGTGCCTATGATTTGTTAGTTGATAGCACTGATAATTAAATATATTATGTCCTTAAAATACAATATTTGTATTGATTTTACTTCTTTCTAATTTTTTTCTCTCTTTTTGTATTAAAGGTTTAGGAATTATGTAAATTATGGATACCATGCATTATATTTTGTTAGTACGCATAATCTCAGTCTTTTGGTAATAGCTATCAATAAACAAAGAAAAAACAACCATATTATAGAATAATTAATTAGGTGAAAACATATTTTAAAATAGTGTTTTACTTCTCTATGGATATGTCTATTTACTAATATTTGATAATAATTTAACAAAAATTGGAATCAATATAGAAATTAAGGAGAATAGTTTTTTTTTCATTAAAATTAGTACTGTTGACCTAAGATACGTAAGCCACTATAGGGTTCTCATAAATTTAATATACTTGAAAGGCACAGATGAACATATTGTACCTAAAATAAATATTCACATTTTCTCAAGCCTTCATAGAACATTTACAAAATGTGGATAGTCAATTAAAAATATGTATATAATTCCCAAAGTAAGTAATATGGTTACCTTCTCTGTCCACAATAAATTCAAGCTAAAAGGAAACAATGAACAACAAAAACCAAAACCAAACTGAAATCCTACTCTCCTAATAACTTTTAGATCATAAAGAAAACAGCACTAGAAAAGCAGGCTAATGAGAAAACAATAAAAATTATAGAAGGTGTGTAAGAAAACATATATAATGCAGATGCAGAAATATAAAAAGAAAATTTTATATTTCAAAATACAATATGAGGGAGGAATTATGCTGATGAAAGATTTTTGTGAAGTAATATAACATGTGAAGGTATATATTGATAATGTAAAGATGCATAATGACTCTATTGAGAAAGCACTAAAAATAACATCAGGAACAGAAAGAAAAATTCAATAGAAGAACCAAATACCCAAAAGCCACAGAAAACAAAAGGGTCACAAAAGGAATAAGAGAGAAACAAGAAACTGATGATACTAACAAAAGTCACATCAATAATTAAAGGAAATTTTTTAAATAAAATTACTTCCATATTGTTCTAATTTACATTCCAAGGAAAGAACACAATGTATCCAACTGGATACAAAAGCAGGATCCAGCTTGATAACTGCTTATAACATCCACACTTTAAATACAAATGTAGTCAGACTAAAAATATAAGGGTGGAAACAGATATACTATATATACTAAACTAAAAACAAAGTAATTATAGCTATATTCACATTAGGAAGGGTAAATTTTAAGGCAAAGAACATTACCAAAAATTAAAAAAAGGATATGTCATTAAGAACTATAACATTCATAAGTATATATAAACAAAATAACTGTTTAAATATATAAACAAATGAATTAAAAGGACACATAAAATATATGCAATTATGTATGAAGATTTTAACAACTACTTGTTATAAAAGTAGAAAAATATCAGGAAATATACAGAAGAGTTGAAAAAATATTATCAATCAATTCAATCTAATTGAAATGAGTAAAACATTACAGAAAACTGCAAAATCCACATTATTTGAAAGTTTTCATGCAGTGTTCACCATGATAGGCCATGTACTAGGTCATAAAATACATACTAATACATTTCAAAAGACTGAAATTATTGAGTATGTTCTCTGACTGTGGCAGTATTAAAGAGAAAACCAATAACAAGATTTAAAAAAAATACGTAAATCCTTAAAAATCAAGCAGCATATTATTAAAATAATTCATCAGTCCAAAAGAAATCCTTCTTTTGAATAGAATGATAATAAAAACACAAAATGTCAAAATTTTTGAAATGCAGGTAAAACATTGTAAACAAAAAATTGTAGGCTTAAGTTCTTATATTTGGTTAAAAATAAATATTTAAAATCCCTTTTCAGAGCCTTCATGTTAAGAAGATTAGACAAAATGAAAAAAGAAGAAGGGGAAGGAGGTGCAGGATAAGGAGAAGGAAAAAGATGAGGAGGAAGAGAAGAAACAGCAAATAAAGCCAAAATAAGTAGTAGAGATAAAAATAATAATAAAAAGGTGACAAAATTCAACAAAATAGAAAATAATGAAGAAAGTCAACAGTCAAAAGTTGGTTCACCAACAAAACTGATAAAATCCTCAAACTGAAAAAGAGAAAAGATGGACCACAAATATTAGTAATTAAGAGAGATATCACTATAAATCCTACTGACTTGAAGGCAGAAAGAATAGCCCTTGCCAGACATTGAACCTACTAACACTTTGATCTTGGACTTTCCAGCCTCCAGATCTATGAGAAAATAAATTCCTGGTTTTATAAATGATTTAATCTTAGGTACTCTGTTTTATTATCACAAAACATAGAAAGAACTTGGTTCCAGGAGTGGGGTGTTGCTATGGCAAATACCTAAAAATATAAAAACGGCTTTGGAAACAGTTAATGGGTAGAAGGTGAAACTGTTTTGAAATTCATGCAGAAAAAAGCTTGTATTACCATGAGCAGAGCATTAAGAACAATTCTGACAAGGGCTCAGAAGAAGAGGAGAGATATAGGGAAAAACTTGCCTTTTTAGACATTATTTAAGTGGTCATGAAAAGAATGTTGGTAGAAATATGGAGAGTAAAGGCTATTCTGATGAGATCTTAGGTGGAAATGAGGAACAAGGTATTGGAAACTGGAGATACAACCATCCTTGTTAAAAAGGGGCAATGAGCTTGGTTGAATTATATGTGACCTAGGACCCTGTGGAAGGAAGAACTGAAGAGTGATTAACTAGTGTATTTGTCAGCAAAATATCTAAACAACAAAGCACTTAAGATGCTGCATGGCTTCTTTCAACTGCTTATAGTAAAAGGGAAGAAGGAATAAATAATTTAAAGATAAAATTTATAATTAAAAGAGAAGCAGATTGTAAAGATTTGGAAAATTAGCCTGGCCATGTAAAGAAAAAAAAATGTGTGCTTAGGAAAGGAAATCAAGGATGTAGACATGAGATCATTTTATAAAAAGATTAGTATAAATAGAAGAAAGCCATGTACTATTCATAACGAAAGTAGTAGAATGAACTTAAAGGCATTTGAAAGATCTTCCAGGCTGCCATGCGCATCACAGGCCCAGAGTTCCCTCACCTTGGGGTCAGAATAGTTTGGGGAGAGGTTCCTAGGGTGCTTGTGATACCTTAGCTCTCTGTTCTCTGTATTCCAGTGTATTACTTCTTGGCCACCCTAGCTGTGGTGCAGGTGGGCCTAGGTGTGACTTGAGATGTGACTTAAGGGCACATGCCTTAAACTTTGGCATCATCTATGTGGAATGCAGAGCACACAAGCTGTGGAAGTATGGCTGCCTCTACTTACACTTCAAAGAATATCTCAGACAGCCTTCCTGAGGCAGAGAACTATATAGCAGAGGTGGGGGCTCCAAATACAGTCCATGCTAGGACAATGTCCAGAAGAACTGTGGGGTCAGAACTATCCCCAAGGCCTGTTAACTATAGAGCCACCAACATGCAACTCCTGCCTGGGAGGACTGTAGACACCTAACTATCTCTGAGAGCTGTGGCATGGGCTGCAGTCAGTGAAGCTGTAGGGGAGGGGAGCATCCCCACCCATGTGTGTCCTCTTGGTGGGACATGGAGTTCAAAAAGACTATTCTCTAGCCTTATCATTTAATGTTGTTATCCCTGTTAGGTTTTAAACTTAGTTGGGACCTGCTACCTCTTCCTTCTTACCTATTTATTCCTTTTGGAACAGGAATGTCTATTCTATGCCTGTATCACCATTGTATTTAGAAGTACATAACTTGCTCATTTCACAGGCCCACAGTTTAAGAGAAATTTGCCTCTGGATGAATTGTTCCTTGAGTCTCACCCATTTCTGACTTACTTAGATGGAAATCTGGATTTTAGACTTTTGAGTTGATGTTGGAACAAGTACAGACTTTTGAGGCTATTTGGATAAAGTGAAGGTGCATTGCACGTGAGAAGGACATTAGTGGGGGAGGGCAGGGAAAGAATGCCATAGTATGAATGTGTCCCTTATAATTCAAAATTCATCTCTTGAAAAAACTCTCCAATGTAACAGTATTAAATAGTATGGCCTTTTGGGAGGTAGTTAAGTCATGAGTGCCACACCTTCATGAATAAATTAAAACTGTTATAAGAGGGCTTCGTGAAGGGAGTTCATTCCTTTTTGTCCCTCTGCTATTTAAAGACTCAGTTTTTCTCACCTCCAGAGGACACAGTAACAAGGTACCATCCTGAAAGCAGAGATAACAGCCCTCACTAGACACTAAGCATACTGGCATCTTGATTATGGACTTCTCAGGCTTCAGAACTATATTAAAAATTATGATTTTATAAATTATCCAGCCTCAGGCATTCCACTGTAGTAGCACAAAAAACCCCTAAGACACCCAACAACCAACAATTGGAAAATGAATTTTTAAACAGCAATTCTATTTACATCAGCATAAAAATTTAATACCAAAAAAAGTCCTTAAAACACATGCAAGAGGTGAAAAATAAAATAGTGCTGAGAGAAATAAAAGAAGACATATATAAGTGGATTGATATATCATGTTCATAGGTCAGAAGACAGTATTATCAAGAGGTACATAATGTAGAATGCACATATTGATTGATTTAACACCATTCTAATAAAAAATACTACTTTTTTTTTTAGATGGAGTGTTACCCAGGCTGGAGTGCCATGGTGTGATCTTGGCTCCCTGCAACCTCTGCCTCCTGAGTTCAAGTGATTCTAGCGCCTCAGCCTCCCAAGTAGCTAGGATTACAGGCACCCGCCACCAGACCCAGCTAATTTTTGTAGTTTTTAGTAGAGCCAATGGGGTTTCACCACGTTGGCCAGGCTGGTCTCAAACTCCTGACCTCAAATGATCTGCCCCCTTAGGCCTACCAAAGTGCTAGAATTACAGCCATGAAGCTCTGCACCCAGCCAATACTAGCATTTTGATAAGAAAACTTATAATTTATTTAGGAATTCAAAGCATATATAAGAACAGAATAATCTTGAAGGTCGAAAGAACAACTTTGAAGAACTTTATCTTATTTTCAATTCAATATAATGCCATAGTAACGAAGACACAGTTACTATTGGTAGTATTGGTGCAATATTACATAAATGGATCACTGGAATTGAATAAAGAGTCCAGAAATAAAGCTTCATATTTATATCTAATTGGTTTTCGACAAAGTTGTCAACTCAATAAAGAAAGAAAATTATTTTTACCATATTTTACGGAAGGACTGTATTTTCATTTGTAAAAATAAAAATTGTAATCCTGAACTCACTCCATATACAAAAGTCAATTTGAAATAGAGTGTAGTTCTAAATGTAAATGCCAGGTCCATAGATGACAGAAATAACATTAATCATAAAAGAAAATACTTGAGGGATGGGCCAATACGGCAGACTAGAAGCAGCTCACGTGAGCTACTTTCATAGAGAGAAAACAAAATGGGTAGTGAACCTTGACCTTGCAGGCTGATCATCTGAGAAATCATGTTGGGATTCATCAAGGCAGCAGGGGGACACAGAGAGCAGACAGGAGTAGAGGTAGACACCAGCCTGTCTGGGTTCAGCATGAAGTCAGGAGAACTCCTACAACATGGGAAAGGGTGAGTGAGTGAGAGCCTCCTGGGGGATTCACACTCTTCACAGGGACCTGTGCAAGACTGAGAATGGGAGAATCCTCTTGGCCCCTTTACACTCACCCAACATGTTTCTAGACTGAGACAGAGAGCTACCTGGATGTTTTGCAAGAGAAACTCTCCAATCCAAAAGAAACTACAAGACATGAGCCCCAGAGCAGACCAATACTGGTGCCATATTCCCAACAGAGGCCACAGTCACAATGGCCCTTTCCTGGACAGGGCTCAGCAAGAGATTCCAGCTCAGTTGTCCCACTTCTCCCGGGACTCGGCTGGCAGCCACAGCCTCCTGTTGTCTTGGCAAACACGTGGACAGTAGGGCAGACAACTTCATAACTGCCACTACAGGTAGCTAGGGAGGCAATTCCTGCTGGAGCTGCCAGTCCAGCAGTCCTACTACTATGTGAACTCAGACAGAGGGCACAACCTCCTGTTGTCCCAGGAAACATCACCCAGAGAGCAGGGTGGGCAACCCCACCCACCCCTGCAACTAGTAGCCAGGCAGGCAACTCCTTCTAGAGCTTCCAGCTCAGTGATCCCTCTTCTGCCTTAATGCAGCCAGTGAGGAAAGCCTCCCATTGGCCCGGGAAACACCCAGACAGCAGGGTGAGTTACCCTACCCATTCTCACTGCTAGTAGCCAGGCAGGCAATTCTGGCTAAAGTTTCTAGTCCAGCAGTCCTGTTTCTGTGTGAACTCAGCCAGTGGGTACAGCCTCCTGTTGTCCTGGAGAGCACTGGGATGGCAGAGCAGGTGACTAGATCTACCCCTGCTACTGGTTACATGTGGGAAATACCTGCTAGAGCTTTCAGGCCAGTGGTCCCACTTCTGTCTAAACTTAGCCAGTGTGCTCAGCCTCCTGTTGTCCTGGGAAACTCCCAATGGCAGAGTAGGTGACTCCACCTAGTCCTACTTCTCATAGCCATGCCAGCCACATCTTCTAGATCTTCCAGTCCAGTGTTCTGACTTCTGCTTGAATTTGTTGAGGAGTGCAGCCTCATATTGCCTGGGAAATACCCAGATGGCCGGGCAGGCAACTGCACTCACCTAGTCTTTCATAGCCAGATTAGCTACACCCACTAGTATGTCCAGTTCAGCAGTCCCACTTTTGCCTGAACTCTGTGGGCAGCTATAACCCCTCTTTTCCCTGAGGAAGCACTCAGGCAGCAGATTAGGCCTGACCCGATAAGGATACACCCTTGGAACGGAGCACCCCAAAAAGGAATGCAGTCTTGGAGACAGTAATCATAGGGGGTTTCACAAGACCCAAGAGCAGACAAAAATCAAGCCAGTTGATTAAACCCACCTTATATCACAATCAAACCCTCAAGGGCATCAAAGAAGATAAAAGAAAAAAAACTACTGAAGCTACAGCAACTTCAAAGATTGAAGGGATATCAGCCCACACAGATGAGAAAACAACAGTGCAAGAACTCTGGCAAATCAAAAAGCTAGGGTGTCTTCTTACCTCTAAATGCCTGCACTAGTTCTCCAACAATGGTTCTTAACCATGCTGAAATAGGTGAAATGTCAGAAATAGAATGCAGAATATGGATAGGAAGAAAGATCATTGACATCTAGGAGAAAGTTGAATCCCAGTCCAAGGAATCTAATAAAAACAATAAAATGATACAGGAGATGAAAAACAAAATGATCATTTTAAGAAAGATCCAAACTGAGCTGATAAAGTTTAAAAGCTCACTTCTGGAATTTCATGATACAATCACAATTATTAACAGTGGAATTGACCAAGCTGAGAAAAGAATCTCTGAGTTCAAAGACCAGTTCTCCAAAATAACTGAGTTAGATAAAAATAAAGAAAAAATAAAGAAGAATGAATAAAACTTAGAAAAATATGGGATTATGTAAAGAAACCAAATCTATGACTTTTTGATGTCCCTGTAGGGGGAGAAAAGCAGTTTGGAAAACATATTTGAAGATATCATCCACAAAAATTTCCCCAATCTCACTAGAGGGGTCAATACTCAAATCCAGAGAACCCCTGCAAGATACTATACAGGACAATTATTTCTAAGACACACAGTCATTAGATTCTCCAAGGTTAAAATGAAAGTAAACTGTTAAAGGCAGCTAGACAGAAGGGGCAGGTCACCTACACAAGAAACTCCATCAGACTAACAGTCGATCTAAGAGCAGAAATCCTACAAGCCAGAAGACATTGGGGGTGTCTATATATTCAGCATTTTTAAGGAAAGGAAATTCCAATGAAGAATTTTATATCCAGCCAAACTAAGTTTCATAAGTGAAAGAGAAATAAGGTCCTTTTCAGACAAGCAAATGCTAAGAGAATTTGTTACCATCAGAGCTGCCTTACAAAAGGTCCTCAGGGAGTGCTAAATATGGAAAAAAAGGACCATTACCAGCCACCATAAAAACACACTTAAGTGCATAGATCACTGACACTATAAGGCAGCCACACAGTTAATTCTGTTAATTCTGCATAATAACCAGCTAACAACACAATGACAGGATCAAACCTGCGCATATCAATATCAACTTTTAATGTAAGGAGGCTAAATACCCCATTTAAAAGGCACAGAATGGCAAGTTGGGTAAAGAAGTAAGACCCACCTATATGCTGTATACAAGAGACTCATCTCACATGCAATGACACCCACAGGTTCAAAGTAAAAGAATCGAAAAACATCTACCAAGCAAATGAAAAGCAGAAAAAAGCAGGGTTGCAATCCTAATTTCAGATGAAACAGACTTTCAACCAACAAACATAAAAAAAGACAAGGGTAATGGTAAAGAGTTCAAGTTAACAAGAAGACCTAACTACCCTAAATATATATGCACCCATCACAGGAGCACCCAGATTCATAAAGCAACTTCTTAGAGACATTCAAGGACACTTAGACTCCCACAAAATAATAGTGGGAGACTTCAACACCCACTGACAGTATTAGACAGATCATCAAGCAGAAAACTAACAAAGATATTAAGGACTTGAACACAACACTGGACCAAATAAATCTCATAGACATCTACAGAACTCTTCAACCCCCACAACAACAGAATATACATTCTTCTCATCTGCCCATGGACATGCTTTACAAAAGACCACATAATTGGCCATAAAACAATCCTTAGAAAATTCAAAAAAAGTAAAATCATACCAATCACACTCTCAGACCACAGCACTATAAAAATAGAAATTAATACTAAGAAAATCACTCACAACCATACAGTTACATGGAAATTAAACAACCTGCACCTAAATGACTACTGAGTAAACAATGAAATCAAGGCAGAAATCAAGAAATGATTTGAAACAAATGAGAACAAAGATACAATATACCAGAATCTCTGGGATACACCTAAAGCAGTGTTAAGAGGAAGGTTTATAATGCTAAGCACTCATTCAAACAAGCAGAAAGATCTCAAATTAACAATCTAACATCACACCTAGAGAAACTAGAGGAACAAGAGCAAACCAACTCCAGAGTGAGCAGAAGACAAAAATAAACAAAATCAGAGCTGAACTGAAGGAATTTGAGACTCAAGAAGCATACAAAAGATCAGTGAATACAGTATGTGTTTCTTTATTATTGAATACAGAATTCAGCTTTATTAGTCTAGTAGTGTACTAGCTACTAGTCTAGTAGCTTTATTAGTCTAGTAGGCTACTAGCTACACTAATAAAGAAAAAAAGAGAGAAGATCTAAATAAACTCAATCAGAAATGACAAAGGGAACATTACCACCAACCCCATAGAAACACAAAAAATCTCAAAAGACTACTGTGAACACCTTGATGCACACAAACTAGAAAACCGATGAAATAAATAAATTCCTGAGAATATATAACATCTCAAGATTGAACCAGGCAGAAATGGAATTCCTGAACAGATCAATAACAACTTCTAAAATTGATTTAGTAATAAAAAGCCTACTAGCAAGAAAAAGTCCAGGACCATATAAGTTCACAGCAAAATCCTACCAGATATATAAAGAAGAGCTGGTAGAATTCCAGTTGAAACTATTCCAAAAAATTGAGAAAGAGTGACTTCTCCCTAGTTTGTCCTATGAGGTCAGCATCATCCTGATACCAAAACCTGGCAGAGACACAACATAAAAATAAAACTTCAGGCCAATATCCTTGATAAACATGAACAATTCTAGCAAATCGAATCTAGAAGCACAAGATAAAGCTAATCCACCGCAGTCAAGTAGGCTTTATCCCTGAGATGCAAGATTGGTCAACATATGCAAATCAGTAAATGTGATTCACCACATAAACAGAACTAAAAACAAAAAACCTTATAATTTTCTCAGTAAAAGCAGAAAAGGCTTTTGATAAAATTCAACAGCTTTTCATGTTAAAAACCCTAAAAAAAAACTAATCAATGAAGAAACATACCTCGAAATAATAAGAGCTATTTATGACAAACCCATAGCCAGCATCAAATTTAATGGGCAAAAGCTATAAGCTTTCTTCATGAGAACTAGAACAAGACAAGGATGCCCACTCTCACCACTTCTATTCAGCATGATATTGGTAGTCCTGGCCAGGGCAATCAGGCAAGACAGATAAATAAAAGGCATCCAAATAGGAAGAGAGGCAGTCAAATATCTGTTTGCAGACATGATTCTATACTAGAAAACTCCATAGTCTCTGCCCAAAAGTTTATAGATCTGATAAACAATTTCAGCAAAGTCTCAGGCTACAATTCTATGCACAAAAATCAATAGCATTTCTTCCTTTCTTTCCTTTCTTTTTCTTTCTTTCCTTTCTTTTTCTTTCTTTTTTCTTTCTTTCATCTTTCTCTTTTTCTTTCATCTTTCTTTCTCTCTCTTCTTTCCTTCCTTCCTTCCTTCCTTCATTCCTTCCTTCCTTCCTTCCTTCCTTCCTTCCTTCCTTCTTTCTTCTTGATGGAGTCCCACTCTGTCACCCAGATTGGAGTGCAGTAGTGCGATCTTGGCTCACTGCAACCTCCACCTCCCGGGTTTAAGCGATTCTCCTGTCTCAGCCTTTCGAGTAGCTGGGACTACAGGTGCCTGCCACCACACCTGGCTAATTTTTGTATTTTTAGTAGAGATGGGGTTTCACTATATTAGTCAGTCTTGTCTTGAACTCCTGACCTTGTGATCCACCCACCGTGGCCTCCCAAATTGCTGGGATTACAGGCTTGAGCCACCATGCCTGGCCAATCAGTAGCATTTCTATACACTAACAACATCCAAGCTGAAAGCCAAATCAAGAATGCAATCACATAAACAGTAGCAAAAAAAGAACAAAGTATCTAGGAATACAGCTAAATGAGGAGGTAAACAATCTCTACAAAGTGAACTACAAAACTGCTAAAAGAAATGACACAAATAAATGAAAAAATATTCCATGCTTATGGATAGGAAGAATCATTATCTTTACAATGGCCATACTGCCCAAAGCAATTTATAGATTTACTACTATTCTTATCAAACTACCAATGACACTCTTCACTGAATTAGAAATAACTATTTGAAAATTCATATAGAACCAAAAAATTTTAAAAGATCTCAAATAGCCTAGACCATTCTCAGCAGAAAGAATAAAGCTGAAGGCATCACACTATCCAACTTTAAACTATTCTACAGGGCTACAGTAATGAAAACAGCATGGTGCTTGTACAAAACAGACATGTAGACCAGAATAGAGAGCCCAGAAATAATGCCAATCACATACAACCATCTGATCTTTGACAAAGTTGACAAAAACAAGCAATGGGAAAATGCTTCCTATTCTATAAATGGTGGTGAGATAACTGGCTAGCCATATTCAGAAGATTGAACCTGGACCCCTTTCTTACACCATATACAAAAATCAACTCAAGGCTGATTAAAGACTTAAATGCAAACTCTAAAATTTAAAAAACTCTGGACGATAACCTAGGAAATACCATTCTGAACATAGGCCCTGGCAAAGATTTCATGACAAAGATGCTGAAAGTAATGGCAACAGAAACAAAAATTGAAAAATTCGGGCCTAATTAAAATAAAGAACTTCTGCAAAGCAAAAGAAGCCATCAACACAGTAAACAGACAACCTACAGAATGGGAGAAAATATTTGCAAAGTATGCATTCAACAAAGGTCTAATATCTAGGATCTAAAAGAAACTTAAACAAATTAACCAGAAAAAAAAACAAACAACCCCCTTAAAAAGTGGACAAAGGACATGAACAGGTATTTTTCACAAGAAGACATAACATGTGGCCAATAAGCATAAAAAAAATCATACCATGAGTGAAGAGGGATAGTTTGACTTCTTATATTCCTATATGGTTGCCTTTTATTTCTTTCATTTGCCTGATTGCTCTGGCTATCACTTTCAGTACCATTTTGAATAGGAATGATGAGAGGGAGCATGTTTGTCTTGTTCCAGTTCTTGAAGGTAATGCTTTCAGTTTTTACCCATTCAGTATGATGTTGGCTGTGAGTTTACCGTAGATGGTGCTTATTATTTTGAGGTATGTTTCTTTGATACCCAGTTTGTTGATGGTTTTTATCATGAAAATGGATGTTGGATTTTATTAGAAGCTTTCTGTGTTTTTTGAGATGATCATATGGTTTTAGTTTTTAATTCTGTTTTTGCAGCGAATTGCATTTATTGGTTTGCATTTGTTGAACCACCTTTGCATCCCAGGGATAAAGCCTACTTGATTGTGGTGGATTAACTCTTTGATGTGCTGCTAGATTTGGCTTGCTAATATTTAGAGGTTTTTTGTTTGTTTGTTTTGTTTTGTTTTTGAGATAGTCTCACTCTGTTGCCCAGGCTGGAGTGCAGTGGTGTGATCTCAGCTCACTGGAACCTCTGCCTCTCAGGTTCAAACTATCCTCCTACCTCAGTCTGCTGAGTACTTGAGACTACCATTGTGTGCCACCACACCTGGCTGGTTTGCTAATATTTTGTTAAGAATTTTTGCATCTATGATCATCAAGGATATTGACCTGAAGTTTTCTTTTTTATGTTATGTCTCTGCCAGGTTTTAGTATCAGGATGATGCTGGCTTCATAGAATGAGTTAGGGAGAAGTCCCTCTTCCTCAGGTTTTTGGAACAGTTTTAGTAGAAATGGTACCACCTCTTTTTATACATCTGGTTGAATTTGGCTGTGAATCCATCTGGTCCTGGGCTTTTTCTTGGTAGGTGTTTTTTATTACTGAAACAATTTTGGAATTTGTTACTGGTTTGTTCAGGGATTCCATTTCTTCCTGGTTCAGTCTTGGGAGGTTTTACTTTTCCTGCAATTTATTCATTTTATCTAGACTTTCTAGTTTGTGGGCATAGAGGTGTTCATCATAGTCTGAAGATCTTTTGTATTTCTGTGGGATCAGTTGTTACATAACATTTATCATTTCTGGTTGTGCTTATTTGGATCTTCTCTCTTTTTTTCTTTGTCAATATAGCTTGTGGTCTATCAATTTTGTTTCTCCTTTCAAAAAGCTGACTTTTGGTTTCATTTACTTTTTGTATGGATTGCTGAGTCTCAATTTTATTCAGTTTTGCTCTGATTTATATATTTCATGTCTTTTGCTAGCTTTGGAGTTAATTTTTTCTAATTTTTCTGGCTCCTCTAGGCATGGCATTAGTTAATTAACTTGGGACTTTTTAACTTTTTGAGCTTAGCACTATAAACTTCCCTCTTAATACTGCATTTTCTGTATCCTGGAGATTTTACTATATTGTTTTTCTGTTTTCATTTATTTGAACATTTTTTTTTATTTCTGCCTTGATTTTGCTTTTTATTCCAAAATCATTCAGGAGCAAGTTGTTTTAATATCCATGTAACTTTATTGTTTTGAGAGTTCTTCTTGGTATTGATTTCTATTTTTATTCCACTGTGCTCAGATATTATGGTTGGTATAATTTTAATTTTTTGAATGTATTGAGACTTGCTTTATGGCCAAGCATGTAGTTAATCCTGAGTTATGTTCTGTGTGCTGATGAGAGGAAAGTATATTCTGTAATTGATGGGTGGAGTATTCTATAGATGTCTCTTAGCTCTAACTGATCAAGTGTTGAGTTCAATTCCAGACTGTCAGTTTTCTGCCTTAATGATCCCTGTAATGCTGTCAGTGGGGTGTTAAAATACCACATCATTATTGTGTGGCTTTCTAAGCTTTTTTATAGGTTTAGAGGTATTTATTTTATGAACCTTAATTGCTCCAATATTGGGTGTGTATATATTTAGAATATATCAATTGAACTCTTTATCATTATGTAATTCTTTCTTTTTTTTCTGATGTTGGTTTAAAGTCTATTTTATCTAATATAAGAATAGCAACCCCTGCTCTTTTTTATTTTGTTTGCATGGTAGATCTTTTCCAACACTTTACTTTGAGCCTATGTGTGTTATTGCATGTGAGATCAATCTCTTGAAGATAGAAGATGGATAGATCTTGTTTTTTTTTTTAATTCAAGTTTCCATTATATGCCTTTTATGTGGGGCATTTAGACTATTTGTATTCAAGGTTAATATTGATATTTGAGGTAGATTGTAAATTTGTTAGCTGGTTGATTTTTAGTTTCTATCATGTGTTTGTCGTATAGGTTATGTGGTCTATGTACTTAAGTGTGTTTTTGTGGTAGGAGATATCATTCTTTTATTTCCATGTGTCGAACTCCCTTAAGGATCTCTTGTAAGTTTTGTTTAATTGTCATGAATTCCCTTAGTGCTTGTTTACTAGAAAATATTTGGGGGGTGGAGCCAAGATGGCCGAATAGGAACAGCTCCGGTCCACAGCTCCCAGCTTGGAAGTTCTGGCCAGGACAATTAAGCAGGAGAAGGAAATAAAGGGTATTCAATTAGGAAAAGAGGAAGTCAAATTGTCCCTGGTTGCAGATGACATGATTGTATATTTAGAAAACCCCATTGTCTCAGCCCAAAATCTCCTTAAGCTGATAAGCAACTTCAGCAAAGTCTCAGGATACAAAATCAATGTACAAAAATCACAAGCATTCTTATAAACCAATAACAGACAAACAGAGAGCCAAATCATGAGTGAACTCCCATTCACAATTGCTTCAAAGAGAATAAAATACCTGGGAATCCAACTTACAAGGGATGTGAAGGACCTCTTCAAGGAGAACTACAAACCACTGCTCAATGAAATAAAAGAGGATACAAACAAATGGAAGAACATTCCATGCCCATGGGTAGGAAGAATCAATGTCGTGAAAATGGCCATACTGCCAAACATAATTTATAGATTCAATGCCATCCCCATCAAGCTACCAATGACTGTCTTCACAGAATTGGAAAAAACTACTTTAAAGTTCATATGGAACCAAAAAAGAGCCTGCATCGCCAAGGCAATCCCAAGCAAAAAGAACAAAGCTGGAGGCATCACGCTACCTGACTTCAAACTATACTACAAGGCTACAGTAACCAAAACAGCATGGTACTGGTACCAAAACAGAGATATACATCAATGGTACAGAACAGAGCCCTCAGAAATAATGCCACATATCTACAACCATCTGATCTTTGACAAACCTGACAAAAACAAGAAATGGGGAAAGGATTCCCTATTTAATAAATGGTGCTGGGAAAACTGGCTAGCCATATGTAGAAAGGTGAAACTGGATCCCTTCCTTACACCTTATACAAAAATTAATTCAAGATGGATTAAAGACTTACATGTTAGACCTAAAACCATAAAACCTCTAGAAGAAAACCTAGGCAATACCATTCAGGACATAGGCATGGGCAAGGACTTCATGTCTAAAACACCAAAAGCAATGGCAACAAAAACCAAAATTGACAAATGGGATCTAATTAAACTAAAGAGCTTCTGCACAGCAAAGGAAACTACCATCAGAGTGAATAGACAACCTACAAAATGGGAGAAAATTTTTGCAACCTACTCATCTCACAAAGGGCTAATATCAAGAATCTACAATGAACTCAAACAAATTTACAAGAAAAAAACAAACAACCCCATCAAAAAGTGGGTGAAGGATATGAACAGACACTTCTCAAAAGAAGACATTTATGCAGCCAAAAAACACATGAAAAAATGCTCATCATCACTGGCCATCAGAGAAATGCAAATCAAAACCACAATGAGATACCATCTCACACCAGTTAGAATGGCAATCATTAAAAAGTCAGGAAACAACAGGTGCTGGAGAGGATGTGGAGAAATAGGAACACTTTTACACTGTTGGTGGGACTGTAAACTAGTTCAACCATTGTGGAAGTCAGTGTGGCAATTCCTCAGGGACCTAGAACTAGAAATACCATTTGACCCAGCCATCCCATTACTGAGTATATACCCAAAGGACTATAAATCATGCTGCTATAAAGACACATGCACACGTATGTTTATTGCGGCACTATTCACAATAGCAAAGACTTGGAACCAACCCAAATGTCCAACAACGATAGACTGGATTAAGGAAATGTGGCACATATACACCACAGAATACTATGCAGCCATAAAAAATGATGAGTTCATGTCCTTTGTAGGGACATGGATGAAACTGGAAACCATCATTCTCAGCAAACTATCGCAAGGACAAAAAACCAAACACCGCATGTTCTCACTCATAGGTGGGAATTGAACAATGAGAACACATGGACACAGGAAGGGGAACATCACACTCCGGAGCCTGTTGTGGGGTGGGGGGAGGGGGGAGGGAATAGCATTAGGAGATATACCTAATGCTAAATGACGAGTTAATGGGTGCAGCACACCAACGTGGCACATGTATACATATGTAACAAACCTGCACATTGTGCGCATGTACCCTAGAACTTAAAGTATAATAATAATAAAATTTAAAAAAAGAAAAAAGAAAAAAAAGAAAATATTTTATTTCTCCTTTGCTTATGAATCTTAATTTGGTGGATATGAAATTCTTGGTTGGAATTTCTTTAAGAATACTGAAAAGAAGTCCTTAATATTCTAACTTATATTATCTTATTGGTCAATTAATTATTAAGAGAGTTGTTAAAATATTTACCCTGTTTGCAAGTTTGTAAATTTCTTCTAAAAAATACTTTTTTACTTTATATATTTTGAGGCTGTTTTATTATATGCACACAAAATTTAGGTACTAGTAAATATACTGGTAAATCAAACTCTTAAAAAAATTAGTTAGTGGTTGTCTTTAGATCACTAAATTATTTGCTTAAAGTGTAAGACTATTATTAAATTCTATTATTAAATGGTATTGCATTATATTTTTAAAGTAAATATATCTGATACTTATTCTTCTATTCTCTTCTTTACAACCTTTATGTGTTCTTATATTTCAGAATAATTTCTTTTAGGCAGCACATAGTGAGATTGGTTTAAACAAGTTCAATATTCTGTCTTTTAACTAGAAAGTTTAATCTGTTCATAATTGCTATAATTGTATGTTTTATGTGTGTATGTTGTGTGTTTGTGAAATATTTCTAAATATTTTTTTCTCTATAGCCCTCATTTCATATTTCTTTTCTGTCTTTGAAAGTATTTATTGAATTTTTATATTCTGTTTTGCCCCTCTACTGTTTGATAAGCCACATACTAGTTCCATTCTTTAAGGAATTTCTACATATATGCGAACATAATATGCTAATTTATTATTTTTTCTTATATCTCAAAACATGCTTTAAGATCATTTTCTTCTACCTGAAGCATATCTTGCGAAAGTTACTTACTTGTGAGTCATTTGTGTCAACTCTGTTGTTTTTTGTTTTAATATAAATGTCTTTATTCTACTGTCTTTATTCAATGATTAGTTGAGATTCTCTCAGAACACTGAAAGCATAATTTTCCTGCTTTTACCACACTTGTTATTAAGAAGTCAGGGCTGAGTCTGTTCTTTCTTTATAGACAATCTATCTTTTTAAGCTGGGAGATTTTAATATCTTCTTTTCATTTTTTGTGTTTTGAAATTTTACCAGATTTATTGTCTTTTTTATCCTTCTTAGGATTCATTGAGCATCCCAAAGCTCAGGGCTTGTTTTTGTTTTTGTTTTTATTTTCCATCTTTTCTAGACATTTTTAATCCTTTTCTCATCAAATATGTTTTTCTGTCATAGAAAAACTTCACCTTTGATCAACTATTTGATAGTGCTTCTCATCATTTCCTCCGTCTCCTTATTTAATCTTTCCTATCTCATATCTCTTGATCTCTGTACAAAATTGTGATACTTTCTCTAGATCTATTTTATACTTCACCAACTGTTTCAGAATTACCATAGAATCTACTATTTAAATAATCTATTGATTTATAAAATTTTAATAATAAAATTTATCTTTTCTATAATCTTTTTAGTTATTTTCAAAGCTATCATTCCTTATTCATGTTTTCAATGCCCAGTCTAATTATTTAAACTATTTATTATTTACATTTTATATATGTATATTCTAATAAACAAGACTCTTGGGGGTAAAATTATGCTGTTTATTATTTCTGCTATCAAGTATGGTGGCTTGTTTCCTTTGGTTTGAGATTTGCGATTCGGAAGCCTTTCTTTGACTTAATGTCCTCTGTGAGTTATAATTCAAGTTCAGCCTCACCACCAATGAGAGCTCAGCCTGGCTGGTTTCCTTTATTAATCACTTGTGAAATAAGGATATAAAGAAGGTAAAGCTTTATTTATTTTATTTCAGAGGCAACGGTAGAGTTTGTTCCTCTATTGTTTCATAAGCCATGCACTAGTTCCATTCTTTGAGTAGTTTCTAAATATATGCATATTTTACTAAAAGTATAAGGTCAATTAATGTCTCTGAACTATAAGTTAACATATTAACTATTCTTATTATTATAACTTAGCAATTATTCTTTTTCTAATCTTTTAGAGCTATTATGTTTTATAACTCAAATTAGATATTATTGTTACTATATTGTAATCCAGTTGATTATTTATATCTCAAAACCTTAAGATTGTTTTCTATTACCTGAAACACATCTTTCAGTAATTAGTTTCAAATTCTAGTCCTATAATACCAAAGTATATTTCCCCCTTGAGCATGCTTTTAAGATTATAAATTTATGTTGCTACTGGGACCAAAAGGCTGCCTCGTTTTTCATATGTGGTGCATTTGTCTTTTTTTCTGACCTTCCAGAGGCAGCTGCATGAAAAGTGTCAGTACCATTGCTTTTTGCTACGAGTAGAAATGACACTAGCTGTAATTAAATCCCTATCATTTTAGAAATGGACAATCCTAAATTGCCACTTTTGTTTTCCTAAGCAAGAGTTTCCTTCTATGAGTGTCTTGCTTCACTATCATATTTAAATGTGTCTGTGTTTTCCATTGCCCGTTTACTCAAGCCACTATCTGCTCTTCCTTGGATTATGACAGAAGCCTCTTAACTGATGTCTTCATTCCTCTCAGATCTTTTCAGATCTGTTCTTATTATAACAAGTGCAAAAACTCAGGTACCAAATCAGTTCTTACAGAATTCAATTTTTATTTAAAAGAAAACCAAAACGAAGGAGAGTCTGAAGGATTGACAGGATATTTATTTAGCTATACAGTATTGTCAGTCTAAAAGGAAGGTACTGGGACAGGAAGAAGAGAAAAAAAAAGAAAGAAAAAACAAGATGGACGTGAATGAGATGGAAGGAGAAGAGGAGTATGGGTTGCAAGATGGAGGATGAGAAGATAAAAGGGCAACTGAAGGTGCTGTGGAGAAAACACTGTCCGTTTTTACCAATTTTTCTTTTGGGCAGGCCACATGAACTGACCTCAGTAATGGAGTGGAAATCACAGGGCGAAAGAGAGGAAAAGAGGAATGTCTTTCTTGCTCTTCAAAAGCTCAGGTATAATAAATCCTATGCAACGTAACAGTAGATCCCATTAGACCTTCTTGGGCACAGGCTAATGGGGTTTGGACAGGGTCCAGTGGCAATCCACAAACCTGCAAACCTCCCAGGCTGTGCTGTTTGCTTGAGTGTGAGCTGTTTGCAAGAGGGCAGGGGTATGTCTGGAATAGTTGAGCTGTTGTTTGGGGGCTGGACTGGCTTCTACTCAGGAAATGTTGGGAGAAAAACAGGTGAGAAAAAGTAAGAAGAGGAAATATACATGTATTGCCTAAAAGAAGAAACAGGACTAAGGACCTGACTAAATCTTACTCCCTCTATGACAAATTCCATTTCCAAGAAATACATGACTATCAGAACCTACTAGGGTAAACAAGTGTAAAATAAAATATTCTGTCACACTTAGCTGTCATTCCCAACAGTCTAGACTAGGAGAGTGTCCAGATGAGGGATAAGAACATAGATGTGGGGAAAAGAAAGAATAAAGTAGAAAGATAAATTCATTCTTCTGTATCTCCAAGTCACTCTCTTCTAACTGCAAGTGGTGCAATAAAGACTTTCAATGCACCTCAGCCCAATGCAGTACATATTTATCAAACTGAGCATTATTCCTAATATTACCTAAAGGTAAATCAACAGAAGCATAGCGAGTCCCCTGAACAAAACGGGTGTGTGTGAGTGTGTGTATTTGGGGGAATAGCTCATCCAACATTCATCTCCCTTCCTTTTCCTTAAGCTTGCAATTAATGTAAATCATGCCTTACCTGAATGAGAGACATTTTACAGTTGCACTGCTTGGGTTCCAAATCCTGACTCGGAGGCACTGAGAGGTTAACTAGCACAACTGGCAAGTACATTTTCCTCTGTGTGAAATGTGAGAATTTAGTTTGTAAATATAAGTGCTTAGAACAATTACTGGCACATTATAAAATGTTTGCTATAATGATCACATCTCCACTAAATCAAGTAAAATCTACTTCCAAGTTCTCATTCACCAAAGTTCTTAAGATGTGCAATACAAATGTTTTGGTAGCTCCTTCTTCCTCCCACATTAGAACAAAGACTCTGAGATTATGCAGTCCAGGTGAGAATGAGCAAGGAGGCCCATGATTGTAATTATTAAGCACACAGAGGTGCTGGCTCTAATACGAATTTACTACGTGGATCCTTCCTACAGCTCTCAAGAATGTGATACCTAGTGCCCATCCTCCACAAGCTCCAGAGAACCATAGACAATCTGAGGTCCAGGTACTGCCTGGCACAGTGTGCAAAGGAAGTACATGTCTTTTCCACATTACATTCCAAAGACTGTCCCTTTCTAATGAGAAAGATATCACCTTTGACAAGTTCTCCCTTCATCTCACAGTACAAGTTTCTATCCCTTTGCCTTCTGGGAGCATCCATCTTAATACTTTTCATAGGCCTAGGATTAAATCAACAAGGTTCTGTTAACTCCCCCATGAGTTTATGAAAAGCACAGTCCTCAACAGCCCACAGTTGTTATTCTGTTGAGATATTTATGTGTATATCTTCAGTCCATAGCAGCAAAATGTCACTACTTATTAATCTTAATGCCACTAAAAGTGGGAAAACTAAATAATATTTTACTCCAGATGACATCGCAAAGAGTAAATGGAAATATTGTTGCCAAAATATCATTCGTTTGTTTGAGGACTGATGTGACACAAAGGTAATGGGAACCCAAGTGCTGCCCTTACAGAAAGGGGAGTCCAACTTGGAAGTGACAAGCTTTAAACACAGGAGGCCTGCCTTAGTACAATGGCATGCAAATCTACCGCAGTTTAGAAAGACCCACGGTGACCCATGTTACTTTCATCAATCATATCTATTCAATCCCTGTTCTGCTCTACTTTCCAAATTGCCTTTTGATCAGATTTGTGGGCAAAGCTCAATACTTGAGTGGTATTTTCTTTCTTAGTGTTTGTCTCCAAAGTCTGTATTAATAGAAAATGAAGCAACAGACAACAATGCCTGGAAATGCAGGTGTCTCCATTTTAATAGGAGGCATCTGAGCAAAATCTCTGTGAAAGAACTGCCTGACTTGCTTCCAGGCCATTGTGAATATTTTGGTGGGAAAGCCTGCTTTGAATTAGGGACGGAAACATGCATATTCTTATATCCCCTCTCCTGACACCTGCCTAGGATTCACTGAGAGAGAATTACTAAGAAAGGAGTGATGGCCAAAGACCATGCAGGCTTTGTTGCTGTGGTAAAGTGGTCTTTTCTGTCTGCTCCAGATGTGGGCAAGAAAATACAAAGAAGTTTAAGAAGATTTAGTTTAAATAGAACTGGATTGATTCCAAAAGGCTTAATGTTTGCACAAGAGAATCCCAAATCAGATCTAAAACATAATCACTGCTTGAGTTCTTAGCCTTCCTATTAGCTATTAGATTCTGCTAATTATACTCTAAAGTGTGAGGAGTGTTTGCTTTGTTTCTTGAATCAAAGCACCAGTCTTTCCTAAAATGCATTGCCAACTTATAGCCATTTTCAAACTATTCAAGTGAGTCGATGGAATCTCTCTCCAGAGACAGTATTGCAAAGTGGTTGTGAACATAACCTTTGGGCTAGAAAGAGCTGAATTTGACTAAGAAATCTCTACTGACTTTGCGTAAATTATTGAACTCCCCATTGCCTCAAAAGTGAGGATGAGAAGTGTATCCTAAGAACTAAATGTTATAAGGGATAAAAAGTGCCTAGTATAGAGCCTGGTACATGTTGAAGTACTGTAGGATGATCATCATTATCTATGTGTTGTTGCTTAATTCTAGTAAATATATGATAAGTATTTGATATAGTACATACATGATCCATTCTGAATTGCTAGACTGATCCCTCAGCCAGGAAATGAAGGCATGAAGCCTTTATTTATTTATGTCTACTATAGTCAGTTACACAGCTAGAATTTTGTATCGCAAACCCCTTTGAAAATATAATTAAAGCCATTGATTCCCTTCCCCCCAAAGAAAAAATACAAGTTATAAAAACAGTACCAAGGTACAACAATGCTCTTAGCAGCACTATTCACAATAAGCAAAGGGTAGAAACAACCCAAATGTTCATTGCCAGATGCATGGATACATGAAATGTAAATATATACAATGGAATCAAAAATCATTCCATTAAAGGAAGGAAATTCTGACACATGCCACAACATTGATGAACCCAGAAGGCATTATGCTGCGTGAAACAACCAGACACCAGAAGACAAACACTGTATGGTTTCACTTACATAATGTACCTAGAGTAGTCAAATTCTTAGAGATAGAAGTAGAATGGCTGCCAAGAGCTAGGGCAGCAGGAAATTTGGGATTATTGTCTAATCAGTACAGAATTTCGTTTGAAATGCTAAAAATATCCTGGAGATGTATAATCATCATGATTCCATAATAATATGAATGGGCTAAATGCCACTGAGCTGTGTACTTAAAATGATAGAAATGGAAAATTTTATGTTAGGTGTATTTTTCCACATTAAAAAAAATAGTGCCAGAGATTTCTGGTTTAGGAAGTTTAGAAGAAGGCTTATGTTTTTTGATTTCGTTTTTTTAAATCAGCTTTATTGAGGTATTTTTACACACCATAAAATTTACCCGTTTTGAGAGAACAATTAGGTCAGTTTTAGTAAATTTATAGTTATACAATTATCCCATGATATGGTTTGGCTCTGTCCCCACCCAAATCTCATCTCGAATTCCCACGTGTTGTGGGAGGGACCTGGGTAATTGAATCATGGGTTCAGGTCTTTCCTGTGCTGTTCTCATGATAGTGAATAAGTCTCATGAGACCTGCTGATTATATAAGGGGGAGTTTCCCTGCACAAGCTCCCTTCTTTTGTCTGTCACCATGTGATAAGTGCCTTTCACCTTCTGCCATGATTGTGAGGCTTCCCCAGCCACGTGGAACTGTAAGTCCAATTAAACCTCTTTCTTTTGTAAATTGCCCAGTCTTGGGTATGTCTTTATCAGCAGCCTGAAAACAGACTAATACAGCAAATTGGTACCAGTAGGGTGGTGTGCTGCTGAAAAGATACCCAAAAATGTGGAAGCAACTTTGCAACTGGGTAACAGGCAGAGGTTGGAACAGTTTAGAGGGCTCGGAAGACAGAAAAATGTGGGAAAATTTGGAGCTACCTAGAGACTTGTTGAATGGCTTTGACCAAAATGCTGATAATGATATGGACAATGAAATCTAGGCTGAGGTTGTCTCAGATGGAGATGAGGAACTTGTTGGGAACTGGAGCAAAGGTGACTTATGTTTTAGCAAAGAGACTGTTGGCATTTTTCTCCTGCTCTAGAGATTTGTGGAACTTTGAACTTGAGAGAGATGATTTAGAGTATCTGGTGGAAGAAATTTCGAAACAACAAAGAACTCAAGAGGTGACTTGGGTGCTGTTAAAGACCTTCCGTTTTATAAGGGAAGCAGAGCATAAAAGTTCAAAAAATTGCATCCTGACAATGTGATAGAAAAGAAAACCCCATCTTATGAGGATAAATTCAAGCCAGTTGCAGAAATTTCCTTAAGTGACGAGAAGCCGAATGTTAATCACCAAGACAATGGGGAAAGTGTCTCCAGGGCATGTCAGAGGTCTTTACAGCAGCCCCTCCCATCATAGGCCCAGAGGCCTCAGAGAAAATGGCTTCATGGGCCAGGCCCAGAGTCCCTGTGCTGTGTGCAGCCCAGAGTCTTGGTGCCCTGTGTCCCAGCCACTCTAGCTATGGCTGAAATGGCCCAATGTAGAGCTTGGATTGTGGCTTCACAGGGTGCAAGCCCCAAGCCTAGGAAGCTTCCACATGGTGTTGAGCCTGTGAGTGTGCAGAAGTCAATAATTGGGGTTTAGGAACCTTTGCCTAGGTTTCAGAGCATGTATGGAAATGCCTGGAAGCCCAGGCAAGTTTGCTGCAGGGGTGGTGTTCTCATGGAAAACCTGTGCTAGGGCAGTGTGGAAGGGAAATGTGGGATTGGAGCCTCCTCACAGATTCCCTACTGGGGCACTGCCTAGGGGAGCTGTGAGAAGAGGGCCACTGTACTCCAGACCCCAGAACGGTAGATCCAGTGACAGCTTGCACCATATGCCTGGAAAGCCACAGACATGCAGCACCAGCTTGTGAAAGCAGCAAGGAGGGGGGTTATATCCTGCAAAGCCACAGGGGCAGAGCTGCCCAAGGCCCTGGGAGCCTACCTCTTATATCAGTGTGACCTGGATGTGAGACATGGAGTTGAAGGAGATAATTTTGGAGCTTTAAGATTTGACTGCCCTGCTGGGTTTCAGACTTGCATAGGGCCTGTAACCCCTTTGTTTTGGCCAATTTCTCCCATTTGGCGTGGGTGTATTTACCCAATGCCTGTACTTCCATTGTATCTAGGAAGTAACTAACTTGCTTTTGATTTTGCAGGCTCATAGGCAGAAGGGACTTGCCTTGTCTTGGAAGAGACTTTAGATTGTGGACTTTTGAGTTCATGCTGAAATGAGTTAAGATTTTTGGGGACTGTTGGGAAGTCACGATTGGTTTTGAAATGTGAGGACATGAGATTTGGGAGGGGCCAGGGGCAGAATGATATGGTTTGGCCGTGTCCCCACTCAAATCTCATCTTGAATTCCCACGTGTTGTGGGAGGTACCTGGTGGGAGGTAATTGAATCATGGGGTCAGGTCTTTCCTGGGCTGTTCTCATGATAGTGAATAAGTCTCATGAGATCTGATGGTTATATAAGGGGGAGTTTTCCTGCACAAGCTCTCTTCTGTTGTCTGCTGCCATGTGAGACGAGCATTTCACCTTCTGCCATGATCGTGAGCTTCCCCAGCCACATGGAACTGTAAGTCCAATTAAACCTCTTTCTTTTGTAAGTTGCACAGTCTCAGGTATGTCTTTATCAGCAGCATGAAAATGGGCTAATACATCCCATAACCTGATTTTATAATATTTGCATCACCTCAAAAGAGTTACCTGTGTTCACTTGCAGTTAATTAATGTCCTTACTCCTGACTCAAATACTTGTATGCTCCCACCCTTCTAGTTTTGTGTTTGCTACAAATTTCATAAAAATAAAATCATACAACATACAGTACATTGTGTCTGCTTTCTTTAATTTAGGATTTTAAAAAATATTTATCCATGTTGCATGTATCAGGATTTTATTTCTTTATGTTTCTCAATAGCATTTCACTGTATGCATATATTGCAAATTGTTTATGCATTCACCAGTTTGACACTGGGGTTATTTCCAGGCTTTGGCTATTATAAATAAAGTTTCTGGAACATTCATGAATAAGAATACGTGTAGACATACGATTTAATTTCTCTTGCATGATACAGGAGTGCAATGGCTGGGTTATATGATAAGTGTGTGTTTAACTGTGTAAGAAACTGCCAAATTGTTTCCCAAATTCTCTGTATCATTTCACATCTCCATCCACAGTGTAAGCAAGATCTTGCTTTTGAGGTTATTCCGTTTTGTTTGTTTTCATTTGAAGCTCCACAGGCATCTGATGAACAGCTGTGTATGTCAGTTTGAAGCCAGTTGATTAGGTTATTTAACTGTTAACTAAAATTTTGTGGGATAAGTGTAACCACTGATATAAAAATTCTTCTTCCTCTTTCTGTCTTTTTTACAAAACATAACTGAGAAATTTTACAATCAATTCTAACAGTCTTTTTTAAAACCTTTTATTTTAAGTTTAAGGGTACATATGCAGGTTTGTTGTATAGGTAAACCCATATCATGGAGGTTTAATGTATATATTTTTTCATCACCCGGGTATTAAGACTAGTACCAATTAGTTATTTTTCTTGATCTTCCCCCTCCTCCCACCCTCCACTCTCAGGTAGGTTCCGGTGTCTGTTTTTCCCCTGTATGTGTCCATGAGTTCTTATCATTTAGTTCTCACTTACAAGGGAGTACATATGGTATTTGGTTTTCTGTTCCTGCATTAGTTTGCTAAGGGTAATGGCCTCTAGCTCCATCCATGTTCCTGCAGAGGGCACAATTTTGTTATTTTTTATGACTGCATAGTGTTCCATGGTGTATATATGGCACATTTTCTTTATCCAATCTACCATTGATAGGCATTTAGGTTAATTCCATGTCTTTGCTATTGTGAACAGTGTTGCAATGAACATATGCATGCATGTGTCTTTATGGTAGAATAATTTATATTCCTTTGGGCATATACCCAGTTATGTGATTGCTGGGTTGAATGGTAGATCTGCTTTTTAGCTCTTTGAGGAATCACCACACTGCTTTCCTCAATGGTTGAACTAATTTACACCCCCACTAACAGTGTATAAGCATTTTTTTTTTCTACAACCTCCCTAGCATCTGTTACTTTTTGACTTTTTAATAACAGCCATTCTGACTGGTGTGAGATATTATTTCATTTTGGTTTTGGTTTGCATTTCTCTAATGATCAGTGATGTTGAGCTCTTTTTCATATGTTGCTTGGCCACATGTATATCTTCTTTTGAAAACTTTCTGTTCATGTCTTTTGCCAACTTTTTAATGGGGTTGTTTCCTTGTAAATTTGTTTAAGTTCGTTATAGATGCTGAATGTTAGATCTTTGTTGGATGCATAGTTTGAAAAATGTTTCTTCCATTCTGTAGGTTGTCTGTTTACTCTTCTTTTGCTGTGTGGAAGCTCTTTCGTTTAATTAGAGCCCCTCTGCCAATTTTGCTTTTGTTGTAATTGCTTTTGGCACCTGTATCGTGAAATCTTTGCCAGTTTCTATGTCTAGAATGGTATTGTCTAGGTTGTCTTCCAAGGTTTTTATAGCTTTGAGTTTTATATTTAAGTCTTTAATTCATCTTGTTTATGTTTGTATATGGTGTAAAGAAGGGGTCAAATTTCAGTCTTCTGAATATGGCTAGCCAGTTATCCCAGCACCATTTATTAAATAGGAAGCCTTTCCCCATTGCTTGCTTTTGTCATCTTTGCTGAAGATTGGATGGTTGTAGATGTGCAGCCTTATTTCTGGGCTCTCTATTCTGTTCCATTGGTCTATATGTCTGTTTTCGTACCAGTACCTTGCTGTTTTGGTTACTGTAGCCATGTAGAATAGTTTGAAATCAGATAATGTGATGCCTCCAGATTTGTTCTTTTTGCTTAGAAGTGCCTTGGCTATGTAGGCTCTTTTTTGGTTCCATATGAATTTTAAAATATTGTTTTTCTAATTCAGTGAAGAATGCCACTGGTAGTTTGATAAGGATAGTATTAAATTTATAAATTGCTTTGGGCAGTATGGCCATTTTAAATATATTGAGTCTTCCTATCCATCAGCATAAAATATTTTCCCATTTGTTTATGTCATTTATTTTAGGACTTTCTTAGTTCCCATTGTAGAGATCTTTCACCTCCTTGTTTAGTTATATTCCTAGATATTTTATTCTCTTTGTGGCTATAGTTTATGTGATTGTGTTCTTGATTTGGCTTTCAGCTTGGACATTGTTGGTGTATAGAAATGCTACTGATTTTTGTACATTGATTTTTGTATCCTGAGACTTTGCTTATTAAGTTGTTTATCAGCTTAAGGAGTTTTTGGATCAACACTATGGGGTTTTGTAGATATAGAATCATGTCATCTTCAAACAGGGTTAGTTTGACTTTCTCTCTTCCTATTTGGATGCCCTTTATTTCTTCCTTTTGCCTAATTGCTCTGGCCAGGACTTCCAATACTATGTTGAATACGAGTGGTGAGAGTGAGCAGCCTTATCTTGTTCTGGTTTTCGAGGGGAATACTTCAAGTTTTTTCCCATTCAGAATGATGTTGGCTATGGGTTTGTCATAGGCGGCTCTTATTATTTTGATGTGTGTTCCTTCAATACCCAGTTTATTGAAAGTTTTTAACATGAAAGGATATTGAATTTTATCAAAAGCCTTTTCTGCATCTGTTGAGATAATCATGTAGTTTTTGTCTTTAGTTCTGTTAATGTGACAAATCACATTTATTGATTTGCTTATGTTGAACCAACCTTGGATTCCAGGGATAAAACCAACTCGATCATGGTGGAGTAGTTTTTTCATGTGCTGCTGGATTCAGTTTGGTAGTATATTGTAGAGGATTTTTGCATCGATGTTCATCAAGGATATTGGCTTGACATTTTCTTTTTTATGTTGTGTCTCTGCCAGATTTTGGTATCTGGCCTTATAGAATAAGTTAGGGAGAGTCCCTCCTTCTCAATTTTTTGAAATAGTTTCATTAGGAAACTACCAGATCATCTTTGTACCTCTGATAGAATTTGGCTGTGAATTTATCTGGTCCTGGGCTTTTTTTGGTTGGTAGAATGTTTATTACTGATAAACATTACTATCTGTTCAGAGCTCATTATTTGTCTATTCAGGGATTCAATTTCTTCCTGCTTCATTTTGGGGAGGGTGTATAAGTTCAGGAATATATCTTTTTCTTCTAAATTTTCTAGTTTGTGTGCATATAGGTATTCATAATATTCTCTGATAGTTATTTGTATTTCTGTGGGCTTAGTGGTAATATCCCCTTTTCATTTCTAATTGTGTTTACTTGGATCTTCTCTTATTAGTCTAGGTTGTGGTCTATCTATTTCAGTCTTTCCTTATCTTTACATTTTAAGCCCTCTGTTATGCCAGATCTTAGGGATCTACAAGTGTGGAGCACAGCAACTCATAACAAGATGTTTAATAGCTAATGTACTACTTTTTCAGGATCATCTCTACATCCACAGGTAGAATTGTGGAAGAGGTAGGAACATTAGGTCTCCAGTCAGTCTGTCTGGTTTTTTATTCCTGGCTCTACTACTAACCATCTGTGTATCTTAGGATATATTATTTACTTTCTCTGTGTAACATATTTTTTTAAATCTTAAAATAGAGATGACAATAGTACTTATCTCATAAAATTGTCATGAAGTTAATAGAGAAAATACATATAAAGTACTTAGAAAATTGCCTCACATATCACATATACTATATTAAAAATAAGAGTGGAAGGCTTATAATAATGCTTTTTTTGTATAGACAGTCTCTCTCTGTTGCCTAGACTAGGGTGCAGTGGCACGATCATGGCTCACTCCAGCCTCAAACTCCTGGGCTCAAGTGATCATCCTGCCTCAGCCTTCCAAAGTGCTCAGATTACAGGCATGAGCCACCACACCTGGCCTAATGATAATGCTTAATGCAAAGGAATGATTGCTAAAATTCCTGGATGTAGTTGGAGAGATCCAACTCAGTTAATCTCCTACATGTGAGTCCTTTTAGGGAATATTAAAGTGATTAAAATATAGTTCTAGAACCAAAGAAACAAACTCGTATGTGTGTGGATAATGTGAAGGGTAGAGGGAAAGTTAAATACACAAATATTAGGATGAAGATCAGAATGCAAGCTTCTTTGGTTCTCTAATTCATTTCTTCTCTCACCTTATACTGATAAGAAGGATGACCCATAACACCAGTCCTTCATCCATCTTTGCTCCTGCCACCCTGTCCCATATATATATATATATATATATATATATATGTATATATATACGTGTATATATGTGTGTATATATGTATATATGTATATATGTATATATATACGTGTATATATGTGTGTATATATGTATATATGTGTATATATGTGTATATATATGTATATATGTGTATATATATGTGTATATATGTATATATGTGTATATATGTGTATATGTATATATGTATATACACACACACACAACACACAATATGGGATTTTACAATCTAACACCTACACATTGAGAAGACTGCAGTAGAATGAATTCAGCATAAGTAAAGCAAGATTTGAATGACGAACATTTAAAATGACATTTAAATGAGAATGTTAACTTAGATAAGGGCACTTTGAGCTTCATTTCACAGAATAAGACCTGCAGCATGTGAATGTTAATGTAGAATGATGGGGAAAGCTGGGGATGACCATTGCTCTTCCCCTACCCCATCTTCAAATGCTCACTGCAATGCATGTAGGAAGGGCTCCAGAGAGCAGAGCAGACCAGTGTGTTATGGAAACATTTTTCATTGCCTTACTCCAAGCAGAAGTCACCAAAATTTAGGGATTTTAGAAATTGGAAAGTGGAACCCTCTTCCTTTACAAATGAAAAAACTAAGTCTAGGGAAGTAAAATGGCAATATCAAAGAGTTATATTCAGGGAACTAGGACTGGAACCCTGAAAAGTTCTTTTCCCACAAACTTGTGCCGGGTCCACTGATCTTAGCCTCTTTAAACCAAAAGGAATGACCATGTGAAAGGAAACAAGCAACTGCTATTTTCTTAAATGCCACAGGGACCTTCATACATCAACCTGACACTTGTATTACATCAGCTCACAAGCGCGCTAAGAGTAAAAGCCGCACTTTCATTTACAGACAAGCTCTCTTCCCCACTGAAATCTGATGCTGAGATTGCATCCTGATAGGACTGCAGAGCCCTCTTCAGCACACACTGCAACAGTTAAGCTGGTGTTGACTTCTGACCTGCCTTCAATCCACTCTTCTTTGAGGGGGACCTGGCAAAACGCCCCTTCCCCCTCACTGTTCCATCCTCTTTCTCCCCACCTCCAGTGCCTGAGGCTCCTGGCATGGAGAAGTTTATGACTAGGTCAACAGCAGTAAATATGTCAGCTTCTCTCAGGCCCAGCCTCATTCAAGTTCTTCTGGGATTTGTACCTGAGTGTTCCTTGGTTAATGGCTTCTGTGAGAAGCCAAGTGTGACTCAGTGACAGGGAAAGAAAAAAGACTCAAGGCTTGACTTGAAGATTTTCTCCAAATTAGGCATTACATGGACATAATAAAAATGCAAGGACGCAAGGCCTGAAAAGATAAACATATTTGCCCAAACACTGAAGCAGAATATTTGACAGTAGGAATGTCAAGGAATGTCTAGACTTCCAGTGGCTCTACAATGATACCCCAGATCTATCTTTCTCCCACATGTTGATCAATTTGGGGGTACATTCTTTCTAGACCAGAACTGGGCCCATAACACTATGCAGCTCTTTGTCAACAACATTTAATACAGATAAAAGGGCTATATTTACCATTTATGAAGTGTATAAAATGTGCCAGACACTCTTCCAAATCCCGTACCTGGAGTCCCATGTATTCTTTACAATAGCCCAGGATATAGGCAGCATTGCTATCTCCTCTATTCCACAGATGAGGTTCTGATGCTAGATAGTAAGTGATAGGGAGGAGTGTGGGCCCAGGAAGCCTGGTTTCTGATCTGTGCTCTTGACCACAGCAGTGTCTCACTGCTGTCTGGGATAAGCCTTGGATGCCACTAGTGCTTCTTCATTTTCTATAACCAGTGCATCTCATTTTGTTGGCTTTCTTTTTCCCTCTTTTTGCTGAACTATCTCTAACATAATTTTTTCTTTCATTTTTATTTTATGTTTTCTTGCTTCTACCTTCTCACTACCAGTGATATCAACAAGGATAGTTTAATCTTAGACTTACAGGTGACTGATCCCTGACTGGGTGCAATTTTTGGCTCTTTTAAAAATACCATATTGTTATATGCTTCTATATCCTACTTTTCATGTATTTCTTCATGTGTTTCTGTCCTTCCTTCCTTTCTTCCTTCCCTCTCTCCTTTCCTTTTTCCTTTCATTCATCAAATGATCAAGTTAGACAACATGCCAAACTATAAATTTGATTAGTGGTTCTTACCTGGGGTCAATTTTATCATTCCCTACCCTTGCAGGGAACGTTTAGAAATTCCTGAAGACATTTTTGGTTGTCACTACTGGGGAAGTCAAGAATATCCTGCTAACATCTAGTGGGTGGAGGACAGAGGGGCTGCTAAGCATCATGTAATGAGCAGAATACCCCTCCAAAAACAAAGAATTACTGGCCCAGAATGCCAATATCATCATTGCTGAGAAATCCTTAACTAGATGTAGAATAATCAAAGATGCCAAAAAGAGTTTCTTGTCTAGTGGAGGGGGGAACTAAACAAAAACTGAAAATAATATATAAAGTTGGGTGCCCTGATTACAATATATGTAAGTTACAGGGATGGCACAAGGGACACATATAGGATACTTGTATGAAAGTGTAAAGGAGATTTCGAAATAAGGCTTCACAGGGTATATAACTGTAAAATTGGGTCCTAAAAGCTTAATAGAATTTTTCTGTGGTGACAGAAGGAAGAACTCTGGCAATGAAAAGAATGGGGAGAAAAGTACAGTTTATTTTGGGAAACACTCAATATTTTTCATTGCTGGAGAAGAGATTATGAGACATTAGGTACCACACTAGGAATTTGCCCTTTATTTTACAGACAGCAGAATCATCAAAAGGATAAAAGTCGCAAAATGGCAGCATCCGATGGGCTTTGTGGAACCATTACAGTCCACGGTACAGACTTCAGCTTATGAGAAGAAGAGACAGTGCAATAGTAGAGACAAAGCTATGGCTAGACTCCAGAAAAACGGTACTGGTGGCATGAACCATGGCAGAAGGATTTGGGATGGAGAAAGGGGGTAAAAATGAGACATATTTGATGGGTAGTCTCAACAAGACTGAATCACTGACTTGTAGGTGGTGAGAGAGAATAGTTGAGAAAAGTTCCTAAGTTCTGGCTTGGGCAATTGTGCAGAAACCATGAAATACAAAACAAGAGAGAATCTGGGGCTGATTGGGGTGTTGGTTGAGGACACCATCGAGGTTTTTAAACAAGCATGTTGAGTTTGTGGAAACTGTAAGTCTAAGAAATGGAGACATCCATAAAGTTGTTGGATGAATCTGGAGCTCAAGGGAAAGGTCTAGGTTGCATAGGCAGCTGGAGAATAGGTAGAAACGGGCTTTGTAGGGAAAGTTGGCAATTCACTATACAATGTTGAAGGAAGGAAGACAAAAGGAGATGAGGCCTAGGTGGTGTTGATGGCAAAGGCCGTCCTTTCTGATGGACACGCCCTAATTGCTGGGGTTTTCAGAAAGTAAAGGTTATTTCATGCAGGCTGGGAGAGAGAATGAAGGGTCTGATTACAGATGACAGTCAAATGACAAGTGCTAGACCATGACTCAAGCCTAAGCAAGCAGATTAGTTTGAGTTAGACTTCTGGGCTGAGCAGGAAACAGATCAACAATAACCCAAAATAGAAGTGCAGACTAGACCAAAGTGCTAGGGGTTAACTGTACACATAGAGAGTGGGTCTACAGCAATGATACCACAACTGGAGCCACCAGCTGGCAGGGGAGAGGATATTTCCTGCTTTGTTGATGAGTGGCTAAGATACTGCTTGGAGCTACATCTCTAAATACAGGGCTCAGGGAGAACAACTAAGTGGGTCTGGAAAGACAGAGCTGGCACGTGCCACCCAGCTAAGTCACGTGGAACCCGAGTTGAAGCCTGTACCAGATTTGTCCTTTTTAGAAAGTGCCTCATTCGATTACTGCTCATGACTCTTAGATTTTGTAATTCAGTGACTTTGGTACCTCCATGTCTTTTGATCTATCTTGTAGATAAAGCTCAAGATTCATCTTGAATGAACCTATTTCTGATGACACTGGGAGGATTCAATCACTCTTTTCTTGTTTTTAGGACAAATAACATGTTTCCATTACAAATAACATGTTTCCATTACTTTATTATAACCAATGTCATCTTGCATTACAATTATTAGTTTACCCAGCATGTTATATTTTCCTTGATATCTCTGATGCCTAGGTATAGTAAGAAGTCAATACATTTTAGTTGGTTAAAAAATAAAAACAATAATGACCGCTTAATCTATGTTTTGATTTGTACATCTTTGCCATTGTGCTTCTCTTAATTACTGATCTGTTGATTTTTCATTTCACCTCTTAAATGTCAAATTCTATTAGTCATATGCACAATACACACTCATTTTTGTTTGTTTAACACTGGAACACATTCCATGTCTGTGTGAAGTTGGCAGGTTCTTATTTTAATACGCTGCCTCATAACCATCATCCTAATCTGAGTTGAGGGGGTGCATTTTGGCGATGGAGAAAAACATGTAAGTTGCAATTCTCAAATTATATTTGGCAGAATATGACGTTTCCTCCCTCTCAGTACCAAACCTGACAAAAATATCTGATCAAATTTCCAAAATAATTAAGGGTTTAAAAAGTCATGCAGACATGGTCCCAGCTTCAGCCTAAGCTGCACTCACCCCTGGGACTCAGACATGTCTGGGTTTGACCGGTTAGCAAGTAGAGCAAGCAGCTCCCTGGCATCTAGTGAAGGAATTCAATTGCATGTGGGAAAGAAGCCTCAGTAAAGGAGGATTGGTGAGAAGCACCAGGAGGACATCTGAGATCTTTTAAGTTCTCTGGGCCGGCATTAGCTGCTTCTATTTGAGCCCTATAGAAAGCAAAGTGCAGCTGTAAGATAAACTGTTTGAACAATTCCATTATTTCCTGGGAGACTCTGAAACACAACCAGTTCTACATTGGTTCTCTGGTGACAAAGTGAGGGAGAGGAGCCTTTTGTCTACATCTACGCTAAACCCGGCATAGCCTTGGTGTATTGAGAGCTCCACTCTGTATGGAGCAGGCATGCAGACTTTGTGATGAGAACATGGATACTCCATGGTGGGCACTGCCAGAGGGCAAGAGGGTGGTACTCTGAACTGGCTTATCAGGAAGCAGGTACTGACGAGGAGACTGGAACAGGAGAGGAAGAACCTTGCTGATGCCATGTGGCCACTGGAGCCCTAGGAATTGTTTGCAAGCTCAGGTGATACATCTCCAAGTCACTCCAAGGAACAACTGGATTAGACTATAGGATTAGACTTTGAAGCGTTAAAGAGGTTTTTGTGGAAGCAGGGGAAATGGCACTTGTGGAATTATTACTATTAATTTTGTACTCATTGTACTCACTTGTAGTCAAAGCCTGTAGAAATGTACCTTAAATTATTTGATGTAGATATGTATAGATATGTGTAGATTTTAAACTATCAATGAAAAAGTGGCAGGTTAGTTTACTCTGTCATCTACAAGTCCTTTTATTCACTTATACTTTCTTCCAAAAACATTATTTTCCCTTTCCTAGATGTCTCAAATTTGATATTTGTAAATATTCATCCATTTATTCACTAAATATCTTTTTTTTTCAAGAGTCTGTGAAATCTAGTGGGTATGCTATAAGATTCCAGATAAGACAGGTTGGGACTTGAACCCTGTCCTTGCTATTACTCACTGGGGGCTATCGTCAAGTTTCTTAATCTATCTGTGCCTCAGTTTTCTCATAAGTAAAATGGGAATCACACACACACATTCACATACACATATGCCCTTATTGAGTTGCTGCAAAAGTATAGATAATGTACTTATTTCAATGTCTGAATATAGTCAGTGCTTATTCATGTTAGCTTAAATAACCAACAGCAACATTATTATCTATTATGAACATGCAGGGCCTTGTGAGAAAACAGGAAAAAATGTCTCAGGGTCATTGTCAAGGAGTCCTTTTTATGCTCCGGTAAGAAAGGTAAGTCTTATAATTTTGGAACAGTCATGTTGTCATTGAAAGATGAGTTTTCTCTCTAGTATTCCTGCCCTAGTGTCAGTCCCCATTTTGGCTTTTGGGTGTGAAGAGTGGTTTGTCTTTTTTGCTGGTATCTTTTGTTCAGTGAAATAGTGAATATATACCTTTGTTCTGTTTACTTCCCATGGTTTTATTTTCTCTCATTAATGTTTTTCCTAAATTCCACTGCAAAAAAAAAAAAATGGCTGATAAAGATGGAGAAAAAAAGTCTAGAAAGAGGGATTTGTTTGTGTCTTCTCCTAGTAAAATTTTCAGCCCTTGGCGGTGGTGGACATTTTTCTCTCTTATCACATTCTCTGCAGTTGAGCTATTCCCACCAGAGACATATTCAGGACTGGACATTATTTTGATTTTAAAGAAGGGGTAATCATGAATTAATTATTAATTTCAATCATGAAGAAATGATGGTCAAAGAAGAAGTAATCAAAAGAGAACAGTAAATAAATAGAGGCTTCACACCCAGATTGTAGGATGGCTACAATCACAAAGACAGCAAATAACATGTGCTGGTGAAGATATGGAGAATGGAGAACCCTCATACCCTGCTGTTGGGGATGCTGAATGGGGAAGCCCCTTTGAAAGACAGCCAGAAAGTTCTTCAAAAGGTTAAATGCAGAGTGACCACATGACTCAGAAGTCACATTTCTAGATTTATACCCAGGTGAAATGAAAATATGTCTCCACCCAAAAGATTATAGCAACATTATTCATTATACACAAAAAGTGGAAACAGCTCAAATCTCCTTCAGGTGATAAATGGATAAATAAAATGTGGGTTATTCATATAATAGAACCTGATTCATCAATAAAAATAAATGGAGCACTGATGCATGCTATGGTGTGGATGTACAGCATGTATGAACATGAAAAACACTTTGCTCAGTGAAAGAAGGACGTCATACTGTATGATTCCATTTAAATAAAATGTCCAGAATAGGCAAATCAACAGGGACAGAAAGTAGATTCGTCGTTGCCAGGGCTGGAGTGGAAGGGACTGGGGGAAATGGGGAGGGACTGACATTGGGTGTGGGGTTTCTTTTTGGTGTCATGAAATGATCCAAAATTCACTGTGGTGGTGGGTAACTTTTCGAATATACTTAAATCATTGACTTGTACATTTTAAATGGGTGAATTGTATGGTATGTGAATTATATTTTAGTAACACTGAGCTTAAAAAAATAGACTGACACAATGTAGATAACTACCCCACCTATATTCCACCCCTAACTATAGTGAACTTTTATAAATAACCTTGAGATATAAAACTTTGCCCCTGGAAGAAAGGGAACATCTGTGTTACAAACACAAACATGGACAATTTCTTCAAGAAATAAAGGGAAATTAGAATTTTTTTAAAAACCTGCAATTCCAAGTTACATTTTTAAGAATTGCTATGCACTTTGACAAGTGCAGGACAGTTCCTCATCAACTATGCTGTGATCGTACAGTTTGCTGAAATATTTTCATTTCTAGCATATTATTATATTAAGAAAAGAAAGTGCTTTGTGAAATTGTTGAGACCAAGAAAAGCAGCCCTAGAGTGGCCTGGAGGGAAAACATTGGGTCTCTTTATGATATTACTCAAAGGCCTTTTAGATCCTGGAGAGGTGACAAAGTCACCCAGGAGAGTGAAGGATAACACAGTAAAAAGTCTTATGTAAAACTGAGACAGGGCTTTTCCTCTGGAAGAATCTTCAACTTCTGGTGCTAAGTCATCTTCCTATAGCTTCCCTGAAGCAGGAATTAGCATTGTAAACTCTTTCTAGACTGTAGGGTGAGTAAACTAGCCTCACCCAGTGAAGCTCTTGCAGAGACAAGAGCAGATGGCAGACATTCAAGCAGCAAGCCCTGGCTCCATCCACCTGCACCTTATGTGGCAGCAACTCTGGTCAGGGAGCACTCAAGAGGCTGTGGAAAGATGCAAGAGAAATAGGACATGTCCAGTGAATCATCCTGGCACACATATGAATGGTTTTTTAACTGTGAATCTGCTTATTTCCACACAAATAGCATAGGAACTGAGGGAATCAAATGAGAGCCACTGTCGCTCTGACAAAAAGAAAGAGAAAGGAAGAGAGACAGAGGAAGTAAGCGTTTGTTTCATATTTACTTCTTGAATATTCCCTAGTGCAAAGCACATGTATGTGATCCTGCTCTATGCTCATGAAATCCATGCATCATCTCTTATATTAATTTTACAGATGTGGAAACTCAAATAAAGAGAGGTGAAAGAGTCCCCAGGACAACACAAAAAGGTGACAGAGCCACTGAATTTAAATCCATACCCTCTAATTCAAGGTTAGTTCTCTTCTCTATAACTGCTGTTTCCAATAGTTTCATGGAAACCACAAAATATTTTCTAATTTACCCTAAATATTTTAAATATTTTCATGACATTCTTTACTCCAATGTATAGTTACCCTCTTTCCTGAATTCTTAAACTCTCATCACATTTACTTAAGTAGCCTGATATTTAATTTTTTTTTTTCAGTGAGATGGTAAGTCTCCAGGGTGAGAGCTGTGTTCAAGGTGCCCTTTTTTCATTCAAAATATCATGTGCACTTATTGATTCATAATAGGCATTCAATAAAAATTTGCTGAATCAAAAAGAAAAAGAAATCCAGATATTCTGTTTTATTTCCATTGTCCTCCTCCTTCTCATTTTGAGCTGTCTTCATGTTTCAGGCACTACGCTTAGCACAATTCATACCTTATCTCATTTAAACACAATTATTATCTGCTTTTTTTACTTAAGAAAACTGAGACACAAAGACATGGGGCTTATTTTCACAAGGCCACAGAGCTTGAGCGTTCATCAGCCTGATCCCAGAGCCCAACCTCTTAACCATTACAGGATTTTGTCTCAAGACCACCCATCAATGCGGTAATGGGATCTAAAGTTGAACCCAAGAGCTCTGGCTTTTTGGCTGCCAACCTCATCATTAACCCCTCCACCAGGGGAAATCAACCAGCCAAAAAGCTGTGCATTCTCTCCCCAGTATTTCCTTCCACCTAAGCCAGCATGGTATTCCCCAGAGTCACTTCCCACCCTGGCACACAAACCACAAGTAAAAAAACTGGAGCATCAAACACCAACATTAGCAGGATAAATACTCCATCTAATCATCCTACTAAATCATCAGACTGAGTCCCCAGAATTCTAATGCTCTTTCACTCCATTCCCTCTGCCTCTCTTGAGGCTTTAATTTGAGCCTTTCCCTCCCAACTAAAACCAGATATGTAAAGATGGTATTATATTTCTTCACAGCTAATAGCCAGACTATGAAATCATCCAGCAAGCAACTCCCAAGCCATGTGAATCAGTCGTAACACATTTCCTTCATTTTTATAACCCTGGAGATGGAAGAAGGGCCAGGAGGTAGATGAAGGGGAGGGTTATTGCCAGGTATTGTTAACTTTGTCCCTGGGTAATTGAAGTAAGAGCAGTCCAGGTCAGATTAGAAGCAAGATCTTGGAAAAGCTTGGATATAACAGGGACCTGGTAGACCCATATTGGATTGATTATGAAGCAGGAAGTGAAATCTGACATGCCTGACATTTAACACCCTAACCACATCCTGTCTCCTAGATGATGAGAATAAAGATATTGTATATTCAGTGGCACTGACATTTTTATGCCTCTTAACGAAAAGGGAAACAACTTTCTGGGACTGGTTGAAAGGATAAGGAAGCAGAGAACACCTTCACGGCCTTTAAGGAAGATAGGGGATTTGAGTAGGAAGTTGTATAAGGAAGGAAACATCAAGTCCTATATTTTGGGTGAATAAAGCAAACTAAGTTGCATCAGCCTGGGCAAAGAATGTTTTGAGTGAGGAAAATAAATGAAATAGCAATTGAAAACAGAAAAATCCAGTAATGATTTCTTTATTACCTGAAATACTTGAGATTTTTCAATGTTTTCACTCTCAACGTTTTCAACAATTTTCAGAACTAAAGGTATTTTAAAACTTGTATTAACTGTTGAAGGCTACTTGAGGATGCATAGGATTGAAGCACTGGTAGGTGTCTAGCTTAATAGCACATCTCAATAGCACATCTTGTATTTATATAATACAGCTTGAGGATTTCAACAGGTCTCTCAAAATGACCCCCTTCAGCAGCCCAGTCCACCTCCAAGTGCCCTCTTCTAAACAACTGAAAATAAGCAGGAAACAATTTCTTGTTATCGCTGGGAAAGAGATAGTTCTATTTCCCGAGTAATCGGTTTCCATGCATAAACAGCAAGAAAATATTCTTTTTGCCATTCTGAACCTAAATCACTCTTGCTGTAATTTATGATCATTTTCTCATATTCCATATTAAATAAAAGTGGAAAATAGCTCACTATTTCTTTTATTATAAGATTGTAGTTGACATCAGTAGATAATATCCATTCGACTGTATTCAGAGGAGTGGAAGGACAGGTGATTTTATCTAACATGGAACCATAGCCCCCAAATATGATGGAGCTGAGTAAAATCACTTGGTGGCCTGCCAGGAATGACACCACAGAAAATGTCATCAATGGTAATAGCAACAATAATATCTAGCTCCTCAACAGCATTTTATAATTTTGGAGAATATTTTCACATAAATCATCACATTTGATAGCCTTTTAAATTTTTATTTTAAAATGTATTTAACTTATTGAGAACTCTTACCTCACAATCATGCAAGCCACTTAAAATTTCCAGAAAGAAAACATAAATTTCCTATGAACTCAGCACTCTTCCCTGTTTGTCACTTTTGCTTTTGTTTCTCATGGATTTCATTCTTCTCTTCTCCAAAGTATTTCATCCTTATTTTGGTTCTTTCCTGTTCTCTTTTGCACACTCATCCGTCTGATTTCCAAGAACGTGATTCTCTTCTTTTATGTTTCCCCCCAAGGAAATGAAAGAAGAGTTTTGAAGAGACAGCTGCCCTCCATGCTCACGGCAGCATCATTCAAAACAGCTAAGATGAAGAAACAACTAAAAAAGTCTGTTGAGAAATGAATAAAGAAATACAATAATTTGTTTTTTTCTTCTTCCCACTTTCAACTTGTGAGACCCCATCACTGCCTTTTGGACTCTTGCTTCTTTTCTGATTCATGTTCCTGTTCACCATCACCTGCCCCACAGCACCCTCACAGGAAAAGAAAAAAAAAAGCCAAAACAAAACCGATCTCTTTGTTCACTGGATCAAAAGTCTTTTATTATAGTGCATTCAGACATTCAGAATACATATATGAGGCCTGCTATTCCTCACATGTTTGAGGGGAAGCAAGTAGTGTTTTTTACTTTTATTTTCTTTTGCCCTTGTTACTACCAAAACTACACACACACACACACACACACACACACACACACACACACCCTGTGTGCATGAATCTGCAGAAACTATTTTGTGAGTTCCTTTTACTATTTTACTGAGACATAGCATTAGTCTCACTTGTTGGTGGAAAATATTTGTATTTATCAAGGAACCTGACATCAGAAACCAGCTGGTCAATCTTACTTGCTTTCTAGTTGAGTCAACTCTATGTTGTTGAAAGGTCATAGGATTTGGGGAAAAAAAAGACAAAGATTTAGGCCAAAAAGACCTGTCACTCACTGGGACATGGATCAGACACTGAGTCCTCCCTGGGCACCAGTCATCTCTTCTGTGGAAGGGAAACCCTGCTTTCTGCACTGCCTCTCTCATGGTGATAAAAGGAATAATGGGATCGTGAATATAAATGCTTCATAAACTCTGAAGTTCTATAGGTTAAATTAAATAAGCTGGAGGCCACTAGCCTGAGTCTGTCTCCATACTTTGAGTTCCTACGTAGCAAAGTACAACCTAACTTAGCACTTAAACCTAACTTAGGAGTATAATAAACAGAAGTGTTTCAGCCAGTCACAGGCAGTCAACTCATCATACCGTACTCAAATAAGGCAGACATCTTAGCTGTGGCCAATAAAATGATTCTTCTACTTTACTTCTGTGTCTGCCAATAAAAGCTCGCTGCTCACTCTCCTAAAAAAAAAAAAAGCTCTCTGAACCTCTTCTGATTCTTAGAGTTGCCTGACGCCTGAATCATTTTTTGCTCATGTAAATTCTTTTAAATTTAATTTGCCTGAAGTTTTTCTTTTAACATATGCCTGAATATGATTCTTGATCATTTTTAAAGCCCCAAGTTTTAATTTGCAATGGTAGTATATCACAGTGGTCAGGAATATATAGACTTTGAAGGCAAAACGTCTGAGTTTATATCCAGGTTTTGCTGTTATAGTAGTGTGACCTTGCGCAAGTCATTACTTAACTTCTCTATGCCTCAGTTTTCTCATAATAATGGCACCTACATTAAAGGGTCATTATAATCCCATTACTAGTGGATATATGCAAAGTAGTTAGAAAAGTAGTAGGTACTTTATAAAGTCACCTGCTATTTTATTGTTGTTGTTAGTTTTTGTTATTTTATTTATTTTCATAATTTCATTTTTAACTTCTTTCTCTCCAAAGCACGAGCTAAAGATCTTTGTTGGCCTATGTTCAATGCCCACGTCTTCAGGACGGTTGGAGCTTCATCTTTATGGCTTACATTTTATGTTACTGATTCACACTTTCACTTCTGGGTGATTTTTCCTTATTGGTGTTCCTAGTGCCTTTGTTTTATTATTGTGAATGTGGTGTCATCTCCGGAAGACCAGATTGTGTTCAGCCTGCACACCATTTATCTCTTTAGCTTCTTTACTTCCCTCTTCTTCAGAATCTGACAGGTAAATTCTAATAGGAAAGCTTCAAACCCATAGAGATGGCTCTACATGAAGTGTTACTCATCAATCCCTCTGGTATTTTTTCACTGAAGCTTCGCTCATGGAGGTCTCCTGGTTTACAACACCTTCCTGTATTTCAGAAGCCTCTATGGCACAAAAGAGTTATGCATTGTCTTAGACAGAAAATAATTGTTTGATCAATCAGATCTTTGTGGATGAGCAACCTTTGATTTTTTCCTTTGGGCCTATTTTCCATTTTCCTTGAAGTTCACAGAAAACCAATCACCATCTCTTTGCTCTTGTATACCCTGGCTGCATTGTTTATCATTCCTGTTCTTCTTGTCAGACTTCATGGCAAGCTTAGTCTTCAATTTACAATCTTGTCCTTCTGTTTCTCTCAAAAAATGTTCCTAATGCCTCCTTTCTTCCTTTCTTCTAACTTTTTCAACTTTCTCCCATTTGCTATTAGCAGCCAGAGGTAAACCCAGTCACCCTATAACAGAGTGGACTCTGCAGTGAAAGGGGCTCACCCTGGATGTTTCTCTTCTCCAGGAATTCCACCTTGTGGCTTACTTTGTAAACGGTCATGGTGGCTGCTCCTTTATTTTGTTTTTCATTTTTGAATAGTCACACTGTGTTGAGCCGTTCCTTACCTCTATCCCTGCCACCCCGTCTCTTAGAGGATTCCTGCACAAGCTGTCTGTGCCATTTTCCTCAGTGTCACCTGCCCGTGGCTGCCGTGTCTTGAAAGCCCATGGCTACTTCCCTTTCCCATCCTGCTCACACTCAGAAGGCTGGGATTGGAGCTTTGATTCTTGCTTAAACTCTTCATTGCTCATCACTTTGATCCTGCCTTTGCGTATTTCTTCTTTTTGGTCTTTGATTTTGCTATTTCTGCTCAAATTTCTGCTTTTTTTTTTTTTTCCTATTTAAGAACTCCATTAAATGATTCCACAGCTGGAAATATCTATTTACTTCCCCAAAGATGGTGGCTTTATACTTTCCCTTGAAAGCCCCCCACCTCTCTCTTTCAAGTGTTCATTTTTCTCTGAAATTTTTGGAAGTGAGAATGGGCAGTCTTCATTTTTCTTAGCATAGTTTAAATTTGTTCTTTTATTTATTTATTTATTTATTTATTTAGAAGCAGTTTTGCTCTTGTTGCCTAGACTGGTGTGCAGTGGTGCGATCTCAGCTCATTGCAACCTCCGTCTCCCGGGTTCAAGTGATTCTCCTGCCTCAGCCTCCCAAGTAGCTGGGATTACAGGCATGCGCCACCATGCCTGGCTAATTTTGTATTTTTAGTAGAGATGGGGTTTCTCCATGTTGGTCAATCTGGTCTCGAACTCCCGACCTCAGGTGATCTGCCCACCTCAGCCTCCCAAAATGCTGGGATTACAGGCATGAGCCACCGCACCTGGCCTTGTTCTTGTTTTAACAGGAATCTGTTCTTCCTCCAAGTACTTCTGTCAATTTTGTGTCTGGGAAATTTAATGTAGCCTTTACTGAAGCATGACTAAAATAGGTACTATTATTCATTAACTCCACCACTCTGACCATAAATCCAGTCTAGTCTATTTCTCCACTTTTCTTGGTCAGCGAATGTTGCTGTAAGGACACTCCTCTAGTAGCTCATTCTCACAAGGCATGTTAGAAACCCACTGGCAACACCAGTCTTCTTGCTTTGTGTAGAATCTATTCTATGCATCATAAAAACTATTATTAAAATGATTTTTCAGGCAAAAATAATATTTAGTAGAATTTTCTGTGTTAGGCACTGTGCTAAGTATTTTCTAACATCAGCTTTGTTTTATACTTATAAAATACCTTATGAGGCAGGTAAAAAATAGTAGAACAATTTTATGGCTTTCTTTTTTTATAGGTAGAGATTTTATAGGTAGAAACTAAGGGTTGACAAGAGTATGATCCATTCAGTGGTAGAACCAGAATTCTAATGCATGTCTTCCAGTTTCCACGGTGCCACATGACACATCGTTTACCTTAACCTTTTTCATCATTAAAAAAGTCATGAAATATTTTAAGTATAATGAAAAGTAAATAACATAATCAGCATAATTGATTAAATTTCAACATTTTACCATATTTCTTTCAGAATTATTTTTATTATTAATAATAGTAGCAATATATTACATAAGTTAAATATTATCATAGATGCAGTTGAAGAGCTACATGGACTCCAGTTCAGTTTCATTATACTGAATTTGGTGTGTTATCATTCTTAGCTAATGTTCAGTGTTGTGCTGAGAAAGCGTTGATGTTTATTAGTTGATTTTGTTTGTGTTTTTTTCGTTTGTTTTGCTTTATGTTATTAAGAATTGTGTTTCTTTAATTAGTGTACTATTTCTTTCTGTGGTATTAGTAGATGGTTGAGGTCAGGGAGTACATGTAGAGGTAAAGCACCTGTCTATTCCATAGAGAACTAGATATGGGAGCTGGTTCTGAAGTTCCCAGAAGCTGAAGAAGAGTTTGTATTTTACAACGGCTGCTCAAGTCATTCTTCACTTAACTTTGGTGATTCGATTATTTTGAACAGTGGAATAAACTGAGCAATTCATTTTTGTTCAGTATGAGTAACTCTTGCTTATCTATGTAACCTTCTTTCACAAACAAAATGTCATTGTTAACTTGGCTTTTGTTTTTCTGACTTGTGAGTCAACTACAAAGTGGCATTAACAGAGACGTTGATACTGTATTTCCAGCTGTAAAACTGGGTTTTAGGAGAAATGGAGTAAAAAACGTGTATTATTAGAATGCCAAAGGCAACAGTTAACCAGGACTATCCCTAGATGCCTTACTAACTAAGTACTAGATATTTATATTTCTAAAAGCAAAGTTCTGATGGAAAGCTCTACCAACTTAGGGATTGCATAACTTATGAGGAATATTGGGAACTTCAATAAAAGGAAGAAAAGTTCACAAAACTAGCATTATAATGAGAAGTCGATAAATAGTATCTTTTAAAATAATAACTCTATAATTATTGTATGTTTACTTGGATTAAGCACAATGGAAACTACTTTAAATATATTTCCTTGTGTAATACTCATAATTACCCTATTACATATTCTTAGTCTCATTTTTTTAAATAAGGAAACCGGGGCTTAGAGAGCTTAAGCAATTTATGTAAAGTTACCCAGTTATTAAGTGAACAGGCAAAAATCTGTTTAAATTCTCTTAAATATCATCCTGGAGATTGACCTTTCTTCCAGCAAAGCCTGTCAGATCCTAGTATTTAATGTACTAAAGTAATCAGGCAAAGTAGGAAAAAATTAAATCAGAAAAGGAAAGATTTGTCCATTCCTTGTGTTTCTGCAGGAAACTCTACGTATTAGCCATCATGTCTAGCTTATACTGGATTTTCAATTATTTGACCTTTTGTCTGTTTCATTATCGCATCACTGGTTATTTTTGTCTTGTACGGCACCCAGTGTATATAGCATCAAGTACTAATAAAAGGAACTTCCAAATACAACACTTTTCCCTCTGGCTTAGTGGTGTCCAAGATTTATGAAACTACAATAACTTTATTTATTGCACAACATAACTCTCCCCAAAGGAGTTCTGCAATTTTCATTGTGTTTTTCCAGTTAAAGATAAGAGTAATTGGAAAATTAGTACTGTTTCAGAGATCGTCATTATGGTCTTAGGATATAGAAGACAACAAATGTAGTTAGATTCCCTGTTAACATAGTTTCTGCTACATAATAAGTCATCAATACATGTTATAGAATATTATTATTTGTCTTTAGTAAAATAAATCATAACAAGCATATACATACAAAAATGTAAGAATGAGATATATGGAATGAAAAATGCATAATGATAACTTTTAATAGGCAGCTGCTCTATCATGACAAAAAATACACAGGAAAGACATGAACTAGCTTTTGAGTTTATGATAAAAAATTTAGGCTAAAAAGCTATTTAATGTTTGGAAAATGAAATTTCTAATAGAAATTTTATTAGCCAGGCTCTAATTTATTTCTGTTCTAAAAGATAACCATGGATTAAATGAAATAAGAGTCTCTGCTTTCCTAAGAACTTACATTACATGAAAACATTGCCTCAGTCTCAGTCCCTGCTAACAGTAATTTTCATAGTACTTCCCAATAATTTTTACATAGACTATTTTAGCCTTTAGAAAAATGCTCTAATAAAATAGCTGCAGCAATTTGCAGACAGGGAAGCTGAGAAGAAGAGGTTAAGTAAGTTACACAACCATGTGGAACAAACGGCCCACATTTTCCATCTCCAAATCAGGATATTTCCAAAACTCAACTTCACATCTGTGGTGTGTAGCACATTCCTAGCACGAATTATCATAATAAACAGAGGGAAATTCACTTTAAAACAATAAATTATTATGCTTGGATAATGGCAAACGATGGGTCATTACTCAATTAACAAATTTGTAAATTTGTGTCTTAAAATTGTTTGACTAGATTTTGGCTTGTGTGGTTGGCAAAGAGGTTGTGAAGTTCAGATTTCCTGCTGTGGAGAGCCTAATTTACTCACCACCCCATATGGACCTCCTACTGTGTTTCTTCCTGCTACTCTCAACCAATGACTGACTGCATTGGGTACTAGGGCAGGCTCAGTCCTGTGGGAGGTAGGACTTTTCATAGGTGTTAGCCTCTGAAGGCTCTCCCTACCTTCTCCTGATCCCTCCGTCAATAAATGTCTCACACATCTAATCTCAATTTGGAATCTGCTTCTTAGTGAACCTGAACTAATGAAATTTGTATCATTGCCCTTCCTCATGTTCCCCTTTTCAATTAATTAATGTGTCCATTCTCCATGTCTACATGGATTTTCTCCTTTCTATGTGGAATCTCCAAAATGTAAGTGCAGATCCATATAGCTAGATCTGATAACTAACTGGTTGGGAATGAAATATAAATGCAGACTTTCCCAAGCTTGTTTAAATCTTCCAGAGCCTATTAATGTAAAATCAAAAGTCAGGGAGATATGTGGTCAAATTGGGATAAAGAAGGGCATAGTGAATCTCCTCTGCAGGTTTGTAGTCCACTTTCACCTTTTAAAGAGTGAGAAAACCTATCATTGAACAAAATAGAAAGTTTAATTTTGTTTCTCTATTTAAGTTTATCTGTTTACACCATATTTATTTATTATTTTCTCAAGAAAGGAATATTTTCCCCCAGGAGAATATTCCTCTCCACCACTTCTGTTTCTAAGAGTTCTAACCATCTTCAGCTGCAATATGCGTCACTTATAATCTCCCTCTAACTTTGTGTGACTGTGGAGCTTAAAGTTGGAAAGCATCTCCTCAGAGAGAAAGACTATTGGTGAACTATTTTTTTTTTTTACTATTCACAATAAAATTACAACTTACAGACTGCAAATTGAATAGTATCATAATACATGTTATTTTTCCAAAAATTGACATACCATAACTTAGTGGGTTTGTATTTGTGTGTGTAGGATGTGCTTAGTATTACATGCTGTGTTTTACTGCAAATCTCTGTTATGGATCATTAGCTGAAACTTATGTTCATCCATAAAAAAATTAGGTCCCACAAAGGTGAATTTTACCCAAAACATTTTCTCCTCCTTCTAAATTAAAATCATCAAAAGATAATAATAACCAAGACAAAGACTAATTCTGAATAGAATTTTATCACACCCTATTTTACAGAGAAGGGAAGAGATACACAGGGAGTTTACATAACTTGTCAAATGTCACTTGGCTAAATCGGTAGGTTAAATAGGGATATGAACCCAGCTGGTTTCATTCTTAACCACTCCAGATTATTACCTCTCAAAGTCTTGGGAATTAGTTCAGCAACAGTATTTTAAGCAATAAGATTGGCAGTTAGAAGGCAAGGGAGCTTCAGTTTTAAAATTCTGACTGAAAAGACTCTTAGCATCAAATTTTATACCCAGATACACTATCAGATGTGATGATAAAATATTTCTGATATATTGGAGCTGAAAAACTAACTTATTACCACCTTATTTCAGGATGATATTATAATATGTTTTTGAACAAAAAATTAAAGAAAAAAGAGATCAAGAGGAAAATTTTACATCTAGCAAAAAGAATAACTAATGTAAGTGAGCATCAAAAGAAATATTCAGGTTTATACCTGGAAAGAAGACCTTCACAGAAAATAGTACAAATTAGAACAGAGGGCAAATCTGAGTATATGAAAAATAATGCTTTTGGGCCTATGGCAGAGATTAGAATTCTTGAAAAAATATCAGTTACTTTATGGAAAACTAGGTAAATGAAAAATTGAGGAAATAACTCCAAAAAGAAGAGCAACAACAGCATCAGAGGGCTTATAGGAAAGATGGAAGTAGAATAGTGAACAATATTTGGATACTCATAAGAATGTGAACTATCGATTTTACTAAAAGCTGTGATATAACTATGTTAGGAAGCTGGGAGTAGGTGAATCTGGGATGGTAGTGGGTGTAGAAAAGCTAATCCTCATCTCCAATTGTAGGTTATAAGTATATAATGTGTAAAACTTAGATAGATTGATATACACACACATAGAGACACATGAAATATATACATATATATATATGTCTGTGTGTGTGTATGTGTGTGTGTGTATCCATTCTCTTAGATGGGTGAGATCCAATTTGATCTTCCTATTTGTGGTTTCATTGACATTCCTTCCTTTTGCTAGGCATATATATATATACACACACACATACACACACATATACATATACGTAAATATAACAGATATATATATATAAGTCTAGCAAAATAAACATACTATTTAGACATATGAAAGCTAAGATCATGTGAAATAACCAGAAAAATTAAGAAGAGTTACCTGTGGAATAAAATGCCTGAGGAATGGGATGGGGTGGAACAGGATACTCTTTCACTTTAAGACTTTTAGAATTATTTGACTTTAGAAATCATTTACAGTTGTTACTGATATAACATTAAAACTATTTAGAAATTAAAAATTAAAAAACATTTTTACTATGTCTTTCCCTATTTATCAAGGGGGAGTTTGGAGCAGGAACAGAACTTGGGGGAAAAGAGAGAGCTGTTGTTTCCTTTGAGCATAAAAGTAGCCCTTGAATATCTTTGCATGAGGTATTAGGGCAGGAGTGGACAGAAGCAGGCAGGAATGTGACCTATGGATTTGAAACATTAGTTCTCAGTCCTCAGATCATGAGCCATGAAGAGAAGGTCACCAAAGGTTGTAACTATTTTTTTTTCTTTGTTGCCTGCTTCCATCAGTGCAAGCCCAGGTCCTGGCTCATTCTGCTCTACCCCCGCTGTGGAAATGGGGAGGACTGCCTGCCTTTCTGTCCATCCCACCCTGGCTCCCCTCACCAAAAGTGGTGGGGGTGTGGGGTTGCTGGTCGGGCTGGACTGTGAGCACTGACAGGGCCCATTAATCATGCATGTGGCAGGCATGCTATCTCTTTCATCTCCCCTGGGCTTGATTATTTAGGGCAGCCGTGGTGTCCTCTCACTCTCTCTCTAACCATATGCAAATATTTACTCCACTGATTTGTGTGCCACATCCTTTGGTTTCTTTCCTGATCATGAAGCTGATCATAGGAGTGAGATCTAAAGTTTAGGTGTGGGCTTTGGAGTGGGTGGATGCCAGCCTTAGCCCAATTTGGACATTAGCTCAAGCCAAGATATGCCAAGCCAGCTATTTCAGAGAGCCCTGTTTTTAGGCTTGGGTCTTCACCTAGCTTGCAATAAAATGCTACTTTATTTGTTAATTGTCTACTGATCCTTTCACAGGGATCATTTGGGAATCCTATTGGGGGCTGGGAAGGTAGATGGTTTGGAGGGCAAGATTCTGGTATTCCTGGGTCCCGGCTTCTCATCACCATTTAAAAAAAGAGACCCACTTTCACATTTACCTTCACTTCTAATAGACATCATGAAGAATAAATAATCATACTTACTTCATGGAAAGACTTTTTTATGTACAAATGTAAAGACCCAAGAACACATTGTTTATAGTCTTGTTTTCTCACAAATCCTTATACAACAGACCTTGATTATTCATGAGAGACCTAGGGATATTCATAAAGTCCTCTCCAGTCTAGAAGTCTAGATTGCCTATTGGAATTTCCATTCTTTCATGTGCTTTTATAATAATAATTATTATCATTTTATTTCTATTGAAGAATCAGAAACAAAACATTCCACATTGTGTACGTATATCCAAATATCACATTGTACTCTATAAATGTATATATTTATGTTTTGTCAATCAAAAATAATATTAACAATACATTAAAAAATAATTTTAAAAGAAACAAAAGGTCGTGCAAACAAAAGCCAAAATAATAATATGTCTTACAGTAAGTAAAGAATTAATAAATGTTGGGAAAAAACCAACATTCTGGTTATGGGCATTGATCTAATAAGTGTAGTTCCCCCCACCGAGCAATTTCATTATAAAAATGAAGATCATATTCTCTCTACTCAAATTAGAGGATTTCTAATTTTATGCAACTGATTCATCACTTAAATTCAGTAGATGAAACTCTAGCCACAAGACTTATTTCATGTAGGCTCTCACTAAATCACTGTACAATCAATGTATGGATTTGTGTAGGGGTTGGATAGAAGTATTTATCTTTATTTCCCTAATTGTCAGAAAATCAAATTTTGTCATTTAAACATTAATTTCCTCAGTCATTGCATCATGAGAAACTAGGAATCTGAAATTTGTCTCTCACTAACCTAACAGTTTTATTTGAAAAGTAGGTCCAACCCAAAGTCATCCCTCTTGAGAACAGACAACATGAGGTGGGCTTGCTGGGAACGTGTCTAACTACGGACCCTGAATTTCTTGGCCATGGAGTATATATAAGTTGAGTGATTTTTCTCTTGGAAGCTCCTGTTACTTATCCAGCTTCATGTTTTAAGCCTAAGCATTTTGCTGCAAGGAAGTCATTCAAATGTGTTGAAATATTAGTCTCCCACTGAAGAATTTTAAAACAACATGTTATTTCAACACTCTCTGCTTCAATAATCAGTTGTTTCCAGGCTCCCTGAGCCTCAAATCATATCACAGCTAAATCTTTCTTCTGCACATTATCTGAATATTTACCTTCCTGTCCATGTGGAAAGTAAAGACTGATTTCGATCTGGCTGTGAGAGAAGCCAGGTTGATGCTGGCATGGGAACATCTGTTAGATGGCTGAGCTCCAGCTCGGTCGTCCTATTTGTGGTTTTATTACTTTTGTCTCTTTCTTTCCTTGTACTGTTAATATTTTAGAAAAAAAAGATTGACATTTATTAAAATGAAAGTCTACATGGAAGTGCTAATTAAACTGAATGACATAAAAATCTCAACTGTCATCCAAAACATGTTCATCAAATGACACACAAATGATCACCAAGAGTCAGAATGTATTCTTCAAAACCTCTGGAATTGATTACTTTTGCTCATCGACTTCTTATAATAAGTGTCGCTTTGTTTTGTGCTTTACCTTTATTTTAATAATGAAATTAAGTAAGTTAAACATATATCAATTAAGCATGGAAAATGTCACTCATGTTAAAAAGGCACTCAAAAATCAGTCACTATTCCAGACACTGTGGAAGTGATACAAATAGATGAATGGTAATGCCTCTCCTACTAGGTCTACCAGGGAAAACTGGCATATACATTACTAATTCATGAAAGATCGTAATAAATAATATAAAATACATAAAATGCTATGCAAATATGGAGGGCGAAGGGATGGCTTCAACAATTTCTAATATATGTGTGAAAAGGATAATAAAGTATTACATAAAAATTACCCCATAAAATCCTCACGCATTTCCCCAACTTGTTCTTACAAAGACCATCCATTTTTGACCCGTGTTAAGCCCATCCCTACCCTCTGTCACAATTCACACTCCACAAAAGCTCTACAAATTACTGCCCACACATTGAAATTGGTTTCATATGCCTTCTGTCCCCAGCTGCCTGCACCCTGGCGATGACTGCCTTGCAACACAGTCATGAAGGGCGTCGCCTGTGTGGTTAGCAGAGTGTAGGTTAGGCCAGGAAGTCTTGTGTGAAAGAGTAGCTGTTGGTGGTTTGGCTTAGAGAGCAGGAGTCTTGCCAAGGATGGCTTTGCTGCTAGCTTTAGAAATGATGGATGGTGGCCACAAGGCTGTTTCTTCCTCAGGACTCAGAAAAAGTTTATGAAAAATGACACGATTGTACACAGATGATCTTGGCGAGCCACTCCAAGCTTACACACAGAGCCTATACTCTCCCTTGGTCAGAGGATATTTAACACGGGTGGTATTGCCTGGGGATTTTGAAGCTCTATATGCACTTGGAATTGGCTATAAAGGGTATCCCTGAGCAGAACAGTCAGAGATATTGAAAGTCCTCTACACACAAGCCACATACACTACACCTTCTTATACACCACATATATACACCACACACAGGTCATATACACCACACTTTCCACTGTATACCACGGATGTGGCCTTGGTATTTGTTTATTCATTGTTTTGTATTTTACAGTCCTTGCTCACCCTAGGGGTCAACATGAGGAAGGACAATAATTTGAGTTAAATTCCCAGAATACCTTTGACATTTCCTTTGCTTATTTCTTTAATGCTAACCCTCTGTAAGAGTGGAGTAATATCTTACCACATGACCATGAAAGTTTTGTGTAATAAAAGGAAGTGAACCAAGATGAATAAGATAAGATGCAGAACAAAATTTCCATGACATTTTACGCTGTTCATACAATAAAAAAATAAATAGAGAGACACATAGCTGACTTTGCATTAAGAATTAGGAAAAGCAGGGCACTTAGGATAAGAAGGTACATTCGTGACCTCTTGGACCAATGTCGGTCCAGTGCGTTGACATTTCTGGAACAGCATCTGGACATCAGGCATTTAACCAGATCATTGGGATTTAAAGACATGTAAGACGTGGTTACTGAATCCAAGGAGCTCACTGATCGAGAGAGGACACAGGCCAGCAATCTCTCACAGTGCCCTGTGGTAAGGGCTGAGACAGCCACCATACTCAGTTGCGCTGGGAACACAGAAGCAGCTCTCGGGGCAGACCCATAGGGAAGATGGAATAGGCTAAGGGAAGAGAAAATATTTGAGGTGGGTATTTAAAGATGAGCACAACAATCTCCTTAATCTATACATGGGAAAAATAGTGAGGCCCGGAACGATGTAGAAACGTTACCTGCGGGCCCAAAGATAACAAGCCAGTGTCCCTCTCTGACTTGGAAGAAGGAGGAGGGAAGAATCAGAGGGTAAAGAGCTGGGCAGCTGGACTGGTATGTGAATATCCGAGGCAGCCAGACACGCTGCATCGTGGGAGGGAAGAGTTCAATGCTTTCTGACAACAACATCAGTGGACATCTCAGGAATCCAAGAGAAACGGGGATGCCACCAGGTGGCAAAGGGGTGTGTGAGGACGCTTCCAGATCAGCTCTGCAGGAGAATATACATTTATTTTACTCCTTTTATTTGTAAGAAAATGTATTGAATTGTTAAGCATATTTTGTCCTGGTTTTAGCCGTTAAAAAATTCCAGTCAGTAAAATAACATCTGAGGATGCACAGAATGAGAGGGGCATTCGGGATCTTTCCTTCCACAGAGCCCCTCTGCTGGCTCGCCACCCCGTGAACCTCATTCAGCTCAGGCTGCTATTCAGAGAGAGCCCGCGGTCCCCGCCCCTATGCAAGAGCTTAGGGGGGGAGTTAAGACCGCTGCACAAATATATGAAATAAAAGGGCTATGGCAAATGAGTCATTTAAAGTATAAGGAATTGGGCTGGGCACTGTGCCTCACTCCTGTAATCCCAGCACTTTGGGAGGCCGAAGCGGGTGGATCACTTGAGGTCAGGAGCTCCCAGGCTGGCCAACATAGTAAAACCCCCTCTCTGCTAAAAATACAAAAAAATTAGCTGGGTGTGGTGGCCTGCACCTGTGATTCCAGCTACTCGGGGGGCTGAGGCAAAAGAATTGCTTTAACCCGAGATGGAGGCTGCAGTGAGCCGAGATTGTGCCACCGTACCCCAGCATGGGCGACAGAGCGAGACTCCGTCCCAAAAAGGAAGAAAAGAAGGAAGGAAGGAAGGAAGAAAAGAAGGAAGGAAGGAAGGAAGGAAGGAAGGAAGGAAGGAAGGAAGGAAGGAAGGAAGGAAGGAAGGAAAGAAGGAAGGGGAATTGGAATTTTTTTCCTCCTGGAAATGCTTTCCTCTCATGGTGTCTATTGGATTCCTTCTCTCGTTTGTCTTAGTTCATTCCTGGCTGTTCTTTGTTCCTGACTTCTCTTCTTTTGCGTGCAACCGAGACATTCTTTGGAGTTCCACGCTTGACTTTTCCTCTACCTGCAGGTCCCCCAGCTTCACTGGCAATGCTTACTGGAGCCTTCCAGAACTCATTCCCACACCCAGGGCCCCTTAGCTCGAGGTGTGCCATCTGCACCCTGGAGGCTTCTCAAACTTATTACACCTGAGAACACACTCGGTAGCTTCTTCCTATTTCTTCTGACAAATGATGTTGCTGTCACACCTGGGCCAGAAATCTGGACACCAGCCCTGCCTTCACCCCATGCTAACCCTGCATATGCCCTGGCCAGCATCAGGCTGTTGATTCTGCATTCGTATCTTCTCTATGTCACAGACCAGAGTCATTGGCTACAAGGTACAGAAACTTTCTCAAGGCAGATGAGGTAAGGGGAGCTTGTTGTAAAACCATGGCAGACAATTCCATGGGCACCCAAGGGAATGACAGACTCAGCAAGCCATAATGAGGGCTGTGACTGGAACTGGAAATTCAAGAGCCAAGGATGTTCTCTCTATCACTCAAGAGCCCCAGAATCTCTTTCTTTGCTCCTGATTCCTTTCTATTTCAAGAGAAATCATGTCCTGTCTGAAGCTGTCTCTGAGTCCAGGGATCCACGGATATGGAGCACTGGACACGTGAGCCTGTGGCTCAGCCTGCTCCTGACTTGCCTCAGGGCCTATCAGGTTACACTCTCATCCTACTCCTGCATGTCTGCCTTGCCCACCACATTCTCCAAAGACTGTGAGCTCTGTGAGGGCTGTGATTGTGTCTCACTCATCTTTGTATTCCCCAGAAGTCATCACATTCCCTGGCACATAGTGACATGCAATAATGCTTGCTGACTGGACATCTGTCTCTACACAGACAGTGCACACATTTGCCATAACCTCAGTACAGACCACGTCATCTCTGAATGACTGCGAGAGTCTCAAGTTCATCTCTGGTTTCTACTACTTGCCCCCTGTTTGGACTGACCTGTTTCCCTTTGTCCATGTGAGTGTATCCTCTGCAGAATGGCTGGAGTGACTATGGTGAAACTCAGGTCAGACAATGGCATGTCTCTGCTCAAAATCTTCCCGTGGCTTCCCATCTTGCACTGATGCCAAATTCTTACAGGTGTGAAAAGCACTGTAGGATCCGACCCTGCACTGCCTCCTGCAACTCCTCCTAACACTGCCCAGTCACTGGGCTCCAGCCACAGCAGCCCCTCACTGTCCCCCATCACAGCCTTCTAGGACGCACTTGACCCACCCTTTGCCTGGAAGCCTCAGGCAGAGATCTTCACGGCTGCTCTTTCACATCCTCTAGGTCTCCGGTCACATATCAGTTTATCACAAAGGTCTGCACCCCAAACCCTCTATATAAGGAAATACGCCCATTGAGGTACCTCTATGCCCCTTTTTTTGCTTTGATCTTTCATGTAGCATTTTCAAAATGAGCACCTATTATATCTTTTGTACTAATGTTATGCTGTGTGTCTCACATCTCTTGAATATCTGTTCCTTAAAGTGACAGACTTTTAAACTGTTCACCGATATATCTCAATACCTAAAATAGTGCTTGACACAGTTGATTCCGAAAAAATGTTTTTTGAAATGAGTGCATAAGTCATTGGAAAGATATTTATAATGCTGTTTTTATTTGCTTTTCTCCAGTTTTAACCTGCTCTGTGACTTTATGTTTCTGCTACCGTAAATCTATTATTTGTTGCCAAATCGGCCACACATCCTCTGGTTTTATTGTGTGGTGGTGGCAGGCGGGTGGGGGGGCAATCTTTGTTTTAAGGTTTAAATTAAAGTGTAGTGCACTTCTATCCCAAGGAGAAGAAAAAGATCATATAGAGATGAATGGAAATTAGAGGTATGAGTGGTATATTAGTCAGGGTTCTCTAGAGGGACAGAATTTACAGGATAGATGTATACATAAAGGGGAGTTCATTAAGGAGTATTAACTCACACGATCACAAGGTGAGGTCCCACAGTAGGCTGTCTGCAAGCTGTGGAGCAAGGACACCAGTCAGAGTCTCAAAGCTGAACTTGGAGTTCGATGTTTGAGGGCAGGAAGCATCCAGCACGGGAGAAAGATGTAGGCTGGGAGGCTAAGCCAGTCTAATTTTTTCACATTCTTCTGCCTGCTTTATACTAGCTGTGCTGGCAGCTGATTAGATGGTGCCCACCAAGATTGACAGTGGGTCTGCCTCTCCCAGTGCACTGACTCAAATGCTCATCTCCTGTGGCAGCACCCTCACAGACACACCTAGAAACAGTACTTTGCACCCTTCAATCCAATCAAGTTGACATTCAATATTCACCATCACAAGTGGTCAACCATGCTGTCTAAACCCTGTGTATGTATGTGTGCCTGCTCCCGTGTGCATACAGAAGTGTGTGTGTAGGAATGCACATGGCGTGTATGTGTGTAGACACTTCTGTAGCACTGTCCCTGCATGTGCAGGTGCATATGCAATTATTCCCAACACTGTCCATTGAGAGGGCCGAGAAGGAGAGACAGCCTAGGAGCAATGAGGGTGCTTAGTGTTCAAATCTGTCTCTGTATGAAAAGGAAACAAGAATCCTCGGGGTGATGGCAGAGAAAGTAGGAACAAGATGTGCCAGGAATATCGTGTTGTGCCGGAAGTTAAGGAAGTGCTTAAAAACATAATGGGGGCATGTCGCAGAGACACAAGAGCCAGCCCAGAAGGAATCCCATTGGCCAAATCTGAGACATTTTGAGCATCATAATTATTAAATTCAGTAGTTAACGATAAACCTTTGAAAACCTAGGAATGTCTAAGTCCATACAGCTAATAAATAGATAAATAAAGGGTAGCAGGAGGACTCTTGATTGCAGTAGAATGCTGGGTGCTGCCTAGTAAATATGGAGGGAAAGCTGAGGACAGAAAACCATTATGTGCAAACTTTATGATAAAGACTGGGTCAGAAATGAACAGACAATGGGTGCTAGATTTGGGGGATGTTTTAAAGAAGAGCAAGACATCCTCGTGATTTTAAATATCTCCTTACAGATTGCTTATTGTTGCAAGAGGGGAAAAAAGCAGTGATTCCACAGTGGTGAAATCAAGCACCTCAGGCAGGTGATCAAAATTAATATCATCAGTGAGGGACAGTTGATCTAATATGTCTCCAGGTACTTTGAAAAGTACTCAATATCGTCTATGAGGTATGTGGGGTGAAAATGCACAATCTGAACATGTTTACAAGAAAGTGTCAGATAAACTCAAAATGGGGAACATTATACTTTTTTAAACAAGGTGAGCAGTATTATTCAAATCCTTTTAAAAAGTATTATTCAAGTTGTTATTCAATGGCATTAAAAAACAAAGAACGATGTAGAGGTGTTCTAGAAAAAATAAGGATAAAAGGATATAAATAGCAAATAAATAACTGAGCCTAGCCCAGATTCTCTTCTAGAAAAGAAAAAGGGTTATTCAGGACATCAGTGAGCCACGTGTCAGACTTGGAATGTGGATGGCAGACTAAAGTTACTGCATCAATGTTAAATTTACCAATGTTGATAAATATACTGTTACTGCTAAATGAATATTACTATTCATAGGAAATGCACGCATAAGTATTTAAAAGTAAAGATTCAGGATGTATATAATTTGCTCTCAAATGTTTAATGCAAAAACCTATGGAAAGTGTTTAGTCATATAGAGCAGATGACAGCAAAATGGGTCAACTCTAACAAGACAGGAGTCTGAGCAAAAGGTATATAAGTCTTTCTGCACTATTTTATTTATTTATTTATTTATTTATTTGAGACACAGTCTTACTCTGTCGCCTAGGCTTGAGTGCAGTGGTGTGATCTCGGCTCACTGCAACCTCCGCCTCCTGGGTTAAAGTGATTCTCCTGCCTCAGCCTCCTGAGTAGCTGGAATTACAGGCATGCTCCACCTCGCCTGGCTAATTTTCGTATTTTTAGTAGAGACAGGGTTTTGCCATGTTGGCCAGGCTAGCCCCGCCCTGACCTCAGGTGATCTGCCTGCCTTGGCGTCCCAAAGTGCTGGGATTACAGCTGCACTAATCTTATTCTTCAATTTTCAGTAAGCTTGAAATCATTTCCAAATATGTTTACTTATTTTTATTTTTTTTATTATTTTTTTGAGACAGAGCCTATCTCTGTTGCCCAGGCTGGAGGGCAATGGCGTGATCTCAGCTCACTGCAACCTCCGCCTCCTGGGTTCAAGTGATTCTCTTGCCTCAGCCTCTCGAGTAGCTGGGATTACAGGTATGAGCCACCACACCTGGCTAATTTTTGTATTTTCAGTAGAGATGGGGTTTCACCATGTTGGCCAGGCTGGTCTCGAACTCCTGGCCCCAAGAGATCCAACCACCTTGGCCTCCCAAAGTGCTGGGATTACAGGTGTGAGCCACCACGCCTGGCTAATATTTGTATTTTCAGTAGAGATGGGGTTTCACCATGTTGGCCAGGCTGGTCTCGAACTCCTGGCCCCAAGAGATCCAACCACCTTGGCCTCCCGAAGTGCTGGGATTACAGGTGTGAGCCACCATGCCTGGCCTGTTTAATGTATTTTAAATGCACCACAACATATTAGGTAAAGATTATATGAGCCCCATATTAAGTCCTGGAATTTCTGCAGACCCCTGGAAAAGTCCATCTGCTCTACTGCCTGCCTCTACTATTAACTCTCCCTCGTTGATGCGTATGGCCGTCACCTCTCTGTGCCCCATGCAGTGTGGGATGAAAAGCACTAGCGATGCTGGTGGGTGTGCAAGACACCTCTGTTTAAGTTTCAGAGATAGGAAGAGTGTGATATAATAGTACAATAAACAACTGAAAATTAATTATAAGATACCCTTGTTCTTCAATTTTCCCAGCCATCTGAGTGAATGGGGATGGTTCTCTCTCTCGGTCTGTCCTTAGGTGCTGGCCTCTCACCTTGGGGCCCTAGACCTCTCATCTTCCAGCACTTTCCAGCTCATGATCCTCCTCCACACTTTCTCTAGGCCATAATCACACTGAGCCATCCAGTGTCTCTTCCTCACCCATGCGCAACACCCAGGTCCCTAGAAGAGAAGCCTCATCAGTGTTCTCTTAACAAAAGGACCCAAAGAAGAGAAAGGTGAGCAGAAATTACCAACATCCTGTCTGCTTTACCCCCAAAACTGCGCAAAGTTCTTTACAGACATGATTTTATTTAAATGTCACAAGTCTCCAAGACATAGATATTAATACTGTTATGATTCCCATTTTCCAGGTAATGAAACTGCCACGTATCAGTAACTGGCTAAGGTTTTATGCCTAAGCTCCTAATTTTCCCTAATTAAGCCTCAAATATAAGTTTCTACTGAGATGGCTGACTTTCACCTCCAGAGAAGACAAACACAAGAGTGTGAGATGTCTGCAAAGAGAAATAAGCATAACATAGATGCGGCATACCTATTTTATTTTATTTTTATTTACTTATTTTAGAGACGGAGTCTTGCTCTGTTGCCCAGGCTGGAGTGCAGTGGTGCGATCTCAGCTCACTGCAACCTCCACCTCTCGGGTTCAAGCGATTCTCCTGCCTCAGCCTCCCAAATAGCTGGAACTACAGGCGCATGCTGCCATGCCCAGCTAATTTTTGTATTTTTAGGAGAGACGGCGTTTCACTATGTTGGCCAGGCTTGTCTTGAACTCCTGACCTCGAAATCTGCCCGCCTCGGCCTCTCAAAGTGCTGGGAATACAGGCGTGAGCCACCACGTCCGTCCTCCTATTTTATAAAGTACTTAGTTGCTATACTTTGATTAGCACCCCTGGGAAATCCCAACATAGAACTTTGCTGCCATCTAGTGCCCCTTCTGCACCATGATCCTCATTAAGATGTCTGCAATTCAGTTCTGCCTGTGTAAAATCAATACCTGAAATTATCATAGAGGGGTATAGTGTATATTTCACTTGTATGTCACATCTTGGGGCAGAGGTTTTTCAAGCCCAAACCACACTGAAATTTCTCCTGGAAATTAACCTGAAGTGCCAAGTGACTGTCACCAATCACGCTTTCATATTGGATCAATGTTTTTGTTAAAATGCTTAGCCCTACAGGACAGTTTACAACGTTTGTTTACATACTCTAAATATTTAATCTGCATAAAATACCTGTGGATTAAATATAAGTATCTCCACTTTATAAATGAAAAAGAATGTGGCTCAAAGACTTTAACTTTCTCAAGTCCCCACGGTTAGTTAACAATAGGTCTGAAACTTCAATTCATTTCTTTTTAATTAAAGCCCAGACTCCTTCCCTTCCCTTCTTTCCTGCCCCGACACCACCTTTCTTTCTCCTCCCTCCCTTTCTCCCGTGCTGGATGCTTCCTGCCCTCAAACACTGAACTCATTCCTTCCTTCCTTCTCCTCCTCCTCCTCCTTCTTCTCCTCCCCCTCCCTCCCTCCCTCCTTCCCTCCCTCCTTCCCTTCCTGCCTGCCTGCCTGCCTGCCTGCCTGCCTGCCTTCCTGCCTGCCTTCCTTCCTTCCTTCCTTCCTTCCTTCCTTCCTCTCTCTCTCTCTCTTCCTTTCCTCCTCTTCTCCTCCCTCTCCTGATTCCCTTTTTTGCTCTTTCTCTTCCTGACTCTCCCCAGGTATTTATTGTGCTCTGAGGCTGACTTCATTGAGTGGCTCAAGTCACACGCAGTTCCTCTGCCCTCTTCAGGCATGTGGCATAGTCTGGCCAGTGAGATGTAAGCAGATGCCTGCTGTGGGGTTCTAAGAAAGCCTTTAATATCCGGATATTAGGAGCTGCCCTTTTCTCTTGCCCTCTTTCTCCTGGAGTAAGGGCATGTGGCTCAAAGCATAAAATGGGGAAAACAAAACAGAGAGACTTGAAAGACTTGGGTGCTGATGTAGTTGAGCCTGTGAACATCCACCCATTCACCTGGGAGTGCACATTATAGAAGAAAGGCGTTTTTTTCCATTTGCTTAAGCCACTGTAGTCAGGGTCTTTGAAACATTCATTGGGAGCATTCCTAACTGAAACCGAGCCGACAAGTCATAGCACTGGGCGAGGACCAAGTCAGCACCTGGTGAAGCTCGCAGCTCCACCACTGTGTCCTGCAGAGGGCCCAGGTTGTAAGAGGCTGTCCCAATTCGGAAGGACAACCTTTCCCCAACCTTTTCCTTCTATAACTGCTTTAAATAGTTTTATATCAAGAATATTTCTCTCAAGAATATCAACTAGATTTGAAAGAGAATAAAAATTCAAGAGATAGAAACCATTAGAGGAAAAGAAACCACATTTTGCCTTAAATAAGAGTTGACAATAACCTGCATGGTCAAAGTGTGTTAGTTTTGTGAATCATTTTCTGGAACCCCCAGGCCACAGATATTCTACTCAGGCCAGAAAATTATAGCTTGACCCTGGCCCCATTTCTTCCTTGGTACCCCTTTGTATTCATTCTTTCTTCTTTATCCACTCCCTGATGCTCAGAACAGATACAAATAGCTGTGTGTAGCAAACCCATTGCACGTTTTCATCCCAGCTTCCCTGGAAGCTTTCATGCTGAAATAAAAACCAGGAGGAATGCATTGCAAAGAAGGCTCTGAGCAAATCACCCCTCTCCTCAGGCCATCTCCCTTTCTGTTGGGCCCATCATGTCTCCGCCAGCTCAGTGACCTTGAACTGCTGCTGCCACCCTCCTCAGGCGAGGTGCAGCCTCTCTATAGAAGGCCCCTGAGGTTCCCTTAAGCAGCTCAGGGTCTCCTTCCAGGACTTGCCTCCTCCCCTTTGTTCCAAGACCTGTTTGGAGATTTCCATCCTGCACCTTGTACTTCTAATTTTTTTACTTCTCTTTCCAGGCCCCGTGGATAGCATTGTTAATGGGACAGCTCAGTTGCTTCCATCCTTCCCCCAGATGCCCTTTCACTCTCCCTTGGCTTCATGCCACTTGGCTTTGGGCTCCTTCTTTGTGGCCACGTGGTCTTGTGTAACTCCAGACCCAGATCCAGCCAGGAGTTCAGGTACTTAACATGTGGGTGGGTGACTTTTTACAGATTAGTTTGCCTGCATTAAAATGGCATGTCAGTCCTCCTAAATTAACTTTCTATAATTCTTCTAAACATCAGGATGCTGCCACAGGGACAAACCAGGAGTGTCCCCCTGTGGCCCCCCCCCTAGAGAAATCTCCTGTCCCATTCCCTTTATCAACATGGCAGGATCATGTGTCCATTGGTCAGTGATAAAAGTTACAAAATAATGAGTCAATAGTCCCAGCTGTCAACAGATTTGGTTCAGGGGCTGCCAGATGGGCAAATAGAGTGGTAATTCCTACAGTGGCTTTTGGGTACAGGGTTAAGTCCTTCTTGGAGAGCTAAAGTCAAGGAACTTTTGGCTGACAGGAAAAAAATGTAAAAGAACTATGTAAGGGAGCAGATGGCAAGGACTTCTTCCCAACTACTGGGAGGTTCTATACTTTTCCAAGGGCCAAGTCTAACAAGCATTGATAAACTGCATCATTTTCTTCTTTGCCCCTGATATCTACACAGCTGAGCCTCTTTAACCACATCTTTCTTTCTCAGAAATTTCCAGGGAAGACCCAGTAGAGATGAGGGTGATGGAACATTTGCCACATTTCTTTGGCTTCTGCGGCTAAAGAGCGGATCCTGGTCTAGATGGGATGACAGCTTGGAATACCAATTGCTATCTTTATCTGTTCTAAGGATATAGATTAAACCTGTGTAGCTTACAGAAAGAAATTTTATTTTAAGGTGGCTACCTGAATACCTATGTCAGAGCAGCCATCTTGCCAATAGCCACCTGGGTAGGGGATAGGACTGGATTTGCCCAGATCTTACTGGTGATCATAGGATTTTGGAACTAGAAGGATCATCAAGCTCTATGGATTTTCAAACTGTGCTCCATAGAATACTATTGGGCCACAGAGTTCACTCAGGAGTTGCAGAATCAGGGGGCAGTTGAGGGGCCAGTGATCAGCCAACTTCAACCAGGCGCTCTACTTTTATTTACTGTATCTTTTGAAATGGAGCAAAGTGGATAAGATCCCAGAGTTTTAAGACAGATAACTGGGATGGATTGTATTATTCAGCATCTATATGCTTCAATTTGTAAAATGGGGATAACAATAATCATTACTAAATTTCTTATAGCAATGACCATGTGCTTGGCATCATTTTAAGTGCTTTATATTTATTTAATATTAATAAATCAATTATTTACATTTATCATGACAAGTACTGTTTTATAGAAGAAATACTGTTTACAAGAGCATTAAATTCTAGAGTCAGTTCATGAATAAGGGAAGTATATATACATTTAAAATGATCCCGATATAGTTTGGATGTTTGTCTCCTCCAAATCTCATGTTGAAATGTGATCCCCAGATTTGGAAGTGGAGCCTGATGACACTTTTCTTTAGTGTCTGGGTCCTGGGGCGGATCCCTCATGATGGCTTCCTGCTGTCCTTGCAGCAATGTGAGTTCTCACTCTGTTGGTTCATGTGAGATCTGGTTGTTTAAAAGAGTCTGGGGCCTCCCTCCTTCCTCTTTCTTCCTCTTTCCTGCTTCAGCTCTCACTGTGTCATGTGCCTGCTCCTCCTTTGCCTTCTGCCTTGACTGGAAGCTTCCTGAGAACTCCCCGGAAGCTGAGCAGATACTGATGCCACGCTTATGCAGCCTGCAGAACCATGAGCCAAATAAACCTCTTTTATTTATAAATTACCCAGTGTAAGGTATTCCTTTATAGCAATGCAAAACAGGCAAACGCAGCCCTGAAAATGCCAAGTTCTCAGAAAAGGTTATTACTTTTTACAGGGTTTGGGAATTTAGACTTGTATGAGCTCTCCTATCTCGTTTCAAGTCAGCAATTCTCAGCGAGCCTCAGCTGATGTTTTAGTTTTGCCCTCCAATGGGTTGGTGAAATAACTTTACCTGTCTTTCCTGGCCATCTGAATACCGATGGTACCTCCATATCAATGGTCAAAAGCCCTTACAATTCATTCTTTACCTTTAAACAAAAGCTGTATCTTTATCCAACATGCAGTGATATTTTAGTAACTTTACTATGTGTCAGGTTCTATTCTGAGAGCTTCACATATATCAAATTATTCAATCTTCAAAACATGCCATGGTAGTTACTATTGTTATCTTCCTTTTACAGGTGGAAAATCTGGCACGATGTGACAGTGGACATGGGCCCAAGCAGGTAGATCATAGAGTTCCTTTTATTACTATTATACTCTGCTGATTATTTAGGCAGGATTATTTCCACTGCCTACATAATATAAATGGTGCAAAAAAAACCTCACCGGAGATGTAGAGTTGAATTCATGTAAAACTTACTGCAATTGGGATGCTTCCCCTTGAAAATATGTTATTTAATGTTTCCAAGAGGCATCAAAACTTAGTTCTATTAATAAGGCTTATTTCACTCATGAGAAAACAGGATTAGAAAAAATAAAATATTGCCCAAGATTCTATACTAAGTTCTAATGCAGTAGGATGACCTGGTCTAGCTGATGCCAAGACAATAATGCTCTTTAGCTGTGGTTTTGCTTTCTGCTGTTCCAGTGACCCAAGGTCAATCAAGAGCCAAAAATATTAAATGGAAAATTCCAGAAATAAATAACTTATATGTTTTAAACTGCACACTGTTCTGAGTAGCATGAAGAAATCTTGTGCTGTCCCTCTCCCTCCCGGGATGTGAATCATGCCTTTGTCCAGCGTGTCCACGCTGTCTACAATGCTCTCCCGTGAGTCACTTAGTGGCTGTCTTCATTATCAGATGCACTATTGCAACATTACAGTGTTTGTATTTGAGTCAACCTTATTTCACTTCATAATGGCCCCAAAATGCAAGAGTAGTCACGTTGGCAGTTCACATATGCCAAAGAGCGTCATAAAAGGCTTCCTTCAAGTAGAAAGGTTAACTTAATAAGGAAAGAAAAAAAGTTGTTTGCTGAGGTGACTGAGATTTCTGGTAGGAACGAATTTTCTATCCATTGCATTGTGAAGAAGGGGGACAAATGATGCTGGTTTTGCTGCCACCTCTCACACTGCAAAAGTTTTGGCTACGGTGCATGATAAGTCCTTAGTTAAGGTAGAAAAGGCACTAAATTTCTGCATGGAAGACACGAACAAAAATATGTTCCAATTGACAGCAATCAGGTTTCATACTGGGGGTCTTGAAACATATTCCCCACTGGGCATCCACTGGGGGTCTTGAAACATATTCCCCACAGATATGGGGGAGTGCTGTACCTACAATATTATCCTGTACCCCATTTTACCTTCCTGTGCAAGACTGTTAAAGGGGTTAAATGAGATGATGCATGCGGAAAGCCTATCACAGATCCTGAAGCAATAGGTTGCAATGAATGTTAGTTAAAATCACAAGTAGGTTCCCAGGAAGCAGACCCTGAGGCAGAGATAAGAGAGCAGAATGTGTATCAGAGAGTATTGTTGGATCAACACATGGGGGAAAGAGGGAGAGGAAGCAAGATTGGACAGAAAGTTGAGTTGATTTGCAAGGAAGCCTCACAGCCAATGCCATAGGAAGCTTGAGAGCTAGGCTGGTTCACTGGAGTTGTCATGAATTGGAACAAGGGAGCCACATCTTTATAACCCTGCATTGATCAAGCTTTAGATGAAGCCTGCCCTGAGAAGGAGATGTGTGACTTTGGGTGAAACAATTTTCTTCAGCCAAGGCAGTCGTCAAAGAGGTCTGAAAGCTGAGGCAGTCAGCTGCTAGCAGCTATGGGGAAACGCCCTTCACTCCTGAAACTGTCACACTGAGGTATCCATCTGTTGTATTAATACTTGCAATATTTATTGCTTTTATTATTATTATTATTGGCTTCATTACAATATTTTGTTAAAATTTTTTCAAGTTTAGACATGTTTGAAAATTGATGATTTAAATAATTTAGACCTACTAGAGAAGCGGAAATTGAGTCCTAGAGTGAGCTGGGTGGGAACCCCAGTGTGCATCATGTATGGGCTAGGACCCTGGTCCAGCCCTCTAGTATCCTGTCTGCCTTCAGTCTTTAGTCTCCAGTTCTTTCCTCCCTTAACTACTGGGTGAATGAAGCCCTTGTCATAGTCTGAGCCATCTATAAGTAAGAGAAACAACCCCCAGACCTACATGCATTTGTTTCATTGGAGAACCAGTGTGTTTCAAAATTAAACCTTCACCTAGTTAGGTATTTAGGGACTAGGGATGCCATTAGAAGAAATAGGATCCACTCTATGACTCTGGGATGGGACAGGATTCATGAGATTTATGGCCATGAAGGCCTTTGAGGATAACTTCTATGGTTATAAATTAGGTATAGGAGTATAATATGCATTCCTCCGGAAAAAGCTAAGAGCAGAGAAATAGAAAAGGAGAGTGATAATCTTACCTAAATTCTAATCCTAGGATAGCTGCTGCAGTTGAGCACAAAATCTGGCTGTGAGTTTCCTGGCAGTCAAATGGCTTCACAACCCTCTTAAAACTTCTTCTTTATGGGGAGACCAGGGACTCAGAGAGAGCTAAGTGTTGAGCTCAGGAGAGTCTCACCTGAGATAGGTTCATCTGTGGACTCCTCTTACAGATGATAGACAGGGAAGCCTTAGATGTCATACGACACTTGGGGATGTGGTGTGGTATTTAAGTGTGGGTGTACGTATGTGTAAATGTGTGTCCACTTATTTGAATCATCGTATTTACACCTGTGCAAATTTGTGGTGGTTTAAAATATCTCCACTGATCATACAGTGCCTATCTGTAGATGCCCCAGGAATATTCAACCAGCATTAACCCTGTAGGAGAAAATACTTTACTAATGCCAACTTCTAGGAAGATGACAAGTATAATTTCCAGTTGTCATTCTTGCCCTAGGGGGCTTGAACAGAATATATTAATGAGGGCCAGGCTGCCTCGGGCTCTTCATGAGGCTACTTCTTAATCATTTAGCCATCTGATCACACCACCTCCCAGCCTTGACCCACAGCAGAAATTTAGAGCTCTTAGGAAAAAGGCAGGCAGTATAAGATGGTGAAGATTGTATGGCATGCATCTTCCTTTCAAACATGACATTAGAATGAGATATCCTGACTGCCCTTTAGTTTCACAGTGGCCCATTGGGAGCCCTAAGGATCTGATTGTAAGGTAAACACCAGAAAGTGATACGTACATAAGCAATGTGTTCTCTAGACTTCTCTGTACCCAAAATTATTAGTTGACACCATTAGCATTAGTAGTGTCTTTCCTTCTTCCCTTTGATAAAACAAGAACACAATTGTAACCCTAATGGGCCATCTTTGAAGAACAGAAGCTTATGTTTCTGATCAATATACCAGCAAGCCCACTTGACAAAAGGGTTAGGATGGTATTAGAAACTAATCTTTAAAAAAATGTCCATGCTTATGTTAAACAGTGCTAGCATCTTTCTCTAGTATCCTTTTTGCATTAAAAAATAATGCTTAGTGAGCTTTTACAAGGTGCTCAGTGCTGGGCCAAGCACCCCCATGTCTGATCTCATTTAATCCTCTCAACAGCCATATGAAGCAAGTACTATTATTAGATCTGGTTTATAAGTGAAGAAACTGGGGTTTAGAGAATAATTTGTTCAAGGTGACTTAACCAGTAGTGGAGAGATACCGACTTAGTGCAGTTTGATGGCAGAACCAAGCTTCTCAACCATCCTGCTGTACTCACTCTTATGAAGATATCAGAGGATAGCAGAGAGAAGACTGTTTCTATTTCTTTGTCTCTGGGGTGCTCTGTGACCCACTGCTAGTCTTCACACCTACAGATAATTCTTATTAGAATTTGAAATAAAAATTGTAGCAGCCTTTTAATGTTTACCTGTCTATCCCAAGCAGCCTTCTAAGGAAATCAAACTTGTCACTTCTTGACTTCATTTCACACTATGCATTCATGCCTAGGACATCAGAGATCTTAGTGTCTCTGAGGAAGGACAAACCTTGAGCAATCAAGGTCCTTTACAACAGGTCCTCAGTAACTTTGTCTCATTCTATCTCAGCTTTCATTCAGCATGTGCCATCCCAGGCACCATAGACTAGAGTTATTGAAGGTCACTCTGTTTGCATAGTGTCTCTGATCAGATCATATCTGCTTATTCCCTTTGCCTGAAAAAAATTATTTTCCTTCCTCATCTGTGGAACTTCAATTTGTCTGTCCTTGAAAGAGTATCCTAAGTGCTACCGCTGATGTAAATTCATCCTGATCCCTCAGGCAGAATAAATCTCTTCTCTGTGATGCTAGAATGCTTTGAAATGCTCTCCATTATGAATCTGTATTAGTCAGGGTCCTCCAGAGAATCATAACCAATGGAATGTGCATAGCTGTAGAGATCTATGGATCTATATACACATCCTCTATCTATCTATCATCGATCTATCATCTATCATCCTCTATATCTGTCATCTATTTATCAATCATCTACCTATAATATCTATCATCTCTCTATATTTGTCACCTATCAATCTTCTATCTATCACTATCTATCATTTATCTTTCTCTATATCTATCCCCTATCTATCATCTGTCTATATCTGTCATCTATCTATCTATCATCCATCTATATCTGTCATCTATTTATCAATCATATGCCTATAATATCTATCATCTGTCTATATTTGTCACCTATCAATCATCTATCTATCACTATCATTTATCTTTCTCTACATCTATCACCTATCTATCATCTGTCTATATCTGTCATCTATCTATCTATCAATCATCTATGTATTGAGAGATTTATTTTAAGGAATTCTCTCATGCAATTGTAGGGGCTGGCAAGGCTGAATTCTGAAGGACAGGCCTGCAGGCTGGAGACCCTGGAAAGAGTTAATGTTGTACCTTGAATCTAAATGCAGTCTGGAGGCACAATTCCTTCTACTCAAAAGACCTTTTGAGGTCTTTTCTCTTAAGGCCTACAACTGGTTGGACAAGGCACATTCACATTATGAAGGATCACCTGCCTCACTCAAAAGCTACTAATTTAAATGTTAATAATATCTAAATAATACATTTACAGCAATATTTAGACTGGTGTTTAACCAAAAATGATACCATAGCCTAGCCAAGCTGACACATAAAATTAACCATTACACACTGTTAGATTTTTCTGCAACTACTTGTTTGTGTCTCCCAGCTCCTCTAGAATATGAACTGCTTGTGGGCAGTGATCCTCACATTTTAGTCTCATTGTGATCATAATAAACATCACTTCCTTTCACATATAAAACTGTGAGCACTGCATCTACTGTCAAAAAAATGTGTTTCAAGAGCAACATGCTCAGTGCATAAGGCAGGCAGCAGGGAGGAAACTAGAAATGACTCAGCTATAGTCTTTGACAGCAGTGAACTGATTTTGCAGTGGATGAATAAGCCCCTGGCTTCAAATATGAGAATAGGTTTCCTCGAATCAGGTCCAATGCCTCTCTTTGGCCAGTCGACTGCCCCGAAGCAGGCTGGGTGCATCCTGTCATTCCAGGGCCCAGGAACCAAATTCTGAGGGAGGGTAGCAGCTCTCCAACCTACTATCAACACCTGATGGGGTGCTCAGAATGCACCCCATCAGGTGGCTGATGGAAGCACTACAAGATGGTCTAATTCTACCTAGAACTTATATTAACTTCCTTTTTGACTGTTTCCCTCCCAGTTCCCTTGATGTTCCTTGGAGCCATGAGGGGCAAAGAGGTGGCCCCTTGCTGCCCACTAGGTGGTAGTGGAATCCCACCTCTGTCACACTCAGCACTTTCTGCTCTCTCAGCCACCAAAGTCTGATGACAAAACTTCTAATCTGCTGCTGGGAATTTCAGGTTAACTGACTAAGTCACTTTAATTTTCTTGGGAAAATAGTTGCAGTCACACAAAAGATAAGAAGAGGCTCCTGAGCCCCCGACACCTGCAGTGTGAGGGCAGCCCAGCCTTTCACAGCCCCAGTACAGAGAGAAACTTCTTCTCCTGCTGCCCAGCAGACACACATGCCCCCACCCGCAACCCCACAGTCAGGTCAAAGCTTGCTCCTGGCACAATCCGTGTTTACTTCCACGTCTCCAAACCTGGAAGGATGGCATACTTTGTACCTGCTGATGTCAGCCAATGACCTCTCAGCCTCTCTGCCTTCCTCGCCTGCTGCTGCAGGGAAGGCAGGTTGCAAGGGCAGAGCTGATCATAAATTCTAGTGATCTTCTGTAAGATCATTTGCAGCATCAGACTCTTTAATAGACTCTGCTTATTCCTGCGGTGTAGGCTCAAAAAATTTAAGTAGTAAAAATAAATAAAAATCTCATGTCAGTTAAACATAGAGATATGGGCTTTAAAAAAAATCTTTCCCCTCCTCCTTATGTTTTTTCTTCTATGAATGTATTTATGTAACCTCTGCAGCTAAGATTTTTGAAGGGCAAACTTTCCCTAGACAGGGACAATTTTTAGTTTTAGTTAATGCAGTGTACAGGATAAGCAATGGTGCCCTGTGCAGAGTTAGCGCCCATAAATGTCAGTTGATGCTGCCACTACCCTCTGGAAGTTTCATAGAAGAGCTCCTTTCTCTTTGTGACTTCAACGTCCTTCACCTACAGGATCTCATTTTCCACTTACTGTGATAACAAAGGGCCATGGATTATTATCTTCAATTTACAGGTAGGAACAATGTGTCAGGGAAAGATGATCTGCCCAAGAATAGAGAGCAAGTCAGTGATCAGCTGACCATTTCTCTGTTCTTGCAGCAGCCCTCAATGTCTCTTTCAGTGAAGTGCTAACCTGTCACCCCCAAACACTGTACTCATAGAAAGTAGCATCAGGATCTCTTGAAACAGACTGGAGGCCTGGACCATGCACCACCTGCTCTCTGCATGGCCGCTGTTCTCTCCTCTTGTCTCTTTTCACTGCTTCCTAGTCACCAACAGGGCAGATAATCAATGCAGTCTTCTGGTAGATCAATAGCCAACAATATTTCATTACTGCCGGAATCAGGTTGTTCCAGCAGTCTATTGCCGATTTCCCCCAAGTTAGAACATTTACAGGATGGAGCATGGTTCGTATCCAAGCTCTCCACACAATTGACCTGAAACTCCAAGCCTATGTCAGCCTTTGGGCCTGGGAGTTATAAAGCTGGCCTGTAGAGTAATAGTGGCAAAGGACTCAACATTGTGCAATTGCAGTAAGTTCCACCAGCTGATACTCTATTCTCCTTCAAGGCTCCACTCATGTCACCTAGGAGAGACCTTCTGTTAATCTTCCACTTCAGTTGATATTAATTGATTACTCCTTGAAGCTTACATAACATTTAGTGAATATTTCTGTTTTGAAACACTCCGCTTTTGTGTGTGTGTGTGGGTGTGTGTGTGGCAGAGTCTCGCTCTGTCGCCCAGGCTGGAGTGCAGTGGTGTGAACTTGGCTCACTGCAAGCTCTGCCTCCCAGGTTCATGCCATTCTCCTGCCTCAGCCTCCCCAGAAGCTGGGACTACAGGCGCCCGCCACCACGCCTGGCTAATTTTTTTTGTATTTTTAGTAGAGACGGGGTTTCACCGTTTTAGCTAGGATGGTCTGGATCTCCTGACCTCGTGATCTGTCCGTCTCGGCCTCCCAAAGTGCTGGCATTACAGGTGTGAGCCACCGCGTCCAGCCGGCGAAACATCTCTTATAATGCCTTATAGTAGAGGTATTTACCCAAAGTTCTTTTGCGTTGCTCCCAATGTTAGAATTCTGATGTCCTAAGGAATATGTACATATCATATTTACTTTGTATTATCTCTGGAGTCAGCACTTTGCTTCTCCCTAGGACAATGTTATAGGACAATGGACGGCACATATCCATAGAAAAGCTTCATAAACGCTTGTTGGATGGAATTAATTATCTGAACTAGATGCATAGCTTTTAGCCATATCTAATTCGTTCTGAATTTGGCCAGATTAATCTTCCTAAAACAACACTGTTTTCATGTAATTTCCCTACTAAAAAAAGTTCTGAATATTCCTCACTGCCTAATAGGACTAAGTTTAAACAAGGGGACCTAGTATGTAAGTCAACTTAGCTCATCCCTGTTCTATTTTCCAATGGCCTATTTTACAATTTTCCAGTTGCATCTCCTGCTATCTCTGACGTTCATCCGTTACTGTCCACAGGCTCTGCATGGCCCCTTGAAGGTTCCTTTCATACCTCTGCTTACATTTCTTTATGCTAAAGTTATATTTCTACCTGAAATTCCCTCTCTACTTCTTTGATTCTCAAAGTCCTTACTTTTCTTTAGGGAAGAATGATGAATAGAAAAATACCATTGGATTTTGTAGAAAAGAGATCATTAGTAACACTAAAGATAGAACATGGTATTTCTATGAGGTTGGAGGCAGAAATAAGATTTCTGAAGTGAAGAAAGGAAAGAAAAGTGGGAGCAGAGTGTGTGATTCATTTATGTAGTGGTTTGACAGTAAGAAAAAAGGTGATCAGTAATATGTCTGGTTGAGCTCAGTGGTTACAAAGGCATTTTGTTTGGTTTGGTCATTGATATAGGGATATCCGCAGTGTCGGTGGGAACGATGGAGCAGGAACCTTGAGAGGTAAGAAGATGAAATCTGTTGGAGAAAGAGCCTGAGCATGGTGGTCCTCTCTCCAAAAGCTTAAACCTGAGCATCCCGCTCTTCCACTGTGGTCTCTCCCCTTTCAGCTCTCTGTTCGGCCCCATGATGTCATCGCTGGGGACTCATCAGAGCTCCTCTCCTTGCTCTTACTCATTTCCTTTAACAGTTCCCTCCATCACCCATCAATCCAGTAGTACCAACAATCCCTTTTCCTTCTCTTAAATATTATCCCCACTTGTTCAAGCATCAACCCTGGTGAATCCAAATAATTATCTTTATAATTGTACCATGAAAAAGATGGGATGAAAAAAGGTACAAAATAAAACACGTTGGTTCTAATTTCAATTTATTGTCACCAACCTCAAATAGTCCCTCAGGACTGCCAAAGATCATCCAACATTTTATCAAGTTAGCTCACCTTTCTACCCACTGCAGGATGCTGCAAACTTTCTCCAAATTTTTAAATCCCCTGGCCACTCACTCCCTATCTCCTTCTCTTTCTATACATCCTATGCTCTCATAAGTAATTCTCTTTCTTTAAGATGGAGTCTCACATTTTTTTTAAAAGAAAATAAAAGACAGCAATGGGATCTCCCTCAGCCCCCGATGATAAAACCATTGTCTGTGACCTTCCTCTTCTCTTTCCCGCCTGCTATCAGGAGCTGTAACACCTTCCACCTAAGACCATTGACATGACCTGAGCTTTGGAGCCCAGTCATTGCTGTTCTCTTAGAAGACATCATTCCTTCTTCATCTTCTCTCTTTGGCTTGTTTCTCAATTTGATCATTTCCATCTAATGTTAACCATGTTTATGCTTGAAACTCTCAAAAAAGTTTCTAAGGCTAATAATAACCTGCATGTCCATAAATACAATAGGCATTTTGCAGTTTTCATCTTACCTGACCTCTCATTAGAATTCAGCATGGTTGGTCATAGCCTCTTTCTGAGCTCATTCCTCTTTGGCCTGTAAGACATCATGCTCTCCTGATTCCCTCTTTGGATATTCCTTTTCTGTCTACTTTGCATAATCACCTTCTAATGTCTAATATTGATAATGATGATGAAAATAATAATTAACAAGAAGCAGCCAAAGAAACAACTTATATTTGCTAAGTATTATGTGCCAGACACTCTTCTTAGAGCTTTTAATGTGTTTGTTCATTTAATACTCCCAAAGCCCTGGGGTATATGTTATTAGCTCCATTTTTACTGATGAGGGAATGGCAGTACTAAGAGGTTAAGTTAATTGCTTGAGGCCGCACAGCTACTATAATGAAGGAACTGGAATTCAGACAAAGGCAATCTGGCTTCAGAGTCTTAGCTCTTTATCATGAAATTGCATTGTTTAATATTTTTGGAGTTACTCAGTGTTGAATTTCATAGCACATTCACCTTTATGCCTACAACTTCCCTTACACCTACATACTGATAACTCACAAATTTATATCTCCAGCTTTGACTTCTCCTCCAAGTTCTAGGCTTTACCAACTAATTGCCTATTAGATGTATGCACTCGGAAGACTTAAAAGCTGTCCATGGTAATTTTGATACAACACTGATGATCTCACTCCAGATATTGGTATTCCTTCAGTGTCTTCCCTATCAGCTAATGGTACTGTCATTCATTCAGGTGTTAATGTCAAAAACCTAGTCAACCTCATCCCTCTTATCTCCATGTCTCATATCAGATACCAATATGATTGTTCTCTCCTTGATTAAAATTGTTCAATAATTTTGTATTAATTAATTAAAATAATAAAGTAGAAGAAGAAACAACTAATATTTAATGAGCCTCATCTGACAGCATTCACTGTACTTTAGAAAACTGGCCTTATTTTAACAGGTGAAATGTGCCATGCTCTGCCCTGAACCAGGCCATGTCCCCTCCTCTGTCTCGAATACTCCGTATTTCTTCTAGGTAACTCCTGTTCGACCTTCAGTTCTCAGCTCAAACTCTTCCTTAGAGAAGCCTTTCCCATTTCTCCAAACTAAGGCAGGTCTCTTTATTATACACTAAATTCATTCCTTCTCCTTTAAGGAAGAACACATTTCTTTATTGTAATATTATTTTGTTTTAGTTAATTATTTTATTGAAGTCTATTTTCTAAATAGACTGTGAGCTCCATAAAGTAAGTGACTTTATCATGACAAAAATGAGAATAATAATTAAGCCCAGGTTTACAAGAACTCAGGGAATTGGGTGAGGAAAGTTAGACAATGTGCTCAATACAAAATGTTTTTGCTTCTTTGTCTCCTATATTTTTCATTTATAAGGAATTCTGCTAGTGGAAAGATATTGAGTATGTTGACCATGAAAAGATAGCTTGATTTTCTCAGTCTCCTTATGATAGAAAATAGTAGAAGGTAATAGTGTGTGTGTCTGTGTGTGTGTGTATGTGTGTGTAAGGGGAAAAAGAGAGTTGCCATCAATAATGTGTAAGTTTACTTGTAAATCTGGACTCTTGAATCAGTCCATGTAAGGTGCTAATAAATTGGCAGACAGGTGTAAACTTTGCTTCAGCCACCATACCTTGTGACATGAGGCATTAGCTCTCTTGGATGAGGCAGCCTAGAAAGGCCCCAAGTCTAAATCCATCCATGTCTACTGGGCTAAGGGAGTGAGATGGAAATGTGCAAACCAGCTTATAGTGGAGGAGTAGGTTGAACTCTAGTTATGCAATCCATAGATAATATGCAAGAACTCAGCTTTAGCAAAGCATACCAAGGAGTGTGGTGTGTCCCCACATATGATTAGAACAAGGTCAACCCTTCTCAATAACTTGTGAGACCATACAGAGAAAGCAGAGACAATTTCAAGTGTTGCTGGGCTGTTAGATTCCATAACAGAGTATTTGGGACTTCAGGGCTAGGAAAATCTCCTTCGAATTAAACATAAGTGATGGGAAAGGAAGTACATCTGAAGAGCACACTTCCTCAGGTGCTTTAGCTATGGAAGGGAAGTGAAAGCAAGGTCATGGCTTAGACCGGCAAGCAGTAGAGTTCTGCCAGGTAAAGAGTGGCCATATCACATGGTGGTTGCTTTTTGGACTTTAGACAGAAGAGATGGCCCAGGGTCTTGGCTTGTTTCTCCTTCCTAGGCCCTAGCCGCCAGTGATCTCTGTGTCCTTCTCTTTCTGCTCCACCTGTGCCTACTTATGTTTCCCCTTTGCTTGTTCTTACTCCATTTATGTTGCTCAGGGATTGTTATTGTCAGTTTCAGGATGCTCAGCATCCACACACATGGGGCCACTGGAAGGACGGAATGTCAGCAAAAGCAAAAATGTCCAGGGACCTACCTCTGTGTTGTTCATGGGGCCCTGACTGGCCAGAAGACATTATTCCTAGGTGAGGGCAGTGCATTCTGTCATTATTATATAGAACTCCCAATAGGAGTCCTATAAAATGATTCTAGACAGATCTTTTACCCGCTCCACATTAGAAGCAGCTTAGCAAGTCAAATGCCTTACTACCAGTAACTATGTTGACCCTCCACCCCATAGAGCATTGCTTAGCTTGGGATAACCCCTGAACTAAAAGTAGAGTCATTCTTTGGAACCAAATCTAAGAACTTGGAACTGGAAACTAAAATAGATTCCCCTACTGTCAGAGACGTCTTTGCTGTTGGATCTTCCTCATGCCTTCTGCAACCTCCCAATTCCTTATTTTGCTTGTCTCCTTGGTCCTTTTATTACTGGCAACCAGACCTATCTCCTTTCCAGTGCCTACCCCAGTCCTAAAACACACAGCTAATTCTGATCCCATCTTTTCCCTATTTGCCTTATCTTATTAGGTTTTACCCGTCCATCTTCACCTCTGTGGCTGAAACCTTATAGATGGCGAACTTCAAGGCAAAAGCAGATTTTTCAGAGAAGTTCCCTCTTATGTAGTGCTAGTAACAGAGCATGGAATGAGGCTGGGCATGCTGGTGGGAACAGGTAGTCCTGGTGCTTATAATAAGGACATGGAGAATTATACGTGAAAGGTATATGTAGGTACTCAGTAAAATTTGCTGATGTATAAATTATTGGGAATAAAACTGATCAGTTTCCGTGGAGAGCTCTTTTTGATCTTTAATTTTATTTTCACACCAATCAAAAAATATTTTACGTTTTTTTTGTGTGTGTCAGGGCCCTGATTACTGGGACATAGAGTAAAACATGTTGAAGCCCTTTGGAGCTGAATATTTAGGACGGTGAGTTATACCTCTCCTGGTTTAATAATCTGTATGAAATTAGAGCAAATTCTCATGATGCCCAGATTCTGGAAAGTATCTTGAGGGCTGGGAGAATACTGCTTCCTGATATCTCCATCCCCATCAAAGTTCAAAAGCACAAGTCAAAAATATCCTTCTTAGAACCTTTGGGATGGTTGTTTCAGTGACTTTGGAAAGTAACATTCTCTCTCTCTCTCTTCTCTCTCTCTCTTTCTCTCACATTACTGTTTCTTAAATTACATTGGTGTTACTTGCTTCAAGGAAAGTTTATTCAAATAATTGACATCTGGCTGGAGCCACACTATGGCCTTTTCTTTGGAATGAAGATTTTCGTAGCAGCTGATGCTAGAGACCAAGTCCCATGCTTGAGGTGTGAGCTCCCTTTTGGGCAGCTCCTGACTACACCAGCAATGTTAATTAAGTTTCTTAATCAAATCCTCAGCTCTAACGGTGTGCTTTTGCTCTGTGTGCTTTGTCTAGTTAAAATACTTCTAAAAGCAAATACCTGATTTCTAAATGAAACATACAAAACAATTGACCTCAGCCAGAGCAAAAATGCTTTTCAAAATCTTTGTATCACACTTTAATGAAGGAGAATTTGTTCCTACAAACATATTACCCTTTCTGAGGACCAAACCCATGCCCGGAAGCTCATTTCAATGCAAAAATGATTTCTGGAAGCATTCAAAATGCCAAAGCATGGTATCTCATTCCTGACCGAGACAGGACAATTTGGGGTTGGGGGAACAGGTTCCAGAATAATGACTAAATGGGCACAAATTCCAGTTCAACCACTTATTACTTACAGGGCTTTGAAGTGCGATTAAACTTCTTGGTGCATCAATATTCTCTGTACGGATGCACAGAGGGAATCATGATACTACCTTATAAAGGCCTGGTGAAAATTGGCATAATTCATATAAGATGTTTGTTCCAGTGAACACCCCCAAATGGTTAGTTTTGTTGTTGTTTTTATTGTATAACCCCTACTCTTATTAACTGCCTTACTTACATGTATTCAATCCAAACTGGCAATTATGTATCTGCAAATGAATGTGAATTATCATATCAAATAACAGAGATTCTTTCTAGTGTGTGTGTATTTGTTTTTAATAAGGACAATAATATTTTAGAAAAAAACTCTAGCTCTTTCTAATCTCCATAGCAGCCGTAATTCTTTAGGTGGTTTCAGTTTTTCTGTTTCCAAAATGTAGAGAAAATTCTCCATTTCTATTGATCTCACAGAGATGATGTGAGCACCGCTGAGATGGATGAATTTTGAGTTGTTTGTATACCTTTTTAATAGTCCCAAGTACTATTTTGTTTAGACTCAGGCATTTCTGAGGGTATTATTTTAGAACAGTAATCTTTGAGGTATTATTTTGTCTCCAAAGGATGCTACACTTTCTTTCTTTTGAAATGCTCTGTTTATAAAATTCACCAAATATTAATTCACGTTGTTATTATCAATAGTCATTTTACTAATTACCGCATGGCTTGGTATTTATTTTGCCAATGATCTACTATGTCATTAGTTCTTCCCCTAAAATAAAGATTTGTTCTACTACAGTATAAAGAGGATTTAACTCAGCAGCAAGGGGTCGGCAATCCCAACTGTGGCAAAAACAAGGTTGGAACCAGAATCCTTCAGTCTTGTTTTTCTATAAGCTTCAATAGATAATGTGAAGGATGAATAACAGTGAGATGAAGGATATTTCTGACCTTTCTTTCATGCTTTATAAAAATAAAATTTATCTCTGTCATTTATGCTTTCTTTGTTCTTCCTGAGATTTCATTATTTTACACAACTCATCGTATACAATTTTTTGTCCAATGACCTTATTTTAGAGTTCTCCTATTTTTATTCTGTGGGATAAAAATTAAATGGCAAATTCCTTTTTGTGTTGTCAAGAAGAGCTCATTTTCTCATTTTCTCTGTAATTTTTTTTCAGTTTGCTGATTTTATGTCCTCTGATTCTGGTTCTGTTAACTTTTTTCTCTTCAATTTTTATTTGTAGTTCAGGGGTACATGTGCAGGAGGTGCAGGGCTGTTACGCAGGTAAACATGTACAATGGTGGTTTGCTGCACAGATCATCCAATCACCTAGGCATTAAGTCCAGCATCCATTAGCTATTCTTCCTGATGCTCTCCCTCTCTCAACCCCCCAACAGGCCCCAGTGTATGTTGCTCCCTGCAATGCGTCAATGTGCTCTCATCATTCAACTCCTACTTATAAGTGAGAACATGTCTTGTTTTGTTTTCTGTTCCTGCATTAGTTTGTTGAGAATAACAGCTTCCAACTACATCCATGTCCTCACAAAGGACATCATCCTGTTATTTTTTATGGCTGCATAGTATTCCATTGTGTATATGTACATTCAAATGTGTACACATACATTTTCTGTATACTGTCTATCATTGATAGGCACTTAGGTTGAGTCCATGTCTTTGCTATTGTAAATAGTGTTGCAATAAACATATACGTGCATGTATCTTTATAATAGAATGATTTATATTCCTTTGGGTAGATACACAGTAATGGGATTACTGGGTCAAATGGTCAAATTTCTGCCTCTAGGTCTTTGAGGAACTGCCACACTGTCTTCCACAATGGTTGAACTAATTTACAGTCCCAACAACAGTGTAAAAGCATTTCTTTTTTTCCATACCTTCACCAGCATCTGTTGTTTCTTGACTTTTTAATAGGCATTCTGACTGGTGTGAGATGATATCTCATTATGGTTTTTATTTGCATTTCTCTAATGATCAATGATGTTGAGCTTTTTTGATGTTTGCTGGTCACATGTATGTCATCTTTTGAGAAGTGTCTGTTTAGAACCTTTGCCCACTTTTTAATGGGGTTGTTTTTTTCTTGTGAATTTGTTTAAATTTCTTATAGGCTGGATATTAGACCTTTGTCAGATGGAAAAAATTTCTCTTATTCTGTAGGTTGTCTGTTCACTCTGATGGAGTTTCTTTTGCTGTGCAGAAGCTCTTTAGTTTAATTATATCCCATTTTTCAATGTTTGCTTTTGTTGCAGTTGCTTTTGTCATTTTCTTAATGAAATCTTTGCCCTTTCCTATGTCTGGAATGGTATTGCCTAGGTTATTTTCCTGGATTTTTACAGCTTTGGGTTTTACATTTAGGTCTTTAATCTATCTTGAGTTATTTTTTGTATATGTATAAGAAATGTGTTTACTTTTAATTTTCTGCATGTGGCTAGCCAGCACTCCCAGCACCATTTATTAAAAATGATGCCTTTTCCCAGGAGAATGGCATGAACCCGGGAGGCGGAGCTTGCAGTGAGCCAAGATCACGCCACTGCACTCCAGCCTGGGCGATAGAGCGAGACTCCATCTCAAAAAAAAAAAAAAAAAAAAAAAAAAAATGATGCGTTTTCCTCATTGCTTGTTGTTGTCAGGTTTGTCAAAGATAAGATGGTTGTAGGTGTGTGGTCTTATTTCTGAGTTCTCTATTCTGTTCCATTGGTCTATGGGTCTGTTCTTGTACTAGTACCATGCTGTTTTTGTTACTGTAACTTTGTAGTATAGTTTGAAGTCAGGTAGTGTGATGCCTCCAGCTTTGTTCTTTTTACTTAGGATTGACTTAGCTATTAAGGCTCTTTTTTGGTTCCATATGAATTTTAAAACAGTTTTTTCTAATTCTGTGAAGAATGCCAATGGTAGTTTAATGGGAATAGCATTGAATCTACAAATTACTTTGGGCAGTATGGCCATTTTAATAATATTGATTCTTCCTATCCATGAGCATGGCATGTTTCTCTATTTGTTTGTGTCCACTCAGATTTCTTTGAGCAGTGGTTTGTAGTCCTCCTTGAAGAGGTCCTTCACTTCCCTTGTTAGCTGTATTCCTAGGTATTTTATTCTTTTTGTAGCAATTGTGAATGGGAGTTCATTCATGATTTGGCTCTCTGCTTGTGTGTTGTTGGTGTATAGGAATGCTAGAAATTTTTTTTCACATTGATTTTATATCCTAAGACTTTGCTGAAGTTGCTTATCAGCTTAAGTAGTTTCTGGGCTGAGAGGATAGGGTTTTCTAGATACAGGATCATGTCATCTGCAAACAATGATAATTTGACTTCCTGTCTTCCTATTTGAATTCTCTTTATTTCTTCCTCTTACCTGATTGCCCTGGCCAGAACTTCCAATACTATGTTGAATAGGAGTGGGGAGAAAGGGCATTCTTGTCTTGTGCTAGTTTTCAAGGGGAATGCTTCCAGCTTTTGCCCATTCAGCATCATATTGGCTGTGGGCTTGTCATTTATGGCTTTTATTATTTTGAGGTATGTTCCTTTAATAGCTAGTTTATTGAGAGTTTTTAGCATGAAGGGATGTTGAATTTTATCAAAGGCCTTTTCTATGTATATTAAAATAATCATGTGGTTTTTGTCTTTAGTTCTGTTTATGTAATGAATCACATTTATTGATTTTTGTAGCTTGAACCAACCTTGCCTCCCAAGGATGAGGCCAACTTGATCATGGATAAGCTTTTTGATGTGCTACTGGATTCGGTTTGCCAGTATTTTATTGAGGATTTTGGCATTGATGTTCATCAGGGATATTGGCCTGAAGTTTACTTTTTTTGTTGTATCTCTGCCATGTTTTGGTATCAGGATGATGCTGGCCTCATAAAACAAGTTAGGGAAGAGTCCCTTCTATTCATTTTTTTTTGAATAGTTTCAGTAGAAATAGAACCAGCTGTTCTTTGTACATCTGGTAGAATTCAGCTGTAAATCTGTCTGGTTCTGGGCTCTTTTTGGTTGGTAGGCTATCTATTACTGCCTCAATTTCAGAACTTGTTATTGGTTTATTCAAGAATTCAATTTCTTACTGGTTCACCTTACTGGGAGGGTGTATGCATCCAGGAATTTTTCAATTTCTTCTAGATTTTCTAGTTTATGTGCATAGAGGTGTTTACAATATTCTCTGATGGCTGTTTGCATTTCTGTGAGGTCATTGGTAATATCCTCTTTATCATTTTTTATTATGTCTATTTGATTTTTCCCTCTTTTCTTCTTTATTAGTCAAACTATGAGTCTATCTATTTTATAATTTTTTTCGACAACCAGCTCATAGATTTGTTGATTTTTTGAAGGGTTTTTCGTGTCTCTATCTCCTTCAGTTCTGCTCTAATCTTGGTTATTTCTTGCCTTCTACTAGCTTTTGGGTTTGTTAGCTCCTGGTTCTCCAGTTCTTTTAGTTGGGTTGTTAGGTTGTTAATTTGACATCTTTCTGGCTTATTTGTGTAAGCATTTAGTGCTATAAATTTCCCTCTTAACACTGCTTTAGCTGCATTCCAGAGATTCTGGTATGTTGTTTCTTCATTCTCATTAGTTTCAAAGAACTTCTTGATTTCTGCCTTAATTTCATTATTTACCCAGGAGTCATGCAGGTTGCTCAGTTTACATGTAGTTGTGTGGTTTTGAGTGGATTTCTCAGTCTTGAGTTCTAATTTGATTGTGGGGTGGTCTATGAAACTTTTTGTTATTATTTCAGTTCTTTTGCATTTGCTGAGGAATGTTTTACTTCCGATTATGTGATCAATTTTAGAATAAGTGTCGTGAGAAGAATGTATACTCTGTTGTTTTGGGGTGAAGAGTTCTGTAGATATCTGTTAGGTTCACTTGATCCAGAGCTGAGTTCAGGTCCTGAATATATTTGTTAATTTTCTTTCTTGATGATCTAGTCTAATATTGTCATGGGGTGTTAAAGTCTCCCACTATTATTGTGTGGGACACTAAGTCTCTTCATAGGTCTCTAAGAACTTGCTTTATGAATCTCAGTGCTCCTGTGGTGGGTGCATATATATTTAGGATAGTTAGCTCTTCTTGCTGAATTGAACCCTTTACCATTGTTCAATACCCTCCTTTGTCCTTTTTTATCTTTGTTGGCTTAAAGTCTGTTTTGTCAGAAACTAGAACCACAACCCCTGCTTTTTTTCTGTTTTCCATTTGCTTGATAAATTTTCCTCCATCTTTTTATTTTGAGCCTATGTGTGTCTTTGCACGTGAGATGGGTCTCTTGAAGACAGCAGACCAATGAGCCTTGGTGCTTTATCCAGCTTGCCATTCTGTGTCTTTTAATTCTAGCATTTAGCTTATTTACATTTAAAGTTAGTATTGTTATGTGTGAATTTGATCCTGTCATCATGATGCTAGCTGGTTATTTTGCAGGCTTGTTTATGTGGTTGCTTCATAGTGTTACTGGTCTCTGTACTTCAGTGTGTTTTTGTAGAGGCTGGTGACAGTTTTTTTCTTTCCATGTTTAGTGCTTTCTTCAGGCGCTCTTGCAAGGCAGGCCTTGTGGTGAATTTCCTCAGCATTTCCCTGTCTGAAAAGGTTTATATTTCTCCTTCACTTATGAAGTTTAGTTTGGTTTGGTATAAAATTCTGGGTTGAAAATTCTTTTCTTTAATAATGTTGAATATTGGTGCCAATCTCTTCTGGCTTGTAGTGTTTCCACTGAGAAGTCTGCTGTTAGTCTGATGGGTTTCCTTTTGTAGGTGACTTTATCTTTCTCTCTGGCTGCATTTAACATTTTTTCTTTCATGTCCACCTTGGAGAATCTGAAGATTATATGTCTTGGGGTTAATCTTCTCATAGAGTATCTTACTGGGGTTCTCTGCAGTTCCTGAATTTGAATATTGGCCTGTCTTGCTATGTTGGAGATGTTCTCCTGGATGATATCCTGAAGTATGTTTTCCAGCTTGGTTTCATGCTTCCTATCTGTTTCAGGTACCCCAATCAATCATAGGTTCAGTCTCTATACATCACATATCTTGGAAGTTTTGTTCATTCCTTTTCATTCTATTTTTTTTGTTCTTGACTGCCTGTCTTATTCCAGAAAGATAGTCTTCAAGCTCTGAGATTCTTTCCTCTGTTGGTCTATTCCGATATTGATACATGTGATTGAATTGTGAAGTTCTCATGTTGTGTTTTTCAACTCTATTAGGCCAGTTATGCTCCTCTCTAAACTGGCTATTCTGGTTATTAGCTCCTGTTTGGTTTTGCCTTGATTCTTAAATTTTTTATTGAGTTAGAACATGCTCCTTTAGCTCAGTGAAATTTATTATTACCCACCTTCTGAAGCCTACTTCTGTCAATTTAGCCATTTCAGCCTCAGCCTAGTTCTGTGCACTTGCTGTAGAAGTGTTGTGGTAATTTGGAGGAGAAAACGCACCCTGGTTTTTGAGTTTTCAGCATTTTTGCATTGGTTATTTCTCATCTTTGTGGGCTTATCTACCTTTGATATTTGAGGTTGCTGACCTTTGAATGGGGCTTCTGTGGGATTTTTTTTTTATGTTGTTGTTTTGCTTGTTTGTTTTTCTTTTAACAGTCAGGCCACTCAACTGTAGGATTCCTGTGGTTTGCTGGGGGTCCACTACAGACCCCAGTTGCCTTGGTTTCTCCCATACGTGGAGGTATCACCAGTGAAGGACAGTAAACAGCAAATATTGCAGCCACCTCCTTCCCCTAGAAGCTCTGTCTCAGGGAGGCACTGATGTGTTGCTGGCCTGTGCACACCTGTAAGAGGTGGCTGGGGACCACTGCCGGGAGATCTCATCCAGTCAGGAGGAATGAGATCAGAGACCTGCCCAAAAAATCAGTCTGGTTGCTTCTTGGTAGAGCAGTAATGCTGTGCTGGGGGGCATCCTTCCTCATTCAGACCACCTGTATTTTCCACAGCTGGCAGGCTGGAATTGCTAAATCTATAAAACTACAGAGATGACAGCCACCCCTTCCCACAATAGCATCATCCCAAGGAGAGATCAGAGCTCTATCTGTGGAACCAAGGTCCCACCCAGTGAGGAGAAATGGGTTGAGGCCCTGCTTCAAGAAGCAGTCTGACTATGATCTGACAAGGCAGCTGTACTGCATTGTTTGTGGTCCCTCCTCAACCAGACCACCTGTATTCTCCACAGCTGGCAAGCTGGAATGGCTGCTTCTATTGAACCATAGAGATGGGGTCCACTCCTCCCCCAAGGAACTCACTCCCATCTCAGGTGGACTCCAGCCTGCTGCCATTGGCTGGCTGGGGTTCCAAGTCAGTGGGTATTAAGTTGTGAGGTGCCATGGAAGTGGGGCCTGCAGAGGGGTGCTGTTCGGCTCCCTGGATTCAGCCCTCTTCCTAGGAATATGTACAGATGAATTTTCCACTTTGCCAGATCCTGGGACTGGAGTTAGTGAGCAGCTGCTCTGCTGAAACTCCATATAGCTTTGTGTATTGGACCCAAAGCCCTGGTGGCATGGGCTCGGAAGGAGATCTCCTGATTTGCAGGTTGCAAAGATCCATGAGAGAAGCATGGTTCCCCAGATGAGATCGCACAATCACTCACCGCTTCCCTTGGCTGTGGGGGGAAGGTTCCTTTGGCTCCGTATTGCTTCTGGATGGGCTGTTGCCCCACCCCCACTCCCTGCCTTTCTTTGTTCTCTGTGGGTCAATTTGTTTGCCTAGTCAGTCCCAATGCAAGAATCTGGATATTTCAGTTGAAAGTGCTGAAATCATTTGCCCCTTTTCATTCCTCCTCGTGAGTGCCGTGGACTGCAGCTGCTTCCAATCAGCCATCTTGCCTCCCTTCGTTAATTTTTTAATGACATTTAGAAACATACTATTCTGGGGTTCTACTGCAATAAGGGAAACTGTAATGAAAAGACAGCAGAATATGTTAATAGGCTCCTAGACATTGGACCAATGTTTTTTCTTAAAGTTAAATTCTCTGTGCAATACTCCATTCAGCTTCTGCTGAGGAAACTCATTGTGATAATGCTGGGATTCTGGAGGATAAAGTTGACGTATCTGTTATGATAAACCAACACACCTTGCAGCTATTCATTGGCTGTGCTTAGAACTAAATTTATTTCTCAATCATTTGGTGAGTTTAAAATGCAGAGTCTCCAGTTTTTATCTGCTCTGAACAGCACAGCATACTGCTCCAGTAAGCATAATGGATGGAAATTAGGCTCGGAATTCTGGCTGGAGTTTTTTCCATGTGAGGAAAGTAGACACAAATAAATCACCCTTTCTGCATAATGCCTTCACAGTAAACCAAAGGATGCCATGAGAGGAGATGATGGCCACAGCTCAGTAGCCTCTACAGATAGCTCTGGTAAGTAGAAAAAGTATGATCTAAGACCTGATGTTGCTGCTATTAATTGTAGACTTAAAGGGTCTGGACTTTTGGTGGCTGCAGGGAGTGAAGTGTATCGTCACTTCTTCTGAGCCCTGCCCTTGACTGACTCAGTCACTTTCTTGGGCTCAACTTTTCCATTTGAACCACAAATTGGGAGTAAATTTTGCCTTCCTAAAATGTTAGTCCCTAGTAAGAAATCTACTTTTGTAAAAATCAAGGCAAGAGTTCTGAGAGGATGAATCTCAAAACAGAGCCAGTAAAACTGAGCATTTTCCTATAAAGCTAATGTAAAAAAACTTGGAAGGCGGTACTATGAAAAAAAGTGAAATAAGTAAAACCAATGAAAAATTACAATCCTTGTGAAGCTTCTGAAATTTAGTTCAAACAGCCTTTTTATAAATACAATATATGTAAACATTATATAAATAAAACTCAATGTTGTTATGCACTTTTCAAAGTATATCCACAGTTACTGTCTCATTTGAACTTCACAATAAGCACTGTGGGCAGATATAATTCTCTTGGTTTTGCTTTTATAAAAACTGAAAGTCAGGAAGATAAAATGATTGGCACAATGTCACAGGATGTGTTAGTAGTACCACCTCGCACAATGCCTGACAGATAGAAAGCACTGGGTAAATATTTATTGAGTGAATGAACATATGAATGAAGGGGCCTGATTCCTAGTTTACTGTTTATTTCTAATACAATGTGTCATGAACTCCTGATACCTTCTGCTATATTATTGGTATTAATTGGGGACATCCTTTGTAAAGAAAGTTACAAACTTTCAGTGAATTATCTTTCTATTTTTCTTTGCCAGGGACACTTTTAAATAATTCTGCCTTTGTATATCTCTGTATCCTCCTTTCTTCACTCATTATCAGAATAAGCTTTTATAAGGTCCTAGGAGTGAGGATATAAGTGAAAGTATCAGAGTTAAATCCGCTTCTTCCTATAGCTTGATATTGAGAAAAGAAAGCAAAGATTTAAATTTTCAGGACCAAGTGGTTTGTTCAGTTAAGTTGCTTCTAATTCATATACTTTGACCACGAGACCATCTTTCTTTGTGTAGGTTCCTAAAAAGCTGAATCCTGCAGTGAATGCCATATACAGGCTCTCTCTCAGCAGGAGTTCATGGGGAAACCAAAAACCAGAGCATTAGAAGAATTTGAAGCCTGTGGTACATATAACTACAGCAAATATTAAGCACAGCCTTACGTTTAGCCCTATTACCATAAATCATCACTCAGGGGCCAGTTATCTCAATTCTCAGTAATTCTCAGTATCTCAGACATGCCTAGTTTTTAACAACAAAAAAGAAAAACAAATACAAAGCATGTCTGAAGGCAAGAAGAAACAAAGTCTGAGAGATAAAGCAAGCATCAGAACCAGACTCAGATACAACAAAGAGTCAGAATTATCACATTGGATATTTAAGATAACTATAATTAATATATTAAGAGCTATAATGGAAAAAGTAGACAATATGCAAGAAAAGATGTGTTTTGTAAGCAGAGACATGAATATGCCAAAAAAGAATTTAAAAATTAATGTTAAAAGTCAGACACACTATAACATAAAGAACAATGTCTTTGATGGGCTCATTAGTAGACTGGACAAAGCTGAGGAAAGAAAATCAGTGACCTTGAAGATAGGTCAATACAACTTCCCAAACTGATTTGCAAAGGGAAAACATAATGAAAAAAAATGGTATTAAACAACTGTGAGAAAATGTCAAAAGATATAACTAACATACAGGTATTTATTTTTAACATACAGGTATTTAGAAAACCAGAAGGACAAGAAAGAAAGAACAATAAAGCAGGGGAAATAACTTAAACAATGTCTGAAAAATTTCCAAGCTTAATTGCTAACAATAAACCACAGGTTTAGGAAGCTCAGAGAACATCAAGAAGAAAAAAAAAATAGCCAAAAAACCCACCACATAACTCCAGGAATATCATTTGAAACTGCAGAAAGTCAAAGGCAGAAAAACATCTTGAAGGAAACCAGGAGTAAGGGTGGAAAGATGGGGTTGGAAAACACTCCCTACCTGTAGAGGAACAAGGAAATACAGAGAGATTCTCAGCAGAAACTATACTAGCAATAAGAGTAACATGAAATCTTCAATGTGTTGAAAGGAAAAAAATGCCAGCATAGAATACTATACCTAGAAAATGATTCTTCAAAAGTGACAAAGAAATAAAGACTTACAAAGATAAAAAACAAAAAAACTGTAGAAATTTATTGTTAGCAGACTTTCCCTGCAATAAATGTTAAAAATAAAAAAGTTCTCCAGGGAGAATAAAAATGAAACCCAGAATGAAAACTCAGATCTACATAAAGAAAGCAAGATTTTCAGAGAAAGAATAAATGAAGGTAAAATAAATTAGTTTATGTTTCTTATTCTAAATTTATTTGAAGACAATTGTTTGTTTAAAGTGATACTAGTAAGAATTTACTGGAAGATTACAGCATATGGACAATATAAAGACTAAGGTTAAAAGTGAAGAGATGGAGAAAATCACATAATGATAACGCTAATCAAAAGAAATCTGGAATAGTTATATTAATTTCAGATGAAGCCAACTTCATAACTAGAAAAACTATCAAGAATGAGAGGCATTTTATACTTATAAAGGGTCAATTATCCAAGAAGATGAACTTAAAAGTTTTACGATGTTTGTATTTAAAAACAGAGCATTAAAATATTTGAAGCAAAAAAAAAATCCCACAAAAAAACAAATAGAATTGACAGGAGAAATAGACAAATCCACTATATAGTTGAAGACTTCAACATTTCTTATTCCATTAACTGATAGATAAGCAAGCAGAAAACCAGTAAGAATATGGTTGGCCTAAATAGCACTATCAATCAACTTGGTCTAATTGACATTTATAGAAATCTCCATAAATAATAGGAACCACACCTTCTCAAGTACACATAGAACATTAATCTAGATAGACCGTACTCTGGGCTAAATCATAAAATATGATGTGACATATTAAAAAACAGAAATCATAGGAAATATGCTCTTAGACCACGATGTAATTAAACTAAAAATTGTTAGCTGCAAGATAGCTGGGAAATCTACAAATATTTGGAAATTTAACAAAAATACTTTAAAATTATGCATGGGTCAAAGAAGTCTCAAGAACAATTTAAAGATATTTTGTACTAAATGAAAATGCAACATACCAAAATCTGTGGAATGCAGAAAAAACAGCTTTTAGAGGAAAATATATAGTCTTAAATGCATACTAGAAGAAATCCAAATAGTATGAAACTAGAGAAGGAGCAATTCAATCCTTAGCAAGATAAAGAATAGGTATAATAACAACTAGAGTAAAAATAATGAAATTGAAAACAGGAAATCAATATAGAAAATCAATGAATCCCAAAGCTGATTCTTTCAAAATATCAATAACATTGATCAACCTCTACCTGAAATGAAAGATGGGACATCACTACTAATCCTGCAAGTATTACAAGGGTAATAATGAAATTTTAGAAACAACTTTATGCACACAAATTTAATGATTTAGATTAAATGGACCAATTTCTTGAATGACTCAATGTATCAAAACTCACACAAGAAGAAACAGGTAATGTAAATGGGTCCATAGCCACTAGAAATATTGAGTCAATTACTAATAACTCTCTGACATAGAAAAAAACAAAATTATTCTAAAACTAAAGCTCTGGTAATTCTGACAATGTTTAACCAAAAAATGATATCAATTCTCAACAATCTCTGCCATGTTAGAGGCAGAGAAAATACTTCCTAACTTATTATATGAGGTCAGTATTACCCTAATATGAAAATGAATGAAGACATTATCAGAAAAGAAAACCACATGCCAATGTCAGTTAATATAGATGCAAAAATTCTCAACAAAATATTAGCAAATTAGATCCAACAATGTATAAAAAGAATTATATATAGGCCATAACAAATGGAATTCATTCAAAGTGTACAAGACTGGTTCAGCATTTGAAAAAGAATAAATGTAAGCCACACATCAACTAGCTAAAGAAGAAAAATGATAACATCATATCAAATGAACACTTTTCCCCTAAGACAAGGATCAAAGCAAGGATGTACACCTCTCCACCTACATTCATTATCATACTAAAACTCCTAGTTAATACAATAAAACCAAAAAAAGAAAATGAAAATAAAGATCTACCAATTAGGAAGAAAGAACCAAAATTATCCTTATTCACATTTTATATGGTTGCCTATGAAGAAAATACCAAAGTAGTCACACTCCTGGATCTAACAAATATGCATAGTAAGGTTGCAGAATGCAAGGTTAATGTACAAAAGTCAATTGATTTCCTATATACCTGCAATTAACAGTTGGAATTTGATTTTTTTAAAGTACCATTTATAATAAAACCAAAATCATAAAACACTTACGTATAAATCTAACAATATATTTATAGGGTTTATATATAGAAAATTACAAAACTCTCATGAAACAATCAATGAAGTTCTAAATAAATGGAGAGACAGCTTATACGCATGAATTGGAAGACTCAGTGTAAAGATGTCAATATTTTCCAACTTTATCTTAATATTTAACAAAATCCCAGTCAAAATTCCAGCAGCCTATTTGTGGATATCAATAGATTCAGTATAAAATTTATGTACAAAGTCACGAGATCAAGAATAGCCAACGTGGTACTAAAGAAGAACAAAGTTGAAGGATTCACATAAACCATTTACAAGACTTACTATAAAGCTACACTAATCAAGACAGCGTGGTATTTACTAGAGAAACAACGACATGTAGATTAATGGGACAGAATAGAAAGCCCATAAAAAGACTCACATAAATACAGTCAACTGATCTTCAAGAAAGGCACAAGGGCAATTCAATGCAGAGAGGATAGTCTTTCATCAAACTGTTCTGGGACAATTAGGCATTCACATGTTAAAAAAAAAATTGACCTAGGCACAGACTTTACCCCTTTTGTTAAAAAATGAACTCAAAATAAATCTCAGACCTAAAGGTGAAATAAAAATTATAAAACTTCTAGAAAAAAAAAATAAACAGAAGAAAATTTAAGTGACCTTAGTTTTGGCAATGAGTTTTTAGATATAACACCAAGACCGTAATCCATGGAAGAATAAAATTGATAGTTGGCTTTTATCAAAATTAAAAACTTCTACTGGAGAAAAGATGCTACTAAAAAAATGAAAAGAAAACCATAGACTGGAGGACAATATTAACCAAACACATATTTGATAAAAGACTTGTATTCAAAATATACTAATAACTCTCTTTAAAACTCAATAAAAAGTAAACCAATTAAAAATTCCAGAAAGGTCTCACTAGCACTTCCGAAAGAAAATATACAGGTGACAAATATGCATATAAAAAGAAGCACAACATTATTTGCCATTAGGGAATTGCAAATTAAAACAATGAGATGCCAGCATATGTTATTAAAATGGCTAAAATTCAGGGCAAAAAGCCTGATAATACCAATTACTGGCAAGAATATAGAGAAACAGGAACTCTCATTTATTAATGGTGGGAATGCAAATGGTACAACTTTAGAATCTGGTATGGCAGTTTATTTCAAAAGTAAACGTAGTCTTGCCACAATCTCCAACAATCACACGCCTAGAAATTTACACAACTGATTTGAAAACTTATGTGTACACAAAAACCTGCATGAGACTGTTTATGGCAGCGTTATTCACAATCTACAAGAAAACAGGGCAACCAAGTTATTTTTCAATAGGTGAATGAATAAACAAACCGTGGTACGTCTACACAATGGGATATTATTATTTAGGGTAAAAAGAGATGAGCTAACAGGCCATGAAAACAAATGCATGAATCTTAAATGGATATTTATAAGTGAAAGAAGCCAGTCTGAAAAAGCTACCTACTGTAAAACTCTAATTCTATGACATTTTGGAAAAGGCAAAACTAAAGAAACATTAAAATAAATACATAAGTAAATAAAGAAAAATATGGGTACCAGGAGAGTGGAGATGCACAGTTGAATAGATGAAGCATCGGGAATTATTTTTAGGGAGGTGAAACTATTCTGTAGTTATTGGAATGGTGGCTATGTGACACTATGCATTTGTCAGCATCATAGAACTTTGCAGCACAGGGCTCACTCAGTGTATGCACATTTTAAAAACTTGATTTAAAAGGTCGGAGGTCTCAGGATAGAATGCCGAATTTGACAAAACAATCTAATTGTATTACAAATATACAGAACAACTCATTGAAGGAGATGAGGGTTAAAAATACTGACTTATGTGACTAAAAATAAATGGTATTGCGGAGCGCGGTGGCTCACGCCTGTAATCCCAGCACTTTGGGAGGCCGAGGCGGGCAGATCACGAGGTCAGGAGATAGAGACCATCCTGGCTAACACAGTCAAATCGCGTCTCTACTAAAAATACAAAAAATTAGCCAGGCGAGGTGGCGGGCGCCTGCAGTCCCAGCTACTTGGGAGGCTGAGGCAGGAGAATGGCGTGAACCCGGGAGGCGGAGCTTGCAGTGAGCCGAGATCGCGCCACTGCACTCCAGCCTGGGCGACAGAGCGAGACTCCCTCTCAAAAAAAAATTAAAAAAACAGTAAATAAATAAATAAATGGTATTTGTACGACGAAAGACAACAGAGATCGTACGTAAGACTGTACTCTAGTTGAAAAATCGTTAACCTGTGCCCACAGGAGTACAGGTTAACAATTATAATAGTGCTATACTTGCATATTTGTATTGAACAATTAAACGGATGGCAGATGATGGGAGCCTAGTTTCTCACTGTTGCAGTGGGAGGTTACATACAAGCAAGTGCGGGTGGCTTGAATGATACATGCGGCAGCAAATTAGATCTGGAGACATCTCTATGAACTCATGTCAAGCTCGGTAGAGGTACAGATGGTTGCAGATCTGTGTCTATATACATACGTGAGTCAGTATGCCCACAGATATTTCCTTGTTCTCTCTGCTGAGAGGGACTAGAAGCAAGGACAACATTCCATAGCCTGTAGCTATGACTTATCACTTAATAAACACATGAAAGCTTCATCATGTTATGGAATGGAGCTCTGCTGGTATCACAGAGCTTCACTGTTTTCTTCAAATTTTGTGATAGTTTAAGATTAAAGTGGGGATCGTGCTAAAGTTTGCTTAGAAATGACAATGGGGTTATTATCCTCTTTTGATGTAAAATATCAGACTCCAGTAGTCTTTTATGCCATGAATAGGGCAAATATATATATACACATATATATACACATATATATATACACACATATATACATATATATACACATATACATATATACACATATATATACATATATACACTATATATATACATATATATACACTATATATATACATATATATACACTATATATATACATATATATACACACACATATATATATACACATGTATAAATAGTATTATAACTGACAATAAAATTAGTAGTAAAGCTATAATACCAGCCAAGGCTGAAAGCTTGATAGGCATCATCTCATTATCTCATTGAAAACTCACAACAGTATGTTAGGGTAAGAACTGTTACTATTTCCATTTCACTACTGGGAAGCTGAGAATAGAGATTTAATAACTTACTCAAGGTTACACAACAAGTAAATGAAGGAGCTGGAATTCTAACCTACGCAATTTGACTTCAGAGCACACATTCTTTACTGACATGGAAATTGCTTTGCAAAGGTAAGGCACTATTAAGCCATCCTCACTCATTGTAGGAAGGACACTATATCACTGACAGCACCATCTGCTGTGAAGCACCCACATTTAGAAAGAATGGAGACTCTTTAATGATCAACCTAGTCTCTGAAGCATGAGATTTGATTGCCCATCATTTAGAGCATAAGTGCTTTAATGGCACAAAATAATTTGGATCACATGGAATCTGCCCCCGCCACCCCCCCACAATTTAGTATATAAGGAGCACATCTGTGATGGCAGTGTTGCCAGAAAAGCAGAAGAAATGTTAGTGCTGGAAAATGAAAATGAATTGATTGACTCCTGTATGTCTCCATAAGTGAACACAATATGAATAATAATAAAAGCTTCAGTTCAATGCGTGCCTAGGATGTGCTAAACACTGTTCTAAGTGCTTAAGATATATTATTTCATCTAATCCTCACAAGAGCACAATGAGGCAGGAATAATTGCACACATTATATGGAGGAAGAAACTGGTATACATAGGGAGTGATTTCACAGTCCTAAGATCCCAAGGTGAGAAAATGGAAGAGTCAGGATGTCTGATTACAAACCAGGTGCAAGTAACGACGATGCTAAACAATCTACATGTAGCTCACATCAAATGAAGATTAAGGAGTGACAGATTTCAAGATGATAGATTCAGGTTTTACAGAGACAGAGTTCTGTGTTTGCTTGTAGATAACCATGTTTGTTTTCCTTCACTATAAAAAAAATCATTGCAATATATATTCTACTAATGTAGTTACAAAATTAGACATTCAGAGCAAGCGAGATCCTTGCACGTCCCATAGAAATGAGGCATGCATTCCAGAATGTCTGCGTAATTCAGTTAGTTTTTAAATTGTGAAATCACACTTTAGGATTTTCTCTCTTTGTGGGCCAGTTAGTTGTGTTTTTTTTTTTTCCACTACCACAGAAAACATCCTCACACCAGCCTCCAGCCATCAAATTGCCAGCTGTCATAAGGATCGGCAGATCAACATTGTCCTGAAAAAACAGGGCAGAGTGCCGGTCATACAGTTGATAGGTTGGTGATGATCTTTTAATTTAAAAGTCGCTTATAATTCTAGCAAGACATTCCTCCATCTCCCTGTGTAGTAATCCAACAGATCTCTTAAGGCAAAACAATGAACCAAAAGTGTGTCCTTCTCTTGGGCCCCAGGCAATGTGGAGAGAGCCATGGTAATTTATTTTTGTACAACACTTCACCATGACAAGGGACTATCAGATCTCTATTGGTCCTCATGCTTGTAGAGAAGGCCACACACACATCTATGAGGATAAAAATGAGACTCTTAGGTCCTGGATGACTTGACAAGTTTGTCTAGTACGTGGCTGTATTAGTTCTTGAATTAGTCTTAAATTTGTGCCAACTTCAAAGCCAGTATTTACTGAAGAATAACTTTTTGCTCTAGTTTGTGAAAGGTACAAAATAGGTTATTCCTTCATGTTTTTGTTGGGTCAGAATAGGCATACCTTACTCGTACTGCAGTGTTGCCGTGTTTCTGATGGATTGTCCTAGTGTAGGGGAGAAAGAATTTGGGGGAACTTCTTCACTGATCAAAATCACTAACCTTTTTCTAACCACAGCACTTTTTATTAATTCCACCTCTGACTGAGAAATGTTTTGAACATATTATTCATGCATATGGATTGCTGTGTGTGAAAATCATAAAGTGAAACTTATTTCTATTAGTCAAAAGACATAGCCAATGTAACTAACTCCCTCTCTGTCTTGTGGACAGCATGGAGCATAGTTCACCTTTGCAAACTGCCTGAGACATGCACAGAGAATGGCATTATCTACCAATGCTAGACGTTTTTTTTTTTTCTTTGAGATGGAGTCTCTCTCTGTCACCAGGTTGGAGTGCAGTGGTGCGATCTCGGCTCACTGCAACCTCCACCTCCTGGGTTCAAGTGATTCTTGTGCCTCAGTCTCCTGAGTAGCTGGGATTACAGGCACGCGCCACCACACCCAGCTAATTTTCACATTTTTATAGAGACGGGATTTCACCATGTTGGCCAGGGTGGTCTCGATCTCCTGACCTGGTGATCCACCTGCCTTGGCCTCCCAAAGTGCTGGGACTACAGGCATGAACCACCGCACCCGGCCAAATGCTAGGCATTTTAAAGTCTGCAGCTGAAATAATACCCAAAGAGAAAATTATCCATAGTGTTAGAGAAATATCATATATTAAGACAGAGGAGCTCAGAGAACAGAGAAGATGAGTGGGAAAGTCCTAAGGAAAGATTTCAGGAAAAACAACCCCACCCCCCAACCCCAATTACGGATTCAACAGCTGAGAATGACCTTGTGTGTTTATGGTTACCATTTTAAACGTTTGTCTAATCCCAGTTGAAAGGTGGAAAATAGCAAGTTACCTCCAAAGTGCAGAGCTCTATAGGCTGATTTCACCTCAAAATTCCACGAGGAACACACCTGCTCAGCCCATTGGGTCAGAAGCCCCAGAGAGCTGCTCTCACACGTTACATTGTCCACTGGAGAGTCTGTCCACACAGCCAGGCTCAAGAGGGAATGTATGATGTCTTTTCCTTGCTTCCTCTGCTGCCATTTCTGTTGTTTATCTCAAGGTACATAAAGGTGTGGAGGCCCAGCTGATCTTGTTTAAGAGGCTGATCTCAGCATAGTGTGAGTGGAGAGAGGAAGAAAATAAACAGGATAATGAAGGGGCTTCCAGGTATGGGCAATGGTTTGTTTCTTGAGCTGGGTACTGAATGCACATGGGTTCCGTTTGTAAACATTCCATTGGCTGTATATTTGTGGCAGGAATATTTTCTGAATATGTATTATATTACAATAAAATGGAGGGGAAAAAAAGCCTGGCTGTATTTTGTCATTCCTGGTGTACGAGTAGTAGTTTTAGGGTAAAAATCTCTAGTACAAAACCTTTGAGTTAGGACTTGGAATTTCAAACCCAACATACTCAGATATTTCAAATGCCTGAAGCATTATGTGTTCGTTCATAGCCTCAACACTCTGAGTCTTACATTGTTCTTCTTTCCCTAAGGTTACTTTATTTCAGAGAAGTGTGAGAAAGTCTACCTAAATGGAACTTAAGCCATGTTAGTCAGAATATCACCGTATCTATCTACCTCTCCTCTACCTTCTCCAATTTTTTTTCGAGAGAAAATCTAATTGGTTAAAATTTCTTCAAGTGATTTATGATTAAAGAAAACAGTTACCTTATTTAACATTAATGGTCACTTCAAAAGTTATAGATAAGTCACAGAAAAACTTATTTTTTTCTAAATAATACCTCATTTTCCCATAAAATGAAATGGACTGTGTGTCCAGATGTGAGAGAGAAGTGTGCTGACTTTTTAACTTTTGCCTACAGAAATGTCCGTGCTGGCTTTAAGGTTAAAGTGTCACAGGAGACATGCTGGGGGTTGTCTAATCTAGAAAATAATAAAATAACCTTTATCTCTATTAAACTATGTACACACACACACACACACACACACATTTGCACGCTGTGATTTATGCACCTTTTCCTGAAGCTTTTGAAAAATGCTGAAAGTTCCATCACCAAACCACTCAGGAAAAGCAGAAGTTAACTAACAAATCTTATTCCCTAAACTGTACTTACATAACTAATGATCCTTTTACACTCCAATGAAGTCCGACTGCTTATATTTTGTAGGAGAAAAAAAGAGGCTGGGGTGGTGGGGAGAAATAAGAAATTCAGAAGTTGAAGGAAGAGAGAAAATCAAACAAGAGCCGTCTTCGCCAAGGCTGTCCAAAGGGGGCACACTGGAGCAGCAATCGGATCTAAGGTTCAAAGTATATTGGGGTTGAGTTGATAAGAGAAGAGATGGAGATTCTTTCCTCCAAGATAAGAGTACCCATGTCCTCCACTAGTCTGTGCCATGCCGCCCAGCTGAATCCCACAGAAGGTCCCATAGGAGTGTGCTCAGCAGCAGAGCTCAGCTGTCCCGTGCCTGCCTGACACGCACCATGTTTGCCAGTTGGACGGTCCAGATGGAGCAGTCTGGTGATGCATTCCTTCACAGGGATAGACCAGTGTGAGGCCTGAGAGAGGAAAGGGAACAAGCCTTGGCTCCAATGGCAGTAACATGGCCAAAGACTAAAACTGGGGTTCCAACTTGGGTTCTGTCACTAACTGGTGCTGGAAAGACAGGTAGCCACTCTGAGCCTCATTCTCTCATCTGCTTTCTCATAAGTCTGTTAAGAAGCCTAGGATGTAGTAACACACGGTAATGCCTTAGCATAGTACCTGATACACAGTAAGAGCCCAATACATGGCAGCTATTTTTGTAAAAATCCCCAGGCTCAGAAACTCCCTGGGGTTATAGCCAACAGCCGCTCCAGACAATGACCCAGTTACATGGGCGCTGCACACTCAAATTGTGGGTTGGGCTGCCAGGTTCATTTAGCGTTGAAGAAACAAGCCTTGAAATCTCTGCCCACCCTCTTACCCTTTTCAGCATCTCTCACTGAAGAGGCCGTGCTCACCAGCTGTCCTCTCTGCATGTGCATGGGACTTCCCTTCATCAGCCAACCTTTCTTTCTCTTGTTGACTCCTCATTCCAAAAGGAGTATCCCATTTTCCTGGACTAATAATGTATTTGGAAAGTTGTTCACATGGTGCAAAGAAATAAAACCATATACGCACATTATTAACATTAAAGTCGCTGGGGAAAATTTTTTTTTGAGAGAAAATCTAATCAGTTAAAATTTCTTCTCTAGGGATAAATGATGGTGTGCATGCTGCACACTCTGCTGAGACTGTCTTGAGTGGGATTGTTTCTCCACACTCCCCAAAGATATGTTTAAGCCCTAACTCCCAGTACCTCCAAATGTGCCTTTCTTTAGTGATAGGGCTTTTATAGAAAGTAATCAGGTGAAAAGGAGGTTGTTAACGGCCGGGTGCGGTGGCTCACACCCTGTAATCTCAGCACTTTGGGAGGCTGAGGAGGGTGGGTCACTTGAGGCCAGGAGTTTGAGAGCACCCTGGCCAACATGGTGAAATCCCATCTCTACTAAAATTACAAAGTTGGCCAGGTGTGGTGGTGCATGCATTAATCCAGCTATTTGGGAGGTTGAGGTAGGAGAATTGCTTGAACCCGGGAGGTGGAGGTTGCAGTGAGCCGAGATCGCACCACTGCACTCCAGCCTGGGCAACAGAGTAAGACCGTCTCAAAAAAAAAAAAAAAAAAAAAAAAAAAAGGAGGTTATTAGTCTGGACCCTAACCTAATATAACTGGTATCCTTGCAAAAAAGGAAAATTTTTGGACCCAAAGCCAGACAGGCACAGAGAGAAAATGTCAAGTGAAGATGAAGGCAGAGATCAGGATAATGTATCTGTTAGCAAAAAGGAACACCAAAGATTGTCGGCAACCAACAGAAGCTAGGAGAGACGCCTGGAACATTCTCCCTCTTAACCCTATCATGGACCTAAGACTGCTAACACCTTGATCTAGGACTTCTAGCCTACAGAACTGTGAGACAATACATTTCAGTTATTTAAGCCACCTAGTTTTTGGTACCTTGTTGCAGCAACCTTAGGAAGCTAATTCAGAGACTTGTCCACTATCTTAGCAGTTTTCTTCCCATGGCTTTATACCTGGGAGAGAATTAATGTGTTTCTGACTGAGCTTTTTAATCTGCCCCTTACTAAATCACAAAGCGAATTAGTTTCATATCTCAGGTAAAACAAAGTCATTGATTAAAAACAACATATAAAGATTTAAAAAAATATTTTCTAGATCCCACATTTGCAGATAGAGCAGGTAATTGCTTCTTAATCTGAGAGTAGATCTTCACATCTTGCGCTTAGCTCTAAGTACTGTTTCTCAGATTGGCTGGGTAGTCACCTGAAGGCATAGTGGCTGGTGGTTAGAAAGATATTCAGCCAGAACTGGGGAGCTATGCATATGTGTTTTATCCAATATCTCCAGTCAGGTTAATGTAGTGTCACTGTCATCACCCTCTTCCACTTCAGATAATTGTCTGAGTAAGCTCCTACTCTGCTCAGGGTACTTTGCTGAGTGTGGGTGTTTAGGACCTGCGCTACGTAAAATATTGTTTCAGTCCAATCAAGATAATTCATTGGTGGGCTTGACAAAACAACACAGAGCAGGTGTGACTAGGGAAGGAATTATAAGATTTCAGCTCTATTACATATTGTTTTTAAACTTGAAGTTCATGAAGCTACTGCAGAAAAGATAGTGTTTAGAAAGAAACAAAATAAGGAAATTTTGATGATGCACAAAGAAAAATGGTTTATTTGTTTTCCTATCAAGAGTATACGTGCAAGATGACAGTACAAAAAAAAGGTCCCTGATTTAACTAACATTGGTTCAACTTACGATTTTTTGACTATACAATTGTGTGAAAGCAATACACATTCATTAGAAACCATATTTTGGGTACCCATACAACTATTCTGTTCTTCACTTTCATTACAGTATTCAATAAATTGCATGAGATATTTAACACTTTATTATAAAATAGGTTTTGTTTTATATTATTTTGCCCAAATGTAGGCTAATATAAGTGTTCTGAGTATGTTTAAGTTAGACTAGGCTAAGCTGTGATGCTTGGTAGGTTAGGGTTATTAAATGCATTTTTGATTTAAGATATTTTCAATGTACTATGGGTTTATTGGGACATAACCTCATCATAAGTTGAGTAGCGTTCATACTAGAGTGTATGTAGTTCTTCACCACATTCTCGTGTAAATATTTTGGCCCTTTCATTCCTATGATCATTGCAGCCCTGTCCTAAGGAAGAACCAAATACAATATTTTGAAAGATGGGAACTGAAGACAGAAATATATTCAGTATTTAGTAAAAATGACAATGATGGTAATGCTGTTTTGGACCTTAAACAATGATGAATTAGAAAATTATTCTTTTAGGAAACAAACTGGAGTTGATGGAAATCCACACACCTCTGGGAAGGGCCCAGTGAACCTTCAGCTTCATTGCAGGAGAAGGTCTCATAGTTTCTAGGGGTCTAACATTTATCTCTATGCTAGGTGTATTGAAGATACGTTCATTGTACCAGAAGACAGACTTTTTTTTTCTCCTTTTTTTTTTTTTTTTTGAGACGGAGTGTCACTTTGTCACCAGGCTGGAGTGCAGTGGTGCAATCTCTGCTCACTGCAACCTCTGCCTCCTGGGTTCAAGCGATTCTCCTGCCTCAGCTTCCTGAGTAGCTGTGATTACAGGCACCCGCCACAACGCCCTGCTAATTTTTGTATTTTTAGTAGAGACGGGGTTTCACCATGTTAGCCACGCTGGTCTCGATCTCTTGACCTAGTGATCCACCTGCCTCAGCCTCCCAAAGTGCTGGGATTACAGACATGAGCCACTGCATCCCACTAACAGAATCTTAAAAACTGTGCTATAGCTTAACCTCCATCACTGGAGGCATTCTCTGCTGTCCAAAGGTTTGTGTGTCTTTATGCATGTGATATAAGGGGTAGTGTGTCATATAACGGGGTAGAGAGTAGAGAGGAGGGAAGTAGGTAGGTACAGTCCTCCTTGTTACTCAACCTCTCATAAAACATTAGTAACAGACAATTAGGCCCCAAAGGGAGACAAACACCCCCAATACACTCTAGCTCTAATGCTCCACGTTCAAAATTCCTTATCCAAACTTAACCTAATTATACAATAATTGGATGAAAAAAACTTCTCTTTCAAATTGAAAAAGTGTCCTTGGAAGAAAGTCAAGCCTTTATCTCTTGCATTTTTAAGCATGGGTTAGTTATCTCAGTTGGCTAAACACCTCCTGGAATGCAAATTTTGTTTGAGAAGACTCTGGTAGAGTGAGGTGTAATCTTAGAACTTGGGTTACTTCACGGTTTTGGGTATCCCAATAAAAGCTGTGGGGTAGCCAGAGACCAAAAGGAAGGCTGAGAAGGAGGGAACATTGGCCTCATATGGTAGAAGGCAGGACCAAACTGCTATCCATGATTCTGAGGTTGCTGAGGGTGTTAACTTCCAGGAGATGTGTATTGAGTATGGGGCATAAGATCTCCAGGCTGCCTTCATAGCCATCTTTTCCTGATCCCTCTTCCTTATTACAAAGTGGTCTCCCATAACGGAGGCCAACAATGCCAGATATCTGATTTCTTAGCCTCCATTTTAGCAAAAATGTCATCCAACTCTGGCCAATGGGACCTCTGGGAAAGTCTACTACAGTTTAGGGAAGATTTTTGTTCCTCAGAAAGAAATGGTGGGAGATAGAAACTTTGACTTATTTTTGGACATTGTTATCTTAGTACATGGTGCTTTGAGCTGTAAAATTTATCTTGCTACCATAAAGCAACAAGTCAGAGAACAGAAAGCCACTAAGCCTAGGATGATACAGGAGCCGAGGAACGAAAAGGAGCCTGAATCTATAGATCTTTGGTACACCAACTTTGACATAATTTATCTCCAGACATGTTATCATGTGAGATACATATCCTTACTTTTAAAATCATGGTTGGCTCAATATTCTGTTACTTGATGCAGAAAATATCCTGCATGGTACTCAATATGCTAACATTGATCACAAGTTCAAATTATGTAATTGTGAATTAATATAATGTAAATGTATACATTATCAGGTATGCAAAAAGTAGTGAACATTCTCAAGTATCTTCTCAAGTATAGGACATGAAAATAAGCATGTACTGAAACGATTTACTAGGGGTTTGTGGCAAAAATAAGGGCTAGAATGAGTATAATTGAGTGTCCCAAAAGGCCATGCCTTCCTTTTTTTTTTCTTTTATTCCTCGAATCTACAAGGCTTTATGCTAGGTGATAGGTATACAAATGCAAAATATAACATATAATGCCTCTGCCTTCATTAAACTGTCACTACATTCTAGATTGCAGGGAGGGGTATGGGGATCAATACTTCACTATTGTCTTGGTTTGTTTTCTATTGCTCATAACAGAACACCTGAAACTGGGTAATTTATAAAGAAAATAAGTTTAGTTTTACAGTTATGAAGGCTGAGAAGTCCAAGGTCAAGGGGCAACATCTAGTGAGAGCCTCTGCAGAGTCCCAAGGTGGCACAAGACATCACATGGTGAGGGGGCTGAACATGCTAGCTCAGGTCTCTCTTCTCTTTATAAAACCATCAGTCCCATTCCCATGATAACTGCCATTCCCATGATAATTCATCCATTAACCATTAGTCCATCAATTCATGAATGGATTAATCCATACGTATGGGCAGATCCCTCATGATCCAATCTCTTCTTAAAGACCCTACCTGTCAATATTGACATATTGGGGATTCAGTTTCAATATGAGTTTTGGAGGGGACAAATATTCAAACCATATCACCTATATAGTTAGAATTTGAAATTGACCCTGAGTATATATCTTTCTTCCTTTGTCTTGGGTTGCTGAACATTTCCAGAGAGAAATATTCAAATGTAGAATGTGTATGATTATTTGGTCTCCCTACTCAATGGACCTTCAACACAGCCTTCATATCCAGTTCTCTCCCATTCTGCACAATGAATATATCCCACCTTCATTATAATAACAAAGCCACCAATGTCAACACCTCTTTCCTCACTCTTGACAAATGTGCTGATTTTCTACTTCACAGACAACATAGAAACCAAAAGGGACATAATACTCATACCTTATCCACCAAAGCAGCCATATCTACAAGAAATGCTTCCTCATTCTCTTTCCTCATATCTAATTATAGATCTCTATCTGAGGCTAATCTATCCCTATTCTCTTGGATCCATCCCTTCTTAGTTCTTCAAGAAAATTGATTATGTAATTGTCCACATTTTTAAAATGCATTTTAAAACTCATGGTATTGTCTTCTATCTTCAAATAAACAAAAAAACTTTATTTGTTCTGAGTTTCCTTCTTATGATATAAATTTTACCCCTTTCTTTCTATGTTTTCACTCACTATTCTAGTTTCTCTTCCCACAACTTCTTTGAAGCAACTTTTTAAAAGCCATCAATTACATTTTTATTGTCGAGGAAGTGAGATTGTTTTTAGTCTTTAAGATATTTGAGGTCTATGGAGTAATTGACAGTTTACCACCATTCCCTTAAAATTCTCTAATTTCTTGGCTTTTCTGACATCAGTTATCCCATTGTTTTTCCTCTGTACTCCCCAGGTTTCTATCCCCTGACTACCCCTCAATCCCACCACTTAACTATATGCATTCTTCCTGGTTGATTATATTCAGTGCCATGACTTTGGCTGTTGTCTTCAGTCCAACGAACATCCAGACTCCAAATTCATCATGACCTTACCCTCCCAAGATACATTTCCATGTACTTGTCATACATGCAGCTCAAACTCAACATTTCCAAACTTCAACTTACTGCCTTTCACATGTCACCAGACCTGCAGCTTCTCCCATGTTCTCTGTGTTAGAAAATAGCATCACTATTCACTAAGTTGCCTAATACACTGCACAAAGAGTCTTCTCCCTTCATCTACTTTATCTAACAACTTATCAATTCTTTTCAATTATATCACTTATAGGCTCTCAAATTCATTTTAAAAAGTTCTATCACTGCCAACCTAGTAAGGTCTTTCACATTTATTTCCTTCATTGACTGCAACAACATGATTTGCTGCAACAATGTCTTAACTCATATTCCTGTCTCATATATGCATCTAGTATATTCTTACAATAAACAATGAGATTCTTTTTAACAAAGAAAAACCACATGATTTTTAATCATTCTTTTAATCACTTTAATGAGTTCTTAGCCTTTAGGATAAAGTTCAAACATTTTATTATTGCATTAAGACTCATTATGTGTGACCCCTCCTTTATTCTCTTGATTCATCTTAGGCTGCTCCTATCTTCAATTTTTAGTTCTAACTACATTAAGCATTTTCCCAAATCTACTTAGGTTTTTCCACATCTCAGGACCTTCTCATCTGTTAGCACAAAGGATTGAACTGCCAAATCAGATTCACAAAAATGAGAGATCTTATCTAGCATTTAGCTTTGCTGATTATTTCAAGGACACAAGTAATCATAAGGCCACTGATTCTCTGTAAGCTTTATTGTTATTTTATTTATTTTTTTTGTTTTTATTTTTAAGCCTGGCCTCTGAGGACTCATACCTAGGTCAACCAAACAATGATTGTTCATAAGATTTCCTTGAAGTCTTGTCTATATGTCTTCTTCCTTTTTTCAAATGGACCTGTATGCAAAGACACAATTTGAAACTTCCAAGAGAAGTTTGCTCTCACTTAGCTTTTGCTTTTTTCTTGCACATGGCTTCAAGGTAAGTGAGAGGTGAGTGACGGTTGTTTTCTCCTTTCCCAGGTCTTCTCTGTTTCCTGGGCATGCAAAAAGTCTTGGGCAGACATTTATATTTCTAGGAATATGCTGGAGTTTTAACATTGTTCGATCTCTAGAAATATGCTATAATTTTTAAAGTCCCCTATGCATGTTTATGTCTCTAGGATTTCTATTCAAAGTTCCCAGGCAAGCTCTCAGTTGCCCCAACTGAAATCACAACTGTGGGGACTTGAGATGTTGTCAGTACTCTGCCATGCCCTGAGGATAAACTCTCTACCACCACCTGAGCTGTGCTTTGAGTCAAATGAGATAACCACCACACGCATTTCCCAGGGAACTTCCAAGTCTGACAATATATTGGCTGTGTTCTGAGGACTGTGCTTTAAAAGAAACGCCAAAAGCAATCAGCTTTCTCTATTGTCCACAGTGCTGCTGGCCTTTGGGTGGTTCCCAAATGACAGAGCTGGGAAGAGATGGGGGACGCATACAGCTCCAACTTCAAACTTCACACACCCCACTGTGTCATCAAGTTTTGGTAGTTTCTCTTAGATAGATGATTTTCAGTTCTTTCAGTGGCCTTTGTTTTTTGCCAAAGTTCTGAAATTATACACTTTTAGTAGTTTGGTCTGCATTTTCATTGCTTTAGAGGGAGAGCAATTATACGGAGGTCCTCATCTTTCCAGAAGTTGATCTCTGTACCTCTATGTGGTAGGCAGTATAATTCCTACAAGGCATTACACTATAAATGCAACATGTAAATTTTTGCTATGTAATATGATTTATGTACAGGTTCTGGGGATGAGGGCAAGAATATCTGAGGTATATAAGAGGACAGACTCCTAGGGAGAAGATACATACCAAGAAGTGATCCTAGCACTATTTGCAGGTTTTTCCCTAGATGTATTGCTATTCTTGAAATGAAAGTTTAAACAAGTAACTGAAGAGTTAGGAGACTTTTTATAGTTTTTCAGAACTATAAAGATAAAAATTAGAGGAAGAGAGGCAGTGGTAAATATTCTGGGTTTTAAGGTAGAACCTCTAGGGTCTACACCTTAGGCTTGGGATTAAAACAAAAGTAGATAAAAAGTTACAAAGACCATAGTCTGGTTTAGTCAGCTCAATCCATGGTTGCATTGAGATGATTTGCTCCCAATCAATGTGTTTTCCAGAGGATAGAGGACACACTCTGGAGAACAGCATCATCCAAAGCCTCTTAAATCCATCCAAACATAATATGTAGTCTCCAAGAAAAAATTACCAGTTGTAACAAAAAACCTTATCAAGATAAAACAGGCCATGGTAACAAGCCACATATAATTCAGGTGTTGGAATTATGAAGATGTAAACTTAAGAAGAAAAAAAATTACCATGAATTTGCTCAAGAAAATTAGATGGATAATTTTAAATTATATAACTAGAGTTGATTAAAACAGATTAAATGGACAGTCTATATCTGAAAATATAACTGATTAGATTAAGAACTCATAAATACATTTAATTACAAATTGGAACTAGCTGAAGAGAAAATTAGTGAACCAGAAGCCATAGAAAATATTCAGACTAAAGCATGAATACAAAAATGACGAATAATGGAGAAAAGAGAAAATTATAAAAATAAGAGAAAAAGAAATAAAAAATGTATGATATAGTGTAATTTTCTAATGTATACAATTACAGCTCCAGAATATAAGGTAGTATAATGTTCCTACAGGGCACTAAAATGCAACATATACATTTTTGCCATGTAATGTGATTTACTTACAGGTATTCAGGATTAGGGCAAGAACATCTGGGATATGAGAGCACAGACTCCCAGGGAGAGGATATATGCAAAGAAGTGATCCTAGGACTATGTGCAGGTTTTCCCCTGCTAAATGCTAAAGAGGATAGCATTATTTGAAGAGACAATGATTAAAAATTTTAAAAAGCTGGCGAAGGGAATCAAGCCATAGGATTAAGTTTTATGACTGTTCCATTAGTTAAGGCTCTTATAAGAAAATATCTTAGACTGGGTTATTTATAATCAACAAATAAAGTATTTCTCAAAGTTCTGGAGGCAGAGAAGTCAAAGATCAAAGCACCAGCAAATTTAGAATCTGGTGAGGGTGCTATGCTTCATAGATGGTGTTGTATTGTCATGTCTTCATGTGGAAAAAAGGCAAAGATTTGGCAAATTCCCTAACTTCCCTTATAAAGACACTGATACCTTTCATAAGGACAGAGCCCTCATTTCCTAATCACCTTCCAAAGGCCTTACCTCTTAATACCAAATTTCTGGGAGTTAGGTTTCAACATACAAATAATTTTGGGGGGACACCAACATTCAGATCATAGCAACCTTTAAACAGAGTCAATATTAATAAAACCTCACCTGAGCATGTATAATTAAAACTGCCAAAAAACTCAAAGCAGAAATTAAAAGTGTTAAAAGAGGCTGAGAGTAGTTATGGTGGTAAGCATACTACATTTAAAGGGCAACAGTATGACTGAGAGTTGTCCACTTCTTAGTAGAAACGAAGGGTGCAGGAAGATAAAGGAATGATATTATTAATATACTGAAGAAAAATAACTGTCAACCTAGAGTTCTATACCCAGTAAAGTTATCCTTTAAAATTGAAGTAAAATAAAGATGCTTCTAGGTAAATAAACATTCATGAAAAGCTAGTATACCTTTCATAAGATAAATACTATATCAAGATCATCAGGAATGAGGAAAATGATACAGCAGAAAGCATGTAAATAAAATAAGAAAAATGAGTATGAAAGAGTGAAAATAGGTGAATGAATCTAATGAAAATTTCACCGAACGAAACAATAACAATGATACTCGGTGTAGTCTAAAATATATGGATAATTAAAGAAAATAAAAATGAAGGCAAAAGAGGGATAACTAGTGTTAAAGCTTTTTAAGATATTTGAATTGCCCAATAATTGGTTATGGCACTAATATATATTAAACACTAATGAATAAGTGATTCATATGATAAGCCCTAGAATAAACACTCATGAAATAATATTAAATATGTCTAGCTAGCTCACTGGGGAGAAAATAGAGCAATAGTAAATAGTTTTTAACCCAAAAGAAAGCATCAAAGAAGAGAAAAAGGAAATATAAAATATGTGGGTCAAATAACAAATGATAAATGGTAGGTATAAATCCAACTGAAGGTCATAATTAAAATGTAAAATGGTCTGACTTAAAGAACAGCAATTACTATGACTACATGCTGCTTTCAAGAGATGCAACTTCTTTTTATAGATATGCTGGAAATTATGGTATATCTACTACTTGTCCATAGTATATCTACTATGTCCATAGTAGAAAAATATATACCAAGCAAATATTGAACAAAATGAATTTGGTATAGCTATATTAGTAAGATAAAATATACTTTATTGTGGAATGCATAGAGTTTAGAGGGTCACTACATAATTAAATAAAAATTTAAGAGAAAGATATAACAATTCTATATATGTACACATCTAATAACACAGCTTAAAATGTGAGCAGAATTTAGCAACACAATTTTTTAAAAGCTAACTAGAAAATGTTCAAATATTTAAAAATTAATATACTGCTACATAACTCACAATTTAAATATCACAATAGAAAAAAGGACATATGTTAAACTAAGTAACAATCAAGATATGACATATAAGACATGTAAATGCAGCTAACAGTTATTTTAGGATAATTTACACTCACATATTAGAAAAAGAAGAAACAATGAAAATGAATGTTTTAACATCTCAAGTAGGTAGAAAAGGAACTGTAAAATAAACTAAAAGAAAGTAAAAGGAAGGATATTATCTTAGGCAGGGTTCTTCAGGTAAGAAGAGCTGGGAGAGAGGCATAGAGGGAGGTTGCGGATTGTGGAGTACAAGTGTAAAATCTGCAGGGTCGCTTGCAGGCTGGAACCCCCGAAAAGAGTCCAAAGTCACTCTGCTGACAAAATTTCTCCTTGCTCATGGGAAGTCAGTCTGCGTTCAACCTAGGCCTTCGGTTGATTGAATAAGGTCTATTCACATTATGGAAAGTAACTGGCTTTACTCAAAGTCCACCAATTTAAATGTTAATCGCATTCAAAGCATAGCTTCACAGAAGCATACAAAATAATGTTTTACAAAAATATCTGGGCCCCGTGGCACAGCCATATTGACACAAACAAACAATCATCACAGACATAATAAAAGTAAAAGCAGATATCAATAAAATAAAAAGTCTAAAGCTGGTCAATCTATAAAGAGATTAATACAATTTGTAAAACCTTAGTGATATTGATTAAGTAATGGAAAACAGAAAGATAAGTTTCCCAGCTCAAGAATGAAAAAAATGTTACTTTATATCCTAAAGTGAAAATTGTCAAAATAATATTATAAACAAAAATATGTTAGTAAACTTAAAATTGTTAATAAATTAAAAAAACTTTCTTTAAAAGCATAATTTATAAAAATGAGTACAATAAGTAAAAATCTGACTGGCTTGGTGCAGTAGTTCATGCCTCTAATCCTAGCACTTTTAGAGTCTGAGGTGGGCTGATTGCTTGAGTCCAGGAGTTCGAGCCCAGCCTGGGCAACATGGTGGAACCCTGTCTCTACTAAAAATACAAAAATTAGCCGAGGCGTGGTGGTGTGTGTCTGTAGTCCTGGCAACTCAGGAGACTGAGATGTGAGAATCACCTGAGCCTGGGAAGTCAAGGCTGCAGTGACCTGTGATTATGCCACTGCACCCCAGCCTGGGCATTGGAGTGTGACCCTGTCTCAATAATAATAATGATAATAAATCTGAGTATTCCTTTATCTTTTAAAGAAATTGAATCTTTCATTAGAACAATTTTTTTGAAGAAACTTCCATGCCAAGATGAATTATTCTAAACAATTAAGTTAGAAATAACAGCAATTTTACCCAGTTTTTTTTCAGGGAACAGAAAAAGAAGTAAGTCACAAAATATTTTATGAAACCATGATATACCATTATATGGTAAGTACATTACAAGAAAGGAAATCAGAGGCTTATCTCTCTCAGAAATATAAATGAAAAAATCTAAATAAACTATTAGAAAATCTGGCTTATCATGTAGAAAACAAGCCAACATTACATTATTACTAGGAGAGGTTCATTCTACTGACTCAAGGTTTAATATTTTAAAAATAAATCAATAATTCCCTTCATTAAGAGAATAATGATCATCTTCATAGATGCAGAAAAGGTTTTTGGAAAACAAATTAATTTCTGGAAAAACACTGCTCTGAAAAAAGCAATTTAAGGACTTACAGTTTCAGCTCCAACTTGTTAAGAGCTTGGAAATCATTACTCTCATCTTTAGAAGGAAAATGCTGAACAAACTGAAAATCGATGACTTTTCTTAAATACGTAAGAGAATTGAGGTCACAGGGCAATCTGCTTCTCTAAAATAGAGAAGGAGAGGCAAACACAGAGAATTGCAGCTGAGATCAGCTTACCTGAAGAAGAGCCCTCTGGAGCAGGTTAAGTGGTAAGAACGCTAAAATGGTTAATTTTGATGAATTTCTGTCTGCTGAATATGGACCAGCTTGAGATTTGAAAACTTCTGGGGGCACAGTATTAGGCAGGGCCCCACTCCAGAAGCCCTACCAGGTACTCAAGGTGAATATCACTGAAAAATATTCTAATAGCTCAGGCAAGGTAGAAGAAAGTAACCATCTGGAAATAAACCCAAAGCATATTAAAAGGCTGTCCTCTAAGGTAAACTACTTTACTAGAGTCTTGTTTGACCTAAGGGAAGGGCAATTAGACAACTCTAGTTTCCTCTATACTTCTAGTCTCACGTGAGGGGATTAAAAAAATAAAGTCTAGTAAATGCTTTTGAGAGTCACAGGCTAGGGGCTCAGACCCACTGAAACTGAGATATAATCATAAGATCATAAGTTTATAGAACATTTTAACTTCCCAACACCTACCCAACATATAAAACAGGTCTCTAGTATAAAAACAGCTTGTAACTGAGAAGCCATAAGAAATATTTTATTAAGAAGGAGTTCTTAGAGAAAGCAAAACCAAACAGTAAAAACAATCTAATTCCTACAATGATTAACATAAAACTTTACACTAAAAGCCTAACAATCTTAGTTTCTTTTTCTTCAAACATCATGTCCAGCTTTCAATATTATATGTTAAAGACAAGAAAAACAGGATGAAGAGACAAAGCAAAAATCAGAACCAAACCCAGATATGACAAGGAGTTTGGAATGATCAAAGAGGGAATTTAAACAAACAAAAAACTATAATTAATATGTTCAGGGCACTAATGTAAAAAATGGGCAACACACAAGAATAAACAGGTAATATAAAAAGAAATTTGAAAATTATAAGGCGATATCAAAAGGCAATACTGGAAATTTAAAATCCTGTAACACAAATGAAGAATGCCTTTGATAGGTACATCAGTAGCCTGGACATGACAAAGGAAAAAATCATTGAACCTGAAAATATATTAGTAGAATTTTTTAAACTAAAAAGCAAAGAGAAAAAGAAATTAAGAAAGACAGTAGGCAATATTCAAGAATCATGGGATAACTAAAAAGATGGAACATAAGCGTAATGCAATTATCAAAAGAGAATAGAACGGCTGAGAATTTTACAAAAGTAATGACAGACACTAAACCACAGAATCAGGAAGCTTAAGGACAAGTAGGATAAATATCAAAACATCTACATAGAAACATATCATATTTAAATTGCAGGAAATGAAAGGCAAACTGAAATCTTGAAAGAATCTGTGTAGGGGAAGGGAAGCTGCCTTATCTATAAAGGAGGAAGGGTATGGATTCCTTTGGACTTCTTTCTGGAAAAAATACTAGCAAAAAGAGACGGGAGAAAAACATTTAAAGAGTTGAAAGGAAAACAAACAAATAAAGTACCCAATCTGGAATTCTGTAACATAAATTTTTTCTTTAAAAGTGAATGACAAATAAATATTTATTGGACAAAAAAATGAGAATTTGTTGCCTGTAGATCTGCCTTGCAAGAAAGATAAAAAGAGTCTTTCAGAAGGAAGAAAAATGATACACAGATGAGAAATATATCTACACAAGGAAAGGAAGAATATTAAAGAAAAAAAGAAGGTAAAATAAAATCTACCTTTTCCATTCTTATTTATCCAATTTGTTCGAATTAATAATACCAACAATGTACCGGGTGATTATAGTATATGGATAAATGAAATGAATGGCAACAATGTTACAAGGGATTGGATGAAAGAACAGGAATACTGTGGTATAAGGCACCTGAAAATGCTATACCTGAAGTGACAAAGTTTTATTAGAGAAGTGGACTTAGGTTAATTTTAAATGTATATCAAAAACTCTAGGACACTATAGGGTTTTTTTTTTTAAGAAATATAATTATATGCTAAGAGAGGAGAGAAAATGGAATTATAAAATACTCAAAACAAGAGAAATCAGAAAAAGAGGGGACGTTTTAAATAAAACGTATAATAAGTGTAACAAACAGTATTAACAACTCTCAATTTGATAACAGATAAAATAAATTATTTCCTTGAAAGACACAAACTGTCAAAACTCACAGAGAAACAGATAATCTAACAGTCCTATATCTAGTAAATAAAATAAATCAATAATTAATAAGCTTGCAATAAGGAACAAATAGGCTCAGATAGTTTCACTAATGAATTCTACCAAATAATTAAGGTAGAAATGATACCAAGACTCTACTTCTCTACTATCTCTTCCAGAAAAATAAAAACAGAGGGAATACTTTTTAACTCATTCCATGATTAGCATTACCTTAATATCAAAACTGGATAAAATCATTATAAAAGACATATTACAGACAAATATCTCCCATGAATATACAGGCAAAATTTCTCAATAAAATACAAACAAGTCAAATGCACAACATATAAAGATAATTATTTACAATGATCAAAAGGGATTTATTCTAGTTGTGCAAGGCAAGCTCAAATTTAAAAATTAATTAATGTGGCTGGGTGCAGTGGCTCATGCCTATAATCCTAGCACTGTGGGAGGCCGAGGTGGGTGGATCACGAGGTCAAGAGATCGAGACCATCCTGGCCAAAATGGTGAAATGCTATCTCTACTAAAAATACAAAAACTAGCTGGGTGTGGTGGCACGCGCCTGTAGTCCCAGCTACTAGGGAGGCTGAGGCAGGAGAATCCTTCGAACCCAGGAGGCAGAGGTTGCAGTGAACCAAGGTCATGCAACTGTACTCCAGCCTGGCAACAGAGTGAGACTCCATCAAAAAATAATAATAATAATAATTAATGTAATTCATCTAGTCAACCAATTAAAAAAGAAAAATGTGATGAGACAAAGCATTTGACAAAATTAAACACCAATTCATGATAAAAACTAATCTTCCTCAATTTGAAAAAGAATATACACAAAAAACCTGTAGCTAACATCATACTTAATAGTGAGAAACTAGAAGCTTTCCTCTCAAGATTAGGAACAAGGCAAGGATGCCCTCCTCACTACTCCTGGTCAACAACGTCTCAGAAGTGCTAGTTAATGCAATAAGACAAGAAAAACATATGAAATGCATACAGATTGGAAAGGATGAAATGTAATTTGTTCACAGACAATATGATTTATATAGAAAAGATTACATAATTGACCAAAACCAAACCAAACAAGCATAAACGCTCCTGGAACTAATAAACAATTATAATATAATATTAGTTCCAGGATACAAAGCTAATGTAAAAAATTACTTGTTTTTCTATATACCAGAAATGAAAAATTGAAATTTGAAATATAGTAAAACAACATTTACATTAGTACCCCTACAAATTAAATCATTGGGTATAAGTCTAGCAAAATATGCACAAGATCTAAATGAGAGAGCCTACAAAACTGATGAAAGAAATTAAAGAATATCTAAATAAATGAAGAAATATGCCATGTTATGAACAGAAATCCTCAACATTGCTGCATTTCAATTCTTTCCTACTTGATCTACAGATTCAATGCTATCAAAAGCAAAATCCCAGAAAGTTATATTGAGGACGTTAACAACCTCATGCTAACATTGCATGGAAAGTCAAAGACCCAGGATAGCCAACATAATAATGAAAAAGACAAAGAGAAAATTTGGAGAACTGACACATCCATGTTCAAGCCTTACTATAAAGTGACACCAAGCAAGACAGCATGGTTTTGGTGAAAGAATAGAAAAATAGATCAATGGAACAGAATAGAGAGCCCAGAAATAGGCCCAAACAGACAAAGTTATGTGGTATGATAAATGAACAAATGCAATTCAATTGTTAAAAGATATCCTTTCAACAAATGTTACTGGAACAATTGGATGTTCATATGCAAACAAAAATTAAATCTAAACACAGACCTTATTATACTTTTTGCAGTGATTAAGTCATAATGGATTATAAATAGAAATGTAAAATGCAAAACTCTACAACTTTCGGCAGATAACACAGGAGAAAGTCTAGGTGTCCTTAAGTTATTGGTAAGTTTTTGAAGTAATACCAAAAGCATAATCCATGAAAGAAAAAAAAACTGATAACTGGATCCCTTCCTTAAACCTTATACAAAAATTAATTCAAGATGGATTAAAGACTTAAATGTTAGATGTAAAACCATAAAAACCCTAGTAGAAAACCTAGGCATTACCATTCAGGACATAGGCATGGGCAAGGACTTCATGTCTAAAACACCAAAAGCAATGGCAACAAAAGACAAAATTGACAAATGGGATCTAATTAAACTAAAGAGCTTCTGCACAGCAAAACAAACTACCATCAGAGTGAACAGGCAACCTACAAAATGGGAGAAAATTTTTGCAACCTACTCATCTGACAAAGGGCTAATATCCAGAATCTACAATGAACTCAAACAAATTTACAAGAAAAAAACAAACAACCCCATCAAAAAGTGGGCAAAGGATATGAACAGACACTTCTCAAAAGAAGACATTTATGCAGCCAAAAGACACATGAAAAAATGCTCATCATCACTGGCCGTCAGAGAAATGCAAATCAAAACCACAATGAGATACCATCTCACACCAGTTAGAATGGCGATCATTAAAACGTCAGGAAACAACAGGTGCTGGAGAGGATGTGGAGAAATAGGAACACTTTTACACTGTTGGTGGGACTGTAAACTAGTTCAACCATTGTGGAAGTCAGTGTGGCGATTCCTCAGGGATCTAGAACTAGAAATACCATTTGACCCAGCCATCCCATTACTGGGTATATACCCAAAGGACTATAAATCATGCTGCTATAAAGACACATGCACACGTATGTTTATTGTGGCACTATTCACAATAGCAAAGACTTGGAACCAACCCAAATGTCCAACAATGATAGACTAGATTAAGAAAATGTGGCACATATACACCATGGAATACTATACAGCCATAAAAAATGATGAGTTCATGTCCTTTGTAGGGACATGGATGAAATTGGAAATCATCATTCTCAGTAAACTATCTCAAGGACAAAAAACCAAACACTGCATGTTCTCACTCATAGATGGGAATTGAACAGTGAGAACACATGGACACAGGAAGGACACACTCTGGGGACTGTTGTGGGGTCGGGGGAGGCGGGAGGGATAGCATTAGGAGATATACCTAATGCTAAATGACGAGTTAATGGGTGCAGCACACCAGCATGGCACATGTATACAAATGTAACTAACCTGCACATTGTGCACATGTACCCTAAAACTTAAAGTATAATAATAATAATAAATAAAAAAATAAAAAAATAAATTAGAAACTCTGCTCTGTGAAAGACACTTTCATAGACTGGAGAATATATTTGCAAGCAAATATCTATAAAGTACTTGTATCATATGCAAAAATCCCTTAACATTTTAACCACAAGAAAACAAGCAACCCAGTGAAAAAGTGCACCTCACCCAAATGTATAATATTTTACCTGTAGCTCAATAACAATTCTGAATTAATTTGTGTATAATGTATGAGACCTAGAGCAACATTGTTATTATTTTGATAATCAAAAAGTCTGTTTTTCAGTGTTTTCTTGTCAAAAGAGAAAAACAATAGAGAAATCAATGAAAAGAGATTTAGTTAATTAAAAAGATCAATAATATTGACAAAACTTTAGCAAGAGTGGCAAAAAAAAAAGAAGACACAAATTACTTATAATACGAATACAAAAGAGATATCAGTACAGAAGCTCCAGGATAGTGAGCGAACACAATGAATAACACTACATTTCTCCTTTCATCTTTATTATTTCCTTTATTCTGCTTACTTTGGGCTTAATTTATCCCTTTCTTTTTTATTTTCTTCAGGTGGGATCTTAGATTATTGATTTGATACTTTTCATTTTTTCCACTACAGGATTCAGTCCTATAAATTTCTTACTCCACACTGTTGTACCTGTGTTCCACAAATTTTAATATGCTATATTTTCATTCATTAAATACATATATATTTCATTTATATATATTTCACTCATTAAATATATATATTATATATATATCATTCATTAAATATGTATATATATATATATTTATTTATTTTTTTGAGAGAGAGAGTCTCGTGATGTCACCCAGGCTGGAGTGTAGTGGTGCAATCCCGGCTCACTGTAACCTTCGCCTCCCAGGTTCAAGCGATTCTCCTGCCTCAGCCTCCAGAGTAGCTGGGATTACAGGCATGCACCACCACACCTGACTAATTTTTGTATTTTTAGTAGAGACAGGTTTCACCATGTTGTCCAGGCTGGTCTCAAATTCCCGACCTGTAGTGATCCTCCCACCTTGACCTCCCAAAGTACTGGGATTACAGGCGTGAGCCACCATGCCCCGCCTTACTTTTTATTTCTCTTGAGAACTTTTTTTTTTTCACTCATGGAATATTTAAAAGTGTTTAGTTTCCAAGTGCTGAGAGTTTCCTATTCTTTCTGTTGTTGATTGCTGAGTTCATTCCATTGTGATTGGATAATATGCTCTGTAGTTTTTCAATTATTTTGAATATATTGGGTTTGGTTTATGGCCTGAAATATTGTCCATTGTGGTATACTTCCTTTGGTTACTTGAAGTGAATATGTATTCTACTGTTGAAGGGTGTAGTAGTCTATAGCTGTCAATTAGATCCTGTTGGTTGATGGTGTTGAATTGATTTATATGCTTTTTGATTTTCTGTCTAGTTGGTTTACTAATTGGTGAAAGGGTCATATTTAACTCTACAAATACAATTGTGAGGTTAACTTCTCCTTTTAGGTCATCTATTTTTGCTTCATATGTTTTGCATCTGCTTTTTGCACATTTAGAAATGTCATGTCTTCTTGATGAATTGACATTTTTATTATTACAGAATCTCTCTCTCTTTCTCCTTCTCCCTCTCTGGTAAGTTTCTATGCTCTAGAGTCTAATTTATCTAATATTACTATAGATAATACATCTTTCCTTTGATTAACATTGTTTCTTTTTTTTTTTTTTTTACTTCTACCTGTTATATCATTTTATGTGAAGCAAGTTTCCTGTGGACCGCATATAGTTAGATAATATTCTTAAATCCATTCTGCCAATCTCAATATTTTAATTGGGGTATTTAAAACACTTATGTATAATGTAGTTGTTGATATATTTGAGCTAAACCTGCTATTTTTTTTGTTTGTTCTGTTTTTTGTTTCTGTATTTTATTTTGCTTGCCTTTCTGAGGTTTAAAGTTTACTTGAATTTTTTTAGAGTTCTATTTTTATTGATATGGAATGTCTTTGAGCATACATAAAACACAAAAATACTTATTTTTAATGTTTGCTATATGTATTACAGTATGTATAAATAACATCACATTCCACTGTCATCATTAGTTTATCAGTTCAAGTGACATAGAAAGCATATTTTCTTTTATGACTTCTTACATTATATCATTTATAATTTTATTTGAATATTTGAAATATATTTATATATTATGTTAATTTATAATATGATTCATATTATTTTAAATATGCACATATATTTAGAACATCAGACTGTGCTATAATATTTGCATCAACCATCAAACATAATTTAGAAAGCTTAAGAAAAAAGAAAATCTATACATTTGCTTGCTGAATTATGTCTTTCTTCTTGATGTTTCAAGGTTTCTTCTTTTTTTCGTATTGTTTTTATTCAGAGAATTTCTTTTAGCCATTATTTCAGGGTGGATCTTCTGAGAACACTTTCTTTACATTTTTTTCTTCTGAAAATGTCTTGATTTTATCTTCATTTTTGAAGGATTTGCTTTTCTCTAAGTTTAGAATTCCACATTGATTTTTTTTCTTTCAGCATTTGAAAAATATTGTACCACTTTCTCCTGACCTCCATAGATTTTGATGAGAAATTCACATTCCTTTGTATCATTTCCTCCCTACAGATAAAGTATCATTTTTCTCTGTTTTCAAAATTTTTCTTAGTCTTAATTATCAGAAGTATAATTTATGATTCATCTTAATTGCATAATTATGATGTGCCTGCATTTCTTTGGTTTTATCATGCTTGGGAATTGCTCAGCTTTCTAAATCTCTAGGTTTATGTTTCTTGCCAAATTTGGGAAGTTTTCAGCCATTATTTCCTCATGTACTATTTCAGCTCTGCTTTCTTTATCCTCTCTTTCCTGGACTTGATGACACAAATGTTAAGTCTTTCATTATAGTTCCACAAGTCTCTAAGACTCTGGTTTTCACTTGTTTGTTTTGTTTTGTTGTCTATGTTCCTCATTGATTATTTTCTATTTTTCTATCTTCCAGTTCTTCTATTTTTTTCATGAATGCCCATTTATTGAACTTTTTCTCCAATAATTGTATTTATAAAGTCTAAAATATCCATCTGGTGCTTCTTTTCATCTTTTTTCTTTTTTTTGGCTGAGGCTTTTAAATCGTCTTTATTTATTTTTTTCCAAATGTGTTGTAATCACCTATTCTAGCATTTTAATGATGGTTTCTTTAAAGTCTTTGTCAGATAATTCTAATATTTCTATCATTTTGATGTTGGCCATTTGTGATAGTTAATTTTATGTCAACTTGTAGATGTCACTGTGTGTGTCTGTGAGTGTGCCTGGAAGAGATTAGCATTTGAAATACTATGCTGACTAAAGAGGGTCTGCCCTCAACAATATGGTTGGGGGGCGGTCATCATCTAATTTACTGAGGTTCCAAATAGAACAAAAATGTGTAGAAAGGGCAAATTCTCTCTTTCTCTTCTTTAACTGAGAAATTTGTCTTCTCCTTTCCTTGGACATTAGAGCTCCTGATTCTCAGATCTTTAGACTCTAAGACATACTACAGTCACCCTTTCTCCCTAGTTCTTAGGCCTTTGGCCTTATACTTTGAGTTAAACCATTGGCTCCCCTGGTTCTCAGGCCTTAGGACTCAGACCAAATTATTCCTCCAACTTTACTGGTTCTCCATCCTGCAGGGAGTATATCTTGTGATGTCTTGTCCTCCATAAAAACTTGAATTAATTCCAAAAGTTAATCTCCACTTATATGTCTATTTCTATCTATATCTACGTTTTATTGGTAATGCTTCTCTGGAGAACTCTAATACAGAATCTATTGATTGTCTTTTACTATTCCTTTTGCCATCTTTCTGGTTCTTGCTACAGTGAGTAATTTTTATTAAAATCTGAGCATTTTCATATTATGTTATGAGATTCTATATAAATCTTCTTTCAGATTTAAAGAAGGCTTAACCTTTTTTTTGTATTTAAACCTTTTGTTTTAGTTGACTCTTTTGGACATCACTACAATAGGGGAAGGGAAGGTACTACAACTTTATTGCAAGATGAAAGTAGAAGTCCAAGTTCGTCATTCAGTTTCTATTGACACTTGAAGAGGGAGCAACTTTTTACTGCTGGATGGGCACTCCATTTTCCCATGTTGTCTCCACCGACACTGCAGCAGAGGTGGCCTTGTTACTGCTGATATTGCGCAAGTTCTGACTTTTTACCAGGATTCCACTGATCACTGCCAGATTCCACTGACGACTGGGAGAGAGAAAGTGATATCTCATCTCTGTTGGATACAGGTAGAAATCCAGGCTTCTGTGTTGTCTCTACTGACCTTGTGAGGGTGAGGGTACCTCATTACCAGCCAACGGGGATGAAAGTCCTATCTCCCACTTGGCTTCTGCTAGCATGGATGGTGGTAAGACTACAGCTTTTAGTTTTTCTATGATACTTGCCTGGAGTACAGTGGCTATTGTCTAAAAGGTTTCCATCTTACTAGGCTTCCTATCTTCTGCTTCTTTGGCTAAAGAAAGTCGGCCTTTGGTGTTTGTTATTGTTGGTGGTGGTGGTTGGTTGGTTTTCTCTATGCCAGTTGGCATTTCTGGGTTGCATTTTCTTTAACTCCATGTCTGGATATATGAGGCCAAAAGAAAACACTCGCAATTCACCACTGTGTTATTTCTCAGGTCTCAAGGTCCCTAGGCAGTCTGTCTTTTAGAGTCTCTTTATGTTTGTTTTATATATTAAGTACAGGGATTTTACTGTACTTAATGAGAGAAATAGAGAAAAATATGCTTATCCTATTTTCCTAGAACTGAAGTGTTCATAAGAAGTTTTTAAATAAACTTCATGAATATAATAATTGTTACTATGAAATGAACATTCAGCGTTTGTCTTTAGTAATTACCTCACCTTTATCTGTTTGCCTTTCTTGTGCTCTTTCCCTAGATAACATTGCATTTTTTTTCCTACCTTCTCCCATGGCTTTAATGTTTCCTAATTTCTAAGAATCAAGGTGAGGTGTGTAATAGACTGTTCTTGCATTGCTATAAAGAAATACCTGAGGGTGGGTAAATTATAAAGAAAAGAGGTTTAATTGACTCACAGTTCTGTAGGCTATACAGGAAGAATGATGCTGAAGTCTGCTTGGCTTCTGGGGAAGCCTCAGGAAGCTTATAATCATGGCAAAAGGCAAAGGGGGAGCAAGCACTTCCCATTGCCGGAACAAGAGGAAGAGAGACATGGGGCGAGGTGCCACACACTTTTATACAACCAGATCTCATGAGAAGTCTATCACTATAAAGTACCAAGAGGGGTACGGTGCTAACCCATTCATAAGAGCCCCACCAGTTACCTTCCACTGGGCCCCTCCTCCAACACTGGGGATTACAATTTGACATGAGATTTGGGCAGGGACACAGAACCCAAACCATATCAGGAGGTAAAGGAAGCTCAGCTTGATAATTCATTCTTTTTATGCTTTTTCCCTAGAAAATAAATTACCTTTATAATTTTTCAACATTTGGACTCCATCCCATTTATTTTTAAAAATTCAAGTAAAATTGAATGTAAAATATTTTACTAATCATCAAAAACTTCGTGAGTTATCCACTATGTTACTGGTTTTTCAAACTTTTTAGTACCTTTGCTTCAAGTTTTAAAATTTTGTTATATAGTCACCCAAAGAGAGCAAGGAAGCTATTATATTATATACAAAATTTTAACTCTGCCATTTTATAATTAAAGAACACAATTTAATCTACATTTCGTTTTGTATATCCAGAATTGAGAATTATGTAGTATATACTGACAAAAAGTTACAAATGAGATTTGTTTTCTTGATAACTCTCCTTGCAATGTCAGAATACTCCTTAATAAAACTTATCTAGATGTCTGAAAGATAAATATTGGAAACTGTGTTTCAGACTTGAATTTCTAATGATACCTAATGAATGCTGGAATTCTTTAGAGAGTGCCAATGATTATATTGTATAACCATTTAAAGCACTGTCATTAGGTAAAATGTACTTAATAGCTTATAACCTTATGAACTGTTTATTATCATAGAAAACACTTAAATATATCAGGCATTCATGTCAAATATTAACCCAAAATATACAAATATTCTAGTTATTGTAATTATTTGTGAAAACCAAAATAAAAATATCTGGGTATTTTTCCTGAAATTTTTCCTACATTTGTAAGCACAAAAATATCAAGACCTTAAGTTTATAGAAGGTTAAACAAAAACAACACAATTTATGATAAATACTAAATTTTACAATATGAAATTATGATAAACAACACATCATATCTTAAGTCCATGATCCTGGCAGATGCTAGACTTGTCTGGCACTTGTAGGAGTGTAGTATAATTGCTTATACAATTCTATCTTCGTAGACATTTGGAGGTCTAATTAAAAAGATGAATGTGGAACCACATTTTTCTAAGCAATGACACATTTATAAAAATTTCAATTATTTGACCTAAGATAGCAGACAAAGTTTTATGCCAAGGTCTGCCCCAAACCAAGTTAATCTGGCAGGACAATTTAATGAACTCCCACCAGGGTGGGAAAAAATGGAATATAATACATTTGAATTTGTTAGTTTTATTACAGTTTTTTAAATAGTTTAAGTAGACAAGTAAAATTAAAAATGAAGCAAATGCTTTAAAGTAACACTTCAACATGAAACTCAGTTTTGAAAATTGCTGATCTCCATAAAGTATTAACCTCCTAGGAAAAGAGACTGTCATACATTTTGATACCTCTGATAATCTGCAGTGTTTTTTTGTACAAAGTGAGCATGCAATAAATGGTAATGATTTGTAAGTGATCATCTAAGTGTTGAAAGAACTTGGAAATTATATGCAACTGATGGGGGGTAGTTTCTGAATATTTCTTCCTCAACATCTCTCTTTGAATTTGAGTCTTAGAAATAAGGAGAACTCATCCCTTCTAGACATATGCATACCTTGGTTTAAATAAAATTCTAGGTGACTTTTGGGATAAAAGAGATTGGGACACCACTCCTTCCTCTCCCTCAATACAAATATGTCTGATAAATTCAAACAAGTGTGAACAGTCCACCTGAGGTGTGATCACAGGCAGGAATGAAAGTTAGTAAAAAGGAATGTACCGTAAGAGAAAAGAACATGAACTGAGGCCTTGACTCATTAACTGCCCAAGATAGGTAAAGGAGAGTGTCATTCAAGAGAGAGGACAGAATGAACCTGATACTGGAAGGTTTCCTAGAATTTTGATTCTACCTTGAGTAAAATGACTATCCGTGTTATCAAAGGTCATAAAAACGGGGTATAGTTAATTATTCTACCAGAGAACTTCCATTGACTGGTTATTTTTACTCTGAGAAATGAAAGGAAGGTAAACTAGGGCCAGAAAAGTAGTAACTCAGTGGCATTAATGGGAGTGGAAAGCAAAGCACTGGGGGCAGCCACTCTATCAGAATCAAGTATCTGTAGGACCATGGGGCCACCAGCACAGCTCTTCTTCCATCGGGCACTAGAACAACCTCAACGACAGCTGTTTGTGTGCATGTCTGACTTCTTGCTCCCTGGAAGTTAGTAATGGTTGAGGGACTGCCACATGCAAATCTCTGGGGGATTCTAGGATGTATTTGGAGAGGGACCTGTACAAAAGACTGAAGTCACTGTTCATTAAGTGGGTGAAAACTCAAACGTATTAAAATTTGATTATTAAAGGACATGTAATCTTATTTTATACTCAATGCTGTTTAAGCCTAAATTTACTCATATACTGGTTACAGTTATGCCGGTGGCTAAGAATATTTAAAATATTTAAATTCAGCTCTTGTAAGAAAAGTAATTTTTTTCCTACAAATTTAGAACATACATGGCTAGAACTGTCATCTTAAGCAAGGCACAGGACCACATGGGGTCTTTCCAAGCATATACAGAGATGTACCTGCAGAAGCTCTTCAACGATGCCCTCTGAACAATGGCAATAAGTAAAGAAAAACAAAAAACAAACAAACAAAAATAACTATTGGCTTTGTTTTCTCAACTTACATTTTGTTGACCATGCATTTTTAAAAAATGTATCATGGTAAAAACAATTGAAACTTTTAAAAAAAATTACAAAAAGTAACAGTCTATATTTTCTCTGCTTCCTTCAGAAGTTTCCTGGAAAGCTTAATTAGCTATTCATCTGTGCATTCTATTCGGTCTTCTAAAGACTGATAAGACTGTAGTCTTAATTTAAAAAAAAAAGAACTAGCACAGCTTTTAGTTTTTATTTTGTTAGATCAAGAGGAAAAAGCACTCAGCACCTCTGTCAACATCACTTAAGTTGTTCAATTATAGGTTGATTTTATTCAGTAAAATATCAGTCAGGGCAGAAAATCATATTAGAGTACATGCAATATATTTACTCATGTTTTTGCTTCAAGGTTAAAATATGAATGTTGAACTTGTTGATGTTCGATCTAAGTGCATAAGCAGCCGAATTCTCAACCTGTAGCAGTTGAACTAATCGGCCATCAGACTCAACAGTAGACTTAAGCTATTTTGCCTGAACCTTCTCTAAATCTGAGGCACTCTTTATGCAGTCTACTTTCCCATCATTGTCTTTTCAAAAGCTGGAGTCTAGGCCAATATTTGCCTCTCCCACTCTGAAACTGAGCTGCAATAAAAGTCAATTAGGGCACCTCAGTTGATGTCCTTGTCACACTGGATTGTGGATTCATCAACAAAGAGTACACTCTTTTGAACATGTCCTTATTAAGACAACTCACATGCTTTTCTTGAAACTAGGAAATAGCACTGATTCATAGATCCACATAGCTCCAGAGCTGCAAGAGATCTCAGGAGATCAGCCCATGCGGTCTTCAAACACATCAAAGTCTAAAAATAGCCTCTAGGCTATAATTCAAAAAGAGCCTCATTTCTATGAGTACAAATTGCAAATAATAGGTTTCATCAAGAATTTGTATTTTTTAAAAAATTGCAAGTCTAAGATGCTATAAAAACTAAATGCACAATGCATGGTTTTTATATAAGCATATGCACAAGCTATGTTCACTGTTTTTGTTTTTTTCATCATTGATCTCTGCATGAAAAGGAAAATGAAGAGATAACTATGTCACCTGTTTTAATTAAGGGGAGTGTCTTGGGTAGTGGTGTGGGTTCAAGGGATATTTGAGGGAAAAGACTGGAAGTGATAGGTAGATTTAGAGAAGAAATACAGAGTGAACTAACAAGTGTATAGACTTTAAAGAAGCCAAAAAAGACTAAAAAAGATATTTATATGGACAAATTAGATGGTATGAGTAAGTATATAAAGAATCAATGATGTAATCATCCAGTTGTGAAATTTTGTTTTGGTTTTGTTTTTCCCTTTCAGGGAATAAGATTTTGAATCTTTTCTTGGGAATCCATGATGCAATCTTTATCAGAAGTAAACTTGAAATGTCAGCGTAAAGAAAAAGGAAGTTAATTATATTTAATGCAAGTCTAATAAGCTCTTGGCACTTTACTTATATTATCAAACTAAAGTTTCACCACAACCCTATGAGGTGGAAATTGCTACCTCATTTTATCAAAGAGAAAACAGAAGATCAAAACACAGCATGCCCAATAGTACAGCAGGATCTAGATCTGTGAGTCTTTATTATGCATTCCACAGGCAGTTTCTTCTTGTCCCATTGTCTTCAGAGGAGAACAACCCACTGGTATTCCTTGCTGCCTCCAACCCTGTCTCAGGGAAGCCTTAGGTAACTATGTCCAGAAGGCAGCCACTCCCTTCTCTGTCTCTTTAGGGACATGAAAGTAGTGGGATATTTTGCTTGGTTTCACATTCGAAAACACATCTCTTCTTCTAGGAACAAGCAGTGATTTAAAGGCTTGTTTAATTCTAATTAATTTAATGACAAAATAAATTAATGTCTATGAGAGGAAAGTTGTTAATTATATCCTAATAATAGGGATGTCTCTCTCAACCCCACATGCTGTCAGCAGCCTGCCTGCTCTTTTCTCCTTCTAAATCCCATTAGCTCACATTACTACTGAGTTAAGGATATTTTTATTTGAATTAGATAGGATGGATGCTAGGAGTTAGGACTTTGGGAATCAGTTTCTATTTTCTCAAGCTCAGGCCTTTCATGGGGAAAAAAATCCAGACTCTCCTTCTGGGGTTAAGATTTATTTATTCATTTATTAATTTAGTTTGTTTTTCTTGAGCTTATGCAGTTGCTTGACCATATGCTGGGCACCAAGGATACATAGATGAATCAGTTCATGCAATTCAAGGTTTAGAATAACAAATCAACACTCCGGCCATTACCACGAAGTGGAAAATGCAGAGGCAGAAGTTCATGTCTTACAGGAGCACAGAGAAGGGGCACCCTACACAGTGTAGGCAGAGGCTGAGGGCTGGAGGAGGGATACTGGAGTGCTTTTACCTTAATTATGAAAAAGCATTAGCTAATGTATTCAACAGAGGTCTCCAGATAAACAGAATCACCAGGATATTGTAGAAAGAATTTATTAGAGGAATTGGCTTACATGATTACAGAGGAAGAGAAGCCCCGCAATAGACCATTTGCAAGCTGGAGAACCAAAGAAACCATTAGTGTGGCTCAGTCTAGAAACCTCAGAATGAGGGAAGTCAATGGTGCAACCTCCAAGTTAGAGGCAGAAGGCCTGAGAGCACCTGGAAGGCCTCCGGTTCAAGTCCCAGAGTCCAAAAGTTGAAGAACCTGGAGTCTGGTATCCAGGGGCAGTAGAAGAAAAGATGTCCCGCTCTGGAGAGGAGAGAGCAAAAAGGGAGGATCCCTCTTCTTCCCCGTTTTCCCAGCCAGTACCCAGCCCATGGGAGGTGCCTGCCCACAAAGAGTGAGTCTTCCTCTCTCAGTTCACTGACTCAAGGTCATTCTCTCCTGGGAACATACTCACAGACACAACCAGAAATGATGCTTCACCAGCCATCTAGGCATCCCTCAACCCAGTCAAGTTGACACCTAAAAGTAACCACGATAGGTAGGCAAGGACCAGAGGGCAATGTGTTGGGGCAGGGAGGGGGCAATAATTCCAGACAAAGGGAAGGAAAGAATAAAAGTGAGCAATAGCATGATGCATTTCAGAACTACAGTCTGTTCAATATGCAACCACGACTCAAAAAAAAAAAAAGCAAGAGCTGAGACTGGAGAGGGGTGCATACTCAGCTAATAATTAAGAGCTGAAACAGACACTGCTGTTTGCCTTTTCAGCAGCCATTCCAATTTTTGTGCAGATATCCATTCATGGAGTAACCAGGGGAGGAAAACCCAGCCCCACTCCCATACAGGTAGCAAAACACTATTGGTCCAAGCCAGTCACAGTCTCCATTCCTTTCTACAGTGACTCATGTAGTAATGGTCAGGAGACACAACTCTGGTCAATGAGATGTGAGGGGGATACATCCAGATTTGTCCAGAATAGTTCTGATTTCTGCTTCTTGTCCTCAGTAGATAGTAATACTCACCCCCTTTCATTCTCAGAAGGGTATTTGTGTTTTAATTCACAAATGTATGAATGAATGAATTCATAAACTATTTAGTCATTCTTTATGGTTCTACAAAATACTTTCCTTTTCAAAAATGTTGAAGGAGAAAGAGTTCCTCCTTTTCTCAGACAACAATGTACAAGATGTGTTGCCTGGAGTTTCCCCAATCATCTTGTGATCAACTTGCTGAGGAAGGCAGAGTGGAAAGACAGAAGGAATCTGAACCCTTGAAAATCTCATGGAGACTCTGAACAACTCAACTCTAAAATCCTCTATTCAGTTTTCTTGTTATGGGAAGTAATAAAATTCCTTATTATTTATATCAATTAAATTGGAGTTACCATTCCTAAAAATAAAAATATATTAACTGTTTGTTAGGATTTGAAATCTTGATGAGTTACACACAAAGAATATGTATGTGTTAGAGAGAGAGAAAGAGAGAGAGAGAGCTTTGGAAACCATTTCATCCCAACTCTCATTTTTTTCCTAAATGAGTAAACTAAAATTTCAAAGGAATAAAGAGAATTACCTAAGGTCACATATCTTGTTTGTTGGAGAGTTGACACTAGCATCTGAGCTTCCAAGAGCATCCGAAGGTTATTTTGAGCTGTACTCTGTGCAACGGTTGGCTATCTGGGCTCAGATATACTGTCATGGAGACCTCTGCCCTGTGAATTCTCATCATATCACCTAAAAGTCCAGTGTCTAAAAGAATAAACATGACTTAAGAACCTACAGTGTGTCAAACTCTAATCTAGGAAACTTGCATATGTTTCACTGAATACTTCTATTTTCATACAGAGATTGACACTCTTATTGTCTTCATATTGGTGAAAAAACTGAGATTCACAGCTGTTTAGGTGACTCTCTCAAGGTCACAAAGCCAGTGATAGGATGGGAAGTGACTGTGGGACTTTGGAAAGTAAAGTGTGTGGCTAGAACAAATAGCAAGAAGGCAGAGAGAACTGGAAGGCTTCCAAGAATCCTAAATAACTTTCAATTGCAGTTGGAGCTCTCAATCAATGTGTGACTCTTCCGATAGATACAGTTTTGCACATTTTGTCATGTATGCAACATTTGTGTGGGTTTTATTTTCTTCAATAGAAAACTTTTCTTGGAGAAAGGAGCTTTATCTCCCAGGGACATCATTACACTTCTCAGTTTTGTCAACCTATGTAAGGCTAATGGTAAAAATGTTTCACAAAGACTTGCTGATGGATATTTTTGTCATCTGCAGAAAAGTGCCCGAAAATGAAGTCAATCCATAAGAAAACAAGGTCAAAAAATGGGAAGGGGTAGATTCTCAATGACATTGTCTTTTCACTTTTTGAGCATCTGGATCCAACTACTCTTTAAGTCAGTTTACCCTTCTAACTTTTAGTTGCATAAACAAATAAATCTCCTTCCTCACATAAGTCAATTTGCATTGGGGTTCTTTCACTGCAATTGAAAGTGACCTAACATATTTCCTTATTATGATGACTTACCTATTACCTTCATTTCTCTTGCTTCTAGTCATTGATTCTTTCTATCTCACTGTAGGCCTCACATTCAAATTATAAAGTTATGATTTGATGGGATGGCAATTCAGCTTCCAGGATTGAGCTACTCTTGGGCAGAGTTCTCTCATCAAGCCCTTCAAGGAGAACTTGTTGTATGGGTCAAGTATTGGTCTGTGTCCAATTAGCTGTGATCATTACCACATGGGCACATGAGACATTGACAGCGCATGCATTTAAAAGTATCAGTTCTTGCTTCCCTTTAAAGGTGACCTGAGGGCATTGCTTGTATTCAGAGCCATAAATCCAACTTTGGAACAGTTTTGTTGTCTGTGTACTTCATGGCATGTCAGTTAAAGAGTGGACAAAACTGATCTTAGTTTGTGCAATAGGAAAGCTTCCCAAAACTTGCAAGTAAATTGAATTCTATTTTCAATATGCTAGAGAGTTTTCTATTGACTTATGTCCTACTGTGAATCCCTTAAAAAGTGAATAATTAGTTTCCAAATTTAGCCTTTATGTAAACCCAGATTTTCAAACACTGGGTTTGCCTAATGTAAGATCCTCTGCAGAAGAGAACATAGACCTCTTTCATTTGTGTTCTTCAACAGTGTGAAAGTTACTAAATGTCCTTTCACAGACCTATTGCAAACATATTCCATTTTTAAATTTAATGAGTAATCAGTCCATTCTTGCTCATACCCTAAAAGTGGTTTTATTTGTAATTGCAAGAAAACATTTAGACTACTTCATGATAAGTGTCTGCTCATGGAGAAAATATATGACAGACCCCCACCCTGAGCCCTTACCAAACACACAAACTAGCATGAATGCTACAGCCCTTCCAAATTATTTTTGTACAACTACATTTTTATACATTTTGAAAAACAGAAATGCATTTATGTGCAAAAGAGTGGTTTTGTTTTTGTTTTTGGCATTGATATTATTATATGTCTTAGAAACATTCTTTAGCTCCTAGGCATTTGCTAACCCTAGGTTAAGGGCTTCTAAGTTTAGATCATTAGAGACAATCTGATTATATTACTCTGGCTTTTTTTTTTTTAAGTGTTCATATTACTTCTGTTTTAAAGATATGAGCTATTACTCTGCGAATAATGTCCATCATGAGTTCTGACCAGAAGCACCTTTGCAAAGTGGCCTTAGCCTTACCTTTGATCATTAATGTTACATTTACATGTCTGCGGCTTTATATGTGTTGCTTTCTTTGCCATCATGCAGAAGTCAAGTATCTCCTTTCCTGGTGGCCCCACTTTCCCCTTCCCATCCCCAGGCACTTAATTGCCCATTTCTCTGTGCTACAGAGAACGTAATGCGTACTTCATGGCACTATGCAATTAGTTGTGCCCGTGTGAGCCTCACTCATTAGTGCAATGTGTCTCAAACTGGGATTCCCTTACCTCTGGGACATACAAACACTTTTTAAAGGGTACATGGATTGAATAATATTTAGAGAGTCAAGTTTCATGTCCTCAACATGGAAGTTGAGGAAGTTGTATTCATTTCTAAAATTGACCTTCCTCTGAACTCAATTATATAGTTATGCTGGTTCTCTTTTATCACAGTTCTTTCATCATTGCTCTTATCACTCACAATTAACAAAAGAAAGACATAGCTCTTACCCCATCTTAATTTGAACATCACTCTGAGTAAGCAAGATATAATTTGAAGTACAGTTGTTGGCTAAATCTTCCCTTACTCAAAGCCTCATATGTCCCCACCTCTTTCTTTATGAGATAAATTGTCAAAAGAATCATCTTACATTTAATAATTACTTATTAAATTTTGTAATAAATTAATTCTGCTTGACCAATAGAATAAAGTTATAAAAATTAGATGTGTATAAGTATTTTTATAGCAAAGATTTTGATTCAATGAAAAATAAAAGATTATCAAGAAGAAAACTATCAAATGAGGATAAAAGTTATTAGAAAATATAATTTAAAATAGTTTTAGAAATGAAAAAAGGTGCAAATTATTATCATTAAAGAAACATTTCTTTATGTATCTTTATAAATGGATAAACATGGATATCAAAGCACTATTGTATTACATTCCATCTGATAGATATACAAGAATTTTAATTTAAAATAGCAACACTTAAAACACAAATATTGTTTCTTGAAGCTATTTATAATTAAAGATGAAAAATACTATATATCAATTTTAAATTGTGTGTCTACATTTTTTCCTCAAAATTCTTTCTGAGCATAGAAAGTACTCCACACTTAAAATAAGTCTTAGAATATTGTTTCTCAAATTTAAATGTGTGTGAATTATTTGAGGGATCTTGTTAGAAGGCAGATTCTAATTCTATACATCTGGAGATGGAGGAGGCTGAAACTCTGCAATTCTAACGCACTCCTGTGTCCTTATACTAAGGGTATATACTTATATCCCTTATACTATACTTAGACTATACTTAGGCTATACTATATATACTTAGGCTTATACTGTATATACTTAGGCTATGCTATATATACTTAGACTATACTATATACCTTATACTATACTTAGACTATACTTATATACCTTATACTATACTTAGACTATACTTAAGGTAGCATGGTTCTAGAGAAATATTTTTCAAAGTACAGGTCACTCCCCATTACTGGGTAATAAAATCTATCTAGTGACTCCTGACCAGCATTTTTTTAACAGCAGAAAATAATAGAGACAGATAGCAGCACAAAAAATAGAACCTTAAAGAGAAGAGGAAATGTAAAAGTGCTCTTAACATAGTAAAGGTATTATTTCATGGACTTTCGTTCCTGCCTTCTGAGAATTTGTACATAGGTCTCACTGTAAAACACATTTCTTACTGTGGATCATGGGCAAAAAGTTGAAAATCCCCAGTTTTAAATGAAACAGTTTGCCTTACCATTTTTACCCCCAGTATCTGCCATAGTAGTTAACAGATAATAGGCTGGGTGTGGTGGCTCACGCCCGTAATCCCAACACTTTGGGAAGCCAAGACGGGTGGATCACTGGAGGCCAGGAGTTTGAGACTAGCCTGGCAAAAATGGCAAAACCCCATTTCTACTAATAATATACAAACTAGCCGGATGTACTAGCCCATGCCTGTAATCCCAGCTACTTGGAAGGCTGAGGCACGAGAATCACTTGAACCTGGGGAGTTGCAGTGAGTTGAGATCGCACCACTGCACTCCAGGTGAAGAGTGAAGAGTGAGACTCTGCTAAAAAAAAAACAAAAACAAAACAAACAAACAAAAAAAAAACAGATGATAAGCAAGTTTGTTGAGCAAACAAATGCACATACAAATAAATGGCATTATCCATATAGCTAAAACCTCTTGTTACTTTAGAATTGGGCAATTGTTTATTTATTTGTGGGATAAAATAAACGCTCAAAAATTCTAGACTTTTATTAAAGGGAGCAGGCTGGCTATTGCCCTGTGTTGGTAAAGGTACTTCGCAGCATACCAGCAACATCGAAAACCAGAGAAGAGGACACACATTTCTTGTTTCTCATTCTAATTAGAATATAAAGTCATAAGATAAACGTAGATGAAATGCTGATCAAAATAATTCACACACCCCCGATCCTCTAGTGAACTTTAATGATTACCAGCTTTTGGTCTCCCCTATGAATTAAGATAGTAATCTAAACCCTGAATGCTTTGTTGGTGGTAAGACCATGTGGATAAAAGCATTAAAAACAATTTTAAGGTGAGATTTATTCTCTTTATGTTTTCTTTTCTGCTAAAGTATTCTGCTTGACATATTTACTGGATTATTTCTTGTTGGACCGTGTACTAGAAAGATAATAAACAACTCATATAAGAGGGGCTTGAGAATAATTCTGCCTGCAGGTTGGAGGCAAAACTATATGACCTCTAGAGCTCCTTTCCCAAAATATGTTTCCATTTAATTCATTTTTTTTCAGAATTTAAAAATTACACTCTCTGCGAATGTGCCTCAGTGTGTGAACACAATAAATAGAGACACAATGAATTCAAATATTTTTAAAGAGTTTGTGGCAGCATTAAATACAGAGAAATAAAAGCAACTAAAGAACTAAGGATTTCAGCATTATCTATGCCCACCCAGAGCATTCCGATCTCCCAAAAGCAAGACTGTTCAATTTTGCATGGGGCAAACTCTCTGGAAAATATAAGTGACTAGGTCCCTTGGGAACCCGATTTCAACATGAGATATGTGGCAGAAAATCTAGGCAGAAATAAAAATATTGGGCCACATTGTTAGGTAAACACCATCAAGAGCTGAGGATGTAGTATTTCTACCCCTTGACTCATTGACTGACTATACGCATGCCTTCTAACCTCCGAGTGTCAGTCTTTCCAACTATGGTGATGGTGATGATGTTTATCCATACACATCTCGTGGAAATATGTAAACTAAAACCTGGAAGGTATTTTAGATATGTATGGATTCTGTAAAAATGCACACTTATGTGATATGGTAGACAGAACAAAATCACTTCAAAAATATCCATATACTAATTCTGAAACCTGTGAATATGTAACCTTCCATGGCAAAAAGGACTTTGCAGGCCCTGTGATAAAGTAAAGGATCTTGAAATGGGAAGATTATCTTTAATTGTCTCGGTGACTACAATGCAATTGCAAAGGTCTTTATAAGTGAAAGAGAGAGGCAGGCCATTCAGAGTGATTCAATGTGGGAAGTCAGCCTCCATTGCTGACTTTGAAGATTGGGAAGGGAATGAGTCAAGGTAACTGGGTAGCTTCTAGTAGTTGGAATTGACAAAGGCAAGGAATGGATTATTTCCCAGAGGCTCCAGAAGAAATACAGCCCTATTGACACCTTGATTTTAGCTCAGTGAGACTTCAGACCCCCAGGGTTATGAGATCATAAATTTGTATTAAGCCACTAAGTTTGTTTATATTTGCCACAGCTGCAATAGGTAAGTAATGCCCGCCTTACCTAAGGGGTAAATCAAACAAATAAACCCTATTTGAGATGTAAATATACGTATAAAGGTGCCATTATCAGATGGATGGTTCAGAATATGGTGCTGACGAGAACAAGGTCTGGTTTTATTCTCTTTATGGTCAAGTTTCACTAATAGGAAAAAAAAAAAGGAACAAAGTGCACATGCATGCAAAACTCTTAAGTTACATCTATATCCCTAACCCTGGCCAAATATGTCAAAAATGCATGCTAAGGTTTTTATGTAATAAAGAATAAAAGACTGAATATTTTAACAACTAAATTTCTAAGATGATGTTTATAAATAAATGCAATTTTATATTTTTAAAGACACTTAAATGTAAACATATATAAAAATAGGATTTAAAAGTTTAAAAGGTACTTTCACATAACTAATATTACTGGATTAATTCACATATTTTGATAAGTATAATTATATGCATTTTACAGAATTATATACATTCAAATTGAGGCTGAGAGAAGTGAAGGATCCTGATAAAAGTTACAAACTTCATTAATGAGAAAATCAGGATTCTATAACCCAGATATTTCAACCCTAAATTATTTCAGCTCTGTGCTTCCCTCAGAGCTATGGACTATGTTGAAAATGAATCAAGATGCAGGGTGATATGTCAATTTACAAATGGGTCTCCTAGCTCTGTCACAAATGAGAAGACAAATGTATGTACTTTTGAAACCATTAGCATTATTTGATCTGACTTTAAACAAAATCATTACTAGCTTTGCTGCCTCTTTTTCTTTGCAAACCATGAAGGCTAAATTCTAATTCTATAAGGGCAGTTGTCTGTGATGAGTACTACTGTTGTGTTAACCATGTTTTCCACAAAAGCTGATTGACTGATTCTTGGTTTATATTGTCAATTGCTGCAACATATATTGACATTTCAGGTTGTTTTGGGAAAATAAAAGCATGTGTGGGCATGTGTGTGCTTGTGTGAGTGAATCCTTGCATGTATGAGTATATATGTGTGTCTATTTACAGAATTTGAACCAGACAGGTAAATTACATTACATATCTCAGGGTTAGCTTATTTTGTTTATGATCTTGTAAGTAACTAAAGTATTTCTTCGGATCTTGGATTAGATTTCTTTAATGATTTAGTCAGTATGTTATAGCAGTATCCCTTACATAAAAAGGTTGCCTCCACTTCACTTTTATTTTTATTATTATTATTTTTTTATTTAGACCAAGTCTTGTTCTGTTGCCCAGGCTGGACTGCAGTGGCGCAATTTCAGCTCATTGCAACCTCTGCCTCCCGGGTTCAAGTGATTCTCCTGCCTCAGTCTCACAATTAGCTGGGATTACAGGCACGCCCACCACACTTGGCTAATTTTTGTATTTTTAGTAGAGACGGGGTTTCCCTATGTTGGCCAGGCTGGTCTTGAACTCCTGACCTCAGGTGATCCACCCACCTCGGCCTCCCACAGTGCTGGGATTACAGGCATGGGCCACCGTGCCCAGCCTTCACTTTTCTTTTTCTTTTGGAATTATTTCTTATAAGTGTTTGCAAAAATAGCTCAAGGAATTCCCGGATAGCTTTCACTTAGATTCTCCAGATGTTTTCCACTTCCCTTGCTTTATGAGTTATTCTCTCTCTTACCTCACACATATAAACACACATACACATACATTTTATGTATACATAAGTATGTATGCAAATATACATATTAACACATACATATTTAAATATATATATTTTGAAATATTTAAGATTAACTTGTAGATATGATAAACTTCTACTTCTAAATATTTTAGTTTGTATTTCCTAAAACAAGAACATTTTCTTGTAAAACTCTGTTAGAGTTGTCAAAATCAGGAAATTAATATTGATAAAATGCTATTATCTAATCTATAGATCTTATTCAAATTACCAGTAGTCTCACTAATGCAATGTACTTCTTCTAACCCAAGATCCAATCCAGGATCACACATTGCACTTAGTTGTTCTATTAGTCTGTTTTCACACTGCTGATAAAGACAAACTGGAGACTGAGCAATGTACAAAACAAAGAGGTTTAATTGGACTTACAGTTCCACATGGCTGGGGAAGCCTCACAATCATGGCAGAAGACAAGGACGAGCAAGTCACATCTTACATGGATGGCAGCAGACAGAGAGATTGTGCAGGGAGACTCCCATTTTTCAAAACCATCAGATCTCATGAGACTTATTCACTATCATGAGAACAGCATGGGAAAGACCTGCCCCCATGATTCAATTACCTCCCACCAGGTCCCTCCCACAACATGTGGGAATTCAAGATAAGATTTGTGTGGGGACATAGTGAAACCATATCAGTTTTCATGTCCTCATGTCTTCTCCAAAAAGAGACTCTTCAGACTTTCATTTTCTTTTATGATATTGAGATTTTTTCAAGTGTACTGCCTGGGTGTTTTGTAGAGTGTATCTCAGATTTGTTTGTCTAATGTTTCTTCATGATTAGCTTCATTTTATCCATTTTTGGCAGGAATACAACAAAAGCGATGTTGTGTTCCTATTATTGCCTAAAAGCTGAAGTCACATAAGTGTTGATCTGTCACATTCCTGGTAATGTTAGCTTAAATCACTTCATTAAAGCTGAGATCTGCAAGGCTTTTTAACTAAAATTTTTATTCTTAACTTTGTAATTAATAAGCGTCCTGCAGATAATTACTTTGAGACTATATAAATATCCCATTTCTCATCATACTTTTACCCACCATTTAGTATTGGTGTTTCTTACCTGAAACAATTTATTTCTGTGGTGGTTGCTTTTCTTTTTCTTTAATTTTAGAAATCTAATGCCAGTGTAATTGATTATTTTGCCTTACAAGTTACTATTTGATATTTTTGCCTGAAAGCATTTAGATTATTTTTCTTAATCTATGAAAAAAAGCCATGTTTTACTAGAAAATGTCTCAGAGTAGATTTTTTCAGATAATTTTCTCTAGGTACTCCATTGACCCTTCTGCTATATAGATTCAGGCCTTCTTTCATTTCTGCAATGTGCTTTCAGATTCTAATTTCAAGTATTAATTTTGATACTTTTTTTTGCTTAGCTTCTTCAGGGGATCCAACTATACTAATGTTATTCTTTCTTTGTCTATCTTCCTTTTCCACCATTTTATCTCTGACCCTTTTTACTTGTGTGTGTGATTTTTTGTTTTTTTTTTTTTGTCTCATTTTACTTTTCTTGTCTGGTTCCTACCTTTCTTCAAAGCCTCTTGTTAAATTTTCATGTGGAATTTATTCTTCTTATGTGAGATGACATTGTCTTTTTTAAACATTTTTCTTGAATTTAATTAATTCACTTTCATTTCTTTCCGCATTTTCTTTTGGTACTTTTTTGCCTTTAATTTTTGAATTTCTGACTCAGAATGTTTTTCCATATCTCTAAATGCTTGTTTGTGTATGTTTATCTTTGTTTGCAATGTTGTTACACTTCTTTTCCTCTTCATTTTTTTTTTTTTTTTGAGGGGAGGGAAGAGTGGTAGAGAGAAATGGTGTTTCAAGAGCTTGCTTCTTGTTTTTAATCTTTTCTTTTGGTAAAGGTCCTGGTTTAGTGGTATTCACTGATACCAGTGTAGCAAAGTCGACTCTTTTTGCTAAGTCTTTGTGTGTGGGTGTGTGTGTCAAAGAAGAGTTTGTGGGGCCTACAACATATTCTTTTATTAGTAGGGCCGTGAAATTACCTCTTCCATCATATTTCCATAAGATATTTCTTTTTTCCTTTTTGCTTTTGTCTTCCTTAGAAACCACATCATTTGAAATCTGCTACCTAAAATCACATAAACCTAAAATTCCCAGCTGTGAATTCGGTGTTCTCAGCTACTAATATTTTCACACTCATTGTGAAGTTTCTCATTCTCATACAAGTTTGAGAAAAACTTTAGGCCTGGCACTATCTCCCATCTTCTCTTTTCCATGCATACTGTGGTTTTTCTATTTTTGTTATTTTTGATTTGTTTTGTTCTCCCAGACTACACCTGTTTGCAGCAAGGTTTTGTGGTAGTAGTAGAAATAATTGTTCATTGCAGTTCAGTAGGGTTTTTCCCTTTTATTTTGTTTATAGTTTATGAAGGCATGGACATTGTGTCTTATAATTTACCTAGTTTTGTCTTTTCTCATGGTTCTGTTTTATTTGGGGGGCATAGACAAAGAGGCTTGCATTTAAGCAGTGATCATTATCTTAGGCTGCTCAGAAATTTTCTCCCATTTACCTTTAACCACCATCTATAACTAATCACACAACATTCACTTATTCTATTTTGTTTTATTTTTTAAATTATTAGTACTATGTGCATATATCAACATAGTTGTCATTAGATAATTGAAATATTCTTTTGTTTAATTGTATTCACATCTTAGATTTGTTTAGACTCTTCTGTAAATACAATGTTCCTGAGGCTTGAGAAAATTGAACTCTTTCTTCTGTAACTTCCCACAGCCTGGCCTTAGGCACCAAGGGAACACTCTTTGCAATGGAAGACTGACTTTTTCTTGTCCTCTATTGCATGCTCAAAAATCACATATGAGAAATATTAACACTATCATAAATATCAAGGGCCCCCATTTTTCCTATGTACAAACCAAATTTCTAGGGTATCCATAGCTTTACTATGCCACCCTGGCCCTGCAGAGTCAACTGTCTGTTTTACTCTCTCATGTTGAGCTGAAACACAAAAAGTTTCACTCATCAAGAAACGGAAGCCAGGCCAAACACACCCTTTTTGACTTTAAGAAAAGAGGAGACATCTATGATCAATTTGTTTCATCAATCTCAGTGATGGCTTGCTGTGAAAAAAAAATAAATTAGGAACAAATAGAATATAACTGTCAGAGAAGCTGACAAAACCTGTAAAATGGACATTTTTACAGAAATTGGAAATCTCCATGCAAATGTTGTTTTCCAGATCTCATCCACAGTGCAAAATGAGAAAATTAGAAATACATGATGTTTGGGCTGGAAGAAATCTTCGAAAGACTTTTTGAAATCTTCAAAAGATGTATATATTGCATCTACATTTCCATATAAGGGAGTGGTGATGACAAGCATAAAAAGAGTAAGTACAGTGTACTGAGCACTTGTGCGATTGGTACTGTACTAAGTATATTGCATACAATATGTTTTTTAGTCTTCAGAACAACCTGTTGAAATACCTTGCAGTGGATATTATCAGTTCCTTTTTTAAGTATCTATTTTATTCTACTTTTAAAAAACACAATTTTCCGTGTACTTTGGATGACTCTGTAGTAGACACTACTAGCTTCTGATAATATCCACGGGCTCCTCTAATTTCTCTTCTCTGCAGCAATTGGGTTGGCAATCTGATTAAATCTTGGCCAGTGCAAAGTAAGTATAAAATGTACTACTTCTAGGCTCAGGGAGGCATGTTGTTTAGCATCAGTGTGCCTCCTCCATTTACATTATCTTGCCCCTCTCTGACAGCTGAATAATGTCGAGGCGACCTGTAATTTACAAGATAGTAGAGCCGTAATACTGAAGCATCTTGTGATATAAACAACTGCTTAGAGGACAGTTGCTAAACCTACACTGGACTGAGTAAGAAATAAACTTCTATTGTTTTAGGCCTCCGAAAATTGAGGTATTATTGGTTACTATAGCATAGTCTATTCTATTCTGAATAACTAAAAAATCAGTACTAGGGGTGATACCCTGTTGTAACAACAACAAAAAGCCTAAACCATGTGGCCTTGGTTTATATGTCAGGAAGCACTGGGTAAAAAAACTCATGTTTGAGCCTGGAAAATTGAGGATCCATATTACGCAGATGCAAAAGCATTTTATAAAAGGGACTTCTGCTATAACTAGAAAGATAGACCAAACCTACTGAATTTATAACTCTAGGGGAAGACATTGGAAAACAGACTGTTAATAGGGCATGCTAACTACTATTGGGCATATTAGGAAAGGTATTACAGAACCAAGCTGAGACTAAGAAAAAATTGAATGGTTTGCAGGAAGAAATAAAATAAACAAATAAAATACAGAAATTCAGATCTTTGCATGGCTGAAAATCTTTACATTTTTAGTCCCAGATTATTAAGATTTAAGTTTTAAAAAGGCATTGATAAACCAAGGTCTAATAAAGCTTCTCAGTCAGTCAAAATAACTCAATGTTCAACTTACCAGCAGAAAGAAAATTACTGAAAGCAACAATCAGATTAAGAGTGTGGTCTTTTAAACTACTGTTCTAGATACCTTCAAAGGAGTAGGTCTTAAATTTAAAAGGAGAAGGGATGCAGCGTTATGAAAACAAAATTAGTCAGGTTCTAGTGTTATATCAGAAAAATAACTTTATGGTTATTGGCCATGAAACTGAACAGAAACAAATGGATAAGAAGTCTCATAATTTTTATAAGAAATTATAGTGAAAGTATAACAAAAAACTCACAAAGTATGGACAAAAAAGGCTTTGATGTTTGAGGCTTTAAAAACCCCTGGGGTTCCCAAACTGGTCCTAACCACAATGCAGGCTTAGATGTTTGTAGAATCCTCAAAGAGGGCATGCTTTACAAAGCCCAGTGTAGATTGGGTTATGGAGACCAAAGAGAATGACAGAATCTCCATGACAGCAGAGCTGGGAGATTTGGTGAACATGGATGGAGAAGTTATCCCCTATCTATGAAAGAGTAATGCAGAATCCAATCCAATAACTTCCTCCATCACTCAGGCATGGAAATTTTATGTTTCCAGAACCCCAAAATTTCAGAATCCAGCTGATCATCAGTGTCTCCTGTGTTTCTCAGTTTTCTCTTTCCAAATGGGATATACAGTATGGTTCTTCCATCCAGATTGATTATATAATGAATGTATATGTAGGGAAATGGGTAATTCTGCCTTTTTATTTACAGGTTGACAGTCTAGGAGGAGACATATCCAGATCGCATAGAGATGCCTATAAACCATTTGGATTTTGTGATGGATGCAGGAAGTGAATATTTTGGGTTCTGTCCCTTGAGGAATAGGTGAATGTGTTCTATATGTAGGTAGAGAAAAAGAAAGATTTTCTAAGACCAGATCAAAAACCACTAGTGCTCACCAATATCCATGTAGTCATCTATGTTTTCCAGACTTCCTTGTATTTGGATCTGCCATTTCACTTGTTCTGGTAAATGGACTGTGAATGGAAATATTGGTAGTTTACATGTCTGATGGCTTCCCAACCCTTGTCCTCTTCCCCACTACAAGCTAGAGAGAGAATTCAGGAGAGCATCGGAAGCAAAAAGATGGAGGAGATACAACACCAAATTAATCCTGGATTCCAAGTCACAGCTTAGAAGAGAGTTGTTTGACCAACATGAGACTATGATTTGAACCAGAAATTAGCTTCTATTACATTAAATCCCTGTAATTTCACCATCTATATCACTGTTAGTAGAGCTATGTTAGTCTTGACTATTAAAAATTTTGAATGCAGTTCCAGGTCAAGGGCTGGGTCCCTGCTGACTCCAGCTTGTCACCACATTCCATTCCCCTGGCCTTGGCCATTTGTTAAAAGTTGTTTTGTGATCTTGTTTGGAATGCCGAGCAGAGGTCTGTCTGTCTTCTGGCTAACAGATTGTAGACAGACGAGCTCTGAAACTGCTACAGCCATTTTGTCACCATGAAGGAAGTCAAATTGGAATAAAGTGCCACAGTGGAAGACAGTAAAGACAAGAAAGGGAATTAGATTCTTGATGGCATTACTGAGCCACTGAATCAAACAAACTCTGGCAACTATCATACCTCTGTTCTTCAAGATACACAAGCCAATAAAAGATTTTATTGTTTAAGTCAGCTAAGTAGAATTTCCTATTGCTTACAACTGAATGAATAATAAATAAATTTGAACTAAAATAATCCCAATTTTAATGATGAGGAAATTAAGGAACAGAGAGCTGAATTGAATTAACATCATATGTAGTTGACAAGTGGATGTACTAACAGTTGAGACCCAATTTTCCAACTCCAAATCCCATTTTCTTTAATCGCTATATGTTGTATTACACTATTGTTTCCCACTCTGCTGTTCTCATGATCTGCCACTGAGTGTTAGAGGCAAGAAGAAAAACAGCAAAATCAAACAAACAAACAAACACCACTAAACAGAAAACAGGATCTCTGTGTCCCAAGATATTATTATTTCTGGAACTCTTTCGTCTATTTTCAGCAAGCCAAATTAGAAAATTGATTCCTCTTTTCAAGCCCTGATCATCATAGAGGGGCCTCTATTATCCTTGAAGGAGTGTAGCCATAATAACAAGGGCTGGTGATTATTGGATTTGAGCTCACCACCCTTGCTCGAGAGGAACTATAGAAAAGGGAACATGCTGTGGAATCAGTAAATGCAATATCTAAAAACAGCCAACAGCTGTGCCTGATGAGCATCTGGGCAATGTTTTTGCCGGGTTTGGGAGGTATACGGCTACTTTAGTTACAGCATTTTATAAAAATTTACAGCCAGAAACTTCAGGTCAGCATATTTAACAAAAATAAATCTTGTATTTCTAGAGTGTGGACCAGATGTTAATGTATTTGAAAGGATATGTGTTTCTGTGAGTGTCTGTGGGTGTTTGGTGTGAGATTGATAAAGATATGTGTTTTCCCACAGGTGTGTGGCCTTAAGATTAGAGGCCCTTGCTTATGGTTAGGAATCATAGAAACAGGTGTGTAGTTGGGAGTGGGAGGTTGGAGGGAGGGAGGAGAGTTAAGTGAAAAAAAAGGTAAAATGAAAGGAGACCCCTTGTACAAACACTGGATTTATAGGTTCCAAATTCACAAGATTCATATGTCAAAGATATACAAAATATCACGAATAGTTTTGTTGTTGAAAGACACAGATTTTTATTTTTCTATAATTAGACATGAAAGTCCATCCTTCAGAATTAAAAAAAAAAAAAAACTTTCTGACCCTTGCCCCGCAATTTTATTCATATCTTCCTCCCACTTCACTGTTGGTATTGACTATCCCTTCAACATGCTTAATAATGCCATAGGCAAAATAAGAATAAATGGAAGTATTTTTCAGATGCTTCATATTTCTAAGATAATATATCAGCAGAGTATCAGAATCACCAAATGTCAGAGCAGGAGAGACCTCTAAGTTCATATAGTGCAAGGAAGATTCTTGGAGACATTTACTGTTTCTACTTCAGATGGGACACAGCTAAGCCATTCCCACAAAAGCACTGCGCCCATGGCAAAAGCCACTGCAGATCTTCTTGTTCCACTTTTAAATCTCTCTGTCTCTCTCTCTGTCTCTGTCTCTGTCTCTCTCTCTCTCTCTCTCTCTCTCTCACACACACACACACACAGCTAACCAACCTCTTACCCCTCTTTCATTCAGTCAGGAAAAATTATTTAGCATTAACTAGATTAGCTGCCAGGTCTATTTTAATGGAGTCTCGTTGCTCTATTGTAACAAGCCTCCGAGAACTGCTCAAAGAATCAGGACTGCCAGCCTCAGCTCGAAGGCTGGACGAGGCTAGGGCTGCGTCTTATTAACCTACAATATCAGAGAGTTGCATTAAATGTGTCTTCTCTCTGTCCCTGAAAATCCTCGGGAGAATTAGGGAAAGTCTATCAGCTGCCTGAATAGGTCTTTGTTAACTCAAGGTTGACAGGAAAGAAGACCATACAGGAGAGAAAAAGGGAAGAAGGGTGGAACCTCAGGGTGCAAGAACACAAACAACTCTAATTTGCTAAGTTACCATCATTACAAGGGGAAGAGGTTAATTCGTCTGGGCAAGGTTGGTCATCCCCTTCCATAGAGAATACCACTGTGTGGAAGGTTTTCTACGTATGCCCTAGGATGGGCTCCTTCCAGGATTCCCAGGACTGCCAGAAAGCCTGGACAGTAACCAGAAAGGACAACTCTCCTGTTTTCCTGCCTTCAGAAATGGCCAGGGGTCAGCAGACTCCTACACTGGGCCAAATCCAACCTGACACCTGTTTTTGCCCTAAGAATGGCTGTTATGTTTTTAAAGTTTGAAAAAACAAAACAAAACACTAGGAGAATAATATTTCATGACATGGGCGAATTCCATGACATTCCATTTTCAGTGTCCGTTTGTTCGAATCCAGTCATGCTCACTCATGTCTGTGCAGCTGGCTCCATACTAATGCAGAGACCCTATGGCCCTTAAAGCCCCAAATACTGAAATATTTACTCTCTGGCCTTTTGCAGGCCTAGGAGGAGGTAAATTGAAATATTCTCCTAGGAGGAGGTAAATTGAGAATAAGTTAGCAAGTGAGACAGTCTTACACATTTGAGGGTCTGAGAAAAGTCTAGCTTATGTTTACATAAATAACATAGGAGGAAATTTCTCTTAAAATGATGCAAATCTTCTGGCACCAAAAGATACTAAGTTGGGAGACTATTCATGTTTATTCATTCAGCCCTTTATTCATCCAACATACTTTATTAAGCACCTACTGCATACAAAAACCCCCACCATCTTCAGGGAGAGGGGGTGTGATAAGGCTTAGGACAGCAAGGCTCTGCCTTTTGAAGGTATGGCCCCCTGAATTGCCTCAAACACACTTCTTCCAAAAGAATAATTTTTTTCCTCAAGTTATATATATATATATATATATGTATATATATACACACACACGTATATATATACACACACACACGTACATATATACACACACACATATATATACACACGTATATATACACACACACGTGTATATTATATATACACACACACACGTGTATATATATATATACACACACACACACGTATATATATATATATTTTTTGAGACAGAGTTTTGCTCTTATTGCCCAGTCTGGAGTGCATTAGTGTGATCTCGGCTCACCGCAACCTCCACCTCCCAGGTTCAAGCTATTCTCCTGCCTCAGCCTCCCAAGTAGCTGGGATTACAAGCACACACCACCATGCCTGACTAATTTTTGTATTTTTAATAGAGATGGGGTTTCTCCATGTTGGCCAGGCTGGTCTCAAACTCCCAACCTCAGGTGATCCTCCCGCCTTGTCCTCCTAAAGTGTTGGGATTACAGGAGTGAGCCACTGCACCCAGCCTCCTCAAGTTATATTTAACTCTCTGATCCAAGCATATAAGCTCTTTCTCTTTTCTTTTTAAAATAAAGAGTAACATTTGTCACATAAGTAATTCTCTACTGCAGATGAAAACGAAAATCCCTTAGCAATTTATCATAAATGGGTCTTTGGTTTACTGCTTTATCCAATGTGAAGATGTTAACTTACCTCTGTAGAGCGCTTTCTGTGTAGAAAGAGCTTTTGCACACACCAACACATTTATTGGTTGAATTAGGTACTATGAATACTTCCAACTTACAGATAATTAAACCAAGGTTTGGGGATTTTGCTAGTATGTCACTGGAATGGGTCCCAGTCCAGGTTCTTTCATTTTAAACACAATGACTCTTTCTCTTGGCAACTGAAAAATTCCTTATTTTCTATTTGAGCTTCACTTTTATCCTGGTTCAGAATGAAAGAAACGAGGGATAAAGCCCTAAAAAACTAGGGAAATGGATTCTTGAGAACTGTTAAGTATGGCTGCTGACTGGAAACGTGATAACTTCTCTGAGCTACTGGCTCCGATTTGGACAAACCAGTAATTCCCTTTTAGGCTTTGCACTCCATACATTTTTATGTTAAATTCTGCTTTGCAAAATCAAAGGGACGGAGATAATGGCTATAACAAAAAGTGACCTTGATTTGGCCACAGAACACTTGGCCAAATCTAGCTCTGCTCTTTCACCAATGAGCTGAGCATCCCTCAGTCTTTGGGCAAGTCACTCCAAATTTTTATATCTCTAAACCCTGTTTTTTTTGGGGGGAGTGCGGGGAGTGTCTATAAAAGGGAAAGTGTTCAATTAGTAACACTCTAAGTTCTTTCCAGGTTTAATACTCTGAGACTGCATAAATTCTTTTTCAGTATTTTGGACTCAGTGCTAACTTTTATAAAGATGTCGATTTTACCCCAAAGTTGTATAACATGGACAATTTTAGGTGATGATAGGTCTTTCTCACATTAAAAATAAAGTATATTTTCTTTGAATAAATACTACTTTATGACAAAAAGAAAATGCTTCCACTGGACTGGTTTTGATTCTTTGTCTAACTTCAGTGAAGTAAGTGGAAATGCAGTAGAATTCGTTGCTTCAGGTCCCACGTGCCCCTAGGGTGGTCCTTTTAATCCCAACCTGTCATGATCTTACTCTCCTCCCACTGACAGTGCCAAAGTCCTAGTGGCTAACTTGAGCTCGAACACATTTTGCCCCATGGCTTTGATTGTATGGCAACCTCTTATTCTATTGTTTAAATTTAGTCAATTGAATGCATTTCTGCCTCTTGCCTTCCCAGTGAAATCCTCGGCCCCTTTGGTAGTAGAGCAGTGACCCTTGTCTTGTGCCTTGAATCCTCGGAGCACTGATCACAATGCTTAGCATTTGCAGAGCTGGGGCTCTGGAGCCTGAGAGTCTTGACTAAGCCTACTGCCATTTATTAATATGCATCTAACAAGTTGAGTGGACAGACATTCACCAATGTCAGCATGGAAAGCTTAGGAATAGAAATATTTAAAGTACTTCCGCAATACTAAAAAATTGTGGATATTTACATAATAAACATGATATCTCTTAAAATTGGCATATCTTTGTTGGAGCACATAATAGTAATGATAAATGTTGACTAAATTATTTTTTTTCCCTTGGGACAGCACACCCTTGCAAACATTACAATTCCCTGTTTTTCTTTGATTGATGCAACTGAAACACCAATGTTAAAGAAAGGATCCACTAAATTTGTTACTTTGTTTTTTATTCCCACTAAAATTTGCATATTGATTCATTCACGTCATGTTTTAGCCCTAGGATTTTGGGCCCCATCTTAACATAGAGCTACCTGGCAGCAAAGAATAATTTGGTTTGGAAATTGCTGACTTTTAAATTATTAACACAAAAGCACACCAGGAAAAGAAGGGTTTCCTTAGCAAAATGCTAGAATCACAGCCCTTTCTCCTGAAGTTGTCACCATTCAATGTGAAAGATTGTTTGATGTTGCTGAGGCTGAAAAACACCAGTTCATTTGTTTTTTGTGATTTTTTTTTCCTAAAGAAAAGCCTTTGTTTCTGAGTTTGATATTTTTCATGAATAATTGGAGACTGCGGAAATTGAAAAGGATTTTTGTCTCTAGTTGAACTGAAGTGATAAACATTCTTGGAAATCAAAACCTGCAAAGCAGAAAGTACTTTTTTCCCCCAACTGTTTAAACATAACCTGGATATTGGGAGGCAAACAAAAATACAAAACAGAAACAAAAATTCACAATAACAATAGGGTGTCTGCTCCATACTCTATACAGCCACAGGGAATGTGTTTATCCAGGTCTCTATGATGTATTTATTGTACAATGCAATAGCTATTATTCCTAAGATTGTCTCTTGCTTAGTCCAAAGACAATCTCTGTGGCTCACCTAAGCAGGTATTCAGTTTTATCAAAGCTTCCAGATACGATACAAGCCTTGTATCTTGTCATTCATAATGGTGCAGTGCTTACAACTACCAGGTAAAGAATACCAATTTCCCAGGGATATAAAGTACTATATGGCTTATGACTGAGTTAATATTCACAACGCCCTTCCAATATGGGTATCATTAGTTCCATTAGGCAAATAAGGAATTTGAAATTAACCAGTTTCTTCCAGAACAGATACTAGTCATGGGTGAGCTAGAAATTAAACTCAGGTGAGTTTGCCTCCAAAGAAGTTGCCATGTCTCATTCTTAGGATGCTTTAAAATCCAGATGAGGCATTTGGATACACTTCAAGGAAGAAGCATGATTAAGTAAACGTTGTTTCTAAACATGAAACAAATGATCTGGACGGTGTTCTGAGAAGAGATTATTCATCGGTGAAGGGTGGCTCAGTGGAGGAGGTTGTGGGAATTGGAAGTGAGACCCATAAATCCAGTAATGAGTCAACAGAGACTTTCACATTTTACAGTGGGAGAGGAGGTAGAGATCGGTGCAGATCAAGTGCTTCATTTTGATTTACCCATTCCTCTGATTGTTAGGAGACACAGGTCTTCTCTGTTACACCTGCCCTTTCAACAAATCCCCAACCAGAAAAGAACATCAGAGTAAACTATATCCTTTCACAAAATGCTTGTTCAATTGCCTTGCCCATATGCTTTAATCTGCAGATAACAGGTGAAGTGAGCAGAAAGTGAAATGTAATGATTTTGTCCTATTACAGTCATCTTCCCCCAGAGGCACAATGACCAAAAAAGAGGAACGCAGGGTGGGAAACTATGAAAGGGATACAAAAAGATTTGCATCATGTTAGAATACACCACGGGCAGCACTGACTTCGGGGCTTGCCCAGAGAGACCATGCAAAACTTGACTTAGAAGAAAGGGAGAAGAACAGAGGTCAAATACGGGAGCAGTAGGAGCTTCAGGGAAGGGTGGACAACTGGTGTGGCAACGCAGACCAAGTGCACCGGCATGTGCTGGTTTATGACTTCAGAAGTTCCTAGCAGATACCACAAGTGTGTCTGACATGGAGTAGATTCATTTCAGGACTCTTACACAATAAAAAAGAAGTAGAAAAGATCTTGAGACAGCTACCAGGAAGGAATCAGGCAGCAGGCCTCTCCTAGTTTCCTGGGATGCAATTCTGGTCTTAACCCAGTCATAGAAGGCAAAGACATTCAAGAGGGAGAAATAAAAATGTCCTGGATACTCCAGAGACACACACTGACAAAAGGCAAGGTCATCAGCCTGAGATTCCCAGGACAGAAGCAGGAGGCAGTGGCAGATCAGAGTCCAGGTGGCGGAGGTCTTAAGAAAAGCGCAGGTTTCAAACAGATGTGGTCTGAAACTAGGTGGAGGTTGGCTGTGGTGTGAGGTAGCCTAACATCTCAAAAAAAGATTACGATCTCCTGGAAGATAGAGTGACTGCCTGATTTAGTTAAGTTTTTAAAATATACATATATACATACTTTAAGTTCTGGGGTACATGTGCAGAATGTGCAGTTTTATTACATAGATCACACACCATGGTGGTTTGCTGCACCTGCCAACCTGTCACCTACATTAGGTGACCTACGTTACACACGCCATGGTGGTTTGCTGCACCCATCAACCCGCCACCTACATTAGGCATTTCTCCTAATGCTATCCCTCCCCTAGTCCCCCACCCCACAACAGGCCCCAGTGTGTGATGTTCCCCTTCCTGTGTCCTTGTGTTCTCATTGTTCAACTTCCACTTATGAGTGAGAACATGCAGTGTTTGGTTTTCTGTTCTTGTGTTAGTTTGCTGAGAATGATGGTTTCCAGCTTCATCCATGTCCCTGCAAAGGACATGAACTCATCCTTTTTTATGGCTGCATAGTATTCCATGGTGTATATGTGCCACATTTTCTTTATCCAGTCTATCTTTGATGGACATTTGGGTTGGTTCCAAGTCTTGGCTATTGTGAATAGAGTCACAATGAACATGTGTGCATGTGTCTTTATAGTAGAATGATTTATAGTCCTTTGGATATATACCCAGTAAAGGGATTGCCATTCTAACTTTCATGAGATGGTATCTATTGTGGTTTTGATTTGCATTTCTGTAATGATCAGTGATGATGTGCTTTTTTTTATATGTTTGTTGGCTGCATAAATGTCTTCTTTTGAGAAGTGTCTGTTCATATCCTTTGCCCACTTTTTGATGGGGTTGTTTTTTGTTTTTCTTGTAAATTTGTTTAAGTTCTTTGCAGATTCTGGATATTAGCCCTTTGTCAGATGGGTAGATTGCACCCATCCAGCAGGCAAATGGATACAGCAGTCAGGACACCATTACTTTTCAGCCCTCACTGGTGGAAATATCAGCAGTCCCGAAAATCTGGGCACCTGTGCTGATGGCAGAGGATGTAGTTTTGAGTGTGCACAAAGCCACAGTTGCACGTGCCTCTTGTTGTTTACCAGGAAGAAGGAAGAGAGGTAGGGGAAGAAAATAACTGCAGAATACAAAGCAAAGGGATATGACCCTAAGTCTAACTAAAACAGAAAAAAGGGGGAGAAAGGAGAGAAAGGAAAGCGCGAGGAGCCGCCGCCACCACCAGCGCAGCAGTCCTGGAGCTGTGAGGAGATTCGGGCCGTCACCCTGCCTCCCCTGCGTCCCGCCACCGGCCGCTTCTGTCCTCGGACCCATTCCAACAATCTCGTAAAACATGGTGGATTACTATGAAGTTCTAGGCGTGCAGAGACATGCCTCACCCGAGGATATTAAAAAGGCATATCGGAAACTGGCACTGAAGTGGCATCCAGATAAAAATCCTGAGAATAAAGAAGAAGCAGAGAGAAAATTCAAGCAAGTAGCGGAGGCATATGAAGTGCTGTCGGATGCTAAGAAACAGGACATCTATGACAAATATGGCAAAGAAGGATTAAATGGTGGAGGAGGAGGTGGAAGTCATTTTGACAGTCCATTTGAATTTGGCTTCACATTCCGTAACCCAGATGATGTCTTCAGGGAATTTTTTGGTGGAAGGGACCCATTTTCATTTGACTTCTTTGAAGACCCTTTTGAGGACTTCTTTGGGAATCGAAGGGGTCCCCGAGGAAGCAGAAGCCGAGGGACGGGGTCGTTTTTCTCCGTGTTCAGTGGATTTCCGTCTTTTAGAAGTGGATTTTCTTCTTTTGATACAGGATTTACTTCATTTGGGTCACTAGGTCACGGGGGCCTCACTTCATTCTCTTCCACGTCATTTGGTGGTAGTGGCATGGGCAACTTCAAATAGATATCAACTTCAACTAAAATGGTTAATGGCAGAAAAATCACTACAAAGAGAATTGTCGAGAACGGTCAAGAAAGAGTAGAAGTTGAAGAAGATGGCCAGTTAAAGTCCTTAACAATAAATGGTAAGGAGCAGGTGCTGCGCTTGGATAACAAGTAATTCAACGCACGCACTTAACAGAAATGTTAAACTATAACAAGCACCATTTGAGGATTAACAGGAACATTTTTTTGAAGATTTCAAACGAACTCGACTTTCAGTATAATTGTACCTAAAGTATTTATAAACAGCTCATCGGAGCCTCTATTTGTCATAGACTTTTGAGTTGATTGTTGGGACCACATAATAGGACCATTTTTTTTTTGTCTTTAAAATTGTTGTAAATCTCTGTATGCACTTTGCTTTTTTATTAAACGTACTCCAAGGTGAGTCTTGACTCTTTAGTGTAGGACAAGATTGTACACTAACACCAGCATGGACCTGCTTTTCATTGTGTCTGAAATGTGAGCCACGTAGTGTCGGCCTGCTGTGAAGTTAACATTGCCAGGACGATTCTTCTACAGAAATAATTTCAAATTTTTTCAGCATTTAGTAGTGAAAGATATTAATACATTAATGGTAATACATTTCTGGTTTAATATAAATTAAGGATGTTTTCTAGTTGTGCATGAATGCTGGCAACTTAGTAAGTTTTGACAATTGTTTAAATATGTAATGTTAAGCTTAGGTTTAAAAAAGTAAAGCTGGTAAACTGGGTCTTTGTCATTTGCTTTAAAAAAAAAAAAAAGAAAATAAATGCGAATGTGTTGGTGCATTCAAAAAAAAAAAAAAAAAAAAACAGAAAAAGGTCCTAGGAGAAAAGGAATTAGTTTCAGAGACTGAGTTACCAAGCATAAAGCATCTTTCTTGCTAGTGTGTCAGAGCAAAATCCTTCTGAAAATGAAGTTCTGCACCCTAGCTGAATCTGCATCTTCCCCTCCACCAAACTGGGTCGTCTCCCAGACCAGCAGTATCAGCAATAACTGAGAACTTGTAAGACGTGCGTGTTCTCAGCCTCCATCCCAGACCTACTGAATCAGAAACTCTGCAAGTGAGGCTAAAGCATCTTTATTTTAACAAGTCTTCCAGATGATGATGATGATGCACTGTGAATTTTGAGAACCACTGGTCCAATTTGTGACTGAAGCAAGTGATTTTCCTTAAACTCCTCCCATTCTGATCCATTAAAGGTCTTCAACAGGGAACCATAGTGTAGACTTGTGTTAGGACCACTCGCTTGTTTCTTGGAGAAAAGACCTTTGTAACTGGTGGACAAAATCCTGGGGATGATTCGGAATGTTACTTCATAATGAATTAGTTCAAACTACTTTAAAAATATAATTTCCAAAATGTTAAAATCATGACTCATACAAACATAAAATTTGTACAGTCAAAGATTCTAATCAATCCATTAATGAATGTGGAAACCAGTAATGATGGTAAAACGAGATATTTATAGGCACTTAAAAATAAAAGAGAGACGTTAGAATAATACTTGAACCAAATCTGTTAGTGCCCCATGGGGCAATAAAACCATAACTTTGAAGATTATCTTTTTTATGGGACATAAAATTATTTGCATCTCTATGAAACACAAATCTACAAGTTAACACCTAACTTTGTAGAGTTCGGGGATGTAAGTAAACAAAGTCAAACAATGCTACAATTTCCTAGAAAATTAAATATTTCTTGGGTGGCACGGTTAAATCATGCTCCAGAATGACATTGAAAGGACAGGCAATCATCCTCACAGCACTTTCTGTAGGCGTTGGACAGTTTTTTTCTTAACATGACAGATCTAGTCTCCAGGTTCTAATTCTTGGTAGATGTTTCATCCCACCACACCCTCAGGTGGAGATGCCCCTAAGTCAGAGGCAAGGAATGCTCCAAACCCTCCTGAAATGGAGCCAGATGAAATTCCAAAGAAAGAAGTGCTAAACATCAGGCTCATCAGTCCAAAGCGTTGATGAGAGGAACCCACTACAGGGTGCTGCAGTGTACCCCTGTGATAGACAGCAAGAGAAAAGTGATGTCCTACCTAGCAATGTCTCCGTAATGGAGTGTACATGAGGGCTTGAGGAACTTGGCCCAGGGCCACGGCCAGTGTCTTTCAGTGTTTTGAGCAACAACCTAGATATTGTTATCAGCACTTGACAATGCTCAAGCCCCTGGGTTGGGTTCAAACCTGCTCGGAAAAACCTGCAGCGGACTGGCACACAGAACACTCAAGGCACTCTTGTTTCAGTCAGCACACAGAAAGAAAGCAGGGGCAGAGGGCCTGGGGGGTCCTGCAGTGGTACTGGGTAAAGCTCCTTGTTCCTCATTAATCTGCAACACTGCATGGAGGTTGCTGACTGGCTGATCATGGGGGTTCCCTTCTCTTTGCACTCTCATTCTGTGCTGGGTATGTGGCAGCTGCTGCTCCACCTTGTTGCTATGATCCATGACTTGTGCAGTCTCCTGAGCTCTCTGAAACCTCTTTAACCAGCTTTTTGTGAAGCCATTTCATTCTCCCAAAAGCCATCTGTAGACACCATTAACAAGTGCTGGTTCAAATACAGAAAAAAGCACACAGGGATCACTAGGTTCTGAATGGCCTCTCCCTAAATGGGACCTTGATCTTTGCTAGGGATTTCTTTCTTTTTCTTTTCATTTTTTTTTTTCTTTTTAGATGGAGTCTCACTCTGTCACCCAGGCTGGAGTGCAGTGGCGCAATATCTGCTCACTGTAAATTCCATCTCCCGGGTTCAAGCGATTCACCTGCTTCAGCCTCCCGAGTAGCTGGGATTACAGGTGCCCACCACCATGCCTGGCTAATTGTTGTATTTTTAGTAGAGATGGGGTTTCACCATGTTGGCCAGGCTGATCTTGAACTCCCGACCTCGTGATCCATCAGCCTTGACCTTCCAAAGTGCTAGGATTACAGGGGTGAGCCACCACGCACAGCCGGGATTTATTTCAAGATGCTGATTATGTCTCAGCTAGGCCAGGGGAACTTAGGTAGGCCATACACATGTGGAGTGACTTTTAAACATCAGGACTAAAGAGGCATAGAGGATGAGGATGTGACTGGGATCCTAATGGGGAAGGAGCTGGTAGATGCAACCAGAAAAAAAGCAGGACCTCAAAGAGAGAGAAGTAGGGCACCTGCTGAACACTTAATCACATGTAATTTCTCCTAGCAGAAAAGCCAAGAAATGCCCAGACCTGGCTGTCATCTTCCGTCTCCAACCTCCCCACTGTCTCTCTATAGAAGGAGTTCTCCACTTAGAACCTATGAACTCTCCAAAAGATCTGAGGATAGAATCCAGGGAGTCCATGAACATGGATGGAGAAAATGTTGAATTTTTATTTTCACTAAATTCTTATGGGAATTTAAAGTTTCTTTTAATTATTAATGAAGGCAACAAATTACAAAAGTATTATTAGCAGTACTGTGGCTTTGCCATGGATATTTTCATATCAGCACTCTGTCAGTCTGTTTGATTTTTTTAATGTGTTAACAAAGGAGCACACATAAACTATATGACTGGTTTCAAAATAATTTGATAACTACATTTTAATATAAATAGTTTCCTTTGTAATCCTGTGTATTTTATTGTGTGCATTTAAAAACATTGTTCTGAGAACAGATTGATATGCTGTATCAGACTTTTAAAGTGGTTCATGGCACAAAGAAGCTTAATAACCCTTGTATATTGTAACTTCAAACAAAAGAAAACAAAGCAAAAATCAGTTTTGTTTAGTTTATCCGCCAACTTGTTCTGTGTAGGTTTTGTGGTGTTATTTTCATTTGCTTCAACTAAACTAGAAAAATAACATGCTCCTGTTTATTATGTACTTCTGTATATTCTTATTGTGTATTCTATATTATTTTCCTCCTCAGCTAACACACACACACACACACACACACACACACACACACGTCTTTCTTTTTGAAAAGAATTCTCAGTGTTTTAAAGTATCACAGTTAGGCCACAAGGGAAGAGATGTGAATATTTTAGGACTTCTCAACATGAACTTAAGCCACATGTAGAATCCAGGCAACTGGACCTTTTGACCTCACTAAACCCTTTCCAGAGCAAGATGCTTTTATTCTTCTTCAAGCCTCAGATGGCAGATCAGAGGTAAAATAGCCCTTATTTCCAATTATGTGCTTCCACAGTCATTGTCTACAAGGGGAATAAGCGATAATGAAAAGGATGTGATGCTGCCTCATGACCAAACTGGATTTTTTTTCCTCCACTTTTGATTTATATTCAGCATTGGGCAGTCTGCAGAACTTCTTATTAAGGAAACAAAAAAGACGAGGGAATAAGAACAAGTGCTATCCTTCTCTTCTTTACAAATTCGGTAAGAGATGAAAAGCCAGGCAACAAAGGCTTTTACTCAAGCAACCACTTTCAGACTTGGGGTCAGAAGCTGAAAAAGAACATGTGCAGAGGTCAAAGAGATGGATTCAAGTGCCTACTCTGCTACTTACTAATTGTGAGATTAAAGATGTGTTATTTAATCACTCAGATTTTTTTTTTTTTTTTTGAGATGAAGTCTTGCTCTGCCACCCAGGCTGGAGTACAATGGCACAATATCGGCTCACTGCAACCTCCACCTCCGGGGTTCGAGCAGTTCTCCTGCCTCAGCCTCCCGAGTAGCTGGGACTACAGGCATGTGCCACCACACCTGGCTAATTTATTTCGTATTTTAGTAGAGATGGGGTCTCACTCTGTTGCCCAGGCTGGTCTTGATCTCCTGAGCTCAGGCAATCTGCCTGCCTTGGCCTCCCAAATTGTTGGGATTACAGGCGTTGAGCCACTGTGCCCAGCCTCAGATTCTTACAAGGTGTGAATGTGCGTATTCTGTCTAAATTCAAGGATTGCTGCAAATGAAGTGTATTTCCCAAAAGGCCACAGGGCTTCATTAGCAGACCTTAGTTTGCAAGATGGGAAAGATCTTCAGGTAGATGTTTGAGTCTGAGCGCCAGAGGGTAGGTGTAACTGAAGGAATGGGGCATGGAGAAGATAGACTGGAATCTTATCTCCCCATCCTGTTCCCCACCATGAAAACAAATGCCTGAGCTCTCTTGGGAAGAGTTACTACATGCTTGCTGAGAGGGCTCTTTTCTTCGAAAACTCTGTGAGACACAGGACACAGGCATCATGATGTCCAGGTGAAAAAGTATGACAGAGTGGGACAGATGATCCATGTCCTTATTTTTTCAGAGAAAACAGCCTGGCTGTAGAGAAGGGAGGCTAAAAGAATGAAAAGGGATTCTGAAGCACTACCCTGGTTTCTTTGAGAAGAACTGTCAGGACGTGGTGTCCATAGAACCTACATCTCAGGAAGCACTAGAGCCACGGTAGCTGGAAGCGCAGATCACTGCTCTCCCCTGCCTTCATGGACACTGAACACCAGGAAAAATAAGGGGATCCTGTAACCCCAGGTTTTGGCACCATTGCAAACAAGACACCTCTGGGTATTTCCAGAAATGATTGGTATAGAGAAAGAAGAGGAATCTTGATGTACTTAATTATATAGGTAGGGGCAATGAAACGTAGAATTAGGATTATTTGTTTCCACTGGCAGGCAGGAGGGAGGCTGGGAAGTTTGGATTAGACGAAGACAAATTAGAGGTAGCAGGCTGGGAGCCATCTTTGTAAGCTGTAAAGCCTTACAAAAATGTAGACTTTGGGTGTGACTTTCTTTTTCAGCAAATTTCCTGGCACACCCTGCGGACAGGAACGAATGCCTCTTGGTTCCATGGAGGAATAAACAACAAAAGGGCTAATTTTAGGATTGATACAAGTAATTTACATAGAATATTCATGTCAGCTAACTACTGTAACATAAAGCATGTTTTCCACATTTGAGCAACCACAAAATGAGTTTTCGTGTACATCCTGTAAACCTGGGGAAGAGAACCAACAAGGGAGAGCAAAAAAAGAGTAAAAATTGGAAACATTGGCCTGGCCAGCCAGCTAATTTTCCCCTGCGTGGAAATAATACCCACAGGTCCTGTCTCCCACTGCTTTTCACGTTCTGCTTTCAATCATTTAGGATTCCTATTGAAGACCCTTCACTGAATTCACGCTCATATATTTTCTAGTTCTCTCTGTATTTAGAACACAGAAAGACAAAAATAAATGTGGCTTTATGACACTTTTCATTTTTCTGTTAGATTCTTTTTTAAAAAAGATGTGCAAACACTCAATAATTGTTTTATGATCTACTAGTTGAGTATGAAATATATCTGTCAACAAAATATCAAGTGCATTTTATGAACTTTCCCAAGTCAATTTGGTTATGTGCAACTCTTGATTCTTGTAGGGAACGCTAAGAGTTTGAAATAGGTGATGGTTAGCTACTTATCTACTATACAGTCTTACTACCAATTTGCAATAAATTAAAACTTCAGACCAAATTCTCTCCAACACACAAACATGTATAAAGAAAACATCCTGGCTGGGCACGGTGGCTCATGCCTGTAATCCCAGCACTTTGGGAGGCCAAGGAAGGTGGATCACGAGGACAGGAAATGGAGATCATCCTGGCTAACACGGTGAAACCCCATCTCTACTAAAAGTACACAAAATCAGCTGAGCGTGGTGGCACGTGCCTGTAGTCCCAGCTACTCGGGAGGCTGAGGCAGGAGAATCGCTTGAACTCTGGAGGCGGAGGTGGCAGTGAGTTGAGATCCCACCATTGCACTCCAGCCTGGGTGACAGAGCGAGACTCCATCAGAAATAAGAAAGAAAGAAAGAAAGAAAGAGAGAGAGAGAGAGAGAGAGAGAAAGAAAGGAGGGAGGGAGGGAGGGAAGGAAGGAAGGAAGGAAGGAAGGAGGGAAGGAAACATTCATTAGTAAAGAGACACTCATCACGCAACCATGTACAAAAACTCTGGTGGTTTTGGGTGATGCAACCACACTAGTATAAAAAATTTATTCAAGGTAGTCACAATAATTTTCCAAGGGTAAGATTTTCTGATTCTTTTTTTTTTTTTTTTTTTTTTTTTTTTTGAGGCAGAGTCTCTCTCTGTTGCCCAGGCTGGAGTGCAGTGGTGTGATCTCAGCTCACTGCAAGCTCCGCCTCCCGGATTCACGCCATTCTCCTGCCTCAGCCTCCCAAGTAGCTAGGATTTTCTGATTCTTATAGCTGTTATTAGCCAAACAGAAATCCCACAATGTGGCTAGATATAGGATCACTCTAGGAAAAAGTTTCAGGAGCTTCCTAATAATGGTGCAGGTGATAGACTACATCCCAACACTCCATTTATACAAGAATGGATTGTGTCTTTAAAATATTTTAGCCAATTCACATATCATATATAAACATTAAATATGGAAATGTACACACACATATACAAACATGTGTACATAAATGTATCTATGCACACACACATTATAACAACATTGTTCAGGTCAGGGATCAACAAACATTTTTTGTAAAGGGCCAGATAATAAACATGTTAGGCCTTTCAGGACATACGGTTTCTGCTGCAAAGTCCATGTAGCAATGTCTATATTGCAACAACTCAGCCATGCCATTGTTGTGTAATGACAGCCGCAGACAACAAGTAAGGGAATGAAACACAATTGTGTTCTGCTACTTCACTTAGGGACAATGAAATTTGAGTTTTATATAATTTTTTCATGTTGCAAAATATTTATTTTGACCTTTTCCAGCATTTAAAAATGTAGAATGTGAATAGATTCAATTATTTTTGAGAACATTTGCATCATTCTCAACAACAGTGTTTACCTTTAACTGTGTGCTGCATATATTTAGGTGTAGCCAATTGTTAATGCTGTCCTTCTGTGGAAAGGAGTCATTCACGAGAATGTCTCATTTCTCTGTGATTTTCTGAGGTGTGGCAAAGTATCCCCTGCAGTTCCTCATTCAATATCAAGTTACAGACTCAGACTATGGTCTAAGACAGGCAACTACTCATAGTCCCTTTTGGACTTTAATTTGCTGGAGGCTTCCCTGTTGTGAACTAGAAGGGACTGAGTTGAATAGGTTGATGAGATGAGAAAAGCACTTTTCTACTCCTGGATTAGGTTGATACCCAGAGTGGTACTTTTACCCACATACCCCCACCAACCCACACATACATACATAGGCACACACTACACCCATACCTTTTGACAGAGAAAAAAAATAAAGAAGAATTTTATTTACTAGATAATTTAATTCACATCATGAAGATGAGATCTCCGAGATTTAAGTTCATAATCATCCTCTTTTCAAACTTTAAATTCTACTGAAATTCTCAACCTGCTTTCAAAAAGATGACTTCCCATAGCCATTATGTATTCATAAAATTCACAATTATGTATATGCATGTATAAGTTAGTATTTAATAAAGAAAAAGTGTAAAATTTATTCTTACCTCACAGTCATGGGCCATCCCAAAACATGTGATGGGCAGTATTTGGCCTGCAAGGTATAGTTTGTCAACCCCTCATCTGGATTGTACTACTTTATTGTTTTTTGTTTTTGTTTTTGTTTTTGAGATGATGTCTTGCTCTGTCACCCAGGCTGGAGTGCAATGGTGCGATCTTGGCTCACTACAGCTTCGCCTCCCAGGTTCAAGTGATTCTCCTGCCTCAGCCTCCTGAGCAGCTGGAATTACAGGTGCATGCCACCACACCCAGTAAATATTTTGTGTTTTTAGTAAAGACGGGGTTTCACCGTGGTAGCCAGGATGGTCTCGATCTCCTGACTGTAATACTTTACAGCCAATTTCTGAAACAATAATTTCAGAAATCAACAATTTCTGTGATCAGAAAAGTGAAAAGACAGTAATTAGAGAATACCTGTTTGCTTGTGTTATCTGATTTACTCATTATAAAAACTCTTGCTATGTACTGTATGATTTTCACCATTTTATACAAGTGGAAAGGAGAACTCAGCCATGTTGTACATACAGAGTAGAGAGTCAAGTGCCGACCTGACTTTAAAGTTCACGTGCTTTCCTCTTCAAAGTCATGCTTGTGGATTTTCCCTTAGAAAGGAACAATGATCCTTTCAAAGTGGAGAGGGTCTGAGCTTCTTTCTTTGCAGTGGCTCTTCTGCTGAATGCCATTGCATGACATGTGACTGGCCCCTTTGAGCATAGCGAATACAACGGGGATGGAGCTCCTTGGCGTTGTGCACAGAGTCTGACCGGTTTTTCTTTGTTGTTGTAGTTTCGACATTTTTTTTTTTTAATCTAGGAGGTTTTTGATGAGAAACCACTAAAGGGCTTTAAACCCTGGATTGATATAATCAAATTTGTGTTTTGCAAATGTAGTGTTGAGATCTGAGGCTACATTTCAGAACAAGAGGTCAGCACCAAATGAATCACTGATATGACCAGTTTATATAATAAAAGCAAAGATACAACTGTAAAAGTCTATACTTATTTGAAATGGTAAACATATATTCTAAGTGTTAAAAATTAGGTATGTGTATTTTCTGCACAAGAGGACCTGACCAAAAAAAGAAGAAGCACATACAAAATAGAACTGTGCTTTATCTTACATGTAACCTGAATGTTACACAAACTACATATTAATTAAATAATTGATATTCATTTGCTTTACTTCTTAGATTTCTTGAAATACAGTAATTTTGATTTTTCATTAGAAGGACAATTGTATAATGTTTAATAAGAATCATAATTTTGACTCAAAAATATCACATGTAGGTACTATTTTTCTTATGCAAAATAATATATGTTTTGGCATATAAATTGCCAAATTTTGTATAGAAGTAAATTACTGGAAACAACCTAAATCTCTATCAATATAGGATTAGGTTAATGGATAATAATATATCCATATAAGGGAAAAGTATGTAGTTTTTAAGAAGATAGTTCAGTATATATTTATTTTTAAATATCTCTAAGATATGTTTCATTTAAAAAATAGTTACATGTCAGTGCATATCATTTATATAAAATGTGTATCTATCATTACCATTCTGTTTCTGTTTCTATGTGTGTTTTGTCTGTGTGTGTTAAAAGACACATGATTTCTAGGCAGCAGAAAACAAAGAGGGAAAAACAAAACAAAACAAAATAAAAGCTAGTTACCTCAAAGGAGGAAAAGATGCTTGCAGGAGACCAGGAAAAAGGCCAGGAACGTGTTTTTTTTTTTTTTTTCTTTATAGCCTTTCATACTTTTTGAATTTTTTTATCGGAAACCTGTATTACATATTTTTAAAAAGCTTTAAACAAAGCTCTAGGAAGTCTAACAGAGTGGATTTCTTTTATTTTATTTTAGTAAATATCCATTTAGCAAGTCGACACAGCCAACATTGCTCCATCAAACTCAGTGTTTTTCTTAGAGTAGCGAGTGTTCGGTGGATGCTTATTGTTGTAGATGATGAAGCTTCTGGGACTGTTTCTTCCACATTTTTAAAGAACAGAGTCAGGCGCGGTAGCTCACGCCTGTAATCCCAGAACTTTGGGAGGCTGAGGCAGGTGGATCATGAGGTCAGGAGATCGAGACCATCCTGGCTAACACGGTGAAACCCCGTCTCTACTAAAAATACAAAAAATTAGCCGGGTGTGGTGGAGGATGCCCGTAGTCCCAGCTACTTGGGAGGCTGAGGCAGGAGAATCGCTTGAACCATGGAGGTGGAGGTTGCAGTGAGCTGTGATCCCACCACTACACTCCAGCTTGGGTGACAGAGAGAGACTCCATCTCAAAAAACAAAAACAAAAAACAGAGTTGGACTTACCCCACATCTTTTGCTAACGTTCTCAGTTTACACCAAGAGAATCCCATGTCTCCAATTAGAACAGTGAAGTATTAGTAATAGCTCATGGGTATTATATACCATACTCTGTTCTAAGGGCTGCACATGCAGACTCAGTCCATCCTCTAAAAAACCTTCTGCCAAATGCTGATTTACAGTTAGGGAAACTGAGTCACAGAAAGCTTAGGCCACATAGCTATTAAGCACAGGGCCTGATTTTAACACCAGCAGTCTGGCCCCATCATGCTCTGCTATGGGCTTCTACATCACTGGGGTTAAGGGGCTGTCCCGGCCAAGGCCCCCCGAGTCCCTGCTTGACCATGACCATCTCCAGAATTCTTCACTTCCTGTGTTGGGTTCCACCAAGGGAGAGGTCCAAGCCACTTAGGTTGGCACACAGGTTTCTCCTGACTTGACGTCCTCACCTCACAAGCTTTTGCTGTCCTCTCTTCAACCACTTCTCTCACCCCATGGTTAGGTGCACTGAGCAGTACCCAGTTCCCTTAGGATCCATGCTCTCTCTTTTCTCTCTGAATTCCTGAGTGAGGAACATCACACTTCTGTATGCCTGGCTGGCTACTGCTCACCCTTACAAACCCAAGCCAGATCTTTTATTCCCCTACACCCTCTCCTTTCCTGCCGTTCAACCACACACACACCAGCCTGGATTGTTCATCCACGTGTTCTATCAAAGCATTTGTCAGAATGTGTTCTAGTTGCCTATTAGCATATCCGATTTCCTCAAGGCTGGGTACTCGTTATTGGCAGCTACTTTATGTCCCCAGCTTCTTGTTCAGTGTGTGGGTAAATCATAGGAGTTCCATAAAATTCTTGTAAATAAACAAATGAAAGCTGTAAGGAAGAATTGCTTCTGCCTGGTGATGCTCTGCTGCATGGCTAATTTTCCAAGGGCACTCTGAGAAAAGGCAGCGATTTCCTCTCCCTCTAAGTTGATTTAAGTGATATAAACAATAGATACAAGGGGTTTTAGTCAGTCAATAAAAAGCACTTTCTAAAATTTTGCTTGGGCACCTAACAATTCAATGATTTTAACTTTCCACTATCTCCTACCTCCTCCATAAAATATTTTTAGAAATAATGTAGACTGTAATGACAACTCTTGCCAACCTTGTAGAAGTTGATTCCATTCTCTTGGTACATCATAAAGGTCAACAGTGGATCACGTACATTTCTGGTTTATTTTGAACTATTTCTTAGGTGTTATTCTTGACTCTTAAATGACCTCTAATGTGTATGCATAGTAGGTGTTTGTAGACATAACCTTCCAAGTCATTCAGCCTCTAATGTCTTAGATTTTTCATCTATTGAGTTAGAATTACTATGGCTCTTTAATTTCTTCTAGAATAATTCCTAGTAAAGAATGATTCAATCTTTTTTATGAGATTTACTCATGTAAACTTTTTGTCTAAGATATTTACTTATAAGAATTCATTTTCTTTTCACCAAATTCATAATGTATTATTACCCTTTGGGAAACTGACAGACAAATAATTTAAAAAGAAAAAAAAAAACAAACTAGTGCAAAGTCACATAGTTAGGCAGAGGCAGAGCCAGGATTCAAACCTGGGCACTTAAACACCAGAGACCACGTTTATAAGAGACCAGAGACTACTCTGCCACTTGTATATAGTTATATTATACTTTAAAGGGTGAAAATAATCTTGCACAAATGCAACAAGAGGATACATTCTGCAAGAGACACGGGTACTTTGTTTTCACCCACAGCATCACCTCTCAGGGGGTTTGTGACCCTTCACAGTTTACTGCATTTCTCTTGATATCTTTTCACATGTTTTTGAGCCCTAACATTTTGCTATTCCATGGCTAACACTGTTTCTTCAGGATATAACCACCCCGGAATAAATAAAGAGGGAGTATGTTGTATTTTATAACATGAGCCCAACTGATATTGAAAGAATACCTACAGTCAAGTCTGGGAATCCCCAGTCTATCTCACAAGTTCCATCTGACACTTGTCACTCTCTACTGTCCCCCGTGATAAGGCCTCTGCCACTGAGATGGCTTCCTGGGGTTGTCTCATCATCCTACCTTTTTTGCAAGTGTGAAGCCTCATACCAAGGAGGCTCCTGCCACATGGTCCCAGAGCCGTCCATGCCCCTACCCCCACGGTCCTCACACATACTTGCTGCTGCCTCCAGAGCCATGCGTCGTTAACACACGGTGGATGAAGAAATGGTCACGTGTAGCGGTTTCCGATGCCTCAAAGCCAAAGCTCCTTGACAAATGGAAATGAGGCCTTTCCATCTGTGCTTCATTCCATCAAAGAGGCATCAAAGCTATGGTATCCTGTGCACTCAGTTCTCACATAGAGTTAATTAGCCCTTACCATTTCTTACTTGCGGCTGTCTTTTCTAAGTTTATAAAAGTTAAACCAGTGAACAAACCTGAGTAGCAGATACTCTATTTCGCTAGGACTCCTTTGCTCCCCTCTGACACCTGAGGCATTTTCACTGGGTCAAGGTTATGTACCTGAAGTTTATTGCTTTTTGATGAGTTTTTCCTCTATAAGCCCATTAGCAAACATGGGGTATCTGATGTAGACACAACTTGGATTCAACCCGGGTCCTCCCTCCCTCCCTGACTAACTATAGATATCATGGAAAACTGCCAGAAGTGGATGCCACAGTACTCTCCTCATTAATGGCAAGTAGTAAGATATGTGTGTGTGTGTGTGTGTTTAAAAATATGTAAAGAAGGGGCTAACACGGTGAAACCCCGTCTCTACTAAAAATACAAACAAATTAGCCGGACGTGTTGGCTGGCGCCTGTAGTCCCAGCTACTCGGGAGGCTGAGGCAGGAGAATGGCGTGAACCCAGGAGGCGGAGATTGCAGTGAGCCAAGATCGCTCCACTGTATTCCAGCCTGGGCGACAGAGCGAGACTCTGTCTCAAAAAAAAAAAAAAAAAAAAAACAAAAAAATATATATATGTATGTGTGTGTATATATATATATGTAAAGAAGGAAGGATATAGTCACTAATATGTGGTATGATGATGAAGTGAGCACAAACCAGGAAGCGTAAGACATCACCAATATTAAAATATGGTGTACCTGTATTTTGTCATTTCTAAATTCATGGAAATTGAACCTGAGAAAGTGTCCTCTTTTGAAGAAGACAACTAAAAATGAAGACTACTTCAAATTTGAATCAGGTGGTTTGTGTGCGGGGTTCCCCACCACCCAGTAGAAACACATTCCAGCCACCATGAAGATGAGTGCAGAGAACTGATCATGGAAGACAAATTCCTAGCACACATAGCCTGCTGAGAAATGAGCTTCTGGCCCACTTGCAGGCAGCTTGCCAGGTGGCATGTACTCTGGCAGGCAGGAAGCTTGCCACACACCTGGATGGAGCAGACCGGTGCCACTCTGCTTGGACGCTGGGCCAGGTGCATTTACCACTGTCCCAGGAGGTGTCTGGTTCCAGCAGGCGCACAACTTCTCCTTTCACTTCAGAGCAAAAGCCGCCGCGTAATTTATTCAGGATGGGCCCAGATTCTTAATTGGACAGGTGTGCAAGAAAACTCTGGCTGTGAGCACAGCGTGTTCTACCATCGAACTTTTCTGTCGACATCCTTTCAGCACTTTCCGTCAGGCTAACCTTAACTCTGTCAGGTCAGACTCCGGCAGGTGGTGGGGCTAGCCAAGAATGACAGAAACATGAAGTTGTGAAAAATCAAACACTAACCCATAGGAGTGATTTTTTTCCCCCACTTTTTCTCAAGTTCCCAAAGGCAAAGGAAAAAAGGAAGCTCTCATCTTTTCTTTCTCTAGGATCTGCTGTACTGATTCGCCATCTGTTGACTTTGATGGGTTAACTCTTTCCCTGATGCCGTCTTTGTCAATTTGAGTGTGTGTAGGGGATGGATCAGGAGAGCAAAGGGAGCAGAAAGGAGGGAGGAGGTAGGAAGAGTCAGAGACAGTAAGATTTTTTTAATTTCTGGGAAGGTAGTGTCATTGGGAGATTGAGATGAGATTGAAATAATTTTTGCAGAGATTAAAAGTCAAAGGTGACAGCTAAGGAAGGGGGGCAAAGAAAAGGAAAGTAAATGAGTGTTTGTTAGCTTAGCATTATGTGCAAGGGTCTGTGCTAAGTTCTTATAAATATCAACACCATTCCTTCTTCATTCTCATTTTAAGGGGAAAAAACTTCTTCAGATACAATATCCTATACCATTCCTTCTCATACAGTTGAGTTTACTAAGGAACTGGTCATCTGGGTTTCATTTTTGCCTCTAGCATTGACATTTATTATGTGACTTTGAACATTTCCCATTGCTTTCATATATCTAATTTTCTATAACGGGAAAAATAGATTAGGAATACTATACTAGCCTTCCCCTGAGAATATACATAAGAAATAATGCCTATAAGAAATATCAATGGAGTGGGGTCTAGCTATCTACAGAATGTTATTACTGATGCTGTTTTGGAATGCACTGATGATTATACAGACTGGGAACCAGGCCAAATGGAAACTACACCACCTTTTCTCCAAACGATTAAGTAGTTGCCATTTATCACTCCCTAGAAATAAGGTCTCCCTCACTCTATGTTGGTGTGCAAATTAGTCAGGGGGGTTCCCAGGTAATTACTGCAATCAAATGTTCATGAGCTTAACACGCCCCTGAGAATCATATGAACTCTCACTCACCCAGCCAGAGCAACCGGACAGCAGACAGCCCAGATGCCACTCCATGAGTCGACCATGCTGAATCACCCCCTGAACCTCATGTATGCAGCTGCTCCAGGAGTAATGGGTTACTCCATACCTACAGAGAAAGGTTCAGCCCTCCAGGTTTCTGCTGGATCTTCCAGCTGCAGAGAGGTGTATCTCACCTTCCCCCTGAGGAGTAACCAGCTGTGGAGCAAGTTGGACTTAACTATGTGGCCTCCTATGGATCAAATACAAAGCTCAGGCTTCCTGGGTAACTTGCAACTTTGGACTTGGCCCATAGAACAAGGCTTGCCAGGGATCATCTGCTGTCTACACATACCACAGGTTCCAGAATCTCATAATGTATTTGAAGGAAAAGGTATCCCTTAAAATAGATCTGTTTTATAAATTTTTATTTCAGTTTGTGGGAAGACTTAGACGTATTTTGTTGTGTGTGTATCTCACCCCTGCGCTTTCCTAAAATAAGGCAGCCAAAAGGCAGCCTTAAAAATTTTAAGACTGCACAATTCCCCCAAAAGACATTTGAAGTGTCATTAATATTTAAATTTACTTGGAAGTGAGAAAGTACCAGGGAAAACCTAGAGGAGAAGCAGGAAACAAAATGAGTAGGGGAAAGAAAAAATCAATTTTTTACAGATAACTTTCTGTGGAAAATACGGTTGCATAATAATAATGGTACAGTAATAGTTTTAATCATTGCTAACATTTGAGTTCTTATTCTGCTCACCACCTTACATGCCCGATTTCATGTGCTCCTCAAACAACTCTGTACAATAGCTATTATCTCCATTTTAGAACTGGTACTAATGGCTGGAGAGAGTTAGCATTATAGAGAAAACATTCCTCTCCATACTTAGAATATTTTTCTACTTCCTGTTTTATCATTTTCTAATAATATAGTCTCTAGAATTGGAACTTTTCAAGCAGGGCTCTGGGCTAGAATATGAGCTAAAGATAGTAGAAACAAGATAAAAGACATTGATTGAAAGACAGGGATGAAGCAAGGACGTCTGTGTTCAAATGCTGGAAGGGACTCTTTAGAGTTCTGCCCACAAGGCACCTGCTTCTAGAAAGATTCTTGTCTCACTCATTTCAGAAAAATGACATTGCTTTTCAAGAAAATAAAAACACAACCATGGCGATATGCCTAATATGGCTCTCTGTCCAAATATTTACCTTCCTCACTTCCCTAATGCTCCTGTAATTCTTCTTTTTGTGGGGTGATTTTGGTGATAGGCTTTAAAAAGTTAGGGTTCATATCTGGGGGGGCAGAGCTTGCAGTGAGCGGTCATCACGCCACTGCACTCCAGCCTGGGCGACAGAGCAAGACTCCGTCTCAGAAAAAAAAAAAAAAAAAGTTGGGGTTCACATGTACTAGGGCTGTAGGGCTGATATTGGCATATTGCCAAACTGTGATATGAAATGACTCTCAGTATTTCTCATTTGATAAAAAAATTCTGAAGGAAATGTAGACATCTTTCACTTATCCCACATGATATTCACACCAAAGGCTCTACAAATTAAAATTGTCCAATAAAACAATCATCAGCTTTATGTACTAACATTTTTTTCTTCCTCACATTTCTTGCATTCCTCAGCAAATCTTCTCTAACGCTCACAGTTGGTGTGATTACCTTATTATTTTTCTAAAACACTTCAGTTTCATAGCATATTTAATGGTCATTGTTAAACACTGTTTATGCAATTATTTGTTTAGTTTTTTATTAGACTGTGAGCTCCATTAAAATGGGAAGTGCATCTGTCTTGTTCAGTGTTTTATCTCAAGAATCTATGCAAGACCCATGTCTGCAATGAATGTACACATTTTTCTTATTTAATAGCTTTATTGTTAATATAGCCATTTAATATATACCACTCCCTCCTCAATATACCTGAATATATCATCAGTCACAAAGGTTAATGTTTAAAATCTATACTCTCCATCTTCTCACTACATCAGCCTTTGTTATGTGTAATATTTTTTGCACTTGGAGTATTAGTACAAACCTTATTTAATTCTCCATTTTTCAGCTTCCCCAAATTTAACTCAATTCTGAACAAGTTACAACATGTGACACTCAGCTGCTTTAACTTCTTAACACTGCCATGTTGAATTCAATCAAGACCATGTTTCTGTTTTTGAGCAGAGCAAGTAAATCAAGGAAGACTTGAAGGTGACTATGAATTTTTTTTAGTTGATTCAAACTAATTGACAAAGGTCATATTTTTCTAAATTACAGATCCTGGCTCTTTTTCACAGCTGCCTAAACTGGTTTTAGTACTTCCATTCTTTTCGTTGGGTACTATTTCCTCATTTATCTTAAGGATCTTAATCTTATTCATTTTGTTTAATTATGTCTTTTCTGGGGGTCATGAAAGATCTTATTTACTGCATCTTGTAGACTACCTTCCATGCTTTGTAAACTTTTAATTTTTGGAGTAGTATAGATTCAGAGAAAAATTGAGAATATAACACAGAGTTTCCATATGCCTTGTACCAGTTTCACCTAATATTAACATCTTACATTTGTATATTACATTTATCACAATTACTGAACAAAATAGTGATACATTAAAATCTGTATTTTATGCAAATGTCCCTAGTTTTTAGCTAATGTCCTTTTTCTGTTCCAGAATATCATCCACAATACAACATTACATCTAGCTACCACATCTCCTCAGGCTCCTCTTGACAGATAGTTCTGCTAAACCTTTTATTTTTGATGACCCTGACATTTTTTAGGCAAGCTGGTCATGTATTTTTTAGAATGCCCATTAATTGGGATTTGTCTGATATTTCTCCAATGATTACACTGAAGTTCTGCTTTTGGGAAAGGGAGACTACAGAGATCTCACCACATCATTTCAAGGGCATATGCTATCAACATGCATTACACTGTGATGATAACTTTTATCACCTGGTTGAGGTAGTGTTTGCCATGTTACCTACTATAGAGTTACTCCCCAATTCCTTTCAACTGTACTCCTAGGAAAAATGTCACTAGGCACAGGCCCCTATTAAGGGGTGGAAAGTTATGTTCTACTTCGGTGAGGAGAGAGTATTTACACACATTATCTGGAATTCTTTTGTGTGGGAGAATTGTTGCCTCTCCTTATTTTATTATTGTATACTTTGGTTTATAATTCAATAACATTTTATTTATTTTGCTACTCAAATCGTTTCATCTTTGGTCTTTGAAGCTCTGTCATTAACTCCTGTGTCTCTGTATTAGTCTGTTCTTATGCTGCTATAAAGGATTCCCCAAGAGTGAGTAATTTATAAAGAAAACAGGTTTAATTGACTTACAGTTCTGCAGGGCTGGGGAAGCCTCAGGAAACTTACAATCATGATGGAAGGGGAAGCAAACACATCCTTCCTCACATGGCAGCAGGAAGGAGAAGAATGAGAATCAAGCAAAGGGGGAAGCCTCTTATAAAACCATAAGATCTTGTGAGAACTTACGGTCATGAGAATAGTATGGGGGATACCCATCCCATCATTCAATTACCTCCCACCAGGTCTCTCTCATGACATATGGGGATTATGGGAACTACAATTCAAGATGAGATTTGGGTGGGGACATGTCCAAACCATATCAGTCTCTTTAGAATATTATCATCAGTGTGGTTTTTTGTTTGTTTGTTTTCGCAAACTTTATTTTTATTTTCTGGGATTACAAGATGCTCCAGGCTCATATTGTACAATTTCTTCCCCAGTCCTAGAATCACTCATTATTCCATGAAGTTCTGTTTTATTTCTTCGAAAATTGTATTAGAAGTCAAAGCCTCGACACTAAGTCTACTTGTTTCTTAGATCTTCTCATGTGGTATGTCATTGTTTTTAGGCTCCTTAGATGATACAGTAAGGTATATATTAATCCTTGTATTTATACTAACTCTTATGTATATACATATACATATTTCCATATTTAACTATATTAAGTATGTTTATATATACCCATTATCACATAGCTCATCCTGGCATCTTACTTTGGTTATCTGTAACATCTTTCTCAATAGTGAGAAACTTCGTTTCTATCCTCCACATCTATTTACTTAATTGTTCAATTTCAGTATAGATGTATAGTGTTTTCAGAATTGTTAACCCATACTGCTGAAAGAAATAACTTTGTCAGAGTATAGTTTTTATGTACATTTCCTTTGTCCTTTAGTCTAAAAGACTCCTCTCATTACCAAAGTTACTTAGGTCAGAACCTTTTCATCCCCTCACTTCAATAAGGTTGAAATGCACTTAGATAATTTGACACATTAACATTCCATCCTGGCGTCCTTCAGACCTTTGAATTATAGTTTAACCTTTGCATGTAATAACAATAAGATTCATTCTCTGTGCTATAAAGTTCTATGGGTTTTGATAAATGTATATTTTCTTGTACCCTCTATTAAAGTATCATGCAGAATAATTTCACTACCCTAAAAAAAACCCTGATAAACTTATGGTTGCCAGTTCTACATGTAAGGAATTTGGAAGATGCCACCCCATCTTAACAATAGGTAGGAAGCTAAACAGGCTGAAAAATCAAAAACTCTTTGTCTGTAAAAGAGGTAAGGGCATAGGGCAAACTCTGCCCTCAAGATTGAAGAGAGGGACAGATGGATATAAGAAGTCACCCCTTACCAGAGCAGAGACTCACAGGTGGAAATTACTTTGGGAACCAGTGCCGGGGTAGGAAAAACTGAACTGTAAATTAAAAATTGCTAGTCTCAGTATGGACAATTCTGAGTCAAAAAACGATAAAGGAACCCATTTTGGGGGGATGTTTTAATTTAAGATCTTTAAGGATAGAGAGTACCTTTCCAATGATTAGGAGAGACACAAAATGGAAATGAAATTTTATTACTTACAGGTTCTAGGGAGGGATGGTTTATGGCATGTCCAGAGGACCCTGACATGGAGGTCAAGGCAGGCAGAGAGAGAAAGAGGGAAACATGGGCTAATGCCTTTATTGGGCCTAGGGCATTATTCAAACAGTATTCCCACAGGGAATTTTAATCGGTTGGTTGAAAGAAAGCAGGCACGTGTTCCAGGAGGTCACAGAGTGACTGAGAGCCAGTCACTGTAGCATATCCACACAGTCTATGTGGGGTGAGAAAGTCAATGTGCCTACTCAAGCAGGCTACATCTACCTGTCTGATAGGGAACTGATCACTAGGGAGCAGTTGTATAAGACAGATATCTGGACTGATGGACCATATTGAAGAACTGGAGCTGGGTGTAGAACTGGAAACTGTGTCCAGGGTGACTGTGCTCTGCTTCTGGTATGAAAATGTGTAGTTTATATTTAAAACGGTTGCTGAGGCAAATTAAAATTTGCTGCAGGGAGGGTACTCCATTTTTGTGAATTTTACCTCCGTAAGCTCTGTTGAGTACTCACAGTAAATGTCAACAAAAAATTCCCTCATGCTTCCAGAAGGGGGAGGAGTAAAGGAACAATTTTGAAATATGTCAGAGCATTCTGTCTTTCTTATCAAGGCCTGCCTCAGAATAAACTATCAACCAAAGCTAAATCTTCCGAAGTGATCTGAGGAAAGAAAAGTACCCAACTCCAGAACACTCTAGCCATCCTGTCCAACCTAAGAGAAAGGGAACCGACAAACACTTGTGAAGCTCACAATCCAGAGGCAAAGGCTTACTAAAAAACTGAGACCAAATCAAAACTATATTTGCAAAAATTATAACAGTGAAAGAAATCTAACCTAACTGACTCTATCATGCTTCTAACCTCACAAGCTAGCTCTCCTTGCTCATTCTTGGGTGTAGGCCAAGCTAACTATAAAAGGAATTTAGTTCATAGTTTAACTTTGAAGCAAGGATGATACTAGTCCCTCTCAAAACTGACCCTTCTGGGGACTAAAACTATCTTTGTGAGACTAATGAAAGGCCTCAAAGTTGGAATTATGAAAGGGGCTTGAATTCTGCTATAATGTAGGTGCAGTTAAACAATTACCAGCCTATTCCCTAGCTTGCTTTTCTATAATAGCTTACTGCTCAAGAGTTATGTAGCAGGTGGTCACAAGATTTGTAACTTCCCTAATTGCTCCTAGAAATAACATCACTATTGTAAAATCTAAGATTAGTCTTTGAGATATTTTTCAGACTTTTGCATTCTGGTGACTAACTCCACTCAGACTTGTGACTCATACCAAGGAACTGACTCAACTGGTCCTATGACTCCCCCACCCCTTTCCCAGAAACTCGTTCAGCACATAAAGACAGTTTTTAACATCCCTATGATTTCATCCACAACTAATCATCAGCACTCATTCCCCAACTCCCTTCCATACAATTATCCTTAAAATCCCTAGCCTTTGAGTTCTCAGGGAGGTGGATTCAAGAAAAATCTCCCATCCTTCCATTTGGCTTTCTTGAGATAATTAAACTGTTTCTCTGCTGCAATCCTTCTGTCTCAGTCAATTGGCTTCAACTGTGCAGCAGGCAAGAAGAACCCGTTGGGTGGTTACAAAACTATAAAACTACAGGACACTCTCTCTACCCCCACATTTTACCACCACATTACTAAATAACTATTTACAGCAATATTTTTAACCAATACATCACGTCCAGCTATAAAAAGAAAAAAAAAACTGCAAGGCATATCAAAAGGCAAAAAAAAAAAAAAAAAAAAAAAAAAATCGCAGTTTTAAGAGAAAGAACAAGCATCATAATGAGATATGGCAAACATGTTGAAATCATCAGAGAATTTATTTATTATTTTATCTTTTCATATTTCTTTTTTGTTAAATTTTACTTTAAGTTCTGGGATCCATGTGCAGAATGCGCAGGGTTGTTTTGTAGGTATAGATATGCCATGGTGATTTGTTGCACCTATTGACTGATCCTCTAACTTTCCTCACCTCACCCCCACCCCCAAAAAAGCCCCAGTGTGTGTTGTTCCCCTCTCTGTGTCCATGTGTTCTATTGTTCAACTCCCACTTATGAGTGAAAGCATGTGGTGTTTGGTTTTCTGTTCCTCTGTTAGTTTGCTGAGGATGATGGCTTCCAGCTTCATCCATGTCCCTGCGAAGGACATGAACTCATTCCTTTTTATGGCCGCATGGTGCTCCATGGCAAATATGTTCCACATTTTCTTTATCCAGTCTATCATTGATGGGCATGTGGGTTGGTTCCATGTCTTTGCTATTGTAAATAGTGCTGCAATAAAAATACATGTGCATATATCTTTATAGTGGAATGATTTATATTTCTTTGGGTATATACCCAGTAATGGGATTGCTGGGTCAAATGGTATCCTTGGTTCTAGATCCATGAGGAATCACCATATTGTCTTCCACAATGGCTGAACGAATTTACATTTCCACCAACAATGTAAAAGTGTTCCTATTTCTCCATAGCCTCACCAGCATCTATTATTTCTTGAATTTTTAAATAATCACCATTCTGACTGGCATAAGATGAATTTCATTATGGTTTTGATTTCCATTTATCTAATTATCAGTGATGTTGAGCTTTTTTTCATGTTTGTTGGCACGTAAAAGTCTTCTTTTAAGAAATGTCTGTTCATATCCTTTGCCCACTTTTTGGTGGGGTTGTTTGTTTGTTTCTCACAAATTTGTTAAGTTTCATATAGATTCTGGATATTAGATCTTTGTCAGATGGGTAGATTGCAAAAATTTTCTCTCATTCTGTAGATTGCCTGTTCACTCTGATGATAGTTTCTTTTGCTGTTCAGAAACTCTTTAATTAGATCCCATTTTTCAATTTTGGTTTTTGTTTCAATTGTTTTTGACATTTTTGTCATGAAGTCTTTGCTCATGCTTATGTCCTGAATGATATTGCCTAGGTTTTCTTTTAGGGTTTTTATGAATTTGGGGTTTACATTTAAGTCTTTAATCCATCTTGAGTTAATTTTTGTATAAGGTATAAGGAAGCGGTCCACTTTCAGTTTTCTGCATATGGCTAGACAGTTTTCACAGCACCATTTACTGTATAGGAGATCCTTTCCCCATTGCTTGTTTTTGTGAGGTTTATCAAAGATCAGATGGTTGTAGATGTGTGGTGTTATTTCTGAGGTCCTTGTTCTGCTCCATTGGTCTATATGTTTGTTACGGTACCAGTACCATGCTGTTTTGGTCACTGTAGCCTTATAGTATAGTTTGAAGTGAGGTAGGGTGATACCTCCAGCTTTGTTCTTTTTGCTTAGGATATTCTTGGGTATATGACCTCTTCTTTGGTTTCATATAAAATTTAAAGTAATTTTGTTCTAATTCTGTGAAGAATGTAAATGGTAGTTTGATGGGAATAGCATTGACTCTATAAATTACTTTAGGCAGTATGGACATTTTCACAATACTGATTCTTCCTACCCATGAGGATGGAACGTTTTTCCATTTGTTTTTGTCCTCTCCTATTTACTTGAGCAGTGGTTTGTAGTTCTTCTTGAAGAGGCCCTTCACATCCCTTCTTAGATGTATTTCTAGGTATTTTATTCTTGTTGTAGCAATTGTGAATGGAAGTTCATTCATGATTTGGCTCTCTGCTTGTTTATTGTTGGTGTAAAGGAATGCCAGTGATTTTTACACATTGATTTTGTATCCTGAAACTTTGCTGAAGCTACTTATAAACTTAAGGAGGTTTGGGGCTGAGATGATGGGGTTTTCTAAACATAGAATCATGTCATCTGCAAACAGAGACAAGTTGACTTCCTCTCTTCCTATTTGAATATGACTTATTTCTTTCTTGTGCCTGATTGACCTGGCCAGAACTTCCAATACCATGTTGAATAGGAGTGGCAAGAGAAGGCATCCTTGTCTTGTACCAGTTTTCAAAGGGAATGCTTCTAGCTCTTGCCCATTCAATATGATTTGGCTGTGGGTTTGTCATAAATAGCTCTTATTATTTTGAGACATGTTCCATCAATACCTAGTTTATTGTTTTTAACATAAAGGAATGTTGAATTTTATTGAGTGCTTTTTCTGCATCTATTGAGATCATTACGTAGTTTTTGTCTTTGGTTCTGTTTATGTGATAAATTACGTTTATTGATTTGCGTATGTTGAAACAGCCTTGCATCCCAGGGATGAAACAAAGTTGACTTGATCATGGCGGATAAGTTTTTAATGTGCTGCTAGATTTCGTTTGCCAGTATTTTATTGAGGATTTTCACATTGATGTTCCTCAAAGACACTGGCCTGCAAGTTATTTTGTAAATGTCAACAAACTAATCCTAAGGCTCATATAGAGAAGAAAAAGACTAAGAGTAGCCAACATAATATTGAATAAGAAGGAGAGAGTTGTAAGACTGACACTTCATAACTTCAAGACTTACTATAAAACTACAATAATCAACAGTGTGGTATTAGCAAAAATAATAGATGAATAGATCAATAGAGGTTAGAAATAGATCAACATATATATAGTCAACTGATCTTTGACAAAGAAGTAAAGGCAATACAATGGAGCAAAGATAGGCTTTTCAACAAATGGTGTTGAAATAATTGAGGATCCACATGCAAAAAAAAGTGAATTTACACACAAACTTTTCACCCTTCACAAAAATTAACTGAAATTATATCATAGACCTAAGTGTAAAAGGCAAAAGTATAAAACTCTTGAAGATAGTATGGGAGAAAATCTACAAGGCATTGAGTATGGAGATGAATTTTTAGATACAACAGCAAAGCCATGATTTATGAAAGACAGAATTGATAAGCTGGACTTCATTAAAATTTAAAACTTCTGCTATGCAAAAGACAATGTCAAGAGAATGAGAAGACAAGGCACAAACTGGGAGAAAATATTTCTAAAGCATTCATCTGATAAAAGAAATTGTCTTAAAATATACAAAGAACTCTTAAAATAGCAATAAGAAAAGAAGCAATCCAATATTAAAAATTGGTAAAAGACCTTAACAGAAATTATTAAAGAAAATATACAGATGAAAAATAAGCATAAGATAGACACTCCAGATCACATGTCATCATAGAAATGCTGATTATAACAAGAATAAGATACACTAGACACATATTAGAATGGCCAAAGTCCAGAGCACTAACACCACCAAATGCTGATGAGGATATGGAGCAGCAGGAACTCTCATTCATTGCTGGTGGAATGCAAAATGGTACTGCTTCTTTGGAAGACAGGGAGTTTCTTACAAAATTAAACATATTCTTATCATACAATCCAGCAATCTCATTTCTTGGTATCTACTAAAAAAAGTTGAAAAGTTATGCATACAAAAAACTGCATGTAGATATTTATAGCAACTTTATTTATAATTACCAAAACTTCAAAGCAATCAAAATTCCCTTTATGAGAGGAACCACAGACTCTCTGAAGGAAGTAGACTGACCCTGCAGGACCCAGGAGATAACTCAAATACTGTGCTGGTATCCACAGCTGAGAGTCCCACAGACAATTCACATCACAGCACTCTGTGCAGACAACCCCCGGTACCAGCCCAGAGGCTGGTAGATTTTCCAGGTGGCTAGATTCAGAAGAGAGATATCACTTACTATAGCTCACCTCTCAGGAAGCCACATCTATAGGAAAAGTGAGAGAGTGCTACATCAAGGGAGCTCCCTGTGGGACAAAAGAATCAGAACAACAGCCTTCAGTCCTAGACCTTCCCTCTGACAGAGTCTACCCAAATGAGAAGAAATCAGAAAACCAGCTTTGGTAATATGACAAAACAAGTTTCTTTAATACCTCCAAAAAATCACACCAGCTCACTAGCAATGGATCCAAACCAAGAAGAAATCCCTGATTTAGCTGAAAAAGAATTCATGTTAGTTATTAAATTAATCAGGGAGGCACCAGAGAAAGGCAAAGCCCAATGTAAGGAAATTTTTTAAAATGATACAAGAAGTGAAGGGAGAAATATTCAATGAAATAGATGCATTAAAAAAATCAAAACTTCAGGAAACAATGGACATTTTTATAGAGATGCAAAATGCTCTGGAAAGTCTCAGCAATAGAATTGAACAAGTAGAAAAAGAAATTCAGAGCTCAAAGACAAGGTCTTCAAATTAACCCAATTCATAAAAGACAAAGAAAAAAGAATAAGAAAATATGAACAAAGCCTCCAAGACTGTTTGGATTATGTTAAATGACAAAACCTAAGAATAATCGGCATTCCTGAGGAAGAAAACACATCTAAAAGATTGGAAAACATATTTGGGGAAATAATCGAGGAAAGCTCCCCTGCTCTTGCTAGAGACCTAGACATCCAAGTACAAGAAGCACAAATAACACCTGGGAAAATCATTGCAAAATGATCATCACCTAGGCAGATTGTCATCACATTATCTAAAGTTAGGATGAAGGAAAGAATCTTAAGAGCTGTGAGACAAAAGCACCAGGTAACCTATAAAGGAAAACCTATCATATTAACAGCAGATTTCTCAGCAGAAACTCTACAAGCTAGAAGGGATTGGGGCCCTATCTTCAGCCTCCTCCAATGAAACAATTACCAGCCAAGAATTTGTTTTTCTTTTCTTTCTTTTTTTTTGAGACAGAGTCTTGCTCTGTTATCAGGCTGGAGTGCAGTGGTGTGATCTTGGCTCACTGCAACCTCCCCCTCCCAGGTTCAAGCGATTCTCCTGCCTCAGTCTCTTGAGTAGCTGGGACTACAAGTGCATGCCACCACGCCTGGATAATTTTTTGTGTTTTTAGTAGAGACAGGGTTTCACCATGTTGGCCAGGATGGTCTCTATCTCTTGGCCTCATGATCCACCCACCTCAGCCTCCCAAAGTGCTGGGATTACAGGCATGAGCCTGGGCACTTGGCCCAGACAAGAATTTTGTATCCAACAAAACTAAGCTTCATATATGAAGGAAAGATAGTCTTTTTCAGACAAACAAATGCTGAAAGAATTTGCCACTACCAAGCCAGCACTGGAAGAACTGCTTAAAGGAGCTCTAAATCTTGAAACAAATCCTGGAAACACATAAAAACAGAACCTCTTTAAAGCATAATCTCACAGGGCCCATAAAACAAAAATACAATTTAAAAAACAAAAACAAAAAAGCAAGGTATACGGCAACAAATATCATGATGAATGGAATGGTACCTTACATCTCAATACTAACACTGAATGTAAATGACTTAAATGCTCCACTTAAAAGATAGAGAATTGCAGAATGGATAAGAATTGACCAACCAACTATCTGCTGCCTTCAAGAGACTCATCTAACACATAAGAACTCACATAAACTTAAGGTAAGGGGTGGAAAAAGGCATTTCATGCAAATGGACACCAAAAGTGAGCAGGCCGAGTTATTCTTATATCAGGCAAAACAAACTTTAAAGGCACAGCAGTTAAAAGAGAAAAAGAGAGACATTATATAATGATAAAAGGCCTTGTCCAACAGGAAAACATCACAATCCTAAACATATATGCACCTAACACTGGAGCTCCCAAACTTATAAAACAATTACTAATAGACCTAACAAGTGAGATAGAAAGCAACATCATAATAGTGGAGGACTTCAATACTCCAAGCCCAAGTACTTACAGCACTAGACAGGTTATCAAGACAGAAAATCAACAAAGAAACAATAGATTTAAACTATACCCTGGAACAAACGGACTTAACATATATACAGAACATTCCATCCAACAACTGCACAATACACATTCTATTCAACAGCACATGGAGCTTTCTCCAAGATAGACCATATGATAGGCCACAACATGAGTCTCAATAAATTTAAGAAAATTTAAATTATATCAAGCACTCTCTGAGACCACAGTAGAATAAAACTGGAAATCAACTCCAAAAGAAACCTTAAAAACCATGCAAATGCATGGAAATTAAATAACCTGCTCCTGAATGATCATTGGGTCAAACATGAAATCAAGATGGAAATTAAAATCTTCTTCAAACTGAAAGACAATAGTGACACAATGTGTCAATACCTCTGGGATACAGCAAAGGCAGATAGCCCTAAAGTCCTATATTGAAAAGTCTGAAAGAGCACAGACAGACAATCTAAGGTCACACCTCAAGAAACTAGAGAAACAAGAACAAACCAAACCCAAATCCAGCAGAAGAAAGGAAATAACCAAGAACAGAGCACAACTAAATAAAATTGAAACAAAAGAAATACAAAAGTTAAATAAAACAAAAAGCTGATTCTTTGAAAAGATAAATAAAATTGATAGACCATTAGCAAGATTAACCAAGAAGAGAGAAAATCCAAATAAGCTCTATAAGAAATGAAACAGGAGATATTACAACTGAAATCACAGAAATGCAAAAGATCATTCAAGACTACTATGAACACCTATACACACATAAACTAGAAAACCTAGAAGAGATGCATAAATTCCTGGAAAGATACAACCCTCCTAGCTTAAATTAAGAAGAATTAGAGACCATGAAGAGACCAATAACAAGCAGCAAGACTGACATGGTAATAAAAAAAAGTTACCAACAAAGAAAGTCCAGGACCAGATGGATTTACAGCAGAATTCTGCCAGACATTCAAAGAAGAATTGGTACCAATCATATTGACACTACTCCACAAGATAGAGAAAGAAGGAACCCTTCCTAAATGATTCTTTTAAGACAGTATCATCCTAATACCCAAACCAGGAAAGGACACAACCAAAAAAGAAAAATCACAGACCAATATCCCTCATGAACATAGATGCTAACATCCTTAACAAAATACTAGTTAACCAAATCCAACAACATATCAAAAAGATAATCCGCCATGATCAAGTGGGTTTCATACCAGAGATGCAGGTATGGTTTAACATATGCAGTCAATAAATGTGATACACCCCATAAATAGAATTAGAAACAAAAATCACATGATCATCACAATGAATGCAGAAACAACATTTGACAAAATCCAGCATCCCTTTCTGATTAAAACTCTCAGCAAAATCAGCATACAAGGGACATACCTCAGTGTAATAAAAGCCATCTATGACAAACCCACAGCCAACATAATACTAAATGGGAAAAATTTGAAAGCATTCCCTCTGAGAACTGGAATAAGTCAAGAATTCCCACTCTCATTACTCCTCTTCAACATAGTACTGGAAGTCCTAGCCAGAACAATAAGACAAGGGAAAGAAATAAAGTGCATCAAAATCAGTAAAGAGGAAGTCAAACTGTCGCTGTTTGCTGATATGATTGTTTACCTAAAAAACCCTAAAGACTACTCCAGAAAGCTCCTAGAATTGATGAAAGAATTCAGCAGTTTCCAGATACAAAATTAATGTACACAAATCGGTAGCTCTTCTATACACCAAGAGTGACCAAGCTGAGAATTAAATCAAGAACTCAACCCCTTTTACAGTAGCCTCAAAAAAAAAAAAATACCTAGGAATATACCTAACCAAGGAGGTGAAAGACTTCTACAAGGAAAACTACAAAAAAAAAAAAAAGCTGAAAGAATTACAGATGACACAAACAAATGGAAACACATCCCATGCTCATGGATGGGTAGAAACAATATTGTGAAAATGACCATACTGCCAAAAGCAATTTACAAATTCAACACAATTCCCATCAAAATACCACCAACATTCTTCACTGAATTAGAAAAAATAATTCCAAAATTCATATGAAACCAAAAAAGAGCCTGCATAGCCAAAGCAAGACTAAGCAAAAAGAACACAACTGGAGGCATCACATTACCTGACTTCAAACTATACTATAAGGCCATAGTCACTAAAACAACATGGTACTTGTATAAAAATAGGCACATAGACCAATGGAATACAACAGAGAACCCAGAAATAAACCCAAATACAGCCAACTGATCGTCAACAAAGCAAACACAAACATGAAGTGGGGAAAGGACACCCGTTTCAACAAATGGTGCTGGTATAATTGGCTAGCCACATGTAGGGGAATTAAACTGGATCCTCATCTCTCACCCTATACAAAAGTCAACTCAAGATGGATTAGGACTTAAATCTAAGACCGGAAGCTATGAAAATTCTAGAAGATAACATTGGAAAAACCCTTCTAGACATTGGCTTAGGCAAGGATTTCGTGAGCAAGAATCCAAAAAAATGCAATATAAACAAAGATAAATAACTGGGATTTAATTAAACTAAGAGCTTTTGCAAGGAAAATGGAATAGTCAGCAGAGTAACAGACAACCCAAAGAGTGGGAGAAAATCTTCACAATCTATACATCTGAAAAGGACTAATATCCAGAATCTACAACAAACTCAAACAAGTCAGTAAGAAATCAAACAAACAATCCCATCAAAAAATGGAATAAGGACATGAATAGACAATTCTCAAAAGAAGATATACAAATTGCTAACAAACATATGCAAAAATGCTCAACATCACTAATAATCAGGGAAATGCAAATCAAAACCACAATGCAGTACCACCTTACTCTTGCAAGAATGGCCATAATCAAAAAAATAAATAAATAGTAGATGTTGTCACGGATGTGGTGAACAGGAAATACTTCTACATTGCTGATGGGAATGTAAACTAGCACAACCACTATGGAAAACAGGGTGGAAACTCCTTAAATAACTAAAAGTAGAACTACCATTTGATCCAGCAATCCCACTACTGGGTATCTACCCAGAGGAAAATAAGTCATTATTTGAAAAAGATACATGTACATGCATGTGTATAGCAGCATAATTTTCAATTACAAAAACGTGTAACCAACTCAAATGCCCATCAATCAACGAGTGGATAAAGAAACTGTGGTATATATATACAATGGAATACTACTCAGCCATAAAAATGGATGAAATAACAGCATTTGCAGCAACCTGGATGAGATTGGAGACTATTAGTCTAAGTAAAGTAATTCAGGAATGGAAAACCAAACGTTGTATGTTATCACTGATATGTGGGAGCTAACTAACGAGGATGCAAAGGCCTAAGAATGATACAATGGACTCTGGAGACTTGGGGAGAAGGGTGGGAGGGGGCGAGTGATAAAAGACTACAAATAGCTTGCAGTGTATACTGCTTGGGTGAGGGGTAAACCAAAATCTCACAAATCACCACTAAAGAACTTACTCATGTAACCAAACACCACCTGTTCCCCAATAACCTATGGAAATAAAAAAAAAAAATACTATAGTTATCTCAGGGTAATACAATTTTGGATAATTTTTATTTTACTGATATAGTTTTCTGAATTTTTAATATTCTGTACCATAACCATGTATTTACTTACTTTTTAAATGAGGAATTATTTCATATGTGTGAAATAGTACTTTTGACACATCTACAGAGTTAGAGAATACAAATAAAATAAGTACCCACGTGCCTATACAATGCTCAAGAAAAAAAAAAAAACAACATTTTTGAAGCCAACCTGTGTATTCTCCCTGACTATATCTTTGTTTTTCCACTCTCCTTGATTGTCTACATGGTTTTACCATATATCTATGTATTCCTAAACATTGTATTGTTTAGTCTACTTTGGCATGCTATATAAATGATGTTCTACTATTTAAATATGCCCTTTATTTGGTGAATGGATAAATAAACTGTACTACATTCAGATAGGGGAATATTATTCAGTGCTAAAGATAAGGAGGTATCTTAAATGCATATTACCAAGTGAAATAAGCTAATATGAAAAGGGTATGTACTATATAAGTCTACTATAGGACATTCTTATAAAACTAAATTTATTGAGATATAGTAAAAATAACAATAGATGCCAGAGGTTAATGGGAAGAGATTAATAGGAGAAGCACAGAGGATTTTGAGGGCAGTGAAACTCTTCTGTGTGATTCTGTAATGGTGGATTTATGCCATTATACATTTGTCAAAAACCATAAAATGTAAAACATCAAGAGTGAACCCTAATGTAAACTATTGTATTTGAGTGATTATGATGTGTCAATGTAGTTTCTTCTATTGTCACAAATGCACAACTCTGTTTGGGATTGTGGATAGTGGAGAAGGCTATGCATATATGGGGACAGAGAGTATATAGAGAAATCTCTGTAGATTCTGATTAGCTTGCTGTGAACCTAAAATTGCTCTAAAAAGTAAAGTTTATTTAAAAAAAATAAGAAGCAGCAGAAGCAGCTAAGCACCTAAGAGGACAGATTGTATCATCCATTTATATGAAGTTCAAATACAGTGAGCACTAATCTGCAGTGTGAGAAGTCAGGATAGTTGTGAGGTTAGCAGTCAGACTAGTTACCTTGAGGAGAGTATGGTCTGGTAGGGGATACCTTGAGGAGAGTATGGTCTGGTAGGGGACACAAGAAGAACTTCTGGGTTTAACTTAATGTTCATTTTTTTTTATTTGGGTATTGTTTACTTGAGTGTATTCAGTTTGAGAAAACTTTACTTACAATTTGTCACTTTTCTTTATGCATATTTATACTTCAATAAAAGTTTCAAAAAGTAACCCAGAACTTAAAATAAAAGTTAACAAAAATAATGTATCTACATTGGTTCGGCAATTGTAGCAAATGTACCACATCAATAAAAGATGTAAATAGTTGGAAAAATTATAAGAGGAGAGAAAGAGATACATGAAAACTCTTTACTTTCTGATCAATTTTCTGTTAAAAACTACTCAAAAAAAAAAAAACAGGCTACTAATTAAAACCAACCAACCAACGAAACAAAAAGTGTCAAAATCAAAAAGTTGTATCTTCTTCATAGATAGATGAGTAGTATGAAATAAAATAATTAATGTAAATGTTAAACATAATATTAGGACATTGCAAGTACTAACTAGATGTAAGTTTTCACTTATTATTAAGACATCATTTGAAATTTCTGAAGTAAAATTAACTCCAGAGGTAAAACTATGAAAGCCTTTATACATTTTGCAAATTTATTAAGCTACTCTTCTGTTTTTGCTCCATACTCATGATTTTTCTCTTCTCTAGAATAAATTTATCAATTTAACACATATTTATTGAGGATTTACTGCTAACATTAGACCCAGGTTTCTGTGACCAAGATGAGTGATCTTAGATAAACTTCTTGCCCTTTATCTTTCTAAATTTCCTCACCAGTAAATTAAAGATAATATATTGTCTTGCCTTTGTCAGTGTTCTTTGAAGCTCAACTGAATCCATTTAAACTACTAAAAATATTCATATTTAAGCTACTGTCACAACATTTTCCTAAGTGCTGCAAGTGAGCAGAAAGTACACTTCGCTTCCATCGGGAAGTTTACAACTTACTCAGGGAATGAGACATACCACCTAGGAAAATTCAAATAATAGTACATGACAGTGTGTACTTAAGTGAGAAATGAGGGAAAGGTTTTTAGCACTATCTTCCAAATGCTTGATTGTTGATATATCTTGTTTTCTCTAAGTTCTTCCTATTTTGCTAAGTTATAAGAAAAAGATTCACTGATCTTGAGCATCAGAGGTACAAAATAGGTTTTGGGGCCAACTATGATTTGAATGTCCCCTCTCAAACTCATGTTGACACTTAATTGCCATTGCAACAGTATCCACCTCTCAAGGTAGATGAGAGGTGGGGCTTTTAAGAGGTGATTAGGCCAGGAAGGCTCTGCTCTCATTAATGGAGTAATGCTGTTATTGTGGGGGTGGGTTTCTTATAAAAGGATAACTGCAGTCCTATGTTTTCTTTCTCTTTCTCTCTCTCGTCTTCCACACATCAAGAAGGCCCTCATAAGATGCTGGCGCCTTGGTCTAGAACTTCCCAGCCTCCAGAACTGTGTGTGAAATAAGTTTTTGTTCACTATAAATTACCTAATCTGTGTGTTTTTTTTTTAAAGCAGCAGAAAACAGACCAAGACAGGACCATAGAGACATAGGTTCAGACCAGCTCTGACTACTTAATATAAATGAGTCTATGGGTTAGTCTGAACTTTAGTTTGCTCAATAATAAATCAGAATAACTACTTTGCAATTATCTATGTTAACAAGAACATATGCCTGATATATAAGCCACAAAACTTAACATTCCTATGATATATAGTTTTGCTATATGCCAATAATATGTTTAAGAATTTTATATTTTGCTCATTTAATAAATGAGGAACCTGAGGCAGAGATATCCATAAGTTACCAGAGATCATACAGACAGTAAGGGGCAAAGACAGGCTACAAAGAAGAATAAAGTGCCACAATGGTTTTAAAAGCTATTAACTTCAATTATAAAAATTAAAAATTTTCAAGATATGAATAAATGGGTAAATAGATTGCTAGTGTGACTATGAAGAGATTTTGTATTAGCTAAATAACTTCAGTAAGAACATTATGCTTTTCTTGAACCAATAAATGCTTATAAAATTCCAATAATCCAAAGCAGAATAATAGTTATTTGCATATTTTATTTTATTCATTTATTTTTTGAGTTAGGGTCTCACTCTGTCGCCCTGGCTGGAGTGCAGTGGCTCAATCACAGCTCACTGCATCCTCGACTTCCTGGGCTCAAGCGATCCTCCCACCTCAGCCTCCAAAGTAGCTGGGACTAACAGGTGTGTGCCACCATGCCCAGCTAATTTTTTCACTATTTTTTGGAGGTAGGTGGGGGGTGGGGGGTCTCACTTTGTTGTCCAGGCTGGTCTTGAACTCCTGGGCTCAAGTGATCATCCTGCTTTGGCCTCTCAAAGTGCTGGGATTACAGATATGAACCATGGTGCCCGGCCACTTTATTATATTTTAAATCTAAATTTGATTGATGTGTTTATTACTCTAGCATTCATAACATTAAAAATATTAAGAACTGTACTTAACTCATTTATTATTGCATTTCTATCTTGAAATTTCTATCTTGAAATTCTTCATTTTTATAAGGATGTTGTAAAATCAAAATTTCAACTTTCATACTTCAAAATTTCACAAGAAGAAAAAAATTCCTAAATCATATACCACAACAATCTCCCTGAGAAATCATGTTAAATCTATGAAATTAGGTAATATAAGGATTATGAAGAAAATGTGCTCATACCAATCAAACTGTAAACCAGCATAAATTATACATATTGTTTAATAAGACATTTCCTTATAGGTGTGAGTCTATGGAAGTTAACATTTTAAACACTAAGCTTGTCAAAATCATTTTACACACTGCTAACCATTTTCAGCAGTTGAAGGATTTTTTATATTTACCCAATTTACAATCACAGCTTCTAACTTCTTTTAGAAAACATATAATTTAAATCTTTTTTCCTAATCAAATTCTATTGTAGACAAAAATGTTAGCAATATCATTAATGTGCCACCTGAGTGTGTCTATTTAGTATTATTGCCAATGTTTAATATAGTGGCTGTAGAATTAAGAATTAATCTTGCAGCTATGATAATATTGTTCATGCACCATATCGTCAATGTTTTAGAACGAGACTATTACAACTTTAATAATAAAATTAACATTAATAACTTTCAAATAAAATTTCAGATTTATTTTTAAAACCCCTAAGTTATTCTATGAAGGTTATTTAACTATCCTACTACTAATAAGTGGAATACAATTCTCATTTGGAGAAGATGTGCTTTAGACTTCCATGATTAAAGGCTGACAGAAAGAAAAAATATATATAGATAATTAACAGAGAGTAGTGGCTATTTGGGTGGAGATGAGTGGAGGAAAAAAAGTATTAAGACCGAAAGCTAACACAAAGATTTAAGTCTATATGACTAGGATATTGGTAATATCATTAATAGGATTAGGTGAATCTGGTTTGGCAGTAGAAGCAAAGTGAGGGAGAATAAGGGGTGCTGATGACAACCTTGGTTTAAGATACAGTTGATTTAAAGACGAAAATGTTCTGTGGCTAAAAAGAAAAGTGGTGCTGAAGCTTAGAAGAAAGGACACTCATATTTGGGGATCTTCTATTGATCAGTGGAGTATCAAAATCATACACAGCCTCTAAGGGAAAGCACAAAGATAGAAAAGGTGAGGGCTAGAAATAAAATCTGTGAGATTATTCACACTTCTTAGTCAAAATGGAACAGCCAGACAAAGAGGACAGGAACAAGGATTTTGGCTGCTCTGGAGATCTTTGCTAAGGTGCACTCACCTGCAAGAGAGTATAACCGGAACGAGAAGAAAAAAATCTCATGGCTTGGGCCTGGGAGATTACTAGAGATGGAAATGTATTTTTGTCATAAAAAATTGAACTGATTTTTTATTCTTCCCACTGGGTTTCCACCTTTTTCTTCTACAATTTGTATCCAAGGAGGGTCTGAGAATTAATTTGTTCTGTGATGAGCAGCAGAGTTTCTTTCTGGAGCCCATTTTAAGAAATGTTGTCATACAAGAATCATCTTTCTCTGTTTTATTTCTAATGTGGATTGTACTATTCAAAATATTTGCTGTACCTTTCTGAAGCAGGATTTTTATATTTGTGCTTCACTGATATCAGGCTTGGACATGTGACCTGCTTTAGTCAATGAAATGTGAGTAGAAATGACATGCATTATTTCAAGCAAAAGTTTAAGAGCATTTTTCATCATTTTACCATGCCGTCTTCTGATTCACAGCTGACAATATCCCAGAAAGGGGTTATATTTTAGCCTGGATCCCAGGCTCAAGATTACATAGAGGAAAGCTATCAAAGACCCCAAAATGGGGCATAAGAAACAAACCTTAGTGTTAAGGGTCGTCGAGATTTGGGGGTTGTTTGTTAGCACAGCATAGCTTAGCCTAAGCTGGCTGATGTAACCTCTAACTGAGGCGTTCTGCTTTGCTGTCCTAAAGATGGGGGTCAAGGGTGTGTGTTAGGCCATTCTTGCATGGCTAGAAACAAATGCTTGAGGCTCAGTAATTGATAGGAAAAGAGGTTTAATTAGCTCATGGTTCTGCAGGCTATACAGGAAGCATAGTGGCCTCTGCTCCTGGGGAGGTCTCCAGAGGCTTAAAAACATGACAGAATGTGAAGGGGGAGCAGGCACTTCTCCCTTTTTCTTCTGAAGCTTGGATCCAGGGGGTTGGGGGTCTGAGGATTTACTTGTTCTATGATGGCAGAGTGGGAGCAAGAGAGAGAGGGAGTCAGGTGCAGGAGAGGTGACACACACTTTTAAATGAACGGATTTTATGAGAACTCACTATCGTTATCACAAAGACAGCACAAAGCTGTGAGGAATGTGTTCCCACGATCCAAACCCCTCCTACCAGGCCCCATCTCTACTGTTAGGGATTGTAATTTAGCATGAGATTTGGGCAGTGACAAATATCCAAGCTATATCAGATAGACTATGGCAAAAAAAAACCCCGGGCTGACGTGAAATAGTCTACCCCGTGTTTCTCAGTTGTAAGGAGAGAGTTGCTGTTGACATTTTGGATTAGACAATTTTTCCTTTAGAGGAGTATTGCAATTGGTTAGCATCACTAATGCCTAAATACTAAATGCTTTTATCACATATCACCTATCCCTGCTAGATCCTAATACTATCCCAATTATTAAAACAAACAAAACCAAAAAACTCTGGTGGGTGATAATACTGCACTTTTTTGTTAACCACTAGACCAGCTGATGCCTAAAAATTGTAAATTGAGAATGGGTGAATGGTAAGTGTATCACTTAAACATACAGCCCTAGAGTGCAGGAAATAATCCTGTGTTTTTTTGTATCTCCTCCAGTTCTTAACAAATACTGTCGTATGAGCAATACTCATAAAAAATTAAATGAGTAATATCGTTTTGAATTCTGATCTATTCCAAAAAGAGAACCACAATCTCTTTATCTTCAACCTATAGGCAATTTGTATACAGGAAGCAGAATTCCCAAAGTCTCATATAGAAAATATGAGAAGTTATGCATACTCATGCCTTTAGTTCAACATATAAATACACTCTCTCCTGGGAGTTTTATCCTCAAGTAAAATTCTCTTTTCCCATTGCCCAGTCTAAAAAAAAAAAGTAAATGGTTATTAGAAAAGTTCAGGTTATAGGAAGTATTTAGTGAACCTGCACCAATGGAAACATGTTACATGATTCCTTTTCCATCAATTCCAGATGTGAATCATAGCCCTGGGCAGCTAGCAAAGTGCCTGGGCCTTTGTTCTGAGATCACAGAGAGAATAGATAGGCAGCTATGCACAAATCATGTCTAGAGTGTTGCTTTCTCTCTGTGGGGCTCATACCAGAATCTGTGTGTTGTTGCAAACAGAGCTGCTCCTTTCCCTGCTAATTGGATCATGGATGGTAAAAAGTGCCAGGTTTATCCTTAGGCAATGTAAAGCATTGAGGCTGAAAGAAGAAAAAGGAATAATCTCTAGTGAGAGAAAGCTGGCAGGAAGACAGGCACAGACATCAATTTTCTCAAATGCTGAGCAGTGGAAAGTGTCATACCTAAGGGATTTAGGCCTAGGATATCAGTACTCCTTATTATAGTTGTTCAAGATCCTCTATCAAAGGACTGGAAAGGACAAGAGAACCCACAGACCATCAGGTGAAGCAAGATCAAAAGATCGGGCGGTTAACAGAACTGTATCCCTCTAGGGAACATTTACTTACTCCAGAAAGGTTCTGCTAAAACACTTCAGCATGTCAGAGTATGACATGAAACTCTCATTATGTTAGTCATGCCAATATGCTAGCCCTATAAGTTCACTTGGGTGCATTTCCAGTTGTTTCACACAGTATATTATTTGTCCAATTTAGGTTGTGATTTCCTGAGAAAGAGAATTTTCACTCTCCATCAACATCAGTGTAAGTAATAACTTCATTGATGTCAGCCTTGCCTCTCCAAAAAAAAAAAAAAAAAAAAAAAATTGTTAAATCCACTAGGGCAAAGTCTCTATCTCAGTTTTTCTTTCATCTGGCTCCTGTTCCTTAGCACAGTGATGGACCAGTTGACTAAAATAATAGAGTGTATAACGAGCCATATTCTAAGCAATTATTTTCTTTATCCCTGTAATCGTAATACCAAAAAAGGATGAGTCCCATTTAGGTAGCAAGTATACTAAGACTGACTGACAAAATTGGAATGCTCTCTTGTTTCCTGAACTAATACTTGAGCCTTTAACGAAAGTATGTTCACGGTAAGAAAACGACGTATGTTAACCATCTGAAAGAAAGTGTCATATTAGAATAGTTAGAAATTTGGTGGCTCCTAAAGCATAATTTGAGAAAGGAGTCTCTAGTTCTGTGTTAACTGCAGACTATCTAGATCCCTAGCTCCTTTGACATATAGAGACTGTTATGTGATATTTATGTCCTTGAAAGGAGATGAAATAAGGCAGCTGATTGGGGTTTGCCCTTTACTCTCACCCTGACCAGTTCTTCATTGTCTTTTATATTTTTTTCTCTGCTAACGATAATCTGATTAACTGCACTTCAGCATGCTCCCTTAAAAGGTTATGGCTGGGGTGGATGGGATTGATGGTGCTGTGGTTTATGAGTGTCTGAAAACTCTCTGCAAATATTCCTTGACTTAGCAGATACTTCCGGTTGGATTCTTGGGAACGATTACAGATCAGGTTCTACTGACTCTTGGGAGGCTGTTCTGTGTGTTGAGTGCGCCCCTTGGAAAAGCTGAAACGTTTTCCAAATTTGACAGCATGTATCAAGCTTTCTCACTTATGCTTCCTTTTGATTTCACATTTCCTTGCAGGTGAGCCAAAGATATTTATAGATGAATTCAATACTCTTTCCTGTTCAGGCTCTGGGTTATTCTTGAAAGCTACTCCAGAGACTCATTGTGGAAGATAATGAGTGAGGATAGAAAAAACTCAGACTAGAGGTTACAGAACCTGGATTCATCTTTTTGTGTTTTTCTAATATGTAAAATGGGGATAATAATACTTATCTTGCAAAACTATCGTGAGGGGTAAATGAGCCAGTATATAGACATTATATGGTATTCAAGAAGTGGTAACTTTGTTTTCATTATTTGTCTCTGTATCATCATGTTCAAAATATTCAACCAACATGGCTACTTCACCAAACAAGACACAACTTACATTGTTATCTATAAAATAGAATGGTATCTTAAATGACAGAGAGAAGAAAAAAGCCCAAATAAAAATAAGACAATAATAATGGTTCACCAGAAAAAAACTATTCAATAATTATAATAATACTATCTCTAACAGAAAAATGAAGCTTCAGCTTCTCAGCTGTGCCATCTTTGCAGATACCTCTACTTTAAGTGTTCTGTTCCGTTCTCCCATCTAGATTTCATTTTGCATATGAAGATTACAATAACCAACCAAATACCATATACATTTGTTGTGAGATCAAAATAAGATACAAAAATATGGAAGTCTTTTGAACAGTTAAAAGCAATACAGTATAGAAGTTATTCTTCAAATAATACCTCCTTCATTGGTATCATTAGAGAGTGTTTCATATGAGTTAGTTTCCATAGAAATGGAGTCTCCACCTTTCTGCAAATTTTTGTGACTATTTTGATTAAAATGTCCTAAAATGCTTTAGCATGTTCTTTACGTGGAATACAGTGACATTTTCTTTATGTTTCATGAACAAGATTATCAACATGAATCTTTCTAGCTTTCTGTAAGAGGGTGATACTGTCAGAAACGATTGAAGTATGGAACATTGTTTTCCCTTACATTTAAGGACTTCAGACCGCTGAATTGTAACCTTTTAGCCAGTTCTTACAATTTTTCTGTCAATATGCCAATCTTTTTATAACTGGACCACAGAAAAAATAACATTGATTTTTAATTTTATTTATAACTTTGAATCACCTATGATGTAACAAAATTATAAAGTTTTCAAAATAAAGCAGTAGATATAGCATATTCCTAGGGTCTCTAAATTTTTAATGTTTAGCATATCCTTGTTCAACAATACCAGATAATACTTATCAAATACAAATCATATTAAGTATTACACGTATACACTTAATTTCATTTAATCCTGGCAACAAAAAGAGGGATGACCCATTAATGTCTCCAATGAAATATGAGAAACTTGAGGTTTTAGAAGGATTATAGATTTTGTCGAAGGTCAAATGAAGTGTTTGATTGAGAAGTAAAACCAACTTTATCTGACCCTGTAGTCTATGTTATTCACCATATACCTTATTGAGAAATATCAATTCTTATAAAGAAGTACAGGCAAGTGGTGAAGCCAGTGATCCAATACAGAAAATGCCATTTGTTATGAAGATGGGGAAAATAAGGTAAGAGAGAAGGCAAGAAAGCACTGAACACCAAGAGAGCACTCTAAACATACTCACCAAATGAAGACTAGACTTATCAGGAGAAAAATGAAAAATGTCTCAGGAGAAAAACCTAAACAAAGATTGCCCTGTAGAGACCAAAGTGGACATCTCTGAGTCAGTTCAATAAAGAGCAGTTGCCTTCCCTTCTCTAGTCTGAACAAATTAAGACAAAAGAGTGGCATAGGAAGAATGAAATATATCACCTTAATTTCCAATAAAAAGCTTGTTTTCCAAACTTTTTTTAATCCCGAGGGCACATATAGGAAATGATAATATCTTTACAAATGAGGCTTCCTATGACAGGTGATGAATGGTATGAAGTCATGGTAACCACAGGATCCCATCCAGCCACCCTAAGTCCTGAGGGAAATAATATGTTGGCATTGTTCAGAGGTGACAGTGAGCTGGCAGCCCTCCCTCACTCTTGGGGCCTCCGCAGCCTCGGCGCCCCTTCTGGCTGTGCTTGAGGAGCCCTTCAGTCCTCCACTGCACTGTGGGAGCCCCTCTCTGGGCTGGCCGAGGCCAGAGCCGGCTCCCTCTGCTTGTGGGGAGGTGTGGAGAGAGACGCTCCTGCAGGAACTGGGGCTGAGAGTCACAGCCCAGCTTGAGTTCTGGGTGGGCACGGGCTCAGCAGACCCCGCGGGCCCCACACTCGGAGCAGCCAGCCAGCACCAGCCCCAGGCAATGACGGGCTTAGCACCCAGGAAAGCCGCTGCAGAGGGTGCGCCTGGTCCCCCAGCACTGCCGGCCCACCCACGCCTAGCTTGAACTCTTCCCGGCCTCAGCTGCCTCCCCACAGGGCAGGGCTCAGGACCTGCAACCCACCATGCCAGAGCTCCCCCATCAGCCATGGGCTCCCGCGCAGCTGGAGCGTCCCCCGCGGGCACCGCCCCATGCTCCGTGGAGCCCGGCCCCATCCACCACCCAAGGGCTGAGGTGTGCAGGTGGCACGCATGAGACTGGCGGGCAGCTCCGTCCCTGCCCCAGCATGGGATCCAATAGGAGAAGCCAGCTGGGCTCCTGAGTCAGGTGGGGACTTGGAGAACTTTTGTGTCTAGCTCAAGGTTTGTAAATGCACCAATCAGCACTTTGTGTCTAGCTCAAGGTTTGTAAATGCACCAATCAGCACCCTGTGTCTAGCTCAAGGTTTGTAAACGCACCAATCAGTGCTCTGTGTCTAGCTAATCTAGTGAGGCCTTGGAGAACTTTTGTGTCTAAAGGATTGTAAATACACCAATCAGCACTTTGTGTCTAGCTCAAGGTTTGTAAACACACCAATCAGTGCTCTGTTTCTAGCTAATCTAGTGGGGACTTGGAGAACTTTTATGTCTAGCTAGAGGATTGTAACTGCACCAATCTACACTCTGTGTCTAGCTCAGGGATTGTAAGTGGACCAATCAGCTCTCTGTAAAACGGACCAATCAGCTCTCTGTAAAACGGACCAATCAGCTCTCTGTAAAATGGGCCAATCAGCAAGATATGGGTGGGGTCAGATAAGGGAATAAAAGCAGGCTGCCCGCACCAGCGGTGGCAACCCACTTGGGTCCCCTTCCACACTGTGGAACCTTGTTCTTTCGCTCTTTGTAATACATCTTGCTACTGCCTCCTTTTTGGGTCTGCGCTGCCTTTATGAGCCCTAACACTCACCGCGAAGGTCTGCAGCTTCACTCCTGAGGCCAGCCAGACCATGAACCCACCGGTAGGAATGAACAACTCCAGACCGGAGGAACAAACAACTCCAGATGCGCCGACTTAAGAGCTGCAACACTCACCACGAAGGTCTGCAGCTTCACTCCTGAAGCCAGTGAGACCACGAACCCACCAGAAGGAAAGAAACTCCAAACAAGTCCAAACATCAGAAGGAAGAAACTCTGGACACACCATCTTTAAGAACTGTAACACTCACCACGTGGGTCCGAGGCTTCATTTTTGAAGTCAGTGAGGCCAAGAACTCACCAATTCTGGACACATTGTTACTTGTGGAGGGTCTTGGCTATGAGTTGTCCAGGTTCCTGGTGTTTTGAACAAAGAGCTGGACAAAACACACAAATGAGGCAATGAAAGACGAAGCAATAAAAGCATGGATTTATTGAAACTAAAGTACGCTCCATAAAGTAGGAATGGGTTCAAGCAAATGGTTCAAGAGGGCTGCTTACATAATTTTCTGGGGTGTTTAAATACCTTCGAGAGGTTTCTCATTGGTTACTTCTTTATATCCTATGTAAACGAAGCAATGGCCCACAACCAGTCTGATTGGTTATGGGAGGGCACCAATCAGAGGCTGAAGTGAGGTTCAAAGTTACATATGAAGACTTGGCCCATGACAAGTCTGATTGGTTGCAGGAGGGGAACAATCAGAGGTACTTTCCATTTTTCATCTGCAACACAGTGCAAAGGGAGTAGCCTCTGATCCTTTTGATACTTTGGTGTAGAGAGGTGGGGTTTTCCTTTTGATTCAGTTTTACGAAGTCAAGGTGAATAGGCCTTAGGTTCACCACCTCCAGACTCTATTCTCCTGCCTCAGCATGTCTTTGGCCATTTATGGAACCTCATTTGGGAAATTTCATCATAAAGTATAAGTTGAAGAATGTGGCTTAAAGGGCTTGCTAACTAAACCCTGGAAGCAAACAGATGCACTGACCCATTCTCAGAGAGCTGTAGGTCAGGAAGAGCGTCTCATGTTCCAATGCAGCGCATGACTGTATAGGAGAGGTAAATTTCTGCTCTGTTAAGAAGCAGGTCCTCCAAAGGAAAAAGAGAGGAGCTGAACCAAGCATGCCTAAATTGTTTTCCCAAATTTATCTATTAGGTTAAGCCACTTTCCCTCCCCTCTAAGCAGAGTGAGTAAAGAGGTATTTAAAGATCAGAGCTTTAAATCAACTGGGCACCTTCTGCAAGGACAGTACATGAAGTAATAAAAAAAATTCCCTTGTGAAGTGTATCAGCCACATGAAAAACTGCATATACAATCAGAAAGATTCTCCATATTGGTTAGAATTTTCTTGTTTAGGGGAACACTGGAAGCTTGTTTCCAGCTTGATTCAGGTATGGAATAAATAAGTATTGAGTAGGAAAAGAGAAGTCATGAGAAATTTATGAATATGTGTATGTTATACGTGTATGTGTATGTGTAGATATGAATATAGATATGTGTTTTTTGAAAGAGAGAGAGAGAGAGAAAACAGGGAGTAACTAGGGCTATTTTACCCAGTTTTGCTTTGGCAATGTTTTAATTTTGTTAGTTGAATGCAGTGAAGTCTTTATTGCCACCGTAGCACGAATACATATAAATAATCACTTAAGAATAACTTAATATTGATAATTACAATTAAAACTGATCACTTTTAAGTGAAAGTCTTCGGCACAAGCTTATTTCAATGCAATGACTATGAAAGCAAAATGCTTGTGTGTCCTAATTCAGCAGTCTTTGGGAATAAAGAAAGATAAAATTGCTTCCCGCAAGGGCTTAAACTGTATACTTCACATCCCAAAGTCAGACAGTTAATGAGAACAGCTGGTTGTTGATATGCTAAAGGTAAATCATATTGTCACAAAAAGATGAGTCACTATTTGAGACATGGACTGTTCGTTCCTTGTATAAAATGATGCCCAGGTCTCAGATCTCAAACCTCCCTGTTCATATTCAAGATTTTATTTTACCAATTGGAATAAATGGGAAATGAATCTAATCTTTCCCACCAGACCTTCTAGGGACCAAGCTTTCACTTAAAGATATGCCAACATTTCCAAGACAAGCAAGTATTTTACTTCCTTTCGAATCCATAAGGTCTTTTCTGTCTACTCAGTGATAAACATATCTCGTTACTTCCCATAATGAACAGCAAATCAGTGGCTCTCTATTTCACACTTCACCCAATCACAAGCACTTCAGCATACAAGTCCCATGTAGTCAAAGAATTATTGAATTCTCTTGCTGTAGATGGTCTTGTATTATTTTTTGAACACAGCATCCAACTGTAGGCTAAAGAATGTGGCAAGCCTTTCTCTCAAAGCTTATTTGTGTGGATAAGCTCTCACAGTGGACTTGGGAAAAAGTAGAGTCATACTGGACTATGCCTGGAACTTGAAAAGCTACTGTCAGAGTACAGTAGTGGTATTATATAAGTCAGGTACCTTGGTGCTTTCATTTGAAAAATTCATAGTGTTACTGCTTCTCATGGATGAGTGGATAAGAATCAGAGAAAAAAACAAATTTTGAATCATAATGACATAAATGTCAAAATACTCCTTGCAAAATCTTCACTTGGAAAATTCCCATAAACAACATTTACTATTCATATTGGCATATGTGAAGTGCATGCATAATCTTACACTAAATGAATCTGAATACAAATCTAGTTACCTGCGATGTTGTTCCCAGAAAAATATTTTGGGAATCTCAGAAATTCAGGTCATTGTCTGACTATTGCAGAGCCAATTCCATTATCAATCAGAAGTTTTCGTAGTGCTTATCCGGCCTAGTAGATAAAGAGAGATTAGTAAAATGGGGAGGTGCCAGTTAACAGGTATAAGGTTTCAGTAGTGCAAGATGAATAGAGATATGCTGTACAACATTGTGTCTATAGTTTAAAATACTGTATTGTGCACTTAAAAATCTGTTACGAGGGTAGATCTCATGTTAAGTATTCTTATAACAATAAAATAGAAATTAAAGGATGTAGGGGTGCAGATATTTCCCCTTCAAGTTTAAATATTTCTTTGTTTTTGCTCTCATTTGTACCTCAAAGCTTAGTTCTATTTAAAATCACAATGCCAAGAATCTTCTGAGAAACCAGAAACAGTGGAAACTATTGAAATAGAAATGTATTGAGTGAAGGAAGATTATTCAGGAAAGAAAACCCCTCACTTTGAACAAATGAGTGTCTCGGTGACACAAGTCAGACATTCACCACCAGCAACTTCTGTTTTCTCTCTTTATATCTAAAATTTTTTGGAGAAAGTAGCCTTAAATTTCTATTCCCTAGTGGCTGGAATGCCCGCCAGAGCCTCATCATTACCATAGGAAAATATCTGTTTAAAGACCATCTGTTCTTCAGTGTGTCTATTGAAAATGAGTTGAGAGATATGTAGCAAACAGTTTTTGTGTATAGAAAAAAATCACTTTAAAAATGAGTGAAAATTGAATCAATGTTAAATCTATGTTGATACCATACCCATTCATTTGCTATTTTGTTTGTTTGTTTGTTTGTTTGTTTGAGACAATGGCTTGCTCTGTCGCCAGGCTGGAGTGCAGTGGCACTATCTCGGCTCACAGCAAGCTCCACCTCCCGGGTTCACGCCATTCTCCTGTCTCAGCCTCCTGAGTAGCTGGGACTATTCTCGCATGCCACCACGCCCAGCTAATTTTTGTATTTTTAGTAGAGACAGAGTTTCACCATGTGAGCCAAGATGGTCTAGATCTCTTGACCTTGTGATCCTCCCACCTTGGCCTCCCACAGTGCTGGGATTACAGGAGTCAGCCACCGTTCCCGACCGGCCCCATTTGCATTTTTTTTTTTACTAGGAGAAGAAAGGGTTGAAGCTTAAGATCTGACTAGTGCCCTGGACATTGTATAGATGTATACCATTCCAGTTTATATGCGTGACATCACTTCTTCTTCCAGTTGCATTCTTACTTCGTTGGGCCGATTACAAATAATTATAGAGATACATTACATCCTTTAGAAATTTTAGTGGGGAGGGTCACTGAAATCTGGGTAGATCAATATATTCATATGAATGCAATTTTTATATGAATTTTAAGAAAAATTTGTAGGGAAAAAAAGATGGTGACCTACTGAGCTACTTGATGCCCTGAGGTTTAAGGAGTTGAGTGCATATCATACAAGCACCTATGCAGACTAGTCTGGAGTGGGAAGACCCCATGGATCCGGGGTAAACAGAGAAATCTTTAGGTGACAGCATCTACCAGGTATGTTCCATGAACTGCTAGTTCCACCAAATGGTCATACAAGTTGCAGGTCATGAAGGGCTTCTTGGTACCTTGGTTTGGAAATTGCTAAATAGTTTAAGCTAAGTTAACTGAGTGATTTTAATACCATAATTTTCAGATTCTCTAGCAAACTAAGTTGTATTATGAATCTCCAAAGAGACTACGGGTATATGCAATATTTCTCAAACCTTTTTGGATTTAAATCCCCTTCTCTCTCTCTTTTTTTTTTTTTTTTTGGATGGAGTCTCACTCTGTCACCCGGGCTGGAGTGCATTGACACGATCTTGGCTTACTACAACCTCTGCCTCCTGGGTTCAAGCAATTCTCCTTCCTCAGCCTCCTGAATAGCTGGGACTACAGGCACCCGCCACTAAGCCCAGCTAATTTTTTGTATTTTTAGTAGAGACAGGGTTTCACCATATTGCCCAGACTGGGCTCTCTTTTTTTTTTTTTTTTAAAGTATCTCTCATAACCAATGTTCCACAGAATACAATTTGGAACGTGCTATAAAAAGAATGGGGAGAAATGGAGAATCTATGAGGTTAACAGTAATAACTAACATTTGTATGTGTCTTGTAGTTTATAAAATCCTTCCTCATTCATTAGCTCTTTTACTCCTTAGGAAAATTTTATAGGAAAAAATAGCTCAAGGACATTAAGTGGCTCTCTAAAATATATGCAGTGATAAAAAGGTCGAGTTTCGATTTGGCTCTAGGTTTTCTGACTTTAGTTCAAATATCCTGTCACTATACTATGTCACTATATTACGCTCAGTGAAGATATCATCTTTTGTTTCAATGTTTGCCTTTTGTTTCAATGATTGTCCTACATACTATTTCTCAGTGTTAGTATAATTAGGACTTTCTGCACCAGAGCAAGTTCCACGAGTTATATGTCCTCAGCCTCCATCTTCTTTCTCCATGAAACCTCCCTCTCTGTAGTTCCACCTTTGCCAGATGTTCCAGCAGAAATAAACAACGTACTCAAAGGAGGTCATGAAAGAGTTTTAGTAAAGAGACTTTTTACAAAAATGGGGAGTGGAATACGAGAAACCAGAAGAGGATGGTCAGTCTCCCAGGGCTAGCAGTAACTCATAGCTCTCACTGCAATGCCTGAAAAGCAAAAGATGAACAGTCTGTAGCCACAGGGGAGAGAACCTGTGTACAGGGGGTTTCTCAGCAAAAGGAAACAGCCAAGCTATGGTGAAATGGAATGGAGGGCGAGAAGAGAATAAATACTCTGATTTTACTCTCCTCCCACTTTTTGATCCCTTGTGAGTCCCTGAAATTAGCCAAAATCAACAAGAAGCCAAAGGACAGGAGAACTTCTTGATGCAGTCCATAGACGTCAGCCACCCAGGTCACCAAGTAGGATGGTGAAGAAGTAACCTGGATGTAAAGGAATACAAGGAACGTATTCAGCATCCCAGGTAATCAACACTGTCAAACTCTTTTAAGGACATAAAATGGACCTTAGACATTTAACTTCCACCCATCAGGTAAGCAGGAGAGGAAGTCATTAGGAGAAAGCTGGAAACCATATTGCTCAACATTTACAGGGATAATAATTTTTTGTAGTGTCTTAGTTAAACAACTTTGGTCTCATAAGAAGCATCTCAGAATTGACTTTTCATTCTAGCCACAGGCAGAAGTAGCAGCCAGCATGAGAATTATGCTATACTACCTGGTTCTCATCACCTACTGGGTATATTTCTTTCTGCTAGAAAAGTACCATCTGACATTCACCCGAGCCATCAGCCCCTTCTTATTCTAAAGGTCCAGTTATACCTTAGATGGGAGAGATTCACATTATTCCAGCATCAACACAGCATTGAGTCAATTTGTTGTCAGCTTCTCCAGATTTTGTACTTAAGGAGATCAGTCACTGCCTAATTAATTAGATTTCAGCTCCAACATCCAATTCTTAATAACCAGGTTCCTGTCATTGTACTGTGTCCAAGCATAGCAGAGAGAAACAGGCAGAGGCAGAAGGAGGTAGAAAAAATAAGAACGAGAGAGAACGATCGAATTCTACTTCTTACATATTTGGGGCTTATTTTGCAAGTCTTCAGATGTTTATTAATTTGCGAGTCTTAGAATTAATTCAAGAAAAAAATCCCACATTAATATCAGAAGATTGTTGGTTGCAATAGATATCTGTGAAATTAGTTTAATTAATCAAAAATGGTACTTTGAGCTTACATGTTGTCCCCAGGTTCTGCTGACCTACCCTCTACAACTTTTTTTCTTTTCTTTTTTTTTTTGAGACAGAGTCTCACTCTGTCACCCAGGCTGGAGTGCAGTGGTGAGATCTCAGCTCACTGCAATATCCACTTCCCTGATAGAAACAATTCCTCTGCTTCAGCCTCCCGAGTAGCTGGTAGCTGGGATTACAGGCACATACCACCATGCGCAGCTAGTGTGTTTGCATTTTTAGTAGAGATGGGGTTTCATCATGTTAGCTAAACTGGTCTCAAACTCCTGACCTCAGGCAATTTGCCCACCTCAGCCTCCCAAAGTGCTAGGATTACAGGCATGAGTCACCGCGCCCAGCCTACAACTTTTCAAGAAATGAAATCTTTAGTTTTCTTTTAAGATTTCCAAATGTCTAACAGCCAAATAACAGTTGATATAATCCATTATTTTCTTCAAATGAGGTAACCCACAGTTGTATTTATGAGTCTGTTGACCTCAGGAAACTTTTCTGACCAGGGCCTGCTGCTGACTGGACCCTTCTTAGAACATTGATAGAGTATGCATGGCTCTGTTTTACTAATTATACTTAATATGGGTCTCAACCTAGGGTGATCCCTATATAAAGGACATGCCGAGCCCTCACCAACACTTCACAAAAAAAAAAAAAAAAAAAAAAAAAAAAAAAAAAAAATCCTTATTTGCTCTCCTGAAAAAATGATTCAAAGATTTCCAAGCCTTTATAATAGGTTTATCTTCCTTTTGCTACAGCTTAAAAGTGAAATGTCCTAAGTACCCCACCCAGACCTCTGGACCTCAAAAATGATAGTTGTCTAATGCCTGAATTCTTCCCTATTCTGGAAGCAAAGGATGAAACCCTCCCCAGGCCACAGCCAAGGATATTCAGAGTACTGATTTCATAACCTTGGTTTCCTGGTTTCCCCTGGCAACCATCAGTTCTTCCAAAGTTACAGTGGAGAACAAATTAGAAGCAGCAAAGTAGGAGGGGTGCTGTTAGAAGCAAGCACACTGGAAAGTGACAAGTGTCAGAAACAGAAGGGACAGAAGATACATTAACTGGAAATGTCTAGCAGCCTACAGCCAGTAAGTGTTGGCCACACAGCCCTTAGTTCCACAATCATCCCTGAGGGCATCTCTATATTTGAGCCATACCAATGGCCCTGAATCATCAAGAAAAGATTAAGTTATGTCAAGAATATTCTGTTTAGTAAGGAAAATAAGTTTGCAATACATTTTAGAAAGATTTCCATCAAAATGATTATATATACATGGTATATTTAAATTATGAAGCTTTAGTTATCTGGAAAATTCAAATAATGGGAACATTTAATAGTTGGAAATGCTGAATATGAGTTTTTTTTTTTTTTGTATAGGGTTATTTCTTCTCAGGGACCAAAGGCAGGTGCTGGGAGGTGCCTTGCTTGCTCATTGGTATAACAGATGTCAATTCCCCTTGTCCCAGGATGGAGTTTGCCTGATCTTTCCAAGTCATGTGAGTGGAGGAGAACACAAATTGGTGGCACAGTGAAGAAGGAATGGATAGAAACGAAAGATGCGTGTTTAACAAGTGGCAATGCTAGAATATAAATGTTGGAAAGAGAATAGTTGGAAAAACAACCAATCTAGTAAGTGATTGTTTCCTCAGCTTTTCCTCATTTCTCTGCCTCCCTCTGCCTCTTGTCCTCATTTCTAAGTATCTACTTTCCTTTCTGAAATAGCTACCAATTCCAGAAGCAACTGAGCTTATTCAACAGAATTTCACCCTTCTTATCAATCTGTAGGTAAATAGAGAACCAGTCTCTGTCTCTGTCTCTCTGTCTCTCTCTGTTTCTCTCTCCCTCTCTTTTGTCTATCTATCTCTGTCTCTCTCTGTCTCTATATGTCTCTATGTGTGTCTCCCTCTGTCTCTGTCTCTTTGGCTCTCTCTGTCTCTGTCGCTGTCTTTATCTCTCTTTCTCCCCAACATCATTCCCTCTGTGCCTCACTTTTCTAATATGTCTGGCTAAAAATTAGAGGGGACAGGACTGAATCTGAGGTAACTCTTCTTGTAATTTGGACTGCATATAATTCCATCTCCAAGGTAGCTTTGAAGCTAACAATTGAAAACTTTTAAGATAACATTTTAATTTCCTTAAAATAAGGAGTAACAATTGTTATGTCTAAACAGCATTGTATTTCAGGTTCTGGTCAGTGCAAAGTAAAAGTACAAAAATTATTGGAATGGAAGAAACAGAATTATCATTACTCTCAAATAATATGAATTTATAGATAAATTTACTAAAATTAATTTTTAAAAGTTGATCATTGTTGGTAAGTGTACAAGAGCAATGTAGAAAATTCAACAGTTAGAATATGTAATCTGAGAAAAAAGAAGCCCATTTCCAATGAAAACATAATATAAGTTTCCCTGGAAAAATGATTTTCAAAACATGTGCAAGACTTTCATGGAAATCATTATATCAGTACAAAATGAATAGACATTAAAGAAGACCTAAATAAATGGAGACCTAAATAATTGGAGAGACTTACATTGCTCATAATAGAAAACACAAATACTAACTTTCCTCACAACCTATTTTGTTTTTGGATACCATGAAATGTGCCCATATTGTGGCAGGCCAGGTCTCACTAATGGCAGAAGAGGCAGACCTCCATGACAACTGTTTCAGCACTGACTGAGTGGTAAAGTTAAATATTAAAAGCTGAGAGAGCCAGTGCCCTTATACAAAGGCTGGAATGTAACAAAATCCCATCAAGTTTTGCCCAGGCCTTTCCTGGGTCTTGAAGCATGACAACAAAATGAAGAAATTCTTAACAGGACTCATTTAAGATTAAACAAGTTTTAGTGCAGGTCTGAAGAAACTCCTCAGCCTTCCACAAACAAGTTTTATTGGGATCTGAAGGAACTCCCCAAGCCTTCATGATTTAGCAGGAGACAAAATAAGGGAATCACCCCAGCAACTGGACCCATCTAGATTAAGTACATTTACTGAGGCTCCAGAGGAAGGTCTTCAGGACTCAAACCTTAGTTATAGATTAGAAGAAGTTACACAGTTACACGCAGACATATAGCTTAGAAGGTATATAAGCTCTGGAAAACCTCTTAATTTTGAATTGGTCTGGCAATATTTTCCTGGCCTTCTCCCTGTACTCGGTTACAGAAATAAACTCTCTTCTTTCCCAGTTCACCTGCATCTTATTATTGGGCTGCGAGAATAAGTATCCCAATCCTTGGTTCGGTCTGGGAACAATATAAGATAGCAAACTTATTTGATAAATGTTGGGTGTATTCTGATGATCCCCCATCTCTCTCCCTCTCCTTGGGCCCTCCTATTCCCTGAGACAAAACAGTATTAAAATTATGGCAGTTAATAACCCTAAAATGGCTTCTAAGTGTTCAGATGATAAAGAGTCACATGTCTCTCACTTTAAATCAAAAGCTGGAAATGATTAAGGCATGTTGAAAACCTAGATAGGCTGAAATCTAGACCCCTTTCACCATTTAGCAAAGTTCTGCCTGCAAAGAAGAGTTCTCAAAGAAGATTAAAAGTGTTAATCCAGTGAACACACAAATGAAAAGAAAGCAAAACAGCCTTATGGAAAATATAGAGAATGTTTTAGTGATGTGGATAAAATATCAAGCCAGACACAATATTCCCTGAGGAAAAAGCCTAACACAGAGCAAGATCCTAACTCTCTTCACTTCCTTGAAGGCTGAGAGACATGAGGACACTGTAGAAGGAAAGTTTGAATCTATCAATCAGAGGTTGGTTGATGAGATTTAAGTGGTCATCTCCATAACGTAAAAGCGCAAGGTGAAGCAGCAAGTGCTGATGCAGAAGCCTCAGCAAATTATCCAGAACATAGCTAAGATCATTGAAGAAGCTGGCTACATTAAACAACAGATTTTCCATGTAGATGAAACAGCCTTTTCTCAGAGGAAGATGCCATATAGGACTTTCATAGTTAAAGAGAATAAGTCAATGCCTGTCTTCAAAGCTTCAAAGCCTTAGCTAAAGCTGACAAAGGCTAACTGTTTTATCTGGGCACAATGCAGCTGGCGACTTTAAGTCGAAGCCAATGTTCATTTATTATTTTAAATATCTTAGGGCCCTTAAAAATGTCACTAAATCTTTTATGTCTGTACTATATAAATAGGACAATCAAGCCTGGGTGACAGCTCATCTTTTTAAAGCATGGGTTATTGAATATTCTACGCCCAATGTTGAGACCTGCTGCTAAGAAAAAAAGATTGCTTTCAAAATATTACTGCTCAATGACAATGCACCTGGTCATCCAAGAGCTCTGATGGACATATACAAGGAGATTAATGTAGTTTTCATGCTTACTAACAACATTCATTCTGTAGCCTATGGATAAAAGAGCAAGGATCAGTTTCAACCTTTCAAGTTTTATTATTCAAGAAATACATTTTGTAAGGCTACAGCTGCCATAGATAGTGACTCCTCTTATGGATTTGGCCAAAGTAACTTGAAAGCCTTCCAGAATAAATTTACCATTCTAGACATCATTAAGAATAGTCATAATTCATGAGAGGAGGTCAAAAGGTAAACATTTGCAAGAGTTTAGAAGTTGATTCCAATCCTCATGGAGAACATTGAGGGTTTGATATGGATTGGCTGTGTCCTCACCCAAATCTCATCTTGAATTCCCGTGTGTTGTGGGAGGGACCCCGTGGAAGGTAATTGAATCATGGGGGCAAGTCTTTCTTGTGCTGTTCTCATGATAGTGAATTAGTCTCATGCAATCTAATGGCTTTATTAAGAGGAGATCCCTAGCACAAGCTCTCTTTCTTTTCCTGCTGCCATCCATGTAAGATGTGACTTGCTCCTTCCTTCTGCCCTGATGTGAGGCCTCTTCAGCCATGTGGAACTTTAAGTTCAATAAATGTCTTTCTTTTGTAAATTGCCCAGTCTCAGGTATGTCTTTTTTAGCAGCGTGAGAACAGACTAATACAGTACATTAGTACCAGGGTGGGGTGCCACTGAAAAGAGACCCAAAAATGTGGAAGTGACTTTGGAACTGGGTAACAGGCAGAGGTTGGAACAGTTTGGAGGGCTCAGAAGAGGACAGGAAAATATGGGAAAGTTTGGAACTTCCTAGAGACTTGTTGAATGGCTTTGACGAAAATTCTGATGGTGATATGAACAATGAAGTCCAGACAGAGGTGGTCTCAGATGAGAATTAGGAATGTGTTGGGACTTGGAGCAAAGGTGACTCTTGTTATGTTTTAGCAAACAGACTGGTGGGATTTTGCTCCTGCCCTAGAGATTAGTGAAAGTTTGAACTTGAGAGAGATTATTTAGAGTGTCTGACAAAAGAAATTTCTAAGCAGCAAAGCATTCAGGAGGTGACTTGGATGCTGTTAAAGGCATTCAGTTTTATAAGGGAAGCAGAGCATAAAAGTTTGGAAAATTTGCAGCCTGACCACACAATAGAAAAGAATATCCCATTTTCTGAGGAGAAATTCAAGCCAGCTGCAGGAATTTCCATAAGTAACAAGGAGCCGAATGTTAATCCCCAAGACAATGGGGGAAAATGTCTCAAGGGCATGTCAGAGGTCTTCATGGCAGCCCTTCTCATCACAGGCCTGGAAGCCTAAGAGAAAGAAATGGTTTTGTGGGCTGGGCCCAGGGTCTGTGTGTTGTGTACAGTCTAGGACTTAGTGTTCTGCATCTCAGCTGCTCTAGTCATGACTAAAAAGGGCCAAGATACAGCTCGGGCTGTGGCTTCAGAGGGTGCAAGCCCCAAACCTTTTCAGTTTCCACGTGATGTTGAGTCTGTGGATGCACAGAAGTCAAGAATTGAGGCTTGGGAACCTCCACCTAGATTTCAGAGGATGTATAGAAATGCCTGGATGTCCAGGCAGAAGTTTGCTGCAGGGGCGGGGCTCTCATGGAGAACTTCTGCTAGGGCAATGCAGAAGAGAAATGTGGGGTTGGACCCCCTATACAGAGAGGGTCTGCACCTGGAAAAGCCCCAGACACTGAACGCCAGCCTGTGAAAGCAGCCAGGGGGGAGGCTGTACCCTGTAGAGCCACAGGGGTGGAACTGCCCAAGACCATGAGAACCCACCTCTTGCTTTAGCATGACCTGGATGTGAGACATGGAGTCAAAGGAGATAATTTTGAAGCTTTAAGACTTGACTGCCCCGCTGGATTTTGGACTTGCATGCGGCCTGTAGCCACTTTGTTTTGGCCAATTTCTCCCATTTGGAATGGCTGTGTTTACTCAATGCCTGTACCCCCCATTGTATCTAGGAAGTAACTAACTTGCTTTTGATTTTACAAGCTCATAGATGGAAGGGACTTGCCTTGTCTCAGAGGAAACTTTGGACTGTGGACTTTTGAGTTAAGGCTGAAATGAGTTAAAGACTTTTGGGGACTGTTGGAAAGGCATGATTGGTTTTGAAATGAGAAGACATGACATTTTGGAGGGGCCAGGAGCAGAATGATATGGTTTGGCCCTGTGTTCTTACCCAAATATCATCTTGTAGCTCCTATAATTCCCATGTATTGTGGGAGGGACCTGGTGGGATGTAATTGAATCAAGGGGACAAGTCTTTTCCATGCTGTTTTCATGATAGTGAATAAGTACCATGAGAGCAGATGGTTTTATTAAGAAGAGTCCCCTGCACAAGTTCTCTCTCTTTTCCTGCTGCCATCCATGTAAGATGTGACTTTCACCCTCATCTGTCAGCAGCCAACAATATTGAGGCAAGACCCTCCACCCGCAACAAGATTACTGCCTGCTGAAATCTAAGATAATCATTAGCATTTTTTTTTTAGCAATAAGGATTTTTAAATTAGGGTAAGCAAGTACATTGTTCTTTTTATACATAATGCTAGTACAAGCTTCCTGACTGCAGTATAGTGTAAATGTAACTTCCATAAACATGGGTAAGACAAAAAATATATATGATAGATTATTGTAATATTTGCCTTATTGCTGTGGTCTGGAGTCAATTCCCAATCCTTCTGTGAGGTATTCCTTGATAGATAGATAGATAGATAGACAGACAGACATATATACATGTGTTTACATGCACACATATATGTTTCATATATAATTTAATTTATAATAAAGGTGTAAAATTTGTATTGATGTGTTGAATTTTACATTTTTTAAATCCTGATTATTTTGATTTCTATACTGGAGACAGAAGTGAAAACTCGCAATTTGTTTTTATACGTTATTTCTGCAACTCTGTTTTCCCAGGGAAATATTAAATATAAGCCTTATAGAGTTCCACAGTTTCTACAGTTTCTATATGCAAAGCTGAAGCCTGGAAGCATACTTTCTAAGTTCATTCATTCAAAATAAAATAACTTGGTGAACTTGTAGCAGGTGGCAGGGCCATCAATGAATGATAAATGAATCCTGTCCACTTGTCACTTAAAGTCTGTCCTCCTATACTGGAATGCTTCTGTTAGCACTCCATCCCCTGATACACTTTTTCACTCTTCCTTGTTTCACTTTGTTTCTTGAGATGCTCACCTTTACCACAGTCCTGAGTTCCCTTTCCCTCCAGCTTCTGGTCGGAGTTGGCCAATGAGAGACTCTGGTATAAGATTGGATGGCTCCTGGAGAGGGTATTTATCACTCCCTTTTATTCCCCCCCTGCCCTGCCAAGACTCCAATAATAGCTACCATCTTCCTAGAGGCTACAGCACTGATAGACGGCTTGTCATAGCTGCAGCTTTCACCAGGTTTTGAAGTCAGTGTTCCCTCCCTTTGCCCTTTCAGGACGAGGAGTGTTAAGAGCTTTCCACTCCTCCTAATCCTGGCTGCTTCATCATTCCTTCTGGGTAAATTTATTTCTTCCCTTTCTTAAGAAAAACCCTTATGAGTGTGCCAGCCACTTACCTCTACTTACAATCTAAGGTTGGTACCTGAAATAAAGCCGACAACATGTGGATCTGACACATTTGAAGTACTGTTCTTATTCTCTTGGTCTCACCTGTGTCTCAGATGCTCAGCACTTCTACAACACAGAAAATGCTACCACACGCTGAATTCCATGTGAGTTCATGGGTTGCTATCTCCAGCTGCCTCCAGGCACATGCCCTGGATCTGCAGCTCCTCCTGCCACTTCCAGAAATCAGGTAAAATTCAAGGCAGGATGTGGGGCTTGGTTCCCTGTATTGACGCCAAAAGGCTCCGTGGCATAAATCAAGAAGTGCAGAGGATTAACTCCCCTGCGAGGTGAGCAGGGACCAGTGGGAGAGAGAAGACGGGAGGAAACAGGGCAGAAGCTCTGTCTCCTTTGACTCCTCTGATTCCCAGCCAGTTCTGCAATGTTCACTGTGGCCAAGCAGGTGCAAGTGTGGAGCTGTGTCTCCTCACTGTCAGGAAGAGGGGAAGCAGTGGTTGGTAGGGCAACACAACTCCTTGGATCCGCCTCCCATCCCTTCCTACTTCATTTTCCTTTTTTCTCACTCCCACTGCCCTGGGATGCTATGGTTCAAGCAGATCTCTCTGAGGAAGTTACATTTAAATTGAGACTTGATGGATAAGAAGCAAGTCATAAGAACAATATCTTGATGGAAGAGAAGAGCAATAACCATTGTTTTAAGGCAAGAGAGAGTGTGTTTGTGGAATGGCCGGAACACCAGTGTGAATGAAGCGTAGTGAGAGGGAGGGAATGGGGAGTGAGCTAATGTCGGAGAAGCTGACAGGAGTATTAAGCCCATAAATATGTTAAATTTAGTCTAAGTGCAACAAGTGAACTAGGAAATTCTTGGACACGTTAAACAGGAAATGGTCATAATCCGATTTGCATTTTAAAATCCTACTCCGGCTGTCATGTAGAAATGGCCTTTCATGGGACAGTAACTAAACTGAGGAAACAGAAACTTAAGGACTGTGGTAAACTTGAACTGAAGTGGTGGCAGAGACCAAGGAGAGAAGTGGTATGATACAGAATGCATTCTGGAGGAAAAAAACATGTCCAGGTTATAAATCAGATATGGGAGCTGAGAGAACAGAAGTGCAGAGTCTGACACCAAGGCTTTTGAATTAGTAAATCAATGGATGAGGATGGGTCATTTACTGAAAGAGACACATTTTGGGGGAAGTCTAGGTGGTGAAGGGGCTGGTAATAAAGAGTTCCATTTTTTTTCATGCTGAGTTTGAGGTATTTATGATACATCAAAGTACAGATATCAAGCAAAAATTAGAAACACAGAATTGCCGAACAATATCATTGGTAGGCGTTATTATAAAGTGAGTATTTAAAGTCATAGGGAAGGGTTATATCATTCAAGAATTAATGGTAGAAAAATAATAAAAGCCTATGTCAGCCTTTGCAGAACAGGAGAAGTTAGTAAGAAAAGAGATTAAGAAGGATCTGTCAGAGAGGTAGGGGGAATGCATTCTTTCCATATGATTGAGAGGAGAGTGTTTCAAACAGGGAGTGATCAACTAAGTTGCATGCTGTTGGCCTGTAGAGCTACAGGAAGACCAAGAATACTCCATTCAACTTCATGGAAATCACTGATGGCTGAAAGCAGAAAATTTAGTGGAGTGGCAAGACGGAAAGTCAGAAGAGTGAGAAAAGAGAAAAAGACAACATCAAAATTACCTTTCATATTCAACAAATTGGCAAAAATTAAGCAAATTAATTACACCAAGTGCTGTTGAGCATGTGAGGAAACAGGAATTCTCACACATACACTTCAGGAGGCTTTGTAAATTAGGAAAACCTGTTTTGGAAGGCAACTTGGCAATACAGGAGTCAGGGAAGTGGAGTATACCTATCAATATGACTTGGCTCTTTACTTCTTACTATGTACCCCGGAGAAACTTGCCCACATGCACAAGTGACATATGCAAGGCTGATCACTGAAGCCCTGTGATAATAAAGATTCAACGGAGATGGTCTGACTGTCCATCCACATGGAATGGCTAAAATCATCTTATTCAAACAATGATATAATATAGATAGCAAGTAAAATGTAAGAAATTAATCTACATCAGTATGAATACATTTCAAAACAAAATGTTGAGTTAAAGAGCATCGTCAATAATTGCATAATAGTAATAACATTGGTAATTAATAATTATTACTAATAATTGCATAAATATCATTTACAAAAATTTAAAGACATGGCATTGTGTTTAAAAATTGTGAGTGTATATGTATATAGAAACATGAAATTTTTAAATGTTCATGGGAAGGATATACATCAACTTCAGGAAAATGGTTACCTCTAGATTGGGGAGGGAAAAGATAATAGAACAGACCTTTAGTTATTTCTGTAATACTTTAATTCTTAAAACTAAAAGGGAGACATCTGAGAAAATACAGAAAAATGTTAATATCTTTCTTTCAATCTTGGTAGGGGTTGCTTGACTATTATATTATTTTTTGCAGTTTTATATGTTTAGAATATTTCTTCATTCTTATTTTTTTTAATAAATGATAGATGAGGAGGTAGAGGAAATGAGTCTAGAGGATTTGATCAGATAATTTGTCTCCTGGTTGATCTCATCAAGACCTCTAACTTTAAGCAGCGCCAATATGTGCACTCTCTCTCCCCTGAGAGGTAGGCTGATATGTACATACATCTACTCCACATCTCCATCTGGATATCCAAGGGACCTTCCAAACTTAACTTAGCCTAACAAGCTTTTGGTTCCCCACTTTTACGCCCAACAAAATTTGCTCCTCTTTGTTTCCTTACCTCTGTAACCAATCTCACTCTCCACCCAATTTCCCTGGCTCCAACTTTAGTTTGCATTCATAATTCATCTCTCTCTCTCTTTCTCTCTTATCTCTGCCACCAGCAAGTCATTTTGATGTTAGCTCAAAATATAAATCTTATGGCCAGGTGCACTGGCTCATGCCTGTAATCCCAGCACTTCAAGAGGCCAAGGTGGGAGGATTGCTTGAGGTTGGTAGTCTAACACCAACCTGGACAAAGTAGTGAGAGCCCATTTCTATAAAATATTTTTTAAAATTAGCTGGGCATGATGGTCTGTGCCTGTATTCCTAGCTACTTGGGAAGCTGAGACACTAGGATTGCTTAAGACCAGAAGTCTAAGGTTACAGTGAGTAATGATAATTCCACTACACTCCAGCCTGTCTCAAAAAATCTATATTTCTATATCTGTATCTATCCATATATCTCCAGAATCTACCATTGCCCATCACTTCAACTGTTGCCATCTTAGTCCAAGCCACTGTCTTCTCTTCCCTGCTCTGTGGCAATGGGTGTTTCTTTTGTTACTCATTCTCACTCTATAGTTCAACAATAGCACTGGTATCTTTTAAAATGTGAATCACGGCCATGCGCGGTGCATCACACCTGTAATTCCAGCATTTTGGGAGGCCGAGGCGGGCAGATCACGAGGTCAGATTGAGACCTGGCTAACACGGTGAAACCCCATCTCTACTAAAAGTACAAAAAAAAAAAAAAAAAAAAAAAATTAACCTGGCGTGGTGGCACGCAGCTGTTGTCCCAGCTACTCAGGAGGCTGAGGCAAGAGAATCGCTTGAACCTGGGAGGCAGAGGTTGCAGTGAGCCGAGATTGTGCCACTGCACTACAGCCTGGGTGACAAAGCAAGACTCCATCTCAAAAAATAAAAATAAAAAAAAAGTGAATCACATCATGCCACCATCCTGGTCAAACTCACGAAAGAAACAAAATACAGGTTCCTTTCTGTGGTCTCCATAAAGCCAAAGGAATTTTTATATTTTATAGAATCTCAATATACATATTTGTTGGATAAATAAATGAATGGGAGGAAACATTACTGAAGGAATAAGGAAATTGAGTTGGTGCAAGATGATGGGCACAAGTGGAGGAACGAGCGTTTAACAGTAGGTGAAATGTCACTCCAGCGTGACAAGAGAAATGCTGGAGGAGATGGTTGAGGCTTTGGTGGAAGGAAGTAAAGGATTTCCTGCTTGATGGGTTTTATTTCCTCAGTGAAATGTGAGGCAACGCCAGCAACTGCCAGGATGTGTGGAATGTAGGATATGTCTAAGGAGAGAGGAGAAAGCATGCATCAAAGAACACAAAATCAAAATTTCTGCCAAAGTAGGATTTCCAACATGTTTACTGCCTATTATGGCTTAGTATTCATGAATTTATTTTTAATCCAGTCATCCCCATCATACCATTTTCTTGTAATATTTAACTGCTTGAGTGCAGGCACAGAAAAGATGGAAAGTTTGTTCTGATAAGCTGGAGTTTTTACTGGAGTAGAAGAGAGGAAGGAGGGAGGGGATAGTAGATAGTGATTGTATCTGATGATGGATGGTAAAATCTAAGCTGGGCAAAGAGTACAGTGAAGATAGGAGGGAGGTTAGGAATAGAGAGAATTGATGGTGTTCACGGATTGGAGATTTAGACGTGATATGAATTGCAGCAGGGTGAGAATGAGATAAAGGAATACTTGGTATAAAGATTACAAAGATGAAACACCAGTGTGATATTGACAACCTTATGTTTGATATTTGACCGGATTTCCTGGCATAAAATTCCTAAAATCCTTGGAATTTTGAAAGTGCTGTCTTTTCGTGTGCTAGTGAATGACTGATAGCTTCAGGACAGGGCTGGTCACCAGGAAGACCAAGGCAGGATTAGAGAGCTGGGACTTTCAATTCTACTCCCCAGCCTCCAGGGAGGAGAGAGAAGCTAAAGCTTAAGTTGATCACCAATGGCCAATGGTTTAATCAATCATGCCTAGGAAACGAAGCCTCCACAAAATCCCAAAAGTTCCAGATTCTGAGATCTTCTAGAGGTTCCTGGAGGGTGGTGGGCCTGAGGAGGGCATGGAAGCACTTCACGTCTTCCCCCTACCTCACTCTGTGTGTTTCTTCATCTCTACCCTTTGTAATAGTGTTTGTAATAAACTGGTAAACATAAGTGTTTCTCTGAGTTCTATGAGCTGATCTAGCAAATTAATGAAATCGAAAGAAGGGGTTGTAGGAGCCCCAACTTGAAACCAGTGTCAGAAGCCAGTCAGAAGTTCTCTGAGGCCCAGACTTCAGACTGGTGTCTGATGGAGGGTGGGGCAGTCTTGTGGGACTGAGCCCTCAACGGGTGGGATCTGACACTGTTGCCAGGTAGATAATGTGAGAATTGACTTGGACTACACCAACTGGTGTCTGCTGCAGAACTGACGGGTGTGTGGGGAAACCCCATCCCTCACATTTGGTCACAGAAGCCTTCTGTGTCGATTGTTGAGTAAGAGACTAGAATAAGCATTGTGAGTTTGAGTGTGAGTTTCTTCTTCAGAACCAGCAGCCAGGGGACTGGTTGGCTGATTGTAGGAAAGGGCATTGAAACAGAGGGGATTAGGGTATTGAGCTATATTAAAGAACAACTGAAGATGTTGAATGTTAAAGAAAAAAAGTCCAGTCTTCAGAAAGACAGAGAAAGTTACTAAAAAGTTAACAGGAAGGGATGATGCCATTAACATAAATGTTTGTTTGTTTGCTTATTTGTTTCAGGAGGAAATGGGGAAGGGAGGCATCTAGAAATGTCACTAAAGACAAAAGATTATACTCCCCCATTTTCTGAATGAAGGAATAGAGTCTCACAAATAAACCATCTCTTTTTGAGATGTGGTGGAGAAACAACATTCTCAGGTAATCATTATGCAATGTATACATATATTAAGTTATCACATGTACATATTAAATACATACAGTTATTGTCAATTAGATATTTTTAAATAAATAAATAAATAAGAGATTTTGTTCTGTTTGTTCTGGTACTACCCAGTAAAGTTCAGCTATAATTGGTAATAGTTTTGTCAATGCTTCCATAACTTGGGACAAAGTTTCTTATTTGTTCACTATATTCTCCCTAGTGTTATTTCACTTTTTGAGGATCAAAACCAAAATAGTTCTTACATGGTTTTACTAGCTGTAAAAATGCATTTTTCCTTTGGTATTTGATACTTGCAAAAATAAGAGTTAATAAAGTAGCAAGATATCTGCCCATTGTTGTGTTTAGGGAAATAAAAAATGAAACAGCTACTTAAAAAAATTCAGAATGCTAGTCTTTGGTATCCCCTGCTGTTTGATTTGGGCAAATCATTTAACATGCTTGTTCTGAATTTTTAACCTGTAATGTAAGCTGGACCGTATGATCTCCAAGCATCTACCTAGGTCCAGAATCCTATTTCTTTATATTTATCCTATTTACCACATTGCCTTCTGTATTTTACCAGTTTTCAATTATTTTGGAATTATATCTGCTATTTGCTAAAAATGAACTTTAAATAACTGAGATCCATGTGGTTTTCTTCTGCTTCCCAAAAGACAAAATTGGTGGAAATACAGTAATCTCTACAGATAACTCCTGGTTAGCCACACTAATAGAACTTAGCATCATCGATAAGAATTCAAATATTAAATAATAAAAAAAGTTTCTATTTGAGTTTGGACCACACCTTGATTTATTTATTTTGCAAGTATACTGTCTGAATTACACCATTATAAACTAAACATTATAAATTAAATATTTGCATTCTCTAGGTAATTATCAGTTGAGAGGTATGAGGATGAAGAGTTCTGAACTTTCTAATAGAAGAAGACCAGACTATAATTATTTAAAAATGCATAATATGTAATAATAATAACAGTAATACTAGTCAACAAATGAATCCATTGGATAATGGAAAGTTAACTAAATAAACTTGTCTCTGTTTGCCATCCCCAACTTGAAATAATCTGGGGCACAAATGTCCTAGCACAGTACCTGGCACAAAACAACTCAATAAATATTGATTTTTCTCTTTTTCTTCTTGATTATTAATAGAGGTTCATTTTTTATTTTCTTAATTTATACGAAGGTCACTTCTTATCTTCTTCTCTATTGATTTGACTCCTTGTAGAACAAAGAGATTACAAATACAAAGGAAAAAAATGTTGAAACTTTGTTCTAAAGGAGAGCTTAATGTGACAATAAGAACAGTTTCCCTTGCAGTAAAATTATTGTTACGAAATGTGTGCACTCAAAACTTGTGTCAAACCTATTTATTTTGCAGATATGGGGTAAATTTCCCCTTTAGTCACTAAGATAGGCATGTATGGCACCATGACAATAATTATTATAAGCAACCAGTCTTAAAATGGATAGTTTGAACATAATACAATATACTTCAACAAATGGGATTTTAACACTCTCCAGGTATTTTCTCTGCTGTGTGAAATCCACTGTGTGAAATCTCTTTGTTCAGCTCAGACAGGTCGTTTGTCAAATTCCTCCTCATTATTAAAAATGTATTCAGTGGCATTTAATGAGTACATATGGATTCAGAAATGATCACAAATCAAAATTTCAAAAGTCATATTTTTATCTGCACTCTCCAAGACTATGAATATGTAGCAGGCCCTTAATGTGGACTATTGTTAGTGCTCAAACAGGATCTGATTCTTGTCACTGAGATTTTATAGCCCTCCTTCTTCAAGTAAGGAAGTTACAAAACCCAAAGAGATAGAGTCAGTGTCGGGGAAAGAAACCCCAACGAGAATGGGGATTCTAACCTCAAACTGCAGTCCCAATTCAACTACTTTTCCATTTCATGACTTTGTAATTAATATCTGCTAATTTATTATTTTATTTAGAAACTAGTGTTTATGAAGTGTTTGCAAATAAATTATGCTATGTAAGTACTACAGTATTAATATTAACAATAATTATTGTGTTAATAAGTGTAATTTAAAACAGAATTCTTGGATTCCCATTTTGAAGCATTGCTTTTTCTCTTTGCACAGTCAGAAGAGTACATCACAAAATTAGGCAGTGGAAAAATTTCCTTTTCAAAACCATGCAGAGAGAGAGGCCTCACAGATTGTATCTAAACTGAAAAGATTGATGTTAATAAGGCTTACTATTTATCATAGCAGACTATTTCATGGAACTAAGAACAAAGGCAGTTTATGAAAATCTCACTTATTTGGCCCAGGTTCTAATCCAAGAATACCTTTCAAATGTGGTTCACTAAAGGATAAAAATATTTGCAGGAGTGGATACAGCTGTCAACTAAAACGACACATAAACATTAAAGGAATGTAGGCAGGATTTTAAACCAAGGACACTCGCCCTAGCCTGGTCCATAAAAACTCTCCCCACAGCTGTTCTTGCTCTTTTGCCTTCTGCTGACTTGTTGCAGATGGATACAGAGACTGGAAGCTACAGTTCAAGGTGATAGAGCCCAAAAAAGGTAGAGATGGGATCCTCCAACCACTGTTTGAATGACAGCTGCCTGCTTGAAAATTTATGTAAGCAAGATATCTACTTCTACTTGAGTGTGTGTGTGTGTTTGTATAAATATATATAGACACACATAATTACATATATACACTTGTGTTTATAGATATATGTGTGTGTGTATATATGTAAACACACACACACACACACACACACACACACACACACACACACACACATATATATATATATATATATATATATATATATATACATATAGTCTAAGTCCTTTTTGTGGTGCTATAAGAGAATAGTTGAGACTGGGTAATTTAAAAGATAAGAATTTATTTCTTACAGTTCTAGTGGCTGAGAAGTCCAATGTTGAGGGGCGAGGGCTTTCTTGCTGCATCATCTGATGGCAGTTGGTAGAAGGGCAAAAAAGCATACTTGTGGGAGAGAAAGGATGCCAAATTCATTTTTTTTTTTTTTAATTAGGAACTCACTCCTGTGACAACTTACTCCTGGGACAAAGACGTTAATCCATTTCTAAGGATTCCTCATGACATAATTACCTCTTAAAGGCCCCACCTCTCAACAGCATTGCATTGGGGATTAAGTTTCCACACCTGAACTTTGGGGAACACATTAAAACCTTAATATGTATCTATAGAGTATATATAAATAATATATATAAATAATTTATGACTATATATTGAGTACTATATAAGTATATGAAAGCAAATTATATATAAATGTACATATAATGTATTTTTAAGTTATGTATTATATAATTATATAATATTATATAATTATATAATTATATAAGAATGCCGTGGTAACATCAACCCTAGTGACCTGAAATTGTCGAGGTATGAGATTCTTTTCTCCTATTCTTCAGCATGTTAGGGAAGAAGATTTTCAGAACTTTTCTGTGTAGCCTGTCGGTATGTCCATACCGAAATTCAAGGCATTCCCCCATAATATCTAACTCCAATCCTTCCTTTTAAGTCTCTACTTGTTCTGCCTTCCTTTTCTCCTCTCTATTATTCAGCAATAGTAAGGCAGTCCTCTCAACAACCATGCCCTATTCAAATATATTCCCTGCTTCCCTTGAAAAAGAATGCTACAATTTGACCACAGAAGGGAAGCATCATACATTTTACATGTAAAATATCCCATCTTCATAATTTTAATTTTTTTGTCTTGTACCACCAATATTGAAGTTCAACTAAGGAGCATTAGAGATTTGGAGCGTGGGTTACATGTTACTGACTTTTGCTGAACTTTTGGGATAGAGAGAGTGGAGGATGTCTTCAGCTCAAGTTATGCAATGATATTGAGCTCCATGCTCAGATACAGGAAATAGAGGAAGAAAAAGCTACCCAGAAACCAAGAGCAGTCATTGGGCTAGGTGGGTTACTTAGGGACACAGCTGCTAAGTAGGAGAAAAACAGCACAAAACAAGTCTTCTAATTCTTTGGCCTGTTCTCCAATCCTCTTCATAGAGGAAGTGGCAAGGATCCCAGGAACTGCTTTTGCTAATTACTAGGCATTTTCTCTCAGGCTGTGTTCATTTTGCCAGGGTGATATAACTAAGTGTATGACTTTGTTCTTGCTTATTTATCTAGGTTACTTGTTAGCTTTTCATTTCCTTACTATTTCCTAGTTTGGATTCCAAAACACCTTTCTAATGCCATTTCCTTGCTTAATAAGCTTCAGCGACTCTCTATTGCTTATAAAATAAAATTGCATGCACAATTAACTATAATACAGTAAGCTAATAATAGCATTTATTGAGCCCCTTTTTAAGTAAGCTGTGCTGAGTGCATTCTGTGTATGACATCTAAATCTCATCACTTCTTTGCAGGGTAACTATTGTTATTCCCATTCTACAGATGAGGGTTCTGAGGCACTGAGAGTCAAGGGGTTTACTCACAGTCAAAGAGCTCCCAAATGGTAAAGCCAGAATTTAAACTCAGATTCTTTTGATTCCAGAGTCGTTACCCTCACAGTAAAGTATGCCATTGTGCTCATTGGTCAATTCATTCATTTACTTAATTGACATTAATGACACTTGCATCAACAAAATATTATGGGAAGGCAAAAAAGGGAGCAATTAAATCAGATAGAGACATTTAGAAGGGTTAAAACTTTAAGAATAAATAGAATTGAGTCAAGTGCTGAGAGTATGTATGAGGTATGGAACTGGCTTTTGGAAGATGATTTTTCTAGGATAGTGAACATGAAAAAATAATCAGTCCAAACAAGTCCATAGAAAATATGAAAAAAAAAACCCACTTAAACCCTATGACAAATGTTTCTCTCTTTGATTCAGCCTAACTCTACTGACTTTCAAAATAAATGTATGATTCACTTTAATGACCTTTGCAAAAAAGCAAGTTGGTTTGGGAAGGGTGACAATGCATATATTATGTTAGAAGTCTATAGTTTCCTAAAGAGGCATTTCTTTATAAGACAGTGGGTCTTATAAGACTCCAGGAAAGGACATACATCAATGTTCATCAAGGATATTGGTCTAAAATTCTCTTTTTTGGTTGTGTCTCTGCCTGGCTTTGGTATCTGGGCAATTATCAGAGATGTCACCTGATTCTTCCTTTCACTGGACTCTTCTAGTAGATGAAGCATACTAAACATCCTAGTCTCTGATAAAACAGACTTTAAACCAACAAAGATCAAAAGAGACAAAGAAGGCCATTACATAATGGTAAAGGGATCAATTCAACAAGAAGAGCTAACTATCCTAAATACATATGCACCCAATACAGGAGCACCCAGATTCATAAAGCAAGTCCTGAGTGACCTACAAAGAGACTTAGATTCCCACACATTAATAATGGGAGACTTTAACACCCCACTGTCAACATTAGACAGATCAACAAGACAGAAAGTCAACAAGGATACCCAGGAATTGAACTCAGCTCTGCACCAAGCGGACCTATTAGACATCTACAGAACTCTCCACCCTAAATCAACAGAATATACATTTTTTTCAGCACCACACCACACCTATTCCAAAATTGACCACATACTTGGAAGTAAAGCTCTCCTCAGCAAATGTAAAAGAACAGAAATTATAACAAACTATCTCTCTGACCACAGTGCAATCAAACTAGAACTCAGGATTAAGAATCTCACTCAAAAGCACTCAACTACATGGAAACTGAACAACCTGCTCCTGAATGACTACTGGGTACATAACAAAATGAAGGCAGAAATAAAGATGTTCTTTGAAACCAACGAGAACAAAGACACAACATACCAGAATCTCTGGGACACATTCAAAGCAGTGTGTAGAGGGAAATTTATAGCACTACATGCCCACAAGAGAAAGCAGGAAAGATCCAAAATTGACACCCTAACATCACAATTAAAAGAACTAGAAAAGCAAGAGCAAACACATTCAAAAGCTAGCAGAAGGCAAGAAATAACTAAAATCAGAGCAGAACTGAAGGAAATAGAGACACAAAAAACCCTTCAAAAAATTAATGAATCCAGGAGCTGGTTTTTTGAAAGGATCAACAAAATTGATAGACCGCTAGCAAGACTAATAAAGAGAAAAAGAGAGAAGAATCAAATAGACGCAATAAGAAATGATAAAGGGGATATCATCACCGATCCCACAGAAATACAAACTACCATCAGAGAATACTACAAACACCTCTACGCAAATAAACTAGAAAATCTAGAAGAAATGGATAAATTCCTCGACACATACACCCTCCCAAGACTAAACCAGGAAGAAGTTGAATCTCTGAATAGACCAATAACAGGAGCTGAAATTGTGGCAATAATCAATAGCTTACCAACCAAAAAGAGTCCAGGACCAGATGGATTCACAGCCAAATTCTACCAGAGGTACAAGGAGGAACTGGTACCATTCCTTCTGAAACTATTCCAATCAATAGAAAAAGAGGGAATCCTCCCTAACTCATTTTACGAGGCCAGCATCATCCTGATACCAAAGCCAGGCAGAGACACAACCAAAAAAGAGAATTTTAGACCAATATCCTTGATGAACATTGATGCAAAAATCCTCAATAAAATACTGGCAAACCGAATCCAGCAGCACATCAAAAAGCTTATCCACCATGATCAAGTGGGCTTCATCCCTGGGATGCAAAGCTGGTTCAATATACGCAAATCAATAAATGTAATCCAGCATATAAACAGAACCAAAGACAAAAACCATGTGATTATCTCAATAGATGCAGAAAAGGCCTTTGACAAAATTCAACAATGCTTCATGCTAAAAACTCTCAATAAATTCAATAAATTAGGTATTGGTGGGACATATTTCAAAATAATAAGAGCTATCTATGACAAACCCACAGCCAATATCATACTGAATGGGCAAAAACTGGAAGCATTCCCTTTGAAAACTGGCACAAGACAGGGATGCCCTCTCTCACCACTCCTATTCAACATAGTGTTGGAAGTTCTCACCAGGACAATTAGGCAGGAGAAGGAAATAAAGGGTATTCAATTAGGAAAAGAGGAAGTCAAATTGTCCTTGTTTGCAGACGACATGATTGTATATCTAGAAAACCCCATTGTTTCAGCCCAAAATCTCCTTAAGCTGATAAGCAACTTCAGCAAAGTCTCAGGATACAAAATCAATGTACAAAAATCACAAGCATTCTTATACACCAACAACAGACAAACAGAGAGCCAAATCATGAGTGAACTCCCATTCACAATTGCTTCAAAGAGAATGAAATACCTAGGAATCCAACTTACAAGGGATGTGAAGGACCTCTTCAAGGACAACAACAAACCACTGCTCAAGGAAATAGAAGAGGATACAAACAGATGGAAGAACATTCCATGCTCATGGGTAGGAAGAATCAATATCGTGAAAATGGCCATACTGCCCAAGGTAATTTACAGATTCAATGCCATCCCCATCAAGCTACCAATGACTTTCTTCACAGAATTGGAAAAAACTACTTTAAAGTTCATACAGCGCCAAAAAAGAGCCCGCATCACCAAGTCAATGCTGAGCCAAAAGAACAAAGCTGGAGGCATCACACTACCTGACTTCAAACCATACTACAAGGCTACAGTAACCAAAACAGCATGGTACTGGTACCAAAACAGAGATATAGATCAATGGAACAGAACAGAGCCCTCAGAAATAACACCGCATATCTACAACTATCTGATCTTTGACAAACCTGAGAAAAACAAACAATGGGGAAATTATTCCCTATTTAATAAATGGTGCTGGGAAAACTGGCAAGCCATATGTAGAAAGCTGAAACTGGATCCCTTCCTTACACCTTATACAAAAATCAATTCAAGATGGATTAAAGACTTAAACATTAGACCTAAAACCATAAAAACCCTAGAAGAAAACCTAGGCATTACCATTCAGGACATAGGCATGGGCAAGGACTTCATGTCCAAAACACCAAAAGCAATGGCAACAAAAGCCAAAATTGAGAAATGGGATCTAATTAAACTCAAGAGCTTCTGCACAGCAAAAGAAACTACCATCAGAGTGAACAGGCAACCCACAAAATGGGAGAAAATTTTCGCAACCTACTCATCTGACAAAGGGCTAATATCCAGAATCTACAATGAACTCAAACAAATTTACAAGAAAAAAACAAACAACCCCATCAAAAAGTGGGCAAAGGACATGAACAGACACTTCTCAAAAGAAGACATTTATGCAGCCAAAAAACACATGAAAAAATGCTCACCATCACTGGCCATCAGAGAAATGCAAATCAAAACCACAATGAGATACCATCTCATACCAGTTAGAATGGCAATCATTAAAAAGTCAGGAAACAACAGGTGCTGGAGAGGATGTGGAGAAATAGGAACACTTTTACACTGTTGGTGGGACTGTAAACTAGTTCAACCATTGTGGAAGTCAGTGTGGCGATTCCTCAGGGATCTAGAACTAGAAATACCATTTGACCCAGCCATCCCATTACTGGGTATATACCCAAAGGACTATAAATCATGCTGCTATAAAGACACATGCACACGTATGTTTATTGCGGCATTATTCACAATAGCAAAGACTTGGAACCAACCCAAATGTCCAACAATGATAGATTGGATTAAGAAAATGTGGCACATATACACCATGGAATACTATGCAGCCATAAAAAATGATGAGTTCATGTCCTTTGTAGGGACATGGATGAAATTGGAAATCATCATTCTCAGTAAACTATCACAAGAACAAAAAACCAAACACCGCATATTCTCACTCATAGGTGGGAATTGAACAATGAGAACACATGGACACAGGAAGGGGAACATCACACTCTGGGGACTGTTGTGGGTTTGGGGGAGGGGGGAGGGATAGCATTGGGAGATATACCTAATGCTAGATGACAAGTTAGTGGGTGCAGCGCACCAGCATGGCGCATGTATACATATGTAACTAACCTGTACATTGTGCACATGTACCCTAAAACTTAAAGTATAATAATAGTAATAAAAAATAAAAAAATAAAAAAAAGATAAGGTTGGTCTTTTCTGATAATTTTTTTTACTTTTTTTAATATATTATTTGTAGAAACTCAGAAGGTACAAGATGATCCTTGAGAGATTCTCTTAACATTATTCACTCTATTTCAGAGAAATGGCTGAGAAAATATACCTCATAGTTGTACATTATCATTCAACTTCAACTTGCAGTGAAATACCTGTTGAATTTATTGGACCAGATAAATGTGAAAGCCAAAGAACACAGAAAAATCTGTACACTCCTGTTATTTCTCCTTTTTCACTGTGGTTTCAGCAATTCAGAAAGCAAACCATAGCTTTGGCGGTTGGAGCTCTTGAAAGCTCTACTGCCAAGTTATAGATAAGGGATAAGTTGAAGCCGTCTCTCTGACTCTCATTTCCTTAGACTCCATATGTTTAACAGCTCCTCCAAAGCTTTCCATTGTACAGACTCTTAATGCAGCTGTCATAAGTGCAACCATAAGAATTTCCTCTGATAAGAGTGATCACAGAAAGCAAAATACCTGGCTTCTCATTCTCATGCATTTACTCACTATGTAGGTAACCTTCAGCAAATCATGTTTTTTTCTGGGCTTTCTGTATCCTCAGCTTGAAAAAGAAGACCAGGTACTCTTTGGGGCTCTCCAAGCTCTAATCTTATGATCATAGTATCTGATGGGGTGATATCCACTATCAACATCAACTTGAATGAGTCTTTTCTCCACCTAAGAAAAAGCAAACTAAAGAGAGCTTGAAAACTGCATATAATAAGTATCACAAAATTCACAGGTTGAAATTGCAGGGTCCAACATTGTTAGGTAGATGATAGGGGAAGTCCATGATTTAGAAGTAGAAGCAAGAGATCAGTCTATGCTGCTCCCCAGGCACTCATCCATCCACCTAGAGACATTGCAATGATCATATACCTAGGCAGCCCAATGCTTCAGTTTCCTCCTCAGTTCCTGCTTATGTAGAAACGAAGGCTTTGAAGTTATCGTGATGTTTAATTTTATTTGTTTTGTTTTATTTTGGCCTAGGATCTCAGGGCTTCAGAGGCAAATAATTTTATATGCTCAGGCCAAAACTGGAGAGTGTCACTGTTTCCCTTCCTTTTCTATGAAATTTCCTGTCCTAGATTTTTAACTCTTTATCCTTTTCTCCCTTTGTATGTCTCAAGTTACACATTTTGGTCTGGCTGTGGCCTTCCACCTGCCTCTATAGCTTTTAAGAGTGGCCCCACATGTTCTGTCCCAGATTCATTACTGAAGGGACTCTATGGCAGGAAGGCACGTGGCCTAAGGTATTCCTTAGTGCTAAATTTAACTTTATGTTTGCTATCTCCGTAAGCCATTTCCCTTCTCTGTTTGTGCCTGCGTTTTTCTCATATGAAGTGGAGATAATAACACTTACCTTCTGCAGCCCATCAGGGTGTTATGAGGATTAATTAAAGTTCTTTGTAGGTGACAAATCCCGAGCATAGTTATTATTAGCTAAGCAAACTGCCTATTTTAATACTAAGGGTCTTGAGGAAGGTCAGATGAGCTCCTTTAAGCACAACCCTCACTCCCATTTTTCCCATATTACTTTTTGCCAGCTCCAGCATGCAGAGAACCTGAGGGTGTTCTTTGGAAAATGTGCTTTTTCAATAGGATTAAACTGCATAAATAATTGAAAAGTGGCAATATGCCTGAAGAGTGGAGAGCACGTTCTCATTACTTTCTGCCTTCCCAGCCACATCCCTGGAACCCTAAGAACCCTCTAGTTTCCTAAGGCGAACTGCAGAGTCTGGTGTTAATTAATTCTTGGCATATACATACCATTGTGTTCACTTCAAAATATTTTACAAAGCATACATTTTTTAAAAACCCATAAATTTGGCTCATTGATTCTCACTTCCATGATGGAAAAACTGAGGTATAATATATGAACCTATTTCCCTAAAGACACAGAGGGAAAACGAAGACTCATGGATTATTAGGTTCAAAGGTCCAAATAATTTAAATAATAGCATTTTAAAATTTATAGTTGCCCATCTCTGGCCTTAGTTCTACTCTTTAGAGTAGCACCAGTTTGCTGGCTTTTCAGCTCTGGAAGTAATGAAAACCTAAAAGGCGGCTGTCAGGCTTCTGGCTGTTCCTCATAATGGTATGTCTTCTCATTATCAGATAGAACATCCCTCTTTCATGTGTCCATTCTATTTACTCTTCTATAAAATCTCACTTCTTCTCTCTGAGTCTTCTTAAAGTGTGATGCTCACAATATGTACCGAGTACTCTAGATACAGTCAGACCAGCATGGAGCAAAATGAGATTTTACCTCCCTTGTTCTAGACTCTGTTCTATCTTACATAGATGACACATCATACTGATGACTCCTATTACATTTAACATCAGCTAACATTGCCACATCATTTTCACCTCCTGCTAGCCAAGGATTTTTTTTCTTTATCTTTTACTGATTCAATTGATTTTTGACCTATATGCAAGACTTCACATTTATAGATAATTATTTAGCATTCTAGTCTTCACTTGTTTTTCTCAGCTTGATTAAATCGTTATCAACTCTGACTTTCATGCAGCCTGTGAGCTCACTCTTTCTACCAGCAGTGCTAATGATGATCCCTTTATTTCCTTTATTGCCTTTGCAGATTTTCTGGTCTGCAAAGGAAGATGACTTAGGAAAAATAAAAGCAAGACAGAAGCAGAAGGAATGGAAGTTAATAAGTGAATAAAATGTAGAGAGGATAGTGATAGTGGAGAGAAAGACAATTTAAAATTTTCTAATTTCCTAACATACCTTTCTAAAGATGTGAACATTGCAAAAGAGGAAGAATTTCCTTTTTCCCAGAACACACAGTAGGAGCATGACTAAGATGAGATGAAATGTGCAAATTTTGAATTTTGTAGACATTTTCTCTAACTTGTTATAACTTCATTTTCCCTGTGCCATTTCACCTTCATGTTGCTCATCAGGATTACTGAAAGGGCCTCAGTAACTTGGAGCAAAAAGTTTCTTAATGGATCCTATAGGAGAATCATACTTCCTTTTTTATTCCTGGGAGTTCTTATCGATGCAGATGCTTTTCTATTATTTTCTGTGGATCTGAATGGCAGTGTCACCTACTCTCAGGCTATTAGTTTCCTGACTACTGAGCTTTCTTTGGCTGTTATAAGTTCACCCCTCTATCCTCTTTTGGAAATGAAGGGATTGTCTACAGGGATTGTCTTTCATCTCCATTTTTATTAAAAAAAATTTAATGCATTGCCATTTTACCCTCTTGCCTGCAATGATTGCAGAAAGAACCAAACAGCAGCCAAGAAGAGTCCTAAGTACTCCTTAGAGAAATAAGTGAAGTCATAATTGAAAAATCTGCAACCAACAATTATTATCTAGGTTACAGTCTTTTTGAGTGTACCTTCATGCCAGAGTGGGGCGGTATAAATAGACACATGTTCTGGGACAAGGAAGAAAGAAGCTGAGACACAGAAGACAAAGTAGAAGGTAAAGAGTTTCTTGTAAAAAGCCAAATCTTTAAAAAATTAAAGCTGTAACAGCACACAGATTGCCTTTTGAATTATACAAGTGAGATTCTCATCTCTGAAATCCAGTTTAGGTCAATGGCCTGAGGAGAGTCTTGGCTTCATCCTTCCACAAATGTATAAATTAGATTTGAATGGTGCTTGCCGGAGGCTCTCCACCCTTCTTGCAGAAAAGGCATCATGCCATTTTTTTCCTTAAATAAACAATAATAATTTAGCAATATAATTTAAAATCTATTAGCAATAATAATTGACAGTAAAATAATGTAAGTCATATTAAAATAATTTAAACCAGTAAAATAGGAATACCGATCATTTACTGCTTTCCTTCTTATTTGATTGTGGATTCAGAGAAAATGGTGCCAGTAATGTAGGTTTCCATGAGAACAATATGCCAGTCAGGGGAGATGAATTAACTGGGCAGATTTCACTGCTACCCCCACTCCCTACTCCTTTCTCCTCATACCCATCTCTGTGGTGCACAAATGCTGACCTTGCCACTAAATATCTAACAGTTGTTAATCCCTGCTGTCTTTAACCTCTAAGTGACACTTCCATTTCCTACTCAGATGCCCAAGGAGCATTGTTTTGGCAGTGAAACCTGGTTAGAAATATGTAGCCAGGCATGGGGAGGTGGGGATGGGGACAGACAGTTCTGTCTCCGGTGCATCCCCTGGTTTTATAGCTTGTTTGTAAGCCTGGCACTGCTGCCTGGGAAGCAGAGTTTTCATCAAAGTTTAGGGATACAAGGTCCTCACTTTTTCTCCTGAGGAGGTTTCTTTTTTCCTACCTTAGGGATTTTCAGAAGGCTAATTTAAACCCTAGAAGAAAAAAAAGTAAGCTAGAGATCTAGAGATTGCAGGAAGTAAAAAGAAAACATTAGTGGGATAGAGAACAAAGAATTTCATAGTAAAAGGACAGCCTATAAAGTGATGAGCCTGGCTTTCTTGCTTGGATTATGGAAAACTGTCTTATTATTCACCCGGTACCATGTGTTCCTGTGTGTCTATCCATGGGTGTCTGTATGTGCACACAAATAAGTTAGTGTGAGAACAAGAGAAAATATGAGAGACAGAATTAACTAGGGATGGCAGGCTTCTTTTTAAGCTCTAATCTTTACATGAAAAAATATGTAAATCCTTGGCACAGTTCCTACCCATGATCACTCTCCTTTGAATTGGCAGAAGACTTCCCCATCTCCGTACGATGCACTAGGTTGCCTCTTCAGAGGGTGACAGCCAATATTATCTTAGAGTACTTGGTAGTGTCATAGAAAACCCTAAGGGCCTTCATGGTAAAAACAAAACCAAACAAAATACACACACACACACACACACACATACACACACAAACAAACAATAAAAAACAAAAAAAAAAGAGAAGAAATTAAAAAGTAAAAACAAAAGTTCTCGCAAAGGCTTACAGACACTATTAAAATCTCTTCATTGTCATTTTTTAATTGATATAATCTTACCACATAAAAACATGGATAGGTCTTAATCTTCTTCTTAAATAGGATTTCCTGGTTATAAAGGGGTTACTTAAGTCAATGTGACACTGGAGAAAGCTGGAGGGAAAATACCATAGGGCTCTTGGTGAAGAGGTGTGAAGTACTGTTGTGCAGCACCACTACTGACTTCTGTAGAGATGGGACCATATTCGAGAGGCCAAAAAAGAGACCCAGAGCCAGTGAACAAGACAAAGGTTTATTGAGGTGACTTACATATAAGGCAATCCACTGGCAGTGGGCTGGATAGGAAAACCACAATCCCTTATAAAAAACATAGAACTAGAAATACCATTTGACCGAGCCATCCCATTACTGGGTATATACCCAAAGATTTGTAAATCATACTACTATAAAGACACATGCACACGTATGTTTATTGCAGCACTATTCACAATAGCAAAGACTTGGAACCAACACAAATGTCCATCAATGATAGACTGGATAAAGAAAATGTGGCACATATACACCATGGAATAATATGCAGCCACAAAAAAAAGGATGAGTTCATGTCCTTTGCAGGGACATGGATGAAGCTGGAAACCATCATTCTCAGCAAAATATCACAAGGACAGAAAACTAAACACTGCACGTTCTCACTCATAAGTGGGAGTTAAACAATAAGAACACATGGACACAGGGAGGGGAACATCACACACCACACTGGGGCCTGCTGGGGGGTTGGGGGCTGGAGGAGGGATAGCATTAGGAGAAATACCTAATGTAAAAGATGAGTTGATGGGTGCAGCAAAACAACATGGCATATGTACACCTATGTAGCAAACCTGCATGTTGTGCACATGTACCCTAGAACTTAAAGTATAATAATAATAAAAAAATAAAAACATATTTAAACAATAAAGTATTAATATCATTTAAAAAATTCAGTTATATAGCATTTTCACTTAGCACCCTCCCCCTAGCAACCTCCACCTGGCAACCATCCCAAAACAAAGGGACTCCAACCCGTGTGGCTTACATTCCATGGGATGGGCTGGGCATTCAGATGTTTCTCATAGATAAGGAATGAATCTTCAGGCTGGCCACCCCTAGATTCCTTAGCTAGGAACCAACAACACGCTCTTCTTAGATTGTAGGGTCATTCTCAGGTTATGCTTAAGATATTGCTGTCAGGTATGTCTGCCATACAAGTACCCCCATGGCCTCCAAGTAATAAGTGGGAAAGACTTTGGCCAGGAGAGATTGTTTCAAGTGATTGGGTTGTTTTGTAGATGGTAATGAAAATTTTTAATCATTGTTAATGGATCTCCTTTGTTTTCATGAGCCAGTGAATCCTAATGAATTTTAGTCATTATTAACACATTTTGTGGTATGACTATGAATAATTTACAGAAGAAATAATCTTTGATAATCTTTAATATCTTGAAGACAACAAAAAGGATTTAAAAATCATCACAGAAATTCCCGAGCATTCATCTCCACAAGTCCCCAGATTGGGTTATGTTTTGGTACATGGTGCTGTTGAGTACATAGTTTCACCCAGAATTTTGTTTGCTTGTTTTTGAGACAGAGTCTCGTTCTGTTGCCCATGCTGGAGTGCAATGGCACAATCTCAGCTCACTGCAACCGGCATGATCTTGGTTCACTGCAACCTCTACCTCTCAGGTTCAAGCGATTCTCCTGCCTCAGCCTCCCAAGTAGCTGTGATTACAGGCACGTGCTACTACGCCTGGAAAATTTTTGTATTTTTAGTAAAGACGGGGTTTTGTCATGTTGGCCAGGCTGGTCTCAAACTCCTGACCTTGGGTGATCCACCTGCCTCTGCCTCCCAAAGTGCTGAGATTACAGGCATGCAGCCCAGCCAGTTCCACCCAGAATTTTAAAGCAGTAAGTTAAAACGCTCTCTTCCTTCTACCTCTCTACTTTCATCAAGATCAAACTGAGTCTCAGACATGATTAAACATTATCTTTGCGGTCCACTCTTTGGCTACATGTCTTGGCTTTGATTTTAACTTCGCATGATTGGTTATAATTAAGGTTTTTCTATTCTCAGTTTCCAAAGTTGAAAACTGAGAGACAATGTTGGTCTATACTTACATACATAAGGCAGAAAAAAATAATTGTCTAGAGAAGCTACAATAACAAGCTAATTCCCCAACTTTAACTTAGGCCATCTCTCCAGCTCAACTGCCTTTCTAAATAAATCAAATCCAATTTGACAATGACATTAGCAAAGCTTGAACTTTCTTTCTTTGTCAGTAGCAGTGGTTGTACTCGGGAGCGGGATATAATCTTTATTAACTTGGGTTTTCCAGAAAAATAAGTCTGTATGACATCAAGAAAGGTGAACAGGAATGTCCATGCTAATAATCTTGCATGCCAGAGGACCAACCACATCAATCATGGTACCTTATAAGACAGGGTGATTAATGTCCCCGAATCCTTTTAAGAAGAAAAGCCTTCTTGGAAAGGCAGTCCTCATAATTTACATCTAGACTGTAGAAAATCACATGCATAACTTGATGCACAAGAGGATTTGACAAAAATCTGAAGAGCCAGGACTGGATGTTTAGACACCTTGGCCTTCTTTTCAAACTTCAAGGCAATTTTCAGTGGACCTGTAAAAACCATTTTCTTTCCCTGAAGGGGTTCATCCAGGAAATTGAAAGAATTAAAATGAGTGCTCTGGACAAATAAATCAATCTTATTAACGAATTCCATGGGCTTTTCTCATCCTAGTGAATTGCCAACAAATAAATAGTTACCCAAGGATTTCTGTTGGCAGCCATTATTTCAGGGGGTATAATAATCAATAGTTCTTTAATGAGTAAGATCTTAGGTAATTTCTCTAGTAATTCTTTAAACGTATACCTTAATAAACATTATTCCATGCCCATAAAATGCTCTATTTTTTTAGCTCCTGCCCTGGTACTGATTTATCTGACGAATTATTATTTAAAAATAAAATGATTTACTCATTATCTCTTCTGCAAAGCTTCTCTGACACCTTCCGTTTTCTCAATAGACATTCTTCTCTCCTACCTATTTCCTCTTCACATTGTTTTATTTACTACATTGCCTTGTGATTTCATCTGGTCATTTAGTTATTCATTCCATAAATACGTATTGAGTACTTACTGTCTACTGGGTACTGTTCCACTCAATGAGATGAAACAGCATCTGAGATAGGTAGGTCTGAGAACTCAGGAGTTTTCTTTCTAAGAGAAGAAAGAGATTACTTTACATGATTTTCTTTATCTGAATCTGTTTACACAGTGACTTTACATAAATGGTGCACAGTACATATTGGTGGGGCTGAGTTTAATGATCTGTGTAATGTTATGTCACCTGGATGACCTGAATGCTTACTTTTGAGGCTCCGCCCTGCTAATATACAGTCAGTCTTCTATAGATGTCTCATCTGTGCTCTGAAGTCCTATCTGTCTAGGCTAAGACCCGGTTTTCCATTCTGTTCTGAGTATGAATCATGAATCTTTTCTTGAGTGTCTGCTTCATTTGTCACCATGCTCAGAACTATTCTCCGGAGACTTTCTTGGCCAGGGCCCACGTTTCTTCCGTTGCCTACTACAGCCCACTGTTTTCTGTTTGGCATAAGCTGCTGTTGTCATGTTGCCACCAACTTCTAAGCTTTTAATCTCTCCAGGGACCTCTGTCTATCTTGGTACTAATATCTCGCAGGCTGTAACCACAGCTTTCTTGAGGCTACTAAGTACACAATGGGAATGGCCTGACTTAGACAGCATTCTCTGGTGAACCTCTGTCCTCACTACGGTGGTTTGATGGCCATCAGGCAGAGTGTTGTAGGGCTGTCCCAGGGCTCCCACTGCTGCCAATTCAGGCTACTGTTGCTCTTCCCACCCCTGACCCTCAATTTAGAAGCCAACTTTCTTTCCTCTATTTTGCCTTTAGAGAGAGACACTTCAGTAGATTTGCTTGGGCCCTGAGATTTACACTTATCAGGTACAAAGCTGTTCATTCCCTAAGGCACACACAGAACACAAGGAGGGCTGAGTCTGGGTGGAATTTAACAAAAGTCACCACATTGTGATTTGAAACATTTCACTATTTTATTCTTCTGCCTGGCTTTCAAGTCCATCTATTTTGCCTGACTCATTTCTCCATAATAGATTTCCTCACAGAGGCCCTGAATTCCCAATAGGGGCCCAAAATTTTCTCAAGCCTACACTTGAGCCCTAAGTGCATGCATGGTTCAGAATGTCCTCGTCAGGACATTGCTATCCTAGCTTCCATGGGAGTCAAACGATGCATAAAAACAATGCTGAGGACTAGCAAAAAAACACGTCATTTACTTTCACATGGTAACTGCTGCCTACCTGGGAGCCCCACTGCACATTTTACATGAGGAAGATAAATTAGGTTTCATACAAAGTTACAATTCTTCCTCAGAAATTATTCACAACATAGATTTTGTAGTTATTCTTAGTTTACCAGCCTTTTGATCCACATCATCTTTTATTCTTACCAGAACACATCTTTGAAATATGTATCAGTTGCCTCATTTTTATTTTGAGTTACTGAAATTTAGATTATTTAAGTGAAAGTAGCAAACAATGCTGAAATTCTGACTCAAAACCCAGTGGTGTGCCGCTATTCCATAGTACTAGTTTATACCTTTAGCCTATAATGTATATATTAGGGATTATACCCACTGCCTCTACCTAAATTAAAGGGACCCAGAGGAGCTGAGAAAGATATAATTTGATTTTGTGAGTCTCCTAGGTCTCTAGGTTAGCAAAGCAATCTTTGCTTCTGCAGAAAAATAAAAGCCTTAAGAAATTACCTTTATTTCTTTTTTTTTTTTTACTATATCCAGTTCAGTAAAAACAAAAACAGAAAACAGTTAAAACCATAGAGGGATTAAAAATGAAAGTCCCGTCTCCATCTTTCTGAGTGTGACTGGGCTAAATACGTACCAGAGACCAACGAGAGGAAGATCGAAAACATGAACGCAAGGGAAAAATCTAAGAGTGTGCTAGTTTTAGAGGGAAATTTTTTTCAAGAACACTCCATTGGACATATTGCTCTCCATACCTATCATATGTTGTAGGAACATACCCATTGTCGATCTTGTTTGTTGTCACCAAGTAAGGATGGGAAACTACTCAAGAAAATGTAAGTGCCTTCATCTGCCCACTACCTTAGTTTGTAGACATAGCCCATTCCCCGCAGATAGGTACAATTTGCTGTCAACACATTAAGGAATAATGCATAGCCTTAGGCTACCTGACTACGCATACACAAATAGAAATATAAGATCAATAGTCGGACCCCTTGAGTATGACCTCTCTTACCTGATAAAATAGTCAGTTTAAAAGTGGATAAATAGAAGTGGAATGAGAGACTATGGATGTTCAGAATGTGGGTTATCAGACATCCCCTTTATCAGTAAGAAAGGTTGGGTTTTCCTGTTTGGTGGATTGGCTGCCACAAATCTACCCCTTCCTACATCTTCAGTGTGGAAGAAGCTGAAAAACACAGTCTTGTCCACTCTCTCACTATCCGTCTCAGTGCCTCTCTGGAGACTTCATACATCTTGATGGGTTAAGTCCTGACTATGCCACAGAAGGAGGAATGAGTATTTTCAAAGCTTTGAAGCTCCAGATCAAATCCACAGAGCTGGACAACATCAGGCGATTTGATCTCTATAGCCCTACAGGGAATATAATGGGATTTCGTTTCTTTAAAGATGGTAGTGTGTTTTTCTCTCATTAAAGTGTCTGCTTTTTTCATTTTATTGACAGTTCTGAGTTTGTTTTTTCCTTTGGGGAGGAACTACAGGTTTGAATGCCCCTTATTATATAGCTTTATACTTCTTTGAACTCCTTTTAAAGTATTTGCTTATTTTTAGAATTGAATTAACTACCCTGTGCCTTAACATAATATGAATCCATAACTGTCAGAGGCCCAGAGGGATGTCCTTACAGCACATGGGTTACTCCTGGGGCCTCCATCACTTACCAAGTCAAGTTCTAAAGCCAGTTAAGATACAGCGTGGGCTGAACACCTACATATATGTATAAGCGCCTTAAACTTGGGTTAATGGATGACAAGATAACTCTGAGGCCATTTAACTCTACTTGATTCAGGGGTCAGAAACCAAACCAATGAAGCAACAACAACAACAACAAAAATCAGTCTCTAGATTCCTGAACACTATTGCCAACCATCAAGGCTGCTTATTCCCTGCTATACTAAACTAATATCCTCTGAATATTTTATCTGTCCTCATTCTTTCTTTCTCTATAGGATCTTTTCAAATATGCAGCCTTCTTTTCAGCAAAGTTGTTTTTCTTAAAGTCCAAATAAACACATGTTGCTTGCTTCCACATATACTATCACACCTTTGGTCAACTTGAAGAACCTCCTGTCTTCTAAAATCGCCCGAAGTATACTGGAGCAATTCTTAGTTGTCAATGTGGGGTCCACAGACATCCAGCAGTCTCTGAGGTCCTTTCAATGGGCCCACTAGGTGAAAACTATTTTAATATTAATACCAAAATATTATTTGCCTTTGTCACTGTGTTGGCATTTATTCTAATCTATAAGGGGTAAAACTGAATGAAGGCATGAATCAGTGTAGTAGAAATAAACTCTGTGTATCATCATTGCAATCACTGCTAGGTGCTTATAAAAAATTCCACATAAGGTGGTGCATGTCTGTAATCCCAGCTACTCAGGAGGCTCAGGCAGGAGAATTATTTGAACCTGGGATGCAGAGATTGCAGTAAGCCGAGATCGTGCCACTGCACTCCAGCCTGGCGACAGAGTGAGACTCCATCTAAAACAATAATAAAATAAAATAAAATTCCACATAAAATGGAATTTGATAAAATAATAAAATTATTAATGTTATGAAATTTTGACCATTGACTACTCATACTGTCAATATTCTGTGTGACAAAATGAAATGAATGCATAAACACTTGAGGCTTATCTAGGTAAGATGGTTTGGCAAATGGAACGTTAACATCGTGACATAAGTTCCACCCAGATGGAAGCTTTAAGAACCATCATGATAAATACATAATACTAAGAAATAAACAAAAACAATAATTACAACCAATAAAGGAGTTAAGCAAGGCTGTAGAATACATGATCAATATACAAAGATCAATTGTATTTCTCTACATTGGCAATGAAATGAACATTCTGTAATGAAATTAAGAAAATAATTATATTTGAAATAGCATCAAAAAGAATAACATACTTAGGTATAAGTTTAACAAAAGTATAAGACATATACTGAAAGCTACAAAATATTATTGGGGGAATTTTAAAAAGATCTAAATAAATGAAAAGATATCCCATGGTGATTGATCAGAAGATTTACTGTTGTTAAGATGTCAATACTACTTAAATTAACCTGCAGATTTAACACAATCCCTGGTGAAATCCCAGTTGGGTTTTTTAGTTTTTTTTTTTTCTGCAGAAATTGACAATCTGATCCTAAAATTCCTAGGTAAATGCAAAGGACCCAGAATAACCAAAAGAATCTTGAAAGAGAAGTAAACAGTTGGAGGAAGCCACATTTCATGATTTTGGAACTCACCACAAAGCTAACACAATCAAGACACTGTGGTATAAGAATGTGCAAATAGGGTACTGGATTAGAATTAGGAATCAAGAAATAAAGCCTTACATGTATGTGATATGGACAGGAGACAGGGAAATACTGGGTGGAAGAAGGTGGTTCCCCTGCAAAGTCCCCACCCTTAAGCCTGGAAACCCATGGCCCTAAAAGGGAACAGGCAATTTTGGTTTTGTGCCTAAACGTTGGCTTTTGGCCCACCACACCCCCTTACCCTGTACCCATATAAACTCCAAGCCCCAGGCTCCATGAGCAGAAGAGCAGAGGAACAGAAGAGCTGCAGAGTAGCAGAGCAGTGAGGCAGAGAAGGAGCGTCTGAATGTCGAGAGGAGTTTGGCTGGGGACAGTCAGGGAGGAAATCAGCCGCGGGATGGCCAAACTCCAGGGAAAGATCATCTTGCCACTCCATCCTCTTTCTAGCTCCCCATCCATCCTGCTGAGAGCCACTTCCATCTGGCAATAAAATGCCTGGCATTTGCCATCCTTTAATTTGTCCGTGTGACCTGATTCCTCCTGGATGCCAGACAAGAACCCGGGTACCAAGAGGGCACTGAGCTGGTTAACACTTAAGCCGTCTGCAGATGGCAGAGATAAAAGAGCACTGTAACATGCCCACTGGGACTTCAGGAGTCACGGGCACCCACTTCTAGATGCTACTGTGGGGATGGAGCCCAAAAGTGCTCTTCCCAGCTCCTGTATCTGCCCATCTGCATGTTCCCCTCCTGTAAGGGGTCTGAGCAAGTGGCGGCCAAACAGATAAGCCACACCCCTGTTGCACATTCTGCGATGGGGGTCAGGGAATTCTCCCATTTCATATGACTAACTGATTTTCAACAAGGGTGCCAAGAAAATTCGTTAGAATGACTGAATATCCACATGCAAAATAATGAATTTAGGATCCCCTACCTAACACCATAAACAAACATTAACTCAAAAACAGATAAATAACTTAAAAGTAAGACTTAAAACCTTAAAATTATTCAAAGAAAACATAAATCTTCATGATCTTGGATTAAGCAATAGTTTCTTACTTACGACACCAATAGTGCCAAAAACAAAAAAAGAGAGAGATGAATTGGAACTACATCAAAATTAGAGACTATTGAACTAAAAACAATACCATCAAGAGAATAAATAGACAACTTAAACTCAGGGAAAATAGTTGAAAATTGTACATCTAATGGGGGATTTCATCAAGAATATATAAAAAATTTGGACAATTCAATCTTAAAAAGACAAGTGACCCAAATAAAAAAAAAGTGTAAACTGTTTGAATAGATATTTTTCCAAAGAAAATATAAAAATTATCAATAAGCACATGAAAAAACTGCTCATCATCAAGCATTAAGGAAATGCAAATCAAAATTATAATGAGATACCACTTCATATCCATTAGAATGGTTATAATCAAAGAGACTGATCATAAAAAATATTAGCAAGAATGCTGAGAAAGTAGAATGCCCATATGTTATTGATGGAAATATAAAATGATGAAGTCATTTTAGACAAGAGTTTTGTGATTCCTCAAAAGGTTAAACATAGAGTGACCATATTACCCAGAATTTCCATTCTTAGGTATATGCCCAAGACAGATGAAAACATAATCTACACAAATTTGTATACAAATTTTCATAGCAGCATTAGTCACAATAGTTTAAAAAGTGGAAATAATCCAATTGTCCATCAACTGATGAGTGGATAAATGTGAATCCAGAAATGGAATATTACCTGGCTATAAAAAGTGAATGAAATATTAACATATGCTAAAATATGGATGGATCTTAAAAACATGATAAATTGAAGAAGATCACATATTTTATGACTTTATTTGTATGGTATGTCCAGGTTAGGCAAATCTATAATGAAAGAGGATCATCAGTGGCCTAGGACCGGGGTTGGGGTGGGGAGAATGGAAAGTGATGATTAATGGATACAGGACTTCTTGTTTGAAAAATTAAAGTGTTCTAAAATTATATTGTGCTTGTGCAAGACTATGAATATACCACAAAATATTGTAGAACATAATTTAAATGGGTGAATTGTATGATATGTAAATTATATCTCAATGAAGCTGTTTGTGTGTGTGTTTTTTTTTTAAAGTAGCAATATCATGATGTTCTGCCAGGTCTCTACCAACTCCTGGATATACTATTCTACTTTGGGTACCAATCATTTCCTTCAGCTCTTATCTTGTTGAGTACTTTTAGTTTGCCCCACACTATTTATCATTTACTCATATGTTTATCCAACAGTCGTTGAGTGTCTATTACATATTAAGTGCTGTAAGAGAGGGAGTGTGCAATAACTTTAAAAAATGAAATAATAACAATCCTTATTATTGGGCAAAGGGGGTTTGTAACATTTCATGGTCATGGTGTTTTTGGCCTTCATTCATTGTTTTCCTTTTGTTTTGTTTTTTTTTTTCAAATGGTGTAGGTCATTGACTACCTAATTTAAAGATACCCACAACACGCCTAGCTTACTATGGAGTGCTTTGTAAGAACTAAAAAGTGTTGCTTACTAGTTGGAAAGTATGCTAAAGCTTTCCAAAGTGTCATCATTTTTAAAGAAAACTAGGAAGTTCTTCAAATACCTGTGCATTTAGTTCAGTTTTGGTAATGTTAGAAATCAGAAAATAGGCAAAAGCATGAAGGTGGGCAATCCCTCTTTCAACTGATTCTAGACAAATTTCCCCGTGGAATTAGCAATATTCTTACAGCGACCTATGTAGACCATGTATCAACCACCATTGTAGGGGGCCTGATCATCCTACACTTAGTAAGTGTACTCGGGGGTTTCATTTCTTCAAAGTTATTTGCACCTCATACTAAACAGTAATCAAAAAGTGACCCTGGAAATCTCAGGCTTCTTGCATCATTGCGCATATCCTGATTTCCTGAGAGGGGCTCCTGGGATTTGTCTCCTCCACTTAGGCTGTAAAACTCAAAAAGATTTGAGCTAATTGAATTGCATCCTCTGTTGGCACTGGGCTCTCCAGTAGGCTTGCTGATTACTGAGCCTGCTACCTCAGAGGCAGAACTGAGGACAGCAGCATCGAATCTAATATTCCCAAGAAAGGCTGGGATTAAAGTGCCTGAAACAATTGCATTTACAAAATATAAGACATAATTAACTTGTAATTTTGCAATCATTTAAAATGTGTTATTTTATTTAAATGAGTAAGTGGTGAGAATGTCTGAACTGTTGGGATGGGGCTGAGTAGAGAAGAGGAGGAAGTTATGAAGATGGAATCATACCCAGGGGGTAAAGCTTGAGCACAGAACCAATGCCTGAGGCCCCAGGGAGGCAACGCCTCATTATAACCACACCCCCTGGAGTTGCTCTAACAGTCTGCAGAAAACTTAGTTCAAGAAAAGAAGGGAGGATGTCATTTTTAGTTTAGAAGGAAGATGAAGCTGACAGCTGAAATTCTGGCATCAACCTGATCATCTTGTTAAATAATTGCCTGAAATTTTCCTCCTTAAGTAAAAACACAATATTGAGTATATTCCCATTCAGCAAGAGCATGAAGATGGGCAATCCATCTACACGTAATTATTGAATGTTACCTTATGATGTTATGGTGCTGGACCAGCCTACCCCCAGACCTCCCCATCCCTCTATGGGGTGCAAACAAGTATCAAGCAAATACTTTCTCTCAAGGAGATTTATCATCTAATAGGAAAGACACATTGTTGTCAAATAAAACCCGCCATTCTTAGTAATTTTCAGTACCTTACATTTCCTGACTATTTTTACATTCTTTGTTGCATTTGAACAACAATTCCAACAGGACATCATTATCCTTATTTGGTAACCGTGACACTTAGAGTGGAAACAACTGATTTCCTCAAAGTGACTTGTTTAGCAAATGATGAGGTCTAAACTAGAAAGAGGATCTCTGGCTATTAGAAGAAATTGTTTTTTGTTTGTTTGTTTCTTGTTTTTTTTTTTTTTTTTTTTTTTTTTTTTCTGCTACCATGCTATCACTTGTTTCCAACTAGACAGGATAGATGAAATCCAGGCCAGGGTAAAGAAACCGCTAACATTCACTAGTTCTCTGCTATTGTCTCAGTTCCCCTTGGTGAATTGAGCTCACAGAGGGATACACCAAGCAAATGACTATTCCTTAACTTCTACTTAATTTCTTTGCAGGGCTTTAGGCCCCTTCCCATGTGATTTTTAGAAGTGATCTAGACTGGACCTCAAGCAATACCAGAAAGCTTGTTTTTAATGTTCAAAGCCTAGATTTAAAACTAGCATAAGCAGCCTAAGCATAGCTCCTCTTTCCAGGCTGAGCCTTTACTTCAAAGGAGGAATGAGGAAGACCACGCTGCTCCCAGCAGCAGCCTCCATGCTGCACCTGCAGCATGGGAAGGAATAAAGATGAGAGATCCCAAAGTACATTCTGAAAAGATGGAACGGACTTAAAGCATAAAGGTCATGGGAGGGTTTATATCATCATTGTTCAATGAAAGCCTAGTTCCCTAATATTTCTTTAGTATCAAAACCTGTCTCTCTGTCTTTATGCAAACACAATTCCTCATTCTAATGTCTGAGTTTTTAACCCAAATACATTTGCTGTCTGTTTAGAAAGAAAATTCCATCTGAATACACTATGAAGCAGGGTAAACAGGTGCTGATTTGTAGTTCCTTTACCCTGCTTATGAATTCCAGCCATAGGACAAGAGAAGGTGTCACCAATCTGACTTGGTGCACCAGCAGAAATCATTCATTCCTATATTTGAGCTGTTGACCTTGGCTCAGGAAAGATATGGCCAAAAAATAGTGGGTGAACTAGAGTGCTGCAACACCAGGAAAAGAGGGGTGGAAGTTCCCAAGGCTAGCTCATTATCAGGCAAGTGAGAGGTAATGGCCAAGGATTGGCCATTGAACGAAGAACTAAGGAATGCCAAGGCCAAAAAGGCAAAATGTGAGATGAAAACAAAAAAGCAATCTGGGTAAAAAGCTGACAGGGGCAACAAAAACAAAAACATATTCTGTTTTTAATCCAGTCACTTGTTTGAGAAGTCAGAATTCTCTTCAGCCAGCACCTGACATGTTCAGTGTCCATAGTGACTGCGTCTCTTTCTGCTGCCATAGAAAAGCAGAGAGGGAATCTAGGGGTAGATTTTGTTTTAAACACACAAACTGAATTCGATCAAAAGCAAAGACATTAGAAGAAGAGAGAGACTTTGCCCATCTTCTCTGTTTAGGCTGCCTGATTTTTCTTTTCTAGTGCAAGTTTGCAGCTCCCTTAGATAAAGGGCTGTGGCCATTCTATCCCTTGCTCCTCTTGGGAGATGCCTTAATGACGAATTATTTCACATGAATAATTGAAATTTGCAAGTGATCCATTTATAAAATTAAAGCTTTACAGTTTCAAAGAAAGCAAGCTTCTATATTTCATTGTGTTACATACACAAGCAAGTGATCTAACCCTTTGCCAGGTTGACATACACGCAACCAGGTATCTAGTCAAGGATCAGCGTTTACCCTGGAAGGATATGGGATGCAATCTGTCTAGCCTTGACCTTCAAAGAACAGGATGGTTTTGCAAAATTTGCTTTTTTTCATTTTTTCACCTTGAGCGGAAATTATCATGGCATTTCTCGTGACTATATTATTCATTATAAGGATTTAATACAAGTATTGGGCTGATAATAATATTCTTTGATTCTTTTCAGTAATCTATTATAGCATGGCTCTGAGATACAATAAAAGGCTGATATTGATTGGACCTCTACAATAAAAAAAAAAAGCAAGCCTAGATGGAAAATTAAGATAAAGCTCGAGGTGAATTCTGATGACAGCAAAACAGAATTATCTCTGGATGGACACACTTCTGGATCATTTTCCCAATTTAGCTTTAAATTGTATAGTCATTTCTTTTTATATTCTGGAATTACCATAGCCATTTTTTTTCTTTTTTTTTTTTAACTGTAGTTTTAAGGATTTGTTCGTGAAGGAATTGTTGGAAAGCAATTCTCTGGGCTAAGCACAAAGTATCCCACTAGTAAGAAAACCACTGGCTCATTGAAAGCCCCAGGTGAGCCGGGTCTAAATAGAGATCACAGCAGGACACAGTCCAGTGGGGGCCAGAAGCAGCTCACAAGCCCATGAGAGGACAGAGATGGGCCTCTTGAGTCGGTAAGGAGGAGAATGTGCTTCTAGGTCATAAAAAAGGAGGAAATGATACTAAGGAAAAAAGCCCACTTAGGGATTTTTCTGGGGAGAAAATTGTAGATATAGGACAACAATGTTTTACTGCAGTGTGTAGCTCAGAAAATCAGAGAAAGAGCGAAGGCTTGTCAAATCCATTTATAAAAATGTTAACATCAAGGACAGAACTTGAACCGAGACCCGAAGATACAGGATGATCTCAATAGTGCGCTGTGCCTTGCCAAAAAGGAGATGGAAAGAGTCCATCTCATCACCTGAAGTTATTTTGTAGAGAATCTGTCTTTCTTTAAATAAGCCAAACTCCTTTGCTTTCCTAATTGCTTAAGTCTCTCCCTTGTGGTGCATGTTCTTTTGTTCTTTATGGTAATGCCTTGTGGTTATATAGAGCTTCCTACTTACAAGGGACTTTCTCATACGTTATATCACTTATGGAATCAAAAGGATTACTACCCAGATCTCTTCAGAGCTATCTAGGACAACACTGCACCAGCTCATAAGCCAAAGATCCAAGTTCGAGTCCAGAAACCAAGGTCAAGTCTGTGTGAGAACTTTAAGTGACATAGGACTGAAATGCAAAGGGCTCCAGTTCCAGAGTATTTTGACCCTGCCAAAAGTATGCATGGCCTAGGTGGAAGTCATTCCATCAGAACTTCAGGTTGTTTTTCCCTTTCACAAAGACACCTCTAATTTCCAGTTACACTGACCAAGAACTCCAAATGGCAAGAACACCCTGCCTGGAGAGACCTCTAAAGTTTGCTGATGAAGGCATTACTTTTGCTGATGAAGGCTGTTACTTAAAAGGGTTATGTATTTAAACCACAATTAACGTTTTGATAGTGTGGAGGTCAGGTAACTATTGTCAAAATGTGGGCAGAGTTGGGGCATATATTTAGAGTCCTTTTGATGCTATCGTTAGGCTTAGAGCTTGAGTTTTTAGAATTAGACTGCTCACATTTAAATCCTAAATCCATCGCTTAGCAGCTGTCTGCACTTGGAAAATAACTTTTACTTCTGCATCTCTTTTCTCATTGAAATAACTGGAATAATAGTACCTCCTTGGTGGATTAATGAGAGAATCAATATAAAGTCATGTAAAACACTCAATCAGTACCAGTCCTCATGCAAAGTCAATGCTTTTTGCTTTCTTCTTTGAGACAGGTTCTCACTCTGTTACCCAGGCTAGAGAGTACAGTGGTGTGATCATAGCTTACTGCATGTTCAACCTCCTGGTGGGCTCAAGCAGACGCCACCATGCCCAATTAATTTTCTTTCTTTTTTCTTTTTCCTTTTTTTGTAGAGATGGGGGTCTTGCTGTGCTGCGCAGGCTGGCCTTGAACTCCTGACCTCAAGGAATCGTTCCACTTCCTGCCCCAGCCTCCTAAAGTGCTAAGATTACAGGTGTGAGCCACTGCACCTGGCCTCAAAGTCAATGCTCTTAACTGTTAAGTGGTTAATGATAATTTGTAGTCAAACAAATACTTTGGCCTTTTTAAAATGTATCTAAATGCTTTGATGGCCTAAGGCCACAGTCCTTAAACGTTAGTGGGCATCTGAATCACATGAAACCTTGGGTGGGACGCAGCCATCTGTGCTTTAACGAGCCTTAAAGGGGGTTGTTAAAACACAGATGGCTGTGTCCCACCCCGGGTTTCGGATTCTTTGGATCCAGAATGGAGCTTGAGAGTTTAAATTTATAAACGAATTCCCAGGTGAGGCCTATGATGCTAGTCCAGATATCTCTCATTCTCACCCCCTCCTACTGTTTAAAATAGAATCCCCGAGGGATGGGTTCTTGGCTTTAGCAATTTTTTAAAAACTCCCTTGTGTTTTTGCTGCGCAGCCAAATTTGAGAATCACTAACAAAGGGTATCTCGATTAATTAAAGAGAGATATTTTATTTGACTAGCTCAAATAACGGCTTGATTCGTGGTTTCACAAGGTGTTAAAAAAGTAGTGTTTGGTATTAACATGCTATATATTTATTGGGTAAAGATGTGTGGTTGAAAAGACATCTTTAGGATAGAAAGAGGTAGCTATGTAATATTTACACACTAACAGAGCAGCAAAAGTTAGACTAAGAGTAGGGAGATTCGTTTATTAATTCATCTAGGAGCTGTAGGTAGATGAAAAGTAATTGTTTGCATTGCTGTGACAGCTTAGGACAACTTTTCTTTTGGAAATTGCACTTTGTGTTTTGTTCCCATCTCTGAATGTCTTGTTGTAGAACTTGATTAAACAATAAAAGCTAACTTCTATCTACAACTTTACCTTGTCTCCCCTCCACAGATACAACTATATTTTTGGCAGCCATATTTTTCTTCTTATACTTTATGAATAGATTACTTTCTCCAAGGAATAGTTTAATGCTATGAGAAAATGCTTATGACGTAATGTCATATGCAGGAATATTCTTCTCAGATATATCAAATATTTAAGTGAAAACATAGCTTACTTATAACTTTCTATATATTCCAAAAATGAGCATTTGCTACTTTTATAATTAGGAAATAAAATTATTTAGCTGTTAAAAATGAGTCAGGGTTGGGTTTATTATTAAAGTTATTTTATTACTCTTTTAAAAACTAAAAAGCAAAAGAAACAGGAAAGTAAAAAGACATATCAAACTTGCAGTATAGTTTAATTCCAAGTATAATTTCATATTCAGTTGAGGGGTAGAAAAAGACCTGCACCTACTGGTTTTGCTCAAAATGGTGATAAATAGTTCCCAACCTGCAAGGTCCTGTACTGGAAAAAGAAAAAGCAAATGCAAGGAATGTGAGCTTTATAATTTTGCCTCTGCCTCCCCTTCCTGAAGAAAGTAGTATCATTTTTGCAAATAGTACATGATATTTATTCATTTGTTTATTATTTATTTTTGCAAATGGCATTTCCAGACTCTACAATCATTTGCATCTAGGCAGGTCTTTTTCAAAGAGCCGTGGTTGGAAGCACCTTGAAGCCGACTCTGTTAACGTGCATGACTTCCTAGTCATGCTAGCACCACAATCCTTAAGGTGTGGGTTCCAGACCAGCAACAAGGATCACCTGGGAACTTGTTGGAACTACCGCTTCTCAGAACCCCCACGCTGACCCCTAGAATTACTGACTCAAGTATTTGGGAGACATGGGCCAGAAATCTGATTTTAACAAGCCCTCCAGGTGATTCTGATCCCTGCTGAAGTTGGGGAACCTCTGTTTCAGTCAATACATTTCTGGTGTTTGTTCTGCAGAGATCCACAGGGAACTCAATGGGAAGTACACTTCAAATGGTAGTGTTACCCCCGCCTTCAAATGGTATTGTCATCTACCGTCTGGTTAGATTGCTTTGATATAGCAGTAGTCTCAGCACTGGCAGCCCCTGCTAGCAGAGTCTAACTGCTGCTGCTATGCTATAGTAGCAGCTGTAGCTTATGTAGACCCATGAAACACCATTCTTAACATACTCTTTGGGCTTCTGGAGCACCCATGAGAGCTCAAACAACTGCTCCAGAACACTGGCCTCAGCTAGTTCAGCAGTAGAGAGAATAGCAGCAGTGGGACAATTATGTACAAATGGTGTCATATGTCTATAGGACTCTCCTTGAGACCAACTGCCATGTAGTTCATGACCTCTTCTACACTGATATTTGGAATTCTGATATTTGAAATTCTGTCCCCAGTGATTTGCAAAGTGAGGTTGTGGGATTGTTTTCCTCAGTCTCCCCTTAGAATGCATTTCTATGTTCAACCCACATCTACCGCCTAGAACCTACAGAGATAGAACCTAGGAATATGCATTATAATAAGCTCACCAGATGAATCTTGTGCTTAATGCTCTAGACTAGCCTATAAGCTTCATTCACAAAGGAAAGGATTATTCATGACTTACTTACTCCTTATTTTCCCTGTAACCAGCATAGATCCTGGGATATATAGTGCTCATTATGTATTTGTTGAATAAATAAATAAATGTAGAATGCATGAAGAAATGAAGGAATAGATGAATGAATGAAAGAATGGAGGGGGTGAATAAATTCAAAGGACAACTGATTTTTTAAACATTTGGTTAATATAGAGGATTCTAAAACATTGGAACTATTGATTCACCTGAAGTCTGATCTTAATTAGACTTCTCTGCATTGCAGAGACAGAGGTGATTTATGAATGGGCATTCATGTGTGGCTTATGAATTAGCGATAGCAAATTAGCAAGCCAAGGCTAGTTTTCCTTCTTTCTCATTTTCAACAGATTTCTGAACTGAACTGTGCATATTCCCATGCTATTAGCTACACAAGCAGTCAAGGAGGCATACATTCAGGGTATTCCAACAAGCATTAGTCCAGGCAAAAAAAAAAAAAAAAAAAAGGAAATCCTTTGGAAAAATAAGTGAATTTTAAATGAAATTTTAAATGATTATTTGAAGGTTAAGAGGTACTTGGGATTATCTACTTCAATGCATTTCTTCCTTACGTAGTGTGTATATCTGAGAATGGCTGCACAGGACTTGACATGAAGTGGTTATGGCTGGGAAATCTGAAAGCATCCCCAAAAGAGGCTCAGTTCCTTGGCAAAACGCACAGAGTCTCTTTTGCTCCAAACTTGCCATATCGTTTTCTAAATGGTTTATAAAGAAAATGTCTTTGTTTACTTTTGGAGTTTTGCAGAACAGCAGCATTTTTTTTTTTTCTCACTGATAAAAATCCTCTCTCCTGGATCTAGCTACTGGCCTGTTAAAAGGTACCAGCTGACCTTTTCTTGTGGCTTGTCAGAATGAATAAAGGACACAGGCGAGATCAGGTTGCCATTTCTGATTTGATCTCCTTGCCTGGGCCTGTGGGGCCAGAGGTCTGCCTGCTGGTGGAGATGAATGGAACGCGAAGAGCAAACTCATCAGACTCAGCAATGAATGGGCACTGAGTTTTCAGTGTCTAGTTCCCCAAGCCTGCAGGCAGCTTCAAAGAGTAACAAATGATGGAATTAGCTACAGTGCCACAATCCAGTGGGATGAACACAAAAATCACATTTTTCCATTTTTCCTACCATCACAATAGAACTACACATGTGCACACCCACACACTCAATTTTTGTCAAAGTCATACACACAGGACATTTGAAGTCATATAATACTGAAAGGTGTATGCCAAATCAGTACCCCTCCTTGCCTTACTCCCTCACAATCTCCTTCTCCTCCCCAGAAGCAGCCTCTTTCAAAGGAATCAGTCACTTCTTTTTTTCTCTATTTTTTAACAAATGTGCTTACATTGCTGTTTCATGTTTTACTAATTTTAGATAGACTCTACTTATTTTCATTTACACTAGTTACCCACCAATATGTACTCTGCAGTTTCTAGCAACCTCCTGTTAACTAGCAGAAATTTGGATTGGAATAATGACTCACACTCACAGTTTAATACTGAGCCACATGTTGTCCTGTGAACATGTTTTATTTCTTGTACAACTGCTTTGTTTTCCCTAGAATTAATAACTGCCATGTCTTTTTAAATGTGTGTATTTTCTGTTCACCTGAGGCTGTTTTATTTTTCTAGCTTCTCCATATCTCTCTAGTATTTGAAAATACTTTCCTTCCCACATCTCTGAAAATGTCAGTTTCTTGGTGCTTTTCTGTGAAAAACTACATCCGTCTCCCTCCATCTCCTGAAGTCTGAACTGATAGCTCTAGTCTTTCTGCATATCCATAATCTTGGGTTTTCCCTTGGTGTTTATTCACCTGTTTCCAAGATTATTTGGCTTCTTCTTATCGGTTTAATCCCTTAGTTTTTTCAGGCATCTCCTAAAACCTTGCTACTCAAAGCGTAGGTCACTGGCAGGCAGCACTGGCATCACCAGGGAGTCTGCAGGAGACGTGGAGTGTCGAGCGCCACCTGCAGGTGACTTGTTACACATAAAGATTTGAGAATCAGTTCTCTAAACATCAAGAGCTGTTTGGGCTGGATATAGACTTCTAGATTGGGAATTATTTTCCCGCAGGATTTTGAAGACATTATCATCATCCCAAATCAGATAGCTGATAAAAAAATATCTGTCACTATTCTATCCAAGCTCTTTGGTGTGATGTTCCATATTTTTCTTCTCTCCTATTGCCCCATTGTTTGGAAGTTTCAAAATAATATTCTTATGTCCCCGTGTGTGTGTGTGTGCATGTGTGTGCACGTGTGTGCTTGTCTCTGTGCATGTGTGTATATGTGTGTGCACGTGTGTATATGTGTGCGCATGTGTGCACGTGTGTGCATGCCTGTGTGTGGGCATGATTTATTATGCTGAGCACTCAAGAGCTCTGGAGACTCACAAGCATCCTTCCATTCTGAGAATTTTCTCACATTATTTCTTTGGTAATTTTTGTCTGTTTTATTTTTCTTGGACTCCTAGTTGAATGTTGGACTCTATTTATCCTTAGTTTATTTTTATTATCTTTCTACTATTCTTCTTTTAATTTGTTTCACTTTCTGGGAGATTTTCTTAATTTTATATTTCCACCTTTTATTCTTACTTTAGTTATATTTACAACTTCTCTTTCTGGTTTGATTATTTCATTTAACAGCACTCTGCCTCTTGTGATGGATTCAATATTTTCGATTTGTTCTGAGGAAACACTAATCACGATGTTTTGAAGGGGATTTGTGTGCATGTGCTCTCTGTATTGTTTCATTTTTCTCTTAGTTCCTTTTCTCCCTTTTTCTTGTAGTCAAAGATTTTCTTCAAAGGTCTGAAGTCTGGCAATGCATGTTTGTTCACATTAAAGTCTGTTCATATTAAAGAGCAAGGCCACAAAAGGCAGACTGGAATTTCTGTGTAGATACATGTGGGCCTCTTGAGTTCTGGGGGCACTAAAATACAATGAATAATAATTGTCCTTTTTATTCGGAGACCTGTCACTGTCAGTACATGGAGGGAGATCTTTGCTCTGGGCTATTATGTCTCCAGGGAATCTCCTAATCCCTTATATGAGGGGTGTGGTTGAGATGGGAAGATACATGCCTGGCAGAATTCTGGAAGCCAGATCAGGGAAGGGCCCTGAGGTTCTCTCTGTAGGTATTTCTCAATCCGTCTCCCTACTTTGGGCCTCATACCTCACTCATGCTGTCTTCTGTGTTGATGCACATGATAAGTCCTTTCCATTTCCATTTCTGTATCTCCAGAGAATAATCATTCCTGCATCAGGGTGGGGTGGGGTGAAGGGAGCATCATCTGGACACGCAGCACATGGGAAGGTCTCTGAGGGGCTTTCCAGTACAAGGACCTTAAACTAGGGAGCCTGTTGTCAGTTCAGCCTATCATCTCCCACTGCCAAGACACCTGGTGTTTCCACTGGACAAGCAGAGTTAGGGTGGGGTGGGCAAATGGGCTGTTCTTTGACAGTATTCATGTGCGGGTGCTCAGCTGGAGCTCCCTCTGTCCTCTCAGTCCTTGACAGTCAGTTAATTTGTTCTGTCTTCCAAAAAACTAGTTGAAACTTGTTCTCCTATAATTGTTACCCTTAAAAAAATTTTGGCATCGGGTAGTGGGGTTTAGGGAGAAAGGGAAGAAGGGGAAGAGAAACGCATGTGGTTAAACTGCTTTGTTTAACCAGACAGCAAATGATCTTCATCACAACTTATTACTCACACATTTAAAAATAATATAATTGAATATTCTTGACTACACATAGTGAATTAAAGAACACAGGAGATCCCACCAAAATGCAAGTAAAGAGTTTGTTTGCTTGTTTGTTCGTTCTTAAAGTATGAACCCTCAAGTACAGAGGAAATAAGAGGAAACAATAGCACTACCTGAGACTCTGGAAGCAAACTAGAAATGTTAGCTGACTATTAAGAGAAAACTGAAACCTATGTTGGCGGGTGGCAAGAACGGCCAGATGCAGTCTGACTTTTACCACAGAACTCCAGAAACGTGAAAAATTAATGATTCCAGCCAGATACCTTGGAACGTGGAGGTGCAGATTGGCCTAAAAGGAACAATAGTAGTGAAAAGTCCAACATCTTTCCGGGTTGACGTTGCCAGGTTTAGCAAACAAAAATACAGACTTGGGGGAACGGGTGGGAGGGGAGTGAGGGGTAAAAGGCTACACACTGGGTCCAGTGCACCTGCTTGGGTGATGGGTGCACCAACATCTCAGAAATCACCACTAAGGAACTTATGCGTGTAACCAAACACTGCCTGTTCCACAAAAACCTATTGAAATAAAAAAAAAATGCAGATGCCCAGTTAAAACTGAATGTCATAAAGATGGGAACAATAGACACCGCAGGTACAAGAGGGAGGAGGAAGAGAGTGGGGTAAGGAATGAAAAACTACCTATTCCGTACTATGCTCACTTCATGGTTTCGTATTCCAAACCTCAGCATCATGCAATATACTCATGCACCAAACCTGCACATACACCCCCAGAAACTAAAATAAAAGTTGAAAAAAAATCAAAATAAAATTGAATGTAAAATAGATATTTTAATTTGGGTCATACTTATAAAAAAACAAACAAACAAAAATGTTCTTTTTTTTTTTTTTTTTTTGAGACAGAGTCTCGCTCTATTGCCCAGGCTAGAGTGCAGTGGCACCATCTCTGCTCACCACAACCTCTGCCTCCAGGGTTCAATTGATTCTCCTGCCTCAGCCTCCCCAGTAGCTGGGATTACAGGCACCCACCACCACGCCCAGCTAATTTTTGCATTTTTAGTAGAGACGGGGTTTCAACACGTTGGCCAGGGCGGTCTTGAACTCCCGACCTCTGGTGATCTGCCCGCCTCAGCCTCCCAAAGTGCTGGGATTACAGGCGTGAGCCACCACGCCTGGCCCATTGTTTATCTTAAAGTGAAATTTCAGGCTGGGCACGGTGGCTCACTTTAGGAGGCCAAGGCAGGTGGATCATGAGGTTAGGAGTTCGAGACCAGCCTGACCAACATGGTGAAACGTCATCTCTACTAAAAATACAAAAAATTAGCCAGGCATAGTGGCACATGCCTATAATCCCAGCTACTCAGGAGGCTGAGACAGGAGGATCACTTGAACCTGGGAGGCAGAGGCAGAGGTTGCAGTGAGCCGAGATCACGCCACTGCACTCCAGCCTGGGCGACAGAGTGAGACTCCATCTCAAAAAAAAAAAAAAAAAGTGAAATTTCACTGTGTCCTGTACTTTTTCCTGGCAGCCTTACCCCAGATCCTCTCTCTCACCCAGCAACAAGGGGAAACTGTCTCTCCTCTTCCAGACAGAAGACTAGAAATGTACTCCTAGAAGATATGAAGCAGAAACTTTCTGGACATAGAACCATCACAACCAAGAGACTGCTTCCTGGACACAGAGTTGACTTCCTGGAAAGGGAGGACTGCGAGCCTGCTCACTGCTCCCTGCTGCATCGGCTCTCCTGCCCTCTTGGCTCTCAAAAGGCTGAAAGCCAGGCTTGCAATGCGCGAAATTATCTGGGGCATATGTTGAACCCATTTAACCAAGAAACTCCTGTTTCTTGCTTAGATATTTGGAGATCTAGAATAGAGATTTCTTTCTGAGAAACTGAACTGAGACCTGCACAGACTAATGGGAAGGGGCCACACAATGACCCTAGCCAGGAAAACCTGCCAGACAAGAAGCTCCTTGAGGGGTACAGAACTTCCAAGAGATGTTTAGTCAGTCACACTTCAAATATTAATGATCAACTAAGAAATCCCAGATCTTTCAGGAAAACCTTTCATATAAAAGACAAAGATAAGGGCCGGGCGCGGTGGCTCACGCCTGTAATCCCAGCACTTTGGGAGGCCGAGGCGGCCGGATCACGAGGTCAGGAGATCGAGACTATCCTGGCTAACACGGTGAAACCCCATCTCTACTAAAAATACAAAAAATTAGCCGGGCGTGTTGGCGGGCGCCTGTTGTCCCAGCTACTCAGGAGGCTGAGGCTGGAGAGTGGCGTGAACCCAGGAGGCGTTGCTTGCAGTGAGCCGAGATCGCACCACTGCACTCCAGCCTGGGCTGGACTCCGTCTCAAAACAAAAACAAAAACAAAAACAAAAACAAAAACAAAAAAAACAAAGATAAAAACAAAAATATTTAAAAAGGGACCTGGAAGACAGAAAAGCAATATAATGATCAGAAGAAAACTTTAAAAATGTACAGTCTTCAAAGGGACACGATTTAATTTATGGATCATTGAAATAAGAAGAAAACCAGGTGGAAAAAAGATTCAGAGAACAAGAAACTCTTAAAATTAAAAATGTGAATGCAGATATTAAAAATTCAATTCAGGATTGGAGATTAAATCTAAAGAAATATCCCAGAAAGCAAACAAACAAACAAAAAGTAAAATAAAATAAAGTTAGGAAAATGAGAGAAATTATTAGAAAATGCAGTTCTCCTGAATCAAACTAATGTTTTTTTCTGATATAAGTAGCAAAAAGAGAGGACAGAAAAACAGAGTAAGAACCTGTAAAATAAATGAATAATGAAAAAAATGTTAAAATAAAATCACCAGAACCAAAGAACATGAGTTTCTTGATTAAATAGGCTCAACATATACCCAACATAATGACTGAAAAAATAAAATAGCCATGTGAAAGTACATTGTTTCAAAAACCTTGGGGACAAGGTTCTAAAAATTTCTAGATAAAAAAAAGTCACAGATAGACAATCAGGAATCTTATTCTTGACATCAATATTAGAAGACAGAAGAGAATGTAGCAATGTCTTCACAATTCTGAGAAAATAGAATTTTCAACCTAGAATTCCCTTCAGCTCAACTATGAAATAAGTATGACGTGAAGATAAAGACATTTTTAGATGTGTGAGTACTCAAATGTTTGCCTCCAAGTATTCTTTCTAAGGAGATTACTGAAGGACATGCTTTAGTAAAATGAGGAAGCAAATCATCAATCAATAAGATATGATATCCAAAAAGTGAGGAATCCAATACAAGAGAGAGGTGTGGGGAACTCCTGCCTGATGACAAAGGCAGTTAGGGGACAGCAGGCTCAGAGTAAGCCAGCAAGCACCAGGCTGAACTGGAGAAGACAGAGGGCACCCACAAATAAAGATGGGCAATTCTGAGAAAATGTTTATACTGCTGAAAGAATGTTGGGATGTAAATGGATATTAGGTCCCTGGAAAACTAAGAGAGTGAGAGGAAGAGAGGGAGAGGATTGATTCTGTCATCAACACCAAGGAAAACAAAAAGGCGGCACAGGAAAGGAGATGTAAACCTACATTTCCAAAAGGAAAGTTAAATTTAAAACTACATGGCTCAGCAGTAAGTAATACCTAAAGAATGATGTGTTTTAAATAAAAGTTATAGCATAGCTATGTTGGGAAGATGTGAGAAGATTTAGTTTTTGAGAGTGTATGTGTAAGAGTGTAGGTTTTTATGTGAGAGAACATATGTATTTAGAGTTGTGAAAATTGAAGTCACCCTTTTACAAAGTAAAATGTTGATAGAAGCTATAGAAAAATTAAAAGAATAGAGATTAGAAATGTTTAAATGTTTTTGAAATATTGAGGCTAATATTCAGGGGGAAATCTCTAACTGTTGAAAATGATTCTTATCTGGGAATTGGTGCTGAGGAGGGGTGGGGCCAGGAACTGCTTTTTAAATTATAAATCTTTGATTCTATGATTTTCAACAATACACATATTTATAAAATAATAGATACATTTATATTTGATAAAACAATTATATACATATGCATGTATGAGTATATACATATCTATTTATCTATCTATCTATAGATGTATGTTGTTTCTCCCATATGATTTCTCCTATATTATTCCACCCCCTGCCCAGGATATAGTAGTGAGGTCCATCGGTTTCTTCCTTGTACTAATTTTCTTTCTTGTACAACACAAGTAGCCTGTACCGTCTTTTTTTCTAGCTTTTACGTGTCCTTATCTAGTCTACCCAGTTAGACTTTTGGTCCACCAAGATAAACATCATACCTCATATTCCTCTTGAGTCTCTCTCACAAAGAGACAACACTGCGCTAAACCCTAAAACACACTCAATAGAGTGCATATTACTGATTCTACTGTTCTAATCTTTGGAACAATGTTCTATCTGAAGTTCAACAAGACTAAAATCAGAAAGGTAAGTGCAATGAAAGGAAGGCTCTAGGAAATCTCCCTTCGATTTGAGGGAGAGAATCCATATGGATGTGGTAGTGTCATGATACCAATATAGTAATAGCCCTCGTTAGGGATAACTTTCTCTCGTGTAATCCATTGAGTTAGTGACCAAGTTCATCCAGACCTTCAGAACCCTATTCTAAAGGCTATGGTAATACAGACCATAAGGGAAAGACCAAGGAGTAGGCTCTGTCCTTCAAGGACCTGCTTCTTCCATCTGATTCATAAAGCTAGAGCTAAGTTTCAGATTTCTGAGTTCAAATGTAATTTCGAACGATACTAATAAAATCCATTGGTCTAGAATTACGATGAAGATGAAAGACTATGAATGGCAACAATAAAAGTTTCATAAAGGGAAATTAGATCAAAAGAGGTTTATATACAAAATACTTGGATTTTAGAACTCTAAGGAATCTAGCAATGCTTGGAATAGCTAAGCTAAAGCAATTCAAAGGAAATGCCATGTTACACAGCAGGTAATAAAGTTTATGGAATTCATTAAGAAGTAAAACAGGAATCAATGTTCCTAAAAGGGTTTAAATAAATTCATAGATGACTGATCTGTAATGGGTTATTAATGAAAATTTGATTGTGTTTTTAAGCTAACCTTTGAAGTTGATGTTAAGGAAAAACAATAATAACAACAAAAGTAACAACAATAAAAATAATAAAAGCATTTATTGAGTGCAATTAACTATCCCAAGTAATTTATATTATCTTGTTGAATTCTAGAGCTAATTATTATTCCCCACATTTTACAAAGGAGGAAAACGAGTCTCTGATGAGTTAATCATGGGCATTAGATTTTAACTAATCCAAATATGTAAGTTGCAGGATAGCTTAAGACTCCCATAATTGCTGGCCCAGGGGTATATGATGGATCTAGCTCAGGATTGCCTTTCCTTACTACCCATGTATTTATCAAGGTGAAAGCTGTTAAATGGGGACAAAGAAACCAAATGGACTACATGCAGCCTGAGGACTATATGCAGGATGGCTGCAAATCCCAGCTTCCTTGGGACAGACCCAGAGTAGCTATTATTATAACCCACTTTCACTCTGAAAAGTGTCCAGATTTGGAAGAGAAACATATGGTCATCCCAGGTATGTCTTAGTAATAAAGAAAAATTGGATTTAGGCACTGAGTGCACAAATATACTTAAGATTTTATCATGGAATATACTGAAATGTATCCTCAACCAAGCAAAATTTCTCAAAAACTGAGGCCCAGGACCCCCAACACATCACCACTTCCATTGCTAGTTCAACCCCATAACTCCTTCCTTTCCCACCTTCCATATTTGTATATTTCCTCTTCCACAGTAAGAACTCTGGATTCCAACAATATTAACACACAGTCACTCATTTGTTTAATTCTAAAATATACACAAAATAGTTTCATAATTGCTACATCCAGACAACCAACAAAAACATGTAACCTACGAAATGTTCAAGATGTGTTTGTACTCCTTTTTCCTCCAGTACTAAGAACATGCAGTCAAAATTCTATGAAAAAGATTGGTTGGTTTAGTTCTTTTTCCCCCACCTTTCAATGTGGTTATTTATTTTAGATATTTATGGTTTAAATATATCTCCTCTGTACAGAGAAATTGAGTTTAACTTTATTATCCAATTTGAAAATCTACTTTATATAAGTAGGTGAGTCAAAACTATTCTTCTTTAACATATGATTGTTACGTTTGACCTTAACACTGCATTATAACTTATATGATTACTGCTTATATTATGTGTACATTGTTTTTCTCTATTGAGTATGTCTTCCTGCTATTTTTAAAAGTATATTTTGGAATTTAGAAAAATTTGTATTTTTCTTGGTAATGACCTTTGTATTCTTTTTAAATATCTAATCTTATTTTTTCTTATTCAATATTTTAGTTTGATTTTAATTTTTTACTATTTAGTGTCAGTAGTTTTAGACTCTCACATGCAAACTATACAACAGTCAATGTTATTCTCTTTTGTCCTTTTTTTCTAGTAGTTTTCAGTTATATGATTTTATCTTTTTTTCAGAAAATACAGCATTTACATACTACTATTCCATTCCTTATTGCACCTTAAGTCTCAGCTGTAAAGTACGATGGTGTGTATATATATATGCATACCTTGGAGGTATTGCAGGTTCAATTTGAGACCACTGCAATTAAGCAAACATCATAATAAAGTGAGTCGCAGGATTGCTTGGTTTCCCAATGCAAATAAAAGTTATGTTTACATTATACTGTAGTTTATTAAGTTGCAATAGCATTACGTCTAAAGAACAATATGCATACCTTAATGTAAAATACTTTGTTGCTTAAAAAATGCGAATGATCATCTGAGACTTCAGCAGTGGTCATCCTTTTGCTCTTTTGCTGGCAGAGGATCTTGCCTCAATCTTAATGACTGATGACCAATCAGGGTCGGGGTGGCTGAAGTTTGGGGTGTTTGTGGCAATTTCTGAAAATGAGACAACATTGAAGTTGATGCAACAGTTCGATCTTCCTTTCATGAAAGATTTTGCTACAGCATGCAATCCTGTTTGGTAACATTTTTCCCACAATAGAACTTCTTTCGAGATTGGAGTCAGTCCTCTCAAAATCTACTGCTGCTTAATTGCCTAAGTTTATGGTATATTCTAAATGCTTTGCTGTCATTTAAACAATGTTCACAACGTCTTTATCAGGAGTAGATGCTATCTCAAGAAACCACTTTCTTTGCTCATTCATAAGAAGCAACATCACATCCATTAAAGCTTTATCGTGAGATTGCATCAATTCAGTCACGTCCTTGGGCTCCACTTCTAATTCTAGCTCTCTTGTTATTTCCACCACATTTGCAGTTACTTCCTCTACTGAAGTCTTGAACCCCTCAAAATCTCTAATCATATATGATGATAAACATTTTATCATATGCTTAATTTCTATCTATATATATTTTTTGATAAGATGTCTGTTAAAATCTTCTGCTTATTAATCAGGTTGTTCATTTTCTTACTGTAGAGTTTAAAGTGTTCTTTGTATATTTTAGAAACTCCCTTTTTTCAGATGAGTCTTTTGCAAATATTTTTGCTCAGTCTGTGACTTGTCTTGTCATTCCACCTTGTCATTTGCAGAGCAGAAGTTTTAACTGTAATAAAGTTCAGTATATAATTATTTCTTTCATGGATTATGCCTTTAGTCTTGTATATAAAAGGTCATCACCATATCCAAGATCATCTAGGTATTGTGTGATGTTATATTCTAGGAGTTTCAAAGTAGATCATGAAGGGTGTAAGGTTTGTGTCTAGTTTTATTTTATTTTTATGTAGATGTCCAGTTACTCCATTATATTGACTTTGCTTCTTTGTCAAAGATGAGTTGACTATATTTATGTGGTATATTTTTGAGCTATCTATTCTGTTCCACTGAGCTATTTATCTAATCTTTTGCAAATACTAAACTGTCTTGACTACTGTAGCTTGAGAGTAAGCCTTGAGGTCATTCAGTGTCAGTCCTTTGACTTGGTGTTTTTTTCAAAATGGAGTTTACTATTCTGAGTCTTTGGCGTCTTCATATCAATCTCAGAATCACTTTTTCAGTATCTTCCAAATAATTTGCTGGGATTTCACTGGGATTGCATTGACTCTATAGATCAATTTAGGAAGAACAATCATCTGGATGATACTGATTCCTAACCAAGAATATAGAATATCTCTCCATATATTTAGTTTTTATTTTTTATCATCAGTGTTTTGTCGTTTTCCCTGAAATAGATTATTATGTGTTTTGTGACATTTATTCCTAAGTATTTTTTGAGTGTTAGTGTAAATGGTAATGTCTTTTTAATTTTTCAAGTTTTGCTTATTTATTACTGGTATATAGGAAAATGATTGATTTTGTATATTAGCCTTGTATCTTTCAACCTTGCTAGAATTGCTTATTGGTTTCAGGATTTTTTTTTATCAATTCCTTTGGATTTTCTGTATAGATAATTATATCATCTGTGAAGAAAGATAGTTGTGTTTCTTTATTCCCAAACTGCATACATTTTATTTCTTCTTCTCATTTTATTGAATAATCAAGGACTTCCAGTACAATTATTAAAATCAGTGATGAGAAGAGACATCCTTGACTTGTTCCTGATGTTACCTGGAAAGCATCTTCTTTTTCACCATTAAGTACAATGTCAGCTGTAAGTTTTTTGTAGATGTTATTTACCAAGTAGAGAGCATGCCCCTCTTTTCCTTGTTTATTGAGAATTTCTATCATAAGTAAGTGTTGGATTTTGTGAATTTTTTTCTGTATCTATTGCTAGGATCATATAATTTTTCTTCTTTAGCCTGGTGAAGTGATGATTTACATTAATTGGTGTTCAAATGTTGAGCCAGCCTTGCATACCTGAAATAAATTCAGCTGGATCGTGGTATGGAATTCTTCTGTTTATACATCATTGGATTTGATTTATTATTAGTTTGGTATGGATTTATACCTGTGTCTCACTGTGTCAGTGAGAGATATTCGTCTGTATTTTTCTCTTCTTGTAATGATTTGTCCGGTTTTCGAATTAGGGAAATGCTAGCATAATCAAATGAGTTAGGAAGTATTCCTCCGCTCAAGGAAGTATTCCTTGAAGTGATTGTAAACAAATTGTATAATTTCTTTCCTAAATATTTTCTAGAAATCTCCAGTGAACCCATCTGCATCTGGTGCTTTGAGAGTTTATTGATTTATTATTCAATTTTCTTAATAAATATAGGCCTATTCAGAGTGTTTATTTTTAATATAAATTTAGGTGGATTATGTGTTTCAAGGAATTGTATAATTGTATCTAGGTTATAAAATTTGTGGGCATAGAGTTTTTCATAATATTCCTTTATTATCCTTTAATGTCTATGGATTTGTAATGATATCTTCTCTTTCATTTCTAATATTAGTAATTTTTAAATTTTGTTTAGCCTGGCCTAAAGGCTTAAAATCTAATTAATTTTTCAGCTAATCAGCTCTTGGTTTATAGATCTTCTCTATTGATTTCCTGTTTTCAGTTTCATTGATCTCTATACTGCTTTTTGTTATGTCTTTTCTCTGTTTACTTCAGATTTTAATTGTTGTTGTATTTAGATTCCTAAAGTATAAACTTAGAAGATTGAATTTAGATCATTCTCTTTTAAATACATACATACATCCAATGCTATACATTTTTCTCCAAGCACTAGTTTTGCTGTATCTCACAAATTTTGGCAATTCATATTTTAATTTTTATTTAGTTCAAAACATTTTTAAATTTTTTCTTAAGATTTCTTCTTTGACCCAGTTGTTATTTAGAAGCATGATGTTTACGCTCCACGTATTTTGGGATTTTCCAACTATTTTTCTGTTATTGATTTCTAGTTTAATTCCATTGTGGTCTGAAAGCAGATCCTGTATGATATATCTTCCTTTTAATTTGTTAAGATGTATTTTATGGTTCAGAATGCGATCTATCTTGATAAACATTCTATGTGAGACTGAGAAGAATGCGTAATCAGCTGTTGTTAGACAAAATAGTCTATAGATGTCAATTATTTCCAGTTGATTGATGATTTTGAGTTCAACCATGTCCTTACTGATTTCTTGCCTGCCGGAGTGTTAAAGTCTTCAATCGTAATAATGAATTACTCTATTTCTTTTTGTAACTTTATCAGTTTTTGACTCATACATTTGGGTGTTCTATTGTTAGGTACATACATATTAAGGATTATTATGTCTTCTTGCAAGGCTGCTCTATCTGAAATTAATATAGCTACTTCTGCTTTCTTTTGATTAGCATTAGCTAGATATAGCTTGTCTCGCCCCTATACTTTTAATATATATGCACCTTTATATTTAAAGTGATTTCTTATAGACAACATATACATGGGTTTTGTTTCTCATTCACTCTGACAATCTCTGTCTTTTAATTGGCATATTTAGGCTGTTAATATTTAAAGTCAATATAGTTGAGTTAATATCTACCATATTTGTGACTGTTTTCTCTTTGCTGCCTTTTCTCTTTGTTCTTATTTTTGTCTTCCACACTTTTTCTGCCTGTTGTGGTTTTAATTGATCATTTTATAGAATTTCATTATCTCCCCTTTCTTAGTCAATTATATTTCTCTTTTTCACTTTTTAAAATAGGTGCCATAGAGTTTGTGACATATATTACAACGAATCCAAGTCTCTTTTTGAATAACACTATTCCAGTTCACAGGTACCACAAGTACTTCATGATAACAAAATTTTTCTAATTCTTCTTTCCTGTTTGTTGTATCATCACTGTTATTCATTTCACTTATATATATCTATAAGTGTCCATAAGCATGTGTGTATGTACACAAATACTTTGTTGCTATTATTATTTAAACAAATAGCTATCTATTAGATCAACTAAGAATAAGAAAAATAAAAGTTTTTATTTTACCTTTATGTATTCATTCTGTGGTATGCCTCTTTTATCCCTTCTTTATGTAGTTTTGAGTTTCTAATCTATATTATTTTTCTTCTCTGTAGAGATCTTCTTTTAACATTTCTTGTAAGACAGGTCTACTGACAACAAATTTCCTCCATGTTTGTTTGCCTGATAAAGTATTTTTTTCCTCCTTCACTTTTGAAGACTAATTTTATAGTGCACAGAATTCTAAGTTGGTGGGGCTTCTTGTTTGTTTGTTCCTTTGTTGTTGTTTTTTCTCAACACCTTAAGTATTTTATTCCACTCTCTTTTTTCTTGCATGGCTTCTGAAGTCAGATGTAATTTTTATATTCGTTCCTTTGTAGGTAAGAGATCTCCCTGGCCTTCCACTCACCCAGATTCTTTGAAGATATTTTTCTATATATTTGACTTTCTGCAGTTTGAATCTGGTATTCCTAGGTGTAGGTTTTTCAGCATTTATTCTGCTTGGTGTTTTCTGCACATTCTGGATTTGTAGCTTTGTGTCTTATAATAATTGAAGGAAGTTCTCAGTCATTACTGTTTTAATTTTTTTAGATTCATTTCTCTCTCTCTCTCTCCCTCCCTCCCCACCTCCTTGTATTCTCATGAGGTATATGTTGCACCTTTTGTAGTTGTCCCATAGTTCTTAGAAATTCTTTTTTAGTATTTTGTCTTTGCTCTTCAGTTTTGGAGGTTTCTATTGAGATATCTTCAAATTCAGAGTTTCTTTTCTGAGTCCAGTCTACTAATGAGCCCACCAAAGGCATTATTTATTTGTTAAGTTTTTAATTTCTAGCATTTCTTATTTTTTCTTATAATTTGCATTTCTCTTTTTATAGTATTCACCTGTTCTTGCATGTTGTCTGTGTTTGTTCATTAAAATCCTTAGGTTATATGCTTTTTAATTCCTGGTCTGATCATTCCAAGTCTTGCTGTATCTGACTCTGGTCCTGATGCATGTTCCCTCTCTCCAAACTGTTTTTGCTTTTTAGCGTGCTTTAGAATTTTGTTGTTGCTGTTGTTAAAAGGTGGACATGATGTACTAGGTAGTAAATAGGTCTTAGTAATATGGTAAGATGCAGGGGGAGGGGAAGAGTTTGATAGCTCTATGAGTAGGTATCAGTCTTTTGATGAGCCTCTGCCCTTGAACTGTGAATTTCACCAGTGCTTCTCAGTTCCTCCTGCTGTGGTAAGTCAGGCAGGATGGCTAGATGGAGCTGGAATTGGGCATTCTCCTTCCCCTGGGTTAGTCAGGCTTTGATAAAACATTGGCAGGTTAGGGTATGATTAAATCGTTTCCCCTAAACATAGTAACGTGTCTGTAATCACAGCTACTCAAGAGGCTGAGGCAGGAGGATTTCTTGAGCCTAGGAATTTGAGACCAGCCTGGGCTGGTCTCACCAGATGGTGAGACCCCTATCTCAAAAGAATAATAATAATAAATAAAAAAGTTTCTCTCGAGGGCAGGACTTAATAAGAAGCTAAAGTTTTTAATCTCTCAGACTTGTCCACACTAACCCTCAAGCATTTGTCAATTACAGTTTAGATTTTTCCTACCCTGGCACTGATTCCCATAGTGGTTTTCCCTATGGGGTTTTTGCTCCAGTAAGTTGCGCTTCTCTGTGTTTGTCTGTTGATCTTGCCAATTTAGGAGCAGCAGTTTGCCCTGTGATGGATCTACGCACAGTTGCTTATTTCTTTTCAGTTTGTTCAGCCTTTTACATGTTGTTAAAATGGAAAAGTAATTTCTAACCTTTTTACATGCCAGACCAGAAACCAGAGGTTAAAAGGTTTGATTCCCATTTTATATCTTTATTTTTTTAGAGACACTTTGTATGAATTTAATGTTTTCATTTGTTTTGCTTTTTCTGCTCTATTCCAAGGCATACTGTGGATAGACTACTTTTTTCTAACTGTATCCTCAAGTGCAGCTAATTTAATAGATGATACATATGGTGCAGAGAGAGATAAAATATGGTTTTGCTTATCTAGTTTCTTTTTTTTTTAAGATTCTCAATCTCCCCCCTTGTACTTACTCCTCTCAGATTGCTGATGCATCTCCAGTGGGCACCACACCTTCTCTATTTATCTTTTTTATCCAAAGAAACAATGCTTCTGTGAGGCGCCACCTCTGGTTCTGAGCAAATAAGCAACTTCCCTGTAGCCAATTATGTAAACAACCATATCCCAACCATAACTTTCTTCTTTCTTCTTCCCTCCTGGAAATAAGAGATCACTCAAATCTTTAAGTGTCATGTTTTTAGGTTATTGGGAAGTTAGTGGCACCCTGAAAGATAATAAAATCTGTGGAAGGAACTGATATGCAAGGAAAAATAAATTAATGCATTATTGGAGGTGGAAAATATACCCTAAAGGGCTATGGCTATTTTGAACATTTCTAGAGTCTGCCCACTTTCTATCTCTGTGGAGATTTTCCGAATAAACAGTGTGGCTCTTTCTTTTATTCATGACATGCTGGTACTGACATTTAACTGCTTTCTGGACATGGCCATCATTTCCCCCCAGTCAGCTCACCAGTTGACCCCTTCTGAATTTTACATGTTTGCTTCTAGAGCCTATACTCAGCTGCCCTTTTTTTAATTCACCTTCGATCTTGCTGTAGCTTAGAACCTGGGGATTCAGTTGGTACCTGAAACTGAACCACAAATGCCAGTTTACAAATGTAAAGTCATAGAATATGCCCAGAGCAAAGGTGCATGTTTCTTCCTGGCACATAGGTTACTTAGGTTTCAAAAGTTGAGATTCAAAAATTATACAATTGTGATAAACAAGTCAAGTCCCATTGTATACTTTGCATCCCCAGTGTCTTCCTGAAGTATGAACCCTGAGTATTCATTTACTGTTTTACTAAATATACCAAGGTAAATACTTGGAATAAATATGTGATTAGGTAGGAGAGTGCCTGCTCCCAGAGTCTTGGAATTACAGTGGTATGTACAAGAAAACCACTGATTACAATACAGTGTGCTGAATACCATATATAAGATGCTATGATAGTAAAGAAAAAGTTCCTACAAAACTCAGGCAGACAGGGAGAAGGCTTCCTGAAGTTCCTGGAGAAGTGAGGAGTATAAAATCCCAAATGAAGAATTTGGCATTTGCAAAGGAGCAGGTGCTGGTCTGTGTAGTAGAAAGGGTAGCTGATAGATGTGAAGTGGGGCCAGATTGTGGTTAACCTGAATGTCAGAAAAAGGAGCTTGGCGTTGTTCTGATGGAAAATAAAGTTACTAGAGTGTTGGGGTGGAGAATGAGAGTAACAATCAGCTTTGCATTTTAGAAGGGTTCTTTATTAGCAACACTATGGGCCACATATTGAACTATGCCTGCGATATCACAGCATTCTAGTTCTCACAAGCACTTGAGCACCCAACCAATAAGACTAAACCCATCATGGGTTCTTACCTCTATGTTAACAGATCAAAAGGCAGGCTGTGGATGAATTGCCCAAATTACTTTGCCAACATAAGGCAGCAGCCAGTCTGAGCTATGATCTATATCCCAGCTAGCAAAGAGTCAAAGAGCCTCTTAATTCAATTTCCTATAATCTCCAAGTAAGTGCAAAATTTCAAAAGCTTTCCAAAATTAATCGGTTTCAAAAATTACACTGGATTCAATGCTGAAGCTAAGTAAATGTTCAGGTTTTCTCCACTTTGTAACTTTGCTGATCTTTCCTGTCTCTTATTAATGTTGGAAAAATAATAGATGAACTTTTGCATCATTGATATTGCAGTGTCTTTAGTGAAGATGAAAGTATAACATGTGGTGAGGTGGGGAATAAAGCACATGTGGTAAGCAACTCACAGACTAGAATGCTATCTGGATAAAATACAAGAACCGCTTTAACAGCTTTGAATCTTTTTACTAAAAAGGACTAAAATTTTTTGGCATGGATCTCAGAGTACAGATTCAAATTCTGTTCTATCATCCATCAATTCTGGGATTTTAAGTAAGCTAGTCTGCTTCTCTGAGCCTGAGTCTGGGGGACATTGGGGTTTCAGACATAAGAGGTTTCAGACATAAAAGGCACTTTAGAAGTGCCTTTACTCCTTAAGTGTCCAATTTTTCTTATATTTGCATCTCAGAGTCAGGGATTTATGACCCCAGAAGTCATAGATTTAGTACTTATGTCACCCTTTCCTCAACTTCCAAAGCAGAGTGATTGGTTCCATGCATCAAAGGACAGGACTCTGCCTACTTCGTTAGGCCCCCGAGGCTGTTGAAATCACCAGCCAGACATTTTTAGGGCTGTAACACAGAGATCTTGCCCACATCCTCAGCTTCTCATAGGCTTATCCACGACTTCTGACATTATGGAAAATGCAAATAGACTCCTCATGAGCATGAAACTCCAGTGAAAGAATAAAGTATAAAACAAAATATTTCTCTGTAACCTCCACATTGCCACACACAAGGTTTCCTCTAGAGCAGCAGTTCCCAACCTTTTTGGCACCAGGGACTGGTTTTGTGGAAGACAATGTTTACATGGACTGGGGGTGGAGTGGGAGGGAGGTGGAATGGTTTTGGGATGATTCAAGTACATTATATTTATTGTGTACTTTATTTCTATAACTATTACATGGTAATATATAATGAAATAATTATACAACTCACCATAATGTTGAATCAGTGGGAGCCCTGAGCTTGTTTTCCTGCAACTAGGTGGTCCCATTTGGGGGTTTTGGGAGACAATGACAGATCATTAGGCATTAGATTCTCATAAGGAGCATGCAGTCTAGATCCCACACATAAACAGTTCACAATAGGCTTCACAGTCCTATGAGAATCTAATGCCACCGCTGATATGACAGGAAGTGGAGCTCAGGGAGTAATGTGAGTGATGGAGAGTGGCTGTAAATACAGATGAAGCTTCACTGGCTCGCCTGCCTCTCACCTCCTGCTGTGTGGCCCAGTTCCTAACAGGCCACAGACCAGTACCAGTCCATGACCCAGAATTTGGGGCCTCCTACTCCAGAGGATACTGTATCCAAGGAATATATAATATGTCCACTTAGAAACCAAAGAGTTATCTTTCATGCCACAAGAATTTTTTTTTTGCCTGGGCGAAAATCTCAGAACTTTCTTTTTTTTTTTTTTTTTTGAGGCAGAGTCTCGCTCTGTTGCCCAGGCTGGAGTGCAGTGGCCAGATCTCGGCTCACTGCAAGCTCTGCCTCCCGGGTTCATGCCATTCTCCTGCCTCAGCCTCCCGAGTAGCTGGGACTACAGGCGCCTGCCGCCACGCCTGGCTAATTTTTTGTATTTTTAGTAGAGACGGGGTTTCACCATGTTGGCCAGGATGGTCTCGATCTCCTGACCTTGTGATCCGCCCACATCGGCCTCCCAAAATGCTGGGATTACAGGCGTGAGCCACCGTGCCCGGCCTAACTTTCTTGCTGTAATAACCACTGAACGAATGAGAAAAAAATGAGCCACAAATTCATGAAGTCAGTATGCTTTACCAAAGAGTGGTAAATGTGCAACTCTGTTTTATAGCCTGAAGAAATAAGAAAGTTATACCAAAATAGTCCAGAAAACATTTCTCTGTTCTAGGACCAGGTTTTCCTGAGATGCCAGGCAGTAATGCAGATTGGAGGGTTGGAAGGCTATTCTGATACACCTGAGGAAAGCATAAAACACACAGATTATTCTACTGGGTAAACACCTAACTGCCTCTGTAAAAGTGGATTCCTTTTATCTCTTTATTATTTGAAGATAAGATTTTCTTTTTTAAGTCTTAGAATTCATAGGCTTTCAGTAAAATTCATAAATGCTTATTCTTTCATGTCACCCCTCATGGATTATACCTAAATCCCACTGGAAAATTCTCATCATATTTCAAGAGAGCCCTTGGACTTTTGTTAGGATGGACTTAACTCTCATCTTTGCAAAAAGACAGTGTTCCCATGGTGATGAGGATGACATCATCGGGACTGGTTCCTACCGTGAATACAGTCCCATTGATCACCACGGGAATAGATGGGATAAGAGATAACAGGATTTTCTGTACAAACACAGGTAACTCAAAGATTAGCCAGGCTAACAAGCTATGAATTTTCACTAAACGTAAGCCTGATAGATTGCTTAAGATTATTATCCTCTTCACTGTCAATGGCATTCTAAAATAGCAGGAATTCTCCTGTCCTATTAGGCTCCTCCAAGGATCTGTAACCTATATGGGTAGGTGGCAACTTAAATACATTACTGACGTGCTAATATTAGGCTTTTGTGATCGTGAGAAATTTTTGCTCTATTAAGCCAAGTTACATAAAGCAGGAGCTGGAAAGTCAACTGGAGTGTGTCTTTTTTAGACAACCGGAAAACTGAAATAGGTTTTATAGCACACTATAGCCAATCACCTAACTTTATTCTAAATGGAAAAGCTATACCCTTTGCAAAATTCTATTACATTGAATTATTCTTCTGTAACCATTTGTAAAAGGAAAGCATCAATTCATGTATGACAGGCATCTTCTCCCCATGATCATAACCAATTTTACTAATAGAAGTCTGTGTACAACTTGGCCTAAAATTAGTAGGTTCTTTTTTTTTTTTTTTTTTTTTTTTTTGAGACGGAGTTTCGTTCTGTCGCCCAGGCTGGAGTGCAGTGGCGCGATCTCGACTCACTGCAAGCTCCGCCTCCCGGGTTCACGCCATTCTCCTGCCTCAGCCTCCCGTGTAGCTGGGACTACAGGCGTGCGCCACCATGCCCGGCTAATTTTTGTATTTTTAGTAGAGACGGGGTTTCACCGTGTTAGCCAGGATGGTCTCGATCTCCTGACCTCGTGATCCGCCCATCTCGGCCTCCCAAAGTGCTGGGATTACAGGCGTGAGCCACCGCGCCCGGCCAATTAGTAGGTTCTTATGTCCTAATACATGACCTTCAATATCTTAGTTTTCAATACTATAAAAAGAATACTCACGTGCCAGTATATCCATCTATCTAACTACCTGTCTATTTATTGATCTTTGGTTGAGTACTGATTATATTCTAGGTCCCATGATATAGATATGAAAAAAACTGAATTATGATCTTGCTCTTGCCCTACAGAACTGCAGACTCTGATGAAGGAGATAAACACATACATAATTACAATGCTATATAATGTCTTGAATATGGGTTTATACTGAGATACACACAAATGAAAGAGTAACTAACTTTTCTGTGAGAGTTAAGGAATATATAACAGAAGAGATGGTATTTGACACAGGCCTGGGACTAGATTAATACAAGCCTTGGTAGTATATTTAATATCCCTGGATCACAAGGGGTGACTGAAAAACAAGAAGTACAAAAATCAATTGGGGAAAGCTGCAAGAACGTTGAGTCTCTCATTCACATGTAGATCCCTGACTCCCTCAGTAGCTGAGCCATATATGAAGTTAAGGATCGGGTTCATGCTAAGCATATTTCTGGACCCTGTCCAATACACAGAATTGGCCCAAGATGGGCTCAGTGTTTTTCATCTTATTTGGACTATGAACTCCTTTAAGAATCTAAGAAAGCGTCTAAATCCACTCCCCTGAAAAATGCAGAACACATTAGAAATACAAATTTGCAAAGAATTTTCCAGCATTCCATGAAACTTTAAAGAGTATCTGTAGAGTCTATGTTAAGAACTTTTAGTTCTTAATAGACAGATACTAGAGTTATATTGCTTGTATGTAGTTAGACTATTCAATTACCTCAAAAGATTATGGGGAAAAAATAGATAATCTATAAGCTAGATTATCTTTGTCTCTGCTGTTTTATAGGGCCGAATACATTATTTTCTAGCTGTGTAATCTTGGATAACTTCCCCAAGCCCCAATTTACTCATTTTTATAATGAGGATATTAATCCCATTCTTCAGAATTTGTTGTCAAGATTAGAGATAACACATATGGAGTACCTAGAAAAGTGTCTGGCATATAATTTATTTCATTTGTATCATTATCATTAGTATCAGTATAAGTGCTTGTATTGTATAATGACAATAAAATTGCATTCCAGAAATTCAGGGAGCAAATTATGGCGATCAGATGCAATATCTATTTTAATTCTTTGGAGATATGTTAAACTTGTTTGTCTAGAACTCCCTCTGCCCTCAAGATGATTAATAAAATATTGCAATTACGTTCTAAACCCTCTGGGCAGAAAGTATAGCTCCTATATATTCTGTACTATGTTCAATAAATGTTTAATAAAATGATACTACTACTTGGGATTTCTATAGTTCTTTTATTTGGTAGTCTCCAAGTACTTTATAGATATTAGTTCATTAATTCTCCCAATTCCACAGAGACTAGGAAGTTAGGAAATGTTAAAAGCATCTTCTCTGTCTGTTGGTTTAAATGCATGCCCTCCCCTCTCCCCGCAAACCTTGTTGTGCCATTCTCTCCAATGGCACCAGTGTTTAACCCCGTCCTCTTAGCATGAAGGCCCTTCACCAAGTCTACCAGACTAGCTCATCTCACTCAACTGTCCCAACCTTTCTTCTTCTCTTTTGTTAAAGTTTGCAGTTTCTGTTCATTTTTCTTTAATAGACCTGATCTCTAAAACGGGCTGATTCCTTAATAGATCCAGACTATAGGCATTTCAAATAATAAATACAAAAATAATAATTATAATAGCTTCTGCCTATTGAAGGTCAGACACTAAGATATGTTAAAAGTATCATGTCTTTTGTGCATCTCAAAAACCCATTATATTCTATCATTATCTCCATTTTATAGTGAGAAAAATGGGTATCTAAGAAATTAAATACACTTGTGTAAGGTTACACAGCTGACAAGAGGCCAATCTGGAATTTGAACCCAGGTATGTCTACCCCTAAAACATAAGAAGATTTATTAGAAATTATGCAAATTCTCTATTTCTCAGGGTACTCTGGGAACCTTCCAGAACCATCAGAGCTACCTGTCTGTGTCTGGGAAAATTAGAAGACTTGCTCTGATATTGGAACTTGTAGTAAGGTGAGCTATCACTGAAACTCCTATGATTCTAATCTCCATTTGTCCTTCCTTCTTCCCCTCCCAGTCTACCACTCCCTTAAAGGACCCCAAGAAGATATGGGATTGATGCTTCATCCCAGAAGCACTCTAAAGACTACCCAGCAGGGCTTTCCAGCAGCCACATGAATGTCCTATAAAGCCTCTCTTCACACCTGGGTCACACAAAGGTGGGAAAGACTCAGTGCTGTCCTGAAGACTGTCCAGTTCCTGAAATCCATATGTTCACTGGATCTTTATGTGTACAACACTCCTCTTTAGCCCTCACTGGCGAGCATCCTCTCATGCCAGTGTCTCCACTCTTAACTACTCTCCCCTCCTCCCTCCTGGAATCTTGGAGGATTTCTGAGAGTCTACCATCATTGCAACACATTTCTCCTCCATTATAACATCAACCATGCCACACTTTCCATCCCAACTGCTAGCAATAGACACTTGCATGTAATAAAAAATATTAATTGAATTAATTAAGAGAAAGACATATCAAGGGGTTGCTGTGAGGGACACTATATTGTCTCTTTTCATATATATGTATATATGTAATGTTGCTGTGCTTTTTTAATTTAAATGTTAATTTTTTTATTTATTTTTATTATTTATTTATTTATTTTTTTTGAGACGGAGTCTGGCTCGTCACCCAGGCTAGAGTGAAGTGGTGCAATCTCGGCTCACTGCAAGCTCCGCCTCCCGGGTTCACGCCATTCTCCTGCCTCAGCCTCCCGAGTAGCTGGGACTACAGGCGCCCGCCACGATGCCCGGCTAATTTCTTGTATTTTTAGTAGAGACGGGGTTTCACCTTGTTAGCCAGAGTGGCCTCAATCTCCTGACCTCGTGATCCGCCCACCTCAGCCTCCCAAAGTGCTGGGATTACAGGCGTGAGCCACCGCGCCCAGCCAAATGTTAACTTTTTTAATGCTGCTATTTTGATATCCACACTAGAAACTAAAAAAAAAAAAAAAAAAAAAAAAAATGAATTACAGAGACTTAAGATTCCCAAAGCCATATCATGATTAAATGGCAGAAAGGGAACTCAAATCCAAGCTGACCCAGACTAGAACCCTTATCCTCAACTACCTCGTTAGCTTTGCTGTGAGAGTCAGCAGTGCTGCAGAGCTGGCTATATTTATATTTTCACCATAGTTTTTTATTTGTGAGTTGACCTTAGACGTTACCTACTGAAGGGACCCTAACCTTTCTGTGAACAGGTGCTGTGTTTAAGCCTTCAGAGCTTGTTCATCAGCAAAGAAGGAATGAATGGGTGGACCCATTCGTGCATTCGTGCTAGGGTTGTGGGGAAATCATCAGGAAGTGAGAGGTGACAGTGACATTCCTGAGAAGAGAATGAGACAGAGTTGCCAGAAAGACATGTTTTGGGGTGTACTCACTCTTAGTAATTCACCTCCTACAAGAAAGCACAGGGACTGCAGATTCTGTTCATTACCCTCATATTCTCATTTATCAGATGGGGGATTTTTACAAGAAAGATGAAATTCATTTCCCAGGGTAAGCAGCTACCTTAACAATTTATACTCAAGTTCATCCTAAAAGAATTGGGGGCTGATTAAGCATACAACTCTTCGTGGAAGACCCCAGGCTACTTAGATGCTTGGGAGATATTTGCTGCTGCTGTGAATAAAGTTTTTTAAACAGTAATGTTGATACTATCTTTATTTCAGCAGCTAGGAGAAAAAAAACAAGCAAGCCAAAAGGAACAAAAACAAACAAACAAAAAAATTGTAGAGTCCTAAGAGTTGCTTAATAATATACTAACCATGTTTAGAGAATTCAGGTTCCTGCTCCTTTAGGAATATTCTAAATTAACATTTTATTAACCATAAATTACATTTTCTCTTGAACATGTTCAAATTCAGCTATAACCATTGTTCCCACTAGCAAGGTGCCTGCTGTGTACCAGTCATAAAGATTGCATGAGAGAAGTGAGCTATTGCTCAGAACTTTCTAGTTGTGCCAGACATATGCTGGGTTGCATTTTAATTCTCACAACAAGCACAGAGGAAACAGATGATTATTACCCATTGACAAATGAAGACAGAATATGTCATTGGCTGGATAATGGGTAGATGTGTGGTTTGACCTGACGTTTGTCTGACGCCAAAGTCCAGGCCCTATTCTTTAGTTTATACTCTATCCTCTTCAAAGCCCATACTCTACTTCTCTGAATTCTGCAGTGTGAAAAGACGCATGTCCAATAAGGGCCTGTGCAGATTGTGATTCCAATCAGATGGAAGCCAGAGTGAAAGTCACAGAGTCTTGCCTCCAAAATACCACTGAACTCCTCGTTCCCTGTGCATGGCCTAAATGCACCTCGGTAGGAGGATTGAAGAAGCCCAATCATCAGGCCAAGCTGTCTTCAGGGATTCCTGAAGCCAGGTCCGTGAATTCTGTGCCTCTGAGGAAACATTGATTATGTCCCCTTTCTTGGCTTCAAACATGGGTCAAGACAAAGACCAGAAATAGTGCCCAGTTTTTTCTCAAGTTGGGGGTAAAGAGCTCTATACATCTATGAGTAACAAGACTAAACTGCAATTCTATGGTCACCCTTTTTTCAGATATACTTTCTTCAGTCCCCTAGGACAGAACCTTCTTGGTTCCTTTAGGATCAATGTGACTTATTCTAGAGATGCTCATGTGTAAAAGTCTCTTTCAGCTTAAAAATGTGATGTAATTGTTTCTTCCTGTCCCTGTAATTCTAAGGACACCACCAAGCACTAGGCAATTCGCAGGAAAGCGGGACTTCTACTGCCCTTTCTCTAGGCCCAGGATCCTGCATCCTCTCTCCCATATGGAATCATCAGCCCAGTGATTTTCTGAGCATCATGTTGTTTCCCAACTATGAATCCTTCAGATATGCCTGCTATCCTCAACCCACAAAACCTTGATGTGGGTGTAGAGAAAGTAATGCAACATAAGTCTGATTCACTTCATCGAAACAATTGGGGAGCTAAAGTAAAAAGTATTTTTGCCTTACTAATTTTTTCCTACTACTTTTACTCTCAAAGACGTTTTACATCTTTTGCATTATATAATGTGCACAATATACTTAATTGTTAGGGAGAAAAGAGATTAGCATCCCTTCTCATAGTAAAACAAAATCAAAACACAAGCAAAATTAAGACCCAAATGGATGCCATGACCAAACTAGACTTTTTTGGAGCTCATCTGTAGCAGGTCTCTTCAATCCAAACACAGGACCTTTTACCAGAGTCAGGATGCTTTTTCCCCTTAGTATTTATCCTGAAAGATAACACTCCCTTAGGTAGTTATTTAGGAACAGATTTATTTATGGGGGTTAATTTTTCTTCTGGAACAATCATAGTAAATATGCATATTACCTATGAACAGAAATAGTAGCCTCCTACTTCTCTCGGCAGGTTCAGAAAACAGTTCTTTTCGGAGTCTGTGAAAGGCTGTTGATACTGTCAGTGGTGTTACCCAAAGCTATACCTCAGTTGAGCCTGAGCAGCAATGCGTCTGTGCTTTCATGTGGCTAAAGCACTAACACAATTACAGTGTCCTAGCTGACTGGCAGTTTTGGTTCCTGGTTTCTTAACAAGAAAAGAGATGGTATTAAACCTGGAAATTGTCTATTTTTACAGGCTTAAGGGAAATCACTCAGGTGAATAAAAACTCAAAGACCTAACTTGAAGAGCCTCATTAGAAGATGTTTGAATATCATATTGCTTTATTCCAAAGGTTAAACACATTTAACCCAGGAAGGAGAAATCCTGCAGGAGGCAAGTGGAGCATATCTTGCTTCTCAGCTAGCTCTGAGGCTGAGAGCTCAATGCCACCCACCCAGCAAGCAAGCAGACACAGTCTTGGGACCTAGAGAAACACTTTAAAGGCTAGTTTTGTTTGTTGTATTTTTATTGATTGAGACAATTTAGAATTTAGGTCAATTGACAGAGAGTGCATAGGGTCATACTCTTTCAAGGCAGCTTATATCTGGTTGTGTTTACATGAACCAATGTGTGGGCCTTGAGCAAAGTGTAGCTGAGGATAATCAGTTTCTTCATTCTAAATCTTGGCTGCAGCCTCCCCAGCACCCTATGTCCAATTCTGTATGTTTCAACAGACAAGAGATATGAAGAAGCTGATAGGGTTTAGGGAAGACATTTAAAGATAAATAATGAAGGCAGGCGATGTGGCTCATGCCTGTAATCCCAGCGCTTTGGGAGACTGAGACAGGTGGATCACCTGAGGTCAGGAGTTTGAGACCAGCCCAGTCAACATAGTGAAACCCTGTCTCTACTAAAAAATAAAAAAGTTAGCCGGTGTAGTGGCAGGTGCCTGTAGTCCCAGCTACTCGGGAGGCTAAGGCAGGAGAATTGCTTGAACTTGGGAGGCAGAGGTTACAGTGAGCTGAGACCACGCCATTGCACTCCAGCCTGGGCAACAAGAGTGAAAATCTGTCTCAAAATAAATTAATTAACAAATTAATTAAAACTAAATAAAGATGAATAATGAACAAATAATATAATTGTTTTAAAATAATGGGTGAAATAGTATTGTGTTTAACTATATTAAAAAACTTATTTTCTTCTGGAATATGAGGCATATAGCAATATAGTTTCTACTGAATGAGAGGAAATTGGTTTTAAACTACACTGAGATATAAGAAGTTGCAAAGAAATGTGTCTTAGTCTGTTTTGTGCTGCTATAACAGAATACCTGAGACTGGGTAACTTATAACAACTGAAACTTATCAGCTCCCAGTTTTGGAGGTTGGGAAGTCCAATGACACAGTGCCAGCATCTGGCAAGCGCCTTCTTGCTGTGTCATCACATAGTAGAAGGCAAGAGGGCAAGAGAGGGAAAGGGGGCTCTGAACCTACCCTTTATAACAGCACCAATCCCACCCATGAGGGTGGAGCCCTCCTGGCTTAATCACTGCTTAAAGGTGCCACCTCTTTATACTGTTACAATGGCAATTAAATTTCAACATGAGTTTTGGAGGGGACAAACATTCAAACCATAGCCAAAAAAAAAAAAAAAAAAAACAAAAAACAAAAAAACCAACTACTTGTGTTGAAAGGTTGAATGCCTTTGCCTTGCCTTGAAGTGGAAGTACAGGTCTACGAGACTGTCCAATGCTCTTTCCATAATGCAATGATGCAGGAACTCAACAGACAGTGCTATGGGTTGGTTTCACTTTTGACTACTAGCAATTTAGCGTGATTCAAAGAGTGATTGCCTTTTAAGGTACAGAAGAGCAAGAGGTTGAAATAGAGGTCTTTCCTTCAAGGTCTAGCATAAATACCACCTCCTCTAAAAGTCTTCCCCTACCTCCTGAGAAGGAATTAATTTCTTTCTCCTCATTACTCCCACTAGATAATTAATTTCTCCCTCCTCATTAATTCCACCTTTTCTATGGTGTTTATCAGAGTCTTCTTTATAATATAATTAGCTAGTTCTCTAATAAATACCATATTTCCTCCTGACAGTTGCCATGTCCTGTTCACTGCTGTGCACTTCACAGTGCCCAGCAGGATGCCTGGCACTAGCAGAAATTCAAAATGTAAACTGGATTTAAATAAACAAAACTATCTGGGTCTCTCAGGGAAATTTAAAGAAACAGATGAAGAAATATTATCCCTGGGGACTTGACTTTCATATTTGGTAAACAAGCTTCATCTACATTTAGGTCAAAATATAAAAATCTCAAGCAGAACACAATTAAACAGCATCAGATTAGAAGGATTCAGAAGAAAGGAGTCAAGACAGATGAGATCTGAAGATTTCCAAAGTGTCTACCATCTGCACAGTGTTAAAATTGTTTTACATACAATCTCATTTAATGCTAAAAAAGTAAAATACAAATTTAAATTGCAAAATAAATGTTATTGTTTCCACTTTAAGGATTGGAAAACTGAGGTTTAAATAGCCTATGTAATTTGTCTGAGACCACGTGGCACTATTAAATGATTAACTTGGACTCATAATTAGAATCCAGGTTATCTTGGCAGCACTTTGGTGACTTTACTCTGCAGATTTGCCTTGTATAATAAATGTAACATGAAGGAGAGGTAAAAGGGTACAGATTATGGGGAAGGTGAGAGTGGCTCTGATATGCTAAGTGCTCATAAAAACATAACTTGTGCCATGCGTGGTGGTGCACACCTGTAATGCCAGCTCCTCAGGAGGCTGAAGCAGGAGGATTGCTTGAGCCTGGGAGTTTGCTCTAGTGAGCTATGACTGCACCTATAAAAATCGCCATTGCACTCCAGCCTGGGTGATAGAGCTAGGCCCATCTATTAAAAAAAGATAACTCCTGATCTCAAGCTCTTGCCTCCCACCCAATAAACCAATCAAATGTTGATATTTCCTGGGGTTTCTTTGTTAAGTTGGTTGTGGTTGCTATCTGTCCCACTGTGGTGAGTTGATAACATGATTCATAACCATCTTTATCAAGTCTAATAAATGACACTTTAGCCACCTGAATCTCTGGGTCTGAGAGCTAGCCCCTCTTGGTATGATCTGGCCCACACCAGACAAAATAAAGTTTCCTCTCTCACTCCAGGCTTCCTGGACCTGATGAGCTCTTCAAACTAGAGTTCAAACTAAATTTTTCCCATTTCAGTCTCAATGGAAGTGGAAATTTTCTCTGGAGAAGAGTCATTATGCATAGACTTGAGATTCCATGGCTCATCTGAGCCCAGCTGCTGGGATAAACCTGAGCTAGAAACTTTAATGCAATGTGAACTTTAACATGACAATTAGCACAGGGATCTTTTCCCTGAGGCAATTAACTTCTGCTCTTCTGTCTAACCATGATTTCAGCACTGGCAGCAGGCAGGAAATGAATGTCACCATTACAGTCACAGTCAGTCAGCTTAGACTTGTACCCACAGGGGTCATTCAATTCAAGATATCTTTGCATTGTTCATGTTTGGAGACCCAAGATTCCCTTCAGGTGCTATGATTACATTAGAAGACAAATAATCACCAGTGGCCCCCAAACCAAGCCAGACTTCTCAACATCTGGAGAATGCTACCACGGTGCATCCCTATGCTGGCATTTTCTCAGCGCTGTTAATAAATAAATGGAACTCCATATATTCCTCCATTTATGTCCCTAAATGGTAGCTGCTTGGGGATGCATAGATGTGTTATTGGCCACCAGGGACTCTCTTCAATGGTGGAATGTCCTGTATCCAAAATAGGCAACAGATAAACAGTAGAAAACAACCAATTTGGGAAATTTATAGAAAAAACATTCAAAACCTATCTCTAAATCAATTTGAAAATGTACTCAACTCAAAAAAGAAAAGAAGAAGAAAAAAGGAAAAGAAAAGAAAGCCTGGGATATATCATCCTGGCAGAGAAGGAGGCGGGGTAATATTGTGACATTATCCTCAAATCTAAGAAGACAGAGAGCCAGCCATCCTTCACTGAGAAAGACATGGGAAGAAATGTGACTGATTGTAGTAGAAAAACCTCAAGTTAGTTATAAAAAATCCCTTTCTGTGAAGTGTAGGAGGTCCTGGAACAAATGAGTAAAATATAATTTAAAAACGTTCTCCTAGAGAGCATGAGGAAAGTGTCTTAAAGCAATTCTGCCTAGAAACAGGATCTATAGAATTCTTGATACTCAAATGTGTCCCATAGATCAGCCGATCGGGCATCACATGGTGGCTGGTTAAAATGCAACATCTTAGGTACTACTCCAGATACACTAAATCAGAATCTGCATTTTTAAAAGACCTATGTATACATTAAGCATCACGTCCAGATAAACAACTGAATTTATCTATGGCTTAGACAGCATTAATAGTATACAGTCATTTCTTGTTTTTAAAGAAAACGAACAGCCTGCAAAGCTAGAGATTTTCTCCTGTTTCCTACTGCCTTTCTGGTTTCCTTAGCTTGCAGTGCTCACAGCTGCCTGTATGCATATTCAGGAGCACCAGTGACCTTGAATTGGATGGCAAGACTGGGGTGACGACCTTGGCTACAGTCATCCCTGAATGCCTCAGCATCTCTGTGTCATGATTTTAATTTTTGAAGAAACTTTTTGTCAACTAAGTCATGTATATGCACATACAAACACACGAGCATAAACACACACAAACAGAATGTGTTTTGAAAAGAAAAAATAAAATCATAGTCTTGATTTGTATAATGAAATAATGTTATCCCAATATTGTTTGTTAAATTCTCTAGCCTGGCTTCATCTCTTTTATTTCAAATGATTTAACTGTTGATTAGGTATTGAAAAATCTTGATGGGCATATCACCACTTAAAAATCTTATTTCCAAAATTGTAAGCATTTAATATTTTACAGCATATTGACAGTGCCTCTGCTTTTTGTTCCTGGGCCACGTGTCAACTGTATCCATCAAAGGAGAACTTCCATGTTTCCCCTTTGCATGGTTGAAACGTGACTTGTGAGGGCAGATCTGAGTGATGGGTGCTGCTCAGGCTGCTTTTTGCTCCTCCTTGTTTCCCAAACTTTATCTTTCTGCACTGCTCCTTGTATGTGTTGGGAGAAGCTCACTGCTCCCATGGGGCAGGGCAGGAGGCGAAAGGCACAAGCACTATGTCTACTCTGGTAATATATTAGTGGCACTACTCAGGAAATAGCAATAATCAGAGAGTCATAGAATTTTGGAAATTTTAAAGGGATTTGTAGATCACCTGGTTAAACTTCTTCATTCTACTGATTGGGAGACTAATCAGAGAGGGAGTCTGTATAACCCCAACTTATGTAGCGATTTAGTAACAGAGCTGGGACTAGTGTTCCTAGCTAGTTTCCCTAATTTCTGGTCCAACTGCCTTTTTCGTGCACACATGCAACAAAAAAATATATATATATCTTCTAAACTAAATCACACCCTCACAAGATCACACATACCATGAAAGGTCAGGGACCATGTCTATATTGTTCATTACCATGTTCTTCCTGCATAGGCATAAGAAAGCTCCAAAGGCATATTTATTAAACAAAAGAACACATGAGCAGCTTTTTCTTGAATTTTCTGTTCATAGCTTAGCATAGCCAAACAAATTAATATTCAGTCTAGCTATGTCCTGATCTAATAACCTATAGTATTTCTGCCCACATATAACCCTCTCCAGTATTCCTTCAGAACATGAGTGGTTAGTTAGGTTTCCAGAAGTAGTGACGGGCTTATACTTTTTCTGGTCTCAAAGCAACTGCACGCTGTGAGATAGCATTAAAGGGACTGGTTGTGTTGGAGAAGAAGATGTATCCTAGATGAAAGGGGGTGGATTACGCATGAGCAGGCAATCAGGGAGAGAGGTGATGGGCATGGTTCTCCTAACTTCATAACTAACACTGAACCAAGTTATTTCTAAAGACGCCTTTCTACTTGTTCCTCAAAACACTAAAATACTAGTGAGAAAAGGAAAAAAGTATGCGTGTACATATATGTGTGCGTATATATATGTTTATGTATGAAAGTGTATGTGTGCATATATATAGTATGTTTATGTATAAGTGTGTGTGTATATACATATATATACACACACAAACACAAAACCACGCCCTCTCCATATATATATATAGTGAGAACATAAATATGGCTTGATCTTTATTATTTTCTCAAGGATGTGTGGGCCAGGGTAGTCATTCTTTGTTTCTGATTTTGTTTTTTCTCTCAAGACTTCTCAACCTTGATAACATTCACCACCACCATCCCCAATGTCTCAGTGGTATGTATGAATCGATGGGTAAATAGTGGGAGGGAGGAATAATATTAGAGTCCCCCATTTCACCTATGTGGAAAATGATGAATAGTGTAGCTTCATATATTGATCCAAATGTGTTATATCTTTCCAGTCATCCTACATAGTTTATTTCTATAATAGATATTGTTCTTTGTCAAGGTCAAAACAAAAGGCAATATTGGACAAACCCATTTTGTTCCACTACCACTGACACAGTTGTAAAATTGTACTGTACTGTGGGATATGGATAATTTAACATGAAAATTCATGTTGAGGTTTATTTCTGAAATATAGGAAAACAACTAGTTTGGGGAACAATTGATTATCTTCGCATTTGTAATTAACACAATTAACAAAGGAAAAAAAACAGAAAAAAATAACTTAGTTTTAGTCATTGGATTCACATATTGCTGGAAAGGACTTTTCACCCTGATTTAGATGCAATTCTGCTCTTCACCTGAAAATATAAATACCAGAGGCCATATACTTAATCATCAACATACTGAAGATTTAATGTCTTAAAATATTGAAGCATTGGATAATTATCATATATTTTCAATACTTAAATGAAAGCAGTCAAGAAACTTTTCTCACATTTTAATAAACAGCTAAAATGTGTTAATGTTTACTATTTACCAGGCACTCTGCCATTTAATTTCATAATAACTAATTTATATTGTTACTATTATCATACTTTCCAAATGAGAAAATTAGGGTTTAGAGAAAATTTAGAGTTAGGTCATGCAACTAGTATCCATAGACTTGGGATAAAAATCCTGCTTTAACTGTTGAACCATAGCTCATAATGAATGTGTGCTTTTCAGAAAAAATAAAACTAAATGAGTTCAAGGAGAACCATCAACTTTAAAACCCACACCAACCAATTTTCCAGCCTGATACCTCTCAGAGATAGAATCCAGGGTCATTTTGTCCAGCTTGCTCATTTTACAGGTGAGGAAGGTAAGTGATGTAACTAAGTGTATGAAGCTAGTTAGTAAAACTGGAACTGGAATCCACGTTTCGGAATCCTCCCACATTAGCAATCTCTCTGCTGTACCATTCTGCTTCTCCACGAAGCAGAGATAAATTTGGATTCAATGTAGAATTATAGTTATGAATAACAATTTTGAGTCAGTTGTTCAGCCTCCCCAAATTTTCCAACTTAAATTGATAGCCAGCCAGAACCTAGGCTTAGAATTAAGCCACCTTGTATGGAATCACGATTTTCTTGGGTCATCATTGAAACCAGGTCCTCTGCATCATCACTGTCACCAGGACATCCATCTCCACACTGAACATCGATGAAACGGACCCGGCTGTCCACTGTTCAATACTCCCTTCCAATGCACCTTATGGAACTTCAACTTGCAGTTTTCCATTGGCAAACTTTTGTAATATCCTCAATCTTTCCTTAAATGTTCTTTTCCTCTGTTGTCCTAAATGAAAGTTTTACTACCCCTCAAATGACACAAACCACTGGACCTGATGATTAGAGTGGGTCCTTGTCTTGCTCCTCATTTCCACTTCCAAACAATTCTTTCACAGTTTTCCATCCATTGTTCTATCTCCTCTGGAGTTTGTGCCATCAGGCTATGCCACTCCCCACCCCACATCGTGTTTGTCATCACCAACTGCCCATCATTTCTTCCCTTCATGGAAGTTTTTATGTCTTGGCATAATATCTTCATCCCCACCTTTATTCTTGTCATCATTGTTGGTGACTTCAACATCTACATGGGTTATCCCTCCTTCCTTGTCTTTCAGTTCCTTGCTTACTCACTTCCACAGTTTTATTCCTCCTCTCCCCGTCAGCCAGACACTTGCCTTGTTCATATTCCTAATTTTGCCATTATATCAGTTAGGAACTAGAACCCAAGTGATCTGGAATTATCCTCTTAATTAATTTATTTTTTGAAATTCTATTTTCTGTTAGCCCACACTAGATTCTAATTTTCTTCAAAACAGGGACCTTATCTATTTAGTTCGTCATTTTATCTTCAGAATCTAGAGTAGTACCTGGCATAAATTGGGCACTCAATAAGTATCTGTTAAGTAAAAAAGGGATGGTAACACACTGAATCCTATACATAGGGATGCTAATAAATCCTCCCAACCCCTGAAGAACTCACAATTTGCTAGAGACTTACAACTTAGCTACACAAGTGAGAGGGGAAAAAAAGGCCTTATAAAATAAAATGTTAAATCATAAGAATGGTAGGAGTAATAGGTGTTCATTCATTTATTGTTTCATTTATTTATTTATCCATTCATATATCCATTTAGCCAACACATTTTTACTGAGCACTTTCTATGTACTCAGCTCTCTTGAGCAAAGAGTTTCAAAGATGAGTGAGACATTGTTTCTGCCTTCAATTACATTACTTTGTTGGGAGAAGAAGACATGGGAGAGTCTCCCTTAAAACAGGGAGAAGTAACTACAGCTGACCATGTATGTATGCACGACCTGCTCACTCTCAATCAACTCCCTCCCCTTATACACAGCCTCCAACAAGAGAGAACATAGACATACAAGTTATTGTGTTTTTCTTCTCAGGGTATCTTTTTAGGTGATAGAGGCAGAGGTGTCATGTCAGAAACATCAAAAAGGCAATGGAGGGACACCCTATCTCTTAACATAAAGAAAGAAATAAGAAAAAGAAACATCAAACACTTTTTACATTTGCATTGGTATATAGAAACAAGATGAAATCTAAGAAAAGTGACTGACATATTTGCTTTAAGAGCATGTATTTTCATCTCTTCCAGGTGTGTTTTCTGAGGCTTCTATCATAAGACTGCCGACTATTTCAAAATTAAAAAAGGAAAACAAACATGTGCATTGTATGTCTTTTGCAGCTTTGTATAAACTTACTTGAGGACTGAGCTTACAACAGGAAAAATGGTGCTGACTGAAACTAGAAGTGGAAAGTAAAGAGGAAGAATGGGTGTTGTAAGTTAGGGTAAATTTTGCTGCAAATCAAATGGGTCCAAATCAGCAGGTGTTAAAGGACAGTCCCTAGTCCAGAGATGGGGTAAATGCAGTGATTCTGCATGAGGCTGGCAGCTCACAAAGCCAGGCTGTTTGCCTCTCTTGTCTCTGCCTTCCCCAGGCATGGCTTTGTCTGCTGGCTCCTGTTACGTCTGCATCAGGCCCAGCCATGACATTTGAACCCCAAAGTATCCATGCTAAAGGGAAAGAGTGGTCTTTTCTTTTCTGAAGTAAAAAAAAAAAAAAAAAAATTCTCTAAAACTTTTCAAAAGACATTCTCTCAAATCCCTGTGACTGGAATTACATCACATTTCTATTCTTGAATTCATACTCATGGCTAAGAAATGGAGTAACACATTGGTTTCTTGGATAAGTCAGGCCCAATCTGGCAGCCATGGCCAAGGTCAACTTCTGCTGTGAACATGGTTGCATGGACCCTGGAAATCATGATTCTTTTAAGGAAGGAGAGGGGAGTGAATGCCAGGTAGTCAGGGCCAGCTACATAATGTGCAGAGCCAGAGCAAACCGAAAATGCAATCTCCCCTTCCCATGACAGAGGGCAACCACCAAGGGAATGTCACTTTGCCCTGGGTCCAGGGTAAATGAGAGACACTTCCCCCACTCCTGCTCCCCAACAAGTTATCAAATGCACCATGGCACTGCCAGGGCCAGGGCAAGGATGGCCACCACCTTGCTTTACCCAAAAAGGCTACAGGGTGTTAAGTACAAACCCGATCCTGCCAAACCTGCTCCAAGGCCCTGCTAGTGGAAGAGGGAAGGCTGACGGAGGGCTTCGCCTACACCTAGCTTGGACAGCAGAGGATGGCAAAGGCCATCAAGCTAGGGCAGGGAGTGAGAGCCAAGGTGAGCAGTTACTGGAACCAAATAAAAGGTAACAGAAAACAGAGAACCCAGCCACCCAGCCCAGGATGCCAGGAGGCAGCTGGAGGTGGGAGCTCTCAGCTGAAGCTCTCAGCCCCAGCATGCCCTCCATGAAACCCTGAGTTCTCAGAGCATTAAATCTGAGTGTGAGGCCTTTTTGAGCAGGGCCCTGTGTGACTGTGCTGGCCGCATACACATGAAGCTGGCCTTAGATGGCAAGCAACAGTGTTAGAGAACAGGGGTTCGGGAAAACAAAGAAGGAAGGCTCTGAGAATAGCCGGAAAACCGAGGGACCCAGGAAGCTGGTGCGTAATATTTAGCTCTATCGTCACTACTGACAAAAGATTGAGAGGGAAGAAGAGCTTTTTAAAAGTTGTAGGGAGGTAACAGCCAATCCCATTTGTGCGAGGTGGCAGAGCAGGCACAGTGTTCTGGAAATTCACTGCAGACTTCTCTGGCTCTGCATTTCCTCCCTATTGCGACCTGATCCCATTCAAGGTTTTTAAGGAAATGCTCTTGAGCCAAAACTGGGGGCACGGGGGGAGAAGAGGAACAAGTACCAACTCATAAGGAGAGAGATGATTCCTTATTAAAGGGAAATTATTAATACACTCTCCATATCCTGTCAAATCTTAAAAAAGTGGTCAATGCTATTTAGTATCAGTCACACCAGCATATAGTAATTCCTCCGGTGCAGGCTTGGCCCAGCACATCTGCATGAGAGAGATTAGTCACATCCCACGGAGAGGGGTGACTTCAAAGCTTTAGTTTTAGCCTGGTGGGCATGAAAATGCTCTAAAATGTCTCCCCTGAGATCTTAATGATGTGCCTTTACACACTTTCTACATTAAAAAATGCTTGAGAGATAAAAGTGCAAGCCCTTCCCATTTAATATTTACAGGCCACCTTATTAAAAGGGGAAGATCAGCTCTTCTCAATGGGAGTTGCCTATAGAGAGATTCATGTCCTGGGAGGTCTCTGTCCCAGCCTGGCTTGCAGAAGAAGATTCTAATACCATTCTCAAACCTTCAGTGTAAGACTTGACATCTGACTGAAGAGGGCTGAGAAATAAAGTGTTTTGCTTAAAATATGCTAAGTGAAAAGAGAGACTTTGCAAAATTGAATGCTAGAAGGAAATATATCAGTATTTTAGCTGTGTGTAGTGGAGCCAGAGGTGATTATTTTTTCTTTGTCTATTGTTCCCAAGTTTCTATAATGAGAGTAAATTATTTTTAATAGGAGAGCTGTATGCAGACATATGCATACATACACATATATACATATAGCACATATATGAACATACATACGTATACTCAGATATTTACACAGAGATATATTTATATATTGCATACCTATAAAAAAACACATACACAAATTTTGTGAAATAAACCAAAACATTTTTATTTATTTGCAAAAAAGATAGCTTAAGATAGTCAAGACCTATAAAACATCATGGAATCTAAGACTGGATGTGTTTCCCCCTCCCAGCCCAGCATTTATCAAAGTTCTTTACATATTAAACAACATAATTTACAGAAAGAAGGAAGGATGAGATGAGGTGGGGAAAGAGGGAGGAAAGGAGAGGAGAAGGAAGGCAGGCTACTATCTCATAATGTTTGGCAGTAGATTCGAAAAATACAAAGTTTAGAAAATGTCATAACTCTCAAGCAGTTGTCGGTTTTTTTAAATGTCTACCATTCCTCAGGCTTCACCACTATGGCAGTGATTGTGGCATGAACACTGTAAGCAAGCTTTAAGAAGTTAGAAATGAGGCAGCTGGCCAGACTTGCACACAAGAACTGATATTTGAACATAAACAGACAGGAAGACAAAGCAAAATAAACAAGAGATTCCACTATTCTATTCTCAGAATACATATTTACCTAGACTCTAATCTTACTCAATACAGAAATTTCTATCAGGTTGTTTAGCCAAGTAACTGCTTCCTTGCAGGGAGAGGGGCCATAGGGAGTGGTACAACAGAGCAACCGAACAGTTTCACACAAAGGAAGAGTCAAGATTAGGACTTCAGAGGCCCCAGGGAGAATCTCTAGCCTTGCAGTTCTTATCTGGGCACATTTATGTCCTTCATGTCTCCTATCCCACCATTAGATAAGGCCCCTGCTAGGAGAAGTTACAGTGTAACTTATAATCACAGGACTGATGAAGCCTTTCCTTCTCTCAGATTTTCTCAGAAGGCTGAGCAAGAGCTCTGGAAACCTGGAGGAGAAGTTGGGTTGAAGGAGGGGGAGGGAGGGAAGGAAAAAGGAGGGAGGGAAGAAAGCAAGGGCCTGGGGATTTCAGAGACTGCCTGGCTTTTAGTAAAATAAAAAGGGGGCTGGAGTTCTCTGACAACTTTAGGAAAACCATCAGTAGCAGGTCAATGGCCCTTCCCTTTACAGAGATTTTCAGAAAGTCATGTCAAATAGTTTCTTCTGTGTGTATGTCTAAGAAGGAGGTTTGGGGCGCAGAAGGAAGATGCTCTTAAAATGGATACCCGCCATCTGGGATTTTAAAATCCCAAGCAGTGACAGAGGGAGATGTTGGGCATTGCCCCCAGAGGAATCATCCCCTCTCCAACCTTCCCCTGCAGGGCTTCACACTGGGAAAGCCACCTGCCAGCCACCTCTTCTGCCTCTTCAACCTTGTAGATAAGATGGGGAGATGGTTCTAAAGAAAGAATGGTAAGATCTTCCTTAAAGCATTCAGGAAATTGGATTTTCACACTTGCTAAACTGGGTGAAAGGAAGAAGGAGAACAAATTACTTCCAGCTGCTTTACTTCCTCAGCTCACACCAACTGTTAGAACTAAGGTTGTGCATGGTGGGTCATTTACAGAAGGCACAAGTAATCAGTTCACATTCCAGAATGGCTGATTTGATCACCCTGACATCTGAATAAGTACTTATGCTGTTCTCAGTTGAAAAGTTTCCCTGAGATCGTTGAGGAATCTGCCCAACCCATTGGGCTCACTTGCCCATCCCAGCCCAGTATTTATGAAGATCTTTTTTTTTAAAAAAAAGAATACAGAGACAGGATCCCACTATGTTGCCCAGGCTGGTCTCAAATTCCTAGACTCAAGGGATTCTCCTGCCTCAGCCTCCCAAATTGCTAGCATTAGAGGGACGAGCCACTGCCCCGGGCTCTAGCCCAGTATTTCTGAAACCAAGGAGAATGCAAAGCGAAGTGTTTCTTTTACCCGTTCTCAATATTCTTTTATTATCATCTAATGGTCCTTTGTTTTCTGTCCTCCAAATAGTTCAGAGCAAAATGTTGACAGATTTCTGGAGATTGTCATTCTGTGGAAAAAATACAACCTGGAAACTTCCTGCCTTAACTTTCTCCTCCATGCTGTCCTGGTCTCAGCGCTGCAGCCATATGATCATAGCTCTTAACTGATGAAATGAGTCTGAGCAAATGCTTAGAACAAACAGCTGGATCTTGGAATAACTGGTTTGAAGCTACAAATACACATCAAGGGTGCCCTTTGTTATTTGCTAATGAAGCCGAGGCCTGAACTTCCTGGAGAATCAGTTCAATGTGAACACAAGGATTAGATAGCCCTGGCTCTAGTCAAAGAGAAGAAAAAGAATATGAAAGCAATGTCATTTCTGTAACATATCCACAGTTGTTCTTAATCTGGACTGAGCATTTTTATAGCCTGAAGATCTTTTAAAATATAACCATGTCCTTAGCCAATTTTATTTACTCTATCTGGGTTGGTGCCAGAGACTCTAAAGAGCAACCAGGTTGAGAACCTCTGCTAGTGACTAGATAAGGAATGAGGCAACCTCAGTGGAAAATACAGAATGAGGACTGTATACATTTTATGATGTATAAACTTCTACAGTTGAGCTGTTAAAATGTTCTTACAAGTCAGTTCTGAATTGTCCATGCAAATGAAAGGGCCAGTGAACCAGAAAATATGTGAGCTGATAAAACAAACTGACAATAAAATTTAAATTTGACTTTCTTGGTCAAATTCAGGATTCAGAAAACGAATGAACACTTAGTATAAACAAGACACTGAGCTAGGAGCTGAGGGATACACATGAATAATACCGCATAGTTGCTATTTTAAAGGAAGTCAAGTTCACTCATTCATGCATGCACTAAGAATTGAGTTCTGCTCTGGGCATAAGTTTAGAAGCAGTAAAGACAACAGACACATTTCCTGCCCTCTTGTATTCTATCAGAATAATAATAATATAATAATAATTATTATTATTATAAGAATACTAATAAAAAATGTTATACTGGGTCATACTTATGGTCACCCATTCTTAGAAAAGTAGTACTAAGGGACACTGAGGTATAATGTCTGCACAACTTATTTCTCAGGCTTAGGAATAGTGGCATAGACATGAGTCAATAGGTGCAGCAAACCACCCTGGCACACGTTTACCTATGTAACAAGCCTGCACATCCTGCACTTGTACCCCAGAACTAAAAATAACAATTTAAATATTAAAAAAAAGAAATAGTGTCACAAAGAGGTGAAAGGACTAAGAATACTAACAGTGGGGCCAGGTCTAGAGTCCAGAGTACAGCCCAGACTTAAATCTTATCCTCTGTTCAATGCTGCCTACTTCTGTTCCCTGTATTTTCCAAATGAATTTTGGTACACCATGTAGGTAGCTGTAATTTGTTGCCCTTCCTAATTCCAACTCTAAGAAATTGACATGGTTACCATGTAAACAGCCTTGCCTTTTGTCCATAAAGAATCACACATCTTTCCAGTATGTATCATGTATAATGGGAGACAATAAAATAGTATTTCTCAATCTTGGCTGCAAATTGAGGTTGCCTGGGGAGCAGTAAAAAGGGAAATATACATACATACAAATATATATGCATACATACATACATACAGACAGACAGACATGCTTTGGCCACACCCCAAAAGATTCTGATTTAATTGTGGTTTAAGCATTAACATTTTTAAAAGCTCCTAAAGTGATCCTAATACATAGCTAAGATTGAGGACAAGTGTAGTAAATATAGTGTCTAAAAATGTATTGGTTTGATTATTAACAACTTGAATGACCTTGGACAAATTATTTAATAGCTCTGTGTCTCAGTTTTTTTTATCTTTAAAATGTGGATTAAAAAGCACTTACAGAGATAATGAAGAATGAGGCAATGTATATGAAAGTAATAAAAACTGTGCTTGATATATATACTTTAAAAAGTGTTATATACAGGTTTATCATTTTCAGTGAAATTAGTTTTATAATTATGTGCCCATCAAGAAAGGCAATGCTTTTGTATTTGTCCCAAATTTCAAACTGCTATAGGTAACTTTCCTGGAACCTCTCCCAGTTGCATTCCCCACCCCTCACCCCACACAAATACACATGAAAAAATCCCATACCACAGCCATGAATACACACAGTACTCTAATATCCTAGACCACGTAACATGTTTTCCATAATATTAATATTTTTTACCAGATGTGACTAAGTGTCTTAACTACAGGGATGGCACTAATAACAGAAACATCCTGATTGGCTAGGTATTTCAGACTTTCAGAACTAAGGTGTTTAGATATTATGACAGTCATTTTCCCATCATCTCCCCAACTGACAAGAACAAAGCCACCTACAAGCTACCCAGGTTTGGGATAAAGAAACAGAGAAGTGGATAATACACCTCAATTCCTTTTCCCTAAAAATTCACTTTCTGCTGGTGCATGCAAACACACACACTCTCTCCACCCTAGATACTAAAGTGACTTGGTACACTTATTTTAACTTACTGCATATGTGGGATCTGCTATATTTCCTCATCTCCTGATCTGGTACTGTTCTTTCAGTTCTTCCTAATTATGACCTGCTGCATTCCCTTTTCCTGGGATTTTACCACTTACTTATTTGTATTTTTTAACTGATTGAATAATGTTTGTAAGTTTCACTTAATCCTAAATAATAATAATGATAATAAGGCTGATGGTTGCTAGAGGGTATGGTGAGAAACAAGGATCCTTTTCTAGAACTGTAGACTCTCTAAATGACTAGCATGCTTCATTGACTAATTTTCTTTTCTTTTTTCAAGACAGATTCTCACTCTGTCACCCAGGCTGAAATGCAGAGACATGATCATGGCTCACTGCAGCCTTAACTTTTCAGGCTCAAGCAATCTTATCCCCCTCAGCCTCCCAAGTAGCTGGGGCCACAGCTGCATGCCACCACATCTGGCTAATTTTTTATTTTCTGTAGAGACAGGGACTTGCTACTTGCTATGTTGCCCAAGCTGGTCTTAAATTCCTGGGCTCCAGCAATCCTCCACCTTGGCCTCCCAAAGTGCTGGGATTACAGGCATGAGCCATTGTGCCCAGCATCAACTAATTTTCTAGGCCCAGTATTTTTTACTCTTTTAGTCAGTTTTCTTTTCCATTCATTGGTCCTTCATAGGAAAGCTGATCTTTAATTCTTTTATGTTTGTCACCTGATTAGATCATGAACATGGCAAGAGGCATCATCCATAAAAAATAAATGGCATGCAGAGGGCCCTTCTTCCAGTCCCAGCTCTGCCATGTTCATGAACTGTGCAAATCTGGATGGGCCATTTTACCTATCTGGACCTCACTGTAAAATAAATAGCTTGGAATAGATGACTTTTGAGTTTATTTCTAACAACCTTGAGTTCCTGAGAAGCCAACTTGTCAATTAACCAATACTTCAGAAGAACTAATATTTCAAGACCTTCTCCTCAGAGGTGAGAGAAATGCAATGAAGAATTTGAGATGGTCCCTCTCCCCAAGATGTTTATGTTCTATGTGGAGAAGTAGATTTATGCGTGAAGAGTGAATTGTTTGAGTCTGATTCTTCTTCAGTGGCTGAAGCTACTACTGTCCATCCCTCCCACTGATTACAACCAAAAGCTCTAGAGAAAATATAACATACAAGTACCTGGACCTTCATATGTGTAAAAAAAAAAATACAGGTGGATTTTGGAGTGAAGTCAAAACTCAACAGCAATGAAGGAGTGAGTTGTTTTTCATTATGTTTTGTTTTCTGACAATTTTACTCCAAGGGTGTGGACTCCAATTATGAATAAAGTAGTGTCAATGTAGTTCAGTAAAACATCAATAGAAACCCTATCTTTCTGGCCAGAGAAAACATGGAATAAAAAAGAAAGAAAAGTCCTAGAGACCGAAGAGTACAGGAGAATCACAGAGCAGAGAAAGATGGAGAAAAATAACACCTTGATTCTGTGCATGAATCCACACAAGTTGTAGCTGACACAGCAAAAATGTGGAGACCTGAACTGAGATTTGAACCACTGAACACAGGTGCTGAAACAGATGTTATGGCTGAACCTAAATGAATTGACCGCCTGCTGAAATAAACAACTAGAACGAAAACAGTAGCGAGTAGCAAAGTAGAGAATGCAGGGTCATTTGGCCCACTATCCTTTTTTTGTAAATACAATTTTTGTGGAACACAATCATGTCCATTGATTTATGTATTGTTAATGCATGCCTTTATAGCAGTGAAGCTGAGAAGTTACACAGAGACTGCGTGGGCCACAAACCTAAAATATTTACTAACTGGCCCTGTGCAAATACATCCACCAACCTTTGCTCTAGCAGATTATAACAGGACCCAGAGTTCGTATCACACAATATTCATAATGTCAAAAACAAAATAAAATATTTCTTGGTGTACAAAGAAACAGGAAAATGTGACCAATTCTCAACAGAAAATAAAATCAACAGATGCCCTAAGTGCTAGAAGTCTTAGAGACTTTAATGCAATTTTTCAACTATGCTTTATGAAGTGAAAGGAAACTTTTTTAAAAAAATCAATGAAAAGATACAAGTTTTCAACCCAGAAATAGAAACTACAGATGGAAGAAAATGGAAATGTAAATTTTAGAAATAGAAAATTATAAGATCTGAAATTTTAAAAATTACTACATTAGTTCAGGAAAAGAATGGAAATTACAAAGGAACTTTTGAACTTCAAGTTGTTGAACTTGATGATATCTCAATAGAAATTAACCAATCAGAACTATATAGATAAAGGAGACTGAAATGAAATTAACATAGACTCAGAGACCTATGGCAATAGGTCTCATAAACAATAGCAAAAGGTCTGGTGTCCATCTTATTGGAGTCCCAAGAGAAGAAGGAAAAGAAATTAGTGTATTAAAAAATTAAAAAAAAGGCTAAAAATTTCCCAAATTTGGTGAAAGACACAAATTTATGAATTCAAGAAGCTATGCAAAACCCTAAATATGATACATGAAGAATGAGAAAAAGAAAAGAAACAAACAAAAAAACCAGACACATTATAATCACATTGCTAGAAATCAAAGATTAACAAAAATTCATAAAAACCCAGAGGTAAATAACAAATAACAGATAAAGGAGCAATGATTCAAATTGCTGCAGATCTCTCTCACTAGAAGTCTTGAAGGCCAGAGGCAGCTCTGAAAGAAAAGAACTGTCAGGCTCAAATACTAGATCCTGTAAAGAAACTCTTCATGAATGAAGGTAACATAATGGCATTTTCAGATAAAATACAAATTAGAATAATTTATTGTCAACAAACTTCTTTTAAAAGAAATGCATGTAATCCCAGCACTTTGGGAGGCCGAGGCGGGCGGATCACGAGTTCAGGAGATCGAGACTATCCTGGCTAACACGGTGAAACCCCGTCTCTACTAAAAAATACAAAAAATTAGCCGGGCGGGGTGGCGGCTGCCTGTAGTCCCAGCTACTCCGGAGGCTGAGGCAGGAGAATGACGTGAACCCGGGAGGTGGAGCTTGCAGTGAGCCGAGATCCACCACTGCACTCCATCCTGGGCGACAGAGCGAGACTCTGTTTTCAAAAAAAAAAAAAAAAAAAAAAGGAAATGCAAAAAGAAGTTCTTAATGCAAAAGGAAAATGACAGGAAAAAAACAAAACAAAACTAAGGCTTCGGGAATAAATGAAAGGCATGAGAGATGATAAATGCCTTGCAAATTTAATAAATTACTTCTTTCCTCTTAAGTTCTTTAAAATACATAATATTGTTAAAATTAAAAATTATAACATTGTCTGATAGATACTTCAATGTATACAGATGTAATAATATGACAACTACACAAAAGGAGAAGGGCGGGGGGCCTTTATTTTAACATTTCTATGCTTTATTTGAAGGATAAAACATTATGAATAAATTGTGAAGACTTGAGTGTCTCTAGTGCAAATATAGACAGATAGAAGATGGACAAATGGATAGATAAGTAGGTAGGTAGAGAGAGAGACAGAGAGAGAGATAGATGATAGAGTTCATAACACAAAAGATGAATTAAAATGTAATACTACAAAATGTTCAAACAAAAAAGTTAAGAAAGAGAAACAGAAGTAATACAGAAAAAGAAAAACTGAAAAAGCAGAGAGAAAATTCATAACTAAACGTAGAACCAAATCCAACCATTGTCAATAATTATGTTAAATGGAAGTATACACCAATAAAAATATATAGATTTTCAGATTTCACTTGTAAAAAACAGATTCAACTATATAATGTCTACAAAAATTTACGTTAAATGTAATGATAGAGACAGGTGCGTTAGTATATAATGTGTACAAAAATTTTATTTTAAATGTAATGATAGAGACAGGTGCCTTAGTCCATTCAGGCTGCTATCACAAAGCACCTTAGACTGGGTAAATTATGAACAATAGAAATGTATCTCTCACAATTCTGAAGACTGGTAAATCCAAGAAAAGGCACCTGTAGATTTGGTATCTGGTGAGGGCATACTTTCTGCTTTCTGATAATGTCTTCTCGCTGTGTCCTCACAGGGTGGAAGCTGTAAGTGTGCTCCCTTGGTCCTATTTTCAAGGGCACTATTCACATTTAGGAAGTCTTCACCATTGTGACCTAATCTCCTCCCAAAGGGCTCACCTCCTAATACCATCACATCAGTGATTCAACATATGAATTTGAGCAGGGGTTGGGGAGGGCACAAACATTCAGATCCTAGCAGCAGGTTAAACAACTTTTAAATGTCCGATTTGTTAAAGACGAATGATAATTTCAAATCAAGAGGAATGAGAATGTATTTTGAATTGATTGAAAATAAAAAATTCAACATAAAAAATTTTTGGAAAGCTGCTAAAGCAATACTCAGAGGTAAATTTATAGCATTAGATGCTTAGATTAGAAATGAAGAAAGGTCACAAATAATCTAAGCTTCCATTTTACAAAACTAGAATAAGATCCAAACCAGATCACACAGAAATATTAGGTTGGTGCAAAAGTAATTGCAGTTTTGCACCAACCTAATAAATAAATAAAAAGGAAAACAGAAAAGAAACCAATAAAATTAAAAACAAAAAAAAATAAAAGAATATCAGTGAAACCAGAAGTTGTATTTTGGGAAGATAAATAAAATTAATAAACTTCTAGACAGGCCAAAACAAAAGGCAAGTGGCACATATTACCCACATTACCACATTGGAACGAAAGAGAAGATTTCATTCATACAGTAATATGATTATGATAGGATACTATAAACAATATTATACCCCAAAATTAGACAACGGAGAATTAGTTCCTCAAAATTTACATGCTATTGTTGTGGCTTTCCTACTTTCGCTGGAGCAGGAGGGAGTGACACGCAGTGGCTTCTTCACTCCCGTAGTTGGGCTAGGGGGAGAAAGTGCTACAGCTCTGTACCTGCCACCCACACTTGGCAAGCTGGAGAGCTACAGTTCCTGTGCTCCCACAGAATAGCAAGTTCCAGGTTCTTGTTCCACGACCAAGAAGAATAAGGCACGTGGACACCAGAGAGTGAGCAAGGCAGGGTAGGATTCATTAAAGCAACAGAAAAGGCTCTCGGCAGAGAGAGGGCCCTAAAGAGGGTTGCTGGCTGTGGGGCTAAGTTCGGGGTTTTTATGGATTGGGAAGGAGGAGAAGTGTGTTGATTGGTCTGCGGGCCGTTTTGGAAAGAGCACCATTCAGAAACAGACACAATAGTGTAAAGAACCAATTCGAGGCAGAAGTAAAGGCTTGGCCCACAACCAATTGGGGACTGGAGTGATGTTTGACTCTACGCAAATGAAAAGTCGGCCAGTGACCAATTACAGAAAGATAGGTATATGTAAAATAGGTGAAAGGTAAGGACCAATAGGGAGGAAGCACACCAAATGAGCATGGGAGTCCTCACTCTGGTCGGTGGATTCTATCCAGAACTGGCAGCTCAGTTTTCACGCCTTAGACAGTCCTTGGCTTGAAGGTCAAGTTTCACCAGGGACTGTCCCTACCTGCCCAGGAATTTGCCCGCCTCCTACTGCTATCAATATCGAGATTCAGAAGAACAAGTAAACCACCTGAATCTATTAAACAAATTAAATGTGTTAAATAAATTGAAATTGTACTTAATGATCTTTCTTAAAGAGAATATTATAGACCCATATGGTTTCAGGGACAAATTTTATTAAGGAAGAAATAATACCAATATACACAATATCTAGAAAGTAGAAGAGGAGAAAACACTTTCCCACTCATCTTTAGAAGTCAGGACACCCCTGATAAGAAAATCTAACAAAAACAGCATGAGAGAAAAAGAGCTACAGATCACTCTATCCCTCATGTACTTAGGTTTAAATTTCTCAGCAAAATATTAGCAAGTCACAGTAATTAAGATAGTGCAATATTGACAGAGACCATTCCTATAGCTCAACTGAACAGTCACTGCAGAAATAGACTCACACAAATACTACCAAATGATTTTTGGCAAAGGTACAAAACCAATTCAATGGAGAAACTAGTCTGGTTAATAAATGGTGTCAGAACAATTGAACTCCTCAGGTCAAAACACAAACAAACCAAATAAAATCTTCAAGCTAAACTTTATGTGTTATACATGAAATAACTCAAAAGGAATCATAGATCTGAATTTATTTAAAACTATCAAACTTTAAATAGAAAACATGAGAAAATAACTGTGTGATCCAGGGTTAGGCAAAAAGTTCTTAGACCTGACACTTAAATATATTTTGTTTGATAGGAGAACAGTTACCCTAGCTCTCTTTTGGTTACTATTTGCATGGAATATCTTCTTTTCATCCATTCGCTTTCAACTATTTGTGTCTTTGGAGGTAAAGAACGTATATCTCCATCTGCATAATGAGATTATAAAAGATACTTTAAAAGTTACCTTCCTACTCTTTTTGCATATTTCAAATGTTCTCTGATAAACCTCTACTACTTTTATGACCATAGACTATTAGCGCAAATTCAAACAAGAAAACTACTATAGGAGTATACAGGAGGAAATGTTAATTCTAACAAATAAAAAAGCAAATGAGAAATGAAAATAATTTCTTAAGGGCCAGTGAGGATTTTTGCAATTTGTATGAGGATAGCCAAGTAAATTCTAGAAATTCGAAAGATTAGAGGATGAGATTGCTAAAAACAGAAAATATTCATGGAGGAGTTTAAATATCATCTGAGACTCATCATTTAAAAAATCGAAGAAATTCCAAGTGTAGGAAAACACTGGAGCAAATATACAGAATTTGGAAATTCGGAGGTACATTTGGAAGATATGTGCCAACTTGTGTGGTTTGTTTGTAAGATTACATTTTTTTTATTTTCTTTAAAATATCTCTTTCCTTAGATGTATAAGTGCAGTGGGATGATGTCTCTGGAGCAGTCTCCACTAACTCCCTGGATCACCGACTCCTTTACTATTTTATAATAGGTAGCTTAGAGAGCTATTGCCCTTTCATAACAGATTTCTCGTTCTGTTTACTTTAGGCTTCATATAAAATTAAAATATGCATCCACTGGCTGGGGATATGTAGTTAATATATAGTTAGTTATCTTCAGAAGGCCATGCCTGCCTGACATACTCAAGGCTGGAGAAGGATCAGAGGATCAGGGACAGTTTCAGTAGCATGCACTAAACTGAATTCCTCTTTCTTATCCTCTCAGCAGCTTTATTTACAGCTGGGAACCCTAGAAGGCACATCTGAGTACTGATGCGAAGTCACAGCTGATGCTGGTACCTTCAGAGGTCCTTACACTGGGGAGACACAGCTTCAGTCAAACTGCATAATATTTAGCTGAATATATTTTTCTCCTCTATCATTTATTTCCTCCATTCCTAACACTTGTGTCTGTAGTTAATTTTGCATAAATTCCTGCACCATGTGACATGTTCTTCCTCCCATCTACCTGGCATGTGCCTTTTTCCTCAGGGAACAGCATCCTTCATTAACCAAGTATTAGCATAAAACTCTAATAAAATAATGCATTTTTATCCTGGCCTTTGAATTTCATCATTGGCAAGACTGCTTAGAGGCATGAAAGAAATCCAGAGGTGGATTACTCTTAGGAAAGCCCCAGAAGATCCAGATTAATTCCAAAATGACCTTTTTTTTTTCCCTTCAATTCTACCTGACTGTTTCTCAACAGTAGTCCTGAGCCTTCGCATTGTCTCATTGTCTTCTCATTTGCCTCTGTGTAATGATAGCCATATAACTGTTAAGTCAGAATGACATCAAAACACTGCTTTTTCTGTCCCTGGAGAAGGCCTAACACTGGAGGTGACATTTGATATGGGACTTGAAAGGTTAGTAAAAATGCTGAGAACTATATATGATTGAGCACTTACTATATGCCAGAAATGGAATGAGCTCATTTAACCTTCACTGCAACCTGCAAGTTGTATTTGTGCCCCCATTCATAGATGAGGAACTGAAGCCCAGGGAGGTGAAGTAAATTCCTGTGGTCATTCAGCTAGGAAGTAATCAAGCTGAGCTTCACATTCAACCAGCCAGGTTTCAGAATTTAAATTCTAAACACAGAAATAAAAAGATGAAGGGAACATTTCACATGCCAAAAAAAAAAAAAAAAAGAATGCAAAGATACCAGCTTATAAGGTCTTTGGGTCTTTGTATTGAGCAAAAGTGAGGATTTCAGTGCAGCTCAAATGTAAGTTGTGTTGAGAGAGAAGCTAGAGGTGCGATAAAGAGTTTTGAGGATAATAACTGGGAGAACAATGAGGATTTGGAAATAGGCAGATAACATTAACCTCTGAAAGTTATAATACGAAATAAATATGTAATGGATTAGAGCTGAGATGCAAATTCCATTTAAATAGACTGGCACTTTCCAAGATTAAGACTTTGACTATGACCTAATTAAATATATTAACTTATATTTTTTAAAAGTCAATCCAAATTTTTTTTTCAGCAATAGAATCACACAGAGAAATGAATCAAAGCCAACAGCTGCATTCTCCATGCACCGCATCCCAGTGAACAGGGTGTGTTTTATTCCAAAACATTCATCAGAACATCAGAAGATGATGAGATGGTTGGTTGTATCATCAAATTAAGAAATTCAGCGGATTGCATTTTTCAGAGTAAATCCTTTTTTTCCCATGAAATTTTATGCATAAATTCAGTATACAATACAGAAGAAAAGACTTTAGATAAGGAAGGCTTGGAAGACCTAGATTCCAGGGAACTCAATTTCCCTTTATATCTATAGTAATAATATAATTAATATTTGAACAAGCTACATCTCTCTGTGGCAGTTCTTACTTCATCGAGGAATCTTCTGATTATTAATTTTCTTCTCAAATAGATTCGATTACAGGAAGGCAATGACCTGATCAGAAAACAGATTCTGTTCTTGGTGCCAGGGACGCATCTATGCAAAAACAGCTCATCTAATAGATTTCTCACGTAAATGAATATACTGGAATTCCCATTTGTTTATTGTCCCTTTTGAGCTGACTTGACTCAGTCATAATTGCACTTCTAATCCTTAAAAACATGACCCTCCTCTAGGTCACTCTACACCAGCTCCTCGGTATCTCCTTTAAAACAATGCTTTATGTGCCATGCTAAGAAGCTTAAATTGAATCTGTCGGCAATGGAGAGCCAACATTTATTTTTTTAACTAAGGGATTTGCATGTCTATTTTAGTAAATATTTAGAAATGTCAAGTATGGATAGGACAAGGGTGGGGAACATTTCATCTTCTTTTCATCCCACCTAATTTCGCATGACTAATCACTAGATAGTAATCTTTATGCTAACTTGGTACCCACACAACTCCAAAGGCTGCGGATAGAGTAATGAACAAAAGAGACAAAGGTGTTTATCCTCCTTGTCCTTACATTCTAGAGTGGGAGATAGACAATGTAAAACAAATAAAAAAAAAAATCAAACTGTCATACAGAGCACGGGTCAGCCACCTGCAACAAATCTGGCCTGTTACCTGCTTTGGGAAATACAGTTCTATTGGAGGAGAGCACATCCATTTGTTTAAATATTATCTGTGGCTGTATTCATGCTACAGTGGCAGAGCTGAATAGTTTTAAGAGAGGCTGTATAGTCTGCAAGCCTCAAACTTTTACTATTTGGTCCTTTCCTGAGAAATTTTGCTGACCACTGGTAAACAGTATTTCAGTTTGTAGCAAATACAATAGAATAAAATAAAGCAGAGAAAGAAAATAGTGTGGGGAGATACTACTATAGTATTATATAATATAATAACTATAAGTAATAATATAATCTGAATGAATAAGTGGAGTGTTTGGAGACAGCCTTACTGAGAAGGTGTTAACTGAGCAAATACCACTTATCTTCCAAATCAATCCAGTTGACATATTTCATGGTTAATCTCTCTGTGGATAATCTCTTCATGCAATGATAAATTGTCTATATTAGTGCCTTTTTATTTTGCATTTGTACAATTGCAATAACACTGTGGCTTAGCTGTTCAATATCTATTTCTCTCCCTAGTGACCCATTCCACACCATTCGTCCAGATGAACCTTCTTAAATTATTTCACTCCCTGCCCAAAAAGCTTCTGCAACTTGGGCCGGGGGCGGTGGCTCACGCCTGTAATCCCAGCACTTTGGGAGGCCGAGACGGGTGGATCACTAGGTCAGGAGATCGAGACCATCCTGGCTAACACGGTGAAGCCTCGTCTCTACTAAAAATACAAAAAAATTAGCCGGGCGTGGTGGTGGGCGCCTGTAGTCCCAGCTACTCGGGGAGGCTGAGGCAGGAGAATGGCGTGAGCCCGGGAGGCGGAGCTTGCTGTGAGCCGAGATCGCACCACTGCACTCCAGCCTGGGCGACTGGGAGAGACTCCGTCTCAAAAAATAAATAAATAAATAAATAAATAAAAATAAAACAAAAACAAAAAAACTTCTGCAACTTTCCATTAACTATAGGGTGACCATCAAACTCCTTAGCCAGGATTCAACATCTTTCTAGATCTTTCTCCTGGTAAGATTTTCAGGATTATTTATCTTTCTATCCCCTAAACCACAGTCAAACTGTACTCTTCATGGTCTCTGCTATTTTTTGAAGGTTTTCAGGTTGACTTTGATGCCTGAAATGCCCTTTCTTCCCATCCCTGCAGGACACGATGAGAAGTATCCCGCTGAGCAGAGGGCTGAAGGAGAGGAGCGAGGCATGTAGACACCTGGGCAAGGAAGAGTTCAGGCAAAAACCCAGCAGCAGGAGTGTGCTTGGTGTCTCTGAGCAGCGGGCTGGAGTGCCCCGGTGAAGGGAGATGAGAAGGCAAGGTGAGAAGTAAGGGAAGAGGCAGGGAAAAATGGTGGGAGTATAGACTTTGACTCAGTGAGAAGGGAGCCACGGAAGGTGTTGAAGGGCTTCAAATGACTGAGATGTGATCAGAATTCCGTTTCAGCGTGCTGCAATAGGCTGTAAAGGACAGGCCCAAAAGGGGGCAGTCAGGAGGATGTGAGAATAATGCAGGTGAATGCTGTTAGCATCGTAGGCCCAGGTGGTATAACTGTCGTAGAAAAACTGTTGGATCAGTCTGGATAGCTTTGAAAGCAGAGCCTACAGGAGTTTTTGGTGTGTGGATGTAGTTCACATAGAAAGAGTGGAATTAAGTAGCAGCCCAAAGTTTTGTCCCGAGCAAGCAGAACTATAGAGGTGACAGTCACTGAAGGGAGAGATAGTGAAGGAGGAAAGGGAGAGATTATTTTGGAGGGCAAGGCTGGGGGTGGGGAGCATATCAGAAATTTGGTTTCAGACACACCAAGTTACAAGCGCTGTTTATATCTTTAAGGAAAAATATTTGAGTTGAAATTTGGATATATGAGTACTGAGATCCCAAGAAAATGTAGAGGTCAGAAAAATAAATACGTTCATGCCTACATATTCATGTTTCCATCATGGAGGTGTACAATTACAGTGTGTAGGAACAAACTACTTATAATTATCTGTGATTAGACTGTAGTTCAGTTTTACATAAAAACAAAAAAGTATTCTGTGCACAGTTTTAATATCTATTATATTTCCCTGGAATGCAACTATTAGGTAAATCAAGAAAATATCACCCTTAAGTTTGGTTCAGAAGTTCCAAAAAAAAGTACTATTCACCATTTTGGAAAGCTATATTGCTGACAGCAGTGTTCCCTGTAGTAATTGAATCACCTACGGCATATCTGAATTCTTTTGTTTTGGGGGCTATTGCTTTTAGACTGCTTCAATATATAGAAGAAAGCAACTCATTTTAAGCCACCATGCCATATACCTGAGCATTTACATATTGTAATACTTATTGTTTTAGTATAAAAAATATTTAATTTTTAACTTTATAGTATAGCTAGTACATTATTATAAATTAATTTTCTTTTATTTCTATTTTATGTTATTTTCAAGACTTTCAGGTATTATAATTTTTCTTTACCACTGCTGTTTTCTGGAAAGTCTTTTCTCTCTGTCTACGCTGATATTATGGTAAAGCCTGCATATGTGCATGGGAATAGATACACTTCAAAATTGTTAAGGGGTCCTACAAAATGTCTATAATAAAAAAGAGACATTGGGTTTGACAGGGTTGAAATCCTTGCCTACCCTGAGCTCCCAGAGCCGCATATTCCAAATCCTCAGCTTACTTCAGGAAAAGCCTCCAGCCCTGCTCCCGGGAAACTCTCAAGGGACAGGGACAGATGATGAATGAGACACACAATTAATGAACCACACAATGGGCATTATCCGAACCATAAGGCTGGCTGGCCTTATGGGTTTCTTTGCTTTTGCTCCATCGATTTCAGCTTTAAGTAAGTTTTAAAATGGCAAAATTAGCATTTCCACTACCTGTCTTCAAAAACATAAATAATGAAGTTTGCCTTTATCCTGTTCTCTGAGTTGAGCACAGTGCCTTTTTTAGTTCTTTTCTTCAACACCTCACCACATTCTCAAGCCAGCCCTACTCTGGAATAGCATTGATGGTTATTACTTTCCTTTGTCACCAATTATAATTCACCAGCAGATATTACAGGCCTCCTCGTTTGTTTAATCTGGCACTGCTAATTTGATAACATGTTCTCCAGGCTTCACCTCTTCTTACAGTGTTATATTTGGGTATTATATTCCTCCTACTTATGTGCTGAATGTTCTTTCCCTGACAAACAATTCATAGTGAAAGATTTGAAGTATATTCGGAACGTACTTGCTTAAGCAAGGCTTAGAAAGCTCTCAAATCCTTTTTAGTCATTTGAGGTAACATTGCTCGTTTAGAAAATCTGAGGCTCAAGAAAGAGGGTCAACCCAGGGCCAGGAAGATTTGAAAGGAAATGAAACAAGCATATAGACCATTCACACCGAGGCAACAGAAACATGAAGGCTTAACCACCAGGTGGCCGCGGGCACAGGAGAGCATATTCAAAATGAATGGCCATAGGAGACCCAGTCAACTCAGATCCCAGAGCTCAGCATAGACTCTCTACCTATAATCGGTTAAAGGTTTTGAAACACTTATTTTGAGGCTTAAAATATAAATTTAGAAATCTAGCCATCCAATTCACCAGCATAAGAAAGAAATCTTTTAGAAGTCAAAAAAATACAAAGCACAAGCATGCATGCATTGTGTGTGTGTGTGTGCGCCTGTGCATGTTGGTGTTACAGGGATTACAAGAATTGTGCTTTCTATTATGTCAAACTGATAACATATTCTTTTTCTTTACTTTTTTTTTTTTTTTTTTTTTTTCGGGATGGAGTCTCGCTCTGTCACCTAGGCTGGACTGTAGCAGTGCAATCTCGTCTCACTGCAAACTCCGCCTCCCAGATTCAACCGATTCTCCTGCCTCAGCCTCCTGAGTAGCTAGGATTACAGTGAATGCCACCACACCCAGCTAATTTTGTATTTTCAGTAGAGACGAGGTTTCACCGTGTTGGCCAGGCTAGTCTCAAACTCCTGACCTCAAGTGATCCACTTGCCTCGGCCTTCCAAAGTGCTGGGATTACAGGCGTGAGCCACCATGCCCGGCCCTGACAACATGTTTTATTATTTTTTTCAAATCATTGCTTCTGTGCAGGACTTGATAGGCTATTATGTCTTGCATCAGGACCTTTGCATGTGCTATTTATTCTATCTGGAAATAAGTGACACTCATTATTAAAATGGATAATTCCTACTCATTATTCTGGTCTTAACTAACCATAAATTTCTCAGAAAGACCTTTTCAATATCCCAAATCTAAAACATAGTGCCCATTACATGCTAATTTTTATTTTCCTTTAGCATTCTTATAGCAATGTTTGATGCTTTATGTATTTCATCATTTGTTAAATGTCAATTTCTCCTACAAAGCTCTATATTTCATTAGGGGCAGGGATCTTTTCTGCTTAATTTTCCTACCTCCCCGTTACCTAGTAATATCTAGAAAAGAGTTATTGTGAATAGATAAATGTAGGATGTCTAGAGAAATTAGAAATGAAAAATTGGGAATACATATAAAGTTATATTTTAGAGATAATTCTTTAAATTCACAAATTTCCTCTTTGCAAACGTATTCCTGAATACATTCAAGTTTAAATACAATAAAAGAGTGATAATGTGATGTTATAGTTAGTCTTTTGTTTCTTTGCTTTACCTCAGCTGTGGACATTAGTTCCTTTGTTTTGTAACCTAGCAGACCAATCGTATTTCTTATTAGCAACTTTCTAAACAGTGATATACACTTGGGTAGGGTGAGGACAGAATTAACTACCAAAGTAGAATTATAGAGAAATTTTGATAAATTCCAGCAACTCTTATTCTAGATAACATGAAACATTTAATGAACAAACGACTCACATTAAATATCTTAATATTTATACATGTAAGAAACCATCTTTGTCAACAAGTCTTAACTGATATTGAGATAGTTATTTTCCTTGGAATGGCTTTTTAGTTGTTAAGTGAAGAAAACTGTAAGAAAGAAATCGTCTCCCAGAAACTCATTACTATATGTGGACCTTAACTAACATGGATTCAATTTACATTTCCATTACTTCTTTGCCTGGGACTGTGCATCAACTTTCAGTTCTTCAGTTCTTGAAATGGTGAAACTAGGAGAATGTTGAGTTAATGCAAACCTTCTCCACTTCATAACACAAGCTGCTCAGACTGCTAGAGAGAAATATCATACATCTGGGTAATTGTCAACACAACACAACTACATCAGCTCGCAGTCCATCTCTTAAGATGCCCCCTAATTATCCTCTCATCCCTATAGCAGCTTTTCCAAGCCTTCACCACTCTCCCTAATCACACAGTATTGATCAGGGTTCTTTGTTGAGGAAAACAGAAAACACTACCTGATTGTAGTAGACAAGTCTTTGTTAAGTCTAGAAATAGTTTATGGAATTGTTAGGAGGGCTGAAGAACAGATTTTAGGCTAAGGTTCTAGAAATAACTCCCAGAGCCACACCATTGACCTAGTCCACCAAAGGAGTCCACAAAACAAAGGAGCTTTGCCTCTTCCATGCCCAGGGAGCTTTCACATCAGAAATACACAACCTCAGCTGTGCTGCTGTCTTCTGTGTGGGCAAGACATATTCTTCGTGTTCTGCCTCCTTCTCCTCAGAACTCTGCTCTGAATCAGCTTTTCACAGTATATCAAATTGAAGAAAGTAAAATACATGTCTAGTCTTTAACAATAAGGGAAACTAGGAGATATAGCTTTGGGGGAGAATTCCACATTGGTAAAACAGGATTTGCACTATGAAAAGCTATCAAAATGTGACAAGGACATTCAATATGCCATCATTACTGCCCACTTCACAAATGTCCTCTTAATTGCTGAGAGGAAATCACACTTCCCAGAGTCCCCTTTCCCATAGCCACTCGGTATCTGCCAATGAGAGATATTCAGGTGGGATTTTCCAGGTGGAGGGGGAGAAAAAGCCATTTTTCTCTGGAGGCAACAGTAGCCAGATGTGTAGGTGGTAGCCAGATGTGTAGGTAGATAGAGTTTGTGGCAGTTTAAGAACCACTCACCTGCTTATGCAGACCAAGATACTTAGTCAGATCTTTCTAAAGGCTTTTGAGATTTCTCACAGTTTTCATAAGAATCTTTTAGGAGTCTCTTGTTTATAATTGAAGGCTGAGATTTTTAATGTTGGCCACTTGACCTTCGTTCTCTCAGCATATGTAATATTTGTAGAAACCACCAGTTCCCTGAAGTAAAATCCCTCATTCTTGCATTTGAATAAAGATGCCTTCTGTTTTCCTGACTAAACTTGATACATTCACATTCCACCATTTTCCCCCATAATTTCAACAATGCACAACAAATAATCTCACTTCCCACTTTTTAGAAAAGAAAACAGAAGTATATGGAAAAAAAAATACTGACTTCCTATTCATTATCATATCTGCATTTCTATGCCATGATAGTTCTTTTCATTCTATCTCAAAAGATGAACTGTTTATTTCCTTACTGAAGGTTAATTCTTCAATTATTCTGTAATTTTTCAGTCTCTCTGTCCTCTGTATCTTTATCATTTGTCCTTCTGCTTGGAATGTTCTATGTCTCCTTCTTTAGTGCTTTTTTATCATACGATTATGTAAAATTATCTCCCACATTAAATCCAAATGGACAGGAAAGACATCTCACTCACCAGGATGGTTAAATCATGCTTTGGAAACGGCTTAAAAATATTAGTGTTGTAAAACAAACTAGCTTTACTTCCTCCTCATGTGGGCTATGTGTCTATTGTCAGTGGTCACAGAGCTTTGCTCATTCTGGTCCTTCAGAGACTTAGGATGACCAAGGCTCCACCATGTTAACACAATGCTTCGGGGTTCAGTGCTCAGACAAACAGAATATGGAGAAGTAACATATGTCACTTCGTTTTTAAATTTATGACTACGGAAGTCATATGGCTATGTCTAAACTTAGGGATCGAACAGGACAATGTAGTTGTGGGCCCAGAATAAATCAGGTTCTCAAAATGTTAATGAGCACTATGAAACGCTACCACAAACACATATGCCCTTGCTCAACAGACATAGGTCTCTCCTACAGTTCAGCCAAACTTCTGCCATTGGTGGTCTGCATTTTACCACCTGCATTTCCTTTTATCCCATTTCCTTTCCAGTAAACTACTGACTACTTTTTTTTTCCTAGAAACAGAATTGGCAATCATTTCCTTTGAGGATTGTTAAATTATCCAATGATGCTTTTGAGAAACCTGATGCAGTTCTAATTTTTTATCTGTCGTATATGGGTTTTTATTGTCCTGTTCAATGTTTAAGTTATTGTCTTTATTCCTAGGGTTCTAAAATTTTGTGATATGAATTTTTCTTTGTTTCTGATGTGGGTCTTTCTTATTTGCTGTGTGGAGTATTTGCTTCTTCAAGTTGGGTTTTCACAAATTATTTAATAATTTTCTTCTCTCCATGTTCTCAGTTCTCTGATTTTCTGGAATTCCTATTAGTCTTAGACTGATGTTTTCATACTTTTTTCCCTTTTATATCTTCAATTCTCCTTTTCTGAGACGGTTACTTTTATCTTTTAACACTTCTGTGATGATTTAATGTCTTTCATAATATTCTCCATTTCCAAGATTATTTATTCCATTCATGCTCTTTTTAGAGCATTTGTTATGATTTCATGGATACATGTCTTCTTTTACTTTTCTGAGTAGATCCATGGGTGCATTAATGATTCTAGTGAAATTTTCTTTTGTTCTTTACACACTCTCTTTCCTCGCATTTTCTTTTTCTATTCATTTCCTTTGATTTTTGACCATTGTATTAGAAGCTTTCTTTAAAATATCATTTTAATCTTGGTTGTCAGTTCACTTAAGAGATAAATGTTAAAATGCCTTTAGGAAGCTTTGTGTGCTGAGGCAGCTCTTGATAAGACGTAGACTTCATTGTGGGGATGTGTGAACAGGAACCTTAGAATTTTGTTAGGAAAGCCCCTTACTCTAAGTAACTATTTGCCTTTTCTCTTCCCATCATCATTTTACCCAGAAGGAAGTACCTAGATACCATGACTTGCTGGTACAAGTCTATCTGTCAGTGTTCTAGGAGTCTATTTGAGTTATCTATTGCTGCATAACAAATTAGCCCAAAACAGTGGGTTCAAATAACATTTGTTATCTCACAGTTTCTGTGACCAAGAATTTGGATATACCTTAGCTGGGACTTCTGGCTCTGAATCTTTCATAAGTAGGATGAATAATCATCCCAGTTTTCCCAGGACTCTACCAATTTTAGCCTCAGAAGTCCTAGGTCCTGCAAAATCCCTCAATCTGGGGCAAACCAGGACACACAGTCGCCCTACAAGGCTGCGGTTATCATAGAGCTCTGTTAAGGGTCTCTTCCTATGTCACTTATATAGTGGTGGGCAGGATACAGGTCCATGCAGGCAAGTGGACAAATGTCTTCCTTATTTTCTTTCTCTGAGGACCTCTTCATAGAGCTTGTTTTGTCAGACCCAGTAAACAAGAAGTCAAAAGAAATATCAGCAAGAGTGCTAGCAAGACAGACATCATAGCCTTGTCAATCATTGGGGTGACATCCTATCTCTTTACCATATTCCATTAAGGAGAAAACAAGTCACCAGGTTCAGGCCACACTCAAGGGTGGGAATTCCAAAAGGATGCAAGCACTCGGAAGTGGGGAATAGTGAGTGTGTGTTGGAAGCTGCCCAGCACAGAGTCCAAGAAGGGAATGGGATGGATGGGGAGGGGATTTAAGGCAGATTGGGATTGAGCTCACATCATTTCAAAATTGCCCCTCACTATGTGCAGCATCCCCAAAACAACAATTCCGCTCCTCCAGAGAGTTAATTGCCTATATTCTATGGAGGTCAGGAAGATGGTGTTATCCTTTGTGTGGGGTGGTGGATGAGAAGTATTTAATGAAATGCATCTTATGAAGATTTTCAACCAATCCTCCTATTCATAGTCCCACCAGAGGCCCTGTCGTCTGATGTGCCACATCCTTCAACTCTTGAGCCTTTCCAGTGTTTGGAAACACAAACTGGTCTACTTATTACCATCACCTAACTTCCTTCCCCTGTAACCACTGAGCTTTTGGCTTTCCCCTCTAAGCTTAGTCATTTTTCACTGATAAAACTGTTCTCTGCCTGCTTACATGTAACCCCTTTTCTTGCTAACATTTCCTATATTGTTAACTCTTCTAACTTTTTACTTTTTATACTCTTTTAATTTCAAAATAGTGATGTTTCAAAGGGAGGTAGGATAAACAAATGTATTCAACCCACCAGGTTAAATAAGAATCCTATTATTTCATTAAAATCTATAATCCACTCTCTTTTCAACTCTCACTGTCATAGTTTTATTTATGCATCTCCAGTGCCTGGTCTAGTCACTAACACAGAGTAGGTACTTTAAGAATTAGATGAAACCAAAGTAATGTGACTCGCTTGGGCATGATGTGACCTAGAATAATTGAGAAGAAATCTTGACATAAAAAGACACAAGCAAGGAAACCAAAATATGTCATCTACTTATTGTTCTCAAGTGTTAAGAAGAAAAATAAACAGAACATGGGGAAACTTGCTTAACACTAGACCCATGAAGCCAGGGATTTTTGTTTTATTCACAGTTGTATCCCCAGTATCTAGTACACTGACTGTCGTATAGTAGATGCTGAATGCTGAATAAATGTTTGCTTCCTGCATGGATATAGTAGTGACAGTAAGTATACTGTAAAATCAAAACACTTGGATGTGAGGTGACAACAGCTGATTACTTCAAGCAAGGTTGACACCCCACTGAGATCCATGTCTTTAGCTCTAAAACTAGACAATAATGTTTACCCAATAGATATTGCTTTGACATTCTGGGACAATGTATGCCATTGCACCTGGTCAAATTCTCCCATCTAGTATTTTCTTAAAATATATATTTGTTTTTCTATTCCAGTGAACAAACATCACATTCAGAAAAAAAGTATTACCATTTCATAGTCTGTTACTAAATAAATCGTCCAGATCCCTCAGATTATGTGTTATTTTAAAGTCAGATATGGATAGCACACCTTTTCTTTCTCTAAGGATCGTACATGTATGTGTATAAGGAGAGAGAGTCAGCATTTGGAAGGAGTTTGGTGGTTATCCTGACCTGCCATGTGGTAGTGAGTGAGTCTCTCATGCTGGCTAAGGTACTGTGGAGAAATTTATCCTTTCCCAGTAAAAAAATGTGATTTTTTTTCCCTGTTATCAGGGCCAACTGTCTCTTCTTATTCATTTAAGAGACTTGATATTCCCTTTACCTAAGACTCTGATGCAGGTCCCCCCCTCCCCACCCTCCCCACTGCATCCATACTGACCACTTGCTGACCTTAGCAGTATAAGTCAAAGTTGGACCTAATAAAAGCTGGCAGATACCTAAACTCTTAATTGAATCACTAGGTCTTTATTGACTTTTCCCTCCTCATCCCTCCTCCTTTATTCTTTCTATCCCTCTTATTTTAGAAAGAGGTTTTTCATTACTGAATAGAAAATATTTAGGTGTCTGACATCTCCAGAGTGGTAGTGATTGCATTGTGCATTAACTTGAAAGTTCATCCCCAGCTTAATAGGCCTAAAGAGGAATGGATGCACATTGGCTAAACCAAGAGATGGGATTGCTACCTAAATAACTAATTCATCTTCACAGCAGATGGATGTCAAGGATATTTGAGAGAAGATACACCCAAGGTCATGCCAATTAGTTGTGGAGTGAAGCCTGACTAGAAGTTAATTTAAGATATAAACAGCCTCGGGAGGAACCAAGATGGCCGAATAGGAACAGCTCCAGTCTACAGCTCCCAGCGTGAGCGACGCAGAAGACGGGTGATTTCTGCATTTCCATCTGAGGTACCGGGTGCATCTCACTAGGAAGTGCCAGACAGTGGGCGCAGGCCAGTGGGTGTGTGCACCGTGCGCAAGCCGAAGCAGGGCGAGGCATTGCCTCACCTGGGAAGCGCAAGGGGTCAGGGGGTTCCCTTTCCGAGTCAAAGAAAGGGGTGACGGACGCACCTGGAAAATCGGGTCACTCCCACCCGAATATTGCGCTTTTCAGACCGGCTTAAGAAACGGCACACCACGAGACTATATCCCACACCTGGCTCGGAGGTTCCTACGCCCACGGAATCTCGCTGATTGCTAGCACAGCAGTCTGAGATCAAACTGCAAGGCGGCAGCGAGGCTGGGGGAGGGGCGCCTGCCATTGCCCAGGCTTGCTTAGGTAAACAAAGCAGCCGGGAAGCTCGAACTGGGTGGAGCCCACCACAGCTCAAGGAGGCCTGCCTGCCTCTGTAGGCTCCACCTCTGGGGGCAGGGCACAGACAAACAAAAAGACAGCAGTAACCTCTGCAGACTTAAATGTCCCTGTCTGACAGCTTTGAAGAGAGCAGTGGTTCTCCCAGCACGCAGCTGGAGATCTGAGAACGGGCAGACTGCCTCCTCAAGTGGGTCCCTGACCCCTGACCCCCGAGCAGCCTAACTGGGAGGCACCCCCCAAGAGGGGCACACTGACACCTCACACGGCAGGGTATTCCAACAGACCTGCAGCTGAGGGTCCTGTCTGTTAGAAGGAAAACTAACAAACAGAAAGGACATCCACACCAAAAACCCATCTGTACATCACCATCATCAAAGACCAAAAGTAGATAAAACCACAAAGATGGGGAAAAAACAGAACAGAAAAACTGGAAACTCTAAAACGCAGAGCACCTCTCCTCCTCCAAAGGAACGCAGTTCCTCACCAGTAACGGAACAAAGCTGGATGGAGAATGATTTTGACGAGCTGAGAGAAGGCTTCAGACGACCAAATTACTCTGAGCTACGGGAGGACATTCAAACCAAAGGCAAAGAAGTTGAAAACTTTGAAAAAATTTAGAAGAATGTATAACTAGAATAAACAATACAGAGAAGTGCTTAAAGGAGCTGATGGAGCTGAAAACCAAGGCTCCAGAACTACGTGAAGAATGCAGAAGCCTCAGGAGCCGATGCGATCAACTGGAAGAAAGGGTATCAGCAATGGAAGATGAAATGAATGAAATGAAGCGAGAAGGGAAGTTTAGAGAAAAAAGAATAAAAGGAAATGAGCAAAGCCTCCAAGAAATATGGGACTATGTGAAAAGACCAAATCTACGTCTGATTGGTGTACCTGAAAGTGATGGGGAGAATGGAACCAAGTTGGAAAACACTCTGCAGGATATTATCCAGGAGAACTTCCCCAATCTAGCAAGGCAGGCCAACGTTCAGATTCAGGAAATACAGAGAACGCCACAAAGATACTCCTCAAGAAGAGCAACTCCAAGACACATAATTGTCCGATTCACCAAAGTTGAAATGAAGGAAAAAATGTTAAGGGTAGCCAGAGAGAAAGGTCGGGTTACCCTCAAAGGGAAGCCCATCAGACTAACAGCAGATCTCTCGGCAGAAACCCTACAAGCCAGAAGAGAGTGGGGGCCAATATTCAACATTCTTAAACAAAAGAATTTTCAACCCAGAATTTCATATCCAGCCAAACTAAGCTTCATAAGTGAAGGAGAAATAAAATACTTTACAGACAAGCAAATGCTCAGAGATCTTGTCACCACCAGGCCTGCCCTAAAAGAGCTCCTGAAGGAAGCACTAAACATGGAAAGGAACAACCGGTACCACCCGCTGCAAAATCATGCCAAAATGTAAAGACCATCGAGACTAGGAAGAAACTGCATCAACTAATGAGCAAAATCACCAGCTATCATCATAATGACAGGATCAAATTCACACATAACAATATTAACTTTAAATATAAATGGACTAAATTCTCCAATTAAAAGACACAGACTGGCAAATTGGATAAAGAGTCAAGATCCATCAGTGTGCTGTATTCAGGAAACCCATCTCACGTGCAGAGACACATATAGGCTCAAAATAAAAGGATGGAGGAAGATCTACCAAGCAAATGGAAAACAAAAAAAGGCAGGAGTTGCAATCCTAGTCTCTGATAAAACAGACTTTAAACCAACAAAGATCAAAAGAGACAAAGAAGGCCATTACATAATGGTAAAGGGATCAATTCAACAAGAAGAGCTAACTATCCTAAATATATATGCACCCAATACAGGAGCACCCAGATTCATAAAGCAAGTCCTGAGTGACCTACAAAGAGACTTAGACTCCCACACATTAATAATGGGAGACTTTAACACCCCACTGTCAACATTAGACAGATCAATGAGACAGAAAGTCAACAAGGATACCCAGGAATTGAACTCAGCTCTGCACCAAGCGGACCTAATAGACATCTATAGAACTCTCCACCCCAAATCAACAGAATATACATTTTTTTCAGCACCACACCACACCTATTCCAAAATTGACCACATACTTGGAAGTAAAGCTCTCCTTAGCAAATGTAAAAGAACAGAAATTATAACAAACTATCTCTCAGACCACAGTGCAATCAAACTAGAACTCAGGATTAAGAATCCCACTCAAAGCTGCTCAACTACATGGAAACTGAACAACCTGCTCCTGAATGACTACTGGGTACATAACGAAATGAAGGCAGAAATAAAGATGTTCTTTGAAACCAACGAGAACAAGACACAACATACCAGAATCTCTGGGACGCATTCAAAGCAGTGTGTAGAGGGAAATTTATAGCACTAAATGCCCACAAGAGAAAGCAGGAAAGATCCAAAATTGACACCCTAACATCACAATTAAAAGAACTAGAAAAGCAAGAGCAAACACATTCAAAAGCTAGCAGAAGGCAAGAAATAACTAAAATCAGAGCAGAACTGAAGGAAATAGAGACACAAAAAACCCTTCAAAAAATCAATGAATCCAGGAGCTGGTTTTTTGAAAGGATCAACAAAATGGATAGACCACTAGCAAGACTAATAAAGAAAAAAAGAGAGAAGAATCAAATAGACACAATAAAAAATGATAAAGGGGATATCACCACCGATCCGACAGAAATACAAACTACCATCAGAGAATACTACAAACACCTCTACGCAAATAAACTAGAAAATCTAGAAGAAATGGATAAATTCCTCGACACATACACTCTCCCAAGACTAAACCAGGAAGAATTTGAATCTCTGAATAAACCAATAACAGGAGCTGAAATTGTGGCAATAATCAATAGTTTATCAACCAAAAAGAGTCCAGGACCAGATGGATTCACAGCCGAATTCTACCAGAGGTACAAGGAGGAACTGGTACCATTCCTTCTGAAACTATTCCAATCAATAGAAAAAGAGGGAATCCTCCCTAACTCATTTTATGAGGCCAGCATCATTCTGATACCAAAGCCGGACAGAGACACAACCAAAAAAGAGAATTTTAGACCAATATCCTTGATGAACATTGATGCAAAAATCCTCAATAAAATACTGGCAAACCAAATCCAGCAGCACATCAAAAAGCTTATCCACCATGATCAAGTGGGCTTCATCCCTGGGATGCAAGGCTGGTTCAATATACGCAAATCAATAAATGTAATCTAGCATATAAACAGAGCCAAAGACAAAAACCACATGATTATCTCAATAGATGCAGAAAAAGCCTTTGACAAAATTCAACAACCCTTCATGCTAAAAACTCTCAATAAATTAGGTATTGATGGGACGTATTTCAAAATAATAAGAGCTATCTATGACAAACCCACAGCCAATATCATACTGAATGGGCAAAAACTGGAAGCATTCCCTTTGAAAACTGGCACAAGACAGGGATGCCCTCTCTCACCACTCCTATTCAACATAGTGTTGGAAGTTCTGGCCAGGGCAATTAGGCAGGAGAAGGAAATAAAGGGTATTCAATTAGGAAAAGAGGAAGTCAAATTGTCCCTGTTTGCAGATGACATGATTGTATATCTAGAAAACCCCATTGTCTCAGCCCAAAATCTCCTTAAGCTGATAAGCAACTTCAGCAGTCTCAGGATACAAAATCAATGTACAAAAATCACAAGCATTCTTATACACCAACAACAGACAAACAGAGAGCCAAATCATGAGTGAACTCCCATTCACAATTGCTTCAAAGAGAATAAAATATCTAGGAATCCAACTTACAAGGGATGTGAAGGACCTCTTCAAGGAGAACTACAAACCACTGCTCAAGGAAATAAAAGAGGATACAAACAAATGGAAGAACATTCCATGCTCATGGGTAGGAAGAATCAATATCGTGAAAATGGCCATACTGCCCAAGGTAATTTACAGATTCAATGCCATCCCCATCAAGCTACCAATGACTTTCTTCACAGAATTGGAAAAAACTACTTTAAAGTTCATATGGAACCAAAAAAGAGCCCGCATTGCCAAGTCAATCCTAAGCCAAAAGAACAAAGCTGGAGGAATCACACTACCTGACTTCAAACTATACTACAAGGCTACAGTAACCAAAACAGCATGGTACTGGTACCAAAACAGAGATATAGATCAATGGAACAGAACAGAGCCCTCAGAAATAACGCTGCATAACTACAACTATCTGATCTTTGACAAACCTGAGAAAAACAAGCAATGGGGAAAGGATTCCCTATTTAATAAATGGTGCTGGGAAAACTGGCTAGCCATATGTAGGAAGCTGAAACTGGATCCCTCCCTTACACCTTATACAAAAATCAATTCAAGATGGATTAAAGACTTAAATGTTAGACCTAAAACTATAAAAACCCTAGAAGAAAACCTAGGCAGTACCATTCAGGACATAGGCATGGGCAAGGACTTCATGTCTAAAACACCAAAAGCCATGGCAACAAAAGCCAAACTTGACAAATGGTATCTATTTAAACTAAAGAGCTTCTGCACAGCAAAAGAAACTACCATCAGAGTGAACAGGCAACCTACAAAATGGGAGAAAGTTTTCACAACCTACTCATCTGACAAAGGGCTAATATCCAGAATCTACAATGAACTCAAACAAATGTACAAGAAAAAAACAAACAACCCCATCAAAAAGTGGGCGAAGGACATGAACAGACACTTCTCAAAAGAAGACATTTATGCAGCCAAAAAACACATGAAAAAATGCTCATCATCACTGGCCATCAGAGAAATGCAAATCAAAACCACAATGAGATACCATCTCACACCAGTTAGAATGGCAATCATTACAAAGTCAGGAAACAACAGGTGCTGGAGAGGATGTGGAGAAATAGGAACACTTTTACACTGTTGGTGGGACTGTAAACTAGTTCAACCATTGTGGAAGTCAGTGTGGCGATTCCTCAGGGATCTAGAACTAGAAATACCATTTGACCCAGCCATCCCATTACTGGGTATATACCCAAAGGACTATAAATCATGCTGCTATAAAGACACATGCACACGTATGTTTATTGCGGCATTATTCACAATAGCAAAGACTTGGAACCAACCCAAATGTCCAACAATGATAGACTGGATTAAGAAAATGTGGCACATATACACCATGGAATACTATGCAGCCATAAAAAATGATGAGTTCATGTCCTTTGTAGGGACATGGATGAAATTGGAAATCATCATTCTCAGTAAACTATCACAAGAACAAAAAACCAAACACCGCATATTCTCACTCATAGGTGGGAACTGAACAATGAGATCACATGGACACAGGAAGGGGAATATCACCCTCTGGGGACTGTGGTGGGGTCGGGGGAGGGGGGAGGGATAGCATTGGGAGATATACCTAATGCTAGATGACGAGTTAGTGGGTGCAGTGCACCAGCATGGCACATGTATACATATGTAACTAACCTGCACAATGTGCACATGTACCCTAAAACTTAAAGTATCATAAAAAACAAACAAACAAAAAAAATAGGTTTATAATAAATATTTTTCATTTTAATAGAAAAAAAAAGATATAAACAGCCCCATTTCCCAAACCTAGGCCCATAATGAACACCTTACATAGTTTAAAGGCTTTGGAAAGATCTTTCAGGGCATGTGCTAACTTGGGGATGAATTCTTCATAAAATAATACATCCATTTGGAGGCATTATCAGCACAGAGGGAAATTATGGACTTGGCAATTTCTCCTTAACTGTTTCACAGCTGGTTTTTCTTCTTCACTTGCCTTGTTGGACTCAATGTAATAAGCAGATATTGATTATTCATAATGCTTAAAAATGAAACTATAGATAAAGAACATTAAGAGTTCATTATATATTTGGTCCCAAATTGGGATGGTGCTATGCTTTAGAGAAAGTTGTGTGTACTACCTCTTCAACAACCTTTTAACATTGAATACCAATATTCAAAGTTCATGTAGATGAAGAACCTGCACAGACAGATTCTCATCTTACATGAGGGAGCTGCACAGATCTTTATCCCATACTTTCTTGCTCCTGAAAACCGCTAATTCTACTTTGTCAGATAATGAGTTGCCATTTATTAAAGGTGACTAGTGATATATGTAAGACAGCAGGGTATGTGATTGCCTATTTAAAACTTTCCTTTGCTTTTGTGGTTCAAATAGGCTACTGAGATTGTCTGGTGATGCCACTCAATAGCTTTACTTATTGTCAAGATTGGGTGCATCTCCAGTTTCTCAGCAGCCAAGATTATGCCAGATGGAGGAGAATTTTCTACACCAGGTTTAATGTCTTGAGTGCTCTTGATTTCTTTGGTGTCATCAGAGATCAAATGGGAAAATCTGCTCCATGGAAAAGTTCAAAAAAATCAGAACAAGCCAGAGGAACTCTTTACAGCTCCAAAGTATGAAAAGTTTGTCAGAAGGCAACCTCAGCAAGAACCTTTGTTATTTCCACCTTTCACAGATGGATGGCCCCCTGCTGTGTCTGCAGCCCAGCTTGTGCTTAGGTTTTTCCATTTTGCTGAGACCTCTGTTAAACTAATTTGATATTTTAAAACTCTGTTGCCACCATTCTTATTTAATAAGGAACTAATCAGTTCTGTATTCTGTTGTGCCCTGCTATTGCTGGCAAAGCTAAAACAGGACATTTTGATTAATTTTTGTGTGTGTTGAGCAATATGTTCTGAAAACTTCTAATATATTGACTCTAGAATATTCAAATGCACATTCTGAGTCTGATGTTATGATTTGTGGCAGGTGTTCAGTTATGGAGACAATACACTTCCAGGACGAAAATGTCATCAGTGTATAACATGCATGTACAGACATTTACAAAGCACAGAGCATGGGTATCCAGAGCAAAGGACAGTGAAAACATTTTCCTGAATAAATGTCTCAACAGTGAAACATGCTATGGAGTTTTAGGAGATTTTCCCGAAGGGAAACAACTGCAAAATGCATTGATATTCTCCTTATAGACATAATCATTCCTCATCTTCTCTACAAAATTCTATCACTTTAGAGGCAGCCAACACATTATATTATCTATATGGATGCCCTATCACGATTTTGTTATATTCTCATTTTTAGAAGACCCAAAATAACAGGAAAAACTGTACACTTGATGAGTGTGGTCATTATAATCATATTGCAAGCAATCATTAGTTTTAAGTTTTAGCCATGATTCCCTTAAACATCCAACTGCATTGTTATCTTTAAACACGTTCTAGTTTATGAAAATATAGTACACATTCAAATGTTCTAAACACCTGCATTGCATGGAATAAGGTTAGTGTCAGGCCTCTGAGCCCAAGCTAAGCCATCATATCCCCTGTGACCTGCAAGTACACATCCAGATGGCCGGTTCCTGCCTTAACTGATGACATTCCACCACAAAAGTGTAAATGGCCTGTTCCTGCCTTAACTGATGACATTATCTTGTGAAATTCCTTCTCCTGGCTCATCCTGGCTCAAAAGCTCCCCTAGTGAGCACCTTGTGACCCCCATTCCTGCCCGCCAGAGAACCCCCCTTTTTCCTTTACCTACCAAAATCCTATAAAATGGCCCCACCCCATCTCCCTTCGCTGACTCTCTTTTCGGACTCAGCCCGCCTGCACCCAGGTGAAATAAACAGCTTTATTGCTCACACAAAGCCTGATTGGCGGTCTCTTCACACAGACATGAGTGAAATTTGGTGCCGTGACTCGGATCAGAAGACTTCCCTTAAGAGATCAATCCCCTGTCCTCCTTTGCTTTGCTCCGTGAGAAAGATCCACCTATGACCTCAAGTCCTCAGACCAACCAGCCCAAGAAACATCTCATCAATTTCAAATCCGGTAAGCCGCCTCTTTTTACTCTCTTCTCCAACCTCCCTCACTATCCCTCAACCTCTTTCTCCTTTCAATCTTGGTGCCACACTTCAATCTCTCCCTTCTCTTAATTTCAATTCCTTTCATTTTCTAGTGAGGACAAAGGAGACACGTTTTATCCGTGGACCCAAAACTCCGGCGCCAGTCACAGACTAAGGAAGTCAGCCTTCCGTTTGTGTTTAATCACTGCAAGGACACCTCTCTGATTATTCACCCAGGTTTCAGAGGTGTCAGACCATGCAAGGACGCTTGCCTTGGTCCTTCACCCTTAGCGGCAAGTCCTGCTTTTCTGGAGGAGAGGCAAGAACCCCAATCCCTTCTCTCCGTGTCTCTACGCCTTCTCTGCTTTTCTAGAAGAGAGGCAAGAACCCCTCAACCCCTTCTCCTTCACCCTTAGCGGCAAGTCCCGCTTTTCTAGAGGAAACGCAAGAATCCCTCAAGCCCTTCTCCTCCACCCTTAGTGGCAAGTCCCGCTTTTCTAAAAGGCAAGAACCCCCAATCCCTTATTTCCGTGCCTGACCTCTTATCTCTGCACCCCGATCCCTTATTTCTGCGCCCCGACCTCTTATCTCTGTGCCCTGATCCCTTATTTCCGCGCCCCGATCCCTTATTTCCGCGCCGGACCTCTTATCTCTGCGGCCCAAACCCTTATTTCCATGCCGCGACCCCTTCTCTCCTTCTCTGGAAGGCAAGAACCCCCCACCCCTTCTCCGTGTCTCTACTCTCTTTTCTCTGGGCTTGCCTCCTTCACTATGGGCAAGCTTCCACCTTCCATTCCTCCTCCTTCTCCCTTAGCCTGTGTTCTTAAGAACTTAAAACCTCTTCAACTCTCACCTGACCTAAAATCTAAGCGTCTTATTTTCTTCTGCAATGCCGCTTGACCCCAAAACAAACTTGACAGTAGTTCCAAATAGCTGGAAAATGGCATTTTCAATTTTTCCATCCTACAAGATCTAAATAATTCTTGTCATAAAATAGGCAAACGGTCTGAGGTGCCAGATGTCCAGACATTCTTTTACACATTGGTCACTCCCTAGTCTCTGTTCCCAATGCAACTTGTCCCAAATCTTCCTTCTTTCCCTCCCACCTGTGCCCTCAGTCCCAACCCCAAGCATCGCTGTCTTTCTAATCTTCCTTTTCTACAGACCCATCTGACCTCTCCCATCCTCCCCAGGCAGAGCTAGATCCCAATTCTTCCTCAGCTTCTCCTCCTCCACCCTATAATCCTTTTATCACCTCCCCTCCTCACACCCGGTCCAGCTTACAGTTTCGTTCCCTGACTAGCCCTCCCCCACCTGCCCAGCAATTTACTCTTAAAAAGGTGGCTGGAGCTAAAGGCATAGTCAAGGTTAATGCTCCTTTTTCTTTATCCCAAATCAGATAGCATTTAGGCTCTTTTTCATCAAATATAAAAACCCAGCCCAGTTCATGGCTCGTTTGGCAGCAACCCTGAGACGCTTTACAGCCCTAGACCCTAAAAGGTCAAAAGGCCGTCTTATTCTCAATACACATTTTATTACCCAATCTGCTCCCGACATTAAATAAAACTCCAAAAATTAAATTCCGGCCCTCAAACCCCACAACAGGACTTAATTAACCTCGCCTTCAAAGTGTACAATAATAGAGTAGAGGAAGCCAAGTAGCAACATATTTCTGAGTTGCAATTCCTTGCCTCCACTGTGAGACAAATCCCAGCCACATCTCCAGCATACAAGAACTTCCAAACGCCTAAACCACAGTGGCCAGGCATTCCTCCAGAACTGCCTCCCCCAGGAGCTTGCTACAAGTGCCAGAAATCTGGCCACCAGGCCAAGGAATGCCCGCAGCCCAGGATTCCTCCTAAGCCATGTCCCATCTGTGCAGGACCCCACTGGAAATCGGACTGTTCAACTCACCTGGCAGCCACTCCCAGAGCCCATAGAACTCTGGCCCAAGGCTCTCTGACTGACTCCTTCCCAGATCTTTTTGGCTTAGCAGCTGAAGACTGACGCTGCCTGATTGCCTCGGAAGCCCCGTAGACCATCATGGACGCTGAGCTTTAGGTAACTCTCACAGTTGAGGGTAAGTCTGTCCCCTTCTTAATCAATATGGCAGCTACCCACTCCACATTACCTTCTTTTCAAAGGCTTGTTTCCTTGCCTCCATAACTGTTGTAGGTATTGACAGCCAGGCTTCTAAACCTTTTAAAACTCCCCAACTCTGGTGCCAAATTAGACAATACTCTTTTAAGCACTTCTTTTAGTTATCCCCACCTGCCCAGTTCCCTTATTAGGCTGAGACACTTTAACTAAATTATCTGCTTCCCTGACTATTCCTGGACTACAGCTACATCTCACTGCCACCCTTCCTGCCAATCCAAAGTTTCCTTTCCCTCCTCCTCTTGTATCCCCCCTCCTTAACCCACAAGTATAAGATACCTCTACTCCCTCCTTTGTGACCAATCATGCACCCTTTACCATCTCATTAAAATCTATTCACCCTTACCCCACTCAATGCCAATATCCCATCCCACAGCATGCTTTGAAAGGATTAAAGCCTGTTATCACTCGCCTGCTACAGCATGGCCTTTGAAAGCCTATAAACTCTCCTTACAATTCCATTTTACCTGTCCTAAAGCCAGACAAGCCTTACAAGTTAGTTCAGGATATATGCCTTATCAACCAAATTGTTTTGCCTATCCACCCCATGGTGCCAAACCCATATACTCTCCTATCCTCAATACCTCCCTCCACAATCCATTATTCTGTTCTGGATCTGAAACATGCTTTCTTTACTATTCTTTTGCACCCTTCAATCCAGCCTGTCTTCACTTTCACTTGGACTGACCCTGACACCCATCAGGCTCAGCAAATTACCTGGGCTGTACTGCCACAAAACTTCACAGACAGCCTCCATTACTTCAGTCAAGCCCAAATTTCTTATCTGTTACCTATCTCAGCATAATTCTTATAAAAACACACGTGCTCTCCCTGCCAATCGTGTCTGACTAATCTCTCAAACCCCAACCCCTTCCACAAAACAACAACTCCTTTCCTTCCTGGGCATGGTTGGATACTTTCACATTTGGATACCTGGTTTTGCCATCCTAACAAAACCATTATATAAACTCACAAAAGGAAACCTAGCTGACCCCATAGATCCTAAATCCTTTCCCCACTCTTTTTTCCATTCCTTGAAGACAGCTTTAGAGACTGCCCCCACCCCAGCTCTCCCTGACTTATCCCAACCCTTTTCATTACACACAGCTGAAGTGCAGGGCTGTGCTGTCGGAATTCTTACACAAGAACCGGGATTGTGTCCTGTAGCCTTTTTGTCCAAACAACTTGACCTTACTGTTTTAGGCTGGCCATCATGTCTCCATGCAGAGGCTGCTGCCGCCCTAATACTTTTAGAGGCCCTTAAAATCACAAACTATGCTCAACTCACTCTCTACAGCTCTCATAATTTCCAAAATCTGTTTTCTTCCTCACACCTGACGCATATACTTTCTGCTCCCCGGCTCCTTCAGCTGTACTCACTCTTCGTTGAGTCTCCCACAATTACCATTGTTCCTGGCCCGGACTTCAATCCGGCCTCCCACATTATTCCTGATACCACACCTGACCCTCATGACTGCATCTCTCTGATCCACCTGACATTCACCCCATTTCCCCACATTCCCTTCTTCCCTGTTTCTCACTCTGATCACACTTGGTTTATTGATGGCAGTTCCACCAGGCCTAATCGCCACACACCAGCAAAGAAAGGCTATGCTATAGTACAAGCCACTAGCCCGACCTCTTAGAACCTCTCATTTCCTTTCCATCATGGAAATCTATTCTCAAGGAAATAACTTCTCAGTGTTCCATCTGCTATTCTATGACTCCTCAGGGATTATTCAGGCCCCCTCCCTTCCCTACACATCAAGCTCACGGATTTGCCCCCACCCAGGACTGGCAAATTGACTTTACTCAACATGCTCCGAGTCAGGAAACTAAAATACCTCTTGGTCTAGGTAGACACTTTCACTGGATAGGTAGAGGCCTTTCCCACAAGGTCTGAGAAGGCCACCATGGTCATTTCTCCCCTTCTATCAGACATAATTCCTCGGTTTGGCCTTCCCACCTCTATACAGTCTGATAGCAGACCAGCCTTTATTAGTCAAATCAGCCAAGCATTTTTCAGGCTCTTAGTATTCAGTGAAACCTTTATATCCCTTACGGTCCTCAGTCTTCAGGAAAGGCAGAACAGACTAATGGTCTTTTAAAAACACACCTCACCAAGCTCAGCCACCAACTTAAAAAGGACTGGACAATACTTTTACCACTTTCCCTTCTCAGAATTCAGGCTTGTTCTCGGAATGCTACAAGGTACAGCCCATTTGAGCTCCTTTTATTAGGCCCCAGTCTCATTCCAGACACCAGACCAACTTGGACTGTGCCCCTAAAAACTTGTCATCCCTACTATCTTCTGTCTAGTCATACTCCTATTCGCCATTCTCAACTATTCATACATGCCCTGCTCTTGTTTACATTGCCAGTTTACACTGTTTCTCTAAGCCATCACAGCTGATATCTCCTGGTGCTATCCCCAAACCCCCACTCTTAACTCTCAAAGTAAATAAATAATCTTTGCTGGCAAGGCTATGCTGAACCTCCTTAGGTACTCTCTAATTAGATGTCCTAGGTACTCCCAATTCTTAGTCCTTTAACACCTGTTTTTCTCCTTCTCTTATTCCGTTTAGTTTTTCAATTCATACAAAACTGTATCCAGGCCATCACCAGTAATTCTAAATGACAAATATTTCTTCTTAAAACCCCACAATATCACCCCTTACCACAAAATCTTCCTTCAGCTTAATCTCTCCCACTCTAGGTTCCCACGCCGCCCCTAATCCTGTCCTAAGCAGCCATGAGAAACATCGCCCATTATCTTTCCATACCACCCCCAAAAAATTTTCACTGTCTCAACACTTTACCACTATTTCATTTTATTTTTCTTATTAATATAAGAAGACAGGAATATCAGGCCTCTGAGCCCAAGCTAAGCCATCATATCCCGTGACCTGCAGGTACACATCCAGATGGCAGGTTCCTGCCTTAACTGATGACATTCCACCACAAAAGAAGTGTAAATGGCCTGTTCCTGCCTTAACTGATGACATTATCTTGTGAAATTCCTTCTCCTGGCTCATCCTGGCTCAAAAGCTCCCCTACTGAGCACCTTGTAACCCTCACTCCTGCCTGCCAGAGAACAACCCCCCTTTTTCCTTTACCTACCCAAACCCTATAAAACGGCCCCACCCCTATCTCCCTTCACTGACTCTCTTTTCGGACTCAGCCCGCCTGCACCCAGGTGAAATAAACAGCTATATTGCTCACACAAAGCCTGTTTGGTGGTCTCTTCACACGGACGCGAGTGAAAGCAACTTAGTAGATTAGATGATATAATAATAATAATGTCTAATGTTTATTAAACACTTATACATAGAAGCCTCTCCTGCAATGTTTTGAAATCATGGATCACTTATTGGTTTACTCAAAATATCTTTCCATCTCCCTACTGAGTGACACTGAGTTTACCCTTTATGGAGGTAAAAACACGTGTGATAATACCTCATATTAAATAGAGAAACACAAATCTTTGCTTGAGTCACCCTTGGCCGAAGAAAGGCAATTGTTAGAAACTATCTCACTCTCTCAGCTTCAGTGAACAGGAGACACTGAAACTTGCAAGAGACACATATCAGGTAGTCAGAGAGCTTAGGCCATTGGAGACTTCAGAAGGATACTCTGAAGCATGTTTCTGCCTTCAAGCAATGAGTTCCTTAGTTTCTATAAATGAGTCATGAGCCACTATAGAATGATGTACACTTCTAGACTGTCACACACACTCATAAGAGGGGGCAAATAAGTCTAAGAAATACTATGTGAAATAAACAGATTTATACTGCAGAATGCCTCATAGCTTTTAAGGCACCATAGTAAGTCTTCAAAAACTTGATAGACACTTTAGTTTTTGTTTTAAACAAATTTGTATTCCTCCCTCCCCAGCTCTCTCTCCAAGGCATGACTAATTTTCTTTTGAATCTCACTCTGGGAAATGTTGTTTTAAATGATTAGATTATTATTCAGAATTAGATACAATAAAAAATACAATACAATACAATATAAAAAATACAATATAATACAATATAAAATTTCACAAATACCTGTTAATTTATTTAGGATAATCGCCATCTTGTTAAACATAATACTCAAATAACTTAAAATGAATGGCAGTATAAACAGATTTGTCCTAATGACAGAAGGGACTGGATGCAGAAAAGGAATAAAGAGTATTTGGACCTTACCCTTAGGTTGCTCACAGAAATAATATCCAGCCTATTATCTTGGTGGTGGTTATGAAGTCCACAAAAAATGGATTACAAACAAGAGCAAAATAGTACTCAGTGTGGTAATAGTGATACCTGGAGTTATAAGACCAGAGCTAAAATGCCAGCATTGCAATTATCCTGCAGGTACTTCTGGGAAGATAATATTACATATTACACAGTATTGTTTTAAGAACTAAATGAGACAATAGACATGAGAATGTACTTGGTAAGCCCTAAAGCACTATTATAAGATTTTCCCAAACTAAAGTTCATGGACATATCATGAGAAGATTACTAAGTTTTGTTATATTTTGAGTTTTATTTCAATTATAATCTTACAAAACTTACTTTTTACAGAATTTACAGATTTTACTTTTACTCTACAAGACTTCTTTTACAGTGATAATTTTTTTATCAAAATATATTTTTAAAGTATGAGATCTTGTTTCCTTAATTCCCTGTTTCTCAAACTGAGATCCATGGCTGTCTTCTTGAGGTCTGTGAGAAACAGACTTACTTCAAGTGGTTCTTGGAACACACAATTTTGAGAATCACTGCTGTGTAATATCTGTATTACCTTATCAACAGAACTTTTAAGAGCAGCTGAAGAGGATGCTTACTAGCAGGGAAAATGGATCAACTTCCTCCACATCTTTAAAATGACTTTACAAAGGCCTCATTTAGAAATTTTATTCCAGGAAGTCAAGCCTGGGAGTTCACATGTTTGTTAAACATGCAACATCAGTAAAGTATCCACTAATCAGAAGGAAGCTGTATGTGAGGTCTGTAATTCAACAAGCCATGATGCAATTTAATTTAAAAACAGTCCTGAAGAAAAGTACATGTGATGACTTTATATTATCACCAATGGGAGAGTGAACATTTTTTCCCCACAAATTTTAAATCAATTGCCACACTGTGGTGATGTCATATTATGTTGAATGTCTGAGCTTCCTCTATCCTCTAAGTGCTGGCAAAGGCCTGTAGTTTGCCTGTCCCCAAATAGGGCTTCATCTTCATGAGGTATGCAGGCAGAATTCCAATTAGGGTGGTCACTAAGGTGCTCAGAATCCTTGGCACTGAGACATCAGGGAAGGAAAGCTCTCTCCAGGTGGGCTTCTGTGTTTCCTCAGATCTGCCCCTTCAGGTCTTTCTCCAACAGATATATTCCCTACACCACACAGGTTAGTCTTAGTACTAGAAGGGAGACTTCACAGAGGGTTCTTGCCAACACCTTGCGCAGGTGTGCGTGCCCTTGAGATCAGCCAGTCACTTGCAGGATCTTTTAGAAGCCTCAAGGATTCTGTCAGTGAAAGAGAATCTCATGCATTTAATATGTAAAAGTGAAAATATCAGGCAACACTCCTGGTCTGAAGCTTTGACTATCTTATGAATGGGCTCCTTAATTCCGATATATATCTTTTTCCCTCTCTTCCTCACTAACAGTACAGCATCCCCCTGAACTTCATAAGAAGAAGTTTTGAAAGATTAATAGAGCTAAAAGTTTCTAGTTAATGAGCACTTTATTGTTTGAAAGTAAAATATATGAGGCTCCAAGGGACAGGATGTGCTCGGAACAGGCAAAACCCTGGAACAAATAAAAATAGTAGCCAGACTCTGCTCCTTGTCTTGTTTTCATACTGATTCTTACTATTTTCTGTCCCAATTTTAATGAGCTCAATGGATTTATTTTTTGTGTGAAGATTAAAGAGCCTTCAGAAGAGGTTAAAGGGTCTTCATAGAGAAGAACAGATGATATTGCAATTATTTTTAGACTCAGTTCATTTTGAAAATGATCAGCCTGAATAAGTATATTATCAGAACCATAAAGGTAACAATTATGACTAAACATTTTTTGCGCACTTTCTACATCAGGTTCTGGTCCAAGTGCTTTGAATGTACTCATATGATATATGCAATTTGCAGATACGTTATTTAATTATGGCACCGTTAGATAAAAAGTGTCAGATCTGGGGTTCAGACTCTTGAAATTTGGTTTCCATTAGTTCTTAGCACCAAGAATCTGCCCGCAGAAAGATAGATTGGATTTTAAAATCAGTGAACTCCAGTATTTTACTCTAGTATGTAAAAGATTCTAGGCCAGAGGAGAACAAGCGTTGTATTAAGAAACTGAGAAAGGGGACATAGATTTGATTTTTAATATTACCAATAACATGACTTTTATACCAATAATATGACTTAGGGAAGTCATTTGACCCTCTGGGCTCCATTTTATTCATTTGAAAAAAAATAAAAGAGTTGGATTAAATCTGGCATGACAAATACCTGGTAAACATGCTAATCCCCTAGTCTATCTTCTTGTTATAAATCATTACCCCCTCTTTTCTACTAAGTTTAAACATAGTATTACAACCTTCACAACTCAGCTTTCCAAGTAATCTCTTTTGATTGACTGGAGCTGGTGTGTGAGATAAAACCTAGTTTTCATCCCTGGACAATATGACATGTAAGCTCTCTTCCATTTCTAATATTAAATGGTTCTTTCTATTTAATAACACAATTATACAACTGGGGGAGAATCTGAGTGTGCGCTTTAAAAGGAGATGAGCAGAGCAAGCTGCAGATGGATTGGGAGGAGAGGGAACTGAATACTGAGAAATACGAAGACACTGTCTGAGTCTTAAAAAATATTTTCAAGGCTGATTCATGCCTGTGTCTTGAACAGTAGGAACCCTTCTCCAATAAGAAAATTTACTTCCTTATCTAGGCCCTGCTCACTTTCTCAGCACGAAACCAGAATATTGAATTTATTACTAGTACAATGAATTACTCGTTTAATCACACGCTTGGATCTCGCTGTTGCATCTTCTCCCTAATTGTTTTATTTTCCATATATGTGAATGTGTCGTTATCCACAATCTCATATTTGCTTTCAGACCACATGCTAGCAAAGAGCAGAAATGTTGTTCTGTATGATATTTAGACATCCACATGGACTTAGATTTCTAATAAATATTATTCAAGGATAATAGAATAAAGAAAATGAGTAGGAGGAAAGAGAAGATAAATTTTGATAACGGCATGATTCAAGACACTATTGAGATTAATCTGTGGGAGAAGGCCTTACATATGATGAAAAGCATAATGAATTTAAAATTCTAAAATGAATTCTGTATGCTTTTATTATTTTTTCTTTATTGGAACCCTGACTTCTCTGGGTGGTCTTTATTTGAGTCCCATGCAGCTGATTTTTAAACGGAATATTCCCCTTTCTTGGATGTCTCTCTTTTTGCTACAAAGGTCAAGGATGAGGAATAGGGAAAAGCAGGCTTAGATAAGACTGATTAGATATGCCTTTAATCTAATGGAAGCCATTTTCTTATAGTGGTTTGTAAATAGGTTGTTTCTGAATGTATCACACTCTAAGTCTCAAAAGTAGTAGGCAGCTGGATAAAGATTCAGAGATTCAAGAACCTTGTCTAACTCATCATACCAATCAATACAAAATTGGATGAAACATGGTATCTTTCAGGAAAGCTGAGAGGAGCAAATGGCATTAAAAGGAAGAATAGGAAAGTTCTGCTTTTAAAAATGGTGAAGTGGTTTGTATCAGGTAGTTCCTTTTCCTAAGAGTAACTTTTTAAATGCTGAATTAAAAGGACCCTGGAAAGAAGGGAATATATTGAGGTGAGGAGAAAGTTATTCACTGCTTCTTCCACTTGGGGATTCGCCAATGAATAGCGTGAGGCATAATGGGCAAACAACATCGAAGACAAGGCTTTTTGAAAATATCATGGGAGATAGAAAACAACTATTAAGGATCATGGCTAACAAGTCATCAGGGTTGTGGGGTCAAAAACATGGACAAAAAGACACGACACATGTGACATCAACATTCTTTGTGACTATTTTTCCTTAGAGTTTTACTGTATTCTGTGCTACGTAGGAACAAGAGAAAACAAGAAGAAAGTGGTTTCCAAGAAGATAAAAAGCTAAGGAGAGCTTTTGGCAGTGTAATAGAACAGAGAAATACAAAATTGTAATTCAGGGTTTCTTCCTGGAGATAGATAAATATCCCTGGCTTTTATTTTAGAAATGTGAAAGGTTATGTCTTAGAATTAAAGGCAAACTAGAAATAAATCCACCCTCAAAATCTGAAATTTAGTATTTCATGATTTCAATCTTTCAATAAATAAACGCGATATGCTTTCTTTCAAACATCGAGTCAGATGAAAATTAAATCTTTTCTGAAGAAAGAAAGATCATCCAAAGGCTACATGATATCCCATCTATAAGTTCAGGATTCAAATAAAAATTATCAGGAATACCAGGATATAGTTGCAAATGATTGAAAACTAATATTATGTTGGTGCAAAAGTAATTGGGTTTTTGCCATTACTTTTAATGGCAAAAATAGAAAGAATGAAAAAAATGGAAAGGAATACAAGTATTTTCAAAAAAAGAGTTATTTTTCATGGACTTTAGAAGAGCTGTCTTTAAATTACTCAAATAATCGGTGAAAAGATACAGAATTTCCCTAGAAAACCATAATCTATATACAATATAGTAAAATAAAAAACTTAGGAATAAAAATGCAATTACTAAAATAAGATTTCAATAGATGGATTTATCAGTAGATTAGGGAAATTTAAAAAGAAGATTGATAAAGTGACAGATAGCTAAGTAGCAAATTTGGACAAAAGCACACAGAGTGTCAGAACTTTATGAGACACAAAAACGTTTAACATATGTGTAATTGGAGCACCAGAAGGAAAAAAAGATACACTATTTGAAAAAACAGTGGCTGAGAATTTTCTAAAACTGATAAAATAAAGACACATATTTAAGGAGCTTTATAAAATCCATGCATAACATTTTAAATAAAACCACTTCTGGGAATTTTATTGTTAAACTGCTGAATGCCAAAGGCAAATAGGAAATATTAAAACAGCCAGAGAAAAAGATACACATCGCCATGAATAAATAACAATAAGAACATCAGGTGTCTTTCAGCCATAAGACTATATATTTAATTTTTTTTTCTTAAAAGGGCAACCTGGAATTCTCCACCCAGCAAGAATATCCTTCATTAAACACCTGTGAATTTCTGCTGCTCAATGTGATAGAGTGACTGGCATAAGACTCACTTTCTGCTGTTAACAATAAACAGTAAGTTGGACAAAAGGTGAGTAATTGTTTTAAATTATTTGACAATGGGAGAAAAGCACATGAAGCTACTCCCCAAGAGAAAGGAAACTCATTAATTGAGCCCAGTGATCACAATGGTTCTTTACTTGGGCACCATTTTTCAACTATAGTAAAGTAAGCTGGAATGAAACATAGTAGTGCTTAAGAGTTGAAGAGGCAGAGATAAAAATTTACAGCAACTAAAGAGTTTAGAATATACAGGGTGGTTCACTGGAAATGAAGGAGTCATGTGGAGAGAAATGTATCCAAGAAAAGTAAAGAATCAAAATTAAATCTATATAATTCATTACATTAACAGAATAAAGAGGAAAAATCAAATGATCATATGAAGAGATACATGAAAATCACTTGACACAATTCAACACATACCTAAACTCTAAACAAACTAAGAATGAAAAAGGGCTTCCTCAGACTACAGGGTTTACTACAATAAACCTTCAGCTAACATTATATTTAGTGGTGAAAAACTAAATAATTTCTAACAAAGATCAGGCCAGGCTCAAGGCAAGAATGTCTGCTTCAGTATTTCTATTCAGTATTGTGGTAAAAGTCTATTGCAATTTTCCTCTAATTGGTCTTAAGGTCTCTCTCTGGAGAGTTACTATAAACTCTTGGAGAAGTCCATCTGAAGTCATAACATATCTCAAAAACCGAACTACAGAAACTAAACTTTCCATGATTTCACATTTGATTGATTCAGTCCATGGAGCAATTTATGCCCCAGACCATTGTGCAGTGTACTAAACTAGCAACCAATGGAACTTAATAGCCGAGTGTAATCAGGTAAAGAGATAGAGATTCCTGGCCAAAACCACCATCAACCCAAAGTGACTTTAGGCATATCCAAGACTTGGCACTCTGAGGTGCAACATAGAGGCTTAACACTGTGGGCGAGGGAGGAAGTCTCCACTAAAATAATAAAGTCAGTACTTAAACAAATAAATAGCATATGACAAAACAATCACAGAGTTGCCACAATATATTACAGAGAGTTGTGCTGTTCAAAGTTGCTACAATGTATTATCTAAAATGTCTAGTTTTCAACAAAAAATTAAGAGGTATGCAAAGAAACAGAAAAGTATGTCCCATATACCTGAAAAAAAAATCGAGGCAATAAAAATTGCCTGTGGAAGTAATCAGATGTTTGGAAGCTTTCAGAGTACTATTGAAGTCCCCCACTACTATTGTGTTGCATGTCTCTCACTTCTTAAGTCTAGTAGTAATTGTTTTATAGATTTGGGAGTTCCAGTGGTAGGTGCATATATATTTAGGATTGTGATAGTTTCCTGTTGGACTAATCCTTTTATCAATATATAATGTCCTTCTTTGTCTTTTTTTTTTTTCTGTTGTTGCTTTAAATTCTGTTTTGTCTGATATAAGAATAGCTACCCCTGCTCACTTTTGGTTTCCATTTGCATCGAAGATCTTTTGTCCACCCCTTTACCTTAAGTTTATGTGAGTCTTATGTGTTAGGTAAGTCTCTTGAAGATAGCAGATACTTGGTTGGTGGATTTTTATTCATTCTGCCATTCTGTATCTTTTAAGTGGAGCATTTAGGCCATTTACATTCAATGTTAGTATTGAGATGTGAGGTACTGTTCTCTTCATCATGTTAGTTATCAACTAAATACCTTGTTGTTTTCATTGTGTTATTATTTTATAAGCCCTGTGAGATTTAGGTTTTAAGAAGATTCTATTTTGGTGTATTTTCAAGTTTTGTTTCAAGATTTGGAACTTCTTTTAGCATTTCTTGTAGCACTGGTTTGGTAGTGGTGAATTATCTCAGCATTTGTTTGTCTGAGAAAGACTTTATCTATCCTTCATTTATGAAGCTTAGTTTTTTGCTGGATACAAAATTCTTTTGCAAACAATTATTTTGTTTAAGGAAGCTAAAGATGGGACCCCAATCCCCTCTAGCCTGTAAGGTTTCTCCTGAGAAATCTGCTGTTCACCTGATAGGTGTTCTTTTATAGGTTATCTGATGCTTTTTTTTTCACAGATCTTAAGATTTTTTTCTTCATCCTGACTTTGAACAAACCTGATGACTATGTGCCTTGGTGATGATCTTTTTGCAATGACTTTCTGAAGAGTTCTTTGAGCTTCTTGTATTTGGGTGTCTAGATCTCTACCAAGGCCAGAGAAATTTTCCTCAATTATTCTCTCAAATAAGTTTTCCAAACTTTTAGATTTCTCTTCTTCCTCAGGAACACCAATTATTCTTAGGTTTTTCTATTTAACATAATCCCATATTTCTCAGACACTTTGTTCATTTTAAAAAATTCTTCTTTCTTTGTCTTTGTCTGATTGGGTTAACTAGAAAGCCTTATCTTTGATCTCTGAAGTTCTTTCTTCTACTTCTTCTACATAAGGTCAACAAAGAAAGTGGAATTAAATTATACCCTAGAACAAATGGACCTAACAGATATTTACAGAACATTCTACCCAACAACTGCAGAATATATATTATTCTCATCAGCACATGAAACATTCTTCAAGATAGACTGTATAATAGGCCACAAAATAAGTCTCAATTAATTTAAGAAAATTGAAATCATGTCAAGAGCCCTCTCAGACCACAGTGGAATAAAACTGCAATTAACTCCAAAAGGGAACCTCAAAACTCTAACAATACATGGAAATTAAATTATTTGCTTTTGAATAATCTTTGGGTTAATAATGAAATCAAGATGGAAGTTAAAAAGTTCTGTGAACTGAATGAAAATAGTGACAAAACTTAACAAAACTTCTGGGATACAGCCAAAGCGGTGCTAAGAGGAAAGTTCATAATCTTAAATGCCTACATCGAAAAGTCTAAAAGAGCACAAATAGACAACCAAATATCATCTCAAGGAATTAGAGAAACAAGAACAAACTAAACCCAAACACAGCAGAAGAAAAGAAATAACAAAGATCAAAGCAGAACGAAATGAGATTGAAACAAAAAACTACAAAAGATGAATAAAACCAAAACTCTGGTTTTTTGAAAAGATAAACAAAATTGATAGACCATTAGTGAGATTAACCAAGAAAAGGGAGATGATCCAAATAAACTCATTAGAAATGAAATGGGAGATATTACAACTGAAAGCACAGAAATTCAAAAGATCATTTAAGGCTACCATGAACACCTTTATGCCTACAAACTAAAAAATCTAGAGGAGATGGATAAATTCCTAGAAATATAAAGTCCTCCTAGATTAAATCAGAAAGAAACAGAGACTCTGAACAGACCAATAACAAGCAGTGAAATTGAAATGGTAATAAAAACTGCCAACAAAAAAAAAGTCCAGGACGAGATGGATTAACAGCTTAATTATATCAGACATTCAAAGAAAAATTGGCACCAATCCCACTGAAAGTATTTAAAAAAATAGAAAAAGAGGACATCCTCCTTAAATCATTCTATGAAGCCAGTATCATCTTAATACCAAATCCAGGAAAGAAAATAACAAAAGGAGAAAACTACAGACCAGTATCCCTGATAAACATGGATGCAAAAATCCTCAATAAAATACTAGCTAACCAAATCCAACAGCATATCAAAAAGATAACACATAATGATGAATGGGTTTTATACCAGGGATGCAGGGATAATTTAACATATGCAATGAACATTGTTAATTAACATAAACAGAAGTAAAAACAAAAATCATATGATAATCTCAATAGATACAGAAAAAGCATTTGACAACATCTAGTATCCTTTTATGATAAAAACCATCAATAAAATTGGCATAGAAGGGACATACCTCAAAGTAATAAAAACCATCTATGACACACCCACAGCCAACATAATACTGAATGGGGAAAAGTTGAAAGCATTTCCTCTGAGAACTAGAACAAGACCAGGATGCCCACTTTCGCCAAATTGATTCCCCACAGTACTGGAAGTCCTAGCCAGAGCAATCAGACAAGAGAAAGAAATAAAGGGCATCCAAATTAAAAAAGAGGGAGTCAAAATGTTGCTGTTCACTGATAATATGATTGTATACCTAGAAAACTCTAAAGATTCATCCCAAAAGCTCCTAGGTCTGATAAACAAATTCAGTAAAGTTTCAGGATACAAAATCAATGTACAAAAATCAATAGCACTGCTATTCACCAACAACAACCAAGCTGAGAATCAAATCGAGAATGCAATCCTTTTTACAACCACTGCAAATAAAATAAAATAAAATACTTAGTAATATACTTAACCCATCGGTGTGCTATTTTCAGGAGACCCATCTCACGTACAAAGACACACATAGGCTCAAGATAAAGGGATGGAGGAAGATTTACCAAGCTAATGGAAAGCAACAAAAAGTAGGGGTTGCAATCCTAGTCTCTGATAAAACAGACTTTAAACCAACAAAGATCAAAAGAGACAAAGAAGACCATTACATAATGGTAAAGGAATCAATGCAACAAGAAGAGCTAACTATCCTAAATATGTATGCACCCAATACAGGAGCACCCAGATTCATAAAGCAAGTTTTTAGAGAACTACAAAGAGACTTAGACTCCCACACAATAACAGTGGGAGATTTTAAGACCCCACTGTCAATATTAGAGAGATCAACGAGACAGAAAGTTAACAAGGATATTCAGGACTTGAACTCAGCTCTGAACCAAGCAGACGTAACAGACATCTACAGAACTCTCCACCCCAAATCAACAGAACATACATTCTTCTCAGCACCTCATCACACTTCTTCTAAAATTGATCACATAATTGGAAGTAAAACACTCCTAAGCAAATGCAAAAGAATGGAAATCATAACAGTCTCTCAGACCACAGTGCAATCAAATTAGAACTCAGGATTAATAAACTCACTCAAAACCACACAACTACATGGAAACTGAACAACCTGCTCCTGAATGACTACTGGGTAAATAATGAAATTAAGGCAGAAATAAATAAGTTCTTTGAAACCAATAAGAACAAAGACGTAACGTACCAGAATCTCTGGGACACATTTAAAGCAGTGTTTAGAGGGACATTTATAGCACTAAATGCCCACAAGAGAAAGCAGGAAAGATCTAAAATCGACACCCTAACATCACAATTAAAAGAACTAGAGAAGCAAGAGCAAACAAATTCAAAAGCTAGCAGAAGGCAAGAAATAACTAAGATCAGAGCAGAACTGAAGGAGATAGAGATGCAAAAAACCCTTCAAAAAAATCAATGAATCCAGTAGCTGGCTTTTTGAAAAGATCAACAAAATAGATAGACCACTAGCCAAACTAATAAAGAAGAAAAGAGAGAAGGTTCAAAGGGTTGCAATAAAAAATGATAAAGGGGACATCACCACGGATCCTACAGAAATAAAAACCACCATCAGAGAATACTATAAATACCTCTATGCAAATAAACTAGAAAATCTAGAAGAAATGGATACATTCCTAGACACATACACCCTCCCAAGACTAAACCAGGAAGAAGTTGAATCCCTGAATAGATCAATAACAAGTTCTGAAATTGAGGAAGAAATTAATAGCCTACCAACCAAAAAAGGGCCAGGACCTGATGGATTCACAGCCAAATTCTACCACAGGTACAAAGAGGAGCTGGTACCATTCCTTCTGAAATTATTCCAAACAATAGAAAAAGAAGGAATCCTCCCTAACTCATTTTATGAGGCTAGCATCATCCTGATACCCAAACCTGGCAGAGACACAACAAAAAAAGAAAATTTCAGGCCAATATCCCTGATGAACATCAATGGGAAAATCCTCAATAAAATACTGGCAAACCGAATCTAGCAGCACATCAAAAAGCTTATCCACCACGATCAAGTCAGCTTCATACTTGGGATGCAAGACTGGTTCAACATAGGCAAATCAATAAACATAATCAAACAGAACCAATGACAAAAACCATATGATTGTCTCAATAGATGCAGAAAAGGCCTTTGACAAAATTCAACACCCCTTCATGCTAAGAACTCTCAATAAACTAAGTATTGATGGAATGTATCTCAAAATAAAAAGAGCTGTTTATGACAAACCCACAGCCAATATCATATTGAATGGGCAAAAACTGGAAGCATTCCCTTTGAAAACCGGCACAGGATAAGGAGGCGCTCTCTCACCACTCCTATTCAACATAGTATTGGAAGTTCTGGCCAGGGCAAGAGAAAGAAATAAAGGGTATTCAAATAGGAAAAGAGGAAGTCAAATTGTCTCTGTTTGAGGATGACGTGATTGCATATTTAGAGAACGCCATTGTCTCAGCCCAAAATCTCCTTAAGTCATATACTTAACCAAGGAGGTGAAAAATCTCTACAAGACAAACTACAAAACACTACTAAAAGAAATCATAGATGACACAAACTGATGGAAATGCATTTCATGCTCATGGATGGATAGAATCAATATTGTGAAAATGGCCATACTGCCCAAAACAATCTACAGATTCAATGTAATTCCCATCAAAATATCATCATCATTTTTCACAGAAATAGAAAAAAAAAAAATCCTAAAATTCATGTGAAACCAAAAAAGAAGCCACATAGCCAAAGCAAGACTAAGCAAAAAGAACAAACCTGGAGGCATCATGTTACCTGACTTCAAACTATACTACAAGTCTATAGCTACCCAAACAGTATGGTACTCATAAAAACAGGTACATAGACCAATGGAACAGAACAGAGAACCCAGGGACAAAGCAAAATATTTACAGTCAACTAATCTTCAACAACACATACAAAAACATAAAGTGGGAAAAGGACATCTTATTCAAAAAATGATGCTGGGATAATTGACTAGCCACATGTAGAAGAATGAAACTGGATCCTCATCTCCTACCTTAAATAAAAATCAACCCAAGATAGACAAAATACTTAAATCTAAGACCTGAAACCATAAAAATTCTAGAAGATAACATAGGGAAAACTCTTCTAGACATTGGCTTAGGCAAATAATTTACGACCAAGAACCCAAAAGCAAATGCAACAAAAATACAAATAAATACAGGGGGCCTAATTAAACTAAAAAGCTTCTGCACAGCAAACTAAATAATCAGCACAATAAACAGACAACCCACTGAGTGGGACAAAATATTCTCAAAATTAGTCTGTAATCTGTAATTTTTTAAAAAGATATTTTATGCAAAATTGTCATCTGACAAAGGACTATTATCCAGAATCTATAAGGAACTCAAACAAATCAGCAAGAAGAAAACAAACAATCCCATCAAAAAGTGGGCAAAGGACAGGAATAGACAATTCTCAAAAGAATATATACAAATGGCGCCATCGAACTCCGGCCAGGGCAACAACAGTGAAACTCTGTTTCAAAAAACAAGAAAAAGTAAAAGAATCTTGACCTTAGATATAATCATTATCAGTAGATTATTTTCTGTCCTTCCAGAAACTCTCTGTGCATATAAAAAAATACAATTTTTGCATAAGTGGGGTCCAACTAAATGTTCTGCCACTTGCTTTGTATCTAATGTGTATATTTTAAATTGATATAAAGAAGGCACAGCAAGGCAGGGCCCATCATACAGTATGACATTTCACAACATTGTATTCTTTTATTCTTGACTACAACATAATGTGCCTTTAAAGTGACCTTTTGTTTTAGTATGTATGGAAGGAACACAAGAGTTTTACAATAAACAATATCTTACAAAAAAAAAGAATATATACAAATGGCCAATAAACATATTTAAAAATGCTTAATGTCAGTAATTATCAGGGAAATGCAAATTAAAACCACAGTGAGATACCACCTTACTCCTGAAAGAATGGTCATAATTTAAAAATTAAAAAACAATAAATGTTGGCATTGATGTGGTGTAAAGGGAGTACTTTTACACTGGGGTTGATAATGTAAACTAATACAACCATTTTGGAAAACAGTATGGAGATTCCTTAAATAAATGAAAGTAGAACCACCATTTGATCCAGCAATTTCACTACTGGGTATCTACCCAAAGGAAAAGCAATCATTGCATGAAAAAGACACATGCACATACATGTTTATTGCAGCACAATTCACAATTACAAAAATATGGAACCAACCTAAATGCCCATCAACCAGTGAGAGGATAAAGAAAATGTGGTATTTATACATTATGGAATGTTACTCAGCCGTAAAATGGAACGAAATAATGGCCTTTGCAGCAAGCTGGATGGAGTTGGAAGCCATTACTCTAAGTGAAGTAACTCAGAAATCAAAAACCAAATATTGTATGTTCTCATTTATAAGTGAGAGCTAATCTCTGAGGATGCAAACGTAAGAATGATATAATCGATTTTGGGGACTTGCGGGGAAGGGTGGGAGGAGGGTGAGGGATAAAAGACTACACATTAGGTGCAGTGTGTACTGCTTAGATGATGGCACCAAAATCTCAGAAATCAGCACTAAAGAACTTATCCATGTAACCAAAAACCTTCTGTTCCCCCAAAACTATCAAAATTTTCTTTTTGAAAAATAAAAGCCTTCAAACTAGCCATTGTAAATATGTCCAAAGAACTAAAGGAAGCCATCATTAAAGTAAAAGAAAGTATGATGACAACACTGTATCAAATAAAGAATAGCAGTAAAGAGCTATAAATTTTTTAAAGTACAACAATATAAAAATTCTGGTGATAGACTGGGCGCGGTGGCTCACACCTGTAATCCCAGCACTTTGAGAGGCCCCGGTGGGCAGATCATGAGGTCAGAAGATCGAGACCATCCTTGCTAATGTGGTGAAACCCCATTTCTACTAAAAATACAAAAAATTAGCCGGGCGTGGTGGCAGGCGCCTGTAGTCCCAGCTACTCGGGAGGCTGAGGCAGGAGAATGGCGTGAACCTGGGAGGCGGAGATTGCAGTGGGCCGAGATCATGCCACTGCCCTCCAGCCTGGGTGACAGAGTGAGACTCCATAACAAAATAAATTAATAAATAAATTAATTAATAATTCTGGTGATAAAAAGTATAAAAAATGAAATACAAATTCATTAGAGGGGCTCAACTATAGATTTGAATTATAAGAAGAAATAATTAGCAAACCTGAATCTAGATTGATGGAGATTATGCAACTCAAAGAATACAGAAAAGAGGAAGAAAAACAATGAACAGATTATCAGAGAAATGTGAGACATTATTAAGTGTTCCAATATACACGTAATGGTGGTATCAGAAAGGAGAAAAAGAAAGATGTAAAAAAAAATTAAATAAATAGTGGATGAAAGCTTCACAACTTATTGAACTTATTGAAGAACAATAATGTACACATCCAAGAAGATTACAGACTACAGATAGGATAAATAAAGAGACATAGACTCACACACAGACACATAATATTGAAATGCTAAAAGTTAAAGACAAAAAAATGTTGAGAGCAACAAGAGAAAAACAACTGTACAGTTACAAGGGATCCCCAGTAAAATTAAGAGCTGACTTTTTAACAAAAATACTGGAGACCAGAAAGCAGTGGGATACATTAAAAGTACTCAGAGAAAACACACCTTGAAAACAAAAAGTAAAAGGGCATATGTAAATCTGACTGTATCAAATAATAGTACTAAATGCGAGTGGACTAAATAATCCAATTGAAAGGCAGATATTACATCAGTATTAAAAAACAAGATATAATTGTTTGATGTTTATAGAAAACAATCTTCAGATTCAAAGAAAATAAAGATTGAAAGTAAATGAATGGAAAAAGATATATTATGCAAAAATCCACCACAAGAAAACCATCATGGCTATACTATCCAACAAAATAGACCTTAAGGAAAAACATTACCAGAAATAAAAGGAAATATTTTAGTAATGATAAAAGGAATAACCTGTAAAGAAGACACCATAATTATAAGTATATATGCAACTAATAATAAAGGACCAAAATATATGACAGAAATATTGACAGATTGAAGGAAATAATAGAGAGTTCTGAAGTAATAGTTGGAGATTTCAATATCTTACTTTCAATAAAGGATACAACAAGTAGGCAAAAGATCAATAAGAATATAGATTTGAACAGCACTATAAACCAAGCAATAGCAGGCATCTATAGGACACTCTGCCAACAGCAGGACATAAAGTCTTTCTCAAGTGCACATGGAACATTCTTCAGGATAGATCATTTGCTAGGCCGTAAAAATAACCTCAATAAACTTAATAGCATGAAAATGATAGAAATTATGTTCTACAGCTATAATAGGATAAACATTAATAGTCAATAACAGAAAAAAATTTAGAAAACTCAAAAATATGAAAACACCATGAAATAACTAATGGTCAAAGGGGAAGTTAAAAAACACTTTATGCTTCAAGATAAATGAGAATGAAAACACAGCAGACCAAAATGTATACCCAGAAATAAGACTGCACACTTAAAACCATTTGATCATCAACAAACCTGACAAAAACAAGCAATGGGGAAAGGACTCCCTATTTAACAAATGGTGCTGGGAGAACTGGCTAGCCCTATGTAGAAAATTGAAACTGGACTCCTTTCTTACACTATATACAAAAATCAACTCAAGATAGATTAAAGACTTCTTACACCATATACAAAAATCAACTCAAGACAGACTAAAGACTTAAATGTAAAACCCAAAGCTCTAAAAACCCTAGAAGAAAACCTAGGCAATACCATTCAGGGCATAGGCACGGGCAATGATTTCATGAGGAAAATGCCAAAAGCAATTGAAACAAAAGCAAAAATTGACAAATGGGATTTAATTAAACTAAAGAGCTTCTGCACAGCAAAGGAAACTATCATCAGAGTGGAGAGTGACAGACAACTTACAGAATAGGAGAAAATTTTTGCAATCTATTCATCTGACAAAGGTCTAACATCCAGCATCTACAAGAAACTTAAACAGATTTGCAAGAAAAAACACAACCCCATTGAAAGTGAGCAAAGGACATGAACAAACTCTTCTCAAAAGAAGATATTTATGCAGCCAACAAACATGTGAAACAAGCTCAGCATCATTGATCATTAGAGAAATGCAAATCAAAATGACAATGAGATACCATCTCATGCCAGTCATAATGGCTAGTAAAAAGTCAAAAAACAACAGATGCTGACAAGGTTGAGGAGAAAAAGGAAAGCTTTTACACTGTTGGTGGGAGTGTAAATTATTTCTACCATTGTGGAAGACAGTGGCAATTTCTCAAAGACCTAGAAGCAGAAATACCATGTGACCCAGCAATCCCATTACTGGGTATATACCCAAAGGAATGTAAATCATTGCATTATAAAGATACATGCACACATATGTTCACTGCAGCTCTATTCACAATAGCAAAGGCATTGAATCAACCTAAATGCCCATCAATGATAGACTTGATAAAGAAAATATGGTATATGTATACCACGGAATACTATGCAGTCATAAAAAGAAAAAAGATTATGTCATTTACAGGGACATAGATGGATTTGAAAGCCATTATTCTCAGCAAACTAACACAGGAACAGAAAACCAAACATCACATGTTCTCACTTATAAGTGGGAGTTGAATGATGAGAACACATGGACACATGGGGAGAACAATACACTCCAGGACCTATCGGAGGGTGGGAAGTTGAAGGAGGGAAAGCACCAAGAATAGCTAATGGATGCAGGGCTTAATACCTAGGTGATTGGATGATCTGTGTAGCAAACTACCATGGCACATGTTTACCTATGTAACAAACATGCACATCGTGTGCCTGGATCCTGGAACTTAAAATAAAACTTAAAGTGTACCACATTTTGTATTTGAAATGGCTAAATTAAGAAAGAAGAAAGAAATCAAATCAATAACCTTACCTGCCACCTTAAAAATGGAAAAAAGAAGAAAAAGCTAATTTTAAAGCCAAAAGAAGAAGAAAATAATAAAGTTTAGTGTAAATACATGAAAAAAACCAGTAACACAATCATAAAATCAATAAAACCAAAAAGATCAAACAAATTTTTAGTTGAATTGACCAAAAGATGAATTAATAAATAAATAAAACTCAAATTAGTAGAATCAGAACTAAAAGAAATGAGATATTATTACTAACTTGTGAAAATAAAAAGAATTAAAAGGAATATTATGAACAATTGCATGTCAATGTATTAGATAAATTAGATAAAATGAACAAATTCCTACAAAGATATAGACTACCAAAACTAACTCAAGAAGAAATTGCCTTTCTGAATAGAACTATAACTAGCAAGGAGATTTGTTCAGTAATCAACAACCTATCACAAAGAAAAGTCCAAATACAAATGGCTTTACTGCTGAATTTTATGAAATATTTGGAGGAAAAAGAATGTCAATGATTTATAAACTCTTCCCCAAAATAGTAGAGGATGGAACACTTCCCAACTCATTTGATTGCCCTGATACCAAAACCAGACAAAGACATCACAAGATAAGAAATCTACACCAAAATCTTTTAGAAATATGTATGCTAAAATTTTAAAGTATTATCAAACCAAATTCAGCAAATATTTAAAGAATTACGGATGATGAGCAAGTGTAATTCATCTTAACTGTACAAGATTGATTTAACATCTGAAAATAAATTAATACACCATATCAATAACACAAAAAAATTTATCTCAATAGAAACAAAGAAATCATTGGATAATAGCCAACATTCTTTCATGATAAAACATAATGAATAAATTAAGAATAAAACTTGATAAAGAACACCTACAAAAAAACACATATAACATCATACTTACTAATGAAAATCTAGATGTGTTCTTCCCAAGATCAGAAAGAAAACAAAAATATCTGCTTTCACTATTTCTATTCAACATTTTACTGGAGGCCCTAGCTAGGGGAATTTGGAAAGAAAAATAAATTTAAAGTATTTATTATAGAAAAGATTGGAAAACAAGATGTAAAATTATGTCTATTCTCAGATGACATGATCCTACATATTAGAAATGCTAATACATTCATTAAAAAGTGATTAGAACTAATATATGTGTTCAGCAAGTTTGTAGGATATGTGATTAACATACAAAAAATAACTACCTAACAATAATAATAACAACATATTGTAGGGCTTATATAGATAGGTAATATATGATAATACCAATTTGATGAAAAGAGGAGAAATGAAATTATACTCTTGTAAGGCTCTGATACTATATGGGATAGGGCATAATATCACTCAAAAGTAAGTATTCTATAAAGTAAGTAAGTAAGGTAAGTATTCTATAAACTCTAAAGCAATGACTAAAATAATTTTTAAATAATTATAATTATTTTCTGCTTCTGATAAAGAGAAGAAATAAAATTTTGTCATAAGAATATTCTATTAATCCTAAAGGAGGCATTAAATTTTTCTGAAAAGTAATCAGAGCACAGAAAGGACAAATAATAAACACATGGTAAGATGACAGTATTGAATCTAACCATACCAATAATCACATTAAATGTAAATAAACAACATACCATAATTAAAAGGTGGGAATTGTCATTCTGAGTTGACAAAGTAGAATCCAATTGTATAATGCCTACAAAAAGCACATTTTAAATATAAATGAACAAATGAAAAATGATTACAGTATTAAAGTCATAGGAAAGTGGGGGGTAGCTACATTAATATGAAGGAATTTAGCTTTCTAAGCAAAAGAAAAAAGTCCCCTGAAATTAAAGACATTTTATAATGGCAAAAGTTCAATTCATCAAGCAGTAATTATAAAAGTGTTAAGAATTGTGTACTTAATAATACAGCTTCAAAATACATGAAGAAAAAACTAATAGGACCTTCTCAGCCAAATAAGAATGGAAAGGAACTTCCTTAACTTGACCAAAAAAGAAAAGAATCTACAAAACTCTAACATCATGCTGAATGGTGAGAAATTTGAAACTTTCTTGATACGATCAGAAATAGGCAAGGATGTTCCCTTTCTCCACTTCTCAACATTAGGCTGGAAGTTTTAGCTAAAACAATTAGACAAGAAAAGGAAATAACAGGTACACAGATTGGGAAGGAACAAATAAAACTGTATTTGCTTGCAGATGACATGATGGTCTATGTAGAAAATTGCAAAGAGTCAACAATAAAACTTCTCAAACTAATAAAAAAATTGCAACAAGGTTACAGAATAACAAGTTAAAAGTTAATTGCTTTCTTGTGTACCAATAATAAACAGTTGAAATTTGAACTTAGGAACATAATATCATTTAAATTAGCCATTAAAAAATGAATACTTAGATATAAATTTAACAAACTATGTACAAAATATATTTGAGGAAAACCACAAAAATCTGAATGAAGCAATCAAAGACCTAAATAAGTGGGGAGACATTACATGTCATGGAGAGTGATATAGTTTGGTTGTTTGTCCTTGCCAAAATCTCATGTTGAAGTATAATCCCCAATGTGGGAGGTGGGCCCTGGTGGGAGATACTTTGCTCATAGGATCAGATTTCTCATTGCTTAGAGCTGTCCTTGCAATAATTAGTGTGTACTTGTGAGATCTGGCTGATTAAGTGTGTGGCACCTCCCCTTCCCACTTTTTCTTGCTTCTGCTTTTGCCCTAGAACATGCAAAATCCTGCTTTACCTTCCACCCTGAGTAAAAGCTCCCTGAGGCCTCCTCAGAAGCAGATACTGGCACCATGCTCCCTCTACAACCTGCAGAACTATAAGCCAATTAAACCTACTTTTTAAATAAATTACCCAGTCACAGGTATTTTTTATAACAATGCAAGAATGGCCTAATATAGAACATTGGTACTAAGAAGTGGGGCATTGCTAAAAAAAGGTACCTGAAAATGTGGAAGTAACTTTGGAACTGGGTAATGGGCAGAGGTTGGAAGAGTTTGTTGAGCTCAGAAGACAAAAGATGAGGGAAAGTTTGAAGCTTCATAGAGACCTGTTAAACAGTTGTGAGCAACATGCTGATAATGATATGGATAGTGAAGTCCAGGCTGATGAAGTCTTAGATGGGAAGGAGAAACTCATTAGAAACTGGAGCAGAGGTCGTGCATGCTATGCCTTAGCAAAAAACTTGGCTGCATTCTGTTTTTGCCTTAGGGATCTGGGGAATTTTTAACTTGAGAAGGATGACATAGGGTACCTGGTCAAAGAAATTTCTAAGCAGCAAAGCATTCAAGATGTGACCTGACTACTTCCAGCAGCCTACACTCAGGAGCAAAGGAATTACTTAAAGTTGGGTTATATTTAAAGAGGTATTGAAGTGTATAAATTTGGAAAATTGACAGCCTGGCCATGTTGTAGAAAAGAAAAAAACATTTTCAGAAGAGGAATTCAAGCAGGCTGTGGAGCAACCACTTGCTAGAGAAATTTGCAAAATAAAATGGAGCTAAGTGCAAATAGCCAAGACAATGGGAAAAAGGCCTTGAAGGCATTTCAGAGACCTTAACAGCAGCCTCTCCATCACATTCCCAGAGGTCTAGGAGGGAGGAATAGTTTTGTGGGCCAGGTCCCGGGCCCCATTGCCCTATGCAGCCTCAGAACACTGCTTCTCACATCCCAGCAGATCCAGCTCCAGCTCCAGTATGGGCTCAAAGGGGCCCAAGTACAGCTCAGGCCACAGCTCCAGCTCCAGATGGTGCAAGCAATAAGCCTTGGTGGCTTCCACATAGTGTTAAGCCTGTGAACATGCAGAGTACCAAAGTGAAGACTTGGCAGCCTCCACCTAGATTTTAATGTATGTACGAGAAAGTCTATGTGCCCAAGCAGAAGCCTGTTGCAGGGGGCAGATCCCTCAGAGAGATCCTCTACCAGGGCACTGTAGAGGGGAATTGTGGGGTTGCAGTGCTCAACACTGAGCCCTCCTAGGGCACTGCCTAGAAGAGCTGTAAGAATGAGACCCAAGAATGATAGATGCACTGGCGGCTTGCATCTTATGCCTGGAAAAGCCACAGATACTCAACAACGTGTGAAAGCAACCACACAAGCTGAACCCTGCAAAGCCACAGGAATGGAGCTGCCTAAGGCCTTGAGAGCCCACACTCTGCACCAATGTGCCCTGGATGTGGGACATGTAGTCAAAAGAGATTATTTTGAAACTTTAAGATTTAATTACTGCCTTGCTGGGTTTTGAACTTGCATGGGACCTGTAGCCTCTGTCCTTTGGTACATTTCTCCCTTTTGGAATGGGACAATTTACGCAATGCCTATACCCGCATTGTATCTTGAAAGTAAATAACTTGTTTTTAATTGTACAGGCTCATAGGCGGAAGAATTTGCTTTATTCCAGATGTGACTTTAGACTTTGGACTTTTGAGTTAATGCTAGAATGAGTTAAGATTTTGAGGGACTGTTAGGAAGGCATGGTTGTATTTTTTAATGTAAGAAGAACATTAGATTTAGCAGAGGGGGCCAGAATAATAAAATTTGGATATTCGTCCCCACCCAAATCTCATGTTGAAATGGAATCCTCAATGTTGGAGGTGAGACTTGATGGGAAACGTTTTGGTTGTGGGGACAGATCCCTCAAGGCTTGAAGCTGTCTATGCCATAGTGAGTGAGCACTCATAAGATCTGATTAAGTCTGTGACGTCTCCTCCCCCACTCTCTCTAGGTCTTACTTTCACCACATGACATACCTGTTCTTACTTTTTCTTCTACAATGAGTAACAGCTTTCTGAGGCCTCCCCAGAAGCAGATGCTGGTGCTATGCTTCCTGTACAGCCTTCAGAACAGTGAGCCAATTAAACCTCTTTTTTTTTTATAAATTACTCAGTTTAGGTATGTCTTTACAGCAATTCAAGAATGGCCTAATACACTTAGGAAGGTTCAATATTTTCTTTCTTTTTTAACTGTAACTTTTATTTTAAGTTCCAGGGTACATGTGCAGAAAGTGCAGGTTTGTTACACAGGCAAATGTGTGCCGTCGTAATTTGCTGCACCTATCAACCCATCACCTAGTTATTAAGCCCAGCATGCATTAGTTATTTTTCCTGATGCATTTCCCACTGCGTCAGGCCCCAGTGTGTGTTGTTCCCTTCCCTGTGTCTGTGTTCACATTGTTCAGCTTCCACTTATAAGTGAGAACATACAGTGTTTGGTTTTCTGTTCCTGAGTTAGTTTGCTGACAGTAATGGCTTCCAGCTCCATCCATGTCCCTGCAAAGGACATAATTTCATTTCTTTTTATGGCTGCATAGTATTCCACGGTGTATATGTACCACATTTCCTTTATTTAGTCTATCATTGATGGACATTTGGGTTGATTCCATGGGAAGACTCAATATTTTCAAAATGTTAGTTCTTCTTACTTGATCTGTAGGTTCAATGTGAACCCCAAAAAATCTCAGCAAGTCATTTGGTGGATATTGGCTTACTGAATCTAATATTTACATAGGAAGCAAAAGACTCATAATAGTCAATATAATATTGAAAAAGAATAAAGTTTAAAGACTGACACTATGAATTTTCAAGACTTACTGTAAAGGAAGTAATCAAAACAGGGTGCTTTTGGTGAAAAAAATAGACAAATAGGTCAATGGAACAGAATAAAGATCCCAGAAATAGACCTACACAAACTGATCGTTGACAAAGGTTTAAAGGCAATAGAATGGAAACAAGACAGAATCTTCAAGGAATGGTGCTGGAACAACGACATCCACATGTTAAAAAGCGAATCTAGAAAAAGATTCTTTACAACCTTTAAAAAATTAACTCAAAATACATTATAGAGTTAAATGTAAAATGCACAACTATAAAACTCTTTAGACTATAACGTAGGAAAACATCTAAATAACCTTGGGTTTGGCCATCACTTTTTGCCAAACAGTAAAGTTTCAATCCATGAAAAAACTAATTAATAATATAGGCTTCATTAAAATAAAAACTATATACTCTTCTAAAAACACTATCAAGAGAATGAGAAGACAAGGCACAGATTTGGAGAAAACATTGCAAAAGCCATATTTCATAACATACTTGTATGAAACAAAAAGAGCCTAGCCAACATGGTAAAACCCCATCTCTACAAAAACACAAAAATTAGCCAAGTGTGGTTTTGTGCTCCCATAGCCCCAGCTACTCCTGAGGCTAGACAGGAGAATCAGTTGAACCTGGGAGGCAGAGGTTGCAGTGAGCTGAGTTTGCACCACTGCACTCCAGCCTGGGCGACAGAGCAAGATTCCATCTTAAACAAACAAACAAACAAACAAATAATAATAAAATAAAAAGAACCTTAAAACCAAACAATAAGAAAACAAACACTCTGATTAGAAAATGGACAAAATATTTGAATAGATATTTCACCAAAGAAAAGTCATAGATGAAAAATAATCATATGAAAAAATTCTCAGCATGTATCTCTAAGAAATTGTAAATTAAAACCATAACAAGGTACTACTCCATACCTATTACAATGACCAAAATCCAGAACACTGACAACACTAAACAGTGGCAAAGATATGGAGCAGAAGGAACTCTCATTCTTTACCGATAGAAATGAAAAATTGTATGGCCACTTTGGAAGACATTTTGACCATTTCTTACAAAACTACCCATGGTTTTACCATATGACCCATCCATAGTGCTCTTTGGTATTGAGATTGATATCCTTAGTATTTATGCAATGGAGTTGAAAACTTACATCTACACAAAAACCTGTACACAGATGTATATAACTATATTCCTAATTGTCAAAACTTGAAAGCAACCAAGATGTCCTTTCAGTGTGAATGAATAAATGAACTATGGTGCTTCCATACAATAGAATATTATTGAACTCTATAAAGAGATGAGCTCTCAAGCCATAAAAAAACATGGAAGAGCCTTAAATGCATGTTACTAAGTGAAAGAAGCCAACCTAAAAAGGCTACATACTGTATGAGTCCCAACTGTGTGACATCTTGGAAAAGGCAAAACTATGGAGACAGTAAAAGTATTACTATTTTCTAGGGGTTAAGGGAATGAGAGGGATACATTGGCAGAGCACAGAGGATTTTCAGGGCACAAAAACTATTTTGTATGACGCTAAAATGGTGGATTCATGTCATTATACCTTTGTCCACACCCACAGAATGTACAACACCAAGAGTGAACCCTAATGTAAACTATGGATTTGGGGTGATAATTATGTGTCTATGGGTTAATTGATTCTAACAAATGTACAACCTTGGCATGAGACATTAATAACGGGGGAGGTCATGCATGTAAAGAAATAGGAATATGTGTAAATTCTCTGTATTTTCTGCTCAATTTTGCTGTGAACTTTAAATTTCTCTTTTAAAATTCTATTAAAAATACACAAACTAATAGGATCTCAAGGAAAAATAGACAAGTCCACAATTGTCAGATATTTCAATATACGTCCCTCAATAATTGATGTCAATAATTGATAGAACAAGTAGACAGAAAATAAGGATACGAGCACTTGAAGATTGAAGAGGAAGAGACCTGAGCTACCACGCTCAGCCCCCTCGCCATGTGATGCCCTGCACTGCCTCGAGAGGAGACTCTGTAGAGTCCCCACCAGCAAGAAGGATCTCACCAAATGCAAGTCCTTGACCTTCAACTTCTCAGCCTCTGTAACTCTAAGAAATAAATTTATTTTTAAAATAATTTACCTGGTTTCAGATATTCTATTATAAGCAACAGAAAATGAACAAAGACAATATTTAATATGATATTAATTAAAATTCAATTACACTTTCTTGGAAACTGAGAGGCTGACTCTAAAATATCCTGATTCTAAGATAATTATAGAAATACAAAGGACCTAGAGTATCCTAACCAATTTTGAAAAAGAACAAAACTGGAGGAATCACACTAGCTGATTTCAAGACACTACCATATTGACCTATCAATAGCACAAAATTGAAAGTTCAGAGATAGCCCAACACATGTATGCTTAATTAATCTGTGACAAGATGCAAACATCATTTAGTCAAGAAATCACAGTCTTTTAAACCAAAAGTATAGGAATAATTAAATATCCTTATGTAAAAATATATGAGTTGATCCATATTTCACACCATCTATACAAACCAACTCAAAACAGATCACAGACCTAAATATGAGACTTAAAACTTTTAAACTTGTACAAAAAAATAAAGAAAATCTTTATGACTTTGGGGTATCCAAAGAACTCTTATACATAATTTCAAAAGTATAATTCATTTTAAAAAAGGTTTATAAATTGAATTTTATAAAAGTGAAAAACTCTTCTGTTTGAAACACATTAGGAGAATGAAAAGAAAATCTATAGACTGAGACAAAATATTTACAAATCATGAAAACAATAAGGGCCTTATATTCAGATTTATGTAAACATTTTAAAAAATTCAATTATACATAAACAACCCAATAAAATAGCAAAATATTTGAACAGACTCTTTATCAAACAAAATATACAGGTCATAAAAAAGGATATTTTTTTAGGTATTATATATAAATATATATAAATATATATTTGAATATATATCTTAATATAATATATAATATATATAAATATATATAATAATATATATAATTATATATAAGTATATATAACTATATATAGTTATATATACTTGTATATATAACTATATATAGTTATATATAAGTATATATAACTATATATAAGTATATATATAACTATATGTAAGTATATATATAACTATAAGTATATATATAACTATATATATAACTATAAGTATATATAACTATAAGTATATATATAACTATATATACATATATATATAACTATATATATAAGTATATATATAACTATATATATACGTATATATATAACTATATATATAAGTATATATATAACTATATATATAAGTATATATATAACTATATATATAAGTATATATATAACTATATATATAAGTATATATATAACTATATATATAAGTATATATATAACTATATATATAAGTATACATGTAAATATATAATATATACTCAATCTCAGTAGCCAGAAGAGGAATATAAATTAAGACCCCAATTTGATACTCCTAAATATCTGTTGGAGTATTTAAAATTTAAACCATTGACCATATCAAGTGTTGAGAGGCTATAGCCATAGACTGTTGATGGAAATATTAAATAGTACAATCTCTTTGCAAAACAGTTTGTTCGTTTTTTAAAAAGTTAAACATCCCTCTATCATATGATCCAACCATTCTACTCTTAGATATTTATACAAGAGAAATAAAACCTATGCCCATAAATAGAACTGTTTACAAATGTTTTTATTAACTTTATAGGTAATAGACCAAATCAGGACACAACTCAGAAGTCCAATATGATGTGAATAGATAAACAGACTATGGTATAAGCACATATCTCTACTCTGAAATAAAACAAATGGACAGTAATAGCCCACAGTGTGCTATTCCACTGATATAAAATAATAGAAAAGCACACAGTGTATTATTCCATTGATATAAAAATAATTAAAAAAATAAAAACAATGGTGGCAAATATGTAAGTTCTTTAGCAAGACTGCAGGCTTGTAATATTTTGCACCAGATAAATTCAAATGAAATAATAAATGTCTTGGAATGAGCATGAATTGAAGTATCAGAGGTATGATTTTGATCTAAAAGAACAGAAACCATAGCACATTTTGTGAGTCATTTTTAATAGTTATTTTAATAATCTTTAATAATGATTTTTAAAGTGTTCAGTAATATTTGGGGCCAAAGTACAGGAAGGCTGGGAAATAATGGAACATTATTTCTAGTACCAAATTTTTCTTCTTTCTATTATCAAGACACAATAATAATTCACAGATCTGATTTGCCACTTTCATTATGCAGCAAGTGTGAGAAAGCACTCCAGGGATATGGTTTTTCCTTCAACTTCAATATCATCTATACAATAGATTAATTTAACACTGTAAATAAGGAAATTCTAGTTGGGTGATTTGGGAATACACATGGATAAATTTAGGCAGTACTTGGAATGAAACAAAATCAAATCAATGACACTTTATTACACAGACTTTTTTTGTTCTATGTGCAAATGCTCAAATAAAATTATATTCAGATTTTTTTAACTGGATTAATAAAACAAGAAGTTGAAACATCAGACTGGAAACATTTTGAGGTCCCAGTACACAAGTGTCAGATGACTGCTGGTCCCTGATAAATATCAACAGTAGCAGAAATCTATCAGTAGCACTTTCCAGACTTCCATGAAGCTGCCTACCACAATCTATGTTATCCCTAGTATTTGGTAGATCAGCCTATTGGAAAATCTGTGTGTATTAGTCCATTCTCATGCTGCTATGAAGAAATACCCAAGACTGGGTGATTTATAAAGAAAAGAGGTTTAATTAACTCACAGTTCCACATAGCTAGGGAGGCCTCAGGAAACTTACAATCATGGAAGAAGGCACCTCTTCACAGAGTGGCAGGGGAGAGAATGAGTGCCAGCAGGGGAAATACCAGACGCTTATGAAATCATCAGCTCTCATGAGAACTTGCTCACTATCATGAGAACAGCATAAGGGAAAGTGCCCCCATGATTCAAATACCTCCCACCAGGTCCTACCCTTCACATGGGGATTATAGGGATTACAATTCAACATGAGATTTTGGTTGAGGACACAGCCAAGCAATATCAATCTGGCTTGCCACCATTATACAACAAAAATCTCTACTTGTATAATGGAAATTAGTAGGGGAAAAAAGTTTTTCCAGGTTTTTTGATAATATGGACACTCCCCAAAATGAAAAAATGCTCACAGTATCTTGGGACGTAGGAGGGAACTGAGAGCATTTCTTTTTCTGCTGTAAGTTTCCTCTTTCTTTCTTTCTTTCTTTCTTCTTTCTTTTCTTTCTTTCTTTCCTTCTTTCTTTCTTTCTGTTTCTCTCTCTCTTTCTTCCTCTCTTTCTCTCTTTCTTTCTTTCTTTTTATTCTTTTTGAGACAGGGTCTTGCTCTGTCACCCAGGCTGGAGTACAGTAGCATAATCTCAGCTCACTGCAGCCTCACCTTCCTGGGCTCAAGCAATCCTCTCACTTCAACATTCTAGCAGCTGTGACTGTAGGCATGTGCCACAACACCCAGCTAATTTTTGTATTCTTTCTAGAGATGGGGTTTTGCCATGTTGTCCAGGCTGGTCTGGAACTCCTGAGCTCATGCAATGCCCCCTGCCTTTACCTCCCAAAGTGCTGGAATTACAAGTCTGAGCCACCATACCTGGCCCCATCTTTTTCTGCTGTAAGTTTCGTGTCAATAAAGAAGCAGGAATACAAGCCCCAGAGTAGACAGGCCCTTCCAAAACCAGGTGTTACACCTGAAAAGAAACACGAAACACAAGCCTATTTCTGGTTCCTTTCCAATCGTTGACCTTCAGTGTTCTCTCATCCTAAACTGTGGAAACTATCCAGCTCACTCCTAGAGAGGAAACTAATAATCTTCTTTTACTTTTGTTTTTTTTGGAAGTGCCTTAAGGGAACTGAAAATACATGCAAATCGTTAAACTCCTACTGAGACCAAAATACCATTTCCATAGTTTATTAAGCATCATAAGATCACACACGTTTTATTTTTAATTCATTTGAAGAGAGATTTTTATTTTTCCTACCTCCAATCTCTCTCTCTCTCACACACACCCTCATATGTGCACGCACACACACACACGGACATACAAATACACATATATTTTCTCTTTGTAGTACACGGATATTCTTATTAGCTCATTCTTAGAGGAATGAAATAGTACACATATGACTCGCAGCCAGGCTAGAGACTTAAACTCTGCAGAGATAGAAATAATGAAATAATCATAAGAACAATTCCTTTCAACAGTTTCCTCTTGTCCTTTTCTATCCTTTACAGAACAGAACGTCTGTGCAAGTGTATTCAAGCAAGCTAAACATGTGGTGTTAAATAAAGCGTTAAACCAACTCTAGCAATCACACACAAAGCTTATTTAAAGCTGTTATTTCCATGTAATATTTATGAATAGACTCAAAAGAGGATGAATTGCCAACCAAACAAAGCTGAGCTGGTGGATTCTGCTCTACACTCTATGGAATCACCAGCTGGAAAAATACAGTCACCCCATCTACCAGCTCTTCACTTTGGAGAGGATCTCCATGTTCTAATGTGATTTGTTAGTAAGTTGATCACATGCCGAATTTAATTTAGCTTTTTGAAATATCAAGCCATATTAATTGTTTTTATGTTGTTTAGATTTTCTTTTCTCTTGCTGAACTAGAAGGCAAATGTTCACCATTTTTTGTATACCATGCTGTTCGAGATGCTGAAGCTTATGTTTAAGGTAACTTTCAGTCTTTCCAAATGAAATTATCAAAGCAGCACTCTCCTGATGCTCAAAAATCTCATATAACAACCTCTATATTTTATCTTCTCCCACGGGTGGGAAGTGCCTAGAGAAGGTCATGATGAGGATGGTCACTACATGGTATTGCCTATGGGAAGGTAATGTCTTAGACTTGGAGATGTTGGTTTTTCTTTTCTTTCAGTTTCTCCTGGAAGTGAAGATCATTCATTACCATGTGCTCAAACTCAGAGGTTATTAAATGTTGCAAATTTAGATTCCTGTGCAAGAAACTTACGGAGGGGGAAGACAAGGAGCCATTGAACTGCCTAAACCATCTCCCATCTGGTTGATAATTTAGCACAGCCTCAAGTGATGACTTTCTTATTGTTCCATAGAGAAAGAGACCCCTCCTTGTCCCTGGGCCATTGGTTCTAATTCTCCAAAGCTGAGCTGTGTGGCTGCATCAGACGACAAGGGGCACCAGGTGTTTTCCAGTCAGGGAACTTAGAAATAGAAGAAAAGCCCACAGACAAAATGAGTTTAAGGGTACTGCAATGCAGGGATGCTGTTCTTCAAAGGGAACCCTGGAACAGTGTGTAAGTGAAGTCAGACAAAGAAGACTTCATGTGATATGATATAAATGTTCTCCAAAGTTTGAAACAAGCTTCCGTGGAACAAGTTGGAACACTGTTCCAAACTTCCATGTTCTACCTTGAAGGTCACACCTTCCTTCTCACTGAGACAGGTGTAATTTCTAAAAATAAGATACTGCTCTTAGGGATAGCATCTAGTAGCACCTGGTAGCATCTAGAATCAGAGACAGCTAAATTCACTCTGCTTGTGCTGGATTTTATCTCTGACGTTGGGCTGCTATATCAATCTTTCTGCATTCCTATTTCTCCTCTGTAACATTGGTAGAACAATAACTTGGAGGGTAGTTATAAGGAGAAAATGAGCTAATGGAAATAAAAATTTCCTTCTATTGTGCCTGTCATTTTCTGTAGGTGCACAATAAATGTTAACATTCCATCTTCTTGAACACGTCACTTTTCATTTCCTTTTTAAAATTAAGGCTTCTGTTTTAATTGTAACTTGGAGGCTTTCTGGACCTAAAATCAGGCAAGAGTATAACTCTTTGTCATCAGTCTCATTTCCACAATGCCATGCTCTTCCCAGGGTGTCTAACTATAGTAGAGGTCTAAAGTTAGGACACTTTCCCAAGGGGAGATTAAACACTGCATTCATTATGGCAGCCGGAAGGCTGCATTATTGCTCTTCCAAGAGAGAGAGGGATTTATGGCTGTACTTAATGAATGCTAATAGTTTTCTTATCAGTGGGTAGCAATACAAACATTTTTGTATATAGTAAGGTTAAAGTAAACCTTCAGAGTATCCTTACAAAGCTTGAAAGCTAGTGATTAGTTCTTGACAAGCCTGGCTAATAACAGGAGTTCCTGGAAGGGTATGTAGGCCTAGCGTAGCCAGAATACATGATTCTTCAGTTGTTTTACAGTTTCACATCTGTCCTCTCGGAACAGGGCTGTCACAAAAAATCCATATAGCTTTTGTGCTTTTCTTAAACATCTAGGTAGTTTCACTCTTTAAGCAGCGTAATCTGGTTGCTGAGTAAAGGAAAGCCAAAAACCTTTCTTAATCAGTTAGAAAAAAATATATTCATGTAACTTCAATTTGCTTTGCAAATAGATACAGAGTCAAAGAATATGTATCAGGCATCTACTATTTATGGAAAATGTTGTTACACTCTTTCACATATATATGGCATTTAATTCTTATGGTACCTCTGTAAAGTTTGGCTCCTGAGGAAACCGGAACTTCTAGAGGACGTGTGATTGTCCAAGGACACATTTGCAAACTTACATCTGACCCCAAGTCCAAATGTACTTGGCCCACGTGTTCACAGTACATTTCAAGGGCAGTTATCCTGCTCTTCTAAGCCACTCAGGAGAAGGCCATGGTCAAATGAGGATGGGGAGCTCAAATTTAAACATTGCCAAGAGTGATAGTTTCTAAGATGAAAGAGTACGTATCTCCAAGCTAAAAATGAATGTTTTTATATCGATAAACAAAAAGAGTCCTATCAATCAATTTACACAAATTATATACCGAGATAGGTTTTAAATAACATTCTATAACATGTAGTTATAGTAATAGCAGCTCAATAAAATAATTACACTTAATAGCTAGCCCCAGTCTTGCTCATTCTCTCTGACACCTTCTACAATGGTTATGATTTAAACCATGACAGTCAGGTAATTCATGTCAAAAAGCCCATTACTCCAAAAATCACCCTGAGCCTAATTCCCTGAAAATTTTATAGCTTTTTCTTCTTTTCCTTTCAATAAAGAAATGAATAGAGAAAACAATAGCTAAATATGTATTTATGTAAAAAATCTTAGCTTTCATTTCAAAAAGTGTTTTCATCTCTAGTAGTGGTCTACCTTTGGGGAAGTTAGTCAGCTTCTCTAAACGTGGTTCCTTTGTTTTTGAAATTAGACTAATGACATCTACTTCCCAAGACTGTGTTCTGTAAGAATATTGGTCAAACTTCAGTTTATGGGCTGAAAAACCTCTGCCAACACCACGCAATTAATGTTTTTTTCCTTTCTTGTGAAGGGACAAATGAAATTAACAAATCATGACTGATTTCTATTGTACTAAAGTCAGTCACATCAAGAACTATGTGCAGCTTTCCCAGAAGATAAATTCCACACCTGTAACAAATGGAACATGATGTCTCTGCTTAGTGTTTAATGTTGTTACTGACTTGCCTGCATTGGCGGTAAAGGTAAAGCCTCCAAGCTGCCAATCATTTCTGTAAGCAATCAGATAATAGTAAGGGTCAGAATAACTCATGGGTAAATAGTCACCTGGGGTGGACAAAGTTCTATGTCTGTCCCCCAAACCCTCCTTCCCAAAATGAGCAAGGAGAAGGGCTGCAATCAATGTAGTTAATATATAAATTGTAATTCTAGTTTGTGCAGACATCAAGAAATCCAAGAAAAATCCCTGTGACTTCTCATGGCTCATAAGGTCTCAAAATGTTTACTGTATTGGTCATTTTTGTTCAGGGAAAAACATCAGACAAAATACACTTAATAGAGTTCATTTGTGCAAGGAAGAATTTATTAATCTGGTGGCACTCAAAACTGGAAGAGGTTTCAGAGAGCTCTACTCCAGCAGCCCAAGCCAGGAGCCTTTATAGGCTGAATGGCAAGTAAATAAATTACTTGATTAGCTATAGCAACGTGTTTGTCTTATTTGGATATAGTCTGATGGGAGTTCACTAGTTATACAACCAATTGGCTGGTTGGCTATTTGTGATAGGCTGAAGCTCGTTTTTGTTTTTAAGTCAGTGATAAGAAATACCTCCAAGTTAAGTTTCAGTTGCTTACAGAAAGTTTAAGTTGCTTCGGTTTCTTACTGAAGTTATCTTTGAGCAAGACCTCATTCTTGCTCTAAATAAAAAGAAAAATACAAGAGTCATCCTAAATTATGGCATAATCTGAAAACAGAAGACATTTGCAGAGCTCTTAGCTCTCTGAAGGCTTATAATCAGGCATGAAGAAAAAGGTAGTTGCTCTCCACTTCTTCCTTGTTACTAAGGTGAGTGTGAGTGAATACTTCTCAGGACAGCCAGGTACCATCTAACCAGCCAACCATGCTAGTTAAAGAGGCTTTTGTGGTATAAGTCCTTAGCAATAATAGAGTTTAGATTGCTCTAGCCTAGCCCAGAGGATGTACTTCCAACTATGACATGATCTGAATGGATCAATTAAGGAGCTGAAATTTGTGGAGTCAAGACATACAGAAACTCTGTTTATCCTTTCCATCTCTGGAGGCTTCTGCCATGAATTCAGTAACCTGAAGGTGAAAAGAACATCCAAAAGCACCTCAACTATCTCAGAGGTCAACACAGGCCCCAAATGATGTCAGGACATTCTGACTTAACCTCATTCATTCCTTTCTCTCTATTCTTTCTGACACATTCAAATATGGTGGCAGGTAGCTTTCCATGACTACATGCAAAGATCATCAATGTCTTTTGTGCAGCAGCACATATATCCACAAATAAAACATGCCTTGGGGAATTCAAGTAGCTGTCAACAGCTGCCTCCAATGGACTTTGCCACTTTAGGTAGCTCCCTCACCTTCTCTGTGCTGTTGTTAGAGATGGGTTAAATTTATAGGACCAGCAAGACTTCTGAGAATATAATCTGCCCTGCCAACCAATAGATTTGGAGAAAATGAAACTTCCCCTGGCAGATAATAAAGTCAGAGTGCCAACTAAATCCATTAGAAAAAGTTTGTGTTTTGAAATTCTCCCACTCTATTTAAAAGACGTGAAGTTGTCATATCTTGAACTCAACTCCACTCACAGTCTTTTCTCTCCTAATAAGTCAACCATGGTATTATTCTAGGAGGTGGAGTCATTTTGGAAGTGGAGAGAAATTATCCTTGTGTGTGTCAAAATTTGTCAAATATCTCAAAATATCTGGGAATGAGAATGGCAGAGACAGTAAATGCAAGACAGATATAGAAACTTGACAATAAAGCCCTGGAGTTGCAAATCTTTTGCCTTCGTAATCTGCCAGAACTCACATTTTGGAAGCCTGAGATGCTGCGGACATAATGATGAGAATACGCTCTGCTTGTTGCAAGGGAAACTTCAGCTTCGCCACCACTATCTCACTTCTGTCTCTAACCCCCCTTCTCTTGCCCAACTTAAACCTCTAGAAAAACCAAAACAGAACAAAACAGGGTCAGCAGAATATGCTCCTGTTAGATTGTCCAATTTGCAAATCCCCTTGAGGTAGAAACTATGTCCTGATTAGAATCTACACGCCCAAGTCTCCAGCTCACTGTCAAGGTGCTTCCTGTCTTTGTCCAGCAGCATTCACGGAGCCTCTTTGAAGAGGGCTATGTCTCCAGGCTGCTGGGAGCAGATAAACGCCTGTTGTTTTACACAGGCTGGGTGGGGGAACGGGTGTAAACCTCTTTGCATTGAATAAAGGCAGTCTGATAATAACAAATTGCCTTGTCAGCCACAAGAGATACTTAGTTATTAATGGAAATAATAACAGATTATATCAGCTTTGCACACTATAATCAAAAGGAAGATCAAAGCAAACTAATATTACAAACAGTTAACAGTGAAGACATGCTAATGAGATAAAAACCACTTTCATCTCTCCCTTCCCAAATGCACCAGTGGGATAATTATTGATAACAAATAATGTCATTTAAACATGGACAATATTTTTAATACCAAAAGTCCAGCCACACCAATGAGGCTTTTTTCTATCAAATAAAATTGTTTTCAGTGTTTTCTTAAAACTGCTTACTTGCATTCTGCTGGTGTTATAGAAATACATGATTTTGAATCATCCGTGTTTTCAGCTGGTTTAAGCTAAACTCACGTTGCCTTTGGTTGTGACTACAAACATCTAAGCAAAGAGCTATGTCAGTTTATTAATAATGGAGACAGGACACAGAACCTGATAAACCCCTGCCTGACTTGTCATTTAAGAGTATCGCTATCATAGTAGAGTATTTTTCATATTTACCCAATCTCCTCACCAGTAAGTCAGCCCTTTTCTTCTTGGAAGCACTTTACAAATATTAGTGAGTGTCGAGGCCATTCTCAAGAGGTAGAAAGATATTTTTATTACCTTTTCTCCTATATAGAAAATGACAAAAAAGATCACTGACCATGGGTTGTTTTCTTCTTACAAAGTCTTAATTTGAAGTTTTACATTCAAATTATTGTATTTGCATCATTCTACAATAAGCATCATTTCATGATAAGCACACAATATTTGGGTATTAATTTATATATCTTAACAGGGATTTTAATAATCCTGACTTTATAAAATATAAGGCTAAAATGTTTAATATATATGGAAAATAGCCTGCTAAGGACTCCTTCAGTCATAAAATCCAAAATGGGGGCTGTAGATTGACCTTACCTTCCAAGGAATGAAGACACTGAAACCTAATGGGTGAAAGTGAAAAGCCATAGATTTTAGCCCATGGATATATCATTTGCTTATTCTAGGAACTTGAAAATATCAATAAATATGTCTAATTTCAAAAACCTTATTTTTTTTTATTTTGGGAAAATAATTCTTAACCTTACTTCATCAGAGTGTAAGGATAAGTTAAAAGATTTATCCTTGTAAACTGTAAAATATGCTGTACAAATTTGAAGTTATGATGTAATATTATTTATGAATCATAAGAGTAACCATGTTTCAAAAGTAGCTTATTTTTACTTTCAATACAAAGTGGAGTAGAGAACATGTACAGGAGAAAACCATAAATATTTCTGGAAAATGGAAAGCAAGAGAATTCTCAGTGAGGGACAGAGTGGAGGGAAGGAATCTTACTAAAAAAATAAAACAGATGGCTGCAGAGGAGGTGAAAGTTATTCATCCAGGCCTAGTTCCAAGGATGCTCCAAGATCTACCCTGACAGGTGTAGGGAGCATGACTGGCTTTGTGTCAGAAAAAAAATGATAAATTCTAAAGATTATACTATATGAAATATTTGAGCCACATTTGTTACCTTCTCTCCTCTGTCCCCTGTCACTCTTTTCCCATACAGTGAGATAAGCTACAGTGGCACTTCCCCCATAGAAAAATGTAGACATATCAAAAGGATATACGAACTTGTTTGAAAGCCAAACACAGAACAATTTGAGCATCAGAGTAAATAATTATAGCAACAGATTGTAGTACCTGGAATAAAATAGGAATGCATGAACCTGCACCAAGGTAAATAACGAAGTAAATAAATAGAGAAGGGGAATGTCTACCACACAGTAAGATGTCAACTAATATTAATAAATGTGAATCCTTCTTCATTAATCTTAGAGTGGAAAAGTCTGGCAGAAAGCGTCTTAAATATATGATAAAACTGAATACCACATGTCATTGTGTGTCTTCTGCTGTGGGGCACTAGGAGGAACACAGCATCACTGTTGTGGTATTTCTATTGCAGCTACCTAATCAAGAGGAAACAAATACACAAGCCTAAGCTAAGAGGCATTCTACAAAATAATTGGCCTATACTGTTAAAAAACGTTAAGGTCAGAGAAGACAAGCAAAACACTGCAATATTTTTCAAATCGAAGGCTATCAGAGAAGTTTGACAACTAAACAGTACACAGGATTTTGGATAGAATCTAATCCTTGGAAGGCATTTTTAGGGCAAACAGCAAAATTGAAATGGGTCTTTGAGTTAGAAGGCAATATGAATCTTAATGTTGATTTTCTGATTTGGATGGTTATACGCTGGTTTTCTAGAAGTATATCTCTGTTTTTAGGAAACATCTACTGAAATACTAAAGGGTAATGATGACCCAGGTGTGTGACTTACTCCCAAGTGGCAGGGGAAAAAATAGCAGTATGCATAAATAGAGTAATAAGAAAAATGTGGCTGGATGTTAACAGTGGCGAACCTGAGTGTCATGAAGTGAATTGTGTCTCCCCAAAATACTTGTTGAATTTCAAATCCACAGTACCTCAGAATGTGACTATATCTAGAGATAGGGTCTTTAAAGAGATGTTTAGGGTTAAGTGAGGTTATCCAGTCTGACTGCTCTTCTTATAAGCAGAGGAAATTTGGATACATAAAGATACATCAGGCCTAGCACCGTGGCTTACGCCTGTAATCCCAACACTTTGGGAGGCCAAGGCGGGAGGATCACTTGTTGTCAGGAGCTGGAGACCAGCCTGGCCAACATGATGAAACCTCTTTTCTACTAAAAATACAAAAATTAGCCAGGCGTGGTGGCACATGCCTGTAATCCCAGCTACTCGGGAGGCTGAGGCACAAGACTTGCTGGAACCCGGGAGGTGGAGGTTGCTGGAACCTGAGAGGTGGAGGTTGCAGTGAGCCAAGATGGCACCACAGCACTCCAGCACTTAAAAGAAAAAAAGAAAAAAAAAAAAAACATCAGAGAAGTGGGCACACTGAAGAAAGACCACGTGAAGACACAGCGAGAGGGTGGCCATCTGCAGGCCAAAGAAAGAAACCTCAGGAGAAACCAAACCTGTAAACACCTTGATCTTGGACTTCCAGCTCCCAGAGCTCTGAGAAAATAAATTAACAAATTTATTTTGTGTAAGCTACATGGTCTGAGGTAATTTGTTATGACAGTCCTAGCAAACTAATACATTGCATGTGGAGTATGCAGGTGTTCTTTGTATCTTTATTAAGGTAATATTTATGTAAAGTAAAAATGCATAGATCCTAAAGTGTATAGCTTGATGAGTTTTGATATATATTGCTTTTTTTTAAACATAGAATCATATGTTATAAAATTGTTTTATTCATTCAGCAATATATCTTGGACATCTTTATCCACCTATCGCATTCTTTTTTATTTGTACTGATATTACTTCTGATTGGAAAATCCTAATTACATATGTTTTTGGAGTACAACATGATGTTTTGGTATATGCATACAATGTGGAGTGATTAGATCAAGCTAATTAATCTATCACCTTGCTTACCTATCATTTTTTATGGTGAGACATTTCAAATTTATTCTCAAAATTATTTTGAGACATACATTATTGGTGACTATAGTCACCTTATTCCTTCTGTCTATCTGAAACTTTGTATCTCTTGATCAGCGGCTTTCCATTCACTCCCTTTCCACCTCTACTCCCAGCCTCTGGTAACCATCATTCTACTCTATATTTCTACAAGTTCAACTTTTTCAGATTCCACATATAAGTGAGATCGCGCACTATTTGTCTCCTGTGCCTGGCTTATTTCACTTAGCATAATGTCCTCCAATCCATTGATAGATGCTTTGGTTGCTTCCATATCTTGTGAAAAACATGGCACTAAATACACCACAAATAGGACATTTGTGTCATAGTATGAGAATTCAGACAAGGCAGAACATTGTCTTCTTTGACCTCAGCTGGAAACATGTCTGTAGCTCAACTCAAATTTTTTCAGCTCTGCACATGACCATGAGTGACTGAGAATATATAACAACTATTGATTTGGGGGCTACAAATAAATTTTAGCAAGTAGGCAAATTTGCAATATAGAATCTGCAAATAATGAGGATTGGCTGTCTGTGTGACATATTTTTTTTCAAACCAATTTGGCTCAAGCTTCAATATGGTATGATGTTGTAGACCTGACGAGCTATAAGAGTTTAAGTAGAGACGGGGTTTCACTGTGTTGGCCAGGATGGTCTCCCTCCTGACCTTGTGATCCGCCCACCTCAGCCTCCCAAAGTGCTTGGATTACAGGCGTGAGCCACTGCCGCCTCTCTCTAAAAATACAAAAAATTAGCCGGGCGTGGTGGTGGGCGCCTGTAGTCCCAGCTACTCGGGAGGCTGAGGCAGGAGAATGGCGTGAACCCCAGAGGCGGAGCTTGCAGTGAGCTGAGATCGCGTCACTGCACTCCAGCCTGGGAGACAGAGCGAGACACCGTCTCAAAAAAAAACAAAAGACAAACAAACAAAAACACACACACACATACACACACACACACACACACACACACACACACACAAAGAGTTTAAGTGATAATGGATATCATTTTTTTTTTTTTTTTTTTTTTTTTGAGACGGAGTCTCGCTCTGTCGCCCAGGCTGGAGTGCAGTGGCGGGATCTCGGCTCACTGCAAGCTCCGCCTCCCGGGTTCACGCCATTCTCCTGCCTCAGCCTCCCAAGTAGCTGGGACTACAGGCGCCCACCACTACGCCCGGCTAATTTTTTGTATTTTTAGTAGAGACGGGGTTTCACCGTTTTAGCCGGGATGGTCTCGATCTCCTGACCTCGTGATCCGCCCGCCTCGGCCTCCCAAAGTGCTGGGATTACAGGCGTGAGCCACCGCGCCCGGCCTGGATATCATTTTTTATAGCTCAAATTATAATAATTCTGTAACTAGTATCCTTTACATAAATATAATCCTGGAAATACTATTTCCTGATTTTAATGTTAAAATCAACATACAAACAAAACACAGACGTCCTAACTGTAATAAATATCATAGAATAGAAAATGTAAATTCTACCTCACAGAAATTAGGTAATGCAAAAGAGAGAGAGGTCAGTTGAAGAAAAGATTAGGGGCTCAAAAGTTTTCATTTCGCCTACTTGGGAGTCAAAATAATTTACAAAATTTCAATTTTCAAAATCTTCCATTTAGATAATCTGATCAATCATCCACATGAAACAATTATACAAGCTGAATAAAATATAATTTAAAAATTTTTTAAACACATCAATGAGTTGGCAAGAAAATAAGAATTATATAAAAGCCAAAAACAAAATGAAAGAAGGAATCTGGTAGAAGTCATTAGTGGATTGAAGCTGGCTTTTCCCTTAAGGCCATTTGTTAAAAATGGTGAACTTTGATTATGATCTCCAAAGCCTGGCGAGGCATAGAGAAAAATGGTATGGAGCCCAGGGCTAAGGCAAATGGGACTATTACAAAAACACACACAGCCGGGCGTGGTGGCTCACATCTGTAATCCCAGCCCTTTGGGAGGCCAAGGCAGGTGGATCACGAGGTCAAGAGATCGAGACCATCCTGGCCAACATGGTGAAACCACGTTCCTACTAAAAATACAAAAATTAGCCGGGCGTGGTGGCAGATGCCTGTAGTCGCAGCTACTTGGGAGGCTGAGGCAGGAGAATCACTTGAACCCGGGAGGCAGAGGTTGCAGTGAGCCGAGATTGTGCTACTGCACTCCAGCCTGGGCGACAGAGTGAGACTCTGTCTCAAAAATCAGCAACAACACACACCACCCCCCCAAAGACTGAACCCAGGAAGTTCTGCATTTTGTGGGTCTCTGAAGCTTACACAATTTTTTTTTTTTTTTTTTTGAGACAGAGTTTTGCTCTTGTTGCCAAGGCTGGAGTACAGTGGCGCGATCTCGGCTCACCGCAACCTCCGCCTCAAGTGATTCTCCTGCTTCAGCCTTCTGAGTAGCTGGGATTACAGGCATCCGCCGCCATGCCTGGCTAATTTTGTATTTTTAGTAGAGATGGGGTTTCTCTATGTTGGTCAGGCTGGTCTCGAACTCCCGACCTCAGGTGATCCACCCACCTCGGCCTCCCAAAGCGCTGGGATTACAGGCATGAGCCACTGCACCTGGCCACTTATACAATTTTTAAAGCTTTTTAAAAAATTTTAACTGACGCATAATAATTGTACATATTCATGGGGTACATAGTGATGTTGTGCTACAGACCAGATAAGGGTGATGAGCTTATCCATCATCTCAAACATTTCTCATTTATTTGTGCTGGGAACATTGAGTATCCTTCTTCTAGCTATTTGAAACTATATAGTATAGTATTTTTCACTCTGGTCATCCTATAGTTCTATAGAGCACTAGAACCTTAAGGAAAAACTAATACAACCTGACAAATGTGAAGCTGGTTCTACACGAGAACAGGGCTCTGAAGCGTCAGCTTTCTCTGCTTCATGGGAGAACCTCCTCCAACTACATGCTGCAGGCCTCAAGGAAACTCACAGGAAACTACTAGGAGACTTCCAGGGCCACTATTTTGTTTGTTTTGGTGAAGTCATAGGGTCAAACTAGCCTCCTTAAAGCTATGGGTGGTCAAAAAAGTCTATCGGGCTATAATTTAAAGGGGTTCCAAGTTGGTAGTGTTTTCATTTACCTTAAAAAAGCACCTTCAACCAATGTTGGGCACAACTAGGAAATGATATTTGGAGTACAAATAAGTGAAAAAAGATTAGAAGGCAGAATATGTAAGTAACTAGTTATAATTAATTAATTAAAGAAATAGGCCAAAACATCATAGATGGGAACATGTCAATAGCAAATAAATATATGAAAAGATGCTCAAGAGCATTAAAATTTAGGAAAATAAAAGTTAAAATTTATGTTGCAGTATGGATAAAACTTGAGGACTGTAAACTAGGTACACAAAAAGATAGTTATAAATGAACAAATATTGTATGATTCCACTTGTGTAAAGTCCCAGGGTACTCAAATTCCTAGAGACAGAAAGTAGAAAGGCAGTTGTCAGGGGCTGCTGGGAAGAGAGAATAAGAAGTTAGAGTTTAATGTATGCAGTTTCAGTTTCTCAAGATGAAAAGAGTCTTGGAGACAAATGGTAGTGAGAGTTGCACAGCCATTTGAATGTACTTTATTACCACTGAATTGTACAGTTAAAAATCGTTAAAATAGTAAATTTTATGTTATGTGTATTTTACCACAATTAAAAATGTAAAAGAAATACAAAGTAAGAGTAAGATGAGATACCTTCATTTCTAACAGAAAACCACAATATAAAATTCTGACAAAACTACTTGTAAGAAAGAACTCATACACTTTTTAATGTGTGTTTTTGTTGTTGCTGTTTGTGGGTTTTTAAATTATTATTAAGAGACAGGGTCTCTCTCTGTTACCCAGGATGGAATGCAATGGCAGGATCATAGCTCACTGCAGCCTGGTACTCCCGGCTTAGGAAGGAATCCTCCCACCTCAGCCTCCAGAGTCTCTGGGATTGCAGGCACAAGCCACGCCTCCAGGCTCAGACCTCATACACTTCCAATGGGAGTACAAATTGCTACTTCCACTTTGGAGAGCAATTTGTTATTACTTGGTAAAGAAGATGTAGATACCTTAGGATTCAATAATTCAACTCCTAAAATAATGGTTTTCAAACTATGGGTCTGATAGTGGGCTATAAAATTAACTTAATGGGTAATAATCAGAACTTCTTTTTTTGTTTGTTTTAAGGGATAGAATATGAAATGGCAGCATGATAGGTAATAAGCCTGCGTATGATTTCACAAAACATTTTTACTCACATATTTATGTGTGTGTGTGTGTGTGTTTGTGTGTGTATACTGGGATTGCAATATGAAATGTTTTACTTAGTGTGAGTGATGTTGAAATGACTGAAAAATATTGCCCTAAAGCAGGGAATGGCAAAACGTGGCCCTGACCAAAGCTAGGCTGGGGGATGTTCTTACATGGCCCATAAGCTAAGGATGCTTTGTACATTTGTGAGTGCTGGTAAAAATCAAACAAATAACTAATAAGAATATGTAACAGAGATAGGGTGTGGCCTGCAAATCCTAAGATATTTACCATTTGGCTCTTTACAGAAAAAGTTTTCCAACCTCTGACCAAGAGAGGTTGTGTGTAGCCTCTAGACAGGCTATGTGTAGAGGAGATTAGAAATCATGCTCTATCTCATACATACATTTTCTTTTGGTTTTCTTCGGTATTTAATTCTTGTGCACAAGGAGACGTGTTCAAGAATATATATTGCTGTGTTATTTGTTTTAGAAAAAACACTGGAATTAACGCAAATGCACATAAAACAACAGAATGGGTATGTAAGTTGTTTTTTCATATAAAGAAATTCTATATAACAGCAAAAATAAAAGAATTATAGCAATATGTAAACACCTGGATAAACCTTGTAGACAGAAATTGAGCAGAAAAAACGACTTTCAGAGAAATGCATTCAATATAAGTCTATGTATGCCAAGCTTAAAAGCATGATAAAGTAAAAATGTATTATTTAGAGTTATAAATAATTGTAGAAATATAAACCAAACAAAAAATAATAAATGTATAATTCAAAATAGTTCTGAAGGAGTCAGGCAGGGAGTAGGATGGGGGCTATGTGTAGAGGAGATTAGAAATCATGCCATATCTCATACATACATTTTCTTTTGGTTTTCTTCAGTATTTAATAAAAAAGATTTTAACAAAAAATGCTAAAATGATAATTGAGAGAAAAGTAATAAAGTCAAATTACTAAAATTGTCAGAAGAAAGAAGAGACTGTGTGAGGGACACTGATTTACAAAGGCCAAAATTCTCATCTTTTATGCCAATGAATGAATAGATACTCTATAAATATGACAAATTAAGAAATGGAGGAAAAATGATTATATTTTTAGATGTGGTAACAAGTTCTAGAACCGAAAGCAGAAAGAGCTAAAAGTCGTTATCTCTGAGATCTTGGACTAGAGATGGGGAAGGTTGGGCAGGAGAATTTTCTGAAATTTCATACCCTTCCATTATTTTTAAACCATCTGCATGCATACATACATATACTATATATAATATAAAATTACACGTGTATATATAGCTATATAAATACACATGGTTTATATATATATATGATATTATCATTATTAAAAGTTTAAAAGCAAAAGAAGCATCTCATTAAATGCTCAGATTTAAAATTAACTTGCCTTAGACCTTGAATATTAAATCTTTCAACTTTGCATCTTTATTTGATGAAAGCCCCCTGCGGATGGAGTTTTCCCAATTCCTCATCCCTCTGTCAACAAAACATTATCATCCTTTAAGTCACAAGTTCAATGTTACTTTTTTCACACAGGTTTATCTGCAATGCCCCAGGTCATGGTAAACTCTCTCCCTCCTTCAAACTCCTGAAATCTTCTTTCTAGCTTGTTTAAAAGATGTTTCATTTTCTAGCTAAAAAAAAAAAATCATTATTATAAAAATGTCTCATTTTGGTTATCAGATGTTAAACTACTTGAAGACTATGTTTAATTATCTTTGAATAACCCCAGTTGACTTGTATTATGCACTGCCCATCAGAGAAACAGAAAATTTTGTGAAATTAATTAATTCTTTGGGCATGTAGCCTATTCAGGTTAGATTTACTAAACTTCATTTTGAAAGCCATAGCTATGCAGAAATACAGCACACATACATGCACATATATTCTCATACATACAGTGATACACACCCATAAACATATGTTTATAAGCACGTGTATATATATATCTATACAAATATAAACACACAAATATACACATGCATAACTGTGTGTATTTGTGTGTGTAAAATAGTAATCACTGTGCTTTAATAGGAACCTTTTGATGGGTAAAGATTGTTTAACAACTCTTTCTCTACCAGGAAACTCAAGAAGATTGAATAAATGAAGATTAATGTGACTTGGATGAGACCGTCTGTGGCCATTCCTTGAATGACTAATTAAACCTCTGTATGGCTTTTCCTTTGAGAGCAATATCCAGTTTACATTTTTTAAAGACTATTGACATCATAGTTGAAAAAATATACAACAGAGACTTCTCTTTCTTTAGAATTATTTTAGAGTAGTGACCTGTAATTTCACAGAAAAGAATGCCTATATGTGGGGAAAATAAATAGGATTGCTAAAATAAAACATGTTGCTGACTACTTTCAAAAGCAAGAAACGTCATTTCTAATCTTTGAAAAGAAGCTACAAAGAGAATTCCCAAATATCTGTTTTTCCGAGGATCAAAAAACATATTATATATCTTGATAATTCACATGAGTACAAATGCTACAATATCTTCTTTCTTAAACAGACAGAAAACCCAGGCTGGACACGATGGCTCACACCTGTAATCCCAGCATTTTGGGAGGCCGAGGTGGGTGGATCACCTGAGGTCAGGAGTTCAAGACCAGCCTGGCCAACATGGTGAAACCTCATCTCTACTAAAAATACAAAATTAGCTGGGTGTGGTGGCGTGCACCTGTAATCCCAGCTACTTGAGAGGCTGAGGCAGGAGAATCGCTTGAACCCAGGAGGTGGAGGTTGCAGTGAGCCGAGATCGCACCACAGCACTCCAGCCTGGGCAAAAAGAGCGGAACTCCATCTCAAAAAAAAAAAAAAAAAAAAAAAAATTCAGAAAACCCAAAAAAGCCAATCTTTCACTTGGGCTTTTGCCACTGCTCCCCCATACCTAGTGAAAGACTGCTTCTCAGAAGAACTATCTCTGCCTGTTGTTTCCAATGTCTCTCCTCCATTTGTCTCTTCAGTATATTCCAGTGAGACTTTCACATCACCCCTACAGAAACAGCTCTCTTCAGGTCACCAAGGACCTCAGCATCGCTGCATGCATGGCCACTTCTTGGTCAGTCCTCCCCTGCCTGCCAATCAGCAGCCTCTGACACCTCTGAGGACTCCCAACTGGGAAAGCTTCTTCCTCTGGTTTTCAGATTCCTACTGTCTCTTAGCTGTTCTACAGGATCATCTCCTCCTTCTCATATCCCCAGCCTCAACTCTAGAGGCCCTTAGAGCTCTTCCTTGAGCTCCACTTCACGAGTACGACCTAAGTGATCCCACCCTGTCTTAGCTTAGGGGCGGTGGGGGGATGGATATTATGCCCTTTGTGAATGCCCTAATTCAGGCCTTTTGCTTTTGGAGCACATAAATCTTATCTACCAGCATGCCGCAGGAGGAGAAGAGTGAGGTGGGGGAATTTATTTGACTTGCTCCCTCCACGTGGGGCCTGCTTAGGGCTGCTGCTTTCTTGCACTTGGAGGGATACAATCTGGTGGCCCTCTTCTCACTGCTGCCTTCTATCAATTTTAGCAAATGTTTTTCTCCCTCATCCCTTTGGGTCTAAGGGAGATTATAGCTCATACTGTCTAGCCTTGGAGTAATATACAACCTACTTTGTAAATATTCTACTGTAAATATTATGTTCTTCTGACCTCACATTGTCCAGTTTAAGTGTGGCATCTCTTTCCTACTGTGGACTGAGGGATGCTGAAGGTAATGCATTTTCAGTACTGTATAATATTTCTATTGTATGAATGTATCAAAATTATCCATTGAACTATTAAGGTACATTTTATTTTTGAAAAAGTTTTCCATCTGTAAAAATTGCTGCTATGGTTATACATTTATATCATTTCTATACACGTGCAAGGTTTCTCCAGGGTATACATCTAATGGTGTAATTGCTAGATTATGGGGTACGTATGTTCATTTCCGAGATTGTAGCAAAGTGCTTTCAAATAGTTGTATCTATTTACAACCTCACCAGCAGCATAATAGACTCCATATTGCTCTGCAAGGTCAATACTGATACTGACAGACATTATTTTTTAGAATTTATTTAGTTTCAAAATGTTATTTCATAGTTTTAATTTTTCTTTGTTTTACTAATGGAATTGAGAATTTTTATACTTACATAATCCAAGAGTAACCTTTTATATTCTTAGATTACTTTTCTATTGGATTGCTTGCTTTTTAAACAGTTTGCCCTGAGAAACTATTTACATATTCTACATATGAACCATTTGTCACTAGCATATGGCAAATATATTCTCCTAGTTTTTGGCTTACCCTTTCACTCTCTTTATGCTCTGTTTTGATGAACAGAAATTCTTACCTTTAATGTAGTTAAATTTATTAATGTTCTTTTATGGTTTGTATTTTGGGGACTTTACAGTACATCGTGCCTACATGAGGTTATTCAAATATTTCCCTATCGTTGTCTTCTAAAGTTGTATAGTGTTGTGTTTCACATTACAGCCCTTGATTCATGTGGATTTTAAAATAATAATAAATAAATACTCCATCGCTGGATATAATCTCCATTATATGTTAAGTTCTGGGGCGTCATCTCCATCATATTTTAATTTTCCATATGAGCGTCTGTTTCTCTATTCCATTTCATTGCCAACTTGTCTGTGATACTTAAAAACTCATGACAAATTGTAGGAGGAAAAAAAAGACTATTTTCTTTTTTTTTTCAGAATGGAGTATTGGCACTTCATTCTTCGAATACATTTTGGAATCACTTTGTCAGGTTTAATAAAATTCTTGTAGGTTTTGGGTTGGAATTGTATTTAATCAATGTGTCAGTTAGGGTGAATTGATATTTTTACTGTATTGATTATTTCTATTTATCAGCAAATCTCTCCACTTATTTAGGACTTTAAAAATATCTTTTACTATGATTTATATTTTTCTATATCACATTAACCTCAAATATATTTAATCTTAGTCTCCTTATCTTTTATTATATTTAATCTTAGGGTCTATATGTTTTTATTGCTTTTTACAAAATGTTCTCCTTATGTAAAATGCTGTATAGAGCATTATTTTGCTATTGAATTTAAATATGTCAAAATGGCTAAGATTTTTATAATTCAAAATATCTGATTGTTTTATGGATTTTTAAATTTTTTTGTTTTTTGACTTCAGTTTTCTAAGAGGACAGTCATACTGTCTGCAAGTAACAGTTTTTTTGAATTCCTGATTTTTAAATGACTTTTGAATATTAGAATCATTCTTATTGTACTAAATAGAAGTGAAAATATTGGTCATTCTTACCTTCCTCCTGTATTTTAAGAGAATGCTTTCAATGTTTCACCATATTGTTAATTTTTTTACAATAAGTACCTTTAATCAAATAAAAAAGTTTCTCTTATTTTTTCCTATTCTTAAAATAATTTGAAAATGATTGAAAATAACTGTATTTTCTATTTCCAGTGAATTTTTTAACTACTGCTCAATGTATTTGCATTCTTAGCTTATTTTGTTAATTTGCTATTAAGAATTTTCTCATTTTACTCCTATTTTTTATTTGTACATACTTCTGTATAATATTACTTTTCTTTAACTTCTGGTGTATCTGTCCTTGTGGACCTTTTTAAAATTTCTAGTACTGGTAATTTGTGTTGATATGGTTTGGGTGATTGCCCCCTCCAAATCTCGTGTTGAAATGGGATTCCCACTGTTGGAGGTGGGGCCTGATGGGAGATGATTGGATCATGGGGACTGACCCCCTCATGAATGGCTTAACACCATCCACTTGGTTATAAGTGTGTTCTTGCACAGTTAGTTCACACAAGGTGCAAGATCTGGTTGTTAAAAGAGTCTGGGACCTCCCTACTTCCCTGCCCTTGCTCCTTCTCTCACTGTGTGACACGCCGGCTCCCTGTAGCCTTCTGCTATGATTAGAAGCTTCCTGAGGCCTTGCTAGAAACAGAGACCAGCACTATACTTCCTATGAAGGCTGTAGAACTGTGAGCCAATTAAACCTCTTTTCTTTATAAATGATTCAGCCTCAGATATTTCTCTACGGCAACACAAGAACGGCCTAACACATGTGTCTTCTCTCTTTTTATTCTGATTAGTCCTGCTGGAAATTTGTCTACTTTATTAGGCTTTGCAAAGCATCAAATTTTGGGGTGTACACTCTATCCATTTTTTTCCATATTTTCGATATTATTAATTTCTGTTTTTAACTTTAATTCTACCTTTCTTCTTGTTCCTTTGGTTTTATTTTATTGTTATTTATCTCTATCTTCTTAAATTGTTCCTTCTGTTCAATACATTTATGCTTTCTTCTTTTCTATTACAGATATTTAAACTTGTATTTTCTCATTACCATTTTAGCAGAAATGCCTACATTTTAGAGATAGTATTTTATAATCGTATTGTTCAGTGTTTCCAGTTTTCCAAATGTTTTCTATTTTGAGTCATAAATTATTTTAAAATGTGTTTTTCAAAAATATACAATCATATTTTTAAAATTATTGTTGTCACAGATATCTAACTTATTTGTGAGATGGCTAAGCAGTATGTTCTTTGTGATAATGATTCTTCAATTGAACAAATAATAATCCATGCATACTTGAAAAGAAAGCATATTTCCCAATTACCGGGTGCAGTTTCCCCATATGTCTTTGTTTCTCCTTCACATATTTTATATCCTTCCTTCCCACTTTTTGCCTGGCTGTTTTATTGATCCCTGAGAAAGGTGTGTTAAAAATCTCTCATATGATGGTCAATTTAATACTTCCTCCTGGCAATTCTGTAGAGTACTGTTTTGAAACTATAAAATTATGCTATTGTTGTATACAAGTTCAGAATTTTCCTGCTGAATTTAAACTTTAATCAGTATGGAGAAACTAGCTGAAATAATGCCTTTTATTACAAATTGTCTTTTGTTGGATATTAACATACTAGCAGGATGTTTCTATTAGCATTTTTATATTTTTTTCTTTTTTAATATTCTACATGCATGGGAGCTCATGCTTTACATATATGACTCTAAGTCACATATAAGTGGATATTTTTAATCTACTCTGACAAGCATTGCCTTTTAAGTTGTGAGTTATGTCTATACACATTAATGCAATTACTAATAGATTTGAAATAATTTTTACCGTTTTATTTTTGATTTGTTTTAATTTTCTTGTTTGAATATTAAACATTTGATTCTTACTTTTTTAGTTGTTACCCTAGAAATTTTAACAAATGTATCTGCTCTGATCAAATATATAGTTGCTTACTAGTCTATTTGTTTTGTTACCCATACAACTATTGTTTGCTATCATTTTGTGCATCTGCTCATGTGCTCTCCATTTTGTTTTGTTCTGTTTTTCTTCTTTTTGCCTTCATAGATTGCTCCTACAGTCCTATTTCTTCTTTCTAAAGCAAATTACTTAAAAGTTCCTTGAATAAAATCTGTTCTTGGTAAAGTTTTTCAGTTTTTATCTGAAAATATATTTCATTCTCATCTGTGAAAGATAGTTCCACTCTGCATAGATTTCTGGGTTTTCCATCATTGCCTCTCAATTGAAGATATTGCAGTCTTTCCTGGCTTCCACCGTTGCTACGACAGGTCAGCCGGCAGTGCAAATCACATCCCTTTGGAGGGAATCTGTCTTTTCTTGCAATTGCGTTTCATATTTCCAAGAGACTTTTGTGTTTTGCATGTTCATATTAAGGGCTCTGGTGGTGGATTCCTACACATCTTTGTAGTGTGTGATCCATTAGTCTCTCTAGATCTGAAGGTCTATATCTTTCATTAATTACAACACATTTCCTTCTATCCAATTTGTTCTATTGTTTCCTAGGACTTTGGCACCCTATCCTCCGTGTCTCTTCTTTTTCATATATCCCATTACTTTTTCCTTTGTGTTTTATTTTAAATTATTTCTTTAGTTTTGTATGCTAGTTACTAATTCCTTCATCTGCTATTTAGCCAGGTCCATAAATTTTTATTTCAATAATTAAACTTTTTCTCTCCAGTTGTTATCTTTTTTAAAAAATCAAGTAGTGGTTTATTTTAATGTCCATTGTTCATTAGTGTATTTTAATTGCCCTTTCATATATTTTAACATATATACCATACTTTATAGCTATTTTACAAATATCTATCATCTTTTTGGATCTGATTTTGTGATCTGATGTTTCTGCTGACTCTTTCTCATGGTGGCGTGTTTCCTTATTTATCTTATAATTTTTTATTGTTAGCCTCTTTCTTGGAACTTTATCTATTTGAAATTTTAATGACTGTATTTAAAGTACAGTTTCTCTAGAGAGGATTTGACTTCATTTCTGCCATGAACAAGGGCATTTTCATTCAAGAGTGGTTTCAGATTAAAATTTTGGCTTGGGGCTTTGCAGGCCATAGAAGTTTTCTCTGGACATCTAGTTCATCATATCAGTAAATCAATTCTTTGACTCTCACTAATATTTAAAACAGAAAGTATAATTTTAATAGCACATTGAGATCAGACTTATACATACATGATTATTAATCTTTCTTCATAAAAAATTACCTTTTAAAAGGTGGATTTTTATATTTTTCTGAGACATAGTTAAATGCAAAAAAAATTGTAGGGGTGGCCATTCTCCTTCTCAGTTTATTCTGATCTTGCTTTCCACTTGATTTAAATGTTTTAATCTGTAAAATTAAAAAACACATAGTTTCTTTAAATTTTATATCATTATCTGGTCTGACAGCATGGATGACGGAGGGGATTCCTCTCTAGATCTGTGGGGACTGAGAATTCAGAGGAATACACACAGCTGAGACAGGAGGCAGAGCCACAGGAAGACACAGTCAAATTCAAGAGGGCAAAACCAGATGCTGAACATTAGAAGATGCTGAACAGGTATAAGAAGGCCTGAAGACAGAAAGTGCTTCAATTTAAAAGTAAGTTGGCCCAGCAAGTCAACTTCTATTGGAAGAGGGTGATTTACCTATGTCACTCACACTTAAAAGGGTGAGTACAGGGAGCAATCAGACACAGAGGCCCAGAACTAAGGGCAGACCCATATCATGTCCAAGAATACCCCAAAGGTGAACAAAACACTCCATTAAGCTACAGAAAAACATATTAGAACTTATATTTGTATTTATTTTTATGGCTTTTTAAAAAAGAATTTCCACTTGATACAAGTTTTAGGATATGCATAATTTGTTACTCAGTAGCAAATACATTTATTCATTTACTCACGCATCTGCTCACCAAAGTCAGGCATCTTATATGTGTTAAATATTGCCTTAGCCACGGAGATAGAGGTATGAACAAAAATGAAAAAATCTCTGCTCTCATGCAGGCTCCATGTGGTGAGATAGAAAATAAGTGGACACATAAATATATATTAAGTGAGGATAAATGATATAAAGTAAAAGACAAAAAACAAAACCAATGGATCAAGCAGACAGAACAGGACTAGAGCCTGATGGGCAGAAGCTAGTTTAGGAAGGTCAGGTCGGATAAATTCTCCTTGAAGATCTGGCCTTTGGACCTTAGTGATGTGAGGGAGTGAACCAGGCAAGATCTAGGCAGACTAGATTGTGAAAGCACAGGCCTTGAGGCAGGAACAGCTCTGACATCTTTGGGGAAAGGCAAGGAAGCTAGTGATGTGGCTGAATCAGAGGAGTACGGTGAGTAAAGTGGTAGGAGGTGGGAGAAAAGGTCAGAGAGGCAAGCACGAGCCAGATCACACAAGGCCTTGTAGACCTCAGCAAGGAATTTGATTTTAATCTGGTTTAGAAGGGATGCGACTGAAGATTTTGACCACACGATATGATTTACATTTTTAAAGGATCATTCTAGCTACTGTCTTGAACTCCTGGCCTCAAGCGATCCTCCCAGTTTGGCTTCCCAAAGTGCTGGGATTACAGGCATTAGCCACCATGCCCAGCCTTCTATCTTCCGTATTTAAAATAGGCTATAAGGGAAAGAAATAAGAAGAGCAAAAAGGGCCCGGCTCTGTAGCTCATGCCTGTAATCCCAGCACTTTGGAGGGCCAAGGCCGGCAGATCACCTGAAGTCAGGAGTTTGAGACCAGCCTGGCCAACATAGTGAAACCTTGTCTCTACTAAAAATACAAAAATTAGCCTGGCGTGGTGGCATGGTGGCATGGTGGCAGGGGCCTGTAATCTCAGCTACTTGGCAGGCTGAGGCAGGAAAATCGCTTGAACCCAGGAGGTGGAGTTTGCAGTGAGCAGAGACTGCCACTGCGCTCTAGCCTGGGCAACAAGAGCAGAACTCCGTCTCAAAAAATAAAGAGCAGGAAGAAGGGAGGCTGTTGCTGATTATAAGCAAGAGAGAGCTTGGTAGCTTGGACCAAGAAAAATAAACAAACAGTACAAGTTTCAGAGCTGTGTGTGTATTTTTTGTAGCGTTGTACAATCAGAAATACTTAGAATCCACTGTAAAAAGGATTGTCAGAACAAGAAGGTGATCGCAGTACAGACTAGAGATATTTCTTAATATTTTATAGAATACAAAATATTCTTGGTGACTTTGGAGTTGTTAATTCATTGTTGATAGTGATTTTTAGTGAGACAGGCCTCTTTAAAATATATACAGAAAAAATAAAGATATTCAAAAAAGATATGCAATTGTTGATAGGCAGGTGTGATCAATTTTCTCCACAGAGATTTCACTTTATCTACTTTAAGTGTGTAAAATTTATTAGGACACAGTGTATGCTCACAATAAGTTTGGTAGGCATGAATGCTTAAGTGAGAGAGATCTTTGGGTTCCAAGTATGTTACTGAATAATGTGATAAGATGTGAATTTTATTTTTTAAAAATCAATGAGAAATGTTTTAAAAAGGCATTCTGTCTTGTAAGGATCCATTGAACAGATTAGGGAATGTGGCCAGTTTAAATTCTGGGCTTCAGCACAGTTGGGTCTGGATTTGTTTCACACGTCTACTACATAAGAGCTGTTTGGTCTTGGGCAAATAGCTAAGCCTCATTATCTTATTATTCATAAAACTGTGTTGTTGAATGTGTCTGTAGGAAATACTGTTCATATATGAAAAGCATCAACACAGTATGTGGCACAAAATAAGTCCCCACTAAGTGGCTATTTTATTATCATCATTCTATTATCATTGTTAATATTATTCAGCTATTAGACTTGCAGTTCTCTGTGAGTCAAAACAAGTGAAGTGGCTTCAGTTTTCCCTGAGTTATGCTTGAGAACAAAATGACATTCTGTGTTGACTTCTACTCTCCACAAAAATGTTTAAAGCTGACATAGAAGAGTGCCGAAAACCCAGCATTCCCTGAGCAAAATCACAAGGCATGGACTTCTGTCTAGTTCTCAGATAAGTGCCCTATAGATATCATTTTGAATTAACGACTCCTGGAACTTTCTCCACTGTTTTCATGGGGTGACTGCTTATAAGCTTATAAAGAAATGTGAAGATTCTCAGACCTCTGACTTTGTAAAAAGGAATTTTACAAACTATCTCTTTTGTTGTTTACTGAACATTTTTCCCATGCCAACACGTTATGGACTTAACCGTGTTCCCCTCCAAATTTGTATGTCAAAGGCTTACCCTCCAATGTGACTGTATTTGAAAACATGGCCTGTAAGATGATTAAGATTAAATGACATCATAAGGATGCCACTCTAATTCGAACAGGACTAGTGTCCTTATAAGAAGAGGAAGAGACACCAGAAGTGTACACACACAGAGAACAGGCCATGTGAGAACAAAGTAAGAAGACAGCCATCTGCAAGACAAGGAGATAGTGAACAATAGTGTTTGATAGTGACTTTTAGTAAGACACACCTTTTTAAAATATATGAAGAAAAATAAAGATATTCATAAAAGATATGCAATTGTTGGTAGGCAGGTGTGATATATTTTCTTCACCAGAAAACAAGCGTGCTGGCACCTTGATTTTGGATGTTCAGCCATCTCTGCTATTTTGTTATGGCAGCCTTAGCTGACTAAGATAGATTTTGATATTGAGAATGGTCCTAAGAAAAACAGAATCTTCAAAATAAATTTCCTGAATTGGTTCTGAGGTCTCTGGCATTGGCTCTCTAATCTGATTAGATTTAGAAACACTAATGACTTACAGTAAAGCGAGCACTGATGGTCAATAGTGTGATCTGGCAATAAAACTATGCAATGTATCACAGATGCATAATATAGGTATTACTGAACACCTATAAGAGGCAAGAATCTAAATAATCATGTCTATGATACTTTCAAACATTTTCGTCACAGTTACAAGTAGAGTGAGATTGGCTGCTTGCTCCTAATGTTGCTGGACAAAATAGAGAAAGAAAATGAAGAGCTCAAGGAGTCAAATCTTCAGCTCTAGGATTACATAAAGACTGGAAAGCACCTATGTCTGCCCCGAAAGAGGTGGTTATTTCCTGTAGCCACAATACTAAGATTGCTGAAAACCAAACTCAGAATACTATCAATATCAACTGAATTCCCAGCCTCCCTGGATGTCTATAGTGTAAGTGAGGGCATTGATTGGAAGAATATGCTGATAACTCTGAGGTGATCATTACATAATTTATATATGCATTGAAATATCATGTTGTACCACATAAATACATTTAAAAAACAGCATTACACAATTTATCCATGTATTGATACATTTAATGTAATTAAATGTATCAATAAATTTATCAATAAATAAAACCCCATAAATAAATTTAAAAAACAGGAATGCAATTCTGAAAGTTGGAATGGGGATGTGTGAGAGGACCCTGATGGAACTAAGGATATTGAGTGACTAAATTCTGGTAAGTCTTTGCCAGGTGAAAGCAGCCTCTCCATCCCAAATAGCGTCAGCCTCTTTACCCCCATCTGAGGGAATTAACTCTGAATTGCCTGAGAAAACAGTAATGGCCTCCATGGAGGCAGTTGCCTGGCAAGACAATGCTGATTCTCCTTAGGGCTCCTCGCCTCCCCATCCTTTTTCGTTTCCAGACCTAAAACTAGGCTTAAGTTCCAGCAGGCCCCAAAAGGTGAGCTAAAGAGTGTGACTCATGAGGAAGGGTGATACACTCCAAAAAAACTACTAAAGTTTTCTAATGTATACTGACAAAAATCCAGGGAGCATTTGTGGAAATGGAAATTAAAGGAGTGGGATAATAGTAGAAGAAATATAGAGTTGAATCAAGCAAAATTAACTGATATGGGCCCACTAAGCAGAGAATCTATGCTATTTCCATCTAGAGAATTTAAAAAGGCTCTAACAGTTTGTTTAGTTATTTTGCTGAAACATGGATGAAGAAGTGGCCCAGAGTGAGTGAGCTGGAAAGGCCAGACCTGCCTTGGTTTATTGTAAAGGAAATAATTCAAATGCTTAGAGAGATTGCAGTGTTAGAGTGGCTTTGTCACTAAAGGCCTACATATCCACCCTGGACGGGTCCTGAAGACAGCTTTCACTTCAACTGTGAGACATGAATTTGTGAGGGGGAGTCCCAGCAACTTCAGAATGCCTGGAATTTCTCTTCTGTGAAGACCAGACCTTACGGTGAGAATGCAGCCATGGAACTGGGAAATCTAAGTGCAATGGCAGCAGTTGGGTCTCAGAGTGTCAGGGCCCAAGTGGTGGCTCACAGCCACCAAAAGCCAGGTGGGTATGGCTACCATAATGGACAGCAGAGTCAAAGCAACAATCAGAACAGCCTGATTGGTACAAACTTATTGAGCACTGACAACTGAAGCATGATGCGATTCAGCAATTTGGAAAGGGAGGGCTTTATTTCTCACGAAAGGTTGCAGCCTGCAACATGGCCATTCTGACAGCCGGGAAGCACAAGTCTCCCACCAGAAGCCAGCAACAGACACTTCGAGGGAGGAGCAAAGGGAACAGGAATTTATGCTGACCAGCCATATTTAATAAGCTAGGGGAGGAGTCATGAATACTCATGGAAGAAGAAACATGCGCATGGCCCCTTCATGGGTCCCAGGTTCAAAAAATGGCAGCATTAGCATGATCCAAGGGTGGCGTTTTTCAGCCCTCTGATGTGAAAAGTTGAAGCAGAGGACATGAAAACCCTCACTACACATCCTCCATGGACTGGCCAGAACCCCTCCATGGTCGGTGATCTCTCATCAGGAAGGACCGTTGGTTGGTTGTTGTGCGAAAACGGCAAAAAAGAGGGGCAGCATCAGGCATTGGTTGATATCAGTGGTGAAGTCTTTTGAATGGGCTAGTTTCTGTTTAGCCCTTAGGGAAGAAAATCCAAAGGGTGGTTAGCAAGGGAGGGAGGGGTAGAACAAGACGTGTCCAATCTCCTTTTTCATCATGGCCAAGAACTCAGTTTTCAAGGTTTCTTGGGGTCCCCTTGGCCAAGAAGAGATGGTCTGTTCAGTTGGTTGGGGTGCTTCGAATTGTATGTTTATTTCTCAGCACTAATTAGGTACCAGATCCTGAAACTCAAGTATCTCAGTTAATCCCACCAACAACCCTATGTGGCAGGGATGATAACCCATCTCACAGTACAAAAGAGGAAACTGAGGAGCAATGACATAAAACAACATGCTGTAGGCCCACAACTTGCAAATGTTCAATTCAGAACCTTAAACCCGAGTAATCTGAAACCAGAGCCCCAATTCTAAGTGATTAGACCTCACTGCCTCTTCAGCAAGTTCAATTACAAGGACAAAGATGACTTATTTTTAGACATCCACAGTCTGAGTCAACAGTTCGTCTTCTATCCAGCTCCTTGCTGCTTTTTTCAAACTGTGCCTAGAATTGAATTAAACCCAGCTCATCTCACTTCTGCCTCTACCAATACACAAAGCAGTGTCACCTGTCATCCCTCCCCACCCCTCCTTCTGTCAGCATTGCAGAAGAGCTTTGGTATTCTTCACACAAATGTAAAAAGTCATTTTGGTTTCTTAAGCACAATGGAATGGCCTTCCCACTTTAAAATTTCATTAGGAAATACACCCTGAAGCTAGGATGTGATGAGCTCAGGTGAGACATAAATCCAGGGAGGCAGGAGAGTGTTGGAAAGAAGGTGGACGTTGCTTGCTCTAGAAATGTGAGGAACAGGGTTTAGTGAGAATGTATGTCTATAAGAGCAGCATAAAGAGACTCTCAGAGAAGGCTGAAAGCTCTCATTGCTTCGGGAGGCTGTAATTCACAAGTGCAATAACAAAGCCCAGAAGGCTCAAGCTAAAAATAAGAAGAGAAAAAGTAAAGTTATCTAAGGAAAATTAACTCAATTTCAAGGATGTTAGTTGGGCCAGGGCTGAAGGGGTGGGGGGCCGGGTTGGGGGGAGTAAAAGAATACTTCTCGTGTTTTTTGGTAATCCTAAATTATTTAGTGTAACAGGAGAATTTGGAGGAAAATGTGTTTGTATATCACAGTGTTCCTCCTAATTGGTACTGAATACAATTATACAGCCTAAATTAAGACTAATTGTGTCATCTCTATTCTGAACCAACTCAAAATCAATGGTCCACTGCAGATCCTTTCATGGGGAAAAGGGAAGGCAAGAGTAGGTCATGTGTGTCTGCTCCAGAGCCTGTTCCTCTGTACATGAAGCTGATAGACACAAATAAATAACAGAAGGAACAGCTCTGTGAATAGTTTCTGATTACAGCAGAAGGCATTGTTGAGAAAGGAAATGAGGTCTGAATAGGGAAGAGATTACAGTCCCTCTACCGAATGCACTGTACAGATTTGCATATTTCCTTTCACTTTCCCAGGAATTCTTTACTTCAGCAAATAGAACAATTCTATTGATGAGCTCACGAGTCCTCTGTCCTCTCCCACGAGTGGTTTTCAAATACTATTGTACATAAGAACCACCCAGAGATCATTTGTCTACATGTAAATTTCTTGACCCCAGGCTCAGAAACATAAACTGGAATACTTGGGAATAAATCCCAAGAATCAGTATTTGTCAAGCATCTCAGCGAATTTGATGCAGGTAATTTGTGGACCACACTTTTAGAAATACCACTGAAGGTCATATATGCATGTATGTATATACATATGTACAGTTTATATTTTTAGTATGTGTTTTCATCAGTGTTGACTGTTCAGCATTCAACATAAATAATATCCCAATAAAGCTTACTATACTCTCCCTGCCTTCACCTCTACACCCTTTCTCCATTGTCCCCAGGAGGAGAACAGGATTGATTAAGTCAATCACAAATGATAAATCTACACTATCAAAGGTAATTTGCTTCCTAATTTAAGTATTTGGATTTTTGAGATGTTATTTATAACCAACATTAACTATGTCCTCTAGATTTCTGATTAGCTGGTTCCTGATTATTAATTATTGATGTAATTGTTGACTCAAATTTGATACAAGACTTCTATCTAAGGTCAATATTTTTCATAGTTTATTAGCATAATAAGGTGAAAGCTCTTATTTTACTATTCACTCTCATCTGTTTATTTTTTTAAAAGCAATTAATCATTCATTGCAGCAATGCTTTTAATTAAAATGCTTTTTCATTTTCAATCAGAGATATATGAAATACAAACAAAGCAAATTGAGAGTGAAAATTAAAAAAATAAACATTTTGGCAACTCGAGTAGTCATCACTTATGATCTGTGTTAGTTTGTGAATCACTGCATAAAAATAAAGCTAGCTGAACAGTGAATATAGAATAGGTTAAAAACAGAACAATCCTATATTCCCTCTCAGGAACATCTTTGGTGAATTCTTGTTTTGTTTCAAAATTTGGGGGAAAAAAGGTTACAAAACATGCTTAAAATCCATATGCATTTTTTTTTGAAAATCCAAGCCAAGATTCCTCAATATCACGGCAGCAATTATGCCTATACTTATGTCTTCTTCTTTATATAGCCATTGCCCACCACATGGAAAGTGCCCAAGAAGTATGTGTGGCTACTGAAAAAATTCACTAATTTGGCCTAAGTAGAGGAAGCCCAGTTTGAATGCATAGAATAATTGTTTTAAAGTGTCACTATCTTACCTTTTATTACATTCAGTATCATAAATTAGTGAACATCAAAAACATCTCCTGCTGGACATGATTAGTAATATAGTTTAAAATGTTGATATTTAAAGATTTGTGTGTCTCTGACCCTTGAGGGTCCTTAAACCGCCTGATATGAAAAGACCACCTCCAGTGCACCACCATCCGCACAATGGAATCTTTGGTAAGAAATAAACACAGTACCCAGAGCTAGGCGGAGACTTGCCCTGGAAAAGCTGGAGGGCAGTCAGGAAGAAACTTGAGTGGCAGCCTCCAGGGGGATCTGTGCCACTGGAGTAGGTGTGGCATTATCAGCTTAGATGGGCCTTGCCTCTGTAGAATTCCAGAAAGCCTTGTCTCCAGAGTCCTTCGTTCTAAATATTAGGTAGTCTCTGTGCCTCCAACAATGGTATTCTGTACAGATGGAAGATTTATTTATAAGTGACTCAGCAGAGTGGAGAAAAAGCAAATCTAGGGATCTACAAAGAGAAATACCAGCAATAATAGCAGGCCAATTTTCCCTATAGAGTCCTGGGAGGGATCAAGAATTAAAGGCACCAGGTACCATGGAAAGTAGGGGTGAGACAACTAATAAGGGCAAGAAAGGGATTTACTTAAAAATGTACAGAGGTGCTTCAAAGCCCCCATGCTCCTATCTACACCCAACAAAGAGAGACACCTACTCCTTTATCAACCATATAGGAATGGGGAGGTATTTTTCTCTCACGGCAATTAAGCCAGGGAGGTTTTGGGTGTAAGGACAGCAAACGCAGAAGAAGGTAGCTCTGAGGTTTTGGAAAAAGGAAAGTTGTTACACTACAGTTATCTTCAGAATGGAGTCAACTACAGTTCCCCTCTTTTACCAGTTCCAGGATACTAACCATGAAGTGTGTACATCCTCCCTCTCCAGGAAAAGAGACAGAAAAAGATACTTTTCTGGAAAAAAAGTGAAAACTTGTAAGACATGAGCTATAAATACTGATACTTGTGAGTCCTCGATTTAAAACAAACAAACAAACAAACAAAAAGATGGATATCCAGCTGCTACTCTACAATGATGCTCACACATTCACCAGACATGTCCTTATGTCATGTTTCCAATCTATGTTTTAGTGTATCACTCTTAAACTATCTATTATCTATTAAACTAACATCTATTATCAATCTATCAATCATCTGTCATCTACCTATCATCTGTCTATATACCTTTCTCTCCCTCCATCCATCTATCCACCAAGAGCCACCAATTAGTTGATAAAATCTTCTAACATGAACAAAAGAACAAAGTAAGAGAATAGGAAAGAAATAGGAGAAATAAATTTGAAGGTAAGAGGCACAGAACAAAAGAAAATTAGAAAAAAAATTTCTCTAATAATTCTTAAATGACAGAAGAAAGTGTTTCATTTTAAAAAAGGATAAAATAATAGAAAAGGGAAAAAATAATAAATGCTGAAAATAGTGAAGAACCAAATGAAATATCATGAAAATTCTAACATGTATAATTTGAGTAGAAGAATGAAAGAAGAGTGTGGAAGGGGAAGGGAGAGGATGTTGAGATTCTGACCGAAACTTTTCTGAATCCAATTGAAAAATTATGACGCAACAGATTCAAGGAGATCTGTAAAACCATAGAGGTATAAATACAAAGAATACCACATATAGGCATATCATAGTAAAACTTTTGAAAACCAGAGAAAAAGAGAAATCTTAAAAGCAATCAGAGGGAAAAAGATAGATTACCTTCAAAGGAGAAACTACAAGCCTGACAGGTCCCTTTTTCAACATAAAAATTGGAAATCAGAGAACAATGAAATGATATCTCTAAAATGCTAAGAAGTACTTCTCAACCTGGAATTCTATGCCCAGGGAAAATAAGCTCAAAATATATAGGTGAGATAAAGACTTCTTTAAATGCAGCCATAGAAAAGGATGAGTTCATGTCCTTTGTAGGGACATGGATGCAGCTGGATACCATCATTCTTAGCAAACTATCACAAGGACAAAAAACCAAACGCCGCATGTTCTCACTCATAGGTGGGAATTAAACAATGAAACCCTTGGACACAGGGCGGGGAACATCACACACCAGGGCTTGCTGTGGGGAGATGGGCAGGGGGAGGGATAACATTAGGAGAAATATCTAATGTAAAAGACGAGTTAATGGGTACAGCAAACCAACATGGCACATGTAAACATATGTAACAAACCTGCATGTTGTGCACATGTACCCTAGAACTTAAAGTATAATAAAAAACAAACAAAAATAAATAAATAAAAATAAAAAACAGAGATTTAACCACCAGCATACCTAAAGGGAAATAAATCATAAAAGGAAATTTTTAAGGCAAAAAAAAGTTTTTCTTGGATGAATAACAGTAATGAGGAAGAAAAAAATCATTCTTATTTAGATAAAACTAAATGGCTATTGAATGTTTAAAACCATAATAAAAATACCTATGAGATTTAGGATATTTGAAAATTAAAATACATAAAAACATAGCATAAAACTCAATAAAAAATAAAGTGTTCTAAAGTCTTTGCCTTACAAATACTAAAAATATGGTATTAGGTAGACTTCAGTATGCAATGGATAGATGTTATCATTTTTGAAGTAATAAATACAAGAAACGTAAAAGAAGAAAACGGGGTCAATAGAATAATAAAAATTACTTGATAATTCTAAAGGAAAGCAATAAAGGATGAAAAAGATCAGAAAAAAATAGACAAATAGAAAACAAATAATGCCACTGTAGATATAAAATCAAACATATCAGAAATGGCATTAAATATCATGTACTAAATACTTCAGCATATTAATATGCAAAGATTATCACACTGGATAGTGTAACAAACTCCAAGTATATTCTTTTTACAAATGACCCATTTTAAACATAAAGATGAAAAAAATTGTAAGTAAAAGATTTTTTAAAAAGTTCATACAAACACAAATACACAAAAGCATAGCTAATCTAATATCATTAGACTGTAAAAATGAATCACTAAAGATATTAAAGCCATTTCCTAATGATATGTTCCATCCTACCTGAAAATATAATAATTCTAAACTTACCTGTACTTAAGAATATAGCCTCAAAATGTGTAAAGCAAAAGTAAATGCATAGAAAGAAGAAATAGACAAGTCAAAAAAAATGGAGATATCGACACATCTCTCTCACTACCTTATAAGCAGCAGATATACAAATCAGCAATCATAAATGAGATATGTATAACATTATTAACAAAATTACCCTAATTGATATACATACCTAGAAATTTACCCATAGAAAATTACCTTAATTTATATACATATAACACTGTACACACAACAATGGAAGAATCCACATTTTTCAAGTGCATAGAGAATGTGTTTCAAAATAGATTACATTTTGAGCCATAGCAAGTCTGAAAAAAATTTCATAGGATTGGTTTCATATAGAATATATTATTACAGTAGAATTGCTAGGACTCATTAGCAAAAAGTTAATCAGATAATCCCTAAATACTTGGAAATTAAATAATACATTTGTAAATCATAATGGAAATTAGAATGTATTTTGAACTGCATAATAATGAAAATAAAATATCACAAAACATTTGGAATGCAGCTAAAATTATGCTTTGAGGGAAATTTGTGGCCATATATATATACATACATATAAAATATTTGTGTGTATGTGTGTATCTATATATTTTTTATGTGTGTAAATACATATATATACATATACACGTATACACACACGCATATACAAGCATATATACACACAGAGACACACATAAAAATATGCATACACATGGATTTTCATCATATATACATAAAATGTATATATTAAAATTTTATATATGCATATATAAAATATGTATATATGATAAAAATAATGTAAGCTTCATATAAAGAAAAGTAGAAATAAAAGTGCAAATTAAAACTAAATAAATTAGAAGGAAGGAAATAATAAAAATAAGAGCAAAAAATCAATTAACTGACAGTTTGAAAAGTCAAGAAACTTAAAAGTTAATTTTTTTAAAAGAAATAAAAATAACTAATTGAAATTGATGAGGAAAAAGAGATAAAACACACACTTTATCAGGATTACTTTGATCCTACAAACATTAAAATGTAAATAAGAGATAGTCTAAATCTATTTGTGTCAATAAATTGGAAACTTTAAAAGAAATGAGTAAATTTCCTATAAAGAAAAACTTGCCAAAAGTGACATAAGAAATAGAAAATTTGAATATTCTTATATTCATTACAGAAATCAATCTCTAATTACATACTTTTCTACACAGAAAACTCCAGGCCCAGATGGCTTCACCAGTAAATTCTTCCAAACTTTAACGGAGGAAATAACACCCATCTTTCATAAAGTTTTCCAGAGAATAAATACAGAACACTTTACGACACAATTTTAAAAAGTCACTTTAAAAAACATTACAGGACTTTAAATGATACCAAAATTGATTTTAAAGATCTTTTTAAATGAATAAATAAAGGCAATTTAACTTATAGTTGATAAATGTAAGTAGAATATTAAGAAATCACATTCAGAAATAAAATATAATATCCAAGTAAAGCTCATTCCAGAGATGAAAAATTCTTTCAACTTTCAAAAATCAATCAATGTAATTCACCACATTAATGGAATACAGAAGAAAACCACTTGATCATCTTAACAAATACAGGGAAATATTTGATAGAAGTCAACTTCAATTCATGATTACAAAAAAAACCTTTCTGATAAAAAGGTTTTTTAAAATAAGAACCTATAACAAATTGAACTAAGATATAAAATTTTCCCCCCCTAAGATTGGAAGAAGACAGGAATGCCTGCCATCCCCAATTCTATTCAAAATTGTAATGGCAGTTCTAGCCAGAAGGAAGAAACACAGAAAATAAATAAATAAATAAAAAGTATACTTACTGGGAGAGAATAAAAATTGTCACTATTTGAAGATAACATGATTATACATTGGATATTCAAAAATAATCTGTAGATACCCTTTGGAATTAAAATATGTATTAAAGTAACAAGATACAAAGTCAAAATACAAAATGCCAATTTAATTTGTTTTTCATAACAGCAAAATTCAATTAGGACATAAAATAGAAAACTTGTTATTATAAGAGCATGAAGGAAACGTCAAACGCATAGTAATGAATGTAGCAAAAGGTGTTGAAGACCTCTACACTTAAAACTAAAAACATTATGGAGAGAACTTAAAGAAGACCTAAGTGAGTGAGGGAATACAGTGCTTTTGGATTGGGAAAAAACAATATTATAAAGATGTTAATTCTCCCCAAATTGACCTATATATTCAAAGAACTTTCAGTTAAAAACCCAGCAGTTTGTTGTTGTTTCTTTAATGAAAGTGGCAAACTCTTTTTAAAATTTACATGGGTAATATATAAGTTTATATAGAAATTCTTAAAAGAATAAAGTTGAAATACTTGTACTAAAAGATATCATCATTATTTTTAACAAAGCTACAGCATTGGCACAAACCTAAACAACTAATTCAATGGAGGAGACCCAGAATCAACAGATGCTTCCATATACGGTAACTACATGTATAAAAAAAGTGCCATACAATGTTATGAGAAAATATGTTAATAAATAATAAAGGATGAATTGGATTGGCATATACAAAGAAAAATAAACTTGTTCCTTTCTTATATAATACAAAAATAAATTGAAAATAGTATCTAGACCTAAATAGGAAAGCTAATACTACAAATTTTCTAGAAGAAAACTGAGATTATAATCATGAATATGAATAAGCAAAGATTCCTTCAACAGGACCTCAAAAAGTATTAGCTATTTATGAAAATATAGGTAAGGTAGACTCCATGAAAAAAAAACTTTTATTTGCCAAATATGGCTGTGAAAAGAGCCCCCAAATAAATACTAAATGGAAGATATTTGAAAGCATATATCCATCCATGAATTACATACAGGATACGTATGCACATGTAACTCTTAAGAATCAGTAAGAAAAAGACAAAAAAAATCTGATAAAAACGTTGAGCTAAAGTCTTGAATATCAGTTAATAAAAAGAGGTAACCACATGGCCAGAATGCATTAGAAAAGGTGATTAATCTCATTAGTTATGAGGTAAATGCAAACTAAATCAAGATTAGACACACACACACACACACACACACACACACACACACAGGAGAATGATTAATATTAAAAATAAACACCTGACAATACCAATTGTGAATGAGAATATGGACCAGCTGGTATTCTGATCACTTGTAGAAGCATAAATTGATGTGATCACTTTGGAACTGTTTGGTAGTGTTTACTAAACCTGAATATGAACATATCCTTTTACCTAGCAATACCATTGGTAGGTTTATTTCAAACAGAATGTACACATATGTTGACCAAAACATGTAAAATAATTAGCATAGCAGAATTTTTCACAGTAGTTCCAAACTTGAAACAACTCACATGTCTATAAATAAAATTTGTTGCATTTACATAAGATGGAATACTATACGAAAATACAATAGACTGCTGCTAGAGAAAATTATGTAGATAAACCTCGTAAACATAATATTAAGTGAAAGAATCCCAATATAAAAGAGTAAAAACTGCATGATTCCATTTATATAAAAGTGAAGAGCAGGCAAAATAATCTATAATGTTATGGCTTAGAACAATGGTTACCTCTGGATATGACAATGAATGGATCTTATATGTGAAAATTTGTTTGTTTGCAGTATTTTCTACTCTGATCAATGTGGTGGTTACACAGATGAGTTCACTTAGGAAATATTCATTGCACTATACAATTAAGATTTGTCTTAATCTTAATCTTATATAAATATAGTACCTCAATTATAGACATTGGCAAAGATTTAAAAATTTGGTACCTAAAATTTAAAAACAAGTCAAAGAAAAATAATAAGATACCAGTATACACTTACTACAATGATTAAAATTTTAAAAATTAAAAAAAAAACCTGACACCAGTCACTGCCAAAGCTATGTGTAGAGCAAGAAGAGCTCTGATTCATTGCTTGTGGGAATGCAAAATAGTACTGCCTCCTTGGAATACAGTTTGACAGCCTCTTACAAAGCTGAACATAATCTGATCATACTTTTCAGCAATTATTTGTTAGATATTTAAGCAATTGCTTTTGAAACATATCTACACAGAAACATGAACACAAATGTTTATGGCAACATTATTCATAATCTCTAAAAACTAGAAACTATCAAGATTCCCTTCAATAGGTTAACATTTAAACTGTGGCACATCCACAACCAGAATACTATTCAGTTTTCAAAGGGAATGAGTTATTAATCCTGGCAGTAATGTGTATAAATCTCAAATACATATTGCTAAATGAAATAATCCAGTCTGAGAATGGAATCAGTGCATGGTCTCATTTATATGACACTATGAAAAAGACAAAAAAAATCGATGTAGAAAATAGAAAACAAGAGGTGTGGAGTGGAGGGAAGGTTGACTAAATAAAGCACATGGCATTTTGTAGGGCAGGAAAGTATTCTGTGTAATACAATAGTGTTAGATACATGGCGTTATTCCATAGTCAAATGGTACAGTCAAATGACAATTCTTATAGTTCTATGTAAAAACTCATAGATCTTTACATCACAAAGAGCAAACTTATACGTAAATTTTGAAAGAATTTAACTGGGAGGGTGGAGGATCTCAGGATGTATACAAACTATGACAAAAGAACATAACTGCATTACAAATGTATGTCACAACTTCAATGATGGGGATGGGCAAAAAAAAAGAGCTGCTGATCTAAGTAATGTGGAAAACGACTAGAAAGTGTAAGACTAAAGACAAAAGGAATTGTCCATAGCATTGTACTCTAGCTGATAAAGTTGCTTCCCACAGAGGTAGGGGTTAACAATTCTTAAATTGCTGGGCATGTATACTAAAACTGAAAAATAACTAAGTTAATGGCAGATGATGTGAATGAGGTTTCATGTTGGAATGGGTCATTCACAGATAAGAGAGAAGGAAGCTAGAATGAACTTGGGTTACTGGATTAGAGTTGGAAACGTCAGTATGAACTCAAGTTCATCTTAAAATAGACACTGATTAATAGATACAGAAAGAAATATAGATGTGTGTAGATACACAGCTCAGTATCCATACATATGATATAAACAGGAGACAGGGAAATACTGGGTAGGAGAAAGTGGTTCCAAGGCAAAGGTCCCACCCTCAAGCCTGGAGACCCACAGCCCTAAATGGGAACAGGCATTTATGTTTTCGCACCCAAAAAGTTGCCTTTTGGCCTGCCACACCTCTATCCTGTACCCATATAAACCCCTAATCCCAGGCTCCAGAAGCAGATGCTCAAACAAGGAGACAAAGAGATGAGGAGACAAGCAGATGAACAGCACAGCAGAGAAAGAGAAAAGAGGAGGATTGTCTGAAGGCCAAAAGGAGTTCAGCTGGGGGTGGTAAGAGATGAGTTTGGCTGCTGGATGGCCAAACTCCAGGAAGGGGAAGATCATCTTCTCACTCTGTCCTGCCTCCAGTTCCCCATCCAGCCTGCTGAGAGCCACCTACACCACTCAATAAAACTCCGCATTCATTTTTCAAGCCCATGTGTGACCTGATTCTTCTGGGACGGTGGACAAGAACTCAGGATACAGAAAGCTGTCACATTGGCCCTCTGCCCTTGCGAAAAGGCAGAGGGTCCACTGAGCTGGTTAACACTCAAACCATCAGTGGACGGCTGGGCTGAAAGAGCACACTGCAACACAAGACCACTTGGGCTCCGGCACCTGTCTGTCTGCATTCTCCCCCTCCCCTCAAGAGTGTGAGCAGTGATGGCAACCAAATGGGTGAGCCACACCCCTGTTTCACATCCTGCAAGGGGGATCAGGGAACTCTCCCATTTCACATGTATTTCCTACCTGTGTCCACTGCAAGGACCTAGAAGCAATGGCTCTCCTGTAGCAATGAGCATCCCACGTGCCCGGACCTTGTTTTCCTACACTATTCACCAATGAAAGGAGCAAGAGCTCCTTAGAGAACTGGCAGATCTAGGGCAGGGGGAGCAATATAGTAGATGAGTCTGGAGCGTTTTGTATTGCCAGAAAGTAGGAAAATGCTAAAACACATTTAAAACAAAACAAAACAAACAAGAAACAAACAAACAAACAAAAACAGAGGTATGTCAAAGGGACACAGAAGCCAGTTGACAGAGCTCCCAATACTTAAAGCTGGAAGAAATTGAGTAACAAAATTAATAGCATACTATCAGATCATAACTCAAGTATAAAATAAGTACCCATGAACCCACACTATTATGAATAAATAATTGAACACTCAAGTAAACAGGGGAGAAGAAACAAAGCTCTCATGTGGAATTCTAAACAATATATATAGACACTACCTCCTCAAGGAGGTAAAACATAATCCCTACCTTTTAAGTGTAGATTTTACTCAGGGACTTGTTTCCAAAAGCAAAATGTGGAATGAAGAAAAAAAAAAAGGAACTTTACAGTGGAGAGATCTGGCAAACTGTACTTTATTGGGTATTTAAAATTAACAACAGCAGTGATAAATCATTTTGAAAATGGCACTTCATCTCTGTGATTTCCCTCCCAAAAATGTTTAACTCCAATTCCACAGTGAGATAAAACATCAAGCAAACCCAAATTGAGGGACTTTCTAGAAAATATACCCAATCAGTACTCCTCAAGGTCATCACCAGTACTATGGAGGTTATCAAAAACAAGGAAAATCTGAGAAACCATCACATTCCAAAAAAGCCTAACAAGACAGGAGGTCTAAATGTAACGTTATATTCTGGATGAAATCGTGGAATAGAAAAATAACCGTTGGGCAGAAACTAATAAATTATAAATAAAGTATAGACTCTAAGAATAACATATTAGTTTAGGTTTATTAATTTGGCAAATATACCATACAAAGGTAAAATGGTAGCAATCCAGGATACTGGGTGTGGGGCATTAGAACTCTCTATACAGCTTTTGCAATTATTCTATTCAAAAATTTAAAAAAAGTTATTCAAGTGGAAAAAATTAAAATGGTTTGAAGTGAAGAAATCCCCCCCCCAATAGAATTGTTTAAATGTATAATAAAAGACAAAAAGAAAATGACAGGACAAATTCAGAAAGTTCTAAATTCAACTAATAGGAGTTCCCTGCCCATGAAAAAATAGAACCAAAAAAAATCATGGGAAGAAATAATAATAATAATTAAATAATGATAATAAAATAACATATTCAGTGCAAACATTCCTAGAACTAAACAACATGACTTCAAATTGAAAGAGACCAACCATGAAAAGAAGCATAAAACAGTAAGAAAAAAGGACACCTCCAGAAAACACTCAAAATATACAAAGTGACAGAAATAAGAAGGGTATCATATTTCCACCATGGGGGTTAGATAGCAGAAGAAGAATACATTGAACATGCTAGAGAAAATAATGTCCTATCTCGAATTCTATACCCAGCCAAACTAAGAATCTAGTTTGAGAACAAAATAAAAGCATTTTCTGATAGTAAAACTGAAAATATTCACCTTTCAGAGCTCTGCCTAAGGAACCTACAGGAGAATGGGACTCACTAAAGCCAAGGGAAAGAAGAGTGAGACAGAGAATCCACTTGGAAGAGGAGTGAAGGAGATTCTCAGGCTAACTGTGGAGGGGAGCCCCGGCACTGAAAAACTGGACTGCAGAGCTTCAGGGCAAGCAATGCTGATGGAAGCAGGAGATGGCGGTTCCCAGGGGAAATTTCAAGAGAAATATAAAAATGGTAAGTGAACAGACAGGTTTGGTCATGCAGGAAACTTTGTCAACTGACATTTTACAAAGCTGTTAGTAAAGACAGAAATGTTTGGCCAAAGATTCAAAGAAAACTAAGAAGACAAAAGGCAAGTGTTAACTTATTTAAGGGAGAAAGGGGAGGATATGTTACATGAGAAAGGGCTGTAACAGAAGCATTCAATAAGGCTCCACAGTAAATAACATTTGTACGCTCATAAAATCCAATATGATGAATATAGGATCAACTAAAAGGCGAAATGTTATGTTTACAGGATAGGGGAAGCAGAAGGAAGATTTAATGGAATCACCACAATAGGTAGTTTATTGACTCTACATTTGATGAATAAAGAAACTGCAATATAAATACAATAGATACAAACATTAAGGTCAAATGAATAAAATAGTTGAATAAATGAATAAAATAGTTGAAATGTTTCCTATAGGACACAAGAAATGGGTGAGGAGTGATAAGGACAGAAAACTACTGGCTTTTTTGTTGTTGTTGCTGTTATTGTTATAAGCATGTAGCACCTTTTTAGTTTTAAAACCAGGTGTTTACTTAGATACAAAAATATTTAACATTAAAGATAATAGAAAACAAAAAGAAAATGCGTTTAGCGATTTACCTCAGAAAGGCATATGCATCACAAGTGTGCCATGGCATATCAGTTGGAAAACAAGTAGAATTGCTTTATATTTCTTCACAGCAATTCAGAATGTTTGTTTAGAATTCAGATGGATGTGGTTTCAAATGATCTCTCCAGCTAATGAACTACCACACCCTCAGTGGTGGTATGAAAACCATTTGTTAATTTATGAAAAGTGAGGCTGTCAGGAGTTATGCAAGTATTAATAATTCTTTATTTTTCTGAGCATTTGCTTACGTAATTTTTCTAAAAATTAATCTGAGAATTCATTCAGAGTAATGTCAAACCTTTTTCTCTATCAGAATACTGTGCATAAAATTGTTTATAGTGATTACAGGTACTTCCATGCCTGATAGAGACAAATTTTTGATAGAATCCATTTATTCTCTGAAACCTGTATTTAATCACAAAAACTCTATTTCGTTCTCAAGAATTAGATAATTGGACTCATTAAGTGATGTATCAGAGAAGAACAAAGTTTCTAATTGTATTTACAATGAAATATATGAGTTAATAAATAAAATGTGGTAACAGTCTATTAAAATGACTAAAACCTTCTAGAATAGAGTATGCTATGACAGGTATAGTTAGAAGGTATATTGGTACACATAAATATCTCTATATATGTTGTGTTAAAGCCAGTCTTTGGAATTCAAACTAATGACCAATGGACCTAGCAAAATTCAAATGTTAAAATATATTAAGGCCATAAAAACTCAATGACTGATTGAGGCAAACATCTCTCAACTCTGAGATTTTGACATTCATGCAGATCAGACTTTCATTCACTGTCTTGTTCATTGGTTGTTGTTGCTGTTTGACACCAGGTAAGACACCTCACATATGCAGAATAAATCTATCCTTTAACACTTAAGGGATGATCTTTTATGCTCTTCCTGATGAGCCTTCCTGCTAGGAGAAGGGGTCAGGCCATTGTCCGGGTGGAGAGTTTTGTGTCCACATGGAGTCATTTAGAAAGAAGCACTCGCCTTTCTCTTCTACACTGTTGAATTTTGTTTCCACTTCATGCTATGTCCCAAGATATGTTGTTCCAGATTTGGAGGCCAGGGATTCATTGCGTTTGTAGGCTAAATAAACCAACTGAAGCAGTTATCACTTGGGCATGGGTTTTATTTATTTATTTATTTTATGTAACTTTTATAATGAGAAAATCCAAAAAAACTGACTGATATTAAACTTCCTTTGTATTTAGCAGCATCTTTTGGCACCATTGCAGTTACATTCCAGCTGAAATACTCTACTATCTGAATTTCATCTTTAAATGTATTCATAGTAATAAGTTTTTCACACCCACATGTTAGAAAAAGAGTATGAGAATTAGCATCAGACTTGAGCTTGAATCTTAATTCTACCGCTTATTAACTATATGACCTTGCACAAATCACTTAAATCTCTTTAAATAGGTATTTTTTAATTTGCTAAATAAAAGATACTGGTTTACCGACATGGTATAAAAATTAAAAGTTTCCAAAGAAAGAATATATTTTAGAGCATTTATAAACTACCAAGCACTGTTAAATATTTGTTATTTCTATTCTTTTCCTGGTTAGCCCACGTTCAGCTTAGTTTATCTCCCCTCCTTCATAGGAGAAATTCATATTCTTTAGTGCTGTCCCCCAAGGCTCATTACTGATGGAGGCCAAGTCAACGTAGTTTTTGCTATGGGACTCCCAACAACGTTTTCTATTTCCCATTTGTCTTTTCACATATTTTCTTGAGTCACATATTTTTCTTTTCTTCTGATGTACTTATTTTCTTCCATTTTTTGTCTTTTATTCACTGCTAAAAATACTCACTATTCCACCTAGATCTTGAGCATATTTGTCTCCCCTCTCTCCAGTATTTCCCCAGCAGTACAATGAGCAGACACTTTGGAAATTTAACTGATAAAGGAATGGCTTGTTCTTAAACTTTTTAAAAACATGGTGCTTAAAAAGAGTTCTACTTCTTTCCTGGAGTCTCTAAAATATCTAACCTGCTCCATTCCTGAACCATTGGCTCAATGCTGTCTCATGAAGGCCACCCAGGTTTGCCTATGCTCTTCAGGTACACCCATTCTACCTAGGCTTTTTCTCTTGATTCCAGGTCTTCTAACACCCCTTGGACTGGATATTTATCTTAGCTACTTGGCTTAAATGTCAATGCTAAAGGCTCTTGCAATCTCCTCTTCTGCTCCTGATCAGTTTTCACAGACAACCCTACTCTCATTCCAGCTTATAGAAATTTAAGCACTGACAATGAGTCTCTTAAATAGCATCCCATTTACGAACACACACACATACACAAGCATACACATAAAGTGAATAAGATTTATGTGTAATGGCCAATGTATTATGAAATTTTATAAGTAATTAGGCTAAAAGATCTAAAGAGTTCTCTGTCCTAGCCTCTGCGGTCATGTTGTGCATTTGGGAGTCCGGTGAGAATTCATTGCCTCAGGAACCGATTCTGCAGTCACCTCAGTAATCAATTACAATATTTAACAACTTACATCCTTAGGATTTTTTTTTTCCTTTTTTCTTTTTAAAACAAATGCAACCTGCAGAGTGTGTGAATAATTAATTTGCTTTTACATTTACATACTTTCCCATTTGGTTGAATTTTGCTAGTTTTTACTTTTCAGTATTTTCAGTTTTTGTTTTCTTAAACCAAAGTTGAATTAATCGTTGGTGATATGCTAAGAAGAAAAGCCAGGAATCCTTACTCCTGAATAGGGTTTTCATTACAGGACATTAAGTAAGAGACATTTCTCCCATTATGAAGGCAAAGTATGCATTGACCAGGTTAATTAACTTATTACTGAATTGACCAATAGCCGTATACAAACTATTCACATTTTTTTCTTCCTTTACCCTGTATGGCTACCCAGAGTCTGCAGCACTGTGTGCGATGCTTCCATGCAGCAGGAAGAACTTCAAGAATGGAAGTATACATTTAGTCAAGCTCTGCATAACAATGTTTCAATCAATGATGCATGACATATAGGATGGTGGTCTCACAAGATTATAAGAAGCTGAAAAATCCCTATCACCTAGTGATGTATTCCTTGTAATATAGCACAACACTTTACTCGTGTTTATGACAGTGCTGTAGTAAACAAACCTACTGTGCTGCCAGTCACATAAAAGTACAGCACAAAAGCGTGTACAATACATAATACTTGATAATGATAAGAAATGAATATGTTACCAGCTTATGTATTTACTGTACTACACTTTCATTATTTTAGAATGTACTTCTTATTTTTTTAAAGTTTACTGTAAAACAGTATGCCATATTACACTGCCAACAGCCTCATACTTTTTGTGTTTACTACATCTCTTCATTGCATCATTTTTTCTTATACTTGATTTAATGTTGTTTGTTTTGTTCATCATGGCCCCAAAGCATACAGAATTCACTGCTAAAGTTGCCTGGCATGTCTAATGGTTGACCTGGAAACAAAATGAAAAAAGTGATTAAGGACTAGGCAGGTAGGAACTCAGTGATGGTAACTACTCACCAGTCAGGCATGCCCCACTCCACCACAGCCACGATCTTAAAGAACAAGAACAAAGTGTTGGAAGCTGTTGAATGATCTGCTCCATTGAAGACAATGGGACTAACGCAAATTTGAGAATGGACTATATCAGATATGGAACGACTCCTAGCTGCCTTGATTGAAGACTAGACAGAAAAATATTTGCTTGTCAGTACCATGATGATCATAGCCAAACCAAAGTTTGTTTGCAATGTTAAAAGAAAAGATGGACATGACTACAATGTTGAATTTACTGCCAGTCTGGGTGGTTTAATCAATTCAAGAATCATTATTTATTACATAGTGTGAATGTAAGTGGTCAGTCCTTGGCTGCTCATCTGAAGGCAGCTAAAGAATTTTTGGAAACTCTAGATAAGCTGATTATGGAGGAAATTTACTTGCCAGAGAAAATCTTCATTGTGGATGAAACCTTTCTATTCTGGAAACAAATACCTGAAAAAAACAAAAACAGGCTTTAACGTTTTTAAGGAAAGGATAACAGTCTTACTTAGGGGCAATATTTCAGGCTGCAAATTTAAAGCCATTGTGATCTGGCACAATGAGAATTACAGAGCGGTCAAGCATATCAATAAGCACACACTGTCGGTGCACTACAGGAGCAATAAGAAGTCATGGATGATGCAGCTCCTCTTCCAACATGCCCTCCTGAATTGCTATGCCAGTAAAATGTAGAAGTACTATTTGAAGAATAATATACCTTTCAAGATTGTACTTACTGTTGACAATGCTCTGGCACATCGTCCTTTTATGAATGATCTTCATCCCAACATCAATGTGGAGTTTCTGCCTCCAAACACAACCTCTTTGATCCAACCAATGGATAAGGAGTTATAGCAGCTTTGAAGACCTACTACCTGAGGAGAACTTTTGCTCAGGCTGTTGCTGCAAGTGAGGAAGACACAGAGAAGACACTGATGCAATTCGGAAAGGATTACAGCATCCATAACTGCATCAAGAACCCTGCTTGGGCTTGCAGTGATGTCACTAAGGAATGTATGAACAGCATCTGGAAGAAGACTTTGAAGAGGTTCACCCATGACTGCAAAGGTTTTTCCAAGGATGAGGAAGTTGCAAAAATCAACGAGGCTGTGGTTGAGATGGCAAAAAACTTTTACCTGGGTGTGGGTGATGATGATATTGAGGACCTTCATTGGTTCTTAAAGAATTGACTAATGAGGAGTGGTTGGAACTGGAACAAGAATGGGTAGCTGAAGAAGAGTCAAAAGAAAAGGAAACTGTGGAGAAGGAAAAGAAGAACTCTCAAGAAAATTCACTGTGAATAGTTCATCAGAAGCTTTTGCATAACTCAACAAGTTCCCTAAAAGGTTCTAAAACATGAACCACAACACCAAAAGCTTTCATTAATAGAGAGGAATGTTCATGTGCATTATCTGTTTACAAAGCAGATCTGGGATGAGGAAAAAAAAACAAAAACAAAAACGAGCAAACCACCATGGATATATTTCTGAATAGAGTGACAGCTTCTCAAGAGGAGTCTCAATCAGTTCCTTCAGGAGATACTCCAGAAGAAGGCATTGTTATCACAAAAGACGACAACTTCATGTGTGTTTTGCCCCCCATTGAAGATGTTCCAGTGGGACAGGATGTGGAGGTGGAAGATAGTGATACTGATGATACTGACCCTGTGTGGGCCTAGGCTAATGTGTCTGTTTGTGTCTTTGCTTTTTTAAGAAAGGTTTAAAAAGTAAAAATATAAGTAAAATTTAAAAATAGAAAAAAGCTCAATGGGTACAGATAAAAAGAAAGAAAATATTTTTTGTACAGCTGTAGGATGTGTTTGTGTTTCAAGCTAAGTGTTATTATGAGTCAGAAAGTTAAAATATTGAAAGCTTTTCTAAAGTAAAAAAAGTTACAGTAAGCTACAGTTAATTATTGACTTTAATAATACTAAAAATATATTTTATTAATTTAATGTAGCCCAAGTGTACAGTGTTTATAAAGTCTATCATGGTGTACGATAATTGCATAGGCTTTCACATTCACTCACCCCTCACTCACTGACTTGCCCAGAGCAACTTGCAGTCCTGCAACCTCTGTGTATAGTAAATGCCTTATACAAGTATATCGTTTTTTGTTTTTTTATTCCCTACTGTTACTGTACCGTTTTATGTTTTGGTATGTTTTGGTGTGCAAATACTTACTGTTGTATTACAATTGCCTAGAGTGGTCAGCAGAGTAACATGCTATACGGTTTTGTATTCTAGGAGCAATAGGCTACATCATATGGCTTAGGTGTGTAGGAGGCTAACCCAAGTAGGTTTGTTTGCTTAATGATGCATTTCGCAGAACGTATTCCCATCATTAAGTGATGCATAACTACTTCCATATTCTTACTGGGGTAATTATAATAGAAATCGGTCTTTCAGTCCCACTTCATCTTTGCCTTCAAATTTGGTTTGGAAACTGGAAACTAAAAGTTGGTTAGCATGAAGGCAGATATGCAGCTTGTTTGCCATGTCAATAGTAAAAAGCTATATTATAAGGTATTCATCTTGGAAAAATAACAGACATTAATAATCCTAAATATTCAAGACATCTAACTTCCAAATATTTTCCAAGGAAATTTTTTCAGCTCTCATGTTTACTTGCTTTCATGAACAACTTTGTGACGGAAGGAAGTATAACCTTTATCCAATAACACCACTATGAAAACCAGTGCAGACTGTCCTTTTCAAGGGAAATTTTTGTGTGGAGTTTAGTATTAGGCTTGCCTATATAAAACCTTCTTCTATGAGCCAATCTACCAATCCACCAAGCATTTTTTTTTTTTTTTTTTTTTGACACAGAGTCTCGCTTTGTCATCCAGGCTGGAGTGCAGTGGTGCAATCTCAGCTCACTGCAACCTCCACCTCCTGGGTTCAAGCTATTCTCCCAAGCATTTCTGATCTTACTCTTCTGCCTACACCTTATGATATGATTCAGGCAGAGTCCATTTGCTGCAGTTTGGATATATTTTCCCTCCAAACCTCATGTTGGAATTTCACCCCCAATGTTAGAAGTGGGGCTTGGTGGGAGGTGTTTTGATCACGGAGGCAGGTATCTCATGAAAAGATAAATGTCCTCCCTGGGAGTTGAGTGAGTTCTGCCTTTAGTAGTTCCTAGAGAGCTGTTGGTTAAAGAGAGCTGGGCACCTTCCTACGCTCTCTCTTGCCATATGATCTCTTCACATGCAGCCTCCCCTTCACATTCTACCATGAGTGGAAGCAGCCGGAACCTGAGCAGATGCCAGTGCCATGCTTATTATATATCCTGCAGAACCATGAGCCACATAAACCTATTTTCTTTATAAGATACCCAGTCTCAGATATTCCTTTATAGCAACAAAAAATAGACTAAGACTTCATCCCAACTAGGAAGCTCTGAGCTTTCATCTACATGTACCTTGGATAGATGGGTGCCGTACGCTTTCTTATTCAAGGGAAGAAACAGTAAGCGTCTCAATTACTTTGAGAAAAATCAACAATAGATAGGATAATTTAGGACACTTTGCACATGTAGTGGTTTCTATGATTGTCTCTGTGATGATGATTTAGTCGAGTAAAATCATGAACCCATTTTCACAGAAGGAGAAAAGAATTTATTCTTCAAATAAAAATCAACTTATACCCAAAGTGATCTACAGAATCAGTGTAATCTCTATTATAATTAAAAATTATATAAAATTATTTTCTATGAGCCAATCCACCAATAGCACTTTTTACATAGATAGAAAAAGAAATCATAAAATTTATATGGAAACACAAAAGACCCTAATAAACGAAAACAATTTTGAGTAAAAATACAGCAGCTTAAAGTATCATAATCCCTCTTATCATAATATATTTTCAAGCCTAAGATATCAAAACAGTATGGTACTGGCCTTAAAAACAAACATACGAACTAATAGAATAGACTAGAGGTCCCAGAAATAAGCCCATGTATGTGTGGTCAACTAATCTATATCAAGGGTGCCAAAAATACACAATGGGGAGAAGACAATACTTTCAATAAATGGTGTAGGAAACCAAAGTAATTAAGTTAAACCCTTATCTTATGCCATACACAAAAATCAGCTCAAAATGGATTAAAGACTTAAATGTAAAACCTGAAACAATAAAATGCTTAGAATAAAACATAGGAAAAAATGATTAATGAGATTGGATTTGGCAATGATTATTGGATCTCACACCAAAAGCACAGGCAACAAAAGCAAAAATAGGTAACTAGGGTTACCTAAAACCACAAGGGTTTTGCACAACAAAATAAATAATCAACAAAATGAAAAGGCCAAACATAAGAGAAAACATGAAAGAACATATTTGCAAACTGTACATCGGAGAAAGGTACAATTTCCAAAATACATAAGGAAGTGCTACAACTCAAGACCAAATAATAATAATAATATATAACACTAACCCAATTTTTAAAAATAAGCAAAGACCTCAATAGACATTACACCAAAGGAGACAAACAGGTACATGAATATGTGCTCAACATTACTAATCACCAGGGAGAAATAAATCAAAACCACAGTGACATATGACTTCCTACCTGTTTAATGGCTATTACAAACAAAAATAACAAAGTGTTGGCAGGATGTGGAGAAAAGCGAACCTTTGTATACTATTATCGGGAATGTAAATTGGTACAGCCATTGTGGAATACAGTATGGAGATTCCTCAAAAAAATTTTAAAAATAGAATTACCATTTGATCCAACAATCTCACTTCTGCCTATATATCCAAAGGATATAAAATCAGTATATCAAAGCAGTATCTGCACTCCCATATTCACTGCAGCACTATTCACAGTAGCCAACATGTGAAAGCAACCTAAATGTTTATTCACAGATGAATGGATACAGAAAATGTGATATATACCTATATATACATACAATGGACTATTAGCCTTCAAAAAGGAAATCCTGCCATTTCTGACAATATAGGTGGATCTGGTGGACCTTGTGGCAAGTGAAATAAGTCAGACACGGAAATACAAATACTACATGATCCTACTTTAATGAGGAATCTAAAATAGTCAAACTCGTGGGATCGGAGAGTACAACAGTGTTTACCAGGGGCTGAGGAGAGGGGAAGTGAAGAGGTGTTGGTCAAAGGGTGCCAAGTTCTGGTTATGGAGGATGAGTAAGTTCTGGAGTAATAAATACTGTACAACTTGGGTCCTAAAGTTAACAATAATTTATACTTAAAAAGTTTGCTAGAGAGTGGATCTTATGTTCAATGCTCTTACCACAATAGAACAAACATTAATTTTAAAAGAAAAATTTAAAAATAGGGCAGAAGGAAATGCTGGGAGGCGATGGAGAAATTTATGGTCTTGATTGTGGTGATAGTCTCATGGGTGTACCTTTATCTCCAAACTCATCAAGTTGTATACATTAAATATGTTCAGCCTTTTGTATGTCAATCATATTGTAATAAAGTGGTCAAAAACAAGAAAAAAATCAATTTATTCATCAATTCTTGATTGACTGGTGGTAGCTTTTCCACATTGTAGATTATCCATCACAGAATTTTAGCACTGAATTACTTTTCCTCTTGACACTCAACCAACATGTTGTTTTTTTTTTTCTAGGGGCATAAATTCATTTTAATATTAGTCTAACTAAAACTGCATGAAAAAGGAGCAGAAACTGAAAAGTTGTCATTATACTGTAAAGCCAAATATAAATGACTTTGGGATCTCTTTGTATTTCTATTCCCCTCTGTTAGAGCAGATAATCAAATATTGGCACCAAGTGCAGGGGAAAGTTGGAAATGATATAAAAATGTGTTTGTGTTGCTAGAGTTTCCTGGCCAATTCAGTGACACAGAACTAGAAATGGCCAGGGTACAAATCCCACTGGATGGAAATGTCTGACAGGTACTAAACTAGCAAGAGGCTTTCCAATTGCCCCTGTGAAAGAACTCAGCATGGCAAAGAGGAAAAATTAGAATGGAAAAACATTTATTTGTAATGGGGGTGGGGGTCTGGGTTCATTGAAACTGCCTATATCTTTTGAGCATACTTTATGTTATTACCATCTAAGTGACCGATTTAGAAATTGGACCAATAACAAATGAGGCAGTTGTATCCACTGCATCATTAATTTTCAGTGCTATTGGCCGGGTGTAGTGGCTCACACCTGTAATCCCAACACTTTGGGAGGCCGAGGCGGGTGGATCGCCTGAGGTCAGGAGTTCGAGACCAGCCTGGCCAACATGGTGAAACCTCGTCTCTGCTAAAAATACAAAAATTAGCCGGGGGTGGTGGTAGGCGCCTGTAATCCCACCTACTCAGGAGGTTGAGGTAGGATAATCGTTTGAACCCGCAAGGCAGAGGTTGCAGTGAGCCAAGATTGCATCACTGTACTCCAGCCTGGGTGACAGAGAGAAACTCCATATCAAAAATAAATAAATAATAAAATAAAATAAAAACTACAATTTTCAGTGCTACCAAGGTGTCTCCATGTGCGTGTGGGAGGAGGCATGTTTTCATACAAATTTGAAAAGTGAGTCAGTCTAATGGAGTATTTTTCCTTGTAATCTGGGGACATTGGTGTCCTTGTTTTAGTCATGCTTCAAATGTCAAAATACCCAAACTCTTATCCCTGGCATCAGATAATATACTTATTTGTATGTGATACTATATTTTTAAAAAACTAAATGCCATTCTACTTTCAAAATGCTTATTTTGAAAGAACTCACCATTGCTATACATCAGGGACTTCTCTGTGTCTCCCATTCCTTCCTTTAAGAAAAGCAAACTCTAATTTCATTATATTGACCCTGCTTCTTCTTTTTATATTAGGAGGTGTTTAGGGGACAGTCATACTTTAATTGATAAATTGCCGTATCAGAGGAGCCACACATGGATCTGATAAAGAGATCCTAGACATTGAACAGGAAGCATTATGTTTGATTTGAAGTTGTTCCCCTTTGTTTATCATATTTTTTTTTGTGGGGAAAAAAGTTACAAAAGCATATTTAGTGGCCAAAGGGGTGAACTGTGGCAGAGACAAATAGTTGACTACCAAAAATTCATGCTTCCCAGTTACTGCTGGAAGTGGCTGCCCCTCATGGGATATATTTCCTAGCCTTCTTGCTATAATTAGGGCCATGTAAACCAGTTCTTGCTGATGAAATGTGAGCAGAAGTGAATTACATCACATGCAGGTTTAGGTGACCAGGGAGGTGTGACTTCTCCACTCTCTTTTTCCCATTATCCAGCTGGATGGAGAAGACTCAGCAGGGAACCCAAGGCCCTATGAGATGTTGAACCAAAAAAACTTTAAAAAGCCTGGGACCATGAATAACAACCAGAACTGATTCCCAATTAAAACACCTATTTCAGACTCAAATAAATTTCTATGAATTTTAGTCATCTTAAATTTCCTGGGTTTGTTGGTTATACCAACTAATATTACCTGAACTAATATGTAACACCACTCGATTTATAAAATTCATTCTCAATATCCTCTTTAATGTCTTCTAAGTCAAACTCTAAAAGTATTCTATAAATCTCAACCAATCAACACATATTTAGTGAGTGGTAAATATGTGGAAGATTATTAATATATCATTTTTTCTTTAGGAAAATAGATTCCAAAACACCAGATCTATAATTCTAATTATATGTATCATATAATTATATAAAGAGACAGTAAATTTGGTACTAGAATATCATTTTTTACATTGCTCAATTTCAATTCTTACCTCTATTTCCATCTTCCCACTCATTCACTACTGGAATGATGTCCTCATGTCTTTGTATATCAGAAACTAATTTTGCTATTTTATAAAACTGGATGGGAATAACATGTGTTTGTTGATACTTACCATTTCTACTCTGCATAAATCCTGCTAAATCTTTTCAGTGTCACTGGGATGGCTTGATCCTCCATGGTTTTCCATTATTAGCAAATTAAGATGTCCTTTGGGACCTGATCTCATCACGTAAGTCATTTAAATACTGTATGGAGAATAGGTTTAACCTCCATACTAATCTCTTTGTGTCTGTGTTGGAAATCACCAACGTGTACTCTCAATCTCCTGCAATTATTTTCAGTCCAGGCTTCCAAATGGGAAAATATACGTTTCTTGATCAGAATCATGTTCAAATCCAATTAGATAAAGTCTCCAGACCACATGAGGTGAATATTTTCACTCTCAAATAAAAACTCAGGTCAACTTAAGAAAAAGAAAAGAAAAATCTTTTTTAAAACACTCCATCCACAGTTTGCATAATTACTAACAGTGCCTTTAAGTAAGTCTCCTATGCTGGCTGCACAAATAATTTCTAAAGTTTCTAACACATCAATTTGAAATGAACTAAACTGTTACTAATTCTCTTGATTTTAAGAAGGTTTCAATTAAGACTAGCCTCCCCTCACATTTTATTACAATAATGCTATTCCTAAGAGTTGCAATTTCCATAGCTCTGTACAAAACATGTTTCCCATAGGATTACAGAATAACTAACACTTCTATTTTGTCACATTCCTGCCACATGGAAAAGAATAGATATCATTAGATTAAGACTCTCAGTCAGATAATTGAATAAAAGACACATAACCAAGTGAATCTCTTCTACCTTCTTCTCTCTGCCAGCACCTTGCTGTCTCCTTCAACAGTGCTCCAGGTGATTTGTGCCTCAGAGAATATTTCAGAGGTTCTGGTCCAGTAGAATTGCAAAATGGTTTTTGCCAGGAGCATTTTTTCTCATTCATTTGAAAGGAAATTGCAACCACACATTTCTGACTCATTTCTGCTTAAATCATCAACATTTTGGCTTCTGGGAGCAGATGACCAGCTAGGCTAGGTTACCTTTAATGAGCCTTTAAAATACCTTTTCCTTAAAAAACAGAAATTACAAAGTGCTGACCGTCTCATTTATTATGCAAAATAAGCGTACTTCAAATGTGTAGTAAAAATTTTAAATTGTATTCAGTGCCTATTTTTCTCTATAAAATTAATTCCCTCAAATTTAAAAAGCATTTGCTGTTATACTTTTCCTCAAGTTTTTCATTTATCTTCACCTTCCTTTTAGCATTTATGACAGAAATTGAACTCACTCTTATAGTTCATGTCAGATATTTCAGTAATTTCAGCATGAGGTACAAAATACCAAGGTTCCTTTTAACCTCGAGTTCATATTTGAGTAAGGTTGTCCGGGACCTTCAAATGCTTCGGGTCAGCTCACTGGCCTTCATTCAACTCCTCTTCCTTCATTTTTCACCGCAGCCACGGTTCCATGCCAGCCTCTGGCAAGATGGTTCCTCTTTCAGCATCACTGTGCCTCTGCTGCTGTGTCCTTGGAGAGGCAGGTACCGGATGATGGGAATGAGATGAGATGCACTGAAATTGACATGATCCAGAGTTCCTGCAGGCATTTATGGATGGTAGAATTTATATTCAACGAACGGTTCCATTCCCTGGATATCAAAGGGGAGTTTTTATGTTTGTTTGTTTTGTGTTCTCTTCATATCAGTACCTATTCAACCCAATTGGAACTTTTTTTTTTCTCATGAAGAAATACTTTCTTTCTAATCTATGTAAAGTAAGACTGGACTGGGAATCAGAAGACATGGATTCTAATTTAACCTACCATTTGTTAATGACTGTGACTTAATAGTAATAGATAACGTTTAGTGAGTACCAATTATACTCCAGGCACTTTATAAATACTGATAAAACTGCGTGAAATAGGTCCTATTACTATCCTCATATTACAGGTTATAAAACTAAGGCTCAGAGAGGTTAGGTAAGTCATGATTTGATCCCAGGCATTCTGACTCTGAAGCCGTTGAACTAATTGCTATGTGCTAACATCCTACAATTTCACTTGTGTTAGAACATGGGCATACTCACAGGAAGAATGGAGGCAGTGGGCTGATTAGATTCACTCTTTTACTCAACAAGTGTTTATTATGCATCTACTATGTCCAGGTAAAGTAGTGGAAAATGGGAATAAAATGAAAAACAATACAGACAGAATTTCTGTGGCCTTGGAACTTCCATTTCAATGGATCAGTAAAGGTCTTTCCAACTTTAATAACTTTAATATTCCTTATTTAATGATTCTGTGTGGATCCTGCCTAGTCTTCCATGTAAAACTCAAGTCTTATGTCCTTTACGAAGACTTGTTCTGGCTACGTTCACTCTTTCCGACCTCTCTATTTTCAAAAACTATCATCTGTTTTCCATTACATTGTCCTTTCACAGTTGTATTTAAGTCAGCTCACCATAATAAAATTTAAAAGTTATCAGAGAATGAGCACTTCAGGGCAAATAAAAATGCCTTTCACACAGCAGGTTTCAATAAACACTGTTTTAGATTTATCAGATGACAGGAGATTCCAGACAATTTAACCTGGGCTTTGTTCGCTTGTTCCTGGGTCATCTCCCTCTGTTTTGTTTTCATTTCCACTTCTATGTGGCTAGCTATGCCCTTTCCTCTCCAAAACTCTACATACTCCACAATTGTTTAATTCATTAATTAATTTAGTAAATCCTTGTAAAGTCTCTCTTACAGGCCAGATATCATACAGGGTGAGATAAAGATAAATTAAGAATCCCTAGACACTGAGGAAATCACAGCTTAGTGGGTGGAAGTTAGTGATAAATAAATTGCAGTTTAATGAAGAGTGGACCATGTAAGATACAGGTGAAGTTCTAAATCAGAAACTAATACTCACTGGAAAGGGGACGATGGCTGTACTCAACAGTGGTTCCATTGAAGTTGTGTTCTGCAGGATAAATGGAAATTTTCTTGGTAGAGAAATAAGGCCGAGAGAATTTTAGGTAGTGAGAATGGAATGTGAAAGAGAAAGATTTGGCAAGGAAATGTTTGGCAGTGATATAACATTTGTGGGTGGCTGTAGAAGAGACTGAAATTATATGTTGGGGCATATTTAACAAACTCTGTAAGATAAACTGAATGCAGTAAGCAGTGGGAATCTAAACAAGGTTATGAAACAGAAAAGTGCCATTGAAAAGAATTTCCCAGTTTGGAGGACTATGTCAATGTTAAAGTCCCTGCTCTTCTTGATGAGTCTCTGCCATTCATCCAAGCATATCTTCCTGCTTTCTTATCTCAACACCAAATGCCCTGGCAACAACATCTTCAGAGAGTGCTTGAATATCATGGTCGGGAACTAGAAGCAGGGGACTACTTCTGACCTAGAGTTAAGAGAGAATCACTAGAGAGAATCCTCATGCCTTCTAAGGAATTATTTAGCCATATATCACATAAAATTCCATAAGAGTAACATAAATGTTAAATAGAGGATTTTAGAGATTTTCTTATATAACTCAGATAAGGAAACTGAGACCTCAAAAGATTTTTTTTTTTTTTTGATGAATCCAAATTCCAGTTCATAGGCCCAGCAGGGCACAGTGGCTCACACCTGTAATCCCAGCATTTTGGAAGGCTGATGCAGGCCCATCACCTGAGGTCAGGAGTTCAAGACCAGCCTGGCCAAAATGGAGAAACCCTGTCTTTACTAAAAATACAAAAAATTAGCCGGGTGTGGTGGTGCACACCTATAATCCCAGCTACTCGGGAGGCTGAGGCAGTAGAATCGCTTGAACCCGGGAGGCGAAGGTTGCAGTGAGCTGAGATTGTGCCACTGCACTCCAGCTTGGGCGACAGAGCAAGACTCCATCTCAAGAAAAAAAAAAATTCAATTTATAGGCCCACATAACAGTCAGCAACATACAAAATATATGGCATGACATATACTTTCGCTTTACAATCATTTTGTTTTGTGCTTTCTGGGCAAATATGTCATCCTATCATTGATCTATATTATTTGTGTAGGAATCAGCCCATCATCTGCTTTCCATACCTATATTAGTGTCTGAAGAAAGTAGCTTTTCTCTTCCCCCAACTCTCCTACTTTAAGGAGCCATATTTAAAGTTATTTATTTGCTCAAGTTTACTAGTGGATGGAATTTGGATGTATAAATAGCTTGTAGAAGAAATACGTTTCTCTTTGGGTTTATTTACTTTGTGCAATAGATGTGCATTAGATTTCGTCTTTCTTTAAATCAGGGCAACAAGATCAGATGCTTGTATTTAACACTAGAAGTTTTGAGACAGATGAAGCTGTTTTTGTATCTAATTACCAAAGGAAAAATGACCCTCTATAGTCCAGTTTACTAAAGCTGCTGACTTTTAGTTACTTTGGGGGATGAAGTCTCAGCTAATCAAATATTGCTTGGTCTTCCATTTACCATTATTTAATTATTTTGATATCGTTCCTCATGTGTTGTTTTAGTCAGATGTTATATTAGTCAAGACTCTAAGAAAAAAACAAAACAAACAAACAAACAAACAACAACAACAAAAAACAAAGACAGAAGTAGCTTACGCCAAACAAGAGATATATTGTCACATATAGCTACAAAGTTAGCGACCATTACACATGGATGGATAAAGGGACTCAAACAATATATGTTTATTTTTCTTTCTCTCTTCTCCGGCTCTTCTTCCTGCTATGTGTTGAATTTATTGTGAGGCTGGTTCTCTCCATATGGTAGAAAAGATGGCTACTAAAAATGGCAAGCCTAGACCCATATTGCCTGCCAATCAAAAAGAATAAAACTTCTGCCTTCAAATGTCGGTATATCAAATCTCTTCATATAAGGACCCTGATTAGACCTACTTGGATATCTCACTACTACGCATCACTCTCCCCACCAAACAATGTATTGTGCACTTCATGCAGGTACAGTGATTAGTCTAGTTTGAGCTGCATGCCATGATTGGGGTGGTGTGAGTGAGGGATAGGGCTGTGATGGACAGTCCTGCAATGGGGGTGTGGTTGTTTCTTCAAGCAATGGAGTCTGGCAGACTATAATGTCATCTGCATAAGACATAATTCCAATAGTTCCTCTTCTATCTCTCATGAAACACACAACCACCACAGCAACAAAAACATTTGCTCCCTTTCCATCCCAAACAGAATTTGAAGACGCATTCTTGTATTCCATTCTGTTTCATATCTAGAATCCCTGAGTGTGGTGCATTATTCTTGTTAACTCTAGATGTAGTTCCTCAGCATCTAGCTACATAGATGGATAAACAAAAACTTTACCTACGCTCAAAATTCACAGTAAATTATGATGGGATGAAATGAAATAACTTCAATTAAACGGTCATGTAGAAAAGTGGCAAATGTTTATAGAATTCACTGCCTCTTGCTTGATAGGGAAAGCAAAGATTCTCTTCCTTGGTTTGGGATGAATTTCGTGGTAGTTTATCAGTCAGGAAGATTTCAGCAGCACATAAAACAAAGCTTTGATAAAAATTGGTTAAAACGATAAGAGGGTTTATTACTTAATAAAACAAGAGATCCACAGGTAGGACCAAGCACTACTCACAGTACCTCTGGTATCTGGGCATGACTGTCTTAGCTTTGTCCTTCTGGGTGTGATGTTTTCATCCTCACGCTTGTCACAAGGTGGTTGCTGGAATTTCAGTGCCATATCCAGGTGAAGTGGAGGTGTCGTCACCTGTTCCAAAGTTCAGAGGAAATGTTTCTTAATGAAAATGAAACTTTTCCCAGAATGTCCAACAAAACTTCCCCTCCCCTCAAAATAATACGTGTCTAGGAATTAGGCACATGTTTATACCTAAATAAATCACTGCCAGTGCTATTAATTGCTACAATTGGTTCACATTGCTAGAGCTGGGAGGGTTTGCTGCATCCTCTGAATCATACGCTGTGTGGAGAAAGCAGGAATCCTTGAACAAAATCAGGGTTCTATAAAGAAGAAAAGAAGAGGAATGAATGCTATATATACAATCTAACTCCTCAATCTAGCTCGTCAATCCGGCTGACCCCAGTTCTACCCTATAATAGGCTCTTCAGAGTTTATTGTCCTTCCTAACAATACCCGGGGAGGAGGTGGTAATGCCTGGTTTTTGAGACAGCAGTCACACATCTTTGTTTACCAGACTTGGGAAGAAATCCAGCAATATGCCAGTTTAAAAACTCTAGTAAGCTGTTGGTATATTTTTTTTCTTGGTCAGTAAATGATACCAGAAATTTGCTGAAGTAAACTGTAATTTACTTTTACGGTTTCTATTTTTTAGCAACAGGCATCAAGGCTTCGACCATCCCCTGAATATTCCACTAATGGTTTCCACCCTGGTTTCAGCTTGTTTAAGGCAGAGATAATTTGTTCTCTGCCACCAGGCTAGATCCCAGTGGAGGGTGATTTTCAGGGGAATATTATCTACTAGGCTATGAGTTGATGCCCACCGGAAGTTTAGTCTGGTTCCTATGTATTTGGCCTTTCCCATTTCCTTATTTTCTGGTTCCAAATCTTATGGTTTTCATTGTCCCATCTTTGTTCATACCAACTGCAGTTCCACTAATCATTTGGCCTTCTGTAATAATGTGTCATTAGCCATAAGACAAAGGTCCATTCTGGTACATACTATTCCTTTTCCAACAGGTAAATTGAGACCAATGATGATGATGATGATGATTTTTGTACCTTACCAAAGACCATAACAGCCTTTTGCATCTCAACATTTTTTACCCAATATCCTAGTAATCTAAACTAAGTAGTATTTAGTAGAAGCTAGATTAAATAGAGAGCCGTTTCCAATGGTTTGTCTTCTAAATAATGAAGATTGACTATTTTCCAGCTAACAGTGAGGGACTACCTCTCCCCCCAACCTTCACCTCACTTCCATCTAGTCTTGTTCCTATTTTAGGCTTTGTCACGCATAGTGCCTTCCTTAGAAGTACCCATTTTTCTATTAATGAGAACCCTCTTGGCTGTGATGTTTAAAAGTTTTATTAAAACTGGCTTTCCACAAAATGAAATTAATGATCCTACTTGACCAGAAAGCCTAAGGAATGTTCAGACTTTGGGCACAGTCAGCCTTGTGGATGTAGAGGCTGCCATGAGGATGCTGACTTTATCTCTATCTCTCGGCTCTGCTCCTCTCTGCATGACTGCATGGACTCCTTCTCAGTCAGGTTTTCTCCATGTGTCAGGAAACATGGTTTCTGGCAGCCCCAAGTCTACATTTGTACGAATTGCAATCCAAAATGAAGAAAGACCATCTGTCTTCCATAACCATATATCACATCCATCCAAATTTTTACTCTGGTGGAATTACTAGGGTCACATGTTTCTACCTGCACAACTCACATTGATCACAGGGTGGGACACATATGATGAGGTAAGTCTGGGCAATGTGGTGCCCACTCTTATAATAAGGATAGTAGGACACCTGGAAAGACACATCAATATTACATGAAGGCTGGTAGTGGGTTCACAAGCACAGGCACGGGGACAACAAAAGCAGTGTGCTCACTACGGGTAGGAAAGAAGGAAAGTTGGCGGAGGTCAGATTTGAGTGCTGCATTGTTCGCTTCCCAGGGTATAATTTAAGCACCCCAACTTTATTCTACTCTCTAATACTCAACAGCAACTTGTGCTGTGTGGGAAGATGCATTTGTCTAGTAAGTAAAAACAATCATATGGATGTATCTTAAAGAGTTCTTCAGATGAATGCTGCTTTCCAACTGTAAAGTGTTGTTATGAGAAAACCTTTGCAACTTGAAGTTAATTTATGCAAAGGGGAGGTGGGGGTTAAAAGCGGCACTATGCAGCCATTTCTCAAGCTGTCTTTTTTAGAGCTTACATGAAAAGACTCTCCCTAACTCCCCCAAATTGAAAAAAAAATTCAACCACAGAATAACCCTCAATACTATTTTCTTTCCCAACAATATTACTTTCCATCTTTCTGATTTTTCCGGTGAACAGATCATGTGAAAGCATTAATGATTGCACAATGCACAGGGTTAGTAAGGTAAGTGGAGCTCATAATTACCTCATTTACATTCTTTTATTCACTGAAACAGAATTCTTAATGACTTTTATGTGAAATGCAGGGTAATCAGCGCAAATGAAGCTCTCTGGTGCAGGGTGGAGAAGTGAGCCAAGTCACTGCCTGTCAGCAGAAAATGCTTGATGAATGGTCAGACAAAGGCACCCAGCATGGTGCCCTAGGATGCTCCATTGGAAGAGACTTAGCAAAGTCTTATGTTTTAAGAGACTAGCACATTGAGGTTGAGATCTAAGAAGTGGGGCTTAAAAGCAGGAAGAACCAGTATAGTATCCGTAACCATCTCCCTGACTTTCTGCAGGAGAAATAAGCAGCCTTCTTTCCTCAAAGTATTGTAGGTTAAGAAAGCTAGTCAGTGAATGGGGAACCCTGCATTCTAGTCCTGGCCTGTGCATAGAGCAGCTGTGAAATGTTAAATGAATTACTTCATCTCTCTGGACTTGAGATGGTCCACTTGTGAAAGAACAGGTGCACACTGCAGAATCACCTGGGAAACAGGTTCCCTTCAAACAGAGTCGTTTGATATTTTCCAGGTCTACAGTTCAGTATCTCCTGAGGAAGGGGTACAACAATTGTATTCTGAACAAAATCCCCAGGTGATCTTTAAACAACCAGCATAAAAATGAAAACACTAAAAACAACAACAACAAAAAAACCCAACATATTCACGTGAGCAAGAGGCTCTTTAGGTGAAACACTCTTGACCTTCCAAAAAAAAAAAAAAATTAAAAATGTGGGGAAGATAAAAAGCATGACCAATTAACAAGGTCACCTATGACAGCATGGGTATTCAAAAGACAAAATGAAATATTTCAAATGTGTGGCAATTATATTGAATTTAATGATGACATGAGGCAGGCAATGGGAAGGACAGATAATTTTTTCTAACATTCAGAAATCTTAATGCTGGAGGAACCCTCCCAGTGAATCTGGATGGTTATCTGGATGGGCTAAGAGGCATAGTCATCAGGACTAGAGGTTTCACCCAATTTCCATACCTCTCTTAATTGATACAAGCAATCAGTCTTGTATTCCAGATTTTAACATGATTAGGTGCTCAGCTTTCAACCTACTCATCTTTTGCCAGTGCTTATACAATGTATAAATAACTGCATGTGATTTCTAGATTCTTCCCATTTATAATGTATCACGGGTATGCTGGAACCTGAGTGCAGTGTTGACAAACATTCCAATTATTCTAGAGATATTCTAGACTTTCATATCCATGATGCTGATTTTTAAATGTGGTAAAATTATTCTAGGATTGTTGGAGACCCAAATTGTAAGCAAAACAAATTTCATTGTAAGCCTTGCCTCTTACTTATACAGTAATAATATGCATTAAGAAAACCTATCTATGTTATTTTAATAAGAGTCTTTGACAGTTAATTTTGTCTGTGTACTCTTAAAATCTGTGAGAAATATGATAGGACTAGTGTGTCTTCTTAATATTCTTAGCCTCCATGATTTTATCTGATCTGTTCATGGTCTAGCTTATGAGTGTGTATTGTCATTGTGGCAAATGGTATCACTCGTCTGCAGAGGGAAATGCACTAATACAGTATGGAAACCAAGGTAGTTAATGTCTTTGTCTTTCACTGGGTAAATGTCAGTGTTCTGATTTGAACAGCAAGGTTAGGATCACATTCCCCATGCTTTAAATTAGTGTATGCTCCTCCCCACGACATGATTGCAAAATTTCTACTTCATTATCAAAGTTTATGGGAGTGACTGCTGTATTTCTTTCTATGCCCTCTAATCATTACTTCCCTACTATTTAAATCACCCTATTGTATCTGCAGGGGTACATAATTTAACTATACATTATAGCCTGATGCTACTTAACTTCCTGTATCTCTCGGGACTACAGTACTACAGTCTAATAGTTTTGGTTCCCTGAAGCAGATAGATATGAGACTTGGATGGTAGGCTGCGAAGAGGTTGGGCAGTGGTCAAAGGACTGCCTGTAGCACTGGAATAAAAATCAAGCACAGAGTCCGTTCAGCACTCTATGTTGAGTCCATGACCTCAGGAGCTTGGCTGGCTCCTGAACATTGGTTATAGGAAGAAACTCTCTTTTCCTCTTTAATGGCTGCAAAACTTTTTTGAAGGCAAATGCATGCACTTCCTCTCTGCAAAACATGCATGTTTGCCAAGTAGAGCAAAGGTCAGTAGGGTTTTTCTTTGTAGCAGTCATCTGAGCAACAGCTTAAGTGCCGCATTTGGCTGCAAAGCCACCACATCCTCACCATTCTGTGCCTTATTTTCACAAGAGTGATGGATGTGGATATAGGCACAGAGACTGGCTATTCTGAAGTCCCAATATCTCAGTTATCATGTAGCACAAATTGTCTCTGTTTTTGCCTAAGCACTTAAGTCTCTTACAAATATGTTTGCAGGTTGATAGATCACAGACTCACATTTGTTTAAGTAAAACATACTTCCAGGACATCCATACTAGCTTACCAGGAATTGCTTCTTCTGTGAATGGACCTTTCAGGCATCTCAGTTTCCCTGGGCTTTTCTGTTAGAATAAGCTCAGTCCACCAGTGTGTCTCACTACTCCCCCAGCCATGGACATTCCCACTAGGCATGGCTTCTGCCAGCTATTACCACATGCCCTCTCTTTGGCCTTGAAACCACTTAGTCTCTACATTGCACCCATCCGTGAGCTTCCAAGAGACTCTAGATTCCCAAAATGCAAGTTGTACTCAATGACCAAGTCAGGGAGAATGTTCTTTGTCATTCGTGGTGTTCTCTTCTAAAAATGTCTCAAACCACTGTTGCTTTTCCCTCATTGCCTTGCAGAATTCACTCAAACAAATCTTCCAGATTTTAAAATATTTCTTCTGGACATGTAATTAGTGTAATCAGTTGTCGGTGGATTTAAGTAGCTCTTTGGTTCTTAAAATCCCTGCTCTCCAACGTGTGGGTTTGGGATTCCTGTGTCAAGTTCCTTATGTTTAGCTCTGTATTTTCTTAATGATTTTTTTCTCAGGCTTTAAATAAATATAAATTTATTAAATAAATATATATTAATATATATTAAATTAATATATTAAATAGTGTATATATTAAATATGGATAGATATATCCTGTCCATTCCCTTTTTTAGTCAACATAACCAAGGTGCACTCTGAACCCACCCTGAAGAACACAACAAAATGTCTCAGGAATTAGAAGCATTAGACACCTCTGAAAAGGGGAGACTTATAGGGCTGAATAAAGGATTTATTTTGAGTCTTTATAGAAAAGAGTGGGGCTCCAAGAAGCCCTTCATTTCCTGAGTTGCCAGTAACTACCCCTACTCTTAGCAATAGACAGGGTTATCCTCAGAAGAAATTGAACTTACTTCCTCACTGAATGATCAGTGATAGCACAGTGGAAGAAGTGAGGGTCCTTAGTAGAAATAAAAGATTAAGTGACCACATATATACTGAGCCATGAGGACCCCCTTTCAACCTACTACTTGTCTCTTTCCTTTTAGCCTTGGAAATAAATAGGGACACGTGCGATCCTTACTCTCACGCCCTGCAAGACTGGTATGTTTTCCATTAACTTTTTAATGACACACTTTTGAATAAAAACAGTCTATAGTTACTACATATTTCAAGAACCTCTAAGAGAAAAGACAAAAATCAAAATAAACAGAGGAAAGAAACTTTGAATACATAGAGACAAATGTTTGGAGCAGCAAAACAAACAAAACAAAAAACCAACAACAACAACAAAAAACAGACAAATGCTTGGAGCAGCAGTAGATAAAATCAAATAAAATATGATCATTGGTTCAATCAGATAATATATGGCAACGGTGAAGGAAGAATAGGATACTATCAGAAAAGAAACATGGAAAGTTCTTAAATTCTTATAAAAAGCATTGAAAGTTTTTAAAAACGAGAATACAATATTTAATGGAAGGATAGTACCATCACTATGAGGTCATATTAAAAGACAGCAAACAAAGAGACGAGACAAAAAAATTAATGATAAAAATTGTGGAAATTATAGGGCTAGTGAAGCAGGTCATACACACAGTTGAAAGACATTTCAAAAATTTTTTTTAAAAAGAGCAAACCAAACGGATGGAAATTTATTTTTAAAAATACAAAAAAAAATTCAAGAATTGAAGAACACGTATTCCAGATACAAAGACCCACTGGCTTCTTCGTACTCTGAGTTAAAAGACTTTAAAAAGTCTTCCTCCAAACAACAACATCCAGAAATTTCAAGAAAAATTGGCAAATTAAAAATATTAGAACTATTCAGAGAGCATTAGTAAAAAGGCTGTCACATTAAAAAAAACTGAGAAAATAAAATGGCATAATTGACTTCACAAGGACAACAAGAGAAGCAAAAAAGACAGTGGAGACATGCCTTCAAAATTCAAAGTGAAATTACATTTCACTCAGACAATGAATGTAAACAGAATAAAGACAATTTTGGACATGTGAAATCTTGAAAAGGTATATCTCAAAGACCCTTTTCCAGAAAATTGCTGGAATTTGTGTGTGCAATTAAACTTAGGAAGTAAATTAGGAAGGAAAAGAGATGGGATTAGGAAATGACCTACTTTGGGTGGTGAGAAAAGAAACTGAACTGGCATCTGTGTGGCAGTCTAGGTGACAGAGGACAACTGGAAAAAAGGAGGGACATGCATTACCATTTTCAGAGCATATGATTACTGTAAACCTGAAAATCTCAGCACAGCCAACCAAAAATCATTAGAAAACTTAAGAATAGACAGAAGGTGGTTGACTACAGTTTTATTAAGCAAAACATAATAGTTGTCAATTTTGTTCAAACAAAAACCTCTTAGGAAATAAATGCAAGATGAAATATTATCAGTATCAGTCAAAAAAGATAAAATACTTAGCAAAATACCTAATAGATTTGCAGAATCCAAATGATAAAAAAGTTAAAACTCTGCTGAAGGAAACCAAGATATATAAACAGAAATATATATCCTTCTAACTGCATAGGAATATTAATGTTTAGAAAATTTCAACTGTTTTTAAATTAATGCATCAGTTAATGCAATCCATTAAAATACTTACTGTTATATATTTGTAAAACTAGTCAAGTTAATTACAATTTAAATTCACATAGAAAAAGAAACAGGTGAGAATTTTTAAGGAAAAATACTTAACGGGGAACTTGCTTTATTAGATAATGAAACTATTACAAAATTGTAGTCAATCATTTGTCACTGATACATAAATAGATCAATGGATTAAAGGATATCCCCACACACACACACACACACACACACACACACACACACACACACATCTAGAGGATTTAGAGAACTATAAAGGTGATATTTCAAAGCGATGGAGAAAAGAAGGAATGTTGTTTTTAATAGGAGAAAATGAGACTTTCCTTGTACTCCATCATTTGTTTCCTGATAACATTTTACATTAGTATGGTATATTTGTCACATTTAATAAACCAATATGAATACATTATTATTGGTTAAAGTGCATATTTTACTCTGATTTCCTTGGAAATTACCAAGGAAATGTCTGTTTTCTATTCCAGGACAACACATTGTGTTTAGTCACCAGATCTCTTTAGACTCCTTTTGGCTGTGAAGGTCTCTCATACTTTCATTGTTTCTAATGATCTTGTCAGTTTTGAAGTCCACTGGTCAGGTATTTTGTAGAATGTGCCTCAATTGGGATTTGTCTGATGATTTTCTCATATTAGACTGGGGATATGGATTGTGAGGAGGGAGACCACAGAAGTAAAATGCCATTCTCATCACACTAGATCAGGGTAATACCATCAATATGATTTATCCTGATGATGTTAACCTTGACCACCTGGCTGAAACAGTGTTTGCCAAGCTCCCCACTGTGAAACTACTCTTTTTTCCCTTTTGCACTCTTTCCTCTTTGCAGAAGTTACTTTGCACTGCTCACACAGAGTGAGGCATTATGCTCCATCTCTTTGGGAGTGGAGTATATGTATAAATTATTTAGAATTCCTCTTCATGGGAGTTTCATCTCTTCTCCCCATGTATTTTTTATTTGACCATCTATTTATGTCAGTATGGACTCATGAATAATTATTTTATGCTTGAGATATACTTCAGTAGTATGTTATTTATTTGCGTTTGTTGCTCTAATTGTTCTGGCATTGGCCATTGGTGGCTCTTTCATTTGCTTCCTGTGTTTCTTTGACATACCCTGTTACTGTGTTTTTGATGTAGTTATTTGTTTGTTTTGAGTACTTCCTTATTAACACTATAAGATGTTTCAAACTAATCTTGTACATTTCCCGCCCAGTCCTAGAATCAGCCACTTTTCCAAAAGCCCTGTTCCTTTTATTGGAGAAAGGTATTCGAAAACAAGATCTGGGCACTAGGTTTGTTCATTATTACTGGGGCACCACTGTTTCCAGGCCCTGTATGCAAGGAAATGTATGTATGTGTACAAACTCTTCCATATATTCATGTCTATAAATATTTTCAAATGTATCTATTTGTATCGATAAGTTAAATATTAATTAGTTCACACTGGTTTCACCAAATGTAATACATTATCACATGGATTATTCTAGGCTCCTCCTTGCTTATCTGTTTATCTGTAATCTCCCACTCCAAAAGTAAGAAAACTGGATCCCACCATCTGCCATTCATTTACATAATTGTTCAATTCTAATATACTTTTCAGAATTGTTAACCAGTACGCTTGTGAGGAAAGAAAAAAACAAAAAACCTTGTCTACTAGAAGACATTGCTATATACTGGTCTTTGGATCTTTAGTGTTATAGACTACTCATTTCCAAAGTTACTTAAGTCAGCCCCTTCAGGATGGTTGCTTCATAATCTTATAATATTTTTCACAGTCTGCATTACATCCGTGGGTCCTCTAAGTGATTTTTAAATTTGCATACATTAAGGTTTCCTGTTTGTTGTATAAAGTTCAACAGAATTGGAAAAATGCATAGTATTCTGTATCCACCATTTGAGTATTACATAGATTCGTTTCACCACCTTAGAAAAACTTCCTGTGCTTTACTTACTCAACCCAGTCCCCACCCCAAGCTCCTGGCAACCACAAATTTGTTTACCATCTCAATATCTGTGCCTATTCCAGATTATCTTATAAATGGAATCATGCAGGATAGAGACTTTTCAGACAGACTTACTGAAGCAGCTACGTTGTCTGGGGTAAATACCCTGGGTTCATTGTCTCCCCCAAGAAAATTTAGGACACGGACACACACAGGAGTTTAGGAGTGGAGGTTTAATGGGCAAAAGAAAGAGAAAGAAAAAGAAAGGAAAACAGCTCTTCCTCCAGTGAGAGAGAGGGGACTTCAGAGAGGAAAAGCCAGCCAGCAGGGCGTGCGCCAGATTTTATAGTCAGGCTTGAGGAGGTGATGTCTGATTTATGCAGGGCTCACACATTGGTTCCATCTGGTGTGACGTTTACATAGCAGGTAGGGAAGGCTGGTCGCCCTACTGTAATCTTATTATGCAAATGAACTCTCCCCTTGGCCGGTGCCATCTTATCTGCTCCTTATTGTGCACGTGGCTGGCAGAGAAGAGAAGATGGAGCTGCCATTTTGAATATATTTAGTCCCACATAGCTCTTTCCCGACAGCATTTACCCAGGCAAGCTCCCAGCTTGCTTGTCTATGTCTGCAGCTTGACTATGTCTGCAGCTTGACTTTACAGGCTGCTCTTTGTTAGAAAATGATATAGGGCTGCTTTTCATTAAAAGGAAAACCTTACTGAGGACTTCTATACCTTCACTATCTGCCTAAGCAATTTATTCTTAACTCCTGTATCATTACTTAGTAATGTACAATTTAAATTCATATGTCTTTACGTGGCTTGATAGTTCATATCTATTTGTCACTGAACAGTATTCCAGTGGAAAATGTACCATAGTTTGTTTATCGATTCAGCTTTTCAAAGACATGTTGGTTGTTTCCAGTTTTTGGAAATTATGGATAAAGCTGATATAAACAATTATACACAGGTTTTTATATAGATAAACACTTTAAAATCAGTTGGGTACATACCTATGAAACCAATTGCCAGATTGTAAAGTAAGGCCATGCTTAGCTTTGTAAAAAACTCCCAGTCTTCTATAATGCCACACCATTTTGTATTTCCATCAGCAATGAATGAAAGTTCCTGTTGCTTCATATCCTTGGCAACAATTACTGTTGTCAATATTCTGCAGAGTGGTACCTCACCATAGTTTTACCTTGCATTTCCCCAGTGACAAATAATGTTGAGCATCTTTTCATATACTTATTTGCCATTTGGATATTTTCTTTGATAAGGTGCCTGTTTAGATATTTTTTCCCATTTTTAAATTGGGTTGTGTGACTAATGAGTGTTAAGAGATCAAACCCAAAATGTCAAAGATTTTCTTCTGAAAAACGTTTACTTCCTCAACTTGTATGTTTCACGTTTTGCATTAAGGTATATTTTTCTGTAGGTTGTAAGGTCTGTGATAGTTTATTTTTCGAGGAAAGGTGACATATAAACATTATATTTGTTGAAAAAAACTGTCTCCATTGAATTGTCTATGTACTTTTCCCAAAAGTTTGCTGATTATATTTGTATAGGTCAATTTCCGAGTTTAATCTGTCCGTCTAATTTGTCACCAGTTCCACACTGTCATGATTGCTGTAGGTATATGCTAAGTTTTGAAATTATGTATGAATGCTCCAGTTTTGATTTTTTTCAGCATTGTGTTGGTTGTTCTAGGTTTTTGGGTTTCCCATATAAATTTTAGAATCTGTTGATTTGAAAAAAAAAAAGTACACTAAGATTTTGACATAGATTTCAGTGAATCTTTGTATTAAATTGGGCAGAATTGACACCTTAACAATTTTGTATTTAAATTAAAGAATAGAGAATCTCTCTCCATTTATTTCTATCTTCTTTGATTTCTTTCATTAGAGTTTTGTAGTTTTCTGAATACATATTCTGTAAATATTTGTTAGGTTTATGCCTAAATATCATATTTTTATGCTATTATAAATGTATTTTTAAATTTTAAATTCCACTTGTTCATTGTTGAGATATATATATATCAAATATATATATCAGATATATATAATATAATATATATCAGATATATATTATATATATAATATATATATAAAATATATATCAGATATATAATATATATATAATATATATATAAAATATATATATATTTAATAGGCTAAATAGCAAGGTCACTGAATACAAGGCCGATACACAAAACCAACTGCTCTTTAGCTTATTAATTCCAGGAGGGACTTTTCTGAGAGGAGCAGTTCTACATAGACAATAATTTTATCTATGAACAAAGAAAGTTTTATTTCTTGATTTTCAAAATGTATAGCTTTTATTTATTTTTCTTGTCTTATTGCACTAGATAGAACTTCCAGTACTATGTTGAATATTTTGCTGAATAATCTCTTATCTATGTCCATGAGATACCTGTTCTGAAGTTTTTCTTTCTTGCAATGGCATTATCTGGGAAAGACTGAACTCATACATTGAGTTAGAAAGTGCTCTCTCCAGAAAAAATTGCAGAGAATTGGTAACATTTTCTCTCCTTAAATATTTGGCTGAATTTACCCATAAAACCGTCTGAACTTGAAGTCTCCATTTTATTTTATTTTATTATTTTATTTTAACTTTTTGAGACAGGGCCTTGCTCTGTTGCCCAGGCTAGAGTGCAATGATGCAATCATGGCTCACTGCATTCCTTACTCCCATGGTTAAAGCAGTCCTCCCCACAAGTAAGGCTCCTGAGTAGCTGAGACTACAAGTGTGCCCCATCCTGCCTGGCTAATTTTTTAATTTTTGAGAGACCAGGTTTTGCATTTTGCTATATTGCCCAGAATGGATGCCTTCTTTTTTGGAAGATTATTTCTTAGTGATTCAATTTATTTTATCAATGTAGGGCTACTCAAGTTATCTATTTCTCCTTGTGTTGGTTGTAGGTTTTTTCTTTTGGTTTGGTTTTTGTTTTTCTTGGTATGTGTATTTCAAGAATTCCATTTTATCTAAATTTTTAAATTTGTAGGGACGGAGTCACTCGTCATATTTCTTATCATTTGAATGCCCATTGGATCCAATATGATTCTCTTTCTTTCTTTTCTGATATTAGAAATTTATCTTCTCCCTTTTTTCCTTGGTTAGCCTGGTTAGAGGTTTATAAATTATGTTAATTTTTTCCAAGAACCAGCTTTTAGTTTCATTAATTTTTCTCTTTTGTTCTATTGTTTTCAATTTCATTGATTTATTCTCTAACCTGTATTTTTTTCTGTTCAATTTAAGCTTAAATTGTTCTTCTTCCTCTAGTTTCATAAGGTGGGAGCTTAGGTTATAGATTTTTAATTTTTCTTCTTTTCCTTTTTTAGCTCTCAGGACCATTTTTTTATTTTTAATTTTTAACTTTTATTTTAGGTTTGGGGGTGCATGTAAAGGTTTGTTATATAGGTAAACTTGTGTCACAGGGATTTGTTGTACAAATTATTTCATCACCCAGGTACTAAGCCTAGTACCCAATAGTTAGTTTTTCTGCTCGTCTCACTCCTCCCACCCTCCACCCTCAAGCAGACCCCAGTGTCTATTGTTCCCTTCTTTGTGTTCATGAGTTCTCATCATTTAGCTCCCACTTACAAGTGAGAACATGCAGCATTTGGTTTACTGTTCCTGTGTTAGTTTGCTAAGGATAGTGGCCTCCAGCTCCCTCCATGTTCCTGCAAAAGATGCGATCTCCTTCTTGTTTATGGCTGCATAGTATTCCACGGTGCATATGCACCACATTTTCTTTATCCAATCTGTCACTGATGGGCATTTAGTTTGATTCTGTGTCTCTGCTATTCTGAATAGTGCCTCAGTGAATATTTCCGTGCATGAGTCTTTATGGCAGAATGACTTATAATCCTCTGGGTATATGACCAGTAATGGGATTGCTGAATTGAATGGTAGTTCTGCTTTTAGCTCTTTGAGGAATCACCATACTGCTCTCCACAGTGGTTGAACAAATTTACACTCCCACTAACAGTGTATAAGTGTTCCCTTTTCTCTATAATCTTGCCAGCATCTGTTATTTTAATGTGTGTTTGATGTCTGTCCACTATTATCATTTGCATCTCACAAATTTTGATAAATTGTATTTTATTTTCATTTAGTTGAAAGTATTTCTTTTTAATTTTTCATGAGGTGTCTTTGATCCATGTGTTATTTCAAAGAATGTTGTTTAATTTTCAAATACGTGGGGATTTTCCAGCTGTTTTTCCTTTATGGATTTCTAGCTTAATTCCCTTGGTGGTCTGAAAGCATACTTTGTGTAATTTCTAGTTATTTAAAGTTGTTAAGATTTGAGTTGTGGCACAGAATATGATCTATTTTGCTGAATATTCCATATGAGCTTGAGAAAAACATAAATTCTGCTTTGTTGAGTGAAGTATTCTATAAATGACAATTAGATCATGTTGATTAATGGTGCTATTTAAGTCATCTAGATTGTTACTGATACTCTGCTTGCTTGATTAATCATTACTGACAGAGGTTGCTAAAATCTCTAACTAGAATAACGGATCTGTCTATTTCTTCTTTTATTTCTATCAGAATTTGTCTCATATATTTTGATGCTCTATTGTTAGGTGTATATTCATTTGGATTGTCACATTTTCTTGCAGTATTGACCTTTATATTATTATGTAATTCCTCTACTTATACCTGATAACATTCCTTATTCTAAAGTCTGGATTTTCTGAAATTAAGAGAAATACTCCAGCTTTATTTGGATTCATGTTAGCATGGTATATATTTCTATATCTATTCACTTTTAATTTATTTGAATTTTTACATCTAATGTGACTTTTTTGTAGACAACATACAGTTGTATCTTATATTTATCCTCTCTGGAAATCTTTAATTGAGGTATTTAGACCACTCACACTTAAAGTGACTATAAATATTGTTTGATTAATATCTACTATTTTTGTGTTTTCTGTTGTTTTCTTCTTTGATTTTTCCCTCTTTCTCTGCTTTATTTGGTTTTAATTGAGCGTTTAACGTGACTCCTTTTTATTGACCCTCTCAGCATATCAATTAACTTCTTTTTATGCAAAATTAGGGGCTGTCTTAGGATTTACACTGCAAATTTTTAACTAATCTATGTTCACCTTCAAATAATGCCATACTCCTCATGTTTAGTGCAGGTTTTTTATGACAGAGTATCCTCAGTTTTTCCTTCCTATCCTGTGACACTGTTTTATTTCAGTTATTCATGTACTATAATTACCCAAGACATTGTTCCTGTTATAAGTAACTAGTTGCATGTTACAGCAATTAAGAAGAAAAAAATATATATTTTATTTGATCTTGACCTATTCAGTAACTCTTCCTTTTTTATTTAGATCCATGTTTCTGGCCTATGTAACTTTTTTTCTGCTAAAGAACATCTCTTACTATTTCTTACAGGCAAGTTCTGCTGATGATAAATTTTATTAATTTTTGGAGGGTTTGGTAAGGTATTTTTTCTTCACTTTTGAAGGATACATTCACTGGATATAGATTTCTAGGTTGGTGGTTACTTCTTTCAACATTTTAAATACTTCACTGCACTCTACTTTTGCTTTCATGGCCTGCCAAGGAAACTATCGTAATTTTTATCCTTGTTTCTCTGTAAGTGAGGTGCTTTTGACTCTGGCATCTTTCAAGATTTTCCCTTAGTATGTGGACTTCTGCAATTTGAAGATAATATGCTTAGAGGTGTGTCTGTGTCTGTGTATGTGTAGGGTTTGTGTGTGCTTATGTTTACTCTAGTTCATGTCCTGAGCTTTCTGAACCTATGATTTAGTGTCTGTAATTAATTTTTGAAAGGTCTCTGTTATTATTACATCAAATATTTTTTTTTCTGCTCCATTATTTCTTCTCTTTCTTGGATTGTAATCATTCATATGGCAGACCTTTTATTATTGTCCCCACAATTCTTAGATATTCTGTTTCTTTTTTCTATTTTTATTAATCCAAAAAGTTTATTTTTCTTTTATCTTTTATTTGCATTTTAGTTTGGGCAATTTCTTTTGACTTATATTTAGGGTCACTGATAATTTTTGTAAATATATTCAGACTATTGAAAAGCCCATTAAATATATTTTTATTTCTATTATAGTATTTGGATAGTATAGGCTTGCCTTCTAATTCGTTCTTAGATTTTTGTCTTTTCTGTTTATATCGGCCATCCGTTATTGCATGTTGTCAACTTCTTTTTTTAGAGCCATTACCATATTATTTATAGTATGTCTAATGATTCCAATATCTATGTTATATCTGAGTCTTGTTACAATATTGCTGTATCTCTTTAGAATATGGTTTTTCATTGCTTTTGCCATGCTTTGTGCTTTTTGCTGAAATCTGGACAAGTTGAACTGGCAATGGAAACTGAGATAAATAGGCCTTTAGTGTGAAGATTTTTGCTTATCTAGCTAAGAGTTGGGCTGTGTTTAATGTTTACTGTATCTATAAGTGACAGAAGCTTAAAATTACTCTGGCTTTCTAAGTATTTCCTTCCCTCTTGACTTTGGGCTTCCCTAAATAGTCTTCCTCAAAGTCTCTCTTGCAGCGCTTTCAGCTGTAATCCACTGTTACTGTACTGTAGCCTTGTTGGAGTGTTGGTAAAATGTGGAGGAGCAAAGATCTTTCTATAACACTCTGATTAAATATCAGTCTTCTGGTCTAATGTAACTTTCACAGGGGTTTCTCTAGTGGCATGGCTTCTCTCCCAAATCCCTGACCGCTACTCCCTTCCCTGGCTACTGTGTTCCGAATCTTTTTCTGTAAGGCCCTTACCTCTTTTGCGAGACAGGAAGGCTGGAGGGAGCTACTGTGTGAAGAATTACCTTCTTCCAGCTGGGATAAGGCTCTGGAAAATGGCTTTCCTCCGATGAGTAGGAAAGGAATTTCCTACACCTGTTACAAAGGTGACTCTGGGTGTATGTCGAAATGATTACGGTTCCACAAATCGTGCTTGAGCTAGGTGATGTCTCTGAGATCTTCACTATGTGAATCTAATGGGATTTATAGAGATCAAGCTCATAAAACGGTGTCCCCTTCAAGACTAAGGCCCACAGGAGATTCTCACTCTCACTCTACTCTAGTCCACATGTACCCTCCAGCAGGTTGTCATAATTACTATTTAAATATTACTACTAATCAATGGCTCCCGTGCCTTCTTCTGCCGGTAAGCAGTTTTCTGCATGTCTCCCGATGCTCTTGTCTTTCCAGATTCTAGAATGATGGTTTGCCCTGCTACTTCAGCTATCTCATAGACCCAAGGAAAGTACTTGTTTTTCAGTTTGTCAAGGTTTTTTTGCTGTTATTGTAAAGATTAGAGTGATGACTTCAAGCTCTTTACTTGTTGAAATTGAAACTAGAAGTTTTATTAGACCTTAAGTTTTGCTCTTTTTCCAAGATCAAGGAGTAAGTTACTTATTTCACTCTTTGATTCAGATAAATTTGCTTTGCAATTTTGATTGCTACCTAAACGATGAGTGCCGTTCTTCTGGTCCAGCTTTGCTAACAATGGCTAAGTAGAGTTGCATCCCTCTGTTAGAAAAATTACTAAAATAAAAGGCCATTCTGACTCCTTTCATACATGCAGAGCAAAATAGAAGAAATAGTCTACTTTCATTGCCAAAGAATTGTAGTTAGTATTTTTTGCATCTTAAAATTTCTACTGAATATCTGAATAATTGTTCCCTTTTTCTAAATCAGAAGAAGTTAATAATAATAGTGAAAAAAATGGCATAATTACCTGCCATTTATCATTGTTTATATCACTCATCTAGTACCTATGCTTATGACCAATGCTGTACAGTTTATTTCATTTCTGTGAAATAATAAACTTAAATGACTTTAAGAAAATTTTCAAACGGGAATTATTTCTTATCTATATTGATGTGTATGTGCAATGTGTGTGTAATGCCAAGAGAAACCCCTCTAGTCAGAGAAACTGGAAAAAGGGAGCCCTGTGGTCTGAAGAGTGTGAATGAAAAATATGAATCCCATTTTTATTCCTTCTCTCTTTTCCTTCACTTTGCCTCAAGGGTGGCTCCAGTCTACCTCCAAGAGAAGAAAGAGCTAGAGAAGCAGATACCCTAATTCTGTGTATAAATGGACACAAGTTCTTAACTCCACCTTGAGCATCACTGCTAAAAATTGAAAGTTTGTCTCTCCCAAAATTCATATGTTAAAACCTAATCACCATTGAATTGGTATTGAGAAGTAGGGCCTTTGGGAATGTATTACATTATGAGCCCTCATTAATGGAATTAGATTCCTTATAAAACAGACTCTGAAGCACACTCTTGCCCCTTAAGCCACATGAGGCCATAACAGACGATCATAACATCTGGATCATAACATCTATGGACCAGAAATAGTCCTTCATCAGACACTGAATCTTCTGTCACTTTTATATAGAGCTTCCTAGCCTTGAGAACTATGAGAAATAAATTTCTGTTGTTTATAAGCCACTCAGACTGTTTTTTTTCCGTCCTTCCTTTTGTTTTTTGTAATAGCAACCAAATGGACTAAGACAATGCATTTGTGGAACAGACCCAAAATAGCATAGCAATGTCTGTGAACAGGAAACTACTCCATGAAATAGACTAATGTCTGAGTGGTGCATTCATGGGAAAGATCCAAAGCAATGTAGTAAAGGGTTTGAAAACATTGGGAAAACCCTTCTAGACATTGGCTTAGGCACAGATTTCGTAAGCAAAAACCCAAAAGCAAATGCGGTAAAAACAAAGATAAATAGCTGGGATCTAATTAAACAAAAGAGCTTTTGCACAGCAAAAGGAACATCCAGCAGAGTAAACAGACACCCCACAGAGTGGGAGAAAATTTTCACAATCTATATATCTGACAAAGGACTCATATCCAGAATCTACGACAAACTCAAACAAATCAGTAAGAAAACAAACAATCACATCAAAAAGTGGGGTAAGGATATGAATAGACAATTCCCAAAAGAAGATGGCCAACAAACATATGGCCAACAAAGTGGCCAACAAACATATGAAAAAATGCTCAACATCACTAATGATCAGGGAAATGCAAATCAAAACCACAATGTGATACCATCTTACTCCTGCAAGAATGGCCATAATCAAAAAATTGAAAAACAGTAGATGTTGGTGTGGATGTGGTGACCAGGGAACACGTCTACACTGCTGGTGGGAATGTAAACTAGTAGAGCCCCAATGGAAAACAGTGTGGAAATTCCTTAAAGAACTAAAAGTAGAACTACTACTTGATCCAGCAATCCCACTGCTGGGTATCCACCGAGAAGAAAAGAAGTCGAAAAAGATGCTGTACACGCATGTTTATAGCAGCACAATTCACAACTGCAAAATCATGGAACCAACCCAAATGCCCATCAATCAACTAGTGGATAAAGCAACTGTGGTATACCTATATGTAATGGAATACTACTCATCCATAAAAAGGAATGAATTAATTGCATTTGCAGTGACCTGGATGAGACTGGAGACTATTATTCTAAGTGAAGTAACTCAGGAATGGAAAAACCGAATGTCCTGTGTTCTCACTAATATGTGGGAGCTAAGCTATGAGGACACAAAGGCAAAAGAATGATACAATGGACTTTGGGGACTTGTGGGGAAGAGTGGAAGTGGGCGAGGGATTAAAGACAACATATATGGTGCAGTGTATACTGCTCGGTGATGGGTGCACAAGGATTTCACAAATCACCACTAAAGAACTTACTCATGTAACCTAATACCACCTGTACCCCAATAACTTATGGAAAGTAAATAATGAAAAATAAAAATAATAAAATGATATTTGGAAACATTACCCACAGAAAGTGAAACAGAATTTGAAGTCTGATATTAGTGAGGTTTATTGTCTGCTAGACAAACAAAATAGCAGCATTCTCCAGAGGATTATAACAAGATCCAGAGTCTCACGACATGATTTTCAAAATGTTCAAAAGACAACATTAGTTATTTTGATGTACAAAAGAACTAGGAAAATAACCAATTGTAAAGGATTATCTTTTGATAACCAACAGATATCATCCTGAGATCCCTAGAGGTTGGAATTATCAAAGACTTCAAATCATCTATTATAATTACATTCCATGAAGTAAAGGTAAACACTCTTGAAATAAATCAGAAGTAAAAGCCCTAGGCATAGAAATAGAAGTTATGCAAAAGAACCAAATGGAAATTTTTATAATTGAAAAATATAATCTCTGAAATAAAAAATTTACTGAATGGACTCATTAGCAAAATGGATAGAACTGAGGACAGTCAATGAACTTGAAGGTAGTTCAATAGAAATTACTCAACCTGAACAACAGATTAAATATTTAAAAATAGCTTATCTACATTTGGATAAAAATAAACACACTTTAGGGTTATTATCAAAAATATATTCTGCATGAGTCTGAAGAAGTAGTAAAATACCAAGACTCTCCCTTATTATGATATAATAATAAAAAAATTGGATATATACATCTTACTTGGTCATAAAAATGTGTAATACTTGGGATTGTCCATGAGGTGTATATATTCCCCTGAGGGAGGTACTAAGTAAAACCTTGGATAATCAAAGATTAGAAAAAAGGTTTGAGGTTTGCATAAATATTTAATCTAATTTTTATACTGCTGTCTGGGGTCAAGTCAGTGTAGCTAGCAAATAATAAAGTTGTCATTTGACAATGTTTCAACATTGTTACATCTGTTTTATAACCAATAGTTATTGCTTCACTGAAGAATTCCTAGACTGGGGGAAGTTAGGTGCACCTGCTCCTGATGCATTCACTGGGGACTTGGTCTAATATGGGGGCAATCTCAGCAGCCTGTTCTTTGTACTAATGTTTCCATGCTTCTTCCTGCCTTTGAGGGATTTCAGTTCTTATAAGGCCGTGAAGTTAAGGCTGACCATACAATGGTACATTTCAAATGTTTAACTGTTTCTAATCTGATGGATCTGAAAAGGTATCTCATGGTGGTTTGATGTGCATTGTTCTGATTAACAGTGCAGGCAGTACCCACGTAGCATAGTGGTGTGGGGCTTTAAAAATGACTATGCAGACTGAAACCATGCAAAGTGATCTGAATAATCAATGGAATAAATTAAAGTTGTTCTTTGACCTTTAAAAATTGTTGTCAAAACATTTAAAACTCTCTTACTCTTGTTTATAAATATATAGAAAAATGAAAAAAGTAATGCTAGTATTTACTAAGTACACAGTAATTTAAAACATTAGAAAAATAGAGAATTAGTGTTTTATTTCTTTAAAAACAAATTAAGAGCAGTTTAATGCTTGTGCTTTCTTGTTGTGTAACATGATGCAGAGAAAGCATTTTTCCTGTCCCTCGGTGAATTGTCATACTACTCCTTTCTAAATTTGGAATATTTTATCCTTTCACTATGATAAAAGTATAAATATCTGACATGTCCATTATGGTGAAGTTTTTTGCAGCACCAATTTCTCTGGGACATCTTTATCCTTTTTATTATAACCATGCTCCTCATTCACATCAATAAGTTTATCTTCACTATTTTACTCTGGCATCACATTGGAACCTCTCAAGTGGTGGCAGTGTCAGCACTCCCATCATGAGCTAGCTTCTTTGTAACTCCACTTATATTTGTTTCAAATTTCACTTCCAATGTTATTGCTGTATTTCTTTGCTGCACTTTCATCTTTGTTGGCCAATTCCTTCTCTGTAAAATGTTACATGGTGCTACTCCTAGCAAGGAAGCAACACAGGCTAGGCACAGTGGCTTGTGCTTATAATATCAGCACTTCTGGGAGGCCAAGGCAGGGAGAATTGCTTGAGGCCAGAAGTTTGAAAACATCCTGGGCAACAGAGTGAGACCCTATCTCCATATATATATGTATATTATATATTATATGTATATTATATATATAATATACATATATATATTTAAATTAACTAGATGTTGTGGCATGTACCTGGAGTACCAGCTACTTGGGAGGCTGAGGCTGAGGATCACTTGAGCCCCGGAGATTGAAGCTGCAGTGAGCCATGATTACACCACTGCACTCCAGCTAGGGCCACAGAGTGAGACCCTGTGTCTAAGGAAGAAAAAAAGGAAGACGAAGAAGGAGGAGGAGGAGCAGAAGGAGCAGGAGGCGGCGGCGGTGGCACACAACTATATGGATTGTTGACTGTTTATAAATTAGATAACAGATGTGCAATGACCAATTATTCATAGACTTAAAAAGAGGTGAGATAGTCAATCACTGATCATCATGAGCTTCTGTTATTTACACGGTAAACTGAAGAACTAGCAGCAAAGTTTGTACTTCATGTAATTACTCACAGTTAATATACCCTGGTGCTTGAAATTTAAACTATGTTGTTGGAATACTTGTGTTGTTTAACTAAACTTTGTGACTAAAATCTGGGCATATGAGAACTGTGCAAAGTGAGGACTGCCTGATATCTAGAGCATCCCTTAATATGCATATTGGCCTTTCAGATCTCCTGTCATGAAAATTGCTGGTTTCAAACTTTTGACACTTTTTTCTATTCGGTAGCACATCTTTTTCTTGTTGATTTTCAATGAGCTCTTATGTGTGTTCAACATATTTACCTTTGTTAGTCACATACAAAGTAAAGTTTTCCATTTGTAACGTATCTTTCAGCTGTTTAAGCTGTTGTCATTGAGATTATATTTTTCATTTTAATGTAGTAAAATGTGTCTACCTTTCCCTTTATTGTGATTTTTATCTTTTCCAGAAGTGCGTTTGTACTCTGCTACTGTAAATATATACTCTTATATTTTCTTATAAAAGTTTTTTTAATAAGTGGATTAGAGTTTATTAAGTGAAGGAGGTGTGGCACAAATAAATGTGTGTAACACCAAACTGAACAGAATCTGGGGTTTTTGAAGAAAAAATCTTTCAGTTACAGTTACACACAGGGCCACTTTCTCCCCTAAAGACTCAGGGGTCTCTCAAAGGAGAAGAGGAAATAAGTCTCATGGTAGGGCCAATGATTGCTCTTGGGTCTTGGAATAATGTTGACAGAGCTTTCAAGGCCAGACAACGGGCTAGGGGTCAAGACTCCATAGCAGATGCAGCAAGATTGCTGTGACTGTGAAGCCCTGAGTGGTAATGCAGGTGCGTGTCATGAGCTGAAAGCACTGGCTATGGCCCTGGTAGAAGCAGTAGAAGAGGCTGTAGGTAAGGGTGATGGCCTTGCTCAGGCAACCTATGGGTACTGTTGGGTTCTTGCATGTCTTTGCAAAGGAACTTTTCCTTGAAACCTTCTGGATTGCTGCAGTGGGGCTAAACCCCTCAATGACTGCAGGCTGCGACAGTTCAAAGGGTGCCCCCGGAGTCACAGGGCTGGGATTCACCATGGGCAACTGTGGAGAGAAAATCTATAATTTGCTTTTCTTGTCTTATTGCATTCTATGTATTTTCATTTCCACTGTAATGCTGGATAGGGTGATAGTACCAGATATTCCTAAGTTATTTTCTGACACTGACAGGAATGCTTCTAATTTTTGAAAATCAAATAGTGTGGTTTTTGGTAAGTACTCATAGATTTACATTATAAGAATAGGAATGTTTTCTTTTATTCTGTTAGAAGTATTTGTGTTGAATAGATTTTGCATTTTATCAAATTATTATTCTGTTTGGGATAATCATATGATTTTTCTTCCTTAATCTTAAATTTAATGCATAAAAATATAGTCTAAAAGCATACGAAGGCAATGACAATATATGAGAATCAACAACCTACTGTCTTCACATAGCACACTTAAGCTCCATTAGCCAGCATCATTAATCAATCTTTTCTCTGTAAGATAACTACCATGGGGAACCTCCTTCTAGGGTAATTGTTGTACAGAGCAGAGGTGCCTCAGTGAAGTCAACTCTGGTTGAATCTCTGTAATGAGCTCCTTCATCTAGTTCAAAGGAAAGGTGAGCCTTTTATTTTATTTTATTTTATTTTATTATTTATTTATTTTGCCTCTGCCTGGCTGTTTGCCTTTCTGTGCTTTCAAACACAGATTGCATTGAGGAATAATTATCTTGAGTCATGGAATCAAACAAAGTAATTTAGAACAACTTGCATTCACCTCATACTCTTACATTCAACTTTGAGCTTACAAAATGGTACGGCACTGAGCCATGTGGTTGAAGTCCCAGGAATTCACATTCATTGATATGCAAGCACAAGATCTATGTTAGTCTAAGCTGTTAGGTTTCACTTGTAAATGACCATCTTCATACTCATGCTCACTCCTCTATGTCATCTTCTTTATCACCCTCGAAGTGAGTTTATGAAGCTCTCTCCTGAAAACTGAAGACTGAACTAGAGGTGACTGGGCAGACACAGTAACTGCCACGTGGAGGCTCACATGCTTTGCAAGTCTGCTTTGCTCACAGAGATACAAAACAGGGATTGATTCTATCCCACTGTGGGGTTTCTGCAGGCTCCTGCCAGATACAATTATGTCTTTAAAACAAAAATAAACCCAACAAAGAGAAGAGTATGATGAGCAGCTCAGGAGCACAGCTTTTTTGGCAGCGTTTATCAAAATCCAGCTGACTTTCATTTGGTTTTCATTGTGCCTACAAACAGGAAAGGCAGGATTCATAGCCTGCCAAAGAGCCACACTTCCCTTTTGAAGCAACTGTATCAGAAAGGCACATTGCTGATACCTTTCAAATCAGCCTACGGAAGGAAAAGAAGAGGCTGTGTTTAATCCACTCAGCCCTACATCATTCCCACAAACTTCCACCTACACACCACCAACACACATACCAGGCACTCCTTAAATGTAATCCACGTCTCTGTAAGAAGATGAAATGTGCTTCAAAATGGCCACAGAAAGCTCCCTGGCCCCCTACTCCATACTCTCTTCAGCAATCAGGGAGAGGAAATGCTAGACAGCTTTATGTATTTGTTTACTTGCTTATTATTTATTTTTCTTTGTTCATTTTCTGTAAGCTAAATGTTAATGGGATTTTAAAAAACACTTTTGTTACTGCCTTATTCATAGAATCCAAAACAGTGTTTGGCATATATTAAGTGCTCAATAAACTTCTGTTGAAAGGAGAATAAATAAAATAATATTTTCTTCCATTTCAACTAGCATGGTGTTTGTAAGTAAGATACTTGCTGGAGAGATTTATATAAAGAATGACAAATTCATGAAATTCTATTATCTCCTATGGTGTGTCTGCGTTGGAGCTCTTCTGAGGAATGTAATAATTCAAGTTTGAGGGTTTGGTACTGATTTAAATTTCTAATACTGAAATGAGATGAAAACATCACTGGGTAGATGTAAAAGGGAATTTGGATTGTATTTAACTCTCTTCCTTTTCCAACCTCTTTCCTATTGTCCTAATTCCAGGAATACCTCTAAATCTGGAATTGCAGATAGTTGAGTTCTGTACCTGAATGACCTAAGGCTCTTGGGAAAGAAGGTTATAGACTGGGTGGATCGGATCCTTTAGCAAAGAGAAACCTAGTAAAACCAGGTCTAGTCCAGACCTCGTTTCTCAGGGAGGCATTTGGGCCACCAAGATCTCCTCAAGATTTAGGATTGTGAAATAACAACTAGTGCCAATATTTAGGGGATTAAGTTAAAGTTTCCTAAGGAAATTGATCAGGCGTCCAATTAATCAGATTTAATATTTTGTAAAGAAGGAAAAGGAATTGGCACAATTTTGTCCCCATGCTGAGATCTTTCAGAAAGGCAAAATATATTAAGTGGCAAGGCACTTACATATCTCCCTACTAAGTATCAGGAAATAATTTTGTTTTCATGTTAAGTGTATATGCCTGTCTATATCTGTGTATTGAATGTGTATGTTGTGTCTGTATGTGTAGCAAGTGTGTGTATGTAATATGTGTATGTGTGCAAATATACATGCATGCACTCATTCAGCAAATAGCTACCTATTTATATATCTAACAGGTTTCAGATGTGGAGATAGAGAAGTGAGCATGTGTAGACACAGTGTTTCTTGTTCACTTAAATTGGTGTTATTCTTATCATAATGAATGAAACAAATCTTATTTTCCTCTAAATATCTTAAAGTAGGCAAGCATAGACCTTTCTTGACTTAGATCAAAACGTTGGTGCCAGAAACAGAATTTAAAGGAAAACAACAGAATGCAATCTAAAGTTATGAGTATCAAGTTTGGCTTTCTCATGATTTGGGGGAAGTCTGACTTTTTTGTAGCCTTCATATGAACCACCACTAATGGTATAAGAAAATGCGGTGTCTCTGAGAGAAATAGGACCTATACAAAGTGACCTGAAAGACACGGGAAAAGATGAATTCTAAAAAGTATTTCACCTCACAAGTTTTCACTTAATGCTAAGATTTCTACTGCTAGAGTTCCTTTTTAGGTTTATCACTGCCTCTATTAAAACACACATACATTGCGCATCACTTAATGATGGGGGTACATTCTGATTAATGCATCATTAGGCAATTTTGTCACTGTGCTAACATCACAGAGTGCATTTATACAAACCTAGATGGTATAGCCTACTGCACACCTAGGCTATATGGTATAGCTTACTGATTCTAGGCTACAAACCAGTACAGTATGTTGTTATACTGAACACTGTAGACAATTATAGCACAGTGGTAAATATTTGTGTATCCAAACATGGAAAAGACTAAAAAAGGGTATAAAAGATAAAAAATAGTATACCTATATAGGGCACTTACCATGAATGGAGCTTGCAGGACTGGAAGTTGCTCTGGGTGAGTCAGTGAGTGAGTGGGGAGTGAATGTGAAGGCCTAGGACCTTACTCTACACTACTGTAGGCTTTATCAACACTGGACACTTAAGCTACACTAAATTTACTAAAAGAATTTTATAAATATTATTAAGGTTAATAATAAGTTAATCTTAGTTTACTGTAACTTTTTACTTTGTGAATTCTTAATTTTTAAAAATCTTTTTGACTCTTGTAATAACAGCTCAAAACACACATTGTACAACTATATAAAAATATTTTTCTTAGTTCTTATTCTATAAGCATTTTTCTTTTCCTTTTTTTTTCTTTTCTTTTTTCTTTTTTTTTTTGAGATGGAGTCTTGCTCTGTCGCCCAGGCTGGAGTGGAGTGGCGTGATCTCGGCTCGCTGCAAGCTCTGCCTCCTGGGTTCATGCCATTCTCCTGCCTCAGCCTCCCAAGTAGCTGGGACTACAGATGCCTGCCACCATGCCTGGCTAATTTTTTTGTATTTTTTTTTCAGTAGAGACGGGGTTTCACCATGTTAGTCGGGATGGTCTCGATCTCCTGACCTTGTGATCCACCTGCATCGGCCTCCCAAAGTGCTGGGATTACAGGTGTGAGCCACCACGCCCAGCCTCTATAAGCATTTTTCTATTTTAAAAATTATTATTTTTCTTTTTTACTTTCTAAACTTTTTGTTAAAAACTAAGACATAAACACACACATTAGCCTAGGCCTACACAGGGTCACGATCATCAATATCACTGTCTTCCACCTCTACTTCTTATCCCATTGGAACCTTTTCAGGGGCAATAAGAAGCATGGAGCTGTCATCTCCTATGATAGCAATTCCTTTTTCTGGAAACCTCCTGAAGAACCTGCCTGAGGCTGTTTCACAGTTGACTTTCTTTTTATAAGTAGAAGGAATGCACTCTGAAATAATGATTAAAAGGTATAATAAATAATCAACCAGTAACAGTCATCCCTTTTCAAGTATTATGTACCGTACATAATTGAATGTGCTAGACTTTTATATGACTGGCAGAGCAGTAGGTTTGTTTACCTCAGCATCACCATAAACACGAGTGTAGCGATTTGTACCCTGACTTGGGATGGCTACAACATCACTAGGCAACAGCAATGTTTCGGCTTCACTGGCATCTTTGGAGACCACTGTCATATCTGCATCCATCATTGACTGAACCATGGTTATGCAGTGCATGACTGTAATCCAGAGTGAGTGAGATTGTAAGCTGCTGTAAATTAATATCATCTTAATGTGATTATCTTACTGAAATCTTTCCAAAAGACAGTTCATTGTGTCCAGGGCACAGCAGACAAGAGATGAGGAGGTGCTCTCCAGGGCAAGGCACTGCATTGGGATTCCCTTTGGCCAAAAGGCTGACCCAAGCTGGGGAACGGGAAGGGTGAAGAAGAGAGGAGGGAACTGAGTGGGGGCAGACTGGGGTTTACTCTGATGCAAAATAAGGATTATTAGCTATATAGGGATCATATTTCTTGTATTTACACTCATGAGACCAAGAACGCATGGTAAACATTAAATTGTGTGCATCTGTAATTATCATATTATACTCACAGAATCAGAAAGTACTGTATGTTAAGTGGCACACAAAGAAAATCCATTGTCCTTTAAGTCCTCATATTAAAGTGACTACAGATTGCTAGGTGAGAATTTATAATTTTGGAGTGTTTTAAGATTATTGGATATGTATGAAAAGCAAGTATAAAAGTCCTCATTGTGTATCAAATGAAAGAGACCCTGGAGGAGACAGCTGGGCTAATCAGAAACTAAATTTTATTCTAAAACCAGAATGCCAATCTGGTGATTTACAAGGGTAAATGTAACTTCCAAGATAAGAGGAAACCAGCATGTCTGCTTACTCCAGGGTAGCCACATGGGAAGCTGAATGATCTGGGCATTTAGGGATGGACTTGAGAGTTGCATAGACATGGCTGTGAACCCTGTCTCTGCCACGGACCAGCTTGTGCTCTGGTTTTCTAACCTTTCTAAACCTCAGCTAATGCACTTGTTCTGTATTTTCTGTAAAATGGAGGAAATAGTTCTTACTTGAAAGGGTTATGATACCATGTGTGTAAAGAGAAGAGCACAGTATTGATACTAGTTAGGCAAACAGTAAATGGTGGTTTTTATCATTACTCATATCATTCAAATAGATGATGACATCAGCTCTGGTGTGGCCCTCAGACTAAGTCCTTCTCCTCTGAAACAGTATTGGAATAGAAACTTGCTGATGTTTAATGGGTTCATAAGTAGTGGATTCCTACCTTTAAATTTTTGCTCTCCTCTGATTCATGAACTTGGTTTAATGTTTGCTATTGAAGGTTAAAGAATTGTGGAAAGATTATAGCAACAGCCAGGCAAAAATTAGTTTTTGCTTTGCTGTGAAGCCTCATACAATGCCAGTATCCTGGTACACTGCCCAGATTTCAGGGTCTAGTCTCAACTCCCTAGTTTCAGAAAGTATAGCTTGTCATTGCCCCAATTTTACTGGAACCACAGAGATATTTTAAGACTAACTAAACACAATAGATATATAAATTATCTGAATGCCAGTTTAGTTTATTAATATTGATGGAGATTGGCGTGAAAATGTTTCCAGGAAACAGTGTTCAAGCATTTTACTGAGGCATGTTTTCCTCCAAGAATCTATGAACTGTGGGCTATGAGTTGACTGACAAGAATTTGAACAATGGGAAGTCGATTGTCAAGAAAAACGTTTCATGCAGACTTCAACGAGGCCTAAACATCCTTGCACTGAAGCATAATTTTATTGTGACCTTTCTAACCAACAAAGAGTCATTATATCCCTGTGACTCAAACATGTTTGTCACAATAGTACTGTATAACAAATCACCCTATGACTCAAGACATCGTAACATTAAACATTTATTTAGCTCACATGTCTGTGGACCAGTGGTGTAGCCTGGACTAGCTGGGTATTCTGGCCTTAGCTGAATTCACTCTCACATCTGGCAGTGGGCTATCATTGAGCTAAAGTGAGTGATGACTTAGCCATGTATCTTTCTTCTTCCAGCAGGAAAGAAGGAATATGTTCTCATGGCAGTGTCAGTGGGTAAGAACTGAGCCCAAGGTGCAAGCTCATGTCAAGCTCTGTTTAAGTCATATTTGCTAAGTCTGTTGGTCATGGCAAATCATATAGACAAGCTTGGAATTAGTGAGTGAAGGCACTAAAAGTTACCCAGAAAGGGCAATGGACATAGGGAAGTGTGAAGAATCAGGACCATCAATGCAATTGATTGATCAGGGTCTCACCTTGCTACACATCTATCTCTAATCTTGACTCTGTGAGATGCAGTCTGAACAAGTTTTATGGATGGCCTTTTCATGATATTGACTGGTGATCTCTTTCTTTTAAAACTAACATTTTTTTCTGATTAAAATAATAAGGCTTGTGAGGCTGAGGCAGGAGAATGGCATGAACCCGGGAGGCGGAGCTTGCAGTGAGCCAAGATCGTGCCACTGCATTCCAGCCTGGGCAACAGAGTGAGACTCCATCTCAAATAATAATAATAATAATAATAATAATAATAACAACAATAATAAGGCTTATTGTAGAAAATTTACAAAAATTGAAAACGTCTCACCACCTAGAAATAATCTCCTACTTTTTAGCTTGAATCTTTTCAGATTGTTTCATGTGTTCTTTTTAATTAAATGCGAGAAATACAGAACAATACTATTAAGAAAATTATAATTATCTACAACTCCAACTCTAAGAAATAACCACTGTTAGCACTTTATCATATTTCCATCTGGTATTTTCTGTTCTCTCTGTGTGTATGTGTATTTGGATATATATTTGCATGTATTATATCGCATGTATGATTTTGTATCCTGTTCTCTCAAAACTGTTACATCAATAGCATTTTTAATTTATATTTTTTAAATGATGATTTTAGTGAGTATATTTAATTATATGAATATACTACAATTTAATTAATAATTCCTTAACTATTATGCAATAGGTTGTAGAAAATCATTAGTTCCATGATTCAACCAATGTTTTGAAGCTCTTACCTACAGTTCAAGGTCCTGTTCTTGTTAGTTGGAATAAAATAATGGCTTTGACAGTCAGGGTTCCTCTTCTAATGTAACTTCTTAAACAGGATTGTAATTGGTACTTTACATTTTTGTTCACATCTCTAATTATTTTTAGAATAAATTCTTACAAGCAGTATTATAAGGTTGAAAGACAGGAATATTTTTACTATTCTTTAAACCTAAATAAACTGCTCAAATACATTTTCAAAGGCCATATCAATTTATGTCTTTCATGTGAATGGGAATATTTCATTATCTCACTGGACCTTCACACACATCACATATATAATTTTTGAGAGAAACTTCTTGCTGTGATTTCATATTTTTTATTGCTAGTTGAACACATTTTCCATACTTATATTTCTCTTTTATTTTTTCTTATTAAACTGTTCTAATTACTTTCTCATTGATTGACATAAACTTTTCATATATTAAGGATATTGAGCCTTTTCTGCCATATATGTTGCAAATGTTTTCACTTTTTTTATTATTTGTTATTTATGTTTTGACATAAAAAAGTTTAAAATTTTATCCAGTCAATTATATCGTTTGCTTCCTTAGAGATATCTCCCATTAGTTTTAAACATGAACAGTTTGCCTTATCAAGGATGGGACAATTATTCATTTATATTTTCTTCCAATTTATTTCTTTTTTAATGGGAATCTTTAATTCATCTAGATTTTAGATTTTATTTTGATGTTTAGTTTTATATGAGGATCTAAATTGATTTCTTTTTCCTCATAAACTTAGCCTATTTTCCCAGAACCATTTACTGAACAATTGACCCCTCATCATTGATTTGTGAAGCTTCCTCTGTCACATATTAACCACGAAGACACAAACTCGAGTCTGCTTAGGGGCCCTGTTTACTGGTAGATTTTAGTACTTGCTGGATATTCAGTGGCAACACAGAATTGCTACACATAGTCTACAGTCTACTTTCATAAGGATGCAGAGTCATATAGATTAAAGAATATGACTTTTGAGATAAAATCTGGACTCAAATCCAGGTTCTACAGCTTGCTGATTATATGAACCTGAGTAGGCCATTTAATTTTTCTGAATCTCAGCTTTCTCAACTGTAATATAGTTATAATAATATCCTCTTGATATATTGTTATATGAAGCAAGATAACATATGTGGAAGAACTTTGTGAACTGTAAAAGTCTTTACCAATGTTAATTTTTATAATTAGTATAGATATGACCTGGGCTCCAACTTTATTATGAAGCCCTATTAGACATGGTTAGTTTTGAGTTCAGATAAATTCAGTAAAGGAAAGTGAAAAAGAAACTAAAAGCCTAGCCAGGCCTCTGCTCTATTATGCTTTGAAGAGGAGTCCTGAACCACCTTCTAAAGTGTGTTTCCCATTTTTGTTCTATGTAACTGGAAATCAATGTTGTAAATACCAAGCAGGATAGGTATTAATTAATGAGGTCAAGTGTAAATGACATTAGATGTGGAAGAGACAAAGTAAAGCAATTAATGGGAATGCTATAGAAAATGGTTTAAACAGTAGCAAAGAAAGACTATAAACACAGAAACCTCGCCTTGAGAAAATATTTCACTGTGAAGAAAGGAAGGAGGTGTTGAAGTGACTTCCCCTTCAAACCTGTAAACTCAGCATTAGCTGGATACACAAGGATAAACAGCAAAATACTGCTTCTCAACCAAAACAATTAGCAGAAAACTTAAACTAGAGTTAATGAGTTTGGAGCATAAAGAATAAACAAGGTTTATTTACATTTCCCTGCAGTCTTAGCTTGAGAATGAAAAAAGTGTCTTCCAGTGTCCAGAATGTTCTCTACGGCCCAACCTAAAAATCCTCAATGATCTGCATAGTGGAGACACCACTGCTTCCACAATTTCTCAAAATGCCTTGAAGAGCCTGTAATCCCAGCACTTTGGGAGGCCAAGGTGGGCGGATCACTTGAGATCAGGAGTTTGAGATCAACCTGGCCAAAATGGCGAAACCCCATCTCTACTAAAAATGCAAAAATTGGCTGGGCACAGTGGCTCACGCCTGTAATCCCAGCACTTTGGGAGGCCGAGGCGGGCGGATCACAATGTCAGGAGATTGAGACCATCCTGGCTAACACAATGAAACACCGTCTCTACTAAAAATACAAAAAAGTTAGCCGGGCGTGGTGGCGGGCGCCTGTAGTCCCAGCTACTCGGGAGGCTGAGGCAGGAGAATGGCGTGAACCCGGGAGGCAGAGGTTGCAGTGAGCCGAGATCGCGCCACTGCACTCCAGCCTGGACAACAGAGCCAGACTCCGTCTCAAAAAAAAAAGCAAAAATTAGCTGGGTGTGGTGGTGCACACCTGTAATCCCAGCTACTCGGGAACCTGAGGCAGGAGAATCGCTTGAACCTGGAAAGCGGAGGTTGCAGTGAGCTGAGATAGCCCCATTGCACTCCAGCCTGGGTGTCACAGCAAGACTCCGCCTCAAAAAAAAAAAAAAAGAAATTCCTTTAAGAATTAGCTCATAGATAAAGCCATAAGGAGTAATCACATCCCGTGTATGCTCAAGGTTGAATCTGTTTAATAATCGCTAAAAAGAACTCATATTCACCTACCTACCGCAGCACGCTTATAGTAGGTATTTGATTCATTAGTGTTGACTTGGATTAAATAAATATGCCATCTCTAGATGCGGTTATATGACTACTTATTGGGACCTCTCTTCCTGGTGACTGTTCTAGGCATGAGAGGGATGCAGAACTAAATCAGACTTATGTTTTCTTTGCTCACGTATCTGAAGTTTAGTAAAGGAATAGTAAATACATTCATATGTACAAGATAAAAAGTTATGGATGGCATAAGCTTGATATAGACAGGATATTCCATGAGTTCAGTGGAAGGAAAAATACACGGGCATAGGGAAAGCATGGAAGCCTTTATCGAAGAACAGACATGTCATGAAATGCAAGAGTGAGTGAGAGAGAGAGAGAAACTTATGACGGTTAATACAGCATTAGCAATGTGCTGGTGGTACAAAGGTGAAGGAGATAGAAATAGGAAACTGAAAAAAAGTTCAAATGCAATGTTAGTTTTTGATAGACCAATTAGTATCATGAATATCAAGTCATGGAATACAGCTGGGAACTGAAGCCCCTAGATCAGGGCCCTATTCTTCTGCAGGATGGGGTCCTGCTGTCATTCACATCACTGGCCAAGGTAAGGATTTATTTATTGCATAGGTCGCTATTCCTGATTTCACCAGTGAATCCTAAATTCCCCTATAAAAGCATCTGCCAGCCACATGGCCTTTCAAGTGCTTTCTACTCTAGGCTGAAATATAATCGCAGAAAAATAGGCCATAGTACTCTTCTTTGTTTCTTTCTTTCCTGTTTTTTTTTTTCTTACCCTAATTGTCAAATGACTTGTGGTTGTATAATAACATGATATTGTAAAGTTAGCTATTACTCATACACAGTAAGAGTTAATATTTATAAAGTGCTTTTCTATAGTTTATTCCCTCTTACTGGTACATCTGTGTGTAGCCAATTAAAGACATGAATATAATCTTATCTACACGTGTTCCGTCAATGGAGAATTTCAGGGATTCCAAAATGTAAAGAGGTGATATTAGTAAAAAATACAGCTTAAAGAACAACTCTTCACATTTAATAAAAGATTAGTTTTCAAACTTATAAACCTAGACCAGCCCTGACCCTCCTTTTTGCCCTCTGTGTTACCTTGGGCTAACCAGATGGACACTTAGGATCTCAGTTTCCTCATCTATAGGAAAGGAGAAGAAAAATATCTGTCCATCACATGATTAATATGATGATATAACTACTATGGGTAAAAGTGTTTCACAATCTGTAAAGCATCAGCCATATGGAAGAAATCACTCTTGAAAATAAAGCAGGTTATCTAGTGGTTATTGTTTTGTTTAAATTCATTTCATTATCACCACTTACCTGCCAGGACCACTGTCCCTGTGGAGGTGGCATGTTCTCCCCATGTCTGCTTGGGTCTTCTCCAGGCACTCCCATCTCCTCCCCATCCCAAAGGTGTGCACACTTGGTGAACTGGCATGTCTACATGGTCCCATTCAGAGTGAGTGTGGGTACATATGAATGTTCCTTGCAATGGAATGGTGGCCTGGACAGGGTTGGTTCCCACGTTGTGCCCTGAGCTGCAGGGACACACTACAGCGACCCTCAACCCCAAACTGGAATAAGCCAGTTAGGAAATGAATGAACGAATACAAATTATTGTCAAATAGAAATTTGTAATGTCAGCCAGGCATGGTGGCTCCCTCCTGTAATCCCAGCACTTTGGGAGGCCCAGGCGGGTGGATCGCTTGAGGTCAGGAGTTTGAGACCAGCCTGGGAAATATGGTGAAACCCCATCTCTACTAAAAATACAAAAATTAGCCAGACGTGGTGGCAGAGGCCTGTAGTCCCAGCTACTCGGCAGGCTGAGGCAGGAGAATCACTTGAACCCAGGAGGCAGAGGTTGCAGTGAGCTGAGATCATATCACTGCCACTACACTCCAGCCTGGGCAACAGAGCAAGACTCCATCTCAAACAAAAAAAGAGGAAGAAATTTGTAATGTCTACAGGAGGAAGTACCCTTGACAGTGTTCACTTTGCAAACATTTATTCTTTGATTTGACCCACCGCCACTATGACCACTGTCACTTATTGGTTCACCAAAAACTGGGTAAATAATTATCTTACTTGTTTGTATTAATCTTAAGTGTCTGTATAGCTCACACGTATTTCAATGTTTAATATTAGAAGTATTTTTGGTCTTTCTTTAGAAGTTTTGTGATATTGTTGTGAGTAAAAATATGCCATAGGAATTTAACTCCTGTTTATATCAATTAGCCTATGGTAAAATGGGTTTTTATTTGATGTTTTGCCTAAAGTTATGGTTTCCAAGAACTTATGTATGGTGTTTGATGAGAACTTGCCATAACAAATCTTCCCAAACACACTTTATTTCCACTCCTTTCTTTAATTATTTCTGCTAATTATGATTACATGTTTTCTATCTATCTTGACATCCATTTTCCTGTCCTGATCCACATCTGTAGACTTCATTTTGGTATCTGGAAATTAACATGCTACTGCTATTTGGCAATCAATGCACATTTCTTCTGGCTTTTAGCTGAAACTACCCTGAGCATAGGCAGCTTTCTTGTCAATTTCAGAGTATACTATTTGGCGTTTCCTTTCCCAAGGTCCAGGCTTTGACATTCACTCTGCTAAGGGGATGCACATTCCTAAGTCTTTGTATATCCAAAAGAGTGGAGAGTGGTCTTTCTGCCCAATGTGGGCCACACTGTGTCTTTCCACCCTCAGTTTTCTACAAGTACCTCTATTCTCTCTCAGGTTACTACATAGTCAGCCGCTTCTTGAGGTTTCATCATTTTCTTATATGAATATCATTACAAAGGATGCGTAACATCATGAACGTTAGTAAATATAATTAACATGGATTAAGCATACTACACAGGCCTGGGGTTTATAAATTATTACATCAGCTAACAACTTATTAGCTTATTAACTTATTAATAATTAAGTAATTATAAGCTAATTAATATTAGCTTATTAACAAGCTAATATTCATTGGGAACTTACTACATATCGGGCACTGTAATTGGTCTTGTTTATTATTAACAACTACTCTGAAAATTGGGTATTATTAGCTTTCTTTGGTAGGTTAGAAATTTGAAACAGTCAAGTGATGTGATTTGTCTAATATCACAAAATGTTACATGAAATAGCTGGAATGTGGAATCCAATCTGATTGTAAACGTAAGCCCCTTCCATTCCATCATGACATCGTGTTAGGCAAAGGCTCTGTGGTTTGCGGAGACACTGAAGTTCTCTCACAAGATATATTGGGCTGGGCCAGACACCCTTCATCTTATCATTGTTTTTGAGGAGCAGTTACCGTGCCATTTGGGGCCAAAACAGATAGAAATGGAAATGAGAAGACCATTGATCATTCTTTGCTAAGGGCTGAGAGAAGAAATTTAGAAGCTCAGGACAAAGCTCTCCTGAGCAGGAGATGGAGTCAAGGTCCATTGAGTTTATCCATGTACATATCACCAGTCTAGGAACAGCTTGCTAGGGCCTGTGGCTTCTGGAAAGAGAGGTTTCTTCTACAGCTCAGCACTTCAGAGTCAAGTGCTGGGCAGTGCCCAGGAATTAACCATCTGTGGCATTGAGGGTTCACCTTAATCAGGGCCTGTTTAGGTTGATTAGTGCTGTAATGGAGGCCAGCTGTTTCCCTGATAAGTCGGGCAGGGCTCTGACTAGGTCCTGTGCACGACAGATACTGCTCCCTGCCAGAAAAGTCCTGCATCCACACCCAAAAAGAGCACAGGTTTAGATCAGATCCCCTGGGCTCCTATCATCTGCTTCTTGCAGGGGCTGAAGAGGGCTAGCTCAGTAGCTGACTCACCTTTTCAGCCCTCCAGTTACTGTCTAATCCTGAGGCCATTTGTGATCATCAGACGACATGGTTAAAGGAAAAATGATTAGGAAGGTTGTTACAGAACAGTAAACCAGACAGATCCAGAAGGTTGTTGCAGAACAATAAACCAGACAGATCCAATCTGCAATAAATATTATTATAAAACAAGTGACCTTAGCCAGCGAGGGCAAGGGCAAAACTCTAAGGATCTGAGGTTGCTGGGTAGCTCATCTTGGCTGTGAACCTATGGGCAGCTGTGGGATGCAACCTTGCTGCCGTTAGATAACTTCATTCTGCTAATTCTCTGGGGATAAATAGAACAGCCCTGAGATTATAAACTTTTGGAGTGGAAACTGATTATCTTGCAGGCCTAGGTCAGTCAGGGCAATGGCACACATCAAAGTGTCTCCCTCTCATCTGCACAAAATACTCTTGTCAAATTAATACCGCAAACTTGTTACAGTAAATGATGGTGCCTGGCTTTTCCTTCCACATAATATGCCAGTTATTTTTTCTTATTAGAATTCAGCTTTAACTGAAGGCTTTGCTTTCCAAATTTTTATGGATATATAACATAGGTTCATATATGAAAAAGATAAAAATGTATAGATTTCTTATAAAATTAATGAAATTTAGATGTGACATTATCCTTACCTATATGATCAATGACTCAAGGGTTCACTTCCTTGCAAAGTGAATCAACTGTAACTGCCTTGTTCAGAAAGAATATCTATATCTCTATCTATATCTATATCATCCATATCTATGTCTATATATAGGGAGAGATCACTGAAATCTTGAATGTCTTATTTTATTTTATTTTTACTTTTATTTTGTTTTAGATTCAGGAGGCACACGTGCAGGTTTGTTCCATGGGTATGTTGCATGATGCTGAGGTTTGGGCTTCCAATCATCCGTTGCCCAAGTAGTGAACATAGTACCCAATAGGTACTTTTTCAAACCTTGCCTCTCTCCTTTCCTTCCCCTCTCTACAGCCCCGGCATCTATTGTGCCAGTCTTTGTGTCTGTGTATACTCAATGTTTAGCTCCCACTTATTAGTCAGAACATGCTCAAACCCTGAATGTCTTAATTTTTATAGAATCAATATGTACCATTTTTAACCTATTCCAAAAAGAAATGTATTACAAAAACTACCTGTCATTTGGTCTCAAGTAGCTTTATTATTTGCCATATGTTCCGCATGTGTGAAGAGTAGAAGGAATGAGGGGTAGAACTTGGGTAATGTTGGATAACTAAAGCACCCTGCAAAGTGTTTATGAAATAATATTAATCTTAAAAATGGCAGAACAAGTGTCATATAGACTGTAATTGTAAATATATGAAGTAATCATGTATGTGTAAAGCATGCAATAATTAAAACAACTGCCTTCAGATGATGGGATTATGAGATTCTCACTAGTAATAACATCTTTAGTATTGTTTAAGATTGTTCTCAGCCCTTCTCTCTGAAGTCTATGCAGATGACATGATGAGTCCAAAGCCCATTCTCATAACCACTATGTTGCTTTCTGTTCCTCTCCCTCAAATCGGAGGGTCCTGCGTAAGGGTCTGGTACAGAACTATGTGTTTGCATCGCAGGGCAACATGTTACTCCTAAAGCCAGATTAGAAAAGGGTTGGATCTGGGAGTCAAAGAAAGCTGTGCTCCCTCCCTGATTATATAGCCAAATAGCTGGAAAACATTGAACAGTTATTTATCTCTGGCTAATGTTCTCATCTAAAAAATGAGAGAAAGACGTTTTATCCCATCGTTAAGGATTAAAGAATATCACATCGACGTCATGCTTAACATGGTGCTCAGCCCACTGCAAGCCCTTAATGAATTTTAGTTCCTCCTCCCCTTCTCTCAGTAGTTTCTACCTAAGTCACCATCCTCACTGTGCAGGGCCAATCATAAGTAATAAAATGTTAGAATGGCAAGAAACCTTGGAGGGCACCTAGAGAGCCCGTATTTTAGAAAAAGAAGCAGAGAATGAAAAATAGGAAGGACACACGGGAAGAATGTGGCATATTCCAGGTGCCTGGAATTGTGAGAAAATCACCCTTCAATTTTTCTGGAAATTTACGCTGCAGATGATTTTTGCCAGCTTAAATTTGTTTACCCTACTGTAAACAAATAAAATAAGATGTTCCAGGGACACACAAGCTAACCAAAGAAAGGTGAGGCTTACTCTTTCCCTTTCTCTCTCATTTTAACCCACTGATCATAAGGACAACATTTGAATTTCAGTTTACTGTGGCCTCAGTCACCAAAACAAAGAATGCAGTAAATCTTCTGGGGTTTCCCCTCTGTCTACCAGCTGTATTGTAAACCTAGACTTCCCTCTTCTCATGAGTCACATCCTAAGCAAAAACTCCAGCATGAGAGAAGAGAACAGGTGGGAAGTTTGTCCCCTTTTTCCCCTTGAACTGATAGGAAGACTACATATGTACACAAGCATGCACACATGTGTCTGCTATGTTACTATTCCAGGCAGCAGTGCCACATTCACAAGGATGACAGTGTCTCAGAAAGACTATGGCTCAGACAGCTGCAGACAATGTAAACACCCTTTTTTGCAAGGTCAGGACAAGGACAAATGGCTGATTTAGGCAGTAATAAGAGAGGGCCCTGTCACAGAAACTTTCAGATGTACAATGCAAAATCTGCACTTCCCCCTCAAATGCAATGTGACTAGCAGTCTCCCTCTGTCCAGACCAACAGGGTACTCTATGAAATATACAAATCTACTTTGCTAACCATCTTTACCACATATTCTTGAGCAAACAGAACAGATTCTTCCAGACCACACTATTCTTTACATCTCCCTTTCCCATACTTGAAGGTCTCCAATTTCTTAAATTGCTTTCAGTAATTTGAGTGGCTTTCATCCTAGCCTCTCTAGAGGCCTTGTCAGAAAACAGCACTTGGCAAATCTGTTGTCTTCTTACCTTGCAGGGTTCATTAGTTTTTATTTCTTAACCTCTACTTCTTCCTAAATGGTGTCATCGGAGATTGACAGAAGCCTGAAATGATTTGTTGGGATTCCTCAGGCAGTAAATGCCTCTTCAGACTACTGCAGAGAAACACCAGTGTTATGGCTTTCTAAAACTGAATTTCTTAATGTTTGAAATAGAATTGTAAGTGAAAAAAAATCAGAATGCAAAGTAATATGTAAACTACAACTGATAAAATGTGTATGCATGTAGGTAGACTCAAACATTATAGGCACTTGTAAGAATGATGGTTTGGGGTGCTGGGATTAAGGTTGATTATTGTTTTTTTGTATTTCCTTCTGTCATCATTGCTAATATTTCCATTTTTTAAGATCCCGAAAACACTTTCTGGGATTGACTGTCACTGGGATAAACTAAACTCAATCAACGATATGAGTAGTATCTCATAAGTAGCTTGGTTTTCTTGCCAAATGGCTATACCCAGAGTTGTAATCATAGAATGAACTTTTCTCCTAATTAAGCAAAATTCCATCCAAGGTCAATGGAGGAAGAAACACAGAGGAAGGGGTGACTAACTGTTAAGCCGTATAAAGCCAGCTAAATCTGTCAATCATTATGAGTCATTCAAATGTAGGAGTCACTCCAGGGCTTCAAACTTTGGAAGCTACAATAATTACCATTGGCATCCTTCAAAAGACAGTTGAAAGAGCAATTACAGTTCACAAGGATACCTAATTTGAAAAGGATAGGAATTGGATCCTTGAATATTTGCCACAAACTAAGGGCAGAATTAGCAGTCTATACAGTACAGTTGTATTCAGAAAACAAAAGCAGCAACCAAAACCAAGTTTCCTTAACTCTTAATGTTTCCTTCTTTTCAGGATCAGCTTCTTTTTGTTTGAGGGCTCAGCAACCCTCAAACAGGTTTCAGAGATCAAACGCTCCCTTACGTTGCTGTAGAAAATAGATCTGCCTTGCTTATTATGAAATTTGATCTTCCTAGATTTGGACATTGTATAACCCCAGAGGACAGTCCATACTTGGAAGAACATCTTAATTTTGCTTGTGGTTTGTTTGTTTGTTTTTGTTTTTGTTTTTTGACAGAGTCTCACTCTGTCACCCAGGCTGGAGTGCAATGGCCCAATCTCTGCTCACTGCAACCTCTGCTTCCTGTGTTCAAGCGATTCTCTTGTCTTACCCTCCCAAGTAGCTGGGACTACAGGCATGTGCCATAATGCCCGGCTAATTTTTGTATTTTTTAGTAGAGACAGGGTCTCAAACTCATGACCTTGTGATCTGCCTGCCTTGGCCTCTCAAAGTGCTGGGATTACAGGTGTGAGCCACCATGCCCAGCCAAAAGAATATCTTTAAACTAACTAATCACTGGAGTGATGGCTGGTAAGTGATGTAAAACGGCTCCATCACCTCAGTTTCTCCCCTTAGAATTAAAACTAAATATGTAAGCTACCACTAGTATCACCTTCCAACTAAAAGTAACATTGCTTAATAGATGTCATTTGTAGAAGATATGATATAGCCTGCTTTTGTGAGCAATATTCGTACCTGCTACTAAACTCTAAACTTCTACTGTTTTCTTCTCACTAATTTGGCATCAGAGTAGAGGCTTCATCTTTTCCTGAGCTTGAGGCAAGACGTATATACCAAGATCTCTGCCCTGCTTATTGTTTCTAACTTTTCATCCTGCCTGTCTAGAAACCCTTTTGGCCCAAGTTTTTTCTTGTTAGATTAAGAAAGCAAAAAAAGACTGTGATTGCTTGATTGCTTACATGCAATAACAGAACATATGAAACTCAGATCTTAATAATATTCAATTTAAAATTTTTCAGCAAATATTTATTGAGCATTGCTTTTGTTGGGGATACACATGTGACTTCAAGAAGTTCAAAGTTCAAAGAGGGAGATACAACAATGTTCTGAACCTTTTGTCTTGCATTGTCCAATACAACTTTCTGCAATGGTAAAAGGTTTTATGTCTGTGCTGTCCAATATGTGACCTCCAGCACCCATGTCTATTGAGCATGTAAAATATACCTCATGTGGCTGAGAAACTAAAATTGTATTTACCTTTCATTATTAAACATGTAAATTTCCACATGTGGCTGATGTTTATCACATTGCTGGTGTGTTATTAGTCCAGAAGACAGAAATGTATCCAGTGCAAGGAGAACACACAGGACAGACACCTCCCTCAGACTGGAACAGGAAGGGATGATTCCCTGAAAAGACTTTAACTTGGCCTGAGTATTCAGCAATAAGTAAGAGTTAATAAGATAGAGAATGAAGGCAAAGAAGAGTTCTTCAGGTGGATATGACGGTGTATGTAAAGGTGCCGGTGTGGGGAGAGCATGGCATGCTCAAGCGACTGCAAACAGTTCTCCGTAGCTGCCATTTGGGGCTTTTGTGAATTTACTGCAGGGTGAGGCAGGGAAAGAGGCCGATCCTGAGCAGCATTCTAACATTGTTTAAGAAACAGTATTACCATCAGGGGCATCATCATCCTTAGCCTTGCTTTTAGAAAAAGCAACCCACCAGTAATACAGAGAATGGATTCAGTGGGAAAGAGACTCGAGTCAGGGAGACCAACCAACAGGCGAATGACCTAATCCTGGTGATGGTGTCAGAGTCCTGAATCAAGGTGATAGTAGACTGATGGTTCTAGGAACACCAGTAATTTTCCAGCATCTGTCTGGAACCACTGCTACCAAAATGACATTCACAGGAAACTTTCTGTTCTACTTCAAAGAGGAGATGGGTGGCATCGCCATGTACTCATTTGATGTGAATGAAACAACCCAGAGATGGAGATAAATCTAAAAAATGCCTTCCTTTATAATATACTGTGAGTGTTTATTTTAAGTCTAATAAGTACTGTCAATGTTTAGCCCAATAGAATATAGCATCCTCTTTTACTCTTGAAAACATTTATTTTGTGGAAAGAAAACAAAAAGACTTTAAATTTATGGAATTTCTTTACATCAACCAACATATAATAAGGAATAAGTCAACTCCAAGGACGTTTTCAAGTATTATCTCAAATATTGTTTCCTCAAGAAAGCCTTCTCTGACTATCAGACACCATTAGGTTCTTTAAACAAATACTCTTGTAGCAACCTGGACTGTCTTTGGGTATTTTACACAATTGCAATCAAGTCTCAAGTTGTGTAATTCTTTGTGTCGTATCTGTATCTCCTCCATGAGGCCAGGGTTTAGTAAGTCTTGTGCACCCCTGTATTCCAGAACATAGCCCAGGGTCACATGCTCGGTAAACATGCCTTGGCTGATGGACGCAATACGCTAAAATGCAGAGAAACAGTTTACAAGGAGAATTACTCTCTCCTTGTTTCAATTTCCTTCCTAGAAAGAAGAAATAACCATTGTAATTTCAAAAGATTCCTGTGATTCCCCCATTTTTAAATACCACATGTAGTTTTACACTGAGCATCACAGTGGCTGAATCTTGATTCCACAGTTTCCCATAAAGATGCCCAGGCTTTAAGATCTGATAGCCTACATTCTCCCTTCAATGTCTCTGGAGTGGAGTTAATTGTTTTTAAAAGCTGTATACACCCCATGTTTTGCACTGTGACTATTGTTCATGTGTGTGCACCATAGACGTGGTAAGGATTTTGTTAAAAGATCACAGTGAGGAATGGCAGTAGCATGGCTACAGGCTTCTCATGTTGTGCCACATTAAGTGGACTGTAGGGACATGAGCTGATACACTTACTGTTCCAGTAAAGTGTAGAGATGAATCAAAAACTTCAATGAAAGAAAACCCAGCTCTACCTTTCCCATTTGCCTCTCAGGCTATAAAGGATTTAAGTTCAGAAACAGAACATATTTTGTGGAGGTTTATTTTTTTCTTTTTTTCTTTAAAGGAATAATAACAACTATTGATAGTTTGAGCAAGGACTCCAGGAGGTTCTCCTTTTTTGCAAGACAACCTCACTGGCTGATAAGACCATATCAAGGCTGGAAGATACAGCAGTGTGTCTGGGACCAGGACTGCAGTGCCAATAATATTAGGGACATTTGGTACTGAGGCAATCACTTTTCTCCACGTGGGACCATAATTTGTTTAAACAGATACAAGCAAATCTCTGGATCTTAGCACACTTCCTGTTGCTATAACTGAATAGCTGAAACTGAGTAATTTATAAAGAAAATTTTACTTATAGTTCTGGAGGCCAGGAAGTCCAAGATCTAGGGACCACATCTGATGAGGTCCTTCTTGAGGGTGGGGACTCTGCAGAGTCCCAGGTGGCACAGGGCATCACATGGCAAGGGGACTCATGAAGGATGGCTAAATTAGCTTTTATAACAAACTCAATCTCATGATAACTAACCCACTCCCTCAATAACCCATTAATCTAGGAATGAAGTAATCCATTCATGTGAGCAGAGCCTTCATGACCCAGTCACCTCCCAAAGGTCCCATTCACTTTTCAACACTACTACATGGGGGACCAAGTTACCAACACATGAATTTTGGAGGGACACATTCACTCTGATAAATCACAAATCCAGGTACTGAACAAACACCTATACCATTCCAAGCCTCTGCATTCAGGTAATGTGAATTCAGAATGGGGAATAGCCCAACTGCCAGGATTCCACACAGCAATACAAACTTCTCCCTATCAAAAGGACCGCAGGCTCATTTTCATTTACATGGATCATTCCTCTTCAACTCTATAAAACTGAGATATAAATTTCTTGAGATTTGTTCAGTCCATTATAAACTTGGAATGAAAAGATATGAGGTCAAGTGCAGACTCCACATTCTTTCTCAATGTCTGACGCTCGTCCAAGGATTCGAGTTTTAAATTTATTTAGAGCTGGTACTGAGAGAGATCTAGAGGTCATGGCGGTAATGAGCCAAACAGAAGGCAATAATGCAGTGCTGTCTGTTCAGTTCAACCTCCGTGGAATTTGGGAACATGAAGCTGGACTCAGAGAAAAGTCCTAACTCTGCTCAACAAGTCAAACTGTAAGTGGCAGATGGCCGGGATTCAGCCAGTGACAAACAAAGCAATTAACAGCAACAGAATATAAAATGCCACTATGTTGCTGGAAAACTTTATAATCTAGAAATTTGTAAATTGTTACTAGACTGTCACTAGTTGTTATTCTAAACTTTGCCTAGGTATCGTTAACAACGCTGACAAATACTAACTTTCCTCCTGAAAAGAATAGAAGCCCCACAAGAGTCAGTCTTTGTTGGTTTTGTTCATTGCCCTATTTGGGTGCCTGAAAGGTGACCTGGAATGTAGCAGGTAGTCAACAACATTTATTGCATGAATTAACAAGTAAATGAATGAGACGACATGGTCTACTATTTATTTGTACACTTGTATTTTGAAAATCAATTTTCCAATGGGCTTAAAGTAATCCACCACACCCCCAAATGTTTCTTTCTGGCTTGCTAGGCCTTCCTACCTTGTATCAAGATTATGGGGAAAAGCTTGAAACTCAATAGGATTAATGCTCTTAATCACATTGTTCATTCATATGCTTTATCTGGCACCTCTGGTTTCTTAGAAGAGGAGTCTCATATTTCCCAAGCCCTGCAGAGTGCGTACATGCCAATCAACCCAGTCAATATTCATATCCAAACATTTTGTTTGGGTACACTCATGTACATACAGTGCAGAAATGACATTAGTAATTGTGGCCCTGATTAATTCTTACCTGCAAGGCCACTGTGGAGGCAAGTTTAGTATACAAATGGAGACATGCCTATTGATTTGTAACCCTAGACAGTGTACTCCCTGTTTCCCCCAATGAATGATCCATACTTGTATGATTATAGATGGCAAGGCAAGTTATTCCAGGGAAACACATTTCCAGGCATCTTGGAATGTAGTGCTTCTATGAGATCTTTCTTTATCAAAAGTTTCTCAAAGCACTTACTAAACATACAGGCTATGTTACAAGATAGGTACTAAGAAGAATGAAGACTTATAAGACAGTATCTTAGTTAAGGCAATTTATTTTTTTTCTAGAAAAAAAGTCCTAATATGTAATCATTATAATAATTTTACATGGATCAGGAGAGGCGGTAAATGAGATAGATACAGTTTATCAAGATTTCACCTCAATTCTCATTATTCTTAATATGAATAGCAGCCTTTTGCAGGTTAAGGTATCACAGAGAAAGGTAGAAGATAACTACTTTTTAGTCATTTCCATTTTGTTCCCAAGACTGAGGTAAAAAGGTAGTCAAATACCATATTGAATGGGTTTTTCCAAGACTTTCTCCTGAAGGAGAATGGGAGAAAAGATGTAGAAAAAGGAGAAGCAAGACAAAGATATTAGTATTTAATAAAATTCTGCAGTGAACATCAATAATGTGAGCTGTCCCTTCCTTCACCCACTCATTTTGGTAAGGTATTAACTTCACGCCTACAGAGGTCATCTAAATGGGAACGCAATTAAGTAGTTGAAATCATTTTACTTTTCTTAAAAATGAATATTCAACTCTGGAAATGTATTTCAAAACAGACCTACATTGGCAAATTAAAACATACAGAATTTAGTAAATGTGAAAAGGTCTGTTCTATATTCAGAGATATAAATAAGTCTATTAAACTTCCAAGGTTTTGAATCTTAAATTTTGCATGTTGTGACATAAATATATTCTGATTTGTAAGTCATCATAACATTAAGGGAGGTTGTTTTGCATTTGAGATGCAGAAAGACAAATATAAACTGATAGAAAACATTACAATGTATCAGGAGCATGAATAATATAATTACTAAAGGCCTCAATACAGCAGCATGTGCTTCATTTTGCCAATATGATAAATGCATGTAGCTAAGGTTTGTTAAATATATATGTGTGTATATAATTACATCAATGATGTTAATTAAATCGTATCTCCAGTTGTCCAAGAAAATGTTAATGTGAGCCCCAAAGCTTCAACTTTACCATTTTTAGTATTTTTAAAAAGCATATTTTTATACATGACCACCCTCTTTTTTCTTAGGTTTGTATTAATCATTTTCCATTCGAAATACAAAATTACCCCAAGCTGTTTAGTTGGGGAAATATAATTGCTATTTTTCTGATTGTTATTGATAACAAATAAGCCTGATCATGAAATGTCTCCTCTGGAAGTAGGGATATTTGTTTTCTAGGAACAGCCCTGCCACCAACTAGAGCTGTTACCTTGGGGGAGTAATGTAACCTGTGTAAATTTCCTCATTTGCAAAACAAAGGAGTCAGCTTAGCCAATCTCTAAGGACCTTGCCAGTCTGAATAGTCTAAATATCTGTGATCTATGACTCTCACTGTTTAGTCCAATTCAAAAGGCAATGCCAACTTTTGATCTGTTTTCTTCTCTACAATTGTAATTATTATTGATCTTTCAGAAATACTCCCTGTTTAAAGCCTCTGGAGGTATTTATAAAATGGAGACACAAGGGCTATGAAGAAACAAAAGTTGCTGTAATAATGAATATTTCATTCCATTATCTAGTCATAGCATTGCAATGCATTCCCCTCAGTCTCATGGGAATCGAGAATAGGGCTTTACCCATGGACTCTGGTGTTTTAACCCTGCCAGATTCAGGAGTCAGTCTTCACACTCCAGGATTCTGAATTTCAGATTGCTTCCCCTCAGACAAGGAGGAAGCCCAGCTCTAGAAAAGAATGGCCTGGAAAGAGGAAATGCTGCATTTTTTAACTGGTCTGAAATGTACCTGGTCTGAACTGACCTCCTTTTCTGCGCTGCTGAACATCTCTACCTCATTTTTCCTGGACTAAAATGAGTCCTGCTTGAACTGGCCATGGGAGAGGGAAGATTTGGCATGGAGAGATTTTGGCTCTTACTACTTTCCAGCTCTTCTCAGCTTGATTGGCAAAGCTCTGGATAGCAACACCACCCACTTCTTTCTCTTTTTGCCTCCTGTTCCTATCAACCCTCTTTCAGTTCCCCTTGCTGAGATATACTGAGGTAAAATCTAACTCCATGGCCAGTCATTCGGAGCACAGATGCATACATAGGACCCAGGAGTGCTTGGCTTCCTCCAAGCAGCTCGAGCTGTGCAGCCCTTATAACTGTCAGAGGCGCCTCTTAAACAAGAAATGGCAAATCCATTCCAACTCCACTCATAATGGGATCGCACAGTGATTCAGTCTCTAATTGTTCTAAATGTTTATGCAAAGGGCCCATGAGGAGATACAGCTGACTGTTTAACTGATAATTATAGAGTGATTAAGTTTGACATTTCCAGAGAATTAGGTGAAAAACCTACTAGACTTTGCTAGGGTCAAAAGACTAGGCACCTTTATGAATTTCAATACCGCAGCGCTCATCTGGCTAGGGGAAGGAGGAGTATTTGAAAATATCCGCGAATAATTTTTAAAAGATTTTATGCTAATGGACTATTAAACATTTAATGCTCTCTTAACAAATGGTTATTTCTCCATTAAGCACCATCATGACCTATGCATAGTTTATGAACATTCCTGTTGTCCTTGAGAGAAATCACATACTGAAAGGGCTAAAAATAGCAGTCACGTGAGGTGCAGAGCGTAATTTGCATCCGGAGTTCAGCAGACATCATCCAGCTCAGAAGCTTGTTTCCAGGCATCAGACTCAGGAAAAGGCTCCAATAACCTTTCACCAAAGCTGAGCATTCTGGAAGGACCAAGTCCCATTCCTTAGTGGGAGCTAGTTTGGAATGGCATAGCTTCTTTAATGGTGAAGGACATTAAATGACCTTCTTCCAGTCTTTCAAATGCAGCCGTTTCTCCTTTCTCTACACTCCGCTAGTCCCATGACAAATCTCCTTCTTTATCCAGCAAGAACCAACATCCTCCACACTCCTTTCCCTTTAGGGAAACACACAGACCAGCCACCACTGGAAGCTGTTTTAATAATTATCTGCCTTAACACTCTAACGATACTGAAACTGATTTGCAGAGAGATGAAATAACCTCAAAAACAGCCACACATTCACTAGTAATAAAGTCTGGAATATAGTGCTGGGTCCTACGTCAGTGTTTTTTGCTATTGCTGTTTCCACCTATTCAAGTTGTGTAACATTTTCAAGAATGCCCTCCTCCGTGAAGTCCATGATGATTGCTCCGACCATTTTTTCCCTATTTCATAACAGTGCATGACACACCCTGATGTCATACCCCTTGCCACTTGATTATGTTGAATTTTGACAGATCCTCATTTCAAATGGTGGAGGAAGATAGATAGCTGAGAAAGATGAGACAGGAAGATTAATGAGGGTAGGGAAGGCAGGTTAGCTACCAGGCACTTAGAGCATGGGACTAGTAGCTAGGTATAACTTTAGCTTGCAGAAGAACAAAATGTAACTTTATTTTGATTAGTCTCCTTCATCAGAGCATTTAGCTTTCCTAAATCACAAAATGACCTATTTCCCTTCCCTAATTAACACTCTTCGGTTTTGTCCTAATGGCTACAAGATTACATTAAAAAAATCACAGGGCTCTTTTGCATTGCAAACAAAGCCCTATGATGTAGCCTTTATTACATATTTTATCTATCCTCATTTGCTGACAGCCCCTTGCCTTGCACTTTGTGTTCCAGTAATATTGAAGCTTTTGCACTCCTTCTCTACACCACGTTGTTTCAGACCTCATTGTCTTTGCTCATCCGGTTCACTTGATCTCCATCAGGATGCTCTGCCTCTGAAATCCTTACCTCGACCTCCAAGAGAAGCTGTCCACTATGCTTTCCCATTGCCCCCTGAGCATCCTCCTCTTTGGACACACTTTGGACCATAAGTTTCTCAAAATGAGAGGCTGTGCCTTTGTTCTAAGCACAGCATTACACCTATGTTATCTATCCTGTATTCTGTGGAAGTGGTGGGGTGGGAGGGGCATCTTGGGGGAACTGATTTTCCAGATACCTGCTCTGTAGAAATAACTGGGTCAGTAAGTGTAATGGTATGAAATTCACCTCAAAATACTTGTGCTGGCTGGGTGTGGTAGCTTATGCCTATAATCTCAGCATTTTGGGAGGCCAAGATAGGATTGCTCGAGGCTAGGAGTTTGAGACTGGCCTGGGCAACATTGTGAGACCAAGTCTTTACAACAAATTAAAAAATTAGCAGGACATGGTGGTGTGCACCTGTAGTCCTAGCTACTCAGGAGGCTGAGGCTGAAGGATCACTGGAGTCCAGGAGTTTGAAGCTGCAGTGAGCTATGATCACACCACTATATCCCAGCCTGGGTGACAGAACGAGATCCTATCTTTTAAAAAACAAACACAAAAAACTTATGTTCGTATTGTCTACAGTAAATTAGAGGATGGAAATATTTCCCATTATGTTTTCCACCCAAATTCCACATAAAATTGGAATTTGATAATGCTTTATAAACTAAGATCATTTTATACAATATATTTGCTCTCATCAGCATCGACTCTCATTATCATTGTCTCAAGTTTGAATCTAGAACTCAAGGCCAGATATTAAGTGAAAATATATGTCAATACCAAAGGCTTTATGAGAGCAGAAGATGGAAATAAAACTCCTTTCACTAGAGTTCCAGTATGGATAATTACCCGAGGCACAATGCTTCTCACTAATTTAGCAAGTCCTTCAATATCAGACTTCATTTTATAATTTGTAATTAAGAGATTTCTTTGGCAAGTTGAAAAGTCATCATTCACCTTGGAGGTCAAGATGCTATCTAGGCATTTTGGTAGATCACGATGTGGGTTGACTTTCCTCTGCAGCAGTTAGAGATATCAGTGCTTTTCTCTTCATCATAGCTACTCTCTCCAGTGCTACCTTCTATCACATTTCTGACACTAAAATTGCCCCAACATAACGTTAAGCAGAGTGAGATTTTTTGACTTCTTGGTTTCTTGGTCTTTTTCTGCACAAAATTCTAAACATTTATACCCTTCTTGATTTTCTGTTCTGTAGGAAACATATATATTTATCATATATTCTGTGTCAGACGCTGTGCCAAATACTTTAATACATCACCTGCCTCATCACGTCATTCTTCCCAATTCTGTACTATTTATGACACTTAGAAGTATACATTAAGTACAGTTTGTTCTCTCCATCTTTCTTATTTTTTTAACAATGCAAATTAGTTCACTCACAGAGTGGAATGAGATCAGTAAAATGTAGAAGTTTCATTGATACTAAGTGATTTTTTCCCAGCCCACTAAATTTTGTGCCACCAAGTAACAGCACCTGAACACAAAGTACACTAACTCAGTTGAATGTAGCAAGCTACAAAAGAGTAGTATTACAAGTAGTGCCCATTTATCCCGTGTTCTTTCTTTTGGCTCTGTCTCACCACATGCTCTGTTTTGGAAGGGTGGCTATTCCAGTCTTTACGCATTCTGACCTTGTGTTCATACACAGTGTTCCCACCTTTCCTTATACCATCTTCTGCCAAGCTATCTTCATCTTTTTTCTTTTCTTATTTTTTTTTTAATTTTTTTCGAGACAGAGTCTTGTTCTGTCTCCCAGGCTGAAGTGTAGTGGCCCAGTCTCAGCTCATTGCAACCTCCAACTCCCAGGTTCAAGTGATACTCCTGCTTCAGTCTCCTGAGTAACTGGGAGTACAGATGCGCACCACCACGCCCAGCTAATCTTTGTATTTTTAGTAGAGATAGGTTTTCACCATGTTGGCCAGGATGGTCTCTAACTCCTAACCTCATGATACTTACTTTCTATTTATTGGGACTTTAATTTTTTAAAATTGCTAGCACTTTAAAAAACAATTTTTGTGTTTTGGTTATCAAATTGCATAGATTTTGACTCATTTAACCCCAGCCCTACATTTGCTTTACTCTGTTATTTTATTTCTAGAACACGATTTTTTCAGAATATTAGAAATACATATAGAGTATTATAGCAGAAATATCTGTATAGCAGAATTACTAAGAACAAAATAGGGATTATTATCAAAGTGATATGAACAAATGGGGTCACAAGGCTAAGACCGAGTAACCTGACGACGGTCACCGAACCAGTGAGTGACACAACAGGTATGTGAATCCAGATCCATTTCATTCCAAGCCATTTGCTGTCATCATGATAGCATGATGCTTCCAACTCTCCCTGCCACCTTTCCATCACCTCCTCATCCCCAGAGCTAGAAATAGCACATGGGGAAGAACATGCAGTTCCTGCCCGTTCTGCCTGTGTGTGTCTTTGAATGCATATGTATGCTCATCCAAGCATTTATTCCAATGGTCTCAAATCCTACCTCCAGACAGTCAGAAGTTGTCAGCACTTAGGTGACCATAGCGATCTCACTGCACACCCTGTGCCTTCTGGGCGAGGGAACACCTGGCTGGAATCACAATGTTTTACTTGGCTCCCAGAACAGAGGCGTGAGCAATTACAGCAATTACCATGCCTCCTACAGATGACTCGCGCCCAGCCGGTTTGAATGGACTAATGGAGGACTGAATCCAGGCGGGAGTAAAATATCTCCACCATAAACTGAAACATTTTGCTGTTTGAATTGTTGCCAGTTTTTATAACAATTTCCATCTTAAGCTGGCTCAATACACATTTAATGAATTCTTCTATAAAACCTTTAACAGCCTTCAATTCATTTCAAGTGGCAAATGACTCAGCAGTTTTAAACGATGATTTGGGTGCTCTATATTCATTACCTCAAAAGATAAAGTGATTTTTCTTTTTTTTCTTTTTTTTACAAAATGTTCTTTTCTAAACAGAGTTTTCTCCTTGTGCTCACATTCATATAATGTGAAAACACTTATGTCTGCCAATCCTCTTTCTCTCAAGGATGTGATTAAACAAGAGGCGTGCTGTAAGCGCTTCATAATGAAGAGTTGTGATAGATGCTAGGATTACATGTTATGTAACTGTTGTGTCATCATATATCAATAAGCCCTAATGACCTCTTACTGTGTATCACTCGCTTATTTATTCAAGTGGGATTGACATTTACACTTTTTAAAGTACAAAAAAAGTAGAAAGTGGTAGTACACCTTATGACATTTATAAAATATATAAATAAATATATTTATACTAAGCCAGTTAAGAACACTGGCCTTAAAATGCTTCGACACAGAGTCAGGACTAGAAGGTATTAAACAGAGGAGTCTGACTTTTGACTTACTCCTCATACCATACGTATTATGCTTTACCAGATAAAACTCTGCAAACTCTGATAACTTACAGTGCTAGGATGGATACTGACTTTTGGCCATCTGCAACCTTGAGGCCCCTCACCTGCTGCAAAAGTCTTACATTAGCAATTTTAAATGGGGAATAGGGCAGAGCCCCTCCCCACCCCACCCTCACACATATGTGTGCATAAACATAGCATGCACCACCCCAATGCCCTTTGCTACCTCTCCAGTCTCATCTTCCACTATTTCCTGCTTCCTCAATTGGCTTCTGCCCACTGGTCTAGCATGCTTCTGGCTCAGGACCACACACTTGCTATTCCCTCTGCCTGGAAGGTTTCCCCTTCCATAGCTTCATAGCTCTGCTTCATCAAATTTTTGGTTTAAAAATTACCTTTCAGTGACTACTGTATTTAAAATAGTCCTGCCAACACTCTCTTCCTTCCTTCTTCTATTTTTCTACACAGAACTGATTGTGTCTGTTATATATTTTACTTGTTATTTGAAACTCCTCCAGGCCTTCCTTGCCCAATTACTATGTAAAAATCCGCAAGGACAGAATTTGCGTGTGTCTTCTTTGCTGCCCCATTTCAGTGCGTAGAACAGTGTCAGCCACGTAGCAAGCTCTCCCTCACCATTTGCTATATAACTGACTGAATACATGCAATATATTCTTACACACACATGCATCTTGTTTGCTATACAAAACCACACTGTACACCAAGGTTCCCACCACATATGCAGAGAAGAAACTCTTAGTGTGGGCGTAGTAGTTAAAGTATCCTAAAACAAATGAGCCTTGGAATCCACCCTGTTTCACTTTAGAAATCATAGCTTTTTGTTTGTTTGTTTGTTTGTTTGTTTGTAGACAGAGTCTCGCTCTCTTGCCAGGCTGGTGTGCTGTGGCGCAATCTCAGCTCACTGCAACCTCCATCTCCTGGGTTCAAGCAATTCTCCTGCCTCGGCCTCCAGAGTAGCTGAGATTACAAGAGCCCGCTGCCACGCCCAGCTAATTTTTGTATTTTTAGTAGAGACGGGGTTTCACCACGTTGGCCAGGGTGGTCTCCATCTCCTGACCTCATGATCTGCCCGTCTCGGTCTCCCAAAGTGCTGGGATTACAGGCATGAGCCACCGCGCCCAGCAGAAATCATAGTTTTTATTGGAGCACATCCTCTCCAACCTGTCTGAAATTAGGTTAATTTTTTTGTCTACTAAATCCACACATTATCACAGTATATTTTATACACACGGTTTCTAGTTTGCATTTACTTGCATGTTATATTCAAAAAGTACTCCCCAATCCAACTACTTCATGTAAAATAAATGAAATCACATGGAGCAGTTGTCGTCAAATGTGTATTCTAATAAAAGCCTCTTGGGGTTGAAGCATCTTCCTAAGGGGCAAAGGAATTCCTTCTGCGTCTCTTCCTCCAAGCTCATGCTACCATTCCTTGTTTTGAAAACTGGCTAAGAGATGCCATACTTTGGCCTTATTGGTCACCATAAAACTTTAATAACCATGGTGGCTTCAATAACCACTTAATGACAGCTTGTTCTTTATGTTATCCATATTTCTAAGTTTTATCCATTGAGAAACTGAGGCACTCCTTGTCCAAAGGCAGGTTACAAAACAGAAAATGTAAAACCGAACCTGTTACTGAACCAAGGTTTGCTCACACAGCCCAGTGAAGCCCAACACTAGCAGGGAGACTTGCAGAGGGAAATAGGGCATTTGTTGCACGGCTCCAAGCAAGGAGAATGGGCAGATAATGCTTAAGACCTAACCTTCCCAGTGGCTTACAGACAAGGGTTTTTAAAGGTCAGGGGTCTTTTCAGGAAAGCAGATGTTACAGGCAAAATCATAAAGCAATCCATGGCAGTTATACATTGGTTTGCCCTGTGGGTGTGACCCTCTCCAGGCCCCTCGGGAAAAAATTTAGAACAAAGATTGATGGTCAGAGTTCAGTCTTCAGTTCCCCCTTATCTGAGGTCTGTGTGATAGTGGCCGTCATTTTCCATCTGGTGGGGATTTCTCAAGAACAGCCGAAGAACAGATGTTAAGATCATCTTTTAGTTTCTATTGAACCCAAACACCATGTAACTGATTTGTTGGGGAGGCTGCTGCTGCTATCTTTTTGCTCATTTTAATGGTTGCTCACTTACTTTTCAAGACTAGCTAGGTGCCTGCAATTTCACTTGAAGGGACACAAGACTTTTCTTTATTTTCACTTATTTTCACTTGAGACACCCACCAGGCCACTGAGAGGGGGTCCCTGCATTGTCTCAACCCTCTCATATCGAAGCCTGGTAAGCAATATCTTCACTTTCTGCTCTGTGTTGTCCTTGTTATTTTTCATTGGTGGGGAAAATACCAATGACAGCAATAAGTTATCAGCACTCTTCTAAGAAGTCTGCTTTGGGGTTTTCTTCTTAATAAGTCTCCTTCAAAGAGAAGCTTTCTGAAATTATTGTTATTATTATTATTTTGCAATCTGGAGTCACACATGCACTGGTTAATGTCTCACCCAACAGAGGGGACCCAGCATCCTGTCAATTATCTTCCACATATGTTACTGGCTTGTGAGACAATGCCTGATGAGAAGTCAGGTACATTCGTGTGCCACTGATAGGTTCCTGCTTCCTGGGGAGGCAATGCTATTGTAATTTTTTTTTTTTTAATTTTTTGTACCTCCACTGCCCTGGTGAAGGTGTCTAGTGTCCCTGAACACCTGCTGGGTTATGATCTTCACTCAGCGAAGACACCGTTTGTTTTCTAATGAACTATCAGCTCATTTCCTGGAATCAGAACTTCCAAATCCCCTTTGTGATGTGCTCCTTTCTAAACCTCACAAGGGTTGCAGAATATTTCAGCTTCAAGGCTCACAGAAATGCCTGGACACACGCCAGAGACGGAGCAGACGTTTCTGAGCACAGTTGGCTCGGCGAAGGAGTGAGTGTACAACATTCAAACGAGGACCAACTGCAGTGGGTGTTTATTTGAGACCTTTTTCAGAATCACACTCACAGATCTCTTCTGCCTAATCAGAATGGCAGAAGTCATGTGCCGTCACCTTGTTTGTGATTGAAGTCAGGTGAAATAAGAGAAAGTTGAATGACGCTTAGTTTCTAGCAAGGATTCTGCTTTGTTGCAGCTGGACTCATGGCACATTCTGAAGCTGCTCAGCCAGAAGAATGAGCAGCCCCTTGGACTTGCTCTCTCTTTTTCTTCTAGAAAGGCACTTATTACAGGTCCTCCAGGTCACCAAGGAGAGGGATGACCTCTGCTGGGAACTAGTGTCTTCTCTTACAAAGGGCTTCCCTTCCATATCATGCCCTGTGTCTTTGTTCATATCACCCCTTTTGTTCCTCCCACCTCTACACTGGGAATCCCACAGGGCCCTGCCCCAAACCTCTTCCTCTATGAAGTCATCCCTGCTTTTCTCCCCAAGGAAATTTTGGCGTTTCTTTTCCTATGCTTTTATTATAATTCATACAGACCTCCAAGATAGAAGCAGAATTCTTTTATTTTCCTTTTTGTATCCATCTCCTTTCCTGAATGGTAAGCTTCATAAGAAGAGGATTATGACTTTTAAATTTTGATTTCTTCATACTCACAAGAGTGACTGAAAGTATACACACTAAAAAAAAAAAATCATTGAACGAATGAATGGTTAATTCTTTGGGTCTCTCCTGGAATTCAGGAATAATCTTTTTTTTTTTTCTTTTTAAGTCTTTAACCTTTCTCCCTCCAGGGCTTCAGAAGTGATTGACGAGCATTCTAAATTAGAATGAATGTAGGTACTAAAGTTTAAGACCATGGCTGCAAGGCAGCAACAGGCAGGCGCAGAGACGCATTTTGAAAAAGCATATTTTCTAGTCTTTTCAAGCCTAGAAGCTGTATTCCTTGGCCCCAGGGGTGACTAAGACTAAAGCGGTAGAGCTCTGTGGGACTTCAGTCCCTAGTTAGTCTCACTTATGCCACCTGCAAACGAGTAAGGGAATCAACAGATGGCTGAGGTCTATATTTGTAGAATAGAATTACAGGGGGAAAAAATAACCCTTATAACCAGCTCCTGAACTTAAGAAGAAAATTTCTTTCTTTATATTTTTCTACATATGACTTTGAGAGAGGACTGAGGTTGGAGGCAGTACATTTTGAAGAGCAGGTGATCTAATTTTCTCAAGAGGTGAAATGAGCAATGTTACCTCTATGGCTTCCTGAGACGGTTTGGCAACATTTGTAAAACTGTGATCAGCCAGTGGCCACTGATGAGGCAAAGGGGGTCATGTTTGGGATAACACTAACATTAATAATGGAGGAAATCATTACCTACTGACCATACAGACTTGTTCTGAGAAGTCTGCAAATGTACAGGTCATACTAGTGACATGAAGACTCATATCATCTTATTAAGTAATTTGTCATCTAAGAATGATAATATCTTAATTCATTTCAGAGTATTCAAACATAGCTACCCTCAAATTATTGCTTTTTAGCCATTGTAAACTACTATTCTTAGTCTTCTAAGTATATATATATTTTGCTTAGTCCAATATGGACTACTTCTGTAAGGCAAGATGCAAGTAAATCATTTCTAGATGAAAAAAGTCATTTCAGTTTATAGACAGCAGGAACTTTTTCTCATTTGGTGGAAGATCATATTTTACTAATTAAGAACAACTGGTTTAAAGTAGATAAGGCTCAAAAAATGCCACAGACACCAATGAGGAAGGAAATCACACACTATATATAGGCATTACCTTTAGAACAATCCAACATGAGAATTAAAGCAAATTTTCTTTAGCTTTCTTAAAAACTTCCTTCTGGGTCTCTGGGAACTGAACTGAATACAAAAGAGCCATTAAGAGAATTGAATTTTCAGCTCATTGAAACCACAGCTTCATAAAGACACGATAACTCTCTTATAAATCCTTAATTTTCCGCTAAACAAGTGAAGTTGGAATCAGTTGACTTCCAAGCCTTTGCAGTTATTTTTCTCAGGGAATAGGGCCAAGCCAGTGAGAAAGCCACCATGTTGAATCGGGCCATGTCACATTCAAGAGGCCTGGGGAAAGCCAAACACATTTGGTAGAACAAACACCATCATAAGTTGTTATAGTGTACATGTTTCTCTTAGACTGTATGGCACTTAAAGGGCTAATGTGTGACTGGGAACAACTTAAAAGAAAAGTTCATTACAACTCGTTAAAAATAAATAAAAATCTAAATCAATTTCCATTAGTTAATGTGTAGATATTGCACATGTCTTGAGAATTTTATTATAAATTCATGCTGAGCCTGTGAGTAATGGTGGTTAGTCCATGTCTACTTCCCTAATAAAAAGGAACAGGAGGCTGTATCCAGTACTTTCGTATTAAATGAAATATTTAAAACATGTCCTCTTGTTTCTCATGGCCATGTCCTGATTATGTCAAGCCAAATTAGATGAGTATATAAATCGGAGTAAACAAAAGTGACAGATAAATGAAATGCATGGGGACATTCCCATGAAAACCACCTATGAACTCTATACTAGGTGGCAATTTCACAGGCCATCATCTGGGTATCCTAAAGAAGCAGCCAATCTTCCAGAGGTACTATGTTTGTGCCAACACCCTGCCATTCTCTCTCCATCTCTGCCATGTGTTTGATTTTTTTCACCCAAGATTTATGGCGTCTTCTATGAAGATAAACAGACGAGTAAGAGAGCTCTACAATCCTCTTCCATTTGTCTTTTTGCATTAATAAAACTATTCTAGTTTTATCCTTTTTAAACATAAAGCTACTTCATGGAATGCATGGAATACTATTTGTAAGTCTGGCAATAAATATTCTTACATTTTGGTCTGTGTTTTGCCTTTCCTCCATGTACAATTGCAAACAATCGTCAAATGCTTAGAAGCCCAATACAGTGTTTCTGGAAGCGTTTTATATTATGAACACTGTGTTAGGACTTAGAAGTAAAACTCTGAGCAGTATAGAGGAGGCCTCTGGCCTAAAGAACTTATAATCTAATGAAAGAGAAAGGAGAAAGGCATAATAGAATATGATCATTTTCACGATAAGGAATTCAAGGTACTATGGAAGCATACAAAAATGTACATAAACTGTTTTGGTGAACCAGAAATGGTTTCCTAGAGGAATTGATGATTAAGACCAGAAGGTTAGCTACAAGTTACCTAGATAAAGGCATGAGTTACCTAGATAAAGGGATGCTTGTTCCAATCAGCAGGAACAGTATGAGAGAAAGCAGAGAGGCAAGAAGTAGTGTGATGCTGAAAAAAAAAAAAAGTTCAAAACATCCAAAAAAATCACTATAGCACTCTTAAGAAATTGGCCTGATGACTCCAAGGAAGGTGCAGAGACAGGTGAGGAAAGGCCTTGTAGACAAGGTCACAACTGCAGATTTCACCTGAAGCAAGAGGAGTGATGCTATAAATTTGCATGTTGGAAAAGTTGCTGTGGCTACAGCGTGGAGAATGCATTGTAGGGAACCCAGCCTAGAAGCAGGGAGATGGGTTCCCAGAGTGGATTTAGCCATAGTATAGAAACAGCTCAATTTTATTGAGAGCTTATCATGTGTTGGACACTATTTTAAGTATTGTATGTGAGTTATCTCCCTTAATTCTAACAACCCCATGAGGTAAATATGACTATTCTTCCTGTTTTGTGGATGAGGTTAGGACACAGAAAGACTGAGTCATTTGCCCAAGTTTACGTAACTAGGAAAGGATATATTCAAAGTTTTTGTTTTATAATTCCAACTTTCATTTTCGATTCAGGGGGTACACATGCAGAATGTTACATGGATATATCACATGACGCTGAGGTTTCGGGTACCATTGATCTTGTCCACCAGCTGGTGAGCATAGTACCCAACAGTTTTCCAACCCTTGCCCCCCTCCCTGTCTCTCCCCTCTGGTAGCCCCCAGTGTCTGTTGTTGCTGTCTTTATGTCCATGTGTACCCAATGTTTACCTCCTACTTATAAGTGAGAACACGTGGTATTTGGTTTTCCGTTTCTGTGTTGATTCACTTAGGATAATGACCTCCAGGTACATCCATGTTGCTGTTGCTGCAAAATACACGATTTCACTCTTTTTGTAGCTGGGTAGTATTCCACGGTGTATATGTACCACATTTTCTTGATTTAACCCACGGTCCATGGGCACCTAGGTTGATTCCATGTCTTTGCTGTTGTGAATAGTGCTGTGATGAGCATGCAAGTGTATGTGATTTTTGGTAGAATGATTTCTTTTCCTTTGGGTATATACCAAGTAATGGAATTGCTGGGTCATGTGATAGTTTTGTTTTAAGTTCTCTGAGAAATCTCTAAACTGCTTTCCACAGTGGCTGAACTAATTTGCATTCCCACCAACAGTGTATAAGTGTTCCCTTCTCTCTGCAGCCTCACCAGGATCTGTTGTTTCCTGACTTTTTAATAACAGCCATTCTGACTGGTGTGTGATGGTATCTCATTGTGGTTTTGATTTGCATTTCTCTGATGCATATCCAAAGTTTTAACCGAGAAAGTCTTTTTTTTTTAAGATGGAGTTTAGCTCTTGTTGCTCAGGCTGGAGTGCAGAGGCTCGATCTCGGCTCACCGCAATCTCCACCTCCCGGATTCAAGTGATTCTCCTGCCTCAGCCTCCTGAGTAGCTGGGATTACAGGTGCCTGCCACCATGCCCGGCTAATTTTTTGTATTTTTAGTAGAGACAGGGTTTCATCATGTTGGCCAGGCTGGTCTCGAACTCCTGACCTCAGGTGAGTCACCCACCTTGTTCTCCCAAAGTGCGGGGATTACAGGCATGAGCCACCATGCCCAGCCATAACCCAGAAAGTCTTAGACCAGAGCCATATTCTTTTTTTTTTTTTTTTTTTGAGACAGGGTCTTACTCTGTCACCAGGTTGTAGTACAGTAGTGTGTCTTGGCTCACTACAGCTTCTGCCTCCCAAGTAGCTAGGGCTACTCCAGCCCTTCTGAATAGCTAGGACTATGGGTGTGTGCCACCACACCTGGCTTTTTTTTTTTTTTTTTTTTTTTTTAGATACAAGTTTTGGCCATGTTTCCCAGGCTGATCTCAAAATCCTGAACTCAAGTGATCCATCTGCCTTGACCTCCCAAAGTGTTGGGATTATAGATACGAGTCACTGTGCCCAGCCCAGAGCCCATATTCTTAATAACCACCGACCTATATATAATACTCTGACCTTGGTGACATTAATGGAGGCAGAGGACAGATCCTAAGAACTCAAGAATAAGGCAGTTCCAGGTCAGAACCAAGTTTTTCATGGTTAAGGCTGAGCTGAGCATCTGGAATCATGCAGTTCCTAGTGGAAATGCACCCAAGCCAAAGAGGTGGAGATAAGGGTGCAGGTCAAATTAAGAGGTCATCACACACATCAGCAGAGGAGATCAGACACAGGCGGAGTAGAGAGAGAGGACTTCAAAACACACACAAAACCAAACAAAGCAGAGAAAAGCAGGTTGTCAAAAGATGAAGGAAATATTCAGGGACTAAGAAATTCTCAGGCACTAAAGGAATAGAGCCAGGCAAGCAAGAGAACAGATGTGAAATAACAAATCAGGGCAGAATTTGCTATTGGAGACAGATTTTTGCCTCAGGCCTGGTGCTTTTTTATAGTTCTTGTTGAGTTCCAAACCAGAGTCTTTATGGCTTCTGAGCCTTGCCCTGCTGGGGTGCAGAGAAGGGAGTAGATAATTGGGAACATGTGGTCAAATTGACGCCTGTCAGAAGATGGGGAGTAGCACTTTATAACAGGTTCATCCTGAGAAGAACATGAAGGATATACCATAAATACTTGTTATTAACAGACTTGTGAGTTCCTCTATATTGTGGAAACTCAATAAAGATTTGTTGTATGGATGAATAAATAAGTTTATTTTTATTGCACTATCATTGACTAAATGAAAGAGGAGGCCTCTGTACACTTAAATTCCCTTCCTAATATAAAAAGATAATGGACAGCCTTCTTCATAATAAGTCTATCACTAAAGATAAACCTTAGATTCCTGATCCCTTAACCAATATTATAACATTAAAAGTTATATTTAAGGCCGGGCGCGGTAGCTCACGCCTGTAATCCCAGCACTTTGGGAGGCCGAGGTGGTGGATCATGAGGTCAGGAGATCGAGACCATCCTGGCTAACATGGTGAAACCCTGTCACTACTAAAAATACAAAAAATTAGCTAGGCGTGGTGGTGGGCGCCTGTAGTCCCAGCTACTTGGGAGGCTGAGGCAGGAGAATGGCATGAACCTGGAAGGCGGAGGTTGCAGTGAGCCGAGATTGCGCCACTGCACTCCAGCCTGGGAAACAGAGCGAGACTCTATCTCAAAAAAAAAAAAAAAAGTAATATTTCCAATATTGTATAGTTAGTAAAAAGAAAGATTATGAATATTAAAAAAAGGGAAGATCTGGCTTTGGAAGCCTGTTCTACACTGACCAGCCACAGCTCCTCATCTGGAGAACTGAAACTCCATGCTAGGTGTAAACAGAGTTGAGACTATAAAAATAAACCCTTAAGTATATAGACAATTGATTGTGTTACAAATGTGCCAAGGCAATGAATTCATTGGTGAAAGTAGTCTTTTCATCAAATAGTGCTGGAATAATTGAATATCCACATGAAAAAGATTAACTTAGCTCCTCACCTCATATATGAAAGTTAACTCAACGTGATTAGTGAAGAGATGAAACAATTTTTTATAAGAGACCATAAGAGAAAATCCTTGAGACATTGCGCTAGGCAAAGATTTCCTACATAGGATACCAAAAAAAAAAAAAAAAAAAAAAGGTAAATTGGGCCTCATCAAAATTTGAAACATTTGCACTTCAGAAGACACAATTAAGGAAATAAAAAGACAAGCAATGGATTAGGGGAAAATATTTGCAAAGCAGAAATCTGATAAAGAACTTGCATTCAGAATTTACAAAAACCACTTACAACTCAATTATTGAAAGACAAACAACCCATTTCTTAAAAGTGGGCAAAGGATACAAATAGGTATCATCCCAAAGAGGACATGAATAGCCAATAAGTACATTAGAAAGATGCTCAATATTTTATTTACTAGGGAAATGCAAATTAAAACCACAACAAAATACCACTTCATATTCACTAGAATAGCTTACTAAAGAAGACAGACATTTTGATAAAGTTATGGAGAAATAAGAACCCTCATACATTGTTGGTGGGAATGTGACATGGTGCAACCACTTTGGAAAAGAGTTTGGGAGTTTCTCAAAAAGTTAAACCTAAAATACATCATGATTCAGTAATTCCACTCTTAGTTGTATATTCAAAAGTAATAAAAACTTGTCCACAGGAAGACCTGCACATAGATGTTCATAAAGGTTCATAACAGCATTATTCATAATAGCCAGAAATGGAAATGACCTAAATGCTCATTAACTGTTGAATGGACAGACAGAACACATTCTATCCATACACGAACTACTACTGAGCAATGAAAAAAAAGGAACTGCTGACACATGCTATGTCACGGATGAATTTAAATCCTTGGGCTGAGTGAATGAAAGAAGACACAAGACACTGCATCTTGTATGGTTCCTTCATATAAAATGTCTCCCAAAGGTACATTTATAGGGGTGGAAAGTAGATTAGTGGTTGCCTGGGGTTAGGGGAAGGGGTATGGATTAGATGATTTATAAATGGGCAAAAGGGACCTTACTGGGGGGATTAAGTGTTCTAGGACTGATTTACTATGATAGTCATAATTCTACCACTTGATAAGGTTAGTAAAAATTACTGCATTTCACATTTGAAATGGGTAAATTTTATGAAATGTGAAATATACTTCAATAAAGTTATTTTAAGCCAATAGTAAGAATTAAATAAGTTAATTACCCAAGAAATGTTCATTTCTTTACTATCTCTTTCACTTTATTATAGTTGACAAGGAGTGCCAGAAGCAGAGCACCATGCCTTCTCTTTTTCACCCTCTTCTCATATAAACCATTTTTTCCCATTAAAAAATATAAATAACTAAAGAAAAGTTTAAGTGATCAGTTTCTACTCTTAGAAAACTTCTGTTTTCTCTTCACATTCAAGACAGAGGGCTCTGAATAAGAAAATCTGAACAACGCCTCCCTCTCCAGAGCAGCCTGCCTTCCCACCTTCCCTGTCGGGCTCTTGACGGCACAGATGCTTCGCACAAGCCCAGCTGGTGGAGTCCAATGTCGCTGGCTTTGCTGAGTGCCTGGGTGAGGACGTTGGCCTCAGCATGTTAGCAATCCCTATTTGCTGGTTCTAATAGATACATTTTGCCTCCAGCAAAAAGTCTGCGAATAGTTAATAAGAATAATGAGCAGTAGCAGAGAATTAATGGCCTCTTTATGAGAGATGGAGTTCGGTGTTCAGTGTTCTTGAATAGGAAAATTGTTTTATAGGCAAAATTAACTGGAAAGACCTTATTTAGCCAATTTTAAGGTAATGGGTTTTGGCTTCAAAATGTCAGTAAATGCAGGAAGGAAGAGTCCAGGTAAGGTTTGAGCCACTCACATAGCATTTCCTCAATTACTGAAAAGAGCAGGTTTGCCCCTCTGCAGCAGGTGGAAGCATGAGTAGTTGCAACCCCTTGCAAAAGGAAAACAAAGACAGCAATTTCTGTAGGTGCATTTGAGCTTTATCTTGGTTTACCTTTTGCCTTGCACATTTATTTGTTTTTTCCAGGGATGCTGAAACCATCAGGGCATTCATGTTACCTTCAGTGGCTGGCCATGCTATACTCATCTGGGTGAGTGATCCTTACCTACTTCACTGTTTATGACCTATGTTCAGCATAATACATCCTGAAAATGCTCAGCCAGATCCCCAGTTGGCCAGTTCCCAGGTGAGCCCTGGAGCCCCCCTGTGGATGGTAGCTCTAGACACCTGGATTTGAGAGATGCCGTCAATAGGAACATAATGGTCCAATTGATAGGGGTGCTGGGTTACGCCCTAAGCAAGCAGGCTTTTCCAGTCATGTATTGATTTAATCTATTTAAAAAACAAACAACAACAACAACAAAAAAGAACTAAAACACAACAACAACATTATACCAAACATTGTTGAAATGCTGGTAAGTCATTTCAGGCCACTAGTCAGATTGTTAAAACTGGCCTAGCAAGGATGAGGCCAGTAAACATGGAAAGAAGGTCACCAAAGAAAACCACACCCACTCAGTTCCTCAAAATTGTCATCATCTGGGCAGTGTTCATGTCCATTTACAGGACAATTCCTGTTGAAGAAGGCAGGTGTCAACAACTGCATCTAGTTCCAAAGCTTTTTTGTTGTTGTTGTTTCTGTGCGTGCACCATCAATTTGCTCTTTTACTTCATTAGTAATAATATGATAATGTGCCGGGCACTGTGCTGAGTTTGGCAGGGAAAAGAAGACACCTTCACAACCCTCTCAAAAGTTCTCACAGACTGTCAGGTCTAAATCTGAGGCCCACGGGGAGCTTTGGGGAAGAATATGCCAGTTGTCTTCAGAATAGTTTCAAAGGGTAAAGCATGTCAGGACAGTACTATGTACAAAATAGGTACCAAAAAGCTGCACAGAGGATGTGCTGAGATATGCTTTATAAAATGATTAGAGGCATGAGAGAAAGGAATTTTCAGGACTATTCCAGAGGAAGAAAATAACACAAGTGAGGCCAAGTGACAGGAAGGCCCGAAGGATTCAGGGACCAGTCAGGAGTCCAGCTTGACTGGCATAAGGGGATGGAGGTAGATGAACCTGGTACAAAGCACTGTGGAGAGCACAGAGTAGACAAAGCAGGCGCTCATGATATTCCTTCAGTTAAAATCGTAGCATGGAGGTACATGAAGAAAATTGTGCAATAATATGGTTAATCTGGTGGTTGCACGCACAATAGATTCAAATGGGGAGAGTTGGGAAGGGGGAATTCACTTGGGAAATAATTGGTCCCGCACAGCTCATGCCAGTGGCTGAAGAGAAGGGAATTTGGAGTGAACCTGGAATTAAGAACAGTGTAGAAGCCAGTGTAGTTAGCAATCCAGGCAAAAGATAATAACTTGAATTTGAATTATCCTGGCTTTGGTAACAAATATATATATACACACACATAAAAATGTGGGGGTGTGTGTATATATATGTATATATGAATGAATAATTTTGGAGATAGGATAGCTTCAGACTAATGACAGAGAATGTTCAAGATATTAACAGAAACTGATCTCCAACACAGATTAGGTGCCTTTTGTCACTTCTTCACGTCAATCTGTTTTCCTCATCTACTCCCTTCAATGTCTCTCACCTTTAGTTTATTCTCTTATGAGGAAGAACTGATCGCAAACTTCCCTTCAATCCTGTTCTCCCTGCAAAAGACTAGAAAGTGCTACACAAAGGAAGGTCTTTTAGAACAGACATGTCCCTTAGGTTGGAGGCACCTACCTCTAATCTGCAACTGCCTCTAACATGAGGGACAATTGTCTTTAGTGTTATCAGTGCTTGGCATAGCCTGAGACCCAGTAAAGTTTCAATGAACACTTGCTGAATGAATGAATAAATGAATGAAGACAGTGTCTTCATACCTCAGTGCAAATTAAGGTAAATTAATCCCAGCAGCTCTATCTTCTTTAAAGGATTCTATCAGGATCAAAATACTCTTCTTTCTCCCTCTCCTTCTCCTCCTCAGAACACCATCACTACCAACAACTAGTGATTGCTAGTGTTTGCTAGCATTTCCTATTTTTTGCTAGGCATTTCCTATGCTTGTGTCAATGTGGTCAGCAGGCGTATTCATCCCAATGAATTGTGGCTTCCTCTGCTTCTATAGCTGTCTCTCCTATGGCAGAGTTAAAACCAGCCAATGCAACTCATCTGGACACAGTCTTCTCAATTAAATTTTCAAGAGAGAATGAAATGAATTGTCCTGAGCTCCCTCTAACAAAGCTTTCTTCCCTTCAAAGAGCGCCCCAACAAAACTAAGCAATTAAGGATATTTGCCTTACTCCCAAGCCAGCTCCCACTGCCTTCCTTGAACTGATTTTCTTCTGGGGAATGAGACAAAATGGAAGAAGGTGGCAAAGAATTCTAGAATACAAGCAGCATACTCACATCAGGCCCCAGGGGTTCATAGAACCAAGAGGAAGGTGCCGCAGAGGTGACTGGCTTTGAAGGAAACTCACAGAGATAATTAATTTGATCACACAGGCAGACACTGAGGTATTTGTCAAAATGTCAGGGTTATGGTGAGTGCCAATATATTTGCTTTCCAATGCATTCATTTTTTAAAAAGCCTATATCTAATGTGACATTGGACACAGTCCTTTTTCCCCTCATCACAGTTTTCTGTTAGGAAATATGATATGCTAGTTTTCCTTTGGGAGTGGAATTTATACATAGAGACCTCCTACCACACAAGGAAAGGAGAGCTATTTATTTGTTTGTGTGTTTGTTTCTTTTAGGAAGGTTCAAGAAATACATAGCAGTAAGTGAATAACAGGCCTATTTTTTTCTTTGTGCTAAACCTAAAACCCAGCTGAAAAGAGAATCATAGAGAGAATAGAAGATTGGCACATGACAGAGCCTTGGACTCCCTCCCTGAAGTAAACAGAGCAACATCTCACACCTCCTGTTGGAGTTAACCAAGTGATACCATTTGTATATCTGCCCTGCCCAAACCTCATGTTGAAATGCAATCCCCAAGGTTGGTGGTTGTGCCTGGTGGGAGGTGGCTGGATCATGGGGGTGGATTTCTCATGCATGGCTTAGCACCATTCCTTTCATGCTATCCTCACAACAGTGAGTTCTCGTGAGATTTGGTTGTTTAAAAGTGTGTGTCACCCTGCCCCCATTCTTGCTCCTACTCCCTCCAGGTGAGATGCCTGCCTCCCTTTGCGTTCTGCCATGACTGGAAGCTTCTTGATGCCTTCTCAGAAGCAGATGCTGCTAGGCTTCCTGTACTATCTGCAGAACCATGAGACAATTAAACCTCTTTTCTTACAAATTACCCAGCCTCAGGTATTTCTTTATAGCAATGCAAGAATGGTCTAATACACAAAGGCAGCCTCCTACCTGTCTTTCTCATGCTACCTACAGAAAATTTCTTAAGTCCAGATTTGCCCAGAGTCTCCTGGGAAGATGCTTGATTGCCCTACAGAGAAGTCTGTCAGTGTGTTACCATGGATGATTTATTTTATGCCAAAAGATCTGCAGGTTGATCATCCTAACCCAGAGATTAACTTAAAATGGAAAAGGTAAAAATAATCAGCTCCTACTGAAATGACACAGTGTCCATATAGCTACTGTTGAAACACTGAAATTATAATTTATCTTATAATTAATAGGAAAGAAGAACAATCTGTTGCTCCTCAAGTGAATTATTGAGACAACTGGGGAAAATGTGCTAAAAAATACTGTGTAGGAGAATTCTTAAAATGGAGACTGCTCAGCTGTAAAAAATGTTATGTGAAAGACTTCCATATATTGGGCCATTAATTATTTTGGTTTCTGTAGATTTCAGAAAAGATCTTTGTTTTCCTCCAGGGAGCAGTGGCGCTAAATAGGTAATGCTCTCTACAGGCTGCTCTTTCATGAATCTTCAGCTTTCTGGCCATCAAAGAAGTCCTTCCCCCAACCCTGCCCCCTCCCTTCTCTGTCAGATCCGCCTACTCTTTTTTGGAATGTGTGCCTCATGGAAGAATTTAAAGGTTTCTCAGCAAATGACATAGAATATTTCAGAGATGTCATTTTGGTCCTACTAAACCTCTAGACTTGGACTTGGGTGTGTGTACTAGTTTCTTATCTGCTGTGCAATCTTGGGAAGTATTTAAAATTCTGAGTTTTATTTTCTGGAGATGTAGATGGTCATAAGAGATACGATTATAACCCTAAATATTTTATGTGTTGACTACTGTTGTAAATGCTTTATGTACATCAGCCCATTTTATCCCTTCTGTACTTTTCAAGAAGCCATGAGGCCCAGGGAGGTTAAATGATCTACCCAAGGTGAGGTGGTCCTGAGACAAATGGAAGATTATTCAGTACAGATCTTGCGGAAGGAGCTTAATCAGTGTCCTCTCTCCTCCCCTTTTCCCCTGATTTTCACATCCTTACAAATGCTTCTCTGCAAGACTAAAAACCACCATGGATATAAAGAACGGGGCACAATGCACTGCTTTCAGAATTCTGCCACTTCTGTAAAGGCACAAAATATATAGTTACAGTTGAAGGTAGGTCATTTTACAACTATGCCACTCTTAGAGTCTAGCTTGGTGTCCTATTTTCATTGTAAAATTTAGTAAATATGTTTGGTAGAGCACATGTGCTCTAATTTAAGGGCATCAGTCTGGGGTCAGGAAGCCGGTAGCTGGCTCAGCTCTGTAGCTGATTTTGGCAAATCCCTGGATGATCCTTGGGTACAGCACAATCATGCAGCCTCAGTTTACCCATCTATATAATAGGATTTGTAACAACTGCTTTCTTCTTTCAGCTCAAGTTACTGAAGAAATAAGAATTCTCAAATGGCACAGCTGCATCCATGTCTGCCAGGGAAGGGAAAACACAGCTACTCCCACCTTTAGCAACTTTGTTCTGAGCACAGGTCAGTTAAGAGTCACCAAGGCAATTGCTATTTTTGGCCATACTTCAAGGGGCCATTTATACACCTCAGCTCAGCTTGCAGTCTCTACTAGGCCCACTGGCTAAACCGTGTTAGAGAACCAGTAACTATTATTGGATTTAGTCCAAAAGGTAGACGATGAAAACACATCTGTGTTCAGAGCATCTATGAAAGCACAAGCTGTAGCATCTTCATTCCTGTGAATGGAGAAACAAGAGACTTGCTGGGATTTCCACAAACAGGATTCCTGCAGAGTGGTTTTGCTAAAAGGCAGACAGCAGGGCAGTAACAGCTGTGCTGTGACCAGGTCCATCTTCAACCACAGGAACTCTCTCAGGATAAATATATAATGTGTGTGTGTGTGTGCGCGCATGTGTGTGTGTGTAATATACATATTACACAGAGAAAGAGAGAGACAGACTAATCATTTAAATGCGTATGATATGCTGGAGAGGCAAAACAAACTTCCTTCTGAGACTCAGCCCAAGAATATTCAGCCAGCTGAAGAAGGATACCAGGAGATGAGAAATTTCAGTCTCAACTTTTCATGGCAGAAAAAAAGAAGGAACTAATAGTCTTCCAGAAGAGAAAAAAATCAAGATTCATTCTCCTGCAAAGGTTACAAATAATGTTGACTGTTTCTCTCCCACCTCTTCCTTCCTTTGGTATTCATCAAGCAAAATGCTAATACATGGAAAGCCTTCCAATTTAGGTATTTCCAAATGCAGTCTCGTTCAGACGAGATAAACCCAGCTTTATTACAGTCACCACGTTGTTTTTGACAGCATGAAAATGGAACTGTATCAATCCTCTCAGGCCCTTCTCCCAGGACTCCCTCTTGAGTCTGAGTTCTGGTCAGCAGGGCAGCCGGGTTGATGGGTTTTACCTGCAGACTGGGGGCCAATAAACAGAACAAAGCCCAAATAGCATCCTCACCAGCGTGCCTCTCCAAGAGGCTCCATATCTAGGAACTATTCATAACAAACCCGTCATGTCCCAGTTACAGCCTTAAAATCGCTATGCAAATTAGCAAGGGAGTGAAAGAAGCCATAGGATTAGGCAGGAGAATTTTTTAAGGCAATATCTATCACTTAGCCATTGTTCTGGTTGTTATTATAAGTGGCATAAAAGAAACATCTACCACATGCCCAGAGTCCATGCGTTGAATTCTGAACAGTTTGCTTCCCTTGCTCTATGCTCTGCTGTCACTTTCACTCTATTTTTCACTCTGTTTTTCCTGAAACTCTTGACTGCCAACCTTCCTGTCTATCTAACATTTACTTTCTCTCCATGCTGCTGGGGCTTGGCGCAATCATTCCTGGGCCTCTCACCTACGCCCTTTCCTGTTCTCCTGGGCTCTTGCTACCTGTGGATAACCGTTCTGGAGCAGCCCTTCCTACTTAGCCTGGCCACCAGATGTCCTGGTCCAAATGTAGCCCTTCCAGATCACATGAGATCTATACCCCACACCCATCTACCCAGACAGGATAGTGTTACAAGGGATGCAAACAGAGTTTATCAGCAAGTAACAAAAATACTGTGCATCTATTACACCCAAAGTACTCTCTCAGCTAGCATGGGGTTACTGAAAGTGATAAAATTAGATCATTGGCATTTTTTGTAAGTTGCCCAAGATAGTCTGGCAAAGAATGTCACATCCAAAATTTACTCCAGCAAATTTTGCTTTTAAAATATGTAAATATATCATTAATATTATAATCGATATATTAATATTAATAATATATAATGTTAGTGAATAATATTAATATATAATTAATTGGTATATAATATATATAAGATCCCTTCTCTCAATTTGCTGTCTTGCTTTGGGACAAATCATAAAAATAAATTTAAATAATCCAATACTAAACAACAACAAAGACTACAAGATAGGAAATGTCACAGGGAGGAGTGTGATCAGTTGCTGAGTGATAGGCTCAGTGAAGGCTGTGAGTTAGAAGTAGGGAGGTCACCACGTACTAAAAGCTCTACGGTGAAGGTGAAGGTGGTGGCCGAGGAGGCAGCTGGAGCAGCCTTTCTTGAAGGACTGCATTAGGTGTATGGTGGTAAATACCACAGAGAGCATGATAACCCTGGCAGTGCGGGATAGTTCAGCAGACACCTAGGAAGATGTCACCATAGGACTGGTTCAGAAATAGAAATTTAAGATATTACTTAAGACTGAGGTTAAGTGGAATTTTCTTATGTTTTGTTGTTTCCATAAGAAACAAAACAAAACAACAACAAAAAACACACACACAAACACAAATTCTTTATGATCCCAGGAACTCGCATCTCCCTTTCAGTGCTTGCAACCAGGCGCAAGAAATCAATTTGTTTTGCAAATGGTCTTTGGAATGACTTAATGTTTGGTTTTGTTTTATTAAATAACACTTCACAGATGACAAGCAGCAAAATTTCATCCTTGCAAATATGGAAATTGCTCAAGCACCACAAAGCCATAGCCAGGTTGATGTTTCGCCTATTCAATCCTTCCTCTTTTCCATACCCCCATAACCCTGATCTTACTGACTTGATGCTTTTGAAGCCCAGCTCTGCCTTTGATCTATTCTGTCTCATTATTAGCTCAAGTTATTTGATGTCTTACAGGTCATAAATATTTTGATATTGAGATTTCCAAAAGAGCCACTTACCTAAGGCAAGCTGGGAGCAGCTCTTTCTGGAAGATCCCTTTGCCCAAGATACTCTAAGATCCATCATCTGCCTGGCTTCTTTGATAAGGCTGTCTTAAGGTGACCTTGGGCCTTCCCTCTACGGATGTCTAATATAATGGCAGTAGAGTTAAGGCTGGAGGTGGAGGTACATTCAGTAGTTGGGCACTGTTAAGTTCTGCTTTCCTGATTTTAAAGGCAGAATTTTGTGTTGCTGACAGATCTGGGAGACACTCTACTTCCCAGCCCACAGTTAAAAACAGTTGGTTTTAACAATATAGACACTAAAAGCCATAATGCAAATAAGATGAAGCACAGCTGTGATAAATGTGTCTTATCCAGGGTGGTGCTGGAAACATGATCTGGACTCACAAATCCCGCTATTGGGTAGCGACATAAATCCAGAGGGATGTGTTGTCAGCCGCAAAGGGCAGGGGGAACCTGTGAAGGAGGAGTCTGCCTCTAAATCATGGCAAAGGTAAATAAACATCTTCAGAACCTAGATGATCATCCTTCAGAAGGTGGCCCACGGGAACAGATTTATTCACCCCGCGTTGAAAGCCACCAGAACTGGAAGAAACTCTAATCTGCAATCATTTTTCACAAAGGCGGGGCAAGGGTTGAGTCATACTATTTCTCAGAACATACCATTTTATTTTCTTTTATTCTTTCATATAAAGTTGAAACGTTATAATTATATCTTAAAGTATTGTAATTATTGTAGATTTTCATAGAAATAAAGCCATATATCAGTGGGGGAAAAAAACCCTTTGTCAGATCATGTATTCCAATTTTGGCGTAGGAAATTTATGGACACCATAAGCTAGAAAGCTCACACTGTGACAAGGTCTGCCTGGGTAAAAATGAAGAGCTCCTACCCACGGCTTTTCAGTTTCTGGCAGGAAACAAGGGATAAAAGAAAAAGATCATGGAATTTTCATGTTTACTCCCTTCAGCTTTTCTTGTTGTTGTCATTATATTCATGACACAAATAATAATAGTGCTACACTATTTGTGTACTTCACCATTTATAAACTGTTTCCATGCATATTAGTGTGACACACATCCTAGGAGGATGATAGTTATCATGCCCATTTCACAGGTAAGGACATTATAGACAGAGAATAAGAGAATTGTATAAGTTTGCAGGGTGAGTAAATAGTTGATCTGAGCCGGCCGCCAGATTGTATGTCTTCTCAAGAGATACTTTGAACTTTGTACTCCCCCACATTGTTATAAGAGCCCTGGAGTCTCCCTGGCCCCACTGACCACTGAAAAAATAATGGGGGACAGAAAAAGACATCACTACCGTGCAAATTTCCAAAGACCCAAGAATCAAATTGCTTTGAATAGTAGGGAGAGTTACAAGACTGATTTTTAGAAATGTAGAGACCTCAGCCCCAGCCAAAGGGAAATCACACTTGCCTAGATCAAGGCACTGTGTACTTTTTCTCTGATGCATTTATCACAGGAAAATTTAGATTTAATTGTGTGATCACTTAATTAAGTCTGCCTCTCTCAGTAGGCTGGAAGTTCCACCAGAGCAGGGATTTTACTTGCTCCTTTGCACACCATTTCGTCCTCGTGTCTCGTACACTGTTTGGCACTCAATAAGTATTAATTGAGTGGTTGAATGAATGAACTAATGAGGGGAACTAGACTCTAAAGAAAGAGATAAATATGGCTTTCCCTTTGAAATAAGGAATCTCATATTAAATATGAGAAGAATTAGATGGGGCAGTGTGATCAACACAACCCACTCCTTTTGATTCTATATGTTTCAGAATAGAATCTTATCAATGTTCCTTTTATTTTCAGCTGCTGGCACCTCATTGTAGGAGATCAAAACAGTCAGTTCTGTTGAGGGTGAAAGGGAAGGAAGGCATGGGAGAAATAGTATTCGGATGGAACAAAAAGTAAAATTCTTGGTGGAGCATGATAGCCACAATAAAAGGAGAATGTCACTTCCAAAATATGCAGGTGGAAATAGCCATTATTACCATTGTTTCTAAAAGAGATAACCTGAACTCCAGTCCAAGCAAGGCATGTACCATGAATTCCTTGGGAGATGGTCCCTTTGCTTTCTGGCTGTACCCGCTTGAGATGGCCAGATTTGTTAAGAATCTAGTCAAGGAGATAGGGAAAGGTAAGCAGTTGGACAGGGGCTTTAACCTCAACCTTGGCCTCATTAGTAGTAACTTTAACTAAACTGAGCCAAGTGGCTTTGGTTCTAAATTCAGCTTCTGTATTTTTATTGTCCTTTTTTCCTCTGTCGTAACTGTAGTTTTAGAAAGGTCACTGTGAGGTCAAGTTGACATATGCAGCATCTCGAAATGGTAAATGGTCTGTAATGAGGGAGAAGCTTGTCATGCACTCAGCACCACTGATTTCTTCTGAAAGAATATTAGTTGCTAACAGCAATAGAACATTCTTGGAGTCTTTAGACTTTTTGCTATTGAATGCCAAGTTTTTAATTTGCTGCTCTTAAATCAAGTAGAATTTTGCTTTAGTAAGAAAGAAGTAATTTATATATAAGTTCACAAAAAGTGCTTTTAACTTGGAACAACAGGTAGGGGTGTGGAGGTTGATTTTCCAAGTGTAACTGGTAATGCAAGAAGTGTCTTATTGACACTTATCTCCAGCTTACACATACGTCAGCCTCTGGATATATTAATACTAATAAGGAAAAAAAGTGCTCTGTTAGTTAAACATTGAAGTGTGTCTTGGGCCAGGCAAGGTGACTCATGCCTGTGATCCTAGCACTTTGGGAGGCCAAGTCAAGAGGATCGCTTGAGGCCAGGGGTTCTAGACCAGCCTGAGCAACATAGTGAGACCTATCTCTACAAAACATTTTTTAAAATTAGCAAGCATGGTGGTGTGCACCTGCCGTCCTATCTACTCAGGAGGCTGAGGTTGGAGAATGGCTTGAACCCAGGAGTTTGAGGTTACAGTGAGCTATGATCATGACACTGCACTCTAGGCTGGGCAAATGAGGGAGACCCTGCCACACAAAAAAAGGGGAGGTTGGGCACAGTGGTTCATGCCTGTAATTTCAGCACTTTGGGAGGCCGAGGTGGGTGCATCACTTGAGGCCAGGAGTTTGAGATCAGCCTGGCCAACATGGTGAAACCCCATCTCTACTAAAAATACAAAAAATAGCCAGGCGTGGTGGCGGGTGCCTGTAATCCCAGCTACCGGGAGGTTGAGGTATGAGAATCACCTGAACTTGGGAGATGGGAAACGGAGGTTGCAGTGAGCCGAAATTCTGCCACTGCACTCCATCCTGGGTGACAGAGTGAGACTCTGTTTTTAAAAAAAAAAAAAAAAAGGAGGTCTTAACAAACCAAGTCTTCTTCCTCCTCAATGACCACTTTTCCCTACCATGGCTCACTTTCCTTCCGTCCTTCTCTGTGCACATCCCTTCCTTTCTCCCCGTGACATGATTCACTATCTCAGGTCCCCATTTCAAGGCTTAAAATGCTTAATACAGGCTGAATACATAGTAGCTTCTCCAAAGGCATCTGTTGAATAATTCAATTAACAGTTGAGGTAAGTCCTCAAAGCCATTGGGAATTATGCTGCTATCTGAGAAGATTTGCGGATATGAAAAAGTGTGCCATGAATTAAGACACCAGATGCAGCTTTATGTCCAGAACTGAACAGAGCTCAAATAAAGGCATCATTACTAGATTGTTCCTAACACGTGCCCCTTCCGTATCTGGAATGCCAAATCCTGCTCATTCAAGTCTTCTTCAAAGACAGGTTCTAAGGCTTCATTAATGCTTATAAAACATTCTGAGATCTCCCTGAGAGTCATTAGAGAATAAAATTATAGTAGCAGTTCTAGCCCAGCTGGAAGGCACGTTCATCAAACACCTCCAGGAAGAATTCTCTAGCTAATTGGATTTTGCTTGTTTTCAGACACCTGCCAAATTTTTTTTATACCCGTAGGTTCTTAACTACATTACAATTTCTGGGATTTGGTTTTATCTCTTCTTCCAGAAGGCCCCAGAAAACATCCCTTGCACCAACCTCTTCATGCTCTATATGGCCCTATAAGATATGGTGGAATATGGAGTGAATGAGGATTTGGAGGGGCCAGTTTGAGTTAGGGCCCTTGAAGAAAAGTTTGTTTCTTCATGTACTGAATCTTGGTAAAGCTAAGACTAGATCCCTGATCTGCTGTTCACTGAGCAATTGGAAAAAAATTTGTGGTTGGTGTTATTGTATATACTTACAGGCAATAAAAGTCAGGGGGCAACATTAAGGCACCTGTAAGATGTCACAGTGTAAATGAACTTAGTCTGATAATCAACTCAAGAATAAAGAAATCTAATTTTGCATATTCAAGGTTTGAGCTGATCTCTAGCCCTGTGGGTAGTATAACAAATTTTCTTATATTACCTGTTGGTCACCCTTTGCCTCATTAAGTGACTGTAGATCAATGAGCATGGAGAATCATGAGACAGTTCCATCCTAGGGAAGGCAAATTGCAGTTCAACTTCAAAGCAACACACCTGACCTCATACAAAAGTGTTCCAGTTTATTACTTTGCACGACTGTGTGTTTCAATTTATTACACTGATGACTTACCTTGTACTACTCTGTGTTCAATTATGTATTTTCTGTTCTCATTACAGACCTTCAAACGACCGCAAAAATATATTCATTTAATGCTTTTTCTGTTCTTTTAAAATTTTTATTACTCAGAAAGGAGGAAGAAAATGGTTTGAGCATTAGCACTGGGTATAAACTCAGATTGATTCTATGTATTTAAATTACTCAGATAATTGGAGCAAAGAAACTCTTTCATTGGAAATAGCTACATAGTAGCTAGAAGAATATATTTAGAGTCTTCACTGCCTAGATAGTTTATATCCACGAATACAAACTAATACAACCAATATGCAGAACAATGCAGGGAAAGGAGTATAATGAAAAACTACTGGGGATCAAAAGAGATCAAGTGTAGCAGGATGGTATTTTGGAAAGAGATGGGGTCAATAATTTGAGAGATTTGTGTTCTAGTTGAGAATCATCTACTTACTAGGTTTTGATTTGGGGAAGTCTTATTTGTTGGAATAGAGTATCTATGTAGTTCCTTCCCATTGCAAATTAGATGATGTTTTTAAATGTGAAGAGCCAAAATTAAACTAAATTAGTTAATTAGTAAGAAGAATATCATATTTATGATGAACAATGTACGAGTCAGTGTTCTATCTTACTCTATAGAATGCTCTAGGCTTTGTCTTACTTTCAAATAGGTCCCACCAGTGGGTTGTGGCTTAAAGAACAAAGATTATTTCACTCGTTTCATCACTGAAACTCTCTTTTCTGAGGCTCGAAATTTATTTATTGAGGGCAACAATGAGCTAAGGCTTAAATGCTAATGCCTCTGAGAGAAGTAATCCAATTACTTACATTTGTCCTAAGGGGCAAACGTATGAAGACTAACAGTGAATTGGGGACTCTATGCAGTCTGAGGTTCAAAGCCATTGACTGAATCCATAGGGAAGCCAAGAATAAAAGGCAGCAAGCTCTCTCTCTCTCTCTCTCTCTCTCTCTCTCTGAGAACCTGTCATTCCTCTTCCTGCAAAATTTCTGCTGCTACCAAGGCTGGACAATGCTTGCCCCTAAAGAATATTAGACACCTTTTCTTGGGCTGTCCATTGATAGTTCTGTCTGTCTACTCTCCAGGGAATAACCATCTCTCTTTTAGAATGTTGTTAAAATATCCTGCAAAACCTGGTAATAAAATATTTTTATCCTCATTAATCAAAAAACATGCATTCAGCAGTTGAAGTTGAAAAGAAATGATGTTTTCACAATCTGAACATCACGAGAGTATGAATCTTTACTAGAATTTTTTAATTCAAAGAAACAGTTTGAATATGAAGAGTATTGGACAAGCAATCATTTATTTAGGTTACACAATGAGAAACAGTCTATTTTCCTGACTAATTCTTCTTACCAATTTAATTCAATTTGAAGCAATAAACCTCATGGATGGCATGATATTTTCCTGTATCCTGAAATTAATTTCTCATCCATTACTTCATTCATTATTCATTCACCTGATAAACATTTATTCATTTCTAAAACATTGCTAGGTATGAAGTGTTTGTAATATGGAGACTTAAGGGATGGCTTCCCAACAGGTCTTCTTCTAGTGTTGGGCTCCTAGAGATTGTAATAACCCTCTAACCCTCTCTTGCCCCTCCCTCCAGGACAATGTGAGGAGCAAGACTTCAAATTTCCTGGTTACTCAGATTCCCAAGTTCACTGAAACTAATATACAACATCCCTATTACCCAGAGCGTTCCCATGAAGATTTTTGCATTTTATCTGGCACCAAACTCAATTTTTTTTGTTCACCCTGACTCTAAGGAACTATTTTTGATTTAAATCATTCTTATTCTGATCCCCTTTTTTCAACATCACAAAGCTATGCTTCAGCATCACCCAGCGGTGCCTCTTCTCTGCCACCTTCTTGAGGTGAAACCCTTTCAGTGCTGTGCAAATAAGGAAACTTCCTTGAAAGGCAAAGGCACAATCTGGCGCTGCCTTTGCTGAGAAACTCTCCTCATTATAAAGGCACATGATAACCTATTTTGAAATATAAAACAGTCCTTTCAGGCTGCAGTTGAAAAACAGTATTTTAAGATTTGTATTGAATGCCTCCTTTCAAGGGCTCCTTAATGAATTCCTGAGTTTAAAGGGAGTCACAGAAGAAAAGTATCCTCTTTGCTTTTTCTTTGTCCCCTTAAGAAATTAATGCACGTTATGATTTATGGAGGCCACTCCAAGGCCTGGTGTATCTGAGATCCCATTTGCTAGGCACATCTTGCAGTGATTTATGCCTAGAACTATCTACAGGGATGGGCAGTGTACCAGGCATTCTCCCATAAAGAACAGATGGCACAGCCAAACTTGGATAATTCAAGAAGACTTCTCTGCACAAAGGCTAGCAATAAAGGTGCAGATTGGGTGATAGGGAGGCCCCAAAGGATGGTAGAAGAACCCTGGGCTGCCAGTGGCAACTGAAGCCAGCTCCAGGACTAAAGAGATCAGGGAAGAGAAAGGCTACCAGAAACTACAAGGGAAGAGAAAGGCTACCAGAAACTGGAAAGGGAAAGGGTCACATTAGCAGGCTGCCTAGAAAGGTGGAACAAGGGACACAGCTAATTTAAGGCAACCTTTAAAAAAGGAGCCAGAGGAACACATAGCGCCTCCCTTCATCTCCAGCTGGGGTTCCCCTTTGGCTGAACTCACCTTGAAGCCATAGGACACAGGAGAACACCAAAGATTTCCTCATAGGCCAGCTTCTTCGGGCAGAGAGCAAGACAAAGGCAGGTAGAGGGTGTTTCCAGAAGGGCAAATATTTGCAGACTGCCTGACAGAAGCAGGGAGCCTGCTGCCTGACCATCACATCCTCAGGGCCATGTAGTAGCTTCCAACTGGTCAGCCTGCTTTAGGGTAAACACACACCCAGGTTTGCCCAGCACAATGGCTGCTACAGTTCTACTGCATAGTAATAAATAGTTTCAATTTTCACTGTCAAATGTGCCCTGGTTTGGGTAACAAATTAAATGGTCATTCCATCCTGCTTCAACTCTTCACCCCGTCGAGTTCTCCAAGCTAACAGAGTAACCCTTTAAAAGAGAGAATGAGACCAGGCACGGTGGCTCAGGCCTGTAATCCCAGCACTTTGGGAGACCGAGGTGGGTGGATCGCCTGAGATCGGGAGTTTGAGACCAGCCTGACCAACATGGAGAAGCCCCATCTCTACTAAAAGTATAAAATTAGCCAGGCGTGGTGGCACATGCCTGTAATCCCAGCTACTTGGGAAGCTGAGGCAGGAGAATTGCTTAAACCCAGGAGGCAGAGGTTGCAGTGAGCCGGGATTGCGCCATTGCACTCAAGCCTGGGCAACAAGAGAGAAACTCTATCTCAAAATATAAAAATAAAAAATAAAAGAGAGAATGGAATCATAAGAATGGAAACATAAAAGAGAGAATGGAATCATATGTTTAAAACTCCGTGAGGACGCCCACATCAGTTGCAAAGTATCACAGCCCACAAGGTTCACTCTGCCTCCCTTCTGTCTCTCTGACCTCATCTCCTTCCATCCTCTCTGGCTTCCTCTGCCCTGGACACACCTGTCTCCTTGGTCTCCTTCAACAAGCTGGTCACACTGCCACCTGGGCCCTTTACATTCACTGTTGTCTCTGTCGGGAAACCTCTTCTCCAAGACAGCCCTCTGGCTTGCTCTCTCTCATTTCCTTTACATACTTAATGGAAAAAAAAAATCACCTAGCAAAGAAATCTTCGTTGACCACCGATTCTATGTCTCCTCCAGCAGTTAAAGTCTTCCCTTGGCTCTGCTTTTTTATTTTTGTGACACTTCCCATCATCTCTATATTTATTTGGTTATTTTCTGTATTCCTCCACTAGAGCAGAATTTCCCTATGAACAGGTATGTATCTGCTTTGCCAGTTACCATAATCCTAGAGTTTAGTAGAGTGCCTGGCACATATTATATGCTCAATAAATATTTCTTGGACAAATAAAAGATGAAGATTACTCATGAAAAAGATAGAGCTGGCTTCAATCTGTGAATCACAGGATGATTTGTTTCATTAGACTAAGCAATTGAAGCATATATGTTATATAAATTCTAAATTATTATGCAAAATAAGGGTGATTATTAATATTGCTCTTGTTACTATCAGCAGCACACGGAGTGAGTGGATAGACTAAATTATATCTGAAGGTTCTTACATCCATTTGTATCTTTGGCTATAATTATTATATTTTTGCACATACTTTCTTAAAACCTATTGAGACTATTTCTGATAAAGAATCCCTTTACTGCATAAATAAGTACTTTGTTCATTAAAATAGTCGTGAGTCATATTGAGAATACAGGGTTTTGTGTCTGGTTAATTGAGGCCCAAAAACGGTAAGTGACCACAAAACTAATGAATATAGTATTAAATACTATAATACTAGAGTATTTAATACAATAATGAGTATATATTAAAATACAAAGAAAACAAAGAATATTTCAAAGGCAAACACAGCTCAAGGTTAAAATAAGGGGAATATCCGCTTTAGGAAAATTTCCATGGGAGGTGATCTCACTGGGAATGACTGGCATATCTGTATTTTCTCATCAATCTTCCAGGAAGATATTATTTTATTTTTATCCAGACAACCAAAAGGTGGCAGACTGTACAACACAACATTGTACCTACCCTAACATTGAGAATACAACAATATTCAACGTGCTTTATATGACCCACATTTTTTTAACATAAGCCATTTTATATATTCAGAGAACATTTTGAAACCAAAGCTACTATTTAGCTTATTACAACATAAGAATCTCTTTTCTTATAATGATTAGCATCAGAGCTTTTAGTTGGCCCATATGCCAGTTTTTGGTCTTGAAGTCAAAATGTAAAAGGACTGAGGGAGAAAGAGAAACGATATCTGAGGACTGACAACTCCAGGTCTCGTCTAAGCCTCACAAGTGTGGTTTTCACCATTTTTATGGATGAAGATGCTGAGGCCCGGCACAGTTGCATAACTTGCCCACAATTACTCCATAATTCTGGTGTCTGATAAGGCCTGGAGGGTTTTAACCCACATCTGTCTTTCTCTAAAAGCCATGACCTTTTACTTAGACCATGCAGCCTTTTCATTTCTAGACTTAATGGAACTAAAAGGACATTTTATTGCTAGAGTTTAAGCCAAGTTCATGCCCAGACTCTACCAGCTCAGGGATCTAAAGCAATTTCAAAGAATCAGAGTTAACTCAATCGAATTTAGAGCCAATTTGTTTCCATTCTCTTGAGGAAGAAAGGTGTCAGCTATTACCATTCCTACCATCAGACTTTATCACTTTCAAAGGGCCATAACTCACCCTGTCCTCACTGAATTCTTGAATCCTTAGGTTTGCATGCTGAGCCCCAAATGGGTGCTCAAGGCTTTGCCTTAAAAATGCATAGATATGAATATTTTCTTTATATAAAAAAACTTGTTATGTTTAATTTTCTAAGTGAGATGATGGGGAAGGACATTTATTAATAAACACATAACTCTATTAAATAAGATAAATTCAATAATTATTCATGCTACAAATGATTCCTGAACATAAAATATTTGTCCAGAAATTGACTTTAACTTGTGAGCTTTACATTTACTTTCCCAGAACCAAAAGCATAATTTACTTTTAACATCAAAAAAAAGCCAATATTCTTATGTGTTTCAGGAACGTCCCAGGTCGAATAAATATTTTTTAGTACCACTGCTGTGTGCTTACTAGAGTGCAGCAAGACGATTATTATTTAATCTGTGACCTTTAGGGAATTTTAATGTCATAGGGAGCCAGGAAATAACAACACATTTGATATCTTTTTATTTTTTAAAAAAGAAATCTGCCTGGAGGCCGGGCGCAGTGGCTCACGCCTGTAATCCCAGCACTTTGGGAGGCCGAGGAGGGCGGACCACGAGGTCAGGAGATCGAGACCATCCCGGCTAACACGGTGAAACCCCGTCTCTACTAAAAATACAAAAAATTAGCCGGGCGTGGTGGCGGGCGCCTGTAGTCCCAGCTACTTGGGAGACTGAGGCAGGAGAATGGCGTGAACCTGGGAGGCGGAGCTTGCAGTGAGCCGAGATTGTGTCACTGCACTCCAGCCTGGGCGACAGAGTGAGACTCCATCTAAAAAAAAAAAAAAAAAAGAAAGAAATCTGCTTGAATGTCCAAATAGCTCATGGCATAGTAAACTCCTTAGAAGTACAGAAGAAGACCTATGGGCTGCAGATATGAGCGAATACCTGATAGAACACAGCTAGACAATGTAAAGGTCAAGTTTGGTTTTCCTGGGACCTCAGAAGTGCCTCCGGGGCATCCCCTGCTCTTCATTGCTGCTACCACGGCTTCAGCAGGGCTCTTGTTTTCTCTCCCCCAGCTCTTTGCCGCTCAAAACTTGGGTGCTTGTTAGAAATGCAGAATATCAGGCCACACTTGGACCTCTTCCATCAGGGTTACATTTTAACCATATCCCCAGGTAATGTAAATCTAAAGTGTGAGGAACACTGATCTAGATTATTGTGATAACCTCCCCAAGTGCTATGTGTGTCAGGGTTTGTCCACTCTCCACAAAGTTAGCAGAATGATCTTCCTACGGCGCATGTCTGTCCCAGTCATTCCTCAGATTAAAGCCCTTCCACAGCTCTTGTGCTGCCCGTGTTATGTCCAGACTCCCTGGTATGGTGTGTGTAGCTCTTTAGATCACCCGACCACTCTAAGCTCACCATCTTTCTCCATAATCCACGACTCACCTGCCATTCCAACCCCCAGGCCCCTGGCAAGTACTCAGACATGTTTACATATTCACACTGCCTTGTTTTTAGACTCAAATCATTCAATCAAATCCAGCAAAACTTTCTTCCTTTCTTAGCACTCCAGGTTTCTATTGATCCTCTAACGTTCTCATCTATCACTAAGCTCTCAGTAAGAACTGGCCAGGTTTCCTTACTCAGAGCTGATAGTTTCCTCTTCTGTGATCCCAAGGCCCCTTTGTCTATACTTCAGTTGTCCCACTTATCCCAAGGCTGTGTGCCCAATCGTACACAGGTTTAACCAGGACTGACAGTTTTAGCTTAGGCAGCTGAATAGATGGTGAGTGTCATTGTGCATTAGTTTGTTGATTGCATTCTCGTGTGACAGCTGGGTCTGCAGGAGCAAAATAATTTTAAGGCAATTATTCTAGATAATCTGCTCCCACCCTGCAAAAGACCATAGGACTCTGGAGTTATAAGACTCCCTATTTCTGTCACTTGCTAGTTGCATGATCTTAGACAATTAACCTCTATGAACAAGCTTCACCATCTTTAAAATGTGAATAGTAATTAGAGCTGTTTTCCAGAAAAATTGTGAGAATTTAAAAAGATAATTGATGTGCAACACTTTAGAAAACTATTAATAGAAAGTACTGTATACATAATGTTCATTATTTTTCATTTATCCTCATAATATACTTTGAGCACTTATTATTTCCTGAAAACTGTGCTAGATGTCTGAGATAGCAAGATTATTCATCCATGGTGTCAGCCTAAATAACAAAGAGTATCAGGGGAGGTAGAGACAAAGGAGAAACTTGGAGACAATGTGTAAGTTGTTACTCTGGCAGTAAGCAAACTAATTAAGCAGAAGACGTTTTGGAAAAGGCTTCATTCACACAGAGGGGGTGACGTTTCAGTTACCCTCCACCCAATACCCTGATTGAGGATAAAATCATGAAAGTCCTCCACCAGAAATATTTATAATTATCAGGTCCTACGTTATCTAGGCAGATACAGCTACAACATTTGTAAAATTCTAAAAGTTTAAAATCACATAGATACTTAGATGTCGGGACTTTTTTTGTCCTTCACTCAGACACTGCCGTGGTACCTGCTGGTGCTTCTATCTGTCCCATCTCATCTTCCCCTGCTCCATGCCTGCTCAGGGCAGACAATTTCCCAACTACGCTATGCTTGGCCCTACATCCAAGTTGGCACCAACGTTTTCTGCATCAGTAATGCCCTGGGGTTTCTTCTTTGATAATTGAGGGTCATCTGCAGGCCAAGACACTTCAAACCTTTACGTCCTCCATGAGGTGTCCCTTGTTTATCCCAGTCCCTGGGGATCTCTGCAGTTCCTGACTGTATCACCTGGCAAAGCCACTTGCTCACATGCGTGGTGCTGCTACTTCACTGTTTTATATTTACATGGTTGCTGAAGTCTCCATGAAGGATGGAATCTTGGCATTCCTCCACCCTGGCTTCCTCCATTGCTTACTCTGACACTTTGAACAGGAATCCTCCACCTACCCCCCACTACAGTTCTCTGTGCTAGAGTTTCTCCATCAGTAAAAATTAAAGTATTCGACTGTCACATTAGACTAGATGATTTTCAAATTCGCCTACAGCTGAAACAATCAATGATTCTTTCCATGAGAAAGCTCTCAACTTGTCTTTACAAGGATTCTTCTAGCACAAAACCAAGCTCATTTTGAATCCAAATTCATGTGCACCCCAATCCTGCCTTTGTCCTAATGCTGTGAGAAAATAATGCAGTCTATTTTGCAGCCCCTGTCACTGTTCTACCATATAACATCCTATTATTCTTCTGAAATGGAAGATTAAGTTTTCCAGAGTGTCTGACTGAAGGCCCAATATCACCAAATACATAACCATTTGCTTGCAATTCCCCTGGGGAAGGTTATTAACAACAACTTAGTCCCTGATAAATGACTATGTTTCTAAGGTAGTGGTTTATATCAAGGTTCCTAAATACACATCATTTAAATTTACCCAGACAGCCATGTGTCAAATAAACAGTAACAGATTATTAAAACACACACTCACTCTTAGGCAAGAGGCTGCTCTGCCACTCTGGATATGCTGAATCAGTGATTCGCCTTAAACATACAGGTGTATTTAATAATCCATACCCGCTTCCCATTTTCTTATAAAAGAACACTTACAATGTTGCTGACAAAGAATACTGGCTCATTGGTAGTCACCTGCAGTCCAGAAACATACCTGGTAATAGGGGGTTAAATGTTGCCAAAGCAAAGTGAAGTCCTCCGTGGAACATGGGGGTTAGAAGAAAGCTAAGGGCCTCTAGGGCAAGTCCCTATTCAATAGCCAAGTGCCTTCTACTAGCATCTTCACAAAAACAGCCACAGAGCTGCTTGTGCATGAGTATCTCCAACCGGGGGACAGGAACCACCTCATGAGGGAGACCCTCCCGAAAGGGGACTGTTCTCAGGTCTTTAAAATGTGTTTCTTATCGAATTATTGGTGACCCGAAGGATAAATGCTTGAGATGATGGATACCCCACTTCCGCTGATGTGATTATTATGCATTGCATGCTCGTATCAAAATATCTCATGTAACCCATAATTATATACACCTACGATGTGTGTACAAAAATTAAAAAGAAAAAAATAAATTTTTAAAATGGAAATAAAATGTGTTCCTTTTAACACTTTCTACCCTTTTTGCTAGTCATTCCTCTATCCACAATAAGCAACCACCTCTAATTTAAAAAGAAAGAATGCAAGGAAAGAAGAAAGAGAAGATGTGGTCTATTTACGGAGCATTTACTATGGTTTTTCATGTTATACGCATGATCTTAATAATTTGTAGTCACAGTAACAGTGTGACTAAGAGTAGGTCATTTTAAATCCAACAGTCGTGGCTTTAGATTCTAGCTCTTTATGTTAGAACTGGTGACCCTTGGCAACTTATTTACTTCTGTAAGCCTCAGTTTTTCCATGTAAAAAATGGATTATATTTATTTCAATGCATTAATGCAGAGTATCTAACATTATATATAGAAAATATACAGTGCTCCATGCAAAGAAAATGCTGAAAACTTGGCTAGTTTAGTAAAACCAGCAGGAACACTGACTCTCACAATAAAGCTTACAGTCACCGTGGGTCTTCTGTTTTGCGAAGGTAGTTGCAATCTCGAATCGAAGTCCTCTCTTCTCTGGGTTTAACATACCCAGTCCACCTAAACCCAGTCTGGCATGTAGAAAGTCTCTTTCTTCCAGTATCCCACCATCTGCTTCTGACAGTCCTCTGGGTCCTGTCTAGCCCTTGCAAAGAGGACAGCATGCACTGGACATAGCACCCCCCAAGGGGACTGCCAAGCACTGACTGATGTGAAACTGCGACCTTGCCCGTACCAGACACAATAGTTACACAAGTGTGGTACAGGCGTCCACTACCTGTGCTGTTTCATTATCTAAAGTTCAGTAAAGGTCTTCTGACACTGGTTGATGTACAGGAAATAACTCCATGAAACATTTGAACACATGTGCGAATGAAGAATGAATGAAGGAATCAATCAATTAATCAACCAGGAAGTGGCCAAGCCAAAGTCAGATAAGCAGTGGGTGGGAAGTAGATGAGAACAAAGAAACATGAGTTTTCCCAAAGGCCTGGGGATAGTGTTGGGAGGTGAGGGGTGGAGGAGTAAGCTGTCTTCATTTTACTTTCCCAGTAAAAGAGGGAGCTCTGGACATGGTGTTCTGATTAACCTTGAATCGGGAATCATAGAGGTTGCTTGCACATCATGCTGCAGTGGCTCCACCTGATGTGAGAAGGCACCGTTCTCCTGTTTCCAGTACTTGCCTCCTCCTCTCCATTTCATCAAATCTCATTCTTATATCTTTGCTGATTCTTCTCATTGCTGGCTTCCCTTTTATATGTGGAGCGGACAAAGCACTCCATCACCCGTGCTTTCCATGAGCCCCTGCCCTCAACACCTTCCAGCTAAAAGGTGGGCTTGAGGTTCAAAGTTTCATAAGGCCCCAAGGACTATTGCTTTAACCCTGTTTCTAAGCTAAGAACAGAGGTTTTGGGCTTTTTCGGAAATCAGGCACAGTTTTGAATACCCAAGGAAAAAAGGTAATGATTTCGTTAACCAGTTCACTTTCATTTAAAGAGTTGACAGACAGCAATCTGACTTACTTAATATTGTCATAATATTTTTTCTCTACTATTAACCCTCTTCTCTCTACTCTCTTCTCCAATTAGCACTTGGTGTTCACTCAGCAGATCTTTTGTGAAAGCTGTGTGCTACAGAAAACTCCTCCTGAGGCCAGCTGACAGGAAGAGGTGCCAGCAGAATCGGCCTCTGTTATAGTTCTCTGTGCTGGGAGTTAATCCATTCCATGATTGTAAATGGATCATTATTAACTCAGCATAATGAAGCAGTAATTACCTAAGAGGTGATGGATCAGGGGAGATTTTCTAGGCTAAATGATTTGCAATGTATAGTATTGCAGCAATTAAGCTAAAATGATCACAGAAATGTCACACTTGACTGGTGCATGTTTTGTATCCTTTCCCTCCCTTCCTTCCTTCCTTTGTTCCTTCGTTCCTTTCTTCCTTCCCTCCCTCCCTCCTTCCTTCCTTCCCTCCCTTTCTTCCTTCCTTCCTTGCCTCCCCCTTTCTTTCCTTCCTTCCTTCCTTCCCTCCTTCCCTCCTTTCTTTATTCCTTCCTTCCCTCCCTCCCTCCTTCCTTCCTTCCCTCCGTTTCTTCCTTCCTTGCCTCCCCCTTTCTTTCCTTCCTTCCTTCCTTCCCTCCTTCCCTCCTTTCTTTATTCCTTCCTTCCCTCCCTCCTTTCTTCCTTCCTTTTCTTCCTTCCTTCCCTCCCCCTTTCTTTCCTTCCTTCCTCCTTCCCTTCTTTCCTTTCTTCCTTCTCTTCCCCTTTCCTTCCTTCTTTCCGTCTTTCCTTCCTTCCTTTCCTTTCTTCCTTCTCTTCCCCTTTCCTTCCTTCTTTCCGTCTTTCCTTCCTTCCTTTCCTTTCTTCCTTCTCTTCCCCTTTCCTTCCTTTCTTCCTTCCTCCCTCCCTCCCTTCCTCCCTCCCTCCCTTCCTCCCTCCCGCCTTGCCGCCCTTCCTTCTTTCCTCTCTCCCTTCCTCCGTCCTTCCTTCCCTCCCTCCCTTCCTTCCTTCCTTTCTCCTTCTCTCCCTCCCTTTCCATTCCTTTCCCTTTTTCTGTTTCCATTATGTGTTCTATTGGAGTTTTTATTGTTGTTGTTGTTGTTTGTTGTTTTTTTGAGACAGAGTTTCACTCTTGTTGCCCAGGCTGGAGTGCAATGGTGTGATCTCAGCTCACTGCAACCTCCGCCTCCCAGGTTCAAATGATTCTCCTGCCTCCCCAGGTTCAAATGATTCTCCTGCCTCAGCCTCCTAAGTAGCTGGGATTACAAGCTCCCGCCACCACACCCAGCTAATTTTTGTATTTTTAGTAGAGATGGGGTTTTGCCATGTTGGCCAGGCTGGTCTTGAACTCCTAACCTTGTGATCTGCCTGCCTCGGCCTCCCAAAGTGCTGGGATTATAGGTGTGAGCCAAAGCACCCGACCTCTATTGGAGATTTAAATTGCTTGGCGTTTTGAATTTTTTGCTAAAGACTCTGTTGCTTGGGTGCTGTCTTTAGAACTGGATGTAGACACACACACACACACACACACACACATACACACACCTACCTCACACTTAGCTTTTAAGGTTTGCATGTTCTGAGAGAAGCTTTGTAGCATTATATCGTCCGTTACACTCTAAGAAAATTAATGAGATGAACATTCAGCGGTATTAGTCAGTGGAGGAGGCAGGGTCTCAGTTGCCAAGAGCCTCTATGGGACACAGTGCAGTTTAGTAACTCTCTGATTGGCCCCTTTCTAGAAAAATGTTGGACTAGAAACAACTCCTTGAATTTAATCTGTCTTTAGAGGAGTAATAAAGGTCTAGTAACTGGACAAGAGATACAAATCTGTCAGGTGCATGAGGCACAAGGGAGTCATTTGGAACATGCATTTGATTCCTCATGGTACACATGGTATTGAAGACATCTTGATCCATCAAGAGACTTTATCCCATTGACAGAAACAGAGACAAGAGATAAGGTGAGGGAAGCAAACCCCAATGTAGGAATGCTTGGTCTTACATGCAGCTTCCTTCTAAACCCTTTGCTGCATTCCCAGCAATTAGGCTTTCTTTCCTATGATGCCTTGGTCTTCACTCTCAGCTTTGACCAAGAAAGATCCTCCTTGTCCCACATCAAGTTTCCCCCTTAAAGGCTGTCCTGCCAGTTGGAATGGCCTCCTATGCACTTTCCAAAAGCTTTCCTTTCAGTTACTCATCAACCTTACTTCAAGGTCAAGGTCACTTTAATATTTACACCAATCCAGTCATGCCACCCTGCCCCCCACATAGCACATTCCTCTCCCTCCACAATAAATAAATGTGTGTGCGTGTGTGTGTGTGTGAGAGAGAGAGAGAGAAAGAAAGAGTGAGAGTGAGAGAGAGAGAGAAATAGTTTGGGTTGATATTAAATTGCCTGTGGGTGTACTTAGGCATGTAATACAGGATATTTTTGCCTGCAAGTGACAGAATCCAAATTCAAAACAGCTTAGATAAAAGACACTATCAGCTCTCTTAACCCAGAGAAGGGCAGTGTCAGAGACAGGAATCCTAGGGAAAATGGACAAGGGATTCAAACACTGAAGGGTCCTTCTTCATCTCTATCCCTCTCTCTACACATCAGCCTCATCCTTCCATGTCTGTTTCTTCCACATGGGAGGAAATAATCATCTTTTCTTTAATTAATTATTTCAACAATATATCATGCATTATTGTAGGAACTGGGGAATATTAGTGCACAGAACATCTCTGCTCTGAAGAGCTTGTATTCTAGTGGTTCCAATAGCTGCCAGGTCAATGCACACACACACACACACACACACACACACACACTCAGATTAAGAAACATACTTTTTTTGCCATAAGTTCAAAATCCTGAAGAATGACTGTGATGGTCAAGTGCGTATGAAATGTCTGACATCTATCCCTGGACTAATTACATACGTAAATCTAAAAGGACCCTTGAGCCACACATTGGTCAGAAGAGACAAAAGTTTCCATTTAAACATACTAGTTGAAGTAGGAAACAAAGCACTTCTTAGAAACAGAGAACAATTTTAGAGCTATACGGCATCTACCTATATATGAGTATCTCTTCCCAGGTACTCCTTTGGAAACAATTTGCAATAATTTCCAAAAAAACCAAATAACTTCATATTTTAAAAAGACCTCATGATTCTTGCTACCTTGATACCTTCTATATCCAGGAAGTAAGTACTACAGCTTGTGGTGCTACCCTCACCTGTAGCAGTGTCAACAGAGACGAGAGAGGAGGGGCACTAGCTTTGTGGCTTTGTGTTTTTGTGTGTAAATTTTTAAATGTTGTTTGATTGTAAACTTGATGTCACATTTTGTCCATTCTAGGCAAATAAACAGTGATTTTATGTGATAGGAACCTAAAATGTGCAAAAGGAAAGAAGTAGTTAGAGGTTGTTGAACAATAGACAAAGAGCTGAATGTGGGACTCAGTAACCAAGAAAAGAAGAAAAATTAATTGAGAAACAAGAAAAATTCTACAGGTGGAAGTGTCTGAGGGCCTGGCTTGGTACGCTGGTCAGGAAGCATCTGTCACAGTTCCCTATACTGGTGGCCAAGGATCTTAGCCTAGGATCTAGATTGAGTGGAATTGGAGAGCATGGATTTCTAGAAAGGGAATCACATGTTGAGAAAGGGCCAGACTCCAGTGATTCCAGAGAGACATTGAGGAATTGCAAATTTTGCACATCTTATGAAGCAATGAACTTCATCAGAAAAGAACTCAAAGTCAGGCAACCTGAGGTTAAGTTCTGGCTCTGGCATTTACTTGCTGTGTCACCCAATGAAGGAAGCAAACTATACCGTGGTTTCCAGAACTTTAAAATAAAGATAATAATATACCTATCCTCTCTATTGCACAGAATTGTTGTGCCTCTCCTGTAAGAAGAAAGCTTTCTCACCAAAACTGGTCACACCCTGATATTACACCTACCCCGTGCCTATCACTAAGCCCCATGAAAAGAAGATGCTGAAGAAGTCCATAAAAGTTGGAGGGAAGCCTGTAATTCTCAGAAAGAAACCTCAAATCCTCCACAGGCTTAAGAATAAATTGTTTTCAAGGCACATCCAGTATAAAAACATGAAAATGAAAACTGGGGCCAAAGGCCATTCTGGGAACATCTGCTTATCACATTCGGCTTTGGAGCTATTACATTACTTCACCTGGGCGCTACCCGTCTCTCCTTCCTTCTAGAGATGCCTTAGGTCATGGTGAAGCAACACGATATCCCCACATGCTGTACACAACCATAAAATACTTTGGAATTTGGCTAGAGGAAAAACACTAAAAAATATATTATTACTCTGTATATATATTTTTTCTTTGTCCGAGAGAGAATCTCGTTCTGTCATCCAGGCTGGAGTACAGCGGCATGATCTTGGCTCACTGCAACCTCCATCTCCCAGGTTCAAGCCATTCTCCTGCCTAAGCCTCCAGAGTAGCTGGGATTGCAGGCACACACCACCAGGCCCAGCTAATTTTTGTATTTTTTTTTTTGTAGAGATGGGGTTTCACCATGTTGGCCAGGCTGATCTCAAACTCCTAACCTCGTGATCCACCTTCCTTGGCATCCCAAAGTGCTGAGATTACAGGCATCAGCCACTGCATCCAGCCTGTATAAATTTTTTAAAAAAATTCTGACAAAGTAACAGTATTAGATCCATTTTCAATTTCTTGGCAGCCTCAACACCCCTAGGATTTTTAGTTTTCCCATATATACCATAGTAGACAGGCTAGCTCATACATGTGGAGAAGCATTGGAGGTCTGCCTCCTGTGTAGAATGAGGAGTGATATCGCTCTCAGTTTCACCGAGAAAGTCTGCAGTTTGAGCCAAGCTCATTACCTCTTAGTAAGCACTGTCAATTTTCTGGGTTAAATATAGTCCACTCTGATGTCTTTTAATGGAATAAAGCTTCACCAGAGCAATAATGGAAAACAAATTGTATGGGAATCTAATGCAGTTGAGTGATTGCAATCTGCATCTGCACTTTCACAGAGAGTTTGTTGTTGAATTGGGTTTGATGAATATCATAAGAGTAATGGCAAATGGGCTCCTGACAGCTGCTGTGATTGACAGCTGTCAAATGCAGTGATAGATCAGGCTGTCTTTCAGGAGGAACATGATTCATAGACCTCATTACAGGTGGATGGATGGCGCATACAGACTGCGGTTGGTTATCTGGGCATTTATTCTCTGAAATGACAATGGGGAGTGCACACTTGTATAAATGACCAAGTCAATCCCTTTACCTACTGTATCCAATTACCTCTTCTCTACCTACTCAACTCCTGTCTAGCTAACAGCTGGGTCTTCATGTCCAACCAACTTGAGCAGCTGTTTATATAGAGAGGCTCCACATCAATGGACTTATTTATTGCATGTCTGCCTCCGTACTTGGGCTATTTATCTCTAGCTCACTGCATCTGCCTATCAATTTTGTTGTTGTTGTTGTTCCCAGGCTAGAATGAGCCAGAATTTAGAAAACAACATAAAATTAGATTTCTCTTGCCCAGAAGGGTTGCTGAGTGTCCTGGGTTCTCATTCAGTATGAGTTATTCTCTTTCCCTCCAGGCCAGGTATATGACCAAGTGCCTGTGGAGGTTTATTATGGATCGGATCAAAGCTCAGTTTATGTAGAAGGAGGATAATGAGAAGATGGGGAAGAACATGAAGAAGAGAAGAAAATGCATATGTCTGCTGTTTCTGGTTTGGATATTTTGCAGATGATGTATAATTTGTTAGAGAATATTTATCATTTAAGGGGTAAGGATGCAAATAACATTTATTTTAAAATTTTTGAGTTTTTTAGTCCTGAAAGCTGCTGGGTGCTAAGAGCAGACTGCTCACCAATCCCTCTGGGAGGAATCACTTCTTGGGGTGATTGTCAAGCAATCTCAGGGGATAGAGCTATCCACTGAGATCCGTCAATCTTCAGTAGCGCCCTGATATTAAAAATTAGGAAGGAAGAAAATATCTGTGAAGCAATATGGTGAATTTCTGCTTTAGCATTCTTTGAGTTAGAATGTTTCTGAACAGACATTTTAAAGCTTGAAAAAGACTATAGTATTTTTAAAAACTTGCCAAGAATTTGACTCCTTGGAACTCTGATGCATATGCGCCCTCTAGGAACTCATGAGGAGCATCTGTGTCTATACTGCAGTAATGGTTACAAATAAGTCTAATAAGAATCCTTTTCAGATTTTTTTAAAAACCAAGTGGTTTCATTAATTGAAATCAAGGTCAGTCTTATTTCTTACCCTAACATATTTTCTATGGCTCTCCTGGGAAGATTTCCAACCAGGCTGCCCTCTTTTTAAACAAACTACTTTGCAGTAATATCCTAAATCATTCTTCATTTTATTAGCATTATTATCTCTAATGTTAATATATATATTTAATGCTTTTTTTCCTCAAAGTATCCTCCAATACTTTATCTCAGTTTAATCTACTAACAACTCTAGGAGACAGAGGATCTACTACTCAACTTAGAAAGAAAAGGAAACAGTGCAAAGCTATTACGTGATACCTAATGGCAACCAACGAGTTCATGACAAAGAGGAGACTTGAACCTGCACTTCTTGAGTCTGAATCCGCACGTTTATATTTGGAGAGCTTATAAAATACGGGCATGGAGGGAGAGAGAGTGAGTCTCTCAACACCATGGAAGTGTATGTACTATTTTGCATATGTGCATAATGTACTTTATTTTTCCTATGGAGAGAGGATAAGCACCAATGAACTAGATAATGTTGCTAGTCTTTTTTTTTTTTTTCAATCTTCAGGGAAAAATCTATTCCTAGAGACAGAAACACTGGTTACCAGAAAGTAGCTGTCAGTCCTTATTTGGGTCACCTGCAAGCACCTTTCCACAGTGAGGAGGCAAATGGGGACAATTTTTGAGACAACTGACATCAAAACTAAGGAAATGTGTGTGCAAATGTTTATTTAATAAGTATTTTTAATAAATACATACTTTTAGTAAGTAAGCAATTACTTTTGAGCCCCAAAACTTAGTAATCCCTATGGAATCTCAAAAGTTAAAAAGAAAAACTCAGAAAGAAAAAAAATTATAGACCCTACCCTTGAAGTATTTTCAATCTTAATCTTATACCGTATAATGAATACACTTGAAAGAATTAAAGACTTCACCACTTTTCCACTTTTATTTTTTAGCTGTAATATGGAAATAATAAAAGCAACAAGGGCAGGACAAGCTAATATTTTCTAAATAATATGGAACTGGTCAATCAGATCAATGAGGAGTTTCACAGTAGATTAGTGCAATTCATAGGTGCATCCTGTAGAAAACCCTCCTGATATGCATTTCATGGTCACCAACACAGTTAGATGCAACCACAGACTTTTTTATAAGCCATCACAATGAATCATAATCCTGGCACAGTACTTGCAGCCCCCAAGTGGTCTTGCTGGCTTTCTTTTCTCTCACCTTTACACTATAATTTCCTTGTTTGCAGGAATCATACCTTGTACATGGCAGGTGAGCGATAAAACTTTGTGGAATAAATGAATGAATGAATGAATGAATGAATGAATGAATGAATGAATTTCTATGTCTTCCATGTCTAATATAGGCCTTTGATGTATTTTGGTGTCTGAATAAATATTACCAGATTTGGAAGGCGAATATGAAAATGAATCAGTAAAAAGGCATTCCAGGAGAGTAAAAATTACCTGCAAAGGAAAGAAGGGCTATCAATAGAGGGGGAACAAGACAGCTGCCAATGTCTGCATTTTAATATCTTTGTATCTTCCCATTTTGCACTGGCCACGTGAGTTCTCAGCACCACAGTCAATAACATCCAAAATGCCATGCCGTGCAGATGACTTATTTTAAAAAAAAGAAAAGTTAAACTTTCACACCTATCATCTAAATCTGTACTTAGCCTCAAATCATATTGTTAGTAAAATGACATTTCTTATGACTTTGGCTGTCTTGAATTTCAGAATAAAAGCAATTTCTAGACCATTCAGGAAATAAACCTGCAAATGGACTGGAGGGAAAAAGATTGGATTCTAGATGAATCTACATGAGCTGAATTATCCCGGCAGTATACCAGTCTCCTGCATTATTTTAACTGTATAGACATTACTGAAGTCTTTATTCAGAATTATCAAAGCCTGTCACTACTCAGTTCCTGAAACCATAACCCACCCTATCAAAGCTGACTCCAGTAAGCAAATGCTTCAAAATGACTCTTAAGATTCCACATTCCAAAAAGCCAAGTCCCTGAAGCGACAGAATAAAGTCAACAGCCCTACTATATGTTTTCTATTTTTATTTTTAAAGGGAGTTAATAATGAGGTTTCTCCCTCCAGGATCAACTCTGATTCTGTGGCCAATATTCAGTTTAAGCAGATATTTTTACTCATCTAATAATAATAGATATATCTAAGTGGAAAAAATAGTTTCATGATAGAGAGCTTAATCCATTAGACAGAGCACCTGAGAAAGTCATGATGAACGGTAACAGAAGCTAGAATTAGACTCTGGCTCTATCTTAGGAGTGATATTTTGCCAAGCAAAGTGTGCAAGATAGGGCAAAATGTGCTGCCTCCGTAATGCATTTGAAGTCCTGAAACTATCAGTCCTTCAACAAGTTTTCTTGAGTCACAGCTGAGGTTCTTCGGGTGAGGGCTGCCTGAATAATAGGGATTCATTTGGTCAGCCAAAGAAACCCTTCATGAATAAAACTAATACCAGACTCCAGAGGTTCCTTCACAGATTGTGCAGGGCGTAGTCTAAGGGCCTCTGCACATGGTGTGTGCCCTTTTAGGAATAACTTTGTCTCATCTCTGCTAATTGAAATGCTTCTTCCTTCTCCTGGACCAGCTCAAGTATATGTTCTCCAAAGCTCTCCCTGAATATTTTGGTGAGTGATAATTACTCTTTCCCCTGCACTTTGTGTCACTCATTCATTCAACAAACTATTTCAAGTACCTATTATGCATCTGGCACACAAAAGCAAATAAGACAGGCTCATCTCCTCAAAGACATTGGTGCCACTGCCTTCACACTTCACACTTGCAAGCCAGCAATTACAGCATAGGATGCTGTGGACCATAACAGAGGCAAGCACAAGTTTCTATACGCACCCGATTTTAGTCCTGGAATAATGGGCACAGTACTGTTGGAGCAGAGCTTAAATGATGATACGAAGTTCAAATGACCAAGATGAGCAAGAAAAGCAATCTAAGCAGAAGATTGTGAAAAGGTGTGAGGGAAGGGTATGAGTAATTTTGTACGGCTGGAGTGGAGCAGTAACTGAGGAAAAGGAGGAAAATGAAGCTGAGTAAGAAGGTAGGAGTCAGATCAGGAAGAAAAGCCTGACAAGCCTCTCAAAGGAGTTCAGGTTGTATCCCGTAGGCGATGAGGAGCCATTGAGGATTCTAAGCACGTAGGCAATGGGACCATATTCACATGCTTTCTAAGGACAAAAACTCCTATAGCTACGTGGAAGGTGATTTAGAGTAAGATTGGAGGCAAGCAGACGAGTATGAAGGCTACTGATAGTCCAGACAAGAGAGGGAAAGCATATCTACAAATTAGGAGGATGGCAATACCAATAGAGACGAGGAAATTGATTTTAGAAATGTGTGTGCACCCTATTGTGTTTTAGTATTTATCACGTTCTGACTTCCATTATGATTATTGGAGTGCATATTATCTATGTCTTCCTCTAAACCGTGGGGTCCTTGAGGGTAATGATCAGTCTCATTTATAACTCTGTTTCTTACAAGCTTAATAACATAGTCTATTGAAAACAGTGGGGCCAGGTACAGTGGCTCATGCCTGCAAACCCAGAACTTTGGGAGACCAAGGCAGGCAGATCACTTGAGGTCAGGAGTTTGAGACCACCCTGGCCAACATGGTGAAACCCCGTCTCTACTAAAAATACAAAAATTAGCTGGGCGTGGTGGTGTGCATCTGCAGTCCTAGCTACTGGCGGGGCTGAGGCAGGAGAGCCACTTGAACCTGGGAGGTGGAGGTTGCAGTAAGCCGAGATTGAGCCACTGCTCTCCAGCCTGGGCGACAGAGCAAGACTGTCTCAAAAAAAACAAAACAACAACAAAAAGGAAATAGTGGAAACTCAACATATTAAGTGTTGAAATCTATCAGGTAACCCTGCATTGTCCATTAAAGCAGGCTTTCTTATTTTGGGCACTCCTTCATGGTTTGATGTCAGTCAGTGACCTTAGAGAAGCAGGTCAATAAAAGAAGCATGTGCTTTAAGCTCATTTCTTAAAATAAGGCCTGGAATCAGTTGCGAACCCAGTCAATAACCTAAATTTGTCTGATATGAATTCTCTTTCATGGTAGAGGAAGATACGGGATAACTAACTTTAAGTTAGCTCTGCACCTTGGTACCACTTCCCCAGCCGAACTTGAGATCGGAGCCTCATTCTCAAGGGAATGATGTTCAGAGCTTCGGAATTGGGTCACTTCCCGTCAGCATCATTAGGTAGGATCACGTGAGGCCTCGCTGGGAATTCAATGGAAACTAGTCTCAACATTGAAATAAGAGTGTGTGTTGTGTCTCCTAGGGGAGACAGCATCCTAAGTTGGACAGGTTTTGTCTCTGAGGTTGCTTGAGGGACATGCACACAGTGTTAACTCCAGTGAAAATGTAGTGTAATTAATCTATCTTAACAGCTAGTGATAGGCAGCCACAGACTATTAATGATGGAATATATTTATAGAAATGATACACGTTATATGAATAATCAGGTTTGCAGATATGTGTACTTCCATTGGGCACATATACCGTGTATCAAGGGTACTATTCTGCTAGTTGCCTCATTGAACAGGAGAGGAAATTTCCTAAAAATTAGTTACAATTTCCTGGCTAATTTTTTAACAGGGGATCATGAACATATTACATAACATGCTTTTGGACGAATTCTTCAGAACTTATACACTCAGATGTGTCTTGTCCTCCAAAGCTATCCAATTTTGAAGTTCCATACTTATTCAAAGGCCCTCATCTTGCTCAAACAATTCTGGGCCCTTCTCATTAGATCCAGCCTTGAAAATGAGAGCCAAAGGAAAAAAACACAGATGTTAGGATAGTTAGATCTCATATGAGTTCATGTTCCAGTTATACTCTCCAGATCAGATATCCAATGCTAAGTCAGGAAGGTAAGAGCCACCTATATATCTCACACGAAAGTAAACTTAGACCATATGTAGAAAAATCACATGCTGTCATTGAATGCATAAGAGCAAGAGATGATTTCTATTACAACCTCTTAGATATTATAGGACAGTGAGTAAGCCTTGGGAATAGGTGCACCCAGTACCACAGGGATTTGTTATTCTACTTTCAGCACCTAGCAGAATCTCAGCCACAGTCGGTAACAAGTTCATGATTATTAAGTTATTATTTTTCCTAGATATTGCTTTCTGTTTGACATTTGTAACTTCTCGTGACTAAATACTACCAGCTTCTTTCCAGCCGTAGCTGACTCCACTGACTTCTCTCCCCTTTGATGAGAGGTACTTCTTCCAAACCAGGAAGTGCCTAAGTAGACATACGGGAAAGGGGGATACATTAGCTTATACACGGTAAAATTTTGTAAGACATATGTTGTGTGAACTGTACAATCACCTAGCTAGAAATCTAATGGAGGTATAAATGGGATTCTGCAATAAGACGTTCATAAATAATCTATGAAATGGAATCTTAAAGATTGAAAGGTTCTCATGATTTGCGTGTGCTTCATAAATATATCAAATATTATAATCTAAGAAATTGGAATGAAGTTTTAGTAACGTGTCTTATTTAGCTTCAGCTATTCATCCAAATTAGTTATTGTTTCTACTGACTGCCTTCTCAAGCAACTCAACACTGACTTGGATGCTTGGAGATTTCTCCTTGCCTGAATGAATACTTAGTTGGGCCAAAATAGCTGATCTCTATACAGTCTGTTCTGGTATAACATTAACCTGTAAATGACCAAGATAGGAGATTACTGTCCATTTCACCAGCCATAGATATTTAAGTAGAATCCAGCTGTGAAATCTCATTATTGCTTTGGGTGGCAAGAGAGGAAAGAATAGATGCAGAAGTAAAAAAGCCAATAGGCACAGCCATTCCAGGTAGTTATTGTTGATATAATTTCATTGGTAATGAAGCCTAAGACAGTTTATCCCACGAGCTCTGTATCCGTAATGTGAATAACAAAAAATAAACAGAAATGGGTTACCTGAGATGTAGGTTATCTCCCCGAAGGACACAACTCTAGTCTTTCTACTCTAGCTGATACAAACCGGTATTATTAAAAGTAACAGTTCAAATCCAAAAATAACTGAAGTTTAGAACTTCTTGGGAATATAGAGCAGTCTCAGAGGTCTAAGGCTCAAGAGGAACCCCACCTCCACCTTTATTAGTCATTTAATTCAGGCCTATTAGCCTGCAGAATTTAGCTGTATACAGAAATCCAAAGCTCTTGGGTAATAATAACAATAATAACTAACATGTATTGAATTATCACTATGTGCCAGGTACTGTGCTGAAAGCCACATGCATTATTACATTGAATTCTCAAAACAATTATATGGGGTTAGTGAAATTTTAATCTCTGTGTTTTCAGATGAGAAAACTGAAGCTCAGAGGAGTAATCATGAAAGGCCACTAAAATAAGAAGCAGAGCTAAGTCTTCAAAACTAGATCTGCCTGATGATAAGCTCACTGTTCTTGGACCTGTGGATACTCTCTTGATTCGTATGGCTCTTATCTCATACAATCATTAACCATCAAGATTTGGGAGTGGCAAAGCCTATATATATTATTATTTTCTTTTATGCTGCTATGATGCAATCAACGGCAGCTTGGTAATTTTTTTTAACCTCTGTTAGCCCCATAGTGTCACGATATTTGGCGGATTCCCACTTGTATGGTTCTAAAACAACCGGAACAAGTGTCAAATTTCCTTGCTGGCATGAAAACTACTTTTCTTCAGCCCTCCTTAGCACCACTTGAAATTCTTAGATTATGTGAATAGTCTGTTTCTCAGTTATAAACAGAACTCTAATGATTATTATCAGTAGCCTTACTGAAAACCATTAAACCATGCCAGAAGTGGCTGCATTTTCATATAGGGAAGGTCTACATTAAGGAAGAAATTGCAGAAACAGGATTATAGAAATAAAAAAAAAATTACAAAATTCCACAAGCCTATTGTCCTTCAGACATTTTGGATTTTTGGTCTCTCAACTACCAATTTCAAATGGACACTAAAAAAAAAATCAATCTTTTAGTTACCATACATATTCTTTTTATTTTTATTTTTGAGATGAAGGCTGGAGTGCAGTGGCACGATCTTGGCTTACTGCAATCTCCGCTTCCTGGGTTCAAGTGACTCTCCTGACTCAGCCTCCCGAGTAGCTGGGATTACAGGTGCCCACTGCCATGCCCAGTATTTTTAGTAGAGATGGGGTTTCACCATGTTGGCCAGGCTGGTCTCGAATTGCTGACCTCAGGTGATCTGCCCTCCTCAGCCTCCCAAAGTGCTGGGATTACAGATGTGAGCCACCACGCCCTGCCTCAGATTCTTTTTGGGGAGTACCTGCAAGTCTTTAGCTGTAGGTAAGCCAAGTGTCAGTGTGGCCTTCCTATGGGAATCTCTTTCAAGGTATTATGATCTCTAACACATTGACTATGCCTCAGGTGCTCTTCTGAAGGGACTTTCTCACCAGTTGTGGCAGGTCCCTCATCAGAAATAATGTATTCCCTTACCTGCTAGACATGCTTCCAGAAGGGCTTTCCCTACAAGCCCTCTTTCGGGATTGCCTCAGCTTGGCTAAAGAAAACCTCCTTTTCTAAAGTGACATCTTCTAGACAGCCAGACCCAATGACTGGTTGATTAACATCTAACTCCGCCTCGCCTTTGTTCCATTGAGGTATGATTTTGAAGGGACTTTCAGATACCAGAGCTATGGATGGGATTGCAACTGAGAAAGTCACTGGGACTGCATCCCAGCTCAACTTTCCCTTCCACTCCATCCTGCCTCCTCGCCTGCCTTCCACAGGTGTTGAGCCCAAGAGTCCTCCCTAATTAAAGTCCTGTGTGCTGATCCCTGCTTCCCAGAAAATCCAGCCTGTCACATCTGTGCTAACACAATTTCCTTACCCATCTTTTCTGAGTCTTATACATTAATAGGGTATAGGAAGCCATGGGAAAGAAATATGAAGGGGAAGCCCCAAGGAAATGTAAAGACAGACAGTACACTGATTAGCAAAGAAACACTTTCACTCCATTGGGATGTCCAAATGCAGTACCATTCCCCAAAAAATTCAATTCACAGGTACACCACCGCTGAGATTTTAATTTATAGCTAACTAACTACCGCCGACAGCTCTTGGGCCATAACGGGTGAGGCAAAATCTGTAAGCAAGAGTCACTGCTTGTGGGAATAGACGAGACAGAGAGAATAAAACTTGCTCTCAGCCCTCTACCTGCTGTGTGACCCTGAAGCAAAGTGATCATAGCCCAGATGCAGCCTCCTTTCCCTAGCCCGAGCCCCTGGAGTCTCACGAGTTCTTGGTCTGCAAGGCTAGTCTGCAAAGAAAGGACTGGTTGGGCAGTGTGATACCCCTGAGGAAGCCTATGAAACCTTCCAGCACCTTCTTACTACTGGTGTGTACTTGATTCTTACTCAGAAGCAAAGGACTGAGAAGAAGAAATAACAGCACATCACAAAGTAGGCACATAAAAAGTCAGAGATGTTAACATCCTAAGTGTAAGTAACATTCTGTGTTGCTGGATAAAATTTATAACTTTCCTTCCCATAGCTCTATTTTTTTTTCAGTCTAGTTATGAGAAACCATAATATCTCCTCTCATTGCTGATCTGGAAAACCATATCAAGTTATTTCATACAAATAAAATATAGTGTTCTTTCATAAAATAACCTCAGTTAAATTCTAAATAATGCATAATACATTTATTTTAAATGAACTACAATTTTCCGTAGTCTAGTCATGGCATGCAGTGCGAACTTCAGGATCTAGCATTCTAACAATGGTCAAGGACAGAGATTCCGCATCTTAATTGAGGGGACAAAAGTTATAAGGCTTTGGAAACCTTGGAAAAGAAAGAAGGTTGAACTAATTAATAGTAAGCAAATGAGAGTTGTGAAATTCACAAATTATGAAGTTAATATATCTGTCTTCTAATCATCCCTGCTGGAGAGGGTCATGGTTCCCAAATAGGTTAAGCTGTTTCTCAAAAATACATTAAATGGGTTGGTTTCCCTGGATTTTCTCATGGGTCCTTTATGAGACTGTATAAAAATTGGTAAGCCTAAATGAAGCCACCCCATATTATCCTTTATGTCGCTTCTCTCTTTGCACCCACTTTCTGAACTTATTGGGATATTTTAAATTCAACTTCTGTATTAAGACTAAAATATGGCCCTGGGCGCAGTGGCTCATGCCTGTAATCCCGGCACTTTGGGAGGCCGAGGCGGGCGGATCATGAGGTCAGGAGATCGAGACCATCCTGGCTAACACGGTAAAACCTCGTCTCTACTAAAAAATACAAAAAAAAATTAGCCAGGCGTGGTGGCGGGCACCTGTAGTCCCAGCTACTCGGGAGGCTGAGGCAGGAGAATGGTGGGAACCCGGGAGGTGGGGCTTGCAGTGAGCTGAGATTGCGCCACTACACTCCAGTCGGGGAGACAGAGTGAGACTCCATTTCAATTAAAAAAAAAAAAGGAAAGAAAAAGACTAAAATATGGCTGGGCACAGTGGCTCACACCTGTAATCCCAGCACTTTGGAAGGCCAAGGCAGGCAGATCACCTGAGGTAAGGAGTTTGAGACCAGCTCAACCAACATGGAGAAACCCCATCTCTCCTAAAAATACTAAAATTATCTGGGTGTGGTGGTGCATGCCTGTAATCCCAGCTACTTGGGAGGCTGAGGCAGGAGAATCGCTTGAACCTGGAAGGAAGAGGTTGTGGTGAGGCAAGATCATGCCATTGCACTCCAGCCTGGGCAGCAAGAGCAAGACTCTGTCTCAAAAAAAAAAAAAAAAAAAAAAAAAAAAAAGGATAAAATATTACTGAAAGCTTGCTTTGAGCCATTGTTTCAGATATCAGCATGAGGAAGAATCTCAGACTGCTGGCTCTACCCCCAGAGTTTTGAGTCAATGAGTCTAAGATGAAAATACGCGTTTCTAACAAGTTCCCAGCAGTTGCTGAAGCTGCCATTTTGAGGACCAAACTGAAAATTATTGCTCTCAATAGTGTGCGCTTTTAAGATCCTTTCAGAAGAGGTTAGAATAGGGTAGCATGTGATTGCAAGGGCTGGGAAGTAATTCATCCTTTTCAACAGAAGTCCATGATAGGGGGAAAAAAAAATCTGAATGACAAAGGGCCCCTTCTAGGCCGGATGCAATTGCTCATTCTTGTAATCCCAGCACTCTGGGAGGCTGAGGCGGGCAGATCACGAGGTCAAGAGACAGAGACCATCCTGGCCAACATGGTGAAACCCCGTCCCTACTAAAAATACAAAAATTAGCTGGGTGTGGTGGCTCATGCCTGTAGTCCCAGCTACTTGGGAGGCTGAGGCAGGAGAATTGCTTGAACCCAAGAGGCGGAGGTTGCAGTGAGCCGAGATTGCGCCACTGCACTCCAGCCTGGGCAACAGAGCGAGACTCCATCTCAAAAGCAAAACAAACAAAAACACGCTAAATGAGATAGCGCAAAAGTGCCTAGTAGAAGTGCATAAGGTAGAGCAGAATCGCAATGAACAGTGGGGTGAAACTAAATGGCCTGATGCTTTCAGTCTTTCTTAAAGGGATTATTGTACATTTGGTCTAGATTTTGCAATAAAAAGAAAATTAAGCAAATGTGATCTACCCCAAAAGAGAATGTGTGAGTGTAGATGAAAATGCACAAGGATGGAAAACAAATACAAGGAACTTGATAAGACAAGCAAAAATCAAAGAAAAACTGACCCCCTCTCCTCCTCTCTTGTCTCATGCTACAAATTGAAATGGAGAGAGTAAGCTAAAAGAATAAACGGTACAAAGTAATTTAGCTGCTTTGCAAAGTTCTTTAACTTTTAATAACGGCAGAAAGATCCCGTTTTAAAATATGAATTTCATCTCGCCTATGTGCCTTTAAGGGAGCATAACTTATTTATACTTTTCTCCTTTCTTCTAATTTACTGACTCCCTCCATCTCCTGCACTCTCCCTTTCAACTAGAACAATAAGGTTTTGAAGATGGATATGTAGTAACAGCAGCATCTTCAGTTCTCTCTATGACTCCTCATTATAAGGTTATTTTCTTCTGTTTGGAAATAGAAATGCTGCCTTTGATGCTACCACTTAAATTTTCTTTTTTCTTTTTCTAAAGAAAGTGTCCCTATTTATTACCTACCCTTGTCACCTTGGCACAATGTGGTAAATAGCATTCTAAATAAATATTTTCTAATATGCCTTCAAGTACGACGTTCCTTTTGAGTGCAAATAGGATAATTGGACAGAGAGGAAGAAAGCAGCATTGAAGGCACTGTTTTAAGGGAGAAGAGTGTGATTTTTGTTTGGTTGCTCTGATGTAGGGCTCATCAGCAATTTCCAAGACTGCCTGGTGAACTCATGAACATTTTAGTGATTGGGCTGCCTGTATTTGGAGCTCAGCAGGGGCAAAGATTTGAGACATTCTTCTAACTAGAAAGATAGCTCTTCTCTTTGTATGTCTCATCTTCTCTGAGTGTTTTTGTAGCTTTTTCCATTCCTCATGACTTATTTCCATGGGCCTCTTTCACCTTTTGCTGTGAACACCCTAGAATTCCTTGCATTCTCTCCCCTTTACTCTCCTTCTTTCCCCTAATTTCAGTTCCTTTACCTGCCTCTGCTCCTCTCCGTCTTTCTGGTCTTTTCCCTGTCTGTCTCTGCTATGTTTCCACTGACATATGGATCTTCTCAACTTGCTACCAAGGAGCTGCTTTTGGCCTCCTGACAACACAAGGTGCTGCCACCCTGACAGGCAGGAAAAGGCAGGCGAGGCGAGCATATGTTAATGGAAGGGAGGTGCGGGGAACAGATAAGCTGTTGCCAGTCTCAGGCATAAGTTACTTAATTAGAAGCCAAAAACTCTTAGCTCTGGTTGTCACTTTCCTCCTTTGAGAGCACAGTCATCCATTTGGTGTCCTCACTTTTGAGTAGCACCCGTCTGGGCTCTCTCAGCTCTGTGAAGTTGAGTCTAGTCATTGCAGCTGACAGGTAACAGGCAAAGCAGGGAAAAAAAAATAAAAAGAAAAGAAAAGAAAACGGAGCCAGGAAGCTGGAAATAGCAGAACATCTATTTGCACATCGCGAGCCACAGGCCAGAAACCCAGATATTGGACTTACTGGAGAGTCTCCAGGCATCGGCTGTGCGTCTCCCTGGTGCCAGGCACTACCTACCCCAGACACCAAAGAAGACCCCCATCTATGTTCCCATGGAGACTGTTTTGTAGTTGAGGAACCAGATATATAAATTCTTAGGGTCTTCACTATCCCCTGTAAGAGTCTGAACCCTACTGCCTTCCTCCAGCCTCGGCTTACCCAGCCCTCAGCCATTATTTCTTCTTTCAGTCCCTTAAACTATTCCTCTCTCTTCCCACAAGGCCTTGGTATATACAATTCTCTCCCCAACTTCTTCTATTAATTTCCTTCCTGTCCTTGAAATCTAAATTCAAATGCTCCTCTCTTGGGTCAGAGTGACCAACCCATCCCTGTTTGCCTGGGATCTTCCCAGTTTTACTGCTAGAAGCTCCAAGTCTTAGGAAAGACATATTTCAGGTAAATCAGGATGGTTACTGACTCTAGTCAAATCTCCTGATGATACACACTATAAAATATTTAACAGCCTTATTGAGATATAATTCAAAGATCATAAAATGCATCTTTTTAAAACATACAATTCAGTATTTAGTAAATACACAGAGTTGTACAACCATGAACACTATCTAATTTTGGAGTGTTTTCATTAATCCCTAGAAACACCCTACTCATTAGCAATCACTCCCAGTTGTCCCCTCCCTTCAGCCCATAGCAACCGTTAATCTACGTTTTGTCTCCATGGATTTGCCTATTCTTAACATTTCAGATAAAAGGAGCTACACAACATATGGCCTTTGGTGACCAGCTTCTTTCACTTAGCGTGATGTTGTCAAGATTCATCCCTGTCGTAGCATGTATCACTTTATGTTCATCGGGGGTCACAGTCTGATTTTTCTTACTTGTGTTGACTGTCTGGTTTTGGAATCAGGGTAATATTGGTTTCACAGAATGAGTTGGGGAGTGTCTCTTCTAATTTTTGGAAGAGTCTGCAAAGTATTGATGTTAATTCTTATTTAAACCTCTACTAGAATTTACCAGTGAAGCTATTAGGTTGGTGCAAAAGTAGTTAGGTTTTGCCACTGAAAGTCATGGCCAAAACCACAGTTACCTTTGCAACAACTTAATATCTAAGCCTGACCTATTTTTCATGGGAAATTTCTGATTTCTAGTTTAACTTCTTTACTTATTGTAGATTTACTTGTGTGTCTCTATTTACCTATGTCTTTTTATGTGGATATCCACATTATCTGATTTGTTGTCAGGCAATTGTTGATAGTATTTCCTTATACTTTGTTCTTTCTGTAAGATTATTAGAAGGAACCCTCCTACTTTCATTCTTAACTTTAGTAATTTGAGCCTTCTACCATTTTTGTCACTCTAGCTAAAGTTTCATTGATTGTATTGATCTTTTCAAAGAAAATAACTGTATTTCATTTATGTTACTCTGTTATTTTTTCTCTATTTTATTTTTACTCTCATATTTAATATTTTTTTCCTTCAACTTGCTTAGGTTTAATTTGATGTTTTTTTCTCTAGAGAATAAGAGTAAAAAATTAGGTTATTAATTTGAGATCTTTCTTCTTTTTTAGCATAAGCAGTTGCAGCTATAAATTTCCCTATAAACACTGCTTTAGCAGCTTCTCAGATGATGCTGTTATACGTGCTTTCATTTTCATTCATCTCAATGTATTTTCTAATTTTGCGGTAATTTTGTATTTGATTCATTGCTTATTTAATAATGTGTTATTTGATTTCGTATATTTGTATATCTTCCTAATTTCTTCTTGTTAATAATTTTTAATTTTAATCCCTTGTAGTCAGAGAACATTGTATAATTTAATCATTTCAAATTTATTAAAGTTTATTTTGTGGCCTAACATCTATCTAGTCTATCCTGAACAATGTTTCGTGTGCACTTGAGGAAAATGTGTATTTTACTGTTGCTGAGTGGATTGTTTTAGATGTCTTTTAGGTCTAGTTTTTTTATAATGCTGTTCAAGTCTTCTATTTCCTCGTTTTCTGCCTCATTATTCTACCTATTACTGAGAATGGGAAATTGAAGTCTGTAACTGTTATTAGTGAATGACCTATTGCTACTTTTATTTCTATCATTCCTAGTTTCCTGTATCTGGGGACTTTGTTGTTAGCTGCATATATATTTACAATTATTATGTCTTCCTTATAGATTGGTATGGTTTGGCTGTGTCCCCACCCAAATCTCATCTTGAATTGTAGTTTCCATAATTCCCATGTGTCGTGGGAGGGACCTGGTAGGAGGTAATTGAATCATGGGGGCGGGTTTTTCCTGTGCTGTTCTAGTGATAGTGAAAAATCTCATGAGATCTGGTTGTCTTATAAAAGGCAGTTTCCCTGCACACTCCCTCTTGCCTGCTGCCATGTAAGACAAGACTTTGGCCTTCCTTGGTTTTCCTCCATGATTGTGAGGCCTCCCCAGCTATGTGGAATGCTGAGTTCATTAAACCTCTTTTTCTTTATAAATTACCAAATCTCAGCTATGTGCTTATTAGCAGCATGAAAACAAACTAATACATAGAATTAACATGTTTATTATTGAGAAATGTTCTCCTTTGTTTCTAGTAATAATTTGTCTTAAAGTCTATTTTGTTTGATATTAGCATAGCCACCAAACTCTCTGTGGTTGCTGTTTGCATGACATATCTTTTTCCATCCTCTTGTTTTCAATATATTTTTGTCTTGGAATGTAAAGTATAAAGTAGAAAGCACATAGTTGGATTTTTAAAAAATCCATTCTGTCATTCTGCCTTTTTATTAGACTGTTTAGTCCATTTACATTTATTGATAAGGTAGGATTTATATCAGGCATTTTTGCTTGTTTAGCTTAGTGCTTAGTTAATAACTAGACAAATATCTCCTAACATTTCTTGAGCCAATAAGTCTCCCAGCCCTTGCCAAAGGACTCTGTGCGTTAGGGCACACCTTCAATACTTCAGTAGGCACTTTGTAATTCCATCTTCATCTTAAATCTCTGCCTGCTTGGAGCCCCAAAATCAGCCAGAGATGAGAAATTAGAGTTTTCTCATGTCTTTTCTGGAAACTTGTAATATCTGCACATGCACATTCTTTTTGTAGATGCCCAGCTTTTAAACTCCAATTAATACCTTATCCCACAGGTTTATCTTTTAAGATTTTTAGTAATCTTTTGTTTTGCCAACTTGTATTATAGCCTCAGGCAGATGCAATGTTAAATAATTGCCACTGATTGTTCTTGACACATGCTCAAGAATAAGGTGATTCACACAGAGTAAGTTTTAAATCAAGTCAAGTAAAGGCAGTTCCTGTGTATGAAATTTTTAATGGAGCTTCTAAGCAGGTAAAATAGTGATAATTCATGGGAGATAAAAATTTTGAGAGCTCCAAATATGTCCTTCCTGTTCCTACAGCTTCTAGGCTGCTGATTTTCATAGCTACCATAGTTACAAAGCTACTATTAATACTATAAATTTTCAAGGGAACTACAGAACTGGGAAAAGAGAATGAGAATTAGTCAAGTTAAAACACAACAAAATTTGCTGTTCTTACTGAGAGTCAATAATTTTTCTTGAATAAGCATTGTTCAGATTGTTATATGCCTTTGTTAATCTTTACAGTTCTAACAAAGCTGAGTTTGATAATATTCGCCAGTATTTTTGTTGCTTTACAAAGAAGAGACTTTTCAGAGGTCCTTATCCCACAATTCTGAAAGTGTTTTTCCTGATTATACACACCTATACTATTGTGTATACCTCTTTTTAGTAACAAAAACATTTCTTAATATAATTTATTTCTAGAGCAGTCTTGGGTTCATGGAAAAATTGAGCAGAAAATACAGAGTTCTTATATACACCCTACCCACCACCACAGCTTCCCCCACTTTCAACATTCTATATCAGAGTGAAACATTTGCTCTAATCGATACATTTACATTGACACACCATTATCACCTGAAGTTCGTATTTTATATTAGGTTGTACTCTTGGTGTTGTACATTTTATGAGTTTTGACAAATGTACAATGACATGTATCTACCATTATACTATCAAACAGAACAGTTTTACTGCCTAAAAATACTCTGTGTTTCCCCATTCATTCTTCCCTCCACTCCAACTCTTGGCAACAACTGACTTTTTTACGTTCTCCATGGTTTTACCTTCTCTAGAATGGCATATAGTTGGGTTCATACACTACATATTCTTTTCAGATTGGCTTCTTTCACTTAGTAATATGCACTTAAGGTTTTTCCTCATGATCTAAAAGCTCACTTATTTTTAGAATTGGATAATAATCCACAGTCTGAAGATACCATGGTTGATTTATCCATTTACCTACTGAATAACACTTTGGTTGCTTCTAAGTTTTTACAGTAATGTAGAAAGCACCTAAAACATTCAAGTGCATATTTCTGTGTAGACCTAAGTTTTCCAATCATTTAGATCAATACCTGAGAGTGTAATTGCTGGGTTGTATAGTAAGAATGTGTTTAATTTTGTAAGAAACTGCTAAACTGTCTTCCAAAGTGGCTATATCATTTTGTATTCCAGTAGGAAATGAGAATTTCTGTTGTTCTACATCCTTGCTAGTAGTTGTTGTTTTCAGTGTTTGTGTTTTGGTCAGTCTAATAGGTGTGTAGTGGTGTCTTACAGGTGTTCTAATTTTCAGTCTCCTAATGACATATAATGTTAAGCATCTTTTCACGTGCTTATTGCCATGTGTATATTTTCTTTGGTGAGGTTTCTGTTCAGGTCTTTCGCCCATTTTTTAGTTGGGTGATTCATTTTCTTATTGTTGCATTTAAGAGTACTTTATATATTTTGTATAATAAAAGTCCTTTATGAGATGTGCCTTTTGCAAAATATTTTCTCCCACTCTGTGTCTTTTCTTCTTATTCTTTCACTATGTCTTAAAATAACATAACTTTTTAGTTCTAATGAAATCCAACTTATCAATTATTTCTTTTATGAATCAAGGCTTTGGTATTGTATCTAGAAAACTATTGCCATGCTGAAGGTCACTTAGATTCTCTCCAACGTTAGGTTCCAGGAGTTTTGTAGTTTTACAGTTCACATTTAGGTTTATTATATACTTTGTATTTGTATTAATTAGGTTTCTTCAGAGAACCAGCACTGGTAGGAAATAGATACATATACATTAAATTTAGATATAGTTATAGACGTATATATATGAGCGGCTTTATTATAGGCATTGGCTCACATGATTATGGAGGCTGGCAAATTCCACAAGCTCCTATCTACAAGCTGGAGAATAAGGAAAGCCAGTGGCATAATTTGATCAGAGTCCAAAGGCCTGAGAATGGGACAGGGAGGGAGTGTGGCAATAATGTAAATCCCAGTATGAGTCTGAAGGCCTGGGAACAAGGAGTGCCAGTGTCTGAAGGCAGGAGAAGATGGATGTCCCAGCTCAAACCAAGATAGAGCAAATTCACTTTTGCTCTGCTTTTCTGTTCTATTTGGGCTGTCAAACGATTGGATGATATCTGTCCACATTGGTGAGGGCAATCTTCTATGCTCAGTCTATGAACTCAATCTCTTCTGGAATATCCTCACAAACACACTCAGAAATAATGTTTTCCCACCTATCTGGGCATTCCTTAGCTCAGTAAAGTTGACACATAAAATTAAACACGGAGTTAATTTTTTGAAGAGTATGAGGTCTGTGTCTAGATTTTTTTTTTTTTTTTTTTTGCATGTGGATGCCCAGTTGCTCCAGCACCATTTGTTGAAAAGACTATCTTTTCTCTATTGAATTGCCTTTGGTCCTTTGTCAAGGATCAGTTGACTATATGTATGTGTGTCTATTTCTGTGTTCTCTATTCTGCTGCATTGATCTATTTATCTATTAACAAAACACTTCTAAAGCACAATTTTAAGCCTCTATTATAAGCATGAATCGCAGTTATAATTTTACATAAAATTTGATATCTATTGCTTACTTTCATTAAATGGAAGGTTTTTGTGGATCAGATATATTTACTTTAGTTACCATGATATCCCCAGCTCTTTGCACTGTATCTGACACATAGCGGGAGCTCAATAATATTTGCTGATTTAATGAATAAATGGAAACCTCTCATGGGAACTCAAAGGTGGAACTGATGAAAGAAATACTGGAAGCATGAAACACAAGTAGGACCTATTGTTATATGGTGAAATAGATTTGGCAGAAAGGTCCAAAGTAATTCTCTCAGGAATCATAAAATGTCAGCAAGAGGCCTGCAGCTCTCTACTTTCCAGACATGTCCCAACTGCCACAAGTAAAGATGCAGTGGGTCTCAATTCCTTGATCTCCTGCCCCTAAATTTCCATAGAAGTCTCTGTTATAGCAGTAAGAGTGGTGACAGCTTCTAATTTGCATAAAAAATGTGTTTCCAATATCACCTTCTTTTTCAGGTGAAAGGGATGGTAAAAGCAATCTGACATTGTAATCAGCTGAGAAAGGTGTTAGATTGAATAATGACATTGTAGTGAAGCAAAAACAAAACAAAACAAAACAAAAAACAACAACAAAAAAAACCAGTTACTATTTTAAGGGACTGGGATTGTGAGTTTGTTAATGATTTGCCGTGGATTCATAAAGAAATACAGTCACTTGGGGAACCCCAAAGCCTTGTCTGCCCCACAGTGAGCCTCTCTGAAAAGGAAGGAGGTTCTCACCACAGGGAGACATGACTTCTCAGGTTTGTTTTAATTGCAAGCAAAGTCATTTACTGAGATGCATAAAAATTCCATTCATTTTGCAACTCCTCAAACACTCCAGCGTTGAGCAGAAATTTTTTTTTAGATTTTCATTCCATATAATAACTGTTGCATATTCAGCTCTTCAAGAAGCAAGGGGAACATTTGTCATGGTGCAGCTCTGAGTGAGTGAAAAGTAAAGGAAATACAAAAATGAAAGGAATTGTTCACACATTCTTAAAATACCTGCTAGGACCCTTTCTTCCATTCACTGGGAAAAGAAGGCAAAGCCAGCAGCATTTCAGGTAGCCCTAGAGCAACTTCATCCAGCAAGATATCTCCAGCAAAAGCTAGCTGATGCAGTGTTTTTTTCATAGATGAGTTCTACAATACAGCCCAAGGTAGTGGTTATTAAATATAATTCTGCATCCCATTGGTATGGAATAAGTAGCATGTGTTGTTAAAAGTAAAACAGTGTGTTCTTAAAAATCATTAAACCTCTCTATATGTTGCAACTGATATTTTAAAATATAAATTAGACCAGATTCAAGACTATATCGATGATAATATCAGTCTCACCATGGTTCTGCCTATAAGGGTTACTTGGATTTAGAGAAGATATTTTATTTTCCTCTTTTCAAACTGTTTTGCATACTGATTAGATACATTTTAATTATATGTATTTAACTATGACTTACGAGGCCATGCTATTCTGCTTGATTTCATCATTTGTCCTCAATTATATCTAAAGCCAGAATGAGGTTATATTTGATGAATCTAACCCAAAGGATTAAAAATAAAAGACTTTGAGGGTTTCAAGTTACCATATTAAAGGGCATCACTAATTCTAATGTAAATATGTTTTTAAATTATTCAAACTATTTCTCAAAATGTTTATAATGGATCAGAAATGTATTTCTTTTAAATAAGAGCTCATGCCACCATCTAATTTGGAGTAAGATAAAGCAAATGGTTTGTTAGAGAGTAATCTTTAGTTGCTCTCTTCAAAATAACTTTTATTTACAGAGCTGTGTTGGGAAGGATGATAAGTGATATGGTTGCCAAGGGAAACTCTTTCCTGATTGGAAGAGAGGTCATCACAGGTTTTTACAAAGAAAGGAGAAGAGATGGCTTTATTTCCTAAGATTTTTATTTTCTGCTCTTACAGTGGAAGAAAAAAGCAGCAGAAACAAAAATTGTGTTGTCTGCTCCTTATTCACTCTCTGAATTCACAGAAAGTCTCTAGGTAATGAGCCTCTAGAGGTGCAAACCCCCATGACAAGTTTTCTTAGCATTGCTTAAATTATTATTTGACTGTGATGTTGTTTACCCCTGTGTTTATGTTTGTTCTGTCCAATTAGAATGCATAGTAGGTATAGCTAAGGTTTACATTTCATAATTGGTGTGTTGCCCAGGTGCCTTGTGCATAGTTAGATACACAAAAAATGAATTAACTTTTATTTTATAGCACTTAATCCATAATAATCATAATATAGTTAGAATAATTTTAAATAGAATTACGAGACAGCGCTATGTCTCCCTATTAGTTGTTTAGAAAGGTTAATATATAATGGATCTAGAGACTCATAAACAGGCTCCACCGGGATGTATGCTCTCAGAGGGCAGGGTCTTTATCTTATTCACTTGTATGCCAGCCCAGGGTCCCCTATCTGGCATATATATAAATACACACACACACATATATTATACATGCTTAATAAATCACTGTTAAATAAATAGATCCCTCTGTTTTTGAGTATGATCAGTGTAAGTGCAAATACAGAATCAAGGACAAAATAACGTTTTATATCCAAGCACTCTTTAAAAGAAAAAATAAAATTTAAGAAATATAAATACCAATGCACTTTTAAAATATAGAAAATTTTGGAGGTGACTCAGAAACAAGATAGAGATTTTTTAAACAAGAACAGAAATATGTAGGTAGAAGTAATTCATTTGTAATCACATAGCATATGAATACCTGATAAGAGGCCATTAGGAGATGATTTCTTTAAAAAGATTCTAAGTGGTGGGTTTACCTAAGAACCTACCCTCGTGGTATGGAGACAGTTTGCTTTTTTACTCAACTGACTTTCTTTAGGAGCATTTCCTATCAAGCTGCTCTTTTGCCTTGAAGATAATGACTTGGATCAAAGAGCACCTGGCTGAAATCTAGTTTTCCGGTAGTCATACCCAGAGAATGAGCCCCAGAGAATGACTTTATTGAAGAGAATTCACCCAAAACATGGAAAATACAGTTCCTTATCTAAGTCCAATCCCAAGGCATGTAGGCTCAATAATGAAGACACCAACAGAACTTTAGCAATTGATGGACTAACAATAGAAATTGCCATTTATTGGACACTTATTGGAGAGCCAAGGATTGTGTAAAGTGATTTTCATAAACTGTTACTTACTAATTTTATGAGGCAGATATTATCATCTTTTTTAGGGAAATGGCATCTCAGAGGCATGAAGTAACTTAGCTAATAAAACTTTGAAGTAATAGAGTTGACATTTATATTCATGTCTGTCTCACATAAATCCAGACGCCTGACCTCATCCCAGCCACACCTTTGATCCTCTGTGACTGAGCCCATATTTTCACCCTATTCACAATTTTGACCAATTCTAGTTACTGCCTATTCAACCTCAGGTTTGCTTCATGCCAGCTGAGTCATCACTGAGCTCAACCGCTAACCATGGAAAATAGTAGCTTAGTGCTTGGCCCCAGTGAGTGTTTTTAGAGGGAGACTGGATAGCACAGCGAAAATAGCTTAGCCTTTGGGCTTCATGGCCAGATAGCATTGAATTTACATCTCCACTCAGTAACTTCAAAGCATCCTCAGTTAAGTCATTTCACGTCTCTGAGCCTTAATTTCTCCATCTATAAAATACATCTCTTCTGGAAGTCAGTCTCACTGTTGTTGCTTGTTGAAACCATGGCTGAAACATTGCAGAAGCCACAGAAATTCAGAGCCACCTGGCATTCCTGCAGCTAAGAATAAGGAGGCGGGGAGGGGGCGCTGAGAGGTTGATGCTCTGACAAGGAGATAGCACATGGATTTCTGTCCCTAGTAACTACTATTCATTTTGGGGAAGGTCAATATCTATAACTTGAAATTGCCCCTGCCGATGATCCAGTGGTCAGTCTGATAATGTGATGCACTTTTTTCCTACCTAGAAATAGTTGGGGAAGATAGTGTTTGTAAGAAAAATGTAAGATTGACCGCTGTCATTGAACGTTAATTGCTGTCACAGAGGAACATGGAAACTAGATATTTAAGATTACACAAATAAATAAGATTTAAGAGACAAATGCATCTGTGACCTTTCTTAAAATACCTATTCATTTATGTGGCACCTCCCTAATCAGGAAACTAGTCATTTCTCTGGTTATAATGACCAACTCACAGTGGCAAAAGTCAGATAGGGGATATATAATCCCAGGCATGTAAGTAAGTTTTCGTCAAGGTTATTGAGTGTGTGAGAAAGAACGTTTTAAGGGTTAGTAAAGGTCTCCCGGATGACCACATCCATATTTTAAAATAAGGAGACTTGAGGTAACCTAATGCATACATAATATAAAATAAGATTTTTTTTTTTAGAAAAAGAGAGACAGGAGAGCAATTAATTGTTGTTGAAAGAAGGAGGAGAGCTAGAGTTACCACAAACCTATGATAAAACTATTAAAATTAGGCACTACACATGATGTGCCAAGGCAAGAGGAGAAGCTTAAAAAATGGGCCAGAGAGAATCATATGTTTTTCTTGCTTGTTATAAATTGATTTTATTTTATTCACGAGAGAAGGAATCAGGGAAGTACTCTTGCTAAATGCTTACTGTCTGTTGGGAATTATCTCCTAACTTAGAAAATGGTAACAGATTTAATTTTCACAACAATCTAATGAAATGAGCCTCAGAGGTCAGCAAACTACAGCCTGTGAAACCAGATAGCTGCCTGTTTTACTACGGTTTGTGAGCTAGGAATAGTTTTTACATTTTTAAATGGTTACCTTTTTAATGGTTAAATAAGTACCTATATAATATCCTCCATTTCACCTCTTGGCTGCAAAGCTTAAAATATGTATTATCTGATTCTTTTAGAAAAAGTTTCCCAGTTACTGGGCTATAGTGTCGTCCCTGTTTTACAGAAGAGAAATTTAGACATTTCTTCTCTTCTGCTTCCAAGCGGTAGGGCTAAGGTTTGAACTCAAGCAACCCATTCTAGATTGTGTATTCTTAACTGACGTATTGCACTGCTACTGAGGGATGAGGAGCATCTCTCTTTGACTATGGCTATAAGAGAAAAGGTCAGTTCAAAATTATGCCCACCACCTAAAGACTCAAAGTCACTTGGGAATTTAATTATAGATACTGACTTAGAGCTCCTGGTGAAAAGCTGAGCCTTGCCACAGGAAACAACTAGCTTTCAGAAAAGGCCAAAGATAGGTCCTAGAGAAACCTTGACTGGAAGGTATTGGTCAAGGGTTAGTCCCTTGACCAGAGGAGTGGGAATAGGGTAAAAATAGAACTCCCATAGGACACTCTAGAAAAAGGACAAAAGAAATGAAATGTGGTCAACACAGTATGGTCTGGACTTCGCTAAGTCTTGGGGACATTGAGAAAGGTTCCTTTTTATTTCCAGGAGGTGAAGATCAAGACAATAATGAAGATGGCCCAATGAGACTGCATGGAGACAGTTCAAAGAAGCATGTTCTGACATTCCTGCCAACCCTCAGCTCAACGCCAATGAGAGATCTCCTCAAACAACCACTGAATATCTATGATTGGCTTCCAGACCAGTTCTGAAACCAACATCCAGTGAGCTTACCTCTTTTGAACCTGTATCCTTCATGTGTAAATATTTTTCTATCTTTGCACTTTATGCTGCTTAGTTTAAGACCCTTGATTGCAAATATTGGAAATACATCTCTAGTTCCTTAAGCAAGAAGGGAGTTTATTAGAAGGATTCAAAGTTAGGGTGGCATGTGCTTTTAGAAACTAAAGAGGCTGAAGGTGGTGGCTCATGCCTGTTATTCCAGCACATTGGGAAACCTAGGAGTTTGAGACCAGCCTAGGCAATGTAGTGAAACCCTGTCTCTACAAAACCAGAAAAATTAGGCAGGTGGCAAGTGCCTGCAGTCCTAGCTACTTGGGAGGCTGGTGTGGGAGGCACCATGTATAGGTATCATTATAATCCTCCAAGAAATACTGGATTTGTGAAAGGGGAGAAACCAGTACTCTAGCACCTCTTTGAGTGCAGAGAGAGAACCTCTAAATAATTTTAATGCTGTAGACTGCAACTGTGGTGATCAATAAGCAAATCATAATTGGTTAAAGAAGCCAGTGCATAGCAGGATGAGAGGAATGTGAGCCCGATTGGTGACTGCCTACCAACAGGACAGGTCACTCCCCAGTGCTTTCCATCAGGAAAACATGGCATCAGGGCTTCCAGCCATTAGGTCTAGACTGCCTGTTTCTAAAAGAAACCTCATGAGCTTTCACCTCTAAAGTGAAAGCAGACATTGATGGTGAGTAGACAGAAGCGGGGACAGGAAGACAGAAGTCTATTTCATTGGTCACATGGTCATGTGATCTCTATCCCAGGGATTTTGCTATGATAAGAGTGAAATATTTTTGGTACTTTTCTGGGAATATAGAAGGAGCCTCATAAATGTTAAATTCATTATATCAAAATTCTTTTAGTAATTCCTTTTTTTCTTTTAAACACCTCCAAGAAAGATCACATGATTCGCCTTAATAAGGCATTAATGGCATCCTAACCTCTTTAAGATGCTCTGGAATGTGTTTGAGAATTAAATGGTACAGAAAATAAAAAAGGGTCCAAGTTGAAATCCCCTTATCTCTCAGAGTGTTCTGAAGCTAGCAAAGCACTGGTCTCCTCTGTAATGAAAGCCTGTTCTTTGGACCCAACTGTCGGATGCCTGCTTTTACCAACAAGGCAAGGAGAGGCTTTGATTTGCACCATTACTAACAGCTTTGGCAGGAGAATTTTTGTTTGAACTACACTTTAGAAAGGAAAAAAGGACAGTAAAGAAAAATCACGATTCCCCCCCTTCCCCCCTGTTAACCTCTTTCCTCTGTTTTTTCCCCCTTTGGACAAATAAAAATTAAAAAAGAGAAAAGAAGATCAATAAAATGCTGTAAGCTCAAAATTATTGATCTTTCTCCAGCATTTCATTTGGCATCAAAAGAAATTTATGACAGAGAGTAAAAAATTAAAGAAATAAAATAAGAGGAAAAATTCCTAAGTAGTTGAGGAAAATTAAATTCTATATAGTTTCTCATAGAAAAACCTCAATATTCTGGCTGAAGAAACTTAAAAAGTCTGTTTTCTGTTTAGTCTGTCCTGGCTTCATTTTAGCTTTCAAGTACTTAGAAATATCTGGAAGTTTTTGGACCCCTGAACCACAAAACATAAATAAAATAATGCTGTATACATGTAGAGTCTTAAATAAGGCAAAGTTATTTTCTGGCTGAGATGATCTTCAAAGCCAGTTTTCTGCATGCCTGTCCTCCCCACTCCCTTTATAATTGAGACAATTTGCAACAGAAAAAGAACATGATGCCAGCATAAGACAGGGCAATTCAAGTTCACATTCAACCTGGTAGTATGAAGGGAAGTTTTCTTTACTTGCTCACAGGTTCCCATTTTTCCTGAACATTCTTCCTGTGTTTCATGGCCAGTGAATGTGGTGGAAGCACATTTCCACCCTTTCGTTTGTTGTAGTGAGAGCAGCTTTCAGTAGGGGAGGAAGCCTTCCTTGTGTGCATGCCACACCTGTGTGCATGCCACAACTTTTTCCTAATTTCAAGAAACTTCCTCTGAAATTTGCTTTTTCTACTACTTGGTTGTTTTGTTGTTTTGTTTTTAGCACAGTTGTCACAAAACGGTTGTTCCTCTCGATGCTTTGCCATGTGTTGTGGTTTGGCTGATCCCTACAAGCCCAGCAACCCTATTTCCTTAAACATCACCACAGTGATTGTCAAGAATAGAGTGACAAGCCTGGACTGTGGCCGATGAACTCAGACATCCCTGAAAGAGATGGAGTCTTGACTGCTGGTTTCATGGAGGAGTTTGCTGCAGGGTAGCCCCTTATTTATTTTATTATTATTATCATTTTTTACAGCCGAGTTTCAAAAGTTCAGGGGACTTTTTGTGTTTTGTCCAAAATCACACACAAGTTTGGAAAAGAGAGGGAACTAGAACTCAAATCTCTCCAGTCTCTGTCTTCCTCTCTTCCCATGATGACAGAGTACCTCGGCCTTTCCCACACAAGACCCTTGGATGCAAGTACACATGCGCATACACACACTTTCTAGAATCAGCATTTTGCCTTCACAGACCTGGAAAGATTGCCCTTTGGTTTGTCACAGCAGAGCCTGTTGGCAGATGGTGAATCAGCCTCAGGCTCAACGTCAGCCTTTACTTAAAAAGAGCTCCCCTGGTATCCCTCCATCTTGCTCTCTGGAGGATGCCTGTCAGGCTGGTCCCATCTGCTCCCACTGTTTTCCAGGAACTGTGTATCTGGGTTTCACATAGGGCTGCTATGTGCCTGGGAGCATTTTTCCTGACTACATTGCATATGCTCATTTCCTTCTTTGGCTCTCTCTAGAGCAAATGTTTCAGTATATCCTCTGATTAAACATTGAATAAGACAAGGACTTCATTTTCCCACCACCCAATCCGCCAACCTCCCTTCCATTGGGACCATACTCCACCTTCCTTCCTGTTGCAATGACTGCACCATCTCTGTTCCCACAAAAGCCAAATCCACAACTTGAACATTGTACCTTCATCTCCTTGAGACTCCTCAAGTCCTTTGCTCTTGCAGTCATATCCTCTCTCTCATGCATCATCAAGTTGACACTCCCTAGCGTGCCTGTGGTCATTCCCAGCAGCACACTATCTTATACAGTGATATATAGTCCACTAGAAGAACACACCTACCCCTCCGCTTACCACCTGAAAACTTTATTCCCCTAATAGCAAAGCTCATAGAAGAGAGGTTTATACTCACTATTTGTACTTCCTCGCCCTAAATGTCTCTTTTTGGACTTATTCCACTTTATTCCCTGCCATTCTGTCAATGTCACTCCATCTTTTGTCAAGTTCACCAACTACATCCAGATTATAACACCAAACGGTCAATTTTCAATTCTCATCTTCCTTGGCCTCTCAACAACATTGATCACGGCACATGTTCTTTCTTGTAACACTTTTTTTACCTGGCTTCTAGGCTTCTCCATCTAGAGAAGGTGCTATCTTATCACGTTGCTCTTTTTTTTTTTCTCTGTCTTCTTTTCTGCCTCCTCCCTTTCCTACTGACCTTAAAGATGTTAGTATTTCTCAAGTTTGTTCCTTGCTCTCCTTTTCTCCACTAAACGCTCTTCCCGAGTAACCTCATCCTGACCCATGGCTTTAAGTTACTCTCAGATATGTCTCTATCTCCAACTTCTCCCTGGAGCTCCAGGTATATAGGTACTTCTTACCTGAAACTTAATTTATCAAAAACAATTCTCACAACCACACCCTGCCCTCTAGTTGATTTCACTTCTAGCTTCCTCTATTTCAGTAAATGCTCTCTACATTCACCTAGTTGCTTAGGCCAAAAAAAAGGTACAATTTCTCTTTCCCTCCTGGCCCATATTCCAACCCATGAACAAGTCCTGTTAGTTGAAGCTTCAGAACATTTCCTGAACACAAGAAGAATACTTTTCATATCCTTTACAATTGTATCTTATTGAGAGCCAGCATTAAGGGTTTTCCAAAGTACTTTTACTTTTGTCCTGCTACAGTTTATTCTTCACACAGCAATGGGAGTACTCCTTTTACAGTCAAAATAGCAAAGAATCCTCCAATAGCTTTCCTTCACACATACACTACAATCCTAAAATCATGATCTCCAAGGCCCTATATTATCTCCTTTGCATTTGCTAGCTCCTCTGCAGAAAATATCCACTCCCGCCTTCAAATCTTTACATGGCGTGATCCCTCACTTCATTCAGAGACTTCCTCAAATTACATTCACTCAGAGAGCACTTCTGTAGCCCCCCCATTCAAAACAGCCCTCATAAATGCCTTTATCCTGCCATTAAAAAAAATACTATCTGAAGTTATATTGTAATGTGTTTATCAATTAGTATATCAATTAGATTATATCAATTAGATGTTTATTTGCAAATTGAAAATATTCCTTCAGGAAAGAGACTCTTCTGTCTCTTTTTTACCCCTAAATCCTAGAGCTCAGAATGGTATTTAGCACCCTAGAAGTATACTCAATTAGAACTTGTTTAGAGAGAAATAAACACATTTAAACACAGGTACTATGAGACACATGATAGATGATTCAATATGAAGTGCCTGGGTTGAGAATGAGCCTGCCAATCCAGTTGATATTAAAGATAAAGGAATGATTATTGTAAGATGTCAGAGATTATGTTCACCCAATGTTCTCCTCCTAAATGATCCAGAAAAGTAAGTTGATTTTTCAAACAAATGTACATTAAAAAACATATTCCTTGTGTATTGACCTGTGTTAATTTTCCCAAAATGCAATATAATTGATACTACTTTTATTTTATTTCCTAGTATTCAGTTCACATTTTTCAGCCTGCCAGACCAAGTAAGACCATTGTCAAGTGACTATAACATTCTTGCCTTTGGCTATTTCTCTTCTATCATCATTCCCCTTGTAAGTGACTCAGATTTTATATGGATGTGTATATACTTGAGCTATGCCCTAAGTACCATATATCATCCTACTTCTTAAAAAACTGACAACATATCTCCTTTCTATTCTTTGTTCTAATAGCACACACCATAAAGACCTTCCCTGTTTCTCATTCTCAGAGCTTCCATAGCAACTTCTCTCTACTTCTTGTAAGTCACTTGTTATTTTCTGCTTAGTAATATAGACTAGTGTTATATTTTCTATTCAAGACTATATCTTCTTGAAAGCAGTATAATTGTATGCCCATCAACTCGGAGGATGTCTGGCAAATAATAGATGCTCAATGAATCACTATTGAATGAACAAATAAATCATTAAATACATAAAGAACTATTAAATAAAACAAGATTATTATCTATAAGTAAAAGCTGAGACCAAAGAATAAAAAACTTGGTTATCATTTGGCAGTCTGGGTTGCCTCTGCAGAAGCTCGTGAATATGGTACTAACTACCAAGCAGTTCAGTAACCACACACTCTTCAACTGTGAAATGCCATCCATCCTCAGAAGTGTTAGTGTGCATGTATGTATGTGTGTGTATGAGTGAGTAGTGGCGACAAAAACAGGGAGACCCTTGGTTTAATCATTTTTCCTTCTCATTTTTGGTGCAAGAAATGAATTCTATATCTGATTTCCTGATGAGCCCCTCTACTTCCTCACACACTGATGAGGAATCGTGGAGTTTTTTTTTTCAATTATTATTTTACTTTTAAGTTCTGGGATATGTGTGCAGAATGTGCAGGTTTGTTATATAAGTATCCATGTGCCATGGTGGTTTGCTGCACCTATCAACCATCATCTAAGTTTGAAGCCCAGCATGCATTAGGTATTTGTCCTAATGCTCTCGCTCCCCTTTCCCCCCACCCTGCTACAGGCCCCGGTGTATGATGTTCCCCTCCCTGTTTCCATGTGTTCTCATTGCTCAACTCCCACTTATGAGTGAGAACATATGGTGTTTGGTTTTCTATTCCTGTGTTAGTTTGCTGAGAATGATGGTTTCCAGCTTCATCCATGTCCCTGCAAAGGACATGAACTCATTCTTTTTTATGGCTGCAGAGTTTTTTACAAAGAAAATCATCCCTTCTATGCATGGCTCTTGCCCAATAAGCTCCTTCATCAATTAGGAGAGGGCTTGACAACCTCTCCCATGATAAGGGTCTGCATCTGATTTCAATGTTGCTCTAGGTTAAAGTCTCCTCCGCCCTGCACATCATGGAGAAGAGAGAAGATCTGAATTCTCTGGATTGATTTCTGTCCCAGGCCACAGATTTCCACTATTTGTTACTATTGTAAAGGCTGTGTTACTTTTGGGGGCTTATCCAGGTGTCTGAAATCCTAACAAGGGTCGCAGAGTAATGCATTTTAAAGAACAAATACAAGTGTTGCAGATTGACTTCTTAAAGCATCTTACAATCTTACTTTACTCTATAAACTGGTAATATTTTTTTATATAGGAGCCATTTGTAATGATGCTAACCATTGTAGTTACAGATGAATTTGATATTTAATTTAAAATTTATACACCCTGACCTTGTGATCCGCCCGCCTCGGCCTCCCAAAGTGCTAGGATTACAGGCGTGAGCCACCACAGGAGATCGAGACCATCCTGGCTAACACGGTGAAACCCCGTCTCTACTAAAAATACAAAAAATTAGCCAGGCATGGTGGCGGGCACCTGTAGTCCCAGCTACTCGGGAGGCTGAGGCAGGAGAATGGCATGAACCCGAGAGGCAGAGCTTGCAGTGAGCTGAGATCCCGCCACTGCACTCCAGCCTGGGCAACAGAGCAAGACTCCATCTCAAAAAAACAAAAAAAAATTTATACACCCAATAGTGAAATGTATGAAGTCAAAAAAGTAGATGGAACATTCTTCCAGCTACTTTGTGTGGTTTGTAATGTTTCAGTCCCTACCACCAGTGCCATGTATGATTTTTGGAAACACGTACTAAAGGGAAGCCATTGAGCTATTACCTTCACTTGGAATGGAAGGTGAAAATCCTGAACTAAAATAGAGGCACCAATTTACAAAATGGAATGACCCATAACAGGGAAGTCAGCTAACTAGTCCCTCTGGAAATTCCTGTCCTTGAAGTGGGAAGCTCAGGGCTGGTCTGAGCTCCACAACAGTAGATGAAGGGAGGCATCTTGCCCCATTCCGAAGGAACTTCACCATTTCAATCATCATAGCACTTAGAATTGAGGGAGAAAAAAAAAGCACCATGGTCTTACTACAGGCAGCAAAATCCCTTCATTTCTTAAGGATTAATAGTAAATCTTTAACAAAGTGTTTCAGATTCCCAGTTAATCTTAGAACACAGGTGTGCTTCCCCAAATGGCAAACCCGGACGTCTTCTGGCTGAGCTATATTTCATCTGTACATGGGCAAATATTTTTGTGTTGACAGATGCAGGCAGGCCTTGCAAGCAACCCCTTTTTGCCTTGGACAAGTCAACTATATATTGTTCTTCCAGAGTTTCTGGTGAGGGCTGTGAATGAAGAAGAAACGTACTTCCTAAATAGCTTGTTTTGAAAGGCCTCTATTTTTTCAGTTTAGAACCTGAAGATATACTCCTCCTCTGTATGGGATTTTCATAATGGCGTATACTTAGGCAGTACTGAAGCCTGCCCTTGTTTAATAGGTTTGGAAATGGGAGGCTGACACAAAAGCGTCTTCTGAATATCTCCTATCCTAAATTTGCCTGCCGTTCTGGCAGGTGCCATCACATCATCGTGTGACCTCTGGGGCTTTGTGTAATTGCACAGCTTAACACAGAAGACAGAGAGAGGGAAGCTTGCACAATCAGAATGATATGGAGAAATACAATAACTTCTCTTAAATGCACTTTGTATTTTTCACACATGCATACATCTATATGTAAATTTCATGTGGTAGGTTCTTTTTGCTCTACATCCCCTAAAAGCTGTTATGAAATTAATGATTCATTTTAAAATCAATCATGTCTTGAAATCCAGGAAATATGGCATTATTCTACATTTAACAATCAAATTTATAGTAACAGATATGACAAAACAAATGTAATATAAATAAGGCTATTAAAAAAACAACTGTGCAAACTGCCTTACTAAACATAAACATCAAAATGGATCTTAATATAAATTTTGGAGTTATCCCCAAATATCTTGTGAGTTTACCTTCCCCTGTTTTTCTGCTCCACGGTTGGCAGAGCTTCTAAGAGGTTCATTTGTTTGGATGCCACTATAATTTGCAGCAAACCTATTGCTTGGGAAAACTATTTCTGGCTTGTTCTTATGTTTCAGGCTTGGAGTCTTTCTATTAGCTTGTTTATTTGGCCTTAACTAGGATCAGAGTTGCTCCAATACCTTGGGCATTTGTGATCACAGATCCAGCTGAAGCTTCCCTTCATGCTCTAATGAGAACAAAAACAGCTGTGTGTCCTACTTCATTCCAAATGCAACTCCTCCTACTTCTTCAGTGTAGTAGCATTGGCCTTGTGATGCTTTAAGACAAAATTACTGGCCTGGCATGGTGGCTTACGTCTGTAATCTCAGTACTTTGGGAGGCCGAGGTGGGAGGATCACGAGGTCAAGATATCAAGGTCACCCTGGCCAACATGGTGAAACCCCGTCTCTACTAAAAATACAAAAATTAGCTGGGCATGGTGGCAGGTACCTGTGGTCTCAGCTACTCAGGAGGCTGAGGCAGGATAATCGCTTGAATCCGGGAAGCAGAGGTTACAGTGAGCCGAGATTGCACTGCTGCACTCCAGCCTGGTGAAAGAGCGAGACTCCATTTCAGAAAAAAAGAAAAAAAAGAAAAATTGTAAAGGATGTTTTGTCTTCAGTGTGACCAGTCTCTGACTCTTTTTTTTCCTGAGACTGACCCCACCCCTTCCCTTATATATGAATCACATTTATATTAAATAACTTTTGAGTATAAATCCCTTCAATAGGTAGTTGCATTTGAAGTTTTTTAACCTTAATTATAGAAATGGAAAATAGAATTAAAAACTATTTCCTTCTTAATGGAACTCCATGCATCAGCAGACCATGGAGAATTGGAAGAAATTGATTTTAACCTTAAAATCATAAATCAATATTTTGAATATGTAAATCCCATCTAGGCATAAATTTCTAAAAGCCTTTTTTGTGCAGTGGGTAAGAGTGAGTAGGAAAGAAATAAAAAATATGGTCCATTCTCACTCCTCTCCACATGTCCCAGTGTCTTCTTGCAGAAGACTAATGAAGTCAAATTGGCTGTGGCCACTTAAAGACTACATGTTCTTGGGAACTATTAAAGGAAAGGTAATACAAGTTGAATTAGGAGCTGCTTTCTCTTGCAGGCTTGGGAGCTGAGCCTGCCCACCACCATTCAAACTCAATGATAGCTGAGAGATGAACCTGCCATTATCTGCCTCTCACCCCATACTCTCCAAAGACACTGCAGCTTGCATTGGAATAACCAGGCCCCTTGAAAGGGGCATATTTCCTGGGGAGGAGCTCAGGAATCAGAATTTTAATAAGATAATTAGTTGATTATTAAGTACACTATTTTTTTTTTTTTTGAGACAGAGTCTTACTCTGTCGCCCAGGCTGGAGTGGAGTGGTGCTATCTTGGCTCACTGCAACCCTCACCTCCCAGGTTCAAGCAATTCTCCTGCCTCAGCCTCCTGAGTAGCTGGGATTACAGGCTCCCACCACCATGCCCGGCTAATTTTTGTATTTTTAATAGAGATGGGGTTTCACAACCAGGCTGCTCTGGAACCCCTGACCTCAGGTCATCCACCTGCCTCGGCCTCTCAAAGTGCTGGGATTGCAGGTGAGTCACTGCACCTGGCCAAGTACACTAAATTTTGCAAACCTCTGCTTTGTGCCAGTTCCTAAATTTCCTAAGTTTTTCTCATAGTTTTCTTTCCTGTCTGTCTCTTAACCACTCTTGAGTTGACCATAACATTCTTAGGCTTACCCTATCACAAAATTTGGAGATATAAATTACACAAAGCCCTTTTCTAATTTTGTCTGCTGCTTGTCCCATCCTTTCTTTTGACCCATCTGTGGAGGGCGATCACACCATCACTTCCAGCACAAATATAGACAGCTTTGTGATCTCAATGCCACAGAATCTAAGAAACCGTAAGCATGATAAACAGAGGAAGCCGAATGTGTTCCCCAAGATCATCTCTTAAACAGAAGTACACTACGAAATCCAAAATTCTTTGCTACAGCTGGTGGTTGCACGAGAGGTAAAATAAGGACCTGTGGCTATTGAGGTCTTAGATCCAGGGCGTTTGTTCATACAGATGGTGAGTCAGGATGATGATGCACATAAGAATGATGGGAGAACTACTCCACATGTAGATAGTGTCTGAAAAAAAAGTGGTGAATACTGATGCTAATTTATATTAGGAAAGATTTGTTTTTTAAGCTGTAATTGTATGTTTGTTTATGTAAAAGCAATGTTAATTACTGTCATCGATATCTACAGTTTACAATTTTGGCCTAATTGCTGTGTAGAATGATACTTATTATGCATATCACAATTATATATTTTTTTCATTTTCATTAGTATATTCATTTCTTAAGGGCAAGGACAACAGTTATTTTTTGTATTTCTGCACCCTCCAAGCCACTATAGCAGTAGCTTATATATTTTATTTTCAGTAAGTCATTTAATGAATTAATTAACGTTTAAGTCTTACTCTTGTTACATTTGCATCTACGCATGTTTACCTAAGTGGCCTCAGGAAATTATTTAGTCTCCAAATCACCACCACAGATGCATAAATACTTTTTCTAGCATTCCTGGTTATGTCAGAAATAGAAGGTAGAGACCTTTACCTTAGATATTGCTGTAAGAAGGAGACAGGGGAGGAGGAATAGAGAGAGGAAGAGGATGGAAGGACATGGGGCCAAAAGGAAGGATGAAGAGAATTACGTTTGAAATCGTAACTGACAGAAAATGCTATATAATGCGTACAGCAATTAATAAGCATATAGTTGCCCAAGTCCACACAAAAAGTCTTGGACCACCACAGCTGTGTATGTCCCTTCAAGCACATCAACACTCTGCTCGTCTCTCAAATTAGAATGTGAGACAGAATTGTGTTTTCTTCTCTGTTCAGGACACATTGTTTAACAGTCTCACTCTAAGGACTGCAAATGCTAATTTTAGTCTCCTTCAAGACCCATATGGGATATACCTTTCTAGTCTGTAGTCCCAGCTACTTGGGAGACTGAAGCAGGAGGATCACTTGGGCCCAGGAGTTGTAGGCTGCAGTGAACCATGATCATGGCTGTGAATAGCCACTGCACTCCAACCTTGGCAACACTAGCCCTGTTTAGTGGCATATGTATGATATGTTTTTTTCTTTCTTCCTTACCACACATTTTCACAAGCTTTAAATAGCAAATCTTAGAAGAAGAAAAACAATGGAGGAGGATGAGGAGGAAAAAAAGGAAGAGGAGGAGGAGAAAGAGGAGAAGAGAAAGGAGAGCACAAGAGGGGAAGGGGGAGAGGAGGAGGAGAAAAGGAACACACACCATGCACACAACCACGCACACATACACAAAATCAAAAACAACAAAAAAATTTCAACAAATTCTGATCCATCCCAACAAATAAAACCTAGTCATCAGGCGTTCTAACTATGAACTGCTCCTTATATACATTTCAGAAATTCAAATAATATATTGCTGGTTTTCCAGGGTCTCCAATTCATGTGGAAATTGAACGAGGGATTTTTGTTTCTGTTGAAAATTGTCATTGTCAATTTTTCCTTTATCCCTCACCACTAGCCACCCCTAAAATGCTTTACAACCGGGAGGCATTACTTCCACCCCTTTCAAATTCATTCATTTCCCAACAAATCCCAATTTCTTTGTCTCTGTATCTCCCATGATGCAAGACCCTGAGTTTTATGTTTACATGATTAGAGGACAAACTCTATTTATGGATGTTCAGAATTCAGAGATATTGCCCATATATGGATTTCTGTCCATAACTTGGATGAATGAATGAATGAATGAATGAAATAGGGTTTACGAATCTCTCTTTCCCAATCAGAGAAAATTTATTTTAGCTTCCTTAGCCACCAAAGTGTCAATCATTATCTCCCCATGACAAATCCCTTCAGATTTCACATAGAGCAAGATTTTAAAAATAGAATTATTTCACAGTCTATTTAACTTCTAGAGTTTATTAACAACAAACTTTCTACCAAGTTGAATAGTTTCTTAAAGAAACATTTCTTTTTTTCTTCATGAACATTTTAAAGTTATTTGAATTGTACAAAACAATCGTGAAGTGCAATTTTAACCTAACAGGCATCTGAAAGATCTCAATTCCTCCAAAAAGGAGGATATAGCTTGCTTTCTATAAACAACAAATTAAAAATTAAAATGTTAAAAAAACACAAATTATTTTGTAAATATATTTTGTAAATTTACATATTTACTGATAGATATAAATATATGTATATAGATAAAGATAATAGAAGCATAGAGTATTGATATCAGGATTAGTCAACAATTTAATTACAAGATTAAAATGTTAATTACTTGAATACAAGCAAGTTGGTGTTGTTTTAAACCATAGGTGTAATAACCCATGCATAATGGGAAGATTGGAAGATCAGGAGCATGGACAAAGTGACGAAGAAAACTCACAAGTGCACTATGAGAAATAAGTAGTTGTTTGTAAGTTTTTAATATTTTTCCTCACATATATGTAACCATACTATGACACAGTTTTGCATCCTAATTTTGGATTGATGCTACACTGAATATTTTGATACCTAATATTAATTCATTGCGTGCATTTTTAATTTTTTTCTCCATTTCTTGCAGTTTATTTATTTTTGTTATTGTTACAAGGTTGTTGGAGACATTTCATCTTGACAGATATTTTATTTATTTAGTTAGTTGGGATAGAGAAGTAGAAATATAATTCCTAGGCCTGTAGATATGAAATTTGAAATATTAGTACATTCTCGACTACATATTTTCCCCAAATATTTTTACTATTGATGCATTTTTGAGAGGCATGTGACTGTCTGAATAACTTCAACCTCACCAACAGTGGATATACTTCCATTTTCTCCAAATTTGATAGGGAAAAGAATATCAGATTGTGGATTTTCTTTTTTCATTTATTCATCTGATACCAACCCATTTTATGTGATTTATAACCATTACTATTTCTAATTCTGTGAATCAGATGTTAAATTTTTGTACTTTATTAAGAACTGCTTATTTATAATAATGAACAATTTTCTTTCTAAATAGTTGATATTCTAAATTTCTCTTGTGAAGGGAATTTTTTTCATAATTTTAAACTAGTTTTCCACATTTTTATTGGCCTTTTGAGATTCTTCTTTCGTGATTTGCTCATACGAATGCTTTGATCCCTTTTATTTTGGCCTTTTATTTGTGATTTGTGTATTACATATTCATATTCTTTCTATGAATTCTTTATTGGCTATATACATTTCAAATGTGTTCTAGGTAGTGACTTGGCATTTTTGTTTGTTTTGCTTGCTTAGGATATCTTTTCTGTACAGAAGCTTTAAAGTTTCATATACACAAAATATTCCGTTTGGTTTAGTAAGATGTATTCTTTTTGCAATTTGTTTAAGAAATTAAATTTATTTGTTCTTCTTCGAAGGCTATAAGTTATTATAGTAAATACACATTTTTAAATCTTTTAAGTTTTCCTTCTAACATATGTCTTTAATTCACCTGATATTTATTTTGGTGTGGATATGAAGTATGTGGCTAATTAATATTTTTTTTTACAAATAGATAATCAATTGGCCCAGCATTACTTACACTCTAGCCCCTCACTGATCAACAATTTATGCCTTTGGGGAGGCTGGGGTGGAAGGATTGCTCGACACCAGGAGTTCAAGACCAGCCTGGGCAAAATAGTGAGAACCCTATCTCAAAATAATAATAATATTATGTATTTGTTTATCAAGTTTTTGCATATATATGTTTTTCTACGTGACATAGTTTCTATTTATTGATTCCCACATCAATGGGACACTGTTTCCATTAATAAAACACTAAAGTATTAATTTATAATATAACAAGTCTGATTTTTTTTTTCTCAAAAGTGCCTTGACCATGTTTAGCCCTTACTCTTCTAGGTAAATTTTAGAATTAACTTTTCAAAGTCAACAACAGTAAACCACACGTTGAACTTTAGAATAAATTAACTAAATTTACAGATTATTTTCAGAAAAATTGGTGTCTTCATGACATTGAATTATCTCTGACTCTCTAGACATGGTATATCTCTCGAGTCTCTTTTATTATCTTCAATAATATTTTGTAATTTTCATCATAAACATCACATACATTCTTTTAGCTTTACATTATGCTCCCTTATAGATTTTTGTTGTTATAATTATTGGATTTTTTTCTTAATATTCTGCAATTGTATATTACAGGTATATAGAAAAACTATTGATTTACTTATGTTGATATTGCATCTGTCAGGCCTCTGAGCCCAAGCTAAGCCATCATATCCCCTGTGACCTGCACGAACACATCCAGATGGCTGGTTCCTGCCTTAACTGATGACTTTCCACCATAAAGGAAGTGAAAATGGCCTGTTCCTGCCTTAACTGATGACATTATCTTGTGAAATTCCTTATCCTGGCTCAAAAGCTCCCCTACTGAGCACCTTGTGACCCCCACTCCCGCCTGCCAGAGAACAACCCCACTTTTTCCTTTACCTACCCAAATCCTGTAAAATGGGCCCACCCCTATCTCCCTTCACTGACTCTCTTTTCGAACTCAGCCCGCCTGCACCCAGGTGAAATAAACAGCTTTATTGCTCACACAAAGCTTGTTTGGTGGTCTCTTCACACAGACGCGAGTGAAATTTGGTGCCGTGACTTGGATCAGAGGACTTCCCTTAAGAGATCAATCCCCTGTCCTCCTGCTCTTTGCTCTGTGAGAAAGATCCACCTATGACCTCAAGTCCTCAGACCAACCAGCCCAAGAAACATCTCACCAATTTCAAATCCAGTAAGTGGCCTCTTTTTACTCTCTTCTCCAATCTCCCTCACTATCCCTAAACCTCTTTCTCCTTTCAATCTTGGCACCACACTTCAATCTCTCCCTTCTCTTAATTTCAATTCCTTTCATTTTCTAGTAAAGACAAAGGAGACATGTTTTATCCGTGGACCCAAGACTCTGGCGCCAGTCACAGACTAAGGACGGCAGCCTTCCCTTGGTGTTTAATCATTGCAAAGACACCTCTCGGATTATTCATCCAGGTTTCAGAGGTGTCAGACCACGTAGGAATGCCTGCCTTGGTCCTTCACCCTTAGCGGCAAGTCCTGCTTTTCTGGAGGAGAGGCAAGAACCCCAACTCCTTCTCTCCATGTCTCTACCCCTTCTCTGCTTTTCTAGAAGAGAGGCAAGAACCCTTCAACCCCTTCTCCTTCACCCTTAGTGGCAAGTCCCGCTTTTCTAAAAGGCAAGAACCCCCAATCCCTTATTTCTGTGCCCCGACCTCTTATCTCTGTGCCCCGATCCCTTATTTCCACACCCCGACCTCTTATCTCTGCACCCCAATCCCTTATTTCCATGCTCTGACCTCTTGTCTCTGCGCCCCAACCCCTTCTCTGCTTTTCTGGAAGGCAAGAACCCCCCACCCCTTCTCCGTGTCTCTACTCTCTTTTCTCTGGGCTTGCCTCCTTCACTATAGGCAAGTTTCCACCTTCCATTCCTCCTTCTTCTCCCTTAGCCTGTGTTCTTAAGAACTTAAAACCTCTTCAACTCTCACCTAACCTAAAATCTAAGCATCTTATTTTCTTCTGCAATGCTGCTTGACATTACAACTCGACAGTAATTCCAAATACAAACTCGACAGTAGTTCCAAATAGCCGGAAAATGGCACTTTCAGTTTTTCCATCCTACAAGATCTAAATAATTCTTTTCGTAAAATAGGCAAATAGTCTGAAGTGCCCGATGTCCAGGCATTCTTTTACACATCAGTCCCTCCCTAGTCTCTGTTCCCAATGCAACTCATCCCAAATCTTCCTTCTTTCCCTCCCACCTGTCCCCTCAGTCCCAACCTCAAGCATAGCTAAGTCTTTCTAATCTTCCTTTTCTACAAATTCATCTGACCTCTCCCCTCCTCGCCAGGCCAATCTAGGTCCCAATTCTTCCTCAGCCTCCGATCCTCCACCCTATAATCCTTTTATCACCTCCCCTCCTCACACCTGGTTACAGTTTCCTTCCATAACTAGCCCTCCCCCACCTGCTCAGCAATTTCCTCTTAAAAAAGTGGATGGAGCTAAAGGCATAGTCACGGTTAATGCTCCTTTTTCTTTATCCCAAATCAGATAGCGTTTAGGCTCTTTTTCATCAAATATAAAACCCCAGCCCAGTTCATGGCTCGTTTGGCAGCAACCCTGAGACGCTTTACAGCCCTAGACCCTGAAAGGTCAAAAGGCCGTCTTATTCTCAATATACATTTTATTACCCAATCTGCTCCCGACATTAAATAAAACTCCAAAAATTAAATTCCGGCCCTCAAACCCCACAACAGGACTTAATTAACCTCACCTTCAAGGTGTACAATAATAAAGTAGAGGCAGCCAAGTAGCAACATATTTCTGAGTTGCAATTTCTTGCCTCCACTGTGAGACAAACCCCAGCCACATCTCCAGCACACAAGAACTTCCAAACACCTAAACCGCAGTGGCCAGGTATTCCTCCAGAACCGCCTCCCCCAGGAGCTTGCTACAAGTGCCAGAAATCTGGCCACCAGACCAAGGAATGCCCACAGCCCAGGATTCCTCCTAAGCCATGTCCCATCTGTGCAGGACCCCACTGGAAATCGGACTGTTCAACTCACCTGACAGCCACTCCCAGAGCCCCTAGAATTCTGGCCCAAGTGTCTCTGACGGACTCCTTCCCAGATCTTCTCAGCTTAGCAGCTGAAGACTGACACTACCCGATCGCCTCAGAAGCCCCCTAGACCATCATGGACGCCGAGCTTTAAGTAACTCTCACAGTAGAAACTAAGTCCGTCCCCTTCTTAATCAATATGGAGGCTACCCACACCACATTACCTTCTTCTCAAAGGCCTGTTTCCTTGCCTCCATAACTGTTGTGGGTATTGACAGCCAGGCTTCTAAACCTCTTAAAACTCCCCACCTCTAGTGCCAATTTAGACAATACTCTTTTAAGCACTCCTTTTTAGTTATCCCCACCTGCCCAGTTCCCTTATTAGGCCAAGACACTTTAACTAAATTATCTGCTTCCTTGACTATCCCTAGGCTACAGCCACACCTCATTGCCGCCTTTCCCCCCAATTCAAAGCCTCCTTCACATCCTCCCCTTGTATCTCCCCATCTTAACCCACAAGTATAAGACACCTCTACTCCCTCCTTAGCGACCATCATGCACCCCTTACCATCTCATTAAAACCTAATCACCCTTGCCCTGCTCAATGCCAATATCCCATCCCACAGCATGCTTTGAAAGGATTAAAGCTTGTTATCACTCACCTGCTACAGCATGGCCTTTGAAAGCCTATAAACTCTCCTTACAATTCCCCCATTTTACCTGTCCTAAAACCAGACAAGCCTTACAAGTTAGTTCAGGATATATGCCTTATCAACCAAATTGTTTTGCCCATCCACCCCATGGTGCCAAACCCATATACTCTGCTCTCCTCAATACCTCCCTCCACAATCCATTATTCTGTTCTGGATCTCAACCATGCTTTCTTTACTATTCCTTTGCACCCTTCATCCCAGCCTCTCTTCGCTTTCACTTGGACTGGCCCATCAGGCTCAACAAATTACCTGGGCTGTACTGCCGCAAAACTTCACAGACAGCCCCCATTACTTCAGTCAAGCCCAAATTTCTTCCTTATCTGTTACCTATCTCGGCATAATTATCATAAAAACACATGTGCTCTCCCTGCCAATCGTGTCTGACTAATCTCTCAAACCCCAACCCCTTCTACAAAACAACAACTCCTTTCCTTCCTAGGCATACTTAGATACTTTCGCCTTTAGATACCTAGTTTTGCCATCCTAACAAAACCATTATATAAACTCACAAAAGGAAACCTAGCTGACCCCATAGATCCTAAATCCTTTCCCCACTCCTCTTTCCATTCCTTGAAGACAGCTTTAGAGACTGCCCCCACACTAGTTCTCCCTGACTCATCCCAACCCTTTTCATTACACACAGCCGAAGTGCCGGGCTGTGCAGTCAGAATTCTTACACAAGGACCGGGATTGTGTCCTGTAGCCTTTTTGTCCAAACAACTTGACCTTACCGTTTTAGGCTGGCCATCATGTCTCCGTGCAGCGGCTGCTGCCGCCCTAATACTTTTAGAGGCCCTTAAAATCACAAGCTATGCTCAACTCACTCTCTACAGCTCTCATAATTTCCAAAATCTGTTTTCTTCCTCACACCTGACGCATATACTTTCTGCTCCCCGGCTCCTTCAGCTGTACTCACTCTTCGTTGAGTCTCTCACAATTACCATTGTTCCTGGCCCGGACTTCAATCCGGCCTCCCACATTATTCCTGATACCACACCTGACCCTCATGACTGCATCTCTCTGATCCACCTGACGTTCACCCCATTTCCCCACATTTCCTTCTTCCGTGTTTCTCACCCTGATCACACTTGGTTTATTGATGGCAATTCCACCAGGCCTCATCACCACACACCAGCAAAGGCACGCTATTCTATAGTACAAGCCACTAGCCTGCCTCTTAGAACCTTTCATTTCCTTTCCATCGTAGAAATCTATCCTCAAGGAAATAAATTCTCAGTGTTCCATCTGCTATTCTACTACTCCTCAGGGATTATTCAGGCCCCCTCCCTTCCCTACACATCAAGCTCAGGGATTTGCCCCCACCCAGGACTGGCAAATTAGCTTTACTCAACACGCCCCAAGTCAGGAAACTAAAATACCTCTTGGTCTAGGTAGACACTTTCACTAGCTAGGTAGAGGCCTTTCCCAAAAGGTCTAAGAAGGCCACCACGGTCATTTCTCCCCTTCTGTCAGACATAATTCCTCGGTTTGGCCTTCCCACCTCTATACAGTCTGATAGCAGACCGGCCTTTATTAGTCAAATCAGCCAAGCATTTTTTCAGGCTCTTGGTATTCAGTGAAACCTTTATATCCCTTACGGTCCTCAGTCTTCAGGAAAGGCAGAACAGACTAATGGTCTTTTAAAAACACACCTCACCAAGCTCAGCCACCAACTTAAAAAGGACTGGACAATACTTTTACCACTTTCTGTTCTCAGAATTCAGGCCTCTCCTCGGAATGCTACAAGGTACAGCCTATTTGAGCTCCTGTATAGACGCTCCTTTTTATTAGGCCCCAGTCTCATTCCAGAAACCAGACCAACTTGGACTGTACCCCAAAAAACTTGTCATCCCTACTATCTTCTGTCTAGTCATACTCCTATTCGCCATTCTCAACTATTCATACATGCCCTGCTCTTGTTTACACTGCCGGTTTACACTGTTTCTCCAAGCCATCGCAGCTGATATCTCCTGGTGCAATCCCCAAACCGCCACTCTTAACTCTTGAAGTAAATAAATAATCTTTGCTGGCAAGGCTACGCTGAATCTCCTTAGGCACTCTCTAATTAGATGTCCTAGGTCCTCCCAATTCTTAGTCCTTTAATACCTGTTTTTCTCCTTCTCTTATTCCATTTAGTTTTTCAATTCATACAAAACTGTATCCAGGCCATCACCAATAATTCTAAATGACAAATGTTTCTTCTAACAACCCCACAATGTCACTCCTTACCACAAAATCTTCCTTCAGCTTAATCTCTCCCACTCTAGAGATCTATTAATGTTTCTAAGAGTTTTCTTGTAGAGTCTTCACAATTTTTCTACTTGAGGAAGCACAGTATTTGTCAGTGAGATAGCTTGCTCTCTTTTTCTTTTTTCTAATATCATGTTTTGTGCATGTTTGTCTTTTTGTTTGGGCTCAGTCTCCCAGATAATGTTCAGTGGAATCCTTGAAACCACATGTTTTTCTCTTATTACTAGCTTTTTAGCAAAAACATAATATTTACATTTTGATAGATGAGAACAAAATAAGAGTGAAATGCCACACTGAATTACAGGCTTGAGCAGAATTACCTAAAAGGTATGTCCAATATTCAGTATGGCCTTGAATACTGAAACATTAACCAATTAGCAAACCTTCAGCTGGTTTGAAATGTTAAGCATTCCTCTTCAGGTTAGGTGAGAAGAATAAGAATCCCAGGAATAAGTTAAAACTGAGAAATAGAATTAGAACCATAATTAGAATCAGATTGGAGATAAGACGGTACAAACTGTAATCTATGTGTTTTGATAAACAATTCATTGTATGGGCAGTACTGAATTTTGTAACTGTATCATGTTTCTGCTTTTTAAGATATGCTTTTGATAAAAGATATAGGAGAATCTGGTATGTCAGTCATCTAAAAATTCAAGTGCCTTAATTTATAAACATATTAAACATTTAAGAAAATATAAATTATGTTTTGATTTGAAATTAGTGTTTGATTAGAATGATGTTAAAGATAATAGACTATCAATCAGACAAAAATCCAACAAAATAATCTTTATTTAGTAAATAATCTTTCCCTTACAAAATTGTCTAATAGTGTAGATTCTATCAATAACTTTTTTTCTTATGAACTCTCCATGTGCTTTGCACATTTGGCTGTCCTGTTGTTACTATTTTTCTTCTTAAAAATATGAGCTTTCACAAATTTAAAAAATTAGCATTGTCCTTCATACATTGTTCAAAGATTTTCCCTCATCGCTGCTTGCCACTATACTCAGTTTTTAGCACTTTTGATAAACAGAAGATTTTGGGGTTTCATTTGTCTTAAATGTTACAAAATCAACATTTTCATCCATTTTCTTTATGACTTTAATGCATTAAAGTTTATCAAATAACATTTATTGACATTTCTCAATGATCAACTACAAAACCAAAATAATAGATTTTTCTTTATGTATGACATATAAATAACTTCAGATCCTTGTGATGTTTCCTCATTCAAGTTTATTTATACTTAAAATTTGATATGAAATTAGTAGTTTATATTTAACATCTGATATCAAATGAATCTTGTTCATTCAGAGAAGGTAATTATTTCACAAATTTTCTTAGAAAATATGCACATTTGAATATTACCATTGCGCACCAAGGAGACTTTGGCTGGATATACAATTTTCAGATTATTAGCCATTTTATCTAAGTATTTAGAGATTGACATAGGTCTTACAGAAACTTGATATTATGAGAAGTCTGAAGTTAGTGTGTTTTGTTTAGTTTTTAAAAATTTTGTTATGCAATTCCATACAGGATTCTAAACTTTTATCATTAAAATTATAAAGGAAAAGCTAAGAAATATCTAGATGAGGTTTCTTTGATTAACTTTGCACAAGCAGCGTTTCTTTTCTAATTGTAGCTTGGGAATTTTTTTTTTCAGTTTTGGAATTCTTTCTATGTCCTCTTTGATTATTGCCTCTCTTTATATTTCTTTGTGGATTTTTTCCACAAATACTTCTAATCGTTAAATTGCATCTCCTCTCTCTTGCCACTGTATTTATAATATTCCCCCTGCATTTTATGGGGGAACCACTGGTGTGTCCTGTGCATAGTTGATCTACTTGAAATAAGTATATTTCTACTATCATTTAAGAATTTCCCTTGTAGTCTTTTTTTTCATCACTTTCCTTGAACCACCAATTTCATCTGAGTGATTTCTCTTACTATATTTCCCTTTCACATTCTACAAAGGTCAAAATCTGTTTTACCACAAACTTCAAGTAAGAGTTTTATTTTGTTTTCATTGATATTACACCTTTCAGATCCATTTTCCTGAAATATGTTCTTTTGGATTTTCTGGGCTATGCACTGTCTCTCCTTACGCTGCAATATGTTTTCCTAAATCCTAGACTATTTTTACTTTTCTCTGTTTAGTTATTATAGAAAGGTGAAATATCTATTCAAGCTTGGCATTTTCCAAAACATTGTAAATGGGGATGGAGAGTTAGTTAGCGTCCTTATCTTCTTCCAATAGCCTCTTAGATGCTAGCACCAAACAGCTATCAGATTTAGATACAAAAGACACACACAATCCCTTGATAAATTATAGTTAGCATAATTTATTTGGAGTGAATCTACCACTACTTCCCTTACTACTACTATGTCTTGTAAGTAAGAGAATAAAAAGCGCATTGTGACATTTGTATTATGTGAAATATAAAAGCCACTGTTCCCAGTAGGCATGCCCTTAGAGCTATTTTTCTCTTGCTGTCCTTGCCTTTAACACTTTACTGCAAATCATAAAAGATCCCAACATGGGAATAGCACTGCCTCCCTTTCCTCCCACCCCCATTTTTTGGTATGCCGTGTGTCAACACATGCAGAAAGAGAGATCCATTGATGAGAGCACAGATGTTGAGTTTCTGCCCATCTTGCCCCTCGCATGCATTCTATGGATGGAGTTTGGTGGCTTGTTTGCCTCCCTGTGAGATCCCTGCATTCTGGATTTAGGGGTGTAAAGATGAGAAAGTGGTATGGTTTCTCCACCTTCTTGGGTACTCTCTGGGCTGTATTAGGTGAAAATGGGTTTCAATTGGCCAGTGGTACAAGGGCATATGCCTTGGGCAACCCCCATCAATATGGCAGCTAATAAAAAAATTATCTAAGCATTGATATGTGATTTGTTCTTAATTTTAGTTTACAATTCTTTCGTTAAAAATAATTTTGCATTAGAAGGAGCAAGATTACAAAAATTTTTTCATTTCTATGAAATATTTTCATTAAAAAATTTCAAAGAGATATATTAGGCATGACCAATGTTAACCCAGAAACTAAACATAGACTATTCATATAAATGACAAAAATAATAATTGCAATTTTATACTGTATATTGACTTTGCAAAATTTGAAACTTCCAACAAAAGGAAATTACCAAAATTTCCCATTAATAACATGTCAGTTCACGAAAGCCATTTCAATGTGTGAGCCTTCTATGAAGGACCGCACTGAATTTTGAGTCCATTGAATGTAATGTTTTCCAAAGTAGGACCTTGGCATCCATGGCAGGTTTGGTATATTATCTAGGAGGTGTTTTTATCCATGTTTGTACTGATTGTGTGAATTAATGTGTGTGTTATTGAAATCAGTGCTATAATCCCCATTAATTCCAGGGGGATTTTTTTTTCTTTTTGAAGTAACAAGGGAGAGCAGGTGGGGTAAGTGTTCCATGGACTACAAATAGGAAATCACTTATTCAAAGGGCATAATGGAATATGTGAGTTGTGTATCAATGTTAAAGTGATATTTTTAGACGCATAAAGTTAGGCGATGTGGTGGAAATAACATAGAGTCAGAAATGTTGAATATTCAGCTCTTTCTTGTTGCCTTGGTTCTAGTAACACAGAGATAAAATATGTAGTTTTTCTCTTCAAGAAGCTTATCTTCTGTGTAGTGGCCATTACTTACAGTATGATAAGAATTTTAATGGAACTCACTTCAGGATCCAAAGGGAGTTTAAGGTGGTCAAATTCAATAATCCAAACTTAAGAGACCAGAGTTCACAAGGAAGATTGGGTAGAAAAGGGCTTTTTAAGTCTAAGAGAATAGCATGTTCAGAAAAAAGGAGATAAAATAAGAGTTTGGGAAGTGGGAGTGGTTGGTAAGCCTAAAGAAATAACGGAAGGGACAAGGGGTAGCTGGTAAAAGCTTTATACACATGCAAAGGAGATATCAATAATTTAAATAGCAAAAAAATCTATAAACAATTCAAATGTCCATTAACAAGAGAATAATATGTAAATTGTGTTATATTTATTCAATGAAATACTATACTATACAGCAAGGGAAGTGAATGAGTTACAGCTATGTGCGTCAACACAGATAAATTGCAGCCAGAGAAAGTTAAGTGAAAAAAGCAAATCATTAGTGTCAGTAAAAATGCCTTTTTCCATTTAGGCCTTTAAAAACATTCTGCCAAACAATTTTCTGATCAAGCATACATATATGATAAATGCACATACACACATACACATGCAAGAAAATCATAAACCCAACTTTTAAGTGATAGTTCTAAGAGAAGAGGCAAGGAGTTGGGAACCAGGAAGCAGCGAATTTCAAAAGCATTAGCTTTATTCTCTATCTTAGATAAACTGGTAGGTATCTTGGAGTTAATTATGTTTATATTCTTTACTCTGTAAATATATATTAAAATACTTGTATATGTCTATTGAAAATTTAATAAAAGCAATGTAAAAATTTCTATCATAAAATTAATTATGCAAATCAGCTTTGGTATTTCAAGGAAAAATTATTGTGAGTTTTAAGTTTACTATAATAGACAATTTAATAATGTTAAAAATCTTTAGATTCCCAGAAACTTAATCTGAAGGTCCAAGAAATTTTTAAACCATTTTTTTAAAGCAGGAAATAGAAAAGTAAAGGAAAAATACTCAAGTGTCAAAGACAGCAAAGGCTGCATGGTTGAGAACTCTAAAGCCCTTGATTGTATTGTGGGTTCATAGCTTTGGTCACAGAGAAGACTTCACCTTTCCATTTAAAGGACAAAGCAAATGTAAATTTGTTCTCGATCACAATATACCCGGTATTAAATTTAGTAAGAGAAAATTGCACTAACAGCTGAATTTTAGGCTTAACTTTGTGACACTCTCTTTCTTGTATGGAATTGATCAGCTCAAACTGAGAGCTCATGACTGGGAAAATGACACAGTCTGTTCTTGCCTCGTTCTAAATTTTAATGGTACCAGGCCCACTCTGACACTAATTTTACAGTCACTGTGCCCTCTGATTGTCTAGCAAGAACCAGCATTCTTCCTTTGCTTCCCTGTGAGCAAGGCAGCTGTAGGACCAAGTACGTTTAGTATTAATGATTGCTATTTCCCAGATAGCCCTGTGCAAATGAAATACACTTTCCTCAGAAAGAAGAAAAATGATTATTTGAGGGAAATGTGAAAATGTGAAGCTTTGTCTTGACATCCACTTTAGCAGATGTCTTCCCTGATGTTGGATCATCTTTCTTTTTCTTTTCTTGTATTGCTCTGGAAAAAGAAACAGGAATATGTGGATGTGGATGGTCCTTTCTATTTTCCCAAATAACTTAACCTAACCTCATCTTTTGTTAAATAATGTTTAAAAAATATTCTGAAAAGCACAGTAAATATGATATGTTCCACCTAAAATTGATTGCTGGATTAAAATTAAGTTCATGATGTGTGATTACAAGAATGCTTAATTACACTCACTTCAACATAGCTTTCACCACCAACATGATACTATTACCATCCAGATTTTTCAATATTGGTTGCCCTTTAAAACCTGTCACCCATGATCTGGCATATGCTAGACCCTTAGGGACTACAGAGAACAAAGATGATGGTCTGAACTAGCAGGAGTACATGCCAGAGCTCTTCACCCTGACTCAGTACAGAGTAAGCAGGCAAAACACACCAGCTCCCATCTTCTCTCTAGGAAGGAAAATAATTGGGCCATGCATCCAAAGTCCCAAATTTTCTGGGTGCTATATGAGGAACTGACTTTTGTCTTGCTTGTCTTGGAACACTGACAGAACCTAGCATACGCTGGATCCCTGAGGGTGACAGAGACCAAGGATGGCAATTTGAAATAGTGTGTGGGCATTCACCACAGCTCCTCCCTTGGCTTGGCACGAAGTGAGTAGGCCAAAAGCCCCAGCCTATAAAAGTATAAAACTTGGTAAATTAAATATAAAGATAAATACCAAATACTGTCTTACTGTAGTGGTGATGGGTAAATCACCTTTAATTCTAGTATAAAAGTTAAAAGACAAAAATATTAAGAATAACTATAAATATAAAAGTATTAATATACACTATAAATAGATGTAAATTATAGCACCAATGACATAAACTGTGAGGGGAAGAGAAGTAAAGTCATAGACAGCTTAACTATAAGATCTTTTTGGTAGTCTCATGATAACTACAAAGAAAATACCTGTAGTAGATACACAAAAGAAAAACAGAAATTAAAGCAGATTATTATAAAAAATAATGAAACACAAAGGAAGACAGCAGGGGAAAAAGGCTAAAATAAATACAAGACAAGTTGAAAACAACAAAATGGCAATAGCAGATTCTTCCCTATTGATAATTACTTTAAATATAAATGGTCACAACCAAAAGGCATTGAGTGGCTGAATGAATGAAAAAACAAGATCAAGTGATATTCTATCTACAATTGACTCACTTTATTTTACTTCATTTTATTTTTCTCCTTTTTTTTTTGAGACAGGGTCTTGCTCTCTTGCCCAGGATGGAGTACAGTGGCTTGAGCATAGCTCACTGCATCCTCAAACTCCTGGGCTCCAGTGATCCTCCTGCCTCAGCCTCCTGAATAGCTGGGACTACAGATATGACTCACCACACCTGGCTAATTTTTAAATTTTTAGTGGAGATAAGGTCTCACTATGTTGCTCAGGCTGGTCTTGAACTCCTGGCCTCAAGCAATCCTCCTGCCTCAGCCTCCCAAGTGCTGGGATTACAAGCATGAGCCACCATCCCAGCCTACAAGGGACTCACTTAAATTTAAGGATATATATAGGCTGAAAGTTAAGAAATGCAAAAAGTTATCTTATGCAAATGGCAAATGGCAACCAAAAGACTATTCATATAAGACAAAATAGTTTAACTTAAAAATCATAACAAGAGACAAATAAAACATTGTGTAATGATAAAAGAATCAATTCATCAGAAAGATACAATAATTACAAATAAATATGCACCTATCATCATAGAACATAAATATATGAAGCAAACCTTAACAGAACAGAAAAGAAAAACAGCAATACGATAATGGGAGGAGATTTTAATCCCCCACTTTCAATAATGAATAGAACAATCATACAGAAAATCAGTAAGGAAAGAGCAGACTTGAAAAACACTATAAACCAAATGGACCTAAAAGACCTAACAGAACATTCCACCCAAGAGCAACAAAATATATATTCCTCTTAAGCACACAGTCAACATTTTCCAGGACAGATTACATGTTAGGTAACAAAACGAGTTTCCACAAATATAAGATTGAACATTATATCAAGTATCTTTTTCTGACCACATTGGAACAGGACAAGAAATCAACAGTACAAATAAAACTGAAAAATTAACAAATAAATGGAAATTAAATAATGTGCTTTTAAACAACTGATATGTCAAAGAAAAAATAAAAATAAAAATTAGAAAATATCGTGAGACAAGTGAAAACATAATATCAAATTTTATGAGACATAGTAAACACATTATTAACAAGAAAGTTTATAACAATAAACACCTACATTACAAAAAAAGAATTAGCAATCTAACTTTACACCTCGAAGAACTGAAATAAAACAGGGTATTTCTGCATAGATGTAGAAACAAACACTTGATAAAATTCAAAACACTTTCATGATAAAAATTCTCATAATAAAAATTCTCATCATCTCATGATAAAAATTACATCAACATAATATAGGCCATATGTGAACATTTAATAGCTAGTATCATAATCAATGGTGATAAACAAAGCTTTTCCTCTAAGATCAAGAGCAAGGCAAGGATATCCACTTTCACCATGTCTAGTCAACAAAGTAGTGAAAGTTTTGGCTAGAGCAATTTGGCAAGAAAAGAAAACAAAAGGAATTCAAATCAGAAAGGAAGAACTAAAATAGTCTGTCTTTGCAAATGATATGGTTTTTATAGAAAACTCTAAAGATTCCCCCCCAAAACCTGTTGGAACTAATAAGCAAATTCAGTGAAGTTTCAGAATATAAAATTAACACACAAAAATCAGTTGCATTTTTGTATGCTGACAACAAATTATCTGAAAAGAAAATTAGGAAGAAAATCACTTATAAAAGTGATTTTATAGTAACATTAAAAAGAATAAAGTACTTAGGAATAAATTTAACTAAGAAAGTGAAAGAATTGTGCACTAACAACTACAAAACATTAATGAAAGACATTAAAGAAGACAAAAACAAATGGAAAGACATCCCATCCCACGTTACTGAATTGAAAGTCTTAAATTGTTAAAATGTCTATACTATTCAAAGCAATCCACAGATTCAATGTAATTTCTATCAAAATCCCAGCAGTATTTGGTACAGAAATAGAAATAGACATTCTAAAATTTTTATTTAACCACAAATGATCTGAAACAATCAAATGTCTTGAGAAAAAAGAATAAAGCTGGGCATATCACACTTTGTGATTTCAAAACATATTCCAAAGACACAATAATTTAAAAAATTTGGTATTTGTATAAAGACAGATAAAGTGACCAATGGATGGAACGAATAGAGAGCCCAGAAGTAAATCCTCACATATGTATACAGTAAACTGATCTTCAACAAGCATGTCAAAACTACACAATGTGAAAAGGATAGTCTCTTCAACAAACGTTTACAAGAAAACTGTATATCTAAGTGCAGAAGAAAGAAATTATACCTCATTTACATCATACATGAAAATCAACACAAAATAGATTAAAGACTCAAAATGTAAGACCTAAAGCTGTAAAACTCCTGGAAGAAAAATAGAGAAAAAGTTTTATGACATTGGTCTTGGCAATGATTTTGCAGATATGACATCAAAACTATAGGCAACAAAAGCAAAAATAAATCAAACCACATCCAATTCAAAAGCTTCTGCACAACAAAATACACAATCAGCAGAGTGAAAAGACAACATATAGAATGGGAGAAAATATTTTCAAGCCACCATGTATCTGATAAGGGATTGTTTTCCAAAATAAAAACAACTCCTACAATCAATAGCAAAAAATACCAAAACTCAACTAAAATATGGGCAGAGGACTTAAATAGACATTGCTCCAAAGACATACAAATATCTGACAGATACATGAAAAGACGCTCAACATTACTAACCATCACATAACTGCAAATCAGAATCACAATGAGGTATCTCATCACACCTATAATGTTGGCTATTATCAAAAAACAAAAGACAACATATTGACAATGATGTAGAGAAATTGGAACCCTTGCACACAGTTGGTAGGAATACAGAATGTTGCAGCCACTATGGAAAATAATATGAATGTTCCTCAAAATATCAAAAATAAAACTATTATTTGATCCAGCAATCTCACTTCTGAATATTTATGTAAAATAACTGAAATCAGCATCTTTTTAAACTTTTAAGTTCAGTGGTATATGTGCAGGTTTGTTACCTAGGTAAACTTATGTCATTGGGGTTTGTCATACAAAATTATTTAATCACCCAGGTATTAAGCCCGGTACCCATTAGTTATTCTCCTGACCCTCTCCCTCCTTCCACCATCCGATAAGCCCCAGTGTGTGTTGTCCCCTCTATGTGTCCATGTGTTCTCATCATTTAGCTCCCACTTATGAGTGAGAACATGTGGTATTTGGTTTTCTGTTCCTGCATTAGTTTGTTAAAAATGATGGCCTCCAGCTCCATCCATGACCCTGCAAATGATCTGTTCTTTTTTATGGCTTCAGAGTATTCCATGGTGTATATGTAACACTTTTTTTTTTTAATCCAGTCTGTCATTGATTGCCATTTAAGTTGATTCCATGTCTTAGCTATTGTTAATAGTGCTGCAATGAACATATGCACACATGTGTCTTTATAATAAAATGATTTATATCCCTTTGGGTATATACTCAGTAATGAGATTACTGGGTCAAATGGTATTTCTGTCTTTAGGTCTTTGAGGAATCGCCACATTGTCTTCCACGATGGTTGAACTAATTTACACTCCCATCACAGTATATAAGTATTCTTTTTTCTCCACAACCTTGCCAGAATCTGTTATTTTTTGACTTTTTAATAACAGCCATCCTCACTGGTGTGAGATGGTATCTCACTGTGATTTTGATTTGCATGAAATCAGTATCTTGAAGAGATTAACACTTCCACTTTCACTGCAGCAATATTCACAAGACCAAGATGTGTAACCAAACTAAATGTTCATCAGTGGCTGAGTGGGTAAAGAATATATGGTTTATACATACAATTAAATTTTGTTCAGCCTTAAGAAAGAAGAAAATCCTGCAATATGTGACAACATGAACATTGAGGACATTATGCTAAGTCAAATAAGCCAGTCACAGAAAGATAAATACTGCATGATTCCACTTATATGAGGTATCTAAAATAGTCAAACTCATGGAAGCAGAAAGTAGATTTGTGTTTGTCAGGGAGAGCCAAATGGGGAATTGCTAATCAACAAGTATGAAGTTTCAATTATGGAGGATGGATAAGTTCTATAGATCTACTATCTAATATTGTGCCTATGGTTAACAATACTGTATTGTCCAGTATTGTTAAAAATTATTAAGAATACAGATTTCATGTTAAGTGGTTTTATCACAAAATGAAATGAAATGAAATAAAATAAAATAAAAAACTTACTTCAATTTCTCTTAACTAAGTAGTTTTTCCATTATAGATAATGATCTCATGGGCTTAAAAAATATGATACATGGGAGGCCAGGCCCAGTGGCTGACACCTGTAGCACTTGGGGAGGCCATGGTAGGCAGATCACCTGAGGTTGGGAGTTCAAGACCAGCCTGACCAACATGGAGAAACCCTGTCTCTACTAAAAATATAAAATTAGCCGGGCGTGGTGGTGCATGCCTGTAATCCCAGCTACTTGGGAGGCTGAGGCAGGAGAATTGCTTGAACCCAGAAGGCAGAGGTTGCATTGAGCCGAGATCGTGCCATCGCACTCTGGCCTGGGCAACCTGAGCGAAACTCTGTCTCAAAAAAAAAAAAAAAAAAAAATGTGATACATGGGAGGTAGGCCATGACGGAAGCTTAGCTTGAAAGTTAGAGACAGGGACGGTATAACCAATTAGAATTTGAGCATGTGGTTTGAGCATGTGGTTGAGATTCCCTTGCTCATCATCACTGGAGAGGTAACATACAGATAGTAGATTGACTGGTTGTGAATTGATACATATTTGGAGCATGAGAGAGAGAACAAGAAAAAGAGAGTAAGAGTGAGATAGAAAGTTTGCACCAAGAAGCAGGGGAGGAATGTACTTAAACAAAATGTTAAAAACAGTTCTCTTAGATAGATTTATTGATTATTTTTATTTTCATTTGTTTTCATGTGGACTGCCTGTACATTTTCTTTGCCCATTTTTCTTTTGGCATGTCTGTCTTTTTTTCTACTTAATTATGAGGGCTTTTGAAATTCTAGAAATTTTCCTTTGTCATGCGTGCTGCTTACATTTTTTTCTGAGTCTGTCATTTGTTTATACTAGTTGTTTCTATTCTGAAGTTTTTAATTTTTATTATATTAAATTATATCGGTCTTTTCCATTATGGAAGATTTTTAAAGTACATCACTGATTATTATTTTCAGTTTCATATACAGATGCCATGACTCAACTATTCTATAAGTGCTGTGTAGGAATGTGGTATGCCTTCTTCTTCCCCTGTGCCTTTTAGGATGTCCTTGACACATATTGAATTCGTCACCCAATAACAAGCTGTGAAGTCGAATAGCTGGCTTGAAACTGAGGAGATGACAGTTGCAAGCAACAAGTGAAACATTAGCAAAAGCACTGGCTTCCTGTCCACAAATGCCTAAGTGGACAGGAGAAAACAATGCACAGGAAAATTAGCTGGTTTCTTTTCTGATAGCATTTTTATTTTTATTTATTCTGTCTGCTTTTTCCTGAAATGCTCATCAATTCTTAAGGAAGGCTTCTGTTATATATATGCACACACACATTTGCAGAAATGTAAAATAAGTAGTACTCACAATTAGTTTCTGAGTAACTGTTAATTCACACAGATGTAGGGGGCAGGTTTCCTACAGCTGCATGTAATTGAGTTCAGTTCATCACCAGATCTCAAGGAATACTTTAATATTTTACCCGCAAGCAACATTTTCGATGGCAATGACTTCTCCAGATTTACAAAGTCTAGAATGCAAAACCCCTTGTTGAGAGCTTTGACACTTATCCTGCCAGGTGTAGTTGATAAAGATTACTTGAAAGGTGATGCAAATTAAATCTCCATTGCAGTTATTTCTGCAATGATGTTTTACCATTACATGGTACAATGTTCTTCTTATGACATGCTCATGCACATAATTTTACCGGGTCCTTCAATATCCCTTTGAGACAGTAAGGCGGTTTTTATTTTCCTCATTTATCAAGTGAGACAAAAGAGAGTCAGAGTCATTACATGACTTGTCCCATTATATCTGTCAAATATTTATTGAGCATATACAATAGGAAGACTGAGTTGACCATCCTGAGTTACAGTCCCAGAGAGCAAAGCGCTTACCACTACCAATTAGAGATGTGATCATTATGCAAATCACTCTATTAGATGGCAGAGCAAGGGTAGCTTTTATGAGAAGTATAAACATCCCACGATGTTCATCATGAAGGGAGAATTTGAGCATGTGGTTTGGAATCATAAAATGCCAGGCTGAATACGTAGGTGATGGGATGGTCTGTGCAACAAACCACCATGGCACACGTTTACCAACGTAACAAACCTGCATGTCCTGCACGTGTACCTCAGAACTTAAAATAAATGTTGAAGAAAAAAAATTATGTTGGATAACAATTTTACATATCTAAACCTCAGTTGCTTCATCTATAAAATGAAGCTTCAATGGGTTGTCAACAAAACATCTTAGAGTCTGAATATTTTTGTTTGCAATCTGCCACCACTGCTTACCAGCTCTATAATCTTTATTATGTTACTGAACCTTTCTATACTTTGGTTTTCTTTCTCAGTACATAGGAATAATAGTACCAAGTCATAGATATTTTGTGAATATTAATGACATAAAGCTTTACAGTTCCTGTTGCCTAGTAAATTCTCAGTGTATATTAGTTGCCATCATTATTACAGTACTAATAATAGAATGTTGGAAACTGAAAAAAGTGGGGGGTCTTGATTGACAATATGACATTGAATAGATTTGAACTGTGGGTTGGATTATGATTGACAGAGGGTGGGGAAAAGGCACAACTTGAAATGAAGCGTGTGCTGAAGAATACCAAGTTATCCTCTGTAGTGTGACATATATTTATGGCAGGTTAATAGAGGGGCAATTAGTCTGGAGAATTGTGATGCCCTTTGAATGGTAGTTTAGAAGTTTGTAGTTAATTTGGTAGCCATTTAGAGACCCCTAGCACGTTGTCATCAACAGTTGATTTTGCCAGACTTTGAAATATTTGTCAGTCTGATTGGTGTAAAATTGTATATTGTGGTTTTAATTTGTTTTTTCTTTATTACCAATGAGATTGTAATTTTTTTTTGAGATGGAGTCTCGCTGGTATCCCTAAAACCTATCACTGTTTCTTTGTGTGCATAATCGTTTAATAAATATTTGTTGAATAAATGAGTAAATATATGAATGACTGAAATGAGCTCCAGGTACACATATCAAAGGTACTTTTAACACGCATGTGTAGAGACCATGTGCTTACCGTCTAAGCCAAAGAGGTAACTTCGGTGATGACCCTCTCAGGCTGAGGGAGATGTAACTGTGAAAGACCCATCTGAGACATTCTCTTAGGGGGAAAACTTTTAATCACACTATACAGGCAACCACCTCTACTAGATATATGAAGAGATGGCCCTTTCCAGAAATGAGCATTTTAACCCAGGGCGCAAGGATCACATGATTGAAAGAGAATTACGAACCAGCTGTTTTAGCATGAATTGATTCTAGCCCAGCAATGCCAGTCCTTAGCAAGAGGGTCTGCTATTTCAAATGGATTCCTCAGCTTTTCCCTTTCCTTAGTGCCTAAAAGTACCTCAGAGGAGGGAACCTGTTTTCAAATATAGGTTTTATTATTATACATGTTTGCCCAGGTCAACAGATGAAGATGATTGCCATTGAAAAAAAAAAATTTGTTATTGTCCCAGATCCCAAGAGAAGGGAGTAGACGATGCTACTGGTAGCCTCACGGGAAGCACTGGGGTTGATAATAAGGCAGAGGGAGAGGGGAAAATGATGGCTAGGAGGCTTCCTTGTGGCTTCCACAGAAAGAAACCATGAGGCAGGGTGAACAGGCTCAGGATTGGCCAATTTGAATAAATTCAGCAGGCTCTGGGGCACAGGGAGTGTCCCTAGTTGTCTGGTACTTTAAAATCTACTATACACTGGACCTTGAACTAGTTGCCTATCAAATCTTTTCAAGAACTTGGATGTTATAGTATCATAAACAAGTACTCTAGATTGTCTCAGACATTTTCAATAGTGGGAAAGCATAGAAATAGTCTGTGAGATCCAAAGGCAGAACAAGGACCAAGGGGTGAAGATTATGGGAAGACAGAACTCAGCCCTACATATATGGAAGTCATCGCACAAATAGAACTATTCAAAATGGAACCTCATGTCACGTGACCTAAAGAAGCCATCATGAGATGTGCTAATTCTATTGCCTGACATTCAGTTGAGAGAATTATTGCCCTGGCTAGATTTTTAAATATAGTGACCCCTAGGGTCTCTATTGTCTTTAAGCTTTCTAAACAATTTCACATTCAAAAAAGCCTTGACAATTCGAGGCAATTGGAAAATATAATTTGGCTGAATGCTGAATGACTGGGAGTTAAAGTCAATTTTTGGCAAAAACTTATACTGATGAACTTCTAGGATATAGGAAAAACATAAAAATGTTGTCTCTCTTTCCCCTCCCCCAAAATTAGATGATACAAGGAAGATATCCTGAAATTTAATATTGACAAAGTAGTCTTCTCAAATGGAGGCGCCAATTCAGTTTAACGTTTCTGCCAAATAAAAATTTTAAAGTTAGAATTATATTCAAGATTTAAGTTACAGCTAATGCTCCCCTAAACATTTTACTGAATAGTATGGTAACCTCACCCCTTCTCTACACCAATTTCTTATATTCTACATGTTTGATTAAATTACTGATTAGAAGTATAGTGTGTTAGAAGGAAATTTTAAATGATTAAGTATGCACAGCCTGCCCTTGCTAAACCCAAACTGAAGAAATTTAAAATTTTAACATGTTTTAATGATTCTAAGAACATTTGCCAAGTTAACATTTCTACTTCATATTGCATCATTATTTTTAAGGATTAATCTTATTAAAATACAAATTTATCTTCCACCATGAATGTCCATAGCTTAATAAGTGAAAGTATGCAATTTTACCACAATTCATTTCATATTCATGGTGAAATTATATTATTTCTTTGGAATAATTGCCTATTGGTCTAATGTACCTGAATTTTTCCGCATGCATAGCAACCTCCTAGCTTATCCCCAGAGGAAAAATATTTTTTTCTTAACTACCATCATTTGTCCTTAAAATCAGCAGTCTGTGTACATTATATATGGTAATCCATTACCTCCACTTATCATCTTAATGCTCTCGGTTCCCTAGAAAAATGTCTGATCCATAAGAGGTACCAATAAATATGTAGTGAATGTCAAGTAGCCACAATCTTTGTCTCATTTGGTAGATCTCAAAGGTCAAGGGGGGAAGAACTTAAACCCAAAAGATGTGGAAATTTATTTCATTCATTTATTTCACTATGTGTGATTACCACTCGATTCCCTGGCAGTAATGTCTCCACATCATCAGCCCAGACTGGACAAGAAAAGGGGCAGTGGGGCAAAATTGAGGGATAGTTCTGTCTTCTAAACTGGAAGCCAACATCAGAATGCAGGCCACCATGACTGAGAAGGCAGAGCCCATCTGACATCTCAGGGCCCTCTTTATGTAAGCTGTCATCCACTCCAGGGCTACCTTTACCTCTTGTGGGACTCAGATTAACTTCAACAAGGACAAGATCATAAAGATCAGTCTGGCTTAAGCTTAATCTTTTTTTTTTTTACTTTCATGTTGCCTCCCTGGACTTCATGGAATTTAAGTCAATGGATTTTTTTTCAACTAAACTTCAAAATGAGCATTCAGAACATGACTTGTAATAATAACTATTTCCACCATAATGTTTAACCACTTCCTTTTAGTTTTAATCTCCTTTCACTATCACAATAGCCACATCATACAATAAGGTAGGGAGAACATAAGAAAGATAAAAAGCTGCATTTTGAACTCAGAGATGTTTTTCCTCAGATTTTTCAACCTATCATCACCTTCTTGGATCTTAGCATCTTGAGACCATGTACCCAGAAATACTGATATAGGCCAGGATTTTCAGCTTCTCATTTCACTGATGCTGTGGTTTGGGGCCTCTACACAACGACCACAATCAATGGACTACACACATATTGAAATTACAGTGATTGCAAATATTGAATGGGAGAACATGAAGGAAAAATATTCTAACTACAAACTGATAAAGTATGAGATTGGTTTTGTTTATTTGGTAAACAAATGCATGAGTCTTCAGTAATATTTTTGAAGAAATATTAATGAGAGTATCTTTGATTCCAGACACCTGTCTTATAATTACAAATCCTGTATTAGATCCTAAATGATTATCTAAAGTACCATGATCAGATAAAAGTAAGAAAAAAATGATGAACTAAAGGACCCTTAATAGTCAAAGCCAAGAGTTTACAGTAAGAGCAACAAGAGCTATGTAGGATAAGGAGCCAAGTAACAACTAAACTGCCTTTGAATAGAAAAAATGGGCTTAAATAGCAAAAGAACAACAAATGTTACCACATGACTTTTTGCTGTCTACAGTGGCTTTCTTTTCTATTTATTTATTTGTTTATTTATTTATTTTCAGCAGTTTCTCAAGAAGCCTCTGACATTGACAGGTCAATGTCAATTTATCATCAATTCTTTGATGATGATGTGAATGATGACAATAAAAATAAAGATACTGATGATGACCCCTATCACAATGTATGTTAAACACTGTAGTAAATCATAAATATTCCAGGCCACCTGGATTTTCCTCCCCTGGAGGGCTAATGTCATAAGCTGAAATTATTAGCATGTACAGTGTAGTTTTCAAATTCTCTTGGACCTATCTCCTATATGTGAATACAGCGTAAAGCTTCAGATATATAGTCAGTCTCTCCTCAAAATATATATTTACATTTGAATATGCATATATATAAGCTGTATACGCAAAAATAAAAAAAGAATATACCACTTCTACAAGCATTACATAATTTATGCTTTAGAGAAACAATGTAAGGCAAATATTTTAATCACCATGTTATATACAAAAAAACAAAGACTCAAGCAGTGTTGACTGACTTTCAAAGACTAGAGGTAGTCTCCAGTAACAGCAGTCAAATAGAGGTATCTGTTGTCAAGTCCTGTTCCATCTAAGAGGCAGATAGTTTTTAAAAAGGTCAGGTTTTATCACTATAAGCTTCCCCAGGTAGATGGCCAAGTTATAGCACTAGTTTGTCAGGAAATTCTATCCATATAGAGTTGATCAAGCTCTCACCCTAGAGCTGAAAATAGAATATCATTGTAAAGCAAATATTTAAACGTGTGACCAAGGCAGCCTCAGTTTTTTTCTCACCTGTAGATATAATAATACCCATTTAATAAATTCATGGTGAGAATAATATATACAACGACTGATGTGATGATGAGGGGTGTAGAAGGCTTCGTATAATGCCTTATATTTTGCAAATAATCATTAAAGTTTAAACACAATTACTTTTATTATTGTTAATGTGATTCAAAGGGTACATCTTGTGCCAACACTGCAGAGAATTTGTGATGTACCCTAGAATGAAAGCAAGATTTTGCTTTTACCTCTTAGGGTTAATACGGATGACATGGGAGGAAAGTGGGCACTAATTCTCCTTAACTTACTATGAGTTGCTACATAGCCAAGAAGACAAGACCCTGCAGTGTGTGTTGTAAAAATAGGCATAACCTCAGATACAGAAGTGCCACAGGCTGAAAAAAGAGGGGCTAATTTTTTCATATAAAAAGATGCAGGATAGATATCTAGAAGAAGAGAAGAACTGACACATTTATGGGTGCTCTGTGACACAGGCTGCATTTAGCCCCTCTGCTGCCTTGTGCCAGTTGATTAAGGCTGGGAACATTTTCCCAAGTTGTGTGAGAGAAGCACAGCTGTCGTGTTCAGGAACTTGAGCAAGAAACGTATGCTTCCTGCCAAGCTTTCACTGGGTACAAGCTCAAAGCTTCACAAAACAGAATGGTTTTAAAAATGATTGGAAGGATTCATTCTCGCAGACAGATGGAAAGTATCAGAGATGAGGGAAGTGTGCTTGTGTGTGCAGCATATATGTGTATATGTGTGTGTGCACACCCACGCTCAAAAAATGCATTTGGTGAGGAGGCTGTCAATAAAACTTGGAAAATTTATTAAGAGCATTGAGCTTCTGTTACCACGTTGTGTTTTCTCGCAAACTAATTTTGTTTTAGGGAACAATAATCACAATCAATTTCCTATGAACCTGAATGGCTGCAGACTAAGAATTTTCCCTGGCCTTGACATACATACATACATACACACACACACACACACACACACACACACACATATACACACATATATATATATATGATAATACTTTGTAAAACCTGTTTCAAAAGCTTAAAACACTCTCATACACAAACACAAAAAGTACACAGACATACAATTTTGCCAGCCTGTCATTATAAACCCAAAAATGGCATACCCACTCAGCTCTAAGATATTAGAAAACTTCCCAGAAAAAGTAAAAACCAGACATGATTTTTTTTTTCCCCTAGATCCAGCTATTCTTTGGATACTTTATTCTCACCCCCCATGTGGGAGAATTATACCAGTCAAGGTAACGACGGCAACAGTCAATCCTAGAGTTGCTGTGTTGGCTGCAGTCTAGGCAATAACCAACTGTCTCATTGCCTCTTTGACTGTTAGCAATTATAGGAGCAATTGATGAAGGTTTTATATGCTCCATGTGACCATTATAATTAAGGCACGTTTTAAGGTATACTTTAAGTCTTTCATTTTTCTGGAACCTTAAAGCTAACTTAACAAAATATTCGTGTTGGTGGAGTCAGGAATTATAAATATACATGTGATCTCAGGATCAGAGGATCACCCTTGGAATAATTTTTCTTGGCTGCCTGTTGGATACCAGATCATCAGTGACTGCACTGCAGTGACAAGATGGCAGTACTTGTTACCAGGTTAATAAAGCTGCAAAAAGCTGAGGCCCAGGTTTATTAATGCTTATAAGCATTATTTCTATGACAATAATCCTTTTGCCTATAAAGAAATAAGTATCACTAGTGCAAATAAAATTAGAATGGTCACTTTAGCTTTCAGGAAAAGTAATAAGATGAAGATCTTTGGGGAAAAGGAATATGATCTTTGGGGAAAAGGAATATTTCAGATTCTAAGATTTGGACCTAATCCCATAACACTAGGACAAAGACATAGGCAAGAAGTCATTCTTTATAAATGATTTATTGTCTTTGATGGTAGGAATATTCCTCGATCTAGAAATGGGAAACACGAAGCTCTCTAAACTCTGCAATCGAAAGCTCTGGAGAGCTTACTTAGAAACAGAGCCAAACCAGACGAAGATTGAGTAGTACTAACGCTGCAAGCCAGCATTTTCCAAGATTATTCCCTCATTAGATTAAGATGCTCATCTTCCTTCTCTATATGCCTAGCAGACAAAACGGTGAAGTATTTTTCATAAAAATAATATCTTTTGGAACCTCTACATTTTTAAAACACAATATTCAACACTTAAAATGAAATTACCAGGCATATGGATCAACAGAACCAAATAATTGATAAATGAGAGAAAAAAAGATAAAATAGAACACAAGTTAGCCTCATTTTAAGGTTAGCAGAAAAGACTTTCAAGTAACTCTATGTAATTTATTTTTAAAATAGAAAAATAGTTGAATAGGTAGATGAACACATAGAAATTTAAATAGAGCACTGAAACATTAAAATATTTAAAAATTAAAAATAAAGAAAACTAATGTTAGAAATCAAGAACGTAGAGATTTTTGCTTCTTTCTTTGTTTTGGATGGGAGGAGTAATGACTATAAATATTATTTTAAAAAACAAGCACCAGGCCAGATTTAGCCTATGCACTATAGCTAGCCAGTTCCAATAATACATTTTAAAATAAACCAAATTATGATTATCTTAGTAGATGCAGATAAAATATTTGATTACATTTAAGTTAAAAACTATTAGCAAAGAGGCAGGACTTCCAGAATAGCAGAATAAGAAATTCAGCAAACCATCTCCCCAGCAAACAAACCAAAAAAAAACACCCAAACTGAAAATTATTAAAAAGCAAAACAAAAACAATCATTCCAAATATTTCTGGAACTGTCTTAAGATCGGCATGCAGGAAATAAAGAACTTTCACTTAAGAAAATCTACTAAATCTCAGTAAGACAGTGATAGTGTTATTGAGGCACGACATATTTCCCCACTCCCTACTCAGCTCTGTGTTGTGGAAGCTCTATCCTGAGTTCCTACTTCATAGAAGTGTGGCCAAGAAGATGGAGGCTCCCTCTTTCCCCAGCTCCCAGTCTGAAGATATGGTTTCACCTCAGAAGGAACAGGCTCCCAGTGTTTGCCCCCCTCCAGCCCCATGTCGATGAAGCTCTATTCTGAGCGGACATTTAGAGAGGGCCAATTTCCTTTCTCCCACACAGATCCTACTCAGAGACGAAGCTTTAAGACATGTGCTGCAGGCCAGGAATACGGGGGTTTGAATCACCCTAAACCCAGCTAATTCGTAGGGGGAATTCCATGCCAGGAGGATCAAGATGAAAGGACAGGCATTCTTGCCATCCCCATCCAATGCCCACTCACAGAGTATAGGTGTCACTCTGGGGAAAACAAATACTCACCCCAGCTCTGATGCAGTGTTGCTGAGGGTCTGCCCACCAGGAAGGCAGCCCAGAAGGATGAAGAAGTCAGCTCAGGACCGACAGTATTTGGAACAGAGTATGGAGGACTCCAAGCCAAAGAGCATTGTAGTAACAATGGAGAACTTGTGGAGGGCATTTAAGAAGAGGCTGGTATCACTTAAACAAAATGGCAAAGCATCCAGGAGTTTATTAAGGAGGACCGTGGAAAAAGATAATCAAGAAGAGCCCTTGGAATTTTAGTCAACTCTGAGATTCAGGAAGGCTGAATTCACTCAGAAGCAATCAGAGGAGATGGGGCAGACTTACATGGAGTGGATGCTTAACTAGCATAAGAAGTCTAAACACAGCTCCTGACCAAACACTCACTGGACAGTAAGCTACTCTGACTCAGAGGAGATTCCTAGGAAGCCAGGCATAAACATAAAATGACACTTACTCTTGGCAGTGGGGAATTACGTGACTGTGTTATGTTGTGCCACTTCAGAAGTGAGTAGAGAAAGAATTTAAAACTATGAGTTGCTGGTTGATCATGTGGCAAAAAGTGTAAACACCCTGAACTGTGAAACAACCTCTAAGTCTCCCACATATTCAATGAGAAACGGTAGAAATATAATATGCTAAGGAAGCTTAAACACAACCTTTGAACAATAACTGAACCAGAGGCAACCCCTTGGTATCCAGAGTAAGATAAAACAAAGGAGGGAAATCTGACTACAGGAACCAGAGAGTGCCCATTACGGGAGGAGGGGAAACAGAATTAAAAGAAATAACTAACCAAATCACTAAACAAACTAAAAAATGGCCAAACAAAAACAATAATAATATACCCGAAGGAGAGGTGTGAGAATCAGTATACATATTTGCCATGATATATTATTTAAAATATCCAGTTTTCACCAAAAACTGGGACGTGCAAAGTAACAGAAAAGTATAATGCATACAGAGGGAAAACTAGTAGGCAAAGAAAATACCTTTGAAGGAACACAAATGATAAACATTGGGAGATAAAGACTTTAAATTGGATATTATAAATATGTTCAAAGAACTAAAGAAATCAGTCGAGCACAGTGGCTCATGCCTGTAATCCCAGCACTCTGGGAGACTGAGGCAGGAGAATTGCTTGAGGCCAGGAATTTGAGACCAGCCATGGCAACATAATGAGATCCTGCCTCTATACAACATGCAAAAGTGAGCTGGGTGTGGTGGCACATGCCTGTAGTCCTAGCTGCTCAGGAATCTGAGGTGGGAGGATTACTTGAGCCCAGGAGTTCAAGGCTGCAGTGAACTATGATTGTGCCATTGCACTCCAGCCTGAGTAACAGAGCAACATCCTGTCTCAAAGAAAAAGAAGAACTAAAAGATTCTGTACATATAGAATTAAAGAAATATGCAAAAATTAATCATCAAATATAAAATATCAGTAAAGAAGAAATTATTGAAAAGAACCAAATGGAAATTCTGCAGTTGAAAGGGCTACATTCAAAATGAAACAACTCACTAGAGAGGTGAATAGATTTGAGCTGACAGAAAAAATCATCAGTAAACTCGAAGATAGAGCAGTAGATATTATACAATTTAATAACAGAAATAAAAATAACAAAAAAAATTAACAGAGCCTTGAAAAAAATCAATTAATTAAATAGTTGGGGAGAGATTTTTATGATCATTGACAGGAAGACTCACAATGTTAAGATACTAGTTTTTCCCAAATTGATCCATAGTTTTAACACAATTCAAATAAAAACTCCAGTGTTATTTTGGTATATTGACAAAGTGCTTTTATAGTTTATATGGAGAGGCAAAAATCACAGAAAAGTCAACACAATGGTAACAAAAAGGACAAATTTGGAAGACCATTACTACTTGACTTCAAGACTTACTATAAAGCTATAGTAATCAAGAAAGTGTGATACTGGTAAAAAAAAAAATAGATAATAGATCATTGGAACAGAATAGAGAATTCAAAAGTATACCCATACAAATAATAGTCAACTGATCTTTGACAAAGAAACAAAAGCAATTAATAGAAAAATAATAGTCTTCTCAACAACTGATTCGGAACAACTGGACATCCACATGCCAAATAAATAAATAAATAAATGTAGACACAGACCTTATAACCCGCACAAAAAATAACTCATAATGGATTACAGATATAAGGGTTAAATGCAAAACTATGTAACTCTTAGAAAAGAGCATAGGCGAAAATCAAGATGACCTAGGGCATAGCAATGATTTTTAGACACAATCCATGAAAGAAATAATTAATAAATTGGATTTTGTTAAAATCTACAGTTCTTCTCTATAAAGGACACTGCTAAGTGAATAAGAAGGCAAGCCACAGACTGGGAGAAAACATTTGCAAAAGACATATCTCATAGAAATAATTGTTATCTAAAATATTTGTTATCTAAAATATACAATAAACTCTTAAAACTCTACAATAAGGAAATAAACAACTCAATTGAAAAATGGGCAAAAGACCTCAACAAACACTTTACCAAAGAAGACATATTTATGGAAAATAAGTATCTAAAACGATGTTTAACATACTATGTCATTTTAAAAATTTCAAATTAAAACAATAAGATATCATTATAGATAATGATTCTTCTGCCATTCTGCGAATGGTAGAAAGCCTCAAATCCAAAACACTGACAACAACGAATGCTGGTGAGAATGTGGAGCAATGGGAATTCTCATTCATTGCTACTGGGAATGCAAAATGGTACAGGAACAAAACCAAACATGCCCTTACCATAAGACCCAGCAATCATTATCCCTGGCATCTGCACAAATGAGTTGAAAACACAGAAATTTGCACTGGGATGTCCACAGCAGTTTTATTCATAATTGTCAAAACTTGGAAGCAACCAAGGTGGCCTTGAGTAGGTGAATGGGTAAACTTTGGTACATCCAGACTGTGGACTAGTATCTGGTGCTAAAAGTAAATGAGCTGTCAGACCATGAAAAAACTGGAGAAATGTTAACTTCATATTACTAAGTGAAAGAAGCTAATCTGAAAAGACTACATACTGTATGTCTCCAACTGGAGATAGTAAAAACGGCAAAACCATGGAGATAGTAAAAATATCAGTTGTTGTCAGGCACTACTTGAGAGAAAGGGATGAATTGAGTGGAGCCAGATAATTTTTAGTGCAGTGATATTATTCGGTATGATACTATAATTGTAGCTACATGCTATATATTCTTGTCAAATCCCATAAAATGTAAAATAGGAAGGAACCCTAATGTAAACTATGAAATTTGGGTGATAATAATATGTTGATGTAGGTTTATGAATTATAACAAATGTACCACTTTGGTGCATGATGCTGATGATGAGAAAGGCTATGTGTGTGGCAGGGGAAAGGGGTATATGAAATCATCTGCACTTTCTCTTCAATTTTGTCAGGAACCTTGAACTTCTCTAACATATAAAATCTATATTTAAAAAAATAAAGGAGCCCTATTGAAATGTGGGTTAAATGTACATCAACATACACATAATAGGAGTTTCAGCAGTAAAAGACAAAAAGTGACAGAAAACATATTTGAAAAAACAACAGATAAAACTACCTAGATTTGATTTAAAAAAATTAACTTGTGCATTCAAAAATCTCAAATAACTTCAATCAGGATAACTGGAAAGAAATTCACATCCACATACACACATTATAGTCAAACGATAAAAACCAAAGGTACAGAGAATGTCTTAAAAGGTGTAAGAGAAAAAATGACACATTATGTACAATGAGAACTCCAAAAGATTAATAGCTAATTTCTCACCAGAAATAAATAAGGCCACAAGACACTGGGTTGACATAGTCAAAATACTGAAAGTAAAAAACCTGTCCACCAAGAATTTTATGTTTAGCAAAATTATCTCTTTAAAGTTATGGTAAGATAAAGACCCCCCTTGGGTAAACTAAAACTAAGAGAACTTATTGGTACTAGACCTGTCTTACAAAAATTTTGAAAAACATTCTTCAAACTGAAAGTAAGTTGATGCCAGAGAGTAATTCAAATGCACATAATAAAACAAATAGTTACAGCAAATACTTACGTAGATAATTACTAAAGACAATATAAATCCTCATTCATTTCTCTTTCTATGGTTGACTGATTTAAAAAACAATATATTGCATTTCTCTATATTGTTAGGACTATGATATACAGGAAGGTACTGTGTTCAATAATGTCAGCATAAAGGAGGTGGGTGGGAACAAAGTTGTACTGGAATAAGTCTACAGGAGGAAATGAAGAGGATCAGAAAGAATAAAAAAGGCTAATGTAATAAATTATATAAATTTTACTTGATCTCTTTTATTTGCTCAGCCTTTTAAAGCATACATAAGATTGTATACAATAATAATTAAAACAAAAGATTGTATTTGTAACATGTGTACACCTAATATGTATAAAAATGATAGAACAAATATATGTATAATAGAACAAAGGAGAAAGAATGGAGCTATATAGAAGTAGAATTTGTAGACATCATTGGGAATATATATAAATATTAAATTGATTATGATAAATTAAGAACAATTCTGAAAGTTTGACAGAAATTGTTAAGAAAATGACTCAAAAATAATCTAAAAATCATTAAAGGAATTAAAATGTTACACTAGAAAATATCCAATTAATAAAAAAGATGACAATAGTGCAGGATCAGAGGAACAAAAAGGCATCTAACTTATAAAAAACAAAATATAAAATCCAGAGGCAAATCAAACCATATCAACAACAAAATCAAATGTAAACGAATTAAATAATTCAATCAAAATTCTGACATTGTCATATTGGACTAAAAACAAAAACAGAATTAAAGTTGTTAAAATGACCATACTACCCAAAACAGTCTACAAATTCAATACAATTCTGATCAAAATACGAATGACAGTCATCACAGAAATAGAAAAAATCATCCTAAAATTTGTATGAAACCACAAAAGACCTTGAATAGCCAAAGAAATACAAAGAAAAAAGAACAAAGGTAAAGGCATCACATTACCTAACTTCAAAATATATTACTAAGTTATGGAAATAAAAACAGCACAGTATTGATATGAAAACATACATATGTAGACCATTGGAACACAATAGAGAACCCATAAATACATCTATGCATTTACATCCAACTGATTTTCAATAACATTGCCAAGAACCTATATTGAGGAAAAGACACCCTCTTCGAAAAATTATGCTGGGAAAACTGGATATTTACATGCAGAAAAATGAAACTAGACTCCTATCTCTCACCATATACAAAAATCTATTCATGATGGATTAAATATATAAGGTTAAGACCTGAAATTTTGAAAAGAAAGAAAACAGGGGAAACACCTTAAGACATTGGTCTACACAAAGATTTTATGGCTAGACTTCAAAGGCACAGTCAATAGAAACAAAAAATAGACAAATGGGACTATATTAAAACATTTCAGCATAGCAAAAAAAAAAAAAAAATCAGTAGAGTGAAGACGCAACCTGTAGGAGGGTGTAAAATATTTGTGAACTATCCATTCAACAAAAAACAAATATCCAGAATATGCAAGAAATTCAAACAACTCAACAGAAAAAAAAAATCCCACTGAAAAGTGAGCAAATAATCTAAGTAGACATTTTTCAAAAGAAGAGATACAAATGCCTAAAAGATATATTTAAAAATGCTCAACATTTAAGCTTATCATCAGGGAAATGAAAATGCTCCACATTTGATATGCTAATCATCGGGGAAATGAAAATCAAAACCAAAATGAGATAACATTTCTCCCCAATTAGAATGGCTATTATCAATAAGACAAAAAATAACAAATGCTGATGAGAATGTGGAGAACAGGAAGCTCTTACACACTTTTGTTGATAATGTAAATTAGTACAGCCATTATGGGAAAACAGTTTGCAGATTTCTTTAAAAACTATAAATTGCACTAACATATGATGTAGCAATCCCACTCTTGGGTATTTATTTAAAGAAAAGAAAATTAAGATTTGAAGGAATACCTGCACCTAATGTTTATTGCAGCAATATTCACAATAGCCAAGGTAAAGAATTAACCTAAGTGTCCACCAGTGAACAAATAGATAAAGAAAATGTGGTATATATACAAAATGAAATTCTATTCAACCATAAGGAAGAATGAAATCATGTCATTTATAGCAACATGGAGGGGACTGGAAGTCATTATGTTACATGAAATAAGACAGCCACAAAAAGAAAAATATTGCATGTTCTTACTCCTATGTGGGAGCTAATAGTTTTTCTCATGGAGGTTGAAAATAGAATGATAGTTACCAGAATATGGGAAGGGTGAGAGGCAGAGTAAAGAAAGGTTGGTGAATTGGCACAAACATACAATTAGAAGGAATAAGTTCTAATATTGGATAGCACAGTAGGGTGACTATAGTTAACAATAATGTATATTTCACAATAGCTAGAAGAGATTTGAAATGTTCCTAACACAAAAGAATAATAAATGTAAGGTGATGGATATCCTACATCACCTGCTTTGATAATTATGCATGTATCAAAATATCACATATACCCCACAAACATGCATAATTATTATGTATCAATTGATCAATCAACACATTCTTTAAAAAAATCCAACTGTATACAAGAGACACAATTCAGAATCAAAACTACAAATGAAAAGTACAATAATGAGAAAAATAAATTATTAAAAAAACAAATAGAGTAGCTAGCAGATGGGGAAGCAAAATAAACTGTAAACCAAAAACTTTTAGACATAAAGTAGGACCTTTTATGGTAATAAGAAGAGTTAATTCATTAATAACATTAACATTATTAACATAAATGCATTTATTAACAAAATTTAACAATAATAGTTGGGGACTTTAAAACCTCAATTTCAAAAATGGATAGAGCAATGAGGCATAAGATAAACAAGGAAAAAAAATGAACAACATTAAAAACAAACCAGACTGAATAGACATCTACACAACTCTCCACATCAAAACAGCAAGCAGAATACGCATTCTTTTTTTTTTTTTTTTTTTTTTTTTTGAGACGGAGTCTGGCTCTGTCGCCCAGACTGGAGCGCAGTGGCTTGATCTCAGCTCACTGCAAGCTCCGCCTCCCGGGTTCACGCCATTCTCCTGCCTCAGCCTCCAGAGTAGCTGGGACTACAGGGGCCCGCCACCACTCCCGGCTATTTTTTTTTATTAGAGACGGGGTTTCACCGTGTTAGACAGGATGGTCTCGATCTCCTGACCTCGTGATCCACCCGCCTCGGCCTCCCAAAGTGCTGGGATTACAGGCGTGAGCCACCGCGCCCAGCCCAGAATACGCATTCTTTTTAAGCACACAGAGAACATTATCCAGTTTAGATTATATGCTAGACCAAAAATAGAAGCCTCAATATATTTAAAAGAATTAAATTTATGGTATATTTTCCGATGACAATGAAATGAAGTGGATTAAATTAGAAATCAATAACAGGGAGATATCTGGGAAATTTACAAATATGTAGAAGGTAAACACCACACTCCTAAATAACCAATAAGTTAAAGAAAAGTTTGCAAATGTAATTAGAAAATACTTTGAGATAAAGAAAAACATATTTACAACATACCAAAAGTGCATTAAATGCTACTAAAATAGTGTTCACCAGGAAACTTATAGCTGTAAACATTTCTATTAAGAAACCAAAAGATTTCAAATCAATAAACTAAGTTTATACCATAAGAAAATTGGAAAGTGCAAACAAAACCCAAAGGAAGAAGTAGAAAGGAAATAACAATGAGTGAAAATAAATAAATGAAATAAAGTATAGAAAAACAATAGAGCAAATCAATAAAGCCAAAGACTAAATTTTTGAAAATGTTGTGAAACCTGACAAATTGTATCTAGACTGACCAAGAAAAAAGAGATTTAGTTACTAAAATCAAGAATGAAAGACGAAACATCAATTAACAAACACAGAATTACACACATTCACACACACACATATATATATATATATGAATACTGTAAATACTATGAATAACTGTATGCCACTAAGTGAAATGGACAAATCCCGTGGATAATAAATTACTGAAACTGACTCAAGAAAAAATCAGAAAATATAAATTTACATAACAAATAAGATGAGATTAATAATTTCAAAACTTCCTATAAATAAAAAACAAGGCCTCGATGTTTTCACTGCTGACTGAATTCTATCAAGCAGTCAAAAACTTAGAACCAATTGCTCTGAAACACTTAAAATATAGAGCAGGAAGGGACACATCACAGATTATTCTATAAGGCTTGTATTATCCTGATAATTAGACAAAAACATCAACAAGAAGACTACAAATCAATATCTCTTATGAGCATGACCAAGAAAATCATAACGAACATTAAAAAAACAAATTTAGGAAAATAAAAAGAAAGTATTGAAAGTATTATACACCTTAACCAAGTGAGATTTATCCCAGGAATGAGAGCTTAGTTTAATACCTAAAAATCAATTAATCATAGTAGTGGAATAATGAACAAAAGCTATATAGTCTCTCAAACAATGCAGAAAAAGCATTTGAGAAATCCAATACTTATTTATAATTAAAATATTCAGCAAAATAGAAATGGGAAAGAACTTGCTCAAGTAGTTTGACGGCATCTATGAAAAACAGACGAAGTTAATATCATACTTAATATTAAAAGACAATGCTTTATCTTTCTCATTGAAAATATTATGCTAATTGAAATAAGCCAATCACAAAAAAGCATGATTGCCACCTCTATTCAATATCAATACTGGAGTTTCTAGCCAGGGCAATTAGGCAAGAAAAAAGATAAACAGCACCAGACCGAAAAGGGAAAAATAACATGATCTTATGTACAGAAAATCATAATGAATCCACCAAAAACTCTATTAAAACTGAAAAGCAAGTTCAGCTAGATTTCAGACAATGAGACCAAAATAAAAAGTCAGTTGTGTTGCTTTAAACTAGAAGTGAATATTCTGAAGATAAATTTAAGAAAATAATCTGTTTACATAACTTCAAACAGAGTGAAATACTTAAATATAAATTTAACAGAGGAACTGAAAGATTTTTACACTAAAAATACAACACATGGTCAAAAGAATGTAAGGAAGGTTTGAATGAATGGAAAAGCATCCCATGTTCACAGGTTAGAAGACTTACTATTGTTACCAATAATAGACAGAGCCAAATCATGAGTGAACTACCATTTGCAATTGCTACAAAGAGAATAAAATACCTAGGAATACAACTTACAAGGGATCTGAAGGACTGCTTCCAGGAGAACTACAAACCACTGCTCAAGGAAATGAGAGGGCACAAACAAATGGAAAAACATTCCATGCTCATGGATAGGAAGAATCAATAGCGTGAAAATGGCCATACTGCACAAAGTAATTTATAGATTCAATGCTATCCCCATCAAGCTACCGTTGATTTTCTTCACAGAATTAGAAAAAACTCCTTTAAATTTCATATGGAACCAAAAAAGAGCTCTTATAGCCAAGACAATCCTAAGCAAAAAGAACAAAGCTGGAGGCATCACGCTACCTGACTTCAAACTATACTATAAGGCCACAGTAACCAAAACAGCATAATACTGGTACCAAAACAGATATGTAGACCAATGGAACAGAACAGAGGCCTCAGAAATAACATCACACATCGACAACCATCTGATCTTTGACAAATCTAACAAAAACAAGCAATGAGGAAAGGATTCCCTCTTTAATAAATGGTGTTGGGAAAACTGGCTAGCCATATGCAGTAAACTGAAACTGGACCCCTTCCTTACACTTTATACAAAAATTAACTCAAGATGGATTAAAGACCTAAACCTAAGACCTAAAACCATAAAAACCCTAGAGGAAAATCTAGGCAAGGACATGAGCATTGGCAAAGTTTTCATGACTAAAACACCAAAAGCAATGGCAACAAAAGCCAAAATTGACAAATGAGATCCAACTAAACTAAAGAGCTTCTGCACAGCAAAAGAAACTAGCATCAGAGTGAATAGGCAACCTACAGAATGGGAGAAAAGTTTTGCAATCTGTTCTTCTGACAAAAGTCTAATATCCAGAATCTACAAGGAACTTAAGCAAAATTACAAGAAAAAACAACCCCATCAAAAAGTGGGTGAAGGATATGAACAGACACTTCTCGAAAGAAGACATATGAAAGCAAACATATGAAAAAAGGCTCATCATCACTGGTCATTAGAGAAATGCAAATTAAAACCACAATGAGATACCACCTCATGCCAGTTAGAATGGCAATCATTAAAAAGTCAGGAAACAACAGATGCTAGAGAGAATGTGGAGAAATAAGAATGCTTTTACACTGTGGTCTGGAGTGTAAATTAGTTCAACCATTGTGGAAGACAGTGTGAAAATTCCTCAAGGATCTAGAACCAGAAATACAATTTGAACCAGCAATCCCATTACTGGGTATATACCCAAAGGATTATAAATCATTCTACTATAAAGACATGTGCACACATATGTTTATTGCAGCACTGTTCACAATAGCAAAGACTTGGAACCAACCCAAATGCCCATCAAAGATAGACTGGATAAAGAAAATGTGTCACATATACACCATGGAATACTATGCAGCCATAAAAAAGGATGAGTTCATGTCCTTTGCAGGGACATGGATGAAGCTGGAAACCATCATTCTCAGCAAACTAACACAGGAACAGAAAACCAAACACACATGTTCTCACTCATAAGTGGGAGTTAAACAATGAGAGTACATCGACACATGGAGGGGAATATCACACACTGGGGCCTGTAGGGGGGTATGGGGCCAGAAGAGAGATAGCACTGGGAGAAATACCTAATGTAGATGATGGGTTGATGGGTGCAGCAAACCATCATGGCACATGTATACCTATGTAACAAACCTGCACATTCTGCACACGTATCCCAGAACTTAAAGTAAAACAAAAAATATGACAATAATTCCCAAATTGAATTATGGATTTAATGTAATGCCTATTAAAGCCTAGCAGGCTTCTTTGCAGAAATTGACAAACTGATCCTATTATTTGTATGAGAATGCAAGGAATCCACAATATCCAAAACAATCTTGGAAAAGAACAAAGTTCAAAGACTCATACTTCCCAATTTCAGAGTTTGCTATAAAGCTATAGTAATCAGGCATTGTGGCAACTAGCAAAAAGATAGGCATATAGATCAGTAAAATAGAATTGAGAATCCAGAAATAAACCATTACATCTACAATTAGTTTTCCACAAAGGTGGAATGAATAGTATCTCCAACCAATGGTGCTGAGAAAACTGTAAATCCACAGAAAACAATGGACATGTACACTTAACTCACAATATATACAGAAATTAATTTCAAATGAATAAAAGGACTTAAGACCTAAAACTATACAACTATTAGAAGAAAGCATTCATTTCCTTGGGTTAGGCGGTAGTCTTAATACGACACTAAAAGCACAGCAAATGAAAGAAAAAAATAGATGAATTGGACTGAACTGCATAAAAATTAAAAACACTTGTTCTGCAAATGATATTATCAATAATGTGAAAAGACAATCCACAGAATTAGAGAAAATACTTTTAAGTTATACTTCTGATGAGGGACTTGTGTTCGTATATGTAAAAGACTCTTACAACTCAACTATTATTTTAAAAAACAGATTATCCAACTTTAAATTGGACAAATGATTTGCATAGACATTTCTACAAAAGGTATAAGCTAATGGCCAATAAACACATAAAACCATGCTAAAATTATTAGTAATTAGGGAAATGCAAATCAAAACCTTGATGAGATACCACTTTATAACCATTGATATGACTACTTAAAAAGGCAGGCAAAAACAAGTGTTTGTAAGGATATGGAAAAATTTGAATCCTCATCTATTGCTGTTGGAGATGGTTGGCAATTTTTCAAAATGTTAAACATATAGTTATCATATGACCCAGGTATTTTACTCATAAGTATATACCTGAGAAAAAAATATACACACAAATATGCTTACAAAAATGTTCACAGAATTTATTAAATGTGGAAATAATCCATATGTCCATCAATTCATGAATATGTAACCAAAATGTGGTATATTCATCCAAATGAATATTGTTCAACAATATAAATAAATCAAGTACAGCTACATGCCACAACTGGATGAACCTTGAAAACATTCTGCTAATTGAAATAAACCAGTCACCAACCACCACATGTTGTTATAATTTCACAGGCAAATTTATAAAGACGGAAGATAGATTGGTTGTTGCCTCCGACTGGGGTGAGAGGGGCATATATGTAGTTACTGCTAGTGGGTAGAGGTTTTCTTTAGAGGCGATAAAAATGTTCCATAATTAGATTGTGATGACGGTTGCACAACTCTGACAATATACTAAAAGTCATTGAATCCTACAGTTTAAATTGGTGAATTGTATGGTACGTACATTGTATCCCAACTAAGAGCAAGAAAAGAGTCACAATCTCTTCTAGCCTAACCATGAAAGTTACATTATTTTAAATTTGCCATATTCTATTGGTGAGAAGCAGGTTAGCAGGTCAGCCTGCATTAAAGGGCAGGAGATTACACAAAAGTGTAAATTCCAGAAGGCAGGGATCACTGTGGCCATGTTAGAAATCTGCCCACTACAAAAAGCTTTCCTTTTGATATCAGAGAAAAATGTAATAATTATCATGATCACTACTGCTATTTGACACTTTACTGGTGGTGTTACCAACAATTAAATATGACATTCCCCAAAAATGGTATAAGGATAGATCTGAAAGAACAAATCTCTCATTATTTGTAAATGAAATGAATGTGCAGATAGAAAATGCACAAATACCTGCAGATAAAAAATTATAATAAAAAAGCAAAATAAAATTGCTACAAATTAGTATGAAGAAATTTATTATATTCCTATATGATTTAGTTTGAAGATGAAATTCTAGTATATTGTATAAAGAAATGGCAAAATATATAAAGTATTATTAATAAATCTATACAGAAAAAAATATGAAAAATTTTAATAAAAAATTCGCCCAGGCATGGTGGCTTACATCTGTAATCCCAGCACTTTGGGAGGCCGAGGCATGCAAATCACCTGAGGTCAAGAGTTCCAGGCCAGCCTGGCCAACATGGTGAAACCCCATCTCTACTAAAAGTACAAAAAACTTAGCAGGGCACGGTGGCGGGCGCCTGTAATCCCAGCTACTCGGGAGGCTGAGGCAGGAGAATCGCTTGAATTCGGGAGGTGGAGGCTGCAGTGAGCCGAGTTCGTGCCACTGCACTCCAGTCTGGGTGACAGAGCAAGACTCCATCTCAAAAAAAAAAAAAAAGATAGCATGGTATTGGTGGAAAAGTAGACAGATAAATGAATGGAACAGAACAGAAAGCCCAGAAAGTGACTTACTTTCTGATAGAGTTGGTATTTAAGATCAGTAGGAAAGGATACACTTTAAAAAAAATGTTTCTAAAACAACTGGATAGCCTCGTCAAAGGAAGAAAGGAAGGAAAGAAGGGAGGAAGGGAAGAAGAAAGTGAAGCACTATCTCACATCATATATAAAAGAAATTTCCAGATACATTAAAGAAGTTAATATAAACATTAAAATTATAAAGATCTTACATGATAATACAGGAGAAAGTCTTCATTATCCTAAGATAGGAAAGAATACCTTCTGCTCATGAAAAGATACCATGAAGAAAGTGAACAAAAAAAAATAGACAAAGTGGAAGACTCTGTAATTTATACAACTGGCAAAGGGCATGCATACAGAATAGGGGAAAATATAGAAAATACGAAGTGAAATGAACAAAAGCTGTGAATGGGTGCTTCACAAAAGCAGAAATCCAAATGATTAATAAGCATTTGTAAAAAGTGTTTCATCTCATTAGTGATCAGAGAAATGCAAATAAACCACAATGAAGTACTACTAAACCACAGTGAGATACCACCAAATTGCCAAAAACTAAAACATCTTAGGGTTCCATGGAGTCCGTGAGAGAAGCCTGGCTCAAAATAATACATATAATATGATTCCAATCATATGGTTTGCAAAATGCAAGCCAAATACATATATAACTTTCTACATAAAAACATATACACATAATTTTGTAAGGGATGCATAAACAGATGGAATAAGATTTTAAAAGAGAAGCAGGAAATAGCTATCACTAAATCCAGGAAAGTGAGATTGTGTTCACAGAGGAGTACAATGAAAGAGACATACAAACAAAAGAAATAAAAATAAGTATTAGTTTTATAATTAAGTGTTAAACTAGGAATATGCTTTATTTTTCTGTACTATATTATTGATACCACAAAAGAAATTACAATAAATACTTAGAGACAAAATTTACCTCTTGTTGGAGGTAAAAGAGAGCATAGCATGGAGGAAGTTCCAGTGGCTACAATGATATCTGCAGTTTATACTTTTTAAGCTGGTGTCAGATACACATTTTTTCTTTTTAATATTATGTTACATCTTTTATATATGTTAGGTATATACTTTTAATGTGGAAATTATTTTATGATTAAAAATCCTAACCCAGAAAAATCGACTGCACAGTATTGTCTCTAGTGTTCAAGAGCCACTTAAAAATGTTCAGTTGTTATTTGAAATTGCAAGTTAAAAACGAATTGACTCTCTAAAGCAGGGGTGAGCAAACTACAGCCTGCAGGCCACATCTGGCCTGCTACCTGCTAAGAATGGCTGAGAGCTAAGAATGGGTTTTACACTCAAAAGAATAATATGTTATGACAATGAAAATTACATGAAGTTCAAATGTCAGTGTCTATAAATGAAGTTTTTTGCAACAGAGCCACAGATATATTGCTGTCTGCTTTCTCTACATCGGCATAATTGAGTAGTTGTGAAAGAGGTAGTAAAGTCCACAAAGCCAAAAATATTTACTACCTGGGCCTTTTCAGAAAAAGTTGGCCTACTCTGTTCTAAAATACTTTATGGTTGTCCCTTGCTTTCAGAAGCCAGAGGGATGAGTGGCTCCCCATGTGTTCAGCTGCCTGAGGAAGATGCTCTCCTGAGCTGGGGCAGCTTGCATGGAAATGAGCATCATCACCTACAACAGGGGCTGCTTTTGCAAATTACCTACAGCCTCCATCTCTTCATTCCACCCTCCACCAGGAGCCCTCACAAGGGCTGACAGGGAAGCTGGGAGCCCTCTCCAAGAGCACAGTAAATTTTGATTCCTGTAGGGGATGCTGCTATATGGAGCTTTGGGCTGAGTTGAGAACTGAGAAAAAGCCAAGGCTTCTAGGTTTGAATTGTAACTCTGTGGTTTATCAGTTATGAAATTACAGGAACTTTGTTTGTTTTTATGGTTTTTGGTTTCTTTTTCCACAAAAGGACTAAGACCCACTTTAAAGAATTTTTATGAGAATTAGGGATACAACATGCAAACTTTCTGCAAATAGTAGGCATTCAATTAAAAGAAGCTATTAGTATTCACAATTATCAATTCAGGAGGTATCAGCGCAAAAGAGAAAAATTCAAACTAGCCTCTGCGGTATTACTAGATTTCAACTCTAAGTCCTTAAAGACCTCAGGTGCCAGGAAATGGCACAAGAGTGTAATTAATTAATTCAGGAAGACAGGGCTGGGAAGTCCCCAGCCAGCTCTTTTATCATCCTAAGTGATTTACCAGCCCCTTATCTAGACTCTGGTCTGAATTCAGTTTTATAGGGCCCCTCCCAAGGCACTTAGGCACCTCTTACTCAAATATCTCAACTCACTTTACAATTTCAGGTGATCCTCATTGTATCTAGGGCACTAAGGTTAAGAGCCAAAGTCTCAGCAAGTTACCAAGAAAATAAAAGTCTTCGAAAATACATCACTGTGAAGAGAATTCCTCAGACAGAGGTTGACCTTTTAGGGCCATTCAGGAAGAAGGGCCGTTTCAACCTTAACTATAAAAGAAGATGAGAGTCCATGGCATTATCTGTTTATTCATATTAAAATACTTGATAATTAGGATAAAACATGGATATTTAAGAATGAGAATGACTGTAATTAAGATGACACTGAATTCAGCCTGCTTTCAATTTAACTAGGTATAAAATTAGATTATTAATGTATTGAAACATGACATAGCAAATTATCCCTGTTGCCAATTCTTGGAGTCTTACATTAGCTGGCTTATTTGAAAGGATTAGAAGTAAGTGAGAAAATTATTTCAACATTATGTCAAACAAAGCCGGACATCATGTAGAGAAAAATGAAAGGTCCTTATTTCTGGGGAGGTGACGGTGGATTAGGAGATAGAGTTGTAAGAGCCCCACCCACACACAAGGTGAAGAGCCTCCCAGAGAACCACAGTTGGAGGCTTGGACCACTGCCAACAGAGTTCTCCTTGCCAGATGTCTAGGAGTGGAGTCCAGACGTAAAGTCTGTGGAGATGCCTCTACATCTGTTCCTCCTGGGAGAAGCCTAGAATAAAAACACAGGCTCCCTTTGCACTTCTTACTCTTCATGGATGAAGGAAGAGCCGATGGCCTTTTCAGATACCTCAGAAGTCTCAGAGATAATAATGGTGAGAACAAGAGTCACAGCACTCATAGTGTCCAGGGGGTGTTGCTGTGCTGGGACTTGGGCTAGGTATTTCACAGGCAGTATCTCATCTAATCTACAAAACAACCTTATGGGAGCCTAAAAATGTTCCTGTTTACACATGAGGAAACTGAGGCTTGGTGAGGAGGAGTAAATTCCCCAGGGTTCCACACCAAGCAAGTGACAGTTCTGAACTCTGTCTCCAAAGCCCATGGTGTTTGTCTTTACACTATTGTTGCCCTCAGACCCTCCTCATGCACCTCCCTGATACACTCTCACTATCACCCTTGTGGTGGGCAATGGTTCCATTCCATAAATGCATGTCACTGCAATATAAGAATATCTGCAAGTCCTGGTTTGTTTTAGTTTCACCTGGTTTTTTGTTTTATTTCTTTTTATGATCTGCATCCACAACTGTCTGTGACACTGGCTATTTATTTCTCAGTTCTTGGAGATCATAGACTGTATTTACAGAACTTTCCTTATATACCATTTAGCTAAGTGTCACACACTAAGAGATCAAGAAAACATATTTTTCTGGTCAGAAGGATGTGCCTTTGCTCTATTCGATACCTAATTCTACTTCTCAGGGAGAAGGATAGAGAGTCCAGCCATTGTCCAACATGGAGTGCCTGCCCCTCAGATGATGTTACTCTGAGCAAGTCAAAGAATTTGGCTGTGTGACAGAAGAATAGGTGGCTTTCAACTTATTAGGAAACTGTACCCAAAAGACTCATCCCGTGTACCATAGCAGCCTAGACCTAGGATTGAGTTCTGGCTTGACCGCTTACTGCATTCCTAACTTCGATGGAGTTACCTAATCCGTCCAAGCCTCAGCATTCTCATTTGTAAAATACAGGTCCGCTGGTGATTTGACCGCTTGTTCTCCAGGCTGGGTCAAGATCAGCTGGACCACTCTTGCTGACCAGGCTCACTTTATCTCCTCTGGCACTGTGGAAGCCCTTTTGGTCCTGGACTACATTCTTCATCACTTCTGAGGTTTAGACTAAACACTTTCAATGGAGATGCAATGGGGACATCTCTCAGCCAGACTCAGCATCTCACTGGCAGGCCCCAAGCCTCTGAAATCAGCCACCTCTGCTCTTCCTGAAGAACATTCAGAAGCCCATAGAGGCTGACTCATGTCTTCTCTGCCTGAATGTGCCACATTTCCACTTTTGCTACTGATGCCCATGGTGCTTGTGAGATGACCCTGAGGAGTGGCTCCTCGTAGATGCACTTAAGGAAGGGGCATTTACTTCTTCATCTTTAACTCTCCCATCAACCTGCCTAACTCTACCCTTCCAGGATTTTCCCTAAAGCAGGAATACGAATCCTGAAACCCATGCTTCTCGGATGACTGCCTCTTCTGCCTCACATGTACTGTCTCAAAACTGGAAAGGCTTCCTTTTCTCTCCCTTCTTCATGGAGATAATCTTTCCTATAGCGCGTCCTCCTCGGCAAGAGGTGGCTCGTGCCTTAAGGTTCTCAAGGATCCAAAGGGCAGGATGGCTGTAGGGGAACAGGACTTGTGATTGGGAACATGGGGAAAATAAAACTTAGTATACATTTAATATCTTGACAATATTATTATCATCATGTACTTTTTCATCTAACAATCATGGTAATCCAATGAGGTAAGCATTATTCTCCTTTCACACAAAAATACTGAGGCCCAGGGAGACTCAGTCTCTTCTCTAGGTCACATAGCATTTGACCTCTGTTTTGCCTAAGTACAAAAACCTTGCTTTTAGCACTCCACAATCCCATCTCACACCACTGAAGATATCAAGCAGAGGACAAACACTCCCTTATCTTGTCTTATTCAGGTGGTTAAACTAGTTGTTAGAAATTTGAACTCAATGACCTCTGAGGTCTTTCTAAGGCTGAAATTCAATGTTTCTATATTTCTGATTCTCTGTTATGTGAGTTTACAGATTCCTGTGACTCTTTTCCCTTTTCCATCTTCTCTTCAAAGAATGTCTGAAAAGCCCAACAGAAGTGGATTAGGTCCCCTTTAAAACTCTCTGAAGGACCCTACAATCACATCATAGCAGCCACATAACTGTCCTGAGGGGAGGTTTTCTCCATAATTCACTCCATGCACTGGAGCTGGATAAGAGATACATAATTTATACAGGCAATTACACATCAATTGGTTATTAAAAGTGCCCTCATTGAGATGTACTGTATTGAGGACACAGAGATAAATCTGGTTCCCCAGGTAACCGGATCTAGCTCGCAGATGGAAGACAAATTTTCTGATTTGGGATTGGCATAACTTCTCCTGACCCTGCTGGTCTCTGCCTGCAGTGCGGTGCTCTGCCCGTGTGTGGGTGGGTGAAGGCGGGAGCAGCCGTGAGAAAGCCACAGTATCAATACTACTCTCGCAGTTTTCTCGGGGCTCTTTTCTCCTAGGAAAAATAATTATTTTTCTAATTAATTAAACATTCACTCAATCATTCATTCATTCATTAATCCATCTATTTAAATAATAAATAGTAATACTAACTACCGAGCTAGATGCTGGGGAGACATAAGAATGAAAACGGTGCTATTCCTCCCTTTGAAGAACTGACTGTTAGCGAGGAAAGACACAAGCAAACAAATAATTGCGAATATTTTGAAAAGTACAGAAGTGGAGTGAAATACAAATGAAAATGTGGTGGAGGGAGCCATTTGCTCTCTCCAGGGCAGCTAGAAAAGGCTTCACATAGGAGGTTAGAGATGAGCAAAGCCCTATGGTAATAAATGAAAGATCGCCACACAGATAGTGGAGAGGCAATCTAAAAAGAGGAACAAGGAGGTGCAAAAGAACAAAGTTTTACATCTAATTAAGGGTATAATGTATATCTGGAGGAAATAACTACAGGTATACCTTGGAGATACTGCAGGTTCAGTTCCAGACCACAGCAATAAAGCAAATGTCACAATAAAGCAAGTCACACAAATTGTTTGATTTCCTAGTGCATATAATAGTTACATTTATACTACATCATAGCATATTAAGTGTGCAACAGAATTATGTCTTAAAAATGATATATATATCTTAATTTAATAATACTTCACTGGTTTAAAATGCTAACAATCATCTGAGCCTTCAGTGAGTAGAAATCTTTTTGCTGGTGGAGGGTGATGCCTCTGTGTTGATGGTTGTTTACTGGTCAGGGTGGTGTTTGCTGAAGGTTAGGGTGGCTGTGGCAATTTCTTAAGATAAGACAATGAAGCTTGCCACATTGACTGATTCTCCCTTTCATGAAATATTTCTCTGTAGCATGTGATGGTGTTTGGTAGCATTTCACCCACAATAGAACTCTTTGAAAATTGGAGCCAATCCTTTCAAATCCTGCCACTGCTTTATCAACTAAGTTTGTATAATATTCTAAATCCTTTGTTGTCATTTCAACAATGTTCACAGACAGCATCTTCACCAGGAGTAGACTCCATCTCAAGAAATCACTCTCTTTGATCATCCATAAGAAGCAACTCCTCATCCACCAACATTTTATTATGAGATTGCAGCAATGCAGTCACATCTTCATGTCCCACTTCTAAAAGTCTCTCACTATTTACAACACATGTGCAGTTACTTCTTCCACTAACATCTTGAACCCTCAAAATTATCCATGAGAGTTGGAATCATTTTCTTCCAAACTCCTGTTAATGTTTATATTTTGACTTCCTCCCATTAATCATGAATGTTATGAATAGCATCTAGAATGGTGCATCTTTTCTAGAAGGTTTTCAGTTTACTTTTCCCAGATCCAACAGATGAATCACTATGTATGGCAGCTGTAGCTTTACAAAAAGCATCTTTTAAATATAAAGACTTGAAAGTCAAAATTACTCCTTGACCCATGGGCAACAGAATGAATGTATTAACAGACATGGAAACAATATTAATCTCCTCGTACATCTCCATTGAGCTCTTCAGAGACCAGGTGCATTGTCAATGAGCAGTAATAGTTTGAAAGGAATCTTTTTTTCTGAGAAGTAGATCTCAACAGTGAGCTAAAAATACTCAGTAAACCATGCTGTAAACATATGTGCTTTCATCCAGACTTTGTCGTTCCATTTATAGAGCACAGGAAGACTAGATTTACCATAATTCTTAAGAGCTCCAGACTTTTTTGAATGACAAAGGAACATTAGCTTTATTTTAAAGTCACCAGCCACATTAGCCCCTAACAAAAGAGTTGTTTTGTCTTTTGAAGGTTTGAAGACAGGCATTGGCTTCTCCTCTCTAGCTATGAAAGTCCTGGATGGCATGCGTATTAGTCCGTTCTGCTATAAAGAAATATCTGTGACTGGGTAATTTATAAAGAAAATAGTTTCAATTGGCTCATGGTTCTGCAGGCTGTACAGGAAGCATAGTGGCTTCTGCTTCTATGGAGACCCCAGGAAACTTACAGTCATGGTGGAGGGTCAAGGGGGAGCAGGCACGTCTTACGAGGCCAGAGGAGAAGAGGGAGACGGGGAGGTGCCACACACTTTTAAATGACCCAATCTCATGATAACTCACTTGCTCACTATCATGAGAACAACACTGAGGGGATGATGCCAAACCACTGGTGAGATCCTGCCCCCATGAGCCAATCATTTCACACCAGGCCCCACCTCCAACACTGGGAATTACAATTTGACATAAGATTTGGGTGGAGACACAGATCCAAACCATATCAGCATTGTCTTCCAATTAAAAGCTGTTTAATCTACATTGAAAAATCTGTTGTTTAGTATAGCCACCTTCATCAGTTATCTTAGCCAAATCCTCTAGACAACTTGCTACAGCTTCTACGTCAACACAAAACTACTACATCTTGTAATTTTACGTATGAAGATAGCTTCTTTTATTAAACCTCATAATCAACGTCTGCTCTCTCCAAACTTTTCCTGCAGCTTCCTCACCTCTGTCTATCTTCAGAGAGTTGAAGAGAGTTAGGGCTTTACTTTGTATTAGGCTTTGGTTTAAGGGAATGTGGTGGCTGGTTTGATCTTCCATCCAGACCACTCAAACTTTCTCCATATCAGCAATAAGGTTGTTTTGCTTTCTTATCATTTGTGTGTTCACTGAAGTAGCACTTTTAATTTCCTCCATGAACTTTTTCTTTGTATTTACAACTGGGATGTTTCTAGCAAGAAGCCTAGATTTTGGCCTATCTCCACTTTCAAAATGCCTTCCTCCCCACATTTAATCATTTCAGGGGTTTCCTTTAAAGTGAGAGATGTGGGACTCTTCCCTTAAACACTTAGAAGCCATTGTAAAGTTATTAATTGGCATAATTTTAATATTTTTATGTCTCAGGGAATAGGGAAACCTAAGCAGAGGGAGAGAGATGGGGAAAACGCAGATCAGTGAAGCAGTCAGAACACACATCACATTTATCAATTAAGTTCGCTGTCTAATATGGGACTGGTTTGTGGTGCCCCAAAACAATTACAACAGTAGCGTCAAAGATCACTGATCGCAGATCACCATAACAGATATGAGAATAATTAACAATTGTAAACATTGCAAAAATTACCAAACTGTGGCCCAGAGACACGAAGTGAGCACATGCTTTTGGAAAAATGGTGCCAACAGATTTGATAGACCCAAAGGTTGCCACAAACCTTCAATTTGTAAAAAATGCACAAGGTATGTGAAGTGCAATAGCGTAAATAATAAAATGAGGTCTACCTGTACAGAGGACATGCTGGTGCATTTATACCTCTTGGCAACAATAGGTGTAGAAAAATTTAGTAATTCTATTGCTAATGAACTGGATTCGCTGCACCAACATCTTCTGAGAAGGTTTTGTTGTTGTTGTTTTGTTTTGTTTTGTAAATACAGAAATCTTGATTTAGCAGGTCTAGGGCTGGACATATGAATCTATGTTTCAAAAATCTCTCTGAGTGATTCTTTTGAAAATGAGGCTAAGATAACACCTGAGAAAAAATGTGTTCATGTCTAGGCTGTTACCTTCCTAAGTCCTCTTTCATATACCTGGGCTGGACCCTTGAGGCCTTGTTTAGTCATCAACTCCCAAGCAATTTGCTTAATGTCATCTATCAATTGTATCCCCAGAAGAGCCTATGTTTTTCCACTTGTGTTTGAGATTCGGGAAGGTGCCCAGACATACTGACAGTCCTTTGGCACCAGCTCCCAGGGATATGGCAGCAGTGAATCTAGAGACCCAGGCATGCCAGAGGTGCAGAATAGCAGGATGCCTCTGCCTTCCCCATGTAAACCTGACCCAGAATTCCCATGATGGGGCTCAGGCATAAGACTGATGTATTCTATGCTTTGGGATTTAGGGGAACTTCTCTTCATTAAGCACAGCATGTGACGTTTAATAAAATGTTAGAAACTCTTCATTAAACAACCTGTGAACAAAATATATTGGCCACGTCCACACAAAGCAGTATTATAAGTCACTATGGAAAATACAGGTAGCTTTTATAATCTAATTGGAGAAGGAAGTACCCTACACACATGTGAATAGTAGCTGTAGTAAGTCAATAATCAAATGATAATATTTTTTACTTGCCTCTGATAAGATAGGTTAATGGCCTGGAAAGTAATATTTAGTGATGATATAGTTTCTTTGAGTACTCAGAAGTAAGAAACTGTTAAGAACTCACAAAAGAAACAATACTTACCCCCTAGGAGCTATTGCTGTGAAAAATGCGTCACTTTATAGCTTGTTTCCCCCTTGGTTTTATTGCCTATCAAAGTTAGAAGAGAAAAATTAACATTTGTAGAATGCTTATTATGTGACAAACAACAGGCTCACCACTTGTGGCATGTATTACTTTGTTTCAGTCTCTCAAAGATACAGTGAAGTTGGTACTTTTATCATTCGTTAGAGGTTGGGAGATACATGCACTTTGCCCAGGGTCACCAACCAGGTAGTCAGGGAAAGAGCTGCAATGACCCAGCTGGTATGCTTTCCATGACATTCTTCTCTCTCTATTAGTGGCTTCCTCGGATATTGTCATCCAGTACAGTTAAACTAGGTCGGTAGGGGGTTTGGAGAACCCCTGAAATTCTCTGCATTCATTCTGGGACAAGAAGAGAATGTAGATAAGATAGGAACTCTAGGCCGGGCACGGTGGCTTACATGTGTAATCCCAGCACTTTGGGAGGCCGAGGCAGGCGGATCACCTGAGGTCGGGAGTTTGAGACCAGCCTGACCAACATGGAGAAACCCCGTCTCTACTAAAAATACAAAATTAGCCGGGCACTACTAAAAATACAAAATTAGCCGGGCGTGGTGGCACATGCCTGTAATCCCAGCTGCTCAGGAGGCTGAGGCAGGAGAATTGCCTGAACTCAGGAGGCGGAGGTTGTGGTGAACCAATATCACATCGTTGCACTCCAGCCTGGGCAACAAGAGTGAAACTCCATCTCAAAAAAAAAAAAAAAAAAAGAAAGAAAGAAAGAAAAGGTAGGAACTCTACAACAAATTACTGGCTTGAATTCAAACTTTCTATAAATACTCATTTTGTTTGTTGTTTTTCACAATAAATATTGTACTTCCTACACTGTTTTAGAGGCTTGGGTTATAACAGGGAACAAAATATTTGAAAATCCCCCATCCTCATGGAATTTCCATTCTAGAAAGAGAACTAACACAATCCAACTAACACCATAAATGAGTAAATAATGTAACATATTAGAAGATCAAAGTGTTATGGAAAAAGAAATAGTGCTGACATCATAGCCAATCACAGCTCTGATCAGCTTCAGATAAGCAGAACTGCCACTTTGAACCAATTCAATTCCAAATGAAGGAAAAAGACACAGATATTGTAGTTCACCTGTTGCACTGTTCCTCAAATAAACACATATTTTTCATGTTTGAAATAGTAAAAATACTTCACAGGCCCTCTAAGGACCTTTATGAATGTGTAGGTTGGCTTTCCTTTATCTGTTGGTCTCCATTTTCTCTACCCTAATTAGTCATCAAAACTTAGGTACAAGAGAATCATAAATGAAATATGAAGAACCAAGAAAAAATAAAAAACCAAGAAGATGTGAAGAGTCAAGAGTGAGTGGGGCTAGGCTGTGCACAGTGGCTCTCGTCTGTAATCCCAGCACTTTGGGAGGCCGGGGTGGGCAGATCACCTGAAATCAGGAGTTTTTGAGACCAGCTTGAGCAACGTGGTGAAACCCCATCTCTACTAAAAATACAAAAAATTAGTTGGGTCTGGTGGCAGGCACCTGTAGTCCCAGCTACTCGGGAGGCTGAGGAAGGTGAATCTCTTGAACCCGGGAGGCAGAGGTTGCAGTGAGACGAGATTGTGCCACTGCACTCCAGCCTGGGCAACAGAGCAAGACTCAGTCTCAATAAAAAAAAAAAAAAAAAAAAAAATAGTGGATAGTGGGGCTCAAATGCATGCCTAAGGCAGGCTCCCTCCTTCACTAAAACTCTGTCCTCTACTCCCTTGACCAAGACTGAAAAATGAGTAAAATCTTATCCTGTGTGCAGAAGACGAAAGGAGGTGACTGTTCCAAGACACAGCACCCATACAGTGCACTCATCCAAGAAATCCAGTTTACTCTCAAGGATGTTTATTTTCCAGAAACAGTTGCCCCAGGAACCTCTGAAATTATAAAATCCTCAACCTTGAAATTAGAGTTAGTTCTAGTCACTGAGCTACTGAATCGGGGGCAGGCCTGACATTCTCACCAGCCCCTTTCGGTGAGTTGTGTGTGGGGAGTCTTTGGGCAGCAACAACCTTAATAGCAGAGATAGACTCAGAGAGGATCACAAAGATAAAGTGAATCTGATGAGTTTCTGGACATGAGGACTTTTCCTGGGGTCCTGAAAAGAAATTGAGCTGCATTTTCTTTCTTGGGCCAGAGAAGAATTTGCTCCTCTCTTTAACTCACCCCCACCTCTTCCAGAAACTGGTCTTATCTCTAGAGTATTTCTTTAAGGATACATAAGGAATATAGAATGAGACCTCAAAAACCTACATTCCATATGAAAGGAGATAAATAAGCTGATTTTTTTTCCTGAAAGTCTCTAGTGGTTGCAAAGGGACCCGATTAACAAGAGAAGGTAAATCAGAATAATTCAGTTTTCTCTTCCATTTCCCTGTGGCCATCCTCCCAGGACTGTTTGTCGCTAGGCATTTTTGAAGAGCAGGCTCCTCTTGGACTCTGATCCCTTTCATCCATCCCGGTGCTGGGCTAGGGATGCAAACCGTGGCAGGGGAGATGACAGACACGCATCACTGGTGCCGCTAATGCAGGAGGTGCAAGGCAACTGCAGGGCTGGGTGATGTGATTCACGGTGGCCTCTGTATCTGAGACCCCTGTCTCTCCTTCTCTCTGATGCTTTTTCATTTCTGCAACATTAATGGGAATGAATACAGTCATACTTTAAAATAAGATGTTTAAAAACTCCCTCTTCTGGAATGACTAACCGTTTCCTCTCCTACAGTCCATGGGTTCCAAGTTTTTCTCAAAGATCCTCTTCTTAATGGACTCATCCGCCCACTCTAGCTGGATCCTCCCAACCCTCTTCTTTTGACTGTCTAACATATTCGCCAGTGTCCACATTTCCATGTCACTCTTTCCTGGTTTTCAATGAGTCCTAAATTGATAACCAGGCTGCAGAAACAATTGAAGACTGGGAGTGCAGTAATTCTTCCGGCATCACCATTAAAATCTAAAACAAACAGTTTTCTACATAGTCAGGGTGCGTATAATGGGTACGGGGTAGGTATGTGTCGGGGAGACGGTAACTAATCATAAATAGTTTACTGGGTCTCACAAATGACCTCAGTTAGCACACATTCTTCAGGCAAATCTTGTAATATTTCTCTATCTTTCCTGTTTTCACTCTGTCTATAGCCAGCATTGATGATAAGATTTCCCTGATACCACATTCGATGAAGTCTTCAGTTCATCCTTGATACTTGCTGCACTGACATGTATTAACAAACAGCATCTCTGTTCTGTCTTTTGGAAATGTTCTTCCCCATCACAGTGCTCCCTGTATCCACCTTCCCCATCACAGTGCTCCCTGTATCCACCTTCCCCATCACAGTGCTCCCTGTATCCACCTTCCCCATCACAGTGCTCCCTGTATCCACCTTCCCCATCACAGTGCTCCCTATATCCACCTTCCCAGAGAGCCAGCAACCCTCATAGCACCCACAAGACTGGCCTGCAAGATCCAGCATCATTACTCCCCTCTGGACTTTCTCACCCACAATGCCCCATTTGCTCTTTCCCATCTCTAAGCAGTGGGACTCCACTGATGTGGGAAAAGGAGAAGGAAAGAGACCCAAGGCATTCAGGACAGGCTGATTCACCTACATGCTTTTCTCTCAAAGGCCACTCTCTAACTCCAAATATGCTTGGATAAATGAAAGCTATAGCAAGAGGTTTGGCTTTTTTGACCTTCATGCTTGAGAACCTACAAGAAAGGTGTTCATTAACTGGTACCCTTAAATCACTCCAAATGTGGCCTTCTGCTGGAGCCCCCATCACAAAGTGTAATTATTTATTGTGTCTTTAAAGATTCTTGTTACCTTCACTGTCTTCTCTTACTCTTTTGCCCTTGAGAGCTGAATTTGTTGGAAAAGAAAGAAACCCCACTTCAGGGGTGCAGTGGTTCCATATGAGTGTGAAGTTACATCAGAGACCCTGAGCAAAAACAACCCTATAAGTTTCCCGAAAAAGCATAAGAAAAACATTGCTATTTAAGACTTTCTGTGACTCAGGAAAGCTAGCAATTTTACCCTATATTTGCATAGTTATCATTTACAGGTATTTTCCTCTAATTAATTTGGTTTAATTTATTTCAGCCCATACAGGTATAAATGTTATCCACTTTATATATAAGGGAAACTGAGACTTTGAGAGGTAGAGTGATGTGCTTAAGGTCCCATACTGCTAGATGAGACCAGCTACAGAATTTGCAGAGTGTCTTGTTAAAAACAAATGAATAAATAAATCCAAGAATTTCAAGACGACAATAGCAGAGCATTAAACCAACTTGTAGTCCCTCTAAGCAGGGAGCCCATGTGACAATCACGACCCGGCTACTAGACAGACACGGAGCCAGGAATCACATGCAAACCTTTGAAGTCCAAGTCCATCTTTCTCATCACCCTCTGGCTGGATTAGGATTCAGTCCCTGGCTTTCCTCCATTCATGGCTGTGACATTGCCCATACACTGCTTAAGTGACATGGATCCCAGCTTCTCCTCCTATAAATCAAGGGATTAGAGAAAATTGTCACCGTAGTTTTATAATCTTTTCCCCCTAGATCCTTGAGCTCTAGTGGACAACTATCTCTACCATGATTCTGTGAATGAAGGAAAAAAAATTCATAAATAAATGTCCGTATTTTTAAATAGTCAATGTATCTTACATTAGTTTGAAATTCTCTATCTCATATCCAGCTCCTCCTCCTACTTGGGTTTATTCTATTCTTTAAGTCTGATTATTTGAAAAGGGAAAATAAAAGAAAGACAGACAAACAGAGAGAAACAGAGAAAGAGAGAGAAAGAAAAGAAGCCCTAAAGACGCTGGCTGTGCAGATGGCTCCAGACCTCCACTTCTACTCTATTATCAGCAGACTTCACTCCAGGGATGATACACTCTGCAATTTGTATGAGAAAGACACGTTTTTGAAACCATAGTGGTTATTATTGCAGAAGCTCCTGCCTCAAGCAGCCGTTTTAATGTTTTTCTCCCTGAAATCTGAACATATTCATCAAACTGTGTTGTGCTCCTGGACTCGCAATTAATCACGGCTCATTTCAAGCTTTGTTAATTAATACCAAGGCCAGGGACCCAGTGGAGGCCGCAAATTTAATCTGCAGTGTTTTAAAATTATTATAATCTGCTAAAGGAAGAGCTGTTGGATTTTAAATAGTTTTTAAAAAAATTTCAACACTGCATTGCCAAAAAATTAAAAGCGATTTATGATAATCTTGGTGAAGGAACCACCCTGAAATAGCATCTTTTTGTTATTGTTAGCTGACATCTGGCCAGCAGAGGGAGTAGAACTGAACTAGAGGCACCATGTTGCCGGAGCTACAGACTTAATAATGTAAAGATGGAGAAAGAAACCAAAAGGAGACCGACCATGAGGTATGTTCTGGCAATAACAGAATCAGCATGAGAGGGGAGGATTCCCAGTAGGATCTGGTGTGGTGAAACTAGGGTAAAATATATTTCTTTTTCTCACCTTGAACTACTAAATGGGAAGAATCTCTGAGTATGAACTCCACTTACTGAGAGAGAGGGCATTGCTAAACTAAAATGATTTCAAAGGGATGAGGAAATAGTTTGTCTGGAATTACACTCAATGGAGTGGTTTATCTCATTAGACTGAGATTACTGTTGTGTTTCATGCTTTGTTTTTGGGGGCTGCACTCCCCCCTAATCTGGAGGAAGGTACTCATCCATTTCTGATGAGTACTTTATTTCATGATCCGAACATCTGCAGCAGCACCATCCAGCCGTGATTTCTACATTGCTTCCTACCAGTGCTTCACATGTTAACTCAGTTGTTGAACATTTTGATTTTGAAATAAACCTCAAGAGGACCAATGATCTCAGGTTATTAATAGAACAACACCAAAATATTCCAGAAAAATATAAGAATTTGTGAGTAAATAAGTATTCATGTGTAAAGACCTTGAAGGAATGACTTTCTACAATGCTGAGCATGGTATACACAGCTTTCTAAAAACTGTCTCTGGTGGAACCTGCCTACATCACCTGCCCCACTTTCAGTCATTCCAAATTTCCTACATCCCAAACACCTTGATTTGTTCAGTCATCCCAAATACCTCACATGATGTTCCCTTAGCCTTGAATTCCATCAAGATTCTGTTCATACTTCAAGATCCACACAAAACTTACCTTTCCTCTGAGGATGTCCTCATTTCCTGCAAGAGTTCTTATTCAACAATTGCACATGTTTGTGTGCATATGTACGCCCACCCTTACCATGCTGCTTTCTAAATAATGTGTATATATTTTTCATTACAGGTACAGATACTTACAATACATTATATTAGATAATAAACAGATAAATAAAAAGGCATAAGGCTCTGCCTGCAGACTTTAAGTTGCTGGAGTGGTGCCATTGCCATTTCCTTCTTTTATATTCTCAGCCCCTAGGACGGTGCCTTTGATGTAGTAGGTGCTTGATACTTTTTTTGAATGAATCACTTACATGATTTACTAGAGGTCACTCTAGGTCTAGTCTTATTTTATAAAAAGGAAACTGAAGCACTAGCAGGGCAAATTGCTTGTGTAAAGTCACATAATTAATTATCAAACACATTTGGCATAATTCCAAGCCACAGAGTGCTCATTTCCTTAGGTAGACAGCCTCAAACAAATTCCTGTTCTTTAGAGCTGCATAATCTTCAAGAAACCACATAATTACAAGCAAGGCAGGACATGGGGGTGGGGCATAAAGAATACTGAAGTCATCTATAAGCGATATGCAGAGCCACAAATAGAGCCCACAGCTAATCAATTTGGGGGTGGAGTACAAATTAAGAGTGAGTATGAAACCAGTCCGATTGTCCCATACAACTAATATGTATGCTTTTTTTTAAGTAAACATAAAAATTGATTCTCCCTGGTCTTAAAAGTTGTAGCTTAGATTGTTTCATTTGAGTTCCTTCCTCAGGAAACCAACACTCAGCCAAAGGAGTGAAACTTACTAGATCACCACATCCAGACAATGAGACACCACACCCCTCATCCATCATGATGACTTCCTTACTCCCCTCTAATTCCTGTTTTCCCACGTCCCTGCTATATAAACCTCCCAATTTTATTGGTCAGAGGGATGAATTTGAGACTTTATCTCCATTTTCCTCAGCTGCAGCACCCTATTAAAGCCTTCTCTTTGATAACACTTGTTGTCTCAGTGATTGGCATTCTGCGCAGTGGGCAGCAGAGCCTATACTGAACTCTTGGTGTTTTGGTAATGAGTCTAGCTGGAGAGCTCTCACATAGGTTGAAAGCTCCAGGTCAGTGTTAATGAGTCCTGTCTCTGCCCACTCTTCTCCATTTTTGAGACCTAGGGAGAACAATTTAGAGATTCAGATTAAAAAAAAAATTAAAGCAATCTGAGGTATTATTTCCACAAGCAAATGCCCACAGATATTTCCCAGATGGGGAAATGGACCAGCTCATGTGGCCCATGACTATTCTTTTTAGTCTAAATCATGAAAGCAAACATTTGTTTGGGGCCAAGAGCAGAGGCTACTGCTCTAAGACAAAATTGTAATGCTTTCAAGGCCCTTGAGGGTAATATAAAAGTGAAGAGCTGAATGTGAGAAGGGAAAGATGCCAGAAACCTGAACTCAAGGGTAGATACACCTAGCCTTGCCTCAATGTCAAAGACACAGTGAGAACTTGAGGTGGGTGGTAAGCCTGCGAGCTGTCAGGTTGCAAGGGAACAGCACATGATGATGTGGCTCAATGTTGCTAGATATTTCTATTATACGAAAAAAAAAGCCAAAACCCAGATATGTGTGTGTCCTTTCTTGATTTTTTTAATACTCAACAGCTATTTCTCTGTGTGGATCAACTCAGAAAGAGACATGTCTTCAGGCTGTGAATCACAGAAGCATGGCCCCTGTCTGAAAGCTACACATTTCTCAAGGAATGCACTTTGCTATTGGGCCGAGGAAGAGAATCTCATTTCTAAGAAACTTTTTTGGGTGGCAGATGTTGGGGAGGAGGAGGGGGGATTTTATGCATTTTCCTTTGAGTAGTTTAGGTAGGAATTTATACAATTTCTTCTACATATTGTCAGGAAAAATAAAACCTCTGCCTCAGGAAAGTAGGCCAATTTATAAATGGTAGATTTTTGAAAAGATCTCAATTTAAAATTTTCTTTATTGTAGTCAAATGAATCACTTCTTTGTGGCTTCTAAGAGTCACAGAACACTGCAAGGTGGGAGTTGTCCACAGTGGGTAAATGGCCCGGGGTAGGCCAGTTCTGGTAATGTAGACAGCTGCTAGGTAGTCACTGGGAGAGGTCCTGCTTACTTTGAAGGAAGTCCTCTCTGTCCCAGAAGGTGCTAGGAGAAAGTGGTGGCAACAATGGTTCTGGACTGAGCAGCTGTCTCTGCAGAGGCCCCCTGCCTATTGGGCAGTCTTTAAACAATGGCTCCACTCCTACCCAGCATCTGGGCATGCAATCACTGCTGCTTCCAGCTCAGTGCTCTCCCACTGGAGAATCCTGACCTCCTTTCTCATCTTTTCTCCTATGTCTCACTTCCCACCCACTAACATAGAGACCTTGTGTTTTTGCTATTCATGGAGATGGGGGAAGGAAGCCCTTTCTCTCTTAAATGATTCTAGATATTTCCCTTAGAGCTACTTACAAAAAAGTAATGTTTATGCTTCTCAGACGCTATTTCATAGTACATGAAGGCTGAGCAATCCAAATACAAAAATTCAAAATCCATAATTTCCTAAAATCTGAAATTTTTCGTGCTGACATAACACACAAATAAAATGCTTTTTGGAGCATTACAAGTTTCAGGTTTTTGGATTTGGGATGCTCAACCAGTACATGTAATGCAAATATTCTGAAATCCCCCCCAAAATCCAAAATGCTTCTGGTCCCAAGTATTTGAGATAAAGGATACTCAACCTGTACTATACTATATATAATGGTATAATATTAGCATATAGTCTGCTTAATAGTTTGGGAATTTGGAAACTCCAAAGTCCCGAGATTCACAGGCTACTTTTTGCTATGTGCCCTGTCACAACCCCCCCTGAGCCATATCCAAACTTGATTATCTGCTAGAAATTATCTGCTTCCATGGGGAGGCAGGTAGAAGGAATGAGATAATCAGTAGAAAATAAAAATATGTATAATTATATTTTTAAAATATTGTCCTGGGAAGAAAAAAAAGAGAGGAAAAGGTAAACACCAGTTTCCTTCCTAAAATAAATTAGATCTATACCTTGGGTCTGGAGCTTCAATAATGGGCCCAGAGATTCTGCACTAAAACCAGAGCTTATCTGTCCCCCTGGACTAAGTGCAAAATCCTATGTACCCATGAGACCTGATAGCTGTCTGAGAGCTTCCCATTCTCTTCTCTGTCAGGCAGAACCAAGCACAGCACCCACCATGCAAATAAAAGGCCTCCAGAATTCACCTCTGCAAATCTCTAAACAAGGTTTTGATTGGGTCTGTCTGTAAATGTCCACAAAGGAGGCTGGTTCAAAGCAATTGAGATGAGGGAGGCGCAAAAGGGGTGGGAGTGGGGAAGAAAGGAAGCTGTGAGCCCAGGCCTCAGCAAAGGGCCTCTGTGGGTACACCTGATGAGGGCGACTGTTTTCTCATCCTAACTGGCTCCCTCCTCATGCAAAGGCCTTGTACAAATCCCACCTTCTCTTCTAAGCTTCTTTATTCCTGGAGTCTCATGCAGAGTCAGGAGAAAAAGCAACTGCTGTGTAAAGTAAACAGCAAGGCAGAAAGGAAGAGAGCACAGAGCAGTCAGCTTTTGAGGACACATTAAAGATTTCACCGAGCACCAGCAGTGCCCAGCATCACCCCTTTCAGTCCACAACGCCTCCATCTTCCCCCACCCAAATGGAGAGAAGTGTGTTAAGAGGCCTGAGAGCTCTGCATGTGAATTTCAACCTGTGATTTGAGGGTTAAATGAAGACCCCCCCAACGAACCCTCAAAATAGACTCCTACTGCCCAACTGATATGATTTACCAATGTCCCCACCCAAATTTCAAATTGTAGCTCCCATAATTCCCCTGTGTTGTGGGAGGGACTTGGTGGGAGGTAATTGAATCATGGGGGTGGGCCTTTCCCATGCTGTTCTCATGATAGTGAATAAGTCTCATGAGATCTGATGGTTTTATAAAGGGCAATTCCTCTGCACATGCTCCCTCTTGCCTGCCGCCATGTAAGACATACCTTTGCTCCTCATTTGCCTTCCGCCATGATTGAGAGGCCTCCCCAGCCATGTGGAACTGTGGGTCAGTTAAATCTCTTTCCTTTATAAATTACCCAGTCTCAGGTATGTCTGTATTTGCAGCGTGAGAACAGACTAATACACCAACAGAGAGTTTGCCCATAAGAAGGGCTTTGCTCTTGGATGAGGCGTCTGTCTCCATGGACCCCTGTTAATATGTAGACTGGCGTAGTCATCTGAGAGAGCCACATGCACACACATACATACATACACACGTACTCCACACATACACACATACCCAAAGATGTGGCTCTGTGTTTTGAGATTTTAAAAAAACAAATAAAAGACAGAAATTGCTTCTGCCTTCCAGAAGCTCACATCTCACTTAAAATCAAAATACATTTTGCAAGTGATATGTATTTGTATTTATAAAGTACACATCTTGTACTTTAAGGTTTTTTTTGTAATATGGCAGAAAAGATTCTGGATTTAGAATCAGAACACTTAAATCTACATTTCAGTTTTGCCCCTTTGCCAATAGGTGTGCAAACTTGGACAATTTCCTTAATCTCCCTAAACTTGTAGATGAGTCCTGAGTGGAGAATAGACACTCAATAAATTTTGGTTATTTTGTGATTTAGTATTATTATTGTCTTTATTAGTATTACTGTTATTATTATTAAGTGAGGAAAATAGTGCATTCTACACAGAGCCATGCAGCTCCTCAAGCATCCATCCACCACCACCAACCTGTCCCAACATCCACTTGTTTTCGCATTCACCACATCGTAATAGCTTCCTAACTGGATTCCAAGCTTCCAATCCCTTTTCCTTCCAACGAGTGCTGCATTCTCTTTCCAAAGTTTTATTTTTAAAGGAGAGATCTATTTGCCATGCCAATCTCCTCCTCAAACAACTCTAAAACCTACCTTACACCTATAGAACAAATTCTAACCTCAGTCAAAGGCTCTTGACAAAATGGTAATTTAATCTTCAAGGGGGAGGAGGAGCAGAGAGCAGGTAGGGCCATATTTAAGTTTAAGGTTTCACTTTTAAAACTTTGAAACTTTTTTTTATTATTTATACTCTAGAATAAAAGAAGACAGTGACCTAAATATGCCCAAAAGCATTTTCATACATTCATTCAATGGTTATTTATCGAGTAGCAACTGTGCCACATGCTGGAGGTACAGCAATGAAAGTGACAAAAGACGCCCTTTCTTTATGGAATGAACGTTCTACTGGGAAAGAGAGACATAAACATATAAATAAATAGATAAAGCAATAGTGAGTGATGCTAAACTCCAAGCTGAGGGCTCAGAGTCCTTCTGGAGGCAGAGAGTCAGGCACTGCCAAAGTACCCAAGTGGACACAGGTGATTAAATGTGTTTATCGCATTTTGCCATTATTTGTATTCCTTTCTCCTGTAGAATCAGTTCTAGGGTGCCTGAGCCGATCTGATTCTCTGAGACATAGTTCTACATGTGCATGTTGGATGTGTGTGTGTGTGTGTGTGTGTGTGTGTGTGTGTGTGCTGGTGGGAATGCATTCCTGAAAATGGGAACAATGGCTAAATCACAGCTGTCTGAGTCCTTATGGAGATACCTTATTTCTGACTCCCTACACTAGAAAAATTATGCTCCCTTTCTCTTCAAATGCTTCTGGCCATAGACTCAAAGGTCTCTTTGACTTTGGGAGTAGTAGCACCACACTACTCTAGATGTTAGATTCTGGAATTAATCCTTCCAACATAAAGTGTACCTATTGTGACTTGAGTGTCCATGCGCCTTCATATTTACAAATGCTGCCCTCACGTCTTCCTCCTGGCCCTACTCTGTTGCCTCATTAATCGGTATGACTAAACTTTATTTATTTATTTTAAAACGGAGTTTCGCTCTTGTTGCCCAGGCTGGAGTGCAATGGTATGATCTTGGTTCACCGCAACCTCTGCCTCCTGAGTTCAAGTGATTCTCTTGCCTCAGCCTCCCGAGTAGCTGGGATTACAGGCATGCATTACCATGCCTGGCAAATTTTGTATTTTTAGTAGAGACAGGGTTTCTCCATGTTGGTCAGGCTGGTCTTGAACTCTCGACTTCAGGTGATCCGCCCACCTCGGCCTCCCAAAATGCTGGGATTACAGGTATGAGCCACCATGATTGAACTTTTATACAGACATTTCTCTGATAGAATCCTCCTCGTATATTAGCCAAGTGAACTGATGTAATGGCACCTGGCTGTCCCTGGACAGTCCCCTCCCTCAGCCAAGTGGGCACAGGACTGCCTTCCTACCCTCTTCCCCAGTGACTTGCTGGAGGATTGTGACAAACTAATCGATCAACTACCATCACGTTGTCAGGATTTCAGTATTGCTTACTGCCTGGAATCTCAAAGCTGGTTCTTCGTCTGATTGAAATATTTATCTTGCTAGAAATTTCACACATATTAGCAATTTTAACTTTCAAAACCCCTACAAAGACACTATTACAGAGGGGGACAATGAGGTTCGATGTTGTTGAATGAATCGTCTAAAATATCATGCCTGGTAATGTTAAAAGGAATGGGATTTAAAACCATATTCATATGACAGAGCCATGATGTCATGGCTTTAGCTATTGAAGACTTCACAACGCAGGGGTAGAAAACAGGTTCCTCTCTCAGTGCCTGGGTGCTGAGCCCTGCTCTTTTGCTTTCCAGCTGTATAAACTTGGGTTCAGCAACAGTGGTCAGTGGTTAATTAGCCATTTCAAGTCTTGATTTTCCTACCTATAAAATAGGGATAACAATACCTGATTCATAAAGTTGACTGCCAAGTAAAATGTTCTGCAGAGTGTCTAGAGCATGCTATGGAGTACACAGAGCATATTTTAACGATGAGTAATGCCATTGTTATTGTTAGTATTGCCACTCCAACTCCCTGAGCTAGATTTTACAAAACAAATTAGACCTCCTTTTATATTAAGGTATCCTTAGCTGGAAGTCCCAGCGTGGCTCACTAAAATTTGGCAGAACTTGGAATCAGGCACTGGCCTAAACCAGGCATGCATATCACTTACTCAGACTTTGTAGAAGATGCTTAATGGGTAAACACCACTGTTTGTCCCAAGCTTCCCAACTTCACTGAGCACTCCTGATTGCTGTTATTTCCTTGAAACTGATATCTATCAGTTCTTTCTTTAAAAATTAATGTTTCTCCATCTCCTAAAATTTAAAAAATGTGAAATTTCACAGCCTTTTATTTCAATTTTCACAAAATGTACTCAATCTACCTCTCTAATCTTTATCTCATGACCATATTTACCCACCCACGCTATAAATGCATTATTAATTATTTGGGGAACATTTTGGGAACCTCTCCCCTAGCCTTTTCTGAAACACTGTCTTCCTCTGAGTGCCCTCACTCACCTCCCTTCTATATCTACCAAAGTCCACATCGTCATCCTTTAAGGCTCAACTTAAGTTTAAATTCTACCAAAATCTTTGCTAGAGCCCCATACCTGTCCCTAATTAATTGAGACAATGCGGAAAGGACACAATTTGCAGAGTACAGGGCCTGAGTCCAGCTCCAGGACAGCAGAAGCACAGTATCAACTGAATGCAATAGTTACCTTGGGCCATAGAGTGTTGCAAACTAGCCAATACTTAATCTGTTGCTTTCCCAACTCCTTCCAGGTATTTCCAGAGGTATAAACTGCAAAATGAGCCAGGCTTGTATTAAACCCAAAAGTTGGAAGGAATTATATTTGGAAGCAGTTGAGAAGAATATTTGATAAAATGTATTTCATTTTTTCAAACAGGAGGATATAAACCATGCAAAAATAAGCACTGGACGAATTACTTTCTGCGTGAAGTGGCATCCACACATACATGTTTCATTATGTTGGTAACTAACATCTTTTAATTCCAGGCTCCATAATGTGATTCTGTCCTGTGTAATTCTGAGGAAGACATTCCAAATGACTGAGCTTAGATTTCTCTCATAAAAGAATATCACTGTGTGTTGCATATGTTGTCTGTGCTGCTCACACTGCACTTATTATGAACTTTTTATACTGCAGACTTTTTTTTTTTTTTAGTCAGGGTCTCCTTTTGTCACCCAAGCCGACGTGCAGTGGTGTGATCACGGCTCACTGCAGCCTTGACCTCCCAGGATGAAGCAATCTCCCCACCTCAGCCTCTCAAGTAGCTGGGTCTACAGGTATGTGCAGTTATACTTGGTTAATATTTTTCATATATATATATATATATATATATATATACACACACATATATACACACATATATACATATATATGAAAATACATACATACATGTATATATACATGTATATATGTGTGTATATGTATATATGCGTGTATATATGATGTATATATCTGTGTGTGTATATATATATATGAAAAATATTAGCCAAGTATAACTTGGCACATATATAGGTGTGTATATATGTATATATATATGTGTGTGTATATATCTGTATATATGTATGTATGTGTGTGTGTGTGTATATATTTGGGAGAGTCGGGGCCTCTCATTGTTGCCTAGGCTGGTCTTGAACTCCTGGACTCAAGAGAGCCTCCCTCCTTTGCCTCGCAAAGTGCTAGGATTACAAGGGTGAGCCACCTCTCCCAGACTTATTTCAAACCTTTTTGCTCATGCCTAATCTTTTGTATTTGATTTTAAATTCCTGGAAGTCGAAACCCACGTCTTACTTATCTCTGTCAAGTCTCACAAGACCCATTAGAAAGTCTTACACACGGTAGCCACACAGGTAAGTTTTCTTGAATGACTGCTGCAAATTGAATAAATATATCATGAACTTTGGAGTTGTCTTATCTTAGGTTTGGTTTGACTGTTATCTGTAGTGATGAATAAATCTGCAACCCACTAATATTCTCTTATAGAATTGTTATGAAAATAAGCAGGATGAAGTTTTTACAACACAACTTTAGTGTCTTCCATAGAGTAGGTGAACCACTATAATAGATTTTATTTTAATTATATGTGACAGGATATATATTTTAATATATCATAGACATTTTCCTCCACTGTTCTCAGAAGTGAACTCTGGTATCAACATCTCAATTATTTTATTTTCCAGTCTTCTAAGAAGAGTCATGCTTTGTCACAATAACTCTTTTATAACTCTTTTGGGCTTTTTCTAGTAAAGAATTATGAAAGAAGGAGAAATGGAAGAGAAACAAATAGTACTTAAGCCACAACTGGGAGGCAAAGGGAAGGATGGGAGGATGCAGGAAGGGATGGAAGTGGATGGGTGTTGTAGTTTGGATGTCTGTCTTTCCACAAATCTCATGTTGAGATGTAATCCCCAGTTTTGGACGTGGAGCCTGTTGGGAGGTGTTTGAGTCACCGGGTCAGATCCCTCTTGGCTTGGTGCTGTACTCATGTTAGTGAGTGAGTTCTTGCAAGATCTGGTTGATTAAAAGTGTTTGGCTTCCCCAGCCACCTTTTCCTTCTCTTGCCATCTGACGCACCTGCTCCCGCTTCACCTTCCACCATGAGGCTCCTTGAGTCCTCCCCAGAAGCTGAGCAAATGCCAGGCCATCCTTGTATAGCCTGCAGAACTGTGAGCCAATTAAACCTCTTGATTTAATTGAACAGGATAAAAAATTTTAAATGATAAAACTTTAAAAATTACCCAGTCTCAGGTCTTCTTTTATAGCAATGCAAAAATGGCCTAACATAATGGGGGAGAAAAGGCAGTTCGGGAATTTTTTTTGTGGTCTCCGTATCCCCTAGTATTTATTAGTGTGGTCATTGTCCATATATTCCCTTCTAAGGCCTTGAGCTATTTTAAAATTACTTCTTTGGCCGGTTTGAGACTAGAGTCTGTAGGTCACGAATTTTTAAACACTGACAGACATGACTAAATGATAAATCCTACTAAATCCTTCAGTGTCCATAATGGGATCAAGAGTACACAGATGGAAAGAGGCAAACTAAAGCCATGCTTATTCTCTTAAATAAATGCTTCTCCATGGGCATACACACCCAAAACAGTGTGCCCTCTCCACCCACCATTGCAAGGACTGATGTGGAGTCTCGATGCAGGCTGGCACCGAGGAAAAAAACAGTAGAAGCATCTTCAAGATCCCAGCCTGTTACAAGAGTTTCTCATTGGTCAGTTTGGTCTATGTTTTAGGCTCCCACACTTTTCATCTTTAAAAATAAAGTCTGCTGACTCCTTGACCATTCTGTGAGGTCTTCAAAGGATAAAACATGTAAAGTGGAAAAAGACAGACAGCAGGATGGAAGAAGTATATTTTAGTCTCCTGAGAATTCAAGAGGTTGTTTTTTGTTGTTGTTGTTGTTTGTTTGTTTTTGTTTTTCAGACAAAGTTCCACAGATAGCCCAGGAGCCTGTGAGATAGTTTTATCTCTGTTCATTTATTTAACCAATGTTTGCTGAGATCATACTCTTAACAATTGCTAAGCTGAGTTGTAGGTACATTGTTACAGTGAATCTTCCAAATAAAGTTATGCGATAAGTCATATTGCCATCCCCATTTAAAGATAAAAAAACTGAGGCACTGAAAGAAGCGGGAACTTGTCTAAATCAAAGAGCTAGCAAGTGAAAAAGGTGTCTAATTGCAGTTCATGAGCTTTCACCCATGCAGTGTGGAAATGGTAATCGAGTATAACCCTAAATGTCTCAAAGAATGTCCATGGGGTTTGCCATAGGGTTGGATACTTAATTTGTAAGCCTCAGTGCAAAATGAAAATGCAGGGAACCTTTTTCATAAACTCTTAAGAATTTCAAGATAACAGCAACAGTGCATTAAGCCAAGAACGGAGCCCTTCCAAGTGTAGGATCCTGTGCAGCTTCAGGGTTCACAGCTCTGGCTTTCTGATTCAGTGGCCCAAAATACCATGGGATTAACTGCCTCAAGGACAAGATCCCTAATTATGAAGTTTCTGTTCTTTTTTATTTAATCTCCTTTTTTTTTTTTTTTTGTAGTGATTTGAATTGCATCCTTAAGTTGGAGGAAGCAGGGTTTGCCCAAATGCTAGACAGAGAAAAATTGGACCTGGTCTTATCAGCTAGAGAAAGCCAGGCTTTTGAAGTAATGACATTTATTTGAGCTTTGTGTAACATTCCCTTAAACAAGCTTTTTCTAAAGAGAAAAAAAGCAAAGTAACAAAAACAAAACAGAAAACACTCAGAGAAAGGGAAAAATGGAAGGCCTTCCTGATGAGAAGGATCAACCACTATGAACTATGCAGAATAAAAATAATTCTCTTGGCTGCCTAAGCTGGCCTGTGAACTGGACCAGCACAGCAATCTTCCAAAGCACATTCACTGCCTTCTGACGGCCATTATATTTGCTGAGATCTGAGCTCTAAAGATGATGTGTATCATTATATAAGTAACATATTTAATGCACAACGGTGCCGTGTTTTGAGCAGAGTCAGCCAGGCTGAGAGACTATTGTGCCAGTACTACACATTCTGTTGTATGTACTCATTTATTTTCTAAGGCATGTTCCTTGAGTACCTCATGCTGTGGCAATTCGAAGCTCTTACAAACTTTAAGGGACACGTATATTGTCTATGGCTGCCCACCACTACTGGCATTAAAACCGTAGTTGCTGCCATACCATAAGGCTTGCCCCTACCTGATTTATCAGAAGTCAGATTCGTTACTGAATCATGCCCACTTTCCCAAAGCATTCCAGAAGCTGAGAGTCTAGCCTGCCCAAGAAGTCCAAAGGAGCCATTGAAGTATAGATCTTAATACAGAAATCATCACTGAAATCAATAGGATTTGGCAGGTCCTATCATATATCAAAGAATGCAGAAAATAGGAAAGAAGTAGCGGTCACCCTCTGTGACTCTATACCATAGTTCATTCACCTGTCACTCAAGCTAGTCTTGGAGTCAGGAATTATTCTTGCCTTATTCCTGGAGTGACCGTATATTATGGGTTTTCTGGGATGGTCTCAATTTCAAATATTCTGGCCCGTTGTCTCCATAAGTGTACCTAGACTTATCAGACCTTGTGTCCTGATTTTTAGGTTGAGGAAATATGTTTTTTTTGTGCTTGTTTCTCATCATATTCATAGTGAAATTGAGCTGCGTAACCTTGCATGAGTTTCTTTCCCCTAGTTGGGACTCAAAATGTCTTACCTGAAATATGTTGGAAAAGCAAGAGGGCTGACTTGGTCCATTATATCTTTTTTTTTTTTCTTAAGAGAATACATTTTTAAGCAGTATCTTTTTTTTTTTTTTTTTTTTTTGAGACGGAGTCTCTTTCTGTCGCCCAGGCGGGAGTGCTGTGGCGCGATCTCCGCTCACTGCAAGCTCCGCCTTCCGGGTTCACGCCATTCTCCTGCCTCGGCCTCCCAAGTAGCTGGGACTACAGGCGCCCGCCACTGCGCCCGGCTAATTTTTTTTTTGTATTTTTTAGTAGAGACGGGGTTTCACCGTGGTCTCGATCTCCTGACCTCGTGATCCGCCCGCCTCGGCCTCCCAAAGTGCTGGGATTACAGGCGTGAGCCACCGCGCCCGGCCTAAACAGCATCTTATACACACGCACCATATGTAATACCGAGGAAAGTGAAGATGTTCTAGTTAAAGTACGTGACTCACCCACTCAAGCACCAGAGACAGGTGTCTCTTAAAGCATCTCCTTTGAAAGATCAGCTTCTGAAACATGCAGCTTGATAGTTTTTGGACTGATGATTTCTAAATCCCCTTTCAACTCTAACAAATGCCTTAGGACTCTGAAAGAGGAGCTGGGTGGTCAGAAATGGGCTAAGCTAGAGAAAAACATTGAAGTAAGCAGGCCCAGTCTTTCTGAGGCCTCTCATACACATTAGCTAATGAATATAAAATGTACCAAAGTGTTTCTGGTCCGTTTTCCAGTGCATTAAATCACTAGAGAAGTGACTTGTGGTTTACTTAAAGAAAAAAGGGAGTGTGAGTTAATGGAAAATCTGGTTTGGGTGTAAGAATATCTGGGTTCTATGCTTGGTTCTTTCACAAATCAGCTTGGCAAGTCATTTGACCTACCTGGATTTCCATTTTTGCAACTATAAAATTATTTGTTTGTAATATATAATCAGAGAGGTCTCTTCCACTTTCAAAAATCTAATGATTATATAACAAGATGCAAAAAATCTTATTAAGAGTTCAACCCCATTTCTAAACCTAAAGGGGGAAGAAAATATGTGTTTCCTTTTTTCTCATTTTCATCCCAACTCAGCTCTCAGCTCTGTTCCATTACTTTGTACATTCTGATTGCCCTTGCCTGAGGTTCAAGAGATATAAACAACAGTTTCACAGGAAAAAAAAAAAGAAACCAAAGTAATTCTATACTTGGTAAGAAAGCAAAGAGGACAAAGAGGAAAGAGCACAGGGCTTGTATTCAGATAAACATGGACTTTCACATTCACCGGCTGCTCAGAGAACAGGACTTTGATAGGGCTGATGATCTCTAAAGATCCTTCCTAATCTATAATCCTATTTAAAGTGTTCATAACTACAGATAAAGATAATTTATTAATATAAGGGCAATCTTTAAAACAGGTTCAGCAGCATTATTTTGTCCACACATCAGTGGAAAAACCCTAGATAGTCCCATTTTAATTGCCACTTGCGATACTCAGTGACAACTCAGTCTGGATTGTCTGAAATATTCAAGACCCAGAATCCATACTAGTACAGTAGCCTTGAATTGACTCAGCTCAATTCCCTCATGCTCTTCAACCCCACTGAATGGATATATTTCTGACACATATTCTTAACTAACAGACACTGGTGTTACCAACAAACCTATTCCTCAGGCAATTCTTATTCTTGCTAATGAGTGACAGAATCAAAGAAACAAATATGGAAGCTCAGAAACTGATGTGTAACTAAAGGATATATTTCCCCAAGGCCATCTGCTAACATGATGTACTTTAGGATCACTCACGAAATTTCTCATGGTTAGACGTAGCATTTTATACATAGAAAACACAGTGTTCCTGTACATATGGTAGTTTTTAAAAAGAAAAAGTTCCTTCAAATACTTCTGGGCCCTTTTGACTTCTTAGTTTGGCTATGAGATGGCACAACTAGACAAGTGATTCTAAAACATGAAATAAGAAAAGATAAGAAAATTAAAAATCAAACATAAGAAAATAAAGTGTTACAATTGGTAAAATGGAGATCATGGTTTGGTAGGTCTGGGGAAAAACCAAGAGGCTGCATTTCTGAGAAGCTCTGAGCTGATGCTGATCTTGTTGCTCTATAAACCCCACTTTGAATAGCAAGTCCCCCAAAAGTCGGCCAATTCTAAGATTATCATTATTATAAGGTATTTTGATATACAAGCTCTGTAACTAGACTGCCTGTGTTCAAATTCAAAAGCATACATTTACCATTGATGTAACCTGGGATGAGCTTCAAATTACCTGATTTCCCATGTGGTTATAAGGAAGACTTGAGTTTGTGTGTTGAGGGCATAGAGCACTGCCAGACACACAGTGCGGGCTCGATGTAGGTTAGTAGTTATTATTCTAAGGGTAGACCTTTAAATCTTCATTGAAATAGTGGGAGGTATCATGAGGTGTCTGGGAACCACAGTTGAGGAATACATGTTTATTTATGCTGCTTTATTTGGAAAATGATTTAAGGCAGCTGGCTGTTAATTGCTTTCAAGTATCCATATCCATAACAGCTGGCATGAATATAAATATATCAATGTAGACCAGAAAATAACTAGGAATATGTATATCCCAAAAGGTGGATCAAAGCCCAGGTAAAGATTAAACTGTTAATATTGTTGATTGGCTGATCTTAAAGTTAGATGATATTGATTAAATTGTTAGCTTATGAAATTAGCTTATTTTCTGAAATGTTTCATTCTTTGGATTCCAGTTAGGGTTAAGATTTGAGACTGCATTTCGTTTCAGGATAAACTGAGAAACAGACTGTGTGGATGTCTTCTGTTCCAGTCATTTAATTTTCTTATTATCAAAATCATATGATGAATTTTGGCAAGATTCTGTTACATATTTAATGGCAAAGAACTCCTATGGGAAAAAATATCCTGGATAAAAAAGCCAAAGGACCCTGAAAATATTATATTTGTGGAATGGGGATGTGGGTGGCTGAATTTAGGTTGTCTATGGGAGGTTTTGACTATGGGCAGGATTTCTGTGTAAGCAAAATGTTATGACTGTGGTTTCCCTGAAAAAAAAAAAAATGCAATTTATCTGAGGCAGCAGGACCTGGAGGCTAAAGCGTAAGCCTAGGAAGCACTAAATCCCTTTACCAATCCCAAACACTGATCTAAGACATGGTTACTTTTAAATCATTTCATCTCTCCAGTTCTCCATGTGCAAAGGAAGGATTAAAGGCACCCATTTCACCTCAGCAAAGCTCTGGCACAAATTAATTACAGTTTATAAATGGTTCCAGAGGACTATCACCAAGAAATGTATATGACAAGGGGATGTTTACACAACACACATGCCCCAGTTGGAACATAAGTAAATGCCATAGAAAATTGATGACAAATACCACAAGGCAAAGTATTTACTCAAGGAATGAGGTAGACGTGGTATAGTGCAGGAAGACAAAGGATAGTTTAATGCATTGGTAATACAAATGTCCTGCTTTAAAAAAAATGGTATGTAGAGTCCAGGTGCTGGAATACAGGCGCTACTTGTTAGAGTCTGTCATCTAAAACGATCGAATTAAATACAGTCACCAAATGTTATTCATTCATTCATTCATTTTCTCAGCAAAACTTTATTGAGAACCAGCCATAGACCACAAAGTCCAGTATGTGCCAGAAATTCCAAGTCAACCAGTACCTTTATTGCCTTTCACTTTAGAAGCCCAGAGGCCAGGGGTAGAGACAAACATTCAAAATGATGATCTCAAGAGGGTAACATAAGTGTTACAGTAGAATCATACACAAAGGTGCTATAAGAGCAAAGAAGAGATGCACCTGTTTTAATCAGACTCAGAATTGAGAGAAAGATTTCTGGAGATGATGTTTGGATTGAATTTGAAGGATGAATGACAGTTTGCCTGATTGAGTGAATTCAAGGTAGGAAAAATCTCTCAAACAGCCAAACTCAGCAACTGGCTGAGGTTCCACTTCCTCATGCTTATAAATGTATGGGGGTTCTCTCTTTAATAAGGAAGGTTAAGATTGGACTGGAAACCTTTCCATATGGGATATGAAGGGAGGTAACCTGGGTGTCAGAAGGTTTCAGAGGTTTTCAGGTTACAAATTTTGCAAAGCTCCCTTTGGGTTCCCTTGTCTACTTCTTCCCCAATCACAGAAGCTTGAGATTTTCCTCGTTTGCATATTAGTCATCGCCATTAGAGTCCACTTCAAAAAGAATTCTGTAGCTAAGGAAGTTTAAGAACCATAGCATAATGCTCAGAAACACCTTGCCCCAAGGAAAAAGTGGGCCGTCTATTTGAGCAAAGTGTTCCTGTCTTCAGCCTCTGTCCAGGTCAGAGCTCTCCTGATTCTCTTTAACTGCCCAGAATCTCTCTGAACTTCCCAACTTCGACTAGCTACACTGATGTCTATGCCCACCTCAATCCATCAGCAGACTACTCTATGTACCCAGGTATTTTCTTCCAAAGTTATACAATTCCACTTTTTGTTCAAACTTAATGATAAATTATGGTGTTAGCAAATGATGACAACTTCATACTGTAATCCTCTAAGAGGGCACATGTGCTTTGTTTTTCCAATTGTAAGTTTCACCTCAAAGAAGTGATAACATGGCATTTGAAGCGCGGGCATTTTCTGGGGGAATGTGACTTAAATTATATACTGAATTCAACCATCTCTTTATTCTGTAATGTCCTCTAGCTGTGGCTCCAAAGGCAGAGATGCACTGAGGCTTCTTTCTTGCTGCCAGCAGGTGCAGCATGTGGTCAAGGTGAGCACTCCTGCATCTTCCAGTCTACCACGGCCAGTGGGTCTTTCAAGTCTTGAATATCTTCCCTATCAGGAAATCACGTGTCATTCAGGAAGACACAGGGTTACAGGGAGGGGGGAAGAGCGGGGGCAAAAAGCAGGAAAGGGACACACTAAGAGAGGAACTAACACAACACCAGAGAAAAGAGACATTCAGGGAGGTTAGCAAATTGTCTGAATGCCTAGAAAGGAAGAGTACAAAAAATATAAGCTTACATCACTGGAAATCTCACTCCCCTAGAACAACGGAAGTGCTACACAGAAAAAGGAAGAGGGGAGAGGGGAAGAAAGGAGGTGGAGGATGGTGCGGGGAGAGAGAGAAAGAGAGAAGGTAACTTCCCCCACCAAACACCGCATTGCTTTTTACTTAACAGTTTAGGTCAGTTTCAACTAGGTCACAAGGATGTGTGTATCTTCAGAATAAAGTCTTTAATCGGCTGATGGATATGAAAAAATAAATTACTGTGGCAAAATGTAATAAACATTAAAGGGAAAATGATGAGGGTAATATAAGTACATTGATTTAACTAGGATGATATAGAGGAATTGTCTGTTTTATAGGTTTCTAGATGTCTATTAGTGGCTCTGTATTAAGGAATAGGGCTGTTCTCTTGATATACCTAAGAGCTGTCAGTAATTCCTATTTCACAGTCCACTGCTTCAATTCAGAAAGTGTGTCAGCCCTTGGTGACCCCATCCCGAAGGCACTGGAGGGTGACCAGCTGCCAAAGGTTTGTGTTCAGGCAGCTATTGGGTAAGCAGCTGTATTATTCAAAATTGAGCTGCATTTAAGGGGAGCCAATCACTTCAGCCACCTCCTCACTGCCCTGCCACCTTGCTGGACTGCAGTATCATTTGTTTTAATCACTCAGCATAGGACTCATTATGTCCTGATCTTTTCTGGAGAGAGTAACTTCCTTGATGGGTGGAAATGGTAATTGAGGACGTTTAGGGAGCAGGCGCCATGCCAGTCCCTGGGGGCATATGTCCCCTAGAGATAAGACATATTCCTAGGATAAAACAAAAGCCATGAGCTTCAGGTAGAATGTCACTTTCCCACTATGATAATGCACTGACCTATAAAAAGTGTCCTGCAGCTCCCCATGGCCCACTGAATTAAGCCCAAATTATCATCAGGAAAGGAAGGAGAAAGCATCGTTTCTGGTCACTTACAAGGCACCACATACCATGCTGGACACTTCCTGGTGTCGACTCCTTTAATACTCACATTAATGCTTTTTAAATAAGATGACATCCGTGACTCTCCCTGTCCAGACTAATGATGCCTTTTGCTCCTTTACACCTAAGTCTCTTTAATAATCTATTTCTTTCTCATTCCACTTACTCTGGCAAAGACTACCTGGCTGCTTTTCAAGCGTGTAGAGAGGGATGAAGCACTTGGAGCATCTGGACCTGGTTCAGCAGTGTCAGGCTGTGTGTCTTTGGTCCAGGCAAGCATCTTCTCTGAGTGCCAGTGACGTTCTCAGCAAAGGTGAGAATATTAGACTAAGGCAATTGTTTTCAACCAGGAGCAATTTTTGCCCCCAGGGAAACATTTAGCAGTGCCTGAAGATACATTTGTCTGTCATGAATGGTAAGAGGTAGGTGCTAAGGGCATTTAGTGGTAGAGGTCAGAGATGCTGTTAAACGTCCTACAATGCACAAGACAGTCCCCCACAATAAAGATGTATCCAGCCAAAAGTGTCAATAGTGCCAATGTTGAAAAGCCAAGGCTTTTCACCATGGCTTTTCCTGACCTCTCCCAGTGTACCATCTATTGCTTTCTCTATATTTCCCATGCTGGAGCCCAGTTGAACTACTTTCTGCCCCAACTTCATCCTAAAACAAGTGACCCCTTTCCTCCTCTCTAACACTAGGCCTAAGATGCCATCCTTCTCGCTCCACTGCTGAGACACTGGCTGTTCTTCAAGCCCTACCTTAAATGAAAGAAGGCTTTTCCTCCTCTCCCACTTTGGAACCACCTGGGACATCTCTGTCCCAAAATAAGTTGGTTTTTCAATTTCAGTCTGTTGTCGAAGATCTTCTTTTACTATTAATGGGGGCTATGATTTATTAAATTCCCATTATCTGTATGGCACTATGTTTTGTGAGATTGATTTTAAAAGGTATATCATTTAAAATCTTCACATAGCCATGCAAGATACTATCCTTGTTTTACAATGGGGGACCTGAAGCTCAGATATATTCCATAATTTGTGCAAGGCAACTTCTGAGTCACTGTTAATAAGTGGCCAATGATGGATTCAAAACAGATATGCCCGACTCTAAACCTAAAGATTTTTTTCCCACTATGCAGCAGAAACTCTTACTCTACCTATATTTTACAGTGAATATGGCCTCTTTAAACTTCTTAAAATAATCCAGCATCCAAGGTTATTGCTAGTGGGAACTGAGTATTGCTTGGTAGATAAGTAATCTCAGTATCCTATGCAAATCAGTCCAGTAGCTATAGGCCTAAGAGGTGAATTTGGGTGTAGGAGAAAAGTCAATTTAACCCCTTTCCTAGAGGGAGAAGTCATAGAAAATACTTCTGTGATTACAGCAAACTAATCATAGGGATTGCCAAATGGCTTCTGGCAGCAAGAAACTAGTTGAGGATGGAGAACTCTCTATATGTTAGTCATTTATTACCGCATAAACAATTACCTCTAAATGTGTGTGCCACATTTTCTGTGCATCTTGGAAGCAGCTGAGCTGGGCAGTTGCAGTCATCCACATGCTTGACTAGGGCTGCAGGACTTGTTTTCAAGGTGGCTCACTCACGTGATTGGTAAGCTGGCACAGGGGCTGACAGGAGGCCTCAGGTCTTTGTTGTGGGAGTCTCCCCACAGGACTGCTCGAGTGTCCTCATTACACGGCAGCTGACTTGCTCCAGAGTGAGTGATCCAGGAAAGAGTAAGGCAGAAGGCACAGTATATTTTCTGACCTAGCCTCAGAAGTCACGCATCCTCACTTCCACGCTATACCATGGGGTGAAAAGGCCAGCCATATTCAATGCGGGATGGGAATACACAAGGGCGTAAATCCTGGGAGGTGAGTCACACTGGGGCTGCACCATGACAGCATTATTTTAAAACAGTGCACCAAGAAGTTCAGTCACAGAAAAGATTCCCTAGACTGCCGTGCTCACACCTGGACTGGAGGGGACACCACTATGTGAGACTTTGATACTAGGGTAGTTCAAAGCTGGACTATTCCAGTGTCTGGACAGGATTTAGAGGAAGATACAAAGTTTGAATTTTATATCAGTTCTGGAATATAGGGGCTATTATAGTTCCAGGGAGTTGAAGGACAGAGTCATCAGAAAGATCCCTGGAACCTTCAACATGAATGGCCTAAGTAAAGAAAAGGCATTGCAAATAGAAAACAGGAACTACCAGCAGAAGTAAATATATACATTTACAACTACATGTCTATCATTCTTGTTTTCCTTCTAGAGATATACAAGAGGATTTTGGTCACATGTTTGCCTCTGACAGACAGGAGATTTTAAAGCAGACAGAAGCTACTATACAACCTACAGCTTCCATAAGACAGAAAGCAACAGGATTGCATTCCATAAGACAGGGAAGCCAGGATAGAGGGCCAGTTCTAGCAGACAGTTCATAGTTCCATGAAAAAATAAACAAACAAACAACAACAACAACAAAGAAACCAGAGAAATACTGGCTCCTTGTGAGACTTAATGTATTTTATAGAGTCCCATAACCATTGGGAAACTGAAGCCAAAAGTCTATCATCAGTCTTGCGCCCCCAGTGGAAAGGAAAGGGTATCTGAGTTCTGGGTAATATGACTAAGGCTGCCCAGTGGGTTTTCCTATCAATAGGCAGCGAATGTAAATAATACCAATAAAATGGTTAGCGTATATGTTGTATAGTATTTTCTATTAATTAAATTCCTTAATATAACCTTGTATTAGAAGCACTTTGCTCACTTTTCAGATGTCCCAAAGATCCTCATTCAGGGGTAATAGCTACTTGTAATATCCTGTGAAGCTAATTATTGTGGGAAACCCAGAAGAAAATAAACCTGAACAAAATGTTACAGTTAGTTATAATGTATACAGTTAGTATATAAGACTAGCGTTAGAATGTATAGTAATAGTCATGAGAGAAATAAAAGTCGAATAGAGGCAAAGTAGCTTCGTTAATAGTAGGGGCCCTGTAGATAGGACGCCTGAGTATGACTCATAAATCTATCTAGCCATGTAATTTGTTCATATTACAGGAGGTCTCCAACTTAAGAAAGATTTCATTTACAATGTTTCACCTTTACAATAGCATAAAACTGCCTCAGTTTCAATGAACTTTGAATTTTGATCTTTTCTAGATCTAGCGATACATGGTACGTGAGATATTCAATACTTTATTATAAAATACACTTTGTGTTAGATAATGTTGCCCAGCTATAGGCTAATGTAAGTGTTTGAGCACATTTAGCACAGGCTAAGCTAAGCTGTGATGTTTGCCAGGCCAGGTGTATTAAATGCATTTTCAACCTTCAATGGGCTATCAGGATGCAACCTCATTGTAAGTTGAGAAGCATCTGTATTTAATTTATCCGTGACTTGGTTTCTTCATCTAAAAAAAAATAACATTAATAGTACCTACCTCACAGGGTCATCAAGATCTTTCAATGAGCTACAGCTTCAAAGTGTTTTGACCGGTTCCAAGTTAATGGCATGCTTTTGATAGATATTTGTTATCACCAGATCAAAGTTCATTTATATTATTCGCAAAATATTAACTGTTTTCACATTTATTTTGCTTTAACTATTATAATAAGATATTAAAATAATGTATGGAAAATAAAGGTTTTAATGCAAGTAAGTGTTGGACTAGAGCGGCCATATTATATTCCAGAGAAAGTATACTCCACGTAGTTGGTGCCACATTAAAGCTGCACACTACCACTCCCTGGTGGCTGCATGGCTAAACTGTAGCTTTCTGGAAATCACCTCCTTTGAGGTTGAAAATGCATAATACAAACAAACAAAACCACACAGTAACAGGATGACACCTCTATGTGAGTCCAAATGGCCATTGTCCAAACTGCATAATTCTGTAAGAAACAGAGAAAGTAGAAGTACCATTTTTTTTTGCACTTTTAAAAATAATCTGAAGAGATTGGCAGTGAATTGGCCTAGTTCATCTGTGTTCAGATCTTTCAGGCTGTGCCCATCAGAAACCACCATCCCAAGTCTTTCTCAGAATAAACCAGGACCATGCATCTGTTAGGAACAGGCTATTTGATGCCGCTTATAAAAAATCAAGAGAAGAGCTTTTCTAGTTTCTTTGCCATGTCTTCAGTAGATTGAGTTACAACACTGAAAAAATGGGCAGCTATAACCCTCATTCCGCACAGTTTGTGCTTCCAGCCAGTCCCAGGCCTTAATATTAATAGATTTTCCACTCCAAGTGTTCTTACTTGAGTGACTGCAAGTTAAATTGATGAAAGGAAAGTAGCAATTACTACTCAGACATGTTCTTGTGGACCGCTATTGGTCTTCAATGCCTTTTTTTTTTCCCTAAGACTCTTAGTTGTCATTAACTTCTATCTTGCTAAAGAGTGAAGTAATGCTGAATAAAGATGTTGATAACAACAAAAAAAGAGCTCCTGGGGTTTGGGAAAATTCTTCCTCCACCGACCAACTCAGATTAAAACCGTATTCTTTAATGTGTTCCCTTGACTATCCTCAGAACTGTTGCTAAGCCCTGAACTCTCTCTCCCAACCATGGAAGATGAATCACCCATCCTTTATTCAACACTATGGAAACAGATAAACCAATTATCTACTGGCTCAATTGTGCTTATTCATCTTACCTCCCAAGGCAATTGTGTTTAATCAAGATGTAGATCAAAATCACCTGGGTGTTTGCAAACTAAGATTGCCCTGTTACTCCTACCCCCCAAAGATATACAAACTCAGAGCGTCTGAGTGGATCGCCCAAGAATGCACATTTTATAAAATGTGTCTAGGATTTTCTGAAACACAACCCTCCTTAAGGACTAATGATATCCCAGGTCGCCCTAGGGAAGAGCCTTGTTCCCAAAGGTCCTACAACAGGCAGCGTGTCTTCTCCTGCTCATCCACTGCATGTCTGCACAACGCTATGTCTCTACTTCTCAGCAGATGCAACTATTCCTAAGCCTTTCTCCTGCATTCCCTTTTTCAAATCCTTTTCTTTTCCTCCCAAACCAAAGTAATAGAGAGGCTACACTTCTCAGTACTGGGGCAGAATTGGACATCATAAAATCGTGTTTAAAAATGGAAGGCATAAATCACATGAATAGAGTAAGATGTATATGATCCAATTAAGGGGATACAGCTCTGGAATCACAGAATAACAAAGTACAAAACTCTTTTTTAAATAATTTAAGATTTCGAAGCCACCTTACTTAATAGCAGCAATTCTCAAAGTATGGTCTGTAGACCCTCGGGGGTGTCTGAGACCTTCTCAGGGGTCCATTGGAGCAAAACTATTTTTATAAAACACCAAAATGTTATTTGCCTCATTCATTATATTGACATTTGCACCAATAGTTAAAAGCAATGCTGGCACCTTAACAAGAATTGTGGCTCTGTCACTAAGCTGTACCAGTAGCCACTATATTTTCCACTGTCATACGCTGCAGAAATTTTCTAAAAAGCCAGTTTCACATCAGACTACTCTTAAAGAAGATGTAAAAATTATTAATTTTATTAAATCCTAATCCTTGATTACATATCTTGGTTTCTTTTTTTTTTAAGACTATGTTTGACAAAATGGAACGTACACACAAAAGAGTTCTGTTGCGTCACTGAAGCATGATGGCTTTCTTTAAAAAAAAGTGTTTATGCAATTGTTTGGGGTGTGTGTTGAACTAGCTGAGTTTTTCATGAAACACCATTTTTTCTTGAAAGAATGATGGGCAGGCTAACTATAGTTATTCAAACATGAGTATTTGACCAAGCCTGTCATATCATGTTTTCCAGTTTTATCATTGGCAACAAATACCATTGTACTGTTACAATTGGCAGTATTTGTTACCAATGATAAACCTGAAAAATTCAAAAGAAAATAGAATTTTGGAAAACTTTATCTTTCACCAGGAGCTTTAAACACCCACAATACTAGTGATTGTGACTTTTTTGATGTTTTATAATAAAATGTGCCGACATTTGGAAGATTTAAATGAATCAGAAAACCAGTATTTTTTAAATGACTAATATATGTCATTTAGGTTGTTATAGAACCATCTTTGGTAAGAGATTTTCTCAAAGTGCAAGACAGACCAGGCCCATGGATTTTAATGTAACATTATAAAACATTCATTGATTCATTTATTCATTCATTTCAGATTCATTCATTTTTTTTCAGATTCTACATCACAACTAATATTTAAGAAACTAAAACTTTTTGAACTTTGCTGTTCTATCAAAGAAGACCATCCACAATTAGCTAAAAGGCTATTAAAATACTCCTCCCTTTTCCAACGGTGTATTTTATGACTGAATGTAAAAGCAGATATGAGAATCCTGTTATCTTCTAGTAAGTTTGGTATTAAAGAGATTTCCAAAACTATAAATGTACTCTATTCTTTAAATGTATTCTATTTACCGATGTATCATTTAAAATATTACCCTCCAAAAGAAAGCATGTTATTTCAGACATGTTGTGATCAATACGGAATAGAGGCAACATCTTCCTTATTCTAAGATTCTGTTAGGATTTTTTTGACAGACATCTCAGCCTTTTTATTCATATTACTCTTATGACATTGGATATTTCTAAGCTTCTTGTTGTTTCTTTGTTTGTTTCACAAATCCCTAAGAAGCCTTATCGCACCCATGATGAATAAGTGAGATCGTATTTTTATGGTAAGCTTAAGTACCTAAAGCTTACCATATTTTATGGTAAGCTTAGGTACCTTAGGTACCTAAATCTAGTAAACATTATCTTGTTAGAGTTGACACACCAATATCACTTTAAGAAATCTCTTTGGATCTCAATTCTATCCATTCAACACATCGTGTAACTTTCTAGTGTGAAGTAGCCACAGATTCAATGTTTATCCAAGTCACTGATAAAATATTTAACAGGATAAGATCCTTTAATACTCCACTAAAACTTTTTCTCCTATATGAAAAGTTGAGGCAGAGTTATGGAAGTCCAGATATGCAGACCATTGGTAACAAATACTGTCAGTTGTAACAGTACAATGGTATTTGTTGCCAATGATAAAACTGGAAAACATGATAGGACAAGCTTGCCTCCTTCATTTTTTAAAAAAAGGTCAAATACTCAAGTTTAAATAACTGTAGTTAACCTCTCTATTATTCTTTCAAGAAAAAATGCTGTTTGAGAAACATCATTCTGGATTCACCAATGTAAATTTCTTAATTTTGAAAATCACAAACAAATACACTTATTTTCTGTTTTCCACATTCTCCCCATTCTCCAAAATTCCCGAAAGATTTCCAATCATGGTTACAGAAGATACAATATCCTTTCCATTAATTGCTCATTTGCTTGGGATGAAAGATAGGCATACACTTTCTTACAAACCCCTTCATAGGTTTTGTTTCCCCATTAAAATAATTGGGTCTGTCATCTTCAACAGGAAACTCATGATTTTTGTCAAAAAGTAGCATATCTGAGAATTAAAAGGGTTGTGAAGTTTTGTCAATGTTGAATATGAGAGCATTTTATGACAAGGTCCATTTTTTGTCAAGAGACCAAATGGGGCTGTGTCCCATTTCAATACCTTTTGTCTCCAAAGAAATGCCATTGTTTCCAATTCATTTTGCAATTTAGCATTTCTAGAATTTAGGTATGCCAACTCTATACTAATCACTAGTTATTTTCTTTATTTCTATTGTCTGTTCAGAGAGCTCCCTATGCATCAACACTGATTTCAAGTGCCTCTATTTTTGTTTTAACAGAATTTCTTGCAATTTTGTCTTCTGTCTCTTGCTATGAGATCATGTTTTGGTAGCTTCCTTCTCTCTAGAATACTCCTCTGATTCAGCCCAGATTTTCATTCTCTGGACATTAGGAGCATCAGGATGGCATGTTTACCCTCTCCCAAATTTCTATCCATTCCATGACACTAACAAATTTTTCTTGTTGGCATGCAGGTATGGCATACAGCCATACCATTTGCTGGTTCCTGTGTGCTACAGAAAATTACCAAAAATCTAACTGATTATTTAAGTTTCTTCCTGCCAGAGCATCATGTTTCTATGCTAGTTGAGTTGCTAGATTTAAAAATGCAGCATCCACTACTTCTGTCTGGGTGGGCAAGTTTTAATATATTCCCACAAATATACCCCTCTATTTCATTTTCTTTCTTTCTTTCTTTCTTTCTTTCTTTCTTTCTTTCTTTCTTTCTTTCTTTCTTTCTTTCTTCCTTCCTTTTTCTTTTTCTTTCTTCTTCCTTCCTTCCTTCCTTTCTCTCTCTCTCCCTTCCTTCCTTCATTTCTTTCTTTCTCTCTTCTTCTTCCTTCCTTCCTTCCTTTCTCTCTCTCTCTCTCTCTTCCTTCCTTCCTTCCTTCCTTCCTTTCTTTCTTATTTTGAGATGGACTCTCACTCTGTCGCCCAGGCTGGAGTGGCATGGCACCATCCTGGTTCACTTCACTGCAACCTCTGCCTCCCGGTTCAAGTGATTCTCCTGCCTCAGCCCCCTGAGTAGCTGGGATTACCAGGTGCATGCCGCCATGCCCGGCTAATTTGTCTTTGTTTTGTTGTTGTTGTTTGTTTGTTTTTGTATTTTTAGTAAAGACGGGGTTTCATCATGTTGGCCAGGTCTTAAAATCCTGACCTCAAGTGATCCATCCGCCTCGGCCTCCCAAAGTGCTGGGAGAACAGATGTGAGCCACAGCACCCGGCCTTATTCCCCTTTTATTCTTATTCTTATATTCTCACATCCATGAAGTCTCCATCGCCAGCTTCTTGCATTTTCAGGCAAGTATGTCTTTTTGGCATACGTAATCATAAAAAAGAAAAACTTTAGACAAATTAAATGTAACAGTTTAATTGAGGACATAATGATTTGCTAATCAGCCAGGTGCCCCTGACCCAGAGTAAGTTGGGGGCAACCCTGACACCGCCACCTGGTCAGAAAGAACTGATGGACAGAAAAAGGAAAGTGATGTACACAAAATAGAAGTCAGATACAGAAACAGCTGGATTGGTTATAGCTTGGTATTTGCCTTATTTGAACATGGCTTAAACAATTGGCTACCTGTGATTAGCCCAAAAGCAGATTACAATCTGCTGACATATCCAGTTAGGTTAAAGTTCACTATGTATGGAGAAATCTTTAGGCTGAACTTAAAATATGTGAGGAGGCAGCTTTAGGCTAAACTTTATTTAACATAACTAACTCTGACACCCCTACAAATAGCCTGTCTTCTGAATTTTTTTTTCATTTTTGGTCATATTTCTTTAGTCTTGGGTCCCTTGAGAAGTTTGTATTTTATCACCAGATGCCATAGGGTTCATTTTCCTTGTTACTGACCCAAACCCTCTGCATCTGCATCCAGGCACCTGAGTTCATGAGCACTGTTTTCCAACCCCCTTTCCATGCATGTGAACTGCCAGTTCCCCAATACTGCCCTTCACTTCTTTCTATCCTATATATTAATTGTTCTGTTTTGGACTATCTGCTAGTATTGGCAGTGACAAAAATATGGTGAGAGAGCAAGGAGGCCTTTTCAGCCTTATTAGGACCTTGTTGGACCTAAGAATAATTTTTCAGAATTTCCAGTTTAAAAACAAAAGTTAGGACTGGGGCTGGTGGGCATCATCAACATACTGTTAAAGGAATAGGGTTTAGGAGGGAGGGGGCAGGCATATGAGAGGGGGCTTTTGTTAATCCTTGCAAATATGGCTTTAAAAATTGGATATGTGGCTTACTAGAAACTGCATTCCCATCATTATTATAGCAATGTCTGTGTTAGAAGAGAACATTCCTCAGCATTTCATTAACATGAATCGGGCCTCTGTCACCAGGAATTGTAGGTGAACATCCCAGCATAGGCAATGCCGCGTCCAAAATGACCCATTCTTTCAGGCCCGTGGAGGGGCACAGCTGGCCTGTTATTGCAGCCTCTTATTACTGTTGTCATCACCATCAGCATCTCAAATTGACTAATTATTCAAAGTGTGTGAGGCACAAAGTAATGTTCCTGCCTGGAAGCTTGTGATATAACAGCACCACTGGCAGAAGTGTGTTTTCAGGGCCGACTTTTCTGGATGATAGAAATATCTCATGAAGGCAAGAAAATGTGTCGTGGTTATTAAAGGGGTTCCTAGTGATTCATCTCCTGAAGGTCCCCAATAACTTTTGAGACCCTGATATTTTTGCAAATTAGCAGCTGTGGCCTTTTCTGAGCTAGTGCCCAGCATGAAGCTTTCAATACCGTTACAATGCTATGCATTTGCCACTTGGATCAATACCATGGATTCCATTAAGCTCTGCTTGGCATCCTGTTTTCTACCTATCCTTGGTGACCTCCTTTCCCTGTTTCCATTTTCAAACCTCTGCAGGCAGTGTGCAAGAAAGCTATTAAGTGGCCTGAATCAGGGAGAATTTATGCAAGACTCACTCCTCATTCTCTGCTATGAGATTGGCAGCCAGAGTAAATGACACTATAGACTCACAGAAACGAGCCTGCATATAAGGTATCATTCCCTGTAATAAGAATAAGTAACTAGAGATAGTATTGTAAGGATAGAGCTCAGGGACTGACTTCAAGCTAGTGCCTCCCCATGTCCATCCATGGTGACAAACTCAAACAATTATTCTCGCTTTTTCTTTTCTCCTGAAAAATAATGATTGATAATTTTCCTTCATCCCTTCCTCCCTCCCTCCTTTCCTCTCCTTTCCTTTTCTATTGTCCTTTCTTTCTTTATTTTTCTCCTGATTGTTGTTCTTGTATGGGAGATGGACAGTAATCCACAGTAACTTTTGACCTTCTACTTAAAACTGTGAGACATCTCCCTAGAAAAAATTCATTTGTACATGTTTGTATGAAATTACAGGTGATTTTGAAACCTTCACATCCCTAGAGATTCAGTGGGCCCCAAGTTCTAGGGATGACCCTGTGGGATCCTCAGCATCTCACAATGGGGACAAGTCATATAATTCTAGAAGAGAGAGAATAGAAATATTTGCCAACTTTTTAAAAAAATAAGTTTCCTGAAGTACAATTTACATATGGCAAAATTCACCCTTTTAGGTGTACATTTCAAGAATAAGCACCATCATAAATAAAAAATAGAATATTTACAAACCCTGAAAAAAGTCCTTGTTTCCTGCTTCAATCAATCACCTCCCCTCACCTTTGTCCTTGACAACTACTGATCTTTGTTTTGTCTCCAGGGTTTTGTCTTTTCCAGAATGTCATATAAATTGACCAATATGGTATGTAGCCTTTTGTGTCTGACTTAATTAGTATTGCATAATTATTTTTTACCATTTCTAAGGGAAAATACATTAATAAAATACAGCAAAAGTTACTGTATGAATTTGCTGCCTGAGATGAACATGGGAGGTGATGTGTTGAGGTCAGTCCCTGAGGCTTATCATGAAGTTAATATAAGTAGGTGGCTATTTATTAAAAAGAATGATAATGTATACATGTTTTCTTATGTTTCAATAGTTCATTTCTTTTCTGTACTGAGAAGTATTCCATTGTAGGGATGTGTCACCTTTTATTAACTTTTTATTTCTTTAGTAATGACTTTTATTTTACCTTTATCATCCTCTTATTTTAGCTGAATACAGGCTCAAATAGAAGTGGGATAACCTTTGGCTTTTTTCAGAAGGAGGTCTTCCTCACTTTCCTTATATGCATGAAGTAGAAATGGCCTTGATTCAACTGATGTCTATTGAAAACTTATTAAAGGTTGATTGTTACACTAAGCATTTTTCTATTAATTCTATAAGCTTCCTGTGAAACAGAAGTTATTATTCTTATTTTGTTATCTGGGAGAACTTAGAGAGGTTAACTGATTCTCAAGGCATAGACTAGGGGCAGCACTCAAGTTATTTGACTCTAGATTCAGTTCTTTCTTGAGTTTTCAGAATCCCTCAACTAACTCTGATCATTGTCTTAGGATAGAGAAGAGGTGGAAGGGACAAAATCAGGACACACGTAGATAGACATGGTGATTTACCTGAAGTTTGCATAGAATCCCAACCAGCTTTTCCCTTCCTACCCATTCCTTGCTGCACTCCCTGCCATGCCAATTGGACTTCACCACAGCTCTTCTCAGCCACGAGCAGGATAAGTTGAATTATCCCTGGGGGTCACAAGCTCATATATTTCAGAAAAAAAAGCCAGAAGTTCCTAGAGAGAAAGAGATCCTTTCCTCTAAATCTAGTAGGGAAGACTTTCTTGGGCCCTCTCTAGTTCAAAGAGCATCGTCTTGAGCCAATTATTCAGCTCATTTAAGTCCTCAATGGGACACAATAGATCCCCGCTCTTTCTATTTTCCAAAACAGTAAGAGGTGGTGAGAGCAGGCAGGATTATGTCTCTGGAAATCAGTAGAGCTCAAGATAAAATACACCCCTTTCCCTCATTCTTGTGGCCTGAAGGTTAACATTCAACAACACTAGGGTCTAAGAAATTGCCGCCTTTGCCTGAATTAAATGAAATCTAATGAAACAGAAATCCAGGTCAGTGCAGTTCACTATCAAACCTTCTGCTCTGCTTTGCTGGCAGCTCTCCTTGCAATAATTAAACAGAAAGTCGTAGGCAGGCAGCAGTGAAATCCATTGCTAATCTTGCCCCTCATCAGCCTATCTTCCTAAATGTTCCTTAATTATGGTTTCTAAATGCTCTGCATTCCCTCTGCACCCAGGGTACCAAAATGAAGCTGACTGCTTCAGGGATGCCCAGTAACTAGGGGTGGAAGGTCTTCCAGGGCATGTCTTATCCAAAACATTAAAAATCAGAGATAAAATCCAATAAATGGAAAGACATGTGGGAAATGAGCAAGGAGATGAGGACAGAGAAGGTTGGGAGATGATTTGATTTTATTTTCTGGAGGATTTCACTTTAAGGATTCCGAAGGCATATCACTGGCTTTATCACAGCTTCTCCAACACACCAGGGAGTGAATGAAACAGCTGTCACATTTAAACACACACAGCGGTAATCCTCCACTGAGCACAATGCCAGGACAGAACAGAAAATCTATCAACACTTACAATGCATTCTATTTATTTAGCAACTCGTCCCCCTTTACCAAGAGTCCCATCTGTGAGGTTGAATCTGGGGCCCCATGCCACTGGTGGCTTTTTGTGGTTTGGAGGCTACGGAGGGGAGAGTGCAAGAAGTGGTCAGATTTACCAGGTGGGCATCTGAAGATGTTAAAATCACAGAACGTGGATTTTAGGACACTCAAATGTCTGTGGCAGAGTGGAGCCACAAACCTGTCACATCCAGAGGCAAAAGGCATGTGAGAATTGCCTCAAGCACCCCTGCTTCCACTTTCTTCTCTCTTGCAAGGTCTTCATTTAAAAGACCTGGATCTCCACGTATTCACCCATGAGCCTGGTCTCAGGGGATGCCTGCTGATCACACGGGACCTACTAAGGAAAACAAGGCTGCTTCGAGGGGCCATGGACAGCTGCCTGGCCGGGTATTGCTCAGATAGAATACTCTGGAGAGGGCCTCCAAAGTGCTTCCACATCAAATAGGATCTAAATTCTACTTATTAGAATAAGTAAATATTTACTTATTAGTTATGTACATTAAACAATGAGATTACACATGGTAGAACTAGAATTCTGTATGCAGTCTTCTTTTTTTTTTTTTTTTTTTTTGAGATGGAGTCTCACTCTGTCGCCCAGGCTGGAGTGCAGCGGTGCAATCTCGGCTCACTGCAAGCTCCGCCTCCCAGGTTCACGCCATTCTCCTGCCTCAGCCTCCCGAGTAGCTGGGACTACAGATGCCCACCACCACACCTGGCTAATTTTTTTTTTTTTTTTTTTTTTAGTAAAGACAGGGTTTCACCGTGTTAGCCAGGATGGTCTCAGTCTCCTGACCTCGTGATCCACCTGCCTCGGCCTCCCAAAGTGCTGGGATTACAGGCATGAGCCACTGCACCCGGCCTCCTGTATACAGTCTTCTATAAGGAAACTGAGGCCCGGAGAAGGTGTGGTTGTCCTGGAGCCACCTCAACTGCCCAGCTAAGGAGGATCAGAGGCAGAGCCAGAATGGAAGACCCCCAAGTCCTGGCTTCACAGTTGCTTCAAGGACTCTGCGAGTACTGGGATGAGTTAAATTTGGTGGCAAAATGGTTGTCCATAAGGGAATCTCGAATGGAAAAATGAAGCAGGGAGGGAGAATGTGAAGAAAAGACAAAAGACACAGATAAATCTACCATGATCTGCCTTGAAAACGCTCTCGGCTGATCACAGCTCTGGTCTCATGGAGACGTTCAAAGAACAAGTGTGGAAGTCAGGAAAGAGACATGAAGATTATTAAAGGACTGACAGACAGAGCTACCAGATTACAGTCTACACAGGAGGCTGCAGAGAGATCGGTCAAGTACTGGCTTTATAAACATGTTTAACTTAATTCAATTATATTAAAAGAAATGTAATTCACATAATGTTTTTGGCCTAGTTTGAGGGGGGTTTTATGCCAGCTACCATAGGGGTCACAGAGGTGAGTAGGTACAGTTCTCCTTTCAGTTTCTGGGGGAATTCAGGAAACAGATTCATAGTAAGTTGTGTACTCTGGGAGAAAGAGCAGCAGATTTGAACTTGGACAGAGGGAGATCCAAATCATAGCAGATTCTACTGTGTGATTGCAGGGAAGACCACCTCTGTTCCCTCCCCTTATGCATCACAGGGTGCTTGTGAAATGGAAAGGAGAAGACATAAGTAAAGAGGCATGCAAAGGCCTGTCTGTTAGCAAGGTTCAATAAAGACAAGCTTCCTTCCCCCCACAAATAGTGTACTGAAAGGCAAGAAAGGGCAGGGCATGGCGAGGGGAGTGGAATAATGAAGTTTGTTCTGGCTGACGCACAGGATTCATGAAATAGAGGGAGCTGGAGCAGAAGCAGGCTGGGAATAATACACACAGGGCCACACTAATGGTCCAGAAGCTGATTGCGTAGGTAATGGGGGAGCCGTAAGACAGATTCTGTTTAGGGCAATGATGATGGGAGAGTTGGGCTTTAGGTGAAGCAAGGGAACACCATTAAAGAGACTACTGTCCTAGTCCAAGTCAGATTTATGAATTCCTTGATAACTCTGATCTATCTTCCTTTGCTCTTCTTATTCTTTTCTCCTTAATACTAATTAGCTTTTGCCATACTATACTGTTTACATATCTGTAAAGTAAGTTTCATGAGAGCAGGAGTTTTTATTTTGTGTGCTGATAATCCAAGCACATAGAACATCACTTGGCAATGATAGGTGCACATTAAGTAAATGCTTCTTGGAATGAAAAGAAAGTGAATAGAATAAGGCAACCCCATGATCCCACACCTGAGGAGCTAAAAGATGGTGTCTACAGAGAGTTATAGAGGAAAGGCAGGGGAACAGCTTTGCTCAGCAAACTAACCAGCTTGTTTTCTGTTTCCTCTGAACAAAAGTGAGCCTGAATGCAATTGTGGAAGATTGGGGTTGAAGATTTTCCAGATCGAGTTTGTGCATGGTGCCTGATGGAACAGAGGGACCATAGCCAGCCTCTTCAATTGTTCAGATGCCAGGATGTGTGATATCAAGGGGCTTTTTGACATGTCTGGGAAACAGCAGGATCTAGTGGTTGAGCTGAGATGTGGCCCATCCTCCCAATGCCCAGTCTCCCCTGCTGAGCAGCTCTGAAAGGAGATGCAACTTGCCTCAGGTGCTCCCCACTGAGAACACCAGGCCCAGACTTTGTTGGCTGGGGTGCTGGGCTGGGCTGTGTCTGTCCCTGCATCTCAGGCTCCTCTCAGCACCCACCCCCATTAGCAGCTTTGGAAATGTGGAACACGTGGTAATCCTTAACTCCACTGTTTTGAAATGTCCCTGCAATGGCTATAATAATCATCTTACAAACAACCTAGAACAAGTTCTAATTGCTTTTAATGTTGTATTACAGCTGGGAGATGGGGAGAGCAAAGACATGCTGTCACAGGCCTGCTCTGATTATATGGTACCTCTGGGAGCATTTTCACGGAGGAAAAGGCAACAAGCTTATAGGATTTTTTTCTTCTTTTCAGGGAACCTGGCTTAGTGGTGGCCTCCCCACACCCAAGCAGTAAAAGGGAGAGCCTCCTGAGCCAGCAGAGAAACTTAAGCCTCCCAGTATTCTGGAAGCAATAAAGAATAATCTGATATACAAACAAAGGTGCCGTGAGGTATTCTCACTTCTCTTAACTACTGCTGGTGATGATGTTTGTGAGCCAGCTCTTTTTACCACTGAAAAAGTTCTTAACTGTTAATGACTCCCAGGTGAAGGCACCAACCCAAGACTGAGATGTTCTGAATAAATGAGGGAATAAATGAATGAGTAAGTGGATCACTGACTGAGCCAACTCCTATTGAGAGCCTAAAATGCATAAAGGTTTCACAAATGACTACAACTGTCCCTTCCTACAACTCCATAAGGCAGGTTCTAAAATCACCCCCGTTCTATGGATGAGGAACTGGTGCTCAGAGAAGTTAAGTGGACCTTGCCAAGGACAATAGGAAAACATCATGAGTAAGAGACTCAGGACTCACGCATCAAGACCCACATTGTTTCTGTTATGCTGTCTTACCTTCTTGAAAGCTCTGACTTGAGAAGATTGGTTCAGATTTTGTGCAACTGGTCATCCCTGGTGCAACCCAGAGACTGGCACTCAATTTCACTTCATGAGTCTCTTCTGTCCCCCTCAGATCATAGCACCGCTGTTTACACTTCAGCGCCAGCACCTCCTGCCTCCTCTTTGGGACACCTTTTCTTACCTTTGATGCTATGACAAGGGGGCTTTCCTCCCTGCCTCTAGCAGACTGTTTTGCTTTTCCCATTCTTTTCATAACTTTCCAAAGACACAAAATCACAGCTGTAAAAATGGCATGTTATAGCTATTGGTTGCTCACGTCTTTCAAAGGGCTTTCCCAATTATTTTTTCATTTCATCTTCACAACAGCCCTCTGTGGACCAGGAAGGCAGCTGTCATTACCCACCATTGCACGGTCAGGGAAACTGAGACCTCAAAAAGGGGAATCTCCCACGGGAGTCATAGGTAAGGTTGGTGACAGAGGCAAGACCTGCACTCAACTGCTTGACTACCAGGGCCAATGCTCTTTCACAAAGACACCACGACCAACATGGATAGAATGTGCCTCTAACTGCAGCTCCAGTTTATAGGGCTATTTGAGCAAAGGGGATGGAGTGAGGCCTCATTTGGAGAAGTGGAGATGAGGATGGGAGGATCTGGCAGAGCAGCGTGGCAGGTGTTGGTTAGATTCTCTGCACCTATGTATTCCTTCCATAGACAATTTTGTATCCCAGAAAAAATGAAATAAAATTATAATCCTAAAGCCATTCGTATATCTTCTTTGGAAAAAAAAATGTATATCCAGGTCCCTTGCCTATTTTTATTCAGATTATTTGGGGTTTTTTAATTTTAATTTTTTTATTTTTTGCTATTGAGTTGTATGAGTTTCTTATATATTTGGATATTAATTCTTAACAGGTATGTGGCCTGCAAATATTATTTTCCCATTCTGTAGGTTGCCTTTTCATTCTGTTGATTGTTTCCTTTGCTGCAAGGAAATTTTTAGTTTGATGTAGTCCCATTTGTTTATTTTTGCTTTCATTGCTTGTGCTTTTGGTGTCATATCTAAGATATCTAAGAAAGTATTGCCATGACCAATGTCTAGGAGGTTTTTTCTATGTTTCCTTCTAGGAATTTTACAGGAGATCATATGTTTAAATATTTAATCCATTTGAGTTAATTTTTGAATATGGTACAATTTTATTATTTTGCATGTGGGTATACAGTGTACCCAACACCATTTATTGAAGAGGCTGTCTTTTACCCATTGTGCATTTTGGCACCCTTGTCAAAGATAAGTTGAACATATATGCAGAAGTTTACTTCTAGCCATCTATTCAATTCTATTGGTCTATGTGCCTGTTTTTATGCCAGTACCACATTGTTTTGATTACTACAGCTTTTTAATATTGTTTTAGATCAGAAAGTGTGGTGATGTCACAATAGGTATATAAAAAGGTGCTCAACATCACTACACATTGGGGAAATGCAAATCAAAACCCTACTGAGATATCATGTCACACCTGTCAAAATAAGACTTAGCAATAGACAAGAGATAGCAAGTATTGGCAAGGATATGGAAAACAGGGAAACCGTATTTTGTTGAGGGAATGTAAATTAGTACAGCCACTATGGGAAACATAGGAGGTTCCTCAAAACAAAAAAATAAATGAAACTACTGTAGAATCCAGCAATCCCAACTTCTGGGTGTATACTCAAAGGGAATGAAATCAGTATCTCAAAGAGATATCTGTACTTCCCCATGCCCAAGATCATTGCAAAGATCACTGCAGCATTCTTCATAATAGCCAAGATATGAAAAACAATCTAGCTATCCATCCATGGAGAAATAGATAACGAAATTATGGTACACACACATGTACACACACAATGAAATATTATTTATCCTTAAAAAAACTCCTGTCATTTGCTACTACATGGATGAATGTGGTAGACATTATACCAAGTAAAATAAGCCAAGTACAGAAAAACAAGTACTGCATGGTCTCACTTATATGTGGAATCCAAAAAAAAAAAAAAAAACAAACAAAGAAAGTCGAACTCATAGAAGCAGAGAGTGACCTGGGGTTGCAAAGGGTCAAGAGTGGGGGAAATGAGGAGATGTTGGTCAAAGGGTACAAAGTTTTAGTTACAAGATGAATACGTTCTGGGGATCTAACTACAGCATGGTGATTATAGTTAATAACACTTCATTGTTTACTGAAAATTTGCTGAAAGAGTAGATTTTAAGTGTCCTCACCACACTCACACACAATAGTAACTAATTGTGATGATAGGTTAATTAGTTTGATTACGGTAAGAATTTTGCAATGTATATATATATATATATCAAATCATCATGTTGTACACCTTGAATATATACAATTTTTATTTGTTGATTATACTTCAACAAGGCTAGGGAGAAAAAAATCCTAAAATCTCTGAAGATAAAAACCACGCCACCAGAGTCCTGCCCGCTGCTTACCTGTATTTGAGAGGAGCATGAAGGGTTAACTTTGTGGGCAGCTAATAGAATTTGGCTCTCACAGTTTTCTGTACAGAATCCCTCCACAGAGACCATTTCCCCACCTGGATCCAGGTGTTCTGGGAGGTGTGCCCAGCATGTATGCCCAGGTGGGACTCACCTGCCTAAAGGCCAGGCTTCTCAGCCTCACAGACTGCACGGGGGCCTCCTGCTCCTTCTCTCTGTCTGGAAGCCATCTCATAAAGACAAAGCAGTAATTATTTACTCTGCTATTCACACAACATTAGCCATTCGCCTCCACTCTCCAAGCACTCTGCAGACATTAACCCCTTCAGATCCTGCCGCAAAACCAGATGGTGAGTGCAGGAAGCATTCATTAAACTAACAGTTCACTGAATGAGTCACACTCTATGCCCCACAATGTACAATCTGATACACTGAAGTGTGAAAGTCACTTGCTGCCAGTGTTTTGACAGGTTGCAGGGAACCACAAAAGCAGGCGAAAGATACCTAGCTGTAGTTACATATTTTATTCATTTATTCCATAAATATACGTTGTCTGCCTACTATGTGCCAGGCACATGTTTGTCAAAGGCTGGTATAGAGATTGACTCCCAGGTAAGGTACACAGCTACCATTTCCTTTTATAACTTATTATTCACCTATTTGAAACTTTAAAGTCATGATACAGTCCAGAGGATATTTGGAAATCAGATTGATAAAACAAACGCAATACATGGAAGAAAGACTATGTCTACAACTGACATGCATAATCTCAGACTTGCTGCAAAAAAAATACATAAATAAAAATGAGAACAAACAGCAAAAAAAAAAAATCCAACTCACTCATGTCAGTTGACACTTCCCACAGTGCACTGCAAAGTCAATTTGTGTAGTGACACTTCCCACAGTGCACTGCAAAGTCAATTTGTGTAGTGACACTTCCCACAGTGCACTGCAAAGTCAATTTGTGTAGACATGCTCAAAAGGGCTCCTTTCATTTGCAATGGTGAATTGTAGCACACTCCGTATTTCATTCATGTAATTAAGCTCACATGTCAAAACAATTACCTCTTCTCTAGATAGGGACTAGCAACGTATTTCTTTCCTTTTTAAGTTTCCTTTGAGTGATCAAGAACGCCTTTAGCAGAATGTGAGGACCTCATTTCAATTTGGCTTTCCCTTAAAAAGGCCACCATGTCATTCTATGCCTGGAGACCTCAGCGTCTGCAGTCTTATCCCACTGATATTGCACGAGGGGAGAACCAGTGTCAGCGACGTGCATGATGCCAGGTGTATGAGCTGTAGGACAGCAATTTGGCAAACAATCTAGGATAGCGTATGGAACAATCCTTTATAAATGAATACGTGCTGTTGGTGGCTGGAACGTAAAGGCATCTTGCAAGAGTATGGAATAAAAAAAAGCTGCCAAGTCAGGTTGAGGCGTTTTGACACAGGAGCTATGAATGCTACAACAATCTATGACCATAGAAAGCATCCTCCGCTCTAGGTGTGTGTTTGTTATAAATCACTCTGCTTCTTTCTTTTCTCCTACAGTTAATATATTTTCCTTCAGCAAATATATTTGCTGTGCATTACCAGCTATGTTCAGCTGTTAATATTTGTGTCTATAGTTAGCATTTTTATTCAGCTAATATTTTCATTCAGTGACACTCACCAAGCATCAGTTTGATTCTCATCATATTTGCTAGAAATGTTTTCTTCCATTAATGTGCATTTCTCCCTTTAAGGTTCTTATTTTCTAGGTATTTATAAGCTATAAGGTCTGTCAGCTTCAGCTAGCATTACAAGAAATTCTGATCACTTGCTGCAAAGTGCTCTGAGTTAGTGGCTCCTCCCCAGATGAAACATCTATCCGGGGCACAGTCTTTGGCATCTTTAAAATGGGAGTCATAAAGGTAAGAAGATAGGTGCGCCCAGTGCAGGACTTATTTGTAGCAGCTGAATGAAAGTATAAATGTTTAGGGTATTAAAGTTTTAAAAAAGGATGAACTAGAAACAATGGGATGGGAATTCCAGAGAAATAGATGTAATCGAACATGTAATAAGGAGAAAGGAAACTATTACAGGAAAGCTGTACAAAGATAGCATTTGCTGCCTTGGGAAATGGCAGGCTTTCTCTCACCAAAGACTTTAGAGAAGGGTGTCTCAACATTTTCACTGGGCCCCAACACAGAGTTTTAGATTCATTCTGCCTGGGGTAGGCCTAAAATTTTGCAGTGTTAAGGAGTTCTCAGGTGATGTTGTCAGATCTAGGGCCACACATGAGAATGACTGATGACAGACAGGCAAAGAAAGCAATGTCCCTCCTTCTACCTCTTCCTCCCCTGATGTTTTCTCTGCTTTTTTCTCTGGTGGATTTGTTTCTTCAGTGCCCTACGCCAAAGCCAGAGACCCAAAAAGTTGACATTGAGGTCCATGCTGAGACTGGTAGGGAGGGAGTTAGGTCTGAGTAGGGCAGGTCGTGAAGTAGGAAAGATGGACAGGACACAGGGGCATATTTGCAGCAATATGTAAGCAGAAGGAAAGGATTCCGATTTCTTTTATACCCTCTGCAAGCCCTGTGACATCTTTAAAATAAAATAAAATAAAAAATAAAAAAATAAAATAAAAAATAAAATAAAATAAAATAAAATAAAATACTTGTAGCCACATAAGATCCATTACTAGGTAACAATGCCTGCGCCTTATCCCTACTTTGCCTAGTGCTTTTCTCCGTGTTATGATATGAAGAATAAAAGCTCAGTGCAGTGCTGGCCCCACCCTCAATGCCGTCTATTATTAGGGCATTTCTCTAGCCCTTCTTTAAGCCCTCTTACTATTGAAGGTATTCCTGCTCCAGCTGGGTGTCTTACTGCGAACTTGGTAGAAGGCTTTCCCCGATTAGATGAGAGATGGCTGAGGAAGGCCTTGCCACTTTTAAGATTATTTGCTTCCATGCCAGGACAAAAACTCAGTGTATGAAGGAGGCAACTGCCAGGCTGTCAGTGGGGACCCAGGAAGTTGACTTAGAAATCCACACATTTATGGAGCTGCTGGGGTGACCAAATCTGGTTGACACAGGCAGAATCTTTGAACTCCGCTTCAAAATGCTTTGTATTATTGAAGCTTTCACACTCAATCTCTTTCTGTTTTTTGTACTTTCCACAATCGCTTCTTGGAGACTGGTCCTTGGACTACTGAAGTGAGAAGTTATCCCCAAAGCCAAGCTGGGATTCCGCCAAGCCCGGTCCATGGGAAACAACACGGTGCCAGATGGGAGTAAAGTGCAGCTCTGCTCCAGACGCGAGGCCTGAGAGAGGCCTTGTGCGAAATCCAGGGACTCACAAAAGAGAAGGCACAGAGCTGGTGGCCAGCTGCCTTCTGAAGGGTGCATTCTGGCATTCTGGCAAGTACAACTGCAGAACTCACCCTGGGCTCCGGATGACATTGAAAGCTGTCAGCCTCCAATTAGTTTCTGGCAGACTCTGCTTGGATTTGAGCTTCATGAGGGCACTGTCCCCCCTTTCTCACCAGTGTCCGACATCTCCAACTCTGCCCACAGCCAAGCCCCATCACCACACACCTATTGCAATTCTGCAGAGCCCTAGCTAAAATGATCATCCTTCCCCCAAAGTAGGAACTCAGGGATCTGTGATCCTCTTTCTCTTTTGAGCACCTGTTGCCCAGAAGAGGATGCCGATTGGTCATCTGGGAGGAGTAGCAAGAGTTATCTGGACATGGGCCCCTTGCCTGTCATTCTCAGACACTTGCTGGGGTTTAATGAAACTGGTGTGATTCTTCAGGCACTGCATCCCTTGGGTTTTTTCTTTGTGTTCTATTTTGCATTTCTCAGTTGGTTGACATCACTTAGCTGTCAAAATCATTTTTTTTTTTTGAGGCTGTTAGGAAATCTGTGTATGAAGCTTCTAGGTATATGCATTCTGTTTATCAGAGAAGAGCATATCTACTGGAGGTACCAGGAAGAATAGTTTTCAGCAAGAACTCCAAGGGAGGAGGGATGGAAAAATGGTTCTGAGGACAGCAGAGTGAGCTGGGAAAAACTTGCTTCTATTCAGGATGATACAAATCCCCAGATTTCATACAGTTCATTGAAGGAATATGGGGAGCAAACATGAACCTGAGATGAGAGCTGTCTCTTTCTTCCCAATTCTGATAGTGGTAGTCATTTAGGTTCATATATTTCAGCAAGCTGATTGTTTCCCATCTGTTGGGATTAAGGCATTTATTCTGATATAGTGGGAAAAGCATCTTTTGTGCACAAACTTCAGCATTGTTTAATCTTCAATTCTGATTCTGGCTGTACCACTTACTAGTTGAGTGATTTTGAGCAGGTCCTACTACCTCAGTGTGCCTCACTTTTCTCATCTGTTAAAGGGAGAAAATCATGCCTAACACCACAGGGTTCTTGAGGGGTAAGTGAAGCCACATGGTAAAATGACTCTATGTCTGCTAAAAACTTAAAAACTGTTGGATTCTTCCTGTCTGTCCTCTGCCTCTTTATTGCACAGGAGAAAGGAATTCACCCTCTATATATATGCTTCCCAGCTCACTGCCTTTTCCCCGGACTAAGAAAATGCATATCCTATGTCTATATCTGGTAGAAAAGCATTTGGCTACAAATAATGGAAAACCCAGTTTAGTGTCTTAAGCAAATAGAGATCTCATTTCCTCACATGGGAATCTGGATGAGGGTTTTGCTGGCATTGGCTCAGAAGCTCCACAGGTCAGGGCTGCTGTCTCTGTGATTCCTGTCATCTTTCCCCTATGGGGCAAGACTGTGATGGCATCTTCAAATGCAGCATTCACCTTCAGACGAAAGCAGAGCAGTGGTAGCTGTGCCTTTCCTTTTTACTGGGAGAGCTAAAAGCCTTCCTATTGCTGCCAGGAGACTTTTACTTGAATTTCATACATCAGAGCAGTGTTAAAGGACTAAGCCATCTCAAGCTGCAAGGGAGTCTGGGGGACATTGCTTTAATTTCCCCACTTCAGTATGGGAGGAGAAAAGGGAGAAGGAGGTTAGAAATGTAGTATCAACCAATAAACAGGGTCTGCCATAATGCCCAGCAGAAATGAAGTCTGTATTTTCTCTGGTCTAGTTCAGTATACCAGTATTGTCTTATACACCTATTTAGCACTGTATAGCTAAGTATATAGCCGCAAGTATAGGAGACTGGGAAGCTTCATGGAATCTAACTGCAACAAATATGATTATTGGTCATGGAAGGAGAAGCTACTGCCAAGAATAGAGGTTAATCATATTACACTAAAAGTGTCATCTGCTTTGCATTTCCCTCCCACTGGAGGGTCATCTCAGTAGCAGTAGTATTATGGGCTGAATGTTTGTGTCTCCCCAAAATGCACATGCTGAAATCTTAGCTCCTAAAGAAGGTGAGATTTTTGGCAGGTGATTTAGGTCTTGGGGTGGAGCCCTCATAAATGGGATTAATTTTCTTATAAAAGAGACCCCAGAGAGCTTTCTCTCACTGTTTCTGCCTTGTGAGGACACAGTGAGAAGACAGATAGCTGCCTGTGAAGCAGGAAGTGGACCCTCACCTGAAACCATCTCTGCTGGCTCCTTCACCTTGAACTTCCCAGCTTCCAGCACTGTGAGAAGTAAATGTTTATTGGTGAAGCCACCTAGTCTATGGCATTCTGTTATAGCAGACTAAACTGACCAAAACAAATAGCCAACATTTATTGCATTTTGACTACATGCAGACACTGTGCTTAGTGTTTTAAACACTAACAACACTTTAAGTGTTGTTTTAATTCCTCAAAACTAGACATCGATACCCACCTGAAGGAGTTTGAAACAGAGCCTTGCAAAGTGGGAGGCTAAACGAGAACGCAGAACACATATTAGAAAGACAGGCAGAGCATATTGAAGTAAATAAGCCTTGTAAATAATTGAGTGGTAAGGAGTTGAGGTGGGGTGGGGGTATAGCGGGAGGGAGAGCTGAGAGAGACAAGGGAGCAAGAGTACTAAATTCATATTAGACAAACCTCGGTTATAATTTAATTCTGCTATGTATTTCTATGGGCAAGGCACTTATTACCTATCCTCTCTGAACTTCTATGTCCTCATCAATAATAATAGTGCCTGTGTCATAAGGCTTCTGTAAACATAAATAATGATAGCAAATATTTGAATAGCACATTTTATGCTCTGTTCTAAACACTACAGACCAACACACACAGACACGCACACACACACATACCCACATACCACATACTCTCTACAAGGAACTTTTATCCTCACTTACAAACAAGAAAACTGGCATAAAGATTGTAATATCTCAGGAGTCAGGATCCATGGATCACACTATGCAATTACTATGCTACACTGGTGATATAAAATCGAATCTTTATGAAGCATGCCTGTAAAACATTGGCCCACACAGCACTCAGTAGGTGCTATCCTCTTTCTATCATCAGTTTTATCTCCGAGTGATCTTTGTGCAAATATCTTTATATTTGTGGTTCTCAAATATAAAGAGAATCCAGGGATGATCCCCCTCACCCTTCCCTGAGGGATATACATATATATATATATTTGAGATAGTCTCACTCTATTGTCCAGGTTGGAGTGCAGTTGTGTGATCTTGGCTCACTGCAACCTCCCTCTCCTGGGTTCAAGCGATTCTCATGCCTCAGCCTCCCGAGTAGCTGGGATTACAGGTGCCCACCGCCACCCCCAGCTAATTTTTGTATTTTTAATAGAGAAAGGGTTGGCCATGTTGGCCAGGCTGGTCTCGAACTCCTGACCTCAACTAATCTGCCCACCTCAACCTCCCAAAGTGCTAGGATTACAGGCGTGAGCCAAGGCACCTAGCCTACCTGATGGATATTTGGAAAGGTCTGGAGAAGTTTTTGGTTGACGCAGTGGGGAGGGGAGACGATTTGCATTCCTGGTGTCCAGTGAGTGGAGACCAGGGATTATCAGATGCTGCTAAACATCCGGCAATGCACAAGACAGCCCCCACAGCAAGGATTTATCCAACGCCAAAGGTCCGTAGTGCCAAGGCTGAGAAGCTGCTACGGACAAAGAACCATCTGCAGAGAGTGATCAGAATGACAGCCTCAGGAAGTAACCACGGCAAGAAGACTATAGGGAGTAATCTGAAAGGAGCAGGCTCCAGGCAGGCCGGACGGAGGCTGTCCCCTTAGGGTTGAGGGTGTGGCTAGAGAAGGAAATTGGAAATTGTGAGCAAAGTGCTCCGTGAAACTTACACTTTATGGGACAGGTTTATGCCTAAATTAAATGTATAGGAAAATATATGTTGTCCTTAGGCCTCAGCGTTGGCTTGTACTTTCTCATAAAATCCTTTTGTGTATGTTTGTAAACTTTAGGTAGCTTTAAAGGTAACTCTCTGAAATGGGTTGATCCTTTCTGACTCTTAAGCCTCAAGATTCTGGTACCCAGACTGGAAAAACCATGTAACTAACACTGCTTATAAGGCCCCCTTTAGCAAGGTGTTTTCAGTCTGAGTTTTCTATATGCTACAGACGACTTACAGTGGTCCTCACCAAAGAGGCAGTGATCCTGGAGGCTAGCCTGGAAACTATTTTTGGAGGTGGGAGCTGGGAAATACTAGATCTCTCTTTCTGCCTCTGACTTAGCCTTGACTTCCAGTACCTGACCCAATCTTAATTATAACAAGCACAACAATAGCAACTAACAGCATTGATGGAATGCTTACGTCCTGGACACTGTGATAGTCTTTATGTGAGATTGCTCATTTAATCTTCACAACCAATCTATTGGTAAGTACTATTATTATCTTTGTCTTACACACAGGGAAGTGAAACAGAGAGGTTAAATAACTTGCCCAAGATCACATTTGTGATATGCGTTAGAACCTTGATAGGAAATTGAACAATTCCAATTGCAGAAACCATGTTCTTAGACATAACTCTACATTCCCTCCCTCTGAACTTCTAAACTACTTCGTTAATTGGGGTGGTGCTGGGTATAGCACAGACATTTGTGGGGCTAGCTGCTCTTTCCAATGCCAATGACAAAGGCCCTCAAAGACTGGATCTGCATCAGCCCTGGGACCAATCAACAGTATTTTGTCTCTCAAGGACAGGATCATGTGATTAAGTATGAACGCCCGCCCCCTGCACCCACCCCCCGCCCAAACCTCATTTCCATCCATAACCAAACAATGAGTTGATCTCACCCTAGCTAATCCTTTAACATTCTTAACCTGTTCCACCTTTTGTGGGACTGAATTCCACAAGTTTGCTTCCTCCCGTGCACTACATTTTCCTTTTACTGCGAAATTGCCTCTTCATTGCTTCAAAGGAGGGCTCTAGTTCTTCTCCACCCAAGAAGCCGTGACAACAGTTCCCATATACCTATTTCTGTATCCTTCATGTATAACACGTTTCTTCTCATTGTCAATCTTTCTACCTCCTTGATCACTGAAGTGGCCCTTCTCTGACTGTACTCAATTCTGTTTCAGAAAATGCCTGAAGACCCAGAGGAAATGAGGAGCACTCAGTCAGTCAGCGTCACAGGCATCAGCTGCCTCTGTTTAATCAACTCCACCCCTCTTCAGGATGTTTTCACTAACACCTGCTGTAGGAAAGCATGGGGTCAGAAAAACTTGGAAGAATTGCATATGCTTCTACATCTATTTCTATAACAAAGAGAAGAAAAAGGTGGGAGATTATCTATGAGGACCTGAAACAGGGAGAGAATGAGACTTGGGGAAACCACTGCATATCTGTGTTCAGTTCTGGATTCTGATAACTGGGATTCTACCTTATTTCTCAAACCCAAGCCCGCCCCAGCTCCTCACCCAAACCTTGCATCTAGTTATAAAGGCTATTGGCTTTTTGCCTTTTGAGCACTGTACCTGATTCTGTGTTGCTACAACCTCCCTAACTGCCCTGTCTCTATGGGTCTGAGTCCTTACCTTGCTTAATTTTCAATTTCTTTTCTGGAGACTGAGTTCTTTCCTTAAACCACTGCTAAAGATTCTTTGCTTGGTCAAAACTCAGTCCATCTTCTGAAACTTCTTCTGGGTCCTCTGTGTACTTCCTTATAAAATCCAACTTTAACAAACAACCGAAGTCAGTTTAGTAACATCCCCCCACCCGCCTTTACAGATCATCCTCGGTACCTGCTCGGTTCCTCATTCTCCACCGCCCCCTACGTGACGTCTGGTCCCTCTGACCTATCTCCAGCAAGAATTCTGTTTGGTCAGCTTAGGCAGAACCCACCTACCTCACCTGTTTCCTCTTCATGATTTTCCACCTGCTGACCCCCACCCTGCTCCTTGGTTTTAAATTCCTCTCTGCCAATGTTACACTGGAGTTGAACCCAGTCTTTCTTTTCCATTTACAAAATCCCATTGCTGTCGTCCCTATACTTATCACAGTGATCCGGAATAAAGTCTGCCTTACTGTGCTTTAACAAATATCATTGAGTGTTTTTGTTTGTTTTTTGTTTTTTCTTTAACACCACATCTCATCGGCTGGAGAGGAGCAGGATGGTGCCAGGTACCAGAATTTCTCGCATGTTGACTTCTGAATGCTGCCCATTTCAGAAGTCCCTTATTGCAGGCTGAGACTCACTGTTAGCCAGCCCTAAGCCAGTTCTGCACTAGGCTTGTTACTGAGGCCTGGGCCAGAAGAATGCTCTGCTGTAGCCTGACCTTAGGGCACAGAGCTCTGTCTGCTGCACCGACCTTCTTCCCCCAGCAGCTGTCTCACCAAGTGGGTGGATCTGGCTTTAGGTCTCAAAACATCTGTTACCTACTCCCCTAAATAGACCAATCTCATCCATGTCCCGAGATTAGGTGAAAAAAAGGAATTTAAAACCCAGAGTAGTGAGGGGGACAGGGGTATTTTTTGGAGGTTTTGAAGAAAGCTCGGTGTCCATTTGGGGTTTGGTATATTCTTCTAACATTTTGGCCTGTATTCTATTGGCTTCTGTTGTATCTACATTTATTTTTGTGTCTGTAGCTTTCATTTGTATGAGGAGTGCATTCAGATCTAAAAATAACTATTTTTGGAGTGTGAAAGGCCCAGAGTTGGGCATAGAAGACAAAATGTGGAGGTCATGCTGTTAAACGAACCATAAACTCAAGGATAAGTAATTAATTATTAGCATGAAATTATTTTGTGTAGTTGTTATTGTTGCTTGAATCTTGAAAAAAGGCAAAGATTTTGAGCCACCTCACTCTATTTTTCAACAATTCTAATTGTTAGAAAGCTCACCTTTAATTTGTTGACATTTGCCTCCCTATAATTTTTCGTCATTGCTCCTACATCTGCTGGCTGAAATAACACAAAACAAATATACTACTAAGTCTCCAAGACAAAGTCTTCAAGTATTGGAAAATAAATCTTGATACCCTTAACGTGATTTTTTTTTTCCTTTCCAAATAAGATTTCCTTTCCTTGCCACATTCTAGTCATTAATATCATCCAATTAAAACCTCAGGGATGGATATGAAAGGGTATCTTTTGTCTTGTGGGAAAGCATTCCATTGATTTGTTTTGTTTTGTCTTCTTGCTAGTAAGCTGACATAATGAGGCTGGCGGAGTCAAGAAAGATGCTGAGTGTGGGTAGAGACCTGCTTAGAAGGAGGTAGGGAAATTCTGGGTGGTTCAACCTGAGTTGACAAGCTTGGGCCGTAACTCTCTGCACAATGTTAAAATTGGAATGTATCTAGTGGTCAGCAATATAGAATGTCTTATGGCAGGAAGGTCACCTGAGGGGCAAATTCTAAGTGGCAGGCCAGTGTGCCAGTTGATGGGGCTTTGAGAAGCAACAAGAGGTTCATACACACGTGTCTGGGTTTCCGGCATCTGATCTCCTCTAACAAAAGATACTTGGCAGAACATTAAATTAACAAAATAATATTAATAATGAAAAGAATAATAAAATGAATAACAACAAACAAGTATTGGGTCATTATGAGTTAGGCAATGAATGAAGCTATTACACGTTTTCACTTCTTTTAGATTCATAAGCACTGTAATAATTTACATTTTATAAAGGAGGAAATGGACACTTACAGAGATCAGCAAATCAGTATGAGTAGGATTCCATCTTAGTTTGTCTGACCTCCAATCCCTTAATCTTAACATTTGCACCATAGTGGTTTAGTCACTTTCCAGAATTTAGGACCTATCTCTGATTTTAAAAACCTGAAGTATTACATGAGTCAAGCAGACATGTTTAAAAGAAGGTAATCAAGGCAGAAGCTCAGTTCAAAAGATCAGAGCTAAGGCACGGGTACAACTGATGTCTGTGCAGATTACGAATTCTCCCTGTGTATCACTTCAGACCGCAGCCTTATCGACAGGGAAGAAGAGCTGAAGCGGATACACTTAGAATCCTGTTAGTGGTGGCAGGCCCCCCAGGCATAGCATGCCTTTGGTCAAGGCTGAGGTGTCTTGGGTGTATTACTTGCATCTGCCCAGATCAGAATTAAATCAGGAGCCCAAACGGTCTATCTGACTCTAAAGCCAAAGCACACCATTAGGCTGAGAGGCAGGAGCTGGCAGAGAGCAGATGAAAGGGAACAGGGCAGGGGGCTGACCTGCATTGGAATATGGACATCTAGGGCCAAAGCATCTTGATCTCCTGCCCTCCTATTTTCTCCTAAAAATAAGAGAATAGAGACTGCATCATGATGCTTCTCTCTGTCATCATTATCCTCAGGGGCATCTAGTTTTGCAGTTTTTTCTGGGCATTTTTCACTTTCTTCCACAAATTTCATTTTAAAGCTCTTTGGTCAGGTCAGTAACTCTCCTCCCACGTCTCCTGTAATATGAACACCGTATCTTGCCAGGAACTCTTTGTTCTGGAAAGCCATGGTCCAGAAAAACAAATCTTGCTTTGACACCATCTATACAGCCAGCTGTTCCCTACTCATATCTTACTTTCCCTGCCAAATTGACAGCTTCCAATTGGAAATGGAGTAGAAAAAGCAACACTTATTATCCAGTTATTTCCTTTTTTCAAATAATTTTATATCCTGAACTCCAAAATTATTAAAGATACATATATTCAGTTTTGCTCTGATTGCATCATTTAGTCTCATGTTAACCAGGAGAAAGGTAAAAGTCAACGAATTTTATGTGTTTTTGGAAAACTATCTATTTCTGATTCCCCGTGAATATCTACCCTGGAATCATGAGAAGCCTGCCATGCCACCCTTCCTTATAGTCATCCCTCTCTCCTGAATTATGGAGATTGACTATTCTAATTATTCTTTTCCTGTTGGGAGATAATAAAGAACACTGCCTTGGGCTAGTGTTTGTACATCATTTAAACCATCCTGTGAAGCACAGGGCATTTCTTCCCAAAGACTAAAGATCTTTATGCTTACCATTAAGTATGAAATAGTTCCATAAGGTAGTTCTTCTTAGTTCTTCTTCTTACTAAGGTTGAGATAGTAAGTGGGATGGAATATAAACGGATATGGAGAATGAGAGAAGGGAGTCTAATTTGATGACTATATAGATGTAGATATAGATATAAATATAGAGAAAGAAAAAGAGAGGGAGAAAAGAAACCCAGCTTGTTATCCTTAGAAGACAATCAAAAATCTAGCTTTGCTGGGAAACTTTTTATTAAACAATAGCCAGAAATCAAGCTTGGTTATAACGCATATCTATACATGACTTTTCAATCTTGCATGCTAGTTGACATGTGTAGACTTGGGGTGTGTGATAGCTTATGAGTACAAGACGTGCTTGATGGAAGTCATGTTTTATAAAGACTTTCTCAGGGATTATTTTAGTCTTTCAGGCAGCTATAACAAAATATCATAGACTAGGTAGCTTATAAACAACAAAACTTTATTCCTCACAGTTCTGGAGGCTGAGAAGTCCTAGATCAAGGTGCAAGCAGATTTGGAGCTAGGTAAGGGCATCTTCCTCATAGACAGCTGTCTTCTCACTATAACCTCACATGATGGAAGGGTGGAGGACTCTCTCTAGACCTCTTTCATAGGGGAACAAATCCCACTTATGAAGACTCCAACTTCATGACCCAATCCCCTCCCAAAGATGCCACCTCTTAAAGCCATTGCCTTGGGAATTAGGATTTCAACATACCAACTTTGAGGGAGGGACAAAAACATTCAGAGCACAGCAGAGATTATATGGGTTTAGGTTGCAAATCTAGCGAATGGATGGAAAGAAAGAAAATACAAGTAGTCATCATGCTACTTCAGTGAGACTTTGCATCTAGAACAGGAACTGGATACACAGTGTCAAGTAAAAGATGGGAGATGAAAAATGTGGCTTAGTGTTCATTACCTCTCAGTACCTATGGGAAGACATACAAAAAGGTATAGGAGGGCTTCTGTTTTACCTGGGAGCTCTCCCTCCATTTTCTCAATGGGAGAACAAAGACATTGAGGATGCAAACTCCCTTTGTAAACTCTAAGGTGATGAGAATACTATCCAGTTCTTGAGCCTCTGTGTTGAGCCCAGGGCTATAGTCAAACAAGCATATTACCAATTTCTTTTGGCAATGAAGGAAAGTTGTAATTATTCCTGTATTTAGTCTCTGATCTGTGTTCTGTTGACCTCCACTGATATCACAATGGAGGAAGGCTCTAGGTGCTTTCTGCTTTCCCAGAAATGAGGCATTGCATGTCGGCCCATCATACAAGGTATGTTTACTCTAAGCCATCATATCTGATGGGAATAAACCAGCATCTTACTGGGCTGTTTAATTCCCAAGAGTTGATTCCAAGTACTGGGGTCTCACTCTGGTTTATTCGTCCACAGCACACCAGAGCTGAACAAATGGACCAAAAGCTTCCGGAGCTTAGTAGGATTTATGAGCAATTACTGAAATTCTGAAGGCAGCATGTGCTGTAGGAGAACACCTTACTGAAGAATGCGAAGTTGCTGCAGAAGCTCCTGGAGATTGTGCTCTTCCCGTGTGAGCACTTGCGGTAGCTCAGGGAAGAGGCATGAAAAGGCCAGTCATTCACACGATCATCCACTCAGCTAAGGCTTCTGCTGTTTCGAGCCCCACTCTGAAAATTGGACATTTATTGTGTAATTTTTTGACACTTCAACTTATACCAGGTGGTTCCTAGAAAATACAAAATAAAAGTGCCTGGAAATCAGTTTCTTTTCTATGAGCTGCATTAGGTTTTGTTATTTTGTTTTGCTTTGTTTTAAGAGAAGCAGCCTCTTCTGTCAGGGAGACAGTGATACAAATGATTAAAAGCACAAGTCTTGTATAGTCAGTCAGACCTAAATTCTAATACTCTCTCAGTCAATATTCCAACTGGGGACACTGAATAAACAAATGAGTTGCTTAGCCTCAATTTCCCCATCTGTACAATGGAAATAGTGACTTCCAACTTTTGTAAACATTAAATGAAGTGATGTATGTAAATCACCTAGTACACTTGAACATAAAATTTGGCAGGTTTACCCACACAGGGACGAGAACTGCTGGACAACTGTGGACCTCCCTATTTTAGGAACTGCCATTGAAAATCCTTTACATATAGGAAAAAGTCCAGAATGTGGGTTCTCTGAGCCAAAAAGATATGAAAATAGAAAAGCAGAAGGAAGAATTGAGTGTGCAAACTCACCCATCTGTCAAGTTACTCCTTTCAAGGAGTGAAATGCGTAAAGTAAGAAAAAAAGACTAGAAGTAACGCTAATGGATGTGCCCTCCATTTCCTGCAAGGAAGGAATCATCAAGAGTAAGAAATAAGTGTCCATCCCAAATAATAATGTATATAAGTTGTTAGATAATTTTTCACTTAAGCATCATCCCTTTTTTTCCACATCATTACATTTTTTGTAAAGATTATTTCTAATGGATGCAGACAGTCTAACATGTGGATGATTTATATAGTCATTCCCCTACTATTGGACGTTTAATTTGTTTCTAGTGTTTTGCTGTGATAAACAACACTTTGCTCAATATCTTTACATATAAATCTTTGTCTGAATTTCTGATCATTTCCTTAGGATAAATTTGTATGAGTGGAATTACTATATTAAAAATGATTTTAGGATTCTCACTACATTTTGCGACATATGGCAAAAACAAAAGTACAAGTTACATTTTCAGTAGCAGTAAATGCAGTTGCTAGTCTCACAAGCTTTTTCCCAGAACTAAATGTTATTTTTTAAAAGAATAATGATTGTATTTGAAATAAGTATCCTATTGCCATTTAAATCTGTATTTGAGTTTGTAATTTTTTTCTTATGTTCAGCTATTAGCAATTTACCTTTTTTTTTTCTTTTGAGATAAATTCTCATTCTGTTGACCAGGCTAAAGGGCAATGGAACAATCTCAGCTGCCTATAGCCTCTGCCTCCTGGGATCAAGCAATCCTCCCACCTCAGTCTCAGGAGTAGCTGGGACTACAGACGCGTGTCACTACATCCAGCTAATTTTTGTATTTTTTATAAGGGTGGGATTTTGCCATGTTTCCCAGGCTGGTCTCGAACTCCTGGGCTCAAGCTATCCTCCTGCCTCAGCCTCCCAAAGTGCTGGGATTACAGGAGTGAGCCACAGAACCCAGTTGCAATTTATCTTTTATGTATGTGTATCCATGTCCTTTGCCCAAATATTTGAGTGCTGGGGTTTGAGTTTATTTGAGTTTATTATTACAAAAGTTTTGAATGTTATTAACTGGGATTTTGACAAGTAGAGAAGTCAGGATAGGGCAGTAATATCAAGCTTGCTAATGAAAACATTATGAGCAGAAGTATACTTATGGAAGACGTCAAGTAACATACAAGTATAACAGGTAGTTCAGCTGGATAAGTATCCATATGAGAATGCACTAAGAATTACGATTTTAAACGTGTTTGGAATCATAGTGCTTTTGAAATGTCACATTAAAAAACTGGAACTTCTTTCAATGATCGGTGAGAAAACACTAAAACTTCTCAAATTAGCTAATTCAGTGTTTTTATTTTGTTTTTTTATTTTTTTATTTTTTTAAAACTCTGGCTATATATTAAAGCTGAAAATACCAAGGCTCAAGTCCCAGTTTAAACCAATTATCTCAGAATCTTTAGGAATGGAGACTTGCACTGGTAAACCAGGAATGAAAACAAATGCTTGGCCCGGGCATGGTGGATCATGCCTGTAATCCCAGCACTTTGGGAGGCTGAGATGGGTGGATCACCTAAGGTCAGGAGTTTGAGACCAGCCTGGCCAACATTGTGAAACTCCATCTCTACTAAAAATACAAAAAATTAGCCAGGCATGGTGGTAGGCACCTGTAATCCCAGCTACTCTGGAGGCTGAAGCAGGAGAATCGCTTGAACCCTGGAGGCGGAGTTTGCAGTGAGCCGAGATCATGCCAATGAACTCCAGGCTGAGCAACCAGAACAAAACTCAAGAAAAGAAAAGAAAAAAGAAAAGAAGAGCTTGGAGGGATATTGTAGATCAAACCAAATCTACCTAACTAATAGCAGTCAGAGAAAGGGAAGAGAAAGAGAGGGGAGGAATGGAGGGGGATGAAAGGGAAGGGAAAGGGAGGGACAGAATAGAACAGAACAGAGATCGATTGAGAGAAAGAAGGAGAAACTATGAGAAGACGAAGTAGCTTAGGAAGGGAGTAGCAAGGGCCTGACTTAGGGCGATAGCAGTGGAAGGCAATGGAGGGAATGGATGCAAGAAGTCACGCAATAGACGATATGCTGATTTAGCCACAAGCTGAGAGAGATGAAGACAGGGGCAAAATTTGAGGTTTGAGGGAGACAAAATGCACAAATGAGTAGTCACAAAGATTTCTGTGAGGAGTTAATATGAAATTCATACAATGATTTTCAGGCCACAGTGAAAGCTAAAATAAGAATAGAAGAAAAGGAGAAGGAAAACTATCGAAGATGACACATAGATGTAGTACCTAGTACAATATCTAAGACACAGAGGTGCTTAATGAATATTTGTTTAAAACTAAAGAAAAAAAAGAGTAGTTGAGGACAGAGTCCCCTTTCAGTGGGTAGAAAGAAGAAGGCATAGAGCTGGGGGGAAAAAGGAATGATCAGAGGACACAAATGGGATGTTTTAAGTGTCAAAAAGACTGTGGGAGATGGAGTGTTTGTGTGACAGAAGTTGAGACAATTATCTTTCACTAGGACAGCAGCTGTACTTTGAAAGTGGGCTAAATGTTGGTAAATGAAGAAAAGGTGAGGAATCTGGGACAAGCATAGGCGACGCCCGGTAAAGAACAGAAAGAGAACTTAAGGGCAGAAAGGATGTCAGCATTTGATGTTTTGTTCTGTTTGGGGGTTAATTCTTATTATTTCTATAGGATAGGTGAGATGTAGTTATAGCTACATCAAAGGGGTAGAAGTTATTGAATAGGGACAGGAAAAATGGAACCTAGGATGGAGAAGTTTAATTGCTGTAACAATGTCAGGGAGAGGTTTGAGGGAAGAGGCCTCATTAGCAGAGGTGGAAGGGCGGTCATCAGAAAAAAGGCCCACCCCCTCCTCTGATACAGAAGAAAAGGAGGAGGATGGTTAAAAACAGGGAAACATCAACACTAAAAGAAGGGATTTGGAATCCCTGAGGATGGCTAAGGTTAAACTTCTCACTAAAATCAGAGGATGAGTTAGCTGAGAATGCTACCAGTAGAAGAAAGTTTGAAAGGTACTCAGTAGCACTGAAAGGAAATCATGAATAAGCAAGCTCCTTCCAGGCAATGGTGAAGACCAAATTAAGGTTAGATAGTACAAGGTTATAGGACTTCCAGGTGGCAAGATTTTAAAATATCTACAGTGTTCAACACCTTGAACTTGAAATGAGAGAAATAATAGAAAAGGCAACCAGTTGCGCTAGTTACCTACTGCTATGTAATAAATTTTCCCTAAAACTTAGCAGCTCAAAATGTCATACATATTGTCATGGCTTAAGTGGCTCTGCTACTTCAGCATCCTTCACAGGTTACAGTCAAAGTGTTGGCTGAGCTGTGGTCATCACAAAGCTTTCATTGGGGAGGAGATTCTATTTCCAAGCTCCTGTGAGTGTTTGCAGGATTCAGTTTCCCATGGGCTGGTAAGCTAAGGTCCTCTTTTCTTGGCTGGATATTGGCCAAAGGGTGCCCTCAGTTCCTTATTATGTGGTATCTCTGGCATGACAGCTTGCGTCATCTAAGTGTGCAACCCAATAAGACGAGGGAGCTGGCTAGCAACACAGAAGTTACAATCTCAACCTCTTCTTGTTACTAACTTGTTGACTTGTTACCGAATCATAGAAGTTGATTTTCCATCACATTCTCCTAATCCTATTGGTTAGAAGAAGTCACTAGGTCCAACCCACACTCAAAGGCAGGGGAATACTCAAGGGTATAAATACAGAGAGGCAGGATCACCAGGGCCGTCTCAGTGGCTGCCTATAAGATAAGGATTGCAGTAGTTATGAATTCACTAATATTCTAAGAGGTATCCAAGTTTATTTATTTACATTACTTCTCATCTTTTTTAAAAAAATTATACTCTCCATAAGGATTTTTTTTTAAACTAACTCTCTGGAGATTAAAAAAATGTATAGTCACATGCTGCATAACAACTTTCCATCAACAGTGGGCCACATACACAATGCTGATCCCATAAGATTATAAGGGAGCTGAAAAATTCCTATCACCTAGTGACGTTGTAGCCATCATAATATCATAGTGCAATACATTGCTTACGTGTTTGTGGTGATGCTGGTGTAAACACACTTACTGTGCTGTTGGTCATATAAATTATGTACAGTACCTAATACTCAATAATAATAATAAATGACTATGTTACCGACTTATGTATTTACTATACCATACTCTTATCATTATTTTAGAGTGTACTTCTACTTATAAAAAGCCAACTGTGAAACAGCCTCAGGCGGGGCCTTCAGGAGGTTTCCAGAAGAAGGCATTGTTATCACAGATGACAGCTCCATGGGCGTTACTGTCCCTGAAGACCTTCCACTGGGACAAGATGTGGAGGTGGAAGTCAGTGATACTGATGGTTCTGACCTTGTGTAGGTGTAGGCTAACATGTTTGTGTCTTGCTTTTTAACAAAAAGTTTAAGAAGTAAAAAAATAAAATAAAAAGTTTTAAAAATAAAAATAATCTTATAGAATAAGGATATACAGAAAGAAAATTATTTTTGTACGGCTATAGAATGTGTTCATGATTAAGCTAAATGTTATTTGAAAAATCAGGAAGTTAAATTAAAAGCTTATGAAGTAGAAAATGTTACAGTAAGCTAAGATTAATTTGTTATGGAAGAAATACAAATAATTATTTATAATTTTCGTATAGCCTAAGTGTATAGTGTTTACAAAGTCTACAATAGTGTACTGTAAAATATCCTAGGCCTTCACACTCACTCACAACTCACTCACTGACTCACCCAGAGCAACTTTCAGTCCTGCAAGCTCCATTCATGGTGAGTGCCCTATACAGGTGTAGTATTTTTTAACTTTTATATTATATTTTTACTGTACCTTTTTATGTTTAGATACATAAATACCATTATGTTAAAATGGCCTACAATATTCAGTACAGTAACATTCTGTACAGGTTTATAGCCTAAGAACAATAGCTATATCATATAGCCTAAGTGCGTATTGGGCTATACCATGTAGATTAGTGAGGTATACTCTACGATGTTTGCAAAACAATGAAATTGCCTAATGAGGCATTTCTCAGAATGTATTTCCTTTGTTAAGCAACATAAGACTATTTTTGTTTTGGTTTTGTTTTTGTGAGATGGAATCTCGCCCTCTCTCCTGGGCTGGGGTGCAAAGGCATGATCTCAGCATTCTGCAACCTCCACTTCCCAGGTTCAAACAATTCTCCTGCCTCAGCCTCCTGAGTAGCTAGGATTACAGGTGCGCATCACCATGCCTGGCTAATTTTTGTATTTTTAGTAGAGACAGGGTTTCACCATGTTGGTCAGGCTGGTCTCAAACTCCTGACTTCATGATCCACCCGCCTCAGCCTCCCAAAGTGCTGAGATTACAGGCACAAGCCACTGTACCCGGCCCACAAGACCGTTTTTGAAAGTAGGCTGGTATAGATACAAATATCAGGAAAAAAGGAACTTGGGTAAATAGAAAGGAATGAAGAAACGAAGAAAGACAGGAAAGAAAAAGGGAAAGTGATCATTTAAATGTTTGCTGAAGTGCCATTGTGAGTAAAGATGAGATTTGGAGTCTGTTGGTGTTGGTCCTGTAAGACTCAAGTCAAGATTAAGTGAAGATGAAGGAGGTGGAGAATGTGAGAGTTCTTGGGTGTCATGTTGGTGATCAGGATGAATGCCGACGCCATGGACTATAACAACAGCAAGTATAGAGGATCTACCTGTCCCAAGCACTGTGCTAAATGCTTCACACAAGAGTCACGATGACAATAATAATGGCCCTCAACTATATGATTAGCTTGTTTTAGGATGACATATTGATAGAATTTAATCCTCAAAGATAACGCTTTAATATTATGTTCATTACAAAAATGAGGAAATTAAAGATTTGAAAGTTGAAGTAACCCACTCAAGGTCACAAAGCTAGAAAGTGGCATAGTAATGATGGTAATCTGGATCTTAGTGTTATAAAACCCATTAATACTTTCAATTACCTTGCTGGAAGGCCCCAGTTGTTGAAAATAGGGTGGGAGGGAATCAAGAGTGTAGACCTAGAAGTCAAAGTATAAATTTAAAGAGAGCATATAGAGAGATGAGTGCATTTTAGAAGACAAAGAGGGAAGAAATTCAGGTGGCCTGATAAAAATGGTATATAGTTTTTTAAAATGTGAGACAGAGAGAGAGAGAGAGAGAGAGAGAGAGGGAGAGATGAGTGGCGAATAAGGATAAGAGAAGCACGGTGTCATTTTTTTTAATCTAGTGATTTGTTTAGCCTAATTTCAGCAGTTTAGGATGAATGGAGAAATAAAAGTTTTCATAGGGGAGAGAGGGAAAAATAAATCTCATGGGCCACAGTAAAGTAGAGGTGAGTTATAAACATTGTAACACCTGAGTGTTATAGTGTTCTGGAATATCCCTTTTGTGAAGATTTTGATGATGATAATTTACTCATGGATTAGTGAGGTCCTCAAGAGAGTTTTTCTTTTCGAAACTTGATATGCCTTGATGAAATTAAAGAAGAAGGAAAAGCATTAGTCTTTGATTTTATAATGCTTATAGTCTAAAGACTGGGGTGACCCTTTAATTTACTGACTAAACCTGGACACTTTTAGAGTGAAAGAGAGCACCTTTAATAATTTGCCGGGACAGCAGATACAGAATAGAACTGTTCCAAACAGACTATAATTTATGCTTATCCTATGAATGGAGATTATAGACAATAAATTAGTAAAGGAACAAATATATATGCAATTATAAGTTTATGAGTCCTTTAAAGGAAACAAAATTTATTTGAATAGGAAGATCACAGAAGGACTCTCTGTGGAGGTGATTAAACTAATACCTGAAGGACAAAAAGGAAAGACTCATGTGAAGAGGAAATAGCAGGGTAGTTTAATAAACCCTAAACTGAGATAGCTCAGGTAGTCCAAGGATCTGAATGGGGTGCAGTTTTGCTAAAGCACCCCTGCAAGGGGAATGGCAAGAGAGGAGGCTAGGAAAAGATCTCAGTGAGTAAGTAGGTCACACGGGATTTAATTCTAAGTGCAGTAGGAAGTTATTGAAAGTATTTATGTAGTCTAGTGAGATTATCCAACTTATGCTAAAAATGTGGATTGTGTGGTTGCTGTGTGAAAAGTATTCCACAGAAGGGCAAGAATGGCAATGAAGATTGAGACAAATGAACAGAGTCTACCTATCATCTGGAGGTGAAATGATCAGACCTGTTGATGGCTAAAGGCAGGGGTTGATGAAGAAAGGAATTAAAAATGCCTTCCAGTTTTCTGGAATGTGCCAGTGAATGGATAGCAGTGGCAATGTCTGAGATGAAGAAGTCTTTCAAACAGCAAGCCATCTAAGTAGGAACAATGAGAGCACTGATTCCAAGTTTAAGAATTAACTCAGCCAGGCACAGTGGCTCACACCTGTGATCCCAACATTTTGGGAGGCTGAGGCAGGAGGATCACCTGAGGTCAGGAATTCGAGATGAGCCTGGCCAACATGGTGAAATTCCGTCTCTACTAAAAATACAAAAATTAGCCAGATGTGGTGGTGCACACCTGTAATCCCAGCTACTCGGGAGGTTGAGGCAGGAGAATCGCTTGAACCAGGAGGCAGAGGTTGCAGTGAGCTGAGATTATGCCACCGCACTCCAGCCTGGGCAACAGAGTGAGACTCTGTCTCAAAAATCAAACAAACAAAAAAATCTCAGTTTCTCTCCACCAGTGTGAAAGTAGGAGCTCAAACGCCCACATTATCTGTTAGAATTCTTTGGTTGAAAGCAACAGAAATGGACTCAGTATAGTTTAGGCAAAGGCAATGCATGGGAAAGATAATGAGGACTCACAGAAGCAAGGGGAAACTGGAGACTCAGGCTTGGATGCAGGCAGAAGCCAAGGCACTTGTAAAGGCAGAAACCACAACTGATTAGAACCTAAACCTACTTCTGTAATGAATTGGAATGACAACCATTATCAATCTTTTTAAATCTCTGCTTAAGAAATTGTATTCAAGATGGTAGACTCCAACTGGCTTCATTTGTGTTGTGTGTCATCTTTTCATCAGACTGTAAACATGGGGAAAAGGTTAATTTCTCATATGAAGTGCGGAGAATGGTCATTGAGTAACCAAAATCAACATCTGACCTGTTTTGACCAACACAAGAGGCTGTTGGGAGTAGACATAAAACTGAAATTGCCAATGGTCCAGCAGCAATCATGAATCCACCCAACAAGTTGGGAAACTCTGAGATGGAAATGGAGTTAGGGGATCAGACTCTTCCCAAATTTTACTCAGAAGGGTACAATACAGGACAATAATAATGTTGCCCTCAATGTAAAGGAAAGAGTCATTTTCCACAAACCACTTTACTCTATGCTGATAGAAAAATAGCATAAATACTAGCATTCTTATAAGACATTTAATTTTGAATCTACATTTGATGATAATCCAGGAAAATTATTGAACCTGGGCCCTCCTCACTACATTGGGCTGATTTAGCGAATGATCTGTTAATGAGTTGTTAATCACTTATTCAAATTGGGAGGGTTGGGTGATTGAGCAGGTGCTGAACCTGGAGGAAGAATCTGCTGCAATAATACCTCGCAATTTCTATTTCTCTGAGGGAAGGCTCTTCTTGCTTGAATTCCTTATTTTTTTTCTTCCACTTTCTAGCAGAATCTCAAGCAAAATTGTCTCCTGATGTGTCCTGAAATTCTGGTGGCCAGAGTCTAGCCTTGAATGTTACATGTTGTTTGCTAATGCAGACAGTAATTATAGTACAGCAGCAGTTTGGCCATTTCAACTGAAAAGCCATATAACTTCAGAAAAGCAATTACTGATGTATCAATACATCTTCTGGCAACAACAAACTATAAAACTCTAAACAATTGTATGAAATTGTATAGTATATGAAAATATGTTTACAGGCACTATCTCATTTGATCAGATACAACAACCTCATGACATGAGAAGATGAGGAATTACTTTTCAGGTGATGCAATGGAGGATTAGAGGAGTTAAGAAACTTTGCCCAGGTCACTCAACTTGAAAGGAACAGAGCTGAATTTCAATCCAGATGTTATTGACTCCAAATTCTATGTACTCCGTGTGGGTCATGTTGTCTCTCCTAGAATCTGAAGTAAACATTTTAAAAGATAAGGAAATTGATGTAATTTATTTCACTCATGAACCATATAAATTTTGCTTCTAAATTAGTGTTCATTAAACTCTGGACAGGAGAACACTTCCTTCAGAAATACTTGGGAGGTTGGTTAACATGCAATTACAACAAAAACAAAAATTGACAAGTGGGACCTAATTAAACTAAAGAACTTCTGCACAGCAAAAGAAACTATCAACAGAGTAAACAGACAACCTACAGAATGGAAGAAAATATTCACAAACTATGCATCTGACAAAGTTCTACTATGCAGAATATATAAGGAACCTACACAATTCAACAAGCAAAAAACAAATCACCCATTAAAAAGCGGGCAAAGGACACAGACACTTCTCAAAAGAAGGCATATGCACAATGAACGAACATGAAAAAATGCTCATCATCACTAATCATCAGAGAAATGAAAATTAACACCACAATAAGATACCATCTCGCACCAGTCAGAATGACAATTATTAAAAAGTCTAAAAACAATAGATGATGGTGAGGCTGCAGAGAAAAAGGAAGGCTGATACACTGTTGGTGGGAGTGCAAATTAGTTCAACCACCGTGGAAAGCAGTTTGAAGATTTCTCAAAGAACTTAAAACAGAGCTACTATTGAACCCAGCAATCCTATCACTGGCTATATACCCAAAGGAAAAGAAATCATTATATCAGAAAGACAATGCATGCTTATGTTAATCGCTGCACTACCACAATAGCAAAGACATGGAATCAACCTGGGTGTGCATCAATGGTGGATTGGATAAAAAAAAAAAAGTGGTCTATATACACCATGGATTACTGCATGCAGCCATAAAACAGAATGAAATAATGTCTTTTGCAGCAACATGGATGCAGCTGGAGGCAATTATCCTAAGCGAATTAATGCAGGGACAGAAAACAAAATATCACATGTTCTCATTTATAAGTGGGAGCTAAACATTGAGCACACATGGTCATAAACATGGGAACAATAGACACTGGGGACCGCTAAGGAAGCGGGGGAAGACGGATTCAAAAACTACCTGTTGGGTACTATGCTCGTTACCTCGGTCCAACATACCCGTGTAATTGGGTACTATGCTCATTACCTCGGTCCAACATACCCGTGTAACCATCCTACGCATGTACCTCCTGTATCTAAAATAAAGAATTAAAATTATTAATGCAGATTTCTGCGCTCCATCCTGATCTATCAAACCAGAATCTCTGTGAGTAGGTTCCATGAATTTGTATTTTACACACTCCCCAAGTAGTGTTTATGTACACTAAAGTTTGACAGTTTTAGTCTCTCACTGATTTGCCTTACCTATTACTATGGCCAACACATTTAATAAGATTAATGACCTAACCTCTCTGCCTACAGTATATGAGAAGTATAACATTAGAAGATGAAATGGGAAAGAAAAGGAAAAGCTCTTTGAAGGTAGCACACGTATCAGGAGAGGTGATATTTGACAAACTGCTATTGAGAAATAGGAAAGAAACACTAAAAAATAGATGTAGACCTCTATTTACCTCAGCAAAACAAATCATAGAAATTACTTATGCCCATCCTGAGTCACAAAAAGAGTTTAAATTTTATTCAGTGCCCTTTTTCTGTTAATACCAGGAAAGGAATAATAAATGTTTAAAGGATTTTGAAAAACAACTTTAGATTAAAACTTATTCTGGCACTTGTGCAGATAATTTTTATGTTTGACAGCTCCTTGAAGTTTTGTTTTGTTTTGTTTTGTTTTGTTTTTTTGAACATTTGACTGTAAGTTAAATTACCAAGGCTCAAACCTCACCCCTGATGACAAGGGATTTTGTAAACATGGGCAAGTTTCTTAATCTCAGTTTGCTCACAACTGTGCAATGACAGAAGTTGTGAGGATGAAGTAAAATAATGAATGTGAGCCTCGTGCATATGGAAAAGCTCTGTATGAGTGTGAGGTATAATTATCGTCTGAATATTTTTGTATGACACTTTGTCTCTGATCATTCTGGATTAATAAGGCATCATTGCATTCTATTTAGCAGCTGGCATATGAATGCAGAATAACCTATTAAATAAATAGTGTTATGAGTCACATGAAACAATTCACCCACATATTCATGTTCCCGACCTCTGTTCCTAGTTGAAATTAGTGACCTGGTACTAAAACCCCTTCACTTACAAGTTTTCTTATTTTCAGGATGGGGCTGTGAGTTCTTACTAAGTGTCTGTCAAAAGTATGTCACAAGGATACTGGAGAATGTCTTGGAAAACTGAATTATTTGGTTATTCCTATTTTCTAGGTGTAAAATAGTATAAGGCATGAAAAATTATTTTCATTTAAGGGGGTGGTCATCAGAGATTGTAGGTGACCCCAGACTACTTGTATAATTACATTTTTTAATTAAACATTAAAATTCTTTAAAAAATCATTCCATTGAGAAGTTTTATGGAAGACTTTCAGTTGGGTTAAGTTGGGGAAATGATAAGACTGTGGTTGTTATTGTTTTGGTTATTTGCTTTACTCTTGTTTTTTGGTGTATTTTTCTTTTCCTGATTCAATTATTTTTCAAATTATTTGCCTGAAAGAATCTAACTAAGTCAGAGCGTTTAAAAAGATGAACAATATTTTGTAATCTTTTATTTTTCTGCTGAGGCCTAAATTTTCTCATTTTCTAGAGAAACAAAAAGGATGCTTGAGGCCTACTAAGCATCAATTTTTGTTTAAAAAAATGGAAAATTTTTAAATCAAGGTTAAAATGGGTAAACCTTTCACTGCAACAATATGTGTTGGTTTATTCCTTTTCTTAACTCCTTGTTGACAAATGAAATTCAAAGGAACAAGAGAGCCGCATTTTCTAATAAGCAATTTGTGTTTACAAATGCTTGTCTGATATACATTTGCCAGATTTATTAAACTCATGGTTTTAAGATACCAATTGGTTGAATTTTATTTTCCCCAAGGACCAGAAGGGAGAGATTCTTTTATTCTTTAATCATATCATCCAACAACATTCACATGAAACCATCTTGAAAATGTCTTTAATACTACAAGTATGAATATTTGATCCCAGCCAAGGAATTAAAATTTGCCTTTAAATTATTTTTCAGGACCATAGATTCCTTTTAGACAAATAGGAACCAGAATTCTAAGAGGTTAACCAAGATCCCCAAACAATACCACTTTAAAGTATGGAAAAGGGCTTGGATAAGGGACATTGTTCTCCTCAGTGTTCGAAAATTCTGCTAATCCCCATCCTTCAAAGATAAATGCATTCATTACAGTAATCGGAGAAAGGGACATAGTAAAATAAATGAAAGTTATTAAAGGAAGGGAGATGGATGGCAATTGAGGCAGCCGTTTGTTTTGCCACCACCAAATTCATTTCCAGAAAAAAAACCCTTATCAATTTCTAGGGAATGGTTTGTTCTGTCAAGGTGGATGCAGTGTTAATGTTCTTTACAGCTCTCTCAGAGCCAGTGCAGTGACACCAGTCTAAATAAGAGAAAAGGGAAGGCTTAATCACACTTGTCACTGACCAGTTATTAACATTTTCCTACAAGGGCATTAGAGGAAAAATTCTGAGAGGTCAATTTGTATTTCAAGAGTGGAGGCAAAAGAGAGAAAACTTACTTGAAAACAATGTGCTTATGGCAAGAGCAGGTGTGTTAAGTCCACTTCAAGTTGGCAGGCCTTTATTAAGAATCTTCTGTGTTACAGACAACATTCCAGGTCCTCTGTTATTCAAGGAGTTTATTGTCTAGTAGGAAAAACCGTAAAGAAAAAAAATAAATTCAACAAACATTTGTCAAAGCAATTTGAATAGACATATACACAAGCTACAAAGGAGGGATTGATGAATTCTTCCTGGAAAACTAAAAACAAGGAAAGGTTTGAGCTAGATGCTTGACTGTAGGAGAGAAAATGTCTCACAGGAGAGAGAAAGGGGAAGTTCCAGACAGAGAATATGCCTGAGCAAACACTCAGGGATTAAAAAGTAGCATGGTAAATTCTGGAATACATGGGTCCTATATTGATAAAGCATAACATTCCTGATGGAAGGAAAGAAGAGATTTGGGAACAAATGGCACCCTATTAAGCAGAACCTTGTGTTGGGAAGGCTGTAACAGGCATTTTAAGAGCAATTGTATGATCAAACTGACTTATGTAAAGTTTATTCAAGAAGTGTTTTAGAGCACGAGTTAAAAGGGATCAAGAGTGGAGACCTGGAGGCTGGTTAGGAGAATATGGCAAGATATGCAAATGAGAGATATGGTGATCTAAATTAAGACAGTAGAGGTATAATCAAGAATAGAAATAACGATAGATGTTGAGTGTATTTTTAATAATGTCTGGATTTTGACGTTGTTTTGACATAGGATAGGTGACTTATTAGATGTAGACTGATTGCCTACCTATTTCAAAGTGACCCCTGAATCAAAATCTGCTCTATTGTGTCAGCATCACATAATCCTGTGTAATCCCTTACTCTTCTCTCAGGCTCCCATTTACAAACCATTCTGCTGTACCCTCTGAAACTGTTCATACTGCTGTGTGTGTGTGTATGTGCCATATACTAACTACCTTCTTGTCTTGGTTGGCACTTCATCTCCCTTGATGCCTTTGTAAATGATACATGATTATTTTCTCACATCTATTTTAACTCTAGATAAAGAAGTACAGATACTGTCCTTCTGAATCCCAGTGGCATCTTTTTGCTCCCCCTATTAAAACTAAACTGCCTCCTTTGAAGTTTCTACACTTAGAGTGCACTGTTCTCTAAATATTACCTATTGACCTCCAATTTATTTCTCTTCAGTAATCAAGTAGTCTGTCCCATACACTTTCAGTCATTAAATATTCTATCCCATTCTCTTTATAGTCAACCCAGGCTCTGCCAGAATTCTAGCATCAACTCCCATTACCTCCAATTCCCCAAGAATGATTTATTGAACACTTTAGTTCACTTCTTTAGCCTCTTCACCTACAAATGATCCTCTCTAATCCACTCAAGTTTATTCCTTGAACTTGGTTATATGGTAGACTTCTCCACATTGCAAAATCAATCCCTAAGTCAAGCATCCACTTCTCTAATCAAAACTTGTTTCTTCCATTTTGCTTATTAAATTACTCCCATTTCAACCTTACAGTCATCTACACTCCACTCTTCACTTTTTATCTTAGGAATCCAGAATATGTCATTCAAGTAACACTGACTATAAAACCTAAACTCATTTTTTCTTCAATGTTTTGCCTCTTGTCTCTTTCAAACCCCTAACACTGAAAGACCCCAAGCAAATGTGTTCTCCATTCCTGCAACAGAGTTGCTGAGCACAAATAGAAAAAAAAGAAAAAAGAAAACACCCAACATTACAACCCCATGTTCAAGCCAAGATGAGTTCTCAACATTGACTATCAAGACTTCTGCTCCTCTATTCAACTCTTGCTCTCACTCTCCAAGTTTCTACCTCTGTTGCAAAGAGAAAATAGAAGCTAACAGAAAGGAACATTTTCGTCTTCCCATTCTCAGACATAATAATTTTCCATCCTCTAAAATCCTTCCTTTCTTCCTCTTCCGCTGCAGGATGAGGCTTGTCCAAGTTCCTGCAACATATGCTTCAATTCCATCCCTTCTGACCATCTGAAAAAATTAACCCTATTTTTAGCCCTTCTTTCTGCAACAGTTAACCTCTCCTCCTCGAATTCTTCCACTAACTTTTAATTAAGTTGAATTTACTCCAGTGTAAACAACAAATTAGAAACGAAATACAATAAAACCCTCTCTTGTCTCCAACACTTATCTCCAGCTACAGTGTTGCCTTTATCCTCCTCTTGAAAAACATATCAAAAAGATGTTTAAAATCCTTATATATAGTTTCTTCATGTCTCATCCAATCCTCAAGCCACTTCCATTTGACTATAATTCTAACCCTCAACCCTCCACTGAAACAGCTTGCACTAAGAAAACCAATGATCTTCAAGTTGTTAAATCCAAAGAAGAGTGCTCAGTCCTGCTCTTAATTGATCACAGTTTAAAAACAGAAACTCCTTCATCTTTAACTTCTGTGAAATCTGTGCTGTTTTTTCACCTACTCCTCTAGCTGTTTGATTTCTTTTTCCTTGGCACGTTCAGCTTACTTTTCTGGTACAGTAAATGTTAGAATTACCGAAGACTCAGTCAGAGGCTGGCTTTTCCTCTGAACGGTTCTTGTGTCTCCACACAAGGGGTTAGCCAGGTTTTTTTGTAAAGAGCCAAATTGTGAATATTTTAGGCTTTGTGGGACATACAGTCTCTGTTGCAACCACTCAAATCTACTGTTGTAGAATGAAAGCTGCCCCAGACAATATGTACATTGATAGGCATGGCTGTGTTCCAATGAAACTGTATTCACAAAATCAATCAGCATGCCCAATTTGTCCCAGGACATTTGCCGGACCCTGTTCTAGATAATATCTTCCATATCCATGGCTTTAATTTCTACCTAGAGATGAATCAAAAATCATCCATATCCATCCATGACTTCTCCCCTAAGTTTCAGACTGACAAGTGACATTTCCACTGGAACAAGTAAAAGACACCACAAACTCAACCAAAGTTCATATAATTAAAATAAGAGCCCACAAGGCACTTTACAAGGGCCCGCAAGGTCCTATACAATATGGACACCCACTCATTAATTTCAGACACGATTCCTACTATTCTCTCCCTCACTCACTCCATTCAATTCCCACAGCCTTCTTGCTGTTGCCTGGACATAAACATGTCAATCAAGCTTTTGCTCCAGGGTCTTTGTACTGGGTTTTCCCTCTGTCTGAATACTCCACCCTCAGATGTTCACATCACTAGCTAATTTACTTTCTTCAAATCTTTGCTTAAACATGACTTTCTCCATGAAGACTACTATAACTACACTATTTAACATTGTATCCTCCTCACTTTGATGGCTTCAATCCTTCTTATCCTTCTATATTTCTATTTCCATTGCAACCACTTTACAGGACACTATATGATTTACTTATTTATGGTACTTAATTTTTGTTGTCCACCTCCTATCACAAGAGTGTAAGCTCCAAGAGGACAGTGATGGTTTGTCTGTTGTTTTCGTTGATATATCTCAAGAGCCTAGACAAATGCCTGGTACTTGAGCTGACTTAATAAATATAATAAGAACGAACACCTAAAAGTATCTAAAGCCAAACTCACACTGCTCTCACTTCATATTCCCCATGTAACAAAAATAAAACAAATACAAACAAATACAATCAAAAACAAAACAACAAAAAACCTGGTCTTCTTCTAATGTTAGTCATTCTTGCCTTCACTTCCCATAGCCAGTCTTTCAAACATTCTTTTCATTTTGCACTAAAAAATTTTGGGGGGATTCATTCACGTCTTTTTTTCCCCCTGAATTTTTGTTCACTGCCCTGTCTAAGGAGCCACCACCTCTCACTTGAATTAATGAGATAGACTTCTAACTGGTCCTCTCATTTACTTCAGAATTTTTCCAAAGTCATTATCCATTCTGTAGCTAACTGTATAATTTTCAATATAGAACATTTTTAAATCTCTGTGCCCTCTCCATGCCACTCCTGCTTAAAACTAACCTTTAGTAGAGGGGCAGAGCAAGACGGGTGAATAGTAGCTGCCACCAATCATCCCTACCCACCCCCCAGAAACCAAATTTTAACAACTAACTACATACAAAAAAGTACCATAATAAGAATCAAAAATCAGATACTAGTTTGGCCACACTGGGGTAGAGCACCAAGCAGGCGTTTTGGGTCCCCACATCTAAGTAGACTCTTGGATAGCATTTCTGGACATGCCCTGGGCCAAAGGAGAGCCCACTGCCCTGAAGGGTGAGTCTCAGGCCCACCACCATTCACCACAAGCTGACTGAAGAGCCCTTGAGCTTTATGTGAACATTGGTGGTGGTCTGCCAGAACTCCCCATGGGCCTGTGGTGGTGGCCACCAGGATAGGTTTCTCTGCATATGGAAAGGGGAGGGAAGATCAGAGAAAACTTTTTCTTGTGGTTTGAGGCCAACTTAGCTGAAGTAGAATAGAACACTAGGTAGATTTCCAAGGTTTTTGACTCCAGTCCCTAGCTCCCAGATAGCAACTGTGGACCAACTTGGGGACTGAAGGAACTTGCTGCCCTGAAGGGAGGAGCCCTAGGACCTATAGTAAACATAGGTGGTAGCCAGGTAGTGGTTATGTGGGTTTTGAGTGAGATCCACTGCTGTGCTGGCTTCAGGCCTGACCCAGTACAATCTCAGTGCTGGTGGTCACAGTGGTACTTGCATCACTCCACCTCTAGCTCCAGGCAGCACAGCAGAGAGAAAGACTCCCTTTTTTAGGAAAAAATAAGGAAAGAGAACAAGATTCTCTGCCTGGTAATCCAGAGCATTTTTCTGGATTGGATATTATCCAAGACCATCAGGGTGGTAATTCTATGAGTCTACAAGAACTACAGTACTATTGGGCTTGGGTCTCAAGTCCCTTTGAATACGTGGAAAGCCTTCCCCAGAAAAACAGGTATAAATAAGCCCAGACTGTGAAGATTATAATAAATACCTTACTCTTCAAAGTCCAGACACAAACAAACCTCCACAAGCATCAAAATTATCCAGGAAAACATGACCTCACCAAATGAACTGAATAATACCAAGGGCCAAACCTGGAAACACAGAGATATGTCACCTTTCAGAGAGAGAATTCAAATTAGCTGCTTTGAGAAAAGAAACTCAAAGCAATTTAAGATAGCACATAGAAGGAACTCAGAATTTTATCAGATAAATTTAACAAAGAGATTGAAATAAAAAGAATCAAAGAAAAATTCTAGAATGAAAATATGCAACTAAAATACTGAAGAATGTATCAGACTCTCTTAACAGGAGAATTAATCAGGCAGAAGATAGAATTAGTGAGCTTGAAGACATGCTATTTGAAAATACACAGAAGGGACAAAAGAAAAAAAAAGAATAAAAAAGGATGAAGCCAACATACAAGATTTGGAAAATAGCCTCAAAAGGGCAAATCCGAGTTATTGGCTTTAAAGAGGAGACAGAGAAAGACATAGGGGTAGAAAGTTTATTCAAAGGGATAATATAAAAGGACTTCTAAAACCTAGAGAAAGATATCAATATTCAAATACAAAAAGATTATATAACACCAAGAAGATTGAGTCCAAAGAAGACTACCTCAAGTCATTTAAAAACCAAACTCCCAAAGGCAAAGGATAATGAAAAGATTAGAAAAGCTGCAAAAGAAAAGAAACAAATAACATACAAGTGTTCCAATAAGTTTGGCAGCAGACTTTTCAGTACAAACTTCATAGGCCAAGAGAGAGTAGCATGACAAATTTTAAGTGCTGAAGGGAAAAAGCTTTCACCCTAGAATAGTATATCTGGCAAAAATATCCTTCAAGCATGAAGAATAAATAAAGACTTTTTTAGACAAAAAAAAAAAGCTGAGAAATTTTATCAACATCAGGCCTCTCTTACCAAAAATGCTAAAGGAAGTTGTTCAGTCAGAAAAAATATGTAAATGGGCAATAAGAAATCATCTTGAAGGTACAAAACTCACTGGTAATAGTAAGCCCACAGAAAAACACAGAACATTATAAATTTGTATTTGTGGTGTATAAACTACTCTAATCTTAAGTAGAAAGACTAAGTTGATAAACCAATCAAAAATAATAACTACAACAACTTTTCAAGACATAGAGAATACAATAAGACATGAAGAGACAAAAAACAAGAAGTTGAAAAGTGGACTAACAGAGTTAAATTGTAAAGTTTTTATTAATTTTCTTTTAGCTGGTTTGTTTTTGCAACCAGTGTTAAGCTGTCATCAGTTCAAAATAATGGTTGTAAGTTAGTATTTGCAAGCCTCATGATAACCTCAAATCGAGAAACATACAGTGAATACACAAAAAATAAAATCATACTGCCAGAAAAAAATCACCTTCATTAAAAGGAAGACAGGAAGAAAGGAAAGAAGGAAGAGAAGACCACAAAACAATCAGAAAATAAATAACAAACTGGAGAGAGTAAGTCCTTACTTATGAATACTAGCACTGATTGCAAATGAAATAAACTCTCCAATCAAGACACAGAGTGCTTGAATGGATTAAAAAACAAAAAATACCCAATGATCTGTTGCCCACAAGAAACACACTTCACCTATAAAGATACATGTAGACTGATAAAAAGATGGAAAAAGATACTCCATGCCAATGGAAAATAAAAAGTACCAGGAGTAGCTATAATTATATCAGGCAGAATAGATTTTAAGACAAAAACTGTAAGAAGAAACAGGAAAGGGCATTTCATAATGATACAGTATTCAGTTTAGCAAGAAGATACAACAAGTATAAATATATATGCTCCCAAAGCCAGAGCACCTAGATAGATAATGCAAATATTATTCCAGCTAAAGAAAGGGATAGGCTTCAATACAATAATAGCTGGAGACTTCAACATTTCTCTTTTAGCATTGAACAGGTCTTCCAAACAGAAAATCAACAAAGAAACATCAGACTTAATCTCCACTATAGAACAAATTGACCCAATAGATATTTACAGAATATTTCACCCAACAGCCGCAGAACGCACATTCTTCTTCTCAGCACATGGATCATTCTAAAGGACAGACGTTATGTTAGGTAACAAAACAAGTCTTAAAACATTCAAAAAATTGAAATAATATCAAGCATCTTCTCTAACTGCAATAGAACAAAATTAGAAATCAATAACAAGAGGAATTTTGGAAGCTATACAAACACACAGAAATTAAACAATATGCTCCAGAACAACCACTGGGTCAATGAAAAAATTAAGAAGGTAATTGAAAAATTTCTTGAAACAAATGATAATAGAAACATAACATACCAAAACCTACGGGATACAGCAAAAGCAGTAGTGAGAGACGAAATTATAGCTATAAGTGCCTACATCAAAAAAAAAGAAAAACTTCAAATAAATAACCTAACAATTCATCTTAAAGAACTAGAAAAGAAAGAGGAAAGCAAACCCAGATTTAGTAGAAGAAAAAACATAATAAAGAACAAAGCAGAAATAAATGAAATTGAAATTAAAAATATATAAAAGAACAATGAAACAAAAAGCTGATTTTTTGAAAAGCTAAAGAAAATTGACAAACCTTTTGCCATAGTAACTTAAAAAAAGAGAGAGAAGATCCAGATAAATAAAATCAGAAATGAAAAAGGAGAAATTCCAACTGATACTGCAGAAATCCAAAGGGCTATTAGTGGCTGCTATGAGTAACTACATGCCAATAAATTGGAAAATCTAGAAGAAATTGACAAATTCCTAGATACATACAACTGACCAAGATTGAATCAGGAAGAAACTCAAAATCTGAACAGACCAATAACAAGTAACAAGATTGAGGCCATAATAAAAAGTTTCCCAGAAAAGAAAAACTGAAGACCTGATGGCTTCACTGCTGAATTCTACCAAACATTTAAAGAACTAATGCCAGTCCTTCTCAAACTATTTCAAAAAATAGAAGAGGGGCTACTTCCAAACTCATTCTACAAGGCCAGTATTACCCTCATACCAAAACCAGACAAAGACATATTATAAAGAGAAAACTACAAGCCAATATCTCTGATGAATACTCATCCAAAAATCCTCAACAAAATGCTAGCAAACTGAATTCAACAGTACATCAGAAAGATCGTTTATCATGACAAGTGGGATTTACCTCTGAGATGCAAGAATGGCTCAAAATATGCAAATCAGTCAACATGATACATCATATCAACAGAATGAAGAATAAAAACTATATGAGCATTTCAATTGATGCTGAAAAGGTATTTGATAAAATGCAATATCCTTTTATGATAAAAAAACTCAAAAAACTGGATATAGAGGGAATATACCTCAATATAATAAAAGCCATTTATATGACAGACCAACAGTTACTATCATACTGAATGGGAAAAAAATGAAAGCCTTTCCTCTGTGACCTGGAACACAACAAGGATGCCCACTTTCACCATTGTTATTCAACATAGTACTGGAAGTCCTAGATAGGGCAATTGGACAAGAAAAAAAAAGGCACAAAATTGGAAAGGAAGAAGTCAAGTTATCCTTGTTAACAGATGATATGATCTTATATTTGGAAAAACCTAAAGACTCTACCCAAACCATATTAGAATTGATAAACAAATTTAGTAAAGTTGCAGGACAAAAAATCAACATACAAACAAAAATCAGTAGCATTTCTATATGCCAACTCTGAGCAATCTGAAAAGGAAATTTAAAAAGTAATCCCATTTACAATAGCCACAAAAAGTTAAATACCTAGGAATTAACTTAGCCAGTGAAGTGAAAGATCTCTGCAATGAAAACTAAAAAACACTGATGAAAGAAATTGAAGAGGACGCCAAAAAAGGAAAGATATTCCATGATAATGGATTGGAAGAATCAATATCATTAAAATGGCCATACTACCCAAAGAAAATGTATCTATACATATAAACAATGTATCTATAAATATAGATACATTGCAATTCCTATCAAAATAACAATGACATTCTTCAAAGAAATAAAACAAATCCTAAAATTTATATAAAACCATAAAAGACCCAGAATAGCCAAAGCCATTCTGAGCAAAAAGACCAATACCAGAGGAAGGACATTCCTGACTTCAAATTATACCTCAGAGCTATAGTAACCCAAACAGCATGATACTGGCATAAAAACAGACGCATAGGCCAATGGAACTGAATAGAGAACCTAGAAACAAATCCATACACCTACAGTGAACTTGTTGTTGACAAAGGTGCAAAGAGCATACATTGAGGAAAATACAGTCTCTTCAATAAATTGTGCTGAGAAAACTGTATATCCTTATGCAGAAAAATGAAAGCAGACATCTATCTCTTGCCATATACAAAAATTCAATCAAAATGGATTAAAGACTTCAATCTAAGACCTCAAACTATGAAACTATTACATGAAAACACTGGAGAAATTTTCCAGGACATTAGCCCGGGCAAAAATTTCTTGAGTGATACCCGACAACTACAGGCAACCAAAGCAAAAATGGACAAATGGGATCACTTCAAGTTAAAAACCTTCTGCACAGCAAAGGAAATAATCAGCAAAATAAAGAGACAACCCACAGAACGGGAGAACATATTTGCAAACTACCTATCTGACAAGAAAATAGTAACCAGAATATATAAGGAGCTCAAACAACTCTATGGGAAAAAATTCTAATAATCTGATTTTAAAATGGGCAAAAGATCTGAATAGACATTTCTCAAAAGAAGACATGCAAACAGGCATATGAAAAGGTGCTCAACATCATTGATCATCAGAGAAACGCAAATCAGTACTACAATGGGGTATTATCTCACTCCAGTTAAAATGGCTTTTATCCAAAAGACAGGCATTAACAAGTGCTGGTGGATAGAAGAAAAGGGAACTCTTGTACACTGTTGGTGGGAATGTAAATTAGTACAATCACTATGGAAAACACGTTGGAGGTTCCTTTGAAAACTAAAAATAGAGCTCCATATGATCTCAAAATCCTACCCCTGGATATACCCAAAAGAAGAAAATCAGTATGTCAAAGAGATATCTGCACTCCTATGTTTGTTGCAGTACTGTTCACAATAGCCAAGCTTTGGAAGCAACCTGTGTTCATCAACAGAGGAGTGGATAAAGCAAATATGGTACATATGCACAATGGAGTACTATCCGGCCATAAAAAGAATGAGATCCTGTCATTTGCAACAACATGGGTGGAACTGATGGTCACTATGGTAAGTTAAGTAAGCCAGGCACAGAAAGACAAACCGCATATTCTCACTGATTTATGGGAGCTAAAAATCAAAACAATGAATCTCACAGACAGAGAGAGTAGAAGGATGGTTACCAGTGGCTGGGAGGGTACTGGGGAGTGAGGTGTGGGGGCAGGGAAGTAGGAATGGTTAATGGGTACCAAAAGTAGTTACAATGAATGAATAAGACTTAGCATTTGATCGCACAAAGTGTGACTATAGTCAATAATAATCTAATTGGGCATTTTAAAATAACGAAAAGAATATAATTTGATTGTTTGTAAAAAAAAAAAAAAAAAGGCTAAATTATTGAGGGGATGGATATCCCCACTTACCCAGATGTGATTATCACACATTGCGTGTCTGTATCAAAACATCTCATGTACCCCATAAATATATACACCTCCTATACCCACAAAAATTCAATATAATTTTTATTAAAAAAAAAAACAAACAAAAGAAACAACTAACCTTTAGGTAAAGCCCAAAGTCCTATTCTCCCCCTTACCACTCCTGCCATTTCTAGAACTCTCTCTATTCTTGCTACAATTGGGCTTATTTTTGTTCCTGGTCTTCACCACGACTCCTCTCTCCCTGGGGCCTTTGGACATAGTATTGCTTCTGCTTGGAATGTCAGTCACTTTGTCTAACTCTTACACTTCTCTTAGGCCTAACCAAATCATCAGTTTCTTAATAAAACCTTCCTTGACTTTTATAAGTCAATTACCAACATTAAGTGTTTTCATAGTGCACATTTATTTTTGATTTCTGTAGACTTGTGTGTCTCCTCCACAGAGGCAGCAAACTCTATGGGATCAGAAATGGTCTCTCTTTCTCTCTCTGTCTGTCACACACACACACACACGCACACACACACCCCAGTGTAATCTGAGACATTCACATAGTGGTTGGCACATAGTGGGTCTTCATAATGTAAGGAAACAGGGTGAGAAAAAAACCCAGATTTTACTTTTGAGTAGTGCGATCTCCAATTAAGTTAAGGAAAACAGAGAAGATAACGCATTTGAGTTATAATTTGTCAAGTTAGAGAAGCTCATCTATTTGATTATTTATTATTTGGTTATGTAGGTATGGAACTTGGGACAAGTCAAGTCCATGAATAGAGATTTTAGAATTCTGTTGGGATTCGATGATATTCCCTAAGAGTGGGCTGGATGATAAAGAAATCAGGAGATGGCACACCAGTTTGAATGGTTATCATTAAAAAGTCAGGAAACAACAGGTGCTGGAGAGGATGTGGAGAAATGGGAACACTTTTACACTGTTGGTGGGACTGTAAACTAGTTCAACCATTGTGAAAGACAGTCTGGCAATTCCTCAAGGATATAGAAATAGAAATACCATTCAACCCAGCCACCCCATTACTGGGTATATACCCAAAGGATTATAAATCATGCTGCTATAAAGACACATGTACACGTATGTTTATTGCGGCACTATTCACAATAGGAAAGACTTGGAACCAACCCAAATGTCCATCAATGATGGACTGGATTAAGAAAATGTGGCACATATACACCATGGAATACTATGCAGCCATAAAAAAGGATGAGTTCATGTCGTTTGCAGGACATGGATGAAGCTGGAAACCATCATTCTGAGCAAACTATCACAAGGACAGAAAACCAAACACCGCATGTTCTCACTCATAGGTGGGAATTGAACAATGAGAACACCTGGACACAGGGTGGGGAACATCACACACCAGGGCCTGTCATAGGGTTGGGGGAAGGGGGAGGGATAGCAATAGGAGATATACCTAATGTAAATGTCGAGTTAATGGGTGCAGCACACCAACATGGCACATGTATACATATGTAACAAACCTGCACGTTGTGTGCATCTACCCTAGAACTTAAAGTATAATAAGAAAAGAAATCAGGAGATGGAATTTTTATGAATTCCCTCATTTAGGAGTGGCAAAAATAAATGCTTCAGCCAAAAGGACTGAAAAGAAGGGGTTAAAGGAAGACCACAGATGGCAGAGGGTGTCAATAAGGGGAGGATGAAAGGAAATTATATTAAGTTGGAAGATACGGTAATATTGTCAAATGCTACAAATAGGTGATTTTCAATAAAGCCTGAAAAACGTAGAGAACATTTCAACAAAACTGTAAGACTAGAAGCCAGATTGCAGTAGGCTGAAAGCGAATGTAGTGAAAGAAGGGTGGGGGGTTGGGGGGTGGTTATGTACATAAGCATTTTAAGGGGCTTGACTGAGAAAGAAAAAAGAAGAAGCATGGTAGAATAAAAATAAGCATGAATTGGTTTAGTTTATTATACTATCTTTCCCAAGAGTATTTGCATTTTTAAAGAATGGTAAAAATAACACCAACCATCTTTGAAAATGTCATCACTTCTCATATACTGTGTTAAGCATGCTGTCCTTACCCTTGAAGGGAAGTATTATTATCCCAGTTTTGCAGATGAGGACACTAAGGAATTGGAAAGTTGTCTCTCAAAGTACACAGCTAATAAATGATGTACCAAGGATTCAACCCAAATCTGCCCAGCACAAATAGCTGTGTTTTGTTTTTTAATACTTAAAACCCTTAAAAAAATGTTTATCCAAATATCAGTTATCTACATGTTTTCTTCACTCTTTTGGCCTTAAATCCTCAACCATCTTTATCAATATTTACTTAATTTTTTTCAATAAATTTGCTTTTTTACTGTAGATTTGATTCATGTCCAAGGGATTTATCTGCATAAACAAAAACCCCTATCAATTGTACTTCATTGAATGCTCAATTTATTAAATATATATTTAATAATCTTTAAACAAGTTTATATAGACATGAATGGACACATATTATTAATATTTTCTTAAACAATTTAAGCCACATTTACAAATTTAGTGTGACTGATTCTTTTAGATGCTTTAAATACTTTAATAGCAAGTAAATTATACAAAAATATAGATATTATCTCTGTTCTGAAAAAACCACCATGCTTAGTCTAAAACCTATTCTAACTTATGAGTACCATGGTTTAGTTGATTTTCTCATTATTTATGGACTTTTTAAATACTTACTTAGCCTATAGTTATTGTGATACCTACCAAAGATTGTTAAACTTATTCAGATATTTCTCCAAGGTTGAAGATTTTACCAGACAAAAAGGATAAATAATATCATTTCAGACCAGCCAATATTACAAGACCTGGGTTATAAGTTAATGGCTTACTGGTCAGGATGTAACATGTGGTTGCTTTTTCCAAATATGACCCAACCTTAAGGCCTTACATCAGATTCAGCTTCCTTCTTATGTTTTAACTTCATTAATTATATCGATAAAGCCTTTGGACTCCATGTATTCTATTTAGCTTTGCGTATTTTTCCACTTGGGACCTTTCCACAGAATGATAGTCTCTTGGAGTCTTATTTACCTGGCATTGCTTGCTGTCCTGCAACCATAATATATCTATCTCCCATCATAATATATTTATTCATTTTGTTAACATTTTTTAAAACAAATGAATGCCTCACCAGCACCTAGTTAGAAGTGTCAGTTGGAGGTCGTATGTCATAGGTGATGTCAAATCCACTGCACATTTAGACTACTTTCAGAGGTAGAGGGTATTTGACTCATATGTTATCCTGAAACAAACTAAAATTTGGTAATAAGTTATAATTTTGCTTATTAACCAATAGACCCTTTATAACTGATAGTTTAACAAGATTTATATGACAAATTTTATAGATTTATTCTTAATGAGTTCTTGGTACAGTTCCTAATTTGCCTAGGACTATCTGACTTACTTCAAGTTTCCTGTATTTATGAATTTATATTTAAAAACATAAAAACAAGCACATATCTGTGCCTTGCAATTATGTACCTAAAAGAATAAATTACTCAGATATGATAGTATTTGTCAACCAATTAAACAAGTAAAATTAAACTATTTTCGATTTCATTTTTCTTTGGTATGAAACATTCTAGCTTTTCATAATTTTTGTAATTAACCATATTACTATTTCCTTTAATATCCAAATTATCATAACTTTCCCAGTAATGTTCTTTAAGCCAGTTTTTTTTGTTTATTATTACTGCTCTTGAACTTCTTAAAAATATACCTGCTTTCTGTCAATAATAGTCTTTTCTAGAGCTATATTGATTTTTTTTCTTGTCTCAAACTGTTTTCTATAAATCTTGATTCTTCTTTAATGGGGAACATTAGAAACCAAAACCAGGGTGCTAGGAGCGAACATAAATGTTAGTGATGGGCAAAGGCACTGTGGATGATGCTGGTTTATTTTAGAGTGAGAGCTAAAAGGGGTCATTCATGTCTTTCCTTTTTCTTCAGTTTGACATGATAATTAATGTCCTCTATTTTAGTAACAGCTAGGATTTTCATTACTATTACACCTATTATGTAGACAAATAATTTGCTTTTAAAATGAAACTTTGTATCAGTATTGTAAACAACTACCAATACTATTTGGCATATGTAAAAGAAAACACTAAAAATAAGTACAGTAATAGAGTTTAACAGTGCAGTTTGTAACACACACACACACACTCAACCAAAGATACATGTCTAGAATAGTGATTTTGATGGCAGTGGCGGGCCATCTGGAGCGGCTGCTGCCATCACGTTGGCTGCAGCCAGGAGGCACAGCCGGGGCTGCAAACTCCATGAAGCCAGCAGGAGCTGTGGACAAGCGGGAACCCCGTCCCTTCCCAGTCGGTGCAATAGCACCCTAGGTGCCCGTGCAGCTTCCCAAGCCATGGCTGCAGACCTGGGCATATCTGTGCACTAAGGACCCAGAAGCAGGCCAGAGCCCCACCCTCCCAGGCACAGCTGCAGCTGTCCAAACAGTGGTTACAGACCCGGGCCTCCTGCTCCATAAAGCAGACAGAAGCCAGGTAGAGCTACAGCCACCCAAACCTCGGCTGCAGACCCAGGCCTCCAACTCCAGGGAGCAGGCAGGAGCCCCGTCCTGCCAGTGCAGATGCAGCCACTCAAACCACAGCTGTGGACCCAGGAATCCCTGCACTGTTGGGGTCCAGGAAGTGCCCCTGCCCTCACAGGCTCAGAAGTTCCTGCTCTCACTGCCTGGATTCTCCCTGCTGTCAGTGCCCACTCCAATCTTGGAGCAAACTTGGGGCTGAACTTGGGTGCTGTTGCAGCCTGGCTGGGGGTGCACATGCTCAGGGCAGTGCCGCCTTGGGCCCCTCAGGACTTTGGGCACTGACGAGCATAGGAGGGAAGTTGAGAGGTGGGGCTGAGGGCTGCTCTGCACTGGCCTGCAGATGCCCCTTGGCACCTACAGCCTGGGCGCCATGAACAGCACAGACAGGCTCCTGGGCAGGAGGAGGTGGGTCCTCACTGAGGCCCCGCATTCAGGACAGGAAGGGCCTGAAGGCTGGGTGCCAGGCTGCCAGTTCCGTGGACAAGAGTAGGAACTTGTGATGCCTTTTTCGGGCCCACCCACGGCCACCCATGGACCAATTGGAGTGCACTTCCCCCGCTCTGGGACCCATAAAAGTCCCAGACTCAGCCAGAGCTGAGCAGACAATGAGATGACCAATGACCAATGCAGAGGGGAGCACCACACTCTAGGGCCTCCTCTCTCCTGAGAGCTGCAGACTATGGGACCACCTTCCTGCAGACAGGAGTCACCCACTCTAGGGCCTCCAATCTGCTGAGAGCTGCAGAGATGACAGAGAGACGATGGGAGGAGGTGACGGGATGACCTGCCTGCAGAGAGGAGCCACCCACTCTACGACTTCCTCTCTGCTGAGAGCTGTGCAGATGATGGGACAGCCAGCTGCAGAGAGGAGCTACCCTCTCTGCTGAGAGCTGACACTTGTCAGGGCAACTTGCCTAGCAGAGGAGCTACCCTCTCTTCTAGAAGCTGAACACTCATCAGGACACCCTGACTGCCGAAAGGAGCTGCCTCCTGCAGGTTTCCTCTCGGCTGTTCTATCACTCAATAAAGCTCCTCTTTGTCTTGCTCACCTTCCACTCACCTGCATACCTCATTCTTCCTGGTCACAGGACAAGAACTCAGGACCCAACAAATGGTGAGGCTAAAAGAGCTATAACACTAACAGGGCTGAGACATGCCTCTTGCTTGCCACCTTGCGGGCGAAGAGATGGAAAGAAGGGCTGTGGCCTTTCAGGGAGCCCAGACCTGGGAGCTCCTCAAGCCAAGGCTGTGCCTCCCTCCTTGGGGCCCTGTGGTTCCTGGCATCTCCATGTTCCCCAGTGCCAGCCATGGAAGCTGCTTGTGGTGCAACTGGTCTGACTCCAGCCTTGCAGAGAGCCAGTGTTCGTGCCAGCACCTGGAGCTGCCTGACCTACTGTAGCCAGTATGTCTGACTGTGTTCAGTGGCTGGACCCCACGCTTGCTCCTACACCCCTCACTGTTCCATGCCTGACTCACCCTTGGCAGGCATACGACCGAGGTTGGTAGCATGAGCCAAGCACAGCCTGCCAGCCTGAGTGGGAGAAACGAGCTCAGTGGGCCTCAGCAAAACTTGGGCAAAGGCGCCACCAGCCACAGAGGTTTCTGGCCGGAAAAGATCCCATAACAGTTTAAGGAGCTTTGAGGGGCCACTCCACAGTGAAACAATCACAACTGCTGACAATTATTTTTAAAACAACTATTTGAAGTCTCTGGAAATTGTTATAATGTCATGCAGCAAATGAGGAAACATTGATTCAAGAAAATCAACTAAATACTGATACAACAGGAGCTATGGCACTTGAACCATGACATGTTCCCTCTGCTCCCTTGGCCCAGATCAGCATGATGAAAGCCCCACTCTGTGGAGGGTTGCTAAGAAAACAGACTGCACTCTCCTACAACTCCCAATCAAAGGCTACAGTGCTTCTCTGGGAGGAGCAGCCTGCAGGCATTCCTCATTACCCATAACTTCCTGTTAAAGAGGCTAAATTCTAGATCAGTATGGCTAAGAGGTCAATAGCTCCCTTTCTCCTCCCAGCCCCCACCCATAGAGTGGAGGTTATGTGCCTAGGCATGGCCGTCAGAGAACTTGGGGTCCCAGATTCTCTTTGCCACAGCTTGCATGTCAGGAAGAGTTTCCATGCTGTCAGAGAAAAGCCCAGAAGAGCAGAGCAGAAGCTACTGCCTACATCCAGTACCGTGACTATAAAGCAAGGTGTCACTTTTGTATAAGCAGGTCACTGTGCCTGACCCCATCTCCAGATCAGTGGTGTAAAGATTTTGCCCAGGGAAAAAGGCAGGTCATAAGAACAGAAAATGTGAAACTTTCCCAAAGAAACAAACTTTATTTGAAACAGAGCATAGGAAAGTTCAAGCTTTGAAAACCATGGAGATTTTTGTGGTAAGTAGTTAAGAGAATGTTGGTAGCTCTATGAGAGCAATAAGATAAAGTAGAGTTCTGCTATTTTATTTCAGAGAGAACCAGGAAGAAACAACTAAGAAGAGCCCTTCTAGGTCAGAACTAAGCTCAAACACTGGCTTCAAAAAGTACCCCTGTACAGGGTCACAAGTTTAACTGGATAAAACTATGAAACCATTTATGCCCCGGCTATAGTCAAGAACAATAGAACAATTAACCAACAATTAGTGAAGCTAAAGCTGGATATAATGCCAGAAGAGGCAGAGTTTAACATGAAGAGAGACAGTGAAAGAAAGCCTGCTGAAACACTGTCATCCCAGGGTGACTGTGCGCATGCCCAAGGCTACACCCTCTAAAGAGTGACTTCAGAGGCTTCACACTATGAAAAAAAAATAGTTTAGCTAAACCACTAAGAAAATAAACAAGCAAACAACAACAGGAAGCCCTAGAAGGGAGGGAGCAGTATTTAGAGTTGCGAAATTATCTAAAAATGTCCAGTGAAACAAACAGAAAAGTATGACTTGTATATAAAAGCAGGCAACAGAAACCACCTTTGATGCTTTTGAAGGGGCTCAGATGTCAGACTTAACAAAGATTGAAAAAGAGTCTCCCTATATTTAAAAGGGTAAAAGGAAACCATGATTAAAGAAAAAAAAGAAGGTATGATGATAATCAGTAATCAAATAGGACTATAAATAGAGAGATATAAATAATTAAAATAAAAAAGAACCAAATGGAAATCCTGGATTTAAAAGTACAAAAACTGAAATAAAAATTTTACTAGAAAGGCTCAACAGTACATTTGAACTTGCAGAAGAAAGAATTGGCAAACTTGAAGATAAATATAAAATATATAATCTGAATAACAGAAAATGAATGAAGAAAATTAAGAGCCTCAGAGAAATAGATGATGACATAATGTGTACTAAAATACTTGTAACAGGATTAGTAGACATAGCTGAGTAAAAAAAGAAGGAGAAAAACATTCCAAAAATTTTCTAGAAAACGATGGCTGGAAACATCCTAAATTTGACAAAAAGTATTAATCTCCACATTTAAGAATATCAAGAGGCTGGGTATGGTGGCTCATGCCTGTAATCCCAGCACTTTGGGAGGCTGAGGCAGGCAAATCATAAGGTCAGGAGTTCAAGATCAGCCTGGCCAACATGGTGAAACCCTGTCTCTACTAAAAAATACAAAAAATTAGCTGAGTGTGGTGGTGCGCACCTGTAATCCCAGCTACTGGGGAGGCCAAGGCAGGAAAATCGCTTGAACCCAGGAGGCAGAGGTTGCAGTGAGCTGAGGTCGCGCCACTGCACTCCAACCTGGGTGAAAGAGCAAGACTCTGTCTCAAAAAAAAAAGAAAAGAATATCAAGAACTCCAGGTATATTACATGCAAAGTTATCAATATCCAAACATATTATAGTAAAAACACTGAAATAAAAAGACAAAAATCTTAGAAGCAGCAAGAAAGAAATGACTTGTCATGGACAAGGAAACCCTAATAAGATTAAGATCTTACTTTTCGTCAGAAACAATGTAGGCTAGAAAGCAGTTAATTATATATTCAAAATGTTGAAAGAAAAAATGTAAACCGAGAATCTTATAACCAGAAAAACAATTCTACAAAAGTTAAGGCATAATAAAGATATATCCAGATAAACACAAGCTGAGAGAATTCATTGCTAGCAGTACTAAAGGAAGTCCTTCAGGCTGAAAATGCAATTTTGCCAAGAAAGACCAACTCCAAAAAGTAAATGAACCAATATGGAAAAAAAAAAAGAGCACCAGAAAAATTTATTATGTAATTATAAAAAAGTATATTTCTTCTTTCTCCTCGATTTATAACTACAAATACTACAAAATAAAAGAACACCAGAAAAGTTAATTATGTAATTATTTAAAAAGTATATTTCTTCTCCTTTCTTCTCAATTTATACCTACAAATACTATAAAACAAAAAGCACCAGAAAAGTTAATTATGTAAGTATAAAAATTATAAAATTATATAAATGTATATTTCTTCTGCTTTCTTCTCAACTTACAGTATTTATAGCTATAAATTGAGAAGAAAGCAGAAGAAGTATACAAGATCTAAAATCAGGAACCTAATTTTCCAAATAAGGTACTGGTATAAGAAAAGCAAGCTAGCCTAAAACAAGCAGAGAAATGACATCATAAATGTTAGTATGAAAGTTAATGAAATACAGAAAGAAAAACAATAGTGAAAATCAACAAAAGCAAGAGTTGGTTGTTGAAAAAGATCAACAAAATTGACAAACTTTAGCTAGACTGACCAAGAAAAATAAGAAAGAAGACTTAAAATAATAAAATCAAGAATGAGAGCTTGTTTGGAAGTTGTAGCAGGGGAGCGCAGCTACTCTTAGACCCTTGACTGAAGACCAGTCCTCTTCTATCAAGGATGGTCATCCTTTTCCACTAAGCATGCAGCTTCAGAAGGGGCGGACATGGAGTGGTGAGGGGGACAGCTGCCTAGCCAACCGGATCAGCCAAAACAACCCTGGCGATCAATGGGGTGGCAAATGTCACAGCCACATCCCCCTCACATCCATAAAATCAAGAAAGAAAGAGAGATATTACTAGCAACCTCACTGAAATAAAAACTAAGAGATACTAAGAACAACTATATACCAACAAATTAGAAAACCTAGAGGAAATGTATAAATTCCTAGAAAGATACAAACTACAGAATCAACAGAAAATGTACATGGACCTGTATCAAAATTCTTTAGAGAGGTCAGAGAATGAGGCCTAAGGAACGATTATTGTATTTAGTGATCTAGAGATTACTCCTATGACTTTCTGGAATTTATCCCAGAAAAGTAAAATAAATTTAACAAGAAAATCAATTAATATGACATACTCTTTCAGTAGAAATAGAGAGAAATGACCCCCCAAATAGATGCTGAACTAAGTATTTGACAAACTTCAACACATATTCATGACAAAAACACTCAACCAACTACGATTAGAAGGAAACATTCTCAAACAGACAAAGGATATCTATGAAAAAAAAAGAAAACCCATAACTAACACCATACTTAATAGTGAAGAGACAGAATACTTTTCCCTCAAGTTCAGGACCAAGATAAGGATGCCTCCTCTTGCCAATTCTGTCCAACACAGTATTGGATCTTCTATTCAAGACAATTATGCAAAGAAAAGACATAAAATCATCCAGAGTAAAATTATTTCTATTTGCAGACAACATGATTTTGTATGCAGAAAATACTAAGGAATCCACTAAAAAGCTGTTACAACTAACATGCAAGTGCAGCAAGGTTGAAGGATGAAAGATCAATATACAAAAATCAACTGAATTTCTACACCCTTGCAATGAACAATACAAAAATGAAGTTTAGAAAACAGTTCTAATTATAATAGCATAAAATAGAATAAAACACTTAAAAATAATTTAATAGAAGGAGAAAAAAAATATGCTCTAAAGAGAAACCGCAAAACATTGGAAGGGATTACAGAAAACTTATATAAATGGAGACATTCAATTTTCATGGATGGGAAGATAATGTCGTAAAGATGGGAATGCTTCCAAAACTGATCTCCTCGCTTGAGCCTATGAGGTCAAGGCTGCAGTGAGCCATGTTCACATCACTACACTCTAGGCTTGGTGACAGAGCAAGATACTGTCTCAAAATAATAATAACAATAATCTTCAAATTAAATACAGTGTCAATCAAAAGTCCCACTGATTTCTTTACCAAAATTGACAAACTGATTTTAACATTTATATAAAAATGTAAGGGATCTCATTTTCTAAGAGCATAGGAAAAAGGTTTCCTACTCAGCCTGGACATCTGGGGATTCAGTGAAGACTTTCTTCTGGCAACAATTATTGAATTTAAAGCCATCATTCCTGTATGTGAGAGAGAGAGAGAGAGAGAGAGAGAGTGTGTGTGTGTGTGTGCATAAAAGAGAAAGTGAGAGAGAAGGAGAGAGGGACCACATCGTGGTGGGGTATTCCATAGAAAACTACATAAAATTCAGAAGTAATATAGAATCAGATGAAAAGTTAGCCAAGGTTCTAATAGAGTTAAATTACTCAAACTTGGATGTGAGGGTGATCTAGCTATAACATATGTCATCGCATTGATCACCAGGGTTGATTCCGCTGATCTGGCTGGCCAGGCAAAAGTCCCCTTGTCCCCTCACCGCTCCATGTGTGTCCCTCCTGAAGCTGCATGCGCACTTGAAGAGGACGACTATCCCTTGTAGAGGAGGACCATTCTTCAGTCAAGGGTATACGAATAGCTGTGCTCCTCTGCTCGAATCTGCAAACAAGCTCTCAAAATTAATCCTATGCCCACTCTAACTATTGATGGAATTGGGGTAAAAAACATGATGTGACCCAATTTACATTTTGCTTCTGAGTTTTGGTGGTTGGATTCTTTGGGGAGAATAGAAGCAGAGAGGAGAGAGAAGAGGAGGAAACTGAAGACAGTATAGATGATTAAGGGATTACTGCAATAATAAAGGCAAGAAATGATGACAATATTGGTGAAGCAAGCACTAGAGGGAGAGCAGATTCAAGAAAGATTGAGGAGGCTAAGAGAAAGTGTTATGATGTGTCTGTGAGGTGGGTGATATCGCGAGTGGTGGGTGAGAAGAGGGAGGAAGCAAGGATCAGGCCCCGATTTCCAACAGAATGACCCAGTAGTATCTGAACTAACAAGTGAGCTAGAGAATATTGGAGAAAGACTGAGTTTAGGAAAAGCTGCAACATTTTTGTTCTTGAAGATCAGGCACGTGTCTTTCTCATCTAGTAGCCCCAACATATATCACAGTACCAGTCAAATAGCTTACTAAACAAATTACAATAGTACTAGATTCCCAGACCCGCCATCCAAAGCCTCAAATTTCTGCTGTGCCAACACCCCAAAAGCCAAAAAGGAAACAGTTAGTGTTAGGGGGAAATGCGGGAAGCAGTAGCCAACATTCTACTGGTTTCTGAGCCTGCCTGGTATTCCATAAAATGAAGTGCTTGCCAAAGTTCATGGTGACAGAATTGCAGAGGAGAGAAGGATGCTATTGGAGTGGAAAAACAAGGCTGCTTTGCAGAATTTTGATTTACAGCCTCGGCTGTAAATGACAGTTGTTCCACTAACTTCCTTTTGCTAATGCAAGAACAGCTTTTGCAGTAATAACATATTTCAGCGTGAATGTCTTTTTAATAATCCTTAATTTGAGTCCTAATTCCCTTGATAGCCACTTTGAGGAGACAACTGCATTCCAAAAGTGACACTGCATGAGCGCATTTGAGGAAAGACCAACCATATGCACACACACACACACACACACACACACACGCAAGCACAGACACGATCAGAGAAAGATGTTACATGTATTTTAACACATTATCATATTTCTTAAATCCGATGACATCAAAGGATTACCCTGAACCTTTTAATAAGTAATCATTCCAAATTTCATAGGCATCAGCAACTAACAGTCAGAATCTGATCAGGACGGAGGTAAAAGATGAAGGTGCTGTGATAAAAAGAGCAATAATAAAGACAAAAAGAATAAGAATAAAGGCAAAAGCACAACTCATAATGTAGCCACAGAAGTCAGGGAAAGTCTACAGCAATGGGGATAGCTGAATATAGTTTATCATGGGATCCAGTATAATTTAGAAACATTTTTTTAAACCAGTGGAGAGAGCCAACAAGCTAAGTTGGGATCAATGAGTTGACATTGATGGGTCCGAGTAACAAAGCTGCCAAGAAAACATAACTGCCGACAAAGAAATATGTGTGTGCCCTCATCTTTCCCCTCCTGAGCCCTAGGTAGAACAAATTTATTTTTGTGTAATAGAAAATGGCTCACAGCAGCACCCTCACACTCCTCATCCATTCCCAACTGTCTTCCAGACTTCTCACCTGCAGTAATTCTTAACTCTTGCTCTGAGAACAGCTTCATGAGACCAGCCTTGCAATTTAGGTCACAAGGCTCAGAGGGGCTCAGACTTCATGCAAGAAACATCAGTAGTGCCGTGTGGTTGCACAGCACACTTCGCCTGGCCTGTTGTGTAGGAAGAAGAAAAGCCCATTCATTAATTAAGGGTAAACCAAAGATCCACCTATTGGTATCCATTATTATTTCTTGTTTTACCTTCCAGGCAGAGTCAAGTTTCCCCGTCATCACAGTTTTTTGCTTGTTTCTTTATCAGCCTACATTCTTCCTTTATTACACTTATCAGAATATTCTTGAACAATTACTTTTGTAGGTAATTTTCTGTTGTCTTTTTCCCGGACTGTGAGCTCCATGATAACAGGCACCGTGTCTGTCATATTCACTGACCGCTTCTCAGAATCTCAGCAACATGCAACAGGTATGTGTTTAGGGGTGGAGGGAGGAAGATAGAGATGAAAAAAGAGAGGTAGGAATAAGGAAGAAAAGGAAACAGAAAAGGAGAAAGAAAAGGACAACTCGTAGTTACTCATGAGCTGACTATACAGCTAAAACATTTCTCAGGTGTTTCGGTTCCATAAATTTTATAAACATTTGGGCCACATAACCCCCATCAGAGTTTTGCTTATATAAAAAAATAAATGGGCAAAGTACGATTCGGGTCCCACTTGTTCCAACATGTGCCTGCTACTGGCCTGCCGTTTTTGCGTCTATTATGGCAGAAGAGGGAATGGATAATCAATTCTATATTCTATGGAATTTCAGGCCCAAGGACCAACAATGCAAATATTTAACCAGAAACAAAAGCACAGCATGGTGAGCTGAAAAAAAAAATACAAAGTAAACACAAGTTTATTTGCCACAGTTACCTATCTTATTAATAATAAGAGGTCACAAACATCATGAAAATCTTTTAGCTTGAATAAAATAAACCAATTTTTTCTGCTTTCTAGTAATGCTACAAGTGCCAAAAATATTATGGTGGTCTCCTAAATGTATCCTCTCATTCTTTCAAATTTTCCAAAACACCTGAGTTCTACAGGACTGCCCAATAGAACTTTGTGCAATAATAAAAGTGTTCTTCACCTGCGCTGTCTCCAATGTGGTAGCACTAGCCACATGGGGCTACAGAGTACTTGAAATATGACTGGTGCTACCAAAAATTAAAATTTTATTTTATTTTATTTTATTCACTTACATTTACATTTAAATAGCCCCATGTGTCTAGTGATTACTGTGTTGGACAGCTCATGATAACACCAAAATGACTTGGCTAATGGGAAAGACTGGCCTCTGCTTCAAACTCTGTGACTTTCTGATTTTTATAACATTCTGAGTAGGCACTTATAGCAATGTCTGACTATACTGCAGCTGACAAGCCAATAACTGCAGATACATTAAGATATACAAATAAAACTTGGTGCCTCTTTTCCACAACCTGGATTGAAATGGGCATCTCTGGAGTCACCCCTTTGGTTTACACAACAAAGCATGGGGCCATTTTCTCCAAAATATCACATTAGAATACACATGACTTATGTGGAAAGAATCCTGTAACTATATGTGCTGGTGGGTGGAGGTGATACCAAATGTGAAAGACAGTCTTGGGCAAGATGAATCAGGGGAGATTTGGGAGGTTCTAATTGAGAGAAGTAAGATTGTTAGTTCACATTCTGAGTCTTGGAAAATCAGGACATGAGAGTGAATATATTAGTTTATGCCAGATTATACACTAGTGCCAGCTGGTTTGAATGCCACCACCAACACTATAGGCTGCCAACCCTTATCCTAGATCATGGGACACGTAGGGATAAATTTCCATGGATAGCTAATTCCAAAAGTGCAAAAAACTTTAGGAATTATCAGAAGATGCTAGTTATTGACATTTTCTCTCCCTTTTTTTCCTTTTTTACTCCCTCCCAATCTTTTACTTAATCGGTAATCATTTATTGGCTGTCTATCATGTTCCAGACACTGTAAGGAGCATTAGTTCTATGCTAGTTCTATATTAGTCTTAGACCTTAACCTTACGAAAGCCACATTATGTTGAAGAAGCAAACGAGTGACTTAAAAATCATTTAAAAAACCGGCTTTCAAAAATTATGGGCTTTTGCTTCATACGAATTTGAATGAACACATTGAATTGGGTCTAGAGACCACTATCACCAATCCCACTGCCCTCTCAGCACGCACACACACACATACACAACGATTTTTCATACACTAGTGAAAAAAAAAATCCCTGGAAAATGACATGGTGGGCTTTTTTCTTCTTCTTTTGCTTCATTTTTATACAAAATATCCATATGATGATTTTTCCTCACCTTTATTCTTCCAGACTTTCAAAGGCAACCACTGTTCAAAATTTCTAAGCCTTTTTATTAATTCACTTTGATTTTGCTTCAGATTTTACACTACTAAGGATACTAGGTCCTAGTCAATGGGATGAGATGGGAACCACACTAAGATCCTCATGCTGCTATCCAGGCTGGCAAGCTCTGCAGACACACACATTTGATAAAAGCATTAGCTTGGGCAATGGTATTATTGGGTTGTTGCCACTAATTTGGAGATGGGGGGATGTTATCCTGACACACTTCTATTCCGGAGAGACCCATAGATTTTATAATTGAGTGAGTTTAAAATGTGAAACAGATTGGCTTTGCTGGCAAGCTCCGAGCACAGGTGTGTTTATTTCTTCATGAAACAATGGTACTCCTACACAAAGCCCCAGGACCCCAGATGGATCCCCTGTTTCTCTCCACACAGCCTTTTCACCTGAATCACAGATGGAAACCACTGAACTCATTCCTTACTCCTCCTATTTTTCTCTTACACTCGCCTAATTACCCATAAATATTGCTGAGTTAGTTTTCAAGGACATATTTATATATTTTTAATCATATCTCTTAGTTTCCCAATAGAGCATACAAGATGTTTTAATAATCTGAGGCCTGATGTGAATGAATAGCTCCCTTCAGTAGTGAAAGTACAACCAGTTCTCTACAATTTCAGTTTATTGGAAGTACTAGCTTTGGTTTGGCTGACCTTGGCCCTGACCACCACATTATCTTTTCATAATATTTGCTTCCAATATACCATTGTAGTCCCCACCAAAAGCATTCCACTTTCCCAGATTTATCTATATTGAAATAAACAACCAAACTACCAAGTTGCCTCCTACTTATGACTTACAGTATTCATAACACAAGCCCTACTTACCTCAGGTCATAGAGAAGAATGTGACAAGAGGCTTTTGTTTCAAAGAACACATTATAGGTAAAGGCAAATATACAAATAATTGTAATACGTGGTGTTGCATACAATAATATAAGTGTGATAACAAAACTGGGATGTAGACCTGAGGAAGGAGAGTAACTCAGTTTGGAGAGTCAAGAAAGTTTCACAGTGATGGATCCTCCTTTGTAGAGTTTGATAGATACAGAGGTCCCAGGCACATGCAAAAGCAGGAAAGTATTCAAGGTAGAAAGAACATGAAGTTGCATGTTCACCACTATAGATAGGTACCAGAAACTAAATATTTACCGAGTACCCGTTAGGTGACAGGCATTTCACTAGGACTTTGAATATATTATTTACTTAGTTCCTACTGCAATGCACTGCAGAGCCATGCTTTTCCATATGACATGGGAGGGAACTGAGGCTTAGAGAGTGTCAATCACTGCCTAAAGTCACATAGCAAGAGTTGTGTCCAAATTTGAAACTGTGCCCAAAGACTATGTAATCTTTCCACTCTAAGTACTCTCTTGGCATATATTTTGTAAAATTTTCTCAGCTGATCCTGCTTCTCGGGAAACTAAATTCAGGACCAAATATCTTCCTTTGCTGTCCTCTGCCTTCATCCCAACACACATGTTTCTTTTCTGGTCATCGGAAAATAAGCACCAAATTCAGTTTCTTTTAGGAAATGACTACTCTTCAGACCTCCCTAGAGAAGCTCTGACATGCCCACAGTCCTTTCTGGTGGGATGTCACCTCTTATGGAGCTCTCTGTTTTCCTTTGCCATTCTTTCAAACTGTTCGGGAAACTGCTGGCAAAGTTATGCTAAGGATAAAGTTGAACGCTGCTTGACTTTCTTTAGGCTCTAGGCTCTGGAAGTCAGTCCAAAGTCAAGAAAGCCCACGGTGGCTTTCCTGGTCATTAGGTTTATCAACTCTCTGCATATAGTATACGCTCCATTAAAGGAGCTGCGTGGTATCTATCAGAGAAAAAGAACAACCGTCAGGATGACAGCAGCAGCCGCTCTGAAGATAACACTTCCTTGTGGGGGCAGGGTGGGGACAGGGACCAAGAACCTTACAAGTTAAGTCACTTTCTTGTTTCTGTATCTCTGCTCATTTCTCACACCAAAGTACAACTAGCAAAGGAAACACAAGGCAGTCAATGGATTCTAACTTGACACAAGATGCCAATTTTCTGACCTTCGTGGTGTTGCTCTTGGATCCTCTTCTTTCTGGAGATTAGACTGAGGTCTCCAGGTTAGCTCTGGTGATTTGGGCACTGTAATAATAAGACCAGGCTTGTGGGTTTGATGCCAGTGATGCCCATTCAGGGTGTTTTATCCCTTTCCATTCATTCCATGGCCATTCGTTGAACATTTACTAGGTGCCAGATCAAGTGCAAGGCAATAGACAACTGCAAAGGGGCCAGGCCGGGTGCGGTGGCTCATGCCTGTAATCCCAGCACTTTGAGAGGCAGAGGTGGACAAATCACTTGACGATAGGAGTTCTAGACCAGCCTGGCTAACATAGCGAAACCTCGTCTCTACTAAAAATACAAAAGTCAGCCAGTCATGGTAACGCATGGCTGTAATCCCAGGTACTTGGGAGGCTGAGACACGAGAATCGCTTGAACCCAGGAGGCAGAGGTTACAGTGAGCTGAGATCGCACCACTGCACTTCAGGCTGGGCGACAGAGCAAGACTTGGTCTCAAAAAAAAGCGGGGGGGAGGGGTGCTGTTCTTACTCAGAAGGAGCTCACAGCTTAATGAAACAGGACAATGACAGTAAAGTAACACAGATAGAATAAGTCATCAGAGGACGAATAATCCAAGTGCTTTGATGGCGGCCCAGAAGAGCAATCCTAGAACCTTGCCTGTTGTCAGGATATGGGAGTGTCCTCACAGGATGAATTAGTTATCCTGTGAAGAAACTATGGGCCTCACCAGCCTGCCAGAGGCTCTGGGGTCATGCACATATGCACGGAGATACATGCTGTAAAATATGATGTGGTCCTTCCATGAGACATGTATAAAAACCATCCTGGAGGAGCTGTGGATAATTCCACCACCCCTTGAGGTTACGGCCATGTCACAACCTGGGAATTTCAACTAAAAGTAGCTCCAAGTGAGTGAAAAGCTCCAAGGTAGACTTCAGCCTATGCCAGCAGTCCTTCTTGCAAATATCTATCAGGGTTAATGGGGTTAGTAAGGACCAGTGCAGGTCCCCAGCCTGATTCCTGGGGGCATTGAGGCCATAAAAACTATGACCGGCCACTGATACCATGGAGTGAGACAGTATCTACATGCCAATACCTACGAGATGAGAGAATGTGAATGGATCAATGTAAATCAACCACTCCTGAAACACACACACACGTTGTATATCATACAAATGCTAGGCACATAGCACTGTTCAGTAATATAGTATTAATCCTATTAAAAATGCTCTGGCAAAATTACCCTGTTGAATTTATATTTGGAATAAGGGTTCACACATTTAACAAATGAGGACACTGAGTCATATGGCATAGGAATGACTTCCACAGGGCTTTGTGGTAGTGCAGAAGTAAGGACCAAAATATTCTCAGTAAATAGGTGCCCCACTAGAGGGAAACCACAGTTCTATACTAGGCAGCAGGCTGATCTCTCTGGGATGGGAAGACAGGGGGGTCCTGAATCTGGATGTAGTCCTCTCTCTGCTTCTTACCAGCTGCGTGACCTGGTACAAGTTTACAGGATGTTCCCTCACCTCGATTCTTTACTTGTAAAATAGAAATAATAATTCTACTACCACAGGATGGTCATGAGGGTTAAATAAGAGATTGGGCATAAAGTATCTCAGATGACACATACAAATAAAAATATGCCAGTTTCTTCCCTCGTTTTGTTTTTATTTGAAAAAAATGTGTACCACTTCCCCGGTTCTGTAAACTTTGAGGTTAGGAGTGATAGATATTGTAGAAATCCAAAGTGATTATTTGAGCTCTCGCTTTATTCTGATACCCTGAAGATCTCTTTAGAAAAGCCCCAGCCGGTGATGGGGGATCTCATTAGGGATTTGCATTATCTTGCTCCTGCTAACCTCCAGTCCTCCAAAACATAGGAGGATTGCGCTGACACATGATATGTTATACAAACAGGCAGCTTGCATTCAGGCTAAAGATTAAACTGAACCTGCCTATAGCTAGTGTCTTTGTTTACAACTCCCGCATGTTAACCGTGGCGATTTAGCAAGCCTGGGTGCTGTAATTATTATTACCTGAAGCAAATAATATAGTCAGCACTTTATAAGAAATGCACGTTCCTCACCCTTCCTTTGGTTCTCAACGCAATGCCATTAATTATGATAAATTTTTCTGATATTTGTGTTACTGTGGTAGGTAATTTCTTAGGTATTCCTCTGCAATTTGGCATCAATCATTGTCCACTTAGCATAAATTAGGGCCGAGACTCCATGACTGAATTTCACCACTTACTAAGCCTCCTTCAGGGAAGCTAATTCCTTTCTTAAATATGTATTAAATTATTTTTAAGAGGAATTTTTTGTGTGTTTTTAGCAGTGGATGTTTTCAGGGTTTTAATTCTGTCATTTCAAATGCACAGAACTCACATGGGGATTTTTAGCCATTCTAGCTTTCAGCCCCATGAGAAGAATGCACCTCCTGGAAGAGCCCTGGAACTGTCATTTGCAGAGCCCTTCCAAATCCTTTTACACAATGCCAATTAATATATAACACCACCGTGTCTAATTGTCTATTGCCTTCTCCATATTTACAACTCATTTAATGAACCAGACAGGTTGATTTTTCAGTCATGGAAAATCTGTGAAAGTCCTGAAGTGTTGATTGCTTCCTTTTGGTGAACTTACATTCTGAGTCAGTCCAACCCAGTGTTTCCAGAATTGGTTCCTTCTGGTGGGTTCTTGGTCTCGTTGACTTCAAGAATGAAGCCACAGACCCTCACAGTGAGTGTTATAGTTCTTAAAGATGGTGTGTCCAGAGTTTGTTCCTTCAGATGTTTAGATGTGTCCAGAGTTTCTTCCTTCCGGTGTGTTCGTGGTCTCACTGACTTCAGGAGTGATGCCACAGACCTTTGCAGTGAGTGTTACAGTTCTTAACAGTGGCACGTCCAGAGTTGTTCCTTCCTCCCGGTGGTTTCGTGGTCTCGCTGACTTCAAGAATGAAGCTGCGGACCTTCGCAGTGCATGTTACAGCTCTTTAAGGTGGCGCATCCAGAGTTGTTTGCTCCTCCCAGTGAGTTCATGGTCTCCCTGACTTCAGGAGTGAAGCCGCAGACCTTCACAGTGAGTGTTACAGCTCTTAAAGGTAGTGTGGACCCAAAGAGTGAGCAGCAGCAAGCTTTATTGTGAAGGATGAAAGAACAAAGCTTCCACAGCATGGAAGGGGACCTGAGTAGGTTGCCACTGCTGGCTCAGGGTGGCCAGCTTTTATTCTGTTAATTGGTCCAACCCACCTCCTGCTGATTGGTCCATTTTACAGAGTCCTGATTGGTGCATTTACAAACCTTTAGCTAGACACAGAGCGCTGATTGGTGCATTTTTACAGAGTGATGATTGGTGCATTTTCAATCCTTTAGCTAGACACAGAGCACTGATTGGTGCATTTACAATCCTCTAGTTAGACAGAAAAGTTCTCCAATGCCCCACTCGACCCAGGCAGTCCAGCTGACTTCATCTTTCATCAGGAAGGAGAGGTATAGCGGTGACTCTCCATACAGCAGTCAGGTGACATGAGGAAACCAGGAAGAGCTTACTGAGGAAACATATCTAACCTCTTCTTCCTTCCCTCCCAGAGATTTAAAAAAAAAAACAAAAATTCAAGTTTTCCCTGGAAAACTGGTTGACAGCTCTCCACAGTAACATGGTCATACAGAGGAATCTCTTTGCTTATCTGAATTTGTACTTGAAGTTAGAGAAGTCTTATGGCTTCCATGATACAATGATTTATCAGTAAGCGTTGATAGAGCGATGTTCCAGAACTAAATAAGGCATTGCTGACACTAAGCAAGGGTGGGATATGCCCCACCAAGGAGCGTGCAGGCTGTTGTGCTGGGAGACTTATGCTCCTGAAACAGAATATGAAAATGACAATTCCCACAGCTCAGTTGCCTGCAAGTGAAAATAGCTTTTCTACTTAAAGAGAGACAGAAGAAACCATGGATCTGCAGAAATTAGTGAAGACTTTTAAGGAAGGTGAAATTTGAGCAGCAGCATGAAGAATTCTTGTTGGGGAAGCTCAGTTGGATGAGGTGGGTATTAGGAGGACCCATCAACATGAGAACCAGTAAGAAGGTGAGAAGAAGAATGGCTCATAAAGTGCTTCACGAGCCAGTGAGAAGGTCAGCCTACACTGGGGAAAAAGTCTGACAGGAGAGTATAATTCTGGATGGGTTTGCTGAAGACAAACCTAAAATATTCATGCTCTTTCAAACCTAGGACCTTAAAACAAACAAACAAAAATTACAATTTGAAGGAGAAGCAGTGAGAACTTCCCGTTATTAGATAAGACAGACACTCAGCCAGGCGTGGTGGCTCACGCCTGGAATCAGCACTTTGGGAGGCCGAGTTGGGTGGATCACGAGATCAAGAGATTGAGACCATCCTGGACAACTTAATGAAACCCCATCTCTATCAAAAATACAAAAAAATTAGCTGGGCGTGGTGGCACATGACTGTAATCCCAGCTACTCAGGAGGCTGAGGTAGGAGAATCACTTGAACCCGGGAAGTGGAGGTTGCAGTGAGCCAACATCGCGCCATTGCACTCCAGACTGGGCGACAAGAGAGAAATTCCGTCTCAAAAAAAAAAAAAAAAAAAACCAGAGAGAGATACTCTACTTACCGCCCCATAGAAATACATATCTCACAACTAGAAAGCCTTAAAAAGCCCTGGCTATTTAGCAAGGGAAAACAAAAGACCACTAGACATTAAGGTTACAAAACTCAAACTTCTTATCTTACAGATAAACCTGGGCTCTGTGCCCTTCAGTGACTCATTAAGCTCAGATAGTCTGTTAGTGGCTGAGAAAAAACTCTTTCCTCACCCTCGATTCAAGGCTTTATTTATTTCTCTTTTCAATACCCTCCACTCACTCCAACCTGTTCTTTTCTTTAGGAAGGAAATCCTTCCTAGATATTGTTTACCGAGGTTGTCTCTCACCTAAAAATCCTTCTTCGCTAATGTCACCTCCTTAAAAATGCTTTGCTGATTGTGGGACCAGTCATGATATCTCCCTCTCTTCTAAACTCATGGAGCTCACCACCTATTGCTCCCATGGCTCTTGTTCTAGTCAAGGCTTGTTCTTAGTTGTTGGTGTACTTATGTTCTAGATTATACATCTGTATTAATCTGCTTTCACACTGCTAGTAAAGACATACCCAAGACTGGGCAATTTACAAGAGAATGAGGTTTAATTAGACTCACAGTTCCATGTGGCTGGGGAGGCCTCACAATCATGGCAGAAGGCAAGGAGGAGCAAATCACATCTTACATGGATTGTGGCAGGCAAAGAGAGAAAGAGTTTGTGCAGGGGAACTCCTCTTTTTTAAAATTATCAGATCTCGTGTGACCCATTCACTCTATCACAAGAACAGCTCAGGAAGGACCCACCCTCATAATTCAATCACCTCTCACCAGGTTCCTCCCATAACATGTGGAAGCTGTGGGAGTTACAATTCAAGATGTGATCTGGGTGGGGACACAACAAAACCATATCAACATCTCTCTAGGATGAGAACCTCACGTTGTTCATCTTGGTATCCCCTGTTGGCTTTGCACAATGTCTTCACATAATAGGCTCCCTAAATACTCAGTGAATTTGTTGAAGTATAGTACCAAATGTATTGCTAGCTACTAGATCCAAGGTACTTGAGCCACAACTAAAACGGCAAAGTATAAAATATAGCTAAGGTTGATGCCTCTAAAATGCATTTCAGAGCATTTCCTAGGATATGCATCCCAAAACAATAAAAACTGTTGTCATTGTTATTGCCTACAATGTGCTAGGTACTCATTGTGACTCAGAACATTGCAAATGTATTAGTATTCTACCTAGAAAGGAGCTCCCATTTGAGACAAGATATCCTCCCCTCTATACAACCTCTGTGAAATGCTGGCAGGTCTGATGGATTTGCCAAGATAAGCTGGCTTTGGTGGGAACTGAAACAATTTGTCAAACTCTAAGGAGTTGTGAGCATGAACATATATGGCAGAGAAAGTTTAATGTTTCCTGGGAAGTGATTCCAGAACTTTTAGCCAAGACCAGGCAAACCAGAAAGGAAATAGCCCAAGGACACTGAAGTGGGCAACACAAATCCCCGTGCAATTGGCTCTGGTTAAAGGTTGACAGCAGGGAAGATTGACATCCTTGATTTGTAGGCAGTGAAAGTGCCAGGTTCCCATAGAAATGGGCCCCAGCCTCAAATTAAAACAGCTATTTATAGGAATGAAAGGGGAATTGAATCCACAAACCACCAATCCAGCCCGTGGCCTCTCTTCTGAAGCTTCAAGTGTTTGGGGAAAATGTTTGCTGAGTCAACAAGTAAAGTGAATCGGAGAATTGTGTGTTACAGCAATGCCCACTGGTGAACAGATATGGTCCTAGGGCCTCTGTCTTCAAGGAGACTGTCAACTACAACAGGGGCTGAGATCATGGATAAAGGAATAACATATGAATTAATGTGAGAATTCACTGGGAAGAAAGGGCAAATTGGAATTGATCTACATGATCTGGAGAAGAGTTCGAGGGTGAAGATGGGCTGAATACAGAGGGAGGGAGATATGAGGCCTGGAACTGCTACAAGTGATTATCTGCCCATTGTGAGCACCTAGACTTAAATCTGTATTACCTAGCATTGTGATAGGGATTCATCAACATCTTTGCCCAATCCTCCTTAGGTTATTACTATGGTTGGAAATGCCAGGATGGTTTATTAATATGCCTCTATTGAACTGTCAGTGAAAGTCATAACAACAGGTCATATTTATCAGCTCTATTTAGAACAAATATTCTAAACTTTTTCCACCTTGTTTTGTTTAATCCTCATATAAGTGCCAAGAAGTAGAAAATAGTGTTATGAGAAAACTGAGACCAGAGAGGTTAGACAGCCTGGTTGAAGTCTCATAGTAAATAAGGCAGCTGGGAGCCTAAGCAAGCCAGTCTTCTCCAGAGCTGAGACCCCTAAAGTTGTACAGCAGAGCTCCAAGGGCCAGGACCACCAAGGGCTGCTACAGTAGCTGAAGATGTGTGTATGGCAGGCACACCTACTGAGACTTATTCACACAAATCTAATCCAATATGGTAATCAGCACTTCACTCTCCATGCAAAGACCAAGCTTCTTTTCTCCCCAGCCTGTCTGTGGCAGGGGATCTTCCTGTCATGTAGAAAGGCAGCGTAGCTCACTGCTTCTGCTGCCTTTGTTTATGTCTCTCACTCACTACTGTTGTTTTCAACTCTGCTGGGGGCTGATGAGGGGAACAGAAAGAAGAGAGGAATGCTAAACTTGTGCATAGAAAAGTGCTTATCTCTCAGTGGCTCACACTAGTAATCCCAGCACTCTGGGAGGCCAAGGAAGGCGGATTGCCTGAGCTCAGGAGTTCCTGACCAGCCTGGGCAACATGGTGAAACCCTGTCTCTACTAAAATACAAAAAATTAGCCAGATGTGGCGGCGTGTGCCTGTAGTCCCAGCTATTCGGGAGGCTGAGGCTGAAGAATTGCTTGAACCCAGGAGGCGCAGCTTGTAGTGAGCTGAGATCAGCCACTGCACTCCAGCCTGGGCGACAGAGCAAGACTCTGTCTCAAAAAAAAAAAAGAAAGAAAAAGAAAAAGAAAAAGAAAAAAAAGAAAAGTGCTTATCTCATGGAACTATCTTAAGGCGTTGATTCTATAGTCTTGGGATGTTTTCTGGGGTTCTGAGAGTGTCTCCTGCAGAGCCCCTACAAGGCAATTTTCATATGGAGGACCATACATTCTGCTCCTTGTTGGTAGAGTCATCAGTTCACCCCACACAGACTTTTTCTATGGGGATCTGCACTCCTTCAAAGTCTACTAGGAAAGAATTTTAATGCCCCCAAGCTGGCTCTTATTCTATGGGGCTACCGCCTGGCTCATAACCCCAGTGAAGTAGCTGTGGTCTCCTTTTTCCTAAGCAGCTCGTAAGCCCTCCTCTGGTGCCCTCTTGATTTTCTAAGTGTGAATCAGATGAGGGCCCACCGTATCCCACAACTGCCAAAATCATACAGGAAGTTTTGCAAGAGACCTCTGGGCATGGGCCAACAGGACTCCCATGGCGCGCTCAGAAATTCCTTTTACAAAAACCTCCTAAATATTTGACTCCTTTCTAGCGGCTCTGCGGGTAAGGAAAATTCAAGAGTCACACAAAGAAATCCTAATTGGCAAATGCTCCACAGTGAGCGGGCATCTCATTTTGGAATTTCAAATTGATTGTATCTTTATGCTTCAGTCAAAAGTTCTAATTCAATATCCGCATTTACTGAGCACAAATCATGAGCCAGGTACTTCTTATAAGTCTTCTAGATATGTTATCTAAAGTATGCTTCAAAATAATTCCATGAAGAAGGCGAAACCAATATCCATATTTTAAAGAAAAGGAACCTGAGACCTTGATTCTAAACTCAGTTCAGTACAAAGTCTAAGCTCATAACTATCTCAAGCAAAGGACCTGGACATATTCAAAAGTAGTCTATTTTGTTATTGGCACCATTTTACTATGAAGCTCATTCAAATTTGTCTTTCCTGCCTCCCAACTCCATTAAAATAACTTTGTTGAAGGTAATCAGGGTACTCCCTGTTGCCAGATCTTAGCATTTGACACAGTATGAGCACTTCTGTCATCTTGAACCACTTTCCTCCCTAGGATTCCAAGACAACACACTCTTCTGATTTGCCTTCCACCCCACTGGCTGCACCTTCTCAGTTGCCCCTTTGACAGTTCTCCACCTGACCTCTAAATGTTGAAATGTCCTAGAGCTCAGTCTTGAGCCCTTTTCCTTTTGTGAATTACATATTCTCCCTAGGCACTCTTATTCAGTGTGATGCCTTTAGAAACCATTGCTACGGTGATGACTGCCCTATCTAAATCTCTCAGGCTGACCTAAGTACCAAACTTGTATATTTCCACTTGGAAATATTCATAGACATATCAAACAAAATCTGTCCAATGTGGAGCTGATGATAACCTTTTCCTATCCAAACATCTTTTTTCTGTCTTCTTTCTTTCCATTTTTCCCATTTAATAAAATGGCATCACAGTGCATCAAGCCAAATACCATTGTTACATTGCACATAAATATACTGTGCCCTCATTCTCCACCTTTCTTCCATCATCAAATTCCATTGGTTTTGCTTTCAAAATATATGTCAGATACTTTTAATCCTCTCCAACTTTATGGCCATCACTCTAGTCTGAGCTACCCTTGCTTCTGCAGATTATGGTGACAGACGTCAAATAATCTCCCTGTTCTAGCGTTACGACATCTGCTCACAGGCAGCCAACGTCATCTCTTAGAATTGTGAATCAGAGTGCATTACTCCCTAGATTAAACTCTGTCAACACTATCCTATGGCATTTCAAATACTGTCCACACTCAGTTTTATAGCCTACTTCTTTCTTCTTATCTCAAATTTCTTCTTGTCTCTAACTATGCTTCAATTCCACTGCCTTCCCTTTATTTCTGAGCAGCTCTGGAAATTTGCATTTGCCATGCACTTGAAACACCCTTCCTCCAGCTTTTTGCAGCAGGGCTGGTCCCTTCTTCAAATATCAGCTCAGGGAGCACCTTCTCCCAAAGGCCATTGCTGTTTTATTTGAAATGACTTTTTTCAGTTACTCTCCAGCTCATTGATCTCTTTGTGGCCATCATAATCTTATCACAATCTATAAATAGTCTGCTTATGTGTAAATCTGTTTAATTGTTGGTCTCCATGTCGGTAAATAAGGTTTAGGGGAATAGGGATCTTGTCTATCTTTTTCATTATTATATTCATGTAACTTCTCATATGCTAACTAATCAACAAATATGTTTGCTTGAGTGAATGAATGAGTGAATGAATAAATGATGTATAGATAGATGGAATATACCACAGAGCAGGTAACATATGACATTCCTGATTAGAATCTGACAAAAATGAATAGCCCATGAAACATTAAATAGAAATATTGACCCTGTTTTCAACTGATCCCCAATTTTTCTACAAACTGTGCCCCCCCTTCCCCTTTAGAAGCTGAAGCCACAGCACTCTTTCTAGCTAGTGTTCTGGAAGGAGCAACAGAGCAGAGTACTCTGGGCATCTGATGAGCCTGAGGCAGCCCAGGGGAATGGCAGTTGGAGGAAAGTACTACTTCCATCAGAACAAAAGTCTCCAGTAAGGCTTCAGGTTCCTGAACGATGACAGCACCGAAGGCTCCACTTGGAAGATTTTAATCCGAGAAAAATGGCTCTAATGCATAACCTGCTGTGGGGATATTTATTTGGGAGCAGATTGAGCTTAAGTCAAATACTCTGCATGTACAAATCCAGTTGATTAATACATAGCCACAGAATTTTGCTTTTTCTCTGCAATACACTCAGTAAAATGAATGGCTTTTATTATTCTGCTTATTATTTTTTATCAGCAAAAGTTAAAAAAAAAACGTGATTTCTCCCATCCCACCCAAGCTGTAAAATGAGAGTGGCAGTGTGATTATACACTGCTGGAAAGAGATGCAATTGTAGAGAATTATAAATCATATTCTTTTGTTTGGTTGGCATTTTTTGTTTATTTGTTTCTAATGCAAAGAGCAGGAGATTTACCATAATTTGCGTTCTATAACCTGCCGTACATGTGACAGGAGAAAAAAAAATCTATTAGCAAAAATATATTTTGCCTTTCTAGACCAAAAGCAAAATAGCACCGGGTTGAAATACTCATCTGTTTCTTCTCCTAGGGCTTATTCCTTTTAGTGACAGCCCTCCACCTTTAAAAAACAAACAGACAAACCACAACTCTTGGGGATTTTCTCAAGAATAGATTGGTCAAAATACAAAGCTTTGTCTTCTGGTCTACCCTTTGCAGATCATTAATAACTGCAGTGATGCCCTTCTTTCTAAGGAGGAGAATTATTTCTCTTAGGTTTTGTTTGTTAAAAAAAAATGTGAAGGACTAAGTGTATTTTGTACAGATTCTGAGAGTAGAACAATATGCTGGGAAGTACTTCTGCAGCATTATGTGCACCCAAGGTAGGAATACTAGGTAAGGGCTAATTCTTCAAGTGGGTTTATGTATGCTTTACATTCTGAAACCACATCTCGTGCCAGTATTCAAGCATGTGAGGGAATAATGCATGAATGGTTGAGCAGGTTTTGTGATCATTTCCTTTATATCCACTTCAGAGCAAGCCAAGAGGCTATATATTTAAATTTTAGTATAAAATCTTTAAGCTACACAATTGGAAAGTCTTTGAACCTCTAAAGTTAATAAGACATGAGACACTGTTCCTAAGGAGGTCTTAATGTTATAATCTATCCCAAGGAGTTTCAGTTTTGTGTTATCTATCCAATGACATGCTCAAAGCAGATATAAAATGAGTCAACCAACATGTCACTTTGTGTGTCATTTATGCATTTATATACAAGGAAGTACTGAGATACATACATATGTAAGTGGTGAAGATACTCATAATAAAAGAATGGTCAAAATGGGATACAGATACTTGAGATTTTTTATGGCAAAATAAGTTTCAGTCATGTGTGATATGATACATACATTTGACAGAATAAAAACCAGGAAAAGATAGGGTGTGTTGGTTCTAAAGAAGCCAATATTAAGCATGATGTCCAACCCGAGATCTGAGATCAGAGGTATGCAGAGGAAGAAAGGGGGGTTGGCATAAGAAGTCAAGTACTAAAAGTTCTCTAGGAACTAACATGAGTTAAGCAGGAGAGCTTTTGCTACAAAAGAGGAGCTGAGGGTAAATAACCAGGAAAATACCAAAAGAATCTGCTGAGGGTAGAAAAACAATTTTTTGTGCAATCCAGTATAATCTTCCTGAGATCTGTTCTCCATCCTAGAGCTGTACTCACATAGGCTGTAGCTCTATGGCATCCTCGAAGCACCACCTGCATGCTGACAGTTTTCCAGGACAGGTTAATTGCTGGGTTGATATGAGTTTGGTTAAATCAGGAGGAGATGGTGTTTTAGTGAATACACACACACACATGCAGACTCACCAGCACTTAACTTCAAAAATTTTATTAATGCCATGTTGTTCTGCTAATCCATTGTCATATAATAAAGCAAGTGAAAATGTACTATTTTTATTATGCTTATTGAATCGATGCATATGAAATTTGGACAGTGTGCAGCAAGGATGGCTTGTGCAGTTGCATGGTGTCTGGGGACTCAACTGGAAAAATTCAAGGCCTGGGTGGTTTGTTGTCTGGGGCTGGAAGTCATCTTGGAGGTGCCTGTGATCACACATCTGGCACTCGATGCTGGCTGCTTGCTGGGACTTCAGCTGAACTGTCAACCAGAACACCTCCACATGGCTTCTCCATGTGGTCTCTCTATACAGGCTAGTTCAGGCTCCCTCACTGCTTGGAGGCTGGGTTCCAAGACAGAAATCAAGGAATGCATAGCCTTTTTCTTTTCTAATCTAGCCTCAGAAATCAGTATTACTTCTCATACATTCTATTGATTGTGGCAGTCAAAAAGTTCTTCCCAGGTTCAAAGGGAAGTACGTACAGACCACCCCTAATGGGAGGGATGTCAAGGTCCCGCTGGAGGAGAAGCTGTGAAATATAAGAGATAGTTGTGACCATATTCAGAAAACACATACTGACTTATCAGCTCATCAGCACGAAGACTGGGGACAATTTACCAAGAGTACAGCAATATAGAGCATCTTCATTTTTAAGAAATCCTCAATATTAAGCTAATAATAAGATATTTAAAATTATCTCACCCAGCAGAGTTTGATGCGACCGTTCAGTAAACCAGTGGCCTCCCCCAGTTCCCTACTTTGGGAAGTTCCATCTTACCGCACTGATGGGCAATTGTTAAGAACCAAATTACTGAAAGACAAGGGTGGCTCTACAACTGGTTGCTTAAAAAGGCTTATGACTCATGTGTGTACTCAGGAAATCATGAAAGCAAGATGGTGTGTGCAGCCTTCAAAGGGGCCTGGAGGCATGATGGAGGCTGGTGGAGGAAGTTTTAAATAAGCAGATCTCTTAAAGGGAGACAGGATACCTTGGTACAGGGTGCACTAAGCTTCACAGTTACTGAGGGATCGAGCACCAGGAGGATGGTCTTCATATCCACCTCGGTCACTGCCAGGACACTGGGAGACATCAGCATTCATGTGGACCATCTCCAACATGAGCACCACCTGGACTCTAAAACTCATCATCTCCAATGGTGTTTGCCATTCCCATAGGCTACCACTTCCCATAATGACATCTCAAGCCTTGTTATCACTCGCAACTGCTGTATCTCAGAATCTCCCATCCTCTTCTTACTATTCATGTTCTTTGTACTCATAGAGACTTTCAGTCCACTAACCATCTATTTTCAACTAATCTGTTGCCCCTCTCTTTTTTTTCTTTCTCTTCTTGTCCATCTTAAATTACCTCATTATTATCTATCTCAGATAACAAGGTCTATCTTTTTCATAATATTTTTTACCAATGCTCTTAAGCTCTATTCCTCCCTTTTTTAACCATTCATTTTTTAGAAACCAAATCTAGGAAGATTCCTTTATTCCCACCCTCTTATAAGCCCTCCTGGGGAAATGCTTGAATGGGGGAAAAGAGAAAAGGAGAAAACTACCTAGATAGAAAGAACAAGTCGACTAATATTTCAAAAAGAGTATGTAGCCTCATTAGTTTACACAATATTTTAAAAATAAATGTACTCATTACTGTAAAGAAGTTCAATGTACTATCAGGACATGTAATCATGATCCTAGCTCTTCCTTCACCAAGAGCCCAAAGAGTAGCCTGAAAGCTTCCCATTGTTAAAAAATGAAGTTCATCCTCTTCTTGACATTTATACCTCAAGTTGGCAAGCTGACTCCCATCAACCAAAAAGTATAGGTGGCTTAGCCTTCATGCCTCCTGTATAAACATCTCAGAATCTTGCCATCTGTGACTTATTCTTGTTTCAAGAGCTCCCCTAGAAAATGGTTTACCTTCCTCTAATTTTGTCTTTAAAAGAATAACAGGTTTTACATGTTTGTGATAATGGGGTAAAGTCAGAGAGAAAAGTAGAAAGCTCCCTAAACCCAGCCTCCTCTTAGGATAGACATTGGCTCTGCCTTTGCAGCCCAGCACCAGCCAGCAGCCACAGCTGCAGAAATGATCATGCGTGCAGATGATGGTGTTGAACCAACCTGACATTCATCCTCTGCTGTGCTTTGACAAAGAACATTAATTAAGGATAAGTAGTCTTACTCCGGGAATTAATGAGAGACAAATATTGGCTTCGAATATGGAAAAGATATGCTGGTAATATTCTAAGCCACCAATAAGAATCAATGGCAAATCCTGAGTTCTGGCTCCAAATGCCTTTTCCCTTTTCCACCAGAATGATCTGATCCTCTACACCTACTGACCATCAGCTAGAGACAATTGCCCTGTCCTGTTGTAAAGTCGGTACAAATGGGAACCTTGCTTCCTCATTTGAGCACTTAAGAAAAGTCTACAACCTTCTCCCTTTCAAAATCTGCTCTCCTCCTCATTTATCTACCTGCATCAAATCTGTCATTCTCCAGGTTCTAGGAGAAGCAAGATAAACACAAGGCCCCACCATTGTGTATGGTCTGTCAGTTGCTAACATGGGCCCGTGGTGGCTGGTCCTTCTATCTGTATTAGAAATCGTAGCGATTCATTCAGAAACCGCTGTTCCTTCCAGGCAAATGTGAGATAACGCAGTTGGCCCATTAACATTGCAGCTGCATAGCAGATTAGACACATTGTGCGGTGCTGCCTGGTTAAAGCATCCACAGCCGCTTATGGAATTAGGGGCTGGCACCACTGCAGTGAGCTGGTGCGCTGTTTACAATCATTCCCCAACACAGACAACACAATCGTGATTTTCTGTGTAGACTGGATGGCTGAAAACGTATTCCACCAAGATGGTACTCTTTCCAGCTCCAGAGTAAGTAAATATTTTTTAAAGCAGAGTTACAGAGGCTTTTCACTAAAGTAAAAACAAACAAACAGACAAAAAAGGATGGCCTTTATTGACTCTGTCAAGTAAGGAGACTAATAACTTTCTCAAATAAACTGTGTTTTAATAAATACAAGGCTTCTGATTGGTTGCAGTGTATCCTGCAATGTCTTAGAGGGCAGGAAATTGGTGTAATTCTCCTACTGCAGCATTCAGCATCAGGACATATGCCATTAGGCTCTTTGGTTTTAATTTATCTTTAGAAATACATTCTTTTTTATTAGAAATACAAATATTTCATAAATATCTATGGATTAATGTTTTAAAGATTTTTGGGAGAAATGGAAGACCAATACGCAGAAGCTACTTCCATTTTTGCTACACTTTTTATTTTTTATTTATTTATTTATTTATTTTTTGAGATGGAGTCTCTCTCTGTCGCCCAGGCTGGAGTGCAATGGCACGATCTCAGCTCACTGTAACCTCCACCTCCCATGTTCAAGTGATTCTCCTGCCTCAGCCTCCTGAGTAGCTGGGACTACAGGCGCCTGCCACCACACCTGGCTAATTTTTGTAGTTTTAGTAGAGACAGGGTTTCACCATGTTGGCCAGGATGGTCTCGATCTCCTGACCTTGTGATCCACCCTCCTCAGCCACCCAAAGAGGTGGGATTACAGGCATGAGCCACTGCGCCCAGCCTACACTTCTTAAATGTAAGGGAGAAATGCTCTTGGCACAGACCAAGCATATTTCCAAGCCCTCACTAGGGCTAGCATCCTTCGTCCTCTCAGGGCTGTGCAAGGCATGATGTGGAGGAGCTCCAGGTGCAAACATAACTAACAGAAACTGAAGAAGTTAAGCCAAAGATGGCAAATACCTCTCCCAGGTTTGAGGCTAAAAGTTAATCATGCTTCTCACATTTCTAAGCTTGGAACAAAATAAAACCCAGTATAGCGGTCAGAGAGACCAAGGAAATACTTAGCTTTATTACTGATAAAACATATTTAAGAATTCTTCTCAAATGTGTTGCCACGCTGAGTTTGCTAATACCTTCCCTAAAGTGACATTCTCACCCTATTGTCACAGGACATCACAGACAGCCCTCTGCTGTAAGTGCAGGCTACCACTGCAAGGAAGAGCAGAGGAGCGATGTATCCTGGGGGCAGCTTGGCTCATGGTTTCTTGGAACTGGCTGCACACTGGAAGCAGCTGCGGAACTCTGAAACGGTCAACACCCAGAGCTCCACCCCAGATGAACTAAGTGGGACCTGGACTTGGGGATTGTTCAAAAGCTCACTAGGTGATGATGATGTACTTTTAGGATTGACAACCACCAGACTCAATCAAAAGAGACAAAAAGGAAGGAGCTGGGGAGCACATTCTCACTTATTTCTCCCAGTCTCACTAATCACAGGAGTTTCTCTTCTTCCCAGGAAAATGAATGAGTGAAAAACGAGACCAAGCATCCTCTAGGTCTACACTACCATAGTCAAGACTCTTTGGGAGCAGGTAGGTTGGTTCAGCAGAAACAACCACCACACCTGGTCAGGTGGAGGGGCGTTGTTCCCTCTTTCACTGCTCTTGGCATCTGAAAGCAGGGACCTAGGTGGCGGCCAGTCTCTAATAATCAAGGCTCCTATTTCAGGTATAGGCATAACACTTTCAATCGTTCATTTCATACCAGCTCATGAGGGCAGAAAATTGTTACACCCTGTCTTTGCACAAGACATTTATGGACCATGGAAAGCTGAGATTTAGTTCTCTACTCCCTGCACCCCTCTGGCAACTGGATCTCAATTCTGGGCAGCCAGTCAACACGTCAGGAATCCACTAAAGCAAATCATTTTGCTTCTCCACAGCAAGCTGACTTCAGTAACCACCAAGAATTCATTACTGCTCTAGTTTGTTTACACTGGCTAGGAACAGACACTGTTGTGAATTACTTGGAGATACCCCTTTCCCTACAAATTAGTTTCAAACTATGCTTCAAATCAATAGGCCAGCGACAGGAGTTTCTTCTTTTCTCTTTCTTCTTTAGGCAAATGAACATACAGACACTTCCCTTTAAAGAGCATATCCAGTCAAAACAAAAATGTTAAGTATAATTTTGGTAAACCAAATCCTACTTTACATTTACTTGTATTTATTTGCAAAGGCATATTTTAGCTTTACTTTGATGGTTTTCCAGTTAAAAGCATCACCTGTCTCTTTACCTTTAAATATATCTATCTGTCTTCCATTTCTGTTGTGTGGCTTATGTATGATCTGTAAGGAGACACTTGAATGATCTAAAGAAAATGACTAAATGACTCTTTAAAATAAACTTTTAAATTTAAAAGTTTGAATGAAAGTTTTAAAATTAAAGGGATAAGTCCCTTTTTCAAGTACTAATATAGTAAGAATGTTGATTATTGTGTTTCATTTAGTTTTGTTGTGCATATTAAGAAGGTAGCACCAATTAAGGTTAATCTGGCATATAGTTCAAACACCAAAGCCATGATGACTGGTGCTTCATTTCTATTTCTTTTTCTTATCACCCAGGCTGGAGTGCAGAGGCATGATTTCAGCTCACTGCAACCTGTGCCTCCTGGGCTCAAGTAATTCTCTCCTCTCAGTCACCTGAGTAGCTGGGACTACAGGTGCACGCCACCACGCCTGGCTAAGTTTTTTATTTTTTGTGGCCGTGTTGCCCAGGCTGGTCTCAAGCTCCTGGGCTCAAGTGATCCATCTGCCTCTGCCTCCCAAAGTGCTGGGATTACAGGCATGAGCCACTGCGCCTGGCCTGGCCCTTCGTTTCTAACACAAATCCATTCAACACTTAACATGTTGGCACAGGAAGCAAAGCTGAAAGAAGTAAAAATCCCGTAGCATTGCGTTATGTTGCCCATTCTAAAGGGGGAACTTAGAAAGAGCAGGAGTTACAAATAAGTCTTTTTCTACATCTTAGTGGAAGCAATATATAATAAAATGTTCAGCTATATCCTGCAGACCAGAAACGTTTAAAGAGGCTCTGCAAATGAATTGGCCATTTGGTGAGTTGATGTGAATCTTTCCTGGAATACCCAGGGTAAATCTTGACCAAAAGCTCGGTGCAAATGCTGAAAAAAGAGAAATAACGAATATTTTATGCTGAATGGTGGCCCTGTACCACAATCTACTACAGAAGTCAGAGGCGGAAAGGGGCTGGTCTATAGAGATAAAAGAGTTTGAGTTTATTGGGTTTTGTTTTTGTTTTGGCTCATGCAGTTTTAATTTGAGTTCTGTTCATATGATTCTCTAATTTTAATTAGAATGATTTTAATATTGTTACTTTGCCTCTAGACTTGAAAATATCCCAAATGCAAGAGTCTCTACAGAAATTCTTATGTAACTATCACATGTCTTCTGGACTGGACTGGACATGACTCTGGTCATGCCTCTAGGACCAAGGGTTCCATGGTAATAAGTTATATTTTTTCCCTCCAGAGCCTCATTTTCCTTCCCTATGAAAGTAAATTAACTACATGTATAGCTCTGACATATTGCAGGTTTGGTTCCAGGCCACCGCAATAAAGTGAATAGCCCAATCACAATACAAAGAGTCATACACAATTTTTGATTTCCCAGTTCCTGTACAGTAAAAGTTGTATCTACAAAGTGCATGCAATAAAACAGGGTAAGCCCATATTTACATCGAGATAAACAGTTGTACCAAACCAGACATTCAAAAATATCCCATCAACAGATAGCAACTGCATGTCCAGTGAATGCCAATAACTGTGTTCACTAGGTGTCACTTCCGTTAGAGAAATACACATGACCTTAAGATGTATTAAGCCAGTATCTCCCCTATTAGGAAAGAATCTTCTCCAGGAATAGTTTATGTCTTATTCATCTCTTTATCCTCTGCGTAGGCAGTAGCAGATAGTAGACACTTAGTAAATAAATAAATATCTTACACATCATATGTACAACTGTGGGGCTGCAAAACTCCTGGGTTTTAACCCCAGCACCAGTGCTATTTATATAAAATTTGGAAAGGTCACTATATTAGTCAGGGTTCTCTGGAGAAGCAGAACCAATAGGATATAGAAAGATAGAGAGAGAGGGAGATGAAAGGCAGTTTATACAGAAAATTGGTTTACTGTCATGATGACAGAGGCTGAGAAGTACCAAGACGTGCTGTCTGCAGGTTGGAGACCCAGGGAAGCTGATAATATAACTCTCAGTCCAGAGTTGAAGGCCTGACCTGGGGGGTTGCTAGTACAAGTCAGAGTCTGAAGACCAGAGAACCTGGAGTTCTGATGTCCAAGCACAGGAGAAGATGAGTGTCCCAGCTCCAGAAAAGAGAGTGAATTCACCTCTCCTCTGCCTTTTTAGCTCTGTCCAGGCCCTTGGCTGATTGGATGGTGCCTGCCCACACACTGGGTGACAGCGGATCTTCCTTTCTCAGTCCACTGATTCAAATGCCAGTCTCTTCTGGAAATACCCTCACAGACATACACAGAAATCATGCTTTAGCAGCTTAAGTTTACACTAAAACTAACCCTCATAGTCACTTAGTTCATTTCTAGGAGGATGGAAATATTAAACTGGCCATGGTGTACATGATGTGGAAATCTCTGTAAGAATAATGACAAAGGAAGATAGAAGAGAAATATTGGATTTTTATTTAATTAAATTAACTGAAGAGTTATTGATCACCTGTTATGTGCCAGGAAATATGCAAGCACACAGAGAAAAGATACAAAGAAAGGGCATGAACCTGCCATGAAGAATTTCACTTTTAAACACAGACCTTGGTTAGCCTGGTATCAAATGTGGATACCTACAGGTCGTGACAGTTATAAAGATGCCTTAATCAATTTCTTTAAAAGAGCCAAATGTTAGGGTTCTGGCTTCATTTATTTAATTTTTGGGGGTGAAGGGGAGAATTTAAGAAGCACTCTTTCTCCGGAAATATCACTCAAAAGTAAAACAGAAGCCCAATCTGAAAGAACAGCATCAATATTTAATCACAGCAGGCTAAGGGTTGTGGAAGCAATAGGTATTAAATGTAATTGAAACAAGGTATGCTGATTCCTTGTGGGGTGGAAGGTGGAGGAGGTAGAGGCTGTTCTCTGGGTGTCTCCGTCTTACAACCTGCTGGAATATTCCCTAAGTGGATTGTGTCCATTATAAACACATCAAATCAACATCCTAGGAAGGTTTAGTGTGTGCGTGGCAGAAAGACACCTGAGGTAATTTCACCTCACATTACAAATTGGTCTCTTATTCATACAGTAGGAAGCATTTTCTTTCTACAAAATGGATAATGCAGAAGAATAATCTAGCCAGCATACTAATAAAGGGAAATAAAGGTGTCTGGAAAAACTCTTTGAAACCCTCAATGGCTAATTTGGGAATTCTAGGCGTTGTGTGCTAGAGAGACACAGTAAAGATATTATTAAATAACTCTAACACATGAGATGTATTACATCCAGGATGTACTCTTATTTTTGTAATTGCTACTTATCTCAGACCTTTTATTCATTTTCTCAAAGGACATTTCCAAAAGCTAACACTGTCACTACATCCTGAACAGGGTTATTGGAGAGTTTCCTTTTCTTATAGAAGCACTACGTTCATGCTCCCCTGTCCCCAACAACCCAGTTTAATAACTATGTCCTTTCTGTACATTGTTATTAAGCTGGGGTTTGTTATCCCCTTTCCTGAACATCTGATTAACATTTTCGCCTACCATGCAGTAGGGAAATGGCAGGCACATTCTTGATTATTTCCCTTTCTGGATGCCAAAGCTGGTGAGTCTTAACTATGGTTGTATGTGTTTGTGTAAGATAGATAGATAAATAGATAAATAGAGAGATGATAGATAGATAAGATAAATAGATAGATGATAGATGGATAGATAGATAAGATGATAGATAGATAGAATTAAGTCTCAGATTTGGAAGTGTGTTTAAAGGCCAATAACTGTGGCTATCTCTTGGCCCATAATCAGAAGCAGACCACTCCAGGCACAAACTACATATCTGCAGGCTTCACTTACTCACTTGGCAGAGCTAGACACAGCCAACATAGAGACATTTTGCAGTAAAGAGGAGAGACATAGTAACCCCCAGGCTCAGGTGCAGACACTTTGTAGACGGCCCCTTCATTAGACTCAAATACTGTTAAACATAAACAATGACACTTGTGTGTGATCAGAAGACCCCATGACATTGTTACAATGATGTCAAGCGAATCAAGAGCAGAATTTTATTTCCTAATAACTTTTATCTTTACAAGAATTGTGCTTTCAAGCGATACGCAAACTACGCAGCCAAAAACATGTTTTGCAATCTGCTGGACCAAAGTTATTTAAGGATTGTTTTCCCAAAGAAAGAGAAAAAGTCTAAGGAAAGAATACATACCCATTAGTGCACTTCATGTTACTAACTTGAAATATTCCCAACTCTGTCATAACAAACACCAAGACACGAGGCAAAATGCATACATTTTTGGTTCTCGATTTCCCTATCTGTAAAAATTTTCCCTATTTTTAAAAATTTAAGGGAAAGGTGGTCCATGTGCCATATGCATTATATATAGTGGCAAACAAATAGAGCATTGGGTTTGGAATATATGTTGTATTTATATTTTCAAATTATTTTAAATGTAAAAATATAGTGAACATTTCAGTAATTGGAGTTATAAATTACCCTTCTCCTTTAATTATGGAATGGAATCAAAAGTGACTGTAATTTCTTATTTATTGAGTTTTCAATGCATGTCAGTTTCCATGAATGCTATGGAAATCTAACAGACATAAGATTTCCCTGGGAGAGAGAGCGTCTGCAAGTGTCTGCAGTGAAAACTTGCCATCTCTAGTGTCATCCAGAGAGCTCTTGGTAATACTGCAGATCTATAGAGTTTCTGCCTACACTTCCTGGGACCTGAGGTGTTTCAGGCCATCATAGGACAGCTGCTGTGTCTTTTCCACCAGTAAATGGTCTATCTGGAATTCAGAGATGTATATGGCCTCTCTCTAGAAGAGACTGGCTGAGTGGAGAGAGAAGCACTCCAGAGTTGTCATATCAGATAGGAGCAATACCCACATAGAACAAGACAAAACAGGAATCTGTAATTGAGAGTTGAGTTCAGAATGGAACTTTGCAGAGGACAGTCACACATTTGCTGGACAAAAGATCCAACCATCAGACTTTATAAAGACTGAGGGATGATGTAGTACAATCCCACTGTGTTAAAGATTCGTTTACAAGGAGCCAGAGAAGTTGACTGACTTGCCAAGTCACATTACTAATAAATGAAAAGGAGGAAATGATACCAGATCTTCTGGCTCAAAATCCTGTATCTTTCTTCACCACAATGTGCAGTCTTCTTGGGACCCCGAATACTCTGCCTGGGTCTGGCTTCACGAAGCATTGTTTGATGTGCTCAAAATAGTTGGTTCACGCAAAATTGAACTGCCTCTAGAGAAATGTCATGTTGCATTGCCAATCTACCTGTGGGTTCAGCTCACTATGGTTATGACCTCTTTATTCATGGCAGGGGTAAGGGAGATAATTAATTCAAAAAATAAATAGGAGGTATGAACTTTATTAAGCTACACAAAGTTGAAAAGACTTAGTCCCTGGCCCTGAGGAGATTTCAGTGCATCAAAGGAATTAGACAAACAGGGACAAAATATATTGCAATAGGTGCAATGAAAGAGGTCATCAGAATGGGCTATGAGAGCACAGAGGAGGAGCATTTGATCATATATGGAAAGTAGGTAAGATTCACTAGGGAAGATGGTGCCCTAGCTGAATATGGAAGGTAGATAAGAGTCACCAGGGAAGATGGTGCCCTAGCTGAATATGGAAGGTATGTAAGATTCACCAGGGAAGATGGTGTCCCAGCTGAATATGGAAGGTACGTAAGATTCACCAGGGAAGATGGTGCCCTAGCTGAATATGGAAGGTAGGTAAGATTCACTAGGGAAGATGGTGCCCCAGCTGAATATGGAAGGTAGGTAAGATTCACTAGGGAAGATGGTGCCCCAGCTGAATATGGAAGGTAGGTAAGATTCACTAGGGAAGATGGTGTCCCAGCTGAACTTTAAAGGAGGGAATAGGAGATAGTCAGGTGGAGAAGTGAAGAATATTATTAGTACCAGACACAGCGGAATGTTTAAATGCACAGGAATGTAAAAAACAATGCAAAGTTTAGGAAAATGACAAGCATTTGCACATGGCTGGAACGTGGTTGTGGTGAGAGGTATGGATGCACTTGTGACGAAGGTAAGTGACAAACTCTGAAGGAGCTTTATACCATACTGTCAATAGGCTTCAGCTTTTTAGTTGGAAGGCAATGGGAAGCCACTGAAGTGATACAATCAAATATATTTTTAAAGGTTCATTCCAGCAGCTGTGTGAGAATGGGTTTGGAGGGGAGGGGAAGCTGGGAGCTCAGCGAGACCAGCTGGGAAGGAGGTTACTTCAGTGACTCAGAAAACAAGTGTTATGGACAGTAGGATGTGCCACCCAGATTCCCCTTTAGGGACCAAGAACTTGTGCCCTCAGCAGCTGGGAGTGCTTCCAAAAGACAGGCCTCAGCTGTCAGCCTTTTTTGAGAATTGCCTTGGCTAAGAAAACTACTGTGGCCAATGTCACACCCTCTTCCACAACCAACTCACATCTAACATCTGTTCAGCGTGGTGTAGAAAAGCTCAGCTTCTCCACCCCCAACTTGGAACAAGTCTGAAGGACCATCCCAGGTTTTAATGGAGTTCCCTGCAGCCCAAGTTGGGACTGCATTGAGATTCAGCTTCTCCTCCTGCCCAGCCCTGCTTCTGTCCACTCCCTCCCAAGGTGGTGATACCAAAAGCATTTCCAGTCAAGTACCTGTGTGCTAATTGCTAATCTCCATCTCCAGGTCTGTGTCTCCAGGAAACATGCCTATGGTAATAAGGACAAAGACCTATACCAGGGTATGGGTACTAAGAAGTAGGAGGGAGCACAAACTAATTCAAGACATAGATGGTATAGGACTGACAGGATTGGGGGACCAACTGGACACAAAGAAGAGGGACAATTTTCTAACATGAAATATTGACTGGCTGATTTTATCATGAACAACCTTAAATACAAGGATGGACTATATCACCCTGGAGATCGCATATTTGAGTTGAAACACAGAAGAAAAATCTTTGAGATTATATATATATATATATATATATATATATAATCTCAAAGATATATAATCTCCAAAGAATATATATATTATATTCTTTGGAGAATATATATATAATTATATATATAATATATAAATACATAAATATATATATAATATATATAATTATATATTATATATAAATACAATATATATTATATATTATATTATATATAAATACAATATATATTATATATAATTATATATATATATATATATACATATTATATATAATATAATATATATTATATCAAATATATATAATATATTATATATTATATATATTATATATAATATATATATTATATATTATATATATTATATATAATATATTATATATATAATATATTATATATAATTATATAAAATATATAATTATATATATATAATATATATATTCTTTGGAGCCTTCACATCAGATTCTAGATGATTCAAATGAAATCATTATGAAAGAGAAGAAAAATGTCTCAGAGTGGAGACCTGAAAGGATCCTACCAGGTTCATTCTGGTAGGAGCAGAAGGACCAGTAGAAGAGAATAGAAAAGAGAAATGAGAGAAGTAGGAGGAAGAGAAGGACACTAGGCTGTCACAAGAAGTAAGAGAAAAGAGTAAGGCCAGTGTTAATTAAATTAAAATGTATTGAGGAGTCTAATGAGATCAGGGCTAAGAACTCTCACTAACTTTTCAACATGGAGGAAGTTGGTAACCTTACGAGGGCAGTTTGGATGGTATAGGGGACACCAAATTGAAGTGGGCAGAAGAGTGAATGGGGGAGATATTTTTGAATAAAGGTATTGCAATGGTACAAGATCCTTCAGTGAGATAAGCTGCAGGCTACACTTATACTGCAAATCGTAAAAATTATAAGAAAGATCTATTTTTAAAGATTGACTTTAAGAATGTATAACAGTACTGGGAAATGAGAAAGCGTGCCACCAATGGGCTAAGAAGTATAAAGAATGTCTCCACAATGGAATGTAGATGGGATGGACAGAATGAGAACACCAAGTCCAACCCGTGCAGGAGGGGGCTGATGGGCAAAGTAGGAGTGAATTTAGAGTCCTCCCATGCCGTAAGATGGTGGATTTTAAAAGCAGAGACAAAGGGGCCAGTCGGTGGGTGTTTGGTTGTAGAATAATAGAAAGAACAGCCAGGCAATTTGGTCTCTCTCTCTGCCTCCTCTACCAGCCCCACCCTCAGATATCGCTGAAGGCTGGGTCTGGAAGGGAGCAGTGCCCTGTGTCTGGTGATACAAAGGAAAGGCGCATGTGCTCATAGCAGAGCAGCTACCTGAACAGCTCCCAGGTAGCACTATCTTCCCATCATCACAGAAAACCAACATTGTAAAGAAATAAAGATAAATGTATAATGATGATTCAATATCTGAGGCAGAACAGCCCCAGAAGGACAGACATTTCAACAGGGATCAACTGATGGGGATACTTCCAACATAGCAACATGAGATGATGGGATTCATGACCTGAGACACTGAGTACCATTAGGGCACTTAAAAGACAATGTTAAGGATAGGAACAGAGTAAACATAGCTGTGGAGCCAATAACTGAGCTGGAAACTCCTGCTGAGGAATTATCCTCCAAACACAGGAAAAATTAGAACTATGAGGGATAGATTCAGAAGTTTTAGCATATATTCAACAGCAAATTCAGAAGGGGAAGGTAGAGAAATTTTAGAACACCATCAAATAAAGAAAATCATAATAGCTTACAGAGATCACCTATGCAAGAATGAAGAGATTAAAATAAGATTTATTACTGCCACCACCTGTTTCAAGAAAAAAAATGGAAATTATCCATAGATTAATAAGAAAAAAAATTTTGGAAGAAAAATGTGTTATCCCCAGCCATATTCTCATTCAAATATGAGAACTAAACATATCTTCAGAAATTACGGGTCTCACAAGTTTTGTGGCTCTGAATGCTAAGCTACTGATTCAGGTGAATAAAAATCAAAGAAGATGAGGTAAAGATAGTAGATTGGGCACCTACAGCAACTTCTTTTTTTCTCCTAAAATGTCATGAAAATAACTATAAATGTATTTTAAAAGCAAAACCCTCCAGAGATAGGAAAGATGAGGAAGGGGTAAATAATAATGAAATTTTGGATAGTGCATATCAGATGGCAATGAATATTTCTGAGGCTTGAGAAGACTGAATTCCAAACAAGCAGGAGAGATATCCAACAGCAAACACAATTTGTACTAGAACCTCCAAAAGTCTCAATAATTGAGGAAACCATGCATGACAGAAGCCAGTTTGAAGGAAAGGAGCTAAATTAACGAGGATCGGTTGGAAATTGATTTGAGCAGTAATCAGATCCTCTCACCAACTGAGGTTAGCAGGCTGACAGTCTTTCCTTCGCCCTGGTAAAGAACTGAGACTTGTATTTTGAGAGAATAAAACAGCAGCTCTGTACTCGTGGATAATAGGTTCAGTTAGGACACGAGTCTGTACACTAAAAACAGGGGATTTAAGTGCATGCATGGGTACTGGGAACTGATAGCCCATGCCCTATTTTCTATTCAGCCCCATAAATGATGAGAATCAGTTCTTCACTCACTAAGCAAGAGACTAGTAGAGTTTTCTCTGGGGAATTTCACTGTGCCAAGAGGAAAGACATAAAGAAATTGACACAAGAGGTTTTCCCACTAACTGTCTGAGTCTGATTCCCCCAAGTCTACATCCCACAGCTGCACTATGAGAATTTCCAGTGAGCTTTGTAACAATGACTCAAAAACAGGATCTGGTAATTAAGGACTACCAAACACCTGAGGATAGTTTATACAGGTTGACCAACCCTTATCTGAAATGCTTGGGACAGACATGTTTTTGATTTCAAAATTCTTTTGGACTTTGGAATATTTGCATATACACAATGAGGTAACTTGGGAATGAAACCCAAGTCTAAACATGAAATTCATTTATGTTTCATATGCACTTTATACACATAGCCTGAAGGTGATTTTATATAATATTTTTAATAATTTTGTGCATGAAACAAAGTTTTGACTACATTTTGACTGAGACTCATCACATGAGGTCAGGTGTAGAATTTTCTGCTTGTGGCATCAAGTCAGCACTCAAAAAGCTTCGGATTTGGGAGCATTCTTATTTCAGATTTTTTAATTAGATATGCTCACCTTATGAAAAATACAGATCAAAACAAATATAAACAGACACAGCTTAAAGAAAACAGTGACTCTGCAAGGAGAAGAAAACTCTTATCTCTATACTTTTAAATAAGAATAAATTGCAACCATGAAACAGGAACAGACGTCAAGTAAAGAAACACTAGGAGCTCCAAAAGGAGGCCCTGGACGTTCTAAAAAAAATCATATACTGGGAAAGAAAAACTAAAGAGAAGTTTCGAAGACAACATTGAGAATCTCTTACAGAATATGTAGCAGAAAGTAAAAAGGAGATGGAAAACAGGAAAGCAAAGATGAGGAAATACGAGGACCAGTCCAGGTGGTACAAACATAGATGATCACAGCCAGGTCATTGGATCCAAGGTCCTTGTGATATCAAAGGATCGTCACTGGGGCTGGGAGGTGCTTGAATGAGTGAGTTGAGAAGATAGCGTGTGGGAAGAAAACTAACGAATTGTAGTGTTAGAAGAGAAAACATGAGTGAGAACTTCACTTTAGTCATCTCAAATGCTACAACAAGGGCATATAAAATGAAGGTGAGAAAGCAATCATTAGATTTAGGTTGCTGGTCATTAGGAACCTGGCAAGCAAAGTTTCTTAGAAGACATAGAGGGAGAACCCAGATGGCGCTGGGCTGAGTAGCGGTTGATAAATGAGAAAGTGAGAAAGTGCCTTTGGCTACCTTTTAAAATGTTATTTCTAGGGATGTAGGTGTGAATAGGAGTATGCTGTGCAGATGATGAATCTGCGTGACTTCATTGTCCATCATAATGCATAGTCTACAAGAAAGGTTCAGCCTCGGGGAGAGATTGAATAAGCCCTCCTCCCATGCAATCTGCTTACAGTGAACTAAAGTTTCCGCAAAAACTAAACTAAACTTAAAAGGACACTAAAGTGTTCCAAGAACTACGAAGGACACTAGAGTGTTCCAAGAACTAAGAGAAAAGAGTGAGGCTAGTGTTAATTAAGTTAAAGTCTACTGAGGTGTCTGATGAGATAAGAGCTAAGAACTCTCATTAACTTGTCAACACGGGGGATGTTGGTAACCTTATAAGGGCAGTTTGGATGGTGTAGGAGACACCAAATTGATGTGGCAATGAGGAAGATATTTTTGAATAAAGGTATTGCGATGGTACCAGATCCTGTAATGAGATAAGCTTCAAGCTACACTTATACCATAAATCATAAAAATCATGAGCATAGGGAATAACCGCCATGTCTCATCGAGGAGTCTGGAAGCTTGTTCCTGTGGGAAATGCCTCACAGCCATCCTCCTCGCAGGCTCAGTCACAGACACACCATGAAGACTCCTGTGCCCTGGATACCGCTGGCTTTTGGAATATTTCCAGGGTCTTTCCCTGACTCCTCTTTGAGCTATCTTGACAATTCAGTACTACAGATTTTTAACCTCAGATCTGAATCTCCCTACACATGGACCTTGTTATTCAGAGCTTCCCTTGCTTCTTGACACAGCTTCGCTGAGAACCTGGACATCCACAGCCCTGGATGTCAAGCCCACACTGGCAGGAGCCCGACTGTCCCCACAGCAACCCTGGCTGCTAGAACTCATGCTTAGAGCAAGCTCTAGCCCAGAAATGGAGAAGAGAGATGAGAAAGGAAGGAAGCAAATTGTAGGAAGAGGTGTGTATAGAGCACCCTTAACATAAGTGACTCCATCTTAGAAAAAGATTCCATTTTACGTTTCAAATGGTATCATGCCAACTAGGACCAGATATTCACCTAATCAATAAAAACTGCACCCAACCAGATAAGAACATAAGCAGGCATACTCTTTCACTATCAGTCCTCACCAGAGCACTCTGGCAATAAAAAGAGCAGGACTTCACCAGCTTGAGACAGGTGTCTTGACTGACCCCATCTTGCTGTCATTCATGATCAGCACTCAGCATCTATGGCTGAAGGCTCTGCCCAAATCAGAGACTGTTCCTTGCAAGACATTGCCATCCATCCGGATCAGGCCAAGACACTCCTTATCCACGTCACTCTCCGTGGACTGGTTTATTAAGCATTTTTTTTCTATCTCTTTTTCTCTTCATGTTAAATGTTACTTTGTTTGATGGGAAATGTTTAATCTATAACATTTATATATTGATTAAGTACACTATTATGCATGGTTTGCAGTATTGACTGACTTGTGAAATGGCTTGAGCCTGCGTGCCCACAGCTCTGACTACTGAGTGAACAGGACGTCCTAAAGAGAAATGACCTTGGGAATTCCTTGTAGCTTGTGGCTTTTATGATTGAAATTGCATCAATAAAAGTCTGATTTTCTGGAATGACACAAACATGCGTGGACCTGGTTATGTCTGACCTTGCGCCACTCATGACAAGCTGTGTCTACGACAAGGGTGTTAATCACACAGTAGCATCTTGGGATCGTACCAGGATAACAGGGGATGATCAAGTTTGAGCACAGCGCCTGGTATATGGAATGCACAAGATAAAAGTAAGTTGTGATTGTTGCGTTGGTGGTTGATATTATTCTTCATACAGAACAACCAGCTCACCTGCCACCACTAACAGCAAAAAGGAAGGGGTCATGAAGAAATGAAGGTGAGGAATTGTCATAATAATGCTGTAAGTTTAAGGTGCCAATTCACCTCAAATGTCACTGTTGGGGAAAATGAGTCTTACAGAAGGAAGAAACCAGCCCAAAGCTAGTAAGTGGCTGAACCAGCATAGGAGCCAGTTTGACTGCTTCTACACCACAGGGGAAACATTTTACAATTCATCAAGATGCGACTACAGCACCTCATTTTTAAGGCATTTGCTTTTCCAATTAATGTAACCTTACAGAAGCAGATGCGCCGTCTACAATCTGAACTGAAACAAGCTGACTGCTCTTCAGGAGTTGAATGAGCAAAAGGTATTCCAGGGGTATTTTGTTCTCCAGCCGCTTTCAGCTAAAGGACTATCAGATTACAGAATTGGACCCAGAGGCATTCGTTCCTCTCCCCTTTTCCATTTCTCCCTAAGTTAGTTTTCATTTCATAACAGTCATTAGCTAAGCTCTGGGAATGAAGTGTAAAAATTTCCCCTCACCCCGGAGCCCTAACTGACAGCAGTTCCTTGAAACTCCTGCAATCAATGCTCCATTTAAGCATCAAAACCTTATCAATTAGGCCTCAATGTACAGGGATCACGTGGCCGGCCGGTCACGCTGAGCCGGCCGCTGAGGAGTACCAGAGGCCTCATTAGGGCCTTGAGCTTTTGTAAAATTCCTGAATAAGCAGCCCATGGAGTGTCTGCAGAAGGGCTGCATTTTATTTTTTTATTTTTTTTATTTTTTTTTCACCCAGCTTTAACAACTGCTTTTACGGACAATTTAACACTGTGGGTTGCCAGCTGTGTTAATACCTGACCCCCTTCCTTCATGATGTCGCGCCTTGTGAAATGGCTGTCAGATGCGGAGCCCACGCCCCCCTTCCTGAGAAATCTATGCTTTTCTTTTTTTTTTTTTTCTTTTTTTTTACTTTTTTTTTTATTATTATACTTTAAGTTTTAGGGTATATGTGCACATTGTGCAGGTTAGTTACATATGTATACATGTGCCATGCTGGTGTGCTGCACCCACTAACTCGTCATCTAGCATTAGGTTTATCTCCCAATGCTATCCCTCCCGCCTCCCCCACCCCACAACAGTCCCCAGAGTGTGATGTTCCCCTTCCTGTGTCCATGTGTTCTCATTGTTCAATTCCCACCTATGAGTGAGAATATGTGGTGTTCGGTTTTTTGTTCTTGTGATAGTTTACTGAGAATGATGATTTCCAATTGCATCCATGTCCCTACAAAGGACATGAACTCATCATTTTTTATGGCTGCATAGTATTCCATGGTGTATATGTGCCAGATTTTCTTAATCCAGTCTATCATCGTTGGACATTTGGGTTGGTTCCAAGTCTTTGCTATTGTGAATAATGCCGCAATAAACATACGTGTGCATGTGTCTTTATAGCAGCATGATTTATAGTCCTTTGGGTATATACCCAGTAATGGGATGGCTGGGTCAAATGGTATTACCATTTCTAGATCCCTGAGGAATCACCACACTGACTTCCACAATGGTTGAACTAGTTTACAGTCCCACTAACAGTGTAAAAGTGTTCCTATTTCTCCACATCCTCTCCAGCACCTGTTGTTTCCTGACTTTTTAATGATTGCCATTCTAACTGGTGTGAGATGGTATCTCATTGTGTTTTTGATTTGCATTTCTCTGATGGCCAGTGATGATGAGCATTTTTTCATGTGTTTTTTGGCTGCATAAATGTCTTCTTTTGAGAAGTGTCTGTTCATGTCCTTCACCCACTTTTTGATGGGGTTGTTTGTTTTTTTCTTGTAAATTTGTTTGAGTTCATTGTAGATTCTGGATATAAGCCCTTTCTCAGATGAGTAGGTTGCAAAAATTTTCTCCCATTTTGTAGGTTGCCTGTTCACTCTGATGGTAGTTTCTTTTGCTGTGCAGAAGCTCTTTAGTTTAATTAGATCCCATTTGTCAATTTTGGCTTTTGTTGCCATTGCTTTTGGTGTTTTAGACATGAAGTCCTTGCCCATGCCTATGTACTGAATGGTACTGCCTAGGTTTTCTTCTAGGGTTTTTATGGTTTTAGGTCTAACGTTTAAGTCTTTAATCCATCTTGAATTGATTTTTGTATAAGGTGTAAGGAAGGGATCCAGTTTCAGCTTTCTACATATGGCTAGCCAGTTTTCCCAGCACCATTTATTAAATAGGGAATCCTTTCCCCATTGCTTGTTTTTCTCAGGTTTGTCAAAGATCAGATAGTTGTAGATATGCGGTGTTATTTCTGAGGGCTCTGTTCTGTTCCATTGATCTATATCTCTGTTTTGGTAGCAGTACCATGCTGTTTTGGTTACTGTAGCCTTGTAGTATAGTTTGAAGTCAGGTAGTGTGATGCCTCCAGCTTTGTTCTTTTGGCTTAGGATTGACTTGGCGATGCGGGCTCTTTTTTGGTTCCATATGAACTTTAAAGTAGTTTTTTCCAATTCTGTGAAGAAAGTCATTGGTAGCTTGATGGGGATGGCATTGAATCTGTAAATTACCTTGGGCAGTATGGCCATTTTCACGATATTGATTCTTCCTACCCATGAGCATGGAATGTTCTTCCATTTGTTTGTATCCTCTTTTATTTCCTTGAGCAGTGGTTTGTAGTTCTCCTTGAAGAGGTCCTTCACATCCCTTGTAAGTTAGATTCCTAGGTATTTTATTTTCTTTGAAGCAATTGTGAATGGGAGTTCACTCATGATTTGGCTCTCTGTTTGTCTGTTGTTGGTGTATAAGAATGCTTGTGATTTTTGTACATTGATTTTGTATCCTGAGACTTTGCTGAAGTTGCTTAACAGCTTAAGGAGATTTTGGGCTGAGACAATGGGGTTTTCTAGATATACAATCATGTCATCTGCAAACAGGGACAATTTGACTTCCTCTTTTCCTAATTGAATACCCTTTATTTCCTTCTCCTGCCTAATTGCCCTGGCCAGAACTTCCAACACTATGTTGAATAGGAGTGGTGAGAGAGGGCATCCCTGTCTTGTGCCAGTTTTCAAAGGGAATGCTTCCAGTTTTTGCCCATTCAGTATGATATTGGCTGTGGGTTTGTCATAGATAGCTCTTATTATTTTGAAATACATCAATACCTAATTTATTGAGAGTTTTTAGCATGAAGCGTTGTTGAATTTTGTCAAAGGCTTTTTTCTGCATCTATTGAGATAATCATGTGGTTTTTGTCTTTGGCTCTGTTTATATGCTGGATTACATTTATTGATTTGCATATATTGAACCAGCCTTGCATCCCAGGGATGAAGCCCACTTGATCATGGTGGATAAGCTTTTTGATGTGCTGCTGGATTCGTTTTGCCAGTATTTTGTTGAGGATTTTTGCATCAATGTTCATCAAGGATATTGGTCTAAAATTCTCTTTTTTGGTTGTGTCTCTGTCCGGCTTTGGTATCAGAATGATGTGGGCCTCATAAAATGAGTTAGGGAGGATTCCCTCTTTTTCTATTGATTGGAATAGTTTCAGAAGGAATGGTACCAGTTCCTCCTTGTACCTCTGGTAGAATTCGGCTGTGAATCCATCTGGTCCTGGACTTTTTTTGGTTGGTAAGCTATTGATTATTGCCACAATTTCAGCTCCTGTTATTGGTCTATTCAGAGATTCAACTTCTTCCTGGTTTAGTCTTGGGAGGGTGTATGTGTCGAGGAATTTATCCATTTCTTCTAGATTTTCTAGTTTATTTGCGTAGAGGTGTTTGTAGTATTCTCTGATGGTAGTTTGTATTTCTGTGGGATCGGTGGTGATATCCCCCTTATCATTTTTTATTGCATCTATTAGATTCTTCTCTCTTTTCTTCTTTATTAGTCTTGCTAGCAGTCTATCAATTTTGTTGATCCTTTCAAAAAACCAGCTCCTGGATTCATTAATTTTTTTGAAGGGTTTTTTGTGTCTCTATTTCCTTCAGTTCTGCTTTGATTTTAGTTATTTCTTGCCTTCTGCTAGCTTTTGAATGTGTTTGCTTTTGCTTTTCTAGTTCTTTTAATTGTGATGTTAGGGTGTCAATTTTGGATCTTTCCTGCTTTCTCTTGTGGGCATTTAGTACTATAAATTTCCCTCTACAGACTGCTCTGAATGCGTCCCAGAGATTCTGGTATGTTGTGTCTTTGTTCTCGTTGGTTTCAAAGAACATCTTTATTTCTGCCTTCATTTAGTTATGTACCCAGTAGTCATTCAGGAGCAGGTTGTTCAGTTTCCATGTAGTTGAGTGCTTTTGAGTGAGATTCTTAATCCTGAGTTCTAGTTTGATTGCACTGTGGTCTGAGAGATAGTTTGTTATGATTTCTGTTCTTTTACATTTGCTGAGGAGAGCTTTACTTCCAAGTATGTGGTCAATTTTGGAATAGGTGTGGTGTGGTGCTGAAAAAAATGTATATTCTGTTGATTTGGGGTGGAGAGTTCTGTAGATGTCTATTAGGTCCGCTTGTTGCAGAGCTGAGTTCAATTCCTCGGTTTCCTTGTTGACTTTCTGTCTCACTGATCTGTCTAATGTTGACAGTGGGGTGTTAAAGTCTCCCATTATTAATGTGTGGGAGTCTAAGTCTCTTTGTAGGTCACTCAGGACTTGCTTTATGAATCTGGGTGCTCCTGTATTGGGTGCATATATATTTAGGATAGTTAGCTCTTCTTGTTGAATTGATCCCTTTACCATTATGTAATGGCCTTCTTTGTCTCTTTTGATCTTTGTTGGTTTAAAGTCTGTTTTATCAGAGACTAGGATTGCAACCCCTGCCTTTTTTTGTTTTCCATTTGCTTGGTAGATCTTCCTCCATCCTTTTATTTTGAGCCTATGTGTGTCTCTGCGTGTGAGATGGGTTTCCTGAATACAGCACACTGGTGGGTCTTGACTCTTTATCCAGTTTGCCAGTCTGTGTCTTTTAATTGGAGCATTTAGTCCATTTACATTTAAAGTTAATATTGTTATGTGTGAATTTGATCCTGTCATTATGATGTTAGATGGTTATTTTGCTCGTTAGTTGATGCAGTTTCTTCCTAGTCTCGATGGTCTTTACATTTTGGCATGATTTTGCAGCGGCTGGTATCAGTTGTTCCTTTCCATGTTTAGTGCTTCCTTCAGGAGCTCTTTTAGGGTAGGCCTGGTGGTGACAAAATCTCTCAGCATTTGCTTGTCTGTAAAGTATTTTATTTCTCCTTCACTTATGAAGCTTAGTTTGGCTGGATATGAAATTCTGGGTTGAAAATTCTTTTGTTTAAGAATGTTGAATATTGGCCCCCACTCTCTTCTGGCTTGTAGGGTTTCTGCCGAGAGATCCGCTGTTAGTCTGATGGGCTTCCCTTTGAGGGTAACCTGACCTTTCTCTCTGGCTGCCCTTAACATTTTTTCCTTCATTTCAACTTTGGTGAATCTGACAATTATGTGTCTTGGAGTTGCTCTTCTTGAGGAGTATCTTTGTGGCGTTCTCTGTATTTCCTGAATCTGAACGTTGGCCTGCCTTGCTAGATTGGGGAAGTTCTCCTGGATAATATCCTGCAGAGTGTTTTCCAACTTGGTTCCATTCTCCCCATCACTTTCAGGTACACCAATCAGACGTAGATTTGGTCTTTTCACATAGTCCCATATTTCTTGGAGGCTTTGCTCATTTCTTTTTATTCTTTTTTCTCTAAACTTCCCTTCTCGCTTCATTTCATTCATTTCATCTTCCATTGCTGATACCCTTTCTTCCAGTTTATCGCATCGGCTCCTGAGGCTTCTGCATTCTTCATGTAGTTCTCAAGCCTTGGTTTTCAGCTCCATCAGCTCCTTTAAGCACTTCTCTGTATTGGTTATTCTAGTTATACATTCTTCTAAATTTTTTCAAAGTTTTCAACTTCTTTGCCTTTGGTTTGAATGTCCTCCCGTAGCTCAGAGTAATTTGATCGTCTGAAGCCTTCTTCTCTCAGCTCGTCAAAGTCATTCTCTGTCCAGCTTTGTTCCGTTGCTGGTGAGGAACTGCGTTCCTTTGGAGGGGAGAGACGCTCTGCTTTTTAGAGTTTCCAGTTTTTCTGTTCTGTTTTTTCCCCATCTTTGTGGTTTTACCTACTTTTGGTCTTTGATGATGGTGATGTACAGATGGGTTTTTGGTGTGGATGTCCTTTCTGTTTGTTAGTTTTCCTTCTAACAGACAGGACCCTCAGCTGCAGGTCTGTTGGAATACCCCGCCGTGTGAGGTGTCAGTGTGCTCCTGCTGGGGGGTGCCTCCCAGTTAGGCTGCTCAGGGGTCAGGGGTCAGAGACCCACTTGAGGAGGCAGTCTGCTGGTTCTCAGATCTCCAGCTGCGTGCTGGGAGAATCACTGCTCTCTTCAAAGCTGTCAGACAGGGACATTTAAGTCTGCAGAGGTTACTGCTGTCTTTTTGTTTGTCTGTGCCCTGCCCCCAGAGGTGGAGCCTACAGAGGCAGACAGACCTCCTTGAACTGTGGTGGGCTCCACCCAGTTCGAGCTTCCCGGCTGCTTTGTTTACCTAATCAAGCCTGGGCAATGGCGGGCGCCCCTCCCCCAGCCTCGCTGCCGCCTTGCAGTTTGATCTCAGACTGCTGTGCTAGCAATCAGCGAGACTCCGTGGGCGTCCGACCCTCCGAGCCAGGTGCGGGATATACTCTCGTGGTGGGCCGTTTTTTAAGCCCGTCGGAAAAGCACAGTATTCGGGTGGGAGTGACCCGATTTTCCAGGTGCCCTCAGTCACCCCTTTCTTTGACTCGGAAAGGGAACTCCCTGACCCCTTGGGCTTCCCAAGTGAGGCAATACCTCGCCCTGCTTCGGCTCGCGCACGGTGCACGCACCCACTGACCTGTGCCCACTGTCTGGCACTCCCTAGTGAGATAAACCCGGTACCTCAGTTGGAAATGCAGAAATCACCCGTCTTCTGCGTCGCTCATGCTGGGAGCTGTAGACCTGAGCTGTTCCTATTCGGCCATCTTGGCTCCTCCCTCCATCTATGCTTTTCTTAACATCCGGGGGCTCCACACCAAGGACAAAGCAAGATTTTCTTCCCAGTTGCTGTGTGCACACAGGCCCTTGTACACACTACTCCCTGCTAATTTGGGGGGCGTGGAACAACTAAGCGAATGAAGTCTGTGTTGCTGGCACTGAGAAAACGTTAGGAATAGGAGTAGAGTGAGGAGGGAGTCATATCCAGAGGCCAGCTGCCTCTAGGTGGTGGAGCAGCAGAGGAGGAGAGGTATACATGGTCTCCATAGGTAACTGTTTGGAGCCTCCACACTGAAGGGGCTGTTTCCGCACATTTATCGCTTTGGTTCTTGGCCCAGCCAAGAGAGGAACGTGTCTTATGTACTGTCCGGCTGCTCCGGCTAAGCCTCCTGTAACTGAATCAACCTAGATCCAAAGCTTGCTTCTTCTAGTTAAAGATTCAGGAACTGACCTTTGTCAGTTTGCTTAGTACTGATTAGGCTCTAGGGGCATCTAATATATTGACCAAGTTCCTATTTTACTTATGGATAAAACAGACTGCCATTAGGTTATTTTACAGTGAGAAATATTAGAACACTCTTGTTCCATGGTCCGTGTCTTCTATATTCTCTACCCTTAAGGCAGAAAGAGGCTTGAAATCTATTTCAAAGCTGTTAGAATACTCTGCAAATTTGTACCTGCAATTGCATCTAAAGAAACTCGAACTAAGGAAATCATTAGGACTTTATATCAATATTTAGTTACAGGAAGCATTGCTTATAGAAATCTAGTATTTTGGGGGAATAAAAAACCTAAAAAGGATCATCTTTAAAAATACAATTTAGCTATGCCTATGCATATTAAACTTTAAATTAATATTCATGCTGTAGAAATATAGTATGACACTCCAGTTAACCAGCAGACAATAGACTTCATTTTCTTGTAATGTGTTAGGCAAAATAACCTAAGCAATTGTCCTGCAGAGAAATAAATTCAGGACAAAATATATATAAGTATCTTGTGAAGGTATATAAATGATGAACAACCAAATAAAATGAGCATTTCTGTTACTTAGACTTTGGTTTCGAACTATAACTTCTCACTAAAAGAAAACAGAACTTCATGGAAAAGCAATTGATTCTAAGTCTGGGGCAGGAAATTTACAAGATGAGCCTGAAGCATCCAGGGTCCTTTTGCAAGGGCTTCAGAAATGACTTGAAGAGACTCAGTGGCTAAAGATGAAACAATTTTTGTTTCAGTAAAGGTAATGCTTTTAATAGATTTAAATTTATCAAATATATTTAAATCTATGGGTTCACATATATATGTATATATACACACAGTAACAACGCATGTCTGTGTGTGTATATGTGTGCATGTTTGTACTATAATCGCCTCAGGTGAGTAAGAAACTAATGCATTACAGTAAACATTGGTACATAAACAAAGTAAACATGTATTCTCCCTGTCCTATGTAAACTGCATCACTAGAAAATCATCTAATTGATAAACAGAAGTATCTCTTTATAAAATTATTCAAATTTACAATGCAAATGAAATGATAAAATAAAAATATCACCATTTACCACCCCTGATTAATGAATAGATCAATGCATTGAGAATAAACAGATGCTAGTATCACATAGAGACAGACAACCAGACACTGTGTGGCCCTTGGTGAAAGTGCACATCACCTCCTACAGACCTGCCAAAGGGATTCAGCCTCTGGACCCAGGGAACAACCTGCAGGAAACATAGAGGACAGAGGAAGATGTGGAAACCTCACCATGAATAGACAATCAGCAAAATCCGTGCTGTAAGTGTTTGTTTTCAATAGATAATTGTAAAGAAAAGGGGGCGGTCATAAATTAAAGAGTAAGAAAAAAGGAAATAAAAGATTAACACAACTAAATTTTAATGTCTACGAATGCACCCTTGGGTGATTAAGCTGCATAGAAATCCAAGAACATGAATAGTATAAAAGTCAGGATAATGACTACTTTTGGAGGGAAAAGAAGGATATGTGGTTGATGTAGAGCAGATGGATATGGTGGTCAAGTCCTATTTCTTGTCCTGAGTGTTTGTATAAGGATGTTTACTTTATATCTTAACCTATACATGTTTGTGCAGTACTCTATATATGTTTTTAACTTTACACTAAAAGGTTAAATATATTAAATGTGCCATTGATTTGGCAATAAGGCAAAAAAAATCCAGAAAGCTCAAAACGAGAATAAAAAGGGAAATTCATAGAGGTCAATGACAGCTGAAGTCGGCTTTTGATCCTGAGGCCAAATGCTGAAGTTTGGTGTCTTTCAGCCTCTGCTTTGTGGGTAACATCAGGCCTCAGTTGGTAATATCCCAGGGTCTCTATTGGAAGCAGATTAAAATCCTCTCTGGGCCGGGCGCGGTGGCTCATGCCTGTAATCCTAGCACTTTGGGAGGCCGAGGTGGGCGGATCACCTGAGGTCGGGAGTTCGAGACCAGCCTGACCAACATGGAGAAACCCCGTCTCTACTAAAAATACAAAATTAGCCAGGCGTGGTGGCGCATGCCTGTAATCCTAGCTACTTGGGAGGCTGAGGCAGGAGAATCACTTGAACCTGGGAGTCAGAGGTTGCAGTGAGCCGAGATTGCACCATTGCACTCCAGCCTGGGCAAGGAGAGTGAAACCCCATCTCAAAAAAAAAAAAAAATCCTCTCTGAAACAGCACAGCTTCAACTCTAGCATCAAAAAGTTCCCATAGATAAACAGATAAAGTTCCAAAGAGCATGAGCTTATAGTAAAAATGCCAGAACTCACAAGAAAACAAGGAACTCTGATGGGGAGACAGCAGAAACAACTGACATCAGAATCAGGCCTGTGAAGAATTCAGATGCTGAAGTTAGAAAAAAATCATAGATAATTAGTGTGCTCAGTATGTTTAAAGAAAGCAAAATACTGAAAGTCTGACAAGTAGATTTTTTAAAGCATCTAATGAAATTTCATACATAAAAATAAATAACTGAAATTTACAATGTGACAGAGGCACATCCAACTAGTTTCACGCATGATGAACAGCCTGTGGCAGAGCAATGGTCTTGCCAAGATTAACTGAAAAAGAGAATAAAATACAGACAAACATCTATTTGAGGAAATCTTAGAATGAAAAAGGTAGTCAGGTTTTAAGAGGAAAAAAATTGGGAAAAATGGGAAACCTCAGAATGAACTGACACTCTGCAACAGGTTTTTACCTCGCTGTATTCGTTAATTTGTGGTGCAGAACAACAGCCTGATGGCCAAGCCAAAGATCTTCAGCCCAGAGACAATAACCAGTAGGTGGAGAAAACAGGGCATCTTCTGACAGTAAAGAAAGAAAAAATTACACACTTGAGGGGCCAGATGCTTAAGTGAGAAGGGAAAGGTGAAGATCAGAACCTAATGTTATCATTTTGTTTTTCTTTCAAGATGTAGAACAAATTCTGAAGCTGCTTGGGACAGAAGGCTAAGAGACCAAACAAAAGGTCCTTGTATAAGCAGAGTGGTGTTTTTGGTAGTTTCACATTGCAGAGAATAAAAAGATCAGGTTTTGAGGTCTGCCAGTGGAAAGAGGCCTTAGTGAGCATTCCAGGCTGCTATTTGGAAAACTTGGAGCAAGGACAAACCAGAGCCAGAAGAAAGCAGGTGGAGCACAGTAATAGCCAAACTGTTGTTAATGGTGTCAAAACATATAAAGAATTAAACTGCAAAGTAATATTAACATAAAAGAAGAATTTAATACAGTTACAGTATCATGTGGTTTATGCCTTCTCAAATGATTTTTTTAAGTTCTATTGAACCTGGGACAGCATGTTGCAATCTCCATATTTACCGTGGAAATTAAGTAAAATATATGCATAATCAAACAGATGAAAACAAAAATAAATTATAATGTCTGATTAATCCAAAAGTAGGCTAAAATAAACAAACACAAGTTACTGGAACAAAGATAAAACAAATAGCAAAGTGGTGAATAGATACTTAACTATGTTAACAATTTCATCAAATGCAAATTAGATTAAATCCAATTAAAACACTAAGATGGACACAGAATAGGCATTCTTCTCACCTTCATGTAGAAAAATTTCTCCCAAATTGGCCAAATGCTGGATCATAACCCAAGCCTCAATAAATTTCAAAGAATTAAGATCTTCAGAATGTATTGCCTGACCAAAATGAATTTAAGCTGCAAATAAGTGAATAAAGATAGGGAGAAAATCTCTATTATGAAATTAACCAATATGCTTTTAAATAAACTATAGGTCAAGAAGAAATCACAGAGTAAATTAAAAATATTTTAAACTGGATAATAATAAAAAGATTACATACCAAAACTTATCAGATGTACAAAATATGTGTTTAGAAGGATATTTATATCTGAAAAATCAATTATCTAAGAGTGTATCTCCAGTCACTGGAAAAAAAATACTAACAAATTAAGCCCATAGGAAGTACAAAAAACAAAGGATAAATGTATAAATGAATATATTTTTTAAATATGCAGAATAGAAATTAATACAATGAAAACTTGGTACTTTGAAACCAATAATTAAATTGATAGACCTCATGCAAGACTGAAAAAGAAAATAAAGCAGAAAAATACAGATTGACAAGATCAGAAATGAAATAAGAGATATCACTAGCAAATTTTAAAATAGTGACTATGTAACAATATATGTTATGATAACAAATCAGAAATTTGTGATGACATAAACGATATCTTGGTAGCACTCGTTTTTTTCTTCCTGCTTGACATCGTCCACGCTCTTGATCTATGCATCCCACACACACAGTTTGGGCTTGGCCTTGTGCCTTAATTTGTCTAATGAAGCATGAACTGCCATCCAGTGTCTTAGATGAGTTTGCATGGTTTGGCTTTGTTGCTTATCTTTTTTTAATCAACCAGAAGAAAAACAGGCCGTATGTAGACTGAAATAGGTTTGCGAAGCCGGCCTAAACCTAAGCTACAATATAGAACCACATCTGACCTACAGATCTATGAAAACAACAGCAAAACCAATGCTGATGGCAAACCACTCAGTTTCGGGGTTATTTAGCATTATTGCAATCAGTCTTGACTAGGACACCCCTGGGGGAGGGGAGAGGGGGGTAATTTACCAATATTGAAAAAAGAAGAAATAGAAAATCTGAATATTCCTGTATCTAGTAGAGAAGGGTGTTAATTTACTATAAAATAATTATGCATTATAAATACAAATGTCCTCAGGCCTTGTTAACTTCATCAGTAACTTTTTCTAAATGATTTAAGAAACATTATCAATATTGCAAAAATTTGTTTAGAATATTGAAAAAATGACTATCCCATAATTCATTTTAAAAAGCCAATTGCCTGAATTAAAAATTGTAACAAGGACATTATAACTAATCTCTCTCATAAACATTCAAAAGCATAGATAGAAAAATAAGTAATAAAATGATAGAAAGCAGAATCCAGTGATATATCAAAACGGTAATATATCACAGACCAAGTGGACTTTAGTCAACGTAGGCAAGGTTGGTTACATTATAAAATCAATCATCATAGTTTACCACAATGGGGAGAAAACAAGAAAAAAATACAATCATTTTAATAGAGGCAGAAAAAGCAGTTGACATAATTTAATCCTCATTAATAATAAAAAGCACATAGCGAATTGAGAGTAGAAGGAAACTTTCTTATTCTGATAAATGGTACAGTTTTAAAATAATTAAAAGAAAACATCATTTCCTTTTAGAAATATTGATAGCTTCTGCCTTGAATTTGGAAAGAAGTAATTATAAATACAACCAGTTCTATTCAACACTGATCTAGTGATCCTTGCAAGAGTACTAGTAAGGAGAAAAAAAGTATTAAAATTAGAAAGAACAAATAAAACTGTATTACTTCAGATATGGTATGACAGTGTTCAAAGAAAAAATTATCTATAGATAAATTATTAGAATTATTAGTGAATTTAGCAAGATACCTAGACAAAATCAACAAACAAAAATCTATTTCTTTACAAGTACAAAGAAATATAAATGAAAACTTAAACTAAATTATTTAGAACAGCATAGACAAAATATAAATATGGAACAAAGATATAAAATCTAGTTCTGTGTTCTTTATAAGAGATACACTTAAAACATAAAGACACTGAAGGGTTAAAAATGGAAACATTTGCCGAAAAGACATGAAAAGCAAAACTCACACCTGTAATCCTACCACTTTGGTAGGCCAAGGCAGGAGGATTGCTTGGACCCAGGAGTTTGAGGCCAGCCTGGGCAACATAATGAGACCCCATCTCTACCAAAAAAAAAAAAAAAAAATTAGCCAGGCATAGTGACACATGCCTGTAGTCCTACCTACTTGGGAGGCTGAGGCAGGAGGATTGCTTGAGCACAGGAGGTCAAGGCTGCCTGAGCTGTGATCATCCCACGTCACTCCAGCCTGGGCAAAAGAACAAGACCCTGTCTCAAAAAATAAAATAAAACAAAATAAAAAATAATAAATGAATTTAAATGTAAAAAAGCAAAACTGGTGTGGCTATGTTAATATCAGGAAAAAATAGACTTTAAGGCAAAGTATTACTAGCAAGAAATATAGTCAGCTCATAATGATCCATTTTCAAGTATGATACAATTTGCAACTTCTATGACACTAATAGCTTTGCATGAGGAAATCTGAAGCAAATATTAACAAAATTTGAGGGGAAAAATTATGCAACATCCATTATTGTGAAAAATTTTAATGTCCTTCTTGGTCTTTGATAGATGAAAATGTGTGAGAATAAAGAATTTTGAGCAATAAAATTGTCAGTTTTGTCTAGTGTACATTTATAAAGTACCAGTCAACAATTGAATCATATACTTTCTTTTTAAGCATACATGAAACATTTACAAATATTGATCACATAAAGAGCCATAAATCAAATCTCAACAAATGTCAAAAATAGGAATTCTTATAATCCAAGGAAGTTATTAGCAAAAAGATAATTGGGAAAAGAATATTAATTTGGAAATTTAAAAATTCTTATAAATAAGCATCAATGACAAAAACACAATGGCAATAAGATACTATTTACTCTCTTAATACTGCACAATCACCAAGATGCTTGTGATCTGATGTCAAAATAAACATTATTAAATCCTTAGGCTAGGGAAGAAGAAATTATTTTTAGACAAATTAAATATCCAAATTGAGACACTTAAAAAAGAATAACATAAGACAGAAAGTAAGAATAAATATGAGAAGAAATTGGTAAACTAGAAGAAAAAAAACATAAAGGCCTAAAGTGAGTTCATTTTAAAGACTGAAAAAGTGACCAATCACCGGCCAGACTGACCACAAAAAAAAGAGAAGATACAAATAAACAGTATTAGAAATAAAAATTAGAGCACAGCCACAGACATAGTAGCCATTCAAAATATTCAAAATATATAATTATCATCTTTATGTTAATAAAGATGAAAATTTAGATGAAAGGGACAAAAACCTAGAAAATCTACATAATTCACTCAATCTAAAAAGACAATTCTGAATAATTCTGTAATAATTTACATAATCGAATCAATAGTTCCAAACCTTTTCCCAAAGTAATACCAGAAAATTTTACAAGTGGGTTCTGTTAATATATCTGAAAACAATAAATTCTAGTTTTACTCAATTTCTACCGGTGTAGAGAAAAACACACAACACCCCAAATATTTTTATCATGTCATCTTTAATATGGCACTGCAAGCAGATAAGGAAAATATGAGAAAGAAAAATTATATGACAATTTTACTTGTAAACATAGAAGCAAAAATCCCAAACAAAATGTTAGCAACTGATAAAGCTGTACAGTAAGGTTTATAAAATAAATGACTTAATTGGCTTTTTGTGGGAATTCAAAGATAGTTTATAATCAGAAAATCAACTAATGTTATTTATAACACTAACAGACATAGGATCACCTCAATAGATTAATAATATCATTTATCAAAATAACCAGTACTTAATTATAAAATCTCTTTGTAAATTAGAAATTCAAAGGAACTTTTTTAGCCCTTCTAGTAGCATCAACCAAAGAAAAAGATGGTGGATGGAGGAATGGAAGCAAGACCATGTTTAATGGTAAAACTTGGAAAGCATTTTCTTTAAAATCAGAAATACAAACAGAATTCTCGTTTTTGTTCTTTCTAGTTAGTTTGGAGGGTCCAGAAAAAAAAAAAAAGACAGAGAGAACTGTGAAGAATGAAATAAAACTGATACCATTGACTTATAAGATTCTTGTGGTAGAAAAACCAGAAAAACATAAAAATATAGAAAAAGCAGTAATATTTTAAATAATATTTTTCCAAGTTTTCTGCTGCTTATGCACAACTCATTTTCATTTATTATACTAGACTTAAATACATAGATTACATAATTTTTAAAAGATGTCATTACTGCTGAAACCAAAAATATGAAGTACTCCTGGTATAAATCTAGCAAAATGTGTGCAAACCTTTATGTATAAACAATGTATATACCATATATATTTATTGAAATAAACTAAAGGAAACCTGAATAAATGTAGAAATATTCTGTTTTTGTGGAACAGCAGATGCATTGCAAAACTGTCAGTGCTCCCTGCGTTGACCCACAGAATGATTTAATTCAGAAGAAAATCCCATTAAGTTAGTAATTTTCTTTGAAACTAAAGGTGTTTCTGAACTTTTTTGGTAGAGCAAAAGTCCAAGAACAACCAAGACACTTCTGAATCTATCAGATAATTTAGGAGGACATTTTCTACCAGCTATCAACACTTATAAACTGTGGTAAAACTGTACAGTAATAGATCAATAGATAAATACAACAGAATGAGAGCCCAAATAGTGACCCGCATATAAATGGAAAATTGATATACGTCAGAACTGGCATTGCCAATTAGTGAAGAAAGGAAAGAGTTTTAAATCAATGATTTTAGGGCAACTAATTTTTCATTTGAAGGAAACAAAATTGATTCCTTAGGCCTCGTCATACACAACATTTTATCTTAGTTGGATTAAATATCATGTAATTTTTTTTTTTTTTTTTTTTTTTTTTTTTTTTTTTTTTTTTTGAGACGGAGTCTCGCTCTGTCGCCCAGGCCGGACTGCGGACTGCAGTGGCGCAATCTCGGCTCACTGCAAGCTCCGCTTCCCGGGTTCACGCCATTCTCCTGCCTCAGCCTCCCCAGTAGCTGGGACTACAGGCGCCCGCCACCGCGCCCGGCTAATTTTTTGTATTTTTAGTAGAGACGGGGTTTCACCTTGTTAGCCAGGATGGTCTCGATCTCCTGACCTCATGATCCACCCGCCTCGGCCTCCCAAAGTGCTGGGATTACAGGCGTGAGCCACCGCGCCCGGCCTAAATATCATGTAATTTTAAAAACACATTGTGGTCCCTAAAGAAAACAAATAGACAAACCAGAAATGGGAAGCTTATCTTTGTAGACTTTTGTAATATTTGACATGTTTTAGTATAGAGAATATATAAAGAATGATATGAATCAATAAAAAAAAAAAGGAAACCAAATTAAAAGTTGGCCAAGGTTTTGAATTCTTTCACAGAAAAGAAAAATGTTTGGCCACAAACATAAGAAAATATGTTCAACATGGCTAACAAGGAGGTACATGTAAGTTAAAATCATAATAAAATGGCATTTGACAGTCATGAAATAGGCAAAAATTAGAAAGTCTGACTCTTCAAAGTGATGAAAAAAATAGGAAATAAGCCTGGCACAGTGGCTCATGCCTGTAATCCTAGCATTGTGGGAGGCTGAGGCAGAGTGATTGCTTGAGCTCAGTAGTTCTAGACCAGCCTGGGCAACATAGTGAGACACCCCACCATCTCTACAACAAATGAAAAAAATTAGCCAGGCATGGTGGCTCATGCCTAACTACTAGGGAGGTTAAGGCAAGAGGATTGACTGAGCCAGGGAGGTCAAGGCTGTAGTGAGCTGTGATCATGCCACTGCACTTCAGCCTGGGTGACAGAGAGAGATCCTGTCTTAAAATGATAATAATAAGAAGAAATAATAATAATACACTACTGGCAGGGTAGTCATGATTTTAAGAAACAATTTTGCTTTGTCTGGAATCCAGGAATTCCAAAATTCTAGCCATATTCAGGCATTTGTGCACCAAAAGACACATAAAAAATGATAGAAATGCTTAAGGAAATGTAGAAATGAATTTCAGTACATTCATATAGTGGAAAACTATAAAAGCAACAAATATGAATCAACTCAAAATATATGGTGAATCTCAGAAATATAAAGCAACACTGAATTTTTAAAAATGCAGATAATACATTCATTATAACTTCAATTTTATACACTTCAGAAACATGTACATTAAGTAAAATATAAAGAAAGTCAGAAAAAAAGTAAAACAAATTCCAGGATTGCAATATTATAATTATTAAGAGGTGGGGGAGGCAGAAGAGGCACAAATGGATTAGGAAGTACATTCAGACCTTCGAAGTGCTGGTAATTTAATTTTTATGTGTTGGTAGTCATTTTTAAGCTTGTGCATTTATCAAAAGTTTTGTATAAATTACATATTTCAGAAAGTTTTGCTTAAAATCAAGCTATACAAAGTGCAGTATGATTACAAAAACATACAAGGAAAGGAAAGATGGAAGGAAGAGAAGAAGGGAGAGAGGAAGGAAACTATAGTGGTTGCAAAATTTTTGAAAACACAACAAATTGAACATTTTAAACAAATATTTATTGAGTAATTAACATTATGATTAGATAATGTGTATGACTTTAACATATTTAACAGATCTGGACTCAGAGAGTTGATTTTCCACATATCACCTAATTTTAAGTGGTAAATCAACATTTTAAACCAGTTCTCTTTATTTAAGATTTTGCTCTATCTTTGATAACTAACCTGCCTTCTAAGAGACTGCAAGTCCAAACTTTGGGAGTTTTGGAAAGTCTTTGATGGTAATCAGTATCTTCCATTTAGGAGTATCTTACATCAAGACTAGGCTTTTAAAAATGATTATTAGGTTACTGATTTACATTATAAAATATTTTTATACTGTGTAAATTAAAATCCTACAGTGCTCTCTTGAAAAACCATATTTTTTCTATGACTGATGTAAAATACAGAAACTGCAACTTAAAATTCGATTATAGATGACATCTTTTTAACTTTTATATCAAAAAATATCATCATAAGCAAATTTGAAAAGCAAGTGGAAATTTGAAAAACAAAACTGTTTATGCCAGACAAAAATTTTATATGCCCAATACCTAATTATCTCTGGTGGGGGAAGATGAAAAATAAAAATAAACTCCCTTCTCCCCAAGACAAAAACAAAACAAGGAACAAAAGATACAAACAGGTAATGTATCAAATAATAAAGGCTAAGGATCCAAAATCACTATTTAATCAAAGAAATGCACATAAAGAGGGACTTTTTTTTTCCATCTAGCATTTTGCTAAAGATTGGAAAGATTTACAGTGTGTTATGTTGTTAGGATTTAGCCATACTTTTGTTTCTGTGTCCTGTTATTAGTAATGTAACTTGATTAAACTTTTCAAGAGTGCATTTGGTGAGATTTCAAAGTATAAAATGTGCACATTCTTTGAATAAGAAATTTTACCTACAGAAATGTTTTCTAAGGAAAAGAAAGACAACTTTTTAAAAGCGTATGTATTAGGGGGATTTTTTACAGCATTAATTACAATAATTAAAATCTGAAAGCCTATATCAACAGGAGCTTGGCTTCATAAATAATGGAATTAAATCAATGCAATATTATACAAATATTTAAATGATGATATAAACCACTATTACCGACACATGAAATGCTGATTATTTATTGAAAACAGACTATGGAATTTGCACTGGATTTCTCTGGATGATGGGAAGTTCATGGAATTTTTATTTTCTTTTTTGATTTGGCTTGATCATAGCTAACTGCAACCTGGAACTCCTGGCATGATCATGGCTCACTGTAACCTTTCAACTGATCCTCCTGCCTCAGCCTCTTAAGTAGCTAGGACTATAGGCATGCACTACCATGCCTGGCTAATTTTTTTTATTTTTATTTTTATAGAGATGGAATCTTGCGATGTTGCCCAGGCTGATCTCAAACTCCCAGCTTCAAGTGATCCTGCTGCCTTGGCCTCTCAGAGCACCGGGACTACAGGTGTGAGCCACTACACCTGACCCCATTTTCTTTTTCACAAATTTATTTATTTTATTTAACAGTGAGCACTTCTCTATACAATTAAGCACATATATATTATATTTGTTTATTATATATTTCTTTAAAGGAAGAGAAAAAATAAATCCACTAATACACACGCATATTATTAGCAGATGGGTTTTCAGGAATATGATAACAGCTACCACTTATTGGATTTCTTTTTTATGTCAAATGTGACTTTCACAAAAATTATGAAAGGTACAAATTGAGAAGTTAGGCAATATATCCAAGTCTAAATGACAAAGGTCAGTTAGCATATCGAATTCAGGCACCACTGAATTCACCAATCCATGCTATTACATAACACAGGGCCTCTTACCTTGAGTCACTGGAACAGATAACCATGAATGGGTTTCAGAAGGCCTGTGAACCGATGAAATTATAAGCAAAATTTCATTTGTAGCTGAATTTTTTGAACTAAGAGTCTGCAGCTTTTATTATGAAGTGCATTTATGCAGTCCAAAAAGATTAAGGACTTCCGATTTTGAGGTAGCAAGGGTTCGTAGATCATTAGTCCCATTTTTGTGATGCTAGAACTTCCCAGCTACAGAAGACAATATGTTTTCCCCACTTCCCACTCTCTTCCCTTGCTTCTCCCATCCCCTTGTCTTTAGGAGCTTTGGGAGCTTACTTTGAGAATGAACAGGCATCTTCTTTCTGAGTCTCATGACCTGTACAGGCCACCAGCTTTATGTGTATAAAGCAGAGTACAAGCCTGGCTTATTGCAAGCTTGGCTTATGCATGCTGAACTGCAATCAGTCATCCCAAAGCCATCACTTTCGAATGACTTATTGCAGTTCAGTGTGCATCTATGTGACCAGGGACTTGACCTCAGTGGAGACACAAAACAGGGTCAACATCTTGCATTTACTTTTTCACCTTTGCTCTAATACCAGCTATCTGGCTATCCACTGGGGACTACAATTTAATTCTAGCACTAACCACCTGTAGTTAATGCAGACTCCACAGGCTAAAGAGCACAATTCTCAATAAGACTATCACCAATTCAGATGCCAGCCATATTTTTGAGATCGCCAGCATTTCTGAACTATTGGTTACAAATTCCAGGGTTTCCAAGATCCTTTCAGGTTTGATAATTTGCTAGAATAACTCATAAAACTTACAAAAGTGCTGGACTTATTATTACGTTTTTATTATTATAAAAGATGCAAATCAGGAACAACTTAATAAATAGATATATAGGGTGAAGTCTGGGAGGGTCTCAAATGCAGAGCTCTGAACCTTCTTGTGAAATCAGGGTCTGCCACCCTCTTGTCACATCAACATATTCACACCACCAGGAAGCTCCACTTGAGCTTCAGTGTCCAGAGTTTTTATTGGGTTTTATTACATAGGAATGACTGCTTAAGCCACTGGACATGTAATTGAACTTTAAGTCCAGTCACTCCCCTCTCCCTGGAGATTGGGCCGACTCAAAGGCCAACCTTCTAATCACACGGTTGTCCTTTCTGTTGACCAGCCCGCTTCCTGAAGCTATCATTGGGCCCGCTATGAATCACCTCATTATCCTACACTCTGGTGTGATCCGAGATGTTCATAAAAAACAAAGACATGTTTAACACTTAGGAAATCCCAAAGATTTTAAAAACTCCATGCCAAGAACCCAAGACAAAGACAACACAAGTTCTTTATGATACAACAATGTTAACAATCTCACTCTTTCAATATTGCTTTTCCACTTCTTCTTTGGCCTTCTTTCTTTAGTTTCCTCTTATTTCTTCCTTTTCTTCCAATTTTAACTGATTTTCTGACTTCATCCTGTTACCCACATTTTGAACTGAAAATGGTGCTCACCCTTTGTTTCATGAAGGAGAAACCTGTTAAGAAGACACACACATTCATCAGCAGTTACACAAAATACCAACAATGAAGGTCATTCGTATAGTAGGTTATGTAAGTGAATCCCCCACTAACTTAAAGCAGGAGCAATGAACAATAAAACATGTGAATGGTACACGTGATACAAGAGAAAAAAAATACTACATATTAAAATTGTTCTTTATGGTTGAAAATAATGTTTCTTAAATTTTAGGGCACAGGGAGATAGATCACCTGAAGACAAAATTCAGAGTCTTGTTCAGCAGCTCAGATGTGGGGCCCAAGAGCCTGCACAGGGCCTACATGGTGTGTGGAGTCCAGTGCAAAGTGAATATTCAGGGACCCTTGTTCAAAAATTAAGAATTTCAAGATGGCAAAAACAACATATTAAACCAATCCCAGAGCCCTTCTGAGCATAAGGCCCTATGTAACTGCACGAGTCACATGTTGATAATTCCTGGAAGTGCATTTTCAGCAAGCACCCAAATGAAGTTGATGCTACCGATCCATAGATTCTAATTTGAGTTACAAGGGTCTAAAAATGTTCTAAATTGCTCCCCCCACACACATTTTGGATTTATACTTTTTGTTCGCTGACTTTTGATTTTCTTTAAAATAAGCTATTTACTTAGGAGATTAGCCAAGAAATTTGGATGCTAGAACTATCTCAGAGACCAATATTTGTTTTTGATTTTGTTGTGGGATATTCAGTAAAATTTGTTTAATTAATAAATAATATGGTATATGAATATATGACTTTGTTTTTAATTCTCTCCTTTCTTCACTCTTCCTTCCCATTACTTCCTTTCTATCCCAAATTCTGTACTAACAATCATCTCCATGAAATTAACATTCTTCTCCTACCTTCAGTTCTACTTACATTCAATTTTTCAAGAACATTCATGCTACTGTCAGACATTTTTGCCTATACACTTATAGTGACTGGGATTCTTCAGCAGGTCCATTCTGGTGCCAGAAATACATCAGTAATATGTCTTATTTCTGTAAAGCAGAGGGTTTCACTGTTATGTATCTTTAATATTTTCAACCATTTTGTTGTGGAAATAGCCCTAAAATATATCATACATATTCATTGCCTTTCAAGCAGAGGACGAAGAGCATAATCTAGATTCTGGGGTGCAGTTAATGTTTTATGCGATGCTATAATACCCTACGATACTTGGAAGTATTGTGATTGATGAGGCTACTAACTCCTATACAAAATGTCCCAGGCCACTGGAACGCTGACTTCTTGATTTTATTTTTGTGTGTTTAAAAAAATTTCCCCAAATTGTTACCTGTAATGCCCTAGTGTTGTAAGCTTGTTTGCCTAAACCAGAATTTCACTGCCAAACTTTGTATCTCTAATGTGGTTTTGGCCAAACTTATTGAGATAATTCTATGAAAATTAAGTCATTTATGTATATTGACAATGGGTTTAAGAAATTCACCTATGAATGAAGAACTAAAATGTAAGTTTTGGTAAATGGGATCTGTGACATAATTTTGGATTGTCAGGAAACCTTAATTTTTCTTTTACTTCTGTATTCTTGATACAACTATTATCAGTGATCCAGATAATTGTAGACTTTTCATGAATTTGACTATAATAAAGTTGGAACTTGGGTTCCAACTGATCATTAAGTCTCTATGTATGTTTTTGAGTGAACTAGTATGTAATTTCCAAGTTCTTAAGATTTTGGATGGCAGGGGGTAGGGGGAGGATATGAAATAGCTTTAGTCTCTGTCCTTAAATGTTTCTAAGTTCATGTGTAATAATAAATCACTTTGATACTCAAATGTCCAGAGATTGGTCATACAGCATATAGATAATTTGGTACCATTTCATCTTCACTGTATCTTTTCTGTTGCCCAATAACCAGTCTCTTTTCATTGCTTAGAGTGAAGAGGCTGCTGTATTAACACTAATTTCTGAGCTTCTAGCTGGCTTTTATGACAACTCTCAAATAGGTTGAACTTGGTTGACAACTGCGGGACAAATGATGAAGGGGAGAAAGCTAGGCAGCAATGCTGATGCTTTTGCTACCACGTCTTCAGATCTTGCAGTGAATGCTCTAATTGACAAGATTCTGAGGGGTGGGGACACAACCTGGAGGCATAGTTAAAAATCTTGAAGAACAGTCACTCCTGAAAGGCAGAGGTGCCTCTTTTTTTTCTTATTTATGCAGGAATTTAAGTTTAGTAAAGAGAATATATAACACACATACATACACCCCACCCACACATGTATACATACATACAAAAATATACACACATCACATTAAGGAGAAATTGGAAAAAAATGAAAAAGGAATTCCTAAGGTGAGTAACTTGGGGAGAAAGATGAGATGCCCACAGGAGTAAAATAAAAACACAGCAGATTCCTGTTTCTTACAAACGTATGTTCCCATCAGGATTACTGAAGCAGCTAGTGTTCATTTTGGCATTTTCAACTAGAATACTCAAAATTTCAGGGAACAGTAAAACTCTCCAGATTTGTTTAGAAGGAAAAATCATTACACATGAAACAACAAAGCACTTTTAGGGGCTAAGTCTGGAGAAGGGGCTAAGGCATGGTACTGAGCAGGGGGAAGTTTGGTGTGGAAGTCATTTTCTCTACCAATGACTCCAAAACCCAGAAATGTCAATGCAAAAAGATCTCCCAGTTCAAACATGTTGTCTATTGTCTGTGTAAAGACTAAAAACTCCTGAAATTACCCAAGAAGACAAGGAAACTTCATACAACTACGTTCACATCAGATGCATCCCAGTAGCACCATTTTCTCTCTATAATTCTTAGAGTTTCTTATCAGAAACCCTTGCTGCTTTCCAAATCCCTCTGTTTTCTTTCTTCTTGACCTCGGACGCCTCTGGGCATGTGCCCCCAGGAAGAGAAAAATGGCTTGAGCAGAGGCATAAAATGATGCACAAATCTGCCATAAGTTCATCCTAAGTCAACTGAAAGCAGCAGAAGAAATGGCTTGCAAAACAACAACAACAGCAGCAACAAAAAACTAAAAACCAGCAAGATTTTGGTTTTTTCGTCCATGTAGCTTTGGAGCCACCAGATGGCGGTGTTGCAGACCAGCTCTTAGAGCCTCTGGGTGCAGTGGAAATGAGAGAATAGGAAGAATTATTAATATTAAAGCGATGCCTGAAATGTGCTGGTGTTTGCGTCGCTACCAAAACGCCGAATGCATTGCGACTAAGGACAGCAACTTAAAGGCGGGGATGACTTTTCTTCCACAGTTTATTCTGAAACAGCAGGAAGCTACCAGGCAGTTTCATGGGATTAGATTGATTTAACCTCATCAGCCAGATCACTGTGAAAGGAAAGATGTTCCCAGAGACCCAAGTTTACATGATGACTCCAGAGCAAGAGACGAAACCCGATGAAACCAGTAAAAGCCGTCAGAACAAGCTCTCCAGGGCTCCCATCACCACTTTCCTCCATTTCTTTCTTTCCATTGACTGGGTCCCCAAGCCACCTCTCGCTGCAGCCCGTCACCGACGCTGGCAACACACGCACACACTCACATTTTAAAAAGCAAATGTCACAGAATTTCCAACAACCACACTTGCCAGCCAAAGAAAGCGTTCATTGATTTCCTGTTTTGTGAATTGATACAGATAATTTCTGTGGCTTAAGGGGTTCATTAACTCACTCATTTGAAATAATCTGAACATAAGCCGAGTTAAAGTTTTCTCTTGTCCTGTGTCCAGACTCATTTAACTCAATTTTTGAGAGCACAGTGCTAAGGAAACCAAAGCTCAGTGTTCAATATCCACTTGGTTTTACTCTGTTCCACTGATATGCCTCATACTCACAACCCTGGCTATCTATCTAGGACTAAGGTCAGAAAAGGAACTTAAGGGTCAGAAATGAAAAACAGAGTATGGATGGAGAAATACAAATATACTCTAACTACTGGAGAAAAATGGTCCCAAATCAATCTTAGGTTTTGGTTTGAGGTAAAATGGGTAAGCACAATTCACATTGTCTCTCCTGTTGAATGTAGCTGTAAAACCTGTGCAGAAAGGATGGAGCATCTCTTTGAGGACTCTAGTGGTAAAAAATAGCTGGAGGGTTGGAAAAGAAGATACAAATTTAAAGTACCAAGAAACTGGCAGACAATTTCACATTTTTCCTCCTTTCTCTCTCAGTGTAGACACACAGTAGCATAAAACCAGGAGGTGGTCATTAACCTTGGACAGATAACACTTTAGGAGACGCCTGGAAAAAAATAAAACTATCCCTACTCACAGACGACGTAATTCTGTATGTAGAAAAGTCCCAAGAAAACGACAAAGGAGCTCTTGGGATGAATAAATGAGTTTCACAAAGTCAACATACAAAACCAAATTATATTTCTATATAATGGCAATGAAATTTCAGAACTCAAAAAGAAAAGTCTTCAATAGCTTTAAAAGAACACAAAATACTTAGTTATAAAAGTAACATAACTTACACTGTATTTCCAGGTTGAACATTATAAAATTCTGATAAAAGAAATAAAAGAACGTACTAAATGGAGAGACATACAGTGCTCATGGATTAGAAGACTTAATAAGATAAAGAGGTTAACTCTCAAATTAACAGGTAACACAATTTCAACAGTAAAAAGCAAACAACCCAATTTTAAAATAGGCAAAAAACAAACATGAAAAAAAAAAAAACAACCTTGAACAGACCCTTTACTTAAAAGAGGACATGTATGGTTAAAACATAAATGAAGAGGCCAGGCACAGTGGCTCACACCTGTAACCCCAGCACTCTGGGCGGCCGAGGCAGGCGGATCACGAGGTCAGGAGTTCGAGACCAGCCTGACCAACATGGTGAAACCCCCGTCTCTACTAAAAAAAAAAATACAAAAATTAGCTGGGCATGGTGGTGTGTGCCTGTAATCCCAGCTACTGGGGAGGCTGAGGCAGGAGAATCACTTGAACCTGGGAGACAGAGGTTGCAGTGAGCCGAGATCGCGCTATTGCACTACCACCTGGGCAAAAGAGTGAGATTCTTTCTCAAAAATAAATAAATAAATAAATGAAGAAACACAGGAAAAGATTATCAATATCACTAGCCATTAGGAAAATGCAAATTAAAACCATGTGAGACACCTCTCTAGGCCTTTTAGAATGGCTAAAATAAAACATCCTGATAACGTTAGGTGCTAGTGAGGACACAGAGCATATGTAGCTAGTGAGAACACATATAGCTTGTCAGGCTTTATAAAGCTAAACAAATATTTACCATATGACCCAGAAATTCTATTCCTGGGTATTTTGTCTTAGAGATATAATAACTTGTATTCATACAAAAACCAGTACATCGAATGTTCATAGCAGCTCTAGTCATAGTTGCCAAATCTGGAAGCAATTCAAGTGTCTTTTAATGAGTGAATAGATAAGCAAACGGTGACACATCCATACAATGAGATACCATTCAGCAATGGAAAGAAACAAACCATTGACACATGCAACTTTGATGAATCTCACAGGCATTATATGACCTGAAAGGAGCTAGTCTCAAAAGTTTATACAGGGCATAATTCCATGTATATGATAGTCTCAGGAAGACAAACCTGTAGAGATATAGGATATATCAGTGTTTGCCAAGAATTAGGGGTATGGGGAGGCTACAGAGTAATAGCACAAGGGAGTGTTTTGGCGGAGATGTAACTGTTATGCATTCTGTGGTTATATCAATCTATAAATATGGTAACATTCATAGATTCGATTTGATTGCATGCTAATTTAAAAATTAAAAAATTTAAATACAATTCCTGCTGACAAGAGATCAAATGACATCAACTTGATGTGTCTGAAGGGAAGCACATTTTATTCTGTGGGGGAAAAGTTCAAAGAAAATGAATTGTGCACACTCTTGTGGGACAGACACCTTACATTATCTCATGGAATTATTGTAAGTCTCCTGTTGGTTGGGTTTTATTATTCTCAGGTTAAAGATGAGAAATGGGCATTTAGAACAGCTAAGTAAAATGCTCAAGATGAAAGAGCTAATGAATGGAGGAATAAAAATTTGAAAAGTCATTTGTCTGCTTTCAAAGACTACATGCCCACCTGCTATGCCGCAGCTTCCCAAACACTCAAAGGAGGTATGTTAACACTACTTAAGAAAATTAACTTTCTGATCACTTTTAAAACTGTATTTAAGACATAAAACACATGCATTTATTAAACCATCCCCAGCATGATTTCTACTTGGAGATAGCTCTCTTTTTTTTTTTTTGTTTTTCCCAGAAGGAGTCTTACCCTGTCTCCCAGGCTGGAGTGCAATGGTGCAGTCTCAGCTCACTGCAACCTCTGCCTCCTGGTTCAAGTGATTCTCCTGCCTCAGGCTCCCGAGTAGCTGGGACTACAGGCACGTGCCACCACGCCCAGCTAATTTTTTGTATTTTTAGTAGAAACGGGGTTTCACCATGTTAGCCAGGATGAGAGATAGCTCTTATTAGGAATCAATTAGTTCTTCTGTATAGTTTCAGAGAGTTCTTCCCAAAATCCTAGAATTCAGATCTCTAATTCTAATTTACTCCACCTTTGCTTATTACACATGGATAAGGCTTTTACTTTATGACATACCTTTCAGAGATGAAAGGATCCATTTCAGAGGTTGTTCTTCCTCAAAGCAGAAGTCTTACTCGGGCCCTAATTAAACATGGCACTGCTATTTAAACCTTGTGATTTAAGAACAAGATGTAACAGTGGTTCAGCACTTTGAAGTAAAACACTGCTCCATGTGCAGTTAGTAGAGTGGTGGTGATCTGTGTTTGTGTGTGGAACCCATGACACAGCTCAGTTAGGACTGTCCTAGTTCTCTCCTTCACAGGGAAGGATTACCAAATAGCAAATTCCTACTATTGCCTTGTCACCCATCATGTATGCCCCTTTCCCCCCAAAAAAGAACTGACCCCAAAGTAAGTAATTTTAACATCTTCTACAATGGACATGCTCATTTCTGCCACTCATTACATGCACCAGGCCCTGGGTGTGGCATCCCATGCCCAGAAATGAAAGCATCTTAAGAGAGAAGGCATCCAGCTTCTTGCAAATAAATCCCATAGATGCCATTACAGTTGTCAAAGGCTGAGCCAAGTTCTATCTCACCTGCCAGCTGGAAAGAGTATTGACAAGTGCTGAGCATCTTGGTGCTGTTCTGACGTAGGAATCTAGGTGAGGGGATTTGGTAAAACATGCAAATTGTTTCTGACTATAATCCAAGTAGTTAAAAGTACCAAGGTTGCAATTGGTGATTAACTTCCAAGTATAACTAAGTGTATACATAATTTCCTTTTCTTTACAGCTTTTCTTGTATTTAAATATGTGTGAACAAAGGAGACTCTACCACAGGTGACTTGTGTGAACCCCAGATGTTGATCTTAGGCTAAGCAGTTCATTCTCTGCCCTTCCCAGGGAGACACAAGGAAGGGATGAGAAGAGATCTTTGCATAACGTATCTGTTTCTTCTGTACCTGAGCTGGCACGAGGGCTTGCAACTCTTGCCTGAACTATGTTAATAGTATTATAAGCTGGTTCTTCCTAACTCCAACTTTTCTCACAACCAAAATGCCAGAGATATATGTCTAAAACTCAAATACATTTTTTATGTGACTGTACTACTTAAAATTTGGCAATGGATTAGATAGAGGCCAGACTATTTAGTAGGACATTCAGGTCTATTCAAAATCAAACCTCCACGTACCTTTCCAGTACCATCCTCTGCTATTCTCCTCTGTATACCTCATGATTTAACAAAGCTATTTGTTAAATTCTCTGGACACACTTCCATTGTGTCCCATCTTTGCTTACGTTAGTCCTTCTACTAACAAGGACGCTTCTTCATTCTGCCAGCTGGTGAAACGCTACTTGATCGGCAAGGCTTAACTCAAATATTACTACCTCGAAGGAGACTTTCCTACCACCTACCCCTTGAAAAACTCAGTAACACAGATATGTAATGTATTATCACAACCTGCAGCTATTATAGGTGCTCACTTAGTTTTATTCTTCATCAGACGTTCTCTTATTCTCTCATGGTGTTTGTTCATATTCACCCATAGCTCTCATCTCATGGCACTTCTACAGAAGTGTCTGCTCCTCTTGCTACAATAAGATCTTTCTGAGGGCAGAAGCCAAGCATTATACATTTTTGTGTGAGCCTAGTTTCCGTTTATTGTGGAGCCTAGCATATGGTAAGTGCTCAATAAATATTGAAGGTAGAAAAAGAAGGATAGGGTAGAAGGATGGGGGGAAAAATGAGAAGACAGATTGCTGGCCAGGAGTGAGTTGTTTTCCATTTATCCAGAGTGACTGTACCTGCAATTAGCAGAAGACTAGAGGTTCTACCCAAAAGCACAAAAGACGTTGGTGGTGTCTCTAAATGACTCCTCATCTTTTTACTTTATCAGTGCCATGGAAGCAGGTAAAAATAATCCTCATGGTAATGAGCTGCTCTGAGTCACTGGCAGATCACCTCCTAGCCTCTGGCAGGAAACTAAGTGAAAATAAACCCAGGTCCCACCATAGCCACTTCCTTCCATCATTTCCTGGTCTGGTCTTGAAGCTACTTGGGTGGATAAGAGGACAAGATACCTTGCCTGAAAAGCTTTCACCATTTTCTCTTGCTTTTACCATGCACATAACACTAATAACTGTCAGTACTAACAATACTAATATTATTATAGTATCCATTGTGCACCCAGTACATACACAGACACTGTGCTAGTTGTTTTTGCAATAATATTAGAAATCACAGAAACTCAGACACAGTATCTGTTTATGCGAATGGGGGGCCAGTTGCTTTTTTACTAGTGATCACATATACACAATTAACACTGAATTTAAGGTTCAAGAGGGGCAGTGTCATATGGGGAAGAGCAGTATGGCCAGAGAAAGAAGAAGAGTAGGCTCTGTTTTGTGATTGTTTTAATGAGAGCTAATAATGCCCCAGATCAGGCCCACAGTTTCCTAATCTATATAATAAGGGGTTTCATCTAGAGCAATGCCTCTCAAACTTTAATGCACTTATGAGTCATTTGAGGATCTTATTAAAAAGGCAGGGTCAGATTCGGAATGTCTGGGGTGGGGATTCTACATTCCTAGCGAGCTCCGCTGTTACAGCAATGTTGCTGCTCCTCCAATTACATTTTTAGTGTCAAGCATCTAGAAAAATCCATAAGGTAACATTTAGCTCTAAAATTCTATACTAAAGAAGAGACTGGAGGCCATTTGAAGGTCTCTGGACTATAGTTTTATAGTTTCTCCCCGCAGCAAGAGTTAGAAACGTGTCTCTCCTTTAAGATCCCATGAGTCAACGGGTAGACATTGGAGAGATCCATCCCCATCCAACCATCAAGAAAAGCCATTGAAAACTATAAATGCAAATGTGATAGAAATTGCACCTATTCCATGATTTCTAATGACACATTCCCTGCAATGAAAATTTGCAACCCATTTCAAAAGTCTTACTTAATTCTAAAATCCTCCTTTTCCTCCCTGCCTCCCACCCACACTGCCACACAACCCAATTTCTTTGAAACATCCCTGTGAGGCAAACCTGAGCTCAGAGCAAGAGTGAGAGTGGGGACTGTCAAGATGTGAATAGCTCAGACTCTTTTTTTCCCCCTCAATTATTGGCCTGTTTTAACACTTTAGAGACTACAGCTCATTAAGACAGAAAGAAGAAATCCTGAGCTCTACGCCTCTTCCAATTCCCAAAGCAGTGGCTTTCTGAAAAGCTAAGATTCCAGTTGCATGATAATACCTTTACAAGGAGGTAGGCACCTGAGTGAAAAAATAAAAACAACAACAACAAAACTGGATTAAAGGATATTCCTGAATCCTAAAACTAGTCATGCTAAATTATTAAACATCTTCAGAATTAATTAGAAACCAGTTAATCTCTAATCTAGGAAAATAATATAGCATATCTTGCTTTAATATGTTTGAGATTTGACTGACATTTCATTTGTTCAGGAGGATTTTTTTTGCTCTTTCCTGTCAAGAGACGTTGGCAAAGCTGCGTATAATCAACTTTTTCATTCCATCTGGCAAGGACTATTAGATGTTAAGACAGGAGATGTACAGCGCCTCTGTCATGGACTTGGATATACAGTGTAAGGATATACAGCAGTAACAGGAAGTTTTAATGAGACACCTCAGCCTCCAAATGTGACCTGTTTGAATAGTATTCAAACTATGCCTAACTTCTCCAGTGCTCTCTCCTGGCATTTGCAAAGCAAAGGAATTAAGCAACCGCAAATTGTCTTCCTGAGTCTGCAAATGTCATTCCCAGGTGTGGTGCCTCCATTTTCCTGTCTGGAAAATGGTGATGGAAATGACCTACCTTATTTAATCAGTGTTTATAATACTTGATTAGCCCCTGAGGCCAAAGCAACTAGCTTTAGCTAAGAATGGAAAGTCCTCTGCATGGAGCTTTTACCTTCCCTACTTCTGGGACAGAGAGATTCAGCTGCTCCAATGCAGCTGACAATAGCAAAGTGACTTTCACTCCCATCCAGCCTGGGTGGATAGAAAATACGGAGCTAGGGAGGGAGCTAAAAATGAGCTACAGTTCCACTGGGTTCCCAGGAGAGTGTAAAACAAAAAATGGGCCAAACAAGATACTGTATATTTTTAACTCATAAATAGGCCAGCACAATTATATTTAGTCTTTATAATGTGCTCTGGAACAAATTCGGCCACTAATAGCCTCCTTTGCCTGCCCATACCTACATTTCTTAATGAATTTTATTTTCCTGTATAAAAAACATAGTAAGAGGTTTTGTTAGCTATGACTCTACAATTCAAAAGGAAATAAACAATTTAAGTAATTACTCTGATTGTTTAAATTATGATCGCTATTTAACTCTAATTACATGACTGTTTCAAGAAGTGTTTTCTGTACTTTCCCTCTCTTCCCAATAAAAATTATTTGGGTAGATATTGCTATTCTCCTAAACACTTTCTTGTATAGATAAATTAAATACTCAGCTTTCTTCTCTGGAAATCAAGCACTAAGTCTCTCTGGCATTTAGGTTCTATGCAGTTAAGTTGTAAATTACAGCCCCTGCCTTTTGAAATTTACAAATCAAAAATTCACTTTTTTTTTTTCAAGACGCATTTATTGCGCCTCAATTATTGGCCAGGCATTGTACTGTAAATAAAACATACGGGCGACAGAGCGAGACTCTGTCTCAAAAAAACAAAACAAAACAAAACAAAAAAACATACGGCCGGGCGCGGTGGCTCATGCCTGTAATCCCAGCACTTTGGGAGGCCAAGGTGGGTGGATCACGAGGTCAGGAGATCGAGACCATCCTGGCGAACACAGTGAAACCCCGTCTCTACTAAAAATACAAAAAATTAGCCCAGCGTAGTGGCGGGCGCCTGTAGTCCCAGCTACTCGGGAGGCTGAGGCAGGAGAATGGCATGAACCTGGGAGGAGGAGCTTTCAGTGAGCCCAGATCACGACACTGCACTCCAGCCTGGGCGACAGAGTGAGACTCTGTCTCAAAAAAAAAAAAAAAAAAAAAAAAAATACACGGGTGACCAAAAGCAAATAGCATCTTCCTCACAGACGATATAGTCTAATGGAAAGTCAAATACTTAAACAAATAAATCCTAATTAGCAACTATACTAAATATCAGTTCTATGAAAGATTAAAATTAGGGGACTTAATTCATGCTATAAAAATAACATTTGAACTGAAAAACTGAAGGATAGGAAAGAGGAAACCAGTTGAAGGGTGCAGAGGAAGGATTTCAAGGAACAGTATGTGCAAAGGCCCTGCTGAAGAAGACAATATAATGTATTACAAGAATCAGAAAAATACTAGAATACAGCTGCCTGTAAAACTAACTGTACAAATGAATGAATGCTATGGAACATTAGAGAAGAAACATTAGGAGAGGTGGTCATGGACCACTTCCTCAAGAAAATAGAACTTAGAAATAGACTTTAAAGAAATTGAAGATTTTAGAAAGGAAAGTCCTAGGTACTTAGTATTTTTGACAACTGCCAAAGCAGAAAACAAAGGTATCAAAGGACATAAAACATGTTATTTTCTTGTTATGCCTTTAATTTTTGTATTTATGAGCTTGTTCATTTGAAAATCAAAGATACATATTGCCATATTTTCAAATTGAATTTATACAGAGACAAGCCTACAGTGAAAGAAAAACAGTATTTTTCAGATAAAAATTAATTCAAATGAATGTAACTTAAATGAAAAAATAAAACTATAAAATCTTAGGAAAAAAATAAAAGAAAATCTTCAGGATCCAGGGGTCAGCAAAGAGTTCTTAGTCATGACACCGAAAGTACAATCTGTAAAAGGAAAAAACGATCATTTAAACCTCACAAAAATTAAAACTTTTGTTCTGCAATAACTCGTGAAAAGTCCTAAAAGATAAGTGAGAAACTGAAAGAAAATATTTGTAAACCAAATATCCAACAAAGGAATAATACCTAGAATACATTTTTTAAAACTCTCAAAACTCTAAATTTAAAAATTCCAATTAGAAAATCGCAAAAGACAGGAAGACACATTTCACTGAGGCGGATATAAAGATGGCAAATAACACATGAAAAGATGTTCTACCTGTTAGCCATCAGGGAAATGTAAATTAAAACCAGGAAGAGATATCACTGTACACCCATTAGAATGCCTAAAACAAAAATATGAAAACAGCAAATGCTGACAGATTTGAAGAGAAATAGGATCATTCATACTTTGCTGATGAGAATATAAAATGATACAGCCACTCTAGAAAATATTTTGGCTATTTCTTATGAAATTAAACATGCAATTACTATATGGCCCAGCAATTACTTTCTTGAACATTTATCCCAGAGAAATGAAAACATTTTCACACAAAAACCTATACATAACTGTTCATATGAGCTTCATTCATAGTAACTAAAAACTAGAAATAGCCCAGATGTCCTTCATTGGGAGAAAGGTTAAACAAACTGTGGTGTATACACACCATGGAATATTGTTCCATGAAATTAGAAGTAACCAACTGTTGATACAAACAACATAGACAAGTATCTAGAGAATTATGTTGAGGGGAGAAAGCCAATATCCAAATGTTACAGTGAATAATTCCATTGATATAACTTTTTGAAATAAAAATAAAATTGAATATGGAAAATAGATTTGTGGTTGCCAGAGGTTAGAGATAGGGATGGAAGGCAGGTGGGTGGTTATAAAAGAGCATTCTTGTGTTAATAGAGGAGTTTTGAATCTTTGCTGTTGTTATAGATTTCATGTTTATATCATCCCCCCCAAATTAATATGTGGAAATCCTTGTCTCCAATAAGAATGGTATTTGGAGGTAGGGCCTTTGGGAAGTCGTTCAGTTTAGATGAGGTCTTGAAAGGGGAGTCCCCATGATGGGATTAGTGCCCTTATAAGAAGAGACCAGAGCTCTTTCTCTCTCCACCAATAAATATACAGCAAAAAAAATGGCCGTCGGCCACAAGGAAGAGAGTCACAACCAGGCACCAAATCAATCAGCACTTTGATTTTGCACTTCCAGGATTCAGAACGATGAGAAATATACATTAGTTGTTTAAACTACCCAGTTGCTGGTCTTTGATATAGGAATCCAAGCTAACTAAAATGATTGTGGTGTTCGATACATGAACCTACAGCTGTTAAAATTGTGTAGAACAAAATACGCAGGTGCACACACACACACACAAACACGTGAGTACAAGGAAAATGGGAAATCTGAAATAAGATCAATGGATTGTATCAATGTCAACAACCTGGTTGTGGCTGGGCATGGTGGCTCATGCCTATAATCCCAGCACTTTGGGAGGCCAAGGCTGATGGATCACTTGAGGTCAGGAGTTCAAGACCAGCCTGGCCAACACAACATGGTGAAACCCCATCTCTACTAAAAATACAAAAACTATCCGGGCGTGGTGGTGCATACCTGGAATCCCAGCTACTCAGGAGGCTGAAGCAGGAGAATCGCTTGAACCCAGGTGGCAGAGGTTGCACTGAGCCGAGATCGTGCCACTGAACTCCAGCCTGGGCAACAGAGTAAGACTCCATCTAAAAAAAAAAAAATAATTATATATATACACACACACACACACACACACACACACACACGCGCGCGCGCGCACACACACACACATACATATATATCTCCTGGTTGTTATATTATACTATAATTTTGCAAGATGTTCTTATGGGAAAAAAATTAAGCAAGGGATCTCTCTGTATTATCTCTTACAACTATATGTGAATCTACAATTACATCAATGCAAATTTCAATTAAAAATAGAATTTAAAAAAGTACAGCTTCTTCCTGGGAAGAAATTGGTCTGAAATTAACACAAGAAGAAAACACGAGGATGTAACTTGCTTGCACTGCTCTCAGTGGCAGAGGAGGCTATCTAAACATCACAGCAATGCAATAAGGAATGTCAAGCACCCTGAATGATAATGCTGTTGAGGTAACAAAGCAAAGTGGTCTCCAGAACTTTTAAAGATAAGAGAATTCTAGATTTCAACTTGAAAACAGACTTAAAGTGCCAAAATATCAGATATAAAAATACCTTCAGGAAGCATAATTGTAGTGAAAATTTCAAATCTTATTTCTTTCTTTTTTTTTTTTTTTTTGAGACGGAGTCTCACTCTGTCACGCAGGCTCACGTGCAGTGGCGCCATCTCTGCTCACTGCAAGCTCCGCCTCCCAGCTCACTGCAAGCTCCGCCTCCCAGGTTCACGCCATTCTCCTGCCTCAGCCTACAGAGTAGCTGGGACTCCAGGCGCCCGCCACCACGCCCGGCTAATTTTTTTGTATTTTTAGTAGAGACGGGGTTTCACCATGTTAGCCAGGATAGGATGGTCTCGATCTCCTGACCTCGTGATCTGCCCGCCTCAGCTTCCCAAAGTGCTGGGGCTACAGGCTTGAGCCACCGCGCCCGGCCTCAAATCTTCTTGTATGAAACACTTATCTGAGTATCTGACATGTAGAGTCAGTCCTTCCGTGAGCTTTTCAGTCTGCCTAGACATTGGCTATCTTTTTTTCCAAATTAGAAAACAAAAACAAAAACAAAAAAACTGTTTCATTTAAAAAAGAAGGAAAAGAAAAAAAACAATTCTCTATCACTATAAAATGTTTCTATTTATCTCTAGAAAATTTAGTTCCTTAAAATATTCTGCCTTGTTAATAAATGGTTATACCAACTTTTGCTTTGTTAGTGTTGGATGTAATATACATGTTTTTACATCTTTTATTTTCAGTCTTTGAGTGCTTTTACACTTGAGTTATGTCTCTTTTAGCAGTTGATGCTGTTGTTGTTATTGTTTTTAATCTAGTGTAACAGTTGTGGAAAGGTATCAGTTTAGGTTGTTATACTTTTAATTAGGTATAACAGTCGTTGTCTTTTAATTAGAGTATTTAGTTATTTTACTTTTGATGTTAATGAAATATTTGGCCTTAAATATACCATTGTGTTTTTTTATCTGTCTCACATGTTCTCTTTTCTCTCTTACTTTGTAGATTATTTCCTTTTAAAATAAATTACTTAGATTAAATTTAGGTTTTTTCTATGTTAACTATTTTTTAGTATTTTATTTCCCTTTATTATTTTAATAGCTATACATTATTTCACTGCTCTTTCAGTGGTTATGCTAGAGACTACAACATGTGTCCATGATATATCAAAAGCCTAATGTGAATTGACAATTTTACCTATTCTTGGCTAATGTTAGAACCTTAGAACATTTAACACTCTTCTGATGTCTGCCTATTTTGTATTGTTTTCATGTCTTTTTTATTATAAATGTGTGTGTGACTTCCTTAGACATTATCTTATTATTGTCTACAATAAATATTTATTTCGATTCACTCTCATATTGACCATTATCACTACTTTTCATTCCTTTCAGCATCATTGACTTCCCATCAGACACGAATATTGACAATTTTAAAGCATATTAGATACAGTGGAAGAGAGGATGAGTAAACTAGAAGACAGATCTGAAAAAAGTATCAAAATTGAAACACACAAGAAAAGAAGGGTAAGAGATATAAGGCTATGGTGGAAAAAAAGTCAAAATGTATGTATTTGTAGTTCCAAAAGAAGGAAATTTAGTGAATGGGACAGACTGAAAAACTTAGCTGAATCTCTTCTGCTTTAAAATATACATTTATTGAGTTTAATTTGTTGTTGATTATTCAGTCCTAGAACGTCATTGTAATTCATTTTTGTATATTTCAGTTCTTGCCTGAAATTTTTATCTTACATTTTACTTCTTTCAACATATTAAACATTCTCATTTTAAAGTTGATAATTTCATTAACCTGAACCCATGTATTTTTTAAATTGTCTATTGTTTCCCAGGTTTTTAATTGTGTTCTTACATTTCTGATTATATTTGATTGTATATTGAACATTGCCTATAAAAATCATAGAGATATTTGCATTCTAAAATAATATAACCTTTCCTCAGAACATTTTCTTCTGACAAGTAACTAGGGAAATAGCAATTCCAAAACACTATAATCCAACAAGAGATTTATTTGATTAAAAGCTAGGCATCGGTCCATGCAAAGGTTTATTTATTTAGAATTTACCCTTAATCCTAGCATATCACCCTTCCAAGCCTCAACCAAAAGCATAAGGGCTTTGCCAAACCTCCTGTGCTTGTAGGTTGTGAACTCCAATAGAGATGCTTGTCAACTTATGATGGGTTTACAACCCAATAAACCCACTGTAAATTTAAAATATTGCAAGTCAAAAATGCATTTAATACCACCTCACCTATCAAACATCATAGCACAGTCCCACCTAACTTGCACATACTCAGAACACTTACATTAGCATATAAATAAGCAAAATTATTTGAATCAAAGCCTATTTTATAATATAGTGTTGAATATCTCATGTAATTAATTGAATACTGTACTGAAAGAGAAAAAGAGAATGGTTGTATAGGAACTCAAAGTACTGTTTCTACCGAATGCATATCACTTTTGCACCATTATAAAGTCAAAAATTTGTTGTCAAACCATTGTAAATCGGAGATCGTCTGTATCTGTTCCCAAGTCATTTGAGTCTACTAACAGCTCTGCCCCGCTATGTTTTCCGAATCCATGAGGTCCCTAAGGTTAAAAACTCCCTCTAAGTTTTCTTATTAAAGATTTTTGGCTTAATACTTGTTTGCTGCCTTGTTAAATCTCAATGCTTCAGACAGATTTTTCTCCCAGATTTTTTAGATCATTTTGAGTGGGAGGGATGGTCTAAGCTATCTAGTCTGCATTAGTAAAAGGGGAAGTCTCAGTTGCCTTTTTATGTTGACATTTGTATAATTTCTCCTATTTTTCTTCTGGAAACTTTTGATCAGAGTCATCAATTCTTCTGTTCCAATATGCAATGTTTATTCCCCAACCCTGCTCTTGTGAAAGATAGAAGTTTTTTGCCCTCACACATCTTAAAAAATATTTGTTTCCCATTCGATAGGAAGTTTTTCTCACAATGGTATTTTTGTTTGATCATTTTAATTCAAATTTTAGAACCCATTTGTCATATTATCTTCTAGCACTTTGGGTTGCTGATGAAAACTCAACTTATTGGATCTGGGAAAAAAATTTTCTTGTCTTTTTCTTCTTTTCTCTCTTTTCATTCCTTTTTCCTTCTTCCTCCTCTTCTACTTCTTCTATTCTACCTCCTTCTTCTTTGTCAATAACTGCTAATCGTCTCTTTTTCTATCTTTCAATTTCTATTGGGTGAATGTTGGATCTTCATTATTGATGATCTATATCCATATTTCTTGCTTTCCAAAATTATCTTTATTGATTTTTATAATAAATTCTGGCAACTTTACCAATTTTATGTTTTACCCTTTCTATTAGATTTCCTTGTGTGTATTTCGGCAATCATATTATTAATTTTTCTCTTAATTTTTAGGAGCTTTCTTTCTTGTTTTATGACTGTTTCATTCCTATAGTATCCTGTAATTGTTTTAGAAATGGAGTATCATATTTAACAATACTGATTTTTGTGAGTGTCTCTATGTGGTGGCTTTAAAATACCTAAGTCCGCAAGTTCTTTTACACTACATCCTTCAAAAGATAGAGACAAATTCCCTTCCCCTTGAATGGGGACTGAACTGAGTGACTCACTACTAATGAATAGAATATGGCAGAAGTTGTCACCAATAAAATGACAAACGAAGCAGTTTAAAATCTAAAAGTACCAATGTATATGGGCTCAAATCTCATTCATCTATACTCATAAGTTGCAGAATAACTTCTGTATGACAATGCTTAAGGACATGTTCAATTTAAATACAAGTTTAAATAGTCTAGAAAGATAATATGACATTTTAAAATATAGGAACAGGCTACATTAATAGTAAGCTTAAATTCCACAAGTCACTAAAAGCAGTTTTTACACAACCAGGTGAATCAAACATTTCCTTTCCAGGAAAGAAAGATTTGCCATGAAGACCAAGGCAGAAAAAGAGAAAACATATTCAATTAGTGGCAGTAGGTAATTCCATATAGAATAGACAGATAAATGGCTGGCTGAAATTGGAACAGCCCAGGCCTAGTGGTAATAACATGCCAGTGAAAGCAGAAGGACTTGTTTCCTAATCCCTCGCAAGGCTTCATGCACAGTGGGAATCCCTGCTAACTTACCTGATTGTATGGCTATCAATATACAGTTTTATTTCCGTACTTGCATGTGTTAGAAACTGAGCTAGGTACTAGATATATAACAGTGAGAAAAAATAGGCGTCACCTGTTTAGAAACTTATTTTCTTGAGAGAGATGGAAACATTAATCAAATAGTCACACAAATACTTATTTGACTAAGTCAGCATTTCCCAAACTTTTGAACACTGAATTGATTAAAAATTAAAATGTATTGATGTAACACCAACAAAAGATCATAAGATATAATGTGCAAATGAATGAAAGTAGACGGCAAGAAACAGCATCACATATTACTTAATTACAGTGAGAAGTCATAACAATTTGATTTATGTGTATTTTTATTTTGTGATAGAAAAAATCCAAATTAGAGAGAGAAAATATTTTATTAAAAACAAGAATAAACAAGATAATAAAGTGTCACAATATGTGTTCAAAAAAAGACAAGATATATAAGATAGACCAGCAAAGACAAAATAGACCACATACATCAATATGATAGTTAGTTTGTAAATGCTGCCTATGCATCAATGCACAAACTGAATGTCATTTACTCATGCATCAGGTGATCAATCTTGCAACATCTTGACATTCTTCATGATAGCACCTCATTTCTTGAAAGGCACACTATTGCACAGTAAAACAAACAATAATACAAACGTTTTTAATATTTTTATACATATATATTTTTAAATGCTTTTTATTAAAAAAACTATTCCATGCATCACTTTATTTTCATGAACACTCCTCCTTCCCCAAGTGTTTCTTGGGATACTCTGTATAAGGACCAATGGGGAACTCACTAGAGGAATATATTTTAACTGTCAATAGAATAACAAGATAATAGAATGTTAATAATAGAAATTGACTTTAGAGATAATTTTCATTAAAATGAATAATATATTATAAAAGAAGAAATTCAAAATTCTCATACAAATTTAGTATTTTAGAGATGATAAAAAGTATCTGAAAGGGTATTTAGTTAGATTTCCCATTGCAATTATGACATTGCATGAAATTTAGACCAGGCACTCACATAGTATCCACCTTGAAGTTTTCATTTATACATTAATTCCTCCATTTATTCAGTAAATATTAATGGACACTTTTGTTGTGCTAGAGATTGTGAGGATACAAAACCTCAGAAAACATAGTCTTGTAAGCCCTCAAACACCTTAGAGTTTAAAAGTGGATCATAATATTAATAATGAAGTAAAAGTCACATTTGATGTGCTGAAAGAGAAAAAAATCATTGTGGAGTTTTAAATAAGCTAAAAATAACAAATTCAGTATTCAGTGTCAATTTTGTAAAAGTATGATACTTTTTTATGTGCAATGATTGGGGTGCAGACAGTCATCATTCCAGGTAAAAGAATTAGCATTATACAGAGGTATATACGCAAATAACCACCACGTATATTCAGGACAACTTTGGTGATTGGTTTGGCTGGGGCTGATATGTAATGACTTCATTGTTAAACTCTGTATTTTTTCTTTCAAAGAAGATGATAAGCATATCTATCAATTCAAACATCTTCTTGTACCCTTTGTAATTCCTTCCTCCCTTTCCACACTTCCACCAACTCTACACAACCAATGGTCTGTGTTAATCACCATATGTGAGTTTATGTTTTCTAAAATTTTACATATGTGGAATCATACAGTGTGTAATCTTGTTTTGATGGTATTCTTTCATTAGGCATAATTATTTTGAGATTTAAGATTTATCCATGCACTTGCATGTATCAGTCATTCACTCTTATTGCTGAGTAATATTCCAGTGCATGGATATAGCATAATTTATCTATCTATTCACCTCTTGATACATATTTCAGTTGTTTTCAGTTTGGTGAAATTATAAATAAAGCTTCTGTGGATATTTGCATGCCCATCTTTGTTTAGACATTCTTTTTTATTTTTGTTGCATATATCAATAGCATTAAAGACTGGTATATTATTTCTTTCTTGCATTGCTATGAAGAAATACCTGAGACTGCGTGATTTATATAGAAAAGAGGTTTACTTGACTCACAATTCTGCAGGCTGTCTAGGAAGCATGATGCTGAAATCTGCTTGGTTTCTGGAGAGGCCTTAGAAAACTTACAAGGATAGAGGGGGGTGAAGGAGAAACAGGCATGTCTTAGGTGGCCAGAACAGGAGGAAGAGAGAGAGAAGAGAGGTGCCACATGCTTTAAAACAACCAGATTTAGTGAGAACTCACTCACTATCGTTAGAACATCACCAAGGTGATGGTGCTAGACCATTCATGTGAAACCACCCCCATGATCCAATCACCCTCCCACCAGGCCTCACCTCCAACACTGGGGATTACAATTCGACATGAGATTTGGGTGGGGACACAGATCCAAACCATATCAAATGGGTTGAATGGTGGTTATATGTTTACCTTTTTAAAGAAACAGCCAAATTATTTTTCAAAGTCTTTGTACTGTGTTTTATTTCTGTCAGCAACCTATGATTATTCCAGTTATTACACATCCTTGCCAATATTTGATATGGTCAGTCTTTAATTTTAGTTATTCTAAGAGATTGCAATGATATGCTAATGCTTTTATTTTGCATTTCCCTAATAAATTGTGATGTTCATCATTTTTTCATGTTCTTGTCATTCATCCATCTTTTACCCATTTTATGGTTGACTGTTTTTATTATTGAGTTTGAGTGCCTTTCACAACTCATGGCTATAAGTCCTTTATCAAACACGTTGTTTGCCAGGACTTTCTCCCAGTCTGTGGCTTGTCTTCTCATTATCCTAATAGTGTCATGTAAAAAGCCTATTTTGATGAAGTCCCATTTATCAATTTTTTCTTACGGATTGTGCTTTTGATGTTGAGACTTGTTCTCTGGCCTAAAGCAGAGGTCAACAAATTTTCTCAGTAAAGGGTTAGACACCACATAATTCACTGTATGACCTCTGTCACAAATATTCAACTCTGCCATGGTGGCTATAGATAGTACATAACCAATAGGCATGGTTGTATTCTCATAAAACTTCATTTACAAAAAAAAAAAAAAAAAGAGGCAGATTCGACATGTGGGCCATAGTTTGTTGACAATCAGGCTAGAGTATGGTCTATAGTGGTTAATGCTCTATGTCTAAGGAAAAATTTGGGTATTCTTTTTGGGGGAAAATTGTTCTGTGACTGTCACTTAAGTCAAGTTGGTTGATAGCGTTTTTTAAGTTTTCTATAGACAGACAGTCTTTCTTATTTGGTGCTTGCTTGTACTATCAGTTATTGAGAGGGGATGTTGAAATATCCAAGTAAAACTGTTATTTTTTTTTTACCATTTCTCATTAGTTTTGCTTCATGTATTTTATAACAGTTACTTGGCAAAAAAAAAAAATTAGGATTATGTTCTCTGAGAAATCTACCCTTTATCATTATGCAATGATCTCCTTCATCTAAGGTAATAATTTTGTCATAAAAATCTACTTTATTAGATATTGAAATAGCCACTCCAGCTTTCTTTTGATTAGTGTTAATGTGGTTACCTTTCCCATGCTTTCACCTTTAACTTACTGTGTCTTTACATTTAAAGTGGATTTCTTGACAGCATGTACAATTGACCCTTGAACAACGTGGGTATTAAGGGTGCCAATCTCTGCGCAGTCAAAAATTTGTGTATAACTTTTGACTCCCCTAAAACTTAACTACTAACAGCCTACTGTTGATCAAAACCTTACTGATAACATAAAAAGTTGATTAACACATATTTTGTGTGTTGTATATATGGTATACTATATTTTTACAATAAAGAAAGATAGAGAAAAGAAAATGTTATTCAGAAAATCATAAGAAAAAATATTTACTATTCATTAAGTGAAAGTGTATCAGCATAGAGATCTTCATCCTTGTCTTCATGTTGAGTATGCTGAGGAGGAGGAGGGGTTAATCTTGCTGTTTCAGGGGTGGCAGAGGCAAAGGAAAATCTGTGTATAAGTGAATCCATGAAGTTCAAAGCCGTGATGTTCAGGGGTCAACTGTAGTGAGATATTGCTTTCTTATCCAACCTGACAATCTCTACCTTTTCACTGGGGCATTTCAACTATTTACATTTAATGTGATATAGATGGTTGAGTTTAAACCTATCATCTTGCTGTTTATTTTCTATTTTTCTAATTTTTTTAGTTCTCTTTTATCCTCCTTTTCTGCATTGCTTTGTATTAATTAAATATATTTTTATTATTCCCCTTTGGTTTGTTTACTAGCTACAGCTCTTTCTCTTATATTTAGGGTTTCTGATATACATTTTTAACTTATCAGATTCTACCTTCAAGCAACATACTTCATATCTAGTATAAGAAACTTACAACTATATGTTCCCATTTCTAGCCCCTACTTTTATGCTATTGTTGTCATATATTTTTTCTACATATGTGAGAAAGATCACAATACATGGTTACTTTCTTTAAACATTCAATTATCTTTTAAAGCGACTTAAATAAGGAAGGCTTCTTTATATTTAACTACAGAATTACCATTTTTAAATTTTTTTTTATAGTTCCATATTACTACTCAAGGTCATTTTTCTTCCTTTATCATTTCTTATAATGTAGGTCTGCTGGTGATGAGTTCTTTCAGCTTTTATACATCTGAAAATGTCTTTATCTTACCTTAATTATGGAAAGATAATTCCATACACTAAAGAATTCTGAATTAACAGGGGTTTTTGGTTTCTGTTTTCTTTTGTTTTTATTTTTAGTACTTTAAAGGTGTTCCACTCTCTGGCTTACATTGTTTCCCATGAGAAATATGCTATCTTTTTGTTTGTTAATCTATACATAATGTATCTTTTCCTCCTCTGGCTACTTGTAAGATATTCTCTTTATCACCGATTTTAAGCAAATTGATTTTTATGCACCTTGCTGTAGCTTCTTTTATGTTTCTTGTGCTTGGGGATTCATGAGCTTCTTGGATCTGTGGGTTTATAGTTTATATCAAATTTGGAACATTTTTATCACTATTTCTCTAACTTCCTTAGCATCTTTGGAATCCTGTATTCATCTCCTCAACCCAAGGAGACTCCTGGACCACATTTGGTGATACCTCCTGGAAACTTGGTCCAGGTAGGAAGCTGGGACAATCCTAACACTCACCTCATTTGTTTTCCATCTCTAAGAGATCACTATTCTTTGTCACCTGATGTTCAGTGTTTTGAGAACATTTTTTTTAATACCTTGCTCATTTCTTTAGTTACTTCAGGTGAGACAGTAAATTCAGTCTTTGTTACTACGATTCGCTCAGAAGTTGAAGTATAAACTCATGGATTTTTTACGATCCTCCTTGTGTTACTACATTTTAATGTTACTGCATTGTCATTGGAGAAGATATTCTGTATGCATTGGACATTTGTAATTCCTTATACTGCTTGTAAGGTCTAATCCATGATCTATTTTTATAAATATTACATATGCACTTTGGGGGAAAAGAAAGTGTCCTTTCTATCTGTTAGGTATAGAATTCTACATATAGTAGCTTGAAATGTATATATTTGTTTATGTACTTAATTCACCACTTATGTTTTTCCCATGTGTTCCATCAGTTTCTGAACAGGGTATGTTGAAACTCCATCTAAAATTTTTGTTTCAGTTTTTTCCCATTTTGCTTCTGGTAGCTATGTTTTAATATATTTAGGGATTATATGGGAAGGTCCATATGTATTTATGTTTAGTATTCCTTACTCTCCCATAGTGAATTTTACCAATATGTAATGTCATTCTTGGTTTTTAATGAAAATTACCTTAAATTCTTGTTTTCACATATTCAAATTGGTCTCCAAGCCTTTTTTTGGCTCACATTTATTTGCTGTATTTTTTTTCTGTCTATTTATTTTCAATATTATTGTTCCATTAATTTTAAGAGGCCTATTTTGGATAATATAATGCCATAGCACTGGAAAACACAAGAATACATATGTAGTCATGTGTTGTTTGATGATGAGGTTATGTTCTGAGAAATGCATCAGGCAATTTTGTCATTGTGCAAACATCACAGAGTATACTTATACAGACCGAGATGGTACAGCCTGCTACACACCTAGGCCTTATGGTAGTGGCTATTTCTCCTCCAAGGCTGCAAACCTGTACAGCATGTTACTATACTGAATACTGTAGGCAACTGTAACACAATGGTAAATATTTGTGTATCAAACATAGAAAATGTACAGTAAAAATACAGTATTATAATCTTAAGAGACCACTGTTGTATATGTGGTCAATCATTGACCTAAACCTTAAGCAGCACATGATTATAACAAAATATGCTCAATATCCCTTTATATAAAAATATAAAATATTATTGAAAGAAATTACAGAATACTTAAATAAGTATAGGCATGCACTATGTTCAAGATTTGGTAGATCCAACATTATAAGGACATCAATTCTACCAAATTGATTTATGCATCAAACACAATTCTAATAAAAATCCCCAGAGGTTATTTTGTAGAAATTTTTAAGCCAATTCTGAAATTCACTTGGAAATGCAAAACAATAGCTAAGGTAATCTTAAGAAGAATAATATGGCAAGACCTACTTTATCAGATATTAAGACTACAGTCCTTTTAAAAGAGTGTAATGATGGCAAAGGTATATAGATTAATAGATAAATTGAACATAATAGAGCGTCTGACTTCAGACCCACACCTGATTTATGATAATGCTAGTACTGCAGACCATTAGAAAAGAACTGACTCTTTAGGAAGTGGTGTTACTCAATCAGCTATCTACATGAAAAAAAAATGAAAATTGACTGTAACGTCACTTTATTTGCAAAAATAAATTTCAAGTGAATTGTAAACCTGTGACTTCTTTTTTTTTTTTTTTTTTTGGGACGGAGTCTCGCTCTGTCGCCCAGGCCGGACTGCGGACTGCAGTGGCGCAATCTCGGCTCACTGCAAGCTCCGCTTCCCGGGTTCACGCCATTCTCCTGCCTCAGCCTCCCCAGTAGCTGGGACTACAGGCGCCCGCCACCGCGCCCAGCTAATTTTTTGTATTTTTAGTAGAGACGGGGTTTCACCTTGTTAGCCAGGATGGTCTCGATTTCCTGACCTCATGATCCACCCGCCTCGGCCTCCCAAAGTGCTGGGATTACAGGCGTGAGCCACCGCGCCCGGCCAAACCTGTGACTTCTATAGTACAATATGAAACTTAGGATCTAGAAAATTTTCTCAATACACAAAAGCACTAGTCATAAATGAAAAGTTCATTATACGCTAATTAGAATTAAGAAGTTCTGTTCTTCAGAAAACACCATTAAATGAGGGAAAAGTCACGTCATAAAGTAAAAGACAATAATCACACTGACTGATATTCTATAAATAAAAACCCATATGTATCAAAAAGAAAAACAATATCCAAATGGAAAATGATGAAGAACTTAAATACTTCAAAAAATTGATTAGCAAAATGTCCAACAAAAACATGTAAAGGTCTGCCATCTCATTAAAAATTAAAACAATATAAATTAAAACAATGAGGTATTACTACAACATCCCCCATATACAGTAAAATCATTATAATAAAACAAAACAAAGCATATTATCAATATCTCACATTGGGAAAGATAGAGAGCAACTAGAATTTTCATCTTCCTCAGTAGGAATACAAATTGGCATGATTACTTTTAACACCAATTTGGCATTATTTGCCACTGTAGACTGAAGATGTGTTCCCTCAAAAGTCGTATGTTAAACCCAATCCCTGATGGCATTTGGAGGTGCAACCTTTGGGGGGTGATTAGGTCATGAGGGCAGAGTCCTCATGAAAGGGATTTTATAAGGGCACTCCCTTATAAAAGAAACCTTAGAGAACCCCCTCACCCATTCCACCATGTGAAGTTATAGCAAGAAAACAAGCATCTACAAACCACGCCACCATGGACCCTCTCCAGACACCAAATCTGCTGGCACATTGAAATTGGACTTCGCAGGCTTCAGAACTGTGATAAATGAATTTCTGTTGTTTATAAGCCACCTAGGTTATGGTATTTTGTTATAGCAGCCCAAATGAACAAAGATGTTTACTAAAGACAAAACTTATTAGCTATGCAAACGAAGTCTTGTACAGAGAAATTCACAGCAGTTTTATTTGTAATAATATCCAAATGGAAACAATTCAAATGTTCATCAAGGCAAAATAAATATATTGTGTTATGTTTATACAACGAAATGCTATATAGCAATGAAAATTAAGATTTTTGTGATAATCACCCCTTTCCTTTTTTTTTTTTTCACTAATTTCATCTGTGTGTGTATTCTGATATGGTTTGGTTGTGTCCCCACCCAAATCTCATCTTGAATTGTAGCTGCCGTAATTCCCAAATGTCATGGGAGGACCTGGTGAGAGGTAACTAAATCATGGGGGTGGGTCTGTCCCATGCTGTTCTCGTGATAGTGAATAAGTCTCACAAGATCTGATGGTTTTATAAAGGAGAGTTTCCCTGCCCACCCTTTCTCTTGCCTGTTGCTATGTAAGATATGCCTTTGCTTCTCTTTTGCTTTCCACCATGATTGTGAGGCCTCTCCAGCCATCTAGAACTGTGAGTTCATTAAACCTCTTTCCTTTATAAATTATCCAGTCTCCGGTATGTCTTTATTAGCAGTGTGAAAACAGACTAATACAGTAAATTTGTACCAGTAGAATGGGATGTTGCTGTAAAGATACCCAAAAATGTGGAAGTGGCTTTGGGACTGGGTAACAGGCAGAGGATGGAACAGTTTGGAGGGCTCAGAAGAATATAGGAAAATGTGGGAAAGTTTGGAACTTCCTAGAGACTTGGAGGGCTCAGAAGACAGGAAGATATGAGGAAGTTTGGAACTTCCTAGAGACTTGTTGAGTGGCTTTGACTAAAATGCTGATAGTGTTATGGGCAATAAAGTCTAGGGTAATGTGTCAGATGGAGATGAGGAACTTGTTGGAAACTTGAGCAAAGCTGACTTTTGCTATGCTTTAGCAAAGACACTGGCAGCTTTTTGCCCCAGCCCTAGAGATATGTGCAACTTTGAACTTGAGAGAGATGATTTGGGGTATCTGGTGGAAAAAATTTCTAAGCAGCAAGGAGTTCAAGAGAAAGCAGAGCCTGAAAGTTTTAAAAATTTGCAACCTGACAATGCAATAGAAAAGAATAACCCATTTTCTGAGGAGAAATTCAAGCAGGCTGCAGAAATTTGCATAAGTAACGAGGAACCCAGTGTTAATCACCAAGACAATGGGGAAAATCTCTTCAGGGCATGTCAGAGACTTTCATGGCAGCCCCTCCCATCACAGGTCCAGAGGCCTAGAAGGGAAAAATAATTTCTAGGCCTGGCCCAGGGCCCCCTGCTATGTGCAACCTATGGATTTGGTGTCCTGCGTTCCAGCCGCCCAGCCACAGCTAAAAGGCGCCAAGGTGCAGCTCAGGCAGTGGCTTCAGAGGGTGCAAGCCCCAAGCCTTGGAAGCTTCCATGTGGCGTTGAGATTGCGGGTTCACAGAAGTCAAGAATTGAGGTTTGGGAACCTCTGCCTAGATTTCAAAGGATATATGGAAATGCCTGGATGTCCAGGAAGAGGGGCCCTGCAGGGGTGGGTCACTCATGCACAACCTCTGCTAGGGCGGGGTGGAAGGGAAATGTGGGGTTGGAGCCCCCACACAGAGTCCCCACTGGGGCACTGCCGAGTGGAGCTGTGAAGAAAAGGCCACCATCCTCTAGAAAAAAAGTTAGATTCACCAACAGCTTGCACTGTGGGCCTGGAAAAGCCCCAGACACTCAACACCAGCCTGTGAAAGCAACCAGGAGGGAGTCTGTCTCCTGCAAAGCCACAGGGACAGAGCTGCCCAAGACTATGGGAACCCACCTCTTGCACCAGCATGACCTGGATGTGATACATGGAGTCAAAGAAGATCATTTTGGAGCTTTAAGATTTAATGACTGCCCTGCTGAATTTTGGACTTGCATGGGGCCTATAGGCCACATATTCCCCTAAAATGTGGAAGCGACTTTGGAACTGGGTAACAGGCATAGGTTGGAACAGTATTGAGGGCTCAGAAGAATATAGGAAAATGTGGGAAAGTTTGGAACTTCCTAGAGACTTGGAGGGCTCAGAAGACAGTAAGATGTGGGCAGTAAGACTGCCAATTTATCCCATTTGGAATGGGTATATTTGTCCAATGCCTGTACCCCCATTGTGTCTTGGAAAATCACTAACTTGATTTTTTACTTTACTGGCTCATAGGCAGAAGGGACTTGCCTTGTCTCAGACGAGATTTTGGACTTGGACTTTTGGGTTAATGCTGGAATGAGTTAAGACTGGTGGAGTCTTGAAAAGGCATGATTGTGCTTTGAAATGTGAGGACATGAGATTTGGGAGAAGCCAGGGGCAGAATGATATGGTTTGGTCTGTGTTCCCACCCAAATCTCATCTCTAATTGTAATCTGCATAATCCCCACATCATCGAGGGGTGGACCTGGTGGGAGATGATGGGATCATGGGGGCTGTTCTCATGAAAGTGAGAGTTCTCACAAGATCTGGTGGTGTTACAAGGGACTCTTCCCCCTTCACTCCTCGCACTTCTTACTCTCCTGCCTCCATGTGAGAAGGTCCAAGCTTGCTTCCCCTTCCCCTTTTGCCATAATTGTAAGTTTCCAGAGGCCTTCCCAACCCTGTAGAAGTGTGAGTCAATGAAACCTCTTTCCTTTATAAATTACCCAATCTCAGGTAGTATCTTTATAGCTGTGTAAGAACGGACTAATACAGAGTGGAAAGGGCAGAGACTAGGATAAACAAATACAACTAAAATAATGAAAACAATGAAGGCCTAAACATCAATACTCCAAACACTATGGTGGACTGGCATATTGTTATATTGAGGGGAACGATTGGGCACTAACACCATTTAAGAGAAGCTATTTCATTTATAGTGTACTCTTGAGTCATATATAAAATTATAAAAATATAATTCCTAGAGTTTTATTAATTCAGCTCTGTCCTTTGGACTGAATAAAATGAACTTTATTGTTAATTTATAGAACATCCCTGCAAGTATTTAAATATAACAAACCCGTGTGGCTAAGTTTACAAAGCTATTTAAGTAACAGAATAGCAGGGTTGAACATGAGGTTAGGGTTCATATTGTTCAACAATTCATCCACAAAATGCATTTTTTTTATGTCTTCTCCGGAGTCATCTAGCTAAAACATGTTGGCTCAAAAAGTGAAGAACTCATGAATTTCCCAAATGGAGAACACCACACGGCAGAAATAGCTAGAGACTTGAGATAATACTAACACAATATTTCTCAATCGTAGCTGTGGCTCTATATCTACACCATCCTTGTTAACAGTCAGTATTGCCTCATAGATACTAATAGTTGTGACTAATTTCATTAACTTCCAGCATTTCTCTCTGAAAAAGCTTGGTTTGAGTTGATTAGGAAGAAGCTAATAGGAAAACATATTTCATGGAGTATCATTCTAACAACAAATTTTCCACCTGCCAATCTAGTCCAGCTGTCTTTACCTTTCACAAGGAGGAAATCTTTTCCGATGACTTAATACAAGGTAAGGCATACTTGGCTATGAGCATGTGTGGATGTCTTCCAAAGCAGAGAAGGAAGAGTGTGGAAATCTCTAGGACCCATATTCTTTTAATACATAATTCAGATATTATAATTAACCAGTTGGGGTGCTCTGGCATAACCTTTTGGCTTGTTATGTTTTCAGCTTATTACTTCAGAGAATAATTTAGAAGTTTTTATAAGTATTTACAACAATGAGGTCACTCATGACTCACTATTGCCAATTTAAGAACCTTGAAGCCTTGGTTTGAGGATCTAGTTAATTGCATTGAGCTACTTAAGTGAAAAAAATTTCAGTTCTCCATACTCTTTGCAAGTTGATATTTTAATAGTTTATTCATATTACCTATTTTGCAAGCAGCTAGGATACTTCCAACTCGGAAGATAATTAGACCTTTCCCAGAAAACTGTGGGGTGGCATGCTAAAAGGAAATGGTATATTGAGTCTTAGAAAACCTACTATTTCATTTGGTATCAAAGGGATTGATATGGTTTGGCTGTGCCTCTACCCAAATCTTAACTTGAATTATATCTTCCAGAATTCCCACATTTTGTGGGAGGGACCCATGGGAGGTAATAGAATCATGGGGGCCAGATCATTCCCATGTATTCCTGTGATAGTGAATAAGTCTCACGAGATCTGATGGGTTTATCAGGGGTTTCCACTTTTGTTTCTTCCTCATTTTTCTCTTGCCACCACCATGTAAGAAGTGTCTTTTGCTTCCTGCCATGATTCTGAGACCTCCCCAGCCATGTGGAAATGTAGGTCCAATTAAACCTCTTTTTCTTCTCAGTCTTGGGTATGTCTTTATCAGTAGCATGAAAACAGACTAATACAGGGATGTTTTCAGAGTACAGGCATAACCTATACTCTGGATGTATTATCCAGAATAATTTTCTTCCGCTTGTTTTGTTTCACCAAATCCTACTGAGGATATATAAATGTTCAGTCTCTTCCAAGATGTCTCCAATAAATACTCCAGAAAATTTACTTTTTAATATTTTGTTTGCTTTTTTTCCCAATCTGTTTACCAGGCTTGTTTTGTTTTGTTTTGTTTTGTTTTAGAAATTGGCTTACCAGTTGTCCTATAACATATAGTTTAGAAAAATGTACAGTCCCACTAGTAGTGGGTTAACACATGTCATCATTATCTCCAAAGCTACTCTATAGACAAGTTCCAGTTCTGATTAAGATAGAGCAGGCATACTCCATTCTATCTCCCCTACTAAATGCAACAAAAATTACTGGATAGAATGCACAAAGCAGCTATCTAAAGGCTCTAAAAAGTAAATGGCAGCAGATGCATTGGACAAAAAAAAAAACCCAGAACTTTTAATCCAATAGTCCAATAGATTTGGCAGTGAGTACCCTAGATTGTTTTTCCTTCCATATCCCCCATTGTTGATTCAAAGGCAGCACAAATCCCAGAGTTGTGTACCACGTGTATACAGAAATAGCTCTAAAAGAAGACTCCTTATTCTGATCTACCAAACAGAGAAAGTAGGATAAACTCTGGTCTTGTTTTCTTCTCTTTTTCCAACCCCTGTCTCCATTCCCAAAGTGCAATTATTCCACAGCATTCACTATAGTACTATAGTAGTTGGACCTGACCTTAAAACTGTAAGGGAAGAGGATCATTCTTTCTGATCAGAGAAACTTGGTCCAAAGACTGTGTAGGGAATTTATGTTGCTTTTTTTCCTGTCACTGTCCTCCTACCACTTGCCCCTGGAGGCTGACCAAATTAGGGAAAGTGATCAGCAAAGCACAGAGAGACTAAAGTATCATTTTTTTTAAATGCCTGGGTGCCAAAGAATGTGAGTGAGATAGCAGAGAGTGCAGAGCTTGAAAAATAGAAAATCCTGGATTCATCTCAACCTGCTCATGCAAGGATATGTCCATAAATGTGCCTGAGTAGGCTCTCAAAAAACCTGAACTGTGCCACTGCTCAGATTTCAGATTGCTCTTGGAAGGTGCAGATATTGTACAGATACAAATAACACTCCAAAGCCTTTGAAAACAAAACTTACATTAGAGCTGTAGTCCATGGAAGGTGAGTTTGAATTTTTGATTTGAACCGAACCAGATTGGTTGATGGATAAAAAATAAAAACCAAAAACACAATCTCCATAAGACTTGCAAAAGACTCAGATTTACACAACATATTTTTACAAACATCTAGTATCCAATACAAAAATCACAAAACATACAAAGAAACCAAGAAAATTTAACAATTCTTAAAGTAAAAGACAATAGCAGAAACCAACCACATTTTATCAGATAATTTGAAACAGCTGTTGAAATTATCTGATTAAAAGTTTTAAAGTAGTTTTTATAACCATGACAAAGTAAAAATAAATACTATTGAAACAATCTAAATGATAGGAAGTCTCAGCAGCAAGAAATAGAAGCTATAAAATAGAATCAAGTGAAAATTTTAGAGTTAAAAATATAATAATTGAGATAAAATTCAGTGGATTGACTTAATAGCAGAATGGAAACTACAGATGAAAGAGTAAGTGAACTTGACAATAGAGCAATTATAAATTTTCCAATCTTTCAAGTGTTAAAAAATAGAGTGATTTTGTATTTAAGGAATAAAGCCTTAGGTACCTGTGAGACAATATAAAAAGAGCTAACACTTATGTTATCAGAATTCCAGAAGATGAGAAGAAAGGTTTTGGTACAGAAAAGATATTTTAGGAAATAATGACTAAACACTTTTTAAAATTTGTTGAAAGACAAACTGGCAGAAAAAGAAGCCCAACAAACTGCAAATGGGACACCTTCAGAGCAATGCATGCCTGGATATATTGCAATCAAAGTGCTAAAATAAAAGATAAGTAAAAACTCTAAAAAGCAACCAGATAAAACCAACATGTTACATATAAGGGTACACCTTTAATTGATTGCACTAAATTCAAATGACTGCAGATTTTTCATGAATAATCGAGACCAAAAAATAATGGAACAATATGTTTTAAGTGCTGAAAGCAAAGAACTGTCAACCCATAATTCTATATTCAGTTATTCTATTTCTATTCAGAGATAAAGTCAAAGTCAAGAAATTCTAGGATGAAAGAAAATCAAGAGAATCATTACCAACTGACAACTTCTGAAAGAGCTATTAAAGAAAATTCAAGTAGAAGGGAAATGCTGTTAGAGAGAAACTTGGCATTTTAAGAATGAGGAAGAACAATAGAAATTTTAAATATCTGAATATATATAACAGACTAATTTTCTTATTTTAAATTCTCAAAATGTACATTACAGTTAATGTAATAACCAAAAATAAGTAAGGAGATTGAACCAGCATTAAAAAATCTCCAATCAAAGAAAAGCCCAAGATTTCAGCTCTTCATTGCTGAATACTACCAAACATTTAAAGAAGAACTAATATAAATTTTTTTCAAACTCTCCCAAAAATTAAAGAGAAGAAATACTTCTAAACTCATTTTACAAGGCTAATAATACCCTGATACCAAAGCCAAAAAAGGACACTATAAGAAAAGAACAAGCCAATATTCCTGAGCATAGATGCAAAAATCCTCAACAAAATACGAACAAACCTGAATCTCTAAGATTAAATGAAATTTATCCCAGGGATGTAAGAATGGTTTAAAATACACAAATCTATATATGTGATACATCACATTAGCAGAATGGACAGAAACCATAGGATTATCTCAACAGATGCAGAAAAAGTGTTTGACAAAACTCAACATCCTTTTATGATAAAAACTCTCAATAAATTAGGTATAGAAGGAATGTACCTCAACACAATGAAGGCCATATATGAAAAATCAACAACTAAGATTGTGCTCTATGGTGAAAAGCTGAAAGCTTTTTCTCTAATTTCAGGAACAAGATAAGGAAGCCTATTCTTGCTACTTATATTCAACATAAATACTGGAAGTCCTAACCAGAGCAATTAGGCAAAAAGGACAAAGCTGGAGACATCACACTATCTAATGCAAAATATACTACAAAGCTATAGTAATCAAAACAGCAGGGTACTAATTTTTCAAAAACCTAGTTTTAAAAATTGGGCAAAAGATTTAATCAGGCACTTCACCATAGAAGATACGTGAGTGAAAAAGAAGAACATTAATAGATGCTCAACATCATTAGACAAATTAAAACCATTATGCAATGCTAATATACATTTATTAGAATAAATAATTAAAAAGCAAGTATTGGTGATGATGCAGAACAATGAGAACTCTCATATATGTTGGTGGGTATACAAAATGATATAACCACTCTGGAAAAATTTGGCAGTTTCTTATAAATATAGAATTACTCTATTACCTGACTTATATTAATTTTTAAGGATAAAAACACAGTGTATTTAATCCTTAAAACTTAAAAAAAAATTAAAACATGTTTACACATTCAACAATCAACTTGTACATAACTGTTTATAGTAGCTTATTCATAATTGCTAGAAACTGGAAACAACCCAAATGTCCTTCAATGGGTGAATAAATGGAACCATTTTTAATGGAATAATACTCAGAAGTAAAAAGGAAGTGACTATCAACACACAGAGTTTGATGAATCTAAGTGAAAAGATCTAGCCTCAAAAGGTTGTATACTGTATGATTCCATTTAGATGATACCTTGGAAAAGGCAAAACTATGGGGAGTGAAAATATGCAAGTGATTGCATAGGGCAAGAGGCAGATTATGAAAGGACAGCACAAGGAATTTTGTTTCTTAATTGATGTAACTGTTTTGTATCCTGATTGTAGAGGCAGCTACTTAAATCTATACTTGTGTTAAAATTCATAGAGCTTCTCACAGAAGTTAATTTTACAGCGTGTTTATTTTTGAAGTGACATTACAATCTCTTTAATGATTACATCTCTTATTTATACCTCAGGTAAAACTAACAATACTGACGTTCGTGCTAAGAAAAAATTCATCTATTTCTTTTAAAATTCTGAATAGACAACCATGCAAAAATTGAAACAATTAAATACATATAAATATTTTAGCAGTGCTGTCAAGAAAATTATATTAAGTAAAATGTATAACAAAGTTAATTTAACATGCATTACTGTTATAAAACATTAGTATTGGTTTCCATGGTATGCAGTCCATTTAAATGACTGAATTAGTATTACTTTTCTAATCAACCTGTTTAAAAAATTTCTCTAGTATCTATAATCATTGTCAATATTTTTAATACTAATGCTCATCACACACAAAACTCCTATATTCATATTTGACTCACGAAAAATACCCATATTTGGCTCACAAAAATGAAATATGTCTTATATTTGGGGGCATAAGAAACAAGAGAAAAACTGGAAGTCGCAAACAATAATCGAAGCATTGAGCTATGCAAAAGAAATGTTGGATTGGGTGAAAAAAAAAAGGAGTTAAAACTTAAAACTTCTATTAACCCACAATGATTTACTGCTACCTACTTCATAAAAGATAGGCTGTTAGAAAATTAGGGGATACAATTGCAAATAATCAAAAATCTCTGACCCTCAAAGAGAGTCACAGAAGAGTGAGAAAGATACAGTCCATGAAATGGCAGATTCAAATTTTGTAAATTTTAAAGTGTTCTGTGAAATAAAAAAATTATACAATTCAGGTTTTAGTATATGCTATTTCAGACATAATAACAAAATGTATAGGTTTTTATAAAAAGAAGAGATGATTTCTAATTGGAAAGATGTAGGGACTTTTTGGGAAGGAGTGATTGAGTTGAACAATTAGAGGCAAGAGCAGAGTTCAGGCAGAGGCAACAGTGAGCTACAGCACGGAAGTCAAAGAAGGCAGAGTGGGTTTGGGAATGAGTCAGTAGTTTGGCCTGGCTGCAGGGAAAGAATGGGATGAAGATTGTCAGTGATGGTCTGATGTGAATGACAAGATAAGAAGTCTAATCTTTCTTGTGAGTATGATTGGTGAACAGTAAAGGCTTGGAATGGGCAAATAGTGTGCTCAGAACATTTTTCAGGCAAACTTTGTGGCAGTGTGAAGAACAAATTATAAGAAAGACCAGAGGACTCAAAATTAAGGGACCAGTTGGAAGGTTCTCTAAACAGTTCACATGAGACCAAATCATCCTTAATTAGGGAATTGTCATTAGGAGTGGGCAGGAAGGGAAAGTGTGAAAAGTATTGCAAAAGAGGCGTTGCCAGGTTTTGTGCCAGCCTATCTTTGGCTGGATGAGAAGAGGAAGGGTCTAAGATATTTTAGGATATCGAGACTGAGCAATGGCAACTTGTGATGTCCCTAATTGTGTTAGGTGGCATTGAAATAGATGCTGAAAAAGATGAGTTTGATTGGAACAGGTTTAGTTTTAGGCACGGATTAGGTGGAAATGCCAGTCAGAAGCCCAAGCCTGATGTGAAAGGAGGAGCTCCTGTCCTCTCACATAGAGGCTACAGTTAAATAAGTAAATCAATCAATAAATGAAGTGGAAATGAAAGAGATCATCCTGAAAATGGATAGAATAAGAGGAAGAAAGATTGAACAAACACCTAAATCATATGGATTTTAATGGGAGAAGGAGTCAACAACATAGGTTGAGTGATGACTGGGGTGGTAAGAAGAGCCAGGAAAGTTCACTAGAGAGTTAAGAGAAACCATATAGTATTAAACCATGCAGGATGCTGCTGACTTACTTTTTATAGGCTGGAAGCCAAATTTCAGGTAGATAGAGACATAATGAGAGACAAGAAAGCAAAAACACAGGTCAAGGAGGTTTTAAGCATCAAGTGTGAAAAGCTTTACAAGGACATTACTCAGCCTTAAAGGATAACATGACCTCAACCAACAGCTGGATTACATAAAGAATGGCCCCATTTCTTCTTGGAACAAAATATCTATTCATGCTTGGCCACCAGTACAGAACCATTAAATACCTGTGGCTGTAGTGGAACAAGATCAGGGGCCAGGAAGTCACTGTGGGAGGCATTTTTTTTTTGATGATTTGCAATCTTCTGGGGAGAAATAATGAAAACAGAAACATTGAAAGCAGGGTTTATCTTCAGCTGGGACCAATTTCCCCACACTGCATTAAGGCAACCAACTTGAGACCAGCAAACTCAGATTTGAGCTCCAGGTATATCTCATTCCCCAGCCATGCAGGTATAAGAAAGCATCACATCTTTCTGAGGTCATGATTTGCCTTTTGTTTTTAAGAACACTGTTACATCATCCATAACAGATTCCTTGGAAAGTTTGTCAGCAAGGTTTTGTGACGTAGTCTCAAAGTTCAGCCTGCAGACTTTGCTATGACAAAGCATTTTTTTTTTTTTTGAGACGGAGTCTAGCTCTGTCGCCCAGGCTGGAGTGCAGTGACGCTATCTCGGCTCATTGCAAGCTCCGCCTCCCGGGTTCACGCCATTCTTCTGCCTCAACATCCCAAGTAGCTGGGACTACAGGCACCCGCCACCACGCCCGGCTAATTTTTTGTATTTTTAGTAGAGACGAGGTTGCACCGTGTTAGCCAGGATGGTCTCGATCTCCTGACCTCGCGATCCTCCCGCCTCGGCCTCCCAAAGTGCCACAGGCGTAAGCCACTACGCCTGGCCTCATTTCTTATTTGCTATCACCTTCTCTCTAGTCAACCAGAGGTAGAAATACTCACCATTTCTGGGGGAAATTATGGATGTGCAAGGTAGACTGGAGAAACTGGAATAGACATCTCTATGGAGCCTCTTTTTTCAGCAGTTTTTTCAGCAATCACACAAGACAGTGGCCCCATGGGATAGAGTAAGACATTTCACATCCTAAGAAAACAGAACAAAATGCCTCTCCTTTTATGCTGCACCAGTCTCCTCCCCCAGGATTTGACCACTCCAAGACGATAAAGTGGATTGTTCTTATCTGTGTTTTTGTTTCATTTTACTGCAGTTTTATTTTACTTCTTTGGAGACCTCGCTTGAGGATATTGGAAAAATGCTAAATAATAATCAGGCTGAGAAAAAGAAATGGATTTCCCAGCATAGTGGGTATAAAGAGAACGGGCTTAATTATTGATTCTCACTCCTGCCTTGTTCACACCTCGGCTCACATTCAAATAACTTAAGGGAAAAAAATAGTTCAGAATCTAGTAAAGCAGAAACTATTCTAAGGCTGTTAGGGTGTCAATTCCATCTTTCTTTAATTTGGAAACGTGTTTCTCTGCTGTTGTACTTGATCAATAAAGAAAACAGAGGAAGGAAGTTTACCGATATATGGTCTATCTGCTGAAGTTGGAGCTTGCCAGATGGCAGACAAGGAGGGATCAGACAGCCTGGCCCATGGGAAGTTGTGAGGCCACTTTTCTGTAGGATTTCTACCTGGTTTCTGTTTGGAAACTGTATTTAACTACCAATTAGAAACCTCAGGGAAATCTTTGGGGTAGTAGCGTGAATCTTGCTTTGGCTTTTTATAACTGTGTGTTTTGACTCTCTCTAGCTTTTTACTAATGGGAACATATTAAAAATTAAACTGTTTCAATTTATGAAACCCGTTCCAAACAATCTCATGGTATATAAGGGTCAAATCCAATAAGTTCATTTGGAAGCAAAAATGCATCCGATAGGCGTATTATCTTTTCTACTTTCAACATGAAACAGTGGATTTGGGCTTTCAGTGAAAACAAGAAAAAGGCTGAGCTTTATGAATAACAAGAACATGCTTGTAATTGTTCCACAAGCTTGACTTTCAAGATGTTTCTACAAAAACAGAGTGAAAGAAGAGAATTGAGGCAATTATATAGTCAATCTACATGTCAGCTGAGGTCGTCTGTCCTTTGAGACTTACACAAAATTAACTTCAACCACTACTCTCATCTTTAATAAGAAGTCCAGTATCCTCTCTGAGATTTTTGCACACATCTGAAATGTACCTTCTCATGGTTATCTGTATTTTTTAATTGACTATTCCCATTGAACTTACATCTCTTCTTTCACGACTGTCCTCTTCTTGTTGCCCGGTGATAATTCATACACCAACGCAGCCCCTTATCCCTTTATTTCCTGAAACTCTATTCTCACAAGGCAGTTAAGTATAGCCAATAGCTATTACACTGCAGCACTAAGCAGACATAATTTTAAAATTAAGTGCAGTAGACATATATGTTCCTAAACTTGCCTAAGCCATCACTGCCACCAGAAGATTCTCAATGCCCATCAATTCTTTATGAACTTAATCTCATATATACCTGAATTTAAGTTGCTTAGACCTGTTTCTTTTTTTCAGAAGACTTCCCCTGTCCTTACATCTGGTTTTCTCAAATAAATGTTACCTTTCATGCAATGTAAATTAACTTTTTTTTTTCATTTCATCGTCTTCTTTAGGAGCTGAGGCTGATCAAGATATTTTGTTAAACAAAAGGTGATCATCTTAGGAAATACCACCCTGCTAGGAGCCAAAATGGCAATTGTTTATTATAATGTTCTTAATTGTTTTTTTTTTCTATGTTACATATAGATAAAGCAGACCACAAACTCAAGAATACCTCGATGTCTAGCTATTTTAGACCACAGATGAAGATAATCTGAATTAATTAATGATGCTCCAAATCTTCATTGGATATTTTGTGCTTAGGCCCAGCCTCAGACAGCCAACTGTACTAACTTGACCTGTGAAAATAATATTGAATTTGATGTGAGCTCCAGTTAAATACAAATCACTACATATGCGATCCTTTTTCAAGAGCTAAGCAGATTAAATTTTTATTTATATTAAATATAATAGGGAGCAGAGTTTTAATTTGCTAGAGAAAAAGAAAATGTTTCACTCCTTCTTGTTCTTTATGATTACAGCCATATTATATTAAGGAGCCTTGAGAGATATCCCAGCCTCTGTCCCAGCCTCATTCCCTGGTGTATTACTGCTAGCTAGAAAATCATAAACTATTAGTATTTGAAGAAGCCACAGAGGATATCAAATCTTATCTTCCATGGGACTCCCTATAAAATACTTTCTGGGCTTTTGCTAGAAGAATGACAATAGTGTATTTGGAAAACATTAACTATTGGAAAGTAAGGTATAAATGAGTATAAAAACTGTATAATATATTGTATATAATATAAGCTCAGCAAGTGAAATGTCAATTCCTTCTCATTCTTTCCCTAATCTCTTAACTGAGATGAATATTCTTTTTTCTCTTTTGAACTTCCTTCCTTTGTACATGGTCCTACCTCCTGAAGAGAGAAGAGAATCTCTATTTTCTGTTTCTCATGAGAACATTTCAGATTCTTAAAGATAACTGTATTGCTTTGCTTTATAATTTCTTCAACATTATTTTGCAGCCTTAACTATTCTAATTCTCCAACTCTAATTGTTTTCCTTGGTGCCTAAGACTTAGAAAAAAAGCTCTTTTGTCTAACAAGCACAGAACACTACTTTGTGTCTACAGCTATTAGCACAACCCACATTTTAGGAGTCGTATCACACTGTCAGCTTTATCCCACAGTTAAAGTCATCTAAATGTAAATATTCTTTCTTTTCCACCGATGGATGGTTGTTAAGCTGTATTTCCCCTACTCTGTATTTAATGGAGCTCATTTTAAAAAATACAGAAAATGTACTTATATATTTAAACTTCATCCTGTGTTATTTGTCCAACTTGTCAAGACCTTTTAGAGTTTTAATTCTCTTATCCAGAAATTGATTTATTCCTGCTTTGATTTATCTGAATCAGAACCACGTTTTAAATATTTTCTATGATTTTACAAATAATGGTGAACAACACAGACAGCAGCAGAGTCTTTTGACAAGCCCCTACAATCTTCTGTTCAAGACACCTAAGATAGCCACAAAGACAACAGAAGCTTTTCTGGCATGTGTCGCTGCTCACCAGACACTGTCTCAGGCAGTTTCCACGAGCTCACTTTAATCTTCGTTATTTCCACCTAACATAACTATCCACACTGAAAGATGACAAAACTGAGGTTTGACAAGAATGATGCAACGTGTCCAAGGTTCACAAATGTAACTAGTATGGTCATGTAGGTCCATCTGGCTCCCAAACTTAAACTCTTCTGCTGCTTCAACCATGTACAACCTCGTTTGGATATGGTTGCTCAACCAACCCAAACCCTACAATCCCTAGCCCATACTTGCCATATTATTAAAAAAGATATCAACACTGTATTTCATATACCATATATTCTTATATTGATATCCAAAAGGATATCAAAGTAAGTTTTGCTAAAATTCTAGTTGCAAGTGAAAATAATCTAAAATCTAAAGCATTATTGTATTAGCTACGTTTTTAATCCTGTATTTTTTAATGACTTGAATTTGGTATAACTTAATTTCTTAACAATCTAAAAATTCTTAGTAATCTTATAAAATTCAAATTCAATTCAGATGTCTCCTATGCTAAGCACTCATATCATTATTTTATTTTAATTTCCAGGGATTACTATCAATAACCCTAGTCTGTAGTCTGAAATGTGTCTTTTCTCTGTATTAAATAATTAGACAGCTTTTGTCTGTCTCAAGCAGCCTCTGGCATGACCCCAATCCTCAAAGTACATCACAATTGGTTTCCCAATTGATTTTACCATTTTTCCCTATACTCTGGATATAATTTGTTTACACCAAGTAACTTGAATACAATTTAAAGTTATTCTTTTATCAGCTCTATTGATATTACTGTTTTCCTCTCCTTTCTTCACCTCTGTTCTTCTCCTCTTTATTTTATTTTCTGATTATAAAAGAATAGGGTTAAGCAACAACCCATTAGACAGAGAAGACAGTCAACATGAGTCTTTTTTTAATGGATTGTCTCTAATGTTTCATTATGAAGTATGATGGTAGCTGTTGATTTTCAAAAGATACCCTTTTGCAATTGAAGAATTAATCTTCTAAAACTTGTTTCCTCAATATGTCTGTGGTGTTTTTTTTTTTTTTTTTTGAAGGGGGAAGGGGAAGGGGAAAGGGAAAGGGAAGGGGAAGGGGAAAGGGAAGGGTAGGGAGAGGGGGAGGAAGGAAGAAAGAAAAGAAGGAAAGAGAGAGGAAGGAAGGAGAAAGAAAGAAGAACTAAAGAAAGAAAGAAAGAAAGAAAGAAAGAAAGAAAGAAAGAAAGAAAGAGAAAGAAAGAAAGAAAAAGAAAGAAAGAAAAGAAAGGAAAGAAAGTTACGTGGCATATTGATTGCTATTGGACTTTTTACAGAGTCCTTTCAGATTACTCTGGGGATTTTTTGTACTGGGCTAAGTGGTATTGTATATTATAATCATGTCTCCCCTGATAATAAACCAGCTTTTCAATCTGCAGACAAATCCTCCCTGGTCATGGTGAATGATTATTTGAAGATACTATTGGATTTGATTTGCTAATAGTTAAAGAGTTTTGCATTAATATTTCTCAGATAACTCATTTACAGTTTTGTCTTTTTTCCCCCTGGCAGGCGGGGGTTTTCTTGTACAGGTCTTTTGTGGCTTCAAGCTGAAGAAAATGAAGTGGATACCACTCTGTCTTTTTCAAAGCTTTAGATCAGTTTATGTAGCATGGGAATTATCTGCTCTTTGAAATTTTAACAGTAAAATTATTTGATCATGGGTCTGCTACTGAAGGATACTTTTTGATCATTTATTTTCGGTTTTTGTTCAAATCAAAATTTCTACTTGTCCTTAATTTTGGGCATTGATTTTTTTCCCCTAGGTTATCATTCACCTAGTGTAGTTTTAAAATTATTTAAAATAGCTTGTGTGTAGACTTAAACAAATTATCTGCTATTATATCCTTATTTTAAAAAATATTTTTGCTTTCTTTTTTCATCTTGATTGTATTTGTTTTTTGCCTTTTTTTATTAATATTACTGTATTACTGTTGTGTTTAAAGAAACAACTCTTGGATTTATTGAGAAATTATATTTTGTTTTTAAATTCATTAAATATCTGTCTTTGTAATTATTACAGGTTCTTCTCTGTTTCCTTTGGTTTATTCTGTGGTTGCTTTTGTAACTTATTCCACAGATTACTAAATTCCTTTATTTTATTGGTATTTTAATAATGAGAGCTTTTAAGATTATTGCCTCTGAGAATAACTTTGGCTGCATGATACTACAATAATAAGTAATGTTTGTTGTATCTCTATTATTTTTTAAGTAGTCTATTATTGCAATTTTGAATTTTTTGTCCTAATAGACTTTTTAAAGAATGTTTTAAATTATCAAATTGCTGGGTTTTATTTCTGTTTGTTTTTAAACTTTGATTATTAATTTGTGATTTACTATATTGTAACTGGACAATTTTCTGCTCAGTTTCTGATTTAATAATTTTATTTATGAGTAGAATATAATCAATTTTTATACTTATGAAATTTGAAAATAATATATATGCTCTTTGTATACAAAGTTCAATATATCCATGATTTCAAATTTGTTATATTAAAGTCATATTATGTATTCATATTAGAGTTGTTTATTTATTTTAATGTTTCCTATAACAGCTATGTTTCTGTCAAGTTCTCATTTATCTATTTAACAAGTGTTACTAAGCACCTGCTCTGTGCTAGGCTTATTTCTAGGTGTTGGGGATGCAGCAGTCAACCACAGGCAGGAGGACCTCTTGGGACAGGTGGCACTGAGAGGGCAAAATAACTGTTCCAAGGTCATCCAGTAAAGCATATGTAAGGCAGACATATGCGTATGTATATGTATACATACACACATGCGTGCATGATATAAATGTCTCCTTTTAACAGAAATGGAAGTGCTTCTATCAATACTGCACTTTCTATACACATTATTTTGTATTTTGCTTTTTATCATTTTTCTTTTCATTTTAGGTTTCAGTGTGTCTTATTTTATTGTGTCTTTGTAAAAGAAGCTGGGACCACCAGCCAGGCATTTTTCAATGGCTTCAATCCTCCCTCCCTAAATTTTGCCCGGCCTATCCTTTTTAGCTTCATGCTTTTCTTCCCTTCATGTAGAAGTTGTGGCTGAGCTGTTTTACTTTCCCACTCTGCTCTCTGGGTACATGACAATATCCTCAAGCAAGTCACCGCCCTTCTTTATCATGCACCTTTTAGACAAAGCTTCAGGTCCTCTAGGTCCCGTCTCTTACTCCAGCCACAGCTGCAGCAAGCAGCTCCAAGAAGGATTGCACCAACCTGCATCACTGCACCTGTGTGCTATGTCCCCTCCTTCTTGCCTAGTGTCTACTGTGACAACCAGAGTATCCAGTTTTGGTTCTCAACTAGCCACAGACTGCTAAGTGCAGGAGAATGAATATCCAGGATGCCATCCCTGACCACTGAAGGATGGGAACAGATGGATAACACATCTAGCTTTTAGATCTAGGGCAGACAGACGTGAGATCCACCCCAAAGGCACTTCAGTAGCCGCCATTTGGGGTCTCTTAACAGTGACCAACTCTATAGTGCATCTCTGTATGGCTTTTTCTCCTTCTCTGCTTCACATTCTCTGTGCCTAGTGCCTGTTCCTTGGGATCACTTCCAAAAATATTACCTGCATGCAAGCCTTTGTACCAGGCTCTGCTCTCTGGGAAACCCAGGCTAAGACATCTTCCTTGCTCAATTTCTTGCTCTGCACGAAGCTCTCAAATCTCCTTATGCTTTTTAAAGGATCTTTCTCAAATATTTGTCTTAACACTTTGGCTACCGAACATTATTCCTACAGCCTGGTGCTGTTCTTTTGTGTTTCTACTTTGTGTTTATTCTCCTCCTTCAATATTTAATGTAAGTCCTTTTATAATAGGTGCTTAAGTTGCAGTTATACCAGTTTGTTTAGATTTAAATCTTTTTGCTTTATTATTAGAATAATTTCTGATTATGTGGAATTTTTTTTTCCTGAGTTTTTCTACCTTTCTATCTCTCTTAAGCCATGTTATTGTTCAAGTCTCTTTCCTTGGAATTACACACACACACACACACACACACACACACACATTCTGATTATTTTTAACTTTGCTGTTCTGAAGTCAAGTCTAGGACTTCAGTCACATCAAAGGGGTTACTCTCTCCAAGGTCCCTGCTGCTCTCATGACATCAACCAGTTTTGTCTCAACGATTAGAATTAAATCCATGCAACAATTTCCTCCTTGTGACTTTCTTTTTCATTTAAAATGTAAAATAAGAGCATTTTATATTATGACTATGAGAAGATGCTCCACTTTTAGATGTTTCAGACTCTCAAGAGCTGCCCAGACAAATCAAAATATTCTACTAGGTCAGTGTGTTTCCCTTCAGAAGTTTTGTACTATGTTTAAGATATGCTGAGTCTAGAGTCTGTAGCACCCTCTGCCATTGTTAAACTTCTATTCATTTCTGCTTTTATCTCACATTCAAATATGAGACATCATGTTTCCAATCTTTGACTGACAGATTTCTACAGATATGCGTATCTTAACATGAGACACTATTCTCCTGTCCTTTCAATTAGACCACCTTTGTTTAAATAAGGTATATCCCTCTATTACTACCTTGTAGTCATATTCAAATCCCACTAAATTTCAGTGATACTTCAAAGAGGTTTTATATATATATATGTGTATACGTGAGTATATGTGTATATACATATACATATATGTACACATACACACATATATGTATGTTTGTATCAAAATATAAAGCCATATTTTATTTATGGAGAATGTTCAGTGTCTGGCATGTTGATGTCGGAGGCCCACTGATATTGTTTCTATTATAGTCATTATTTTCTCATCATTCCTTCCCCACTCTAAGGTACACTGTTTGCTTTCCATAGCATTAATTTTGCAGTTTAATTGAAGCCTTCCTCTCTGACTTTTCTTAAAATGTGTATTTCGTTTATTCTTATCACATTGATGAGTATGTTTCCACATTGTTCCAGGTTTTGAGAAATGTCCTCCACCATTTGCTCAAAGAACATCATTCTTTTATAATGAACTGTGATCCAGAAAAGAATTTTTTCCTTATTCTCAGTCAGCAGATCATTTCTCATATTTTCTGTTTGGTAATAATAAAATAACAACAATACAGTTATGAATAACTGAATTTCTTCTGTGCTTCCACCATGTTTTTCATGTACGTTACATCTAATCCTAGTAAGAACCATAATAAATGAGGACTTTTTTGCCCTTTTTTAATTTAAGAAGACTGAGTTCTCATAACTAGTAAGAAGCAGATCCACCATTCATGCTAAATTTGGCTCCAAATCTTTTGCTCTTTTCACTATCGCAATATATGTACTGATTATACTTCAGAAATTGTTTTAAGGTCCCTTGCTTGTTATTATCACAGGGAAGATAGGAAAGAAACATGTTTTATAAAACCTATGTGTTCAGTCTCTTATCATGGTTTCAGATTCAATAAAGGCATTTTCTAGTTGTCTTTTAACCATATTTTTTTTCCTTGTAAAACAAATGAAACAAGTAGTGCTCTGAGTATTTGTTGGTACAGGTGCAGCTTGCCCTGTTGTATATGCGCTGGCCATTTCTGTGTCACTCACCATTGGCATTGTGCTACTCCTACATCTTGTCCTTTTGGGCTCATAATAGGATTCCCTATACCTGCTGTATTGCTCTGGGTACCACAGGATGCTGCTGCTTTTGCAAACATCTTAGCTTAGTCCTCTATTGGAAGATAATCTAGCCCTTTAGGTAGCCCTTTTGAGGACATTATATTTACTGCCCAGGGATAGAAGTACAGACAGAAAGATGTACCACCAGTGAGTTAACTGATAATGAAAATAGTTGAACATTGTGAAGTGATGCCCAAATAGAAAACCTTGGCGTCAAATCTCTCCAGCCCACTAGCAAAAGTACTTAAGGGGATGAAGAATTATGTTCTATGTTCTTTCCTTACATGAATGCCATTGTTACCTAAAATTTCACTTAATTCATTCTCCCAAGTGTCCACAGCCTGAAACTGGATGTCTACACTGTCAAACTGAGTGTCTGCTGAGCCAAATGGATGCCAAAAGTCAAACAACCTTAATTCATTTTGTGAAGCTCATCATAGATGAAATAGCTTTGCATGGGATTCAGGGTTTCACCACTTACTAGTTATGTGTTCTTCACCAAGGTACTAGCTTCTCTGTGCCTCCTTTTCCTCATCTTCTACACAGTTGTACCTTAATGTTCATAGCTCCCATGTAAGTCCAAAGCCCCCTTAGGATCTCAAATGTCAATGAACTGTGTGGTTTGAAAATCGGTGAGGATTTCTATGGGTGGTCTAAAAGTTACCAGAAGCTTCCTATCTATTGATACATTACTACAGTGATAGTGAGACAGCTATTGGCTCATGAGTTTGCTGGACATTGCAATTACGTTTTTGGAGGAGAATCCATCTGACTGCAGACCTCAGTCTCTGTCTCTGAAATGAATGCCTATTGTCTTTTGCAGAATCTGCTTTGTCTTTCCTGTGAGAACAACTTTTTCATACCCAATAAACAAGTTATTAGTTTAGTTTTCTTTCCAAAAAAAGGTGAAATACTTTTTAATTTTTTTTAGTTTCCATAAGTTATTGGGGAAAAGGTGGCGTTTGGTTACATGAGTAAGTTCTTTAGTGGTGATCTGTGAGATTTCCATGCATCCATCACCCAAGCAGTATATACTGCACCCAATTTGTAGTCTTTTATCCTTCACCCCCTTCCTACTCTTTCCCTTTGAGTCCCTAAAGTCCACTGTGTCATTCTTATGCCTTTGCATCCTCATAGCTTTGCTTCTACTTATGAGTGAGACCATACAATGTTTGGTTTTCCATTCCTGAGTTACTTCACTTAGAATAATAGTCTCCAATCTCAGCCAAGTTGCTGTGAATGCCATTAATTCATTCCTTTTTATGGCCGAGTAGTTTTGTTTTCTAGGTGAAAGAGGGAAGTAAATATAAAAGGAATTAAGTAACCTTCCCAAAGTCATATGGCCAATAAGTGAGAAAACCAGGATTTAAACCCTAGTCTTCTACACACTAAACCCTCTATTTTTAATCCTACAGTATTATTCCTGTGGAAAATCCCTTTGAAAATATATTTACTAAAAAATAATGCTAGTGCCATACCACAAGGCAAATAAAGTTTAAGAGGAAAGTAGGATTTTGGTAGAATGCTGGAATGAGGTGTGGGAAGTTAGTTCTATGTGGAATTCCACATGGGCGAGTAGGACTATGATTTGTACACTGGGAGCTCTGAGGAGGAAAGCTGCAAGAGGAAAACAGCAGCACCATCAGGTAAAAGCTCTATGAGGACAAAATTAACCAATTTTACACATTTTTCTTAGGGTGATGGCATAAACTCTTGAGATTCTTGTTGGGTCAATACCCAAAACATTATCCAGGAGAGTTTACCCTCTGTTGCTTATATAATTAAACTCCAGTCTTACTTTGTAGAAAAAACAATATGTGAAGTGCCCAGTAATCCCTATTCTTAATATATATTAACGGATGAGGAGGGGAGAAAGAAATAAAGATAGCAATGGTGTTTGGCCTTAGGACATCATGCAGAACCCACCTCTTTAGTTTCAATATCCCCAATGGACTAGATACTAGTTTTGCTGCATTGATTGCTGTTTCATAATATAAAATTTAATTATCTCTATTATTTTACCATAAGCTTTTCTGCCTTGGGGCCTCTGGCACAGGGTAAAGTTAGTAACAAATCTAATAAATAAAGAAATAAAACACTTCATTTCCTTTTCAGAAGGAAGTTGTGTTTTGCTCTATATGCTTGGAGCTTAAGGGAATTCACTTTAGCTTTCCCAAATATATTTGTTCTTTGGCTCAGATAGGGCAAAGACATCTTCTAGAAGATGTATTTCAGAAAAGCTTCCATTCTGGAGCTCTGAGACTCTAAGTCATGGGAACCATTGTGCTCCTTCCAACAGGGATTGAAGTAAATATGCATCTCCACACAAGCTCTCAAGGGCTGTTTCTTACTCTTCACATCTTTATTACTGTATTCCCCCTCATTACATTTATGTAGCCCGAGAAGCATAGAATTAAAAGCCCTGACTCTGATTCATACTTCACCCACTTCTACTTTGTTTACCCAATTGTTTTCTTTCGAGTGAAGATTTCAAGACTTAGACAAATGCAGCTTAGCAAATAAAAAACACAGCTTTTGAGAGATTAAAAAAAATGCTATTGAGAATGTAATTGAAGTCAAGCACTAAGCAATGGCCTAAGCAATGAAGAGAAAGAGATGAGATGTATGTATTATTGAACTAGCTGGGCTTTGGGGAATATGCAATAATGGGTCTGCCACTCAAATATATACTGTAGTTCTCAACATCTTGTATTTAATAAGTTATTTTAAAAGAATAAATTATGTATATTCTTTAGGCCTGGTGCTATTGAAGATACAAAGAAATCCGAAACAAAAACTTTGCCTTCAAAGGACTAATAAAGCAAGAGTAAATACAAGAAAAGATGCAAAATTGTATTACAAAACAGAATATAGGAATTCCTGAAAAATAAAATGTTGTATCAAAGAGCATATAGGCTGTGACACAGGGATTGGGAAGATTTCATGGAAGAGATGATACTTACAGTTAGCTTAGAGAAAGGAATGATCTACAATTACATGTATCAACAGGAATGAATAGTGAACATAATACTGAACAAAGAAGCAATTCCAAGGAAAATATTCAATACAGGTATAGTCTATTTTGTAATTTTCAAAAATTAAAATATGTTGTTTAGAATATGTGTTAGTCCGTTTTCATGCCGCTCATAAAGACATACCTGAGACTGGGTAATTTATAAAGAAAAAGAGGTTTAATGGACTCATAGTTCCATGTGGCTGGGGAGGCCTCACAATCATGGCAGAAAGTGAAAGGCACATCTTACATGGCAGCTGGCAAAAGAAAATGAGAGCCAAGCAAAAGGGGAAACCCCTTATGAAACTATAAGATTTCATGAGACTTATTCACTACCACGAGAACAGTATGAGGGAACCACCCCCATGATTCAATTATCTCCCACTGGGTCCCTCCCACAACATGTGGGCATTATGGGAGCTACAATTCAAGATGAGATCTGGTAGGGGACATAGCCAAACCATATCATTCTGCCCTTGGCCCATCCAAAATATCATGTCCTCACATTTCAAAACCAATCACACCTTCCCAACAGTCCCCCAAAGTCTTAACTCGTATCAGCATTAACTCAGAAGTCCACAGTCCAAAGTCTTATCTGAGACAAGGCAAGTCCCTTCCAGCTATGAGCCTGTAAAATCAAAAGCAAGTTAGTTATTTCCTAGATACAATGGGGGTACGGGCATTGGATAAAAACGCCTATTCCAAATGGGAGAAATTGGCCAAAACGAAGGGGCTACAGCCTCCATGCAAGTCTAAAACCCAGCAGGGCAGTCAAATCCTAAAGCTACAAAATGATCTCCTTTGACTCCAGATCTCACATCCAGGTCACACTGATGCAAGAGGTACGTTCCCATGGTCTTGGGCAGCTCTACCCTTGTGGCTTTGCAGGGTACAGCCTCTCTCCTAGCTGCTTTCACAGCCTGGTGTTGAGTGTCTGCAGCCTTTCCAGGTGTATGGTACAAGGTGTCAGTGGATCTACAATTCTGGGGTCTGGAAGATGGTGACCCGCTTCTCACAGCTCCACTGGGCAGTGCCCCAGAAGGGACTCTGGGTGGGGGCTTCAACCCCATATTTCCCTTTTGCACTGCCCTAGCAAAAATTCTCCATGAGGGCCCTGCCCCTGCAGCAAACATCTGCCTGGACATCCAGGCATTTCCATATATCCTCTGAAATCTAGGCAGAGTTTCCCAAACCTCAATTCTTGACTTCTGTGCACCTGCAGGCTCAACACCATGTGGAAGCTGCCAAGGCTTGGGGTTTGCACCCTCTGAAGCATGGCCTGAGCTGTATCTTGGCCCCTCTTAGCCACAGCTAGAGTGGCTGGGATGCAGGGCACCAGTTCCCTAGGCTGCACACAGCAGGGGGTTCCTGGGCTTGGCCCAGGAAACCATTTTTCCCTCCTAGGCCTGTAATGGGAGGAGCTGCTGCAAACGTCTCTGACATGCCCTGGAGACATTTTTCCCATTGTCTTGGATTAATATTTGGCTCCTTGTTACTTATGAAAATTTCTGCAGCTGGCTTGAATTTCTCCTCAGAAAATGGGTTTTTCTTTTCTATTGCAGTGTCAGGCTGCACATTTTCCAAACTTTTATGCTCTGTTTCCCTTTTAAAACTGAATGCCTTTAATGGCACCCAAGTCAACTCTTGAATGCTTTGCTGCTTAGAAATTTTTTCTGCCAGATACTCTAAATCATCTCCCTCAAGTTCAAAGTTCCATGAATCTCCAGGGCAGAGGCAAAATGGCACCAGTCTGTTTGCTAAAACATAGCAAGAGCAAGAGTCACCTTTACTCCTATTCCCAACAAATTCCTCATCTCTATCTGAGAACACCTAAGCCTGGATTTCATCATCCATATCACTTCAGCAGTGTTTTTTGTTTTTTGTTTTTTTGAGACAGAGTCTTGCTCTGTCCCCCAGGCTGGAATGCGGTGGCATGGTCTCTGCTCACTGCAACCTCCACCTCCCAGGCTCAAGTGATTCTTATGCCTTAGCCTCCCAAGTAGCTGGAACTATAGGTGCCCACCACCACACCTGGCTGATATTTTCTATTTTAGCAGAGACAGTATTGCACCATGTTGACCACGGTTGTCTTGAACTCCTGATCTCAGGCAATCCACCTGTCTTGGCCTCCCAAAGTGCTAAGATTACTGGTGTGGGCTACTGTGCCTGGCCCATTATCAGCATTTTCGTCAAAGCCATTCAACAAGTCTCTAGGAAGTTCCAAACCATCCCACATGTTCCTGTCTTCTTGTGAGCCCTCCAAACCATTCCAGCCTCTGCTTGTTACCAAGTTTCAAAGTCGCTTCCACATTTTTGGGTATCTTTACAACAGCACCTCACTCTACCAGTACGAATTTACTGTATTCGTCTGTTTTCGGGCTGCTGATAAAGACATACCCGAGACTAGGTAATTTATGAAGAAAAAGAGGTTTGGGCCACCGCGGTGGCTCACACCTGTAATCCCAGCACTTTGGGAGGCCGAGGTGGGCTGATCACGAGGCCAGGAGATCAAGACCATCCTGGCTAACGCGGTGAAACCCAGTCTCTACTAAAAATACAAAAAATTAGCCGGGCGTGGTGGCGGGCACCTGTAGTCCCAGCTACTCAGGAGGCTGAGGACGGAGAATGGCGTGAACCCGGGAGGCGGAGCTTGCAGTGAGCCGAGATCGTGCCACTGTACTCCAGCCTGAGCGACAGAGCGAGACTCCGACTCTGTCTCAAAAAAAGAAAAAAAAGAAAAAAGAAAAAGAGGTTTGATGGACTCACAGTTCCACATGACTGGGGAGGCTTCACAATTATGGCAAAAGGCAAAAGGCATGTCTTACATGGGAGCAGGCAAGAGAGAATGAGCCAAGCGAAAGGGGAAACTCCTTACTAAACCGTCAGATCTCATGAAACTTACTCAATACCAAGAGAACAGCATGGGGAAACTGCCCCCGTGATTCAATTATCTCCCACCCAGTCCGTCCCACAACATGTGGGGATTATGGGAGCTACAATTCAAGATGAGATTTGGGTGTGGACACAGCCAAACCATATCAGAACACATATACAGATGAAATTAGAAAGAAGAAGAAGACGAAGAGGACAACGATGAAGAAGAAGGAGGAGGAGGAGGAGGAGAAGGAGGAGAAGGAGGAGAAGAAGAAGAAAATAGATGATTATCACAAAAATCAAAAAGTATTATTTTAACTCTGGGGAGAGGCAACAAGATTGGGTTTGTGACCCACAGGAATGACTTCTAGGGAACTGACTATCACGTATTCTTAATTACGCTGATGGTTAGTGGATTCTGCTTTATAATTACCCCTTAAATTGTATATAACTCTCTATATGTATGTAAACTACATATATATATGTGTGTGTGTGCTTTAGACTCTTCTGTATGTATGATGTATTCAAAAATAAAAAAGGTTAAAATATACATATGTTATAATTAAATTTTTAAAATAATATTATAAAATGAAAAATCATTGGCCATTGTAAAGATCAAGCTATTTGGGACAACAAGATTATATCATAATGCTATTAGGTCTATATAATTAAAATGAAATTGAACTGAAAAATAATAAGGTAATCAATTCGTATTTTAGCATGAGGGGGTGAGCATTAACACCTAAACTAATGTCAACAGAGATTTAAAAAATACAGAGAGTGATCCTGAAGCTTTGAGGATGGACAAAGCATATTAGTTAGAGTTTTTCTTAAGTCACAAAAAATCCACCAACTATCATAATAAAAAATAGATATTATAAGGTTATAGGGATACATCATGAAGTCAAGAGATCTAAATACTCTCAGATCCTAAAAAGACAACCTGCACAGTCTGTTTTTCTCTATCTCAGAATCTCTGCATCTACAGAATGAGACTTAAACTATCTTGGTTTAAGCTCCAAATCTTTGAGTACAGCACCCTGGTACATATGCAGCATATTCACATCTTTATCCAATCAATTATGGCATGAGTATGCTATCCAAAAGTAGCCTTCATTTTTGAAAACCTTATTTATTTCTCATGTACCCCAATCTCTCAACTATTCAGCCTCATCCCTTTAAATGATCTTCACCTCTATTATGCTTCAACTATCCACAGGATGATCAGCCACTGTATGTTATAATAGCTGGAAACTCTTGGTCCTCAATAATTTTTGTAAGCAAATCCTGAGAATATGTTATTAGAACATGATTTTTCCACTGTTATCTAGTAGTACTAGCTGACATATCCATCTATAAAAGGCAAATGTCAGCATGCTTTCTTCAAGATGTATCATAAGCTATTTTCTTTCAGTGAATGGAAGTGTTTGACAGAAAAACACCTTTGTAAGCAAAGCTTAAGAATATGTTATTAGAACATGTTTCTCTCTTCATTGGTACCTATTAGGACAAGTTGACATATGAGGTTATAAAAAGCAAGTATAATCATGCTTTTTAAGATTTGTAAACGTAAGGGGTACAAATGCAGTTTGTTGACATGGATATACAGGTAGTGGTGAAGTCTGAATTTTTAGTGTTGCCATCACACAATGTACATTTTACCCATTAAGTAATTTCTCATCCCTCACACCCCTTCTATGCTCTCATTCTTCCAAGCCTCCAATGTCCACTATTCCCTACTCTTTGTCCATATGTACACATTATTAAGCTCTCACTTATAATTGAGAACATGTGGTAGTCAACTTTCTGTTTCTGAGTTGTTTTACTTAAGATGATAGCCTCCAGTTCCACCCATGTTGCTGCAAAAGACATGATTTCATTCTTTTTACTGCTGAATAGTATTCCATTGTGTACAGACACCACATTTTTAATCCAATCATCCACTGACGGAACCTTAGGTTGATTCCATATCTTTGCTATTGTGAATAGTGTTATAATGAACATACAAGTACAGATATCTTTTTAATAAAATGATTTCTTTTTCTTTGGGTAAGATTTCCAGTAGTGAGGTTATTGAATTGAATGGTAGTTCTACTTTTAATTTGAAAACACTACATACTATTTTCCACAGAGTTGTACTAATTTACATTCTCATCAACAGTATAAAAGCATTCTCTTTTCTCTGCATCTTCACCAACATTTGTTATATTATTTACTTTTTAATAATAGTCATTCTGATTTGTGAAAAAGGATATCTCACTGTGATTTAAATTTGCATTTCTCTGGCAATTAGTCAGGTTGGGCATTTTTTATATAGGCATTGTCCATTTCTCTGTCTTCTATTGGAAAACATCTATTCACATCCTTTGCCCACTTTTTAATTGGGTGATCTTTGAGGTTGTTGTTGAGTTATTTGAGTTCCTTGTGTATTCTAGATATCAGTCACCTGTTGGATGCATAATGTGCAAATATTTTATCCCATTCTGTCAATTGTCTGTGAACTCTTATTTCTTTTGCCATTGCAGCTTTGTAGTATAAAGTCCCACTTGTCTATTTCTGTTTTTGTTGCTTGTGCTTTTGAGTCTTAGTCATGAATTATTTGCCTAGACCAATGTCCAGAAGAGTTTTCCCTAGGTTTTCTTTAGTATTCTTTATAGCTTCAGGTTGTCCTTTCCCCAGTGTATGTTTTTGTTGACTTTGTTAAGTATCAATTGTCTATAAATATGTGGCTTTATTTCTGGGTTCTCTATTCTGTTCCATAGACCTGCGTGTCTATTTTTTTTTTTTACCAGTACTATGCTGTTGTGGTTACTAGAGCCTTGTAGAGTAATTTGAGGTCAGGTAAGGTGATGCCCCCAGCTTTGTTCTTTTTGCTTAGGATTGCTTTGGCAATTTGGGCTCCTTTTTGGTTTCACATGATTTTTAGAATTGTATTTTCTAATTCTGTGAAAAATAACGTTGATATTTTGATAGGGGTTGTATTGAATCTGTAGATTGCTTTTGGAAGTATGGTCATTTTAACAATGTTAATTCTTCCAATCCATGAGCTTGGGATGTTTTCCCATTTGTTTGTGTCATTCACATTTTTTTTAAATCAGTGTTCTGTAGTTTTTCTTGTATAGAATATTCAATTACTTGGTTAAATATATTCCTAGGTATTTTTTTGTAGTTATTGTAAGTGTAATGGCCATTTTGATTTGGTTCACTACTTGATTCTTATTGGCATATAGACATGTTACAAATTTTTGTGTATTAATTTTGTATCCTGATAATTTACTGAATTCATTTATCAAATCCAAAAGTTAGAAGAGTCTTTAGGGTTTTCTAGGTATAAGATTATATTTTCAGCAAACAAATAATTTTACTTTCTCCTTTCTAATTTGGATGTCTTTTCTTTCTTTCTTTTTTTAATCTGATTGCTCTGGCTAGAACTTCCAGTACTATGTTGAATAAGGGTGGGGAAAGTGGGCATCTTTGTCATCTTCTAGTTCTTAGGGGGATTAATTTCAAGTTTTCCACATTCAATATGATATTGACTGCAGATATGTTGTTTGGCCTTTATTATTTTGAGGTATGTTTCTTCTATTCCTAGTTTATTGAGGGTTTTTATCATGAAGGGGTACTAAATTTTATCAAATGATTATTCTGCATCTGTCAAGATGATCAGACAGATTTTGACCTTCATTCTGTCTATGGGATGAATCACATTAACTGATTTGTGTATGTTGAACCATCTTTGCATTCCTGAAGTAAAACCTACTTAATTGTATTATCTTTTTGATGTACAACTAGATACTGTTTGCTAGTATTTTGTTGAGGATTTTTGCAACTGTGTTTATTAGGGTAATTATTTTCTAGTTTTTCTTGTGTTCTTACATGGCTTTGGTATAAGATTTTATTTTCAGTGAACAGAGGTGATGTGACTTATTCTTTTACAGTTTGGATGACTTTTATCTCTTTCTCTAGCCTGATTGCTGTGATTAGAACTTTCAGTATTATGTTGAATAGCAGTGGCGCAAGTGGGAAATTGGGGTGATAATAACTTTATAAAATGAGTTAGGGAGAACTCCCTCCTCCTTGACTTTTTGAAAAAATTTCAGGAGGATTGGTATTAGTTCTTTTTTGCTCATTTGGTAGAATTTGGCTGTGAATCTATCTGGTCATGGTTGTTTTTGTTGTTGTTGAGAGATATTTTTAATTACTGACTCGATGTTGCTACCCATTATTGGTATATTCAGAATTTCTAATTCATTCTGTATCAATGCTGGGAGGTTGTACGTTTTCAGGAATTTATCCAGTTCCTTTACGTTTTCTCAATTGTGAGCATATAGTTGTTCATAGTAGTCTTTTGTGGTTGTAATATTTCCTTTTTCATTTCTTATTATGTTTATTTGGATCTTCTCTCTTTTGGGTTATTCTAGCTAGCAGTTTATTAATTTTGTTTATCTTTTCAAGGAAACTTTCTGTTTTGTTGCTCCTTCAGGTTTTTTTTTTTTTTTTTTTTTTTGGTCTCAATTTTATTTAGTTCTACTCTGACCTTTGTTATCACTTTTCTTCTGCTACCTTTGGGTTTGGGTTGTTATTGTTTTTCTGCTTCTTTGACATGTGGCATAGGTTGTTAATTGGCTATTTTTCTATATTTTTTATGTAGGCACTTAACACTATAAATTTCCCTCTTAGCACTACTTTTGCTGTATCCCAGAGGTTTTGATATATTGTGTTTCCATTCTCATTCATTTCAAAATTTTTAATTTTCCATCTTAATTTTGTCATTGACCCAAAGATCTTTCAGGAGCATATTGTTTAATACATATATTTTTATAATTCTGTAAGTTTTTCTTGGTATAGACTTCTAGTTTTATTTCACTATAGTCTGAGAAGATACTTGATATAATATCAATTTTTAAAAATTATGGTCTGTCTTGGAGAAGGTTCTGTGTACTGTTGAGAAGAATGTATATTATGTGACTTTTCCATAGAATGTTTGCTGTAAATAGGTCTATTTAGTCTGAAGTATAATTTAAGTCTAGTGTTTCTTTGTTGATTTTCTGTCTTGATATTCTGTTACTGTTGTGAATGGAGTGCTGAAATCTCCACTATAATTGTATTGCTCTCTATCGCCTTATTTACGTCTAGTACTTTTTTTTAAATTAATCTGGGTGCATCAGTGTTGGGTGCATAAATATTTAGGATTGTTATATCCTCTTGTTAAATTAATTCCTTTACCATTATGTAATTAACTTCTTCATCTTTTTTTTTTTTTTAACTCCTGTTAGTTTAAAGTCTGTTTTATCAATGTTAGTGTAGCTACTCCTGCTTACTTTTGGTTTTCATTTGCATGGAATATCTTTCCCACCTCTTCACATTCAGTCTATAAGTGTCTTTACCAGAAAGCTGAGTTTCTTGTTAGGAGCTCATAGTTGGTTCATTTTTTAAAAAATCCATTCCACCAATCTATATATTTTTAGTATTGTATTCAATCCATTACATTCAAGGTTAATATTAATATGTGAGGTTTTATTCCTGTAATAATGTTAATCGTTATCTGTTTTGTAGATTCATTGTTTATCTTTTCTTCTATGTGTTTTTCTTTGTAGTTTGGTGGAGTTCTGTCATGTTACCACTTGATTTCTCTCTTTCTTCATTCTGTAATTATTTTATAAGACCTGTGAGCTTTACACTTTTGTGCATTTTTATAATGGCAAATTTTGACCTTTTATTTCAATGTTTAGTACTCCTTTGAGCATTTCTTGTAGGGCTAGCCTAGTGGTGATGAATTATCTCAGCTTTGCTTCTTTAGAAAAGACTTTAAAATCCTTCTTCATTTATGAAGCTTATTCTGGGAAGAGATAGAATTCATGATTGGCAGTTTTTTGTTTTTTTTTTTTCCTTTAAGCACTTTGAAAATAGGATTCCAATCTCTTCTGCCTTGTAAGGTTTCTGCTGAAAAGTCTGTTGTTAGGCTAATGAGGTTTTCTTTAGAAGTAGCTAGGTGCTTTTCTTTGGCAATTTTAAGATTTTTTTCTTTATGTTGACTTTAGACAATGTGATGACTATTTGTCATGGTGAAGTCTGTTTTGCAATGTATTTTCCTGGTGCTTATTGGGTCTCCTGTATCTGGATATAGAAATCTTTTGATAGACTATTGAAGTTTTCATCAATTATTTCTTTAAATAGGTTTTCTAAATTTTTACTTTTTCTTCTCACTCTGGAATACCCAATGACATGTATGTTTGGTCACTTTATGTAGTCCTATATTTCTCAAAGAGTTTGTTCACTCTTTTGTGTTCTCTTTATTTTTGTCTGAGTGGATTATAAAAAAAAAAATGTCTTCAAACTCCAAAGTCTCTTCTTCTGCTTGGTCTAGTCTATGATTGAAGCTTTCAACTGTATTTTGTAATTCCTTCAATGAATTTCTCATTTTCAGAAATTCTGTTTTATTTTTTAAGATATCTATCTCTTTGTAAATTTTTTATTTATATTCTGAATTGATTATTGATTTTCTCATTTCTCTATATTGGTTTTCAGATTTCTCCTGAATATCACTGAGTTTCTTTAATGTCAATATTTTGAATTCTTTATCCAGCATGTCAAAACTTTCTTTCTGGTTAGGATCCATTACTAGAGAATTACTGTGTTCCTTTGCAGGTTACACACACATTGCTTTTTCTTTTTTCTTTCCTTTTCTTTTTTCTTCTTCTTTTTTTTTTTTTTTTTAACGGAGTCTTGCTCTGTCATCAGGTTGGGCTCACTGCAACCTCTAACTCCCTGGTTCAAGCAATTCTGCTGACTCAGCCTCCTGAGTAGCTGGGATTATAGGCACGTGCCACCAGGCCCAGCTAATTTTTGTATTTTTAGTAGAGACGGGGTTTCACCCTGTTGGCCAGGATGGACTCCATCTCCTGACCTCATGATCCACCTGCCTCAGCCTCCCAGAGTGTTGGGATTACAGGTGTGAGCCACTGGGCCCGGCCCTCATTGCTTTTTCGTATTTTCAATAATATTATGTCTTCACATATGGAGAAACAGTCACTTCTTATTTTTGAATTGACTTTTTTTCTTCTTGAGGGTGTGACTATAATATACATTGAGTAGGGCCATTTAGGCTTCACTTCTGGGTGTGTTCAGTGGTGAAAACTCTACATGATTTCCTTAGTTACCAGTAGCCTTAGTGTTGAGTATGGTGGCTTTCTCAAATGCTGGTTATACTGGCAGTGCAGGTGGGTGAGCAAGCTTATGACCTCCTGGGTAGCTGGAGTGGTGTGGAGAATGGTGGTAGCAGAGGTCATGAGAAGCTTGTTTGCTTTCTAAGAGCTGTTCGCTTGTGTCAGCAGATGTTGTAATGGCCTCCGCAGGTTGACCTTCAGGCCAGTAGGCGGTGCTTGCAAGTGAGAGATAGTTACAGCGGGTGATGGCAGTAGGGCTTATGCTTGACCCTTGCTAACCAGGAGAAGCCCAAAATCTCCTTAAGCTGATAAGCAACTTCAGCAAAGTCTCAGGATACAAAATCAATGTACAAAAATCACAAGCGTTCTTATACACCAACAACAGACAAACAGAGAGCCAAATCATGAGTGAACTCCCATTCACAATTGCTTCAAAGAGAATAAAATACCTAGGAATCCAACTTACAAGGGATGTGAAGGACCTCTTCAAGGAGAACTACAAACCACTGCTCAAGGAAATAAAAGAGGATACAAACAAATGGAAGAACATTCCATGCTCATGGGTAGGAAGAATCAATATCGTGAAAATGGCCATACTGCCCAAGGTAATTTACAGATTCAATGCCATCCCCATCAAGCTACCAATGACTTTCTTCACAGAATTGGAAAAAACTACTTTAAAGTTCATATGGAACCAAAAAAGAGCCCGCATCGCCAAGTCAATCCTAAGCCAAAAGAACAAAGCTGGAGGCATCACACTACCTGACTTCAAACTATACTACAAGGCTACAGTAACCAAAACAGCATGGTACTGCTACCAAAACAGAGATATAGATCAATGGAACAGAACAGAGCCCTCAGAAATAACGCCGCTTACCTACAACTATCTGATCTTTGACAAACCTGAGAAAAACAAGCAATGGGGAAAGGATTCCCTATTTAATAAATGGTGCTGGGAAAACTGGCTAGCCATATGTAGAAAGCTGAAACTGGATCCCTTCCTTACACCTTATACAAAAATCAATTCAAGATGGATTAAAGATTTAAACGTTAGACCTAAAACCATAAAAACCCTAGAAGAAAACCTAGGCAGTACCATCCAGGACATAGGCGTGGGGAAGGACTTCATGTCCAAAACACCAAAAGCAATGGCAACAAAAGACAAAATTGACAAATGGGATCTAATTAAACTAAAGAGCTTCTGCACAGCAAAAGAAACTACCATCAGAGTGAACAGGCAACCTACAAAATGGGAGAAAATTTTCGCAACCTACTCATCTGACAAAGGGCTAATATCCAGAATCTACAATGAACTCAAACAAATTTACAAGAAAAAAACAAACAACCCCATCAAAAAGTGGGCAAAGGACATGAACAGACACTTCTCAAAAGAAGACATTTATGCAGCCAAAAAACACATGAAAAAATGCTCATCATCACTGGCCATCAGAGAAATGCAAATCAAAACCACTATGAGATATCATCTCACACCAGTTAGAATGGCAATCATTAAAAAGTCAGGAAACAACAGGTGCTGGAGAGGATGTGGAGAAATAGGAACATTTTTACACTGTTGGTGGGACTGTAAACTAGTTCAACCATTGTGGAAGTCAGTGTGGCGATTCCTCAGGGATCTAGAACTAGAAATACCATTTGACCCAGCCATCCCATTACTGGGTATATACCCAAAGGACTATAAATCATGCTGCTATAAAGACACATGCACACGTATGTTTATTGCGGCATTATTCACAATAGCAAAGACTTGGAACCAACCCAAATGTCCAACAATGATAGACTGGATTAAGAAAATGTGGCACATATACACCATGGAATACTATGCAGCCATAAGAAATGATGAGTTCATGTCCTTTGTAGGGACATGGATGAAATTGGAAACCATCATTCTCAGTAAACTATCGCAAGAACAAAAAACCAAACACCGCATATTCTCACTCATAGGTGGGAATTGAACAATGAGATCACATGGACACAGGAAGGGGAATATCACACTCTGGGAACTGTGGTGGGGAGGGGGGAGGGGGGCGGGATAGCATTGGGAGATATACCCAATGCTAGATGACGAGTTAGTGGGTGCAGCGCACCAGCATGGCACATGTATACATATGTAACTAACCTGCACAATGTGCACATGTACCCTAAAACTTAAAGTATAATTAAAAAAAAAAAAAAAGATTATTAACTTAATCATATCTTTTGCTGTATAAAGTAGTGTTCATCAGTTTTGGGGATGTGGATGTGGACATGTCTTTTGGGGGCCACTAATCAGCTCACTACAGATTAGATGGAATATATTTCTGAAGATAAAATTATAATCATGCATATTGGAATCATGATACATTTGCATCTTTTTTAAGGAAAAGCTGACCTTTAGTCTGTTTATCTTTTTATTTCCTCCTGGATGACTTCCTACCTCTTTACTTAGAGCTGGTTTCAAAATATTTTAAAATAAAGATTCCTCAATTCCTGGACTGGAGCTTCCATATTTATTATTTCTTCCATATTTCTTTCATATTTCATATCACTTGAATATTACTTTCAGCACATGACCTTGCCTCATATTTTACAAGAAAAATTAAGTCTACCCAATACAAGTTGCTTAGGATTCTCTATTATCCATTAATTCAATTCATTTAATAAGATACCTAAACTCTTCTAAGTGTTTAGGATATGTTTGTAAATTAAAATTTTTTGAAAAATTAACAAAGTCACATGCTCATAAGGAGCCTACATTCTGATAAGGGGATAAAAACTAAACATAATAAATTACTAACGTATATGTTAAATGATGGTAAGTACTATGGTAAAGAATAAAGGGCATGGGGGGTTCCTGGGGGCAGGAAAGAATAGGTATTAAAATGGGAGTTTTATGGGTCTATTGAGAAGGAGAAATTTTAGCAGGGAGATGATGGAATTAACTAGGTAGCTATCTAAGGCAAAACCATGCAGTCATTGGAAAGGAATAGAGCAAAGGCCCTGTGATAAAAGGATGCCTGATGTCTTTAATAATCAACAAGGAAGCCAGTGTGACTATAGGAGAATAAGCAAAGTGGAGAGTGGTGGTAGATGAATTCAGAAAGACAAGAGGAATGCAGAGAAGGCAGATCAAGTTGAGTCTTTCAGCAATTGTAAGGACCTGGGCTTTTACCCTGACAGAAATAAGAAGCCATTCCAGAATTTTGAGAAAGGGGTGACATCATCTGACACTAATTTTTAAAGGACCATTCTGGTTGCTGAGTTAGAGTAGACTTTGGAGATGAGAAGGTAAGTGTAAAAGCAGGGAGACTGGGCCAGCCTGGTGGCTCATGCCTGTAATCCCAGCACTTTGGGAGGTTGAGGCGGGCGGATCATGAGGTCAAGAGATTGAGACCATCCTGACCAACATGGTGAAACCCCGTCTCTACTAAAAAAAAAAAAACAAAAATTAGCTGGGCGTGGTGGCACATGCCTGTAGTTGCAGCTACTGGGAGGCTGAGGCAGGAGAATCGCTTGAACCCAGGAGGTGGAGGTTGCAGTGAGCTAAGATGGTGCCACTGCACTCCAACCTGGTGGCAGAGTGACACAAAACAAAACAAAAAAGTAGGGAAACTGGTTAGGAGGTAATCACAGTAAGTCAGTTGAGAGATGATGGCTTGGACCAGGTGGTAACTATAAAGGAGTAAGAGGTAGCTGGATTCTGGATATGTTTTTACAGCAGAGCCAACAGAATTGCTGATAAGGTGTTGAAAAAAGAAGAGTTAAGGATGGCTTGAGCAACTGGAAGGATGGAGTTATTCCCATCTGAGACTGAGAAGCTGAAGGTGAAGTGGATCTGAAAGTGGATTGAGATTTGTAGTTCAGTTCTGGATGTAATAATTTTGAGGGATCTGTTACTCAGTCAAGTGGATAGGCTGAGGAGGTAGTTAGATATATGAATCTAGATATAAAAGTCCTAAGTGTGAGGGAGAGTTCTGGACTGGAGTTTCCATATTTCTTATTTTCTTCCACATTACTTCCATATTTCATATCACTTGCATATTTCTCCTATGAGTCCTTTCTCCTCTCAAGACCAGGAGAATTAGTACTTCTCCCAGTTCTAACACATAAGCTATGCCCTTGATCCCATTCTTCAGATCTCTACTCCAATTTGTTTACTTAGCTATTTTCTGTTTTCTTTTGAACCACAAAGCCTCTAGTTCCACTTTGGCTGTTCTCCCTGTGCCTAAAATCAACTCCAGCCTTTTCTATCCAAATATAACCCCTTCTACCTACATTACACAGAAAGTTTAAAATCTCTGTTATTCCTGATTTGTCCTCTTCCTTGACTGTGTCTGTCTCCTGTCTTGCAAGGTTCAAAATATGGAGAGTGTTGTTGTCTATGTTTTATGTCTCTCATTTCCCTGCTTGGCTTATAAAACAGTGCACCCCTGAAGGACTTCCTGTAGTCCAAGATGACAGTTTCATACACTGATTTTTTAAACTGCCACCAAACTAGGAATATGACAAACAGTAGACAATCATCTCCTTTATCCAATGAAAATCTTCCCACATTAGAAGGAAGACATAGGAGTGATTCCAAGCAGTAGCAAGTTTAAAAAGTGACTTTGATGCTTTAGAATTAACTGGAAGAATCTGACAGCCTCTCCTATTGATTCCCTCTATTCCAGCTACTGTAGCTTCCTTGATAACCTCAAATACTCCAAGTTCAAGCCTCAGTGCCTTTGAATGTTCTGTCCATTCTTTCTGGCACTCTTCTCCCCCCAGACATCCCCATAGTTCACTCTGTCATTTCACACAGGTCCTTGCTCAAATATGCACACAACAGAGAGGGCTTCTCCACCATTTTGTCTAAACTAGAAACTCTATCACTTCTCATCCTTTTACCTGCCTTTCCCCACTTCATCAGCATTTTTAATACCTGACATTTCATATAGTTGGGTGTGTGTTTTATCTGACTCTCCACACTGGAATGTAAACTCCATGAGAGGAGGGACATTGTCTCTTCTGTTTGCTGATGTGTTCTCAGCATTTGAAATAGGGCCTGACATATAATAGGGCATAATAACTATTTGCAAATGAATGTGCTTGCAGTTGAGGGATCTTGACAGATGTAACAGGTCTTGTCCCCAATGAGCTGAGAGAAAATCTGACCAATAAATACCCTGAATTTCCTCCTTCCTTGATTTCCCTGACAGCCATTAGGACACTACATTGGATGACATCTGAAATGAAAAATCAAGGAGAACAGCAGAACTAAAAAGGAAAATTCCTTTTTACTTCAAGTAAGTCTTATAAAGGATCCAGAATTCCTAGTTTATCTGAGAGAGCACCTAAGGTGGGAATATCCATCATTCCTTCAAGGATACCTCAAACAAACAAAAATCAAACAATCAAAAGCGGCTTGCAATGCACATATAGATTCAGGATAAGTTTCATTTTATCCACCTTTCCTGCCAAGCCTCCCTTCCAACAACAAAGTTATCCTTCCATTACAAAAATTCAGGAGACATCACTATCGAAAAGGTAAGTAAGATACAGTCTGACTTAGTTGAGCATGGGGAAGCTGTTTCAAGATTCAGATCTGATAAGAAAGGCAGCTCAAGTGTAGGGGTGGAGAGCCTCTGAGGTTCACTAGAAGAAAGAGAACTGACAAGGGTGGAGTGTAAATGAGAGAGATTAGGAGAGAGGAGGAGGAAAAATTAAGGGGTGTCTAAGAACCAAGATTATGAGAAGTGGAATGAAGAAGTCGCCTACTAATGGATGTTATTTTCAACCTTCAGTTCTACATATAACAAAGACTCTCTAGGAGACTGCCTCTTTGCCCCCATGCCAATCTGCCCCTTCACTTCCTACCGGCATCACATATAAGCCACTGATGCATGTGGCTCATTTTCTTTGAGCTTTTATGAGGTTTTGGTTGGTAAGACCATCCCACTGTGTTCACATTCTGTTTACCTACAATACCACTATATGGTATTCAATCGAAGGGCATTTGAAAGTGGAATGAAAGGAAATGAAAGCTTGTCCTCACTTTGAATCACATATCAGGAGCTGAAATTAGATCCCACCCACTGAGAAGGGAGAGCCTGTGTCACCCAACAAACTCAGCCCCCTTGGCGCATCCAAAGTTTCACATCCCTGCCCCCTGGGCTTTGGCACCAGGGATTCCATGGCTGTGCCCGGGATGAAAGCACTGTCCTTAGCTTGCTCTGAGGCAAAAACAGCCTGCTTTTAATTAGAAGCAGGAACCGTTGTTAGATTTCTATTTTTCTATCTTTTTTTTTTCTATGCTCGATGGCATGATGTGTGTTACATATTTAATTAAAGAGGATCTAATGAGTACTTCTAACAGCCCTGGGGTCAGAAGAGCCACTGCAGAGATTCATGCAAATGAGCCAGGCTTTATTGCTTCCCTAGTGAGCAGCAGTGATGTTGTCCAAAATGGCAGAGTCAGGGGGGAGCCCATCAGCTTTCCAACTTCCACAGGAAAAACCCGAGGGGAGGCAAACAAAGAGGTGGGGAGGAAAATTTGTAGGCTTTGTGTATGGGCCCAGAAATAAGTCTAAATACATAATAGTGATAAGTCTAAACTTCTGAAATAAAGTGTACAAATAAGCCAAATGGGGCAATGGCCTAGGCCAGACAACAACCCAAAAGAACCAAGACTCAATACACAGGGACACACTTTTTGACATAGGAAGATAATTAGAAAAGAAGAGTGAAAAAAGGAGAGATAAAACAAAATGTGCTAGGTCACAAGTCATTTGAATTTTATTTTGTGGGAAGTGAGTCACTAAATGTGCTTGCTTCACCAGGCTCTAGTTGTTTTTTTTTTTTCCTGAGACAGAGTCTCGGTCTGTTGCCAGGCTGGAGTGCAGTGGTGTGATCTCTGCTCACGGCAACCTCCGCCTCCCAGGTTCAAGCAATTCTCCTGCCTCAGCCTCCCGAGTAGCTGGGACTACAGGCATGTGCCACCACACCCAGCTAATTTTTGTGTTTTTAGTAGAGACAGGGTTTCACCACGTTGGCCAGATGGTCTCGATCTCTTGACCTCATGATCTGCCTGCCCTGGCCTTCCAAAGTGCTGGGATTACAGCACGCTCTATTCTTATACCTGTTATAGCACTTGCCTTGTGAGTTACCAACAGACATATCTATTTCTCCATTATAATCTGAAATGACTCCTCAGCACTGAGGACCTGGTATCTCTCTGCTCCCATGACTCCTACTAATTCCTTCCATGATATCAGGTATCCCACTATATTACAATTGCCTGTTGAGTTTCTGTCTACCCTGCCTGAGTGTAGGTTGATTGAGTGCAAGGATTTTGTTTATTTTTTTTCTCCATTTTATTTTTGTCTTGTTCATGCCTAGCATCTAGCACAGTGCCTGGAATATAATATGACCTCAATTAGTTATTATTGAATGAATGAATGATCGTAATGTAATCAGTTTGATTTGAGGCTATTCTCAGCATACTTAGGGCATCCAAAACAAAGGCACACTTCAAATTTGTCCCTGCAAGCACTAAAGAGTTGTTTAGACTTTTGCTGAGTCCACAGTTTGGCAAATGGGGAATGATATCATATTGCATATTATGCCAGAAGACTTTTAAGAAACTGCCCTTTACCTAAGAGACAGAATAAGAATTTTAATGCATTGTCCTTTATTGGAACCCTGTTTAGAAAATAAAATTTAAATATTAAAGACATTTTTGAGATAATTGGGAGATAATTGATATTAGATGAAATTCAGAAAGTATTTTTGTTAGATGATAATGGAATTGAGTTATGTAGAAGACTGTTTTATGGTGATTTTTAAATATAGCTACAAATCCTTTCACAGTCACATTGAAGAGGGGGATCTTTGTCCCTTCCACTTGAATATGAGTGTGCTTATGCCTACTTTGACTGTCAGGATTCAGTGGAACTGATGATTCATAGCTTCCGAGGTGATACCAGAAAAGTCCATGCAGGTTCCATCTGGTTCTCCTAGAACATCCTTCTCTGAAATTCCCTTTCTTAAGAGGCTCCCATTCTGAACCCAAACACATGATGTGAGATGCTTCCCTTCCACGACTGTGCCCAGGATGAAAGCACAGGGAGGGGAAACATTTGGCTATTCCAGTCCACAGGCCCAACTAAACCCAAAGTTTGAGTCATTCCTGAGCTTATTTGCCCAGAATCTTCCAGATAATTTCAGTCCCCAGACATGTGAATACTCCTGGCTGAAATTCTAGATATTGTGGACCAGGGACAAGCCATTCCTCTGTGCATTCTTGATGCATAGAATGAGTGTAATGAAACAGTAGTTATTTTGTACCATTAAGTTTGGAGGGGTTTGTTAAACAGAAAAAGTAACTCAAACTGTCCCCATGATATCTTTAACTTACTTTTAAATGGTTCCAAATAAAAGTGGGTAAAGATAGCCAGATAGGTATATTGAACTAATTCAACAAAAGATTGATAATTGTCAAATCTAGATGCAAATATATTGTTATGCGTTGAAATATTTTTCCAACCATTCTGTAAACTTTAAAATTTTCATAACGAAGTTTTTGTTAAAGTGCTTTTAAAAATCTTTCTTCCCCCACCCCCAAGTTCTTTTTGTCACAGAAACCTACATTTATGACTCATGTATCTCTTTGATTTCTCAGACATCTCTTTCTCCTACTTCCCTCAGAGCCATTTTCTTTGGTGTCTATGCCTTTCCCAGTGAAAGCAAGAAAAACTTTCTCTCTTCTTTGGTATCTGTTATTTTACAAGGCAGAGGGTTTATTAGGAATGTAAATACTAATACTAATACATCCTTTTTTTCAAATTAATAAAATACTTTAAAAAATTTTAGAAACTACTATGATTAGTAAAACAGAAGACTTTCATTAAATTTGATGTTTATTGGTAAACCTACAGCAAAAACTCCCTGCATTCAAAACTTAAAATTTTCTGAAGCAATGCTACAGATTACTATTCTCGTGAAAGATAGCAAAGCTTGTTTTTAACTGATTACAAGTCAAATCCAAGGCAAAAATAGGGGAAAATGATCTAATTAAAAATGTTTCTTTCTCTGTCCTCTCCACCCCGTATTTCCTTTACTGCATGATTAACTCTTAATAGCCCAGCAGAAATTCTTTCCTCCTTTACCAGCCCCTGGTCACTTCCCCAAATAATTGTACCCCTTACCTCTTGAAGAGCCCTGCTCCCCTGAGGAGCAGAACTAGAGTGAACCTTGGAATCCCAATTCTGTTATAGACAAAATCCCTTACATCTTTGATACTTTCTTTAAGTACTCCTCCCCATGTGGCCACATAAGTTGAAAACTACTTTTCTCCTTGATAACACCACTTCCTTCCTATATATCCTTTCCAATAACATGAAGAAGAAGAGGAAGAAGGAGGAGAGGAAGAAGAAGAAGAAGAAGAAGAAGAAGAAGAAGAAGAAGAAGAAGAAGAAGAAGAAGAAGAAGAAGAAGAAGAAGAAGAAGAAAAAGAAAAAGAAGAAGAAGAAGGGGAGGAGGAGGAAGAGGAAGAAAAAGGAGAAAAAGGAGAAGAAGGAGGAGGAGGGGGAGGAGGGGGAGGAGGGGGAAGAAGAGAAGGAGGAGGAGGGGGAAGAGGAGGGGGAGGGGGAAGGAGAAAGAGAAGGAGAAATAGAAGAAGAAGAAATAGAAGAAGCAGCAGAAGCAGCAGCAAGCTATTTTTCACTGAGTACATAACATATGGTGGGTTTTATGCTACTCTCTTTTAATAATTATTTTAATCAATCATCACAGCAATCCCATGAGGTGAGTTCACCATTATTGCTGCTTTAGAGACGAAGAGACTGAGGCATAGGGTGACTGAATAGCTTATCCATGTCCACCCAGTTGGGAAGTGACAGAAACAGGATAGAAACCAGGTAGTCTGATCAAGAACCCATGCTTGTAACCATTACACATATTGTCTTCCTCAGAGATCCTCCTAATAAGCTCTATTTCTCCACTCTGCCACCCAGAACCAGAAGGGATCATTCTGTGTACACCGCAGCATCCAGAACAGTGTCCCTCACCATCCCCAGACATCTGCTACTACTTGAATCCCATACCATAATGTCCTCACCGTCAACCTAGCTCCAGGACATTCACAGCTTCTCCCTTGACATCGGCATGTGAATTCCATTATGCTTCTGCCATCTTTCCCTGGAACTATATGCCAACATTTATTCTTATGATCTCATCACTCTCTAGCACCTTCAGAGACTAGCTAATATATCTACCATCACAGCTGCACATCACCACCACTCAGGTTCTTGAACTTGCAACCATTTTTAAAAATGATTTCTCTCTTCTTATTCTCTACTTCTCCTTCACTGGCACTTCTACTGAACTGGGTTTCTTTCCTAGCCACAAGTTCCAGTAACCATGCCTTTCCTTATTCTCTTGTAACTCCATTCCTGGCTCATTCCTCTTCCTACTCACCTTAATGTTATATGGAGTCATTTCACCACCACTTTCCAATGCCTCACTTTCTGTGACATTTTCTCTTTGATAGTTCTCAACTTTAGTAAACTACCCTTTGCTTTTTCTGTTCGCCCTCCAAGGCTGTAAAATGCAACTAGAGAATTGCATGAAAATATGTTTAATTTTTGTTAGCCATTTTGCTAAAAGATTAAGTCATTTGAATTGAACTCAGCTGGCCTTTCCATCTCATCTTAATCTCATCACCTCCTTATCTCACATCAGTTCCACATTTCATTCTCCCTGGTAGTTACCAACGTTCCTATCTCCTCATCCATCCAACCCACCCATTTTCTTACCCATCTCATCCCACGCATCTCACTCCCAGGCGATCCTGAAAATTATGTGCTTGACCTGCCATGAGCCTAGAATGCCTTTCTTTGCTCTCTCTCATTCAAAGCTCCTAAACAGAAGCAGTCCATGATTCCTCTTAAAACAAAACTCACCACCTAGGTTGTTTCCCTACCACTTTCTGCTTTCACAAAGATCTTGCTGTATCAAAAATTCCCCCACCCTTTGTCTCATAGCTTGAGCCATTCTCTCTGCTCTAGCTGTTTTTGCTTTATTTACGAACATATTTCTATCTCTCTTTACCTATAAAATTCCCTTCTGCTGTCTTGCTAATCTATCTCTTGCTATTTTTAAACTGCTATCTATCCCCTCAACAAAGTTGTGTGCCCCCTCAGTGAAGAAAACTGCATTCATATCGTAACCATCCATTAGCTCTTTGCAAGATAGCTTCCTCTTATCAGTCTCTCAAAATGGTTCTCCCAAGGATGCCGGTGATCTCTACATCACTAAACCAACAATTGTTTCTTAGCCCTTATTCCCTGACTTTTCTAAAGAATTTAAAATCTTTAATTATTCTCTTTCTCATGAAATTTTATCCCACATGGATCTCTTGTTCTCTTTCTTTCTTCTCTTTCTTTGTAATTCCTCTTTCTCAAAATAAGACTCCTGAGGTCTTTTATCATCTGGTTCCATTAGATCCCTTGCTTTTTCTAAGCTCCTGCAAATTGGCACCTCTAGGCAAATTTACATGCAAATGCATATTTTCAGCCTCTGCCTACTTTCCCTGGACCTCCATTCTGGAATTGCCAAAGTGCTCCCGGATATCTCCATAAACTGCACACACATTTAAGACCCAACATCGAAACCTGGACCCCCAAAGTTTTTACCATAACTAGCTGATTGCTGTGTTTGAGACCACGCACTCCTCAGTACAATAAATCACGAAGTTCTCAAATTTTGCTTTGGAACTCCCACTCCTACTGAATTCTCTCACTAGCCCTTTACCTGGATGTCAATAGCCCAAACAGTGCAGCTGTCATCATAGCACTCCTCTGCTCAAGAGCCTTCAAAGGCTCTCTACTGCCACCACATCAAGCCCAACGTTTTGAACTGACTGTCAATTACTTCCATGTTTTATCCACCCTAATTTTTCAGCATTATCTCATCTTCTATTATGCACTTATTCACTTACCTGATAGACCAGTGTTTGAAAAGTTTAAATTATATTAAAAGTGTGTGTCAACATCGTGTATAAAACAATGGTGTCTATCGCAACATACCTCTAAATATTCTACAGGAGAGTGTAGTGGTTAAAGTCATGGGTACTATTGTCATAATAAAGCAGTTTAGAGTCCTAGTTCAGCCCATTTGGAAGTTGTATGTCCTGGGAAAATTACATAATCTCTCTAAGCCTCAATTTTCTCATCTATAAAATGGGTGCTTTTAAGAATTAAATGAAATAGTGCAAGCAAAGTGCTGCCCACAGTACCTGGCATGTAAGTAATAGTTTAAATGTTTACTGTTTTTGCCATGTCAAATTGTTTTATAATAGTATCTTTGCTACTTTAATCTGGGCCCCACCCAGAGTTGGCCTCATCCCAAGCCAACTGCATAAGCAAGCAATGCATTTCTATAACAGAGAATTTGGACTGAGTCTCATCAGCCAGTGTTCTATTATCTTTGGTTGGAAGAAACTAACCATGTGATTTATAATCTCTCACTTTTCTGAAGGTCACTTAATTTGATGAGTACAACTGTCCAAAACCAATAAAACCAGAAAATGAGCATCTGAATGTTCTGAGCAGCCAAATAGAAGTACAAGGTAGCTCCCTTACTCAGTGGAGGTTTTTTCACTGGTGTTCTCTGTCCTCTTTAACCCCGAACCAGCTGACCAGGTTCTTTCTGAATGGGAATCAAGTATCTGAGTTCTAGTTCTGAATATACCAGGAGATCTGTGTGTGACCAGGTGAAGGAAATAAATTTTCTGGGCTTCAGTTTTCTTATCTGTAAAATTAAAAAAACAATTAGAAGAATTTTCCCTACTCTCACCTAAAATCCCCAGGAATGGCACATGTTAGGTAATCAGCAAACAATGTGCTCAGTGAATAAATAGCTGCTGTGAGGTCAGATGAGTTATTAAGAGCAATCACCCTTCAAAATATGAAACAATAATTTAAATCTATATCACGCATTATTAAATACCAGATGATAAGTACCCTGAACGCCTAGGTTCAAAGGATTTAATCATTTCAATGACACCTCTCCATCTTCCCAAAACCTTCGGCCTCTCATAAGAGCCCTTCCTAAACTCTTCATGGCAGCAGTGTGCAGAAAAAAGCAAGGCAGCCATCCGAGTGAGCCAGTCTCTGTGCATTCCCAGCACTTGGGGATCTAACTAAATATCAATAATTTCTCCAGGATGCCCGTTACTCATTCCTTTTAGCATTCAGTGAGGTCATAGAGCGAGGGAGGTCCGTGATGCAGCGGGAGCTTCTGGCTCCTGTCACCTGGTCTGTCTGCTCCTCATGTAACCCCAGCCCGCAAGCAGGCCCAGAGGTGCCTCCCTTGCATGCAAGCCCCTGAGCTCGCTCCAATTGTCTCCAGGAGTCTCGGCCCTCTCTCGGCTGGGAGGAAATGACTGAGGTAAACCTTGGCACCACAAACCCCACAGCCATAAATTTCACTTACATCTAGTAAAACACAGGCATCCAAGTAAACCCATAATCCTATAAACTTGCCAGCAATCAAGCTCACAGTTTAACATGAAGATGGACAGGTGCACTCAATCAATACCATCAAGGTTACAGCCTGCATTTTGTAGGCTGCTCCTGTGTTGAATCTTCTGTTGTTCTTGTTGCTGTTTGTTTTCTGCCTGGGAGGAAATAACGAATGCTCTTGCTTAGTCCTCTGTTACATTGCCCTGTGCTTTGGAGTGCAGCTAAACCTTGAGGCTGACCAGATGTGGAATGTGCAGGAGCAGAGAGGCCCTTCTTGGTGTGGTCCTGCTCTGTACCCAATCCCATGACCCCCAGCCTGGAAGGCCACTCTCTGGCCAGATCAATGACTTAGACTCCAGTTGCCTCTAAGATATAAAGGTAATTTTCTCAGCCTGGGCTCGGGATCTCTGCCCCAGGGGCATCTGACTTTTCCATGGATTTCCTTGACCCTCTAGCTGCCATCATGGGCTGCTACCCACCAGGAACAATTTACCCTGTGTTGGGTTGCTATGGTTATGCAATTTACAGGGGAGTTGATATAAAGATTAACATTTGAAAGAGTATTTTTAAAAAGTTCATCGGTTAACATTTCAACAGGCAACAGCCCCCTGAAACTACAAGGGGAGAAGCTGTGACTCCCAGCAGCTTTCCCCAGATGCATCTACCGTCTCTGTGCATCTTCCTCCATCTCCTTTATTGACTCCATGCTTCTCTCATTCTCTCCCTTCTGCATGACTTTCACTCTCTTCCCCTCCCTCTACAGACCTCTTCCTTGTTTCCTCCCACTCTTTATTGATTTGACCAACACATAAGCAACATCTACTCTGTGTATGCCTCTATTTGCATCGCCCCTTCTCTTCCTCTACCCTTGCCCAAAATAAACTTACCTCACCTGATTATTATATGAAAGTGAAGTTATAGCTTTATTTTCACAGTATCGCCCTTTTTATAAGAATAAAGAAAGTGTCTATACATGCCTCTCCATAGATTTCCTTGATGTTGAATTATCTCTCAAAATTTTTCTTACTTCTCTTATCAATTGAAATAAAGATTCATAATGGAAAACGTAAATGATCAGTAAAGGAAAATACATCTAAGAAACAGACTAGATCTGCCCTTTGACAGAATCAAAAGAGATTTTGGTAGCTAAAGACTTTTTTGTCTGCAAATTCTAAATGGCATTCCTAGTCAGGCCTTCTGACTATTGACTTCCCTGATGCGGATGTTCTCTGTTGGCTCAGGTATCAGGGCCCAGTATTTGCCAAGTCTTGTTCATTATCCTGGGGGCATGAGTCATTACAACATACAGAAGAAATGTTCCTGGCAGAATGCAAGTCTGATACCTGCAAGTAACAACATCAAAGAGATAGGAAGGCATTGGAAGAAATCCAAGCCTATTTCTCATGTAAGTATCTATGTTTCTCTTGTCCACAGTTCAGGCAATTCTTGAAGTTGAGGTAAAAAAAAAAAAAAAAGTGGTTAGGTGGCATAAAAATGATTGCTAAGAAAATCCAATCACGTAGCAATATTCTGTCTTAAAAAGTCATACAACTCACACTCATTAAAAAATTATGTATATTCTCATACCAACATGATGTTGCTGAAACATGATCCTCACTGGTTAGATCCTCACGCTGGAAGATAACACAAGAGCAAGTCTGCTTTTACACTCTCTACCTCCCAGCAGGTAAACCAGAAAATAAACCCTACCTGCTCCAAGTCAAAGAAGCTGATTTGAAAAACATAACCGCAAAATAGGTCTTCAAATGTCAGAGATATTAGACTAACATGAATAACCACCAGAACCAGTGGTCTACTCCCCTAACCTGGTGCTTCAACTCACATAGTTTTGTTTAATTTTTGAGACAACCTCATGTCTTTAATATTATTGCTATTTCCACTTTGTGAGTGAAATGTCAGGGCCAGAAACGAGATATCAACATGGTTTATGCACCATGCTGCCCCTCCTGGGCTTGGACTGACTTGACATGGATGAGAACTAGTCTAAATGCCATTGGCAAGTGGGCAAAAGATGCAATTATCCAGCACACTCGGTGCTGGAAGAGTAACTGAGCAGCTCTTTTCCCCTCCTGCCTCTCCAGACCTGGTGATAGGGCTAAACCCTGCAAAGAGGGTAGACTTCAGCTAGTGTGGATAATCTCCTTCAGACACTGGTGGATGGGAAATATATAGATATATATACTCTGTCATTAAAATAGCCCTGTTTTTCTAAGCTGCTAATAGGATTATTCAAAATGTTTAAAGCAAAATCCCAAAGCCTATTATTGGTTTGCCAAAGAAACTAAGTCCTTTTTTAAAAAAATTTAATCTTTCTATGAATGTTGATTCTGAGTCAGGAAAACAAATGGGCACCAGTTTCTCAGCCATGCCAGGCACTCAGCATCCAAGGACTTCTCGAGTCTAGTGTGCTTCCCCAGTGTTTTCACTAGGCATTGGTCCTTCCGTTGGGCACCTCCTCTTCCTCTCCGTGCCTGGACCGCCTTGCTCCTTCCTTGCACCCCCACAGAAACATGGAATGCATCAAATGCCAGCTCAGCAAGACTTCCTAAGGTACCTATGCAGATGCAGCCAGTAATTTCATTCTTCCACTTCACACTCATTTGGGATGGTAAGAACACGCAGCTGCCTGATGGTTATTTTTTAAGTGCTCTTCAGTCACTTCAAGTTAGCATGTTTTCTCCATTAATGAGATTTTAAGGAATTTGAGGACTAAGAAAGATTTCTGTTTCTTTATTCTGGATTATGCTATCCCTCTCTCTTAACTCCAATTCTCCATCACCACCACACCTCATGATATGGTTTGGATCTGTGTACCCACCCAAATCCCATATTGAAATGCAACTCTGAATGCTAGAGGTGGGGCCTGGTGGGAGGTGATTGGATCATGGGGGCAGTTCCTGATGGTTTTGCACCATTCTTTTGGTGCTATTCTCATGACAGAGTTCTCACGAGATCTGGTTGTTTAAAATTGTGTGACGCCTCCCCCATCTCTCTTCCTCTTGCTCTGGCCACGGAAGACAAGCCTGCTTCCCCTTTGCCTTCCGCCATGACTGTAAGTTTCCTGAGGCCTCCCTGCTGAAACTGAAGTGCTTACATCCTTCTACTTGATGGGTCTCATATTTTGCAGTTAATGGTAGGAAACTACAATTCTATAATTACAGTTATAGAAATTATAGTATATAATTATATTTCTTTTTATAATATTACTTCTCCTTTTACCTTATTTGATATAGTTGGCTAGCCACTATGCTTCCTGTATGGCCTGCAGAACTGTGAGCCAATGAAACCTATTTTCTTTACAAATTACCCAGCTTCAGGTACTTCTTTATAGCAATGCAATAATGAATTGATACATTTCATGAATATCCCATGTGTTGGCATATGCAAAATACACAGTGCTGATTGATTAGGAGAGTGCCAGGGTCAGGTATCAGCCTTGGCAGAAGGAACTGCTTTTCGTCTGAAATTGTGATCATAAGTTCGATTAAACATTATGGAACATCTTTTTGAAAGAGAATATCCAAGCAAATAAAGACTAAAGAGTGAGCTGCATAGAGATATAATATCTAGAGTGGTCAAACAGTTGTAAACATAGGTTTACGAGGTCTTTTATAGAAGTTATTTATGAAATGCAGAGCAGAGCACCTCTCCAGGTAGATGAATCACTCCAGCATGTTTCTTCTGCCTCATCTCTTATTTCTTTTCAGGCTCCATCCTCTTTCTCACCTATATGCCCTATGCCATGGCCACTAATATTACTGAGTATTGCTTAAACATCACCTCTTCTATAAATACCTTCTCTAACCACTGTCTGCACTCCCCACACCTCCACACGTCCCCTGACAGCTGTACAGCTGTCTCTCGTGCATCCAAGTTCCCATGACACTTTGAGTTGAGCTCTACTTGATCTTCTATTATAATCAATTCGTATTCATTTAAAAAATTTCCAATGCCAAGAACATAAAGTAGGACCATAGAGCTCATAATAAGTGTTTAGTGAACATTCGAGATATGAGTTGCTGAATGAAGCTGACTAGTAAGTCTTATTTCTCCTAAGCTGGGTTTTATCACCATGTCATTCTCCTTTATGTTTCTACTCTAAGCACAAACTGCTGAAACTGGAGTCCTTCCCTCCTTCTACCTGATGAGCCTCCCATTTTGCGATTAATGGTAAGAAATTACAGTTCTATAATTACAGATACAGAAATTATAGTGTATAATTCTATAATAATAGAATATATTTAATAATAGAATTATATAATAGAATATATAATAGAATTATATTTCTTTTTAGAATATTAGTTCCCGCTTTACCTTATTATATATATACTCACACACATAAAAACTCTAGTATGATATAGTTGCATTCTGCCTAGGTGGATGGGGAAGTCCTCTTGGATTGTGTTTGAAGGGTTAGGTAATTTGTCTGAGAGATATGGGGAGAAGAGTTGATATTATGGAGAAAGAGGCAATTAACATCACAAGGTCATTAAACTGGCAATGGAAGAAAGCACTGATTTACATTCCCCCCAAGCCATCTGGGTGCCTTAAAATAGGAGACAGTCAGTAATGAAAACAAAAAAAAAATTTGAACATACCCATTTTGTAGACCCCTTGGGTTTGGATTTCAGTAGAATCTGCATCTTGGGAGGACTCTGAGTCAGTCTGCTACACTCCGATGCCTATGTTTTCAGAGCTAAGTGACACCCAGAGCAGGAAGAGATGGCAGACGTGCTAAGAGGGGAAGGGGAAGTTAAAATGCCAAGAAGAGCAAATTGAAAAAGTGGCTACTCAGTGAGAACTATAAGCCAAACAAAATCTGGGGTTTGGAGACAGCTGGAGAAGAAGACATTGGTTTTTAAAATTTTGCAACAAAAATTTTGATCAGGCAGTTCATCTTATATTAAAAAAACAGAAACCATCACATATAAAGCCCCTCATCCTCTGAACATCATATGGGCAAATACATTTTTCCTTTATTTATCTTCTTCTTCCCTCATGTAACAAAACGCATCCCATCTACTCATTTACTCTAGTTAAAAAAACAAAAACGAAAAACAAAACAGTTATCTTTGATTCCTCTTGTCTTTCTTCCCCATCAACCATTGAAACAGTAAATTCTTAATACCCCTTGAATCTGTTTCCCACGTGGTCCATCTTCACAGTCATTACCTGTATCCAATTGGCCTTTCTCTCTCGCTCTCTAGCCTGGCTGCAATGTTGCTAACCCTTATGCATCCCTAAGCTTTCCCTAACTACCCTATCGAAAGCAGATCCCTTCCACAATTGTCTATTTTTCATAGACTTCTCACAGATTGCAATTATTAATGTGTGTTTTTTAACCTGTTCTTAGATCATACATTAAAATGTAAGCTTCCTGAGGACAGGTGCCATGTGGAACTGTATTGTTCACTGTGTTATCCCCAGGGACCACGATTGTGCCTTAGACATAGTAGGCTTTCGGATAGTTGAGTGAACTCAGGCAATGCAGATAAATTTTAAAATCAAATGTGAAAGTATTGTAATCTTTTTACAATGCACTTTTATGACTTTCAGGACATATAACATATTCCTGATGAGACCTAAGGTATTGAATGGATAAGACTCATTTATAGTTGGCAGCATCTATTTGTACCCATCTGCATCCCAGTGATTAATGCCAAGTTCTTAGAAGCAGTCTGCTCCCTTAAGGAGGCAGAATTTATGTTTAAATCTGATGCAAGTGGACTGAGTAATAGGATAACTTGACTATATATTGTTTTGAATTGTTCTCTAGGTGTCTCACATGTGAGAGCCTTTTCAAACTGATTGTAAGATCCTCAATAGGGAGGAGTTTGCCCTCTAATTTCTCTTTATTAAAATTCTAGAAACTGCAAACTATTCTTTCCTCTAATTCTAAACAAAGAGCATGCATGAGGTAAGGGGTGTGTGTGTGTGTGTGTGTGTGTGTATGTGTGTGTGTGTGTGTGTGTGTTTGATCGCAATGCTCCACTGCCAGTGTCCCAATCATGCCTATGAATAATGTGTGAGAATCTCGTAGGATCTTTTAATCTAAGTGAAGAATGCATTTCTGCTGTGCTTCCCTGTTATTTTCTATTGCTATTCAGAATAAAATTGAAAAGAAAATGTGGCATAATTTCATATAAATAGTCTGAAATATTAATTCTATGACGACAAGAAACAACGTCTGTTTTGTTCATTGTGGATTTACCAGTCAGCACAGAGCTTCATGTCTGGTGCATTGTAGGTGCTCAATAATAGCAGCTGAACTGATATAAAAATTCCTTCTGGTTTGGATGATTTCCATAGAATATTGGGTCTTCTTCCTGGCCCAGTACTTACTTCACTGGTCTCATAGTAGGCACTTGCAAAATAAACTCCTGTTGATTTCCTTTGACAGCTTGGGTTCCATCAAGTCAATACCTTCTTATGGGTCCTGTCTCTCCAGCTAAGCTCTTTTGGGGAAATGATATCTTCCCAGCAGTTTCAGTGGCTATGTAGTTTATCTGTAGGCAGCTTTAAAAACAGGCCAACCAAACAAGGGGCTCAGGGATCTAAAAGGATCTTTAATATAGCCAAGCTCATGGGGGCATCCTACAGGTCTGAGCCCTGCAGGATACTCAGGGAAGGACACTGCCCATCTCAACTCCCTCTGGCACTCCCAGAGTTAACACTTCAAGCCTTTATCCCTGTACCTTTTCTGTTCTCAGATAACTCTGAAATGGCTGGATTAAGAATGTCAAACTTGGCCTTTAGGTAATCCTCAGTGCAGAAGTCAGCAGAGTTAAATTTGAAGGGAAAAATGGTTAAAAGATAAAGAAGTTCTGAAGCAGCATGAGGAGTAGGCACTCCTCATTTTGGAGGGACACGGAGACATTTTCAAAAGGCTTCACATCAATTAGGAGGCTCGGTATTTTCCGTCTATTCACCACAGCCCCTGTGGTGTGGGCTGCAGGACTACAAATCAGAAGGAAACCCTGAAGACCTGCCACATTTGGAATCTCACAGCCAGGGGGATCTCTCCATTTTTTCAGCTCTGGCTCTTGGCTCAACAGCCTGGGCTCAGGCCCTGGTGCTGTCACTGGTGAGCTATATAGGATCTTGAACAAATTGCTTCACCGCTTGGAACTTGTTTCTCGCCTGGAAATTGGAAGCGTTCATAGTGTTTATGTTACAGAGCTGTTGTTGTGAGTTTACCCAAAACAATACCTCTTACGGGGCATGGTGCATATTAAGTGCTTATTCAATGTGATCTATGCCACCACTGTTATCATCTTCTTCATCATCATCTGGAACAGTCCTCATCCCTTTCCTCTCCCTCTACCAGCACAACAGCGTGGCCTATCAGGACCCACCATCCTGTCTGGCAGTAATGGGAGGGGGAATCGCTCTCTCATTGTTCTTCCCCCCTGCTATTTCGATTTCAGCACCTGCCAGCTATAGCCTTGATTAGGACACCAGCTTTGAGCCTGGCTACTTGGCATCCTGAACCTTTCCACCCTAAATTCCTCCTGCTCACTCCTTTCTTTTTCACCTTGACTCCAGCTACCCTTCTAAATGCATCTCTACCACTGTGGTCTATTTGGATATCTCACTGTCCCAATTAATGTGTTTGCCACACAGCCCTTCTGGTGTTTTCTGTGTGTGTATGTGTGTGTGTGCGTGTGTGTGTGTGTGTTTTGAGTGTATGTATGTGTGCACACACACATGAGTGAGTGTTTGGCAATTCATCTAATAGACCATCCCTGTAAATACAATAATTAGATCTCTCTAGGGATCTTAAAATTGACTTCCAATATCGAGGTGCTACAAAGACTAAAATTCTGCCCTTAGAAATATTTTCATGTGGGTTAAGCATTGGACTCACCCAGCTGTCTTTTTTAAATGCCAAAATCCTGTATCGGGATCACTCATGTCTTAATATGAATTCAATTTTCAGGTATTTTTTCTTTCATTCAAAGACCCAGTAGGCTAGGCAGGGAGTAGGTTTGTATATGTCAGGGAATGACAAGCTAGAGTCTCCAGACAAACTTCATCTAGGGCCTACTGAGCACAAATTCCTCCTTGCAATAGTATCGTCCTTGTCCAAATGTGTTGTTCTAATACTACAAATTTGTCAAAGCTGTTCATGCTGCCACCCCCAAAGCTTCAGAGCTGTGGGAGAGGAGGCTGGGTGCGGGCCATTAACGTTCATTTTTACGACCCACAACATCCATTAAGTCCTGGCCCTCCAGCCACTGCCAGGAGATAGAGGGCATTTCTCTAGAGCTAAGAGACAGTGCGATTATTTTTATGTAACTATCCCTATCCACAGTGAGACACTGTACAGGGCCAAAGCCATGGTGCCTACTCAGCTCAAAACACAGGGCAGAGATCTCTGCAAGATCTCAACACAAAAGGAAGGAAAACAAATGTTAAGTTTCCAAAACTCAGTCTGAGAAAACTTCATAGACCATTGCCAGCCCAGAGGGGTTGTGGTGTTGTTGTTCTTTGTTGCTATTTGTTTGCTTTTTAAACACCCTTAAACTAAAATCGTCTTCCTACCTTTATGTTTGTTGTTTTTTACGATAATGATTTTTTGAAGAGTCCCAACCAGTTGTTTTATAGAAGAATGTCTCTTGTATTAGTTTCCTATTATTGCAAAAGAAATTACCCTAAATTTAGCAGCTTAAAATAACACAAATGTCGGCTGGGCATGGTGGCTCATGCCTGTAATCCCAACACTTTGGGAGGCCGAGGCGGGCAGATCACCTGAGGTCAGGAGTTCAAGACCAGCCTGGCGAAGTTCAAGACCAGCCTGGTGAAACCCCGTCTCTACTGAAAAAAAAAAAAAAAAAAAAAAATTAGCCGGGCATGGTGGCGGGTGCCTATAATCCCAGTTACTTGGGAGGTTGAAGCAGGAGAATCGCTTGAACCTGGGAGGCAGAGGTTGCAGTGAGCCAAGATTGTGGCGTTGCACTCCATCCTAGGCAACAAGAGCGAAACTCCATCTCAAAATAAATAAATAAATAAATAAATAAATAAATAAATAAAACACAAATGTGTCACCACAGGCAGTTTCCACCGGTTGGAATTGTGGGTCTGGGTCCTCTGCTTAGGGCTTCACTAGACTGAAATTGAGGTGTTAGCTGGGGCCACCTTCTCATCTAAGGCCAAGTAAGGGTCTTCACCCAAGCTCACTCATTGTTAGAAGTGTTCAGCTCCCTGCAGCTGTAGCTCTGAGATTGTCAGCTTCTAAAGGCCACCCATTGTTCCCTGCCACGTGGTCCTTTCCATGACACAGCAGTTTGCTTCTTCAAGGTCAAAAAGAGACAGTCCTGCTGCTGCTTCACCCCCAAGGAAAGGGCTAAACCCTTATTTAAGACCTCCTACTGAATGAGTCAGATCACCCCAGAGATTTTTCCAACTGATTATCTTAAAGTCAACTGTTTAGAGGCTTTAATTACACTTGGAAAACGCTTTCACTTTTGCCAATTATATAACATACTCAAGGGACTGACGATCCATCCCAGTCTTCACTGGGTCTGCCCACACTCAAGGGAACGGGACTGCACAGGGCAGGAGGAAGCAGGAATCTTGGGGTCTGTTTTAGGAATCCGCCTATCACATCCTCCACTTTAGAGTTGTCTGATTTGTTTGATCTATTTCCTCCTGATTAAACTCAAATTAAACACATTTGACAAGGTTACTGATAAGGTGTTTCAAACAGGGTTTCTTATTCCCAGTGCCTCTGGTTTCTCTCCCCAGCTTCCACTCACAGACACAGTCCACTCATCCTATCAGAGGCTATGAGGCTCCATTACACTTCTCCTAAGAACATAACAGGAGGGAAAGGTTCCTCACCAAAGCTGGTCCGTGTCTGTCTAATTGCTCTAATCCCACCATGATATTAGCTGACTTGAATGGACACCTCCCCACGGTGTCTCCCATAGGAGGAAGTACCAGAAACTGATGGATAGTGTAGACCCTGGAATATGACTGTCTGAATTTGAATTCTGACTTCAGCACTTACTAGCAACTGATCGAACTCCCTATTTTCCCATATGTAAAATATAGGTATTGATATCTCTACATCAGGTCCACCCTCAATATTTTTAGGGCCTAGAGAACGAGTACAAATGGCAGCCCATGCATCACATGTCAAAACACTCAAAAGTAGAAATCAAGCCAACAAAGCACTAAATAAAACATGCTCTATCTTCCACCTTGACAAATACACATTAAAAATGACCTGGAAGCATAAGGTTTGAGTTCAGCATTCTTGCACCCCATGGAGTTCCTCTCGAAATATGATGGGGTAGGGAAAGCACCCCAGGCTTTTGCCCATAGCTCACTGTCCTACCCTTTTCTCCCCACCCCAGCTCCATCCCATATCACAAGTCATGCAAGCCAGTTGCTGACAGTCCAGCCCATATGAAACTTTCTGTCCATAAGCCACACAGATGGCCAGCCCTTGGCCTAAGGACCTAAGATCATGCTATGGACACAGTCAACCATCAGGATGAACCCAGGTAAGAGGACTGCTCAGAACCTGGACTGGGCTTGGGGATGTTAGAAAATGGAACTCCAGGGTGCCAGGCACCTGGTGGGTATGTCCTCTTGGCCCCATGAAGCAGCTTCATCCCCTTCATACCCTTGGAAAAGGACACAGCTGGAGGCAGGCACACAGGCCAGCTGGAGTGGAGAGTGCAGGTGGGGTCCTCTGTTGTTGGAATCTAAGGGCAACTCTGACTTATCTCAAAAGGTTGTGGTAAGAAATAAATGAGAAAATATATGTTGCTTGCATAGACCAGGGTCTACACATGTGTTAAAAACTTACACATACCAGGCCAGGTGCAGTGGCTCACTCCTGTAATCCCAGCACTTTGGGAGGTTGAGGCTGGCGGATCACGAGGTTAGGAGTTCGAGACCATCCTGGCTAACATGGTGAAACCCCCGTCTCTACGGAAAAAAAAATACAAAAAAATTAGCTGGACGTGGTGGTGGGTGCCTGTAGTCCCAGCTACTTGGGAGGCTGAGGCAGGAGAATGGTGTGCACCTGGGAGGTGGAGCTTGCAGTGAGCAGAGATCACGCCACTGCACTCCAGCCTGGGCAACAGAGCGAGACTCCATCTCAAAAAACAAAACAAAACAAACAAACAAACAAAACTTACATGTACTAGACCCTGGTCTACACATGCAACATGTTAATATTGCAATGTACTAAGAGGCTAACTCTTAGTATGTTCAGGTCATTCATCTAGGGATTGAGAATTGGAGAAATAGGTGGGCATATTGCCAGATTCTCCAGCATCTGGCCCTGAATCCCTCCCTTGCACTTCTGCATTTTCTAGCTTCTTCTCAAACCTGAAGGCAAACAGAGAAGGAAATCTGCAAGCAAGATGTTGTATTTTCAAATCAATTTCTGCAGGCAGAGATGATGTTCTGTTCTAAACCATGCGAGTCAAATTAAAATCCCTACATACTCCTCTACCTCAAACAGAGCCTGCCTGATCAAACCAGTGATCACAGAGAGGAACAAAACACACACCTCACCGTGTTTGACATCCCAGATCCCTTCTTCATTTGGCCAGTATTCATTCTCTGTCTCTCTGAATCCTTCATTCTGTTTGTGAGTTATCATTAATTACAGAGTAAACCAAGAATACATATTAATCTGGGGGATCTCTTCTTTGAAATGCTTCTTTCTGCCTTCTCAGTTTATAGAGAGCTGTGTTGGGAAAGAAAATGCATCCCTGGCTGGCAGACTTTGTCTTCCTTAGAATTTAGGTGTGATCTATATTCAAATGACAGTTTAATGAGCCTTTTCCTATTTCCAGAAACCTTATCACATCATTAAAGCGTAGAAATGAATAATACATCTAGCAGTTGAATTAAGCTGAACTTGAGACCTGACGCATCTTCAAAGGGGGGAAAATGAAGCAGAGGCAAAAGTGAGAGATGTTGAGTTAAAGAGAAGGGGTTAAATGAGGAGGTCACGAGGGGCTATTTTTATTCTGATGTATCAACATAGGTAAATGTCACCAGCATTTTTTAAAGTCTTAAAGTGGCATTTCTATTTCTCTGGGCATGGGCTATAAGAGGATTTTGGAAAACAATCTGCTGCAGCCATCATGGCTAAGGATGAAGCATTTACCTGCCCTGATTTCATTGTGAGCAAGCTGCAAGCTGCCTGCATTAGTGTCCATGCTAATTCTACCCACCTTCTCAGGGCAGGGGAGCTCACAGTGGCTGGAGGCCTCAGCCCTAGGGTCAGAATCTTGCTCAGTCTTCCAGGAGCTGTGTGTCCTTGGGTTGAGTAGCTTGACCTTTTTAGGCCTCCACTTTTTCATCTCTAAAAAGAAAATATAAGTATACCTGCTTTGATAGGTTGTGGAGAAGATTCAATGAGTAACTCTAGAATGAATTAGCGCAGGGCTTGGCACACAGTAAGAGCACCACACTTTTCAGCTATTATTTTTCATTCTGTAATATCTACACATGCTGTTTCCTATGCTGGGAATGATCTCCCTCCTTCTGCCCTTTGCCCAGAGCCACTCTCTAGCCTCAGTCTTCCAGCCCTTTCTCCTTCTAAGAACTCCTACTCATCTATCAAAACCCATTTGAGCTGTTCTCCACTATCACCCTCCCTGACACCCACAGGAAGATCAAGTGCTTCCTTCTCTGAACCTTCTAGATTCTGTTAACATGTTTTTGTTAAGGGAATTAACAAAATCTCAGCAAATTAACACTTTGCTGAGATATTGTGTTTTACGGTGGGTTCTTAGTAAATGTTAGTCAAATGAATCTATATTAATTTTTATCTCCTTCCTGATATTTAGGAATACAGAGGTGACAGTACGTTTCCACATAGCCTTAGGGCTCTCTATGCAATGCCATCAGATGGACATGTTGGTGGCACAAAGCTCCTTATTGCCCCAGAGGGAAACTGTTTGGTAAATATGGCCACAACAGCACACGTTCAAACCTCAACCATGCCACACTCAGCACGTTGGCATAAGAACGACAAGTTGAGTCCTCTTTCGATTTCACTATCCCGGATAAATGTTCTGAAGAGGTTGTAGCTAGGTGTGGTGGCTTATGACTGTAATCCCAGCACTTTGGGAGGCCAAGGCAGGAGGATCACTTCAGTCTCGTAGTTCAAGACCAGCCTGGGCAACATACTGAGTCCCATCTCTACAAAAAATAAATAAAATAAAAATTAGCCAGGTGCAGCAGCACACGCCTGTAGTCCCAGCTACTTGGGAGGCTGAGGTGAGAAGATAGTTTGAGCCCAAGAGGTCGAGGCTGGAGTAAGCCATGACTGTGCCACTGCACTCCAGCCTGGGCCACAGAACAAGACCCTGTCTCAAAAAAAGAAAAAAACCCAAAGAGGTGGTAGACCTGAAAGTCACCACTGACTGCTCCTTTTGTCCTACACACCACACTTGGGGAACTTCCAGGATCTGTTGGCTCTACTCCCCCACGTTTTCCCATCTTCTTTCTCTGCATCCCTCTTACCACACTCCTGGGATCATGTACTCAACATCTCCCTCAAGGTGTAATTTATTCTAACTGGCTCCCATCCATCTTATATGGATATGAATAACATCATTCTTATACTTTTAAACACCATCTTTTTTTTCCTAACAAAAGGAGCCCACACTTCTAGGCTGAGTTAGAAAACCCTTCACACTCTGACCCCAGCTTTCCTTTAGATTTGTATGCTACTACTTTCCTTTGTGAATGTTATGTTGAAGCTAAACCTCTGTGCCATTGTATCTCTGCAGCCAGTGATCTTTTAAATACATAAGTCAGATCACTCTGCTCCTCTGTTTAAAACCTTCCAGTGTCTTATATAATCACATTGGAGCACTGTTTGGCAGTTCCCCCAAAGCCGATCATATGAATACCCTCTGACCTTACAATTTCTCTTTGAATATATACCCAACATAAATCCTCTCACAAGCTCACCTAAAAAACGTACAGAGCTCTTCAGAACAGCACTATTTGTAGTAGCACCAAACTGAAAACTTCCTAAATGCCCGTAACTGTGTAATGGATACATTAGGGATAAATTGTGTTATACTCACACAATACTATACAGCAATGACAATAAATTTTCTAGAGCTATATGCAACAATCTAAATGAATCTCACAAATAATAATTTTGAAGAGAGAAAAGACAAATGCAAAATATTACAAACTGTATAATTCCATTTGTATGAAGTAGAGAAACAGGTGAAATGGGGCAGCATTACCCTTGCAGAAGGTGGTAATTAGAAGGGGTCTGTGGTGAGTTACATTTCTCAATATTTGTGAATTTGAGATTATTAGGAAATATGGTTTCTAAGCATGCAATTAAGTTAAGGATCTAAAGACGAGATCATTCTGGATTTAGGGTGGGCCCTAAATCTAATGACTGGTCTCCTTAGAAGAGAAAGGAGAGGGCGATCTGAGCCATGCAGAAGGAAGACCATGTGAAGATGGAGGCAAAGACTGGAGTGGCGCATCCACAAGTCAAGCAATGCCAAGAATTACTGAAAATCACAGGAAGCCAGGAGAGAGGCACAGAACAGATCCTCCCTCAGTGCCTCCAGAAAGAACCAACCTTGATAGCAACTTTGTTTTACCCTTCTGCCCTCCAGAACTGGGAGAGAATAAACTTCTTTTGTTTTAAGCCACCCAGTTTTGATAACTTTTATAGCATTCCCAACAAATATAAGGACACAAGAGGGGCTACTGAGATGCAGATTCAAATTCTGGTTTTTATTCTATGTGAGTGAGTATATTAAGTTTATGAAAATTCATTGAGCTGTACACTTTCTTATATGTGCACTTTTCAATATGTATATATATACATACCTATTTTACTTTAAAAAAGTAAAAAGTATATATAATTACTCTTTATTCCACTTGAAAGAAGTTTAAAGTCATCATGGTGCAGCGGTGAGAATAAGATAGGTCGCAACAAATGATTCCAGAAAGTCCATGGCAACCGAAGTTTACATCTCACCCATGCAATGGGTCTTTGGGTGATGAGCTGCAGCTCTTCTTCATATCATCTTCACCAACCAAATCCGATTTTAACTCTGACATGAAGCCTGTCCAGAATTCTCTAGGCAGACAAGTGATACAGCAGAAGTGTCTTTCTCCAATTATATTACTTTTATTTTGGCTACTTGCTTGCACATTGATTCCTGGTAGTAGTTGTGAATGCCCGGATCACAAGAATATTGTCTTCATAGAGTGTAGCTTAATTATTGGACACACATATTTTATTTTTTAATTTTTTTACATTTTTAAAAACTTTTTTTGTTGATTTCTAATTGACACAGTAATTGTACATATTATGGGGTACAGATTGCTATTGCGATACATGTATACAAACTGCAATGCTCAAATCAGAGTAATGAGCATACACATCACCTCTAACATTTATGATTTCTTTGTGTTGAGAACATTCGGAATTTGTTCTTCTAGCTATTTAAAACTATGTAATAACCTATGGTTAACTGTAGTCACCCTACAGTGCTGCAGAACACCAGAACACATTCCTCCCATCTAACTGTAATTTTGCATCCATTAACCAACCTCTCCCTATCCCTGGAAGCACATATTTTTTTTTTCTCAGACTTAATATCAGATAAAGTTGGGTATGAATTCCATCTCTAGTGACCTCAAGCAAACTAATTAATTTCGCTTAGCCCCAGTTTCTTCATTTGTAAAATAAGGATAGTACTATTATTAAGTTTTTAATATTTTTGTGAAGATTAGCAATGATAGCACACATGTCAAGTTCTTATAACCAAAGCATATATAAGGGGTTCAGTAAACACTGCTTATATATTTAATATTATTGCATATCTACTACATGCCAGGCTCCGATTTAAAGTTCGGGGTTTAGTGGTGAACAAGACCAAGTCCTGGCCCTCAGTGGACTAGGCTGTCATCATTACTATTGTTATGGTTATTATTAATTATTACTGTCATTTGCTTACCCAGTAGCTAGCACAGTGCTCAACACCTAGCAGGTGGTAAACATTGTTGGACAAATGGTACCATCCTCTGACTCTGAAATACTTATAACTTCTAGCCCTTATCAAATTTATTCTTAGCATTTTTTCTTCCTTAATCTTGATCTCATTTTTTTCATGAGTCATCCCTTTAAAAAAATTAGTTTTTTGGGTGAGTGTCCGAGCCTAATCATGTTAGCATTACATCCATAATAATCCATGTTAACAGATGCCCTATTTAAAGCAATGACGTGGGGAAATTATTCATCTCATGTTTTTGTTGAAAAAGCAAAACACACAGTAAATTAAGTCTGGTCTTCTTGAAATTATGCATTTTTAAAAAATTGTGATGGGAACAGTGGTGTACACTTTGTACAATGTGGCATTAATTATCCAGTCATTCTGAATACGGTTTCAATTGCATTACCTGGAAAAATGTAAGAGCCCTCCAGTGGCCAAATAATCCCTCTCAGATCCCAAGGGTTATTTGCTACAGACAGCATCTCTAACTGAATGAAATGCCTGCTTCATCTTCTGTAGGCAAAGAAAGAGGGCAAGACCTAGTACAGTCCCATTTTCCCATTTTTAAAAAGAGTCTTGTCTGATCTCCAACACTCAGACAAGTTTGAAGCAAATTGTTTTATCTTGTAAGAAGAAATACTCCCTCCTCTCTGACAGCTAACCGTTGCAATCTGATAATGCTTTTTTATTGAGTACCTGCCGTAGGTCCAGTACTGTACTGAGGGACTCTGTGCAAGAAAATAGCCTATGGAGACAGAGAGAAAGATGCTAGGACACAGAGGTTCTAGCATCCACGGACTGTCCAGGAGACAAAACTAACTCATTTGGGCCATAGAATGATCATTTACAGTGCTAACCTTGATCTTTCTTCTCAGAAAGCATGTTTGACTCCCTCTTCAGGAAAGGAGAGAAAAACTGCCTCGTATGAATAAATGACATTTTATTTTCTGTTTACTGAGGGCATTTACTTTGCTAGGTATTGGGGACCACAGGAATAGCAATATAGACATGGTGCCTGCTCTTGGCCCTTCCAGTCTATGGGGGAGAATAACAGTGAATAAGCAATTGTAAAGAGGAGTGATAGATGCTGGAACAAGTAAGTACAGCAGCTGTGAGGGCACATGGAGGAAGCATGGAGCCGAAACTGAGGAGGAAACAGTGGTCAGGGAAGGCTTCCTGCAGGAAGTGACATTTAGACTAGTGCCTGAAGTGAAGAATCAATCATTAGCCAAGTGATGAGGTTGGGGTTAGAATGTTCTCGAAAGAGAGAACAGAGAATGTGAAGGAAGAGCAGATGGTGAGAGGCAGGGTGGTTGAGAGGAGGGGAAAAAGCATGGAGAGAGAAGAGGTGGAAACTACATCAAACGAATGGCAGCTACAGCTAAATAATGGATCACTAGGTGCCAAACAAACACATCCTTCCATCACCCTCCACCCAATCACCATGCTCTCTCATCAGACTTATTTTTTGGTTCTAAATCTCAAATAAATATATGTTTTTATTTTTGACCATGACTTGTCATCCAAATTCAACCCCAACCTCAGGTCAACCCTTGGTGCCAACCTGTTTCTGGTTCCCGGTCTTCATTTTCACATCCAATCCTCCTTTCAGGTGGGCATCTTTCCATCACTCTTCTTGGTGGTATATCCCCCAGCCAGCCCAACCCTCCTTGATAATCAGTCCACTCCCTGGATGAGCCCCTCTCCTGGGCACAGCCAGAGTTTCTAAAAAGAGTCATCAGTGGCCAGGTGTAGTGACTCACGCCTGTAATCCCAGCACTTTCGGAGGCCGAGGCAGGCAGATCACAAGGTCAGGAGATCGAGACCATCCTGGTGAACACAGTGAAACCCTGTCTCTACTAAAAATACAAAAAATTAGCTGGGCGTGGAGATGGGTGCCTGTAGTCCCAGCTACTTGGGAGGCTGAGGCAGGAGAATGGCGTGAACCCGGGATGCAGAGCTTGCAGTGAGCCGAGATCATGCCACTCTACTCCAACCTGGGAGACAGAGCAAGAGACTCCATTTCAAAAAAAAAAAAAAAAAAAAAAAGTCATCAGTGAGGCCTGGATCAGGCAGGAAGGACAAGCTGTGAAACACCCAGAAGGCCAGCAGTGTTGACACCTCCGCCACTCCAGGGCGCTCATTGCTGCTTTCAATATCACCACCAGAATCACCAAAGCACACTGTTGAAAGGGAGTGGCCCCACATCAGTCTTAAGGCTGCACAGAAGAAAATCAGGCTGGTTTGGGTGTGTAATTTGTCAATGGATGAACAGAAAATCTGTTCGTGAAGTAACATTCCTATCTAATGTCACTGTGCATAAGTCCTTCAAAGTTTGAATTCAACCATAGAGACAAGAGAGGGCAACACCCTCTTCCAGATCTGACATGGTTCCACGGCAAACCTTTCCTGGTCTCCGGCCGACCTCATCCTGGTGACTATTAAACCTTCCCATGCTTCACTGCCGTCCAGAAAATGACCCTCAGCCTTCAATATGGAAAAAAGAATGGTTCTCAAAGGAAAGTAAACATGTTTTCTTCTTTCATCACAGAAAACACTTTGCAGGGATGATGAGGAAGGTTAAACCTTTGAGCTACGTTAGCCTGAAGGGTCAGGATGACAGGGTCACTCATTCAAACTTGTGCAGAAAGTAATTTGGGCCCAACAGCTTTTTCTCAGTGGAAGGCAAACCCAGCAATTTCCATCAGCCAGAAACACACGTTACCTGCTGCCAGGTGACTTAGTCTGCTTGACACAGATCACGGTGATGTGGGCTCCAAAGGGAAGACACAAGTGAATTTCACCATTGAGGAGGATTTTAAAACCATCAACAGCACCCCCAGAACTTACAGATCCTCACATGGTGACTGCCTAAACTTAAACGTAAATTGAGCTATCTAATTTCCTCCACGTGCAACTGATTTTTTCCAGGACAAATTTTTGACACAAGGGCTGGTTCAATCTTTAGTAACAAGACCGAGCAGGGTAAGGACTGTGTAGATTCCAGTCCAAACAATTCCAGGTTTGCTACCTTGTCTGAGGATCCTGGAAAATAAACGTAGTGTTAATTTCATCACCCTCTATTGATTTCATCTTCCTCTCCCTTCCTGTTTTCTGAAATTGTGGTAAGAACACTTAACTTGAGATCTACCCTCTTAACAAATTTCTACGTGCACAATTCAGTATTGCTAAGTTTAGGCACAATATCGTAGAACAGATCTCTAGAACGTATTCATCTTACATAACTGTAACTTTATATCCATTCACAACAACTCCTCATTTTCCCTCCCCTAGCCCTGAAAAACCACTATTCTACTCTGTTTTAAGGATCTTGAAGGAACCCCTACAACTCGATAGCAAAAAAAACAAACAGCCCAATTAAAAGATGGGCAAAAGAACCGAACAGACATTTCTTCAAAGAAGACAGACAAATGGCTTACAGATGAAACGACATGCAACATTGCTAATTATCAGGGAAAGGCAAATCTTCCCCCTTAGTTTCTGAGTCATCTTGAGGTCAAAGGAGGAGAAAGAGAAAGGTACCAGTGTGGCTCCGGATCTAATGATGCCGTCAGATCGTGTATGTACGCTGTCTGTATAGAAGAGGGTCAGTGGACGGAGAGATTGGGAGACTGGGATGAGGTGAGCAATCGATTCCAGAGAGCCTACAGTTTATGTATACTGAAAAAATAAATGCTTTTTTCATTTGCCAGTCAAAGGCTTGAGTCCTGCCTTCTGAGGCTTAGCAGTTTTGTAACCTCAATCGAATCAAGTATTTTCTGCCAGCCTCAGCTTCTTCAACTGGAAAAGGGGAATAGTAATGCCTGCCCCTAGAGTTATTGTGCAGAATTACAAATATAGTAAAGGGGTCAAACACTCCAAATTGACAATAGGACCCAGGCAATAAGACAAACATTGAACTCAGCTGGGTATAACACAATAGTAAACCGGGCACTGGAGCAAACTGCAAAACACATGCTCCACATGAAGGGTTTTTAAATTCTATTTAAAGCAAACTGATCGGTGTGCGTCTGGTTGTCAATCATGGTCTACAGCCCACCAATTTTTAAGCCACATGACAATGACTTGCCCTGAAAATGAGGCTGTGGTTGTTTAGCTATTGCTATTTTCTCCAGAGGAAGCCCCAGCTCAGACATTCCAGACCCCTCCAAGGATGCCTGGCCTGCAGCAAAAGCCCACTTAGAAACCTGGCTGCTTTCTATGTCTCACAGAATGTGAGGCCTTCCCTCACGGAGCACAAGAAGAACTGCTGATTCACAGCTGAAGCCTGATGACGGCTGGCAACGATCTCTATGTCCACACGCTTCCATAGCTTCCTTTGGCTGCAGCAGCCCTGTGCCTCCCTCCTCCCTCTCACTCCTTCTGTGAGGCCCAATCTAGGGACTGAGAGGATCACTGGCAAGGATGCCCAGCTGAGGACGCAGATCTTAGTGGTCTACAAATCAAGCCTCTGCTCAGGGACGCCTCTGGTTTCCTCTTGCCTGAATTCCTACAGATCAGAGCTTGACCACACCATATGATTAGACTTTCAGGAGAGAAGCTTGACTGCATCTAGCTATCCAGGAGCTGGATTGGAGTCTTGTAACAATAGACTGCTGACCTGTAGACAAAGCCAGGAGCAAACTAGGTGAAATTTGCTTTCTCTGTGGAAGAGACTTTTATCCTGGAGGTTAGAAACTCAAAATAGCCTTTGACTCATGCTGACCATCCCTGCATGCCCAGGGCTTCCTCCCACTCAGAGAGATCTTCTAATGTGAGGCCCAGAATGAGAAACAGTGAATAGCAGAGGATGCTTTAGGTGTTAACCTTTTGACATTGATCACATCATTATGCCTCATGGTTTTGGAAATACTCAAGCATCTTGTGTCTGGTCTTCACCTGTTATTTCTTCTGGAAGCCCTGAGGTCCAAGAGATTAAATTGGCTGCAAGGGATGATGTTTCATGTAAGCTTGGTGGTTCCACATCCTTGCAGACATATTATCTGGGAGATTTTCAAGGTTAGAATAGAAAAGTGAGTATGGTGAGTCTTTCTCCTGCCCTGGGGATTTCCTCCAGACTACAGGAGAAACTCACTCACTCTATCCACCTCCCTGCCTCCACCCAGATGCCATTCCTCCCTACAACATCACTGTCAATCACCAGGGGCTTTAGAACTGTGACCCTTTTATTTATTTATTTATTTATTTTTGAGACAGAGTCTCCCTCTGTCACCCAGGCTGGAGTGCAGTGGCATGATCTTGGCTCACTGAAACCTCCTCCTCCCCTGAGGTATAAGTGATTCTCATGCCTCAGCCTCCTGAATAGCTGAGATTAAAGGTATGTGCCGCCATACCTGACTAATTTTTGTATTTTTAGCAAAAACAGGGTTTCACCATGTTGACCAGGCTGGTCTCAAACTCCTGACCTCAGGCGATCCACCTGCCTCGGCCTCCCAAAGTGATGGGATTATGGGCATGAGCCACCAAGCCTGGCCAGAACTATGACGCTTAACAATGGGCTTCTTCAAAGTCCCCAGTGGAAGTTGTGCAGAAAGCACATGCTTTAGGACTCCCCATGGAAATTCTTACCCAGAAGCCGAAGGTGGAGGGTGCATTTTTTAAAAAATGTCCTGTGGTGGCTGGAACAGGAGCTCATGACTAAGAATTGCTGCTTTAGAGAGTAGAGGACAGACAAGGGTGTGCCCTGGTGGCCTCTCACATTCTGAGCTTTAAGAGCCAGGGACCATGCCTTCTTAACGTGCCATAGTTATTAGAACCAGTGCAATCTGTTTCACTGGATTGGTCTTTGCACAGCAATTGCTTAATAGATGTATAACCCAAATAATCAAGTAAGCCGATTAAATCCTCCTGTTTCCTGCAGAAATCATGAGTACAAATAGAGGGGAGACAAAAGCCCTCAACTGAGATGTGTGAGTCTGGACTTGGTCCTATCATCACCTACCCAGATGACCTTGAGCTAGACAGGCACTTGAATTCCTTTCTAATCTTACTTCTTCACCTACAATAAGCTGGAGTTGGAATAAATGATCAGGAAGTTCCTTAGTAGCAGCAAACTTGTGTAATTAAGCAATTATGTTATGGACCTTTAATGAATTTAATTTTTCCTTTCTTTTGGAGTATCAGTCCTTGGTTTCACTGTCCAGCAGCAAAATGATGAGATGGGGACAGTTTTAACTCTGTCATCAGGTTCCTCTATGACCTTGGCTAAGTTTCTTCTCTTCTCAGTGCTCACACGTCTAAGGGAAGATGTTACAGGAAGTAATAAGTGCTAGAAGAGCACCAAAGTCACCAGAATTAGTAATAAGACAGGTGTCTGTGGAGTTCATGCTCTGACATCATTGACAATATCCTGGCTCAGTCAAGGTAAAGAAAAACCTTTGCTGAAACTCCTGGCCAAGCAAGATTCCTTTCCCTTGTAAAGATTTTGCAAAATAAAAATAATAATAATAATAAGGGACAGGGTAGAGGGTAGAAAATGGCTGTATTTGAAGTAGAATCGTGAATCTAAAGAGAATGTTTTCAAAGATTTCTATGATGCATCAGCAGCTCCTTAAAGTAATAGCAAACAGTTTAGATCCATTATTTAGTTTCCGAGGAAAATAAAGAGCAGGTTCGAGTAGAATAGTAATAGTGGATTTAGCTCTTAGTCTCCATTCATCTTCTGTGTCCATACATTTTTAAGACAGGAAAGCATTTTCTCAATTATAGCTGATACATGAAGGAGAGAAGGAGGTGAGCTGGCTTGCCAGGCGCCTTGGTTGTGTCCACAAAATCTGGGATAGGAATGGATGTGTTAGTGGGTGAGATGGCAGCTGAGAATCATTTCTAAGGTACCAGGGGATACCTGGTCCTCTCTAGGTAAGGCCAATCCCTGAACTAGGCCAGGAGGTTGCAGAGGTTTACAGGCCCACTCTGACTGTGCTGGTGCAGCAGAGACACCCTGTATCTGAATTTTGGGGATCTCAGAACTGGAGGGAGGACCTCCACTCTCAGGCTGTGTGCACTCACTCCCCATGTGCACATGGGGCGCTGGGGAGGAGGCTTGGTGTGTCCAGATATGCCTGTTCACAAACCAATCAAACTGGGCAGTGGCCCGCAAAGCCTAGCACAAAGGTCTCCCTGTCCCCTGGGCTACCCTCTATAGACAACAGTTCAGTTGCCTCCTGGAAAGCAAAGTGGGGGATTGGATCTAGCTTTGTGTGCTTCCTTAGCTCGAGGACATGCTGGAGCTCCTGACTGTGGTCTCTCACTGTCTGACCACACTTCCTCACTTAAGAATAGAAATGACTTCACAAACCCAAAATAGCAGTAGCTGTGAAACAACACAGTGAAGTTCAGGCAATAAGAGCCAAATCAAAAAATGGAAAACAAAAGTTAAAATGAAATTATCCACCAAGAATCCAAGGTGGGGTAGGGTCCTCTCATGAGACTGCAGCAGGAGAGCTGAGGTTCTGGGACTCAGGCCCCCATAATAGCTCTGTCCTAATGAGGCAGCAGATAAGTCAGATTTATTCATTCTAACACCCTGCTTTGGTCATTTTGTCAAAAGCTTTGAATATGACAGTTTTAGTATTGGATAGAGTTGCTTGAGATTTTTCTACAATCAGGGGCACAGGACATCAGGAATTTCAAAATTTATCCCCTCTTCTGTGTCCAGAGGGATCCATCATCCCCTGCCCATGAACATTAACCCTGGAGGAGGGAGCCAAGGCATCTCCAACCTCTCTCATCTCACCTTTCAGTCCCAATTCCTGCCTAGTAATTATTGCTTGTGATTCTGAGTGGTAATACATAGTTATCAGCAAGCACACAAGGAGGTTAGCAGAACAGGGCGTCCCCCCGTAGCCTCTTTATTATGTTTTTATGCGTTACTTTGCCCTGTGACTATTTTGAGACAGTGATCTCCTCTCTGCGGGGTGATCTGCTATGTCCAGTCCATTATGGACTACTCCACTACCACCGCAAGCAGGGAAGACTTCAGGAGTCTAGACTCTTCCCTGGAAGAGGTAAAACTGAGCCCCCTTGTTTCCTTTTGGAGTAAGATCTTCACTCTTGAGTTTCTCCTCCAAAACTCACCAGCCCGTGCAGCCTGAATCCTTGCTTTGTAGTTAATGAACTGAATGGTTCTAAGACTTGATCATTTTGTCACTCAATTTCCTCACCTATAAAATGGGAATCAATAATATCTACCTCATAAGGCCTCTGTGAGGATTAAACTGAACATGCAGAAAATAAATAAGTCACATAGTAAAGTTTGATTTAGCATCTTGTGTCTTGTCACAGCTCAGCAAATAGTAGATGATATTATTATTATTATTATTATTATTATTATTTGCTGTGGTTTTGCTGTAAAATTTAAAATAACTGATATTATGCCCGAAACAAGACTCAACACATGCGTCAGCTGCCCTTCTCCCTGCATGGGGCCACTCTCCCCCAAGCAGCACACCTCACCTGGGTGGGGTACCTGAATGTTGCACACTTCTCCAGCTCAGCCTTCCAGGGCATCTCTTACGTACCTGTGACTTTGTGAGTATTAAGGAAAGAACACTCGTTTCTCTCCTCCGCTTCTATCTCTGCTCAGCTCTCACAAACCAGACCTCCAAGGAGAGGAGTTGGCTGGTCAGAACCTGCACATTTACGAGGCACCACTTTAACAGCCAGAGATAGAAATCTCTCATGTTTCTGGGTTTAACCTTTATACCAGCCCCATAAGAGGATATTATTATACCCATTTCACTATTTTTTTTTTAAGATGGAGTCTCGCTCTGTCATCAGGCTGGAGTGCAGTGGTAAGATCTCGGCTAACTGCAACCTCCTCCTCCCGGGTTCAAGCGATTCTCCTGCTTCAGCCTCCCGAGTAGCTGGGACTACAGGCATGCACCACCACACTCAGCTAATTTTTGTATTTTTAGTAGAGACAGGTTTTCACCATGTTGGCCAGGATGGTCTCGATCTCTTGACCTCATGATCCACCCGCCTTGTCTTCCCAAAGTGTCGGGATTACAGGCATGAGCCACCGCGCCCGGCCTTCGCTATGATTTTTAAAAGGTTAGTTTTGTTTAGCAACTTGTCCTAGGCTTCATGCATAACATTTGAGTGGTAGAGAAGGATCTGAGCCCTGTGCCTCTGAGAGGATCAGATGAGATGAAGTATGAGGAATGCTCTAGCACCATGTGGAACATGCAACCTTGGTAACCCTTCTCCTCCTTCCCTTATGAACTCACATCGTGCCTCCTCTCCTGTCTCTTCCTGCCTCACACCCTGTTCCCAGACACTGAAAGCTTCTCCCCAGCAGCTGCACCTTTCACATGTGTGTTTTGTCGGGGAAATCCTCTTCTTCCTCTAGCGACCTTCCCCACTCTCCATTTCTAAAAACTCCTCTGATAAGAAACTTGCCCACTTTCCCAAAGGACAGTTGGCCATTTTTTTACTTGGCTCCAATAGCAGATTCTGACTCCATAGCTCTGATGACAAATTCTCTCATTTTTTTGATTCTCTGTCTTCCTGGACTCAGAATCTTGAATGCCAGAATTTATGGCTGATTCATTTTTGTAATCATGGCCTGTAGCAGAAAGGCTGGTGCATAGTAGGCACTTCATATATATTTGTTGAATAAATTGAGGCTATTGAATACAACTTATAGATTCCCATGACTTACTGAGTCTCTGCTGACACTCTTGAGCACAGATAATGAAGGCTGAATTATTAGAGGAATAGCAATTGAGAATCTGGAAAGAAATCGGGTAAAATTCAGGCCCTGCTTTAGGAGTTATCAAATTAGTGCATTGCTTCTCCATGAGCAGGAGGGATCTCAGTTCTGTACAGCTCCCTGAAAACTCTAGCCACCTCCTTCACAGCTAAAAAGAATGGTGTGTCGCCACTGCCAAGAGCACACAGAGCAGGTCCTGGCATCTTCCAGGGACATCCCCATTGGCTGAATCAGCCTGACGACAGCAGTGCAGAGCGCATGCGTCAAAAGGTGAACTCCTCCAGGTCTGACACTATGATAGAATATTATTGCAGACACTTGAGGGAGGCTCTTTAGACAGTAATCCTGGCTGGGTTTGTGTGCAGCTGCAGAAAACTGTGTGAGCTCCAAGAGGGTGCATTGGCATAAATGTACCAAATTCCTATTTTTCTTTTTTTGCTCTCTGTACCTATTCTCTGAAAGGTCTAGGATGCTCACAAGTGCCCAGCAGCATTGCTGAAAGGCAGATCATGGAAAGGAGAATTTCAAAGGCCAGAAGACGAAGATAACAGAGACTAAGCAAAATAAACAACACATTGGGAATGTATGGACATGACAAAACCAGGACTGAGTGTAAGGAAAAGAGAGTGGTCCAAACCAGTGGGCTGGGAGATGGCACCCTTGTAGCTATTTCCAGAGCTTGGTTCAACCTCTCTGAATGAACATGGACGGAGCATGTCTCCTAATCTACTAAATTGTGAGAGTAGCATTTCATTGTCATAGAAGAAGAAGGAATCCCGGTGATCTATTAGTCCAAAATTCCTAATTTTAAAGATGAGGAGACAAAGGCTCAAAGAAATGAAGTGATTTGCACAAGCTCACATGGCCAGTTTGCAATAGAGCTGGAATAAGAACCCAAATATCCCTCTCTCTCAACCACCAGGTTTCCTCTGAATCGCATTTCAGATTCTTAGAAGACAGCTCTCTCTGCCAAATAAACTTATAGTCTTGCTCTCTGTCAAAACTGGTGACTACAAGGGGTTAAGCACCAACTCCAGAAGGCCAAAGGCTGCTGAGATCATTTGTCTAAGGTTTGTGCCTCTGAATTTGGGTCTGTGGCCGGATGCTGTATCGAACACTGAAGTCAGGTAGTCTCAGGAAGATATACCAATCAGGTATTTGTTTCCTTGTTCATGCTCTCTAACCCCAAACTTGATGAGGTCTCTGGGGATTATTTTCACTGTGGTTTCATTCCTTAAGCCTTTACAATCTGACTTCCCATCAGCTCCGGCCCTGCTTGCCCTGGCTCCACAGATTTGCATGCACCCCCACCCTTACCAAACAGAAATAACTTTTATCCAATGGCCATGCTGCAGATTGCTTCTAAACAGCTGGGCTCAGGGAAAAGCTCTGGGGATGAGTTTGAATCAGGAGTTATCTTCCCTAACATGCTGTTTCTGGATTTGCATACACGTGGGCTGGATGTTTTAATTAGCGCTGTCAGCCTGTCTGGTCACAGCTCCCCACTGACTGCTTCACTTCTTAGGTGAGTGGTCAAAGACTATTCTTCAGTGATTAAGTGCTCTGATTTCTACAAAGGGAAAACAATGCCTGGGTGTCTGCATCTTATTTGTTCATTCACGTTCAACAACTGTTTCTCAAGGCCCTATTAAATATCTGACATTGGGCTAGAATATGGGGATTCTAAGGGAAATGAGACATAGCCCCTGCTCAAAAGAGAACGCAGATAATGGACATCCTAACGGACATGTTGTAAACAGTTAATAGATGATAAACGTGGAACTAGGATGAGTTATGGAAGCACAGAAGAGGGGCAATTTAGCCTGTCCTGAGTATGTGGGGTCAGGAGAGGAGGGTGATCTCCAGTGCTAATCTGATTTCTACAAAGGGAAAACAATACCTGGGTATCTGCATCTTATTTGTTGGTTCAAGTTCAACAACTGTTTGTCAAGGCCCTATTAAATATCTGACATTGGGCTAGAATATGGGGATTCTAAGGGAAATGAGACATAGCCCCTGCTCAAAAGAGAACACAGATAATGGACAACCTAATGGACGTGTTGTAAACAGTTAATAGATGATAAATGTGGAATTAGGATGAGTTATGGAAGCACAGAAGAGAGGCATTTTAGCCTGTCCTGAGTATGTGGGGTCGGGAGAGGAGGGTGACCTCCAGTGCTAAGAATCAGGGCTTCCTGGAGGAGGAGATGTTCAAAACGAGTCCCAAAGGAGAGGGAAGAGGCAGTGAAGCACAGGGTGTGGTTGGCAAGCCTTCTTGGCAGACAGAACAACACGAATAAGAAATGAAGAAAGGCACCAGCACAGTTGCAGGGTGGGGCATAGGCAATACAGGTTGGCAGCTGAAAAGAGCGTTTGGGAGTGTATGAAAGGTGGAGAAGGGGAAAGAAACAATACAGGCAGAGAACTCATCCGTGACATTGTCTAGCATTTCACAGTCTACTGCCTTTATATGCTTTGTCTCATTGGCCCAAAAGCAGCCTCACAAAGCTTATGTAAGAGGTGTGCCTCCTTCCTGAGTCCCCCAGGGGGCCCCTAATTGCCAACCAAATGAGTCACTGTCCCTCTTCATCCTGCTCTGCAGCACCGCTGCCTTGCCCACCTCCCATCCTCTCTCAGCCTCCAGGATCTTAGTCACAACTCTCTGGCTTTTCTCCTCAATCTCCTTAACACTTATCTGCCTCAGTGGAACCCCCGAATGTTCCCTTTCCCAGGGATTTATCCTTGGCCCTCCTTTCTCCTCGTTTCCATAGCTGCAGTTGCACCCATGTCCTTATAATTACAAAATTCAAACCTCCAGTTTCTCTCTGCTGAGGTCTGGTCATGACTTGCCACCTGACCAAGGGGACGTACACCTGAGTATCCAACAACACGTCACTGAGAATGTCCAGATGTGAACTCGGGATCTCTCCATCAGACCTTCTGTTTCAGCTGTAGTGCTGATTTTTGGAAAACTACATCCCATACTTAATCTACCCAGTCTTCCAAGATGGGAACCTATCAATTACCCACGAGTCCTCCTTTCACCCCAACCCTCTTCCATCTGCAAGTTGCCTCTTCTAATTCAGAGACGTTTCCCAGGAAAGCTCTTCTCCTTCCGCCAGCCCACCTGCTGCTGCCATGGTGACAACGCCCTGTGTGGATGCCTTCCTTCTGCCACCTTCTCCCCGGGCTATCATGTCCAGTTTCTGAGGGATCTTTCTTTCCATCTCTCACTAGCCCCCTTCCCTCCACCAACAAAAGCAAGAAACAAAGTCTCTTATTTAGCCTGTTTCTCTGATTCACAGTCTCCATTTTCTTCAGATTAAAATTCTAACTTTTAACTAAGCCTGTGTGACCCTCTACAGTGTGCCCTTTGCATTGTTTTCCAGCCTCCCCATCTGCATGTGTATCCATAAACACTGTGCTCGGGCCTGCTGAGCCCTTTCAGGATTTATCATCTTGACACAACCTGTTCTCTCTGCTTGAAGTTCTACCCCTCCCCTTGAGGTCCTCCTGTGTGTACTTACTGCAATATTTTGTTACATATAGTAGTTGCCTCTCTCCCCAGTAAGACTGAGCATTTTAGGAAAACTATTTTCGTCTTATTCACAGTTACATACCCCAAGCCCTGCGTAGTAACTGGTACATAGTAGAAACACCACACACACACACACACACACACACACACACACACACACACACACAGCAGTAAAATTAAGTTCAATCCCCCGTCTGGTTGTAGGTCTTCAAGACCTGATTCAAACGTCACCTCTTCTGTGAAGCCTTCCTTGATTTCACCAGGCACCCATAGCAATTTTTCCAGGTCTTTGCTACTCTGTGTGTTATATTGTATTATTATTACCTTTTTTATTAATATATCAATGCACTGAGTTCCTAAAGTATCAAGAACACCACCCAACAGTGCAGCTAGTTCAAAGCTGGAACTCAAAAAATTAGCTCATGTATGAATGAAACATCAACTTACAGAAAGAGAAAGTGAGAGTTGGAGAAATTGCATAATTTACAAAGAGTCCAACAGTGATATATCTGGAACTAAAAACTCCTGGCTCCGGGTTCACAGACACTTCTTTATAGCAAAAACTAGAATCTCTCATTCCTCCACATAGCACCATCTCTATGGAAACTATCAGCCATCACTCCTCTTCAGGGTAGCAGAACCCTGCAGTGGGCTCACACTGCACCGCACATGGGGCACCCAGCTGTCTACTGGGAGGGACACAAGATACTGACAGCCCCCACTATGTGCAGCAAGTTATGCTTTTCTACACCCTCTTAGAAACAACTGTGCCTCCTAACAGATACACAGAGCCAGAACCTGCACTTCTAATCTCGACTTGAACCTACATTTGACTCCAGCTTTGCCACTTACCAGCTTCAAGACCCTGAGCAAGTCACACATCACACTGAGCTTGTGTTTTCTCCACAACAGGAATAAAGACAGCCACCCTTCACGAATCTTGTGAAGAAAACAGACGGCAACAACAGTAGTCATATCTACATTTTTCATATATCTTGTTATTGAGTCTCTGTAAATATACTGGCATAGCAGGAGCCCAATAAAGGATAGCCATGAGTGGCATCAAGCTATTCTTGGTCTGTACAACAATCTGTTCTCTTTTTAATGATTTCCCTCAGCCCTGAATTCTCCTTGCCTCTCTTTTTTGGCCTCCTAGACCTTGATGATGTAAGGAAAGAAGAATTCCAATTCAAGTAATGAGCATATTTAGAGCCACCTCTGATTCCTTGTGGACCCACCATGGACACGTCCTGTTTAGCACGGCTTTTGCAAACCATATCATGGTCACTTTTAGAAAAACGTTTTGATATTCTCAGGAAAAAAGACATCAAAAGAAATCCAAGAGTAATGAGAGGTAAACGGAAACCTACCGAAGAGGGTTCAAGGCATTTTCCCAGATGGACTGTGTGGATACAGCTTTTATGCTTCTCCACAGAAAGGACAGGTACACCCCTGGCAGTAGAAATTCAGCCATTTGGTCCGAGTTGGGTATACTTCAGGAAATCCTCACAAATCCTCACAGGCTTAGACACCCCAACTATTATACGGTTATATATTATAAACCAAAGGTTTCCAACTCATGCGCCAAGTGCCCTTGAATGATATGGAGTTATTGCAAGCAATTTCAAATTTGAGTGCTCATTAAGTGTTGTCTCTTGCCTGAAAAAATAGCGCTTTGTGAATACGCGGCACTTATTTTATTTTCAAGTGTATTATATATTGTTACAACAGAAGTTTCTATGTGAAATCATTACTGAATTTATAATAGCTGTTTGCCACTATGAATTTCCCTACAACATTTGTATTACAAGGATTAATAATAACATAAAATTTTATTGTGGGGGAATTGACAAGGGGTGTGTTCTGCAAAATGTTTGACATAAGAAGCAGTGTCAATACTAGAAAGGTTTGGGGAATCACTCGTATAAGTCAGAACCTAGGGTATTGGTGTCAAACTGAGATCTGAGTGGACCTGGAAGGTGGCTTCCCTGAGCACTTCACAAGCACGTGTACATTACAGGGTGACCTTGAAGAAGATTCTCCTGCTCCAGAAGATGAAGCTATTCAGGTCTCTCTGCCAGCCTAATCCACCACACAGCCCTGGCATGAGATGCAAGGAGAGCTAATCTTTCCTCCGTTCCAGCTGGGGGGCTCAGGGGGTGGGAGGGTGGGGGTGTAGCAGCAGCTGTCAACCAAGGGCCAACCAGAGGATGAGCAGGAAAGGGCAATGGCAGCACCACCCAGGCAGACGTGAGCATCTCTCTTCTGTTCTTCCCGGATCCCTCTCCATCAGCCCCAGATGACAAGTCACCAGCAGAAAGAAAGTCCGGCCAGGAGAACACAGCGGTAAAGAGCAAGGTGACTAACCTCATCAACCATCACAAATTAAATGCTGTCTGTGCAGGAGAGCTCATCCCAGCTTGCTCTGGGAACAGGAAGACAGGATTTTCCATGCTCCGGTCAGATAAGAAGAGACTACGAGCCAGCCAGTCAGCCTAGAAGAGAAAGAGAGGCATGGACTGCACGCACAGTGCGCTTTGTGTTAGGTTGGCAACTAATTGCCAGCTGTACACACTGGTCACTCAGGCAGGTCACGGCTGCCACTTCAGTGACACAAATGTGGATGCTGGTAAACTCACTGAAGGCTCCTTTCTTTCCCACTGAGTGGCAATTTCAGAATAACAAGTCACCGCAAGCCACAGAACTCCACCATTCCTTTGTGTCAGCACTAGAAAAAGGGCGCTATTAATACCTGCTTACCTTCCACAGGGGGGCCGCAGGCTTAATTAAGTGTGGTTTGTGAAGTGCTCTGAGGTTGCCCGATGAAAGCTGAGCTCTCAGTGCAAACTATTATTGTTAATTAATTATTGTCAGCAGAATTATTTACACTGTGTTTTCAGGTCCAGGAGCTCGTGTTTACGGGTAAAAGAATGTTCTCTAACCATATGTCCTGTCCTTTCCTCCCAGCGAAACTATGGCCTATCATCTCTGTCTGTCTTTCTCCTCCAGCTTTCTTCCTTTTCACCTTTCTCATGTTCCTAATGGGAGAGCAGCATATTTAGCCTCGCCTCCTACCCTGGACATAAACAGGCTTTCACAAAGAGAAGAAGATAAATCCTTATTAATGTAAACGTAAGCTGGAAAACAAGAGAGGGATCTGAAATAAAAGATCTGTAGTGTCGGCTAGAAACAGAAAACACAGGATCCCGCTGGGGAAAATGTGCAATTAATCCTGGGCAGTACACAGAGCTGAAACATGGAGTTTTTCCGCTAAGATGGTTTCTGCCAATGCATGATCATGACCTCTGAAGAGCAATGATACCCACGATCGGAAGGCATTGGAAATTCTCAGAGCTCGTGAGCCTATTGACAGAACCAGGCATCCTCCTTTATACCACTCCCTCCAACACACACAAAAAAAGCCAACTCAACTTTAATTTTTATTTTCAATTAGTTAGGATAACAATCGTATAGAATTTCTAGAATAAAGCATGCCTCTGAGATTAAAAAGAGGGAGACCAGAGGCATTAGAGGAACAAAGCAACCTGGATGGAACAATGCATGTGTTCCCTTCCTGGCTGCCACCTGGTGCTCACCAGGCTGGCATCTGAATCAAGGGCATTGTGGATGCAAGACAAGAGAATCCCCAGTGAACTGTAGCTTTTATGAATAAATTGTACTTGCCAAAATTGGTCGGTTGTTTGTGGACATTGATTTATTTACTCTGATTCTTTCTGATTGTTATATTTTGGATGGTGCTTACTGATGTGAAAAAGCCATCTAGTATTGCTGATAAATCTAGAGATAATGGCAGAGGTCAGAAAAGTGGGAAGGAAGGAAAAGAAGCTGAGCCTGCCATGCAACAGTAAAACGTTTTTATGTAAAGAACAACTCTCCATGACCATTTCCATGCTATTTTGCCTTATTACACAATCGTAAAATTAGTTGGGTCATTTGCTTGTCTTACTTTTCCTTCTGGAGTTAAGGAAAGAATAGAGAGTGGAGTGGATGGGCTTTGTTTTATCTGAGTGTTCAGACCTTCTTGCTGGATTCCTTTGTTATTCCTTTTCCTTTCCCTCCCTTGACTCTGTGCAAGCATGTGTGTCCATGTGTTCGCATGCATCTGGCTGTGATGGGGGGTGGTGGGAAAGTGGAGAGTAAAGATAGAGGAAGTTTTCAGCATGGCAATGGCTAGCACTGCTAGAGAATGGGACATTTTTCTTGTACTGCTTTGAGCATGCACACCTAACATTTTCAAGGTCGTGTGGATGGAAGTATTCAGTGCCTTCAAGGTGAGCCAGAGCCTCTCTGATTCATTCAGTCCCAGTGCTCCTTTCCACTAGAGTCCCAGTGCCAAGCTTGCATCTGGCGGGCTTTCTAAAAAAAGAGTATTGAACTCAGTCTAACTTCCAGGTGGGATAGTCAGGCTATCAAGGAGGAAATTTGGGGAGGGGAAGCCAGGACTGAGAGGGTGGCAAGATGCTGCAGATTGACTCCATTTCCACCTCTGGATCACAACTCCTAAAACATTACACCTAAAATAGGTCAACAGGGATTTGGGATAAAGTGGGATAAGCTTTAGTTAATTATCCGAATGAGCAAAATGCCTGTTTTTAAATCCTGAGTTGGATTTAATCACAGGAGCTGAGATGATCTTCCAACATCCAAATCCATTTGGAAATTGACTGGAGGGGCACTCTATCCAAAGAGACAGCTTGTTCAATAATAAGGTAACAAATGCAGCAATTGCACAGGGGCGAGAACTTACAAGGGCTCATCCACGAGCTGACTCCTGGTATCATTTTAGGTAGCGACATGCCAGACAGAATTAAAGGAGCAAGTGCTGGCTCTGATCCTTCTCCCACATCCTCCCTGATAGGCTGGGTCTCCTCAGCAGAACAAACCTCAAATTCAGTACAACAGAGACACAAGAAGAGACAAGGAACAGCTGAAATCAATCGTTGCAGAGACATTAATAATAGACGTGCTGAAAATGGGGCAGGAAAGATATTTTAAAACCTCACTTTAAGACACACTTTGTATTTCAAGTCATCTTTACTTTCAATAATCTTACATGAACAAGGGCACAGTATAGCCTGCCCATTTTAAAGAATATGCGTTCTCCCCAAGTAAATTGCTGCTAAAGTGCTGACGTTTGCCATAGATCTAACAACAATTTAGTTTATTTCAAGAACAATTTGAAAACCACCATAGAAAACAGTTTGGTTTCACCTCTGTTGAGGGCTTTCTTATAAAGCTTCCAATTACCTTAATGAAGCAGAGATATCCAGGCCAGAGAGCTTCTGGTGGATTCTTTCCTCAACCGTGGTCCACTCGGTGACGCACACATGCCATCTCCCATTCAAACAGGTATTGTCCATGGAAATCAGGTGTTGAAACTCTACCACTAGGTCTTCTATTGGTCTGCTGGCTTTATATTTTAAATATGGGTTTGTCTGCAGCCTTGCTATGCACCTAAAATTGCATGTTTGTGGAGGGCAAGAACCATATCTATTTAGGTTTTTTGGTTCAAAATCTCAAAAAGTTGTCCTATTGCTTCAAAGAGTGCTAGGCATGTAGCTGTTGTTCAGTAAGTGGTGATAATGAAATGAATTGATCTAACAAGCATTTATTGAGCACTCAATTTACACAAGGTATTGCAATGTCTACAGAAGTTCAAGAGTCCTTTTCCTCAGGAAGCTTTCAAGCTAATAGCAGAGTGGGGCATAGCAGAAGACACATAAATTAGGATGCTAGGAGATAAAAGCAAATAAGTGCTACATCAGTAGTCCAAATACCATGCTATCAGAATACCAAGGAAGAAGAAATTCAACTGAGAAGACAAGTCAGGGGCTTCGCAGAGAAGGTGGCATATGAATTGGATTAAAGCTTTGGTAGAATATGGCAGGAAAGGGATTCCAGGCTGCAAAATCTGGATGAATAATAGCATAGAGAAATGAAAAAGATGGTGAGGCCACACTGTAGCCCTAGACTACTGTCTCCTTCCACATAGTGTACCTAGATGGATGTGGTGAGAATCATTCTTTCCCTGAAGAATCATTTCACTGACCTGCTTCTAGAGTTAATAAAGTATCTTCAGTACCCAGGAATCAGGGTCACTTGCAGAATCACATGGTTACTCCAGAGCAGGGTCCACAAAGTGATCGTGGGGTCCCAATTCCCAAATACCATGCCAGTGAGGACCCTAAACATCCTAGACCTCATTCCTATTAAATTCCTAGCTCCCTGACTCCCACCCCCATGGGCCATCGGAGAGGACTTACACAGTCACAGATACAGAGCTTTCTGCCAGACATTCAAAACAAGAATTTCACCTCTGAGGTGAGAACGGATATGAGAAATTTCAGCCCAAAGAGTGATTTTTGCCAAGGCTGTCATGAGCGCCTGAAAACAGGGGTTTATAATGGAAGTGCCATCGCAACTACAACTACATTGCTGTGGAAGTGTGACACTGTCCTCAAGTACAAGCACTATAATAAGAAGAAGCATTTAAATGATACTTGGAAGGATAACCAGGATATGTAGTCATCTCTTTCTAGATCATCACCTCTCCCAATCTCTCACATTTCCACCTAAAAAGACACACAAGTTTCATGGGGAAAAACTTTGTGCAAGAACAAAAAGTTTTGTAACTGGAGAAAAATCAATTATGAAGGACACTGGTCTCTGGCTTGAGGCAACTGTCATAAGGAGGCTGTGATAACCTTGGGGCTCTTGGAGAGTTCACTAGGGTTCAATTCCCTTCTGGCCAGCCCCCGAACCTTTGAGCAGGGCCTAGGTATGGTCCTAGAGCCAGTTATCTTAACATTCCATTGGAGTTTAGAACCAAGGGGACGGGATTCAGCTCTCCTATTAAACAGCACAAAATAAAATGCAATTCTTTACAAAAGAGCTGTTGGCAATATTAACATCAAAGGGGATTCTTTCTCCAACAATCATATAAACTAGACCTTTGATTTACTTGCATATACCAAGATCATATGGATCATATGGAGCTTCATCAAATTAGTAAAATTGTCCCAAATCACAGGAGGGAAAAATGGAAATTTACATGGGATATCAGCTAGAACGAAGTAAGCAGAAAATAAAAATAATCACTTTATAATCTGGAAACTATACATATATATATGTAGTATATGTAGCATGTTGTGTATGTGTGTGTGTATATACATACCATATATATATATATATGGTAGGTATCCATTAGTAGAGTTCCAGTCCTCTTTGAATGGCTTACTACTTTAGAGAATAAAACCCTCCTCCACAATTAGTTTGAGACAGAATTTATCAAGGCGGGTTTGATGTCCCAGGAGAAAAAAAAAAGGCACATATATTTGGCAAAGTCTGAGTGGTGAACAACCTCTTACAGTGTATATTTATGCATAATATGGTATGCGTATCTATATATATACATGTATATATGGTATGTATATACAGGCACACACACATATACATACACACACAACACACTACGCACTTGTGTATGTGTACTCACACCCATATGTGTATGTGTATAAATGTATATATCTATGTATGCACATACATACTTTATACATATGTTTGGTTCAAAAGCTATAAAAAAAACTCTGCATTGCACGTGCCTTATACAAATATCCTTGTGATATAACAGAATGCCACACCAAAATGTCAGTCTTGGTCTTTCTCTCATGCTAGATGAGGACAACTTAGCTAATTTTTTCATGACTTCCTTTCCATTAGCAGAGTTCCAGTGTTCTTTGAATGGTTTACTAATTTAAAAAATAACCCCCTCCTCCACAATTAGCTTGAGACAGAATTTGTGAAGGTGTGTTTGATGTCCCAGGAGAAAAGAAAAAGCACATATGTTTGGCAAAGTCTGAGTGGTGACCAACCTCCACTTACAGCATACGTTTATGCATTATTGGCTCAGAGAAATCCTAGAAAAAAAAAAAAAGCCAGGCTTGTTCAAACTTGTTTTATTGTAGTCATTCCTACTTTGGTTTTACAATCATTCACAAGAATGCACATGGAAAAATACTGATGTATAGTCAGTGTATACATTATATGCAAGTATCTTGTAGAATTAGAAGCGCAGGTGACCAGAAGTCGGCGGTGTTAAAGAAGCCACATCACTTCTCTGGCTATCTGTTTCTATGTCTTACACTAGAAAAATGCACCTGGCTTCTCTCTCTACCCCTCATTGTATTTGCTCTCCTTCATACCCCTATGGGAGAGCTGGGGGCAATGATAGTGAGTAAAAGGCCCGTAAGTCTGTCTGTTTCTGGGGTGAAGTTAGTGCTCTTGGCAGTAAGTCTAAAGCTACAGTCTCTAAACTATTTCCTCTCCAAATATATAAAGTTTTAAAATTTCATCTCTGATCTCTGTATTTACCCTCAAATGGTCCCAAACTTGGGAGAATAGAAGGATAATTGTTGGTCCACTAAATTTAACTGACAACAAAAATACTTATTTTCCCCTAAATTCAGCAACATTGATACCACAATATTCAGCTCACTTCATAGGGGTACCATTGAGCATGGCTTTTTTCATAACTATAGAATGATCTCAGGACCAATACGGTGAACAGAACACATGGAAAGCTCTCCAAGGCATTATTACTCATGAAATACATAGTTTACTGGGCTATTGATGCTTAAATTAAATTATTTGACTTAAAATTCTTTTGAAAACTTCAAATGCACCTCAGAAGAGTTCATGGTAAGCTTCCATTGACTTTCCTGCCCTGACACGAATAAACTGATCACATCTCTTCTTAGAAACAGGTTTAGCGGAAGGAGAGAAAGCAACAAAGCCCTAGCAAGATATTGTAGGGTTGGAGGCAATGTAATAGATGGTACTACTCAGCAGAAGGATGCAGATAAGGAAGGGGGTTGCAGAGTACTCAGAAAAGATAGCTTGACTCAGGCAAGGCACATGCCAATGGCCTTTCCAGACCACATGCCTGTAGGTGCTTCAGAGAAAATCAATCCCTCAATCCTCTTTTCTTTTCTATTAATAGATAAACTATTCTTCAGGCATAAGAATAATGTCTAAAGCCAAGGTCCGTTTTAAAGAGGATGAATGAAGAATGAACAGACATACAAATAAGAAGCTATGCTAGAGATGCAGGTGTCAAGCTCTTGCTGACATGCTTGATAAGAGGGTAGGCCTTGGGGACCAGGAGCTCACCTTCAAATTCCAGCTTCACTGTTTTGCACATGTATAATCTTGATCAGGAAACCTTTTTCTAAGCCTCAGTTTCCTCATCTGGAAAATTATTATGGGTAATCATCTTGTAAAAATTGTTCTGTGGAACTAAGAAAGAACATAACACATGCAAAAGACTGGGCATGTTTTCTAGCAAACAATATGAGCTTAATAAATATTAGCTGTTATTATTAGTACTTGTACTGACAGTAGTCATAGCTTGAGCAGCTATTGCCACTGCATCCCATTTCTTAACTAGACACTTTGGGTGCATATTCTATAAATGGTGACTCATGAGAATCATCTTCATATTCAAAAGTATCATTAAGCTTATTCTTCCCAATCTACATATGAGGAGGCCAAAGCTCATGGAGTTTAAGCAACACATCCAAGGTCAATGTTAACTGAGGGAGATCGACACTAAACTGTGATCCTGTTATGGTATCACCCCAGCTTTCCCCTCTGCTCTCCTCCACTCATTCAAACCTGCTTACACCATCTGGCACAACAATCCAAGACCCTGGGGGACTGTTCACATCATAGAACCCATCCTCAGTGGTCACTTTTAGGAATGCAATAGGCTTAATGCCTGCCACATAGATTTGAAAACTTAAGAATCTGCTTTGAGTTTATAATTCTGCATTATTTTTTGTATTGAGCTTTTCTTAATTGCCTCATTGCTTAGTCATTAAAAAATATGATAAGGCCTGGTAAGTTCTTAACTTGTTTTGCTTTGTTTTTGCTAAGACATTCTTTTCTCCCATTTACTCTGGGCTAGATTTTATTCATCACTAGAATTTTACTTGCCAACTACCCTGGCTTCGATCTGGACAACTGCCTTGTTTCTGAAGGTGAACACCATACCTCCTTCCATTGGCATTTTTTTTTTTGGTGTTTTTTTAAGAGACAGGATCTTCTTGCTTTATAGCCCAGGCTGGAGTGCAGTAGCGTGATCATAGCTCACTGAAGCCTTGAACTCCTGGGTTCAAGCAATCCTCCTGCTTCAGCCTCCCAAGCAGTTAGGACTACAGGCACATGCCATGCTGCCCAGCTAGTTTTTTTTTTTTTTCTTTTTATGGAGACAGGGTCTCACTATGTTGCCCAGGCTGGTCTTGAACTCCTGGTCTCAAGTCAGGAGTCATAAAATTATAACTATATAACTATAATGATATATAATATATGTATTATATAATCACAAAGGACTGGGATTACAGACCTGAGCCACTGCGCCCAGACCCCCCTGGCATTTCAACATAATGGTGATCACTTTGCATGTGGATAAATCTATAGTTGATAGTCAACAAATTATAATTTAAATGAATATCTTCAGTCCATGGCTTCTTTCTCTGAATAAAACCCTTGTCAGTCTGCTCTTAAAACCTCCTGTGAAAACAGGGACTAAGAATCTGATCTCCTTAAACACTGCCTCTCTTCTTAATAAAGTCCGGGATGAGGAAGCTACGTCATAGTGACATAGTGGTTCTCAGCTGGGGATGATTTTGCTCCCTAAAGGGACACCTTGCAATGTCTAGAAATATTTTTGGTTGTCACAACTGAGGGTGATACCAGCACCTCGTTAAGGACAGTTAAGGGTTAAGGATAGAGATGCTGTTCAAAATTCTGTAATTCTCAGGACAGCCTTCCTTTCCTGAACAGAATTATCTGGCCCAAAATATCAATAGTGCCAAGGTTAAGAAACCCTGTATTAATATGATATTCTAGAAACAACAGACATTTGTAAAGCACTTTAAAATTTACCAAAGGCTTTTGACCATGCTCCCTCATTTGATCTCACAACATTTCTCTGAAGTAAGAAGCATCGAGTTCACAATATTCGTTTAGCTGATGAAGACCAACCTGAGATGGTGGCAACTTAGCTGCCGTGACGCAAATGCGGCACCAACACTAGAACCCGTGGGTCTGGATCCCCAGTCCACTGCCGAGAGTGTAGACCCACATTGCAGTACAGCCGTGCTGTTTCATATGCTATGTATTCTATAACTGCCTCTGTCCAGAAAAGTTTGTGTTGTTGCAAACACTTCCAAAAGCCTATGAATATAACAGGGACCAAATGTTTATTTCATTATCGATAATGCAATAGGGCCTTATAATGTGAAGTTTGTGAGGCACATCTTACATAAATATAAGTTCTACTATTTATGTTTTAAATCAACGAATGCAACCTCACCAGCAAGCAGATGCAATTTAATAGTTGCCTCTCCTCCTTTCATAGCACATGTTACTGGCAGGTGGGAGAAATAATGTTAGTTCATCTGTCAGATTTTTAAAAATTCCCACCTGCAAAAAGACCTTCAGTTTTTTTTGTTGTTTTTTTAATAGAGATGGGGTTTCTCCATGTTGGTCAGGCTAGTCTTGAACTCCCAACCTCAGGTGATCCGCCCACTTCGGCCTCTCAAGGTGCTGGGATTGCAGGCGTGAGCCACCATGCCAGGCATCCATTCAAATCTTATGTCACTTCAAATGAGATACAAAATATATACAAGTATGCATAATTTGAAAGAGTGCATATAAAGTGGCATGACACATGTGTCAACATGTGACAGACACCCTGCTCCATAAATATGGTCAGCATGAACTAATACACCCGATCACTGATGTGAGTGACCCCACCCCAGCCACCAGCCCTGGGCATAAAAGGTAGAGCAGGCCAATCTCACTGGAAGAAGAGGTGAGTTCAGAGTGGAACAGCACCAAGCCACAGAGTCCGGTGGAGTGCTCCTTCTTAGGTCATCGTGAGTGAGCTCCTGTTAGGGGGTTCATGGACTCCAGGCTCAAGCCCTGCCCGTCACCTCCATAACTCTGCCTGAACTAACTCTGGGCTAAATAAACTCCCTGGCTCTAACCCTGCAGCATTAGGATATTAATTAGGACACCAAGAAAGCTGTAAAAGGTACAGAGATCAGCTCCAAACTTCCACTCCAAGATCTAGCTAAATGTGGCCTGTGCCCAGCAGCTTCCTACCCAGCCCCTCCGCAGGCCAGGCAGGCCTCAGGGGCCTCTCTGCAGACATCCTCTCCTCCCCATCACCACATACACACGAGAGTCCTTCCTAGGGGAGGGCAGCAGCAGCCCCGCCCATTGCAGGAAGCAGGGCTCACAGTGTATGTCATTTTAAGTCTGCACCATCTGTTCTGGGCCCTCATTATAAATTCATAATGAACATATGTGAGAATTACATCTGTAAAAGGAAAAAAATAAGATTTTTGTGATTTAGGCTCAAGTAGATGCCTTTTGTGCAAGCCAGCATATATTTGAGGTGGATTTTTCTTTATTTTTTGTTTTTATTTATGTTTTGTTTTTCTCCTAATACTTCAGAAACTGTTTGCCACAGATAAGTATTACTTCTAAGCTCTGCCATTAAGCTTAGAGGGATCAAAAATGAGATTCTAGAGCTCCTTGCCCTAAGAATAAGAAATATAACAAAATGAAATAAAAAATAGGTTCCTAACAGAGAATGACAATTGAATCAGGATGCAATAAGTAATTGTGCTGGAGAGCACGGGCCATGGAGTCAGACACACAGGGTTTGAGCCACTGCTCAGCCACTGCCCAGCTGTGTGAACTCAGGCGAGTTGCTCCAGGCTTTATTGTTCCCCACTACATAGCAAAAATGACACTAGCAGCTCTGTCACAGGCTCATGAGGAGTAGGTGAGAGGAACTAGATGGAGTGATGAGCACAGTACCAGGCACACAGAGAGGGCAGGGCAGACCCAGCAGCTTTCATCACGGTTCTCAATTCTCCCATCTGGGAGGAGAGTTGGCATTTTATAGATATGCACTAGGAAACAGATCTGGCCTACACATTCCGGAGGCTTAAACTCATCAAAAGATACAGTGGAAGCTTTAAAATGTGGACAGGTGTTGGACTGTGTATGTGTGTAGGTAGGTAGGTAGATAGAAGTAGATAGACAAGCTAATAATGGATGGGTGGATGGTTGGAAGGGTGGATGGGTGGATGGACAGATGAAAGAGAGATGTATCAGTGAGTTTTCACACAGGAAAAATGTGAAATCCAGATTTATCATGCTAATAATGATTATCTCTGTTAATGTAATGGAGAGACAGGGGAAGAAGAAAGTTGAGAAAAACAAACAAAAAAATCAACCTGAATAGGGGCTGTAGGAAGATCTTGGAGACCAGTTCTGGAGATTCAGGGGCTTGATACATGAACGAATGTAACTGAGACAGGGTCTCTGCACCTGGCAGACAGCACGGGGGGATATTGAAGAATGCCCTGGATTCACATGCATATATGTAAGTCAGGTTATGTATATAGGAAACTTTAAAAACATGAGACATAGGATTCACTACCTCACTCACATCCCTCAGGATGGTTTGCTAATCTGGAGAAGCACTACTGAATCCCCTCCTAACTAGCAGGCACAGGGTACCATGAATGTGGCTGGGAAACTGACTACACATTCCAGATCAGCAGCAGTTGTCAGAATGTGCTGAGTCCAGGGCAATACCTGTGTAGGGCCGCAGAGCTAGTTAATCCCATCTGAGCACTACTGAGGGGGAGATGTTCGCCTCCTGGAAGCAGGTAGAAAAAGACCCATGACATGTTCATACCACATGGGGTAGTTTTAATGAGCTTAATGCTTCAGTCAGTTGCTTCTGCCCCTAAAAGCAAAGAAAAAGCTTAGAGCCACCTGGTGAATGGTAATTGTTAGCTCTCCATTCGGGAGAAGATCAGGCACAGCAATAATATATATATTTTTTTTTTCCAAGAAGAGGTAGCAGCAGACAGCTAGCAATGTTCAGCAAATACAAGCTCTGCAGCACCAGTCAAGACAACGTCGTGCCGAAGGTCAGGACACAGGGCTGAGACAAATCTTACAGCGGTCTATGCACCCAGGGAACTGCACACTGAGTTTGGAGGTGCACTCAGTCCACTACGGTAGCAATAGTGTTTAAAAATGGGGAGTCAGAGGTGGGATTGATCCAGACACTGTTGATGGTGACACATGCTTGGGCCTTCCTATCTTTCTCCTCTTTCCTTCCAGAGACCTGATCAATGGAGACACACAGAGATCACCAGCAAACTGAGAACTGAAGAGCCCTCTTGTTTCTCTGGGCAATAACCCTCCCAGCCCAAAATGCAAGGCTTTGAGTAATGGTACAACACAGCTTTTTTGTTGATGCTGAAGTCAAAATGAAGTATCCTACTTCCTACACTATATCAACACCTTGTCCAAGTGTGCAGGGTGCCTGCACAGAGAGAGGAAATGAAAGTCCACTGCACCTAAGCCTCCGAGAAGGCCACAATCAGGGAAAAGGACACTGCTGAACTGACCCCTGCTTTCCAGGTATGCAACTCCATACAATAGCAAATATGGTCTGTTGACCTCAAACTTGGAATATTGAGCTTAATTAGTTCTACTCACGTGAGAGAGAAGGAGTGGACAGAAGGGTGGGAAGTGATTTCTACAAGATTTCTCTGGTGTGGGAAGAGACAGAAAATGTCCTCTCCTTTCTAGAAGAGAAAGCAGGGAAGATTAGTTTCACTTTCCAACATAGTCACCCCAACCAGTCAGCCATTAAGAAGATGGGGATGCACCTAGAGCTTCCTCTCCTCTCAGGGTCACTTCAGAAAGTGGATGCTGGAAGATTTTGCTGCTCAGAGAGCTATTTCCAGGCTCAGAACATTTTTGACTTCTTCTGCCAGGTTGAGTCCCTCCCTTCCTTCTAAAGTGCTTTCATGCTGCAGCCAAGTAAATGGGTGCCTGGGGAGAGAAGCCACGACAAAGTCAGGGCCCAGAAGACTCTGAAATCCACAGTGAGCTCTGGTTTGTTTGGGAACCAATTCAAAGGTTAATTTTTAGGGAGAACTTCTTGGTATACATGCACACTTGCTCACATGCAAAAACCCACATGACATTTTTTTGTTGCTAGGACTTGGGTTATAGTGCTAGAGCTATATCTTAAAGATCGTCTAGTTCAATCCTCTTTCCCAGTTTTATAAGTCAGAGAAATGAGTCCTCAAAGGTGAAATGCTTTTCTGAAGTTCACCCAAGAAGTTAACCTCATTAGCAGAGCCAAGCCAGGATGCAGGCTTTCTAAACCTTGTGGGGTGTTCTTGCTGCCTTGCTGATGAATCTCTCTCTTTCTCTCTCTGTCTCTCTCTGTCTCCCCATATATATGGTTATACAGTTGTATATGGTTACTATATATATATATAAACTTTTGGTCTACATTTTCCATTTTTGAGGGATTAAGTCTTGTCTGCTCCATGATGTTGCTCAATATTCAGCCCCAACTTCCTGCTTCCTTGTCTGCAGTATTCCTCCTCACTCAGGAAGAAAATCAAAAGTGTGATCGGATTAATTTGGGGTGGGATGGTAGGAAAAGAGGATGAAGAATGAAGTCTTACTGTTTTTCCTCCACCACATTTTAAAATTATATGTGAGATGCACTAAAACAAACCTTGGACTGGATGTTTTTCTACTTATCTCCCATCCCCCATCTCCTCTCCCCCCATACCGTGTGCAAATCTGATCCTCTTGGTCCCCTTTTTATTGATCTTTTACGGCTTTTCATGTGACCTCAGGTCTCGGCACCTGAAGGTCCTCAGACATAATCCAATCATTTAGAAATATTTTAGATTTATGTTTTTATTTAATATAAATTTAATAAATTTTATAATTTTTAATACATTTTTAAATAAATTTTATAATTTTTAATAAATTTTTAAATAAATTTTATTAATTTTATTTAATATAAAATTAATAAAAGCATATTCTGGGTCATCAGGATGGTCACCTTCATATTACAGAGTACTGTCAGGCAATTAAAGTGCTTGGGATTGTGTTTGTGTTTACAATAGTGATAGTGACAAGTTGTACTTCTTTAAATGAAAAGCTAATGAGAAAGAGCAGAGGCTGGCTAAATACATAAATAATGCTTTCTTTCAAAGTGAAGGTCAAATGACCTCAATGTTCACTATAGGAATAAAGATTTCCCAGTAACTTGATCACAGAGATCTGGTGGGAGAATTGAGTCACCACACTGGACATGGCGATAGATTTATGCCAAACACAAGGGAACTCACTCCATGGTTATCAGTAACCCACACATAACCGCAATGTAGTTTAGGCAAACAACCTAGTACACCATATTTAAGTATGTTTTAAATGTTTATTTCATTTGGCTTTTAGTTTCATGTGTTTTCAGTAATACATTCCTTTTGCTTCTCTAGTTTTACTAAAACTACAAGGATGGCATGTTTAATATGTTTGTACATATTATAATACAAACACTTTAGTTACCATTGAAGATCAATGGGTAGGTCAGTCAGGGTCCCCCCAAGAAACAGATGGCACATGTAAAAGGATTCACCTGAAAGAAATTTAGTGAAAGGGCTATTCACAGAGGTGTGAGTGAAGTTAAGAAACAAAAACAACAACAATAAAAAAAAAAAACAATAAAGGTTGGTGAGGAATCCAGGAACTAGCATTGAGAATCCATTGTCACCCTGGGCCTGAAGGGGCAAAGGGAAGCCTTCTGGGGAGCAGAGCCAGAGCAGCCAGAGAAACAGAAGCCAGCCCAGAGCACACAGCCTGGGAGACTGGGAGGAGGCGCTGCGGTGCCTGCATATTTCTAGGGTGGCACTGGAAATCGTGCAGTAATGCTTCTCTATCACTACGTTCCTGAAGGGCAGGATACCTGCCATAATCACCTTTCTGTTCACACCATTTAAGAGAGTCTGTCATACAATAGAACTCAATCCAAGGAAAATAGGGAAAAGGGAAGGAAGGAAAGAAGGAAAGAAGGAAGGAAGGAAGGAAGGAAGGAAGGAAGGAAGGAAGGAAGGAAGGAAGGAAGGAAAGAAGGAGTAAATGAGACCATCTGTGTATCTAAGTTTTGCCATTAGGTAAGCTTAGACAATTTGTAGCTTCTCTGGGTCTCATCATTCTTATCAATAAAATGAGAATAACAACAAGGAAGTTCTCATAGATCTTGAGAATACTAAGGGAAGAAAGAAAAGTACAAGTTTCTAGCACAGTAACTGACTTATTAGAGGTCAATAAAAACGCCCATGTATCTATCCACCCACTGTCTCCACACACCCACTCTCTTCTAGAAACTGAAAATATTTGAAAGTCTGATCCAGCCAGTTACCTGGACCTACTTCTGGGCCTCATGAAACCATTGCATGGCCACCTTAGACAGATCTGCTTCGGGGTGTTTGTGTTTCCCCTTGGGAACGAGGAATGCTGCTTGCTTCTTGGCTGAGTGGGAAGGGAGAAAGCAAGATGTTAAAGATACATGGGTAGAAACATATGTTCTTCCAACTGAAGAGCAAAAACCCAGCAGATATTTTTTTCAAATGACTGACTGAATGAATGAATTTTCTTCATTGAATGAATATACTACTTGCATGACTGGTACCCCTACTACACAGCTAATTTTATCCATGGAGGGAAATTTTAGACCAGCACAGAACCCAAAAGAACGTCCGGCCGTATGGGAAGAAATAGAAAGAAGTCAATGCCTGCTGCCTAAAATCAAGTCAAATCAACTCAACCATTAAACTTTCACCTACAAGGTTATTCACTGCTCTGAGACAGCATCCCAGTAACAAGCCAGAACAAGAATAAAATTAACTTAAAACAAGAAGCACTTGAAGAGGCCCTAAACTCGTTCCTGAATTTTTGCTTTTCATGTGAATTCTCAGATGTCCAATGTACCTCTATTCACTGATGCATTTCAGCCAAAAAGTCCTAAATGAATGTCAACTGTTAGTCTATGGGCAGAAAAGGATTTGCTCCCAGACTCATTCTGTTGGAGACATTGAGCCAACCTTGTAAGTCTCTGTTGTAATGAGATAACTCTATAAATACCAGTTATTTTTTAGTAGACTCGACACATTACATTTGAAACTGTGTTGGCAAAGTAGGAAACTTACTAGTTTATATGACTTGGATTTCATAGGTGTGTATGCTGCGGGTACACCAGTAAGTTTCACAGCCCCTCCTGTAGAGTAGGGATCTAAGTACAGCTCCTTTTTATATAATGTAAATGACAGGAGAAAAAGAATAATCCATCTGAGCAAAGAGTGTACAGTGAAGAATTTTTCAGGGATGGAGGAAATTTCTCTGACCTAAAGATATGTGATGTTGCTACTTTTAAAATCTCTACATCTTCTTTAGAATGTCATACTTGGCCGAGTGCGCTGGCTCCCAGCACTTTGGGAGGCCGAGGTGGGTGGATCACATGAGGCCAGGAGTTCGGGACCAGCCTGGCAAACATAGTGAAACCCCATGTCTACTAAAAAAAATATAAAAATTATCTGGCGTGGTGATGCACATCTGTAATCGCAGCTACTTGGAAGGCTGAGGCACAAGACTCGCTTGAGCCCGGGAGAAGGAGGTTGCAGTGAGCTGAGATCATGCCACTGCACTAAAGCCTAGGCAACAGAGTGAAACTCTGTCTCAAAAAATTAATAAAATAAAATAATGTCATATGTAAAGTCCTGATAACACAGGGCAAGCTCTCATGGAAAGAATACTTTAAAATTTTACAGTACTGTGGCACTTCTATTTCTATCCCACTGGTAGCATCTTATTGCTGATTCATCCGTAGCTTGTAAGTGGGTGTGTACTTCAGGTCTTTCCTTTGATATGTCCCAGGATTATCACACCTTTCATTTATATTTTGGTTTCTGGCCTTGAATGTACTACTTTGTACCTCTTTTCAGTTTTCCTACAATTTTAATTTGTCGAGCTTATTTTTAATCTTCTTTTTTTTTCTTTGCAATCAGGTGCATGGTAGAATTATTTTTACATTTTCTCACTCTGTACTTGAGACCTGCAATGATTAGACTATCAAATAGGACCTCTCTCTGAAATGCCACTTGAAACGTGCCTCTGGTCTGCTTGACAATCACTACCTTTCTGGAATGGTCTTGTAAAGGATGATTCAGTCAACAATCAAGATAATAAGTTTTAAACTTATAGTTGATAATATTGTATTCAACACAATAAAAAAACCGTATTGAGACTAAGATCTCTGTCTACTTCATCTGAGAGCCATAATAGGAAACCATGTTGGCTTAGATGACTCACTTTTCCAAGTTCATGGACAGAGTAAGCATCATCTGGAAACATCTTAGAAATGCAGACTCTCAAGGCTGATCTCAGACTTACTGAATAAAAATCTTCATTTACAAGATCCTGATGATTCATAAGCATATTCAAGTTGAGAATCACTGATCTAGATGACCTTTTTATACAGTATCTTATGCTTTCCGGAGAGATTGTAAATTGATAGGTTAATGATTTGCCTTATCAATGCCCAGGTATTGATGAAACTGCAATTTTGAAGGTAATTGTTTTTCAAAGATGTCATCACATTTGTCCTCCATAAGGCTTCAGGTAGTTTTCTAGCCCTATACAACTTCCCTATAGAAATATTTAGAAGTTCTGCATCATGAGCTGCATGTATTTCAAACTTTCTTTCCCCACACTAAAGGAGCATTTTGAATAGTTTAAGAGATTATTTAAAGAAAAAAAAAGAGTGCAAAATTCTTAACTGATTGAAAATAGCAGTGTTTAGAAAAAAACACTCATAAATACACATATTCACATTTACACACACAGTAACTTCATTCATAAGATCCTGGCTCTTGCAATAGCTTTCCCATGATCTCATGAGCAATCACTCCACTTCTCTGGACTATTGGAACTTCCCTGTGTAATGTCAAAAGTGTGGGTTTGGAGTTAGAGCTGGGTTGCCATGCTAACTCGGTTACTAATTACATGATCTTTGGTGTGTTGCTTAATCTCCCTAAGCTTCTGATTTACCATCTGTAAATAGAAATAATAAAACCTACTTCATATATATTTATGAGAATTAAATAAAATAATGCATGAGAAAGCAGCCCTCTGGATCATGTGGCACACACAAAAAGTAGTTCCTCTTGTTGTTGTTATAAGGATTATAAAATATCATCAAGGTGTGGTAATTAAGAACCCCCAACTCATTTAATATTTTATTCCCAGTACATGGCATTTAGCAGGGGCTAATTAATATAGGTTGAATTAATGAGTAAATAAATGGATGGATGGATGAATGGATGGATCTGAGGTCCCTAATCTGTAAAACTAAATGATTACTAAATCATCTTCTAATTCTGAAATTTTGATCTAAATTTTACCTAATCTCTGGGTTGGGGTTTACTGCTGATTTTCAGAGATGTCTCAATCTTAGAAATAAGAATGTGGGCATATTCAGGAGAAAAATTGTGTTATGGGCCTCTGATAAACTTACTAGGCATTCTGGGGGAAGCCAAGGGACAAAACTGTGATAGTACCAGGAAACACATTCAGCCAGTCATTCTGATTGTGAATGTCATCCATTGTTGCTTTCAGCAAACCAGGGATCCAGAAAATAGGTAAGTGCTAATGACCCCAAGGAAAAAGCAGCCTATCTATTTTCATACGCACACCTAGAAGAAATTACACCTTCCTGACAACTTGATTTAGATGAAATGTCATGAGAAAAAGAATGTGCTCAATTTTTCAGCAGGGAGGGAAAAAAATCAGTAGGGAACTCTGCAGGTCTTGGGGGTGAAGTTTTCTTGATATTAAGCTGATGATGCCTTGTATATAATAACAGCCCTTTGACTTTTATTTGTATAAAAATAGTTTTCTTCACAGTCTCATTATTTGTAGTCATTGTCCATGCCTTATCCTGTGCAAAGCAAGAGCTTAGAAAATATTTATTCAATGAAATTATCTCATTTAACCCTCACACTACAATTCTGCGTAGTAGCTACAACAGATTTAGGTGTTTTAGTTTACAGAACAGGGTATCAAAGCTCTGGTAGATTTAAAATGTCTCAAGTGCACATGGTAAACAGTAGTAAAGTCAAGTCTTTGGACTCTGGTAAGTCTAAAGTCAATGGACTGACTAGTGTATCACACTACCTCCTGGAGTTACAAAAGCTGGATTGAGACCAGGATTCATTGGTTCTATTAATATTTATTGAGAACATGCTAGATACTAAATATATAATGGCAAACAAAGCAACCATAATTGCTGCCCCCGGGTAAAGTTGTTAAGGAGCTATAAGCTGGAAAAGGACAAAGAAATATTGCCCACCTCTTACCATGGCTATCCTTTGACAATTAGGCAATTCATTTTAGTTTGAAAAAAACCCATAACTCCTCAAAGGACCCAGTGATAGACTTCCAAGTGGACTAGGCTTATGCTTTGTAACCAGGCAGGTTTACATATGAAACTATCCTCTGTCACTTTTTGGCTACTAGACTTTGGGAAATTCAGGAGTTTTACTTTTCTGAACATCTGTTTCATCATCTGCAAAAAATTGGTACACACTGTATATTGGGGTAACCATGAAAACCAAGTGAACTTTAATACAAGAAAACCACTAAGGTAACGTTTGTCACATAACAGGAGTTCAATACACTTTATTTTTGTTCCCATTACCACATTCCATCCTAAAAGTCAATGGCAAGCACCCTGATTTTCTTCACAGGCATAAAGTCTTATATAGTTTTATATAAACAAACAAAAGAGGAATAGAAAGGAGAAGCAGAGTGATTGGATGTGTACTTGGAATATGACTCTATATTTCAGCAAAGGAGACCAGACAACATCTCTTCAGCAGCCCCTGAGACACCTGAACAGGTGCCCAAAAGAGTTCTTGCTCTGCTGCCCCTGCAGAGCTTTAGCATGGGGTCAGTCATGATTTCACATCTAAGGGCTGCAGAGATAGCTCTTCCCAGAATCCAGAGAGCAGAGTGGACAGTCGCCAAGGGTTTCTGGCTCCAATTCTTCTGAGTGCCTACAAAGAATTCTGAGACTCTCTGATGGGAATATGTTTATTAAAAATGACTACAGTGCTTCTGTGATTTGTTCTCAATCTGTCTGTCTATTCTGTCCCACTTTTCTTTTCTCTTTAAACAACCTATGCTCAATCCAAACTGAATTACTCGATTTTCCTTCAATTTGCTCTCAATTTTCATGGCTTGGATGGTGCGGTGTCTTCCCCATGGAATGACTTTTTTCCTTTGCTATGTCAAATCCTATCTATCCAACAAGACCCAGACAAAACACTCCTCTCTTCCATCAAACTTTCCCTGAATACACACCTCTTACCCTGCTGCCAGCTGAAAATAATCTTATCTTGCTCTGCTCTCTCTTTGCACTTCATACCTACTCCATACTGCACTCTCATTTCCTATCCTGTATTAATGTTATTTCTGTATGTGTTTTATCCTCCCTTTTAGATCTGAACTTCCCCAATGGTGGGAACCACAATTGGATTCATTTTTATACCCTGGTGGAGCCAACCACAGTGACTAACAAAGAAGGCTAATCAGGTGTTCACAAAATGAATGGAATGATGACAGCAGTGACGATGACGATGATGATGATGATCACGACGATGATGATGATGAGCAACTACCATTTAGGAAAGGTTTACTGTGTGCCCACAAACCTACAAACCTACTCTTGGGTTCCTTATACTGCTCATTACATTGAATCCACTCGGCAAACCTTTGCAAGAAGCTACAGTTATTACCTTTGTTTAATAGATTACAAAATTGAGGCTTAAAGATGTCCAATTACTTACCCAAAGTTACATAGCTAGGAACAGGAATAATAAGGATTCTAACCAAGTTATATTTCTTCAGAGATAATACTAAGAACTATAATAATTACCTTGCTTACCTTCTTTCTTGTCCTCATATTCCCATAATTTTAGGAAAGCACTCCTATAAGTTTTAGAATGATGAAGCCTCTGAAGAAAACTTTCAGACTCCTTTTTTTCCTTTCTTCTTTATATTCTTTTTTCCTCCTGTGTTTCAAAAATAAGGCTTTTAACAACCACTTAATGAAAGGACATTTGTGGTCAATTCTGACCAGAGCAAGACTAAGAGAACAGTGCCTGCTGTGCAGATACATACCTTTGATGCATACCGAGTTCTGGCTGAGTTAAGTGCTTTCAACTTCCCTTTAAAAGGAGTTATTCCCACAGGATTCTATTTAAAGCCCTGCAGATATTCACAAAAGCAGACAGCATGAAGCAGCACTGCATCCCTTGAGGATGGCAGGAGAGGAGGGGAGCCCCAAGTTCCTCTCTTATCCCATAAGTCAAGTTAACACAGTAAGCCTTGTTGCAGAGTGTGGATGCCTGAAAGAAATGGGTCTATGTTCACAGCAGCCAGTGGTCTAATGAGGAGACCCATGGTTACATATGATTAGGGGCCAAAATGGGTGGTTCCAACAAGCTGCAAGCAGAATAACTAGGGAAGGGGAGTTGAAATTATTTTTAAAAAATTAGTCTGGAGTCTAGCGTAAGTTAGGGATGTGATGGTTAGGGTGTGGGATTACAGGATTCTGGAATCTCTGAGCTCTCTTCAACTCAGCTTCCAAAGATAGAATGGTCTTTAAAGACCATTCAAAGGAAAGCAGAAGCAGTATAATCTGGGGGGTTGTTAAAATGGTATGGGCTTCATTTCCATTAAAGATCTTAATGCATAGATGGAGAGTTAGGATCTCAGTCATTTCTTGACTTCCCCTAACCTTTGTTGCTCTCCTGTATCCCAGTGTCTCACTTTTCACTGGGTTCACTTTTTAATCCAGGGTGCCATTTTCTTTGTCTTCTGTATGTCCTCAGCTATTTCTCCTCATACTCTCCATACATGAACACAACACATGGGCTTACACTTCGTAGGTGCTCAGGAAATATTTACAGGGGTGATTTGGCAGAGATATATAGTCTCTGTGTCCTTAACACATAGTACATGTTCAATAAAGGCTGATTGGAATGGAATGAGGAGTGTATGGTCAAAGAAGAGTCTTTGGAAGCTCAATGAGCTCGGTTGCCTGATTTTGGATAGCTGTTTTGCCTTGGAAAGAAGGCATCTATTTCCAAATTTGAAGCATAAATTCCATTTAATCAGTGGCATGAACTAGATGGCCACAGCTGCTGTTTCTTGCAGTGGCCAAGGGCCTTGGGGGAAATGGCACCAGTGAGCAGGGGTGAATCAAATGGGCAGGGAATGGAGTGTGGTGGGCACGGACAGGCTCTGCAGCCCTCGCTCCACTTGGTGGATTTTGCCCCTCATGGAAATGATGTCAGAGATGCAGAGACGCATAGCTCCTGGCACTTTGGCCTTTAGATTTTCCCCAGAAGGGTCTTAGAAGCCCAGTAAACTTTCATTTTAAAAAAATTATCTAAAAGAGGTACAAATATGCAAAGAGGATCTATGAAGCAGTAGAGTTTAGTGGACTAAACATAGAATTTGGAATCAAAAGCCTGAGATTAACACTTGGCACCATCTTTACACACTAGCCTTGCACCCTTGGGCAACGTCCTTAATGGTTGAGGACCTTAGTTTTCTAACATGTTAAATGGGAATAACAATTCTGGTTCTATCTACCTTTACAGTATACTGTGGTTAATACATGAGTTCATAGAGAGATAAGTGTTTGGCAAAGAGTAAGATATTATATAAATGCAGATGACTTAACAAATACTCACCAAAAAATAACCCTATTGGGGACTTGCTTATAATGTCATTCACACACATCTCACAATACCTCTGTACAGTTAGCATTACACCAATTTACATGGGAGGAAACTAAAGATATGTATTATTTGCGAGCAATCACACAGCTCACACCTCTGGATTTACAATACCTTACTATCTTTCAGCCCTTTCCCATCTATTTTTTTGTCCATACACCAGTGTAAATGGAGCAATGGCCCCTCCTCTATCTAACTTTCCCCGTGGTTAATGTATGAACTTAATGTTTGAAACTGCAATATGATTACCAGCCTCTGAACTCCTAGGCTTGCTTGACATTCAGGCATGATTCATTCAGCTCTAAGGCATTATTTTAGGCTCTGTAGAAGATTTCAAAATGTATTAGCAGCAGCCTTTTCCCTCAAGGAGCTTACATTTGAAGAAGGAAGACAAAATGAGAAAAAGTATTCATACACCACACACCACAGAAAACCACCATCACCTGGGGTATTGGATGTTTACTATATTGACTATATGCCAAACTCTCTTCTCAGCATTTTACATAGACTGATTGCAGAAATAAATGAAGACCACTGAAACAATAAGCAATTTATTCAGAGCTAGCTATAGTGAGGGAGTCAACCACCACCACTGGTGTTTAGCAGAGGCAGATATAGGTGGAGGGAAACCTTTGTAGAGAAAACAAGAGAAGGCTTCAGGTGTGTCCTACTTGGAGATTGTTGGTGTGAGCAAGCTGGTGGCAGGCTAACTGAAACAGGGCACCTATGTTACTGGCTAGGGGAGCATAGTTGCCTTTTTCTGGTTGGTCCTGGCTGGAGGTCAAAGCAAAAATTAGGGAAACAGTCAAGTACTGATTTGGGGCCAAGATGTAATCAGTACTTGATCACTTCCCTAATTTTTGCTTCGACTTCCAATCAGGACCAATTGTACAAAGAATGTGTCTTGGCTGCCTGGCCTCATTATTGCAGATTGTGGGTCAGAGTTCTATTTGTATTAATGATCTGGCCATTGTCTGTTTGTATAGTGCAGTTTCTCATAATTCATTTAAGCATTACAATAACCACATAACATAAATACTAGGCTATCCAGAGGAAACTGAGGCACAGAGGGATTTATTAACCTGCCCAGGGTCATACAGTTAACAAGAGGCAGAAACATTATTCTAGCCAGACAGTCTCTTCCAGAACCCACATCCTTACCCACTACACAAATAAAGTTAAATAGAAAAAGAGAAACAACATAAAAAGAAATAAGCAAAGGACCTGAGCAGAGAACTGACAAAAAAAGGAGTGCAATAACTCTTAATATAAAAAAGGATGCTCAGACGCAATCAAATTAAAAGAAACAGAAAATAAAATTACAATCAGATATGTTATTTACCTATCTGGTTGGCAAATATAAAAAAGTTTGATGATACATAGTAGGTGAACTTGTAACTTGAAAAATAGTCTATAAAAAGAAATTTAATAACACCTACCAAAATTAGAGATATGACTTCTTGACCCAATAATTTCATTGCTAAATATTTATTATACAGACATGCTCACACGTGAGTGAAATGACATACCTACAAGGATATTTCATTGTCACATTTATAAAAGCAAACACCGGGAATGACTGACATGACCATCAACAGTGGGCTGGTTAATTTGTGGTACACTCATAATGGCAGGAGTCTATTGACACCCCATATGCCACATGCAGGAGTCTATTCACACCACATGGGCCACATGGAAGAACCTATTCACACCATGTGTACCACATACATGAGGCTATTCACACCACATATGCCACATGCAGGAGCCTATTCACACCACATGTACCACAGACAGGAGCCTATTTACACCACATGTGCCACATGTAGAAGCCTATTTACACCATGTGTGCCACATGCAGGAGCCTATTCACACCACACGGGCCACATGCAGGAGCCTATTCACCCCATGTATGCCACATGCCGAAGCCTATTCACTCCATGTGTGCCACATACTGTTCTAGATGTTTTACATGTATTGACTCATTTAATCCTCATAACAATCCTATGAGGTGGGCGCTTTCATCTTACCATTACTAGATGTGTCAATCAAGGTATGGAGAAGTTGAGTTGCCCAAGGTCATACAAAACAGCATTTGAAATCAGGCAGTCTGCCTCCAGAGCCTATGTTCTTAACCACCATGTTATGCAGACCAATCAACAGCTGTTAAATAAATGGCAAGGTTCTATATGTCCTGATATATAATAATCTCCAAAATATATTATAAAGTGAGAGAAAAAAAGGGTGACAAGTTGTAGAATGGTATTTATGTGTGTTCATTCAATATATCCATATTTAATCCTATATATATATATACACACACACACACACACATATATATAAACATATGCAATATATATAGAATACGTATATAGAGTATATACAAAAGGATATACACCAACCTGGTGGGGGAGATGGGTGGCTGAAGGCCAGAGATAAGGAAACACCATAAAAACTCATTTTTTAAATTTTGGAGCACAGACATGTTTTCCTATTAAAATGTAATTGTCAAAATGTAATCAGCATGTATTACTTTCCTTCTGTAAATCCTTACATTGCTTCCTATTGCACTTAGAACAACCAGCTCCAAACTCCACAGCATGGTCAACGAGACATGCCTGAGCTACCCTGCTGTGTCTAGTCTGTGTAACTCTCCCTCTGGTTCACCCTGCCCCAGCTTCTTGGCCCTCCTTTCCTAGCATAAACATGGCAAGCTCTCTCCCACCTTGGGGACTTTGCCATGGATATTTCTTCTGCCTAGCATTTATTCTCCCATGTTTTGCAACTGCTTGAAAGTGTCTCATCCTACAGACCTGAATTCAGCTTCCTGAGCATTCAATGAAAATATTTTTTTCCCTGCTCTCATTATTATCTATCCCGGTACCCTGTTTTCTTTCAGTGTTTTTTAAGTAGCACTACTCACACACTGTAATTATTTTGATTCTTCTTTAATAGTGCGTTTTTAACTTTGTTATTTCCTTTCCAGAATAGGACTTAATGTGCCTTTTTCACATGTTTCTTTTGCATCTAGCACAGTGCATGGCAAATAGTAGGTACTCAATAGTATTTGTTTAATTGTTTAATTAATTAACTGATTAACTCTGTACTTCACATAGAAAGAACCCCAGCATGTAAGGAGATTTGAAGCAAAGGATTTCCTTTGTCAGCCCACGGCACAAGAGGTAGGAGACAGGACGCTGTTCATAAGAAATCTTTCATTCACTTATTGAAAGGGGTCCAAAAATCATGAACTGAAGTCATTGCACAGTCTGTGGGGGAAAGATAAGTGCATAAGCTTTGAAGTTAGACTGGCCAGAATCAAATTCCTGTCCAGCTGCAAGTTATGTGGCTTTGGGTAAAAATTACTCAATACCTATGATATTGAATTGCGTCATCTGCAAAATTAGGACTATGGAAATACTATGAGCATTGACTAAAATAAAATTAGTAAATCTTGCTTCATGGTAAGTCCTCAACTAATGGTAATTATAAGGACTTCCTCCCCTATCCCTTCCTAAGTGCACACATGGCTTCAGAGGCCAGAGACTGGAGCTACTGATAGCAAAGCCTACGTCAAGGCGTGGTGTCCCTTGAAGGGCCTGAAAAGAGAGTCTGTTGTTAAAGACGTTGTTATTGCTGTTGCTCTGGGCCTGATGATGATGATGATGGGGCAATGGAAAACCCTAAAGTATGAGAGTCCTTTCCCCACCTCAGGCCCCATTGTATTCTCCTTGCACTGCAGAGCTGCATTTCCATAAATAGCGCATTGTGTTCTAGCAGATAGCTATTTCATTAGTATTTCCCAGGTTCTGTTGTAGTAATAAATTTGGAGCACAATGACTGCATGTCAGGTCCTTTCAAATGCTTTGATTAAAGAGGATTTGGATGTCATTTTTTTTCTTATTCTTATTCGTTTTCTCCTTGGGCTGTGGAACCAAAGTTGTCCGGATCTTATAAGGCAACCAGGTTATCCCTGACCTGCCTTATCCCTCCATCCCAGAAGATCAGGGAACTTGAGTGCACCTCAGAGCAGTAGGCTCAGGGATTTCAGGCAGGTCTGGGCACCAGGGCAAGCTGTGCCTGAGGAGAGCTTGAGCCACTCGCACACAGGTCACACTCCCCCTGACAGTCTGTTTGTCATGACTCAGTGGAATAATCAGAACAAGAAGCTCTCTGTGGCAGTGCCCTTGGAGATGGTGCCCTTCCAGCCCATCTGGAAGTATATAATACAGACAGAACAGAGAAGAGCGATGCTGAGATTTCCCGAATGGATTTGCTCAATGCTAGAGGAAGGATGTGAACCCCTGGTGTGCTGTTTTCCTAAATCCAACTTCCAGCCTTTAAGACTTCTTCCCACCATTCCAGCAGGAAGAACTAAGTCAGGGAGCTAGCCAAAGAAAGAAAGAAAGAACTCTGCCAGCCAAACTCATCGGTCTGTCTTCAGATTCTGAGAGCGTGAAATGGAAATGGATGGTATCCAGTGAGCCTGCTCTGATTTTATTATTTCAAAATGCTGTGGACACAGATTAACTCTCTTTGCCTGGTATTTAGCTTTTTTATTTTTTTTCTTTCTTTTTCTTTTTCTAGGGAATGGGAACAAGATGCTCAGTGATAAATTCATTGGACAGCACTATGTCTCCACCATAACTCCTTGGCATGCCTCTCTCATCCCTTCTGGACAGAAATGTTCCATCTCAGCGCCATGTCCCTCATTGAATCAACCCAGACACACTCCTTCAATGCCACCCCAAACAGCCAACTACACTCATCAGGGAGCAGGAAGGAGGCAGCGATAGCAGGGTGGCCATTCCTCTCTGTGCAAGGGCGGATAGCACACATCAATCTCCCAGCAGTCTGTTCCCCATCCTGTTGGGATTTCCATCCACTTCACAGTGAGGCAGACAGGCTTTCTCTGGCAATGTTCAGCTGCTTTGCTTCCAGCACCGTGAGGAACCCTGGCAGGAGGTGGGCCACCTAGAATGAGTGATGACACTGGCCTACTCCAAACTGTAGCTGAGGGGAGTCACACTAACACTACAGACACCATCTGTGCAGGACACAGATGTCCAGAAAGTAGAGAGTTCATCCTGCAAAGCAAACATCACAATGCCAAGGGTTAATGGGAAGAAAGCTACGCTGGGCATCAAGCACTTGAGGCCTCCTCCCTCAATAACAAATTCTCTAGAGTTACTGAGAATATGTGCCAGCCTCAGTTTCTCCATCTCTTAAATGGACCGACTCCAAATTGAAAAAAAGAACATTCATTTTTATTTGACATTTATCATACATTCTTTTGAATCTGTTTTTAATATGTGCAATATATTCTCTTCCCAGGTAGCATAGTATAGTAAAAAAGCAGAATAACAGCTGAGAATAACAGCTCAGTCATTTGTCGAATGACCTTGGACAATTTTTTTTTTTGTGCCTCAGATTTCTGTTATTAAAAGGGGATAAGAATTATCAACCCTGGGCCAAATGAGATGATGATTTGAAATAGCCTAAGGTAGATATTCCAAGCAGAAGCTACTTTTGTTACTAATGTGCACTGAGGAACTGACTTTACATAAATTTCCAATCCCTTTCATGCCTAGCAGAGTGTTGGCATATAGTAGACGCTCAGTAAATATTTGCTAATTGTTACACTTTCAAACTTCAAGGCAGAATAGAACTGTACCCAACAATGGTGTCAGTCTTGCAGAATGATTTTATAACCCCGTCAGTTTGAGAGAGCTAAGTGGAGCTAAAAATGTTCATGTCAAGAGTTGTAGTATCCAGGCCACTAAAACATTTGATTTTCTCCTTTTCTCCATCAAGTGCCAGCATGTGAGTGAATTCATCTCTATTCTCCATTTTGATGTCTGTCTTGACGTGAAACCCATTCTGGGAACGAGCTGATGACACCCAAACCGTATCCTATTAACACATCCTTCTTTCAGAAACTGCTGCTATTTTACAAAATGCCTTTGGGTGTGTTGCAGAGAAAATGCCTGTGACAAAGGAATTCAGGCTTTGATCAGAATTGTTTTCCTGAGCACTTCTTTTTAGGCACCACAGGAAGTTTACTCTGACAACAGATTGACACAGTCATTGGTGATTTTCATTAAAAATCTTGTTAAAGTATTGCTTCTGTTACTCCCCAAACCTCTGGTCCCAAATACTGTTCCTGAGGTTAGGAGCCACACAAGCACTCTTGTCCTGGAATGTGCCCTGTCCAGCTCCAATCCCCCTTGCTGCCAAGGCTTTAATAGTTTCATAAGGGTTAGTTTTTTTCCCGGGCCCCGAATATTCCTGGCCAGTGAAGCTAGGGCCATTTTGCCACCATCTGCAGGTTTAGCCCTACCCCAGCCTCTAAGACTGATTCTGTCCCTAGGCAAGAGGAATACGAGCTCCCTGATTCAGCACCAAGTCAGTGTTTCTGCAATTTCTATCCTAATACAGACAGTCTGTAAATCAGTGACCGGCATTATCTCAGTTATTCTTCTCAAAAACCCTAAAAATAGGTAGTTGTGTAATTCCTATTTTAATTTTGAGAAAACTGAAGCTTAGACAGGAGAAATATCTTGTCAAGTTCCCATAGCCAGGAAGCCAATCTGTCAGACACGGAGCCTTTGATTTTAACTGCACACACCACAGCCTCCCAGCCCTGCCTCTGGTTGTCCTGTAGCAGTTCTGCATGATACCAGTCCTCAAGACAGAGTTTCGCTCTTGTTGCCCAGACTGGAGTGCAGTGGCGCTAGATCAGCTCACTGCAACCTCCACCTCCCAGATTCAAGTGATTCTCCTGCCTCAGCCTCCAGAGTAGCTGGCATTACAGGTGCCCACCACTGCATCAGGCTAATTTTTGTATTTTTAGTAGAGATGGAGTTTCACTATGTTGGCCAGGCTGGTCTCGAACTCCTGACCTCAGGTGATTCGCCTGTCTCGTCCTCCCAAAGTGCTGGGATTATGGACATGAGCCACTGCGCCTGGCCAAGACTGCATTTCTTGATCCTGATATCTATGCAGGGTGTTGCAAACTTTAATAAGCAAAGGAATTGGTGATTTGGGGAATGAAAGAGCTTTATAAAGAAGTTGGCAGGGGTGAGGTGAATTGAAAAGGGAATTCTAGACAGAAAAAAACAGCAGAAATGAAGAATTAGAGAGAAGAGGAGCACAATCATTGGGAGAACCTGAAGTCGCCAGGCTCGTCTAGCATCCAGTCTTCCATAGTTCCATCCTAATAACATCCTAATAACATGGCCAGAGCAAGATTTTTAAGAGAGGACGCTAGAGATGGAGACAGAGCCTGACCACTTAGAACTGCAGGCCACATAAAAAGAAGCCAGAAGTGGGCTATCTGAGCAAGGAAAAACAGCCATAACTTAATGGCGAGATGCAAAGGCAAGCCTGGAACTTAATTAAGATCTATTATTTCAAGTTTCAAAGTGAATCTAAGATCCAGTTTGTCTTCCCCAGGCAGGGTGGGCCAAGCCATGCGGTAGGTAATGCAAAGCTTCTGGCAGGGGAGCAATTTTTGATTGAGACACTGGCAGTCATTCCTGGTGTCCAGCCCTGCATTGACCAGATTCTTACTGGTCTGTGACACAACCTTACCTCTGTGATATCCCTGCCAATAATACCTATTAAAATTAATTTAAGAGAAAATATCAGACAATCTCAAACTCAGGGACATTCTACAAAATAACTGCCCTGTACTATTCAAAATTGTCAAGGTCAAGAAAGACAATAACAGCTGAGCAATCGGTCTAAAATATAAGAGACTCAAGAGAGACAACAACCAAATGCAATGCATGACCTTGGTTTGGATTCTAGATCAAGGAGGACAAATTGCTATAAAGGACATTATTAGAACATTTGATATGAGACTATGGCCTGTGGATTAAATAGTTGTTACTTAATATTGATGTTAAATTTCCTGATTGTGATAAATGTAAAAGACTATCCTCGCTCTTAGGAAACATGTACTCTAGAATTTAAAGCTAGAGGGGCAAATGTCACCAACTTACTTCCAAACAGTTCAGAAAAAAATTATATATAAATATGTAGAGAAAAAATAATAAATCAAATAGTGCAAAATATAAACCACTGGTGTATTTGAGTTTGGGCAAACGTACTATTTCTTGCAACTTTTATGTAAGTTTGAATTTGCTTTTAACTGTCAGGCTGGATTTTATTTTGTTATTTTTTAAAAAGAGACAGAGTCTTGCTCTGTTGCCCAGGGTGGAACACAGTGGCACAATCATAGCTCACTGCAGCCTCAAATTCTTGGACTCAAGGCTCAGCCTCCCAAGTAGCTGAAGACTATAGGCACACACCACCATGTCCAGCTGTGTGTTTGAAATTAATACCAACATTTTTAGTTATATAAAAAAACCTTGAGACATATAAAATTGTGGTTCTTTAATCAGCAATTTATTGAAAGACAGACTTTCAAGCCCTATCCCAGACCCACAGAATCAGAATCTACATTTTAACAAGATCCTCAAATGATTTATTTGGATGCACATTCAAGATTGAGAATCTTTGCTGTATCACGTCCAAGGCTAGGTACCTGGTTCTAGCTATCAGGCATCTCAACCACAAATCACCTACAGACCATGTCCCAAAGTCCTATTCATTCCCGAAACACAACTCAGAAATCACTGTCTCTGTTAAAATGTTTCTTATCTCTGCCCACAGTTTTTTTCCAGACTATTGTGCTGTATTCAGTGTTTTCCACAGAAATTTTTATTGTCACACATTATACTAAAATTCAGTTTCATTTCTTTAGTAAACTGAGAGGTATTCTTTGTTATATCCTTAACACTGGATCAGGCAAATACTAGTGCTTGAGAAACTTTTGAGAGTACATGAATAAATAAATAAATATTTAAATGAATAAACTCTGCGTTTTCAATCTGCATGTAATATTCATGGCTCCCGAAAAATACTCTGGAGTCTCAGAATGGACTACAGGTAATTTAGGTTTGAGCAGATACCAGCAGGGAACAAAGGAGCTGGTGGGAAGAGGAGTCACAGCACATAGACGTTCAGCCTCTCAGCCAACATCGTTCCAATGCACAACGAAGATAGCTAGTTTCAAATTTCCTCACAATTCTTAGCAGTCGTATAATTTCTCGCTGGCTTTATGACCCAGTAAAGCATTGTTACAGTAACAACGCATTGGTCATGTCCCCTTGCCACAAGATGTGTGAGTGTTGTGAAAATACACTAAATAACAAAAGCTAATCTTAGCCAATATAATGGTCAAATCACAGTTATTAGGCAAAAAAGAAGAAAGGCCAAAGTGGCAGATATGAGGACAGGCTTGTTTGAAAGCACGTGGCATTGTTATCCTCAAGACAGCTCTTTTCTCAGCTCGGGCAGGCACTGGTGGAGATACAGGACAGGACATCAGAAAGCTCGAGTGACTGAAAGGAAAGGCGAGGCTTTGGTTTGGGAAGAATGATCTCCTCCTCTTGTCTTCAAATGCACAATAAGGAATGGATTTATAATGAGCTGTTTCTATCCAAGAAGTAAAGCAAATCTAAAAGAACCTACTAGTTACAATTCAGCCTCCCCGGTGCTTTCAGTGAAAGGATAATTTGAGATATCAAACTGAAACGTCCATGGGCTACGTAAGGCTAAGTGGACTCCAGGTCTTTCAACACAGACAAGGTCTGCTACCATAGTACTTGCAGAAAAAATATTTTATTTTAACTCAACATGGGACTTTTAAAGAATTCCCACAGGAACAAGGTTTTGCCAAAAACCAGAGCTTAATTTAATGAGGGTGAAAAGTTTAAGAAAGAAATATAAAAGGAAAGTCCTGAAAGGACAGAAGAGATTTGGAGCGGGAACCTGTGCCCAACTACTTGAAAAATATCAGCGGTGGCAGTGGGCAGATTCAGGCCATTATGAGGTTCTGAGCATCTCAGAGAGATTATCTTCAGCCTGCTGCATGTGCAGGAAGCTTCTCAAATGAGCAAAGCAGAGCCATGCAGAATTGCTTGAGGGCGTGCCTTTTATTTATTTTAACACCGACTATGTGCCGGCTAACTTCATTTGAGTCTGTGAGGTAGGCACCATAACCACTTTGCAGATATGAAGGCCGATAGAGGCTAGAGCTATCTGTCCAAGAATAGACACATAGTTTTCAGAAAGGTCCCACTTCCCAGCTTGAGGGAGGCCACAGCAGCCTTTGAAAAAGGTATCTCTGGCCGGGCGCGGTGGCTCACGCCTGTAATCCCAGCACTTTGGGAGGCTGAAGCGGGCAGATCACGAGGTCAAGAGATGGAGACCGTCCTGGCTAACACGGTGAAACCCCGTCTCTACTAAAAAAAAAAATACAAAAAATTAGCCGGGCGTGGTAGCGGGCGCCTGTAGTCCCAGCTACTCGGGAGGCTGAGGCAGGAGAATGGCCTGAACCCAGGAGGCGGAGCTTGCAGTGAGCCGAGATCGTGCCACTACACTCCAGCCTGGGTGACAGAGCGAGACTCCGTCTCAAAAAAAAAAAAGCTATCTCTTTGTTTATAGAGTAATCACGTCGCATCTCTTGGTACCCCTTCCTACTTACTCTCTGCACTGCTTTGTCCTGTCTGGCTTGCAGATGCCTGCTGTGAATCTTCACGTTGGACTTGTTTGCCTATCTCTTATAAATTTCTCATGTTATTCTCCTCCTTTGATTCAGTGCCCACCTTAATTCATGACGTGATTTCAATTCCTTTTGGTTTAAACAGAAAGAGCCAAGAGCCCAGGCACCCAGCTCCTTTGTCCAGTGCTGGTTCCCAGAGCACCAGCTGAGAGAGAGTGGGTTCCTAGTCCACAGTAAGCCAGGATTTCAATCCAGATATCTAACTCCAAAGTTCAGGTTCATTTTTGTGCCATTCCTTTTTGGACAAGTGGGATTTTGTTTCCAAAGAAAGAACAAGAAGAAGCTCAGTTATGCTAAGTGTGCCAAACAGGATTCAGATTCTGACAATGTTTTGAGAACTTACATTTTGACACCACTGATTAGCAATATGGGATTACTCAAACATTGGCAAGCCTGAAAATTACCTTGGTTCCACTTATGGAGAAAGAAAATCTGGGGCCAGGCACAGTGGCTCATGCTTGTAATCCCAAAACTTCGGGAGGCTGAGGTGGGCAGATCACTTGAGGACAGGAGTTCGAGACCAGCCTGGCCAACATAGTGAAACCCCACCAAGATTGCCTCACTGCACTCCAGCCTGGGTGACAGAGTGAGACTGTGTCAAAAAAAAAAAAAAAAAAAAAAAAAAACAAGAAGAAGAAAAAGAAAGAGAGCGAGAAAGAAAGAAAGAGAGAAAAAGAAAGAAAGAGAGAAAGAGAGAGAGAAAGAAAGAAAAAGAAAGAAAGAAAGAGAAAGAGAAAGAAAGAGAGAAAGAAAGAAAGAGAAAGAAGGAAAGAAAGGAAAATCTATTAAGCAAGTGAATGATAGATATTGCATCAAAAAGGAGGAGAAAAGAAGGGCTTGGGCAAGGCTCAGCCTGCTCTACTGGTCTACTGGGTAGTAGCAATCTAGAACTGGGTAGAATAGAAGTGGATGAATGAAAAGACCACATTGGGGTCTGATAATATCATAGAAAGGGGAAAAAGAAGGGAAGAAATCAGGGGCTTCATTATTTAATTTTTCTTTTTAAAGATTTTTTTTTATTATTTTAGGTCCAGGGTTACATGTACAGGTTTGTTATATGAGTAAATTGCATATCTCAGGGGTTTGGCCTATAGATTGTTTCATCATCCAAGTAATAAGCATAGCACCTGATAGGAAGTTTTTCAATCCTCACCATCCTCACAACCTCCACCATCAAGTAGACCCCAGTGTGTGTTGTTGGCTTTTGTTTCTAGTTCTGTTTATGCAGTGAATCACATTTATTGATTTTCATATGTTGAACCAAACTTGCATCCCAGGAATAAAGCCTAGCCTACATGGTTGTGGTACTGGTTTGGGTTTGCTAGTATTTTGTTGAGGATTTTTGCATCAGTGTTCATCAGGGATATTGGCCTGAAATTTTGTTGTTTTTGTTGTTGTTGTTGTTGTTGTTGTGTCTCTGCCAGGTTTTGGTATCAGGTTGATGCTGGCCTCATAGAATGGGTTAGGAGGAGTCTCTCCTCAGTTTTAGCTTTTTTTATACAACTGGCAGAATTCAGCTGTGAATCGGTCTGGTCCTGGGCTTTTACTGGTTGGTAAGCTTCTTACTACTGATTCAATTTCTGAAGTCATCATTTGTCTGTTCAGGAATTCAATTTCTTCCTGGTTCAATTAGAAGGTTGTATGTTCCAGGAATTTATTAATGTATTCTAGGTTTTCTAGCCTGTGTGCATAAAGGTGTTCACAGTAGTCTATGAGAGTTTTTGTATTTCTGTGGGATCACTGGTAATGTCCTCTTTGTCATTTCTTAAGGTGTTTATTTGGCTCTTCTCTCCTTTTTTCTTTATTATTCTAGCTAATGGTCTATCTTATTAATTATTTAAAAAAAAACAACTCCTGAATTCGGTGATTTTTGCATGGTTTTTTTGCATATCAATTGCTTTCATTTTAGCTCTGATTTGGGTTATTTCTTGTCTTTGGCTAACTGGAATTGGTTTGCTCTTGTTTCTTTACGTCCTGTAGTTGTGATGGTAGCTTGTTAAGAGCTTTCTAGTATTTTGATGTTGGCTTTTCATGCTGTAAACTTCCCTCTTAACACTGCCTTAGCTGTGTCCAAGTGATTCTGGTATGTTTTATCTTTGTTCTCATTAGTTTCAAAGAATGTCTTGATTTCTGCCTGAATTAAATTATTTACCCAAAAGTCATTCAGGAGCAGTTTGTTTAATTTCCATGTAATTATATGGTTTTGAGTGAGTTTCTTAGTATTGATTTCAATTTTTATTGCATTGTGGTCTAAGAGTGTATTTGGTATGATGTCATTTGTTTGTTTTTGTTTGTTTGTTTGTTTCTTTTTAAATTTGCTGAGGATTGTTTTATGTCCAATTGTGTGGTCAGTTTAACAGTACGTGTCTTTTGCACATGAGAAGAATGCATATTCTGTTATCTTTGGGTGGAGTGTTCCATAAATATCATTAGGTCCTTCTGGTCAAGTGTCAAGTTCAGGTACTGAATATCTTTGCCAGCTTCCTGCCTTGATGATCTGTCTAGTACTGACAGTGGGGTATTGAAGTCTCCTGCTATTTTTGTGTGATTATCTAAGTCTCTTTGTAGGTCTCTAAGTACTTGCTTTATGAATATAGGTTCTCCTGTGTTCAGTGCACATATATTTAGGATAGTTAGGTCTTCTTGTTGAATTGAACCCTTTACCATTATGTAATACATTTCTTTGTCTTTTTTTTAAATCTTTGTTGGTTTAAAGTCTGTTTCATCTGAAATTAGACTAACAACCTCTGCTTTTTAATGTTTTCCATTTGCTTGGTAGATTTTTCTTCATCCCTTTACTTTGAGCCTATGGGTGTCATTGTATTTGAGATGGGTCTCTTGAAGACAGCACATCGGTGGGTCTTGCTTCTTTATCCATCTTGCCACTCTGTGGCTTTTAATTGGGACATTTAGCCCGTTTACCTTCAAGGTTAGTATTGATGTATGCAGATTTCTTCATGTTATCATGTAGTTAGCTGGTTACTATGTAAATTTGTTTATGTAGTTGCTTTATGGTGTCACTGGTCTATGTATTTAAGTGTGTTTTTGTAGTGGCCAGTAGCAGCCTTTCCTTTCCATGTTTAGTGCTTCTTTTAGGACCTCTTGTAAGGCAGGTCTGATGGTTAAAAAAAAAAAAATTCCCTTACCATTATCTTGTTTGAGAAGGATCCTATTTTTCCTTTGCTTATGAAGCTTAGTTTGGCTGGAAATGAAGTTCTTGGTTGAAAATTCTTTTATTTAAGAGTGCTGAATATAGGCCCCCATTCTCTTCCAGCTTGTGTGGTTTCTGCTAAAAGGACCACTGTTAGCCTAATGGGGTTTCCTTTGTGGGTGACCTGCTCCTTCTCTCTAGCTACCTTTAATGTTTTTATTTTTTAAATTTCTACCTTGAAGAATCTGATGACTGTGTGTCTTGAGAATGGTCTTCTAATGTAGTATTTCACAGGGGTTCTCTGCATTTTCTGAATTTGAATGTTGTCCTCTCTAGCATTGTTGGGGGAATTTTCATGGACAATATCCTGAAATATATTTTCCACATTGCTTGCTTTCAGGGACACCAATGAGTCATAGATTTGGTCTCTTTACATACTCCTGTATTTCTCAAAGGTTTTGTTTAGTAGTTTTTATTGATTTTTTCTTTATCTCCATTTGACTAAGTTATTTCAGAGAGCAGGTCTTTGAGCTCTGAGATTCTTTCCTCAGCTTGGTTGCTTCTTCTGTTAATACTTATGATTGTATTTTAAAAATTCTTGAAGTGAATTTTTCAGTTCTATCAGCTAAGTTTGATTCTTTCTTAAAATTGCCATTTCAACATTCATCTCCTGTGTCATTTTATTGTATTTCTTAGACTTCTTGGATTGAGTTTCAACTATTTCCTGAATCTTGATGATCTTTATTCCTATCCATATTCTGAATTCTATTTGTTAATTCAGCCATTTCAGTCTTATTAAGAACCATTGCTGGGGAACTAGTGTGGTCATTTGGAGGTAAGAAGACATGCTGGCTTTTTTTGAATTGTTAGAGTTCTTTCACTGGTTCTTTCTCATCTGTGTGGGATAAGATTTATTCATTATTTGAAGCTAATGTCCTTTGGATGAGTTTTTTTTAATTTTTTATTTTATCTTCTTTGATGCCCTTGGGGGTTTGATTATGTTATAAGGTGGGTTTGGTCAACTGGCTTCAATTCTAGTCCACTCCTGGGTCTTGGAGAACCCCCACCAATTAGTGTCTTCATGCCTGCATTGCTCTTTTTGGATGTTCTGGTCCACTGGGCTCCCTCAGGCAGGAGGAACTGCATTTGGCAGACAAGCCATATCCTTGCTGGGTCAGTACTAAGCCATATCCTTGCTGGGTCTGTTGTCTGTGTGCTTCCTGGGGAAACACAGGGTTGTGCCTGCCCACAGAGTTCAGGCAGAAGCAAGACCACTGGACTGAAAGTTCTAGCAGGTATAGTCCATCTAACTACAAGAGGCAGGGTTGGGTGGAGTTGCCTATTCTGCTGTTTGGGTGTTTCCAGGGCAACAGGAGGCTGCACCCCTTGGCAAATTCAGGCAAAAGCAGGACTGCCAGGCTGGAAGCTCTAACAGGTACAGCTCACCTGGCTACCAGTGGTGGGGGTGGGTGGGGCCACCCACTCTGAAGTCTGCATGCTTCCTGGGACAACAGGAGGCTGTACCTACCAGCTGAGTTCCCACAGAAGTGGAACTACTGAGCCAGAAGTTCTAGCAGGCATTGCCCACCTAGCTATCAGTGCCAGTGGTGGGTGGGGTCATGCACCCTGCCATCCAGGTCTTTACCAAGACAAGAGGATGCACCCTCCAGCTGAAGTGGGACTCTTCCCACATAGAAGTGGGACCACTGGGCCAGAATTTCTAGCAAGCATTATCCACCTGGCTACCAGTGGTGGTGGCAGGTGGGGTTACCAGATCTGTCTGGGTGTTTCCTGGGGCAACAGGAAGCTGTAGTCTGCAGGTGAGTTCATACAGAAGCAACACCACTGGGCTGCATGTTCCAGCAAGCATTGCCTACCTGGCTACCAGCTGTAGGGGAAGGTGGGGTCACGCACCTTGCCATTGTCTTTCCTGGTATAACAGGAAGCTGCACCCTTCAGCTGAGTTCATACAAAAGCCAGACTGCTAGGCTGGAAGCTCTATCTTGTGTTGCCTGCCTGTCTTCTAGTGGTGAAGGGGAGTAGAGTCACCCATCCTGCCATCTTGGTGTTTCCCAGGACAACAGGAGGCTGTGTCCTTCTGCTGAATTCACATAAGAGTGGGACCCCTGCGCCGGAAGTTGTAGCAAGCATTGCCTCCCTGGCTACTAGTGGTGGGTATGGATAGAGTGGCCAGTGAGTGCAGTTCAAAGCTGGACTATTGGGCTGGAAGCCACCAGCTCCGACTGGCAAGTGGAGATGGAGCAATCATTGCTGCCAGGCACCACAAGTGTGGCCTCTATTGGGTCAATGGCACCAGTGCTGGTCTGCTCCGGCACTGGTCCTCTTGGATTCAAAAGTTGTTCCTGCAATATGTCCAGGTAGCTCTCTGCCTCAGGGTAGAAGTACGGTCAGAGAGTGCAGGAGAGCCAAGGGAATTCTCCCATTCCCAGTCTTGCACAGGTCCCTGTGGAGACTGTGAATGCCCCCGGGGGTCTCATTCACTCACCCCTTCCCATGTTGAAGAGTCTCTCTGACTTCCAAATGAGTCCAGAGAGGCCAATGTCCAGCTTTGCTCCTCTTTGCTCTTTGTGACTTCTGCTGCCTTGATAGATCCTGACGTGGTTTCTCATATGATTGGTTCAGTGTTCACTAGTCTTTTTGTTTCCTCCCTGTGAGAGCAGCTCATGTGAGCTGCTCTAGGCTGCCATCTTGTCCCCCACTTTAAAAAAAAAAAATTAATTTCTTTGGTAGATATGGGGTCTCACTATGTTGCTCAGATTGGTCTCAAACTCTCAAATGATTCTCCTGCTTTGGTCTCCCAAAGTGTTGGGATTATAGGTGTAAGTCATCATACCTGGCCTAGGAGCACCTGCTTAACCTACTTCAGAGAAAAAAAAAGGAGGTTTTCCAAATATTATACACTACATGTTTTAAATATTTAAATATTCTTTTATTTATTTTTAGTTCTAAGGAGGTAACTGAAAGTTTTGATTTGCACAGTGCTATGTTCTGAATATTTATGATCCCTGAAAATGTATGTTGAAATCCTAACCCCTCAGCTAACGGTATTTGGAGGTGGTGCTTTCATACTGCCCAAAGCAATTTGCAAATTCAATGCTATTTCTATTAAACTACCATTGAGATTCTTCACAGAACTAGAAAAACTATTTTAAAATTCATGTAAAACCAAAAGAGAGCCCTAATATCTAAGGCAATCCTAAGGAAAAAGAACAAAGCTCAAGGCATCATGCTACTCAATTTCAAACTACACCACAGGGCTACAGTAATCAAAACAGCATGGTGCTGGCACAAAAACAGACACATAGACCAATGGAACAGAACGAAGAGCCAGAAATAAGGCTGCACACCTATAACTATGTGATCTTTGACAAACTTGACAAAAATCAAGCAATGGGGAAAGTATTCCCTATTCAATAAATGGTGTTGAGATAAGTGGCTAGCCATATGCAGAAGATTGAAACCGGACCCCTTCCTTACACCATATACAAAAACAAATTCAAGATGGATTAAAGAGTTAAATATGAAACCTTAAACTATAAAAACCCCGAAAGACAACCTAGGCAACACATTCAGGACATAGGAATGAGGGAACATTTCATGACAAAGATGCCAAAACCAAAATTGAGAAATGGGATCTAATTAAACTAAAGAGCTTCTGCACAGCAAACTAGCAAGTGAACAGGCAGTCTACAGAATGGGAGAAAATATTTGCAAACTATGCATCTGACAAAGGTCTAATATCCAGTACCTATAAGGGACTTAAACAAATTTACAAGAAAAAAGCATACAACTCCATTAAAAAGTGGGCAAGGGACATGAACAACACTTTTCAAAAAAAAAATACACATGGCCAACAATCATGAAAAAAAAAAGCTCAACACCACTTGCCATTAGAAAAATGCAAATCAAACCTACAATGAGATACCATCGCACACCAGTCAGAATGACCACTATTAAAAAGTAAAAAAATAACAAACACTGGCAAGCTTGTGGAGAAAAAGGAATGCTTATACACTGTTGGTGGGAGTGTAAATTAGTTCAAACACTGTGGAAGACAGTGCGGTGATTCCTCAAAGACCTGAAAACAAAAATACCATTTGACTCAGTAATTTTATTACTATGTATATACCCAAAAGAATGTAAATTATTCTATTACAAAGACACATGCTTGCATATGTTCATTGAAATACTATTTACAATAGCAAAGACATAGAATCAACCTAATGAGGTCATGTCCTTTGCAGGAACATAGATGGAGCCGGAGGCCATTATTCTTAGCAAACTAATGCAGGAACAGGAAACCAAATACTACATATTCTTACATATAAGTGAGAGCAAAATGACGAGAACACATGGACACATAGAGGGGAACAACACACACTGGGGCCTATTGGAAGATGAAGGATGGGAGGAAGGAGAGGATCAGGAGAAATAACTAATAAGTACTAGGCTTAATACCTAGGTGATGAAATAATCTGTAAAACAAACCCCTTGACACAAATTTAGCTATATAGCAAACCTGCATAATGTATGCCTGATCTCACTTATATGTGGAATCTAATCAGGCAACATTTTTCTTTCTATGCAGTTTCCCAGCACCATTTATTGAAGAGACTATTCTTTCCCTATTTTGTACTCTTGGTGACCTTACTGAAAATTAGTTGACCATATATGTCTGGATTTATTTCTAGGCTCTCTGTTCTGTTTCATTGGTCTATATATCTATTTTTATGCCAGTAGCACACTCTATTGATTGCTATAGCTTCCCAATATTGTTTGAAATGAGGAAATATGATGCCTCCGACTTTTTTCATCTTTCTCAAGATTGTTTTGGCTATTCAGGGTCTTTTGTGTTTTCATGTAAATTTTGGAATTCTTTTTTTTATTTCCATGAAAAATGCCATTTGAATTTTGGTAGGCATTTCACTAAATTTGTATATTGCGGCTGGGCATGGTGGCTCATGCCTCTAATCCCAGCACTTTGGGAGGCTGAGACAGGTAGATTGCTTGAGCCCAGGAGTTTGAGACCAGCCTGGGCAACATGATGAAAGTGTCTCCACAACAAATATGAAGATTAGCCAGGCATGGTGGTGTGTGCCTGTAGTCCTAGCTACTTGGGAGGTTGAGGTGGAAGGATCCTTTGAACCCAGGAGACAGAGGTTGCAGTGAGTTGAGATCGCACCACTGTACTCCATCCTGGGTGACAGAGTGAGACCCTGTTTCAAAAAACAAATTGTATATTGCTTTGGGTGGTATGGACATTTAAACAATATTAATTTTCCAATCCATGAACATATCTTTCCATTTATTTATACCTTTTTCAATTTATTTCACCAATCAACATTTTCTAATTTTCTAGTGTGGCAGATCTTTTACTTCTTTGGTTAAATTTATTGCTAAGTATATTATTCATTTTGGTGCTATCATAAATGGAATTGTTTTCTTGATTTCCTTTTTGCATAGATTGTTATTGCTGTAAAGAAACAAAACCAATTCTTGCATATTGACTTTGTATCCTGCAAATATACTAAATTTGTTTACTAGTTCATGTAGGGATGCTTTTTTATCTTGGAGTCTTTAGTCTTCTACATATAGGATGATGTCATCTAAAGTAAAAATAATTTTACTTCTTTCTTTCTTATTTGGGTGTCTTTTATTTCTTTTTCTTGTCTAGTTACTCTTGCTAGTACTTCCAGTGCTAGGTAGAATAGAAGTGAGGTGGGTGGGCCTCCTTGCCTTCTACCAGATCTTTGAGAAAAAGCTTTCAGTTTATCCCCATTGATTATATTATCTGGGAGTCTTTCATACATGGCTTTTATGGTGTTGAAAAAAATTCTACACAAATTTGGTTGAGAATTTTTATTATGAAAGGATGTTGAACTTATTCTGTTAATGTCCTTTATCACATTTACCTATATATTTTAAACCAAACTTGCATTCTAAGAATATATCCCACTTGATCATGGTGTATAACTTTTTGATGTATTGTCAAATTTAGTTGGCTAGTATTTTTTGAGAATATTCACAACTATGTTTATCAGAGATATTGGCCTGAAGCTTTTGTTTTCTTTCTTTCTTCTGTCTTTATCTGGCATTGGTATCGGGGTGATGCTGGCCTCATTAAATTAGTTTGGAAGTATTCCTGGTCCTAATATTTTTTTAAAGAGTATAAGAACAATTGGCATTAATTCTTCTTTCAATGTTATGTAAAATTCCGCCACAAAGCCATCTGATACTGGACATTTCTTTCTTGGAAAGTTTGCCCAATAATTTGTTCCGGTTGTATATTTATTGTTTTGTTTTGTTTTTGTTTTTGTTTTGTATTTTGAGGCAGAGTCTCACTCTGTCACCAGGCTGGAGTGCAGTGACACGATCTTGGTTCACTGCAACCTCTGCGACCCAGGTTCAAGTGATCCACCTGCCTCAGCCTCCCGAGTTCAGTTGTATATTTCTTAATTCCTTCTTGGCGGGTTGCACGTTTCTAAGAATTTATTTCTTTCATCCATGTTATCCAGTATGTTGGCATGTAATTATTCAAAATAACCCCTAATGATTCTTTTCATTTCTGTGGCATCTATGGAAATGCCTCCTCTTTCATTTCTGATTTTATTTATTTGCCTTCTATCTTTTTTTCTTAGTTAGTCTAGCTAAGGGTCTTCCAATTTATTTGTTTTTTAAATAACTGGCTTCCCTTTAGCAATCTAAGGCTCTGGTGCAGTGCTCCTACTATTTTTTATAATCTGAATATCATCTCTTTTTGAGTTACTGAAATGAGTTCTGTGAAAATGCTCAAAAGTCATCTTCTGTATGATGTTTTATCTAATTTTTTCCTTCTTCTGCACTGTTGAGGAAGGCTTGTTTAACTCTGTTTATCCCTGAGTATTTTGTCTTGAGTTGTAGTTTTTTACATCATGCCTGGGCTTCCACTGGATGGTGAGCAAGTGGGTGCAAGGATCCCTTCCCTCCCTTTCCTCCATTTTCCTTCCTATTCATATATTAGAGAAAATTCGTCTCCTGTATGCTGGTGCTGGGCTTGGCCTCAGGAATGAAGACACAATAGGGTCCAGAGTTTAAGGAGTTCAATTGTTGTTGGGAGAGTCTTGTACACTGAAAATTCTAATGCAAGGTGATGAGGGATATAGTAGATATTGATTTGAGTTTTATTGGCTGTTATAGCAAAGTGCTTCATCTCTGTATTGGGGTTCACTATAGGAAAGGAAAGAATACACTATTATAAAGCTTATTCTTTATTTTTTTCTTTCATTCTAACCCACAACTCTTGTGAATTAAAAGAAAATCTTTTCTTCTTAAGGTATGTTTTTATTTTTGTTCATCTCAAAATACTTTTTAAATTCCCTTTTCATTTCTTTTTTAACCCAGTGTTCCTCTTGTATTTTGACTAGCAAGGCTCTACTCTTCAAATTTCACCTCCATGAGCTCCCCTGAACCAGTATTCTCAACACCTGTGCAGATAACATCTCTTTGCTGTGTAGTTTAAGTTGCCTTGCAACTTTCTTTATCTTTTTTAGTGAATGTCTGGTCTTTCCAATAATGTTAGAAAAAATGTGGCAGCAAAACCCATGTTTTGTATTTCTTTATATAGGACCCTAAATGAAATAGAACTAAGCAAACAGTAAGAATTCAATAATTTTGTGAGGTTAGAGATGATAATAATAAAATTTTTATGCAATTATAAATTCAAATGTATCACATCTAATACTCAAACTAGGACACCTATGTTATTATAAATTACTTCATGATTCTGAAGAAGAAATGGCAGTTAAACTACAGAAATTGACTTGAGGGGCTGCTGTATCATAATTTAAACATATATTTTCTTTTTTTTTAAGTTCTGCTCTCTCCTTTTCCCTTCTCCTCAATGTCAACTAAAAATGTCCTGTGCTCTCCTTTCTCTGTTTACTGGTAATCAAATATATTGATGTGTCTGCTTCTCTGCTCTCAGGAACTTATCTTCTAAGCTACAAAGCCTAATTCTCTCATGTTCCACAAACCAAATCCAAGAATGTTCCTGCTCATATTCTATTGTTTTACAAATTATCAAAGAGCCAAATGATGTTCTATCATAGACTCCATAATATGCCATTAAATCCAAGGCTTGATACAATTCAAGTCTTCATAAAAAAGATATAAAATACTTATTCCTGTCACATTTTCAACTGAAAAAAAGGTCCATGTCTCTGACACTCAAGGTATGAGGTGGACTCTTGGGAAGTGAGGTACTGGTAGGGCTGGAGTGAAACTGTTGAGTCAGAGCATGAATAAGTCAAAGTTTTGTGTTTCCCAAGGAATTCAACATAACAAGCTTAGGCAGCATAGGGAAGGTTTTGGCACATGATAAAACCACAGATAGAACGTGCCAAAGACTGAATGCTGACCCAGCTGTTGTCCTCACTAGCTTCTTTGTGAATGTCACCTTCAATTCTTCATGCTGTGTTTCTCCATGAGGCTGAACTCAAGGCGACTGGTAATTATAGGACTTACGTCTTCTCATCTTTACAGTCAGAGTGTAAGATAATCTCTTTCCTTGAATACATTTCAAAAGAAAGGCCCAGAGAAATATTCTAACTGGCTCCACTTAGGTTACATGACCATCCCTGTGATCAGTGGGATCCAATAGCAGCATTGCCCATGGATGGGGTTTCATGGCAGTTCCATAAGAGAAGTGAGGCAAACTGCAGAAAAGACAATTGACCTCCACTACATGCCTGTAAGAGAAAGATTTGTTTTTGTTTTTGTTTTCTAATTCGCAAAAGTTATTGGTTAGAAATAAAGAAAAAAAAAGAAAGAAAAAGCTTTACAATGGTGTAAAGGGTGTGTTCTTTTCTTTCCTATGGTAAGCCCCAATACAGAGCTGAAGCATTTTGCTATCATAGCTGATAAAACTCAAATCAGTATCTACCATTGCCCTCATTACATTGCATTGGAATTTCCAATGTACAAGGCTCTTCCCAACAACAACTGAACTCCTTAAACTCAGGACTGTATTTTATCTTTATTCCTGAGGCCAAGCCCAGCACCAGGAGAAGCTTTTTCTCTAATATATGAATAGGAAGGAAAAAGGAGGAGAGGGAGGGAAGAGATCCTTGCACCTAACTTGCTCACCATCCAGTGGAAGACCAGGAATGATGCAAACAACTACAACCCAAGACAGAATAATCAAGAATAAATAGAATTAAACAAGCCTTCCTCAACAGTGCAAAAGAAGTGATTTGTTCTCTGGGAAAAATTAGATAAAACTTCCTAGGGAAGATGACTTCTGAGCATTCCTGTTGAACTCATTTCAGTAACTCAAAAAGAGGAAATGATGTTCAGATCATAAACAACAGGTGAGAGCCCTGCACCCAGCCTTACATTGCCAAAAGGCAGTTGCCCTTCATGGCTTATACATAGCAGTGGGTGATTCCAGGAGTCATGGAAGGCCTCCTTTCCCCTTACCTTCATAAAAAGATCTCCCTTACCTAAATGTATTGCCTGAGCATTTTTTTGTAAGGAATAGAGTTTTTCCATCCAGATTAGAGATGCAACCATGCCTTGGAATAGAAACAGAACAGTTATAATAAGAAGTAAGTGACTGATAACAGTCTTGTGTAGAAGCTAATTTTGATAGAAGGAAACTGAGGGAAAAATTGGAGGCATCAGGTACTGCAGATCAAAAAAAATACTGCTTCCATGCTCTCATACTCAGAAAGGCAACGAAAGAGGAGATACGATTGAACTAGGCTGGTGGCTGCTGCATTGTCTACTGGGCTGGGAGCTCAGAGTGACATTCCTCCAGATGCCAGGCCTCTCTGATAGAAAGTAAAATAAGCAAATATTAGCTCCCACCCTGAGTCAGTTTTAGCATGTCTGAATTCCAGCAGATTAAACGCAGGTAGGGGTGCAGCCTGACACTGGACTCTGCGCTTCACCATGTCAGTGGAGATCAGCGTTTTATTGAGAATCAAATTAGGTCATAAAAAGTAAAGAGGCATTTTGGCTTAGTATATCTTTTGTCACAATAACGCAATATAATAAATCCAGCACTTAAAAATAAACTTTTGTCACTGTTCACAGGTACATGGAGCGATGGTTAATTTTATGCATTAGCTTGACTAGGCTACATTGCCCAGTTTTCAGTCAACAACAGTCTAGATGTCACTGTGAAGATATTTTTTAGACACAATTTTAATCTACAATCAGTAGCTTTTAAGAAAAGGCAAAGACCCTCCATAATGCAGGTGGGCCTCATTCAATCAGTTGAAGGCCTTAAGAGCAAAGACTGAGGTTTTCCAAAAAAAAAGGAATTCTGCTTCAGGACTGCAACATGGAAACCCTGCCTGAATTTCCTATGTGCTGAACCACCCTGCAGATTTCAAATTTGTCAGCCCCTACAACTGTATGAGCCAGTTCCTCAAAATCTCTCTCTCTCTCCTCCACATCACTTTTGTGTGTGTCTGTGTGTTTTTTATATATAATATATATATATATAAATGATACATATATAAATATATATATATATGTTCTATTTCTCTGTAGAACCTAATATACATGATCAGGTGGGTAATTCTTTTAGTCTCACCTAAGCTCATTCATGTGATTCTGCTGATCTCCACTGGGCACTCTCACATGTCTCACATGAGATGCCTGCAGACTGTATCTCATGCTCTAGCAAGGTAGCCCAGGCTTGCTGTCAGGCTCCTGCAGGCATCTTATCACAGTGAAGGTGAAGAAGCTAGAAAGTGAACGGAAGACCTCCTGAGGCATAGACTCAGAGACAGCGCACCATTGTTTTCACCACATTCCACTAGCTGAAGTAAGTCACAAAGGTTAGTTGAGATTCAAGGAATGGAAAATAGATTCCACCCCTTGATGGGAAGAGTGGCAACTCACATGGCAAAAACTGTGGACCCAGAGAGGCCATTAATTGGAGCAATTAATGAAGGCAATATTACTCCTTTACAAAACAGGTCAGCAAAATCTCAATAATAATTCAGTGATGATCTGCAACCTAATTTGATGACTATCAACCCCTTCTAGTGTTAGGAGCATGTAGCTGTCCTCTGAGTCTTTCTTGAGTAATATTTGCAGCCAGGCTGTGAAAAGAAGAAAGTACTTTCTGGTCAAAGTACCTTGAATATAATAATACATTGATTTTATAATCCTATATATTGATACAGAATTCAGCAGTTTACAAAGTATTTTTACATTTATTATAATCTTTGATATATAAAACCAGGGAAATTCTAAGTGTATAAATGAAACTAAGGAAAAAAGTGAACTAAAGAGAAAGGAAGGCAAGAAGAGAGAATGGAGTACAAGCTTAGAAGTATTTTGGCCTAAAGACAAATGCTAGGAAGAGCATTTCTATGGAGAGTCCTGTGCACATAGGGGATAATTCTGAATTGGACTTGGAGATGGAGAGTGAGTACACGGAGATGACGGATAACATAAGGAAAAGTATATGACACTGACTCTTGGAGCAAAAGAGCAAAACAATATCTTTGGAAGAATTTCAGGAAGAAAATTTTGGTAGGTGTAAGCGAAAGTACATTAAGTGTGGATATGTTTTTATTTGTTCAGCATGAATTTATTTATATCTCTCTCCCCTTTCTCAGAAAAAGGGAGCCATGGCGAGAGAACAAAAGATGTACAGAGAGAGTACACAAGAAGAAAGGAGAAGGGAAAGTCATGCAACAGTTCCTCTGCAAATTGCTGCATTAGGCACCTCAGAAAGGCTGGGTTGTGAGGTCAGTGGGGAGGGATGTGAGCCACGAGGGTGGTGAGCTGCCACATCAGAGCGCCAGTGAACCTGTGAGCTTGCTGTAGCATGCGACTAGAAAACAAAAGCAGCCTGAGATATTCACAGCCAAGGTTCACTCTGAAATGACAAGAGATTTAGGCAGATGTGTTGGGAGTTTGAACATCACTGCCCCAGTTGGCGTGATGACGGAAGTCCCCTAACAGCTGTCCCCAGAGGAAATTCAAGTGTTAAAAACGTACCCAGGATGGAACTGTCTGATCACAGCACACAGGCTCTTCCAATTGCTCAGGAATATCAGGGCAGCAGTTTGATATTTATTAAACACCAGCAGGGTGTCTCTTAGAGTACCAATCCCTATGAAAGCTCAGGTCCCAGCCCAGAGAAATCTTAAAGGCACAGAGCAGAAAGGGAGGCTGGGTCTGGGCAGCCACTATCACCATAAAGTCAGGCTGAACTTTTATGAGCTAGTCATTGGGCAGGGAAGGGGTTGGTTTTAGAAGGGAATGTTTTATTAACCTTCTCCTTGGAAACTTTCCCGCACTCAGCCATCAGAGACAACTCGAGTTGATCAGGAAAGGATGAAGCATTTTCTACAGTGGAGAGTGTGAAAAGAGATTGGAAATTAATGATGTTAGAAAGCAGCAGCCACCACAACCCACCCATTCCGGCACGCATTAGTGACAGTTGCTGGCCTAGAGGAAGAGGCTCTGATGAGGACAGATAGATGAAAAAAATTAGGCTAAGTGAAACCAGACAAGGAAGTCCACATAAGAAAGCCCAAGGAATGAGAAGTAATTTGCAAAAGTATATCTAATGCTATAGACAAAAATAAATGTGGATGCAACATTATACCGGGAAAGCACACAAAACTGGGAATTAGAAGAAATTGGTTCAGATTCTGGCTCTGCCACTTACTAGCTGTTACTTAATCTCCTTGAGTCTCAGTTTCACCCTAGTAAATGGGATAATAATCCTAACATGATTATTGTGAGCATCAAAGGAGAAAAGACCTATGAATGTGCCTAGTAAGCTATAATGTAGCTATTCAAATGTTAATGTCCATTAATTGGGATTATCATTATGTTTGATAAAACGGTGATTCTGACACATATATTTGCATATTCATTAAAAGCTGCAAAAATGCTGATGTTATAACTGTTGCTGCTGCTGAGGAACCTGTAGCAGTCTAGATGTGTCAAAAAGAAAATTACAGAAACATGACACAAGTAGACCTGCCCTCCCTCTAACGCTGATAAGAAAAATGAAAAACAGACTATATCCTTAGCAAGAACGTCCCTTTTACTGTCGTCAAACTAAATATTCATTCTTGGCAACTATCAGAGCTATTCTGAGACAAAGCAGAGATCACAGTTTATCTCTTGGGCTTTTAATATCCCCCTTTTGTATGGATTGAAAAATTGAGGCGCGTGGAGATATAAAGCAGCTTGCACCAAAGCCGTGTCTGCTGGAAACAGCCAAGGCTTTTTCCACCCCAGAGAATGCCCCTTCCGAAAGCCCAAGCTCCAGGCTAGGAGCAAAGCACAGAAAAGATGTGAAACATTAAACAAATAAAGGGCAAGTAGGGAAAAGAAAAAGACCATATTCTGAGACATATTTTCAAAATAAGAGAGATAAATTCTGAGAGCGAAAGATGTTGGGAGAACAAAACAAATGGTAAAATAAATATGAGAAGAAGACAAATTTCTTCTTATAGAAATACAGAAAGTCAAATGCTAAAATGTTAGACAATGGTTGAAGAAAGGTAAAACTGGGAGAGGAACATAAACACCAAAGGGCAATAAATCATAGAAATAACACTTCTGAGGATTGTGGTGAATAAAACACACCCCACAAAGCAAGCCTGCAAGAGTAAGACTAATGCAGTGTGACTAACAAATACAGATATCATGACAAGGATGGAGACCACTGTTGGGAAGATAAATACCCAGACTATCACTGACCGCACTGGCCTTCCCTAGGGAATCCAATTTACATGCATTTCCCGAAACTCTTCCTCTTGAGTTGTTCTCCAGTCTCTTTTGATTCAGTACATGGGTGGAGGTCACCTCTCCCTTCCCTGATAGTGGCTTTCCTTTCCTTTGTTAGTGACAGCTGGGCACCGTCCCTGTAGAGAGACTGGTCTCCTGCTGTCACTGATAACTTCTCCCTCAGAAAAAGTCAGACCCTGCTCTCTTATTCCCATATCCATGCCCTGTGACATGGAGGTGAACCACTTCAAATATGGCATGCATCATCAGGCAGCCAGGCCACTTTGCCCCCAGCACTCTCTCGCTGCCCTGCCACAGGGCCATCTGAAGCAAGGCTTCAGGCTAAGGTTCTTCACAAGAACTCCACTGTGAGAATCCTTGGGCAAGAAGAGGGACGGTAGCTTCTCATGATGAAATCAAGGCAGTCTTTGAAGTCAGGCATACCAACACTTGAAATTCTGCAGAAGTGTAGATCAACTGTGTGGCCTTGAACCAGTTACATAAACTCTCTGAGGCCCCTGCTGCCTCATCTCTGAAATGGGAATCATACTCAATACTTGGAAGTAACCAGAAAAACGCATGTGTAAAACATCCAACTGCTTTTTAGGACTTGAAAATGACAGCGTGTGCAATAATTATGTTTCAACACAATCACAGTCCTCTCCTTAAATGTAGGATTTGGGTCCTGATGGCCTGGGACATTGCCATCTCAGAAGGGTCAGAAATACAGAGATTGGGATAAGGAGGTGACACGCCTCTCCCCCTTCAAAGCAGAAATGAGTCAAATTAAGGAAATACGCAAGCATTCCAGAGCACAGCTATAACCATTATGCCTAACCTCCCTATCACACATTACAAATCTACTAAGTGCTGTCAATTAAAAAGGGTGTAGACTTTGGATATTGGGCATAAATAACAGGATGATAAGAACACATTTTTACTCTGGGAAGCAGCTTCACATCCATTGTCTCACATCGTCACTACCATCCTGTGAAGTAAACGGAGCAAGGTGTATGCATCTCATTCTCATCCATGAAGGACCTGAGGCCCAGAGAGGTTGTGACCTGCCCAAGGTCATACTAGGTCATGCAACCAGTAGGTGGCAACTAGTAAATGGCTCCACATCCACCACAGAGGATGCCCCTCCCAGCTATGGCCATTCCTCTAGAAAGAGAAACATTCACTTATGCTTCATCAAGAGAACCCTTGTAGCTAAAAATACCTCATGCAAATGAATTCTCCTTGAAAGAAGATAATGTAACACCAAACAATCAGTGAGGGTGTAAATGCGTTTAACACAAAAATGGAGAGCTGAGCAATTGCCTCTATTCTGGCCCCTCAGAGTGTGGTCTCCAAGCCAGCAGTACCATGGTCACCTGTGTGATTGAACCAAAAGAGAGGGTCACTATAAAAATGCAGAATCTTGGCACCCACTCCAGACCCAGTAAATCAGAATCTGCATTTTAACAAAACCCCCAAGTGATTCATATGCAGATTAATATTTGAGGAGCACTGGTCTAGAATAAGTCAGAAAGGAAATTATTTTGCCCTAGATAGTCTTGAATTCACCTTGTCAGGGAAGAGTTCTACTTTAAACTACTGGATTTTTAGGATCTACCTAGCTAATTGCCTACATTCACCCCTTCCCTGAGCACATCCATTTAATTGCCTATTTCAATTTCTCTACTTCAATCCCAGTTGGCTCTTTCTTGCCCTGACAAGGCATATGCAAGGAGTCCATAGCTGGGGGAAACTTTGCCTTAGAAATAGACTTCAAAGAGCTAAAAGAGGAATGAACTAGACCTAACCTAGACCATCTTAAAGGTATCTTGCATACTGAAAATCCTGTGGTCCTATGTTTCTATGTTGCATTCTTGGTGTGAGTTCCTTGCTCTATGTTGCTTTCAGAAGAACCTTTACTTGCCTGGATATCTGACACCACCCTACCCTTTTAACCTATTTACCTTGGGAAAAATATACATGCATAACTGACTGCTCTCCTGGCTACTTTTGCCCTGGATAGTCTGAAGAGTCACCCAACAGCAATTTTCTCCAGATGGTCACTCTTATTTGCACTGCTGCATCAGGGGCCTAGAGCAATGGTTCTTTCAGAATATTCTTGCAAGATGTAGACCCAGTTTCATTTGTTTTGCAAAATAAGGCAGCTATACCTGGCTCTTTCTTCTAACTATATGGGGCCATATTACATCATGCGTGGGGAGGTCTCCAAAGGTCTCACACAAAGGTGCACCATTATTGCACAATATTATTATCCAATTGTCCTTCAATTAAAATAAGTGGTGCTTCAAAATACAGTAACAGCTGCTCCCAGCAGCATCTCCTTGCAGCTGTGTTGCTTGCTTGCTCCCACAGCTATGGACTCCTTGCAATGTATTTGTGTTCTCAGTTTTCCTTTTTCCCTACAGCCTTTTACATCTTTGTTTAAGCTGTGCTTCACACTCACCATTGTGAAATCCACAGGAATCCCAGAAATGAAATGCCCAATTCAATCCAGAACCAAAAAAAAGCTCAAGGACCAAGAAAACGCTATAGAATTATCATACCTGGACCCTGAAGGGCCTTTGCTCTAGGAGCATTTTGCAGCAGTAGCTTTAGGGGGTCCTCCTGCAGTGCAATCAAACTCACAGGCTTCACACGTGGGTCCTACATGAAGCCAGAGGCATGCAGTGAAAGGCAACACAATATGTCAACTACATATGCTTACCACTGGGGAAAAAAACCCAAATGTATCTGACTCAAAAGAAAAGATCTTCAAGCTTATTTTCCATGGTATATTTTCTGCCATAAAATAATTAGTGTCTGTGATATCATGTTTTATAATAAGAAATATATATTTTGGTCTTCGTCCCATTTCCTGGCATACAGCTCCTAAAACCCTTGGCATCTCTGAAGTGATAAGTGTCTTTTTGTATGCTAATGATAATGGTTAGCTGGGGTCTCCTGGATAGCCTCAGGATGGGGGCTGGTTGCCATGGGAATGTTCAGCCCTACCTCCCACCCCACTCCAACTCCTGGAGGGGAGAAGAGCTGAAGGTTGAATTGATCACCAAAGGCCAATGATGTAATCAATCATGCCTACATAATGAAGCCTCCATAAAGACCCAAAAGGATGGGGCTTGGAGAGCTTCCAGGTTGTTGAACATTTGGAGGTGCTGGGATGGTGGTGTGCCCCAAGAGAGGGTACAGAAGCTCCGTGCTCTGTGCCGCTACCCCCATACCCCTATGCATCTCTTCCATCTGGCTGCTCAATTGTATCCTCTGTAAGATCTTTTGAAATAAACAGGTAAACATAAGTGAAGTACCTTCCTGAGTTTTGTGAGCCATTCCAACAAATGCTTGAGCCAGAAGAGGGGCTTTATAGGAGGCCACAATTCATCTCCAGTTGGTCAGAAGTTCAGAGCCCCAGACTTGCCATTGGTATCTGACGTAGAGGGCAGTCTTGTGGGACTGAGCCCTTGATCCGTGAGATCTGACTCTAATTCCAGATAGACAGTGTCAGAGTTGAATTAAATTTAGGACACCGTGCTGGTGTCTGCCAGAGAATTGCTTGGTGTGTCGGGGTGGGGAGGGAGGACTACACATCACAGAAGTAAAGTCTTGAGAGTATCATGGTGAGAATGCAGCAGGAGAAAACAGTCAGTTTGATGTTTTTTCCTATTTTACAACGTCAAATTTGGAAAGTAAAAAATAATCAACAGAACTGTTAATAGGTTAACTCTTCATATCTTCTATTCTCTTCTCAAATTTCCAACTACCCCATCTTCTTTTTTACTCTTCACTGATGACCTGGCTTCCCATTGCTCTAAGTGCTCTCAGAGAACTTCCATAAACCTGTATCGACTCACATCTGGGCCCTGATTCTGCCCTCCCTTATGTTAACTATTGATGAACATGCTACTAGCCAAAACTAACCCCTCACCCTCGGTACCAGATCTCATCACCTCTCCCTCCTCAAGGGTATCACTGTGGAAGTTCCACTCCCATGCATTGTTCCTTGTTTCCTGGGCCATTCCCATTTCCATTCAAACATACCAGAATTTCCACATTTAAAAAATATCTTTAAATTATACCTGCATCTCCTTAACATAATGACCCTTTGTTGTGCACTCCTTTACAACAAAAGTCTCTGGAAGTGTTGTCTATATTTACTGTCTCCAATTTCTCTTCTTGTATTCCTCCTTGAACACTTTCCAATCTGGCTTTCACTCTGTCTGCCTCTAGTAAAACTGCTCTTATCAGGGTGAACAATGACCAGAATGTGGCTAGATCCAACTTCTCATTCGTGGTCATTTTTTGGTCTTCATTTTATTTGATCTATTGGCAGCATTTGATAGGATGGATCACTTCTTCCCCCCTTGATAACACCTTCTCCACTTGGCTCCCAGGACTCAAAAGAACACTTTTGGTTTTGATCCTCACCGGTGGATCTTTCCTGGTCATTTTTCTGCTTCCTCCTCAACTCTCCAAACTCTAAATATTTGAGTGTTTGAGCATCCCAAGACTTGAGCCTTAGTTATATCTATAGTAATTCTCTAACTAGATAGATTCTCTATCTATAATCATTCCCTTGATTATCTCATCCACTAGCATGGCTTTAAATGTTATGTGCATGCGAGTGACTCCCAAATGTATACAGTCAACCCAGACATCTACATTTAACTCCATGCCCTGGATACTCAGAAGACATTTCAAACTTAATCATTCCAAAAGCGAAAGCCTGATCTTCCTTCTCACAGATGCTCCTCCCACAATTATTCCCATTTCAGTTCATAGCAGCTCATTCTTTGCTCAGGCCAAAGCCATAGCTTCATTCATGACTTCTTTCTTTCTCTTACACTTCACGACCAATGACTCAGAACTTTTGTTTTATTTGCCATCAAATTGTTGAGAATGTGACTGCTTTTCATCAACTACCCTGTTCTCATCTTGGTCCAAGCTACCATCACTTCCCACCTCCTAAATGACCTCTGGGTTTCTGTCCCTGTCCTCTACAGTGCACACAGCAGCCAAAGTGATCCTTTTTAAAAATATGTTGCATCATGTCACGATTCTGCTCAAAACCTTCTGATAGCTTCCAATCTTGGTTAGTAACTAGGTCAAGTTATCTTGTTTAGAACTCCATTTACACATTTATGAAATGATGATAATAATGGTACCTACCTCTAGGATAATTGTGCAAAGTAAATGCATTAATGTCTGTAACTTACTTCTGACAGTTGCCAAGATATTCAAAGTGCTGAAAAGTGTAAACCATCATCATCATCATTATCATGAATACATTGATAATATATTTAACCAATAGGATTAATAATATTGCATGTCCATAAATTATAATAATATCTAAAAGTAAAACAAGGAATTCTGTTCTGCTCTTGGTCCGCTTATTTCTAAAGAGCCAGACTTTGATATCAGGCAATGCGCATCGCGAGCCCTCTTGGGCACGGGGCATCTTGAGGGATAAATAAGATTACTCGGCTGGCAATGAAGGTTTCCAGCAGTGGAGACAAAAAGGTGATGACAGTAATAATAACAAAGCCTGCAGGGGAGAAGTCAGTGACAGCCACCAAGAATTCAGATGAGAAATTCATCCTGCACAAGTCTAGGGACATACAATCTCCCGAGCTCCATGATGCCAGCTCTAACCTGTGGCCACTCTGCCCCCGCCCCATAGGTCATAGAGAACAGTCAGACATCCTCCACGGTCTGTAATTAGACCTCTCCAGTCCCATTTGCTGCTTTACCCCCATCCTCTCTCAAGCCCCATTTCTGGCCCCTTCCCTAGTACCCCTGTCCAGCCCCCTCTCCCGCTGCACTGTGCCTACCCTCTGAGAAGAGCTGTGTCAGCTCCTCGGTACCAGCTGGCAGAAAGACCCCTGTGAAAAGGTGAGTGCCTTTTTGTGCTGGCATTTGGCATATTTTTCCTCTATGTGTGTGGTTTCTCTTTTCCCCTTAAATTGACTATTACCATTTTGCTATTTTTTTTCTATCCTATCTGAATGGTGTCACTAATGCAGTAAAAGAGAAACAGAAAAAGAGCCAAAGCCCATTAAAACACAACAACAAAATAAACCAAAGCTCAGAATGCTGCGGTGGCTTAAAGGAGTCCTCCTCCTCTTTCCCATGATCTCAACCACCTCCCCACCTCACCAGTTTCTCCCTTCTCTTTTCCTCAATGCTTTCATTTTCCTTATTTGGCTAACTTCGTTCTCATTTTCCTTTCCCTCCTTCCTTTGTGCCATCTTCCTTCCTTCCCTCCTTGGAAAGATTTCCCTTCACAGCCTTGGTCTCTGTTCCTTTTAACTATCTCATAGCCTATTTTTTTTTCCTGAGACTGAGTCTTGCTCTGTCACCCAGACTGGAGTGCAGTGGCACAATCTTGGCTCACTGCAACCTCCGCCTCCCAAGTGCAAGCCATTCTCCGGCCTCAGCCTCCCAAGCAGCTGAGACTACATGTGTGCATCACCACGCCTGGCTAATTTTTTGTATTTGTAGTAGAGACTTGTTTCGCCACGTTGGCCAGGCTGATCTCAAACTCCTAGCCTCAAGTGATCCCCCCACCTTGACCTCCCAAAGTGCCAAAGGCAGTAGCTCATAGGCTATTCTTACAAGGTCCTAGATCTACTAATTCTTAGAAAGAACAGCATTCTGAGGATACGGTGAAGACAGATATGAATGAAGAGCAAAGGAAACAGGAGACTAGCTAGTGATCCTCATAGAAACCCACTGGACAGAGGCAACAGATGATGAAAGGCAGGTAAAAAGAAGGAATGGGACCAAGAGCTCAGCCAGGGAGAGAGTACTGGGGAGAGCAAAGGGCACAGGGTAACAAAATGGCTCGGCTGCTGAGTTGCTTAGTAGCTAATTACACATCATTTAACTCTGCGAGCCTCATCTGCAAAATGGGCATCATAAGCTCTACCCATCTCTCAGTGAAGATCAAATGAACAGTGCGTGGCAAAGGTTAATATAAACTGTGATATAAAATAAGGTATTTGTTATTACTAATGAAATCTCCTTTGACAACAAGATATATGTTTAACTCATCCTGTGACTCCAGAATCAACAGATGACCTTGCACATGGCAGGCTGTTAAAATACAGATTGAGTATCTCTTATCTGAAATGTTGGGACCAGGAGTGCTTCAGATTAAGAATATTTTCAAATTTTAGAATATTTGCATATACATAACGAGATGTCTTGGGGATGGGACCCAAGCCCAGGAACAAAATTGATTGATGTTTCATATATACCTTATACATAGGACTGCACATAATTTCATACGATATTTTTAATACTTTTGTGCATGAAACAGAGTTTGTGCATATTGAACCATCAGAAAGGAAAGGTGTCACTATCTCAGCCACCCATGTGGACAATCTGTGGTTGTTTGGCATCACCGTAATTTCTTACTTTGAATTTATATGTTCCTCATAAGCAATCCTTTTCTTATACTTATTCACACATAAGTACTTAACAGTAAAAAAAAAAATGACATATCATGAATACAGTGAAAAAAATAATGTGTTCAAGGTGACAGAACAACACGGTAGCATCACCAGGTATCTGTGCTGGCTTTAACAGCAGCAACAAACCGCAGCAGGCTTTGGTCTCCACGTCGGTGCTCTAAAAAGTTTTACATTTGGGGGCCTTTCAGGTTTCAGATATTCAGACTAGAGATGCTCAATATGTATTGTTGTCAAATATATCAAACTGAATTCCTCCCATTCTTACGCTCTGGAACCTCTCTAACTGTTTATTTCAACAATAACCATATTTTCTACCTCTCAAAATTACCAGTATTGAATCAAACATGTGCCGCCCTATCATGAAATACCTTCTATGCAGCTCTTAAAAACTGCCTTGTTAATGAGTTTGAATAGCCTAGCAAAATCCTTCTGCTATATTATTGTTTTAAAAGCATGATACAAAACGGTCTCTTTGGTAGGAGTCCAATTATTAGTGCAGTGTATGTATTTAGTATCCAAAATATTAAAACTTCAAAATATAATTATTTTAAAATTTTGATATCCATCACTTCTGCATTGAAAGGTTATGGTTGATTTTAATATTTTTGTCTTTTAAGAGTTTTTGACTGGGCGTGGTAGCTCATGTCTGTAATCCCAACTCTTTAGGAGGCCAAGGCAGGAGGATTGGTTGAAGCCAGGAGTTTAAGATCAGTATAGGTAATATAGTGAGTTTAAAAATTAGTCAGATGTGGTAGCACATGCTTGTGGTCCTAACTACTCAGGAGGCTGAGGACAGAGGATTGCTTCAGCCCAGGAGTTCAAGGCTGCAGTGAGCTATGATGTGTCACCGCACTCCAGCCTGGGCAACAGAGCAAGAAGACCCTGTCTCAGAAAAAAAAAAAATATAGTTTTCAATAATGATTAAGTAACGCTTTCATAATTTAAAAAAAAAAAACAAAATGCAATTTTAAACAAAGATTACAAGTGCTAGGAACGACTATATGTGCACCTTCTCAATCCTTTCTTACCAATAGCACTGCCTTCTTCTCAGATGATGAGTAAATGTAGGGACAGAAAACCTGTAAGAGACCAATAAGCATGTGAGTTATTTTATTTCTAGATCATGCCTAATTCCTAATGCCTTCATTTTCTGAAATACTGACAACTTCATCTCTTTGTGCAGAAAAACCGGGATTTCATGTTGGTGAATATAAACATGGGACCCCATAGAGTAGAAGACAGAGGAAGAAGGAGGTGTCCACATTCATAATTCACATGAACTTTCTAATGTCTTCTCTCACTCATTTGACAGCTAAGGTCAATAGGTAATTTATTTATACTTGTCCTTGAAGGAGACATGCTCAGTGACCATTGAGGGAAGTTTAGCAGTTGTTTTAACAGTGCAGGGTTGGCAGAGCCAACATATCAAGGCCTCGTGCAAAGTAAATGTAACCTGGGTAGAATATGGCACCTGACGGTGGACAAGGAGGAGACAAGGTTTATGAGAAACAATTCCTTTCTGTGCAACAGCTGTATTTTGATGAGCTCATTGCTCTTTTAAAAGATATAACTTCTATCCAAACACTGGCTGGTTCACACCAAGCCTCCAATCTTCTCAGAGAGAGTGGGAAAAGCTCTGTTGTACTTTTTTTATATTTTTAAGTACTTAAAGGTATCAGTCCTCGCAATCGAACCATACTGGCCCCACTATTTGCGTATCTGGGACCATTTCTATACTAGGTGAAGTATACTGAGAGTTCCTGCTTCAACATAAGTACACAAAAATATCTTTCTAAAAAGAAAGGTTACGTATTTTAAACCTTCCAGACACTGTGCGCTGAATCAGAAGAAACTGCAATGTAAAATTATGGTCACAAAGCAGGTCTCCTATGAAGCTGTGACTTAACATATAACTCAATTACTTTATGGGAAGCTAGCTATCGGTAAAATCAAGTGAGTGCTCTGAAGATAGAGAGAAGTTTCTCAGACTCCACAATTTATCCTGTTCCCCAGAGACAGGATCTGTGCAGAGGAAAACTCATTCTTAGTCCTACCTTTTCTGGAACTCTCTCCCTGGTAGATATTTTTTAAAGCCTCTGAATGAAAATATGCTTATTTTCTAAGGAACCACTTTAGCCCCAGACTCCTGTTTCTTAACCAGAAGAATGGCTTCAAACAAGAGGATATAATCTCAGGTAATATACTTTGGTGAATATGGGATTTACCAAGCTTTAATTTTCTGGAAGACCTTTGGAAAGGGAACGCTGGTTTATAGTTCGAACCTAGAAGTTATCCTAGGTCTTCTTTACATCCAGGACACATTTATTTTGGCGTGACTGCATGTTAGGTATATGCCACTGGGCACCCCACCTCACCTGCCCTTCTTTCTTTGACACTGAATTAATATAAGGAAAGTCAAAGAAAAGTCCTGTGACAGAATCCCAGCCCTGCTGACAATAAAAGATTCCATGAACATTTTCCCTAAGGCCATCTGATATGTAATATATATCTACCACTCCTGGTGTGTTATTTTTACTTCAAACTTTCACCCAGGCTCACTCAGCTCTCACTAATACCTGAGCCATTTATCTTAGCTTGGACTCCAAAAAGAATTTTTTAAGCTTGTAAGCTTTCAAATTTTGGTTGAATACTGCTCCTTGGACATGTCTCAACTTTCAAAATAAATTCCTTTTTGGTATTGGGTCACTAGGTGCTTTATACCTTCCTACAATGCCATTTATCTTAACCAGTGTGTTTTCTCATTGGCTGTAAAGACATATATGTTGTCTTATTTTGTTCATCTTGCAGTTGAGGGCAAAAATGAACTCTGACAGTATAACTTGGTTATTCCTCTTCTGCCATAGTCACAGGAAGAAAAAATAACACATAGAATGTCAAAATCCAGAGAACGCCTGAAGTGTAAAGCTCTTTGTAACTAGATTTTACAACATAAACCACTTTGAGAAGCTTCCAGAATAGCAGGCACAATAGTAAATCGACAGTGCCATCTGCCAAATGGCCTGGAGATGCAGAGAACCATTGGACTCATTAATTATTGATGACAATCAGAGTCAATTTGACTTCATTATGGGCCAAGAAGAGGAAATCATTGAGGAGCTTGTTCTTAATGGACCTGAGTATAATGGGGGATGTTATGGGGGTGGGGGGATTCTGTCTCCTCACCTCCTCTCCTCCTTCTCTTTGAGAGCAGCATTGTGACCAGAACTAGATGAAATATCTAAATAATTTAGGCAAAAGTCAACTGGTGGGAGGCCCTGAGTTTCCAAAACCTAGTATCTGTCTCTGTGGCTCACAGTTCATTAGATAATTATACTATTCTCGCTTGCAAGGGAGGAGATTGTTAAAACAAAAACTAGGTTTCTTCACGAATGTTTACCTCTGATTTTACGCCCTCTCTCCAGGAGATAATGCAAGCCACCTATCCAAAGATGAGAATGAGACTTAAGACACGCCATTCAAGTGTGGGGATGGAAAGAGCTGCAGGGAAACATTGAGGCTCTCTGTCACAGTTATTCAGCTTCCTGGGCCTTTCACCCAATCCTTGCGTGCAGCCTCTATTTATCAGAGCACAGACATTAGAAAAGAAATGAAGCTGAGTACCATATCTGATTGGAACTGCAGGGGGCTTTCAAGAGACAGGATGCAATTACTTAACTTGGACGGCAGCCAGAGCCTCCACTCCTGTGATCACTCTGATTCCTTTGTATTCCTCCAGCACCTTCTCTAGCACAGTTCATTGCCATCTTCCCATTGGGGCTTAAGAAACGCTTTTGCTTTCCTATCGGTTTTCCTTTTAAGCAATTTCTTCTAACGGAATAGCACCGAGCTTGTGATATTCCCAATGTTGCGCAAGTCATTTGGGGAATTACAAGCAAAATATAAGGTGTGATCTATGGTGATCAAGAAATTTGTTCTGTTTGAGAGCAATGGAAAGCATAAGCAAGTACAAAACTGAGGGGCTACAAGCTAATGCTATTGCTATGCCCAGAAAAGAAAGGGAAGCATACACTCTCTTCTTGGCTATAGGGGACATAGAAACTGATTTTCTTTTGGTCATAGCAATACATTGAAAAATTAACTGGGACAGTGCAGGTATGGTTTGATTATCTATACTCTCCTCATTGATTTCTCAGTGTGTAGAATTGTTCTCTCTATCTAAACCTACTTCTAAAAAAACAGTTTCCCTAGGATCACTGTTTGGCCAGTGGCTTGGTCAATGTGATATGCCATACAGCAGATCTTCACTCAAAATCAATACGTTTTGACCTTCTAAACAATATGCATTCAACTTGTTCCTGAGCATGGTGGCATTTCACTCTTAGAGCCTGATGTCTACTGACGTTCCTCTCTCATTAGGAACTGTAATCAATTAAATCACAAAAATCTCTTCTGCTCATTTTTTAAGTGTCCTGTGCATTTCACTTATATTTATTCTTTGAAGTCATTAGTTCAGATTGTTAAATGAACATAAAGTTAATTGAACATTATTGTTAAACCTAATAAAAAGCAAATAAAATGATCAAGGAATGGCTGTACTCATTACTGCCCACTATACAGCTAGTATGGTCCTTCCCAAAATCTACACTAGAAAGATCATGCTCCTTTGGACACTCTTCTTTTGAGATAGGGTCTCACTATGTTGACCAGACTGGAGTGCAGTGGCCTATTCACACACACAATCATCGCACATGACAGCTTTGAGCTTCTTGGCTCAAGGGACCCTCCCACCTCAGTCTCCTGAGTAGCTGGAACTACAGGTACATGTCATCATGCCCATAAAGATCATGCTCCTTTGAAGAGCATGGTAGGAAGACTACCATTTTTTTTCAATATAATAGAGGATCTTCATCACTATTCAAAGTTCTTGCACAGGCATTATTGTATTTGATTATCACAGACACACTCTCAGGCAGGTGTGGCATGTTTTATCATCCCCACATTCATGGCAAAGAAACTTAGGTTTAGCAAGGTTATGTGACTTGTCAAAAGTCACACCATTAATATCACAGCCAGCTATACTGACTCCTGATCCACTCCTCTCTCTGCTACTATCTCTCACAACATTCCTAGATGCTGGGTGTCCAGAACTGAGAAATTAAGTGACACAGTTTGCATCCCATAAGCTAGCCTGCCACAGCCTCATGAATGCTGCCAGAAGACAGAAAACCCCTGGTTCAAAGATAAAAGTTTATTACCCACAGCAATAGCCACAGCTAGAATAACATCATTTTGTCTTCAGCTCCCATAGCCGCAGTTCCCTAAGGATGACTCCTGAACATACAATAAGTTATATTACAAAATAATAACTCTCATTATAGGGAACCCAAGCCTTCTATAGTGGGCATTGAGCATGCTTGCTTTTTGCTCTGAAGAAAGGAAGAAACCTACCTTTCTTTCCAGAGAGATGTTTGTTCTACAAACATCATTTTAAAAGAACAAAGGCAGTCAATATCTCTGCCTGCAAAATGTGCTAAAAAAAAAAAAGACTGATGGAGAATTGTCTCACAATACTAAGTGGAGCATGAATTATGGTTTGCTGGTTTGCTCAAGTTTAAGTAGCCTATTCTGTGGGACAATAACTAGTAAGTGGTTGGCTTGGGATTTAAACTTATGCCTTTTCACGCTACATTCCATATTCTAGTATTCTATGCTGCCTCTCCAAGACTGAGGCAATGTCTGGAAACAATGATTATTGCTTCATTTATTAAATCATACCTTCTAGTCAACTACATCTCCTTCAGTACTGGTGTAATGGAAACACCAAACATTAACTTCCTATAGATGTATGTTACTCCCCATAAGTAACAGAAAAGATAAAGAGAGTGGATCATGACAACAGATGGACTGTTTTTTGTTTTTGTTTTCTTTTGTTTTTTTGAGACAAAGTCTCACTCTGTCACCCGGCATGATCTCAGTTCACTACAACCTCCACCTCCCAGGTTCAAGCAATTCTCCTGCCTCAGCCTCCCGAGTAGCTGGGACTACAGGCGCGTGCCACCATGCCCAGTTAATTTTTGTACTTTTAATAGACACGGGGTTCCACCATGTTGGCCAGGAAGGTCTCGACCTCTTGAGCTCGTGATTAACCCGCCTTGACCTCCCAAAGTGCTAGGATTACAGGCGTGAGCCACTGCGCCCAGCCACAGATCGACTTTTGATCTGCTGAGCTATTTGTCAGTAATGTGAGTCCAAGTTTTAGAGCCAAAGAAAATTAGATTGCACTGAATAAAAGAGTAAGCAGACACTATAGTAAGGGGAGGGGGACCAAGACGGGTGGGGAAACACCTGGGGCCTAGGGATTGAATGAAGTAAAGGCAGATACTTATAAGAACAGATTTATCTAGTAGAATATTTGTTTTTGTCTTGTACCCTACTGCTTTTGTAGGAGTGGACTCTTTAGGAAAGAAATTGGCAGAAGCACTAAATTTCATTTCTGGGTCTCTATGGTTCAGAGATAGTGGCAAAGCAGTTTAGAGGAAAAAAGAGGCAAAAGATCATACCTCTCCAGAAACTCATCCAAGTCTCAGGAAGGCTTGGGATGTTGCCTAAGATGCTTTGTGCTGCCAAAAGTCAACTTGTATGGCCTGTTATCAATGGGGTCTCTTCCTCTTTAGCTTCTAGGTGGGTTCAGCCAATAGGAAGAACTGACAAAAGTCCACAGGGCAGGAGGAGACTACCACCAGAATATTTTCTCTTTCACCAGCTCCCTCTACCAATTGGCTGCCTCCCTTTACCTAAGTTCACCATTCTTTTTTTTTTTTTTTTTTTTTTTTTGAGACAGGGTCTTGCTCTGATGCCCAGCCTGGAGTGCAGTGGTGTGAACACAGCTCTCTGCAGCCTTGACCTCCTGGGCTCAAGCAATCCTCCCACCTCAGCCTCCTGAGTAGCTGGGACTACAGGTAGGTGCCACCATGCCTGGATAATTTTTTTAAAAATTATTGTAGAGACAGGGTCTCACTATATGTTGCCCAGGCTGGTCTTGAACTCCTAGGTTCAAGGGATCCTTTCGCCTCAGCGTCCCAAAGTGCTAAGATTACAGGCTTCAGTCACCATGCCCAGGCTACTCAGGCAGGCTTCCTTGGTCACTACTCTCTGGCTTCATACCTCAACCTCAAGGGAAACCTTTGAGGGTATGCTGCCATCAGAGTAGCATGGAGTAAAGTTCCAGCTCTTGGTTTGTTAACTGGCCTTCACTACTTGTTAGCTGTGTGACCTTGGGTGACTAATGAATTTCTCTGTGCCTTGACGTTTTCTTATGTAATATTGCACTAATAATAGTACTTATATTAGAGGGTTGTGTGAAAATTAAATTAGAAAGCCCTTAGTATAGCGCCTGACATGTAATAAGAAGTATTAGTTAATTTTTATCATTGTCATTATTGTTATTGCAATTGTTATTTTTCAACATCAGTAGTGTAGATAAAGAAGAAAGTTTTGTTATCAAAGGCCCATTAACTTCTAAAACTGAAAGACCTAGCTAGGTATCCAGTAAATGTCAGTGAACATATGGCCCTGCTAAACTAGAAAACATGTAGGAACTATCATACTCAGAGTAGCATATACAGAGTATAGGTTGCAAGTGTTTCAACTGGCATGTCAAATATTAATAGCCCATGTTTAAATATGTTCATTCAGTTCTAGAAAAGATGTCATCTCCATATCAAGGGATTAATATCATTGCGTGAATGTTTCCTCTAAGCTGAGATTTCTTTCACATTATAGGACTCTCTATTATTAATCATTTTCTTTAATATCTTAATAATGTGATAAGAAAATCAAATTAGGCTGCTAGAAATTTCCCATCAAACTGTATTAACTTTGCCTAGCAAAGAGTTCTGTTTTCTTCCTAATGAGAATGCTAACAGCCAGCTGAGTTGGCACACTGCATGCATCAGACAAGTTTCAAGCCCCTCTTTTTTGGAGCATGTACTGGAGTCATCTAGGAATCTTTTCCTTTTGTTGTCCTTTGCAGTCAATTAGTTTCCAATGCTTGTCAATTCTGCCTTTAATTTCCTATTATCTGTTCTCTATAACTTCTCATAGGCCCCCACCAATTCTTATCTAGACTACTATCATGGGCTTCAACAATGGCCCCTATCTGGTTTGTTAATACTCTAATCCATCCTCCATGGTGTTGTCATATTAATCTCTCAAGGGCACATCTCGCACTATGTCATTTCAAAAGTCATCTATGCCCATTACCTACCAAAAGCAGGAGTAGAGGGTACAAGTTCTTGGCCTTCTGTGTGCTGGGTCCCAAATTGCTTTTCCAACCTTATCTTCCACTACTCTCTTCATCAACTTTCTTTGCTAGTCAGACAAGATTTTTTGGCTCTAATGAATATTTTCCCTTTGCATATTTGTGCAATATTTTCCAAATGCATGCTCTACCTTCTCCACCCTGCTGCACCAGGAAGCTGACCTGTGGAGGCTTTCTTGCTCTCTGGATTCTAGCTGGGTTTGGTCATTGGAAACACAAATAAGAGATCAGAAAGTTGGAAGAAAGTTAATATAGGGTTATATATGTTCCTCTACTAAAAGCCACAGGTGCTGTCAGGATGTCTTTCCTGTAAGCTCTCTCTGTATTCTCTCTATTCATGTTCTAGTAACTAATCCCTCTCCTTGCCCTTCAGGCAACACCTGGAATTCTAGACCATCCCTTGTCAGGTTTCCTAAAGCCTGACCACCCTTTTTGTACACAATTCCTTTATTAAACTCTCTTTAACTACATAGTTTGAGTAATTTGTACTCATCTAGTCCCCGCTGGGACTCTGGTTGATATGGTAACAGGTACCAGCAGTGGCTCCAAGAAACCAACCCTCAACTGTGATTCAGGGGATGGATTTGAGGAGCACAGGCTAATCTTGCAAGAGGGAAACAGAAACTGATTATCTGACTTTCAGTGGCATTAGGATAACTCAAACTAATACCTGTGGTGGCATAAAACAGGCAGCAGTCAAGGAGCTGTGGGGCTGTAATGACAATAGTGATTCTAAAGCTGTGGGATTGGATGGCACTGCCTCTGACAGCCATACAGTCTACAGGGAGAAGGACATATTGAAGTCCTTCAACTTCCAGCTTAGTACCTGGGTGAAAAATCAAAAAGGCTTCATGACACCTTTGAACACGCTTCTCATCCCTGTAGTTGCTGGGCAGATATGGCTGAGCAAAGTCATAGCAGCAATTAAACATCAAAACTTGCCAGGTGTCTTCTGTCAAGGTAAAGACATTGGTGGAAAAGGAGTAGAATCCCATGGCATGAGATGGGGACATTTGAAAGATAAATCAGAAGAGCCTGGGAACTCTGAATCTACAAATCCCTCTGAACCTCTCATTTCCACCCCTATCTAATAGGACCTGCCTTCCCCTGCATAAAATATTTTAGTGACTTAAATGAGGCAACTACTTCACAAGGCAATACTGATTTTCCTGAGGAATCTTTCTCTCCAACTTCCACCACCCACATTGCCTCCAGGACCACAGCAGGAGTTAGATCCCAGACAGAGAAGTATGAGGCCTGACCCTGGAAGGCTTAGCCCATACACAGTGGGAATTGAGGATATCACCTGTTAGTATTGCAGAGTATATAAAGAATGCATGAGACTGGCATGGTGGCTCACACCTGTAATCCCAGCACTTTAGGAGGCCAAGATGGGAGGATCACTTGAGCCCAGGAGTTTAAACCAGCCTGGGCAACACAGGGATACCCTGACTCTACAAAAAAATTAGAAAATTGGCCTGAGGTAGTGGCACATGCCTATGGTCCAGTCTGCTTGAGAGACTGAAGATGGAGAATCACCTGAGCCCAGGAGGTCGAGACTGCAGTGAGCCATGTTCACACCACTGCACTCCAGTCTGAACAACAGAGCAAGACCTTGTACCAAAAAGAAAAGAAAAGAAAAGAACTTATGAGAGCAGATTCTAGGTCAGAGTTGCCATTGATAATTTCATCCATCTATAGAAAGTCACAGTGTCTGTGAGGCAGCCTTCTTGCTACAGCTCCTCTCTGAGTTTCAGTAAGGGCTCCCTTCCCATGCCCCTCAGGCTCAGGGGTGCTGACTCCACACTGCTACTTGCCCCAAGGTACTGGCTGGCTATTCCTTGTTGACTTCTCTTAACCTGGTTATCCCTTGCTGGCTTCCCTTAACCCTGACCACAGCCCTACAACTTTGAGGTTTCCTTAATTATCCTGGCTGTGAGTGTTAATTCCTGCCAGGCCCTGACTGATATACTTTCCAGTTTCATGGTTTCTTGCCATGGTGCTTTCTCTTTGTGCTATTCTGCATAACTGGAAGAAACCTGTTTTTTTTTTTCCTTTTACATTCACACTCAACACAGAATATTTCACCTCTGGTCACCAAAACATGTGTGGGTTTTTCCCACACTGATCAATTCTGTGGACACTAATAGTTGTCCTCTAGTTCAATTTTGATTCTGACACTGTGTACCTGGAGTTAGAGTCAGATCCCACAGATTGAAGACTCAGTTGCCCAAGACAGCCTCCCACTTTAGATGCCAATCACAAGCAGTAGGTTGTTCTGTATTCTTTTTTTTTAGAGATAGGGTCTTGCTGTGTTGTCCAGGCTAGTGTCAAACTCCGGGGCTCAAGTGATCATCTCACCTCAGCCTCCCAAATAGCTGGGACTACAGACACATGACCACGTCCAGCTTGTCACCTACACTTGTGACCAAACAGCTATTGAATCGGGGTTCCCACGACCCCCTCCTTGGGTTTTGATTAATTTGCTGGGATAGCTAACTGAACTCAGGGAAACATGTTTACTGGTTTATTATAAAGATACTACAAAGGATATAGATGAACAGCCAGATAAAGAGGAACATAGGGCAGTGTGTGGGGAAAGGGGCACAAAGCTTCCACACCCTCTCCAGGGGTCACCACCCTCTAGAAACCTCCACATGTCAACTACACAGAAGTTCTTGAATCCTGTCCTTTTGGGTTTTTATAGAGACGTCATTAAATTAGCCATTATCAATTATATAATTGGTCATTGGTGGTTAAGTCCATCTCCAGTTCCTCTCCTGTTTTTGGAGGTCTGGGGTGCAGGCAGGACTAAAATTTCCAACCCTCCAATCAATTTCCCTGGCAACCGCCACCCTGCAGCTATCCAGGAGCCCACCACAAGTCTCATTAGAATGAAAGATTAGATCTCATTAGAACAAAGGATGCTTCCTATCACCCAGGAAATTCTAAGGGATTTAGAAGCTCTGTGTCAGATGTTCCTATTACTCAGGAAATTACAAAGACTTAGGAGCTCTGTGTCAGAAACCAGGGTCAAAGACCAAATATTAGAACAAAAGACATTTCTAGTGCCTCTATCTGCAAGGGTTTTCAGGAGTTCTATGTCAAGAACTGGGAGCAGAGACACATATGTATTTCTTATTATTTCACACACTCCCTCTGCTCAGAATCTTTCCCTGCTTGTCCTTCATTAAAAGCTCAAAAGTCAGCTTTTAAATGAAGCTTCTGTAGCCCTGAAGGTGGTAGTGATTTGTCCCTCCCCAAAGTCATATTGCCCTTCCTATATACACCTTATATATTCTTAGCAATTTCTTCTTTGCCTAATGGTATTTCTAAACATGGTGTATTTCCTTTCCCCATCTACAAGCATCCTGAGGGCAGTATTCCTGTTTAATTCTTATTTTATTCTTAATGTTTAATAAATAGTAATAACAACAGTGTTTTTTCTTGTGTTTCAGGTTCTATGCTCCTTGCATGTATTAACTTATTCAATCCTCCAACAAACTTTAGAAGTTACTACTATTATAAAATCTATTTTACAGAGGAGAAATTAAGGCCTGAGTGACTTGCTCAAGGTCACATAGCTAATAAATGGCAGAACAGGCTTCAAGCCCAGCATTTTGGCTGTAAAGCACATGCACTTAACTGCAGTAATATACAGCCTTTGTTATATGAGTGAAAACAAAAGGAAGGATATTCTGACACATGCTGCAACATGGATGTACCTTGACGATATTATGCTGGAGAAATAAGCCAGTCACCAAAGGACAAATACTGTATGATTCCATTTAGATGAGGTCAAATTCACGGAGGCAGAAAGTAGGATGGCGGCTGTCATGGGAGGGGGATGGGGAATTAGTGTTTAATGGGCACAGGGTTTCAGTTTGGGAAAATGGAAAATTCCGGAGATCAATGGTGATGATGATTACATAACACTGTGAATGTGCTTAATGCCACCAAACTGTACACTTAAAAATGGTAAATGTTATGTTATGTGTAGTTCACCATAATAAAGAAAACTAAATATAAATGAGTGGAAAGAAAGAATAAAAAAAGCAACAGACAAATTAAATAACTAACTAACGATGACAGTAGATTTTCGAGTCAATAGTTACAGAAAAAAAACCTGACAAGGTGAGGCAAGAGCATCTCTTGCCTCCAGTTTCATTGTTTCATCGGATAATCCAGGTAATGCCGCTGCTGTGGCCGTGGCTCAGGTTGTGATGTGGAGGCACTGATCTTCCTCATTTGAGGCCACCACATAGCCTGAAGGAGAACCCCAATCACCTACTCCCAGCCAGTGACGTAAATGGTCAGTTGTCCCAAACTGTAAAAGAATTAATCCAAGTATATCCGATTTTCCTCAAAGAATGGTGTTATTACTAGGACCATGGAGAATGAGGGTAGAATTTTCTGACTTTTAATCAGCAGATTCCCTTGAGTAAGAGAAAGGCCCCTAAATCCAAATATGGAAGAGTCAGGATGCCTCTTGCTCCCCCTTCTCTCCTATCATCTACCAGCTCTCCCTGGAGATCATCCTGTTCAGTGTTAAATACTCCCTACCTGCCAGTGAGTCTCAAATCCACATCTTCCAGCCTGACCTCTCCCTCCAAGTCCTCCAAGTCCAAGTATATTTCAACTTCCTACCTAATATCTCCACATGATATCTAAGAACCATGTTAAACACAATCTGCCCAAACAGAATTCTATTCAGTCCCTGTCATCCTTCCTCTTACAGAAATCTGCTACTCATCCCAGTCCTCCCCATCAAAATAAATGGCACTGCCTTCCAATGAATTCTTCAAGCCTTAAGACTGCAAAGTATCTTTAATTCTTTTATTCACGGAATCAACCCACCCATATTGTGACATGCAAGTTCTGGCTACCCTACTTCTAAATCTTATCTCAAACTCTACTACCTCCACCTTATCCGATCCACACTCATGGCTCCCCTGAACTACTGTGGTAACTCCGAACTGGTCTTCTTGGTTCCACTCTTGCCTCCTGTAGTCCATTCTCTGCACTTAGAAGCCATAGATAAAATTTTAATTCTAAAGAATATGATGGCTCTCTCTTGGCTAAAATTCTTCAATGATCTCCCTTTGAATTTAGGTATAATCCAAATTCCAAATGCTGCCTTACAGAACTCGGTGTTATTTGGATCTCACCTGCCTCTTACATTTCACCTCTTACTATTAATATTTGTCCCTTTGCCATTATACTGCAGCCTTGCTGGCCTTTTGACTTTCTTCAAGCATGGCAAGCTCATTCTCGCTCTAGGGCCTTGACACTCTTTCCTCTGCCCATACCACCGTGCCCCCTCGTTATTCCATTCTGCCATCTTTATATTATCCAGACTTTAGCTCAAATATCTTTCTTCAAAGAGCCCTTCTTGGCCACCAAATCTAAAGTAGTCATCTACTTACTTATTAATTTTAATTAATTTCATTGTCTTCATAACACTTGTCATTACTCCTTTTCCCCTTTTCTCTTTCTTCTCCTTCCTTCTTTCCTTCCTTCCTTCTCTCCCTCTCTCCCTGTCTTACTCTGTCTCCCTCAAATAGAATAGAAGCTACATTTGAATGGGAACCATCTGTATCTTAACCATATTCTCCACAATATCAAATAGTGTTTAATACATAACAAGTACTCAATGTATGTGTGTTGATTGTAGAAGGTATTTTCACTTCTGACAAACCACTTGTTCAAATTTAGTATATAATCATACATTTAAATTTATATTTGTGCTCCATTGGGCTTTGAGACTGGGAACCAAACAAGTTACACTCTAGTGTAAGAAATTATTCATAATAGCCAAATATGGAAAAAAGACTAAATATCTATCAACTGGTAAATGGATAAAATGTGGTATGTCTGTAGTATGGAATATTATTCAGTGATAAAAAAGGAATGAATACTGATACATGCTACAACACGGATGAACCTCAAAAACGTAATGCTAAATGAAAGGAACTAGACATAAAGGACCACATACTGTATGATTCCATTTATATTAATTGTCCAGAATAGATGAATACATAGAGAGAGAAAGTAGATCAGTGGTTGCCTGGGGCTAGAGCGAAAATAGGAATTGACTATAAATGGGCATGGGGAATCTTACTAGGGCGATGAAACTGTTCTAAAACTGGATTGTTTTCATGATTGCACAAATGGGTAAATGTACAAAAAATAATTGAATTATTCACTTAAATTAGACAAATTTCATGATACATAAATTATTACTCAATAAATTTTTTTAAAATTAAAAGCATTACTTCCCACCCTCCCAAATTAAGTTTTTTACAAAAAGTAGAAATCCTTGAAAACCACTCTCAAGTAACACTTGTTTTAAGATATGGTCTCTTTTCTATGTATAAATAACTAAGTAAGTAAATATAATTTTTCTTCAGTCAGGAATCTACAGTTTTTCCATTTCCAGTAACGTCATGCTTAGTTCATCAACTTTTCAGCTTTTCCCTTTCGCGGACACTTGGCACCTCTATTGCTGTAACATAAACACAGAGTAAATTAGTTGTAGCTGCAATTTTTAAGGCCCACAGGAAGAGCAACAGATTCCTAGAAACAGATTTTGAAGCAATAACATGTAAAAATATCTGTTATTTTAATAACTGGCATTTTCTAATCTTATCTTTACCAAATTAGTAAAGAGCTACATCTTACGACATTCTTACCTTAAACAACAAAGATAAATTTTTTAGTAGGTGCAGCTACCGTTGACATGTGACATCACAAGTCCTGTCCATGATCAAACTCCAAATAACAGGATCTTAAGTGCAGCCTCCCCAACATGAACAGATGAAGTGAGGATGCAGGAAGCATGTGGGGTCAGGTGATCCTGGAAGCATGGAAGACATCTTTATAGCCTTTGGATAAGCCAATGGAGTGCAAAAGGCATGCAAGATACAAGAAACAAAAAAGCCTGGAGGCTAGGAATTGCTTCAAAATGCCAAGAAAGGAGAGTTATCAATGAGAAACAATCCAAGGTTCTCGTTGAGTATGACGCTCTTGGTATATTGCCTTCTTGTCTTGTAAATCATGGGAATAAATATTTCCTTGTCAAAATATTACCCCTGGGCCCAATGTTCATTTATACAATGAATATACACTATGAGCCTATCATATATATTATGGAAAGCTCAGTGGTGAACTATAGGAGAAACAGTATGGCACGTTTGTTGAGTACAATTGAGAGTCAGGCTCCTCAAGATCAAGTTTAGGCTGTTCCATTTAATAACTATGCAACCTGAGGCAATTTTCTTAACTTCCGTAAGCCTATGTTCTCATTGGCAAAGTAGGGATGGAATATGACCTCTCTCAGAGGAACATTTGGAGAATAAGATAATATGTGTGACATTCTTAGCACAGAGAGTAAATAAGTACTCTGTAAAAGTTACTTTTTATTTCCTAAAAGAGTTCATGAAGACTGGTATTATCTTTTTCCTTAAAAGTTGAAAAAAATTACCAGTGAAACAATCTGGGTCTGGAGTTCTGTTTGTGGCATAATAAATTTAATTTCTGTAATAGGTAAAGAACTATTATGATTTTCTATTTCATCTTGCATTAGTATTGGCAACTGCATTTTCCAGAATATTTACTTGTTCACCTAAGTTGTTAAGTGACCTTAAGTTTTTCATAATGTTCCCTTATTTTGAATGTCTGTATGTGTATATTTATATATACTTTGTATATATTTATATGTATATTTATATATTTTATATAGTTATATATTTACATATACATATTTATTTATACATTTATATACTTTTTTATATATACACATATATGTACACATTTATACACATATACACACATATATACACATATATACACATATATATACACATATATACACATATATATACACATATATATATACACACACACATATATATACACATACATACACATGGTTAACCCTTGAGAAACTCATATTTGAACTGTGTGGGTCCTCTTACACCCTCTTACACTATAGAATGGATATTCTTCTGCCTGTGTTACTCCTGAAACAACAAGACCAACTCCTCTTCTTCTTCCTTTTCCTCTTCAGCCTATTCAACGTAAAGACGATGAGGATGAAGACCTTTATGATAATCCACTTCCACTTGATAAGTAGTAAATATTGGGTAAAGGATTCCCTATTTAATAAATGGTGTTGGGAAAACTGGCTAGCCATATGCATAAAACAGAAACTGGACTCCTTCCTTACACCGTACACAAAAATTAACTCAAGATGGATTAAAGACTTAAATGTAAACCCAAAACCATAAAAACTTTAGAAGAACACCTAGGCAATACCACTCAGGACATAGGCATGAGCAAAGACTTCATGACTGAAACACCAACAACCATTGCAACAAAAGCCAAAATTGACAAATGGGATCTAATCAAACTAAAGAGTTTCTGCACAGCAAAAGAAACTATCACCAGAGTGAACAGGCAACCTACAGAATAGGAGAACATTTTTGCAAGCTACCCATCTGACAAAGGGCTAATATCCAGAATATACAAGGATTGGATCACTTTTTGATCCAATCCCATCAAAAAGTGGATGAAGGATATGAACTTCTCAAAAGAAGACATTTATGTGGCCAAGAAACACAATACAAAGCTCATCACCACTGGTCATTAGAGACATACAAATCAAAACCACAATGAGATACCGTCTCGTGCCAGTTAGAATGGCGATTATTAAAAAGCCAGAAAACAACAGATGCTGGTAAGGTTGTGGAGAAATAGGAACGCTTTTACACTGTTGGTGGGAGTGTAAATAATTTCAACCATTGTGGAAGACAGTGTGGCAATTCCTCAAGGATCTAGAACCAGAAATACCATTTGACCCAGCAATCCTATTACTGGGTATATACCCAAAGAATTATAAATTATTCTACTATAAAGACACATGCACACATATGTTTGCTGCAGCACTATTTACAATAGCAAAGACTTGGAACCAACCCAAATATCCATCAATGATAGACTGGATAAAGAAAATTGGTGCATATACCCCATGGAATACTATGCAGCCATTAAAATAAATGAGTTCATGTCCTTTGCAGGGACATGGATGAAGCTGGAAACCATCATTCTCAGCAAAGTAACACAGGAATAGAAAACCAAAACTGCGTGTTCTCACTCATAAGTGGGAGTTGAACAATGAGAACACGTGGACACAGGGAGGGAAACATCACACACTGGGGCCTGTTAGGGGGTAGGGTCAAGGGGAGAGAGGGTGTTAGGATAAATCCCTAATGCATGCGGGGCTTAAAACCTAGGTTTGACGGGTTGACAGGTTCAGCAAACCACCATGGCACATGTATAACAAACCTGCATGTTCTGAACATGTATCCCAGAACCTAAAGTAAAATAAAAATATAAACATTAAAAAATAAAACAAAATAAATAAATAGTAAATATATTGTGTCTTCCATATCATTTTCTTAATAACATTTTCTCTAGCTTACTTTATTATAAGAATACAGTGTGTAATACATATAACATACAAAATGTGTGTTAATCAACTCTTTCTTTTTGTTTTTGTTTTTCAAGAGCACTCTGTTGCCCCAGCTGGAGTGCAGGGGTGGGATCATAGCTCACTGTAACCTGAACTCTCGGGCTCAAGCAATCTTCCCACCCCAGGCTCTCCAGCAACTAGGACTAAGGCAGGCCACCACATCCAGCTCTTTCTCTAGACAGGGTCTCACTACATTGCCCAGGCTAATCTACTGTTTATGTTATCGGTAAGGCTTCTGGTCAAAAGTAGGCTATTAGTAGCTATGTTTTGGGGGAGTGAAAACTTTCTTTTGGATTTTCAACTGTGCAGGGGGATTGGCAATCCTACTCCTCATGTTGTTTAAGGGTCAACTCTATATAAAAAACTTATAGTGATATCCACTCTTATTTCTGATGTTGGTAATTTTTCTTTTTTCTCTTTTCTTCTTCATAAGTCTAGCTAGAAGTTTATCCATTTTCTTGATTTTCTTCATAGAATGAACTTTGGGCTTTATTGATTTTCTGTTTGTCAGTTTTCTTTTTCATTGATTTCTGCTGTTATCTATTATTTCCTTCCTTCTACTTATTTTGGGTTTACTTTGCTCCTCTTTTTTTAACTTCTTAAGGTGCAATATTAGGTCATTAATATTATACCTTCCTTCTTTTTCTATAGATGCATTTTAATGTCATAAATTACCTTCTAAGTACTGCTTTAGCTACAAACAAATTTTAATATATTGTATTTTACTATCATCAAGTTATATTTTCCAGTGTCCTCTGTGACTTCTTCTTTGACAATAGATTATTTAGAAATCTGTTTTTTAATTTCCAAATATTTAAGTTTTCTATATATCTTATTATTTATTTATAATCTAATTCCCTTGTGATCAGAGAGCCTGCTCTGTATGATTTTGATACTTTTAAGCTACTGAGGCTTGATTTATGACTCAACATATGGTCCATCTTGGGGAACACACCATGTGCACTTAAAAAAATCTATGCATAGTTGTTTGGTATAGCAGTCTATGAATATTAATTTGATCACAATGATTTATTGTGTTTTGAGGTAATTCTATATCTTTAGTAGTTTTTTTTGTTGGTCAAGTAATTCTAGCAATAACTGAGAGAAGGATGTTAAAATTGTGATATAAAATTGTGAACTTTTCTATATCTCCTTTTAATTCTATCAATATTATATTCATATATATTAAAGCTCTATTATTAGGTGCACAACCCTTTAATATTGTTATGTATTGTGTTATGTATGAATTCACCCTCTTGTCATTATGAAATGTGCTATTTCATCTCTGGTAATACTCTATCTTAAGATCTTTTTTCATTTGATATTAATATAGCCACTGTAACTTCCTTATGCCTACTCTTTGTATGTTATATCTTTTTCATTCATTTTTCTTCAAATCATCTCTATCTTGATATTTAAAGTGTATTTCTGGTAGATAGTATATAGTGGTATCCTACTTTTTAAATTTATTTTTATAATTTCCACCTTTTAATTGGAGTGTTTAAAGTCCGCTTATACTTAATGTAAGTTTTAATAACTTTGATTTAAATCTATCACTTTATTATTATTATTCCTGTTCATACCTCTGTTTCTTGTTTCTCATTTTTTCCTTTCCAGACTTTTAAAACATTATTTTCACTTTAGAATTCAATTTTTACTTGCCCATTAGCTCTTTTGGTTATATCTCTTCATTTTATAGTAGTTGGTAGGGATTATGATATATATCTTTAATTTTTAATAGCATAGTTAGATTTAATATCAGACCATCTTATATAATATGTAAGAACCCAGCAATTATATGAATCTATTTACAACTCTCTGGTCTTTTGGGCTTTGATTGCCATATGCATTACATACACATACATTATAAACTCCACAATGCAATATTATAATTTTTACTTAGTGATATGTATTTTTCAAATTTAGATTAAAATCAAACTTGTATATTTCCTCCTATACTTACCATTTCTTGCCCTTTGTATCTTCTTGAAAATCCAAATTTATATCTGAGATAGTTTTCTTTCAGCCTGAACAACTTCATTTAATAATTCTTGTCATGTATATCTGCTCGTGATAAAGTTTCTTAGTTTTTGTTTATCTATAAACAATCTTTATTTTGTCTTCAAAACAGTATCCTTTTAGAAGGATACTGTTAGAATAAGTGCTGGTTGGCAGGTTTTGCCTTCAGCACTTTAAGGAAAATTTGTAGTCATCTTATAAAATGTTTCTCCAAGTATTGTGTCATTTTTCTCTCATTGCTTTGAAAATTCTCTTAATCTTTGGTTTTTAACAGTTTGAATTAATGTGCTAGCTGTGATTTTTCTTTTTGGTCTTTGTCCTCCTTAAGAGTTTTCAGAGCTTCTTAAATCTGTGAATGTATGTTTTTACCAAACTTGAAAATGTTTTAGTTTTAGTTTATTCAAATAGTATTTCTGCTGCGTTCCCTTTCTCCTCTCCTTCTGAGATTCCAATTACACGCATGTTAGAATTCTGCTATTGCTCCACAGGTCTCTGGGACTTTTTTTTCTTTTTAAAACTATGTTTTCTCTATGTTTTTCAACTGGATAATTTTTATTCCTCTATCTTTAAATATACTAGCACTTTCTTCTTTCTCTTGTCATAGCCAATATGCTGTTAAGCTTATCTGTAGAATTTTTTACTGTAAAATTTTACTTTACTGTGTTTTTTATTCTAAAATTTTCATTTTTTTCTTCTTTATAATTTATCCTTCTTTGCTGAAATTAGTTTTACTCATTCATTTGTTATGAGTTTATTTTCTTTTACATTGCTGAACATAGTTGTAATAACAGCTTTAACTCTTTATCTACTAAATCCAATATCGGGTCCAGTCCCCATTGATTGTCCTTTCTATTGAATACAGGTTGTCACATTTTCCTTTTTGTCCTATGTCTGTAAGTTTGAATTGTATTCTAAACACTGTGTGTAATGTATTGTTAAGACTGTAGATTAGTTATGTTTCCACAAAGAGTTTTAAATTTTTTGTTTTAGTAATGAATTAACTGGACTCAGACTCAAAGCTCAATCAATTTTTTGGTGGGAGGCAACTGAAAACTCTGTTCTTTTCTTTATGCCATAGCTGGGGTCCTTAAAGTATGCTCTTTGAATGCACATTTCACAGGTGGCTCAGCTATTTGGGCAAAGTTTTTTTATAGACAGAATGTGAGGCTCCCCCTCTCTGGCTCTCTCCTTTCAAGAATCCCCCTCCTCTTCAATTCTGGCTGCTGCAAATGCTCTGAATTATGTTCTCTGGTTCTTCAAGGTAGGACGACTGAGGTTTTCTATCCAAGTTTATCCCACCTTACCTGGAATATACTAGGGTCTGAGCTCAGGGAAAAAATTAAAACAAAACATAAAATTAGAAATGTGATAACGGGTTGAGTAACATTGCAGAAATTTAATTGACAAACCTATACATTAATTAGTAATGTGGGAGAAGTCAAAGATATACACTCAGTGTTGCTTTTGTTTAAAAATACTTTTTCCTCCTTCCACACACATAAAAGCCAATTCATCCCTCCAGGCATAGCTCAAGCTTCCTTGCCCATTCCACCGTTTCTCATTTCTACGAAACATGAGGCTGGCACTGCCTTAGATTGCTTTTGCACAGCATATATCTTGCATTATCCAAGTTGATTTCAGTCTCTCTGAAATTAGGCAACATGCTTTATACATTTTTGTACAGTTACAATGTCTATCACAGAGGAAGTACTCCGTAAACACTTCTTGATGAATTTATTATTTCACTAATCTTACTTCATAGTGTCTCTGATAATAAAGCAAGAGCTCTGAGGCATCGCTAAGCCTCGCCATGATTTGTATATACTTGCTGAACCTCCTCTCAGAAGAAATTGCTACTCCTAATATCAAAGTTTGTTGATCGATTTATAGTATCAGGTTTTGTCAAAGTTACCCATTTTAAAGGGACAGAAGAAATACAGCACTAAGAAGAGGGAACTATTCTATTTGAGTAGCTAAAGATCCGTAGAAATCTACTGGACTGGTAAATATGTCTCTTTAGAATGGCTCTAGCAATACTATGCTTGTCTCAGATGGGAAAAAGTGAAATCAAAGAAAAGCATTGTCTGTAGCTATAGGGCACTCCCCTTGGCCCTTACCTGTTGACATTGGTGCAAAGAAAATTATATGCAACTCTTAAAAATGTTGATGCACTAGATTGAAGATAATGAATGTTAATCTGCAGCTGTTCACACCCAAAGGCTTCTTAGTATAAATAACGAAATGCAAAATTATAATAAATGGAGACTGTGCACCTCTGGAAAGTTTCCAGAAGGCAGCAAATTGAAACAGCACAAACCCCAAAGCAGTAGTAACAGAAGAAAAAAACAAGCCAAGATGCCTTGGATCTCAGTGCCCTGAAGAGCTCCCAGTGAGGCCAATGGAGAAGGCAGCTGGAAGTCTTTATGGAAAAGTCCATGTCTAGGTTACAATTTGGTGGAGCTTGTTCTAAGGTTACATACACACACATACACTTTGTCCCCTCTTGCAAGGAATAGAAAGTAGCTAGTCTTAAGACACACACAAAAGTCTACAGCCCTCAGCAACTTCATCTCTTCATAATACCATGGATGGCCCAATCAAAGGCAAAGAATTGTTTAGAAAGCCTGTAAACTAAGGACAGATTAGGGGAAGAGCAGAGGCAATGGTGAGATAAGAACAGGAGCACTGCAGGTGAATTGCCCTCCACAGCACTGCCTTACACAGCTCCCCTGGCTACACAGGTGGCAATGCAGTTGAGTGTCCCCTCCGCCTCTCCTGGATTTTGACTAGTGAGCCCTGTATCCACTGTTTAGGAAATAACACCTGAAGGGAGAACCAGGCAGAACATTCGGGATCCTTCTTACTCTAACCTTACAGAATCCTCCAGGACCCTAGGGTGATTCTTTGTTCAACGCAAAGAATCAATTTACTTCCTGGCCTCACTCTCCACTACTTGACAATGAGCTCCATAAGGATATGACATCCATCTAAGTCATCCTTGTTACCATCGTGTCTAGCAGAACAGAACTTGGCACAGAGCAGGCACACAATATATGCCTCTTACTAGCTTCGTGTCTTGGTTTCCTTATCTATCTTTAAGCATGAATAATTAAAATACTTAACTCACAGGATCTCACTGTTATGATGCATTAAATGAATTTAAACATTTAAAGCATGAAATCAATGGTAGGCCATAGTCAATGTCCAATAAATGATATTCATTATTTTAATAGTTGATATTACTAGTATTATTATTTTGAGATGGAGTCTCACTCTGCTGGCCAGGATGCAGTGCAGTGGTGTGATCTCGGCTCACTGCAACCTCTGCCTCCTAGGTTCAAGCTATTCTCCTTCCTCAGCCTCCCGAGTAGTTGGGATTAAAGGCAAGCACCACCATGCCCGGCTAATTTTTATAGTTTTAGCAGAGACGGGGTTTCACTATGTTGGCCAGGCTGGTCTCAAACTCCTGAACTTAGGTGATCAGCCCGCCTCAGCCAATATTACTAATATTATTACATCAAGTCACTGCAACTTGTCCTTTATGAAAAAAAAAATTGTGATTTTCAAGACACGCAACAAATCCCTCTTTTTAAACATATCCCCCTTATTGAAATCAAAATTTTATGTAAAGATTAAATATCCTTCGTTAAGAAATTTTCTCCTTTAATTATTGATCTTTCTGAATACAAAACCTTTGAGTGGAGAAACACCTTAAGTCTCTAAAACTTTGGTAAGTTTGAGGGGGGTTTTCTAAATTAATTATTTATTTTTTATTTTATTTTGGATTCAGGGAGTATACTTCCTGAATGAGTCACACATTTTCAAGGAGCAGCGAGTGATTGTAGGATCAATATAAAATTATGCAGATTCTACTTTCCCATCAATCCCACCTCCAGAGAAAACCCGCCCCAAACTGTAAAATATTGCATATTCCTCAAAGAGCAATTCAACAATTAGGGCCAGAAATCCTTCAAATAGGAAAGATTACCAAAAAAGGGCTGGTGTCACATCTAAAGACGCAAATGAGACCTCGTATATAACATGGCACCTGGCTTCGCTGAAGGGGCCCAGATTCTCACTCAGTGCCCCCCAGCCTTGCAGGACCCCAACACGGTTCCAGGCTGTGCCCACATTCTGTTTTCTGCCTGCCGGGAAGATGAAGATTCCCTGTGGGTATTTTCAATCATTCAGTCTCCTCACCTCCAGACTTCAGAAAAACAAGAGGGGGTAGGGATAAGGTTAGAATACCAAGCCTTTCCCCCTACCTCTTTTAGCTTTTCAGCTAGAAAAAAAAAAAAAAGGTAAAAGTGAAATGTTTGGGCTAATATCCAAACCAAAAAAGAAAGAGCTGAGGCCCTGCAAGAAAGAGTACAGAAAAGGGCCTCTTCTATCCAGAGGTGAAGAACGAGGCATTTATGCTTGCCAGTGGAATCTGAAGAAAATATATATTTGCTGAAGAGCTGCCCAGGCCCCTGGGGTTCTTAGCTCAATGACCTTATATTGGCTGTTCTTGGCAATCTAGCAAATTCAAACACATAAGTGCTACAAATAGGAACCAACCTACCCCTGACTGTGCCTTCCAGCCCTGAGTAAGAAATGGCAGGAAGAAAGATGGTTCATAAGTGCCGGGCCAGGGAGCCCTGGGCCCCAGTTGTGGAGGATGTGTGCAGCCCTGCCAAGGATAAAAGTCAGGGAAGCTTTAAATCTCATTGTAGGCCTAGAGGAGTGCAAGAACCTTGGCCGTGACAGCAAAGGTGGGTCCACATAGAAGGGGGTTCACTGAACCTAGTCTGAGATGATGCCGAGTTCTCAGAGTGATGTGCAGGGCTGAGCTAAAAGGCACACGTTCATCCAGAAAGGGGATGGCACTAGAAAGGAATGGAAGCTAAGCCATTGCCACTGGAGGATCAGAGAGGAAGGGAAGACAAATGGAAGCTTCCATTTGTGAAACAATAGCTGGCAATGGGGCCACCATGGGAAGAGCAACCACAGGCTAAAGCTCAAAGCCAGGCTTTTGGATGACAGAGGCAACCAAATACCCACTGACAGTGAGTGTTCGGTGACTGGCTCTCTACCTAGCATCTTCCTCTAATCTTCCTAGGGGTCATTTAGCAAAGAATAGAAAGTGCTGGGGCTGAAGAATGACTTTCCTGGGGAAGGCTACTGCAGGGAAGCTGTTTAAGTTCCATAAAATCTGACTCCGATCAGTACATTATTTGCAGCAATATGGCAACAAACCACACATTGTTAAATGTAGAGGAATTTAATAGATTTTTAACGATAGAAAATCAGGGAATCTCTAGACACAAAGGTTTGTTAAACAGTGAATTTAGTCGAAGGATTATAAATTAATAAATGACCCAGTGCTGAAAATGAAACTGGCTCCAGAATTTATTCGAAATATATTTGAGTGTCTTCAGAAGCGGCACGCATTTTGCAGCCTCCCAATTCAACACAGTCCCCACCATTGCCTCTTGTAATGTCTATTACCTACCCAGCATTGTAGGTATTTGTTCTTTTTTTAATTGATGCGGACCCTGCAAACCAGAGAGTTAAGGGCAGATATGCTTTCACTTTAGTTTGCTTGCTGCCATGCCAAGACACGTCACTTCCTCTCTGGTAAATAAATACCTATATTACTTATTCTAGTCTCCCAAGGTTTTCATTTCTATACTAAGAATTGAATCATTTTTTGCCTCGAAATTCTGGCAGCACCATTCCTTCCTTTGCATTGACTTTGGGACGGCATTTTTCCCCTGTAGACTGAGGCCACAGCAAATGTTCTGGACCTGAATGAACTTTTCCATCTGGGTCCTTCTGACCTTTCCAGCATTCCTCAAATTCCACCAGATTGTGAAAAAGGTAATAGTGCCTTTTCTCTCTTCTGTTCTCACAATTCATTGCCTGGTCCTCAATTCAAGTCTATTACCTTTGAAAGGATCTTGAAGAATTGTTTTCCTTTAGTCAAATCTCAGTTGAAGCAAATACTCTTATTCAAGAGTGGGCTTGAGTCTTATTAGCTTCATCTCAGTATCAATTTATCTCAGCAACTTTGGCAACTAAGTAACTGGCAATTTGTGGAGAGTTTCATTTTTTGTTACTTAGGCAGTCTCTACTTCAGTACCCTTTACTACCCCAAATTAGCAGGTACTTGGATAAAATGTTACAGAGATGAGGCTTCCTTAAAAGCTATAAGATGTGTGTCCATTACCTAAGGGCTGCACTCTTAAAGCAGCTTTCAGAGAAAGGCAGGAAATTTGCCTGAGTTTCTGATCTTACAGCAGCCCTTCTATGGGTGCCTCCATTATTTGATCAAAAAACAAATATTTGAAATCTTTGTTCCACAAATGAAAAATTTAATGAATGAATAAGCACATAAATGAACACATGAATAAACAAAAGAAACAGATAATAAGGTAGGATAGACTATAACTAATAAGTTGAATTGTTCAAACTATCAATTCTATAGTCCTTAGAGTTTAGAGATGAAAGGTGCTAAGCATTGCTTAGGGTGGCCGAAGAGCTTTAGGATGGAAGTGATATAGTTTGGATGTGTATCCCCACCCAAACCTCATATTGAAATGTAATTCCCAATGTTGGAGGTGGGGCCTCGTGGGAGGTGACTGGATCATGAGGGTGGGGTTCTCATAGCAAAACTTGGCTGCATTGTGCTCCTGCCCTAGGAATCTGTGGAGCTTTGAACTTAAAAGGGATGATTTAGGGTATCTAGCAGAATAAATTTCTAAGCAGCAAAGCATTCAAGATGTAGCCTGGCTGCTTCTAACAACCTATACTTATACATGGGAGCAAATAAATTACTTTAAGCTGGAACTTACATTTAAAAGGGAAGCAGAGCATAAAAGTCTGGAAATTTTGGCAGCCTAGCCATGTAGCAGAAAAGGAAAGCCCTTTTTCAGGAGAATTCAAGTGGGCTTCTGAGAAACCACTTGCTAGAGAAAGCTGCATAACTAAAATGAAGGCAAGTGCCGATAGCCAAGACAATGAGAAAAAAGCTTTGAAGGTATTTCAGAGACAGAATGTTTTCATGGACCAGGACCAGGGCCCAGCTGCCCTGAGCAGCCTTGGGACATGTCTCCCTGTCTCCCAGCCACTCTACCTCCAGCAGTGGCTTAAAACAGCCCAGGTATGGCTTGGGCCACAGCTCCAGAGACTGCAGGCCATAAGCCGTGGTGGCTTCTACATGGTGTTAAGCCTGTGGGTACACAGAGTGCAAGAGTGAATGAAGCTTGAGAGCTTTGCCTAGATTACAGAGGATGTATGGAAAAGCCTGGGTAACCAGGCAGAAGCCTGCTGCAGTGGCAGAGCCCTCACAGAGAATCTCTACTAGGGCAGTGTGGAGGGGAAATGAGGGGTTGGAGCCCCCACATAGAGTCCCCACTGGGGCACTGCCTCATGGAACAATGAGAAGAGGACCACTGTCCTCCACAATCCGGGACAGTAGATTCACCAGCAGCTTAAACTCTCAATGTGGAAAAGCCACAGGCACTAAACAGCCTGTGAGAGCAACCTCTGTTTGCCACAGCGGCAGAGCTGCTCAAGGCCTTGGCATCCCAGCCCTTGCATCAGTGAGCCCTGGATGTGGGACATGGAGTCAAAAGATATTATTTTAGAGCTTTAAGATTTAATGACTGCCTTACTGGGTTCTGGACTTGCATGGGGCCTGTAACCTCTATTTTTGGTTGATTTCTTCCTTTTGGAACAGGAATATTTACCCAATGTTTGTACTCATGTTATATCTTGAAAGTAACTAACTTGTTTTTGATTTTACAGGCTCATGGATGAAAAGGATTTTCCTTGTCTTAGATGAGACTTCGAACTTTGGACTTTTGAGTTAATGCTAGAATAATTAAGACTGAGGGGTTATTGGGAAGGCATGACTGTATTTTGAAATGTGAGCAAGATATGAGATTTGAGAGGGACCGGGGTGGCATCATCTAGTTTAGATGTATGTTGGTGGTGGGGTCTGGTGGGAGGTGATTAAATCATGGGGGCAGATTTCTCATAAATGGTTTAGCACCATCTCTCTTGGTACTGTCCTTGTGATAGTGAGTGAGTTCTTCTGAGATCTGGTCCTTTAAAAGGAATTTAGCACCTCTCCTTCTCTTCACCATGTGACTTGAAATCTCCCTTCCAAATCTTGACCTTCCACCATGACTGGAAGCTTCCAGAGGATTCCCCAGATGCTGATGCTGCTACGCTACTCATACAGCCTGTGGAACCGTGAGCCAATTAAATCCCTTTTCTTATAAATTACCCGGTCTCAGGTATTCTTTACAGTGATGCAAGGATGGTCTAATACAGTAAGAAAACTTAGAATACAATTAATCATCTTCCTTGTTTCCCCGTAATGTCACGTGTCTTATTCAAGCACTCTAAATCTAAGTCACTCAGTTAAGGGAAGATATGGGGAAAGAACCCAGGTCTCTGACTCCCAGGCTAAGGGGCTCTCTAGCTCCCTGGGTGTCTTTCCAGCTGGAAAGATAACAGGGAATTTCTGAGTCTAGCGATGCAAGCATTCCCATTGCCACCTTACAGCACTTTTTAAAAAGTTTTTGTTTTTGTTTTGTTTCTTATTGCAGATGTCAATCTGTGAAGGATAATGCATCTCTTAAACAAAAATTTCACCTGCTGTTCTCTTCTCAGGGAACAGCCAATAAATACACATTTGTCTAAAACACATATAAATGGTATAAAAATGATTACCTATCAAGTCAGCTTGGCACCAAAAAGAAAGGTTTGCATTATGCCTCATGCTCAATAGCCTGGGGTCATTACAGATATCTGAAGGCTTGACCTAAAAACTATTTTCTTCCTCAAAGAAAAAAAGGCTTTAAACTCGAGGACATATGGCAAGGTAGCAGCAGATAAACTGCAAAGAAAACTGATGTGACTGGAGTCACACATGTTTCTGAGACTGAGAGATAGAGTTAAACAGGGAAAGGTGATGGGTCATTTGACAGGTCAGGAAGGAAAGTTACAATTATCATGGTCATCTATTCCACTGCTTGCTGTGGACACATTTTCTCCCCTTCCCCACAACTCCAGACAGGCCACTGTGCACGCAGAGGCCTTCGATCTGGCCTAGGTGGACCCCACCATTCCTTCACAAGGGCTGACAGTTTGATAGACAGATGGCTTGCCCATCGACAGCCCAGACACCCAGCTCTGCAGCCTCACTGGTCATCATCAGCACTTTTAGAAAGGATGCCAAATATATAGAGGAAACAAAGAAAGAAAAGAAGAAGCAACAGTTTTCCTGGAAAACGGTCACAGAATTTGCTGTGGGTGGAGGCCTGCCCTTCCTTGCTTACCTTTAATGCCAGTTGAACTTAGGCTTTCCTGGTGAGATGACCTTGACCTAGGGCTGTTTTACATCCTGCAGACCAGTAGGGGCTGCTGATCATCTTGTGGGTCATCCTGAGACTGGCTCAGGCCTTGATCTCCTTCTGCCTTCTCCTGGCTGACCCCAGCACACCCAAGAAGCGTGAACTTCACCAGGAACATGTGGCTCACATTGTTGCCATGTGTTCTCCCAGCCTGAGGCTCTTAACCCACCCCTCTGATCAAGGAACCCTCAAGATCCCAAGAAGCAGCCTATGTCTGACTTGTTCGGTCATAACCAGTGGGTAGAAGACTGCAGACACAGACAAGGTATTCAGATGCTTGTTAAATGAATGAATGAAGGGTTATTCCTGTGGGATTCAATGGTGAATCTGGAATTCCCCATCTCACAATCTAATCAGAGCTGCATGGAATATCACCTGTCTGAACCCAGAGTTTATCTATGCTTCCTATGGAAGTTGCCACTCTGATTTATTATAGTTATTTTTAACTTAGTAATGAGCCCTTTAGAGCAGAACCTGTGCTCAATTCATCTTTACATCACTCATGGGATACATGTTTATCAGATACTCAGTGCTCTAAGGGTTTTAGAGAATAAAAAGACAAAACAGGTCCATGCTGTTTCCTCTGGTGTAGATGTCATTGGGGTGGTGGTAGGAGAGAAAGTGTCCCTGATTGAAAGGTGTGGCGAGTGAGTAGAAGTGGATGAGAAGTGAATAATCGTACTAATCGCGTGTTTGTTGAGTGCTTACTGTGTAACAGGTTCCTTATCAAATGCTTAGACTCTCAAGAAATAGACATTAGTATTATGTCCATTTCACAGGAGAGGAAACCAACCCAGGCTCAGAATGGTTAAGTTATTAGCAGCGCAAAAGAGCCAAGAAGACATTTCTGATTCTAGAACCCATTTATTTCTCTCTCTTTCACCCCATACATATATACATGCATGCATGCACACACACACACACACACACACACACAATTTTGGCTGAATTTGTCTTTTAGTGACAGTAACCTTTATATTATTTGAAAGTCTCATACGTATAATAAAACATTAATCAACGTAGTATTACCTATTTTGTTGAATAAACTGACTTGATAATGTACGACCAAAAGAGTAAATGTGCTCTTTCTTCCACAGTCCCTAAAATAATCACTGTGGATTAATATTTTCCATCCCTGGGGTAAAATTTCAAGAAAATCTATAAGCTGTCTAGGCTCCTTTTAATCACAGAAGCAGTCTCAATGTAGTAATTAAAACACTCAGTCCACTGTAATCATGAAAATGCCATACCTCATTCAACTTAAGAATTCCCCTTAGGGCCAAGTCTGGCTTCCTTTAGGGGCAAAGCCTGAAGTGGGCCGTGGGTGCAATTTCCCTACCCTGCTCTCCCGTTCCTATACCCCACTCCCTGCCCAAGGTGAGACGAAATTAGGAGGAAAAGACACAGTGTTTCATGTAAGGTACAGTTGTAATCTGGACATGAACACTCTCTGAGTAACAGATGTATGATTGCTAGCTTTTTTACTGTTTGTTGAACTTTGTTTAAAAAAAAATTCCTGCTGAGACCCCTGATGCATCTTTCTTGATATGAGCAAAGTCTGTATTCTTGGGGTCAACCCAGGACTTTCCTTTCCGAAACCCAGCCCAGCCAGCTCCCACTGTGGGGATTTTGCTCCCTCCAAGCAAAATTTTCTTTAAACATCCCCAGGCCAGTTCCTGCTGTGGTGTTGAGATTTGGGCCCTGGGAAGTATCTTGCTTTGAGGGGAGGGAATAAGGGAGTCATTCCTAACAGCTTCTTTGTGCTGGCACCAGGCAACCGGCAACATTAGCCTTCCTTGGGCAGAAACCAAACACCATTCCTAGATTTCCCAAGTTCTAGAGGGCTCCCAAGAGGCTGTCTGAGTAGCCCCTTTGAAGCCTTTCTCATCTGCTAGAAGATAAGAAGAAAGAGAGATGCCTCCTCACTCTAAAAACTCCCTCCTAGCTTCTCAACCTCAGCTACTCCTATGGGCTGGATGTGGGTAACCCCTTCCTATGGAAGAAGCAGTTTCACAGTCTCTTAGCTGGTCCTGAGCAGGTGGTCTAGCACTCCCTCCTGAGGCAGAGCTGCTGGGGTCTGGCCTATGTTCCTCAGCCTATCAGGCCTCAGGGAAGACTGAGCCAGGAGGAGGCTGTTTTACCATCCTGTTACAGGTTTGTATGTGAGACCCTTCCACCTAGCACACATATTTAACCACTAGTAGCACCACTGTCTCACTTCTGCAGGTGCCTACCCCAGAAAGCTATGTGCATTTCCCTTTTAATATTGAGGTCCAGATTCTTAGCCTTTGCTCTCTATCATGTTTCCACTGCTTGCAAGGGCCATTTTGGCAGCAATATCACAATAAGAGCCACCTCTGAGAGACTGATTGCTCTTGGATATCAGTGTAGTCCATGCTTCTAACTACTAATCAGGTGGGTGAAGTTGGGGTTACCTCTTTATGGCTCTAGAATCCAGAAGGTGGAGAGACGGGAGAAAGAAGGCAAGCAATATGAGAAAGCCTCTTGGGTAAGTAAGGCCAATATTCCTGGAATAGTTTGGTGGAACAGAAGTGCAGTATGACTTTACTGGCTAATTTGTATCCAATATTGATCTGCCAGACATTGCTCTGACCACTCTATGTGCAATAACTTGATTCTCACAATACTTCTCGGGGGTCTCTACTATCTGTATTAGCTCCATTTGGCAGATTAGAACACTGAGGCACAGAGAGTTTATCTAACCTGTCCAAAGGTAGTAAGTGAAAAACGGGCAGTCTTTCCAGAGCCTGTGCTTGGAAGCACCTCACTCACCTGCCTTTCATAGATACAGTGGTGGGAATTCAGGGGCAGACTGTGGAAGGCCCCTTGTGCCATAAGGAGTTTAGGATCACCCTCTGTCTCAGTAATACCAGGTTAAGAAATGCCTCTGTGGGGCTCTGAAGGTGGGTTCTTAATGGCCTGTTTTTATATAGGCCATGAGCTAACAATGGTTCTTACATTTTTAATGGATTGTTGAACTGTTAGGCAGAGCCAGTGTGGGCATGCAGCTTACAAAGCCTAAAATATTTACTATCTGCCCTTTATGAAAAGTTTGCTGACCCACCGCTGAGCAATGATTCTCATGCTGTGTCATCTTGAATGATTGGGATCTGCAAGGATTCAGTGACCACCGAGGCACCAGAGGGTAGAAGCTGCTAAGGGGAACTCCTTAGCAGGAATCCCAGATTTCTCCCTCAGAACTCCCTAAATCAAAAAATTCTGTATTTAAAAAATTTATTTGAGTTCTGTATCAATATTTTGTTTACAAGGATTCTACGACAAAAAGAATGCTGAAAATCCATAGTATGAGTTATAGAAAACCACTGTACGTCTATCATTGGGGAACTGGGCCACAAAGCAGAAAGAAATAGGGGCTGGTAGTGGTGTTCAGGATGAACTAGAGGATGAGAAACTCAAAGTGAGAAAAAAAAAGGTTAGGAAACTATCTTGATAATCCTAGCATGAAACTCTGAAGGAGGAGGACAAGAGTAATGATAGAAAAAAGAAGGAGAAACGTGGGGAACTGGCAGGCCTTAATTAATTAGCACACATGAAGAAATTGAAACCTCAAGGATAATACCACAATTTCATATGTGGGTACCAGAAAGAAAAGGATTCTCTTGATGGAAGTAGATAATATTAGAAGGAAAACTTAGTTTGGATGAAAAGATGTTGAACCGAATTTCATCTGTGTAGTTCAACCTCAGAAGAGAACTCAATGGTTGTCCCTTCTATTGTCCAACCTGGGGATGAAAGGACAAGAAAGAAGAGAGCCACAGAATACTAACCTCGAAACCCAGTCAGCATGGGGCGGTAGGGAGGACTAACGGACACTGTAGCACCAAGATGGCCGGCCATAACCAATTTTCTCATCATTCTCCTTTTCAGGAGAAAAAGGTAGGGTTGGGGCTTTAAATCTTTCTTTCATGTTTTCTTTTTCTGTTATTATTGGTAGATAAAAATATTTTATTATGTTATCAACCAATAATAACAGCAATGACAAGATCAGAAGTTTAATCAGCATAGCTGAAATTATGTTGGGTGTGTTTTACCAACTCCCCACTCCTTCTCCTACACAATGAACCTTAGAACTTTCTCTTCCCTTGACAGACGGTAACGACCTGCAATAGGTCCCTGATACTGGATTCAACTTCTGGGAAAGAATGCAAACCTTCTAAAGCCAGAAGACTTCAATTCTCTGCCATTCCTTTTAGATCTGTGCCTGTGTCAGCAGGGTACTATTACAACAGGAGACTTTATTACATCTTATCCAACTGTTGGCAAGTTCTGAATCTTAAAGAGAACTGTTTGTAGTACAAAGATTAGAGTGCTCCATAGAATACTAAAAAGGGAAAGAGAAAAAAAAAACTAAGTCATCAAGAAAACTTTTTAAAAACCCTCTCTGCATATGCTTATTTGAAGAGCCTGTATTATGCACTTGGAATTTACTTTAATTATTAACATTGAAGGAAAATGTTCCTTCTAAGCATAGAAACTTCAAAAGGTAAATAGTCACCAGAGTTCAGGTGCCTTTTCCTTAAAGTGCTGTCATAATAGCAGTTGCAGCAATGCAGCTATTTGGACGTTTCATTATAGTTGTTTGTTTTATTTTGTTTTCACTAAATAATTGCAAAGTGCTTTATAAGGAAAAAACAATCAATAAAGCTTCTACCGGGTTGGGGCAAACTGAGACACGAACTATGATTTGGCCAAAAGTCATTTTGCCAGTCTTCAGGGAATGCTCCGCTCACTACAATTGCTGAGGACTGAGGAGCTGGCTTCCAAGGGAAGACTACAAGAAGGGGTGTGTGTGTGGGTGGCAGCTTGTTGAATGATGAGTATCTGAGACATGCCAAGTATACCAATGCCAGGAGGAAACGGATTGATTAGTGAGACCAAAGAGGGGAGGATGCAAAGAGTTGATAGAAACTGCACAGAATCCAGCTGGAAATTTACATATGACCTTAGATGTCCTGTAAATGACATGTGGTTCTCCAAAACAGTCTCCATCATGGACACAATTTAAACCTAAACTGAAGAACACACCAGCCTTCCTTCCCCAGAGACAGGAGAATGACCTGCTAGTTATTTGCCATTTTCACTTCTTTACATCTGCAGCACTGGGTGGCTAGAGTTAGACTTCCTGTTGTGAAACAATGGCTCAGAGGTCAGAGAAGCAGTCTCAGGTAATACTGACCTCTTGAAAGAGGTCAGCATCAATTTTTTAGCAATGGGGCAATTATTTTCCCATCTTGCTCATATCTGGCCACATTTCCTTGCACTCCTCAAACATCCATTTTCACCTAGACTGTCTTTAACCTTGCTACTCTAAGCTGAAGGATTTCTTTTCAACTGTAGTCTCATGACCTTGCCTCTGTCCATTACATTCTGCCTGTATCTCCAAGAGTGATTTACATAGGAGAGTGTAACATGTATGCTCATATGTCCCCAAAGGTTACCCAGAGATCTGTCACTAGGAAGTCACCTACTTGGTTCAGTTGGGAGATGTACAAATTTATACACACACAAAGTACACAACATATGTCCGTGTTTTTCTATGATTGAATAATTGATGGGTTATTTTGCAGGTGGCTGAATAATAGAAAAGAAAAGACAAAACATGGACAACACTGAGCATTTGTTCACTAATCATTCATTCAACAAACATTTGTTGAACTCCTAAACTCAAAATACTCACTTGTACAGCTCATTCCTCAATGAGCTTGGTTCTACACAGAGTTCAGCAGAAGCAATTATCTAATGAACTTGAGCCTCATTGATTGACAATCTTGGCTAAGCAAACCTTATACCTGCTCTTTTGTTGAATATTTTGCCTTAGTTTTTAGATAAATGCAGCAAAGAATTCTAGTACCAGTTCTCCTTCCAATATCAGACACTTGGCCTAATTTCATGCTTCTTATTCTTAATAATGCCGTTTAATTGGTGCCATCTTAACTATTGTCATTGTCATCAATAAATATTTATGGAGCCACCACAGGATATCTTGTACTGAACCTAAGTCCTTAAAGATTTTATAACCCAGAGGATGTGTAGCCCCTGCCGTCTAGAAGCTTAAGGAGGTAGGTGTTAAACAGAGTAGCGAATTAATGGCAGGTGCTGTTAAGAAGCTACAGAGCTAACCAAACCCCCCAAAAAGTGTCCTTATATGTAATCAGCTATTTTGACTTATGGAAAATATACTCTCTTCCCCTCCAATAACAAGCAGGGAAATAGCTATTTTCTGTTTCGCCCATAGGGATATCTGCATACAAATAACTCAAACAAAACTAAACTTTCAAACTTCACGCTTTCCCAAGGGAATCATCTTTTATTAGAAATAGTCACTTCAAAGGTTTGAATAAATGTGAGGGTTTTTTTAAACACTGGAAGCAATTTACATTTTTGTGTGTACATTCTCTAAATGATTCTGATCAGATTCAGAGACTTTATCCTGCCAGAAATATTATGAAAGTGTGAAACTTCTTAGCACAGGGATATCAACCAATTAGTGACAGAAATCGTCTGAGTGTTCAAGCCCCCAAATAAACTTTAGATCAGATGAATTTCTGACTCGAATTCAAGAACTGAAAATAGGAGTGTGTGTTTAATTGGAACCTCTTCTCCAACAATAGCAAGGTCCTTTAAAAGCATAATCATTTCTGTCAAATGTCATTTACAACAATAATTTGACACTATCTTTATCACCTTTACCAAAGTTTACAAAATGCTTTCTCACCCAATATATTTTATTTATGTCCTCTTTAAACAATTCTATGAGTTTGATCCTGTTATTCTTCTCATTTTATGATGAGAAAACTAAAGATCAGGCTCAACAAGAATTGCACAGCTAAAACATGGAAGAACAGAATCTTGAAGCCAGATTTTATTTTAATATATTGGAATCTATCCTAAGCTGTTTGGGCCTGAAATTTTCAGATGGTTCTATATCAAGCAGTGTGGGAGAGTAATGGTGATGGTAAAAGAAACCTAAATGATTCAGAATGACAGTATATGCATTTCGAATATTCTAGATTAATAGTAACCTTTTTGCATGTCTTGATGCTAAGCTGAACTACATCAATAAAATATTTAAATTGCTAACTAGTCTTGTCTTAGTAACCATTGAATCCAAGTAATATGAATAAACTAGCAAAGACCTGAGACTCGGGTAAAATCCAGGGCAGATGATCATGGGTATGCATTGATACAACTATGCTAATTGGTAATGTCTAGCTTCCTTTCTGATTAATGAACACTTGCAATTAGATATTAAATGATGTTTTCTATAAGACTGACTCTAAGCTAGACAGTTTCTGATACTTGAGCTCATGAAATCTTTACAACACCACTCTGTGATAAGCAACAGCCTGTTTTTGTTCCTTTTTTTTTTGGCACATCTTAAATAAATTGCAAATTTTGTGATGATGATGTTCTATATCTCACACAGCCTGTAAATAAATTGCAAATTTTGTGATGATGATGTCCTGTATCTCACACAGGCTGTAGCTGTAAGGATACATACTAGAAAAAGCAGAAACCTTTGCTTTTTATGTAGGTAGAGGAGAGTGGCAGTAGGTATTTCATACTTGGAGCAATTATAATCTATTGTATAGCCATTGCAAGAGAGAATTTTTTAAAAATCTGCTTATCTTCCATTTAGGCTTTATTTGCCTTTGACAAGACCTCTCCCTTAGCATGGTTTTGCATGATACACAACAGAATGCCGATGGAGCATGGACAGCTCTCAGTGCTAGAAATCCTTAGGAAATCATCAGTTCCCCACAGGGACTGGAGTCATTGATTCCCTCCTGGGAACTGCCTTTAGAAAGAAAGATCTCAGAGGAATTTAGAAGAAGCATTAGCTCAGTCAGTAAGCCCAGAGGGAAAAAGTAGAGACAAATTCTACTCTCAATTCAATTTAATTCAGCAAGTATTTATTGAGCCTAACACAGTCTTCAGGATACAAAAGTAGAAGAAGAAGTCCCTGTCCTCGGGAAGCTTGACAGTTTGGAGTGGGGGGAAGAGAGGCTTCTTCCTGAAGGTAGTCTACCTCTCTGAGCCTGTTTCATACAGAGTGAATAAATATCACTTGCCTCTACATGACTGTCTGGATCAAATGACATAATGCATATCAAATACCTAACATATGGCGAGAACACAGCTAAGGCTGGTCATCATCACACAATAATTAAATATCGTTGCTTTATTGACTTGCTGAATTCTTGTGTAAACAAGAATTCTACCATATTTATGAGAAACGAAATGGGTTGCTGATGTGGTGATTGTAATTTGCTTCCTAGGTTAACTTTTGGAGACAAAAGAATAAACAAACCTGTTTAAAATGGTCACAAGTAGATCTGCGCACCAAGGATGAACAAGACATATTCCTAAGTGTTTGGGATATATCTCAACATGGCCCACTGGTATTTTCCAGCTGTTCTCTGCCTGTTCTTTCCTCTACCTTGTTCATAATGGTTTGTCAGCTCTTCCTTGTTTGCTATGCACACTTGCTTAGCATTGCAAACACAGATAACCAGAGTACAGTGGTTCTCTAACCCTCAATGGTCTCTCTCTCTCTCTCTCTCCCTAAAAAGAATAGAAGGACCTGGATTTACTCTTCCCTTTGCAGTTGTTTTAACTTGGGTTTGTGTTGTGCCTACACATGAATCAAATTTCCGAATATTAAATAAACAAAGCTAATAAAGAATGAGGTTTAGGAGAACAAAGAAAGTCTGTTATCTTGAGCCAGTGACTCGGATAAGAGTCTTAAAGACCAATTAAGAAGGATAATTTTGAAGAGGGAAAAAATAATATGAGCTTACATTTTACGAATGAATGTGAGATGTGTATGCAGGTTAGAAAATACCAGTTGGATGTACTTTATTTTCTTGAATTGGAAAATACCAGTTGGATATATGTCAACTTCACACACACACACACACACATATACCAGCCAGAAGTAGACTTACCCTAAGTATTTTGGGGCCCTATGCAAGAAGAGAACCACATATATGTCTCAATATTTAAAAGCTTTAAACAAAAAAAAAAACAATTCGTTAAAATCTGTTTCTTTCTGCTACCTTAATAAACATAATTTACAATGACCTGAAATGTCAGATTTGAGCTTAGAATTGTGGGACTTCTCTGAGTCCACTGTTGCAACCTGGCACTAAGGGAGAACTGGCACCCAGCATATACTATCCCCTTCTCTTCCTACCTCTGGATTTGATCCACATGAAGCACCTCATGCACAAGTCTATGGCTCCCCTAGCCTGCACACCAAAGTTCCATTCACACTCACTGCCTAAAGTCTTCCCTGGTCACCTGCAGGCCTAGTAGTGTGCAGATCAGTGGCATAGTACATCCTCAAAAGACACACCAAGGAAGAGGCCCTTTCAGGTGTAGTAAGTGTGCTAAAAAACATCTGAGCAGAGACTTTTCGAACCCTCGGTCCCCATAGAATAATCTATAAAGAGGGGTACAGGCTCCGGGTATGCTGAGTCCCTTGCCCCACAGACTCCTTGCTCCACAGAGAGAAGTAGGACTCACTACCTCCTCAAAAAGTAGTCCATAGATTAGCATCATTCACATCACGCAAGAGATTCAGAACTTACATTTTTAACAAAATCCCCAGGTGAATTCAGTGTACAATGATGGTTAATAAGTGCTGTTCTGCTATTCACAATTGCAAAGATGTGGAACCAACCCAAGTACCCATCAACCAATAAGTAGATAAAGAAAATGTGGTATATATACACCACGGAATACTACTCAGCCATAAAAAGGAATGAAATAATGGCATTCACAGCAACATAGATGAAATTAGAGACTATTATTGTAAGTGAAGTAAGTCAAGAATGGAAAACCAAATATTGTATGTTCTCACTTCTAAGTGGGAGCTAAGCTATGAGGACACAAAGGCATAAGAATGATATAATGGACTTTGGGGACTTGTGGGGGTGAGATTGGGAATGGGGTGAGGGATAAAAGACTACATATTGTGTATGATGTACACTGTTCAGGTGACAGGTGCACTAAAATCTCAGAAATCACCACTAAAGAACTTACCCATGTAACCAAAAACCACCTGTGCCCCAAAAACAATTGAAAGACAAATTTAAATAAATAAATAAATAAATTCCAGAAAAATATAAAAAGAAGGGCTGCTCTGAAGTGTGGAGCCCCACAGAGGTCTGTCTTACCTGCATCTAGGGACAATACTTGCCGTAAACAGCCTGTACCTCTGTCACTGCACTAAAGATGTACACGGAGTACAAAACCAATGACCCAGGATTCTTCCTGGTGCCTAACCTCCCCCTCCTGATGGTTGGTGGCTAATGATCAATCTGATTTTAGCTGTGAGTCATTCAGCCCCAAATAAGGCTACCCAGTTATTTCAAGTCCATCTTCCTGCCCTTTGAATGGAAGTGGGAGAGCATCAGAGATGATCACAAGACACACAACTTCAATATCAAAGAACATGCCCTCTTTGCTATGATTTTTGTGACTCCAATGCAAAGTAGGTCAAGAAACTCAAAAATAATCAATGTATTTTAAACTGAGTATCAGTTCCCAGGTATCTAATATTGGTTTGCAGAAGCAGGTTTCTTTCCTATTTAATTTCTTTTGGTAGGTACAGGTAGAGGGAGTCCTACTTTATTCCAAAATATCCTTGAGTCATAGCCCCTGGAATCCAGTTGCTGAAAACATTACAACATTGATCAGAGCTATGATTCTGAGCTAAAGGATGGCTATTATTGGAAGGCCCTGCTGCTAGGCAACATTAAGAGTGCTAGAGGGACTTTAAACGGATATTAGGAGGCCCTAAGACATGAAACAGCTCCCCTGACTGTCATGACTCTGATACACAGATCCCTCAATGGGAACAGGTAGAGAGGGCAAACATCATGTAAGACGAGGAAGACCCTGACTTAGAAGACTCTATATTTTAGAGAGATTTCTTTCAACTTATTAAATGCTTGATGCTAAGGTTTTCTGAAGGATCAAAAGGACTTGACCTCAGGTCTTCGAAAATTATTTTCTATTCCAGGTATATCCCTTCAGCTCTAGGTAAGGCAGAAAGGCTGTTTTTGGCATTTCAGCATTATCATCTTTTATGAGAAATTCATGTATACATTTTCCCAAAAGCACAGGATTTGCCATCTTCATTCTCTAACTCATAATGAAATAGAGACATTTGGAAGATTGAGATTTTGTTTTGATATTTAGAGTGGGAAGACATGTTCCAGAAGGTCCATTTTTAGGAAAATGACTAATTATTTGATTAGCATCATTACTAATAGAACAGGCTGACATCAAGTGGAAGGCAGGGAATTATCAAGTTAATTTATAATTCAGCCCAAATGTGCACCAGAATGACTGCCTTAAAATCCTAACCCACCACATCAATGGTTCTCAAAGTATGACTCCTAGACTTGCAGCAGTAGCATCACTCAGAAACCTGCCAGAAACACAAATTATCAGACCCCACTGAATATGTACATGGTCAAAATCTCCAGGGGCAAGGTCCAGCCATCTGTGTTTTACCAAACCCTCCAGATAATTCTCATGCATGATAAATTTGAGAACCACTTTGCTAAATCACTGGTTATCAAGCCTAGATACTCATTAAAATCATTCAAGGAGCACATAACAAACACCAATGCAAGGCCCACCTTAGACCAATTAAAACACAACCCATGGGGTTGAGGCCCAAGCTTCTCAGTAGTTTTTAAAGTTTCCTAGGTGGTTCTAACATGCAGCCAATAATTGAGAACCTCTATGCTGAATAATTTTAGGTTTATAAATCTTGCTCTCATTTACTGGTAAGCAAACTTTCATCCATGAATCAGTAGGCCATTTGCAAACAGGGGCATGCTGTCAAAGGCCTATGCCACTGAGGCTTGGTCACAAAGTCAACCTGCACTTTAGATATAACCTAGCCCAAATTCCTGTGTTCCAGGCTATGGACCATCATTTGCACAGCTGCAATTATTTCAACGACGGTTAAAAATGAGAAGGGAATTAAATTAGCTTGCAATCTTTTTGCATGTTTCCAGAGACCATGTCACCTGTCATTTGGAATGAGATGTGCCTCTCCCTCTCTCAGGATGTGGTATAATGAGGTCTCTCTCTGAGCTCTGAATGCAGAAATGTATTTATGGCACAAAGGGAGATTTATGTATTTTCTAAAAATCCTGGCAGCCAATAATAGCCTTGACTGACTCTCTGGGGCTCCAAATGCAACTAGATTGTATTTGGATATAAATCTGGATGCATTGTAATCTTAGCCCTGTTTCCCTCCACTAAAGGCCAGATGGGGCACTGGGGCTTGGAGGGGAAAAGAAATAAAATTATTGATAAAATGCATTTAAAAATACTAAACCAGGAAAGAGCGTTTCGTTATAATCTGTGCAAAAATCTCTAAGATATCATGTGTAAGTCCCATCTTGGTTAGTGTACTAATGAATTCTGGGATAACAAAGATTCTATATAATCATAGCTTGGTGATAACTTATATTTTTTAATGTCATAGAAAGTTGTAGGGAAAATATATTCTGTAAAGAATTTGTCCCAGGGTAAGTAAGAGATTCCAAAACTGTTTAAACATTTGCCATCTGATAAGTCCCCTCACCTCCATCATTTTATCACTCAAGGGAGTATGAATAACAGAAAGAAAAGTTAGAAATGAAACTGACATGCATCAGGCCCAGGTCTGTAATGCATAGGATGACCCTAGTGCTCAAGAAGACCGAGGGAAGGGCAGGTGGCAAGCAGTTTTAGAATCACTCTGGCTCTGGGGTGTGGCATAGGTTCTGGTAGTTAAAAAGAGTTGACACAAGGCGATATATGAAAATGTTCTCAATAAGTAGCACAATCACTTTAGGAATTCAGAAGAGGAAGATGCATTGTGAGTTGGCAGGAGAAAGTGATTTTTTTTTTTTTGAGACAGGATCTCACTCTATTGCAGAGGCTCGAGCGCAGTGGTGCAATCACAGCTCACTGCACACACTCCTCACATCTGAGCCTTGACCTTGTGGGTTCAAGGGAACCTCCCACCTCAGCCTCTAGAGTAGCTGGGACCACAAGTGCATGCCACCATGCCCAGCGAATTTCTTTTTTATTTTTTGTAGAGACTGGATCCCACTATGTTGTCCAGGCCTGGTCTCCAACTCCTGGGCTCAAGTGATCCTCCCACCTCAGCCTCCCAAAGTATTGGAATTACAGGCATGAGCCACAGCGCCCGACCAGAAAAAAATGGAATTTGAGTGACGTTCTAAGTAGTACCAGGAAGTCCCGGTCCAGTAAAGCATAGCCCCCACTCCTGGCCTTAGCATTCTTGGAAATAATTTGTTTTTAAAAACTAAGCATACTCCTGCAATGTTTGATCTTGACAAATAATATTCATTACTCGTCAGTGGGAACCAGCTATAGATTTGTGATCACATACAGGAGGACATCAGCAGAGGACCAAAGCTGCAGAAGCTGGGTGAGAGAAGCCCAAGGGCTACTGTTCGGTGCCCTGGCAGAGATGGCAGATCAGTGCCGCCATGATTCTTATCCTCCTGGACGAGGGTGACCGATATTCATTTTGGCCACTGCCATTTGGAGACTTGATAGAAACAAAAAAGTATGTATCCTATAGAGCAAGACCAAGAGTCGCACAAATGCCCTGAAGACATTGTTTTCCAAATAAACCACATGCGTTTGTTTTTCACCACGGGGGTCAGAACCGAAAAGCTAACAGGCTCCAGAGGGATAGTGCATGCTAATTCCGCTGATGGTAAAGGTCCTTTAAAATGCCACTCACGCCTGAAGCACTGATGAGTTTGCAAGTCGCCAGGCTGGAGGTATGCTGTGCACGCTCCCATTGGAACCCATTAGATGGCCTACAGATAGATGGGCGCTGAACAGTCACACATGCATACACGCCATTCAGAAGTTTAAAAAAATTACTAAGCAATTACACAGATTTTCCAGCTCTAAAAACAAGGCTAATGGCAGCCCATTTGCAATCAAGTACAGTAGATTAGTATGGCACAAAGGCAGCTAAACTGTTTAGCACCAGGCTCAAAGCTCCCATAGAAATTACATTTAATCGCAATTCACTGAAAATGATGGGGAGGGGTTGTGTTTTATGTCACACACAATGGCTACCACACATCCACTGTGGATGCAGATCATACCCAACCCTCAACCTTATGCACTAAAAGCTACAGAGATGCTCTCCCAACCAGCCTACGGAATATACAGACTCTTCAGGTACTTGTAAGGAAGCAAAGACATTTATAGCTGGAAGTAAGCTTCGTTTGACCACTTCCCAACATACGCATGAGACTTCGCATTGTATGCATAAACACATACACATGCACACACACATGCATCATGCTAGAGTGACCAACTGTCTCAGTTTTCCGGGGACACATCATGCTAGGGTGACCCACTGTCTCAGTTTTCCTGTTTTAATACTAAAAGTTCTATGTCCTGAGAAACCTCTCAGACCCGGGAAAACCAGGTCACCCTAATATACCTTCTCCTGCAATGAAACCTACCGAATCTAAAATGCTAATGTTAGAGCCCCTTCCAAGGAAGCGTGATGCCAACAAAGTCCTGTTCATGGGAAACACAGCCCTTTTACCTAAGTTGGGTTCCTTTTGGAGCTAAAAGCACAACATGCAGATACCATATGAATTTCTACCTGTTCTTGCATAAATCAGATAATCATAGCACTTATTAGAGTTGTGATTAGCAATCTATTTAATCAATTGTTTGCTTAGTATCTGTGACTTGCTGCTGTAAGCTTCATGAAGGCAAGGTTGTGATCCCAGGTTTGTTGGCTATTTAATGCCCAATGCCTGAAACAGTGCCTGACTTGCCAGAAGCATTCCACAAATATTTGTTGAATTGAATGAACAAATTCAGAAGAAAAGTCTGTGAGAGTTGTGGTGTGGTATGCAGAGAGTTTAAACTGAGCGGCCCTGGTAAAGTATACCCTCTCTCTACAATTGACAACAAACCCAGAGAGTCCATGGTTGCTCCTTCACAGGCCCCCATCCCACCCTGCAACCCCAATATCAATCTTTGTTTACTGTGAATGCTACTATTTCTTCTAATAGTAATAATAATAGCTATAACAAGAAAGTTGTTTGTTTTCTACATGGCAATAAAGTATAAGGTAGAGTCCTCATCCTGTCTCAGAGCGGAGTCACCATTCTTGTGGCAAAGGATATTTGGAGCAGGCTTGTCACCTCTCCACTGTGCTATAAGTCTTTGGAAGGGACAGGCCAGATTCAGTGCAATGGGCTAAAAGCCATCACTACTCTGTTATAAAATGCAGGACATGCAAGCCCAGGCCTGCGTCTGACTCTGGAGGCTGAGCTCTTCTCAGGCGGGGCATTTGCTGTGCCAGCAACTCCAAAGCCTAGAGGACTGGTCAGTACTGAGCAGGAGTACAGTGTTGGAGAAATGTCTGTTGGTGGTAAGCGGGAAGATGTAAGAAAAGGTGCTGATTGGAGGAAGAAATAAATGAATGATAACGAAGAGCACCTCGGGCTTACTTTGTCTCCAGTCCTTGCATAGGAGACAGCACATGATAAGTGTGCAATGACACAAATGGAATATTGGAATTTTCCATTCAAAACTCCACACCTTCCTGAAGTCAGAGGGGAAGAAAACAAAATCACGAATGCTGTGTTTCCTCGCATAAATGAAGAAAATTACCTGGCCCCATCAGTTCAGTGGATCAGCTAAAGTCTCATGCTGTGATACAAGTTTCACATTTGACACAACCTTTTCCTTCTGTGCCCTCTCCAAGAAACCTCAACATCCAATGGCAGTCTGTCCACTTTATTTCTCTCCTCGTCTATTTAATTTCCTCCTGCAAGACCAGCTGCAGCTCAATTGTGGACTATGTAATTCAATAGATTCGCAGATATGTCTTGAGTCAATTTTAATTCTATTTAAAGGACAGTCAATAGAGTCATCTCTGGGGCTTTTGGAGACGAATTTCATATTCCATACACTGAACAAAGTGGAAGGGAGAAATGTACTTCTCTTTAAGGATATAATGGTTGGGTTTCAAAATGTACCATGTCTGTCCCACTTCTCCAATTCAACAAGATCCAGGTTCAAATCTGGGAAATAATTTAGGAAATGTGAATGGCAAGGGAGGTAGGCATCCATGAATAGAAAGCAATAGGCTGACCATTGCCTTTTGAGATCATCAAAATGGAGCTGACAGTCACTGTCCTTCTCAGGGATTCCCTACCCCTTACAGTTGTTGACTTTCCCTGCATGCAAGCTCTTCCCTCCACCAGGGTGCCAGAGATGCTATTCCTTGCCTTTCCTTTTTTCCCCCTTTCTTTTTTGTGTTTTTAAGGACAGGACCTCACTCCGTTACCCATGCTGGAGTGTAGTGGCGCGATCATACATCACTGCAGCCTTGAACTTCTGGGCTCAAGTGATCCTCCCACCTCAGCCTCCAGAGTAGCTGGGAATACAGGCAGGTGCCACCATGCCTGGCTTTTTTTTGTCGTTGTTGTTCATTTTTTGTAGAAATGGGGTCTCCCTATGTTGTCTAGGCTGGTCTTGAACTCCTGGACTCAGGCCATCCTCCCACCTCAGCCTCTAGAGTAGCTAGAACTGCAGGTGCATGCATTCCTCACCTTTCACGTGTTTTCATCCCTCCATGAGAGCTTCAAGATCCACAGAGCTTCAAGATCCAGCACAAATACCACAGCCACCATGAAGCTGTCTTTCTGTTCCTCCCTCCCACTCATCCCCACACTCACACTGGAAGGAAACTTTTATTAATATTACTTCTCTTGGGGTACTTATCATGTTTTATCTCATATTTTTTCATTGACTGTATTGGCTTTATTTCCCCAGCTCATGTCCAAGTTCTTTGAGTGCAGAGTTTATATGTCTGATTGATTTGGGATCCTCCTGTGTTAATCAGGTGTTTTGGTTGTTGGTTTGTGGTTCTAGTGGTGTATAATGAATATGCCCAAAGCTTCACTGGCTCACAAGCACAACAGTGACTTTCCTGACTTGGGTTTGAAAATCAGCTGGGCTGAGTTCAGGTCTGCTTCACAGATCTCTCAACCTGGGACCCAGGATAAAGAAGTAGCAGCTACTTGGAGCAGGCTATTCCTGTGTGAATAGCAGGAAAGCAGGAGGTCAGGTCACACCATCAAGTATGTTGAAAGCCTGTGCCACGTCACATCCCATGCCACTGGGCAAAGCACGGCACATAACCAAGCCCGAAGTTAGTAGAGAGAGAATATATACTTTGCACTGCAAAGTCATGTGGATGCATAACTTTATTCTATTTACCATACCCCTACAGCCTGACAGCTTCCCATGGTGCTTAAATAGGTATCCAGGGAGGTCAGAGGAGGAGGCATCCACTCCCAGGAAGCTTAACCATGGTGCTCACTGCCTGTCCTTGGCCCAGCACAATTCTAGAGTTTGAGAGCTCAACACACAAGCATACGAGCAGGGCCCAGTAAATGACTGTGTGTGTAATACAGCCTAGCTCTTGATGTTCCCCCAGCCTGGTGGGTATACAAAAATGGGGCAAGTAGGTGGAGGAGAAAGTAGAAAGCCATTGCTGAAATCTGGCTGAAAAGTTTTTGGGGAAAGTAATTCATTTCAAGACACTGGTACTAGCGAGAGCATTGCCACTGGCCTTTATTACTGGAGTTCTAGAGACGAAAACAAGATCTTTGCTACTTAAGATTTTCATCCTTTCCTGCTGCTTCTTCCCACGTGAAGTGCTAATCCTCCACCAGTCGCGTCAGAGCTGCCTCCGTGGCAGGACTCACTGCCGAGTCCAAATACCCGATTGTGGGTTCAGGTGGCGAATGACCAGCAGGTGTGTCTGAAACAGCCAAACAACTATAATCCTGATTTCCCTGGGACTATAAAAAATAAAAAGAGGGAAAGAAAACCGATGCTCTGAGGATGGGCTTCTGCATATAATCAACTCAGCTAAATTCAAAATGTTCTCCCTACGTTCACCCATGATGATCGTAGAGCAAGTAGAGAGAAAAAAGGGTTTGTACCCACTTGCTCTCCCTCAAAGAATAAAAGAGAAGAGCCCCAAAGAGGTATGTCATTTTTGGAAGGTCAACAGGGATTCAATGCTTGGGCCAAGTCTAGCGTGCAGAGATGCTGACTTTCAAAGGCACTGTGCTTGTCACCAGACTTCACTCTGGAAAGTGTTATTGTGAAAGCACTTATTCCGCTATTGGATTTCATTCCAGGCAGTGTTCAACTAGGTTTTTAATTGTACAATAAAGTCCATTTGTTTGATGCACGATCACAACTTTCTAAATTGTGTTTGCTCCTATAGCCTCTAATCCAGGCTGCTCACTGCTCAGTAATTAGTCAAGTCGATCCTAGCCCTTACTGCAAATTAACAAGGTTCTACCAGAATAGGCCACTGAGGTTTTGATGAGATGAGAAAATAGTTCTCTCTCTCCTCCTCCACTCTCATGATATATGATCAATTTATTTAACTCAAATTGCATTTTCAATAGCCCTGTCTTTCCAGAGTCAGCATGTCTGCTGTAACTTACACTTGCGAAAGGGAGTCAGTGACAGGATAGTAAGGCTGGAGATAAACTGGGTGGAAACAGAAGTGTTTTATTTTATGCTACCTTGGACAAGCACAGTGACATTTTGAGCAAAGACAACAAAGTCAGTGGTAGCCACAGTCCTCCTCAGCCAGCAACAATTATCAGGGGACTACAGTGTTGTCTAGGCTTTCTGTCCGCTCTCCTAATGCGATGTTATTGGAATAATTAATGTATCTCAAAGTGGAGCTTAGTCCAAGTGGGCATTTCAACAGTATACCGTGTTCCCTTGTCAGATGGTTTCTTTTTAACTACATAGAAAGCCCAAGTGAACATTTACTTCCCTATTATGCCTTAGAAATGAACTTAGATGGCACTAATAATAGCATCACTTTAAAATATAAAGTCGAGAGAACATATTCTCCAGTGTCACCAGTGTGGCATATTTGTCTTCTGCTTAATTTGCCCTCACTGTGTATTATTAGGAGTTAACACCGTAGTTTTGTTTAATAACCAGCTTCACCGCCCATGGCTGACTCCAAACTGATCACTCAGTCCTGCTGATGAAAGTCCTAATTCATCCTTGTTAGAGCAATTAGAGGGAAATTGGATAACCGTGCCACTTCTTGCAAAGGTCTACGTGCAGCTATAGCCTATCCCCCAAGAGGTTAAGCAAACGCTCAGTTTAGCTGCAAGTGAAATAGATACTTTCCCTGTAAGTGAGATAGGACCAAATTAATTTAGACTTCAAGAAGTTTTTAAGTGGGAGTTGGAGCTCAGCTTCTTTTCTCCTCCTCGCTCCGTTCCTCTCTCTGCGCACGGCCGGGTTAAATGTTCTCTGCCATTAGAAATCAATTATGATTCCCTGCTATATTACATGCGCTGCCGTAGCAGAGCTACACCTCGGCACGCTGACTTCAGATGCCTTTTCTTCTTGCCCTTGACATTCGAGTGGTAATTTGAAAGTGGAAAACTTCTCAGAGGATACAACACATCCTGTCTCAGACCGATCATGTTTGCCTGATGGGAAGGTAGCCATAGCCGCCTTGGCTTCCGACTGGGAAGATGGTGTTTCTTCTGTAGATGGATTTTCAATCTGATTGGAAAGATTCTGGTGTCGGGGGAGGGCTATAATGGGCCACAGAGATTAGGGGTGGGAGGATTAATGCAAACATCACATAAAATATGTCTGTCAGCGTTATGGCAGAGTTGGTTTGAACCCAGAGAAAATAAAACAAAACAAAACAACAACAACAAACAAGTGCCATCAAAGAATCACGAATTTCTAATCCCTAGACCAGCATGTCTGCTATTTTTTTCTGGGAGCCTAAAGTACGTCATTTAACTTCTTATGTCTCAATTTTCTAATTTGCTAAATGAGAGTCTTGTGACCTCCAGTTCTTCCTGCTTCTGTAACAGTTAGGAATACATTTTATGGCAAGTAACAGAACAAATGGGTTTCTTTGTATCACATTACAAGAAATCTAAAGAAAAGTGGCTATTGACCTTGGTTCAGCAGCTTGAAGTCATCAAGGTCAGCATCTCTGCAATTCTTTTAGATTTTTTCTGATCTTGCCTCAGGTGATTACCGAAATGGCCACTGCCTTTCAGGTGTGGCATCCATGTTTCCTACAAGAACAAATGGACAAGTAAGGACTCTTCTCCTCCTGAGACTTTGTCTTTCTTAAGCAAGAGATGCCCACCCATCATACTGCTGTTCTACATTTTATTTCCCCAGAACCTGCATTTGGCAACCCATGATACAAGATACGCTGGAAAGTCAATTGTTCAGTTTTCCAGACTCTGTAGAAAAGGAGCCAAAGTAGAAAAGTAGTTCTAAGACTGGGTGCCAATTCAACATGCAGTACCTGCACCCCAGCTTGCCTACTACGCTACCTGTCTTACACACACAGGATAAGGGGATATTTGCTGTTTTTCTCTCCATCTGCCATAATGGAGACAGCACTTCCCCACCACATGAGGCCAGGTACAGCAGCCAGTACCACGCATGCAGAAGTAACGTGTCAGCAGCAGATGACGAAAACATTTATGAGCCAGTGCGCACTTCTTGGTGTCTTCTCATCTCTCTACATCTTCATCTAGAGATGTTCCAGATGGTGGACCCCCCATCAGCCCAGATCTGAGGGTGAGGATGAAATGGAGCAGAGCCCCCTGATGGCACACGGTGGATCTACAGCATGAGTGAGATTTAGGGGGGGTCTTGTTATCGCAGAATAACAAAGTACCCTCACAAAACAGGTAGGAAGAGAAGATGTAGTTATTGCTGAAAACTCTACAACTATTATTAGATCTCAATCTGGAGTTTTGCACCTCCAGCTTTTCCTGAGTATGGCCATTCCCTTTGCCCCTTCCTTCATTTCTGTCCTGCAGCCTTAAGAGCTTTGCAAATGATCAAGCGCTACACTGGCCATGGAGACATGATGACAGTGACAATTTGCTGAGATGACTTCCTTTTAGAGCTCTGCAGACTATGTTGTGATGTGGGACCACATGGAGGGGTTGCTTTCAACATCTTTTTGTTAGGCTTCTCTCTGGCTCCTCAAAGTGGGAAGGGAATGAAATTCTTCCTGGGCTGCAGCACTTGAAATCATTTTTTGTGCTGCAGCCAATGTGATAATAATAACAGCAATGGTTTTGTAACAAAGTTCTGTGCGTTCCATTATCACCATCATCATTACCACCACCAGCACCATCGTCAGCATTATTATTATTGTTGCCTCTAATAACATTTGACACCCAAGGAGCCCTACCATAGGGCTGGGGACCTGAAACATACAATCTCTTCCTACTGAACATGTATCTTTGAAAAGCCACTGGGAAAAGCAAGTCATAGAAACCCCAGGAAAGATGCATAATCCTCACCTACAAATGCAAAGAAAGGTGGAGTAGGGGTTTGGAGAGAGTGGATTAAGCATTCAGGAAATTTGTTCCTTACTCATTTGTGGACTCCCTCTGTGACCCTAAACAAGGCTCTTGTCTTTAAAGTTCCAATTTCTCCAATGTACTATTAAATATAAATAACACAATGCACTTTCGTATTTTAATAAACTCAGAGAGAAAAACGTTGACCTTAGAAAAATCTAGCTGGTGGTCAATTTGCCGAAGCCAAGTCTGTGGGTGTAGTCAGGAACTTCACAGGCATGGGTTTCTCTACATTGAAGGAGATCCAAGGCTGTGCATATACTTTTCCTGCCCTGTAGGAGCTATTTGCTTATTTGCAAAGAGAGAAATGAACAGGCAAACAGGGAGGGCTAAATAACATTAGGCTATTTATTTGCAAATATGTACAGCCCTGTGGTGTCTGTGTATGCAGGAAGGTATTGAATAGGAAAGACCCAGCAGGGCTGGACGCAGCAGCTCATCAGCCCAGAACTCCTCATTTCCGGATACACACTGTCACACACCGCTCAGATGCATTAAAACTTCAAGTCCCTCCCTATGTAGCTCAGTAACAGTCTGAGGTTGGCCTAGGGACATGTCTTACACCTGTACAAGGCAGACTCAGAGGCCCCCTGAGTATTCTCAGGAGCAGCCTGCTTCTCCCCAATCTCTATTCCAAAAGCTGGCATATTCCGTGGGTAAATAGAACATAAGGGTAGTTCAGTCCCCTAACAACTTGCAAGTATCCTCTGGAGGTCAGTTTCCTTTTGAAAGGAAATATCGTATTATCCATCCTTCCTAAGATGCTTCTCCTTTAAGAAGACTAAGGTCTTTTGGGGTTTTTTTCTTGATTTTCCCCCCGATTATTAACTAAGCCATAGACTTCATTGCTATTTCACCAGTTTTTCCATTCGTATTCTATTTCTGCTTGAAGATACCACACTGCATTCAGTTAACCTGTTTCCTTAGTCTCTTTCAATCTGGAGCAGTTTCTCAGTCTTTCTTTGTTTTTCATAACCCTGACAGTTCTTAAAAGTACTAATGAGGTATTTTATAGAATGTCCCTCAATTTGGATTTATCTGATATTTTCCACATTATTAGACTAGAGTTCTAGTGCCTTCTTATCACATATCTGCGGATATGTGGTGACATGGTTTGGCTGTGTCCCCACCCAAATCTCATCTTGAATTGTATCTGCCATAATTCCCACATGTAGTGGGAGGGACCCTGTAGGAAGTAACTGAATCACGGGGGTGGGTCTTTCTCATGCTGTTCTGGTGATAAGGAATAAGTCTCACGAGATCTGATGGTTTTATAAAGGTTAGTCCCCCTACACAAGCTCTCTTGCCTGCTGCCATGTAAAACATGACTTTGCTCCTCACTCGCTTTCCTCCATGATTGTGAGGTGCCCCCAGCTATGTGGAACTGTGAGTCCATTAAACCTCTTTCCTTTATAAGTTACCCATTCTCAGGTATGTCTTTATTAGCAGGGTGAGAACAGACGAATACATGTGGTCTCAGCATGACTTATCACTGGTGATATTAGCGTTGATCACTTACATGGTTAAGGTATTGATTTCCAGCTTTCTCCACTGTAAAGTTACAAGGGTTCCATGTTCATATTCTATTCTTTAGAAAGGAGTCACTAGGTTCAAGCCACAAGAGGAGGTGAATTAAGCTCCATCTCCTGAAGAGGGTGTCTACATATATTATTTGGAATGCTTCTGTAAGAAAGATTGGCCCCTTCTCCACCTTTTATTTATTTATATCAATATGGATTTCCACATATATATATTTTAGACTTTGGGTTATAATTCAGTACTATGTTATTTCTTTCTTGCTCGGAGTGCTTCAATTTTGGCCATTGGTAGTTCTTTCAGATTGACCCGTGTCCTTTTAACATGTCTCTAGTTTTCTTCTTTCCTACTGCCCTCCTTCCCTTTCTTCTTTTCTTCCTTTCTTTCTTTTTAAATCTTTTAGCACTTTCAGGCTTTCTTGCACTACATTATACTCCAAGCTCATCTTGCCCCAGCCCTATCAGCAGACATGTCTCCAAGGAGCCGTAGTTCCTTTTATTGGAGAATGACATATATTAATAGAAACCAAGATATGGATACTGGCTGTGTTCCTTGCTACTGAGGTGTCGTTGCTTCTAGACCACCTCAGCAAACTGAGCTAGATCATATATAAAAAACTAACCCATGTATGCACACATATCTGTATCTATCTGTAGGTATGTGTGCATACACATATGTGTCTATATACAAACATGAGTTAATATTGTCTCTTGTCCTTGGCATGAATCCAGCACCACGGGGATTATTCTAGCTTTCTTCCACTTAAAAAAGTTACTTATTGGTAACTTTTTTCTCTGACAGTGAGGAATCTGGCACCCATTACCTAAAATCCATTTACTCATTTGTTAAACTCTTAACTTCATTTGAAATCTCCCTAATCCTTCAGTGTCAACTGGGTTCCTGAGTTCTAACCTCTAAGTGCATCATCCACACCTCACTCACAATATTCGCAAGCGTGTTCAAATGACTATTTATTTAATGCCTGCTCACCCTGCTGTGTTGAAAGTTGCCCCAACAGCTGGACCATACCAACTCTTACACCCTGCAAGTATTTACCGGATAAATTAAAGAAGGAAGTGGGAAGGCTGACTAATGTGACAGCTGCTTTTTCACAGGTCCTTCTGCCCAGTCCTCATTTGTGGTATTGTCCTCACTATGACATTGCTCCCCGGGCGGAAGGTTTCTCTAATGAATCCCCAACACTCGATTGCATTATCCTATTTTGTCATCTTCAAAGTGGTCACCATTATCTGCTGCTATCTTGACTGTCTGTTATCAGTCTCCCCACTTAGACAGTAAATGCCACGCTGACAGAGACCTTGCTCATCTTACTTACCACCACATCCTAAGGACAGTATATGATCCGAAGCAGATGCCTAATAAATATTCACTGCAGATCAGCAGCAAGTAGGAATGTTATTAGGATTATTGGTTTTCTTGTATCAATGCAGACATTGACTAGATATGTAATTAGTATTATTTGAAATGTTATCTTGAAATGACTCTGACCATAAATTGTAGACACAACACTATAATAAATGATTCAGGCTTTCTACTGATGTTCTTTGCCTTTTCTCATGGGTGAGTCATTTCTGTAAAATAGGCAGTACCCCTTCTGATGTCACTCATCTCCTCTAGACCCCTACTTAATTTTTAGCCTAAAAAACTCCATCCAAACCAACTACCCTGACCACAAATCTTTTTTTTTTTTTTTTTTTTTTGAGACAGAGTCTCCCTCTGTCACCCACGCTGGACTGCAGTGGCATGATCTCGGCTCACTGCAACCTCTGTCTCTCAGGTGTAAGCGATTCTCCTGACTGAGCCTCCCAAGTAGCTGGAGTTACAGGCACACACAACCACATGCAGCTAATTTTTTTCACATTTTTAGTAGAGATGGGGTCTCACCATGTTGGCCAGGCTGATCTCGAACTCCTGACCTCAGGTGATCCACCCATCTCGGCCTCCCAATGTTCTGGGATTATAGGCTTGAGTCACTGTGCCCAGCCCACAAATCTTATATGATAAGGTGACCTTATCATAAAGATGGAAACAGAAAAAGAGAGTGGAAGGGAGGAAGGGAGGGAGGGAGGGAGAAAGGAAGGAAGGGAGGAAGGGAAGAAGGGAGGGAAGGAAGGAAGAAGTGGAGTGAGGGGGGGAGTGAGGGAGGGAGGGAGGGAGGAAGAAAAAAGCAAACTAAATGAAAGTCCATGATAGCCAATGTTAGCCTTCAGTAAGAAAACAACTTTTAACAGATGTAGATTTAGAAATACAGAAAGATCACAGTTTGTCATTTACAGCCTGGTTGGGTTTTTTCGGCATTTTTCTACAATGCTTCTCAAATTTGCATGACATTGTCTGCACAAACTGCTGTTTTATACCCTTTCCTGTTTCCCTTCCATCATCTATCTTTCTCTCCCATGAAACTTATGAAATAATATAAATCATTCAAAATGCAAACTAACTGGAAATGTGTTGGCTAAAGTAAAACATGAAAAGATTTATCAAGGGGTAGAGATTGTGGGCAGGTTTGCAAAATTCCCTGTTCATAACTAGAGTCCTTGGTCTCAAGTCCTTGGTCCTAAACCTAAGTCTTTCTCTTCAGGCTTTGTTTCATTTATCTGTAAATGCCAGCACTTTCAGAGTTGAAGCTTATTAACTTGGACATTCTCAAATCAACTTTAAAAAAATTTAGAAGGACACCTGGATAATGTTTACTTACCACCACCCCGTCAACCAAAGAAATTGTTTCCTGCACTAGTGATGTACTACCCAAGCAATACATCAGAGTCACCTGAGGTATTTGTTTTTAAAAATACAGATTCCTGGAAATCACCCCAGACCTACTGAGCTAGGTAGAGCCTTAGAATACAGGCTTTGGAAACATTCCCCAGGTGGTTCTTATGCCAGCTGCACAGCATTGGGCTGGGCCAAGTACACATAATAAGAGTGTAAATGAGTTCGTAGTGGCACTGTTTAAACTAAATAATAGTCTATTTTAAGAATTAGAACTGTTTATTCAAACCACTAATAAATCAATGTTTAAGTATTCTTTGAATAAAGAAAGTCAAACTTGTTTTCACCACGACCTATGGTAAGAAATATATTTTACATTACATTCTGGTACACTCACACAACACACAGATGTGTGAAATTGTATATAAGCAAATTGAAAAATTCACAAAATAATGCTTATATAGTAGATGATGGAGTAAAAATGCAGTAAGTATCAAAAATGATGCTGATATGATCAAATAACAAATAAAACATGAAAAATGTCCCAAATAAAGAATACAAAAAATAGTCTAGTCAAACCCATACATATTGATTTTGTGACCCACTAACGAGATGTAGTCTGAGGTTTGAAAAATACTAAGTCACTATCTGGAGAGCTTGGCTTCTTCTTCCCAGGTATCTCAAGCACTTAAAAATAACAAAACTGCATTTTTAAAAATCCAAAATTTAGAAACTCTACCCAAATAATGAGGTGCTAGGGAATTTATGAAACAGCTTCAAGCACTTCGGATAAAAAATACACGAGTTATGATGTTTGACTGTTTGGAGCACCATTATGTTTAGAAGCTCACTTACAATTTTCCTGTGCCCCACCACTATTTCCCTGCTACTTACTACATTTCCTCCTTCAGTCTGGATCCAGACTTATCAGGTATTATTTTCTCTGTGAAGACCAGAGTCAAACTGACTCTGACCATAAATTGCAGACATAACACTATAATAAACCATTCAGGTTTTCTACTGTTCTTTGCCTTTTCTCATGGGTGAGTCATTTCTGTAAAACAGGCAGTACCCCTTCTGATGTCACTCATCTCCTCTAGAATACTACTTAATGTTTAGCCTAACAATCTCCATCCAAACCAACTACCCTGACCACAAGTCTTTTCTTTTTGCCTCCCATGCAAAGCCTCCCTTGTGCCTTTGTGTGCTGTTAGCTGTGCCCATCTGACCGCTCAGGTTTGATTCTTCATCTGCCCCTCCTGTTATAAAGTTCATGGGGCCAGAAACAATAACCTCACCTTGACAAATAATGCCAGAAATGCTGATAATGATGGTGATATATTGAATTCATGTTGCTTCCTCTTCCAGCACCTTGGGAGGCCCCAAGATGACAAAAATAGTAGATACAAAAATTCTCATTATTTTAGACCAGAGTAAGTAGGGGAAGGAATTCTGCATTCTCTAAAATCTGAATTAATGAATTAATGAAACTTTAAAATCTGAACATATATAATAAAGTAGTTCTGTTGGATAAAAATAGTTTCTTTTAAGTATGATTAGCAATGAAACTCAGGTTTAAAAATCGTTCTTGAATAGAGCTCCTGAGGGACTTGCTTTCACATAAATACTGCTATATACCTAGCATTTCACTGTTTATTCCAAACCAATTTTAAATGCTTGTTTTTATAAGTAGTAATGGAAATAACTAACTTTTATCAGATCAGACTGTTCCCATTTGAGCCTAACAACTGTTCATTGTAATTATCCCGCTTTACAAAGGAGGCAACTGAGACTTCAAGAAGGAATCTGCCCAGAGGTGCACAGCTAATAAATTCTGGGACACAAACTCTAATGTCAGAGGCACTTCTGTCCTTAACACCCCTTCCTAAAGCCTTATTTGTGTTATTAACTTGCTTTGAAACCCCTATAAAAGTAAGCTCAATTTCAAACTCTTATGTAACTCACTGGGAATTTGAAAGGAGGTTGGTCAGATTTGGTGAAATGTTACCATAATTGCCTTGGGATACTGGAAATAAAGGAAGGAATTGCTAGGAACAGTTCCATCATTTTAGCCTTTGAGAACAATTCCCCTCTGGACCTTTATTTCCAACTCTTATAAATATTACTGGACCAATTCTTTGGAGGAGGCCACTTGCTCCCACCTCACTTTCACTCAGAGGAGAGTTATTTGCAAAGTTTCAACCAAAGCGGAAGTGCCCTTTTTGAGTTACAGGCCTGAGAAAAATTAACGCATTTGGGTTTGCTTGGGCATTTTTTGTTTTGTTTTGTTTTTTGTTTTGTTTTGTTTTTAAAAAGTCAAGAACTTTTTTTTTTTGCTAGCTCCCCCATAAGTCACAAATAGCTTTTCTTTCAAAGTTCAACCTTGTCAGGCTGTTAATCCTCCATGAGGAAAAGCACACGTGATAAGTTTACAAAGGCTTAGCTTTCAAATAAGGAAGTTATTAACTTTTCCATTTCTGTTTGGCCCCCTTCTCAATAGTTCTGGAAGTCTCTTGGACTAAAGAGGCCAAGTGAACCATTTTCTCTGTGACCATTTGCTCATAGCTCTCTACTTTCTCCAGGAGAAAATGTGCCCAGGGTATGAGAAGTCACCATAGACAGCAGAGCAGGACGGGGAAAGGGCAAACCTCAGAAAGGATGCTCTGAGGCTCACCAGACACCTGGGGGGAGGTGGGCTGGACTGGGGGCTCAGGATCTGGTTGGAGACTCTGAGAGGAACGCTACTCATATGGGCTGAAGACATAGTTGAGGCCTCAAATATTCCTTGGGCATATTATCTTTCAGAGTCATCATCCAACAGTTAACTAGGGTATTGCAAGAACTAGACTTTCAAGGCAGCTTCAGAAGGGGTATGAAAAAAGAATGAGGGCTTAAATTCAGAAGATCTGATTTTGACTCTCAGCTCCACTTTAGACAGGTCAACATTTCCTGAGCAGGTGTTTTCTCACCTTTAAGAATCCCCACTTCTCAAGACGTTCATGAAAATAATAGCAGCATTGATTGGGTGTCTACTATGTGTCCAGCATTGTGTTGCATGTGAGTTTCTTATTTAATTCTCCCAGCAATCCTAGTAGGTGCCCACTATGATGATCCTCACTTTACAGACGAGGAAGCTGAAGTTTACAGATTAGACAACTAACTTTCAAGAGAACAGAGTTGGTTTTCCAGTTGATACAGTTTAGAAGAGTCCCATTCACTTAGCCATGGAATTCACTGCCTCAAAAAAGGTAATGGGCATGAAAGCATTTTGTAAATTCTAAGGGACTGCACAATAATGCTTACTTGTATTGTCTTATCAATATGTGACATCCCGAGTGTAATTCCCAGCTCTCAAAGTGACCTCAAAACAAACCCAGTAGAGAAGGGGGAACCATTAACCACCGACTGGTGCAGTTGCTCTCACTTTAGCAAGCCTCCAAATCACCTGGAGAAATTGCGGAAACACAAACTACTGAACCCCAAGCCCAAAGTTTATGATGCCGTCAGTCTGGGGTGGGGCCCCCAAATTTGCATTTCTAACACTTTCTCAGATGAAGTCGATGTTGCTGGCCTGGACCACATTTTGAGAACCACTGGTATAGTGGTGCAAAGCTTCTGAGGGAACTCAGAAGTCAGGCCTGCCCCTTGCTGACTTAATGAGTTTGCTTGCATCTTAATTTTTCTCACCTCCAAAATGTAAATACTATCATTGAGACAGCCAGGTGAGAAGAGCTCCCTCGCAAAACTCCAACCGGCCCGTGCACTGGGGTGCCTATCGGGATGGAGCCACAGAAGTCCGCACCATTTGCAGTGGGGAGGAGCCTGGCCCCTCCTCTTCCTGGGTGGTACCTGGAATTCAATTGGCTAGGTGGGAAGACCACGGGAAGGAAGCACACTCTCGCTCGCTAAGAGTCTCTGTTTCCCTTTTTTTCCTTTTTGCCCAATAAATTCCATTTTTCTCACTCTTCAAATTGTCTGTGAGCCTTAATTTTCATGGCCGTGTGACAAGGATCCCGCCTTTAGTTGAATTAAGGAAAAGTCCCACAACATTAATATCTACCTTGCAGACTTCCCACGAAGATGAATAGTATGATACATGCCAAGTCCGTAGACTCTTATCTGGAACATGGCGAGCACCGCTGTGGCTGTTTGCATCCTGCTCTCGGCAGGCCCAGCTTTGTTTTCTTAGCAGTTTTCATCCCAGATCGTGCAAGAGTTAAATAGACCATCTTAAATCTGTGTCTTTTAAAACCTGTACTTTCATTTTTCATTGAAAAGGCGATGAAGTAACACTAACATGTTCCATCAGTCAGGGTCCCAACAGAAAACAGATGGTATACACAAAATAGGAACATTCCAGGAGGGTTTATAACAAAGGGACTGTTTACACTGCGTGGGTGTTGGGGGAACCACAAGGGACAGTAGAGTAAGCTGGGGCTTAATTGCAGTTAAGCTGATAGCACCCCTAGGCCACAAGGAACAAGGAAGGAAAGAAGCAGTTATTAAGCCTGGTGAGAAGGAATTCTTTAGAGTTGGCTGCCTTGAAAGAAGCAGAGATCTTTAATCAGGGGACACGACCAGCTCCAGGGTACTTGCCAGGAAGAGAGCCCAGGGTATTAACTCCCTGACCTCACTCTTCTTCCTCCTTCCATCACCTGCCAGAGCTCCCTATTGACTGACTGCTCAAGCCAGAGGCCATGGGAACGAGGGATGAATCCAGTGTGAGGGTATTTACTTTCATTGTATTGATTGATTCTGACACCAGCCCTATACTACAGATGAGGAAAAAGTCAGTCTAAGTAACTTGCCTCATGCCACACTGTTTGGGAATGGGTGGGTAGTCAAACCCAGGTAGTCTCATTCCAGAGCCTGTCCACTGAGTCAGCTCAAGAGAGGAAGCCCCAGGAGAAAAAGAAAAGAAAGCGAGATGCATATTTTTGATTAATATAAAAATATTATCCACTGCATATGGTGGATATTACACAGTTGTGTGATCTAGGGCCTCAGTGACCTCATCTGTCTTGTTAAGTTTAAAAACAAAAAAAGTGAACAATGCTGTCTCATTGCTACCATTGCAAGTAGGTAGAACATGCATATGGTAACTGATAATATTGGCTATAATAGGACATTAGGATGATGAATGATATTCTTTTGATTTTCTTCATTTTCTGAAGTTCCAAACTATGGCCAGATTCAACTTACATCTTTTTAGCATAAAAGCAATCAAATAAAATTTTAAAAAATAAAGTAAAATGGAAGGTGAACCAGGCAATCTCCAAGTTTTGATGAATGCTTTATGTGCCTACAATCTTGATGTCAATCTCCCTGTCTCCCATCTTTTAATATTAAGTTAATCCTACAAATATGAGTAAAGGTCCACAGAATACATGCCAAACCTGGGAGACTCACACTTTAAGAAAACTCTGGTGGAGGGAGTGAAATGAGCAAAGTATAGCACAATTGCAGTGATGCCCTCCGGAGTGGGAACAGTTGCTTGTACCCTCTTGTTGCATCTGATCCATCCTCTGTAACACTTCCTTGACCTTTCTGAAGTTCATGGAGATTTAGAAGGAGGCTGGGCAAAACTTCGAATATGGGCAGATAATCTGTTTTTGAGGCATCCCTGGCGGACATTGCCACTGAAGCATTCTGGAAATGAGAGTTGGAGTGTCCTATAATGGGTATCCTGCTTGCTAGATAAGCATAAATGTAAATGGCTTAGAAAGAAAACCCTGAGAGGTCAGAGCATGACATTTCAGAGATGCCCCACAAGTAGGCCACAGAGTTCCTACAGGCATGAGGTCATCTTCCACAGGAGTGTACCTGCAGGTGGGTCATGGAAAACCAGACCCACTGCCTCTGTCCTGAAACAGCAAACTGCTCTGTAAGGACCATGTAAAGTCAAGTCTTTGCATTTCTAATTGTGATACCAGATGTCATAATTACAAATATGAGAGGCTAACATAAGTCTATCAATTCTTAATATAGTTATGGCATCTTTTCCTTACGTTCTAACTTGGACAAGTGACCACCCATGTCTAAAGCAACTTCGCACTATTCTTAGCAGAGAGATGATTTAATCTAGTAAATTACCCAATTTTCACTCAGCATCTCTTCAGGGCACTGAATCGATGGCCACTCACTGACCATTTACTTTGTAGCTCTTCTCAAACCATGTTTATATAAGAACACTAAATTCACTACAGACAAGGAAAGTGTCTTCTACTTTTTAAAACTTGCAGAGTCCCCAGTGTAGGACTCTATAGTTGGGGAAGACAGAGGGGGACTATAACCAGAAGTTACTAAATCTTAAACTTCAGTGAACTTCAGTGCCTCTCGCAAGAATCTATTCCTATGCTCCATAACAGATTTCATGTTTGTAATTTTGCATTTTTAAAAAGAGTCCCCCAAACTGTATAAATTTCAGACATCACATCCATTACACACTGGATCTACCTGGTGTGTAAATCTAAATATTTCAGACCATTTGTCGGGGGAGGGTTTATATTTCAACTATGTTTAAATAGCAAAAGCCCAGGATATAGGCTCCCTTCATTTATTCAGGCTGATATAACAAAGTACCCTAGATTGGGTGGCTTATAAACAACAGAAATCTAATTCTCACACTTCTGGAGGCTGGAAGGCAAAGACTGAAGCACTGGCAGATTTGGTATCTGGTGAAGTCTCACTTGCTGGTTCACAGCTGGTGCCTTCTCACTGGGTAGAATGTAGAATGAGTTCCTTTGAGCCTGTTTTATCAGGGCACTAATCTCATTCATGAGTGCAGAGTTTCCCATATCTTCCCAAAGATCCCACCTCCAAATACCTCTCAACTGAGGGTTAAGTTTCAGCACATGAATTTGGAGAAACACGAACATTCAGTGCATTGCGCAGGCTTCCTCTCCAGAGTTTTCCTTTGCGTTCCCCACAACCTCACCAAGTAGTCAAGGAATGGAATGAGAAGAGGAGCTTCGGTTACCTAAACAGTTTAACGCTGAAGGGTGCCTATACCGACAGACTGTCCGTTAGTAATCAGGTGGGAAATATGGTCCAACTGATTAGAGACAGTGAAGAATGGGAAGAGAGAAGGGATGCCCACCAGGTCCCGAGCTCAGCTCCACGAGTGAGGCTAGCACGACAGTGAAGAAAGTGGGCTCTGGGTGTGAAACAGCCTTACTCCTTACCAAGTCTGGGACCCTGTGCCTTGTTACTGAAGTCTCAGTTTCTTTATTTAAAAAATAAGAATGAGAATGCTTACCTCTTGGGGTTTTTACAAAGACAAAATGAGATAATATGTGTAAAATGCTCAATGTGGTATCTGGCACATTATAATTGCTCTGTAAACAATAGCATCTGCAGTTATCACTAAACTAGACAAGACAAAAATAAGATCATCTCAGAGAAATGCAACACACTATGTGATATTTTACTTAGCATCTTATATTATTACTCCTTTGCCCCCAACCCTTCTCATGTCTTTTATCAGTACCTCATAGTTATTATAACCTCATGACTATCTTATAAATAGAAAATATGCCACAGAATTAAGGAAAGAAATAAAAAATGATTTTACATGTTGATACAAAAAACAAATTATAAAATCAGAATAATAAATTATATTCCTAGGGAGCCCAAATAGTTCATGGTGCCAATAAAACTTATTTCAGCTTATATTTATTGAGCACTTACTACATACAAGGACTTTGCTGAACACTATGGGACAGTCAGAGATAAAAGAGATTCCCTACTCTCAAAGACTATATAATACACTAGAAAAGAGTTCCCAGAATGAGTTCTTTCCATGGAATACTAGTTAATAGGTGTTACATTAAAAAGGTATATTGTGAACAAATAAATTTCAGAAGCTTCAGATTAAACACAAGTATACAGGTTTTTTCACTATCCAGCTTCTCAGAACCATTGCCATGCTGATATACCTTGCAAAGCTTTAAGAAAAGAAAAATGACTGCAGCACTTTGCAAATTTGTTTGTTTGTTTTTGTTTGTTTGAGATGGAGTCTCACTGTGTCGCCAGGCTGGAGTGCAGTGGTGCGATCTCTGCTCACTGCAACCTCCGCCTCCCAGGTTTAAGTGATTCTCCTGCCTCAGCCTCCCAAGTAGCTGGGATTACAGGTGCGTGCCACCACACCCAGTTAATTTTTATATTTTTAGTTGAGATGGGGTTTCACCATGTCGGCCAGGATGGTCTCGATCTCTTGGCCTCATGATCCACCCGCCTTGGCCTCCCAAAGTGCAGGGATTACAGGCGTGAGCCACCGCGCCCAGCCTTGTTTAAGTTTTGAACTCTACTAGCATCATATTTCATAGGCCTAGGGTTCCAGAAAAACACTCTGGGAAACACTGGAGTACATAACTAAAACAAATACACAAATGACTCTAGGACAGATTGAGTGAAGTTCAGTATGTAATAAGAGCTGAGTAGAAACAGCAAATATCCTAGTTAGTGAGATTCTGGAAAGGTGTCGAGGAGACATGGTTTGAGATGGGCCTTAAAGGATGGATCAAATGTTATGTTATTATACCCAGGCATGAGAATTCCATGTAGCACGGCTAACACAGACGAGGAGAGGCACAAGGCCAAGAGTGTGGAACAGTGGGTTGGCTCCATCCGATTAGCTCATAAAATATTTGCAGTCGATAAGGGGGAAATAAAGTCAGAGAGAGAGAGTGAGCCATGATGTGTAATAGCATGAAACCCACAGCAGAGTTGTTGGAAGTAACCGGGAGAGCTGATCAGAACTTCAGGAAGAAAATTCTGATAAAATGGAAAGACTAGACTGGAGCGGGGAAAGTTAAGAAGTGAAGAAACCGAGCAAAGATTATCTTAACCTCAGCAAGAAATCATCTGTCCTGAACCAAAGAGGTGACAGCTAAGCAATGAGGGCCAAAACATTTCAGAGAGAAATATTTTAGAGATAAAATCTTAAGAGATTTGATGTCTTCTGTATGTTTTATCATATTGGTGACATCTTCATATAGTTGTAAGTGGTCAAGTTGTACTTACCGAGTTTAAGAGGTTGAACCCAATGTATGTTATTCTCTGCCAGCGTGGTGTCAACTAAGGGAATCTGATCAAGTTACTCATGGATAGGTATCTAAATTCTTACAATAGAAGATTTCACTGGAGGAGCCAGTGACACTGTCTGGTCAGACAGTGACAGACTCCTCTGATCCCCAAAAGGTGATTTCTAGGTAAAACTGATCAGAAGGTAGAGCTGAAATCCAATCTGCCTTTCTCTTTCTTAACACCTTGGGCTGTTCGGACCTGTGAGGAGCACCGAAACACCAGTCACTTGGAATTCAAGGTTCTGCAACACTGAAACTATATTTAAAACTGCTCCCCACACCATACACAAACAGGCCCTTAGAACAATGCAAGCCCCGGGTCTCTGCCCCCTTGCAGACTAATTGGACAAGGTACAGCATGTGGTGTGTGAGTGTAATTGTTCAGAGGGGCAGCAGGCTCTCTCAGGTCTCCTGACCTGGACTGCACAACCCAGAGGTTGTCACCCACTGCTGCCTCTGCTGAGCACACATGAACAGAGAGGCCTCATACTTCATCCACCAGATGGAAACCTTGCTGCCCCATACTGTGGGTGGCAGATGTTTTCCTGCTTAATTGTTGAAGATTAAGATTTGCAAACCAAAAAGTAAAAATACTTCCCCCAGGCAATTATGGCCAATCAAATCACAGACTTTGGGAAGAAAGATGATGACTACTACAGCAATTCCTCACTTAACTTTGTCGATAAGTTCTCAGAAACTACAACTTTAGGCAAAACACCATCTAACAAAACCAATTTTACTGTAGGCCAATTGATATAAACAAGAGCAAAGTTCCTATGGCATATTTCTAGTCACAGAAACATCACCAAACTTCTAAATAAAGACCCAAAACACTTCTAATAGTAAACATTGAAATACATGTGATCTATGCATTTCAGAAAGATTAGTACAAACAAGTAAGATACGTATTTACCCACCTTTTGGTGAACCAGGGAGTGTCAGCAGTCATAGTGGTGGTGAGTTAAATCCAGGAACAAATGTTTGCAAAGCGGAAATTGTCAGAGAACCTCCTACCATCATGCAGTTCAAAAACGATCAGAAACATGGTGGGCTCCCTGAGCACTTTTATACAGCATCGTTTTATTGTTGTGTATTTGTATTACTATCATAGAATTTATAAATTTTTATTTTATAATCATTGTATTCATTCATTCATTCATTCATTTCCCAACCCTCCTAGTCCAGTCCAAGGCACCAGGTAGGAGCCAGCCCTGGACAGAATGTTCTCCCATGGCGGGGTGCCCATGTACACACACACATGCATGTGCTGAGACCGTGTAGACATGCCAGTGAGGCTATCAGGCACATCTCTGGGATGTGGGAGGAAGCCGACCTACCCAGAGAAAACCCTTGCAGACATGGGGAGAATGTGCCAACTCCACACAGGATGGATTTCAACATTATAACAAAGGCATATTGAAAGAAACAACGTTATTCTAGGACCTGCTGTACGTCCTCCCTCTCCTTGTAAGTAAATTGCACTCCCCTGAGTTCATTTGGCCACACGTGGATTTGAGTTTCCTTCAGTGTCCATCTTCTTTCCACGTGTCTATTCCAGGAGCTGTGGTGTCAGCCAGAACAGGGAGACTAGGCACTTCTGTCCTCAGGAAATTCATTTATTCAAAAAAAAAAAAAAAAAAAACCATATTGTAGCTGGGTGTGGGGGCTCATGCCTGTAATCCCAGCACTTTGGGAGGCCGAGGCAGGCAGATCACTTGAGGTCAGGATTTCAAGACCATCCTGACCAACATGGTGAGACTCTGTCTCTACTAAAAATATAAAAATTACCAGGGCATGGCAGGCATGGTGGTGCATGCCTGTAGTCCCAGCTATTCGGGAGGCTGAGGCAGGAGAATCGCTTGAAACTGGGTGGCGGAGGTTGCAGTGAGCTGCAATCATGCCACTGCACTCCAGCCTGGGCGACAGAGCAAGACTCTGACTCAAACAATAAAAAAGTAAATAAATAAAAAATAATTAAAATACATCGTTTTTATGTCCCAGTGCAAAGCACTGTGCTAGATGCAATGAGAGATAAAAGTGGAGAAGCAAGTGTTAGAAAGATCCCTTCTAAATGAGAGAAACCAGGGAAGTGATCTTTGAGCTGCGCTTAAAGACTAGGAAGAATTTTAATAGGCAAAGATGGAAAGAGAGGGAGAGAAATAACAGAGGAAAAGAGGAGGCGAGCAATTTAAAGTCATATTTGGGGTTCCGTATAGTAAACCAGACTGAAGACTTCATGTGAGTAATTATACACAGTTAATGCCTGAATTATGTGAATAGATGGATCTTGGATTATTTGCGTGACTGATAAAACAGCAATAAACCTATTTATATTTTATGGAAAATTTGTACCATTTAAAAAGGCTTCAAAGAATTAACTTGGTTACAGAACAATGCACAAAATCGAATTAGAATTTAAAACACAATCACATATACACACAAACTGTAATTGTCCTATAAAAGGAAAGAATTGATTTATCAGCGATTGTTCCTAATTAGACAAGTCCACTTCACTGTCTGGCTACCCAGCTGGCAAACATAATAATCTTTACACATCTACACTTTGCAAAAATGAACTACAGTTCATTTTAAATCTTCCAGTTTGTTTTTGAAGCCTATACACACACCCTTTTGGATATAATGAGATACATTCTGAATGATAAATATCAGTTGATTAATGTATGCAGAGATTCAGTTTAATAACTGTTTCACAAAAAAATTATTTGACTATTGTTAAATCTTAATAAATGTTTTAAATAATAAATTGGCCTGTATTAATGGCTAGCTATTAGCTCTCCTACTTGTTATTATCTATTAACGTAACTCTTTAGATTTAATACGGTATTTATCATTGTTTATTTCCACAGTTGTTGCTTAGAACTAGTAATGCATTTTCCTTCCTCCAGATTCTCAGAGTTCTTTTCTAATATTAACCATGACTTCTCTCTTTTTCTAAACCTCTGATGACCTCCACCCAAACACAGCTGCACAACTGGGCTTCTTCAAGGAATACTTACTCAAATAAAGAATCTGCTTGCAGAATTCTGCCCAGACTCTCTTTCTAGGCCACGGCTTTGACTTGGTTTCTATCTCAATGACACTTCAGAACGGGCTGCAACCAGTGACTCCTCAGGGGTGACAGGCACCTGTCGGAGGGTCTTCTTGCATGGGCTCACCATAAATGTGAACTCCTCTCCCCAGTCCTGTTTCAATAACCAGGAGATTGAAGGGTGCATCTAATGAGAAAGCGCCTGAGGCATCTGGGCACAGAAGTGGTCAACAGCACACACGTCCCATGGTGCCAGGCTGCAGTCCCCTGCTGGCACACCTTTCCCACCTGAACCCTCAGAACAGGTCCTGGCTCCTTTAAGCGCCTCCAGTGAGAATTCAGTAATTGTCTCCGTGGAAAGTATGAGTTCCCCCCAGTGCAGCGTGATAAATCACGGATAATAATAGCTCTTTCCAAAATAATCCTTAGGCAGAAGCAAAATCCAACCGAGAAGGTTGTTCAGAGTCAAAACGTAGGACCTAGATCTGCCGTTTATTTAGCTCTATAAATACATTGAGTGTTTCCTTTGTCACCGCTGTTGACATAATGTATTATTATTACTATTCAGCTATTATTCCCTTAATGCCTGTATTTTTGTCTCTCTATTTCCTGCTAGGCCTTCATTCAATGGGTTGACCGTCCACTTTTAACCCTCAGTCTTCTACTGACCAGATTTCAGTTCTAAGCCTCTCCACTTTTACCACCAAGAGTCAGTACCATACTTCAGGGAGATTTCTAGAAACAACATCCTAGTGTGAGTGGAAGAGATCCAAGATTCTAAATTTTGCTGATTTTCTCTCCATAGTGTCAGGAATATCCAGAGACAGATTTTTTTTCCCCAGGCATAATCCCCATAATATTTGTTCTGTCATTTTCACTGTGTAAGAACAAATGGAACTTTTTATGTCTATACACAGGGACCCTCAGGATGACTCCCAGAACTGTTCGAAGTGGAACTTGTCATCCTGAATTGCCTGGGACTGGTTATAGTGTGATTCAATTGGCAGAGATATGGAAGCTTTTCCAAAAGAGTAAGTAGACAGTGATTCATTATCTTGTTCACATTCATGATCCTTGGTGGATACCTTAGCACTCTCTGGAAGACCTGGCAGCCCATCCTGGGCCCCTGCATCCTCTACATTGCTGCACATAAAATCCCGCCTATTATCTCAAGTATAGCTACCCATTGCTGAGTAGGTCAAGTCCCAGCATTGAGTACTTAAAGCTTTAAACCTAGGTTTCCAAGACCCCAGGTTATTACCTCACCCACAAGTTCATGCCTTTCTTCTTTTTGATTTATGGAGAAAACCCGAATCATAATTCTATTTTAAAAGATCATAAGGCAGATTGTTTAGTTTTCCTTCTTTAGAGTGTAATTATTCCTAATTCCACAATTGCTTTGCAAAGTGACAGTGTAATGATTAAGAGCACTCTCTTTTAGCAAATTTTTCTTATCACCAAACTCTATAAAAATTTAACTTCCTCCAAAAATTATGATGTTGTTGGGTAGTTTTTATTAGACAATTTTGGGACTTGAAAATTCTTTTTGACTAGTTCTCCTATACTCCAGCACATATATAATTATAACTAATTGCTTCTCTGCACATTCCCCTTTTCTCTGGAAGGAAAGAAATAGTTTTGGGAAAAATAAGAACAGTGGGAAAAGCAGGGAGGGGCCCTTTTCTTTGTTAATTGTACGGGGCTGACTGCATGTCTAGTGTACAGTTAGCATTTCAATCAGCACATCTTTTCAAGTTGTGGCTCTGAACAGCTGGAATGTGCTATGAAACATAGGCCAGGATAAAAGGCCATAGCATTGTATAGCTTCAAAACCAGCAATCAATCAATCACATGTGCTCCTGCAAGCGCACACAACACACACTGGGAGGTGGAATTGAACTATCTCAGGGGCTGTCATTATGCTGAATGATATGTGCTTTACAAGCATGTGAGTTGGCAAACCTACGCTCTTGACCTTCTTCAAATGCCAAGTCAGGTCTGAAATCCAAGTCAGAAAAAATGTGGAAAAACAAGTAACCTGATCGATCAATCAGGTATGTGTCTCCCAGTGACCCCATCATTGATCAGACACACTCATGGTTTGGAAAATCAAGCTGCAAGGTTTAGGTGAGTCACCCAAATGTGAGCCTGTGTTTGAAGATGAGAGATAAGGTTCAGGCCTCAAGACATATGTCCGGAGAGCCCATGGCTGTCAGAGGAGCAGACTTGCTTGGCCATTAGCTTCCTCCCATTACCACAACTGAATCAGCCTCTGTTTTGGGGGCAGTTGTTGCAGGTTAAGAACAGAGCTATCCCTGCTTAGCCAATTATAGTGGAAGGCTTACAGAAAAACACATAGCCCGGCATTTGATGGAGACCAGAGAGATGAATAATTCCTTGTACTTGGGTCTCTTAATTATCTGAGATCCAATGAACTCTGGTTAACCTTCTCTTCATTATTTCTGACCCCCACTTTCTGACTTTGGACACTAGAATTGGGAGCTAAAAACTGAAAGAAGGGCAAGGAGCACATTCTCACACAATTTCCAGGAGAAAGTGCCAGGAAGCTTGTGAAACTTCCAATTTAGCAAGCCTGAGAGGTGGGAATAAGCCTCCCACCACCCGTGTGTGCATGTGTGTGTGTGTAACTGTGCTGAGTTCTTCCTAGACATTAGCTCATGCAGCCTCCCAGTCCCCAGTGAGGCAGGTAAAAAGCTCTGATGCCTATTTCACATGCATTGAATGTCAACAATGGAAGTGTATCCATGCAAACCTCAGAGAAATTCACGGAATTGAGGGAATCGTTTTTCTTGATACTCTAAGATCTCACTGGCAAATATGGATTAAATCCCAACTGTGTGCATCAAATTGTTCTGAGTGAAATTGACATACCGGGAAAATGGGAGATACAGTTTTTCTTCTTGAGGATCTAACACTCTCAGGTTGGGAAATAAAGCAATATACATATGTAAGGCAATTAGAGAAGAAAATAGGGCAACATATCTCCATGTGTGAGAGTTGGCGTATAGGCGGAAATTGCTGCTGAAATCCCACTGCCACGCCTCAGTAGAAGACTGTTGTGGTCCTTTTTTGTTAATGCCACAAATACATTTGTTATGTATGGGCTTCTTCAAAGGACTGCTGTCATAGGACTGCTGTCATGACTTCTATGAGAGCAAGACTTCCGCGGTTTTCTTTTGAGACTGTGGAACTGCTCTCCACACTTGATCTCTGTTGGAGTCCTCCAGCCCAAATACCACAAGGACAAACATATGTCCTAGAAATGGCTGGCGACCCCGCAGAGATGCAGTTGGCACCCTGAGGTGTTCCCGAGTGGGCAGCTGGTGGCCTCCAGTTGGGAGGGCGCATTTCTTCCCGTGAACTTGCTTGCCTCGGTTCTTCCATTAATGAGTCCATGGGTCAAATGAGGGGCGAAGGTGAAGCGCGACTCCCCGCTGCCCTCGGCCTCCCGCCTTAGGGTTGCGGAGGGGAGCCCACAGGGCCCAGCTAGGCGGGGAGAGGCGTTCCGCCCTGTCTCTCTGTCAAAAAATAAAATAATAATAATAATAATAATGTCGATGATGAAAAACCCATTATGGCTTGAGGGTGAAAATAACATTTTCATTCTAAAGTCCATATGAGGTATCAAGGCATCTTCTGATAGAAAATCATGAACTTGCACATCAGGAAGTGCAAAGACTATTTAATCAAAGCCTTAAAGAAGATCAAACCTCATCATAAGATGTTAAATATATATATAATGAAAGCAGATAAGAAGAGTTTTGGGCTGTGTGACCTGAATCTGAAAATCGGAAAAAAGCCTTTTAGGTTCTTCCACTACAAGGGAAATATGTCATTTTTTTTCTTGCTCAGCAATCCAATTTACTCACTGCAGTGGGTACAAGATAGGACTTAAGCAGCATTGCCAGTCGGATAGCCTGGAGAACCAGAGTGCTCTCACATGTCCCTTGTTCTCCACACAGTTTGTTATTGACTGTCCCTGTTTTCTTATTTTGATTCATGTTATATATGACTTTTAAATGAAAGAGAGACAATGAGGAAATTCCACAATATGTGAATGAGTAGGTGTCATGGAAAGAATAAACAAGGTCTAAGAAGGATATGGGGACCCCTCGTTCTGGCTCCTCAAGTGGCTCCAGGGTTCAGGTCTTCGCTCTTAAGACCAGGCCAGGTTCAGTTTCACAGAAGGTAGCTAGAGGGATGCAGGAGCACGTAGAAAGCTTGTAGAGAAATCAGGGGGACAACAACACAATGAGGGCAAGGTCAAGGACTCAGGGTGGACCACGGTTTTAATGCCAGTGATGTTTGCATTTGTTATTATCATTAATATGTTAGCGTGATGGTAGGTCATCAATACCATTGCTGGATACTGTGGGTAATGTACAGTGGGAAAATATTAATACCAATAGTTATCATTAAGCATTTACTATACACCAAGGATGTGCTATACACTTTTGTAGGTTATATATAATTCTCTCAACAACCCCTCAAAATAGGCATTGTTTAAACCCATTTTGCCCGAAGTGTCAGAAAAGTGAAGTAACTTGATTGAAGTCATATGGTTAGAAAGAGCAAGACCTGGAATCCACCTCAGATAAGCATAATTACAGACATTTTACTCTTTTTTTTTCTTTTTTCCTTTTTTTTTTTTTTTTTTTTTTTCTGAGATGGAGTCTAGCTGTGTCGCCCAGGCTGGAGTGCAGTGGTACAATTTCAGCTCACTGCACCATCCACCTCCCAGGTTCAAGCAATTCTCCTGCCTCAGCCTCCCGAGTAGCTGGGATTACAGGCTCCTGCCACCACGCACGGCTAATTTTTGTATTTTTAGTAGAGACGGGGGTTTCACTGTGTTGGCCAAGGTGGTCTTGAATTCCTGACCTCGTGATCTGCCAGCCTCAGCCTCCCAAAGTGCTGGGATTACAATCATGAGCCACTGTGCCTGGCTTTACTTTTTTACTTACTAAATAATTCCCACAATTATTTTCAAATATAAGCAAAAAAAAAAAAATCTAGAAATAGCCAAAGAAATCTATAAATTGTGCAGAAAAGTAGTTGTGTTTTCCGGTTTACCGTCTACAGGCAATACTTGGTGTGTGCTTACATTCTCAGGCCCTAGTGGCTGCCATTCCTTATCACAAATAACTTACTATCAAATCCATCCCAGAAAAGCCAACGTGAGTAATGGGCAGGGCTTGGCACATTCTGGCTCCCAGGGCACTTCCTCATAGAGAAGAGGCAGGGTCAACTAGCAAGTAGGCTACAAGCTGTGGCAGCAACCCCGTCCCTCCTGGCATACCTCAAGCTTGTTATTCTTTTGTAATGTCTTTTTCCTGCAACATGTTGCCAGATGACTGTTTTTCCGCTGTTTGCTCTCCAGGCTCCCTTGATGAAGGCAGCTGCTGTTGTTCAATCAGATTTTACCTGTAAAAAAAATCATGGGGTAATTTCCTAAGCCTCTCATATCCTGCTAGGAATGGCTCTATGTATGGTTTAATGGACAGGCAAGCACGTACAATCCAATCAGGTATCAGTGCATATAAGGAATACATACATATATATGTATACACACATATAACACACATATATATGTGTGTGTGTGTGTGTGTACATATACATATATATGTATACATACACACATATATGTATACATATAAAAAATACCCATATATGATACGTATTAATAGAATTCATTATTACAGCATAAAAATTTATGTTTACATTTACATTTAGATGTGCTAAGGAGATGGAACAATATGGAGGAATCGTAGCCATTCAAAATTATTTGAGGAAGTTTTACTGGTGGAAGAAAATGAGTTCTATGCAGATTTTGAAAGGAGGAGAGAAAAGATAAAATGCACATTCCCACCATGAGAAGTAATCATCAGGTAGCAGTGAATCAGGCTGACTATAGAACATGAGTTTTGATATGTTTACAATTTATCTGAGGACAATAAATAATCCACACTTTAAAAAAAGAGAACAAAAGTAAAGCAAACAATATAAGACATCCCATAAAATGCACTGCTAAGTTTTGTGTTCTACATGAACTTTTTCTTTCCTACCACCTCCCAGGGGAAAGGACTCCTCTGCTGTGGAAGGAAAGAGACCCAGGACAAATGCTGGGCTTCTGCCCTTCTTTGGCTTCCTTATCTGGTTTCTTCTGAGCCCAGGTCAGACCCAGGAGATCCCTACAGGAGATACACGCAGGATACATCTTTCTAACCTAACACTTCTTTGGAAGTTATCAATGTACTGACTCCTACCTGGAAAAGGGTGAAAGATGAAAGTAAGAAATGCTATAATATCTGCCTATGCCTCTCTCTCTCTCCTGCTCCAACCTGTCACCTCTGACGAAGAGAGTGAAAACATGTAGCGACAGCCTTTGGAAGGGGAGGATGGTTGCTGACTGGGCTCTGCATTCTGTGAGCAGTGGTGTTTGTCCCTGATGCCTGGGCTCCAGGGAGGATAGGGACCACTGCAACTTTGGGATAGTTCTTCTCACTCTCCTGGGAAATAACTTCTTTTTTATGACAGCAGATATACCCGAGGGCTCACAGAGCTTTAAAACTTTCATCAAGAAACCTCCCGCTACTTGAGGGAAGTTGCCTTTAATCTTCTCATATCACACACACATAATCAGATGCACTCAGAGATTATGGATCCAAATCCTATGGAAAGCCATTAGCACACTGGTGACCAGAATGGGGAGCTCCGGATGCCACCATATTTAGACACATTTCTTATCTTTCTAGGGCTTCTTGCTACTTCCTCATCTCTGTAGCTAGATCTGGCTTGGGGAGAGAAGGCCACCCAGGTTTTCTGAGTACCTCTCTGTATTAAATCCTTCCACATTTGTGATCTCACTTAATCCTTACCACAAGCCTTCAGGGTAGATAATATTATTATCAGCCTTACTTTATCAAGGAAGAAACTACCTTGCCTAAAATCAAACAGCCAGTAGGGGTTTGAGTCAAGGGCACATTGGTCTGATCCATGCCCCAGACCCCTTCCACCACAGCATGCTGTGAAGACAAAAACTGATGCCAGAACAGAGTTAGCCAAAAGAAAGGCATTGCCGATGTCAGGCAAAGCACTTTGGAAAAGGAATGTCTGGGTAAGTGGGGGTTTGATAAATCAAGCATTCAGCACAGGTCAATTCAGGACTGTGGAGGCAGAACTGGCCCCTGAGCTGAGGGTGTGGCACAGAGCAGAGTGCCCAGCTCCAGCAGGGTCCTAGGAACACTCTGGTGCCCTGTTGAATCACACTCATCCTTCTCTAGCCCAGGGCTCAGGTCTTTGTGCCTTCAGCAAGACAGTGAAGCAGGAAAGCTGGACCTTGATACATCCTTCCACCCAACACGCTACCCTCTCTTTCCCTCTCTTTTCCCCTCCCATGATTGTTTTAAAGATGCATCCCCAGAAAACTCTTCACCTGTGTTGTTTTTATCAACGTTTTATTTTGTTGGATGTACTTAGTCTTTGTTTCTGCTCTTCTCCTAACCTTGGATCTTTTTTGCATCCTTCTCATCATTGCCCCTTTTGCTTTCTGAAATATCCCCCAACTTCTTGCTCTAATTTCCTATCTATTTCTCTTCTGAAATACGAAGAAGAACAAAAGAATAAGAATAGGAGCCATCCTTTGCATCTCCCTGAATGATTCATTATTTGATTTTTTTTCATTACATTCTTTGAATGAGCTTCATAAGATCTATGGTAACTAGATACCCCATTTGTGTCAACTGTTCTTTTGATATGTTGGCACTGTCTAAATAAGCATTTCAGAGCATCTTCATTCCCCTGTTTTTGTTTCACAAACCTGGTGGTTGGGTTTCCAGCTAAAGGAAGAAGAAAAGAAAGAAGAGGTTTGCAGAAAGATCAGACAGGCAGAGAGCAAGCCCTTGTCCAGTCCCTAGGTTACTCAGGCCTTTGTTTTGTTTTTGTTTTTGTTTTTGTTTTTGTTTGAGGGGAGGGGGGAATTGGACAACAATTCACTGTTTTTGTGTACACAGACACTTGCACACCCACACACATTTCAGACTGAGAATATCAGTGTTGGACAGGTACAAAATCATATAGACCAGACCATTCATTTCAGTGATGCAGAAACTAAGACCCAGAGAAGCAAAGTAGCTTCTTAAGATCATAAAACCAACCAATGGGTAAACTGGAACTAGAATCCAAGCATCCTGACCCCCACATTTCAGAATTTTTTCTACTGACCTGTCTAAAGATGGAGCTCTGAATCTTTCTGACTTCCCTTTTAGTGATCATTTTTGGCTCTATTATCCATGAACTTATCTGAAGTCTTCTGGAAGCTATTTCTGTTTTCAGTGTCATGCTCCCAAGCAAGAGTCTGAAACCACTGAGATGGAGGAAGATAAGAATGTGAAGGGGTTTATTTTTGTGCATTCTCAGATCCCTGACCTCTTTCCTCCTGAGGGAGTCAGGGGCCTTACAACTTAGGAGAGAGATATAAAGGCGAAGGACTTTGTTTTGGGAGGGGCTTCAGGGCAGGCCCTTTGTTAGCATTTCCCGGGAAACCAACAATCTTCCTCCCATAGGTAGCATTTGGCAGCAGACACAGATATAAAAGGGACTTTAATCTGACTCTTATCTTGGACGCCTGTCCAGTTCTCACATCGTAACCCTCAGTGAGCTTCGTGTAGAAGAGGCAAGTCAGTGGATGTTTCAGCCAGAGCCTGGCTTGCTTCCCCATTCTCATTTCCTCATTACTTCCTGGCAGACTTGGGGCCAAACTGCCCAACTAGCTTCTAAATATTGTAGGAACAGACAGTAGAAACCAGCCAGTTCCTTCTCCAGGACGAGATCATGAAAGAGTCAGGAACAGAGCCCCAAGGGCCCGGATTCTCAGGCCACCAGAGCAAGCTCTGGCTTTGTTCTGGGAGAGGTTGTCTTTGCCTTAGTCAGCTGCTCAGAACGGAGAGATTTTCAAATGTCTCTTGAAAATCAAAAGTTGGGAAAGGTCTTCTTTTTAATGACTAGGCCCCCTCCTGTTAATTTCCCAGCAATGTGGCCTTTCATCTTTCCTCGGGTTCAATATAAAAGGGCCCAGATCTGGTGGAGAAATAATAGGAGGAGGGAGATAACCGCAGGACTTGGGGCTGGATTTTTTCCATTTAAACTGGGAAGATACTAGCGGCTTGGGAGATTTGCATAATTAAAGGAGCCTATCGATGCAAAAACTGGGGTGACTGGGGATGAGAAAGGCCACATAAGGGGTGTGGGGGGGACAGAAAGAGAGGAGTGCTACAGTAAAGAGAAATGACAGCTGGTGCCATGGGGAAATGAACCAAACTGTTTTCTTTCTTCTTAAGGAAAATTATCATTTCAACTTTGCTCAGTCTTCTCTGTGACCACTTAGAGGAAGGAAGGCTCCCAATCTGCATGTAAATGGAATGATTTCAGGGAGCACAGAACAGAGAGTAAGCTTTCCCCCTCCCCCTTCAGGAGAAGGCCATGAATGCATTAAAATTGACAGCCGTTCTTTGCAAATGCAGAGGGTTACACTCACCCATTTCCAGCAGCCCTGACAGGCCACAGGCTTCTGTGATTTGGTTTTAGGGATAGAGAAGGTCCTTTGCTCAAAGGAAAGGATCAAATGCTGTCTGGAACTCTACCATTCAATGTAATTGAACTTCTTCCATGTCGCTTTGATCTGTTTTTAAAATACTGATGTCCCAGGAGAAGAGGCAAAGCTCTCAGCTGTTTTCAGTCCTCTACATCGAGGTATGATTGGGAGCTTTGAGAAGAGCTGTTCATTCCTTTAACAAATACTAAAAGCAGCAGCCGGAAGCTGGCATCGTGCTTGGTTCTGGGGATGCCAGAACAAGGAAAAGTCCTGGCCTGAAGAAGTTCACAGTCAGTGGGTTTTGCTACTCAAGGAAAGGGAAGGGGCGCCAAGTGGAGAAACAGACAATTTGAGCTCTATGGAAGGATGGAAGGAGCAAAAACAGGGAGCAGAAGAGCACCGAAGATATGCTTTTTTTTTTTTTTTTTGAGATAAGGTCTTGCTATGTTGCCCAGGCTGGTCTCAAAGTTCTGGGTTCAAGCAATCCTTCCACCTTGGCCTCCCCAAAGTGCTGGGATTAAAGGCATAAGCCACTGCACCTAGCTGGAAGATACACTTTTATGACATTTCTATGCTTTTCCATTTGTGTCGCAAGCTGGCCCCATTTCTGATAAATGGCTCCCTGTTTGACTTCCAAGGATATAAAGCACCTCTGTCCTTATCCCTGCTGTCACTCGAGAGAAAGGCAGAAGGAGAAAGGAACTGTAAACACACACCTGGACTTTTTTTCCCCTAAATCTCCTCCACTCCCACCCCTCAGGGCTGCTTTGCTGCTAAAAGCAGAGTCCTGTCCTCTTATGAAAATCTCCCCTCCATTTTGCTTGGTCAGCATTAGAAGGACTGAGGACTGTGCCTTTTCATTACAATTATTTCTATTTCTGACAGTCCCCTAGGTGGGTCACAGGACAGGCACCTCCGTCTAGGGCTGACTGATGGTCCTCCTGCTGCCTGTTCTGCCTTCATAATTACTTCTGGAGCTGTCACATGACAGCCTGCACAGCCTAGGAGCCAGGGCACCCCGTAAACCCTCCAAGTGTCCGCTGGAAATGCATAGAAAGGTCTTGAAGTTGACGGTGAGTGGGGGCTTATGGGGAGAGGCACACGCCTCTCTTTCACAGAGAGGGTCCGTGTGAAAGAACCCTGGGGAGCCTCCCGTCCTAGGCTTCCAGAAGAGATGAATCAGGGCCTACAGTGTGTGTTTGGGGACGGGGGGCCTCAGGTCAACAGCCTGCAAAACTCACCACCGCAGCAGCACATCCTAGCAACACCGGCTTCTCATGTCACTGCATTGGCCCCACAGGAAAGCTCCTTATTTCATGTCTTCTGAGAGATGTATTCTGAGTTCTGGCTTTGCTGTACCGGACTTAGAAACTTCCAGAGGTGTTAGAGACTCTTCCATGGGACAAAGCTCCTTGTCAGGGGATGGCAGAGTGTTGGCACAAAGAGTCCTCTTGGAATGTCCCAGGAAGGTTGTTATCCTTTGCCCTGACTGTCTAGTGGGGCATTGCAAGGACTGAGCCATTTGCAAGAACTGAGGAGTTGCCCGGTAGATCAGCAGAATTTTGGAAGTCAGCCTTATTTTAGAGCAGCCAACATTTTTGGCACCAGGGACCGGTTTTGTGGAAGACAGTTTTTCTATGGACTGGTGTGGTGGTGATGGTTGGCGGGGAGGGGTCAATGGTTTCAGGATGATTCAAGTGCATTACATTTATTGTGCACTTTATTTCTATTATTGTTACATTGTAATATATAATGAAATAATTATACAACTCATCATAATGTAGAGTCAGTGTGAGCCCTGAGCTTGTTTTCCTACAACTAGATGGTCCCATCTGGGGGTGATGGGACACAAAGACAGATCACTGGACATTAGATTCTTATAAGGAGCAGGCAACCTAGATCCCTGGCTTGCATGGTTCACAGTTGGGTTTGAGCTCCTATGAGAATCTAATGTCCCTGTTGATCTGATAGGAGGCAGAGCTCAGGCGGTAATGCAAGTGATAGGGACCTGCTGTAAATTCAGGTGAAGCTTCACTGCTTGCCCGCCTGCCACTCACCTCCTGCAATGCAGCCTGGTTCCTAACAGGCCATGGACCAGTGCCAGTTCATGGCCCCAGGGGGTCGGAGATCCCTGTTTCAGAAGCATAATGGAGCTTCTGAAGCAGCTTTTCTTGAAGAAAGGCATTTTTCAGAGGGGCTTCTCCTACAAGTCATCTCTGTCTTGATACAGGTGCCAGAAACCCATGACCATGAGCCGACTGTGTTTACTCACTTATTCATCCATCGGTTTGTGTTAAGCAAGTCTGAACCAACTATGTGGGTCCAGTGGAGGATGCAGAGATAAACAGGATGAAGACCCTGCCCCCTAGAAGTTTACTACCTAACAGAAGCCGAGACATCACCGTCTCCCTCCTGGAGCTGATCTTCATAGAGCAAGCTCTGGGCACTGTCCTTCCTGCTTCACAGATGTTATGTCCTGACCCCAGGCAGATCCACGAAGCAGGAACTGAGTAGCCCAGGGTTGCAGGGTTTGCCAACACTAAGGTTGGAAGCTGGTTCTCTGCCTAAAGAGCTCTTGCTCCTAGCCATCATTGAACACAGACAGTGAGGTAGGAGTGGAATCAGGTGCCCACAGAGGGCTGTGCCCATTCAGAGAAAAGACCTGTCACTCATCACTTCCGCTGCCACAGTCTCTGTCAGAGGGCTTTGGAGAGCTGTTTCTGGCTGCTCCACCAAAAGCACCTGGCAGCTTTCCTGGGCCAGCATACAAACAGGGACAAAAAGACACGCCATTTGGATTGGCCCCTGTGTCCAAGAACAGGACATATTTTTCACTCCCTGGCTTCCCAAATACCCCAAGCTCTCTGCCTCCTAGAGGTGAGATAAACATTTTAACTGGGGGAGGCCTTAGAGAGAACCTAGTCAAGTTATTCACTCGCATCCCCTAGTTCACAGGAAAGGAGATTGAGACTCAGGTGAGCTTACCATGGGCCATAGTCAGAGGCAAGGCAGGACCTCTAGCCCTGGGTCCTGGGCCCCAACCCTCTGCTAACCCCCTACCTGGAGCTCACCAGAGAAGTCTTAATGCAAAGTCGGACATCTCAAGAGACGGGAGTGACTGGCTTTTGTGTGTGCTATCTACTAAGTCAAATTGGGCCATAAGCAGTGATTCGGGGGTCTGAGCTCTTGTCAATCTTGCCTCTTCCCAAGCCTGACACTTCCCAAGCCTAACACCAGATTCTGAAAACTCCCACTTAAAGGAAATCTCCCTCGGCTGATTAGCTCTCTGCTTTATCCTAACCAACAGCCTTTATTGAACACACTCTGCTAAGCTAAAGGTCTCTGGAGAATTGATTGTACAATCCTTGCTCTCCTATTCACAGCCTGGGTCTCCGGGAACACCTGGACTGGAATTCCCCTAGACGGTCTGGTTTCCACTTTCCCTCTTCTCAGCCCCATCAATGAACATGCAGCAATGAGAACCTGGGCATGTTTTGAAACTAGCCGGATCTGGCAATCTGGAGAGCGTGTCTGTAACATGAGCTCCCCACTGCCACCAGTTTCCTGAATGAGGACTCAGGGCCATGCTAGTTTCGATTTGGAGAGAATGCCTTACCTAGGGTCATCTTCTTAGCAGGAGAGGTTGTGGAAACAGCAGGCACCATGACATGAGGGGATGGCTGGGGTGGAGATAACATCCCCGACCTGAACAGCAAGCAGGAGATTTACAGGCCTATGAGTCTGGCACCTGATTCAGCAGAATCCCTTTGTTTTATTACACCCTGTGAAATTCAATCATTCCCAGGGAAGGCCTTTTGCCTGGGAAGGGGGAGATTCAGGCTCTGGTTAAGTTAGGATTAAGTTGCTGATTTCAGCAAATGAAAATTAATGACAGCTGCTTGTCTCCCATTTGTGGGGGACACCTGCCGAGGTAACTCAGCCTCCCCAGTGTCAGGATGAGGGCTTGGATAAGTTCTTGGGGCAGGTGATGCCCATTTGGATGCTTTAGCGCACCTCGCCCTTACCTCGTGGACTCTGACATTTCAAAGGGTGAGTTTCCTGCTGGGGCTTATTTTCTTCCTGAGTCGGCACAGAAGGGAGGTGAGGGTTGTAGAGCCGAGCTCGGGTTTCTCAGGAACTCTCCCCCTAGGGCTATCGTGTAGACTTTTGCAGAGGTGGCAAATCACTTACATGTACATAGGCATCACTATTTTCTTTGTGTAAAGCTTGGAAACATCTCCTGCCACCTACCCCGCTGCAAGGGTTTATGCAGTCTTTGTTTATTCCTGCTCAGGACAGGGAGGAAGATGGCTGCTCTCCTTAGAGGTGGTATAAATTTTGGTCTTCAGGTATCTCCATCTGAAATGCAAATACAACTTAGGCCAATGCCTCATCAGGCAACACATTAGCGTGGCTTAATAACAATCAACTGAGACAAAAAAATGAAGCTTAGCATCCACAGTAATGATATTATCTATCATCTATTGAATAATTACTATGTACCAGGTGCTATGCTATGCTCTCTACAAACAATATCTTTCTTTCCTTTTTCCCTTTCCTTTTAATCCTTACACAGCTCTGAGGCAGGTATTCCATTTTACATTCAGAAAGGTTTAGCAATGCATCCAGAGTTACACACCAAATAAATGCAGAGTCAGGAGTTCAACCCAGGCAGTCGGACCCCCTCACCCTTTGCTACAGGTGCTTAGGGTTGCAGGGAAAATTAGGAGAAAGAAACAGAAGAGGAAGGGAGATTTTGCTTCAAGGGGAGATGGGAAGGAACAAAAAAGAGCTTGATGTGGTTGAACAATTAATGTCCTTAGGGTCACACAGACCCTTGTTGATACCTCAAAAGGAAAAGCTCCTCCTGCTCTGTGGGAGCTTAGGCTGTAATTCACTTGTCTCTGTCACTTTCCTTATCATGGTCCCCTTTTCCATTAGCACTACAGTGGGTGGCTCAAAAACACTCCTACTGCTGGTCCCACATCAATACTGTGAAGCAAATATTATATTATTCCATTTTTTTTAACAAGGATCCTGAGATTAAGCTGGGATAATTAACAGGCTGATAGTTACCCAGGAAGTGAGGAATAGATTTATCATAATGATAAAATGAATTCAAGACCAGTATCAAGCAACGGCAGACCTCAATCCACTCTTCCTGGTCTCTCCCTTAGCGTTTTTTCTTTCTTTTTTTCTTCTTGGTCCAGCTTTATTGAGGTATAATTGACACATAAACCTCTGCGTAAGGGTTACTTTCTCTTGGTAGCCTCCCTGATCTTTCACCTCTTTTTATTCTCTTCTAAAAAGCTCATGGTATGTTTCACACTGCGTTTTAGTACCCACTCAATTGTACCTTTAGAGTCAGGGAATGAGTCTTCTCTACTGTTATGCATTCTGGACCTCATGAACATTAAATGAATGAATGAATGAATGAATGAATGAATGAATGAATGAAAAAATGAATGAGCTTACAATGAGAACTAAAATAACATGGGACACAGAAGACATTCAAGAGATTAGCGCCATTCACTCCCTTGGCAAGAGGTCAGCCTCAATGGAATCACTGCTGAGTGCCTCCAGAAGGTGAAATAACAGCCGTCTAGGACAAAGAGACTATTCAAAGATATTTCCCAGTGTTGGCGACTCTGGTTTTTGGTCTAGGGCAGAACTGTCCAGTGACAATGGGGTGCTTAAAATGTGGAGCTTCTCAAAGGCAGCCAGCAACTTCTTCAGCCTTGCACTTCCCAGTCATGGGTGAATGTTAAGTTGACCTGAAGAGGTGGCATTCCTCCTTAGTCATTGTACGTGCTCACCAGGATGTTAACCTCATTCTGAACCAGTGCTGAGGTCATGGCAGCAGAGGTGAGTGACCACAGCTCAGCTGTGACAAGAATAACTACAGCCCAGCCGGATGGTAAAGAGCAGGTGAGTCTGTGGGAAGGATCTGATCCATGGAGCCATCAGCCCTAGGACCTGACACTTTCTGAAAAGGAAGGGCCTACAAATAGTATCCCAGGAAGGTACGGGGGAGGCGAGTGGGGATGGAGGGACAGGACAAAGACATGCTCTGTTACCACTGCCCTTATGCAAGAGTCCCTGTTATCTTCACAGCAACAGAGTGCAATGGTTAATGTTATGTTTCAGCTTTTTAATTTTAGTGCCAATTATCCCAGTTATTATTTATTCAGCCTAACCTTTGCACCTCGCTCTACAGCGGGTGGCTCAAAAACTTCCAGTGCTAGGCTCTGCAGCAATGCCATGAAGCAAATATTTATATTATTCTCTTTTACAAATGAAAATCCTGGGATTAAGCTGGGATAATTAACAGGCTGATGGTTACCGAGAAAGTCAGGAATGGATGCGTCAGAATGATAAAATGAATTCAGGACCAGTGTCAAGCAATGGCAGACCTCTTTTCACTCTTCCTGGTCTCTCCCTTCACTTTCTTTTTTTAAATGTCCAGCTTTATTGAGGTGTATTTGACACATAAAATTTGTATATATTCAAAGTGTACAGCATGATGAGTTGATATACATATACATTGTGTAATTATTACCACAATCAAATTAACACTTTCATCACCACACATAGTTATCGTGTGTGTGTCTGTGTGTGTGTGTGCACGCATATAGGACACTTAGGAGCTACTCTCTTAATAAATTTCAAATAAACAGTATCATATTGTTAACTATAGTTAACAAGCTATACATTAGATCCTCAGAACTTATTCATCTTATAGCTGAAAGTACTTGCCCTTTAACCTACTTCTCTTCCCTTTTTCCCCAAACCCCAGGCCCTAGTGATCACCATTTACTCTCCTTTTGAGGGTTTGACTTTTTTTTTTTTTTGATTCCTTATGTATTAACTTGACTAGGCTAAGGAATGCCAAGATAGGTGGAAAAACATTATCTCTGGGTATACCTGTGACAGTGTTTCCAGAAGAGATTAGCGTTTAAATAAATAAACTAAGCAAAGAAGATCTGCCCCCACCAATGTAGGCAAGCATTATCTATTCCTTAAAGGGCTTTAACAGGACAGAAAAGCAAAAGAAGGATGAGTTTGCTCTCTCTCTCCTTCAGCTGGGATGTCCGTCTTATCCTGCCCCCCCGACAGTGGCACTCCTGGCCTTTGGGCTTCGACTGAGTTGCACCACTGGCTTTCATGGGCCTCCAGTTTGCAGACAACAGATCATGGGACTTTTCCACTTCCATAATCATGTGAGCTAACCCCTCATAATAAATCTCCTATGGGTGTCATTTCTCTGGAGAACCCTAACTAATAAACAGAACAACCACTTAAGGACCAATTCCTCCTCTTCAACTTCGTTTCCCTCCCAAATCACTCCTGCCATCCTCCCAGCTAGTTTATCTCCACATCATATGTATCCCCTCAACTACTCCACAAAGAAATATGTGGTGGAAATACCAAGAAAATGAGTAAAGCAGAGATTGCTATGTGTCACCCACTGATCTGAGCTCTCACCAGAACCAAGAGAGGTAGGTACTATCATTCTCCCCATTTTACAGGTGAGGAAATTGAGACTCACAGAGGTTAAGTAATTTGCCCAAGGTCTTTCAGGTGAGGAAGCTTGGAATCAAACCTAGGCGGTCTGGCCTGAGAGTCTGTGTCCATGAGGGAGAGGAGGAGAGGGCAGGGAAGGGGTAAGGGGATGTTGTGTAAACAGGAAAATGAGAATGCTGGTGAGCAGGCAGAGTGGGTCCCAGGAAAGACACTCTTTAGCCTCAGCCTCTCATTTGTATACATCTGTTTCTAGGACCAGCTAGTGTGTTGCTTCTTAGGGAGCATGATGTCAGGTGTGTTCTCTCCACCTGCAAGGCAGCAAATGACGAACTTTGTCCTCCAGGTAAATGTAAAACTTATTCCCTCACCTGTCAAGACCAGTGGGTAGAGATGCCTGGCTGCCAGTCTACATATGCATTCCACAGAGCATGCTGGAAGTGAGCTCAGGCATTGAGCCTCCCAGTACCTACCTTTCTCCTCTGTACACACACACACACACACACACACACACACACACACACACACACACACAACCCTCACCTTAGGGCTCTGCCACAAACATCAGCTGCTTCCCCTCAGCAGGGAATGGCGAGGGTCACCCTGTGTCACGAGGACAACCTTCCTTCCTGCGTCCCTTCCTCACCCACATTGGCTTTTGAAAACCAGGCAGATGTATTTCAAATCCCTTTTGTTTTTCACTGAACAAAGAAAAAAAATGTCCCTGTCATTGTTCACTGTGCTGTTGCTTCCTCCTATTAGCTCTGCTAAGATGCACCCAAAGAAAATACAAGTGCATACAATTAGCAATGGAAATTATTAATAGGAGCAAGAGATTCAGTCCATTCTACAAGTAATTCTGTAGTGATTTTAGTAATTGATAGTAATTAAACACTAATTAATTCATTTCCTAACTAATGTATTTACTTTATTTATGGGTATTCACTTTAATTACACTTGTTTGCATTCCTTGGGTTAAGTAACACAAATTTACTCTCTTTTCTGAAAATATTTATTTGGGCTTCTTTAAGTCGTTCTTTGAGAGTGTGTGAGAACAAAGACTAATTGCTTTGAATTGCAGCTAAGCACATTGATTTCTTACTTTGGAATGTGGAGCTAATGAAAAGTGAAGCTTTTCTGACTTCTCGGTTGGGCCTTATCTTCTTTTACCTCATTCTGGTCCAGCTGTCTGGCAAACAGTCTCTCTGCTTTTTTTTTCAGAAAAGATCTGGGAATAAGTTGCACATGGACCTGAAACATCAGGGAATAACAGCCCCACCTTTGGGCCTCACTTGCAATAAGCAGGATGAGCCTGGAGAGACATGGCAGACATGTGTCTGTTCTTTGGGTTGAGTGGTCATTAGCTATTTCAGTAAGACTCCCAAGACTGGAAGCAAAGCGCTGAGGGCCACCCAGCCCGCTTATCTCTCCCTATTGGCCATGTGGTCTGTCTTCAGACACTGCTCCTGAAGGGCATTCTCTTGATATTTCACCTCTGAGCAGCTCCAACTCTTAGAAATCCTTCCTCACACTGAGCCTACATCTATCACTTTAAGATGATCTTCCTCCCTGCCCAGCCCCACCCCGACCTGCTCTACTCATAGGGCCACAGAGAGTAAGTCCAATCTCTAATCCAAAGACCAGCCTGTCTGACACCTCACAATTTACATGGTGGCACCAGGCACTCCAATTTGTTTAAGTATTCTCATGTAGAATATTTTATTCTACAGCATCCTGTTTGCTGAAGGAAGTCCAGCCTATTTGCATCCTCCCTAAAAGATGTGACTGGCTATGATCTGACTATCGCAACAAAAAATAGAAATGATCTCTTTCAGTCAAGACTCTGTATTTCCATTAATGACTGCATTAACTTGGGTTGTTCATATAACAATAACTCCTTTGAGTTTTTAGCAATAGGCAGTGTGATGAGGGTTCCTGAGATCTGTTATGAATAATGGGTAAGTCAAAAGTATAACAGAGACTCTAGGTTACAGAAAAAGTTTAGAAATTCTAGCCTGGACATCAGCTCTACATAAAGTAGTTACTCCTTTTGGCCCATTTTGCCTTCCTTTTTAAAAACATTTTGAAATATTTAATTGATAAATAAAGATGGAATATATCCAAGGTGTACAATGTGATGATTTGTTATACATATGCATCGTGTAATGAATGTCACAATCAAATTAATTAACACATCCGTCATCACCCATACTATATAGTAGAGCGCCAGAACTTGTTCATCTTATAACTTAAAGTTTGTACCCTTTAACCAACATCTCCTCAATTATCCCAAGCCCTTGACAACCACTATTCTACTCGCTGCTTCTATGAGTTTGACTTTTTTAGATTCCACATGTAAGTGAGATCATGTGGTTTTTGTCTTCCTATATCTAGCTTATTTCACTTAGTATGATGTCCTCTGGGTTCATTAATGTCTTGAGAAATGACAGGATTTCCTTCCTTTTTATGTCTGAATAATATTCCACTGTATATGTGTACCATGATTTCTTTATCCATTCATTTGCTGATGGACACTTCGATTGCTCCCATATCTTGGTTATTACAAAAAAGGATGCAATGGATATGGGGTGCAAATATCTATTTGAGATACTGATTTCATTTCCTTTGATTATGTGTCCAGAAGAAGGATTGATGGATCATTTGGCAATTTTATTTTTAATTTTTTGAGAATCCTTCATATTGCCTTTGATAGTGGCTTTACCAACTTACATTCCCACCAACAGTGTGCAAAGATTTTATTTTCTCCTTACCCTCACCAACACTTCTTTCTTGTCTACTTGATAACAGCAATCCTAAACAGCATGAGGTGATATTTTATTGTGGTTTTGACTCACATTTCCCTGATTATAAGTGAGGTTGAGCATAATTTGTTTTATACAAAATTATGTTCCACCTCAGACTGCCCAGGAGCAAAATTGGTGAGGGGCCAACAACTGGCAGAAAACCTGCAGGATGAGGGTGGAAAATATGTCTACAGTCACGATGGATTGTTTTGGCAGCAATGTTGTCCTTTCATTGTGCAAGACTCCAATTCTCCCCTTCATCCTGGGAAGAGAAGGAAGACAAGGTAAGAGAGCAGTGACTGAAACCAGAAGGGACAGGAAAATTAGGGGTGGGTCTGTCTTCTGGGAAGTCCTGAGATGAATGTCTGTGAAAAGTACATGACAATGATAAAAGAGGAAATCTCATATATACTTAATACCTACACCTCGGGGGCCTCCCCATGATGCCAAGTTCACATGCATCATTTTTTTTTTCACTGTAGGGCAGTGGAAGGGCTAATTGGTCTGGATGAAGAGACAATGAGAAATGAAGGCTCTGCAGCAGGCTCATTGCTCATTCACTGGCCTCTGTAGCTACTGGGGTCCTTGTATCTGATGCCAGAGCCTTACGAGAGGAAGGGAGTGGAAGGCCAGGGAAGAAGAAGCCAGAGGCTTGGGCCAGGAACTGTCCAGCCAGGAAAGTGCTGAATCAGCCCTCACCTCTGAACTTGGAGGGTCCATGGAAGCTGCTGCCAGGACCTAACCTCTGGAAATACACCTTTCCAAGGTGGGTAGGAAGTGGTGGAAATAGCCACACAACCAAATTATTACAGAGTCATAATTGAAGTTTAAGCTGCTAAAAGAGTTATGTTGGAGAACGGAGTGGGCCACAGTGATGGAAGAAAGCCCCATTCTAAGCCTAGGGAAACACACGTTCTTGATAGAGGTTACCTGGATACACAAAGGAGCAGGATGGCAGGAGTGATCATAATTTCCTTCTGTGGTTGATGGAGCTTCTTCTCCATTCGGAAGATAGTCCTTGACTTCCAATTTCCTTATTATTGCTTGGCCCCGTAGAAATTACTTCCATTCTATAAAATAACTCCTGCCTGGCTATCTTTGAAGCTGCAAAAGGAAGGATTTTCAACTATGTAGAAGTGAATGTAGCAGTAATACAGATGTGTTTGCATTTTAATAAAAATCGTGTGTGTGTGTGTGTGTGCATGTGCACACCATCTACAGATACACAGATGTGTGTGGTTTGGTCTTATCAGCATTCAGTGTAGAATTTGCATCTCCTAACCAGTTCAGGATCCAGAAAAGTAGCTCTTCATAGAAGAATTCCATTCCTAGCCAGCCGGCTGTGAAATACTGTACCTGTTCCATAAAGACAGGCCTGTTTTCATCCCTTAAGCACACACACACACACACACATACACACACACTCATGTGACCCAGGCATGCCGCAAGGGAAATCGGCTAAGAATTCTCATGACAAAGTCTGTGAAGAGGGGAAAAAAATCAAGGTTCTTTGAATTTAGTTTTTTTATGAACTGGAATGAGGTTTCAGGACCAGAATCTTTAACATATTGTTTTATAATTAAAGAAGGAAGGCAGGAAGGCAGGCAAGGTGAGTGGAGGGAGGGAAAGGGTGGGAGGAACAATGGGAGGAATGCAGTCACAGAGGAGTGTGCCTCATTCAATAACTGTTAAATGAAAAATAATAATTATGGGAATAAAGTGCGCATGACCAACATATAGGCCAAATCATCTCATCCTCTTTGCCTCTCTCATCATCTTTGGAAGAGTGGCATTTAAGTATTGACTGGAGTTACATCCCCTGAGCCATCCCTCACTGGGATTGGGTTCTGAGAGTTTAATGCTAACTAAACTTTAAGGAAATGAGAGCCTGAAAGAGAAACGAAATCAAATGCAATATAATAGAGAAAAATGATGAGACACTATTAAGAATTAAGTCCATTATCCTATTAGTTGCTAAAGAGGATTCTTTGCCTTGGTTTCTTGTCCCAAATTAGTTCCTTTCCACATTCAATATGAGTTATGTATTTGACTAAATTTAGGTAAGAAGATTCCTAACCCAGAAAAATAAGCAGAACACAGTCCATCCTATTTAAAAAGAATAATTCAAATGGGTAATAAAGTGCCATCCCCACCATTCGGTAGAGTATATGCTGGAACAAACTAAATACTCTGACCAGCCTTCTGCTCAAAATGCGTTTCATATTCAAGAGGCTAATTACTGAAAGGCCCTCACTGACATGAGGAAGAACCGGAGCAAAGCAAGTCACCTAGTAATTCCACACCTATTGAAAGACTCGAGGCCTAAAATGAAGCAAAATTTGCTGAATACACCACACAGAATCAAATCAAGGTTCAGAAACCAAGCTCAGGCTTTAAGGAATCAAAATAACCATCAAGAAAACATTTTGTTGGATATCCATTTGTTCTGATATATGATGATTCTTCTTATTGCTGTCTCCTGATTGACAACTTCATCCCATTTCTTTTCTAGTCCCTACTTATATAATACCTTCCCCCTCAAAACACTCAGATATACACTCACAGGCGTGCACGTGCTTGTGCCCATGTAAACATACCATCTTCATGCACAAAACTAGCTGTTTCTCTTCATGTATTGCTCTTCTATCTATGCTTGACACTATCAATCATCCTCCCCTCCTTGGTTACTGAGACACTATCTCTCTTCTGTTTTCTTCCAACTATGTGAAATTGAATATACCAGTAATCTTAATATGTGTGAATTTTAGTCTAAACTGTGTGTGTATGTGTGTGTGTGTGTTTGCGTGTGTGCTCATGCACAGGCTAGCTAGAGACAATATACAGATGTGTTTCTACCTCTTTGTTCTCCTTCCTCTTTTCCCTCATTCTGAATGTAGATATTTAACTCTGCCAGCCCTTTAATCCTTCCTCTGTATCTTTTCTCTTAACAAGGCATTCACTTTTAAGGCTTCCATTAGCCCCTCTGTAAATATGATCGTCAAATTTAACTTCAGTTCTGAAATCAGTCCCGAGTGCCACTTCCAAACGTTCAATTATTTGCTGAAGTTTTCCACCTAAATGTTCCCACCAGCACGGTAAACTCAACACATGCCAAACTAAACTCACCTTTCATCCTTTACCCCAATCAAAAAAGAAATAAGCTTTCCAGGCTGTGTTCCTTATGTGTGTTATGACATCTCCATCATCTCAAGCCCCATAACCTCGTCATCATCTTTCCCTTTTTTGAGCTTTGTCAATGTTGAGTCATTCATATTTCCTTTACCAACCTCTGCCACCACCCTAATTCACACAATCCTTATTCATTTGGATTACTGTAATAGCCTCTTAACTACTTTTGATGCCTCTAGTCTTCTACATCTCTAATTTGTTTTACAGATCCCTACAAAGTGATCTTCCTAAAGCACTACTCCGATTGTCTTACTGATCTGTCTCAAAAACATCCTGTCTCCTGATACACAAGATCCAAAATTTAAGCTTCCTTAATTTGAACCCAGAGTTCCCCACAATCTAACATAGACAGATCACATCTATCACCCTCCCTTCACCCAGCCCAGGTGTTTCGGCCAGGCTGAACTGCTTGCTATTCACTATATATCAGCATTTCTAGGTATGTGCCATTGTCCCACGGGTTCACTCAACCTGGAGAGCAGTGTTCATTTCCACAGGTTCAAATCCTTTGCTCAAATTCCATCTCCTCCTAGGAGTTATCCCTGATATCCAGCTGAAAGCGAGGTTATATCCCTCTGCTCTCATTTTATTTATTCCTTTCCTGACCCTAATCATTTTCTTGTTCTTTTCAACTTTTATTTTAGATTCAGTGCATACATGTGCAGGTTTTTTACCTGGACATATTAAGTGATGTTGAGGTTTGGGGTACAAATGATCCCATTACCCAGGTACTGTGCATAGCACCCACTAGTTAGTTTTTCAACCTTTTGCCCATCTTGCCCTCCCCCTTCTCATAGTCCCCAGTTTCTGTTGTTGCCATATTTGTGTCCATGTGTACCCAATGTTTAGCACCTTCTTATAAGGGAGAATATGTGTATTTGGTTTCCTGTTCCTGCATTAATTCACTTAGGATAATAGCCTCCAGCTGCATCCATGTTGCTGCAAAGGACATATTTCATTTTTATGGCTGCATAGTATTCCATGGTGTATATGCACCACATTCTCCTTATTACATCATCGATTGGCACCTAGGTTGATTTAATGACTTTGCTATTGTGAATAGTGTAGTGATGAACATATAAGTGCATGTGTCTTTTTGGTATAAATGATTGTTTTGTTTTGGATATATACTCAGTAATGGGATTGCTAGGTCAAATGGTTGTTCTGTTTTAAGTTATCTGAGAAATCTCTAAACTGCTTTTCACAGTGGCTGAACTAATTTACATTCCCACCAACAATGTATAAGCATTCCCTTTTCTCCACTGCCTCACAAGAATCTATTGTTTTTAGATCATTGTTTGAGATAGATCTTGCTCTGTCACCCAGGCTGAGTGCAGTGGCATGAACGTGGCTCACTGCAGCCTTGACCTCCTGGACTCAAGCAACTTTCCTGTCTCAGCCTCTTGTGTAGCTTGGACTATAGGTATGTGCCACCACACCCGGCTATTTTTTTGGTCAATTTTTATCTTTTTTTTTTTTCATTTGGAAAGATGAAGTCTCATCATGTTGCCCAGGTTGGTTTTGAACTTCTGGACTCAAGTGACCCTCCTGCCTCTGCCTCCCAAAGTGCTGGGTTTACAGGCATGAGCCACTGCACCTGGCCTTGACTTTTCAATAATAACCATTCTGACTGGTATGAAATAATATCTCATTGTGATTTTGATTTATGTTCCTCTGATGATTAGTGATGTACAGCATTTTTTCATATGTTTGTTAGCCACTTGTATGTCTTCTTTTGAGAAGTGTCTGTTCATATCATATGCCCATTTTTCGATGATATTATTTGTTTTTATGCTTGTTGAATTGTTTAAGTTCCTTATAGATTCAGGATGTTAGACTTTTGTCAGATGCATAGTTTGTAAGTATTTTCTCTCATTCTTTAGGTTGTCTATTCTGTTAATAGTTTCTTTTGATGTGCAGAAGTTCTTTTGTTTAATTGGGTACCAATTTTCAATTTTTGTTTTCACTGGAATTACTTTTGAGGACTTAGACATAAATTCCTTCTCAAGGCCAATGTCCAGAATGGTGTTTCCTAGGTTTGCTTCTAGGATTCTCATAGTTTGAGGTCTTACATTTAAATCTTTAATCCATCATATGTTGATTTTTGTAGATGGTGAAAAGTAAGGGTCCAGTTTTATTCTTCTGTATATGCCTAGCCAGCTATTCCAGCACCATTTATTGAGAGTGTCCTAAAAAAGGGGAGTGTCCAAAAATACTGTCTATTTTTGTCAACAACAGATTGATGTAGGTGTGTGGCTTTATTTCCAGGTTCTCTCTTCTGTTTCATTGGTCTATGTGTCTGTTTTTGTACCAGTATTATGCTGTTTTGATTACTGTAGCTTTATAGCATAGTTTGAAGTAGAGTAATGTGATGCCTCTGGCTTTGTTCTTTTTGCTTAGGATTGCTTTGGCTATTCAGTCTCTTTTCTGGTTCCATATGAATTTTAGGATAGTTTTTTTTCTAGTTCCCTAAAAAACAACATCAGTAGTTTGATAGGAATAGCACTGCATCTGTATATCGCTTTAGGTAGAATGTCCATTTTAATGATACCGATTCTTCCAATTCATGAACATGGCATGTTTTTCCATTTGTTTGTGTCATCTATGATTCATTTTGGCAGTGTTATGGATATTTTATCTCCTTGGTTAGTTACATTTCCAGGTATTTTATTTTTTGTGTGGCTATTGTAAATGAGATTGCATTCTTGATTGGGCTTTCATCTTGAATGTTATTGACGTATAGAAATGCCACTGGTTTTTGTACATGGATTTTGTATCCTGAAACTTTATTGATGTCATTTATTAGTTCCTGGAGGCTTTTGGCAGAGTCTATAGGGTTTTCTAGGTATAGGATTATATCATCCATGAGGAGAGATAATTTGACTTTTTCTTTTTCTTATTTGGATGCCTTTTATTTCTTTCTCTTGCCTGATAGCTCTGGCTAGTACTTCCAATACTATGTTGAATAGGAATGGCCAAGTGGGCTTCCTTTTCTTGTTCCAGTTCTCAAGGGGAATGCTTCCAGTTTTTGCCCATTCAGTATGATGTTGGCTGTCGGTTTGTCATTGATGGCTCTTATTATTGCGAGGTATGTTTCTTCAATGCCTCATTTCTTTGAGGGTTTTTATCATGAAGGGATGCTGGATTTTATTGAGAGTATTTTCCATGTCTATTGAGATGACCATATGGTTTTTGTTTTTAATTCTGTTTATTTAGTGAATCACACTTATTGATTTACATATATTGAACTGACCTTGCATTCCAGGAATAAAGCCTACTTGATCATGGTAAATTAACCTCTTGGTATGCTGTTGAATTCAGTTTGCTAGTATTTTGTTGAGGATATCTGCATCTGTGTTCATCAGGGATATTGTAGTTTTCTTTTTCTGTTGTGTCTTTCCAGATTTTGGTATCAGGGTGATGTTAGCTTTATAGAATTAGGGTGGAGTACCTCCTCATCGATTTTTTTGGAATAGTTGCAGTAGAATTGGTACCAGCTTTTCTTCCTATGTCTGGTAGAATTAGGCTATGAATCCATCTGGTCCAAGACTTTTCATTGGTACAGGCTTTTAATACTGATTCAATTTTGGAACTCCATATTAATCTGTTCAATGTTTTAATTTATTCCTGATTCAATCTTGGGAGGGTATGTGTTTCCAGGAATATATTGATTTCCTCTAGATTTTTTAGTCCATGTGCTTAGAGATGTTCATAGTACTCTCTGAGAATCTTTAATATGTCCATGGGATCAGTTGTAATATCACCTTTGTATTTCTAGTTGTGCTTATTTGGATCTTCTCTCTTTTTTTCTTTGCTAATCTAATCTAGCTATTGGTCTAGTGGTTTGGTTTATTTTTACAAAAAAAAACCAACTTTTGTTTTCATTAATTTTCCTTGCTACCTTTGGGGTTAGTTTGTTCTTGTTTTTCTAGTTTCTCTAGGTGTGATGTTAGAATGTTAATTTGAGACTTTTCTAGCTTTTTGAAGTAGGCATTTAGTGCTAGAAACTTTCCTCTTAAAGGCTTTTGCTGCATCCCAGAGATTTTGGTATGTTGTATCTCTGTTTTTATTTACTTCAAACTTTTTTTTAAAAAATTTCTATCTTAATTACATTGTTTACGCAAAAGTCATTCAGGAGCAAGTTGTTTAATTTCCAGATAATTGTATAGTTTTGAGAGATATTCTTGGTATTGGTTTCTATTTTTATTCCACTGTGGTCCAAGAGTAGAGTTTGTGCGATTTTTTTTTAAGTTATTGAGAGTGCTTTATGGCCAAGCATGTGGTCAACCTTGCAGTATGTTCTCTGTGCAGATAAGAGAAATAAGTATTCTGTGTTTGATGGGTGGAGTATTCTGCAGGTATCTATTATGTCCAAATGGTCAATGTCAAGTTTAGAATTTCTTTGTTAGTTTTTTGTCTCAATAATCTGTCTAATGCTGTCAGCAGGGTGTTGAAGTCTCCCACTATTATTGTGTGGCTATCTAAGTCTTTTTGTAAGTCTAGAAGTTTTTTATTTTCTATTTTTTATTTCAGTAGTTTTGGGAGAACAGGTGGTGTTTGGTTGCATGAATAAGTTCTTTAGTGGTGATTTCTGAGATTTTGGTGCACCCATCACCCACACAGTGTATACTGTACCCAGTGTGTAGTCTTTTATCCCTTACCCCCCCACCCTTTCCCCAGAGTCCCCAAAGTCCACTGTGTCATTCTTATGCCTTCGCGTCCTCAGAGCTTAGCTCCCAATTACGAGTGAGAACATATAATGTTTGGTTTTCCATTCCTGATTTACTTCACTTAAAATAATAGTCTCTAATTCCATCCGTCTTGCTGTGAATGCCATTATTTTGTTTCTTTTTTATGGCTGAGTAGTATTCCATGGTGTGTGTGTATGTGTGTGTGTGTGTATATATATATACACACATATATATGTGTATATATACACACATATATATGTGTATATATACACACATATATATATATCACACAATACATATATATATGTGTGTGTGTGTATATATATATATATATATATATATATCACATTTTCTTTATCCACACTTTGATTGATGGGCATTAGGGCTGGTTCCATATTTTTGCAATTGTAAATTGTGCTGCTATAAACATGCATGTGCAAGTATCTTTTTCATATAATGACTTTTTTCCTCTGGGTAGATAGATACCTAGTAGTGGGATTGCTGGATCAAATGGTAGATCTACTTTTAGTTCTTTAAGGAATCTCCACACTGTTTTCCATAGTGGTTGTACTAGTTTACTTTGCCACCAACAGTGTAAAAGTGTTTCCTTTTCACCACACCCACACCAACATCTACTATTTTTTTATTTTTTGATTATGGCCATTCTTGCAGGAGTGAGGTGGTATCACATTATAGCTTTGATTTGCATTTCCCTTATAATTAGTGATGTTGAGCGTTTTTCCATATGCTTCTTAGCCATTTGTATATCTTCTTTTGAGAATTGTCTATTCATGTCCTTAGCCCACTTTTTGGTAGGATCGTTTTATTTTCTTGCTAATTTATTTGAGTTCTTTGTAGATTATGGAAATTAGTCCTTTGTTGGATGTACAGATTGTGAAGACTTTTCTCCCACTCTTTGGGTTGTCTGTTAACTCTGCTTTACGGCCAGCTTTTGCTGTGCAGAGTTTTTTAGTTTAATTTAGTCCCATCTATTTATCTTTGTTTTTGTTGCATTTGCTTTTGTGTTCTTGGTCATGAAGTCTTCACCTAAGCCAATGTCTAGAAGGGTTTTTCTGATGTTATCTTCTAGAATTTTTATGGTTTCAGGTCTTAGATTTAAGTCTTTGATCCAGCTTGAGTTGATTATTGTATAAGGTGAGAGATGAGGACCAGTTTTATTCTTCTACCTGTGGCTTGCCAACTATCCAAGCATCATTTGTTGAACAGGTATACTTTCCCCACTTTATGTTTTAATTTGCTTTGTCAAAGATTAGTTGGCTATAAGTGTTTGGCTTTATTTCTGTGTTCTCTATTCTGTTCCATTGGTCTATGTGCCTATTTTTATACCAGTACCATGCTGTTTTGGTGACTATGGCCTTATAGTAGAGTTTGAAGTCTGGTAATGTGATGCCTCCAGATTTTTTTCTTTTTGTTTAGTCTTGCTCTGGCTACGCAGGATCTTTTTTGGTTCCATATAAATTTTAGGATTTTTTTTTCTAGTTCTGTGAAGAAGGATGGTGGTATTTTGATGGGAATTGCATTTAATTTGTAGATTTCTTTTGGCAGTATGGTCCTTTTCACAATATTAATTCTACCCATCCATGAGCGTGAGATGTGTTTCCATTTGTTTGTGTTGTCTATGATTTCTTTCAGCAGTGTTTTGTAGTATTCCTTCTAGAGGTCTTTCACCTCCTTGGTTAGGTATATTCCTAAGCTTTTTTGTTTTTGTTTTTGTTTTTTGGTGGGATTTTTTTTTTTTGCAGCTATTATAAATGTGGTTGAGTTCTTGATTTGATTCTCAGCTTGGTTGTTATTGGGGTATAGCAGAGCTACTGTTTTGTGTACATTAATTTTGTATTCTAAAACTTTGCTGAATTCATTTACCAGTTCTAGAAGCTTTATGGATGAGTCTTTAGTGTTTTCTAGGTATACAAACATATCATCAGCAAACAGTGACAGTTTGACTTCCTCTTTATTGATTTGGATGCCCTTTATTTCTTTCTCTTGTCTGATTGCTCCTGCTAAGACTTCCAGTAATACGTTGAATAGAAGTCATGAAAGTGAGCATCCTTGTCTTGTTCCAGTTCTCAGGGGAAATGCTTTCAACTTTTGTCTGTTCAGTATAATGTTGGCTGTGGGTTTGTCATAGACAGCTTTTATTACCTTAAGGTATGTCCCTTCTATGGTGATTTTGCTGAGGGTTTTAATAATAAAGGGATGCTGGATTTTGTCAGATTATTTTTCTGCATCTGTTGAGATGATCATGTGATTTTTGTCTTTAATTCTGTTTATGTGGTGTATCATATTTAATGACTTGCAGATGTTAAACCATCCCTGCATCACTGGTATGAAACCCACTTGATCATGGTGGATTGTCTTTTTGATATGCTGTTGGATTCAGTTAGCTAGTATTTTGCTGAGGATTTTTGCATCTATGTTCTTCAGAGATATTGGTCTGTAGTTTTCTTTTTTTGTTATGTCCTTCCTTGGTTTTCTCTATCCTGTGGAATAGTGTCAATAGGATTGGTACTAATTCTTCTTTGAATGTCTGATAGAATTTAAGTGTGAATCCATCTGGTCCTGGACTTCTTTTGTTGGAAATTTTTCAATTATTATTTCAATCTTGCTGCTTGTTATTGGTCTGTTCCAAGTTTCTACATCTTCCTGGTTTAATCTAGGAGGGTTGTATGTTTCCAGGAATTTATCCATCTCCTCTAGGTTTTCTAGTTTATGCACATAAAGATGTTCATAGTAGCCTTGAATAATCTTTTGTATTTCGGTTGTATCAGTAGTAATATCTCTTCTTTCATTTTTAATTGTATTTATTTGGATCTTCTTTTCTTTTCTTGGTTAATCTCAATAATGATCTACCAACTTTATTTATCTTTTCAAAAAACCACCTTTTTGTATTTTTGAAAAATAAATCTGAGTGCTCCAATGTTGGGTACATATATATTTGTAATAGTTACATATTCTTGTTGAACTTAACCATTTATCATTATGGGCCCCTGATCTCACTGTCCGTTTTTAGTGTAGTTCTTTAAAGTTTGTTTTATCTGATATAAGAATAGACCCCTGGTATTTTTTGTTTTATTTTTGCATAATAGAACGTTCCTCAACTCTTACTTTGAGCCTGTGGGTGTCAGTACTTGTGAGATGGCTCTCCTGAAGACAGCAGATGGATGGGTCTTGTTTTTTTAGGCAACTTGCCACTCTGTGACTTTTGAGTTGGGTGTTTAGACCATTTACCTTCAAGGTTAATGTCGATATGTGAGGTTTTGATCTTGTCATAAAATTATTAGCTGATTGCTTTGTAGTTTCTATTGTGTGGTTGCTTTATAGGGTCTGCAAGCTATGCACTAAGTGTGTTTTTGTGGTAGCAGATTTCTTTTCTTTTTATGTTTAGAACTCCTTTAGGGATCTCTTGTTAGACTTGTCTAGTGGTAACAAATTCCTTTAATGCTTGCTTGTCTGAATACACTTTTATTTCTCCCATGTTTATGAAGCTTAGTTCGGCAGGGTATACAATTCTTGATTGGAATTTCTTTTCTTTACAATGCTAAAAACAGGCCTCCCATCTCTCCTGACTTGCAATGTTTCTGCTGAGAAGTCAACTGTTATCCTGCTGGAGATCCTTTTGTATGTGATCTGACCTTTATCTCTAGTTGCCTTTCAGATTTTTTTCTTTAGCATTAACTTGATGACTATATGCCTTAGTGATGTTCATTTTGTGTTGTATCTCATAAGTCTTCTCTGGATTTCTTGTATATGGATGTCTACATCTCTATCAAGATTAGGGAAATTTTCTTCAATTATTTTCTCAAATATGTTTTCGAGGTTATTTGCTTTTTTCTCCTTCTCTCTCAAAGATTTTGTTTAAAAAATTTTTCTCTGTATTTTTGTCTGGCTGAGTTAGTTCAAAAGACTGGCCTTCAAGGTCTGAAATTTTTTCTTCTGCATAGTCCTGTCTATTGATAAAGCTTTAAATTGCATTTCAAAATTCCTTGAGTTTTTCTATTCCAGAAGCTCTGATTGATTTTTCACAAGATTAATCTGATTGAAGTTTATCTCTTCTTTCCTTTCCTGGATTGCTTTGGAAGTTTCTTTGTGTTGATTTTCAACCTTGTCTTGGATCTCATTGAGCTTTCTTGCAATCTATGCTTTGAATCTTTTATCCATCATTTCTGAGTTTCCATTTGGTCTGGGACCATTGCTGGAGACATAGATAGTGTGATTCTTTGGTGATGTTACTACATTCAGAGTTTTCATGATGCCTGAATTCTTGCACTGGTTTCTTCTCATCTCCAGATGCTGGTACTTCTAATTTTTTTAATTATTTTTGTGCAGGTAGGATTTTTTTCTTTTTCTTTCTTTCCCTACTGTATTATTTTTTCCTTCCTTTTCCTTTTCCCCTCTCCTAGAGGTTGTGACTGTAGAGGATGCTAGGTAGTGTCTTTTGGCTTTGCTTCTATAGCCCTATGTATTTCTTTTGGTAGGTTTCATATTGGGCTATGCCATTTAACCTATAAGCCAATATATGGCACTTATAGATATGAGCCTGCTATGGCCAATATGGCTGGGATATACTTTATTCTGACAGAAGATCTCTGTTGCCTCTGGGTTGATTCATGGAATGCACCATGGTCTGAGCCCCCTGCTCAACCCCAGGGAGGGCAGGAGCCACAAAAGGCAGGGTCAGACTGGGAAGGTCCACCTACATCAGGTCTTATGATGGCAGGCACAAGCACCAGCACTGAGGGAGAATCCAGTGGGTGGCCACCAAGTGCCTAGAGATGTACTTATGCATGGAGCTGAGAAACCTCCTCAGCACCAAAGTCTCTGCATGGGGATGAGGGCAGCCTAAACTCCATGAGAGTAGGTGATCCAGATGCCTGGAGATCTGCCTGGGCATGGAGCACAGACAGCCCCTGCACCAAGATCTCTGCACTGGAGGGTTGGAGTGACTCAGGCTGCTGATGCAGTCAAGCAGGTGTTTCAAATGCCTGGAGATCTGCCTGGATGTGGAGCACAGAGGGACACCCCACCCCATACCAAGATCTTCACACAGGAAGGGTAGGGTGGGTCAGGCTGCTGATCTAGGTGAGGGGGTGCTTCAAATGCCTGGAGATCTGACTGGGCATGGAGCAAAGCTGCACCATGATCCATGCCCAGGAAGGGTAGAGTGGCTCAGGCTGCTGCTCCAAGCAAGTGGGTGCTCTAAATGGCTGGAGATCTGCCTGAGGGTGAGTTGGAGAGGGCCCCATGCACCATGACCTTAGGGGAGCAGGCTGGGACACCTAGCAATGTCACATGCAGACTGGTTCCAGGTTGCCAAACTGGCTCTGGCTGCAAGTCGCACCACCCAGGAGAAACTGCAGCTCTAGTAGCTCTCCTCCCACCCCCAGTTTGCTATGGGTGAAGAGGATAACTCCAGCACCTACTGCTGAAGCACCTTCCACAGTTCTGGCTGTGGAGGCTCCTATCCTGCTCAAGAGCAGGTGATCCAATCTCTGGCCCAAGACTAAAATGCCTGCATGGCCATGATGCTAGGTCACCAAAGAATGGTTGACTTGTTATGCCCCTGGATTAAAAATGGCATCCTGCTGTCAGTCCCAGTCTGGAAAAATGCCTGCAGCTTTCCCCAGTGTCTTTCCCTCACAGCATCTCCAAGCCTCTCTCCCAGTTAGTTCCAGAGCTTGGAAGAAACAAAAGTGTACCCCTTCCACCACCCCTTAGCCTGGGTTACTTGGATCCCCAGCAGAAAGGTGAGTCAGACAGAGGCTCTTTTCCTCTCTTGTGTACTGAGGCTTCACCGACTTTTATCAGCCAGTCACTTTTATTTCGGGCGCTGTTTGCCAGTGTTCTCCTTCCTGGGATCTGGGATGTCCTTCATGATTCCAGTGGATTCTCATTTTCCATCTTGAATTAAAGCTCACGTGGTTGATCTTTATGTACTATCTTGCTATTTCCAAGTGGCTGAGGAATGCTAAAAATCTCTAAACCACCATCTTGGGAGGAAAAAAACTCAACTTTGTATGAAAGTTGCATGGAAATATCTCATCCCCTTTAGGAGACTAAAAGCCCTTGAAAGCAAAACCTGTATCTGTATGTGACACACAACACTTGAACACATTAGTGCTTAATACGTACTGAATGAGCACATATTAATGCATGCATGGATTCATATACTTGTATGAATACCATGCTTTGCTCACTAAACATACGGTCATTCATGGAGACAAAAACATAAATAAATCACCGTATAAATCAATCACTTAACCATGCATTTACAATGTGCTCATGGTAAGAGCTGTGCATTTGTAATTGCATGCCCATGTGTACTCGTGCTTGAAAAAAAAGAAAAATGAACCCTTTGAACAAATGGGCAATGACTTTCTCTCTCTGAGTACTTCAAGTCATCCTAACATAGGCACCTGTATGAAAGAAAATGAAAACCCTGGTGTTGCTCTGAAAATGCCAGGTCAGATGAAAGAGCTGCTGGGACTGGAAGAAATCCATATGCATTGGCTACATGTAAGGACTGGGGCCAAGACAGGCTGCCACTGACGGGGTAAAGTAACCCAAGCTAAGGATGTGCTTAGAGGGAAGAGAAGTAAACTACAGACGATTCCAGAATGGCTCTAAATGGCAAACATCCTCCCAAATATACAGCAAACAACATTGACATGGCTGACGTGTAGAGGTTGTGTGTGTGTGTGTGTGTGTGTGTGTGTGTGTGTGTGTGTATTCAGGGTGGAGAGGAATATGAGAATGAATGAATGAATGAATTCAGAGCACCCTGATAAATTCCCCCAGGATAAAATCCAAAGCATCTGCTTCTAAGAGATAAACAGAAAGCTCTGCTCCTCAGAGGCATGGCCAGTGGCTGAACACAGAGCTAATCTCCTCTGCACTGGGTCCCAGGCACCATGGCAAATGTGTGTCAAAAAAAAAAAAATATGGAGGTAAAAAAGAGAATCTCACTAAAGGCAGTAATGTGAATTCAAATACTCTTTGCAGTTTGGATGAAAGCAACCAAAAGTGATGTTGTTTCAAAAAGACTAGAAGCACTAGAGCAGAGAAATAGATTAATTTTGGCTGTGGAGATGAAGAGGACTCCCTGGCTAACAGGGTAGGGCCCGGCCAGCTGCCAATGAGCATGAAAATGCTGTGCATTTTCCAAGCACTATGTGCTCCTCCATGGGCTTTCCCATTTGTTGTGTCATTTGATCTTCCAAGCACCAAGGTGAGCAAGCAATACAGGGGTTGTTACTCCCCTTCCATGGAATTTAGCTGATGCCCAATATCCCCCCAGCCTGGAATCCATCTCCTTTATGACCAATCTGTGATTCAGGGCAGTGCTTCTCAAGCTTTAATGTAAACATCACCTGGAGTATGCACATACTGAAATTCAGATTCCAACTCCACAAGTGTGGGATAGGGCCTGGGATTCTGCATTCTAACATGTTCCCAAATAAGCCCCTTGCTGTAGGTGTGGAATCATATAGCTTTGGACACCATATCCATGAGCACTGGGTTTCCATAAAAGTCAGGTTATAAGCTTTTCATTTGGTCAGACATTTTTTAAGCTACTAAAATCCTAGGCCAGATGTCACAAGTAGATCCCAGTTAGGACTGAGTTGTCTTTAGCTCCCAGATGCATAATCACCTGCAGGAGACACCTTCTCAATCCCAATTTAGGACCCTGGAAAAGTCCCAGCCCCTCTCTAGATTTCTATTTCTCCATTTGTGCAAAATCAAAGCACATCATCTCCTAGGCCCCACATGAAGAAGCCCAGAGAGGATTTCTTGTTTGGATTTATTTGACTATGATAAAGCCCCCCAAAAGGTCCTAGAACACTGAGACTCCATAGAGAGCTCATTTCCATCAACACACAAGGAAAACATGAAGAACCTCAACATACTCCACCACCATCTTCATCCCCCACCCAGGGTGAAAGAACAGGCACGTTATCACCATCCAGTCTTTCCTGGGAATGACAGAATGCCAAAGGCGGATCTTACTCGGCATCCCAGAGCAAGGTAAAGATTGATCCGAATGCCCTGATTTGTGACCCTACACAATAGCATTAAGAATACAGAGAAGGTCCACTCCAGACCCTGTTTGCCTGGGTGCCACCAGCAGGGGCTGCAGAACAGCAAAGCTTTGCTGCCTGATTCTTCCTCTGGAAGCTTCATCCCAGAGGGGCACCACTAGATGCCAGCCAGAGCTCTCCTGTATGAGGTGTCTGTCAACCGCTGCTGGGAGGTGTCCCCCAGTCAGGAGGCACGGGGATCAGGGGCCTAGTTGAGGGGTCAGTCTGTCCCTTAGCAGAGCTCGAGTGCTGTGCTAGGAGATCCGCTCAAAACCACAAAAAGATATCATCTCATGCCAGTTAGAATGGAGATCATTAAAAAGTCAAGAAACAACAGATGCTGGAGAGGATGTGGAGAAATAGGAATGCTTTTACACTGTTGGTGGGAGAGTAAATTAGTACAACCATTGTGGAAGACAGTGTGGTGATTCCTCAAGGATCTAGAACCAGAAATACCAATTGACCCAGCAATCCCATTACTGGGTATATACCCAAAGGATTATAAATCATTCTACTATAAAGATACATGCACACGTATGTTTATTGCGGCACTATTCACAAGAGCAAAGACTTGGAACCAACCCAAATGCCCATCAATGATAGACTGGATAAAGAAAATGTAGTACATATACACCATGAAATACTATGCAGCCATACAAAATGATGAGTTCATGTCTTTTGCAGGTACATGGGTGAAGATAGAAACAATCATTCTCAGCAAACTAACACAGGAACAGAAAACCAAACACCACATATTCTCACTCATAAATAGGAGTTGAACAATGAGAACACATGGACACAAGGAGAGGGGCATCACACACCAGAGCCTGTCAGCCGATGGGTGACTAGGGGAGGGATAGCGTTAGGAGAATTACCTAATGTAGATGACGGGTTGATGGGTGCAACAAACCACCATGGCACGTGTGTACGTGTATAACAAACCTGCACGTTCTGCATATGTATCCCAGAACTTAAGTGTAGTTTTTAAAGAAAGAAAAGAGTACAGAGGAAAGACCAGTTCCCAAGTAGCCCCCTCACTGACCAAGCACAATGCCTGCATTCCATATTAAAGCATAGTCCATTAAGTCCTTTTCAGCCTCAGAAATGTATTTCTACAACTATAAACATTCCTGGGAGGACTGTTTAATACCTCTGAACCTTAATCATTTAACAAGATCGAGGGCATTTATTTATTATATTTCTTGTGACAACTAGCTGACACAAAGGCACTCCGAGAACAGAGTGAGGGAAGGGCACAAGGGGTAAGAGAGGACCCCTAAAAGTACCCACGAGAAGTCACCAAAGACTACCATTGCCTGCTTCTCAGCTTTGCGTAAAGTCAGACCTGTTTTTACGCTTCCACCAATACCACCCTGAGTCTCTGGATGGTCTTCAGAACTCACAAAGATGCCCTGTCCCGACACAGCTTTTCTTCTACCCTGCCCCACCCATGCTAAGGCTGAGCTATGCTTGTTCCAGCTGTGCAGGAGACTCCGTGCTGTTTCACAGGACGTGGCTTGGGGACAAGGAGATGCAGTTCCCTGATGCAGCGGCTCAGCACTGCACAGGCGCCCCCTCATGCAGCCTGTTCTCAGCAGGGCCCACTGAGAAGACGACAAAAAATGAGAACTCCAGCATCCTGATTCCCCACTCCAGGGCCCGCCGCCTTGGCCTCAGAGCCAGCACCAGACGCCCTTCAGAGACCGCAAACCTCCAGGAAAAATTAAATCCTCACAAAACACCCTTTAATTTTATCCACTTGCCTTAATGAAGGTTCTGGTATTAATGAACTCAGAGGCTTTTTGTCTGACAGTTCTGCTGGTAACTAAACCCTGTGCTATTTCCCCCGCCCAACAGCCTGAAATCTCAAGCGTTGCCTCTAATCTTATTTTCTATTTCTGGGCTATATTGCATTAGCACCTTTTTATTTCTCCTGGCATGTTTGACAGTGAGTTCAGGCTAGTGAGAATCATCTCTTTGTGCTGGCAAATAGGGATTGCATCGGCTGTTTGAGAATAATGACTTATAGTTAAAATTACCCCCAGGATGTCATAATTACATGGTTGCAGCTTTCTTCTTTGACAAGTTGGAGAGGCGGAGTTCAGGTGGCCTACGGGAAGTTGCTTGGGGTGGAGGAGAAAGATGGATAAACAAATGTGTACCCAGAGCCCCCCAGGAAGCTTGAGGACCTAGAACAGAGCCTGAAGCTACAGCATGCTGTGAGCAGGTATTCAGCTATTCAGCCCCATCTGCCCACCTCCTGTGCACACACGCACACACACGCACACACATGTTCCTTCTGCCCATCCAGAGTTAAAATGAAAGGGCCACTGCACTAGCTTCACTGAGGGTGGCATGATTTTCAGGATCCTCCAGACTCCCCACAACCATGAATATCACACCCTATGGGGTTTACTGCAGTATCTGAAATTTATAAACGAAACACCCCTTTGACCTAACTCATTAAACAAAAGGTCTCTGCTAAAGCCAAGCATTATTTGGGAAGGGTTTCATCATTAACAGCAGTAGGTTAGGTTAACTCATGGTATTCTGCGACCAGTGTTTTCACACTGGCTTTTAGGAGTGAAATAAACATTCTTTTCCATGAACCACATGGCAGAAGACAGTGGGCACATGGTGCTGTGGATGAAACTCTGCCCACTCAGCTCCCACTCCACCCCACCCCACCCCAGGGACTTCCAATGGGGGAGGCTGCTGGGATTCTGGCTTGACAGCCATGCTGTCTAAGCTTGTAGCAGGGCATGCTGGGGAGAGCTATGGAATTGATGAGTTTTGATATCCAGAGACTAGGAAAGGCAAATGTTGAAACGATGATTCCTGTGAAGGTAGGAGGAGGTCAAAGGGGAAGGCCCTGCCACCTGCTGGGATGATGAAGGTCGTGGGCCAAGGGGGAAATGGTGAAGGGTCAGGAAACAACTAGAAATAGGACCAGAGATGAGAGAAGCACACCTTAGGAAGGGACAAATCATACCAAGGGGCTGGGACAGCCTAGTGGTTGTGAACGTGGCCTTTGGCTCCATTGCCCGAGTGATGGAATGAGGCGGCATCGACCCGAGTGTCGGCAGGCAGATTACTTAACTTCTCTGTGACTCAGTTGCATCATTTCTAAAACAAGAAGGATAACATTACCTAAATGTGTTAGTATAGGTGAAGTGCTGAAAACACTGAGGCCCATGGCTTGTCCTTAATAAGCAAATGATATTAATATTATTTTCATGTAGCTATTATTGTTAAAACTGCTCCCCCAGATTCCCAATTTTTATCTTGCTCTTCTCCCTTGGAAGTCTCCAAAATGCTGCATCCGCCCCTGAGGAAGGGAGACGGGAATATTCCAGGGGTGATATGGAAGCTGAATTGGTTGAGTACCAAGGAGCCACAGTGAGGCATGAATGAGTGGATCCCAGGTATTTATCTGTCAGGAAGGTGAACAGGAGCCATGAGGGGCCCTAGGAAGTGAGGTGGGGCACATGGGAAAGAGGATTTTTTAAGCACAATTTCTAATCTGTGTAATTACTGCTGTTGGGCCAAGGCACAAGTGCAGAGGAACCTTGTAGCCCATATTTTTGTTGTCGTTGTTTTTGCCTCCATTAGAGAGACCTTGAGACCTCCCTCAGGTTTTGAAAGAAAATTACATTATTTTCCTGCAGCAGGGCAGACGCAGCATGCAGGAATTAGCCTGCATTACAGCCTCCCAGGATTGCCAGTGGAGGCTTCAGCCTGCAGCAGGGCAGACGCAGCATGCAGGAATTAGCCTGCATTATAGCCTCCCAGGATTGCCAGTGGAGGCTTCAGCCTGCAGCAGAGCAGACGCAGCATGCAGGAATTAGCCTGCATTACAGCCTCCCAGGATTGCCAGTGGAGGCTTCAGCCTGCAGCAGGGCAGACGCAGCATGCAGGAATTAGCCTGCATTACAGCCTCCCAGGATTGCCAGTGGAGGCTTCAGCCTGCAGCAGGGCAGACGCAGCATGCAGGAATTAGCCTGCATTACAGCCTCCCAGGATTGCCAGTGGAGGCTTCAGCCTGCAGCAGGGCAGACGCAGCATGCAGGAATTAGCCTGCATTACAGCCTCCCAGGATTGCCAGTGGAGGCTTCAGCCTGCAGCAGGGCAGACGCAGCATGCAGGAATTAGCCTGCATTACAGCCTCCCAGGATTGCCAGTGGAGGCTTCAGCCTGCAGCAGGGCAGACGCAGCATGCAGGAATTAGCCTGCATTACAGCCTCCCAGGATTGCCAGTGGAGGCTTCAGCCTGCAGCAGGGCAGACGCAGCATGCAGGAATTAGCCTGCATTACAGCCTCCCAGGATTGCCAGTGGAGGCTTCAGCAGACACAAGTGTACATCAGGCCCTTTTTGCAAATGACACTAATTAATATGGGGATTAATGAAAAAGCAAATGCACTTCGGCTCCTTGATTAAAATCCTAAATGCTCTCCCAGACACTCCCGTATTTCCACATGGGCTTTGGCAGCCGCTTGTGCTGGGACAGCTGTCTGACAAAAGACGCACCTCACGTGGTCCACAGTCTTCTTGCCACTTCTGTCACTCCAGCTAACCTGTCACCTAAGGGCCTGACCCACGTTTCAGCTGGTCTCAGATCATGGAGGGTGCAGCTACAATCCGCACAGAAGAAAGAGGCAAAGAGGTGGTATGATCTCATGCAAGGATCCGGAAAACACAATAGTAAGGCCAGCTTTATCTTTTACTATTCAGGGTACCTAAACTGAATGTCCTCCACTCTTATAATAATAATGACACTGCCCCATGCACCTTACAAGTAATGGGGAAGAACTGTGGCAATGGGTGCTGAAGAGCTTTTAAACCCCAAAGCATTGCACAGATGTGATTATTTGGATGGTACTCAGAGACACAGAAGGAGGGGGAAATCGATCCTGCAATGCCACAGAGCACAGTGGAAGTCTTGGTAGAGTAGAAGGGGAGAGTCTCTGGCTAAAGCGGAGGTCAGGTGAACACTAATTTATCTAGTGACAGCTGTACAACTGTGGGACTAGAGACAGCCCCAGAACAGGCCAGACCAGCCCTTTTTCCTGACGATGAAGATGTTGTCCCCACAGAGACCTTCCTCAGCTTGCCCTTCCCCGATGCTGCCCTGAGGACCCCAGTCCACAGGGAGCTCTGCCCCCACCTCATTGCAAGTGGTCAGTTTTCTTTCTTCTGTGTAGATATCTTGCTACCTCTCATGTGCAGTAAGATCTCTGAGCCTCTGTCTGCTGTATGCTGTTCATTTCTTCGTGTTGGAATGCCCCCGTGACACCAAGCCCATGGCCTGGTGCATATACTAGGCTAAAACGCAGATATTAGCCAATAGCCTGAGCTGTTCTCCCTCATTCTTGCAGCACCTGGCTATGTAAGGATGCCCTGGCTTCTCCGTTGAGAAGCAGATGATCTGCTTTGCTATAGCTCCTTGCCTGCAGCACCTCATTGAAAGCTTGACCCAATCCCCTTACCAAGATGCCTCTGCTCCATCACTACAAAGGCTGGGCTGGGGGCAGGAGGATGGGCAAGGGCTCTACACAGGCACAGAGGTGCTCTTCTCTTGAAGAGAAGTGACCCCTTTCCCCCACCCGTCCACACCCTCCAGAGAAACAACTAGGACAAAGCTTTGCAGTATGGACATATGAGGAAGTGGTCCTTGAAAGATGCGGCCTCAGGTCAGCAGACCCGGGTCATCATCTCTTTATCATTAGTGATCATTCTCTCTTCATCTCTCTGAGTCTTAACTTCCTCATCTGTAAAATGAAGGATCTGAACCAGGTGATCCCTGCAGTTCCTCCTACCTCTAAGATTCCTTGACTTACCAAGGAAGATGGGAGGGCAGCCAGGAATGACATGAACCTGGGTTAAACCGAGTCTGTCCCCACAAGTTGGGGCTTTATTTCTGCAGAATTCTCCATCCCAGTCCCTTCCCAAGCCATGGGCAAAAACAGCTCAGGTAGTAATGAAGGTGTGGCTATAGCTGAGCAATTGGATTTAAATCCCACAGAGCCATGGTGCTGGGAAGAGGGGCTGCCCTGGCCAGTCTATCAAAAGACCATTCCAACCAACCGATGTCTTATACATTGGTTTACACACATGCCCTTTATTGTGTCAATTACCCATCAATAGCATTGTTGAAATCTGAAAAAGTATGACTTATGAAGTTGTGCTAAGAGAACATCTGCTTATTACTTATTTCCCATCCTTTTTTTTTTTTTTGAGATGGAGTCTCGTAGTCACCCAGGCTTGAGTGAAGTGGTATGATCTCGGTTCACTGCAACCTCCACCACCTGGGTTCAAGCAATTCTCCTCCCTCATCCTCCCAAGTAGCTGGGATTACAGGTGCCCACCACCACTCCTGGCTAATTTTTACATTTTTAATAGAAACTGGTTTCACCATATTGGCCAGGCTGGTCTCAAACTCCTGACCTCAGGTGATCTGCTCTCCTTGGCTTCCCAAAGTGCTAGGATTATAGGTGTAGGCCATCGCACCTGGCCTTCCCCATCATTTTTGCAGTATCACTTTGCTATTTGTATACAGGCCAGAGGAAGAAGAGGATTGCGTAGGAGGCTTTATCTACACTCCCATTCTCTTGCTTCGTTATGGCTGTGAAATAAATTACATGATACTCTGAAAAAAGAGGGTCAACCCCTTTTAGGGTTGGCAGCTGGTGTTTAAATCCTGATTTTGCCTCTTTCAAGCTGTGTGATTTGGGACAGGTAACAATTGCCCTGATCCTCAGTTTACTCATTTGTTAGTTATTTGTTTATTCATTTGTTAAATTCATTTGTTAGATGACATTTATACCCTATCAGATATGATCGTGGTGAAGATTAAGTGATACACTTAGCCCCCAGCATATTGTAAGTGCTCAGTAAATGGTAGTATAGGTATAAAAGTAGAAGCCAGAATTGCATGTGGAAGTCAGACCGGGGCCACCTTAAGTTTAACCCTCCTTCTGAGTTCCAGACTCTTATTGTGAAAACTTTTAGGTCACTTTGTTTTAAATGGAATAAATCTTAGAAATTATCCTTCAGGATCAAAATTATCACAGGTGACATATTGGGTTCCAGCATTAACTAGGCTGACTCCAAATCTGATATTCCCAGGCTTCTTTGGGTTGCTTTTTTTTTTCCCATAATACAACCTCTTGCTCCATTTTTTCTAAAGTAGGACCTTGCACCCTGTGCTCCCTGGGCTTCCATACCATGCTGCCTCCCAGGCCCCAGCTCCAGGCTGTGACCCCCTCTATTCCAGGAAAATGCAAGCAGTCTGCTCTCTTGCCATATTAAAGTTGTGTCATAACACTCTTGAGATGGCAATTTCTTTTCTGTTGTTCTGTTGAATACATTTTTAAAGAAGATTCCCTCGGCTGCTGGCTCCTCGCTTTTCTTTCTGGTTAGATGCAATAACTACAATCTTGCACATACTTACAAGTCAATTTTCCTTTAATGATGATTTTACCTGCTCTGAAGCTTATCAGAAGGAGGGTTCATGCACCTCAGGTCTCGGCTTGAAGCTTTCAGTGGGCCGCGGCAGCTGTTCTATAGGCAGTTGCACCTGTTTTGAATGTCATCAATGTAATGCTAATATGCAGAGCAATTTGTGATGCAAGAAGCCAGAACCAACAGTGAAAGAACTGTGTTTAGGATTATAAATCACTTCCCCATCAGCTGCTGAGCTTCCTTTGGGATTCAGCTGAAGAGGTTCTGCAGGCAGTGGGACCCTGCGGCATTCCCTCTACTAACTTCTGTTCTCTGAGAGAGGGGTTGAGAGGGACCTTGTTAAATCTGGGCAAGAAGGAAATAGAGGTGGCTAAAGTGGAATAGAGACCATAAGTGGAAGTAGGGAGGAAGGGAAGGAGAGCACATATGAGGCATAAGTCCCCAAATAAACTTGCTGAGATCTGCTTTAGCAATGGCTGATAGCATTTGCAGAGGTTTGAATGGAGAGTTACAGAAGGGCTGCTCTACGTCTTCCCAGGAAGAAAGGCTCCATTGGGGTTCATTCGAAACTAAAGTCTATAATCCTCATCTCAAGCAAGGCTCCACTTCAAAGTGTTGCTCTTGTGACTTTGAATTAGCCTATTTCCATTAGCAAAACAGGAGGGGTAAAAGTTCAGGGTGCAGAACGAATCAGTGATAGTCTGGTTAGTTCAGAAGCTGAACTTCTTGACTTCCGTGGTCCTCCTAAAATGCAATCAGGGCATGGCTGCCTCAGTGAACAAATCTGTAAAATGGATCCAATCAATTTAATGAGGGACCAGGCCTGGAGAGTTTCTCTCTAATGAGAGCTTTGCTGTTTATTAGGACCAAGCTCACCTCCTCTCTTTTTCTGAGGAAGAATGTGGCTGGATACAGCATAAAACAATACACAAGCACAGGACGTAGCTCTCAAACAACCACCCTTTATGTCACTTAAGTTGCATGCTCACCACAAATTCAAAATAATTTTGGAATTAGGCTGGAATACTTTAGGCCCAAGCATATAATTCACCCTGGGTTTGGCAGTGCTGGTAACCCAGAATTTTTTGGAAAGTTGTCAGAGAAGATTTGGGTTTGGTGTGACAGACACAACAAGCTGAAGAGGGCAGGTAGAGAAGCTACTTTATGTCTAAGCTGCTCCTATGCAAGAGTTAAGTGATGGTTGCTGTAGTCCATCAGCTTCCTGGGATAAACAAGGTGGGGCTATCTGCTACATGCAAGATGCCCGTCAACATTCTGCTCCCGCAAGAGCTTCTGTAGCCATTAAGAGCTAAATAAAAGCATGAGGTGGCATATCTCAAATGCAAGACATTGGTGCTTGAGTGCTGCAAGATTTGTAGAGAAGAACTTTTAGTCGGGGAGGGAAAGAGGAACTGAAACCTGATCTGAAATGTGAAGAATTACAGTGGAAGTAGGGGAGGGCATTTCAGGCAGAAAGAGTGGCGTGAACACAGTGTGGCGATAAGAATGAGTATCACACCTCAGGGAGACATGGGGAGGGCAGTACAGCCTAGAATGAGAGAGGCCTTGGTTATGGGGGAGCAATCAGGGCAGGCTACCAAAAGGTCATGGAGTCACCATGCAACACAAAATTAGAAACCCTAAACCATCGGTCTCAGCACTGTGGGCCTGAGACGCAGAGAGTGGGGCATGGGGTGGGGCACCCACTCACAGATTTACCACCTCAACATGCAAGTCTGTTCCCACAGCTGCAAATAGTCTATTCTAATCAACACTAGAGGGGGTTAGCTGCCAGCATGTGAACCCTCAGGTGTCTGCGGTAAGGCAGCTGCACTAGCGCCACACACTCCCAAGCTGACTCATACTTGTGTCTGGTGACAGCTGGGTCTCATCTGTCCTGAGAACAACAATGAGAATCACCCAGAGAGTCTGTGCAAGAATGTCTCCTAGTCCAATTTCTGGTATGATTGTTTTCAAAGCTGCAATAGAACTCTAGTCCCCCTGGATTTCTTGAGGAGAAAATAACAGTTATTTACTTATTGAGTCTATTAAAAATGCACCCATTATCTGAATGCCTCTAGGCAACCGCACAAAAATACATTTTTAAAAAGATGAGAATCCAATTAAGCAAAGATGCAGATGCTCCTGCAGCAAGTAGGCCAACGAGGCTGTTCCTGAAGGGTGGATGACAGCCCAGGAGCAGGATACCCTTGCTCGCCAGTCAGTGCACCCAGGTTCCTCTAAGCCAGAAGGGGAGGAGCTGCAGAGATGCAACCATCCACCCTGTGGTTTCCCATTCTCGTGCTCTGTTTCTTGCCAGCCTTGGACTTCTACCATAGCACTCAGACTGAGCTTAGTGTCTGTGATGAGGTCAGGAAGGAATGCAAGGTAGCTAAGGTAGAAACACCTAGGTGGGAGGTTTGGAAAATGCTGTTAATTAGCTGCCTTGTATGTTATTTTGGCTTCTTGCTCAGCCACAATCTGAAACATTTTTACAGTAGGCTCTACTGTTCCTACAGAAACCTTGTGAGATAGTTAGTTATCTTGCCAAAACTCGCATCTGATGATGTCACTCCCTACTGAGTCTCTTCCCAGGTTCCCGATGCTTTAGGGTCCAGATCCCTCCTCACATGATATGTGTTGCACTTTGTGGTCAGACTCCAGGCTAAATCTCCTCACACACCCACCCCAACCCCACTCTAGTCACACACAACTATCTGTAGGTCTTCAATCTGTTTCAAACTAGTCTACACCTCTAGGTCTTTAAAAGCTATCTTATCTCTATATTATCAGTATCATACCTTCTGCAACTGGACACTTTTTCCTCACCCTTCAGGTCAGCAGAGGCGCCATCTACTCCTGGAAGACTTCCCTGGCCTTCCTTTCTGGAACAAGTGCTCCAAGTCCCGGAGAATCTGAGCACACTGTATTGTAACCTCTTGCTGACATGTCTGTCTCTCTGGTCAGAACGTGAGTTACTCAAACAGCAGGTCTTGTCATTCTGCTTAAGTTTCTCTGTGCCTAGCGGAGAGCATCAAAGCTAAAATGAAGTCTTCCTCTAAGACCTAGTACTGAACCTTGAGTTCTTGAAACGTCAGGCTCTCCTCTCCTGTAAAATAGACATTATAATATTAACTGCTGCCTCATTTTAAAAACTGTGAAGTTGTAGTGAGACATTAAATAGAGACAACAAACCTCAGCATCTTGTGCCTGGTGCATGACCACTGTCGACAAGACAGAGGGAACAGATACGTAGCATACGTCATTCACTTTTTCCAAAGAAGAGACTGAGCTCAGAAAAGCGAACTTACTTGCCTGCAGTTGCACAGTAGATAAGAAAATGGCAGAACTACAATACAAACCTGGCCTTAGCTGGCTTCAAAATCCTCCTCATTTTCTGTGCCATTCACAAGCTCTGCAGACCAGAGATACAACTCACTAGCTGATCTCTGCTCAAATGGCAAACCCAAGGCAAAGTCACCCCCTCTACAGGAAAATTCAGAGTTTCGGGTTCTGCTGGCTGAAGAATTCAGAAAACTTTCTTCGCCTTGATTCTCTATTGCCGTGATTCCAAAAACATTTGTTTATTTCTGTAGACATAGTTGTTCATATCTGGGAAATAATTTTGTTTACTGAAATAAGCAATGGACTGGGAGTCAGCTACTACTCAATAAAATGGCATTATTTATTCAATTTTTTCCCAACCCTTCCTTTTCCCCATTGTAAAATAAAGATTTTGGAATGAATCACCTCTATGGTCCCATCCATCTCTAAACATCAGTTACATATGTGAAATAAGACAGTTAATGCATCCCAAAACTAAATTGTTCTTGAATTGCCCATTCTACCAAATAACACACATTTCTGCTTCCCTCCTTGAGTTTCAATTATCAGCACCTATGAGTTTGTTGCTGCTCTCCACCAAGGTGAGGTCACAGTGGTGAGGTCAGCTAGGGAGAAAACATTCGTGTCAAATACAGATGGGTCAAGCCTCCCTAAGCTCCACAGTCTCCTGGGGAGAGAGAAGCAGGTGCAGGACATGGAAGCTACACTTTTCCCCAGCACCCTGCTCAGAGGCCAGCTCTTCTCTGCTCCTCAGGTCCAATGAGGGGATTATCCTGGAAAAGGAAAGACTTAGGAGAACTGACACTTCCCATCAGCTACACTGCACAACATTGATTCGACTGTGGGCCCAGCAATTGCTACTAAGAGACCATTCTCCACGGGGATAGCAGCTGTGTTTGCATTAACTGTCTAGGGTGACCTGCCCTCCCCAGGGGCTCCCGCACACACTCAACCCCACAGCCCTGCTCAAAACGGGTTTAACTTTCAAGGAAAGAAGCATGTTTACCACCGATGTGATCATTCACAGAGGGAGCCTGAGACCTGCGTCACCAGTGTGATCGTTCACAGAGGGACTGGCTTTGCTGCAGCTGCAAATATCATTGTCATAAGCTTGTCTCTGTCTGGACTGGATCATGGAGAGTCATCAGATAACCCTCCTTACTTGTTGTTAGAGTCAGGGAGCTACCATTGAGATCTCACATCTACCCTAGGCTGCCCTTTATTTACTGAAGAGAAAGCCCCTGTTTGCCGGCACCATCACTGTGGCTCGGCTCGGATGATGCACAGATTGCTCTGTCTACCATCACATCATCAGCATTTCTTCTATTCACACTAGTCCCATCCATCTGGATAGGTTTGTAGTGGAGATGAAATAAATTAATACCTGCAAAGCCCCTACAACAGTGTCTGGTACATAGTAAGCGGTACAAAAGTATTAGTTGTTATTTTTATTTATTCACTGCAATGAATATGTAGGGAGCACTTACAAAGTGTTGGGAAGTGTACCAGGCATTGAAAATATAGCAGTGGACAATGGCGGCCTGCTTCCTCCTAGCCCTCAAGGAGCTTAGATTCTATGGGCAGAATCTGTGAGCATTCACAAAGACTTTCCCCAGAGGATAAAAAACCTGCCCTGTGAAGTGAGAAGAGCAGTCATTCAATTTCCTACTTCCCGAGGTGAGATGTGAGCTCAAACTGACCTGCTGCTTGAGAGGCAGGGAAGGGGACCCACCCTCTGAGCCTCCCTTTGAGCTTATCAAGGCAACCGATGTCAAAGCTGGTCCCTTAGACTAAAAGCCTATCCCATGTTGTTTCAACCTCATGTTTATCTACTGAAAAACCAATTTTCGTAAGACCCCCAGATTGTGTCTCCTAGCAGAGCCTTTCCGGTTAGAATTAATCCCCAAAAACAACCCTTTCAGCAAAATTCTCTGTGAGAGTTAATATTGTCGACTTTATTGGATTGAAGGATGAAAAGTATTGCTTCTGGGCATTGCCAGAGAAGATTAACATTTGAGTCAGTAGATTGGAAGAGACAGACCCACCCTCAATGTGGGTGGGCACCATCCAATCAGCTGCCAGCGTGGCTAGAAAAAGCAAGCAGAAGAAGGTGGAAGGGGCAGACTTGCAGAGTCTTCCAGCCTTCATCTTTCTCTTGTGCTGGATGTCGAACATCAGACTCCAAGTTCTTTGGCTTTTGGACTCATGGATTTATACCAGTGGCTTGCCAGGTGCTCTCAGAACCCAGGAGGCGGAGGTTGCAGTGAACTGAGATTGTGCCACTGCACTCCAGCCTGGGCAACAGAGTGAGACTCTGTCTCAAAAAAAAAAAAAAAAAAAAAAAAAACAGTGTACACCTCTCCCCACTCTGGTTTGGCCAGAGACTGAAGGCTGCACTGTGAGCTTCCCTACTTTTGAGGTTTTGGGACTTGGACTGGCTTCTAAACCAATACTGGTTTCCTTGCTCCTCAGCTTGCAGACAGCCTATCATGGGACTTCACCCTGTGATCGTGTGAGTCAATTTTTCTTAATAAATTCTCTTTCATATATACATATATCTTGTTAGTCCTGTCCCTCTGGAGAACCCTAATACGTTGTCCTTTGTCAATAAAAAAAATTGAGAAAATGATCCCATGGCCACTCTCAATCACCCCATTTTTGGTGCCCCATAAAATCTTATTATTAGGTGATGACTTGATGTTAAAAGGTCAGTCTCTCCACTGCAGCTAAAACATTTCACCCTGGTCTCCTTTTCACCAGACATGGAGAATAGCCACTCAACACCCTTCAGTGAATACCCCTGGGAGGAGCGCCCAGACCTCTGAAATGCCAAGCATATATCGCCTCAAGAAAGTCTGGAATTCCTCTTAGGAATTGATTTTAATTGATTCTTCATTCAACAAATATTGAGTACACAGTATACGCTAGGCAGTAGGGAGTGAAAAAAATAATAAACATTTCTTCATTCAAGTAGCTCACATTCCTGAAGGGAAGAAAATGTAGACAACTTACAATACAGTTGAATGAGTTTGATAATAGAAATATGCATCTAGTGGCTCCTTGTTGCAGGGTAATTTGTTAAAAATGTTATCCCATTGTTGACAGGCTTTTCATCCTCAACTACTGTTGCTGCCCATCTTCTCTGGCAATTCCCTGGATATACCATGTTGATTAATGCCTTCACCTGCCATGTCCTTCCCTACTGCTCCTTGTCTATATAGCAAACTCCTATTCATCCTTTAAAACACTTTTCAGACTATTCCAACCTTTTTTTTTTTTCGAGATGGATTCTGGTTCTGTTGCCCAGGCTGGACTGCATTAGTGTGATCTTGGCTCACTGCAACCTCTGCCTCCCAGCTTCAAGCGACTCTCCTGCCTCAGGTGCCCGAGTAGCTGGGTCTACAGGTGCACACCACCACGCTCAGATAATTTTTTTGTATTTTAAGTAGAGACGGGGTTTCATCATTTTGGCCAGGATGGTTTCGATCTCTTGACCTCGTGATCTGTCCACCTCGGCCTCCCAAAGTCCTGAGATTACAGGCTTGAGCCACCACGCCTGGCCGACTATTCCAACTATTTTAAGCGTTCCCTTTTCTATACTATTGCTTTACTTTTCCATGTTTCTATTTTCACACATGATGTTCTATAAGCTAATGAATTATTTGCGTATTCACATTCTTTACCACACCATATGTTTCTTCAGGGCTTAATACGGTACCTAACCTATAATAGATATTCTTAAATGTTCATTGATGTGTATAAGATACAATAGTAATACTACTATGACCACCACCAATAACTACTATTTTTGGAATTTTTATTAGCCAGGCATTATGATAAGTGGCTCATGTGTATTTCTTCAGTTTTTCCTCAAAACAACTTTGAAGTATCATAGATGTCATGTCTAGTCAGTTATCTTTTACAAATAACGTGTTGTATAAATTATTACTCTCCTCCACTTCTCTCTCTGTCTCTCTCTCGTACACATACATGCAATCTTATAAGCCATCTCAGAACCTCATTTACTATTTTTAGGAGTTCATAATCTGACTTAGCTACCTCACTTCTGTATTCCTACCATACCCTGTATATGTCCATGTACGTGCATCTTAGTCTAGTATAACTATTGATTTGGTTGTTTGCTTCCTTCTTTAGAATGTAAATTCCTTGAAGTCAGGCATGACCCCTTCCCTTTTTTATCCCAAATGACTATCATGGTGCCTATAATATAATAAGTGTTGAATAAACATGTATGGTAAAAGGAAAGAAGAAAGGAAGAGAGTAAATAAGGGAGAAAGAGCAATATTTTCCATGGACCAGCTGAGTTGGTTCATGGAAAACAGTCAAGCAAAGGAAAAACAGCAAGATCAGGTGGCGTATTGGTATCTTTAATCTATAGGTAGCTTCTAAAAAATTTGGACATTTATAACTAGTGAGTTATCGATCACTTGCTATATGACAATCATCCTCATTTTATAGAGAAAAAACTAGGGAATTTTGGTGAAACAAATAACCTTCGTATTCTCAGTTGACCTTAGACAAAGAACTCTTTTACTTCTACCCTATTGCTTTAACTCTTGGATCCAACACTTCTCACTGACAGCCCCATTGGTCTCTTGCATGCTTTATTTCTCCAAGCAAAAGTGGGCAGGACCAATGGAAATTGTGTATGTATCTATTTGTTTAATAACATTTCTTACTATCAATTATGTTCCAGGTCCTCTACCAGGCACTGGGGACACAGGATGCAATCCTGTAAGAGCTTTTCAGAAAGGTAATTGTACACCATTTTCGTGCAGCCTACGATTGAGACCATCCAAAGTTATCACATCAATGGTGGAAACACCTATGTGCTCAGGTAGCCAATACAGCTTTTAAACCTACTTAAGAGCAAGCAAAGAGAAATAATAAACACCTGACATTGAATTGGCCTGGGATTTTCGCCTATGATTTGGAGTGACTTTGGGGGAAACAAGTTAGGCATAGACAAATAAATGTAACGTGTCCACATGATTTTTCCCACATATATTAAGCTATCATTTTATCTATGATAAATGCATTTCCAGAGAAAATCTCCAGATTTATTAGAAGCCACTTACAAAAACCAGGCAACTTGCAGTTCCTGCTACCCATATTTTGTTATCTGACTTGTAGCCAACCTCCTGCAGATCCCAAAACTCATCATTTCCCTAAGACACAGAGGGAGGGGTGGGTTGAACTCATAGCTCCCCATGGAGGAGAATACTCAGAGTGGGCCCACAGTCCTCCCCGGATCTCTTTCTCCATCTTTTCCACTAATAGGTACAATGCAATAGGTGCATCACCCTCCTCCCAGTTCCCAACTTCCACGCGAGGCCATTTCTCAAGGTTGGTCTAGTCCCCAAAGAGCCACTCACTAACTCTCAGCTGGTTAGTTTTACATGGTCAGCCAGATTCCCACCTAAGCTGAGGAGAAGGAAATCCAGCTCCTTTGGGGGTAGAAGCAAGCACTTTCCACCCCTCACCCCACTGCCCCATCTAGAGGCACTGATTCTCTTATCCTTCACCCTGTGACCTCTCAGACACCTGTGGGAAGGCCCCAAGCAAGTATCAATGGATCACCCAGTACCTGATACCCAAAGCGCTCCCCACCCACCTGGGCTCCTCAGACAGCAGGAAGGGGATTATAACCTGTAATTTCTCATCTCGGTTAGCAGGTGACAGGCTCCCATAACATGGCATCCATATGGCGTCACCCCTTCTGTTGAGCACAATTTTAGGGCAAGATTCATACCGCTTCTCTCTGTGCTCAAAATAGATGCCCAAAATTGGGATAGAATTTACATAAGTTGGCTGAAGAGACTGTGTTCAATTAAAAAGCTTTTGTTGCCAAGGAATTTTTTTAGTTGATACATATGCTCCTTTATTGCAGTGCTTTAGGGGGAAAGATTTCAGCACTCTCTCTTCTCTCTCTCCATCTTCCTCCTGCTCTGCCTCCCCCACTTAGTAAATAAGGAGGTGGGTGGATATCTCCCCGGAAGCCTGAGTGAGCAGCAAATGAAGAAACCACCCATATGGAAATAACAGGAACCCTGACCCATGAGAAACAGAAGCCAGTGATGCCCTCTTGCCTAGCCTGGGGCAACGCAAGCCAAAAAGCTCTTCTCTGTGTGTATTCTGGCCTCTGCCCCAGAAAGAATGGGTCCTCCCACTTGCAAGCACCATAAATCCAATGGGATGTGTTTTCCACGGCACTGACACTGAAGTATGCATTTAAAAATATTAAGTGTGTTTTTTCAATCATGAAATGATACCGTTCCTGTGCAAAAATTTGGGAAACAGAAAAGTATAAAGGCAGAAAAAATTCACTGGCAATTTTACCATTCAGAGAACTCTTAACACCTCGGAGTATTTCCTTCCAGCCTTTAGTGAAACTGTGTATATTCACACAAATCTGGGATCGTCAAATATAAATACTTTTGCATTTTGGCGTTTTTGTGGAACATCGTATTGTAATTTCCTGAGCATTTTTCTATATCAAGTACGTTTTAGGAGCAGCACTTTTAATAGCAAAAAACTATAAGGTACTTAACCATTTCTCTATTGTGGATATTTATGTTATTTCCAATATTTTGTTGCTATTTTACTTAAATATTGCTGCATTTAACAGCCTTGACTCTTGGTATGCATCTGGGGTTACTTCTTTAGGATAAGTTTGCATGGGTTATGATATTCCATAGAGAAGACGAGGTGCCCTGAGCTTTTTACTTGCTGCAGGATTGGTTCATCTTATGATTAATGTGTGCATTTTTTACAATGCCTGTTTAGCATCAGAAATGATATCAGTGTTAAAGAAAGTAGTTTGGTTGTGGAATATATTTTCCCATGAAAAGCTAAATAACCCTAGGTCAGATATCTGTTGTTCTTGCCTGCTCAGCCTCCATTCCCCTCATTTCTGTTTAAGAGTGTACACTTCGGCAGGGCGCGGTAGCTCACACCTGTAATTCCAGCACTTTGGGAGGCCGAGGTGGGTGGATCACGAGGTCAGGAGTTCAAGACCAGCCTGACTAACTTGGTGAAACCCCATCTCTACTGAAAATACAAAATTAGCCGGGCGTGGTGACATGCACCTGTAATCCCAGCTACTCAGGAAGCTGAGTCAGGAGAATCTCTTGAACTCCAGAGGCGGAGGTTGTAGTGAGCTGAGATTGTGCCACTGCACTCCAGCCTGGGCAACAGAGTGAGACTCTGTCTCAAAAAAAAAAAAAAAAAACAAAAAACAAACAAACAAAAAAAAAAACGGAGTGTACATCTCTGCCCACTCTGCATTCTTGCGGTTCCAATGGAGCCTACTAAGCCCTCACCTTCGGGTTTGGAAGTAGCTAATCAGGTCACAGTGAAGGGTGGGCATTGGAATTTTGTCAGGAATAGGACAGAGGCTCTCTCTTTCCTCTGAGATTATTAATCAGGTGGAACATAAGCCCAGCAATGCTAGGAACCATCTCTGCCCCCACATGTAAAGAGTCTACTCAAGAACCAAACCAACCTCGACAAAAACAGAGCTAACAAATTGAGATAAACAGACTCCTCACAACATTTATAAACTCTGATCTACCTGTGCCTACAGCTAGCAAAACTACACCCAGAGATTTTGCAGTTATGTGAGCCATGAAATCCCTGTTATTACTTGAAATGATTTGAATTTGATTTCCATTTGGTACAATCAAAAATGTCCAGCTAACACAGACAAGCTTCAAGGATCAGAGGTTTGGGCTCGTCATACCTGTGTCATCTGCAAATAGGTTGCAGACAAACTATGTGATCATCTAACACCTGCTGTGAGTGGAGTTCTGTGCTAAAATCTGCAGGTGAAACTTCAGTAATTCCAGCTCCAGTCTTCTAGAAGTGTAAAGTCTGGCAAGGTGACAGGTTAAGAACACAGAAAACAAGCTAGTGCAGAACATGGGACCATGAGGGAGGAACCACTGGGTGTTCCTTAGGATGGGCAAGTCCCGTTGTACTGAAAAATCATTTTGTTATGGTGGGATTTAATTTAATCCTTGACATGTTGGTGGAGTTTTCATGAGTGAAGGTAGCAAATGAAGGAATAGCATGCCAACTAAACAAAGCAGGAGCGAAAAGGCAGAAGCTGGAAAGTACTACTGGTAAGCTAACACTGAGTGTGGAACTCAAAGGGGACCTTTGTCTCTCCCTTGCAAAGTGTCAATAAGCCATTAACTAAAGAGGGAGCTAGCCATTACCTGGAGTGTTATTATTATGAGATTATAACTGCCCTGAATTACATCTTTCAATGATGTATTTCAATGATTTTCTCACCTACTAAACAGAAGGCTTCTTGAGGTTAGGCATAGCCTTTACTCTGTACCCCCAGCTCTTGGCATATTGTCCTGTATTCTGTGGGTGTTCCCAAAAGATTCATTGACCACAAAGTAGCTTAAAGCTCATTGCAATGTTCAACTGAACACAATCTAACAGACGTTACAAGATAAAAACCTCACCTCGTGTCAGAACCTTTTCTTGGAAGTAGAGCAGGCAAGTGAGCACATCCGTTGTTTTCAACCACTAAATGCTCTTTGGCTCGGATAAGTGTCTTTCATTTTCCGAGATGATACTCCTGACCCACCATGCAAGACCTAATAAGCCACCTTGCTCGTAAATAAGAATGCAATACCAATGTTGCAAATTAAATTAATTACCCACGGACTTTGCTTTGTTTGTTCTTTTAGTTCTTCGAGCTAGCCACACTCTTTTCCCACTTCCTGTCATGACCTTACTAGATGTTTCTATATATCTATTCTAATATCTGACCAGGTGCAAAGCTGATTGGTGAGTTTTCTGGGCAGAATTTTCTGGCCCAGGGTTTCCTAGACATTTCTGATCATGAGAATCACCTGGGGAGCTTGGTAAACATGCAGATTCCTGAGTCTCACCTTTGGAAATCCTGATTCAGTAGGCTTGGATTGGGGCTGAGAAATCAGAGTTCGAAACAAGCACCCGAAGTGGCACTTTGGATAAATTTAGAGAACCCGGCAACTCAACAGAGCTATGCTGGCTGTAACATGCTAATTAACCGCAGTCATGAGCAAGTAGTTAATGTGTATAAAAGTAGTCCCATAACATGGAAAGACAACTGTCAAGAGAATCAGATATCATAGACTCAGATCCTGACTCTAATAATCACTGGCTGGGTGACTTTGAGCAAATTACGTAACCTCTTTGAACTTGTACTTCTGCCTTTGTCAAATGCAGAAGGCATTACTTGCCTCTTTCCCTCCACGGAATCTAATTAGATGATGCATGTAAAAGTGTATCATCTATGGGAGGAATTGTCAGTGTGCAGTCTTGGCTGCCAGCAGAAGCCATACGATGATGTGTTTGGTGGAAGAGATGAGATAAGCCTCACCACAGTTGCCAGGGATTTGTAAATATTAGCTCCACAGAACCACTCATGGCACACTTGTCCAATTTTGTGCCAACACAACAAAGCTGGAAGGTCATCTCCATAAATAACAATTAGCATTTATTGAGCACTTACTCTACAACAGGCATGATTCTGGATTAATTATTCAGATTCATCAATTTAATCCTCATATAAGTTCTGTGAAAAAAAGTCCTACTTTTACTGCCATTTCACAATTGGAGAAACTAAGCTGTGACTTGGCTGCAGTTAAATAATCTACCTGAGGTAAAACTGAGGCATAGCTAAGTGACCTATGAGAGGTTGCACAGCTGTCAAGGAGCAAAGTGAGGCTTTGAACGCGGTCTGGCACCAGAGCCCCTATTTCAGTCCCACTAAACCAAGGTGATTTCTCAAGGTGACGGATACTCCCCACAAGGAAAGGCAGAATGTCCAAGGTCTCCAATCATCTCTTTCATTACTCCTCTAAAAAAAATGCCAAAGGTGGTAATTTCCTATAGACTACCAATTCATATCCATTTGCCATCTCTGGAGTTCAGTTTTTCCCCCAAGTGTATCTCAACAGCTATTACAGAATATTGGATCTTGGGCAGGCACGGTGGCTCACGCCTGTAATCCCAACACTTTGGGAGGCTGAGGCGGGTGGATGACGAGGTCAGGAGTTCAAGACCAGCCTGGCCAAGATGGTGAAAACTCATCCTACTAAAATTGCAAAAATTATCCAGGCGTGATGGCAGGTGCCTGTAATCCCAGCTACTCAGGAGGCTGAAGGAGAGACCAGCCCAGGTGACAGAGTGAGACTCCATCTCAAAAAAAAAAAAAAAAAATTGAATCTTAATGGAATGTTAGCAAACATTTAGTCTTGGTGGGTCTCATACTACAGCCCCATATACAAGTGTTTCCCTACAAATTGGTACGGCTCTTGTTTTTAGAATAGCACCTGCCTTTCAGAAAAGCACACACTATGTACTGTGGCATTGTCTATACCTGGACATTTCACAGCTGTCTGGCTTCTAAACATACTTGAATGTGCTCCTTTAATCAAGTCCCACCCCTCAAAGAGGAAACAAAGAGCCCAGACAAATGAGAAGGATTGCCCAATTTCAAAGCAAATTAATGGCTGAATCTGGAATAGATCCCAGTCTCCCAACTCTTAGATCACTGTTCTTCCAATCCATGACAGGAGAAATCATGGCAGTTTCCTGGCCATCCCCCCAAAAACAGGAAGTGCAGCAAGAAAGTGTGATGAGAGCTGGAGACAGGGGACAGGGAGCATTTCCTGGTTCCCAGTGAATAGACTTTTGTTCATTCTGATGGAGGACAGGACAGGACAGGAGCCCAGAGAGCAGCCACTTGCCCCAGACAGTGCCCAGTAATTGTAATGGTGCAGCTGGGAGTCATTATTGTCTGCCTGGAAAATGGGAGCACTTAGGAAGGGCCCCCCACCAGCCCAAGGAGGCAGGAGAGTCGAGGCTGCCAATGCAATTGTAGCATTTTAATTGAAGCCTGCAAGGAAGAATACAGGAGACTGGCCGCTTTCTCTTTGGCCTCGCAAAGAAAGGAGAAGGGGGAAGGAGAGTGGCACAAAGCCGCCTCTCCCTGGGCTGCGTTCAGGTTGCCATCTCAGAGAGGCTTGTAGCTCTGGAGAACTTTTAATAGAATTCTGCCGAATGAAATGGGCTACAGCTGTTTGCCTTGATAAATATATTTTATGCTACATGCCTCAGCCGCCATCTGTTTGCTGATATGAGCACTTCTTCGTGGCAACTAAGGAGAAGTCATCAAAAGGCATAACAGGAGACGGGTTTGGGAGCAGGTAGGGAGGGTGAGGAGAATGGGACAGGGGAATTGTCTTCAGGCCAGAAGGAGCCAGCCTGGGATAAAGAAGATGGGTGCAGGCTTAGAATAGGGAAGTGCACTGGGCAAGGCAGATAATCTACCTCCCATGCACTCTCCAGTGAGCTTTCGGCATACCCTCATTGTCTTCAGTCTTTCCTCCCTCCACCGCCTGCCTTTAGCCTCTAAAATTTAAACCAAGATGAAGAAAGGAAGTATAACAGTGCCACTTCCCAGCCAGCACTGGCCCATGGCAAGCATGCCCAGTGGCCCCTGGTAAGAGCAGCTGCTCGCCTAAGTCAGTCCCAGCCAACAAGGGGTCTCGGTTCCCTGCACCTAATTCCACTGTTCACTGAGCAACAGCTTCCAGCTCCTCTGCTCATGGCTGAATGCCCAACAAATATGGATGGGGCAGAAGCTAATGCCCCTGCCTGCAGGTAATGCAACCTAGTCAGGAGCCAAAGCAAATCAAGGAGAAGTTTTGGAGCTCTTCTGCCAAGCCTTGTAGCCACACAGCTACCCACCCCTGCGTGGACTGGAGAGATGGTTCGCATGTGCTTAGAATGGATTTGAGGTGGGAGGCGGGTGAGGGATGAAAAATTACCTATTGGGTAAAATGTACACTATTTGGGTGAGAGTTACACTAAAAGCCCATGCAATATATCCGTGCAAGGAGACTGCACTTGTAGCCATTAAATCTTTAAAAATAAAAAAATTAAAAATAAATGGGACAAGGTATAAGACAAATCACATCATATGCTTCTGTCTCCAAAGCTGCCTAATTTTTTAAAAGGCAAATTCTGGTTACTATGAACGTTAAGGGTATCCTGAAAGAAAAAACAAAAGGAACCACAGTGGCCCTTGAACAATATGGGAGTTAGGTGCATTGACTCCCTGCACAGTCAAAAATTCACTTATAACTTGACTTTCCTAACACTTCACTGCTAATAGGATACCATTGTCCGGAAGCCTTACTAATAACATAAGCACACAACTTTGGTCTCTAAAATTAAAACCAAGATGAAGAAAAGAGTTGTAACAGTGCTACCTCTCAGCCAGCACTGGCCCACAGCACTGGTATACACATATTTTGTATGTTATATGTGTTATATACTGCATTCTTACAATAAAGTCAGCTAGAGAAAATACAATGTGATTAAGAAAATTTTTTGAAGACAAGAATGGCTATGAAGGAGGAAAGATGTACCCATTATGGGGCTCTAAAATATTTTCATGAAGGACAGTAGATTTGCTCACTCTTGAACCATCAAATCAAGAAAACACAGGGACTACCTTAAGAGAAACCAGCATCCTTGGGGAACGGCTAAGATATTTAGATATTTCTGCTTTCTGAGCGCAGAGTCTACATGAACTTGCCTTCCCTCCCCTCGCTTAGGAAAAAATGCGAGAGGCCGGTGTGACTCACGGCTGTCCTGAGTGTTTCCTATTTCTGGCATCCCATGGCATCACCTACCCATCTCTGTCTCCCACATGCCAGCCCCTCTGCTGTTCCACTCAGAGAAGCTCAGCCTGCCCGGAAATGGAGTAAGTGTGTGTGGATCCCACATAGCACCACCCAGGAGCAAACTGAACCCCCAGTGTGTCTCCCTGTCCCCTGCTCCTTCCTCTGTCCCTAGCTGAGTCATGGGACTGGGGAAGCTACCACTCAGATTCCTCCTGTGAGCAGCACAGAGACAGAGTGTCCGTACAGCTGCATCCCATACCCTCCTTCCATACCCCATTGAGGCTATGAGCCTCTAAAATAGCTGGCTGTGGAGCAGGTTTTTGATGCTTGAGGTTAGAGAGGTTATTATTCCTGGCTGTGAAGAACAAATGGACAGCTCAGAGACATGCAAAGCAAAAGGAAAACTGGGTAGCTGAAGAGGGGGTACAAGCTTCCAAAAACACATTAGTCACAAACAAACTGGACCGCGCACCCGCTGCTCAGTGCCACCTCCTCCCGAGGACGTGGGCAGGGTGACTGCTGGTGACATGCTCTGAGAAGCTCTGACAGAAGGCACTAAATCATTGTGTACTGAGCTTTGTGATTTTGGGTCCAAGAAACCAAGTGCTTTGGATGAGCTTCAGAACTGCTGGCTGTTCACCGCAGCCAGAGCGAGCCTCCGGCTCCGTCGAAGCACCAGCCCCTGGTGTTAATAAGTGTTTCCATGGCACTTGATATTTTGCAATTATCTTTTCTAACACGTCTGCCTTAGCAGAAGTAGCAGGCCAAGTGTGCATTCTTCTGCCCTCCCTTCTTCCTGCCAGCTTTTGAGGAAGCCATCCTGGCTCCCCTGCACACCGTGAGAGGGGATGAGTAGGGGCCACCACTGGAAGGGGCCCCGAGTCTGCAGCCTCCTCCATCCCCACTCACTGCCTGGCTCCACACCCACCTCTTCTTCCACTCTTTCAAGGCCAGCTGAAGCCAAACTCCCTCAATTCATGCATCTATTTATTCATTCAGCAAATACGTGTCGAGCACTTACTATATGCCAGGCACTGCTTCAGGCATCAAAGATACAGCAGTGAAAAAAAAAAAAAATTCTCTGTCCTCATGTAACTCACATTCAATTAGGAGGTAGATCATAGGCAGTTAAATATTTAATGCTATGAGTAAAAATAAATCTGGGTAAGGGGTAGAGAGGGATAATATTGTAGATCTAGAAGTCAGAGGGCTTGAGATCTGAGCAGAAATCTGAATAAAATGAGGGAGCAAGATAGGCAGGAGACCAGGGCCCCTTTGCATAAAGACCCTGAGGTGGGAGCACAGCAGGTGTGGAGAAACAGCAAGGAGGCCAGCTGGGCTGGACTGGAGCCCTTGTGGGGAATGTGTTGTCATGGTAATAGATGTGGCCAAAGAGGGAGCAGGGACTCTGACCAGAAGGCTTTTCTTCTCTAGCGATGATTGGACGCCCTTCTTTGAAGTCCTGTATTAGCCCTGCCCCAAGTGGTTCATTTGGGCCTTGTCTGACACCTGCTTCATCATTTCATACACTTGTGCGTTCTTTACCCAAAGCAGTTGAAGTTTCCCCAGATTTCCTAACAGATCTTTTTCAAGCCCCATGGTCATCCCAACCCTTCCTCCTTTCTAACTTGCCAAGCTTCTTTCCATTGCCTCCTGGAATCCAGATGTTACGGACAAAGCACACCTCCTGAGTTCTATGGTTCCTTGAACCCACCCAAGTGCTTAGCAGCACTCATACTTGCAGCTTTCATTTTAATCAGACAGTAGTTCCACTGTTCAAATTAATCTTAAACAGCAATCTGTCTTTTGAGAAGGCATTTATGTATTCAGCAGTCATTAATTTATGCATTTAACTTTAAATATTTTTTAATTTACTTTGTGATTAAAAAAAGAAGCATCTGGAAACTATGCTAGATGCTGAGGATAAAGGGATGAGCAAGATAGCAGCAAGTCTAGTGGACAGATAAATGAGAATTAGAGAAGTAAATGCTAAACAAAAAAACAAATGAAGTGCCATGAGGCCACAGAGGACAAGGCGATTCGTATTTGATTATTTTTGGAGAAGACAAGGGAAGTTTTACAGTGGGGACTGACATTATAGGTAGGGATTCAAATATGTGTAGGCTCTTTCCCAAAGCCGCCCTCCTACTAAAGCAAAGTATCTCTCCTCTTAGTACTCCTTCCAGACAAGGGAGTGCAAGACATTAGAACAGGGGTCCTTAACAGGCAGTGATTGTGTCCCAAGGGACATTTGGCAATGTCTGGAGACATTTTTGGTTGTCATGACTGTGGGCAGGAGAGTGCTACTGGCTTCTAGTGGGTAGAGGCCAGAGATGTTGATAAACATCCTATAATGCACAGAACAGTTCCCCAACAATGACCTGGGCCCAAAGGTCAGCAGTAGTGCCAAGAATGAAAGACCCCATGTTAGAAGTAAAGGGAGCAACAGGAGCAGAGGCATCAGGTTGCAGAACTGGCCTGGCAAGTCAGAAGGGCATGGCAGGCCTAGGGAACAGCAGAAGTTCAGGTGTGAAGCAGAACTATAGAGTAAACGAACAACGTGGTAGGAGATGAGGCTGGAAATATAGGTACGAGCCAGAGAGAGAACGGTCTCATTCACCAAGCTGTGACGTTTTGCTCCATAGGCAATAAGGAGCCAACTAAAGAGAAAGCTGAAGTAGGTGAGAACAACAGCTGGCAATTATTGACCCGCAACTCTGGGTCAAGAGCTTCATTACATTACTTACTCCTAACAAGAGAGAGACACGCATAGGGCAGTTATTATTATTCCTACTTTACACATCAGGAAATAGAGAAACCAAAGCCCATAAAAGGGGAGTTGCCTGCCCAAGGTCAGCCTCGGGTTTGGTTACAACAAAGAACCCAGATTCTGGCCAAGATCTATCTAGCACCTGGGCCACTAGCCTTACTGGGCAGAATAGCCTCCACCAGTCTGGCCTCTGCTGGGGCTGTGAATCCACACTGGCTTTCATAGAGAGCCATCCCCTCATCCCCAGTGAACTGTAGCCACAGTGTTCTGTACACAGAGGTGCTGAACAAGACCCTTCTGAAGGAAGGGAACGCTGGATAACACATAAATCCATTTGGAATCAATGACATTCATTGATTCCATTCTTCTACCAATTGACATATTCTGGGCCTCAGAAAACATGTTTTAATTACCTCTAGAGAAAAATTGAGCATTTACTGGCCTTTTCTCTTTTTTTCTTTCCTTTTCTTTCTCTTTTTCTTTTTGTTTCTTTCCTTTTTTCCTTCTTTTCTTCCTTCATTCCTTCCTCTTTCTTTTTTCTTCCTTTATTTTCCTTTCCTTCTTCCTTTTTTTTAGGTGTGGTTGGCAAACTATGATGTATTCACCAAAATTAATTTCCTTTTCCTCCTGAGCACATACCCAAACTACACTTCCCAGCGCCCTCTGTGGCCATGTGACTGAATTCTAGCCAATGAAATCTCAGTGAATGCTGACTGTGCCTCCCCCGGGCATGGCCCATAAAACCACTCATGTACTAGTCCTGCTCACTTTCCCCAGCTGCTGCCACACAGAAGATGTGAAGGGCATATGGTTCAGTAGAGACACAGACAGAAGGACCACGTGTCCCTGGGTCCCAGAGAGGCTGCCGGCCAACCAGTTATGTATGCATTTGTCTCAACGTGAATAACAAACTTTTGTTGGGTTAAGCTACTAATATTTGGAAGTTGTTTGTTACAGCAGATAAATTTACTTTCCCTACCTAATACAGGCAGCATGGGCGAGAGATACAGCACTTAGAATGGAGTTCCTTGCATGCACAGAAAATTCAAACAAGTGGCTTCTTACACTGAGGTCCAGTCATAGGCAGATACAGCAGTCATCAGGTACCAGTGTCCTCCTAAACGTCTGCTTTAATACCTCTAGGATGTGATTCTGTCATCGAATTTGCCTCAAGATCCAAACAGATGTCCACATATTAGGCAGAAAGAAGGAGGAAGAGAAAAATCGTCCCCCAGCTGAGTCAGCTTCATTGAAGAGCTTGCCTGAAAGCCCCACCTGATGACTTCTACTTACCTCTGATGGATGGGCCAGGCCCACTTGCAAGGGAGGCAAACAAGGTGCATCATTTTCCTTGATATCTTGTTTCCCAGGGGGAAGAAGTCAACATTCAGTTAGGAAGAAAATGGAGACTGGATATTGGGTGGGAAACTAGGAGTCTTTGTTAAAAGGGAGGGAGGGAATAATGGTTTAGGCTGAGAAGATACTGCCCAGACTAGTGATGTCATTTTCCGCTCCCCTCTTAAGTGCTGGGCTGTTTCTGGCTTCAGCAGCCTATGGATGGGGAAAAGACGTGGATCTCTAAAATGGCTCTGCCCTGGAAGGAGGGGCTAGAGAGCTGAAGTGCCTGCCACCCCATCCTCTCTTGCTTGATTGCCTCTAAGACAGGATTCATCCCACTTATCTCTTGCACTCAGAACAAGCTCTCTGCACACTCACTCTCGCGTCTCTTTCCCAAAGCTGCCATCCTACTAAAGCAAAGCATCTCTCCTCTTAGTACTCCTTCCAGCACATCTCCCACAAAGGGGAAGCAGCCGGGAAGGCTCCTGGGAAGGAGCTGCGTTGGCGCTCCTGATCACTGGCTGCTTTCACTCCTTCACACTTAACACCATAAAAACACACATCTCCTGCCACGAGACTGAGCCAATTTCCAAGTCATATGTGGAGTTATTGCTGCTTTCTCTGCCTCTCCTGCTTGATGTTGCTAAATGCTGTTCCCTGTGGCACTCAGCACAGGCCTGCAGGGAGAAAATAACACAGAATTAACCCTGAACATAGGTGTGGGGGTGCAAGAAAACCAGATTTACCAAAATGAAAATAATAAAGGGCCAGTAATCACCCCCTTAATGTTAGCTCTTTGGGGTGCCACACGGGGGAAAAACTGTGCTGTATTTTCCATTTATAATCAAATGCACTCAATTAGTCCCTCTTCTTCCCACCTGCATGCCCAGGCAGTAATGGCAAAGAGGCAAGCTGAAGAAATGGAAATCAGCCTGCCCTGGCATCTGTCCCCCAGGTAAACAAGCATGGAAGGGGAAGGACCACCTAACTGAACAATGCACTGGTCATGAGCCAAGGCTGGCTCCAATAGCTTATGCCCTGGGCACTCGTATGCTGAGATTTCAGGCATAGACTTTACATAGTTTGGCATAATTCAAGATTTAACAGCAGGTAGAACTGCCTCTGTTTGTCTTCTCCTATTTCTATTTCATCGTGTCTGATTTCCTTTTATCCCTCTGCTATGAGAACCATCAAGGATACTTTGGTAATCTAGGGCAGCACTTCCAAATTTTTAATGTGCTTACACACCACTTGGAGATCTTGTTAAAATGAAATTCTGATTCAGTAGGTCTGAGGTGGGTCTGAGATTCTGAATTCTAACAAGCTCCCAGGTAATGCCAATGCTGCTAGTTCATGGAGCATACCTTCACCTTGATGTTCTCGGCAAATAAACTTGTATGGGGTTAAGCAAATGAGATTTGGAGATATGTTTGTTAGAACAGGATCTAGAAGGCAACCAGGACCTTGGATGGAAGACTTGTGCCTTTTAGAATTGCTGATTCCTGCACCTCAAAAGTTCATGTGTCTTAAGACTTGGAGGTATATTTAAAGCCAGAGCACTCTGACAAATGACTCAGCCATGCAACGTCAAGCTGTCTATGAGAATAGACTTGTTTCCAAGAAGCATCATTGATTTTACACAGGCTATAAACAGGTGATTCTTCACTGGATGGTAAAACTGTGGAGAGTTCTGCCTGCAAGTGGCATCCCAAGCAGAGGGGCCAAAAAACCTTATGCTTCATTCCTTCTTTGATATCATCAAATGGCTTTGTCAACAGCATCTCAAAGACTGATGACCCGCTAGGCACAGTGGCGCACACCTGTAATCCCAGCACTTTGGGTGGGTGGGGTGGGAGGATCTCTTGAAGTCAGGAGTTTGAAGCCAGCCTTGGCAACAAAGTAAGACCCTGTCTCTTGAAAAAAAGAAAAAAAAAATGAGGACCTTGGAGAAACTAAGGCAGAACACAATGTGCTCAACAAAGCACAAAAATCTGAAGGCCTTTTCCATGTAAGCTAGCCTCACAAGGATCACCTGGCAATGTTAGGAATAATAGAGTCCAGCCCAGTACTACCTTTCAAAGTGCCCACGACCACCTTACAAGCACACGTCAGCCGTCACGTGAAAGGGCCTCTTGAGTCTGGAGCTTCTTTAAGGACAATATCCAGAGCCACTCACTCCTCCCAGTTTTTTGCTCCTCACATAAACTTCTCCCCCTTCTTCTAGCCACTGCACTCACCCTTTTTCTCCCAGATCTTCCCAGTTGTTCTTTGGTTTGTCCTTGCTTCACTCTTGGGATATGACACACTCTACTGTCTTCCCAATGACAAAACCCTGTAACTTCAGCTTCTCTTGTCTCTATTTCAGTCTTTGGAGTAAGAATTACATCTTTCGGCCACCTCAGGGAAGACTCTTCCCACACCAGACTCTCTCCAGTTTATATCATCCGCTCCATCATTTCAGTTATCATCTGTGTGCTGAGATATCCCCAGTCTACATCTCCAGACCAAACTTGTCTTCAATGTTCCAGACTCAAATATCCACAGGCACATCAAATTCAACATGTTCTCAGCTGTACCGATCAGCAAGCCTGAAAGAACAAAAAGAAGAGAGGAAAGCAAGAAGGAAAGAAAGAACTCGCTTTTTCATCCCTCACCTTGTGAAATGACTCAGTGGCCCATGCAGCTGCTCTGCCAGACCCCTGGGAACCATTGGCGCTCGTCCCTCCCTCATCCTCTGCCAGGTCAACCCACTTTTAAGTCCTGTGACTTCCATCTTCTAAATTGCTGAGAATCTGCCATGTTTTTGACTACTTTGGGGTCTTCACACAATGCTTCCCCCATTACCCCTGCTTGGGTACTTTTCCTTCTCTTTTTAAACGGTTTACTATTAATCTGCAGGGCTATGTTCCAACTTTCCCTGACTCTGCTACAACACATTATTTATTATTATTATTATTATTATTATTATTATTATTATTATTATTACTACTGAGTGAGTAACATGAGAATGTGATAAATGAATGCTAAGTGAGTTGGAAAAAGCCATTAGGAAGTTAGACATTTTAACAGGAGATACATTGCCCTCGGCATTCATGTCATTTAAGCAACACTGCAGGGGACATGGATATTTTCCCCAGGAGTATGATTCCCAATTATTCCAAGAAAGAAGAACTGCCCCCATGACTCAGCACAGAAAGCAAACTCTGTCCACTGGTGATGCCTTTTTCTCTCCAGAGATCAGGTCCCTGTAGGTGAAAGTTTACCACACAAATTCCCCTCTGACTTATTTCTGGTCAGCAGGGAGCTAGGAGAGATGAGCGATTGTTTAGAAGAGGTTAATGAGCCCATGGGCTGGCTGTTTCAGACCATTGTTTCTCACCCTTTCTTTGTGCCTCTCATCCTTCTGCCTGGGAACACTTCTCATGTAAATCTTTCTAGTCCATGAAATGCAGCCCAGTTTTCCATGGTGCCTTATACTGTCTGCCTGAAAATGCTTTATAGAAGCTAATAAACAAGGCAGACAGGTTGCATGATGTTACGTGAACTAGATTCTCAAGACTTGATTCCCAAGTGCTGAGTCTAATACTTACTCATGACATGAAGGTGGGCGAGTTCCTTAATATCCTCAAGACTCAGTGCCTCCATTTATAAATCTGATCCCTGTCCATCACAGTTATGCTAATCATCAGAAGTAATATTGACATTTTATAAACTCTAAGCCATGCTGCAAAAATAAACGTTACTACTACTGATGATAATTGCAAATTATAAATAAGTTTTTGTGGGGAGCTGGTTACAAATTGTTCCAAAATTATTAAACATGATCAGAGAAAAAAAATGAAGCAGAGGGAAGATGACAATGAGTCATAAGAAGAAGAGAACAAAGATACCAACATGAGAGAGTTTGGTGGTGGGAAGGGGCTGGGGATGTCAGGAGGTGGGGGTAGAGAAGCAAGCAGCGTCAATTCATGCAGACCCTTGCAGACCATGTGAGGGAGTTTGGATGTTTTTCTAAAGATCATGGGAGAAATCAAAGTGTTTTAAGAAAAGGAGCATCTGGATAATTTTTCTTTTTTACTTAAGAAAGTCGCTTATGCTGGGCGAGGGTGGCTCACGCCTGTAATACCAGCACTTTGGGAGGCAGAGGCAGGTGGATCAGGAGGTCAGGAGTTCGAGACCAGCTTGACCAAAATGATGAAACCCCGTCTCTACTAAAAATACAAAAATTAGCCAGGTGTGGTGGCGCGTGCCTTTAATCCCAGCTACTTAGAGACAGAGGCAGGAGAATTGCTTGAACTGGGGAGGTGGAGGTTGCAGTGAGCTGAGATTGCGCCACTGCACTCCCTCCTGGGCAACAGAGTGAGACTCCGTCTCAAAAAAAAGAAAGTCATTTACACTGCAATATGAAGATTAGACCCGAGTGAGGTGAGACCAGAAGCAGAGAAACCAATGGAGGACTCTAGCAGTGACTCAAGTGAGAGATGGCAGTGGCTGGCTCTGGGAGAGTGGCACTGGGGGTGAAGAGAAGTGGATGGATTCTGCAACTAAATGGGCAGTAAACTTCAGACATCACAATCCCCTCTCAGAAATCTCAGCTCAGCAGCTACAAAGTACTCCCACTAGGAAGGCAGACTGGATTAGCAGGGAGACAAGACACCAAACTTGTAATTAGAAAATCCATATTTGATTCTTTGACTTGCAGTTGATTAATTAATTCTTATCATTAGCTAAGTGGATTAGGCAAGTCACTTAACCTCTCCAATCCTCAGTTTCCGCATCTGTAACATGGGCATAATAATAATTGCCCTGCCCCACTTGCTAAGGTGGTTGTAAAACTCAAACCAAATATAATGAATGAAGATGTGCTTTGTAAATTGCCACACACTGCATAATTGTAAAGCAGTCTGAGCATTCTTCAGAGACCCAGTCAAACCAAACACAAAAGGAATAGACACAAGAGGAAAATGAACATTCAGCTTCTAATCTGGGCCTCTTACCTGATACTTCCTTGGCCTATCTTGATTTTGTAATAGGCCGAGGTTTATTTCCATGGTTCCTTATATTTTATAAAGCCTTTCGTGGTGAGAAAACTTTGGGAAAATCTTATTAGATACAGCAAAGACCAAAATCAGCACAAAACTCACATATAAAAGCCTTAGCAAAAAAATAAGGACTTCTCTAGAGGCTCTATATGTGCTTAAATGGTGCAGAGAGCTAAATTGTGAAATTACAAATGAGATGTGGAATGGCATATTTGATTATACAGAGTCATCTTCAATGCCTCATAACATGTAAGAAATTTGAGAGACTGTTTATCCGGCACCGAACGCCAGAAGGAATCTGCAGAAGAACTGAGCGAGTTCTAATAGGGCATTGAGAAGACAGAGGGTAGGTTTCCAGAGGAGCTGCATGGGCTCTTCTTCATGCCTGAGGCCCTAATCCCACTTTCTCCACCATATTTCAAAGGCTCACATGGACATTATTTGGTTTGACTCACTGGAGAATAAACAGAAAGATTAGCTCTGTTTTTCACAGGTAATGAGACTGTGTCATAAAACAATTATAAGGCATGGTCTGTACTCTCAACAAATTTATGACCCAGTAGGGTCCAAAGATAGCCCTGTGATATAAAGAGCTGCCCTACTCAGCCCAGTGCTAATGTGGTGTTCTATACCTGGTGGGAGACAGGACAGCAGAGGCTTTGCAGCCTGGCCACCCTGGAATTAAATCCTGACTCTACTACTTACTGGCCTTGAGGACTTGGATTTCCTCAACTGTAAAGCAAGGATAGCAATGCTTGCCTTAAAATGCTGGTATAACTAAATGAAATACCATGATACATATAGGGTGCATAGCCTAGCGCACCCACACTGGCAGTGTTCAATAGCTATTAAGACACCACGTGTGTTATAGATGGCCCTTATGACTAAGGGTGTAGTGGAAAGCATCCAGTGACCCAGGGGCTGAAAAGAAGGGAGGACTTGGCCTCCTTTGATTCCTAGGTGGCACCTGAGTCCTAGCTACAGTATCCCAAGATTCAAATGTTATAGTAACAATGTTGACAACTGAAGAATTCTGCATTTCTCCAAGTAGAAGCCAAGACAACCAGACAAAAGCAGTTGCCCTCCCCCCAACACCCAACTTCTGTTGGAGCATCCAGAGCCTATCTTCTGTCCCCACTTCTAACCTTCACTTTTCTGTCTCTGCCTCTGGCCATGGGACCTCAGAGGAACCGGAGCTGCTGTGCCAGGTCCATCTGCAGCAGACCAGCCCCTGGAGCTGCTGACGCTGCAGCAGCACCCAGCAGGCAGGTGTGTGAGAGGCACACACAGAAGAGAACAGATTGAGAAGTGCTTTGGGATGTCTCTGGCACAGATGCAAAGGCAGAAGGGGAACTTTTCTCTGTGCTCTCTCTTTCCACCCCTCCTAGCAATTCAAGGAGAAGGGTGAGAGATTGGAGATTGGAGCTGTTCGTCTGAATCCAGCAATGTCCTGTGTCTCCTCTTCAAATCCACACAAATGATAATGTGACCCTGGAGGTCGACATCCATGCATGTTTATTAAAGCCCATGTGTAAAGGTCCATGCCACTCCCAACCACATAAATTTATATTTTGACTATAGAGGGAATATATTAACTCAGCACAGAAGACAAAATAAACAATAAATCTATGTGTGTGGCCAGGCACCGTGGCTCACACCTGTAATCTCAGCACTTTAGGAGGCCAAGGCAGGAGGATAGCCTGAGCTCAGGAGTTTGAGACCACCCTGAGCAACATGGTAAAACCCTGTCTCTACTAAAATAAAAAAATTAGCCAGGCATTGTGGTGTGTGCCTGTAGTCCCAGCTACTCGGGAGGCTGAGGCATGAGAATTGCTTGAGCCCGAAGACAGAGGTTTCAGTGAGCCAAGATGGAGCCACTGCACTCCAGCTTGGGCTACAGAGTGAGACTCCATCTCAAAAAAATAAAAAAAATCTGTGTGTGTGTGTGTCTGTGTGTGTGCACAAGCTCATGCATATGTTGAGATAGAAGGGATGGGGAGATAGGACACTTACATATTTTAATTTTATTTTACTTCTTAATCAGTTCTAAATGAATAAGGATGGGACTTACAGATAATGAAGAAACAGGACAAAGACATAAAGAGAAATATTTCTTCTACTGGGCTCTCTTGCTTTTCTTCATGCCATAACCACTTTCCAAGAAGAGTCCACAACAGCATTACAGCATTTCCTAAAATTTGTTGCATTTTATAATTCTTGTACACACACACAGATGCACACAAAATTTAAATGCCATTTCTCAGTCTGAGGAGTTTTCAGACTCTGCCTAATGTCTCAGCTAACTCAATCAATAGGAATATGCTAAACACCTACCATGTGCAGCATACTGTACGAGATATCCCAGAAGACACAACACAAGAAGGCACAAGATTTTCCCTGTGCTTATAATCAGTCACGAAGCCCCACTGATTTGCTCTGCTAAATATGTCCCTAATCTGCCAATCCCTCCCTGTGCCCTTATCATCTTTTTTGCAGACCTCCTACCAATCAGCTCAGATGCCACATCCTCAATCCCCATGGTCCTGACTCAGTCCTCTGCTTTGCTTAATATTCCTGTTTGCATCCTCAGAGACCTTAGGATTATGTTTTCTGTAGCACTTACCATATGGTATTAAAATCATGTGTTTTCAGATCTGCTGCTCACCCTACACTGATTGTAACATCTTAAAGGTCTTTTTACCCCTTTAGCACATAGCACAGTATCTACCGCTCTCAGTATCTGCTCCAGTAACGACTGCTCACCGGTGCTCAGCCTCCATCCAACACGTTCTGCCATGTGTTGTATCTGCTCATGTATCCAACAACCTCCCTAACATGTATGGTCTCCTCAAGGATAGGACCCAATTCATCTTGGAATCTCCCGTGCCCAGGTGCCAACAGGCTGCAAGACTTCTCTGCAGATTTATTTGAGGCCTGGGCCCCATTGGGCCATGAGGCCCCAGGCAACTCTTGTTATATCATGCTGAGATGTGGGGAAAGGGATGAGCTGAAAGGGAAGGAATTCCAGTTTAGATGCTGGATAATGACATAATTTATGGATGAACTAATGTCAGTTCATTGTATTTTACCCAAGTTTTTGTTTTGAAAATTTTTAAACCTGCGGAAAGTTGAAAATATAGTGAAAACTCATCTTTCGTTCCCTTTGATTGCTAACGTTTTGATCTGTTTGTGTTCTCTCTTTCTCTCTGTGTTTGTGTATTTATCTCCCTCAGTTGAATATTTTTGCTAAACCATTTGAAAATTAGTTACAGATATCTTAAATTTTCTAAGAACTAGTTATGAACAAATGAAAGAATGAATGAAGCCATGCATGAATCCATAAATTTCTGAACTCCTTTCGAGTTCTCTATGGCTCTTTCTAACTCTAGGAGTTGCCATGTACCACAAGAGCACACTGAAAATAAGCACCCACATTTCACAGGGTAGGGGATGGAGGAGATAATTTTCAGCTAGAACAGTTGGGAAAGGTTTCAGCTAGGCCTGGATGGGGAAGATTTGAATATACTTATGAAAAGGGGAGAACATTCCAGGACAAAGGGAGTGCAGCAACAAGGTACAGTGGGCAGGAGAAGCAAGCCCTCCAGGCACCACGCTTACTCACTATCTGATTTGTGTGGAAAATGAAGAAATGAGGTTGGCTTTTTTACCCTTCTCATTTCTCTTCATCCACTTCAGAATTCTCAGAGCTAGCATGTTATTCAATTCTTTCAACACATGCGATTCTTCATTAACATAAAGTTTCTGTGGTAAGGTGGGAGGGTCATAGGGTGACCCATGGTCCCAGTTTGGCCAGAACTAAGGGTTTTCTGGGACTCAAGACTTTCAATGCTAAAACCAGGCAAGTCCCAGGCAAATGAGGATGAGATGATCACCCTAGCCCAACTGCAGAGATGGAAAAAAAATGAAAGAAGCCTGATAAAACTTTTAAAACCACTTTTCACCCCTCTCCTACTGTGGGCCCTAGTTCCTGATCTGTTTTTAACTTTGGGAACAAAAGGAAATAGTTTTAAAAGTGAAAGAAAATATTCTTTCTCTCCAAGAAGTTTTCTCTCATGCCTTCCCCTCCTAATTTAGGTTAGGTGCACTACCTCGGTGCTACAATATGAAAATTGCTACCATGCATTTACCAATTATTGTGTGGCAATAATCTGTAGTCTGTGTTCCCCAGATACACAATCCACTCTTTTTTTTTTTTTTTTTTTGAGATGGAGTTTCACTCTTGTTGCCCAGGCTGGAATGCAGTGGCGCGATCTCGGCTCACTGCAACCTCCGCCTCCCAAGTTCAAGGGATTCTCCTGCCTCAGCCTCCGGAGTAGATGTGATTACAGGCATGCGCCACCATGTCCTGCTAATTTTGTATTTTTGGTAGAGACGGGGTTTCTCCATGTTTGTCAGGCTGGTCTCAAACTCCCGACCTCAGGTGACCCGCCCGCCCTGGCCTCCCAAAGTGCTGGGATTAGAGGCGTGAGCCACCACGCCTGGCCAATCCATTCTTTAGTAGAATGGACTGTGTCTTATCTTTGCAGCTCCGATATACAGTACAAAGCAAGCAACCCAGCACATATGTGTTGAATGAGTAGATGCATTTATTGGTTGGTTTATTGTCTGGTTAGATGGTCATGGCTGGTTATGTGAATATTCCACAGTAATAGTGGACCCATCCAAAAGCAGTTGGTGGGCCGGGAGCAGTGGCTCATGCCTGTAATCCCAGCACTTTGGGAGGCCGAGGTGAGTGAATTGCTTGAGGTCAGGAGCTCGAGACCAGCCTGACCAACATGGTGAAACCACGTCTCTACTAAAAATACAAAAGTTAGCTGGACATGGTGGCGCACGCCTGTAATCCCAGCTACTCAGGAGGCTGAGGCAGGAGAATCGCTTGAACCTGGGAGGCGCAGGTTGTAGTGAACTGAGATTGCCCCACTGCACTACAGCCTGGGTGACAAAGTGAGACTTTGTCTCAAAAAAAACAGTGGTTGGTGTACACCTTTCTCCTGGAAACAATGAACTTTATTTGCAGTCTCCATTTTATAAGGAAGGCTGGGGCAGCTTTTGCTGCTGAGCAGAAATCTGTCCCGTTACCCCAGATTTTAGTCTCAGGCATTAACTCTCTAAGCAGAAGGGCTCATGAAGCCTTAGGCCACTGAGGCCCTGAAGCTCCCCAGACACTTAGGTTCAGTGATGAGCCAAACAGCTTCCACGAATAGTCCCTGTTTGTGCAGCAGCAGAGCCCAGAGGTGGCAGCAGGCTGCAAAACTTCTCCGCAAATTTGTTCGAGCCTGGGCCCCACTGGGCCATGAGGCCCCATGCAACTCTTGCTATATGATGCTGAGATGTGGGGAAAGGGATGAACTGAAAGGGAAGGAATTCCAATTTAGATGCAGGATAATGACATAATTTATAAACTAATGCCAGTTTATCATATTTTCCCCAAGTTTTTATTTTGAAAATTTTAAAACCTGCAGAAAGTTGAAAATACGGTGAAAACTCATTTTTCTTTCTCCTTCATTGCTAACGTTTTGATCTGTTTGTGTGTGTGTGTGTGTGTGTGTGTGTGTGTCTCCCTCAATTGAATATTTTTGCTAAACCATTTGAAAATTAGTTACAGATATCTTAAATTTTCTAAGAACTAGGGTATTATCCTACACAAGCATGATGTTTTTTGCATTACCAAGATATTTACTTCCCAAGATATTATTACAATAGTATTACCTCAAATACTGTCTATATATACATTTTTCTAATTGTCTTAATAATGTTCTTTATAACTCTTTTTCTGATCCAGAATCCAGTAAAAAAAATCATCTATTGCATGTCATTGTCTTTAGTCTCCTTAGTCTATTTAATCTAGAATGGTCTGTTACTTATTTTTTTATTTCACTTTATTTTATCTTTCAAGGCTGATAGTTTTGGAGTTCAGGCTAGTTGTCTGGTAGAATGTCCTCTAATCTAAATTTCTACATTTGTTTCTTCATTATTGAATTCAGATTAGACATGTTTGGCATAAATACTACCTAGGTGGTGTTGCATATTTTTCATCCCAGCACATCAGGAAGTTCACAATGCCATTTTGTGTCAATATTGACAACAATCCTACATGGGTGTCAAAAGTTCAGGAGCAGGAACTAGTGAGGCAGTCATTTCCTTCTGTTACTTGGTTAGGGTGATGTTAGCCAGATTTCTCCACCATAGATGCTCCATTACCCTCTGTAGGTAATGAATAATCCAGGGAGTGAGACGATGGGACTATCCCATTCTCTAATAGCATTCACTCATGCATTAATGACCTTTGTCTGAATCAATTATTCCATTGGTTGCTGCAAATGCTACCTCTTCTAATTCTATCACTTCTACAAGTAAAGGCTGAAATTTTTCCATGAAGAATACCACCAATACACATACACATATACTTTTTTTTGTTAACTTTTTATCTTGAAATAATACTAAGCCCACAAGAAGTTGCAAAAATATTACAGAGAGATCCAGCGTACCCCAAACTTATCTTCCCCCAGTGATAATAACACCTTCCATATTATGTTATCAAAACCAGGAAATTGACTCTGGCACAAAGTGATGAACTAGACTACAGATCTTACTTGGATTGTACCACTTTTTAAAATGCTAACTTTAATTTTAATTTTTTAGTATCCCGTTGGACTCTATGTTTATTATGTTATACTCCATTACCATCATTATTCTTTTTGATGCTCACATTGTCTCAAGTTTAACTAGCGAGGACTCCTTCAAGCCAGCTCATGACTTTTTTTGATAAGCCTCCATCTGTCTTTCAGCTCTCCTTTGCTTTCTGGGACAAGAAGATGTTCCAGGCTGCAGAACTGTAATTAGCCCTGTCTCCAAGAAGTGTTGGTTTCTTTTAGCAGGGAATGGTATTTAGGAACTAAGATCTGGGTATTCTGGTAACCATAAGTTCTGATGTCCAGGCATATGTCCTGATCCCAGGTCCCATATGCCCACTGCTTACTGGACATTTCCATGTGTGTAAGCACTACAAACTCAACATGCTAAATACACTTTTTTTAATCCCCAAACCTGCTGTTCCTTTCATAAGCACAAGTCAAAAACCTCAGAGCCAGCCTTGATTCCTCTCTAATGTGTGATCCATATATCCAAACATTGGGTCATGTATGTTTGTCTCCTAAGTCTCTCAGCACTTGCCCAGTTTTCTCACCTCTATTGCCACTGCCGTAGTCCAAGTTGCCATTTCTTGTCAGGATCATCTCAATAGTCTCCTGGTTTCTTTACTGCCATTCCTGTTCCCTGTCCTTGTTCCTTCAGTCCACCCTCCATGTAATAGCCGGAGTGATCTTACTAAAATATAAACACTTTGATGCTTTATTGGCTTTATTATAAAAACTAAGCTTCTTAACAAAACTTGCAAGAACTGCCATGCATCAGGCCTCATCTTTACGCCCTAGTCATATAAACTTATTTCTAAGTTCTGTCCCACAACTTATAAGAAGTGTACTTCTTTCACTCTCTTCACTCGACTAGCTGCTTTACTCAGCCTTTAGCTCTCAGCTTAAACGATCCTTGCTGCCTGCTGTTCATACCCTCATGTAGTCCTGTCTCGCTGAATCATGGCTGTTCTGTGTGATCAACAGAATACTGTGAAAGTGACAGTGTGGGACTGCTGAGGCTAGGTCATAAAAGACATCCCAGTGTCAGCCTTAGCCTCTCTTGGATTGCTCACTCAGTTGGGGGATGCCAGCCGCCATGCTGTGAGGGCACTCAAGCAGCCTGTGGAGAAGGGCATGTGGGCAGACACTGGCCTCTGCGCAGCAACCTGCATCATCTTGCCAGCCATGGGATGAGCCATCTTGGAAGTAGATCCAGCCAGCTCCAGGTCAGCCTTCAGATGACATCGCAAAAGATCCTGGGCCAGAACTGTCCGTCTATGCCACTCCCAAATGTTTGATACACATAGACTATGAGGGTAATACATATTTATTGTTGTTTTAAGCCAATTAAAAACAAGAAACCAAGTGTGAGTGTTAAGTGAACTGATTGCCACTGGAGTTTGTTGCTTCTAGGCCATTTCAATGGACACATCTGAGTTTAGACTGATTCTTCTCATTGGAATTAAACATCCAGGATTCTTCCTCATCTTTCCCTATCCTATGTCTGCATACTCCTTCTCTCTGATTCCTAACACCATCAATATGTTTAACTCATTGGCTCAGTCCTACAACATATTCAGAATAGTTTGGGGATTACTGTACCAAAACAACTACCAACAACAAGCTGACTAAATACGTTTAAGATGCTGTTACAGATCTTTTTTTTTAGACTATCACCCACTAAGAATGTACAGTCAGAATGCTGCATTCAAAAGTTTTTGAATTAGTTATTCACTTTCTGTACAGTTAGGTTGTCAATTTGATATATAGTTGGCTTTCTTTGTTTCATTTTATATTCAGCTTTAAGATTTGCTTTGTATTCACCCTTACTGATTTGATTTAATTTCATTTTAACATACGGTATATAAAACATTTATATGATTTATATGTCAAAGTTATATTAAAAGGTATATTCAAAAAAGACTCAGTACCGTCCCTAACCCTGCCACCCATTTCCCACACACCCGAAATAGGCAACCATTTTCATCAGACTCTGTTTCATGCATCCTACATTTTTTTTTGGAAAAAATAAGCAAATAAGTACATGGATTTGGAGGGTTTTTTTCTTTTTTCTTATACAAAGGATAACATACTATATGCATTCGTTAACATCTTGCTTCTTGCCCTTAACAACATATCCTGGAAATCATTTCTTATCAGTTCATAGACAGATGCTTTATTCTTTTTTACATTGTGTGCATTGGGTTGTATGGATGTACCACAGATATGCAACTTATCTACTACAGAAGGGCAACAACAATTCCAACATTTTGTTACAATAAATAACGTCTCTAAAAATTACCTTATCACTAGTGGTTCATGTTTGTGGAAATGTATCTCACAGTAAATCTCAACAAGAAGAAGTGCTAAGTCAAAGGGTAAATGCATAGTTTTCCTAGCTATACCACATTCTCCTCCCTGGAAACCAATCATTTTACACTCTCTCCAGCAATTTATGAGTGTATCTGTTTCCTGACAGACTCACTGAAAGTGTGTGTTGTCAACCTTTAGAATTCTGCCAATCTAAGAGGCAAAAAATAGTATCTTAAGTGTAATTTTGTTTTTATATCTCTTATTATAAGTAAGTTTGAGTAATTTTTTGTATGTTTAAAAGCCATTTGCATACATTTTTCTGTGAAACAGCTATTTATTTTGCTTATGTTTCTTTCAAGTTTTTGGACTTTCATCTCTTGATTTTCAAATGTTCTATATGTATTAGGGGGATATTAGCCCTTTCTCTGTAATGTCTATTGCATATACTCTTTCCAATTTAGTTACTTGTCTTTTGAATTTGTGATGTTTTTGCCATGCAAAAATTCGGGGCGAGTTTGTTTGTTTTCTTGTTTTTTGAGACGGAGTTTTGCTTTTGTTGCCCAGGCTGGAGTGCAGTGGCGCAATCTCGGCTCACCACAACCTCCGCCTCCCGAGTTCAAGCGATTCTCCTGCCTCAGCCTCGTGAGCAGCTGGCATTACAGGCACGTGCCACCATGCCCGGCTAATTTTTGTATTTTTAGTAGAGATGAGGTTTCACCATGTTGGTCAGGCTGGGCTCAAACTCCTGACCTCAGGTGATCCGCCTGCCTCGGCCTCCCAAAGTGCTGGGATTACAGGCGTTAGCCACCGCACCCGGCCAAAAATTTTCGGTTTTAATACAATGAAATTTGTCTTTTCATATATTAAATCTGGATTTTGAGTCAGGGTTAGCAAAGCTTTCTCCATACACATAAAGTAATTCATCTATGTTTTCTTCTAGTTCATAAAGTAATTCAACCATGTTTTCTTTAGTACATTCATGGTTTCATTTTTTTTTTTTTTTTTACATTTAACTCTCTGATCTGTTTGGAGTTTATTTTGGGAGAGGGTGTAGGATATAAATCCATTTTTATCTTTTCCCAAATGGTTATCCAGTTGTCCAACCCTTTATTACTTAAAGTCCATCTATTTCCCAGTACTTCTTAAATTTGGAGGCCTTCTACACTACAAGGTAAGTCCTACAGTGAATATTTGGCATGTCAAAACAGAAACCAACACATGCGGGATTTTCTTTCTGTGCCTGTTCAATATGAAACATCCAAACTGAAAGGAAGAGAGGATACCGATAAAAAAGGACCAAGAGTTTGGAACTTAGAATTTCTAAATGTACATACATTGCTTAATATTTTTAAGCAATACATGATCACGGCAAAGATTTCAAATAGTATGAAAGTTGTACAGTGAAAGGTAAAATCATCTTTCTATATCAGATTACAGCCTTTCTAGAAGCAACCACTGTTGTCAATTTCTTATGCATCCATCCAAAGATGATATATGCCTTTGGAGAGAGAGAGAAAATGAGAGAGAGAGAGAGCCTTTAAATGAAAAAGGAGAAAAATGAATGAATTCATACCTAATGAGAGACCCTTGGGTATTAAGCACACACACATTATCACACTTTATCTCACAACGGTCCTCCTGTTTCTATATTTGTATTCCATCTCACAGATGAAGAATTGAGGTTCAGAGAGGTAAAGTGACTTGTTCAAAGATCTTAGCTAGTAAGTATAGGATGCAGATTTGAATTTCCACTGTCTTCTCTGTACCATGATGTGAACATGCAGGGAGTGGGTGGTCACCACATGGAAATGGCTATTTGGAACTCTTGGAGGCACACTAAGAGCAGCGTTTATAGCCCCCCAAAATGATTTGTCAGTAGGAGGAAAGGGGTATCTGAGCTGCGCCAAGAAATTAACATATTATTTCATATTCTTGTGCTACTTGTCAGGAGCTCTTGATGATGGTAAGGGTGGCCTGAAACCTCCCATCCCCAAACACTTTGAAATTTTTGTAAGCCTTGCTACCAGGAGAGAAAAAAAAAAATCAAAAGAAAAACCGGATTGTGTCAAGAAATGTTAGCAGCTATGACTCAAAGATATATAGGGGGGCAGATCTGTTGACTCAGAAGGGTCCATTTCTTAGTCACTTAGCAGCTTTTGCCACACTTTAATATTTTAGAGAAAGAAAGAGATTTACAAAGTGGTAGGGGGAGGTAAAAATAAAAGATTGCAACAGAAGGATTTGCTTCACAACAGCAGTTCGTGGCAGCATGCAAGGAAAATATAGAGGAGAAAGCATTGTTATGCTATTCCAGAGAGAGGGTTTTTCAACAGGAAGCAGACGGGTGTCAATTTCTATATATTAAAACATTCAAAACACGGTTCCATTCTCACAGAAGTTCTCTCTATTGTAGTGAAAATGTATTTTCTCTCTTATCCTTATGAATTACAGACTCTGTAGAAAAGTATGCATTAAAAGCAGGGGTTATGGGGTGTGGGGGATGCACCTCCCCTGGAAAGTTCACAGGCTGTTTTCAGCTCCTTGGGGATTTTATTGCTGTAGACTAAGATCCTTGAACTACTTCATTCCCTAAGATACTGGAATGATTTACTGGGATGGGACCCTCCAATAAGCACTTTATTGGGCAATGTCAGAGATCAAGTTTCTTGACCATCCTGTCTATTCCCATCCAATCCCCTATCTACCAATCCCCAATTGTCACCACCACAAAAGGTTTTGGAAGCAATAGAATTCAAGATTCTGTCCCTGAGCTTTACATGTCTTCATTCTGTCTATTCTGTTCCCCAACTCCAACCTGCCTTTCTCTTGCCTTGCATGGATGCCCATCTTTGCATGGATGCCTACATTTGCCTGGATGTCTATCTTTGCCTGGATACCCATCTTTGCATGGATACCCATCTTTTTTCATGGATGCCCATCTTGTTGCATGGGTGCTCATCTTTGCATGGATACCCATCTTTTAGCATGGATGCCCACCTTCGCATGTATGCTCATCTTTTTGCATGGATGCCCATATTTTTTGCATAGATGCCCATCTTTGCATAGATCTCCATGCAATCAGCTGTTTTCTCAAGGGCAGGCTCTACCCCAGCATCTACCCTCTGATCTCTCAGCCTTCCATTAATTATCCTTTTCTCCACCCTTTACCTAATTTCCTCCAACTTCTTCTCTACTCAGATTCTAGCCAATGAAATATGCTCTTCTCACTTAGATCTTCTCATCTCTACAGTCAGGAGTATTTCTCTGCTCTTCCTAGCAAGGCTCCACCCCTCCTTCCCATTTAAAAATTCTGCTAAAAATCCATGATTTATAGTAAATATCCCTCGAATTTTCCAAATGTTTCAAATAACTCCATTCTCACCCCTTAGCATCTGTCTATCAATCCATCAACTAGCATATTTATTAGACACTTGCTATGTGCTAGACATTGTGCTAATATCAGGGAAAGTGACATTTGTACAGTGCTTTCCATTTGGAAGGCATTTTCACATCACTTTTCCTACTTGATCTCCACAACAACCCCCAAGGTAGGAAGGGCAGAAATAATTGCTAATCCCATATTGCAGATTAGAAAGCTAAAGCCCAGAGAGTCAGATGGCTGCTAGGAAGTGGCAAAGCCAAAATTACAAATACACATCTTGTTTAAAAGCTTAGGACTGGGTATTAACCAGAAAGCATTATGCATGTGCCCATGCATGTACCCCTCCCCCCAGCCCCTACCTGACACACACCATCTATTTTTATAGTTTTCGTTAGTTGTAAGCATGTTTTTCTCTGTTTTTCTAAAGTGTTTGTTCTGTCTTCCCTTTAATCAATGAGGTCCCCGTGGACTGGAGCTCAGAGTGGCTCTGTGAGCTTGGTGCTGAAAGGGGTAAGGCAAGACAAATAAATCCACAATTCTTATGGGCAAAGTTGGATAAAGGTTTCAGTGTGCACAGATGCACTCCCATCTGAAACGGGAGTGTGAGGCATCTCGAGCCAGTGCAGGTGGGCTCCCTGGTGTTTTACCCATTTAATAAGTATCAGTGTTTTCTGGAGCAATTTCCATTCTGTCAACACAGCACTGAATGAATCAGCTCTGCAGTCTCCATCACAGTCACATTCCCTCCCCTTCACACAAAAGCTAGTGTACATGAAAAGCCCCCATAGTGGGCATATAATTATCATCCAACTGCAAACCCATTTCTCAAGGATCCTTCCCCATTGCTAGAGAGCTGGATTAATCAGCATGGCTCGCAGTGGCTTTTGCATCTCTTAATTTACTACCAAGCACTCCTTGTCTCCTGAGACGAGATGTTTTGTTACGTGTAATTAGACCATGCACGCAATCCTACATGGGACTTGTTGTTTTTGCACAGGAGGATTACAGAGCTGTCTCCAGGTGGGGAATGGTGACATGCTGTATGAACAAAGGTATGCTGCGTGTTCATTTGCAAACCTCCACCGGTGTGGCACAGGCTGTGTTGGGGAGATGTTAGGGCTGGAGACAGACGTGGGCTCAGCTCCTCCGATTAATTGTCTGGGGCCCAGAGGTTCAGAAGATAATGGCTGAAGCATATGGTTTCTCCTGCTTCTAAGGTTGTCTGTCTCCTGAGACCAAGGCCAGGAACAGCCACCACAGGGCTGAAGGGCCTGGCAGTGACTTCAGCACCAGCCTTCCTGTGACACAGGCAGGAGGCTGGAAAACCCCTGAGTAGAGCTGCCTCTGATTTTAGGGAAAGTGGAGGGGGCTGGGCTTTGAAGGAGTGTCCCTGAGGGCCTTGCTCCCTGATCCTGGGACTTTTCCTTGTGACAGTTCAGCCCTCTCCTAATACTCAGCATCCCCTGAAATGAAACTCTTGAAGAGCTCTATTACACCAGAAGTAAAATGAAAAGAAAGGACTGAAGCACTCCAGCCTGTTTCAAAAACTCTTCACTGACTTGCTTGAAACCTCCACTCATGGCTCAAATTGTACTAGAAAAAGCTGTTTAGCATAGAGCAAGTCAGTGAAAAATATGCTATGTTTACTTTTTCCCTCAGCTGATTTGATTTTCCTGTTAATGATCAAGAAGAAGGGTCTCCCAGAATCACTTAGGATCCAGTGTTTTACAGAAGCCAGAAGCACGCTGGTGGGACCGGAGGAGAAAGACATTCAACACCAACCACCAGGCCATCATTAGGGGGCACTAGGTTGTAGAAACGCTTCAGATCAGAGGTTCCTGGTTCCTACTTCATTACTCACTAGCTGTGTGACCTTGGGCAAGTCACCTAGCTCTCTGGGCCTCCATCCCTTCATACATCTGAGGATGATAATAGCAGTAGCATCTGACCTACCTCTGGGACCTTGGTAAAGATTAAATGCGATCATGGAAGTGAAAGAGCTTTGTAAACCATATTCCTCTATACAAAGGACTGTCCTTGTTATTAATAATAATGGCCCTTCCTGCTGATAATAGCTCTCATCTGGGAGGTGGGGTGGGGTTGCTTTTCCAGCAATGCCCGTCTCCATTACAGCAGAGCCCTTTGTGAAGAAACAGCACCGAGGAGTGACTTGCATGTGCCGTGTCACTCACCAGGTGACATCTCAGGAGACAGCAGTCCAAGGTGCTGAGGAGAAGTGCTACGGCATCCTGTCCCTCAGGTTTGACACAGCATAATTGTTTTGACATATGATGGAATTTGTCCTCGCATGGGTCAGGATAAAAGCACAATACTGATGCTTTTCATCTAATTTCAATTACAGTCATTAAAACCCTTACTCCTGAGTCAAACCTTTCCAAAAAGCCATCAATGACAGCCCATTACAGATGGGTTATTTATAGTGGTGCATGTTAATTTTACAGTACCACAGACCAATGATTCATGGCTTGGCATTAGTGAGAGACATCATTCACTGGGCTGAGTGATCCCTGACATAACAAGCACCGCTCTGTATCTCTGCAGGGACGATTCAAGGGCTCAGACTTAGAGGTCAGCCCCTGTCTGGCACAGAATAGCCAGGGCATCTGGGCCTTGACCCACTACCCAAGGAGACATTCTGCCCTACGGAAGGAAAAATGGGACCATTTGCTTGGGGATTGGAGTGTAACATCCAGAGGATATCTGGCCGAGATGATATTTGGCTTGAGCCAGACATTTGGCTTTTCTTCTCAATTTATATCTATTCGTATGGGCTTTTAGGAGACCTCATATTATTTGCTACTATTCAATAACTTGGAGGGGATATCTGATACTAACCTGGACTTGATGGAAAAAGATGTCTCTGGGGCCATCGAAAGCCCAGAATCCTTTTATCCAAACTGCTTCAACCTCAGGTTCATAAGTGCCACTTTGACCGATCAATAGTGGGCCTCTTGATTCTTGGTCTATTTGTAGCTGAAATTCTCCCCGTTGATTAAAAATTCACCAAGAGGCAGCCTGATGTGACATTTATGAGTTCCTGGAAGTCCATAAATGTTGAATGTTAGAAATTAGCACCAAGTTGTTCAGATGATAAAAAGCAATAAGCAAGCAAGAGGACTAATACTCGACACTCCTGTATTTTCACTGTCTATCTGTGCTACCTCAAAGCAAAGTGGAACTAAAACTTGATACAAAGCACTTCTGTGTTTGACTTAACCTTCATGTCAATCCCTACCTCTAAATTAAACCCCCTTCTGAATAAAGTGGAAATAGGCCTGATGAAACTATCTGACTCCCCTATTTCCTTCCAACTTTGTAACACTTTGTCAAATAGTACTTTGTCCAAGGTCCCTGCTCTATTTTAATACCAGCCATGATAACAAACATGGAAATTGATTACTTCTCTTTCTTTGTATAGTAGTATCTCTGCAATCATTGGGAAGGTAGGTTGGTAAAAATAAATGTGTGACCTCTTTATTTTGGAGTTTTCAACCACAAGACTGCTTCATACAATACCTATGAATATTTTTTTTCAAGTTACTTCCTACCCACATCCCAGCCCTTTCCTGAACCTCTGTTCCCTTCTTTTAGTGGTTTCTTCCGATATTTCTCTAACGTTCCCTCTGTAGACCTTCTTAGGCATTGATCATGTTCTGGGATCTTTCTGCACTGCCTGGGAGGCCTTGTCTAGTCTAGGTTGGGGTCAATGAAGAGAAAGAGAAAGTTAAATACTAAAGCTCTCATCAAGTAGCCCAAATGCCATTCTACTTATTTTACAGCATGTCCATCCAGAGAGTGGTTTCTACGTGGAATTTCAATTCTGATTGGTTGCTGGTATATTTTACAAAATATAATGAAACATTCTTCTTGACTCTCAGATGTGAAAATTTAGAAATATCCTTCATTATGTCCTGATGAAGGAAAGAGCAGTGATTAAGTGGACTAGAGCCAAGTATTTGGGATTGACTCTAAGCTCTACCATTTACTAGGTTTATGACCTTGTTTCTCGACCTCTCTATGCATGAATTTTGTCCTCTGTAAAATAGGGCTATGATAGTACCTGTCTTATAGGGGGTTGTTATGAGAGAGCAATTGAGCCAATATTTGAGGACATTACCCAGCAGGTACTAAATACTGTATAAATGTTTGTTAAATAAGAAATTTTTAATTTAAAAATATTTTACAAAATACCACTGCCCACTGTAAGACATAGTGCTAGGCACTGTGAAAATGTAGGAACTTGACAAAACATTATGTAAGCCATTGAGGAAAGTTTCTGGAGAGGGAGAGAAGAACACTCAGATAACTGAAAGAGCCAAGCTGGCATAAGCTCTGTGCAGGTCTACTCACACAAATGCAATGAAAATACAGAGTAGGGTGGGACTGCTCAGGCTATGACTGAGCAGATTGCACGGAGGAGATGGCATTCAAGTTATTTCTTAAAGGATGAGCAGCATTTCCAAGGGCAGGATAGATAGACAATGGGGGGCTGTGGTAGAAGGCTATTCCATGTGTTCCCAGCGTGAACACAAAACCAAATTGCTACCACCCTCCACATTTATCAATCCCATATCTATCTCCTATACCACCCCCTGCCAGGTCTATCTGCCTTTCTTCCTTGTTTCTACCTGTTCTTCCACTTGCAGATCTACCCCTGGCCTCTGTTTTCCTCCAGTTATTTTCTCCTTATTTTATCTCTCTTGTAATCTTGAAACCAATGCAGACAATTTTTAAATAAATCAAATAATATAGAAAGGTATAAAATGAAAAGAAAAATCTTCTTTCTCCACCTCCTACTCCCCAGAGGTAAGGACTGTGTCACAGGTATAAAACATGGACACAAATTCTTGACACTTCTGCCTCTGAAATGCAGAGTTTATTTCCCTCCCCTTGAATCTAAGTAGGCTTACACTGCTTCAACCCATGGAGTAGTGTAGAAGTGATGCTGTGTCTTCCAAATCTAAGTCATAAAAGACCATGAAGCATATACCTTGTTCACCCAACAGTCTCTCTGGGAGCGTTGAGCTGCCATAAAAAACTCAGCCTTGTTGGAGAGGCTGCATTCTGGCACGCTGGGCCTAGCCTTTCAACCCCAGTACTTGTATAGCTACTTCTCTTAGTTAACATATTCCATTACACAAATACACCACAATCTTTCTAAACACTCTGCTAATGATAAATACTATAGCAGCTTCCAGTTTTGTGCCATTATCAATATCAATAATTCAGCAATGAACATTCTTCTCCATACATTGTTGTGCATTATATAAGTACTTCTGCAGGACAAACTCCCAGAAATAACATTGCTGAACCAAATAGTATGTGATATAAAAAAAAAATTGGATTGATATCATCCAGTTGCCCTCCAAATAAGCTGTGCCAATTTAGACTTCTGGTGGTACATAAGAATGCCAGTTTCCCTATAACCTTACCAACACTGAGTATTATCAAACTTTTTAATCTTTATCTTTCTGATGTTGTCTCTGCCTTCATTATGATGTGCCACAACTGGATGCCTTGTAAGCGAACTATCCTAAGTATAATGTGACCTTACCTGCAAACCCATGGAGCTCAGGTACATATAGGAGGGGGGTTATTCAAGATGGTAAAGGAAAAAGATAATGCAAAACGTCAAGCTATCAATAGCTCAGGTGAATGAGCACTAATTTAGCATAAAGATGAGCCACAGAACATCACAGACTTGCAGGGCAAATGTGTCAGGACATAATGAAATTCAGCTCAATGACATTCTGTTAATGGCAAGTGTTATCTGAAGTCCAGAATGACCCAGTTGGTTGGGGATGTAAGCAGTGGGGGAGGGAGGAAAAAAATGAAGTTCTCTCAGTTAATCAAAATGCTCACTGGACAGCTGGCTATAAATGGAACATTTTGCAATGATTGATTTCAACCTGGATGACTCTGAGGGACATTCAAGAATAATGCTTCTTAAACCTAGCTGCCCAGCAATATGACCTGGAGTGTTTTTTTCAGAAAAATATAGATATTTTCCTCACATTCACCCCCAGACACACATGCACTCAGTTACCGTAGATTCTGATTCAGTTGGTCTGCATTTTCAACAAGCCCATCAGGTGGTTCTGAGACAGAACAAAGACAGGAACTCACTCCGTTGCCCAGGCTGGAGTGCAGTGGCATGATCAGGGCTCACTGCAGCCTTGACTTCCTAGGCTCAAGTGACCCTCCCGCCTCAGCCTCCCAAGTAGCTGGAAGTACAGGCATGCACCAACATGCCTGCCTACTTTTTGTAAGGAAAATTTTTGTAGAGTAAAAAATTGAGCTTACATCAGAATCACATTGGAGATTTATTAAAACACAGATTGCTCAGCTTCATGGCCAGAGCTTCTGATTCAGTAAATCTGGAGGGGTAACTGAGAATGTGCATTTAAAACAAGCTCCCTGATGATGCCAGTCCCAGGACGCACCTTGAGGACCACTGACACACCAACAGCACCAGCAGCAGCAGCAACACCCGGGAGCTTCCTGAAAATGCAGAATCACAAGCCCCTACCACTACCCATGATGCCTGCCAGTAAAGGCAATCATAATATCCTTTCTACTTCACTCAGTTTCTGATAAGCCTATAGAGTGGTGCTTCCCAAACTTGTCTGTACATGGGGTCACCTGCAGAGCTTCAAAAATTAGTAATGCCTGTGCCTGCTCCCCCAAATATTGTGATTTAATTGGTCTGGGGTGTGTCCTGGGCTTTAGATATTCTTTTTAAAGACCCTCAGGTGACTGTAAAGTGCCAGCAGGTTTGGAAATCACTGTTATAGGCTATATTGATTGAGTGCAGGCAATGAGGTGGGAGAGAAACTGTTGTCTTTTGAAAACTCAAGCGAGCCATCTTACAATTGATTATTTATTTATTTATTCATGTGTTTAGGTATGCAACAGATAATTACTAAGGACAGACTGTGCCATTGCTATGCTAGGTCAAAGAGGAATAGTACAGCCCCTGCCCTCCTAGGGTTTCTAGTCTAGGAGAGGAGATTCAGATGGGTAAACAGACAACCAAGGCACGTGTAATTGTTCTATGGTAGTGCTGTGGGACATATGAGGGACGGGCACAGAGCCGTGAGTCTTGCATGCAATTACATCTCTCAGATTCAGGAAATCGGGTGGCAGTTCTGACATGAAGCGCATGTTGTATTCACTCATTCATTTTTTATTCATTCATTCAACAAATATTTAATGAGCATGGGTGTCATGCACCCATCATTGAGCTAACTGCTGAGTAAATTACAAATGAAGCGGCAGACTCAGTAAACATAGAATCTCATGCTTCTCTCAGAATTTTTGAACTTTCTAGTAGAGTAGATATTTCTTGTCTTTACCTGCTTGTCATTCATTTTTCCTTCTGGTACCAGTACTGAGAATTTCTTTTAGGAAACAGCTTGTCCACACTCCATGTTGTCTGGGGAATCTCCTCTATTTTCTCCAGACTATCAAATCTGCTTGACTCTTTTCTTATCTTGGGAATTAAACCAGGTATGTGACTTTTGGCTATCTTGTGACCAATGGATGGAAGGTAAGAATGAAGCCAGCATGAAAGAGAGAGCCAGGAAGCAGAGACTGCATCTGATGACACTATTTGCACAGAGGAAGCCATGCCTCTATCTTTGCTACACAGGCTAATAAATTCCCTTGGGGGCCTAATCCAGTTTGAGTGAGCTATTCTGTTATTTGCAACTCGAAGAGTCCTAACTGCTAGACCTAAAATGGATTTTTCAGGAGTATTTCTTTTGTGATTGAAATATAAATAAGCCCATTAATATCTGTTCATGAAATGCTCTGTTTCCTGTTTTATAAAAATATGTTTTGTAGAGATTCTATTCTAATGTCTTTAGGTGTATAAATGGTATTCTGTAAAGTAAATCAGATCATAAGCTCAAGATGTTCTTAAGAAAAATTATTTAAATGATGCTACACCTAGTTAGCAGCTGCCAGCCAAAGCTCAGAGAGCATATGGAGAGAAAGATTCCAGGTTGTTCTACTCGCCTTCTAACAAAAGCCTGAGAAACCTTCTAGGTTTGAAGAGAGTGGGCTGGGAGCTTTCACTTTCTGGGTAGCATTGCTGTGTGATTGGGAATCACAGAAGAAGAGGAGCCAGCGAAATGCTGCGAAGATTGTGAAGTGAGCTAGAAGACAGATTGTTAAACTAAGCCTATCTCTTCACCAATATTGCTGGTCCTTCTTCTAGGCATCTCTCAAATTGTTCTCTCATTTCCAAACATCTTCACATTTTTGTCCAAATTCTCATCATGGCTATCTTAAACTAACGTAAAAACCTTTCAATTATTCTTCCTCATCTGAAGGAGTAGCATTTCTGCCTCCAGGCACACTCTTCAGTCCTTCGTCCACACCGCTGCCAGAGTGAGCCAATCACACGACCAATGTAGAAACCTTCATATTTGTCCCCTCACCAAGAGAATAAGGTCACGATTTCTGCCAAGGTATATTTATTTTACCTCTATCTATCTATCAAACCACTACATCCAGTTCCCAGAATGTGCTAGGCTGTTTCAAGTATTTGTGCCTATGGTCATTGCATCCTTACTGTCTAGAAGCCCACTAGGAAAATTCCTCTTCACCCTTAAAAAACACATTCAGACATTCCTTCTTTAGCAAGCATTTCCTTGAATCCCTCTACCCTTAAAGTTAATCCCCCCTCCTCTGTACTTCATTTATAATTTCTACATATATTTTTATTCCCTAACATTCTGTTGTTATATGTTTGTCCTTTTGTCTAAATTTGAGCCCCTTTAAGATAAGACAGTTTCTTATTCATTTCCCCATCTCTAGTACTAAGAATAGTGCTTGATGTATAGGAAGCACTCAGTAAATATTCAATGAGTGAAGTTGCTTGCCTCTGTCTCTGAGTCAGTATTAAGGACAATTTAGAAAGGAGCATTCTAGCAATCTAAGATCAGATCAGAATTAAGTAAGGATGGAATGGATAATAGCTAAGAACTTGGAATGGATAATAGCTAAGAATTAGTTATAAAACTTTATCCACATGTTGTCTTCTCTAAAAGATGATCTAATTTAGTATGTAAGGCTTACTATATTTTGCTTTTGCATTGGAAGCAATATATTGTGACTAATATCTAAAAACCATGTATTTTTAAAGTGTGTAGGTTTGAGTTGAAATCTGCATAGAAATTTCAAAAACACACATACATATACCCAAACATCTTCTAGTTCATTCTAGGAGAAAATGAGATTCTAATTACTTACTCTAAATTAAGTAAAAATATCTAAGAAAAAAATAATTGTTTTGAAAAAAAAGACATTGCCTAATTCCTGTGTATGCAAAATTAAAATTAACTAGTTGAGATCATCTAGGCTGAATCCAGAAAGGTCAGGATGAGCAAAGGAAGAGAGCAAACCCTTGTCATGATACTGCCATCGGATTCAGGTGACTGGCTTCCTGAGTGGTGATGTTCAAGAAATCCTGCCTAGAGACAGGGGCATAAACCACATGGCCCCTCAATATTTCATCTGCATCTACATTCACTCTTGTTGGATGAGCATTGAATCTGGTTTGTGTTCATTCCTGGTAGAGTTACAGTATCACGTTAAACTAGCTGCAGTAAAACAAGGAAAAAAAGCAAGCAATAGGGAAATGGAGATTGCCTTGTAAAATTGGCAAGGACTTCCACTTGCTTTTTCCTGGCGCGCTTAAATTCAAGGCTTGTTTTAATGTTCCAGGAGCCCTATTTTGCCACTGACTGACACTCAGTAGAAAAGACAAGGAGTTTAGGGGGCAGTTTTTCCCTATTTTACTTCTTTGTTTAGCATGTGAATTTCCTGGTTAACATAATGAGATTAGCTTCGTTCTGCAGTGAAAGTGTGGCTTCCCCCATGCCAAGACCACGAATCATGTTCATAAGTACAATAAATACTTGTCCAAAAATCCAGCAATTAAGAGACAAATATAACGACCTGGAATTTCTGGATTCTCCACCAATCTAATTACAATGGCAGTGAGAGGACATGTATCTAATTAAACTGCCAATCACACCAAAATTATATGCATCCTATTTATGCAAATATTTACTCTTGTGGCTGGAATCAGCCATTTTGGCAGGGGAGGCAGCAACTGGTAATTAAAAAACAAGTGGAATCAGGTGTCTCCACAAACAAAGTAAAGTGACTTTGCTTTACTTAGAGGCTAAAACACATCTGATTCTTTTTTTTCTTCAAAGAATTTTATCTTTTTAAAAAGGAATGCACACACCATAAGTATACTATGTGGCTCAATCAATTTTTCCAAATTGAATACACCCATTTATTAGCGCCTCACAAGTCCACCTATTTCCCTTTCCAGGAACTGGCCCTTCTCTTCCCAAGGATAACAACTATCCTAACTTCTATTAGAACGATTCGGTTTGGACTGTTTTTGTCCTTTACGTGAATGGAATCAAACAGAATGTGCTCTTTAAATGTGTGTCCTCTCTCACTCAGCATGACATGGTGAGGTCTATGCACGCTGTTGTGTGTTACATCATTCACTCCCACTGCCGAGCAGTCTCACTGCATGGCTGTACTACAGTTCCTTTATGAGGGCTGCTGTTGGCATGTGACTTGTTTCCTGTGTGCAATTCTTATAAGTAGTGCTGCCATTAACATTCTAGAACATGCCTTTTGGTGAAATATGTTCACAGGTCTGTTGGGTAGCTACATAGGGTGGTAGTTACTGGTTCATAGGTAACTCATATCTTCAGCTTTCACCAATGCTGTCACACAGCTTTCCAAAGCGGCTGTAGCAATTCATGCTTCAACAGGCATGGTGATGCCAGCTACCATTTGAACGCTTCCGACATTCATCTTCACAGCAGACCCATTTTCAGATGAGGAAGCTGAGGTTAGGGGATGTGTCAAAGATAATACAAGGTAACAGCTGGGGCTGCAACCTGGGCCCTTGTCCCTGGAAAGCTGGAGCTCTTAATCCCTGTGTTCATGGCCTCCCAGATGTTTTGATTTGGTGTAAGGTACTGAATACACCTTATTCTTCATCTAACTCCTGAGCTCCTTTCTCTCTTCTTTCTGCTTTATTTCATTCTGTGGGGTTTGATGACTTTACTCACCTCTACCAATCCTTTTCATTCTCTTAAATTTCTCAATCCAAGTGACAAAAACTTCACTTGACTTGCAGGGAACTAAATTCTCATTTTGCTTCCGTCTCAGCTGCCTCCTTCTCACTTCCTCAAGCTCTGAATGTGGAAGTGCCCCAAGACTACCCTTTGGCCACCTGCCTTCTCCCTTGATGACCGTGTTGACTATTACTGCCAAGTACTCCAAATGTATCTCCCTCTCTGGCTTCCAAGTGCATGATTGGTCATGTTTCCTGTATCTCCTGACACCTCCTATACTTGGCTAGGGCCATGTGGCTAGTTTTGTCAATGGTTCGTGAGCGAAAGTGACACATGTCTCTCCTGAACTAGAATTTCATTGCCAAAGCAAACCCTCCCAAGTTCTCTTCCCTCTCCTTGTTTTATCTGCCTGAGTCCTGGAGTGAGGAAAGTGGGGCAGAGCTCTAGTCAAACCAGGTGGACATACAGTATAAACAAGAAAGAATGATTTTGAAATTATAGGCCATTAAGATTTGAGGTGGATTCGTTGCCATAGCATAAACAAGTTTATTCTGATACAATAAAAACATGTAGTATTGTGAGTTTAGTTATAATCTATATTTTCATGGTTCCCAAATTGTATCTCTTGGTTGATCCTGAGCCTTGAATTCCAGACCCATTTATTCTACTGTCTTCTCTGAATCCTCTCTGGGAACACTAATATACAACTCAAACTTGTCTTGTCCAAAATGGAATTCTTGATCTCCCACCATCCCCCAAACTTGGATCATCTATAATCGTCCATATCTCAGTTAATCACAGCTAAAATATTTTCATTGCTCAGGCCCAAAATGCAGGGGTATTCTTGTCTCTTCTCTCTTGCTTATGCCCCACATTGAATTCATCAGTAAATCATGCATGTGGGCTTACTTTCAAAATATATCCCGAATCTGACCCCACCCACACCTTGGTTATCTAATTCTAGATACCATGGCTTTTTCAAAATTCATTCTTCTACATAATGGCATTTTTACCACCCTTTCTTTGAAACTTTCTCACAACATTCCATCTTATTCTGCCCCCAACCTTTGTGCATGACGTTGTTTCATCCTGGTTCTTGTTTCTTTCTTTCTTTGTAATTCTCAGGCCACTTTTTCTCTCTCACTTTAGCTTCCTAATCTTTCCAGAATTCTATTTCCATGAGAAAATAAGTGCTCTATATGGCTCCAATTTTTATTTTTATTCCTGTCTCACAAAATGTATGTATAACAGTGATAGTACTGGGAATGATTTTAGGAGGTATACGAATGAATATTCGTATTTTAACGGTCATGATTTTATTTTAATGTGTCTGAGACAAAATATAACTAGCATATAAAGCCCGAGATTTTACAGATATTATTGCTTAGATGAAGGCAAACAAATCAGTTTAAGTTGAATTAAAGTAAAAATTAAATCAACAATGCTACAGTAGGTATGAGATGGGGAAAATGTAAGTAGTACACAAATGGAGATAAGGAAACTTCAAAGAGTAAACGCAGTCCATTCTCTTTAGTGGATCAATAATTCTGACGGTCACCTGGAAAGATCCACTGGGGTGGCCCTCCATACCCTCAACATTAGGAAATAAACCTCAGATTAGCTTTTCCTCTGAAACCAGTTCCTCCACTTATTCAATGATGCCCTTATTTTAGTAGGTGAAGTCCAACAACTAGAAGTCATTTTGGGTTCATTTCTCTCTTGTGTCCTTTTTATTCACTAAATGTTTAAACACTGAAATGTCTATCACATTTGCCCTTTCCTTTTATTCTCATTAACATCATTCTAAGGGATGACCCAATTACCTCCTACCAAGATCATTGCAATGACCTCCAAACAATTCTCCTGCTTCCCTCTGAATTCAATTGCATTCTGCCAGTGCCCTGGAAACATCCTTCCCATGTTCAAATGTTCTGGTGTTCAGTAGCTCCTTCCTAAAGCCACGTTTGTGATCCCTAACCCCACGCTAGTAATAATGCACATTTACTGAGTGTTGTGTACTGAAAGGCTTAACGGGAATTTTCTTATTTAATCTTCATGACAACCCTGTGAAGTAGCTACCATAGATAAGGAAACTAAAGTTTGGAGGTTAAATGATTTGCCAAAAGTGGATACATGACAGAGCCAGAATTTCATCCAAGTAGCGTAAGGCCAGAATCTTTACTACGCTGCCTTTCAATAAATTTAACATCATTCCTCATATGAGACCCTCTGTGTCCTCTATTCTATTTTATTTTCCTTCATTCATGAGAGTCTCATTTCTGCAACTATCAGGCCTTTGTCAAGATCCACCTGGGTTTTGATTTGCTACCCCTCTTACACACACACACACACACACACACACACACACACACACACCCCGCCTTCTGAGACAATCTCCAAATTGTACCTCTCTTTTGAGACCCAGCTCAAGTTCAACCCTTTTAGTCTAACTAAAACCAGAGTTACCACTGGAGTAAATAGACATCTGTCCTTTCATATCCAAAGTTTATTTGCCCCTGGTCCTGAATTATCGAGCTCCAGGTACCTGATATGAACTTGACACTGTGGACAAATAGGGCAAAAGAAAAACAGTGACACCCCCATGCTATGAATAGCAAGCAAGTCCCTTTATCTCCAAATTAAGAGGATTTCAAAGTAATGCAAGTGGATGCAGTTCAAGGCATTGCTTTTCAAGTTTTTAATGTGCACAGGGTCTCTTTCAGCTTCTAATTCTTTGTGCTTACTAGACACTCAGTAACTGTAATAACACAGGTTGATTGCCAGATGTATCAGTATTTCACAGAACAAAGAGCCGGATATGAGTCCTGCCCAGAGAAATCATGGCTTAATGGAACATTTGGTTGAGCAGGACACTTTTGGCTCACTGATCTTTTTTCAGTTGGTAAACTCATTCCTTGAAGTGTTGTCCACAGAGAGCAGGAAAAGAAATATAGATGGTAAAATAAGTGGTCTCTTCTGTCCTTTTTGTATAATACAATTGCCACAGAAAATATCATAAAATTAGGAAGAAACTTGGATATCATCTAGTCCTCTGCCTTCATTTCAGGAATGAGAAAACTAAAGCTCTGACAGGTAAGTGATCCACACGGTCACATTCATGAGTCACAGATTCAGAATCAGAACCCAGGACTTTGAGTCCCAGTGTGGCTTTTAAATCCTGACTACACCTAGTAGAGTTATTAGCTTTGTAAACGCAGACAAGTTACTTACTCATTCTGAGTCAGTTTTCTTAGTTCTGCAATGAAGGTAATATTAATGATTACACACATTTTAAAGAATTGTCATAAGAATCCAGTAAAGCCAAATGAAACAAGTAGTGAGCAAGCATCAGCACATAACAGGTGCTCAATAGATGTTCATTTATTTCCTCAATGGTTAAGTCAGCTGATGTCCAAGAAGAATCTAGAAAACACATGTTTTAGGAAGGTGATGTAAACGTTGAACATATCACACAAAGTTTCTGCAAGTCTAGGAGAACCTTGAATTCGGAGGGGAAAAGGGAGGCAGCAGGGAAAGGGAAGGTGTTGAATGGTGAAGGTGTCTCAATAGCTTGCTTTTAAAAGGAAGAGGTGCATGTCAGCTGGGTGACTCATGAAACACTAATTATATTTTTTATTTTTGTTATCCCTGCAAAACAAACAAACCACTTTTAGCAAAGCTAAGCTTTATGTAGACCCAAGAAAAAAATTGCCTAAGTCTCACATTAATTGCTTTTAAGAAATAGTTTTAAGTTTTTGATTTCTTAAGCTGTTATGTGAGTGTTAGAGCCAAGTCATAAGGCAGGTGGTGACTTCTAATCTAGGGTGAAGACAGGCAGAGCCAAGGGAAGTTGTTCCTGACTCTTCCCCACTATTGTAAGTTAGGGTCTCAGGCCCCATACAGCATCTGTGTTTAGCACAGTGTGGGCATGGTGCCTGCTCCTGGCTAGGCTGCCACACTCCAATCTACGTTTGACTTACTGGGGCCCCTTCAGAAGGCATTTTCTCTGAGTGCCTCTTTTGGCCCTCTGGAGAATATGAATACCTGCCCTTGTTTGCTCTGGAGAATATAAATACCTGGACAGGGGCTGTGAGTGCTGACAGCGAATGGTCAGGAGAATACTGATCTTCCAAAATATTTTGAGATTTTAAATTATAAAAAATGTATATATACATGAAAGTATAGAGAATAATTTAGCATATACCCACATGACACTCAGATTTAACACGTTAATTCTTTGTTCCCATTTGCTTTAGAAAAAAGTCTGAAGTAAAAAGTCAGATAAGAACTTCCCTTTTATCATTTCTTTTTCTCCCTCGTCAAAGGTAATCATTACCTTGAAGGTGGATTTTCTTTATATCCATGTTTATATTTTTACTACTTAGGTATTTACAAACAATATATAATATCAATTGGTTCCTAAATAATTTTTAAGAACACATAACTGTTTTGTAACTTGCCCTTTTCACTCAACACGTTTTTGAGATGTATCTATATTGATGGAGTTAAGTCCGTTAACTTTAAATTCTAGAGAATGTTTCTTTATATGAATGGACTATACTTCACCCATTACCTTATTGACAGACATTTAGCTTGCTTCCAATTTTTTTGTGATTACTAAGAAGACTGCAATGAATATCTTTGATCATATCTGTTTGTGTACACAAACAGATTTTTCTCTAGAATATACATCTAGAAGTCAACTCCTGGAATGTAGGGTGTACCCATCTACAGCTTTACTAGATATGGACAAACTATTCTCCAAACAGGCTGAATTAATTTATGACACTTCCTCCTCAATGCTTGATATTACAAGATTTTAAATTTTTTTCCTAATTAGATAATTGTAAAAATGACCCCTCTTTCTTTTTGACTAAGAAGTTTGCACATTTAAAAACAATTATTAGCATTTGAACTTCCTCATCTGTAGATTTCTTGTTCATGTTTTTTGTCAATTACACACTTGCATTTAAATATGCATTTGTACACAAATAATTTTGATATTCTGGAAAAGACCCCTTATTAACTGTGTGATATTGATTTCCATGTTCCTGAACTTTTGATTATTCTATTGAGCGGATTCAAATGTGTGAGCAGCCATGGATTCACTCTCATGTTCAGCATTGCCCAGGTACAGTCTGTATCGGGCAACCACGGGAGATCTGTAAAACAATTTTGCAGAGTGGTTACAGCACAGGAGTAGGGCTCAGAAGCCCCGATTTCCAATCTCAGTTTGATCACTGATTATCAGAGAGCTCTTAGGAGGCTTTTTCCTCATCTGTAAAATCACAACATTAATACCAGCCTCAAGAGGTTTTGTGAGAAGTAAATCAGAGATATAAAATCACCTTGCAAAGTGCTATACAAATGCCAGCCATTATGAGTAGCAGCAACCCAAATGCAAGTTCATCGTATTAGTCTGCTCAGACTGCCATGACAAAATGCCACAAACTGGGTGACTTAAGCAACAGAAATGTATTTTCTCACAGTTCTGGAAGCTAGAAGTCCACTATCAGATGCCACCGTGGGGGGTTCTAGCGAGGGCTCTCTTCCTGCTTGCAGATGGTCCTCCGCCTTCTCACTGTGTGCTCACGTGACCTCCTCCTTAGTGCAAGCCGAGAGAGGGACAGCTCTGGTGTCTTCCTCTTCTAAGAGCACCAGTCCTATTGGGTCAAGGTTACACCATTATGATGTCGTGTAACTTTTATGACCTTCTCATTGGCCCTTTCTCCAAATCCAGCCACACTGGGGGTTAGGGCTTTAACATAGGACTGTTTAGGGAGACACAGTTCAGTTTTCATAGCAGTCATGGTAGATGGTTGCCTGTTCATTTGTTTCCAAATAGACTTAAGTTTCTTAATCTTAAATTCCTTCATTGGGGCTTGGAGACCTAGATACAAACACCATTAATTTTGTGAAGAAGTTATCTCTGGCTTACTCCCTTCAAAGGCATTATTATTATGAAACCAAGGGTTGACCATTTCTCCAACTGTCGTCCCGAAGGAACAAACCCTGATTTTCAGCCATTACCCTAGACAGTGCCAGCTTAAACCTGATTATGTAAAGAGACACATCAGCACTGTCTTGTAGCACTTTCTGTGCTGATATACACGGCCTATAAAATGGTTTATGAAATCTGCACTGTCTAATACAGTTGCCATTAGCTACATTCAGCTATTAAGCACTTGACACTTGACCACTGTGACTGAGGAATTGTATTTTTTATTTTATTTAATTTCAATTAATTTCAACTTAAATAGCCACATGTGGGTAGTAACTACAGCATCAGGCGGTGCAGGTCTAGATCATTTGTACTCCCCAGTCATGAAGTGACTCCTTCAGCCACTGATTTCTCCCTTTCATTGTGTGGTCTTAGATCCCAGAGTCTGTGCAAGGTGGTGGCTGGTGTCTTCCTATTTTCTAACAGGGACATGTGAGGACAAAAAAGAAAAAGAATGGAAGTTCGGAGCTGACATCGGTATTGTGAATCAGTGGATGGGTGTGAATGGACTGAGAATTAGGAAGTCAGAGAATGGCATTAAGGAGTGACATAAAGTAAGGAAGGAGAAAATTCTGTGGAGATCGTCTGCGTAGAAAGTGCAGCACTAGGGTATGCTCCAAAGGTCAAGCATTTGGAAAACATCAAGTTTTTACCTTTTCCATTTTTCTTTTACTTTCAGGAAATCTGTGAACTAATCCTTAATGATAGAGGGTTTCCAGATTCATGATGAAGAGGCCCCCGTGCAACCACTCTAAACTAAAACTCAGCATGCCTGAAATGAGAAGAGAAAAAAAGCAGTCATTTGTTACTTCAAAACGTTTCAGCTTTTAAAATGATTTTCCCTGGGTCCCAAATAGGAACAGTTCATAGAGGGGGATCACGAAGCCTGGACAATCCAATCACAGTCAGCCAGGGACACCTGCCATCCCAGGCTTCCATTCTGCCCCCAGATTCCATTAGGAACATGCCAAGGAAGGTTCACAAATGCAAATTCCCAGAGCATCTGAAACCAAGACCAATCTGTTCAAATGAGCAAGGTCCCCTAGGCTCGCTGATGAGAGAAAACAATATCAAAGCCATTTATGGAAGCCATGATTCTGAATTGTTGGTCAAACCAAAAGACAGGATGGCCCAAATATGCTCTGGAAAAGCAGGTTGTAAAGCACCAGCTTTTTGATCAGGTGAATCTCTTTTTTCCCCACGTGGAAGAATATTTAGTGGTATGGGTAAATATTCATGATAGAAAGCAAACTAATTTTTCTTTGACCTCAGCCATGTTGAAAATTTTGCATAGGAAAATATTAGGATACATCAATACTGCAGGTAGTTATCTTATTTTCAGTTATTTTCTTAGAGAATTTTTTGGATTTTAAACTTTTCTAAAGTGTACATTTACTTATATGACAATAAATATACATACAAGCATAAGATGACTATATTCTCTTTATATTTTTTGGAAAGTTCATTTTCCATTGAGACTTTGTCTTTTCTTTCTCATGATACTTCTATAAAAATTCCAGTTTCTTTAGAACCAATCAAAATATGCAGAATAATTGGACTCTTCTTTTTTTAAATTTTTATTTGTTTTTTTAATTGACAAAAATTGTATCTAAGGTGTAAAACAGGATGTTTTGAAATATGTTTCCATTGTGGAATGACTGAATTAAGCTAATTAACATATGCATTACTTATCTCACATATTATCATTTTTGTGGTGAGAACGCTTAACATCAATTCTCTTGGCAATTTTTAAGTATACAATGCAACGTTATTAACTATAGTCACAAGGTGTTCAGAATCTTGAGAGCTACTTCTCCAAATGCTCAGCCTACATTTTCACCCCCGTCTCCTCTCTCTGGCTCATGCCTGCCACTCACACACTGGCAAATTGTGTTTACTGTATTTGTGATTGAGCAAATGCCTTTGTGTGTCTGACAACATAGGCATTCAAATTATGAAAACTGTTTATTGTGCTCAGATCAATAGGCCAAACCCACATTTACCTTTTAGCTCAGAAAAAGCTTTCCATGTTCCCCATTAATGGCCTTTTAACATCTGTGCCAATAACCATCAAGCCAGGACTAAATGTCTCAGAGCTTGAGCAGGAAGGTGGGACGGGGGCCACAGGACCAGGTACACCTTCGTCTAACTCGTTAGAGTTTTAAAGATTCAGAAGTCCCAGAGGAAATCTCCCCTTCCAAAATATCCACTCCTCAATGCAGCCACTCGTCCACTCCCTCCTTCCTGCTGAAAACACTGCTGGGGGCCGCCCGTGCCCTTGTCTTGTGTCTGGCACATCACCAAGCCTTTCCAAGGCAGTGCCAGGATCCAGATTACCACCGTGACACAATCTGGGCCCACATCATAGAGGAACAAAGGCTGTAGGGATCCAGGTGACTTTTCCAAAGTCTTGTTCTAACCCTATTACTCACTCAGCGGGCCCAATTGCCATTGTTATTTCTTACCACTCATCCTGGCTTCTGGTCTGAGAAGAACAAGAACAAGCAAAGTTTGCAGAGTGATTTACAATTAACCATGCACTTTCTCAAGAATTCACTCTAGTGGCCACTCCCTACTCCATTACCCTGGGCCCTGGACAAACCACTCCCTCTCCCAGCCACTGTTTTTCATCCATTTTGTGGGGATCATAATAGTCAGAGACCCCATATGGGTATTGGAATATTTGGAAGAGATAACATATTGTGTCCTTAAAAGGGCCACTGTGGCCAGGTGCTGTGGCTCACACCTGTAATCCTAGCACTTGGGGAGGCCAAGGTGGGTGGATCACTTGAGGTTAGGAGTTCAAGACCAGCCTGGCCAACATAGTGAAACCGTGTCTCTACTAAAAATACAAAAATTAGCCAGGTGTGGTGGTGGGTGCCTATAATCCCAGCTACTTGGGAGGCTTAGGCAGGAGAATGCAGTCTGAGTGACAGAGCGAGACTCCGTCTCACAAAAAAAGAAAAAGAAAAAAAAAACCACTGCAGGCATGAGCGTGTGCTGAATTTAATTCCCCATCTTTATTAAAATTTACAGCAAGGAGTGAGGTAGAACTGTTTTCTCACCACCCCATCTCTCACCTCATCTCAATAACAACAAATCATAATAGACTTAACACTATCCATGGTGGCATTGGGGCATGTCTTGCGCTTATAGATTTGAAAAGAAAAGAAAGAAGGGAAAGTCTCAGTTGGACTATAAAACAGTGGGGCGGAGAAGAGCTCAGGGCTGTGTCATGTCTCAGTTCGGCCCAGCCTGGGCACCTTCCACATTTCTCTCTTCCCTCATTCCCTGACTAAATTGCTTTAGGAACTCACCTGCCCCTCTGAAAGTCCAGCCTGGTAGGGTCCAATGCCCCTTGCATGATCCACAATGACTCCTTAGTGTTTCCCTAAAATCCCAGGTGTCCTGTCGTAGCCACAAATTTGCAGACCCACGCATACCTCCAGGTGTTGCCATCTCCTTCTTGCAGGTGTCATCTCAATACGCAAAGACAGCTGCGGAAGACAGGAGGGACTAGGCTCTACTTTCAAAAATGCATGTCACAGTGGAGGTAAGCAGCTAAAGTATTTTTTTCTTTGAAAGATACAGCACTTGTCCCTCCCCACCTCCTATCTTCACACGCTTTGGGGTGACTGACCGATGACTCACTTGTTCATTCTTCCTGGCGATTCCTAAGACTGTGCAGGGCCTATCAGTAAAAATGTTGGAAATCTTGCAGTGCTGAGCAGGACTACGTCCACCTACTGGTGAGAAACAGGAAGAGACCCTCGCAGGAGCCCAGCGAGGGAAGGCTCAGGCCATGCAAGAAACTGTCAAGAAAACCGGGACATGGATCATCAGAATAAAAGAAAACCAGACAAAGAAAGTTATTCTGAAAGGAAAGACAGTGTGTTTGGGGGTAGAATTTGCTTCGAGTTATCATTGCACATGGAAGATTTAAAGGAATTTCTTTCCCAAAAGGCCTGAATTTGAAACATCAGATTCAAATGTATAAAAAACAAGGAAGGTGGAAAAACCCAGTACCACAAAATTGTGGATTTTAGCAAAAAACTGATCGTATTGTCTGCTTAGATTTTTAAAAATTGGACAAACATTGAATGCATCTTTGTTCTTCTGAAAAAGTCTGGCCACCAGGGATAATTTTCAAGCCCGTCTAAAGGACCCGAGCTTCAGTCTCTTGTGTATACTTACCCCAGTTGTTACATACCTACAGCGTGTAGGCAAGGCCCCTTCCCAATCTCCATGCTGCAAGTAGGAGAGAGAGCTATTTTTCCCTATGCATATGTTGATATGCAGGAAGGAGGACAGCACTACTCAGTGCAAGCTGTCCTATTGAAGCCTCGTTTCCTGTCAATCTTCCTTTTTTTTTTCCATGAAGCTTTAATTTTTGGCCACAGCGCTTTCTTCATTTTAGTTTCCTGCAAACCTCAGGAAATAGACTGAAATTAATATCGTCAGATGCTTCCGAAAGTGCTGGCTTGGCGGCATTGCAGAACGCTTTCGGATGCCATTTTGGGATCAAAATATACCAGTTATGCACCATTGTTTGTAAGAGAGATCTGGGAAAGAATTGTGTCTGAGATTGGACCAAATTGAAATGTAGGTTAAAAAAAAAATAGGAATAGAGACCTGAAGTCTCATAATAGGCAAAGTTGGCAGGTAAGCAAACTGAAAGAGCAAGCTAAGAAGAAAACACCTTCAGGGGTCACAGTGGCCTCGCAACGCCTCATCAGTGTGGGAAACTGAGGCAGGGCACCTTTGCTCCTGTTTTCCATATAAACTCTGATGCTTTGAATAAGACATTCATGCCCTAGCACCTCCAGATCTGACTCCAGAGAGAAACATAACGTGTCAAGTGACATAAAAAGAGATAAAGATATTCTTTATTAGAGCATGCACTCTGGAACTATTAATGTGTTGGGGGACAGAGCTCCCAAATCCTAGGTTTTCTCATGTCTCACAGGCCTCAAGGAACACCCAGTCTGGGGTGAGGCTGGCTTAATTCCTAGTGCCAGCTCTGCCCCTGGCTCACCTTCACACTTTGAGCAGATCCCTGCTTCTTCAGATGGCAGTTTCTCCGTCAGGCTAATGGGGAGAGATGACACACACCTCCCTTCTTCACAGTGCAAGGGCATTGCAATGATAAACTTGCAACAATTATATAAACATGCTTGGAGTTCTTCAGGGGAGAAGTGTTAACATGAAGTTATTTTTATTGTCATTGGCTTCTATGTCTATGGCTTCCTAAGAGTGATAAATAAAGCCATGCACAATTTCTACATCTCCAAAAATCTATTCAATACCTTTGTAATATTGAAGAAGACCCAGTCATTTTATATTCTTTGTATTTTATTCACTTTTTGGGTCAGTCAGCCACAACTTCTCCACACAGCACAGCCCCCACCCAATCAATCTGGGAGACCCAGTGATTTCACAACCAACACCTTTGTCTGCATTTCTATGCCCCTGATTCGCGATCTTACCACCTTCTACCTATCCAAGCATAATAACTACATCACTGGCTTTCCTGCTCTGAGCTCTCATCTCTGCAGGCAGCCTCCACATTTCCACTTGCCATCTTCCTAATATGTTGCCCCAGTCAGGAAACCATGGAGCTGGATGATCCTTCAGAGAATTTCTAAGAAAATCCGTATTTTCTAATTGAGGATGCAATTCCCAGAGAAGCTAAGTGAATCACCTTGAGTTACCTGGCTATCCTGGGATAGAGCTGAGCTCAAAGCAGCCAGATCACCTAACACCAGGTCTTTACTTATTATGTCTAGGGATAGAGCTGGACTACAGGTTAAGGCCCCTGACCCCATGTCTGTGCTATTACTTCTTAGGCTTCAGTGGTTCCACATATCCTATACCATAAACTCAAGCACTCAAGCACTGAGCTAGTATATGCAGCTTCATATAGCAGAAATATGACCACAGAGGCTGGAAAAATCGGGCCTTATTTTTCTCACCTAAGAAGTCCAAAGGTAGGCCTTTTGGGATGGATACTGCTGTTATAGGAAGTCATCAGGAACCAGGTTCTTTCTCATTCCTTTCCTGCCCTCCCAATTGTGAACCTTTGCTTCAAGGTCACAGGATGTCTGTTCTGCCTCCAGGCCTTGGTTTTGCATTCTGGATAGGAAGATGGAAAGAGGAAAAAAGAACAAAAGCCATGGGCTATCTGAGTCCCTTTTTATCAGTCATACTACAGCTTTCCCAGAAACCTTACCTAGTAGATGCCTGCATACAGCTTGTAGGTAAGAACTGGGTCACATCATGCTCCTATACCTACCTGCAAGGGTAGCTGGGGAAGTTCAACATTTTAAATGAACATGAGGCCACTCTGAAAGAACATGGATGGTGTTCTGTTAGTAAGGATGAAGCTGGGAATGAATATTGAATGGGCAACCGCAATCTCAGTCCCAAATACCTTAGTGTTGATAGTCAGTATTTTATGGTCCAACCCCAGTAGACTTTTCCAGTCCATTTCTCACCCCCAGTCACTCAGTCTGTACCCCAGCCATTCCAGGGCCATCCACATCTCCCACACATGAGCTGTACCTCTTCATCTTTCTGTTTCTGCCCACCTCCTTGACCCCACTTCTTTAAGACCCAACTGAAATATCACTCTGCTTTCCTTAATATTCACCATAAAGAGTAACCTTCCACTTTTTTATTCTCCCATAATATACTGTATTTATCTGCATTACAACACTAATCACATCTCAGTTTAAATTATAATTTGCTTTGCATGTATCTGTCTCATTCAGCAGAATATAAGCTTCAGAAAAGCAAAGAGCATATCTTGTTTATATCCAGGACAAAGTCTAAAATTTTGTGTGTCCCATAGTAAATTTCCAAGTGTTTATAATTTAAATGATTTTTTTCACTTTGCTTGCATGGTGAATAATGAATCAAAACTCACAGCTCATAACATGGTGTGAATGAAAAGACAGACCTCCCATCTCCCTGGAATAGTCTATCAATGCCCTCCTAGAGGCAGGGGGATGAACCCCACGTGGGTTTCTCTCCCAGCCCATGGAGTCTATGATGGTGTCAACACCCAAAAGAGCAAGACTCTCCAGGTTCAGTGACTGGTACTTTACTCTCCACCCTTCAAGCCCTAAGGACATGAGGGTGACATGGACAACACTTTCTTTGCCCTTTTGATTTAATCCTGAGCCTAATGAAATTCTGCCAAGGTTTCCTTTCCTGAACTGTTTTCATCTGTAGTCTGAATCTCTATTAGGCTGAAATGATGGCTATTCTCTGTATCCACACCCACCATCACACCATCACTACCACCACTGAAATTCATTATCTGACCTTCTCCACTTTGCTCTGTGCCCTGAGGTGCTGATCCTGTGGAATTCGCTCAGCCATCAGTCACAAAGTGAGATGGGAATACAGGAGGAGGGGGAGGCAGGAGTATTTCTCCCGCTGCTCCCTTCCTGCTTCAGTGCAGAGTTATGCCATTGGCTGCATCCTGTCCCTCTAGGACTATAGCTCCTGACAGGTGGCCCTTCCCCAATGGCCACAGTCTCAACAGGCTCCAATAACACTCGTTCCTCCCTCACTACTCCAGGGCTTACTATTGTTCCTCGTCCCTGAGTGCCTCAACACCCACTCTAACCCCGCCCACACCTCTATAAAGAGTCACCTTATGAAATGTTATTCAGAATCTCATCTGAGCACACCTTATTTTATGCCAGGAATCAGACTGACATGGCCACCGAGGCTTTTGCTCCAGACTTGCGTTAAACCCTTCCACATGATGAGAATCATTCCAAATTTTTAAACTGGCTCCATAAGCACATACCCTATGCTGGTTTCCAGAGAAGCCCTGAGTAGTGATTTTCTTGTGTTCTCCCAGGACTGAGTGAATCATCACCAAAGACTTGATTGTTCCTACAACTGCATCAAAAAGTCTTGTACATTTAGGAATCTCCTTCTCCGATACAAAAATAACAGCTCTCCTGCATAATTTTATTGCTTATGTTTTGGAAGATGGGGAGGGGGATAGTAGATAAGGACCCAGTGGATGACAATGTATCTGATTCATTGGGTTTGAAACCAAATAAATTTAAGAATGCTTCCTCAAAGACCATCTCACTCCAGAGTAGAATAATTTGAGTATAGAAAGTTTACCTAGTAAACATCAGATGATCATACCATAAACTCAGAATAAACCCTTTTCTGCCTTGTTTGTGTGCTCCTGGGACCTCCAACCCCTCCATAAGAAGAGCATCTTAAAACTCCTTCCTTCCTTATTTCCTTCCCTCTTCCTTTCCTTCCTCACTCCTTCCTTCCTTGCTTCCTTTCTTCTTCCTTCCTTCCTCTCTCCATCCCTCCCTCCTTCCTCCCTTTCTTCCGTTATTTTGTCAGTAAAGGGTCAGTAATGGGCGGCATACCATTAAAGTACTTGCACATTTTTGCAGGTAGATAATGACCAACAAATGTGGGCTTGATCATGATTGGTTTGAGGTCAGGATTGCCTTACTCCCTGAGGCCAGCTGATCATTGTTTACCTAAAAGTTTCAAGAATTAATGTTTGGTCTCTTTGCATTCCCTACATTTGGGCGAGGCTGGAGACTCATTGTGGCTCATGTTATTTCGGCACCCTCACCTTTTCCCTTCTGCCCCCTTTCCCTGACCTGAACAGCAATTACTGCTTTACTGGGAGGCTGGATCAGATGTGGATGGATGAAAGAAGCAAGTCTACCCTGGGAAAGCAGAGCACAAAAGGAAATGAAGACTTCAATTTCTGTTTCCTTCAGGCATATTTAAGCAGGCTATCATTAGAAAAACCTGCGAGATATGCTAAATTTGAAGAAGATGTAATTGCAGAATAATACATAATATTTCTGATTCTATTTATGCATGTGCATGTAGAAACTCCTTCTTATATATGAATTCAAATACATAACAAAAGACTAGGAAGGTCCACACCAAACTGCTGATAATGGTTACCCCTGGGAGTAGATTTGGAATGAGGGTGAGTGAAAGACATTTTTTTCAGTATTCACATTCGGTATTCTTTTGTAATCATTGATTTTTTCAAAATGAGATTGTCTTTTTTAGTTTTTGCTTACATAAGTAATATATGGATTCTATCACCAGTAGTGAATTTTTTAACAATTTTTTAAGTATTTTCTTTCCCTTATGTTCTAAAAGGAAGGACCAAATTATTCAAAAAGAAAGTTTTAAAAATTAAGATTTCTTCATTTGAAACACATCCTCTGTCATTTTGGGGTGTCATTGTGCTTCCTGATCATGATTTAAAATAGATAGTAGTGAATCATCTTCCATAGCAAGTTTGACTCAGTCAAGTAAAAATGGTTCAAAGGAAATCAAAATTAGGAATTAATCTTCTCCTCTATCACCACAATGATGCTTCTCCCATGGGGTTTTAATGCTTGTGTTTTGGAAGATGAAACATGAAATGGAGAACTATGGGGCAGTGGGTATCGGGGTCTTTAATTTAACCGGGACTAATGTCAGATTTGAATCCTGTTTCTTTCTGCTCTGAGGCCCTTGGTGAAATGCTTCTGTCCAAACACAGAAAATGCTTCCTTTTCAGAATATCTGTGTCACTGGATCACTTTTAGTTTCCCTTAAAAGCTTATACTGTTGTACTTTATAGCTCACCGGACTATAACAGATTCCTTGAGGACAGAATGGATATCTTTTTCATCTCTGTGTTGCAAGTGCCTATATGAAGCGCCTTACACAAAGTGGGTGCTCGAGAAATATTTGTGGCATGAACATTTGAGTGAATCAATAAATGGCTGGCTGAATCCAACAATCAGTGCCTCTGTGTTGGGTCTTCAACTGCGTTGGAAGGTACTTGAAGTCAGAGGACTATACGTCTTGAAACTTCTGCATCCCCTACAGTGCTTTGAGAAAGTAAAAATTCAACAAATGTTTGTTGATCAATTTCCCTATTTTAACAGATGATAAAATATGTTCACAGAGATTTATATTTTGATTTGTTTACCAGCCTACTGACAAGCAAGCCAGGGAGAGAAGCATTCTTTCCCTCATTTTGTAGATAATTCAAATTCAGATGAGGCACAGAAAGGTAAGATGTTTGACAAATGCAGGGAAGGGAGATTCACCTCCTGAACATTTCAGGTTACTCTCTGGCGACCTTTCTGGCCCCCTCAAGAGCCTAGTGTTTTCTGACTATGTGCCTTTTCCTTTCCCATGGGGAGCAGGCCAAAGCTCAGTAGAGGGTCCATTGCTTGGTGATCTCAGAATTTCAGGTAGTTAAAGTGGAAAGTGGCACTTCTTAATTAGGCAGTAATAGCATAATTATTTGAAAGTGCCTTATAATTACATGCCTCCTCTCCAAGCTCCTTAGCTGCCTTGACTGGGATCTCAAGTTCCTGTCCCCTGCCAGTCCCATGTCAACACAATGCCTGGGCCAGGCATTTACCAGAGATGGTTGTGTCTTAATGAGGGAGAAACACTCCAATGGATTCTCTCTCAAAAACTCAGAACTCATGGTCTATCATTGCTACCACACAGAAAGCTCTAGTTCAAATCATCTTACACACTGGCCAGATCAATGAGATGGGAAGTTGAGAGATCACTGTGGAGCAATTTAATCCAGGTGCCTCTGGAATATTTATTACAAAGGGACTCAATGACCTCATTAAACCATCCCAAGGATTCCCCTTGATGTCATGTGCAGTTCTTCGTTATTTCTAACTTCCCGTCCCATGAAAAATGGGCTTTCTATTGGTTTAGACTTAAAAGGAAAGAAAAATCACCATCACTCTCCAGCACAGAAAATCTTTCTACATTTTTCCTTCCTCTTGAGGTGGAATGTAGCTCCAAACTGACAGCCTCTGAGCAAGCAACATACCCAAATATCAGGGCAGATTGCAAAAGCAATCAGCTCAGGGGAAAAGCAAGGGAGCTGTCGGTCAGTAGCATCCATCTCCCATTTTCAAACATGGCTGACTGGATGAACACCTCTTCTCAAGAAAGGAAGGACCAAGGGAGTCATTAATGAAAGCAAGAAACTCAGCTTTACATCTCATTCAAAAGATGGATTCACTGCCCTCCTCCCGATCCAGGTGGGTGAGTTAGTTTAGTGTGGAATTTGTCTGCCCTCACTGAAAACTCCAGTTAGGCAATGAATTATTCCAAGTAAATTAAGGGTATTGATCCCCTCCCCTTTCTGACACTTCGCAGATATTGCTATCAAATCATGCTCCGTGCAAGTGTCAGTTTTTGCCACAGACATCTGAAGAAGAGAACAAATATTCTCTTGAGTTTCTCAGAGTGTAGTAAGTACTTGTGGAGTATAATAGGACATGAGCAGACCAGGGAGTGACATATGCCTGTGATGAGCCTAACTGGCTACCTTGTAATCTCTGCACACTCAGCTTATGAGAAGAGGGTCACTGGTTTACCCCTGGGTTCTTCAGGTAAGATTAGGTCAAGGTCATGGGTTGCATTTTACCTTTAACCACTTTTTATACAAATGCAAATGGATCAGAATGAAGATCAGGCAGAAGAGTATAGATAAAGATTGTGAATCTATCACAGTTCTGGGGAAACAATCAGATCACATACTCTATGCGTAGCAGATAGTGCAATACTTTTATAAATGGTAAGGAGTCAGTCTCGTTCAAGGTGAAGGCATACATTATTTTGCCAGGGTCTCAGTTGAGGACTTGCTTCTTGTGGGTTCATTTTTCTTCCCCATTGTTATGGACTGGATGTTTGTGTTCCCCCCAATTGCATGTGTTGAAATCCTAAACCCCAGTGGGATGGTATTAGGAAGTGGAGCCTTTGGGAGGTAAATAGGTCATAAGGGCAGAGCCTTACAAATAGGATTAGTGCCCTTATGAGAACAGACAGGAGAGCTTCCTCTCTCTTCTCTCTGCAGCATGAGGATACAGATGGCCACCTGCAAACCAGGAAGCCCTCACCAGACAGTGGATCTGCAGGCACTTTGATCTCGGACTTCCAGCCTCCAGCACACTAAGAAATAAATTTCTGTTGTTTAAGCCACCCAGTCCATGATATTCCATTGTAGCAGCCTGAACAGACTAAGACTCTCAGATTCATCTTTTAATAATGATCAAACTCATCATTTTTAAAATAATAAATTCTTAATCCTCCAAAAAAGAGGTCCTTTTTCACTATTATCCAGTTGAACTGTCTTTTTTGACCCAAAACTACCATATTAAGGCTGTTGAGTATTCTAAGGATGAATGGTCTAAGGATAAATCAGATATCTGACAACCGTATACTATGAAGTATTATTTCCATCCATATTAAAGCCCTTATCGCATGTGGAAATATTACGAATGAAAGGATATGATATCTGAGTTTGCTTCAGAATAATCCAGTGAGACAGAAGGAAGCAGGGAAGATAGATAGAACAGTATTTGCCATAGCTTGGTTATTGTTGGTGTCAAGTGATGGCCCATGGTGGTTCTAATAACATTGATTCTCAAATGTAATATGCATCAGAATTATCTAGGAGTTTTGTTAGAAAACAGGTATCTGGGCCCCACCTCAGAGGTTTTGATTCAGGAGGTCCCAGGGTGGTGCCTAAAAATTTGCAATTCTCAGGGGATGTGATGCTGTTGGCCCAGGGACCCCTTGTTGGGAACCACTGTATTATTCTATATCCTCTATTTTTATACGATAAAAAACCAATTTTGTTGTGCCAGTAAGAGCTAGCACAACAAAACAAAATGAAGGAGGAGTCTCTGCCTCTGCCTGCTCCCAATCTCAGGCAGACAGCAGCTGAAGAAGACAAAGAAGAGACGCAGACCTCAGAAAAACACTGAACCATCAACTCAATTCAAATTGGACTCAGTGTGGAAAAAATTAATGTTGGCTTTCCTCATTTACTTTGAACCTATGTCTGCATACTTGTTATACAGTATGATAGCTTCTCAACTGATTTGGGATTGTGCCATTAAGAAATATGAATAAGCCGGGTTTCTTGTTTGTTTGTTGTTGTTGTTTTAATGCAAGAGCTAGAGTTAGGCTCTTGTATAAATCTTGTGATTTATACACACTGATGGCACCACTACCCACATTTGCCTGAACGTGGGTCAGGTTCAAAATGTATAGTCAGAAATCTTTCTCTCCAGTCCTTCAGCTGCATATCCAGAAGATGGATATGAAATTTCCTAGATCTAGTTTGATCTAAAGGCATCAGCTGATGAAGAAAGAAAAGTTCAAGCTTGGGATTGGATGGTCACAGGAAGGACATCAGGAGTTTTTGCTGAATTTTTCTTTATTTAAACACCATTAGCAAGCAATTACCATACGCCAGGCATTGGCCCATATATACTCTAAAACAGGCAAAAATAAATTCTGAAAGGTGGTCCTTGGCCTTAAAAATCTCATCTCTAGTTTGGAAGGTAAACATGTAAATAAATAGTTAGCATATTGACAGTTCTATAATAAGAGTTTATAAGAATACTGTGGAAACCTAGATGAATAGGCAATTCATTTTTGACTGAGCGGAGGAAGAGGTGAAGTGAACTTCTCATGGATGACATTCCAGCTGATTCTCGAGCAATTAGTACCTATTTACTAGGCAAAAAGACACAGGAAAGGAGAAAGACACACCAGGATGAGGAAACAAGTATAAGAAAGGTATGGAAGAGTAACAGTGTCTGCTGTCTCTAATCAATAAAGAGGAATTTGGCAAGACCGAGGTTCAGGCTATGAAGGAGGGAACTGGCAATAGGACAGGAAAGCTATGTTGCTTTGACACTCCCTATATATCATGATAACAAGTTTATGCTCTATCTTGGTGACTACTATGAACTGAATCGTATCCTCCTAAAAGTCATAGGTTAAAGCCCTAACCTCCAATGTGACTGTATTTGGAGCTAGGGCTTTTAGGAGGCGATTAAGGTTAAATGTGGTCATATGGGGGGGGGGGGTCCTAATCCAATAGGACTGGTCTGCTTATGAGAAGAGGAGGACAGACAGATGTCTCACATTTGAGGACAGGCCATGTGAGGACACAGCGAGAAAGCAGCCATCCACAAGCCAGGAAGAGAACCTTCACTAAAACCTGGCCATGCTGGCATCCTGATCTTAGACTCCCAGCCTCCAGAACTGTGAGAACATGAATTTCTGTTATTTAAGCCATCCGCCTATGATATTCTGTTATGGCAGTATGAGCAGATCAGGGCAGAAACCATCCACATTTTTAAGCAAGGGCATGATATTACAGAACTGCATTTGGAATGCACTTATGTGGTAGAACAGTAGGTTAGGCAGTGGAGAGGGTCTTTGTTAGTCTGCAGACTAGGCAGTGAGTTGAGGATGCTGTAAGTTCAGGTAGAGATGATGAAAATCTGGTCTAGGGCTGAGTAATTTGGAATATTTGGGTAGGAGGCACATTGATTGCTAGCATGGTAATAGAAAAGTTTTTTGGGTGTGTATGTAAAGTTTTGTATATATATGAACTTATATAACTTTGCATGTTACATATATTACTTAAATCTAATATGCTTATATATAATTTTATTATATAAAGATGGGAAGGAAAAAGGAATACTGTATGTAATAAATAAAAAGAAAAGTAAAACTCGTCATCTAAGAAGAAAGCCTAAAGGAACATTGAGTGAGATCTTTCACTCCCTTGGCTGCTATAAAAGTTTACTAATTTATAACATAGGTAGGGGGTATGGGGGATGGCTCAGGGGAGGGGCATGAAAAAGAAGAATGGAGGAAAAGAATAAATGCAGTATAATTTCTAAGACTTTGAATATCACAAATGAGTCATGTAACTGGAATTTCACTTTGTCTTCCAATAATTTCCACATAATTAGCCTATTCATATCCACAAAAAGAGCACATGGTATATTCCAAAATGACACACAACCTGTTTCAAACCCTGAAGAATGAAGCTGAAGCTTGCCTTTGGTGCCATCCCCAGAGCTTGTCGGAAGGTCCTGGCCTACGCACCCAGCCAGCAATGACACAAGGCATGGAGCACTGCCATCTCCTTTCATAATATTTCTTATATCTTTTCTTCCCTGTAAATTACACATTCTTCAGGTCTTTGCTGAGATAGAGAATGCAGCTCCCATGTGAATTGAGTATCCAGTGCCCTGCATGCATGAGCGTGTCAAGGCTAAACAGGTCTATTGTTCTTAAACAGCGCTGCTGGAGAATTGTATCCTTGTGCAGAATGATGCTGAAGAGATAAAAATATCTTTCATTTCTTTAGTGCCATGCCTCTTAAAGTGTGTTTCCACATTTTGCAAACTATATATAGGCTCAATTCATTACCCATCCTCATAAAATACAGCCAGAGCAGTGGCAGGCACATGCCAGATGTTTGACAATGGTTTAATAACAGAGGGAAGAATAAGTTAAATTGGATTCAGAAAACAGGAAATAGAATGTGGGGCACTAGGTAAAACTTTACCATTCATTCAGCAGTACGTAGTGAGAGCCTACTGCCTACCTGGGTAAGAGCTGTGGAGACGGCTGTGAACTAGAGGGGCGCTGTCCCCACCTTCATAGGGCTGCCAGGGTATCAGAGAAAATACAGGATTAAACAATTTTTACTGTAAAGTGTGATTCACATTAAGACAGAAGACGTACAAGGCATCCTTGTCCTCGCTCCCTTTAAAGGAAGTCTTTTCCAGTTAGCCACTCCGGCATCACCACTCCCTTACTTTAATAAAATGTTTGCATTTTGCATCCAACATGGTTGTAGATGCATGTTGAAGGAAGTCTGTTCTAGAACCCAGAACCAAGGCTGGATGTGGGGTCTGGTTCTGGGGAAACAAGGAGATAAGGGAAAGACAATGAGTTCAGTAAGTTGGGGAAAGACTGAGGGCACTCAGACTGAGTAGAATGAACACAAAGCAGTTTGAGGAAAGGTCAGAACCAATGACAGTGGAGAGGCCCACACAGATCTCAGGGTTGTCACTTGCTCACTTGTTTTTTTGGGGATAGTGACCCACCACTCGAAATAATCTGCCCTAACACTGATGGCATTAAAGAGCATTTCCATTTGACTCCATGATGAAAGGTGTGGCCTCTGGAACAGAAGACAATGTGATTTTAGGATTCTGAAGAATCCTGGAGATCCACTGGCTCAAACACATCATTTAATAGATGAAGAAAGGTGTGCCCAGGTTCATTAAGGGGCCACATTGGTTAGCAGTGGCCAGGCCAGCGCCACATCAAAAGGCTCACCAGACTCCCTCCATGAGGCCTGATCCTCAATGAATCAGGGGAGCAGACAACCTGCCCTTCAGGGGATGCTTCTGAAAGTTGAATATCTGGTTCTCTGAGCCCTTTCCCTCTGCAATGGAAAGACCAACTGCAGGGAGCAGGGTTAAGGTCTCGTAATCCACCTACACAGAAGTAAGCAAGAAATCTGGTTCAGATAAATGAAAAAGAAATAGGCTAGAAGACTGTGACTGCCCAGGTCATAAAGGCTGCCACCCAGCGAGGACCTCTGACGACCATCTGGTCTCTGGAAGTGTACGTAGCTTGGAGTCCTTATTAACTTACCTACGACTGGAGAGTCAGGTTACCCTGAACTCCCAGTAGGAGGCTGTTCAAAATGTGTTAAATCCCTGGACAAAAGAGGTTTAACCAGTACTGGCAGGATATATGAAAAACAAAAAGGGAATGCGGTTTCTAATGTATCTCTGCAACAAATACTGTGAAGAGGCATTAAACAGGCAATTCTCTGTACATGATGACTGCCCATCTCTTAAAAGAGCCGCTCCCTCTTCTTGGTGATAATGGTGTCTCATGAACACAGAATAGCTGTGACTGTGAGCCTGGCCAGCATGGCAGTGGGGAAGATGGAGAAGGATAGGACAGTGGGGACACTGGGCCCAGGTGGGAGCCCTAGACTGTTGCCTGGGCCCAGGTGGGGGCCCTAGACTGTTGCCTCATCCTGCAGCTTTCCTGCAGGGCCCCAAGCAAGCTAACCTAGAAGGATGCATCTCTAATGGAAAGGAAGAGCCCAGACAGATGCCATCCAGGGCAATTTCTCTTATTAAAATGTCAGTGAGATGTTTTATAATATTTTCCCACATACAGACCTGTATATACCTCTTTCCAACTAGAGGACAAACTTTCCAGGAACAGGAATTCTCATAGTTATTCCACATGTCTTTAAGTATCCAAAACAGGCCTTTGAACAAACCGAGGGAATAACACATGATAGACATTGGGCTGACAGCCACGAGGAAGGTCAGGAGAAAGTGGCGGTGAGCTGAGGTCTGCAGTGTGCCCAAACGCCAGCCTGCTCCGAGCACTCGACAGCCGTACCCCTCACTCCTGCACCGGGACCCAGAACCTTGCACATCACTCTCTTCGTCCCAGATCTCAGAAAACCCTGGGGGCAACACGCAGCAAGGCTTGGAAGAGCAGGAGAGCAGGGCTTGGACGCTTTCCGGGGGAGCCTTGCCCTCCTGTCACTTCTTGGCCAGCCAGCAGCAGAACCTGGGGCCGGCCGGCATCCTCTGTAGGCTCCCGCCTCCGCGAGGGTCTGGGTCACCCAGCTCCGGCTCGCCCCGCTGGCGGAGGTGGGGGGCGGGCCAGGGGCTCACAGGACCCAGCACTTGGCACCGGAGGCTTGGGGAGGGGGCTGGGGACTGATGGATTCGGCCTCCGGACTCCACGCCTGGCGAAGAAACGCTGGAGAGGATGCCACCTGCTGGCATCCCGCCGGCTTGCACGGTGGGCACAAGAGACCTGGAGCCAGCCTGGATGTGCAGAAACCCAGAATTCGGGCGGTTTTCCAAGTTGCTGGCTTTCGGCTGTCTCTGTAGGGCTGCCGCCTCCACCGACTGTCCAGAGACCCCTTCCCCCGCGCGCCGCCCCCGGACGCGAAGGCTTCCAGCAGGGGCGGCGGTCTCTCTCCTCTCCCCTCTTGCAGCGCACTCCGAGGTCTAGGGACTCTCCGCGCTTCTCCATCAGGTGGAGCCGTCGGCTCCTCGCCGCCTCCCTCCTCCTCCCTCCCCCGGAGCGAACCGCGCGCAGGCAGCCTTGCAGCGCCAGGAGGCTAACCGAGCCCCCGGAGGAGGTGAGGCCGCGGGCAGCCGGGCGGAGATGGCGGGGCCGCCGTCGAGGCTGGCGCCAGAGCCCGACCGGCTGTGGGTCCTGCAGGTACTGCTCGCGTTCTCTGCCCCACGTGGTGGCTGCTGAAGATTGCCGTGGGTTTTCCGGCACTCAGGCTTGATACGCCTCCTGGTCCTTTTAGAGGCGGGCAGCTCATCACTTAATCCAAGCTTTTTTTTTTTTCTTTCTTTCTGCGGGAGACCGGAGGTTACAGGGAGGGAGTAGAGGGGAGTGGAGAGGGGAACAGGCCCAGCTGGCTCGTTGGTGGGGGTGAGGGGGATGCCTGGAGCCAGTAAGGGGGCCATGAGGCCAGTGTTGGGGGCCAATGGGAGAGCGAAACAAGATCCTTCCAACCTGGATCTCCCAGGCCCCCCTCTTCTTTCCAAGAGTCAGTGCGAGTGTGGAGTGCAGACACCTGTACGTGTGCCTGATTATTGCGTATTGCACACTTCACTAGCCTTGTGACCCTGGTTTTGTAATAGTTCCCTCGGGGGCTGAATTAAGCAAATCTGGGCCCTGGGCCATTGAGGAATTAGCACTCAAAATTAAACAACAGCTTAAAGGATAAATCTTTAGTTAAAACGTCAAATGTTGCTACCTTTGATAGAGAATCTGCATTCTAGTATTTGTCCTATTCCCTGCAAGAATGGCACGCAGACACCTGAAATTTCTCCCCAACAACCCCATAGGCTTAATGCAAAGCTACTACTAAGGTGACGGCGCTATACATAGAGTTATTTTCAGTCTTACTGTGTTATTTGGCATATGTTATTTAAAATTATTTTTCATCTCCTCTGTGTGTTTTTGATTTGCCTCTTCCATTTATTGCATGATCTGTTACACCAGGCTAATGGACTCAGGCTCAGCTGACACTGCTTCAGTAACTTGTTTGTTAATTTAGCTAATGGGCTGCCTCTTTTGTGTCCTTTTAGTTTCTGTTGCTCAACATTTCTGTTTCTCCTCCCAAAGTTTGCTTACAAATTTCCCTTTGCTGTGTTTAACAGCCTCTAAGGGATGCAGTTAAATAAACTATTAAGTTAAGAATAGAAAAGTCAACAAAGCAGACACCTACTAATTTGTAGATCTTTGGTGTCAACTACCAGATGTCAGCTCCTACTAGCACACTTCTATATGCCCCTGCTTCTTTCTTTCTTGTTCACAAATACCAAGGGATAATTTTTTAAAGTTAACATCCGCATGGAAACTTGGAGTTGGAATGTGCCTTGTAGTGAGCAGAGTCCTCAAAAGATGTGCTACTACTGAAAGAGGAAAGGCTAAGAGTTTCCCAAAAGACCTCCCCAAGGTCCAGGGACTGAAGACAGTAATGACTGATTTTAGAATTGAATGCTAAATGGCACATGTCAGGGGAGCGTCTTTCATTTTCCTCTCCTCTCTCTTTACCTCTCCTTCTCACAGTGCATAACGTTGAATATTTTTCTGTGTTGTTTTGTTATGTCCTTAGAGTTTGCATCTTGTGTGTGTACTCTGCTTGCACACTAGATTATGAGCTTCTGAAGGCATGGTCTGTGCCTATTATTTTGCTTCCCTCCATGGCCTGCTTATACCAAGCATGCCTAAATGTCTATTAAGTAAATAGACCCAGATAAATTCATGTTGATATCCTGGAGGAAACCGAGTTTGATTTGAGTGTGGAGTGTGAATTTCATGACAGGTAAAAGGCTTGAAGATCCTTAGGACGCAGTTGTCTATGACCTTGGCCTCTCCTTTGCAATTGGACTCACAGCACCTCTTGGAGAAAAGACAGGCTCAGAGTGATGGAGCGCTCATTAGAGGAGAGGCTCTGAATGCAAAGACAGGCTGCTCCCCTGTCCTCGTTAGGAAATGCACAAACCAGGATAATGATAATAAATGGGTGTGTGTCACAAGCCTACTTGCCTTCCCTTTAGTTCCTGCATTTTGTCTTCCAGGAGCAGTGCAAAGCAAACTAAGATCCAAATGTTCAGGTTTTATTACCTACCCCCCCCCCCCACCACAACCACCCACCCACCCACAGGAAACTCTCAGAAATGCAAAGCATGCTTATCTCTTCTCCAACTCCGAGCCTCCCGCTGCACACATTGGCCAAGTCCTTCCGAGGGAAAGATGCGCACCCCCCCTTCCTAGTTCCCTTTCAGCCCAGTTTCCAGTTCCTTTGCAAAGGCAGGGCGTGCATGTTTTTGTGCACATGCATGTGGATAGTCATCCTTAACTTCACTGTTAAACAGGACATCGTGTGGACAAAAAGTCACAGCTCCACTCCAAGCTCAAGATGCCTTTTGGTCAATAATGGTGACAAAAGCTGAATTTTTCCCTATTTAGGGAAAAGAAAGAACACAGCCTTTTCCCCCACTGTCCGTTTTGCATAGATCTCCTTTTTCCGAGTGTTTCCTCTTTAATTATGACCTGTCTCCCCTCCCTCTCCCCTCGCCTCAGCTTCAGTGAAAGGAGTCCTTCTGTCACTCGTCACTAGCTCGCTCGCTCACTGTGGGAGGAGCCCGCCTGAGGAAGCCGTGTGCCTGGGATGCCAAGAGCCAGAGAATGGATCTTCTCCGAGTGGGGACATTGCTGACAATCCCGGCTTCCCGAGGCGGCTAAGAACAGGCAGTTTGTGTCGGCTGGCTGCAGATACCCAGAGGCACAAAGAGACCGAAGCCACCCGGAGGGACCCACGGACGGACAGATGGTAGGCGCGAACCCGAGAGGACCGGCGGAGGCTGAGCACCGAGAGCCGCCAAGGAAGAGAAACTAACCACAGCCAAGTTACCCCGCCGGCTTTCCTTCGCTGCGCTAAGGAATGAAACCCTTCCAGCTCGATCTGCTCTTCGTCTGCTTCTTCCTCTTCAGTCAAGGTAGGACCCCTGCGCTGCTGGAGTTGGAAGAAAGTCGGCTGGGTTGTCAGGGCGCGGGAGGCTGTGGGCAGGAACGTGGGCAGGCTTCGGGAACTCGGACTGATGGATGCGTCTCTCGGTGCCGGGCTGAGATGCTCTGGCATTGCCTCTTCGCCTTTGCGAATGCAACAAAATGGTACTGTTTATTTTCCTTTGGAAAGAAGGGGTATGGGAGGGGAGGGGAATGACTTTCTCCTCTCACTTGTCAATATCCAGCTCAAACTCTCCAATGCAAATGAGTTCTTTATGCTTCTGGTATGTTAATTAGGTAGTATCTCTGTGGTTATGCCGCTCTGAACTTCTGGGCACCTCCTCTCCTTCAGACCCAGGCCAGGGAAGGAGACGGCAGGGAGGGAGAGCTTGGTTTAGGTGGATATTTCAGCTTGAATAGGGTTTGACTTGCACAAGTGTATTCAAAAGCGAATGTGTGTGGTTTGCACCGTTGAAAAGGGGGTTGCAATTACAGAATGTATTGTGGGGGGTAATTTGCAGTGGTTGGGAAAAGCTTGTAAAGAGTTTCATTGAACGTCATCGAGTTCCCTAAATTAGGTTGAATTCTGAATCCTACACAGCACTGAATTCAGGGTATAAAATGAAATTTCGCCCGTGGTGCTGATGGTTTCCTTTCTGCAGCCTAGCAGGGGCAGAGAAGCAGGTGGACTCTCCGGAAAGAACTTTGCCACCTCTAGGCTCCTTGCCACTGGGAGCCCTGGGGCTGGTAGTGGTGCAGAAAGGAGAGGGAAATTCGGGAGAGGGAATGTGAGTGCCTAGTTGGCCAAAGGCATCAAAAGTCACCTGTGGAATTGAGTTTGGAGGGGCAAGTACATGGGCTCCTTCCCGCTCTTTTGGAATGCCAATGCACCTCTGCCATCTGAGGCTGCATTTGTGCCAGCCAACACAGCTCTTAGAGGTGCAAGACTCAGAAAAAATCCACAACAGAGCACGTCCATCTGTTGATTAAATGAAGGGTAAAAGTTTTCGAGAAAGCAAAGCACTGCCATGGGTGGCTGGCTTTGCAAGCAAACAGCATGTCTTCTGTTTCTCCCCTGTCGGGGAGAAGCCAAATATAAGCAAAAACCTGGCTTCCTTCTTCTGCTCTTCCACCCGTGCTTGTGGTCACTGCAGACTTTCTCCTTATCTGTGCAGTTCAAACTTTGCTTCTGGTCCTCCTGATGAAACCGAAGGGGCTCCTTCTTCATATTTGTATGTGCATACTAATGCCTGTGTATAATGATAATGTATGTACACACACACACACACACACACTCATGTATTCATATGGTTGTGTGCTTCTCACCAAGGCTCCCTACAGCAGCAGGAAGATAAATTGCCTTCCCCAGAGTTTCAGGCTGAATGAATAAGAACTCTCTCAGAACACTGGTATAGAGACAGGTTCAGTTATATTACCATTTGGTAAGATTACCCTCTTTCTTGGATGTGTATGTGCTTGCTTATGAGCACACACACACACACACACACACACACACACACACACACACTCCCATTCGTCTTTGCTTCTTACCAGTTCACTCAGGAAGTTTTGATATAGAACCCCTGAGAAGGAGGGAATCTTCCAACCAACCCCCCGTAAACACACAAACTCACATTTGCATGGGACCAGTGCATGCTTTAATCAGCCTTTTGTGTAGTTAGAAGCTTGATCCGTGATACTTATGTAGATTGGCATAAGAAGGCTATAGGTGTCTAAGTACCTCCCTGGCCGTCTGAATCATTACAGTGTACATCTTCTGTTGTGCTTATTTCTTTCTTGGTCTGGAGCTGTTTCTTGACTGCTTCATGTGAATCTTTAAATATTTACCTATGGAGGTTAAATGCTCTGTTTTATCTACCCCGAGTCCTGAGAGCGCTAGGAAGAAACCATAACATCATGCAGTTCTTAATGCCTTGTGCTCCTGGAGTGTTCTGAGCTTGGCCATCACTGTCCACCCTACCAAATGGTAGATACCTGGTCCAGAGGCTGGAAAACAGGTCTAAACAAAAATGAGGAGACCCAAGTGGACATGGCTGGTCAGATACCCTGCATCCCTGTACATGGTGTGCTTCTTGAATAGACAGTGTCCGACTATGGGAATCAAGGGGTCCAGCCATCAAGTGGGAAGGTGTTTTATGGACTTCACTGCAATGTGATATGGTTATCTTTTGCCTTGATCTGTGGAAATTTGTTTATGTGGATGTTGTTTTGAGCATTATGAATTCCCCAGAGGATTCTATTTGACCATCCTCACATATATGCTTAGCTCATGTACTGTGCCCCACCTCTACCCAGTGTCATGCATTCATCAACTTATTGGATAGAACGCATCCATGTCTAACAGGTCCTGGGAGGTCTAGCCCACATGGCTCTAAATGGCTCCACTGTGATCCCCCAGAATGAGGCCTGAGGTTACACCCCCCCACCCGGCACCCTCACACAGCCACCTGCTTGACCCCTGCCTCCTGCATGCTGGGATGCCTCTCCCAGGAAATGTGAAGAGACCCAGGGGATGGCCTTTCCCTCAGAGACAACAAATGTCCAGGGTTGTTTTTAGTGCCTTATCTGGCACTCCGATGACATGGCCATCTGCTGTCCAACACATCTCACAGTGGGAATCTGCATGGCACTTAGGAGTTTCTGGGAACAAGATTCCCAAGCTCCATGCTCCCAGTATCTTGGTCCCCGTGCAGAGAGAGTGCTCCAAGCAGTGCTCTCAAGATACAAATAAACTCTTAAAGTCCGTTCCAGCCATCCTTTTCTTCCTAATTTGTCAAATGTTTGTTTACCTTTACTTTTTCTTATAACCTTTTAGAGAGACAGAGAACAGAAATCAATGTATAATTAATATCAGTAATATGGTGGGTCCCTATTCTTTGAAAGTTTGGGCTTTTCATGTAGATTGAGATCAAGTATTTCTTTATCTTTCTTAAGGTGGCAGTAGTAAGGCTAAATAACATTCCTCCCGATTCCACCCCCGCCAGAGTCCCCAGGCCTGGCTCCCAACAAGGGAATGGAGAGCTGCCAGTGTGTACTGCTTGTGGGCTTCTCCCTTGCCGTGGATGCCTCTTCCCTCAGCTGTCAGGACGGTCATGCTTTGTTCAGAGAGGGATAATGTCACAGCACAATTTGCCTCCTGCTGAGAATAGACATGTTCTGCCCCTGGGTGAAAAAATAATCGATTCTTTTGTCATCCATAAACTTAGAACTTGCTATATTTTTTCCTCTTTATCATTTCAGTTCACCCACAACTATTTCCTTCTGTGCCCTCCTTAAGCTTCAAGCCCCATCCCATCCAGCCTGCACATGCACAGCTTAGGTAGCTTGGAGGGAATAAGGTCCTAGAGGACTGATGACTCCCTGCCTCCAGGGAGATCTCTGATCTCCACCTCGGAGACAGGGGAGATAGACAGGGGAGCCACAGTGGCAAGAACTTGGCGCCTTCTACTCCAGACACTCGCTCTTAAGAAAGGTGGTCTCTTCCCTACTCTCTGGCATTTTGCTCTGGCATTCCTAGAGCGTCCTGTCCTGCCTTGTGATTCTGTGGTTGTGAAGGTTCTAATTCTGCTGAACCCAGATCTTTTGGCTTTGCATGCACACTGTACTGTATTGGGGTAAAAGTGAAAACTTGCATTTACCTGTTAATGGCATCCCTGAGCTAAGGATGCATTTGAGGTACCATCTCCCTACTGGGAAGAATCTAAGCAGCCCACTTGCTCTCCTGCCTGGCTGGAAACACCAAAAGGGGCTGTCAGCAGCTGTCAGAGGGCAGAGGGTCATGGTGATCTGAATCTCCTAGGGAATAGAAAGGCATCTCGTAGACAGAAGGGTAAAATAGAGTGAACAGAGGGAGCCAGCCAGGGTGAAGGGAGCCATGGAGATGACAAGAAGCATGGAAAAGGAGGAGCCACTTCAAGAGGCTTGAACTAGCAAGGAGTTCCCTTGGGAGGGGCAGGGTTGGGGAGGCATCGGAAGAGAGCCTGAACACATCAGAGGTGGCCTAAAGAATGGAGGGATCATAGGGGGTACAGGCAGAGAAGGAATCAGCAAACAAAGTGGGGAGTGAACAGCAACTTTGGAAACACTTACACTCACTCAGAAATGTCATAAAACAAAAGATGAGGGAAGTAATGTGTGTTTCTCCCTCCTACCAGAACCCCATGTGGGATGACGTCTTGTCTAGAGGAAGAAGAATCAGTTCTTTTGTGCCAGAAGGTCAATACACAGCTGCCAAGGGTGTGGGACCACTTCTTTAACAAATCTTCGGGTGGGGAAACTGGGGCATGTCTGTTGGAAATGGGGGTGGTTGCATGTCTGTATCCCAGTAGGGAGTCCTCAGTTGCCAGCCAGACCTATTGAGGATGGAAAAGAAAGTCCCTAGGGGGAGGACGAGTGGGGTGGGGTCAAGGCCTTCACATTGCTCTAAGAGGATACCATGGGGTCCCCCTCTTGGGTGTACAGAGGAGGATTTGGCTTGGAACAGGCAGCGGCAAGCTAGGCATGGTACCAAGAAGCAGCCCTGCCTGGTGTGTGCCTGTGTTGGTGGAAGCCAGGGCCAGCAGGAGATGGGGTGGAGCAGGAGATTAGGCCCGAAGATGCAGTTTTTCTTTTTTGTTCAGCCCAGTGGGGATGACTTAGGCAGCATTATATTGCAGACCCAAAAAAGCACATGAATAATCCAGAGCGAATTGAAGAGATTTCAATAGCAAAATAATAACAATACTAATGATACCTTTGATTTGTGGAGTACTTTTCTTCCAAGGAGATAAAAAGATAAACTGTTTTGGAAACATGGATGAGGAAAAGAAAATTGCCCATACTGGAGGAGTGAGGAGGAGGGCCAAAAGCACTGGTTTTATGGTCTTGATATAGATGGGGGATGCTAAGGGGGCTAGAGGGGCATAGGCATTATTTTGCAGCTACAATCCTTATCCTTGTAAATTGTCGAGATGACCTTAGGTGAAAAACAGTGCAGGCGTTTTTTTATTGGGGTCCATCAAGAAACAGAGAGGCACTGAACTCGTCCTGTGCCTGGGAAGAGGGGTGTTCTAATTCATCAGTGGAGAAGGTCAGTAAGATCATGAGCATGCTGGAATGCACACTTCAACTCCCCCCACCACAGTGATCTTGACTTTAATGGTGGCGCTTGCAGCAGAGTGATTGGAGCTCTTGTCTTGCCTCGAGGCCAGCGGACATCCCAGCACTCTTGGAGCAGGGTCGGTGGGAGCAGCTGCTCTGGGGGGCTAACAGTTCCCTTGGATTTCATATCCCATCACAGCTATTCGTAAGGGAGTGAGCAGCAAAGCCAGCCAGTATACTGCGCCCAGGTTGTAATCGCTTCATCCTGTATTCCAAGTAGAGTGGGATTTTTATTTCCAGTTAGAGGAATGATGTGAGAATCGACTGCACCGAGACACAGTACTGTTCCATACGTCATTGCATGTCATTTTCTTTTCCCAAGAGAAAGTCAGAATTTACCCAGTTAGAAGTGCAGGTCAAGTAAGAACATAGATACCTTATAGATCATCAGAATACTTCTCTCATGGTTGGGGAAGGGATGCTATGTCCTGCCATCTGCCAAAGCTTTATTATGAAGCACGGAAGGGCTTCAGTCCTCTCAGAAAGCACACTGTGCCATAGAGCCAAGGGTCACAAGAGGGTGGGGGATCTTCTCCCCCATTGAACCTCCCCCTACTGCACGTTAACTTTCATTCACTCATAGCTTCTAACTCACTGAAGGAGCTAGGACCATTATGCTTTTTAATTCTTTTTCTCCTCTCCCAGTGGTAAAAATGAGTATTCTGGCTGTATACTTCTAGAAGTTGGTAAATGTCAATATTGGATAAGTGTTTCCTTTATATCACTGCAATTTAGCATAAGCTGCTTGGAAACAAATGTCTTCCATAAGCATACAATGTTTCAGTGCGTACACAGTCAACACCACTATGAACATTAAATAAATGTCAGCTATTCCTTGGCATACTTGGTAACAAGTTAAAGCCATGGAAATAATGGCCAGCATAGGTGAATCTGCTCTGTGTGGAGCTGTTCTGTTGGGGCATGAAGGGTGGAAAGAGGAAGTCATCCTTCTTCTCCTTGGAAATAACTGCAAAGGGGGCAGCCAAACACAGACACCTGCCTGCATCCCCTGGACAGGTTTTTCCTGGCATCTGGAAGCCTTCCCACGCCCTCCTGACCCCCTACTGAACACATACACACACACACACGCACACACCACTTAATGTTAAATCAGTGTGATATCTCCAGAATCAGCCACTTTTCTCAAATGGGAGCTATGCTCTCACCCTACTCTTTGCCTGTCTTCATAGGCAAAGCAAAGTAGATTTATCTGAGGCTGATTTTTTTTTTTTGATAATTGAAACTAAAACTGCAATGGATGGCCTATGTATGTCAGTATAAGAAAGGATGTGTGCGCATCATGCTGAATTATCTAGATGGTCTGCTCACTTGGCCTGTATTCAGTGGATTGTTGTTGCAAGTTTCTTTTTAACTTATGCAGATTCTTTTTAACTTATGCCTGGACAACTGGAATCTGAAATCTGAGGCCAAGAGTTGCAGCAATAACAAACAAACATCGCTGTCACTATTCCACATTTTCCCCCAGGGGCTCCACATAGTCTAGTGTCTCAGTGGGTGAAATATGCTGCTCCTTCCTTTGTGATCAAATACCATTTTATGACACTAAGGCTCAGCCCTTGACCACTCAGCCAGCACTCACTGTGGGCCTCCTATGCAGTAGGCACTGTGCTGGGGCTTTTGATGCAAAGATAATGAAGACCATGTTTCTGCCCCAGAGCTCTTAGTCTGGTTGGGGAGCAGACACTTCGATTAAGGTTACAATATGATGGGTTCAGAGCTGTCAGAGTGTTCTGAAAACAGGTGGATCAGCAAAGGCATCAGAAAAGGTTGCACAGAGGAGATGACATCATGCTTGATATTATAGGATGCTCAAGAGTTCTCTAAACGAAGCATGAAAAGCGATTTCCAGTCTCTTACATACCTTACAGTGTATGCAAATACAAAAGGCAGAACAGAATGCGATATGTTCAGAAGCCATGGGCAGTATGATGGCTAGAGTGCTGCTGTGTTAGGGAAGTGGGAGAGGAAGGTTGGGAAGGGAAGAGTCAACTCGTGAATGGCCATGGGTGCCATTATACATCTTTTGAGGATGGATTGAGATAATTAAGTAAACACCTGAGAAACATTGCTAGTAGCCTATGGGTTTGTGGTCCTCTCTACATCACGGGTTTAGGGATCAACATGTTATTTTTACTTCTTGGTATTTCTTGTGTTTCACATGGGGCTAAAAATGTAAAATTGAATGGAAATATACTTTTTAATCGTTCTTTCTAGCTGATGGATGAAGTGAGCAAGAGAATAAGTATGGGGGGAACTGACCTTAATGGTTAGTCCACATTCCAGAGAGGAGGCACAGAAGGATGGTGGGTAGATGAATGCCAGAATGATGTGTTAGCTAAAGAATGTGGAAGAGAAGAAAAAAGATCATGGAAACACACAGAGGCAGGACTGCTGGCTGCACGCTGGACTTGAGCAGAAAGAGTGCATTGAGGAATGAGATTTGCCAGTTTGTGGATCCCCTTGGCTAGTTAGAGGCGCAGGCAGCCTAACATTGAAGATGGGTGCTAACCAGAAGAGGAAACAGCACTGGAGCAGGTGAGCACAAAAACCTAGGGACATTTTGCTGATGATGTCTTTCTTGTTCTCAAGAGGAAGCTAAGTTATACTGGCTTTAGGGAAACCAAGGTTACAAGTGAAACAATTCTACTCAGAAGATGTTGGAAATGTTTTACAAGGCTCTGGCACTGAGTACCCTTCCATTTAAGAGTAGAGAATATCATCAGATCTACCTGTATGTTCCACACTTTGGCCTGTTCTCTTCAGGAACTGGTGGAGGCTGGCAGGACAAGCTCAATGATGAAGCAAAACCCCGATTGTTCAGCAAGAAATAGACAGTGTTATTTCCATGACTGCGGATATGTAAGTCTCAAGTCTAAGGCTGGCCCACTGAACAGTCTCTCATTGCTGAGAGTGTTCTGACTCACGGTGGAATTCAGGCCATCAGGAATGTAGGAGTCAATTCCTGAGAAATGGGTTAGAGAGTAGACTAGATGACGTCCAAAACCTCTCCAACTGTAAGATTCTCTGAATATTATCTCTTAGCAACAATCTATTTATTTTGGATGACACATTCCTAGGGAGTAGGTGATGCATTCTATTTGCTCTTTGCCAGCAAATTTTCTTGTAGGTGCCTGGCAAATTCTTTTGGTTGTTGAGGGTGTTGTTAGTCGTGGCAGTAATTATGTTCTTATGATGATGATGGTGATGATAACTAGCATTTGTGTAAAGCTTCATAAGTTGCAGAGTGGCTTTCACAAGCACTACCTCATTTCATCAGCAGAAGTAATGAGAAGTGGGCATTATTGCTGTCATACCCCCAGAGAGGTTACTTTGCTTGACTAAAGTCATTTTCAGTCTGGTTCACTTATTCATGTGCCTTGATGTTCCTCAAGATGCTGGTACATCCAGCTGTTCCACATCAACACTAAAAAATGCAGGAGAGTATCCTAAGCTGTGGTGTCATAAGACAGGTCATAGTCTTATAATTTGTGGCAATCCCCAGTGTCTAGGACTGGAAAAGGATTTTAGGGAGTTTCCTATGAAAATCATGCATCCGAATCCCAGGTCTGACCTTCGAACAAGGAGGCAGCATTGTAGTTCAATTTCTTTTTTATTCCAGACTCTTTCTGAGTCAGTTTCTTTATCTTTCTGGCATTCAGTTTTACCTCGGGGTACAAAGTTTCCAGAGGAAATAACAGGCCAGGCTTTGGGGCTGAAGAGTAATTAAGGACATACTGCTTGAGTAGCTCCTTTTGTGGCTGTTCTGACAAATAATAATAATAATAATAATAAAAAGGAAGGAAGCAAAGGCAGGGACTTTGCTTCTCTTAATTGGTTGATTAAAATCCAAGTCTTTTATCACCCCTGGTGTCTAGCACACTATTGGGCACATAGAAGGCTGTGAATAAGTGTGGAAATATTGGAATGGAATGAGGGGTAATGAGAGGAGAAGCCAGCAGTGCTTGTAATATCAGCACATGGAGAGATGCTGAGAGGGCCCCTGGCAGGAGGCAGAAGAAGAACCTGACTAAGTGAAGTGTGGACGTGCCCTGCAGGAAGTTGTTCCTTTCTGGAAGGCTTTGAATGCCCTTTGGGTCACCAGAGACAACGCCAAGAGAAACAGCCTCTGCCAAGCCACCCACTGCTCAGCTTCAACAGGAAACCATCGCGTCCTTCTGTTCTTTAATGCATGTCAGTGCCCATTTCTGTCAGTCACCTGCAAATGTCACAGGTGACTCGGCTCTGGTGCAGTGTGACAGTCCACCTGTCACCCTTGGCAATGCTGGGAGCAATGACAGCTTCAGAGTAACACTGGGGCCCGGTTGGTTCATTGCACAGGAAGCTTAGCACGTTCATCCGGGAGTGGCAGGAGGAGTGATTCCCACCCTTCCCTGCCTCACTGACCTTGTGGCAAAGAAAGCAAAACCACCACTTAATCCCTCAGTGGTTGCGTTCCCTAAATCCTAGGACCTGCACTTTTTCTGCGTCTTGCTAGAGGACGCTGGGGTCCACCCCACATTCACAAGGAGTTCTGTTTCTTCAGGGAGATGCCCTCTGAAGCCTTTTTCTTACATAGGAAGCTGCACCTGAGTGAGGGGCAACTGCGGAGGCAGAGAGGAGCTGTTCTTCTGAAGCCGCACCAAGAGCTGGGGCACTATTTTGGGCCCTGACGCCAGGTGAAGGCTGCAGTGCCTCAGTCAGCCTGATGGTGGCAGCAGCAGCGCTTGCAAAGCCCTGAACCTGCCCAGAGAGAGCAGAGCCCGGGAGGTCCCTTAGGACGGGGAAGGGGAAAGCCTAGTGGCTGCCGGGAGCTGGGAAGGGACGGGAGGGATGGGGGGCTCTCCTCCTCGCCTCTGGGTGGTGAGGGCAACGTTACAGATGGCGGCGGCTCTCGCAGGAGGCGGGTTCCTCTCTCCTGATTCTGCAGGGTGTGAGGGTGGAGTGTTTGAGGGGATCCGGATGAAGGGTGGCAGCAGCTAAGGGGGTACAATTGCAAATGCTCAGAGGGGCTTGAGAGAGCTTCAAAGAGAGGGAGCGAGGAAGCTCAGCCCACCACACGGGTTTCCCTGCCACAGGGATGATGTTTCTCTCCTGTATGTGAAGGTGAGTCCTCCCCAGCAGGGGGACCGCCAGCCCAGAGCCCCTACCTCTCCCTAGAGCCGCCTCCAGGCCTGTGCCCCCTGCCCCGCTCCAGGCGTTTTCCCTTCCACAAGGAGTGATTCCACCCTTCCAGGGTCAGGGAGCCAATATTTCTGTTGTCATTCCCCGCAAATGCTGAAAAAACAAAACAAACAGATGCTAAAATGAGGCTTCATTATTCCTGATCTCCTGGGCAGGCTGTGGAGGTGCTACTCTGTTTTCACCTCTGGATGGTATTACTAATTTCCAACAACACCATTATAAAAAACCACCACGGGCCATGGCTGTTTGAACATCCTTCCAGGCAAGATAACTGGATCCTGGCCACAGGCCCTGGAAACAATGGCCTTCATGCTGCAGGAGAGACACCGGGGGAACCCTGTTGGCCCTAAGACTTCGTTCCCCTGTTGGCCCTAAGACTTCGTCATGCCTTTCTTTACCTCCAAGGGGATGGCGGCTCACCTTTTTTGCCACTTGATAATTGTGACGAGATGTGTCTGAGATCCCGAGTTGATCCACAGGCAGCGTGAACTAAGATAGCGGGAATAGAATGAAGGAAAGGTGCAGCCACCATGGGAACAATCCACTCCCTTGTCTGGTCTGCAGCCTGAGTGGTTGGTAGAGCTGGCGGTTTATGTTACCTTTGGCCTTTCATTCAGTTTTTCTGAAGTTGCTGGAGGGATTTTCTATACGGTGTGCTGAGACCCCAGCAGCTTCCCTCAGCTGACTCACCATCAGAGTCCCTTGCCGCTCTCTCTGCATCAGGGTGAGCTGCCACTGCCCCCTTCGTCCCCACAGTGCCAGCCTTTCTGGGCAGTGGAGTTGGGCTGAAGGCAGGATTGCTGTCTTCATTTTACTGATAGTTCTACTAGCAAATTCCAGGTGACTTCTTCAGCATCTCTTGTAGAAAAGAAAACTTTTTGCATAAGTTTTGCAAAACCTTACTTCAAACTGCAGAGTTGATGCTACAAGGGTAGAAGAGGAAACATAGAGCTGCATAGTTTGAGAATTTACTGAAAATAATGGGGACTGAGCTCCTCCTCAAATTAAAAGATGTTATACCAACGAGGTGTTTGACCTTGGCCCTGCTGTCCCCCGACCCCTTGATTTGGCCACTTTTTCCCTTTCTCCTTTCACCAAGAGCTGCGTTAGTGTTTTGGGATACCTTAATAGAAAGCTGAACTGAGGAGGGAGGAGAGTGGTGAGAAAAAAAAATCAAAACCTGTAATGGTTTCAGTGTGCTGGCCTCAGCATGTTTCTCTACCCCCGAAGCCTTGTGATTGCTGAATGGGGACCAGCCACGGGGAGATGGTACTGAGGCCTGTGGCCAGGCCCACTGCTGAGTTTTGCATGCATTCCCTTATTCCATCCCCTAGCAATCTAATAAAGTAGGGATCCTTAGACCCATTTGCCGATGAAAACTACTGAGGCTTAGACAGATTCGGTAACTTGCCTGAAGGTCATTCGACTGGAGAGTCAAAGACCTGCCAATCAAACACCCTTGTGCAGACCCCTTACAGCCCTTGCTGCTGCTCCATTCAGGAGCCACCTCCAGGCCTATGCCCACCTGTGCCCTCGACACGGCTGTGGAGGCACCAGTATTTCTGAAATTCTTTTTTCTGAAATTCTTCAGGAAGGATTTCAGAAATACTGGTGTCCCGACAGCCGTGTGACCATCAGCAAGCCACAGAAACCCCTGCCCTGGCCGGTGGGTCCCCTCCTTCATAGCTTGTAGGATTTGGGACGGAGAGCTGATAAAAATGGAAGAAAACCTCTTCCCCCAAACAAAAGCTGAGTAAGAATTTGAGAAGCTTTCCTCCATGGCTAGCGACTGCTCTCTGCCTCCACAACCCACTTCCAGTATAGCTTAACATTTTGAAAGCCAAATGCTGATTTCTTTAAAAGAATTCATCATCACCCAGCTTCCCTTCAGTGGATTAAGAAATAAATAAATAAATCCCATTCTGCTTAGGGAGAGTTGAGCCTTGTGGTAGCTGTGTGCTGGAAGAATGGAGCTACTCTACATAAAAAGACTTTCCAGAACTTCAAAACCCTCCTTTTCTGTCAAGTCTAGAATAGTAAAAATATCAGGAGATTACGTGTTTCTGAAATGATTAATAATGGTTATTAGGGGGAAATAAAAAGACTCTTAGAATGTAGGAGAGCCTGAGTGTCATAGAGCCTATGATTCTTTTCACTTTGGTCTCGGCTGGTACAACTTACCTTGTGTCAGAAATCATTTTAGAAGATGGCACATGTCTACCCAGGCCATGCTTAAAATTGTAATATTGGTTTAAGATAGACACTTATGATAAACTAGCAAAACATGAAAGTTCTTTGACGTTTTCAAAGCTCCTTTAGATCGAATCAGAGCAATACAGAGGAGGAATGCAAGGAAGATAGATCTCTGCATAGAATACTTCAAATGCCTTCTTTTTACTTCAGTGGGACATGCCGTCATATCAACAGAGCCTTGGCAGCTGATGCCTGGGTTCCAAATCCATATCAATGCTCCTTTCTCTGGGCATGAGCTTTGTTTTGGGTGTTCTCTTCATCAGATTGGGACAGAGGTTTTTGCAGAGAGAAATCCATACTTTACAGGTGAAAACAGCTGAATACTGGAACTGGTCAGAATCAAGACATACCAACCAGAAAATCTGAACACTTACCTCTCCTGTTTGTCTGTGAAAATAACAGGAAATCTACCTTTCACTCTTATTATCAACAGATATTCTAAGATCCATGCCATTGTATTCATGCCAAGGAAAGTTTGAAAATACATAGACGGTTGTATTTTTTAGTTAAATTGTCTTAGTCTTGTTCATTGTTGACTTTATGCGTACTATAGACTCTGCTAGATTTGCTCACTCACAATTGCAATGGAAAAGGAATCTTTGTGGGTCAGTGTATCCCCTTAATTCTAGGTGTAGACTCCCTTTGCGTGTTCCTGACAGGTAATTATCTCACATATCAAGGAAGTATTAGGGTCTTTCTATGGTTCCTGGGTTATCTGAGTTCGTAGATTCTCTATCACCGTGGTTCTTCAAGTGTGGTCTGCAGGTCAACTTGGAGATTGTTAGAAATCCCCATTTTTGGACCCCAGTCCAGACCTTCTACATCAGAAGGGTTTTGACCAGCAGCCTGTGTTATACCGAGCCCACCAGCTGCTCCTGAGGCCTGCTCAGCTTGGAGCACAGGTGCCATCAAGGCTGAGTCTTGCTTCCTTATGGTGTCCCCTCATTTTCACCTCCATGTGGACACTGCTGATAGTAAGTCTACAAGGGAGTCGAAAGTCACTTTCTAACCAGAGAATTTAAGGTGACTCGTGGGAGCTGCCTCTCATGTTTTCATGTTACATCAGGAATCGGGATCTGTCCTGGGCATAAGAAGCCAAACTTACGATAAGGTCATACCTATGATGTGGAACACAGCAGCTATGCCAATCCGTCACTGACATCATTGCCTTCCTCTCACAACTGGAAAGAAATCAAGAGTGCTTCCTTTCAGCAGGGCTTTCCTCCCTGTCCCACCCCAGTGGAACCCAGGGAAGCAATGTCATAATCTATGTTGACAGGGAAGAATGTCTCTAAGAGTAGCCATAGATTTTCTTCTACCTGCACTTTAGAAAGTTGATTTTAAAGTCAATGCTGTACACCAGAGATGCTCTTGTCCATAAAGGATAGATTTTCTGTTTTGTACAGTGAAGAGATTCAGAATGTATATAATAATGCACCCCGAGAATTCTTGCTCTGTATTTTTAAAAAAATATTCAAGGTCAATACAACCACAAGTATTGATATTCACTTCATTGTGAACTGGGATCTGCTAGCTGCTTATTGTCATTTTATTTTTCAATTCATAAAAAAAAATGTTCTCATCACTAGGCATCTGGGCCTCTTTTTTCAACCCAACTCACCAATGGGAAACCAAATGCATGAGCTGATGAACCCAGCAACCAAGAGGGGCTTGGGGGGAGCCAGCCACAGATTTAAAGGCCCCCTCATCCCACAGTGGATGCCGTGTACACCCTGTGTGCATCCCCAGGTGGCTGAGTACTGTAGTGATGGTAGAGGAAGGGGGAAAGGCACAGGTGGTGGATTGTACAGGCCAGAGAGGAGAGACAGAGAAACAGAAAGACTAAGTGAGCTGGCGTGTTTGTGAGATACTCATTTTAGGCTTCAGGAGATCACTAGGCTATATAGTGTCCAGAAACAACAGCTTTAACTCTCTCCCATCCAGTAGGGGGGTCATGAAGGCACATGCCTTATACTCAAGGTTTTGAAGTTTCCTTTCATCATTGAACTATGTCAGTAGCTCCGCTGTGACAATAACCAAATCATCAGCTTTGCACAGAGTTCGCTATCTTCTCATGGGTGTACGTTCCTTTGACAGCATCCCGACACCTTCAGGACAAAGAGTCTCAGAATGAAAGTCTCCCCACCCTCTCATATGCCCCTTTACTCCAACACACGGAGCCGCTGACATTGTCCGAATGTGCTCTGCTCCCTCGTGCCTCCTGTCCCTCTGGAGTGGCCGTCTCCTCTCCCCCAGGTTAGTCTAGATAACTTCTACCCTAAAGACTCAGCTCCTTTTGCCTCCTGGTGGAAGTTTCCTTGACCTCTCTCCCCACAATCTAATTTAAATGCCCTTCCTTCCTTATTCCACAGCGCCCCAGGAAGCCTTTTGTGGCTCTTACTATGATTTATCCACATGGAGTGTTTCTGGTCCGCCTTCCCTTCCATATTGTGAGCTTCCTGGCGGCCAGGGCTGGGTCCTTCTCACCTCCATCTACCGTGCAGTGGCTTTGTTGGACTTGGGCGCAGAGTCAGATACAATCAGTATTTCTTACATGGGAAAAGAGCATAATGTGTCAGGGATTCTGGACAACTCCTACCTTTCCGTGCCCAGCATTTCACTTGCAAACCCATGAAAGTGTTTCATCAGAGAACGTGCTCTATTTATCATTATTATTGCCTTGTACAACTCGAGTACCTATGAGCACCGAGTCCTCCTTGGGGAAAAGGTGATAATAATTTAATCCTTCCTTGCATGTGTATAGTATTTCATAGTTCCAGAACACTTTCACATTAATTATGGTCTTCCTCCCTGAATCAACTCTTATCCTGCCTTTAAAAAGTAAGGAAAATAAGGCCAGGTTATTTTAAGTGGCCTCTCTAAAGTCATACAGGTAGTGGGTGGGAAAGTTAAAATGAAAACCCAGGAGTTCAAATCCAAGCCCAGGGTTCTTCCATTTCCCTCCTCCAGGTCTCCTCCCTGGGTTCCTGCCCCCGAAGAGTATGTGCTTAGAGGGTTCTTGGCAGAGGAAGCTCCTGGGGGCACTTCCTGCGGGCTCACATGGAGCTTGGTGGAGTGAATACTTCATTGAGAGGCAGGAGAGCAATTTGTGCGGGGAGCTTGGACAAAGTTCCTGGTAAAAAGTGGTGGTTGATTCCAACTATGGCACAAGGGTCTCTGTGCAGAGGCTAGGGGAAAACTGCTCTTGACTGAGGCCCTCTCTTGTAAATGAGGCATAACAAAGAGAACATAATAACTCCATTATAGTAAGGACTTAGCACCTGGCAGCAGCCAGTGAGAATGGCCTGGAAGCTTTTCCCAGGGCAACCTTTTACTGGGTCCATAGGCTGTGACCCCCCTGCACTGCATCTGCCATGAAGTGTCCGTCTGCCCCCCTGTCAATCAAGGAAGACCTGCTTGAAGGCATAGAGCACTCATCACAACTCCTCATCCTCCAAGCATGTGACACAAGCCCTAGAGCAGAGGCTAGACAGGCTACAGGCTCTGTCACTTGCCTGGTGCATGGCCTTGGTATGGAAGAGGGAAGGAGCCTTTTTCTCCTCCTTGACTCATGAAGTTGTTGTGAATCTCCAGAGAGAATACCTTTTTGTGAGGGCTTTGAAACTCTATGAAGGGCACTATTCAGAGGTGAGGTACTTGCCTTCCTCTGGGTCAGTGTCTCCAGATGTGCTGAGCTGCTGCCCAAGGTCAGAATAGATCTGGTTAGCATCCTCAGTCTCTTTTCAAGACAAGGTGCCATGTGGCTTTCTGGGCGTGCAAGTTTTCTCAGTGGGGCTCATGGGGAGAATTAACCTCTAATACCATAAAAGGCATCCATTACATGCAATGAATTAAATTATTTCCTATGCATCTAAAATGATACTAGATATGTACTACTTTTGGGAGAAGTAAAAATAGTTAATCATATTATTCTCGGGGTTCTCTGGTTCAGAGGAGGAATCTCAGTTGAGAAAGGCTATGTATGGAGTGTATTTGTTTCCCAGTGCTGCTGTTAACATGTTACCACAGACGTAGTGGCTTAAAACAACACAAATGTACTATCTTAGCTTCTGGAGGTCAGAGGTCTAGAATGGATCTCACGGGCTGGCATCCAGGTGCTGCAGGGCTGTTTCTTTCTGGAGGCTATAGGGAAAATCAATTTCTTGGCCTTTTCTGGCTTCTAGAGGCAGAGTGCCTACACTCCTTGGCTCGTGGCCCCTTCCTCCCTTCACTCCAACCTCTTGCTTCCATCTTCACCTCACCTACTACTGACTCTGATCCACCTGCTTCTTTCTCATAAGGAACCAAGTGATTATATCAGACCACAGAGGGTAATTTAGGAAAATCTCTCTCTCTCAAGACCTTAACTTAATTACATCTGCAAAATCCCTTTTGTCCTGTAAAGGGATTAGGACATGGGCATCTTTGGCGGCCATTATTCTGTCTACCGCAAGAACCAAAGGCAGACGTTAGATGAGCCCTCCCTTTCAGAAGAAAATATAGGCTTTCCTATCCTACCTCTCTGTGTAAGAAATCTGTGCCTCAGCCTCACTACTTGTAAGTTAGAGAAAATGACCTTCCCCCGTGTGTATCTATTGGGATTATCAAATAATAGGTGCTTAGTACAAAATGGTTATTATAATATTGTACCTACAAGTAGCCTCACTACTTATAAGTTAGAAAAAATGACCTTCCCCATGTATATCTATGGGGATTATCAAATAATAGGTGCTTAGTACAAAATGGTTATTATAATATCATACTATGACTTGGCACAAATTACGCTTACATAATCAATGGAGTTACTACTAGATGCAACTATCATTGGGTCCCATGGGGGAGAGATTAGCAGGCACATCTATTAGATGCTGTAGTTAAACCTCACTAAATGATTCTTAACAGCAATTTACTTTGGCTTTATTAGTCTAGAGTATGAGAACTCTCCTTTAAAATACTATAGACCTTGGCCTCCTCCTGTCTTTGGAGTAGTTGAGATGAAATAGAGATGAGCAACAACAACAGTGTGAAAGAAAGGATGAATGGACCCTGCGTTTGTCCATGTATGATTTGCTGCAGGGTAGGAGGCTTACTGCCTGCACTTTGATTTTTCCCTCCTTGTCTGCTTACAGCATTGTGTTTCTAGCATTTGGCTGAGGATCTGGCTAGAAAAGAGTCACGCCTGGAGGTGTTGGGCTGGGGGAATGGGTAGAAACAGTACGTGGAAGTAAAGGAGAAGTGGCAGCTCCAGGATCAACTTAGGTGTCTTGCTGCAAAGGAGAGATACGATTATAACATTAGATGCCACTCATTGTTGCCCAGGTGTTGAAGTTCAGTTAATGTACTTTAAAGGCTTTATGAAGTCTCCCTCAGGTTTGAGAAGATTTAAGAAATTAGGGAACTTAGTCCCCTCCCCAGTGTCTTCCCACCAGATGCATCAAGACTCCATAGAAGACTTGAGGCTGTTAGGCCTGAAGGCCAATGTGCCCAGGCTAGGGCCAGCCCCTGAGCCTACAGATGGGTCTCTGAGTCCAACCCCTTGCCCACACCCACCTTACAAGTCTCTGACAGCTCTACCTTAACAAGCCCAGAGAGAGAAGCAACCAGTAGACAATGATAACATCTTTGTTGATAATAGGTTGATAATGATAATAGGTTTCTCAAATGTTCAGCCCTTGAGGAACCTGTGTCCAGGAAAGGTTTAGTTGCTGTTAAACAGTTGCAGGTGGGAGCATTGAGGCTGGGTCTGGATCTCTGGGCTCTGGGGAATTAAAAGAAAGAGACAAGCCTGAGAATGATTATAATCCCATTATGCAGAGCTTCCCCTATTTATTTCTTCATATGGATGAATTTGTATATATTTGCATTTGTTCTATCTGATAATATGCATAGAATTCAAATTGAAATGACTTGAATAGATTTGAATATTAATGAGGTGTTTAAAGGCTGTCATCCCAGCAGAGCCCCCAAGCAAGGGAGTGTGTGCTACAGAAGCTCAGATGGCTCCTCCAGGCACTGTCAACAGAAACCTCAGGCCTAGAGCTGGGAGGCACCTTGGAGAGAGGCCCTCTTTGGTAGAAACGGGGGCCTTCCCCAGTTCCCCAGGCACCAAGCTCAGGAACCTACTCCAAGGATGGGGGTGCATTGATAAAAGCCCCCTGAGCATGTGTGGCTGAGACCTCCTCCGACACCCAAATGTGTGGTTTTAACAGTGCCATAAAAGGCAAGATGTCTTCTCAGATTAAGAAATACCTCCTTGCCTTTGCTTCATAGAGTCGGGTGGTAGAGGCAGATCTCATTTCAGTGAAACAGGGACCATGTGTTTAGCTCTTCCTTAGTGACTTAGGAAGGTACTGGACTGTCTTCTGCCTGGAATCCTAAGCTACACCACATATAACACCTCCTGAGCATTTTCCTCCAGAATAATGGCGATTAGGCAATATGCTGTCAGTGGGCCCAATGGCCATCAGCCTCCTTCTTCAGGGTCTCATAAGAAATCACTTGATACTGGTCACTGCAGCCATCAGCAGTAACATCTGTAGCCTGCCTAGGTCCCAGGCTGAACACTAAGAACAAATAAAATAGAATAGCTTGCAAAAATAAGAAGGTCTTGCTGTGGTCCAACGGGCCATGCTTTCCTTCTTTTGTCTAAAAATCCAGGTGACAGTTTGTCCAGAGAGGTACGTTTGTGGTATTAGGCTTCAAATATCTAGAACTCAGCATCAAGGCTTTCAGGCCAATCATGTAAGAATAGTACTTTGTAGCAATTTAAATTGAATAATGATAGTCCACGGTACAGAGATCTAAGTATACCATCTCTCATTGCTAAGTACTGAGGATGAAAATTTCTAAGTGATCTCAAAATTATTTTATTGTGTCCTAACTGAATCTTGGTTCTTTCCACGTTCACACTCCTAGCACCCATTCTGGTGGCTAATTCTGAGAGTAACAATGAAAATATATTTGTGAGTTGTTGATTTTCCTGATCGGTGATGCTCTCACATGTAGCCCAGTATCACTTTTAAAACAACATTCTAAAAACTAAACTCATTATTTTCTCCCCAATTGGGGTCCTAATCTCCGTAAAGAGCATCCTATATTCCCAGCACTTAGTGTGGATGCCAAGTCACCAGCCTCTTTCTCATCTCCCATAACCAATTAGTTCTCTTGTCATGACACGTTTTAATCTCTATTGCCTTTCACATGGATCTATACTGCCTTTCCATTTTTCCTTCCATTGCCCTACTCATGTTCTCCAAAACTATTATAGCACCCTATCAAGTTCCTCGATTTTTTTTCTCACAGTCACCCTTCACCATTGTCATTCATTACCACTTGTATCTTCATAGGGTACACAATTTACTCCTCCCCTTCTCAGCAAGCCCACTGGCTACCCTTTGCCTGTAAAACAAAGCCCCAATACCTTCACTTGGTATCTGACACCTCCATCCTTACCCAGCTTTGAAGGTCCCCTACAATCTGTAGATACTTGCATTTGTTCTATCAATTCATTCTGTCTGGCACCATCTCTCTTTCCAGCATCTTCCTCTCCATCCCTCCTTGCTCTTCAAGCTTCCACCAGAAAAAGAATATTTGATTTTCCCTGGATATGCCATGCCTTTGTATCCTTGCTTATGCTGTTCCCTTAGCTTAAAATATCCTTTTCCTCATCATTTACTGAAATACGCTTCATATTTCAAGGCTTGGCTCAAAGGTTACCTCTCTGTGTAGTGATTTCCTGTTTCCCACTCACAGTCACTCTGCCCTTTCTTCTCTGCCGACATAATGTGTATATTCTATCCTTTCATGTGTTCAGTTCTGTCCAGCTTGTTCTTGACTTGATATTTTCCCAACTCAATGGTAAGTCCTATAAGGAGAGAAACTCTAATGTTTTAAAATTTTTCATATCATCTCTGACAGTGCTCAACAAATGTTTAATGAGTGAGCAAATGAATGAATGGGAAAGATACCATATTATGTTCTAAGTAGCATCCTTCTGGTCCAGCCCTTGCACCCTCTAAGAGCACCTGGTTTTCTTGAAAAGATGCTGACGTTTCTTAAGCATCTGCTACAAAGGCCAGGTCCTCTCCTATGATTTCATTTAAGTTTTCACAGAAACACTATGAAGGAAACACCCTTATTTCTATTTTGCTGACGAGGAAACTGAGTCTTAGTGAGGTTAAGACATTTTCCCCAGGTCATCTCTCTAGTGGATAATAGAGCCAAAACGAAAGCTCAAGCCTCTATCTCCGCCTCTGGTGTCCTTCACTCCCCAAGAGCCACCTCTCTGCGTCAGCCAAAGAACAACCAGACTCTCACCTTCCCCAGACTTCGAGTCAGGCTTCAGTGCTCTGGGAGAATGAATTTCCCGCAAATCAATCCTGGATGCAGTTATTATTTTATAGGGATGTTGTAAGTTGATAAGGTAGCTGTTATATGTTAATAGCTATTGTAATGTTGTTCTTAAGGCCTATTACTTGTGCTAGTTTGTATTTTAATGTATGCAAAGGTGATTACAACTTTAATATGAATGTTAAACCGATTAGCTGATTTATATGTAAAATAAATAAATAAAATGAAACTCATACTCTCATTTCTATTCATTTCTCTCTCCCTTTCTCTCTTTCCCCTCTGCCCAAAGGCAGATGTGGTCTGTGGAGCATTGACAATGGAACAAAAAGAGAGTGTTTGCTGAGTGATAAATAATGGTTATAGACGGGTCTTTTGTTCCGGGTGAATTCGGACTCTATGTCCTTAATAGCTGTTTGTCTGAGAGTTTGCGCTTTTCACTGTGTTTGGGAGTTCAGTTTTGTTGGAGAGTTGTACATTTGCCATTCTCCCCCTTGAAATTATGTTTCCCATTTCTGGCAACCCTTGTTGTTTTCTCAGTACACACTGGGAAACCTGCCAAACTTTCAGAAAGGCAGGTGTACCTCAATGTATTCAGGGACACAGGGCATAACAGGGAAGCCAGGTAAGAGAATAAGCATCCCGGGTGCAGAGAGGTAGGGACCCAGGGGACATCCACATATGGTAGCTCCTGTGGGAGCAGACACTAGGGTTGCCTAGCCCACCTTGGGGGAACAGAGCTCAGAGAAACTCCCACCATGAAGCAAAGCTCCAGGGCAGAGTGGACATTAGCTAAGAAAATGGGCAGAGAGCGGGATGAGGAGAAGAGGGAGTAGCAGGTGCTAAAGCCTGGGAAGCATGGGAGAACGTAGACCACTCAGGGACCCACACGGAGCTGGGCGTGGCCAGAACCAAGGAGCATCAGTGGCTGAATGCACTGGGCATAGACCTGGAAGCCAAAAAGCTTTCTGGCCAGGGCACGTAAACACAAGAATATATTGGATGATAGAGGGAGCAACCTGTTTGAGGTTACCAGGGGACTTTCCTTTAGGACATAATTGCTGCCAGGGGTTGGGTTAACAAAGAAAAGAATGCAGGTTCATTCCAGAGGTTCCACACATAAGAATGGAGGAAACCTAATTGGCTAAAGTTTGAAGGGAAGGTGAAGAACACGCCCACCACAGGGGAGGACAGATCTGACACAGGAAGAATGTTGGTAGAGGAAGTGGAGCAGGGTCACCTTTCAAAGAAAATGTTGGAGAAGAGGAAGGGCAGAAGCAACCCTGAAAGAATCGCATAATTGATTACCTGCATGCCCTGCATCATCATAAATTTAAGTAGCAGAAAAATCCAACGCCACAATGTGCTGACCATTATCCCTGGGGCTTGTGGCCACAGGCTTGGAAGGAGGCACTTTTGGTGGGCTGCCGTGCTGGAGAAGGAGGCTGTCAGTAGACTGGCAGCAGAGTCGTACTACAGAAATCCACTCAATGGAGAGTGGGACATGTCGTGCCCAGAAACTGAGTGAGGACACCAAGAAAAAGGAGACAGGGATGCCTCTGACTGTGTGGTACACAGGAAATTGATGCTCTTTCCTGATCCAAAATATCAACCATACATCAGGCACAGGAGCCAGTTCCAGCCAGGGTTGACAACTTCAGCTCTCCAGACACTGGTTGGAAGGCTGGTCCTGCTGAAACAGTGTTCTTGACATACTTTTTAATTGCCTTACAAGCAGCTTGATCATTCAGAAGGTTGGGGAAAAATCAATAAGGGACTCTGTCACTCTGGGCTCAAGTCTAACTCATTTTCACTTTTTCAACAAATATTTATCGAACACCCACTATGTGCCAGGCATTGTGCCAACAAGGTATAAACCTGATGAAATAGACAGGTGCATAGTAGGCATTCAATAAATGCTTGTTGAAAGAATACAGGAATGATTGAATTAATATAATGGGAATCTCGAAAGAAAGTGGATGCTAATCTTAGGAATTCATAATAAAAACAGGACACTGGGCATGGCCAGACCCTGATCCTGGAGGATCAGGAGCATCGCCAGAGGCAGTAGAAAATAAACAATATGAAAAGCTGGGTGATGAAAAAGAAAGGTGGCTCAAGAAAGATGGCAGCTTCAGTGTTTTGACAGCACCAAACGAATGATCCTGATGAAGAAGGAAAGGGCGGCAGCATCCGAAGAAACCAACCTGACTGCGCAGACACTCTCCAAGGAGCTCAGTTTTGAAAAAAAGGTACAAAAGATGGCAGGCGGGGCACCTGGCAGAAGAAGAGGACAAAAGAGGTGCAGGAGCCTGTAACAAAGGTGCCAAGTGACACTAAGACCCAGAAGGAGCTGAAGCCTGCAGAAAAAGAAAAAAGGAAAAGAGAGATTTTTTTAGGTTTCAAGAAGGAAGAAGAATAAAAAGGGCAGTCCTCCTTGGGAAATGCAGCATGATGTTTATCAGTTACAGAGAACTTCTTCTTAACTCTCTTGGTACTCTCTTTCCTATCGTGCTGTTCATAGTTGAGGGACGATCAGCTGAATTGAGAAGGAATTAAAACTTGAGATAGGGGATGTGACAGGAAGAGATCATACAAGTTGGTGGTTTAGAGTCACCCAGATCAAGGATTAAGTGCCTAGCTCCACCGTGAAGTAATAACCTTATGCCAGTAGTAACCTCCCCTCTCCTTTACCCTTCTATGATGTAGACATATCAAGAGTATGTATGCCATAGATTTGTTAAGTAGATTAAATGATACGCTGCAAGTACAGCATATTATCTGACACATAGAAAAATTCAATAAATATTAACTATCACTATAATAATGATGATGCTTATGGTATGTTTAAAACAAATCTGATTACTAGATTCAACAAAATTAACTTCCCAGAACACTGAAACCGTTTGAAAATATGATCCTGGTACCATTCTGGGTGAATAATAGTCAAGAAATACTGCAAAATAGGAGAGTCTGGAAAAATGTCACACTTTTTAAAAAAGTAAAATTGTAGATGACAGTAGATTCAGAAACAGTGGACAGGTAAACATATAAATCTCCAGAAAAAAATCTGCAGGAGATTAATGTAACGGTTCATAAACACTCAGAAAATAATCTGTGGTCCCTGGAAGCAACCTTTGGCTTGCTAAAAGCAAGTGATGCTAACATCTCATTTAAGAAAAATAATATGTCATTATAATTTCATAATCTGTCTCTCCTTTGTGATGTTGTGTTATTCACAAATTTGATAAACAAATTTTCCTCTGTCAGGTATATTGCAGGGTCTTAATTGGAGGAGTGTTATCTTATTGAAATCTCAATATGAGCTAACAATGTGGCATGGTGACAAATAATGTGCTTCTCAGCATCCTCTGTAGAAAGCGATGTGTTCATCTGGAAGATGCTAACACCCCCATGGCACCCTCTGCTGATGTGACCCACATCTGGAATGGGTATGCTCTGTCCTGAGAGCCACACCTTAGCCATTTACAAACTGGGGCATATACTGAAAGCTTGGATATGGGGACGGAGGGAAGGAAGGAAGGGAGGGAGGGAGGGAGGGAGGAAGGGAGGGAGGAAGGGAGGGAGGGAGGGAGGGAAAAGAAAAACCTGGGAATTATGTAATATGAGGAAGGTGGGAGGAACTTAGCGAACTTAGCATTATTAAGGCAGAAAAGCAAGACTTAGGAGTTCTTCAGGCTTATTGTGCATGAGAATCAACTGGGGTGCTTTTTTAAACTTGAAGATTCTAGCTGCTCCAGTCCCTAGATTTGTAGAGAGTCTGATTAATTAGTTCCAGGAGGGCCCAGAAAATTGCAATTGAACTACCATCCCAGGTGACTGTCATTCTTAAAGAAAACTGGCTTAGAAGAGAACACTATAACTGTCCTCAGTTATATAACAAGCCTCTTTTATGTGGAGAGAGCAGAATTCTAATCAACAAATCTTCCACTGGACTAGCAGCTACTGGAGGGTAGGAATACTGGTAGTCCCACTTCTGTACCCCTGGTTGTGAATATGGTTCTGGCACACAGTAGGTGGTCAGCAAATACTTATTTAAGGAAATTTCAGGGGGGTAGGAGAAAGAACCTTGCAAGAATGAAAGCTTTGTGAACATGAAGTAAGTGGGCCTTGTGGGCAGTCAACCCTCTATTCACAGCTGTCTTGACATGGAGGATGGATAATAGTGCATCAGAGATGACATAAAGGGGTTTGCTGAATTGGAAGAAAGCCTCAACTAAGGTGACCTCCAGGATTTTCACATTCTTACCACTCAGTTGAAGAAGTACAATACAGTTAGGTGCCACATAGCTGTTGGTCAAGGACCGACTGCATATATGACGGTGGTCTTATAAGATAATAATAGTGTTTTGAGGCCAGGCGCAGTGGCTCACACCTGTAATCCCAGCACTTCGGAGACAGAGGCAGGCAGATTGCTTGAGCTCCAGAGTTCGAGACCAGCCTAGGCAACATGGTGAAACCCCACCTCTACAAAAAATACAAAAATTAGCCACTGCACTCCAGCCTGGGTGACAGAGCAAGACTCCATCATAAATAAATACATACATAAATAAATAAGTCACATTAAGCCTTTAAAAATATATACAAAAATTAGCCAGGCATGGTGGTGCACACCTGTAGTCCCAGCTACTCAGGAGGCTGAGGTGGGAGGAAGACTTGAGCCCGGGAAGCAGAAGTTGTGGTGAACTGAGAACGTGCCACTGCACTCCAGCTTGGGTGATAGAGCCAAACCTTGTAGACTGGAGCAACAGGCTATACATGTAACCTAGGTGTGTAACAGGCTATACCATGTAGCCTAGGTGTGTAACAGGCTATACCATGTAGCCTAGGTGTGTAACGGGCTATACCATGTAGCCTAGGTGTGTAACGGGCTATACCATGTAGCCTAGGTGTGTAACGGGCTATACCATGTAGCCTAGGTGTGTAATGGGCTATACCATGTAGCCTAGGTGTGTAACGGGCTATATCATGTAGCCTAGGTGTGTAACGGGCTATACCATGTAGCCTAGGTGTGTAACGGGCTATACCATGTAGCCTAGGTGTGTAATAGGCTACACCATCTAAGTTGGTGTAAGTGTACTCTATGATGCTTACACAAAGACAAAGTCCCCTAACAATGCATTTCTCAGAACGTATCTCCGTTAAGTGATGCATGACTGTTATTGAAAACATTATTTGACTACAGCACAGAAATAATGAAGTCAGAGAGGTCTAGATAGGAAAGGAAAGATGGTGATGAGCTCTATAGAAAAGAGGAGTAAACATTTGAAACAAAGAGATGGACAAGTCTGTGGAAGCATGTTGCATAAAGTGCTTTAAATGTTTTACTTGTGGAGATGGCATTTGCAATATTTTGCATCTTATGTAACTGAATTCAACCCCTAACGTGCAATGAGTACCTCCTATGCACAGAAAGCAGAGCTAGATGTGGCACCTGCCCTCAGGGAGCACACAGGACAACTAAAGAAAACATGAGCCCTAGTCTTGCCCTTGGAACATGAATCTCACTCTTCTGGTAGGGAGAGAAAATGCAAGTACCACAAGGGAAGGAAAGGACATTATCTGTCACATAAATTGCTATATTCCCAGGATTTCAATAGTACCTGGCACAGTGGGAGCAACAATAAATATTTGATGAATGGATGAATGAATGCAACTAACATTTATTGAGTCCCTCCTTGCCAAGCAGTGTAGTGCATACTTTGTGTATATCATTACTCTTAATTCTTCCAAACTCTGTAAAAAGTATTATTATTCTTGTTTTACAGATGCTGAAATAAAAATGCTATTGAGTTGCTTGCCCAAGATCACAAACTTGTAAATAACAAAACTGAAGTTCTGAAGTTGAGTTTTCTGTCTCCTAAATTCACGCCATTTCTGCTAGTTCTGTTTACAGACAAGTGACTTGAGATTCAGAGAGGTGAAGTGACTTTCTTAGGGTCACCATGATAGTCTGTAACAGAAATGGATCTAGACCTAAGCTCTGAACAATGATTTCAGCAGCAGCCAGAACTCTTCATCACTTCCAAGTAGTTGACCTTATCCCCTCATGACTTGATTCCCCTGACCCCTGCAGTCCCTTGGCCTTCACACAGAGAAGGAATGCATGCCTTAGGCAGCTCTCTATGCAACTGAATGGTGGCCCCTGAGGCTAAGTCTACATTGGTTGGGTCAGCTTGAACTTGGCAATATGGGACTGTAATCTTGGTGATATAGAAGCCCTAAGAAGACTCCCTCAGCATAAAAATGAGTGGAATTGTATGCCAGGGCCATTCAGCCTGTTATTCAGAAACCCGTGACTAACATGCTCATGCAGATTGGCCTCGGGACTCAATTTCTGTCTTTTTTTTTTTTTTTTTTTTCCTCAAAACTTAGAGTTGGCAGTGGAATAAGTTGTCTGCTAAATTGTTCTCCAGTCTCTCTGGGTTCAGCAATGCCCTTAGTTATACAAATATAATTCCCATTGACTTTGGCTGGCGTCCTCCTTGAGTGAAAGGGTGAGTAGAATTTAAGGCTATCAACTCAACCAGAGCAGCACATTGTTCGTTCTTTTCTGTCCCTTTTTATGTGCACGATGGCGGAAAATGAAAAAATGACTTTTTTTCCTTTTTATTCCTCTGCAGTTGTTTTTAGCTAGGTGCACCATAACATTGATCAAGGTAAGGAAAGAAGAATATGTAGGGAAGGAAGAGAAGGTGTGTGTACATACATGTGGCATACACGCAATCAAATACGGACACGGTGTCAGGCAGGGTCTTTAATGGCAAGCAACAGAAGCCAACTGGCTGATTTAAATGGAAAACAACATTGGGCATGTCAGAAGAGCTGAGGAGCCAGGCTCTGTGGTGGCCTAAATAATATCCCAGACCGTGGTCAGAATGCCTGCTCCTTCAGTAACGTGACTGTGTTGATCTTTCCACAGCAGCCAGCTCTGCTGGAAGGAATATTGGCCTACCCTTTTCTCAGCATCACTAAGTCCTGTGGCTGGGCCTGGAAAGTGGGTCAGATTAGCAGTGACGGAATCATGGTGGCTTGCACTCTAGCTGCAAGGGAGGCTGGAAAAGCTAAGATTGGAATTTGTCAGCTTTTGCATAGAGTGGGAAGGAGTCCTTGTTTCCACAAAGACTCATAGAGGGAATAATTTACCCCCAATCTAGGAAGCCAAAAGGTATAGCAAATATCCACCCTGACACATCTGGAGACTTTTACCCTGATTCCTGGGGGAGATCAGTGTGTGTGGAAATGTGTATGCACAGTCCTCTCTCTCTCTCTCTCTCTCTCTCTCTCTCTCTCTACCAGACCCTCTTGCATAGGCACCAGGTCTAGGGAAAATGTACAAATTCATTTTACCCTGTGATATTTTCCAGTGAAAAAGGCACTGAAGCATCATGCCCTCTAACTCATCCGGAGATTTCAACTTTCCAAACAAGAGAAATCAGATGAGCTTGTGTGTCACTTCTGCAGCAGTGGGTTTATAGTTATGAATTGGATAAAGGGCCATGTAAATTCACAAACACTAATCTGTCTATCCTGGACTGAATGGATTTTTCTGACATTGCTCTTACCTCCTTGAGTTCAGTTGCTTGTCATCTTTTCTGTACCAAGCACTCAGCCCAAGTCACCCAGAACAGGCTTATTTGGAAAATCAATGCAAGTGAATCAAAATAAGCAAGATTTTCCTGCCTCTTCCCTGCAAGCTTTTTGAATGGACTATAGGAAAGATTCAGAGGACCGTCTTCGATGCCCTTTGCTAATTTGGGTTACAGACGATTTATGACAAGTTCCTTCCCTAATAATATCTTACATAGGGCCCAAAGTGAAGAATCGGACTGATGATATTTTCATTTCTGTGGTTCCTTTCAGTGCTCTCACGACAGGAACTCACTCTCCTATAGGACTGCTGAGTTAATGTAATGTGATCATATTTTTATGGGTGCCGAACTCAGTAAGAGAGAGACTCAATGATGCCAAAGGTCAAATGACAGCCTGGGAAGACAACACCCCGAACAGAACATAAAAACCCTGTCCAGCTCCCAGTGGTTTCTACAACTCTCATTTTCACACCTAGCTGTTATCTCTTCAGAATTTCCAAGCAATTTGTAATGATTACAATCTTTTAGATAAAGATCATTATTCTCAGGTTATAGCTGGGAAAACTGGGGCACTGAATGAGTTGCCTCTGTCACCTCTATTCATTCAAGAATCAGAAGCATACCTTGATGATTTTTCACTAATGGTTTAACCTCCCAAACATTACCCTTTTCATAATGTTTATTCAGTTTTGTTTCTGGAATTCATGTCATCAGAAATGTAGATAATACTTTGTACTCGTAAATAGTCAAAAACCACCTAAATAAGAATCTGCTTCTTTGAGGGAAATGACAAGAGATGGGAAGGAAGGCAAACACTGTTGAGAGTGGGGAACAATAAATAAAAGGAAAATGGAAAAGCAATGTTTACTAAACATGTTAAATCCTAAAACTACCTGTGCACCTCGCAGCTACTGTAAGGGAGACTGGTGGGTGGGGGAGAAGCCATAGCACCGCCATGTGCTTCTGTTTGTGGTTCTCCTGCTGCGTAGATACCTGGCAGCAGGTGAGCCTCATTGGATCCTAATTTGCAAGTGTTTCTATGGGTCCTTAGATATCACTTATTTGAAACTAGGAAAACCTTGTTCTCATGGAAGCAATGTTCTAAATTAAATGGAGTTCCTTCACTAATTCACAAAATTTTACTTAACTAGGGATGTGGTTGAAATGCTGTATGTTTATCATTTTACATATAATAGAAAAAATCCCATCACAACATTAGTAAATTCATTAGCAATTCGGTAACTGAGTACACAAAAGTAAAAGCAAACGTGTTCTGTGATTTGATACTTAATAAAAATCAGATTTCCTTAGATGACAATATACTGGTACAATTCATGACTTTTTTCTGGACCCTCTGTGGGGTTGACAGGGCACTGTAGGGGTTTTAAAGATTGATGGTACTGGTTACTTTTTGTCTAATGTCGCTACACACCTAGGGTCTTCTGTTTATTGGCACAACTATCACTTAACCTTATGCCTACCTATTTGTGTTTAATGTAGTGTTTAATAAAGAGCAGTGTTTCATAAACAAGATAATGTGAGAGAGAAAAGAAAGGGAAGAAAAGAAGGAAAAGAAGAGAACTTCCTGAGAAAGCTCAAATTAAGAAAAACAAAAAGGAAACCAAAGGAAATGAGTAAAAATACGGGGAAACAAGAGTGTCTTAAGTGGAATTAACTGAGCTGTGAAGAGCGAAAAACTGAAAGAAGAAAGAATTTTTCAAATGCATGATATATCCCTGAGGGGGCAGGGGCAGTGGTAGAGAGGCTGCATTTTCCTGTTCCGTCCCTAGGTGACAACCTAGGGCAGCTTGGCTGTGACTGGTAGAAGAAGGCTAATTTTAGCCAGATTTTCTTTCGTATTGCGTTGTCTTAACTCAGATAGAGTCATACACTAGTCACATTAACACAAAACTTCCTTTGTTTCCCCTCAATGGTTTTGCTGGAACTAACTACCAGCCCTACAAAATTATTTTATGAATGTGTTTGGACTCCAGCATTTTGCATTTCCATGCAGAGTAGAGAGAAAGGAGAAGAGAAGGGAAAGGCTGTCTGCTACCTTTTTCCTTCCTTCAATGGCAGAATCCCGGAAGGCACCAATCTCCAGCTTTGAAGGGATCTACAAAAGTGAGCCAGGTCCCACTGCAAAATTATTCAAATAAGCCTGTGTCATCAAGGGCGTGGAAAAGCATCATGGCTACCATCACAGTTCACCCGAGCCTTTTCACTTCTCACAGGTCTTTCCTGCCTTATTCACTTGGGTAGGCTGTGCCGTGGGGATATTTCTTGTGTTCTCCTGTGGGATTGCTTGGCTGGCTCTGAACACACCATGCTCCATTGCTACCCACAGCCTCCGCCCTCAGGAGACGTTCTTACTCCCTCTTCCCCTGGTTCACACCTGTTCATTCTTCCAGATACCGCTGGGTGTCACCTCCTCAGTGGCTTTTTTCCCTCCTCTGAGTTCCCATAGCACCCCAAACTTACCTCCACCTTCACACCTGCCACACTGCAGGGAATTGCCCAGGCGTTTTCCCCAGTGGACAACTCTCTCCTTGGAAGGCCAGCATTCCCAAAGATAGGACATCTGTCTATCCCTTCATTCCCTGTGTCCATGGGAGGCACTCCATGTCTATTGTGTCAGTAAATGGAGTGAATCGCCCCTTGACTGCGGTATCTACGGACTCTTTTGCCCCAGGCCTGTTTTCGCGGTTTAGAAGTCGTTTGATTGGCCCCTGAGCGCCCTCCTCTGTCTTGAGCAGGAGATGACTGTGCAATGCACCTGATTCCCTCACACGCGAACCTCAGACGCCCCCGCCTGAAGTGTTACTTCTGACATCTATGCAAGGAGAGGCAGGGTTTTCCCGTATCTGCAGAGATACTCAAAAATGTAACCACTCCTAACCTGGAGAGTCGAAGGGACCTCAGAGGTTGTCCAGTCATGCCCCGTTTTTTACAGATGAGGGAACTGAGTCTCAGAGAGGTACAGTCCTTTTCCTAGAGTCACACAGTAAGCTAGTTGGTAGGTGTGGGACTGGGACTTTCATCTACTGCCCCTGCCCCTTTCTCACTGCAGAGCCCCATCCTGTAGAGTTCCTGATTTGTGGATACCAGACAGAGCCTGCACCTGGGATTGAGTGACCAAAAGGGGCTGCCGTGTTATAAATGGGCAAAATAAATATAGCAGTTTACCCAGCTTAGAGCAGCTTTCTTCAGGAGGAGCTGAGCACATTTAATAGGGCACTTGTAAACAGGAGCAATTTGAATAGTTTCTCCAGCACGCTGTTAGCATTTATATGTGCCCCATTTCATCTGTAATCTGCTTTTACAAGGCGCTGGTGAGCCTTTGATGGCAGCAATGAATGACCCAGACAGCTTCATCCCAAATGTTCAAACTGAGCTGAAAATTTGGGAGAATCTAAGGTATTCATCTCTGTAAAAAATCCAAACCCATTGATTGAAATTGCTCTTCTCCGTCCTGATACATTAGCCTTTCCTTCTTTTCTTCTTTTCTTCCCCCTTTCTTTCTTTTGCATTTTGCCATTACCATGTTCTGGTTATTGCCTACATCTGGAGCATGGCAGCTGTCCTGTAATATGCAAGCTGTGGCATGTAATTTGGAGAACTTGAATACATATATCTGTTAATTAAAAAAAATACAGAAGCATGTTTGTCAGCTTGTAATTATGTAAAGAAGAACACCAACTCCCAAACTAATTTGAAAAGCAAAATGAAAATAACTTTACCAACAGCTTTACAAAATCCAACAACTCTACATTTAGCTATTAACTTTTTTCTGAGTATCCCAAAGTCCTTTGCAAATGTCTATGAAGTTTCTTTGGGGGAAGCAAGTTGGCCTAGTAAGATAGGCAGGAAAATAGGGCTTGGCTGGTAGTCAGGTGGCTGGATTCTGTTGTTTGTCCTCTTACTATAAATCTGACAAGATTTCTCAACCTTGGCATTATTGATATTTTGGGCAGGGTAATTCTTTGTTGTGAGGGGTTGTCTTGTGCATTGTAAGAGGTTTAGCTACCCAGTATGTGCCTGTAGCAAGCCCCCTCCCCAGCTGCGACAAGCAAAAATATCTCCAGACATCACCAAGTGTACCCAGGGAGGGAGTGGGAGAAAATCGCCCCCACCTGAGAACCACTACCATTTTCATTTGCTGTGTAATGTGAAGAAAAAGAGCCCAGGGCTCACTTTCAGAAGGCTTGGGCTTGAGTGAACATTGCCTCATTCTGAGGACACGATCCTGGCCATTTCTCTGCGGTTGCTTCTTTGTCTCTGAGATGGATGTAACAAGTCCAGTGGTGGCATTTCTCGGGGTTACTGTGAAGATCAGCTGAGATGTGGAGATTTTTCAAATATAGAAAAGGGCACCTGAAGGTTAGATGTGATCATTATTATTATTGCAAGGCAGCTCCTGAAGTGAAAGGCTGCAGTTTGGAGGCCAGAAGGCAGATCTTCCCTGTGGGAAGTTATTCCCTGGTAGGAAGCAACCTGTTGACTTTGGTCTCATTAGCACGGTGCTCTCCTGTTCTCTAAGGTTCCAGGGGCTGTTAGAACTTGCAGTGCTCTTTGGAGGGATGTGCGGGCATGGTGAAGGAGCACCGAGGAAAGTAAAATTGCTGAAGAAAAGCTAATAGAAATAGAACAGTGTTACGCACAAAGAGGAAGAGCTGGACAAAGGGTTCCAGTCTCTGCTCCAGGTGTCAGAGGTGTTTGAGCTACTCAAGCTATTGTCAGGTTGTACAAACATTGAGCTCCGGGTCAGAGAAAGTTTCAGAGTCATTTCTAATGGCTTTTGAAAGTAAAGAGATTGTCAGCTCTCTGGGCTTACAGAGAAGGCAGGTAGATGGATAAGATCACCTCTCAAATGCCCTTCTCGCTCAAGAATTCTGGGATTCTGGGTTTAGGGCTAGGTCTTCTGCAATCTAAACAGTTTCTTATTTAATTTACAGATTTCTGTGGACTGCATTAATAAATAACAGTCATTCTTGTTTACTGAGGACAGCTCTGTGTCAGAAAGTGTGCTGATTGTTTTAGGTTTATTATCTTCCTGAGAGTTCTGTAAGGTAAGCATTATTCCCATTTTACAGATGAGAAAACCGAGGCATATACAGGTTAAGTAACTGTCCACGGAGCAAGTCTGTTGGTATCTTGGCCATGCTAGTTAAGAGAAGGGCCAGTGGCATGTCTCTAGACTCAAAGCACCCAGCCACCTCCAGAATGAGCCCATTAGTATGCCCTAGAGAAGAGTCACTGAGATGCTCCTCACAGACAGAACTAACACGTCAGGCACACCACCTAGGTCTCCTTCGAGAGTACACCACGGTTCTGCGGCCTAAAGTGTGAAGGCCAGGCAGTATGTGAGAGTTTAGGAGGATACCATGATGTAAAATATAAAGCAAGGATAGGAGGGAGAAACTGACAGCTTGAGTGGTGCACACTCAATCAATACGCCCAAGATAACAATTTCTGCAGAACAGCAGCTTGCTTATTCAGGTCCCCAGGAGACGCATGCTGCTCTGACAATCGGCAAAAATTCTGACTCGATACAGATCTTTTCATCTCCAGCCTGCTTTTGCCGACTTTTTCCTTTTACATTATTAAATATTAAACCCTGTAAACACTTTCATTTGTCTGTACCTTATTGTCAGTCAAATTACCGTTTGTAACAGTATCAGATCATATTGGTATCACTTACTTATCTGGGTAACAGCTACAATTCCAAAATCCTATTGCAGGATAAAATAATGAGGTATCTAAGCAGCTTGGGGTCAAAATTCCTAAATTCTTTCCTCAGACCCTGGCATCAGCTAACCATTTACATCTCTTCAAGTCAAATTGTTTCCTTTTCAAGTGAACCAAATGGTCACACTCTCAAGACCCCATTTGTTCCTTCCAAAGATTTAAAGTAGATTGAAGTAACTTTGAAAACTCTAAATTCTACAAGTTGAGGCCAGTCCACTCAAGTACCTACCTGTGGATTACATGGCACAACCTCAAAGCTGCTGACCTGATACCCACACACATCGAGTTCTGTCACCTGTCTGGCTATCATCGCTGGCACTCTGGAAGCACTCACTCTTTTCTGATGTTAACTCTCCAGAGAAAAACAACAAGGCCAACGTAAAACACGGGAAAATAACGCACTCCAAAGTCAGAAGGAAATAATATTTATTGATCTTCTTTTGGCTGAGGTTTCGATTATCCATGGCTCTGACCTCTCCATCAGCAAAGAACCAAAATTTTATAATATTTAAAGCTCAGTTTTGAGACAATGCAAAAGCAGGGATCACTGGATCCGTGAATTCAAATGGCAATGACGCACGTGTTAGTCTTTCACAATAGGGTTCCAGGATACTGGTTTCTCAGTACCAGCATCTTGTTACTGAGAAGAGGTATTGTATGAGAATTAGAATGTGATGATAATGATTATGCAAATACATGGATAAACCAATCTGTTCCTTCCCAGTGACCACTAACACACTCTTCACTTCTTAAGAGTTGAGTACCGATGTCCAAAGGTAGAGTTTATCATGGGTAAATGCCGAAAAGCATCTCTGTAAATAAGCAATACAATTGAACAGCCTAAGTAGATTTGTGAACAATGGGATATAAATTAACTAAATGAAAGTAATCAAACCAAGTGGACTTATTAATTTGACCAGGAATGTTAATTAAGACACTGTTCTGTAGACCTTTGCTCATCCCCAGAGCTCCTAACTCACACTTATCTCCATTTTATCTCTCTGTTCTTGAGCCGCTTTTTCTGTGGCCTAGGTAAAATTACTTAACTTTTTCTTGGCTCTAATATCCCATCTGTTGAGTTGGGAGTACAACACTTTTATGCATCTGCTAGAGGGAGGTGCACTTTAATGAATGTTTGGAAAGTACTTTGAACATGAAGTGCTTAGTATTAATATTGCTTTCCAATGCCCTAGACAATCTAATGAAATAGTATCTTAATCTATGTCACAGCTAATTCATTTTCGAACTGAGTCTACTCTATACAGACTTCTGTTTGAGGGTCATTGGGAAGATTTATTCACCTTGGGGCAAATATTGACCTCCTGAGCCTCCATCAATATTTACCTCTTGGGTCAATAAATCTCAGTGTTGACCTTGATAAAAGTCAACATCTGCATAGAACCTCAGGGTCTTCTTCATCTGTGCTGCCTTCGTTCTGAGTCTGTCACTTGATTCTGTTCTAATAAATCCTATTTGCAGGAGTTTGTAGCACAAGCTGTTGGCAGGCCCTCAGGGGGTGAGGTTGCTGGGTGTACCCCTGGGCATTTGTGCAGAAATGCTGAGGAGAGATTATTGTAGTGTTTCTAAGAGAATTCCTGATCTTAGATTCTTATTTCTCTTCTTTGGAGGAGGGGTTCTAGGAGGACCTACCCAACATGGAATAAAGTGCAGACTAGGCAAACTCCTACTAGAGTCTGTCACACTGACAATTATATTCACTGAAGAGCTAAAACTATCTATCTATGGGGGAGAAGGGGGTGTTGCCCACATGCCACCCAGCCTGTGTCTGCAGATGTCAGACAGTGGACACCAATCTGACCATGCTAATCAATAACACTCTTCATGATGGAACAGATGTGTTGCTTTCACCCCAGATTATGAATATGGCTGGAATAGTCTATCAGCTGGGCTGGAATCCTCTGCTTTGTATGTACAGATTTAGTCATTCAATAGCTGTTCATTGAATATTTATTAAGAAACTACTGAGCCAGGCCCTGTGCACAGATGAAGTTTTTCTCTTTCTCAAACCTTGTAGTTGCCCACTAATTGCTAGAGATGGAAAATGAAAAAATTCATGAGATAGGTCCCTTGCACTGAAGGGATTTGAAAGTGTAATATGGATAAGTTGAGTGGCTTTCTAATTTTTTCTGTACCTCCCCTCGCTCAAATACACATCCCTCTTCCGTTATGGACAAGTGCAGGTGGGGAAATGGGACATGTGCAAATTTTTGGCATTGGAGTCATATCCTGGCTGGGCTGAGGAAAGTCATTCACTCCAGGGGTGGCACTTTTAACCACTTTCAGGTTAATCATCTCCAGACATGTTGAAGTAACTCATTGTTTGTAGTCCTCAGGGAGTAGTCAGGGAAGTTGCCTTGGCTGAAGACGTAAGAAACACATTTCATAAGTGTAGGAGGTATAGGAGGCCTTTTGGGGTATAAGGAGATGATATCCAAAAGGAAGAAGGGCAGTTGTGAAATTCCAAATCAATAGCATGCCTGCTGTGTTTATCATGTTTTGTCTTCGGGGTTTGAACTTAATTGCTTTCCATATAGATTCAAGTGGAGAGGATGGTTCGTCACAAAGCATTTTGTTCAGAAACGTTGCACAGATAAACAGATTTCTAGAATAAATGTATGTAAAACTCAAAACCCTGTCCAACACGTCTTATGATAAATGAGACTTTTTATGCATTTCCAGTTGATTTATCTTCTTTTAATGGGCCTATTTGCAAGCATCAGTGCTTCCAAACTTTCAAGAATCTGTGTGTGTGTCTGTGTGTGTGTCTGTGTGTGTGTGTGTGTGTGTGTGTATGTGTGTTCTGTTTGGTGAAGGATGGCAAGGGAGAAGGCTAACACTTCCTTTATTTCAGGAAACTAAGTGTTAGAAGGCTAGATCTCTTCCACAACTGTTCCTGTCTTCTCCATTATTTTATCAGTGCTCTCAGCCATTTAGGCTATAAAAGGTTATTTTTTATTTGGCTAGATCTTTCCAAACACAGGAATACCTCAGATATATTGCAAGTTTGGTTCCAGATTACTGCAAGGAAGTGAGCATTGCAATAAAGGAAATCGCACAATTTTTTTTGTTTCCCAGTGCGTATAAAAGTTATGTTTACACTATACCATAGTCTATTAAGTGTTTAATAGTATTATGTCTAAAAAGCAATTTATGGACCTTAATTTACAAAATCTTTATTGCTAAAAAGTGCTAACAATCATCTGAGCCTTTAACGAGTTATAATCTCTTTGCTGGTGGAGGGTCTTGCCTTAGTGTTGACGACTGCTGACTGATCAGGGTGGTGGTTGCTGAAAGTTGGAGTGGCTGTGGCAATTTCTTAAAATAAGACCACAGTGAAGTTGGCCATATCAATTTGAATGTTCCTTTCATGAAAGATTTCTCTATATCATGTGATGCTGTTTGACAGCATTTTACCCACAATAGAACTTCTTTTAAAATTTAGGTCCATCCTCTCAAATCCTGCTGCTGCTTTATCACCTAAGCTTATTGGATATTCTAAATCTTTTGTTGTCGTTTCAACTTTGTTTATAGCATCTGCACTGAGAGTACATTTCACCTCAAGAAACCACTTTCTTCGCTCATCCATGAGAAGCAACTCCTCATCCACTAAAATCTTACAAGATTGCAGCAATTCGGTCATATCTTCAGGCTTCACTTCAAATTCTACTTCTCTTGCTGCTTCCACCACATCTGCAGTTACTTCCTCCACTGAAATCTTGAACCCCTCAAAGTCATCCGTGAGGATTGGAATCAACTTCTTCCAAACTCCTATTAATATTGCTATCTTGACCTCCTCCCATGAATCATGCATGTTCTTAATGGCATCTAGAATGATGAATCCTTTCCAATAGGTTTTCAATTTACTTTGCCCATATCCATCAGAGGAATCACCATCTGAGGCAGCTAGAGCCTCAACAAAATGTATTTTTAAATAATGAGACTTGAAAGCCAAAATTACTTTTTGATTTGAAATAGAAATCAGAATGGGTGTTGTGTTAGCAGGCAAGAAAACAACATTAATCTTGCATATCTCCATCACAGCCCTTGGGTGACGAGGTTAAGTGTCAATGAGCAGTAATATTTTGAAAGGAATCTTCTTTTCTGAGCAGTAGTTCTCAACAGTGGGCTTAAAATATTCAGTAAACTAACCTGTAAGCAGATGTGCTGTCCTTCAGCCTTCATTGTTCCAATCTACTCTGCACAGGCAATAGGATTTTTAAAATGATAAATGAGCATTGGCTTTAACTTAAAGTCACCAGTTATGTTAGTCCATAATGAGAGGGACAGCCTGTCCTTTGAAACTTTGAAGCCAGGCCTTGACTTCTATTCTCTAGCTATGAGAGACCTAGATGGTGCCTTCTTCCAATAAAAAGTTGTTTCATCTACAGTGAAAGTCTGTTGTTGAGTGTAGCCACATTTATCAAGCATCTTAGCTAGATCTTCTGCATATCTTGCTACAGCTTCTACATCAGCACTTACTGCTTCACCTTAAACTTTTATGTTATGGAGATGGTTTCTTTCCTTAAACCTCATGAGCCAACCTGTGCTAGCTTCCAACATTTCTTCTGCAACTTCCTCATCTCTGTCAGCCTTCATATAATTTAAGACAGTTAGGGCCTTGCTCTGTATTAGGTGTTGGCTTAAAAGAATGTTGTGGTTGATTTCATCTTCTATACAGACCACCAGAAGTTTCTCTATAGCAGCAATAAGGCTGTTTTGCTTTCTTGTCATTTATGTATTCACTGGAGTAGCACTTTTAATTTACTTCAAGAGCTTTTCCATTGCATTCACAACTTGGCTGACTATTCGGCACAAGAGGTCTAGCTTTAGGCCTATCTCAGCTTTTAACAAGATTTCCTCACTAAGCTCAGTCATTTCTAGCTTTTGATTTAAAGGGACAGACATGCGACTCTTTCACTTGAACACTTAGAAGCCTTTGTGGGGTTGCTAATTGGCCTAATTTCAATATAGTTGTGTCTCATGGAATAGGGAGGCTTGAGGAAAGGGAGAAAGATGAGAAATGGCTGGTTGAGGGAGCAGTCAGAACACACACCACACTCATTGATTAAGCTCACCATCTCATATGGTGTGTTTGTGGCACCCCAAAACAATTACAATATTAACATCAAAGATCACTGATCACAGATCACCATAATAGCCCTAATAATAATGAAAGTATTTGAAATATTGGGATAATAACCATAATGTGAGACACAAAGTGAGCACATGCTGTTGGAAAAATGGTTCCAATAGATTTGCTGGACAGAGGGTTGCCACAAACCTTCAAGCTGTAAAAAATGCAATGTCTGCGAAGAACAATAAAGCAAAGCACAATAAAACAAGGTGTGCATGTAAGTGAAAAAAAAATACATTGATAAATAGTTGAAAGAAAAGAGAGGGGTGGAGTTCTTCAAAAGTAAGATCTACAAAATCTGAATTTTTTGCTTAGTTGTCAGCCTTCTGTCTGGCATTTTGCAGGGTATTTGAGGCTGTGCTCTCTCTACCCATCAGCCAACTCAGCAGTCTTGTCTCTGGACTACTAGTTGCTGCCTGGAACCGCAATTCAAATCAGATCCGTCTTGATGAGTTAGATTAATTGATCTTCAGGAGTTTTGCTCTGTGCTTGTCTTTTAAATCAAAGTCTTAAGATCCCAGGGAGTGAGCACTGGGAGAACTTTAAATATAACCTAGGGCCTCTTTAGAAAAACTACGTTTGGTTCAGTGTCCTCGGCTGGATATCTGAAAATGACAAACCCCAAAACAAAAACCTTCTATAGCAGAGTTTGTCCTATCCCATGGTAGGTAGTTAGGATATTAAACTACCCTGCTCTTAAGATAACTGCTTGTTTCTGTTTTCCTCATTTCAAATTTAATCAAGGAGAATTTGCCTTTTATTTATTTATGGCAAACAAATTGACTTCTATTTCTGTTTCTTGTCTCCTGCGTCAGGCCAAGTTCTTATCATATGCTCTGCCTCCTTCCCTATACCCCATGGACTTCCAAGGGAAGTCATTCATTCATTCAATCATTCATTCAGATGTCAGTCATGTGCTAAGTATCTAATATTGGCTAAGTACATTGCTGAGAACTGAGGGATTAAAAAAACAATAAACAGTGGATCAGTGAGGATTCCTACCCAGAAGGAGTACAGAATCCAGCGTAGAAAGGCTTATACAAACATGTGCAGTGAGTACGAGCAATGGTGACACGTGGTCTATAGCAGTGCTAATGGCCGTTAAGGGAAGGGGTTAGCTGTGAGAGGGGTCCTGGAGGCACAGTCCACATCCTGGAGGACTAATGGGATTCAGAGAGTGTAGAAGAGGTGGCCCCCAGGTTGGGTAATGAGTGAAAGGTAGGGCAAGGTGTGAAATCAGGAGCAGGGGAGGAAAAGGCAGGCTTGTGTAGAGAGTGCTGCCATCTCCTTTGGACAGGCTGATTCGGGAGAACATTGAGATATCTAAGGAGGAATACCGAGATGATGGCTGAATATATGAGGTTGTATCTTGGAGTTCAGGAGGGATCTGGAGTGATGAGAAACATTTGGAATTTTCCAACATAAGTGTGGTCTTGGGAGCCATTGAAGAAAGTGGGATTATTCAAGTATAGCATGCAGAGTGAGGGGAAAATGCTAAGACAGAACCCTGGCTAAAACAACAACAACAACAACAACATTTAGGGGTATAAGAGTCAGGGGTTTCCAGAAAAAAATAGAACCAATTGTGTGTGTGTGTATGTGTGTGTGCACACTCGCATGCACGTGCACATGTGTGTCTTTATCCCAGATAGATAATACAGAGATAGACTAGATAGATAGATAGATACACAGATAGATGAGAAAGAGAATTACTGTTTAAAAATTGGTCTGTGTAAGTATGGAGGCTGAGAAATATCCAGATCTGCAGTTGGAAAGCTAGAGACCCAGAAGAGCTGTTCTAGTCCACAAGCTGGCACAACAGCCAATGTTCTAGCCAGAGTCTGTAGGCAGGGAAACACTGGTGTCCCAGCTCAAGGCTATCAGATAGGAAGAGTACCCTCTTATTCAGGGGAGAGAGAGAGAGAGAGAAGTCAGTCTTTTTTTTATTCAAGCCTTCAACTGATTGAATGGGGCCCATCCACATTGAGGAAAGCAGTCTTCTTCACTTAGTCTACTAATTAAAATGCTAATCTAATCCAAAAACATCCTCACAGACACACCCAGAATAATGTGTGACCAAATATCTGGGAATTTTATAACCCAGTCGAGTTGACACATAAAATTAACCATCACAAGGGGCACTTAGAGGAGGAAGAAGGGACAAAGAAGACTAAGAAAGTATTAAAAAGTAGGAGAAATGCTCTAATTTATAGGAAATATCCCCAAAACCACACTAACCACCCTTTGCTAGGGATGCTTTGCATGAGTGTTTGAGTGCCTTTATGTGCACAGGTTATCATGATTAAGCAGAAAAACTATGTGTGAAAGACACTGCACTAGGCACTGTAGATGAATTCACAAATGAAGACCACTTCATACCATCAAATTTAGTGAAAGAGGCAGGCATATCCCTGGATAGAATGAAAGAGTGAGTGAACACACCCAGGTAGGGATGGGGCTGACCCAAGTGCTGAGTGTGGCTGAATGTCAGGCTGGCCAGTCTCAGGATCTTGAATGTGGGTCTCTGTTAGACCTCATCACACAATGTGGCTGATGAGAAAGGGCCCCCCTGGGCCAGAGGATGGGAGTTGGGCTCAAATGGAGGAGCCTCTTATAGACACTTGGCCAATGTCAGAAAGAGGGTAATTCTATGTAACTCACTTAGGATCTGGGCTCCTCTGGGGACATCTCCATGTTTCCAATGTCCTGTCTTTGTGCCTAACTAATGGTCACAATTACACAATTATTCTTTCATAGTCACACTCCCAGACATCCTTTTATTATTATTTTTTAAACTGCAACTACTAGAAGAAATCAGTTAACATTTGTTGAGTGTCAGGCACTGTGTTGTACATACATTATCTCCTTTAACTCTTTTAGTAACCCTTTGTTATAGTGCAACAAAGCTACAATTTCGATCCACCTGACCTCATCAGAATCTGTAAGGCTTTCAAGATGATAGAGGATCCCCATTTTTCATTGTGCCTTGAAAACTGCAAAGTAACACACAATTGAACAGTATTATGACTGAATGGCACAGCAGCCCTTGAGATAGATGGCACCCTGACCATTTTACAGAAGAGAAAACAGAAGTTCCTTGAGATGATTTGTTGGTGAATGGTAAAGTTGGCACCAAACCCAGGTCTTCAGACATCTAGTTCTGTTGACACCAGACATCTGGTTCTCCGCCTATGCCTAACTGTCTGTGTACACAGATGTTAAGGTGACCTGACCTTAGAGCTCTCTCCTGTCCAGGCAGAGGTCAGCACTGACTCAACAGGTCACCTACTCCCTACAACACGTCCAACCCTGCCTCCTTCATCTTAGAAACTTCTCCCATCCAAGAACTCACTAGACTGCCATAGTCCAACTCACTAGACTGCTCCTTCTTTGACTTAGAAATTGCAGAGCTGGCAGTGCTAGAGGCTCTATTCTTGAGGACGCTGAATATCAGGTAGGATGGATCTGAGCTCTCACCTTCCCGTGGCAGCCTTTGACAAGCCTTTTGCAATAAAAAATTAAATATTAATACTCAACAATTAATCTCTGACTTGAAAGAGCCATATATACCATATGTGTAACCCCTGGACATTTCAATTTCCAACCTGCCCAAGTAAGATAACATCCTGAAAATGAAATGTAATCATCAATTAGCAATGTTCCTTAGGACAGACTGAACTGCAGTCATGAGCAGTTTTCACGACCTGAGCAATGGCTGATTATAAGGGAGCAGCCAGAGAGTCAGAGGAAGAAGAAAGATGAGCATTTGAGCCTTGTGATGTGTAGAAGAGGCTGGAAGTTGGAAGGCCAGCTTTCATGAGCCACGAGCTAGCTGTGTCCTCACAGGGCTGAACTCTGTTAATTCATCAGTCAATAGCAGTCATTGGCTCTGGCACAGTGGGGAGACACCATAGAAGCAGGACATGTGTCTCCTGTATGAAGACTTTGGAACTGTGCTGCAGAATCAGATCGCGTGCATGTGAAGCAGATTAAGAACACAACCCAAGAGGCGTGCACACGAGTGCAAATTAAAACAGGGCCTGGTGATCCTGGACCTGTTTTCGCGCCTCTGTGTCACCAAGGGTGACAACCAGAATTGCCTGGCAGCGGTTGTAAAAAGTGCTTGTAGATCCTTGGCAAGGAGTCAGCAGGCCATAACGGTGCATTGTGGTTTCTTATTATATTTAATGGAAAACTGAAGCACTCGGATATTTCCAAAGTGTAATTTGTTCTGATGGGTAGGCAGACGGTGGATTGGGCTGCTTCACTAGGGAAGAGGCAAAAATAAATTAAACAAATTAATGACTGTGACACATTCCAGGGGAAAGAAAATGCGATTGATAATCCACCCCGACTACCACCCCTAACAAAAATCATCATTTTTACTGGAGTCACGTCTCCTTGGGCTGCTGCTTCTTGTGGATATTTCTAAAGAAAACTTCCTCTCCAGTCATTTTCTTTAGCCCAGTAAGCACAGTTGCTAATTTTCCCTCATTTGGAGTTTCCCCCTGGAACCATATGCCATTAAAATGACTAGACATGTGGAAATGGACTGATGAAGATATGAGGAGACAGGGAGTTTCAGACGAGGAGAGACTTTGTCAGATGGAATGACTCTGACATCAGATTCGCTAACCAAAGGAGAAAGATCCCTCCATGGGAAGGAGTAAGAAGGAGAGCTGAGCGGAGTCTCTAGGAAAAGTCCAGGAGGCATTGGGAAGGGGAGGAAGCATCGTGTTCCCATGCACGGCTCGATGCCTGGCCTTCAGCAAGTGCTCATTGGTTGAGTAAGTAAGTGAACGAATGAATGAATGAATGAACAAGAGAGATGAGTGACTGAAGTAGAGAGGCGGCAGAGTCTAGGAAGCTGGTAGGAATGGGATGCAGGACTTGCAAGCAGGTGGGCATATGTGTCACTCAATGACAGAAAACAACCCTGAGAGCCCAGCAATGGGTCCCTGAAGGCAACATGGCCCCATTGTTCCCTGTCCCTTTTTTCATAGAACGTTTAACATTTTGCATTTTGTTGTGTAATTCAATTCATGTTTCCAGGGTAATATTAAAAATACTTAAGAACTGGGGCATCAGTGGTGCTGACCAATCAAAACAGATACAATCAGAATGGAAACGGGCAGTAAGAACCCAGCACTGCCATTCAGAACATCAGCCCTGAATGCTTCTCTCTCACTAGAGCTAAGCTTTCTGAGGACGAGCATCATGTTCGTTTTTAGATCCCATTAAAACACCTAGCTCAAGCCTTTGGTATAAATGTAGTTCTTCAGTTCACACACTGTGCCTGGTCTGTGTATAGTAGCTACTTAATAAATATGTGTGGTTGAGGGAGCAAATGATGGAAGGAAAGAATGGATTGGGGTGGAGTGAGATAGAATGCAGCAAGGAAGTCTCCCTGGCCAACACACACTGGAGGACAAACCACCTTCACCCTGGAATCCACATCAGACCACCTTCGTGCCTTGCCATGCAGGGAAGGGAGGGCTAGGAAGATCCCGGCCCATGGGCGGCCAGGGCATTTCTTCCAAAGCACTTTCCTTGGCTTGGGTGAGTAAATCTGTTAATGCTCTCCAACCTCCTCCCCTTTGTTAGGGAGCCCAGTGTATTAATTAAAAACCACGGGCAGCTGTAAGTATCTCCAGAACAAGGATTAAGCCAGCTTTCTGTCAATTGCTTTCAAAGCATTGCTGTTTGCTAGAGAAATACTTTCTTTCAGGGTTAAAGCAACTTGCTTTTCACTTTGCCATCTCCTTCATTACCACGTTACCCTGTTGGCCCCTTCCCCTAATTCATGCTTGAAACCTACTGCATTAGGAAGCCCACAGTGAAAAGCCACACGCCTGCAGCAGTACCCCCTCAGGCAGATGTGGCCTTCAGGGCACAAACATCATCAGAGCAAGGCCAGTGTAGAGAGAGGGTCAGTTCTTCCTGCTTCAGCCAGCCTCTCAGCCTCAGCTGAGCTAGGGCACGTGTAACACATCTGTATGAACCACTGGTCAGATGTGACAAGGAGAGGGAATGCAAGAGACAGAGTTGTTGCCCACACAGTATGTTTGAGGTGCGTCTTCTTTCTGCTTTCATTACCTAAGAGCTGCTGCTTGCCGTATGATGATAGGTGAACACTCCAGGAGATAAATTTCTGCCTTCTATGAGAAAAAACTTTCTGATAAAGTTGTTCAAGGGTAAGCCAGGCCATCTACAGGGATGAAGCCTACCACGGTAGGAACTCAATATATGACTACTGTTAAAATGAACTGCCTGTGATATTCTACTAGATGACCTCTAAGGGTGCTTCCTAGGTTGAAATATAGTGTTGTGAATCAAGCCATCTTGTAGGGTTTGGGAAGATGCTCTCACCTTCATCACAGACAAGGTGGGTTTGCGCTTTCTGGGCCATCTGTTCTACCCAGCTTGGATAAAGGCCTAGAGGAGGACGAGGGGATGGGGAGGAGGGAGATAGACAGGAGGAACAAGAAAGGCAGGGCATAATTAAGCATTTCTGAGGGCCCAGATGATTTGTAATTTACAGATCCTTCATGTTATCAGCAATGAATATTAAGTAAATCAATAAATTCTTCATTGAAGTGATAAATAATCAATCGGCTATAATAGCACAAAATAAGTCTGAACTCAACTCTAACGTGACTATAAAATAAAATGTCAACTGTGAGGCAGGGCTTTTTTTTTTTTAAGAGGCCTGATGAAAGCTTCCCAGAATTCCTCTATAATCCTTGAGTCCAGGCAGCAGCTAACGCTACATCCTCCAGTACTTACCTATAAGTGATGACCTCAATACCTCAATACCACCCCCCACCTCACTCATTTGGAAATCTCAAGAAACCACATAGGGTATTAGAGGCGCTCACAGACCGACCCTGGGGAGAATTAGACCCCGCATGTACACATGCACACGCATGTGCACACACACCCCTGTGCACACACACACAGGCTCACACCTCTGACAGATGTGCATCTTGTCGTTGTGTCACTCAGCAGATTGCCCTGTGAAATCTAGCCTCAGCAAAGAAAGAAAGGGGAAAAGAAAAGATCTAAATCAGATTAACATAAATAAGCGGGTGGTAGGCAGAGAAAAACCCAAACAACTAATAACACCAGGGAAAAGTCACTGCAGAATTTATATAAAAACAGTATATCAGAAAAGCTGTTTGAGAGACCTCTGAGAGGCAGAAATCATGAAAACTCTTTCCTGCTAGTCTGTGGTTTAAATGTGTCAGAATTACTCTTTTGCAAAAAATTGGAGAACGATTTGATTATTTTCTGTCAGCAATCAGCCTTTTTATCTTGTCATCGTACTTGGTCGTTCTCTCTCTCTGTCTCTCTATCTCTCCCAAGTGTGTGTGTGTGTATTTGATCCACATTTGCATCCATGATCTTTTTTGCAGGCTCTTCTCTTTGGAACTATCAGCACGTTTATTATGAAAAGATGAACAAAACTCTAGTTATTCTTTTTTATATATATACTTTAAGTTCTGGGATACTTGTGCAGAATGTACAGTTTGTTACAAAGGTATACACATGCCATGATGGTTTGCTGCACCCATCGACTCCTCATCTACGTTAGGTATTTCTCCTAATGCTATCTCTCCCCTAGCCCCCCACCCCACAACAAGCCCCGGTGTATGATGTCCCCTCCCTGTGTCCATGTGTTCTCATTGTTCGACACCCACTTATGAGTGAGAACATGTGATATTTGGTTTTCTGTTCCTGTGTTAGTTTGCTGAGAATGATGGTTTCCAGTTTCATCCATATCCCTGCAAAGGACATGAACTCATTCTTTTTTATGGCTGCATAGAATTCCATGGTGTATATGTGCCACATTTTCTTTATTCAGTCTATCACTGATGGGCATTTGGATTGGTTCCAAGTCTTTGTTATTGTGAACAGTGCTGCAATAAACATACATGTGCATGTGTCTTCATAGTAGAATGATTTATAATCCTTTGGGTATATACCCAGTAATGGGATTGCTGGGTCAAATGGTATTTCTGGTTCTAAATCCTTGAGGAATTGCCACACTGTCTTCCACAATGGTTGAACTAATTTACACTCCCACCAACAGTGTAAAAGCATTCCTATTTCTCCACATCCTCTCCAGCATCTGTTGTTTCCTGACTTTTTGATGATCACCATTCTAACTGGCGTGAGATGGTATCTCATCGTGGTTTTGGATCCCTTCCTTACACCATATACAAAAATTAACTCAAGATGGATTAAAGACTTAAATGTAAGACCCAAACCATGAAAACCCTAGAAGAAAACCTAGGCAATACCATTCAGGACATAGGCATGGGCAAAGACTTCATGACTAAAACACCAAAAGCAATGGCAACAAAAGCCAAAACTGACAAATTAAAGTTAAGAGCTTCTGCATAGCAAAAGAAACCATCATCAGAGTGAACAGACAACCTAAAAAATGGGAGAAAATTTTTGCAATCTATTCGTCTGACAAAGGGCTAATATCTAGAATCTACAAAGAACTTAAACAAATTTACCAGAAAAAAACAACCCCATCAAAAAATGTGTGAAGGATATGAATATTCTTTTTTTTTTTCAAGACAGTCTTGCTCTTTCGCCCAGTCTGGCATGCAGTGGCATGATCTCAGCTCACAGCAACCTCCACCTCCCAGGTTCAACAGATTCTCCTGCCTCAGCCTCCTAGTAGCTGGGATTACAGGCATGTGCCACCACACCCAGCTGATTTTTGTATTTTTGGTAGAGACAGGGTCTCACTGTGTAGGCCAGGCTGCTCTCGAACTCCTGACCTCAGGTGATCCACCGGCCTCGGCCTCCCAAAGCGCTGGGATTAGAGGCGTAAGCCACCGTGCCCAGCCAAAACTCTATTTATTCTTAAGCCCTCATTTTTCCTCTATCTCCTCTCTTTTTTTCTGTCCTTTCCAAGACAGATCTATATGATGAATACACATCTATTTCTCCTAAGTAATTTTGAACTCTGGCTCATCATGGATCTTTTTTAAAGCATAATTTCCATTCTTCTTTCCCTTTCCCTTGGTCAATTGCTTCTTTTCTTGAAATAAGTTCATCACTACAGATTTCAGTAAAGTGGAAAGGTTTTCCAGGGAGCATTTAGCCAATTCATCTGCCTCTTTGCAGGACTAGTTGGACCCAGCGACTGGTGGCTCCTGCCTTTGTTTCTGTCACTCAAAGGCTTGGTTCTCTTTCTGGTTACCTTGGCTCCAGCATCTCATATATTAACAAAATGATTGCCACAGCTGTCTTCGCTTAATGCCTGACACTTGAAGTTCAATTACTCATTCCATGAAGAGAAGGAGGAAGTAGGCATGCATTTCTCATTGGGGCCTCAGCCTTATACCCTGGTGTCCCCCTGACACAATAAATTCTTCCTATTCAGGATTGTCTGCTATTCTGTATCATTCCTAAGCAGAATACAACCATCTCCAGCAGCAGATACCCCCGATAATCTCCTCCTGATACCTCCTTCTCACACTGATCAGTGAGACATTACTGAGCATCTACGGTGTGTCCTTCAGTGAGCCAGATGCTGCAGGCAATAAACTGGAAAATGTAAGACATGGTTTCTACCCCTCTAAAGCATATGTTCTAGTTAGAGAAAATGTAAAAATATGAGAGTCCATTATCAAATACCCAGAGCATCTCAACGGATGTACTCGCCTATCTTTTCAATCTCAGGTCTCTAGGTTGATAGGCCTTTTCTGTTTCTTCTGTTTTGTCTTAAAGCAAAAGGTGCAGGCTCCTCTTTTCTGAAGCTATCCTTATTACTATGTGTGCCTTATCCCACATGGCAGGTAGAGAGATGATGGCCCCCCAAAAGATATCCACATCCTAACCTCCAGAGCCTGGGATTATCTGACGATACATTGCAAAGGGGCTTGGAAGATGTGATTGGGTTAAGAACTTGGGAACATTTCTGTCTGCTGTCCACATCCAGAAACTGTTTTTTTTCTTAACAGAACACATGTCTTTGATCTTTGTCCTACCTCTGAGTAAGTTCTTTGCCCTCTTGGGGCAGAAATAATCTCTCTAACTGGGTTGTTCTTAGAAACTCCCCTTTATTTGGGAGGATTAATCTTTGTTCCCTCAAAGGACCTTTCAGTCTAATCTTCTTCATCAGTTTTCTAATGAGGAGCTTTGGTGCTCTATGCAAATGGGACTCTTAAGAAGCTGTTCTAGCATTCCAGAATCCCCAGGCTAGGAGTGCAGACAGGTGGCTCTCCACCTCCTCCTTCATCTGTGTGATGTACAATGGGAGAAGAAAGGGAGCAGCAGTTGGTGAAGGCATCCACATTAAGGAGAATGTAACTTTCTACATGGAGAAGAAAAATGTCTTTTGTAATGCACTAGGCATGAGTAGGGACCTGAAGTCAAAAATAAGAATGAACAATGGGACACCATTGTTACCAGATGAACTGTAACATTTCCAAGATAAGTAATGAGTTAGGTAAATGGGGCCAGATTCTGAAAGATCTTTACCGCCTGCCCGTAGAGGTCAGCCTTGGTATTGTAGACATTGGGTGTCCCTGCATGTTTTTTGGTTTTGTTTGTTTGTTTGTTTGTTTTTGTTTTTGTTTTCAGATGGAGTCTTGCTCTGTGGCCAGGCTGGAGTGCAGTGGCACAATCTCTGCTCACTGCAATCTCCGTCTCCCAGGTTCAAGTGATTCTCCTGCCTCAGCCTCCTGAGTAGCTGGGAGTGCTCGCCACCATGCCTGGCTAAATTTTTGTATTTTTAGTAGAGATAGAGTTTCACCATGTGGGCCAGGATGTTCTCTATCTCCTGACTTCATGATCCACCTGCCTCGGCCTCCCAAATTGCTGGGATTATAGGCGTGAGCCACTGTGCCTGGCCATCCTTGCATATTTTAAGGGTGGAAAGTGATCTAATGCTTAGGTTTCCATTTAAAAAAAACAAGGAAGAAAAAAATAGTGGTCAAATGTCTTACATTCCTTTTTGGCCTATTGCCTGATTCATCTTGAACCCTAAACACACAGACGTGCAGATTTTCTTGGATTATTTATTTTGGTTTTAATGTACACAGTGGAGAACTCGATGTGAGCTTGGCTGGATGCTTTAGAGGAAAGGGCTGTGTTGTGTATGCATCTGTTGATGCAACTGGTACCCAGACCATCTGTGGGTGGTTCCTGCCATTCTTAGCAGCCCTTCTCTCTTGGAGAATGAAGTCTCCTACACTGAGTCAGTTGGTGACCACTGAATTTTATTTTGGGAACGTGTCCTAGATACAGCAGGCTTCCCACTCACTATGCAGAAGAGAATGCCTTTCTAGAAGAGGATTCCGATTTGTCTAACAACAGCATGCTGCTCAGGCAATCTCTCCCTTTTGTTGATGGCTGAATGGAGAGATGCTCAGCTTCTGATCTCCAAGGGTGAGAGCATCCAGGCAAAAAGCTTAGCAGCCTGTCGTGCTTCCAGGCGGAAATGCATCTTTGTGTCCCTCCATGGGGAGGGGCATGTGCATGAGCATCTCTGTGTTCCAGAAGCCTATGAATCAGAACATTTCAGAACTGGAAAGGATGCGAGGGTCCAAAGCCTACTAATCACATAAAGTCCCTTTAGAGCAGTTCTGATAAAGAGTCATTCTGCTGCTTCTTTCTACCTCCCCCTGACAGAAGACCCACCACCTCACAAAGATTCCTAGGCCATGGTAACCACATGGTGAGATCACCCAACCACAATGATCTCATGCGCTGCTTCTGTACAGCACTTCTAGTAAGAGTGTGAGTTCCATGTCTTAAAAGCTCACCAGAAATCATACCTGTAGACCCAGCAAATTCATATTTAGAAAGCTGAGGCAATATATGAATGAATAAATAACTGTATAATATTCCTCTCAATGTCCATTAGTCAGGAGATTATTTAAGCAAATTAAAAATCATGTTGTAGAATAATAAACATTAATATAAAAAGCCAAGAATGGCTAACATTTTAAACACTTGCTCTGTGCCTGGTGCTTTTCCTGGAGCAGTGCATGTTTTCTTTCAGGCATTCTTCTCCTAGCCCAGCATGTTATATGGTATATGTATATGGGATTATGTTTTGGAGGCTGTAGGGTTGGGGATTATGTGGACACTTCAGAAGCTTTGAGGGTGAGCTCACATCTCTTTCCCTGGCTTCTGAACTCCTCCCCATATCCAGCTGTCTGCCTTGCTGGAGTTGAACTAACCATTGTACCACTTTGTTTACCCTATGGATGGCGTCAGTCACCTTGTATTTCCATCCAGTCAAGGCAGACTCCCTGAGGAGGTGGAAATCCTAGCCAGATTTTGAAGAAAGCAAAAAAGAGCACTGGTCAAGCTCTGAATAAGGAAACTGAGTCCCATAGATCTTTTAAATGCTTAACTGCTTTTTATGCTTTTTGGGAAGCCTAAAATCCCTCATAGTTTTCTTGATCTCATAACCCTGGGGAAGAACTATGCTAGTTCTTTGGGCATTGCACTATGAACAAGAGTCCCTGCATAGTATTTCTAGTCTACCCCGCTGTTCTCTTAGCTCTGAGCATAGCACTTGACTCTCTTGGACCTTAGCTAATACCCCATGGTTGGAACAGGACCTAGGTTCCCCTGAGTTCTCCGTTGTACTGAGATCCCTCTATAAAGTTGGACAGGTTCAGGCCAAAGAGGTTTTTTTTTTATGCTATTCTTGAAATTTGACCAACTTTTTCATTATCAAGTACAATTTCAATAATATAGAATTGGTTTCTTATTAAATCAAAGGAGAAAGACATCAAGCGTGGTAGGTATTATACTTTAAGTTGATTACAAAAAGCATTTATTGAGGGTTAACCACTAGGCAATGGATAGAAAATCAATTACACGGTAGTTTAACATCCAATAATATGTATTTTAATGAACAATTTGTATTTAACATCTCTTATGAAATAATGAGGTGCGTTGGAGTTTTGGGGTAGCCAAGCAGCAATTGGGATATCTGAGTTAACGCCTAAGGAGCCCAACACCATGTTTTATCAAGTAGCTTCACAGTTCCAGTTCACCTCCCATTCCAGCATCATGGCCCCTGACAGCATGAACAGCCACACAGATTCTGAGAGCTACCTATTTAGACTGAGGTCAAAGATTATACCAATGTCTGATTAGTCTGAACAGCCAGCCATTGTTTTGGAGAACTCCCTAAGGTGATGCTGTGCATTATGACGTTAACATTTCCAGATTGTTTTAGCTAAGTGAAAAGCCATGGGATCCCTTTTTAATCCCATCTCAGTCTGCAACAGCTATCCCATCCCATCTCTCTATTGTTTGCTGCATGGTCTCACACATGACATGTGAAAATCTGACTCAAAGTTCTTTATCTTGAAGCTGTGTTTATATGTTCCGTGTGCACATAAAACTCAACTCAGTTACTATTCGTCCTTTTCCTTTTAGCTACGCTGTCAAATCAAATGTGGTTTCAAGATAGGAAGGGGCTGTCCAGTTTCTAAATCCGCCAAGACAGGCACACTTCCAGCTTCATTGAAAGTTGGTCTTGAATTCCTGGTCACTACGTCTGCTCTGAGTAGTGCAGCAAATGTTTTCAAAAGGGTTCACAGTTTGCTTCTCTGGAATCAGGTTATGGTAGAGTCCTTCAGCTTAGCCAATTCACAGATCTTTTGCAGAGTTATAGGAGAGGTGAAGGAGAGAGCAAAGAGTGGAAGACAAGAAGAAAATAGCAGTAGCAGTGTTCAGGTGGCAATTGAAAATGAGAACTAGTGAAGCCTGGAGAATACAAACGACTATTTCATAGTGAAGGGGACTGCCATGGAGATGGTTGGCTCATAAACGAGAGGAGCTAAGTTGGAAAAGGACACTGTGAGGGAGGGAGTTATTGATTCAGAAAACACTGGCTTTGACTGACATTTTGAGGATCATGAAAACCAAGCTGATGTAGGCATGAAAGTTAGCAGTTAGGAACTTGGGTTCTAGAGCCTAGCGGATAAGATTTCTGGTTCTTTCTGCCATTTGCAAGCAGTGTGCCTAGGAAGTTATTTAACCACTCAATGCCTGCACATTCAATCTCTGTATGGTGATACCAAATGCCTAGTTCAAGGCCCACCACACCCTAGTTACACAATAAATAGTGGTTGAACAATGTACAATGATATCTACTTATATGGTTGTTTCGTGAAGATAAATTGCAACAAAACCTGTGTAGAACATTCACTCTGTTGCCTGACATATGATAAGTACAAAATTAATAAGAGTAGTGATTATTATTACACCTGTTATTAGGATATCCAAGCATTGAATTTTTTGCAGCCATTTAATCTTATTATGAAGTAATGTCCTTCCTGTTATGGATATTGGGACATATTTTATGAGCTCTTATCATAGTAACTGACATAAAACATGTTCTCAAGATATGTTAAATAAATGAATCAAATAATGTATAGAGTTTTAGAGTGGAAAGTCACCTTACTTAACATCTAGTCTAGTCTGTAGATTTTATGGGCATTTGTATTAGTCCTTTTTCAACTGTGTGTAAATAAAGTCTAATAGCATTTTATTAATGAAGAAGCTGAGGCCAAGGTGGTTTGAGTAAGGTGATCCAATGCATGAGGACCAAACCAGGTCTTGCAACTCCCAGTATGGTGGCATGTTGTAGCAACCAAATCTTCCCTTCCAGATGACAAGAGTGGCTGGCTAGTAGCAGAGTCTGGAGGCCGCAGTCTGGGGCATGACCACTCATTTTGCAGTTTTAAGGGATTTAGGGTCATTTTAAGGGGAAAAACTGAAACTTGAATTCTGGCATCTAAGCTTAGGGTTCTTGTTCTCACAAGGGGCTTGAGCCTTAGTTCTAGGGTGCTGGGTTCCAGCTCAGAAATCTCAGCCATTCTGGTCAGGATTTGTGACTACCTGAATTTCTAAAACACCCAGCTCAGTCTCTGAGATTTTAAGGGGCTCAGATGGAGCAGCAGTCACCACAGGACTTCCATCCAGGGAACTCTGACCAAAGGCTCTGATATATGGTGGATGCTCAGTGTTTGGTGAATGCATGAATGAGGCAATGAATGAACAGTATTTTAGAACTAAAAGGGACCTTAATAGGCCTCAAGTGATGACTACAACACCAATATCATTGCAATTATTAATTCCAACAGGGCAACTCTTAGCATACTAACAGAAGCTTGGAAAACGCAGACTTTATAACCGTCAACATGCTTATTGTTGTCAACGTTAGGATGATTGATGGCCTACCTGGGATTCTGTTCCTCTCTTTTCCCGCCATTATAAGGAAACTTAGGTGAGAAAGGCTTAAGTTAGAAGCCCTCAAGGAGGAGGGAACATCTGTCTGTTGTGAGTCTAATGAGGCAGGTGATTAGGGTGAAGGTAGTTTTGCAGCTTCCCCTGAAGGCATCAGGGGAAACCTGAGATCTGTTTCCCCACAGCCTGGGGGAACAGATCTAAAGATTTGCTAAATTGCAAGCATAGATTTAAATGGTACTGAAGGGCCCCAGGCCACATTCTTCCAGTGACCTGCGGAGACACGGGAGAGAATGATTTCTCTTTAAAGGAGTGAACTGCTGGAAGGAGGGTGAGGAAGGAGGCTTAGGAAACCACTCCCCAGTCTCTGGCATTCTCCCACCTCTGCCCCCCACAGCCTGTCAGAGCCACACTTGTGGCTGAATGTTGCTGATATGTAGCTGAAAAGCTATAGACACTGGGATGCCTGAGAAGGATCGCAATGGTTTTGCCATTACAAAAATCACATTGGACAGCAGAAAGGTGGAGGTGGGGGAGCTGAGAACACGGGCCTGAGAATCCGCAAATATGTCAAAGCAGTTTTGTCATTGCCAAAGCAAACCTAAAGCGAAGCATAATGGAGAACTCGAGGCAGATAGAGTCTGTCACTGAGATTTAATTTGTTTCAGAACTGAGAGAGTTGCGAGGGCCCCCGTTCTTGATTGGAGTGGACAGCAAAGAGGTGCAAGCGCAAAGGCTGAAGCTATTCATCCCACATAGGACTCCAGTAAACCAATCAGATAAACCTCTTCATTAGGGTCCTGAATGAAAGGCAAGTGGAAAGAGGGCAGAACACAGCCTGTAGATTAAATCTGGTCAGAGCCAATATCTGACAATCCCCCATGCTGTTACCCAAATGAAAGCTAATGCAGCTATGAATTAGCGGCCCCAGGAGCAATGGAGAAGGGAATTCAATTCTCTCCGAGTCAGCTCCAGCCTAGACTGAGAGAGGAGCTGGGGAAGGCTGGTGTCACTCTCCCCAGGTTTGCAGGTGTGGGTGTAGGGGAAGGTGGCAGAGGTGCGGGGAGCCTCACTTGGGCTTCCTTGCCCAGTGGAAGTCTCAAGGCGTGGACCACAGCTGTGCTTTGTCTCAAGTCAGCCCACTGGGACAGGAAGGCATGACGGTTACTGGCACCCCGCGTTGAGCTGTGCCTCTTCTGGAAGTTCTCAGTGGCAACCAAGCCCGATGCCCTCCAAGAGCATTTGGTTTCATCCTCTCACCTTCCTGCTGCCATCCTTGAACATTACTCTTTCTTCACAGTGAGGCCTGGACAAAGTGCCCTGGCCTGGCACTTGATACTGTGAAGGAGGAAAAATTTCTTTCCTCACTTATCCCCGGGTTCATGGCAGAGGCTCCTGTAACAAAAGACAGACTAACCAGAGAAAAACACACACGTATGGAATATAAGTCTTACATGACACAAGAGCCTTCTTAAGGGAATGAAGACCCAAAGATACAGGGAAACCTGTGCATTTCTATGCTTAGACTTGATGAGGAATGGACAGTGGTGGAGAGATATAATAGGAGGACCAAAGGGTGTAATCTGATGATGGTAAGCTGGGGAACCTAGCAAGGCCCATTTATTCAGATTCCTCTCTGTGTCCTGGTATCTTCAGAGATAAGGATCTTCCTTTCTTCCGGGTAGGGAGGGCACCTGGAATGAGAATCTTACCACCTGCTTCAGGGGAGAAAGGCGAGGGGAAGGTGAGAGCAAACTTCCTGCCTCTGCTGTTTTGTCAAATGCCAAGGTGACATATTTTGGTATGTCCCGAACTGCATCAATATCTAAATTAAGAAGTCTCCACCTAGACCAAACCGAATGATACTATGTCCCCCTCACCTCCTAAACCTTGAGATTAGCCGTTTCCTCACTTTGTTTTCTCTCATTCAAATAGGGTATCTCTAAAACTCAGGGGGCATAGGGAAATGTGGCAGCCTTCCTTTCACTATAGGAGGTGGCCCTTTAATGCCTCCCTGGAGGCAAAGCCTGCCCTTGACCCCTCACATCAGTCATTCTGGCCCTGGTGACCCTGCAGTCATGCCCTTTCCCTGCCTTCTACCCCGGATGGCACTTATGCTCTGAGATGTATTCGATATGAATGCATTACTGTTCATTTATCGTTCAGTCTGCTGATTTAATCTTGTCCTGGGCTCATCCTTCACCCATGCTCCATGGCGTTGTGTAAATATGCTTGTACACTCCTAATGGGCAAAGCCATCACATCTAGGCAATTCTATTTGTACAATGCAATCTATAAAGGGAACTTCTTTTGATGATGTCAGTGATAATGGTATCAGATTGTTCCGAGGAGGGTAGAGAAATGCTGTGATTAGTTCCAGGAGTAAGGCGTTCCGTGGTGGAGATGGAGTCTCCCTCCACTCCTCCCTGGAACAGGGCTTTAACTGTAATTGAGTGAGTGAGAAGAGAGAAAGAATGACGGTGAATGTTTTACCATGGGAGCTGCTTAAGGCCCAGAAACACCTCAAAAGCCAATCCTGAGACCCCAAAGAGAAGGCCCCAGTGGAGCAGGAGCAGCACCCAGGCCTATGGCACTGATGAAAACATTTATCAGAAATCTGTGCAATCAAGAGCACTGAAGCAGAGGCTTGTCCCAAGAGACTTTGTCTGCAGTGGGTGGGGATTGGAGGGAATATCTTAGAATAAAATCTTTTAATGTTCCTCTCCACAGTCATATAGCCTCCTTAATATGACAAATCAGAGCTCCTGACATACTTTACTGCCTGCATGTTAACGAGCCGAGCCTTGCAACAGAGCCATTTGGGGCTGTAGAGGAGTTTACAAACAACTTGGTTTTGAGGTTCTCAGAGAGAGAAGGAAAAGGGAGATTGCATGGAAAGCAGAAATCCTGGAAGGGGTGGCTGCCCCCGGCAAGCTCCAGGGCTCAAGGGAGCGCCTCAAGGGAGCGCATCTACTCTTGGAGTGGCCACACAAAGAGTGCAGGGGAGAAGGCCAGCATGTTCAGACCTCTGAGGTTGCATTACACTGAAGGACTTGGTTCATTAAAATGTTATTCAAAACGCCATCCAGCACATGCCACATGACTCCTAGGACAAATGCAGTTGCTTTCCTGTCTGGCTGTCACTCCACAGTGCTTGAGTGACCCCCTCCAGCTGGAAGAGCCAGGGACGACATGGACCTGGGCAGCCGGGACTTCCACAGAAGGGCCAGCTTCTGTTCCCTGAATCCATGGCTAGGGTTATGCCTTGATCTCTTGTTAGCCAGGTTTCTGAGGTCACTTTGTTACCTTGTCAGAGTGATACAGTGGGCAGTATGAATTGGGCCCTTTAGAACATGAGAAAGTATGTTTTTCATGATGATGATGATGATGATGACATCATGTTAAAGATACTCAGTGTTTACCGTGTGCCAGGCGTGATGCTAGGGGTTTTAGAGGCACTTAATTCTTACTCAACTATATGGTTGAGAATACTATTATTCCAATTTTATTAATGAGTAAACTAAGGCTCAGAGAGATTAATACCTTGATTACAGCTATGAAGCTCCAACAGGTGCAGGGCTTCATGGGCGTACGCTCTATTCCAGAAGACTTGAGCTGGGAAGGTACCACCTGCCCCCACCTTTCTTTGGCCAAAGCCTGGAAAACTGAAGTGACCTCTGCAAGGCCACACCACTGGAAAATGACAGAGCTGGTAAAGGCCAGTTCTTCTGAACCCTGCTCCTTTGTTCTTTTCAGACTGGCATACTCATTGTCACATTGTCTTGCAGTTTAGAGTGTCACAGAGTTTTATGTTTAAGGAACTTGTTGATGGCTTGCATTGAATAAAGGGCACAACAGAACTAGAAAACCTAAAAACTAGAAAGCAAGAGGGAAAGTTTTGAGCCCACTGAGGAGTTAGTTACACTGAGATAGATCCCTGGAGGCCTACCATCCTTCCCAGGGCACGGCCCCTGATTTGGGGATAGCACCCTTCATCCAGCCCACTCTGGGAAGACTGCGAGAGTTGCAAGTATTTTGTACTATTCCAGGAATCCTTATTCATCCAGGCTTGAATCAGAAGACTAAGAAAGGATGAAGAGGTAAGAGTAGAAAAATGACCAGAGAAGAGACCATCCCTCTTATTCACCTGAGTATACCCATTGTCTAGGCTGCCGGAATGTCAACGTCAGTTTATGCACCATGCGAGGCTGGCTGCCTGAGAATCACCTGGTGAGTGATTTTAAAATGCAGATTCCTGAGCTCCACTTCTGGAATTTCTGATCATGAGTCTGGGTTAGGACTCATCTCTGTATACTTCTAATTGCTTCCCAAGTGATTCTGATTATTAGCAGACTTGCAGCCACTACAGAGAAGGCTCTAACAGCATCAGACAAATACAGTGAGACTGGAGAGATCAGGTGGCAATTTTGGCCAGTTAAATAAAAGACAATGGAGGGTTTTTTGTTTGTTTGTTTTTACTATAACTGCTGGGCCACTGCCAAAAATGATGCTGAGGGTGAGTCTAACACTGAGAGACAAGAGGAAATGGACTTGTGGGTAAGATCTAGTATTTTTATGCAGATGAAATTTTCAATAATTACCAGTTCTTGTCACACAAGAATGCTCAATTGAAATAACATCATGAATGGTGTCTGAATTATCTAGATCAATTCTCCCGTATGTGTTGTTTTCTGGTAGTCAACAGACTAAGCTTCAATCAAGCTAGGTAATTATCTGGATAAGTGAGACAACTAGTAATAGCAAAACCCAAATCTACAGTAACCCAGACATAAGTGAACTCACTAGGACAATTTAGGCTGATGCAGATGGAGGAGATGAAGGAACCAGAGTACAGTATCCAAATAGTTTCATGACAGTCTTGGCTCATGCGATACTGTTACACCAAAAGAAAAAAAAAAGAAAGAAAAGAAAAAAGAATTACTGCCTACAGAGGAGTAAAGAGGTAGGGACAAGGCTAAGTAGAAGAATTCTGAGGTCATTCCTCAGTGTTCTAGCTGGAGGCTTCTAAAGCATTATGAGCTGTGTGGTCAAGTTCAATACTAAGAACATGGCCTTAGAATGTAAAAATGAATGGCCACTTCCAGGTATGGCTGAGAAGGGTGAAAATGCATGCACCCACAGACACACACACACACCGTGGAAATGAGGAAAAGTTACTTCTCTCTGTTGTAAATTTAAATGCAGTCCAGAGTAGTGAAGGCCGTTTGTAAGGTCTGCTGAGCTAATGGATTCATAATGACTTTTAAAGCTTCACTCGGGTAAGAAATACTGTTCATTTTTTAATTGCATATAATTATACTTTTTCATAATCTAGGGCGGCATAGCAAAAGTAAATCTACTGGCGTAATTATAAATCTTTTTATTATCTGGAACCCTGCTGAAATAAAAGAAAAAAGAAACAACTATTGTTTTTCCAATCTAGAAAAAAAGGATATATTTAAAAAGATATAGGCTCAATGTTAAATGAGTTATGATGCTTTTGATGAGAGAACACTGATTTGTTGCACGTTTGACAATCCTTTGAGAGCAGGCTGTTTGTGGAAGTGCTAGGGCATTCTGACCTGCCTGTGGTCCAAACTGCTTCTTTTCTTGGGGGAGTGGGCATTTGATGATCTGTTCAATGAGCTAAATGAGTCCATTTTATCCCCAGAGATGGGCTCTGGGAAAGCCTGTAGCTAGAAGAGTCTGAAGGTTGGTAGAGTAGGATAGAGGAGGTGGTGAAAAGTCAGAGGAGGTAAAGTCTAATCAGATTTTTATTTGTACTGGGTTTCTCCTAATGATTGTCCCAAGGCCCCTGTATGAACCTGTGGCTCACTCAAGTTGCCCAGAGTGACCTTGGGAAAGAAGACACACCTCTGAGAGACACAAGATGATAACTTGGCAGGAAGATTCATTACATTCATGGTGATAAGATTTGCTATAATATCAGTTTCATATAAAGTAGAAATGCTGACTCAATCATATAGAGGGAAATAGCAGCATTTGGGAGGACCAAGGGCAAGTTTGGGTCTAAACAACCCAGTCTGAAGGAAGGGGAGATGCTTGCTCCTCACAAAGGTACCGGTGTGATCCTCCTAGTTCACCTGTCCTTTTTGTCTTACCTCACAAATCGAAGTGATGCTTGCAGCCTACCAGAGGAGCAGCCTTTCTCCTGGAAACGCCACTTAAGGTGGCCAGGAGAGTCCCTGCTAGCATTGGAACTTGTGAAAATAAGGTAGCCTCTCAGCAGCACCATCTAGAACCCTACCTGACAGAATCTGAGGCCTGTCTTCTCCCTAGCACAGAGTTCCATGATCCCTTGAAAAGACTTCTCCATCAGTTCTGGATGCCCCATGTTTAAGAGAACCAATTACTTGTCTTTGATGGGGGAGGACAGAGCATCCAGAAAGACAAACTAATTAAGCGCTCGAAGGTGGAGCAGCCCATTGGGCCTGATGGAGATAGATGATGTTGCCCATCTCAGAAGGGAGAGATTGCTTCTGGTGAAGAGAAAGCAGTTTGCAATTAACATCTACAAATTTCTCTGAACTGGTTTTTACCACCCTCCTCTAAGTCCAATCCAACATGCACAGACCCCCACAGCAGCTCAAGTCTACTAGAAACTACCAATACTATCCATACATTGATAACAACAGGCATCACTGCGGGTCCGTACTATGTGTGCCTGGCAGGGCGGGGCTCAGCTAGGAGCTTCCTTCTCACACTGAAGCTTTTTCCCTGGCAGGTACCTAGGCTGATCTTTACCCTCTACCTAGAGACTCCTGTCTCATCCTACTTGTTCTGGGTTCCAGGCTGCTGTCCTTAGGCCTGGTGCTGACAAAAACTGGTGTTTTAATTGTTACCCACTCTCTGGAAGAAAGCTGATCTCACATATCCTGTAGAGATTTTCGTAGGTACTGTGCATCTTGTAATCAGTGTGTGTTTTTTCTATTTTATTTCTATAAGATACAAAAGTGGTTGTAAACAGTGAAAAGAAAATTGTGTCTAGAAACTTTCTTTATGTTACAGTTTAGAGTATGACAGTTGGAACACACAAGCAAATATTATGAGTTTGGCTAGCTAACCTGACTCCCACGAGCAATCATCCCTGCTAATTTCCTATACATAATGTTTTTAATCAGTGGAGACCTAGAGTAGCTGGTTGCCTAATCCTAGGAAGTATGTTTTATTCCTTTAAGCTTTCTTCATAGCAGGCAAGACACATGCCAGTTTAGAATGGTGGCCCTACCACTTACTACCTATGTGATCTTGAGCAATTTACTTGACCTTTCTTAGCCTTACTGTGCTCATCCATAAAATAGAGATAGTAACACTCAGCCTGCAGAGTTGTAAGAATTAGAGAAAATATGCCAGTCAAGTGCCCAGTGTCATTAGAGCCTTGACACCACTTGGAACCCAATAGGTGGCTTTTGTGGTTGTGGCTGTTATTAACTCTGTTATTAAATTCAGGAAACTGAGTGCAAGTTGCTGGCATTTTGATGTTGGTTTGATGGGTTGCAGAGTTTTTCAAAGACTTACAACTTTTTGCATCTGTGAAGTGTGACTAATAATTCCTACTTTGCCAGGTAGGTATAGGTTTGGCAACAACAAACAGAAAACCCAACCACAATGGTATAAACAAGTAGGGATTCATTTGTTTCTCTTAACATGGCTTCTAGGGAGATGCTGCCAGAGTTGGTCCAGCAGTTTACCCATGTCAGAAGCAGCATCTCTGTGACTCTTTGGGGTTCTCTTGGCCCTTTCTACCCACTGCTCCCCTGGCAGTACCAACATGACTGCTGTGGGTTTTTTTTGGTTTTTTGTTTTGTGGGACGGAGTCTCGCTCTGTCGCCCAGGCTGGAGTGCAGTGGTGCAATTCCTGCTCACTGCAAGCTCCGCCTCCTTGGTTCACACCATTCTCCTGCCTCAGCCTCCCGAGCAGCTGGGACTACAGGCACCTGCCACCACGCCCGGCTGATTTTTTGTATTTTTAGTAGAGATGGGGTTTCACTGTGTTAGCCAGGATGGTCTTGATCTCCTGACCTCGTGATCCACCCGCCTTGGCCTCCAAAGTGCTGGGATTACAGGCATGAGCCACCACGCCCGGCCAACTGCTGTTTTTTTATGGCATCATCCTTGTTTCAGGCACAGAGGAGGGAAAAGAGGAAGAGACCGAGTATCTGTCTTATTGTATCAGTAAGGCAAAAGCTTTCTCCAAAGCTCCTCCAGGAAATGTATGCTCACGTGTCCTTGACTGGAGCTGCGATAATGACGGGGCCTGTCAACCAAGAGCGCCTGCCACATCTGCTGATAGAGCTGCTATGGGAATAGATGAGCTAGTGTATGTTAAGGCACTTTGTAAGTGCTTTACAAAAGTAAGTTATTATCCCTATCCAAGCCCTTGTACAAAGGAGAGGCCAGTCAACTGGCAAGTGATAACTATATTGCTTAGGCCTTTTAACCCACACTGAGATAAATGGGAGGCATTTGGAAGGCAGTGGTTGTTTCAGTACTAGTTGACGGGTCATATCCTCTTTCTGGCTAAGCTGGAGGTTATCCTGTTTCATTCTGCCAGTGAGATGATGCTTGGATTGAACTTGGTGGCTTCAATTGTCTCTGCTTGATGTAAGTGTGAGGCTATGTCCTAGATAAATACAACAACAGCAGGAGGTATTCCTGAAAGACACATTCACCAGTAATGGGGTTATGTTAAATTAATCATAGGTAGTGTTCTTAGTGTGTGCCCTCTGCATTCGTGTACCCTCCTGACATCCTTAATAAGCATCTGCTATTCCTTAACAGCTTTATTGAGGTATAATTTACATACCATCACATTTACTGTTTTAACTTTGCAATTGAATGAATTTTAGTAAATTTACACAGTTGTTCGGACATCACTACAATCTAGTTTTAGAACAATTCCATCTCTCCCAAGTGATCCCTCATGCCCATTTGCAGATCATCTGCATTCCCACCCACTGCTGTGGGCAACTACAATTCTATACTCTATTGCTAGAGATTTGTCTTTTCTGGACATTTCGTATCAATGGAATTTTACAATTTGTGGTCTTTTGTATCTGGTTGCTTTCACTTAGTATGGTTTTGAGGTGCATCCGTGTAGTAGCATGCATCAATATGCATTCAATATGCATTTGCTTTTTTTTTTTTTTTTGCTGAATAGCATTTTATTGTACGGATAGACCACATTTTGTATATTCTTTTACCAGTCGATGGACATTTAGATTTTTTTCCACTTTGTTGCTGTTATGAATAATGCTGCCGTGAACACTTGTGTACATGTCTTTGTGTGGACATATGTTTTCATTTCTCTTGGGCAGACATCTAGGAGTGGAATTGCTGGATCATATGGTAAATTTATGTTTTTAAGAAACTACTGAACTATTTTCCAAAGTGGCTGTAACATTTAACATTTCTACCAGCAATGTATTGAGGGTTCCAGTTTATTTACATCCTTACCAACATCTGTTATTTCTGTCTTTTTTATTATAGCCATTCTAGTGGGTATGAAGTGGTATCTCATTGTGGTTTTAATTTGTATTTCCCCAGTGATTAATGATGTTAAGCAGTTTTTTATGTGCTTATTAGCTATTTGTATATCTTCTTTGGTGAAATGTCTTTTGAAGATTTTTTGCCCATTTTTGAAAATGTAGATTTAATTTTTAGAGCAGCTTTAGGCTCACAAGAGATTGAACAGAAAGTACAGAGGTCCCATATATGACCCTGCTCCTGACAAAGGCACAGCCTCCCCCAGTATTGATATCTCACACCAGCCAGAGTGGCCCATTTGTTACAACTGATGGACCTCCATTGACACATCATTACCACCCGAAGTTTATAATTAACACTAAGATTCACTCTTAGTGCAGTACATGTTATGGGTTTGAACACATGTATAATGACTTGCATCTACCACGTAGTATCAAAGAGGATAGATTCACTGCCCTAAAAATCCTCTGTGCCCTACTTTTCATCTCTTCCTCCCCACAAACCCTGGCAACCACTAATCTTTGTATTATTTCTATAATGTTGTCTTTTCCAGAATATCATCTAGTTGGAATCATATAGTATGTGTAGCCTTTTCAGATTGGCTTCTTTCACTTGGTAATAAGCATTTCAGTTTCCTCTATGCCTTTTATGGCTTAATAGCTCAGTTCTTTTTAACACCAAATAATATTCCAGTTGTCTGGATGTACCACAGGTTATTTTTCCATTCACCTGCTGAAGGTCATCTTGGTTGCTTCCAAGTGTTGGCAACCGTGAATGAAAATACTATAAACATCTGTGTGCAGGTTTTTGTGTGGACCTACATTTTTAACTCATTTGGATAAATACCAAGGAGAATAACTGCTGGAACATATAGTGAGAGTATGTTTCTTTTCTTTTTTTTTTTTTTTTAACTGCCACACTGTCTTCCAAGTGGCTGTGCCATTTTGCCTTCCCAGCAGCAGTGAATGAGAGGGCCTGTTGCTCCACATCCTTGCCAGCATTTGCTCTTGTCCTGTGTTCTGGATTTTGGTCATTATAATAAGTATGTAGTGGTATCTTATTGTTGTTTTAATTTGAAATTCTCTCATGACAAGCATTTTTTCATATGCATATTTGACATGCTTGTATATCTTTGGTGGTGTCTTTTGCTCTTTTTTTTTTTTTTTTAAGACGGAGTCTTGCTCTATGGCCCAAGCTGGAAGCTGGAGTGCAGTGGTGTCACCCCGGCTCACTGCAAGCTCCGACTCCGGTGTTCATGCCATTCCTCCAGAGTAGCTGGGACTACAGGCACCCGCCACCATGCCCAGCTATTTTTTGTATTTTTAGTAGACACAGGGTTTCACCGCGTTAGCCAGGATAGCCTCGATGTCCTGACCTCGTGATCTGTCCGCCTCGGCTTCCCAAAGTGCTGGGATTACAGGCATGAGTCTCCGCGCCTGGCCGTCTTTTGCTCATTTTTAAAATCAAGTTGCCATTTTCTTATTGCTGAGTTTTAAGAGTTCTTTGTATATTTTGGATATCATTCCTTTGTCAGATATGACTTTTGCAAATGTTTTCTTCCATTATGAACTGTCTGTTAATACTCTTGAATTTCATCCATTTTTAATGGCATTACTTACTTATTATTATATTTTAAGAGTTTCCTATACGTTCTACAGCAAGTTATTTATCAAGTATATGATTCATGGAATTTTCTCTCAGTGTGTGGCTCCTCTTTTCATTTTCCTAATATTGTCTTTTCAAATGCAGAAATTTTTAATTTTGATGAAGTTCACATTCTTCATGTTATTCTATGGATTGTGCTTTTGGTGTGTATAGAAAAACCCAAAGTCACAGTGGTTTTCTACTATATTTTCTTTTAAAATTTTTGTAGTTTTAGCTTCTACATTTATGTCAATATCAATTTGGGGTTAATTTGTGCTTGTGGTATGAGGCCAGGGTCTAAGTTCATATTTTTGCCTGTGAATGTCTAGTTGTTTCAGAACCATTTGTTGAAAAGACTATTCTTCCATTGAATTATCTTGATACCTTCTTTAAAAAAATCCCTAAATATAAGAGCTTAATTCTGGGCTCTCAATTCTGCTTCATTGATCTATATGTCCATATGTCTATAGTTTTGTCAGCACCACACTGTGTGGATTACTGTAACTTTGTAGTATGTTTTAAAACCAGGAAATTTAAATGCTCCAACTTTGTTCTTTTGCATTTTTTTTTTTTTTTGTCTTTTCCAGATCCTTTGCATTTCCATGTAAATCTTAGAACTTGATTGTCAATTTTAGGGGAGAAAAAAGCCTGTTGAGATTTTAATAGAAATTGTGTTTAACCTAAAGATGATTTGGGAAGAATTGTCATCTTAACATTTTTTAACCATTAAAATGGAATGTCTCTCCATTTATTTAGAACTTCTTTAATTTCTCTCCATGTTTTTGGTTTTTTTTTTTCCTTTTTGGTGGGAATTGTACAAGTATTTCACTTCTTTTGTTAAACTCCTTTCTAGAATTTGATTATTTTAATGCTATTTATGCTATTGTAAATGGAATTGATATCTTAATTCCATTTTTGGATGATTTCTTGTGTGTAGAAACCAAATTAATTTTGTGTATTGATCTTGTGAACTTGCTGACTTCATTTATTAGTTCTAGTGATTTTTTTGTAGATTCTTTGGGATTTTTTTACATATGAAATAATCTACAAATAAAGACAGTTTTCCTTCTGCTTTCCTTCCAATCTAGTTGCCAAGCATCTGATATTGAATTTGAAATTCTTTAAAACATGCAAAGAGTATAAAGGAGGTTCCCCTAAGGCAGATAACGTGATGACTTGAAGGAGGAAGGGCTTACAAATAGGGACTAGAATGACAGAAGGGACCAGGGAGTCCCTCATTAGGCTGCAATGAACTTAGGCTCACTCACTTATTTTTCAAGGAGTAAGGATAAAGAAACTGCCATGAGAAAGACATGCCCAGGTTTGATGATAGGGACTTTGATAGTGGGACAGGAGATGGAGTATTGTTGAGCTCCTTTCAGAGAAATTGAATTGCACAGCATTTTTCCTTTGTCCTGTGAAGAAATGGTTTGTTCCCTTCCAATTAATTTGGACGTCTTTTTCTGTTAAGCAGGGACTGGCTGATACCCCACCCCTTCCAAATGCAGATGGAGTAACAGGGGCACAAGGTAGCCAGTTGAACAGCCAAGAAGGCCTTGTGTACATGCTTATCTGCAACTGCAGCAGTAATTGCAGATTCTAACTACCATGTCTCCTTCTCTCCAGCGAAGTGTCTTTTAAATAATCCCTCATTATTTAACATGCATTGGCTATTATGGCTATGTGAGCTGTTATCTATTTATGTTGATTATTAATAAATTATTAGATCATATTGTGTGGGTTTTAATAACTCCATAGGAAGAGAAACGTGGCCAGGAGGTGAAATCTCAAGCAATTACAATTTTGTAGGTTGAGTTTATTTTTTTCTAACACATAGAAGCTGTTCACTTACAAGTAAATTAAATACATAGGCCTTTTGCCCTTACTTAGGATTCTGGCCATGCGAAGAGCTGGGACTCACAGCAGAAGCACATTTCCTGGCCTGAAGAGCCTGCTGGGGGTGGCTGTAGCAGGGACCGTCCAAGACAGGGACCTGCTGCTTATTGGGTTCAATGCATTGAGACTTGCCCTTTCTGTATGGGCCGAAAACCTTCATAACGATACTAATGTTGATGGTCATATCTGTGTGAGGTTAAGCAGAATTTCAAAATGTGCTATTTGAAATCAGTCTTGAAATAGGACCCCCCACTTTCGGTGTCCAAGACGGGAACCTGCTGCTTGTTGGGTTGAATGCATTGAGCTTTGCCCTTTCTGTGCGGGCCGAAAACCTCCGTAAAGACACTAATGTTGATGCTCATATGTGTGTGAGGCTAAGCAGACTTTTAAAATGTACTATTTGAAATCAGCCTTGAAATAGGGCCCTCCTCTTCCAGAGGAGACACAGGAAGCCACACTGCTCCTTTCACGTGCATGTCCTTTCTTGTCGGAGACAAACAGGCGAGAGGCTGTTTGAGAATCAGGATAGGAGTGTCAGCAGAGGGGATTCTTGATGAACTCTGCTCTGGGAGGTCAGGCAGAGGCAAAGAATGCACCAGGCTTCAGCCACAAAATGGAAATGGACTCAAATCATTGTCTTGTCAGCCAGGATTTCAAAATCAATACCAAGCCTCCTTGATACATTCTTATTCTTTCTCTTCTTTTCTTGCTGTCTGCTGAGGGTGATGATGAATTTTCTTCTCCAGGTAGCTGTGGAAATAAAATCCTTATGCCCTCCTTGGTACGAGTATGCCTCGTCCATCTACTCCTATTGGGGTGAGAAGGCAACACGTGTCCTGGGGCTCCCTGGGTGCTGGCAGCCCTCAGTTACTAGCATCATTTGTCACCATCTTTTCTCTTTGCCATAAGGGGATTGAGTCCACCTTTCTGGCCTCATTGCTACTGTCTGTAAACTGGTGATAATCTTCCCCAGAATGCTGTAAGGAAGAATGAATATGGGTATCTGCCACTATTCCATATTTAAATTATTTAGACAACTAGGACTTGGAATCCTCATTCTTATACTTGCTACTAGAAAGTAGATTTGGACATAAAACAGCTTCATTCTCTAGAATGACTAGCCAAGAGGGCTTACTTAAGGGAGCCTTCAGAAGAACGTATTTAAGATTGTCTCAAAGTCTGGATGCCACAATGCTATGGGTTCCTGGAAGACAATAAAATCCGTCTTTATATCCTCCTTCCCTTTCACATAACCAGCAGTGAATGCTTGTGGAGTGATTGACAGGAAAGTAGGGTGGGGTAGGGAGGAAGGAAGGAAAGAAGGAATGTATGGAGGGAGGGAGGAAAGGCAGGTAATAGATTCCAGTCTATCCATTCATTCATTCATTCAATCTTGATTTCAGTACATCCTATGTGCCAGACACTGCGATAGGTTCTGGAGATAACAACAGTGTCCAAGAAACAACAGTGTCCAAGAAACAGGACTTTCCCTCAAAGAGCTTACTGGGGAAGCCAGCAAGACCAGCAGACAAACACAGGTAGTGCACATAAGTTCCATGCTGAGATGAGCATAGAGGCCTGTGGGAACTCACAGGTAGGGTATCCAACTGCCCAAAGCTTTCTGAGAGAAGGTGCTGTCTACACTCGTCCTGTGTGAGAGTGGGAGATGGATAGGGGAATTCTGGCAGAGGGAACCGAATGTGAAAGCATGCAGAAAAATGACTGTGCCATAGCCTGGCAAATCCAGGTCGTTCAGGATAGCTAGGAGGAACATGTACAGAGGAGGCAATGGACCTTGGGGCAAGTACAGCTCTATGTCTGCAGACTCTGAAGAGCCTGGTCAGCTGTGTGCAGGGGTAGGGACACAATCCTGGGATCACTGAGCAGGACAGTAACACAACCAGATACCTGATTTAGTAAGACCCCTCTAACTGCACTGGATATGGAGGGGGTTGGGGGAGCAGATAGAATGCAGTGAGACAATTAGGGAAGAAGCTGGTGGCTTGGATTGAGGTGGTAGTCAGGGGATGAAGCAATCCAGTGACCTACTTCCTATCTTCAGCAGGCTTCCTTAGCTGAGGGCCCAGACAGACATGGCAGGGAAGGGCAGAAGATTTAAACCAAGAAAGTATATTTTCTTAGAGAAGGAGAACCCTCCTGATGCAGAGCCCTGGAGCATTTAGGAAAGTTAAGGGCAGACTGGCAGCTACCTCCGCAGTAGGGCAGTGAGATGATGGGGATTGAGCATGGATTTGGAGACAGCCTGGAGCAGCCCAATTCCAATGCTTTGAATATAGGCACAACAGGCAAGGGTGAGCTCCAAACATCGCAAAGAATGGTGGGAGAGAGGGCTTTCTTGGGAGAACACAATGAGGTTCATTCATGAACTTCCCAAGTTGCTCCTGTTACCACAGTAACATGTCAAGGGTTTAGCAGATCTGGAAAGAAAAAAAATACACACGCATACAACAACCCTGAGTTACAGTACTCAAAGCAAATTAGGTCACTGTTACGAGTTATTAATTTTAATGCATTAAGAAAAGTGTGCAGGGGGGAGTGAAGAGTTTTTTTTTTTTAAGCACACAAATGGGAATCAGCAAAATGTACAACAAATAATTATGCTGAAAGCAAAGTGAAGTGTTCCATAAAATATAAGAAATGAACAAATTACACACCCCTCCTTCCTCCTCCCTCAAGTGTACTTGGGAATCGGTGAGGTGGGGGGGGGGGGGTGGCTCCCCCACAGCCCTCTGATGCAATTATGAGCTCTCATTTCACCTCTTTGTGTTATGTCACATGGTGTTACTTAAGCCAAGCTGAAATTCAGCAGTGGAAAGAGAGCGCAGAGGAGCATTTTTCTGGGCTGAGTTATGTTTAGCGTGGAATCGCTCTTAGGCAAATGTGCAGCCTGATGAATGGAAATTGGAAGCCATGAATAGATTCTCCAGGAACTTTCATACCCAAGAGGACTCCAGGCAGGCTGGATTTTTGGTTTCTAGGCCTGGGCGACTCACTGCCGCAGCCTGCTTCCTGGATGGAACTCTGGGTCTTGCTGCTGCAAAACTGGGTCAGGGGCCTCTCTGGCTTGAGGAGGCTCTGTTTGCTTTTACGTGGTCTTATTTGGCTTTTGGTATTTGGTGTCTTATTTTTATTTGTTTTCTGCTTCTTAGGTTTTGTTTCGATCTTTTTAGGCAAGTCAGAAAATTCTGCATTCCAGACGGCAGCATTTGTGGAACTGACCTCCTTCTTTCTGTACACAAAAGGCCTCTCCCCTTCACTCTGAGTCTCCTGCCTCTCTTCCTGTCCACACCCTCAGCACCCACAAGCCTGTACCTTCCCTGTCTTGACTCCCTGTCTGGATTTCATTCGGATCATTAGCTACATTTTGGACCTGGGAGGAGGCTCTGGGACTCATCCCTACACTATGACCACATCTTGTCACTTGACTTCCTGGGGACTTTGACCTCTCTGTCCTCCTTAAAATTCTATTCTCCATTAGCTTGCAAGATGTTTTGCTCTCTTGTGCCTTTTCTCCTCCCTCTGACCACGCTCAGTCACAGTTGGCAGATGTGTCCTCTCCACTCTGTAAACCCAGCTCCCTGCCGACGTCCTTGAAAAGCTCCTAAGGGGTATGTACATCTGAACTTGACCTCTGTCTTTCTATCTCTGATTTTTCTCTCTCTTTTCTTTTACTCTCTCTTTCTGTCCATGTTGATTTATTTCATCCATTCATTCTCATAGTTTGACCAATCATGGGTTTGCTCATGGCTCCCAAGCCCATAGTTTGGCCTTAACCTTTTACCTAAGCTCAGAGAAATAAACTAGATACCACCATCCACATAGCTCATAAGCGCCACAAACTTAACTTAATTCTTCCCTCTCCTTCGTGACCTCTTCTGCCTCCAAACCAATCAACAAAACAAACCAACTTTAAAAAGAAAAAAAATAAAACTCTACATCTGCTGTGTTCCTTATGTCCATTAAAACATCCTTTTCCACCCAGTCATGCTGGTGAGGGTCTTTTGCATTAACTGAGACCTTGCTCTCCCCCAAGCATGGCTAACACTTCTGAAATAGCCCCAGTCCTGCCTTTTCCCTGATTTTCGCCACCACGTCGGGGTCCCAGGCTTCAGCCTCCAGCTCATGACAGTGTCCGCCTGCAGGGCCTCTTTTCTCAAGTTCATTCCCTACACTAATTTCAGAGCTGTCTTTCCAAAACCAGCCCTGATCAGGGCAATCCCAGCCTCTGGACCTATGTCCGGGAATCGCTGCCCATTGCCTAAAGGATGAAGTAGGAAGGATTTCAAGGCCCAAGGACATCTGGCCCCAGTCAACTTTTCCACCTCATTTCTTCCCCACCTCTGCTCTAGCCCCACATCCACCATTCCCTAAACACTGGGTGCACATCCAGATATCTGAGCTTTGTTCCTGATCTTCCCACTGGTGGGATCTATCCCATCTCTTCTCTACCTAGCAAACTCCTGCACATCCTCAAGGCCAGTGAAGCTCCTATGCAGAGTGAATCTCTCTTTTCTGGGCTCTTTTTAAAAATACATTGACGGTAGCACTTATGGCAATGACTTGTGTGATTTGAGCACATTAGATTCTGAACTCCTTGTGAGACGCCATCTTGGAGCCTTCATCCAGCCTGGAGAAGCACAGGAGCACTCAACAAATATTGGTTTTTTTATTTGTTTCCTCATTGAAATTCTCCACTTATAAATGAAAAAGTTATGAGCTTTCATCATAAGCTATTTAAAACTGTAGATCCCCAAAGTGGCAAAGCCTAAGTGAATTGCAAGGTGGATGTGCAGGACCTCCTGCCTGGACAGCCTTGTCTGGATGGTGCTGCCTCTCCACATTCCAAGGCCACACCTTCTAAGAAGAGCTACTCTTGAGATTTTGAGAATGTGGGAAAGCCCCGGGTGGATATCAAAGCACATTCCTATGCTTGGTTTTTCTGTGCATGCTGCTGAAGATTCAGGAGGTGGAAGACAGAGGGAGGAGGGAAGAAGCACTGGAAATCTTCGTTGCTTTTCTATTCTATTGTTAGATGGCTTAGTAAAAAGCCACATTTCTATAAAGTTTTCCATAATGTCCGCATTTTCTGTAAAAGTAGACCAAAGGCAGAGTGGTCAAAGGAGACCTTTCCTTTTTGTATTTATTAAAATAATGTATTCTTGTTATAATAAAGAGAGAAAGAAAAATGTAAGCCTAGTACAAACTCACAGAAGCCTGGCAGAGTTAACTCCTAGCATTGCAAAGTTGAAATAATTATAGAATGGTGTATATATAACTGGGTAAGACACATAAGTATGAGTGTGTACACACACAAAATCATAAACTCAACAAATATTCATTGAGTAACCACTGTGTATCAAGTGCATAGTGTGTTGTGTGCATGTATGTGTGTGCATGTATGCATGTGCGTGCGTGCGTGTGTGTGTGTGTGCTTACTCCCCAGGTGTCGTGTGCTGCAGTTGGGAGCTTTTCATTTCAGTCATTTGGGTAACCCCATCTCAGCTGTCCTTAGAACCTTCTGGACAATGAAAAGAAAGGCTTTGATTCCAGAGGCTAATTTGGCCAGTGACTGGAAAGCTTTATTTTAATTGATTCTGCCTTTCAATATCCAAGTAACCTATAATCTCAGCTCGATTGCCAATATTTTGCCTGCATCATGCCTTAGCTGTTAGCATGCAGACAGGGCAGGCAGAGAGCTGCTGTCATGGCTCAGGATAAAAAGGAAGAGCAGCTCGGGGTAATAATCTGCTTTTGATTTTTTTCTCTTCCTTTTCCTATACCCTCTCTCAAATCCACTAAAATGGGGGAAAAATCCATAGCGATTAGAAAAACTTCTGACCAAGACATCTTTCTCCTTTGCTTTCATTTTTTCCGCGCCCTCTTTAGTATTCAGAAGCCACCCAACGTCAGAGGTTTCCATGCTGCTTGGCCGTGCACTGCATCCCAACCACAGAGCAGGGGGGAAATGCTCATAGGAGATTTGCAGTTCCTTTCAAGCTCATGCCAGGTGGCTTCCATCACACTTCCAGGCAGAGCTCTGGCAGCAAGTCACCGGGGCAGGAAGGGTGCTGGTGAGAGGCTTCTGCAAAGGCAAGGGACGTGTGTAGAGACAGAAGCCCAGCCGAGTCACCCCTCATAGTACCAGCTCCTCTGAGAAGCCTTCCTGCAGTCTCTCAGAGCCGTGACCTACCTTGGCAGAGCCCAGGGAGGAAGGTGCGTGGCTCCAAAGAGAGCTGCTCATTACCATATGACAGGGAAATATTCAAATGAGCATAACTACAGTCAGTGGCAATGTGGGGTACTGTGTTAGGAATGCTTAATGTTAACTTTCGTTCTCACAACCCACTGGCTAGATCCTCTTTTCCCATCTTACAGAAGAAGGAACTGAATCGCTGCACAGAGGTCACACATCAAGTAGATGGTCTATCCAGAGTTCAAACCCAGGTGTGCCAGGCCCCAAGTTTTCGTCTGCCACCCACCTGTCCTTTGTTGCCAGGCAGTGTGCACCTCCAGCGTTCTTCTTACCAATCATCTCCTCCACTCCTGGAGCGATGGGCTGAGGCCCAAAGTGATTGTGTGGGTAAGGGGTTCGAGGCAGAGGGGCGTGGTGGTTAGAGTCATATAAGAACATCATGGGAAGACAGCCAGGTGTCTCTGCCCATGACTGAGTCACTGCAGTACATAGGATGAGGTATGTTTCTGGATAGGACACAGATGTCTCAGATCCGGGGGTGTCTGTTTGCTGTTGATGTCAACCTGGCAGAAAGCCCTGTTCTCTGACTGTCACAGATAGAGGAGGAAGGAGTGCCTGGGGACATGCGGTGGCAGGAGAGGATGGAGAAGGCCGGTACCTGGGCTGGTAGGGAGGCTGTTGCAGTGCAGCCATGCTGCCTGGCACCTGTGGCCAGAGAGAAGTGCAGGAGCAGGGAGGGTGGGAGTAGGCAGCAGAGGTGACCACAACGTTCTCACCTTAACCCAGTCCCTGGAAGTGGCTCCGGGATGCTGGCAGTCATAGACCCAGTGGAGAATGAAGCTGGACGGCTGGTGGCCATTGACAACAGGAAGACATACTGCCAAGGAGGAGAGGGCAGGGCTGGCCAAACTCCCAGTCCCTGACATCTGCTCTCCTGCTCAGCCCTCATACTGAGCTCAGCTCGAACCTGACAGCCTCTTCCATTTAGTTCGTAAATCCCCCAAGCTGGCCTCAGGCAGCCTCTGTGTCTCCAGGCCTATGTCATCATAGGACAGCCATGAAGCTTTCCTGATCACTGTCCCATCCCTTCTTCATTGCCATGCTCCCCCCGCCACCACAGGCATCCTGGAAAAGAGCAGGGCCTTCTGCCACCAGGCTGCCTCATGCGTGTGCCTGCTCTCTCATCCTGTCAGGACACATGCATGTTAGATCCCACGGCACCAACAGCCTGGGGAAGGGAAGGGAACCTTTCTGTTACCAGGGGGTTGCAATGGTGTGTGGCAGGTGGAGACATAGCAGAGCAGGTGCACCAGCCAAACCCTTGCAGGGCTTTGCACAATCCTGTGACCAACAGCCCCCCCCCCCCCCCGACCTTTTTATGGTGAGGAGGAAGCTGTGCAAAAGTGTACATCTCTCTCTAGGACAAGTGTGTGAGCACCCCTTTTCCCTTTGCCCTAAGGGCATAACTCCTAGGACTGTTTTTTTTTTTTTTCAATTTTATCCCAACCTCCTCCACTGCAACACACACACACACACATAAGCATGTACACACACACACATACACAGAGCCACAGTCACACCGAATATTCATGCTGTTGGAGAGTGAATCATGCTAATAACAACTTTCATTCTCAACATCAGAGAGGCTAACCAGGAGGGTTGAGGTGAGGGTGTTGATGGGGCAGGGATGAGCACACAGCAGGCATCCAGTTAATCACCTTGGCCAAGCAATGGCAGAAGCCAGGGTGAGCTCAGGAGCAGCCATATTTGCTTGGAAAGGCAGGGGTTTTAATAGAGCAAAGCTGCTCCTTTTTCTTTAACACTTCTTCCAAATCCCCCAACAGCCCTGCCTTTAAATCAAGACTACTCTGGGGCCTTCTGGGAGGGAGTCAGCAGCAGCTGAAGCGCAGTCTGTGGGTCGGGTGTGTGAAGCCAAAGATGTTCCTTGTTGCAAACGGGCAAGTACAATAATGGCACAGGATTAATGGGTGTTAGACTTCCCGTGTGCCTGGAAATCCTCTTTATTTTAGATCCCAATTATTTTTTCATTGAACACATATTTTTTGAGTACTTATAAGGACCTGGTGTTATGCTAGGTGCTGGGAGACAGCTTTCTGAAGGGTGTAAGCAAGAGAATGAGACAGACCTCATTTGTGCTTTGAAAGATTACTCTCTGTGGTGTGGAGAGTGAGCGAGCTAGAAGGGAAAACTGAAGGTGGGAAAACCAGTTGCGTGGATGCATTCAGGTCAAAGGTGATGGTGGCCTGAGCCAGGGAAAGGGGGAAGGAACCCAGGGGACAGGATCAAGAGCTGCCTGGGCTACCAGCCATAAGACCACTGCTTATCAAGTGTCTACAAGGCGCTATGACGAGTACTGGGAATAGAGAGATGAACAATATTTAGAAGTAAGATTTTTAAAAGTTAGTGACTGGTCATAGGGGCTAAGGGAAATGGGGAAGCCTTGGATGATGCTCTAGCCTCTGGCTTAAACAAGCGGGTGAGCCACATCAGGATCATGTGAAGAAAAGAAGGTTTGGGGGGAAAGCCAATGAATTTCACTTTGGACACATTTGAGCTGGAATTACTTATGAAGCCTCTAAGTAGAGATGTCCAGTAAATATTCGGGTACATAGGGCTGGAGCTCAGTAGAGAAACCTGTTCTATGGTTATAAAAAGGATCTGGGCAGAACTCTCAAGATAGACCATCACGTAAGAAGTAGGCAGGCCAGGTGCGGTGGCTCATGCCTGTAATCCTAGCACTTTGGGAGGCCGAGGTGGGTGGATTGCCTGAGCTCAAGAGTTCGAGGCCAGCCTGGGCAACATGGTGAAACCCCATCTCTACTAAAATACAAAAAATTAGCTGAGCGTGGTGGCAGGTGCCTGTAATCCCAGCTGCTAGGGAGGCTGAGGCAGGAGAATCACTTGAACCCTGGAGGTGGAGATTGCAGTGAGCTGAGATCATACCACTGCACTCCAGCCTGGGCGATAGTGCGAGACTCTGTCTCAAAAAAAAAAAAAAAAGAAGGAGAAGAAGAGGAAGAGGAAGAAGAAGAAGGAAGAAGAAGAAGAAAGAAGAGGAAGAAGAAGAAGGAAGAAGGAGAAGGAGAAGGAGAAGGAAGAAGGAGAAGGAGAAGGAAGAAGAAGAAGGAAGAAGGAGAAGGAGAAGGAAGAAGGAGAAGGAGAAGGAGAAGGAGAAGGAGAAGAAGAAGAAGAAGAAGAAGAAGAAGAAGAAGAAGAAGAAGAAGAAGAAGAAGAAGAAGAAGAAGAAGAAGAAGAAGAGAAGAAGAAGAGAAGAAGAAGAAGAAGAAGAAGAAGAAGAAGAAGAAGAAGAAGAAGAGAAGAAGGAGAAGGAGAAGGAGAAGGAGAAGAAGAAGAAGAAGATCCACAAGGCAAGCTGAGCAGAAACATCCAGAGAAGGAGGAGGAAAACCAGGAGGGCATGCTGCCATGGGAGCCAGGGCACGAATGCTTGGTGCAAGGGCACCGACTCGAGGGATGCAAAGACTGCCTGGTGGTCACAGGGACTCAGAGTCATGAGGCCCTTCGCAACCTCGGCAAGAACCATCTGGGAAGAGGGTAGACATGGGTGCCAGAACACTGCGGATTGTGGGAAGAGTGGGTAAGAAATGAGTCCGGGAAATGCAAGGAACTCTTTCAAGGGGCTTGGTATTGAATAAGAGAAAATAGGGCAGTTGCTGCAGAGGAAAGTGGAGTGAAGGGAGGTTGTTGTTGTTGTTGTTGTTGTTGTTGTTGCTGCTGCTCCTGCTGCTTTTTATTTGTTTTTAGGGTGGGAGAGACTTGCACATAATTTAGAGACTTTCCCTACTGAGAAGAAGGGGAGATGGTAAACTTGACAGAACAAGGTCCCTAGAAGTGGGAGGGAAAGGGGTCTGCAGAGCCAGTGGAGGATGGAGGGATTCACCTTGTATGGGAGGGAACGTTACATGCTTCTCATGTAAGGGCAGGGAAAGTGGAAGGGTGGGCACAGATCAGGCACACGATGATGAGTTTGGAGATGGACATGGAGGAAATACTTATCTGTCGGCTTCTGTTTCGTTTAAGAAGCAGGAAGAGGCCTTCTACTGAGAGTAGGGGTGAGGAGATGCAGTAGTAAAGTTTATAAAGTGGAGAAGGTTTGATTCAGCCTTCATGGAGAATGGATGATCTGACCACAGAGGCACACAGGGACTGGAGGCAGCATGGAGGGGCCAGTTGAGGAGGGAGATCATACATGACAAGCAGGTTAGGGTTAGCCAGGGCTCACTGGAGGAACAGAACCAAAAGATGATAGAGATAGATAGATAGATAGATAGATAGATAGATAGATAGATAGATAGATAGATAGACAGACAGATAGATAGATCGATAGATAGATATAGATAGATGATAGGAAGACAGGAAGATGGATGGATAGATAGATAGGAAGATAGATAGATAGGAAGATAGATAGGAAGATAGATGATAGATAGATAGATAGATAGATAGATAGATAGATAGATAGATATAGATATACAGATGATAGGAAGACAGGAAGGCGGATGGATAGATAGATAGGAAGATAGATAGATAGATAGGGAGATAGATGATAGATAGATAGATAGGATGACAGAAAGATAGATGATAGATAGATAATAGATAGGAAGGCAGGAAGATAGGTGGATGGATAGATAGGAAGATAGATAGATAGATAGATAGATAGATAGATAGATAGATAGATAGAAGACAGATATAGATAGATTGATAGATATAGATAGAAAGAAAAAGAAAGAAAGACAGACAGATAGATAGATTACAGATAGATAATAGATAGATAGGAACACAGGAAGATGGATGGATAGATAGGAAGATAGATAGATAGATAGATAGATAGATAGATAGATAGATAGAAGACAGATATAGATAGATTGATAGATATAGATAGAAAGAAAAAGAAAGACAGACAGACAGATAGATAGATTACAGATAGATAATAGATAGGAACACAGGAAGATGGATGGACAGATAGGTAGATAGATAGGAAGATAGATAGATAGATAGATAGATAGATAGATAGATAGATAGATAGATAGATAGATACAAGACAGGATGAGGGAATTTATCAGGTGAATTGGCTCACACAATTATGGAGGCTGAGAAGTCCCATGATAAACCTTCTGCAAGGTGGAGACCCAGGATAGCCGGCAATGTGGCTCAGTCCATGCCCAAGGTCATCAGAACCAGGGAAGCCAATGGTGTAACTCTCTGAAGGCCTGAGATCTGGGGGAGCCCCTGGTGCGAGTCCCAGAGTCTATAGGTTGGAGAACCTAGAGTGCTGACATCCAAGGGCAGGAGAAGAAGGGTGCCCCACCTCCAGGGGAGAGGGAGAGAGAATGTGCCCTTCCCCTGCCTTGTGGTTCTATCCAGGCCTTTAGCTGATTTGATGGTCTGTGCCCACAGGGGGCGAGAGAGATGCAAGTGCCAGTCTCTTCCTGAAACACTCACACAGACACACCCAGAAATAATGCTCTACCAGCTATCTGGGTATCGCATAATTCAGTCAAGTTGACACCTAACATTAACCATCACGGGGGCCAATCTGAGTGTTGAGGTAATTTTGTCTAGCAGCTCTCAGCATCCTGGAATCAGGCAGAGAAGGCCAATTGTAAAGTGACCTAGGCGCGGGGTTTTCTAGGAAGGTACGATGTTAGGACGAGGATGTAACTACAAGGTTGAAGTGATGGACCATGGAGTCTGAGCTGGTTGGGGAAAAAAGTGATTGCCCAGGGGTCTGTAAGACAGGGAGAAAGTAGAGAGACCAAAGAGGAAGTTTAAAATGAGATCAAAGAACATATCTGTCTTAAAACATATCCTGAGGAATAGCCAAGTAAGATCAGGAAAAATAGGATGCTATGGGCAGAAAATCAAATGTCTGAATTTATCCTTTAGGCAAACAGAGCACTGACACCACCTGGCAAGAAACAGTGAGCAGCAGTAGTATCTCTTCACATGAAGATTTCTTTAACTGGAATCCCAAATCCAGATCAAATGGACTAAATTCCACAGTGCAGTGGGGATCTTCACATTGAGGGAGATTTAACTCCACCTTTCGTTCATCGGTTCAATGATTTGATAGCATGATTATGGTGCTGAGCATTTATCTTTGTCTAATCGATAGATTTCTTGGGATCTAAAGATGCATCTTATGGTGATATAGACAAAAGAGGCATTTATGGAGTCAGCCATGGGAGAGCATATCAGATTGTGCAAGAGCAATAATATATGGAAGTGAGCAGCATGAGTTTTGGGGGCAGATTCTTAACCAAGCCACTCCCTGTCTGTTTGACTTTGGGAAAATTACTTCATCTTTGAAAACTTTCATCTGTACAATAAGAAGAATGACAAGTGACAAGTACGTCATGGGGTTGATATGAAGATTACATGATATAGTTAAATGATAAAATTAAATGCTATCATTATAAACACATTTAGCATCATATCAGGTATGTAGTCATTGTTCAATAAATGGCACACAATTAGCAGTAGCATTGTTACTGCTTAGTAGTATCCTCCTATTGTTTAGTAACAATATTGTTACTCTTAATACTGTAGTAGTGCAGTTACACTATTGTTACTGGAATATTCTGTATTACCCCAGGCCTGCTCCAGCAAATCCTGTCTGTCCTCTTTGGAACTCTTAACCTCTAAAACTTCTTTGCATGTAATCTGAAAGTCATGCACACCTATTTAGCCCCATGCTTACTGTGCACATATCAGGGAAAGGGTTTCTCTCCCAGACCACAAAGACCTCAACTGTGTGAGTTCAAGAGCTTCTGCACAACTGGTGTCACCAAAGTGAAGCATGTCCTTGGCCACTGCAGCTTAAGCAACCAGAATAGCCCAACCCCAGCTCTGTTATCTACTCCAGCCAGAGAATCAGGCTTGTCTCTGATGTGTTGCAGGCCTTGGGTGGTGACTGGACATCAAGGACCTGGTTATCAATTATTCTAATTGTTATTCCTCACTGCAGCCAGAACTACCAAGGTTTAAAGTAGTTTCCATCCTCCAGATCCGTAAACTTGCCCTTGGCTTGTTGAGCCAACCATGCTACTTTAACAGAAGTGATTTTAATTACTCAACTGGAACTACAGAAAGGAGGAAGTGAGGAGAGTATGTGGCTGTAATCAGTGTTTAACCAAGGGGCCCAGCTTGCTCCTGTCTTAGGGGCAAAGACATTAGTGATGGCTGCACCTACCACAGCGCTCAATCTCATCCACAACATGGGAGCATCCACACTGAGAAGTCAGGCTTATCGAAACCCACAAAAGCACTATGCCTTAATTCTACAAATTATGCATGTATTTATCACTTGAAAGGTATGAAAACCTAAGTTGATGTTAAAAAATCATATCTCCTTGGGTCTGTAGCAATACATCATATTATATATAATATAGTATTAATACACATAATAATACATATATACATATATATAATACAAATAATAATATAATATGATGTAACAATACATATCTTATAACATATGATGTTATAACATATGACGTTATAAAATCATATTTCCTTGGGTCTATGCAATATTGTTACATTGTTAAAATACATGTAACAATACATTCCCCATCTGGTGTCATAGGAATGTCTTGGCAGCTAGCTCCCCATTCTTTATAACATGCAGACATCAGGAAGGCCTTGCACACCCTGCAATTGATTACAATGGCTGCCTGGCATCCAATGCAGGAAAAGATTTTGAAAAGGGGAACTATCCTTGATTAGTAATGTCTGCCATGTCACAGAGATGAAGAATGGAATAGCCTTTCTATGTATTTGCAATCCCTTTCTTAGATTATAAACTCCTAGGAGGCAGAGAATGTATCATTTTAGTTCTCTGTGTAAATGTACCTAACCTATGTCATGAGTGGATGATGGTGAAGAATGTTTATGCAAAAACGTAATAATTCAGCTAGTTAATTAAAATCCGGTAACTGCCCTCCACCACAAGCTTGCTTATCACCCTGTCAGAGGAACAAGCAGCTTAGTTTACAAAGACTTCACTCCTTACGCTAAAACTACCTGGATGGTCTAAAGCACTGTCGTAAATATTCGGCACCAAATTGCCAAAATAAATGCAGGGGGAGGTACCATGGTGTGGCAAAGTCTTCTCATCTACTATTAAATCATGTTTATTTGCTTACTTGCAATTCACTGGATCTGCCCAGCATCTGGGGATGTTGCTGAGGCCCAAATGGACACACACATGGGAGGGAAGCACCATGATGAGCGAGTAGGCAATGAACATTTCTTTTGCCTCAGTAACATCCATCTCCCTCAAGTCGTGTGTCCTTCAACTGCCATACCGTGAGTCTCTGTCTTCCCTCTGAGAGGCATGCATATCATTATGGGCCAATCTCGTATTTCTGAGAATGCACAAAACCAGTTTCCCAGGCAGCAGTAAACATGCCAGAGATCAGTGTGGAGTCTTATGGAAACCCAGCTTGGAGAGATGAGTCACAGCATCTAAATTCTGCTCCATCACTGTAAGATGTGTCATCACACACCAAGTGAAATCGAGTTCAACAATTACCAAAGCGTGCAACTGGGGTGGAGGAGGGAACAGAAATGCCACTGTTTTTACCATCTCGTTCTTCAGAAACGCCACCTCAATTCTAAAGTCCATGCCTAAGGTTAGACAATGAGTGGAGTGGCAGAAAAGTATTGGTTGCCAATGGAAATAGTGGCAACCACCTCACTATTGGTTTCTAGTGTGAGTGGTTTCTAGTATATGGTTTCTAGTATGTGGTATACATATATGGTTTCTAGTATGAGTGGAAGCAACTCATACTAGAAACCAGATTGCACCAGGTGATCATTACTCACTCCCCACACAGCCTACAACTGAGCAGTGCTCTAAGAGAGGCAGGATAGGTGTGGAGGTGCTACGTGGTTTGGAAAGATTTTTGTTGTTTGCAGGTTTTTCCTTGTTTTTTTTTAATTTTTTTATTGTGGTAAAATATATACAACATGAAATTTGACATTTTAACCACTTTTAAGTATACGGTTTAGTGGCATTAACTATATTGACAATGTTGTGCAACCATCACCACTATTTATTTCCAGAACTTTTTCATCACTGTAAACAGAAATTCTGTACCCATTAAGCAATAACTCCCACTTCCTTCCGTCTCAGTCCTGATAACCTTTAATCTATTTTTTATTTTTATGAATTTGCCTATTCTGAATACTTCATATAAGTGGAATCGTACAATATATATCCTTCTGTGTCTGGTTCATTTGATTTAGCATAATATTTTCAAGGTGAATCTTTAACATACTGTGTATCAGAATGTTATTCCTTTTTATGGCTGAATGATATTCCATTGTGTGACTATATCATATTTTGTGTTTGCATTCATCTGTTAGACACGTGGGTGACTTCTACTTTTTGGTTATTATGAATACTGCTGCAATGAACATTGGTGTACAAGTTAAAAGAATTTACATGTATAGGGTGACCAACTGTCCCCGCAGAAACAGTCGTAGGAGAACCAAGCTGGGGGACATCCTGTCCCCTTTTGATTATGCCTTACAGCTGAAGAATCAGGCATGAAGAGAGTCTGGGACACTGGACTAGGCACATCACCCTTCTAACCCCTTTCTTTCTGCAGGTGCATATGTGAGAAGTTTGGACCATGTAACTAATGCTTTATCCAGCTCCAAAATCTCTTTTCGAAACCTAAATTCATACTTAGAAAGACTCCAGCTAACCTTCATTCTAAGTTAGAATATCCCCAGGTTGGAACTTCCTGTCCCGTGATCTACATTAGCAGGTTTTTTGTTTGTTTGCTTTTTAAGGGATAGCAAAGACTTCTGCAGTTAAATCACACAGCCTGGCTTTCTGTACCGATCAGTTGAGTTTGATACCCTAAACATAGTCTCGGAGGATGTTAAGAAGTGTCTTTCTCTCTCCCTCATATTCCTTCATTTTGCAGTTCGTAAACTATGGCCTTTCTGAGTTGTCCTCACAGTGTGGTCCCAGGGCCGGCAGTACTGACATCACCTGGGTACGTGTTAAAAATGCAGATTCTGGCGGCCCACCCTTGGCCTACAGAAGTGACACTTTGAGGATGGGGCTCAGCAATTTGTGTTTTAATAAATCCTTTGGGTGACTCTGATATATGCCTAACTCAACCTTCAGAAGCACTGGTCTATATGAAAACAGCACATTCTGAGACTCAGGTGATCTGAAACCTACTCCAGTTTTACCACTGACCAGCCATAAGATCTTAAGTTATTCCATATCTGGGCTCATCTGCTTTATAAATAATCTAAGGATCACCCTACCTTTGCTACTCATTCAGGGTATCATTAGAACGCTATTAATCACTAGGTGTGGAAGCACTGTGAAAGGCTGTATATGTTTTACATATGATTAGAATTTTATTCACTCCTTCATTCAACAAATATTATGCATCATCTACTATGTGCTGGAGACTGTTCTGTGGCTGGGGGAGGTTGCACGAAGAGAGCAGATGAGGCCCTGCTGTCATGAAGCCTATATACAGACTGGAACCTTTGTGAAGAATTTTTTTTACATTTGCAAATGGTTATGTGACCCATTTCAAGACTAGGTTCAGATCTGTTAAGAGAATAAGAGAATGTGAAATGCTCTTACCTAAAGGTAAGATCACTTTATGTCAGAAATAACAAAGAATGGGTTGACTACAATGTGACTAAAACAGTTATCAGCTACCAGGAGAGAACTTACAAAGAGATTTTGAAAATACAAAGCTGAGCCTTGGCCTGATGAGGGCAGGAGAGTTAGATGAGTGGTACTTTAGTGCTCATTCAGCTTCCAACACTACAGTTCCACTCTTCATGTGAGTCAATGATACTGTCTCGCTTGGACAAAACTGGATTCTACAGAGAGGCAAAGGAAGCCTATGATGCCTGAATTCATCTCTCAAATCACAGTTGACCACGTCTCTCCTGTCTGAGATCTGGGCCCGATGAGGATACACAAATCTTCATCAGCTTGATGGATCTCAGGACGAATGTTTAGAATTGGGGATTTAATCCTTAGCCACCATTATTTACAAGCAGCGAGCTTTAAAAAAAAAATACAGAGCTGAAATTCAATTTCCTAATTTTAATGAAAAGAAATGAAAAATATGCTGGGAGTGGGGGAAGAATGGCTCAGGAGAGTTATTGGACTTCAAAAACCCTCAAAAATCTTTTAATGATGTAAGTGTAAAGGAATCAGAAACATACTGATGAAATTCCCCTTGATATCCACATGGTGCTTACAGATTCTGAAGGGAAGATTCCAGCAATGAAATCTGCTGTTTTTTATCAAACCCAAAGTATTTGAGATGCCTGGTGAACTCCAATATGGTGTAATCATGTCTTTTTTCATAACAGTCTCTTCTCCCAAAGCCAGAAGGGGAAGGAAAGGCCTAATTAAAGAGCGTTGGTTTTTAAGGTCAGAGTCTTAGGGGGGTGTCCACTTGACATCATCTGCCAAGTTGTTTGTGGTGTTTACACTGACCCACAGATGTGCTGTGAATATACAACATTAAAATGTTAATTGTCTAATCTTGTGCTACTTTTCAACGTACATTTGGCAAGACTTGTTGCATGTTAAGTTCGAAAACAGTAAATTTCCAAGCTGTCATAATATTGAGGTCTCATGTGTGTTACTTGCTCTGCATAATTAATTGTAAAGTGATAATTTGTACACTAAGATATTTTCATTCAAACATGAAAGTGAAAGTCTCAGCATCTTTGCCTCCGGCAGACAGAAGAAAAAGTGGCGTATGCTACCCAGGCATTCTCAATGTCCCTCCTTTCATGAGATCAGCTGACAAGGTGAGCTGCAAATCTTCAGCTCAGGCTGTGACACCTGTCTGCTGTTAACTCTATCCAATGTCATCTGTCACTCACCCATTCTCCCATTCTTGTAGGCCATCCCAGCCAGTATATTCCTTTCCTCTGAACTCTAGTGTCCTCACAATCTGTATGGGCAAGGTATTCCAGGATTCTGCACTCTCTGTAATTCTTTCTGGTGCTTGCTGTGTTTATAAATTCTCTGAGAATGGAAACCATGTCTCATCATTCTTTATCTTCCAAATCACTTCATAGAGTCCTGGGAATAGAGTATTGCTTTGTATATACTTCTATGTTAGAATCCCAGTAACCTAGCCCAGGAAATGTTTGTTTCTCCCTCTTTCATGTCACAAGTGGGCTGTGGGTCAGCTGTGGCCCTACTCCACGTGCCCTTTCCTTTTAGGGCCCTGGCCACAGGCATAGCACCTATCCGAGACATTCCTTCCTCATGACAGAGGGCAGGAATTGGCCAAGCCAAATCAGACGCTTGCATTCAAACACCTGCTCACATGTGGCATCACATTCACTCATATTCCATTGGCCAAAGAAAGTCACAAAGCCAAGCAAGAGTCGATGCTGACCTGCAAATAGTTGGAAACAAAATATAGTCTACCGTAATGCTGCTGACTTGTTGTCCTTGAGGTGGAAAGGGTGACCTATTGTTCATGAGTATGGACAGATGTGCTGCCTAGCAATGAGCTTCCTCTGAAGCACACTGATGAGGTGTCAGCCACACAGACCCCTCCTCTGCTATGCGGTCCCCAGACTCCACCTGCACTCTACTCTGCCAGGCCTCTTCAAAGCTTCTTCACTCAGCTCTTATATGGTAGTCTCTTTCCAAGCAGACTTGAGAGGAGGCACTTTTTCTTATGGAAGGCATTCTTTGGGCTTCTGATAAGAGAAACTGACTCCAATTGACTAAAGCAATAAGCAATTTTGTTGACTAGCATAACCAGAAGGTCAGAGTTAGGTACCGCTTGATGAAGGCAATGGGTCTCTTTTTCTGTCTTTGTCTTAGCTCCTTCCTCTTCATGGACTGCGTTTTTCCCAGGCCAGCCTCCTTCATGGCCATCAGATAGCTGCCAGCTGCAAGCTGGGCAAGACACTCTGCGTTTACAGTCAGTCGGAGAAACTGTGTGGCTTTCCATCCTCTCTCTTAAGAGTGAGATAATTGGTCAGACACCCTTCAGCAATCCTCCCTTGCATTTCATTAGTCTAAAAAAGGTCACTAGCCCCATTCTGAACTGAATAGTGATGAGGAGGTTAAATAGCCCTGAGAACAATGGACTCATCCAGTGAGCTGCTCATTTCCCTAAATAATACTGCCACTATGGAAGAGAAATGAAATGGATTTTGAGGAGTGACTGCCTTCCCCAACCATATTTGGAAAACCTTGTGTCACCTGCAATCACTATTGACCCTAACTATCTCATGGAGAAAGGACACTGAAAGATGGATGATGTGTGCTCAACTGTCCAGCCTCAGCTCCAGGTGTTACAGAACAGCAGCGTTCTAATCTTTGGGTAGTTAAGGTCAGAGGAACATTCTACATTTCACTTGCCTAACAGCCACTTCTGGTAACTACGTGTGCTCAGCTGAGTCTCTTCAAGGGATCTCGTGGTTCCTTAAGGCATTTCCTCTCTTGACTACTTAGACTGATGGGTGCACCCCAGGTGTCACCACTCTGCATGCCCTCCTCTGTCATCACGATAAAGCGTCATTGGTAATTATGATCATGAATGGCCAGTAGTGGCCAAGAAATTTCATCACTAGGTTCCATTATCACGCCAAGTTCCTCTTCGCTATACTTCACCTGCCATGCCAGCAGGAATGGAAGGAGAGGCTGGTAATTAGGCTGATACAGCAGGATGCTCTGTTGTGCCTCACATTTGAAACAAAGACCCCAGAAACATGATGAACAGCAGGGGCAGGAGCCCCATTGCTACCCAGCATGGCCTCTTGAAGGAAGGTGAAGTTCTTCTCCCTTCTCCTGTTCATCAGGATCGTATTCCAGATGAATAGATAAGATGAGTTATTTCCATCTCACAGCTCATGGTGGGTTGCTTGTTTTGTAGGTGAGTGTGATATGTTCTTGGTTGATGCCTACTGTGAGGGGTGCTTAGGACTGGAGCCATCGGAAGTGCTGAACCAGCTGGAGGAATGTGAGATGGAAAGGGGTAATTAGTGTGGAGAGAAGTGAAGAATTACCACAAAAGGTGAGAGACATGGCCCAGGGAGGTGAAGACAGGAGAGGGAGCTGAGGGAGGACCAGCCCAGGGCACATGTGGGCAGCACCTGCAGGTCCTCAGAGCCACTCTCGGCCGGTTTAGCCTGCTTGAAGGTGAAGGGTATCTGCACATCTCCAGGGAGATGACCATGCTATTGATGGCTTGTGCTTTCATTCCACTTTGTCCTTCTGAAAAGAGGGTTGGTCACTGCGCTGTCCTTGCCAGAGGCTTGATTCACGACATCTAGGCTTCCAGACTGCCAGGGGTCTGAAGGACGATTTGGGGCTCTCCATGAGTATGTGGGCTGGCAGCTTCTCTGCAGGGCTTCCTTCCCAGTCTCTACTGAGTCATCCCAGTTGCCGTTCTTTTTTTTTTTTTTTTTTTTTGAGACAGAGTCTCGCTCTGTCGCCCAGGCTGGAGTGCAGTGGTGCCATCTCGGCTCACTGCAAGCTCTGCCTCCCGGGTTCACCCCATTCTCCTGCCTCAGCCTCCCGAGTAGCTGGGACTACAGGCACCCGCCACCGCGCCCGGCTAATTTTTTGGATTTTTAGTAGAGACAGGGTTTCACCGTGTTAGCCAGGATGGTCTCGATCTCCTGACCTCGTCATCCGCCCACCTCAGCCTCCCAAAGTGCTGGGATTACAGGCGTGAGCCACCGTGCCCGGATGCCGTTCTTATGGACACATCCCACCATCTGCTGGGGCCCAGAAGAGGAAAGTCCTTCCTGACTGTCCTTCTCTTCCTTATCACCTCCTGCCACTAACACTTCCTGAGGGGTGGTCCACAGGTCAGATCATTACTGCTGCGGGGAGAGAGGAGGGGCACAGCAGAAATCTGGGCTGAGCTTTCCTGCCCTGTTGGTCCGTGGCCAGTGAGGCCGTGAAGGTGATTTAATGGCTGGGCAGCTTCGATTCTAGAGTCCTGCTCTGTCTCTGCAGCAGAGTACACATTGGATTGGGCCATATGGAGACTTCACCAGCAGATGCACTGGCGGCTTCCCTCTGTCTGCAGAATCTCCATTAGGTTTTTTTAATTAGACAAATGTCAGTGTTTTATTCAGGGTGGGAAACTGTTTTCTAAGTTTGACAACAATGCCATTTTCAAAGAAGAGTCTCAGCATGGTGGCTGCTTTTTATTTGCTGGTCTCCTTTCTGCCCATGTCTCCTACTTGGAGGGGCCATGTCTAGAAATATGCAGTCATCATTGTCATCACCAGCACCACCCTCTCTTTCTCTCTGTGTCATCCCTTGAACCTTGGGGCTGCTTCTTGCTTCCCTCCTGCTCTCTTCTGTGCCAACCCTTTCTGTTCATGGTGACTTTCTCCTCCACAGAGGATAAAATGCAGAAAGAGTCCCTGTGGCCCAGGGCAGGTGCAGAGGGTGTTATAAAGCCCACCTTTCCTTCCCCCGGCAATGAGAACATCTGTCTTTCAGTCTTGCTCACTGCTAAGCCCAGGGGTCTAGTCCAGCATCACTGCTGGGCCTTCCTGCTGCTGACATCATCTGAGAGCAAGGATACCTGGCAGTCCCTGCCATCAGAGATGTTTCCCCTAGCAGGTGAATGGAGCCTGACACATGGGAGTTTACTGCATTATATCAGAATAAAGAGGGACATCTTCCAGCTAACACATTCATGTAGGTTAGTTTGTTGGGGTTTGAACCCTAGTCCAGCTGCCTTATTGGTTATGTGATGTGGAGTCCTAAAGGGGTGGAGAAACTTGCCCGATTTCCTCATCCATATGATGCGTATACACTATTATTTACCTCGTGGGATTCTTGTAAGAATTTAGTGAGTTAGTTTATGAAAATCCCTCAACACGGAGCCTGGACCTTAGTAAGCTCTTAGCAAATAGTAGCCAGCCTCTTCACTGGAAATACCCACTAACTCATGAGTCTGACCTTTGTCCTCAAATCCTTGTTATGCTCCTCTTGGCTCATACAGACAACTACAAAGTCCTAATCAGAAGCTTCAAGATCTTTTCTACCCACTAGGCCCCAACCCCAAAAAGGCCTTAAGACCACCCCCAGTGATCCCTTCTCTCCAGCCAGCCCACTGTACCTTGGCTGCCTCTTCCTGCATCTGAAAGCCTTTTTATAAAGGTATGTGTATCCATCAAAGGCTGCCTCCCTTCCACTGCTTGAGCACTCAAAGTCCACCTCCTCCAGGAAGTCCTGAGATTAGTCTTTTCAAAGCCCTGGACCTTCTGGGAGTAGAAGATTGAGCTGTGTGTATAGTCCAAGAGAATCAAAACACTGTAAAGAAAAAAATAGCTGGTGATGGACTCAGGGCCAAGTTGGGTTTGTTGCTTTGAGTTCAGATAGACAATTTAGGCTGATTTTAATGACTCTGAAATGTTTTATCTTTTACAACCCTGGAACTGCTGCTCTGCAACCTTAACAAATTGCCCGCTTTCCATCCCTCGCTCCCTGTCATCTTCAGTTAATACAGGGTCCATTAGGAGTTGAGAAACTTATTATTGCAATAAAAAAATATCATATCCATATCACAGACCATATATCTGAATCTTGCATAACACCCTCCCAGGGATTAATCCATATTTTAACCAAGTTTTTTATAATGGCGGTGCTTCAGCCTCATGCACAACTGTTTTCATGAAAGCTGAGACAATGATGGCAAAAGGTCATCTCTGAGGTCAAGATCCTGCCTCCCCTAGGGTTATGGAGAGCAAAGGACATTTCTCCCTTCTTTGGTAGGCTTCCCAAGAGACTCCTGGCCTGCTGAAAGGGTGGAGGACACCAGAGACAGGTGCTGTTGCGACTCCATTCAGCAGAGCCCTTTCTCGGTTGTTAATTACCCACGGGGTGTATTGTGGGCGGTGTATCTCAACTCAGAGCACTCTCTCATCCTCAGAGCCATGCCCTGAGAGTCGGCGCTTAGCACGTGCTGAAGGAATAGGCATGGCTCTCACTCTGTGGGTATGCTGGGAGCTGGGCACCGTGCCTGAGGTGGAGCTACAGATATGCAAGGATGAGTGCAATGCGTCCTTGCTCTCTTGCCTTGAGGAACTCTCAGGCTAGTGAAGAAGTCCACAGTTGATCCCAGGGCCACACACTTATAATGTAAAGAGTCCCAGGCCGGAGCCTGGGTTTTAGTGCCACACCTCCCATGAACTCCTCCCTCTCCGACCCCATTCCTTCCCTGCCTGAGAAGAGAAATTAGGTCTCCCACACTTCATGTTCATGGTGACCTATGTCTTCATGGTGGTCATTCAGATTGCAATTACAGTTGGCCCCCTGTGTCGCCTGGGTTCTGCACCTTCAGAGATGATTCAACCAAGTGAATAGACAATATTTGAAAAATACAAATCAACAATAAAAAATAACACAAATTTAACATAACAACTTTAAATAATATAACAAATTTAAGTAACTGTTTACATAGCATATATTTTTATTATGTATTATAAGTAATTAGATATTTAAAGTGTATGTGCTTAGGTTATATGCAAATACTACACTACTTTATATCAGAGACTCGAGCGTCCGCAGATTGTGATACCCAAGAGGATCCAGGAACCAATCCTCCTTGAATAACGAGGGATGACTGCATATATTTGCCTGAGTCTTTGTTCGACATTTATCTTCCTACCTAGACTATAGGCCCCATAAAAGCAGAAACTATTATATTTAATCTACTGTGGAATCCCCAGTTTCTGGTGTATGGGAAGCCCTTTAATACTTGTTAAATGAATGAATTTGTGATTTTGAGCAAATCACTTACCTTTTGTGACTTTCAGTTTTCTTGATAATACCAATAGTAATAGCCAGTGTTTCTAGAACGTTTACCCTATGCCCTGCCCTGTTCTAGGTATTTTATATAATAATTACAATTAACCTTTACAACAACCCTGTGAAGAAGTCACTATTATTGTCCCCACATTGCATATGAGAAAACCAGAGCACAGAGAGGTTAAAGTGACTTGCCCAAAGTCACACAGCTGGTCAGAGATGGAGGCCAGTTTTGAACACAAGCAGTCCTGCTTCGGAGTCCTTGCTTTGGTTGGACGAAATGATCATAAAGATCTCTTAGTCTTGGCTGGACAAAATGATCATAAAAATCTCTTAGTCTTGGCATCCATGAATGTCAAAGCAACCGATTGGAATATCCACCTAGATTTATTTATTTAATAAATATTTATCAAGGGTCTATTATGTGCCTAGGCACTGAAAATACGGCAGTAAACAAAACAGATATTTGCCTTCATAGGACTTGCATTCTGACGGGAGGGGGCAGGATCATAAACAACATACATAACAGATTTATATGTTAGGTACTGATAAGGGCTATGGAGGAAAAGAAAGCAGGGAAGAATTTGGGGGGTGTCTTTTGGGTGGCGGTGTGACATCACAGGTGGTCAAGAAAGCCTTTGTTGAAAAGGTGATGTATGAGTAAAGATCTGAAGAAAGTGAGGAGCAAGCCACGCAGATCCCAGGGGAAGAGCATTCCAGGCAGAGGGTGAGCAGATGCCAAGACCCTCAGGAGGAAAGGGCCTGGACTTGATGGGGGAACTCAAAAGTTCAGTGTGGTTGGGGCAAAATGAGCCAGAGGGGAGAATGGGAGGAGATGAGGTTGCAGGGCAGCAGGGGCCCGATCCTGCTGACTTCGTGTCCATCTCGTCACTTCAGTCTCATTTCCTGTCCTCAAGGCCTGTCTATCCCATTAGACTAGGGGAAAAGATGCATTGATCTTTATAGCTCTAGACTTTAGCTCCAAACCTTGCCATAGTTGGTACTCAGAACGCTTTTTGAGCAAATGGTAGAAGAGCTCCAATACTTTAAAAAGAATGTGGTTGCCGAAGTTCTCTTATGCTTCTCAACCTGTCCCTCCAGCAAAAAGTCTCTTTGCCTGGCCTGGCGTCTGCAAGCCATCTTTTTCTTATAGCTCACTGTGTTGTCTGAGGTCACTGTGTTGTGTGCCATTGGAAATGACCCTGCCTTTCAATTTCCTCTCTATCGCAGCCTTCACAAAGTGCTGGGGAAACTATGATATTCTTTGATGAAAATACTCATAACTATATTTGACACAGATCATGATCTGATAAAATGCAGACCCCTCCCTCGCCTAGGTTCCACATCGTGTTCAGGGCATCTTCACAGTGGACTTGGGAGGCACCTGGAGCTCGGGTTCACTCACCTTATCCAATCAGTGGGGGTCTAGGGAAAGAGTTCAAGGGACATTTCCAAATGGAAGGTAGGTAGTTTCATATCTTAACCAAGTCTTTAATTCAAAATTTAGATATTCTGACAATGGTACCACTGGGATCCTTTATTGCCTGATTCATTTATGGTGTGGTGGGCCCCATGAGGAATGGGTTGACATGCATGAGAGCAGTGTCCTTGTACAACAAAAGGAAACTAAGGATTCCTTCCTAGGTCTGCTTCCCTCCTGTCTTTCAATATCTAAACAATGAACCTTTCTAAATGCTTTTTCTTTATCAAATGGAATTACACAGAAAAAGAAAATGTAGGGCTCAGCCAAGCCACTCTGACTTCCCTTCATGGACCTCAGAAAGGCAAAGCCATCCTTTCAGGAGGCAGAGCAGACGTCCCAGGAAGAAGCCACAGGCAGCCTTGCACTGTGGGCTACAGAGGAGGTGCTGGGGATCCGAGTGCAGTGCAGACTTTCAGGATCTAATTTGCCTTATAATGCGTGCAGTTCACATCTTCTGGGTTTAATGCTAGTCCTGATTTTTGGTGAATATAATGTTCCCATACATGCTAAAAAAAACAGTGAAAGGAAAGGAGATCTGAAGCAAAAACAAAAACAAAAAACAACGCTGTTTTTCATGGCAGGGGGGTCCCTATCCACTTCTCTGCTGGAGGGAGATTAAAGTTACTGGGCAGAGGCAGCAATCAAATAAGGTTCAAGGTTCTTGCCATCTGGTAGGGGCTGTAACATGTCTCTTTGGGAGTAACCTTGCTGCTAATACTTCCGTTCCTTAAGCCTCAGTTTCCCTCTTTTGATAAGACTGATCATTCCAGTTCTCCCAATACCTCCCTACCTTTTAATGCTTATTTTTAAGAAAGCAAACAACGAAAAGTGGCTCATCAGTCACACAAGGCGTGAGGTTTGGATTTCCGAGACTGGGAGCCATGTCTTTGAACATCTTGCTTCTTGAGCAGTCAGCCCGCAGAAAGGGAGCTGTCAGAAAGTCTTCCAGGGAGCTGGAGTGTACAGAGAGAAAAGAGAGCCTATCTCTGAGTGAGGGAATTCAGAGAGGGGCAGGATGGGCTGGAGTGTGCTCCTGCTGCAGTGTGATTGGAGCCTGGGGCTCTGCACACCTCCCGGCCTTGAAGTCGGCCTGGCATTTTGTTCTACAAAGCATCTGCTTCAGCAGATAAAATGATTTTTGACCTGGAGACCTGAACTGACAATTTTGTAGACAAACCCCAAACAGAATGGCTCTGCCTGTCAGCCTGTTTCATCTCCTCCGTGCATCCTCACTTAGCTGTGCTGCACCAGGAATTTTGCATGGCTGGGTGCGGACAAAGGAACCCCTGAAGTGCTTTGGGGAGTCATGTCCCCACTGGAGGCTCTCCCCAGTGTGCTCGTTAGGCATCCGCCCGAACTGGCAGCGGCAGATAGGGCTCTGTGTTGTCAGGCTGTGGCGGTACACAACAATTCCATCTCACATAGGTCTCTGGTGTTCTGTTAAGGGTTCATGGCCAGACAGATTGGAGAATGGAGACATGCCATTTAGCACACCGAATCACACACCAAGCCACTGTGCAGGATGAGGCTTGCAATGCTCTTGTGGGTCACAAGCGGGACAGGTTCGATAAGGCCCAAAATGAAAGATCCCTCTCCCCACCCTCTGACCCCTGAGCGATGAACAGTAAATGCCACAAATTGCCTTATGGGCTTAGACTCTTAATGAGAAAGACATTATGGAAGGACCTACCTAATGTGTAGCCCTCTGCCAAGTTGATGCATTGCAATTATTTAGGGCTCTTTACCCCAGGATAGCGTTGTGTAAATGAGAAAAGAAGGCAGTTGAAGGTTAGAAGTTTCCCATCAACTCCCAGGAATCCTGTATTCCTGGTGCAGCCCCTCAGCTTGCAGCTCCCCCCGGAAGCATCTCCTTCACTAAAAAATATCACCCACCCTCCCCTTGCCATGGAAGGTGACTTATTGGAAGTAAGCCAAGCCCTGCCTTCAAGTAGGGAAGCCATGGAATCAAGCCCCGTTCCTCCTCTGCAAGCTGAGCTGTGTGGTATGAGAACCTTCTGTTGATGACACACAGCTGTCTTCATAGACACCAACCATCATGTCGCCCTTTTTGCCAAACCAGGGAATGACCCAGTCTCTTGAAATGTCTCTCCCCTCTGAAGCATTGCCACAAATACCCATCTGAAGATGAATTTTTTTACACACTATTTCTGTATCATCATCATCATCATCATCATCATCCCCATCATGGATAGTCAGTTATTTATTATATACTTAGCTATACTTGGAGTTGTCCTAGATACCATCAAAGAACATTTTTACAGTTTCTCTTCTCTGGGATCTTAATGTCTCTGAGGAATAGCATTGATGCTTACAGACGCAAAGAGAATGCTACAAATATTGAGTGAACATAGGATAAAAATAGACGAGACAAGATTAAATATGTACATTATGCATACTTCCTCCTTTGACCCCCTACCCCCAAGCTATAGCTGTGCTAAACTGTAGCAGGAGACAGATTGTTCTTGGTATAAGTAAGAACAGCCTTGTAAGACAGATTATTTCTTTTCCTGATGTCAAAAACATGTATTTAAAGTCATTAGTAGGAAGCCATCAGCAGCTGAGCTAAGAAGTGTGGCTAAGAAGTTTTAAGGAAATGTTATTAGGAATGACTTCTAATTCATAAAAGATTTTCTGACCAAATATCTGCTATGTTAACATTGCTTTGGAGCAGGTTCCTTTTATCAGTTGCACTATCCCCACTAGTGATCAGTCTTATTGCAGTCAGAGATGCAGTAAACATCAAGACCCAATTTAACTAGCAATGGCAAAATAGCAAATAATCATGAGTTTGGGGGCTTCGGGCCATAAAATACAGACATTTACCTTGAATGTAGATTTAAACCATCTATATGTTGTGCTAAATGAAACTTGGAATATCTCATCTGAAGTTCGGTGTCCAAATGATAAAAATAGTCCTGAAAACTTTACCTGTGTGTTAAAAAGAGGCTTCAAAGGGTATGGTTCTCTTAGAGTGAGGCAGTTTTTTCTATGCCATCTTCATAAAATCATAGCAATTTAGAGTTGGAAAGGACCTTCAGGGTCTTGTAATCTGGCCTCCTCCCAGTGCAGAAATCCCTGCTTGAGAATTACCTCCAGGCCAGAGTTGAGATGTGCTATCTACCAAGGGGATAGCTATTATAGGGTCACCTTGTAAAGAACTGGTTCTGTTCCAGGGTGAACCAAGGGATTACTTTCATTGTTGGGCACCTGAAGCTAATGCAAGCCTACCAAGCAAGGTACCCAAATAATCCAGTCTCCCTAGAGGGGGTAGCAATAGAACTTCTAATATATTAAATTGCCTTTGATTTAGGACCGTCTTCTTATTTTTTCCACCAGCAACATCCATTGTTATGTTGACCTATTAAGGTGATTACAGAAAGCGTTGGTGGCCCAACATATCTCATTTTCATCATTGTCAGCCTCCTGCAACTGCAAGCTTCTGAACATGTCATAAATCCAATAGACCAAATGTCTCCAGGAGCTCAGCAAAGAGGCTACAGCTTTTTTGTTTCCACTTAGGCCAGGGTTATGGGTAGTAATAAACTCAGCAGTCAAGGCCAGAAATGTGATAATAGTAGGAAATGAGAAAAGGGTTAGAGAAAGAAAAGCTAAGTCGGAAAAACGCTCAGCTCTCCTTGCTTTGCTGAGTTTTCAAATTCATTAGCAACCTCAATTATTCAATTCCTCAATTTTAATCTCTAATTAAACATTGCCACAGACACTGTATCCATGGAGAGTTGAATTTAAGTGGCCTCTTTTTAATAATTGTGCAACTATGATCCCTGCATTGTTAACCCAGAGAAAAAGAGGAAAAAATTAGTTTAAAAAAAAAAGAAAAGAAAAATGTGAGTGCCTAAACTTCATACCAAATGGTAATTGCAGAGGGACGTTATTTTCCCTCTAAATATAGCAAAGATGACTACAAGGCTTCCAGCATTTTTCTATAATAATTTCTTAAATCAGAAGCATATTTGTGCCTGAGAGAGTGCTTTACCACAGCTATTCTTTTTTAAATAATTAGACAAGTAAGAAAACAATAGGCAAAGGTACAATATGCTGCTGAGTAAATGATGCTATTTTTTGCTTCTTTCACAAGGTCATAGGACGCTGGGCTTCCTTTTTTTTAAAAAAAGTATTATTCAGATGAAGTAATGAAATAAATATAGGCAAAGACATTGGATGGTAGCATTTTGCTATCTGGATCTCTGTTTATTTAAAGAAAAGTCTTTCTGAGAGATGAGGGTGCAACCATGTAGCCTCAGAAGGAAATGTGATTAAAACACAAGTAGGAGGAAAACAGAATACAAAATTGCATCTCTTCCATGACTATAGCCCTGTAAGAACTAGGTTTTTCCATCCAGAATATTGGAAAGGAGCTGTGTCCCAGTGTTTGCCCAGCATCCTGTCTGCTTCCTAACATACTTTGTAGGTTTTCTCATTCATCTGCCTCAATAGATTGTGGACTCTGGAGGAGAGGGACTTTGACGCACACTTCTCTGTATCCACAGGGATTGGCGCCTTGCCTGACACATAGCAAGAACCAAACAAATGTTTGTTAAACAAATTCACTGCATTAGGGGGATATACTTATGAGAGCATTCTTTCACATTCTGTTCTATAAAACTTTAACCTAGTTTCATAAGAAATATACATTTTAAAGTCACGAGCAACTATATATCCCATAAATATGTGCATATAGGTGTGTGCATGCACATATTTCAAATAGATTAATTCAATCCAAAGAATTGGAATAAATGTAAGCCAGAAATGTTAAGCAATGGGATCCTCTTCCTCTATAACAAAGACACGAAAGTGTGTGCCACCTCACCAGGAACTGGATTTCTTTTGTAGGATATCTACAGCCCTTCCCACAGTGGGTATTTCCTTGCCAGCATCAATGACAGCACCTTTTGGTGGACGAGCTATCAGGCCAAGTAGCCCCAAAGCCCTGTGCATGTTCCAGGATGATGAGACCACTGGAACAAGCCTCCATAGCTCCTTCCAACTGAAAGTTGATGCCCAGGAGCCAGGATAGTCTTTGCAGAATCCGAGTGCAGAATCCAACTAACACCTAGGGGGTGTTAGTCATTCTCCTGCATAAGAGAAGAGTGGAGAGGCAGGGCCCAGCCCTATGACCCTTGAGACATTCCATGCTGCAGTTGGGGTGTGCCCGAAGCCACCTGGCAAACAACTGGTGTCACTTTAGCTGCGAACTCTAGGATGGCATTAGTTCCAGGAAAACTCACTGGTTGTTTCTTTGTTTCAAGGAGGAAAACCAGTTTTTGAAGGATTTTGCTCTCCAGAGCCATGAATATTATTCAGGTTATCAAGTGAGGAAGGGATGATTTTCAAACTCTGCCCTTAAAACACATACAGTCATGTAGGGGAGATGAATGGGAATTGCAAACCCATGTTCAAGGGGTCATCATCTGTATGTGGACATCATATATGATGGCTTTAGACATCCAAGTTGTGACTTAAATAGGATAATGGTTCAGGTGCTTTCAGCACCACCAAGAGGTTGCCAGCAGGACCACCATAGTCCCAAGCCATCACCCATGCTTTCTGCAGACAGTATCCTCCATCGTTGCTCACTGAATTGTTCCTGTGCTCCCTCTGACTCTTCACATTCTCTTCCGGAGAGAATGGAGCTGGATTTGCTGAGACTCTGCAGATTTTCCAGACTAGCAACTAACTATCTCCTCTCCAAGAAACCCCCTGCTCCCCAAGGAAGAAGGGACTACTTCTTACCACAAGGGTGAAGATGAGTCATTTGTCAATACTTCAACAGAAAAGAAAATGGTGAGAGCTAAGCACCTAAAAGAATCGTTAACTTGAAGCAGGTTCTATGTGCTGTGCTGGTTATAGGAATATCCCAGAGTCTTTTTTTTTTTTTTTTTTTGAGACGGAATCTCGCTCTGTTACCCAGGCTGAAATGCAATGGTGCGATCTCAGCTCACTGCAACCTCTGCCTCCCAGGTTCAAGCGATTCTCCTGTCTCACCCTCCTGAGTAGCTGGGGTTACAGGTGTGCGCCACCATGCACAGTTAATTTTTGTATTTTTAGTAGAGGTGAAGTTTCACCATGTTTGTCAGGCTGGTCTCGAACTCCTGACCTCGTGATCCACTTACTGTTGGTCTTTGTCATTGATTTATAACTTGAGTATCCTTCAGGTTCCTATCTTTCTATCCTCCCCTTCCAACTTTCCCTTTTTTCCTACAGTTTTACATACAAAAAATCAGTTACTTGAGTTAACTTGCAACTGTTTTGAAAATGTCTTTAAATAAGTACAATGCATTCCCTCAAACAGAATACTCTGAAAGAGCTCAACAGCCCTGAAGATATACAATCAATACTTTGCCTGAACCATTGATACCCTTGCCCATCACTTAAATATCATTACAGGAAAGATTTTAACAAGATCACGGCATATTATACTTTAAAGTTTGACTTTAAAAGATGCCTGGGCTTTGCTGAAAGGCATTAGTAATGGAATTCTTTATCTCTGAGCTTAATTTATTCTGAGGAGAATAGGGCCATTATCTTAAATCTATTTTTTTTCCAACAGAGAAAACAGGCCTCAGAAGTCCAGCACTCACAAAGAAATTATTGTTTAATTACTTTTTTGTTTAACTCTTTGCAGAAGGAAAGGGAATTGGAGAAGGAATATGCATTCCTATCAGGTTGTTATCAATAAACATGCAGGCTTTCTTTTTTGTGTTTGTTATTTCTATTTCTAGACTTCTCTGAATTTCTCACAAGCCGGAACTGCTTGCACTCAAGGAAGACTCTGAGTAGTTCTAAACCCCATCTGAATCACTTTTCCTCTGATCATTGGTGGTGAAGGCGTCTTTGGTTTGAATAATTCAAGTGATCCAAAACTGAAGGGCCGATGTTCTAGTAGTAGGTGACTTGCTATAAATTAGGCACATGAGAGCTGTATATTTACACACATGGGAACAGATACACTCACATTTAGTTTCCTGACCCAAGGAGTGTGTCTCCATTGTGCAAAACAATTGATTTGGAGAGCAGAGGAAGTGACCCACCAGCTAGCTATTCCTTTTACAAAACAACCACTGCCATGCAATTAATATGACTATTTGTTACTTCCCCTCATCCCAAATTTGCTTAACTAAAGAGCGGTTTTGGCTTTGTAGAAGATTTGAGCACTAGGAAAGCTCTAAGAAGATGTTCTGTGTCTAGGAGCTCTTCCAGAGTCTCCACTTGCTACTTTTTTCTGTTCTAAAAACTCAACCACTAGGCCTCAATGACAACATTTTTGACCAGGTTTGAGGATTACTTGTAAACTACATGGTGTACCCAGTTGTTACAGAACTTCAGGGGCAGCTGCTTCACTAGCCCTAGCTAACCAACCTTCCTACTCAGCCTGGACTTAATCAACCTTCCTGCTCAGCCCTTTCACTTGATAGCACCTTTTGCTATATCTGTTTCCAAACCTCAGTCCTTGATTTGCCCGATCAGATATGCCAATTGGTGACAATGGAATAGCCTTTCAAAGGTTGAGTGGTGATCCAGATTTGAGGAAGCTTTGCCTTCCTTGTCTTTGTTTCAAATTGGTTAGATGGAAGGAGAAAAGTGGTCACCATTTTAATTCTCAGAAGAGGAAGTTAATCGGTGTTCTGCATCTGACTTTCACCTCCCTCCTTCCTTTCCTTTGTCAGTTAGGATAGGTGACACTTCTTTTCTTTTACGGCTATTATCAGAGATTTTGTGTTTAATAGTTGCTGGGTCACATTTTACAAGTGCAAATGACTTTGATGACCTCCATTTACTTTTTCTTAGCTATCTTCATGTCTACAAGGAGTGAAAGGCTATAAAGCATTCAGGCAGGCTCCTGTTTTGATCAGCCTCTCCAGGTGATCATTATACCCAAGTCAAAAAGTCAATGCACTCCCCAAATGAGAAACATATATATATATATAGGAAATCTCCCTTTTACAAGATCGTAGTGCATCTCCTGGGTTTTTTCCCATCCTTGTGAGTCAGTTAGTTTGTAATTGACTCTCTAACCAGCCTTCCACCTTCTGTTAACCTTTATTACCTATAGTCAAAGGGACCTCAGGAATGCGAGAGACCCCCCCCAAACTCCCCTGCGGCTTTTAAGTCTCATCTTACAGCATCCCCCTCTGATTGTTCAAGAGGATAAAGGAGGTTTGGAGGACAGTTGGGAAAGGGGGCCTGGATTGTAGCCATCAAAATCACCACTTAAGTTGGCATTTATTCCATGTTCTAAGTTATGTGCTATTTTTTAAATTGAATATAAGCTGCAAAGACTTGAGTTAGTCATATTTCTCAGCTTATGACACATCATAACCCATCTAAGAACTCTCTTTTTTTATATTTTCCATCTTCGTCTCTGGTCCTCACTTCCATTTCCCTTCCTTTACCCCCAGGTAACTATTCTATGTTTGATAAAGGTCTTCCAAAATATATGTAAAGTACAGGGTGTTACCTATATGCATGATTTTAATTTACCTAAAGGACATTGTGCTACAGATATAATTCTGTTTCTGCTTTCAACTAACGCTGCTTTTAGGAATTGTTCGTATTGTTAGGTATCTGCCCACTTCATTGTTTCTAATTGCTGCATTCACAAAATTTCATTATCCATTCTGTTTTGTTGCATCTCCAGGTTTCTTCTAATTTCCCACTGTGTGAGAATCCAGCATTCATACCACCACACAATACTTACTTATGTGCCTTAGGATATATGCATGCACAATTTCATTAAGTACTGCCAGGAATATTCTAAAATATCCGACCAGTTTATATTCTCAACACTGGTTCAGAGCAGTTCCAGTTTCCCCACCTGTTCCCCAGTCCTTGGTATCCTTCAGTTTTCTAATTCTTGCTAACCTAATTGGCATAAAGTAGTGTTTCATTGTCCTTGTTACTAACAGCTTTGATCCTAACTCTTTACTTCCACCTGTCCACGAGATAGGCGACTGTGGCATCAGAGACTGGAACCAGGGCAAACACCACCTGGGAATGCCTGAAATAAAATGTTTGATTCTACAAGACAGTTGTCCAAACTTCCCAACCCATGTGAGCTCCAGGCCACACAATGACTGCTAAGATTCTGTAGGAATTCAGTGACACAATAGTGCTAGACCAGTGTGGACAGTCCAAGCTCCCACCCACTCCCCCTTCCCAAGCAGAGGCAGAATGATGTGTCCTCTGCAGTCCCAGCAGCAACTCGAGGTGCCATACATCAGTGGATATGTGCAGACTTACTTAGTTTAACATTTCTGTCAAAGTAACCCACAAGTGCCATCTTATCAGAGGATCAATTTTATATCAGAGGGTCATTAAATTCTTTTTCATGAGAATAAAATGGGCTTTTGCTGCTGCATGTTGTACTGCTGCTCGTCCGAAACTGGAGATGAAATCAAAGTGGAAAAGATTTAACCAAATTATCTATCTTCAGAAAATAAGCTTTGCTGCAAATGTATTTTTGATGTGGTATTGTGCAACATGGAGAGAAGAGAAATAAAAATACCCTAATGGTCTGCTATATACAAACAGGAGGATGCTGTGCCTTTAACCCTCTGTGGGAGCTGGTTTCCTGTTCTACTCCTTTTGGGGGTGGTGTTAGATGGGGTTGACAGGTGAGTGACAAAGGTCCAAGTTCATGATGGACTGTTCTGGGGTACAGTTGAATTGCACATTCATTTTTTTTCCCCAAAATAAGAGAACGCTTGGGGAAGGCTTTCCATTTTCTATAAAGTTAAATACCTTAAAGGGAAGCCTGTCCTAAACTGTGTCATCTCCCCCTCATGACTGTCCCCTCAGTCCTGGACATTCCAGGACTGATCTCCTCCTCATGAGATTCCCCGCCAGCCTGGGAAAACACTCAGCAGGTTCTGCCACCAACCTGGTGTCCTGGGGCCAAATTGCTGCCCTTCCCCATGGGACCACCTGTGCTCCTCTGACCCAGGGTGACCAGAAGGGTTTGCTTTAGTTGTGGAGTTGTTTGTAGCCCGTATTCGTGAGATGATCTTTCGTATTTTAATAACTTGGATAAGAGGAAGAGCAGGGAAGAGAGAGGAGAAGGCTGCCTACTAGGGATTTTTGGTACTTGGATGGTCTGCTCTTTCCCTGGCCTCTTCTTAGAATCTTTTGATTCTGCAAAGTCTTAGAGTAACAAAAGAAAGGAGCCAGAAATATCAAGCAAAAGAAATGGCAATGCCTGTTAAGATCCCCACTGCGTGTGAAGCACATGATGATATGTGAATGGGGGTAAGAATGGAAGCTATGAAAGAGGAGAACACGCGCTTGGGTAAGATCTGAGCAGTTACATAGTTCTAGAGTTGGAACACGTGGTGAGAATGAATCTCCACAGGTCAGAGGCTGCCAGAGAGCTTGCTGTGGCCATGGAACCCCTCCCCTGGGTGTCTGAGAAGAGCAACGGCCCTCAAAAGAATTAAAGTCCCAGCCATTCCCTCGGTCTCCCATGCACTGCATGGTGGGCACTGAAGCCCATGGACAGGCCCCACGTTCTCTACACAGCTTTCTAGGATATTTGCATCATCATTCCATTCACTAGGATACCCTTAGCTCTCCTGCTTCTCAGATTTTGATGTTTTTCTCATTCAGAGTAAAGATTGGAAGTCTGATGACAGCATGCCTGTCTGTAGCTCTGGAAAGGGCATGGGCATCTCAACAGGCATACAGGAGAGCCACAAAGAGCATCTCAGAGACCAAGGTCAAATGTGGAGAGGAGTCAGAGAAGCCCCTGACCTGCTCAGGTTTTCTGGGAGATGCTGCTATTTCTCATGGACCATGTTCATCCTTGCAGACTAGCAGAGTTCTGTCTTGGATGGTATAGGGTTAGTTTCTTAGGTATCCTACTGCCTAGCAGTGGATTAGAGAACTCACAGAGTCCTGGAGAATGACTTCTCTCTGACTAATGAAGGCCTTGCCTTTAACAGGTCCAGCTTTTTATTTGCTATAAGCTATACATGTGCTCTTCAGGGATAAACAAGAATAGAAAAAACTACTTGCAAGATAAGTAAGAGAAATGTAATCCCTGAGTGGGATGAAGGTGCTTTGAAATGAATGGGGGATAATCCTTTTGTTGTCTATTACAAATGCACTTTATTTCTGCATTATCTAGCTATGAGAATTTGCCATTCGCTCTAGTGACAACACCGCTGCAGTTTCTTCTCTTTATGTCACATTAAGTGAGTGCTGCAAGGAGTGTTTATTGCCTAGGGTCTGAGGCAGCCACCTACTGGGGGCAGCTGGGTCATGTGGTCACTGGGGTTCCTGACAGAATGAGTTCTGAACCAGGCTCAGGACAGCAGTAAAGGGGAAGTTAGGGAGGTGACCCTGTGAAGCTCCAACCCCCACCAGCTCCAGAGGCTGGGGAATGCAACACTCCATGCACGGGAGCCTTCAGTAACCAGAACAGTAGTAACCCTGTCTGGTTACCCTTGCTGGGTCTAAGACCTAGAACTAATGTCTCCCTCTCAGGTTCTGGCCTTCAGTTCCCTTAAAAGGATGGCAGGAGAATCCCAAAGGCTTGTCCCAGAGCATTGCTTTGGAAGTTCCTTTCTTCCTTTCATCTCTTCCCTCATGCCCTCTCTGCTTTCCTTCTCCCTTTCCTTCTTTCTTTTTTCCTTTTTTTTTTTTTTTTTTTAAGAGACAGTGTCTCACTCTGTTGCTGAGGCTGCAGTGTACAGTGGTGGAATCTCCGCCTCCCGGGTTCAAGCAATTCTCCTGCCTCAGCCTCCCAAGTACCTGGGATTACTGGTGCCCTCCACCATGCCTGGCTAATTTTTGTATTTTTAGTAGAGACGGGGTTTCACCATGTTGCCCAGGCTGGTCTTGAACTCCTGACCTCAAGTGATCCTCCCATCTCAGCCTCCCAAAGTGCTGGGGTTACAGGTGTGAGCCACTGCACCCGGCCTTCTTCTTGCTTTCACAAGAAGGAAGCTCCGTGTGGGGAAGCAGCCATCCTGAAGCACTAGGAATCGTCACAGGCTGCAACATTTGAGAACCAAGAATCTCTGTGCCTGGGAGCTCCTTGTTTTAAAGCCCGGTCTTTCCTAGGCTAATCCTGTGACTCTTGCAGAGTGCTCCCCTTGAAAATCCCCAGAGAGGATGGAATACACTGTGAATGATCTTATCTCAGGACCCTCCTACATGCCTCTCTCTGCCTAGAATGGCTTTCCCTCCACTGTGTGTCTAGTCATTTCTGGTCATCCCTCAGAGCTCAGCAGAAGTATCACTTCCTTTAGGAATCTCCTGATCCCCACTGAATAGATCAGGCCCACTATTCCTTCATAGCATCTGGAGCCTCTTTATTATACTTAACACGATTGATCAATTGATTGATTTTGAGACAGGGTCTCTCTCTGTTGCCCAGGCTGGAGTTCAGTGGCATAATCATGGCTCACTGAAGCCTTGACCCCTTGGGCTCCAGGGATTTCACCTCAGCCTCCTGAGTAGCTGAGACTACAGGTGTATGTGACACCATACCTAGCTTCTTTCTTTCTTTCTTTCTTTCTTTCTTTTCCTTTTTTTTTTTTTTTTTTTTTTTTTTTTGAGATGAGGTCTCATTATGTTGCCCAGGCTGGTCTCGAACTCCTGGGCTCAAGGGATCTGCCCACCTTGGCCTCCCAAACTGTTAGGGTCATAAGCATGAGGCACCATGCCCAGCACTTAACACGATTTGAAATAAGAATCACTCAAAGCATTTGCTGCCTACTGTGGACTCCCCAGCCTGGGCTGTAAGCTCTGGAGGCAGGGATGATACCTGTCTTGCTCACCACGACACCCCTACACCTAACACAATGCCTGGACTATAGCTTCAAGTGAGTAGAAACTTACCCAGCAAATAAATGAAATTAAGACAACCCTAGCTTTCTCTACTTTGCGTGTATTCCCCTCAATTCATCACTTCCTTATTTTTCCTTAAGAGGAAGGCAGGAAGTCTGAGCCCCAACAATGTCTCTCAAACCCACACCACCCTGGGGGGCCACCCCAACAGGACGAGGTGGACGTGTCAACAGTGGAAATGTATTTTGTCATGTTTTCCAGCTGCACTGGGGGAGAGCCTGCTGAAGCTGCTTGAATCTCAACACTGTCATACCCGCCATCTCATTATCTACAGCCACATCTAAAACCCACATGAAATACCAAGTCACACGCGGCTCTGGGAAAGACATTTTACAGAGACCATCTTATGAGTTTTTAATCTGCCTCCTGAGAACTTACAATCTAAGAAATAGAAAACTGATTCCAGTAAGCATGCCCAGAATATGCTAGCAGCAAGATTAAAACATGAAACTATGAATGTTAAGGTATTTATAACACGCATCGTTTAATAGGATAACATTTTTCTTAGCAGGAAGGAGCAAATTTAAGTGCATTCAGACGTGGGAGAGGGAGATTGGCCAGCTAAGGAGATTGGACAGGGTGGATGCGGAGCTTCTAAGTCCAGAGGAAAACAAATGATCAGCTCACGGTAACCCGGGTAGCCGGGCCTTCCACAGCGCTGATTCCACAGTCTAAAACTTCTAGACCTTCAGGTGGCCGGTTCAATGTTTCCGTTTAGGTCATGAGCTCGGCAACAAATTAAGTAAAGTGTCCCCAGTAAATGCTGATAAGCCCCAGGAGGAAACAGGGGCATCCCCACGCATACCAAATGCACTCATTAGCATCCCTGCTATTATGAAGAATAGCAAAATGACCTTGCAATCATTAGAAGCTTAAAATGCTATGACTTAAGTTTAGAAGGACACATATTACATTGTAAAACCTAATTAGTGTTACCTTTGCTAATTGCTGCCTGGCACTGAACTGGATAAAATCAATGCATGACGGACGTTCCGGGGCATCAGACATAACCCCATCACTATTTTTAAAAGAAGTAAAATTATAGAAGAGCCTTTTGAAAAGGTGTTTTTAACTGAGTTGTTTGACGGATGTGAGGGAAGCGTGGGCAGTCCATGCATTTATTTGTATGAATCCTAAATGCTGAAATCTTCTCCCAAGAACACTGTTCTTCTCCTGTACTTCTTTAATGTAAATGCGAGAATATCAAACAACGGGGGAAATTACGACAGCGTCAAAATCCAACCACAGCATGAAAACAGCTGTGCAGGGATATAGTGAAATCCTATCCCACAGGCAATTAGAATACTCAGCCCTATCCTAGCCCGATTCTGCAGCAGGGATGCCAGGCAGTGCTCTGTGTCTAGGAGCAGGTTCATCCACTAGATAAGCTCTACCCGAGCCTCTCTTTTGTCCTCTCTTGAGTAGGTCTCGAGGGCTGTATGCACTACCGTGGAAATGTCAATGAAGCCAGACCCTTCTCCTATCTGGAGGCTGTCATGGCCATAGTGCTGGGGGCATAGAAGTCAGGTCATGCTGTAGTTTCTACTTGGCTACTGGAGATGAAATCAACCAGAGAAAAGGGGTCATGCCTCCAGCCACACCTGCCCACCGGAAACACACACACATAATACATACACACGTGCACATGCACACACACGTGCACAGAGCCAGGCCTTACTTCTAGCTGTGCTCAGCATTTGTAATAAGGCTGTGAAAAGAAAATCATTTTCTCAGGGTTGCTTTTTTTCTTCCTTAAGGATAAATAATAGCTGATTTTTCAAGAAAAAAAAGCTGCCACTTGTGCCTCTCCCAGGGCCCCTCCTGAGCATATCCTAAATGGTACAGATTAAAATCGAGTCATAAAACTTACAAACCACAAGCAGTGAGAAAGACAGTTGGGAGTTCTGCTTCCACGGTGGGTCCTGAGGAGGGCTGGGGTCCCCTGGAGTCCCTCAGCTTCTGCTGAGCAGGAGGGTACGAAGGGGATGAAGAAAACAGAGCAGGCAGGGACCACCCTCAGGCATGGCAGCCCCTCTTAGCTATTTTAAATATTGTTCCCTGTAAAATTTCAATTAGGAAAGGAAAGCTTCTACTGCTAAAAATTATTGGAAGATCACCAAGAAGCCATTGAGGCCAAGGGAGGCTAAGTGGCCTCTCTCTGGTGCACAGAGACACTGATAGAGCCAGGATCAGAATTCAGGCACCCAGAGTCCAGCATTCTGTCTCCAGCTGGGCATGGAAGGAAGGGGAAGGGAGCCAACCATTCCCAATGCTGGCAGTGGCCTAGAATTCCTAGGCTTCCTGAAAGATATCAAACCCCAACTTTGTTTTTGCAGATATTCATATGTATTCTTGGGCAAGATTTCTTTCCCTGGGCTAGATGTCCCAAGGACCACACTCCTCTGTCCCTTTCAAAGAAAAGACAGACCTCACTGGGAAGTCCTGGATTGTGTCCACTGCTGCTGTCACCGGAGTCTGACCCCAGCCCTGCCCATCTCCAGGGATCGCAGAACCTGCCAGCCAACTTCCTTTGAGTCAGCCGGTCAGGGCTGCATCTTAGAAGCCAAGCTGCTTTGGTGTGATTTCTGAAGTCTGTGCATTTGCCTTAACTGTCAGGCCACTGGCTTCCCTGAGACTGGCTTCTGCCGTTTGCTCCCTGACAGTGATAGTGATAGCAGGACAGACTAACAGTCGGAGCACCCTGTGCATCTCTTTCCAAGGAATCCATCCATGGCAGGGACTGTGGAGCGCTCTCAAAGACAGCCACTTTGCAGGCATTTAGTAGGACATGGGCTCACCTCTTGCCTCCTCTTCTGCCTTTCCTTCCAGCTCCTTGCCCTTTACAATAGCTGAAGATTTTTTTAAGTGGAGCTGCTGATAATTAAAATTATATCTTTTTTCCACCAATGTCTGAAACTCTGGGAAGTCATTATCAGAGTCAGACAGTGATATTTTGATATCCCAGGATCTTTTTGATATAAGGAATAAAGTTCTAAGGCATGAGAAGATAGAGAGCCATGCTATTTCCTAATCACCCTTTATAATTTGCAGTATCTTGGGACGCTTCTCAGATGTTTCCACTGTGGCTTATGTACACTTCAAACCCATGTGCCATTAAATGCAGAAGCTAGGTACTGAATTAATAAAGGTAGCTTCAAAAGCCCACCTCTTTGGCAGGCTGAAGATCTAAGGGCAAACTCAAAGAGGGTGATGGGCCTTTGAAAATTACTAAGCACAAACAATAAACCTCATTAAATAAAGGCAGCAGAGTGGGCTCAGAAATGTAATGAACCAAGCGGGGGACCAACAGCACTGGAATCAGCCTGGGAATTAACATATCAGGGAGCTGAGGCTCAGGTTGAAAGAAGGGATTGTGTTTTGGAAAATCATGTGACTCCTATTGAAACAATGCTGAGGACAGTGGTTGGGAGGATGCTGGGGCAGCGCTGGGCACAGGCAGGCCGCTGTGGTGCTGGGACTGGGGGACGCTCATGTTTGCAGTCGTCTACTCTCTCACTCACCCTAGTGGCTTCAGTAGAGTCTACAGAAGGCAGAGTATTTGGGCAGGGCCTGTAAAGAAAGAGAAAAGCTGATAGAAGCTGCTTGGCCATCGAAATGAACTCCTTTTGCCAGGATGTGCAGCCACGGGACTCCCACAGCACCCCTCCAGGTGCCTTCTGTCCACAGCCAGGGAGCAGAAAACTGGAGGGATTTGGTCACCATTAAATGGCAAAGTGCTTGATGAGATCCTGTTGAAAATTGAGCAGCAGATTGGACAATTAGAGTGCCAGACCAGCACGTGGAGTTTTCAGAAATAGATGGGAGTTGCTGGATAATAGGTCACATTAGGCCACCACAGGAGCACGCAGGACTGCTCAGTCTCTGAGCCCCAAGCTCTTCCCTCTAGACTCTGGCATGGCCAGTACAAGCCCTTTCTCGGCTATTGTTGCTGGTCAGGGCTGACTGTCTTAGGTATGAGGCACTCTCGGAAGGCTGCTCAGGAAGAAGACCCTTTCTCTTTCATGAACCTGCCGGGAGCCAGAAACCATTCTCCTCCCACTTTCACCCCTCAGCTCTATCCCCACCTCCCCAATAATTTTATCTTCATTTTAACTCAAGAATTTAACTACAGAGATTGCACTGACCCATCCCCCTAGAATGAAAGGACACAAGATCCTCCACCAGATAGTTATTTGTGATTGTGGCTGGGGGTTTATTTAAACTAATTTTATTATTCATGACACTGACAATTTATGCAGTGAATGCAATTAGAGGCTATGATTGGCTGCCACAGCTAAGGGCTAAAAGTGCCACTTCCTTGGATATGCAAGGAAGAAAGGCGAAGAATGTTAGAAAAATAATCAGTCACGGAGATATTTTTTATGAAGTGATTCCCACAAACCTTGATTTTTAAAAAAAGCTAATTTAATTTCCCTAACACCCTGCAAAAGATATCTAATTATCCACTCTTAAATTGCTCTCATAATTTTTCCAAAGTTCTCTATTGTTTATGCCTTTGTGAGTTCTCCTTGTCTACAAGCAAAGAAGCTGTCGTCTCAATGTGCAGGTTCCAATAAAACGTACTGAAACTGATTCTTCCCGAAGCTGTGCATAGAAGCCCTGATGTGGCCTGTAATATATTTGTCCATTTAACCAGGAAATATTTGAGAAACAAGACTTGAGTGGTAATCATTTAGAGTTCTGGGAGGAGAAGAGGGAATTGACTTTTTTTCTTCTCCTTTTTTTTTCCAAGAAGAACAATTTTTAAAAAATCATTGGACATCAAACCAAAACAAATCATGGTGCCTCCACACAATGGGATATTCCTCAGCAGTAGAAAGGAATGGACTACTGATCACGCAGTAATGATGACGAATGTCAATGTAATTATGCCAAGTGAAAGAAGCCAGCCAAAAGGTTCATATTATGTGATTTTATTTATATGAAGTATTTTTTAAAAAGGCAAACTAGTCTTTCAAGACAAAAAGCAGATCCCTGGGTACTTGAGGGGCAGGGGGAGAATAAAGAGGGGGAGGGAAAAAGGGAGGGGTCACTAAGGGGAAGAGAAAACTTTGGTGGGGGTGATGGACGTGTTTGCAGTCCTGATCGTGGTGATGGTTTCATGAGTGTACACACGGCAGAACCCCTCACCTTGTATACTACTTTAACGACGTTATTTATTGTGTGCAATCATACTTCAGTAAATCTGTTACAACACAGGCACACCCCTTGGGTAAGTCTTGGCTCCACCATTTATCTAAGTATGGGATCTTAATCTCCGTGGACTGTGGATTACTCTGTAAAATGGGAATGATAAGGCCTTCCCTGCCCACCCCATAGGAGTGTTAGGAACATCAACATGAGAAAACAACAGCACCAGCAATCCAGGTGTGTATACATTCATAAACTCACAAATGGGTTTCATCTCCTTTAATCACTGTCGACAATGAAATGGGTCAGTGCTACTGCTCTAGGGCCTGGTCTGTTGTCTTGCCCACGGTCAGTCTGCAATGTTTATTGAATTGAGCTGAAGGACACTTAGTAAACCTCGAGCGGCGTCACCTGGTCTAATTACTATCTTTTTAATGAACTTCTGATTGGGAACCATGGAATCCTGAAATGATACATCTTGGAATGGGAGGGCCTCGTGAGGGTCTTAGCAACACATTCTAAGATAAGTGGGACTTGGCAAAGTCTAGTGCCTGATTCAGGGCCTCTGGTCTAGCCTTTATAAATAATGATTAATGAAGGAAAGAGCAGTGTGGGGTGGTGATCAAGACAGAAGTCCTAGAACTTTTGTTGCGCCCTCCTATGCTCTTCCCTGATTTGTAGGCAGCCTGGTAAGAATCTGGCACGGGCCCTGGTGAGAATCTGGCACGGGCCCTTTAAATTCACAGCACAGCAGAGTGGGATTGAGGTAGAAGAGCTGAACTGAGCTCCCTCACTTCAAAGACTCCTCTAGGCCCCAGAGAGCTCTGAATTGTAAATTGTCTGATGTCAGCCTTTGTGGCTGCTGTCTAGTGTCCCAAACTCTCAGAATTTTCTCCCAAGCTTCCTGGCAATCAATTCAGCCCACTTGATCACACACCTGCCTCACTCCAGTATGTGCTGTATGTTTGTTTATATCACTCTTTGCAGATTCCAAAGTACTCTCACACAGTAGTTTTTACTTTCAGTCCTCCCCTTGATACTGTGGGTGTATAGCATAGGTCCTATTGATTCCTGTTTATGGTTAAAGGAATTGATGTCCACATTAATACAAGATTTGCCCAAGACCACTCACTGAGCAAAGAGGAGAGATAGGAATCAAGCTTCTACCTTCTGACCCCTGTTCCCACCCCCTCTCTCCTGTGCTGTGCTGTCTCATTCCATCCCCAGGGAGACAGGTGACCTCACCTATGTTTAACTGATTCTGAAGGTTACGCCTATCTTCATTTTTCTAATATGATGGAGAAAAGTAATACTTACATTGGTTACTCAGCGGTTGAGTAGAGATGAGATCCTGCCAAAGGCAGCCTTCTTTTCACTGTACCAATTCTATTTCCAACATTTAGTTAAATCTAAACATTATTTCAGCCATGTGTGTCATTCTGCTGTCTTTACATTCTTGGCCACATTGGGGACCCTTGGTTGGTGGGGGTGGGAGAGAGGAGAGGCTGGGAAATGAAAACCTACTCAGTAAGCCAGCCCAGATCCCTGCAGTGAGGGGTGGGTTACAGAACAACATGCCTCACAACTTGCTGAGGAGAGAGCAGTGACCCTTCTGACTTCATAAATTTGGAAAAAGAACAGCACAGAAGCTAAATTTGGGCAGCGGGGAGAATTCTCCTTGGAAAGCACGCTGACCATGACCATAATCAGTAATGCTTCTTGCTTCTTAGCCTCCAGTCCCCAAAGCATCTCCCCTCCGTTCCACTGACAAGACATGCTTGTCTTTTGGTCTTAAAGTGATGAATGCATGCTTGCTCTAATACTCACGGGCTGCATTCAAAATGGAACCTGGGCAATTATCAGGAGCTTTGGACAGTCAGACTCGGATGTTGCAGATGACATGATACCTCAATTATTCAGAAGCAATCATTTCCAAATTGCCTTCTAGAATTTGGTGTGCAGTGCATCTCATGTGGGTCCCTTCATGCACCTTCCTGCTGTCCCCCTGTGCTTTTCCTGAATTCTTCTGGGAGGGGAGTCAAGGTGAAACCATATGAGATAGGGAGACTGAGCACTAACTCACGTGTTCACCTTAGGTTTTGACTTTCTGGAGCCTGCTCAGAACAATTATCCTTTTTTCTTGAATGTTGAAAGTTTCCTTTTTCCCCTGAGGAGACATTTCTGAAACTGATCACCATTGGAATGTGAATTTTCCTGTCAAGAGTGGGGCAGAATAAGGAATGTGACCATTATTCTCAGCTCATAAAAGAGGCCTCCCTCCAGCTGTTATTCAAAAGACAATCTAACCCATTCTGGCACTGGGTCACCCTGAAGACTGTCATTCCCCAGTCAAGGACCAGCCCAATGCTTAGTTCATGGGACCAAGCTGTCAACTGATTGCAGAGCTTGGCTCTCCATCCCAACTGTTCAATAATGCTCTAATTAACTACAGAAAACTTCAGAGGACCCAGCTAACTATAATTGAGAGATCAACAGAGGCTGCATGAAGTTAGATGTGCATACTAATTACTGAATTATCCAACACCTGTTTTGGAATGTAGCACAAAACATGGCTGTGTTTTCAGGCAGAAGACCTTCAGTTTAAAAATGAAGTTTATCTTTGGTGAACAAAGTTAACCCAGACAAGAAGTAGTGAGCCCACTTCTTGTCTAATGAGCCATATTTTTTTATTAGCGCTGGTAGGAGATACAGTGGGGCTGAGGCAGTACAAATGAAGCCAGTCAATGAAATATCCATGCACTTAGCCCTCAGGAGAGATTCCGAAGAGGCAGTGTGGGGCTGCTGAAAATAGATATTAGTGAGTCCATTATCATCATGCAGGGAGCTATACTTAGGATTTGTACACTTCAGGGCTATCTCCCAACATTGAGACATTTCTGCACCCTTTGCATCCTCAGAGCTGGGTTTGCAGCACCATCTGTAAGTATTCGTGGGTCAAAACCACTTAGCCTCTTCACTAGGACTAACAGGAATGTCATGTGGGCAGGGAGTATCAAAGCACAGCAAAGAGAAAAGAGTGGAAAAGAGTCAAGACATTGAGCTAGAGAAGAGCAGATGAGAATGCAAAATTAAAGTGAGGAACGCATTAAATGTGGGAAGAAAGAAAACTGTTTCTTAGTCATATTTCTTATCTTTACTGATTAGGTTCAATATCCCATAATCAGTTAATGTAGACAGTGGTAAAATCATGCTTATCTGTGAGCCTCACACTTTTTTAGATGAAACATTTGTTGCCAAATAGAAAAGTGAAACCTCTTTCAAAGCCCAAAGTACCCTAGAATTAGACAGCACAGTGGGGCATGCCTGAGGCATACAACCTAAGGTAGCTCGGGAGCCAGCCTGCTGCCCTCTGCTCTGTCCTTCAGCTAAGTGATACTCTCTTATTCAGAAAAGAAGGGATGCCCAGTAACCATGAAAGAATTACCTGCTAGAAAAAAATAAGGCAGATTCAGCATTTCTGGCTTTTTCTCAGTTATTTCTCAGAGAATAACTTTGATGATGATAACGATGATGAGGTTGACAATGATGATTGATATGATCATTGTATTCACAAACAATGCAAACGAAAATTAAATAGATCTTAGGGATGCTGGGATTCCAGGATTATCTGTACTAAACCTGTCTTTCCTAAGAAACCAAATGCATTTGATAAACATACGCCTGAAAATTTCTCCAAGTGTCCATTTTGAGAACATACTCTATGTTTTCATGTTGCTGTCTTTCTTTCTCTGGGGTGTTCATGAAGCCAACATGGACACTGTAGAAGATGGCACCATACTGGGATATTTTATGCTTCCCACTGTGTTCCCATTTTGGGATCCAGTTACACTTGAAACATCTTGACTTCACACAGCCCTGCATCTGGGATCTTTCTCAAAGCTGAAATGTAAAAAATGGAAAAGTAAGTCGTTGTCCAAGAATAAAGAATATAGTACCCATGGCCATCTGTGGGCATCATATTCCTCTCCCATATGCAAGGTCTTTGAAATAACCCTATTTCCTACCACTGTCCAATCTGAATCCAAGGGCCTTCTCTATTAACTTGGATTTGTGGAAGAGTCTTTATGTTTAAAATACAATACACAAATCTCTTAACCTATTGCCTTTTCACTCAACATTAAGTTTTCAACTCCAAATGAAGTTTAATTCTGCAGACTCTGTCATGTGTTGACTGTCTAATTGGAAGCCATTCCATTGCCAAGCAACCATTGGTTGCATTTCTGATATCTACTCACCACTGCAGCTCTGTACTGAAAGATGGTTGCTATGCTTTTCCACTTCATTAGCCTCCACCGAGAGATGACATCATTGCTTCTGAGAACTTCCACAATCTTGGCAAATCTCCTTATCTCATTTCTCTAGAAGATGCCTCAAAACCTGTCATTTGATGAATCGATTAATTAGTTTCCTGGGTCACGATCCTTGCTTGCTTATGCATTTGCTATTTTACCCCGTGGCGTGCTATGTTGTCTTTGACTTTAGAGAGGTGAGACCTTGCCTCCCCTTGTGGTGTGTCTGTCATGAACCCAGTCAGCCTTCCTCAGACCTCTCCTAGCTATTTTCCCAGGGATAGCCCCTCATCCTGGCGGTCACGCTTTGTAGATTTGCAATTCTCTCTGTGCTTGAACTTTGAGCCCAGAGTATAAACTTTTTAATGCACATGTATTGGGACATACCTGCAGGTTGGGCTGACTTTATGTCAACATGAGTAAAGATGTGTTAAATAACAGAGGGCTTAGGGAGGCCCATCGATTGGCACACTCTAGAACCATGCTTCTCCAATGACAATCCTAGAGCTGCTTCCAGCAGAGTCATCTGGAGGGATTGTTTAAAATGCAGATTCTCAGTGACCACCTCCATGTTACTGAACAGAATTTCTGCGGGTGGACCCAGGCTTCTTAACAAGCTCTGCAAGTGAATCTTATACACACTGAGAACCACGGTACTAGAGAACTTTTTCTAATTAATAGACTTGAACAATTTTGTTTACTTATCCATGTAGGCCCAATGCCTCATAGAGTGTTAAGATTGAAAAGCATCATAAGGATCATTGCAATCACTTGTCAATCTCCCCGGGTGGCCAGTCACCCTCCACTTTAATACCTGCAGGAACAGGGGGCTCATGTCTTTGAGAAGCTTCCATTGTTGAACTGCTCCAGTGATCAGAAAGTTCTTTGTATCGATTCAAAACCTATGTCTCCACCTCTCCATTCCAATTTTGATTCTGGGTAATATAGGATGGCCATTTTTTAATATAACATACTTTCTAACATTGGATCTTTAATTTCAAACAAGCATTTTTTTAGTAGCTTTTAGAAAATCCAGCCTGTGTAAGAGTTCCAAACATAAGTTCTGAGACTAATGCTTGTCCAGGAGATCCTCACAGTGTGAAGTGGGAATGGAAAAAGTCTATGTGTAAGGAAGTAAATGCTAAAATAGAGGTTTTATGGGAGTGCTGACGTAAGAACAATACATTCTTCCTGGAGCATTCTCCACTGCAGAAAGTGACTTTACCCAAACTTCATCAAAGGTTTGGATTTTTTCCAGGTGGAGAAGATGAGTTAAGGACGTTTCAAGCAGAGTTGCCAGCATGAGTAAGGTCATGGAAATTGTGACGGTGACCATGACCTTTGGAAGTAATGCAAAGTCCCGTGTGCCTGGAACATAGATAGAGAGGGATGCAGGAGAGAGAGGTGACAGGAAGTGCGACAATGAGCATTTGTTGGGAAGAGGCTATAAAGTTCTTTAACTGCTGTGCTGCTTGAAGATCTCTCTCCTACCACTTCTGGTGACCTGCTTTGCCTTTCCAAGTTGCCTCAATTTCCTCTTAACTATTCCTGGCTTCTCAAGAACTCTCTATAGCAGATGATGATCCTCCTGTCTCCTGCTCAGCTGCCAAGGAGTTAGGCTCCAGATTCAGTATCTGACTCAATTAATTTTCAGAAGAGAAAGGCAAAGTGAATTAAAGTAACAAACCCTACCTGCTGTCACTTAAACGAGGAGATGTATTACTTTTTACTACAATGATATTTGCTACAACGGAAGAATCATGCACATCCATTGAAGTTAGAGTACTGGCAGAGGGGCTCAGCAGGCAGAGCTACTGGGTCTATCTAAACACTCACCCCTGTTGTCTCTACTGCACAGTCATTGAATGTCCAACAAGTCATATTCATGGAGGTGAGGGTCTCTGAACCCATGGTTCTTGAACCCAGAAACTTCAAATGTTTCCAGGTTTGGTTGAGTTTTACAGTTTCTGCAGAAGTGGAAGGCTGCCACTCAAAATGCACCATTAGTCAGTCCAAGCATGGGATCAAAAATTTTCTTCTAGTCATTGCAGGCACAAAAGGGGGATTAAAGCAGCTCTTTGCTGCACTTTAGGCAGTCGAGAATGTCAAAGATCGGCTCTTGCCTTTGCAACATTTGTTGGCAGCACCAGAAAGCATGAAAAATAATGGAAATAAGATTACTGCAGACCAGAGGATTGAGGGACGTAATTCCTCCCTGCATTCTGCGTTCTACTGGGATGCCTCCAGACTATCTCTTTGTACCAGGAGCCAGAGCGTTTCTCCTGGTCACAATTGCATGGGACAGGGTGGACAAACCATCTCTATATTTTGTAACAGCAAAATGCAAATAGGTAGGGATGATTTGTGTTGCTAGTTCAGTTAACCAAGGAGGTGAATTTTGTAACAATAAGGATAGAAAGAGGAGGTTCAGCAATGGATGTAGGCCCATTCTTCTGCCCTGCTGCACACAGCAAGGTAAAATTCTAAAATGTGCCCCATACTGGAAAGAATATCTGCAATCATTAATCTAAAGGAGAAGGAGATGTATGCACCTGCTTACACTTTAACAAGTGGTTGGCAATTTTTAGATACATTTGAAAGGATCCTTCAGTGAAAAGTGTTCTCAGAGAAAGTCAAGAGGGCAGGAGTCAGGGTGAACAAAGTTTCCAGGACTGAACTGCTCATTTCCTAGATGTTCCAGAGTACAAGGAAATGATCATGGGAAAAGACCTGACCAATCAGGGGCCTATTTAGGGCTTGATCCCCCCTACACACACACCCATATATACGCACACCCCTACATACATGCACCCCAGGAAGGCTCTCAAATGGGCCTTGTATCCCTGCAAGCACTAATTAGTTCATTCTGATTCCCTAGCAGTTTTGGCACTTGTCCTTTAAAATCAGACACCTGTTGTTTCGGTTTTTTAAAGTTGCATTGGCCGGGCTCAGTGGCTCACATCTATAATCCCAGCACTTAGGGAGGCTGAGGAAGGCAGATCACTTGAGGCCAAGAGTTCGAGATCAGCCTGGCCAACATGGTGAAACCCCATCTCTACTAAAAATACAAAAATTAGCCGAGTATGGTGGTGGGTACCTGTAATCACAGCTACTCAGAATGCTGAGGCCTGAGAACTGCTTGAACCTACAAGGCAGAGGTTGCAGTAAGCCAAGATTGCACCACTGCACTCCAGCTTGGGTGACAGAGTGAGACTCTGTCTCAAAAAATATTAAAATGATTTTTTTAATTGCATTAAGAGCTTTAAGAAAAACTAGCTCAGCCAGTGGCTGCGACAGATCTAGGCTGGGACTTCCTATGTTGGTGACCATGACCAAGGAAAGTACCGCAGGGCTTGACGCTGACTGATTAAACCAGGCCAGTTGGCTGGGAGACCTGGTCTGAATTGAGTTTTCACAATGCCAGCCCGTTTGTGGGCTCTGCAGCCTTTAACAAGGGCACTGATCTGAAGGAACGTGGGGAGAGGGAATGGGGTCTGCTGGCCCCAAAAAGAAGCCCCATTAACAGAGAGGGGGAGGGGGAGTCGCATGCAAAGTTCAGCCGATTTATGCCACTTGGTTTCATTCCAGCTCCTAAAAGATATATTCCTCCTATTAGGTACGTTACAGTGACACTGTGATTGGTGGAGGGGAGCAAAGTACTTGTCAGCAGAGTGACTATTGGCTGTCACTCCTGTTATCAAGCTGCCTGCTTATTTGCGATTTTATTTTCAGATGTGATTGACAGCTGGATGGCTCTGACATTCTCAGCACAAACATACAGCCTGTTATTATGTTTGCATTAACATTTTGATAAACACACGGTACAGCATTGGAAAAGTAATTACATGTCATCACTTCAGTGCTTCATCAAAGAAAAGTTTACTGTGTAATTGCTCTGTGATTTACCTAGGTAGAATGTGTTACATTCCACAAAGCCTCTTTCTATTTAATAGTTTACATTTACTCTTTAAAATACACAATATCCCTTCCCAGGGGCTTCTTTGGTCTAAAATAAACTTGGCAATATAATTTAGCTTTCCATAAATATACTTAGATTTTACTGTGGAGTACTTTTGCATAATAGTTATTTAATGCTAAGTGTAAACATGCAGTGCATTATATTGGCTGAGCTATCAAAAAAAAAAAAAAACCACAACTTTTGACAACAAGGAAAAATAGGATATTGTTACCTTGGTTTCTGCATTAAGAAAAGGGCCTTTTGCTCTTATATTTATATCCATGCTTTTCACAATGACATCTAATTTTACAATAAAGTGACTTGAGCTGAAATGCCTAGCAGTAGAATCTAAAATATTGGTTCTTGTTAGCGTTTAAAGAGCTCTTCTGATGTGGCAGTGAAAGAGGTATTTTGGAGGAAGGCACAAATGATTGCAGGGTACTTTGGAACCAGAGACGAAGGGACGATTTGACTGATGTTCTCTCAGTGGGATCCTTCTGAACAGTTGGATGTCTAAGAAGCAAAAGGTGGGGTGAGTGGGTCAAAGAAAACAGTTGTCGAAGAGTCCCCAGCAGAATCTTCAACTAGAAATTGCTTTTGTGGTTGATATTGGGAAGGTACTTCTAGATTCCAGGCTCTTTGTAATTACTGATGAGCAAACACTTACAGCCGCACCCAAGGTCAAATAGGCAAAGCCTTTCCAGGATACTTAAGGATAATTCGCACATCTGTATTGGCTAATCCATTCATCCAAGAAAGGACAGGCACAGAGAAAGGAAAGAGAGAAGTAGGGCAGCCAAATTGCTTTCACAATACCTCATGCCTTTAGCTTTTCTATCTCAAGGAATTTCCATAGGCACAAGACTTCCCAGTACATACCATGGCTTCCTTCTTGAATAACTGAGATGGCGGCGGGGTGGTGGGGGAATGGTCTGTTCTGAAATGGGAGCACAAAAGCAGGCTAACCACTCAGTGAGGGGCATGATGTTGTTTGTCTCTGGAGACAGAAGGTTCAGGGTCATAAGACCAGTTGAGCTCCTTGAGATGTCCTTTACCATTCCTCTAAGTGGTCTCTTGGCCAAAGGATAATTCTCTCAGATGACCCACTCAGAAATGTGCAAAGGTTAAATGACTGAACCACAAATATCAAGGCTATCTCTCCATTCTTTTGAGAGGCCTCATGGCTACATGGAAAGTGGCTTGGAGGTGAGAGAAATGGGAGAAATGGAAGAGATTATAGCCTGGACTTGAAAATGAAGGTAAGAAACTCACTGTGAGACCAAAATAAAGAGGAGTGGTGAAAGGATCAGAGGGGAGAAAGGACCATGGTGTTGATCAGAAGGACCTATAGTTATCTTAACGGCATGACATCAAATCAGCTGGGGCCCAGGAGCAACTGCAACCTCATCAGCTGCTTCTCCGGTACAGCTGGCTGCCACAAAAAAGAAAGAGTTGAAACATACATTTCCAGATGTGTGTGACGGTTCAGTAATTCCACGTTAGTGTATATTAATCCTTTCTGGAAACTGGCATTAACTCAGCCTCAGCACTAGTCTAAATAAACACATCAGCTCTGAGAGCAAGAGCTTCTTTGCATAACAGCTGCATATAGCATCTGCATCCTGGTTATAGGTTCCCTGTACATTACCTCCGTGATGAGCTCCAGTTTCCCTCTTTACATTTAGCTGGACTCAGACTATTTCCTCCCTTTGCTGTCAGTGATGGGAAGAAAGATGCCATTGTAATTGCCGGTTGGCCTGCAGAGTAATGCCCTGTAATTGACAAAGATTGCTTAGCTGTAAGGAAGAAAGATACACTGATTAGGAGAGAGATCGTCTTTAATATTGCATTTAACCTGCACTCTTTTTTCCCCTTTCCTTTTCACCTGAGCCCTGTTAGGGATGTCTCACATTCTTGGCCACACCATTTCTCTTTGAGGACGAAAATAGAAGTGTGGCCAGGTCCACAAGGGGACACTTGGTTTCTCGGAGTAATTTCACTGAGTTGGGAGGCTTAAAAGCTTTAATATGGATATATGCTGAACTATCCAAAAACAGAATGTGTTTCCCATCACATTTAATGTACCCCTTTGACCTGCCAATCCCAGAGGTGGCCAGAGCTTACACCATTTTTCATCTGTGCCTCAAATTACTAGGTCAAATCTTTAGATCTTCATTATTCTTGTTTTTTTTTTCTTTTGCTCCTGAATTCAGGGTTGTGTTGCATTTTTTTCTTTGAGAATCACATTGACTTTTATTTTTTGTAGAGAGCTTTAAAAAATCGCACTGTTAGAAAAAAATTATATATGGGTTAAAATGCACTTTTCATGTCCTTTCATGCTCTATTGATTTTTTTCTCTCGTTTTTCTTACAAAAGAAAGTTTTAGTGCAGTTTTGAAAAAAATAGTAGTCAGCAATTGCTCCCTCCCCCAGGAGTAAAAATACTGGACATCTTGCTTAGAAATGCAACAGTATATATATCTAATGGGGGTGGGAGGTGGTGAGACCCCATTAGTCACCTGTAATACAACTGTTCTCACTACACACTATTTTAATAGCTGCAGGGGACTTTTAACTCTCCACAGTTTTTAACTCTGCAGTAAAGTTTAAATGTCCTACAGGGAGTTTTTGATGTGCTTATGGGATGTTCAATCTGAAGACAGAATAATTTTGTCTAAAAGCTGACACTACCTGGAGAATAAGTATTTATCTGTCTTCCATCAACGTACCTACCTGCCTATCTCTCTGTGAATGAAAGGCCATAGGGTAGAATTGAAAAACACTGAGTTAGAAGCCTAGGGTGTCCAGGTTTTCATCCCACTTCTAAGACCTTGGACGAGTCACCTCCATATCTTTGATTCTAGGTCCCATCATTGGTGAAGTGAGAAGCTTGGACTATGTCTCTAGGGGGGAGTTCCAGCCTTAACACGCTGCAACTGTTTTTGCACCTATTATAATAATATTCTGCTTTTTCAGGCACAAAAAACATGTGGATGATAGGTTCAAGATACTTCTGTTATTACATACTACTGTATGTCACTTTCTCTGTTACATTGTTCCTGTCATGCCTGTATTTTTATACACCATCCTGTGCCCAGAATTATTTTAGTTACAATTCAACTAAGTTCTCTCCCTGTTCAAAATTATACTTGCACATGCACCAGTTATGCTAGCCAAATAAAATTGATAAAACGGGATAATTTTTCAAATAAGCCAAGTCAAAAATGCTTTCATCTACGTCAATTGATTCTGGAATTATTTTAGCTCTAAATATAATGAATTTCATTTTTGGAGGTAGACCTTGTGTCCATATAGGTGTGGATGGGAAGTTGGGGAGGGAAGTGAGTGAGTGGAGGAAAGAGATTCTTTCCATTGCAGGATTGCAGACTTTCACTACAGACTGCTTGGGTTTCAGAGACCAAATGATCTACTTCCTCTGCCCCGTTACTGACCAAACCCTGCCCAACCTGACTTACATTTAACTTGAATGTACAGAAGCCACAATATTTTGAAAATGCATGTATATATAGAACGCTCTTTTGCTATCTGAGCCCAGTTCCAGATGTAATGCAGCTCTTGGCTGGCTGGAGAAGAGAACTCTTCTCACCAGTGGATTCGTGCCACTGGCTGTCAACTAAGAGGCATAACAGTGCTCCTCAATCAATGGTCTCTTAACAGAGCTGAACGTCTGCTTGTCCTCCTCTTTCTCATTTGGAACATCTGTCAGATCTCCTCGTCGCCCTGCAAGAGGTCCCCAGCCCTGCTTTGGCCAAGCGCCACAACCAACCTTTATTCTTATGCAGACCTCAGCAGCTTGCACCTCTTCCTTATCTGTTGTTCCTTTTCCTGGGTGCCCAGTAATATAACTCTTTTTTTATGAGTTCAGTGATAGTCTGTCTTATAGGTTTCTGCAATCTACTGTAAGGGTTATCAATTGTGAAAATTTTGGCTCCATAAAGAAGACATTCTTTTTGTATTCATTAAAAACATATTTATGGCCAGGCACGGTGGCTCACGCCTGTAATCCTAGCACTTCGGGAGGCTGAGGCGGGCAGATCAGGTCATGAGTTCAAAACCAGCCTGGCCAACATGGTGAAACCCCATCTCTACTAAAAATACAAAAAAATTAGCTGGGCATGGTGGCAGGTGCCTGTAATCCCAGCTACTTGGAAGGCTGAGGCAGGACAATTGCTTGAACCCTGGAGGTGGAGGTTGCAGTGGGCCAAGGTCGCACCGCTGCACTCCAGCCTGGGTGACAGAGCAAGACTCCATCTCAAAAAAAAAAAAAAAAAGCATATTTATGAGTATGTACTGTAAGCCAAGCACTAGGATAGGTGTATCAGGTGCAACAGTGAGCAGGGATAGCACAGTGTGTCCCCACTTGCCAGCTATGTGGCTTCTTTCTCCCTGGGTGTGCTGTAGGATGAAATTATCCAGATGGGCACCAAGCATCTTTTTACCACATTGCTATCTGCTTCTCCACATTTTCCCTTTCTGTAGTCCGTGCCTTCAGGCTGAGAAACTGAGTCTAGAGATCGTTGCCTCCAGCAGATCTGTTTCTTCCTGAACAGCACCTCTGCAGGTCAGCCGCAGCAAATCTTGGTCCATGAAAAGAACTTGCCAATGCTTATTCTTGAGAGAAAAGACCTGAGCTTCATTTCAGTTGTCTGTTGAGCTAGTAGTATTGGGGCCAGAAAGTTCTGAAGAGCTAGTAGAAGACGGCTGCCCTTTGAAGTCATTATTTCCAACAATAGGTCACCTCCAATACCCCTCCTGTGCCCCTCCCATCACCAAAGCCAAGCAGTGCCATGCTGCACTCCCTACCTCCAGGGAACCCGAGATTCAATTTCGGTTTCACCTCCCAGCCTTTGCCTGTTTCTAGCATCTCATGATATAGGAACAAGTTCTCTCAAGGGATGCCATGTTTTCCCTCAAAGTATTCATTTCATTAACAATCACACTGTGTTATTATGTTTTCCCTGTACTATTCTATAGATCATTTTTATTATGTAGATACAAACTCTTTGATATTGTAATTGTGAAGTACATATTATGAAGACAAATGCATTGGGCATAATGAGAATGGATTGCCAATAAAAGTCGAAAAACAATGAACAATTTTTAAAAGCAAAACCTTATCCAGAGCACTGTCACTTTGAATGCTTGCTAGAAAGCCCACTGGATGGAAGGAGTTTATTTTTAGTCTAATGTTGATAAAGGTTTGACTTTGGTAGCATCTTAATTATCTGATAAAAGCCAGACTCCTCTGCCTTGCTCACCTCTAATGTCTAATGCCTTCTGCTGGCATTAAAATTATTGCCACGACTCCAGAGAGAGAAACAAGAGATAGCTGCATTGCATTTCCAAGATGTGAATTAGAGTTTAAAGAGTCACTCAGTTTTGTTTAAACAAATTACAAAAATAATGGGTTACCCTTAAAAGCTCTGTTTCATATATTGTTATCCTTCACTTGTGACACCCCTGACAGTGTCATTCCCCACATTATGTCTCTCGTTTTTCACTAGGGGAGAAGAGTGGTTTCTGGGGGGTCTCTTCAGTGTTTTTTTTCATTTTGTCCCTGGTTCTGAAGAACAGAGAAAGGACAAGGAGAAAATGAGCCAATGGCCTACGCTTTGGACACAAGGTCATATATGGAGGGTGTGCTGAAGACTATATTGGTTGATTGGTTGACTGGTTGGTTGATTGATTGATTGATTGATATACACTTGCCACCTCTAAAATCACACAGGATTGGGGTAATGGATTGGGGCCCAGACATGGAGATGAGGAGCCCCCTACAGGACAGCGAGTGTTCTTAGACATAGGGAGGAAAAGGAAGGGGCAGACACAGACCTCTCCCGATTTAGGGCAGTGAGACACAGGGGAGCATGACATGGACTCGGTCCTTGGCTATATGATCTTGCCCAGGTCTCCACCTCTCTAGGCCTGTATGTCTTAGTCAGAAAATGAGGAGGCCAGACCAGGCTGTGTCTGACGTTGCTTCACCTTTGATGTTTCATGAGCCTCTGGGGGCTGGAATCTATGCAGCCACCATTCCACGCACAGCCAACTGGGATGCTTAATTCTAAAAACCTCCCCTCTCAAAAGGAAAGTGTGCCAGTTTAAGTATTTGAGGAAACATTTTGTAGAGGGTTGACCCAGTTCCCACATTAAGAAAATAATGCCCAGGCCCATATGGCTAATTCCTTCCCAAACTGTTTGTTTGCCATCATGCAGACCTACCCTGAAAATAAAGCGTCCAGTTGAGTTTCAGAATCCAAATGGAGCAGAATGCAAATGAGTGAGATAATGGTGAAAAGTACATTTACTTTGAAAATTCTTCCGAGTGCAGTCATCAGCAGCACAGGCACCGGCAGTGCTGATTTTTAAACTACACTGTTTCATGATTCAAGCTTCTAATTTTTACCCTGAATAAGAGATGCCTCTTGTTGCAAGGCTCTCCCCACTCCATTCTTTAACTTTTTTGCTTTGGCAAGCACCTACCCTCATAAGCATGGTTGGAGAGCTGAAATATCAGAATTTTCTGCCATGTCTCAAGGGAAGGGACTTTTGACTCTACTGTAAACCATGACCAAGGCTGGGGAAGTTTAGGAGAGTTCCTGAGACCAGGTAGCTAGCTAACTCAGAGACCTTTCGATCTAATGCCAATGGGGAAGGAGAAAATGAGAAAGCAATGAAGGCTTGGCAAATGCTATCAGGCCAGAAGGTTTCATTTAAGTAACGGTTGGGGATAGGTGCCTTTGCATCACCTTAGTACATCAGATCTGCACAGGAAGGGGAGGTGCAAAGATGTGGACATTACTGGGTTTGTCTTGACGGTGCAAACCACCAGGCTGGGGAGATAGAATTCTTGGAAAAAAAAGTTTTTAGCAGGAGAGTTAGAAGTGGAAGGTGGTCTGGGTGCCCCAATATGTGGCCCTGCTGATTGCATTAATCTTGTAATTCCATACGTTGGTGTTCTTGTACACGAGGTAGGCAGTTACTGCTTCTTTGCCTGAAAAAGCATTTTTGTCCAAGCACCCAGTCAGCCAAGTGAGGGATACTGTTGCTCAGTGTATGGATGAGGCTGGACAGATGCCTGGACTCCTGTTCACCTGGAGGCAGCTCTTCTTTGTGGACCTGAGGTGTTCCGGACATGTGTGTGCAGGGTATGACTCGCCCACTCTTCTCCTCAGCTTTTAATACATTGAAAAATAATTTTTCATGAGCTAGTAATTATATAAAAATTGCTTTTGCTTTAAACAAGAATTATGCTTGACTCTTGTGAGCAAAAAGAAAAATGCACAAAGGGAATCATTAATTTTGAATAAAAACACATACTTTCCTGCAGCCAGCAAAGGAGGGAAATGTGAAATTGGTGTTTTCTACAAACAGCCCGGCATCGCTCCCCAATCTGTTTGCTTGATCTATTATCCAGTCACCCGCAAAGTTGAATGTCTTGTTTGGCCTGAATCTGACTTTTATTCTTTTCCCTCTACCTATTTTTTAAGGACTGTGTTATATGCATACCTCAGCCTTCATTTGCATCACATTAAAGTAAAACATTTTAAATTTCTTCACAGCAGAAGTAAATCTGACAGACTTTATGAAGCTATTATACCTGCAGGTATTTTATACTTTTAAAATACATTCTTGTCAAGCTATCTTAATTATATTATTATATGTACTTTTGAACTTGTATTCACTATTCCATGATATATTACACTTTTGACAGAGCCGTCCTAAAAAGCTACAATTTATATCAAAGTTCTTTGGCTGAACAAAGATGTATCTGTTATGGATTCTGGGGGAATTTGTTAATTTCTGTGCCAGAATGTATAACCATTGAGGGAGCAGGCTGCTTTAATTTTCCATCCAAGTGATTATGGGAGAAGGACTTGACCTCCAGGCTGTGTAGTAACTCGGCACAGCTGGTGAACAGTGGCCGTCACTTAGATGCCCAGGAGGCCTGCTCCCAGAGCTGGGCTACCTTTCAAACCCCAGTTGTCATGGGGTATTATTCAACACACTATGGAAATGGAGAGCTGATCAGTATCTAATTTACTTTCTCATTCATATTCAGCACCATTCTGGCAGCACAGAGCAGGAAAGTACCCACACTGACAAAGATGAAAACAAGCCCAGGATGGGGTGGGATAGGAGGGAGACAGAGAAAGAAAAGATAGACACTCTGGAGCATTTTTTCAAAGATAACAAGGCCTAAGGTCCCTTAGAGGGGCTGTTTGATGTAAATGATGCAGGTGAAGTGAGCCCCCAAATTGGGGCTTAGTCCGGGAGGGTTCTTGGCTTCACCCAGGAAATAATCCAATGGGGAGATGATGGTGAAAGAAATCAGTTTGCAACTTTATTGAAGTGGCAGCATACAGCAGCAGCAGGGGAGCCGCTCCTTGCTGAGCAGGGCTACCCCATAAGCCCCGTGCCCATGCCCAGAATAGCAGCATATGGGCTGCTGACAACTGTGTTTATACCCCCTTTATTTACATGCAAATTAAGAGGTGGTTACTTAGATCTTTCTAGAAAAGGGGCAGGGAGTTTCTGGAACCATACAAGGTAATTTTCAGGTCATTGCCATGGCATATTGATGTGGCATTTGTAAAGTGTCATGACACTACTAGAAGTATCTTTTTATGTTAATGAGCAGTAAGGACAACTAGAGGTCACTTTCATCACTGTCTGCTGGTTTTGGCCAGCTTGTTCACTGCACCTTGTTTCTACCAGATCCTGCTCCAATCAGCAAGGTGACAACCCAGGTTGTGACCACTGCTGGGAAAACAAGCTCTGCTGATTTCCTACCTCATAGCCACTGTCTGCATTAAGTACAAAGTCCAGGGAACTGTGGTGAAACAGGAGGATATCCTGAGTCACTCCAGTCACACCTCCTCTTCCACTCTCTGATGGCAGGGTGTCCTACAGATGTAAGCCCCATGAAGACAGGCACTGGGGGTTTCTTTGTTCACTGGTGTCTTCAGTGTTCAGGACCTGATGAAATGTGTTGGATGAAAGTATAGCTGGTTTCAGTGCCAGACTCAGGTCTCCTCTGATCACTCCTCACCTCCCTGCTCCTGACCCAAGAAAGACAAGCTCCTTTCTGCCCATTATCATGAAGATGCTCAAACAAATGCCACAAGGGTGATTCCTGCTTCTTCAAGGGAGAGGCTACTGCAAATGACCAAAAAGCCCCTTTGCCCCTCAATAATCCAGGTTTTCTCATAGTAGATCTACAAGGTAACTCAGCTCTCCTGAAAGAGTCCAGGAGAATGACTACTTTCAGCTTTATTCAGAAGCCTCATACCTGCTCTTGGATAAAAGTTTTTCTTCCTTTCTTTCTTGTGGTTTTTCAAACTCTGTGAAGTGTGGAAGAGTTTTGTGCAAATATGAAGCCTTTGAAGATTCAGAGAGGGTAAGTGACTTACCCAAAGTCACACAGCATAATGTAGCATGAAACAGGACCTAAACAACCCAGCATGCCTGCCATTTGTGCTGAGGGCCTCCTTCTTGATTTTCTCTCAAAGGTGGTCCTGCATGTCCCTCCCCACTCAGACTTAGAAGTTCTTTATGAGCGGTGAGGGGGAGTCACTTATTTTTGCTTATTCTTCCTTCCAAAGGACACACAACTCAAACTCAGGTGTCAGAGCAGACGGCAGTGTCCTCGGCATGCTTTGAGTGGCAGTACACCGCTGTTTGAGGGATGAACTGATTCCGAAGAGTCCATTTGGACTGTATTTCGCATCATCTGCTCCTTTCATCAAAAGAGGCTCCGTGGATGCTCTTGATGTCTGCTCCTGGCTCCAGAGCCCAAACTGAGCCAGCTTCCAGGGCATGGGCAGACCTGCTTCTCTGGAGCAATGAGATCCAAGCCTGTTGTGGCCATGTAGAACAGTTTTGGTCCAGTCTTTCTGTAAGGTAGGCAGAAAATTTCTGTGCAGGGAACCCACTTCCAGGTCTTGCCACATGTACAGGGGCCCAGATCTACACTGGAAGTGGGGAGGGGCAGTGCAGGAACTACACTGGAAGTGGGGAGGGGCAGTGTGCTCTGGGTAGCTGTCCTCCTCTGTAATGGCAGGAGCTGGGTATGCCTCGTGACCTCTTGGACTCCTGCTCACATTATCACTGCTGCCTTCCCAGATGAGCTGTGCAAATAGATGGCGGCCATGAGTGGAATTGGAAACGAGGTTGGAGGGAGCTTCTGTCTGTCCAGTTTGGGGCCTGCCAAGCCTGGCATGGTGAGGGTATGGTGGAGCCAGGAGGGGCCACTATGGGAGCCGGGCCAGGAAGCTGCATTCTACTGAGCCTTTTACCTCTTGCAAGGACCTGCCTTTCAGGAGACTTCGGTCTCTAAAGGCCAGGGATGGAAGCTTCAGGGAGAGCTCTCCAGCTCCTGTTTAGCTCTTTGGTTCAGACCTAAGTGGCGAGCCACTTGACTGGATGGGACCTCCAGCCAGCCACAGCATTGGAATCCAGCCTGGCTCCTGCACTGCCTTTCATATTGATGTCCATGACAATCCCAGCTGTCTTGCAGTACATGGCACAGGCAGCCCTGGCATCTTGAGGAGGGTGTTCAGTGTGGTCCCTGGCAGAATATGAGCCTGGGGCAGACAGGATGTGGCTTTAGACCGTGAACAGGGAGCCCTGCCCCAGGACATACGACCCTGTGCCCCACACTCGCCCACACTCACTCCTGGTCATTAATCACAGTGCTCATGGGCCCCTGATTCAAAGGAAGTGCCAGCTGTACATGGGCCCAATGAACTTTACTCAAGATTAGAGGACTGTTTAGGGGCATTTGAAATGAATTGTGGAAAGGACATTTGTGAGACCATTTGAAAGGTCACTCAGGGGTGGTACAACAGGATAAATAATGAACCCATTACAAGGTTCTAGTGAACCACTGTGGCCTTGGGAACTGAATTTCATCACTTTGGAAGCCAGAGAAAGGCACTGGAAATAGCTTTGCCTTTGCACAGAGGGGAGTTTTCTTCTGCTTAACTGGATCCAATTAGAAAGTGATTCAGCGAACACTTATTCTGTGCGAGGGTCTTACAGTAAAGACTCAGTGTGGCAAGGCCCCTGTTTTCCAGGACTTTACAATCCTAGTTGGGAGTGGGGTGAGGTCAGGGGTGTGTAAGTTGAACACTATGATGAGAGCACCCTGAGGCGGATGCAGCCAGCTCCCTGTGAACATGGACAACATGACAGGGCTGGGTCTAGACACTGGAAATGGGTCCACCTGGTTTACTAGACTTGAGCTGAACCCATTTGTACAATTAGAGGAATTTATCTATTCACCAAATATGCATATCTCTTCAATTATTAAAGACTACCATGTCCTACTTTCAGTCGCCCAGAAATAGACCCTGCAATTCCAGTGCCAGTAACTCATGTCAGAGGTGATCCCTGGAGACACTGCAGGAGAGTGGGCAGGAAGACAGGGAGTGAAGGTAGGCAGCAACGGTTCCTTATCCAGCAAGTCATGAGTATGGCAGCCAGGTCTCATCCTGTACAGAATAGCCCTCAGCATCATCCCCACCAAGGGGCAAGGAAGCCGGGTGTTCATTCCCCCACCTCCCTCTGTCATTGGCTGAGGGCTGCATTTGAGGCATTAACTACCCAGGGATTCTGCCATGTCCTGCTAGGAGAAAAAAAAAAAAAAAAAAAGCCCTCAGGCAGAGGGTCACCCATGTTCACCACAAACAGCTTTTTCTATGTAGATACAATGGACTGAATGTTTATGTCCCCTCAAAATTCATATGTTGAAACCTAGTCTCCAAGGTGATGAGATTAGGAGTATTAGGACTTGGGGCTTTGGGAAATGATTAGGTCACAAGGGTGGAGGCTTTATGAATGGGATTAGTGCTTTTATAAAAGAAACCTCAGGGAGCTCTCTTGCCCCTCCAGCAAGTGAGGATACAGCCAGAAGGCAGCTGTCTATGAAGCAGGAAACCAGGCCCTCCCCAGACACCTAATCTGCCAGTGCCTTGGTCTTGGACTTCCCAGCCTCCAGAAGTGTGAGAAGTAAATCTCTGTTGTTTGTCAGCCACTCAGTGTATGGTATTCGGTTATAGCAGCCCCAAGCAGACTGCCAGTAGAGTTGAATGCTGCTGAGAGGATAAGAAAGGGCACTAACAGCATCAGAGACAATAACAAATAATGATCGGCCCCTACATGTGGATAGAATCCGGGCTTATAGTATATGACACTCCTACACTTTACCCTCCTAACCAACCTGTAAGAAAGACTGAGCAAGCATCAGAGCTTAGTAGTCATCAGGAGTGGGAGAAAAGGCTAAATGAATCCCAGCCCCACCATTACAGTCACCAAAGAGGGAAGGCTGTGAATCAGGGGCAATTTCCTTCTCCCAGCCCTCCTTTGCTCTCCACCTAGGGCGACGTGGCCCTCCCTCAAAGCCCCACCAGCCACACTTTCTCCTGAGCCCTCTCCAGCCTTGCTGACGACCCACATCGATCTACGGGGTCCTCTAACGCCCTTATCCACACTCTGCCCCACACAGCCAAGCCCTCAGTCAAGGGCTGCCCTGCTGGACCGCACTGGTGCAGCTTCTTCCAATCTGAGCATTGCCACCTTCGTAACAGGAATGTTTTTCCTTCTCTCTCATCCTCCATGTGTGTGGTATGCCATAGCACATGCTTAATAGACATCTGACTGGTTAATTTGAAGTAGTCCAATACGAGACTCTCCTAAAGACAAACTGGCTATGCTCTCCCACCCCCGCTTCACACCCACCCCCCACCCCCAGTCTTCCTTGAGAGCTGTATTACTCAGACATTTCCATAATGGGAAGAGAGAGAAGTGCTCAAGTCAGGGAGCTGTCTGGCCAATCAATGAATGATCAAGTTTATATTGAATGCCTATTGCATGTCTAGCTCTGAGGTTAGGTGCTGTAGGGGATACAGATATATAAGACATGCATGGCATCCGTGGGGAGTCCACAGTTTTATTGCAGAACTAAACTCAAACCTAAAAATCAATTACCTTAGAAGTCATACTGGACTGAGCGGCAGTAAAAATTGTGGTTAAAGGCTCATAAAAAAGGCAGAAAGTCTGGGTTCAGATTCTGGCCAACTTACATCCTAGCTGAATGTAGCTTTAAATAAGTATCCAAGAGAGGCTGTGCCTTCATTTCTTTCACCTGGAAATATTACCAGCACATCCTGATGGGGCATGGCACTCGGTAATCATTCGGTGAAATGTATTAATGTTATTAACTAATACTAGTATTATCTGTTATCTAATCCCAGTCATTGCTGACTTGAAGTGCTATGGAAGTTTGGGGAAGTGACTTATCAGAAAGGGCTGGCTGAGTTACAGAAAGAGTAACAGATGGAGTGGGTGTTAGGTTGGTCCTTGAAAGAGTTTTGGAAGTGGGAGAGAGGAGAAACAGCATTCCAAGCTGGAGAACAGCCGAATGGGAAGCCTGATGGCTAAGGCAGGCCGTGTGTAGAACCTCGAGGCACCTGGACCCATTGGAGTGCAGGTAATGAGAGGAGAGTCCCAGCACAGGTCCTGAAGACCTGCTATTGAAACGGGAGAATTTCCTTTATCCCCATGGCAGGCTGTGTGATAGGAGTGTGGCTCGCTGCATAGATGCCCCGCTGCTCAAACCCCTGGGGGGAGCAGGCAGACAGGCAGATTGTGGGGAACGTTTTTTGGGCTCCAACCCCAAGGCAGCATGTAGGGTTGAGTGTTTACAGCTCCTGAAGCCCCAGTGGGCGTGTGTTACAGTGTGCTCTTTCAGTTTAGCTGTCCGTTGGCAGCTTGTGTTAACCAGCTCAATTAGACCCTCTGCCTTATCGCAAGGACAGAGGGCTTTCTGTATCCTGGGTTCTTGCCTTAGTGTACTGGAAAAATCAGATCCCATGTGGGCTTGGAGGATGAGTGCAAGGTTTTATTGAGTGGAGGTAGTTCTCGGCAAGGTGGATGCGGAGGCCACAAGGGGAATGGAATGGGAAGGTGGTCTTCCCTGGAGTCAGGCCACGCAGTGGTCAGACTCTCCTCTGACCAAATAAATTCTCCTCGCGTCTGCGTCATTCTCGTCCTGCCGTTGATGGCCTGCCAGCGTCTGCCACTGTGTCCTTCTGCTGGTGTATTCCTCCCTGCTAGGGTCTCGGGGTTTTTATAGGCTGGTCAGTGTGTGTGGGGGGGCAGTGAGGAGGGTGGCAGGCCAGAGTGGTCTCGGAAAATGCAACCTTTGGGCGTGAAAACAGGAGTGGCTTGTCCTCACTTAGGCCCGTGGGCACAGGCCAGAGGGTGGAGCCCCCCCCAGGGACCCCATCCTTCTTCCTGCACTTCCCGGCCCCCCTCCTATTTCACTGTCACTGGCAAGGAGCGATTCCATTTGCCTGGGGAAAAGGTGTTACGTCCTTAGTAGCATGGTATCAGCATGGTTTTGAGAAGATAATTCTTACAGGGGTGCAGGATGGATCTAAGTGAGAGGACCTGGGAATGAGGAGACTATACACAGGCTGTAGGAAGGCAGCCCTCCCTGCCTGGCCAGGCCAGGTGGAAAGGGAAGCAGCATCTCCCTGCAAGACATCAACCACTTTCCTATCCTCTTTCTTCCTAACTGTGGGGTAATCTTTGGCTTCTCCGCAGTGTTTAGATAAGGAAGAAAACCCAGTCGGCCTCCCTCCCCCATCACTCTCTAAGATCCAGGTCCAGATACACAATGGAAGCATACATATTTCTCTTTCTTCTCCTTCTGTGCTCCAAAGACAGGCTGACACCGGTAAATCACTGCAGCAGGCTTTAAATGATGTATGAAATGAACAATCCCTTCCCTGTGTATTGGGAGCCTCCTGCCCAGCAATGGGCTGTGTCTACTGGGCTGGCTACTGTATTATTCAGCGCAGAGGAGGCAGCCGGAAACTCGGTGGAGGTGAGAAGCTTGGGATCACAAGGAAAAACAAAGTTAAAATTAAAAAAAAAGAAAGAAAAAACATGTTCTGAAACATATATAAGTATTTTTCTCTAGCTCTCACTTTTAAAAAAAAATTCTGCTGAAGTTTTTTGGAAAGGAAAACTTCTGTACTTCTTTGTGCATTTTTCTTCCACCCAAGTCCCTGCTCTCATTCCTTAAATTCAAAATAGACAGAAACAGAGACTTCGTCGATCCCTCAGGGTCCTGTACAATTGGTCACATCTCTGCACGTTTCTCAAAGACCATGTTCAGTTCAAACTCTTCCTTGTGAGCATCAGGATGTCCACTGCTGAACAAGGTGTGCAGACCTCCATGAGGGACTTGCCCACCTGAGCTCCCCACCCCCATGGGATTCTGCTGTGGTGGCCCTGCAGGGTGTGCAAGCACCGGGGCATTGTTGCTTCGATAACCCGAGTCTGCTGACTTATACCAAAGTATCTACTAATCCCAGACTAAACACATCAATGACCCGCTCAGCAAACCCTATTGGTACAGAAAGCAGCAGGCAGCCTCAACTCAGAGCAGCCGCCTCTTGCACATCAGACTGAGCTACAAATAGACTGAGAGCCTTCTTAGTCTGCAGGGAGGGTGAGCTTGGTCAATTTGCTTTTAGCCGATGAAATAATCATTGACGTTTAGACAGACTTCTAATCTTGGCTCAGAACAGTCAAGAGGCATTTTAGCTACAGATGGTAAATGGGTTCATACAGGGATATATTTAGCAATGTGGCCCAGGGGCAGAAGAGAAAGAGGCCTTGGGATCCAGGAAACTGGTCCAAGCTGGAGGCGCCTTGATTCCTGGAGGCAAGTCACATAATTCCCTGAGCCTTATAACAAGTGCCCCAGGTATGGGTGGGTTCATGCACAGGTGCTTGCAGGGAGGAGTGAGGAGGAGCTCTTTGATCCGGCCATGGAATCATGAACAGGACATGTACTCTGTTCACACCTAAGGCCAGTAGGAAAACAGGCAGGTGAGCAGATGATGGTGGATGAGCTGCATGGGAAGGATGGTGTGGTATATGCATGATGGAGAGGGAGGATCCAAAGTAGCCCTTGTGGCCTGGATTTGAATCCTAGCTCCATCAGCTTTAGAGGCATGCACTCAAGGCAATTTATTTTCCCTCTATTCCTGTTTTCTCGTCTGTAAACAAGGATAATTCTATACCAAATGTGTGGGTTTACAGTGAGAGATGAATACATGTGAAGCACATAGTGCAATTCAATGTTGGTTACTACTTCTTATGGAAAAAGATCAAGCAGGTTGATGCTTAATTCAGACTGGAGTCTGTGAAATGGAGACTACCCAAGACCAGTTCAGACACATAGCCCAAGTCTTATATTTGCTGCTAACAGGAGTGGGGCAATGCACCTTCCCAGGGAATAAGAATTCCAGAACTGTGCCACCCTCACCTCTACCATGTGGCTGTCACATGTCACCATGGCCAGGCAGGCATACTGCAAGCTGTGCAGCCCTCCTGGTCCCACACCTGCCTTTCTCCAAGTTTCATGGAGGAAAAAGGAGCGGAGATGCTCCTTTATCAGCACCCTTGGAATTATTTTGGAAGCCACTGTCCCCTCATGTAAGAGACAGAGATCCTGGGATGGAGTGAGGTACTGGGTTTGAACTTTGGCACTCCAAGTTCATTGCTGGGTTCAGTTTCCTTATCCCTAAAATGAGAATAATAACTCCACCTTCTCCACTTCACATGAAAAATAGATAAGGAAGGGCTTTTATAAGTTGCATCCTGCTCTATACTTTGTAATATAAATTGTCTGGTCAGACCCTCTCTTCAGCCAAGTGTTCAGCTTTAAGGAGGATGCCCGGTTGGGGAGGAGCGGAGGAAACTAGTACCCACTTCACCACCTGTGTCATCTGAACCAACCTGGCCAGCACTGGGTTAACACATGGTGTAGCCAGGTAACAGGGGTCCCCACAGAACTTGTTCCTGGCCCCCTGGCTCTAGGAAAGCTTTGGCAGCCAGGCAAGACCTGCAGCCTACCTTTGTTGTGTGAGCTTTGGCACGGGAGGGAGGCAGGGCAGAGGAATACCACCTACTTGGGGTTCCCCAGAAGCCTGTAAAATCCCCCCTGAAAACCCAACTTAAAGTGACTTTAAGGATCTGAGCTTCACTGATTCCATTCCTCTTTGTACCTCTTTGTTCCTCCGCTACTACACTGCTACACACAGGCGCACACTCACTCACACATACACTCACACACGCACTCAAACACACACACACGCACTCAAACACACACACACGCACGCAAACACACACGCACTCAAACACACACTCACACGCAGTCAAACACACTCACACATGCACTCACACACTCACACGCACTCACACACGCACTCAAACACACACGCACTCACACTCACACACGCACTCACACACGCACTCACACACACACGCACTCAAACACACACACTCACACACGCACTCACACACATGCGCTCACACACGCACTCACGCACTCACACACGCACTCAAACACACACACGCACTCAAACACACACTCACATGCACCCATGCCCACCTCCCCACATATTCATACTTCTGGAACCCCAGCTTGGCCTGTGCTGTCTTTTCCTGAGCAGCCAGGAAGAGGAGGCTGGAATCCCAGCACAGAACAGCAACTGAGCAGTCCTCCAGTCTTCCCCCACAGGTAGCACGTTCCAAGCCAGCAGCCCAGGTGCTGCAGAAACACCTTCGTGCTGTGTTCCACACTTTCATGTGGGGGAAGCAGGCAGCAAGTCACCAGCAGCCAGCCATCAGCAGGAGGTGCTGACAGCCTTTCAGACAGCAGGCAGAGAACAGGAAAGGGTGGGCCAGTCCCTAACCATCACACTCCCTAAGCCTTGAATTAACACCTTGTCACTCACAGCTCTGGTATCCCAGTGCTGGCTGTCATGACCACAGAGCAGGTGTGATGCTTGGGCTCTCTGTGGTCAGAAAGCCACGGTGAGAAACTGCCAGCAAAGCTCCCATTCTGTCTGCTTCTCAAATGCCTGGCAATGTAGACCGGGCCTCGAGTGTCTACACTGTCAAATGCATCACTCTCTGGCAGATTGATTTCTCTGTGGCTGTTCTGTCTCTCAGCTCATAGAATGCCAGAACTGGAAAGGACCTATTGTGGTATAGATGGAATAATGAGGCCTGATGGAGTTAGGGTGGACGGTGGGAGTAGTCGATAGTGACTGGGGAAGCCAGGTGCCCTGCCTCCTGGTGCAACACTCGCTCTGTTGACGCAGCGTGGAGAGCAGTGAACCTCTTCATTCATCAGGGCTTCTCACTGCCCAGAAGGGACAGGGGCTAGAGTCCCCTTTCCAAACCTGCTGCCCATGTGCCCATGAATGTTAAACTAGCACACCTGGTATCTGCTGAGATGGATCAGATTTACCCAGCGGAAGAAAAGCAGCTCCCAGGAGGAATGGAGTTTTTGTCAATACCCACAGCAGAGGGCTGGCTTCATTTCCAGTAAGAGTCAGTGAAGCTGGGATAATTACTCGTTACAATTTTATTGATATTCACTTCACTCTGCAAATGACGTGGGAAGGTTCTGACAGGATGTCTTAATGGGACTGGCTGAGAATCCATTTGGGTGGATGTGGGTTAATGGGGCTGAAGAGACTACAGGGTTCAACTGCGTCAGCCCTATTACCCTAGCATCTCCTTTATCATCAGGAGCAAAACAACATGTGTAGTATGAACAGCATGATGCTAGGGGAAGAGCTCAGCTCAGGAAACTCTTGAATGTCTTTTCAATTTCCTCCCTCCATCACCTGGACAGCATGGAACGCCTTCACTCGGCTGTGGCTTCATTCCTCAGGGCCGCTAACTGCTCACTGCCAAGAAGGGCAGAGCTGGAGAGGTCCTTTTCCATGCCCAGGTGCCTACGAGCCATGCTCATGTGCACTCAACTGGTCTGATGGGAAAGGTTTAGAGACAGGTGCCCAGAAGCTTATCTTCTGCAGGAAGGTTTTGTATCACACGGTACAGTCCATGTGCCCCCAGACATCCCTGGCAGCCTTTTGGACGTCCACACCTCAAGGACTATCCCTCGAGAAGCAGTCAGTCCACACTCCACTTCAGATCCAGGTCAGCAGAGAATTCATAACAGCTAAATGCAGATTTTTTTGACTGCCAGATAAAACGTGAATATACCAGCGTACATTTGCATAGCTCTCTGTAATTTACAAAGGGCTTTTACATGTATCATTTCATTTGATTCTAACTGATATCCTGTGAAATAAGTAGGGCCAGAGACTTTTTGTGAATTTTTTATATTGGTCATTTGCCAGTTGGCACACTCAGATCCATTCCCCACTATTCCCTGTGAACTCCACCTCCCAAACCTCCTGGCCAACTGGCTACCGTGTAGGTTCAGCCAACGGAAGGCACTGTCAAGGGGTTAGAGGGTAGAGGATGGGAGAAGTAGGGTACTGCATCTCTCTTTCTCTGCCCCGTATCACTTCTAAGAGAGTAGCTGAGTCTTCTGGGTGGTCCCAGTTCCCACTGGGTGGTCTTGATTCCTGAGTTCAGGAAATACTACCTCCTTCCTTTGTACCTCTAGCCTGGGATTGGCTGCCTACTGTTACTAACCTCTGGGCTGCCTCACTCTCCCTTGCAGACACCTGCATGGGTGCTGTTTTCCTGCCTGCAGCCTAAATGTTACATTCCCAGAAATGATGACACCAAGCCTTCAAAGAGGTAAATTAATTTTCCCAGGGCAATGCAGCAATCAAGAACAATATCCTTAGTACAAAACAAGTTTTCAAACATCCAGAGCTTTGCCCTTTTCCCTACCCATGTGAGAACAAACAAAACGAGTACACAAATTAAAATAAATCTAGAGAACCCAGAGAGAAAGGCTACACACATAAAGCAGGAGGGCACAAAGGAGGGAGAATTTGTTTGCCTCTGGTAGCACCAGGAGAGGCTTTGTATAGGAGGTGGCACGTACCAAGAGTGGTACAAAGGAGGTAGTATTTCTGAAACTGCGAGAAGAATCAAGTGTAGGATCACTAAACTTTCAATGTGTCCACGGGTGCCATCTTGCATTTGTACCTCTGCCCTCTCCTTGGACATTCTAAGAGTCTCAGCCTCTCTCCTTTGGACCAGGGCAGGAGCCTCCTCACTGGCCTGCCACCCATTCTCCACCCTGTGGTTGGGAAGAAGTCTCTCAAACACACAGCCCCCCAAGCCATTCTTCTGTCTAGAAACCTTCAACAACTATACGTTGTTTATAGGGTAGGTCCCAACTCTTCAGCCCTAATCCAAGGCCTTTGGCTGCCTGGCCCCTCTGCCTCCACGCCGCCTGCTGCCTGGCCACACCCAGAGCAATCACTACGTCTTGAGAAGGTCATGCACTTCTCCTCCTTTGCTCAAACTCTTCCTTCTGCCTGGAATGCTCTTCCTCCCTTCTTCATTCAGCAAATTCCTTCCCAACACCTGAGGCTCTTAAATATCACTTCTATAACTTTCCCAGCTTTTCTGCCTGAAACATAAATAAAGGCAACCTTCTCTGTGCTCCCAGACCCATTGCCCACGCCTTTATTAAATTTAATCAGATTGTCATGTCATTACACATTTAAGTGTCAGTTCCTACCCTCTGGGAGCTCACAGTGTGGTGTTGGAGAACTTATCTTTTATATTCCCAGCACCAAGTACCAGCAACGGGCACATCACAAATGCTCGTTACCTGTTTGTTGTATTGAAATTAATTCCAATATCATCCTCCCTCTTTCTCTCCTTATCCTCCTTACTCCCTTCCTGAATTCCTGCTACTTAATCTATTGGTCAAAAATGTCTGTCCCCTTTCAGATTACGCTTCTCAGACAATAGTAGAACGTCAGAGTTAATACAGCTCTAAAGGTAAATCAGAGCAGAAAAGAAGTAAATGATGAAGACAATTCCAAAAAAGAAAAGATTGGTTTTCAACTGAGATATGTAGAGATAGAAAGGAGGGTGAGGTAGGAAGGAGTGATATGTTGCCATGGCCAAAAACAGAAATAGCAAGACTCAGGTTAAGGTTGGTGCTATAACAAGCAACCCTAGCTGCCTCATGGACTCTCGGTTCATCCTCCTTCCTCTCCTCAAACCTGGTTCATTTGGAGGTCACTTTCTCTTCCAAGAAGAAGAGGAAGAAACCTTGGGGAGAAACTTATTTCCACACCTATGTTCCTTCCCCAGTTGAGGTGTAGTTTTACCTTTAATGTCAATTCAATTTATGTATGTTTTTGTCAGAGTTATAAGCCTTTTCCATGAGTGTTTATGTGTGTGGCTTCTCTCATTAGATTATGAACAAGCTTTTGCAGCTCAGATATAGTTTGGGGGTCCCCTCCTCCTCCTCCTATTGGCCTGGCTTCCTCCTGTCCTTTGAGGCTGCTATCCATTGTCCAGTTCAGTTGCTCTTTGTTTATAAAATGGCTTGTATAGCACCATGATTCAAAATGTGGCCCCTGGAACCAGATTGCCTTGGTCCAATCCAAGCTCTGCTAAATGTTGCTCAGTGACCTTGAATAAGTTGCCATGTGTCAGTTTCCTCCTCAGTAAAAATGGGAATAATGATAGAAGCTCCCTCTTGGGCCCATCGTGAGAATTAAAGAAGCTAATATATTCCATATTTGCTTTCATTATCATTACCACTTTTCACCCCCAGATAGCCTGTGTTCCTCTCCTCTTCCCATCCTTGGAACCAAGGACAGGGCTTCTTTCTCTTTGGTATATTATAAAGTCTCCTTTATAAGGCTCTACCTGCAAGGTAGCTCAGCAAAGGTCAACAGTTATCTTTGCAGAACTTCTTTAAGAGAGTGTTTGTGCCTCAGCAGCACATGAAGTCAATTTGTGGGAAACCAGGAACCCTGTACATAGCTGGAGTCCTCATCCCTCAGCGGCTGCCACTTCTCTCCTAAATGCCACAGCCAGGAGCAGAACCTCAGCCTTGTTTAAACCATGCTTCTTTCCTGAAATAATCTTTTTCCTAGGAAAATCCACTGTCCCTTCTAGCAACCTGACATCCAGGTGAAGAGTGTTCTGCCACTCCAGCCATAAATAGCACTATGACTGAGATGGCTTTGAGGACAGTCTTTCCCTTAGCATCATTTGCAGAAGACACTGCCTATCAGCTGTCTCTGCACAGAACTGTTTACACATCTTTCATCACAAGCATTTCTGCCCCTCTTCTGATCACAGAACCCATACAGAAAACCACACACACACACACATCACAGACACTGCTACTGACCTCTTATGAGATCAAAGCCAAAATATGAGTCTGCCTTGTGAATGGCAGAGGAGAACTCACACTGGAGGTGTGTGCATGTGGAGAGAGAGAGAGAGAGGAGAAAAAGAGACAGAGACAGAGAGATTGCTAACTTCTTAGGAGGTGAGAACTGAGAGATTATTCTCTTTTGCTGACGACAGACAGCACCCAATGGCAAGCATATGCACCCTGCCACATCATCCCAGCCTTTCTGTCCCTCCCACACACACCCTTCTCAGTATTTATGATGGATCTTTAGTGTATTAAGAAGAAAAATGCATTTGGCAGCACTAATGTCTGCTGTTTAAGTCCTATTGCTTCATCAAACCTGGCCTCTCATAGTCACAGGCTCCAGAGCAGCCGTCAACGGGATGTGCGTCATCCTTCAAGGTTAATGAGAGAAAAGCTCCCCTGGACAAGTCTAGTCTATATTTGTGTATTCTGCTGCCATGACATGATGGTTGAAATGGACCAAATTGCTTCCCAGCATGAGCCCACAGTCACATTTCTCTGGCCTTCGTACAGGAGGCTCCTGGCACATTTGGCGAGGCAGTTCACACGGTAAGTGGGGACCTGGCTGGGTGCCAGCATGTTAAAGTGGTAAGCCCATTACTTCTTTCATCTGCAGCTTGTGCCCTGAGCCCTGTGGCTGTCTGGGGCAAGGCTGAGGCACGACACAGTGAATTTCCCCAAGGTGTGTGTATACAGAGGATAGCGGTAGGTTTCTCATCCTTCATGAGCTTCCCACTGCACACAGCCACCTGCAGTCCTCCTTCCATTCACATCCCAGGCAGCTAGAGGGCCCAGCCTCACCCACCCCACCCCCACAGCCTGAAGACTTTTCTCCCACACGCATTGGCTGATTCCTTTGGAATCAGGCAAGGAAGGGTCTGTGATAGAAAAACGGTTGACTCTGAGGTCTGGAAGACCTAAGTTCAAGTCCTGGAAATGCTGCTTCTGCTTTAAGACATATGACCATGAAGGAAATACCAGTCTCAGATCAATCCCCAGAGGCAGACCCTGAGCAAGGATTCCTAGGCAGATGCTCCCAAGAGAAACAGGAAGAAGAAAGGGAAGCAGAATAGAGACAGGGATGATGCCAAACAGAAGTGTGATTTTAAGTAAAGTCCCAGTCTCAGCTTGATCCTGCTGGGAAGCTCTAGGATGTAACATATAGCTTAGAGTGTATTGGACTTTCTAAGCAAATACTCATCCTCCCACAGCAATCATTGGCTAAATAAACTGCCAAGCAATTCCTGTTCTCTGCAAGTTGGGGCAGGCAGGAGGGTGAAGCACCTGGGCTGGCCCAAGGGCAGCAGACAGCACACAGTCACAGGTGGGGTCCATTGGAGCAAGGCACACAGGTGGGTGGGCTGGGCACCCAGGACTCTAGAAGAGATGTTGGAGGGTTGGGAGGAGCATCGATCGTGTGCTCTCCACCCTCTCACCCCACTGGGCTTCATGTCCTTCAGTGTATGGAGGAGGCAATATGTCTACCATAAAGTTGATGTGAGAATAAAATGTGGCCTCAAATGCAGATGCTCTCTCACCTCATAGGTGCACGTAAATGTGAGTGCCTTCTTTCTCATAAACCTTCAGGAGACAGTTCCACTCAGTTAAACTGGATGCTCATGCTATAATGTTAGGTAAGAAAAAAATCAAAATATAAAATGTTATCCCTGGCATGCTCACCATTTCATAAAAATACAAAATATGGGCCCAGCGCAGTGGCTCACTCCTGTAATCCCAGCACTTTGGGAGGCCGAGGTGAGTGGATCATGAGGTCAGGAGATCGAGACCATCCTGGCTACTAAAAATACAAAAAATTAGCCGCGCATGGTGGCGGGCGCCTGTAGTCCCAGCTACTCAGGAGGCTGAGGCAGGAGAATGGCCTGAACCCAGGAGGCAGAGCTTGCAGTGAGCCGAGATGGCGCCACTGCACTCCAGTCTGGGCGACAGAGCGAGACTCGGTCTCAAAGAAAAAAAAAATATATGTCTGTGTGTATATATACATATATATATATATATATATATATATATATATATATATATACTTAGAAAAATGTTATCAGAAAATACTCAATATGCTAATAGTGATTATTTCTGGCTGTTGAGATTATGAGTTATTTTTCATTTTAATTTTATACTTGTCTGATTATTCTATCATGAGCAAGTGTTACATTTACGTTAAATCATACTTTAAAACATGAAGACTTAGAAAGATCAAGTAGTTTAATTAAATAATGTGAGAAAAAAAATTTAAAGGCCATCTTGTCTTCACTTGTTCCCCGTTCCAACATTTCAATGCAGAAGCAAAGCTGAGAGGTAGACAGATTGTTATCTTTGATTAGTTCCCATCCTGGTTATGTGTTTGTATTTTAATGAAGATCTTGGTGGATACTGTGGCTTAATTCCACAGGTTTCATTACTGTGGAATTTTCCAGAGCCTTTACCATATCAAAGTGCATATGGCTCTGCAGAGACACATACCCCACAAAGTGTTCCCCAAACTTACTTAGCATTGGAACCCTTTTTGAAAGGTGCATTTTAGGGACTTTCATCCCAGGAACCAACTTTGGGAAATACTAGGCTGCAGGCAGAGGGAAGATGGGGCTCTCCAGTGTCCTTTTCAAGAAATTCAAGGGCAAGAACACCTTTTGGTGCCTCCAAATCTCCCTATGTAGCCCCTGCTGGGTCCATAGGCCCTGTCCCCTCCTGCCTGCCCACAGCCTAGACCAGGTCCAGAGAAACCCTGATGAAGGAGCCCAGAGGGCATAGAGATGGTGGTGGGAGGGAAAAGGGCACAGACCATCTCCTAGAGTCATAGGTTGGTCATGTCAAGTCTGGCATTAGACCTCACCCAAACTCACAGCCAGGGAAGCAAAGGAGGATAAGCTCTCAGGACTGGAAAGGCTGGTGATGGAGCTGATGGGCAAGCCTGCCCCATCTGGCTGCCAGAGCCTCACCTCTCACTGAGTCTCACACATGATAATGTCTCACACATATGATAATGCTACTTTTCATGAAGCAGTTCTGAGTGGAAGAACAGCAAATTTGAAAAATAAGTGTATTAGTTCATTCTCACATTGCTATAAAGAACCACCTGAGACTGGGTAATTTATGAAAGAAAAGAGGTTTTGTTGACTCACAATTCTGCAGGCTGTCCAGGAAGCATGGCTGGGGAGGCCTCAGGAAAGTTAAAATCATGGTAGAAGGCAAAGGGAAAGTAGGCACGTCTTAGATGGCTGGAGAAGGAGGAAGAGAGAGAAGGCGCAGGAGCCGGCATTCCCCACTTTTAAACAACCAGATCTCCTGAGAACTCACTTACTATCGCAAGAACGCAAGGGCGAATCTGCCCACATGATCCAATCACCTCCCACTAGGGCCCTCCTTCAACATAGGGGATTACAATTTGATGTGAGATTTGGGTGGGGATGCAAATCCAAACCATATCAATAAGGTTGCAGGAGGGGCTAAGAGCAGTTTCTCTGACAGCCAATCTAACACCGTGATGATGATGAAGTTTCCAGGCTCCTGAGCCAGACTGCCGCTGGGATGACTCCTGCCTCTGCCCTGCCCTGGGCCTTCGGGCTGGGGCTGAACAGCTCTGTGCCTCGGACTCCACATCTGTACCACAGCCACGACTTAGAGACAAGGGTGAATCTATATCTGTGAAGGACTATAACGAGGGCTGTGGCTAGTTATTCCAAGTAGAGAGAAAGAGATTGAAATGACTGCAGAGGATGAATTGGACCCTTTGTGCACTGTTGGTAAGAATGTGAAAATGGTGCTGCCACTGTTGAAAACAATATGGAGGTTCCTCAAAAAATTAAACATAGAATTACCATATGAACCAGAAATTCGACTTCCAGGTATATACCCAAAGGAATTGAAAACAGAGATTGAAACAGATGTTCGTACATCCGTGTTCATGGCAACATTATTCACAATAGTCAATGGTGGAAGCAACCGGATCATCTATCAATGGACAAATGGATAAACAAAATGTGGTCTATATTTACAATAGAATATAATTCAGCTTTAAAAAGGAAGGAAATTCTGGCCCATGCTACAACATGGATGAACCTGGAATACATGCTAAGTTAAATAAGCCAGACAAAGAAGAACAAATGTTGTATGGTTCTACTTATATGATGTCCGTGGAGTAGTTAAATTCATAGAGACAAAGTAGAAGGTGGTTGTCAGGGGCTGGAGGTAATGGGGATGAGGAGTTAGGATTTAATGGGTACAGACTTTCTGGAGATGGGTGGTAGTGGCATATTCATACTGCATAATAATATGAATGTACAATGTACTTAATGCCACTGAACTCTACCATTAAAATAGTTTAAATCATAAATTTTATTTTAGTGCATTTTAACACAATTTTTAAAAAGAAGTATCAACTATTAAGAGAAAAATAGAAAAACAAAAAACCACACACCACATACACACACACACACACACACACACACACACACAAGAAACTTATTACTGGAAGAGTTTAGGCCATATGTTAACAGGAGCTTTGTTTTTACTAAAAAGAAAAAAAAAAGATCCACAATCAAGACTGGAGAACCCTTTTCCCTGAATGCTGTAAGAGGAGACTCCCATGAGATGATTCATGTGCACTACTTGTTGATGCAAAGGGTTGAATAATTAACCTTGAAGATCAGTCACCATGTATTTATTAATACGTTCTGCCCCACTATTAATATCATTAACTAGACACTGAGAACTGTATTCTTAATCTCTGAAATGTAAAGTCCCTGTCATATACTTAGAATGAAACATGCAGAAAAGTTTTATGCAAAACTGAGCCGGAGACCTTGAAAGGAGGTCAAGGAAGTTTTGTTTTGTTTTTTTTTTAAGTTTATGTGAAACTTATTTTGAGAATTACTTTTTCAGAATTGTTATAACTCCATAAAAGCATATGCAGGGTGTCAAAAACTTGGAGAGAGCATGGGTGAATATGAAGAGCTGTCTTAGGCTGGGGAAGCTGTGGGTGGATGTTTTTCCTATTTCAATTTCTTTTGTGGCATCAAATATTGTTTCAGTAATAAGTAAAATTGACAAAATGATAAAAATAACATTTGAGAAACTAAACTCATGAAAAGCATATTAAAACTGACATCACTTCTTTTACCCATTTAAAAATGCAGAAATGGAGATTGAAGTTAGATAAAAGCAGAATGTACTTCTTGTTATAAATGAAAACAGTCTCATATTAGAGATTCAAATTATGGCCACAAGATAACTCCATGGCAGTTCATAGAATCGATAAAATTCCAGTTTGTTTGGAAAGCCAAGTTTCCTATATGCCAAAATACATATTTTGTAAATTGCTTAATTTACATTTGAAAAGATCAAATCTTAATTCTTCGAGAAGCTAGTAGAAGGATTGAGAGACACTGAAGGGAAAAAACACACACAGCGATTTAAACAGCCTTTTTGGTTCAGCAGTATACACAGTTTGATTGAAATTGATAGCATTTGGAAAAAGGAAGTATTTTTCCCATTTTAAAAAAAAAGCAACAACACAAAAAAACTTGCACGACACAAAAAACTTAAGTTACATGAAGTTCCTGCTGTGAGCTTTTAGTGACTCTAGGAAGGAATAACAGGTTTCCCCGGAGAAATAACATCCCAAGGAACTCGGCAAATGACACAGAAAGAGCTTCTGCTCCCTGGACATTCCCTGAGGGCGTCTTGGTTCCCATCCAGCTGAGGATGGTGCAGCCTCTGCTCAGGGAGTCCACCTGCCTTCCAGAGCTGGACAAGAAGCCAAGAGCAAAGATCCCAGGGTTAAGAGCCTGCCATTGCCTTGCCGGGGGACCTTTAGTACAGTGCCTTGACCCCATGCCTCAGTTTCTCCTTTGAAAATTACTGTGATAAAAGCACAACACATGTTTTCAGCTCAGACGTAATGTCTTAAATTTGTATATGGATTTGGAGCTTCTCAAGAGCTTTCTTTGCTCACCTCATCATGATGCTCCCAGCTCTCATCATATTAAAGTAGAGATAGCTCAAGCTTTGGAGTCACAATGCTGGTTGACCTTCCCAGAGGACTTACGGTCTCCAGATACTATATATATGGCACATAGTTGGTACTCAGAAGTAGTCAGTTTCCTCCTTTCCTACCATGCAAACTGGTATGAATAACATTTTGTTATGCAAATGGGCTTAAGAGAGATTAGATGATTGGTCCTAGGCTAGATAAGTAATAAATAGTAGAGCTAAGATTATAGCCATGATCGGCCGGGCGCTGGTGGCTCACGCCTGTAATCCCAGTGCTTTGGGAGGCTGAGGTGGGTGGATCATGAGGTCGAAAGATCGAGACCATCCTGGCCAACATTGTGAAACCCCATCTCTACTAAAAATACAAACATTAGCTGGGCGTGGTGGCACGCACCTGTGGTCCCAGCTACTTGGGAGGCTGAGGCAGGAGAATCGCTTGAACCCGGGAGGCAGAGGTTGCAGTGAGCCGAGATCGCACCACTGCACTCCGGCCTGGGAGACAGTGCTAGACTCTGTCTCAAAAAAAAAAAAAAAAAAAAAAGGTTATAGCCCCAACCTTCTGAATTCATGTGCTCATGGAAGAGTGGCAAATGGAAAGCCAGTAGGGTCAGGCAAGGAGGCTGCAGGTGCAAAGGCCTCTGTGCCTGACTTCCACCCGCCCTACTCTCCTCGAGGTAGAGGAGCCACGGTCTGCTTTACAGCAGCTAGTGAGTTGCCCGGCTTGTTTATATGCTCCATCTGCCCATGTAGACTTTGATGGCCTCCAGGGAGCTCAGAGAAATGATCCAGCTTTATGCTGTCCCATCAAAAAAGGGCAAATAAAGAGCTTGCCTCCCTGCCAGGATGTCTTAATCGCTTTCACTGGAAGCCTGAGTCCACAATTTGCATCCTGCAGTTTAGGAAAGACAGAAAACCACACTGGAAGATAGAGAAGGTGGCCTGAATAAAGACACCTTGGTCTTGGTGGGGGTTCAGGATGTGGTTCCCAGGGCCGGGCAGAGAGGACATTCGAGATGTTCTCTCTGTCTGAAACACGCTGTGTGGCGTAAGAGTCGGGGAGTAGATAATTGCTCCAGAGTGCCTCCCATGGCATTCCCCTTAGGAATTTCAACAATAAATCACATCCTTTCATTTACATGTAAATATTTGCACATATAGCACCAAGGTGATATCGCTGAGAAAGCAGCAATCAAGAGAGGTACCTTCCCTGCATGGACTCAGTCACATATGCACCCCAAATGTCTGAATAGGCTTTTCAGGACCAGTAGTGTACAAGTGATGCTCTGACCTCTGGTCTCAGACATTTTCCAGTGAACCACCAGCACATCATCTAAGTGAAGTGACCCACACACTCTACCAAAATATGGCTCTTTCATTCACTATGTCACCTTAAAGCACAATACACATTCACACAATGGCAGTCGGGTCCTAAGTGTAATTGGACATTGGCAGAATGATCTGAGATCAAAGCCTTCTTTATACAGAATTCTTTTCCTACCCAACCCCACCAGGGACAGTTCAAGGCCCTATCACCTTCAGAGAGTGCCTAGTGAGACCCAGGTGGGCTGACCATATTAATTGGCTGAACTTTCAACAGCTAGTGCTGCTCTGCCTCTTACTTGATTGGAGTTAAGGTTTATTTTGCAGTGTATGTGTGACTTGGGCCTGTCCGGTAACTGTTAGTCTTTTGTTCTGATTGCTGCTTTGGCCTGGCTGTGGATATGGGATCTCCTAGTGAACCAGTTGAAGGTTTCTCCCAGGCAGAGTACTCCAGGATCCTAATCTATTATCCTCAGGTCCCCTGCACAGCTGAGGCCCCTCATAGATGAGGCTCCCAAGTCTGACATTTCAACCAGTTGAGTCCTTCCTTTTATTTTGGGGATAAGCAGTGGCTGGAACGCTGCCTTTTGAAGTTCCTGGTAAAGTCTTCCTCTGTTGGCAGCAAAGATGGCTGCCACTCACTCTTGCCCCTTGACCCTTAGTGGTTTTTATGATTAGCTCATGATCCCTGTGGAAGGCACAGGGAACCCTACCCTGAAGCAAAGTGTTAAAAAAGAGGCAGCAGTTTGGATAGAGGAGGAGTTGGGAGAACCTATGAGGACAGGCCTGGAGGACAGGTCTGGGTTAGCTTTGCCTCTACCCCAACTCAAGGCCTAGAGCTGCCAACAAAGGGAGCCCACCCAGCAGCTCACTCGCAAGCACTGGGAGGGCAGGTGTCTGAGGGCAAGCCTCTCCCACTACACAGGGCTGCCCACCACAACAACTGTGGTGTGCATAGAGTGTCAGCTATGCCCTCTCCACCTGCATTTGCCCTTGTGAAAAGGGAAGTTAATAAAATCCATCTGATAGGGTGGTCATGGTGCTCAAAAGAGATCATGTGGGTGAAATATCTTTGGAAATTCCAAAGTGCTCTGCAGATGGGAGCTGTTGTCTCCGCGATGTTTGCTGTTTCACTCTGACTCCTTCACCCCAGGCCCAGGCAGTGCCAGATTACAGGGACCCCCGCTTTGGTGGCTAAAGAAAGATGTACTGTTGATACCTGACAAGAATGGATTGTTTGTGATTATGGTTCAACTCTTATTTCAGAAAGTGAAATGAATACAATGTATGCCGGTCATGGACACTAAAAAGCGTTTTCATACCATTTTGGGAGTTGTCAGCTTTGATTTATTAAGTAAAGTTCTGAGACAGGCTGCTGGTATTCTGTCAGTCTCCTGAAAATGGATGGACCTCACTGCTGCCTGTGCCATGGTGAACGTGCGTCCAGGCACCTCCATCCTCAACAGGTGCATCCATTGGAAAAGCCGCACCTGTGACTCCTGGGTGCTGCCCATTTCACACCGTCTCCACCTTCTGTCTCTTTCCCTTCTCTGTAGTGCCCCATCATGACCATCAAGTGCCCGTTCTCCCCACCGCCCTTTAGTCAAATGTCTGTGACTAGACATCTCTGCGTTGCCCAAGCCTTTCTCCTTCTGCAGCTGATTTCCGGTCAGCAGGGACAGGAGAAATAGAAAGCCTCTACCTGAGCAGGTGGCCATCGGGACCCCATTCCTTTCCCAAACTGTGTGGTCCTGTTACTGGAAAGGGGCCTCAATCCAGAGAGGGTTCTTGGATCTCACATAAGAAAGAATTCAGGGCAAGTCCATAGAGTAAAGTGAAAGCAAGTTTACTAAGAAAGTAAAGAAATAAAAGAATGGCTATTCCACAGGTAGAGCAGCCCCAAGGGCTGCTGGTTGCCCATTTTTATGGTTATTTCTTGATGATGTGCTAAACAAGGGGTGGATTATTCATGCCTCCCCTTCTGAGACTGTATAGGGTAACTTCCTGACATTGCCGTGGCATTCGTAAACTGTCATGGCACTGGTGGGAGTGTAGCAGTGAGGACGACCAGAGGTCACTCTCATCGACATCTTGGTTTGAGTGGGTTTTGGCTGGCTTCTTTAACACAAACTGTTTTATCAACAAGGTCTTTATGACCTGCCTCTTGTGTCGACCTCCTATCTCACTCTGTGATTAAGAATGCCTTCACTTACTGGGAATGCAGCCCCACAGGTCTTAGCCTTATTTTATCCAGCCCCTATTCAAGATGGAGTGGCTCTGTTTTAAACACCTCTGACATTTCCCAACTCCCTTTTATAAGAGAACTCTTAATCCTAAGGGTTGTAGAGGAACGAAGATCCATCTTCTGTAACTTCTTCATGCTGAATAGAGGTGATGATATTTTTGCCAAACTATGAAGGTCTCTTGTATTTAGGGTAGAGAGGAGCTCAGTCAGAAAGCTTTGGTATGTCAAGGGCCATTTATAACTCTTGAGTTCCAACAAAAGGTGATATCTGGAAGAGTGATAAGCATTCAATTTAAGAAAACATTGAGTAAGCTTATTCTGCATTCCTACACAGAGAGTCCAACAGCAATATAACAAAATAAGCAAAATTATCCCATGTAAACTAAATTAGAAGGCTTTCCATGAACTGGGCAACTGTTGGGAACCAAGCTGATATAGAGTTGCTAGTTGATTCCAATATATGTCCAGGATTAGAATATTGATCCAATCCAGATTTTTACATTACTCAGACCTCTTGTTTCTTCTGAGTAGCAGCCTGAGATTACTGGTTGGTTTACAGGAATAAGCGGGGTCAGCCTACATTGCAGGAAAAAAACAAACAACTGATGAGACTGGAATTTAATAACAGGTATACCATAGTTCTTGAAACATAATTTTTCTCTCTCCAATTTTCCATTTTCACTAAAGACAAATCATGGTGAGACTGATTTACTTGATTTTACTTGGCCTGATTATTTGTATAAAGTGCAGCAAGAATAATTATTTCACATAGGCTTTTAAAATTGGCTTTGATGAAACTCTGTTCCATAAGTAATCTCAGATAAGGCTTTTTAAAAAGCCAAGCCCTGCGGTGGGTTTGTACCCTCAAATACCTATGAGTTGGGTAAGTTACTCTCCTGTTGAGGTCCCAAGATGACCTGGGCTCCTAGACATGTCAGAAAGTGACATTCTTTACTTACCACAGGTCAGGAACCCTGTACAGGGACTGTGTAGAGAAGGTATGAGGCCAGTTTCCCAAGGGGCTTTTATTGGCTCTATAAGTTTGATTCCTTAAAGAAAGCACACCATTTCAGTCAGAGACATGGTAAAATAACCAGTTTCTCCAATTGTGTCCTGTTACAAAAGAAAATAGATTCTTATTACACTTATGTAAATAACTATATTGCCATAAGTTAAGAACACGAGTAACTTCCAAATTCTGAAGCAATCAGGTAGAGGGAAACAAATGTGTTCCAAATTCTGTTTACAGGAGTGTACTTTACTCAATTGCTTCAAGCTGTAAATAGCTCAACAGAAGAGTTTTCTTAACTCTGAAAAACAAAGCAAAGGATTAGCAATGTTTTAAACAAAAAGTTAAAAAAGATTACTTCAGACTTCTATTAGTTTACTATTAGTTTAGTCCATGCAGTTAACTCCTATTCTGCTTGATGTTCATGAACATTTCAGCTCTCCATGAGTCCTGAAAGTTTGTTCCTCCATTCTAGTGTCACAATCTCCAAAGTTATCAGAAACTTGCATTTAAGAGCACCTGTTAAGGTCCTATATTGATTATAAGCCATCTTTTTTTATAAGCCACCTTTTGAAGAGGATTAAAACAAGACAACAATTGTCTGTGGATGACAAAATGTTTAGGGCAGCCACAGTCAAAAACATGACTAACAAAGAAATGTGGTTACCTCTGTGGCATACAATGATTTTATGTAACAATTCTTATTATTACTGATAATCTACACCAAGTGCTATCAGAATTATAGGAGTTACACATAATTTTGGAACACATACCAGTAAGATATTTATACAAATACAGCCCAAAGAAAGCCAAATACCATTTCATTTTTGACAATGCTTCCTGTATGATTTTTATACCAAAAAAGCCAAATTTCACCCTTCCGTTGGTATACTATTACTGTTAAACCCTATTCTTAATAAAAGCTTATAGATAAATCTATCCAATTGTAATGCCTGACCATAAGGTAAGATCTTCATAAACCTTTTATAACCCTTTGTAATTTTGTTAAAGAGCAGATTATAGGCAGGTTTTCTTTTCACTCTAAGAAAAACTCATTATGCTTTTATTCAAATGTTTAATTTATGGAAAAACTGTATAATACCCCCTTAACTTTAGCCAATATGTCCACATACACAATTTTTTTACAAGACTAATTTTTTTACAAATCTTTCACAATTTGTTCAACTGTTCAGTTTTATCTTATCTAACTTAAAACAATCCTTTAAACCTCCAAACTTAAGTAAGAAATCCATATTCTCACAGCTTCTTATAATCTTTTACCAAAAATGCATTTTACTTTCTTTATACACCTTGCGTGTGAAATTTTTTTTTGTTTGTCTGTTTTGTTTTGTTTTGTTTTTAGTAGTCTCAAATACGTGTCACAATGTTAACTCTTAGCAATTTTTACTTTTGGTGAAAACTGTGGTAAGTAAGGGATTTTCATTATGTACTAGGTGTGGAGCCTAGGACACCAGACAGAAGACCAAATGTCTTTATTTTACCAACAATCTTTAAAGTGATTTTTATTTCCCAAAGATTACTGAAGTCATGTGACCTAAAAGGCATGATAATTTTTATTTTTCTGTTAAAATATTTGATTTAAGCTTCTATTATTTTTAAACGAATTAATTAAAGCTCTTTCATATATAAACATCACACACATAACATATAAATGCACAGACAGATGGAAGAAGATCCAGTAGTTGTAAGATTTTTCATTTGCCAGTTTTTAAGTTTCTCTTTAAAGCATGAAGTTTCTAGGGCCTAATAAGCAGGCACAACTGGAAGGCAATACAGATCTCCAGAAATTAAGGTACCCATTTTTACACCAGATCCTGAATCCCAAAAAGGGAATCAGCCCATTCCCAAAAGTACGTTTCCTACCTAGTTACTACACACCAAAGCTCTCTCATAATGCAAAGTAATTTCTGATATCCCCAAAAGTTAAAACCATCAGATAACACAATGCAAAACAGAAGAGAACCTTAGATTTTGAGAGGAATTGATCCACTTTTAATTCCTGAGGTTCCATGAGGAAAACAGAGGTTTTTTGTGTTTTTTTTGTGTGTTTTTTCCCCCCAAACAAGGTCTGTGGTACCTCCTCTGTTTTTCCCAAGGAACTACAGGCCGTTGGAGCCTGAATATCTGCTTTTAATTAAGATGACTTTTAACTATAGCACTCTTTTAAAAAGTCCTTTAAATCTTTTTTTATCCAACTTTAGCCATGCCAAACAGCCAACATTTCTTTGCTCAGAAAAAGGAAAATTTAAGGTAATTCATAGAAGGGAAGAGAATAAACAAATGGTAAAGGTCAAACAGATATTAAGCCAAGAATAACCCATTCTCTAAGCTGGGAATTGAGCCATGAACCCAGGCTGCCATTCTGAAAAGAGAAAGGACGGCCACATGGTAACAAGATCAAGCTTCTAAGGACATGGCTGACCAGTTTTCCGGGCCATCTTGAACAGCAGGTTTTTGGGGTCCTAGGCCCTCATTCTATCCTAAGGTACCCCTCTTTATGACAAAACAGTACAAAAAAGACACACAGAGCATACCAGATTCCCTGCAGCTTAAGATTAGCCTCACGAATTCTTTTTCTCATTAATAAAAACTTTGAACAGAGGAGATAAACAGTGATTTTTACCATTCATTCAACCAGTTTGCACAAAGAGAGAGAGCCCAGAAGTCTGATTGGTAAGAAGTTCTTACCCTTTTGCCAGCATGCCAGGCTTCTGGGTTCCCTTTCCCTGAGCAGCCCTAGTGACCCAGCTCACTGCACCATAGCCCTGGGTGCCAAGCTGCAACATAAGAGAAAGTTATCTTTTTCCATTTTTCCAGAGCAAAATACATGTGACAAAACATAGACACTGGCACTCTGCTTAGTACTCAATATCAAACTTGTAAGGCCCAAACTTGCCCCCAGTTGGGCCCCATCATCGTTAATCCACCCTCTGACCAGGAGTTTCAACTTGTGGTCGCTGGCCAAGATGGTTGCCCTGAGTAACAGAAAAGATCAAAAAGAGAAAGAGAAAAAAGCATTGTGCACAGCAGGGTGGGGAAGGCAGAGAGCTCAGAGAGGCCAGAGTAAGACCCACCATTGCAACAACACTGACAATTTCAGGTGGCTGCTTGTTGGTAGCAAAAGGATCTCTTCCAGCAGACCTGTTGGCTCTCAAGTTTCCCTTTTTTAGGGAGGAAAAAGCTCCCCATGTCCCAAGATCCTATACATGCTTAACTCTGTCACCCATAGCCTTCAGCAAAGAGTGCCAAGTAAAATAATCCAAAGAGAATAGCAGTTAACATCCTATAGTGCCAAACCCATTCTTAGCTGAGAGAGACTTTACCAAGAGAGGCCTCTAATTCCCTAAATCTTAGGAAGGACTCTAACCTTCCTAAGTTGGGCCTCAAACTCAAGTTCGGTCAAGTGTCCTTGCCTTTTATGGAGAGGAGCCTTTAATGGTTTCTGTCTTAGGAGAGACTCCAACTGCCCTAAGTTGGGCCCCTAACCCAATCCCATCCTTTATCTGGGTACCCCACCACCTACCCAAAATCTGCCAATCAGTGCTGCAGTCTATTTCCTTTGGGTTGGAGGTCTCCTCAGTATCGTCCCTTCCATGGTTTGCCAGAAAGATGTTACCACACCACACTGCTTACCCAAGGTTAGCCTTTGGGTCTGGGGTTTCCTTAGTATTGTCCCTTCTGTGGTCACCAGAAAGATGTCACCGGACCCCACCACTTACCCAAAGTTAGCATTTGGGTCGGGGTTTTCTCAGTATTGTCTCTTCTGTGGTCACCAGAAAGATGTTACCGGACCCCCACCACTTACCCAAAGTTAGCCTTTGGATTGGGGGTTTCCTCACTATTGTCCCACCTGGGTTACCAGGAAGATGTTACTGGAAAGGGGTCCCCATCCAGACTCCAAAAGAGGGTTCTTGGATCTCGTACAAGAAAGAATTCAGGGCGAGTCCAGAGCATAAAGTGAAAGCAAGTTTATTAAGAAAGTAAAGGAACAAAAGAATGGCTACTCCATAGACAGCAGTTCTGAGGGCTGCTGGTTGCCCATTTTTATGATTATTTCTTGACAATATGCTAAACAAGGGGATTATTCATGCCTCCCCTTTTGAGCCCAGGTAGGGTAACTTTCTGATGTTGCCATGGCATTTGTAAACTGTCATGGCACGGGTGGGAGTGTAGCAGTGAGGATGACCAGAGGTCATTCTTGTTGCCATCTTGATTTTGGTGGGTTTTAGCCAGCTTTTTTACTGTAAGCTGTTTTATCAGCAAAGTCTCCATGACCTGTATCTTGTGCTGACCTCCTATCTCATTCTGTGATTAACTTACTGGGAAAATTATTTTAAGGCTAAATAAGTTAGCCTTATTTTACCCAGCCCCTATTCAGGATGGAGTTGCTCTGGTTCAAACACCTCTGACGGTCCCACTCACTAGCCGTCGGGACTCCAGTTATCGCTTAGGCATGCTTTGGTTTGATTGCATAGCTGACTAGGCTGGAAGTCTCTGTGGGACGAGACTGGGCAGATCACAATTGAAAGCAGGACTTTGGGAATGGAGTTTCTCCCCAGTAGGATATACGGCAGAGTGAGTGAGCTCACCCACTCCAACCTCCCATGAAATCTCACTCACTGGAAGCATTTCTCATGCACCTTTACACTTGGAGATCTTCCAGATTGCCTTTGACTTCGAGGCAAGATCAAAGCCTGTCTCCAGCCCTGCAAACTTGCCTTTCATACTGATGGGGACACAGTTTGAACTGCATCAGTGGGTTTTCCATTAGTGTTTTTTTCTTGTTTTTGTCTTGCTCAGAGACCGTATCTTCCTCCCAGAGAGCTGCTCTGTGTCATCACTTGCTGCTCTGATAATGCAGGATATTGTCCTAAAGGGCAGGTGAGAACGAGGACACTGTTATATAGAAATGTGAGCCAGCCCCTCAGTTTGACTTTGGATTGTGTTCAGTTAGGCAGGGAGTCCAGGGATCAGATGAACTCAGAACTCACAAGTTCCTCACAGCACCAAGTAAAGGCCCTGCATTTACAGAAAGAAAAAAAAAAATCTGTGATGCTTGGTCCTTCTGAACTTGACCCATATTCTCTCCGATGGAGAGGCCAGCTCTCAGTCTGACTGAAAGGATATGATATTGAGTCAAACTCATGGTCGGCCCAGTGTTCTGTCTATGACAGGGCTCAAAGGGACATTGGCCATTTGGCAGGTGGCAGTCCACTTTCTGTGAGTAAATGTGTCCTCATTACCAATAACATTAACTGGCCCATTACAGCCCCTAATTGTTGCTCCATCACCTCCATATCACCTGCAGTGGGAATGAGGTCTTCAGTTTCATTTTATAAACCAACACGTGTAGGCCAAGCCAGGTCTGACCCTGAAGCTCTGCAAAGACAAGACCATCTGTCCCACATGAGCACTGTGTTCCTAGGATGAGGTCCCAAGTGAAGGTGGATGAAGGATATTGGGGGACTTAGTCTGAAAAAGAAGAGGATGAACCCCAATATGGTCATGGTCTTGCAGTGGATATATGCTTATGGTGAGAAGGAAGGGGCCAGGTGTCAGCCCTCTCCACTGAGAACAGAGTAGATAGAAGAGGATTTACATTACAGAACCCTGAGAGATTTAGACTTGATATGAAGGGAGGTTTTTTTCATGGCAAAGAGAGTTACATTCTAAAATGAGCTCATAGAAATTGCTTAGAAGTTCATACATGGCCGATTGAGCAGGGGCATCCATGTGGAAAGGGACAGACTGGACCTGATATCAATGTGCTGTCTCTGTCTGTTGTCCTGAGTGCAGAGTCCAGATAGAGCTCCTGACAGAGCTGGCCCTCCGAACAGCAACCACTCACAGGCAGGCTCAGCGGCTCCCCTTCCCTCCTCACCACCTCCTCTGAAAGCGCTCTCTTCTCTCCTCTGCCGTGCCTCTTCTCTGCTGCAAAGCTCAGTGGACACGCATCCACTCCTCACCCTACCCCATCCTCACCTGGTGCAGGGCCTGCCCAGGGCTGATCCAGAGCTGGAGAAAAAAACGGGAAGCAAGGTTACCCCCTAGGACTGCTATTGTGCTTCCTTATTTCAACCCCGTGGTCCACCTTGACGATGTATGAAGCCTTTGTCTTTTCCTGGAGGATTTAAGTAGGAAAAAACCAACTATTGGGTAGGTGAGCATGACTAAGACCTTCGGGGCCTGTTGAGATTCAGAAGACCACTGCCAACAACAATGAAAGCGGATGCCTAGACACTGACTATGATGAAGATGACGCTGTAGGGTGCACAGGAGCTAATAAGTCTCAGGTTTGTTGCTGCAATTAATTGCAATGTAATGGATATAACTTTCTTTCAATAAACAAACATTTGTCAAATACTTATGGAACTTGGTCCTGGGGATACAAGATCAATAAGATGGACCTCTGCCTTTGAGGGCACAGCCATCCATTGGGCCAGACTAACCTGTAAACGAATAATGAATTACAGCAATCTTATGGTGCCATAGAGGGATTTATTCAATAAGCTCAGACACCACAGGAGAGTCTTTTTTTAGGAGGGATTTATTTTTGAACGCCTTCTACATGCCTGGCATTGTGCTGGCTGCTGGGGATATGTGGAGAAGAAGCAGACATAAGCCTTGCCCTCCTGGGGCTTCCAACTAGGTTAACACGCCTCGCTCTGCCTAGGGAGCTCAGACAAGGCTCCATGAAGGAGAAGACCCAAGTCTTGAAGCAAGAAAGCTGTAGTTGTTCCAGACAAACAGGATGAGGGCCCTCTAGACAGAAGGAACAGAATATGCAAGAGGACAGTAGACCCCTTTATCTGCAGGGGATATGTTTCACAACCCCCAGGGGATGCCTGAAACCACAGATAGTCCCAAACCCTATATACACTATGTTCTTTCCTATCCATACATACCTACGATAAAACTTAATTTATAAATGAGGCACAGTAAGAGATTAACAACAATCACATAATAGAACAATAACAATATGCTGTTGACAGTTTCACAAATAGAAGATTCATTCTTACTATAGATGTTAGCAACCTGAGTGTATAATTTTTTCCTTCCTCATTTGAGAACTTTCACTTTTTCACTTATAGAAAGCACTTTACAGCTTCTTTTTGGCATCTCCAAATTGCCAGCATCACTAATCTTGCTCTTTGGAGCCATTATTAGGTAAAATAAAAGTTACTTGATCACAGTCACTGTGATACTGTGAAATTCAACCTGAAAACCCAGAGGGCTACTGAGTGACTTACAGGCAAATAGCATAGACAGCCTGGAGAAATTGCACAGAGGGATGATTCAAGGTCTGAGCAGGATGGAGCTGTTCTGCACAAGATTTTATCACGCTACCCAGAATGGCATGCGATTTAAAACTTAGGAATTTTTTGTTCCTAGAATTTCCCACATATATTTTCAGTCCACAGTTGTGAGAGAACTGAAATCGGAGCGTGAAACCTTGGATGAAGGGGGACTAATATGTGTAGGTGGGAAAGCGTGGCCTTTTGGAGGAAGTTTATAAAACTTCCCTGTTGATTATTTTCTAACTCCATCCCCAACTGCCCTTTCAACTCAGATTCTCAGATCCTATGAGTAATGGAAAATAAGACTAAGGAGATGTGGCCTGAAAACATTAACTGAGATCCTTAAACTTGACCCTGGGCGCTGAATGTTCTTGAAATCTTTGATTTTCAATGAGCCAATCCTTATGCTCATGAGCTTCCTACAGAAATCATATATAAACCAACAAGCAACTAGTCCGGATTTCCTTAGGTTCTAGAGTTGAAATATGCATGAGATGCCTCTTTCCACTAAAAGAAAGATCAAAATAATAACTCTGTGCTCAAACTCTGCATCTCCAATATAGTGTGAAAAGGCAGAGATTACCAGGGTCAGGAGACACCCATATAACTTAATTTCCATAATGAATCTTATTTTTTAATGTATCGCTCTGCCAGGCCAGATTTCTCAACGTTCATGTCCCTAGTGAGAAGTCGATTATGTTTCTCTAGCTGTGTACACTTTCCTTCCTGCAATCAAGAGTATAGAATGCACTCTGTACGAAGTGCAGCAGGAAGAGGATTCATCCTTGTCCACTTAAATATTCATGACAGCTTGCATTTTGGTTCAAAAAGACACTTGTTTATTTAGATAAGATTTAATTTATTCATAATTTACCTAAATTTGCAGGAGCGTGCATGTACATTTTAGCGTATAAGTAGCGTAATACATAAAACATTACCGAAGCATGCAAATTGTACAGTGACAGCAGAGGAACCCGCCTGGATGTTTCAGGGAGATAACACACTTCCACCACAGCAAAGACCTTCACACAATGGCCTCGATTGTTTGCCTGTAATATGCTGACTCATCATTGTCTTTTTACCCAAGGCAAACCAGTCATTAAAAACAAAATGTATGTAATATAAAGTGATGTTGAAGAACAGCTTTCTGGAACCAATGCGGCATTTCCTCCTCTCCTCCCTGATCAGGAGTCATTTCCTGCATTGATACACATCCAACCCCTTTTCCTCCAGCCCCCCAACAAAACAAAACACAACTTTTCAATGCCCTTTCCATTCCCAGTTAATTAATGCCAACCTTACATTTATATTCATTTATTCAACTAATAATCTTCATCCACGTGTTGCATGTAAACACTATTCTAGGCTATTTCAGCAGCCTCATAGGGTGTCTTATCTTCCTCCCCCAAAAGACAATGAGCTCTCTGAAGGCAGGTGCCTTCACCCCAGTATTGCTGCACCCAACCTTGACTATGGTCTGTTGTACATGATCAATACATGTTGATGATCTTGATCATTGTTTTTCAGCAGCATATGGAAATTTCTAGAAATACAGGCACAAAGGCGCTCTCCATGGACGCTGTTTCTGTGAAAAACTTTTTCATGGCTCATCGCTGGCTAGAGGCTTGACATACTCTTCACCCTGACCCGTACAGAAGAAGAAAAGCCAAGTCCTCCCTTGGAGGCAGCCCATGCAGTACCTCTTCTTCCTTGGTATGCAGGTCTCTCCAGCCACAGCACTGTTTACAGGCCTGGGAGCAGGAATGTGAGAGACACAATCTGAAGTGAGCATAAGATTTAAAGGAAGGGAATTTGTTTGGAGACTTTGCTACCTAGAGGCATTAAAACTTTATCATGCCAAACAAGTCCCGTTTTTCTTTATTTATGGATCATATATTTCCCCCCTTTATTACTGCCATACATTTTTCCAACCTGACAGCTGATAACACTGAAAATTCACTGCTAGCAAAAAATTCCATTTACCACTGTCTGAGATAATAATTTCAGAATTAAAGGAAAAAAATACATATACATCTATATGCAAAAATATCCATATTTATTGTTAGCCCTTGAACTCATACTCCATGCTGAATATGGACTCAGGGTTTTGAGAATCACACTTGATCAGAGGGAGGCGCTTTAAAAAACAGAAACCTCAAATGTCCCCTCTTACCCATTAACTATTAACAGGGAAGAAATATCAAAGCAGGTTATCTTGGTTTCTCCAGAGTTGGCAAAATTTAATTTCAATTTGTCAAATGTGCCACTATGGCAGAGATTTCTTTTTCCCCATGATTTATTAGAAATGTTATAGAAGGTGCAGTCTGGCCCTAGAGTGATTTGAGCCAGTCTTCTTGTTGAAGTTTCTTTTCCTTTGGCTCGCTATCCAAATTCACAGGAAGGGGAAAAATAACCTAAGAGATAAAAACCACAAGGGGGAAAAAGAAAGAGAGAAATCAATGTATTTTAAACATGATGACAGGATGGGTCGTTCAAATTGCTTCTGCACATTGATTTAAAGCATGCCCAGTAGAAACCTCTATTATATTAACAATCCTTTCCCTTCATTTCAATCATTGTAGTTGCTGTATCTTATTACCTTTCAGACAGATGATGTCCAAATATAATGTTGAGGGAGATTTTTTGTTATTATTATTTGTTAGAGGGATGATGGGCAATGACTTACAGGTCTGGGGACAGGATTAGTAATATAAATAACGTGAATTCCAAATAACCCAAGATAATGATAAATCAACTATGCATTTAACTACAGATTATATCCTAGACCTATTTCTGTAAATGGCAGTTCTTTGGGGCTTTAGGAGTGTAGAGAGATAGGATGTATGCCTGGACATAGACTGCGAGCTGCTAGAAATGGATAGCAAGTTGCTGTCCCATGTGAAATAAACAAAGCTTCCATTGTGAGAGGTAGTGTTATGCTTTGACAAAATCACCTTTAATCACAATAGTTTGTCACTGAGGTACCGTTGCCAGACCACTGACATCTTTTGTAAAATTACTTTTAGTTAGCCTACCTATGCTTCAGTTCAGAGGAGATGGAGTCATTATTCCCTGTGTTGCTGTGACACTTTCACAGCAGAGTAAGTTCCTGGATGTAGCGAGGATTGGAAGAGGTGGGAAGAGGAGTTCTTTTAAATCTGGACCTGTGTCCTAGACAAGATCCGATTCCCTCGTAATTATTGTGGAAGTAATTCCATGATAGAGACTCCTACCCACCAATTCACCAGGTTTCTCTTCCACTCTGAGTCTAGACATGTCCTTATCTAACAAGTTCATAGTTTTGAATTCAGAGTTTTGAAATATTATCTCAGCTATATTTGATAATTTTCTTCTTTGTACTCAAGGAAAAAGAAAGGAGATTAATTTGTATTGAACATTTACTAGCTGTCAGACACAGAGCAAGTGTTCTTACATGTATTGTCTCCCTCAGGGTTCTAAGGCTGGTTTTATTAAACCTATTTCACAGTTGAATAAACTGGATTTTAGATGAAGTTATCATTTACCCAAGGCCACACACTTGTTAAAGACCAAGCTTGGATTTGAACCCAACTGGCTTTTTAATCCAAAAGTTCTATTCTTTCCTCTAAACCACGCTACTCTGAAGCTGTTTGTTAGTTCATTCATTCAACCCCCCGCCCCCCAAAAAAATACTTAACAAATATCTTCTATGGGTCAGGCCCATAAATGTCTGAGGGACTGAAAATACCAAAGCAAGGACCACACTGACCCAACCATTAGGGGTCTCAGGTTCTGTTAGAAGGCAGCACACAAATAAGTTTGTTGTTCTGTAAGAAGAGCTACAGCAGAGTCAGGCACAGGATGTCATGCGAACATCTGTGAGGCTTCCATGACCACCAGGTTCAGGGAAAGCTTCCTGGAGGATGCAGCCCTATGTCAAATCTCACCATGCAACACTTGCATGCTTCATCCCCCTGGATAACGTCCACCTTGTGCACTAGGAGATGATAACTCTTTTATTGACTCATTCTGCAATGAGGAGTTAAGGAAAAAATTCTCAACATTTTCTCTTCTCTCCACAAGTCATATGCACAACAGAAAGTTGGCTTTCTTGCTACCACATTGTTTCATTTGGTAAATAAGATAAAGAAAAAGAACTTTATCCTCTAGGAGTCCCAGGTAGGCACCTTTAACCAGATTGTCAATACAGTAAAGATGTTTTGAACTGTTTAGTTTAAGTTCAGGCACTCTGTTCATCTTCCGTATATTGGCTTGGCTCAGACCCTTATCATATACTTTAGAATCCTGGTAAGGGCACAAAGGCTGTTTATCAAGGCTTCATTGGAGTCAGGATTTATATCAGGGAGGAACCTTAAAGGTATCAGATTGAGTAGTTTTCCTGTGGCATCTTTGTGTGAGTTATGCCAACTGAACCATCAGAATGAATAGGTCTCTCAAGAGACCACATTACTTCTGACATCAACTGCAAGGGCAAAAGGGTCCCCAAGCCACTGTCAGGTTTCATAATTTTTGAGAAGTACTCACAGAACTGACTGAAAACTATTGTTTGCACCGTTAAGGTTTATTGTGGGGAAATGATTAAAATAAGCTACAGGAAGAAGAACACAGGAAAGCATCTGGAGAAGTACAGAATGCAGAGCTTTGTCCATCTTCTTCCCCTGGAGTCAGGACATGTTACTTTCCTGGTATCAATGTGTAACAATTCATACCAAGTATCGTCAAAGACGGGGCAGCTTACCTGAACCTCCGTGTTCAGAGTTGTTACTGGGGCCCCACTACAGAGGCAAGCTTGATTGATTGATTGCCCATATGGTTGATCTCAGTCTCTAGTGCACTGGTGCCTCGAGAGCCAAAGCCCCCACCCTAAATCGCATTACTAGACTATCCAAGTGTGAACCAAATCCCCTAGGCAAAGGAAGGCACTAGAGACACTAGCAAAGGTACTGGCAAAAGCCAGACCTCTTTAGGGGATTATATTCTTTACAACACCACACTTCAATACCCATCTCCTAGGTACACTCCTTCATGTAGAATCTGTGTCCCCCTCTGAGCCCCCATAGCACTTTGTCCATGCCTCTGTTCACACTGATGATATTATAAATTCCTTGGGGCTAGGGACCACATCAAAATTCTCATTCTGCCTCCAATACTCAGCACATATAGGATCAAACACGTAGTGGGCATTTCATAAATTTTAGTTGTGTTTGTTTAAAATTTGATAGGGAAGTCCATCTTTGGATTTGCAAGGAGCTTCAATCTTTCTGGCTGCTCTGCTTTTCTTTTCTGGCTGACTTATGGTTTGTTTTAATGTAATTCTTTTCCTACATTCAAGTTCAGGACATCACTCATTGTTAAAGTTTCTACCAGCCTATTTATTCCTTGGCTATACCTTAGCATCCACAAGGGGTCAAAGAACCTTCTTAAACCTGAGCAAGTGCCACATACCTTCTTGGGCATGTCAGTGATGTTTATAGGAGACAATTATTCCCAAGCCCTGGGAGGTATAGAGCCTAAAGCAGCTCTTCTTTGTTTTGAATTGTTTTCTGCATGGGGTGTCATTATTAAATATAAGTCTTCAGGAGAATTCAACTCACTGAGGATTAATCACAGGCCTTTCACTGGGAAACTCCACGATGGTAGAAACAGAAAATTTCAAACAAAATTATGTTCTGGAAAGTAGGGAAGTGGCAGGGAAACCACTGCAAAACACACAACTGGAGGCACCTGGGTTGTTTCCCCCTATATCTGTTTGTTGTCCTGTGTTTGTTGGCACGTGGGTGGAGCTGCCACGCTCTGAGCATGGTCAGTAGGAGGAACACTGACAAAAAAGCAATGATTTGTTTGCTGTGAGCTTCTAATTATGTGCCAGCTGTGGTGCATTCCTTGTGTGTCTGGAATGGTGGCACAGGCCAGGGCCGCAGGGCCAGCTGCACAGATGAGAGTGCTTTGGCAGTGCCATTCTATGCAGTCCAGCATGAGGTGCGCCGGTGAGGAAGGCCTTCAAGGATGTTGCTGAGACTCCTGTTCTGAGAATTCTCTTCTTTACAAATCAGATAGGGCAAGACTCTTAGACGTCAGAATTTCAAACCAATCGCATCTCAAAATAATTTTTTGTCACGGCATTCACAGTGCTCTTGAGTGATCTGATTTCTAATTTTTCCTCAATAGTGAGCAGATGAGATGATCGCCAATGTCATCAGTTTTTTCTCTTTCCTGCCGGGAGCCAGTCTGATAGAAAGGATTCTTGGGGCTTCTGAAAAGGCAAATAACTTCCACATTTTATCTGTGAGTCAGGCTTTTCTCTTAGGCCCAAATTGGATAAGATGTTAACCACGATACCGATTAATAGTTTCAGCCTAGCTCTGACTCATTCTGGTGGCTGCAGTTGTGTGGAAAGTAAGCCCTGGAAAGAAATCAAAGGCCCACCCAAATTCTGGGCCAAATGACCTATGACAACCTCACCTCCCAGCTTGCAAAACAGAGATAATGTGCTGGGATCAGAAAGCACTAAAAAGTGCCTCCAGGAACTAGAGGCGAACCTCAAACTGCAACTTAAATTTCTTTATGTATTGCAGTAGGTTACATTTTGGTGATATTTAGGCTATTCCTGGTACATAATTATAAAGTAGAAAAAGAATCTTAAATGAATAGAAGACAAACTTTCTCCCAAGCACTGGTACATTTGGGTCAATGCATTTGGAGACAGGGACGCTGAGAGCAACAGAAGTTGCAAGAAAAGGTGGTCAACTCCAAAGGCTGAAACAAAACGTAGACTTGCAAGGGAATAAAGCTTTAGGAAGCAGCAGGGTGTTAATTCTCCCTCATAAATCTGGAGTCAGATATAGGCTGAACCTCATTTTCAGGAATATAGGACTTAATCAGACCTGCAAAAACAATGAGCAAAGAGAAATGTGACCCTCAGGAAGATGGGCAATGTGTGATTTGAAATCAGCATTTGTTGAACAGCAGCAGGGAGCTGTGTGTGTCTGCAGCCTGTCTGCCTACCTGGAGACATGCAGCACTCGGGGGCTAAAGGTGTGAGGCCATACATTCATTGTACATATTAGCACATCACCAACTGTCTTCATAAAGAAATTCCAATTTTCATGTTTCAGCATGAGGAAACACTTTTGTGACTCCCATTCCCTGGCTCTCCAAAGGGAGGGCTGCTGATATTCAAAGGGTGCCAGTTAAGTGGGAGCCACAGATGAGTGGATAAAGAAACACACACTTGGCTAATACAGCAAAAGGTGTGCAGGTGGAGGTGATCAAATTCATCTCTGTCAACAGGGTTGCATCTGGCTGCGCAGACCTGCAGTGGGCAAACTGGTCTCAGAGCCACCAGTGAATCCAGTCTACTATAAATTATTTTAACTTGCACTTGTGTGTGCCTTTTTGTAATGTGTGGGTGTGCCTATTTCATGCTTCTAAGGGCTCATTAGCTCTGTAAATAAAATACTTAACTGAGGACAGGGAAAACTGGGTCCCCATTAGAGCAAGCTTGCTTCATCCTTGTGCCTCTTGCAGGAAGTAGGGTGGTGCTGGGTAACAAATCACTTCTGTTTGAAATAGTTGGAGACAAGCATCTAGGAGACCAGATAAGAGAACCTGAATGATCCTATTATGAGGATAACAGCAGTGAGAAGAGTCTATGGACAGCCGCACACGGACACATTCCGTTGATTTAAAGGTGGTGTGGCAGCCTGAAACGCGGAATTCTCTGCTTCAGATTGCTTCAGTGCAGACCTTTAACGTTATTTTAACATAGCTTGATCTGTGCACCATAGTGAAGTCTACTCGAACAAATCCATGTTAAAGGGAATATGCCGTCTGCACACCAAACAGAAACACGAAACAAACACTGTTAGATCCTTGAAGAATCGAAGCACAAGAAAGGCGTCCAGACCAAAAAGGAGTAGGTTTTCTATTTCTCCAGTTGCTGCCTCCTGAGCCACACTGACCCTTTCAAAATCTATGTCCGCTCATGAAAACATTCCCAGCGTGCAAGTCCAAGGCCATTTCTGAGAGCAGAGCCCTTCCAAAGAAGACCCTTCAGGACCACACATTTGCAACAGTAATATTGTGGCAGCACAAGCTTATCTCGCGATCTGGCTCTGCCATAATGAGATACAGAGCACTAGCTCTGAGTGGTTTTGAACATGCAAGGAACCTGCTGTCTTCAAATACAGTCCCGCTTCAAGCTTTCCTCACGATAGTCTCAGCTCTGGGAAAGGGAGGAGGTTGCCTTTATGTACAAGCATTTCCAGGGGTCTCCTTCTAGGAACAGGTTTATTTTAAAGCTATTATAACTTTCACATGTTTGTTTATTTCCTCCATCACATTTATCTCCCTGGCGTGTAATCATTGTGAGCGATTCACTTTCAAAGCAAACATGCATTGACCCCTTGGCCTTACACTAGTAGACGCTCAGTGTGCACGTTTAACCCAGCACTGAGCCAAAGGGAGGAATGTCTGTTCACACAGTGTGTGCACCTAGGATCATCCTTATGTGCTGTCAACTGTGAGAATAACTTGACCCTATTGTCCCATTTGGACTCCCTCTTGTTGTGGAATCTGGGACATGTGGCTCATTTTCCTCATCTTAAAAGTGTAAAGGCAGAAATACTTGATAAGGAAATAACATTGAATTTTTCAGTTTCCAATATTTAAGTAGTATAAAGCCAATTAAATATAAAGACTTAAGAAGCACATTATCTGTACAGTTTAGAGGGTTAGATGCATTAATATCTGTGTGTCAACCAGTTCTATGCCAGGAAGGCAATTTCTAAACAATGTTTTACAAATAATGAGACATTCCAAATGCTCAGCCAAGAGTATGATCTTGTCATTAGTCCCTTGGCCATCTGTTATGTCAAACCCTCACCTCAAATTGTTTCTCTAAATTTACAACTTCGGGTTCATGCTTTAATAGAAAGGCATTAGGATCCCCTCAGGAAATACTATAGGCCAAGTATACTTCAAAAAAAAACTAGAAAATACATATTTTCTGTTGTAAGTGACCCCTTTCCAACTTCTAAATTTGGGGTAAAAGTCACTCAGGGACTCATTCTGCAATTGCTGAGTCAATTAAGGAGGTTTCCATGTATTGCTTCTAAGGTGTCTTGGTCCTCTTAGAATTAAATGTACCTATTTGCTTGAAGAAAGTGGTTCAAAGAATGCTTTCAGTCAGGGCAAGGTTTACCTGATGTCTGGGATGGCTATTCAAAAGAAAAGTGGTTGGGTAAAGAGAGAGAGAGAGAGAAAGAGAGAGAGATAGAGAGAGACAGAGAGACTGACTTAAGAGAGAGAAAGAGAGACAGAGAGAGGCAGAGAGATTGACAATAAATATTGAGCATAGCCTCCAAGAAAGCTGTGCCCTGATTCAGTCCAACATTTCTCTGGCCATCACCGTCCTCATGGAACATTACCTTGGTGAAGGTGATCTCACACCAGTGAATAGGTGGGATAATAGTGACCTCAAAATTGAGCCTAAGCCAACAGCTATCAGTGAGCATCATGCCGGGTATTTGATACTTACCCAACATCCTGAAAGTAAATATCACTGTCCCTGTTTTATAGGTGCAGACAGTGAGGCCCATACAAAATAAACAATTTGCTTGAGAACCAAGAGCTAATAAGTAGCAGTGCCAGGCTTCAACCCCAATCTCCTATGATCCACAGTCCATGCTCCTAACTGCTATGCTGGGGGTTTAGCATCTGTGAAATCTGGGTGATAGTAATGCCCAGGGTGGTATTATTCACATCAATGAAGGCATATGTGGCCGTACCCCTTGCCCATAAAGCAACATCTTGGTAATTATGTGATCTTTTTTCTGATTGCTCTAATAAAGGAACAGGGGTTACAAAATGCATGGAGGCCCAGGATGTAGTCATTAGTGACATAAACAATGATACCCCTCCTTGGCACAGGGAGTGCACTATTTGAGAAGAAATCATTTCAAGAGCTTTCACATTCAGCTGCTATGCTAAGTTAGTTTTGCATCCAGGCAGTTAGACAATGAATGCGTCTGGCACGAACACCTTCCTAAGTGCCTGCCTGTCCAATCCCTGCTTAGCTGGCTCTTAACAGCCGCTCTAAAATCGAAACACTAAGAGATGACTGTCACCGAGCCACCTGTAGAATCCAGGGATGCAAAAGGATAAGTCCCTCATTTAATTGTAAATGTGAGCTCCTTGCAGTCCAATTCAGAGGCCTGTCACTTAGAAATGTTAATGCTATTTATTGTAGCGTGCATGGGATAATGGCATTTCTCAACATCTGTTTTCATTAAAATTTCCAAGTTGCCTTTGTGTTCCATTCTGTGGGCGCCACTTGGTAATGATGCTGTTCATACTTATGAAGCAGGAGGATGGAAAGTGGCAAGTGGGAACCCAAACAAAATATTATTAATGAATATTTGCAGCTGCTGGTGGGACTTGGTGAGAAGCTGCCAACACTGGTGACAGAATTCATCTTGTAAAATGTACCTATGATAAATATTGACCAGAGTGATTAGCAAGGGTTGTTCATTCATGAACAACTTCCAGGTAAGCCAGCGATGTGATTTCCAGCAGTAAGGGGATGGGTTTTTTTTCTTTTGCAAGGCAACCAAAGGTTTAAGATCATAACATGGCTATTAATGCCATACTCTTGGATTTATTTTTGTACCTTGAAAGGTTTAGTCTGGAAGAAAAACAAAAGAGGCAGATTGCTTGTGTGGTTAGAGAAATAACTGTGGAAAGACTATGCACATCTTTCCAGGCTCAGGACAAAACTCACTCCCTCCCAACAGCCTTTCTTGGCAAATCCAGTCTTCTGAAAACCTCCCTCTACATTCCCGTCGCACTTGTCTGACTCTGTTACACTCTCTTAGCATTTAATCAGAGTTTGCCTTTTAATGATAAAGGTTTTCACATGTGTATTTCCTTGTTTCCTATGTATACTGTAAGCTCTTCAAACATACCCATTCTTACCTCTCCTCTTCCTATTTTGACCACACTATAGTCCCTATGCTTGGTCCCTGGCACCCAGTAGGTTCTCACTAACTATTTCTTGATGAATGACAATGTAAATGAACACATGAGCATTGGGAAGTAGGTTTCCCAATGCAAAGGGTCCATCTGTAAGACAAGGATTTTAAGTAACTCCAGGGCAGGTAAGAAGGTAGTTTGGGGCACAAGACCACACGAGGTCCTTGAAATCACACAGGCAGCTTACTCTACCTCTGAGCTGGATTCTTAATGCCTATGGAATCTAGTGGGTGAATCTTGGTCAAAAAGATCTTTTTAACCAACTAGGATTGATTAGCAAAAGTTATTGATTCATGAATGGTGTACCCGCAAATTGATTCTTTTTCACATCTATTTCCTTGTCTTGTAACTTTTACCCTTTACCTTTTATGAGATGCAGAAAAACCCTCTTGGCTTTGCCATTAGCACCCGTGACAGATCCTGTTGATCCACCACTGATTTTTAGCCTGAACTGGGATGGACACTCCGCAGGAGCTCAGGCTCTCCTCCTCCTGTTTCCATCTTGCTCCTTCCCACCTTGGAGCCTTCGCCAGCACCATGGATGTCCCCTCAGCCTTCATGCAAATATTCCCCAGGTATCCAGAAGTTACTGCTCAGGGAACACTTGCAGGCAGACAAGCTCTCCAGCCTCCTGTCCTTCAGGGACAAATTTGGGAGGCATTCTGTAGACCTCTTCAGAGGTCCAGAGGAATCACAGCAGTGGCCTCAATACTGTCTCTCCTGCTGGCTTCTCCTGGTTTCCCATCTCACTGTCCCCTCTCCTTCAGATCTGCTTCCTGGGATCACCTCCCAATCTACCACCACCACTTTCAGGGGAACCCAACTGCTCAGTCTGGCTAAGCTCTGATCTTAAAAACATAAAAATTAAATAAATAAAAACTCTTAGAACTAAGACACCTAGATGGGGATGCATTTCAAAGCTGGCACTTTTAAAGGTTGTGCAGTCTTTCCAGAAGCTGCCATTGATCAGGCATTCTTAAGCGTGACTGCAGAGCCTACGTGCAAGACTAGGACAGGGATGCAGACCTAAGGAAGCACCATTCTCGGGTCCAGTGAGGGCAGATCTGTACCCAGCAGAGTGCACCCTTCATGTCTGCTGCGTTGACACCTGTCTTGCCCCCCACTCCCCTGGTCCTGCTGTTTACCAATCACATTAGACAACCACACTCATTTTTAGAATTCCATATTATTTTATACTGCCACATTCTAAAAAGTCCAGATCCCCTTATTCAGTGACTTCCAAGATGACTTTGTAGGAGAGACTAAGGCTTGATGTAGGGAAAGTCACCCCAGATGAGGCCAGGAGACCTGCCTTTCAGACCTCTCCTCCCTGCCACTACCTGGGCCACCTCAAGCAGGTCGCATCACCTTGCCAGCATGGCTTCTCAGCTCAGAATAGGGAAAAGAATGTGCCCTCTAGGGGGTGGGCGTTGGGATTAACTGGGACCCTGCTTGTTAAAGCACTCAGTAAACTGAGTAATAAACAGCATGGGTGATGAAGAATCGGATGAATTACCTCTTTTTAAAAGTACTGGCATTTAGCAAATATTTACCATATGTCATGCACTTTACTAAATGCTTCACATACTTTATTTTACTTAATGGTCATAATAATCTTTGAGGTAAGTCATATTATCCCCATTTTACAGATGAGAAACTGTGTCAGAAAAGATAAGTCACATTGCTCCCAAGGTCACAAATCCACTAAGATTGGATCCAAGTCATTCTAATTCCAAAACCCAATGCTCTTACCATTGTGTCATTTATCGGAACATTATCCAGTGGCAATCAGATGACAAGGCAGTGCCCTCTCCTCTTTCAGAGTAGTTCAGATAAAAACAGGAAGAAAATTGCCCCTCTCTGCTGCCTGTCATTTGAAGATCTCCTTCCCATACCTGGAACCCCTTTCACTTACTCAGGTGCAAGTCAAAGTAAATGACACACCTAAACTTACATACCCAAATGATTGTTATCGACTTTAAGGCAGTCACTTTGGGATATGCCCACCTATGTAATGGTGCAGCCATACATTATATGGTTTTAGAAATCCTTTAGACTTATTTTCAAAACTGGTTCAAATGAATATCCTCGAAAGTGCATTACTGTTTTTCTCACCCCTAGAAGAGGCAATATTATCATTCTCTAAGGTAATCTAAAATGCCCCCCAAAAATGTAATAAAATCTCTGAATCAGCCAGGTGCAGTGGCTCATGCTTGTAATCCCAGTTCTTTGGGAGGCTGAGGTGGATGAATCACGAGGTCAGGAGTTCCAGACCAGCCTGGCCAATATGGTGAAACCCCATCTCTACTAAAAATGCAAAAATTAGTTGGGTGTGGTGGCATGCACCTGTAGCCCCAGCTACTCGGGAGGCTGAAGCAGAAGACTCACTTGAACATGGGAGGCAGAGATTGCAGTGAACCAAGATCGTGCCACTGCACTCCAGCCTGGGCAACAGAGCGAGACTCCATCTCAAGAAAAAAAAAAAATCTGAATCTGGGAAGACTTCCATATTGATTCTTAACATTTGGGGGCTCTGAGGGGTGAATGTCATTTTGTTCCTCTCTATAGCTTATCCAAATACCAAGCAGTAAAACAGGAAAATACAGACAAAATTAAAGGCAGCTTGGGTGGGGAGCACCCCAAAAGCAGAACAAGGAAAGCCCTCTGCCCACCATAATCCCAGCAGCCTGAAAAGGGAGGGGGATGACCTCTGCTACTCTGCCTCATTTTCAACACTGCAGCAAAGAAGCTGAGGAAGAAAGTCTTCCCTCTGCAGGAGAGACTCTAGAGTCAGAAATTAAATGTCCTAATGACAACATTTGTTTTGGGGGAGAGCACTTTAAGCATCGTGATAGATACTCATTTGTTGCCAGTCTAAACATTTGAATCCTGTCTCACAGCTACATTCTTAGAGGTGAGTAGAAATGGTGCTGTCAGGTTGAAACCCCATAGGCTTCTACCTTGCTGCAGACCAGAACACAGAACTTTGAAGGAGAGCCAGCTTCTGTGTGGAGTCATACCTCCCAACACCTCCAACACGTATTTCCCAAAACTTCTTAGCCGTGAAAGTTCAAAGCAGAAATAACTTCCACGCAGAACGTGGAAGATCAAAGCAGGCCGAGAGGAAGTCGAAAGCAGAAATAATGTTTTAAAAAATTGGAGAAGGTTCACAGGAGAGAAAGAATGATGCTCTGAAGGCCAGAGAGACAAAGGGACCCACTTAATAAACAGCAATAAAAAAAATAGCTGATGATTGGCTGCATGGTCATATGGGAAATCAAGGAAGTCAGTAATCATGATGAGGAAATCAGTTTTACATCTGTGACTAGTAATTCATTTATTCTCCATTCATTCAATCTGCAAGCAGTTACCGAGCATCTAAATTTTTCCGGACAGACAGTTAGGTGTTAGGGATATAGAGATCATCAAAACAAGGCAGAATTCTGTCCCATGTGTGCACTATCTAGCAAGAAAAGCAGGTGTTAACTTAATGACCACACAGACAGAGGTTTCACAAATACCATGGGGAAGACATCCAAGAGCTGGGGGCAAGCGTAATGGGGTGGGGAACTATTCAAGCCTTCTTTGGAAAGGGGGCATCTGATGAGTGACTAGGAGCTAACCAGGCTGAGAGGAAGGACCGGCACTCGACAAATTCTGCAGGAAGGGGAGTGACTAGAAAAGGCTGAACCCAACTGGGAAAAATCCAAAAGGAAGATTCTCCTTGATATGATTATTCCTCAAGAGGGTTGCAGAATCCCCCCTTGGAGAGAAAAGGACAACCTGATTAACGTATCAACTCGGCGGCCTTGTGTGACCTTGGGCAAGTTACTTAATCCCTCTGTGCCCCAGTTTTTTTATCTGTGAAACGAGGATAGTGGAAGTACCTACCTCACTGGGTTGCTGTGGGGATTAAATGTGTAAAAATACATAAAGTGCTTGACCCAAGGGAATCAAAGGGACCAATGAACCTGGATGGTGGAAAAAGATCGCATTTTATTTTCAGTAACTTCTAACAGGAATGTAGTATTCCCTTTCCTTGTAAGTATAGACAACAAACCCAGTGGTAACAGCAGTAGCCTGTGATTTTTATCACCATTTAAAATCTCAGGTATATTCAGATCATGTTAATGTTTTTGCAGAAATCTCAAAATGTTATTTATGCTCATCACTACTTGAAATTACAGTCATTATTAAACCTTTGCTAGATCTCATTATTCACTGTATTAATAAAGAAGAAGGCACATTACCATACCACAAATTTGTTTTTTAATATTTTTATAATTGTATTTCAATGTAATAACTGGCTTTTGTAATCCTAGGTATTTTGTTTTATATTCATATTTTAAAACATTATTCTGAGAAGGGGGTCATAGCGTCACCAGGCTGTCAAAGTTTAAAATTCCTGTCCTAGGTCAAGTGCACAGACATGAAGCATAATTTCAAGAGGCATTTTATGCCCAAGCGCTTCGTTTTGATTGGTCTACATACAGCCACATTACCTGTAGCTACTGGTTGGTGGAAAGTACCCTAGACTGGGTCAGGAGCCCATATTTATCATTGGAAATCACTATGAAAGGAAAATAAATCTCAGGACCCCCAAATCACTAAGCCAAAGGGAAAATTCAAACTGGGAACTGCATCAGTCAAATTGTCTCCCATTTTATTCCTAAATAAGATAACTACAAAGATTAAAAAGGCTACATACGTCCCTCACAATTTGTCCACTAGGAGAGGAAATTCCTTGTGGGCCTCAAGATCTTTACCCTAAAATGGTTCTGTTGAATTTTACCTCCGACAGTGTAAATCAATAGCTTGTCTTCACAGGTGCGGGACAAAAGACAGAACTCTAAGTCATCCTTCTGCTCACCTGAGACAAATGCATATCTGATTGCTTCCTCTCAGGTAAAAATGCAGATTTACTGAGCCAGACCAAGGCATAAATGGTTATTCTTCTACCCTCTCTCACATATAATTGTGTATTCAGTGAAAGGCTGATCAAAGACTCAAAATAATGCAACCATTTGTCTCTGATTTACCCACACCTTTTAAAAATTTCTTCCTCTTTTCCTAACATCGTCCCTTTCCCCATTAAATATTGAAGCCCTCAAAATCATCTTTGGAAAAAGGCACAGACCTACTTCCTGGGCATGCATCCTTAAATAAACTTTCTGGATCGATTGAGACCTGTCTCAGCCACAGCTAGATGTGTGACGTTGGGTGAGTTGTTTACCCTCCCTGAACTTGAGCGTCCTTATAACAAATCTTAGGTAAATAATACCTAGCTGCTTCACAGAGCTGTTGTATGAAATGAAATCATTTCTGTGAATGCACCTGGCACAGGTAGGCACTCTGTAGACTGTTTCTGAATAGGATTCAAGGCTGAGGGTCCTTCAGTCCATTTGCATATGCAGACATCAGCTTGCCGGATGAGAATGCTTGTTTGTCTCCCTCCTGCTGGGATGCCTGGGGACAGTTCTGACAGCTAGGTGCCAAGAGGAAACCTGTGCTTCCATTTCCAGCCCTGTCCCCATGGGCGAGCCACGCTGAACCAAAGAGTTCACAAAGATCATCATGAAAAGGGAAAACAATTTGTTCAGGGGCCCTAGAGTCAGACACTCAGCATGCTAGGCTTGTGGGGTGTTTCAGCTTTAATCAGCATCAAGTTGATCTTATTTTGAGAGATGCTAACAAATCCAGAACAATCTACAGGTAGCTCCAGCAAGATACCCCCTGGCTCTTCACCTGGTCCCTGCCCACCTGCCCCGGCCTCCCGGAGTGTGCTTAGCACCAGGGTGCCTCGTCTGCTCCTTCAGACCCACCTGCCAGCTTGAGCCCCCTACTTCACCTGGGGCACTGTAGCAGCAGAAAGCTTGTTTTCCTTTCAGACTTGTCAGATAGGTCGTTGTTTCTTTTCCCCTCTCCCTTCTTTTGTTGTTTTCTATCTTTCTGAAGATTAATTTATTGTGGCTGAAAAGATGGCAGATAGAGAAGCCTGGAGACTGATTTCTCCCTATTTATCCAAGGTCCCAGCCTGGTGCTAGCAGTGACAAACCATGTCCCCCACTGCAGGGACCCACCAATGAGACCATCCAGGCTCTGGAGTTAAATGGATTCTGCTCTCTGAGGAGCTCAGAGCACTTTAGAAACATGAGCTCATTTAGGGTCCATTCTGACCAGGATTCAAAGTGCCCCAGGGTCTCCCAGGACACAGATGTCTAACATAGCTGCATTCCTGCTGAGGCCATTCTGCCTGCCTAGAGTCAGAAAAAATGGAGGCATAAAGACCAGGTTATATGAGCCTGTAATGAAAAGCAAAGGCCCTGGAGGTTAGATGAGCAACTTTCAATTGCACCCCCACTTGTCCTCCAGGCTTTGGTTTATCCCTTAGCTGAAGTATAATGCTTTCATTTCAAAGCAGCAAAAGACATCAAGTATATGAAAGTACCTAGCACCAGTCCTTCTAAATGGTAGATAATCAATGTTAGTAGAATCCAGAATGGTTAGTGTGAGGCAGGCCCATGGACTCTGGATTTGCTGAGTTGCCTCAGATGGACCGTTTAGTCTCTCACATCTCATCTGTTTCTCACTCCCTGAGTTCTCTCCAGTGAGTATTAAATACTCCAGCGAGTATTAAAGATGAGTGGTGGATTGGAGATACTCACAAATTCCTCGACATTCCTCCCTTTAAGAGGTGGGGTCATTGGATCCCATTGAATCCATATGGTATACCTGACTGCTTTGACCTATAGTATACAGTGGATATAACACTGTGTGAGTTTCCTGGTGCAGGTGTGAGTCTCTGGAAACTTACTAGAAGCCCCGTTCTGAAGAAGTCCAAGCAAGCCACTTGGAGAGGCCGTGGAGAGAGAACAACACTGGCCAGACCCTGGCTCTTCCGGCCAGCCCAACCCAGACATCAGCTTCCTCATCCTCCCTCCTGCTCAGACCAGCTGAGTAACTCTGAATGACTTTAGTGGATGCCACATGGAGCAGAAGAGCCACTCAACCAAGCCCTGCCTGAATTTCTAACCCATGAATTATGAGCTATAATAGTGGTTATTTAAAGCCACTAAGTTTTGGGGTAGTTTGTTGTACAACAGTGAAAGGAAAACCTCAATACTATATGAGTTGCAAAAAGTCCCCAGGGTCAGATCACCTTTCTTAAGGAAACATAAATTCCTATTAAAACAGGAACTGGGCAAAGCCTAAAAGGGCAGGGCCCCTTGAAATTTGTGATATGTGCCTACATTGTAAGCAGAGCTACTGAAATTAGAAGTTCTAGAGCACTCACCAAGGCTCCTTCTCCTTCCCATACAACAAATAATAAGCATAGTTATGTTTGAGAACATACTACATGGCCAGTCTATGTGCTTTATATAATAGTAATTATATAATAGTAATACCGTTAGCCAACACTTCCAGGGCCCTTACTATGTCTCAGCATTCCAACACTTCATGTGTACTAGGCAATTCCATAAGATAGCCATTCTTATCATTCCCATATTATACTTATGAAAGCTGAGGGACAGAGACATCAAGGGGCTTGCCCAAGGTTACAGATCAAGAAAGCATTGTAATATGTCATTCTCTCATTAACTCTGCATTTGCTTCCCATTGTTGCTGTAACAACTCACCACAAATGGGGTGACTCACAACAACACTAATTAACTATCTTCACAGTTCTGGAGGTCGGAAGTCCAAAATGCATTTCACTGGAATTAAATCAATGTGTCTGCAGGGCTGTGTTCCTTCTGGAAACTCTAGGGAGAATTTGCTTCCATGCCTTTTCCACCTTCCAGAGGCTGCCTGGATTCCTTGGCATATGTCCCCTAACTCCATCTTCCAAACCAACTAGGGCTGGTGGGATCTTTTGCACCCTGCGTCATTCTGACCTGAACTCTGCTGTCCCTCTCCTCCACTTATAAGGACTCCTGTGATTACATTGGGCCACCGAGATGGCCCAGGATACTCTCCTCATCTCAATTTCAGCTGATTAGCAACCTCAATTTCATCTGCAACTTAATTCCCATTTGCCATGTAACATAACACATTCACATTCACACATTCATGGATGTCTTAGGAGGGGGTACATTATTCTGCCTACCTCACCCTGTAAGATGGGAATAATGATGTCTCCCCTTTTATAAATGAGGGAGCTGGGGACCCTAATAGTTAAATAATTTTTGCCCAGGTCACACATATCAAATGCCACTTCTCCTGAAAACTACAAGGTCCCAGGTTAAAAAGCAAGAATATCCAAAAATGGCCAGGTAAGCCCTTTCCAAAGGAAGGGATGTTGGTTGGAAGTTACATATATATATATATATATATATACTGTGTTTATCCGTTGACCCATGAAAATCTAATATTCTATCAGCTTTACAGTGGTGAGAAGCACTGCTGGGGGGTGTCCCCCTGCCAGCTTCTTCAGCCCTAACAAAAGGGAGAGAAGCCTTGTCTAGGAAAACCCCTCTGAGATTGCTTGCTTATCTGTCCCTGAGAATTGAAGAAACAACATTTCTCATATCCACTAAAGCCTTCTGATAATGAACTCTGCGATAAGGGGACTCCATTCATAGTGAAGCCACAAATCATTCCAGTGCATCAACCTTTTGCAGTCCCAAGAGAGATAAAGAGGGAATGTTTTGGAGTTCTTTAAAAACATTTTGTGTGCCCGTGGTATCTCAGACCTAGTAAGCTCGAAACACACCCATCCAGCACCTTGGGGGCACGCCAGGTCCTTGAGATATAAAACCTTTAGTCCTCACGAAAACTCAAGGTAGCTGTCAATGTCTCTTACCCATAGTTTCCACACCTGGAAAAGGGGGATAAGTATCCTCTCCACAGCTATAACGGCCAGTGAGTGACAAAAGGAGGATTCAAACCCAGGGCTGTTTGGCCTCAACTCCAGCTCTGGCCTCTGTGTCCTGCCTCCAGCCTGCTGCTGTGCCCGCTGAGACTCTGCTTGTGCCTTGTCCTATCTCCCACCACATCTCCCACCTGTCCAGACCCTCCCATCCATCCTTCCAGGCCTGAATCAACACCCTACAACTTGCCTGCTATGAAGTCTGCCCCAGCTGCTTTAAGTTTTTCTGCTCCCTCCTTCAACAAAATTTTTTACCTCTTATCGTGTGTTTGTATTCTTCTCTGTTCTTGGGTCTTATTCATTTCCCCAGGATAGATTATAAACTCCTCTGGGTCAGAATCCACACCTTATATAGTTATTCCACTTGGGATCATCATGGAAGCTGCCATTAGCTCTAGCTGCACAGATCTTCTATGCGTGTATCTTTTCCTGCAGGAAAAGGTTGGCTTGCTTTATCTTCAGACCTTCTTGGTTACTTTTTTTTTAAAGGCTTGCTACAAAGCTTCATTCAGAAAGTTCAGGAGCAGGCCTCGCAACTCTGCAACTCCGGGTTAACCCTGAAACTCAGCTATCTGCCTCCCTCTGCAGCATTCTCTCTAAACTATGTGCTAGCTGAAATCACTCTCACCAAGAAAGTATTCACATGAACAAAATGAATGGGGCAGGGGGATTTTTCTGCTCTGTTCATTGGTGTACCCCCAGGACTTAGAATAGTGCCTAGCATCTGTTAGGTGCTCTAAAAATCTTACATGAATGAATGAGAGAATGAATGAAAGTTGTTGAAAGCACTTCAAATTTCAGATGACTATCTTAATGAGCTGTTCATTAAATAAATAACCTAATTAGCCGTAATCAAGTGGAACCCAGGTGTCCTGGACCCTGATCAAGTGTGGAAAGTCCAACTCTGAATGTTTGGGGTGCGTCGGGAGAGTGGTATTCTTAAACACTCTCCCTGGATAATTCTGATGCTCACCAATCAAGAGCCACTGTCTTACAGATAATTGTTAGTTATTGGTAGTGAGTCTGGCAAAAGGCTATAAGTACATTGGCAGATTATCTGCAGGTACAATCCTCTTGACAGGCCTAGGCATTGGCCTCAGTGATGCCTGTGGCCTCTGCTCACCGATGTGTATGTGAGCGTTCCTGCCTCCTCTAGTGTCTTGCAAAGTCTGGCCTGAGCCCCGCCCAAAGCACCTAATGCCATCGTACCTGCGAAGCAGATGGCCAACGTGCTCTTAATTGGGGTGGCTGTATCCATCTAATTGGGAAGCTGCCTGGAAGAACCATCTATCACTCCTGCCGGTGACAAATGGCAGGAAGGAGCAGCCTCCCACACAATGGCCCTGCCCACTCCTGCTCCTCCACACCTTATTATGCCTGAGAAATTAATATTCATGTTGTTTTGTCTTGACAAGCAGGGCAGAGTGATGTCAGGTAGTTGCTTCCCTTGTCCTCCTTCTGCACATTCCCCTGAGCGGCTCTGGTAGGGCTGAACCTCTGCTGGGAAAGCCTTAGTGCCTCTCAGCTGGGGACAGAACGGTACCTCCTGCGAGATGCTCTCAGGGGCTTGGCTGAGCCTGGCTGACCGGACCGTCGCCTCAGGCTGCCCAGCATGCTAGGGACCCAGATTATTTGCCACCCTCTGATGTCATATCTACAAGTCTTGCATCTCTACCCTCTTCACTGGGCTGGTTGGGGTCCAGATACCTAAAGCTACTCACATATCTCCAACATGCACATGGCTGCCACCTTCCTCCCCAACTGCCTCTACCCCTAGCGGCCTCGCCCACCAACCAGGTTCATTTCAGTTCAAATAAATGTATTGAGTGTTCCCCATGGGTTAGGCATTGGACCAGGACAGGAGTGTAGGGGATACGTCCCCTGCTATTGCCATCTAGTACATGTCTCATGTCTAAGGAAGTCAAACAGCTGTAAAAATTTCTACAGAATTTGAAAACCAGAGACCAAGCTGCAGGTAGAGTAGAGGCTGACCTGAAATCAACAATTACAATAACTTTCCAGAGTCTACACAATGGGGAGAAGACAGAGTGTTTGCAGGAGAATATCTGTCAATCAATAAGGATGTGTCTTTCTGTAGTATTTTCTAAACTTTCAGATAAGTCTAATGTTCCCTCTTCCCAACACACACACACACACACACACACACACACACTACTACTACTACTACTACTACACAATTTCTGCTTTAAACAGCATACATAGTAAAGAGGAATGGTTAATATTTTATTGAAACTCTATAGTATTCTAGGTATAGACATGTTTTTATTTAATATATGCAACAACTCCGTAAAAGAGATGTTATCATAAGTAGTGAGGAAATAGGCTCAGAGAGGTTACGGAAGGTGCCTAAAGCCACACAACTAGTAAATGGCAGAGGCAGGATTCAAGTTCCTTCTGCATTATGTGAAAGCCTATTGAGCCTCTTCTATTCTGCCACACTGCCTCCCTAAAATCACTTACTTTCTTCACTCTTCCCATTCCTAAGTCACTGTTTGCCTTATTGATGGGCCAGAAGCAATTGCAAACAGCTGTCCTATAATCTGTGCCTTTCCTTTCCCCAGCTGTGAAAACACTTCGTCTGGCACGCAGCTGGCTTCTGTCCTGGCTGTGCAGTGTCCATGGCCCTAGACACTTAGACTCACCTTACAACCTGATCTTTGACAGATGCTCTTGCCCCCCTGATACAGCCACCATGCCAGTTGTCTGCTAAGTCGAGGCATCCTCGAAACGTTCCTAATACTCTAATCAAGATTGATCTGTCCTTCTGTGGAGCATGGCCACTTCCTTAATCAGCTTGGGCTCATTTGAGCCTCTCCTCCTGCTGAAGCCTCTGATTCAAGAGCTGAGTGGCTCAGCCAGAGCCAAGAGGACGGGGTGCCAAGATCTAGAGCTTCCCACCCGTGGGTTGTAGTGGGTCCACATAATGACCCCCTCAGCCTTCAGATCAGGGTGGGGTTGGGACAGCCAGAGTGCCAGAGTCACCTCTAGATATGGGTCCATCACATGTTTATTCCAGCTGCCCTACAAATGCTATCATTAGCTAGCGTGACAGGATGTGAACAAGTTAGGGAAGCTCGGTGGAGCTCCCTGACCCCTCTGGGATCTGGCATTGGTCTCATTGCTCTTCTGCATGTCATTTTACAAGTGTCATTTTGCAGCCACATAGGCTGGAAGGATGAGAAAGCAAGGCATCCCCTTCTGGGCATGGGACAGGGAGTACCGAGCAGGGGTTCCAACCATAGGACACCAGAGGACTGGGGATGCTAATGCCTGATTGGTGGGAGAAATGGGAAGGTAGAAGCCTGAGGATATTGCTAAACCATCCCCTTCTGTCCCCCACAATGAGGAAGCTGAAGCCCTCAGTCACTCGCATCCCATGGCCAGCATGCCAGCTAAGTCACCATCAGCTTCTGTTGACTGGCTGTCATCATCACCACCATTTTCTGTGGTACACTGCATCCTCTTTCCTTGGAAACTCATTCTGACTCAGGCAAATCCTCATTTCCTTCCTTTTCAGTTGACAGATGCAAAAGTAAACATCCTCAACAGGGTGAGCTGTTTATCCCCTCTGCCTCCTCTGGTCTTAGATGAGCTGTTTTATACACTTGGCTTTTTTGCTGTTTATCCATGGTCCAGCTGCTTAATTTTTCTATCTTTCCTATTAATTTTAATAGTGTTGGCTTTCCTCATTTGTTATTTTTCTCCCTGCAAGCCTACAAGTACATGCTCTTTACCTTAGCTCTATTTTTAATGCAACAGGTTCTTCCTTCCCTAAAGTAACGTGTTTCCTTTAAACACCCATGATATCTACATTTGTTTAACAAGGCTCTGCTCAGCTGTTCCTCTGAGGTGCTGAGTCTATGATTAGAAGCAGTGCTGTGCTAATGCCATTTCCGGGTGCCTTTTCAATAAGTCACTTATTTCTCTTCCCTGCGTTTGTTTCCTGAACGATTATTGATTGTGGTCAGCCTCCTGCGGCTTTCAGAGTGGCTTTGGTCTGTAACAACATGGAGACCAGGCTTTGGCGCAAAGAAGAGCCTTAGATTTTGCTTTCATGTAGCCACTGACCTCCCTGCTGGGGTGCAGATGGGGTTGGTGAAAAGGAGGAGATTAAATAGTATCCTTGGAACTTTGTGAGCACGTGGGAGATTCCTGGGTTACAGATTTGTACTCAGGTCTGGCCTCAAAATTCAGCCTGAGAGATTATAAAATGGAAACATAGCCAGGACTTTATTTCTCCACAGCGGGTCTCTAACTTTAAAATTCTAAGCAGTTGTAACATAATTCAGAATTGAGGCAGTGAATCCAAGCACAGAGAGATCAAACCTGCCATCAGCCCACTCCTAAATAATATTGCCCATTATCATACTATTGGCTTGTCAAACCATGGAATCTTCACTCAACTTCAGGAAACGTAAACTCGGAAAGAAGTCTTCCCCTTAAAGGAGAAAAACAGTTCACCTATTGTCTATGCAATTGTAGGATAATTGAGCTGACATGCATTTGAATTATAAAGAATACATACTGTCCTTGTTATTTACCTACTTTCTAATTTTAACATGTAGCACTAGTGATAATTACTGGCATTCCATATTTATACAAAACTAACTCTTTCTTAAGACTCCAATACGGCAATTATCTTTATACAGTATATGCTGTTTTTCTATAAATGTTGAAAATTCAATAATTATCACTAGAACTAGCAATGGCATTTTGAATACAAATAAATAACAAGGAAAGAGGTTATTTATTCATTAATATTCAAAAGACACACTAATTCCTCTTCATCTGTAGTGGATGAACTCAGCTCTGGATCTGTAAGAACTTTACGTAAGCCAGTTAAAACTGTCGTCGTGTGGTTTTTGCTTATTAAGAGTCAACAAGAGCTGCCTCAAAGGGAAAAGAGAACAAGGAATATACCTCATGATAAAAATAATAGCTCGGCCGGGCACAGCAGCTCATGCCTGTAATCCCAGCACTTTGGGAGGCCGAGGTGGGCAGATCACGAGGTCAGGAGATCGAGACCGTCCTGACTAACACAGTGAAACCCCGTCTCTACTAAAAACATACAAAAAATTAGCCGGGCGTGGTGGCGGCTGCCTGTAGTCCCAGCTACTCGGGAGGCTGAGGCAGGAGAATGGCGTGAACGTGGGAGGCGGAGCTTGCAGTGAGCCGAGATCGCGCCACTGCACTCCAGCCTGGGCGACAGAGGGAGACTCCGCCTCAAAAAAATAAATAAATAAAATTATAATAGCTCACATTTATGAAATGCTACTACATGCCAGATACTGTGTGCTTTCAAAATTTGTCCCATTCATCCCCTCCACAACCTCACAAAATAGCGGCTATCCTTCCCCGTGTTACAGAGAAATAAGATGAGGGTTTAGAGAAGTCAGTTGTGTGCCTCAGGTCACACAGTGGGAGAAGTGAGAGCTAAGAACAGAATCAGGGTGTGACTCATTCACTAGGCTTGCCCCTTCCTTCCACGTGGAATCTTGAGTAGAGCCAAGTCATCTCTTGATGCCCCCATCCTTAACTCAATCCAGAAATATCGTGTGCTAAAGGTTGTTATGGAAATGAACTTGTAAAAGCTAATTGCTCCTCATGGTCCTGGAGAATAAAGACAAAACTGCAAGCCAGGTGTCTTTTGTCATCTGTTTTTAAATAAGCCAACACCGTAAGAGACTTTCTTTTTTTTAAAGCTTTACACCCAAAAGAATGGATCAACAGGTTTAGGTGTTCTGCATGTCAATGATGAATCCTCTAAATTTAGGGTACAACTGCAAGAAGGTGACCTAAAGGAATCCACCTTTTTATTTCTTTTACTTTCTTCTTTTCTCTCAACTTTTAAGTTCTGGGGTACATGGGCAGGATGTGCAGGTTTGTTACATAGATACGTGTGCCATGGTGGTTCGCTGCACCGATGAACCCACCACCATCACCCAGGTATTAAGCCCAGCATCCATTAGCTATTCTTCCTAGTGCTCTCCCTCCCCCAACCCACACCCCCATCAGGTCCCAGTGTGTGTTGTTCCCCTCCCTGTGTCCACGTGTTCTCACTGTTCAGCTCCTACTTAGAAGTGAGAACATGCAGTGTTTGGTTTTCTGTTCCTGTGTTAGTTTACTGAGGATAATGGCTTCCAGCTCCATCCATGTCCCTGCAAAGGACATGATCTCATTCCTTTTTATGGCTGCATAGTATTCCATGGTGTATATGTATCACATTTTCTTTATCCAGTCTATCATTGATGGGCATTTAGGTAGATTCCATGTCTTTGCTATTGTGAATAATGCTGCAATGAACATATGTAGTGCATGTATCTTTATAATACAATGATTTATATTCCTTTGGGTATATATCCAGTAATGGGATTGCTGGGTCAAATGGTGTTTCTGACTGTAGGTCTTTGAGACCACAATGGTTGAACTAATTTACACAATGGTTGAACTAATTTACACTCCCACCAACAGTGTAAAAGCATTCCTTTTTCTCCATAACCTCGCCAGCATCTGTTGCTTTTTGACTTTTTAATTTTAAAAAAAAAGCCATTCTGCCTGGCATGAGATGGTATGTCATTGTGGTTTTTATTTGCATTTATCTAATGATCAGTGATGTTAAGCTTTTTTTCATATATTTGTTGGCCACATGTATGTCTTCTTTTGAGAAGTGTCTGTTCATGTCCTTTGCCAACTTTTTAACCGGGTTTTTTTTTCTTGTAAATTTAAGTTCCTTGTAGACTCTGGATATTAGACCTTTGTCAGTTGAATAGACTGCAAAAATTTTCTCCCATTCTGCAGGTTGTCTGTTTACTCTGATGATAGTTTCTTTCGCTGTACAGAAGCTCTTGAGTTTAATTAGACCCCATTTGTCAATTTTTGCTTTTGTTGCAATTGCTTTTGGCGTTTTCATCATGAAACCCTTGCATGTGCCTATGTTCTGAATGGTATTGCCTAGATTTTCTTCTAGGGTTTTTCTAGTTTCGGGGATCCCACCTTTTTTTTTTTTGCCTTTGTTTCATCACTTTGTAGATTCTGAATAAGAAGCTTTAAGGGCACTATTCACTTATTCATATTTGAGACCTCTTTGCTTGAAATTCACCACATATGTGAACCTCAATACCAATTATCTGTGCTCCTGGGTCCTAATGACTAAATGGTTAATGTTAGTCAAAATGGTTATGAAGATATCAAGCTCTAAATAAACAGGGGAATTCATTCTTCAGTAATTCTTTGGGCAGAATTCCCACTCAATGAAGTGGATGTCAGGTGGACAAAATCTCAAGGTAATATTTTGGTCCAGAATATTTATAACTTTTTAACCAAAAATATCATCTTGGCAGTGCAAATGTGTGATAAGGAGCTTAGTGAGGGACTACCCCAGGAGCAGCAAACTACGAGGATCCAAGGTCCCACCAATTCATTTGTTTCATACACAGGTGGGAGAGGTGCTTTGGACTAGTGAACATGTTTTTAATGATTTTGAAGTGAATCCCAAAGCCTTATTAATGCCCCAGTCACAAAGGAAAACAAGACTGCAAATGCCTTCATCTTCATGCCTCCCAAGTATCTGAAGGCACAGTCCTTGAATCAAGTTATTTTCAGCTCAAACGAGTTGCTGAATTATTTTCACTAAATTTTTTCTACCTCCCTAAAGCCTTGCAGTTACTACAAGGAGACACGAGCCCTATTTCAATGATGGAAGTCAGTTTCTGAGTCTAAACTGGAGAAAACAAGACTTGACACATAGTGAGCTGTGGCTAATGAAATGGAGAAACAGGCATCATTGCCTTGATCTGCACATTATGTTCTGCAGTGTGGTCTCACCTGGGCCGTGAACTGCAGCCCAACAACCTCCAATGAGAGCCCAGCTTCCCGGTCACAGCAGAGGTGCGCAGATTCCCGTAGGCCACTTCCTTTAGATGGAGCCATGTTCTTGGGCAAGTAACTGGGAAATAGAGAAACAGAGCCAGACCCAGAAATTGGATCATTGTAGAAGTTGATTGAAATGCATTGCTTGATTGCCTGAGCCTTGGTCTCAGTGAAAGAGTGACAGAGCCACTCATCCCAACAAAAGGACCCTGACGCCCAGTGTGGTGCTGTATGGACAAAGGCCCAAAGTCAGGGCGGACTAAGAAAATCTAGTTACTAACCATTGCCTTGCATCTGAAATCTACAGCTTGCAATCTAGTTGTCAAATTGTTGTTAGCATTTGTGAAGTGCCTACTGTGTGCCAGACACCGTGCGGAGTACTGGAGTGGCAGAACTGACTCGTGTGCATCTGTCTTGCCTTTCATGGGAAAGATGCTCAGGGTTCACCATTCTGTTCAGTGGACAATATTAATTGTGGAGTGGTGTCAGAGTTCAAGAAGTGCTGTCACTGAATCTGAATAAATCCTGAGAGGAGTTCCGTCTGCCTAAACCACCAACGGTTAGCCTGGAGAGCATACTTCGTTTTCCCCCAGTCCTTCTCATTATTATCACCAGCCACATCTACAAAACAATAGTAATGAGTGCCTGCCATATACACAGCGCTATCCTAAGGACCCCAAAGTTCCAAAGTAAGGAAATTAATGATCCTTTGGCCTTCTTCTTCTTATGATCACAATAGAAAGAATGGGTTAAATAGTAGCAAATGGCAAGCAGTTTCCTTAATGAACAGAATCTATTATATCTGGTCATCAGGATAAATTGTTCTTATGCATATTGAGTTTGAAGATTCTCTAATCCCGAAAAGTGCCTTAACCTGCTCATATTTGCCACCAACAATAGAAGGTCTGCAGTATGTCAATACCAGTGCTGGGGGACGGGGAGGGCTGAATTCAGAGATTGTCTCTTGACTGTAAATTAATGTTTGAGGGCTTGATCTGATTTCTCTTAGAAGTTCATTGCTGGCCAGGCACAGTGGCTCACACCTGTAATCCCAGCACTTTATGAGGCCAAGGCGGGTGGATCACCCGAGTTCAGGAGTTTGAGACTAGCCTGGCCAATATAGTGCAACCCCATCTCTACTAAAGGTACAAAAATTAGCTGGGCATGGTAGCAGGCGCCGGTAATCCCCGCTACTTGGGAGGCTGAAGCAGAGTAATCTCTTGAACCTAGGAGGCAGAGGTTGCAATGAGCTGAGATCATGCCATTCCACACCAGCCTGGGTGACAAGAGCAAAACTCCATCTCAAAAAAGAAAAAGAAAAAAAAGAAGTTCATTGCTAACGTTGCATGCTGTGAGGGAAGGGTCAGCTGTAGCTGGCACCGTCCCCGTCCAATGCACAGGTTCCTATTCATTACTCATGTATCTGTCCAGTTTGTCAACAGCTATGAGAATACTCTATGTGCTAGACACTTTTCAGGGTTCTAGGGATGCAGCAATTAACCAAAATTCAGACACAGCCCCCTACCCTCTTGGAGCTTACAGGCCAGCAACCACACGGAGAATTCAGACAAGGACCTCGTAGCTCCATAACAGTCACTCGGTTCTGGGTCAAAGTTCTCTCTGAAGAAAGAGGATGAAAGCGGGTGGGAAGGGTACTAGGGACACCTCCTGGAAAACAGAAGAATTCTCAGCAGGAGGAAAGACAGAATTGTGAACTGTCAGGTGGGGTAACAACACATGGAGTTGCTAGCTGGCTGCTTAAGAGCCTGGCTGCTGCGGGAGCTTAGAAGGGGATGTCAACACTCCTATTTGGCCCTCAGCAGGGCCACCAGGTGCCCATGGGTGTAGCCAGGGAAGGCAGACAGCTTGGGTGGCCAAGAGAACGAAGCAGATGGGGTTTGTCAGACCGGCTGCAAGGCTCATTAACGTACCACCTCCTCCCTGCACACACTCCAGTGTGCACACACACACCCACAGCTGTCAGGGAGAGAGCCCGGGCTTGAGGGGCTTAAGACAACCTCCAGAACAGCCATCATATTCTCAGGGTTTCAGTCAGAACTGCAACCACAGCTGGAAACTGCTCTCTGTTGCTCGGCCTCCCTGATCGATTTGGTGTTTCAGACTCAGTAGTCCATGAGGTCTTCATCTCTTCCCATTACTCCTCCAAACAGATGCCCATTTTATAAGCCATTTCTGCGCCTTTCCTTGGGAAGCAATTTCCCTCTTCAATGTAAAGACCTCTGGCTGCAAGCAGCCTCTAAAATGCTAGGGATGCTCAGGTGTAGGGCCTGAGCACAGAGATGATCTCTGGCCTTATTGTCTTTCCTTGCGGTTCCATACTCCCATTTACGGGGTGTTTGCAAGCTACTTAACCTAACGAGAGGAGCATGTTAGAGCTTGGAAACATGTGGAAATCCGAGATTCTGGAAGGATCCAAAGGGACTTGGGGGTTTACATAAAATATTTTTAAAGTGCTGACCAGAAGAAAGGCCTCCCAGCAAGTCCTTGTGTGTCTGCAGAAAGCTAATATATGGTAATCAGGGCAGTGTGAAGCTGCTGTAAGTTTTGACAACATAACAGGGAGCTTATCACTGATTTCCGCTGTTGCTGCATATTCCTGGGATCCTGGCTTGCTGGAGAGGTGTGAATAGAAGATTTATTTTGTATTGTTAGATTGTCAAGGCACTCTAGAGCAACAACTTTCAAATGATAACTTTCCAAGCTTACAGAAGATGTGAACTATATGCTCTTAGTCCAGTGTGAGCAAGGGGATGACAGCACTCCCCCTCCCCATCATCCTTCACTTTGCTGCTCCAGTGCCCTGAGTGGTCAGTGACTCAACACGCTGCCTTTCCCAAACCAAATTGGGCCATCATTAAGAATGAGAGACATCTATTTCGAGCCATGAAACAAGCTGAGGCGAATGACATGTCATCACAGAGAGATAACTTTTTCACACCTAGACCCCCAGAGCCCCAGGACAACCTCGTTTGCCAAAATTCAGACCATCTCAAGTTAACTGGATGTGAGAAAAGATTCTGGAGATTGAGTGGGGAAGGGAAGGAGGGAGATGCAAGGAGACAGGAGACAGTATCAGGAGGGTTTTGTCTGTAATCCCACCTTAACTGGCCATGTAGATCTTGGAGAGGGCAAATCTCTTCTCTAGAGGCAGGGATGATAGCAAAGCCCTGTACAGGGCGGGGCCTTAGGCACTGTGCCCCTAACCTCTAAGCAGCTAGTGACTTCTGTGAGTCCTCTAACCTCTCCAGTTAGCATACAGCGATTGAATTAATTAATTAGTTAAACAAAGCTCTCAAATAAAGTTACTGGTCTAAAGACAAAGGAATGAGAATATTTAATTTGTTCTTGTTGCCTCTCCCTTCTTTGCATTTGCTATTACTTATAACCCTTATTATTCTACATGGCACTGCAGTTACTTAAGTACCTGTCTACCCTATCTCCCTTTCAGATTCTAATATCCTTGGGGGGCACGGTCAGTTCCTTGTCTGTCTTCTGTGTCACCCAACATACATTGTACTTAGTATGCACCTAAATAAATGGTCATTGGATTGAATTGGGGTCCCTCTTATTAACAAGACCTATGGCTTTATAACGCACCTCCTAGAGCACGGAGGAGATTCCATCTTCTCTTCAGACTCCTGCCCAATTTCATTTGCTCCTAGGGCATGTGAGTCAGAGCTTGTTTTCATGACTGGGTGACCCTCCTCTGCTCTGCCACCCCTTAATGAAGGTTTTGCTGAAGCCAAAGCCTCCATGTTGTGAGACTCTGTTATTGTAGGGTTGCTCATGACTGCTGAACAACTAGCCATGCTTGCGGGTTTATTATTAGAGGCCTGTACACAAGGGCTGGCTCCTTGCCTGTTTTTTTTCCTAAGGCAAAGAAAACAGAATAGTTGCATTTGTTTTTTGGGGGAAAGAAAAGAACAAGAGATTTTTCAAACAGTTATGAATAAAGCAGAATCAGTCCATTCTGGAACCTCCCGACCTTGACAGTGGCCTTCTCATGCTATATAAACATTTGTTTTGGGTATTTAATAAGCTGCCAGCTGACAAATTGTAGAACTTTTTACAAGAGCCCCTTATCTTTTCTAGAAGCACTGAGATGGCAAAATATATTCTCCGTCTCAACAATTCATTCTATATATGCATGTGGAAATTGGAAAGCAAGTTGTTTTTCTTCGTTTGCATGACAAAACTCAGACCCCAAAATACAATTCAGCATTTAATCTGAGATGGTTAAAAAGCGCAGAAAAAGGCCCCCGCCCATTTGGCTCCATTTTGCTGCTGATGTTTCTGTTGTTACAATTAAAATTGATTTATAAGGCTAAGGACATAAAATACCTTTTTGTATAGCCCTGCAGTAAGCCTGTGGAGTCTGCTGCCTCAGGAGGTCACTGGGAAAAAAACAGACCCCATGAAAAACTGCCTTTATCTTAAGGCCTTAATAACTGCTCTACATCTTAGCAGAGCCCTCCCACCACATTGGGCAGGGGAGGGGGAGTTAGCCCTGGAGCAAGGACTAAATTGCTGAAATGACTCCTTGAAAGCTGCACCCCCATTGTAGCTTGCCAAAAACAGGTCATGGAGCCTCCTGGAAAAGAAGTGAAGACATTTAATTTTCAAATAAGTATTCTCTTTTGCTAATGACTCCCCTGAAGGGACCTCTTACTCCATGGATCCCTCTTTCCTTTATGCTCCCAGCCTCAAGATGAGGGCCCTATTCTCCAAACTACATACAATTGCTCCTCAACCCCAGGTCAGTATCTGCAGTCCTGCAGCTGGCCTGGAGAGCATCTACCACTTGCAGTGCAACATCTTTGCTCACCTTCCTCCTAATCCACACTAGTTCAGACATTCATTCTTTCCCCATTTATCCAGTGCTGAGCCTCACACAAATGTGCATTTGGGAAAAATAACACCATGCCAGGCACTGAGGGATACAGATAAAAAGGTTGCAGCCCATGGCCTTGGGCATATTAGTCACACAACTTGAGCTTCCTTTCGTCACCTTCCTATGAGGACTATTATTTGAGACAATATATGTAAAGTGCCTAACAGAGTGCCTGGTAGTGGGTAAACACTACATCAGCGATAGCCATCAGCAGCACCCATTAAAGGACTCTCCAACCACATCAGAGTAGACATGTAGAAGAATCTCAGAAGCCTCCTAGAAATGGGTTAAAGGACGATTTTTCAAAATCCAGGTGAATGGTAAGGGGAAAAGCACTCCAGGCAGGAACTGTGACAAGTTTAAAGGCATGGAGATGGGGAAGGGCACAGCATAATTGGGTACCTGCATGAGGTTCCGTGTGTCTATGAATGCACGAAACCTGTGTTCCCTACCGTGGTGCACATATCACTGGGAGATTTGGGGTGACTTTTTATATTTTTATATTGAAACAGATTTTTAAATTTGAATAGTTAGACATGAATGGTTAAACACATAGCTAATGAGGTCTCAACCACTAGAAGCCAAAATACAGGTTAGAACATGTGTACATGGCAGAGTTTCATTCCCCAGGTTTGTCCTTTCTCCTGTCATCTTTCCCACCACATGGAAATGTGCCCATAATTCACCTTAGTGACCTGGCAATTTCCTGTGCTCCATTGTAAAATTTCAGATGACATTTCTTTGTTAGAAGTATAGGATTTTATCAGTGGGAGTCAGAGAAAATAAAATGTTAGCAGGAGGTGGGGCCTGGGGCAGTCAGCCTACCTCCCTTCCCAGACCACGTCCTACTCCCAAACCTGCTTGGGAACTTGGAAAAAGATAGTTATCCTTGCAGGGTCTCAGTTTCATCCCCTTTGAAGAGTACAGCGTGGTCATGTGGCACATATGTGCCATGGAATTCTATGCAGTCATAAAAAAGAGTGAATTCATGTCCTTTGCAGGGACATGGATGAAACTGGAAACCATCATTCTCAGCAAACTAACACAGGAACAGAAAGCCAAACACCACATGTTCTCACTCATAAGTGGGAATTGAACAATGAGAATACATGGACACAGAGAGGTAAACATCACACACTGGAGCCTGTTGGGGGTGGGGGGCAAGGGGAGGAGAGCATTAGGACAAATACCTAATGCATGTGGGGCTTAAAACCTAGATGATGGGTTGATGGGTGCAGCAAACCACCATGGCACATGTATACCTATGTAACAAATCTGCACGTTCTACACATGTATCCCAGAACTTAAAGTATAATAAATAAATAAATATACAACATGGTTAATATCCAATCCTTACCTAGTAATGCTCGTATTATCCCTAACTGATAGGTTAGGAGTTGGAGACACAGCCAACACATGGTCCAACTAGGAGTTCAACTCAGGGAGTATCACTGAAAAACCTGTGACAGTAACTACTACATGAAACTGCCATATCTAGCTGCAGGAAGGACTTCTATAATTACTCAAACTTTTTGAGCTCCCTGTCATGGAATTATAGAATCTTAGGACTGAAGAGGACTAATTCTCCTGCCAACCCACCTAGTTTACAGATAGAGATCTGTAGGAGAAGATGACTGCTAGCCCAGGGCCCCAAGGCTATTAGGGACAATGAGAGGCAAAGGATGGCATTTGAAGGCAATATGTCCTTTTTATTAGCCTCACTATTAGTAGTCATATTGTTGTTGTGAGCACATGAGGGAGAATGTTATTCATGGTTTTATTACCTCCATGAGGCTCATCAAGGCTGAAAAATCAAGACAATAGCTTTCCCTGAAGATCTGAGCTGGCCTTTCATCTTATTCAGTCCCCAGCCTCTCTTTGTGTCTTTTTGCAGTTTAAACTCAAATTGGGATTCAAGGTCTGGATGTTTGTACAACTGCCAGGCTGGTGACTATTCAGGCATTTAATTTGACAGGTGACAGATTTGGTGTGGATTTTTTAAATTTGTTGATGTCATTGAAGGGAGGATTTGGGGGCACAGGCACATTCAGAGGACAGCCAAGGGAGAGGCCGCACGGAGAAGGTGGAGGGGATGGCACGGCACCTGCCCAGGCCCACTGGGTTGGGTTTGACTCTCTGGTCTGCTGGGGGCTGAGTGGGAACTTGGATGAATAAGCTGAGCAGGAAAACCGTGAAAGACAGAGACTATCAAGAATTCCCTCCTCCCTTGGTTTTTCTTCCTTGCTTCTCTTCCTCCCTCTCCCTGTCCTTCCCTTTTCTTTCTTTCATTTACATACATAGTAGTAAATAAAAACGTAATATCTATTACATACTTTGTACTGTGGAGTTTAGCAATCACCCTGAAAATAAATGTTCTTCAGGTGACAAGATGATAGAGTGGAAAAGCCTTGTTTAATTTATTCATTAATTAATGGATGACAACCTAGAGACAGTCTGCAATCAGCTCAAGGTTTCTTTTCCTGTGATGGGACAGCGCACCTGACTGAACCTTGGGGTTCAGAACAAAACCAGATGAGATGGGCTGAGGCTTGTGTGGGAAACTGTCTAAAGAGGTGCACTAGGACCTTTGAGGAGCATAAGAGCATCTGAGTAATTAAATCTCCTCCACCCAGTATGACTTGTAATAGGGTAATCTCCTTTCCCTCTCCATATCAATGCTGACTGATGAATGGCAGCCCTTCTCCTGACCTTCAGTATGAGCCCTAATTTCATAAACAAGTCCTCTATAGTTTTTAGAACACTTGTCATCACTGCATTGTTTCATGTATTAATTTATGAAGGGATTAATCTGAATACAAAGATGTTACCTTAATACATTAATGTATGAATACATACATGCACACACATATAACTCCTTCATTGCAGGTTACCACACACCTACGAAAACATTGCAGGTTACCACACACCTGCTAAAACTCCTCAGACCCTATGAACTGTGCTCCTTAAATGATAAGCCAACTTTTCTGAATCTTAATCTCCTCATAACCCTTTCCCACAACCAAAATGATTGTGGAGCCGACCTCATCCACCCTCTGATCTTAACCCCTAGCCAAAAATTGTGGAACAAGTCACAAGAGTGTGAGTCTTGACCTTTTTTGTATCAGTGGTGCCTTTGAAAACCTAAGGAAATCCTGAAGCCTGCACCCAACATAGTTTATCCACTGTTAGGGATCTGAACATTCTCAGGTTGTGAGCCACTGCTTGGAAAAAAGGTTGTGATCTATGATTTTCAGTTACTTTCAGCCTACGAACACTCATGAATTTTTTAAACAAAAAGAAGTGACAAATTAAAGCAGGGAGGTATATTTCATAGCTCCTTTCTCTTTCCACTAAAATGCTTTTGCCAAGAGATATTTACTCATATACTTACTTCCTCCTCCTCCCCAACCAAAAACCAGTTTCAGAAATATTTGTCAAGGTGAAGTTCAGCGGAGGACTCAGACTCACTTCTGCTGACATCTTCCCACAAGAGTCTAAGTGGGTTGCTGTCTTTTTACTTTCCACAAACAAGAGGAGATTTACCATAGGAGAGAATCTTTCAGTTTATACACATTTCCCTTCCACCCTTATGTATTTTAGGAAGAAAATTGCCACTTATTTGTACAAAGTAAATTGGCTTATGCTCTGTAATAGGCTTCTCCACTCTCGCCTCTGCCAGGAAAAGGTCATCTTCAGACTTTGCACTCCACAGAACTCAGAGATTCTTGACAGCAAGTTGAGAAATCACACACTCCTAAACTGTAATTTCCTTCACAGATTAAGACCTCAATGGTCACAGGTTTTTGGTTTCATCAGGTTTATTTCCTAGCGTGTTGCTGGCCATTGACTGGGATATAAACTGTACCTCACATGCCCTTATTGAAATACAGCCAGAGTGTCTGAAACACACACACATGTATTCCCAAGCAAACATGCATGCCTACATACTTACAAACATAGATGACACATATATGCACACATAGACACATGCATAACCACAAAGGCCACTTGTCTTCCCTCTTTGGTTTGGATAACTCTTCAAGGTACCACTCAGCTATGTCTGACCACAAAGGGCCCGCTTCCAATTTGATGTTATTACCCATTGCCTTGGCAACAGATATAGATGTTGTATGTGTGGCAGTAGCATCCCAGGTCCCTATGGAGCTCTTACCCTTGAGTGTATCTAGTTGATAGCTAAAACAAATTGAACATAAAACAAGCAGGTTAGAAAAGAGGTAAAAACCCCATGTACTGAGTTGGGGGTGGCGGTGTGGGGACAGCACAGGTGACAGCCAGCAATTGCCTGAGGGAAGAGTGTGGGGAAAGTTAGATCAATCATTCTGGGGTGGGAGCCCTCTTTTCATTAAGAGGCCATTTCCTCCAGCTAATCTCAATCTGATTCTACAGTAGCCAAATACTATAATTTGTGTATTTTATTAACACTACTAACAGTGGGATTTATTTATACATGTACAATAATAAATATTTATTTTTATGTATAATACATATATATGATTGAGAGAATATATATTTTTTTCTTTGGAAGGTAAGAGTTTCCTAACACCAATCCTTTGTTGACACCCAGTCCTCATGCGACTAGGCACCTCTCCAATGCACCTCTCATACCTTGCTGCTTTTGTACACACGGTTTCCTCTACTTCCAATGCCACTTCTCCAATTCTGTGCCTGGTGATCTCTGTTCCTCATTTTCAGGGCCCAGCTCAGTTGTGTTCATCCCTGTGTGGCCTTTCCACCTTCCTCTAAACAGCATGGACGTCTCACACTTTCTTATGAAGTCCCCTGAGCCATGAGCCTGCCACTGCTGGAGCATATGTTGCGTTTAATCAGTTAGGGCTGGACCCCTCAGACTGGGCACTGCAGAGAGCCAGGTGTGCCCCCTCAGTCTCTTCTCAGTTCCTCAAAGCACCTGGAATCTTATCTGGGCTGGCACTTAATTTTCACGTGAATGGAGGAATCAATTAGCTAACTCTGTAATACCCATGTAGGAAGCTTCCAGGGAATACAGCTCCCTTACACAGTAAGTCCTCACTTAATGTCATTGATAGGTTCTTGGAAACTACAACCTTGAGCAAAACACCATATAACAAAGCCAATTTTCCCACAGGCTAATTGATATAAACAAGAGTTAAGTTCCTATGGCATATTTCTGGTCACAGAAATATCACTGAACTAAACAAAGACCAAAATACTCGTAATGTTAAGCATTTTGAAAAAGATCTATACATACATTTAAGAAAGATTGATTTAAAGAGTAGGATAATTACTTATCCAGTTATTCCAATTCAGGGTTGCAGTGCCCAGAGCCTGTCCCAGCAGCTCAGGGTGCCAGGCGGGAGCCAGCCCCCGACAGGACACCCTCCCATCGCAGGGTCACTCACACACACACATGCCCACACTCACTCACACTGAGGCCATGTAGACATGCCAGGTCACCTCATGTGACAGCTTTGGGATGTGGGAGGAAGCTGGAGGACACAGAGAAAATCCACGCAGACATGAGAAGAACGACGCCACACAGACTATGGACCCAGCTGGAAAGTGATATATTTTTCTCATCAATGTTTTAATTAATGGCATTGAATGATCACCATTATTCACAGACCTTCAGTATAGCGAAAGCTTTTCTCCACGGGCCGCCTGGCACTAACGCCATCTCCCTGGGCTGCTTTTCCTTTGTTTCTGCCCCCACCTGCCTTGACCATGGCCCACTCCACCTGGAGGATCTCTTACTCCTCTTTGGTTAACTTCTCCAGGTGAGGTAGGGCCAAGGCAAAGAAAGGAAGAAAAACTGCAAGCAGATGGTTAAGGCACCTGGTAAACGACAGTCATAACCTGTGACATTAAAACTGAATTTCTGAATGTCTACTGTCCTGGCCATTCTTCCTCACAGCCACAAATGACTGTTTGGCAGCATCATTTGCCTATGGAATAGCAATTAATCAGGTTTCAACCAACTGATTTGGGGGTGTTTGGAGACAGTGAGGTGAAATCTTACTTTTGCTTTTCTTAGATTTTAGGATACTGATTCAATTTTTTTTTAAGAGACAGCGTCTCACTCTGTAGCCCGGTTGGAGTACCATGGTGCAGTTAGAGTTCACCGCAGCCTTGAACTCCTGGGATCACGCGATCCTCCTGCCTCATCCTCCAAGTAGTTAGGACTACAGATGCACCACTACTCCCAGCATGACTTTGTATTTCAAACAAATATTAACTAAGAATTTATTACAGGCCAGGAGCTATGCTGTCCACTGGTGTGTCTGCCACTTATTCCTTTCCCACTTTCTAGGGTAGGTGTAACAGTTCCATCTCACAGACGAAGAAATGGGCCAGGAGAGAAAGTGCCTGGCCAAGGTCCCACAGCTGGTGAGTGGCAGAGCAAGGATTTGAACCCAGGGCCTCTCGTGCAAACCATGCGCTCTTTGCACTGCATCCTGGTGCTAATATGGCTCATATTGGGGTAGAATTGTTTTCTCATCTGACTTCCACATATGAGAGATTTGGGGATGGTTACCCCACACAGAAATACTCTGAGTTATGGAATTTGTCTTGAGATTTGTATTCAGGGGCTACCTCATCCCCATCGGTGACTGTACCTATGGCAACATTACTCCAGCAGCTCACATGGTGTTTGACTTAAAGTGGAAACTCAAAACATTTGAGTAAATGAATTGATGAAAAATGATGTATCAGGCTGATGTCCCCAAAGACCCAAAAATTGTCAATTAACTGTAATCCTTAGGATAGAAAAGAGAGCTAGTGTATTTAAGAAATATTTTTCATAAAAATTGAAATGTAAAAGGGGTGGAGTTTCTCATTAATTCCCAATTATGCAGAATATATTTAGGTAACCATAAATCTACATCTTTTTCAAGCACTCAAGTTAATCAAGGTTTTTCTAAAAATCAGAAAGCCCAATGGGATTGGATTTTTGCAAATGTCAGGTATGTGGGCACGCATGCACCACAAATATCAGCTGCTAAAGCAGTGTTCCCCGTGTCCTCACTCCTAAATGTCCCTGTCCCTCACCAACCTCCAACAGCAAGCAGACATCCTATTAACCAGAGCTTCCCACAGCTGTGGCTCAGAATGCAGCCACTCTGCTCCACCATCCCATTATCCCCCATCACAGCTAAATCCGCTGAAAAGTGATACCTGGGCTTCTAGTTTGCTCACTCATTGTCCAGGGGTTGAATGGTTCTGTGCAGCCAGAAAGCCTGGAGTTCACACCTGGCTGTAGGGGTGGCCTGTTTGTGTGCCAGGAATAGAGTGTTGCATTTCCCTCACTAATGCAGCTGAAAGGGTGCCTGGAGCTCATTATTCCTGAGGTAATCCTGAAGGTTGCACTATCAAATGCTGTTTGCAGGCAGAAAAGGGAGGAGAGAAGGATATTTGAGAATCCTAGCACTTTTTTATGGTACATACAAGAGGTATAAGGTTGCTGATATTTCACTGCAGTTGAATCTTAATTAAGGGAGAAATCCTTCCCTGGAGACCTCCCTACCTGCCTTCTGTACCACTTATGCTAATGCCCTAATGAGACCGTTTCTGTAGCCTCCAGTCTTCAAGCTCCTCTGACCCGGGTGATCACAATGCAAGCTCCAGCTTTATTGTGAGAACCTATCTTTCCCCAGACTAGAAGGCAGAGCAGGAGCTCAAGCAAGTGGCTGAGTGCTCAGATGAGGACACAGGGCTGCTCCAAGGCCCTGGGATACCAAGTCCAAGGCTCTTTGTCTCACGGAGTCAGATTCTAAATGGCCCAAGTTAATTAGTCTTCAGCTGGTCTAGATTACTTCCCTGAGATCACCAGTACATTCTTGGTGATGCCAGACCTGAGTCATAACTGATGTGTCCTAGATGCAGCGGGGCCCAGCCCCTGGAGATCTGGTTAGAGGTGGCCTGCAACAGTGTCAGGAATGGTCCTCAACTTTGGTTCACAAAATAATGCCAATGCTCAGAGCCCCACCCACAGAGATCCTGATTGATTGAACTAGGGAGTGTCATTTAACTCCTGAGATGATTCTACAGCAGCTGGAGTTGAGACCACTTACTGATGCCTTCCCTGAGTCCCAGCATCTCACCATCCCAGCCAGGCTCCTGCGCTTTTAGGTGTATTTGCTCAGTTACTTCCCCAATCCCTGGAAAGCAGACTTAGCTCCTTTTAGTGTCTCCATAAGAAATCACTCAGGGCAAGCCTTCCATTATTCTACTGGAAGTTAATAAAAACTGGGGGCAGAGGGGTTTCCAGGGAGGAAGAAAAGGTTCTGCCATCTCTCTGGTTCTCCCGGCTCCTCCTGCTCCACCCCATTCCTTCCTCCTGGCTCCCTGCTCTAAGGAGTGAAACCAGATTCTTCCCTAGTTTTCTGCAGAATGATGAGTTCCACACGGGCTCAAGTTCCTAGGAGTCTCACCTTCTTTCCCCAAGCTCTTATCATCTTATTTTTCCAACAAAATTCATAACTCAGGAGAAATTTGGGGGATAGCTGACACACATGCACACACACAGATACACACATGCACACAGAGATGCATGCACACAGATACACACATGCACACAGAGACGCACACACAGATAGATGCACACACAGATACACGCATGCACACACAGATACACAGATACACACAGAGATACACACATGCACACACACAGATACACATAGGTACACACATGCACACACGTACAGATACACACATGCACACACAGGTACATGCACACGCACACAGATACACACATCCACACACAGATACACAGATACACACACAGATACACACATGCACACACACAGATACCCATAGGTACACACATACACACACATACAGATACGCACATGCACACACAGGTACATGCACACGCACACACAGATACACACATCCACGCACAGATACATGCATGCACACACACGAATACGTGCACACGCACACAGATACACAGAGATGCACACATGCACACGCACAGATACACACAGGCACACACAGATGATACACACACTCACACTTGGTAGTTCATAAGTCCTTTCGTGTGTGTCCCTGCATGTGCTCCTCTGTGGCGGGCCCACTGTACTCTTCGTTTTGCAGATGCAGAAACTGAGACACAGCATGATTAAAATCACAGAGCCACTACAAAACTGAACCCAGCTTTAGACCCCAAACCCATGTTCTTTCTTTTTATAGCATTTTGCCTCCTCAGTCAAAAAATGTTTCCCAGGCTAATGCTGCTCCGTATGGTTTCTCTAAGGATATCCCCTATGCTAACCCCAAATAAGTGGCCACCCATCCATTAGAACCTTAGAAATCAAAAGGACCTGGAAGAACCTGGAAGGGCAGGCCACAGTGGGAAATTTAGAGGCTCTACATGTTAAAAATATTATGGGTTCCCCCACACTCCCCACTGAGCTCCAGGCTAAATGTACTTACAAATAATACTAATCCATAAAGCCAGCACAAGGAAACCCTCCAATGTTTTGCTTTTCCTAATGATAATTATTTCAGTGAAACATCAAATGGAAAATTATTTCCAAAATGTGTTTACCTAATTCTTTGGTTACCTCTGCTTTTCTGGGGTCCAGAGAATTCATTTCTGCCATCCACTGGATACTCAATGCCCTGGACAAGAATCACAGGAGGCACCCTGAACATCAGCCAGCAGGTTAGGAACCCCAGCAAGCAATAAGGGAGGGTCCTGGCAAGGGAGAAATCTGGGAAAGAAAAGGAAGAATCAGTGTGTTCTGAGAGAGGAAGGAGCTGTGCACCCGGGATCTCAGAGAGGGAAGGCCACCTGGTGGCCTCTCCAGGCCACCCTTGGGGGCTCATGAATCAGGGAAGCAGAAGGGGGTTGCACAGATGCTGCCTGGAGCCCCCAGGCACAGGAACATCTTTCCTCTCCACCTGGCTGTGGTGGGTGCAATGAGCCATCACTTCCACAGTCATCAGATTCTCACAGTGGGGAGCAGAAATCCACCTGGCCCCAAGATATGAGCCTTCCTCCACCTCTCCAGGAGCACACAGGAGTTAGCAAAAGCACAAACAGCCCATGTGTTACTTTGCAGTGTCCATAGGCCCTCAGGATCAGCATGTACATGCAGATGAATCATTTTGAGCAAGTCAGAATGCAATTATTTCATTTTTCTTTGCATTCTGGAGTGTTGATGTTTAGAAATAAATTGCTCCCGGTGCTTCTGATTTACAAGGACAAAATACGAATCAGAAAACAGGTTCAGTGGAGTGATTTGAATTTCCATTACAATTACAGTTCTTTTCAACCATGTGATTCTGTGCTTTCCTCATATACATCGACCCAGTGCTGATTGTGCTTGGATGCTGAGACTCCCGCTGCCAGGGCCCCATCAGAAGCCCCATCACACAGCCCCAGCTGTCACAGGCTGTGGAGTAGATTGGGACTAAGTGCCATGGTAAGCCACTAATAAAACTCTAGTGCCCCCTCAGAGCTTCTTCTGGGGATCACCATGGGAGAAGGGTGTGGACAGTTTAGCTTCCCAGGTAACAGATGAATCGGGCTTCTGCAAGCAGAAGTTGAAGGGCCCCCGACACTGACCAGCAGATTCTTCCAACCAATAACAGCCGCGCCACCAAAACTATCAGCATCCAGTGCTTCTCTGTGCCAGATATTACGCTGAGAATCAGATGCATTTGATGCTCAACACAGCTCTTTGAAACAATGTTGTTATTAGTCTATTTCATAGATGAGAAATTGAGTCTCAGAGAGGTCAATAAGTGGCAGAGGTGGGATCTAAATTCAAATTGGTCCCATATTCAGAGCCTAGGCTCATATTCCCTGCACAGTAACACAGCCCCAAATTCAGTGCCACATCCCCAAGCCTCTGATTTGCTAACTCCAGGTGGCCCCGAATGTGGGCTCTGGGGGATCTGAATGAGGCTTCTTCTTCCCTCCCGCAACAGACAGCTCCTCCAATAGTGTGCAGAGAATCTTCACAGGATCAGCCTTTCTGTCCCCAGCCCTGATATGACCTCCACCCCAGAAACATTCTCCCTGGTCCCTTCCCCACTTCCTGCTCTGTGCTAGCTCACAACCCCAATCAGGCAGATCTTTTTCTAAGTCCGAGGGCTCTGCCAACAATCAGATTTTCATGTACTCTACCTAAGGTACAGCTCTAATTGGAGCACCAACATTTTTAAAAAGCAGGGGTGGGAAAAAATCAGCCAGGCTGAGGTAGGAGGATAGCTTCAGCCTGGGAAGTTGAGGCTGCAGTGAGCCAAGATCATGCCACTGCACTCCAGCCTGGGCAACAGAGCAAGACCTTGTTGCAAAAATAAAATAAAATAAAAATAAAAATAAAAGAATAAAAATAAATAAAAAGCAGGGTTGGGGGCAATGCTTAACATAAGAGGGCACTTGTGCCAACATTTCTAGTGCCCAATCACCCAGTGGGTACCAGCTAGGCACTTCACATGAGGAAGGAGGGGAATTTCAGATGTCAGCAGCAGATACTGGAGGCTTTTCAAATCGCACCATTCAAGTAACTTGCTATATTTAAGGTGAAGGCCAGTTACCCACAACTGCGCGTCCCCTCCTTCAGCCTTCCTCCACACCCAATGCTGCGGGACAGGACGGGCAGAATGAGATCCTTCCATCCAAGACAATCCCCAGCCCTGATGCCCTGGGTCAGCCCAGTCTGGGATCAGCAAGCCAGGGAACTCACATGGATCGAGCCCCTCTCTTTTCATCTGGTCAAGTCCTTGGTTTTTTTGTTCACCATTTTAACATAGAATCAGTCTGATTTTATGTTGTGTCTTGCCTTTTTTTTTTTTAACCCCTTCTTCCCTTCATGACCTCTAGAGACTGAAAAGAATGTTCAGGATTCCAACTTTATTGCATTAGCAAAACTAAAATAAGATCCATGGACCCCATGGATAAAAACGTGTCCCATTGAAAGGTTAGTCTAAATAACAATTTAAATGAAGACATGACAGTGGAGTGGCTTATTACTGGCTGTATGAATGGCAACATAAGCAGACAAGGTACTAGCTCAACGTGAAAAATGTACTCTCATTTCTGATTCATGCTTTTCCCAATGCCTGCATGAGCCTTTACCCAGGGTGAGGACGAGCCTGGCAGTACGGAGGCTGGCCTGGCATGGGGTATCTACATGCCCCTCCAAAGAGCTGATGTACGCTCTTGGGGTGCACAGGGGGAAGAAGAACTGGTGGTTGAAGTGGCTCTGTAATTCTTTTTAATTAAAAAACTTCATTTTTTTGAGGATTTTTAGGTTTACAGAAATATTGAACAGAAAGTGCAAATAATTTCTACATATTTCTGGCCAGGCACAGTGGCTCACTCCTGTAATCCTGGCACTTGGGGAGGCCGAGGAGGGTGGATCACCTGAGGTCAGGAGTTCAAGACCAGCCTGGCCAACAGGGTTTTAGTAGAAACCCCGTCTCTACTAAAAATATATTTTAAAAAAATTAGCCAGGTGTGGTGGCACACGCCTGTAGTCCTAGCTGCTCAGGAGGCTGAGGCAGGAGAATCGCTTGAATCCGGGAAGCGGAGGTTGCAGTGAGCAGAGATCACGCCACTGCACTCCAGGCTGGGTCACAGACTGAGACTCTGTCTCAAAAAATAAAGTAAAATAAAATAAAATTTATATGTACGTCCTCTCCCTCCCAACCTCTGCCCTGAGTTTCCCCCATTATTAGCATCTTGCATTAGTGTAGTATATCTGTTACCATTGGTAAGCCAATATAGATACATTGTTATGAATTGAAGTCCCTAGTTTACATTAGAGTTCATTCTGTATGCTGTACACTCTATGGGCTTGGCCAAATGTGTGATGACATGTATCCACCATTACATGATCATACAGAATAGTTTCAGTGCCCTAACAAACACCTGTGCTCCACAATTCATCTCTCTCCTCCTCCTCCTGCCCAACCCCTGGCAAACACTGAACTTTCTTTTGTCTGCCTTTCCAGAATATTATATAGTTGACATCACACAGTATTTAGCCTTTTCAGACTGACTTCTTCTGCTTAGCAATGTGCATTTAAGTTGTCCATGTATTTTTGTGGCTTGATACCTCATTTCTTTTTATCACTGAATAAAATTTCACTGTGTGGAGGTACCACAGTTTATCCATTCACCCAGTGAGGGACATCTAGGTTGCTTTCATTTTTGGCAATTATTAATAAAGCTGTTATAGACATTCATATGGAAGTTTTTAGGTGGACGTAAGTTTTAAACTCCTTTGGATAAATACCTAGCAGCACGATTGTCAGATCCCATGGTAAGACTCTGTTTCGTTTTGTAAGAAGGTACCAAAGTGTCTTCCACGTGGCCGTACCACTTTGCATTCATTCCAGGGATGTTCCTGTTGTTTCTCACCAGCATTTGGTTGTAATTAACTTTCTGAAAACACCCAGGTTAAAATATTTTTGTAATACAAATCAATATTATTGGACATGTTCCCTATATTCTCTCATGTGATCTGTGTTACCACCCTGTGAGGGAGCTTTTATTATCCTTATTTTATAGATAAGGAGACTGAGGCTCAGAATGATTATATGAAAAACCCAAGGTTATACGAAGCGCTCAGAGCAGGGGCTGGCATCTGGTCTTCTGCCTAAAAAGCCCATGTCCTCTTGAGTCTACCCCACTGAACAAGCCTTCACAGAGAGAAAGCAGAAAATACTGTGCAGGGAACCATGGCCCAGGCTGGCATGATCTATGAGTACTAAATTATCCAGGAGATAGACAAGGTAACTGCTAAAGACACCTAAACATCTTTTGAATGAAATTTGACACTTAATATTTTATTTTAAAAATTAATCCCAGCCATCATGAGAAATATCTGAATTCTGTTGGACTTCCTTACCATTATTTTATGTCTTAGAATCACATGTATTTTTAAATAACGTAAGAAAGCATACTATAATATTTTCAGTGTTTTAGCCTTTAAATTCTTTAATCCAGCCCTGCTCTCTCCCTAGTCAAATTATCTCTCAGTCTATCACCAGCATTGGAAATTCAACCATTAGAAATGCACCCTTTCAGGCCGTTATATAACTTTTCAGATTTTCAATAGGTGCCTATTAAAATCTAGGTAGTGGGGGAGAATGAAGAGAAGCAACATGTGTATTTGGATTGCAAATTTATTCACAGTGGAGCTCAGTCATGCAGAGGAACGCGAGTTCTTCACCTCTGCCTGTTCCTTATCTGAGTGTCTCATGAGCATGAGCACGCTTCCGGTCCACTCCAGTAATCTTGGTCCAGTGCAATCATTTACGCATTTTCCTTAGTTAATTCTCAGTCATTTTGGGTGAAATAGTTTAGTCTCTCAAATTCCAACCTCTTCCTTCAACTGCTCCCTCTTAGGAAGGACCTGTGCTCTCCTTGCCTTGGTTCCTCTGTGTGAGTCACTGCCAGTGACCTGAGTTGTCCACCCAGCATCTGCCGTGGCCATGCACCTTCTGCAGGAACTCCCTGCAAGTGACATCTGGGCTGGTGCACCTGTTATCATCTGTCTCTCCTACTCTCTTTCTCCTTCACTCTCTGGCTAACTCCTTGGACCTCTAGCTGAGCATGCACATCCAAAGGAACTAAGAGCGGTTTGAAGGAACAAAAGTAACCCTTCCTAGCCTGACTGCTCACTCCACCCAGATTGCCTGCACTGTTCAGCACTACAACCTTATTGCATTAGCAAAACTAAAATAAGACCCATGGTCCCCAGTGAATACAACAAGAAAGCCCCGTGCACTGTGGCTTTCTTCCAGAGTCTAAAGGAATTTCCAGTGACTTTTACATGCCCTGGCCTGTTGTCTCACTAAAAAGGTCATTATCTTGTCCTCTGCTGTTTTGCAATAAACCTTACAAGACATTATTGGAGGTGGGTGGGGGTGGGGAGCTAAAAAGGTAAAAGTTAACACATGTGAGATAGTGAACACTTTAATTTTATTGTGTAATATTTGAAAGGTCCAAAGGAATACACACAGCAGAGATGTAAGCTTAATAAGGAAATGGCCATCTGTGAACCCCCCAATAGAAGAACCTGAGCCTGCCCACCCCACTCCTGTGTCATCCTTCTCCATCCCCACAAGTAACCACTGTTTTTCATCTTCTTATTAGTTTTTTGCTGTTGTTATTGGTAGCTTTATCACACGTGTATATCCCTAAACAGTATAGTTTAGTTCTGCTTGCTCTTGAGCTTTATAAAACTGGATTAAGACTTTATATAGCATTTTCCAATTTGCTTTTTCCACTTCGTATCATGGTCTAAGATTTATCCATGTTGTTACTTGTAACCATTGTTAATCGCATTGTGTGCATATAACATAATTTATATATCTATTCTCCTATTAATGGGTAATTGAGTTGTATCCAATCTGGGCTCTGTTATAAACAATGCTGCTGTGAGCTGCCTTGTATATGTTTTCTGACGGAGGCAATAGGATTTATACCTGAAGAATTGCTGGGCCATTAGACAGGTAAAGATTCAACTTAAGAGTCCAGTGGAGTCCAGTGGTTACGTACACGAGTTTTGGCACTAAACTGCTTGGTTTCAGCCTAGGCTCTATTGCTTGCAAGTTGTGTGACTTGGGGCAAATTACTTAACTTCTCTGCATCACCATTTTCTCAACTGAAAAATAACGGTAATAATAGGACCTATCTCATAAAGTTGTTTGAAGGGTTAAATGACTACAACGTTGCCAACACCACTCATGATTTCATCTTGTGTTTACAACAACACTGTGAGGTGGCCATGATGATGTCCATTCTACAGATTGGAAAGCACTGAGGTTAAATGACTCACAGTGGTCTGCTAGCTAATGAGTGACAGAACAGGGATCTGATTCCTGGCCCACCTATCCTCAGAGCCGGGTTTATTTACATCTCGCTGCCTCCCATCGTTAACATTCTGCTGGCTCGATTCCTTACTAGCCAGCTAAGAGCAAGTCTCCCCCAAAAGGGAGGCTGGGGTTGGGAAGGTCGGCAGAGGCACCAGGAAATGGGGAAAAGTGGCATACAGAGAAGAGGAGAACCACACCACCAATGAATTTCACCTGTTTTTCTTTGAAAGCAGCCCCGCCTTCCCTCTAAACTGTTTTCACAGCAGACAGCAAGTGTGAATCAATGCTACATCCACATTCCCATACCTCACACTCTGAGAAACCGCCCCTACAGCCCCACAACTGTCCCTCCACCTGCTAAAAGGTGTCTACAAGCAAAGGAAGTCTTCTAGAAATCAAAGAAGGCAAGGTCTGGCCATCCCTCTCTGTTCCCTCTCCCTCTTTCACTGGGCTCAGACTCATTCACACCTGGCCTGGCCATGGGAATCTGGGCCCCTGGACCCTGTGGCCTGGATGGCTGACCCCTGGCTATGGGCTTCGAAACTGCACTCAGATCCCTTTGCCTACAAAAGGCTTGGCTCCAGCCTTCTCCCATCAGTCATTTATTTTCATAAGTGCCCAGTGAATTCATTTCTTTGGAAAGAAGGGCAAGAAAAGGAGATGGATCTGCACAATATGTACAATTTTCTGCAAATGCCGTCACCATCAGGAGTGGCTGGGCTTTCACTCCGCATAAGCTGAGGCCAAGCTGAAGCTCCCGTGAGCAGAAGCCTGGGAAGCGGGTAGCTGGCTGCATGCAGCCCAGGCCAGGGACGATGAATTGGAATGTCCTATTATGATAACACCTGCCCTCCCTTTACGATTTAATACCTCAACTATTTCTCATCTCATCAGGTCAACAAATACCACTAAATTCCCTGTACAGGCCCCCCAAAATGTACTCTTTCCTCAATAAGAGGTTTCCTAAACACAGACTTTTCTTCTGAAGCAGCCAGGCAGCGCTCAGGAGGCAATTTCTGATCTTTTGTTACCAAAGATGGTTTTTCCTTCCTGTCCTAACGGTAGAAAAAGACCATTTCAAGGATCACTCATTTTTTCCTCCCAAAGCTAAGAAGTGACATCATGCTCATTTGCATTCTCATCGACAAATCCTCCACACCACCCAGTTTGCTCAGTATATTATTTTATTCATATTTTTTAAAAGAACACAGGCCATTTCTAAGCAGAGCACAATAGGCATTGTTCTTGTTTATGACGGTTCCATCCGTCATTTGCCCCCTGGGATCAGGAACAGGAGACAGTGGCAAAGCCCAGCTTGTGGTAGATGCAGGACAGAGATGGGGGAAGAGCGCCCCCACCCAAGCAGATGTGGCTGCTCCACAGAGCCGAGCTCCAGTCACTCCCAGCACAGCAAGGCTCTTCCCACGTCTGCGATTAGGGTTGGAAATCACTCTTTCCTCTGACTCACTGGCAATGACTCTGCTCGTGAACTCATTCCTGGTTATGTTGTTTACGTTCACCTCAAGCTTGGTGCGACACAGGCCAAAACAATAGGAAAAAAAATAATGGATCACATGGTTGGGTGGTTGCCTAACAAGTATTTTTTTTAATTAAACATGAATTGAGCACTAACTATATTCTAGGTATTATGCTATTGAATCCTTACAATAACCTCATGAGTTAAGTGTTACTGGTCCCATTTTATAGATCAAGAAACTGAGTGTTAGGAAGGTTAACTTCGATGACCAATGTCATCAAGCTAACCAGGGGAGAGCCTCTTGACATGAAGACTGGGAGGCTATGCTTTTGTCTGGGAATCCAAGGCTCTGGGCCTTTCCTGTTCTTCAACCAGTCTTTATCCATCCATTCATCCAACAGAGCATGTGGACCGAGTCCGTCTAATCAGTCAATGAATGCTTAAAGCCCAGTGCAATGTTCGGTGACCTCAGATTGCGGAAAGAGAGGCAAGAGGACAAGAAACAAGTGAACAAATCTGTAGGTCATGGGAGGACCACTCCAATAGAGTGGGTAAGGGGAGTTAGGGATGACACTCAGGTTTCCTGCTTGAGCAACTAAGTAGACAGAGGTTTTAGTTACTAAGACAGAGAAGACTAGAAGAGGATGTGGTGTGGGGAGAATAATGAGACATCAAGAGGTTCAGGACTGTGTCGTTTTGAGGTCCTATGAGACATGCCAGTTAGCAGTCGGATATAGTGTAAAGGTTTGGGCTGAAGGTATAAATATGGGAATTGTCAGCTATATTTTTTCAGAATTGAGATTATGAAAGAGAGTACAGCCCAGAAAGAGAAAGTTCAAGGACGGGATTCCATATTTAGGGAGTGGAAAAGAGGAAGAAGCTAACAGGAAGACTGGGAAGGGGCTGGAAGAAAAGTGTGGGCAGAAAACCACAGAGTGCATGGTACCCTGTCTCCATATTGAAGAGAAATGAATCTGGAGAAGTTTGGACTAGGCCACTGTGGTGGAATGCTTCCTACAACTCCGGGGAGATGGAGACAGAGGGACCTCAAGATTTGGCAGTTTGAGAGACTGGCAAGGGTCTTAACAAGGGCAAAACAATTTTTTGGAACCAGAGAGTAAAAACCAGAAAGAGTAGGCTCAAGAGTGAATGAGAGAAGGTGAAGTGGAAGCAATGTGTACAGACAACTTTTTCCAATTTTTCTAGGAGGGGATACAGAGAAGTGGAATGGCAGCCAGAACAGAGTGTGAGGTCCAGGGGAGATTTCAGGAGTGAAGGATAATTGAATATGGGTTTGCTCACTTTCTGCTTTGTGGGAATGGTCCAGGGAAGGAAGAAAGAGCTTCAGATGCAAGAAGGAGAGGGACTGAGTGAGGGAGGGAGTCCTTGAGAAGGCGAAGGAGATGGGGCACTGCACGTGGCAAGGGTTGGCTTTGGTCATGAGAAATACTAAATTTAGGAGAAAGAAAGAAGAAAAGATGAACATTTAGCACACCTGCATTACGTGCCAACTGTATGCCAGGGCTGCTAGGCACTGGGGAAGCAAAGGTGATGAAGAGTAGTCCATGCCCCTAAAGAGCTCATGGTCATATGGGGAAGACAGACACCTGTGTTACAGCATCATCGCATGCAGTGACAGAGCTATTCAGAGGACATTTATGGGAGCAGGAAGGAAGGGCACAACCCAGCCCACCGTTGGGTCAAAGAAATCTTGACAGGGATTTGTTTGACTAGGTGCCCAGCCTCACACTCCAGTAGATGCTTAATACATGACACTCTTTGATAATAATGATTATTTACAATGCTGATTTTCTACACATGGAGGTCATGATTTGGGAACTGAAATCTACCGAAGAGTCTATTATTTCTCTCTCCTTGCCCTATGATGCGGATAATACAACATGCAGCTGCCTGGATGACTCCAGATTGAACTCTGACGGCTTCCAGATCAAAACAATCAGTTCCTTTGATAGCAATTGTAGGGCCTTTGTGGTCTATAATGTGGAGGACTGGTGATGATGGGTCTGGTGAGGCTAAACAGACTTTTAACCCAAGACATAGCAACTGCAGCACAGCCTGGCAGAACATAGGTCCTTCTTCCATTCTTAAAGCAGCCCTCAGAGGTGAGCTTAATGCTGCAGGCTTCTCTCCAGGTGGATACCCTGAGAAGTGGCTGCACTGTTCCCTTGGACTTCTTTGACAGGAGTGTTTGCCACTCTGCAGAGCTCCTGTTAGAACATGGACAGAGGAGGCAAGGGAAGAAGCACAGCCCTGTCTCAGTCTCAAAACCAAGGGCCACAGACCCTGCAGAAATGTCAAATGCAACTTGCATACCCTGTCTGAGTAGCACAGTGGGAAAAACCATATCTCAGCAAGTGGAAGTGGAAGCCCAAATGTATGCAAAAGAATTGGGGCTTGGAGAGCAGCCCTGGGAGGCAACGTCCATAGGAATGAAAAAGAGATGGTTAGAAACGATTTCCTTCCAGATTGTGCATTTGTCCCAAGCCCAACTCCATCACCCACTCTTTTTGCACACAATGTCTAGCAGATTTTAGATGCTATGGGAGGCGGAATATTGTCGTGGCTAAGAGTATGGGCTCCAGAGCCGGGCTACCAAGTTGGTCATGGATCAGCTGGGGCAATTGACTTGACCTCTCTGTGCTTCAGCTTCCCTGCCTGTAAAATGGGGGTGATGATGATAATAGAAGCTACATCATAGAGTTGTGAGGATTCAATAGAAGAGTGCCTGGCACATAATAGATATTTGATAAATACAAACTTAATGAATGCCAAGAAGAAGCAGGGTGAAGAGCAGATATGTCAGAGTAGACCTGCTTCCATTGTTAGAAGACAATGCAGTGAGGCCAATTCATCAGGAGTGTTCCCTTCTAAGGCAACCTGTATCTGCTGGCTGAGGGTATGACAAGCTCAGAAACAAAGGCACAAGCTGAGAGCATTTGTGCTTCACTGGGTAGTGAAAGGGAAAAGAAATAACAAGAAGCAAGTCAATTATATTCCGGAGGCTGGCTGTCCAAGCTGTACCATCCCTTCCATCTAACCAAGGAATTGAAAGAACATTTACATTCATTAAAAATTTATCTTTCCAGGAAAAAAGAACCAGACTTTTTTCCTCTAGTGAAAAACATGAAAAGAAGATGCCAGAAGTTTGCATGAAAAGTTGGGTCTCCCTTCTTCAGCTTTGTCAAGAAAAACAATATGGAGAAAGTTCTGCTGTGTATTTGGGATATGTTTATATTGATTTGGGTGGGGTGGACTATATTGTTTTTAGCATTTGGCAATGATTTAAATTATGTGAATAATAAATACCATCAAATTGCTGGCCCTTGCAATATTATATTATTAATTGTGCAAACTCCCCACACATAAAGCAGGCTGTCTTTTTCTGGTCCATGTCTTGCAAATCAGAGTCCTGAAAATTTGTGCCATAGGGGAAGAGAAAATACATCTGTGTGGGGGTTGATTGGCTCCATCATTTCATCATTCTGTCAGGTGTTCTCTCTTGTGAGTGGCCCTCTGGCTGAACTAACATTATGTTCAGCCCACACTCCTACCGATCACATAACTGGCCCCTTGTGCTGGCCCTTTCCTTGCCATTAATGCAGGCAAAAGCCAGAACCCATTGCTCTATCTGCTAAGATTTCCTCTAACTGCAGATAAGGGAGTGTGAAGAGAGCCACTGCCTCTCCCTTCCAACCCCTGCTTGCAGGAATAGCAGCTCCTTCTGCTCATTAGGAAAGACCAGCTCTATGCCCTGTCCTCCCTTCCTGCAGACTCTCCATCTCAACCAACGGCCTGGCCAGTAGCTTCAGCCCTGTTAGGAAATCAAATGAGGGCTTCATCCAGAGTGCCCTCCAAGCAGACCAACAGAGATGCCCAGACCAGGCCAGCTCATGCTTCATGGTTTCAGCCCAAGGAGCCCGGTGGCAGCACATTTGCTACTGGGCTGCCAGGCTGTGAGCAGCATGCAGGCCTAGAGTTGGCCTGTTTTCCTCAACTAGCCTAAATGACAAAACTTCAGTCATTTTGATAAGAAAAAGTTTCCCAGACGTGATCCTGGAGGAAGTCAGTGTGTCTCTGTTAGGAAACCATTACACTATTTTTTCCAGGCCATGTTTATTTTAATGCTATTAATTTTTATGAAGGTTATTTTATTATTGATGACCATTATTATGTGTTTCTACAAATAAAATGAAATGCTGGTCTACTATTAATTGCTTTAGGAAACAGGAATTAACACATTTAAAAAAAAGTTTTATTATAATGTAATATTACCACACTCTAGAAAATTTGGAAACCAAAGAAAAGAAAAAAGAATCAACTCAAATCCCACCTGTCTAATACAAACACTATTAGCATTTCGGTGAATTTCCTTTGAGTCTTTTTCTTATGCATATTTTAACATGGTAGTAATTATCTTTACTCATATTTTTATCTTCCCCTTTTTTCATTTAGCATAGTTATCATATGCAATTTTCATATTATGTAATTCTCATAAATGATCATTCTAATGATTCCATAATATTCCATCAAGTCTATGAACCATGATTTATTTAACCATTTCTCAACTGTTGAATGTTTAGGCTGTTTTTGCTATTACCCTCACAGATTTTTTTAGTGCTTAGGATTATTTTCTTGGAACAGGTTGACAAAAGTGACATCACTTACTGCACCAGAGGGCATGTACATTTTTTTGACTGCTGGTACACATTGCCAAATTGCTTTCTAATCCACATTTTAGCTTAACTGTATTCTGTAGGCTTTTTTTTTTTTTTTTTTTTTTTTTTTTTTGAGACGGAGTCTCGCTGTGTCACCAGGCTGGAGTGCAGTGGCACAATCTCGGCTCATTGCAATCTCCACCTCCTGGGTTCAAGCGATTCCCCTGCCTCAGCCTCCTAAGTAGCTGGGACTACAGGTGCGCACCACCATGCCCTGCTAAATTTTTGTATTTCAGTAGAGACAGAGTTTCACCATGTTGGATGATGGTCTTGATCTCCTGACTTCATGATCCGCCCACCTCAGCCTCCCGAAGTGCTGGGATTACAGGCATGAGCCACTGCACCTGGCCTTCTATAGGCTTTTTAATCAGCAGTGTTGTTTTATATTTTGGAGGGACACAATAGGACCCTTACATTGCATCAGACGGTAACACCTGGGCTCTCCTGCCCCTTAGAAAGAAGGCTTCTTGAGAAGCCCCTCCCACTCCCCTGGAACGCTTCATATCACAGGGCATGTGATGGACAAGGAAGGGACAAGTGAGGCTCTGACCATGCAGGAGGTGGGGCCAGTCTTGGGAAGAAACATACTGGTGCATTTCTTTGTAAGGCTGAAAAGGAGAAAATTAATGTCAGACTTGGCATGCATAACTCAAAATGCTTGTTTCTGCTGTATTAAGATATTTCCATAAGGAGACACCTGGCTTGCTGTCACCACGCCACGTGTAAATGACAAAAAACAACTCTCTGAGGACAAAACTCTGGAGGAATCCCTCTCCTTTCCATCACTCTCCCGGCCCGCACCAGCCACATTCCCTTGCCCCCACGAGGATTCAGTAGAGTTTAGTATAAGATTCTCCCCTACTTCATCTTCACAGGCAAAATGTGATTTGAGGACACTTTCTCCATAAGAACACTATCCCCCTTAACACACTGGGCTTTTCTACCTCCACACAGGTAGGGAACCAGAGCTGTAACTCTCCGGGCTTGGAAGGAAGTGCTTCTTGACAATGAATTCACTGATCATGGATGTTCATGGGGTTTCTCCTTGACAGTCATAGGTGATCCTCTGTAATCTATGATGTAATTGACTATGCTTTTATTTCTAGCACCAATTAGTACTATGTTCAGATGCAGGACAAGCGCTAAGTAAAATGGTGATAGAGGGTAAGTCTGACCGTAGGACTACCAAGGTTGTACAGGTTGTTCACTGCACAAGGGCACCCGACCGAGGACATAAGCGGAGACTGACACCCAGGCTACTAGCCTCTAACCAAGTCAGATACCCTAACATGAGGCTATGTTCATTCCTAGCACCAATTAGTACTATGTTCAGGTGCAGGATAAGCGCTAAGTAAAATGGTGATAGAGGGTAAGTCTGACTGTAGGACTACCAAGGTTGTACAGGTTGTTCACTGCACAAGGGCACCTGACTGAGGACGTAAGTGGAGACTGACACCCAGGCTACTAGCCTCTAACCAAGTCATGTACCCTAACATGAGGCTATGTTCACTTATTATTATTATTATTCTAGCAGTGCCCTTTTAAAAGCTAACCTTTTTACTTGAGAGTAGTTTTAGATTTGACATACATAAAAGTTGCAAAATAGTACAGAGGGTTCCCATATACCCCACACCCAGTTTTCTTTATTGTTAACATCTTGCATTAGTATGGTACATTTGTTATAATTAATGAACCAGTATGGATACATTATTATGAACTAAAGTCCATACTTCGTTTACATTTCCTTAGTTTTTACATAATATCCTTTTTCTGCCCCAGGGGCTCATCCAGGATACCACATTGCATTTAGCAGTCTTGTCTCCTTAACCTCCACGTGGCTGTGACGGCTTCTCAGATTCTGTTTGTTTTTTATGACCTTCACAATTTTGGGGAGTACTGGCCAGGTGTCTTGCAGAGTGTCCCTCGATGGGGATTTGTTTGATGCTCTTTTCAAGATTACACTGAGGTCGAGGGGGAAGACCACAAAGACAAGTGCTGTTTCCATCGTATCCTATCAAGGGTGTGTGCTATCAACATGGCACATCACTGTTGCTGCCAACCTTGCTCACCTGGCTGAAATAGTATTGGTCAGTTTCCTCCACTGCAAAGCTCCTCTTTTTCTCTCACTTTCACACTGTATTCTTTAGAAGGAAGTCACTATGTGCAGCCCACGCTTAAGGAGCGGGAAGCTATACTCTACTTCTTTGAGGGCAAGGCATCTACGTGAATTATTTGGAATTCTGCACTGGAGTCTATCTATTCTCCTCCATTTATTTATTTCTGTATTTATTCCTTCAGTCATCTATTTACATCAGTATGGACTTGCTTTGGATTATCCTCCAACACTATTTTGTTGCTAAAGCATGCCATCTTTGGTCAATGGGAGCTCTTTCAGTTGGCTTCTGTGTCCCTTTGACAGACCCTCATTAGTGTGGCTTTTTTGGAAGAGAATATGTTATGTGTTGGATTGTGTCCTCCTCCTCAAATATAATATGTTGAAGTCCTAACACCCAATACCACAGAATATGACCTTATTTTGAAGCAGGGATATTGCAGGTGTCACTAGTTAGGATGAAGTCATACTGGAGTAAGGTAAGCCCTTAATCCAATGTGACCAGTGAGTGTCCTCATAAGAAGAGAAGAGGGACACACAGAGAGAAGAGGGCCATGTCACCACAGAGGCAGAGATTGTAGGGACACATCTACAAGCCAAGGAATGCCAAGGAATACCAAAAATCACCAGAAAACAGGACAATGCAAGGAAGGATTCTCTCCTCCAGGTTTCAGGGGAAGCATGGCTCTGCAGACACCTTAATTTTTAAACGTGCATTCTCCGGAACTGTGAGAGAATAAATTTCTGTTGCTCTTAGCCACCCAGTTGTAGTTATTTGTTATGACATCTCTAGGAAACTAGCACAGAGCACTTCCTTATTTTCTGGCACTACAAGATGCTCCAGTTCATCTTGTGTATTTCCTGATCCTGTGCTAGAATTGGCCATTTCTTCAAGGAGCCCTGGTTCCTTTTATTACAGAGTGGTATCAGAAACCAAACTCTGGATTGTTAGGTGTGCTTGTTGCTACTGTAATGTTGTTGCTAGTAGGCTTTCTCAGGAGATATAGCTGGGAAATATCTGTGTGTATATTAGCCCTCACATATACATAGCTATAAATATTTCCATACATAACATCTATATCTATATTAAGCTAAATATAAGTTCATACTGATGTCTCCAACACTAATTCATTACCACGTGGATCTGGATCATTCTAGCCCCCTCCTTTTGCTTATCTGTAACCTCCCACTCCAACAGTGAAACGCCTGGCTCCCACCATCTGCCATCCATTTACTTAACTGTTCAGTTTCAGTGCACATGTACAGCATATAGAATTGTAAACCTACGAATTTCTTTTCTGAATTAATACAAAAGTCGCTAAATCAGCTAGTGGCACCCCTGCCTCCTCTCCAAACTGAATTTCCTCCCAGCTGAGTTCAAGAGCCTGTACTTTCTCCCTCGTCTTCTCTAATACCCAAACCTAGTCTCACAAAGGGAACTGCTATCAGTTAGTTATATCTTTGTATTAGTCTGAATAAGCCAGGCAAAGCTGCAGGAACAAATAAACATCAAAAAATCTCAGCTTAGCACAACAAAGCATTATTCCTTATTCCTATCAGATTCCAAGGCGCACGGGCAGCCCTCTTCAACTTTTAGCTTTATCATTTTGAACTCGTGGCCTCTAGAGTAGGGACGGGAGGGAAGAGGGGCTGAAAGATCACACAGGACTCTTTTAAGTCTCAGGCCTGAACCTAATTCCTAGGAAGGCTGAGCAATGCCTGTCTTCCTGTGAACCCAGGAGGAGGAAATTATATGCTGAGCACATCGCATTGTCTCTGCTTTAATCCTAGTGTGAATTTTAGTCAATGTGTTAACTTTCCCCAAATCTTTTTTATTTAAAATCTTAACTTTGTAACAAAAGGTCTTGTTTTAAAAGGAATTTTAAGCATTCATAGTCAAGGGAACAGGGAAAAGAAGGTTTAGGGAAATTTTCAGCAACCCCACCTTTGAAAATCTATCGTATAAGTGGCCCCTATTTCTACCAATGAATAAGGTCATTTTTGATGATATTCAATTTTTTTAAAAGCAACATCATTCCTTTTATTCTTGAGAGCTAAGATGGTAAATCAAAGTGGGTGAGCCGGGTGGCCCACAGAGCCCTTTGGTGTCCTTGCGTGATGCATGGGCCGAAGGGAGTTTAGAAGCACCATTCAAGGGCACCTTCCACAATGTGATTTCTGCTGCTGTAAGAGAATAAATGTTTTTAATAGCAAAGGAGATGAGCCCCATTCTTCATAGAATTTTAGTGTGAGGAGGAACCTTAAAAATGAGGTCCAGATAATTTTCTAATGACACAGATAAAATGCTTATGATAATTTAACATTAAAGGGAGGGAGCATGAAACAAAATTGTATACACAGTATGATTTCACTCTCTAATACACCATGCATAGAGAAAGCAGAATACACCAAAACACTGGTTTCCCCTGGGTGGTAGAATAATGGGTGTTTTAAATTATCTTGTTTATATCTTTGTATGTGTTTTCTAAGCTTTCTGTAACGAGTATGTGTGACTTTTGTAACCTGAAAAGGAATGTTAAGAAAAAAATTTTAAGGTAGTCAATCCAACTCATCTCCCCCTTGTAGAGATGAGGAAACTGATACCCAGAGAGATTAAATTATGTGTCCAACATCACACAGATATTAAAGTGAAAGGTCAGGAGCCAAGTTAGAAAGTCTTGCAGACATAGACTAAGAACCCAGAAAACGTGACCCCCACTCACACTCACACCACATGCACGTCCACACCCACCCTTTTCACCCTCATCTAAAGTTTCCAGAGTTAAAATTGCTTCCTGGTCCCTGCCTCTGTTTCAGCCCAGAGGCCTGGGAGCTCTTGCAGCTGCTAGCTGTATCCAGGGAGAAAATACAAACTTTTATTTAGCATCTATGATAGATTGAAACTCATAACAAACTAAGCCATAAGGCAGCTTCATCCCATTTTATAGATGAAGACACTAGGGCATGCTCATGGTTGCCAGTGGCAAAGCTGAGAAGCCTCCCTGCTGTGTGGTGTTTTTGATGCATATTTAAAGCTCCATATATGTTTGTTGATTTCATGTAAAGACCACAATTGTATCCTATTCCTGAGACTGCAGGAGGCTTTCACATCCTGCCCTGGATACACCTGCCAGCCTAGCACAGGTGGCCTGGCTTGTGTCTCAAGGAGATGGATCTGTTGCCAGATGTGGGCATCTGGGCACCTCTGGGTACTCGTTTACCTTTGCATGGGACATCCCCCAAGCTTGATGTTCTGTCAAGAGGCTGCTCGGGGAAGATATATACTGATGAGAAATCTCAGCCCCCAAATTCATTTTTCAAAGAAGCCAAGCAAATCTGGTGATTTATTCTCTGTCATTCTGATCCCAGCATATGTTCCACATCAGGTAAGTGAGATAGAAGGGATGGTTCAGCAAACATTAAGTTAAAAGAAACCCTGTCAGGCTTCCCCACGAATAGCTGGTTTTTATTTAAAGCCACAATGTCATTAATTACATTCAGTAAAAAGCTAAGGCTCTCTCCTGTGCCACACTTCTCTAGTGGACTCGGAAGAAGATAGGCTGCTCTTACACATCTGCAGTCCACACACCCACGCTAGCTGGGGTTTCTGTTGCTTCCTTATCTTCTTCCTTCTGCAGTCTTTTCCTGTTTTCCTTTCATTGAACCTGAATTTCTCCCCGCTTGTCTCTCCCCTGTGCTTCCATGTCCATCTCCCCTATCCTACTCCCTTTCTGTGTCTTCCTGTACTGTGCCTCCTGCTTTTCCCTCTGAAGTTCAGTCCTCCCTTCCAGATACAGCGTGGGGCTCCCTGTTGAAGCCACAGAGCCAGACTCAGCCGAGCTTTCCCCACTAGATGCTCCCGTGGGCTCTGCCTCTCGTGATGCACCTACCCTCTCTCCTTCCCTGCCAGCTCTGTCTCTTCCTAAAGGCCCAATGGTAGCAAAGCACTTGGTTCAGCTGATTCTGCTTGATCCTAAGACAGAAGTATTATGTATATCAGTTCATGGAAACTGGAACACCACTTGAAAAAGGAGAAGGCATCATAATGATGGCTTGGTAGTAACCAATAGTAACTACGGTGGACAGAGCCCTGCAATGGCTAGACAAATGGAAGGAAGAGAGGAAGGACATTATAATTTTGTTCATTTATGTGACAAGCATTTATTAAGCACCTACTGTGTCCTAAGATTGACGCCAGGTGTTGAGACTATGGACATAAATTTTAAAATGTCCTGATTCTAAACAGCCTAGCTGGAGATATACACATAAAAACAATTATTACAGTGCAATGAGAGATGTGTTATAATGATTGGGCAAGATTTTCTGGGAATATAGAAGAAAAGGATTGTGTTGCTTGGGTGGGACAAGTAGAAAAGGCTGTCAACATATGGAATTGTTTCCCAGGAGGCAATTCTGCAAACAAACAAGGGAGGAAGGGAGACAACAGGTTTCAGGGAGAGAGAATGCCCTGTGCTGGGTCACAGAGGAATGAAGGGCTGAATCTTACTGGGTGGCCCACTGGGAGAGCATGGCTGGGACCTGGGTGAGCTGGGAGAGGTGAGATCTGTCGGGGATAAAGCTGTGGGATCTCAGGGAATGTCATGGAGCCTTCCAAACCTTACCAAGGAGTCCAGACTTCCATGTATGGACAATGAGGAGCACCTGAAGATGTGTAAGCAAGGGAGCAACATGCTCCATCTTACATTTTTGATCATTCACTCTGGCAGGTATGTAGATTGGCTTATCAGTTTCCAAGACAGGAGACTGGATTTAGCCATCCAGATAAGGGATGATAGGGCTCTAAGCACAGCAGCAATTCTGGGCATGGAAGGCATTTGTTGAGTTTCTGCTGTGTTCCAAGTTCCGCGCTAGGTGCTCTTACATGTATTACCTTGTGTGTGTGTTCAGAAACAGGTGAACAACTGCATAGCTCATCTTACCAAAACTGCGTACATTTACCTGGTAGACTATAAAATAACAAGAACGACAGTTTTTCCATGCTGGACTTATATAAATGGGTCCTTGAATGGAATGGAAATAGCTTATCTTGGTGTTTACATGGGCCCTGCATGATAGCTTTTGTTCACAAAGAGCTAACATAGCACTCTCTGAACATTACTAGCGGGAATGTATGTTGGTACCACCTTTCTGGAGAGCCATGTGATCACACCATTCAAAAGCTGTACCATATGCATTTTTGTGTTCTTCTAGCAGTTTCTATTCTAGAAATTCAAACGAAGGAAAAATCTGGGATGTGTGCAAAGATTTCAGTAAAAGGGTATTTACCGCAGCATTGTTGTTATAGCAAAAACATAAAAGTAATACAAATTCCAACAATTGAGGATTGGCTTAATACATTATAGCACAACCTCACAGTTGCATAGCTTGTAGACATTAAATGCTATGGTGTGGAAGTGTATTTATGGACATAGAAAGATGTTCCCACTGATTTAGCCCCTCTTCAAAGATGCAGTCTCCATAAAAATGGGTGATTGCTACGCAAACACAACTTCAAGACAAATCCCCTGGCCTCCTCTTGCACTAGTTTCCAAAATATTTTTAAGTGAAGAAGCAAGATACAGAACAAGGTGTATAATATGATCCCATTTTAATTAAAAAGAAAAAATATGTGCATGTGAATCTCATGAATATACAACCCTAGAAAGGGTGTAGGATATCCACTGAAATGTTAAATGTATTTATCTCTGGGTGGGGAGGTCAGGGGGCTGGCATAATTTTCATTTTGCTCTTTTGGATTGTCTATAGTTTTTCTTTTTTTTTTTTTTTCTACAATGAGCATGTATTTCTCATATACCAGGAAAAGAGAGTAGGGGGAAGCCGTCCCCAGTCCTTGCAACCATGCAGCAGGCTAGTCTGCTCCTTCCTATTGCTTCATTTTTCCAGCCATCCTGCTCAATGGACTCAGTATTTCTATCACCATGGAAGGTACCAGGTATACAACGATGATTCAACATGGTTCCTGTCTTCAAGGAGCCCACAATCTAACAAGAAGGCTGATCTAGAGATAAATAGTTACAGCATGGTGAGGAAGTATATTTATGGACATGGAAAGATGTTCACACTGATTTAGCCCCTCTTCAAAGATGCAGATGGTAAACCAGTGATAGAAATATCTACGTGGTTTTATGTGTTCACAAAGGGGTCTGATTTTATCCTGTAGGTGGTAAAAAGTGACTTGCTTTGGGCTGCTAGTTCTGTTCTCCATGAATCATTCTTGTCTTGTCTAACACATGGTGGGGAAAGAGGCCAAATGATAGGATGGAAAGAGCCCTGTGCTGGGAGTCAGCTCTGCTCTGGCCTTTTAACTAACCCCGGAATGCTTTGGGGTTTTTTTTGAGTAAAACCTTGTCATTTGGTGTCCAAGATCCTTCTCTGCCTGGCTCCAACCTACATTTTCAGCCTCATCTCTTGCCATTGCCTTCATTAACTCTGTGCTCCTGCTTCATACCTGAATTATCACTGTTCCCTAGACCTGCCAGGCCCAGTGCTTTGCACATGTTGGTTTCTTCACCTCAGCCGTATTGACATTTGGGGCCAGATAATTCCTGATTGTGGGGGACCATGCTGTGCATTGTAGGATGTCTGCAGCCTCCCTGGCCTTTCCTTGCTGCATTCAATAGCATCCCTCGGTCATGATAATCAAAAAAATCCCCAGGCATTGCAATCCAGCAATTAGCAAGCAATACACTCCACTGTGCAAGATGGGTCCAGTTTGGTGGCCCTGGACGTTCCTATACTACAGTCCTACTGGTTATGCTGTTCCAGGACCCTGTGGAAAGGAGAGAGTTTCTCTCCTGACATCTGAGGTTTAACACAGCTCACAAATGGCAGTCCTGACATCTCTCAAGAAGCCACATGGGGCATCTGTGATTGCAAATCCAAACTTTCAAGACTTTTGGAGGCTTCCCATGGGCACCGGTCTCCTGCACTCCATTTGGACTACCCCAGGCAGGGCCAGGAAAGCTGGGACACTGCTGGCTGGGTATGAGCCCCCATCTCTCAGGGCTCCTCTGAAAATGCTCCCTTCCCATGGGAAAGAGCAGCAGGGAGAGGACTTGGTGAAAGAAGAAGTGGTGTTGGTGTTCCATAAGCATTCCCTCTGTTCTCTTTGGATTACCACAAGGTTTTAACAGTTGACTTCTGTGACCCCACAATCCTTGGTTTGTCCCAGAGACTTGTTCAACTAAAGTGTTTCTGCAAGCTTTTGAGTCATGCTAGGTCTTATTGCTAGAGAAGGACTCAATCTCTCTTAAGGGACCTGCATTAACCCTACCGACGGCTCTGACACCTAGTAGAGACCTGTCTGCAGCCAGTGTCCTGCAGCACCATATCTCTGCTATGGTGCTGCAAATCATTTCATTTGATTCTCACAGCCACCCTGAGAAGGAGGCATCAGCACATTTACCAATGGGAAACTGGTTCAGTGAGGTTTCATGACTTGCGTAAGACAGACCTGAAGCCCAGGTGTTTTGACTCTCAGGCTAGTGTTCCCTCCATGGCACTTCAGCAAACTCCACCGGAAGCACACATTCCCTTCCAAGTCCTCCAGCTCCTCCCTGTTCAAAGAGCATGAATGGAGCCTAAGAGAGAGTAGGGCTGCCCCTGAAAGCAGCCACAGGAGGGAAGCCACCTGCCAACCAGCCTGGACCAGCTTCTAGAGGTCAGGGCTCCCGGCAGAGCTGGCAGAAACTCAGGGATCCCCTGCAGCGAAGGTCACCCCACAATCCCCAGGCCAGGCCTGACTTCCCTCTGGGGGAGCTTCCCCAGGCTCCCACTCTGCTGTCTCAGGAGTGTGGCCCCCAATCCAGGAGCCCCAGCTTGCAGAAAGTACTGTCGTCCATCAGCCTCAGCCATTGTACCTCCCCCAAGCCATAGGGGTCAGAGGTCTCAAGGCAGCCTCTTTCCCAGAGTTTTTCAGGCAAAAAGAGCACGGACATTGCCAGTGTGATGTGTGGAAGAGCCCATGCTTGGATTGAGAAGATAAGAATTCAAACCCCAGCTCCACACCCCAGCTCAATTCCCTCGTCTATAAAATGCACATAACAGCACTTCCACCTCCAAGATCTGTGTCAGGCTAAAAAATAAAAATTGAAAGAGCACATACATAAGATAATTCCCAGTATGTGGTACATCAAAGGCATTCTTTTCTTAGGGAGTATTTCTTGAGCACCTACTATGCACCGGGAATGCTAATAGGCCCTAAAGACCCAGCAGCGAGTGAGTCAGGCAGGCCCTGAACTGGGCTGTTCAGACTCATTTAGAAAGATGAACTGGGGGAGCTGGAAAGGAGGGTCACAAATAAGGCCAAGCCTGTCGTCACGGGGATGAAAGGAGAGTAACACTGTCCTGGGACTTATATTTATCTCACAGGGAGTCAAGATGGGCACCCCCTTCAAGGAGTTACCAGCCTGCATCTCCTCCGCAAAATTTGCTTTATTGGAAGTGTCCATCCTGGCAGGAAAAATATGCAGCCTGGTGTTTAACTCAGTGGGACTGGGGAGAATTTCTTTTTGCTGTCAGGAACCAGCTTCCAATGCCTCTACCTGAATTTTTTAAATCGATCAACTCCTTAAGTGAGCATATCTGGCACACAGCTCCTCATGTTGCCTCCCATGGCTGGCATATTCTTTTACAGATAAACTGGGAGGTGAAAGGCAATGAAGTCTAAGAAGGGGAAACTGTTCTGGGACCTGGGGAGTTCGGTATTTGTTGGGTATTTGCCCCAGCTGCTCGGGAAAACTAAAGCCTAGCAGACAACTGGTTACCAGTTGCATATTAGGGAAGTCTGTTATTATTTTCTTAAGACAGACTGCATCTAGGAGCTCTCAGGTACAGCAGGGGTTCATCCTGGAGTGCTGTGGGGTGGAGCAGCTTATAGGCAATGTCCAAGACTTGTTACAGAGCAGACAGGAGCAGGAGCAGCAACTTTAAAAATAGAAGCTTGAGGGAATATGAAGCTGGGCTCAGCAGGATCCAGGCTGTCAGCTTGGTTGCCATTTAGGATGCAGATCCAATTGGTTCAGAAGATGGGTCAGCGTCTCTGTCTCCAAGAGAGCCCTGCCCTGGAGAAACCAACCCAGCCCATGGGCTTAGTTGTCCAAAGGAGAGTTTTTTTCAGCTGGACCTGAGAGAACTTGATGAGAGCCCCTTTTCTCCTCTGCCCTGGGGAAGGCACAGCTCATGTAAATGCAGCGTTTGGGTGCAGAGCGTGCAGGCCAAACCCACGCTCAGCCCCACCGTTTGCATACTGCACGCTCAAGCTGCTCCAGGCCTGGGTGAAGGCATGCACACTGTCCTGGGTCCAGGTAGCCCAGAGCGTGGATGACCAAAGCAAAATTCCATTAAAGTCAAACCAGATCTCACCCATAGCTCTTTGTTTGTTTATCTGAGAACAAAGTCAAAGGCCAAGGAGGCCCCACTCTCCTGCCACGGGGGAACCAGTGTGCAAGCTCTAGGCACCTACTAGAGGGTACAGAGGTGGCCTCCACAGTGGACTCGGAGTTCTTTCCCCCTTCTTCGGCAATGAGGGGTTTCTTCCTAGGGCCTATTTTCCTGCAGGGTTAGAGTTAGGTTTTAGAGCCCTTTTCCTTAACCCTCTTCTCTACTTCCTATCCCAATTCATTTATTTAAAAAAAAAAAAAAAAAAAGCTTTACTCTCTACTTATTTATGTTGACATGAAGATTAAATACAAGCTCCTACATGCAAGTATCCAACAGAGTGGCAGCCACAAAGAGGTATTTCTCCTCCCTCCTTTCCTTCAGCCCTTGGCGTTCACTCACTTTACCCCAGGGACCCCATCACTTTTTTCTCCAGCCGGAGACTCTTACCCTGTCCCTGGCTTTGTTCCTATTTGATAAGATATTCAATAGTAAAAAAGAGTTAAGAGTGGACAAGTGCACAACCTCCTCACCTCCCTGGGGTGTGTTCTGCTGTTTGCACTTTTAAAAGTCCCAGAAGTATTCAAATAATTTGGAATCACATTCTGTTTTTACTTTTCATCTATGCATCACTCACTAAACACTATCTGCCAGATTCAGTATTTGGGGCTGCAATAATAGAGATAAATAATATATGTGGGCCCCAGCCTCCAAGGAGCTCACAGGAAAACACACACACAAACACACACACACACACATACATACAGCTTGATGTTCTTCCTATGGCAGAAGCTAGTGTGCTCCCTGTAAGGAGATCATTATTCCCACATCTCTGTGATCTAGGATCTAGACCCAGCTCTAGCACTCTTTGGCTTTGAATTAGTCAGGATTCTCCAGAGAAACAGAACCAACAGGAAGCGATATATAGAGAAAGACAGATTTATTTTAAGGGACTGGCTCACACAACGATGGAGACTGGTAAGTCCAAAATCTGCAGGGTTGGCTGTCAGACCTGAGACCCAGGAAGGAGTCCACATTGCAATTCAAGTCAAGAGGTCGTCTGCTGGAGAGTTCCTTCTTGCTCGGGTGAGGCCAGCCTTTTGTTCTACTCTGGCCCTGAACTGATGGGACAAAGCCGACCCACACTGTATTGACTTCACTCAGTCCCCTGATTCAAGAGTGTTAACCTCATCCTGAAACACCTTCACAGAAACATCCAGAATGTTTGACAAAACATCTGGGCACCATGTCCCAGCAAAGTTGACACAAAAAATCAATCATCACAGACCTACAAAATCAATGGATTAATGTGCAGTGATTTTGAAGATTCCCTCATTCCCAGTATTTTAGGAGCTAATGGCTTTGGTCAACAACAGTCTTTTCCTTTAGGAACTCTTTGGAGAACCATGATACCTTTAGTGGCTTTCACAAGATCACTGATGTCACTAAATGTTTCCATAGCTTGCTCACCCCTACCTTAGTCCACATGACAGAACCCCAGGACCTCAGTCCTGATGTCCGTAAGAATCACTGGGGAGATTGTTGGCCAAGCAGGTTTCTGGCCAAATTATGAAGATCCAGATGCAGTAGGTATGGTGCTGGCATTAGGGGCAAAGGCTCAAAACCAAGGAATCAGAGGAAGAAACTCCTCAGGGCAGGAGGAAGCAGAAGGCACCACGATGGCACCCCCAGAGGCTGCAGTGACTTCCCTGCTGGCCTGTGGCCTCTCCAGAGCTTTCAAGGCTGAGGCAGTTAGGGGGTGGGCATGAGTACCAGGAGAGGGATGCTTTTTGACAAACATGAGTTAGCAACTTGTCACTTGCCTTTGCTCTTTCCTGCCCACGTTGATTCTGCTCATCTGCCCTTCCCACTCTGTGAGCCACATTGACTGACTCCGGAGGTGAAACACACATGTCACACACATGCCATTTCAGGTCATCAGAATAGCAGAGTTGTCAAAAGCTGTTAGAAGCCAAGCGGCTGAAGCATCCTCCTCCCAAACGTCTCCCTCAAATTATAAGCCATCCCCGCACCACGTGGTGCCGCTGAGCCTGGCATTCCACCTGCATGCCTGTCACTTGCTGTTCTCTGTCCCTGAACCGGTCTTAGCTGCCTTGAATTTAAGAGTCTGGTCTTACAAACATTGACCCAAAAAATATTGACATTCTTCCTCAATTCCCCTATCCAAATCTTAGCACTGTTCTTTCTGATTTGTAGTGCATCCTCCCTCCCAACTAACACTTGGAGAATTCAGCAAAACCATATGAACCTGCTCAGGTTGAGGAATCTAGAACAGACCAGAGCTAAGACATTAGTGAGAGACTACACTGGTTCTTCTGCCCTGAGAATGAGCTGGCACCTCTTAGTGCTTTAGAGCTCTGACAGGTGGAAAGGTCATGGTTTCCCGACAGTGCCTCCTCTCCTCTACCTCAGACAGAAAGCAGGAGGAGAGGAGGCATTTAGGAAAGCTGGACTGCATTCGAGGGCATTAGGATCTAGCCAAGGCAAGAGGACGTCGTCTTCTATTGCTGCATGCTCAGCCTGTCAACAAAGGAATTGCAGAGATGAACTTCAGGTCTCTATTTCAGGGTAGATGTCTGCAAGATACCATTCATGCCTACCTGGATTAGCCAGTGCCAAATCTGTGGCTTCACATGAAAACGTTTTTTTAATAAAGATGTTGGTTGATCATTAGATAATCTTGTATTGGTCACTTCCAATGATTCATTATCACCAGTAGAAGCCAGTCATTCATTCAGCAAATATTTATTAACTGCCCATGGATAGAGATCAGGAGGAGCACTGGTAATACAGCACTGAATGTGAAAGACAGTGTCTCCCTGCCCTGGTAAAACTATTTCGGTTGGTGCAAAAGTAATTGCAGGTTTTGCTGTTACTTTTAATGGCAAAAATTGTGATTATTTTTGCACCAATCTGTACAGCAAAGCCAAAAAAGATGCAAAGAAATTATCAGATAAATGGATAATTAATAACAGCTTTAAATACCATGAAGGAGATTCCAGGCAGGGCACAGTGCAGGGAGCATTGTAGAGTGGAAAGGAATATGGGCTCTGTAAGCAGGTATTTCAAAGTTCAAACCTCATGTCTGTTAACTGGACTCAAGCAGGTCATTTAACCACTCTAAGCCTCGGTTTCCTCATCTGTTTAAAAAAAAAAACAGTAAGGGAATAAAATTCCCTTCCTTGCCAGGCTATTTAGGGACGCACTGAGACAATGGTTGTAAAAGCAGCTAACACAAGACTTGGTATACAACACTCTTTAATAAATGATCGTTCTGGCCAGAGGAAGTGGCTCATGCCTGTAATCCCAGGACTTTGGGATGCCAAGGCAAGCGGATCACCCTGAGGTCAGGAGTTCAATCCCAGCCCGGTCAACATGGCAAAACTCCATCTCTACTAAAAATGCAAAAATTAGCCAGGCCTGGTGGCAAGCACCTGTAATCCCAGCTACTCGGGAGGCTGAGGCAGGAAAATCACTTGAACCTGGGAGGTGGAGTTTGCAGTGAGCCGAGATCGCACCACTCCACTCCAGCCTGGGTGACAGAGTGAGATTCTGTCTCAAAAGAAAATAAATAAGTAAATGCTCCTTCCTCTTTCTGCCCCTTCCATCTTCAATGAGTGCTGATTTTCAGTTCCCTTCCCTGCTCTGGGGCTCCGTATGAAGCCAAGGAAAGGGCTTCAGGAAGAAGTCAAAGTGAGTCTTCTTCAAATGCCATCTTTGAGGATGAGGTCTGAGGGTCACAGACTGGAGTTGAGGGAGTGTCTCTGTGCAGAGTGTCTGAGTGGAAATATCAGGTCACTCAAAACCTGTGCATAACAGGCCGCCTCCGTAATTACTTGCAACAAGAGGCACGATGTGCTTCGCCTTCCGTTTTACAACCATCAAGGCATTTTTAAAAAGATTCTGTTAATTGCCATTTGCAGACAATTATTATCTATTCAGAATCCCCTGGTGCAAATGAATCACACCATACATCCTGTCTGAGCTCTCTCAACCCACTCACTGACCCCCAGTGTCGCTGCGACTGTAGTGACAGGAACAGTGACTGACGGGCAGGGATGGGGCAGAAGTCTTGGGGACCAACCAGAAGACTTTTGCGGGTGTCTATAGGTCAGGGTGAAAATCAATTTATGATCTCTCTCAGGCATGTTTAAGGCAAGACAAGAGAAAGGATGTGAACGGGTAGATTCTGCTTGTAACTGAAGAAGCAAGGGGAGGTGGGCCCTTGACAAGCAGGAAGCAGGGAGGCTCCCCCAAATTCCCCCCCAACTCAGGCTTCCCACTGGACTGCTCAGTACCTGTTCTAAGTTGAACTGCAGTTTAGCTGGACTCAGAAGGCTTGGAATTGCGGGAGAAAAGAGGCTTCACACACCTACCCAGAGCCCAACCAGGATATTTTAATGGGATCTGCACATCCGCCCATACAGGGATCTGGGAAAAACAACTATAATCAACAGCTAATATCCACAGAGCTCTAGCTATGTGCCCAACACTCCGCCAAGCCAACCCCCCTGGGTATGTGTTATTACCTTTATCTTATAAATGAGGAAATCAAGACTCAGAGAGATTGAGCAGGTTGCACAAGATTCTACACCTCATCAGGGCCAATATTCAGACCCATATCTGCGTCGTCTGATTCCAGAACCCCAGCTGGAAACCACTGCACCCTCCACCTTGCCCCTGGAAGCTATAAGATGTGAGCTCACCAAGGACAAATGTCTGCTTGCTTGTCCTTCACAGGGCCTAGCATTGTGCAGGATATTCAGAAATCATTTAATTAAAAGTTGCTAAATGAAGGAAAGAAGGCTTGAAAGACAGGATTGAGAACTCTGTCCATGCATTCAGTGGTAAATGAAAATATGCAAAATGCATGAATATCATATGCAAATCAATACCTATCGTTCTCATTAACTGTTAGAGAGAAGACAGGAGTGCACGGTTTTCACGGGGAGTGGGCCCCTCTTCTTGATGGCAATATCTATCCAATAATGTCTCATGTTGACTTGGACAGATATTGCAGGATTTGTGAGACTCTGGCCTCTCTTTATCACCAAAATTCTATCCATCCTTCAAGATTTGCTTCCACAGAGCCTACCCTGACTACCGGCCCTTATCAAATCTATTAAGCCCCTACCATGTTGCAGGCTACTCGCTAGGGAGGACACATAAGCAGGTAATGGCAATGTATTACACCGTGTGCCATATTAGAGATGTGTTGAAAGCGTAGGAGGAAGGGAAAGCAGTGACTGGCAGAGATGGGACCTGTGGGAAGAGGGGAAGCCTCACAGAGGAAGAGATACCTGACTTAGAGCTCAAAGGCCCCGAGGAGTCTGACAGGTAAACAAGATGCGGAAAGGAGACCCCAGGGGACAGCCTATGCAGAGGCATGGAAATGTGCTGCGGAAATGTGTATTTGGGAAACTGCAAGTCGTGATCATGTAAAAAGATGTTGAGACACAAAGCAGATCATGTTACTTCTCTGCTTACAACACTTCACCGGCTCCCACGCATGTGGGAAGCAACATCGCCTTCTTGCCATGGCTCTCGTGCTCCATGGAGCTCTATGTCTGGTCTCCGCCGACTGCTCAGACATCCTGCCATACCTCCTTTCCCCAGGACCATCAAGCTTAGCCACAGTGACCTTCCTTCTATTCCTGAAGGCACCTGGGTCATTCTCACCTTAGGACCTTTGCACTTGCTCTTCCAGCTGCTTGGAACTCTCTTTCTCATTTTGAGGGATGGGCTCTCCTGTGCAGGTCTTAGCCCAAAGGTCACATCCTCCAAGAGTCCATCCTGACTACCCCATCCAAAGTAGTCCTCCAACCCACCTCCAGTCCCTGTCTAGCTCATGCCCCTGTTTTTCTTTCTTCCTTGCACTTCTGACTGTTGGAATCTGTCTTGTGTATGTCTAGTCTTTTTATTGTCTGTCTCTTCAACACACACTAAACCAAGGATCTCATAAACCAAGTTCATAAGATCCTTGGCCTGCCTGACTGATTCATAGGCATTTCCAGACCTGGGACATGCAGTGCCTGCATACAATGAGCACTCAGTATTTGTGGGATAAGTGGATGGATGGATGCAGTATGGATGGACAGATGGACAGATTGGATGGATGGATGGATGGATGGATGAATGGATGGATGGATGGGTGGATGCATGTATGGATGGACAGATGGACAGATTGAATGGATGGATGGATGGATGGATGGATGGATGGATGGATGGATGGATGGATGGATTGGATGGATGGATGGATGGATGGATGGATGGATGGATAGATGGATAGACAGATGGATGGACAGATGGATGAAATAATGAATGACAGTTGCCAGAAATGGCTGATAAGAGGAATCATAAAATTTTGAGGATGGAGAGACATTTCAGAAGCAGAACACAGGGCTTTGGATGTCATGAAGATTATTTGGACTTCACCCTATGGTAGCTGATGGGGACATTAGAGAAATTGTCATTCCTACCAGACAATTTAGCATTTGATTATCTCTTGCCTTGCACTGGCTTCTGACAATTTCTTATGCCTGAACCTTATCTCACCAATCAAATTGTCAGCCACATAGCATTAACAAATTCTTGCAGCGAATTCTATGCAGTGTTTCAATGTCCATTATTTTGCTGGGTTCTTATGGCAAGTTTCCCCTTTCAGCCGTCTCTAGCATCAGGCTGAACATACGTACATTCTCAATAGATATCCGCTGACTGATTTAATGTCTGAGGGGATTCCTTAAAAGAGTAAAAGGAAGGAAACTAACATGTATCAGCACTACAATGACCTGAACCCTGGGCAAGGTGCTTCACATATTTGGTCCCTACAGTGGTCTATACAGTGTATGTCGTTATACACAGTGTATATCATTATACACAGCCAACAAGCAACAGGGCCAGGGTTCAAAACTAACACTCAGGGCTCTTTCCGCTGTTCCCTGCTGCCCTGGAATTAGTTGTCTACATTCCCAGCTTTAGGAGTCCCTGGGAGTGTCTGTCCCAGAAGCTGACTCAGCCACAACTGAGGCAAGAGCTCAGGGTGGGGGTCTCCCTCAGGTTTCTATAGCTTGATCACCACTGACATGAGTTCTGCCTCTTGTCCCAAGCATGCTACCAGCTCCCTCCTGTCAGATTTGGTAGAAAACACCCTCCGCCTTTCCAAGAGCTCCTCTGACCCTTGGGCGGGATGTCAGGTAGGAAAAGCACTGGGTTGGAGGCTGATTCCCAGGCTTGCTCTCTTCTTGTGTATTAGTGTAAACTACTGGTCCTTTTGTCTCCCAGTCTTTGCACTGATATGCTTTCACACTCAGAAGGAGCTCTGGGGCCCTCTGGGCCAGGCATATCTCTTTGTCACATTAAATCAGCCCTGTACCTCTCATGTTGAATGCCCTCTTACCCACAAAGAGCCACCAAGTACCCCCTCCTCAATGCAGAGTCTCTAATCTATGTGCCTAGACCAGGCTCTTGTGGTCAAACATGACTAGCTCTTTGTAATAGACCCCAGCCCTCTGTGCCTCACTTTGCCCCTATGCAAGACAGAGCAATCTCTTTCTCTTACCTCCACAAGGGAGCCCTAGGAACTAATTACTGTAAGCAAATCACTTTAACTATCACAATTATCAACAGCACTTTATGATCCCCAGTCAGAAAGATGATCATTAAGTTTTACAACACCCGCCTCCCCCAGGCCAAGGCAGAAAAGTCAATTCTGTAAGTGCCTATTGAGATTATCAAAGCCCCAGAAAAGAACTTCCGTGTGTACACTCCCCATTTGAGGAAATGGTAATGGAATGATACTACTGGCGCCACCATGAGGCACAATAATCTCTTTTGGATGGTTCCCCAAGACCCAGAAGATACCACCACCTGCCCTGGAAACCTGTTTGCCGAGTTAGCAACACGCGGTTGTGTGCTCACTTACCTTTTTAATAGAATAAAAGAGAAAGAAAAGGGACAATGCCATACCTAGGGAGGAGAAAAGAGAGAAAAAGCAAAATAGCAGAAGATTCTAACTCTACCCCTCTCTCCCCAAGTTTTTTCTTCTCCGCGTAGGAGTGAGTGTTCTAATTCTGCAACACTGTCATTACTGTAATGGGTTTGGCAGGACCATATTATAGCACCAAGGCTGTCAGGAATGGATGACATGCTGTCTGTTATGGGCTCCTACTGTTCTCAGCCAACTGAGGGCCAGGAAGACAAGGAGAAGAGAGGGGAGGAGGAGAGAGGTAGAGACTCCAGTTAGTGTGGGCATCCTAAGAGATGATTGTTCTAGCTCACTCACAACATTAGCGATGAAACGATACTAGATACCATCCCAGGAGGGCTGGCAAAAGCAGTGAGTTATGGGAATTTGGAAGTAAACGGCAAAGCAAGGAGGTGAATTTGCTCAGCTAAGATCATTCTCCCAGCATGCCCAAGCTCAGGTAGCTGATGATGGATTCTGTAACATAAAGTTACAGTGGAAATTGTAGAGCACTTGATTATGGGGGGAAGGGAGGGGCTTCCTTGCCCAGGTAGCAAATTGGGAGTTGGGGGGAAGGATTTAACTAGAAAAAGAAATGGTGAGCTTGAACCTAGTTAGAGTGCCTGGTGTCATCATTTCTTCACTTTTCAGCTAGGCTGCAGGAGCCAGGAACAATTAATCCGCCTGAGGAGTGAGTTATGTTGGACTCTCCTGGCTGAGGTCAGCTTTGTTGCGGGGTTGCTTCCCCGAAAACTGCCTGACTCCCTTTGCCTGGCCTTCGACCTCATTAAAGGGAGACAGTGAAGAAAATTATAGTATTGCCTTCTTACTGGAGCCCGAAGGAAAGGGGCTTTCTTAAATAAAAATAACTGTAGTAGTAAATAATGGTGACCCAGCAATTATCAGAACATTGTTTATTCCACAGCTAAATGCAGGAGACACAGACCCGTTGAGATAAAGCATTATGAACACCTGTAATAAGGAAGAGTAAAAGCCGTATGCTCTGGGAGGGTTGGTTGAGCAGGCATGGCAGTGGGTTGCTGGTTTCGTTTTAGATTTCTCCCCGCACACACACCTCAGAGGCTTAGCTTTGTGGTGTTGGGGTGAGGGTTTGACTCTCATGTGTAGATAAGCTTGAAGACAATTTTGACAAGATTCATCTTATTTCCACCTAAGAAGGTTGCTCATTGTCATGGTCTGTATTTTACAGATGAGGAAACTGATATTTAGTCAATGGAAAGAACTGGCAGAGCCACGGGGTATAGTTGGGCCAGGGTATTTGGTGACCATCAGGGGCTTCTCAGTTACCATTCTGCAACCATAGATGGCTTGAAGATTCCAGAAACTCTTTGTTACTCTCTGATCTCCAGTAAATGGTCTCCTGTCCATCTCTAGGAATGTCATGATTGCCTGCTTTGTATTCTCTAAGCTGATACCTTTTACTTTTTGACCTGTATACTATTTGTACCCTCAAAAGTTTCCAAAATATAGCAAATAACCCTTGCACTTGAAAAACCAGAGCTGAGATATTGACATAAGTGACACATAGGTGGTTCATTGAAGAGGATCCAGGCCGAGAGTAGAGGACTCCTGCCAAAGGCCTAGTCCAAAGGAGAGCTGCCCCTCTGAGTTCTGAAGTTGGACTGTGAAAATAGCCGCGTTTATATGGCCCCGGAGGCTTACAGCACAGGCCCTAAGAAGCTGGATAGTATGTTCCACTCATGTGTGCAATAACATAAAAGCAGCATTCAGAGCCTACACTGAGAGAGTTTGCACGTGCCCACGTGTGCATGTGCTAACCAAAGATTAACTAAACTGTAACTCATAGAATGAGCAGGGAATTGTTTTGGGGATTGAGATCCAGTTGTTACTGGCGCAGTAAGAGCTGCCAGGAACCTCATGAGGCAGCGGCGGGTGCAGCAAAGAAGGTTGTTGAGCATCAGAGGCGCATATGATGAAAGATCCTCACTGCTTCTGGAAACGGTGTTTCTCTGCGAAGTTGATCTTGAACCACACAGCCCTGAATCCACACTGCCACCTATCTCTAGGACAGAAATGTGTAGCTTCCATTCGATGCAGGTGTCAGCCCAATGCTGTCATTTTTTTTTTCCATCTGTATCTAGCTAAGAAAGAGGTGGCAAGAGGCAGGGCGCCTGACAGAATGGACATTTGCCAAGACAGTGGGTGCTGCCGTGGGCCCATTGACCAGAGCGACCTGCTGTCTGATGCCTTTCCAGGAAAAACTGAGTTATGTTTCATTTTGCCCCAGGGTATGTGGGTGAGTGGGTTAGACAGGGGAAAAGTTAGCATTTCATTCATTCTGATCTGAATGTCTTTTAAAACTCAAATGGCATGCATAATCTTCCACTTAATTAGAGCTTCTGAAATATCACTGGGCATCTGTATAACCCACCTTTCCTTGCCCTCTACAAAGAAGGAATGATGGGAGAACTATGCTGTGGATGGGGAGGGGAATGCAGAGTTGTGGGGGAAAAAAGATACAGGAAAAGAGAGGAAAAATTCAGGGGGCAGAAGGTAAGAGAGTGGGAATGTCAACTGAAAACTAAGTAGGATACTTAATGAGACAGACTGCTGTTTTCAAAGTAGGAAAGGAGAGGGGACACCAGGGAAGCTAGAATTTACTCAGTGCCTACTGTGTGTCAAGTGCTTTGTGGACAAGCTTTCCCTACGTTTGAGAGGGGTGTTTCTATTGTCCCCATTTCACAAGTGAGAAAACAAAGGCTCAAAAGCGTGGGAACTCATTGAAGGTCATGCAGCAAGTATGGGGAAGATAGATTTCAAACCCGCGCTGGCCCCACTGGCCATTGCCTACCTACCACCTACTCTCGCTGGGCCTTGGTCCCTCAGCCTGGGCACATTTCTTGGGTAACTTGTTCCCACAGATTCTGTGTGTTCGGGTGTCATGTGGCCCCAGAGAGACTAGAATTCTCAAAAGAAGGACCCCACCATCAGTCCCCTTTTTAACACCTCCCACCCACTGCATCCTCATGCCCTCTCCCTGCTCTTCTCCCCCTGCATCAGAGCACTGTTGGGTGCTGAGCAGATGGAGGAAGTGAGGAGCACTGCCCTGCCCAGCCCTTGGCACAGATGTGGACTCTTGTTTTATGTATCGAAAGTGGCACCTCAGCCATGAGGCTGGTCATGGAATTGTCACATCACAGAACGCCGACATTGGGAGATGTTCCAGAAATCGTCTCATCTAGCCCCCTCATTTTGCTCAGGGAGAAGAGGAGTTGTTCAAGATCACACAGCTTGCTGACAACAGAGCCAGAATCTGCTCTCAAACCCAGTCCTGCACTCTTCTCTCAATGCCAGACGAGGATAGGAATGTGTTTGGAAGTTGGGGCAATACTCCTGGGCATAGCCCCTCTCTACCTACCTAGTTATGCTCTCAAAGTTGAATCCCAGGATCCCTGAGGATGGGTGGCCTCTGAGAGTGCAGCCCCACAGCTGTCAGCCACAACCAAAGGGAAATGAAACAAAGGAGAAATTTGGGGTCAATCGTGAGTTGCAGACGCTATTGCAAAAGATGGTCCCAAATTCAATAGAGTTTTGCTCGAGACCCCACTTGGCATTAAGCCACAGATAGCCTGCCAAGCAGGTTGACGAAAGAGACTGTGACATGAGTCTACGCTCTCAGGTATTCCACTGAAGATCTCCAGAGCAAAGGTCTCCATTGAGGGCCATGTGACAAAGGCTCAACTTAACAACATTGAAACCAGAAAAGACCTTATTGCTCTGTCACTAGCATCAGGAGGTACACAGAAGAGCCTGATTTCCATTTCTGAGTCCACAAGGGTTGCTCCAGCTCCCACTGCTGTGACCAGATTCTGGTCAACGGGGAGGTGAGAAACAGATGGGAAAGGCTTCATCTGGAAGTTTTACACAGCCCTTCTGCTCACCTCCCATTGCCCAAGACTTGATCACATAGCGGCAAGGGAGGCTGGGGAATGAAGTGCCTTTTCTGAGCAGTCTTATTTTCTACTAATATTTAACAGTAGCTAAAGAAGAGTAGAAGAATGCATTTTAAAGAACAGCTAGGAATTTTTGTCTCAGTTGGCACTAGTTCTAATAAATGTTGCACATCTGCCTTGGGTACCTAACCTGACCTGGTTTTGTAGTCAATTGGTCTTGCCTCAGAACAGCACTCACCAGGGCATCTGCAAAAGGAAAGATGAGTAAGCCAAGGTGAACAACCAGGAGACCAGACTTTATTTATTTGTTTGTTTGTTTATTTATTTATTTATTTATTTATGACAGTCTCACTCTGTCACCCAAGCTGGAGTGCAATGTTGTGACCTCAGCTCACTGCAACCTCTGCCTCCAGGGTTCCGTGATTCTCATGCCTCAACATGCAACTGGTGGTAGCCAGTTGCACACCACCATCCCCAGCTAACTTTTGTATTTTTAGTAGAGATAGGGTTTCACCATGTTGGCCAGGCTAGTCTTCAACTCCTGACCTCAGGTGATCTGCCCCCCTCGGCCTCCCAAAGTGTTGGGATTACAGGCTTGAGCCACCTCACCCAGCCCAAACTATATTTAATTATAGGAAATTCACAACTAGATATCAGAAAATGAGATTGAAAGCGGGGAGCAGCTTCCTAGGGAGACTTCTTCCCAAGAGAGTTCATAGGAATGAAGATAAAACCAAGACAAACTAGTGCAGCTCATAACTCTTCTCTAGCCCCCAGGGGCTGAGTGGGGCCCACTGGTCTACTTCATAAGATCTGGTGATATACACAAACTACACCATAATCACATTTCTACAAGATTCCTTAGAAGAAAGAGTAACTATGTCTCAAAGTAATAACAGTGTAACCATATAATCTGTCCTTTGAGTTAGGCATGCATTTAGCTTCCAAATCCTCTTCCTGTTTACTAATCTTGACACTTCCCAGCATTTACATTGCACTGTCAACTGTTAACCATGCCTTGAAAGAGAAAGGAGCAGGGCTGGGACTGGGGTTGTCTTGCTCCTCCTCAGTGATGAGGCAGGAAGAATGGACTCTGGACACTGCCCTTTGCTGGGGACAAGCAGGCAAGTTGCTGTGCCTCACAGGCCCCAGCGAGTAGGAAACTCCTGAGAAGCCAACTCATCACAGTCCCCTCTGGTGAGCCCCCAGGGAGGTTTGTGAATACCTTTGCCTGGGCAGAGTGCAGGGGCCTGACAACCTGACCACCTTTCCTTTCCCACTGGGTCTTGCAGGGTCCCGAGTCCCTGCCAACACCATATCTTCCCAGTGTTTCCATTCTTCTCAGAATGATCAAGACAGGTATTCCAAGCCCTAGTAGATTCTTCAGAAGAAGCAGGCAGGAGGAAGTGAGCCACCTCCACACCCATTCCATATATCCTCCATGGTCCAGCAGTAAAGAATGCATAGAGCAACTGGGCTTCATCTTCCCTCTTTCATTTATGTTTAACGGTATCTGTCCTGGAGGGTGTCAGTGGATAACAGAATAAAGCCTTCTCTAACCACTCCAGACCAGAGAGATTACCCTCCATTAATGGTAATTCCTAAAATGTGCATTGCAACTTTCCAGCCTATAAAGTGTTTTTCCACATCGGCTGTTTCACAGAATCCTTAAAACAATCCTATCAATAGGTATTATTATTCCCATTCTGTTGATAAGCAAACTGAGACTCAGAGAGAGAAGTGGTTTGCCCAAGGCCACATAGCTGATAAATGATGGAGCTGAGACTGGAATCATAATGGTCTGACTTCAAGGTCTAGACTGCTTCCAGTATATCACAACAGCCTCTCAACTCCTGCAGATCCTGAATAGATCCTGAACAGAGCTCTCCCACTTACCCATGTCCTGCTCTGTGATGGTGCTTCTGTATAGTCTTAGGTGTGTATTTAATTCCTCCAACTCTTGTGCAAGCTCAATGAGAACAGGGACTGACTCTTCTTCGGTGTTTCTTTGGATCTCTCCAGCAATAAGCTCAAGATTGACCATGAAGCAGCTTCTCAGAAATGAATGGGGTATTTGTTGATGTTCCCAGAAATGCGAACTGAAAAGACCAACTAGGTGAAACATTCTGAAGTGAGAGAGCAGTTAGGCTGAGCATAGAAGGCTCCTCTCTCTATGAGTTCTCATCTCTACTCCCACTGCTAGAGCTCTGTTTGAAACATATTTGATGATCTAGGTATCTCAGTAGGGCAGCAATGAACAATAAATAGGAATCATGAGTTTGCAGCCTCTCGAAATTCCTGCGTGGAGACCTATGGGTGACCCCCAGACAGACAGGAGGAAGGAAAGAAAAATCTCAAGATTGCCAGAACTATGTCTGGCACATCCTAAACACCCAATAAATATTTGTGATTGAATGAATGAGAGACAAGAGGACAGGGCCAGTGGGGATAAGAAGAAAACTGTGCTAGATCAAAACCAGTTGCCTGGGCAATCTCAGAGGTCTTTCTGTCTGTGTAGGGAGTCCTGGGGTTGCGCTGGGGTTGGCATGGGATGTCTGTGTTAATATAGGAAGCCTAGGTACTCAGGCTTGTTAAACTAGTTTTATTTCCTGCGACTTCTTCATCTTGGCCCTTCCTCTCTGACGTGTCTCTTATTCTAGATGCATTTTCCTACCCCAAAAAGAATTCAATCTGTGATTCTTCACTTTGAGAGACTATATTTATAACTGTAGGAAAGTAAATTTCATTATTGTCTGAATAGAAATGGGTGCAAGATGTTAGATATACTTATGTCTAGTGCTCATAAGCAGGCTTCTTTATGTCATGGAAATACCTTCTCTAACAATATAATTGTAGCTACAGCTAATGAGCTTGTCCCTCTAGAAACTTCTCCTTAGAAGCAGGCCATCTTCCTGGCCAGCACGATGCTACGTGTTGTCTAATGATCTCCACAGATTTTTCCTTTATCACTAACATCCATCAGTAAAAACTATGAGCATACCTCCAGAATATATGCATTTCTCTGTAAATTCTATACACGTGCTCTGGTTCTAATATATGACATGCATTAAAAAACATACCCATGGCCGGGTACAGTGGCTTATGCCTGTAATCCCAGCACTTTGGGAGGCTAAGGCAGGCAGATCACAAGGTCAGGAGTTCGAGACCAACCTGGCCAATATGGTGAAACCCTATCTCAACTAAAAATACAAAGATTAGCCAGGCATGGTGGCGGGTGCCTGTAATCCCAGCTACTCCGGAGGCTGAGGCAGGAGAATCATTTGAACCTAGGAGGTGGAGGTTGCAGCAAGCCGAGATCGCACCATGAGCCGCTGCACTCCAGCCTGGGTGACAGAGCAAGACTTCGTCTCAAACGATACAACAAAAATACCCACAAAGTAGACATTATAGCATTAAGAAATAAAATAGTTTCTTCCTGTATGCAGAAGGGTCAAATGACTCCCTGGGGTGTACATGACCCACTCTGGAGACCGTTGGCTTACACAAGACAGCAACCAATGCACCCAAAGGAAATATAATCAAAGAAAGCATTTTAAATTGTTTTTCTTGGGTAGCTCCTGTTTCCCAAATCAGTGCTCTAACATCTAATTCCAAGAGGTCTCATTCCATTTTGTAAGGGTTAAAAAAATAACAGTATGCCACACTTCATATCGGTCAAAGCTTTTTCTGCTACGGAAGCAGTTTTGAGGGAGAAATTGTCATCTAGCGCCACAGCTATGCAAATGCGATAGTTATTTTTGACACTGGTAAATAATAGTTCTGTATGCACTGACACTGTTTCCTTACCTTATCATGCAAGGTCTCCAGTCATAATTTAGATGTTCGTAAGTGATTAGCATTTTGGGGCAATGGCAAGCAATTTGTGCGGTGTTTCCCATCTATCTTCTACCTTGAAAAGGTGATTAGCACTTTGGTGGGGAGAGGGGAGGGAATGTCTCACAAATTGCTTCTTTGATCAAGGCAAATCAAGATGTCTGATGAGATGACTGGCTGACATAGGTATACAAGCCATACCCTGGGCTGTCCCATGCTCAGATTGGAATTAACGAGGGCTGCCTTTATCAGAAATTCATTTGACTTCTCTTCAAATGGTTGGCAAATAACTACCCCTCAAAATAGTACTACTACAAATTACTTGATGCAGAACAAAAATAGAATGAAAAATACACATGTGACACTGGTAATACAACAAACATAATACTGTTATAAAAATTTCTAAAAAGCTGCAAGATAGCATTTCCAGCCCACTCTAAAAATAGCTAATTGAGAAAGATTCCTTTATGCTAATGCTCTTAATTGCCTGGGCAGCTTTATCGAAAAGTCATTTAGTGGCTGGCTAGTACTTTGAGAGTCTTAATAGCCAAATCGGAGAGCTCAACTAAGTAACGTCACAGCAGGAACTCTGGTGTGCTCCTACATGGCGACACTGGAAGTCTTTCTGGCTAATTAGGGAATCAGTCATTATGCAAATGAGCACCTCCCGATTGGCAACAACTTATGCTTTTCCCCACCACCCTTGCAAATGATACCAATTGAATGGTTGGTTGCCATCCCATACAGAATAAGAGAATGACAAAATTTTAGAGACAGCTCCCTTTGGGGCTAGTATCACATGGTCTAGTATCTCAATGTACAGATGGGGAAACTGAGTCTTCAGAGGTGGAGATCCTTGACTAGATTTCCTTAGTTAGCTAGTGGTGAATATGAGCTAATTTCCAGGCTTTTAAAAGAACAGTAGACTCTTTTTTTTTCTTGCCTTTAATTTTTATTTCAATCTGTAAATCTTGGTATTCTGCACATAGACACTCATGAGCCCTATTATAACAACACAGAAATGAAGGTTGATATAATGAAAAATGTCACCAGATCAAGGATTCAAAAGACCTATACTTTGAGGGGACCCTAAAACTGCTGGGCCCCCTGCCTATCCTGTAGGTCTCAAGCCCTTTCCCATAGGAAATTGTCTGTGTCTCCTAACACTATCAAAAAAGGAAATAGATGTGACTTTCCTGGGCCCTTGAAATACCTTTCCCACATTGCTTAGGAAATGCCCAAAGATTTTCTTTTTCTCCCAGAGGTCTGAGCTGAGGCCAGTGGTGTCAGCCATAGCAAATTTGTATTATGAAACCTCTGCACTTCTGAATTGTTGGGGCTGGCTTTTTCTTTTCTTCTCTTTTCTTTTTTTTTTTATTTTCTTTTTCCAATTCCCTTTGTAATCATCTCAAAGCCAAGTGCTCATTTCCACCAGAACTTTAAACATTGTGCCTTTATGTAGCACAGCTTTTAATTTTCCTCCCTAACAGAAGTGATTGTTTATGTTGTAAATGCCACATTAGTCTCCATGAAATGGAGATGGAATTGATTTTCATTTCAGAGATTTCACAGCTTGCCCCAGAACTTTATGCTTGATTGCCAATGCTCAGAAATGCATGGGCTTCTGAGAGGTTCAGAAATGATGTGTGTAACATGGCATATAAAAATGTGAGAATTGGAGCCGCATTTGTTGGAAGACAGACCCCTGAGTCTTGGTGGATATGTCTGGCCAGGCACTCAAAGAAACCAGTGTCTTGAGTGCAGGTGGTGCCTTCGAGAAATGGACTTCTGTCCCAAGTCAGCTTACCCACAATACCACCAATTTTCCCCACCAGTGAATTTGGCAGGGACGCAGGGATATACTGCAAACGTAATTCAGAGTATACACTGCTCAAAGCAAAGGAAGGAGAAAGCTGTGCTGGCACATTGGGAGTGGAGGTGGAATGGAGAGCAGATGTCTGCTTGACCCAAAAGAAAGGCTTTACTTCTCCCCTGTCTCCCTGCTGACTTCAGAGCTGCATGCCTCCTCCTTGGGGAACCTGTTGCATGTAACTACTGAAGCCAAGATGAGCAGATGGCTCCACTCTCTTCCAGGGATGTGAGATAGCGCCACTGGCATTCCAGGGGCCTAGACCAACAATACATCTGTCCTGGTCCTGGTCAACTGTTGGCCTGATCATCCAGAAGACATGCCTTCTAAGGGACCTGCCATACTGGCATGGGCCTTGTACTGAAGCCCTCCTGGAAGCCCCTTTCTCTGCAAGAATTCCTCCAACACCAGAGGTTTTAGAATACAGATGACATTCAATACAACACAATGAAGACATTCATTATTATTCTATTTACCATTTGTTAAATTTGACAGCCCATTTTGAAGGGTGAGAAGAACAACATCTCAGCACATACAATTCTCACGGCAGTGTTGGGGGTGGAGTCGTCTGCTGGAAGACATCATGGGAATCTTATTTTGAATGATTATCATCATTGTTAATTCGAACATTTCTACTTAATTATGTCTGGCTTCATCGAGTTATAAATATGTATATATTAATGTTAACAATATGAGCTTTATTGGCCAAATACATAATCGGTGATTAAAACAGAAATCTTCCAATATGTCTAAAGCTGCCACTCTCAATGGATCATAAAGTATAAAAGAGCTCCCATTCCATTGCTAGTCAATTAATGATACCTGTTCTTATATCAAGATAACACCTAGATGTGATTGAAATTACGAGTGAGTTTCCAAAATTAGGTGCTGGGTGCTCAGCTCAGTCTTCTCTCTCTCTCTCTCTCTCTGTTTTTTCTCTCTCCCTCTCTCCCTCTCTCTCTCTCTCTCTCTCTCTCTCTCTCTGCCTGAATGGCAGATGGCGAGCACGCATTCAGGGTAGTGGTGAGGGGGTGGAAAAAGTGCAAAGAAGGGGCATGGAAAGAGTTGCTTGAAGCTGGCAGGAAGACACATTCTGACAAGGAGAGCTGGAATTAGATTGCTGCCAGGGGAGGGCTCTCTGGCAACAAGAATTGGGGGCGGGGGTGTACAGGCACTCAGGGAAGTTGAGAGTGTCAGCACGCAGACCTTTCCTATTGTAGGCCTATTGTTTTTTTCTGTTTTTTCTTTTGTTGTTGTTGTTTTGTTTTTTTACTTTCTGGTGTGTGTCTTTTTTAAAGAGAGCAATGGGAAGAGGTGGCTTTATCCAGTCCGGTTCTCATTTCGCATCAGAGTAGTATTGATTTTCCACCCATGACTGCTGAAAATTAGAATTTCTTCATGAAGCTGGGTTCTTTTCCTGTCATGTTCCCTATCTTTTTAAACACGATTACCTGCACTTCAGGACTTCATGGCTAAAATTATAATGAACTTCTCCACCCAGCCTGGTGCAAGGGATCAAGAGGGAACTGTCTGCAGGGCTATGTTTGTGGCTACAGGAGGGCAGGCAAGGGCCTCGGATGGGAATACATTTTTTTCCCTCTGGTTACTTAATGCCCTACCTTTGGGCCACAGACTTATTGACTTACTACTAATTTTCTTGTCAGGATAATTCTTCCAATCAAGATTTAAAACAAACTAGGAGGTTACTAAAGTGCTGGAGATTAAAGCCTAATGCTTTTTTTATTTGATTAAGATACTCTTATCTGGGTTCCTTGGGCCCAATTTAAACTCATACAAACCTTTCTTAAAGGGCCAGCCCTGTTTGTGTCAAGCAAACAGCTTTTCTTCACATCCGCCTCTCTTGCTGTGTATTTGCTCACCAGGAAGAAGAAATAAATTATTCCCACTGCATCAACTTTCAGGCAGCTGCTCAGTACAATTTTCATCAATGTCTGGCCATGGAGAAAGAGACCAGTCATTTCCTAAGTGGTGATTTGTGGTGACCTATATTTTAGGAAACTGTTGGATTCACCATCAGCTTCTATCCTTCCAACCTGTAGACCCAAAGCCTTAATCAAGACCTGCACTTAGACGGGAGATTATTAAGAAGGAGAAGAGAGAAGACAACTCAGAAAGAAGACAACACAGCCACCTGACACCACTGAGTGCGCACGAACTCCCTGGTGACTTTAAAAATGATCCCTTTAATTTATCTCGTATCTCTATTCTTTCTTCGCAGACGATCCCCTTCAGCGGTATCTAGCAAAGACATGCAGTTTGTAGGCCTTAAACCAAGTAGACTCTGCCCATTTTGTTCTGATATTTTCTGTGCATGTTAATTAGCATTATCAAAAGAAAGCCCTTCAACCAGGCATCCAGCCTAGTTACACGGTCTGAATTGAAGACCAGAGACAGACATATAGAGAGTGTAAAGTTAGAGAGGTACGTTCTGAGGAATGCTGTTTCAGCAGTGAACATCTTTATTTTCCATCAAGTTTTCTTTTAATCTCACTTTCTATTAAAAGTCTTCTCAAAGCTAATGCAATAAATTTAGATCTGTAGCCAGATGCAAAGCAAAACTTTTGGCAGGGACTACTCTATCAAAAGACATTGCAAATGAAATATGCTCTCCCTTGGGGATTATTCTACAGTTTAATTTAATTTGATATTTCAAATTAAATTAATTCAAATGGTTATGCAGTTTCCAGGGAAAACAGACTTCATTTATGAGGTTCTGCCACCAAATTGTTTAGCAGCCATCATGTATCTTACATTGTTAACTAAGAATGATAAATAGTGACAAAGTAGGCTATTCCCCTCATTTCCCAGTCCCAGTCTGAAAAGGAAGACACATAAACCATTCCAACACCATACACTCCCTTCTTGGGCAGCATACATATTTATTAAGACCATTATAGTTAAGACTAATACGATCTGTGGACCCTTCTATCTAATCATCTCTAAGCATGTAATGAAGATGCATGGAGCCTCATGAGGGAACAGATGTGATGATTCCCATTTTCTAGGTAAGGAGACAGGTGGTGATGAGATTTACCCAGCATCATACGGAGAACTGGGGATGGGAGGCAGGAGCTCAGATCCAATGCTCAGGTTCTCAGTCCTCTGCTTTATAGGGTGATACTCCATTTGTCACCCTTCCCTAGATCTTAATATAATCTGAACTAGATCTCCACTGTCCAAGAAAATAGAACACTTGAGTTGTTATTGAGTCAATGAATCAACACAGACATTCCATCTGGAGAGCTGGAGAGAAGACTCTTGTCCCCCACAATTGTCTTTTATTTCATTTTATTTTAAAAAATCACCATGCAATCCAAAAGCCTCTTTTTCAATTGTGATATTTGCTTGTTGTTTTTTCCTAAGTAATCTAAGGAAGGGGGCCGTCTACATCCCAGTAGTGCAGGATGGAACAAAGTGGCTCCTTGGAGTAACTGAAGCACCCTCCTGTCTGGTTCTGGAAGGCCTGGCTGGCTGTGGATTGGAGAGGAAGCCATGGAGCCCCTCTGAGGCAGCTCCAGATGCTCTGTCTGCTCTGAGCCAGGTTGCTTTGAGTGGTGAGGCCTCCTCTGGTGTAAGGAGCGGGCAAACAAACATCTACCAAGATTTCATGCCCTGGGGAACTTTTAGCCTATTTGTTTCTCCTGTCTTTCCTAGAGCAGGATTTATTGGACGAGTGCTGGTCCTCGAGTTCATTCACCCCATATCCCTAAATGGTGACTTGAGGAAGGTAGAATATTTGTGGAGGGCTTATGTCTCCATCATGATCTTTGTACCCATGGGTCACATAAAACCCCAAGGTTTCTCAGCTAAAACAAAGCAATATTATCACAAGAGATTCTGGAAGAGCTCAGAAAACTGGGTTCATGGCAGCCTGCTACCACTTCCTTCAACAAAGGGCACATGTTTTATACAAAGAAGAGGGCTTTTCTCCATCAACATTTCCGTGCCTCCAACACCACCTTTCCAGCTCCATTTCCTCCTGAAATTCCCAAGGAAACATGCAAAACCAATTGTTTTTTTCCATGCTCTTCACTTTGGGAAAGTTCTCGCTCAAGGGTACAGCTGGGAAAATCCATGAATTTAGATTTCTTTGTCAGGAGGAATTGAATTTGCATTCTTTCACATGTGAATCTTGGGAGGCAGTGGGTGGGGGGGGAATAGTAGTCATTAGAGTGCCAATGAGTCACTAAACTATAGATTCTTAGAAATTGTACCCAAACTTGAGAGAGTTAAGTATTCTCTAATTCTGCATCAGTTTTCAAGAACAACACTCAGTGGTCTTATTCCGCTGTAAGAATAATGCTATTATGCAATTATTATTATTAGCACTGTAATGATAATGTTAATTCCATAGCTACATAATTAACTCATCATCCAGTTAGCATCTAGGATCCCTTGAACTCATAAATGCCCAACTAATCCTGACATTTTTTAAAGCCATCATTTCAACTCTCAGGAAAGGAATCTGCAAAATCCAAAAGTGAGGAAGTTCCTAATGATAGTTTCAAAACCCAAGACCCATAGACAACTATTGGTTTAAGAGAATAATGGGAGCTACAATGCTTCAAGAAACCCCCCCAACCAACCCACGCTGAGCCTGGGAAATCCTTTCAATACATTAGCTTACCCCGTCTTCATAACTCAGGGACAGGTATCATCATTGTTCCTATTTTGCAAAGAAAAAGCTGACACACAAGGAGATGAAGCAACTCAGTTGAAGTCACACACCAAGGCAGAGCTGGAATTTGAAGCCAGTTCTTTCTTACTCTAAACTCTACATTCTAAGCTTGGCATGGTGGCTCATGCCTGTAATCCCAGCACTTTGGGAGGTCAAGATGGGAGGATCGCTTGAGGCCAGGAGTTTGAGATCAGCCTGGTCAACATAGCAAAACCCCATCTCTAAAAATATAAAAATAAACAAGAAATAAACTCCACACTTTTATGATAATATTCTACTACCTTGGCTAACAGAGAAATACAAATTTTGGGGTATGGACTATCTTTTTTCCCTATTTAGCCTCTTTCATTTGACTCTTTTTCTCCTCTATGGTTTTCCCTTCCCATATTCAGATAGACACCAGGATCTAGCAATAGTTCTCACTATTTTCTTTTTTTTTTTCCTCAAAAAGAATATTTAGTGAGGATCCACTTGTAGCAGATATTGCGATGATTACTTGTGCAGCCTTTTAACCAGTGGTCACTCTTGCCCCCCTAAGATCTCACATTCCAAAATCATCGTAACTCTCTTAACAAATGGCTGGATGTGTAGAAAATCATCTCTCCCTGTGACGAATGCTAAAAGAATCAAGTGTATTGGGCTAGCAGAAGAGAAACTTGAGCAGTGTTTTTAAAACAGCTTTCAAGTTCATAACAGAGATATTGAAACCTTCCCAGCTGTTCTCCTTAGCCAGCAAGAATGGAACAGAAGGAAAAGTGGTTCGCTCAAAGCAATAGACATTCTGCTTAGGCATAAGAACTTTCTGGCTGTGAAGAATTGTGAGACAAGGAGATGGTGCATCCAGGAAGGTTGTCCTTGAAGACCTTTCAGAATAAGACAGCTTGCTTCCTTTTAGACCTAGAGGAGTGGATTGAATGAGCTGAGGGGGAAGTTCATCCAGCCTGAGTCCTGTGGCGCTACAGGATGCATTCCGACAGTGTGTCTATACTGTTGACATGAAGTTTCATCAATTCTCTGGTAAATTCCACAGCATTGACATAAGATAAAATACATTTGGTCCAAATCATTTAAATTGATTTTCCTGTCCAAATCACATGTGTACACATCCATATGGATAAATTAGACAAGATCATATTAAGATAATAAACTTAATTGGATTTATAAAAATCTATAAATGTGTTTAGCACCTTAGGGAGAGGTGCCCTGCAAATCAAAGCCATCCCTAAAGTGATAACTATCATGTGTTTTATTAGTACTCATGAAAATGGAAAGAATATATGAGCATCAGTCACTGAGGACCTGAGTTCCAACGTTTGCACTACCATTTGTTAGCTTGGACAATCCATGTGATATAGCTAGGTCTCAGCTTCCTTACCTATAAAATAATAAACATTATACCTACTTCCTGGTGTCAGGGAACCAGAAGCTGGGGAACCACTAAATTAGATGGCATTTGTAAATCACACAGCAGAATGATTGGCAACACAGGTTGATTCTTTCCCACTAAACAGTTCTGTAGAAGCTTTACCACTAGCCACAGCTCAGGCTAGTGACCCTGGCCCAGCCCAGTTGCCCTAAGAAAAGCCTAGCTGCTACATTCACTGATAAGTTCATACTACATTCTTAAGTCTCTCAGCCAAACCTCTCCAGTCCCTTCTGTTTCTAAAGAGGGTAAGAGTGTTCCTCTCTGGCTAACCTCACTTGAAGCTTCACTGTGGGCTTCGAGCACCCACACGTAGGAGCATCAAACATATTTACAACCAGAGTGCCATAGTTGAGAACATCCTCATGCCACCTTCAAGGAACAGAAATGTGTTCAATGGGGTGGCTACGGAGAAGGAAGTACCATAGTAGAAGTCCCGAACTGAGAAATAAAGGCCCCAAGTTCTGGCCCCAGGTTTGACAAAGTGGCTTTGGGCAGGTGGCTTCACTGCTCTGTGACTCAGTAGCAATGATTGTGTATTCTGTGCCTACTATGTGCAAGGCACTTATTTATTCCATCCATTATTTTCAATATCCACAAAAAGCCCCCATTTAAGTAGCACAGCCTGCATTTTACAGATGAGGAAACTAAACTGAAGTTCAGTAAAGTCAGGAAACTTCATCCAGAACCACTCATTTCTAGTAAACAGATGAGCAGACCTGAAAACCCAGAATGAGTGGCATCAAAACGCGCACTGGTTTCTCTACACAGCCCTGATTCGGTCTCCACACGTAGAAAATGAGGTTAGACAACAATCTCTAGGGTCTTCCGTGGCCTTGAGAGTTGATAAATCTCATTCTGGACTTCCTAGCTTCAGCAGGCAGCCTGAACATGTTGAGGGTCCGGTTATGAAAATGATCACAGCAGTCACTTTCACCTTCCTCACCTCCACCCCTTAATATTTGTCTCCTTTCCCCTGTAAAGACTGGGTGGACTTTTGTATTTTCTTCTCGGAAGATGAATGGCTGACTTTTTTTTTTTAAGAGGGACTTTTTGCTGGGGTGGGGAGAACGAATTGAAACAGAAGACTTTGGTAAAGAAGTCACTTGAAAAATGATCCTATTTCCTTTAGAGATGCTCTTGTAATATAATTATGAGCCATCTGTTAACCTCCTCTCCCCTTGCACGATCTTTCTGGTTCTCAGCAGATGATGTCCCCAGGAGCAAACCGGCGAGGATGGGGAGATGAGGCTCTTTTGATTGAGCACCGAGGAATGGGGTAACTTGAACCACGCAAGTCGGAGCAATTTAGAAAAGGTGTAGAAAATCCAAGCAAGACATAAATACCAACAAATGTTCTAGGGATTAGCAGATAAGTCGTATCGGGAGAAAGCGAGAGAGTCAAATTTATATAGTTGAGAAAGGATCCGGCTCAGCGGGAACACAATCACGGTCTATAAATACCTCCACGAAAACAGTCGAAATGAACGGAGGGAATTCATCACTGACTCCAAAGCAGGGAGGACAAGGTGCCATAGCCGTCAACTTGGAGCGGGAGATGGAAAGCACAATAGCAAAAAGTTCATGGCTCAGAGGAGTGACTGGGCAGAGGCCCAGACTCTCCAGGGAAGGTGGTCGCAACCCCCTGCCACCTGGAGACTGCAGGGAGAGGAGATGAAAAGCTGATAGGAACAGGAGTCTAAGAAGGCCCAGGAAGGCTGGATGGAGGTCACATAAGAGGACCTAAGCGGCTCTCCCACCTACGAGGCAATGAACTGAGAAGGAATTACTTGGTCTTGCAAATTGCTTGGTAAATACACTGAGTAAATCAAAGAAGCTCGTTTCAACAACACAGTAGCTAGGCACTGGATAGACTGAAGCCTACAGATTACAAAAGGATCCCATGCACAGTTTCGGTGGGCAGAGAGGCTTTTATCACAGCGATGGATGGCACACGTGGCCTGGTTTAATCCTCATTTGTTACCACGAAACGCAGCTTCCCTTGCCAGACCAAGGCCGAATCAGCCTTGGCCTTCCTGCCCCTGCCCCCTTCCCGCAGAGGCCTCTTCTTTCCTGCCACAGCACACGATTCCCTCCCTTCCTGCCCCGCCCTTGCCCTTCAACAATATTAATGGTCCCTGCCTAAGCACTTGAACGGAGCCAGGCCTCGCCTCCACAGAGCCTGTTTAGAGATGGCCTGAAACGCCTGCTGGGAATAATTCTCGCCGTAGGCAAGCTCAAGAATTATTGATGAAATAACCTTTTGGGGCCTGAGTCTGGGGTTTTGCAGATGCAATGGCAAGATTATTGTTTAAGTGGGGACTTGATCAGGCGGTGACCTAGAAAACATTTAGTTCTTTTATTGCTGTCACAGTTTCCTGGGGCTTACACTGTCTTCTGCCGCTGAAGCCTGGGCAAGGGAGTAAAAGGAAGTGGCTGGTGAAACAGTGAGATTGTCTGCACACCCAGAAGGCCAGAAAGCATCCAGGCAGCTTCTTGCCCCCAAATGATGGGCCCTGGGCCACCTCTGAAGTCACTGGAACGGGAATAACATAAAAACAATTCAGCTTTTCAGTGACTGGCCATTTTCACCTTAAAAGGTGAACCTCCTCAGATTCAAGGAGCAGATAAATCAGTCACTAGGGAGGCAATTATTAATGGAAGAGCCCTTTACAGGGGCCACGATGCTAGGCACGGGTCAGATGGAGACTGAGAAAGAGTAGAGCAGAAAGTCACCTGGGAAGGCCGCATCTAGACCCTGTGGGATAGGGAAAGACCGCAACGCCTGTCTGGAGGGGAGTCTTCCAGTTGACCTGAGGTTGCTAAGGGGCAAGGGCCACTGAGAATCACTTCTACAAAGGACAGCTCTGCCAAGCAGAGGGAGGGGAACAGGGGTTCTCACATGACTCTCTGCACACAGTCGTTCCCTCACCCCATTCCTTCATTCACGGCGCTGAGTGCTTACTCTGTGACAGGCACTTTGCTAGGTTTGAGATTCCAAAATAAATAAAACCGTTTCTAGTCTCAAGGAACTCAAGGGAGATGCGCTCTCAGTTATACCAGGTTCCTAATACCACGAAAGAGGGATATACAGTGCCTTTTCTGTGAGCACAGCCACGACCACAGAGAGCACTGCTTTGCAGAGAGGGAACATGTGAGCAGGCCTTTGATGGATGAATAGGAGTTTTCTAATTAAGGAAAGACAGTCCCAGGTAGTGGCGATGAGGTTGCATGACTTAATCAGAGAATGGTAAATGGTCTGGGATAACTGGAGTGTAGAGGACATAATGGGGAAGAGCATGGGACGACGGTACTAGCTTTCAGTATGGAGGACTTACGCTACGCTAGATAATGAGCAAAGAGCTCTATCCCCAGTATTTTATTTAATCCTCATACAACAGCCTTTGTAAGTATACACTGATTGTGTTATTTACTGAGGGTTACAACTTGTCAGGGCAGAGTAGAGGTATGAGGCCTGCTGGCCTGGGACTAAGCCAAGAGCCAAGCTCTATGCTATGAGGCCAACTTGCTCATTTGATGGGGAAGGAAAACAAGTTAGCTACACAGCTGAGGCGATTCCAGTCATTTTAGGAAAGGTCTTCAATGCCTTGTGAAGATGTTCAGAACCACTGGAGGTTTTTAAGCCAAGATGGCAGAAGCATGTCTATGCTTCAGAATATACCCTGGAAGCAGCCAGCACTAATTAGAACAGAGCACACTAAAAGCAGAGAGACACTGTCTATCCTCAGTGTGGTCCACAAACCACTCCTCTCAGGGCCACGTGAGGCTGTTCCTCCTGAACCAGAATCTCAAGGGGAGGGACTGCAGGATGTGAGTGTGTGAGGAGCTCCGCAGGTTCTTGCTAAGCACAATGGGGTTTGGGACCAAAGAGTTGGAAAGGGGTTGCAATACTTGTAATACTCCAGGTTAGAGATAACGAGGGCCTGAACTTGAGCAGACCTCGTGGTCATGTAGAAAGAGGCAGGTCAGAACTTTCATAGAGATACACCTGATCATAGAGATCAGGGTGTGGTTAGGTGAGGGAGGGAGAGGGGGGACCAGAATCAAGCTCAGGTTTCCAGATTGGGTGACTGGGTGGCTGGCAATGTCAATGTAAGGAGGTTGAGGTTTCATTTTGAAAATTGTGAGTCTGATGTATCCGCAGCATATGCTAGTAGAGATGTCTGGCAAGTCATCTGAAACTCAAGTGTGGAGCTCAGAAGACAGGGGTGGTCATGGCCACAGAAATGAATTAGGGAGTCTCAATGTATTGCCACCTCCTGCTGAAAGCTGATCCTGAAGTCCCAAGCGGAATTACCCCCACTCTCCTCTGCACTTCCATGACACCTTGCACAATACATATCACACTTTGTTGTATTTGTTTTACATAGTTTCTCCTTTAATAAACCACACGCTGATTAAAGGCAAGGGCCCATCATTCATGTTCATATCCCCAAATGCCCAGGACGGTGTCTGGCACATAGAAATTTCTTTTCAAAATTGCCGGATAGGTGAAAGAGAATAAGGAATGTAGACAAAATTAAGAAAATCTCTATGGACCCTCAGGGACCACCAACATTTAAAGGGTGGGTAGAAGTCCACAAAGAAACCTAACAAAAAGCAGATGGAGTGGCAGGAGAGAAAGCAAAAGCAAACAGTGACAAGGAGGAAAGAGAGACACAAACCCTTCAGGAATGGCAGGGTGGCCAGCAGCTTCAGTTGTTACAGAGGCCAAGCAGGCTCCAGCTAGTCATAGTAACCACTAGTGTGCCCCTTTCAGGAGTAAGGCAGGGAGGGACTTGTACATTGATAAACGCCCAACACCAAGCCTGGCCTCTGGAACTTTCAGATGTCCTTTTCCTTGGGAATCCATGCAGTCTACATCTTGGAGGTGAATTGTGAAGTTATGGAAACCCACATTTCAAGCAATGAATGATCAAAAGAATCCAGAGAGACACTGCAGGCTAAGCTCTCACCTACAGCACCAAGGGGGTGAAGCTCAGTGGTTAGACCACCTGATACTACCTGAATACCTTTTTTCTTATCTCCCCATCTCCTGTTTTGGCTTTCATGCCAGTATCTTCAAATTTACAGGGGAAATAAAGAGCCACTGGAAGTAGCCGTACCAAGTATTCACAGTAATGCAACCAGTTATCTGAGGGTTTTGTTTGGGTTTTGTTTTTTTTTTTTGTTTTTCTGTTTGTTTGTTTGTTTGTTTGTTTGTTTTCCATCTTGATCTTGCTTCACTAATCTTTCTTAGCTCAGGTGACCACATTGTAAAATTCCATTTTGTCTTTTTTTTTCAGATGTTGAAATGTGAACCAAATGCTGTTTTTAATGAGCTAAGCAATTGTTCAGACTTCTTCCCCTCCCTCCACCGTTTTGAATTGCTATAGCATGTACTACAAAGCTTCATTTGAAAGCCTGCAATTTCAGAGTGGTTTTCTTTAGGCAAAAGAGGCTATCCTGTATCACAGAGATATCACCACAGCTCAAATTCAGAGCCTTTCGGGGGAGAAACCAGTATGTGTGGCCGGGAGACTAGGGATGGATTTGGAAGGAGGTCCCATGAGATCCTCTCAAGGAAAGGGCCACAGGGAGGTGATACCTGGCGTGGAAGGAGGTGCCCAGTGGTGACCAGGGTCTCCCTCTTGAAACTGGACCTCTAACCAGAATATGCAACTACCCAGTGGACACTTCCAGCAAGACAGTTCGCATCACCTCCAACCTAATGTGTCTGAAAGTGAGTCAACTTCTTTCCTCAGTAAACCAGTTCTCAGCTACTTTTCCCACCTTTTTTTTTTTTTTTAGCACTTACTATGTGGCAGACACAATTTATTGTGTCAGGGACAGAGCAGGCAACAGGGCAAATACAGTACCTGCCTCATGAAGCCTATATTCTAGCAGGGAAGGCAGCATTCAAAACATTGACATTGGCATGAGCATTATAAAGAATAGTAATACGAGTACTGTTCATCGGGTCCTTAGTTTCCACGAGACACTATTGCCAGCACCATGGGGCACACGCCAGGGAGCCCTGGCTTAGCCTGGAAAGGCTCTGAGTGCTTTTCCTCAGCCCCATTTAGTGGCTCTGTCTGTTCTGTATTGTTCCAGATACACACTTTGAAAATTGAGGTCTCTGCTGCTTCTTCCATACCTGCTTCCTGATCAGTCTCCAGAACTTGGTGCTGCTTCCATCAAGATACATTTCGCACCTGCGCCACCTCTCCATTTCCTTGTCCCCGTCTAGTCCAGCAGCCTGTTCTGCATGTCTGGGACAGTATGGCAGTCCTGACCTCCCTGCCTCCAGCTTCCCTTTCATCCTCTCTGGTCAGCACACCTCCTGCGGGTGAACCTCCCAGAAAAGGCTGCTCCCCTGCTCAACATCTCAGTCATTGATTCAACAAATGCTTATCAAAGGCTTTCCACCCATAAAAAAAAAAAAAGTTGTGTGTTTCAGAAGACAAACCAATGTCCATTTTGTCCCTTGACTGGCACCCAAGGCCCTTCAGCCATTGGAAGCCTTCCATGAATGGCCTGTCCACCACTTTCCCAAGCACAGCTCCACCTTCCTGGGCCCTCTGCCCCTTGGCTAGTCCCAACTTTCTGGAACATTTTCTGCTCCTCTTCTTTTCTGCTTATCAAAATTCTGCCCATTGCTAAGGCCCAAATCTAATGTCACCTCTTCCATGAGGCCATCCTGATGAAGCCAAGCAGAAATATAGTAGTCTCCCCATCACTAAATTTCTTCTGAGAAACGTATACACTGTACATGCATGCATGCTGTGGGTCTCACACACACTCATATACATACCACACACACTCCTACAAGCTCCTAAAACCCCAGGAATCTGTGTGTATTTGCCATTGGTGAGCCTTGGCTATGTTCCAGGAACTGTGCTGAGCAACTCAGCCAGATTATCTCATGTAATAATCAACCATCCTATGAAGTAGGCACCGTAATCATATCCCCATATTAGAGATGAGATCAAAGAAGTTAAGTAAATTGCATAAATAAGGTCACACAGCTAGTAAGTAGAAAAGTAAAGATTCAAATCCAATTCTGACTAAATCTCACATATGTAATATTACACTGCCATTCGTCCAACAAGAATTCTTCTTTAAAGATTTAAATACCCCATTTGCCTTATATAGTGCTTTGCATTCAATATGCATTCACAATTATATTCCCAGTACCTAACACAGAGCCCAGAACATCTCCTAGACATGCAGTAAATACCTCTGATAGCATGGATGAAATTATTGTTGAGTATCATGTCAAACCTCCTAAATCAGAATAGCTGAAATTGGGGCCTCAGAGTCTCTAGGTTAACAAACATTCCAGGTGATTATTATAGCCAGCCAGCACCTGTAGATAGACTAACATGAAGCTAGTCCAGGCTCACCGTTCTATAAATAGGGAAACTGAGGCCCATGGCAGTAAATGACTTGCCCCTGTTTAGCAGCACCCACCTCCCATCCCCAAGTCATCTCTTTGTGCTGTTTTTTTTGTTTGTTTGTTTGTTTGTTTGCCAACTACTCTAATTTCAACCTAGCTGTAAGATAAGATACAATACTAACATTGGGCAGAAAACAAGCCCATATCTCCATCTGCCCTGTCTAAGGGAATCTTAAATTGGTTTTCCTGTCTCTTCTCTCTGAGGAGGTCCTCACTGATGGCCTCATCTCAGATAAGCTGAGCAGGGGACAGCCCCTGGGCAGCTGACCTAGAAACTCCAAACCACAGCAAACCAAGTTTTTGACCTGAAAGTGCCTGGTTATTGGGTTTTGCTTAATGCAGATCCATCATCTTCAGAATCTTTTTCTTGCCTCTTCAGAGAGGAGCCACGTTGCCCAGCAACGAATGTGCCAGTGATGTGGCAAAGTTGTTGATCAATAACGTTCTAGCTGCCTAACCTCACCCTGAAGCTGTGTTTGCCTGCCTGGTTCTAAAGTCCACTGTCTGCTGATTTCTTAGCTGCTAGGTGATATATATTTGAGAGAAAATAAAATTCGGAGTTAGACATACCTAGGCTGATGTCCCAGTTCAACCATGTACTGGCTATGTGACCTTGACAAGTCACTTGCCCTCTCTGAACCTTGGTTTCCTCATGCCCATGGTGAGGGGAGCTTTATGGGAAAATCTCTTGTTCTTTCCAGTTCTGAGATCCATGTTGTGTGTCTTATGACCTGGGGTGTGAGATGCTTCTGTGAGCCACATTCAGCCTGACGAAGAGATTGACTTCTGCTTCATGTTGGCCATTCCATATTATCAGTCCAGCTCACTGAGGCATGAAAATAAATTAGAACCACAAGCAGGTTAGGATACACTATCCTAAGAATACCACACTTCTCCCAACCCCCAGTTTTGCTTTGATAATAAACTTCCCTTGCATACAGACAGACAGCAAGACTCTCTGGGAAATCCTCAAGAAATGCCATCCATATGTTTTTGAGTCATTTACACTGAACCCATCATAATATTGTTCTTTGAAGATCCATTTACATTTGTTCTAAAGGCTTATTTTAAAGCTTATGCAAATGAACAAGATTAAGGTTGCATTCTGGAAGCTGAAACTGGGAAATGGGAAGTTCAATTTAAAGCTTGGTGTAAATAGAGTTTCACATGTGTTCTAAATAGTTCTCCCTTCTTAGCACAAGCGTCCTCCATTCAACCTCCTGGTACCCCCAGACCAACATTCTCTGCTAGTGAAATGCTGAGTGGTGGAGTTAAGGTTAATGAAAAGAGCAATGGAATGGTAGTCTCACTCTCCCCCTCTCACCTAGCCGTATGGCATTGGATGAGCCATTGAACTTTCCTAGGCTTCAGTTTCTTCATTTGGGAGCCATCCAAGACCTCAGTGGTTCCCAAATGTTAGCTGCATTAGAATTGCCTGAGGAGAAGATTCTGGACTTCTAACCCTGACCTACTGAACTACAATCTCCATGAGCAAAGCCCCACATTCTGAATTTTTCACATCCTCTCCACTTAGGGATCTCTCCTTTCTATGCACAAGAGTCTGATTTGTTGCCGAATATCCCTTTTCAACTTATATTCCCCTATGTGCTTTTTAAACTCTCCGATGTACTAAAAGTTCCCATTCATCCTATGGCCCTTGTTGTGGACTCTCAGGTGTTTTCTTTGAAGATCAAGACGCATTTGTTGAACTCTGGTTAGATGAAAGAAATCATTCCTTGTCACCCTCAACACATGGGCATGGGATATCTGAAGGTGGAGTTCAGTGTCTGGCTCCGTATGAATTACAGAGACCTGCAAGAGTCATTGTGCTGGCCCCACGGGAGCCAACAGACTATGAACAAACACAGAAATAGTAAGTATTAAGTAAGGGAATTGAAAGACCATAAAGACTGTATCATTAAAATTATATGCATATTAATATCCATATCACAGGTAGGTGATGGGTGAGCAGCATTATGGGCATCTGGATTAAAACTTGGATCTGTGCTCCAAGGGAGTGGGAAAAGTGGAAATGGAGAACAGAAGGTGAAGCACAAACAAAGAAATTAACAAAGTGACAAGAGCCCTCTGCATAGGAAAGGAGAGTCTGTCTTTGACCTGAATTGCCTCTTCCTGTTGTTAAGAAGAGAGAGTTGGCCTGTGTTATGTAATGCCAGGAGATGGTTTTCCATTCCGGGTCTGCAGGAATGAGCTCCTTGTGGTGGAACCTTTTCCCTGTTCTGCCACTTTCCTATTCTCACTCAGCCCCAAAGTAAGCACTATCTGATGATATTTCCAAGAACCTTGTCACTCACTCTACCATGGGGGACTCTCATGGAACAATGGATATCTTCTTTCTCAGTGAGTGGCTTTTTCCAAGAAGCACGACCTCATTTTAATGTAAATCTAACAAGGATTACCCTCTCTGCTCCCAACAAGGAAAGGATATATTTTAGCCCAGCAATGCAAAAATACAAATTTATCTTTCAGGCCATTTTTGTGCTCCCTGTCCCTAGCCCCATCCCCTGTGCCCCATCAAGACACCCTACTAGAGCCCCTCTACTAGCACCTCCCCCTTGGAGCCACAGTCAAGCTAAGGGATTATTATCTTATTGGCCTTCCCTCTCAAGACAAAAGGGGATGCTGGGCTAGAGCGATACTTTGCCCATAGGAATACATCACAAATATAAGGAACATGTCTCCTGGGTAGGAGAGGGATCTGTGAGTGGGGGGCTTTTGTGTCACACTCAAGTCAGAGGACCTAGTGACACCAAAGGCTGGTCTGGTATATCCAGAAAGACTTTTCTGCAGACAATTCCAGACCACTACTGCAGCACCAAACACAGAATGAATACCATCTCCACTGAGTTTAGCAATGCAGCACTTTAATTTCTTTCTATCCTGTTTATAAAATCATATTCTATGCTGTTGCTTCAATTCAGCCCCATCTGCATTTTCTTCCATTAATCACCGTAGAACTCCCCCACTATAGCCTTTATTACCTGCTCAAAATGAATGTGGAGAGAAAACATAATTAGATGCCACCTCTAAAAAATAATATCTTGAAAATAGAGCAATGACTTAAATAAAAGAAGGAGGGAAGAAAAAAACACAATTTGAACTAATGGGCCAAATTACCTCAGGTTAAACTGCATTTTAAATCAGCTGTTTCTTTCTTTCTTCCTTTCTTTCTCTGCCCCCTCCCTCCATACACCCTACCCTCCAGTGAGTCATGACAAATTCAGAGTGCAGCTGTATGGATGATTAGATTTCCTCATCTCTGCTGAAACAATGAAATATTTCTATAATACTAAACCCGTCAAACTGATCAAAGTGCAGTGTCAAAATTCTAAGTGCTCCTTCTTGCCCAATCCCCTCAGCTCTGGCAAAATGGAGCACATTTTATTTGCTGGCCCAAAACTCCCTGAGGTTTTTAAACTCTGATACATGCTGCCTGATTTGCAGTGTTGGCTACGGTTCTCCTTTAGGTGTTTTCCATCATCTGCACCAGTGACCAGAGCATCCCTTGTGGGCTGGTTTGCCTGCATAGTACCTCCACACATACCTTAACTGTGGTTTCCTTCTCCTCACTCCTGCCCAAATTACAGATGTTGTTAACATGCTGTCATACAAAGCCAGGTGACATACCTTCAGGAAGAGTATGAACAGGCCACTGTCAGCACCAGCTGCCTGGATCTCATCATTCCTTAAGACCCAGGTAGGGCACATGACGCTACCTGCACCTGGCACACTGACTGACAGAGCAAATACTACTCAAGAGCTGTTTTGCTTTACCCAGATCCCTTCATGTCTCAGGGCCTCAGTGTCTCCATCTGTAAAGTGAAAGTAATTTAGTAATGTCTACCCAGCCTCCTACACAAGGGTGTTATGCAGAGGAGGATGAAGCAATTTGCAGAGAAGCCCCATAACCATGCCAAAAGGCAGTCGAATTAATACTATAAGTATCACCTAATGCTCTGTGGGCAAGTCATATGCAGAAGGCTAGAAATTCACATCAGTGGAATTCACATCTCCAACAATAGCACGGAACGGGTGGAAGGGTTTGGCTTTGGAGCCAGAACAGTCTGGATTGGAGTTTCCATCCTGCTAATTTCTAGCTGTGTGGCCTTGAGCAAGTTACTTGGTCTCTCTGAAAGCCAGTTTCTTCATTTGTACCGTTTGTATCATATATACCCGCCTTTCAAGATTGTTGTAGTGTTATGAGAATTAGATAATATATATCTGAGCCACCTGGAACACAGTAGGCAGTCAAAAAAATCATAGTTTGATCACCGAAGATGCTTTGTTTAGGACCCTGTGTGGAAGAATAAGAGACTCCTCTGCCTGTGAGGATTGTCTGGTGTGACAGCACATCAGGCCTCCGAGGTGGGTGGAAGCCCATTTCTTCTCGTCTTCATAAACTTTTCTTTCAGGTAGCTGCCTGCTAATGCAGCAGCAAATCTCTCTGGGTGCTTTTAGCCTTCTTGTCGTGAGCCCTGCTAGGGCTGAGAAAAACACAAAAGGACATTTCTGGGAAGGGAAAAGGAGAGAAGGAGCCAAACATGGGGTGGCTATGGTAACCTCATTTCTCAGCAGATGAGAAACCAGCTCCAGATTTACAGATTAAGTGCTATTAATTACCACCCAGCAAATATTGAACCACAGTGTTGCACTCCTAGGGGGAAAAAAAATAGGAAACTCAGTCTGAATACTAACGGACTCCATTAGTGCTCTGTGCAAACCCCGCATCACATACAGTCCTGCCTTTGGCACTGAGGACTCAAGTGAAGTCCACACAGAGCATATCAGGTGAGGCCAGCCTGGGACCTTCTGTGAAACCCACTTCCAGCTGCAGCCCGTGACTGGGAATCTCTGAGTGAGGAAGCAAGAGAGCGCTCACCTGCTCAAAGGAAAAGGACCAGATAAGGCAAGACAGGGGTGGAGGGGGCAACAGGGGCTGTTGGAGGCTACTCCCCTATGATTAATTCAAAATTAATTAATTAATTTCATTCCCCTATGAATGAAAATGCGTCGGATTTTGTTCCTGGGCTTAGATGTTGGTGGCACATGCTTGGCAGCTGGCATATCGGAAGGTCTAGGTATACTCGTGTATTTACATTCTCCTGCCCTGGCCAACATTCTGCAAACAGCAGCCCTCACTAAGGAGAATGATGGTTACCAGAAGCTGGGAAGGGTAGTGGGAAGGGAGAGATAAAGTGGGATGGTTAATGAGGAAGGACAAAAATACAGTTAAATAGAAGAATAAGATCTAATAGTCAGTAGTACCACAGGGTGACTGTAGTTAACAGTATTTTAGTGTATATTTTTAAATAACTAAAAGAGTAGAATTGGAATGTTTCTAACACAAAGAAATAATAAATGCTTGAGTTGATGGATACCAGTTATCCCGATTTGACCATTACATGTTGTATACTTGTGTCAAAACATCACAGGTACCCCATAAATATATACAACTATTAGGTGCCTATAATAATTAAACATTTAGAATTAAGAAACCGAAAAAAGCCTCCTCTAGCTCACTGTGTCTAAAAATGCCCCCCTCTACTGGAGAATTCCGAGCTGGGGAAGAGGCAGGCATGTACTGTGTGTCTCGAGAGTCTCTCACTTTATCCAGCACGGGTATTACTGCCATCGTCGTACCAGCAGGGAAACAAACTGAGACTCCGAGCTGCTGCAGATTTGCCCAGATCCTTCCCCAGAATCCATGGGGCGGTGTGACTCAGGAGACCATCGTCTGTCCCCTCCACTCCTTCCCCAGGCCCCCAGGACTGTGGAGACTGCCCGGGCAGTGATGCAGGCATGACAGAGGAGGGGGGACAGTTCACTCCCTCCTCCGCCCTCTCCCTGCCCACTGTGCCTTGTGCCGTCTCTGTGCTTTGGAGCTGGGATCCACCAGCACCCTCTCTGCCCTGAAGGTGCATCCCTGCTCCTCCCTGCCCCCTTCCTGAGCCCCAGGCCCCATCCCTGCTCCTCCCCACTCCCTTCCTGAGGCCAGGCCCCAGCCCAGTGTGCTGACAGTCACAGTTGTCTGACAAGCCGGCCTCCAATCAGGGGACACATTCATTTTCCCCTTGGCAAGCACATCCCCACTCAGCACCCTCTCAGGCAGATTCCACTGAATCTACATTAGAAAATTATCAACCGGAGCAAATTGGGAAACTTACTATTTGAGAAAACTTTAGCTGTTTTTGCTTTTCCCTGAAATCTAAATAAGGGCACTGCCCCTGAGAATAAAGTTTTCTGATGTAACCAATTGCTGGCTCCCTGGAAAACTAAGTAGGACCTTTCCACACCATGCTTGTGACAGCCAGTCTGGGGCACTCCCTTTGAGCTCTTTTTCCTGGGCAGCACAGGGTGGGGGAGGACTGTGGGGGATGTATGGTGATTCCCAGCAGCCTTTGTCCATGGACATTAGCATGACCTTTAACCTTACCCACACCCGGGTTTTCTTATCTGTAAAATCAGGAGATTGGTCTAGACCAGGGTTTCTCAACCTCAGCACGAATGACGTTTTGGGTAGGATAATCCTTGTCATGGGGGCTGGCCTGTGCATTGCAGAGTGGTTAGCAGCACCCTGGGCTCCTCACTGGAGGCCAGGAGCAGGTACCCCTACTCCCCCACTTAGTTGTAACAACCGAAAATATCTTCAGATGTTCTCAAATGTCCCCTGGGGACAAAATCGCCCCCAGGTGAGAACCACCGGCCCAGATGATCTCTGAGGGTCCTTCCAGCTCTCCAGTTCTCTGTTTAGAAAGTGATATGAACACCAAAAACAGCTTGGGTTGAAATGTCACGGGGACCTCTCATCAAATCCTGGCTCTGGCATCTACGTTTTAGCTGTGTATGACTTGTCAAATGATTTCACTTCTCTGAGCCTCGGTTTGCTTATCTGCAAAATGGAGATGATAGTGCACATTTCACAAGAGTATTAAATGAGGAAATGTGTGTAAAACTTCTAGCGTATAGTGTATGGCCCCATAAATGGTGCTATTATTGCTGTGACTACAATTGAAAGTAAACCAGACCATCTGTTCTCTCTAGACAATCCCTCTTGTGACCAAATCCACAGAAATGCAAGGTAGCCAGCAGCAGTAGCTATGGAAAGAAAGAAACTAATAAATGTATTCAACATGTACTCTCTGCTAGGCACTACGCTAGGCAGTTTCATAAAAACTCTCAAGCAAAGTCAGGACTAATTGAGGATTCATAAATGCAGTAATAACTGGAGAATAAACCCAGACCTCTGCTGAATTGCCAATGCCTGGAAGGTGGGGGCCTGGAAATACTGGGATGTTTATTTTGTACCTTCAGTATCAGGAAGGATCCCCCTTATTTTTGCCTTTAAATTAAGATTATCCATTCATCTGTTACCCATGATAAATGCCGTATCTGAGAAAGGAAGCAATGAGAAAGTAATTTTTAGCTGGATTTGTTCACTCAAAATGAGTTTATGTCTCCTCTTTGGTTTGGTTCTGCCTAAAGGGCAATTGACTTCAGTTCCTACAGAAAGAGACAAGGAAATAATATCTGTCCCTAAACCAGAGTTACAGGTTTTGATATCCACTTCTTTTCCATTTTCTGGGGCCTGACAGCTGCCTGTTACCTCCAAAGCCACCTTCTCCAATAAGCCCCAATTCCCCGACGCACATTATTGAGATCATATCCCTGGTCTGGGCTGCCCCATGAGAGGTTTTATTCTTCAGTGGAAGTATTGATCTGTCGCCAGTTACAGGCCTAGTTTCTATATTAAGTGTCAACAAAGAGTAGGTGGAGGAGGTGGGAAATGGGGCCGGTGGAAGCTCTCTTTCTCTGTCTCCCCAGTTGGTCATGCAATGGTCTCTGTTGTTCTAGGATCCCAGAGATGCTTACCTGGGCTTATTCTCCTTGTCTTTGCTATTATTCCTTCCCGTACTCGTCAAACGTGGATTCACGTTCAGACCCAGCTAATGTTACTACCGACTGCCAGTTTCTGTCATGGGTTTTATCTCATCTAGCCCTCACAGAAGCACATTTTACAACTTTTACAGAGACATAAAAGGTGTCATCAAAGGCCCCAACTAGCAATTAGTAGAACTGAGTTTGCATGTAACCTCCTAGCCCCGAGTTCCAGTGCATGTTCCTCCATCAGGCAGCAGCCAACAACAGTCCCATAGGAAAGCCCTTGCTTTCTGAGGATGGGTAAACGCCCCGTTATGAGCCTCCCTGCCAAACTGCTATGCTTGCTGCAGGCAGTGCACATTGACCCTGCCCTTGGTCGGAGCCAGGCACAGCTGGACCAGAAGACAGCACCGTTCCAACCACAAACCCCATCCTGCCACAATTAACACTGTCCTCCCCAACCACCCCTAACTCCCATTCATTCTTCAAGAATCGTTCAGAAAGTACCCCTCCAACGAAAACTTCTCTGACCTGCTCATCAGTCTCCACCACTGTGATTCCTTAGCACTTTGACACACTCTGTTACTGACCATATCACACAGTCTCCTTTATCACTTTCTGTAATTCCTAGTACATAGAATACTAAATTTCTTTTTTTTTTTCTTTTGAGACAGAGTTTCACTCTTGTTGCCCAGGCTGGAGTGCAATGACATCTCGGCTCACTGCAACCTCCGCTTCCCAGGTTCAAGTGATTCTCTTGTCTCAGCCTCCCAAGTAGCTGGGATTACAGGCACGCGCTGCCATGCCCAGCTGATTTTGTATTTTTCGTAGAGACAGGGTTTCTCCATGTTGGTCAGGCTGGTCTCGAACTCCTGACCTCAGGTGATCCACCCACCTCAGCCACGCAAAGTGCTGGGATTACATGCATGAGCCACCGCGCCTGGCCAAATATTTCTTAAGTAAACAAATGGATCACTGAAAAAACAGAGGGGGAAATCTTGAAGCAGATCATGAACACAGTATTTAAAGTATAGCACTTATTTATAAATGACCCCAAGAACCTGCCATAGATCCCAAAAGTAGAGCTTTTTTTCTGATGAAAGCATGGGACTTGGGAGAGAACAGCCGTGAAATGCCTATTTTCTTTACATCCACTAATTGATTTCCATTAGTGCAGTGCTTCCCAAACTCCAGTGTTCAAACAAACCACCTAGGGATCTTGTTCTAATGCAGCTTCTGCCTCAGTAGTTCTGGAGTGGGGCTCCCAGGTGATCCTCATGCTGACAGCCCACACCTTGAGAGGCAGACGCTGACCTCTTCTGGGCTGCTTCCCACCTCACCTGAAGTTGCTGGCCTGTCACTCTGTGCCTGCAGCAGGGCCAGAACCCCCTGGCATCCCTGTGCCATCTGGGTAAAGCAGCTGTCTGCTGTTTTATTTATTTCCTCCCATTATCACTGGGGGAAGAGAATCCATAGGCATGACACATCTTGTTTACAGCAAGTCTCAGAAAAGTTAAAACTACAAATTTTTTTCTAAAAAAGCAGCAACCCGTTCAAATCACACATATCAGGGAAAAAAAGGGCTAAGGGAAATTCATAAAATATTAAATGACACTGTGTCAAGACACAGAAAGGGGCAGGATGGTAATTAAAGTAAACAGCACATCAAAACCCTGGCTAAAACTGTTATTTAAATTGAAAGTAAATGTAGGAACTGATCATGTAGCCTTGTATAAATGTGTTTCAAGAGCCTTTTAAGAATATTAATGATTATGGAAGTATAATGGCATAATGGCTGAATATCAATGATCGCTTTTATAGCAAGTGACAGCTCAGAGAAAGAAGGAAAACAATCCAGATCCTTCCTAAGATGCAAACTGGTTTCATCTCCCCAGCGCATTGCATCCTTTCAAGGGACAGAGAGAGGGCTGGGGAAGAGAATTAAGGTGTCTCAGGTGTCTTGAGCTTACGATGCACCTCTCTTGTGGGTCTGAGGGATGAGAAGCCATTCGGAGAGGGGTCTTGACCATGACTGAGGTTCTCATCTTTCTCCTCTGAGACATCTGCTGAGCTCCAGCTGTGTGCATAGCCCCCAGGCCTCGTTACCATCTCTAAAAATACTTACCCACCTTGCCTTAAAGGCTCTGAAAAGTTCAGCCGAAAGCCAAAAGTGAAACTGTAAAGTTTCATAACTGACTTTTCAACAAAGGGACTAGAAATTACACTTTTGAATTGGAGGGTTGCACTCTTACTTCAGAGGTGAAATGCTCAAAATATCTCAAGCTGCCTTCAGAACCCCAGGACTCATTTTTTCCTTATTCACAATGGGAACCAATCTTCCTCCTTCCACATTGCATTTCACCAAAGTCTTTTGCTGTATCTGTGAATACAATGGGAGGGCAAGCCCTTTGAGTCCCAAACAAGACACTTAAGCATTATTCTTTAACTTCAGTCCAGCCTCTTGCTATCTCCTTTGCTTGGTTTTCTGGTAAGATAAGGGGTTCCCCCTGGCCTTTTCCACTCTGCAGTGCTCTGGGGTTAGATCCCAAATTCTCCTTGGAGTCTCCTTGGGCATAAGCTTCCTCTCAGCATTACGAGGTTACCTTCCTCAAAGTGTCTTTTCTCCATGTTTTCTCAGATGGCCACCAACCCAGAGATGGTGTCCTGGTTCAGAGCCAGGCTGCCCAAGTCAACTCCAGAGAGCAGGAATTCAAAGGAAACAGTCACTCTCTCACTGTCTCTCTGCAGCTGACTACACTTTCCCGAGACAAGCAGGTATATTGGATTGGCTGTTGTTATGAGCTGTTTAGTCCTAACTTGCTTAGTAGAAAACGTCATCTAGTCCAGTTGACCAGAGAGCGCTAGGGTTTTGATCACAAGTCCAGCTAACAATGAAGCATTGCTTTGCTTTCCTTTCTTTGTGTGCTTACTATATTTTCTCAGGGGTCCTCATGAGAAGGGGTGGCTATTTCAAGGACAGAATCTGGCCATTCCTGCATCCTCGGGCTCAATACAATAATTCATCAAATGATGTATACATTTGTATTATAAACTGCGGAATCATTATGAAATCACTGTATTGTTAATAATAGTTTCCTATTAATTACTCTATCGCTCTAGCCATTACTTATAAACCTCCTTCCTAAATCTCTGGCTCAGATTGCCATTCCTGTAGGAATCCTTAGTCTCCAAATGGAGCAGATTGTAAAGACCCCAGGCAGGGCAGCAAGGAGGTGAGATTAATGAGACACCCCTCCCCCATTCCTGGCACTCGCTGGAAACCAGCAGAGAAGCCAGTGAGGTCCCACCCTTCCTGCAGTGATTTCCTTCACCCTCTGGCAGTGACTTCTCTCTCTCTTTGCTGCTGGGGGCACAGTCCTCAGCTGCTTCCTCAAAGAGCTGCCTGCATCAAAGTAGCTACTATTTCCAGCGTCTTTCTTTTACAATCCTTTTTGTTCCTTGCTTTTGATCCAGCATATGCTGGGGGGCCAAGCTTTTGTCTTTCAGCTTGTGAATAAATGGAAGCACTTACGGAGGCAGCAGCCACCACATGTGATTAGTTTCTTGTTGTTCTCTAACTGGGAGCCAGATGGATCAAGTAGCTCAGGACCTAAAACTGACCTACTTAGAGCCATCAGGTCTGATGAGGTGAGCATAGCTTGGGAGTCCAAAGACCTGAATGCCAGTCCTAGTCCTTCCAGCAACGAGGTGTGCAAATTTTGGCAAAGCTTTCTTCCTGTGTGCATTCACTCACCAGACATGGCGCTAGGCATTGGGTCTGTAAAGATAAATAAAATCACATCTGTGACCTCAAGAAGACTGCAGAAAGAGAAATGTGAAAGGTAGACATGAGAATACGTACAAGCTGTGGTAGAAGCATAGCCAAGAGAAAGCTTTGTCCAGGAAATGGTATTCGGGCTGAGTCTTGAAGGACTAAGTAAGCTCTGACCCAATGCAAACAGTGGACACAGCGGGATGGACCCTGGGATAGGGTCATTTGAGACCTAGGCAGTGGCCCAGAGGTATGGAAGAACATGATTTACTCAGAGAACGGCAGATTATCTAGTACTGCTGGGGCATGGACTAACAGGAGAAATGGAAGGTGGGTCTGGAGAGTTGGGCAGGGCCAGATCATAGGGAGCTTTGTAAACTATGCTGAGAAGTTAGGAAATGGAGACATGCAGACAGATTCATTTGTAAGCTAAGCATTCTCGCAGGAGGCAGCAAAGAGAGTGGCTTGAAGGGGAACCTGATTGTCAGAGACACCAGTTAGAAAAGTATTGCATGTTGGCTGGGCGCGGTGGCTCACGCCTGTAATCCCAGCACTTTGGGAGGCCGAGACGGGTGGATCACGAGGTCAGGAGATGGAGACCATCCTGCCTAACACAGTGAAACCCCATCTCTACTAAAAATATAAAAAAATTAGCCAGGCGTGGTGGCAGGTGCCTGTAGTCCCAGCTACTCGGGAGGCTGAGGCAGGAGAATGGCGTGAACCTGGGAGGCGGAGGTTGCAGTGAGCCGAGATGGCACCACTGCACTCCAGCCTGGGTGACAGAGCAAGACTCAATCTCAAAAACAAAAAAAAAGAAAAAGAAAAGTATTGCATGTTGTAAGCCAGGTTTTCTTTACCTGGGGACTACCGCCATTTTGGTTCTTGGTTGCAGGGGCCGCCTGGTGCATTGTATCGTGTTCAGCTCCATCCCTGGCCTCTACCCACTTGATGCTAGTAGCAACCACTTCGTTGTGACCATCAGAAATTGTCCCTGGACGTTGCCAAATGTCCCCTAGGTGGGGAAGACAAAAATCACCCATGGTGGAGAACCACCAGTCTAAGCAAACTTATGTAGTATGGAATAAGCTCAGAGCTGCGAGAATGGGCACAGGTTGAAGATACCTGTAGGAGTCAGGTTGAGAGGAAGGCATGATTGACCAGACGTATAGGGTGAGGAGAGGGTGGAGGCCAGGATTGTTCCCTGATTTCTGGTGGACAATTAGGGGATGTTGATGGTGCAGAGATGATGAGAAGAGGGAGGAGAAGGTGAGTAACTCATTTGGACGTGTCACACTCAAGGGGCCTGTGGGCCCCCATGTGGATGGGGCTAGTCGGCAGTGGGTTCTGCGGGGCTGAGAGCCAGGGCCAAGGGCTAAGTGGAGACGTGATGTAAATGTCTCTGGGAGTGATGAATCTACTTTGAGGAGGGGAATTCTGAATGAGAAGACGGCTGGGGATAGAACCTAGGGACATCAACATTTAAGTGGCTGGGGACAGGAATGAGAGTCAGGACGGGGACTGAGAGGGAATGGAAACTCCGGAGGAGGGTGTCCCAGAAATAAGACAACAAAAGAGTTTCCTGAAGAAGGAAGCCGTCACAGAGCCAAATGTCACAGAAATGTCAAGGAAGGGAAGGGCAGAAAACTGTCTGCCAGATACCTCAAAGGACTGGTTTAGGAGCAGAGGAGCCTATGAACTAGAAGGATTTGGAAACAGTTAAAAGCAGCAAACATGGTGTGCTCTTAGTGATTATGATCAGGGGCTCCCTCCATTGTGCTTCTGGACACAGAAACCTCCCAAGCTCATAAAATAGCAGGGGACCCTGAGCTGTGAGCTTTTCACCTGTCCAGTGGAGTGCCCGGGGCCCCATGAGTATCTACGGAGGGTCCCCAGGTTCACACCCACCTGTGAGCTCCTGGCCAGCACTGCTTCCGTGCTCCAGCAGCAAAATGCCAGGGAGCTGCTCCTTTCTTGCCTTCCAGCCTCATTGTTTACAGGGACAGTACCCTGGCATATTGCAGGTAATCACTCCCTGAGGCTGCAAAGGAGAAGCACCTATTGACCCTTTGACTCCCCCTGTGACTCTGGAGGACTCTGGGCAATCTAGAAGAATGGCGCCAATTTCAATTTCCTGTCTCTCCTGCAATATGTCCCTAAAATGAGCCTTGTGACACCTTTTGTTCCTCACCAGGCTCCACTTCCTGTTTCTTCTTCTATATCTTTCCACATTTTATCCATGCACTACCTCTTTTCCCTAAAAGAATTAGATTTGTTGTTAAGCCAGCGTGCTTGTTTCTTAGAAGTCTGCTTCCCAAGAAAGGCTGAGCCACAGTCTACTGGGTCTGTCCTTCTTCATGACCTCTTAGACTCACTCTTCATCTTTTTGCTCCAACCACACATTCCACAGGACTCAGTCTGGACTAAGGAGGCAGCCATTCTGCTAGAGATGAGGGAAGATGGCCCAGTTGTGTTTTCTGGCCTAGAGGGTACTGCCCCTCCCCAGGGCCCACTCCAAGCCTGCAACAGGCATGCCTGCCCCAAAAGCCTCCTCCTCAAGGTCTCCTCAGCAACAGGACAGCCCACTGCCCAGCCATTGCCCTCCTCCCTCTGCCCCGAAAGCTTTGGAGCTAGCGTCTGCTTCCTGATTACACATGGCACCTTGAGAATGGGGCAGCGTCTGTGGGGTGCAGGGAATTCAGGGAGGCAAGCTCAGGCCTTCCTCACTTGAATTAATGCAGGAGAGAAGAGAGGCCATGGAGCCAACACAGAAGGGACCTGGGGGCCCTCCCAGGGGACGAAGTTACTTACTGAACTGAATCCTCCCGCTTAAAGCTTAACAGGCTTCACTCCACTGACAAGTACTCAGGGCTTCTCCTGCCTCCTTTCCCCTCCCTATACAAAGAGTCAAGGTGGTCCAGGTTCCTGTGGGCCCTACACTGGCCCCACTTCAGCCTGGAAGCTAATTCCTGTGTGCAGCAGGTGGCAAGCACTCTAACCAACATCATCTCACTCAGGTGATCAGACACCCTGAGCTCCGCAGGGGCCAGGCAGGGTGCTTGGCCCTGGGAATAAAGCAGTGAGTAAGACGCACCCCTTCCTGCTCTGGAAGCCTACACTCCTGTGGGAAAGCACACCCATGGTCAACATGCTTTAACACGGTGGGAGGTGGGACACACACTCTCATGCACAGTAGAGGCATGTGCAGCATGCCACGGGAGAACACTGAGCCCCAGGACACCCCACCAGGTAGGTGATATTTCTCCCTGGTCTGCAGATGGGAAAGCTGAGGCTTGGGGGCTTCAAGTGACTCACCCAAGACTACAGAGCTATTTAGAGGTCCTCTGACCCTGCCCCTCCTGGTGTCCCAATTATTTCATGGGGCCAGCCACCACAGCTGTGACAGCCACACCTTGTCCATCTGTGACCTTGCAGCCTCTTTACCCTGCTGCACCCAGCCCCTCTGTGACTCTGATATACCAGTCACATAATGGATTGCCTTTGTCCCAGTGTCATGCCAGGTGCATCAGGAGGCTCTGGCTTCTCTCAGAGCTGCTGGGTGTGGGGCTGCGGGAGAAATGCTCACCCCCGAGACAGCCCTACTTCAAGCCAATTCCTTCCCTCCGGGTCTCCTCATCATTGGACTCTGGGGACCCAGGGCTTCTGATCCGCATCCCACTGCCTGCAGATGTCTCTCCCAGGTCTGCAAGGGATTCTCACTGAGGCACAGTTGTGTCCACGTGCTCATTCCCCCACTGAAAGTCCTTCGTTTAGTTCTTTTGTCCTCACAGAGACAGCGTTTCCGTAGCAATTGTGAAAATGGATGGAGCTAAGTCAAATCTGATTTTCTTTGGGAAGAAAATCGAATTCTCCACTTTGTGAGGCAGGCAGAGAGATTAGAAGAAGGAGGACCACAAAAATGCAGCTCACCCAGGGTGGGAGGGCCAGACCCCCCCGAGGGAGCTGGGAGGAGAGCCATGTAGCAGGGAAATGCCTGCTGGGCAGGGTGCAGGGTACAGCTGCTGCAGACAGCTGAGCGCCTCCCACCTTCAGGCCTCCAGACTTACCATGGACACCAAGTCCTCCAAGTTGAGATTCAGCCTAAGCCAGGGGACCACTGTGAATTGTTTATGCATTTAAGTTTAAATCTGTAAGCTCTGTAGCCTTCCTTCTCAGGTTGAGGCCACCAAAAAGACATTTCTGGTGGGGAACACTTTCCGAGGGGTCTGGGAGGTGAGGAAGGAGAGGTAGCTGAGCTTCTGAGAAGCAGCCTGTGATGGCGAAGCCAGCCTGCTCTGTGCAGGGAGAGTGGCCAGCCGGCCTCCAAGGGGAATAGCCACAGAAGCTGCCTCTTCTGGAGCCACACCCAAGTGCACAGGAGCCCTTGCTGTTTCTCAGTCATTTCATGAACATGGATGGAGTGGTTTTTATGGACCAGGCTCCATGCTAGGCACTGGGAATTCAAAGCTAAGTCTCTGCCTTTCAGAAGCACTCCATCTGCCAGGGAAGATGATGTATCTAGATGAGTGAAGGTAGGCTACGCGGAAATCTGTGCTGGAGGCGTGTCCCAGAGGGTAAGGCGGCTCAGAGAAAGAAGCAGCTGACCTCCCTGTGTGAGTGAGTGAGAGGTAGAACCGTTCAAGAGCCAGGACATCACAGCCAGGTCTTAGAGGATGAATAGGAGTTTTGCAGGAAGAAAGTGGAAAAACAATAGCACAAGGAATGGCAAAAGCAAAGATGCAGGGCACAAGAACGCATGGCATGCTCAACACATTGGCATGTGTAGGCCAATACAGAGTTTTGCTAGGAGAAGGGAAATGATAGGAGTGGGAAAAAACAGCTGGAAAGGTAGACTGGATCCTCTCATAAAGAGGCATCTTGTGGCTGGGCGCAGTGGCTCACATGGCTCACACCTGTTATCCTAGCACTTTGGGAGGCCGAGGTGGGCAGATCACTTGAGGTCAGGAGTTTGAAACCAGCCTGGCCAACATGGCGAAACCCCAACTCTACTAAAAATACAAAATTTAGCCAGGCGTGGCGGTGCATGCCTGTAATCTCAGCTACTCAGGAAGCTGAGGCAGGAGAATCGCTTGAACCCAGGAGGAGGAGGTTGCAGTGAGCCAAGGTCATGCCACCGCCCTCCAGCCTGGGCAACAGAGGGAGACTCCATCTAAAAAGAAAAAAAGGAGGCATCTTGTGTAGTTCAGACTTTTTCATAAAGCCAACAGGATAGCCCCAGAGAAGTCCAGGGAAATTTCTGAGGAAAAATTCTAGAAAATATGTCAGAGATCTTTCATTAATTTGTAAGGGATTTGAGACTTAATAGTTCCCCTAGAATCACTGAATGTCAGAGCTTTAAGAAACAAGAAAGTCCATATTTGTGGTTGTCAAGCTGGGTTCAGTGGAGCCTTAGGGTTCCACAGAAGGGCCTTAGAGACCCACTTCGGGACACAGGGGGTTAGAATGGAGGGAGGGCACTCAGAAGGGCGTTCTCCAGGGCCCTGTCCACTGCAGTCCACATGTTTCCATGCTTATCTTTATAGATTTGCTTTGATTCATTCAAGAAGTATTTATGGGGCATCTCCTCTATTTGGGTTATTATAATTTGATTGGAAAACTTACATCACCAGAGAAACTGGGGGTGAAAGTTACTGACACAGACCAACTGCCTGATTTACAGATAAGGAAACTGAGACTCAGCGAGGGGAAGCAACTTGACAAAGTCCCTCAGTGAGTTGGTGGCCAATCCTGATGCCTCCCCCCATGCTCTCTGTAGTCCCTGGCCCTGCCTTTGTGCAGACTGGACCCAGGCCACAGAGCTCCACCAGCCCCGCACATCCACCCCAGCAGCAGCCTTGCAGCGAGGGCAGAGCGGGCTCAGGGTCCAGCCTGCAGCAGTGCACCCTGACAGGCCTCCTCCAGACAAGGACGGCCTCTACCACCATCATCCAAGGAAGGCAGGAAAGCCACTGAGCACACAAACACACTCAGAAGAAAACGGGGACAGCCAGCTTGGGGATGAGCGGGGGCAAACCCATGGGCATGATAATGTTTTTGTTTATGGACAGGCAACAATGAGATGTATGGAGATGTCAAGAAAGAAATGCCCATGCGGGTGTTAGCACCATTTCCAAACCATGACTGCTTCCTTTGTGCCCAGAGTCAGCAAGTCAGGCAACTAATGCACAGGGCACTGAAATGAACCCTTTTTTTTGCTTTGATCGCTCCTGATAGCGCACTCTGCCAGAGATATCATATCTTTGATCTCTTGGCACTGATGCTAAGTCTCTGGAGCTCACTAGCATCTCCTTGAGATTAATTCTTCATGGCATACGAGGCACCACGCTGTCCTCTCCCATACATCACACTGGGTCACGTGACTTTCTGGCCTGCTGCCTCAGTGGTTACCCACAGGCTTAAGAAATAACCCCTAATGTCCTGCCTTCTCCTGGCCACCTCTCACCTAATACCCACATTGGTTAAAACCCCATTAAGCAGGCACCAGAAGACAGGCTTTTGATTCCTGACTCGGCCACTTTCCACTGAAACCCCTCACCTCTCTGAACCTCTGTCTCTTCATCTGAAGAACAGAAATAAGAATATCTACTCCTGCACCTAGCACACTACCTGACACAAAGTCAAGGTACAATAAATACTCATTAAGTGAATGACTAACTGACAAGTTGATCTATGATAAAGAGGAATGCAGGAAAGTTGTTTTTATGGTTATTCAAAATCTATTAGTAAGAACCCTTGGCCCATAGGCAGGTCTAATAATCCTGACTCTTATCTAATACTAAGAACCCTTGGCCCATAAGCAGGTCTCAGTCTTGCTTCCCAATCTCAGCATTCAAAAGATGCCTCATTGGAATTCAAACGGGGAGAGGGAAGTTTCAAGAAGGAAGGCAGCTAAAACTATACCTGAATTCAATCTCGACATGACATATCTACAGAGCAGCTGAAGAAACTTCTTCATCCCTTGGGGACAGAAACGTGTTGCTTCAGCTGGAAATTCATGGAGCCCACCCATCTCAAGGGCAGTCCCTCCCAGATCCTGCCTGGATGTTTGGAGAGGGCTGATAGGGAGTGACATGGCTCCGAACCTCCAGGGTGTCCATCTGCTGGCTCACTCACTCTGCATCTTGTCCATAAGAGATACAAGCTATGACAATAAGTCTGCATGTGCATGTGTGTGGGTGTGCATGGATCTGCGTGTGTACTAGTTGGGGCCTGTCTTAGGATCAGGTTAGCATATTACAGCACAGGTGTTTGAAAGAAAATGAACCAACCTGCAGGAGACAGGAATCAGAAATCTTACACAGAAAGTGATCTTCTCCTTGCCGTGGCAGAAGCAACCTGCCTCTGAAGGTTGAAATGGGGGTGATGTTCTTCCCCACATTGTCTCTTAAGTCAAGTGGGAACAGTTGGGGTAGGTGGTGATCTGCATCTCTATCTCCAGAAGGAGACTTGGTTTTGACAAAGAGCCAAGCAAGACAAAAAGGCTCAAATGGAACAGCCTCAGCATTTCTCTTTTCATGTGTGGCCTTGGAGCTGCCTACACTTCTTTTAATCATCATGGAGCTTATGAAAGCAATCAGATCATTGGTCTAGTTTTCTGCAATTATGATCTTGAATAGAAGAAAATTCCTAAAAACCCTAGGCAGAGAGAAAACAATGATGGTTTTTACCTTCATTTAAAGTATTTTGAGTATTTTGTTGCTCGTTGGACTTTTTCCAAAGTTCTGAGTCACAAAGAGCATCTGTGCAAGTCTTTTCCTTCCATCTTTCCTTCTTCCCTTCTCTTTTCATATTGTATCATTTATGTAACTCAATGAAAATTAATTCTGCATCTATTATTATGTCATCATGGTCTAGGTACTAGGAATATAAAAGAATGACACAGTCACTGCTTTCAAAAATCTTACAGTATAGAAAAGTAGAAAATGTTCTGTTTGCTGAAGTTGAGATCCACTAAGGCCTTTATTTTAAAAGCATAGAGGAGAAGGGTTTAGGAAATGCTTTCTTGCCTACTAAGGGAGGTGTGAGGTAAATGTTGGCACCAGCTGCTTAATGATGCCACAGAGCATGTGTGTCTGGAGGCTGAGGAGAGTTGATTTTTTTAAATTGTTACCTCTTTATGGTAGAGTGAAATGAAACAGAGCCTGTCCCCTCCCTTCTTTGCCTATTTCTAGCCTCCTCTCCACAGCTCCCACTAATGCTGTGTTCTCTGGCTCAGCACTGTTCCCTTTGCCTTTCATTCTACTCCACAAACATAGCTTAGCCCCTACTAAAAGTGTGTCTGTCTCTGCTAGGAGGGCTGTGGAGGTTTCAGTGGGGGAAATCCAGCTCTGTATGCTAAGTACCTGCAATGTGTCAGGGCTGCAGGCTCTGAGATAGATGCCTGGGACGGAGACGAACAAACCACAGTCCCTACCCACTTAATCTCAGTCAAGTGGAGAGTCCAACATGTGTCAAATACCGCAATACCTACCGTACACTATGTGCAGCCACAGAAGACTGTAAGAGGAATAGATGAAGAAAGGCCAATTCCACCGTGGGAGACAAAGGATAGTTTCATGATAGAGGTGACGCTTGAAGCTTACCATCTAGTAAGAGAAATGAGATTTCGTGCGGAAATCACCATGATGCAAAGGAGTGCTTCCTGAAAAGTGATATTTGAGCTAGGCCTTGCCAATGAATAGAATTTTCAACATTCATTCATTCATCCAACAGATATGTACTGAGTAGTTGTTTTCCCAGATAACGGGGAATGCAGTAATTCAGAAGACAGACAAAAATCCTTGTCCACACGGAGCTTACATTCTAGTGGGGAAGACATAAAGTACATGACATGCATGAGTTAGAGCACAGCTCAGCACATTTTTCCTGGAAAAGGCTAATCACTAGTCAGTAAACATTCCAGTCTTTACAGATCTTGTGGTCTTTTTTGCAACTACTCAGTTTTGCCATTGTGGCATGAAAGTAGTCATAGACAATACATAAATGAGTAAGCATGTCTGTGTTCTAATAAAACTTTATTTACAAAAACAGGGAGTGGACTGAATTTGGCCCCAAGGGCCATCGTTTGCCAACCCCTGATATGGTGTAAGTTAGATAGTCAGAAGAGCTAAACAGAAAACATAAATCAGGAATAAATAAATACATACAAGAAATGTTGGAGAAAGAGCTTCAAATTTCAGTAGGGAAAAAAATCCCCAAAAGGTGAATGAGACTTCCTGTAGGAAGTGAGGGAGTGAACCATGCAGATGGCCAGGAGAAGGGCCTTTTGGGAAGAGGGAACAGCTAGTCCAGACCCCTGGGGGTGGAATGACTCTGCCATGTTCAAGTGTCAGCCAAGGGCTGATGACTGGAAACAGGATGTTTTCAGGCAGATAGATTGGGATGGAGGAGAGAAGTGACAGCAGGTGCTTGAGGAACAGTTTGGCAGGATCATGAGGTATATACAGTAGAGTTACAGACAGAAGACAAGGCTGGAAGTGGAAATTATGACATATCATTGGGAGCCTTGACTGCCATGCTAAGGGGTCCTGACATTGTTCACAGGGAAGGACTTCCATGGGAACCCTTCGCTTCTGACCAGAGCACTCACAAATGGTTCTGGAACACAAAAAGGCTTTTGGACTGTGAGGCTTTTTGACTGTGAGGCACCATCCCAGTATCAGCCACATGGAGCTGTCCTATGTCAGGGACCGTGCTGGTGACCCAGATGGCTCTTCACAGGTGTGAAGCTGCAGCTGTCCCTCCAACGCACCCTGTTATCATCCTTCCTTCAGTATCAAGGCCTCCTTGCCAGACCCTAGGGGAGAGCGCAGTTATGGGGGCTCAAGCTCATCCCCTGACTTCTCTCTGCAAATCCAAAATGAAGCCTTGGCCTTCAATCTCTGTCCTCTTGAGCAGGCTTCTTTGCTATTGCCAGAGAGGCACCTACTCTGTGCCATGCACTGTGTTAGATGTCTTGCATGTGTTATCTTATTTATTCCTCATGATTCTATTTTTTTTTTTTTTTTTGAGACGGAGTTTTACTCTTGTTGCCCAGGCTGGAGTGCAAAGGCGCATCTCAGCTCACCACAACCTCTGCCTCCTGTGTTCAAGCGATTCTCCTGCCTCAGCCTCCCGAGTAGCTAGGATTATAGGCATGCACCACTATACCCAGCTAATTTTGTATTTTTAATAGAGACGGGGTTTCTCCATGTTGGTCAAGCTGGTCTCGAACTCCCGACCTCAGATGATCCATCCACCTCGGCCTCCCAAAGTGCTGGGACTACAGGCATGAGCCACCATGCCCGGCCTCATGATTCTTTAAGGAAGGTGCTGTCTTGTGGAAACTGAGGCTAAGCACAAGCAGTGTCATCCCCACAGTCAAAGCGAATGAGCACCAGAATTTGAGACTAAGTCAATCTAGTCTCAAAGTTCTTTCCAAATCACCATGTTGTTTCTCATTCAGTCTGTCTCAGAAAACACTTTGGCTCTCAGCCAAAATTGTTCTCATTTCAGGGCTCCCTCCCTTGCCAGCTCGGCTGGTGCCCAATTAGCTTCTTCCCTAGGAATCCCAGTTTCTCTCTCTCCCCTCTCTCAAGCACATGAAATAGACCTTTCTCCCAGATTGTTCCCTGCCCCTGCCCTTTAATGTATGACTCCAGATCTTCCTGCTCTCTGCCCTTTCCTGGACACTCCTCTCCTCCAGGTCCCCTCGCTATCTTCTCCCACCTTCTCCCAGGCTTCCTCTTCAATGCCAGCCCTACAGCGTCATTTGCATGTGCCCTGGCCCAGCCACAAGCCAATTCCTTTCTCTCTCATGAGGGTGATCATAACTGGTTTGCCTAGGACAGTCTTGGCTTGTGCCTGCAGCCCTAACATAACTATGATAATTATAACTCTCATTCGCTCTCAAGAGTGTCTGTGTTTGGGTGGTGAATGTCTTCACCTACACTGGGCATGGGAGTGAACTAATTTAAACTCCTCAGATCTAAGTTGAAAGTAATTTTGTTTTTTGCAATTTTTCACCCACCTAATGCTTTTATTTCCTTAGATACACCCTGCAATCTAGCATATTTCCTCTAGGTCTGATTTTTAACCAGAGTGGTAAAATCTTTCTTTGAGGGATTTGAGATTTCATTGGAATTTAGAACTTCATATCACTAGGGAGCCAGGCAGATACAGCCCCACCATGCAAACATGGCATCTCCTGCATGCAAACACTGCCGTGAGGGCTGGTGGGACAGGCAAGGACTGCAGAGTCTCACCAGGTCTAAATTCATCCCCTCAGCAAATATTTATTTGGCACCTACTATTTTGAGCACTGGAGATACAGTAGTGGACAAACACATTAAGCCCCTGCCCTCAAAGAGTTTACATTCAAGTGGGAGCTCAGACAATTTACAAATAAATATATGCTGTGTCAGGCAATAAGTTCAATGAAGAAACATAAGACAAAGTCAAGAGGCAGGAAAAATAGTAAGGACCAAGAAGCTGAAGAGGGAGCCTGCAGGTTGGCTTGAGAAAGGAGGTTAGTTCAGCTGAAGCAGATGAGTCAAAGGGGGATGAGTAGGAGCTGAAATCAGAGGCAGAGGGACCACACCCTGACCCTAAGCCATCAGAAGTTTGGACAGAGGAGCGATCAGATCCAACTGACATTGCTACATTGCGTAAGGATGGCTGTGGCCACTGGGTTAAGAAGAGGCTGAAGCAGGGAAGAAGCAGGGCGTCTCTCAGGAGCCTCAACAGATGCAAGGTGATGCTGTCTTGGACCAGGGTGGGGGCAGCAGAGGTTGTAAGAAGTGGTCATTTTCTGGATAAAAGATTGAAAGATAAAGTATTAGAGAAAGGCATCAGGGATGACTTCTAAGGTTGTGGCCTTAGAAGTCGCAAAAGGAAGGATAAGTTGCCATTGGCTGAGATAGGGATGATTTTGACAGGATCTAGCGGGAGGGGCTGTGTGGTGAAGGCAGGAGTTGGCTGTGGATGAGTTACATTTTAGAAACCTAAGAGATGTTCAAATGGAAATGCCCAGCAAGGAAGTAGACTTCAGCATGCGGGTGGAATGAAAGCCATGGGACTAAGTAAGATCACCTAGGCAGTGAATGTAGACAGCTCGGAGAAGCCCTGAGGTCCTCCAACATTTGGGAATAATAGAGATGGGGAGGAACTAGCAAAGGAGATGGAGAAGGAGTAGCTGTGAGTAAGAGTAGACCCGTAAGAGACTGCTCTCCCAGAGGCTAAGAGAAGAAGGCGTTCAAACAGAAGAGCTGGCCATTTGTGTCAACAAGGAGTTGACCATTGGATTTGTCAACATGGAGTCATTGGTAATTTAGGAAGAAGCCGTTTCAGTGGCGTATTTTTAGATTTGAGACAAAACCAGAATAAGTGGGTTACCGAGTGTCGGAATGAAGGGAAATGCGTTTGTCTAGATGAAGGAGACAGTGAGAGACAGCTCTTCTGAGTTCTGTAAAAGAGAACACAGCAAAGGAGGTATAGCAGGAGGAAAACAAACATGAGAAAGGCTTCTCCATTTTAAAAAAGTTAGAGATATTACAGCATATTTGTAAGAAGATGATTAAATAAAGGGGGAATGATGACTCTGGAGGGAAAGGAGACAAAGGTTTCTATCAACGCCCTTGAGTGGGAGAAGGGGGCTGGGATTCAGCATCAGAGAGGAGGGCTTGGCTTCCTGGGGCAGAAAGACTCAGTGAGGCCCCCTGTATCGTATCAATGGGGCTCCTGGCCGGGGTGGTGTGACCCTAATCCCTAGCCGCTCTGCCCATAGCTTCCCTGCCCCTGGTGAACTTGGCAAATCACTTATTGTCTAATTCTTAGGTTCCCCATCTTAAATATTAACTTACCATGCCCACGGCAAATGATTATTATTGAGAGTAAATAAAATATGTGTAAAGCACAGCACTTATCCTTAATAAGTTAAAGCTAGATCCTTTCTACCTTCCTTCCCCAGTTTGCCCTCCAGCATTTCTCTGAGGACCTCTGACTCATCCAGAGAAACTTGGATGGCCCTTCTGCTGCTAATGCTGCTTAAAGGCCAGCAGGGCCAAAAGCAGGCACAGCCAAGTGTTTCCAGTGCCCCCAAACACCCTCGTCCTTATATTTGTCTCAATAGCTTAGTGTCTGTGATTTGGTGAGTCATCTTTCTATGGCAATTTTTCATTTCCGTGCAGCCTCTTGGAGTTGGGTTCCGCAACTTGCACCTGCATGCAGCTAGGATCTTCAAAGAGCTGCTTCCCACTGAGTGAGCCCAGCCAGGGAGCCCCTGCCCCTCCCTCAGAGCCATAGCACAGAAGAGGTGGGTGTCTGGCTGCAGTTCTGGGTGGGCCCGCCTGCCTGAGCCTGAGGCAGAGGGCAGAAATGTGGCTGCAGGAGATGGAAGGGTGTGAGAGAGCCCAGAGCTGGGATGCAAGCCCTCCTCTCAGCGCAAATTCCGGTGATGCTACCTTGCCCAGGTAGGAGATCATTGAATCTCTTACCCAGAAAGACAAAGCTCTTGTCATGAGGCAAGGGATATTTTAACTTCTATCCATGAACCTCCCAATGAAAAAATGTAGAGTTCTGTCAAAACAGGTTAGCATATTAGCAATCACGGCTCACTACCATCTGTATTTGTTCCATTTGTGCCGTTTATGATGGTTATCCACATTAATTATTTCACTGCTAAAGTCCCTTCTAATTTCTGAACACTGTTATTTCTAAGAAAGATGGATATTAGATATGCCACACATCAGCGCAGGGTGGCATTACAGCATGCCATTAAGTTCAGATGCTGAGGCTCGGCAGAAAATAATTTTGCTATTTGTAATTGCAATAAAGTGTTTTATGTTGTGGCTCAACATGAAGAATAGCACTGATGGAAGCTGACTACTTAGTTTGGCAATGACTCTGAACTCATTAAAACAGACGAGAACCACTAGGTGGGGGTGACTGGCCAGCAGGAGGACAGAGATGAGTGAGGATGGAGGACAAGGTGTGTGGTGACAGCCATTCCCAAGCCTGGCCACGCCAACCTGCCTGAGCAGAGTCTACAAGGAACAGTTCCCCGCGAGAACTTTCAAAGCATCTGAGTCAATAGATCTAGGGTAATAGGGTAAGGCATAGCCAACAGCTGGGACATTCTATCACTGCTGGTTCACATAGCCACTTGTACAACAGTGGCACCTTCAGAGCAGTGACCACTGTCAAAGTACTTGAGTTTATAAACTATAATCACGCTTCCACTATTTCATTAAATAACATGACAGCCTTGGACGGGAGCTGTTATTGTTAGCATATCCAAGACACCATAGAATAATTAGCTTCTCTCCTAACTCCCAACCTCAGGCTTCCGAAAGGATGCCAGTGGGTTCAACAGCTAAAGTCCAGCGAGGACAGCCTTGAAGGTAAGGACCAGCGTGAAGGTCTAAGGAAGGCAAAGAAATCTCCCTTTGTGGCGTTCTTTGTTTTAAAGTGATGTTTGAGATGGTGATCTGACCTGGGTGAGGAAGAATCAAATGCTTCTTCCAGAACCCTTCCAGTTCAAGCACGTGTTCATCCTCCCATTGGTCATTCATCTGTCAAAAACGCACCAAATCATCTTGGATGCGCTGAGCTCTATGCCTGCCCTAGGCTCATTCCCGCCTTCCCAGGTAACCAGGGCAAATGAGTCAGCAGCCAACAAGCAGGGGAAAGGAAACAAAACAGGCACCCACTGCAAATAATGGGTGGATCCCATCTAGATGAGGTCCAGTATAAAATGAAAATCAGCTAGAAAGAATCAGCTGTTACTCTCCCCCACACTTCCCCCCCCCCCCAACACACACACACTCACACTCACACTCAGGCTAGTAAATACCTTCTTTGACTGATATGGCCAGTTTTCAGATGCATTTGGCTGTTTCTTCCAGGGTGATAGCTCCCCCTGGTGTTTGGAGGCCCAGGTTTTCACAGGCCACAGTGAGTGTCCCCAGGAATCTTCTGTGCTCCATCAGTATCACTTAGATGGGAGCTAGAGATCCATAAAAGTCAGTCCCTTCCTGTTTCCCTGGGATGTGGCTGACCTGTGTCATCTGAAACAGGCTTTGTCCCCTGAGCTCCAATCCTAACCTCCCTACAGCCTCAACGCTGTGGTTCTGGGCAAAGTTATTGAAACTCAGAGCACCCATCCCTCACCTATAAAAATGAGGGAGATAACACCAAGGTGGTGTTAGCATGAGATCAAATAATAATGAAATGACACCTAGCTCAATGCGTGACACCTAGCAGGTGCTCCATACATATTAGCTGCTTTGCTCTTCTTAGTTTAAGAGTTTCAAAATCTTGCTCTCCAGCTCCCTCCCTTCCTCTTTCTTCCTCCGCCTCCCTCTCCTTCCCAAATCTTTATTCTAACCTTACTCTTTCTTTCATAGCTCCCTCCTATCTGTTCCTCCTTCTCCCCTCCTGTCTCCCTATCACTCTCTCCATCTCCTTTCTTCTTTTTCCTTCTTTCTCATCACCTCCCACATTCCCCCTCACCTCCCTGTCTGCCTCTTTTCCCACACCTCTTCCTCCGCCCTTCTCCTGCCCAACCTCATGCCTAAGAACTAACATTGGGTGTATGGAGGGTACTCTCTGAAGATAAATTGCATCCTGTGCTAAGTCAGAGAGGAGCCATTTTTCCACTAGTCAATAACACTGCAGATTGCTCTTGCATTCTTCAGAGGAGCACCAAGGGCTTTTCTGCGCTCTTGACGGTGGAACACTGGCCTCTCTGCAACCGTGTTCATCGTGGATGGTGTTTGAACATTCTCTGTCTTCCCTCTTGCTCTTGTGCAGTCTCTCTGATGTTTGCCTCCCCCGCATTCTCTTTCCTCCTTTTGCCTGCCCTTCTTTTATTTCTAATCTCATTTTTGCTCTTCTCTTTAGTATGTTTCACGTGCTGTAGTCCCTTTTCCTCTTGTTTTTGATTTGCAAAATGGTCCACGTTCTCCTATATTCCCAAACTGCATTTTCTCAAGCAGCCTGCAATATTTCTTCCCTGTCACTGTAAAAGCTTTTTCATCTTCATTTGGAGCCATTTGCCCTGATCATTTCTTTCCTTAAGATCACAGTGATGAGCCCATGTGGTCTTGAGCTGTCAACAATCCCCAGGAAAGGAGAGCACTGACTTAAAACTTGCATTTTAATTTGGAGACCCCCTCAGAGGCTGGCCAGGGCAGAGCAGAAGCACAGCAACTGTCCCAGACCAGCCCTGGTTGTGCACTGAGATCTTTGGGAAGATCTGAAAGGAAGGAACCTGAAAATGCTGAATAGTTTTCTTCCCCCACAAAATAGATGGGGATAGCCTGAGTAGCTCAAGACTGTTTTTCTCAACTGATTTCTTCCTCTACACAGTTCCCTTGAAAGAGGAAATAAACAATTATCCGGTGGCAAAACAGAGACTCTATTAGTTGTCTGGGCATTGTCACAAGGTGAAAGTGTCACAGGCTTGCACAAGAACCTGATCATTAGGAGGATGGAGTCCCCAGCCATGCAGCCACACAGAAAGGTGGGGTGTGAGTTTAGAATCTGAGAAAAAGATGAAGCCTGAGTCTTCACCCTGTGGCTTGACGCCTCGGGTGCCTGGGATGGGGAAGCAGGAGGAAAGTTCATGTAAGTAAAACTCCGCTGATCACCCAGCAGGGGCCTCCTTCTCTATGGTGGGATTTGGTACATAAGCCCCCACCTCAGGCAGCTCAGGGATATCCCACATCTTCCCTCAAAGCAGACCCAGAGACAAGGATTCAAATGCAAGTAGTTTGTTTCAGGGGGCGATCCCAGGAAACCCTGGTAGGGGAGGGAGGAAGTGAGTAGGAAAGGAAGGAAAGACGCCAGTAAAGGATTCATCATCATGTAGATACCACTGTGTGCAACTGGCAGTCAGCCCACCGTGCAACTCTGGGACGTGGCATTCTCCCCAAGGAGAAGTGAGGAAATTGGGGCATTTATCCCCACCAGCCCCATACCTATCATGTGTAGAGGGCTGCCTCCCAGGGCGGAAACTCTCCAGCACATGCCATTTGCCCAAGACAGAATGAGCATGTTCCCAAATGCCCCCCATCACATCTCCGTGACTCCATCACACCCGCTGTCCCACAGAGAATCGCAGGCATTAGCACAGGTTTCTTCTGCATGTCTAGTTGAATGCTAAGGGGCTGTGGCCAGAGCTGCAACAGTATCAGGGCTCGGCCTGGGCCACACGCTCCCCTCTTTATGCTGCTCTAAGCCAGGGGTCTACATGCTTCTACAAAGAGCCAGAGAGTAAATACGTTAAGCTTTGCAACCAGAAGGTCTCTGTTGCAACTCCTCCATTGATTATGTCATTGTATTGTGGCAGAGAGGCCAGAACTGTGTAAGGCAGGTAAGGTGCTCTAGGTACAAAATTGAGGGAGGCACTGACTGTCCGGGCTGTGGCTTGTGCACCAGCCTGGGAGTGAGGGTCTTCTTCAGTATTGCACCCTGGGCACCTCCCTTTCCCCTCCCCAGCCCTGGCCCTATGTGATGCAAAAGCTGCTCTACCCAATACGAATGCAGAGGGCGTGGCTGTGTTCCAACAAAACCTCCTTTACAAAAACAGTCAGGGAATCAAATTTGGTCTGCAGTCCTTAGCTGACCTGCCCTATCTAGCCAGACTGGTCTTTTAGGTCCTCCAAGCACTGTGCTCCCCCTGCAACCCATTTTCAGATGCTGTTCCGTGCTCCCCACTCAACACCTCACCTGGATATTTCCTCCTCGCCCGTCAGCCTCAGGTTGAACATCACCTCTTCAAGGAGGTCTCGCCCACTTCTGGCCAGGTCAGATCCCCCTACGGAACCCCACACCCTCCACTCTCCCTCAGCACACTTATCACCATGGTAATTGCATAGTTGATTGTGTCATTTGTTGTTGAATGTCTGTCGCCCTCTGCAGAATGTACACTCCTGTCAGTTACCAGAGCCTGTTGCGTCTACTTCCTAATAAGCCTGGAGTCTTTCCCTCCTCATCACCTCAGGCAGCGCAGCCCTGTCCCAGGCCTTCATCGTTTCTTACCTGGGTCTCTGCAATGGCCTCCTGCCCCATCTTCCTACATACCTTGAGGCATCCTGGGGCTCCCCTTTACCTCCATGAGGACGTCCAAACTTCTAAGAATGGCATAAAAGGCGCTTCACATCTGGGGCCCTGCCCCTAGCCCTGCCCTCATCCCCTCCCCACCTTGGCCCACCTGCTTTGCTTCAGTGATGCTACCCTGCCTATTGTCCGCTACTTCCTAAATGCATGAGGCTCTCTCTGGCTTCCAGGCCTTTGCATGGGCTGTGACCTCTGCATGGAGCCTCCTTTCTCCCTTTCTGCACATCCCAGCATCAGTCCGTACCCTAAATGGCCTTCTCAGACCATTCATCCTCACAGCCCCAACTCCTCCGCTCTTGGTTAGGAATCAGCAATGTGGGCTTCCACAGCCCCCTGTGCTTCCTCAGTTTCAGGTTTCTCACACTTTGTTATAGCTATTTACCTATCTGCCACTCCTATGAGAGATTGAGCTCCCTGAGATGAGGAACCTAGCACCCAGCACCCAGTGCCTAGCACCTAGCACCCAACACTCAACACCTAACACCTAGCACCTAATACCTAGCACCACGCCAGAGCTTCGAAGGCACTCAATAAATGTCTAGTAAATGACCAAAAAGCCTTGGACACCTAAACTGGTTTCTTTTCAGTGACTGGTGCGGGGATCTGAATGGCCTCTGGACCATTTTTCATTTTGTAGGAGGAACGAGGATGACAAAAACGGGTCGTGGCCAAAAGCACTGTCTCCACCTACTTTTCTCTGCTGGTAGCTTTCAGGTTGTCGCCAACCTCAGAGGGCCACAGTACCAAACTTAAAGACCCTACCCACTTTCCCTCCTCTTGAGACTCACACCATGAGTGGACAAAAGCCGTGGCGGGTGATCCTCACCTGCCTGCGTCCTGCCTCTGAGGGAAAGTTTCCCGCACCCGGAGAATGAGGTGGCAATATAGACCTCCATTTTCTCTTCTCCTCCCACATCCCTAGGAAAAGGGGGCAACCCAACATTGACCAGAACCCAAGGACGGGCGAGGTGGAGCAGGCGGCAGGGGTGCCCCAGATTGAAGAGGCGTGGCCTTTCGCCGGCACAGCACCAACGGGGCAGAGGGCTCTGAGGGGCTCGGCCCTGCCAGACCCTGCCTCACTCAGAGAGGCCGCCTTGGGAATTGCTTTGATAAGTGAGGACAGCCCCAGCCCCCCAAAATGCATGCACGCGCGCACACACACACACACACACACTCGCCCTTATCTGGAGCACACATTTCCTTCGGGCCCGGCAGCCAGCTGTACTGTCACTTTCGTGATTGCAGATAATTCACATTCAAACAAACTCTGACTCACCAGAGACACAGAAAGAAAATGCTACTAGAGTAGGAAAGTCGCTGCGCGCTGTTTTGCTTTTCCTGTTCCTGGCATCTTTCATGTCGGAAGAGGACCACTGGGAGTGGGGCGTGGCTGGCTGACGGCAGAAGGCCCGGACCACCTTGCTGAGAAACAGTAGTTCAGCGCCACTGTGGAGTGGCCTTCCTGGACCCCAGAGGAGGCGTTTCCAATGGAGTGTCGGCTCTTTGGTGTCCCTAGAATATCCTGTTTTTAGGGATGTTCTGCTTTTTATAATGAAGCGGCTCCCACCGCCGCCCATGCTTCAGGCTCAGTGGAGAGAGGGCAGCTGGGAGGGGAGGCTCTGTGGCTTGAAGAAGCCCTTTGCTGGCACAGCATCCTCGCACAGTGGGAACTGGTTAAAAATATAGATTCCTGAGCCTACTAAATTCTCACCTTACTAAATCAGACCTTTTAGCTCATTCCTACTAAATTAGAATTTCTAGGGAACTGGACAGAAGTCTTTTTTGTTTAATTTTACAGCTAACATGATACTAATTATGCTATTTGGGAGCTACTCATGTAATAAATTATTTTTTGTTGTTGTTTTTTGGGTTTTTTTGAGACGGAGTCTTGCTCTGTCGCCCAGGCTGGAGTGCAGTGGCGCGATCTCAGTTCCATGCAACCTCTGCCTCCTGGGTTCAAGTGATTCTCATGCCTCAGCCTCCCAAGTAGCTGGGATTATAGGCATGAGCCACCACCCCCCAGCTAATTTCTGTATTTTTAGTAGAGGTGGGGGGTTCACCATATTGGCCAGGCTGGTCTCAAACTCCTGGCCTCAGGTGATCCACTTGCCTTGGCCTCCCAAAGTGCTGGGATTACAGGCTTATATAATAAATTATATCCAGAATTCTCTTTAAACTTAGGCGGTTATGTGCTCGCGCATCAGGCAGGATGGAGATTGTCATGTTGCAGTAACTCCATTCCTTCTGCCACCCACTGGATCCATAAAAAGATGGAGCAGAGATTTTTCTCTAAGGATGCAAAAGCACTTTAGATTCTCCTGCAGTCACTGTTGGTAACCTGAATTCTCAGAGTGTTTGATGATTCAGTGGTTAGGTTGATTTGTGTAGACCACAGATTTTTCTTGGGGGAAAGTGAACTTAGTTCTCCTTGCCCCAAGGAGGGGACACCTGAAACCTAGCTGCCCTTGGCCGTCCCAGCAGCCACCATCCTCATCACAGCCTGCACATTGTGAAGAGGCCTATCAGGTTGAGACTACTGTCAAGACATTAATTAAAGTTTAATTAATTATTAAAATGATATTTACTGAGTTTTAGCAACTCCCAAATAAGATTTGTGTTTGTGGCAGTTGTCAAACTGTAGTAGATCTGTTCTTAATAATCAGTTGTGATCTGTTTGACTTGGTATCACTTTTCTTATTTAGCCTAAAACAAAACTTTATTTGAGACACTTAATTATAAGTGAGGCTGATTTGCTTTCCTTCGGGGCACCAGGGACTCTGAGTCCAAGTGGGATGAGAGGGGTCCCCAGCTGAGGACAGAGAAGGGGTGCCTGCCCTAGTAGATATGGGGGTGATGGTTATTCACAGGGTGCATCATTTAGCAAAATAGTCCTCCAAGCTCCCATCTGCATACACGTTAACTGGAGCTTTAAAGAATGTATTCTCATCTCATTAGGAATCTCGGCATGCCATGAAGGGTTACTTGAATGCTATTGAACAGTCGTGGGAAGCTAAAGCTACTTCCCACTCAGGTACTTCCAGAACCACGCTGAACTTCAACAGGAAGAGGAGAGGGCTCAATGGGAAGAATGGGGTGCCACACTGAGCTAGCTATCTCCCTTCTCTCCTCAGCTTTGTGAAGTCCTGTGTTCTGACCTCATGAGTTCAGTGAACATGCCCCCCTAAGACAAGGCACTGCTCCGAGAAGCCACCTGTTGGTCAGGGCCCTGCTGCCTGTGGACAGATCTGGGGTCCACTGATGCCAGCCCATCTACTGATGGACACAGGACAGAATAGTAGAATAAGCATGGGCTTAGTGAGGAGGAGATTGGGATTCCAATGCCAGACTTGATACTCATTATGTGTGTCTCCTAGGGACATTTCTTTCCACCCTGAACTTTGGATCTTATATCTCTAAAATGGCTGTGACAGTAACTTCCTGGCAGGGCATGTGTAAGGATTAGTGATAATGAATGCAGAATGTTCACAGCGTAGCCTGGTGCTTGCTGTATAGAAGATGCTCAGTAAGGTAGCTCACATCATTACCTACCCTCGTGCCCCAGTGCTCAGCCTCTCCAGCTCCCTTGGACAATGCCTGCCCGGCCTCCTGTATTAGTTTCCCTGGGCTGCTGTAACAAAATACCACGATCTTGTGGCTTAAACAACAGAAACTTATTTTCTCACAATTCTGCAGGCAGGAGGTCTGAGATGGAGGTGTCTACAGGGTTGGTTTCTCCCGAGGCCTCCCCTTGGCTTATAGATGTCTGCCTTCCCTCATCTTCACATGGTCTTCCCTCTGTACCTCTGTGTCCAAATTTTCTCTTTTTATAAGGACACCAGTCATGCAGGATTAGGACGCACCCTAATGACCTCATTTTAACTTAATCACCTTTTTAAAGACCCTATCTCCAAATATAGACACATTCTGAAGTATTGGGGCATATGAATGTTGGGGACACAGTTCAACCTACTCCCTACCACTGCCACCACCACTCATTAGCAGGTGTTTGCCTGTACTTTAGCCAGTTAGGTGTGAACTCTGTCTTTCCTGTTTGGCTGCATCTTCTGCCCGGGGGTGCTGCCCCTCCACCCCTACTCCCGGGGAAGAGATAGGACTGATTGGAACCCCAAAGGTCATCTTGGGATAGAGGAGATGATAAAGCCAACTAGTCAAGGCAGCCATATTTTGGGGCGAGTTCTGAATGCCAGGAAGAGGACTTGAAATTGATCTAATAATTTCTTGACCTTTTTGCTTAAGGATAATCAAACACACTTTATATGGTCGTTGACGGTATTAAATGAAACAAGCACATAGCGTAACACAGTGACCCAGCACAGTGTAGGCTCTCCTCTCCTTCTCTGTTGATCAGAAGGGATACGCTGAGCTTGGTGTTCTAGAAAGATCCACCTGGCCGTGATAACACAAGCTGTCCTGGGGTGGGGGCAGAAACTGTTGGATTAGCACGGATCAGGACAGTAATAGTGGGATAGAGAAGAAACCAATTCAAGAAACAGCCTGAAGGAAGAAACACTGAGTTTAATGACAGTTTGGATATGAGGAGAGGAGAATGAAAAAGGAAGGGAGAGATCACAGCTGATCCCATGGCCTTTGACCTGGCTTAGTGATGATTGGTGCATTTGGTAGGAACGGGAGCTGGAGAGCGGAGGGAGGAAAGCTAGTGAACTCCTCAGAGATCATGCTGAATGTGCGGGAGGGCCCTGGAGGCCCCGGAGAAATGGGAGAGGAGGTCCCGGTCCATCAGCAAGGAGTGCCCAGGTGGGAGTGCCGCTCTTGGCTCTCGAGTTCGCCGGTGCCTCTCCTGGACGTTGAGCCGAACGCCCTCCTTCCTTCCCCACCCCGGAGCCCACGTCGGAACAGCAACTTGTTAATGAAGCTGTTGTTACTGTTACTGATGGTGATGACTCCTGGTCTTGTGTATCCTGGGCCAGGGTTTGATATCTGAGATAAAGGACTCTATTTCCAGTCTTCCCCTGCAAAGAAAATAGGGTATTCACAGCTGAATTACAGATGTACTTCCCCATTTTCCAAGAGAAAAACAAATAGAATTCCTAAGCAGGAGCACTTTTCTGGCTAAATGCCTTGGTGAGGAGTACATTGTTATTCCAGTATTGCTTATTCAGACTTTCTGAGCCTTCTCAGATGCTCGACTTCACATCCTCATTTTGCCCGCTTTGGTAGCAATATAACATTGTAAACTGCCAGGAAAAAGCAGCGGCACAGGCAGATGAGTTTCCAGGCGGCATGAATACCGCCTGACCAGGGAGTCCTTTCACACGGGAAAAGTCAGTGGAAGAGGAAGATTGGGTGTGTTTCTTTCTGATCAAACGGGGCACGGATACCCTGGGACCTATGGAGATCATCACCTGCTTCAGGGATGCGGAGGGGAGTATTGCCAATCGCCTGTTTCACCCTCCACCGACTTGACCCCGCTACCCCATGTAATACTGCAAGCGAGCGAACAGGCAGGAGAATGAATGCATGGGGATGGCCCACAAAAAGATAACTGCTTTCTCAAGGGAGGCAAGAAGGGTGAAGTTTTGGCCCAGAGTGGAAGGATTCCTAGGAAAGCCAAAAAAAAAAAAGCTCATCACAAGGACCAAGAGGAAGCACTTAAGAGCTATTATGGGAAGGAATTTTTCTAGTCTGGGAGAAATGACCCAGGGAAAGGAGACTTTCTAAAGAAGTGCTGAGAAGAATCCACAGGGGGAATAGAATGAGTTAGATGAGAATTTAAATGGAAGCATTCTATCCGGGACTGACAGTACAGGCTGAGTACTTTAGCCCCTGGCTCCAACAGCGAACAGCAGACTCAGAGGAAATGCAGACTGGAAAGGCTAAGAAGCAGCCTTCAGTATTGGCATATGAACAGAGAGAACAATGGACTGACATAGAGTATAGACATAGGCCCAAATATATACCTGGGCAGTTAGTATATGACCAAGCAGTGTTTTGAAGCAGTGGGGGATAAATCAATGATCAATGAAAGCTATGGGGAACTAGCTAGACATTTGTGGAGAAAAAATTAGACAGGATCCCTTCCTCACCCCTTGTAGCAAGACAAATTCCGCCTAGATGAAAGACGAAACCATAAAATCAGACAAAAATAAAATGTGTCAGATGTATATATGTGTGATGTATGTACAGTCAAAAGCCAAAAAAAAAAAAAAAAAAGCCATGGACAAGGTGTCTTATGTCTGCAATCCAAACACTTTGAGAGGCTGAGGCGGGAGGATCACCTGAGGCCAGCAGTTCAAGACCAGCCTGGGCAAGGTCCCCATCTCAACAAAAAATTTAAAAATTAGCCAATGTGGTGGCATGCACCTGTAGTCCCAGCTGCTTGAGAGGCTGAGCCAAGAAGATTGCTTGAGCCTAGGAGGTTGAGATTACAGTGAACTATGATCACACCATTGCATTCCATCTCTTAAAATGTGTGATGTATGTACAGTGAGACCCCATCTCTTAAAAAAAAAAAAAAAGTCAAAAAACAATCTGTGGAAAAAAATGTATAGCACAAATGACTGATAAAGAGCTAATTTCTTTCATTTGTCATCTAAGAGTTCTTACAGTTCAAAAAGGAAAAAGAATTATTAAAATTCAATACAGAAAAAAGCTCTTATGAACCAGTAGAAAAATGGGCAAAAGATGTTTACAGAAAAAGAAAAATATAGCTGATAAACATATCAAAAGATGAACAACTTCAATTGTTATTGAAGAAAAGCAAAATAAATGATTTTTAAAAATTTATTACACAACCGAAGATGAAAGGTTTGAGCATATCTCCATGTCCTGTGTACAAGGAAGTGGGGAATCAGGCACATTCATACCACTGGTGGCATGGTACCTTTGGAAGAGAATTTGTCAATGTCTATTAAAATTTTAAATTTACATGTCATTTATTAAGCATTTTGTTCCTAGAAATTTAACCTAGAGACATATATTTATACATGTGAACAAATATCCACACACAGGATGTCTATTGCTGCATTTTTGCAAATAACTAGATAAAAACCTAATTGTACTTAAACGATATTTGCATGTCCCCAGTACACTTTCCATTATACACATAGCTGTACATTTACCTATTAAGTGTGGTATTAATTAAAAAGAAAATGGTATAGCCAATCAGAAAATTACTAAATATTTATTTAAATGAATCAAATATATCTTCATGTTTCAGTTCTCTATTTCTATGTGACAAACTATCCCAAAATATAGCCACTGGAAATAAAACCCACCATGTACTAACTTTCATGGTTCTGTGGCTTGGCAATGTTCAGTTGAGTGGTTCACCTGCTCCGTATAGTGACATCGGGGGCTGCAGTCATCTGAAGGCTTGACTGGGCTAGAAGGCCCTAGTGGTTCACTCACATGGCTGATAATCAGCACTGGCTGTTGACTAGGAGCTTGACTTATGTTTTTGGCCACTGCCTCCATTTTCCTCTGTGTATATTTCCATGTGGGGTAGGCTTCTCACAGCACAGGGGCCAGATTCTGAAAAGGAGCATTCTAAGTGACTGCAAGCAGAAACAGCAAATCTCTTAAAGTTTTTCCCAGAAGTTACGCAGCATCACTTTCTCAACATTTTAGTGGTCAAGGCAAGTCACAGTGCCATGGCAGTTCTAAAATAGGAGAGGTAGCCTCCACCTCTTTCTGGGAGGAGTGGCTAAGTGTTTGTAGCCATCTGTAATTTACCACAGTGCATTTTCCATTTATGCACATACACATAGGTATACATTACATATACATATACACTTGCACATACGTAGTGTTAGACCATTCTTACATTACTATAAAGAAATATCTGAGGTGGGATAATTTATAAAGAAAAGAGGTTTAATTGGCTCACAGTTCTGCAGGCTGTACAGGAAGCACGGTTCCAGTATCTTCTCAGCTTCTGGTGAGGCCTCAGGAAGCTTCCAATCATGGCAGAAGGTGAAGCAGGAGCAGGTACATCACATGGGGAGAGAAGGTGCAAGAGAGAGGGAAGGAGAGGTCTCAGACTTTTAAACAACCAGATCTCATGTGAACAAACTGATCAACAACTCACTTATCACCAAGAGGTTAGTGCCAAACCATTCCTGAGGAATCCGACCTCATGACCCAATCACCTCCCACCAGGCCCCACCTTCAATACTGGGGATCACATTTCAACATGAGATTTGAAGAGGACAAACCTCCAAACCATATCACAAAGACATATATAAAATTTGCAGAATGATGCAAATAAACTGTTTATAATTTTGGCACGAGTAGAAAAGGACTGACATCTTTGTACTGTTTGTATTCTTACTATAAATGTGTACATTTTTTGAATTAAGAAAACCTTTTTTTAAGAAAACCAAACCTATGTCTTGAGCCATAAAAAGCTATATTCAGTGGGTAAGATATAAATTTACCACCCACAAATACAGTTCTGACCCAAGAGTCCTCCCACTCCTGTCATACAGCTCTGGAGCTGCCTAGAGCTGGCTGACAGTTTTTAGCAAGGTGGCCAGACATACAGGGCAGAGGCTTTCATCCCATGGCATGGTCGCAGGAGGAGAATACTGCTTCCCTTGGGTGATGGCCTATTGAGAATCCCAGTATCTTCCTTTAGGAGCCCCCCAGCTTGTTTTGTCACCAATTCTGATGTGGTTCCTGTATCAAGCCTTTGGACTGGTATAGGTAGCTAGCCCAAAAGTGACCTGCTAACGCAGACAGCCAGGAGCCATCCTGGAAGCGTGGGCATCAGGAGAGACTCAGACTTCCTCACTTAGCCACAACTCATGAGAACCAAGACATCCAAAAATAGAGCCCTGTCTGTGTATGGAAAGTCAGCCTGAGCCAAATACGCACGTGTACAGGGACACACAACACAAATAGGGCAGCCTTTTAGAGAAAAAGCCTGCAGAGCTGTGGCCCCAAATGCTGAAGCTGCACTCCACCAAGGTCTCTCAGACAGACCTTCTAAGTGACAAGACTGTGAGCCCCTACAGCCAGCTGGGGCTGGTTGCTGCAGTCTTTTGCAAGCCTCTGTTCTGCTAGTACTCACTTCTTCCCGGCCCCACCCCACCTCCTCTCTCCTGCACTCCCCACACCCCGACAAACATGCTTCCTACCAGCTGTTGTTCTGTGCTGCTGTGCTCACTTCATTCTGCAGTTAAGGGGAACAGCTGTGCACATGCATGCACATGAACAGATATGATGCAAATGTGTGTGCTGTGTAAATACATGTTGCTCAGCTGGATGGGCATGTGCAAATGTGTGGGTGTGTGCAAGATTGTGTGACAGCCTTCTGGGCATACATATCAAGAGCAGGTGCTAAGTTCAAGTTGTAATATGTGTCTATGTGTGAATATAGTTATATCTAATTGTGTGAGTGTATATAAATAAGAGAAGGGGGGAATGATTCTGGTAGCAACATCTCTGAAAAGATGGGCGCAGTGATTCCAGAGAGTGAGTTCAAGCAATCTGACAGAAATTCCATTTCTTCTTCCTTTCTGTGAAAGGGGAGGAATGCAAGGTATGTAGATGTCCCCAGCATAACCGCTGCCAGCACTGGCCCTTGAGTGAGATTAATGGCCTGTGTTGGGAGGACATCCCAAGGCAAGGATGACAGAGCCAAGAGAGAAGGATCCAACCACATTCTGCAAGGGCTCCCCATTCTCTTTCCTGCCCTCTGAGACAGGGTTTCTGGCACGGAAACACTGGCCCAGGCAGTCAGAGGGCCCAGGCTTAGGAGTCCTGCCTCCCCTGCCCGTGGGCCTCAGGAAAACAGACATCTCTTTTGTATCATGAATGAAGACAAAGTGTGAACTTAGGAGTCAGCCAGCCCAGCATTTGGATTACAGCCCCATCACTCCCGATCTGACTGACCTCTGACCGATCACTTAATTCCTTTGGCCTCAGTGTTCTCACTTATAAAATGGGGATGAGATATAACAGTACTTACCTGATATAGGGTGGAGGGGAGGATAAAATGTAAAGCACTTAGCACAGAGCCTGGCACATAACAGCTGATCAATCATTGGTAAAGTCACTGCTCCTGCTGATGGTGATGAAGACGATGATTCTGTTTGCTGCTCACCAGTGCCCCATGAGCAAAGCTGCTGCAGAGAACAGCTCTCAGGAGCACCATTCCTCCGCAGACCATGCAAATGGTAAGCCTTGGCCTTGTGCAGTGCACAGCCTGCAGCAGCCGCTCATGGCAGCCCAGCCTGTGAAGTAGGTCAGATGGAGTAAATGGCAGGAAGCAGCACGGCTGGAAGGAATCCAGGCCTACTGGCTCTTTACAGTGTCTCCTGCCCCAGCCCAGCCACCCCCACCTGACCAGGATTCACAGCCCAGAGAATACGCCATCTACTACTCACCCTTCTCATTTAGGTCCATACTCACCATAAACCATCCTCCCTGCCACTCTGAAAATAAAAAGACTCCTCAAGAGGAAAAAGCAACAATTGCCCTCAGGGGCCCAGCCAGAAGAAAGCATGTAGCTGGCTGACCTTGCAAGGAATGGAGGCAGAATGGGAGCTTGCTCCCCTCCTACAGGCTTTCTCCTCCTGGGAACAACTTGGGCACAGGATGGCACCCAGTCCTGTTGGTCTTTCTTCAGGGGACCACAGGCCTCAGATCAGACACACACACTCTCTGCAGAGCATCCACCTCCTAGGGTGCACATTTAAAGTGTGGTCAGAGATACAGCGGGGTGCACCAGGAGGTGGCTGGGCAGAGAGGGCCCTGTCCGTGCAGGGTGGGACGAGGCAGGGAATTTGCCAGCCTTTCTAGAGTGCAAGTGTTTTCCATTCAGCAGCCGCTGTGTGTTTTGTTTTGCTGTGCTTTGTTCTGAAAAGAAGTCAGCGTGTCTGCTGAGGCCTTAGGGCTCCACGGTGAGAGGAAGCTGGTGGAAGCCAAGGGTTGGGAGATCTGCCCTCCTCCACCTCTCCCTGACGTCAGCCTCTCAGCAGAGGCTCTGTCATTGGAGCATCTGGGGTTTGAGTAATGGGAACAGTGTGGCTAATGCCCACCTCGACTCCACATGAAGATGTGACATTTGCAACAATCATCATAATCATCATGATGTCATAGATTTGTGGAGCTCTGTGCATTTTTCAAGGAAAGATTGCTTTCTTTCATTTGTTTTTCAGTACAACCTTGTAATATACCTGCAGCTACCATCAATAGGGTACATTCTATGTGACAGGCCCCTGCTAGGCATTTTACATGCATTATCATTAAATTCTCACAACAGGTCTACAAATTAGAGATGATTTGCTCCCGTTTACAGATGAAGGTTTGGACAGGAGACAGAAACCTTAGCAGACTACCCAAGATGATGGAGCAGAGCTCAGATTTACAGTCAGGTATCTTTGGCTCCAGGCCCACTCTCACAGCCATTCTGCTTTACTCATAAGTTAAATAGGGAGGTAGGTTATTACCCTGTTATAAAGAAAGGAAGGAGACCTAACAAATCTTAAGTAACTTGCTCAAGACCACACAGCAAGTTAATGACACATCGAGACCCCGGGACTTGACTAGCACCTAAAGAACCTTTTAGGTACTCCCTAAAAATCTTTCATGGCACCTCTGTGGGATGGTTGTCTTCCCACTTTACAGATGGAAAACCTGAGGTACAGGGCAGAGAAGGATTTGTCCAAACTTTTAGCAAACAGTAGGGGCAGGGCTTCTCCCCAGGCTGGGAGTGGCTCCAGAACTCCGCCCAGGTGCTGCCCTGGGAGATCCCAGCCCACCTCCTCCACCCTCTGACCTCCTCGCTCCCTTCTCTGGTGAAGGGAGCTCTGTGGGCCTCTGCTCCTCTTTTCTCTGTAGCATGCCATGAGAGTTTCTAAGCAGAACAGAAAAGACTCTACTTTTAAAAGTGCCCAACCCAGTGACTTTCCAAGGATTCTTCAGTTTCATGATGACTCGACACAGGCTGAGAGATTGCAAGCTCCAAGCCACCAAGAAGAAAGAGCTATTGATTCGGAGCATTTCTGCCCAGCTTCCTCCCTGCTGTCCCTCTTAGATGTCCTTTTGTAACAGCGTGAACACAGTCCCCACTCCCTCTCTCACCAAGACTGAGAGAATCCAGGGGGCTCGGTGCTGCTCAACATGTCACGTTGATGCTGGGGATTTATGCTAAGAGATGGATGCAAAGACCAATCACTTGTAACATTGGCATACCCAGGAATTCATCATGAAGGGGTGTCACACACATGCACACACGCAAACACACACCAATCACGCAATTCATTTATTGTCAAAGAGACTGTTACTGAGAAATGAACCTTGATGTTGCAAAGTGATTGAAATGCATTGAGATAATTTCATTGTAGCTACCTTGTTCAAATGGCCCTTTCATGACAATGCAGTGTGGTTTCTGCAAAGAGACACTGACGTATGTTCAGGCTTTCAGAAGCTATTTTGGGATGAATGGGCTACTGGGCTGGCTTTGTGGGTTCTTGTTAAATGAAATAAATCTGGAAGCCTTAATTCTAGCTTTGTCTACATGGCCGGATATAAGTTTCTGAGAAGGGCTGAGGCAGGAGCTGGGTTTAAAGGAACTGAGCTCATTAGCCCAAGACTGCTGAGGAGGGTGTGGGGGGTGAATGCCTGTAAAGAAGATCTCAGAGAGATATTTGCCCATCACAAAGTCAGGCCTGTTGCACATTATGGGGTGGGGAGAGAATGACAGGCGGAGAGGTTTCACCTGCTGAATAGCGGGATGAGTCTCACAGAAAAGACAATGCCTGGGCTCCTCAGAGCCCCGGCTGCTTCCTGAGGCCCACTCCCCAGCCTTCTAAGAATGGGGTCCGCCAGAAAGGCTAGGAGGCAGAGGATCGGCCAAAGGTGGGGCCTCAGCTGATCTGGGGACAGCAGCAGAGATTAGTAAAGGGAGATATTAGGTTAGTGCAAAAGTAATTGCAGTTTTGCCATTAAAAGTAATTGCAAAAACCTCAATTGCTTTTGCACCAATCTAATAATTGTATGTGGAACACAGTGTGGGGACCTCACATCGTTTTCCGGTCCTGTTCTTCAGAGTGTTCTTAAGAAGAAAGCAGCTGTAATGAAGAGGAAAATAAGGTGGTACGCTGCCTCTTCCAATGTGCCATACTGAGTCACACAGAAAAATGTGTGTGTACATATACTTGTTTCAGAAAGTAGGAAATAAGGATGTCAAGTTACTGCTCTGAAGTCACAAGTCACTTCGGTTCTCTGAATATCTCTCTCTCTCTTTTTTTTTTTTTTGTGACAAAGTCTTACTCTGTCTCCTAGGCTGAGCTGCAGTGGCACAAGCATAATTCACTGCAGCCTCAACCTCCTGGAATCAAGCCATCCTCCTGCCTCAACCTCCCATGTAGCTGGGACCACAGGCATGAGCCACCACGCTCAATGAATTTTTTTATTTTTTGTAAAGATGGGGTCTCACTTTGTTGCTCGGGCTGGTCTCGAACCCCAGAACTCAACTGATCCTCCCACCTCAGCCTCCCAAAGTGTTGGGATTACACACATGAGCCTCCATGTCCGGCCTTATTTTTATTTATCTGATAAAAAATATCAATAACTAATCATCTCACAAAATTGCTAAGATCAGAGATAATGTATGTGAAAGTGTTTAGCGAATTACTTCGCGGGCCTAAACTATAATAATAATAATGCACATACTAGAATTATAATTATACATACAATTTTTTCTCCTTAATAAGCTCTGGCTCTATACCATCTGATACACTCATCACTAGCCACATGTGGCAGTGAGCATTTGAAGCATGGCCAGCTCAAACTGAAGTATGCTGGAAATATAAATATATACCAGACTTTGAAGACATTACCTAAAAAAAGGTAAAATAGCTAACAAATAATTTTATAATTATAATCTATTGAATTAATAATATTTGAAATATTACTAAAATAAAACATACTATTCGAAGAAATTTCACATTTCTTTTTACTCGCTGAGTGTGGCTACTAGAAAATTTAAAATTGCAGCTGCAGCTCGCATTATATTTCTATTAGATGTTGCTGCCATAGAGAATTGGAAACGTGTTGTATTCAGCCTTTACTGCACCTTGTGGGAACACTATCAATATTTGTCGAATGAATTGTGATGTGAGTCAACTCTTCTCCCCATCCACTCAGCAATTCTGGGGAAGATGCGGTTATGATATCAGGCTATGTGAGGACAAGCTGGATGGAGGGGCTCTGGCTCTGTCAAAATCGCCTCTGTGTGACATTTCCTTGGCCCAATCCACATCTGGTGAATAGGTCACACCTCGTGGCACCCACTGCCACCACCACACCTCTAGCCTTCAAGATCCTCTTGGGGGCATTGGCCTTCATTCCCCTTTTTGACCTGTCCTGCCTCTCTCCTGGCACCCCTTCCAGTAACTACTTAGGACCCACTTATTGGAAAGGAAAGGGAGAAGAGCTGGGATGTGATTTTTCACATGAAAAGAAAACTTCCTGATGAAGAACCTGCAGGCAGCTCCCAGCCCCTTAAGATCGCAGCTCCTGCCCGTGGAGCAAGCAAATGGGAAGCTCTGTACCTCCTGCACGAAGGGCAGTGACTTGGGTGGGAAACCTGGAGCCTTTCCTACTGGGCTCTGTGCACGAGGCCACCTGTCTTCTCTGGAACTCACTGCCAGAGCAGGGAGAGAAGCCAATGGCAGTTGGAGTCACTCAGAGCCCTGGATTTGGGCGCTGGGCAGCGCTCCTCAGGCCAGCTGAGCTGAGCTAATACATGGCCACAGACACTCCCCCACCACTCCCGGCTGGCTTCTTCTCTTTCATTTGCATTCCTCTTCCTCCTCACGCAGCAGAACCCTGGCCTTGACACCTAAGACACTCTAAAGGGATAGCCCTGAGCAGATGCTCTTATGACTTGCCACCTGCGGGATGCACGGGCCGGTGTCTCTGCCAGCCCCTTTCTCCCTGCAGCCCCTGACCTGTCGTCTCTCCAGAGCTGACCTACTAAGACAAGCCGGCAGATGAGAACACCCAAGGTGGAGGGTCCATGTGGCCCTGCCTCCTTTGGACTTCATAATAGCGTTTGGAGAGATTATACAACTTTTTAAAATAGAGTCTTAGCAGGCCTGGGAGAGGGATTTGTCTGCCTGAGTGTTTTTTCTTCAGGATATGTGTCAGAAGGATTCTTAAATCTTCAAAAACCCCTCATCTCTCCGTGAGCATGAGAACGTGGTAGCAGTAAGGCACAGTAAAAAACCTGCTGATAGACAGATGGAATGGTGTAATTATACGCAGGAGGGAGAGAGGGAGCGTTTGCTGAAATTATTAGTGTGGGCAGACAATTAGAGGCTTTTCCAGAAGATTACACTTTTCCCTCCCATCTGCGCTCCATTTAGGAGTTTTTACATTCACAATGCTATTTCCTCCTCAGCTGTGCCATTTGCCATTTTGCCCAAATTATTATTGTGCTTGACTTTGCATTTGTTCAGACTTCACCAGCGTTGTCATCTTCCCTTCTTGGCACTTGCTCAGTCTCTGAGCCTCCCTGGCTCTCTCTTCTCATCACTTTCCCTCTCTTCTTCCTTCACTCTCCCTTCCTCCCACTCTCCTCATCACCAACAAAGATCCTCAGATGACTGTCAAGAGCAGGGCTGCTTGTTTGTGGTCTGAGTAGGACTTGATTAATATCCAATAATAGGGAGGTGATCAGAGCAATCATGGGACCCACCCGGAGGCCCCGGGAGAAGCTGAGTCCCCGGCAAGTGAGGCTGAATGAGCATTTAGGATTTGTGGTTTGGACTGGGAGGAAAGAGCCACTTTTACATGAGTTCAGGTTATTAGGGTTGGTCTAAATCTTCTGACCTCTTTTGGATCTAAAGCTATAGGTCCTGGGGCCTCATCTCTAATCACTATTCATGTATTCATTCATTAAACAAAGAGCCACTGAGCATCAGTTGTGTCACAGTCGTAGGACTTAGCCCTGGAAAGGTAGAGTAGAACCAGCATTCATTGAATATCTCCTCTGAGTCAGGGTCTGTGGGAAAAGCTTTGGCAACTGGGAACTATTACCCTCATGTTCTAGATAAGAAAACAGGTTCCTAGGGGTTGAGTGGCTTGTCCAAGTCAGGGACTAAGTGCCCACCCTGTGCAGTGAGCCGGCAAGGCCAGTGCTGGCTGCAGTTCACCCCAGGGCCTAGGGCAATAGAGGAAGTCCCGCCTTCTTGTAGTCCTGTCATCTCCCGCATAAACAAGCACATAAACAATTACAATTGTAATTAAGGAGGGCTGTGAGCCAGGTGAACACAGGTCTGGGGGACCAGCGGAGGAAGTGACTAAGCCTTCATTTGCAAGGAGGCTGAGGGGAACATGCTAAGCCGCAGCCCGAAGGAGGCTGAGTCGCAGGGCAGAGCACCCTGAGCGAAAGAACAGTGGGTTTGTGCAGGCAGAGGCTGGAAAGGAAGGAGATGACACTTATTTAGTGCATTTTTTTTGTCATGTTTAAGTGCATTATACCACTTAATCCTCAGGGCAGCTCTTAGGTCATCTCCATTAATACAGATGAAGAAACTGAGACTCAGAAAGGGAAGATAATCTGCCCGGAAAGCAAGTGGTACAGTAGTGTCTGGATGTAAGCGCTAGTCAACCTCATTCCACAGTCTAGCTCCTGCCCTTTGTATGTAGGGAGCTGCAGTGTGTTTGGACAAGAGGGGTGTTCGGTGTGTCCACTGGCGGTGCCTGCAGGAAGACGGTGTGGCTTTGGGAGAGAGGGAGCCTGATGTCAACTCGCCAAGGGCCTTATGAGCCATGCGATGTGGTTTGAGCCACCCTTTCGGTACTGTGGCGCCTCTGTGGATTCCAGCTGTGGTGTGTTGATCAGCAACGTTTGGGGATCACGTGGAGGATGGCAGAGGTGAGGACCTGCCTGGAGGCTGAAAGGTGGGTTGGACGGTGGGGCCAGATGTCGAGGCAAGAGGCCACATGCCTGCGTACAGCTGTGGGAGTTTGCAGGCTGCATGTGGTATCTCATAGAAGGCTGGGGATTGGGCAAAGGCAGGAGTTAAGGGTAACTTGGAAGTTACAGGATAAGAAATTGGATGGATGATGTCACCATCAACCACACAAGGCAACCAAGGAGGAGAAGGGTCAAAGAAAGGGAGAAGGGTTAATTAAGCAATAAGGAAGCACTAGGCCATCCAGGCTTTTTTTTTTTTTTTTAATTGAGATAGAGTCTCGCTCAGTGGCCCAGGCTGGAGTGGAGTGGCGGGATGTTGGCTCACTGCAACCTCTGCCACTCAGGTTCAAGCAATTCTCATACCTCAGCCTCCCAAGTAGCTGGGACTACAGGCACGTGTCACCATGTCAGGCTAATTTTTTTTGTATTTTTAGTAGAGATGGGGTTTCACCATGTTGGTCAGGCTGGTCTTGAACTCCTGACCTCAGGTAATCCACCCGCCTCAGCCTCCCAAAGTGCTGGGATTACAGGCATAAGCCACCTCGCCCGACTCATCCAGGTTTTCTTAGCAAAGCATATGAGGAGGCAGCAGTGTCAGGGAACTGGGGAGGTTGCCGTAAATTAGAGCTAACCCAACTCTTTCCCCACCAAAAATAAATTTAAAAATAAAGTTTTCCAGGCTGTGGCTCTACGCTGGCCATCAGCTTGCTTGTCTTCATGGGAAAAGGAAGATTCTTCAGGAATCAAACTCCCTCTCCCTGCCTCCTTCCCCTCTCTCAGAGCTCTGTCCCAGCTCCTTCTTGCAATGCAGCAGAGCCCCCAAGACACGAAAGCTCACAGACAGGCAGCCAGACACAGGCAGATGGCCCTTCATCAAGGAATTGGCCCTCGTCATCCTGGAGCAGGAGTCAATGCAGCTGACTCACAAAGGTTTCAGGACAAGGACACACCGGTGTCTCTAGAAGTATTTGCTGAGCCTGGAGAGACAGCGGTGTGGTGAGCAGAGAAGGTGGGGACTTGGGAAATGTGGCAGGGACTAATGCCAACTTTACCAATCACATGGAGCTCAGATGCCACGTGACTTAGAGACTCTTTTTTTTTTTTTTTTTTTTTTTTTGGTAAAGCTAATCCCAATGGCTTTGGGATCTCTGTGAAATGGTACAGTTAAACAATGGAAAAGCACTGGGCCAGGAATTGGGAAACCTGATTGCAGTTCTAACTCAAACACTAACTTTGTGATCTTGGACAAGTTGCTGCTTCCTTTCTCTGAGGCTCAGACCTTCTGATCACACAGATAAGAGAACCCCAAAATACCAATGAATTAGAGCAGGGATTGGCAAACTTTTTCTGTAAAGGGCCAAAAAGTAAATACTTTCGGCTTTGTGGGCCCCACGGTCTCTTTCATAGCTATCCTGCTCTGCCGCTGTAGCAGGAAAGCTGTCATAGATGGCTCGCAGACAGAAGGGGGTGAGGGATGGGTTCCCATAATGCTTTAGCTACCAGAACAGCAGCCCGATTCAGCCAGTTTGCTGACCCCTGCTATAGAGCATTCTAGGCATTGAGACTCGCATCTCATCTCCCAATCAAAGCAAAGGAGTGAGGGAGCCTTCATTCTTTTTGAGTCAAAAGGCATAGGTTAAGAAAATGAAGATAGGTTGGGGACTTACCTGTCTCTTCCAGTCCCCATTCCAGCCACCCTTATAAGGGAGTTTTACATTTAGTGAGCATCTACCTGATACTGAGTAAGCACTCTCATATATATAATGAATTCCATCATCATTATTAACAACAGCCCAGTATTCACCTCTCTGTAGAGAATTTTTTTTAAAAAAGGTGGCTCATAGAAGTCAGTACCTGCCCTAAGGTCACAATGCTTACAGCAGAGCCAGATTAAAGTTTGATTTGTCACCGCCATTCATTCATCCACAAGAGCAGATTCCTCTTTGTGTGAAGGCCTAGTCAGCACCCCCAAACCTGCCCTAGAACAGCATTCCCCACACCCGCCTGGAGCTGATGGAGGCCTGAGCAATCATTCTCCACGCTCGCCCTGCTTCCTCTGCAGTATTTTCCTTCCCCACTTTTAAATGTCACGGAGCGTGATGCTGACACAATCAGACAGAATCCCCAGTCCAGACAGCCCCACAGCCAGGGGAGACACAACTCCGGTGCACGCTCACTAGGATACAATGGAAAAGTGCAATTCACTTTAAATAGATTCCCATAAATAAGCAATAAAACAAGAACAACCATTTGCAGTGAGCATTTCCAAGGTTTGATGAGCTAGGAGTTCGGACTGGGGGAAAAACAAAGAGCCTTTTTCATTATTTCCCCATCCCTGCAATTTTCTTTTACTGCCTGACGACTTTGAAAGGAAAAAAAACGAATGTGGCTCCCTTAGGGATGGAGCCCATGCTCCCATCTCCTGCTGCAACTTGCCAATTCAACTTCCAAGTTGTCCTAGTGTGACTGTGAGCTGTGCCGCTTCCCTCCGCCTCTTCAACCTGTGGCTGCCTGGGCCCCAGCTCCTTCCTCTACTGGCCTGCCCAGACTTCTGGCTTAAGTTTTGAGGGCCCGAGAAGACAAGGTGGGCAGACAGGGGTGGGATCTGGGGAAGGGGCAAGGACTAGGAGGCTGAGCCCGAAGGATCCTGGGTTTTAAAAAGGTGTATCTAGGTGTTCAGCGGAGTGGGGCTGCAGCCCAGGCCAGAGCCTGATTGGAAATGTGTCCGTTTCCACTCACTTTTTCTCTGCTACCAGATGCGACTTTATCACTAGAAGGTAATCCTGCCTCAATTTACATTAATGTAGAAGGCTACATACGCTATCACTGGTGGACAAATGAGATTTTCCCTTCGGAAACTCAGCCTGATTTGAGGCTTCCTCTGACTATGGGTGTGTGTGTGTGTGTGTGTGTGTGGTCACAGGCACTCACATGCATGTGCATACAGATGTAACACACTTATGTGTTCCCCTGCCATGACTTGCACGCTTTTACGGCATGCCGGCAGAGTCTCTTTCTCTCCTTGTTGACTTTCAGATGCATTCTTCATCTCCTGATAGCCAGTTTTTTTGTTGTTTTTTTGTTTGTTTGTTTGTTTGTGTTTGAGACAGAGTCTCACTCTGTCACCCAGGCTGGAGTACAATGGCGCAATCTCAGCTCACTGCAACATCTACCTCCCAGGTTCAAACAATTCTCCTGCCTCAGCCTCCTGAGTAGCTGGGATTACAGGTGCGCGCCACCACGCCCGGCTAATTTTTTTTGTATTTTACTGGAGACAGGGTTTCGCTGTGTTGCCCAGGCTGGTCTCAAACTCCTGATCTCAGGCAGTCTGCCTGCCTTCGCCTCCCAAAGTACTGGGATTACAGGCGTGAGCCACAGTGCCTGGCCCAGCACAGCTGAATTTAACTGCACTCACTCATCTATCTGCAGTCACCTGGAGGGTCACCTAGAGGGTGGCTGGTCTAGGATGGCCTCACATGTCTGTTTTCCAAGGGCGTGAGCAGGAGCATGCAAGCTTCTTGAGGTCTTGGCTCAGCACCAGCACAGCCTCGCTTCCACCACAGGCTATGGGCCAAAGCAAGTCACCAGGCCAGCTCAGATCCAAGGGATGGGAAAGCAGTCTCCACCTGTTGGTGGGAAGAGCTGCAGAGTCACATTGCAAAGCGGGTAGATCCAAGGAGGGGTCACCTGTCCCTAGTAATCAACATCCTACTTTCTGTTTTTTCTATGAATCTGACCATGTTAGACCCTCATAGATGTGAAGTCATACAATATTTGTCCTTTTGTGACTGGCTTGTTTCACTTAGCGTAATGTCTTCAAGGTTCATCTATGTTGTAGCATATGGAAGGTTTTCCTTCCTTTTTAAAGCTGAAGAATATTCCATTGTATGTATATGCTATATTTTGTTTATCCATTCATCATTGATGAATACTTGGGTTGTTTCCACCTCCTTTTTTTTTTTTTTTTTTTTTTTTTTTTGAGACAGAGTCTTGGTCTGTCACCCAGGCTGGAGTGCATTGGTGCAGTCTTAGCTCACTGCAACCTCCGCCTCATGGGTTCAAGTGATCCTCCTGCCTCAGCCTCCTGAGGAGCTGAGACTACAGGTGTGTGCCACCACACCCAGCTAATTTTTGTATTTTTAATAGACGCAGGGTTTCTCCATGTTGGCCAGACTGGTCTCGAACTCCTGACCTCAAGTGATCTTCCTGCCTTGGCTTCCGAAAGTGCTAGGATTACAGGCCTGAACCACCGTGCCCAGCCTATTTCCACCTCTTAGCTATTTATTGTGAATAGTGTGGCTGTGAACGTGGGTGTGCGAATCGACACCCTGCTTTTAATGTTTCTGGATGTCTACTCAGAAGTGGAACTGCTGCATCAGATGGTGGTCCTATTTTTAATTTTTTAAGGAACCTTCATTGTGTTATCCATAGCAGTTGCACCATTTTACAACACCACCAACAGTGCACAAGGGTCCCAATTTCTCCACGCTCTTACCGACATTTGCTATATTCTGGCTTTTCTCTATAGTGGCTATCGTAATGGGTGTGAGGTGATACCTCACTATCATTTCGATTTGCAAATCTCTGATGATTAGTGATGTTTAACATCTTTCCATATGCTTCTTGGCCATTTGTAAATCATCTTTGGAGAAATGTCTATTCAAGTCCTTTTCCCATTTTTTTTAAATCTGGTTATTTGATTTTTTATTGCTGTATTTATGTATTTCTCTTCAGTACTATAATAAACATTCTTTAAATTACCAAACAAACAAGAAAACTAGAGTAGCAACATCAATCTTCAATGCATCCTTTCTCTTCCTCTACCCAAAGTAACTAAGCACTTTCTCGAATCTTATGTTCATCATTGACTTGCTTTCCCTTTTTTCAAACAAAGTTTTACTACTGCTACATATATTTTTTTTAAAAAAAGAAGAATTTTCAGTTTGGATTTATTTTAACCGTCTACAAAGGGTATCATGCAATATGCATTCTTCTGAGACTTTTTGCACTTGAATTCTGCTGCTAAAACTAATTCATATTGTTGCATGGGACTATTGTTCATTCATTTTGACTGAGGTTTATTATTCCATTAAATAGGCACACCACAATATATTGATCCAGTCTCCTGTCAGAGAACATTTGTATTGCCCCCAAGTTTTGCTTTATATAAATAGTGCTGAAATGACCGTTCTCATACATGTCTGCTGGTATACGTGAGAGAGAGTTGCCCTTGTCTGACTTCCTAAGAGTGGGATTGATGGATGATGGAGCATTTGAATGATCAACTTTACGAGATCATGACAAAGTGGCTGTACAATTTCTCCTTCCCATCAGCACTGCACAAAACCTTCTGCAGATCCACACTCCCTCCAACACCCGATATTGTCATACTTCCATACTCTTAACAGCCGAGTGGGTGAGATTGGTATCTCTTGTGCCCTTGATATGCATTTCCCTGATCATTAATGAGGTTGAACATCCCATCATATGTTTATTGACCATATGTGTTTCTTTAATCCAAATAAGAACTTCTGTTCATCAAGACACTGCAAAGAAAGTGTAAAACAAGTTAGAAACCAAGGCAAGTTCTTTGCCACACACGTAACTGACTTCGCACAGTGTGAAGAGCATATACAAGAGCACAACTCACTTCCTAGGAAAATGGGTAAAAGAAATGACAAGGATTTCACAGAAAATCCCCCAGTGCTTACTGTGGGCCATAAAGGTGCACTTGTATTCACGACAGCAGCTACTGGTAAAGATTCCTCGACATCAGATAAAAGCTTCTTTATTGTAGACGAAACTTTCTAAGGCCTTGTCCTTAGCTGGTTCAGGGATTAGTCAGCGAAGCCTGCATTCCCTCTTTTGCCAACTGGAGAATTCACCTGAGTCCACAGAAGGTGTTCACAGTGACAAAAACTCCAAGCCCAAGATGCTCTCACAGATGGTTACCTAGGGACACCCAGAAAACCCCAAAACATAAGGCACAAAACCGTCATCCTTCCCCAAAGAACCAGGTAACATTTTCCCAACCAGAGCCCTTCTAGGTTAATCCCAGGGGAAGGGAGGTGACTTCCCATCATTATCCATCCACTGAGGGAAGGGGGATTATTTTTCTTGCCCTAAAACTGCTCTGAAACTAATGGGAAAAAAAAAAAAAACCCCTGCTTAGAACTAATTTCTTTCAAACATTCCCTGGAGCCAAAGAAATGGTTAAGTATTTAGGCTTCAAAGAATTTCCCTGCTGGGGTGTGGGTTTCTGATGGAGAATACAGAGATGGGGTATAAGCTATCAGCACATACATGAATTAAGGCGCATAAACACTCACTGCCAGTGATCTTACACATAGTCCGCACTACAGATAAAGCCAGGAGAGGTCCCATTCTGAAGTAGTGCAGCTGAAACTGGGGAGGTTGAGAGACTGACGCTGGGAAAACATCTCAGTCACACAAATGGGGGTCGTGGCTTTCTTCTCGGGCCTCCTCCAGTGACTTAGGAGATACTGCAAGAGGGAAAGTCTGAGCAAGAGGAAGGCAGTGTGAGGCCGGGAGACAAATAGGGTCTAAAAGAAGCATCAACTCTCACACTCCCATCCCTGTTTCACTAACTAGCTTTCTAAGATGCTGCTTGCCATTTGCAGTTAATAGCAAATGTCTTCCCATATTTATTCACTTACCTGCCAAGGGCACCGATTCTCTGTGCAGCCATGTGAAATCTGACTAGCAGATTATACCTTCCGTGCTAACCTGTCAGTCTTGGGAGGGCCTCTGCTGAGACCCAGGTGGCCAAAGAAAAGTGACAGGAAGACAGGTAGCTAGTTGCACTGACTTGAAGCGAAACTGCGTAAAAGCCAGGCCCTTGCAATGCAGGCTACCAGAGCAACTGGCTAACAAGATGTCTCTTCCCATCTCCTGGCTGGGTTTGGATAGAATAATCAGGCATGTCTACACTTGGGAGTGTCAAGGTAAGGTAGAGCCAGGTGACAAGAAGGCAGCTGGAAACTCTGAAGACTCATCCTCCTCGGGTGCATAGGAGACCTCCTCTTTGGAGCTTGCAAGGAGCAGAAGTGGCCTAGCCCTGTGATCTCCAGCAAGCACTTTGGACAGGGCTGTTAAATGATAGATCATGAGATGCAAGGATGGGGACTCTGGGCTCCCAGGGGGTCTGGGCAGCTCCATGGCCTGGTCAGCCTCATCTTCCAAGGTGTCTCATTCTTCCAAGTCGAGATGGGACAAATTCCAATACCAAATCTTAATCTCACAAGCCACTGGGAGAAGGTATTGGCCATTGGAAAATCGTCTTTCTTAACTATTTCCAGGATTCTTTCTAGTTCCTGAAACAACAATTCTCAGACTGTTGATGTTTCCTGCAAGATCACAGTGGGCCAGTTTATCACCTGGCAAAGATCAGGCAGCTCATGCTCAATACGTTATTACAATACTCTCTCTCTCTCTCTCTCTCTCTCTCTCTCTCTCTCTCTTCTCTCCCCCTTACACACACACACATAGTTCTACATAGCTGCTCTATGGTCAGCCAAACAAAGACAAGATTGAGAGCGGAAAAAAAAAATCTTCCTGTCCTACCATTTTCTTGCTTTTATTTCCTCCTCCCTCATCATCTTCCCATTCCTCTTCAGGGCCTAAAGAGCTCTGAGTGTTCATTGTTATTAAGCAGAAATTTCTTGTGACAGCTATCATGTCATCTCTCAGTCTTTTAGAACTGACAGAGACAAGAAGAGAGTTTATAAAATACCCACATTTCCCTTCTTACAGAAAACTGGGACAGCAACAGGGCTTATAAAATACACACTGCCCCCACCTTACAGAAAACTGACTGTATATATTCCAAGCAAGTAACAATTCCTCCTTTTATTGTTTAATTATGAGCTGACGCAGCTAAGATAAAGGCCCAACCAATCCAGGGCTCAAAAGTGCCAATCATTCTCTGCAGAAAGCTGAGGCTAACTCTCTCCTTTTATTATATTTGTTATGATTTTAGTTTGTTCAGCAATAAATGCAATATTGACGTTTAGCTCCTAGAAAAAAAAGAAAAAAGAAATAGGCAACCAAAACATTGTTAGCTTCAAATATTTGAGAAGTTTCCAACTGGGGGCCACAGGTGTTTTCTTACTCTCTTTTTAATTTTATTTCCCCTCTATCCCCCACCCAAACATGTCCACAGAGGCATGTCTTCCAGTCAACAACTTATTTGCAATCAATATCGCTTATGTACAGCATGCACACAATCATGTTCCAAATGGAAAAGGAAGGTGATTGAATGCACTCATCAGAGATCACCTGACTGTGGCCAGAGCTGGGTGAAGAGGTAGCCAGAGACCAGAAGTGGGACAGGCTGCTCTTGGTACTGCTAATTTACAGTGTTGGCAATAAGGCCAAGCTCTCCACCTCCATCCATCTTCAAGCCCAAATTATTTTAGGCCTCTCGGAATTGACATACTAGCAGAGGCAGGAGTCGTTCCTAAAGAAGTTATGCATCTTCTTCCCCTTGACATTTTCGTAAATAAAATGATTTCTCTCTCAAATTTAACTGGCACTGGAATACCTTTGATACACCTACAGCCCTTTATTTCCTTTTTCTAGATGCTTTCTTTTGCTGCTTCGGGCCTAGGAGGGCTTTCTCCCTCGCTGGCAGTGGAGCCTGTGCCTTGCACAGGCGTCTCTTCAAGGCTGTGCTCCCATGGCCATTTCACCGCATCTCTCTTTGCCTGTCATTACCTGCAGACTTTTCTAGTTTCTCACTGGACTGAGCACTCTGAGAATAGGGGCCTCAGAGCACTTATCTTTGTATCCCCAGCATCCAAAACAATGCCTGGCATGTAGGAGAGTGCAATGTAAATTTGTTGAATGAAGCAATGGGGAAAAATATCAATGATTTACTCTATCAATCAATGAACTGAGCATGCAAGAGATGGTAGCAGAAGAATGTCTTAGGAAGTAGACCTCCTTCAAACTAATAGAAAACCCTGCAATTTCCCCCATAGTGTTTCCAGAACTAGCAGCTCCATGGGAATATCTAGAGGTTTTGGTGTGGATTTTTGTGAATTCTTTACAGGAGAGCTTCCAGCTGGGTGAGATTTCCTGCTTTCTTGGGTATCAAGGTTAAAAATATAAATTTTTTAAAACTCTGGGCTAGGTAAATTTGGGGATGTTATGTTGGGAGGTATGCGTTGATTTTTCCCTCTCTGTGCTAATTTGAAGGCAATTTTGTGATGCAAATGACCCAAGTTAGGGTGACTCTGAATTTGCTTAGGCAAGAAAGCCAGGTGTGAAAATAAGGACTAGCTCACTGCCTGGCGCAAGGCAGGGCTCAGCACGTTTGATGACAGTGTTGCAGGTGTTACTTAGCTTATTTCTGGGGTGTGGTTCTTTGATGCACCCATTCATGAACTTGAGCCTTCTTAGACATACCTTGAACACGTGTTGTGGTCTTGGCCCCAACCACACTTGCAACCTCACCTCTGGCCTGTCATCCTCATTGTCCTGCCTTCTAGCCATACTCCTCTACTGCAGTTCCAGGGATGTCATCTCTGTCAGGCCTTCTGAATTTGACTCTTCTCAATGTGACCTTCCTTCCCCTCTTATCATCTGGATAACTCCTTCTTATGTTTCAAAATTCAGTGTAGGATCCAGGCATGGTGGCTCACACCTGTAATCCTGGCACTTTGGGAGGCCAAGGTGGGTGAATCACTTGAGGTCAGGAGTTCGAGACCAGCCTGGCCAACATGCGAAGCCCCATCTCTACTAAAAATACAGAAATTAGCCAGGGGTGGGAGCAGACACTTATAATCCCAGCTACTTGGGAGGCTGAGGCAGGAGAACTGCTTGAACTGGAGAGGCCGAGGTTGCAGTGAGCCAAGATCACGCCACTGCACTCCAGCCTGTGCCACACAGTGAGACTCTGTCTCAAAATTAAAATAAAATAATAAAAAAATAAAATTCAGTGTAGGGTAACATGCGCAGGAACGCACAGTCCCTCCCCACCCTCCCCGCTCAGTGGCCAGCACTGACCCTATCAGAACATTCAGCTTGGGACTCCCTTCCTTTGTGTATCTTCCATTCTCTTCCACAGACCCACAAGGCTTATAAAAATAGGATGGTGTCTTCTGTCTCTGCAGCTCATCACCAAGCACAGTTCCTAGAATGGTCCATAAATGTTTAGTAATGAGTGAAAATATGTGAGTGGACTAACAAAAGAATGCTAACCTCCATAAAAAGGCCACCAGTCTGGAGCAGGCCTTGGGAAAGCCGTACAATCCATGGAGACCTGCCTCCACACCCGCGCCACACGTGAGAAAGCCCCTGCAGGTGGGTGGGCTGTGGAGGAGAAGCTCAACACAAAGGCAGAACGCAGAGACCCTGCCAGTAACTCGGACCACAGGGAAGGAGCTGCTGATGGACTCGGGGGCCATCTGAGGCAGGGTTTGCTCACACCTCAGGAACAGTGCCCACAGAGCCAGAGTAGACAATCCTTTCAATCCTTTCCTCAGGTCTACCTTGGCCTGAGAAGAAGCAGGTGAAGGGAACAGAGGCAGAGCCGGGTGGAGCAAAGGAGTAAGCTGTGCACATGGGAAGCAGATTCAGCATTGAGCAGGCACAGGATGCCACGTGAAGAGCCCAGCATGAGGGAAAAAGTCTCCAGTGGCCCCGATCCAGTGGGTCGGCCATCTGCCCCCAAGGGGCGTGGAGCCACTCTGGCAAACATCACTGAATGCTGTGAGGGCAACAGCTCTGAATGGCCAAGATGCTGCCGACGGTGGGGAGACATTTGCCGTCATAGGCAAGATCTCAAAATGAGATGGAAACGACGTGTCACAGCACTTTAACTCAGCCATGGTATTTTGGAATGTTTTAATTAAGGTTTATCTGTTACCATTATGACTGTAATCCTGGGAAGTGCCAAGCCTGCCCTGGCAGGGGAAAGAGAGGAGGAAAACATGTCATAATTAAAATAATAATTAATTTAATCTCATTAACTATAGATTATTAATTATCACTGCTATTATTATGCACTGGGGGCAGACCCCTTTTCTGAGCCAGTCTCATCAGCTTGTGTGGAGGTGGGAAGTTAGCAGTGTCTGAGAAATCCCGCTCTCTCTGGTAAGGCAGCTACCCCATCTCCTTCCCAAAGAATTTCTGTCTCCAAGTCTCCTGCAAGAAGTTCTCCTGCACAAAACCCACCCAGTGCTGGGTGTGAGGCAGGCCCTGTGTGACTATGTTTTGTTGCTCAATTGTGTGTTCATGTGACCCCAAGCATCTGCCGCCCTGCCCCTGACTCCCCAGAGCAGAGCTGGGGCTATCCTCTGCTCTCAGCACATCTTGAGCACACCTCTCAATCCTTGTCACACTGGGCTTCTTCGAGGTCCCCTTGCACACTTGGCCATGACCTCCTTGAAGAGATTGACTATGTCCTTCATCTTTGTATTTCCTCCAACCTGCCTTTCCACTCCAGCATCTACAGGAATGTGTGTCTAACGTTCCTTCCATATTAGAGGAGGAGAAGAGGAAGGAGAAAAAGAGGGAAGCCAGAAATGAGGGAGAGAGGAAGAGAGAAGAGGACAAAAGGGAGGGGGGAGACAAGGACAAAGAAGCCTGTCCTGCTGAGGACCATTAGTGACCAGACCATCAACTTCTCCCTCTTCCCAGGTCCCTCCCGCTGTGGTCCAAGCCAACACTACCTCTCCCCTCCCGCACACGCAACCTGCCGCACCTTTCCTTTCTTTAGAGGTGTTAAATGACTAATGAATACCAAAGCAAAGTGATTAGGTGGCCTTTACAAGCTTCAGTACCTACCAGGATAACTATAAGTCACACTGGCATCATAAATGCCTTCTCAGCAAGTGCAGACAAAGGAGACTGGCCCAAAGAAATGAATTTAATTCTAAGTGTCCTCTCTTTTTTGATCATCAGTGAGTCGATTCTGACTGGCCTGGTAGGGTAAATTCATCAGAATACTGAAGTGACACATCGGCCAGATGAAATCATAGCATGGCAGGCATTGTGGACACCTGTGGTTTCCCTAACACCCTCAGAGCCCTGAGGCTTTGTGGAGGCACCTTGGAACCACTTTGGAGGGGCAGGGAAGCCAGTTCAACCAGGAGGTTTTGCTTCGATGTGTTTTTAATGTATCACTTCTTTGTTTCCATTGGCTTTGTGATAAGGATTCTGCTGTTCAAAATATCAGCAATGTTGAAAGCCCCAATCTAGTCTAACTCCCGCTTTCAGAAGGGCAGAAATGGGTCCAGCAAGCCCAGGGGCTTTCCCAGAACGGGCACAGAGGCAGAGTCTGCAGCCTCCAGCCCGGCTCCTCCCACCATATTGCACACACCTCCTTCCCATCAGCCCTGCACAGGGAGAGTCCAGTTCCAGGGCTCTGGGCAGCCCTGCCCAAGGTGCTCCCCCAAGATGCCATCCCACTGAGCAGGTGGCAGGGTCGCGGCTGTCAGCAGATCAGACAGTGCCATGCTAAGCTGCCTTCGGTATGAAGGCGGAGCTGCCCAAAAACCCGGAGCCAAACCCTGGGCCCTGGGTCCCACCACCCTGTAAGGGACCTCTGAGGCCACAGCCCACGACAGTCCCTGAAGGGGGACCTGGGCAGGAGTGACTCAGTGACCCCGGTAGATGGACGGTAGGTGGACCCACGCGCGTCTGGGGCCTGGCGAGGGTTTCAAGACGGCTTCCTGTTTCTACCACATAAGCAGTTTGCATCCCAAGAGAGAGGAGGCTGCCAGGCCTGCTGAATGCAGCCTAATTGGAGACATTCACTCCTCATAGACAAAAGGGGTGATATCAGCACACTGATTTTCAGCTTCTATCCTTCAGAGCCATGTTCCTGAGGTCTCTGTGATCCTTACGATTCTGCCGTCAATGCCCTGGCCAATCATGAGCATTGGTTGAACACTTAGTATTGTCAGGCAATGTGCTGAGCATCACGTGCCAAATCTCCTCCAAGATGGGTGCCCTTACTCTTCCCATTTTGCAGATAAGAAAGAAATGGTTAAAGAAGTCTAGTGACTTTCCTAAAGTCATGCAGAGACCCTCGGTGAAAGCAGTGGATGCCCAGACCCATTTCTCAGAGTTGGATGGGACAGTGTTTCCCTTTGTGGACCACGGCCCTCTGGGGAGCTGTCCAGAGACCCCACGGTCGATCCCACTTACTTGCAAACCATCAGACTATCCACACGTTCTAATATTTCACAACCCCAACTCTACTTTCCAGATTTGGTTCATGCCCTTGGAAGTAGCTCCCAGAACTCCCAAAACTATTCTTGTTCTTCTTAAATCCTAAAAATCAATCTCTCCCTGCTGTATTTTCTTAATATTTCCAATACCCCTAAAGAGTAACAAAGTAACCCGGTGCTGTGGCTCACGCTTGTAATTGCAACACTTTGGAAGGCTGAGGCGGTAAGATCACTGGAGTTCAGGGGGTCAAAACCAGCCTAGGCAACATGGTGAGACCTCATCTCTAATAAAAATCAAAAAAGTTACCCAGGCATAGTAGTGCATGCCTGAAGTCCTAGCTACTTGGGAGGCTGAGGTGCGAGGATTGCTTGAGCCCAGGAGGTCATAGTAATTTAATGGCATCTTAGGGTGAATTACTTTACCAGATTTTCTATCCTCATAGAACAGGGATCCCCAGCCCCGGGGTACCGGTCCTCAGCCTGTTAGGAACCAGACTACACAGCAGGAGGTGAGCGGCAGGTGAGTGAACATTGCCGCCCGAACTCTGCCTCCTGTCAGATCAGCAGAGGCGTTAGATTCTCCTAGGAGCACCAGCCCTGTTGTGAACTGCGCATGTGATGGATCTAGGCTGTGTGCTGTGTCTCTTATGAGAATCTAACTAGTGCCTGAAGATCTATGATGGAACAGTTTCATCCAGAAACCACCCCCTACCCAGGTCCATGGAAAAATTGCCATCCATGAAACCTGTCCCTGGTGCCAAAAATGCTGGGGACCACTGTCTTTAAAAAATTGACAAAAAAGCTCCGCACTCAGAGGTCATCACTCATTTGAGGTGAAAAAAAGCCTGGTAAAGGAGTGGCAGGAAAAAACAAATATTGATTGCACACCTACTCAGTATCACCAGATTCATCTCACTTCATCCTCCCAGCAACACTGGGAGGAGGATATTATCATCCTCATTTTGCAGATGAGGAAACTGTGCTTCAGAGAGGTTAAGTTACATGCTCAGTGTCACCCACTCTAACCTAGAAGGAAGAGAGGGCGACTATGCATAGCAGAATGCATAGGAGGGAACACATTTAAGAAGTGTTTCAGCAATTGATTTTGAGTCTTGCAGAGCCCACAGACCTAGTACACAGAATCTGTGCACACACTCCACAGCAGCTCTGTGATGCCCACTCTTCCTTCACCCAGGTCCTAAATATGACCTTTTCGGTGGTCACAGGAGGGAGGAATATTTTATTGCTTTGCATCAAATAAAATACAACATAGAACTTTAAATCTGGAAATGAATATAAAGATGTAGTCCAGTCTTGACATCTGGTCTCCTGATTCCCAAACTCATCTGTTCTTTCTTCCTTCTGAATTGTGTGTAAAATCTGTTGCTGAAAAATTCTGAAAAATCTTTCTGTTGCATGATTTCATCTTCCTAAACGTACATTTGATTTGTTTGCAAAGTACTTCTTGTCCTTCCGGACCTGGGATTCTGAAACGCAGATTCCTCAGGAATACTGATCCAATATTTTCAGCCTCATAGAACCCTGAAACAGAAGAGAATGGGAGTGGAGTTAACACTAAGAGAAATTCAATTAAACAAATGTTTATTGATCACCTACTATACACGAGGCACCAGGCCAACTCCAGTGACAACAATTTGCAAATCTCAAGCACTGATCTCCAGTGTGTGCTTGATCTGGTGTGTGTGTGTGTGTGTCTGTATATACATTCCCAGGAGCACACACATGGACAAGTTACTACAGCCCCCGCTCCCAAGTCCTCCACTTTTCCTATGATGCACTGAAATGGATAAATCCCCATAAACTGCCTCCCTCCATAAACTGCCTCCCTCATGAGCAACCTTGGAAATAAGTCCTATTTACATATATTTCATCAGCCCACCTACCTCAAGCTTCGTGCTCCCCTGATGACTGTAGGCAATAACATAAATAAAACTCAGAATGATTTCTGTCTCCTGCACATCAATCATCACTTTTCCTGGACAGGTAGGCAAGTGATTGGATGTAAGGCTAACCTGGAGGTATGAAGGGAAGGTCTACAAATTCTGGACACAAAAACACATGGCTTCTGGTCTTAGACCCTAGGCAGCCTATCTAGGGAAAGAGTAAGCTGTATCCAGGCGAGTGACAAGGGGGACCTTTGGGAAGTTCCTGGCATTATTTCTCACATTTTGCCACCTGGGAGAGAGCTACAAGTCCCTTTAGTCATTGCTGCAGGAAAACATTTTGACATGAACTCTCATACATCATGACGGAGGTTAGTTACCAAAATGCACACATTTGCCTTAGCCGGTTTCATTTACTACCCTTTAAATTATTTCTCAGCCTTGCAAATCTTGCTGTGACAGACAGAGCAGTGGGGGAAACCACTAAGTGTTCATTTTTCATATAATATATTCAATCCTGTTAGGTCGTGCTGCTGAAGGTAATATTTCTGGCATTCATTTAATGAAATTGACATTGATGAATGGTTAATTATACAAATTACATTCTTATTAAATCCCCTAGAATCAGTGCCTTAAAATTTCCTAGCTATGGGCTTCTTATGGTTGATATCTTTTTTTTTTTTTTGCTCTAAGTATCTCCTCTGTTGGCTGCTTTAAGACTCATTCTGCATATTTTTCTTCCTCTAAAAAACTTTGAAAAGCATTAAAAATCCCCTAGTTAAGGCAATTACTCCAGATAAGTTAATCTTCATGGGATGTTTAAACCCCAGTCCTTGCATATGTTTATTCTGACTTTTTTTCCCTCTCTAGATAGCTCCTGCCCTAAAGGGCATAAGAGGGAGGGGAAGACCCTACTACCTCCTGCTGAATAATGGTCTGATGGACTGGGAGGGGAGAGAGAATCAGCATGTGGCCAAGTCCCTCTGTTGGCTGCTGGCTATGTGTATATATATATATATATATCTCCAGTAGAAGAGTTGATGAGCATTGGGCTAATGGGTATGGATCAGTACGCGGTCCCTTGCATGCTAAGTACCATTAGCTGGCACGTTTCCAAGAAAGCAGCCTATTTTTTGCCTTTTCACTGAGGCTAGGAGGATGAATCATATTCATTAAGAGATCTTTTGTTTTTTCTGTTGCCCTCACTGGTCATGAAAGCAACCGATCTTTACTGAGCATCTGTTATATGGCCAGCACTGACTAGGCACCTCCAGGAATTAGAATAGTCTCAAGTAGTTCACATGTGTTTTGAGAAATTCATCTCAGAGAACAATTGCACACTTGGAATGTTTTCTTTAATGAGGAGAAGCAACAGAAGTGTTTCTGGGAGAACCAGACCCAGGTTTCAAAGCCATCTTAACCTTGCTCTGAGTCTTCAAATGCCACGGAAGGAGAGGCTTCCTGCTTTGTACTCAAAAGCTATGAGATGGGCTGCACACAGGCTCGGACTGGTGGTCTTTTAACTCAAATTCTCTCTCTGGGACCTTTTCCCTTCATACACATTTCACTTTTTGGCCATCCAATTGGCTGGGGCAAGTTAGGTTAGCTAAACTAATTTCAACCCCGGCTATTTGGAGTGGGTTGAGGCAGGTAAAAAATATGCAATTTTCAATCACCAATAAGACTGAATTTCACCTTATTTTAGTGGGTCATGTGGAAAAACTTCGTGATTTATACTGAGTACTATTATGCCAACCAGACTTTAAGTAACACTCATTCCCAGAGTTCAGTGTTGAGATGAACTGTCTACAAAGTCACAATATTATGATTAATAGTAATAACTCTCTAGTCAGAAAGACTTGGATTCAAATCTTAGCTCTGCTCTTTCCTGGAATAGGTGTGTGACCTTATACACTTAAAACTCGTGTCCTCCTTTATAAAACAGAGGTCATAGTAGCTCCCTTAAAGGGAACATGTTTTGAAGCTTCAAAATGAACACAAAGCACTTAGCAAAGGACACGCATATGCTGCTCAATAAATGGAGCCATTTAGATTATGTAGGTATGTTTCTCAGCTGCAAGGAACATAATGCCCTTCTAACTGTGGCTTCAACCACAAGGCTATATATTGTTTGCTTAACAAAAGGTCCAGAAGTAGATGACCCCAGGGTTGGGCTGTCAGCTGGGTGATGTAATCATGAACCTAGGCTCTCCCTGGTGATTCTCCACCATCCATGGCATGTTACGTTTTCATCCTCATGCTCACAAGATGGCAGCCCAAACTCAGTCATCACATCCACATTCAGGAAGAAGGGGCAGAGGGCAGCACCAGCAAGTTCTCATAATGTGACTTGCCATTTTGTCAAAAAGCAAAGCATCTCTCCCAGAAACCCCTCAGCAGAGTTCTCCTTACATCTCATTGGTCAGAACTTGGCCAAATGCTCAGCTCTTCAGGAGCAGGTGGGCAGGGGAGCAGGAAGTTGGGAGCGGCTTTTGAGTAGCTACATCATTGTAATCGAATTCAACCTCAAACATTCTCATCCAAGCAAATGAGTTAAAGTCCAGCCATCTTTCCTTTTGCTGATTAAAGGCCGTATGGCCACCTCCACTGATATCCTCTCTCTGTGCAGGCTTCACCACTCCCCTGCCAGAAGCCACGGCAATGGGTGAGACTGGGCAGTGGACATAGGGTCCTTTTCTCCTCGAGTGTAATTAATTCTGTAAGATCACTCCCTTACCAGCAAGGGATCTGACTCCTCTATCATGACCCAGGAAGAACATTCCTTCTCCACTTCTTTTTTTTTTTTTTTTTTTTTTTTTTTGAGACAGAGTCTTGCTCTATCGCCCAGGCTGGTGTGCAGTGGCACAATCTCGGCTCACTGTAAGCTCCGTCTCCCAGGTTCACGCCATTCTCCTGCCTCAGCCTTCTGAGTAGCTGGGACTACAGGCGCCTGCCACCATGCCTGGCTAATTTTTTGTATTTTTAGTAGAGACAGGGTTTCACCATGTTAGCCAGGGTGGTCTCAATCTCCTGACCTCGTGATCTGCCCGCCTCGGCCTCCCAAAGTGGTGAGATTACAGGCGTGAGCCACCACGCCTGACCCCTTCACTTCTTATCTCGGCCTTCAACTCCACACACCCATCTGTGCTGGAGTCAGCATGTGCAATCACATATTACTAGTTTTAATTGTATAGCAAGGGAGAAGATGGGAGATATTAATCAGGTGCTGTAAGCTCAGAGAGTGAATGTAATAAATAGACTATTAAGGTAACCAAGTTTTCAGCTTCACTAGTGAAAGCTGCCATCTATCTTGTGTGGTTTCCTGCATGCTTCATTACCGCGTATAACCATACTGAAAAAATATGCCTTATCCTTTATAATGAGATGATAAGTTCCCTGCAGTGGGTGTAACAGGGCCTGATTCTGAAGCTCCATGAAGCTGGAGCCTGGGGACGGGGTGTGTCTCTGGGTCCCAGGGCCTGACACTGAGGCTGATGACAAGACAGGGCTTGGTGGTGACAACAGCCATAATCATCTGGTTGGGAACATTCCCAGGGCACCAGGTATCTGAGGGCTCAGGCCACTGCCACTTCCTCTGCCTCGTGGAGATGCAGTAAAAGGGGGAGGCTCACTCCAACCAGTGGACAAATGTGCAGTTGTTCCTGGAATTAGCTCTGTCCTGCTTTGGTCCAGGGGGCTCCCCTGGACTCATTCTGGGAGGACCCACTCGTGCGAGCTGCTGGTGGATTTTCTGTCTTCACACCCCCATCCCAGCCCTGCTTCAGCACCTAGCACAGCGACAGCTCAGCGAATGCAGCCAGACAGAGCTGGGTGCCCCTCCCTGTTCAGCGTGCTTCCACTGACTGTCCCTGGGGCCTCTGACAAGTCATTTCACCTCCGAACCTCAGCACTCTCAACTAAAATGGGGTTGATAAGGCTGGCTTTCCAAAGAGGTGGTGAGAATTAGAGGAGATAATAGATAGCAAAGCACCCAGACTATGCCAACATCCTTTCTCCAGAATGGAGATTCGGTTATCAGATGGGAACGTGCAATCCTAAAAAGTTACAGTCTATGGTTCCACTTATACGAAATGTCCAGAATAGGGGAATCTATAGCCTCTCCTCATTAATCCATTAGCCAGAAAGTAAATTAGTAGTCGCCTAAAACCCAGGTGATGGGGAGGGAGAGGCTGAGGCTAAGGGGATAGCTAAAATGTACAGGGTTTCTTTGGGGTGATTTTAAAAGGTTCTAAATGGACTGTGGTGGTGGTTGTGCAAATCTGCGAATATATTAAAAATCACTGAATTGTATTCTTTAAGTGGGCCATATGTGAACTGTATCTCAATACAGCTGTTAAAAAAAAAAAATCTTTGAGAGGCCAAGGCGGGAGGATCACTTGAGCCCAGGAGTTCAAGATCAGCCCTGGCAACACAGCAAGACCCTGTCTCTACAAAAAATTTTTTAAAAATTAGCGTGGTGTGGTGGTGCATGCCTGTAGTCCCAGCTACTCGGGAGGTTTAGGCAGGACGACCGCTTGAGCCTGGGAGATCGAGGCTGCGGTGACCTGTGGTTGAGCCACTGTATACCAGTCCAGATGGCAGAGGGAGACTCTGTCTCAAAAGGAAAAAAAAAAAATCAGCTCTAAAGAAAAATAAAAAGTTGCAGTAGTAAAAACAACACCACATGTTGCCATGGGAAGCCCTGGGTCGCATATGGGGCCCAGATGCATCTTTGGCTTAGGGAGGCCAAGGCAGTTACCTCAAGTCCAGGCAAGGAGAGTCCAGGACCACGTCTGAGTTTCCTGAACTTGAGAACTCAAAGACCCCTCAGAATACGTATTCACAGACTGCTATGGGAGGTTCTTTAAAGGACTCGCAGCATCTCCCCCCAACTCAAACAAAACAAAACAATACAACATCTGCAGGTGCAAATTTGAGAAACACTGGTCAAAGAACAGCCTCAGTGTGGCCAACTGCAGAGCCAGCCCAGTGGCCCTGGGGGACTAGAGAGGCCCCAGGGTAGGAGAGAATTCTAGCCTGAACTGAGATAGGACAGATGGGACAGACTTCACTCCAGGCTATGAAAGCATCTTCTCAGTCTCTGCCCTCCAGAAGCTTCTCTGCCTCGGCCTGGCCCTGAGTGTTTCCCTCCTGATGGTTCTGTGCTTTCTTTCCTAGCTGATTTCATCTTTGCCCGTGATAGTTACTAGCACCTTGATGCTGATGACACCCCTGCTTGTAATCTCTAATGAAGTCTCTCTTCAGAGCTCTAGACCTACATGGCCAAACAATGAAACACCTGAATGTCCCCAAACCATCTGAAATTCAGTATGTCCCAAACTGGACCTGGCATCCTCTTCCTTTCTCAAACTTCTCCCTCCTACTGGATTTCTTATTCTTGGTGTTAACATCATCATCCATCCAGCTTCTCAAACCAAAAGCATGGAGTCATCAACACCTCCCTCTCCTTCTATCTTTCAGTCAACACGTTCATTCAATTCTGCCTATTAAACAGCTTCCTCTTCTCTGCTTGGATTACTGCTGTGGCCTCCTAAGTGGCCTCCAAGCTTCCAGTCTCTCCTCATTAATCCATTACCCATACAGCTGCTGAAGTGATCATTTCCCTGCTTCAAATGACTTCCCTTTACCTACAGAATAAAGTTCAAATTCCTATGCTTGGCTTACAAAACCTTTCATGAGCTGACCCTGTTAGTTCCTTTTTACTCCCTACTTCCACCATGGTTGGCTCCCAGTCATCCAGGAAGCAGGCTCTTTGTTCTTGGGAGTGGCAACGACAGTAGGCATTGGGATGGCCCCACATTACATGCTGGTGATTGACCTCTTGGTCTCCACCACCCCCAGATCCCCAGCTAGAGAAAAATTATCTAATACTGCTGCCTGCAGGTTTCAATCCTATCATAACAAACTTCACTCCCTACTACCTAACTCCATCTCTCAGCTCCACGTGAAAGCAGAGGTAAGCCAATGCTAAATGTTGTTCATTGTAATCTCAGTCCAAAGTTGTGGGCTTTTAAAATATAGAATTGAGCCATAATTAATTACATGCCTGGTGCATAATCACAGAGGAAAGCAAGAAAGACCCAGCCCATTAGGTCAAACATGCTGAGTGCTATGGAATGTAGAAAACCATTTCTAAAGACATAAATAGTAGCTGGAAACATAGAAGGTCAGATCATTGCCTCTGTTGGGCTTGATTATATGAGACTAGCATGTAAAGGCTCCAATGCCAGGATGGTATGTTTAAGAGATAAATGAAACCAGCAGGAATGGGTGGTGCTGACATCATTCTCCCCAGCATCGAAGAGGCCCTAAGAGTGGGGCCTGGCAGGCAACAAGCTCCAAGGTGAATGCCTTCCACAAACACTGAACTGGGATGTGGCCCAGTAGAGCCAAGAGCCCCTTCTTCCTCTTGACGTGAGGCAAATCCCATCAGGTGCTTATTGGTTAACACGAGGTGCACCACATCAGCTGGCTCCCCACTATTCAGGTAAAAATAAAACTCACTACGCCATCTCCTCCAGCCATCCAAATGGCAGACACCAGTAATGTGTTTTTATGGCTGGCCCAGGCTGAGGGACTGGTGGGAGTGTGCAGGGTAAGCACATCAGATTCTTAGAATCCATTGACTGTGACCAGCAATTAAGTACAATTTAAAATTCTTAGCTCCTAAGAAAAGATGACAACTCAAAGCCCCTGCCATCCTTCTCCACTAACTCCTCCAAATGCCCTTGCCATGAAATTTGGAAGAGAAATGAAAAGAATCTCCTTTTGTAGGTCCCCAAGCAGTGCAAGGGCTGTTGGTGAATGTCAGTATTGGGGATGATTTCTTGCTTGGAATTAGGAAAGGAGATGGGCACTGGGCCACAGTGTCAGGATTCTGAGAGTAGCTGGGCAGGCTGTTGTTGGATGCTCTATCTGACTGGGGACTGAGCAACAGTATTCTTCATCCTGCTTATCATCTTTACTGGCTCAAGCCCTTTGTTTATGCTACCTCTTTGTCTGGATGTCTTAGTATGAAATCAGGACTTATGAGAACAAGGTCTGGCACATAGCAGGTGCTCAGTAAGTGCTTGCAAAAGCTATGAAAACCTGGATGGAGATCACCTAGTATGCCTTCAAAATCCCATCTCCTTGTGACATAAATTGGAGATGAATCTCACAGAGAAGCAGAAGATACAGTCTTTGAAGTCTCTTCCAAGCAACAGAATTCCCAAAACATTCATGAGAAAAGAAGAATTGCCCTTGCCTTCTTTCTGTAACATTCCAGCAGAGCCAAATGGTTTCCAACGGAGATTCTAGGAGCATTGAAGATGAGAGCTTGAAAGGGTCCTGGCCATCCTCTGGCTCTCATGCAAATGTCCGGTGAAGACACCATGGCCCAGAGGCAGTTAAGGGGTTACCCATATTACACAGTTAACAGCAGAGCTATGACCAGAAGTAGCTTCATTTTCAGAGAAGTGTTCACATAGATGGGCCCTCCTGGCCTGTACTGAGCTCCGTACAGAGGGAGAACCCTCCACCCTTCCAGTAGTTTAACTCACGCAAAAACCCAAATGTGGAGGGAGGAACATCCATCCCGGTGTTTAGAGCTTCTTTCATTGCTTCTATGAGCAGGGCAAGGATTAATACATTTCTCAGTGGAGGAAGATCTTACAGACCCAACCTAGACTTTTTCCTGAATTAGGAGACTATTCCCCACACTCCTCCCTGTCCTGCTCCAGGACATCCCATGGAAGGCACACGTGTGATGAGTGAGGCCCTGAGCCCTCATTTATTTTTCATTCCCCAGTCCCTGTGCCAGCCCTGACTGTGGTGGTGAGTGAAAACACAGATGAATTTTGGAAACATGGTAAGAAGCAATTATGAATTCCTTGCCTTTAGGAGCTTCCTCCTTCCCCTTGGGTCCTGAAAATCAGCATAAATTCCTTGGTTAGGAGAAGCTATCAAAATACTATCCATCTGGATCCAATTTCCAGAGCTGCTGGGCTCCAAAGTGACCAGAGTTAAAGGTCTATCCATAAATTTTCCTCTTGGTGCCACCTGCCTGAGCCCAAACTCTGCCTGCAAGCCACCTGTCCTGACCAGATAACAGACGGGACTGGTTCAGATTCTGAACAAGCAGCACAATTATCTCACTGACCCACCAACCTCTCCGCTCTTTCGAGCCAAGTGTGGCCTCATTTCTTTGAACTTGGTTTATCTGATCATCTGCATTCCTGCGTCTTTGCAGGTGTAGCTGTCTGCATTCGCGGAATACAACCAATTTGCCCAACACCCAGCTCTGCTTTTCATTTGGTTATCCTAGCCCTCAACTGTATTCCTGCTTCCTGGCTCCAGCTCTACACTGGGGGACCATTTCTGTCTTTAATATTTTCCCCAGAGACGGAGGAGGGCCAGGAGATGAGGAAACTCAAGCCTATTTGTTATGCTACTTTCTATAATTTGATGAAGGGCAGATTACTGAAAACCGGCTTAAGAAATTTTGAAACTTAAGGTTAACGCAAAGCAATTGAAACACTAATGCAAATACGAGTGAGGGAATTGGTTGGTTAATTAACTAGATTGTTAGTTTAGGTCCTTAACAAGTAAGGGAGGAACTCACTGGACATAGAAGAAAAGAGACACTGTAACACGTACCTGACTAGATAGCAAATTCCCTATGTACTCTCAGAGCTGTTGGTATTATTCTTTGTATCCTCCCAGCTCCATGCTGGGAACCAAGGACAAAGATCCAATATGTATATTTTTATTATACCCTACCACCATTACAGTATTGTACAGAATATTTTCACGGCCTTAAAAACATCCCCTGTGCTTCATCTATTCAACCCTCTCCTCTGCCCACGCCCCTGGCAACTACTGCTCTTTTTCTATAGTTTTGCCTTTTCAAGTGTCATATAAATGGAATCATTCAATATGTTTTTTCAGACTGGCTTCTTTCACTTAGCAATATGTATCTAAGATACATCCATGTTGTCGCCTGATAGCTCATTTCTTTTTATTGCCGAATAGTATCCCACTATATGGATTTATAACAACTTTATTTGTAGTAAAGTGATGTCAGCACCACCCTGTCCTGCTGGTTTCATGTATCTCTTAAACATACCCTCCCAACTTTAGGGTCTTTATATACACACTAGTCTCATATAATCAAGTCCAACTGAGCCAATAATCTGAACTTTTATGTTTCCAGCTACTGTTCAAGTCTTTAGAAATAGATTTTTGCTGTTCCACAACACTCAGCATGTTTGACCTAATGGGCTGGGCCTTTCTTGTTTTACTCTGTGATTATGCATGGGGCATGCTATTAATTATAGCTTAATTGTGTATTTAAAAAACCCAAGTTTATTAACCCATTCACCTACTGGAGAACATCTTTGTTGCTTCCAGTTTTGATGATTGCAAGTAAAGGTACTATAAACCTTCTCGTGGAGGTTTTTGTGTGCACGTAAGTTTTCAAATCAGCTGGGTAAATATCTAGGACTGCAGTTACTTGATCATGTGGTAAAACTATGTTTAGCATGGTAAGAAACTCTCAAAACTATTTTCCAAAGTGGCTGTACCACTTTGCATTCCCAGCAGCAATGAATGAGAGCTCCTGTTGCTCCATATCCTTGCCAGTATTGTCAGCTTTTCTGGATTTTAGCCATGCTAAGAGGTGTGTAGAGGTATGTTGTAATTTTAATTTGCATTTCCCTAATGACAGATGCTATAGATCATCTTTTGATATGTTTCTTTGCCATCTGTGTATCTTCTTTGGTGAAGTGTCTGTTCAGATCTCTTGCCCATTTTTTAAGTTGGACCATTTGCTTTCTTACTGTTGAGTTTTCAGGATTCTTGGTATATTTTAGATGCAAGTGTTTTATCTGATATGTGATTTACAAATATTTTCTCCTGGTCAATGACTTGTCTTTTTCACATGTTAAGAATGTCTTCAGCAGAGCAAAAGTTTTTAATTTTAATAAAGCCAAAATTTTCAATTTTTTGTTTTATGGATCATGCATTTGGTGTAATATCTAAAAACTCATCACCAACCAGGCATGGTGGCTCATGCCCGTAATCTCAGCTACTCAGGAGGCTGAGGCAGGGGGATTTTTTGAGCTCAGGAGTTCAAGAGTGGTGTGGGCAGTGCAGCAAGACCTCGACTCAAAAAAAAAAAAAAAAGGAGAAAAACTCATCACCAATCTAAGGCCATAGATTTTCTCCAGTGTTTTCTTCTGGAAGTTTTATTGTTTCATGTTTTATATCTAGGTGTATAATTCATTTTAAGCAATTTTTTATGAAGGATGTAAGATCTGTGTCTAGTCTCTGTTTCTAATATAGATGGCCAATTGTTCCTCCACCATTTGTTGAAAACACTGTCCCTTTATTTGTGTGGGTCTATTTCTGGGCTCTCTATCCTGTTCCACTGATCTATTTGTGTATTCCTTCACCAGTATTATACTGTCTTGATTACTGTGGCTTTATATTATAGTAAGTCTTGAAATCAGGTAGTATGAGTCCTCCAACTTATTTCTTATTTAGTATTGTGGTGACTGTTCTAGGTCCTTCGCCATTCTATACAAAATTTACATTAAGTTTGTTGTATCTACAAAATCACTTCCTGAGATTATTTTTGGTATGGAGGAAAGCAGTTAATTTTTTCTTCGTTAAAGACACAAATTTGTATTTATCTTTCTTCATTCCATTCAGTAAAAGCTAAAATGTAGCCCCCAAGGGTGGGGCAAGGTAGGCAGCTTACCACGATTCCAACTTTCTATTGAAAAAATTAACTTCTGTTTATTCACCTTGTATCCTACAATCTTGCTATATTGACTTACTAGGTGTTTTCTTACAGATTCTTTGGGTTTTTTATGTAGATAATTATGTTACCCGAGAATAAAGACAGTTTTATTTCTTCCTTCCAAGTCTCCACACTTTTTATTTCTTTTACTTATCTTATTGCACTAAGCTAGGACTTCCAGTACAGTGGTCAATAGGGGTGGTGAGAACAGATATTCTCACCTTGTTCCAATCTTAGGACAAAAGCATTCAGTCTCTTACCATTAAGTATGATGTTAACTCTAGGTTTTTCTTATACTCTTTATATTAAGTTAGTGAAATTCTCTTCAATTCCTAGTTATTTGATAGTTTTTATTATGAACAGCCATTCGATTTGGTCAAATGCTGATTTTTTAAAATCATTATGCCTGCTATGTGGGGCATAGATTTTAGGTGGCAAGGAGAGAAGCAGGGAGACCAGTTGGGAAGACTAATACAGAAGCTCAGGCAAGAGTTGATGGAGGCTTGGACTGGAACAGTGGCAGTGCAGAGAAGTGAACAGATTCTGGATGTATCTTGAAACAAGAGCCAACAGGACATGCTGGTGTGTGGAATGTGCTGGGAGAAGGAATGGGAAGAGTCAGGGGAGACTGAGGCATGAGCTTGAGCAACGGGGTGGATGGTGCTGCAATGCACTGACATGCTGAAGACTGGGAGAGAGACAGATGTGCAGGGTGGGGGCTACAAGTCTGTTTTGTACATGTTACAGTTTTCGGTAATTATTAGACCTCCAAAAAAAGATTTAGGAAGACAGTTGACTCTACAAATCTTTAGCCCAAGGGATAGGTCAAGACTGGATTTATAATTTAAAAAATCATCTGTATCTCAATGGTATTTAAAGCCTTGGAGTTTCATGCAAAACCTTGAGAGAAAAATGTAAATGGAGAAGAGAGAAAAGCCCACGAGGAAGTGCAGGAGTCCTCCAACATTTACTGGCTGACTGGGTAATCTGACTCGTGGGAGGGCTTGAATGAGTCAACCACGGAGTTAGCAAATGTTCCATGTGTGCTACTGAGATCTGTACCCATGCACTGGAAAAGATGTATTAGTCCGAACCAGAAGTTAAAAATCTAACCGCCCATGATTAAGCCCTTAAATACATAGATATTACAAGCATTAACTAAAGACATGGAAACATTGGGGATTATGTTAGTGGGTTAAAAATACATGGGATTAAATAGGGAAAAGTTTTCTAGAGGACATGATCCAACACCTGAGAACTAAAGGAGAGGTAAGTGTCTCAGGGAAGGAGGAAGATCTTGCACGTGTTTGAAATACGCTGAAGGAAAACTTCACTCAGTGCCAGGATCCCAGATCTAGAGACCCCTTTTATTTTCATCTGTTCAATGGGTCTAACAACTCCCAACACTAGTCACTAAAGGGAATTCTTGCCATAACAAACAAGATGAAGACCCATACCCCAGAGAAGCAAAAAACCAAAGCAAAAACAAAACAAAGAGCAGACAAGTTGGGAGCCAGAAATCCTTTGATTAGCTCCATACTTGCAAAGCTTTTACCAAGAATTGTCAAAAAGGGATGAAAATTGGGATGGAAAGCCCTAACAGGTGAATAAAACTTCAGGAGTCACTGGAAACATGCATTCCCTCATCCTGGACACTCTTACTGTCAGTACCCAGCACCCCAACATAGGCAGGAAAGGAACGGCTCAAATTTTCTTAACCCTGCAATGACCAAACGCCTATAGGAATAGATTCTTAGCAGCACACTCAGAGCCAGGGGTTTAAAATGGAGCCAAACATTATTAAAAGCCCAGGTGAGCCACCTAGGAGAATTGAACTTTTTTGAAAGAAAGAAAGAGAAAAAAGAAAGAAAGAAAGAAAGAAAGAAAGAAAGAAAGAAAGAAAGAAAGAAAGAAAGAAAGAAAAACAGAAACTTCCCAACAGCTCTTTATAGATTTGAGACAGCAAATGGCATGCTATCTGAGAAAACCGAGAAGGGGGGCCTCTCTGTCATCCTAGAGAAGTGGGAAGAAACTAACGAGGAAGAACAGGAAGAAAGGCCATCATTCCGGGTGCAGTTGACAGGGCTCCTCTTCCCCAGGGGCAGCTCCCTAAGCTTAGACAGCCGGTTGGACTGTGGGGAAAGGGAAGCTGTCTGGGGAGAGGAAAAGCCACCTCTCTTCTATAGCCAGGGTGTTTTATTCTGAATGGTTATATTCCCCCAAATTCATAAGCTAAAATTCTCACCTCCAAGGCTACGGTATTAGGAGGTGAGGCCTTTGGGAGGTGATTAGGTCATGAAAACGGAGTTCATGAATGGGATTAGTGCCTTTATGAAAGATGTCCAAGAAAGGCCTCTTGTCCCTTCCACGATGTAAGGACACAGAGAGAAGGCACTGCCTATGAAGAAGCCAGCCCTCACCAGTCACCAAATCTGCCATCACCTTGATCTTGATCTTTCAGCCTCTAGATCTGTAAGAAATAAATTTCTGTTGTTTATAAACCACCCAGTTTATGGTGTTTTGTTATAGCCGAAACTGACTAAGACACAGGGGCTCAGCTATCAACCCCTTATGAGGGGCTGAAATTGTTCAGACACAGAAGATTCCCAGCTGTGAATCACTAAACAGTGTGACCAAACAGCCTTGCCCCTTGCCCCAGAGAAAGAAGCTACAGGATTTTTCTCCAAGATGCAAGAGCTCCAGGATTTTAACTGCTTTGTCCCAAGATCAGAAAACACCAGTCTCCTCAGATCGGCCAGATCTGTGGCCTTTTGTGCAGCTTTCAGAGGGTCATCCCACTCCTGCCCAAAGTGAAGACATTTCCCTAGATGTCACTGGCCTTTTTTGTTCTTAAATTAGTGCCTCTACACACACACTTCTCAAAAATGGAAGCTGTAAATATCCCAATTGAGGCCCCAAGAAGGGTCTCAGAATCCAGGTAGGGTGACCATTCAACTAAGCCGACATGAGTTGAGAGTGTGTCTGGGAAAAGATCGTAGAATAAATTGATTGCTGAGTCCATCACAGCAAAGTAGAAGTTATTATAGCCATGGTGCCCCAGAGAAAACAGAAAAGACAGCCCTTCTCTCCCTATTCTCCCCCGATCTTCCCTTCACCTCGCATTGGGAGTCAAAAGTTCATCCTTAAAAACCCACTATTTTCTAGGCAATTGCCTTCTGCAAAACTCCATTAAACTCATAGACTACACCTATGTGCAAACAGCCCGGCTCATTCTAAATCCACATTATTGTTGCTCCAGCAGCCATTTCTAGGCAAGCAGTTTTGATCAGAAATGTTTGTCAAGCAACTCAATATCCAACTGTGTGTGTACAGTACTTCTGAAAGATATTTGCAACTGGAAATTGTGTAGAGTTCAAGGGAATGGAAATGGACTTTTGCTGCGATTGAATTCATTAGTGGCACATTCTCTGATTGTCTTCTTTTTTTATTTCCTGTAACTCTTGACTTTCAAAGTTATTTACTGAGATGCTTTGTCCTCCATCATGGAGTAGTCTGGAGCTTTTTTCCTTTGTTTTTTAGCTTAAAGTGATATCTCTCCCTGAAATAAATTGTACAAAATGATGTAGAGTTCTTGGCAAATTAAAGTGCCTTGTTCAAAAAGACCCCTAGTCACTCAAGCCTTTCCTTGGCTCCACATCAGGGATCTGAATCTTGTAGGACTAGGAAATGCTGACCCTGAGACTGTTGGCTAAGCCCTCTCATTCCCCAGGGACCTTTCATCAAACCTGTATCCATCCCAGACCCAAAATGAATATACCTGTACCAGCAATGGTGATTGATCAACAGAGAAACTCAGTGACTGGCTCCTCAAAAGCATGGTCTTTTATTCTTCTGGTGAAAGACCTCCTAGTCAATACAAATAAAAATGGGAAAAGCAAAAACCTCACCAGAGAGAAAAAGAGAGCTCTGTTTAACCCTAAGTGTTCATATCATGCAGTAAAAAAATAAGCCAAGTTGGTAAACAGACTCGACAAGCAGGCAGCACAAATCATTGATATTGTTTTCCTTGTGCCATGTAAGTGAGAAAAAATGTTTCTTCATTGTTTCTACATGAAGGAAATGGGTTATTGTTCAATAAACTTGGCTGTAACTTTCTTATCATTAGATTTGTCCCTTCTTGGTAAACCCTTAGAAGGCTCAGCAATCCTCTAAGAGCTCTAATGGTAGTTGGCCCTCTATTTTTCAGGAAATGGTTAGACAGTTGGTGGATTACCCCCACTTTTTCTTTCTCCCCTTTCCCTGGTGCTTAAGTACTTCCATGCTCACTCTTATCCCTGCAGAAAGAGGAACGGGTGCCTGGACAGGAGGTAAAACCCAAGGCTGTCCATTATAGATACAGGGAGGAGGATAACAAGAAAACCTGAAATAACTTGCCACATGACAATTGCATTCCAAGAATCCACACTCTTCCTGCGGAACCAAGATCCTGCTGCACTTATTTATTAATGCTTAATGGTTCCTCAACTTCTATGATACAGACAATGCAGTAGGCAAGTGGTTCTGAACCATGGATGCAAATCAGAATCTCCGAGGAGCGCCTTCAAAATAAAAAGGTCCAGATCATAGTTCCAGGCTTTCTGATTCATTAATAGCAACAACGCTTTAGACTGACACAGTATAAGTATAAACTACTCTAAGTTTGTATATATTTTTACCTCATGTCATCCTCACAATGGCACAAGGTGATGGGTCTATTATGATTCCAGTTTTACAAATGAAAAATGAATGCACATAGAGATTAAGAAACCTTCCTGAGGTCACACAGCTAAGTGTTGCAGGCAGACCTCAGGTCCACATAGCATGTTTCCAAAGTCTGTGCTCTTCACCACTGGGGCTGAAGCATGTGCCTCAGTCCATTTGGGCTGCAGTAACAAACGATCTTAGACTGAACAACAGAAATGTATTTCTCACCATTCTGGAGGTGGAGAAGTCCAAGATCAAGGTGCTGGCAGATCTGATGTCTGGTCCAGACCCGCCTCCTGGTTCATGGATGGCACCTTCTTTCTCTGTCCTCACATGGTGGAAGAGGGCAGCTCTCTGGGGCCTCTTTCACAAGGTCACTAATTTCATTCATGAGGGCTCCACCCTCATGCCCTAATCACCTCCCAAAGGCCCCACCTCCTAATAGCATCACCTCGGGGGTGAGGATTTCAACACATGAATTTTGGAGAAACACAAACATTCAGACCATGACAGCATGTTCTCATTAAAATGCCTCCTGAAACACACACCTGGCAAAGAGCCACTGTACTCAATCTTATTTTAAATATTCTTATAGTAGAATTTTTCCCCTCAGAGCTGGCAGTCTCAGTGACAAAACACACGTGTGGCACAAACAGAATGTGTCAACTGCATCATCCTGCAGACACCATTCCCAGACTATTAGCTGTGTTTGGGTTTTCTTTTTAATGGGCTCTGTTTTTCCACACATGGACTGTTTCATCAGTAACAGTGTTGAGCCTCACCTCAGGCAGGTGGAAGGAAATCTACAACAATTTTTAAAAAATTTATAAGGAACTACCATGTAATCTGCTGTGCACTTAGCATAGAGGATACAAGCTGGATAAAGTAGAGTGTCTGCTCATTGTGAGAAGCAAAAGAACGCACTCCAAAATAATCATCATGTTATGAATAATGTGTCGAAGGCTGCAGAGTAAGAGCACAGTTCATTCTGCCTGGAGGGGACAGGTTTCACTCTGGACACTGTAGAATGAGCTCCAGCTACCTGTGGTTGAGGCAGGGAATGCCCCCCTGTCTAAGGGCACAAGAGGTTCATAGATGAGGAAGTAGTGCCATGAGGCTGCAGCCAGGGTTAGAAAGGAAAGTGTCTCTATGAGATGTCATTGAAACAGCCTCCCAGGACCCTGAAACAAGGACATCAGCTTCCTAGATGTCCCACAGCCCAGAGAGCAACAGTGGCCATCTCCAAGAGAGAACTGGCTTTGGCATGCAGGAAGGGCACATCGGAGCTGGTAACAATGGTGATCCTCTGGGCAGCTCTGCTGTAGAAATGATCCTCAAGAGGTGAGGCCGAACTTCTTCATCCCTTTCAGTATCCCCAGTTCCAACAGAAGATCTATGCCTTCCCTGCACCTGAGATTGCTCTAGCCCAGTATGACAGAGCTGTTTCATTTAGAGTAGGCAGGTGGGAGGAAGGAGGTGCTTCTCAACACTGGAAAGTCCATGTCCGTGTGGTCTCACTAGACTTCACTCTCTGCCTCTGCGTGCCTGCTCTCTTACTCTTGCCCTGCCTGTCACATAGGACAAGGATAGGTTCTGTGTGAGCCTCTTTGTACTTTGCCTGCTCTACATAATTGGTGCTGGGTTGATGATCATAATGATGGTAAAAAAAAAAAAAATGCTAATGGCCCCAGCAAAAGCCTGAAACCTCACTCTGATCCTCAGAATGGTAATAGAGGATAGGAGGTGCATTATGGATATTCCCATTCAACTTGCTCTAAACAGCTCCAGTATTAATGGAAATTTTAATGAAAAGCTAAGCCTCTATTAGGTTGCCATGCAGAATTCCCACAACATGCAGAGTCTGGTTAATTTCCCTTGTGCCAGGGGCACAGGCTCAAAAGCACAGACACACACACTCTCAGGAAAATTCCTTCCAATCTCCAGACCTTGTGCTTTCCCCTGCTAGCCCAACTCTAGGGCTTTACAGGACTGGGGTGGCTCTCCTATGCTTATAGTCAGAGCAGGCCCTGTGGCAATTCAGTGAAAACTAATTCCTCATTCCCCATCTTTCTTGCTCAACAATCATGAATTGCCAGAGAGCTCCAAAGGGAGCCTCCAAGTCTCTCACTCTCCTTTTGTCCCTCAGATGAAATCTGTAACTGGCTCCAGGATGCAATGGGTTCAGAGGCTACAAATCTAAGGGCCTAGGAGTTGTGCCTCCCCATTGCTGGACTCCCCTGACATGTCATGTGCCACTTCCCTGGGAACCTGCCATCCCCAGCTATTAGTACATTTTCCAGGAAAGCACAGAAGCATACGCTTCCATGAGATGTTTTAATTATGACAAGTGGATCCCTCTCCCTGTGTAGTAGAAACCAGCACCACCTTAGAGAAAACCAGGAATTGCAGGAGATAAACTATCAAAAGCTTTGTCTTGTTAAAGCCAGACATTGTAATCCCAGCACGTTGGGAGGCCGAGGCAGGCGGATCACGAGGTCAGGACATCGAGACCATCCTGGCTAACATGGTGAAACCCCGTCTCTACTAAAAATACAAAAAATTAGCCGGGTGTGGTGGCATGCACCTGTAGTCCCAGCTACTCAGGAGGCTGAGGCAGGAGAATCACTTGACCCCGGGAGGCAGAGTTTGCGGTGAAAGAAGATCGAGCCACTGCACTCCAGCCTGGGTGACAGAGCGAGACTCCATCTCAAAAAAAAAAAAAAAAAAAAAGCCAGACATGATATCAAAACCTCCCCCACATCCCTCTCCTGCCTCTCACACTCCACACTCCCCATGCTCATCAGTCCCACGTGTGGAGATGCCCTGCACTCTTCTTGCTGGTTCTTCCCTTGCCAAGATCGGGCAGTATCACTGACATCTGCTCTTCCATAGTATTTCTGCCAGAAGGGACAGTGAACAGGGAGTATGGATTCCTGGCTCCAGTTCTGAGTAGAAATACATGAGTAAGAATCAGAGAGATGGAGCAAAAAAAAAAAAAAAAAAAAAGAAAGGACTTTGGAAAAAGTAAAATCCTACACTCTAGAAAGTTAATGTTGAGAACCCATTTGAAGTTGGGGTGACCCACTGGGTCTCTTCTTCTTTTTCTGCCTCCATGTGACTTTCTTGTCACATCATACAATGTGCTTTGCTATCTCCAACTGCTAGGATTTGAATGTTTTGGACTCCTCCAAAATTCATGTTGAAACCTAATCGCCTCCAAAATTCAGGTGTTGCCAACGTGACAGTATTGAGAGGTGGGGCCTCCAAGAGGTGATCAGGCTATGAGACTTCCTTCCTCATTAATGGGATTAATGCCCTTATGCAAGAGGCTTTATGCAGTGTTTGGCTAACTTGTTCTAGCTTGCCTTCCACCTTCTGCATATAAGGATGCAGCAAGAAGGCCCTCACCAGACCAGATGCCAGCCTCTAGATCTTGCACTTCCCGGCCTCTAGAACTGTAAGAAATAAATTTCTGTTTTTTATAAATTACCCACTCTCAGGTACTCTGTGACAGCAGCACGAAGGGACTAAGACACTAACATTACCAGTGCATGGCTTTCATAAGCCTCTAGTGCTCTCCAAGGGGCCTGGCCCCGTTTTCTGGTTTCTTTGATGGTCAATGGGCAGACTCCCCAAAGTCATTTACAATTGTTATGGTAATGGGCTCTTAGTCATAGCAATGCATTTTTCCTTTTATGGGTCCCTAATGCTGCCATTCAGCAGTTGCCCGAAGCCTCTGTGACTAGCGATAGAAACACCAGTGTGCCCTGGGTGACACACTTTTCATGAGGTAGACTGAGCACATTTCAGACCCTGGTTGAATAAAAACTACTAGGGGAAAATCAATCTTATTCCCTTCCTCTCAATGGGCGTTTTGGCTCTCTCCTTTTTTCTCCCTTCCCTTCTTTCCTCTTTACCCAAACCCCAACTCCCACAGTCTTTTATTTCCTGTCATCCTGTAAAGAAGAAGAATGCTGTTTCGAAGGCTGGGTTTGATCTTCAACTTTGTGAACTGAGCCAGAGCCTCCTGTTTTCCCTCATACCACTAAAGAGGCTTTAGCTCGGGCTGTCTCAACCCTGCTTGCAAGTAAAATCTCCTAGGTGATTTTTAAAATTATTCATACAGAGGACCCATCCCTGACCAATTAAATCAGAATCTCTGGGGATGGAGCCTGGGTATCCATAGTTTTCTAGCTCCCTCAGGTGATTCTAACATGCAGCCAATGATGAGCACCACTGTGTCTAGTGCCATATCTGAAGCTATAGACAGCTGTCCTCAGAAATCCATCCTGGAAATCTTCACAGTTTATGTCCTCTGCTTTTGATTAGAGGTGGGCCCAGGGAGTTGACTGGGCACAGATGAAATCAGCAGACCCTCTAGCTATTAGCAACACATAGAAACGATTCCATGAGCACAGATTAATCCTAGACATAGGCTTTCTGACCTTCTTGAGTAATGTGCCTCCTCCTTCAATTATCCTTCAGCCCAGGTGATTCATCTCTCGTCGTTATTTGGGACAGAACACAGAATTGTAAAAGTTGTAGGGGACTTCTCTCATTCTTCTTGCAAAATGCAGCTGGTGAGATTGTCTGACAATAGTATCTGTTCTCTTTGTGATAAACAACACACAACCAAACAATACTTACAGAAACTCACATGAGGCATGACCCTCTGCTAGTTGCTATTTTTTCTGAGACACAGTGTCTGTGCCATCTGGGAGCTTATGTCATAAGAAAAATGACACCATCCAAAACATGGTTACCCAGAAGGCAGTTACAACATTGTGCTTTCTATTTTCCTTTTTTCTTAGTATGTTTTGGTTTTAAGATCTATTTGGGGTATTTCACCAAGATGTTATATGACAGAAGACACTGGCCAAGACACATAAACATCAGTGGTTTCTTTAGAGACTAGGTTTCTGTAAAGACTTACTCTTTCCAAGCCTTTCATCTGGCCTCAGATGATCTCCCCATTGGCCTCTATCTCATCCTCACTCTGCAAAAGTCAAAGCAAAACACAGTTGTTTGCCAAGCCTCTATCCCCTATAGCTGCCAGGATGGTGTTAATATACAGCCCAGGGAAAACCATATTGCATCTTTTATTGGTCTTGGAATGGCTTCATCCTTTACTAACCAAGCCTCATCTTTCTCAGAGTCAGTGCATGTTCTAGCTGTGGGACAGTTTTATGGTTTACTGACTTGGCAATCAATGTGACATGCTGAACAAGATTGCTTCTCTGGCCTGAGAATGGTCAGGTCGTCCTCAAAAGTTTGCTCCTCCAATGTGGGCATTCAACCTGACATTTCCAGCCATTTACTTGGCTCTCTCAGGGAGCCTGTATTATACAGGCAATGGGTTCCCTTCCTGGAAATGGTCCAAGACACACAGTCAGTTCTCAATTAGCCATGCTAATGGAAGCAAGCAGCAGTGCAGACGATCCAAAATAGCAGATTATCTGAAAATCATTTTTACCGGCTTTGGAACAAATGCAATGATGCAATGCACGTCAGTGTGAACATGTGCCTACGTCTCAGCAGTATCATGTTTTCCATGGATTGTCTGTGTCTTATGTGCATTACAGTTTGCATTCTCTGAGGTATCATCATTTGGAAGTGAAAGTAAGCATCCCAACTGCACCACAAGTGACAGAGAAGCCAGAAAATAGAGTAAAAGTGATCCCCAGGGTATTTACAGAGGCAATGGAGAAGGGCATGGAGCTCTATTTCAGTAGTCCTGTGGCCTCACAGTTCTCTTCCCCCAAAGGGCCTCCTTTGCCCTTCACATACCCTGGCATCGGCTGGTGCCCACTGTCTGCCCCAGATCCTAGCAGGGCTATTGGAGGTCTCCAAGCCACTCCACAAGCTGCGCAATTGTCCCTGCTTAGTAGCAACCCCAAATTTTTATCATGCTTTTCAAGACCAGAATGCCACCTAGAGGGTGGAGCTTGCCAGATGCTCTTATACAATAAGCACCAGGCCACCTCCAGCCTTCTTTAGATGTTTTCTGCAAGTTTTCGAGTTGCCTTTAAAGGCAACACTTAGTAGTATGCTTCTCAAACTTTATTGAACATAAGAATCACCCACGAGCTTGATTTAATTGCAAATTCCTGGGCTGTGCTCATAGAAATTCCAGTTCAGTTGTCTGGGGCATGTTCCTTGCATTTGCATTGTTATCAAGCACATCAGCCCGTGGAAGGCATCCTTTGAGAAGCTGTTTAGAGAGCCATTCTGACTCTGCTTCTGATCTGACTTCGGGCAGCATCTTGAGTGAAGGTGAATGTTCGCCTTTTCATGACCTTTAATCCTCCACAAACCACTCTTTTTTGTCCAAGACCTATGTGTGATGGGCCAGCAGAGACCAAAGGATGTTGGCACACAGGGTGAGACAGTCTTTATCAGGTGGTCTGGACAAAGTAACTAGACACTTGGACCAGTGTGCCTTCCTCCCAGCCTGACTCTATTCAGAAATTCATGGGCAACCCACAAGTCGCAGGCTTCTTAGATGATATAACTAATAATAACTAATAGTATAACTCCTATTTTTTGAGTGCTTACTCAGTGGCATTATGATAAGTGTTCAATATGAATTTTCTCATTGAATTCTCTTAATCCTATGAGGTGTCACTCTCATTTTGGGAGGACCCATGGAGAAGCTATCTCAGCCTTTGTAGATCTAGTTTTAAAATAAGAGAAAAAATAAATAAACTCACCATGTCTGAGATTCTTGAAGAAAAGACAGCATGTAAAGCAGCTAATTATTATTAACGTTCATGACTATATCCTTGCAGGCAAGAGGGAAAATGTATCATTTTCTGTAGTTTTCTAAGAAGTGGTTTAGACTAGAGCAATTAGCTAACCAATTGGCCAGTCTAAATGGTTTCCTATAATTTCTCTTGATGGATGCCCACTGGCCTCGTCTCCTTGTGAGATAGAAGGGTTAGGTCCATCCAACAGCTGTGACCAACTGCCTAAAATGGGGTTGTCACTTTGGACAACTTCCCATGCTCCAAAGATCAGGGTGGACAAAGTAACAAGTCCGATTGTTTATGTGGTCATTGACTTTCTAAAATAAGCAGTAAGATTCATGGTTACATAAAGGACTCTACTTTCAGTAGATTAACCAAACGTCAGTCTTGCAGAATCAAGCAGGGTCTGGCGGAGGAGCAGGAAGTGGAAGAAAAGCCTAGAGGCAACAAGAAGGAGAAGCTGTTGATATGGCACCTTAAAGACAAAGAAAAAGTCTTAACGAGATGCAGATCCCATTCAGGAAAGCTCTCCGAGTCAGTAATTAAAGTATATCCAGCAATGTAGGGCTGGCAAAGTATAAAAGATCAATAGGTTAAATACTTTATGTTGTTTAATCAGATACTTAGCACAAATCAAACATTACCTTACTGAGGTTATTAGGCTAAATGAGGGCACTGCAGTGGTGAACATTCATTACTGAGACACCAATGGATCATGAAAATAGCAAGGTACATCTGAGTCACCTCCAGCCCTGAGATGAAGTATAAGGAGGCCAGAAAGTTTTTAGTCACTGCATCTGTGCTTTTTCTTTAGGAGTGGCTTAGGAAGTTGGGGTTATGAGTTTCCCTAGATAATTAAGCATACCAAGTCTTGAAAGGTATAAAAATAACCATTCCCTCAAAGCTGGGTATACCCACTGACATGCAAAAATGATGTAGATATCCACATTATTCGAGATCATCAAAAGCTTCCTTATTCTTCTTGTATGACAATAACTACTTGTTATTCCAAGCATTACCACTACAGACATGGCAGCATTTGGGTATTGAAGCTGCGAGTCTTAAAGAGAAGAGATTCAAAGGAGAAGGAGGGGCTAACTCGACTCCTCCAGAAATGGGAGAGCTGTGACAGACACAAAGGGATTGGGTGAGCAGCCCCAGGCTTTGGCAATGCCATCTTCTCTGTGAAACTGATGGGATCCGGGAGGAGAGCTCTGTGGACTGGTCATGAATTGCGCTCTGCTGGGCTGGGTGGTCTTGATCTGGTCAAATTACCTTCTTGTCTCTTCCGGTAGATAGCAGTAAAGCCTGATTGGAATTTCTCTGAAAACTAAGGGGAAGCAAAAGGGGAAAAAGCCATAGAACTACAAAAGCATTACAGTGACTGAACACAGCACAGGTTTCTACATGGACACAATCAGAGTTGCGCAGGTCCACCCAGACCATGTGCAGAAATGCCAACTGAGTCTCATTCCCTCCCAAGCTAGCGCAGTCCTCTTTGGGCTGGGGACGGACTGTCTCTGTGTCATTGTCTCCATCTCCCTACTCCACCTCACCCCCAACCCATCTACAGGCCCTGAGTTCCCACACGTCCCAGCCCCACACTGGGTGAGAAGAGGAATGACACTGCCCTTCTTTGCTAAACAGCTTGTCCCACTCTGGCCTTGGTTCCTCCAGCACTCACCTCTCAGACCTGTGCCCTGCCACATATGGAGGTTTCTCCTGATCCATGTCTTTCTGGGTTGGTTTGCTTGGTTACTAAAACATGTTAACTGGCTGGATGTCATCAGGGCTCTACTTTTTTGGAACTGGCCCACTATTTCTCTAATATTTTAAACCAGCAGTTGTCTAACTAGGCCCCTCAGAGCCTTGAGATTCCATGAAGATTTATTTATTTATTTATTTATTTATTTATTTAATTATTTATTTGGAATTCTCATTTTATTCTCCTGAGAGATTATGCATGATCTATTATAAAATATATAGGTAATACAAAGTTCAAAAGCCTGTCATGTTTATAGAATAAACAAATGAAAATTAAACACAATACAGTGTGAGAGAAAATCATGGTTTCATTTATTTTTTCTGTTTTTTTTTGTTTCTTTTTTTTTGAGACACAGTCTCACTCCATTGCCCAGGCTGGATGGAGTGCAGTGGCATGATCTCAGCTCACCACAACCCTAGCCTCCTGGGTTCAAGCCACTCTCATGCCTCAGCCTCCCAAGCAGCCAGGACCACAAGCACACACCACCATGCCCAGCCAACCCCTGTATTCCTAGTAGAGACGGGGTCCCACCACGACAGCCAGGCTGGTCTGGGACTCCCAGCCCCAAGCGATGCACACACCTTGGCCTCCCAAAGTGCTGGGACCACAGGCATGAGCCACCACGCCTAGCCAGTTTCATTTATTTTCATAAGAGATAGGTTATGAGTACATGATGTCAAAGCTTAAAAGTCATCACCAAACTGTGCTAAAGATACGGAGAAATTATGCAGGGAGAAATCTGTGCAAATTCATCTTCTTACTCAGTATAAGGTGGTAAAAGCATGAAGATTTAAACTGCCCCTGTGGGTAAGACAATCAGTGCAGGGGCTGGGCAGGCGGTGCCCAGGAGCACGCAACCACTGTCACCTGCTGCCTTATCCCCCACTTATGCCAATTTTGTATGTTGAGATTCCACGTGAAGTCTCATTTTATAAAAATCTACTTAAGGTGAAAGGTTTGGAAACCTAGGTTTTCCAGAGACTCCAATAATAATATTATTCTATTTTCTTGCCAAAACATACAAAACAATTATAATTTTGAAGGCTTATTGGGTGCTAAGAGTTTTCAACATATTATCTTATTTAAATTATTTTGCAAATGAAGAAACTGAATCATGGAGGTTATGGTTAAGAAACCAGCCTGATATCTCACAGATATGAACGGCAGAACCAACAGGCATCTTTCTGACTTCGGAGTCCTAACTCTGTAGCCCTCCCTGACCTCACTCACCTGCAAACATTGCTCCTGGGAACATCTGTGTTGCTGGTTCCCGAGACAGCACTAGTTTCTTATTCCTTTGCACAGCATAGATAAGGTATAGTCCCAGAATCTAGTGAATCCACAGGACTCTCCTGGCTCAGGTTCCCATTTCCACACACTTCTAGAGGATTCTAATTAGCTTCTAAGGCCTCCTCCCACCCCTCCTTCAGCCCCACCCACCTTTTAGATTCAACAGTGTTTCATCATCGTGATATCTTAGTCAGTGCAAACAGTGTCAGGAACAAAAAATAAGAGAAAGTCACGTTGTCCTGGAAAGCCAGACAAGAACTGACTGTTGCTGCCCTGCTGTCTTGCTATTGCTTCTCCCATTTTGGTAGAGTGGACAGAATTTTTATCATGCTGTTGCCACACAGAAACCTGAGCCAAGACAAGCCTAAGACCAAGCCACCAGGACTGTCCCCCTAAATCTGCAGCCCCCTGAAATGCTTGAGACACAGCCTTCATAAGCCTCTCCCAGGGTGGACGGGCACACACTGCTCCCGAGATGACAACTGCGTTGTGAAAACTGCAGATCTGCGCTCTTTGCAAAGTGGTTCCAGTCCCCAGGGGGACACACAGTAGCTGCCTTCCCTGGGCAGGAAGAGAAACAACTTGAGGTGGGAGGGAGAGCTTTCGAGTTGACAAGTGAAGTGATTTTTAACCTTCCAAATTCAGTTGTTTGTGGGGGGAGTGGAGGGGTGAAGGAGAAAAGAGGCAGGCTTTTCAGGGAGACAAAGGAGGCATTTGTCAGAGCAGAGAGCTGTGCAAACCCACCGAGGATTCAGGCAGTTAGCACCTTGGCAAGTCCCTGCCTCTGCAAGCCCTGACCTAATTTTGAGAGATACTGCTCACATTGTTTTCCAGATAAAAGCAGGCAACAGCGAGAGCTCTCCTGGGTGAGGCTTTGACATCAGGAAAAATTATCCTGACTCAAGTGACTAATCTCCTTTCTTACCCCTTTCCCCGTACCCCAACCCTGCACTTTCTTCTCCATCTCACAAATCTTCGGCAGAGCTGCCAAATCACAGCCACCAACACGGAGAGAGACAGATGTGCTCCACCACCACCTGCCCACAGTGGGGTGAGACCTGTGTTCAGCACAGCCTGTGCCAGCTAGGAACATCTTTCGGTGTCTTCCTTCCTCCTATGTAAAATCTGGCAGTTTGAGCTATCATGTTGAGGACAGGATAAAAGCAAGGAGCGGCCTCTGGGGTGAATGAATGGTCCTCTGCAGACTCCTGGCCTCTGACCCAATAGGCTAGTCATAATATTCAGAGGGAAGCAAAGCCTTTAAAGAAGCAAATCGTTAAAACACTCAAGGTTGTAAAAAAATAAAAAAATAAAAAAAAATAATGGTTGAAAAGCATTGAAGCAGTGTAGAAAAAAGATACACAATATCCATTGACCTTCAAGAGTCTGAGGGGCTCAGACCTCTCACGATGTCGGCTGTGTGGTTGCCCATGTGGAGAGGGCTCAGGATGTGGGCCAGGCTAGACAACCCCTCCAGACAGATGCAGGACATAGCATTAGGGTTACTGTGCTCTGGGGTGAGGGAAGGACATCTATCTGAAGCAAAAGCGCTTCCTACATTACACATGCTCTTCCTCTTTAACTGTTACCCGTAGTTTCTTCTCAATGGAAACCCCTTTCTTAGAGGTCTTCCCAGAAAGGCCAATCCTATCTCCCTCCACCTTCAACATTTCAGAGGCAGATGCCTGGAGGTAGGAGAAAAGGAGAAGCTGCCCATTTAAAATTCCTTTCACTGTTGCATTGCAATATGCTGTGAAAAAAAAAAAAAAAAAAACTTTCAGTTTAGGTATCCTAGATCCATCTTCTCGGGGTTGACTTTACATTCTATCACTGAAGTGGTAAAAGTCCTAGCTGCTAAGTTGCTCATCCTTTAGCAACTTCTAGCAATAAAATCAGTGTCCCCAGTGGAGGTCTTCCCCGCCACCTGTCAGGTGTCCCAACCACGAGCCCTCGCTCACCAGCCTTGTGAAGCTGAATGCAGATACCGAAACACAGCCAAACTGATTCTCAAAGTAGAAATTCATGTGTCCAGAGGCCCTTGAAACTGGGAGCCCGTGATAGGGAGATTCAAGGACATCAGATTCTAGAATCGAGGGCTGTGGCCTCGCTGTGACTGAGGGTGAGATATGTGCTGGGCGTGGGGGTCACCCTCTAGGCAGAAGTGGTATCACCTTCCCCTGAATCGCATGGAGGCAGCTACAAGGTCTATTTTTCAACTCCCCCCTTTGGTGCAACTAAAAATGGCTATAGAGGAACAAAGGTGACATTTTCTGTTTGATAGCACCAGAGACAAAAAAAGTGCCAGGGGCATCCCTGCCCTTCTCCACCTTCTCAGGTTCCACCGTGCACTTTTTATGGAATGTCCGTGAACTTTGGGGCTTGGCCTCAGCCTTGCCATGTCTCACGCAGCCCCTCCCGTTTCTCATTGCCCTGGCGTGTCACATTGAATGCTGCCAGGAGAGAGTCGGGTCAGAGTGTCCGTGTGACCTTGAAAAGAGCTCCTTCACATGTGGTCCTGGGGGATTGGAGTTTGCAAAATGCCACTTCCGGTGCCGCTTTTTTCTCATTCCGTATCTGGTGTTTATATTGCTCTTTACATCTTTCAGAACCATTTCATATCCATTTCCTGATTTGAATTTCATGACAACCCCATGAGGTATCATTATCTCCATCTTACAGCAAAGACGGTGAGGCGCTAGAGAGTGATTCCCCACAAGGTCAAATGCCTACTTACAAACTGAGGCAGCACAGGGGCTTGGCTTCCTGGGCGGGTCCAGCTGGTGCCTCTTCTGCCACCCCAAGTCTGCCCATCCTTCACTGAGCAAGTCAGTCGTTCCTCTGCCTCTGCAAAGCCGTCATCCTCTGCCACCACGGGCCCCAGTACCGCCTCCTCCGTTGGATTCTGTAGATAGTGCACTGTCTGCCTCTCTCACTTGCCTAGTTATTCCATCATTCTCTTGTTTACTTAACTTTTCAGTTGTGTACATATATTCCTCACAAGACAATTACAAACAAGGTGTCTGGCATAAGCTTTATTATACCTGCTCTCTTTTTCCCCTCCCCCACCCCCACAACCCGACAAAACCCAATTAAGAGTGTAGGAGACATTTAACAAATACTGGCTGCTGAATGCATGAATGAATGACTTTTTTAATCAAATATAAATTAAACTGATGTCTCACCCAAAGCAGAACTTCTTCTTGCATTAATCCTTGTAGGGCTTTTTCTACTGGCAACAGAGGACCAGTGAGGTGGCTGGTCCTTTTGTTGTTGGTTCACGGAGGAAGATCTCAGGGAGGAAAGTTGAAAGGCCTCTGTCCTGGTGAATTGCCTGGAAAGTGAAAATCTGAGATTCAGATTTCAAAAAAGAGTAACTCTTTGGTGTGGTAAGGGTAAGGGTAGGTGATGGGGTTGTAATGACAGCATTGATGTTTGGGAGACTGTGGGGATTACAGAAGGTCATGGAGCACAGAGATCAAGGACCAGGCTTCAGAATCAGACATCCTTAGGAACCCAGCCCCGCTACCTATAGATTGAGTGGAGGACTTTGGCAAATGGCCTGACCTCTTGTCCACAGCCCCCTGACCTGTGAAGTGGAGATAATGATATTCTCTACACCATAGGGCTGTTATGAGGATGAAATGTGTGAGCCAAATATCTAGCACTTGCCTACCATTTAGAATGGGCTCAAGGCATGGTAGCTCTTGTTCCTACCACGATAGACTCCCTAGGCAGGCTTGGCCCAGGCTTCCTCTCCTGTCTTGGTTCTTCTTTGTGCCCTAAGTAAAGAAGATGGTTTATATCCATCAACCCACAGAGACCCCAACCCGGGCTTTTTGGCCAGTGGGTGCTGGTTTCACACAAAGAACAAGGGGTGGGGGGTTAACAGACACCGGAACTCAACCAAAGAAGCCCATCCCTTCACTCTGAGGGGCTGAAATTCCAGCCTGCCAGTGACCTCCAGAACCTTGGGTTTTTTTAAAGGAATCCTCCAGACAGATCAGACCTACTAGTGCCTATCTTCCTCCTGGCCCAGAATTGATGAGCCCTCACCATTTCATCTTTTCTTTGGTTAGCACAAGGATGAACTCCGCTTTTTGCCTCATTCTCCCATTGGCATAATGACTTACCCTACCATCATTTAAATATCTGAATTCAGAAACTTTCATTAGGGACTTCCCATGACTTTATGGAGGTGTCATGATTAGACCTGTTATTACCACCCCAAATGGGAAAATTGAACATCCACTGCTTTATGAACCCTTCATCACAATTAATGCTGTCTCCAAAACTTCTCATTTATTGGGTTCTCTGGTATAATCATTCCTAATATGTGTTTCAAGACCTTGTACAAGTACAAATAATTTAAACTAATTAGCTTATTATAAAAAAGGAATGAAAACAAATGGCACATGAATGAATTGTGAGGTTTCATATGGAATTAATATCTCCATAATACCCACAAATTTGGTAAATTCATTATGCATCTATAATCAAACCTGATAAATCCCCTAGATAATTCAGAAGTAATTATGCATGAACTGCTGCCACTTATTTGAAAGTGCTACCAAAATAAGAGATTTATTCCCAAGATCCAGTTAGGCTCCAGGATAACTAAGACTAACCTGACATCTCCTGTCAAAATCAGCCATGAGAAATTACACTGACTCTGCCCCCCTGGATGCTGTCCACTGATATCTGGAAAGAGCATGCATGGTTCTCAAAAATAGTCCCTGTTTGAGACATGGAGTGGAGTTTATCACTGGAATTTGTGAGATTTGGGGAAGATGGAGAGGGATTCCCAGTTGGAATAATTATCAAGACTCAGTGAAACACGCAAACTGTGCACCATCCCACCAATTCCCAAAAGACTTTCTTAGTCTAGCTGAGAAATCCTATAGCAAGGAACCATTTTCTCATTTAGACGTGGATTGCAGTTCTTTTCTGATATGGTTTTGCTGTGTCCCCACCCACATATCATCTTGAATTGTACTCCCATAATTCCTATGTGTTGTGGGAGGGACCCGGTGGGAGATAATTTGAATCATGGGGGTGGTTTCCCCCATACTGTTCTCATGGAAGTGAATGTGTCTCATGAGATCTGATGGTTTTATCAGGGATTTTCACTTTTGCATCTTCCTCATTCTTCTCTTACCACTGCCATGTAAGAAGTGCCTTTTACTTCCTGCCATGATTCTGAGATCTTCCCAGCCATGTGGAACTGTAAGTCCAGTTAAACCTCTTTTTCTTCCCAGTCTTGGGTATGTCTTTATCAGCAGCATGAAAACAGACTAATACAGTAAATTGGTACCAGTAGAGTTGCTAAAAAGATACCCAAAGATGTGGAAGTGACTTTGGAACTTGGCAACAGGGAGAGGTTAGAGGGCCCAGAAGAAGACACGAAAATGTGGGAAAGTTTGGAACTTCCTAGAGACTTGTTGAATGGCTTTGACCAGAAGCCTGATAGTGATATGGACAATAAGGTCCAGGCTGAGGTTGTCTCAGATGGAGATAAGGAACTTGTTTGGAAATGGAGCAAAGGAGATTCTTGTTATGTTTTAGCAAACAGACTGGCAGCATTTTGCCCCTGCCCTAGAGATTTGTGGAACTTTGAACTTGACATAGATGATCTAGGGTATCTAGTGGAAGAAATTTCTAAGGAGCAAAGCATTCTAGATGTGACTTGGGTGCCATTAAAGGCATTCAGTTTTATAAGGGAAGCCAAGCATAAAAGTTCAGAAAATATGCAGCCTGACAATGTAATAGAAAAGAAAAGCCCATTTTCTGAGGAAAAATACAAGCTGGCTGCAGAAATTTGCATAAGTAATGAGGAGTCGAATGTTAATCCCCACGATGATGGAGAAAATTCTCTAGGGCATGTCAGAGGTTTTCGTGGCAGCCCTTCCTATCACAGGCCCATAGGCCTAGGAGAAAATGGTTTCATGGGACGGGCCCAGGGTCCCCACGCTGTGTGCAGCCTAGGGACTTGGTGCCCTGCATCCCAGCCGCTACAGCCATGGCTGAAAGGGGCCAATGTAGAGCTCAGGCCATGGCTTCATGGGGTGCAAGCCCCAAGCCTTGGCAGCTTCCATGTGGTGTTGAGCCTGAGAGTGCACAGAAGTCAAGAATTGGGGTTTGGGAACCTCCACCTAGATTTCAGAAAATGTATGGAAACTCCTGGATGCCCAGGCAGAAGTTTGCTGCAGGGGTGGGAACCTCATGGAGAACTTCTGCTAAAGCAGTGCAGAAGGGAAATGTGGGGTCAGAGCCCTCATACAGAGTCCCTACTAGGGCACTGCCTAGTGGAGCTGTGAGAGGAGGGCCATCGCCCTCCAGATCCCAGAATGGTAGATCCACCAACAGCTTGCACCGTTCACCTGGAAGAGCCGCAGACACTCAATGTCAGCCTGTGAAAGCAGCTGGGAGGGAGGCTGTACCCTGCAAAGCCACAAGGATAGAGCTACCCAAGACCATGGGAACCCACCTCTTGCATCAGCATGACCTGGATATGAGACCTGGAGTCAAAGGAGATCATTTTGCAGCTTTACAATTTGCCCCACTGGATTTCAGACTTGCATGGGCCTTGTAACCCCTTTGTTTTGGTCAATTTCTCCCATTTGGAATGGCTGTATTTACCCAATACCTGTACCCTCATTTTATCTAGGGAGTAACTAGCTTGCTTTTGATTTTACAGGCTCATAGGTAGAAGGGATTTGCCTTGTCTCAGATGAGAGTTTGGACTGTGGACTTTTGGGTTAATGGTGAAATGAGTTAAGAATTTGGGGGACTGAGGGGAAGGCCTGATAGGTTTTGAAATATGAGAACCTTAGATTTGGAGGGGCCAGGAGCAGAATGATATGGTTTGGCTCTGTTCCCACCCAAATCCCATCTTGAATTATACTCCAATAATTCCCACGTGTTGTGGGAGGGACCCAATAGGAGATAATTTTAATCATGAGGGTGGTTTCCCCCTTACTGTTCTAGGGGTAGTGAATATGTCTCACAAGATCTGATGGTTATATCAGGCGTTTTCACTTTTGCATTTTCCTCATTTTTCTCTTGCCATCTCCATTTAAGAAGTGCCTTTCACCTCCCTCCATGATTCTGAGGCCTCCCCACCCATGTGGAACTGTAAGTCCAATTAAACCTGTTTTTCTTCCCATTCTCGAGTATGTCTTTATCAGCAGTGTGAAAACTGACTAATACATTTTCCAACATGACACACCTGAAATTGTAGGACTGTGATTTTAGCCACTCATTCAACCAGGCAAAATGAATTTTCTACCCTTTGGGCTACCATATTTATTTCTAGCTTTCTTAAAACATAGCTCATTATTTATTTTAGATATAGTTCCTATTTGATCATGTGCTTCTTGAAGATTATCACAGCACTATTTATTACATGCACTCATTACATACATATATATGTTCAACAAATTTTAAATATCTGTGCACTAGGCATTGATACATCAGTCAATAAAACAAATAGCTAAGACTTCATGGGGCTGACATTCTAGTGGAGGAGACATGAAATGAACAAATAAAGATGAATCATGTCAGATGGAGATAGGCACTCTACAGCCAGGTAAAACAGGGAGAGGGATATAAAGTACTCCTATAGGCGTGGGGTGCACATTTTAAATAAGATGGTCAGTCCCCAAGAAGGTGGCCACCGAGCAATGTCTTGAAGCAGGGGAGGGACCGAGGACAGGACATCCCAGGCAGAGGGAACTGCATAAGTGCAAAGACCCTGAGGCAGGAGCATGCCTGGTGAGTTTCAGGAACAGCAAAGAGGCCAGCACAAGTGCACTCATCCATTCTCTCATTACTATAAAGAAGTACGTGAGACGGGGTAAAAAGGAAAGAAGTTTAATTGACTCACGGTTCTGTAGGCAGGCACAGCTGGGGAGGCCTCAGAAAACTTACAATCATGGTGGAAGGCAAAGGGGAAGTAGGCCCATATTAGATGGCCAGAGCAGGAGGAAGAAGTGAAGGAGGAGGTGATACACACTTTCAAACAACCAAATCTCGTGAGAACTCACCATCACAAGAACAGCAAGGGGGAAATCCACCCCTGTGATCCAATCACCTCCTACCAGGCCCCTCCTCCAACACTGGGGATTACAATATGACATGACATTTGGGTGGGGACACAAATCCAAACTGTATAAGCAAGCAAAAGGAAGAGTGAAGATTAAGTCAAAGTGTAACAACGAGGCCAGACCCCGGAGAGCACCATGAGTCATGGAGAGGGTGTTGGCTTTCATTCTCAGTGAGATGGAATGCTCTGCACCGTTCTGAACAAAGGAACGGCTCCCTCTGACTTAGGTTTTTAAAAGCACTACTCAGACTGCCCTGTTGAAACTAGACAGCAGAAGACAAGGATGGAAGCTGCGAGACCAATTAGGAGGCTCTGGCCGCCATCCAGGCACAGGGTCCAAGTGACTTGGACCAGGGGGTAGCCTTGGAGGGGCAAGAAGACCAGATTCCAAATTTACTTTGAAGGAAGAACCAAAGGGATTTGCTGACAGATTTGATCTTCGCTGTAAACTTTTGGGCTCCCAGCAGAGTACCTTACACTAAAAGGTGCCTGATAAACGTTTGCTGAATGAAAGGAGTAAACGTATGCATAAATGAAGTATTCAAATAACTTGGACCCTGGTGAGAGGGGTGGGGTTGAATTTGATTAGAGGGAAAGGGGTATACCTCATATATCTCAGTCTCCCTCCTGGGGCTGGGTTTCCTTACCTAGCAGAAACTCATTAAATATTTGTTGGATGCGTGAATAGACAAGTTAATTAAAACGGGCATGCAAGGCTTGGGAGCTTATTCTGATTTCCAGCTAGAAACCCCAGCAGACAAGCACTGGGGCTTGGAGATTTTTCTTTCTATAGCTCCTGGCAGAGTAGCAGGGGTGAGCCTGGGCTCCCTAAATATTGTGAAATGCTGTCCATGCTGAGGTCCCCATCAGACTTGCCTAGAAAAGTGCCTAAAATGAAAAGTGCCGAGCCTCCTGTTTGTCAGTGGTTGGAAGATGAGTAATACTTTCTAAATGCTTAAGTGTCATCATCATTACTAAATTGCTGTAGGAATAAAAATTCAGTTTATACCATTGAGGATCATTAAAGTCTCTTTTAAATCTGATGCCAAAATTGAAATAATTGGCTCATCGGTGGTGCAACATGTGATATGACCACATTGGCTTGTGGGGAAAAACGTTGTCTCAACATGAAGAAAAGAACAGGAGCTTGGGTAGGTAGATTGGTTTTGTTGGCAAAGAATTGCTACATTGCAATTACAATTGACAGCATAGATCATGATTAAAAATACTTGGGGTGGCCGGGCGCAGTGGCTCACTCCTGTAATCCCAGCACTTTGGGAGCCCAAGGCGGGTGAATCACTCAAGGTCAGGAGTTCGAGACCAGTCTGGCCAACATGGTGAAACCCCGTCTCTACTAAAAATACAAAAGTTAGCTGGGTGTGGTGGTGCATGCCTGTAATCCCAGCTACTCAGGAGGCTGAAGCAGGAGAATCACCTGAACCCAGGAGTTGAAGTTTGCAGTGAGCCGAGGTCATGCCACTGCACTCCAGCCTGAGCAACAGAACGAGACTCTGTCTCAAAAAAAAAAAAAAAAAAATACTTGGGGCACAAATTTAGAGTTGCAGAAAAATAAATGGATTTTGCAATTAGACAAGAGTTTTAAATCAATTGGATTTTCCAAGGCATGGTTAAATTTTGTTTCAAGAGGTCAACTGCAGATCAGAAATACTGATACCCAGTGCAGGAAGGCACTAACAAGAACAAAATAAATAACAATAATAATAGATTGAGCTACAGTCTAAGAACAAAGATGTGTTTTAAATGAAAATCATTATTCACAGATGCTAGAGCACAAACCCAGACCGATTCAGTGCTGACTCGAAGGTACAAGGGGGACCCACTGGGCGATCATATCGCGAACCTGCAGATGCTAATGCTGACCTGTTTGGGGGGTGGGGTGGGTTAATTAGCTGCCGGCTGTAAAGCATTATTGCCTTGCTGAGTATTATTATTTTAATAAAAGAGGCTCATGAAAACGTCTCTGGTGGTAACTCATGAAGAATCATTTTGAGGACAAGAGTACTCGTACATCATTCCGAGTGCCGCCTATGTATTTGAGTATCAACAAAAAATTTACTGTTTAAACATAAATCTCTGGGAGAAGTTGAAGTTAATTAAAAAGGTTTAACAGCATATGCATTAGTATTAGCCCTGGCCCTCTTTAGCATGGAAGGAAGGAAAGGAAATAAAATAAGGTGTGTGAGGAAGCAGTAATGTAGGCATTTAATTAAATGTGGTCCAAAGCATAGGCGAAGACACCACCTTATCTGCCATTCAGTACAACGAGGGAGAATGGGAGGCAGGGAAATGTTCCCTGAAGAGCTGTGTGTGTTTTTAATTAACAAAGGCTTTGAGAGTCCTTCTTACCTTTTCTTCTTCAGAAACCTAGAATTTCACCTCGTGCCATGATGCTTCCATTTAGATGTGGAAGGCCTCTGGTGGAACACTGTAGCCCAGTTCAAGTGCATATTCTGATTTATGCCCGGCTATTACTCATGAATTCTTTCATTCATGCCACAAATATTTCTAGAGCTCTCAGTCTGCATAATGCAGGGTACCCTGTAGCCTGAGAGGCTGCGGAGATGGTCTGGTCTCTGCCCTCAAATGGCTCACGGTGGAAGGAGAAAGGCTGGCATACCAGCAGCACCGTGTGGTAAATGCTCTGGGAGAGAAGTATTCAGGATTTGAGGACCACACATGAAGACGCTGGAGGTCTTCATAAAAACTGAATACTGCAATTGGCCCATGACCACAACCGCAGGGAACTCAAGTTGAGAATATTTCATTAGCATTTGAATTGTTACGATGTCAGTCTGCATCCCTTCACTTTCTGGTCCCACTCTATCTTCCTCCAGCTTTTTCCTTCATAACGCCCAGTCTGCACCCCTCTTGCGATATATTCAGAATATGCTGTGTTCACTTCACCTCTGCTCATTTATCCACTCTCCCATTGACTGAAATGCTCCTCCCACTTCAACCCCAACCCCTCCCTCAAGGTTCATCCCAAGTCCTCACCTCTTCCAGGGCATAGATTTTAGCTCTCCTGGGCTGCAACGGTGCCTTGTAGGACTTGGCACGTTCGCTGTTTGTCAGGAGGGCTGGTCAAAGGCACCAGGCTCAAGCTATTTGTGACCAGCACCACACATTTTAGCACTTAAAATATTTGCTAGCTTTGTACATCTATAGATTATTATTTGTTCCATAGATGTTCTTTGACCCTCCAACTTAAAAACTTTAACTCTTTGAGGCATTTAATAGGAGACGGATAAATTCATCCTGCATATTGTTTTCCACAGACTCACTTCAATTTCAGCAATTTGCCCCAATATTTCCATCCACTGTACCATCTCTTTATTCTTCTCACCTCATCTGCAGGTTTTCTGGACATGACTCCATCTTCCTCTAGGATTTTAGTACCAGGCTTTCAGCCCCCACCCCCAACCCATGTCTTCACCAGCTTCATCCTTGGTGATTTCAGTCCTCCCAAGCCTCTGACCTCCTCAGGTCCCAGCAGTCTTCCCCCAAGTGACCTGCATCTACCCCATTTGCATCTTGAAATGCACGACTCAAAACTACTGAACATTCAGCTCCAATTGTCAAAGTTCTTCTCTGTCCTCACTCATTTTCTCACTCCCTCTTGACCTACTTTTTGGCCTTCCCTTGGTCTTCAATCTTTTCATCCTTTCCTATTTTCCCACTTCCCTTGGTGGCTCCAGTCCCTGAACTCTATTAGCCTCATGTTTTACCTCTACTATTAGTAACACTCAGCTTTTCGTCCTTCTGCCTACTTGATTTTCCAGTTCCCAGTTCTCATAGCCCACTATACACTGGATCTACTTCAATCTACCATGCTAGTCCCCTAAATCAAGAGTTATTTTAGCCCCTTTTCAATGACATCCTTTCCCACACTTTCAGCCATTAACCCTATGAGGCTGATGCCACTTCCTTATATCTAGTTCTGGACGATGGCCTGGACTGTAGGCACATAGTTCCAGCTAGACTGAGCATCTGCACGTGGTTTCCTACAAGGTCCCTAACTCTCCATCTAGCACATAGCTTACCTTCCTGCAAAAACTCTTGCCTTTTCTCTGTGTTCTCGAGCTAGAGTTGACATCATGATCTTTTCAATTCTTTCTCCCTAAATGCTCAGGGTCAGCTTTGCTCTTCCTCCCCTCATTCTCTTCATCTTTTTGGTCACCAGTTCATAATAACTCTTTTCTATTTCCTCCATTTCTACTGTCACCAGCTTTGTTAAAATCCTCACGTAATCTCACTGAGATTACTGCTGCCTCCAAACTCCTCTCCCTATCTCCAATTCATCTTCAGTACAATCCTACTCATTGTGTTGCCACATTGATCTTCCTAAACCACAGTTATGCCTTGCTCCAGAATCCCTACTAATGCACTTTTGCCCAAGGATCAAGTCTATATCATCAGTGTAGAGATAAAGATTTGCCATGATATCGCCTCAGCCTACATCTTCAGTCCTATTTCCCACTAGTCACCTTTCCCTGAACCATGACCTCCTCTTTTCCACTTCAATACTCATGTTTTTTCCCTCTGTCTGAAATAGCTTCCATCTGCATGTGTTAAAATCCTCTTCAAGACCATCTCAAATTCCATCCTTCCTGTAAATTTTAGCCCAATCTCTTCAACTATTGATGAGCTCCCCTCTGTGTTTCCCTAACATTTTCTTTATTTGTAATTCATTAGTTTAATAAATATTAATTTATTGAGCATCTGCTATGTACCAAGAACTTTAATATGCATTATCTTCTTTAATTCCCATGTTAACCCTATGAAATAGATACCATTAATATTCTTGTTATAGAAATAGGAAAATTGAAGCTATGCTTGTTTACATTTTCTGCCCAATATTACAGAATTAGTAAGTGGCAGACTCAGTTTTCCAATCTGATTCCAGTGCTCATGACATCTGCCTAGAGTTGTGTCTCCTTTATTACAATATGCCTTGCATTGGATGGATGGATAGATGGATGGATGGATGGATGGATGGATGGATGGGAGGGAAGAAGGGAGGCCAAAGTACCTTTTTTTTACCCTTTTACTTTGTAGGATCCTTGTACTCTGGAACCATGCTTGGTTCACCTTTGAATTTCTCACTTCAAGCCTGACACAGAGGAGATGCTTGATAAATGTTTACTTTGTTCAACTGGATGTACAGTTCAGAATTTTGCACATACAAAATCATAACCCTTGAAGGGACATAAAGACATTCTTTCATCCATCCCCCTGCCTCCAGAAGGCTGTTCTTATGTGACTCTGGTTCTAGCCTACCCCTTTTGTGTCATTCCTCCTACAATTGCAATCTGCCGTAACCACTTTCCTTTCCTGTAAGATGCTCTTGACCTTTATGGGACTTCTTCTTTGCTCCTTGGCCTACTTCTAAGAGGTTCTCTTGGAGATGGTGGTCACCCAAGAAAATCAAACATGTATTTCCTAGAGTAAGAGTTTGCTTGGAAAAGGCAGAGGAAAGGGGATGGGGAATGGAAAGTGCAGGGCAGAGTTAACATTTCTAGTGAGTCTAGCTTGGGCTAGGCCACATTGTAATGTGCTTTCACAGAGAGGCAATTTTCTTCCCCTCCTGTTCCCTGTAGGAGTCCTGGAATAAATGCAATGTTATCTCCCAGGAAGGCATTGCCTAGTGTGGGCATAACCACAGTGTTTACAGGGAGACTTGGCGCAAACAGAGCCTCTTGCTGGTCTCAGAAATGGGGAAAGTGAGAACTAACCACCAACCCCAATGAGACCAGTGCAGGAAGGATTTTGAAGTTTGGACTAGAAGGCAGGAAAGCATCTGTCAAAAATCTATTACTTGATGCACTAACAAGATTGTTGGAGGTCCCTCCCCTCCCATGGGTTATGGAGATCCACCCTTTCCAAAGGGGCCTCTGGCTCTCTGTGAACAGCCCAGCAGTCGCTCACTGGGATCTGGGCTCCATCTGCAGCATCTAAGGACATCGGTACATTTCTGAGCATTTCAGAAGGAAGCTCCTCCCCACTAGACACCTACTTTTCATATAATGGAGAGAGGATCCTTCCCTAACTGCCACTTGAAGTTGCAGAATTGACACGTTCCTGACCTGAGAAAGAGTGGAAGTTGAGGATGTGCACATGTAAGCAAGGGGACTGTGGTGGGAACCTCAGTGAGTATTACGTGGTTTTAGATGGAATTGGATTTACTCTGAGTTCTCACATATGCTATAAATTCATATATAATGGTGTATTTACATAGCATAATAAATGCTATGCAAATATGCTGGAGCCTCTGGGTACAAAGAGAGAAGGAGAAAGACTTGTGTTATGTAATAGGGGTATGGAGTCAGCTGCAAGGGTGCAGTGGGACATGATGCAGCCACTATCCCCATAAGAAGCCAGGAGGCTGGTGTTGTAAATGTCTGCGACCTGTAAATGGATTGGTGAGACATATCCCACTGGCCAGAATGTTATTTGCTCACAGTCTAGGTGGTAATAGCAATTTTCTCCCTTCCTGTTGTTGCTAATGTCAAAGGTATCCTTTTACCTCAGGTATTTGTAGCCAGAATCTGTAAAACTCATGACACCCTGCACCCTGATCTGATGAGAGTGGCAAGTAGCTTTGTGACCACCAAGAGGCTCTTCAGAGACAAGGCCTGGAGTAGAGACCCTGCTAAACCCAGAACCATGACTGTAACAACCATCTGAGCAACAAGTGATGAGGCTCGGGCCAAGAAAGTAGCAGAGGAAGTGGTGAGAGGTGGTTGGTTTATAATATATTTTGAGACAACAGGCTACATTGACAGATTGGATGTGGGTGTGAAAGGAAGAGAAGAGTCTAGGATCACTCACTTCAAGTTTCCTGGTCTGAGTAACTGGAAGGATAAAATTGCCACTGACAAGTTTATCATCTTCTTCAAAGATGAAGAAGACCGTGAGAGGGGCAGGCCTGTGGGAGAAGACCAGGAGTTCTTTTCGGAGCATGTGAAATTTGAGATGCCTGTTACACATTGCAAGTGGAGGGGAGAACTAGGCAATTGGATAGATGAGTCCAGAGTTTAGGGGGTGGTCTAGGCTGTGGATACAAAATTGAGAGACATCAGAGTAGAGTCGGTGTTTAAAGCCATAAGATTGAGAAGAGATCCAAGGACTCCAATATGAAGGTCAAGGGGAGGAGATGCCAGCAATAAGTCAGTGACGTAGGAGGGAAATGACTAGAATGGAGAACCCAGGAATATTCTTTCATGCATGCCTCCATTCTGAGCGACCCCTCATACAGAGTTAGGCATAGTCTTCAACCCAAGGGTCCCATGGTTCATTCCAGATTCAGAAAGAACCCATGTGAAACAGCAGCAAGTAATATGAGAGGGTGTCTCTTTAAGACCATGCTGTAAGGTTCAGACTAAATGCTATGAGGTGTATTAATCTGACTGCTGGACCCTCTTCGCCACACATTTCAGGTACAAGCAGCCCAGAAGGAAAAAGCTGACTTAATTCAGAGGCCAAATTCTTCTCTCAGATCTATGCATGTAATGTATGCAGGGAACAGATTGGAATGCTTTTGATGTTGCTAATCTGAACTGACAGTCTGTTTGCTAGTTCCGGATGAGGATGCCTTTTAATTCTGTGTGTGCGCGTGTGCGTGTGTGTGCGCGCGCACACGCGCGTCTGTGTGTGTGTTGTGTTCAGTTAGTCTTGACAACCTCCTTTCCCAAACCAAAGTGGGTCCCCAGGAGCCCCACATACCCACTGCCCATGGCTATTCCTCAGGGTGGGTCAGTTTCCACTCTACAAATGACAGAAGCTCTCGGGGACCACTCACCAGCTGAAGGGTGAGTGAGATAGACAGAAAATCATAGAGCTTCTATGCCTTATTTTTTTAGTACAATGCAGGGTAAAATAAAACAGTACTGGCTTGGGAAGGTGGGAGATTAATTGTCTTCTCTGGGCACGTTCATTTCATATTCATTGTCACAGTACTGATCGTAATGAAGTTATTTAGTATTCATGCAGATGTCACATCAAGTTCCTCCATAGATGCTTTACTGTAATTTAGCATAAGTTAATGGATATCTATATTAAAGTGTTCCCAATTAAGCAAGTGGCCTTTCTATTCTACAAGCCAGATTGGATTGGATGGCCATGAAGCGTAATCAAACTAAGCCTTCTCAGATCCCAGCCACAGAGGTCAAACCTGAAATGAGTTTAGCTCCTTCTTGTGTCTATTTCACAAGAATCCTAGTGGCTCAAAAATAACTTTGTAAATGACTGATCCAGACAGATGAGTTGGAAAGTGGGTGATTGATGGGCCCAATATATTTGAACAAAATCAACACCAGGGAGAATATTAATTGTACAAGTAGGGCCAGCTAGCAGAGCAGACGAAAGAATAGAGTCAGGATTAGCCGATCTCATCTCCAGCTTGCAGAGCCCTGAGACTTTCAGCAACTGTCCTGGGATGCAATTGGTGGTTGGTTAGCATCTGCCTTCTTAACTCTCCTGGATTAGAAGCTGCCACATTGGAAATGGTTTATTGAGCTCAGTAGAGGTTACTTTTAAAGGCTTAAGGGATTGGGTTCCATTAAAAAATATATACAAACAACTTTTAAATGAGGTTTGGTAAAGCAAAGGAACGTTTTTCCTTTTGCTTACCCAGAGGTACAAAAAGAAAAGGACCCAAAAATCCAAACAGAAATACAAATAGCTGCCTAGATCTTCATTGGAGACAGGCCTGATTCAGTCAATATGTAAGGTTTCTTTTTTTAAAATGTTATCAAAAGGTCAGAGCCAGTGGCCTTTGAAGGCAAATCTCATCTGACAGGTGGCCCTCCAGAGCTTAAGTTTCCAGATCTATTAGCACCGAAGTGTTTCTCTTAACTGGGCTTTGGGATGATTGGGGGGCTGGCCAAGTCATGAAGAAACTGGAAACTTTGGCAATGCAGCCCAGGACTGAGAAACACCAGCGAGATAAATAGAGATGCCTTTCAAATTACTTGTGAATCTTAATTCATTCAATTAAAAAAAAATCATTAAAGTGTACTGTCCAGCCCCCGGGGATGCAGTGGTAAGCAAAACAGAGCTTACATCATCTAGAAAAGGAAATAGGTAATTACTCAATATCCAGACATTGTGCCTGCTGTCACTGGGGCCATGGGGAGACGGGGTGATGCCTGGGTCATTAGCCGGCTTTTGAAGACTAAAGTCCTTTCACATAGCGATTCCTCCACAGCAGCAACCTTCTCACCAAGGTTCCTACACTAAATGAATTTCAAGCCCTCAAGCTGGGCTCCCATTCACTAAAGCTCATCTAAGACTACAACTGCCCACCAAATAACTGCAGTGACGTGAACATATAGGATAAGTGAGGGAAAGATACGGAGGGAGAATTATCCACGGACTATGGGGCTACCCACCCCAGCCCGCCTAAGGCAAAACAGCTGCCTCTTCATCTGAATGCTTCAGCTTTTTGTTAATATTGCTCCACATTTATGCAGTAATGATTTCTATGTCTAATGCAGATTCTGTGACACTAGGCCAGACTCAGTATAGAACACAGAACAACTCTTGGGTTTAGCTCAGCAAGAGGACTGGTGAAACATCAAGAGTTCCTGGGTGCCCTAAGGAGAGGACTGACTTTAGTTGCAGCCAGAGGACAGACAAGTACGTTTTTCCAACAACAGGAGATGATGGAATGAACAGGGAACATTGTGGAGATTTAGATTCTTTAAGAACAAGCAAGGTGTTTCTATTCCTATCTCTCTGGCATGTTTTAGGAAAATTCTGTCAAGAGGAAATGGGATTACTTAAATGTTCCAAATTCTCAAATTCTGAGAAGTCAGTGCTAAACCCCAAAGCAAAGCCCATTATTATTCCTCTTCTGAGCTTCCCATTCCCAGCACATTACAATGCTCTACAAAAATTTGAGTAAGTATAGATTTTACAGGTTTCCATTTGTTGAGCCTTAGTTCCACACGCATACCAATGAAAGCAAACTCTGCAAAGCTAAATTCTCTCCATTCCTCAATATTTAAGCATTTCCCTCTCAGAGGAGCTGCCCCTGCTGCTCACTGACTCATGCTCCCACTGTGCTCTTGGCATGTTTTCCACTGTACAATGGTCATCGGTTTACTTGCTAGTCTTCTCAGCTATCATGTGTATGTCCTTAAAGCCCAGTGCTAGGCTTGGCACATTGTAGACATTGTGTAAATGTTTCCTAGATGGATAGATGGATAAATGGATGGAGCCACTGATTATTAGTTTTTGCTAAGGAAAACCCTCCTCTGCATTTTTATCTTTTTTTAAGTGACCATCCGCAGAGATATCCAGACTTAGACAGAGAAGGTTCTCTTAGGTTCTCCATTCTCCAAGTAGATTTCATCAGCCCAGACAGCACTAGCCATGTTTTTATCAGGATTTAGATGAGTCATTTTTTTCTTTGAATTGAAATAAACCTGTAGGTTGAATTTGCAAGAGGAGAAACTAGCTAAATGTGCCCACCAGGGTTCTGGACAAATAGGCAGAGGCTTGAGCAGGAGGCTGGAGGCTGGGAGGGAGGAAAGTACCCAGAGGCTGACCCATAGTGCTAAGCAGGAAGCACAACGTCTGCAGTGGGAACATGAGGCCAAGGGCCAGTGGAGGGAAAGATAGTGTCGGTAATAGCATTTGGAACATGCAGAAGAGGGAAGAAGCGAGAAGAGGATGATTACAACATGATTCACTAATGCTGCTACTGCTAATTACTGAATTTTCCCAGTTACTCTGAAATCAGCCCATATGGAAATCAAAACTCAGCATACCAGTGAGGAAGTTCCATTCTCCACCTCCAAAAATAGGTCCAGCTAAAAAACTTACTTTAGTCTAGGTTTTCCAGAGTATGATGAGGCAAAGGCAGTAACAGAGTAGGGGAGTAGGGAGGGGCTGAGTCATCCTGCAGAGGAGACAACTCACCACCCTGATCTCTACCCCTCCCCTAAGCAGGCATTGAGACTAGAGAAGTGAGGAGGAAGGGAGGTAGCCTAGTATTACTAAGTGCCTACCCTCCTAGGGACTTTCACATCGCCTTTTTATCCCTCAGTCATCTCTTTTTATCTTCCAGTAATGCCATGATATAGGTGTTACTTTCATTGTATTGATGTGACAATGGCATGCAATGGCATTAAGTGCCTTGCCTAAGGCTATAGAGTAAGTGGTTAAACCGGGATACAAATTCAAGTCCAGATCATCCGGACTCCTAGTTGGCATTATTGCTGCATCCCCTGCTGTTCTGAGGTGGTACAAAGGGCCTAGCTTAGCCCATCAGGCCACAACCGTAACCAGCAAAACAAAGGTCTCAGGCAGATACCAAGACACAAGAAAGGGTGCTGGCAGCAGAGCAGGCAGTAAGCTGGGTCCAGGAGGGCAGAAGAAAAGACAGGAGACTAAGGTAAGACTCAGAGAGCAGTGAGATCTGGGGGGCAGGATGAGGGGCAGACACTCAAATGTCTGTAATGTGAGCCCAACACGAAGGCAGAGCTGCCACATATCCAGTGGCTTTATGCCTTTTTTCTATCAGGGTTAATTCCAAGGTTTGGGCATCACAGACTCTCAACAGAACAAGTGCCAGAAGGGAGAAAGAGGAAGGCACTCACTTACAGGGCATCTGTTAAACGGCAGATGCTGGGTTACCAGTCTCTTAATTTTATCCTCCCAATTCTTTGAAATGGGTATTTCCTCCGTAGCAAGCAAACACAACTAGCTCAAAAAGGAAATAACAATAATAGTCCACATTTATTGAATGCTTAGCACATGCCATGCCCTGGGTATGCCATAAGTATCCATTATTTTATAATGCTAAGGATAGTGCTATTACCCTTCCCATTTTTACAAATGAAGGAACTAAAATTCAAAATTCTATATGACTTCCCCAAGGTCCTAAAAATAGTAAGTGGCAGAGTTGTGAGGTAGCCCCATCTCTGTCACTCTAAGGGGGCTGGTCTTCAGAGCAGACTTTGACTCAGGGGCATTCAAGTCTTACAGGAATCACGTCGCTTCCTCCACTGATCCCTCCCGCTACCTGTAGGCCTGCTGGCCCTGCCCATGACCCAAAAATAACCAAGTTGTTCCCTAGAATGGTTTGTTATTTTCATATTGGGAATGAGAAACAAAGAGGATGTCTTGAGGGAGAAGGACAGGGTGTCTCATTCATGGGACACACTCTGCCTTTTACCTGGTATTTTTATACCAATCGCCTCTTCAGATTACCACAACAATTCTTCAGATCAGTAGAACAGGTATTCCCAGCCACATTTTACAGATAAGGAAGCTGAGGCCTCAAGAGCTTTGATGACGTGAGCAGATATCCAGCTGGGGTCAAAGCCACATCTTAGTCTAGGTGTGTCTGACTTGTGGCCCAAGATCTCTGGTTACTCTGGGCTGGCAGGGGGGCTCGTTGCTGGGGGTGTACAATGGGAACCCAGCATCCAGCCTTCTCCTCCCTCCCTATCTCCTCCTCCAGGCCATCAGCCACTGTTCAGCCTTCTGTCCAACTCTCCCATGGCTCAGAAGCCCAGAGGTGCTGAGGGCCTTGGAGCCAGCCAACCAGCCCAGCCCTTTTAATGAGGAAGCTTCTCTGCTCCCTCCAATCCATAACATAACCCTGAGGTCTAACCTCTGTATATATCACTCACCTATGTGGGACCAGGGAGGAAAAACATGGAGACCGTGATTTGCTCTGGACTGGGAGGGGTTACCTTCTGCCTTGGAGGGAAGCACCTGGCACCCCCCATGAGTGGATTTAGAAGGGAAGCCTCTCTGCAGTAAGCAATGCCCACACTTGCTGTGCCTGCCTAGAGGTGGAGCTGTCCAGCCCTGCCTCACTGCAGACCCTTTTGTTGGGTTCAAGGTTCAATCCTGCTCATTGAGCAAAAGGTCAATCCTTAAAAGAAAAAGTGTTCTTTGTGCTCATTCTCAGACTATATTACTCCTGATCGAGGAGAAGTTTAGGGGCAAGAAGAGCCCAGAAGCTGGAACTGTCCCCACTTGCTGAGTGGAGCAACTGTAGACCAGAGCTGTGAGAAGTGCTGTGCTGCTTTCTTCCCTGGGTGCATATACCCTCCCTCCACACTTCCCTAGTGCAATCAGTCCCCTTGAAGACAGGAGAGGCAGTGAGGCTTAGTGGAAAGAGCACCAGCAAGGGCCTCCGAGAGGGCGCAGACCTGTAGCCTAGGACCGAGGATGGATATTTGCAGGAATTTGATTCTTTACTGAGCAGGGAGCAAGTATTCTAGGCTAGGGGGCAATGGAGTGCAAGAGCTTGGTGAGAGAGGACTGCATTCCACCCGATGCACTCTTTGCCAGGTGCACACAGCAGGTACAAGGGACCTGGTTCCCTTTAAGTCTTTTTTGAGAAAAAAGGCAAACCTTAAACCCTGAGGACCCAAGAGTCAAGCTTCATTTCCCCTGCAAAGCTCCCCGCAAGCCTCTCCAGCCCAAGTGGCGCCTCCACTCAAATCTACAGAGACTTGTTCCGAGTCCATTAGCTGCTACACCTTGATCAGGTCCAGAAGGGTCCCAGGCACCACGAGAGAGGGTAGATGTTAGCCTGGGGGGCTGAAAACTATGGTATTGTGATGAGCACAGGCTCCTGGCTCTCACTGGCCAGCGGTACAATACAGGGAACAATGGCACCTTCCACATTCAATTATTGTGAAGACTGCATGAATGCATGGAAAGTGCATGTCATAGGGTCCGGCACAAAGTAGATGCTCAGCTGTTAGCTCTTGCTGCTCTCACTGTTCAGGGAAAGTAGAGTAGGGTCTGATTCCACCTTACTCAGAGCCTTCGGTACCGGTGAACAGAGCAATACAGACAACACACCCAGTCTGCATGTAAATTGGCCTTCGACACTGGATCACCCCAGAAAAAGAGAACGTGTTCCCTTCCAACTGGAGCTTTGGAGGAAGCTAAGCCAGATTACCACACCTGACCCCCAGAGCAGGAGGGAAGGATGCCCCAGTGCACTCAGGTCTCATTCATGTGGACTACGCTGTACTTTCTGAAGAGGTGGAAGGAGGTAAGAAATACTGTATGAAGAGGGACATTGCAGTGGGAACATGACTAAACCATGTGAACAAAATCTCTGTTACTTATGCTCTTCCTGTTCTTTTCATGTCTACACTGTAGATACGTTGCCAGTACCTGTGGTTCTGCCTAAATAAACATACTTGCTGGTACAAAAACATACACTGATGGATGATGGAAAAGGAAGACAAGACAGTGTTTTTCTTAGACCCTTTTCATTGCTGTAAAGGAATACTGGAGGCTGGGTAATTTGTAAAGAAAAGAGATCTAATTGGCTCATGGTTATGTAGGGTGTGCAAGAAGCATTGTGCCAGCATTTTCTTTTGGTGAGGGCTTCAGGAATCTTCCGCTCATGGCAGAAGGGGAAATGGAGCTGGGATGTGCAGATCACAGAGCAAGAGAGGAAGCAAGGCGAGGGGGAGGTGCCAGGCTCTTTTCAACAACCAATTCTTGTGGGAACGAAGAATGAGAACTCACTCACTCCCAGGAGCATGAGAATGACACCAAGCCATTCATGACAGATCCACCCCCACAACCCAAACACCTCCCACCAGCCCCCACCTCTAACACTAGGAATCAATTTTTTTGTTTGTTTGTTTCTCTTTATTTCTTCTAAAAATGAGATAGGTGTGCAGACTTGCAGGTTTGTTCCATAGGGATACGTGTGCCATGGTGGTTTGCTGCACTTATTGACCCATCCTCTACATTCCCTCCCCTCACCCCCACCCCACAACAGGCCCCGGTGTGTGTTGGGAAATCAGATTTTAACACGAGACTTGGGACTCGGCATGGCCAAACATACCATACCCAAATCATGGCAGTGCTTAGACTGGATTTTAATAGAGAATGATTTTTTAAGTTTATTTATTTTTTTTAGACAGGGTCTCACTCTATTGCCCAGGCTGAAGTGCAGTGGTGATAGAGCAACCTCTGCCTCCCAGGTTCAAGTGATTCTCCTGCCTCAGCCTCCCGAATAGCTGGGACTACAGGCGTGCACCACCACACCAGGCTAATTTTTGTATTTTTAGTAAAGAAGGGGTTTCACCATATTGGCCAGGCTGGTCTCAAAATCCTGACCTCAAGTGATCTGCCCACCTCGGCCTGCCAAAGTGCTGGGATTACAGGCATGAGCTACCGCGCCTGGTCTTTTTTTTTTTTTTTTTTAAGTTTAGACTCCAAGTGCCTGGGCATTGGGAGATAAAAATTGATGAGGAGACATTAGTATACTTGTTACAGCAGTGGCTAATATGCAGTGGAGGAGGCTTGTGGCAGGGAAGGAGGATGAGCAAGAAAATAATAGAGACAAGAAAGTAAACGCTCCGTGCTGAGAGTAGAGAGAGGGGAAGGTAAGAAGGCAATCTGTGTTATTGCCAATGTGTCAGTCACAATTACTTACGAGTGGGAAAAGTAATAAAGTTACATTATTCACACATTACGTGTAACAAGCTATTCAGTGCTGCCTTCCTCCGAGCCAAATATTGTGATAATTTTAGAGATCATAACTTAATTGAACAATGAATTAATAATCTCATGTGTGGACATTTTCCTTTCGTGTGTGTGTATAAACCAAAAAGCCTGAGGTTTTCTTCCCATTCTCTGGGTCACACCACAGTCAGTGAAGCAAGACATACACAAATTTCTCACCCCAGGGAGAGACCCACAAGGGCAATTCTTTCTGTATCTGAGGTTTCTGCAGCCCAGAAGAAGAGCCCTGATTAGAGAAATTCAGCTAAAGACTCATAGGCATTGCCTTATATCTGTGGTCCTCAAAGTGTGAGACCACACCAGCAGCATCAACCTGACCTGGGAACTTATTGGAAATTCAGATTCTTGGGCCCCTCCCAGACCTCCTGAATCAGTAGCTCTGGTAGTGGGGCCCAGTAATCTATGTGATGGCCTTCCAAGTGATCCCGGTGTCAAATAAAATTTGAGAACCACTGCTTTATGTAGTCTAGGTGGCCTGGAACCCAAGAGTGAGGGGTTTCTGAGAGTCTAGGAAGCCATCCTTTCCCCCTAAATGGCTCAAAATCAGAAAGTAACAATGAGAAAAGTGAGGCAAGGTACATAATCCATAAGACCAGGAGTCAGGTATCTAGGCCTGCATCCAGGCTTCCTGACTCTGGAGAAGTTATATAGCCTCACAGAGCTTGTTCATCTGCAAAATAAGGATAATAATTTCTGCCTTTTGTGAGATTGTTGTAGGAATAAAATGAGCTAATGGATTTGAAACTGCTTTGAAAGCTACAAAGTGCTAACAAAAGTAAAGGATTGTTATTATGTCAATACAGGAAAAGGCTGTGACAGCATGACATGTACTCCTGCTAAAGATGCAAATCACCTCAGGGTGAATTGGTCTTGCCTGCACCACCCCCACACACTTCTCCCTCAGGGTGTTCTCTCCTCACCTCTCTCCATCTCAATTTCCAACACACAGGGGCCCACCTGTCCTGAGCAGAGCTAATGGAAGTGTGGCTTATGGGGAGGAGGGATGGAATCTGCTCAGAATCTTCCGATTCTGCATATGAACAACTTCAAACTGTCTGTGAATAGGTGCCTTGTGCTGGGGTTTGAGAATTCCAGTGCGAATGCCATACGTTCTGCTTCAAACTCTGGCTCCGACATTTGCCAGCTGTGTGGCCCTCATCAAGCCGCTTAGTTACTCTTTGACCCGGTTTCCTCATGTGTAAAATGGCAGTAACAGTGAACACTAGAGATCTGCTAGAGATCTGTGAGAATGAATTCAGATGATATTTGCAAGCTGTGGCACCTAGAGGTTGCTGAATACATAGCAGAATGAATGAATGAATGAATGAATGAATGAATGAATGAATACATACATACAGACTGATTGCACAGACAACTGAATGAAGAGGGAACACGAAGTAGCTACTGTGTCACTGTGTATGAGAAGAAAGATTGGTTTCATATTTTGGTGTGGGGAACACCAGGCAGGGATGGAAGCTGACACTTTAGGCAGGACGTGTCAAGGAGAAAGGGCCTCTGTCTCCTAGTTGGTCAGGAGCCTTGACTCGGGTGGAGTGGGAAGGAAGGGAGACGTCTGTGAAAGAGTGATCAGGCACATAGTGTCAGGTCCAAAGGGCGGGCTCACCCTGTGGAGTTGCCATGGGTGGCAGTTCTAACTGGAGTTCAGCGCCCTGTGGGGTCGAGAACACCAACCCACACATCAGGAAAAAGGGCCAATCAGGAGTCAAAGACAAGCTCTTAGGCTGGGAGTGAGGCATGCTTCTAAAAGCTTAGGGCCCTGAGGCACAAGCAGGAGGCAATCAGTCTGCTAAGCCAAGATCAGAAACCCTACTCAGAGGCCAGCTCCAGGCAGAGGTAAGAGGTAAGTCATTGCTGGATAAGGAAAAGCCTGAGAGCTTGACTGACAGAGAGTGTATCTGAGTGGAGTTTTTCCCAGTCCAAGACCAAAGCCCTACTCACTTCCCCACAAGATCCTTGAAGCCAGGTCTTCATAGTGAACAAATAGCAAAAGGGGCAAGGAACAAAAGGAGGAAAGATTTCCATCAATTGGTAGAAAACCTGCTTTAATTCTTTGCTAAATATTAGTTGAAGAGAACGTGCCTCTTAGATTCTGGGTAAGTCACTCAACCACAGTGGCCTTGTCTATAAAATGAGAATGGCATCATAGCCCAGATGAAAACATGTTGGGGAGGAATAAATCCCCACTCCCACCTCATCCCACACAGAGAGGGGGCTTATATTCCATTCGACACAGACCTTTGGAGAAGTCCAAAGACTATCATCAGTTCCTGGGAAACAAATTCACAAGCACTTTTCCAAACCCAGTCCGTCTATGTGGAAGTAGGGACGTTTATCACCCACCAGACTACATTGCATTCCACATCAGAGCTAGGATCCCAGGAATAACATGAATAATCCCCTCTGACCATGTGTCTGGTGCGAAGGAACCAGTCTGGAAAAGAACAGGTGAATCTATCAGGATCCTGGCAGAAAACAGACAATACACAGAAATTGGGGAATCTGGAGAGTTTAATAAAGGGACTGTTTACAAGGTTTTGCTCCAGGAGTAATACAAGGAAGAGTATAGTATCTTGGGGTTAGAAAGAGTGGCAGCAGTGAAGGGACAGAGTGGCTCATAGAACCAGGAAGGAGAGCATCTTTTAGAGAAGCCACCTTTACCAGGCACTGTGGACTTCAATCAAAAGACACAACCAGCCCTGAGATGATCTCACAAAGAAAGCGCCAGAAAATATAGTCCAACCTCATTTTCCTATTTCCGCCCATGTCCTGCCAAGGCCTCCTCATTGGGCAGACCCAATCTGAAGCCTATAGCAAGGAAGTCTGCTGCTGGAATCCACACAGCTCAGATTCCCAGGGCACAGGGCAGGGTGGACATGGATCTGGAGGAGCACGTGGAAGGCATCCAGCCAACGGTCCCTCCACCCCTAGAGAGAGCAGTGCAAAGTCCCTCACAGCTGCTCTGCCGCCACACTCCATTTAGCCATTTGGAGAGAAAAGTATCGTGAGAGGCCCCATAAAACACCCCTTTGGCCCAGAAGTCTCCCAGCTGGCCCCCCAGAGCTCCCCCCAGAGCTTCACTACAGGAAGCTCACAAGGCTGGCAGCTGCCACTCATTCATGAGCTCTCTTAGAGCCCCACTGTGCTTCCTGGGGTGAGGACATCTGCTTGGCTGCAGGCAGCACAGTCCTGGTCCGCCTCTACCCACATGTGCACAGTCCCTGTCAAACCCACACAGCGCGCCCAGCTGAAGAAGAGCACCCAGTCCCCCAGAGAGCAACTAAATCAAGGGAAATATGAGACGCACATTTTTTGCACAGGCCTGGTCCAGAAGCAAGACATGTGCATCATTGGCAGGGGTTGGGGGGAGGTGGTGTTTGGAAGAGACAAGGGAAGAGGAAAACTAAAAAGACAAGCATTTTAATTAAAATCTTCTGCCTGCATTCCATGGCCAGTCATTCCTGGCTCCCTTCATTAGGACGTGCCCTTTAAATGCTCATTATCAAAGATTTACAAATTGCGTGGGTTTGGTGCCTCTGCTGGGCTGGGGAAGCCCTGCCTCCCTGTGCTGTCAGATGCTTTCACAACATCCTCAGTTGCTCAGACTCTCCTCAGGATGGACCCTGCACAGGCAGAGCGAGCGGAGGGGGCAGTAGAGGCGAGGCCCTGGCTCCAGGTAGCAGGCTGGGCTCCAGGAAATCTGATGAATAGGAAAGATGGGAAGGGGTGAGATAAGAGTGCTTAGTATTAGTCTTTCAGGAGAGGCAGAGAGAATGACAGTCAGTTTCTATTCTCTGCTGGGGACAAAGAGGAAACAGATACACACTGCCCAAGGAGACTGGGCTGGATCTCAGAAGAAGGCTTATAGAAAGGTTGGCAATAGAACAAGTTGCTGAAAGAAACTATGAAATCACCCACCATTGTTTTGAGAGCTAGGAGAACGGGATATACTGTTCTTCCTGCTCAGCAAACATTCATTAACCACCTACTATGTGCTCTCATGGGTACAAAGTTTAGGCATGTGCTCAAAATCCAGTGGGGGTGGGCTAAGGTATGTCTCCTCAGTCACTGTGAAGTCAGCTCCCTGCCTCCACAGCCTGGAAGGTACTCCAGCAGCCAGAGAAAGAAGAGTGCTTCCTTCCGGAATGTTCTCATTTTCCTTCTCACAGAGAAGGCGAGGCCAGGCTGGAGAGAAAGAGTCTGACAGGATTGGTGGGTGGTGAGCAGGTCTTGATGAGTGCTCAGACAGTGCAGTGGGATGCAGGCCAGAAGCCTTGGAGGGGTGGGCGAAGTGTGTTCAGAGGGACCAGTCTTGTCTGAGCAAAGACTTCTCTCTGATAGCCCCAAATTACAACCATGCCCTGGCTTGATTTCTGTAAAATTTAGCATTTCTTGTCCTTCAGAATAGTATAGGTCATTTGCTCATTAGAACCACTCAACAAACTTCAGGATAGGTAGAGCTGGGATCATTCCTGTTTCTCAAACCAGGAGACCGAGCCTTGCTCGGTGGTGGGAGAGACAGAATGAAGATGTGGGTCTCCCAACTCCTGGGCTGTTTTCCTGCCCACACTGCTACCCACCTATCCTCTCACTACACATGGGAGAGAGAGAGGCTCATGGTGCTCAGATCCAAGCCCTCCACTGGGGCCTGTGAGTTCTCTCTGAGCATCTGACATCCCTCTAATCCTGCCAACACCCCCCATAAAGAACATTCTTCTCCCTCCCTCCTGCCGCCAATGCCATCTCCCTTCTCTGGAGCTAATGAGGCAGCAGGCCCCACGCAGGGTCCCAGTGACAGCTGCTTGAGGCATATTTACTAAAGCCAACCGCTGGACCTGACAAGACATGTTAATTAGGAGATGATGTACCACGGTAGGACACATCGGCCACATGGCAGCTGGACTGGCAGCGTCAGTCACCATGGAGCCAGGGAGGCTGCTATGACATTCTTAATTAAGGAGAAGCTTGTTCCCATCACCAGGTGACCACCCTAGACTTGGTGAAGATGACGCCACTGGTTGTCCCAGCAAGGACCACCCAAAAGCCAGCCTAAGCAATAAGGTTTGCCTAAAGGGCGGCCTATAGGAACACAGACCAGGTCACCATGCTTCAACATGGTTTTCAAGGCCCTTGGCCACCTGCTCCAGCCTCTGTCTCCTTCCTCATCTCCCCCAGGAATCCTCAGCATCCTACAGCCACCTCTCCCAAATAGGTCCCTTTCACACTCTGTGCCCTGGCTCTTTCAGTTCCTCAGTCTGAAATTCTCTCACCTCCACCTCCTTATGCTTATATTGAAATACAACTAAAAATGAAAGATTCCACTCTAGTACTGCCTTTATAGAGCTCTGCCTCATTCCTTCACACACACATACACACACATGCATGCACACACACCTTCCTTTGAGGCTTCAAAACTGTGGTTATTCTTTTTTTTTTGTTTTTTTTTTTTCTTGAGACAGTGTTTCACTCTTGTGGCCCAGGCTGGAGTGCAATGGTGCAAACTGCAACCTCCGCCCCACTGGGTTCAAGCGATTCTCCTGCCTCAGCCTCCTGAGTAGCTGGGATTACAGGCATGCGCCACCACGCCTGGCTAATTTTTGAATTTTTAGTAGAAACATGGGGTGAAACATGGGGTTTCGCCATGTTGGCCAAGGCTGGTCTCAAATTCCTGACCTCAGGCGATCTGCCCGCCTCGGCCTTCCAAAGTGCTGGGATTACAGGCGTGAGCCACCGCGCCCAGCCAAAACTGTGGTTATTCTTTAACAAGACTTATCAACGGGCTGATAGGCACCGGTGGAGCAGTACCAGGGCCGGTTGTTAAAATAATGAAATATTTTTATACTGGCTGGTCAGTAGTCACCGCTGCAAGCCCCCTTACTCATGTTTCTCCTGCTATTCTCAGACCCTCCTCCAAGATACCCCCTACTGTCCAGCTACTAAAGAGTTAATGGTTGGCACAATGGAGCCCTCCAGACCTCTGCTTCAGCCCTGTGGCCTGTGTGCATTCTGACTGACCCATGCACATGCCATGCTGGTTACTGAATGTTTCAATATCCATGCTGCTTATAAGGCTGGTGTTGATCAAAGTCAAGTGTGCTGGTTCTTCATTAGAATGTCAGACTCTGTTTCCCAAGGGAATACATGTTTGCATATGTTCTCAGGGCTACCATTTTCAAGGGACATGGTAGTTAAAGGGCACACCCAGCCCCAGAGACTCTCTCCAAGACCCCAGCATGCTGCTGAGTTGAAGGACAGTTTTTCTGCCTCCAGTTCTCAAGCCCCCAAGGGTCCCTCCTAGACCCAGGACTATAGAAACATGTATCTCACAGGGCCAATTTATTTGCCCTATACCCTACTGATAGTCCCTACCCCAGCAGGGTTCTGATTCCAGAATCCATTCATCCATTCAGTGAATAAACTTATGTAGTACACTTACTGCATGCCAACAAGAGGACAAAAATGACAAAGACACAGCCCCCAACCGCAGAAATCCAAATTCCAATGCAGGAAGATACACAAGAAAATAAATCAGTAAGTTCAATAGGAAGGCTGTCATTATACAGGGGTAATAAAGGGATAAGCAGTGTTCTGTGGGGTCTCAGAGAAAGGACCACTCATAACTCTACCCTGGAGACGTGGGGATGGTTTCCTGGGATGGGATAGTAGAACTGGCTCTTGAAGAATGGGCTGAGGTTTTCTGGGCAGCAGGTGGGGGAAAGATGTTCTAGACACCAGGAATCACTTGTATAAAATATTCAGGGGGCAAAGAGCATAAAGTGGTCTGCTATGTTCCAAGTGCTGGGGACAGGAGGGGCAGGACATCACACTGCAGGCTTGGGGGAGAGATTGTGAATATCATGCAAGGAGTTTATCCTGTCAGCAGAGAGGGGCTGATGGAAGTCTTCATGCTAGGGAGTGACAAGATTGGATTTGTCTTGTTTCAAGATAATGTAAGCAGCAGTATGGAGAATGAATTGGAGTGTAGGAAAGATTGGGCAGTCTGCAGAATTTGACTGAAATGAGATTTGTTTGGGAATAATTTATTCCTTACAACGACCAACCCTGAGATTTTTACAGAGCCTTTTTGGAAGAAAATGTCGCTTGTTTCAGGCCATATACTCAAATGATTTCCAGAGACCCTACCTAAAGGTAACTGAGAATAGACCAGGGGAAGCAGTCCTGAGACCTGGATTGTAGCCTAGTCCATGACCTTGAGGAAGCTGAGTGACCTTGAGGAAGGCATGTAACCTCTCTGAAAGCAGTCACTGGAATCGTGCACTGAAGTGGTCACATGCTCAGATCAAGTAGGGCACAGGGTAGACGCTGTTAAGATTAGATAGTAGTTTTGCTGCATTATCATCAGGGATATGTAGTGTTTCCAACTGGAGAGGGGAGAAAACCCACCCTGTTCCCTGAAACAGGGTATGGTATAAGCTCCTAAGGCCCAGCAAGCTTCCATAATGGGAAGCGTGCCCATGCCATCCAACAATCAGTGACCTTGTGATGAGTGACTAGGAAACGCCATCAGCAGTCCCTGCCCCACCCCAATTTCCACCATCCTTACTGATGGTAGGTCTGGAGAAAGTGCAGGCTATCTCCCCAAGCCCTGGGTCAGTATCCAACGGGCCCTTCCATCAGCTCTGCCCTCCGTAGTTGGCCTCAAGTCAAGCATCTGGAGGTCTCCCTGCATTACATCATGACACACGTTATTGATGCTCGGGAATTACTCAGCCCTTTGAAAAATCACAGCCACAATATTTGTCTCCATTAACATCCATGGCAGCACTTCAGTGAATCAATAGGATACTTAATGCTGAATTACACGACATGCCTAGGCAGCTTGCCTCTGCTGAGCTTAATCCGTCAGGTGAATAACACAGTAGAGTGTTCCAAGCACACTGGGAAGGCACCGGGAATGGGAAGGGGAAACCAGGGTTTTTACACCATTATAAACATACATTTGTTCACCTGCTAGAAATGAACCACAAATTCTTGGTCTTTCCAATTATAATTGTGTTTTAAGCACCTGATGGTGCTTTTCTCATCTCTGGTGTAAGTGATTCATGCTTCGTGTTCTAAGAAATACCTCAGGTTTTGTTTTGTTTTGTTTTGTTTTTTCCTAGTGGAAATCAGAGGAGAAGACAAGAATGATCTGTTTGGGGAGAATAACTGATGATCCCACCTGTACAAACTTATCACCATTCTCTGATCCTCCTATCTTTCATTCTGGCCTCCTCCCCGCCACACCGCCACCCCCTGGCTCCCTGTATTCTAGTTCTTCATTCCTAGTGACTTGACCCAAAATGCCATTTTCCTTGTTAGTTGCCTGACCTGTCTTCCAGGGATCTCAAAGCACTAAATCAACATCCATCACCAGCAAGGATGGTCCTTCCCAAGCCACAGGTGGAAAAACAGTCATCACAGGTGAAGAGGAGATTAGCTCTTCCCTTCTCCTTGTCTGAGCTGTTGGATCTTTCTGACCAGTTCAAGGGTAATTCACAGAATTCACAAAACTGCTCACCGTTACTTTCTCAATGAATAAAAAGAGGTACCTGCCAGCCCCTTCTGGACTGGGGTTGGGGAGAGGCATAACGTTTATTGCCAGGTTCAACAGAGGGCCTCAACACAGGGAAAGGGGTTTTCTGTAAGTTGGTTTGTTTATTTTCTTGAGAACCTAGAATTTCTATGTATATCTTTGTTTTCTAGCTTAGTATTTATTCAATGGCTTTCTCCTCGCCTGCTTTGCCTGGTCTTGTGCTTTCTGCTAAGAAAGCAATCAGAGCTGCCCTGCACACAACCTGGTCCTGACCACAGGTATCCTCCCCGCATCCTTGCTGGCCCATCAGCTGTTATCCCTTTTACCATCCTGCTTGCTCACTCTTACCTGGTTTCCTCTTCCATCATGCAAGATTCACACAGACGTTTTTCTGATCATTCCAGTGGCTACAAAATCTCACCAGCACACAGAGCCGCGTACATCACAGAATACCAACATAGTTCCTTCCTTCAAAGAACTTGGACTTACAGTGAAGGAGCAACAAGCTGAGAAGAGCACATTAGAGGGGTGCCCAGAGATGTGGGAGAATTCAGAGGGCTCCCTTCATCCATGTGTCGATCCCAGGGGCCTGCTCATACACCACCAAGGACAGGCCTGGTTTCCAGGGAGGCAGTCTGTTTATGTGCAAAGACACTTTGGTTTCCCATCCTCATAGCATGTGGGTAGGTTTTTCCACCCATTGAGATGAGTTGAAGGTGAAGAAAACTGTCCTGTTAGTGGGTTTGGGCTCTGTCACCTTAGACAAATGATGACCTATTTCTGTTTTCTTATGTCTAAAGTGGAGCCAAAGTCTCTTGGGAAAATCAGTGAGATAACTAGTGGATAACGCTTTGTAAATTGTAAATATCATATTAGTGTAATTAAGAGTCTAGGTTCTGAGCATCAGATTGCCTGGGTTTGAATTCTCGGTCTACCACTCTCTAGCTGTGTGACCTTGGGCAAAATACTTAACCTCTAGGTACTTCCATTTCCTCATTATGAAATGTAGCTAATGATAGTATCTGCTTTTCATAAGGATGAAAAGAATTAATATAGATAAAGCAAATAAAATTGTGCATGTAGTTAACTCTACAAAAAGTATAGTTAGCACTGTAAAAAGTGTAGCTGGTGTGATTATTTTCTCCTTTTAGAGTTTGAGTTCCTAGTAGTCAAGAATCTAGTCTCCACTGAAGTTTTGTGGAGTTTTTATTTGTTTTTTTGTTTTTTGAGACAGAGTTTCGCTCTTGTCGCCCAGGCTGGAGTGCACTGGCGTGATCTCAGCTCACTGCAACCTCCGCCTCCAGGGTTCAAGTGATTCTTCTGCCTCAGCCTCCTGAGTAGCTGGGATTACAGGCACATGCCACCATACCTGGCTAACTTTTGTAATGAAGGTGCTGAGTTATTTGCTGGGGCCCTGATAAGAGTGTGTCAGATCTTGGGACACAATTGCTGCAGGGAAGGCTCATCAGTAGCTACCCTTCCTCCAGAGGGACCAGTAGCACCATGGCTCACAAGCCAGAACCGACTCCTCTCCTCCCTCCAGACTCCAAGGCAAGAGAATGACCCCAAATCCAGAGAATGGGGATGCAAAGTTCAACTTGAGATAAAATGTGTCACCATTTTTAACATTTAGAAGGCACCTTGAAAAAGTAATTAAAACAGCACCCAAAGGTGCAACAACTTTCTCTAAGAATACCAAGTTCTCTACTGGCTGATTTAGCAAGTGAACAATTACTGTATGTAAAACACCTTGTAAATGCAGTGTGAGCCACAAATCCCAAGAGAGGCAAGGATAGCAAAATAATGACACAAATGAGATACCTAATCTGTGGCAATGCCCCATTACCACACCCACCACCATTCACCCAGCCCATGGGCAGCACCTCAACTGTCCAGAAATACAACCAACAGTCCCAGAGACTACAATGTACCTTCCCCACCCCCAGACTCCCACCACTGTCAGCAGCCAACAATGAGCATTTTTTTATCCATGTTAGTTAAGATAATTACCTTCAGAAGGTTTGAGAAACATGATGATGTATCTCATTTTATATAGCACATTAAGGCTAAAATGTAATGCAAGGCATTAAAACAAATCTAAAAATATAAGGTAATATAATAAAATCAATAGGGATTATTAGGAGTAAAGTGTTATATCTGAGGCAATAAAGCCTTGGAATTCCAAGAAAACAATGTTCTAGTAAAACTATAATAGATGACTATGATTTAATCACTTGGTAAATAATGTGGTGTTTCAATGGGTTTTATAGTTTCGTGGTATTAAAAAAAATGCACATTAGGATTCAACCAAGATGGTTCTTATAAAGAGTGTATCTAAGAGTAGTATCATTTTGACAATTTGTGCTTTTAAATAATAGTTTATTATTTTATACATGGATCTACTTTTTAAGCCTCTCACACGCTTTTAAGATATCACTTACCATTAGGCTATCACTCTGCAGATTCTCAAGCCTTTGAGCACATGAAATTAAATTATTCAGAACATTCTTCCACTTCACAGAACAAGCAAAAACTTGGGAATTCCTGGAGGAACCTGATTTTCCTATTTTTCCTTTAGCTGGGTACTAATTGCAAGACATCCAAATACTGAAATTAGAAAGCCATTTTGCTTGAAGTTCTCATCACCTATTAAAGTAACCCAAATCAAAAGGGGTTCTCCCCATCCCCCACTCAGAGCTGTTCTGAATAGTCAAATGAAGATTAAACTCTTGATTTAAGTAGCTACATCTTAGCAGTAATTAACACGTACATCAAATACTTTTTTCCTTTGATATGATATGGTACTAGAATTTAAACCCTGATGAAGGTGCCAAAATTAACTGCAATGGGAAATGAATAATAATTCTTTTAAGATGACTTTGCCCTTTGCATTCGCTTACACTCAAGCCCTTTCCAGTCTCTCTGTGCCCTGCTCTTAAGAAGTCTGCAAGTCAGGCACACAGGTCAGTTCCAAAGACCTATGAGTCCAGAGAAGAGAAGAAAAAACAAAAAGCCTCTGGTCTTAGGCCTATTTGTCAGTATGTTCTCATCCAGCAAGTGGGGTACGGCCTTCCTCACTAGTTGCTGCTCCAAGAAGAAAGCAGAAGTTATCTTCTCTGGGTTTGGATGATTTATTAGAAGCTAAAGAAGGAATTTAAAGTGGGGTATGAGGCAGGAAGAAGAGATCAAGAGACCTATAAAAGCATTGAAGAAGGCAGCAAGGGAATGAATGTGGGACCAGGAAGGAACTAATTGTAACATCTGCTTAGTAGAGAAATCCTTTGATTTAACTTCCTAGGGCAGTGGTTCTCAAGGAGGAGGCTCTGCTTGAGACTTTAATGAGAGCTATGGACTCTCCTCCTAGAAATGCATACACAACACACATGCACAGGCACCCCATAGACAATGGTGTGTGGTGTATGTGGGCCCTTTCATGGACCTAGAGCCTCACATTAAGAATTACTACTCAACAAAGACTTAGTCTAATACTTTTCATTAATGGATGTCCTTGGAATTCACAGCCCCTCAGAATCCTGGGCTGGTGAAAGAGTGTTTGGTACTGGATGCCACATGTTAATAAGGACATGGACAAGCAAGAGATTTGCTGATAAAGAATGATCAAGATAATGGGTCTAGAATCCACCTTGGGTCTAGAATCCAAGGATCAATTCAAAGAACAAGGGAAGTTTAGAAAGAACTAAAGGGAACTATAATAGCTGATTGGAAAAATTTTAAGAAGGAAGAAAGTAGCCTTGTTTTTGTTGTTTGGTTTTTGGTCAAGTGTTATAAGACCACCAGATTCGATTGCCCACTGTGTGGGCAAACAGCAAAACAGTGGAAGTTGCAGCAGAGAGAGAGTTTAATAATCACACGGCAGCCAAATGAGAGGAAACCTTAAATCTGCCTCCCCGAGAAACTTAGGATGGGATTTTTAAGGAGTTTGATTTTGTAAGGGAATAGGGGATCACTAATTGGTCAAGAAGTGAGGAATGAAGTCATGGGACAGGGAGATGAAGAAACCGCATGCCTGTGCTGGGTCAGTTCCTTGATTGGGGGTCTTAAGACTGGTGGGTATGAGCCATTCCACTGGATTTCAGGATCCGAAAAATAACTTAAGTAATTCTTGAGTAAAAAGGTCCAGTGTCAGAGATTCTATCTTTAGGAACAATGGGAAAGCAGGTGGTCAGCATGCTGTGTGACTCTTGGTCAGTCAGCAGCTGCTAGGAAGTGGGTCAAAGTGCACCAGTGCACCCTGGCCAATGCCTAACTACAAATCCGCCTAAAGTCTGGTTTGTAATTCTCATTAATGTTGTGAGGACAGTTTCATAAGGGTCATTACTTGAAGAACCAACTTTGATCAGTAGAAGAGAGAACAGTCCTTCCAACAATTAGAAGTGCCTCCTGCAATCCAGTCTCCACATAGGATCTTTTTTTAAAATGTGAATCAGATTATGTCATTTTCCCATTCAAACCCATCCGATGGCATCCCACCACACTTAGGATAAAATCCAAAGCCCTCGCTATGGCAGGTGGGCCCTACACCATCTGGCTTCCGCCTTCCTCTCTGGGCTCATCTCCTCCCATTCTCCCCCTAGTTGATTGTTCTCTCCAGGCTATTGGGCTTACTTAATGTGCCAAACTCAGTCTGGCCTCAAAGCTTTGGCATCTCCTGTTTCCTCTGCCTTAAATCCCCTTTCTCCCAGATCTTTGGAAGGCATATCCTTGTCATTCAGATCTCAACTCAGTTGCTATCTCTTTAGCAAAATCTTCCCTGATTATTCCATCTAAAGGGATCCCTATGGCCAGACACCCTCTAGACCGCTGTCTCATTATCTCCAATGCATTTATCAGCACCTGAAACTCTTTGTTATTTACTTTGTTTTCAAGGGCTTGCTTCTCCAACTAGAAGTCAAGATCCATGAGAACCAGGCCCTTGTCTGGCCTGCCAGGTTCTAGAATAGTACCTGACACACAGTGGACACGTATTAAATATTCCTTGGGTGAACCAATGCAGGATCAAACAGTGGACCTGACACCTCGTGGAGTCATTAACGAGTCTTTCATTAGTAGAGGAGGGTGATTCAAGTCACAGCCCTTAGCAGGGATGCTCTGGGAAGACTCTTTGTGTTGAAGAGGTAAGGGTGAGTGTATTAGGTTGTTCTCGCATTGCTATAATGAAATATCTGAAACTAGGTGGCTCATGCTTGTAATCCCAGCGCTTTGGGAGGCCAAGGCAGGTGGATCACCTGAGGTCAGGAGTTTGAGACCAGCCTGGCCAACATGGCGCAACCTTGTCTCTACTAAAGACATAAAAATTAGCCAGGTATGGTGGTGCATGCCTGTAATACCAGCTACTCAGGAGGCTGACGCAGGAGAATCGCTTGAACCCAGGAGGCGGAGTTTGCAGTGAGCCAAGATTGTGCCACTGCACTCCAACCTGGGTGACAGATGACAGAATGAGACTCTGTCTAAAAACAAAAAAAAAGAAAGACAAAAGAGACTGGGTAATTTATAAAGAAAAGAAGTTTAATTGGCTCCTGGTTCCATAGGCCGTACAAGAAACATGGCGGTTTCTGCGCACATGAATCTCAGAGCTAAAAGGTAGAGTTTGGCTCACTAATATGGTTTGGATCATGTGGGTGAGTTCTCATGAGTGAGTTAGCACCACCCTGGCCAATGCGTAACTATAAATCTGCCTCAGCCTAGCTGAGGCCTCAGGAAACTTACAATCATGGCAGAAGTTGTAGGAGAAGCGAGATGTCTCACATGGCCAGAGCAGGAGGAGAGGGGAGTGGGGAGGTGCTACACAATTTTAAACAACCAGATCTCGTGATATCTCACATACTCACTATCATGAGAACAACACTGAAGGGATGGTGCTAAGCCATTCATGAGAACACCAACCACATTATCCAATCACCTCCCACCAGGCCCCACCTCCAACATTGAGGATCACAACTGAACATAAGACTTGGGTGGGGACACAGATCCAAACCATATCCAACTCTGCTTTTTACCTCTGAGATTCACATGTTCATAGCCTCATGTCACAGAGTAGAAAGAGCACCTGATTTTGAAGTCAGACAGATCTGAGTTCAAATCTTAGTTTTGCTACTTATATACAGTGGGACTTTGAGCAAGTCAGTTAACCTCTGTGAACCTCAGTTTCCTCATCTGAAAAATGGGGATAAAAATGCCTATCTTGCTGGGTTGTGGGGAATGTTTATAAAGCTAATATGTGCAATGTACCTAAAACAGAGTCAAATCCCTAGTAGGAACTCAATAAATGGCAGCTCTAGGTCAGCATTCGTGATTTGCTCTACAACCATCAATATTCAATGAGATGGCTGATTTGCTGGCAATATTCAAGGAAGAAAACTATTTAGAGGGCATATATTTCTTTTCCTGAGAAAATAGTATGTCTCTTAAAATTATTTTTGAAAGTAGATAAGTATAAACTTTGAAAACCAAAAATCAAAATGAATGTCCAACCTTGAATTTCTTTTCCAATTATCAGTTTACCCATGACCTAGATACAGCCCCAAACTTCTCTGCAGTGAATCTAGTGATTCCCAGCTCTCTCCTCCTGCCCCTCAGAGTTATAAGAGAGAAGAGGCCATGTTTCTTCACCACCTGCCATCTAACTGCGTGGGCAAGCCCACCAACCAAATCCATTTTGTTTCATGATGACATCACCTTTCCAACTTGCAAGTAACTCAGCTTCTCCCATTCTGTGGGTCCTGTCTGCAACCTCAGCCTCGTCAGGCTAACAGGCCCACTAGAATCTGTGGCCATTCCCCAAAATTTATTTAGTGAGGCTGTGAAAGCAAACTCCTAAGCCCCCAACCTCCAACCTGCCTGCTCTGATGGAAAACTGGAAGATCACATGATGTGGTAAAATAAACAATTTTTAAGTCATGTTTAAGTAAGACTCTCTGGCTTTCACTTATAATTTAGTCTTTGAAACATCTATGAGGCCAGGCCAAGTGGCTCACACCTGTAATCCCAACACTTTGGGAGGCCAAGGCAGGAGGATCACTTGAGCCCAGGAGTTCAAGACCAGCCTGGGCAAAATAGTGAGACCCTGCCTCTGCAAAAAAAATTAAAAATAGCCAATCACAGTGGTGTGCACCTGTAGTCTCAGCTACTTGGGAGGCTAAGGCTCGAGGATCACTGGAGCCCAGGAATTCAATGCTGGAGTGAGCCATGATCATACCATGAAACCTCAACCTGGGTGACAGAGCAAGACTTTATCTCTAAACCAACAACAACAAAAGCCCTGTGAGCCTCAGTCTTCTCATCTGTAAAAGGAAAATCCTATCACCCACTCTGTGTGTTCATTATCAGAAACAAATGGGATGATGTATTTTAAGCACTTGATTCTCAAATGCTGGCTCCCTTTTTTGTGCTTACCACTGCTACAACCACCACCTAACCCCTCCAGAGAGAGTTTTCTGGAAAGCCTCTATGCCCAACCAGGCTAACAGGAGGGTCATGACTGAATCTGACTTAATTTTCTTTCAAGTTAAGACTTGATTTGGGCTGTGTTTAAGAAGAACGCACAGCTTGTCAGGCTGTGCACCCCATTTGAAAGGAATCACCATTCCCACGAACTTGTTTCTCCCCCTCTTTCCTTTTCCTGTCTTTCCAGCCAATTCCAGCCCCTCTCCCATTCATTCTCCCAAGCCACCATTTCAGCCTTCCTTGCAGCCGCCCATGAACGGGCAACGCCATCTCAGTAATGCATTTCTTTCTGTGCCTTTAGCTATGCCATCACTTTGATGAAAGATTTCCTTGGAGCACCTGCTCCTTCCTCAGCTGCTTCCACCCTCTGCCACGTATGCTCGGCCGCGTAGTAATGCAATCACTGTGTCTATGTGAAGTGAACGGACACACTAACACAATGTTTCATAACCAAAGCAGTCATGCATCTCCCCACCCACGCACCCCACACACACACACCCAGGGCTCCTCCCTCCATCCTGTCCTGTCCCCGGGGGCATACAAAGAAGTCTGCTCCCCAGACATATGACCAAAAGGCTTAATGCAGGCAAGTGGCAGAGGAGGCCGCAATACTTATTACCTGGAAAAGACCATAACTGCTGAGAGAGCACTGCCATCCCAGAGCCTATGTAGCCAAAGGTAGTAAGGCTCTGCCTCTGGACCGGGCCAACACCTCACTGGAGGAATGTGGGGTAGGTGGCTGATAGAGCAGTAACTGGGTGACCTCAGACTCTAAAAATCTACTCAGCTCCTGGCTCCATCATCATCTGGGACTGTCCTAACTCAATCCATACTTATTGCCATGGCACAACTAGGTCCCCCAAGTGGTTGTCTATCTTCAGCTTGAATACCTCCAGGATCCTGGTGGGCAGGATGGTTAGGAACACAGGTTTTTGAGTCAGACAGACCTAATTTCACATCCAGCCTCTGCTACCTACTGGCTGTGATTTTGCCCATTCCTTAACCTCCCAAAGCTCTGGTTTCCTTAACTGTAGAGTGGGGTAATAAATATACTTACTTCTAAAGCATTAGGAGAGTTAAACAAGATAAAGCAAGAAAAGTGATCTGCATAGTGGGCATTCATGACAGTAATTAATAATCACAGGAATGACAATAAACATTTATTGAGGACTGTGCCAGGAACTGGATTAGGTGCTGAGAATACAGAGATGAGAAAGATGTCGTCTCATTGTAGAGAAGACTGTCATAAAAGCAGGTGCTAAGGCAGAGGTATGCACGGGGAATATGAAGCACAGCTCTACATTACAATTCTTCCTCATAATGCACCAAAATGTCTTTCCCTGACTCTCTACCCACAGACCTGAGTTCAGCCCCCCAGAGCATCTCAAATCACTCCAATCCCTCTTCCACATGACAGCCTTTCAGCCTCTTGAAGACCGCAAATCACGCCTCTCCCCAAGTCCCCCCTTTTCTAGGCTAAACAGTCCCAGTTCCACTCGAAAAATAATAAGCCTACCTTATCTCTCTACATGACTTTCTCCAAGGAACAAAGCTATTTTACCGGCCCCAGCTCATCCATCTTCTCAGCACCATGAGCCCACAAAGAAAGGAAGATTTACCTGCCCCAACCCAGACCTGATACTAAGAGAAATTCAATTCCATTCAGGATCTCCCCAGAGTCTCCCAGCGGAGACACCTCGAACCCCAGCACAGAATCACAATCCTGTGATTGCGGCCCACTTGTCTGCAAATACATCTCACCAGCCTTGGCTGGACTGACATCACTGCCCAGCTCATAACACTGAGGAACCAGAAATCTGGAGGGACATCTGAGATCACCTGCACCAGGGGTCCTCATCTCTGGCTTGATGATAGAACCACCTGGGCAGTGTTTAGTAGAGACACCAATGCCCAGGTCCATGCACCCTCATGAGAAAGTCTGATTTAATTGATCTAAGGGCCTGAGTATCACTGTAGTTTTCAAAGCTCTCCAGGGCATTCTAATACGCAGCTAAGATTAAAACCCATCCATCTTAGTTCAACCTTTCCTTTTGCACTTGAGAAAACAGCGCAAAGAATGGAAGTGAGTTGTCCAAGGTCACAAACCTACTTAGAGGGAAAAATAGGATTAGAACTCCTGGCTTCTGACTTCCAATCTAGTATCTCTTTTACTAGGCTACCTGGAAATTAACATTCTGACTTAGGAACTGGAATCTAAGGGGTATGCCATTGATACCATAGAGAAATCGACAATAGATCGAACTTTTCCAACCCTTAAAGCGCACATGTTAATCCCCCTTCTCTTTTATAAATCTTCCCTACTCCCCACTTACATCTGTACCCTGTCTTAAAATGTGATGTCAAAATGCCACCCACAAAGGGAGAACTCTATTCAGTTTTCAGCCAAAAGAATTACACAGAAAAGAACCTCATCATAAATCAAGAGCCAAAAGCAATTCTTAAAACCAAATTAAGGTCCTGTGCATTCAGCAAGGCCTGTTTAGAAATCAGACCTTCAGGTTCACTCCCCTGCTAGATAAAGGCTATGGGGAAAAAAATAAAAAAAAAAAAAAAAAAAAAAGCAACAGTATTAACATTCCAGAAATGCAATCTGAAATAAATAAGTGATATTTTCTGGCCAAGGTAATGCAAGGGTTTTCGTTCCCAATGTGATGGAGCTACTTTACATTTTAATAAATGCACATCGAGAAAATAATATTATTGCTCTGATATTGGGAGATTTGTGAACATAAAATATTAGAACTTGTCAGGAAGGCATTTATTTTCTTTTTCCTTCTTTCTCTACTGCAATATTCTTTCACCTAATAGAAGATGATTACAAAAATAATTATATCAAACAGTGGCCAACACACACAAAATAAATGGGAAAAAATGAAGGTTATCAGGCATTGGATGACACACATGAGCAGGGGAAAGCACGTGTCCAAGCAGGGGGAGGTAATTGCACATCAATCAAATGATTGCAGAGTGGGTGGAAAAAATTAAGGCAACTAAATGGCTGCTGAATGTTCTGATCCCAGATGCAAATCAGAACATGGATTAGAACTCATTAGCCAAATTATCCATCTCCAATATCCGTGTGAAAAAGCCAAAACTGTAGCTGGAGTTCTGTGTTGGAGAAAATCATCTAACCTTAAAACACTGCTGCGTGCGAGCCTGTAATCACGAACTTTGGGATCCACAGCCAGTTTCTGATGGTTCTGGGACCCCTGAAATGATGTATATTCACACATATGCATTTATCTGGAGATTCCATGGTTTTTAATATGTTTCTAAAGGAGTTCTTTATCAAATAAAAATTTAAATGTAAGGGGGTGGACACTAAATTGGCCTTTCATTTAAAAAAGTCAAATAAAAACTCCTCAGAAAGCAGTTTGGCGGTTCTGCAAAAATTAAACATAGAGTTACCATATGACCCAGTGATCCCACTTCTAAGTATATACCCAAGAGTACTGAAAACATACGTTCACACAAAAACTTTACACAGATGTTCATAGCAGCAGTATTCACAATAGCCGAAAAGTGGAAACAGCCCAAATGTCTAGCAGATGATGAATGGACAAAATGCGCTTATAGCTATGCCATGGAATGTTACTCACCCATACAAAGGAATAAAGTACTGATGCATGTGGCAACTGGGATGGAACCTTGAAAGCATTTTGTTACGTGAAAGGAGACGGACACAAAAGGCCACATGTTGTAGGAGTGTCCAGTATAGGTAAATCCACAGAGGCAGAAAGTGGGTTAATGGCTACCGACGGGGACAGAAATGGGGAGTGATGGGTGTGGGGTTTATTTTGGGGGCGATGAAATTGTTCCAAAATGAGGTCATGGCCATGGTTGCAAAATGTTGTAAATATACTTAAAACTACTGAACTGTCTATTTTAAAGGGGAAAATGTTATGTTATATGAACAACATCTCTTTTTTAACGAATGTACTTAAAAAAGACTAACCCCTAAAGCTTCCAAGTTCATGAGACAGTTAGTAGCAGAGCCAGGTGATAGGATGCATAGAGAACACAAGTATGAGATCAAGAAAATTAATCCAAATTGACACCACATTTATTTATTCAAATACTGAGGGAGCATTTATTCTATGCCAGGGGTGTCCATATAATACTCAAATTCTGAGGGAGCATTTATTATATGCCAAGGGTGTCCATATAATACTCAAATTCTGAGGGAGCATTTATTATATGCCAAGGGTGTCCATATAATACTCAAATTCTGAGGGAGCACTTATTATATGCCAGGGGTGTTCATATAATACTGTAGTGAACAAATAGACACACTCCTTGCCCTCTTGGAGTTGATATTTCAGCAGGAGGAAGACAGGTTACCAAATACACACCCAACTGCGTAAGTCCATCAGTGACGTGAGTTGTGAAGGAGATGCACAGGTAACATGAGAGTGCACAGGGGCTGACTGGGCTGGGAGGCTTGCTTGAGGAGGTGGGCTCCAAGGGGCAACAAGCACACATGTTGAAGGAACTGAAGATCCACGTGGACAAAGTCACCAGAGAAGGACAGAGGGCATCGGCAGGTCCTAGAGCGACAGTAGCACCTACAGTTGATTAAGAATCTGGTGTTCCAGCCTGATGGGTCCAGCCAAGGTGTGATCCATTCCTGAAGCATCAGCCTGGCGGGGCTGTGGATCACAGAGGCAGCATCCACATGCCAACAGCCTCTGGGAGGCTACCATGTTCTTGGCAGCCAGAAAAAGACTCTGCGATCAGTGAACCCAACGTGCGTGCAGCCCAGAGAGCAGCCATCTGTGGGGAGGGCACGGGAATGCAAACGTGGACAAATGACATGACAGCCACCTTTGGACTCTGCAGGCCATTGCCCTCACGACACCTCAGGATAAAGGGAAGAGTAGGAAACTAAGCAAGTGGAAAACAAAGGAGATGAAGTGGGAAATGTGAAACATGAAAACGTTGTCCTCAAAGTCCAGTATGAAGGAGGAATATAGCTTCCATGCATGTGTGTGCATACCAAGGACGGCAAGGAGAATGCAGACTGATGGATCAATCAGAAAGACCACCCTCAAAGAGTGAAAGCAGCCTAGTTCTACAAAAGTCATGATCTCTCAAAAGGAGTTAGACACCAAAAATGTCAATAGAATTGAGAAGGAAAGGAATGGGAGAGGGTGCGGTGGTAGGAACAACAGTAATAGCAGCTAACATTCACCGGGCGCTGTGAGCCAAGAACGTTACATGTATTCTCTCGTTTCATTTCCCCACGATCCTTTTTCTATGACTATTCCCACCTCCCAGATTAGGTCTTTGTGACTTCAGTTGAGGAACTTCCCCAAAGTCACACAGCTCAGGAGTGGAGTCAGATTTTAATGTGGGCGGTCTGTCTCTTGCACCTGTACTCTTAGCCCCTAAGGCAAATGGTCTCTTTTTTCAAGAATCTTCATCGCAGGTTGTTCAGAGGCTTTCAGATGTGTCTAGCTTCCTCCTGAAGCTTGGAGATGTATGTTGAAAAGTTCCAGCTTCAAACCCCCGCCCGAGTCAAACTGCTAAGGCCAAGAATATCTTGGTCTAAATTCCACCTTAGACTTCTGTGAAAAATGATATTCTCAGTTCTCTGAGTGAGAAGCTTCTGCCCCGACCTGCATGATCTGGGGAGACCACTGAGGCAGCTTCAACTGTCTAAGAAAGAAACTGCTCTAAGAGAGATGGAGAGCCCTCCAAGAGATCCCAGGGAAGGATGGATTTCTCCAGCAAGCCCCTGCTCTCCGTTGCCCTGTCTGTAGTCCTGGCACCTGCAGGGAAGAGAATACCTGCTTCAGACATGCACGGTTGGCTCCTTCTCCCCATGTGATTATAGCCCCAGTGCCTGGCATTTGTTGAGTGCTCTACGCCCACAGACCTCCAATGCAAACATTCTCTCTCATTATCCCACATTCCCATGAGGTTGCAGGCTGGGCCAGGTTAGTCTATCATCCTAAGTATGTCCCTTCTGTCCTTGAGCCTAATGTGTTCATTTGTGAATATGAAGCATTGCTTGGGAAACTGTTAAAATCCTCTTACAGTTCAGACAAGCAGGCTCATGCCTGTAATCCCAGCAATTTGGGAGGCCAAGGCAGACAGATTGTTTGAGACCAGGAGTTCAAGACCAGCCTGACGAACATGCCGAAACCCCCATCTCTATTAAAAATACAAAAATTAGCCAGGCGTGGTGGTGCATGCCTGTAATCCCAGCCACTCGGCAGGCTGAGGCAGGAGAATCGCTTGAACCTGGGAGGCGAAGGTTGCAGTGAGCCGAGATCTTGCTGCTGCACTCCAGTCTGGGTGAAAGGGCAAAATTCTGTCTCAAAAAAAAAAAAGTTAACAGCACAGATTTTGGAGTCAGGTCAGGCCTAACTTTGTAACTGAAACAATGTGTGACTTCGGCCTCATTTACTTAACCTCCCTGAGCCTCAGTTTCTTCATCTGTAAAAGGAAGATGATCATTGCACCTTCCAACAACATTGGGTTGTTCTGAGGATTCGTTGAAGTCATCCACATAAAATTCTTATCTCGGTGCCTATCGCATCATCAGGTTCTATTAATGTTAGCTGCTGTTGTTCATAATCAACAGAAAAAAACTGACACAGTAAGAATGTGCTGGAGCTGCGAGTGGCTCTCAACTTTTGCTGTATATTAGAATACTGGGGAGCTCTGAAACCTTGTAGCCACACCCCCATACCGATTAATCTGGAATCTCTGGTTGTCAGGTTTTTCAGACATCTCAGATAATTCCAATATGCAGCCAAAGTTCGGAACCCCCAGAACACGATCCCAGTTCCAGTTAGATTTTATACAAGTGAGCATGCATCGGAGGTCCCCCCAGAAAGGAGCTGAGCTTAGTGCAAGGCTGTCTGATCTCAGGCACATTCCCCTGCCCCTCTCTCCCAGCAGGTCCCCCACCCACTTAACCTTTCACGAAGCCTCTCGGCCTCACATTCACTTCAGGTAGGCTGCAAAGGAGACCGTCCTCATACATGTCCCGAGGCAGGAATAACTCTGGTTGCTTAACCACAGTTGTCATACTCAGGAGAGACGAAAGGAAATCATAAATAATAGATGCTACATAAACAAGGTCCAATTAACCCAGCCACCAGCCCGGGGGGAAGACATACATTAGCCCTCTCTGCAAGAGGCTAAGGAGAGACATTAGGGAAACTGCCTGGAGCTTCACAGGTGTGGCTGGAGAGTCTCTCCTTCTGAACCCAACCTTCCCCGCACCCCTTTCCTGAGGTCCGGTCTCAGAGCGGGGAAAACAAACCCAACCTGGGCTGGGCGGTGGTCAGGTCTCGCTGCAGTGCTCCTCAATTCAGCACAATTCCATGCAGAGTTGAGTGGGCAGTAACTTTAGCCCTGTCTCCGGGTTAGTTTTCCATTCTCCTAGCATACTAATTGCATCACATTTCTCTTCTGCAACAAATACCCCTCTGGCCTGATTGTTTCTGCTACCCACCCTGTACTCTGACCCACAGGAAGTCACTTGTTTCTCAGGGCTAACAGCAAGCTGGGCTCCAGAGCTGCTTCTCCATCCCCTCCCCTCCTGTCCTGGACATAGGTCTCATCAGGCATCCCCATTGCCCATCTCCACTCCAGAAGTGCACTCCCAGCAGTTAGGCCCCAGGAAATGCAAGTCACCTGTGCCAGTTAGCAGTTTGCCAGCAGGCCCAATGCTCTGCCTCTGGACAGCCCCCTGCCTGCCTCCAGGAGGAGTCCTCAGTGCCTCTGGGACCACCATCCCTTAGCCAGGGAGGGCTGGGAAGGGGGCTCCTACTGCAGCCACAGGATTTTGTGTATGGATTAGTCCAGGGTGATTATTGAGCTCAGAAGAAAGCAGCTCGTGATTAAGGGAGCCATTTGGGGAGGGGAGAGGAGGGAAGAGGAGGGGAGTTTCTCAAAACACCTGCCTGGGAACGCACTGGAGGAATGCCAGACGCGCACCTCCCACAGACAGAGGAAGGGCACCAGGGGCTAAACCTGGTGGAAAAGCAAGGTTAGTGAATTTAATGAGGTGATCTTAGGCAGCTTAATTCAGCTCGATAGCCTGGGGCTAGAGGAGGAGCCCCCGCACAGGAAGTCAGAAGTTGGGCCTGCACTAATTAGATTTCACAAATGCTGCTGTTATTCAGCACGTTGTTCCAAACGCCTGCCAGGTGGATAGGAGGCTCCCAGCGGGGGCTTCTGAGACCGCCCCCTTCAGCTGCCTCCTGCTTTTCTCTCCCACCTGTCCTGGCCCACCATGGCCCGCCCCCACCTCCAGCTGCATTCCTGGAATTGGCACCCAGCTCAGACTCCACCTGGGCCCACCCTGTCCCACCTGTGGGGTGGTCTAAAGGGTGAGGATGGAGCAGCAGCCACCAACCCTCCCTCCTGGGTTGGTAAGAGACAGCACGGCAGGCACGGGAGATGATGAGAAAGGCCCTGGAGACAGCTGACGTGCTCGTTCCTCGGGCCCTTGCTGCGATGGGGCTGAGCAGTTGCCCTAGTGCCTGGGTGGATCCCTTTTCCCCAGACTTGCAGCTGCAGAGCTGACCCAGTAGTGATGTTCGTCCTTGCAGTGGGTGGCAACTCTGTCTTGATTGCAAGTGCTCAGCAACGCTCCCTATTCATCTGTGTACCCTGCAGGGCTAAGCAACTCGGCCCTTCAGCAAATCATTAGGACTAAGTTTCTCCATCTGTAAAATGGCTAATTGCAGAAGGCCACACAGCAGCAGGGACCCAGATAAAGCTCTTGCAGTAGGGAAGCTTTGTTTTGTCCTCGCTAGCAGCTGCCCTAAGTGTTACAACTCAAAGGGCAGAGGAAGCCACTTAATGCCTACATGATAATAACAGCGATCAATTAATAATGGCAATAATGGTCTTTGAACGTGGAGCGCTGCTTCTCTCCAGCGGGAGCCCAGTTCCTGCTCCTGAGGGACAGCCCCACCTGCGGAGAGGCTGCTCCCTCCAGTGGAAGGAGGTGGTCATGGTCACCGAGAGTCAGCTCGGAGCCAGATGTGGATCTCTCCTTCCTGATCTCTCCTCCAGCCCTTCCTCTCCCAGCCAAGAGTACTCATATTCACATTAGAAAGCAGCCCCAGCCATAAGAAACCCGTTCTGTCTGCCCAAAACCACACCAAATGTGTTATGGCGACTTCCTCGCCTTGCCCCTCTGGCCGCAGTTTTTCTTCCTGTACAAGGAGGTGAGCCAATCTCGGCTCAGCTACTCCATCGTTTCCCTGGGTTTAGGGAGTGGAAGCCCCCAGGTATTTTCCTGGCTTTGCCCCTCCATCCACTCTGACGACCTCCTGGGAGGCCCTAGCTACTCATAAGCCCCACGACAAGCCCTGTGGTTGGTTCTTGGCTGCCAGAGAGAGCCCCTTGGAAGAGAACAACTGCTTAATAAGGATAAACATGTGGCATGCAATTTAAAAACCCTGGAATACCCGGCCATGTGATAGGCAGGTTCCAAAGCTGCTTACTTCAGCTAGAAAGCACTGCCTGGCCACCCCCGCCCCTTCCCATCATCTGAGCTTCTCCCCTTTCCCATCCAGAGTCCTCCCTTGACCCCCCAAATCCCTTCCCATCTTTAATCAGTCTAAGCTTTTAAAGAAAGAAAAAAAGAGTGCAGAAGAAGGCCAGCATGTAGAGGTATGGCACTTAGGGATGTTTTAAGGCCCCTGCAGAGTTCAAGGAGAATGTCCCAAGAATGTTAAGCATGATCCCTCCCCTGGGTCTCTCCCCTCACTGCCAACCTTGAACCAAGTTATGCAGCTTGGAAACTGACTGGAGTCCTCCGGTTCCCTCCCTGGAATGTCGAGGGTCTCGGCCTGGTATCAACCCCTGGGGTGTGTAAGGTCATCTGGGATGTGGTCTGGAGACCACCCTAAGGTGGGGAAATGTGGAAGGCAGTTCCCAGAGAGCCCGGACTTCCCTCCCCCATGGCCCTGTGAAATCGACAACTTAATAATTCTTAACATTTATTGGGTCTGTGTTCCAAAGGATGTACATGTCATAATCTGCTCACTCCTCACAGCTCCATGAGTTAGGTATTATTTCCCCGTATTTTACAGACTTGGAAACTGAAACACAGAAAGACTACATAAATTCTCCAGAGTGACACAGCTAGTAAGTGATACACCCGAAATCCAAACCCACACTCCAGATCCACTCTCATAAACACCATACTAAACTGTGCCTTCATAAAAATAATATTTTAACATTAATAATACTAGTGACTCTGATTTGAGTGCTTTAGATGCTGGGTGCCTGCTAAGAGCTTCCCATGGCTTATGCTGGAATGCTCGAAACAGGCTCTATGAAGCAAATATGATTATTAGCTCCATTTTACTGAAGAAATGGAGGCTCAGGGAGATTGAATAATTGACTTAGTTACAGAGATAATGAGTGGTCAACTGGGATTCCTTCCCAAGATGGCCTGCGTCCCTCTGGACCACACTATGGCTCACTGCTCCCTGCCAAAGGGGCCATTCTGTGTGTCACTTCCCTGAGGCAGAGAATGAACAGGAGGAACCTCCAAGGTTCCCTTCTGCCCTTTGTGCCTCTAATTTGATCCCAGAGGAAAGATGCAATGAGAGGACTCCCTCTGCTTAACTCCCAAGAGGGACCATGTCCCATGCCCTCCAGACCTCACTCTCTACCCATATGCCCCATGCTTTCCCCACCCCATTCCCACTCCCAGCATCCCTACTCAACTCAGGCGGGACGCACAGCTCCAGGCCCAGCATGACGGATATGTGTGGCCAAGAATGGCAATGTATTTATTAAGTGAAACCGACAACTTTCATTAACCCAAGTAGACATTATTAAAACGCGCCGGTTGTCTCTGGGAAATGAAGTGCCCAGCACAGGCTGTGAGCAGAGCTCCTATTTGCGTGCGCCAAGCTGCTAAGTGTGGGCTGTGCCTCCCTCCTGGCATCCTGAGTCTCATCCATCATGTCCCATGAAGTAGGTCCCATCCTGAGCCCCCACACCACTTCACAGCAGTCACCGCAGGACTCCTCCCCCTGAGCCTCAAATCCCAGACCCAAGTGGCCTGAGACCTGGAGACCATGGGTGCTCCATTGCTCCCACTCCCGACGCCTGAAGATGAAGCTGCTCACTGGGACCCTGATCCTCTACATTAAGTGCAGCACATTATACCTGCCTGGAATCCTGGCAGTGACTAAGGAGGCACCAACTGCAAATGTGACTTGGTAAGATCCCAGGAGTCGGTCCCTAGATATAGTTATCCATGGGGCCCCAACCTGCTGCAGATGGGAGAGCAGGGAATCCAGGAGAAAAGCCAAGAGCGTGGGAGGAGCCAAGGAGAAAGGGCAGGGCCAAGAAAGGCCACACCCTCACCAGGCTCGATGCATTGTCTGTGATTATGGGTCTTTGTTGAGGTGAAGGAAGCAGTAATAATAATCTCATCTGCCACTTTGCAATTTACAATGCACTTTTACATATGCCGTTTCATTTGCTCCTCCTAAGTGTGCTATGAGGGAGATAGCATCAGCCTGATTTCTCTTTTGTCCCCATGAGGAGAGGGGGCTTGGGGTTAAATAATTCTGCTGTGAGGCTCTGTGAAGTTAGCAGGTTGCAGCTCTGGGGTGAGTCTAGCGTTGCTTCTCTGAGTCACCTCCTTTCGAAGACCTCCTCTTTTATTGTGTTCCAAACATGGACACCTGGCAAAGCTCAGACACGCTTGTTTAGAAGTGGGCCATTCTGCGCAGCCTCAGACCCCCTGCTGTGTGCACCATGGCTCCAGGCAGTGTGCTGTGAACACCCACCCACCCCCATGTGGCCCACAGGACACACCTGTAAGCCAACGGATCAGAACCCTCCAGCTGTAGAGGCAGCAGAGGATTTAGAGTGGCCAAGAAGGACTGTACTAACACTAACTGCGAACGGCCTGGTCCTCAGTTTCCCTGTCTGGACAGTGAATTTCTCTGTAGGGCTGTGGTGAAGACTAAATGAGATATGGTATACACATTATCTTGTACAAGCCTGGCACATGGTACATGTTCAACAAATGGCAGCTCTTACTGTTCTTATTAAAGAATGCTAGACAAAAATGCAATGCAGCCAGTATGTATGGAATACTCAGTTTCATCCTAGCTTAGGAACAGAATGCCTCAGACCTTCAGGGTGGTCTTCCTGCCCATTCCCACGTGTACACTCACCCCTGTCAGCTCTGCGTCCTCGTTTTCGGTTCAGAAATACAGTGGTCATAATACTGGACACCCGGAGGAGATAGCACAAGGACAGAAGCTATTGCTTATTCATCTTTGATTTCCACAGCCTAGCATCGGGCCTCATGTGAAGGATTATCAGTAAATATTACTGAATGGATAGAAGGGAGGGAGGAAGGATAAAAGGAAGAAAGGAAAGCAGGAAGGAAGGAAGGAAGTCAACTGAAAAGTGAATGGATAACGTGAATTATGGCATTCTTTGGCTGATTGGCCATCTCAAAACAGATCCTGGTTCCTCTTAAAGATGGGACCATGATGTTGATCTCCAGCCTCGGGGCTAGTGGGAGGAGGGGGGGCTATTTGGGGAGACATGGGTAAAAAGCCTTGTATCGGGGAACACGAGTTCTCTCTCCACTCCCTGGCTTCTCCCATACATCCCTTCCCATCAGAAACCCTGGTCAATCCGGAGCTACCAGCATCCCAGGGCCAGGTGAGGCAACAGCCCCAGCACACCTGCCCAGGATATGGCTGCTGCGCACCAGGCAGGGCCCAGAGAAACATGCAGCCATGTGCTGCCAGAGAGCAGATGCAGCAGCGCTGGGCACTGAGGCGTGGCTCCAGCACAGCTGCTCAGGGGGCCAAGACCCAAGCATGTTCCTCCCAGTTCAGCATGTCTGCAGAGACAGGGTCAGGAGGTGAGGACCAGACAGGGGCCAGCCATTGAGGTTTCTGTGTGCCCCCTCTCCCCTTCTGTGGCCCTCCCTGCTTAGTCAAGGCCCCCATATCCTTGGTGCCATCTGCAGCTGCCCCAGTCCTACCCTGTCCTGCCCATGATGCCCTCATTCCTGAGGCTCCCAGGCAGCTTCTGCCCCCTCATTCATTGGGAATGAGGGTTCTCATCACAGCGGAGGGAGGTATTTCTCCCCAAACGAGTTGCTGTGAGATGATGCCAGGAGGGCACCGAGGCTGGCATGAGCCCCCACTTGCCTGCCCATCGGTATTCAATGGGAATTTATTGTTTTAATCAAAGTACTATGCTAAACAGGGAGTCCTGGGATCCTTGCCCTGGCATGGGGCCCAGCAGCTCCAGGAATCTGTAGGGGCATCTCTAAATAACAGTCCACAGAACACACAGTGGATTGATTCTTTTTTGGAGTGTGGCAGACCCCTCCCCTGCAGGGTGACGGTGGGTGAACTTGGAGGAGCATGTTCTAGGGTTCCTTGGTCTGAGCTAGGAGAGAGAGCGTCTCCTATTGGTCTCTATGCCTCAGTCAGGCCTCCAATCATTACTTCTTGAGACCTCTGTAGCTATTAGCTGAGTTGGACAGGCCTACCTGCCCCTTGCCCTGCTGTGCTTTCCTGAGCTGACCCTACCATGGCCTTAAACTTTTCCAGAGCAGCTCATGAAAAGCTCCTCCCTTCTTACCTGTCCTCCCAGCCCCGCGAACTGCCCCCGACAGAACAGCAAGCTCAAGCCCAGGGCAGAGGGGTTTATCAAGGCCGTGGTGCCAAGGTCTCAGTAAGTATCATAAATTGGAAGCCTGGCCCAGGTGATGCGGATCCACAGCTGGGGCAGGGCTTCAACCACGGGGCCACATGCCTGCCTTTCTGTGATGGGACTGTGACAGACGGGAGAGATCAGAGGCGTTCAAGCCAAAGGGAGGCAGGTCCCAGTTATGTCACTTCCTAGCTGTGTGACCTCAGGCAGAGCACTTGACCTCTCTGGGCCTCTCCCTCATCTGTCAGGGGAGGATGACAGCACAGGATGGTTGTGAGGATCAAGTGAGATAAAGTATATAGACTTGCATAAACGACGACGAGGCACCGGACAAAGGCAGGTTGCTATTACTATGGCTTCTGGGGCCCAGGTGGAAAGGGCAGAGGACCAGAGGCCAGACTTCTGGGAGAAGAGCTAGAAAGCTCAGTCCCTGTAGATAACCCCACACACCACAGGCTCCATAACCCCAAGACCCAAAAAGCCCCCAGGGCTGTGGCCTCCCTGCTGGAGCCACCTCTGACAGTGAGCACACAATGAGCTCCCTTCTTCAGAGCAGCCAGAGTAGGCTTTCATCAAAAGGCAAAACAGAAACGCTGCCAGGGCTGACCTCTTTGCCACCGCTCCTGGGGAAAGACTTTGTTTTGCGAGAAAGGAGGGGGCTACTCCTCCTCTCAGTAAACAAACTCGGCCATTCAATTAGTTCCTGCGAGGTGTTGATCATGCCACGGGAAAAGGCCGCAGCCCCTGCCTCGCAGCGGTCAGCTTCTGTGACTCTGTCAGGCAAATCAAAGAGGCGGCCTCAGGTGACCTTGTTTCATCTCAAACACACACAGGACCCCTTGTCTCCTAAAACTCATGCTGTCCCGTATGCACGGTTCTCAGGCCAAGACCTCCACCTTTAGTCCAGTCCTTAAAAACGGGAGATGGCACGAGGGAATGGAGCTCCTAGAAATGGACGCGGCAGGGGATGGAATTCAGGGGGATGAAACTCCAAATAGGCGTCCAGGAATGTAGGCGGGGTGGGCGAATGGCACCGCAGGATGCATGAGAAGAATGGAGGAGGGGCGGCAAGTGGGCAGAGGGGGCCAGGACACTGTGAGGCCTCCTTTCTCTGGTTCTCTCAGGTGCCATAAGGAGAAAACCTGGCGGAGTGTTGAGGTAGAAGACTTCTGTTTACAGCCATCTATCTCCCATAATTAGCCATTTAGGAAGAAAATAGCCTTCAAATTCAAAGGTAAATTGACTTACATTGGGATAATAACGTTTGATTGAGCACGGGAAGTTCATCTTTAGAGTATGAGAGCAAACAAATTGCTTTTCTTCCCTGGTGCTTGGAAAGAAACAAGATGAGATTGCAGGTGCTCCCAGAGCTGTGTTCCCATCGCCTCAGGGCATTAGCAGGCCCAGGGCTGAGCTGCAAAACCCAAGATGCCCACGGCTGCCGCTCAGTCTCTCTGCCAGTTGTTTTCTGATCCTTGTTCTGGAGGGTTTTAAAATTATATTGCATCACATTGATGCAGCAATCAGTTATTATTGTCAACAAGAGCATGAAGAGACATAAATTCTCTCCCTTAGATAGAGGCTGGTTCATAAATACATTTCTTTATTGCTTCCTAGATTGGAAAGATTGCTCTGTGCTTTGGCTTCCTGGAACATCGGGGGGCTGGGAGGACGGGGGACAAAGGGTTTTAAATTTCGCTTCTGACTAAGATTGTGAAATCCTGGGTAATTTCCTGAAAAGGTCACTGGATGCTGACCTTCCTGGGGTAGGAGATCCGTGGAGGGGTGAGAGAGAGAAGGGAATATGCAAATAACTAAAATAGAATGCTCTGATATGGACAAAACTGATGGGTGACTGGGAGAGGGAACAGTAACCCTAACTGAAGAAGTCAGGGTCTTTTTTCCCAGAGGAGGAAAGTTTAAGCCAAGCTTTGAAAGATGAGACATGGAAGTGAATGATCAAAGGTGTATAAGGAGCCCTTCCTTGAATACTTTGGATTCTGGCAAAAATTCAAATTTTACTTATATTCCTAGTAGAAACCAGGAATCATCTCATTGGAGCTCTATTTCAGCTATGTCTTTCTTCCATTTTTTCTGATCATGTATGTTTGGAGTAAGAGTAAAGGGATTTGCACCACCCATAGATTTGAGTGTTGGAGTGGGGTGGTTGGTGGAGTTGGGTGGTGCACATGCACAACCCAAGTGGCTAGCTCGTGGGTATGAAAGGTTTAAGGACCTAGAGTTTAAATACAGAGGAACAAGGCAAGAAACACATTTCTTCTTAGCTAATAAGGACCTAGATTAGTTATTTCTTGCTGTATTAAAATTAGCAGTTTAAGACAACAGACATTTATTACCTCTAAATATATGTGGGTCAAGAATCTGGGCACAGCTTAGATGGGCCCTCTGCTTCAAGGTCTCTCCCAAGGCTGCAATCAAGATGTAAGTCAGGGCTTTACCATCTCAAGGCTTACCTGGGGCAGGGTTGGCTTCCAAGCTCACTCACATGCTTGTCAGTTGGATTCAATTCCTTGTAGGCTGTTGGATTGAGAGCCTCATTTGCCCACTGGATACTGGCTACAGGCTACACTCAAGTTCTTGCCACATGGGCCTCTCCAATATAGCAGCTTTCTTCATCAAAGCAAGCATCTGAGAAGGAGAGACAGAGAGAAAAAGAGAGAGCCAACAGGACAGAACACGCAAACTAGTCTTTTATAACTTAACTAGAGAGGTGATAGCCCATCACTCTCGCTGTGTTCTATTGGTTAGAAGCAAGTCACCAGGTCTAGCCCATACTCAAGGGAAGGGAGCACACAGGGGTCTGAAAACCAGGAGGCAGGAGTAATTGGCAAGCTGCCCACCATGGGACCTTGGCTGTCAAGTTAAGTCCCCTGATGCTAGTCTAAGAAAATGGAAACCAGCTGGGGTCAAGTCAGGAACAGAGCCCTGGTCTTCTGGCTCTTTCTCCAGGGCCCTTCAACCACAGTGAAGGTTACACATCAGAGGGTCATTACTGTATGGACCAGAGATGAGGGAGTTTCTGGAGAAGCCTGATTAGAGCTTCTATATGCAAGAGCTGTAAGCAAGTCCCCTTCAGAGGCTTGTGGGGATACCCGGTATCTTGGCTAGGCATGAGGAATGACAGACCCCTAGAGGCTTCCATTTGATGGAAAAGACAAATGGGCCCCTACTTTCTATGTGGGCCTCTATGTCTCTGACTCAGATCCAGCCACATGCCAGAAGAGAAAGGGGGTGAAGCAGAGACCCGCACAGGGGAGCTAGAGGAGTAAACAGCCCAGGAAGAGCTGGTCACCTTTTCATTTTAAGAGTTAAAGAGAACAGAGAAGAAGAAGAAAAGAGTCAGGCAATGGAATAGCAGGTGCAGCCGAAAGCGTGCCTGCCTCAGAGAGAGTCCATTAGGGGCCAAGACACCGAGCAGGGACAATGCGGCTGAGACAATGGAAGCAGCTGAAAAGCCGTGGAAATTGGGTGTGCAGACTCCTGCTTCTGGGATGTCTTAACAGATTAATAAGGCTTTTGAGGATTTCTAGAAACATTTATATGAGTCAGAGCCCTAAGAGGGGCCAATGTGGGGTTCTTTGAAGCTTCTCTTTTAGCAGCTTGAAACAGCAGATGTCTCTGCACCCAGCAAGGAGGGGTGAGGCCTGGGCAAGCCAGGAAAAGCTATTGTGTCTCTAGAAAATGGGAGCCCACAAGGGGACTTTATAACAGCCATTGAAGTCGGAAGGCAGGCACATTTCTTAGTTTGGGAACAATTATCTGGCCAAACAATGGGAGGGAGGCAGCCACTGCTCAGGCACAAAAACCACGTGATCTTCAGACTGGGGTTGAGAACATTCTAGGAAGCCTAAGAGTGAGCCCTACAGGTCAGAAGTAACGCTTGCAAGACAAAGCCAGAATTATTATTCCCACTGCAGAGGTAAGGAAACCGAAGCCCAGAAAAATTAAGTGACTTGCCCAAAGTCCCTCAGGAGTGAATGACAGAGTGGGCAATCAATGTGTATCAGTTTGGCATTCAACTGGGTGTAGCAGAGATCCAAAGTAAGTGGCATAAGCAAATTAGGGGTTTGCTTTTCTCTCACATAAAATGAAGACCAGGAGTAGATGGGCAGCCCATCCTTAGCACTGGCTTCCATTCTTGGGTCATACCTCATGGTCATAAAATGGCTGCTGAAGCTCCAGTCATCAGCCCCACATTTCAGGCAGGAAGAAGAAACAAGAGGAAAGGACAAAAGAGGTGCACCTCCCAGGTGAATCAGCCATCTTTAAAGAAGCCTACCAGTGATCTCTGAATATTCGCATCAATCACCTCTAGCTTCTTAAGGAAGGCTAGGAAATCCATATTTGGTTAACTTGGGTAACCTGCCACACCAACAATGAAAGTACTGTAATGGTAAATAAATGGGAGAATGTATATTAGGTAGGCAAATAGCACTCTTTGCCCCAAGACCCAAATTTCCTGAATCTAAATCCAAAATTCTTTCCACTTCCTACATGGCCTATTGCAAACATGAACAAAATGTGACACACACTACTGAGCACTTCCAACCCCTCTGACCCTAGCAAAGTCACTGAACGCTTCACCACTCAGAAAGTCCCGCTCTTCAGACATTGGCGTGAGCCAAGAACTCCAGGAAAATATTCTTGCGCCTGCTCATTAGCTATTGGCTGGTCCAAATCTCTTCTCTAGGAGGTGTGGTCCACTCTGCTCAAATTACCTCAAGTCTCTACTTCTCTTAGGGGTCTAAGCCAGGCACAGGTCTTTGCTCTCACTGTACAATCCTCATAGGATGCTATGGGTGACTTAAGTGGCTGCTGTGCTCTGTTTTAGACAGAACTGTACTTCCAAATGATACAGTACTGATCAAGGTAGGTAGAAAAGTGAAGACAGGAATGGGTGCAGAGGATGGTGACCAATTGCATACATTTTTGTTAATTCCTCAGCCATCAGGGGTAAGTTGCCACATTCTGCCCCATTGCTATCAACTTTTATTCCGTGTCAGGGACCACAAGGGCTCTGTTTTTCACTGGCACAGCAAACAAGAGGCTCCACAATCCTCTGTCGGGGAAGGCACTCGAGAGAACCTTGGGACCACTTGCCCTTTGAGACCGAAATAGTTTGGAGCTCCAAGTGGGAACTGTGAAGCTGACGGCAAAAGAATGTGACAGGGTTGTCCTTCCCACCAGCTTCCTCTTTCCCTGTTTCCAAATTTCTTCCTGTGACATTTCAAGTTACAAGGCTCCCATCTCAGAACTTTGACTTTGAATGTCTTTTCATATTGGCCTTAAAGAAGATGGTGTCGTCAGTGACCTTTTTAAAAGACCACGGGGACTTAATTAAAAACTAAACTTGGCCACTTAATTCAGATGGTCCTGTCGACTCCTCAGCACTGATGTGAACTCAGCCTTGTCAGCTTGCAGCGGGCTACTGGCACTGCCCTTTGGTGTCCCGACATTGCGGAGCTGCAGAGTGACAGGCGGGCTCTGGCCCAGGCTCCAGGACCAGCGAGGCTGCTCTTGACCAGAGAGGGCCCCCTGCCACAGAGAGCCAAGGGCTCTGATTGGGTGGGTAGTTCTGGGTAACTCGTGCTGGGAACGGCCCTCCAAAGGGAGAGAATGGAGACACAGGGATTTTGGTGATGGCTAGTGTAAATCAAGGGAATTTCTGAGAGGTCTGTCTGGCTACCACACTCCAAAATTCTCCTAGGTCCCTGTTTTCCTCTGAATGACTTTGTAAAGAGACTAGAGCCCATATAATGCCCCATCCTGCTTCCTCCTGCTGCTTTAAAGATTCTAGAAACTGGTAGATGGATCTGCAGACACTCATCCTTTAGGCCAGGAAACTGCAGCCCGGGCTCTGTCTCTCTTGCCCAAGGCTAGAGGCCATCAAACTCTTCTGGAAGACCAGGCTGGATGGTTGATTCAGTTCTTATTACCTTATTAATAGTTGCTTTCATTCCCCCTTCCTGGAAGAAGAAAGCTGGGCTCAAGATGCGTAGGTGAGCTGTGAAGAGCTTTGTGCTCCTAAGACAGAATGTAGAGCTCCACACAGAGATACCTCCTCCCCACTCCCGCATGCCTGCCAGAAGTCAGGGAGCAGAGTCACTTCCCAGAGAAAAACCATCTCTTCATTACCTAGCCACATCAGATCACTGTCAACTCAATGCAGCTAAGAAACATGGCAAGAACATATCTTGGCCCTGGGGCCGAGGTCATCACATTCCTACCTTCCCCCCTTCAGAAGGGACAGAGTATAGTGAAAGGAGACCTAGAGTCTGGCACTTCCCTCACTAACTGGCTGTGTGACATTGGGCATGTTACTTTACCTCTCTGGGCCTCACTACCACCTCTAAAAATAGGGCTAATAATTTGTGACTTATCTGCAGATGATGATCTTGTAGGTTTCCTTTCACTTACGTTTGTTTGACAATGTACTCAACATCTACCATATGCCAGGTGCTGTGTTAGATCTAAGGATGCGGCAGTGAACAGAACATTCTTGTTGGTTGCTCCATGGGCATGAACACTGGATGTCAGAACTCCTGGGACTTCATGGCAGGTGACTCTCGAGATTGGTGAACAGCCTATGGAGAAGGCAGCTCAGCCACCAGCCAGGCTCGTAGGGCTTTCCGTTGGGTTCACCAGAGCCTAGAACAGACAGATTTATCCTGGGAGACTTTCCTGCCTTCCTAGGGGCCAAGGGCTCCCCACCTGCTTGGAGACCTCAACCACTTTCCTCTGCTCCTAAGGGAGGAAACACAGCACCAGCCTATATTGTGACCCTTAATCATTGTTTATTACAATTCTTTATGACCATAGACACACACCAAAGAAAGCCTTTGAAAACCAGGTGCTGCTTATGCCAGCAGAGCTAGAGAAGGTTCTGGAAAGGATGTCCTGGCTGGCGTCTGTCACTGCTGGTCACCTGGAGGCTTTGTATGCCATCAGGGCTTGTCAGTTCTTGCTGTCCCCCATCGCTCCTAAGGGGGCGGTGTGGCCTGGCTGCAGGTGCCTTCTGGCCACTGGGTCTCCCTGGGAGAAAAAGAACTCATTCTAGTCCTATCTCTGCCACTGACTAGCTGTGTGGCCTTCCTTAGGCAAAGGACACAGTCCTGAGTCATAGCCACTGAGTCCTCAGTAAGATGATGCTCACAATGCATCCCTTACCGGTTGCTGTGAAATTAAATGAGATAATTCAGGTAAACACTTGGTAAACTAAAGAGGCTCAAATCAAGGCCAAGTTTAGGATGAGGAAGACCTTGATAAGGGAGAAATAGTCCAAGATCTGAGTCATCAGCTAAGACAGGAGCCACACAGAGCCCCCCAATCCTGGGCGATAAACCTGGGACAACTAGCCTGCTGGGCTCCACTTTGCCAAGGGCCCTGCCAGCTCCTACACTGCCCTCAGCTCCGGATCTCTGGAGCCAGGCTGGAGGGGAGGCTGACTGCATTTCTCCAGAGCCAGGCTGGAGAGGAGGCTGACTGCAGCTCCTTTGTCTGCCCAAAGTGGACATCCACCCTCTTCAGCCCCTCACCCGCCACCCCCTCCACAAGTGGGTTAAGAGCCTTGGAAAGAGAAAAGAAGGCCGGTGAAGTGGCTCTTGAGTGCTCTCAGCCGGGCTGACAGCCCTCAGGCCTTGTCACCATCCCCACAGCTGCATGGAAACAGTGCCACGGCAGCTGGGGGAGCTCTGTGCCCATCTTCAGGGCACGCTCAGGACGGGGTGCCCCACGCCTCACAACCCAGAAGGCCCCTGAGGGTCCGAGGGCCCAGGGCAGCTGCAAAGTGACTTTCACCAGGAGACATTGTTCCCCCTCCCAGGGGCGGAAGGCCAACTGGGGCAAAACGCTGAGAAGCACGTGGCGGAAATGCTAACAGAAAAGATCGAGCAGCTCCCAAATGCAGGTTCCATCGCTGAGGCTTCAGAATTTTATATGAGCTTTAGGAAAACAACCCCTTCTATGTTCTATTCAGTGTCTCTGCCTTTCTATGAGGACCTGCGGCTGGACAGAGGAGAGTTGGCCAGGAGCATGGGTTAGAGAATTTAAGAGCTGGCCTTAGAGATAGTTTCTGCTGCGGCCTCATTGCACTCTTAAAGGCACCACTCATGAGGCCTCTGAGGCCCAGCAAGGATAAATGACCGCCCAGACCCTCCAGCAGTTGAAGGCCCCATGCTATGTGGAAAGAAAGAAGGAAAAACGAGGCTAAAGGAATTCTAAAGTTACACAGCGAAAAAAGTGGAAGGAGCTGAGATTTGACAGTTTCCAGCGATTCCAAACTCATGTTCTTTCTCCTACACCCTGTAGCTTCTCCAAGAAGATTGGAGTCTAAAGGGCGCAGAGTTTCCTCGAGGAGCTTCTGGTCCAGTGAGGGAGATGGAATTCATCCAGGTAGAAAGGACCATAGCAACAACAAAAAAATCACAGTACGCCATGAATCCTGTGGCTCCGACCCAGCCCCCAGCCCTACCCTTCACCTTACTGTTAGTTTTCACCAGCTCCTCCATCCTTCCCTCCCTTCCTCTTCTGCCTGCCTTCTTCTCCAGGTAGATGAGTCCCACAGCTTACTTCAGATCTCAGGGCAGAACCTGTGACCAGGAGGGAGGGGTGGAGGATGGGAGGAGGATACACTGTGCCAATGGACAGAGGGAAGGGAGCCTGGGGATGTGATTTCTTTTCCCCAATAAAGCAGAAAGTGAAAGGCAGGAGTTTCTGCAAATGTCATCTCTTTGTTCTCTCTTTGTGATTTGTCATCTGCATCCACCACTGAGCAGAGTACAGACCTGGCCTTGCCCTCTGGGTGGAGGGGGACAGTTGTATTGCACCACTGGACCCCCTGAGTCTCGCAGTGATGGCAACGGTGCAATGGGCTAACCTGAGCAGCTTCCTGGAGGGGTGATCTGAGAACCATGACTCAGAACCTGGCTTCCCAGCTTCCTAGGGCTCACAAATCCTCTTGAGAATCTACTAAAAGCTATGAATGTTCTCTCTCCCTAAGGCTTATATGCACGTTCACTCAGAATTAAGGAATTGCACAAGTTCTGCAATTAACTCCACTCCGTGCAGGCCCAGACCCCATGGATGACCCCCATTCCAGATTGTCTCATGCATACAGGGCAACGTGGCTATGGAGAAATGATCAGCAGACAAGCAAGTCAGAGGAGAACAGACAGCAGGCCACAGGTCCAGCCGGGTGTTCATTGCCCACCTGTACCCAGAGGGGGTCACAGCAGGTTGGGAGGTACTGGCCTGCCTACTGCATCCACTTAGCACGAGGGCCCCTCCCTGGTCCCCACAGTGGGTAGGGAGTGGCTGTGGCTTAGAGCTGGGGACAGTGTGATGAGGCTGCTTGCTGCCATCAGCCAGAGAGAGCTGGTGGCGTGGAAATGCTGGCGCCCCTGAAGCCTCCCGATAACGGTGCTAAATAAAGGTAATTTTCAAGTCACCAGTTAACAATGGCTGAGCGCGCAAGCAGTGACCGATGAGTCAGTCAATTACAGGATGAGCTGTGGGAGAACTGCTCTGAAGAGCCTCCTGGCCCACGGTCTGTATCCACACAGGGGTGACCTGCAGACGACAGCATCCTGGTTCCGTGGTAAGCATCTGTTTCTCCAAAGCCCTGGCTTTTTTCCTATTGGAGACCCATTCAGACAATCTGCAAGTCGGCTGACGGGGTGGGAGCTGGAGGCTTCAGGCCTAGAAGCCCTTTGTGCAAGCCTCCTAACGTGGCTGGACCATGTGCCTGCTCCCCTCAGCCCTCCCACCCCAGCCAGCTCCTAGCCCCCTCACAGGAAAGAAAGGTACGCCACGCCCAGCCCTCTGCTCCCAGCGGCAGCCTGCATCGGTTCTCTCAACAACAGGCCTTTTCTGCCTGAGCTGAGAGTGTCTTGCTCCCAGCCCTTCCCTGCTGTGACCACACCCAGCTCAATAGCTTTCTCTTCCCAGAGCACACAGAAAAAGGCCTTACCTGCGACTGGTGCCAAACTCACATCTTCCCCAAGGCCTCCCCTGATGTGCCTCCTGGGCTCCCCACCCTGGCTCCCTCCTCCCTTCCCTCTGGCCCCAGGCGCGCTGTTTCCCGCACAGCAGGCATGCAGAGTGTACTGTGTGGGTTTTTTGCCATGGTCCTTTCCATCCTGATGTATTCCATCTCCCTCAATGGACCAGAAGCTCCTGGAGAAAGCTCTGCCCCTTTAGACCCCAATCTTCTTGGAGAAGCTACAGGGTGTAGGAGAAAGAGCCTGAGTTTGGAATCGCTGGAAACTGTCAGATCTCAGCTCCTTCCACTTTCTTAGCTATGTAACTTTAGACTTCCCTTGGCCTTGCTTTTCTCCTCCATATAAAGGGAACAATGGTACCTTTATAGTACTGTGTTGTTATAAGGATTCAGACCTAGCATTGTATAATAAGACATAGTATTATAGGGATTAAGACATAGTATTTCTCATCCATATAAAGGGAACAATGATACCTTTATAGTATTGTGTTGTTATAAGGATTAAGTTATGGTGTTGTTATAAGGATTACGACAATAACTGTTCGGAAAGTACCTAGAACAAGGCCTGAGGCATCATAGGCACCCAGCACATGCAAGTCCCCATCCCAGGGGCTCGACAAAAGGCCCTGGAATGTTATTTCCTGGCCCACCTAGGGCTGTGAGCAAGGCCTCAGCTGTCCCAGGGACTCCTCTCTGGAGAGTCCAAAGGCAAGCGACCCCCAGCCGTGGCACTGCACCCTGAAGGATGTGATAGGGGTGGGAGCTGTTGGCCCTATGAGAGGCCTATGTTGCTTGGGCTCCAGGGGTGGTGAGAGGGCCCAAAGGCAGGCTGACTCAGGCCTGCCTTTCCCCCTGCCAGGACTTCCTGCTTAGTGGCCAAGTGTAAGTTACTTAAACTTTCTGAACTTCAGTTTCCTTACTGGTAAAACAGAGCATGGTCATACGTATGACAACACGGTATGAGCTGTAAAGAGCCTAACTTAGTATCTAGGACATGGCAGGTGATGAAGAAATTGTAGCAATATTTATAGTGCTCCTGTTCCTCACCCAGTTCAGGCCTTCAGGACAGAGAGCTTTCTCTGAACAGCCAGATCCTTCTAGAAGCACTACCACCCTGATGGGGCCCCCAGAGCTGACCTCAGGTCCAGGTGCAAGGCAGAGCATGGCTGGTATACACAAGGCTGGACAGGAAGAGCATGTCTGAGATCTTGGGCAAGATGTAGAAGCCCTCTGAGCTGCCATTTCCTCATCACTGGGAAGTGCAGGTTACATGTGCAGTAATGCCCTGGCTGTTATAACCAGCCGGGGCCAACCTTGCACAAACCTCCCACCAGAACACACAGGATTTCACCCTAAGGGATGTATGCCTTTAGGTTAAGGGATTCTCTTGGTGAAGGATTGTTACCTGTGGAATACACCTGGTTACAAGCGTCCAGCCAGTCGTTAGATGTTAACATCTTAATACAGCATTTGAATCAGATCACTTTTGGGGTGCAGGTGTGGGAGAGACAGGATCTCCCTCTGTCACCCAGGCTGGAGTACAGTGGTCCAATAACGGCTCACTGCAACCTCCTCCACCCGGGCTCAAGCGATCCTCCTGCCTCAGACTCCCAAGGAGCTGGGACTACAGGCACACACCACCGTGCCCAGCTAATTTTTGTATTTTTAGTAGAGACGTAATTTTACCGTGTAACCCAGGCTGGTCTCAAACTCCTGGGCTCAAGTGATCTGCCCGCCTCAGCGGCCTCCCAAAGTGCTGGGATTATAGGTGTGAGCCACCGCACCCAGCCAGATCACTTTCTAATAAGGCAAATCCTCAAGAGAATGGGTGAAATGAGACATACAGGACAAATTTTGAGGAGAGAAGGGGTGGGGAGAACAGGGATGGAAGACCTGGCTGGGATGGCCAGCGAGGGAGTGGTCCCAAGAAGGGCGGCTCCCGCTACCAAGGTATCTAGGAGGGCAGAGACTACCAGCTGTGTCCCCAGCCTCCTTGAGCCTGGTGCAGCAGCCCCCACAGGCACAGCTCAAGCCCTAATTACACCCTCCATCACTCTCCCACTGAGGCTGAAATGGGGACAGATCACTCACCGTACAGTGGCAGTGACCTTCACAGACCATTTCTCCTCCTTCCAGCCCCCCACTTAGCTGAGACCATGTTCTCTTTCGTCTGCTGTGTCCACAGTGAGCCACAGCAGGGCCGCATGCAGCCACGGCAGACACAGCCCTTGAGGTGGGGACCGCTGGGGTGTTGCAGATCTCAGCCACACAAAAGGTCTGCCACAGCAGCTAGTTTCTAGAAGACTTAGGGATTTAAGGCAGAGCCCTGTAGACAGGGCTGGCTGAAGAGCCCCATAGGAGTCGACTCTGGGAGCTGGGGGCCCAGGAAAGTGGGTGTAATCTTAGACTGCATTAATTGCAAAGCAATTTTTAAAACAGAGGGAGGTGATGTTCTTCTTCTAGGCTTTGCTTGATCAGGCTACATCTGGAATTTTGGGTTCAGTTCTAGAAATCAATTTGAAAGGGGGTATTAACAAAACGAATAACCAAGGTAGTTAAGGTCAAAAGACCATGTCAAATGAGGAAGAGGCAGGCCTGTATAATGGTTAGGTATGCAGCCCTCAGAATCTGGTTCCTGGGTTTACATTTGAGCTCAACAAATGCTCAACAATGAAAGCCAGAGTTAGTATCCATACTGGTGTTGAGATCAGCTTTCAAAGGACTGTGGCATGTTCTGCTGCAGTGGCCCTGGCTGGTATTCAGAGGGAGCCCCTGCTCCTAAGGATGGGGCACAGTAGAAAGAGGAGCGTTCAGGAGTAACTGAGTAGAGCCTCAGCCAGCAGCTGGGGCACTAGGCAAGATCCAGCCCCAGCCCCAGGAGGCAGGGATGAAATGCCAGCAAGGTCAGGTGAGGTGGCAGGATAAAGTGGGTTGAGTCACTGACACACCTCCCAAGCTTCAGTGACTGGTGCACTAGTAGGGAAACTGAGGCTGAGAGGTAAGGGGCTGCACTCACGCCCTATAGGTACATCTGTGTCACGGATCACTCAGTGCCAGAGCGACGAGATGTGCTTTGGGTTCAGAAACATGGGAGCACTTATCCCAGCACTGCTGTGTGATGAGCTGTGTTACTATGCACCAGTGACTCAGCCTCTCTGAGATTCCATTTCCTCCTTTGAACACAAGAGTACCTACATGGTTAAGACCAAGGGGAAAAAACTTAACAAGACAACTGACACACATAGCTCTCTCTCAGTTTCCCAAGCCCATGGTGCCCTGAGTCCCTGCCTGCTGGTGGGCGGGCGGAGGGCGGCTGCCACAGCCCTGCCTGCCTGGACCAGGAGCAGCACAGTTCCCGGACAAAGCTGGCCACAGTGCCCCCATCCAGGAAGAGTCAGTCATCCCCACACCCCACGCAGGTTGTAGCTTCTGTTCCCCTGCACGCAGACGCTGCCAACAGCCCAGACTCTTTCAGCTCTGGAGGGCTTGGAGGGCCCTTCATCTGCCATTGTGTTATTTGTTGTCCCTGTTCTCGTGATGAACAGAGGAGAAATATTGTCTCCAGCCAGAGCCGCAGGAGGCAGACACCTGGAGAGGCAGCGGCTCCAGGGCAGCAGTAATTGCTCTGATTGGAAGGCATTTCCTCAGGTTGCTGGAAGGGACCGGGAGAGGCAGCTAGTGTGCGGGTGCCCTGGGTTCCAGGAAAATCCTGGGGGCTTGCAGCCCCCTTGAAGAATGAGTGCCAGGCTTCACGGCCCAAATTGCTGTTCTCTCTTTCTCCCTGCAGCAAGCTCCCTGCTGGAGTGACTGATGCCCTCGTCTCCCCTGGTCCCCCCACCACCGCCACCTTCTTCCCACCTCAGCTCACTTGTTCTCAGGAGACAGAATTCCAGCCCTACTCATAAATCCATTCATTTGACGTATATTTCCTGAGCATGCCTCCTAACTGCCAAGCTGTGCTCTAGGTGCTTGGGATTTATCAGGGGATTAAACAGCTCCCTGCCCTTGTAGGCCTTACCTTTGAACCAGGGAAACAGATTCTAAACAAAAGCATAATAAATTGGTAAATTATATAGAATGTTACAGCATGTTCAATGCTATGGGGAAAATAGAGCAGTGGAGTGAGGAGGATTGGAGTGCCCAGGGCGCGTGCAAGGCTTAGGACTCCAAAGGGAAATTTTGGCAAGGACTCCTCCTCTCCTTCCCCTCCCTGCCTCAGGGCCCGCAGCAAGGCTCCACCCAAACCCCTCCAGGTCGCTATCCCAGGAAAGGGGAGTCCCCAATTCCTATTCCCACCCCTATCAGCCAGCATAGCCCTCCCAGGTAACTTGCATTTTGCAAAGCACTATTAACATGCAAAAAAATCCTATTTAAGCCTCTCTTCAAGGATACCTGTGGCTGAGTACACTTATTCCCATTTTGTGGATTAGGAAACTGGGGCTCAGAGAAGCTGAGTATCAAAGGGCAAGGCCACACAGCTCTAATAAGTGATAGAGCCAGACTTTGATCAGGACTTTGACTCCCCATCTGAGCTCTTGGCCAGTGTTACTCTCATGTCCCTGATCTCATTGTGTCCCACAATGATTCCATGAGCCGGGGAACAATAAAGCCCATTTTGCTGATGGGAAACTAAGACTAGAGAGTTTAAGTAACTTGCCTGAGGTCACACAGCTAGCAAACGGCAGATATAGGACTTGTCCCCAATCTACCTCATGGCCCAATGCTTTCCCCCGAGCCCTAGATCTGAGTCTTCCAGTCCACCTCTCCCTTCTTCCTAAAGCCTTCCAAAGACAGACCTCTGCCCCTCCCTGTACCAGGGCCCAGCTCTCCTTAGAGTCATTCATTCCTTGCATTCACTCACTCTCATGAAAACTAAAAAGAAGTGAAAAGATAGATGGCAATAAGAATTGTGTTCAACTATTTTACTTAAGTCATAATCATTCCTAATCTAAATTTGCTGGAATGTATTACACAACCTAATCATTCACATATATTGTACTGCGGTTTCAATTTAGTGAAAAGTAAAAGCCATTCAGAGACAGAAATATGTTAAATGAATATCTCCCAGATTACAGTCCTTCAGCGAGATAAAGTGCAGCCGGATTTTTATTTTGATTCAGGGATTGGTGCTGCGTGCTCCTCTTTCAGTTTGGGTGCATTTCTGGCTCCTCTTCCACATACAATGAAAGGCTGGGGGAGTCGAGAGCACAGTGAAGACTGCAGGCTACAGGGTTGGTGAGAGGGAAGCGCTGTGGGTTTGGGAATGTGATGGCTCCATGACCCACTGTTCCAGATTGGAAAGCTGCCCAGCCAGGGGTCTGCAAACTACTCCTGGCTTACCTCTCTGCCTCATGCCTCACAGCTTCCCCTGCAGCTCTGCTCCAGGCCAGACCAAACATGCCATCACCGGAGCAGAGTGTGTTCTTTCTGACCTCCCAGCCTTTGCACACGCTGCCTCCACAGCCTGGAACGCTCTGCAGCCCCCGTCTTCATCTCCCTGTCCCCTATTTGTCCTTCGGGTTTCAGCTTGGATGTCATGTCCCCAGTGGACATTTTCCAAGAACTGCCATGTCTGGTGAGTGGCTCTCCCTACACATCATCCCGGTGCTCTGGACTCTTCCACTGGAGCATCCATCACACTGCATCGTCGTTGCCTGTTTATTCATCTCTCCCACTGACTCCCAGCTCCCTGAGGCAGGGACTCTCTCTGGTTTACAGTTGTGCCCCCATGCTTAGCCATAGTAAGTGTTCAAAGGACGTTTATTGGCTGAATTCACCATCCCAAGCCTTCGAACAGTGACTTGCCCTTCTCCCAGTAATTTTAGGGCCCTTGCTGCATGCCTGCCTCAAGATCTCTCTACAAGCTGGGTCAGTTTTTATCCTCACCTGGATGGTTGGTTACCAAGGAGGCCCCAGCAGAACAGTGCCCAAGTGATGCAAAGCTGTGTCCCAGCTCCTGACCCAGTGCCTTCACGGTGCCACCTTGTATCCGCTACTTCAAAAGGGACAAGTGGCAGCACCCAAGTCCTCACAGGCCAGAGAAAGTGATGAGGCTTGATGTGGCGTTGTAAACATTGAATCTGAAGCCAAAAGACCCGAGTTCAACTCTGACTTCTGCTATGTATAATTTATGGCCCTGAACGAGTTACCTAATTAGTCTCACTGAGCCTCGGGTTTATAAAATGGAAAGTAACAACACCGATGCCTCTAACTGTTGTTAGGAAGAACTAATGACAAGCAGAAAGAGGGCGGGGTATGTGCTTAGAGGCAGCAGTGCTCCTGTGAGTAGAGAGGCCACGAGACCCTTCCCCCAGCTCGCGTTCAGTGAGAGGGTCTCAGCAAGACCGCTTCGTACTTGAAGGTAACTATCCAGTCCGAGCTGGATTACCTAATTACCTACTTACTCCTTCATGATTTAAACCAGGGAAACGGCAGCGCTAAACAATGTGATTTTTATTGATTTTAGCTCTATGTTCCTCATGAACAAGGACACATGAGGAGTGGCCGCTCTAATTCAAGGTCCTCAGGTGCCTTTTCTGGGCCAAATGCCTTGCTGTGTTTTCCCTAATGTGCGCTGTAATCTGAGCTCATTCCTCACCTCCCATCATCTGAATGCCGCCACGTCCGGGGAGGGATCCTGTGGCTGAGTAATGCGCTCCAATAGAGAGTTTGTTTTTAAAGAGAGGAAGTAAAGAGTAATGTTCCTGTTCCAAGCTGCTGAGGGAATTAGGAAGGCAGACGGCCATTACTCAGGCTGGAATCCTGCCAGGGCTTATGATATCATATTTATTTGCCAAGAAAAACATCTCCCTCCTCTGTCTCAGGCAGCACAGGGAAGCTGAAGCCCAACTCCAATCACGTTCCGTGCGGGAGCTTTAAGACACACAGATGGAACTTAACGAGAGCGACGGTCGTTTACATTGATGGAGTACCTTTTAGCTAGATGCCCCCCCAGAGTGTGACAAGCCTTCTGGACAGACGAACAGACACCGGCGTAGAGTGCTAGGCCCCGCATCCCTTTGTTCCCACGTTCCGCAGGAGGCTTCCCCCGGGGCCTCTGCCACTTGGCATGAGGGTGGAACCCTAAGCAGTTTTCCTATCCGGTCCGCTGCTTCCAAACTCTGTTAAGAAAGCAGGAGATGGGAGCGAAGCCTCTTGATAAAATTCCACAAACTATCCTGGTGAAGGTTAATTCCTGGCCGGGCGCGGTGGCTCATGCCTGTGATTCCAACACTTTGGGAGGCTGAGGCGGGCGGATCACACGAGGTCAGGAATTCGAGAGCAGCCTGGCCCGCAGGTTGAAAACCCATCTCTACTGAAAATACAAAATGTAGCCGGGCGTGGTGGTGAGTGCCAGTAATCCCAGCTACTGGGGAGGCTGTGGCAAAAGAATCACTTGAATCAGGGAGGCAGAGGTTGCAGTGAGCCGAGATCTCGCCATTGCACCATTGCACCCCAGCCTGGCTAACAGAGACTCTATCTCAAAAAAAAAAAAAAAAAAAAAAAAAAAGAGGCCGGGCGCGGTGGCTCACGCCTGTAATCCCAGCACTTTGGAAGGCCAAGGCTGACGGATCGCGAGGTCAGGAGATCGAGACCATCCTGGCTAACAAGATGAAACCCCGTCCCTACTAAAAATACAAAAAATTAGCCGGGCGTGGTGGCGGGCGCCTGTTAGTCCCAGCTGCTCCGGAGGCTGAGGCAGGAGAATGGCGTAAACCCGGGAGGCGGAGCTTGCAGTGAGCCGAGATTGCGCCACTGCACTCCAGCCTGGGCGACAGAGTGAGACTCTGTCTCAAAATAAAAAAAAAAAGAAAAGCAAAGAAAAAAGAAAAAGGTTACTTCCTTTATGATGCACTCCAGAGAGCTCTACAGATGAAGCCACAGTTGTCTGATATCTGGTATTATTGAGTTAAGTGCCCATCATTGGGGTTGTGGCCTGTTGACAGTGACCCATGTGTGGTAGTGGCATCTGGCCTGCAACTTCAAGGGTGTCACAGTGGGGAAGCTCTGCCCCAGATCTAAACGACACCCCACCTGCTTCACCTTCAGTCCAGTTAGACACCAGAGAGAAGCTGGTAGTGTCATTGGTGGTGTTACTCTGAGTGCCCTGGTACAGGAGGAGGAAAGTTAAGCCCACATGGGACATTGAGAAAGACCACCTTTGCTCCCCTCTGCCTGCCTTTGCAGCCAGGCTCGGTCATACCCACATGCCTGGGCTGAACTGAGGAGCATAGACAAAAATGAGTTTTCAGACTACTGGGGGCTTTGTATGGGGAAGAAAGGGGCCCATCCTAGAGTCCAGGAGAGTGAGGAGCTACAGTCAGAGAGGGCAAACCTTGACAAGTTCCAGGAGTAGGCAGAAGAGTGCATCCACAGGCGCTCGCCAGGCAATGGAGAGGTGTTGGAATAAGCTGTATAGGATCTAGATATGGCAGCAAAGAGATGGGAACGCCAACGCCCTAATTCCGGGGCACCAACTGTCCACACTGCCTGCAGACTGTGCTCCCAGGCTATGTTGATGTCTGTTTTCCTTCTCAAGCACGCAGCCCACGCCTGCAGAATTCATCGGGTGCCCTGGCTGCTGCCACTGCTCAAATTTTACTCACGAGGATGGCTTTGTGACGGATACATCATCTCATTTTCCTGGAAGTCCTGAGGGGCAGCCACCAGATTGTGCACGCTGAATGTCAGCTACGTTAAGCTAACACATTCACATCATTGAAAAACCCTATTTACACATAATAAACATGGGGATAGTTGCCGCGGAGGAAATAATATAGTATTGATTAAAACAATGGCCTGTAATGCCTTCTGAAAGCCTGCAGCCACCAGCAGCCTCCACAGCGGGTTGCACACAGGCAGCCTCCCTACCTGGCTGCCTCGGGCCTGCCGTCAGCTGTCACTTTCTAAATGGAGAAGACAGGCATTTCCCCGGGCGAGGGTCGTGACAGCAGGAGCCTCCATTTAGGGAGTCCTCGCTGCGTGCCAGGCACCGTACTGAGGGCTTGCTCTCCTTTATCCCCATAGCAGCTCCTCGAGGTAGATGGGATCATTCTTTGCATTTTACAAAGAAGGAAGCAGGCTCACAGAGGAGTTAAATGTCTTGCCCGGGGTCCCACAATTAATAAGTGACAACGCTGGGATTTGAACCTAAGTGTGTCTAACTCCACAGCGCATCCCGTCCTCCTCATGCTAGACTCCTTCGTATATTCATTTTCTATCTTGATATGTAAATATGTGAACAGAGAAGCTCCTGGTGCTCGTGCTGAGGCCCTTGGCAGGGTGTTATCATTGGTTCAGTGGGGGATGGTCTGTGACCAGCTCAACCTCAGCCATGATCCCAGCTATCTTAAGCTGAGGAGAAGACCTGCTGTTTGGCAGAACTGGAGATTTCAGAGTCCCTGAAATAGGAAATCTCATTTTAGAAAGATGGCTTATTGCCCTAGAGCTGCTGGCAGGCCTAGAGCGGGGGCATATTTTCCCTGGTAACCACACAATACCCTTGGCTCAGAAACAGTCCACAGTGAGCTGAGGATAGCAGGAAGGTCCAGGACCACATCTGACATGGTGTGTCAGATGGAGAAGGCTCCAGGAGCACACAGGAGGTATGGGGCCCGGGGAGCCAGCTGTCCACATCCGGAACCACATGTTTCCATGATGGTGGGTAACTGGTGTGGATGGGAGAGATGGGAGGGTCTGAGTATCAAGAACAGATAGCAGTGTCCATCTGTTAGCAGTGAGCATTTCTGCTGTGCTCTGCCATTTACTGACTGTGTAGCTTTGGGCAAGTCACTTAGGCTATCTAAGCCCTCATACCAATATTAAGGATAATACTTCTTCAGTACCTCAGATAATTAAGGATAATACTTCTTCAGTGCATCAGATAATTAAGGATAATACTTCTTTAGTACTTCTTCAATACGTCAGTGTTGCAAGGGCTTAAAAGGAAAATATGTTGCTGCACGAAGCACTGGCCTTTAACAGTCAGCACTCAATTAAGGTCAATCCTGATCTTACAACATGTTTGCAAATACTCGGTGACCTTCCCCTCCCATCCTCATGGGGCTTTAGACCTGCAGAAGCCCCAGTCTTCTGAACTCAGTTCTCACCCCTTCCCCACCTGACCTGCAGCTAAGGTCATCCATCCGCCTGCTTCTCAGCTGTCCCTGCCGTGGAATTCAGACTGGGGAGGTAAATGGGCAGATTTTTGCATCTGCCGAAATCCTTGCTTCACTGGGTTTCATTTTCTTCCGCTATAGCAGAGGATTTCCACTAAACCCCCGAACCGTGTCTGGATTATTGCTTCCGGCAGCATCAGGGGAATGCGTTCTGATACCAAACACCAGAGGCAGAAACACAAACCAGAGCTTAGCAAGGCTGGTGAAGGCACCTCTGTGTTGCCACTGGTGAATCTCAGGCCCACTAGCAAGCAGTGCATCCTTGCAATGCACAATGGCAGGAGCTGGTCCTGGTCTGGCCTGACTGAGAGGACAGGCCATGCAAAGAATGCTCAGTTGAGAGTATGCCCCTCGCTTGAGAGATGAGAAGACAAAAGCCCAGAGAGGCTCCACGATTGGCTCAGTATCACCCAGTAAGGCCAGAGGAATCACACAGGCAAAACCAGGGCCAGATCACAGGGAGGAGCCTGGCTTTGGGGTGGGAGGATCTAGGTTCCAGCCCTTCTGTCACATAGCCGTGTGACCCTGGGCAGGCTGCTTAAGCCCCAGGAGTCTCTGTTTTCCCATCTGTGGAATGGAACAATGAATACATGCCCTTGTGTAACTAGGGATCCAGGAGGTCAGGTGTGGTCTGTTACCTGTGCTCAGTTCATAGCTGGCCCCTTTCCAGCACCTTCCCCTTGTCCCTTCCATTCCCTTCCGTGCCACGTCAGGACAGCAGAGCCTCTCGTGTGTGAGGTGCTTCTCCTCCTACTCTGGTTCTGAGACATAACCCTGGTTCAAGAGGAGACTCCTGTCTATTACAGGACATGGTGATTACAGTTAATAACAGTGTATCCTATAATTGGAAATTGCTCAGAGAATAGGTTTTAAATGTTCTCACCATGCACAAAAAAAAAATGATACATATGTGAGGTAATGGATATGTTAATTCATTGATGTATTCATTCCACAATGTATGCTTTTATCAAAATGTCTTGTATACCATAAATAGATCTACAACTTTTAGTTTCAATTTTAAAAATAAATGAAAGTTTTAAAATTGAATATAGGCCAGGCGCGGTGTCTCACGCCTATAATCCCAGCACTTTGGGAGGCTGAGGAGGGCAGATCACCTGAGGTCAGGAGTTTATGACCAGCCTGGTCAACAAGGTGAAACCCTGTCTCTACAAAAATACAAAAATTAGCCAGGCATGATGGCGGGTGCCTGTAACCCCAGCTACTCAGGAGGCTGAGGTGGGAAAATCACTTGAACCCAGGAGGTAGAGGTTGCAGTGAGCTGAGATTGCACCACTGCACTCCAGCCTGGGCAACAGAGTGAGACTCTGTCTCAAAAAAAAATTCAATATAATGTGACCAGCTCTAAACCCCCCACTAACTATAGCAAAATTATATTTGAAAATTTAATCAATGAGAGGAGGCCCCAGAGCTTCTGGGGCACTGATTTTATCTGCCACCCTTCATTCCCATGGCTGCTGTCCTGCCTCCATGTTCTTTAAACTGGCATTGCAGGCATGGTTTGAGAAGGGCTGTCTAACCCTTTCCAGAGCTAGGACCTGGCATTTACATGAGCACCTACTTCACCATAGGCAGTGGATCTGCACAAAAGAGTCATTTCTTTATGAAGCACATGCAAAGACTGAAAGGGGATGATGCCATTGAGATTCAAGTGCAACCCGGAGACTGTAAAGTCAAGGAAGAAAAAAAAAAAAAAAACAGGAAATTCCGGGAACAGGTAGGGCCATGTGGGGATGGGGAGGGGAGGTTATTTTAGACAGACAGAGTCCAGGGCAAGTTCTTCCTTCCTGAATCAGAGGAGAAGACAGGGCAGAGCAGTCCTGGCCCACACGTGGCCCTGCTTGTCCAGGGTGCACAGAAACTGTGCCAGGCCCCCTCCTGCAGGAGGGCAGTGCACAAATGTGCCAGACAGCACATGGGGCTGGGCCAGGGCGAACTAGAGGCTCCATCACAGGAGAAGAAATTCCAGGCTCCACCCTCTGTGCTCAAAGCCCTCCACGGTATGCCTCCACTGACCTTTCTAGACTTCCCTGCACAGGTCCTGCCTTCCACTCAGGGACCCCCTTGCCCATCGCAACCTGAACCCTTGGCTCAAGCCATTCCTCCTCCTAGAATGTCCTCCTGCTGTCCGGTTCACCAGTCCCCAGCATTCTAGGTGGCCCAGTATAGTCCAGCCTCCTCCACGAAGACCTCCCTGGCCAGCCCAGCCATGGTGTCTTTGGCTATCCTTTGTCTCCCCAACTGTGGGTCCTCTGGGGGCTGAAATGTTATACAGTGCATCTTTATGCTTTCAGCTGTGCCCCGTAACTGGCCTCTCCAGCAAGTATGTGTTAAATTCCTACTGTGGACCAGACACAGTGACAAGTGCCAGGTGTTAAAAGATGACTGGGGGCCAGGTGTGGTGGCTCACGCCTGTAATCCCAGCACTTTGGGAGGCAGAGGTGGGTGGATCACGAGGTCAGGAGATCGAGACCATCCTGGCTAACACGGTGAAACCCCGTCTCTACTAAAAATACAAAAAATTAGCTTGGCATGGTGGCGGGCGCCTATAGTCCCAGCTACTCGGGAGGCTGAGGCAGGAGAATGGCGTGAATCCAGGAGGTGGAGCTTCCAGTGAGCCAAGATTGTGCCACTGCACTCCAGCCTGGGTGACAGAGCAAGACTCTGCCTCAAAAAAAAAAAATGACTTGGCTCCCTCTTTTAAGGACCTCACAATTCAAGGAGACAGACAGGCGAACAGAAAAACATCACGCAGAGGTGGAGAGAGGCAGGGGGTCATGAGAGCAGAGAGGGTGGTTGGGCACATTGCTTACCAGCAGTGGTAACCTGGAAGCATTGTCCAGATCCAGGTGCAACTCTAGATACAAATGCCATCCAACCTCAATGCTCCCCACTCTAGGGCCACAGGTGGTGCATTTGCCTCCTTTGTACCCTGCCCTGTTTTTTCTGCCCCTTTTCTCACTCTCTGTCTCCCCAGTTCTCCTCTTCCACTGGCTTCTTGCATGAACCCGGACCCCATTTGCTCATGAGAGAAGTTATTCGTTAAATTAGAGAGTGGTTCCTGGGGACACTGAGCACTCTGCAGAGAAAAGGCACAGTAGAAATCTAATAAGTAAATCAGAGGGCTAAAAGCTCAGACAACAAGCAGGAGGATTTAGGAAATGAGGAGCTACAGTCTCAGGTACCCGAGGAAGTCATAACTGACAGAGCAGCTTGCACCCCTTGGCCCTGGATGCAATTTAAGAAATTGGATTTTATACTCACCTGCGTTTGGGAACTAACTACCCTCCCACATGATAAATCCTAAGGCTCTTGGTGGAACTCCCTGGGGCCCGCACCAGCGTCATCTGTTTTAGACGACCCGTTCATCCTCCAGGATCATCAATGGCTGGCAGGAAGGGAGGACCTCTCCGAGACATTGGTGAGCTCTGGTGCAAAGACCTTTCTTGGCCATGGCTTCTCGGAGGCAGCACACGGACAGAGCACGGGCTTTGGGTTTGATCGAGGTCTGGTTCTGTTGCTGTGTGGCCTCAAACAGTTGTCTCGCCTTGCTGGTCCTCAGTGTCTTCATAAGTCACATGGAGACAAAGTCCCATCTCTAGGCATGGTGAGGATAAGTGAGAGAGTGTGTGAAAAGTATTTTGCAGGGTAGATACTTGCTGACAGATGGTCAATACGTGATGGCTTATTTTCACCTTGGAATCAGTAAGTCCAGCCTAGGTGTGGTAGGAGAGCCTGGAACTTTTACATCTCCAGGGACAGGGGACAGTCATTGAGACAGAAGGAGCAGGACTGGTGCTGAGTCAGAAGTCCAGAAGCCTGTTGGTCAGGAAGTTTGCCATACCCATTGCGAGAACTCTCCATGGGTGTGAGGCGGATTCTGAGTCCCTCCCCCAGGACCTGAGCAGACAGCCTGTGTACATGCATACACGCTCACCCACGTGCCCCACATGCTGTCACACATTCATGATACTTACTGTTCACAATGTGTCCACCCACAGGGACACGCCACACCCCAAGTTCTCACCCCGTCCCCACCTATGTGCACAATCCACACTCCCGCTCTTATTAGCAGGTAGGCACGGAGTCACGTTCATGTGGAAGTTCACGCCAAGACCAAGATCATCCCTTTTCTTTCCTAGCGTGTGAACCAAGGATCTCTTCCAATGAATTCCCATTTTGCCCTCCTCTTTCTTTGTGAGATACTGAGGAAGGACCAGGGAATGAAGCCAGAGTCTTGCATTTGCAGAGAAGCTGGAGGGGAGAGGGAGGGAGCATTTCCTGGGCTGCAAGCATCCCAGGACCGAAACATCCTAAGGGTTGTTTATTTTGGAAAAGAAAAGATTGTCTGTTAAACTTCTCAGTAGTTGGGTGGAAGAGGGATTAGTCTCATTCTGTGTTGCCTCACAGTGCAAATTTGGGACTAATGAGGCAAAGTTGCAAGGCTGTAGGGAATATTTAAGCTCAACATAGAAGAACTCTAAAATTATTTAAACTCTCCAAAAATGAAAACCACAGCTTCCAAAGTAATGAGCTCCCTGTCTTTAGAACGATCCAAGGGAAACCAGTGTGACTACTTCTCCAAGGTGCTAAAGGGGGAATCCTTTAGCACTGGGTGTGAGAATGGCACTGATTAACCTCAAAAACACTTTTTGTTCGAAGAATCTAGAACTGGGCAGTTTCACACAGCTTCTCACTCAGCTATTCTCTCTGAAGGTAAGGATGACGTCTAGACCAGAGAAAGGACGGTTAGTGTCTTTTTTTTTTTTAATTGAGACAGAGTCTTACTCTGTTGCCTAGGCTGGAGTGCAGTGGCACAATCTCAGCTCACTGCAACCTCCGCTTCCCGGGTTCAAGCCATTCTTCTGCCTCAGCCTCCCGAATAGCTGGGGTTACAGGCACCTGCCACCACGCCCCGCTAATCTTTTTTTTTTTTTTTTTTGTATTTTTAGTAGAGACAGGGTTTCGCCACATTGGCCAGGCTGGTCTCGATCTCCTGACCTCAGGTGATCCACCTGCCTCGGCCTCCCAAAGTGCTGGGATTACAAGCATAAGCCACTGTACCAGGCCAGCGGTTAGTTTCTAGGATGCTGGTTGCCAGCTAGGACCCCCTCCCCACTCTGAGTTATCAGACCCAAATTTGTCCAACAGATGCCCTGGACCTTTTTCCCAGAGACCTGGTATTCCCTGGGTTTTGTCTCTGCCCCCACCCATCGACCTGACCTGAGCGCAGAAGTCCTGATACTGAATTTGTTTCAGGTGACATTTTGATGAATTCAGACCCAAACTCACTCAGCTTATTGATCCTAGAGAAAATGTTCATCCTTTAAAGACCACCAAACTGCATACTTAATCCATGTGCCACACACCGGGTCGATAGGAAACGCGGCTAAGACAAACATTTTGCTGAGCCCTTTATTGAAAGAGAGCTCTGTGACATTCTATTTCTCTCTTCCTTCCACGTGGACTGAGCACCCCATCCCCCACCCAGAGGTTGAGTGGCAGCAGCGAAGGCACGGGTCTTCAGTTATGGGAGCCCTTGAGCCTCTCTCAGCCTCAGTTTTCTCATATGAGAAGCACAGGAAGCAACAACTCCCTCCCCAGTTACAGTGTGGACTAAATGGCATAACTGTGTGTGTGTAAAGTGCCCAGCAGATAGCAGCATCTCAGTAAAGGCTCATCTCTTGTCCTTCCTTCTGCATTCCAGTAGGGAGAGCCTCATTTGTGGCTCAGGAATCCCTTGCTCCTCAGCTGATTAAAAAGGACCCTCTCAGTGTGCATCAAAAATCTAAGTGCCTGAGAAGAAAGGAAGCAAATTAATGAACTCATACATGCACGTGCACCCACATTCAAACCAACTGGTGGTACCAAGCACCAGCCATGCAAGGCCAAGCTGTGGTGGGTGGCACACTGCCAGCCTGAGAGAGGGTTTGGTGACAGCATTTTGAAGATGGAGATGCTGAGGTCCAGGGATGTTTAATAATTTGCCCAAACCCACATGAAACTTCCTACCTCTAAATTACGTGTAAGGGAAAGGAACTACATAGAAGCTGTCTAAAATGGAAGCTTGGGAAGGCAAAAATTCTTCTCTGTCTTGTTCATCACAATATCCATAACAGCCAGAACTGACACAGAGTGAGCTCTCCTTGAATGAATGAATGAATGAATGAGAATGAATGAATGAAATTAGAATAAACTCAAAGATAAAAACCTGAATGACTGGAAGGTTAACTACATAAAGCTGACCCATACCTGAGGCTGACTTATAGTTCTGTAAAAGGAAGGACAAATGAAGGTAGGAGGAAGTCCCATTCTCAAACCAGCAGAGATCTCAGACCTCAGCCCTCATCTTGGCCCCCAGAATTTTGAAGGGACACACAGTGCTAAATCAAATATTAATCTGTTGAACATTAGAGTAGATCATCCCTGTCTGTGGAGTTACTCGTCACATACACATGTGCACTGAGTGCCTACTATGTGCCTGGCTCTGAGCCAGGTTCTAGAGATTAATAGAGATGGTTCCCACCTCACAGTCTGGGAGGGTTGGAGCAAAAATTCAAAACCGTGGTCGCATCTATAAGGGAGTCTCATAGCAAAGGTATGAATGAATGAAGAGGTATGAATAAGGCAGTTGGCGGGGGGTGGTGTCCAGAGGAGGGGATGCCCATCTGCAAGGGTAGGGGTGGAGAAGGCCACACACAGAGGAGATTCTTGGGGGCTCTTGAACTATGAATGAAATGTGATGCTTGAGAGGGGTGTGAGAATCCCTGATAGAAGGAACAGCGGCCCCAGGACAGCCACCAGGCAGCCCCTTCCTCTGAGAGCTGAACAAAGCTGTTCCTTGAGCTGCTGTGGGTATTAACTCCAACAACATAGCAGTCTCTATTCAAGCTACAGAACTGGATTCCTCAGGCTAATCTTAGAGTATCTTATTATTTTCCTGACTTTTAGCATACCCCTGTACTTTCTAATAATATATTATATTTATAAGTAAGTACCATTTATAGGGGCTTACAATGTGTCCGGCCTTGGTTCCATACATTTAGACAGGGTTTAGGAACACAACTCTCTTTACCCTTCCCTCCCAGTATTGTACATACATTATCTCCAGTCCTTATTGCAGCCCAAGACCTCTCCATTGTACACATTGAGGAGACTGAAGGTGGATATCTCTGATCAAGAGCTAAGAGGTGGTTGTGACACCCACACTACTGTGAGAAGGCCCCAGGGCTGTGGGATCAATGGTCCAACCTTCCTAGGCTGGCTTCTCTTGGCCTCAGGAGCCAAGAGAGAACCTGCCCCGACTGTCCAAAGCTTCAAGCCAGGGTAGCATAGAACTTCCTACTCCCCGGGCTTCTTAGCTTAAGCCTCTTTTTTTTAAACCAGGCTCCCTCACTGTGTCCTCTGGCCAGAGAACTTTCTCCAGATGAACAAGAAGTATAAATTCTCCTGCAGTTCAGGCCCTGGGCCACCGGCCTCCTCCACATTGCCATAACCACCCTCTGTGGACTGACAGAGCCTGAGTCAAGAACCCCAGTGGTTCATAGGGGTAAATAGGTCCCAGAGACACACTGATCCCCACCTCCCATGTGCACCGAAAACCTTGTAAGCATGATTGTTCCAGAATAGACCCAGGAATTGCCAGTGTGGACCCAGGTATTTTCTCGTACTATTCATTCCTATTCCAAGAAGTATTAAGCAGCTCATCAATAAACAAATGAATGGGTTGGCAGGAGTAGGTAGGCAAGGGTGGAAGTGGTTCATAAGCAGCATTTTCTTTTCAAGGGAGATTTAAGTCTAAGGAGCCATCTCAAGTCTGGAATTCCTTCCCTTTCTCCAAATGCGTGCACACATGTAAGCACACACTATCCCAGCCACCCTCGTCCTTTGCTCTGGTGGGGCTGCTAGATTGGATAACCCCAAAAGGGGTCACTTCTCTGGGGCTCAGCTATTGACGTGCAGGGTCTGTGCAGTCCTTGGCATGCTAATAGTAGCAATCTGCCTCCCACTGGGCTGGCCTCGTGGTAAATAAACTTTCATGTTCTTATTGAGTGATGGCTGGTGGCTCAGAATCGCTCCCCTGGACCTGTTTGAGGTTGATTCCATACTCAAAGCCATCATGCTCTCCTTTGCCCACTCACTGCTGAAAGGTTATCATTAAAGAGAAGAAAAGAGCTTTGATTTTTGTTGCTGGGCCACCAGCTTGGATATGGGGCTCTGAAGGAGGTGGGGGAGTTTGGTTTTACCCCAAGCGTTGTGGTCAAATCCTAGCCCTGCCATTAGCAGCAGGGTGATTTTGAGCAAGGGAGGTTGTGGAACCTCTCTCATCCTCAGTGTCCTCCATAAATGTTTAGGGTTAAAGAAGAACATGTATTTACTTCTTCAACTGCAAAGCTCTGCAGGTGTGTTAGTTGCCAATAATACTCAGTTAACCTGGTTTCCACATTCCGCAACCGATGTTCTAGTCCCTCAGAATGAAGCCCCTTGTCTGGGGCCTGTAAGGGGCTTCCATGGAGCTTTCTGGAATGTGTGGACTTTCCATAAAGTATCTCTGACAAGAATAGAATGGGTAGAATCAGGAGCAGGGTCCAGACCATGACTGGCAGGCAGACAAAACTTCCCCTGCAATCTTGACCTTAACCCTGTCCCAGCGATATCCCCCCAGCAAGAGGTCCCCCCGCGGATCTGCTGCCACCCTGTGGTCTCTGTTATTCCTTTCCTCTCTTGACCTGAAGTGGGAGAGACTGCATTTGAGCTTTCTTGTTTTTGAAGACAAAAGAAACATTGGGCTAGGGCCTCCATCTAGCTCTCTGGATAGCTAGATAAATAATTACTAAATAAATAAATAAATGAAAATAAACAAAGCCTCCAATGAGTTTGAATTGCTGCCGTGCTGAGAGGTAACTGGCAGATTCAATTTAATTATAGGATACAGCGTCGTAATGGGGTATGTAAGGCTCAAGGAGGATTTCAGTAATGGGAGGACAGCGGGGTTCCCTGCCTTTTCCGCTGGGTCCTCTCCTAACCCCACCGCCTACTTTCCCTCCTTGCTGTGTGGGCTGGGGTGGGTGGGGGAAGCGGGTAGCTGCCTGGGCTTGGCTCTGCTGTTGGGGAGATCTCACCAGTTCCTCATCCTCTGCTCCTCACCAGCCTCAGCTCCCAAGGTGGCCCAAGTTACAATGCCCTAGAGGACAGTCCTCTCTGCGGAAACGTGTGAGGGAGGAGAGACAGCAAGGAGAGCTGGAGAGCCCTCCCTCCTTCCACCCCAGTGAAGGTGCGCAGCATTCCTGGGTGAACAGGACCCACCCCGCGAGGCAACGCATGCCCACTGGACTGTGAACCAGGCAGCTGTGACTGTGACTTGGCTGGGGGCAAGGACGTGCTGTCCCCTGGCCTCCCTCCTGTGCCGCTTTTCCACCCAGAATGTGGAGGGGGCATTCCCAGCCCACTGGACCTTAGCCCACACATCTCCACCCCTAAAAACCCTGCACTCCCCACTCGCAGGACATTTTGTTCTTCTCTCTGCCCCCTTCCCTTGTGCCAAGTGAGAGCAGACATCTCCCCCTACCCCTACTCATTCGGCAGCATGTGAGGGGCTTGAGGGCAGGGGCTGGACATGACTGCCTGACTCCAGTGATCAATTCTTTAAAGTCAGCGTGTGGCCCTGCTAGGACCCTCTTCAGTTAATCCTCAGTGATCAGAGTTTTATGTGGGCCATAAATAGGTGACAAGAAGGTTTGTAAGCCCATCACTAAATAGCAGCCCCGCCCCTGCTGCCTGCACACCCTGAGTAGGCAGGCATTCTCCACGCTTCCCCACCTCACCCCACCTCCCTGCCTCTCCAGTCCCTGAGAAAGGGGCTCTCCAGGAGCCTCACTCCCACAAGGGCTTCTCAGTGCTCCTGACCACCTGACAGTGATGCCTGTGACTCCATCAGCAGCACCTGCTTGGCGGGGGGGGGGTCCCCTCTTCCCACTGGGGTCTCTGCTGGTCAGCTGGGCTGTGTGCATGACATTGGGACCACATCCTGGAAGAAGGGCACAGCAAGCCTGGGCTCTGGAACCAAATGGGCCTGGGTTCTAATCCTGGGTCGTCCATTTCCCAGTTGTGTGACTTTAGGAAAATTGCTTGGCTTCCCTGAGCCTCACCTGTACAGCAAAGCTAATAATCCACACATTCACTAATCTGGGCAAAGACTAATTTCACAAATCAGTCTTGTATGTATAACCTGTTATTGGGCCTCTGGCTTTGCAAAGATCTTGGCCTCAAGAGAACTGTAGGGGCTGGGGAAGGGAATACTTGGAGGCAGGCTGGGACTTTGCCTGCCTCCTTATTGCCTTCAGTCTTAGTCTTTTGGGAACTCTTGGTCCTTCTAGAAATAAGGAAAGCAGAAATGCCTTTTCCTGCCTGGCCTCCCAGCCATGATGGACTGAATGGACCAGGCTGAGCCTCCCCAGGGGTAGGACACATAGCTGTCGAGCATCTGGCCCCATTCAAACACTAGTCACGACTTCCAACTTTCTGTTAGGAAAAGTCTAACAGCCCTCAGGCATATGGCTTTTGGCAGCCCCTGTTCCTCACAGGGTGTGTGGAAGACAGACTGGAGGACAGGAATGGCCTTCATGATCCTATTTCTCTGTTCCCCCACCTAGCAAGTAACTCATTGGAATTAGATACGTTAAATCAGAGACGGGCTGAGGCATCCTTGCACATGGGATAAAACTGTTTCCCGTAAAATTCTTTAACCAACATTATTTAACATCCCCCCGCCCCACCCCTCTCACAAACGGATTATACTGGAAGTCCAAAGAATCTCATTCATGATTAGCTTTACTAACCTCAGCACTTACTAGCAATGTGACCTTGGGGAAGTTTTGTAACCTTTTGGATCCTCGGTTTCCCTTCTGTCAAATAGGAATAATAACAGCACTTACCTTATAGAGTTTTGATGAGGAATAAAGAAGGTAAGGCATGCAAAGTGCTCAGCCCAGAGACTAATGAAGCATAAGCAATCAGCACATGGCAGCTTTCATTGTGATGGTGAACTACATGAGCCTGGTCCCAGGTGGCAGACACTTGGTGATGCTGGCCAAGGGAGAGGGGCAAGGCTGGGCTGCACCCAGCCCCCAAAGATAGTAACCAGTGTCCCACTTTCAGTGTACAGAGGAGTGGGGTGAGCTCTGCCAACCTTGGGTCCCATGTTGATGGCCAAGTGCCCCAGAGAAAGCTGATGGCTGTGTCAGAATTCCAGGCAATTCATCAGTTGGGAGAAAGATCCCAGGCAGTGTCTGAGGGTAGGGGAGGAACCCAGCCCTCCAAGGAGAGAAAGATGATAAGAGCTAGGCAAGGTATCAAAAAGCCAGCCCAAAGGGCTGAGACTCCGAATTGGTTGGGAGTCGAATCTCACAGAGAATGGAGACAGAGCATGGCACGACGCACCAACAAGCACCAACATGGAGGTGTACGGCAAGCCTCACCATTTGCCAGCTGTGGGACTCAGGACAAACTCCTCACTCCTCTAAAGTGTCAATCTCTCGCTAAATAACAACAAGGAGAATAACACCTGTGATCATAAAGGTGTTGTGAGGGTGAAACGAGATGAGAAAAGTTAAATGTCCCTTGCAGCTCAGCAAATGACTGCTGTCTTTTTTCCCACCTGAGATGTACAGACTTAAGCCAGTGAGCAGAGATTTGGAGAAGCCGAAGGATAGATGACCACATGGGCATGTAGATTTCCTGCAGGCACACAGGATCTGAGACATAGCAGCACAGATAATTCTAGACCCCACAGCTGGTGGTGAGGAGTTGCTGATAATGCCTGCCTTGGCCGCATGGGGGATAGAGCTATGCCAGCCAAATAATGGCATGGCTGGAGCAGGCTGGAGAAGGCAGGGCTGGCAAAGGGTTATCCCAGTGTTAGGCACTGCCACTGCTTACCAAGCTGTAAGGTGCTGATCGGCACGTGATCAGCAGGTGTGTGAGGGAGGCTTGCTGCCTGCTGGAGCTGGTGAGATGGGCTGGCGGGTCACAACAAGTTTTTGGAATTATCACAAATGATTGTCAACTCTTCCTAACTGACAATAACTTGACATGAAATGTTATAGAACTCATTATTTCAAAAACGTAATTTAAGACCACAGCTGTTTCAGATTCCTCTTATATGAATTTAATTGGTATGTAATAGCATAGTTAATTAAATACAAATCAATAGTTTAAAACAACTAATTGATAATATGAATGGGGAAAAACTTAGTTCTAGTATAATTAACTCATATGAAATAAGCAATGAAGAAGCAATTATGTCTTTACAACAACGTAAAGTTTATAGTTATTTAGTAAACTTAGAATTAGCAAGCAATGAGATCCAAAAATTATAAAACAGGTATTATTGGGCTAATTAAACATTTATCACTCGTCCTGGAGGTCCAGGGCCAGGCACTAGTCAGGATTAATATACCTTTGCTACTCCACTCTTCAGTCCTCTTTATGATAGAGGTTGATCAGAAAATTATGATCTTTGCATGATGTATGGGCATTATTATTGCCTGGGATATGAGTAATTATGCTGAAAATAGGAGTAGGCAGAACCGATGCAGAAAGCAGTTTAGCAGAATCAAAGTGAAAACTTTCCAAACAGAAGACCCCATCATTCTGCAATCAGAATGGCATCGCTGGGCAGAATGGCTACTGATGGCTATTGATAGACAAAAACCAATGAGAGGGCCATTGGTAGACATCCAAAACTAAGACAAAACTAGGGACAATCTCCAGCTTTCAAGGCCTTTTGCAAGGACCTCCCTCACCATCCCACAGCCTGAAGCTGTCTTTTCCTCCTGGGGACTCCTGCAGTAAGAATTGCCATTCATGCAGAAATAACTTGCGTGCTGCCTCAAGACTTTCTTTACCGAACTATTACCTGTCTCTGACTTTTAGTTACCTTTTCTTAAGTATATGTCTTGTATAGCCAACTGGATTATAGTATCTTTGGGCTAGGAAGTTTGCCTACTATTTTTTTCTCTTGCACATAGTGCCCAGCACTTAGTGGCCTCTTTGCGAGTGTCTGTGCCTTGGACTTTACACCAGTCACATTTATTAATGTGTCCTGGTTCCAGAGGGGTAGGATTAATGCTTGTAGCAGAGTCTACCCACAGGATCCAACTGCTGTTTCCCCCAACAAAATGTTTACCCTCTGAGGTCAACGCAACTGGTTAAAAATATTTCTTCAGCCTAGAACTCCTTCTCACATGATCATCCAAGTCCTCTTCACTTTAGAACCTTGTCACCTCGAACACAGTAAGTCCAGAAATGTACCATTATCACCTGTGACTTAATAGGCTTCCTTTGTCATCACCCTACTCTGATACAGACATGTCTCTTTGTCCATTATATCCCACAAAAGACACTGGGGTCATCCTTGCCCTCTTCCTCTGCTTGACCCACTCTGTCACTTAGCACCACTGTCTCTTCTTGGAATGTCTCTGATTCATCATTTCCTCTCCATTCCCAAGCTCTCTGGTTCCTTGGCCTCTCCCATGACAGCCACCTGGCTGGTCTTCCTGACTGGCCTCACATTTCCAGTCCATGTCACTGTTGGCTACGTGCTAACCTGGGAAGTATGCAACCTAATAGCTCATTATATCACCCTGGAGAGCTCACTCCACCTCTCTGCATCTCCACTTTCATATCTGAAAAAGAAAAAAACGAGGGGGGTAGAATTTGGTATTTTGTTTCTATTTATTGAACTCACCCTTATTAGGTACTTCATTCTGGGCACTTTTGCCCATGTGTTGGCTCATTTGCTTTTCATATGAATCATGTGAGGAGGGTCTTACCGTTAGAATCAACGTTTTATAAATGAGGAAACCAAAGCTCAGAGAAGCCTAAGAGTTGCTCACTGGTAAGTGCTGGAGCATGGCTCCAGCCAGCTCTGTTAGTTCTGAAACCTCCCCTGCCCCATGTGGCCTCCCTGTGAGTCCAACCAAACCCAGCTGGTGTCTCCTCCAGATGATCTCAGGCACTGTCTGGGGAATGGGAGCTATTTTTTCAGCCCCTCCCCTGCTCTCTATGTCAACGTGGCAGGGATGAATGTCAGGATAAAACTGAGGGTCCTTCCCTTGCTTTCTGATCTCTGGCCATCTTCAGAGAGCAGGAAGAAGCAGCAGATGCAAGCCCACCATCTCCCACCTGGAGTATGGCAGCGGTCTCCCAGCCAGCCTCCCTTCTCTGAGCTCATCTCCCATCCATCATCTGCACCAGTGCTGAAGGGATCCTTTATGAAATGCAAGTCTCACCTGTCTTTCCCCTGCCTAGCATTCTGCGTGGCTCCCACCTCCTTTAAGAGAGAGCCCAGACTCCTGGGTGAGGCTCATTGGCTACTCCAGGATCTGGTCCCTGGCTAGATCTCCTGTCTCATCTTTTTTCTTCTGCTACAGCCACACCAAACTGCCTGCCATTAATTTCTGTTTCTTGTTTGATAGGCTTCCAGAGACGTGCTCGAGTCTACTAGCTTCAGGTGGGAAGGGGTTAGTCTTCAGCAAGCACACCTGAACTGTTGTGACTGGGCAACTTGGGGACAGGACAGGAAGGCCTTCTACAAGCAGCCATCCAGATGCACTTGATGGCCTCAGAAATGGTGAGGTAGCAGAGGCTGGTGCCTATCCGTTGTCACCGGCTCCATCTGCAGTTACTTGAGGGCACATTAATGTCTGAACAGGGCAACCAGGCAACCAGCAAGTGCTGTCCTGGCCAATACGGTCCTCACCCTGGAAGCAGGAATGCTAATGGCATCCCAGCTTGCCGCTGGGTGCCAGGCATGCAGACACGTAACCAGCCTTCTCTCCCCACCTTCCCTCTTTCCTGTCACTTGTGGCCGCCACTCCCAACAGATCTTAGCCACCCTGGGGTCTCCTTAGCAGAGTGTGATGCTGCTCCCTGCAGGCAGCTTTGTGCTCTGGGGGCTGGGTTCCAGAGAACCATGGCCAGTGGAAATTGCCAGGCCTCAGAGAAGACCCACTCCTCCCTGTCCTGTCTATATTCATTTGCTAGGGCTGCTGTTACAAAGTACCACCAGCTGTGGGGCTTAAACAACAGAAATGTATTGTCCCACAGTTCTGGAGACTGGAGGTCCAAAGTCAGTAGAGTTGGTTCCTTCTGAGGGCTGGGAGGGAAGGATCTGTCCCAGGCACCCTCTTTGGATTGCAGATGGCTGTCTTCAAGTTTTTACAGCGTCTCCCTGTATATGTGTCTATCACTAGATTTTCCTCTTCATAAGGACACCAGTCACAGGATAAAGGTCCGTCCTAATGACCTCATTATAACATGATCACCTCTACAAATTTCCTATCTCCAAACAAGGTCACACTCTGAGGGACTGGGATTAGGACTTCAATGTACGAATTTGGTGCAGGAGGGGAACACAGAATTGGTGAGGAATTCGACCTATAGCACTGTCCCAGCCCACACCGCTGATCTGTGCTCTAGTCTCTGGTCTGTCTTGATTTGCAGCATCTGCAGCTCTGCGACCCCGTACTTTACCCTAAGAACCAAGCCAAAAATCAGCCATGGGTTCCAGCATGGGCACTATCACCAGCTAGTGTGTTGGCCTTAAATTGTCACTTTACTTCTGAGCCTCAGTTTGTGAAACCAAAATGAAATAGATAATTTCTGACTTGCCTGTGTCACAGAGCTACTTACTGTGAGCATCTAAAGAGAAAGGGAATATGACAGCGTCATTAAAAAATAAGTATCCCACAAATATGAAATAATACCACCGTATCACTACATTACTAGTAAGAATGAAGGAATTCTAAGGCTAGAAAACATCCCATCTGCACCCTCTGAAATGGAAGAAAACCCATCCCATTTAAAAAGCCATCCCCTTTTATTTCTCCCAGGAGGAAATCCCACTATGTTATCTAGGCTTCTCTTCCAATGAGCTACAAGTTTCATTCACTCTACAACCAACCTCTGCTAACCTAAACCCATTGTGCTACAGTGAAGCCCACTTATTTTCATTCTGACCCGAGTCAGAAGGAACCCTTCACAGTCCCATATTTTGTAGCCAGCCCTTTCATTAAGTCAGCAGACTGTTCCTGAGCACTTACCATGTGTCAGGCACTGTGCTTGGTCCTACGGGCTCAGAGCAGGAGAAGGCACAGTCCTGACACTTCA